>NC_000020.11:51314719-56314719 GCF_000001405.40 Homo sapiens
ACTGTTGCATCCGACTCACAGATGCAGCTTCTGGGGTTAAGGGAGAACATCTTTTGGCACCATTTTTAGAATCCTGCCTATTGCAGTGGCTTCAAAGTCCTAAAGAATAGTCAGATCTGTGCCAACAGCCCCATCAACACCATGGCTTACTTCAGCAACAGCTTACTTGCCACTGCAGCAGATGACAGGGGTGCTTTTGGGCCCAGCTGGAGGGATGTCATCTGCCTGGAGCCAGGTTCTAGGACTCTGTTCCCTGCTTTTCTTGGGCTCTGCCTTCGAGGCCATAGTTCTAGAACCACCTTCCTATAACTCTCCAATACAGCAGCCCTCTGGGCATTTGGCCCAGGATTTCTGTGTTGACTCTGTTGCAGCTTCTTGTCCAAAAGGGCTCATGTCCAACAAGTGCAAGCTTCCCCTTGGGTGGTGACACCTTCCCATCTCTGCGACTGGCGTATATGACCTATTGGCATGACCCCGGCTGCCATTTATGCTTCACACATGTGTAGGAAGGGCTTTGGGAGTGGTCTTTCCTGAGTGGAGATGGCTCTGTCTCCGCACATGACTATCAGCATGGAAGTCAGTAGGATGGAGAGTGATGGGTCTGGAGTGGCTACTGTTCCCACAGGAATTAAGCAGTGACCATAGCAATGTCTCAGTAGAGGGTAATGAATAACATCAGTAGATGGTGGCCATGTTTTACCTTCTCAAATCAGTCACAATAGTCTCAATTCAGTGCATTATTTATGGGCACCCACTACTAGCACAGCCTACAGGTTTCATCAGGCATGCCAACTCCTGTTGATGTTGGCAGCTTACCCAGATGCTTTTACCAAGATAAATTGTGAGGCTGCATTTGGCTGATTGGAAAAAATGCTGTGATTGATTAGTGATGTCTGCCATGGCCAGGGAGGGGATAAATAGGCAAGTGAGACAGGTTTGTCCATGAGCCTAGGCCTACTGAGGATGAAGAGGTAAATGAGAAGGCTGCATTTTAGTGGTTCAGAGCATAGAGTTTAAAATCAGAAAGGCTGGGATTCTGCAGCCAGCTCTGCTCTGTATGTGGATGAGTTACCTAACTTTGCTGTGCCTCAGTCTTCTTATCTGTGAAATATGGACACTAATAATTGTGAGCACTAAATGAGAATGTAAATAAAGCACTCATTCTAGACCGTTCATGATTGCATAAGGATCCCTCAGAGGGGCCAGGCATGGTGGCTCACACCTGTAATCCTAGCACTTTGGGAGGCCGAGGCAGGTGGATCACTTGAGGTCAGGAGTTCAAAACCAGCCTGGCCAACATGGTAAAACCCTGTCTTTACTAAAAATACAAAAAAAAAAAAATTAGCCAGGCATGGTGGCAGGCACCTGTAATCCTAGCTACTCAGAGGCTGAGGCAGGAGAATGGTTTGAACCTGGGAGGCAGAGGTTCCAGTGAGCCAAGATCACGCCACTGCACCCCAGCCTGGGTGACAGAGCGAGACTCCATCTCAATAAATAAATACATAAATAAGGATCTCTCAGAGGTTGACAGTCTTCTGAGGGAGACAGATATGCAGATAAACACATGTAATAAGCATTAGAATTGCAGGATTGGGTATGGAGAGTGAGGCACAAGTAGGAAGTGCTCACTCTCCTGAGGTGGACATTGTCTGCAAGGGACTATATCAGCTGGGTATGGAAGGATGGGGAGGGGCTTGCTAGGTAGAAAAGAAAGGAAGGGACTTTCCAAGACAGGGAGGTGGGCAGGCAAAGGTCACAGGGCTAGGAAGTCAATGACAAGTTCAGACAAGCATTGGGCATGGCAGAGGAAGGAGGGAGCTGAGGGGACAGCAGGAAGCAAATCTGTGCATAAGATGGGCCATGCTGTTGAGGACTGCATGAGCTGCACTAAGGGATTTGGCCCTAACTGGGTGTGTGTGTGTTAGAACACGGTTTGGCTGCCATAAGGGCGAATCCTCAAAGCAGAAGGGTGTGGACAAGGCAGGAAAGTTCTTTTCTCTTATGGACATTCCCCCACTGGTGTAGCAGCTCTGCTGTGTGAGGTCTTAAGGGCTCTGCCTCCTTCTTCCTTGTTCTGCATGTTAGTTATCCATCACTGCTTCACAAATTACTGCACTTGGTGGGTTAGCGCAGCAGCCACATTTATCATCTCACAATTTCTGTGGGTTGGGAATCCAGTGTGATGAGGCTGGGTCCTCAGCTTCACGGTCTCCCATAGGCTGCAGTTGAGGTGTTGGCCTTGGTTGCCATCTTGTCTCAAGGCTTGATTGGGGAGAGCTCTGCTTCCAGGCTCTCCCAGGCAGAATGCAGTTTCTTGTAGGGCATTGACTGGGGGCTGTTGGCAGCCCTTAGTTCCTTTCAACCTGGGCCTTTCCAGCATGGTGGCTTACTTCGTCAAAGCATGCAAGCCAAGAAGGCGACAGAGAGAAAGAGAGAGAGGGAGAGAGACCGACCTAGCAAGAGAATGCAACCACGACAGAAGCCAGTCTCTTGAATAATCTTGTGAGTGACGTTCCATTCCATTTGCCACATTCTACTCATTAGAAGCAGGTCCCTAGGTCCAGCCACACTCCGGGGCTGGGAGTTACATACCATGTGAATACAAGGAGGGGGAAATCACTGAGGACAGTTTCCAAAACTGCCTTCCACACTCTACCACCCCTTGAGTAATGTCCTTGTCCACCTGAGGCAAAATGTCTCAGTCACATGCACCTTCCAGCCCATGGGGATGGGGAGAAATCAGAAAGGGGGTACCCCTCGCTTTTAGCCCAAGACACAGAAATGGCAAGCAGCACTTCTGTTCACCTTGCATCGGCCTGAGCTTGGTCAGTGTCTCCTCTTGCCCGGGAGCTGGGCAGTTACAGTCTTTAGCTGAGCCACCAGGGGCCTGGCTCAGAGTCAGGGGTTGTATTTCCAGGAGAGGAGAGGAGAGGAGAGGAGAGAATGGACACCGGAGAAAAGCGGCCATCTCTGCAACTCCAGGGCCTGCCAATGGGTGTTGGGGGCAGGACATAATTTCTTTCTTGTATAAAGTAGAAAAATTCCTTCCTTTCCTCCACAAATAGTCATTGAGCATCTTCTGCGGGTCACACATGTGCCAGACACTATGCAGATTGGCAAAAGGAAGGGAAGGGAACGGAGGGGAAAAGAAACGAAGAAACTCAGGCCTGCCCAGGTGTGTGTGCAGAGCTTGCAGCCTAGCTGGGGACAGATAGCAAATAACCCCACACCTAAACGAACATGTAATTACAACGCGTCAAGTGTTAGGAAGGAAGCAGATTCGCAGACGGCGGCTTTGTTTTTAATTCTCTTGCTAGGCCCCTCTGTCTTTCTTTCTCCCTTCCTGTCTCTCTCTCCACCTGTAACGGGGTCTGTCCTAGTCAGGGAATGAAAGGCGGCTTTGCTGGTAGATGTCATTTCCGAGGACGGCCTCAGGGGTGGCGTCCCTCCCACGCACTCTTCCCGTGTGATGTACGTGCGCTTCCTGCTGAGAAGTGGGTTCTGTGTCCCTTATCCTAGAATAACGCCCAGTCTTATTGACTCACTTCTAATGCCTAGTACGTGGCAGAAGTGAGGCTGTGTGACTACCAAGGCAGGTGCCATAGCTTCCGCCTGCTTTGTTGCCTCTCTGGGGACAATCACCCTTGGATCCCAGCCACCGTGCTGTGAGGAAACCCACAACAGCGCCCCCTGGAGGAGAACAGCGGCCCCAGCCAAGAGCCAGCATCAACAGCCAGGCCCCTCTGAATGCACGCACCTTCAGTCAGCTCCAGCCCAGGCCTCACGTCCTTCAGCTGAGGCCCGCGACATCCCGGAGCAGAGACAAGCTATGCCCACTGAATCCTGCCCAAAGTCCCGGCCCACTGGGTCGCTAAGCAGAAGAAACCCTTGTTTCACGCTGCTGGTATTTGGGGTAATGTGTTACACAGCCACGGTCACAAGCACAGCCTCTATGAGGGAGTGGCACTTCAGCTGCGCCTTCAAAAATGACTTGGCATCAGCCAGGCAAAGAGCATGGGAGGAGAGAACGTTCCAGGCAGAGAAAACCGCACAAACAAAGGCCCTGGGGCAGGAACAAACTCAGTGCATTTAAGGATGAGCAGGCAGGCCCCAGTGACTGAAGCTCAGGACAGGGGTGGGTGCTGGGGGCTGAGGGATGAGTTGCAATTTCCCATCTGCCTAAGGTATAAGGAAGAAGGAAAGGGGTATGATCTGAACTGCTTTTTTTTTTTTTTTTTGAGACAGAGTCTTGCTCTGTCGCCAGGCTGGAGTGCAGTGGCGCGATCTTGGCTCACTGCAACCTCCGACTCCCAGGTTCAAGCGACTGAATTGCTTTTTTTTTTTCTGCAGGCTGCAGAGTGGAGGAATGACGGCAGAGGCGGGTGGGGGAGGGCACACACGACAGCTGAATGATGCTGCTGAGAGCATGTGGCCAGTGGCAGGTCAGGGCCATGGACAAAGAAGGAAGTGACCTGGTTTGAAACATGGAATAGGGGACACATTCCTTAGAGTGAAGGTGGTGTTTGCAAGTAAATTCTCCTGAAATGCTGTCATCTCACCTGGGAGTGTTGAGGCCTGATGCTGTTATTCTCTGTATTTGTTAGGGGTCTTTTGGATACAGGAAAATGAACTCAAGGTTGGTGACTGTAAAAAGGGTTGCTTGAGGAGTTTTTGTTGTTGTTGTTGTTGTTTGTTTGTTTGTTTTGGCTGACATATGTGGAAAGTCCGAGTCTGTGGTTTGCACCCGCTTCCTCAAGCCCCAGTGCTTGAGGTTTGGCTTTGCCTACAGCCCCACAGACCACTCTCAGGCGGGTCTTTCTGCAGACCTGGGCTGGATGTATTGGCACTTCCAGGGTCAGATCCAGGGGAACGGAAGGCATGGCTTTCTGCTGACAGCTCTGGAAAGCCCCAAGGATCTTGTTGGCTCTGATATACTCATGTCCCTTCCCCTCCTGTGGTCAGGGCAACGTGATCCTGTGATTGGCCAACTCTGGGTCACTTGCTCTTCCTGGGAGCCGGGGGGGAGCCCACACCACAGGGCCACATGATCTGAGAGAGAGAAAGAGGGTGGCCTCAGTGGGAAATGGGGGTACTGTAACCAGAAAAATAGATAACGAATGTAGGCCAGACAAGAATGACAAATGCTCATGGCAGTCAGTAACACTTTAGTTAGAAACAGCATATTGGCAAGCACAGGCAAGGGAGGAAGTAACTTGAGGAGCCAATGGGACGAAGACCTAGGGTTTTGAATGGGGAAAAGATACAATCTCCTCACTTTGCCCTGATACTTTGTAGTTGCTTATATTAGTCCATTTTCACACTGCTATAAAGACATACCCGAGACTGGGTAACTTATGAAGGAAAGAGGTTTAATTGACTCACAGTTCTGCATGGCTGGAGAGGCCACAGGAAACTTAGAATCATGGTGGAAGACAAAGGAGAAGCAAGTACTTTCTTCACAAGGCAGCAAGAGAGAGAAGCAAGTGCAGAGGAAACTGCTACTTATATATAAACCGTCAGATCTTGTGAGAAATCCTTCACTATCATGAGAACAGCATGGGGGAACCCACCTCCATGATCCAGTCACCTCCCACCAGGTCCCTCCCTGACACATGGAGATTACAACTGGAGATGAGATTTGGGTGGGGACAAAGAGCCAAACCATGTCATCACCAAAGGGTTTCTCAGGTTTTGCCTTAATTCATACTCGCAGCAGTCACTGGCTGGGGTGAGCATCATCCCTGTCTACATGACAGATGAGGAAACAGGGGCTCAGAGAGGGGAGCCTGTTGCTGCAGATCCCGCCACTGAGAAACTTGAACTCAGGCCCGAGACTTGAGGTCAAAGCCATCTCTGCAGACACCATCTCTCAGGCCCAGAGTCTCCGGTGCCTGGATGTTGGGAGAATGACAAGGTGCCTGAGCACCCGGGCATTAGATGAGGCAGAAGCAGTTTGAAGACGCTTTGAGATCAGCTGATGTACAATACTCATAACTGCTATACTTTACTGAACCCACTTACACATATCACATCATTCAGTCCTCCCAGAAACCCAGGTGAAAGATAGACTGTTGTTATCTCCATTTTCCAGATGGAAATAAAATGAAGGCCGATTAAGAAACTGGCTCAGCATTACCCAAATAAGATGGAGTGGAAGCAGGATTCGAACTCAGGTCTCTGACTCTATGACCAGCTGCCGACCTACTGTACAATAATGCCTGCAGTTCTAAACCACCTTGAGTCACTGTCACCACACTTTTGGGCCAATTAGGACATTGAAATCCTTGCTAATTCATTTTGTATCTTAGGAAATAGACTTTAAGGTTTCAGGGTCTTATCTCTGTGTCTTAGCTTTTGTGCCTATGTTGAAAGCTGTATTACTTTATAAAGGTTTCAAAGGACTGGCTGTGCTGTGTGTGTGTATGTAGAACAGAGGTGAAATACTGTTTGCTCAGAGGAGTCTGGAGATTTTTCTGGCGTTTCCTTGACTACGTACTCTAGGATGCTAGAGAATGTTCTGCTAGATCATTTTAGCAGTTATATTTTACTCATTTATGAATCTTTAACTTTAAACTCCCTCCACTCAGAAATCCATAAAATTGGAAATTAACCTCCATTTGTGGCGAGTCTGTCAACAGCTAATCCCTCCCCACAGCCACCACATCCTTTTCACTGGGTGCCAGAAGTAGAGGCACCCAGGCCATGGTGGGCAGACAGAGGGGAACCTCCAAAAGATACCCGGGCTCTGACATCCTCAGGGATTGCCCTCAGATCTGGGACACAAGCTGAAGTGATGTCACCCAATGCCACAGCATGGAACTCCCTCCGTGGTGTCTGTGGTCAGACTGGGGCCCAGAAGTGTCTCCCTGTCCTGGTGTTCGATGTCCTGATGAAGTCAGATTTCTTGGGCTAGGGATTTGGTTGCCAATGATTGCCTTGTGAACTGGCAGATGTAAAATAAACATTTCTAGAGCTAGAAGCACAGGGAGCCTAAATGCTAGTGGTGGCCCCAGGAGGGGCAGGAGCAAGACCTGCATGGCAGCGACCTGGGACAACTTAGGTTTTGCATTTGCCAAGGCCTAATGCTACACACACACACACACACACGGATACACACACATGCACACACACACACACACACACACGGATACACACACATGCACACACACACATCATACATGCATACATACACACAGACACACATGTATAGCATGCACATGGAGACACACACAGAGAGATACATGGATACACACATGGACACACGTGCATCATACATGCACACACAGAGATACACGGATACATGTACACGGACACACATGCACGTACGCGGGCACACACGGAGACACACATGGACAGGGAGGAAAGGGAAAGATGAACAGCACGTGACTGGATCAGCCTGGGTCCCCAGCACTGTCTGCAGTTTGGACTTGAGCCCCGTGGGGCGCCATGTGCAGTGCAGGTTTCCACACTCACGCAGAAAGCAGATATGGCCATTGCAGGGTCCCCTGCCAGGGCTGGCAATGAGTCACTTTTTCCACCTCTGCGACCCCTCCCCAAGTCAGCTCTCTCAAGCTGCTATTGTTCTGAGTGAAGGCAGCATCTTCCCACTGCAGAGAAGCAGCTCCTGCGCCCACTTTAAGGGGCCCAGATCCTTCCTCTGGCCAGGTGTGAGGAGGGTATTAGGACCCCGCCATCCCCCAAAAAGCAATCATGAAAACCCAGATTCCCATGAGGCCTTATGTCATGTGAGCCCTGCCTACCTTCCCCCGCTCCCTTCCTTGCCGCTTCAGCCTCCAAATCCCTCCTGGAGCTTCTCAGATATCCCAGGCTTCTTCCACCATCCAACCCCTACACGTTTGCTCCTGCTGTGTCCTCTGCCGGGAATGCTCTTCTCAAGTCTCTGCCCATCTGTCACCTCCTCAGGGAAGCCCTCCAGGATCACTCTGTCCAAAATATTAATACTATCCCCATTATTTTATTCTATCCTTCCTACCCTGTTTCTCCCCCCATAGCATTTGTAACTACCTGGCCTGATGCTGTATGTTTGGTTATTTACCTATTACTTGTCTCCCACACTAAAACATCAGTTCTGTGAGGCTAGGGACTTTTGTCTGCCTCATTCAGTATTGTATCCTCATGCCTAGAACAGGGCCTGGCACTGCAGATGCTCAGTTAAGAGAGGGCAAATGTGTGGATGAGTGTTGAACACACAACACACAATTACGGGAGAAATCAACGTCGTCATTCACTCTGGGCCGGATGGTGGGATCCAGATTAGAGCAGAAGGCTGGGTGCAGACAAAGGCCTGCTCACTTTGGGTTGGAGAATTCATTCAGGGAAGACTTCTTGAAGAGCCTGAATCAATTGTGTTGCCTTCCAAGGGAGGTAACATTTTGTGAAACTTGTCCAAAGCAGGGGAGAAGTGTGAAGAGGGAGAGCCCTAGAATCTAGCTGCCTGGGTTGACGGCCCGCCTTGCTCCTTCCTTACTGGCTGTGTGAGCCTGGGGAAGTCACACATCCTCTCTGAGTCTGTTTTAACATCTGAAAATTAGCTAATAATGGTAACCACTTACAGAAGACTGGGGGTGGATCTAATTAGATAATACCGCGAAAACATTGAGCCCGTGACTGGCACACACTATGCCTGCAATACATTTTAGCTTTTAAAAACTTTTGTTGTGTGAGGTACCCACGCATAGGTAACTTGGTGTACACCTGGGGCAAGTCACTTCACCTCTCTGGCCCCGGGTTGCTTCATGTGTAAAATGAGGAACTCAAATTCAGTTCTTCCCAGCTTTCACATTCTATCACTGCCTGGGTCCTTACGTTGTGGGTTGGAAGTCAGCTGGAGTTTTTCTTTAATCTAGTCTTTCTCCCTTATACCTTCTCGATTTAGCTCCTGGGAAACCTTGTTAGCTTTCGTTGAAAACAAGAAAGACAAATCCAGTTGGGTGTTAGGAAGGCAAGGCTCAGAGTCAATGTGTGTGTGGTGTGACTTTAGGATAGAGGAATAGGGACCCCATGGACTTGGGCCTTGTGTCTGGCGGAAGGAGAGGTTGGAAGGTGGATGCCGGTTGGCAGCGCAGCAGAGAACTCAGGCATGACGTGCCCAGGTGCGAGCTGCCTTGGGCAGGTCTAAAGCCTTGGGAGCAGCAATCTCTTAGCAGCCCTGCAGATACCCCTTTCTCTGCTGAAATGCTCAGTTTTTCTTGGTCTCAAGTGACAGAAACCAACCTCAGACTGACTCCAGCGATTCAGGGGCCATCCTGACTCATGAACCTAAACAGACCTTGATGAACCTTTGTGCCTGGCTGAATCTTGGGGCTTAAAGAACGTGTTCAGGGATCGCGCTTTCTCTTTCTGCTTTTCTTTTCATCACCAGTAGTTTCAGGCTTGCATCCTACAGCTCAGTGAGGCCCTGGAAAAAGAGCATCCCTTTTCTCAAACCTCCTAGGGTTGATTTGGCCCAGCTTGGCTTGGGTGCGGGCAGGGAACCCTTGGCGCAGGCAGAGCTGTGGAGCGTGGTGATGCGTCAGGCCCGTGTTACAGGCTCTGACCTGGAGCTTCAGAGCGCTTGTGCAGGTGAGTGTGTGCAAGTGCACACGTGACTATAAGAGGGTGTGTGAGTGTGTGTGTGTGAGTGTGCACACACAGAAAAACAATGGGACAATCCTTCCCACCATCACTATTTGAGCTGAGAACTGGGGAGCAATGGTCCTCTAGGAGAGCCGAGGGGCCATTCAACATAGAGGGGAGATGGGGAATCCTAGGTGGGTGAATAGTGATATGGGGCCCCTGTTAAAAGCATAGACTCTGGGGCCATTGCCTGGGTCAGATTGTCCCTTCACTAGCTTATGACCTGGGTCAGGGTTCTTACTCTCTAATTGCCTCCATTTCCCCATCTGGAAATTGGGGATATTAGTGCTTCCATCAAAACAAGAGTCTGTGAGGATTAAGTGAGCTATGATATGAGAAGGAGCTTCCAGCTGACTCCTAGATGCCCTTTCTGAGCAGCAGAGGTAGTCGTGGAAATGCCAGCTCCTCTTGGTCAATTACATTGATAAATGTCATTCCCCAGATTTCCCTTTCAGAGCAGCTCGGTAGGTTGTGAATCCAGGCCAGGCAGAATAGAAGATGGGGCTCACTGATTTGCAGAGAGTGGTCCAGGAAGTGGGAGTAGGTGGAGTAGGTGGGGAGAGGTGGACAGGCACCCTCCATAGCCTCAGAGAGCTGGATGCATGCTCCACCCCTCACATCAAAAGCCGGCCAGTCTCTGGACCTGGGAGGAAGGGTCAGCTATTTGTTACTCTCCTTGACCTTTGTCAGGTAATCCCAAATGTTCACCTGTTTAGGTTAGACATTTTATCTTTCTGAGAAGTACTTCTATTTATCTACTACTCTCTGCTGCAAAATGTAGGCATTTTAAAGGTCAATACATTTGTAAAGCCTGACAGTTTCCCGTGTGTTTAGTGCTGAAATGGTCTGTGGACAGGTATATTAGTTACTGTGGCATAACAAATCATCCACAAACCTCATAGCTTAGAATAACAAACAGTTAAAACTATCTCACAGTATCTGTGGGGCAGGAATCCAGGCACAGCTTAGCTGGGTCCTCTCCTTCAGTGTCTCTTCCAAGGCTGCGATCAAGGTCTTAACCAGGGCTAGGATCTCATCTGAAGGCTCAACTGGTGTCGGCTCCATTTCCAAGTTCACACATGTGGTTGTTGGGAGGATTCTGTCATGTGTGGGCTCTTCGATTCAGGGCCTCAGCTCCTCACTGGCTGTTGGATGGAGAACTCCGTCAGTTCATTGCCACACCGGCTCCCCGCTCGCCACAGGGCAGATTTCAGCATGAGCTGACTATTGACCATGTGAGCCTTCCAACCTGGCAGGCTGCTTCCTCACAGCTGGCGAGGGAGAGGGTCTGCTAGCAAGATGGAAGCCCAACTATTCTGTAATCTAATCACAGATGTGGCATTCCCCCAATATTGAGGTATGCTGTTGGTTTGATGGAAATTACCCAAGGAGAAGGGATTACCTGAGGGCATGAATATAAGAAAGTGAAGATCACAGAGACCATCTCAGAAGCTGCCTGAACCACCAGGGAAGAAGCTATGAGGTGTGAACAAAGACCCAGCGACATTGGATCCAGGTTATCTTCTTTAGGTATCTGCACCTGTCCACGCCTCTCCTTGCAATAAATCTTCTTTGTTTAGGAATGAAATGGTCTTTCTTAGTTAATGCGAACAGGGGACATTTCTTGAGGGTGGTTGTAAAAGAACTCCTGTAACCTGACCAAAGCACGTCTCTCACCAGAAAGACCTAGCTGCTGGGGATGGGGTTGGGGGAGCTGCATCCGTTTGCATGTGGAGCCAGGTTCTCTAGGGAAGGAAGGAACTGAGATATCCATCATTGCTCCCCATGACCTGAAGTTGGGAAAAGCCATCAGAGTGGACTCTGGGGCTCTCACCTAACATCTACTGGAGAAAGACAGGAAACCCACGTGGCTGGGGACGGATCCAGAACAAGAAATCATCAAGAGGGTGGGAGCACCTGGCCAAAGCTTGAGCGCCTTAATGAGGTTCACAGGGGACTGCTTCTAACAGGGCTACTGGCTGAGCTGGAATCTTGTCAGGCCCCAGCAGTCCCAGCGTTGTGTTGGGGAGCAGTGGATCTTGAGCTCAGAGGACAGCCTGTGCTTAACAGTGACCCCTGGTGGCCATGAGACCTGATGGCTTTAGTGTAGGTTTCTGTTGTTTGGAAATAGGACTGATCCTCTTTGGACCATGTAAATCCCAGGATTCTTGGATAATGGGAGTGGTGAGAAAGTGAGGTGCTCAAGAGGAAGTATTAGACTTCCTGCTGCTGAAGGTGTAAGGGGCTCAATTTATTCAAGAAAATGTGAAAGCAATAGGGAGGATGCTTCAGTGGTCCCAAAGGTTATGGAATAAACCAGAAGTCCATAAACTTTTACTAAAGGGCTGCATAATAAATATGTGAGGCTTTGTGGGCCATACATCCCTGTCTCAGCTAATGAACTTGGCTGTTGTAGCATGAAAGCAGTATAGACAATAAGTAAGAGAGTGACCATGGTTGTGTTCCAATACAGCTTTATTTACCAAAACAGCCAGTTGTGGGTCATAGTTTTCTGACCTCCTGGGGTAAACAGTTGAGGCTAGTCTTTCCACCTTTGTAAAAGAGAAGATTTTGTGAATGTTTCTGGTTCTGTGAAATGTTCTTTCTTCCTTTGGATAAATGGAAGTTCACAGACCTCCATTTGTTCATTGCTGTTTCTTTATTTTATTTTATTTTATTATTTTATTTTGAGACAAGATCTCACTCTGTCACCCAGGCTGGTGTGCAGAGGCTTGATCATGGCTCACTGCAACCTTGACCTCCCAGGCTCCAGCGATCCTCCCACCTCAGCCTCCCAAATAGGTGAGACTACAGGCGCACACCACCATGCCTGGCTGATTTTTAAAAGTTTTGTAGAGATAGGGTCTTGCTGTGTTGCCCAGGCTGGTCATGAACTCCCAGGCTCAAGTGATCCTCCCACCTCGGCACTCCCAAAGTGCTGAGATTAGGGGCCTGAGCCACCGTGCCTGACCGCATTTCTTCCTTTGTATAAATGGAGAGGTATTTATGAATTATTGTATTCTCCTTTAGGCCAATGGAAACTCAGTCATGGATTTGCTTCATTGTTTTTTCTTCTTTTGTGAGTTACACTCAGTCATTCTAATGCATATATGTATACACACACGTACAAGCTTAGGAATGTACTATTTGTGGTTGTAAAAATGAAGCTGCTCATCTTCTGCTCTGAGAGTCTGGAAAAGTTTATAAATATCAAATAGTATCTGCTGGCATTGTCCAGCAAGACACATCACTTCCTATCGTGTGGGCGCGTCCCTCCAGTCTAGCCGTGTGCCTACGACACAGAGCTCTAGTTGGCATCAGGATTTTCCACTAGACAGTCCGCGTTCCCCAGCGGCCAGCTCGGAGGCGTTCCCGCCCTCAAAGCCACAGCCAAGTCCAGGGCCTCAGGGACAGGTCTGGGGAAAATCTATCAAGTGATTTGGGAGAACCAAGGCGTCTGGGTCGAAGGCAGGGGGATTCCCTCCCACCCTGGCCTCTCTGCTCCTTTCCAGACAGACCTGCCAGGCATTGCCAAGGTGCTTTTTAAAATCTTCAAACAGAGTTTTAACCATGATGTGTGGCAGACATAGGTATCCCTCACATACTCATAGGTATTTGCTTTAAATATTTGAAAACAATGGAGGAATGAAGACAGGCTTGAGTTATTATATATTAAAGTACACGAAATGAGATTCAGGCTTAAATTGTTGTATCAGGGTTTGACCACAGCAGAATCAACTGGAGGGATTTATCGTAGAGATTTACCTTATGCAACTTGGGGAGCTGGTTCACCAGTCTACATGGGGCTGCTTCTTTGAATTTGACGCTGGATCCTCAAGTCAGCAGGGCAGCCACCAAGAAGGAAGGATGGATGGGAAGTGGGAGGGAGTGACGACAAACTGGAGCCACCAGGACAAGCTGGAACCCGGGATGACAGACTGGAAACCCCCCGTCCATCTCTTGCCACCTCCAAGCAGCCATCTGTGATTACTCACTCAGGTGATCTGCAGGAAAAGGTGGCATTCTTCATCCCGGAACTAAACAGGCCTCTGCCAGGATTCAGAGACACTAAGGAGGATCCACAGGGACTGGAAGCTGCAGGCTTAGCTGCTGCCCACACCAACCAGGCGAGCCCACAGAAGGGTGTCCACGTGGGTGCACTGCAGCCGCGTGCTCCATGCCCACCTTCCAAGCATGGCAGCAGTCTACCTGCCACTTCGCTTCCCCCTCCCGGGTCTCACTCAAAATGTCTTTTGGTCTATGCTAACCAGAAACAATGCAGGGAAGGGAATTCTGAGAATTCCAACTTAGCTGAGTTGACATGATCCAAATCCACCACAATTATTACATTAAAAGGCAAATGGCAGTAAGTGAATTGACTAGGGCTTTTATTAGAAATATTACTCCCACTGTCAGTTTAAATGTAGATATTTAAAACGTCCCTAAGCAAAAAGTTACCACATAGTAGGAAAGGCTCCGAGGTCACAAAACCTAGATCCAAATTACTAGCTGGGTGGCCTAGGACAAGTTGCTTAACCTCTCTGAGATTGCATAGCTTCACTTGTAAAAAGAGGATTAAGAGCACCTACTGCATACAGCTGATACATATAAGATTTAGCACAGTGGCCGCACACAGTAGGTGCTCAATAAACGAAACAGCAATTCATCAAGGCACATAACAACAGCACAACACATTGTGTGGCACTATTTTCAGAATGTATCAATCCATTTGAGTCTTTCACTAACTTGTGAACTCCATGAAGTCAAGAGTTATGAGTAAATGAGTGATGTGAATTAATGAATTTACTATATTCCTGGGTACTAGGCAGAGTGGGTGTGATCACGCCTGCTTAAGTATAACAAACTAAACTTTATTGATTTAAGTGCCAAGCCAGGGTTAGGTGCCTGATCTTCTCATGCCCACACCAACCAGGTGAGCCCGCAGAAGGGTGTCCACGTGGGTGCACTGCAGCCGCGTGCTCTGTGCCCACCTTCAAATCCATTGTCCTTTCCAACACAAACTGCCACATCTCTCCCGCATACCAGAACATTCTGGGACTACTATGAAGAAGTGGCTTTGTGTACAGAAGCTGCTCCCTCTTCTTTCATTTCCCCTGATGTTGTAGCAAATGCTTGGAGTTCTTCATAGAACCACTGTTGAAGAGGTTGTGCTCTGTCTGTCTTCAGAGAGACCTGCATGTGCTGCTTTCACTGGTTAAGTTTCACCTTGTCTGGTTCATTCATTCAACAAACTAGATTAAGAATCTATTAGGTACTCAGCATTGTTCTAGAAGCTGAGGATATAGCAGTGAACAAAACAGACATAGCCCTATTCCCATGAAACTTATATTCTGGTTGGCTGTGGGAGTGAGCTTCCAAGAGAGCCCCAGGGATCCCTGCCTCCTGGTACTCACAACCATACTGAATAGGGATGACTTGTGTCACCCAATATGGATAGCTGGATGGCTGGATGGGTGGGTCGGTGGGTGGATGGATATATAGACAGATGAATAGATAGATGATAGACAGATGATAAGTAGATAGATAAATGATAGGTAGATGATGGATGGATAGATAGATAGATAAATAAATGACAGATGGGTAGACAGATGATAGACAGATGGTAGATAGATAATAGACAGATGATAAATAGATGATAGACAGATGATAGGTAGATAGATGATAGGTAGATAATAGGTAGATGGTGGATAGATGTATAGACAGATGGATAAATGGATGGATCGATGGATGGATTGATTAGATAGATGATAAATAGATAGATAGACAGATAGTAGATAATAGACAGATAATAAATAAATGACAGATGATAGGTCAGTTGGTAGATAGATGATAGGTAGATAGTAGATAGATGGTGGATAGATGTATAGACGGATGGATAGATAGATTGATTGATTAGATAGATGATAGATAGATGATGGCATGGCAGTGACTTCTGCAGCAAGATCATATACACAACGTGCTTTCCACCTTGCTCTCTCTCGAGGACATGTATTGAATGCCAGGTACTATACCAATATGTTACATTGTTTTGTCACATTTAATCTTCATGACAGTCTTATGGGGTGCCTTTCTTATTCCCATTTTCCAAGTGGTAAAACTGAGTCACTCACTCTGGGGGAGGCCTGCTGCCATGCTGTGAAGCCTCAAGCAATCTTATGGCAAAGTTCACGTAGTGAGGAACTGAGGCCTCGCACCAGCAGCCCTATGAGGCAGTCGTCTTGCAACCAGCCCCTCCAGGCCCAGTTGAGCCCTCAGATGACTCAATCCCAGCTGATTCCCAAACTCCTGACTCCCAGAAACTGTAAGGTAATCAATATTTGTTGTTCTAAGTTACTATGTTTTTAGAGCAACTCATTATGCAGCAAAAGAAAACTAATACCTGGGGAGTGATGGGCCAAAAATGAGCAAAATATACAGCCTGCCAGGTGGTGGATAAGAGCTCTGGAGGAAAACCAAACAGGGAAGGGGACTGGTGAGGGAGGGGATTGCAACTTTAAGTAAGGTGGTCAGGGAAGATCTCACTGAGAAGGTGACAGGCAATTAAAGACTGGAAGGAGATGAGTGAACCATGTGGAAGGGTCTTCCAGGCAGAGGGATGAGCAGATCAGAGGCTGGGAGGCAGGAGCTTGAGTGTGTCAAGGGATCAGCAAAGAGGCTGGTGTGGTCAGGACAGGTGAAGGACACAGATGGCAAAAGATGAGGCCAGAGAGGTAAGGGGCTGGACCCTGAGATACAGAAACCCTGTGATGAGATGCTGGTCACAGTAGCTCATGGTCCCGGACACATCTTGGTGCCAGGCACGGCCCCTCCCAGCACTGCCATCTTCAGTCCTCACCAAACAGGGTAGACACTGTGGCCCTCCTCACTTGCCGGATGAGGAAACTGAGGCTCACAGAGCTTATATTTCTTACCTAAGTCCACATGATCAGGATGTGGCAGAGCCAGGCTTCAAACCCGGGTCTGAAGTCCACCAGCTGGAATTCGGTGGTGCGCAGACTCTGTCTATTTCCCCCAGGTATCGTTATAGTCCGGGGTGCTCGCTGTCTGAATCAGGATCTGTGGAATCCATGTAGGAGGTTGGTGCACCTCTTTCAGGCCCTGGATGGGGCACAGACCACAAATGGCCCACCAGGGTGGAATTCAGGGGGTGTCCGAGATTCTGAGGAGTCACGAAGGAGCCTGGGGTTGCCCAGCCCCAGGGGAAAGCAGGGCCAGCAAGGCCTACTTGGCAGCCGAGCTCACCAGCTTGGTTCCCAGCTTCCCACAGATATGCATGAATGCATGAATCACCCGCGCGCAGCCTGCCCAGGACGCGCCGTTCTGCGGGGACCACAGCTCCCACTGCGAGCAGGGCCAGCCAGGCAGAGCCTTGGAAAAATGCTGCGGCGGGGTACACCCTGGCACTCGGCTGTGCTCTGTGCCGCCCCAAATCCGCCCGTGGCCTCCTGCCAACCGAGTGGGATTCGGTACATTGGTTTAAAAGAAAAAGTCAATAGAGCACTTTTGAGACGTCCGAGGCCCAGATGTTAGATGTTACTGCTTTTTCTCTACAGGTTATGAAAGCAATACTAGGTGATTCTTATTGAATATGTTCTGAGTGTCAGGTGCTGGACCAATACAGTCACATGTAATCTTCCTGATAATCTTATAGGGGTGCCATTATTATTTCCATTTTCCAAGTGGAAAAACTGAGGCTTTGTGAGAATAATTTGGTTATTTTATTTTATTTTATTTTATTTTATTTTATTTTATTTTATTTTATAAGTTCCAAGATACATGTGCGGGATGTACATACAGGTTTGTTACATAGGTAAACATGTGCCATGGTGGTTTGCTGCACCCATCAACCCATCACCTAGATACTAAGCCCAGCATGTATTAGCTCTTTTCCCTAATGCTCTCCCACCCCCACTATCCCCCATCAGGCCCCAGTGAGTGTTGTTCCCCTCCCTGTATCCATATGTTCTCATTGTTCAGCTCCCACTTACAAGTGAGAATATGAGGTATTTGGTTTTCTGTTCCTGTGTTAGTTTGCTGAAGATAATGGCTTCCAGCTCCACACATGTCCCTGCAAAGGACATGATCTCATTCTCTTTTATGGCTGCATAGTATTCCATGGTGTATATGTACCAGATTTTCTTTATCCAGTCTGTCATTGATGTAGCCCCTCTTTTTTTTTTTTTTTTTTGAGATGGAGTTTCACTCTTGTTGCCCAGGCTGGAGTGCAATGGCACAATGTCAGCTCTCCTCAACCTCCGCCTCCCAAGTTCAAGTGATTCTCCTGCCTCAGCCCCCCAAGTAGCTGGGATTACAGGCACCTGCCACCACACCTGGCTAATTTTGTATTTTAGTAGAGACAGGATTTCACCATGTTGGCCAGGCTGGTCTTGAACTCCCGGCTTCAGATGATCCACCCACCTCGGCCTCCCAAGGTGCTGGGATTACAGGTGTGAGCCACCGTGCCTGGCCCCTGCCCCTCCTTTTTAAAGCTGTATTTAGGTTTCTTTTGTATTCAGTGAAAGTTAAACTTATATAGCAATGTTCACTGAGTCTTTCCCGTATGCTGATTGCTGAGCTAAGAACTGTGTTCACGCCATCACATTTAACCCTTACCATTGTAAGGTAGGGGGCTCTGGACCCAGCTACTTGGATTTGAATCCTTGCCTTTCTGTGCCCACTGTCCTTCTTTCTGAAATGGGAACAGCAGCAGTGATGTCCCTCTCATCAGGTGATTTAGAGGATTAAAGGACATTATAGACATAAAGTGCTTAGGATCATACCTGGCACACAGTAAGTGCTCAATAAATGTCAGCTATAATCCCTATTACACAGATGAGGAAACTGGGTGGATGGGAGAAGTAACCTGCCTAAGGTTCCACCACCAGTATGGGGAGGGAACAGGAATTTGAATTCAGGCAGGATTCTGCTGTTAAAATAAAATAAATTCAATCTCAGTCTTAGATGATCTGTGAGGATTATTCTTGTTTTAAATTCTGCACAGTCTAATATTCTACGTGTCTATAAAATAAAGAATATGGAACCAATATATGTCACTACTTTTCAGCTAATGACAAAATATTAAATTAAATATCAAGGACCCTTGTGTGCTCAGTGCTGGTAGGGGCTGGGAATATCATGAAGAATAAACCAATAAGGCAGGGCCCCTGGCCTCGTAGAGCTCTGGTCTGGTGAGGTAAATGGTCTCCCCAACAGGACCCACACGCAGTAGTGGCCCTAGTGTTGACAGGAGGATTCCCAAGCTGTGTGAGCTCAAAAAGGAGCTCCTTCCCGGGAGCTAGGGAAGGCTTCCTGGAGGAGGAGACACTGATACTTAATACTGAAAGAAGATATGGTAGGCTGCTTCAGCCATGGCCCCTAGAGGTCCCTGCCCACCTTGTGGTCCTCACACTCTTGTGTAACCCCCATCTTAGTGTGTGGCCTGCACCTGGTGACTTGCTTCTGAAGAATAAAATACAGCAAAATAATGGGCTGTCACTTCCAAGATTAGGTTCCAAACCTTGTGACTTTGCCTTGCTGCCCTCTCTCTTACCCTGTCCGCTTGCGTGCTCTGCTGCCTGCCATGTCATTAGATGGTACCATGGAGGGGCCACGTGGCGGGAGCTAAGGAAGACTTCCAGCCGATAACTTGGGAGGAACCGAGGTCCTCAGTCCAAGGACCCACGAGGAACTGACTCCTGCCAACAGCCCACTGTCAACAGCGAGCTGGGGCCCTTCTCAGTCAAGCCTTGAGATGCCTATGACCCTGGGAGACGCCTGGAGCCAGAGGACTCAGTGAAGCCGCTCCCGGATTCCTGACCTATCGATGCAGTGCGATAATAAATGTGGTTTTAAGGCACTACATTCGGAGAGATGTGCCACACAGCAACAGATAACGAATACGGAAGGGTAGGGATCAGTCATGTGTCAGGAGGGAAGAGAAGGAAGGAGGAGAGGCCATGCTGGACTTGGGAACAGCAGTGCAGAGGCCCAGAAGGAACTGAGAATGGGCCCCCAGCAGAACCACAGGGATCTAGCTGGGTTAGAGCGCAAGCTGCAAATACCACTCTGTAAGGGCAGAAACGCGGCCTCATTCACCAACTGCCATATCCCCAGTGCCTAGAATGTGAAGGGTGGGCATGCGGTAGGTGCCCAATAAATGTGTAGGAAACGTGTGGTCAAGGGAGGTGAGTGGCAACGGGAGGATCCTGAAAAGAGAGCTCAGGGCAGGTGGGCAAGGCTGCGGGCCTCCTCACGGAGCCTGGACTTGGTCCTGGGGCCACAGAGCCTCAGTTCACATTTCAGCAGGAGGACAGAAGGACAGGCTACCCGCGAGCATGGCCTGGACAGAGGAGCCAGAGACGAGAGGCAAAACCAGGGGAGGGGACTGTTCTGCCGGTGACAGATGGCAGGGACCAGGATGGCCATGGGGGAGAGGAGACACGTGACCAGACCTGAGTGGTCTACCAGAGGCAGAGCCACAGGACCTGCCCATAGACAGGACATGAGGGCTGAGGGAGTGGGGATGTCAAGGGACAGCTCCATTTGTGGTCGGGGTGACCACGTGGATGGTGGTGCTGCTTTTGGTGATGGAAAACATGAGGAACAGTGGACACTTTGAGCAGGTCACTTCTCTTCTCCGTGCATTAGTCTCCTCATCTGTGAAGTACGGTTAGTAAAACCTGCCTAGCAGGGCTATTGCAAAAATTAAACTAGATAATGCATGAAGACACTTGGAACAAGCAAAAAGATTTATACACCCATGGGCACAATTACTATCTGTGATTTATATGTAATACATGCCACAGATGCTAGATGTGATTTTCACATACGTGATTTTTATATTAAAACATTGGGGAAGTTGCAGTCTGGGGGCTCTGAGACCACCAGGAGAAGTGTTCACTTTTAGAAATTTTTTTTCTAGTTCTATCTGTGGGAAGAAATAAGCCACTCAAAGGAAATAAGAACCATCTTGCTGAAAACTCACTTTTGCCAGTTGTGGCAAAGACAAATTGCATTATGTTTTTGCTGCCAACTGCAAATGGCGCCCTCCTGAGAAATGGCCTCTGCTCAAACCAGCAGAACCTCTGAAATCGGATGCTTCTCAGGATGACTCAGGCCCAGTTGCATCTTGACATCATTCAGGGTCTGAATGTTCTGTCTCGCCACTACGGATGTATAGATTTCAGGGTTTTGAGTGCTGATGGGGGGAACCGTAACATATTTGTGGGCTGGAGTCATTTCTTAGTTTCCAGGCCTAATCGCAGTCATTCACATCACAGATATTTCAGGATCTTGACATAGGTGCTGACGATTCTATGTGTCAAATATGTGCTATGTCAGGCACTTTGATGTTGCTAAGCTTGTTAAGCTCCTGAATCCCCGGGGGTGATGTGAATTATCCACAGTGTCATTCTAACACATCAGACCAGTGGTTCTCACCTGGGAGTGATTTGTCCCTTCCAGCTGTTACAACTGGGGGAGGTTTGGGGGTGGCACTGTCAGAGTAGGGGCCAGGGATGCAGCTAAACATCCTATAATGGACAGGATAGCCACAAAACAAAGATCGGTATCAACAGTGCTGAGGTTGCCTGGGCACGGTGGCTCATGCCTGTAATCCCAGCACTTTGGGAGGCCGAGGCGGGTGGATCACCTGAGGTCAGGAGTTCAAGACCAGCCTGGCCAAAATGGCGAAATCTCATCTTTACTGAAAATACAAAAAAAAAAAAAAATTAGTTGGGCGTGGTGGTGGGTGTCTGTAATCCCAGCTACTCAGGAGGCTGAGATGGGAGAATCTTTTGAACCTGGGAGGTGCAGGTTGCAGTGAGCCAAGATCATGCCACTGCACTCCAGCCTGGGTGACAAGAGCGAAACTCTGTCTCAAAAATAAATAAATAAATAAATAAATAAATAAATAAATAGTACTGGGATTGAGAAACTCTGTTTTAGATTAACTTGTTTGTTTATGGAGCAAATTCTGAGCATCTATGTGCCAGGTTCTGTTAGGCCCTAAAGATAAAACTGTGAATGAGACTGGTGAGGTTCCTCCCCTTATGGAACTAACATTCTGGTAGAGAAGGCAGATTTTAAACACCAGTATACAAATTAGTAATATTTCCTAAGATAATTTCAGATGATGAAAAGTGCTATGAGGACAGAGACAGTGTTTATGCATGGAATTATTTTCCTTATATCTGGCACAGCGCTTGGCATGGTGTTGGGGCTTTGTGAGTTTACACCAGTTTGGGGGTGGTTACAAGTATTCAGATCTGCTGTTGGCTAAGTATGTGCCCTTGGACAAGGTCATCTCTCTGTGCCTCAGTTTCTTCATATGTGAAATGGGTGTTTTCATAAGAACCACCTTGTAGAATGATGAGGATCTGATAGGGGACAGGTATACAGCTCCTGGAACAGTAAGTGCTCAATAAATGTTAGCGACATTCATTCATTCATTCATTCATTCACTCTTCCCTCCCTCACCATGAGTCCACAGAAACAGCCTTGGTTCCATCTCTGCCACCTGTGCCAGCTCTCATTGTTTTCCGGTGTCTAGCACAGTGCAATAGACCTTCTAGAAGGAATTAGAAGGATAGTGACAAAAGGACTTGTATAGAAAATGGGCACAATTGGGAATAGCCCATTCCAGCACTGGGGAGGACACAAATGCAGCTCCAGGCCCCACAGCAGGCCCTTCAGGGCTCTTATGATGAACCCGCATGGTGGGCGTGTTCAGGCACATTGGTGGCTTCCACAGGTCCCCAGTTGCCTTTGACTCCTTGTATGGTTTTCTTTCCTTCTGATATCAATTCTTCTTAACTATGGCCAGTTCCCAGGTACAGAAATGTGGCTAAGGCCTCAGCTTTCCACCTGGATGAGTCAAGAACTTTTTAGTCACAAGAAAGAGAAAATCTACTGAAATGGGACTAAGCCAAGAAAAGGAAATGAACTGGCACGTACCACAGAAAGTCAAGGTGTGGATGGATTCAGGAAGTGATGTTTCCAGGAATCTCTCTCCCTTGATCTCACATGCTAATTTCCTCTACCTTGGCTACATCCTCAGGTGAGCTCTTTCCAAGCACTGGCTAAACCTCCCCACCCTACCCCCAGTGACAACTCTGGACTCACATTTGGCAAGTCTAGAACCTCAGCTGAAAGAGAGCATGTCTTTCCCAAGAGTTCCAGCAGAAATCCTGAGGTCAACTCTGGTTGGCCCATCTCAGGTCATGTGCCCATTCCTGAACAAATCCCTGTAGACAAGGGGAAGTGGTGTTTTGATTGGCCAGGCCTTGGTCGTGTACCTGCCCTCTGATCTGGAACAGGGGCAACCTCATGGAAACAATCTAGAGTGAGAACGGAAGAGGAGTGTCCCCACAAAAGAAGATCAGAGCAATTTACCAGAAGTAGCAGCCCAAACATTAGAGGCCCCCTAGCCCTTCTTTTTGAGCATAAAACCCAAGAGCTAAAGTCCTTCCAACTTAACCAAATGTTTGTTTTTGATGCTGTCAGCCAGCCAGCATTTCTTGATGAGCAGGTGTCAGCATGGGGAACTCCTGTGCAAGGGGCATTGCCAAAGGATAGAAGGCTTCAGGGAGGGTAGTGCCCGGCCAGGCCCAGGAACCTCCTCAATACCCACTGCGTCCTGGATATTAACCACAGACAGCACCTCCCACCCCCTCATCTCTAATGGCTGAGAGGAAAAGGTCTCCCTTGCCATGACTTTTTGGCCCTTCCTTAGAGCAAAATACCCCCTGGGATCCCCTCTCTCCAAATAAAACGTACCTAAATTTGGGGACAAACTCCTGAAACTGGTTTAATAATAAAGCATACTCATGATAGAACCTGCCTATAAACAACCTATTTCTATTTTAAGTGAGAAGTGTGGATAAGCCTCACTCTTTTGTTGAGTTGTTTAAATAATTTAAATCCATTTTGTTGGATACTTCTAAACTTCTTCTAATGTTATCTGCTGTAAAATAAGAACATGAAGTGAAAATAACTTTCTAAACTTTCTTCTTGTTCAATTTTTAATGGAATAAATATAACAAAAGCAAACTAAATGTCATGAAATTTAAAACAACTCTTTTCTGGAAGATTAACTTCAAATAGAAACTGTGGAATAATAGTAGTAACAGTGATGTTTCTGGAAAGGGGTCCGATCCAGACCCCATGAGAGAGTCCTCGGATCTTGTGCAAGAAAGAATTCGGGGTGAATCCAGAGAGTAAAGTGAAAACAAATGTATTAGGAAATTAAAGGAATAAAGAATGGCTGCTCCATAGGCAGAGCAGCAGCACGGGCTGGTTGGCTGAGTATACTTATAGTTATTTCTTGATTACACACTAAACAAGGGGTGGATTATTCATGAGTTTTCTGGAAGGCGGGGTGGATTTCTTGGAACTGAGGGTTCTTCCCGGTTTTAGACCATATAAGGCAACTTCCAGGTGTTGCTATGGCATTTGTAAACTGTCATGGAGCTGGTGGGAGTGTCTTTTAGCATGCTAATGCATTATAATTAGCATATATCGAGCAGTGAGAACAACCAGAGGTCACTTTCATCACCATCTTGGTTTAGGTGGGTTTTGGCTGCCATCTTGGCTTGGGTGGGTTTTGGCTGGCTTCTTTACCACATCCTGTTTTATCAGCAGAGTATTTGTGACCTGTGTCTTGTGATACCAATCCTGCTGACCTCCTATCTCATCCTATGACTAAGAATGCCTAACCTCCTGGGAATGCAGCCTAGTAGGTCTCAGCCTTATTTTACCCGGCCCCTATTCAAGATGGAGTCACTCTGGTGCAAACGCCTCTGACAGTAGGAATGGTAGTGTACATATATTGCACATCTGTGAGCCAGGCATTGTTCTTAGCACTTTATCAGTATGAGCAAGGTACTAATATTGTACCTGTTTTATAGATGAGGACACTGAGGCACAGAGAAGTGAAGTAACTTAGCTGGGGCAACCTGGCTGGTCAATGATAGAGCAGGGACTTGAAGCTGGCTCATCTAGCACATAATTGATCCTAACCACTGACCCATAAGGCCTAGAAGGATATGGTTCTCAATCATCTCCTCTTAAGAAGACCTCACTCTTTCTAGATGGCACAAGGAGGAGCCACACCTCTTGAGTTACCTGTTTTCAGGTTCATTCAGCAAAAGCTGTTTCATGGCTGCTTGATGATTTTACAGTGAAGGCTCAGAACCCATATTCGTAAACAATGAGCTCTGTCAGTTTCTATACCTCCACCCAAGTTCTATAGCCTACGATCCTCAAGACACTTCACATATACAAACTTCAAAGCCAATTATAGCTAGCCTGATGTGACCGAGGGTGCCTCCCAAGCCCTGGCAGAGCTGACAGTTGGCAATGGAGCTGTTTTAAATGATGTTTCATTTTGATCAAGCCAGAAAAAAATGTACAGTTACTCAAAAGGCTATTTACAAACTCCAGCTGTGGCCACTGACCCACATCTAATTGTGCTAATACCATAAACACAAGTTTTGTCCGTGCCTGTGGGATACATTTCAAGCTCACACCGCCCCCACTTTTTCCCCATTCCCACCCCCAGCCAAGAAGCAATTTCCTTTGTCACTCACAATTGCTGCAATTAGTGTTATCTACACAGCCATACAAAGCCTGTTTCCTTTGCTGCATCCCAAGTGTGCCATTAGGACAGCTTTGACCTTCAGTGAGGTCTAAATATCAAAATTTGTAGGACTGCCTTTGTAAAAAATTTCAGAGGAAGAGTACCATTTCAGATTTCCATTTATACCCAGTCACATCTGTTAGAATTAGGTTTCACTAAATAGAATAGAAAAAAATATGGCCTAAATAAGATAGAAGTTTATTATTCTCTCACATAAAACTGTCATCAGAGATCTAGACAACTATCCTTCTGTTCTGCCAACCTCAGTATGTGACCTCTATTCTCAAGGCTATCTCACAATTCAGGGTAGCTGCTGCAGCTCCAGCTATCTCATCCACATTCTAGGCCAGCAGCCAGAATAAACTGAAGAGCCAGAGGACCCTCCTAGCCTCCTTTTTACAGAGCCTTCCTCTCATACCTCATTAAAGTTTTAGAGCATTTTCAATTTTTCAAATTTTCAGAGTAGAGATGCTCAGTCTGTACCTAATACAAATAAGTTACTTGTATCCCTAGATCACAGCCTCTCTGGAAGAAAGGGAGTTAGTCCCAAGAAACAAAGACTCAGGGTCAGTAGTTTAGACCAAACCAAAGGCACATGGCCATGCCTTCCTGCAAGGGATGCTGGGAAATGTAGTCTTTGGACATTGGCTGACACTGTGGTGTCAATCACCCTTAGAGATGCTGTGTGACTAGATCACCCTTAGAGATGCTGTGTAATTAGAAGGAAGGAGTTCTGAGCACCCAGCACAGTGTTAGGCATCAAGGAGTCCCCTGGTGATTCTCCCATCATTCACTGAAGCTGACTCTTCATTACTTGGGACTAAATCCCTTCTTCCAAAGGGATTGCGATCTAGGGATAGAAGTGACTTATTGGTTTTAGGTACAGGCTGACAATCCCTAATCTGAAAATTTGAAAAATTGAAAATGCTTCAAAATCTGAAACTTTTTTGAACGCTGACATAATGCCTCAAGTGAAAAATTCCACATGGGTACTTAACACAAACTTTGTTCCATGCACAAAATTATTAGAAATACACAATTACCTCTGCTAATATAAAATTACCTCTGTATGTGTATTATTAGAAATATATAATGATTAGAATATTAATTATTAGAAATATACAATTACCTCTGCTATGTGTATAAGGTATATATGAAACATAAATGAATTTCCTGTTTTGACTTGGGAGCCATCACCAAGATATCTCATTATGTATATGCAGATATTCCAAAATCCAAAAATATCTGAAATCTGAAACTCTTCTGATCCAAAGCATCGCACATAAGGGATACTCAACCTGTCATAAATGTGGTTGGGCAAAGCCAAAGGACCAATCTCCCTGTGTTCCCAGGAGTGTTTCTCCAAGCTCTACCCCAGATCCAGCTGCACCCTCGTGACACTTTGAAGTTGAGAATCTGGGGGACACCCTTTCCATCCTCTGTCCTTCTCACTCACAACCTGCCCAACTTGACCACACCTGCATCACAGAAAAGCTGTTCAAGGCTCTGCTTTGAAACAGGGGGCATCAGCGACCTGTCAGCCATTCCATCATCCAACTTGCCTTCCTTCTCTCATCTTACTCCCAACCCCCACTGCTCTTTCTACAAGACTAGAGGTCGGCTACAGGGCAGGGTGGCTCAGAGGAAGTGGGGTCTCCTCCCACGGGAGCCCAGCCTTGGCTGTTCTCATGGTTGGGTTCATCCCATGGTGGAGAGGTATAGATAGTGGAGTTGATCAGCAGCTCTTTCCTAATAAGCAACAGGAAAGAAGGCATCAGTGGGACTTTCCCAGAGGAAAGAACTTGGGTCAAAGCAGTGCTTTTCAACTGGAGCCTATTCCCCACCCCCCTGCTCCCACCCCGGGGATATTAGGCAATATCTGGATACATTTTTGGTTGTCACAGCTGGGATGGGGGTGTGAGTGTTACTGGTATCTAGTGGGTAGAAGCCAGGAATGGTGCTAAACATCCATGGCAAACTTGTCCAACCTACAACCCATGGGCCACATGTGTCACAGGACAGCTTTGAATGTGGCCCAACACAAATTTGTAAACTTTCTTAAAACATGCCGGGCATGGTGGCTCACACCTGTAATCCCAGCACTTTGGGAGGCCAAGGCAAGCAGATCACCTGAGGTCGGGAGTTCAAGACCAGCCTGACCAACATGGAGAAACCCTGTCTCCACTAAAAAAATACAAAATTAGCTGGGTGTGGTGGTGCACGTCTGTAATGCCAGCTAGTCAGGCGTGGTGGGGGGTTGGAGGGGCGCCGGGCTGAGGCAGGAGAATCGCTTGAACCCAGAGGTGGAGGCTGCGGTGAGCCGAGATCACACCACTGCACTCCAGCCTGGGCAACAAGAGAGAAAATCCATCTCAAAAAAAAAAAAATTATGTGATTTTTTTCGTGATTTCTTTTTTAGCTCATCAGCTATCCTTAGTGTTAGTGTATTTTACATATGGCCCAAGACAATTCTTCTTCTTCCAGTGTGACTCAGGGAAGCCAAACAACTGGACACCCCGTCCTACAGTGTAGAGGACAGGCCCCCACAACAAAGAATTATCTGGCTCAAAATATTAACAGTGTCAAGGCTGAGATGCCCTGGCTTGAAGGGAACAATGATGGTGTAGCTCAGTAGTTAAGACTGTGTGCTCTGAGGTCAAAGGCTTGGGTTGAAATCCCAGCTCTGCCACGTGGCAATTATGTGGCTTTGTGAAAGTCCCCTAACCTCTTTAGCCTGTCTGCATACCTGCAGCATTGGTACCTACCTCTGGGGTTTTCAGGGGTTTGGATGAGTTAATCCCTATAAGGTGTTTTATACAATGCCAGGCACATTGTGCTCCCTCAAGTTTGCAAAACTGGATTGAATAAGATAAATACTAATATATATGAGAAATTTCCATGCTGAGAATTATAATATTCAGACCCTGTACCGCCACTAAAAGGAAAGCAAAGGTTGATTCTAAAGTTGAAAACAAAAAACAGAAATCTCCTGTGGTTATGCAAATAGTGTTCCATGCAGAACCAAGAGGTGAGGCTGCCCGAGAGAGAAGCAAATGCAAGTCCAAGTTGCCAAACCCAAGCCGTTTGAAGGAGGATGGTCCAAACAACCGACCAAGTGGATGCTTTATCTTACCTTCCCTTAACTGCTCTTAACCATGCCACATTTTAGATTGTTGGAGATTTGGACCACGCCTTTCCTCACCCAGATTTCTTGTGTTTCGGGCCTCATCGAGAAGGGATTGAAGGAGGTGAGAGAAAAAACCATTTGGATGCTTCCAGAGAGAGCAATCTAGGCAGAGGTAACAGTAAGCATAAAGGCCTGAAGGCAGAAACATAAAGGCAGTAAGCACAAATGCCTGGAGGGAGAAGGTCTGGTATGTTCAAAGGCCAGCAAGGAGGCCAGTATGGCTGGAGCAGGGTGAGGAGGAAGGAGGAGTCGTGGGGTTGGGGGACAGACCAGACCCTTCTTGTTCTTGGGTTCTACTCTACTGAAATGAGAAGCTATTGAAAGTTTTGAACAGAGGAGAGACATGACATGACTTGGTTTTAACAGGGTCCCTCTGCTATTGGGTGGAGAATGGACTGTAGGGGGGCCAGGGTAGAGGCAGGGAGCCCACAGAGCAGGGCACTCCAATAGCCCAGGTGGGAGAGGATGGCAGTGGGATCAGAGGGGTTATGGCAGAGAAGGGGAACAGTGGTTGGATTTTTGGTATATTTTGAAGCTGGGCCAATAGGATTTGCTGATTTATATGGTTTAGTGCTGTGTCCCCACCCAAATCTCATCTTATAGCTCTCATAATTCCCATGTATTATGGGAGGGACCCAGTGGGAGATGACTGAATTATGGTGGTGGGTGTTTCCTGTGCTGTTCTTGTGATAGTGAATAAGTCTCATGACATCTGATGGCTTTAAAACAGTTTTCCTGCTCAATCTCTCCCTTTGCCTGCTGCCATCCATGTAAGATGTGACTTGCTCCTCCTTGCTTTCCACTATGATTATGAAGCCTCCCCAGCCACGTGGAACTGTAAGTCCAATTAAACCTCTTTTGTAAATTGCCCAGTCTTGGGTATGTCTTTGTCAGCAGCATGAAGACAGACCGTTACACTGATAGATTAGAGGTGGAGGATGAGAGAGAATGGCATCAGAGGTGACTCCAAGTGTTTTGGCCTGAGCAACGGTAGAGTGGGCTGGCTAGCAGCCCCCCAGAGATATCCCCAAGTCACAACACCTGGAAGCTGCAAAGTCAACCTTGTTTGGAAAAGGAATCTTTGCAGATGTAACTAAGTTAAGGATTTCAGGATAAGATTATCCTGGATGTGGGGAGGCCCTGGAATCCAATGATAGGTGTCCTTATAAGAAAAGGACAGGACACAGAGACACACGGAGGGGAAGGCCAAGAGAAGATGGAGGCAGAGATTGGAGTGATGCGGCTTCAAGCCAAGGAACCCCAGGAGCTGCCAGCAACAAGGCATGCTGGAGAGAGGCAAGGAACGGGTTCTCCTTCAGAGGCCCCAGGAGGGACCCACTCTGCCAACACATTGATACCAGACTTGGGCCTCCAGGACTGGGAGAGGATGCATCTCTGTTGTTTTTAGCCACCCGGGTTGTTCCTTGTTCCCACAGCCCTAATTAGGAAACAGATACAAGCTGGAAAGACGGAGTTGCCACCAATTGAGATGGAGGCTATAGGAGGAGCAGGCAGTTTGTGCAAAGGGGATGGGGGAATCCCTATAACTCCTGTGCAGGGATGTGAGGGTCAAGAAGGCACTGTGGGTGAAGCATCTCCCATGCCTGACCTTCTCCCACCTCTTCCTGCACCTGACTGCTAGGCTCAGGTCTCTGTCCTCCACCCCTTCCTCAGATAGGCCTGCCTTCCCCATTGCCTAAAATGTCCCCATGCCACCCACGGTGCCCCATCATCCTGCCTCATTTTCCTCCCAGCACTTAATCTTCTCTGAAATAACCATATTCTTTGATTGCTTTTGGTCCTGTGTTTTCCCAACACCGAGAAAGGCTCTCACAATCTCTAGATTTGCACAAAGGTGGGGCTTTCTCTGTTTTTATTTGATTTTTTGTTGTTTTATTTTTTAAGTTTTGTTTTCTTTTTTGACTCCGCAAGGGTCTGGGCAGTGCCTGGCCCACAGTAGACTCCTAAGAAGTGTTCACTGAGGGGCAATTAGGAGGTGCTTAGTGGCTGCACCAGACCTTCAGCATCCTAGACCCCTGGCTCTGACACTTACTGCTTAAGAATCACCAGGGCCACTTACTGAAAATGTACAATCCTGAGAGCCGGACTTACTAAGTCTGGGTTTGGACTTGGAAACATGCATTTTTAACAAGATCTCCACTGGGTTCTGATGCCAGTGTCCTGGAGGGGGCCACACTTCATGATAAGCTATCATCCCAACCCACTCAGGGAATGGCATGGAGTCCAGAATTGCTATTGGAACACTGCCCTCCTCGGAGGCTCCTGCCTGCTGGAGGCGTGGTGGCCTGATGATTGGCATCACTCCTGTAGCTTGAGGGTCCAGAGTGTGGACTCACATGGCGCTTCAGACCCTTCTCTGAAGCCTGACTCTTTGGGGGCAGTGCTGCAGATTGACAAAGGGTGTTTCTGCACAGGCCTGACTCACACAACACTGGAATGGGCCGGGAAGGAGCCTCCCGGCCAGACGCCCACTTTGGTACCAGCCCTGGGTTATGTAACTCCAGATGCCTGTGACTAACCCATGGCCCCGAGGGCATCTCTGGGTGGGGAAAAGATGAGGGCTGACTTCTCCAGAATTTAAAACGAAACATCTCAGGACTATTTATAAAAGCACAGGACACACTAGGGGGAAGTTCAGATAAAGGCCGTGGAGGGGTGCAGACAAGGAAAGGGAACCAGGAGGTGTACTTGCAAACTTGACCTACTAAAGGCATGGCTTCCAGAGCTCTGAGGACAGTTGACCTTCAAAACAACGATTGACCTTGGGGAAAGGATGAGTCACAGAGGCTCCAGGGCCTGGTTCCTGCTGGCAGAGCTTCCAGCCTCTGAGTCCCAGAGTGTTCTCTCCTAGGAGTGAAACATGTACTTGGTAGATGTCGGCTGCCTCCACCAAATGCAAAAACGCATCTCATCCTGTGAGCTGACCTTGCTGGGGTGAGGTCTACTTCTTGGGGAAGACCCTGGGCTGCTAACTGGGTCTTGGCTGGTCCTAGGTTTGTGGCAACCAGTAGTCACTGGATCCATCGATGAGAATAAATCTTGTTGGCATGTGGAGACAAGGCCAGGTAGAAGCAGAAGTCAGAGGGCCAGGAGGCAGGTAGGCCCCTGTCTCTATGTTAACTCATGCCAAGCCATAATGGCAGCTCACGTTGATGGAGCTGTCCATGTGCCAGCCCCTGCCTGAAGTGCCCGCAATCATCTCTCGCTTTTCTTCGATAACGGAGTGAGAGGGAAGAGCACGGGGCTGAGAATCAGGGGGCCCAGATGGAAGACCCACTCACCGCTAAATTGTTGGGGGGCCTGGGATGACTTATTACAATATTAATAATGACCACAGCAATGACTACAGCCCCATTCATTGAGCACTCGGCACTCATCATCTCATTAAGCCTTGTCCTGCAATGCCAGAGGCTTTGGAATCAGAGCTGGAGTTTTGGAATCAGACAGAGCTGGAGTTCAAGGAAGAGCTCTGACACTTATGAGCTAGCAACCTTGAACGCATCATTTAACCTTTAGGGGCTCAAAAACAGCCATTGTTTATTCATCTCACAAATATGCAGTCTGGGCAAGGCTTGGCAGGAACAGCTTATGTCTGACTTTATGTGGTGTCAGCTAGGGTGGCTTGCAGAAAAGCTAGCAACCAAAATCCCCGAAGGCTCACTCACTCACAGATGATGCCGATGCCAATACCAATGACGATGGTGATGCAGATCATGATGCAGATGGTGATGCACGTGCTGATGCAGGTGCTGATGCTGAGGCAGGTGCTGATGCAGATAATGATGCAGATGCTGATGCAGGTGCTGGTGCTGATGCTGAGGCAGATATGATGCAGATGCTGGTGCAAATGCTGAAGCAGGTGTTGATGCAGATACTAATCTGACGCAGCTGCTGATGTTAAAGCAGGTGTTGATGCTGATGCAGGTACCGATGCTGAAGCAGGTGTTGATGCAGGTGCTGAAAAAGGTGTTGGTGCAGGTGCAGATGCTGATGCTGGTAGTAATGCTGATGCAGGCGCTGATGCTGATGCAGGTATTGGTGTTGGTGCAGATGTTGATGCAGATGTTGAAGCAGGTGCTGAAAAAGGTGTTGATGCAGGTGCAGATGCTGATGCTGGTAGTGATGCTGATGGTAGTGATGCTTGTGCAGATGTTGATGCAGATGTTGAAGCAGGTGTTGATGCAGGTGCTGAAAAATGTGTTGATGCAAGTGCAGATGCTGATGCTGGTAGTGATGCTGATGCTGGTAGTGATGCTGGTGCAGATGTTGATGCAGATGTTGAAGCGGGTGTTGATGCTGATGCAGGTGCTGAAGCAGGTATTGGTGCTGATACAGATGCTGAGGCAGGTGTTGATGATGCTGCTGGCTCTGAGCTCAAACAGCCAGAGCTCCTTAGGCATTTCTTTTCATCTCTGGGTGATTCCTCTTCATGATCTGTGCAGCATGGTGGTTTAAGGATGGCTGGGTTTGTGACATCACAGCTCAGGGATTCAAAGACATGTGTCCCAAAAGAAACCTGCAGAAGCTGTGCAGCCTCAGACATCATTCTGGCACTTCTGCCACATTCTATTAGCAGAGGCAGTCAAGAATTCATATAATGTGCTTCTGTCATAAAATATTACTCTTCTTTTTATTTTTTTCAACTACTTAAAAATGTAAAAACCATTTTTAGTTCATGGGTGGTACAAAAACCTGCAGTGGACCAGATTTGGCTCCTGGGTGGTCATTGGCTGACACCCAAATTAGATAAACAGCCTTAGGGCCCAGAACCCAGTCAGTGATGGAATTTGAGATGTAATGAGAGAATGGGGACTAGCAGACCATCCCAAAGGTCCCTGCCAAGTTGGAGAATACGAAGCTCTCTCCTTAGCCTGACCACTTCTCCCAAAGACAGAAGCCTCTGCCAGGATCAGGAATGGACAAATGTGGCCATTCTTCTATGGCCTCATGAGTAAGCCATGGCCCTGGGGGTGAGGATAACAGTTGGATTCAGAGGTCAGCATGTTGGAAGGTTCATGAGCTGATGAGAGCTGCCCCTTGATAGTTTTGCATCTTGGAGAAGCGGGTACCTATCATCTCACCTCCCCAAATTTGTGTCCTTTCCCATAAATAGTTGCTGTTGCTATTTTGGGAAGGCAAAATAGCATCATTGTGAAGAGTGTTGGTCTCAGATAATCTTGAGTTGAATCTTGCTAACTGTGTGAACTTGGGCAACTTACTTAACCTCTCTGTGCCTGATTTTCTTCATCTGCAGCATGGAGTTACTAATGACTACCTCTCAGGATTAAACTAAACCATGCATGGGAAGTGATCAGCCAGGGATTAGGGAGTAATCAAGAAATAAATATCAATTGTTTTGATGTTGTTAATATTAGGCTGAGTGGGGGCCAGGCACAGTGGCTCACGCCTGTTATCCCAGCACTTTGGGAGGCCGAAGTGGGCAGACTGCCTGAGCTCAGGAGTTCAAGACCACCCTGGGCAACATGACAAAGCCCTGTTGTCTCTACTAAAATACTGAAAATTAGCTGGGCATAGTGGTGGGCGCCTGTAGTCCCAGCTACTTGGGAGGCTGAGGGAGGAGAATTGCTTGAACCTGGGAGATGGAGGTTGCAGTGAGCCGATATCCCAGCACTGCGTTCCAGCCTTGGCAAGACTCTGTCTCTACCAAAAAAAAAAAAAATTAGGCTGAGTAAGGACTGCTGCCTTCATGGGGTGGTGGCTAGTCATGGTGGAAGACGATGGTATTTGTGGTTGCAATTTGAAACGCGCTATCCTTCAAGCTTTGAACCTGGTGAGATATAGACACAAAAAACAGTTGGTGAACAAAAAACCAGCCTCATCCTGATAAAGCAGCCTAGAAGAAAGGCATGTCCCTGCCCACTGCAAGCTATAGTCAGGAAATGGGGAGTGGCCCTTCAAGGCACAGGGAGATGCCAGAATTAGACACATGACCACACCGGACAGCAAGGGTACATGAGAAAAGCATTTAGTATAATAGTTACATGTTTTTATGGGTGCCTTCTTTATTTGAAAAATGGTGCTAATTTATTATTTTTATTTATTTATTTTTAGATGGAGTCTAGCTCTGTCACCCAGGCTGGAGTGCAGTGGCGTGATCTCAGCTCACTGTAAACTCCGCTTCCTAGGTTCAAGCAATTCTCCTGCCTCAGCCTCCCCAAGTAGCGCGGTGACTCATGCCTGTAATCCCAGCACTCTGGGAGGCTGAGGCAGGTGGATTAATTTATTACTGATGGTAATGATTTTTAAGTTTCCTTTAAAGGACGTTTATGTAAGTGAAAAGAAATAAGTCATAGTAAAGCTGATACCCGGATGTAGACTAAACTCTGAAGGCAGCCTGGATGACTTTCATTTGGCAAGCTCCGTAGGCAAGGCTGGGTCCCCAACACAGCCCTGTAGATCCTGTGGGGAGTACCACCAAATTTTTAAAGTGGATTTGTAAGGAGGAGAAACTGAGGCAGCAGTTGAAGTGGCTTTGCCAGGGCCACTCATTAAAGAGTCTCCGGCCAGCAGGGGATAGATGGAGAAAGAACTCATCAGAGGCCTGTAGACTGCGCTGGGGAGAGGGGATCGTGCGTCTTTGGGACCTGGCTGTCTCTGTCCCACCCCAGTGCCTTTGGGCTCTCCCTAGTTCCTTCCCTCTGCTGCCTTTCTGGGGCAGCCTTTAGGAGAACAGCTCTGACCTGTCCTTTGTATCTTAGCAGGAATGAGTTTGATTTGAGAAGCGGATTCCTTCTCCCCGGGAAAGGCACAAAGTTTTCTTTCCAAGTGCAGGTTGAAACTAACTCCTGGTGAAGAAGCTCACGGCACCATCCAGCATGTACGTGAGGAGTTTTGTGTTCGGAATGTTTTTAACCCTCTAAAATTATCCCACAAGCTCCCAGACAATCCAGCAATGCAACAGTGTCCCTCCCCCACAGCCCAGGATGAATGACAGTGTGGGGAAGTGCACGTTGGATTCTATGCCCTGCTCTGCCACTGGCTGGCTATGTGACCTAGGGCAAATGACTGGATATCTCTGAGCCTCCATTTCCTTGGTGCAAAAGTGCAGCAATAAAGCTAGCCTTTCAAGTGTGAGATGAAGCTGCCACAGCCAACACAAGGGCCCTTCCATGAATGTCAGGCTTCCTTGCAGCCTGTCCCCCCATAGCATCTCAACAGGCACCCTAGCACTCATCTTGAAAAATAAGGCAAGACTTCATCTCCCTACCCACCCTGGAAAATGATGGGAGATCAGTGCTGTGGAGGAATAGCTCAGGCCCCCAAGTAAAAAAAGAAAAAAAAAATTGGGTGGGGCCTAAGGAAATGGCCAGTTCCAGAGATGCGTGCATAAGATGTATATTACAGGAGTGCCGTCATCTCTTGGTATCCGAGGCAGATTGGTTCCAGGACTCCCATGGATACCAAATCTGAAGATGCTCAATTTCCTGATATAAAATTTACATATAACCTATGCACATCCTCCTGAATAGTTTAAATCATCTCTAGATTACTTATAATACCTAATATAATGTAAATGCTATGTACATAGTTATACTGTATTGTTTTTTATTTGTATTATTTTTTATTTCTGTTTTTTTTTTCTATTTTCAAATGTTAGTTGAAACCAACCAAATATTGGTTGGTTGAATCTGTGGTTGTAGAACCTGTGGATACGAAGGGCCAACTGTATTTACAATGGCAAACATTTAGAAGCAATCTAGATGTTAAATCTTATGGGATTTGCTAAGTAAGTCATAGCACTGCCTTAAAGTGGAGCTGGCTTTATGTTGATTGTACACTTGTGTTTACTGTGACTGTTGGTTGACTGGTCAGCATTCACTCCCTCTTCCTCCTTCCTCAGGACACTCAGTTTTCTTTGGATTTCTGCCCCTTTCTGAGGCAGCCATGAGACTCAAGAGAAGCTGACCCCATCCTTTGCTCTGAGGGTAGGCTCTAGCTAGTCTAAGCAACGAGTCAGCACACTTTTTTTTTTTCTTTTTGAGATGGGTGTCTCACTTTGTCGTCCAGGCTGGAGTGATGCAATCTCAGCTCACTGCAACTTCTGCCTCCTGAGTTCAAGTGATCCTTCCACCTCAGCCTCCTGAGGACCACAGGCATGAGCCACCACGCTGGGCTAATTTTTTGTATTTTTGGTATAGATGGGGTTTTTCCCTGTTGCCCAGGCTGGTCTCCAACTCCTGAGCTCAAGCAATCCACCCACCTCGGCCTCCCAAAGTGCTCAGATTACAGGCATGAGCCACCGCACCCAGCCAGCACGCTTCTTATATAAAAGGCCAGATAGTAAATATTTTAGGCTTTGCAGGCCATGCAGTATCTCTCACAATGAATCATCTGCTGTTGAGGCAGACAAGCAGCCATTGGTTATATACAAAAATGATTCCAATAAAACTTACAAAACCAGGCCATGGGCCACATTTGGCCAGCAGGCAGGAGTTTGCCCACTCCATTATAAGCCATTCATGATAGCCCAATCCCCCATCAATAATTGCTTCAGAAACTCAGTCTGAAGCCCACGGGCAGCAGGCACAGCCCTGGGGAGAGTTATTGGTCCCGCAGATGAAGAAGAATAACAGGGAGGCAATGATAGGTCAGAAAAGGCTCCTAGAGTTGGTGACATTTGAGCTGGGGCCTGCAGCTGAAGAGGCAGTTACAGGAAGAGCTTGTGGATGACGATCCCAGGCATGGGGAACTGCAGATACAAAGACGGAATCAGGAGCCAGATGCAGTGGCTCCCACCTATAATCCCAGCACTTTGGGAGAGAGGCTGGTGGATCACCTGAGGTCAGGAGTTTGAGACAAGCCTGGCCAACACGTTGAAGCCCCATCTCTACTAAAAATACAAAAATTACATGGGTGTGGTGGTGCACCCCTATAATTCCAGCTACTTGGGAGGCTGAGGCAGGAGAATTGCCTGAACCTGGGAGCTGGAGTTTGCAGTGAGCTGAGATCACGCCACTGCACTCCAGCCTGGGCGACAGAATGAGACTATGTCTCAAAAACAAAACAAAACAAAACAAAACAAAACCAGAGATGGAATCAGGAAAAGCCTGGTGCCTAGGGCGGGGTGAACAAGAGGTGGGGACGGAGGGTGGCATGGATGGGAGGGGGATCACCAGGGCCTGTTCCCCCAGTAAGGAGCGTTTGAAGAAGCCACTGGAGAATTCAATCAAGGATTTTGAGAAGTGATCTTGTGACAGAGGCCTCAAGAACCATCGCGAAAGTTACACAGCCGATGTTTTTCTTTTTTTCTTTACTTTTTTTTTTTTTTTTTTTGAGACAGAGTCTCACTCTGTAGTCTAGGCTGGAGTGCAGTGGCAGGATCTTGGCTCACCACAACCTCTGCCTCCCTGGTTCAAGCCATTCTCATGCCTCGGCCTCCTGAGTAGCTGGGATTACAGGCACCCACCACCACCACGCCTGGCTAATTTTTTGTATTTTTTTGTAGAGATGGGGTTTTGCCATATTGGCCAGGCTGGTTTCGAACTTCCGGGCTCAAGTGATTTACCTGCCTCGGCCTCCCAGAGTGCTGGGATTACAGGCATGAGCCACTGCACCCATCCGAGAGCCAATGTTAATGGTAGTCACGGCTCGGTGGTAACTGTCACTTTTATGCGTCCTAATTTTTCTATAATATACATACATTATTTGAGTAAGAAAAATAAACATGTTTGTAGCGGGATCAGATTTACGCGTGTGCAACTTGTGCGACTGCACAGGGCCTCGTGCTCAGAAGGACTTTGAACTTAGTTTCATACACTGCTTTTGCTATCCTAAAATTCTTAATGATTTTATCTTTGAACTTAGGTTTTATGAGTGGAGTCTGACAGGACAAGGGAGTGTGTGCCTGAGCAGAGAACACAGGCACAGGACACTGTTTTTTTGTGCGTTTTTTTGTTTTTGTTTTTGTTTTTAATTTTTCTTTTGAGACAGAGTCTCGCTCTGTCTCTAGGCTGGAGGGCAGTGGCTTGATCTCGGCTCACTGCAATCTCCGCCTCCCGGCTTCAAGCAATTCTCCTACCTCAGCCTCTCAAGTAGCTGGGACTACAGGCACACACCACCCCGCCCAGATAATTTTTGTATTTTTAGTAGAGACAGGGCTTCGCCATGTTGGGCAGGATGGTCTCGATCTCTTGACCTCGTGATTCGCCCACCTCAGCCTCCCAAAGTGCTGGGATTACAGGCATGAGCCATCAAGCCCAGCCCAGGACACTGTTTTCACTGTGCCCCACGATTTCAGAGTTCTGTGTGAGTTCAGTGAGACTTAGAGCAAATACAAGGTGAACGTCCCATGTGTGACTGAGTAGGAAGAGACGCTGGCAGCTCTGAAAGCCATGTTCTTTCTCAGAACCATTCACTTGCTGTCAAGGCAGAAAAAAACATGCATGGCCCAGGAACCTTTTCTTACATGTGGGACTTCCCTGTAGTGGTCAACCATTTATTGCTACACACGATGACTTTTCCAGAAGGGGAAAGACAGGGTGACCAGGGTTCCTTCTCCTTTCAACCCTTCTTTATTCATCAGTAAGCCAGAGGCAATGTAGGTATAAATGTGCATGTCTCAAGGAGTGAAATAGAAACAATTGAGAAAGTTTTGTGCAACGTTTCCACTACCCTGGTAAGAACAACATATATACCCATATGCAAGCTCCAAAACACGAATGTTAAAGTTTCAGTGATGCTGCCGATGGGCTCCATGCTCATAGGCTTCTATTTGAAATTGGGATTGCATAATATAAAAATTCATTTATATTTAATTTAATTTAAAATATTTAAATTTTTTTTTTTTTGCTTCAAACAATAATAAATAGCAAATTTTTAAAAGCACAAAAACACCATCTCAAGAGAGGGCCCACAGAAGAAAGCAAAAAGAAAAATGTTTACGTTAGTATCTTTAGTGACGCTTTTTGTCCTGCTTTGCAAACAGGGACCCTGCATTTTCCTTTCGCAGTGGGCCATGCAAGTTCCGGAGCGAGTCCTGTGTGCTCTACAGAAAGAAACGAGACACAATGAGCAGGGACACGGAGCTGTGCTTGGCGGGAGCGGGGGTGACTCTGAGCCCAGGCCCTGCCTCCCACACCCACATTTGCAGAGAGGAAGGAGCTGTGAGATTTGTTTGCACTCAGTTCAGTGAATCAAGTCGCCAGGCGGGCATCAGCAGTACCTTAGACTCTATCACAATATTTCCTTTGGCTCCCGTCTTCACCTTAAAGGTGAAGTTGACGGGGGTTTGCATGGAGCTGCTCTGAGCTCACTCCCTTGGGTCACTCTGGAGGCGTGCAAGCACGAAGAAAGCTCATTTTTCTGCTCTCAAAAACAATCATGCCCTTTCCTTCTCTCATTTATTTTTTTTATTTTGAGTCCAATTTAGAAAGGGCTGGGGGCCGTGACTCAGTCCTTCCTCATGCTCCTTAAAGAGGCCGAGTTCAGGAGCATGGAGCTCAGCTAATCTCCAGGGGTGACATTTATGAGCCACAGGGGTGGAACGCATGGCTGGTTTTCCTGTTGGAACATTCGGGAGCTGTGGCGTGGGGCACCCTGTACCAGGTAGCCCTGGGGTGATCCACCACCCCCCTGCAGGGACAGCCCCAAAGACTCCTCAGCTGTGGAGCTGGAGGTGCAGGGTAGGGAGCTAGGGCAAGGGGTAGCCGGTGGCCTTTCCAGGGCCTGGGTGAGGGCCGGTGCTAACAGAACCTTCCAGCACCTTCTAGTGCCCACGCCTGAGGACAAGGTGGGAGGACCACACCCTGGAGGGCAGCCCGGTGCCTGGTAGCCCTCAGTGATCAGGAAGGAAATGAGAGAGGTAACCTTGCCACCTCCCTAGACCCGTAGTAGGATGATGTCACCCTCTGGTGACAGATGGAGTGGGGCTTGTGGAATTTACTGTCTTTAGTGTGATCATTCAGCAAATGAGCAGGATGTGTTGGGGGAGGAGCTTGGCTTTGGCACCACTTGGATATGAGTTTAAACACCAGCTCTGCCAGTGACCGTGGGTGACACATAGTGCCTCCCAGAGCCTCAGTTTTCTCTCTGTAAAATGGACATAAATACTCTGAACAAGCAAATAGTTAGAAGGCGCACACTAGCAACCAGCATGGGAGCTGTGATGGAGGTGGTGATGTTGATGGTGACCCACCTGGGGCCAGACATGTGCTTAGCATTGGAGATGCAAAAAGAAAGAAGCCTGGTCTGTGTCCTCTTGTTACTCAGGTCTCATCTTCAAATGTCCCCTCCCCAGAGGGGCTTCCTGGGTGGAACGATCTCGATGAGCCACTGTCTCACCTTACATGTTCCCTTCATAGCCTGCATGGTCTCCATGTGCCCAGTCGTCTTTTTGCCCAGTAGGCCCTCCATGGGGTTAGAAGCTAGGTTCAATTCATTCATCTCTGCATCCCCACTGTCTGGCAGAGTTCCTAGCACAGAGTAGGCATTTGATCAATATTAAATGTCATTTATTGGTTTACTGATTAGGAGCCATAAAAAGGTCATGGTCCCTGTCCTGGAGGGTTCGCTGTTTTGTGTTCACATCACAGCCTTGTCTGGGGAGCTGCATGTCAGGGAGCTGCATATCAGGAAGCTGACACTGACATCCGATTGAGGAAGCCCTCTTCGAAATTAAGGGTCCATCCCAGCCTTTCCCATCAGTGGAAATGTACCGTGTGCTTCCCTCAGCCAAACTTAAGTAGGAAGTAAAATGCATGTGAAATATAAAGCCACAGAGAGCAAATCTTGCACCGGAGTAGATCATGAGCTCTGAGACCCCATGGGGGTGCAAGTGCTGGGGCTGCCACCAGCCAGCTGGGTGATGTTGAGCAAGTTCCTTTAGCCTCTCAGGATCTCAGTTTCCTCATCTGTAAAGTGGGAATGATGGTAGCTCACCTACCTCATGGGCTTGTAGTAAGGATCAAGTGAGATGGCTTGCAGGGGTGAGCACTGTGTTGGATCCAGCCGGTGTTCAATGGTGGGGAGTGATTGGGGGTGATTCCACTTCCGTTGCCTTGGTGAGAGCCTTGGTCATGTAGCTGCCATCCCTGCTTGCAAATCCCACCTTCATCACTTACTCCACAGCTGGTGTTGGGCATGATACCTCACCAGCTAAACCTCAAGCCTCAGTTTCCCCACCTGTAAAATGGGGATGACACTGGAACTTTCTGCAAGGTTTGTTGTGAGAATTAAAGGAGATGTTGAGCCTTATCTCTGGCCCCTCCCCACCCCTAGTCCTGAGGGCATCCCTAGTCTCAGCCTTAGAAGGGAAGGGGTGGGAAGCGGGACAGGGACCTTCAGGCAAGGGATGGAATCCCCTTCTGACTTACCTTCCTGGTTGCAAGTGAAGACCTCTGTAAGTCCTCTGCTAACATGGTTGAGTCACCTTGGGCACACAGCCTGCGACTGGGTTTGGTTTTGTGGGGTTTTTTTTGGTTTTGAGGTTTTTTTTGAGACAGGGTCTCACTCTCTTGCTCTGTCACGCAGGCTGGTGTGTAGTGGCGTGATCATGGCTCACTGCAACCTCCACCTCCCGAGCTCAAGCAAACCTCCAGCCTCAGCCTCCTGAGTAGCTGGGACTACAGGCATGTGCCGCCATGCCTGGCTAATTTTTTTTTATTTTTTTAAATACAGATGAGATCTTGCTATGTTGCCCAGGCTGGTCTTGAACTCCTGAGCTAAAGTGATCCTTCTGCCTCAGCCTCCCAAAGTACTGGGATTACAGGCATGAGCCATCATGCCCGGCCTGCAACTGGGCTTGTATTAGAGAATCACAGCTGCCCTGGCCGTCCACAACAGTGAGTGAGGCTCTTGTTCCCCCATCAGCCAGTGGCATCCCTCCCAGAGCCTGAGCAGCCAGGGAGGAAAACTCCCCATCCAGCTGCCTGGCTTTTCTCGGCAGGGGCAAGGGTGAAAGGTGGGGTGATGGGGACACTGCCTGAGCTCCAAGGGGAGGGTGGCATATTAAAGGGACAGTTGGGATGTCAAAACCCTCCATGGCTCCTCACTGGCTTGGAGAAATACCCAGAAAAATGCCACATGGTCACAAGCCCAGCAGGATCCTGCTCTGTGGCCTGCCTGACCTCATCCCCTCCTGCTCTCTGCCTCCCTCAGCAAACCTCAAGCAAACCTGACATATTCGCACCTGGGTCTTGGTGCTTACTGGTACCTCTGCCCAGAATAGTTATCCTAGGTGTGCACATGGCTCCTTCCTTTCTCTCGTTCAGGGTCTGCTCACTGAGACCCCACTTCACTAACCCCTGCTCTTTCCCTAAAGTGCTTTATCCTTCTTCGCACCCATCATGACCTAACTTATATTTATTTGTGTCTCCCTCTAGAAAGTCGGCTCCAGCAGATAAGGGATTTTTGTCTCTCTTGTATGCTGTTGTCTCCCCTGCTCCTAGAATGTTACCTGGCACATAAATATTTACTGAATGGATGGATGGATGGATGGATAGATAGATGATAGATAGATAGATAGATAGATAGATAGATAGATAGACAGATAGATAGATAGATAATGGGTGGGTGGATAGATGGGTGGATGAACTGGTGGATAAATGGGTGGATGGATGGATGGATGGATGGATGAATAGGTGGGTGGGTGGATGAATAGACAGGTGGGTGAATGAGTGATGAGTGGCTGGGTGGGTGGGTAGATGGGTGGATGGATGGATGAATGGATGGGTGGATGGATGGATGGGTTGATGAGTAGATGGATGGGTGGATGGTGGATGGGTTGATGGGTGGATGAATGGGTGGATGGATGGATGGATGGATGAATGGATGGGTGGATGGATGGATGGGTTGATGAGTAGATGGATGGGTGGATGGTGGATGGGTTGATGGGTGGATGAATGGGTGGATGGATGGATGGATGGGTTGATGGGTGGATGGGTAGGTAGATGGATGAATAGGTAGGCAGATGGATGGGTGGGTGGATGGATGGGTAGATGGGTAGATGGGTGGACAGGTGGAATGGTGGATGGATGGGTGGGTGGGTAGGTGGATGGATGAATAGGTAGGTGGATGGATGGGTGGGTGGGTAGGTGGATGGATGAATAGGTAGGTGGATGGATGGGTGGGTAGATGGATGGGTGGACGGGTGGACAGGTGGACTGGTGGGTGAGTGGATGAATGGGTGAGTGGATGGATAAATAGATGGATGACATGTGATGGGGTGACTAAACAAGTTGAGACCCACTGATAGCAGTTGACATTTGAAAGGAGAATTTCAGCTGGCTCTATGCTCTTTGGAGCAGCTGTGTAACACTGCATGCTGATTACTTGGCCCTAAGAACCTCAGTTTCTTCATCTGTGAAATGGGAATAATGAGCTTGGTAGAGTAGTATGACCATGTGATAGCATTCATTGACTTCTCGGCATAGTTAGTGCCTGGACCTCAGTGACACTCAGGAAATGTTTGTTGCTATGATTTTACTTCTGGAGTGTGTCTAGAAAGGAAGATGCGGAGGAAAGGGCCATGGCAGTTCACATTCAGCTTCTTGGGAAATACAGGAGCCCAACCTGCCAAATATGTAGAATGAGCGCAGAGATGAAAAGACAGGCTTTGGAGTCAGGCCTGGGGCAGAACCAACTCTTCCACTTTCTAGCTGTGGTTTGGGGCATGTCGCAGGACTCTGCTAAACCTCTGTTTCCTCATGTGTGGCTGGGGATGATACAGAACTTCCTGCATATGGCCGATTCCAGGATTAAACGAGGAAACTCCATGTGGGCCTGGCACATAGAGGCACTCAGCACTTAGCATCCTCCGTGTGCACCAGGGTCTCAACACACACCTCAAATCTCCTGCTTTTTAAATGTCAGTGTGTCAGAGACCACTCTGTCTCCCCCAGATTGATTAGCTCCTTCTTCCTTGGCAATGGTACCTTTGGGTTTGAGCTGGGCTGCTGCCACCCTGAATAAGCTACATCTCCAGCAGCTACATGTGGCCAAGTGATCAGCTTGGGCCAATAAGCTGTGAGCAGATGTGGGCAACAGCCAGGCTGGGCCCTGAGAAGGAGGGTCACACCCTCCCCTCCGCTCTTCCTGCCAGTTGAATCCAGACCTGGCTGACCTGATGGTGAGGCACACTGTGGACCTTCTGGTAGGGAACATTCTGGAAGGAAGAAGAGCAACAAGAGGAAGGGAGCCTGGGTCCCTGCCCACAGAGCCACATATCCACCTGCTTATCCTGAAACTGCTCTGGGGGAGAACTACAAACATCTCTTTGCTGTTATTTGGGGTCTCCAGGTCAGCAGCTGAAACTGTACCCTACATACCTGTGGCAACTACTTCAAGTTGTGAAATAATTGTGCAGAATAACACCTTGTAAACACATCCATGGGCTGGGCATGACTTGTGGAACCACTTGTTTGCAATCTCTGCTTAGATTCAGAAACCTGACCCGGGAGGAGAGAGCAGGAAATAAACCTGTTTTGTTAGGAGAGCATCACTCTATAACAGTGATAATAATGAAAAGGGGCTGGGCGCAGTGGCTCCCCACACTCTGGGTGGCTGAGGCGGGCAGATTGCTTGAGCTCAGGAGTTAGAGACCAGCCTGGCCAACATGGCAAAACCCCACCTCTACTAAAATACAAAAAATTAGCTGGGGATGGTGGCGGGCACCTGTAATCCCAGCTACTTGGGAGGCTGAGACACAAGAATCGCTTGAACCCAGGAGGCAGAGCTTGCAGTGAGCCGAGATTACACCACTGCACTCCAGCCTGGGTGAGAGAGTGAGACTCTGTCTCAAAAATTTAAAAATAAAAAATAATAATGAAAAGGCTCAGTAATCTATGGTGAGCTGACTCTATCAAGACTATGCCCTTCCCTTTCCCTGCACTATCTGGTTGAATCCTCAAACCATCCTACACGAGAGGTCCTTTCAGAGGTACAAGTGTTTAAGACATTAAGTGCAGACCAAGACAGGCTCCACCCAGGACCAGCAGGTGGTCACAGGAACCTCTGACATGAGATATTCCAATCCCTTCACCCAAGTTATAGATGAGGCTGGGGCCAGAAGAGAGAAGGACAGGTCCTGCCCCTGGACAGCCAGCCAGGTAGTAGCAGCCTGGGGTCTTGGGAGAGGCATCACTGCAGGTAGAGAAGCAGAAAGAACAAATTTGCAAGGGAGCAGGGGATTCCCTGGCTCGTGGGGTGGGGGTCAGAACTTGCTCCAACTCCTTTTAAAGTGGCCTCTAGAAAGCAGATGCCCAAAGGGTCCCCGGCGTGTGATGAGACGGGATGGGGCGCCTTGCAGAGTTGGCTGCGATGCCCGCCCCAGAGGTGTCCTGAGCTTGGCCGCTCTCAGGAATCGCCCTCTCTCCCTCACCCTGCCGTCAGCAGCCCTGACTCAGGCTTCTGTCATCACAGGAAAGCTGTTTTCCCAAAGCAAGGAGGTCTGTGGTGTGCTTATGGGCAGCCACAAATGAGGGGTCACTGAGCTGCCAAACTGCAATAGAGCAAAGGCTATTTTTAACCAAGAGAGGGAGAGTTAGGGGGTTAGAAGGATATCCTGACAAGTCAGAAAAAATAAGGCATCACTTCCCGGGTTGACTCAGAGGGCCAGGCTTGCATCTCTCAGTCTCCTCTTGAACCCTGTACATTTTTTGCAGAAGAGTAATATGTAGGAACATCTCCTGGCTCTGCCACTTACTCGCTGTGTGACCTTGGATGATTTATGTAACCTCTCTGAGCCTCAACTTTCTCATCTGTAAAATGGAAATAATAGGAGTAATGCCCTGGCAGGACTGTAAGGACTGAGATCATAGCAGTCAAGCCCCCAGCGTGAATGGAACGCTCTGTTGATGAGCACGTCTTTAACCAGTGTCTGAGCTTCCTACTGCTGCTGTAATGAATCACCTCAAAATGAATGGCCTAAAACAATGCTGGTTCAGGATCTTACAGCTGTAGAGGTCAGAAGTCCTAGAGTCAAGTTGTGGCAGGCCTGATCCTCCTGGAGGCTCCAGGGCACAATCTGTTTCCTGCTTTTCTAGCTTCCAGAGGCTGGCCACGTTTCTTGGATCCTAGCCCCTTCCTCCATCTACCAAGCCAGCCAGCAGCGCATCATCTTCTAATCTCTCTCTCTCTCTGTCTCTCTCTGTCTCTCTCTTTCACACACACACATACACACACAAACACACACACTAGTCTCTCTGTCTCTCTCTCTTCCACACAGACACACACACACCTCTGTCTCTCTGTCTCTTCCACACACACACTAATCTCTCTGTCTCTCTCCTACACACACACACACACACTTCTGCTTCCATGATCACATCTCCTGTCTCCTTCTCTGACACTGATACTCCTGTCTCCCTCTTCTAAGAACCCTTGTGATTCCATTGAACCCACCCAGATAATCCAGGATAATCTCCCCCTCTCAGAATCCATCACTTAGCCACATCTGCAAAGTCCTTTTGTCCTTTTGTCATATAGAGAACCATATTCACAAGCTCTGGGGATCTGAATATGGACAACTTTGGGAGCCATTATACCAGTTTTCCACTGGTGTTGTGGAAGATGGAATAATGATTTTTAAAAATGGGCTGGATGGGTGCAGTGGCTCATGCCTGTAATCCCAGCACTTTGGGAGGCCAAGGTGGGCAGATCACTTGAGGTCAGGAGTTCAAGACCAGCCTGGCCAACATGGTGAAACCCCATCTCTACTAAACATACAAAAATTAGCCAGAAGTAATGGTGCATGCCTGTAATCCCAGCTACTTGGGAGGCTGAGGCAGGAGAATCACTTGAACCCGGGAGGTGGAGGTTGCAATGAGCTGAGATTGCACCACTGCCCTCCAGCCTGGGTGACAGAGTGAGACTCTGTCTCAAAAAAAAAAAGGCCTTAGAAGACATCTTAGGGTGTCTGTTTGGGTCTTCTTTGTTTTAAGATATATGCAACAAAGGCCCAAATAACAGTGGCTAAAACAAGATTCAATCTCAATCTCGATCTCTCTCAATCTCTCTCTCTCTTTCAAGACTGGGCTGAGGTGGCTGCTCTGCTCCACACAGTCTGTAGGCCTGAGGAGGTGTCCATCACGTAGGTTCCTACCCCCTCTACTCTGATGCTCCACCATCCGCAGGGTGTTCAGAGCACGTCCTCCACCTCTGCAGCCTGGCCAAGGGAAAGGTGACAGGCATAGCACACTCCCTTCCCTCTACAGTCACACCCAAGTGACCTTCACTTCTGCCACCACCACATTGGCCAGAACTTGGTCACATGAGCACACCCAGAGGCCAGGGAGGCTGGGAAATGTGGCTATTCCAGGTGGCCACATGCCCAGAAGCAATGGGAGTTCTGCTACTGAAAGGGAGGGAGAGAATTTGTGTTGGGGACAAATAGCAATCTCTGCCACAGGGCTGCTAGAGAGAAAACCAAGTTCTCCACCATAGACATGGGGCTAATGGGGGAGAATAAGCAGCTCCTCCCAAGGATGGATATTCCAGGGTAAAAATGCCCATCACACATATAGTTGGTGGCTTACCCAAGATCTATCTTTCTTCTTCCTTTCTAAGAGAAACCCTAGCTTGTTCAAGGTCACAGAATGCTTGGCCAAAAAGCTCCATCTCCCAGTCTCCTATGACATCATGAGATATAAGAAGTCTGCTGGGGGTTTAGCCATTGAATTCCTGGTGTGTGCCTTCACCCCACCCCATTTGCTTCCTCTCCCCACCAGAAGCTCAGGAGTGAGACCACAGGGGCAGCAGCCATCTTTCAAGCCCTACCAGGGGGCAACTAGGAAGAGCTCAAGTGCTTAATGATATCTCTGAGCCACTCTACCACTGGTGATTGTCTACCCTTAGACGTCTTTCTACCCAAGAAAAAGTAACCTCTTGTTTGTTTAATCCCATTTGCTTTGACAATTTGGTGTCTCCCTGGCCTGCCTATATGCTCTCTGCCCTTGTTCCCTATAGCAGCAGTCCCCAGTATTTTTGGCACTAGGGACTGGTTTCATGGAAGACAGCGTGTCAATGAACCAGGGTGGAACAGGGATAGTTTCAGGATGAAACTGTTCCACCTCATATCATCAGGCATTAGATTCTCATAAGGAGCACACAGCCTAGATCCCTCAAATGCACAGTTCACAATAGGGTTTGCTCTCCTATGAGACTCTAATGCAGCTGCTGATCTGACAGGAGGCAGAGCTCAGGTGGTAATGCTTGCTCACCTGCCACTCACCTCCTGCTGTGCGGCCTGGTTCCTAACAGGCCACAGACCAGTACCAGTCCATGGCCCAGGGGTTGGGGACCACTGTCCTGTAGGGAACCTTGCTGGGCAGTGTTCATGTCCATGTATACACAGCCCATGGTGTGTCTTGCCATTTCAGGGAGAGTCCCACTGGGGAACAAGACCATATAGGGTTGTCCAGGAAGCCCATGTCACTTACAGAAACTAACCAACTTGGTCCTTTATTTGTAAATGTGAAACCACATTCAGGGCATCGAAAGACATCTGCAGAAAACAAATGTCACAAAAAGGGAAGAATCAAAGTAAATAAACTGAATACTTCATACTGGAATGATATGAGATATTTCCAGGGAAAGATTTTTTTTAAGTTTTCATTCTAGTTTGTGTCTTGAGGAATATTTGAGAGACTGTCACATCAACAAAACTAGAGTAGATTATTGTGAAAACTGAGCAGTTGGAGAACAAGAAATGTTCTTGACAATGAAAAATATAATTACATTTGAAAATTTCAGTGAATGAAAAATGAAATAGACATGGCTGATGATAAAGTTAGTAATATGGAAGACAGAATTGAAGAAATCTCCTAGAATGTAGGATGACTAGACAAAACTAGAAATTAGAAAAGTTGAGATAGAAGAGGATAAATCTAGGAGGTCCAGCCTCTGTAAATGAGCATTTCAAAAGAAGAGAAGAGAAAGATTGGAGGAGGAAGAAACAGTAAAAGGAAGGACAACATTTTATTGCACATCTTGACTTGAGTCTTCAGTTTACATAGTTCCATCTGGTGCCAATTGCAATGCATACTTGCAAACATCAGAGAGAATTTTGAAACTTTACAAATAAGGACTACAGGCCTTTGGAAATAATAATTTTTAAAGTGGTCAATTATAAAAGATTGAAAATCATATTAACACCAGATTTGTTGTCTATTGGGATGCCAGAAGATGATAAAGATACATCTTCCATGTTCTGAGGGTAAAGTACTTTCAGCTAGGATTATTTATATAGATAAGCAAAGATGCTCTTAGATATTTAAGATTTTGAAAATTTACAAATAATATACTGTATATGAAAAAATTACCCAAAGATATATGGCCATCTCTCCAAAAGAAATCTAAGAAAGAGGATGGCATAAAGATTTTTTTTTTTTTGAGGCAGAGTCTCGCTGTATTGCCCAGGCTGGAGTGCCGTGGCACAATTTCAGCTCACTGCAAGCTCCGCCTCCTGGGTTTATGCCATTCTCCTGCCTCAGCCTCCCCAGTAGCTGGAACCACAGGCACCCGCCACCATGCCTGGCTAATTTTTTGTATTTTTAGTAGAGATGGGGTTTTACCGTGTTAGCCAGGATGGTCTGGATCTCCTGATCTCATGATCTGCCCGCCTCAGCCTCCCAAAGTGCTAGGATTACAGGTGTGAGCCACTGCGCCCGGCAGCATAAAGATTTTTAAAAGTGGCAGTTGACAATTATACAGAAGAGGCAAAGGATACTAGAAAGGCACTTAAAGAGTTATCTATGAAATCTGACACTTGGAAAATTCTCCTTTGTGCTGTAACGGTTCTGTGACTCGAGATCACCTTTTCTTCTCCATGAGTCTATTCACACTTAGTTCCTTGGTGAATACTGTTCTAAACTTTAGAACAGAATAATGAGAAATAGTAGCTAACAGTTATTGATACCACATATCAGGTACTGTTCCAAGCACTCAACATGAATTAACATTAAATGTTTTAATTCTTCATCTTCATGACAACTTTATGAAGCAGTTAGTATCATTATCCGCATTTTTACTCATGAGAAAATTGGAACACAGAGAGGTTAAGTAACTTGCCCGAAGTTATACAGCCAGTAAGTGGCAGAGGTGGGAATTGAATTCAGACTAACATTAGGGTCCATGATTTAAAATTTTATAACTAACGTGGATGGGAGAGGAGGAAGAACACACAAAGGTCAGAATAATTGCAGTAATTTCCTAATCTTTCAATGCAAGGAATCATTGAATACCATATAGAATTGATAAATCAAGAAGTAGAAGCAGACATATTATTAAAGGTAGACTTTACCATCAGAAAACTAGAATAGCCAAAACCAAGAATTAATACCACTGAAAAATGGGCTTAGGAGTAGTCTGGCAGAAGAAAACTTTGTTATGCTTCTCTTTATTATTGAAAAAAAAGTTTCACCCTATGTATATATTATTGCTATCACTTTAGAAACCAGTTCAATTTTCAAAAAAGATTTGATCCTGTAAGTTTAGTGAGTCACCTTGACAATCCTGAGTGGAAGGTGAGAACATTGGCCTAAGAGTTGTGGTGAAGTATGGAGCCCACCTACAATTTCCCACTCGGCCTGCCCATCTCTGTCCAGCCAAGTCTCCCTCCATCCCCAGGAAAAGTCTGTCTGGCAAAGAGACTTCCAAGTTCAGAGCCTGGGGAGACACAGCCTTCCAAAATGAAGCCCTAAGATTCCTGGGCCATGACTGTGTCTGCCCTTCTCCTCCCAGAGGGCGAGGATGACAGATTCTGGGGCCCTGGGAATATTGGGAGGAAGGATTCCAGACACTGGAAATAGAGTTGCCAACAGAGGCACTCTGGGCACTAAAAAGCCCAAGTCTAGGCCTGGCAATGTCCCCCAGGTCCCCAGAAGACATCGTGGGGGTCACATTGCTCCAGCTTTGGGGTCTTTTTCAAGCTCACTCATCGACTATTCCCAAGGCCTGCAATCCTTCAGCCTCCTGCCACCCCTCCCCACCCACCAGTTTTGGTTTTCGCCTTGGCTGCAGGTCCCTGGGGTTCCAGGCCCCTGGATTCCATCCCTGTGGTTCTCACCGTGAGTCATGGTGGCTCTGCTGTGCCGTCCTCGCTATCTCGGGGAACCGGAGATCCCCCTTAATTCCCTCCAGCTGTGTCTCTACAGGGCTGAGGTCATCCATTCTGGCTCAAGAGGAAAGCAGAGAGTTTGTTGTGTCTTTGTTTCATTCAAATGGTTTGGACGGTGACTCACTCCATTTCTTCTCTCTTTTCTTTTTAAACCAGGGCACCGTCTGGGAGTCGTTTTTGATTAGAAGTTGACCTCAGAAATATGCTCACATCATTTTGAAAGCATCTTCCAGCACCACAGAAATCGACTCAGATGGAGAAAGGACACTGAGTGGACAGGGGCCAGGATGGGGCGTGGACGCTCTGCCTCTGCCGGGGACAAGGCCTTCCCACAGACTCCCTGGGGTGTTGCCAGCCTGAGTCAGAGGTAGGAGGCCAGCCCTGTCGAGCCCCCATACACTTATGTATTGACCTGGGGCCAGTGCTGTGGATGGCAATGACCATCATCATCACCATCGTCATCATCAACACTAGCTACTATTATCAAGTGCTTATTCCAACCCACATGGTTTCTAAGGGAGTCACATGAAGTGACCTCACATCATTCTCACAGCATCCTGCCAGGCAGGTACCATTGGCGTTTGCCATCTGAGTATTATCACCATCTGAGGTCCCACTCAGGAGCTGGGCATGTCGGTGAGTAAGGTCATGCCCTTGACCCACTAGGTGCAGGACCCTCCAGTGGGTGGAATCACGGGTCTCATTATGAATGTGAAGCTCCCAAGGCAAGGTCTGCCTGGCCCTGAGGCAGCAGGTATGACCCTGGTGGGGTGGGAAACGGAGGTCAGAGGTTGTGAGCTGGACCTGAGTCAGGTCAGAGGTTCAGTGGTATCTGGGAAGTGGCTCCAGGCGGTGGGCTGTTGGCTGCACAAGGATGGAGGGTGGCAGAAAGCTGTGCTTTACCGAGGGTTTTGCTGTGTTTTTTTTTTTTTCTACTGTGTGCCTGGAAGTGTGCAGACAGGCACGGCATGTCCATTTCCCCTGCAGGCTACTGGAAGAGATAAGGCTGGGAGGCAGATCACACTTTCCACCTTGAGAAAGACACAGAAACCGAGCAGAAGAATCCAACCGGGGATTAGGGAAAGCTCCCTGGGGGTACTGGCTTTGGAGCTGGGGGAGGTGGGATAGACCTCTACACAGAGAGGACCGGGCACCTGTGTGCAGGGGAGGAAGCTGCTCCACTTGGCAAGTGCGCAGCTGTGGGAAGGGGACTCCAGGAAACAAAATCCAAACTGCAGGCTGAGAAGTCTGTGAAGTTCTAATCACAGGAGTAGCATGGTGAAGAGAGATGTGGTGTCTCATGGCTCTGAATGGGTGTCGGGCAGATGCTCCGCAAGGCAGGAAGAGCCAAGCTGGCTGCTGCTCCAGCAAAAGCAGCTCATCGGCCAGGTGTGGTGGCTCACACCTGTAATTCCAGTGCTTTGGGAGGCTGGGGCAGGTGGATCACTTGAGGTCAGGAGTTCGAGATCAGCCTGGCCAACATGGTGAAACCCTGTCTCTACTGAAAATACAAAAACTAGCTGGGCATGGTTGCACACCCCTGTAGTCCCAGCTATTCAGGTGGCTGGGAGGCAGAGGTTGCAATGAGCCAAGATCACACCACTACACTCCAGCCCGGGCTACAGAGTATGGCTCTGTCTCAAAAAAAATGATAGCAGCTCATCGAATGGAGACTTGCAGCCCTGGCATCTTGAAAGCCCCTTTGCAGGTCGCATGAATGTCTAGGCATCTGTGCTTGGTCAATGTATTCATTTTCTGGGGGTGCCATGACAGATTACCACACACCGGATGGCCCAAAACCATCCTTTTGCAGTTCTGGAAGCCAAAAGTCCAAAATCCGTGTGTCAGCAGGGCTGTGCTCCCTCTGAAAGCTCCACAGGGGCATCTTGGCCAGCTTCTTCCAGCTTCTGATGGCTCCAGGGATTCTTAGCTTGTGATAGTAGAATTCCAGCCTCTGTCTCCATCTTCTCCTGAACGTCTCCTCCATGTCTGTGATCTCTTTTCTTCTTTAAAGACACTTGTTGTTAGGTTTAGGGCCCACCCAGATCATCCAGGTGATCTCACCTTGAGATCATTAACTTAATTCCATCCACAAAGACCCTTTTTCCAAATAAGTTTACATTCACATGTTTTTTACTGGATTTGTCTTTTGTGGGGCGGGGGTTGGAGGGAGTCATCACCATTCAACACCCTCTAGTCTATAAGGTCTATTCCCTGCCCTGCTACTAAGTGGGAGTTCCTGGAGAATAGCAATTGTGTGTTCATTCCTTCCTTCCTTCATTCCTTCATTCTTGTGTCCCACAGATATTGATGTAATGCCTACCGTGTTCCAGACACGCTGCGAGGCCCTGGGGATGCAGCCACAATCCCAACAGATCTGATGCCTGCTCTCATGGAACTGACTTTGCACTGGGGGGAGGCCAACTCCACGAAAACAGAAACTGGATGACACATTGGAGGGAGAGCAGTAAAAGGAGCAAGCAGAGAGCAAGAACAACAGTGTTGCCATGGGGCGGGTGGGCCCGCTGTAGCCAGGGAGGGCCTCTCCGAAGGTATAACAGGTAAGCTGAGCCCTGGATGCTGAGAAGGACCAGCCTCAGGAGCAGGGCCCCTCTGCAGCAATGCCTAGTACAGAGGCTTAGAGAAGACATGGGCACGTGCACCAGGCATCCCATGGGCAGGGCTACCTGAGTTCCATATGTGTGTGGAGAGGTCCCGCAGGGCCTGGGTGCGTGACGAGGATGAATAAAGTGGGTGGAGGGTAATGCCACAGTGAGGGGCAGATGGTGGCCAGTTGACAACACGTGCCCCCATCAAAGAGGTGGTTGCTACTCAGCTCTGACTCATGGTCACCAAAAAGGATGTGGGGCGAGTGTGGCCAGATCATCTAGTTCTTCAAAAGAAAGTAGAAATCTAAACATTTTTTTTTTGGTAAAGACATCTGAATTTCAAGTGCTTTTATTAAAAGAAGCAAAAAGAGGCCTGGCACGGTGGCTCACGTCTGTAATCCCAGCACTTTGGGAGGCTGAGGTAGACAGATCACTTGAGGTTGGGAGTTCGAGACCAGCCTGGCCAACATGGAGAAACCCCGTCTCTACTGAAAATACAAAAAAAATTAGCTGGGCATGGTGGCAGGTGCCTGCAATCCCAGCCACTCGGGAGGCTGAGGAGCGAGAATCACTTGAACCCGGGAGGCAGAGGTTGCAGTGAGCTGAGATCACGCTACTGCACTCCAGCCTGGGTGACAGAGCAAGAACCTGCCTTAAAAGAAGAAGAAAAAAAAAAAAAAAAACACTGGGTGGATGAAAAAAAAACATCCCCAAGCCAGGTCCAGCCTGCAGGTCACCATTTTGCAGCCTTTGGGTGGAAAGCCGGATTGGACTGCAGCAGCCTAGTACTCAAGGAGAGGGCACGGCAGGGAGAGGAGACAGCAGCGGAAAGGCCTGAGCTGGGACAGTCGAAGAGCTGTGAGCGGCTTGCTATGGCTGAAACGTAGTTTGAGTGTGACCACAAAACATGGCAGACTGTGACCACATTGCAAGGATCTCGGAGGCTTGGTAAAAGGGTTCTCTTCCCCGGAGATGTGGCACAGTGTCCGATCCCCGTGCCTTTCCTCATACAGTGCCCTCCCCCCTTTCTCCGCATGTCTACGTTCTGACTCTAGTGCCACTTTTTCCACAGTCTCCCTGGTCCCCCTCCCACCCACCATCAAGATGGGATCTCTCCCTCCTGGGAGCACCTACTGCACTTTGCTTTCATTCATTCATTTTTTAAAATTAATTAATTAATTGGTTTATTTATTTTGAGATGGAGTCTCACTCTGTTGCTCAGGCTGGAGTGCAACGTCACGATCTCGGCTCACTGCAAACTCCGCCTCCCGGGTTCAAGCAATTCTCCTGCCTCAGCCTCCCAAGTACCTGGGATTATAGGCATGCGTCACCACACCCAGCTCGTTTTTGTATTTTTAGTAGAGACGGGGTTTTTGCCATGTTGGCCAGGCTGATCTCAAACTCCTGACCTCAGGTGATCTGCCTGCCTCGGCCTCCCAAAGTTCTGGCATTATAGGTGTGAGCCACCATGCCCAGCCTCATTCATTCATTTATGTGTTCATTTACTCAGCAAATATTAGAGTGCCTGCTCTGTGTCATGGGGGTTGGAGGTGGAGGACTGAGGACACAGAAGTCAGCCCAAGGGACACAGTGGGAGCCCACGCAGAGTCCTCATCTTCAGGGGACTCAGAGTCCAGCAGTGGGGAGATGGGTTACATGATCACACACCACATGTTAAGTTACAACTTCAGTGGGTTCTGGAAGGAGAAGTGCTGAGGGGGAGACGAGTAAGGCCAGAAGGGCTTCCCAGAGGAAGGGGCAAGGGCTGAGCTCTGAGGATGCATCTGAGTTATCCTAAAGGCATTGGAAGCACTGGACAACTCAGCTTTCCTCCGGGAGGCACCATGCTAATGTGTGCCCTTGGAAAGCATCACTGTCTCAAAGGGGCTGGAGGAGGCTGTTGTGGCCATCTGGTGAGAGAGGACAGGGACTGGACCACAGGACAGGATTGGAGTGTGACCCATAGATGTGGAGAGACGTGGGGAGAGTCCAGAGACTCGGAGGAGGCGTGGAAACCATGGCGTGTCCTTGCTTCAACTCCCCTCTGAGATGGAAGCTCTGGATGCCAGAGATGGTTTCCTTGCTGGGTGACCCAATTCAGCAAAAAAGAAGGGTGACCTAACGGTCAGAATCAGACTGCCCCAAATCGAGCCTCCAAGACTTCACTTCTCAGCTGTGTGATCTGTAAAATGATGACAGCAACAGCAGTACCACTTCATAGGCTTGTCCTGAGGTCTCGGTGAATGATCTCTGAGCTGCGGAGCACATGGTACCCACTCACTAAGCAAGAGCCAAACTTCACGAAAGAGTATTTACATGTTAACAATGTCATTCACATGTCAGCATGTAACCGCCAGTGGGTTCATTTTGCCACTGCCCAGATAGAACCAATGTATCAAGACGGGAATTGCAATAGAGAAAAGAGTTTAATTCACGCAGAGTCGGCTGAATGGGAGACCGGAGTTTCATTATTACTCAAATCAGTCTCCCTGAAAAATTCAGAGACTGGGGTTTTTAAAGGATAATTTGGTGGGCAGGGGGGCAGGGAGTGGGGAATGCTGACTGGTTGGGTTGGAGATGAAATCATAGGGGGTCGAAGCTGTCCTTTTGCACTGAGTTGGTTCCTACATGCAGGCCACAGGACCAGATGAGCCAGTTGATCAATCTGGGTGATCCCAGCTGAGTGCAGGGTCTGCAAAGTCCCTCAAACAGCAATCTTAGATTTTATAATACCAGTGTTATAGGAGAAATTGGGAAGTTTAGGGATATTTTGGCCTCTGGCTGCATGACTCCTGAGCAGTTAACTTCTGATCTTGTGGCTCACTTGTTAGTTGTACAAAGGCAGTCTGGTCCCCAGGCAAGAAGGAGGTTTGTTTCGGGAATGGGCTGTTATCATCTTTGTTTCAAAGTTAAACTATAAACTAACTTCCTCCCAAAGTTACCTATGCCCAGGAATGAACAAGGGCAGCTTGGAGGTGAGAAGCAAGATGGAGTCGGTTAGGTCAGATCTCTTTCACTGTCACAATTTCTCATTGTCACAATTTTTGCAAGAGTGATTTCAATCAGAGCAGTGCCCCAAACATTTTTTTGTTAATAATTTGAAGGATGTTTATTTTAGAAAACAAAAAGGACATCAAGGTAGCCATCACGCAAAACTCCGAAGTGTCTTAGACTTCCTTACTCTTACTGTACAGCATTATGTTGGGTTTGAATTAATTAGGGGGCATGGGGCATCCTGATCGCCTCGGGATTTGTGGCTTTAAAAGTCTCCGGAGAGGACTGGCAGCAGTTCCCAGGGATGTGTGCCATTGTCTGGGACAGAGCAAGCCGAGTTCGTTGAGCTACAGCCTACGGTCCAGGGACCTGACTTGGCTGGAGGCTGGACATGTCCTACTTCTCTTAACTCAGCAAATGGACGGAGGTCAGGGAAAGGTTGACTCGGGGTAGGGGCTGGAGGAGGTTGCAGGGAAGCCTGTGGAAGCCACTCTTGCAGCAGGTCCCGGGAGAGCCCCAGGCCCTGGATCTGAGCATCCTCAGTGGGGCTTGGGGATCCGTACCTCTAGAGGGCAGTGGGGCTCCACCAAGAGTCCCTTCCAGTGTCTTCCCAGTGGCCAGGAAATACTCCTCACCTTAGAACGGGCCTCCCTGCTCAGCCTAAAGGGAAATTTCTACCCACAGGTTGCCTTGGCTGGGCGCAGAGGATGGATCTTTCCACATCCAGTTGTTTGTGCGGGGGAAAGCTCATTAGGAAGGAAAGTATCTAGTGTCAGTAGCATGTGAACGTTTCCAAGCACAGAAGCCCGACAGCTGTACCTACTTAGGGGGTACCTGGGGACTCCGGGCCACACAGAGGCCATCTCCCACCAGCCTGGCCAGGGGGAAGTCAGATTTCTGGGGCTCATAATGTTCACATGGAGAAAACGTGCATTTCTACTGGAGTGTTCTTGGCCAGACTCAGGCTTTTAGATTCCCCAAAATAAATCTCCTCGACGGTTCGCCCCTGCCTGCTCCTACCCCTCGTTCTTGCTTGGCAAACAGGGAAGTCCCTGGATGCATTTTGGTCCAGAGATCAGAGCCCCCAGGGATCAGAGCCTCATGGGCTGCACCCTCTAAGGGCCACAGAATCCCTGTTGGGGGCAAGGTTAGGGGGTGCAAGCATATCCACTTTGGGTGCACACAGACCTGGGTTCAAATCGTCACTCTGCCACTGCACAGCTGCAGGGTCACCAGCTTGCACCCACTCTGAGCCTCCGGCTCATCTGAGAAATGAGGAAAGCCCCACCTTACGGGATGGCCGCAGGGCTCGGGGACAGAAATCCTGGAACCAGTATATATAGCACAACACCAGGCACATCACAGCCCCTGCCAGAAGCACCACCAGCCGCACCCTCCCTGCTGCTAATTTTTCCCGAGGCACCCATTGCTGAACTCTTCTGTTCTTATGGTTTATACAGTCTATCCTTCCTGCTGGGACACAAGCTCCACTGCCGTGTCCAAAACACTCTGTTCTAGGCACAAGGTTGGCATCAAAAAATACCTGTTGGGTGCATAAATGAATGCTTTGGAGCTCGTATTACAGTTCTCTGGGCCTCAGTTTCCCCAGCTGTGCAATGCGGATGATGGCATTAGAAGTGTCAAAGGTGGCTTCAGATGGATTGAGCAAATGTGCAAGAGCACCCAGCCCAGGCAGGCAACAGATGCAAATCCACTCTCCCAATCAGATTCCGAGGTTGTCTTGGGCTTTACAATGGAGTCAGGAGAATCGCCACCCTCTGGCCTCCAAGTGCAGCTCAGAGGGATGGGTCACTGGCCAGGCATTGATACAGACTCACCCAACAAGGCCTGCAAGTTCTCTGAACAGGCGCCCTCATGTTGGATCCTCCCAGGGGCCAGGCAGGGAAGACTGAGGCCAGGAAACACCCCAAGGCTCAGAGAGGTGGGGTCACTGGGCGAGGCTGTCTTGGCCGTTTCTCTGCATAAAGCAGCCAGGGGCTGTGAAACTCCAAGGTGAGAGGTGGCCCATGGGTGACAAACGGGAAATGGAAGGCCAAAGAAGTGTGAGTGCACCGGGGAAGCAGGGTGTCTTAGTGGGAAGAATGTGGGCTCTGGGATCAAGGAGACCTGCCTTCCGGCCTGCCTCAGCCACTCACCATGCAACCCCGGGGAAGCCATATCACCTCTCATTTCCTAATCAGTGAAATGGAGATAACAAGAGCCCTTGCTCTGCAGAGTGCTGGGAACGGCTCCTGCAGCGGCTGGCACACACTTGATAAGCAGTTAGGAAAGAGCAGATATTACTCTTTGTATGAGTTCTCTCTTGTTGCCATAACAAATTACCACAAACTTAATGGCTTAAAGCAACACAAATTTAACATCTTACAGTTCCGGAGGGCAGAGGTCCTAAAATCAAAATATTGGCAGGGCTGCCTTCCTTCTGGAGGCTCTAGGGGAGATTCTGTTTCCTGCCTTTTCCAGCTCCTGGGGCCATCTGTTTTCCTTGGATCATATCACTCCGATCTCTCTGTCCATCATTACATCTTCTCTGACGGTCCTGCCTCCATTCCATAGGGATCCTTGTGATTCCACTGGGTCTACCTGGATAATCCAGGATAATCTCCCTGTCTCAGAGTTCTTAACATCATCACGCCTGCAAAATCCCTCTTGCCTTATGAGGTAACATATTCACAGGTTCTGGGGATTAGGGCGGGGACCTCTTTGGGGCCATAATTCAGCCGACCACACTGTTCTTATGATGCCTCCCATCCTGGCCCTGCTCCACTGTTCCTCCAGCAGGCACTGTCTATCTCTGTCTCTCTCTTGCTCTAGCCTTGACACCAAAGGAGTTATTTGGTTCTAATTTGGGGTTCTGGTTGGATGAATTGCAGGAGAAAGCTTGTGTCTCCTCAAACATCCCCCCATTGTCCCCGGACCATACAGGTTGTAGTCAAGGGACTTGTTAGAAGGCAGGCGGCAGCCAAGAATTCCAGAGAAAGCTGCATGGGAAATGTCCCCATTCATTCATCAAATATCAGAGCACCTACCACATGCCTGGCACTTCTGGTCACTGTGGGCACAACTGTGGACTGGGCAGACTTGACTCTGCCCTCGAGGAACTGACCTTCTCGGGGGAAGACAGGTGGGAGAGTGATCCTATCATAGGCACTCAACCCAAACAAGACCCCAGGTATTGCGAGGGAGGGTGGTGGAGCAGATACATTAGCTAGGGTGGCCACGGATGGCCTCTTTGAGGAGGTGGAACATGACCCAAAGAGCCATGCAGGGGATGGGGGAAGTGCGTTCCAGGCAGACGGCTTGGCAAGTGCAAAGGCCCCGAGGCAGGAACGTGTTTGGCTTCTTCAAGAAACAGCAAGATGGCAGCGTGGCTGGAGGGATGAGGTGGTCTGAGAGTAGCTGGGGGCCAGATCATAGCAGGACCCTGGCTTTTATTCTGAGTGAGGTCAGGGCCTTTGGCGGGCTTTAGCAAAAGGTGCTATCATCTGGCTCATATTGAAAAGGATCCCTCTGGCTTCTGTGAAGGGAACAGACGATAGCAGGCCAGAAACCAGGAACCCAGAAGGAGGCTACACAGGCAAAGGAGTAAATTGAGGAGAGTTTTAATGGATTATTCACAAAGGCACAGGAGAGAGGGGAAACGTAATGCAAGATGAATCCCCCAGAGCTATCAGCACTGGGGCACCTCTGCCGCCCCAAGGCCCGAAGAGGTTAAGGAGGAGAGCAGTTTCTGGGACCGGGAGGGATGGCACCCCATGGAGAGGGCCACTTGGAGAGACAGTGGCTTTTGTTGAGGGACATATCCAGGCCACGGCATGAACACCCAACCTTCCATCTCTTGCTGGCACCTCCTATTGAAGGAACCCTCTGAAAGCCAGAGGTGCCCCGGAGAGGCTGGTCATATGGTCCGCCTCCCAGGCCCAGAGAGCTGAGGGTGAACCTGGAGGGCAAATGGAAGACACTGGAACAAGCTCCCTGCCCAGCTCCCTGAACGCAGGGCAGCTGACACTGTAGCCTCTGTGCCTGTAGCCACCGTTGCTGTCTAGCTTTAGAACTTGGATCCTTGAAAAAAATATTAGGGCTGCTGCTCCATGGCAGCCCTGTGCAGAACACACCAGGAGGGAGAGGGAGAGACACGGAAGATGTAGCGCGCCCCCCGCCTCCTTAGGCTGTTCTCCCATTGCTATAAAGAAATACCTGAACCTGGGTAATTTACAAAGAAAAGAAGTTTAATTGGCTGATAGTTCCACAGGCTGTGCAGGAAGCACAGTGGCTTCTGCTTCTGGGGAGGCCTCAGGAAACTTACAATCGTGGTGGAAGGCTAGGGGGAAGCCAGCACATCACATGGGCAGAGCAGCAGGAGCAAGAGAAGGGTGGGGAAGTGCTACACACTTTTCCATGACCAGATCTCATGAGAACTCACTATCACGAGAACAGCACCAGTGGATCCACCCCCATGATCCAATCGCCTCCCACCAGGCCCCACCTCCAACACTGGGGATTACACTTTAACGTGAGATCTGGGCAGGGACATGGATCCAAACCATATTATTCCCCCAGCTCCATCTTTACAGAGGGTAGAGGGGCAGGAGGCATGAGGGGAGGGGCCGGAGAGGGACTGAGAGGGGCAGGAGCGGCACTGAGCGGCTTGCAGCAGATGAGGGGGTCACACCTGTAGTGGCTTTGTTCCGGGTGTAGGTAACGATGTGTTGTTACTTTAAGACTTTTTCTTGGTCATAGATTGTGTGGTTACAGATTTCAAGCAGTACAAATGGATATGGAGCGAAAAGCCCCTCTCGTCCCCTCCCCCATGCCCCTGGACTCCCAGGACCATTAGTAATTCTGAAATGTCTTTCAGAAAAAGCACGTGTGTTTGTGTGTGTGTATACAGTGTGCAGGTATGCAGTACGTATGTGTATTCAGATGTGTGTGTATACAGTGTGCATGTATGCAGTATGTATGTGTATACAGATGTGTGTGTGTATACAGTGTGCGTGTATGCAGTATGTATGTATATGCAGATGTGTATACAGCATGTGTATATGCAGTATGTGTGTTTGCATTGTGGATGTGTGTGTTTGTATGCAGTGTGTGTATGCAGTATGTGTGTATGCAGTGTGAATTTATGTCATTGTGTGTGTATGAGTTTATGTCATTGTGTGTGTGTGTGTGTGTGTGTGTGTGCGTGTGTGTGGTCATCCCATGAATGGGACGCACAGGTCTGCACTTTGCGTTTTCCCTTGCCGGCCACTGTTCCAGGCACTGGGGTGAAACACAGCAGTGAGCAAGACAAACTGTCCTTTTTTGTTTTGTTTTTGTACTTTTTGTAAAGATGAGGTCTCACTATGTTGCCCAGACTGGTCTCAAACTCCTGGGCTCAAGCGATCCACCTGCCTCGGTCTCTCAAAGTGCTGGGATTACAGGCATGAGCCACAGCGCCCGGCCAAGACAAACCATGTAGATAACAGGTTAGACAGAGGGAAGGCCCATGAGGAAGGATGAGGCCAGGAGACACAACAGAGCAACAAAGGAGCTGACCCTAAACACAACCCGAGGAAACAGGGTGTTTTCCTCACTGTACTGGGTTGAATCGTGGCCCCCTCAAAAGATGTGTTCTTGTGGTGGACGCTGGTACCTGTGAGTGTGGTTCAACTTGGAAGAAAGGCCTCTACAGATGTCACCACATGAAGGGTCTTGGCATGAAACCATCCTGGATTAACCAGGTGGGTCCTAAATCCAAAACCAAGTATCCTTATAAGAAGAGGAGCCCATGTGAAGATGGAGGCAGAGATTGGAGTGATGCAGCCACAGCCAGGGAACACCAGGAACCCCCAGAAGCTGGGAGGGGCCAGGAAGGGTCCTCCCCACAGCCTTCAGAGGCATCACGGCCCTGTAGCACTTGGTTTCAGAATTCTGGCCTCGAGAATTACGTAAAGATAAATTTCTGTTGTTCAAAGTCTCCCAGTTGATGGCAATTTGTAGGCGGCCCTAGGAAATGAATGCACACACCTATTCTGTTCCAAAGCTGCGTTGGATCCCCCTACGGGCGTCCGCCAGGCGTCAGGTCACCAGGGCTGTGAGGATGGGTGTTCTGATTGTTTATATTTTTCTGCTACTTCAGTAGACCAGCCTGAGTATCTGTGTGTGTCTTTGGGTGCGTCGGGGGTGTTTCTAGAGGAAGACTCGCAGGTGTTCCACTGCTGAATCATAGGGTCATTCATTGTTGATCAAGATCTTGGGTGGAGTCTGGGCGCCGCGATTTTAGCATCGAGGAAGAGGGACCATTGGCTGAAGCCGGGGAAAGTAGGTAGCATGGGTGACCTGAAAACCAAGAGCAAGGGGACAGTTTGAAGAAGTGGAGAGAACACCTCAGAGCCAAACGCCACTGGAAAGTCCAGGAAGAGAAGAAATGAGAAGAGTCCATTTGATTCGCTGACAAGGGAGGGCGCTGGTGGCTTGGCAGTGAGGTAGGCGCAGAAGTCCCAGCACAATGGCTGGGGAGTGAGTGAGCAGGAGCAGGGGATGAGAGGCAGCAGCAACTCCTTCTAGACCCTTGGCTGGGAGGCGTGGGGAAAGCCAGGCTGGTGGCTGGAGGCAGATGCGGGTTCGATGGATGATTTTTTTTCTATTTTTATTTCTGGTTGATTTAGACAAGGGACACCTAGCATGTTTGAACCTTGATGGTTGGGAGCTGGGAGAGAGGGAGGGTGAAGATAAAAGAAAGGGATTAACCAGGGTGTCCACGTGGGCAGGGACGGCTCCTCTCGAATCCTCGGGGGGACGGGGGTGGTGGAGGTGGGATGGAGGGTGGGGCAGCTCTTCCTCACCGGATGAAGGGTCCAGCTGCGGAGACTCTGTGATGTGGAACCCTCTGATCGGGCCTGTGTGCGGCAGATGTGTGAGCACCAGCTCTGGGTGGCCCAGGGGTAGGCCAGGCCAGGTCACTGGTGGCTCTAAAAGCTACATGAAAGGGGTCATTACAGAGCTTTAAACCTAACTGTGATGGCGACCCACTGGAGCCTCAGAACCATTATCTGGCAGCTGCGTGGAGAATGGGCTGGGGAGGTATGGAAACCAGTTAGGGGGCGGACATGCTGGTCCATGTGGCCCAGTGGCTGCCACATGCCTGTTACGTGTGGAGTTTACCAGGCGCCCATCTGCTTTGTGGCGATGCTGGTGGAAATGCCTATTATAACACAGATACAGAAAATGCTGTGGTGTGTTTTGAGATAAAAATCACAAGCAGCCGGGCGCAGTGGCTTACACCTGTAATTCTAGCACTTTGGGAGGCTGAGGTGGGCGGATCGCCTAAGACCAAAAGCTTGAGACCAGCCTGGACAACATAAGACCTCCATCTCTATGAAAAATTAAAAAATTAGCCAGGTGCACTGATGTGTGCCTGTGGTCCCAACTGCTCGGGAGGCTGAGGCAGGAGGATCGCTTGAGCCCAGGAGGTCAAGGCTGTAGTGAGCCTTCATCATTCCACTGAACTCCAGCCTGGGTGACAGAGTGAGGCCCTGTCTCAAAAAAACTCACAAGCTCTAGGAGACAAATTGGACTTGAATCTTGACCCTCCCCCAACCCCCGACAGACTATGTGGCCTCAGCCTGGTTACATGACCTCTCTGTATATGTTAGTTCTTCATTGCTCTATAACAAATGACCTCAAAATATAGCAGCTTAAAACAACACATTTTCATTATCTGACAGCTCCCATGGGCCCGGAATCTGGGTTCAGCTTATCTGGGCCCCCAGGCTCAGGGTCTCTCTCAGGCTGCAGTCAGGAGTCATCGGGGGCCATGGTCATCCCAAGGCTCCGCTGGGGCAGGATCCACTTCCAAGCAAGATCAGCAGTTGTGGCTGGATTCAGTTCCTCATAGGCTGGGACCGAAGGCCTCAGTTCCCCACTGTTTGTGACCAGGAGCTGCCCTGGGTTCTTTCCACGTAGGCAGTGCTGCTGGCTTCATCAGAGGGAGCAAATGAGAAGACTCAGATAAAGAGAGCGCCAGCAAGATGGAAGTCATTACCTCTTGTAATCTAAGAAGCGAGTCACTAGGTCCAGCCCACAATCAAGGGTAGGGGATCACACAAGGGTGTGGCTACCAGGAGTCCAAGCTACTTGGAAGGCTGAGGTGGGAGGATTGCTTGAGCCCAAAAGACAGAGGTCACAGTGAGCTGTCATTGTTCCACTGCCCTCCAGCCTGGATGACAGAGTAAGACCCTGTCTCAAAAAAAAAAAAAAGAAAAAGAAAAAAAGCCAGTACCTAGTGATAATAAAAATCAGAGCAATTGTTGAAATACTGTTTTAAAATTCTCTGTAGATAGTGCAACCCCTGAGTGCCAGCACCAGGTGGATCATTCCTACCACCCCCTCCCCTCATCGGGATGCCACCAAGATGCAGCTGAAGGACATTTACCAACAGATGCACTCAGGCCTTCAGAGATTGTGTTAGACATCTTAGTCCATTTGTCTTGCTACACAGGAATACTTCAGGCTGGCAATTTAGAAAGAGAAGAGGTTGATTTGGCTCATGGTTCTGATGGTTGGAAAATTCAAGATGGGGCATCTGCCTCTGGTGAGGGCCTCAAGCTGCTTCCGCTCATGGTGGAAGAGGCAGGGGACCTCATGTGTGCAGGTCACCTGGCGAGAGAGGAAGCGAGAGAGGGGAGGTGCCGGGCTCCTTTTAACAGCCAGCTCTCATGGGAACAAATGAAGCGAAAAATCACTTACCCCCACCCCCCACCAGGGAGGGCATTCACCTACTCATGAGGGATCCACCCCATAACCCAAACGCTTCTGTTAAGCCCCACCTCCAACACTGGGGATGGAATTTCAACATGAGATATGGCAGCGGTTGTGAGGGGAGGGCGATCAGATAAACCAAACTATAGCAGCTTCTGTTTGGGTCCAAGTAGCCATGGAGAATACAGTGGGCCTGATTTTAGGATGGGAGCTTAGGCAGTGTCTCTGCTGACATCTGGAGCTATTACATCTAATGGAAGAGATGCCAGGTGGAAGCAACAGCTGGACGAAGGCCCTGAGATGCAGGCAGTGTGGCATGTTTGAGAGTGAGAGATCAGGGGGCTGGAGCAGAGGGCAAGATGGGAGAGTACTGGGAGGTGAGGTAGGAAGGGAGGTGGGCAGTGGAAAGCTTTGGTGGCCATTTAAGGTCTTTGTCTTTCACACTGAGGATCTTGAGCAGAGGAAGGACCTGATCTAAGATTAGCAGGAACACTCTGTGATGAGGACAGGCAGAAGGGGAAAGGCAGGGAGACCAGCCGAGAGATTACCACATCAGTCCTAGCAGGAGGTGGTGCTGAAACAAACACCAGACTCAGAAGAGTGCCAGGCCGAGATGGGGTCAGTTTCGGGATAAAATTGAAAGAGGGAACTGATGGGATTTCCTGACAGATCGGAGATGGGTGTCAGAGAAGGAAGAGGGCCAAGCATGGTGCTGGACTTCTAGCCTGAGTGACCGGGGTGACGGTGTCCCATGAAATGAAATAAACGCTGGGGTGGGACGGTGCTAGGAAGGAGAAATGCAAGAGTTCAGGTTGAAACATGATCAGCTCCAGGTCTCTTTGAGGCCTTTCTCCCTCCCTCTGCACCCTGCTGGGATGTCCACTTCACGCGGATGGAGACTTTGCTTAGTCTGTGTTCTTCACTGATGTGGTCCGTGAGCCTTGAACAACGTATTCATCCGTTTTCTGTTGCTTATAACAGAATACCTGAAACTGGGCATTTTGAAAGGGAATTTCTTTCTCGTTGTAGAGACTGAGAAGTCCCAGGCCGAGGGCCACATCTGATGAGCGCCTTCTTGCTCACGGGTACTCTGCAGCATCCCCTGGTGGCACAGGACATCGCATGGGGACGGGCTGAGTGCGCTAATGTGCTGTGCTCAGGTCTTTCTTCCTCTTCTTGTAAAGCCGCCAGTTTCCTTCCCATGATAACCCATTCACCCATTAATCCATGAATGGATTCATCCATTCACGAGGGTAGAGCCCTCAGGATCCAGAGTCACCACTTAAAGGCATCACCTCTGAACACTGCCACATTGGCATGGCAGGCAGGATAAGGGCCCCGTAATGATGTCCATGTTCTAATGCCCATCATCTGTGGATGTGTTACCTTCTACAGCAAAAGGGACTTTGCAGGTGCGATTGCTAATCACCAGTGATTAGAAAGGAAGAGTACCCTGGGTTACCCAGGTTTGCCCCATGTAATCACAGGAGTCTTTAGAGGCAAAAGAAAGAGATGTGAGAGTTTGTTAGAGAAAGAGGCGTGAGGCTGGAAGTGGAATCAGAGTGATGGGATGGCTGGCCCAGCAGATGAGAGCTGAGTGCTAAGGAATGCGGGCAGCCGTGTCTATTTCCAAAGAAGCTGGAAAGGATGAGGAAACCTTCTCCCCCAGAGCCCCCAGAAGGAGCGCAGCCCTCCTGACACCAGGATGCTAGCCCCACGGGACCTACTTTGGACCTTGGACCTCCAGCACTGTGAGGTGATGAATTTGTGTTGCTTTATGCCACTAAGTTTGTGCTAATTGTCGCAGAGGCCTGCAAGGAGACAGGGCTCAGGAGCGGTGGGTTTCAGCTAGGATGAAAACACGCAGGCCCTGGGGGGAGGGAAGACTGAGGATGTGGGGGTTTGTTTATGGGGGGCAGTGAGGTGCAGAGGGATGGGCAGCACCATTTCATGGGGCTGTGGGGCAGAAAGTGGGGTCTGAGCCTCATGGGGGTCAGAGTGAGACGCAGGGGATGAGATGAGAGTGACATAAACAGGGATAAATGGCAAAAGAGACTCGTCCCAGAGGGGAGGCCGTGAGCCCTGGGAGATGGAAGTCACGGGACCTGGGACCCCCACTGCCCGACTCTCCGAGGAGCCCTGGACATACTCTGGGCAGTGCTGGTCTAGGGAACTGGAGACGGGGGGTGGGGTGTCCACAGGGCAGATTTTAGGAGAGCCTGCCCTTGCACCTTCAGATCCTGGAGCCCAGCTCAGGGGCCAAGGTCTGTGTCGAAGACCCCAGCAGCACACAGAGGGTGCCCTGGCTTATTTGCACCACGGGGAGGATAAATGAGAACGTGGGCTCCTGAACTGCACGGCTGCAGGTGTATCTGGGGAGGACCAGATGGAGAGGCGCCCAGCCGGAGCGCGTTAGCACCATCTAACATAGCAAGCTACAGGCGCTGGCCGCACCTCGCTCCACTGCAAACAATCCGTTATTCACCTTGTCAAACAGACTCCCCCGAGAAGCCGGTTTCAGATTGGGCTTGTAAACGGCAGCTGGCTGGCCGGCCCTTCTCTTACCTGTCCCCAAGGAGCTGTTGAGCCACAGCAGTGAGCATTTTACAAGCAGGAGGGCCACAGGTGACTGCAGGCTGCCAGAAAGCAGATAACTGGCCTGGCAGGCTCCAGGATTCTAGGGAATTATGGCCTTTGGCTTTCTGTAGCAAAGGGAACTGGCTCTGTCTAGAAGACAGGCTGGAATACACTGCTGTGTAATTAGAGATGAATAAACCGAGCCATGTGGGGCAGGAGGAAAGTCTCCCTTGAGTCAGTTGTTTGGTTTATAAAATGTGTTAAATATTAGGAAATGATTAATTTTCCATACATGCCAGATGAGCCCATTGTTCTCCATGCACAGGAAAAGGCATGTTTGCTCATTTAACACCCGGTTCCTGGGGGCCTACCATACCGCATGCCAGGGTGGTAGAGAGATGGCATTGAGCAAATCAAGACAATCGTCGCCGCCATGGAATTTACAGGGGCAAGAGACAGGCAGCAAACATGCACACGGCCATCCAAACAGCGTTTTTGACATGCCAGGCTGAGTGCATGTGTGGGTGGGGCATGGGGTAGGTCCCACATGACAGCGGTCACTGAAGTCCTCTGAGGACAAGAATTTGATTGGAAAATTGAAGAATGAGGAAGAGCCAGTCCACGAAACTCGGGGGTCAAAGCGTTTCAAGTTTTAGGAGGAGACAGAGAGAGAGGTGGGGAATGGTGTGGTCTGGGCAAGGAACAGAAAAGAGACCTGGAGGCTGGAGAACTTGGGGCCGAGGAAGATGGCTGAGCCTCTTGCCTGAAATTCGGATCATCCTGAACGCAAAGGGAAGCCGTGGAGGGCTTTAAACAGGGCTGTGATGGGATCTGAGGCTGCTTTAACCTCGATCTGGCTGCTGTGTGGACGGGGAGGTCGGGAGTACACCAGCAAAGGGCTGTTGTGTCATCCAGGTAGGAGATGAGGGTGTTCTGGTGAGCATGAGGCATAGAGGTGGGATGATTTCAGAAGGGACCCAGCAGGACTTGCTGATATGTGGGCAGTGGGGACAGTGAAGGATCCGGGGTTATTCCCAGGGTTTTGACTAAGCGACTGTGTAGATGGTGTTGCCATAAACTGATGAGTAAGATGGGTGTGTGTTGGGAGAAGGGAGGAAGAGGAGATTGGGAATCAGGAAATTTTGGGGCATGTTGAACTCAAAATGCCTCCTGGCTACCAAAGAGAAGAAGGCACATAGTTGGGGAGGTCATACAGGAGTCTGGCACGTGTGTATGTGAAGGTGTAAATACAACCCTCTCCACGGTTGTCCTGTGAATGCTTTTTTCTCATGGTATTAAGGGCAGAGGGTTCTGAATCAAATATCCTCTGACACTTTGCACAGCAGCAGAAACTGTTGGCAACGTGTTTTCAAGGAGTTTTGTCAGTATTTCATAGAAGGATGAAGTGTCCCCATTTCAACAAAAAATTTAGGGATCACTGATGTAAAAAGTATAGCCCCTGGAAATCAGAGTGAATTGTCACTGTACTTCCTGTCTCGAGTCCAGCGCAATGTTTCAGAGCTTGAAGTTTTTCGTAAATCAGGGATTCCTAGAGGGCCTGGGACACGGCAGATATACAGCAGGGGGTTTTGTTTCTTTGATAACTCCTCATCGGGCCATTTACAAAGCTCAACTTCTGAATTTTACCAGGAGGGCAGGGCAAGAGGTGGTTTAGAGTGAGAAGCCCTTTTTGGAGAAAGTTTGGTCTGACCTTGTCCATCTTTGTACCACAAAATGTCATGAGGTTTATAGCAAGTGTGTCCCCTATACCCCATCACAGCTACTGGGGATCCACAGACAAAAGAAATGACTTCACTTTCATTTCTTAAAGGTCCTTGTGGTTCTGTGCCTCTGTCCTCAGCGTTATTTTATACTCAACCTGGTCCTACCAGGAACCCAGTTTCCTCCCAATGTATGAACATGAAGAGGCTGAGTAGGAGTCAGCATTTGTTTTCTCCTGTCAATCTTACCACTTCTTAAATCCCAACTTGGCACGAAACCACTGTTCTGTTTCTGCTCCTTTGTACGAAACTACCCCATGCTGTTGGATACAGCAAGGAACAATGTTCAGATTTGCAAACTCCTGGCAAAGTGACCCCAAGATGCTCCAATACGAACTTCCTTGTTATCTCAGGTTTTGAAAATTGGATAAACTCAAGTTTCTGGCTTTAATGATCTATTTAGAAAAATTTAAATCCCATAGTCAGAGCTCTAAATGTTTTCTTCCAGATATTAGTCAAATGAGGTCTCAAGATGAGCTCAAGGCTCCATGATATGCCTTAGGTGAATCTGAAATCTGTTTGTTAAATGACGGGACAGTGGATCGATAGGTAATATTGATTAAACATGCAGCACCTGTGAGGTGGGGACTAGAGAACTCATTTTATATCTGGGGAAACTGAGGCACAGGCCAAATTTGTGTTTATTAAGTGTGGCTTAAATATAAATGTAGAACACAGACTTGTTTTTTGTTTTTTGTTTTTTCTTTTTTAAAAATGACTGTATAGTTTTAGCCTTGTCCTCTGCTTAAGTGATTTTGACTTTCGATTCAGGAGAAGTGGTGTAAGGTTTTCAGAAAGTGAGTTAAAGCAAAACAGTTGGCCGCAGCGGCAGCAATCATCTTAGTGGGGCACAGTTGCCTCTTAGGTGTAGCCCTGGGCAGATATTTTTTGTGGGGCTCCTGTCTGCATGTGCAATTTGAGCCATTCCTAAATCAGCACCATTCTGGTGATTCAGTCTCACACCATCCCACAAAAATCACAATGAAAATACTGCACCAGCCATCAGGAGCAATCTGCTCACCAGGGTGCTCTTCTGGAAGCTGGCCTGGACCCTGTAGGTGCAGGTTCTAGAGCTCTTTGGGGCATCTGAAGGGGAGAAATGGGAGCCAGCTAGTCCCAGCCACCAGAGGGAGACTAAGGCTATTTCAAGATAGACACTTCCAGCAGCCAGGACCCATGCAGGTCCCTGTCTGAGCTTGGGACCCCTGCCCATTTGGTAGTGCTGGTTACACGCACTGGAATGGGGGGCTAGAAAATTCCCAGGAAGACATTCCAAGTGCAGGGCTATGGTGGGGTGAAGTGGGTCCCTAAAACACAGGGCCGGGGGCAGGTATCCCGTTTCCCTGGGGTTAAAGGGTGGGAGGAGGTTCGAACCATATTAAGACATTAAAAATAGCAGCTACTTCCAAACCTCTTAGGTGCTTTAGCTACAGGAGGGCAAAAGCTGTTTTAAGGAGGAACTTGGCTAGAAGGTTCTAGTACTTATGTTTGTGGGTTTGAAGGTATAAGGTGCATTTTTTTTCTTTAGCCTTGATATTTTGCAAGATGCTCAAATAAAAATGATGGCTTTTGCCTTCCAAGTGGCTGGCTTAGCCCAGTTGACCATGAATGCTTTGGGACCCTTGGAAAGCTGGTCTAAGGTGGGCATCATAAATCTCTTTTATGAATGCTACCTCAAAAGTAGTCTAAAGGCACAGATTACAGCAGAGCTGTGCTGGAGAGAACCAGACAAATTCAGGTTGACCATGTGGCTTTGTCACCTCCGGCAAGTGGCTTCTGAGCCTGAGTCACAAGCACGGTGGGACTGTACCTACCTCCTAGGGCTGAGACGAGGAGTAAATGCACACACTTATGTACACACACAAAATGTTCCTTGCTGAGGGAGCCCGAAATGTAAAGGGAATATTTGAGTAGCCTCTCTGGAAAAGAAAGATACACCAAAGTAGATGTTGCTTCCAACTGTTTTATTGCTAAACTATCATGATACAAGCCGTATAAAAATACTTTACATATAGGAAAAATAAACTACATTAAACTGGAGATTAAAAACATTTGCATAGGAATGTGATGTATTCAAACGCCTTTAACAGTCAGGATTTTCTAAACCTAAGCCTGCCAGCACCACCATGTTGGAGAGACCTGTTTGTTGGAGAATTGGTTTTCTCTCCTCTGAGGGCTGTAGAGGCCAGAGGGGTGAGTGAGGTTCTTTGACAAGATGTCCAGGATGCTAAGCTTGTCCCAACAGCCATAGCCTCGGTCTGCTCAGGCCAATCAGAATGCTGTGAGCACCTGCTCTAATGGAAACAACATCATTTGCATCCATTCCATTCAAAGCTTGAACTCAGCAGGGAGTTTATTCTGGTCAGCCAACAGCTGCATAAAGGTAGAATGTTAATAACCCTTTCACTTCCAGCTCCCAGGACCCTGATGGCTCAGGGAGCAACTCTCTGTTATCAACCACCAGAAAAGTTTGTTTTTAAACAGACTGAGTTAAACAGTGATGTTGGCTGTAAGTCAAGGCACTCACAAAAGCTGAGGGAAATGGATGTTTATGATCACAATTTTATAGGATGCTGCTTTTTCTTAAGCATTTAATTGGAATGCAGGAAAATACTTGCTATGCAATTGGCTGCTTTGGTTCCACGAAACGTAATGCCCTAGCCTCGAGCCTAGGAGACCCAAGGTTAAGATGCGCTGGGTCACCGAGCACCTTGCCTCCGGGAAACAAGTTCGGGAAAGGTTAGCCCAGCTTGTCAAGAACGTCACAACTCCATCCATGCCTCTTGTAAACTTGAAATGAAAACATTCTTTCAATTCTGAGCAATAGAAAGCACTTGGAAAGGTCTTTTTTTTTTTTTTTTTTTGACATGATAAATTCAGCCTCACTGTAGTCCAGAGTGAGAATTAGAACATACCAACTTCCAATCTGCCTAAATGTGACAGCCTCTGCCCAAGACTGGCTCACTGAGGCGTCTTGGCTACTGGATGTAAACAAAAAATGCAATATCCGTGCCTCCCAGTTCTTTGAAGGAATCAATTCATCCTTGGTTATATCTATGCTGGAAAACTGTGGGTGTCCTTTGGATAAAGCATACAGGAGTTATCTACCAGGATTTAGATTTGGTCCCTTCTGTAAATATTAGCCTGAACGTTGAGTTCTGTGAACATGAATTCTTTTCGAATTCCATTACAATGCAGGCAGGGTTTTGGTGTCAATTTTTTAAAATCAAAATCACCTACTAAATTAGTTATTTTGGGGGGAGGATCTAGACACTTGATGATTCTCAGTGACCAGATCCAGGCTCAGGGCTGAAGTCAGCATAATTCTTGAGCAAGAAAAAGGTGATTCCTTCTTCCACAAAGCCATTCCTTCTCCTGAGATGCCATCTTCTAGAGAGGTGACTAACAGGCTCTGAGTGGGGGTTTTATTATATGGGTTTTTGTTTCCTGGAATGAGTAACAAATGTTTCAAGAATACATCATTTCTCTTAAGAAAAAAAAATCAACCTATGTGTAAAAAGAGACACTTAAAAAGATTTCTGACCATTTATAAATATAAATCTAATTCCAACAGGGGTGTAATATTTTGAGGACAGGTAAAAAGCATAAAAATACAGGTAAGAAAATAAAATTTAATAACATACTAATCTGGATTGCTATACATATTATCAAGCAGCAGCATCTTTGTACAATACAGGAAGACTTGCAAACTTTGGAAATATACTACATTCAGCAACACGGTAGACCTGTCAGAGTGCTACATATTTACATTAACTTAGATGTAGCAGTGCAAACCTTCACTCAACTGAGATCCTTCTAACACACGTGCAACACACCCATCTTTACCATTTAGACACCCCTACTTTCTCATTCTCTTAGAGGATCTTATTGCCTCTTCCCGTACTGGAAATATTTCATGAGCCATCCTTCTTGGCAAAATTTCCTCCTAGCATTTGTAACTGACAAAACTTCCTTGATAGCTGTCAGTTCCTAATACACTTTCTCTTGCCTGTTTATGTCTCAAATCTAATGCTTTTGTTTCTCTTTCCTTTGCGATTTGTTACAGTTGTTTATGAAAGTGCTTCCTATAATATCCAGCTAAGATGTCTTAGAAAAACAGAGGGGTTTATTTGTGTGTGTATTACACACACACACGCGTACAGGAGGTTGAGCTACCAGGAGGCCGTTTTTGCTAACATAGTTAGAAAACTGATGGAAAATGCATTAGTCCTTTTTCACCCTGTGGACAAGGAAGCTGAGCTACTTTGCTACAATAGCAGGAAGGCACTTGGGTAAAACATTCAGATAACTGAGGAAAGCCCAAATTCCCTCATGTACAAAAAACAGCTCCTAGCCAGTCCTAGCCAGGTCGAGTGAGAACAAATCACTCACCACACACTCTTGGCTTTTCCCCAGTGAAGTCAATATTGCTGGAGAGAAAATTCTTTAGGTGAAGCTGCTAGTATAAGGAACTTATAATAAGGAACTTATTTTGTTCATGAGGAAGTATTTAGCATCCCAGAAGTTCCATGGTAGGGGTCAACCTCTTACTGGCATTCTGTTTATTTAAAAGAGAATTTTGCTAAACTCTTTGAGCTTAGGGTGGGTGAGGGAAAGGTCGTTCATTGTCAGGGAAAAATAAATGCTAGGTATCGACCGACAGGTTGCATACAAGTGCACAGGCCCGAATCTGAGCATTTTGCCTTCTATCTGGAGTGCCAAACACACCTGGCCCCACTCCCAGGAAGCTTTTACCTCTGGGTAACCTTGACGGGAGAGCCAGGACTTACAAAGCCCACAGTGGGCACTGAGTGGCCATGACTTTCTTCTGAGGCCTTCTGCCTACAGACTGTACAGACTGGACTGAGAAAACACTCTAAGTACAGTCTGAGTGCTAAGAATATTTTCACTTTGCTGCGGATTATTGAGGAAACAACTGAATGGCTGAAAAATGAATCCCCCGCTTGTCCTGGGGTATCTGCAGTACATGCAAACAGAAACAAACACATCTGCCAAGAACTTCAAGGGTTTTGTTTGTAAAAATCACAAAAATCACACCCACAGAGGAAGACTAGGGGAGACTGGGTGCGCTCAGTGGAAACAGTTGGGAGGAAGGAAATCACATATAACATGCAACCGAATAGAGCTCATTCAAAGTAAAGGATGCATTCGAGTAGATTTCTTCATGTTAGAATTTGAGTGCGGATAGGTCTTCAGGGGCAGAAGGGATCTTTAAATAGGTTCAGGTCAAATTAACCAGTGAAGCTGGGAAGCACATCCTGAGCTCGGCTGTCCCACTTAGAGGGAATTCAGCCCTTTTCCTCTATCTTGGTAGAAACCCACCTCCAGAAGCACTTGGGCTGTTTTACTTAACAAAAATACCCACACTTCTTTTCTTGGTTGCTTTAGCCCTTCTGCTATTCCTCAATTAAATGCACATGCTTGAGATTCTCCACCGCTTTACGGAAAAGCACTCTGGCTGCTAGGAAGAAAGCAAGCCGGAACCTTGCAAAGCATCCAGGTTGTACAGCTGCAGCAGACAGGTGCTTGCTCTCTGCAGCCTGGGTCAGCCCCCCAAGTCTATGGAAATTGTGTTAGCAGGACTGCGTGCTGCAGGGGTTAAAGAACAGCTCGCCAAGACAGCTCCAGGGCTAGGTGCCCTGGTCAGCCTTTTAAAGCAGAAAAAATAATAATAACAAACGCGTATACATGTCATAACTTAACGCCAAGAAGTCTTAACAGGTGATCTTGTCTGGGCAAGACAGTTTGGTTTTGGAATGAGAATTCAAAAATAAAGCTTTAGCTGTGGCCCAGTTGTGGCATGGACTGGGCGAGCTCTAAGGACTGACAGTTCAGTTTCTGTCTCTATCGAGGGTTTTGGGTTTCTTCAGCCTGTAAGCTGGGCTCTTGGGTCACGTTCCTTTGGTTGCTCTGAGAACTCCTTGCCTTCAAAAGGTACAGGAGCTGTATCTGTGACCTGGAAAAACGAACGCAAGGGCTGGGGTTTAATCACAGTGCCCACATCTTCTGTCCCCCGTCCATCCCCCCAAGCTCCAGTCACTCTGTTCTCAGGAGAGTTCCAGTGTCCTGTCTCATGTAGAATGTGCTTTTGGTCAGCAGGTGCTTACTATTTGGACGGAACACCATTAAGATCAACCAGGATGCTCTCTGGGATTTAAAACATAAACCGAAAAGAAGAGTTCTCTCTGGTGTTTAGAGGGAGGTGGCGAGCTCCTTAAGTGAGAGTCCGCTTAGTGCCCATACATTGATCCGCGTGTGGACTCCGGGCTGGGAGATGAACATGAAAGGAGACAGAAGGTGAGGGGCTGTGGAGGGCTCCGAGGGGTCAGATACAGAAGGTGTCTTGCTATAATGGCTTCTTTTACGTCTGATTTCTGGCAGGAGGTCCTGAAAACTCCTTCCTGATAATTTCATTAACTACAAAAGAAAAGAGGAGGGGGGGGGAGAGAGAATGGGGCAAGTGAGAGGGCACCGAAAACATGCATCAGGTTCACTTTCTAGAACCTCTATTGGGCTATTGATTTTTGAGACAAGGTCTTGCTCTGTCACCCAGGCTGGAGTGCAATGGCATGATCATGGCTCCTTGCAGCCTCAGCCTCCCGAGTAGCTGGGACTACATACAGGTGCACGCCACCACACCTGACTACATTTTTAAATTTTTAGTAGGGACAGGGTCTCACTCTGTTGCCCAGGCTGGTCTCAAACTCCTGAGCTCAGGCGATCCTCCCACCTGAGCCTCCCAAAGTGTTGGGATTACAGGCATGAACCATTCTGCCCATCTCTATTTTTTTTAAATACTTTTTTTGTTGTTGTTCCTTGTGCTTGTATATTTGACAATTTTTAATATAAGGAATGCTTTCCTATATCATATTTTCTTCAGGCAATATTTTTTGCTAAAGATCTGTTAGTGAAAATTGCTCAAATGGTAACTTTTTCAAATCTTTGTGGCAGAAATGGAAATCTTTGTGGGAAAAATGGATTTGAGCCATAGGGCATGTTTGAAGTAACTTTCTCCTCTTCTGCATTTGATGTCATGCTTGAGGCTATTGTGTACCAAACTACTTCCACTATTTCCACATCTAGAAAATGCCTATTACATGATTAAGTCTGATAAAACATGGTTCTTTCTTGATCCATAAAACTTACGGTTCTCAAAAGAGGAACCCTTACAAAGAGAGCAAGTGAGGGCCCCCCAAAGACTGACTAGCCATCAACATAAACATAGTTTCCATTTCAGCACAACCAGTTGAAGGATCATGTGCCAGCTCAGGAAAGTTTGGTCACCCCTCTCCCCAGAAGTATGTGTGGAGTTCCTAGCAGGGAACCAAGAGCAGTAACAGTCACTGGCATCAGGAAGCAAGCTACCTTCTCCCACTTTGCCCACTGGGTAAGGTACTAATTACTAGAATTAGGGCACTGAGATCTTAGGATAGTGGATCCTGCAAAAAGGTTCCCTAAAACATTCTTGGAAAGAAGAAGGTGCTATTGGTGACAGCCCATCCATGAGGCATGCTCCCTAAGGTATGTCTACACCTTCAGTTTTACAGGTAGACCATACTGACTAGTCGTGGGGTGGAAGGCATGAGGCTGTAGACCCCTTTGGGAGTCCCATCAAAGGCAGGTTCATTTCCCATTTCCTGGTTCTGACACTGAATTCTTCCCACACCTCCTCATACTTCCTTTTCTCACCTTAGCCTTAAGTTACATTGGCAGTGAGGGTTAAATGTTCAGAGTTGCCCGAAGTTTCTCCATGGTCAAAGCTGGGCCCTTCTAGGTTCAGGGTGCTTTTCGCTGGAAAACCCCTGCCCAGATGGTTTGCAACCTCCATAACAGAGTCGGGGAATGCAAAGAGCTGAATGAACCGGGTTTGATTCTCAGCTCGTTCTCTGACTGTATGATGTTACCTCTCCGTGCCTCAATTTTCTCATCTGTAAAGTGGGAATCATAGCACATACCTTTTCAGGCTGTTGTGAGGATGCTAAGCATTCACATAGGTAACAGTGCCCAGCACAGTGCCTGGTGTTCAATAGCTGGTGGTTATGATGGTTAGTAAAATCCCCATGCTTCATGTTGGACTCTGAATTCCGTGCTTTGCAAACATTGGCTTTGTTTTGTGCCAGAACATCAGGCATGCCACAAGCATGTACATGAGAGGTCGGATTCTGGAGCCAGCGGGGTTAGATTTCCACCTCTGCCACTTCCTTGCTTGGTGAACCTTGCCTTGGTGACAAAACCACTCTGTGCCTCAGTTTCCTCATCTGTAAATTGCATCTAAAAATATTACCTCCCAGGTTGCTGAGGTGCTTGGATGAGATAATGCAAGTAAAGATCACAGTGCCCAGCGTTCAGCCAGTATTGGTTTGTAGACCAGTATATATGTATTAGATATGTATTAGAAATACATACATTATGTATAACTTAACTTTTCCAACATGTGGAAACGGATTCATTAATAGGAATGTAGAGGACAAATTCATATATTTAGCTAACCAGCACTAGTTGGGCATCTACTGTGTACTGGGTAACAGCTGACTCCCAGGGGCCCTAAACCAGAAGCTGAATAAGGACTGTCAGCCCAGACCCTCAGTGCTCCCTGCAGGGGTGATAAGCTGACCATGCTGTGTAGGACTTATGTAGCGAAAGCCAAATGCCCGGGGCAGGTGGGGTCGGGGCAGCTTCATGTGAAGCTTTTCAAAGCCCGGATTCCAAAGGGCTTCCTGTTTTCTCAACCTAGGAAGTGAGAGGAGGGGATCCTTAATGAAAACTTTCCACAGCCTCAGCTTTCTAAAATTAGCTGGTAGGCAGAGACGCTGGCACCAAGGCCCTCTCGAAGGGCTGTTTCCCTTCTCAGAACACAGGGCTGGGGCAGGGGATGGGAAGTAGGGAAACTTTTCAAACAGGCAGAAGCATGTTTCCCTCTTCTTGGATGGAAATGGTCCTGCTGATGGAAATGGTCCTGCTTTCTGGGAGTTACTTTCAGATAGAAGTGAAGAGTTGCATCTGGAAAATTCAGTGACCCTATGCACTTAGACCTTCTTGCTATTGGGGGTGGTGAAGTGGCCCTGAGTTCAACTGCCGCCCAAACCTCTCTGGGTAGGAACCTCCTCTTTCTGAAATGTCGGCACTTGTTCCCCTGACTGCCAACAAGGAGAAAGTTCTAGAACAGAAATGCCGGCTAGGTGGTGGTGACAGAGTAGAGCCACACTGGGCTTTAAGTTCTGAGAGGGGGGTCTCTGCTCAACCACTTCATGCAGGGTCCACAGGTCCCACATTTGCAGACTCGAGTACCAGGGTGCAGGGGAACCCCAGTGCCCTTTCACCATGCCATTTCTCCTGGTCTCTGTCTGTCCCCCCTCAGCACTGTTCCCTCCTCTTGTCTCACCTTCCTCACGCTGCTCCTCTGGGTAGCATCATGTTTTCCCCAGTCTAACACTTTTCCTTTTCGCTCATGTTACCCAAGGCTCAAACAGCCTCCTTGGCAAAGCCCCCCTTGGTGGCCACCCCCAGCCCAGTCGCACTCCTGTCTCCTCACTATCCCCTGCTGCGCTGATGCTCTCCTTCCCCCCATATCCCTTAGATGATGCCTTGGTGCATGGGAAGTACTCAATAACATTTATTTATGAACAGAACACAGAAGCTTAGAAAGGGATTGGGAAACTTCAGGTCACAGTCAGGATTGTCCTCCCCAAGTCGGCCTCTGAGGTTTGGGTGCTGAACCACTCTCCTGTATTATTGCCATCAACATTTTATTCCTCCAATAATCTACCCTAGGCCAGCAACTGTACCTCTCCTCCTACCTGTTCCCAAATGGGGCCACGTGCAGTGTTCTGCCTCTTCCTGGAAGCCGCCCCACATTCCTGCCATGGTGCCCTCACTCGCTCCAAAAGCAAGTACTAAATTTCCAAGTAGCCCCACTCGTGCATGGCACCATGCACACAGCAGGTGCTTAATGCCTGCATTAGCCCACCCCAAAGACCCTGCACCATCAGTCTAGGTCCCTTGGTTTAAGGAAGCTGATTTTCATGCGATTGACAAATGGGTTGCTGATCTGTTACTTGTTTGGAGTCTTTCTCTCTATGAAAGAATACGAGCCATTCACATTTCCTGAGAGCTGTGTGCCAGGCCCTATACAGTGCCAGGGACTATTATTTAATTCTCACACTGCTCCTAGGTAACGTCATCATCCCCATTTTATAGATGGGGAAATAGAGACAGGCAGACCAATACTCTCCCTAGCAGGTGACAGGGGATTGGGATTTGAACTCAGAGCCTATTTAATTAACTTGTATGGTATTGATCCTTTAATTAACTTGTACGGTATTGATCCTCTTTCTTTTGGGGATCCCAGAATCCTCTGTGTCATTTGCGTGAAGTCAGGGGACGGCTATGGCAGACTCTGCTTAGCCAGCAGAGAGAGGCCGTGTGACAAAGGCAAGTGCTCTGCTGGAGAAAGTGTCCCTTTCTCAGAACACAATTGAGGCCAGCAGTTGTGAGTCTGCCATGGTGCTCTTGGCCTGTGCTCATCCTTAGACAGAGGTGCCCTAAAAGACTGATGGAGAATGATCTCACAGAGGTGCCCTAAAAGACTGATGGAGAATGATCTCAGGGTGACTACTAAGCCTGCAACTGGAAAGGAAAAAGTGAACCGATCTTATGTAAAAATTACGCACAAAACATGCTGTAACATTTTCAGTATATATGACAAAGTCATTTATATATAAAGAGGTGTTTCAACTCAGTAAGAAGGATATTAATATTCTAATAAAAATGGCTATAGACACAAAATGATGATATACCAGGGGTCAACAAACTTCTCCTGGAAAGGGCCAGGTAATATTTTCAGCTTTGTGGGCTCTTTCTCACTAAGCACTGCCAGTGTAGCATAAAAGCTGCCATAGACAGTACGCAAATGGGCACAGATGTGTTCCAATAAAACTTCATTTGCCAAAACAGGCTGGGGGCCAGGATTGACCCAAGAGCTGTAGTTTGTCAGCTCCTAGTATGTATATATATATATATATATATATATATATATATATATATATATATATATATATATAAGCTAATGGCAAAGAAGAAAAAGCAGGGTGTTCTCTTTGCCTGCTTTTTGAGGGTGGCAATCTGGGGAAGCCAGTGCCTCTTACTGGATTTCTAAAAGCTAAAACTGACTTCTGTTAGTATCCCATTCTGCACTAGGAATTTTCTGTTTTGCTAAAAGGCCCAGACACCTGCATGTACTTTCTCCTCCTTCCTTTATCAGAGCTCAGAGGTTCCCAAACTTCAGTTTGCAGCAGGATGGCTGCTCAGGATTACATGGGGAAAACAACCCAGAGGTATTAATACTTCAGGTGCAATTTAAAGGACTTTCAAGGGTGAATTTCACTCACTCTAGGCCCTTTCCCTTTGACTGCTGACTTTGGAACTGAATCCCCTGAGAAAGCAGCAACAGGAAGGAACGGATAGGCTGGGTCCTGCTTCTCGCTCAAACCTCAAGCATGTTTTCCAAAATCTGGTGAGACCACGTGAGTGCCCACGAGAGCCTGGGCCCAGCCACAAAGGCCATGGCCAGAAAGACACTCCTCAAGCTTGGATGGGAATCAAGAGGGCTGCATTCTCCAGGCCAAATCAAAGAATCTGAGAGCCAAGAGGGGGCCCAAGGCACCACCCCCCAGTCACTACTGACTATTTCCTCTGCCTTGCAGTGCCTTGCTGAATTCACTCCCACGACCCCTCCATGCTTGGGTCAGGATGCATGAACCTGAAAGCACATGAAGTCCTCTCTGGGATCTTCTGCCTTTGGTCCTAACTGTTCTCAGGGGGAAGCGACTCTGAAGGCCAAGAGGTAAGTTTCCTAAGCAACCGGGCCTGCTGGTCTTGAGCCCTCCCCTGTGCCTTTTTTTTTGAGTCTCCCTCCGTCACACAGGCTGGAGTGCAGTGGCGCCATCTCGGCTCATCTCCGCCTCCAGGTTCAAGCGATTCTCCTGCCTCAACCTCCTAAGGGAACCTGCCACCATGGCCCGGCTAATTTTTGTATTTTTAGTAGTGACGGGGTTTCACCATGTTGGCCAGGCTGGTCTCGAACTCCTGACCTTGCCTCGGCCTCCCAAAGTGCTGGGATTACAGGCGTGAGCCACCATGCCCAGCCCTTCCCCTCTGACTTCTTCTGTCTCAAAACTGAAAAGGCCTGTTACTTGAAACAGAGCTCTCCCAGACCTCTGCTTTACACTTACTAAGTAACTTCCCAGTGTTCATCTTCTCCAGGGAAACCTGGCCGTACTTGAGTGAGGCTCAGTGAAAAGAACATAAAACCCTCAATAGGACCCTCAATAGGACTGTAGCCCAGAGCTGTGGGTGGGGTCTGAAGAGTGATGGTGGAACAGCAGTAAATCCCCTCCCAGGCCACGCTGGTCAGAGTCAGCCACAGGCCTGAGCCGCTGGCTTGCCAAAGTCCCCAAGCCCAAGACACACATTAAAAAGGCATCGCCCTTCGACAAGTTCCCTGGGGGGCTTACAACCTCAGCACTGATATTTTACTTGCATTTTTATCCTCGGATGCAAAGTCCTGAGGACACTCCTGAGGGACTCCCCAGGAGCCGATTCCTCAGATGCAAAAAGTCCTGAGGAGGGACAGTGGCAGATGGCTGGAGAATGTGCTCCTCCCCCCAGGGCTTCCTTCTGCCATAGGGAAGTAGGGGTTCATCTCAGCAGGCCCCATCCTCTGGCAATCATGCTTCTCAAGCGTCAGCTCCCCTGGGTGTACTAATATAAACTCTAAGATGGGCTGGGCACTGTGTGTGCTGGTTTATTCCGATTAGAATATGGAGAAGATTAAATAACAGCAACAGCATCTAAGAAGCTGAGGCACAGAGAGGTAATGCAACCTTCCTTCCTCAATGTCTCATCTGGACTTCACACCCCAGGGCCTCCTGAAACCTGCACGATAAGGTCTTCTTAGCGGCCAGGCTCCTCTGTGGAGGCCCATCGAGGTGGATCTGCTGGGTGAGGGGCTCAGCCGAGCACCCTGGGAAACTCAGTTCCAAGGGGCTGATTTCAAATCCAGAAACCAAGTAGCAGAATCCTGCGACTTCAAAAGCCACAACAAGGAAGCCCCCCGGGAGGAGCTGAAACCTTGAGTGGAGGGAATCAGGATTGGAAATGACCTAAGCACAGGGCGGGGCTTCCTCAGTGGCTTCTTAGGTAGGTTTTCGGACCTCCCTGCCCACTCTGCTGTTCCCCAGTGCCGGACACCCACCACGGATGGAGAGCCTCATTTAACTGGACACCCACAACAAAGTGTGCAAAACCAAAAAGGAGCAGGCTCCAAAGACGTTGCTGCATTTTTCCACGCAGGCCAGCCCTGGAATCGGGGAGCATGCAAGTTAATGGGGCCTCATCCCCCCTTCTCCCGCCCAACCCTGAGATTCTCAGGGAGGTCCCCAGGAGTGTCCACTTCAGGAGTGGAGGGGTCTAGCCCTTAAGAGCAGGAGAATGAGAAGAGAGGGCCTTCAGCCTGTCAAGTTTTCTTATACTTTACTTAAAAAAAAAAAAATTCAAGTTAAGGAAACACACAGCTGGAAAACAAAAGGAGAAGCAGAAGATATCGATTACCTTTAACTTTGATTTCTCGGATCAAAGATCACAGTCATTCTGTTTCATAATATGTTTTGTATCCAGCTAAGGTGTGTGTCTATCAGCTCTGAAAAAGATTTGCAAAATCATTTTTGAGAAGAAAAAAAAAAATCACCTTTGATCTCTCTTACGCTTCCAACTCATGCCGATATCATCCAAGCCCAGGAGGGAACTTAACCCTTTGGCTCTAGTTTAAGCCAGAATTCTGCAACATCTTAGCATTTGTGCCAGAATTAACCCAACACTAGGGTAATAATCATGGAGATGAGGGACTCTGTGCAAAGTGCATTACATTATGTGGGGTGTGGGATCAGGGGAGCGTGTTCAGGGTGGACAAAAGGGCTGCTGTGGGTATGTGATGGGGTTTCAAATCATGGCCAACTACAAAGAGAAAATTAAGCTGGTTTCTGCTGCAGTCAAAGGAAAATCAGAATTTCATTAAAGATCTACTCAACTGTTATCTTCCTTCAGGCATCTACAGATACTAAACTGGGCCCCAGTTTCCTTCTTACTAGTGATATCACCTCAGTGGTCAGGGAAATTCATAAAACTGCACATTTTCTTCCTGTTTTTTGTCAACAATGGAAAAAAAAGCTCCTGCCCTATCAGAACAACGAAGGCACTTGAATGAGACCTGGGGAGTCTATTGTAAATAATACTCCTCTCTACATGTGTACAATGCCTGTGGCTTTCAAAACACCTGTCTTCCCAATCCCCTTTGGCCGAATTGGAATACCCAAGTCCATTCCAAATGCCTGATTTAGAAATGTTTTCTGAGTCCAATTTCTTACAGGGAATAATGCAGCGTTATTAGAAATGTCAAGTAAACTAGGATGCTTTTTCAAATAGAGGCATAAGCTCCCTGAAATCTCATCTTCAAGGGAGACAGAATGCTCAATAAATGAGATCCTTTCAGCGCTTATGCAGTTAGAGGCCTGGATTTCCCAATGTTGGGCTCCAACAGGAATTGGCTAGTTGGGGTTGGCTACTGCTGCCCTGGGGCAAAAGAAGCACTTCATCTCTCCTCCTTTTCTGACCATGCATCTCAGGCCATCTCCCAAAGCAAACATTTCCAGGTGGATGTGGCCCTAAGGCAGCTCCCACACTAAACTGCCCAGTCTCCACTTGAAACTGACTTCTTCCAAGTCCAAGAGCAGACAGTACTGTCGGATAATTCACTCAGGGCCTTAAAATACCACCTCTATCCTGACGATGGCCACATTAATGTTTTTAACCCAGACCATCACTCCTGAATTTCAGATTGCAATATCTACCTGCCCAAACTTCACAGGGCCAAAACCAATCTCTGGATCCTCACCCCTCCTCCCCGTGTCTCACCTGTTCCCATGATGGGAAACACACATTCTCTCTTTCCAGTTGTTCAGGCCAACCTGTGTGTTCCCTGACTCCTTGTTCACAGCCCACATCCCACCCACCCATACATGCTTCTGGATTTACCCCAGGTAGCCAGAAACCAACAACCTCCACTGCCACCCCGGCCCTACAGCAAGGTGATCCTGTTGGAACTGATGTTAGAGCACGCCACTCCCTGTTTTGCTCAGCTGACAGCTCTAAAGTTCTGTAATGACCAACACGTTGTCACTTTATCCATATCTACTCATTTAAGGAGCACTTCAGTGGATCTCAGGCATCAGGCACAGGTCTGAAGTCACACCCTTGGAGGAGTCGTTCGAATCTAGTTGGAACCCCAGGGACCAGGTTCTTCAGACCATCCACCCAGAACACGAGTTCTCTCTCCAAACCTTCAAACACCAAACCACATGGTGCCCAGTGTTAATATGGGGGGTGGGGGGGCACAATGGCGCTATCTCAGGGGACTCGAGAAACCAAGCCCTGTTCTGTCACCTTCTCAGAGAAATAGAAAGCATCACATGATGGCTCCGTCTGCAGCATTCGGAGGTGCAGCTTCCTGTTTAGTCATAGAGTTTCACTCTTTGTCAGCTTCTTTGTGGAAGACAGAGGCAGGGCCTGTCTTCATTCAACTGAGGCCCGAAATCAACTCGGGACCAGGCCACCGCCAAACACCCTCCTCCGCAGGTGGCTACTCGCTCTGCCTTCCTTCATCCTCACAGACATCTCCGGGGGTGGTGGTGAGAGTTCCATTTCTCAGGTCAAGTTAGTAAGGCAGAGAAAGATGGGGCGACTTGTCCAGGAACAGCCTCCTAGCATTGGGTAGAGACCAGATGTGGCCCCAGCTCTATGGGTACTAGTCCTGGGCTAGGGTTTCCCCAATTTGAAAGATCTTCTGGCTGCCCTGGGGCCTCTGTTAAAATGTAGACTCACATCAGAAGCTGTTGGAACATAAGCACTTCAACAGTGCCTCTGCCTCAGTCTCCCCAGCCACGAGATGGGGATGAGAACACTTCCTTGGCAAAGTCACTGAGGATTAAATGAGATGCTATAGGCCAGGCACAGTGGCTCATGCCTGTAATCCCAGAACGTTGGGAGGCCGAAGTGGGTGGATCACTTGAGGTCAGGAGTTTAAGACCAGCCCGGCCAATATGGTGAAACCCCGTCTCTACTAAAAATACAAAAATTAGCTGGGTGTGACGGCAGGTGCCTGTAACCTCAGCTACCTGGGAGGCGGAGGTTGCAGTGAGCTGAGATGGTGCCACTGTACCCCAACCTAGGCAACAGAGCAAGACTGTCTCAAAAAAATAAAAATAAATGAGATGCTATAGCTGGCTCATTGGCATGTGTTTATTAAGCCCACAATATGGTCCCCTAAAGAAGATGGAAGAGAAAGAGACAAAGACCAGTCTAAAAGAGGCCATTCCAATAACCAAGGATACCATTCTGTTTCCCTACATATTTAAATGGGAGGTAAGTCCATTGATCCACGTGAATGTGCTGGTCAGTTGTCAGTAATATGGAGATGCGGACGTCAAGAGAAAAGGCAGTATTTAGACTTACTACATGGTCCCTAAGTGTCATCTACAAATCCTCCCAAAGACACAGGGGTACCTCAAAAACCACAATTACTTTTGCGCCAACCTAATACAAGGTTACAGCCTAAGACCTATACAGTGGCCTTGCATTTTTACCCCAGGCATAAACTGGTGAGTCATCCCACTGATCCTATGGACTAGGTGATAATTTAAGATGTAAATTAGAAGTGGTTCACTGATGAGCTTAATCAATGGTGATAATTTTCATAAAAACACAAGGTGTCAACAAATAGCCATTACAGACAAAAGTACAGACCCAAGAATCTGTCTCCTTGACAAATATACAACTAGCTTCCCAGACTTCTGAGCTCACAGGCATGCACGTTTGAATGGGATGGAATTTAAGGGAAACCCTGCGTGCATCTCCGTGGTGGAACCAATGGGAATCAGGCACTGGTCTAAGGGACGTCCAGTTTTGTGTTTCTACAATGCAAGTCAGATGTCCCCTCCTAGCCAGTGTAGAATATGCTACCATCATCTCCATTGTCTGCTTTTTTGCAATGATTGCACATCAACTTACAATCTACGGAGAAACAATTGGTGACTTTCTCAACTAAGCTGCCCGACAAGGAAGGACTAACCAACTGTGTAAACTCAGACCTGAACTGCCCATTTCTATTCTCCAATTCAGCAGAATTTCTTCTGATTACATGCAACTAAGCTGCACCTCTCCTATCAAGCAACCACACGGCTTCTAAAGTAGCAACCACAGGCAGGAAAGCATTCTAAACAAACCACAGTTTACTTCCTTGTCCTTCAGCCAGTTCATCACCACCTCGGCCCCAACCCTCTGCTAAGAAACATCAGCCAACAGCACAAGCCCTGCAAAATAACTTGCTGCCTTTGGAAAAAAAAAAAGGCAAAAGAAAAGCACTTGTTACTATATTGAATTGAGACATAGGAAACAAACAGTAATTCAAACCCACAAATCAGCCTGTGATCACAAATGAGATAATAAAATAAATACCTGAGTTTTGGGGAAGACATATACCATAAACCCCCTCTGGGGGTTAGAGGAATTAACCAAACATTTCTTTTAAGACATTTGAGTATATGCCTCTTTGCTTATCCAAGAGAGATGGAATTGTAAGCAGGTCAGACACTCCCAGGTGGATTAGCAGGTGGGAGCAGTAAGAAAGATTTCCACCCTAACTTGCTTTGCTCATGTCACAGAATCATGCAAAACCTCCCCCTCTTCTGGGAGAAGGGGCAAAACCCCTGGCCTGGCTTCATAAAGATATTTCTTCAAATACCAACATGGCCCCTGATTCTTAGAAAGAATTCACTGGATATTTATTGAATTTCCAGTCCAGTCTCCATCTCGCCCTCCCATAAGTTCACCTTCCAGATCATTCTATGTTTACCCACATATGCCAGGACCAGCTCACAGCACAGGCCCAACATGGGACACACCTCCCCCCAACACATCCACATTCTCCCGAAGCCCAACTCAAGCGCACGTCCTGGAAGCAGAGGCATCCCTGGCCATGTCACAGTTTCTTCCACAAACCTTTGGATCTATCTTTTGTATTTTAAGTCTTGGATTTCCCATAAGAGATGTCAACCATACTCCCTCCATACCTTCCAGATTCACAGGCAAGAGAAGCCACTAGGCTTCCTGCAAAGAAATTTCTCAAGATCTGAGTAGGGACCAGGCTCTGTCTTAAATTTCTCCAAGTGAGATCCACATGCGTGGCCCTTGCACGTACTGCTATCATCTCAAAGGCCACCTGGAGTGACCAGCAAGGACTGTATTCATGGGTGACACTGCACCAGGTGTTCCTAAAAGACAGTAGTTCCCAGAACAGGCAGACAGAACCTTCACTCCTGATTCACCCCTTGATCAAACCTTTCACCTATACAGTCCCTGCTACACACTAAGTTATGCCCCCACCACACCAGCCAAATTCCTATATTGAAGCCCTAAACCACTCTGTGATGGTATTTGGAGATGGGGCCTTTGGGAGATAATTAGGACTTGGTGCAGTCATGAAGGTGGGGCCCTCGTGATGGAATTAGTGGCCTAAGAAGAAGGGCCACCAGAGGTCAGTCTCATTGTCTCACAGGAGAACACAATGGGAGAAAAGGTGACTGTCTGCAAGCCAGGACCTAAGCAGGTCCTCTCCAGAACCTGATCTTGACAGGATTCTCCAGAATCCTGGTCTTGGATTGCTAGCCTCTAGAATTGTGAGAAGATAAATTTCTGTTGTTTAAGCCACTAAGTCTATGATATTTTGTTATGTGGCCCGAGCTGACTGACACAGTCCCCAAAGTACATTCCTCTCCAAAGTCTCGGTCTATGCTCACGAGGTAGGCATCTGGCCAGTGAAGTCATCGAGGTTCAGGTAAGCAGACATCCCTCTATTTTAGGTCCAGCATCCCATGGCTGGTCCGTGGCAGGGGTTGAACAAGGAGCAGACCCTGATATCCCCACCGCCACACCTTTGTGTCGCTTGGCTGATGCCTAGGAGGCCCTCTTTTTCCTCTGCATCTGAATCCTGCTTGTCTGCCCATGATCAGGCCCAAATCTCTGTTTCTTGCAGCCAACAGCTCCTCCCTTTCTCAGCTGTCCTGGCGAGGGGCTCACACCCTGGGGTCAGAGTCCCAGGGACACACAGACAGCTGGGGTCCAAATCCCAGCTCTGCCACATCCTTTCATAGAACTTGAGGCAAATCCTAACCCTTTCTGTGCCTCCTCTGTTAAAGGTGGGCAAAAACTATTCCCAGCTTCTAAGGCTTTTAGAGAGAATCTGAGTCAATGCATGCAAAGTTCTTCAAACATGCAAGGCACATCATAAGAACTCTGTACCACATTACTTGTTTTGGGAATCAGAGCCAATCTTTTAAGTCCTCGAGTCTCAGTTTTTCTCATCTGTAATATGGGAATGCATATATATGGCACTATGCCAAGCTAAGAAATAACCAAAAGTAGCAGCTCTTTCTATTAGCAGCAGCAGTGTGTCTCAGCCCTCACACAGAGGATGCTTGTTAACAGACTGAATTGATGATGGCCAGTCCACCCTCTTCCACCAAAGCACTTTCACCTTTGAAGCTATTTCTGCATTTTCAGAATGGGCAGGGCTGAGATCAGCCATGCTCTCAGAGATGCATTTTCACATCCTGCTGAGAGGGGCCCCTCCCAGGCCTCACTGCGCCCTAGTGTGCGCAGACAGCTTTGGGCCGGCGACCTGCAGAGCAGCGTGAGTCACTGACGCTCTCTGCAAACCAGAGGCCTCCGGAAACCAGCCCAGACAGCAGACTCACAAGCACCCTGCCACCAGCCATTTTATGAGCAAGACCTTGGGGCTTACGAGAAAGATGCCACACCACGTGCCAAACTGTCCCCAGCTCTTGGGATGAGTAGACATGGTGATTCTGAGACTCTGGTTTCTAGTAAAAGGGGCTCACTGGGAGGAGAGCATGTCACTGGCAGATCAGTTTGTGGCCAGGAAGGCACCAAGCCCCAAGATGGCAAGAGGAGCCACCTGCTTCGAGTTGAGCTCCTGGAAGAGAAATGCATCAGACGCCAGCCAAGCAACACCAGACAGGACATGCCCCCCAAATTAGCTTCCAGGGACCGTAAGACATCCTCCTAGTCCTCCCCCAACCCACCCTCCACCACTAGACTTCAATGATGCCTTTCAAACCCCAGATCCACATGCAACGCGAGGCCAACAGAGCAGTACCAGAGGCTGCTCTTCGGGACTGGAGACACCACTCAGGAAGATGTGAGGCAGGCAAACACATTCACCTCGAGTTCCCAGGGAACTGTGGGTGTGCAGGCGCCATGACCTCACACGTGTCATCTCACCGTGCCTCACCAGCAGGTCTGTTTGCATGTGCCATGTTCGTAGAAGCTTGGCATCAGATAGGCAAGCTTTCATAGGCACTGCCTTTCAGCTGTGCATGGCTCCTGTGGCCCTGGTGTTTTGGGAGGGAGTAGCATGAATCAGATCACAGAACCCCGTATCTTGAAACCCGTGACATTTTAACACCAACCTCTCACTGGTTGGTAATACCCTCATTAAGGCACAGACCTCATCTCTCTCATCTACTGCTGTATCCCCAGCACCTAGGACAGAGCCCAGCACATAGTAGGTGCTCAGTAAAAATCTCAAGGAGGAATGATTGGGCGAAAGAATAACTACCACCTCCTAATTGATAGGACTTGCCCAGAATTTTTCCGATCAGGTCTGGCTTTCAACTGTCTCCCAGAGCACAGCAACCTCCGCCTCCCAGGTTCAAGCGATTCTCCTGCCTCAGCCTCCTGAGTAGTTGGGATTACAGGTGTCCGCCACCATGCCCGGCTAAACTTTGCATTTTTAGTAGAGACAGGATTTCACCATGTTGGCCAGGCTGGTCTCAAACTCCTGACCTCAGGTGATCCGCTGGCCTTGGCCTCCCAAAGTGCTGGGATGACAGGTGTGAGCCACCACACCCAGCCTACATATATATGTTGTTAATCCTCACGGTCATCCCATGAAGTAGGTATTGACTGCCCCCATTACACAGCTGAAGAAACCAAGTCTCCGAAAGAGTAACAAACCCAGGCTCTGCAGCTATTATGTGGCAGAGCAGTGTGGCTCAGGCTACTTGTAGATAGAAATTCGTTTTCACTTACCACCTGGCAACAAGAATACGCTTCTCTGAATGCAGCTCAGCACAAACACTGGTCCTTGGGAGACCCTAGCTTTTATCAGGGTTGGGCAGTAGAAATCACCCACATGGTACACAAAGAAAAATGGGGGTGACAGTGTTGGCATCGTTGTTAGCTTTGGGTAACCTGTGGCGGGGAGCAGATACTGAGATTTAAGAAGCAAAGAGCGGCTTGGCCCCCTCGGGACCACTATGCCAAGCCCGGTACACATCTAAAAGGTGAAATGGTGCTGGTGTATTACAAGAGTTAAAGCCAAGGCCTGGGCTGCGCAGAGGAATGACTGGAGGCGCCCCGGCTTGCTTCCATTGGCAATGTTCTCCAGCAGAAGGGGAAAACGTAGGCTCAATTCCCACAAACCCACCAGCAACCGGGGTTTCTAGACCTCACAGAGCCCAGGCCTTCCTGTGGTATCAGTCTGACTCTGGCTTGGGGCCTGGGGGCATCTGCAGCCCACGTAAGCCATCCTCTCTAGAGAGGGTGTGACATCTTAGCTCCATAGCGGCGCCTGTCTGAAAGGGAAATTCAGGTCACCTCCAAGGGTGACAGGAGTCAGTGGCTTCCACAGCAGAAGCCTGGGTGTTATGACCACTTGCTGGCCGCCTCGTCGGAATTCCATCTTGATTGACTCTCCCTAGCTGCCTGCCAGCACCCACCCACTGTCAGGACCCAGGGATCCCACTTGGCCTTTAAGACTGAAGATGATCTGCTTCTCTCCCTCACTCTCCCCTAGTCCACAGTCTTCCTTAGTATACGCTATTCACGTCAAGCCTGCTCACGCCCCAGGGCCTTTGCACCTGCTGTTCGCTCTACCTGGACTCCTGCTCTTGCCTTAGACACCTGCTGTTCTCTCTACTTGGACTGCTGCTCTTGCCTTAGACGTTTGGAGGGCTCTCTTGATAAGACCTCTTCTCAAATGCCACCTCCCCTGAGGTGCTCCCCTTACTGGAACGGCAAGCAGGCCTCCGTGCCACCCCATCATGCCCTGTCCCCCAGCCTGCTTTTCTCTTCCAACAGAACACTTGGCACCCCCAGTTTTATCATTTATATTTTCAAACTGCAAGCTGTAGGAGGGCCGGGACTTTGAGCCTCTTCACTGTGTTAGCCCCAGCAGTGAGCAATAAACGGCTGTTGGATGAATGAATGATTTAGCGAAAGAATGGACAAATAAATGAACCGACTATGGCTTCCGGGTATTGGCAACCCAGTGCTGACTTCATCTTGTGGACATCGGGTGCTGTAGTCCTCAGCTCTGTAGAGCAGATTCCAAGGAAACTGGGAATCACGCTTCATGGTCACAAAGGAGGAGACAGTGCCTCTGAGCTCTTGCTCATGCTGCACTCCTGCCTGGCACCCCATCTCCCCTGCTAACTAGTGAAATCCTGATCCCAAAGTTGCAGAGGCCCACAGCCCCTAGGGCACCCAGCCGCGTGCCTGGCATTTGGAAGGCTTATTCAACTGCTGAGCAGACGGGGTCAGGACGAGAACCGTGGAGTCTGGAACCCTAAGCCTTCACTTTCCACTCGGTCCAACTTAAAGAAGGAGAAATTGTTTCTTCGTTTGTGAATATCTCCATCCTGAGCTTATTTCATATGCCAACTGGGACATGGCTAGAAATTGCCCATGAAAAGACTGTAGCAGGAAGCAGGTTTTAAGAGCAGCAGATCCTCAGGAAACCTGAGCTGTTTAGAGACAGGAGGGCCAGCCTTCCAACCAAAGTCCTCTGTGGCCCAACCCTGGGCATCCATCCGCTCAGGCCACTGAGTGTCCAGGGGAGGGAGAGGTGGACCACAAGGCCAAAGCCAGTTTCTCAAGCATTTCCCACCCATGTGGCAGGGTCGGTGGCTGGGAAGGACAGTGAGCCTCGTGAGAAGTGGCTCTTTATTTCTAGTATGAAAGATAACTTTTAGCAGCCTTTGAAAAAACACCATAAAAATTCAATACTGGCCAGGTGTGGTGGCTCACGCCTGTAATCCCAGTACTTTGGGAGGCTGAGGCGGGCAGATCACTTGAGGTCAGGAGTTCGAGACCAGCCTGGCCAACATAGGGAAACCCCATCTCTACTAAAAATACAAAAATTAGCCGGGTGTGGTAGTGTGTGCCTGTAATCCCAGCTACTCGGGAGGCTAAGGCAGGAGAATCCCATGAACCCAGGAGGCGTAGGTTGCAGTGAGCCGAGATCGCGCCACTGCACTCCAGCCTGGGGGACTGAGCAAGACTCTTTTTAAAAAAAAAAAAAAAAAAAGCCAGAGCCCAGAAAGAGGCCCACACTTACATGGGAAAGATATTTACAACACCAACAGATTACATCTTCTGAATAGATGGTTGGTGATAACTAGTTATCCATACAAAAAAACAGTGAAATTAGAACCTTCCCTCATACTGGACATAAAAATCAACTCCAGGTGGATTACAGACCCAAGGGTACAAGGTAAGACTGCAAGAAGTTTGGAAGACACTATAGGAGAATCTCTTTGTGACATCAAGGTAGAGAAAGATTTTCTGACCCACTGCTTTAAACTGGTGGGAACCTCTGAATCAGTTGGAAAGCTTGTAAAAGCACAGACTGTGGGTCTCGCTGGCAGAGTTTCTAATTCAGCAGGACTGGGGTGGAGGTGGGAATTTGCATTTCTAACAAGCTCCTGAGTGACCTGACAACACATCATCCTAAACTACACCCAGAAAACTCACACCTTTCAGAAAAGAAATTTAACTACATGAAAATTTTCTGTTCACCGAAAGACATCATTTTACATGTACCAGCTAAGTGAAAAAATTTAACTGTCTGACAGTATCAAACTTTGTGAGGTTGTAGAGCAATGAATTACATATGTGTTGCTGATGGGAGTGTAAACTGGTATAACTGCTTCAGAAGACAATTTGGTATCGTCTACTAAAGTTGGAAGTGTGTGTACACCCTGTGACCATGCAACTCTGCTTGTCAGTATAACCCTACAGAAAGTCCTCTGTGTGCAAGCACCAGGAGACAGCGAAAGAACATTCCAGACAGCACTGCCTGTAACCAGAAAGAGGAAAAATCTGGAAACAATCAAATGCCCACCATCAGCAGAATGGAAAAATAGGCTTTACAATGGAATATTATGCAGCAGAGAAAAGGAAAGAATTACAGCTAAAGCAAAGACAATGAGTGAAATCTACAAAGAAAATGAAAAGGAAGTGGCAAACACAAAATTCAGGGTAGCAATTATGCTAAGGTGTGAATGAAGAGGATGTGTTTGAAATTGTATCCAGAATCACTGAGCATCATGGCTGTGAACCTCAGAGATGAGCCCACCAGACCCACCTGCCTCCTGACGGAGGAACACGCCACACCGATGGGACAGTCTTGCCAAAAGCATCGAAGCTGAATTGGATCAAGCCTCCAGATCTGACTGACAACTTACAGGAAATACCGAGGACAGAGCCACGTGTCAGACGACAGTATGCGACTGCAACCTGCAAAACCCAGACTACAGAAAATTCTACAGGACGAACTGGTTTCTTCAGTACAAAGATGGCAAAGAGAACAGATGAATGTGGGGTATGAGCAGACAAAAGAAACTGAAAAGACATTTCAAACAAGCACAATATCTGGTCCCTCCTTGAGTCCAGAGTCAAACAAACTTTAACAAAAAGAAATATGGCCGGGCACAGTGGCTCACGCCTGTAATCCCAGCACTTTGGGAAGCTGAGGTGGGCGGATCACGAGGTCAGGAGATGGAGACCATCCTGGCTAACACGGTGAAACCCCGTCTCTACTAAAAATACAAAAAATTAGCCAGGCGTGGTGGCGGGCGCCTGTAGTCCCACCTACCTGGCAGGCTGAGGCAGGAGAATGGCGTGAACTCGGGAGGCGGAGCTGGCAGTGAGCCGAGATCATGCCACTGCACTCCAGCCTGGGCGACAGAGCGAGACTCTGTCTCAAAAAAAAAAAAAAAAAAAGCGAAATATTAGGACATTTATGAGACAATTGAGAATTTGAACACTGAGTTTGATAATATTAAAGAATTCTTCATTTTTAGGTGTGATAACAATATCAGGGGAAAACTGTTTTTTTAAAGTCATCTTTTAGAAAAATGTAACTGAAAGATTTGCCAGAAAACATTTTCTACGCAGAAGAGCTCAGAGGAAATGACTATCCTATTGTTCTTTAAGCTTAGGGGGAGGGGTAAGTACACAGTATGTTTGTGTACTCACATATATTTTAAACATATTTATATGCATTTAATAAAAGCAATTTATTATTTAAAGGAAAGGAAGAGAGGGAGAGAAAGAGGGAGAGAAAGGGAGGGAGAGAGAAGAAAGAAGGTAATGAAGGAGGGAGGAAGAGAGGGAAGGAAGGCAGTGGGGAAGGGATTATTTGGAGAGAAGGAAGACAAAAGGAGACAGATCTCCTTTGCACCCACCATACAAGAGCTGGTATTTTTGCACATCCTGGCACATCTAGAGAGCATTCTAACACACTTAGGGCAGGAGAGTGTCACCTCTCAGAGAGGCCTTCCTTGATGACCCTGTCTAAAGTCTCTCCCCCAGCACCCTGTTTCTTTTCTTCATGGCATGTGTCACCAGCTGAAATCTATTTCTTTCTGGCATTTTTTTCTTCCTTACTAGACTGTATGAACCACAGAGCAGGAACCTCACTCCATTCACCCAGCACCTACCAATTTACCTGGCTGGAAGCAGGTGTTGATAGATGACAGTGGTGATGGTGATAATGATAGTGGTGGCAGTGGTGGTATTTGGTATCTACTGGGTATTTACTCTGTGCCAGGCCTTGTTCTAAGCAATCTACATGTACTAACCCACCCAATGTTCACAGTGACCCATGAGGTAAGTGTTATAATGATTACTCCCATTTTGCAGTTCAGTAAATCAAGGCTCAGTGAGGCAAAGGGCCTCGATCAGAGTTACGCAGGTAGCACGTGGCCGAGCAATGATTTGCATCCAGAAGTTCTGGTTCCAGGGCCTACCCTGGATTCCTGCCTTGCTGATAACATTTCATTTAATAGTAAAGACAGAAGCTTTTTTTCAGGCCTAAAGTGACCCTGAGTTAACCACTGAAGTTCAAGGAGGACCTGATTAAACCTAATTATTTCTCCTGCCCATACTAGCCCCAGTGTTCTTTATCCATGCACACACACATACACACACCCATACACACACACACAGTATAACTACACCTGGCCACACTACAAACCATAGTGCAAGGTCCTGAAGCAATGCAATTGTCTTTTTTTTTTTTTTTTTTTTTTTTTTTTTGAGACAGAGTCTTGCTCTTTCTCCCAGGCTCGTGTGCAGTAGCACAGTCTCAGCTCACTGCAACCTCTGCCTCCCAGGTTCATGCGATTCTCCTGCCCCAGCCTCCTGAGTAGCTGGGATTACAGGCGTGTGCCACCACGCACAGCTAGTTTTTGTATTTTTAGTAGAGACAAGGTTTCAACATGTTGGCCAGCCTGGTCTTGCACTCCTGACCTCAAGTGATCCACCTGCCTTGGCCTCCCAAAGTACCGAAATTCCAGGTGTGAGCCACCGCGCCTGGCCTGAAGCAATGCTCTTTGACTTGTTTTCTGCCTGGCACACAGTAGGCACTCTGCAGATGTGTTGAGTAGAACTGACCAAAGTGCAAGAAATTTGGGCCAGGATGCCAAACTTTCCAAAGCAGAGGTCCCAACCTCAGTGAGAAAACATCACTATTAAGAGCCCCATTAGGGTGAGCGAGCCCCTCTTTGAAATTCAAGGCCCCCATAGGAGGGAGCCCTAACCCCATTATCACACCCACCCAGCAGGAATTTACTTAACTGCTTTCCCTTCAGCTCCCCTTCCAGCCTTACAGAGGGGACCCTGAACAGCTAAGAACTCTGATAATAAGAAACCAAGGGCTATAAGATCTGGAGTTTGAATTTAGGGAATTCTTTCCAGGATAGGCCTGGCCAGAGCCTGTTTTGGTGTGAGCCCCCATGACTGGCACACTCTGGCATCACACAGCTGGGGGTGATTGGACTGGGGAAGGGGTCTGCGACCAAAAGGGGTGGCCCTCTTAGATGCAGCCAAGCCGTCTGCATTCTGAGTCACAAGGCCATCCTCAGAACCTTCTCCCTAATAGGAACAGAACAGGAAACTAGCATGCTGAGAGCTGCTGCCCCCTTCTCCACACGGGCCAGGGGGTGGGCAGGAGCAGGGAGTTCCAGTTCCTGGGCTGAGGCATGAATTTCTCAGAACCCTGGCAGCCTGGAAAACACAGAGCTGGTTTCTGTTTTCCACCCCCAGAAACAGCCTGTAACCACAGCAGGAGGGAGGCCCCGCTGGCCTGGTCGGGAGCACCCTGGCCAGGCCAGGATGCAAACACTGCTGCTGTTTAGAGAGGGAAACCCTGGCCGGCTCACATGCCCGATTCCTGGGCGTCCCCGGCCACCTCATACTCTCTGCCAGCTGGGTCCACGGGGATGCTATCTTCGGGAGGAGCAGGGAGTTGGAACGCAGCCCTCAGAACAGGGGTGCATGCCAGCTGGGCTAGACGTTTGGCATGCAAAGGGGGTGCAATCTCATGGGTCTCCCTGCAAAAGGAGTACTTCTGTGTCCAAAACAAGCTGGTGCCAAGCACAACAGAACAACAAGGAGCACAGGAGAAGGAGAAGGAGAAGCACAGGATGAGGCCGCCGACCCCACCCCCGCCCCACCGACCCCGGCCCCCCCATCCCCCGCTCCCGCCGCCCCCCCCCCTCCCCGCCAAACACATGGAGCCGAGTACAGTGTCCTGCTCTCCAGGCAGCCAGCTCCCGGGTTTCACAATCCTTTCCATGGCACTCGGGTTTGCTGTCACAACAACTGCAGGATGACCCGGTGCTGGGCAGCACTGCTGGCTGGAGGTGAGAAATCGATTTTCTCACCGGCCCAGTGGCCAGCACATTTTTGAGGTCATGCCCCGGCCTGGCCTGTGGAGTCCCCCAAGCATCTGCCTCTGTCAATCCACTGTGCCCTCTGAGGCTGGACTGCATGGCACTAAGAGGGCCCTGGGTTCCAAAGCCATCCTGCTGAGAAGAGATAACAGCCTGATTCTAGGACCAGGACACAGTCTGTCTCCTCAGGGTTTATTCACTGGCAAATCTTGTTAGCAGATGCTAGAGGTTTTTATTTGCACTCCTGAACTCCCAAAGAAACATATGGCATCTTTTTTCAAAAAAACCTAAAGAGGCGGGGTGTGGCAGCTCATACTGTAATCCTAGCACTTTGGGAGGCTGAGCTGGGAGGACTGCTTCAGGCCAGGAGTTCAAGACCAGCCCGGGCAACATAGTGAAACCCTGTCTTTACAAAATTAAGAAAAAACAGCCAGGAGTGGTGGCACACGCCTATAGTCCAGCTACCCAGGAGGCTGAGGTGGGAGGATTGCTTGAGCCTAGGAGTTCAAGGCTGCAGTGAGCCATGGTGGCACCAGTGCACTCCAGCCTCGGTGACAGAGCAAGACCCTGTCCCCTCCAAAAATATTAAATAAAAATTTTAAAATTAAAAACAAAACTAAAGAACATGTACAAATGTACTCACTTGCTGTGGGACCTTGGACCAGTTACTTAACCTCCCTGGGCTACAGTTTCCTCATCTATAAAATGCCTCTGCGGCTGCCATGAGGGTTAAATGAGCTAATGCAGCAAAGTCTTAGAAGAATGTCTGGTAAACAGTAAACATCTAAGCATGAGCTGCTATTATCATTATTGTTCTTTTGTGACAAATAGTTTTAAATCATTTTAAACCCAGGCAGTCTCGGTTCTCAGTTTCATGCCTGGTTATTCATTCGATACCACAAATATTGGGTGAGCACCTTTTATGCAGGAAGCTGAGCCAGGTCTTTGAGCAAAGGGTGGACGTCAGCAAATGTTGTCAAGGGCTTCCCATGTGCAAAGCCAGCCCAGGGGCAGTCAGCAGTGCAGACAAGTCACAGCATTTGTCCTCACTACCCAGAGACTCGAGCAAGGGAGAAAAAATAAATAAATAAATAAATGGAAACACCTGAAAGAGACCATGTTCATTTCCAGGACTTCAAGGCAAGAGAGAAACCCTCCAGGTGCAGAGCAGAGACATTGTCAGAGCCTTGGAACGCTGGCCAGATTTCAAAAGTCACAGCAGAGAGCCAGGCATGGTGGCTCACGCCTGTAATCCCAGCACTTTGGGAGGCCGAGGTGGGCGGATCACCTGAGGTCAGGAGTTCGAGACCAGCCTGGCCAACATGGCAAAACTCCATCTCTACTAAAAATACAAAAATTAGCCAGGTGTGGTGGCACACACCTATAATCCCAGCTACTTGGGAGGCTGAGGCAGGAGAATCAACTGAACCCAGGAGGCAGAGGTTGCAGTGAGCAGAGATTGTGCCACTGCACTCCAGCCTGGGCAACAAAACAAGACTCTGTTAAAAAAAGAAAAAAAAAAAGTCACAGGAGAGCAGGATTTCCAGGCGGTGGTTAAGGCATGGGCAAAGGTTTGGAGGCAAGAAAGCCTCCGCACAGCCGCAGTCATCCTCCCCTCACAGCTGAGGGGTGGGCGAGGCTGATCATGCATACACACAGCCGGAAACACAGCCCCAACCAGAACAGAAAGGTTTCTGTTTCTAAATCCTCATTTTCACTCCAGCCTCTGGGGTCATTTCTAGGACCTGAAATCTGCCCCTTTCTTTTTAAAAATTCTCTCCTAGGGGCTGGGCATGGTTGCTAATGCCTGTAATCCCAGCACTTTGGGAGGCCAAAGTTGGTGGATTCCTTGAGCTCAGGAGTTTTGAGACCAGCCTGGGCAACATAGTGAGACCCCATCTCTACAAAAAATAACTAGCCAGGTGTGGTGGCACATGCTGGTAATCCCAGCTACTTGGGGAGCTGAGGTGGGAGGATCACTTGGGCCTGGGAGTTTGAGGCTGCAGTGAGCCATGATCCTACCATGGCACTCCAGCCTGAGTGACAGAGTAAGACCCTGTATCAAAAAAAAAAAAAAAAAATTCTAAAAACACAATCAGGAGAAAGTCTCCCTTCTACTCTTGCTCAGTATTTCCTTGTGTGTCTGCATCTTATTAACAGACATTTAGCCTGTTTCTAGTCTCCTGCTACTATAGACAAGGCTGGAGTCAACATCCCACACACCACACGCAGCAGGTATCTGGATGGACCCGGCTTCCTGAAGACAGATGAGGCTTATTGTGGTCCCTGAGTAGTTGGCCACCACCTGTCTCTGGGGATCCAGGAAAACCAAGAGCTCCTGAAGTCACCAAGCTTCATGCCAGAGAACACTGTGCAGGGCTGGGGACCAGTGACATGGAATCAACAGCCAGCCTGGCTCACAGCTGGGCCAGCACACCTCTAAAGATACATTTCTAGAAGTGGGATATTCTGGATTAAAAGATGTGTGCATTCTAAATTTGGGTTCATTTCACCAAATTGCCCTTCAAAAGAGGTTCTACCCATGCAGATGCCCACCAATAATGACTGAGAGGACATGTTTCACACCCTCTCACCAATACCGCACTTTATCAGCCTCCCTTCCTTCCATTCCTCCTCCTCCTTTCCCTTTCTTTCTTGCCAATGTTGTCAGTCTCACAGGAGGAAAAACTGACCCTGGTCTGGAACAATCCTGCACCAAATACAGATAATGATGTTCAGATAATAGGAAGTCCAGGGAAAAAGAAAACAGTAGGAGTTTAAAAATCCCAGAGATAGCTGCCAGGTGTGGTGACTCGTGCCTGTAATCCCAGCACTTTGGGAGGCCGAGGTGGGTGGATCACTTGATGTCAGGAGTTCAAGACCAGCCTGGCCAACAAAGCGAGACCCCGTCTCTACTAAAAATACAAAAATTATCCGGACATGGTGGCACACTCCTGTAATCCCAGCTACTCTGGAGACTGAGGCAGGAGAATCACTTGAACCCTGAAGGCAGAGGTTGCAGCGAACCGAGATCACACCGCTGCACTCCAGTCTGAGAGAGAGAGAGTGAGACTCTGTCTCAAAATAAAAAAATCCCAGAGATAGCTGAGGGAATTGGTTCTGAAATGGTCCAGAGAGAAAACAGAGGAACCAGACCAGGACCCTCAGGACTCAGAGGACCTGCCGGCTCTGCCTGGGTAGGGCACAGCACCCACCTGGGATTCCCAGGGTGCCAGCTCCTGGCTTCTCACTCTGTCTGGCTGAAGGGGCTGCTCCCTCAAACAGGAAGCCATGATGAAGGGGTTTCACATCTGTCTGGAATAAAGGGCCCGTTCAAATCTGGGAGAGGCTACGTGGGGGCCAAAAACTGGTGAGAAGATATTAAAGGAGGGTTGGCACATCCCAAGTGCAGAGATGAAGACATTTCTGCAGCCCTGGACAGATAAAGATGAGGCTAAGAAGATGATGAAGCTGATAGCTGCTCTCTATGGAGTGCTGTGTGGCTGACCTGGTTATACTCACTTCTCATACATCATTTCCTTTAAACCTCAAGCACTGCTAATATCCCCATTTTGCAGATGGGGAAATTGAGGTCACAGACATTCAGTAACTCACCTAAGGCCACACCCCCAAGTTCCTTAGGCAACAGATGGGAGCTGAGCATGGGGGCCAGAGGGACAGTAGGGGCAGTAGCAAGAATTCACTTTAGCGCTGGTTGAATGTGAGGTTCCTGCAGGGAATCCACATGGAGGGCCCAGGAGGAGGTCAGATCAGTGGGTCTGGGGCAAAAGCCAGTTTCCTGGAGTCTCATCAGATGAAGGAGTGAAAAGGCAGGGGGAGCAGCCCAGGATAAATGCCCTATTCTCTTTATACGTGGACTCAGAATCACTTCTCACACACGTGCCTCTAACCACCCATTGCCTGTGCCTCTGGCTTTGTAACCTCAGACAAATCCCTCCCTTTTCTCAGCCTGCTTTCACATCTAAGATGCAGAGATGACCATCCCTGCCTTCCACGGCGCCCAGTAAGGGGGAGGGATCATTAGCATTGTTACAATATTTCCTGTACTTGTCAGTCTGGCAAACACACTCCCTCCAAAACTTCAACCTTCCACCTGCCAGTAGCTTCCCCTTCCTCCCAAAATAAAATCCATAGCTCTCAACCCGCGAGGCCTGTCCCCTCCATGCTCCCTTTCCATGACGCCGCCGTCATTACTCTCAACCACACCAGACCTCTCTCTGTCCTCCACACAAACCACGTTTCCTCCCAGCTCTGCCCTACGTGCTTGCTCTTCCCTCTGCCTGGAATTCCTTCCCCTCACTCTCTTCCTCCCGGTCTCAAATCCAAAGTCACTTCCTCAAAGAGGTTGGTCCTGACCACCCCGTTTGAAGTTATGCCCGTCCCCATCGTCACTTTATTGAACTCCGCACTTAGTCTCCACCCCCAACATCTGAAATTCTCATCATTTTCTGGTTGACATTTGATGAACAGCCTTCCCCTTGCAGAGCAAGCTCTGCCAGCAGGGAGGCCCCATCCATTTGGTTCACTTCTGTGTCCCAGCACCTACCACCAAGCCCAGCTCACTTTACATACTCAGTGGATATCTGTTCAAAGAAGGAAAGAACACCAGTTGATAAGAAACAAACCAAAAAAGCAAATGCTCAGCAACACGCCCCCTGAGCAGTTCCCGAGGCAGCCAGCCTGCCAGCTGAATGCTAAAGGAGGCGGCATCCACATCACAGCATCAGCCCTCCCTGGTACCCGCGGGGCACCGGGCAGTCCGTAAGTCACTTTTCACACATGCCTCGCCCAAGGCCACAAGCAAGGAAGAATGAAGGCTCTGAATCAAGCTTCCTTTGACACTAACTACTCAGCAACATCTTCTGACCCTGGGGCCCCTGTCCTGGGTGCTGTACTAGGGAACAGGCGGTGCCATGGGGAGACACTAGTTCCCGGTGGCTTCCCACACTCAGAGAGTGCTAGGAATGCTCCAGTCCACCAGTAACAATCTTTTTGTAGAGTGGACACTCCTTCCCCGAAACACACATGGTGTGGTCAGCACTCAATATTATAAAGCTGTTACTTCTACCAGAGCTGGACACTAAATCCTTCAGATGGTGGTTCTTAACCAGGGGCAACTCTGCCCCCCAGGGGATACTTGGCAGTATCTGCAGACATTTCTGATGGCCACATCTGGGGTGCTACTGGCATCCGGTGCATTGAGGCCAGGAACGCTGGTACACATCCTTTCATGCACAGGATAGCCCCTCACAACAGAGAATAATCCAGCCCGAAATGTCAGTAGTGCTGAAGCTGAAAGACTTGCTTCAAGAGAAAAGGTAATAAGAAAATGTTTTGAGATTCCTGGACTGACCGTTAGGAGAGGAGTTTCCTGAATTTGGGGAAAATTGGCAATAACTGGACATTTAAGGCCTCACCCTCATTCTGTTTTAGGTTTTCTTTTGTTGTTTGTTTGGTTTTTTTTTTTTTTTTTTTTTGAGACGGAGTCTCGCTCTGTCCCCCAGGCTGGAGTGCAGTGGTACGATTGCGTCTCACTGCAACCTCTGCCTCCCAGGTTCAAGGGATTTTCCTGCCTCAGCTTCCCTAGTAGCTGGGATTACAGGCGCATGCCACCACATCCAGCTAATTTTTGTATTTTAAGTACAAATGGGGTTTCACCATGTTGGGCCAGACTGGTCTTGAACTACTGACCTTAAGTGATCTGCCTGCCTCGGCTTCCCAAAGTGCTGGGATTATAGGCGTGAGCCACCCCCACCGCCCTAGGTTTTCTTTATAGTACGTATTTACCACCTGACATTATAATATATATTTATTTCACTGTTTGTCTCACCAACTAAGAAGTACGCTCCCTGAAGGCAGAGACTCTGTTTCACATGCTGCTGTGTCCTCACTGGCACACAGTAGGGATTCAATAAATATTTGTGGAATAAAGAAACTCCTAAGAATATCAAGTCATACAAAATATCCAACCTCCTTTTGCAGCTGTTTTCTCATTATGATCATATCTATCCTGCACAAAGACCCCAAATCCATTCTCCTGTCTTCCACAGTAGCAGGTTTCAGCTATGCACATGACTGGGTAATATAAATATAAAAACTATACTTCCCAGCCTCCTCTGTGGCTCAGTGTGGTTACATAACAAGACTCTGGCCAATACAGTATTAGCTGAAGGGATAAATGTGATTTCTGGGTTACGCCCTTAAAGGAAAGGGCGTGCCCTCCTTCCTCTTTTTTCCCATCCAGGAGCCATCTTGGATGACTCAGATGAGGGTACCATCCTGAGAATGGAGAGTGATAAGACAGAAAAAGCCTGGGTTCCTGGTATGATGGGGCCAGCATACCAGCCATGGACTGCTTATCCCTGTGCTGTTACAAGAGGAAGAAATCATCTATCTTGTTAAAGTCATTGTTACTTTGGGTTTGGTTACAGCAGCCTCTACATCCTAATCAATACCCTCTAATAATCCTCCCAATAACCTCCCCTGCCTTGCAAGCACTAACTGCTTTGGAATCACGCTCAAAGACTCCATAACACCGCAAGGAGTATCTCAGCAGCTGGCATTCGAGAGGGATTTCATGATTTCCCCTTCTCACGTGTAGGAGATGTGATCCTCAGTTCACATGTAGGATTATTTCCTCCCTCAGGCTTCAGAATATCTGAGGACATTGCTAAGCCAGAGAAAGAAAGGACAGGAAGTCATATTATTTCAGTCCTTCAAATGATAAGGACAAAAGGAACTACCAAAAAAAAGCCCATTAAAATCTTAAAACACCAATTATGCTTAAATTCATGAGTTCATAATGGTACCAAAAAAAAAAAAAGCAACTACACACAAACAACCGTAATGGATCATCACTGTAAGATATTAATGAACCAACCCATTATTTTAAAAACTGGTAAATAAAGGGAAAGAATCAAGCATTCATCCTGCTTTTCCTATATGAATTCTATCATTGTTGATGAAGGAAAGTTTCTCTTTATAGAAGTTTTCCAGCTAACAGTAGAGGAAGGGATGGCAGAATTAGAATAGAATATCACCATTTTATAATTCATGCACCACTGAATTAATGGAGCAAGGCACTGACTATCACCAAAAGACAGGCAACCCAACTCCACGTACCTCCTGTCAGAAGGATGTGTCATCACCCATGAAGCAATCTTGCCAAAAACAATTGAATCTGAATGAATGAAGCCTCTCAGTTTTACTGCTAACTTACAGGACATACAGAGGAGACAGGAACACACTAAAAACCTCATCATGGAGATATAACTGGCAAAAGCCAGACTGAAAAATTTCACAGGATAAACAACCTCATTTTTTCAACAAATAAATTGCAATATAATACTAATGATGAAACCAAAAAAGGATCTTATTATTTAATCTAGAGGAAGAACCTCTAGATTTAATCTAGGGGAAGAACCTCCCCATCAAACCAGACTTAAAACAAAGGCATCTGCTTGCAACGCTTGGTCTGACTCCCGACGCAAATGAACTATAATAAAAACAAAGAAGAAAACACTTTTATGATATTTATATATAAGACAACCGGAAGTTTAAACACTAGGTATTTCATGATATTAAGGAAGTATTATTAATTTCCATGTGTGCTAGTGGTCTTGTACTTTCAGAGTCCTTTTTTTAGAGATACATGCTATTTCTACACGAAATTATAGGATGTCTAGGATTTGCTTCAAAATATTGCTGTGTAGCTAGGCACCATAGCAGGCACCTACAGTCCCAGCTATGCTGGAGGCTGAGGCAGGAAGATTGTTTGAGCCCAGGAAATCGACACTGCAGTGCACCATGATTACACCTGTGAATAGCCACTATGCTCCAGCCTGGGCAACATAGCAAGACCCTATGTCTTAAAAAAAAAAAAAAACAAAAAAAACTAATAACAACAAACCCCCAAAACAAAATTACCAGGTAATGAATATAACAGGATGAAGGTGTAGAAGAAATCAGATTGGCCATGCATTGATAACAGCTGAAGCCTCGTGGTGGGTATGTAGGGGTACCTTGTACTATGCTATAGTTACATATGTTCAAAATATTTAATTAAAAGTTTTAAAATCTTACCCCCATTTAAAAATCTTCCCCAGCCACAAGGAGGGGAAGGAAGGTAGAGGGAGGGAACACTTTCGAAGGCCCCGGCCGGATGCAGGTCCTGGATTAATGAGCCTTGGATATGTGTGGCACTTCCGTAATGGGGGCACAATTCAAACGCCTAATGGGTCCAGATAGGAACCCTGAATGAGTGAAATCGGTGAAGTCTAAGAGGAACAACAAAACAAGTGTGAAGATAAATAACAATGGACAATCCACCTATCGTCGGAAGACAAAAGGGAATGGCGGGGGCTGTGGACAGAGCAAGTGGATGTTCCAACTAAAGGAAGTAGCCTCTGCTCAGGGCCAGCCTTGGTTTTGACTCCCAGTAGCTGCCATGCAGGAGGTGGGGCCCAAGGTGGCTAGATCCTTGGATTTTCTAAGCAAAGTCAGAAATCCCTATTTTTATGTGCAATCCCCGGTTTTTCAACACTGGCATCTAATCAAAATATTTTTTCAAATACCGTGTGGGCCAAACAAAATATCTGCGGGCGAAATGCAGCCCATGGAGCACCAGTTGGCCGCTCCTTTTCCAAGTGCTGAAGCAGACCACAACTCAATCCAGTTGGGGAGAGGGTGCTTTCATCAAGTTTGGGTCAATTCTTTTTTGGGCATTTAATAAAGCTGAGAATTCAAAAGACACCATCAACTTCCAGAAATCTATAAGAACCGGCTGCGGAACATTTCAAAGGCGTCCTCCACGTCATCAGCTTATGCAACAGAACCTCTACTTTGCCCAGAGTTTTGGAAATTAACAACGAGGGAGTGTCCTTTCAGCTTTCCTGGGATAGTGGAACTAACAGGCTTCAGATGAAACCTATTTGTTGGTTTGCAGACAGCCTGGGACTTAAGTCCAAACTGCTCGCAACAGACAGTCCTGCCATAAAACCAAGTTGGGGTGCTCAAGGCTCATCATAAAATGACCAGAGAATCCACTTCGGCTGCCTTGCCAGAGATCTGATTTTATGACTGTTTAAAGGGATGAGACAGATGTCATCCCCAAACCTGAGAGCAGCAGAATTTGTTGCTGAGGACCAGAACGGACTCCTTCAAATTCAGCCCTCAGTTTGTCTTTGACTTCATCTAGAGAAAGATTCTTGACACTCTGGATGGGCAAAACAGGCCCCAGCCCTGCGTCTATTCACAGGCACAACTTGACCAGATCCCTGGATCCATAAAAAATTAAAGAGGTGTCAAAAATGCAGCAGAGAAGAGCCAAATAAATGGTTTCATCATTCCCCAGGAAGAAAACCCCTCTTTTTTTTTTTTTTTTCTGAAAGGGTGGAAACTAAAGGAAAATTGGTGCTAAAACAAAGTTGAACTGGTTCAGAGCAAAAAGAGAGTCCAGAATGTTACTTGAAGGCAGCACACACCAAAACACACCCAAATCTCAAGTCTAGGAATGACTGGCAACCACAGCTACTTCAGGGCAGGGGGCTTTCATTTGTTCTTTGTGGGTTTTCCCCTGGGAAAACAAAGCTTTGCCCTTGATCCAAAATGGGTTTATCAAGGGTGGGAAGGGAAGGAGCACAGAGAATAATCTAGTGTATGAAATGAGTTGAGTAACTGCCACCCAATTCATAGACTAAAGTAACCAAATTCTTTTTCAAGTTCTACATTTCTAGAGAGAAACAGACTACAGCTAGCGCTGATATTAGAAAGTTATGTAGATTTTTTAACATTATGATATTCTGGCTGGGCACAGTGGCTCACGCTTATAATCCCAGCTTTTTGGGAGGCTGAGGCGAGAGGATCACTTGAGCCCAGGAGTTCGAGACCAGACTGGGCAACATAGCAAGACCCTGTGTCTCTATAAAAAATAAAAAGTTGAGCCAGGCATGGTGGCATGTGCCTATAGTCCCAGCTACTGAGAAGACTGAGGCAGGCAGATTGCTTGAGCCTGGGAGGTTAAGGCTGCAGTGAGCTATGGGGGCACCACTGCACTGCAGCCTGGGTGACAGAGTGAGAGACCCTCTCTCAAAAAAAAAAAAAAAAAAAAAAAAGGATTATCTTGGGTTGTGGCTGGAATCAGGGAAAATCCATTGCAGTTTCCAGCCCCACAAGTTATGCTGCTGAAAACCATCACCTGAGTGGCGGCATCATCCTGAAATGAGTGAGGTAGCTGGCATGGTACATCCAGCATAGCACACCCACAGAGCAGGGAAGTGAGTCTTAGCCCTTCTGCCCTGTGTTCTAGTAAGAATGAAACTACAAAGGAGGGCCTTTAAAATTGGTTATGATGCTGACCTACCCATAAATCTTGCTTAAAGGAGCACCTCACTCTTTCACAAGGATATTCACCTGTTACCACAAGAGAATAGCCTCATTTGGAAATTAAATGTAGCATAAACAATTCAGAACAATTAAAAGTGCTGGTTCCAGCAGATGACTGGGAGCCCACGAATGACACTGGATGCTGCCTCTCACTTGGTCCTCTTTTTTAGGAGCTGTCTGCTTTTGGTAGGAAAGATGCTGCTCTGGAATGAGGGCTGCGTGGACAGCAAGTCTGGGAAGGGACTTTCTTGTGGTTTGGTGGCTTCTGACCTCCAAATGCAAGTGCACATTCCTTTGGAAACACTTGCTTTGCAGAATTTCAAAAAGATCACTGAGCGTTTCTGGGTCTGGAGTCGGCTGGAACGTAGCTCTCTTACATAAGCCAGAAATGCAGAGTCCACATCATTCGGGATGAAAGGACAGCTAAGTGGCACAGCTTGAAATCTGACATTCTTAGAAAGGGAGGGGAAACAAGAGAGGGAAACGAGAGATGCCCCAGGGACAGATACCTGCATATCGTTTAGGCACCCAGGAGAGGGACAGAGAACGGCTACCAGCTCAATTCAATGATCTTCCAACAGCAACTCTTGCAGATTCTGTGGGCTCCTCTGTAGGCAACCACAGTTTTCTGGACTTTGACATTTTCAAGACTCAAACTATCCTTTGCTGAACCTTTGCTGAATTTACAGAGGTAGCCTGACAACATACTTGAGAATTCAGGCCAAGAGTCAGCCTCCTGGCTCTTCGTCAGAGCCTAGCTCTGCCCCTGCCCCTATAGCTCACAACTGACAAGGAAGAGGAGGAGGAGGAAAATGTCACTGCGGTTAGGGGAAGAAGAGTGATCAGCAACTACTGAACCCTCACCGTGCGCGTCTGGTACTGGGCAAAGAGCTTTACAGGACGCCCCCATTTTCATTCTTACGGTAACCCAGAGAGTCGGGCACCATTATAAGTGACTTGGCCAAAGTTACAAAAGAGGGCAGTGATGAGGCCAGACTGAGAGCCAGGCAGGACAACCACAGCAACTCTTTGCCAGACAAATCCTAGAACTGAGGCTGGGCCTTCAGACCAACCATCCAATTCCTGAGAATGGGTCCCCATTGACCAAATGACAGGTACAGGACAAATCGTCAGCACTGTGGGTAACAGCAAGTGATACGGAAGTTTCCACCCATGGGGGACCTGTGTGTACGTTTTACCACCTTTTGTAGAAAAGGGGAAAATAAGAATACATGTGTATTTGCATATGCTCGGGATTACATTAAAAAAAAAAAAACCCTAAAGCATTCATCCTCAAGGTGGATGACGTTGCTTCCACGGGGGTAAAAATTGGTTCTCTGCGGGAGGGGTGTTGAAAAAAATCTTCCATATGACAATGCTTTGTGGCCCTGCAAAGGGCTATGGTACATGAACAGACACATTGTGTGTCTATAGCACTGACATTTCATGGCATGGAGATTAGGAAAAAAATTGTCTTAAAAGGCTCCTGGCTGGGGGTGGGGGGTTGGTAATAATGAAACAAAGGTTGAGAAATAATGTTCTAGGAGGCTAGAGAAAAACCAGTATTAGAGAGCAGACCAGAAGGGGGAAGACATCTTCTGCTGGATGTCTTTTTTATATATTTTTCCTAAACATAGGAACATATTACCTATATAAAGATACATTTTTAAATGAAGGCAAAAAAAGGACGCTGGCAAAAGCCCTCCCAACGGGGGCCTGGCCTTTTATTGGTGTCGGCTCCAGGTGGCCATGTGAGTTAAACCTGCTGCTGGCGGTTTCTGGTGGTTACTGGTGTACCAGCAAGGCCTACGCTGAGATACTCAGACCGGGCTCTCCAGGTGCCCACAGCCTCTGGGCCACTTGGCTGGGCAACTGCCTGGCTCAGTTCTCATCAGCACAGAGACTCCCTGTGTCTCACCCTCTGTCGGCACCAGGAGGCCCAGCCCTGCCGGGGTCATCGTGGCTGCCGGGCTCACGGCAGGGCTCTGCGGTGACCAGGCTCCGCGTGGGCTTTGCACGCCTCCCCACACAGGAGCCGCTTTGTCCCAGGCTTGCCGTGGGCACTGAGGGGCCCTAGTGAAAGATCCCTGAACTGCTGAACAAAGCAGGCCAGTTACAAAACACTTTTCCATCGCTGGGTTCCTTTCCCTGCTTCCTGAGCTTTGGAGGGTGGGTCTCTCTGTTCATTCCTCCCCCGCCTGTTTCTCACGCATTGGTGCACCCAGCTTCTGCGTAGAGCCTTTTCAAAGCACATCCATGGCCCCTCTGCCAGAGGCACAACTGGCAAAACCTGGGCCACTGGTCCACACTCCTCCAGGGAGCCATGGCAGGGGATACACTCACTGGAGTTCTCAGCAGCCCCCGGCGAGGACATCATCTCCCTCATGCAGATACACATCCTGAGGTCCCCTGGAGGAAGCGGGGGGAGGGAGCCTTGGGCAGTGCTCTGGGGCTACGTCCACTCATCTATCCCATGGAAGAAGCAGGGCATGAGGGTGAGGAAGCCCATCTCCAAAGATCAGAGTAGCCCATTTTTTCTCCTACACAAATAGATTTTTAAAATTTGAACCATGTCCTACAAGAAATCAAGGCAATTAAATTCATAAACAAGGCTGGGCATGGTGGGTCACAGCTATAATCCCAGCACTTTGGGAGGCCGAGGGGAATGGATCACCTGAGGTCAGGAGTTCGAGACCAGCTGGCCACTATGGCGAAACCATGTCTCTACTGAAAATACAAAAATTAGCCAGGCGTGCTGGCAGGCACCTGTAGTCCCAGCTACTTGGGAGGCTGAGGCAGAAGAATCACTTGAACCCAGGAGGCAGAGGTTGCAGCGAGCCAAGATCATGCCACTGCACTCCAGCCTGGGCAACAGAGCGAGACTTTGTCTCAAAAAAAAAAAAATCATAAACAAAACAGCAGATCACATTTATGGAAGATCCCTTTTATTGACATGCACTAACTCATCATCCTCAGCACAGCCTTTGAAGGGAGGAACTGTGACTGTCTCATTCTACAGATGGGGACATGAAGGCACAAGGCAGCAAGTAACTTGCCTGAGGTCAGAGTCAGTGATGGAGCTGACACTCAAGACACAAAAGAGTCATGAAATCTGACTTTTGTTTGTATAAAAAGGCAACATGAATCTCTGGAGTTAGAAGGCAGGATGGTGGTCACTTTTGTAGAAGGGAAAGGGACATCTGGGGGCTTCTGGGGTGCCAACAAGACTGTCATAATCCAGGTGGCAATTCTGTGGGTGGCCCGCTTGTGAAATATACAGAATGCACTACTGATTTCTGAATGTGCACATAATTAAGCACTTTACATGAAGAACAGGGCAGAAGTAGATTTAAGAATAAGCAGACTGATTTGTGCCCTCCCTGCACACATCAATATACTCTCTCTCACACACACAAGCTGCTATCCTCACAAGTCACTGCAGGGGCTGCAGCCATCACCGAGACCACATCCTTTCTTTTCTGGACGTTTCCAGAACGGGGTAAAACATCTCCTTTGAGTCCCAGGCCACACCCCTGCCCCCATGTTCTCTCATCTGTGGCTGAGTCTCTGGGCAGCTGTAGTAAGCTCTCTACTTCAAAACCTGTGGTGGGTTTGGTGGTGAGATGGCCCGATGACCTCTGCACCCCCAGTTCAGCTGTGGAGTCAGCACAGCTCCTAGAATGCACCACAGAGCGCTAGTAAAAGTCACCTCTGAGTCCACTTTCCCCAGCGCCTCTCCCGCTTGCTTGCGTCCTGAGTGGTAAAAAGTGCAGCCGCCCCTCATTTTATGCAAGGGAAGCTGAGAATTACCTGTGTATTGATCACATTTGGGCAATTCCAGTTGCATTTTAAGTAACCGCGCTCATGACAGGGCCTGCGGGGCACACTCCCTGTGAAATGCACCGCCTTCCATCATGCTCCTGTCACGGGATTCGTTTTCAATTCACACATCCCCCTTTTTTCAACCCTTGACTCCCTATAGTCCATTTCGCAAAGGCAGCCAGAGTGATCTTCTCAAACAGTAAATCAAACCACGCTGCACTGCTGCTGAAAGCCTGCGGGAGCAAGCCCACGTCTCCGAGTTCACGGCCTCCGCCACCTGCGTTCCCTCTCCCTGAAACACTCTTCCCTCAGACCTCCCCAGGTCTGCGTCCATCCCCAAAGGCCGCCTCTTCAGAGTGGCCTTTCTGTACACTCATCTGCAGGGGCCAACCTCACCCCCAAACCAGGCAGCCACCCTCTCGCTCCTAACCCCGTGGAATTTTCCCTGTGGCTTTCATTGCTGTCTGAATTTCGCTTGCTTACTTACTGCCTTCCATGCTAATGTCTGTCTCGCTTACCTACTAAACAATCACCGTGAGAGCAAAGATTTCATTTCATTTGTTCACTTAGTGGATCCCTAAGTCCCAGAACAGTGTCCAGCACAGAGTAGACAGCCAGAAAATACTAGTGGGTGAGAGGGAAGGAGGGTCAAGGACAGAGAAGTCAAGGGTCAAGGACACAGAGGAAGGGAGAGAGGGAAGAAGGAAGGGTTAAGGACAGGGAGGGTTGGGGAGGACAGAGGAATAGGGGAGAAAGGTAGGGAAGAATGAGGTCCCAGAAGCAGCTACTGCTAGGAGCTGCTGGTGTTCCCCAGGTACAATTTGGGGCCTTAGAACAAGGGACTAGTCACGGAAGGGGGATGACAGCAGAGAGAACGCAAGTGACGGTGTATGAACCATATGTTTCTGAAGAGCTGTAAGAAAGTGCCTGAATTGGGGTGGGTGGAGAAACACGGGGCTCAGGGGAGTGCATGCCTTGGGCCCTGGAATATTACTTATTTTGCTTTTCCAAAGAGACTTCTTGAAAACGTCTCAAGTACTCGGAGTGGAGAAAGCAGAAGGAGCGCCTTGGTGTTCCAAGAACAAACGGGGCCAAGCCAGCCGGCGTCTGTGTGCAGGAATGCAGGCGGGAAGGGCTGAGATAAAGCACAGATGCCCCATGAGGGAGCGGGGTGGAATGCCCAGACGCGACGCTGGGATCACTGGCCAAGGTGCAGGAAACGATAACTCAGAGCCGGGGGCTTCCCTGGACCCCAGGGCAGGGGCGGGATCAGCTTCAAAGATGGTTTGTTTGCACTTGTGCGGGGGAGGGAGGACCTGTGTGTCCACTGGTGACTGCTTCCTTTTCCAGCCACAGAACCTTCCCTCAACCCTCAAAACGCATAAGCCCAGCTCTTACAAAGTTTCCAAGGAAAGCCCACTTTGGCAAAATCCCAAGGGAAATAAATGACAGACCAGAAATGCCCACGCACAGGCAGCACAGCACGCTGGGGTTTAGCACGGGCCCCGTGCAGCCAAATATGTGCCGTGTGCGACAGACTCCCTTGAAATCATAAACGAAAGGGACAGAAAAGGACCTAAAGACCAAGGAAGTTGCCCCACCAGACACCAAAGGAATGACCCAGGGGATTTTCCAGTTTACTTGTCAGAAATAACACAACACAGCAAACCAAGACGTCCAAATCTCATATCCCTAGAGCTGATGGTGGCATATCTGGAATGTTCCACGGATGCACGGGCTACACAGACTAGCTAGGAGACGGGCTAGGAGAATTTGAAATTGCAGCAGTTCAGAGACAAAACTGCACCCACATCTTGGTGGCTACGGTGGAGATGCAGTCTGGGGCTTGCCACTGGGCACGAGCCACCAGGGGACCTGCCCATTGGAGGGTCCTGGGGTGGGCAGAGCCTTGGAGACAAGGCCGGTGGAGCACTGAACATAACTAGTGGCACTTGCTGCCTTTTGGAGGCCACGTGGGTGGAAACCATTCCACTGCCCCATCCAGCTCTGGCCTCAGGAATGTGCAGCCCCCAAATTGAGAAGCCGGACTATGGCACAGGGGACAGGGCAGTGCTGCGCTTCAGAGCTCTTGAGCTTCCTTTATGTTATTTCTGCCAAGTATCAGGAAAAGAGCTTCTAGGCCAGCTGTGTAGCACGACTCCCGGGCCTCCATTCTTGCAGAACACAGTACAATCCAGTGTGGACATCACCACCTGGAGCGTGCGATGCGCTCTCCTTTGTGCTACACCCCCGCATTTTAGAGACTTATAATGTCCGCTAGCAGGATAAAGACTCTCAGAAGTCCTGCAACAAATAATTAAACAAAAGCAAAAACAAAAAACTTGGTTTAACCTAGTTTTTTCATCTTTTAAAGCCATGGAACCCTCCTTCAGAAAATAGCTCCTAACATCCCATGGGCTGGGGTCATACAGCATGTACCTAAATTTCACCTCGCTCGGTTCTCTGAGACATCCTTAGAGCTGACTCAGGTTTGGACCTAGCGGGACTCCCCCTCACCACGACTTTGAACCTGCCTGCGTTGAGAAAGGGCCTCAGGAGGCCCAAAAGGGTCTCGGTGCTCAGCTGCTTTCTCTGTAACATAAGCTTCTTTGGAAACGGCAAGGACATCTGTGGATCCGGGGCTGCCATAGCCAGTCATGACCACCTCGGGCCACTTGGACACGGGTGCCCCAATATCCAAGGCACTCACCATTTGCCTTTAACAAGGGATGGACAGGGTAGGAGAGGCCAGTGTGTTTCTCGCTCTGGAGACCAGACCAGCCCTAGGTGCAGAGTCAGCTGGGGAAAATTATCCAGCCCTGCACAGACACTCATTTATTTATAAAGCACCTCTTCTCCAATACAATCGATCCCCCAGGGCCTCACGTGGAGAGGGATCTGGTTACGACCATGCTTCATTGATCCTCCACGTTCTGCCTTAGTTAATTCTCTACACGATTGCCCCCTTGAAAATAAGCACCAAAACCTTATCTTCACCATTGTGAATGTAAATTGTTCAAGGATGGATTGTATGCAGGTGTCCGTTTCAAAACAGAGCACCATGACTTTAACTCAACCTGTGCTTGATTATTCAGGATCAAACGGATCAATTATTAACAGAGCAATACCTAGAGGTCAGCCTTGTAAGGCACGTGGGGCAGGATGACCCTACAAGAAGTGGCCCCAGAGGTCTTTGCTTGGTGAATTCAGGGGACGTTTTTGATCGACTGTCTCCCTAGGGATTGGGTATGGAGAATACCAGAAGTCACAGAGCCCCCAGATAACCTGGCTTGTCAAGACGTTTTGTAGAGTAAAGGTCAACAGCCTCTGACTATGCAGCAGAGGATATTTCTGGCACTGCGGTATATGAAATTTAGTACCCAGTCTTGATGGTAACTATTGTGGCTGTTTCAAAGCTTTCGCTTTACTTCCTACCCCTTGGCTGGGCTCCTGAGAGTTAATTTTCTGAAATAATTGAGGTTTCAGGGTATATCAGACGCTACTGCCTATAAAATACAGGACTGGAACTGGGAATGACAGCCAGCAATTTAGGTTTTTCCTTCTTCTATTAAGAAAAAACTCCAGTCGCTTAACTGTACATTTTTAAATAATGTAAACAGTGTCATGGGCTTTGCAACTCGATGGATAAACGCTTGAGGGGATGGATACCCCATTCTCTATATGTGCTTATTTCACTTTGCATGCCTGTCTCCAAACATCTCATGTACCCCACAAATATATATACCTGCTCTATATCCACAAAAAATTTTAAAAGAAAAATGAAGGTAAAGAAAGTCCAACAGCCTATTTTTCTGTCTGGAGCCCCCAAGGCAAGGCTGCTCTGCTCATCCCACCCTCTCCGACCTCCCAATGCACCTTGCGGCTCCCAGGTGAGTCTTAGCAATGCGGTTTGTCCTTCCTCCCTGAGATCCTGGACCAACACCTCATCACAGCTTCTCCACAAGACTACCCTCTGGGCAGACCCCTTGCCCACAAACGGGCACCTACAGACTCACACAAAGCCTCCTCTGCATCTTTTCCTTGGCCCAAACCACCCATCAGCTGGGCTCACCACAGCGGAAGCCCACTGCTTCCTTCCCATCAATGCGCATCTCTGTTCCACGAGCACAGGGTAGAGAAGTGCCCGCAGCCTGCCTGCAAGCTGTTCTGATAAAGCCACTTTTCAATGAGCTTTCTTCTTCCTTTTCCTCCCTCTCCCTCCCTCAAATATACAAAAGAGGGCTATAAAATGGGATTTTTTTTCTGTACAGGAATGAAAGGAGGTTAGCTTTCCTTCCTATTTTCTTGGCCTCAGTCTAAATCTGGCAATTGGAAAGAGTGTGGAAGCAGTTAAATGGACCCAGTTCATGACCCAGGGGATGCCGGGTTGCCCTCATTTGCTTTTTCTATGGGGGCGATTCTGGAGGGGGGCATCTGAAATTGTTACTGCTTCCCCTCTGCAACTACTGCTGGGAGGTAATTCTTGCACAGAGCTAGGGGTGGCTTTCAGGGTCATATTATTCAACCTCCTTAAATTAAAATGGGGACACTGAGGCCCAAAGAGATTACGGAATCCGTAGGCCATGCAGTGAACTTCCTGGGCAGAGATGCTTCAGGGCACCATCCTTACAGGCAGTGACAAAACTCAAGCGTCTTACCATCATCCAAGTAGGTCTGGTCCAAGTTCTGCTCCTGTTTAATGGTCACCCCCGCAGGTAATACTTCCTTTTGGTCACTGACCGGGGGTCCGTTTTTGGCGGCTCTTTGGCTCGTGGCATTCTGCTGCTGAATGACTGTGGGGTAGGAACCCGGGCTCAGCCTCTGACCTTGACTGACCGGGGGCGGGCCAGGTCTGGTGGTGCCTGGTGCGAAATTCTCGCAGTACATGATGTGCTGGAACTCCTGGTGGCTTCCGCAGCGCAGCTGCTGGTTGGTGGGTGAGTAGTGGATCACAGGCGAGGCCTGCTGGTTGGTCGGAGAGGGGTGGAGCAGGGCTGAGCTCTGGCCCTGGGAGCCGGCGTGCACCAGCACAGAGCGGTGAGCGTCCGCAAGGGACAGCGGGGCGGCCATGAGGGCCGGCTGCTGATAGCCCAGCAGGCTGGGGCTCAGGCTCTTGCTCCGCTGGTAGAGTACGGCCGCTGGGTTCTGTTGCTGGTAGCGGGCGTCAGGGGATGAGAGCCCCGTGCGGAACTGCTGGCAGGGAGCCATGGTGGCCACGAGGCAGGAGGGGGACTCGGCCACCATCGGGTGCTGGGGGTAGTAAGGCTGGCTCCCCAGGCCTCCATGGGTGGGGCTGCAGATCAGAGTGGGGTCATATTCATCCGTGGGCTCCGTCTTGATGGCTGGGACTGGGAGGAGAAAAGAGCACATAGGGGCGCCCATGGCAGTGAGCCACGGATGTGCACGGAGGATTCGTGGATGGTGCTTGAGAACATGGCCTTGGGAGTCCATACGGGTGGGACAAACAGCTGGTCCCTGTCACTTATCAGCCTTGGGCAAAAGGCTCCCCATGCAATTGTCTTAGGTAGGAAATTTTACCCTGGCCATGAACATCTTGAATTATAGATTTTTCCAATATTGGAAAGGTGGCTGGTAGGTCTGACTCAGCCCTGGGATGTTTACAGCCTATCTCTCCAGGTGACAGCTCAGAGGAGAATGCTTGATTTCAGATGATGCCTCCCCCTCTTTCTATCCCAGCAGCTCCTGTCTCCGCTTGCTTTCCTTTCTACTGCTTATCCCCGTCAGAAATGTCATAGATGCTTTACATGCTGATTTATTACCTAAATACGCCCTGCCTCCAAATGTCAGCTCCTCAAAGAGAGGACTTTTGTCTGGTTTTTGATCCTCATGACCCAAAACAGCACCTGGTACTTAATGGGCACTCAGATATTTTCTAGACAAAGGAATCAGCAAAGTGACTGTTTCCTTCCTCCATTCTGTAGTGCTTTGGGGGAATAAGCACTACTGTCTCAAGCCTCAGTTTCCCCATCTGTTACCTGGCAGGAACAATCATACCTACCCCCACGAGATCACTGGGAGGATTAAATGTGTGTGCAAAGCACTGAGTACAGTGGCTGGCATACAGTAAGTGCTCAATGCTTGCTGTCACTGCTATTCTCTTACTATGATCATCCATCATGACTACCACTTGTGTTGTCGCTGTGGCCATTCCTTTCTCCCTGCCCAGCACCAGTCACTGAAATCACTCCTTCCCCAACATCCATACTAAAGCATTACCAATCCCAGGAGTTGAGGAATCAGTTTTCTTTTTACTGGAGTGAGTCAGTGACAGGACTGTGACCAAGTGTGTGTGCATGTGTGTGTGCGCATGCGTGTGTGTTCATGCATGCATGTGTGTGTGTGTGTGTGTGTGTGTGTGTTGTGGTGGGGGACCTCCAAGTATTGGGGTTTGGAGGAGATAAGGAGACTAGGCAAGGCTGTCTCTAACCACAGAAATTGTCCCTCGAGGTGCCATTCAAAGGCCATCACCTCACTCCCTGGCCCAACTGGGAGACTGAGAGCTCACTCCAGCCACACTCAACCAGACAAGAGCCAAGGCCGGGCCACAAATGAGAGGCAAGAGCACCATGAAACATATCTGAGAGCATGTCTGCTCAAAGGGATTCCTGAGCTGCAGTCTAGAGCCCCCCCAGCAATCTCCCACAGTTTTGGGTCCTGGTGACCTGAACCCTGCCCTGATAGAGTGTCATGTCTGTCCCAAGACAGCAGTGTCCTCACAAGGGTCAACACAAAACTGTGGGCACAAGTCAAGCTCACCAAGGCAAGGCTGCCAGGGCAGTCAAGCTCACCAAGGCAAGGCTGCCAGGGCAGTCAAGCTCACCAAGGCAAGGCTGCCAGGGCACCCCTCAGTATAATGCTTCTAGAAGCCCAGAGGCTCCCTGAGAAACTGTCATAGGATGCAAATTATACCCTGGGTGATTGTCTCGAATTATAGGTTTCCAATCTTGGAAGGTAGCTAGCAGGCGTTTCTCAGCCTGGGAAGCCTATAGCCTATTTCCCAAGGGAGAGCTCAGAGAAGCATTTTTAAAATTTAAAATTATGCTTCCCCTGGCTGTTCCTGTCCACCTTTTCTACAGCCCCAATCGTAATCCAACATATCAATAATATCAACATTATCTATGACCTAATCCCCTCTGTTAGAATGGCAGTTCCACATGGACAGGGATTCTTACCCTGTAGTGTTCACAGCTGTGTCCACAAGCCAAGAACAGTGCCTGACACTCAGATATTTTCTGGACAAATGAATGCATGAAAAAATGGTACTCATCACCTTTCTTGGGGCTGTACTTTGTGGGAATGAGACCTCCTGACCCGGTTATCCACCAGTCACTCCATTAGGCCATGGGGTGATGACTCACATGGGGGGGTCACATAAAGATTCTGCAGGTTTTAGGGCACAGCCCCTCTATCATGATCAAATCCAAGCCAGGGACAGGAGTCATCCACTTACCACCCTTCTGCTGAACATGCGTACACACACCCTTCTTCTATTCCCCCTTCCCCTAAAGGAAGGTACTAAGGCAATAAGAGCTAATATCACTGACATCAGCTTACTTTGCACTGTGCTAAGGATTTATGTGCATTTAATTTCCGGAACCCTTATAAGGAAGATGCTGTCTCACAGATGATGCAACTGAGGCTCAGAGAGGTTGAGTCATCTGTCCAAAGTTACCCGGCTAGGAGCAGACTTCAGGAGTCCTGAGCCCTGTGCCTGTACTGCCTCTCAATAACAAAGGGGTCATCAGAAACACTCCTTACCTGGGTGGTAGGTAAAGTGCTGAGGCTGACTTCGTTTTCTCTTCCCATTGATGACGTAGAAGTTCACTTTTACAGGTGTGCGGATATGCTTGTTCCGATATTCAGGGATCTCAACAAAAAGCATGTTCTATAAGGAAGGAGTTGTCATGAACTTAACTGCAATCATGTCTCAGTTCCTACCCAGACCCTAAGCGCATCCAGGCAGCCCACTGTCTAATGGGTGTTTTGATGTGCCTTTCATCGGTTTACAGGGGAAGTTCAATTTCAGGGGAATTTAACTTGTCAGCGGCAGCAAAAAATAATACTCCATCAAAATATAATAAGGTGTCACAGTTGCAAATCAGAGAGTGTGGTGCCCAATAAATGTTGAACTCACTCATTAATATGCACATATTGAGTACCTGTTAGGTCCAGAGCTCTGGGGGACACTGATGAAGGAAGGAGGGAAAGAAGGAAAGAGCATGAAAGAGGGAAACGTGAGGGGGATTGAGAGACACTCAGGTGCGTCACGTGCTTACGGGCTGGCTCTTGTCCTTATCCACCGTGGCTTCCATCTCCCAAATTTGCTGTCCATCTAGAAAAATTCAAAAATGACAGACTTTGAAGGAACTATTAGAAACCAAAGATTTAAGACAAAAACTCACCAACTTCTGTTTATCTTAGCTTGTATATTATGTCATTTCAGTAAGGTGTGTGTCAATATGTGCACGTGTGTGTACATATGTATTTATACATATAAATATTTCCTTTTTCCAAAAGGAGACATGGTGTCAATAGAAAACAAGGCAACATTGTCCTAAGCAAATTAAGGCAGGAACAGAAAACTCAACGCCACATGTTCTCATTTATAAGTGGGAGCTAAGCATGGGGTATACACGGACATGAAGATGGGAACAGCAGATACTGAGGACTAATGTAGGTGGGAGACAGGGACCAGGGATCTACCAATTGGGTACTATGCTCACTGCCTGACTGACAGGCTCATTCATACCCGAACCTCAGTGTCATGTAATATACCCATGTAACAAACCACATGTACTTCCCAAATCTAAAAGTTGAAGTTATATTTTAAAAAATTAAAAAATAAAATAATGTTGACAGCCAGAAGAAAGAAAACAGGGCAACAACAGAAAATAAGAAAAAAAATAGAAACTGTCCAGAATCCTCCCATCATTTTTTCCCTGTATCTGAATGTCTATCTTTCTATTTTTTTTTTTTTTTTAAAAAGGCATTATTAAGGGCTGGGCATGGTGGCTTATGCCTGTAATCCAAGCCCTTTGGGAGGCCAAGGCAGATGGATCACTTGAGGCTAGGAGTTCGAGACCAGCCTGGCCAGCATGGTGAAACCCCGTCTCTACTAAAAATAAAAATACAAAAATTAGCCAGGTGTGGTTGCAGGTGCCTGTAATCCCAGCTACTTGGGAGGCTGAGGCATGAGAATTGCCTGAACCCAGGAGGCGGACGTTACAGCAAACCAAGATTACACCACTGCACTCCAGACTGGGCGACAGAGTGAGACTTTGTCTCAAAACAAACAAACAAACAAACAAACAAATAAATAAGTAAATAAATAAGTAAATAATTTTAAAAAGCATTGTTATATGTTACACTTTATCCTACGCCAAAGCTGTTAGAGAAGCGCCATGACAGGTCCCTGACTGTCCCAGACACGCCTCCTTGGTGGTCTGAGAACACAGGCTTAAAGATGCGGCCCCAAGTCATGAGGGAAGCCAGTGACTTCAGTGGTATCCTGGCTCACAAGTCACTGAAGAGCAGAAAGACAGGGGCTCACCCTCCACCTTTCCTCAGCAGACAGCCTGGATCTCATGTCACTCATAACTACTGATGAAGAGGTTTTGCTCAGTAAACTCTCCTGTCCAGAAGCAGAACACTACTCCCCCAGTTTGGGGCCAAGAAGTTGGGCCAAAAAAAAAAAAAAAAAAACCCTGCATTTGCAAATAATTGATTTCTCTTGCTGACCACCTATACTGGTCATTGGTAGTTTTCAGCTGAAACAAATAATTTCAACAAGTATTTCCAGGGTGTTTTGTGGAACACTGGTTCTGAAGGATATTAAATAGTTTTATGAGAAGGGGGAAAAATCTACATGCTAATGAGCATTTGGAAACTGCTGAGTCAAAGTCAAATGGCTTTCTTCACTGCAGGACTTCTCAGAAGCTTTAACATGCTGCTGTGCAGAGTAACTCTGCGAGGTGGGCTGGAGTACATAGCACTTCCCAAGGTTTGACCAATGAACCCCTCCCTACTTTTAAGCACAGCTATTCCCATCTTCTGTGATTGCTTAGGTTTGAACCCATATAGTCTTGGCTCTTAAGATTCACCCAGCGAAATCTGGACTTCAAGCGTTCTTAAACATACTCCCACCCACCTCCCCCATGAAAAATTAATATAAAGTATTGTGATTGCTCTCTAGATGATCTTAACAAGGAACACGCAATGAACACGCTAGAGCCCTTTGTAACAATTAAGTCTGTAAGTCCTGACCTTACAGCGCAATTCCTGAAATGACTCAGCAAGACATGGGCTATGTTAAAAGGGAAAAGAACAGGCAGTTTGTTTACTGACTCTCACTCTAGTGTCCCTTGGTCCCTGCTGAAGGGACCAAGTCATATTTATCACCATCTCCCCAACACGCACAAATGCCTAATCAACATCTCATGACTGAACAGACAGAAGTGTCAGCAGCTCCAAAGGCTGCTGGTGAGGCCAAGAAAAGGCCAAAGGCTAACATCACCCATGCCCCCTTGATGAGGGCAGAATACTTCGGCCCCCTGTTTTCTCAGACAACTGAGCAGGCATGTCTGATGCTCAAAAGGAAGCAAGGGAAGATCGCTGGATGGACATCGAGGAATTGGAAGTGAAGTCATCAAGACCTGAGTCCTTTCAGTGTGCAAAGTCCTGTACAGAACTAGTCAGGGACAATCCTCATTTCTTTGTCAAAGACAAGTCAAAGACCACCCAACAGAGACACATGTCCCCTTTTCAGGTAGAGGTCACCACCAGGAGCGTGACTGTACAGGCCAACCTAGGGTCTTCATCAAAAAGTGGGTCCTCATCCACACCTGCAAAGTGAGCTTGAAGCCTGAAGACTGAGTAAGAAATGAACAGCGGAAATGGCAACATGTTGATGTTTGGTTTGTCACCCTCCCCCATAGCCTCTCCTTGCCTGAATTGAATTCTTGAATTCTGCTACCAACAGCATCATTTCTTTTTCCACTTATATGAGCTTGCTTTGAAAAAAAAAAAAAAAAGATCATTTTCAGAAGTTCATAATGGGGAAGAAAGGGAGAAAATAGTAGCTGGAAATGTGGTCAGGAAGTATTAAGTAGGATCCATAAAGCTTCCATTCCCAGCTGTCTTCCAGGCTCACACCAATAAGTGGCAGATGAAACAGAAAATACAAAATGGCGGTCCAACAAAAAGGGCATCACCAAGAGGAGAGTTCTCATGGACTGTCCTCTCCGGGTCAAGGGACGCAACACGAAGAAGGAGACCTTTTCCCACCTCTGGTGGGTGTGCATGGCAGACAAAACTCTACCCACTGACAGCCATAGAATTCCAGCACACAGGTTCTTGAGAGTACCCTTAGAAACTAGCCAGCCCTGCACTGGCAGACAAGGCAACTGAGGCCCAGAGAAGCAAGGCGGCTGTGCAAAGACCCACAGTAGTTATTAAATCACAGCCTTTAAGCAACAACTGACATAATCTAATAACAAAGGAGATGGCTTCAAAGACAGGTCAAGGTTGTTACACGAGAGAAACTTACCAGATCATTGTGAGGCTAGAAGGTTCCTGGGAGGCTGGAGAAAGATCTCATGTGGGTGGGACCCTTGTAGGGTCACTCACCACAAAGATTCATGCAGATGCAGATTTCAAGCCCTTCCCTGCTTTGCTGTGCCCTCAAGATACCGTGGAAGCTTCACTGTGGCCCTCAAGGCCCTGCACAACCTGGCTCCTACCCTCATTCCTGCCTCTCCAGGCACTATTCTTACCCCTGAGTCTTATGAGCGCTCACTACATGCCTGGCATCACTCTAAGCACCTCGTATACATGGGCTTGTCTCATCTGTACAGCACCCATAGGAGGCAGGTCTCCTCACCCCATCCTACAGGGGAGGACACCAGGCACAGAGAGGCAAGAGCACAGGCCAAGGTCACACAGCCAGACCCTGTGGGGAAGCCGGATTGGAACCCAGGCAGCCTGGCCTCAGAGTCAGCACTCCTTATGCAGTTTCAGATCCCTGTGCCTTGCAGCTCCTCCATCTAGTTCCTCTCCTCTGAGTTCCAGCCACAGCAACCAGCCCTTCCTCGGGACGCCCCAAAGTGAGGCGGTGAGCCGCCACATCCCACAGCCTCCCCAGAGCCTGGTAAGTGTGGGTCACAGGGAAAGACGCCCATGGGGGGCAGGGGGAAAGTCCTGCCCTCTCCAGTGTTCTCTGCCAGGCCTTCCACAACACGCTGACTGGAACCCTGAGCCTTCCTGGCCATGTCCTGCGGCCACAACCAACTTCTGTCACCCCAGTGCTCTGCCATTTTACTCCCACGTACCCCAAATTTCGGAGCAGACACACCCAGCTTCAAATCCTTGACTACCCCCAATGATTTGTGAGACCTTAGATATGGCACGATCTCTCTCCCTGCCTCTTATCCAACATATGGAGATAATCATAGTACCCACACCTTATGGGGTCGTTCTGAAGATTAAATATGGTAACAGACCTGAGCAGGGTATTATATAAATGTTCAGGGCCGGGCAAAGTGGCTCACGCCTGTGATCCCAGCACTTTGGGAGGCCAAGGCGGGCGGATCACCTGAGGTCAAGAGTTTGGGACTAGCCAGGCCAACATGGTAAAACCCCGTCTCTACTAAAAATACAAAAAATTAGTCAGCATGGTGGCATGCACCTGTAATCCCAGCTACTTGGGGAGCTGAGGCAGGAGGATCTCTTGAACCCAGAGATGGAGGTTGCAGTGAGCTGAGAGCATGCCATTGCACTCCAGCCTGGGCAACAAGAGCAAAACTCCATCTCAAAAAAAAAAAAAAAAAAAAAATGTTCAACAGAAGATACCTGTTACGATTATGGCTAGTGGCAACAGATTATTTCAACACTGTCTTCTTTATCATTTGTTGCATATATTCCACAATGTGTCAATACTGAGAAAAACACAAGCATTTTAAAATCAGAAAATAATAAACATTTTCCAAGTGCATTTTATGATTGCAATACTTCTGCCTACAGGTTTGGGCTGGAGGGAATTTATGAAGCGACGAAGTCTGTTATGGGAGACTGCAGCATGGTGCCTGATTTTCCTTTGCTTTCCAAAGTGGGTCTTTTCACCATTAACTTTAAAAACACACACAGAGAAAAAGACCTCAGAGGAATAAGAAATCAAAACTTAAACTATGAGCCAAGGGTCCATCTTCTTTCTTTTGCACCCTTTTGGTACCAGAAGCTCCAAGGGCAGCCAAGGAATCTGGCCTGACCTGTACTTTCTCATGGAAGGTCTGCACTCGGTTCTGGACAAACAAGTCCCCAACAGGAAGTGAAAGCCCACATCCGTTGTCTTTCTTGATTTTATGCAGCACGTGCAAGACACACTCCAGGAGGCTGGTCTCTAAGGGAAGTGTGCGGTTTGCAAGGTACCTTGGGGTCATTTTCCCAGGCTCCTCCTCCCCACTCCACCCCGCATCCACGGGTGCACAAGTCCTGGGCTTTCGCCTGGAGAACCCAATAATCCCAACCTCTGAATTGCACTCCCATGGGGCAGTAGAATTCAAAACAAATGCTGATGGGGCCAGGTGTTGTGGTTCACACCTGTAATCCCAGCACTTTGGGAGGCCGAGGCGAGTGGATCACTTGAGGTCAGGAGTTCAAGACCAGCCTGGCCAACGTGGCGAAACCCGATCTCTACTACAAATACAAAAATTAGCGAGGCATGGTGGCGGGCACTTGCAATCCCAGCTACTCGGGAGGCTGAGGCAGGAGAATCACTTGAACCTGGGAGGTGGAGGTTGCAGTGAGCCGAGATCGCACCACTGCACTCCAGCCTGGGTGACAGAGCAAGACTTCATCTCAAAAATAAAAAATAAATGCTGATGGAGTTTTCTCAGCCTGATGTCACTCTGCCCAGGTTCAAGTTCTGTCCCCAAAGTTTACTCACTGTGTGGCCTTCGAGTGGCAGCTCTCTGTGCCTCAGTTTCCTCATAAGCAAAAATGATAAAGTTTGGCCAGGTTCGGTGGCTCATGACTGTAATCCCAGCACTTTGGGAGGCCAAGGTAGGTGGACCACCTGAGGTCAGGAGTTCGAGACCCACCTGACCAACATGGTGAAACCCTGTCTCTACTAAAAATACAAAAAATTAGCTGGGCGTGGTAGTGGGCGCCTGTAATCCTAGCTACTTGGGAGGCTGAGGCAGGAGAATCGCTTGAACCGGGGAGGCGGAGGTTGCAGTGAGCCGAGATCACACCATTGCACTCCAGCCTGGACAACAAGAGCAAAACTCCATCTCAAAAAAAAAAAAAAAAAGATAAAGTTAATATTACTGAACTTAAGAAGATGTGGCGAGAATTAAAATAGACAGTGTATGTGAAATGCTTAGTAAAATTCCCAGCGCATAGTTAATGCTGCTGTCATTACTATGATTTTAGAATTTGGAGTCTTGCATTGTTCTGATTCCAGTAAAAAAGAATTGAAGGGCCATCCTGACCCAAGTGCTTTGGTGGGTATTGAAGTTTTTTGCTTCATTTCATTGCATTGAATTCCTCATTGCAAATAAATAAAATGGTCATAAAAAGTATTTATTGGTAGGGGACTGGTTGAATTAATTATGGGCCACCTGTAATTAGTATGGAAAATCAGTAGAAGAGCACTGGGCAGCCCTTAGGTAGATTTGTGTTTTCTAACCTGAAAACATGACCCTGTTATATTAAAAAGCAGATTTTGCTGGGCACGGTGGCTCACGCCTGTAATCCCAGCACTTTGGGAAGCCGAGGTGGGTGGATCACTTGAGGTCAGGAGTTTGAGACCAGCCTGGTCAACATGCTGAAATCCCGTCTCTACTAAAAATACAAAAATTAGCTGGGTGTGGTGGCACGTGCCTGTAATTCCAGCTACTCAGGAGGCTGAGGCATGAGAATCACTTGAATCCGGGAGGTAGAGGTTGCAGTAAGCTGAGATCGCACCACTGCAGTCCAGCCTGGGCGACAAAGTGAGCCTCTGCCTCAAAAAAATAAAGTAAAATAAAATAAAATAAAAAGCAGATTTTAAAAAAATGCTGCAGACCAGTATGTACCGCATGATGCCGCTTTGTAAGTCTATTCTTAAGTCTGCTTAAACTTAGAAAGCCTGTGCCCCAAGCTACTCATATGGTTGTACCTCCAGGGCTGGGCCTGAATGCGTGAGGTGAGACCTTCATGCCTTTCTTCACTGATTCAAGAAACATGTAACATCACAGTGACTTTAATTTGTTTATATTTTTATTATTTTTAAATAAAGTTTGTTTTTTTTTTTTTTCTTAAGAAAAAGGCACATTGCAACTGCCTGTTGACTTTCCTGTCTCTTGGGAGCCCTCCGGGGCCACAGCCTGAGAGGGAGGCTGGGCATGGACCATCAGCTCTGACTCAGCTCCGGCACAGCTGTACCCCAGGCCGAGAGATGGACCATGTATGCCTTCCAGCCCTCCGGGGCCCCCAAACAGGGAGGCAGGGCCGAACATTCCACCCAGGCTCAAGAGAGACATGGACTCAGGGTTGCTTATGTCTACTGAGGTGGGGACCCAGCCTCTCTACCCAGCTTTCCTCCCCTGATTCCATTAGACACACTGGCCTTCTCTCTCCCTCCAACAGCCACACCTGCCTATCTCCAGGCCTTGGAACTTGCTGTTGCCACCTCTCAAGATGCTTTTCTTCAGCTCTTCTGTGACCATCCCCTTCCCATCCTTCAGGTGCAGCTCAGGGAGACCCCCCCTTCATCCTACACCATCCCCTTATAACTTTCTACTCCTCCCTTCCAGCCTGAAATCATTTTAGCTACCTATTGGTTTGCTATCTCCACCCAGCCTCAGGCTGTGAGTTACCCCAGAGCAGGGCTATAGCTATCTCATTCTCTGCTTTATCCTTAGCTCTACAGCATCTGGCACATAACAGTTGCTCAATTAATACTGGCTGAATAAACAAACAAATTGACCTCAGGATCCTCCAGTGTGCACCCTACAGCCAGGGTCCAGGAAACATCTGACCACTGACCTCTCCAGCCGCAGGACCCTGCAAGGAGGAATCACCAAGCCCTTATTACGGGATCCTTTGTGGGAATCAGCTGATGAGGAAGGAGCTGGGAATATGGGTGCAGACAAGGAATCAAACACAATCAGAGCAACACAGCCCAGACAGCATTCCCAGTGCCATTGACCAGAAGTTCCGTATAATCCACCTCCCAACCCACACCTTGGGTCTGGGACTCTGGGCAGACCTACCCCCGTGGAACAGGACTGAGAAGACCAAGTATGCTTCTACCGCTCTGGGCTGAGATGAAATAAAGGACTTCGGTCTCTTGAGCAGATGTTCAGGCAAAATTACCCCATCCAAAATTAACAAGGACTGGCAGCCGGTGTGAAAACAGCCCTTCCAAGTCTTAGTCAGAGGGGAAGAGAAAGGAGCCAACCACTTTGGGCAAAAGGGTTAGGTCTAGAGAAGACTTAGCACAACTCTGCAAGTTAAAAAAAAAAACAAAAAAAATAGGGTGGGGGGATGGCTAAAGTAACATCATAGCCTTTGTTTTGTGTTTGTTTGTTTTTGAAACAGGGTCTCACTTCATTGCCCAGGCAGGAGTCCATGGCGCGATCTCAGCTCACTGCAACCTCCACTTCCCAGGTTCAAGAGATTCTCCTGCCTCAGCCTCCCAAGTAGCTGGGATTACAGGCACATGCCACCACGGCCGGCTAATTTTTGCATTTCAAGTAGAGATGGAGTTTCACCATGTTGGCCAGGCTGGTCTTGAACTCCTGACCTCAGGTGATCCGCCCGCCTTGGCCTCCCAAAGTGCTGGGATTACAGGCATGAGCCACCACGCCCACCTGACATTATAGCCTCTGCTTTATCTTCACTGCAGAGTCAACTCCAGAAGAAAACCCCTACTAGATGCAAGAAGAATGGGCATCGCTAACCAGCCCGTTTGCTGATGTATGGCCCCTATACTTTCGTTGGTTTCCTGGTTTCTCTTTGCAGGCAATTATTTAACCCTGTGATGGAACAAAGCAGCCAGGAAGCAGTAGGGTTGGCCGTGGGTTGGGGCTGGAGTCTTAGCAGTCAGCCTGGAGGAGCTGCGGGCTCATGTCAGCACTCTGGGAGAAATGAGCAAGCTTTTGGGAGGAGGAAGGCAAATCCATCCTCACCCGGGCTGTGAGCATGCCACTGGGCTCGAGGCGAATGGGGAGGAAATCAAAGTGTCAGCTCGTGTTAGGAAACCGCACATGATGCTTCCCAGTCCTGGCCGTGCTTTTAAAAATTAGCCAAATAAAAATGGTTGAAGTCATTTCAGTCTGCTCTTTATGACTGCTAACTAGCAGAAAAACGTGTCCTCCCTGGAAGCATGGGCTTAATGAGCCCAGCAGACAGGGGTGGGGTGGGGGAGATTCAGGAATGGCCCCCCCAGCTTAGGATTTCAGCCGCCCGACAGGGTAACACTGCTCAAATGGATTTACTGAGATCTAGAAAGGAAGTCCCTTGATTCCCGAGTCTCCTGCCCCACTACTTCCTTGGTGGGCTTGCCCCAACCATCCCCCACCGGGACAACTGGTCCAGCTGCTCACTCACCTCCCAGTTTCTCCGAGTGCTGCCCCCCACCAAGTCCACTGTTCATACAGGTGGCCAGAGCACTCAAACATCAACCAGACCATGCCACTCCCCTGCTCAAAAACCTCCAACAACTACCTGTTGCTTTGGGAATTCAATCCAAACTCCTTGCCATGACTGCAGGGCCCAGCTGGGCCTGCCCCCCGCAGCACCTCTCCAGGCTGGGCTCTCACTCTCACGACGCACCAGCCGCCCGGGCCTGCTTCCCATTCCTCAAATGCCCTAAGCTCATCTCCACGCTGGGGCCTTGGCACTGGGCAGCTCCTTTTGCCTGGGACACTCTCCCAGCAGTCCTTGTGGCTCTCTCTTTCCCACCTTCAGGGGTCTGCTGAAAGCCATCTCCTCCAGCAAGAGCTCCCTGACTCCTCTATCCAGAGTTACCAGATTTAACCAATAAAAATACAGGATGTTCAGTTAAACTTGGACTGCAGAAAACAACGAATACCTTTTTACTGCAAGTATGTCCCAAACTCCTTGCCATTGTATAGAACATACTTTTACTAAAGAAATTCACTGTTTGGGATTCAAATTTGACTGCGCATCCTATATTTTCCCCCCTAACTCCACACGCTTTTCTCTCTTGGGCCTGTGACCTGGCTTCCCTGGCTTCATAGCATTTTCCCCATCTGAAAGTGTCCTGCTTATAAACAAGTTTCAGACTGTCCACTCCCAAGGGCAGGGACCTCACCTGCCATGTGTCCCCTGTGCCTGGCATGGCACTGCACATAGTAGGTGCTCAATAAACACCCGGGAAATGAACATGGAAGCACCGGGGGCTGAGTGAGTGGAGCAAGCCTGAGAGGGCACGCTTGGATGCTCAGTCAAGGTCAATCTTACACAGAGGTCGGATTTCAGCTCCTCCCCTGTCCCACCCTAGACGTGACTCTTCTCGGCCCTAAGCTGTCATCTGTGGATGATCCCCACACATTTCAGACAGCCAGCTACTCTGGGAACCAGGAAGTTGGGGTTTCAGGCCCAGCCCTCCACTGATGAACTCTGTCACCTCAAAGAAGTCTAGTGACCACACTGTGTGACTCGACTTCCCCATCCGTAAAATGGGAAGGGGAGGAAGCAGACCATGAGTTACCCTCCCTCCAGCTGCCAGGCTATGACTCCAGGAGTCTGATGGGTCTAGGGTAAGGACAGGAGAGGAATTCACCTCGCCAAGAAGGACTCTTCTCCCAGACAAGAAACCAACATGGCTCTGCCCTCTGAACCCTGTGTGAAGTCAACCAGGCTCCCAGAGTGCAGGTAGAAGGGCAGCTGATGTTTTCTGAGCACCTACTATGTGCCTGATACTTTCAGTTCCTTGATCTCCTTCTATTGCTAATACACCACCAACCCCATCTCAGAGATGGGAAAACTGAGTCCCAAGGTACATAGTGTGAGGCCAATCCAGGCTTCAGGCCGAGTCTGCTGGGTGATTCAAAATCCAGCCTTTGAAGTGGGAATTACACAAAGGCCTTTGGTACCAGGAACAATTTCTGATGGTGGAAGTGCTTAGACACAATGAGTGTTCTAACTAAAAACTCATTTCTCTGTGGCCTCCTTCAAATGGATGCAAACGGAATGAACTGCAGGATTCTTGGACTTAAAAGCCTGTTCTTCAATGCAGGGGACCAAGTTTAGGCAAATATTTAGATCCCTGAAAACGAGACCATTTTCTCTATCTCCACGGCAGCTTCGGAGTTGCAATCTGGATCGCATCTTTGGAGAGCAGCTTCGTGTCCCAGCAAAGCTGTGGGTAAGTGATGGGCTCCAGCCCGGGGGGCCACTGACACCAGGGACATGAGTCACAGAGGGCAAAGGTCCGGAGAGCCTTAGTCATGCCCCAGCCCTGTCTGGAGTCTGACATTTCCCAGAGGGAAGCCCCATCTAGAGACTCCCATACCAGGTCTATTGTTTCAGAGAACATCACGCCGGGTACAACCAAACCCAGGGAGAGAAACAGGTGGGAAGAGCAGGTGTCTGCTCTAAGATGGTTCCGATTGTTCCAGGGCACAAATTCACGGAAAAATACTTAATTTAGAAAAAAAAAAATTATTTTAAGCATATGCATTTATATTTATTAAACAAAGCTCAAAATACAACCTTTGGGGACCTCCAAGTAATAAAATGACTCATGTCAGGATATGATGACTCAGTGGGAAAGAGGGAATTCCACCACCCACGCGTCCTTTCTAAAAAATCAATTTGTCCTCTGGACAGGTGATGGGAGCCTCTGCCATCAGACCGTTCCAAGAAAATCGTCCAGCAAAACAAAACAAAAAATTCTCTTCAAACAATTTAAGTTTCAAAGCTGAGTAATCTGATGCAGGCCAGTTTCCAACCTACGCCCCCGCAGGACACACAGAGCCAGGGAGCTAGTTGGCCAAGCCTGGGGGCCTGAATTAAGAAGGATTTACCAGCCGAAAAATTCCAAAACTCTGTGTCATGTGAAGGAACCTTCCAAAACATTGGATCCCACCCAGGCGCAGCGAGTCGCTCAAAGCCATGGCAACCCCTTTCCCGCTGCCACATCACTTTTATTTTTGTGTCCTTAGATTTTTTCCTGTTTTGCAATGTTTTGCTGGGACCCCCGACTCCGCCTGAGGCCCTGTGGCCAAGGGCCAGGGTTCCCACTGAAGTCAGGAACAGCCTGGACTTCCCAGCGTGAACTTTGCCTGAAGGGTTACACATTTTTTAAATTTCAGAGAACATCCAAATGGCTTTTCAGCAATTACTGAGAATGATAAATAGGAAAGACCCTGATTGTTCTGTTTGGTTTCTCTGTCCTCTCTGACATGACTAGAAAAAATTACTCGAGTTGACGACAAATGCTGCCTTGGGATTCCACCTCTGTCACCAGTTGTGGGCTGACCTGGGGTGCATGACTTGACATCTGTGAGCCTCAGTTACCTCATCTGTAAAATGGGGATAATGCTGCCCGCTTCTCAGGGCTGGAGTGACAACTAAAAGAGATGCATTCATTCAACAACACAAATGAGCACCTGCTATGTGCCGGGGACCACTCTGGATGCTGAGGATACAGCAGCAAACGCTGAGACTCTGCTGTCAAGGAACTAAGAGTCCAGCATGAGAGACCAGGTGATAAATGAACAGACAGACAAGGTAGGTGATTTCAACAGCGCTAAGTGCCCCCAAGAAAACAGAGCCGGGCAGTGGCACAGAAGGTGACAAGGTGTCTGGGAAGCGGGACAACTTCAGAATGACGGTCAAGGAGGACCCCGTGGAGGAAGTGACCTTTGAGCTGAGACTGGGAGGAATAGGAGGCCGCAGGCTTGAAAAGAAATGGTGGAGGAGGCCGGACGCAGTGGCTCGCGCCTGTAATCCCAACACTTTGGGAGGCCAAGGCAGGCAGATTACGAGGTCAGGAGATTGAGACCATCCTGGCTAACATGGTGAAACCCCGTCTCTACTAAACAAACTACAAAAAATTAGCCAGGCGTCGTGGCAGGTGCCTATAGTCCCAGCTACTCAGGAGGCTGGGGCAGGAGAATGGCGTGAACCTGGGAGGCGGAGCTTGCAGTGAGCCGAGATCGCGCACTCGCGCCACGCCACTCCAGCCTGGGCGACAGAGCAAAACTCCGTCTCAAAAAAAAAGAAAAGAAAAGAAATGGTGGAGGAACATTCTAAGAGCAAACGGAGAAAGCCAAGGTCCTGAGACAGAAATGGGCTTGGGGTGTTTGAGGACAGAGGGAAGCCAGGTGTTGCTATGGCCAAGTGGCAGGGAGAGAGTCAAAAAAGCTGAGGTCAGAGCCAGATCACACAGGCTCTTGAAAGTCACAAAAATAATCAAAAATAGTAATACAAATAATATAATAATCATTATTATTATTGCTGCTATAAATAAGATGCCATTTTCCAAAACACCAAGCTTTTCTAACTTAAGAAACACCACGCTGCCCCTCTCCTACTGTTTTTCCACTGCTCTCCAATTTGTCATCTTGCTGGAGTGGAAACTGCCAATTCCATTTTAGTCGACAGCTATAAAAAGAACATTGGAGCTGGTGGTGCCGATGACCAAACTCGGGGCTAAGATTAGCCCAGGAGGCTGTCACCTTTCCTTAATGTGAGAAACAGCTGGGATTCCCCTTCCTTGGAAAACTTCAACTGTTCCGCCCCGCCCCGCAGAGCCCTTGCTGGCCAAATGTCCATGGAGATGGGAACGGGGATGAGTTTTGGAAAAAAGAAGTTGAGCAACAGGGATTCCCCCTGCAGAAGGCGTCCCGGGCTGGGAGGTGAGCTCTTGAGGTCAAAAGAGCAGGACCAGCAAATGCAAGGCGAGCCCCCTCTCTGCAGAGAGCCCTCAGAGCCAGACATCCCCCGCAGAGAAGCCCACCGTGTCCCTAACACCCCCGATTGTCTCTTGTCGTTAATCCAGGAACTACATTCACCTGGGATTCTTCAGTTAGGCATGGAAGGGTCAGAAATGTATCCTCTTGATGCCGGAAACACACTAGAGAATTCAAACTGCTGCTCAGAGCGGTGCAGTGGTTAATTCAAGGATCTCTATCGCCACAAAATGGGTAAGCCTGTGGCTCAGAGCAGCTGAAGGGTCTTCACGCAAAATTAACCTGGTTCTAAGCTTTTTAAGCATAGAACAGCAGAGTCCAAGGTGTGGGGTCTAGAGCCAGGCTGCCTGAGGTCATCCCACCACTGCCCTTTATCAGCTGTGTGATCTTCACTAAGTTACTTAACTTCTCTGTGCTCAGTTTCTCACCAGTAAAATTGAGAAAACAGTAGTCTATCTTTTGGGCTCTTATGAGGGATCAGATTAGTTAGCACATACAAAGTGCTTAGAATAAGGCCTGGCACATAGTTCATTATTAATGAACTACTAATTACTCAATTACTAATAACGTTCATTATTAGTACTTACTACTGTTTTTTAATGTCTCTTGGTTCCATGAGATAAAGTCTTACTTGTCTTTGTTTTTCTACAGCCAAAATATAATGATGATAATAAAAGAGCTAACATCTAATGAGCATGTTCAATGTTCTGAGCCCTATGCAAAGCACCCAACGTGTATAATCTCATTTAATCTTGCCTCCCAAGAGAAGTAAATCATCATCTGTATCTTACAAAAGAGGAAATGTCAGCCCAGATAGGTGAAGTAACTTACTCAGAACGACACAGCTACTAAATGCAGATCAGGGATTTGAACCCAGGCCATCCGACCTCAGAGCTGTGCTGGTGACCGCTGTGGGTTACAGCCCCCCAGATCTCTCCCAGCCTAGGCCAGCACCTGGGGCAGCATGTATCAACTGAATGATGACTATGTCCTGAGTAATGAATATCACAAGACCATAAAAATAATAACAAAAGCACACGCCTGTAATCCCAAATAGGAGGCTGAGGCAGGAAGGTCACTGGAGTTCACTATGTTGAACTCACTATGTTGCCCAAGAGTTCAAGGCCAGCCTGGGCAACATAGTGAGACCCCACTTCAAAAAATAACGATGAACATCCCATGAGCACTAAGTGCATGCTGCTTATTTACATATTTAACTCCAGGAAAGAAAGACTGTCACTATCTCATTTTACAGACAGGGAAGCTGAGGCCCAAAGAGGTTGAATGACAGGTCAATGCTGAATATCACCTGTGGACGAGTCCCCTGGATTCTCCAAGCTAAACTGTCTGCCTCCCATGGGTGCCAGCTTAGATGAGACCACACACGGAAAGTGGCAGGCACAGGGCTGCCTGCAGACAGTGGCCAATAATAGGAGCTGTGATTATTACTCTTGTTCTTAACAGCCAACTTTTCACAGCTGAAACAGGCTCTGTGTTTTCCTGCCTTCAAGAGGTAAATATGAAATTTCTTCTGAAACCAAGAGAATAGAAGCTAGAGAATAAATGCCATTCACTCATTCCACAAATGCTTAATTGATGCCCTTGGATAGCTTCAGAATAATTAAACTCCCAGAGTGCTTAAAAGCTGGCTGACTCCTAACTCCGTAAGGAACTTGGTAGGATCCAGCCTCAAACTCTTTCCTGCACAGTTCCATCAGCAACAAAAAGATTTCAGTGTAAATAGAAACCACTCAGTCAACAGAGCCCTGTGTGGCTGGATCAGCCCCTCAAGGCAAAGCAGGCAGAGGCCAGGCCTTCTCCCTGCACCCCACTTTGCAGGACAGCTCGGGGGAGCTGTGCAGGCATTCCACCAAGCAGATGCTGGGCCTGAACTGCTGAGACGCAGAGGGGAAGGCTTAAGGTGACCCTGATTCTGATTTTTCCTCATGCTCTTTTCCTTTCCTTGTCTTTCCTGAAAATTTCTAAGCTGTAGACCAGCAGTTGTTGACCAGTGGCAATATTGCCCCCCAGGGCAAATTTGGCAAGGTCTGGAGACATTTTTGGTTGTCACAACTTGGGCCGCACTACTGGTGTCACGTGGGTGGAGGTCAGGGATGCTGCTGAACATCCTGCAGTGCCCAGGACAGCGCCCCTGCCAAGTCATTATCTGGGCCAAACTGTCAATAATGCTGAGGCTAAAAATGTGGTATAGACCAGGGGTCTTCAATCCCGGACCACAGACCGGTACTAGGCGCACAGCAGTAAGTGGGTGGCGGGCGAGAGAGCAAAGCTTCATCTGTGTTGACAGCCACTCCCCATCACTTGCATTACCGCCTGAGCGCTGCCTCCTGTCAGATGAGCCTGCCATTACATTCTCACAGGAGCATGAACCCTACTGTAAACTGCGCTTGCCAGGGATCTAGGTTGTGCACGCCTTAGGAGAGTCTAATGCCTGATCATCCGTTACTGTCTCCCGTCAACCCCCAGATGGGACTACCTAGTTGCAGGAAAACAAGCTCAGGGCTCCCAGTGATTCTACATGATGGTGAGTTGTATAATTATTTTATTGTATATTACAATGTAATAATCATAAAAATAAGGTACACAATAAATGTAATGTGCTTGAATCATCCTGAAACCATCAGCCCATCTCCCCAACCCTTGAAAAGAACTGTCTTCCATGCAACTGGTCCCTGGTGCCAAAAAGGTTGGGGACTGCTGGTGCAGAGTCTTCTTGCCTAGAGCAGACTTTACCTTCATCATCTCTGATCCCTCAAGCAACGCTACTCCTCAGCTCACTCCTCAACTCACTGCCACCTGGGTACGTGTGATTCAAATCACCAGAGGCCCCCCAATCACTGGACTCTCAGGCTGACCTCGGGCTCTGTGACCTTCATAGCACTGCCTCTGCTGACCCTTCCCAAGTCTCCTTCCCCTGGTCTCCAGGGCACCAGACTCCCCTGGTTCTCCTCCTCCTGCTGTGACAGCTCCTCCTCTGCCACCTTTAAGGGATGTGGCTCTCAGTTCTCTAAGCCTCCCCTTCTCCCACTGGAGGCCATCCTGGGAGGTCGGAGCCAATTCCCAGGACTTCACCTCAGATCTCATTGCTGACAGCTCCCATGACAACATCTGCAGCCAGGATCTGGTTTCTTAGTCTAGACCACGTGGCCACATACCCACCAATCTCTTGCCTTTCCACAGAGGTGAGATCATGGTTCATCCAAGAAGGCCCATGGGTACATGAGACTCAACGCTTCCACTTCCAAAATGAAACCCGTCCTCCCTGCCCAACCTCATCCCCACACAGACCTCCTCTCCTGTGTGCTAAATCTCAGCTGGCCAAGTGCACCACGTGAACAAAACAATCTCGACACTCAACCTCTTCCCCTTCCCCATCCACAGCAGCTCCAGAAAAACAGCAGCAGCCCCTGCCCCTTACCGAGCACTTCCGGTGCTAAGCCCACTTGCTCTAATTCATTCAGACCTTACCTTTGTGGGTAGGCACTGTCACTGTCCCTGCTTTTCAGGGGATAGATGATGGAGAGTTTCCGCAGGTGACACTGCCAGTGAGCAGCAGAGCTGCCCGGGTGGCACGCAGCCCTCCTGGTGGCTGGCCCTGCCACCTGCGTTCTTAATGCCTCTCTACACCACTACGTCCCATCAAACCTCAGTGACATCTGCCTTCTAAACCACTCCCGACCCATCCCTGCATCTCCCTTCCCCACTGCCACAGCCTTACTTAATACCTTTTTTGTTATTTTTCGCAAAGGCGTCATCAAACCCTTTTAAAATAAATTCTGCCTCTTGTTATGCTTCCAACTGTGAGAATGCAGTTGTCACACCCCGGTCACATGTCCAGCCCATCCCAGAAGGATGATTTGTGCGAGACTGGAAGAAGCACTCTTTGCCTAAGACAGTCTGCTTCCCCCTGCCAGAAGTTGTCTTACTAACGTGTAAACTGGTGATGTATCCAATTTGAATGGCAGCCCTCAGAGGAGGTGCCCTTGTACAGTGCACAATCCCTCCAACTGGACAACTCACCTGTTATATTCTCGGATTGTTCTAAGGACAATAAACAAATAGACAAACATCAACACCCCTTTGAAGTAACCTACTGAAATCATGTCTGTTAAGGAAAAGGAAAATTGGTTCTAGTATCCAAAATAAGTGTCCCAAGTTATTTGAGCTAATTTCCTTCTAACAACACATTTGTTTCATTAATTATTGCTTAATCTGATATTTTCCTACTTCAGATCAGCATCTTTTCTACCACATACCCACTGAAAAAGACACCGATAGTACACCAAAGGAAGAATACACGTGGTGAATAAACAAAACATTATGCGTCTCAGAGCAAGGAAATGCAAAGTAGAAAGAAGTACCAATTCCACAATGATTCCTTTTTAATTTAAAAAAATGGCATTTCTGGGATGGGGGTGAAACTATGACTGACATGATGGCAACTTCAATTTGTAGATTTCTGGAAGGTAATTTAGCAATATGTATTTAAAGTCCTCAGAATGACTATCCAAAATTCCACTGCTGGGAATAAACCCTAAATAAACTAAAAAGATATACATATAGATTCATGTACAAGATTAATTAATCCTAGAAGTATAAGCTGATTCACTGCAGAACTACTTATAATAAAAATACAAGTAGCCAATATTAATTGGCTTATGCTGTACTTGGCACTATTATAATTACGTGACATGTATTAGCTCATTTAACCTCCATGACAACTTTATGGGGTAAGAAATTTTAACGGATAGGTAATATGCCTCGGATCACCAAGCAAGCAGATAACAAACCCAGAATTTGAACCCAAGATATCCAGGGCCAGAGTATGCATGCTTTATCACTGTGCTGTTTGGCCTCCCTTCTTGATAATAGCAAAAAGTTTTAAAAATTTCCTTCCTTATGTAAAAAAGTAATTTTAAAAAAAGGATTGAGGGTGGGAGATAATCTCATTTTCTGTCAAAATGACCTAGAAGAGTTAAAATGTAGAATGGCACATTCATGCAATGGCGAATGGTATGGCCATCACAATCCCTGAAGACACGCTGAGTAAAAAGAGCAGGGTATAAAACTGCACGGTGGGATCTACCCCCCAAAACCAAAGTTGTATATAATAAAGAGATGGTCACTTTTGCATGATTCTGGGGGACAGAGAAAGAGCTCAAAAATCCACTGACCTGTGGTCTTCTCAGTAAACACAACTTTGGACTCGGATGTAAAGTTCTGCCCCGTGAGGATCATTTGCTGGCCGCCATAGACCAGGCAGCTGTCTGTGTCTTGTCTTTCAACCATGGGCAGCTCGTGAGCAGATCGCTGGGCTGCAGGCAAAAGAGAGAGAAGTCACTGTGATAAGGGGAGATGTCTGTTCAAAAGAGGAGGTCTGATTTCATGGTACTGAGATATGACATGCTCTGCCCACCTGTGTCACCTGTTGTTATCTAAAATGTGGAACCATCACCCCTGACAATCAATGACGTACAAATGTTATGCCTTGTGAAAGTGCTCTAAGTCATTTGAGCTAATTTCCCTCTAACAACACATTTCGTTTTCATGAATCAAGGGACAGAGGCCTGTTCTCCTTACAGGAAGCCAGAGGCTGCCTGTTGTCCTTATAAGGAGAACAGGTACATGAGAATTGGTTTTCTTTATCCTTTTATAAAGGGATGGGCAAATAAACTTCTTTATAAGAGGTTTCCTTTGTTAAAGCATATCCTTTCTTTGTACATTTGATGTCAGCCAAAACATGAAGGCATCATGTATGCTAAGCTTAGGATATAGTACCTGAAGGGTTTAGACATATTGACTTTGGAATTCATTTATGATCTTTAACATAGTCGTTAAGACATCCATGATCTACCCATGGGGTCCTTTTCTAGAACTCTCCCTCATTCACTCTGTTCCAGCCACACTTCTAGAACATTCTGTCTCTCAGATATACTCAGCATACTCCTACCTTTGAGCATCTGCACTTCCTAGTGTCTGTCCTCCCCAGTTACCTGCATGTCTCCCTTCTCCACTTCTTGCAGGTCTCTACTCAGCTGTCACCTCCTCTGGGAGGCTTCTTTAACCCACCCCATCCCCTCCCAAGAGTTAAAACAGCAGTACCCAGCCCGGTCCCTCTCTCTCATTCTCTGTCACCTTTGCTTTCTCTGTCCTACTTTGCTTTTCTCCATAGAGCTTTTCACTTTCAGATACATTATATGTAGCTTGTATTGGTTTATCTTCTTTCATCTTTAACCTACTAGCATATAAGCCCAGGAAGGAGGGGCTTCGCTTTGTGTACTGCTGTAAGCCTAGACCAGGAATAGTGCCAAGAACCTAGGAGGAGAACGTACTAGTTGGTGGGTGGGTGGGTGGATGGGTGGGTGGGTGGGTGGGTGGATGGATGGATAGATGGGTGGATGGATGGATGGATGGATGAGTGGATGGGTGGGTGGGTGGGTGGGTGGATGGATGAATTGATGGGTGGGTGGGTGGATGGGTGGGTGGGTAGATAGATGGGTGGATGGATGGATGAGTGGATGGGTGGGTGGGTGGGTGGGTGGGTGGGTGGATGGGTGGGTGGGTAGATGGATGGATGAGTGGATGGGTGGGTGGGTGGGTGGATGTGTGGGTGGGTAGATGGATGGATGAGTGGATGGGTGGGTGGGTAGATGGATGAATGGATGGGTGGATGGGTGGATGGATGGGTGGGTGGGTGGATGGATGGGTGGAAGGGTGGGTGTGTGGATGGGTGGGTGGGTGGACAGATGGGTGGGTGAGTGGATGGATGGGTGGGTGGATGAATGGATATGAATATGTCTGTATCTCCCAGTATGTATTCTCAATACATCTATTTACATCTATGTCCTCATCTATACTTTAATAAATGAAAAATGGAGGAACAGGACAGGCCTGTGCTGAGCACTAAACCAGAATGCTATAGTTGAATGCTCATAGCAACCCTCTGAGGAAGGAAGTATTAAAATGATTCGCATTTGACTGGGGAGAAAACCAAAGCTAAGAGGAGTAAAGTCACCGCTTGGCCAAGGATCCATGGTGAAGCTTACATTTGAACCCTCAAAAGCAGGTTTCTCCAGCTCCAGCGCCCAATCTCTTAGGTTAACTAGCCAGCCACCTATTCCAGAAGCCAGGCTGCAGAAAAGAATGAAAACCTGCTCCAGCCACCTTCCCAGGGCAGGCAAGAAACAGATCCCAGCCACAGCCAGGGCCCCACCTCCTCAGGCCTCTCTCCTTCCAGCGTGGGCCAAGAGGCCAGGCCCGCCCCCTGGGGTGAGTCAGTCTGAGCTCTTGGCATTCCTCCCCAAGCCCAGAGAACTGGGCAGAGGGCCAGCCCCTTCCATGGCAGGAGCCTACGGACCTCCCCATCCGCGAGCCTGGGCAGCAACCGCGTGAGGCCCACGGCCCAATTCTAACCCTTCCCTCCTGCCTTGCCTGGGCCTCCAGGCCACTGGCATCCCCCTGCATCTGCTGGGGCCACTCAATGGAGCAACGATGCACTTGGCAACATTTCAGGAGTCGCCGTGCACCAGCCAGAGGCTTCCAGACACTCCACCTTGAGAGTGCCACCCAGCAGTGACTCAAACCAATCCCCTGATGGCTTTTCCCAACCCCAGCTCAGCCCAGGCACCCTCTGTTCCCAGAGACCCGCCTGCCAGCGCTGCCCCAGGGGCTGCCGGCTACAAGGATAGATTACAAAGACCTCTCCGCAGAAGCTGCTAATCTCTCCCACATGGGCTGGGTTATTAATCCTTTCTTTCAATATCAAAGTTTTGTGATGACTTCCTAATTGAGCTGCCACAAATGAGATTTATTAGCAGCAAGAGCAGCAGCTGCAGGTTCAGGCTTTGAAGATCTGCCTTTGATGAAACTGGGGAGCAGCTGGGGGCTTTTGGCCCCGGGGATGGGTGGTGCAGTGGCGAGAGCATCCCACCCATTTTACAGGTGGAAAGCCTGAGTCATCGCTACTGGGCAAGCCAGCCCAAGGCTTGCAGCCAGGAGGCCTGGGGACTGGAAGGGGCTGCAAGCTCTCAGTGCTGGGCGGGAGGCTGGCGCGGACAGTTGGGCTGTGAATCACTGCACGCTGCTGTGAACACAGCTCCTCTCTTTCCTGCGGCAGCCTCGTTGCTTCCCCCTTCAAAGCCTCATAGTCTCAGCAACCAACAGATTCAACCTTTGCCAAGTCTGCATTTCCTACCTCCCTACCTGAAGGAAAACTTTTTTTTTTTTAATGAAAATTTAAAGAGACAGAAAAAAGAGAAAACACGCCTTTAGCTATATTCTAGTACTACTACAACTCCAAGTGCAGGCCAGGGGCCTTGGCATCACTGGAGAGCTTGTCAGACATGCAGTACACCTCAGGCCCCACCCCAGACCTGCCCAGCCCAGGTCTGCAGTTTTACAAGGAGCCCATGTGATTCTTGCGCACTATCAAGTTTGAGAAGCTCTGTTCAGCCCTGGCCAATTAGAATGGGAATGGGAAGTTAAAAATACTGACACCCAGGCCCTCCTCGTCCTTTTTTTTTTTTTTTTTGAGACATGGTCTTGCTCTGTCACCCAGGCAGGAGTACAGTGGTGGCATCACGGCTCACTGCAGCCTCTGCCTCCTGGGCTCAAGTGATCCTCCCACCTCAGCCTCCCGAGTAGCTGGCATTACAGGTGTGTGCCACCACATCCTGCTTATTTTTGTAGAGGCAGGGTTTTGCCATGTTACTCAGGCTTGTCTTGAACTCCTGGGCTCAAGCGATCTGCCTGCCTCGGCCTCCCGAAGTGTTGGGATTATAGGCACGAGCCACTGTGTCTAGCCCAGGGCCCAATTCTAAAGCAAGGTTTCTCAACCTTGACACTATTGCCATTTGGAGCTGGGTAATTCTTTGTTGTCAGCAGGCAGGGGGTGTCCTGGGGGTGTCCTGGGCATTGTACAATGTTTAGCAGCATCCTTGGGTTCTACCTATCAGATGCCAGGAGCACCCTACCCCCCAGCTGTGACAACCAAGATTGTCTCCAGACAAGGCTGGATATCCCCTGGGGAAGAGGGGTGCAAAATCATCCCTGGTTGAGAACAGCTGTTCTAGAGATTCTGACTTAAATGGTCTGAGGGTCAGGACCCCAGCATTGTTTTTATCTTAAAAAAAAAAAAATCTTCAAGCCAGGTGCGGTGGCTCACGCCTGTAATCCTAGCACTTTGGGAGGCTGAGGCAGGCGGATCACAAGGTCAGGAAATCAAGATCATCCTGGCCAACATGGTGAAACCCCGTCTCTACTAAAACTCCAAAAAAAAAAAAAAAGAAATTATCTGGGCGTGGTGGTGGCATGTGTCTGTAGTCCCAGCTACTCGGGAGGCTGAGGCAGGAGAATTGCTTGAACCGGGGAGGCGGAGGTTACAGTGAGCAGAGATCACGCCCCTGCACTCCAGCCTGGCGACAGAGCGAGACTCCTCTCAAAAACAAAAAAAAATCTTCAAATGATTACAAGAGGCCACAGCCAGGTTTTATCTGTGGTACCATCACTGCAGGGTAATACAGGGCCCTGGGAGCTGCAAGAGAATACATCATTAACTGCTGCTTGGGCTCCGGGGTCAGAAAGCCATGGTTTTGAGTCCTGCATCTGCCATCCCTGCTCTGTGACCCTGGGCAAGTCACTTCACCTAAGTCACAGATGCCTCCTCTGTAAGGTCACAACAGTACCTGCCCTCACGGGTCTGCTTCAAGCAGTACAAGACCCTGCATATGACTATATGGACGCAGTCAGTACATAGATGGTAAAATATCAAATATCAACCCAAATGGTCATGCATGGATACACAGATAAACAAAGCGTGGTCTATCCATGCAGAATATTACTCAGTCATGAAAAGGAATGAAGTGCTGGTTCCATGCCATGACATGGGTGGACCTTGAAACCATTAAGTGAAGTGAAAGGAGCCAGACACAAAAGGACAAATGGCATAGGATCCCATTTATATCAATCGGCCAGAACAGGCAAACGCAGAGAGACGGAGAGCAGATCGGGGCTCACTGGGGGGTGGAAATTGGGCAGTGCCTGCTAATACGTGAGGCGTTTCTTTTTCTGGTGATAAAAAAAAGTTCTGCAGGCCAGATGGGGTTTTCTCAGCCTGATGTCACTCTGTCCGGGTCCAAGTTCTGTCTTCATAGTTTACTAGCTGTGTGGCCTTCGAGTGGCAGCTCTCTGTGCCTCAGTTTCCTCAGCAAAAATGATAAAGTTTGGCTGGGCGCAGTGGCTCAGGCCTGTAATCCCAGCACTTTGGGAGGCCGAGGCAGGTGGATCACCTGAGGTCAGAAGTTCGAGACCAGCCTGACCAATATGGTGAAACCCCATCTCTACTAAAAACTACAAAAATTGGCCGGGCCTGGTAGCATGTACCTGTAATCCCGGCTACTTGGGTGGCTGAGGTGGGAGAATCGCTTGAACCCAGGAGGCGGATGTTGCAGTGAGCCGAGATCACGCTACTACACTCCAGGCTGGGCAATAAAGCAAGACTTCATCTCAAAAAAACAAACAAAGAAACAAAACAAAACAAAAAAAAGTTCTGCAACTACAGAGTAGTGGTAGTTGCACAATATTGTGAATGTACTTCATGTACTGAATTGCATACTTGAAAATAGCTAAAATGGTAAATTTTATGTGTATTTTACCACAATAGGAGAAAATATCCTATATAAGACAAAACAGCCCATGCTTAGCACACAGTAACAACTCAAGACATGATGGTCTTTGCTATCGTTGACTTTCAAAAATGCCCCTCTTTTTCTTGCTAAGTTATTTTCACAACACTTTATTTGTTTAAACCCTTAAATCATAGCCCTACAGCAAGGAAGACACTATCACTCCCATCTAGAGAGGAGAGGACAGATGCTCAGAGCTCAGCTTCAGTGAAGGGCAGCACGTGCTCTTGGTTAAGGCTATAGTGTTGGACACCCCCCTGGTTGATCCTTGTAGGGGTTTTCACAGCTCTGAGCCTCAGTCTCCCCATCTGTAAAATGGGGCTGTTAACAGTCCCACTTCACAGGTCATTACGAGGATTAAACAAGTTCATCAAAAGCGTGTCTGGCTTAATAAACATGGGTCAGCAAGGTTAGCAACACTAAAAGCTGTAGCTTCTGAGAGGCTGTATGTGCCAGCCATAGACATTGTTGTCTTATATATTTTAGCATATATGTACCAAACATATGCATGTGTGTACACAGGTCACCTCTGTGGTCACTGCTGTTCTCGGTGAATCCTGAGCCATAACCCAGGTTTCTTCTTCTTTTTTTTTTTTTAATAGAGACTGGATGTTGCCATGTTGCCTAGGCTGATCTCAAACACCTGAGCTCAGGCGATCCGCACGCCTCGCCCTCCCAAAGTGCTGGGATCATAGGCATGAGCCACTACGCCTGGCCCAGGTTTCTTGACCCCAGTTGCCAGTGTTTCTCAAAGTGTGGCTCTCAGGTCACCTGTAGCAGAATCTTCCCCCAGCAACGCAGGGTCAGAAGGTGCTAGATAAAAATGCAGATACCCAGGCCACATCCCTCACCCTCTGTGCCCCAATCTCTCGGGCAGAGGCCAGACATTTGCATTTTAACAATCTTTCCGGGTGACTTGTCACGCACGTTTGCTTAAGAGCCAAGTTCCACACTTAAGAGGCCACCTGAGGACGGGGAACTCCTCCAGGGCAGGCCCCAGTCCTCAGAGAACCCAGAGGCAAAGCAATTAGCTTTTGAAAGAGGAACTGAAGCCAGCGCACAGCAGCCCAAATTACCCTCCTGAGCTCTACTTCTCTATTGCTCTCTGATGCAACCTCCATCACCTATGGCTGCTAATTGGGGTGACAGGTCCAGGGTGGGTGGGAGGCTCTAAGGAAGCCCAGTGGGCCTCCCAGGCTTGCACCCACCCTCCTCATCAGCCCCCCTTTCTCCCATTCATTTCTGAGACTGCAGACAATCCAAACCGCACAGCCTGCAGTTTTCCAACCAAACCAGGCACCTTGCTTTTAAAGTCATCTTTGAGGGCCTGGCTCAGGCCTGCGGGTGAAGTCTTGACCTCTGCTCCAGCTTAAGCTTCAAGGTGGCCCCTGCAAAGTGACTTCCCCAGGCTTCCCTCCTGCCCCTGGATTCTGGCACGTCATAAAGTGGCTTGGGGGGGCTCTTGTATTTTATGAGCTCTGAATCAACAGGACGCTGTTGGTTTAACCAGTTTGGGTGTTGACTTTGTCTTGCAACTGTGCCCACCTGCAGCACAGCAGCAGCCACCGCAAAGGTTCAGCGAAGAAAACTGACACCGGCACAGGGTTCCCCCACATCGCCCAAGTAGGCCTGGAAATGGGAAGTTATTGCCTGACTATCTGAAATTCGCCGTCAAGCCGGGTGGCCAAGAATTACGATCTATCCAAGAACCTCAGGAGAGACTGGTTAGAGAAATTCGCTCCTACAGAGAGGGCAGTTTCTGTTAATAACAGCGGACAGGCTGGGTGTGGTGGCTCACCCCTGTAATCCCAGCACTTTGGGAGGCCAAGGTGGGCAGATCACTTGAGGTCAGAACTTCGAGACCAGCCTGGCCAAGGTGGTGAAACCCCATCTCCACTAAAACTACAAAAAAAGTTAGCTGGGCGTGGTGGTACGTGCCTGGAATCCCAGCTACTTGGGAGGCTGAGGCAAGAGAATTGCTTGACCTGGGAGGTGGCGGTTGCAGTGAGTTGAGATTGCACCACTGCCCTCAAGCCTGGGTGACACAGCAAGACTCTGTTTCAACAATAAAAATAAATTTAAATTTAAGAAATAACAGGCCGGGCAGGGTGACTTATGCCTGTAATCCCAGCACTTTGGGAGGCTGAGGCTGGCAGATCACCTGAGGTCAGGAGTTTGAGACCAGCCTGGCCAACATGATGAAACCCCATCTCTGCTAATAATACAAAAAAAAAAAAAAAAATAGCTGGGCATGATGGCACGCACCTGTAATCCCAGCTACTTGGGAGGCTGAGGCAGGAGAACTGCTTGAACCCGGTAGGCAGAAGTTGCAGTGAGTCGAGATCGCGCCACTGCACTCCAGCCTGGATGACAGAGCGAGACTCTGTCTCAAAAAACTAAAAATAAATAGCAGACAATTACAAATGCTATAAAGACTACAGATTGCAGGCACAACATATACACATTTTTAAAAATATTATAAAACGCCCACACCAAGAAGCAATTTAGGGTTCACACGTAAAAGTAACATTCTAATTTTGGGACTTTGAGCAAGACACTTAATTTCTTTGCCTCTGTTTTTCATCTATAAAATGGGAATATCACAGCACTAACCTCACTGGGCTGCCTGCAGATTAAATGAGCTAATCCATGGGCCTGCGTGGCATCTCATCAGGACTCAGTGAATGTTAGTTGTGTTTATTTTTATTGCTAAACTTCATGAGACCACAAAGCAGGAATCACTCCCGTTTTAGAGTAGAAGACATTGATCCTCCCAGAGGAGAAGGAATAAGCTTGGGAGCTCACAGCAAATGGACAAGCAGAATTTGGACCTACACTGGGGGATTCCGCTACCCCATGGGACCCTCTGCAGTGAAACGGAGGACTTCGTGGGAAAGACACCGGCCAGCCCAGGCAAGAAGGTTCCTCCCATTGGTCATCGTTCTGGCCCGAGCACTGAGCAACCCTGGCCTTGGCGCTCCAGCTGCTGTCAGCCCTTCTTGTCTCTGTATCAGGCCCCATCCTTGGCTGTGAGCCTGGTCTGGCTGGGCCTGGCTTGGCCCAGAATGTGCTGCCGACTCAGGCATCTCCCGGGAGAGGCTGTGAGCAGGGCCAGCAGACAGGCCCCTCAGCCTCCACTCTGGCTGTTCCCTGGGTCTTCCCTGGGAAGTGGGAGAGTGGAGGGGAACCAAAATCTCCCCTAGTGTGGGGCTCACCTCTTTGAGGGAACCACTGAGGTCCACAGCAAGGGAGTGGGGTATGATGTGTGCAAATGCATGAGACACACAGTGAGTGACAAAGTTGTAGCTGTGGGCCTCGGTGGCGGGGGGCCTCAGCTTCAGCTTTCTCATATGGAGAAATGCAGCAGCACGGCCCCTCCTGTGAGACTTTCCTATCTCATCCACTCCACAGGACATCAGGGAGAGTAGGAGCTGCTGTCTCTCCTCCCATCAGATCATTACTCTACCATTCCAATGTACTAACAGGCACCCTCTTCAGAATATTCTCAGTCCAAAACCTGATGAGCTCTGGATCACTGAGGAACCCAGGCAGCCGGGACAGAGAAAAGAAGATGGCTTTAACCCCAGCTCTGCCCCTGCCTTGCCAGCCGTGGGACTGCAGCAAGTCACTCATCCTTCGGAGCCTCAGCCTGCAGGCGCCCACACCCTGCAAGGGTGCTTTTCTGTGCCTCCATCACTGGCATATTATCAAATGCTTCGAACAAATGAACTGAGCAAACGTTTAAGATGGGCCTTCTGAGGTTATGATGAGGATGGAAATGAGTTAACCTCAGTGCATCTGTGGGTACATCGTAGGTGTTCAGAAGGGCACTCTGCCTTCCCAGCTCCCTCATAAGTAGCCCAGTAAAGGGCCGGGTAGGTAACTATTTCAATCAGCAAAGAAGCCACCCCAATCCTGGGCTCTCCAAAAAAAAACAACTTTCCTCCACTCACTCATCAGGTGGCCCACCCCACTGGGCCAGATAACTATTGGGGTTCCTTCCCAGCAGCAGGGTATGTTGCAGGCTGTCTGCTCGACTCTCCTCTCACACCGGCCTACTGCTGCCTGGGTTTCAGACTCCTGCAGTGACAGGGTGGCAGCCAGAGGTACGTAAAGCCTGCTTTACAGAACTACGGGAGGGCTGCAGGCAAGACAATGAGATCCGTCCACACTGGGCCACCACAAAGGCCACCACAAAGGAGGCACTTGAGTTACCCTGTGGGATCACGTCTGGCACTTACTGTGTGAGACACACACGCATTTAACCGCCACCCTGAGGGAGGTACTATTATTCTCCCCATTTTACAGATAGGGAAAGCGAGGCACAGAGTGTTTAAGTAATCTCCCCAGGACTAAGCAGCCAGTAAGTGGCAGAGGCAGGATTTGAACCCAAGCTACCTGCTCCAAAGCCCACATTCCTAACCGCCACTCTAAACTGCTTCTCCCCATCATGCAGCTTTCTGGCACTTCTGAAATAGGGCTTCTTGGTCACTTGCCTTCGAGAGCAGAGGCTGACAAAGGCCTGGCCAACCTGCTCTCTGCCCAATGCTCCAGTTTCATCCAAGATTTACCACTACAGGATCTTGAAGGAGACAATCTAGTGCCGGGGGGTGGGGGGATGAGGAGTGGGGTGGGCAGGTGCCCACAGCCCCCTGGAGGCCCTTGAGTTGGTCTCTGATTTATAATGAGATGATGCCACCCTTTGGGTTTCTGGCCCAAATTAATCTATCACTCAATATGTAGTTAAGGCTTGATGCCCCGAGGCTCAGTGGGATGCAATGTTACCACTGGCTTGCCCCTCACTAGCTGGATGGCCACAGGCAAGCTCACTTCTCCATGCTACAGTTTTTCCAGCCTCTTCTCATACTGATTCAGCCACAATACAGAACGTACTTGACACACAGCAGATGATTAATAACTTCATTTCTCTACACCTCTTCCCTGTCCTGTCCCTCTCATCTTCTTTCTTCCTTCATTCTGCCTTCAAGTATTGATTAGCACCTACTATGTGCTAGGCTGTGTGCTAAATGAATATTAAAATAGAAATCACAGCTGGGCGTGGTGGCTCAGGCCTGTAATCCCAGCACTTTGGGAGGCCAAGGCAGGTGGATCATCTGAGGTCAGGAGTTTGAGACCAGCCTGGCCAACATGGTGAAACCCCGTCTCTACTAAAAATAAAAAAATTAGCCAGGTGGCCTCCTGTAGTCCCAGCTACTCAGGAGGTTGAGGAACGAGAATCACTTGAACCTGGGAGACAGAGGCTGCAGTGAGCCAAGATTGCACCACTGCACTCCAGCCTGGGTGACAGAGTGAGAATCCGTCTCAAAAAACTATATATATAGAAATCACATCATGTCAACCTCCTACTTGGAACCCATGGCTTCCCATCCTAATTAGAATAAAATCCGAATCCCCCAGCTTGGGCTCAGACCTCACCTCCGACCCCTCACCCCACCTATAACACTCCACACAGTCTCCCTGGGTACCTTTCTCCTCCCTGGAGACCCTGAGCTTATCCCTGCCTCAGGGCCTTTGTACTGGCTATACTTCCCCGTGGACCAATCACTCAGGTCCTGGTGAACAAGCTCCATCCTCACAGGGGCCTTCCCTGATCGGCATGACAGACACATATTTAACCAGCCTACCAACATGGTGATGTTGCTGTTCCCGCACTCCCAAGCCACCAACCCGTGGTCCTTGTTATTTTCATCATGACACTTGGCTCTCAAATGCTGTCTTTGCTTGTTTACTGTCTGTCTTCCCCACTAGAATGTAACCTTTGTGAGGGCAGGGACTTTGTTTTGTTCAGTGTTGCATCCCTAGTGCCCAGAACAGTATATATCACATGCCAAATGTATTTTAAGTTGAAAGAATAAATATTGGGAAGCCCACGATAATGATGTGAGTCATTTCAGCTTCCGGCAGGAGCAGCTGAACAAGATGAGCATTTCTGATTCACAAAGCGAAGCACAGTCAACATGCCATTCAGGCCTCCCTAATTCTTTTGTTTGTTTTGAGATGGAGTCTCACTCTGTCGCCCAGGCTGGAGTGCAGTGGTGGGATCTCGGCTCACTGCAACCTCCGCCTCCCGGGTTCAAGTGATTCTCCTGCCTCAGCCTCCAGAGTAGCTGGGGTTACAGGTGTGCACCACCACACCTGGCTAACTTTTGTATTTTTAGTAGAGACGGGGTTTCGCCATGTTGGCCAGGCTGGTCTCGAACTCCTGACCTCAAGTGATCTGCCCACTTCAGCCTCCCAAGGTGCTGAGATTCCAGGCATGAGCCACCACACCTGGCCCGGGCCTCCCTCCCTAATTCTAAGGGTTTCCTGAAGCAATGCTGCATTAGCACCCAACCGCCAGCTAGACCCAGGAGAGTAAAGTGAGGGATAAAACGGAAGGTGTGCAAGAAGCATCGGGGTCGTAGGTTGTCTAATCTTTTGCTTTCAGGAAAAAAAAAGGCATCAGAAATAGCTGAATTTCCACAGGGAAAACAATGGAGCTGGACCCTACCCCACACGATACACAAAAACCAACCTGCACGGATCAGAGCCCCAAACATGAAACCAGAACCGAAAAGCTTCCAGAAGAAAATGTGACAGAATGTCTTTGCTACCTTCAGATAGGCAGAGATTTCCTGGAGGAATGCAAAAAGCACTAATCCCAGAAGAAAAGAAAATGACAAATTTGGCTTCATCAAAATAAAATATGAATGTTCATAAAAAGACACTCCCTGGGCTGGGCGCAGTGGCTCACGTCTGTAATCCCAGTAGTTTGGGAGGCCGAGGCGGGCAGATCGCCTGAGGTCAGGAGTTCAAGACCAGCCTGGTCAACATGGTGAAACCCCATCTCTACTAAAAATACAAGAATTAGCTGGGCATGGTGGCAGTCGCCTGTAATCCCAGCTACTCGGGAGGCTGAGGCAGGAGAATCGCTTCAACCTGGGAGGTAGAGGTCACAGTGAGCCAAGACTGCGCCATTGCACTCCAGCCTGAGCAACAAGAGCGAGACTTAGTCTCAAAAAAAAAAAAAAAAAAGACACAAGACATTACCTGAAAATAAACAGGTAAGCCACAGACAGGGAAAAATATACACAAATCTGACAAAGGACTTATGTCCAGAATATATAAAGAACTGATGCATATTAACAATAAAAATATGAATAACCCAGTTAAAAATGGGCAAATATTTGAACAGACAATTTACCAAAGAAGATACATAGGCCAGACATGGTGGCTCACGCCCGTAATCCCAACAGTTTGGGAGGTGGAGGCAGGTGGATCACCTGAGGTCAGGAGTTCGAGACCAGCCTGGCCAACATGGTGAAACCCCGTCTCTACTAAAAATACAAAAATTAGCCGGGCATGGTGGTGGGCGCCTGTAATCCCAGCTACTCCAGAGGCTGAGGCAGGAGAATCACTTGAAGCTGGGAGGCAGAGGTTGCAGTGAGCCGAGATCATGCCATTGCACTCCAGCCTAGGGGAAAAGAGTGAGACTCCATCTCAAAAAAAATAAAAAAATAGAAGACACATAGATAGCCAACAAGCACCTGAATCATTAGTCATTAGGGAAATGCACATTAAAACCACAATGAGATCCCATTTTACTCTCATTAGAAGGGTTAAAATTTAAAAGACTGACAATACCAAATATTGGTGAGGATGTAGAGTAACTGGAACTCTCATACATCCTTGTTCAGAGTGGACTATGATGTTGAAAATACATAAATAAAAACATACACAACCAAGTCCCTTCCTAGGTCATTTACCCAAGAGAAATGAAAGCATTTGCTCACAGAAGGACTTGAGTAGGAATGTGCATAGTAGCCTTATCCATAAACCTAAGCCCCGGGAACAGACCAAATTTCTATCAATGGTAAATAAACAATTGTTATATTCATGCAATTGAATAGTAGTGCTCAGCAATAATTAGGAATGCATTACTGAATAACACCATAGCAGTGACAGATCTCAAAAATAACATGCTGAGCAAAAACAGCCAGACCCAGAAGGGTACACACTGTATTAATTCCATTCTATAAAGTTCTAGAACAGGGAAGATTAATCAACCGTGATAGAAATCAGAACAGCGCTGCCTCCGTGTGTGGGCTTGAGGAGGCGGCCTTGGCTGAAGGGACATGGGGAACGTTCAAGAGTGAAGAAAGTGCTCTGTCTTGAGTGGTGGTTACGTGGGTATATGCGATTGTCAAAAATCACTGAACACCTACAATCTATGCAATCTACTTTATCTTAATTATACCTCCATAAAAATATATATATATGTCACAAAGAGAGGCAGAGAGGGAAAAGAGCATGTGAAAAAATCCACTTTCTAACCCACACCCCATACCCACTCCCAAGCCCTGCAAAATGAGCAAAGCGAATTTACATTCTGTGCCCTGAGCTGGCAGGGCTTTGTGTGAAATTGCTTTACGTGTTTTCTGAAATACACGGAGCAGAGAGGCCCATCTGCTGGGCAGGGAGAAAGCCATAGTGGCTTGGGCAGAGCTACCTGGAGACATGGCTGGAGAGGTTCTGTTAAGTTCTCACAGGACCAGGTGTGTGCCTGTGGACATCTCCTGTCTCATTGCAGCCTTTTTCTCCCCACTGGGCAGTGTGGAAATACAGCCTGGAGACCGTCACCATGTGCTGAGCCCCGGCAAACATTGCCTGGTTCCGTCTTTATAGGACAGAGACTGACAAGTAAATTGGGCTGTCAGAGCACAAAGGGGGGCACCCCGTACCGTGTGGGGTCAGGGAATGCTTCCTCCTTGAGGAGCCATCTAAACAGGGGCCTTGGATGAGGAGGGGTTAGCCAAGCCACTGAAGGATGGGGAGGGGTGGGCTCCAGATATGCACCTCTCAAAGTCCGCCCCACATCAGAATCACTGGGAGACCTCGGAAAGCCTCCATGCCCAGGCCACATCCTGACAACCAAATCAGAGTCTCCAGGATGGGACCAGGACATCAGTATTTTTTTTTTTTCCTGAAATGGCATCTAACTTTGTCACCCAAGCTGGAGTGCAGTGGTGCAATCTTGGCTCACTGCAGCCTCAACCTCCTGGGTCCAAGCAATCTGCCCACCTCAGGCCCCCAAGTAGCTGAGACTACAGGCATGCACCAGCATGCCTGGCTAATTGTTTTTGTAGAGATGGGTTTTCACCATGTTAGTCAGGCTGGTCTCCAACTCCTGAGCTCAAGCGATCGTCCGGCCTTAGCCTCTCAAAGCACTGAGATTATAGACGTGAGCCACCGAGCTTGGCTGGGCATCAGTATTTTTTAATACAACTCCCGGGTAATTCTAACATACAGTCAAGTTTGAGATGCTCTGGGCAGAGGTGACAGTGTGCAAAAGCCAAAATGTCAGAGAAAGATCCCAATGCATTTGGGAACTGAGGAGCAGACAGGAAGGGAAGCCAACAAATGCAGTTGAGGAAGTGTAGTGGGTTACACATAGTACCCCCTACCCGACTCCTCCTCCCTGCAAACTTCACATCCACCCACAACCTCAGAACGTACCTTATTTGGAACCAGGGTCTTCACATATATAATTAAGGTAAGAATGGAGATGAGATCACCCTGGATTAGGTCTAAACCCAATAAGTGCATCCTCGTAAGCAACAGAAAAAGATACACACAGAGACCCAGAGAAGGCCATGTGCAGACAGAGGCAGAGACTGGAGCAATGCAGCCACAAGCCAAGGAAGGCCAGGGAGACCAGCAGGCACCAAAAGCTGGCGGGGATGGCACCGGCGGTTTCTCCCCTGAGTCTCCAGCAGGAACCAACCCTGCTGACACCTTGATTTCAGACTTCTGGCCTCCAGAACAGTGAGAGAACACATTTCTGTTGTTTCAAGCCACCTGGTTTGCAGTAATTGATTATGACAGCCTAGGAAACTAACATAAGAGGGAAGCAGGCGCCAGCTCTACCCCTGCAGGGAAAGTGGAGTTGAAGCTGACAACACCGAGGAGGCTGGGCTCAGGCGGGAATGAGGCTGAGCAGGAGGAGAGGGGAACTGCTCCGTGCCAAGTGGAGAAGGGAGGGCAGGCCCTTGCAGCTGCTGTCTATCATGGGTAGGCTTGTTGTTGGGGAAGACGGGGGTGATCCCTCTGACCTCTTCCATACTCCAGAGAAGTGGGAGGTGGGGTTATCTACATGGAGTGGGAAGGGGTGGGGGCAGCATTCAGAGGCTGGGAGACTGGAGAAGGGTCAGGTCAGTCTTCCTGAGAATAAGGAAAGGAGCAGTCGGGGAAGCTGGAAGGATCTCCTCGGCAATGCTGAAGCCCTAGTGGAAACAGAAGACTGGAAACACAAGAGTGCCAGTCTGTGCAAAAGTGAGATTGCAGCTCTGACCAGCTGGCATGCAAATAAACATAAGGCACCTGCACTCCTAGGAAATCACTCCACCTTCCAAAGAGCTGCCTCTGGTAGTTTGTTCATGTTGTTTCTGCTAGCATCGAAGAACTTACCCTTGATCCCTAAGACAGTACATAAAAGGCATCTCCAAAGTAAATAAATTAGCCTTGCAAATAAGTACTAGCCCACGAAGTGTTTTTCTCACCAACTCACTCTCCCTGTCATTGGAGACTCTGGCTTAGTCAGTATACACTGTCTAAGGGTATACTGTCATTAGTAACAATGTATTTTACAATACTCTGCCAGCGCGTGTTACGGACTAATTGCTAACATGTATTTACTGACTACCTCCCTGTGGATTATACAGTAAGTAGTCAATACATATTTATGGACCTACTAGGCACTGGTCTAGGGAAACAGAACAAAGAAGTAAATAAAAATGACAGAAAATTATTAGTGAGAACTAGAGTGGCCAACTGGTAGCTCAGCTTGGTATTGCAAGAGAGGGTGGGTTATGGGAACCAAAAGAAGAAAGGATTTCATAGAACCAGAAAGTTGAAGACTGGCTTTCCTACCTACCAAGTAAAAACAGGTGAATCACCTTACCAAGAAGTCTCAGTTTCCTTCTCTGTCAAAAGAAGGCAGGTGAATCAGGCAAATGCCTTTTTAAAAAGAAAAGAAAACAATTTTCAATGTTCAAACAGCTTTCTAACACCCTGAAGATCTTGCTGGAGGTACATGTGGTTAAGCGATGATCCTCAAAGTCTTAGATCGACATAAGATAAGTTGCCTTGAGAAACCCAAAGAGAGGGAGGATCAGGGGCTCCTGTCCCCACCTTGCTACAAACCCCAGTCCCATCCTGGAACATGAGTCATTTGCCAGAAAGGGGAGACCTTATCTGCTCACAATCCCCCAAATCGCTGCAAGTTTCCTTCCAAAAACATCTTGAGAGGTTCAAAACCAAGACCTTGGTGGGGCAGCCACCATGACCAGCATTTGATGGACAGGAGTGGGGTCTACTGAGCTGAGCAGGAGAATTCCAATATTTCTAGTAATGGGGTTTTCAACATGTTTTCCCTTGGTATCTACTATTGGGTCTTTCTCTTCTAAGATCAGAATACAAGCTCACCACCAATTCAGACTGATCCACGTCTTGACTCAAAAGGCTGAAAGAAATTAGAGTGACTCTTCATTCATTTCCAAAGACCAACCAAGACCAAGTTCTGGCTGCTCTCCCAAAGAAAGGACCATCCTCTCTCCTTCCTGACTTTTCACCATGAAGGCTAGGCTTTCCCAACCTCTTCTGCAGAAAATACGCTTTCCCTTTGCATGTTAGTCTTCAGACTATCTCTGATTAACAGAAGCTATCTGCAGATATTTTCTGACCGCAGAGCATTTTGATTTTTCTACTATTTTTTTAAATCGGGATATTTTTTGGTTTATTTTTAAAAACCAGAAGATTTCCAGCGCCAGCTGATGGATGCAGCAAAGCACCATGGCACATGTTTACCTGTGTAACAAACCTGTACATCCTACACATGTACCCTGGAACTTAAAATAGGCCAGGTGTGGTGGCTCACACCTGCGATCCCAGCACTTTGGGAGGCTGAGGTGGGTGGATCATCTGAGGTCAGGAGTTCGAGACCAGCCTGGCCAACATGGCGAAACCCTGTCTCTACTAAAAAATACAAACAATTAGCCAGGCGTGGTAGTGGGTGCCTGTAATCCCAGTTACTTGGAGGGCTGAGGCAGGAGAATCACTTGAACCCGGGAGGTAGAAGTTGCAGTGAGCCAAGATCGCACCACGGCACTCCAGCCTGGATCAGAGAGTGAGATTCCTTCTTAATAAAATAAAATAAAATAACCAAAATATTTGATCACATTGAGTCTATATTCCCACGTGGAAATACTGGCTGCAGTTGAGTAGCAGCAGCGCATTTAGATAGTGAATGTCCCCAATCTCCACTATTCCCTGACGTCTGCCACCCAACCTACCCCATTCATTTTCACAACCTCCCTGGCCTCTGTAGGAAGTTGATATTGTGACACCTAGTTATGGTAAAATGTCCAGCAAAAAGGAAAAAAAATCCTGAACCATAATTTAATATGGAACATGATTAGAACAGCATGAAACCAAATGTTCTTAGAAGAAAGAGACTTTAAAACAATAGAAACAGTTTTTGTTTCTGGAACAATGCTTATTTTTTTCTTCTTTCTTCTTTTTTTTTTTTTTTTTTTTTTTTGAGACAGGGTCTCACTCTGTTGCCCAGGCTGGAGGGCAGTGGTGCGATCTCAGCTCATCGCAACCTCCACCTCCCGGATTCAAGTGATTCTCCTGCCTCAGCCTCCCAAGTAGTTGGAATTACAGGCGCATACCACCACACCCGGCTAATTTTGTATTTTTAGTAGAGATGGGGTTTCACCATGTTGGCCAGGCTGATCTTGAACTCCTGACCTCAAGAGATCCACCAAAGTGCTGGGATTACAGGTGTGAGCCACTGCGCCTTGCCTCTTCTTCATGCTTTCTAAAATAACTTCTAAACTTTCAAACACTGAGCAGATAATAAGTGTTGTCACATCTAATTGCAGAGATTAACTACAAAACTGTGTTAATGTATAAGTAGACTTTAAACTTAGGTATAAAGTACGTAAGAATGAGCTCAAAGCTACTTTTTGTTTTGAAACCTGGTAGAAATGTGCCAGGTTTCTGCTCAGTGTCCTTCCAAATGGCAGATCCTGGTCACTTCGTATCAGACTCCGAAAATCTTCTGCAATGATACAACCATCTGTCTGGGTGTCCTTATCCTCTCCAGACCGTAAGCTCATTAAGGCCAGAGAAAGTGTCCTGCTCATCTATGGATCCCCAACCCCTGGCATAGTGCAGGATAAAAAACAGACCTCAGTCAACATGCAGAGATGGGTGCGGGGACAGGGTGGGGGACAGGGCATGGGTGGGGGACAGGGCATGCCTCCCACGTGCAAAAGCCCCAGTTCCAATCCCAACCCTGCCACTCTTTGGTTGTGTGCACAGTTTACCCCCTTGTGACTCCACCTTCTCATCTGTGAAATGGGCACACTGACACCAGCTAGCTCCCGGGACTGCTGTGAATACTCATGCGGAGCACTTCACACTGTGACCAGCAGAGTCAAAGCTCAATGAGTGAGAGCTGCTGTGGTTTGTTATTGTTATTGAAAGGATAAAGAAGGAAAAGAAAAAAGGGCACCATGCACAGCAAACTCACTCCAAATGCATCTATCCTTTAAGACCAGAATGATATTTACACATTTCAAGTCTTCTGAATGAAGCTTTAGGCTACTTATTGGCCCTATTATTTTTAAATTTCCTGTGAGGCCACAAAACCTTCCAGAAGTCAATAGAAGCAGCAAGAGAACACTGCAATGTGCTCTGTCTCTGTCCCCTCTGGTCATCTTGGGCCAGTGTAACCCTGTGGGTCCCACACATTCCCGCAGGCCACCCCGGGTACCTCGCCCAGAATACACTGCTCCCGGGGGAAGCCCACGTGCCCTACGCTTTCTGAAGAAAGACCGGGCCCCAGGGCCCAACTTACAGCACTCGATGGGGTTAGATGCAGTCTGTAAAGAGACGATTCTGCCACTGGACTCTGGGATGTGAACTCGGAAAACCAGTCTCACCCGCGTGTTCTTTCTTCCAATGTCCGTCTCGCCTTTCCGCAGCTCAATGTCGGCGTTTCTAAGCTTCAAGATCCCCGCACAGTCGATGCTGCCAGGATGTTAAGAACCCCATTGTCACCAACTACCTTCAGGAGCAGGAAAGATCACCCCCAAAGCTGCCAGTCTACAGCCAGTCACTGGGGGAAACTGCAATACACTCACATAAGCATTTCAGCCAGGAATGTATACCAAGATGGGGGTAAAAAATACTTAACAAAAGCAATTAGAGAAATTCCCCAGTGAAAATTACTTGTCTAGGGAGATTTTTCATGCCAACTCTTCTACTCTCAAAAACATCTGAAAAACTCTATGTAACTGGGGACTATTGATTGTGGACTATTCAATAGATAAGAGTAGTGAATCAACGTGAAATCTCTTGAATTGAATAAATGTACTGTGATTGTGTATGAGAGCATCCTTGCTCTTAGGAAATGCATCCTGAAGTATTTAAAAGTAAAAGGGCATAAAGTCTGCAAATACCTCTCAAACAGTTCAGGAAAAAACGGAGAGGTGGGAAAGAAAGTGCTGGAGCACAGGTGAAGCATGTTAACGCCTGGGAAAGCCGAGGGGGCAGGATTCAGGAGTTCTTTGTACACTTCTTGCAGTATTTCTGTAAGTTTGAATTTATTTTCCCATCCAAAGGTTTTTTTAACCCCAAAATGTGTGCAATGGTTCCCAGATTTTAGCCACAGCCATATTAGCTTTGTGAATTTGGGCCTCTCTGCATCATCACTTAATGATCTCTCTAGGTCAAATTAATTTTTTAAATATAAGTAAATTTAACCTGATCCCATGCAACATAACACAAATATTCACGAGTTCTTCCTCCCGAGGCACATGAAAATACTGACATATTATACTTTATTTATTTTTTTTTTTTTTTGAGACAGAGTCTCACTCTGTCACCCAGGCTGGAGTGCAGTAGTGTGATCTCGGCTCACAGCAACCTGCCCGCATCAAGTTCAAGCAATTCTCCTGCCTCAGCCTCCAGAGTATCTGGGATTACAGGCGCCCGCCACCATACCCAGCTAATTTTTGTATGTTTAATAGAGATGGGGTTTCACCATGCTGGCCAGGCTGGTCTTGAATTCCTGATCTCAAGTGATCCACCCGCCTCAGCCTTCCAAAGCGCTAGGATTACAGGCGCGAGCCACCACGCCCGGCCTACATATTATGCTTTTAAAATGGAAACATTTAAAACAGAAATCACAACGGGTCGATGGATCACAGACTGAGAACTGCCATCAACAGCTGCTTCCATCAGTTCTGTAGAGTCCCCTCTCCCAAATCCCTGCCACCTGCCCCCTGCTCGCTTCTCCATGAAGACCCGCCGCCCTCAGCTCCCAGCCCTTACGTTGCCCTCATGTTGTTTTTGGGCTCCAAGGGTATCTCCAGGACTTTGGTGTTGCCCACTATCTTCTCATAGCTGGTGGTGGTGACAGTTTTCCCCGTGATTCGGTGCACCTGGTAGAAGGCGTGCGGCTTAAGGATCCGCTCATCAGCTGTCCCAATGAAGATCTGAAGTCCCAGAGGCTTGTTTTCCATGTAGCCATGGAGCTGGTGGGGGAGAAAACAAAATCATTAAGGTGCGGGGTGTGGTGGCTCTAATCCAATAAACAAAAAAAGACCAGAGAGCTCATGGGCAGTAGAGAGACTATGGGATTTCTGCAGCATCTGGAAGAATGGAGAACTGGAAACAACCTTGATGTCCAGCCAGAGGGTAACGCTTGGATAAATTACAGGGATCCCCTCTAATGCTGAATATTAAGCAGCCACTAGAAAGAATACAGTAAGTCAGAACTGCATTTATGGAGAAACAGCCAGAAACTGTGCTTAATTGATGACTGAGGGTGGAAGGAGTGTTGCATAGTAGTGAGGATAACTGAAATTAACTGCAAATAAACTGAAAGGACAAACATAGAGCTCTTGATAGTGATTGCCTGAGAAGATCAGAAGAAAGAACTGTCACTTCTTTTTTTTTTTTTTTTTATACTTTAAGTTTTAGGGTACATGTGCACAACGTGCAGGTTAGTTATATATGTATACATGTGCCATGTTGGTGTGCTGCACCCATTAACTCATCATTTAACATTAGGTATATCTCCTAATGCTATCCCTCCCCCCTCCCCCCACCCCACAACAGGCCCCAGTGTGTGATGTTCCCCTTCCTGTGTCCATGTAGAACTGTCACTTCTTATATGACTATATTCCAATGAACAAAGTTTGATTGTGTAACTTTAAAAAAGAGTGTGACAAAAATGCCATAGTCTAAGTCAAAAGATAAAGACTGAAAGAAAATATGTGCAACATATAACAGATAAAAGATTAGCACATAGAATATATGAAGAATGCCTATAGTGAGTAAGTAAAAGATTCCCTGGCCATCTATTTAGAATTGAATCCTAATCCCAATGGCTTTCCCTATCTCTCTCTCCTACTTTTTATCCAGTCCAACACACTATACATTTTCTTGATTCCTTTTGCCTAAGTCTTTCTCCCAGAACTAAACTGTCACCTCTCTGAGAGCAGAGATGTTTGTCTAGTTAATTTGCCACAAAATCTCTAGCACCTAGAGTAACGCTTGGCACATAGTAGGCATTCTAGTACATATTTGATGAGTGAATTAATAAGGCTATCCAACAGAAAAAAAGTGAGTAAGATATTTGAACAGGAAATTCAGAGAAAACAAATGACCAGTTTGACTTCTAAACAAACATGCAAATTAGACAGCCATGAGATACCACTTTTCACCTGTTAGATTGGCACACATGTAGATATTTGATAATATCAAGTATTTTGGAGATTGTGGGGGAACAGGCACTTTTATGCAGGTAAGAGCAATATAGACTGGTATAACTATTTTAAAGAGTATCAGAGCAACAGCTTTAGTAAAACTACATAAATAAACACTCTTTGACCCAGTAATTCCACCTCTCCATACGCAGCCTGGAGAAACACTGTATATGCAGGAGACACGTACAAAAATGTTTACAAAAACAAACAGAATAATGAACAATGAGTTACATCAATAGCCTGACTACTAACAGGACATGCCTAGGCTGTGATACACTAAGAAGCACTTTAAAAAATAGTAAGGTAGAAGCCTATGAACCGACCCAGAAAGATCTAGGACACGCTGTTGAAAAACAAAAGCAATGTGTAGAAAAATACATACAGCATGATACAACTTAAAAAAATGCAGAATGTTTTCCATCCATCCAGTTATAATAGAAAAAGGTGTGAAAGGATGTGCTCCAAACTGACCACATCATCACCTCTGTGAATGGAGAAGAAGCTCAAGATTGAGAAGGTGATCAAAGAGGACTTTGACTTTATATGCCATGTTATAGGAAGGATAGATTCCTAGAAACCTGTGAAATATTTAAAATATATATATATACACATATATATATACATATGTGTGTGTGTGTCTATATATATATATATATATATATATATATATATATATATATATATAAAATAACAAGAGACAAAAGGACATTGGTCTAGAGTTTGATGATGTGTTCCTGTCTTGTCATTGAGTGGAGAAACACTAGACAAATCATTTAATCTTTCTGTGCCTCTATTCCTTTCTCCACTAATTGAGTGGGACTACAGGTGACAACTCACGAAGACCCCACTCTTCTCTGGAGATCCTTCGGTAGGATCTCCAGTCACCTGCCAAAAGGCAAAGTTGCAGGGTGATGAATGGTTACATATGGTCTAGAATTGTGCAATCTAATGCAAGAGCCACTAACCACATGTATATATTAATTAAAATTAAGTAAAATTGAAAATTCAGTTTTTCAGGTACACTAGCCACATTTCAGTGCTCAGAAGCCACATGTGGCTAGTGGCAGCCACAATGAACAAACAGCACAGACACAGAATGTTTCCATCATCACAGAAAGTCCTATTGAACAATGCTGGTCTAGAAAGATGGCATGCTCATGTCCCCTTCTAAAAGCCATACAAAGAGAGAGGCTGGGAGTGGAACTGTGCTAGATGATCACCTTTTTTCATAACCTGCCAGACACTTACATAAGTGTCTGACACACACCTGAGAGGCGGCCTTGGGCCAAGATGGAAATCCAAGTCAGAAGCCTCTTATCTGAAGAACAGCTACTGTACTCAGTGACGAAAATCAAAATAAGGGCAGCATTGAGAAGAGATTTTGTTTTTGTTGTTTTTGCTTTGCATTTGAGCCCAAGACAAATATATTTCCTCATCTCCTCTCCTGGATTTATCAAGAGTTGGTATCAAGAAGAAAGGTAGGATGGAGAGTGAGCCCTGATGATGTGGAGCTGTTTCCTCCTCAATGAAAGAAGAGCAGAAATCGCCTGCTGGGTGTACTCAAGGTAAACAGGCAGGGAACACCTGGAGATAAAAATCTATCGTGTCCCTACAGCTCCATGTGAATCCAGCCATTTCCATCCCCGCTCTTGTTGGCACACCTGCCCAAGCCACCATCAACCCTTATTAGAGTGACCAGCACTGATTGCCCAGCTTACCTCTGGCTGGTCTTTCACAGAACAGCTCGATGATCTTTTAAAAATGCAAATCAGATCCAGATACTCCCCTGCCTACAACCCTTCAAAGACTTCCTGTGGCCTTATATTAAAATCCAAACTCTGTGTGATAGTCTAAGAGCCTTCCCACAGCCCAGCCTCTGCCTTCTCCTCCACCACCCCACTAGGCTCCTGCCAACACCAGCCATCCTCCTGTTCCCTGAACACACCAAGGTCTTTCTGACCTCAGGGCCTTTGCACAAGCCATTTTCTCCACCTAGAATCCTCTTCCACTAGCACATTTGGGTTTCAGATCTTCAGGTTTTTCCTGAACCAGATTAGATGCATTCAGTGCTAAAGCCAGCTCTTTAGGCATTACAAGAACCAATCGTTAAACCTATAGGAATTTTAAGAGCCAGTTGACACCACTTTGGTATGTACGTTTCCAGCCGTAGTGGGAATATTTACACCACAAAAATTGACAAATGCTATAGATCAGGGCTTTTTTTTTCCCCCTGGAAAACTGGATGTTAAACGTTTACTAGCACATCACTGGAATATTTACTTCATTAACATCTGAAATTTCCTTGTTTAGTTAGTTATTTGCTGAACACCTCTCTCTCCTGCCTGAACGTGAGTTTCACAGCAGTAGGGACCTTGCTATTTTGTTAGCATGGTCAATGAACATTTGTTGAATAATCTGTCACCATCAACAGTAATACAGTGCCAGGCATGGTGGCTCATGCCTGTAATCCCAGCACATTGGGAGGCCAAGGTGGGTAGATCTCTCGAGCCCAGAAGCTCAAGACAAGCGTGGACAACATGGCCTGACCCGTCTCCACCAAAAAAATGCAAAAATTAGCCAGGCATAGTGTCGCACGTCCGTAGTCTCAGCTGCTTTGTGGGGCTGAAGCGAGAGGATCAGTTGAGTCCAGGAGGTTGAGGCTACAGTGAGCCACAATCGTGCCACTGCACTCCAGCCTGGGTAGCAGAGCATGACCCTGTCTCAAACAAATAAACCAACAAAAAACAGTAATGCAGCAGTGAAAGCATCTGTTTCCCTCATGCCACACACCACACTTGATGTTTTACACATCTCACAACAATTCCACGTAAGATGGGCTCACTGCTACCCACATTTTACAGGTGAGGAAACTGAGGCTGCTAAGGTCTGGCAACTTGTCCCAGTCAACACAGTGAGCATAGGGCAGAGCCAGGCTCCAAACTCCAGCCTCTCAGGCTCCGAACCCACCCGCTTCCCTGCCACCCTCTCTCTGTCCTCAGCGCTTGGTGGATTCCACTCTGCTCTCTGATTACTACAGGTCAGAAAGGGCAGGTCCTCAAAGGCAAAATAAGCAAGTGCTAAGGTGCAACATCAAGAATGTGCTTCCTGGGGCCAGGCGCGGTGGCTCGTGCCTGTAATCCCAGCACTTTGGGAGGCTGAGGTGGGCAGATCACTTGACGTCAGGAGTTCAAGACCAGCCCGGGCAACATGGTGAAACCCCGTCTCTGTGAAAAATACAAAAATTAGCCAGGTATGGTGGCACGTGCCTGTAATCCCAGCTACTCAGGAGACCAAGGCAGGAGAATCACTTGAACCCGGGGGTTGGAGGTGGCAGTGAGCCGATATTGCACCACTGCACTCCCGCCTGGGTCACAAAGCAAGACTCTGTCTCAAAAAAAATAGAATGTGCTTCCTGCCGCACAGGAGAGAGAGTGGGGCAGGAAGGAGGGAGAAAAGAAGGGGCACAGAGGGAGATGGAGGGAGAGAAACAAACAGCAACCTAAACAAACAAAAACGGTAGTTCCTTGAGAGAAAAACCTCTTTAGGAAAGCCAAGAATGGCCTCTCTGAGTTGAAGAGCAGCCTCTGGGTTGAGCTGGGCTGGCTTATACAATGTGAGCAGATAGAATCCACCTGGCACTGGTGAGGGTCCCTTCCCCGCCTCCCCGGGTAACACCAGAAAGCAGTGTGGTATAGCTGAAAGCACAAAGTTTTTCACTTTGGGTCAGACATATCTGAATTTCGATGCCAGCTCTGCTTCTTGATGGCTGTGTGACTGTGAGCAATCGCTCCACCCCTGAGTTTCCATATGCTCAGATAAAAAGGAGACATCACCCCCCACCCTGCAGGCCTCTTCTGAAAGGCGAAATAAGGTGACCTTTGTTGGGCACCAAAGCACAGCACACGGTAGGTACCCATGAAACGAGAACTTTCCTTGTCATCGGAGGATGACGCAAATCGAAACAGGGAGGTGATATTACAGAACTGAATGGAAGGGTGAAGAATGAATGTGAACAAAGTGAGAACCAACGTGAAGGCCTCCCATATGGGAAAGCCCAGGCACTAATTGCAGTCTTCTCAGTGGGCTGGCTCAACAGTTGCCGGCTTGGAGTGTCAGAGGAAAGAGGGGCCAGGTGAAGAAACCTCACCATCTTTCATGAAAGGAATACTTCCCGTCCACCCTCCATCCTCCCCTCCTACAAAAGGTACAGAATGTGCCCAGAATCCCAACTGCTCAGCTGCCTCATTCTGGAAGAGCCTTCCTCGCCAGGTCCCTGGAGGTTTGATGAGAAGAACAGATAGCCATTTACTTGCTTCTCCAAAAACTCAGTGATTTGGGTTTTGCAAATAGAACTTGATGTTTTGAGATGACATGATCTACCCTTCAGGTTCCAAACTCCCCACCATCCCCATTTTCGGGAGACCTCGGTCAGGAGGCTTTGGGGCGGCCTTTTCAGGCTTCTCCAAAGGTGAGGTCTTCTCGGTGGCCTGGACCAGCCGGATCACACTCCAGGCACAGCAGACACATTCTGCAATACAGGAGCTCCACGTCACTGGCCTCCCGAGCAAAGGAAACGCCACTTCCTGCAGCCAAGGTGAGAGCGAAAGTTTTCTGCTTCTTGTAATTTCCCAGGCAGTTGAAAAGGTTCCAGGAAGAAGCAGTGCTTCTAGTGCACACCGTGAAGGGCTGAATGCACGGGAGGGGAGTGTCTGTGGCGTCTGCGGGGGTGGGGGCCCAGGCTGCAGCTTGGTGCGACTTCCATCCACCAACCTTCCCATCAAAGGGACCCAAGAAGCCAACTGCAGGCTTGGGGGCATCATTCTATTAATAATCCACTCTGTCCCCTTGTCAACTCAGCTACTTGAAAAACCGGATCTGAGGAATGACGTGTGATTTAGACATCCCGCCACAGTTAGCTATATAAATGACGCCATCCAACCTCATCACAAGGAAAACTTTGCACCCTCCATAGGTGAAGACCTTTCTACACAGTGTATTGGGATCGCTTGCAAACATAGCTAATGTAATCTCCATAACAATGCTCAGAGAAGAGCAGTGTTATCCCATTTTTAGATGAGAACGGTGAGGCTCAACCAGGTTAACTAACTTGCTCACTATCCTACAGGTCATAAGTGATCAGGTGGCAACAGCCTCCACTGGCCCTGTTTGTTTCTTCTGTTGTATGGCTGATTCCTGATTCAGAAAAAGGCAAAATCCCCCCACCCCCAGCCCCCCAAGTCTGGCCTATGCATTTTAAGACAGGCAAATCCACCCCACCAGCTCAGCAATAAGAACCCAGAGACACACAAACATGGCCTCCACGTGTCAAAGACCCTCAGCGTCAAAGAGAAAGTTATTCAGACTCACCCCTGCCTGCCACCAAATTCAAGATCTGCCTATTTTTAGTGGCAACTTAACTGTCCTGATACAAAGATAAAAAGGCATCAATATCTGTTGATTCTTGCTGTTCCTTTTTTTTTTTGGTGTAAAGTACTAAGAGCTCACTCATTGCAGGAAAAAATAGACAAGATAAATCACAAAAAGAATACCCCTTGAAAATAAGTAAGCATTTGAGTGTACATCCTTCCAAACTTTTCTTTCATTCCAAACTGTTTTATTATTCATTTTATTTTTCCTCTTAATTGACAAATAACAATTTTATATATTTATGGGGTACAATATGTGATGCTTTAATATGTGTTTACATTGTGGAATGATTAAATCAAGCTAATTAACACATCCATCACCTCACATACTTATTGTTTGGTGGTAAAAACACTTCAGATCTACTCTTAGCACTTTTGAAATATAGACAATGATTATTTACTATAGTCACCATTCTGTACAAGAGATCACTAAAGCTTATCCCCCTAACTGAAGTTATCTACGCTTTCAGACTTTTCTTCCAGGCACACAGATCAACATATTGGCATTCGAGTTTATGTACTGTCTCCATTGACTAAGATGGTCATGTCCTCTTGTCATTGAATCTTGCTTTATGAGAATCTCAAAGAACTACATGGCACATCCCAGGGTTCGGACTAGCCCAAGGCCAGTGAGGTCCCCAGGACACGCGATCTGAGGGGGCATTCACTATCAAGGTCCAGCAAATGCAAGGTGGGCTCCTGAGAGTGAGCCCCACTCTACATTTGGCCCCCTGGTGCCTCTCTTCCCGCAACCCAGCCCCAGCCCTTGCGTGCCCGTTCTGCCTGTGGATCCCTGCAGCCAGGTGCGCATTTAGATGGTTCCCAACTTTCCCCCATTACAAACACTGCAATAAGAACCCTTGCAAGTGGCACGTCTCTGAAAACGACTCTGCTATCAACTCTGCTCAGGGCTTTTTAAATACTCTCAGTTGGACGATTCCAATCCAAAATGTGAGACTGATTTTCAAAATGGCAACGGGCCAAACAGTTTTGAATTTTACTAAAATAAAACATTAACGATGTTAAGTAGCATTTTGTTGAATTTGAAATATTAGGAAATTGCTATCATCCTCAAAGATTTCACTCTGAAAGAAAGAAAAAGCCCAGGGTGGGGGAGAAGGCCGAGCGGGAGGGTACCGGGGAAGAGGACTGCAATTCCCCATGGCCATGCAGCACATGGGGAGAAAATTTTTACAAACACACATGGATCCCAATTCAGTATCTATTTTGGGGTGCTAAAGTTGCAGCACGTACCTGCCATCCTAACCCCACCTTCCACCCTCTCCCCCCCACCACACACACACACACAGACACACACACAAGCAGACCAGGCACACTTCGTCCATGACTTGACTCTCACCCATTCCAACAAGCCATGACTGTGTGTTAATCACTTCAATAACAACCCTAACTCTTGGTAACTCTCTCTGCCTCCATCCCATATTAGATCCATCTCAAAGCCCTGTCAATTCCATTCCCTAAATCCCACTCAAATTTGCCACCTGTGACTCTCCATCACTTCCACTCTAGTGCCCTGGTCAAAGAGGGGGCCCAGTCTCCTTACCCACCCCTCTCCCTCCACCTACACACAGTCTTCTTCACATAGCAGTCCAGCTAGAAAGATCCTTAAAATGGTAAGTTAGAGCTTTTGCCACCTCTGCTAAAATCGCCCCAACAGCAAACATCTTCCTTGCATCAAAAAGCCCGAGTCCTTACCATGACTCAGAAGATCCCATATGATCTGGCCCTGCTTCTCCATCTCCCACCCACCCTTCTTCCCTCCCTGCTGCCCCCCATGACAGCCACACTGGCCTTGTCACCCTCAAGAGAGCCAGACACCCACCAGGCAGGTGCCCGTCCCTGCATCCCAACACTTATCATGCCCTCAGCTTGAAATGCTCTCCCTCCATGACCTGCAGGGCTCACCCCACTCTTCATTGGAACCTGTCCTCAGGTGACCTCTCATCAGAGAAGCCTTCCCAGACAGCCGCACCCCAATGTGACACCCCACGCCCTTCCCACTGTCCCTCCACACACCCTGCCTTAAGTTGCATCATCCACCTGACGCTTCCCTCCACCTGACCCCACATGTGATAGTTATTTGCTCTTTGCTGCCTCCCCACTAGAATGTCAGTCCCGTGGGGGCAGCACCCCATCTTTCCTGTTCATGGTGCAGCCTCAATGCCTAGAGCACCACACAGGTGTCCAACGAGCGAGCAAGGCTAGAAGGAAGAGTCTGTGACATCATGGGAGGGGCCGGAGCAGCTGCAGTCTCTCCAGACCTACGCCTCTCCCATGACAAAGAGCTGTTATACGCCCACACCGGCTTCTCTCCAGCTTGGGCAATTCTCCTCCCGGCCCACAGCGACCATTGTGTCACAGAGCCTTGTCCTGCTCGGTGTGGGCACGACTCAGCTGGTTGGACAACTGGTACCTGGGCTGCCCTGTTCCGAACAGAGGTGACAGCATCTCCAGGTATGATGAAGAAGGAGCCCTGCGCCTGCTTTCTGACCCAGCTGGGATCCCACTGGCTGGATGTGTCTTCAGTCCTGCAGGAGGCCACTGTGATCAGCCGCCCTGCTGATAGTGGCACATTTTGAAATTACACAGGGAACCATAAAAAGAATTAGACATTCTGGACAGGCTTGAAAACCAAACAAGTCAGGCTCTCTCAGTGTTCTAAATTAAGAATCAAGTCATTCTATATTTCTCACATCACTGAAAATTAAAAACAGACATATCTACCGCATAGCAAGCACGCTCACTCAAGAGAGACTTGATGGCCCGAAACATGCTAGATTTGTTTCCAATTACCATGTCCACATTTGAAACCCTGAGGAAGCCCTAGAAACCAGTGTGGAGAGATCAGAGACAAGGCACATTAGCCTAACAGGACTCAGGACCAAACGCTGCACCCCAGCCCCCTCTACTCATGGTCCCCCATGGGGTCTTTAAATAAAAAACCTGGATCATTTTGTCCCTTCCTTTGGGGGCTGGAGGCATGAACCTTCCCTTCTCTGCTCTCAGCTGCCCCTCTCCACTCTCAGCTTCCAGCTTCTGGTCCCCTGGACAGAGATGTCAACCCAGCCACGGGCTCCCTACCAACATTCCCGTCCCCACCATCATATAGGAGCTGGGTCTGGAAGTATGGGATTAAAATATGCAAGCCTTCTTTGAGTTGACCTTTGAAGTTGGGCTTTTTCTTGTTGATTTTTTTTTTTTAAGAAGCCATACAAGTGCTTTTCACATCTTCTGTCTATATTCCTCTTGCGCAGAACCAGTGTAACACTGAGATCAAGAGTCTGAGCCCTGGAGTCCAACCATCTAGGTTTACATCCTGGCATTGGCACTTAATGTGTCATGGCGGGAAAGTTACTTTACATCTCCAGGCCTCAGTTTCATCATCTGTAAATGTGGCTCCTGACCCTGCACACCTCACTAGGCTGTTGGCAGGAACAAGTGGGCTGTGTATAAAGCATGTCACAAGCAATCAATATTAACTTTCATTCATATTTTTTCATCTATGGCTGGGTGACTTGTGGCAATTAAGGGCCTCTTTTCTGGTCTCAGTTCTTGGAAGAAATCATCTTGAAGGTTGTCTTTCAGTGCTAACATGTCATGATCTTCAGGTACATTTAGAATAAGATCCAGGCCAAGGAGGGTGGATTCTTTGAGGCCAGGAGCTCAAGACCAGCCTGGCCAACATGGTGAAACCCCGTCTCTACTACAAATACAAAAATGACCCGAGCGTGGTGGCGTGCACCTGTAGTCCCAGCTACTCAGGAGACTGAGACATGAGAATCGCTTGAACCCGGGAGGCAGAGGTTGCAGTAAGCCAAGATCGTGCCACTGCACTCCAGCCTGGGTGACAGAGCGAGACACTGCCTCAAACAAAAAAAAGAAGAAGAAAATCCAAACTGCCCATTGCAGCCGACAAAACTGCATGATCAGACCCCCGCCCATATCACCAGCTTCATCTCCCCAACTCCAGTCCAGCCACAGGGGCCTCCTTGCTGCTCCTGGAACAAGCCACGTTTCTGCCACAGGGCCTTTGCATATGCTATGCCCTTGGCCTAGAACATTCTTCCCCTGGGTCTTCCCACAGCTGGTTCCTCCTGATCCTTCAGGTCTCAGCCTAAATGCAGGGCCCTCCCTGGGTAGCCTGGCAGAAAGAGAGCTCCTCTAGCATCATTCCACCATGTCTTCCTGTTTATTTCCTTCCTGACTGTGCTAAGTGTTACTTTATGTGTTTGCTTATTGCCTGTTCCCACCCCCCGCCCCACTAGAATGTAAGCTTGTCCATCACCATGCCTCAGCACCTCCGACGGTATTTGGCATACAGTAGATGTTCAATAAATATTTGCTGAATAAATAAACGAATAGATTGATTCTCAGGTTCCTATGTGGATCCACATATTGCCGAGTGATTCATTCTCCAGCGACTCTGAGAAAGGAGGCTCATTCATGTCTGGAACAGAATCCCTACGTTTGGAGTCTGCCTAAGCTCACTATCATTTGAGCCAGTCTGCAGGAATGTGTCTCACCATGAAAGAGACATATTATACCAGGCCAATTACACTGAAAGTCAGAAGAGCAGACTAACTTGGGCTGGAAAAATGAAGTTTACAATCTTGAGATTGAATTGAAAGCACAGCAGCCTGGCAGCTCATGGAGATGGCGAGGGAAAAGTGAGGCATGCGCAGTGCTCCCTGCTGCCAAGTGTTTACCCGAAGACCAGAACACAAGGGGAAAGCATCCTTCAGAAACATTTCTCCCGGAGTTTCTCACTCAGGACACTGACCTGATATTAGGAAACAAGGTATCTACTATCTGCAGAGGCCTGGGCTCTGGGAGAAGCAGGGGATCCCCAAGAGACGGCAACTGGGGAATGCAGCTTGCAGAAACTCCGTGCAAGCATCTGGCCCTGACCGTGCCCAGCATGGCAGTGTGTGAATGCCCCAGGGATGCTGGGATGGCAGCCGCTTCAGAACACATTGATAAGACATTCCTCTGCGGGAGCCAGGGCAGAGAGACTATCTGGATAAAGAGCTAATGCATGCAGGGCTTAATACCTAGGTGATGGGTTGACAGGTGCAGCAAACCACCATGGCACATGTTTACCTATGGAACAAACCTCTGCATCCGGCACATGTATCCCGGAACTTAAAATAAAATTAAATTAAAAAACAAAAACATTCCCAGGAAACTGCAGTTCAGCTTTGAAAAAATGTTCCACCAGAGACATCTGGATGAGCCATAAGCTCTGGCCTCTCCTCTTTCACTACAGCCACAGCTGAAAAAGAACCCCAAGATGGTGAAGAGGCAAAAGCTAGGGCTGAGGAAATGCAGGACAGCCGGCCGAGCCAGCCATGGCATAAAAAAGGTGAGTTATTCCCAATCGAATGACACCTCCGCCCCCACACCAAAGACTGTGCAGGTCTCTCTGGATTCAGACCAAAAATTCTGAGTCACTTTTGCCACAAGGGGGAAAAAAAAAAAGGAGAAGGCAGACGTGATGTGTACCTTTCCACACTCTATTTTGGGATTTTAAGATCCAGTTTCTTTCATTTCAAAGGGTGGGTTTTTGGAGGGCTCTCTGCATAACTCTTAGACTCAGCACGGCGAGACGGCGCTGAGACGGGCTCTGTCGGTGACCTGGGGAGAGGCGGGACCCACTGGCAGATCAACAAAACGCATCATTCAGGAACAAGGGGCCCGTTCTTATGTGGAGCGTATGGGGCCTGGCTTCCATAAACATGATGGAAGCCTGTGGGCTGAGCCAGTCTGACTCACCTCTTCATCGGGGCCGTTCCCAAGTTCATTCACTCCTCCGTTTAGTCATTCACGCAGCAAAGTGCCTCTCAGGAAAGAAGATTAAGCTGAAGGCTGTCCTTCAGGATTATTAATACACATTCCTTTGGTGAAGAATCGGGTGCTTCTCTGGATGGATGGTAACATGTGGGATTATCATAATCCCAGAATTTAAGACATTGGAGTAAGAAACCAGTAAATCAGGATTTCTCAACCTTCGCACTATTGGCCAGTGTGGACTATTGATTTGGGGGCCAAATAAGTCTTTCTTGTCGGGGGCTGCCCCAGGCATTGTAGGGTGTTTGTCAGCATCACTGGACTCTACCCAGTAGGTAGCAGCAGCCACCCTTTTCCCAACTGTGATGCACAAAAAAGTCTCTGGACATTGCTAAATGTCCCCTGGGACACGAAATCACTCCTATTGAGAAACATTCTTAAATTAAGCTAACATTTATGAGGAGGGGAAACAGAAAATCTGCACTGAAACCCTATCCCTTGTCCATCAGAAAGTGTTGTTCAACGGGACCTTCAAGAAACACCCCAGATCCTCCCACTTTTCACGTTCTCATCAACCTCCCTGGGTCCCAGCACTGTCATCTCTCACCTGGACCCCTGCATCCAGCCTCTCGCTAATTTCTGCCTTGTCCCTTGTCCCTATCCTGAATAGAATCTCCACAAGCAGCCAGAGGGATCTTTTAAAAGCAAATGAGATCCTATCACTTCCCTACTTAAAATCCCCCCATGGCTTCCCAGTGCATAAAGAATTACATTCAAGCTGGGCGCAGTGGCTCATGCCTGTAATCCCAGCACTTTGGGAGGCCAAGGCAGGCGGATCACTTGAGGTCAGGAGTTCAAGACCAGACTGGCCAACATGGCGAAACCCCCGTCTCTACTAAACATACAAAAATTAGCCAGACAGGGTGGCGGGCGCCTGCAATCCCAGCTACTCAGGAGGCTGAGGCAGGAGAATCGCTTGAACCCAGGAGGCAGAGGTTGCAGTGAGCCAAGATCGTGCCACTGCACTGTAGCCTGGGCAACAGAGTGAGACTGTCTCAAAAAAAAGAAGTGTGCAGATGACTTGCAGAAGAGTTCCTGGGAGGAAGCTCACCAAGATGGTGAGGGGGGCCCCTTTGGCCCTATCTCCCTCCTTCCTTGGAATTCCAGTGCTTGGAGTATAGAGGTGGTAGCTGCAGCCCCAGCAATCATTTTGAACCCTGAGGTGACCTGGAGTTGAACAGGAGGTAAGAAGGAACCCAGATTCCTAATGACTTCATAGCACTTTGGACTACCCATCTCTAGATTTTCTACATTCTTAGATGAGAAGCAACTGTTATTTGGGGTTTTCTGTTAGAGGTAATTAAACCTAAGTCTAATTGAAGGACTCATCAGCCCATCAGCATCACATCAAGTCCCCCACTCCTTCATTCAACTTCTTCTCAACTGCATTGCAAAGACAGTAAGACAACCATGTCTAGGCGGCTTCTGGTTAAACAAACTCAAGGTACAAATGGCACATGGATACGTGCACCGGCCTGCTTTACCAAAGGCTTCAAAAACAATGATTTCTCTGAAAAGCCAGTGCCAAAAGAGAATCTGAAAGAAACTGCCATGTACAAAGAGTCAGATGATTCAACTGCTCAGAAACATACCAAGTAATGACACCCAAGTCAGTCTGCAAATGTTCTCATCCTCTTACTCACAATCCAAAAGAACGTCTAGAAAGGTATTCCCAAGAGGAGAGGTGAAGTGGGGAAAGACGACTGTCTGACACACGCAGGAATGACGATGGTCCTCACTAGAAATAAAATTGCTGCTTACTTTCTGTCTGGTTTCCGAATTGCTTTTTCCTGGTTAAAAGGTGCCAGGCCTGGCAGCTTTCTAAACATTTAAAATTCAATTCAAGTCAACAAATATTTGTTAAGTTCTGCCTATTCACAAAAAGGGCCATGCTGGGGAAAACTGGATAATAGGGAGATGCTATAATTAATCATAATAACAACAACAATGACAGCTAATAATGTATTGCGTGCTTGCTAAATACAGGGCATTGTGATGTATGATATCTATCAATCTTCACTATGATATCTATCAATCTTCACTGCAACGCTATGAGAGAGGTATTATAATTTTAAACAAGAGGGAACTGAGGCTCAGAGAAATTAGTTTGTTCAAGGTCATGCAGCTAAGAAGAGAGAAGCCAGGATTCCAACACGGCAGGTCTACCTCCAAGACCCATTCTCTTGACAACTATACGATCTTCTGTTCCTGTAGTCTCTAAAGAGGGAAGAATACACAGCCACAAATGGACACACCACTGTTCCCCAACCTCAGTCATTTTCCAGCCTTATTCCTGATCTTCTACTGGACTGTTGGTTACTGAATCTCTCCACAATTTAAATTCATATCTTTACTTACAGAAATTTATCTTGAAAGAAACTTTATGTTGCTGCCATAAATAGGAAACCAGGATCACCAGCAGGAAATCAAATGTGTGCATAAATACACAATGAAATAAAGGTGCCATTAAAATAATTATAGCAGCTACACACGGTGGCACATGCCTGTAGTCCCAGCTACTTGGGAGAGTGAGACAGGAAGGTTATTTGAGCCCGGGAGTTTGAGACCAGCTTGGGTAACATAAAAAAAAATTTAAAAATAAAATAATTATAAATGTTAAAAATGCTGACTAAGTAACACAACATTAATCAACATGCTCCTTTCCCAGGGAACCATGGTTTGCAGAGCACAGGACTGGCATTCAAAGTACAGCAGAGGAGGTGCTGAAGCACTGGGTTTGGGGAGCCCCAAGATGGGAAGCCACCATCTCCAAAGCCAGTAGATCATCAAGGGATGATTAAGAAAACCACCCAGGTCAGTGCCCAGACACAAGAGGTGCTCAGCAAACCTCTGCAAAAGGACCCAAGGAGGTCTGCTAAGGACTCTTTACCAGGAGAGAAAAAGTACCACTGCCTGCCCACAAGCTAGGAGAATGTCCTGTATTCAGAGAGAGGACTAGAAAAGGAAAATCATCTCCTGGCTCCAGGGCACAAATTTTTAACCTTTTTTTGCACCAATGACCCCTTCTGCAGCTTGGTGAAGCCATGGCCCTATCTCTGAGTGATTCTTCCACATGCATAAAATGGACAAGGTTAAAAAAAAAAAAGAAGAGGGAAATCAACCAATGTATAAAAATGTAATGTATTTTCCCAAAACTAAAAAGTGGCATTCGTTCAGGTAGCCCGTCTGTCTGTCTTCCTTGCTCTGGGTTTGCATGCGCTGTGCCTGTGAGGTATGCAATGGTAGACCAGGAAATATTCAACGACCAGTTCTCCAAGACAGAAAGCTTGCTTTGCAGTGTTTGCCCATTTCCACGGTGTCAACACTCCCACAGTGGCTGATTTCCAGCTCCCGGTGTGACGATACTGTATATGGAGCTGGGAGGAGAAGTGCAGCGGCACCATTACGTGCTACCTCCGCCATGTGGATACACGGATGCCTATGACCTCAGGCACATAGGTCAGAACAACATGTAACAGAGTTCCTGGAACTTTAAAAATCAGCTCTCACAAGGCCACGAAAACGGGCTCCAGGACACTCCTGGGCACCCATAGGTCTCTGTGTGCATCTGTTTAGGTGCATAACTACTCAGATTGCAGTCTGCCCATCTCTTACTCTCTTCTCCCATTGATTTTCACATCTGCTCGTTGAGAACAGCCCCACCCCCACCAACACACACATACACATACACACACACACACACACACACACACACACACACACACACACCCCTTGCCCCAGCCCTACTCCCTGTGAAAGCTTATGAGGACCCTGCTATGGTCTGGCCTGCACACACATACCCCCAGCCCCGCGCCCCCGGAGTGCCATGAACACCCCTTGTTCACTGGCCCGGGCTCCCCTTAGATCTGGAGAAAGCCGCATCCCTGCACATCCCAGAAATGCGCAAATCCTACAAACCAAATCACCTCGGCCCCAAGGCTCCTAGAGCCTTCTCGCCCCAGCAGGAGGGAGAGCCTCATCTTTAAATCCCATCACACACATCTTCCTGTCTAGACGAGGTCCCTGGCTGCCAGGGCCTCAGAGTGAATGGATTCACAGCCTCCACCCGCTGGCACCACCGAGCCCCGCCGCACCCCGCCGCTATTCTCAGGACGACCTGGGCAGCCCCCCAGCTTCTAGAAAAGACACAGAGGAGACTGCGCAATCAACAGGCAGGAGTGTGCGTGAGTGCGGCATGACATGGGCACGCCACCCCAGAGAAGTGGGCGCCTGCTGCGCTAAACGTCATCCGTCATCCTTTCGCTGAAAAGTTGGAAAACAAACAACAAAAACCCCGCCCAGCCTCATTTAATGCGAACCAAACACAAAAGCCACAGGGGAAAGCTTTTCCTCTCTGTGCTTCCCTTTTCCGGCCGAGGAACACCACCAGCCAAGATAAGGGGACTGTGCGGGGCCCTCTGCGCGGCTTCAAAGGGCTGGCACCCGCCCGGGCCCGCTCCCACTCCCACTGGCTAATGGGCTCCCCGCTCCAGCCCTTGGGGAGCAGGAGGCGGCCGGGGCTCCATGCCAGGCGACTTGGAAGAGGTTTAAGGCTCACGCCACACAAGGGAGGAAGCTCGGCCTGTCAAGAGGCGTGATAAAGCAGCCCCTTATCGCAGTTTTCCTTTCAACTGCCTCCAAGTGAGCGCCGGCCGGGGCTGGGCCTGTCAAGGCCAAGCGTGTTCCTTTCATGTCGCCCTGGGTTCCTCGGTCAGCGACGTATCCACGGGCTCATGGAACTGTAGCGTCAGCATTGGAGTTTGCAGCTTGGGGCCAGAGGCTCCAGGAGGATGCGATCGTGTGCCTCCCAGCCTGGGCCTCTGGTGAACCATGTGGCATCTGCAAATCCACTAGAACCATCTGGGTCCCAGTTTTGCCATCAGGAAACCAGGAGAAGAAGATTCCAGAGCAGTGGGGTCCAACAGTTTAGACTGGGGGCTAGGGAGTCGGCAGACACAAGCTCAAGTCCCAACTGCTGAACTCGCTGGCTGTGGACCTTGGGCAGGTCACTCTGACTCTTTGACACATGTGTCACATAGAAAAAAGCACTTGTACATTTCATAGAGTTGCCAGGACCCAATGAATTGGTATAAGCACAGCTCTTAGAACCAGTGGCGACACATAGTAAGCGCTCAGTAAACGTTGGCCTTCATCTTGTTGTAATTCTTGTCGTTTTCTCATGGGGCTGTTATGGGCATAGAATGGGGATTGGCGACCTCACATTGCAACTGAGTGATGTGAAATTGACAACATGCTAGAGAAATGATTTTGATCTTCTAGGCACCTCCCATTTACAGAGGGAATGTCCCAGACTGACACAGTGAATCTACGATAAAAGAAAGCCTCTCATTACTTGAGCACCTTTCCACCCCGACTATGAGTCTCACTCACCGGGGCCCTGGATTCAGATAGCAGCTCCATCTGAGGCCCCTCGAATGCAGCAGACACTGGTTCAACGTCACCGCAGGGAAACCCCACTGGGCCTATTCCCTGAGAGGCGGGGCATGCTGAGAGACAGGAACAGAGTCGATCACATTGAGAGCAGCTTGGTCCCTGTCCAATCCTCTCATCAGTGGCAACCTCAGCACCATGTCCCCAGAGAGCTGCTCCCCACTGTGATGGGCATCAAACGCTTAGCAAAGAGCCAGCCCGGAACGTGACACCCTTGACCATCAGCCTGCTCAGAACCAACCAAGTCTCAGATCCGAGACTGGTTGGGGCTGCGGAAAGCTGGCCACACCTCTGAGCCCTCACCTCTGCAAAGGGGAAAATAACAGATGCCCATCCCATGCCCCATGAGCTGTGGCAAAGATTAGACGATATAATGGGTACAGTGCCTGGCAAAGAGTGGGTGCTCAGTGAGCGTCAACAGTTACCATCATCGCCACCATCGTCACCCATTTCAGACCTTCCTCCAAGCCATCTCAGGCAGCTCGGTCACCGTTACTTTGCTTGGTTATGAGTCCTCTTTTGAATGTGGACATGAGGAAGGACAGGACCCCAGTGCTCCCCTCCTTCTCCACGCGGAGTGGGCACCAGGCACTGAATTTCCATGGGTTTGCTCAGAGAGGCTAAGTCAGCTGCCTAAGGTGTCCGGCACAGGGCGGGTGCCACTGGAAATCAAAAGCAAATCTGGCGGCTTCCCTGGCTGGTGGCTTTTCTGCTACACCTGCTCCTCCTATTTCCTCTTTGTTTAAACATTTTTATTTTACTTTCAAGTGGAAATGCGGCACACGTCAGTAATTCCCTCACACTTCGCTCTTGAGGGGCTCCCCACTCCTCACCTTTATTTAAGGCCCCAAGGCCCTTTTCTTCTGCTACTACTACGTGCAGGTCTTTGTGCACAGAGTCAGCATCCTACCCTTGCCCAGAGCTGAACACGGCTCCATCCTGAATCCTAGGGCTGAGAACCCACGCGCCTTGAGGGACTGGCACTTGGCTTCCATAAACAAGGCCGCGGCTCAGTCATCTCACAGCATGGGAGAGGTTCTCACCTCCCGTGGCAGAGAGGTGACAGGCTGAGAAGCCACAGTTTGCCAGGAAGAACTTTTTGATGAAACAGGAAATGAAGTTTGTCGTAAGAGGGGAAAGCTCAACTCTGACTTCTTAAGGATTATTGAATCCCCGGTAAAACCCTGGGCTCCAGCTCTGAGGTCCTCTGTCCACTGAGAAAAGCCACTACCAAGGTGATGGTCACATACTGTCCTGAACGTGACTGCCAGCTGGTGTGTCCCCCTCCTGCTAGTCATCCACACTTGGAAAGGAGGTCAGCACAGCCCCCAAGTGGACACCCAATCCCAACATGGGCATTGTGCTACAGCAATTGCCTCCAGGTGGGGGCAAAGTAAGAACCAACCCAGCTCAGCAGAGCCAGAATCCCAGCTAGACCCTAAACCTCATTTTATTTTTTTTCTAGACAGCTTCCCACTCATCACCCAGGCTGGAGTGCAGTGGCACCATCTCAGCTCACTGCAACCTCCGCCTCCTGTTCTCAAGCAATTCTCCCCCCTCAGCCTCTGGAGTAGCTGGGACAACAGGCACGTGCCACCACACCCAGCTAATTTTTGGGTTTTATTTTGTAGACACGGGATTTCACCATGTTGCCCAGGCTGGTCTTGAACTCCTGGGCTCAAGTGATCCACCCACCTCAGCCTCCCAAAGTGCTGGGATTATAGACATGAGCCAGCACACATGGCTGGAAAGCCTCCTTTCTTAAAAAGACTTGTGTGACCGCATATTCACCTCAAAGAGAACACAGCTTCTCCATAATTTAAAGGGGTGAGGGGGACACATTCCATCGTAAATGCCCAAGAGAGAACTTGTTGATGTGTGAGTACAGACAGATCATCTGTCCTCTCTGGGGAACTGTCTTATCCAGTTCTGAACCTGGGTTTTCTTTGATGACAGAAGGCAAATAAATTCTACAGCACTCATTTTTAGCAAGCATGGAGTTTGCCGGGACCAAGGAAAATTGACTCACTCCCTCTTACAAATTCGTGGAGTTCAATTTTGTCACTTTCTGTGTTTGAAGCCAATAGTAAACACCCACATGCACACCCCCAGGTGTAAGAGAGCTCACGTCCCATGCACTGGCTGGGTCTACATGCCACCATGCCATCTGAAGGGGACTCTAACTCACACCTCAATCATCCCTCCTCTGTCCCTGTGGGAAACCTGTGGATCAGAGCGGACTCCCATTTTTCCCAGGAGGAGGATGCTAAAGTAGGAAGGTAAGGCCAGCTTTACAGTCGGGAGCATCTTTTTTATATTAAAAAGAGGCCTTGAGCAAACACTTGGACGTGAAGGTCAGCAAGATCTGGGTTTATTTTTCTAAGCATTTCCAAAGCAGGTTCCAAACCCCCACCCAGGGTCACCAACAAGATGCCCAGAGGAGCCAGGTGAGGAATGTGGGTGTGTGAACTGGGCCTAGTGGTGCTGAGACCCCATGCGGGAGGCAGATCCAGTCCAAAGGGAGGATCGAAGCGCAGCTGTTCACAACTTGCCATGCAGGAAGCCAGCCATTGTTGCCAGATCTTCTGATTGTTAGAAATCCAACTTGGTATGAGAAATTTCCTAATTTGTAAATGTTGGTTAACTAGTGTCAGCTGCTGCTTAAAGCCCTGAGCGTGTCAAATGCCATCTGTGGACAGGCTCAGGTCTTGAGCAATCAGAAACAGAGTTCCCTCACCTCTGCACACCCCTGAAGCCTGGACCATTCTTCCTTTACATCCTGCAACCACCCCCCGCCCCCCACTCAAATGTCACCTCCTCAGGAAGCTGCCCCAGATTCCCTGAGGCAAAGTGAACCTTGTGACCCAGAGCCTCACTACCTTCTCCTTCTTTTATAGTCCTTATCTCTCTATTATAGGTCTTATCTCTATAAACAAAGAATCACTAACATTAATTGGACACATACTGTCAGGCCCTCTGCTTCAGTATTTATGGTAACCTCTTTTTGGGGTACTATTATCATCCTACTTTACAGGCACAGAGAAGTTAAGTAACTTGCCCAGGGTCACAAAGCCAATAAGTGGCAGAACCAGGATTCAAACCCAGGTCATCCGGCTCCATCTTTCCTGCTATTCTTTGTTCAACCAATCCCCTTGTGACCTCAATTATTTTCCCGTCTGTTTCTCCCAGCAGACTGGGCACTCCCTGAAAGCAAGAATTGATCTCATTTCTCCCTCTATCCAGAGTACACAGCTCACATTCAGCATCTGTTGACTGAATGGGCATTGCTGCCTATCCTGGCTGCCGCGACAGCCCTGGAAGGCCCCAGGCAGGGTGGCAGGGGCTAGAATCCACTCCATTCTCCGCAGCTTAATGGGGTTCTGCAGAGGGCTTCAAGTGATGCTGCAAAGCCCCACACTGAGAAATGTCACTCCCATCCTGGCCCTGAGAGGGGACAGGGGCTTGGTTACAAGCTGGGACTAGCACCCAGGTTACTAACAAGTCCCAACAAGCTTCCCAAAGTCTAACTTCTACCAAACCAGGCACCCTCCGAGGCTCTGTCTCTGCCCAAGGCAAGCGCAGCAATGTGTCTGCCTCACGACTTCAACAACTTCGGGTCCAAAGTCAAGGTGCACTTGGGCCAATCATTCTTCTCCCTCCCGCAGCAAGAAAAATAACAATCCACCAAAAGATAAATGCAAAAAGAAGATGCACGTGAGAACGAGTCCACGTGGATGTGTAAGCACTTGCTCTAGAGACATAGTCACGGGGTTGCTTTAGGGCCAGTGCATGAACTTAATATGATCCCATTTTTGCACAAGACTTTTCTGCATTTTTCACCCCAATATTACTTGGCTGAAACCCCCGGTCCAGCCCCAGACCACCCTTGTTCAATCCCTGCAAACAAGGCCACATTTGGGTACTCATGGCTTATTCCACGCCTCCCCCCATGATAGACGTTCGCCTGAGCCCAGCCTCTGCAGCCACCGCCTTCCACCAAAGCAGATCCTTCCCCCTCCTTTGCTCACGGAGGAGTGAGGGGGAACTGCTGAGAGGAGGGGCAGATTGGCCAGGGAGGGGGCGATTGAGAACAGGAAGAAGATGGGGTGAGATCTGAGAGGCACGCTTTGGACACAATAAACAAGCCTGCTGCCTTGTTCAGAAAGGGACCCGGGACCCCCAATCCCACCAGAGCCCTAAAAGCATTAGTTCAAAGTTAAAGTTAGATACACGCAAAGCTGCAGCCCCCGGGGGAACTCAGAGCTCAAAAACAATACTCTCTTTGACTCAAAAACCACAAGGGAACACCCACGGCATACTTCTTGATTAAAAAAGGAAAGTGAAAAATAAGGTTTTCTTTTTTTCCTTCTTAATCATCATAAAACTAACTTGTGCCTATTCCATCAAGTCACGACTTCTGTTGGCCTCAAGCGAGCCCAATTCATGTTGGCCACAGACACGAGGGGCCGGGAAGCTTGGGCATGTCCTAGTGAACTGAACCGGTCCTTCTGAATGGTTGTCATTTCCTTCCTCTGCTTCCTTTAGCACAGGAAAGCCACCAAGGAGCCGCCTACGCCAGCACATCCATCACCCAGACTCCCAGGGCACTGTTCATCTGAGAGGCCAGACACAGCGGGGCTCACCAAAGCCTCAAAGCAGCAGCAACAACCTCTCAACCGCTGTTCTTGAGATAGATGAAGTACCTACTATGTGACAGGCACTGTGCTTGGGACTGGGGATGAAGCAACGATGAAGGAGATGAAAGATGAATGTGTGGCAGGGGGGTGGATGAGTAGGTGGGTGAAGGGGTTGGAAGGGAGGAGGAAAGGAAGAGAGAACATATATCAGGCTATGGAAAAAAAGAAACAAACAGAGGCCAGGCATGGTGGCTCACGCCTGTAATCCCAGCACTTTGGGAGGCCGAGGCAGGCAGATCACTTGAGGCCAGATCACTGGCCAACATGGCGAAACCCCATCCTTACTAAAAATACAAAAATTAGCCAGGCATGGTGGCATGCACCTGTAGTCCCAGCTGCTCAGGAGGCTGAGGCATGAGAATTGTTTGAACCCAGGGGGTGGAGCTTGCAGTGAGCCAAGATTGAGCCACTGCATTCCAGCCTAGGCAACAGAGTGAGACTTCATCTCAAAACAAACACCTAAGTAGAAAGACAGATGATGGCAGGAGAGAAAGGGGATCTATTTTGGTAGGAGAATCAGGGGAAGCTGCTTTGAGGAGGTGACAATTGAGCTGACAGCTGAATGAAGCAGAGAAAGTAGCCATGTGGATAGCTGGGAGGAGTGAAAGGCACGTGCAAAGGCCCTGAGGCAGGAGCCTACCTGGAGTGTTTGAGGAATAGCACAGAGGCCATTAGCAGGTGGGAATGGAGTGAGGGAGTGAGTGAGTGAGGAAGAGAGGCAGGCAGGGACCGGGTGACACGGCCTGGTCCACGGTGAGGAGCACAAGGCTACTCTGCATCTATACTCCGGGAGGGGAGACACAGGAGGGCTCAGAATGGGGGTGGTGTAGACCAAGGTACACTCTGAACAGATCCTCTGGCAGCTGTGTGGGGAGCAGATGAATGAAGGGTGCAAGTGGAGGCAGGGAAACCAGTTAGGAGGCTGTCACCCAGACAAGAGATGATGCTAGCTTGGCCCCAGGTGACAGAGGGGAGGAGGTAAGAAATGGTTGAGCACCCTACCCCGAGCCCAGCTCCCACACAGATGCACAGAACTGTGAGGAAGGCCAACAGGCCAACTGGATGCCCATAAAAGATCACAAGGCAAAGAGAAGCAGATGAGAAAGAGAAAGAGATTCAAAATCTAAAACGCGGCCGGGCACGGTGGCTCATGCCTATAATCCCAGCATTTTCGGAAGCCAAGGTGGGTGGATCACTTGAGGCCAGGAGTTCAAGATCAGCCTGACCAACATGATGAAACCCGTCTCTACCAAAAATACAAAAATTAGCCAGGCGTGGTGGCTAATACCAGCTGCTTTGGAGGCTGAGGCAGGAGAATCGCTTGAATCCGGAGGCAGATGTTGCAGTGAGCCGAGATCGCACCACTGCACTCCAGCCTGGATGACAGAGCAAGACTCCATCTTAAAAAAAAAAAAAGAAAGAAAGAAAGAAAGAAAAAGAAATCTAAAACACTTCTGCTTCCTACCTGTAAAAGCTTTACCTCAGGCAAGTCACATTTCTCTGGGGCTCAGTTTTTTCATTTGTAAGATAGTAGAACCCAATTCATGGGGTTACAATGGTTAATGCAAGTCTTCTCTTAATGTCTGGCCTATTGTACATGCTCAATAAGTAATACTTTTCTAACCTCTGCCTTTAATGATCTGAGTCGTGGCTCTGCCAATTTAGTTGCTGTATTATCTTTATATTAAAATTTCATATAATCTCTCTGAACCTCTATTTGGCCACCTGAAAACTGATCATGACAGTACCTACCCTCAAGTACTCAGTATGAGATTGAATGAGACAACTTTAGTTTAGCAAAAGGTCTGGCACGTAGGAATCCCTCAATAAAATGATAACCAGAGCCCTCAGTAAAATGGTAGCTGAAACCCTCAGTAAAATGATACATGAATCAGACACACCAGTCATCCAACTAGATGATTTCTAAGTCTCCTTCTAGCTCAATTATCCCCAAACTCTTTAAAAAAAATTTTTAATAGAAAAAATGACAGCTTAACAGCTTCAAGTCCCTGAATGAATCAACCCTGGAGTTGCAAGTTAAGGCAACCCAAGTTGAAGAGAAGTTGGAACTCCCACCTCAAAGTGAACAAAACTAAACATAGGCACTTCTACTTGGGTGATACCTATTACTCTGAGTCATAGAATTAAGTAAGTTTAGAGGTAGGAGGGAACTTACAGAGCCCTACCCACTCGTTTTAGGGCAGAGGCTCCTACAGCTCAGTGAGAAGTATGTGGGCTGAGGTTGCACAGCGAGGCTCAGGCAGAAGAGGAAGCCAAGAATGCTCCCACCCCTCCACCCTCACCCTCACCACCCCCCCCTCCACCCCCACCCTCACCACCACCCCACTCCCACCTCCACACTCACCACCCCGCACCTCTACCCTCGCCCTCACCCTCACCAACCCCCACCACCCCCACCCTCACCACCACCCCACCTCCACCTTCACACTCACCACCCCGCACCTCTACCCCCACACTCACCACCCTCACCCCCACCCCCACCCTCACCCTCCCAGGCAGTCTGGTCAGTCAGAGGGTGAGAAGGAGGAACCAACAAAAGCTCCATCCAAAAGAAAGGAAAAGAATGGAGTGGGAAGTGTTTTAGACTAGCAGAAACACCTTTCTTGCTATCAGAGTTCAACACAAACACCTTAAGGGGCCAGGCAAGTAATGAAAATGAGCTGGCAACCAGTGCAAAGACTGAGGAACCAAGTTCCCAACCTAAAGACACTCAAACACAGATGGTTTTTCTCTCTTAAACCATTATACCACCAGGGCCACTCACTGCTGGCTTGTCTGGCACTTTCATGCAGCTTCACAGCAGACAACACTTCCTCTATACCTTTGGCAGGTATGCGTCAGAACACTGTCTTAATAAACCTGCAAATGTGAATGGCACCCTCATGATACACACAGCTGTTGTGCCATGCACAGCCTGTGCAACTGTATCCAGTGACACACAGAAGATTTCCCTGGGTTATGAGTTGGGGACCTCTATCTACATTCCATGGTCTTATAAAAGGCACTGAAATGCCACAGGGAAGCTGACATGGAAACCAAAAACCTCATTCACCATCAACACTTAACTCCTGAATCAGACTCAGCTGGCTCCAACCTCTGTACTGATGCTCAAGGTGGACACCAAGCAAGCTTCTGCCTCAGGGCTTCAGCACTGGCTGCTCCCTTTCCTACCACGCTGGCTCCCAAGATAGCAACACAGCTTATTCCCTCACTGCACTCAAAATTCCATTCAAACGGCACCCCTTCAGGAAGTTCTTCCCTAAATAGCATCCTCACCACTTCCCAGTCACTTTCCATCCCCCATTCCTGCCTTATTTTTCTTCTTATAGCTTTTTTACAACCTGACAGATTGTGGAATTACTGATTTGTTATAGGTCTCCCTCCACCAGAAGCCCACCTCCACGAGAGCTCGGGATTTTATCTATTCTGTTCATTACTCTATCTCCATCTCCAGTCAGCAAACTTTTTCTGTAAAGGACAAGATAGGAAACATTTTAGGCTCTGCAGGCCACACATACAGTCTCTGTTGCAAGTACTCACCTCTGCTGCAGTGGTACAAAAGCAACCAGAGACAATATGCAAATACGTAGGTGTGGCTGTGTATCAATAAAACCTTATTTCAAAAAGCAGGTGATGCGCCGAATTTGGCTGGCATAGTTTGACGACTCTTTTTCTGGAATAATGTGTCTCAAACTCGAATGTGCACACAGATTAAGTTGCAGCAGGGCCTGAGATTCTGCATTCTTCATGAGCTCCCAGAGGATATCCAGGCCACCAATCCATGGACCAAACTGAGCAGGCAGCATCTAACACAATGCCTGGTATGTGGTAGAAGCCCAATGTTTGTTGAATAAATACAAGATAAGAGGAAAACCACTCATAATCCCACTCAACACTTTTATTGCTGCATTTTGACCATGGCACCATGCCCTTGCTAAACTATCTACTAATCAGGTTTTATCTTTACTGTTTGGGGTTTGTTTTGAGACAGGATCTCACTCTGTTGCCCAGGCTGGAGTGTGGTAGCATGATCACAGCTCACTGCAGCCTCCATCTCCAGGTTCAAGGAATCCTTCTACTGTAACCTCCCAACTAGCCAAGACTACAGGCATGTTCCACTGCGCCCAGCTAATTTTTTGTTTTTGTGTTTTTTTTGGTAGAGACAAGGGTCTGGTAATGTTGCCCAAGCTTGTCTCGAACTCCTGGCCTCAAGTGATCTTTGTGCCTCAGCCTCCCAAAGTACTAGGATTACAGGCATGAGCCACCATGCCTGGCCCTGCTGTATCATTTTCTGATGGATAGAGGAAGGAGAGACGGATAGATACATGACAAGGCAAGTGTGTCCTGAGGGTTTATTTTATGTCACTAAGCCAGGGTTCAAGCAAAGGCAAGGTTTAATCAATATTCACCTGATACAGGTTCCAAAAACTATTCCTAGGACAGCATTTACAGTTTTACAATAAATGTCAAATAGGAACATGGGATTCACTTAGTAGAAACCTCAGTTTCATGGGAAGAGCCTACTTGGTTAAATAAATGATGTCAAGAGGATCAATTCAGCTTCACTTCTTATTCAGAAAAATGAAAATGCAATGGCTTCCTAAGTTGAGCAGTAATAACTGTCTTGATCATTTATTAGGAAGGTAAAATGTGCTGAGCAGTATGCCAAATCCTTCATACATTATAATTCTGATAATGACGGCAACAAAGACCACGAATACAACCTCAAGCACAAACACAGACTATCTCTGGCGGGATGTCCAGAGAACCAATGGCACTGGGGCTTAGGAAGACGAGGTGGCCACCTAGGTATGAGGGAAGACCTTGCCCTGTACACAGCTTGTATTAATACCTTTCAAATTGTGCACCATGTGAATGCATTTCCCCAAAATCAATTTATGAAAGAAACTAGAGCAGTTTGCACTTGGCACTGTGCTAAGTGGTGTTTTACACACGTTCTCATTGACTCCTGTAAAAATCCTAAAAGACAAGTAACATTCTCTCCAATTTGCTTCTTCGGCAAATTGAAGCCCCAGAAGGTCAAATTATCCTTGCTCACAGTCATGCCACTAGTATGGTGAGAACAACTCAGGCTGGAGGGCAAGGGTCAGGTAGGTCCCATGACCATCTCAATGTACCACCATTTGCACTGGGAGCTCATCCTCCTGGAGGAGGCGGGCATCGGAGGGCCCAGGCTCAGGCCACTAGGCTCCCCAGGTTCTACTCTCAGATGCTTCTGGGCCCAGCTGCCCTGGGTCAGGCCACTCACAGGAGGACATGCTTGGGGGTGTCAACAGCAGCCCACAGCGAGGCTGCACCTGCCCCATGAGCCACTGTTGTTCTACCTCTGCCTGGGAGGGGCCTTCAGGCTGCTGTAGCCAAACACAGGGAGAGGAGGCTGGGGCAGGGTAGATACCAATGGATGACAAAAGCCTGAACAACCTGATGAAGAAACAATCTCACTTGATGCTTGACCAGCCTGGATTTATTTCCTGAATGTTTGAGACAGAGTCTTGCTCTGTCACCCAGGCTGGAGTGCAGTGGTGCAATCTTGGCTCACTGCAGCCTCTGCCTCTCGGGTCCAAGCAATTCTCCTGCCTCAGCCTGCTGAGTAGCTGGGATTACAAGCATGCACCACCACATCCAGCTAATTTTTGGGGTTTTTTTGTTTGCTTGTTTTGAGATGGAGTCTTGCTCCTGTTGCCCAGGCTGGAGTGCAATGGCGCAATATTGGCTCACTGCAACCTCCGCCTCCCGGGTTCAAGCGATTCTCCTGCCTCAGCCTCCTGAGTAGCTAGGATTACAGGCATGCACCACCACACCCAGCTAATTTTGTATTTTTAGTAGAGATGGGGTTTCTCCATGTTGGTCAGGCTGGTCTCGAACTCCTGACCTCAGGTGATCTGCCCGCCTCAGCCTCCCAAAGTGCTGGGATTACAGGAATTTTTGTATTTTCAGTAGAGCCGGGGTTTCATCATGTTGGCCAGGCCAGTCTTGAACTCCCGGCCTCAAGTGATCCACCAGCCTCGGCCTCCCAAAGTGCTGGGATCATAGGCATGACTCAAAGTACCTGGCCTGTTTCCTGAATTTTTCAAAATGCTAGAGCAACAATGAGAGCCCCCAGGAGCAACCTGGAAAATTATCTCAAGGTCGTTAAAGATTTCCATTTCTTCACCACTAAGGAACTTATTCATGCAACCAAACACCACCTGTTCCTCAAAAACCTATTGAAATAGACAAAAACAAACAAACAAAATGATTTCCATTTCTTCTTTGTGGCCTAAGCAGTTAAGAGCGTGGGCTTTTGAGCTGGACTACCTAGGTTTAGTTCGTGGTTCCCCCAATTCCTGTGTAACCTTAGACAAGTTGCACAGCCTCTCTGTGTCTCAAGTACTGCCTAGAAATATTAGGAGGATTACATCCATTTATGCATGGAATGCACTTAAACTTACTCAGTAAATGCTGTCACCTCCCCTGCAGTCTTCAAAATAACCTGATATAGACTCAAATATGTGAGAACAGCAGGAGCTGAGTTTTGTGAGCTCAAGTGTGCAGGCGCAGGGGAAAAAAAAGACTAAAAAGAAATACACCAGCAATAAGAGTAGTTCACTCCAGGTCATGAAGAGTGCTATCTAGTTCCTTTTTTTTTTTTTTTTTTTTTTTTTTTTTTTTGAGACGGAGTCTCGCTCTGTCACCCAGGCTGGAGTGCAGTGGTGCGGTCTCAGCTCACTGCAAGCTCCACCTCCCGGGTTCACACCATTATCCTGCCTCAGCCTCCCGAGTAGCTGGGACTACATGCGCCCGCCACCATGCCTGGCTAATTTTTTTGTATTTTTTTAGTAGAGACAGGGTTTCACTGTGTTAGCCAGGATGGTCTCACTCGATCTCTTGACCTTGTGATCTGCCCACCTCGGCCTCCCAAAGTGCTGGGATTACAGGCGTGAGCCACCACGTCTGGCCATTTCCTGTACTTTTAAAAAAATGAATACACATTAAAGAGCTAAAAATAAAGTAAAATAATTGAATAAAAATACAGGGGCACAGACACACAAATACATATCGGTGTACATACACATTGTATATATATGTGTAGGTGTGTGTATATATATATATATGAATATATATAATTTATATGTGTATTTGTATGTGTCTCTGTGTATACATATACACATGCATACGAATGAAATTTTTCGAACCTGTGCCAGTATTCAGAATAGGCCCCCGCTAAGCTGTGGACTTGAGAACCACACCGTGCAATGGAAATGGCTTGGCCAAAGTGCCCAACAGAATGCTTTTACGTTCAGCTCTCCCACATCCCAGATGCTTGGCCTTGAGGAAGTCCTTTGACCTCAAGAGTATCAGTTTCCCAGGCTGCAGGCTGGGTGTCGTTGTCGTGGCATCGTTTGAGGACAAGAGCTGCGCACAGAACACATAAGAAATGGTGAGAGGGAACGCCCTCCACACCGTCTGCCCCTAACTCACACCCATGCCAGCTCAGAGGTCGCGGCATGAAACTAAAGCCTCCACATGAGAACAAATGCTCCTTTTTAAAATCCTAACACGATGGTTCAGAGGACAAATTAATAAGAAAAACAATGAGCATATCTTGAGCTCTCATCGCAGGCAGGGCCCTGTTTTGGCACCTCACCAATTTAATACCCATTTAACCTTTGCAATGACCCTGGGAGGCAGGCATTCGTCTCAGCCTCCTGAAGAGCAATGCAACCTTGAAAAAGCCACTCAGCTTCTCCGAGCCTCAGTTTCCTCAGCTGTAAATGGGGTTAATGGCAGCGCCACTATCTCTCCAAGCAGGCACACAGGAAAAGCTCGGCCAGGGTCAGCCTGCTCATCACTGGCGATGAGGTGCTCGTTGGGGAAGGTGAGGCTCAATGCCTCTGAGCCTTGGTTTCCTCATTCACAGAGCAGAGGCTGCATGCCTGCCCAAGCCATTGAGCCATTCCACATCATGTGCTTGTCAGATAGTAAGTGCTCAGTAAACATGCATGACTATTGCTAGAGTCGGCCCATAGTCTTCTAGGAGGTTCAGAATGAATGACTTTGACATTCGCAATGTCTCCCAGGATCCAGAGGAAACAGAGCCCCGTGAGAAGCCATCACCTCCCCGTGTTCCTCCCCACCCACCCAGCCCCACCTCCCCACATGCTCCAGTTCATGACTTTATTGTCAACGGAGCTAGTGCCTTCCGAGGCCGTTAGGAGTCTCATTCATGGGACTAAATTAGAAAATGCTCAATGTTCAATAAAGAGGTCTTGGCCTCCACACCCACTAAACCCACAGGGTACCAGAAGGGCAGCAGGGCCAGCTGGTGACACGGACACTCCTATGAACATCAGCCTCGGCCTGCGGACGGGTTGCAGCGAGATGGCTCGGGGGCCTGCGAAGTGGTCCCAGGTGTGGTCATGGTCCCCTCTTGTGGCATGTTGCAGCTGACAGGTGCTTAGAAACCCACCTAAAGCAGATGTCTCCTTTCCCATATAATCAGAGAAAATCAGCTTCACCTAAGGTCCCTCAGTGGCGAGGGCGGAGGCAAGGGCAGAACCTGAATGCCTGACCCTAGGTCCAGGACTCAGGTCACATGGCCAGCCAGGCACTGCGCTGAGCTGCCGCAGAGGACCCTTTCTAAAGCCTGTCCCATCTCACTCTCACATCCAGCCCCGGCTGGAGCGCTCCACAGGCGTCTGGGCTCAGCCCATGTGCTCATTGTACCCCATGCCTGGGGCGTGATGCTGCTGCCAGCAGGTGGATGAATGAGTGAGTGGGTGAGTGAAAGATAAGAACCCAGAAGTTCAAAGCCAAGGCCAGGGCTTCATTGCTGACCAGCTGCCTGACTTTAGGTATGTGAGCTTCACTTCCCTGTGCCTCTCACCCCTCGTCGAACAGGAATAATAGCAGCCCCGACTCACCATGTGGTTGCAAGGATGAGCTAAGATCATGTCTGTAACAAACAGCGTGTAAATAAACAACTCTCAGAACTCTCAGAGCCCCCTCCGTATCATAGCCTGGTCTCAGACGTGGTTAATTCAACCAGAAAAAGCTGGAACAGGCTCAGGAATCTAAGGCTCGTAGAGCTCAAAAGTGATCTATGTCTAGATGGCCTTCTCTCTCAACGAAAGAACAACAGATGAAATGCCTTCTCTGTGCCAAAGATCACACTGGAACTTTTGTTTAGCATCCTAACTATGCTCAACAAACACAAAACAAATAGCCTGACAGACGTAAGTCTACATCACTTTATCATTGAAGAAACTACTGCCCAGTGAGTCTCCCAGAGTCCCAAAGCTACCAAACCCTAGAGCTGCCTCACTTCGAACCACCCGCTTCGTCTACTTCCAAGAGGCAGCATGGGCCAGTGGTCAACAACATGGGCTGTGGCTGCAGACGTCCTATGCCCCAATCAAGCAGCATCGCGCGCTGGCTGGGGGTGACCCCTGGCAAGCTGCTTACCCGAACTGTGTCCCAGTTTCCTTGCCTGTAAAATGAGCATAGTAATCCTACCACCTACACTCTATGGCATCGCTGCAAAGACTAACTAGGTCACTCTAAAGAAAGCACATGGTGAAGTGTAGCTCCAGCCATTATGCCACCCTGCCCAGCACACACGAGGGCCCCAACATTTATTTGTGACACAAATAAAGTTTCTTCTATATTGTTCCTCTTGGTTGCCAGAAATACTGCAAGTTTCAGACTTAATCTCCCTTTTGGCAACAGCTATTTCTCCAAGATTCTGGAAGCCTTCTGTTTTCTGCCTATGTCTGGGGACAACACTTTACTGAGGCTCATTCCTGACAATCTCCCTTCTACTGTGGGCTGAAAGCACCCCTCAGTGAACCTCCGTGTCTTCAGTTAGAAGATGAGTTAGCAGGCGGGCCGGTCTCACCACGCCACCTCTCTGCCTGCGCCAGCCCCGACCCTGGCGCACCCTCCCCCTCTCTCCACCTCTCACCTCGGAGGCCAGGGTGCAGGTCTCAATCGTTTCACAAGTCCATCCTCGACCACTGCGGGCATCCCTCAGCCGGGGACACGTGCGGCGGGGCAGAGAGCAGTGCCACAACTGGCCCACGGGTGTACCTGGTTTGGACTGTAGTCTTTTTCAAATTTTAATGAAATCACCAGTCTCATCAAAAGACTGGTATAGACAAGGAGGAGGTGGTGAGGATGGCTCCTCAAAAGTCGGCCTCAGAACCCCCACATCACACACCCCGCTCTGCTACTCCCCACCCCATCCCCGCCTCCATCTTGAAGTGAAAAGGCTACATCAAGTCACCTCTAAAAGATGCTTTCCCTCTAAAAATAGCAGGAGTCTCGGCAGGGATGAACAGGGTCCCTAGAGACTCTGGCCTTTCCCAAGGCTACAGCCCCAGACAGACAGATGCCACCCCTCTTGCAGCCAGTCTCAAAAAAATCCAGTTAGCCTGACTTTCAAAACATGCTCTGACTCTAACCCCTTCTCCTGCTCCCCCATGCCCCCACCCTGGTCCAGCCACCATCCCCTCTGGCCTGGGCCTCTGCAGCAGCTTCTCCCTGTCCACACCCCAGCAGAGGGATCCTGCTGACACCTACGTCAAGCCAGGCCCTCCCAGCTCCCGCCTCGCTCAGAGTCCAAGTCCTCTAACTAAACATGTGCGAGGCCCACGATCCGCCCCCCTATCCTTCCCCTTCCCCTGCCCTTCCCACACAGGCCTCCTCTCTGTTCAAGATGTCACCCAACTCAGCCCTGCTCTCTCCTCAGCCTGGAGAGGTCCCTGCAGCTTCCACGTGGGCACCTCCTTCTTTGCCCAAATGTGGCTTTCCCAGGGAGATCCATCAAACCACTCCCAATTCTCCTTGGCCTGATAGTTTTCCCCATAGGACTTATCACCTCCCAACATACTATTTCATTTTCCTATTTAACATACTATTTAAAATTTTCCTATTTATAAGCTATATTGCTATCTCCCCCTAGCCAGCACATCAGCTCCACAGGGCCAGGGATTTTTGCCTGTGGTTCACTGCCATATTCCCAGTGCCAAGCACACAGTAGGTGCTTGGTAAGTATTTTTAATAAATGAGCAAATGAACCCCAGTGATCTCAGAACATTCTCCTCCTCCAATTTTTTGGAAGCCTGAGTGACCCGGCCACCACCTCTTTCCCTTCCCCTCCCCAGGAGGTCCAATGGAACCTTCTGTAGATGCCAACACAGCAGCCCTGATCAAGACAAATTAGCATCAGCAAGAACTACTTCCTGTCTCACGTCCCCAAACACAAAATTTTATTAGACAAATAGAAGCTAACACACCCAGCCAACTGCTAAAGGAGCACTGCTTACTGTCACGAGTGCAGCTTTCACCTGGAAAGGAAAAAATCCCATCTGGCTTGCTTCTTCCCTTCCTTAGATATCATTTCAAGTAAGTTGCAGTTAGCATAAAAGCTGAAATCCAACAGAATGAGCATCCACGTCCCATAATCCATTTTATGAGGTTTTGAAAGACTGGAGACTTTACCAGCTCCTCCAGCCCAGGAGGCAGTAGCCTGGACAGGTGGGCCTCAGGCCCTCACTCACCTCCCTGCAAAGCTCATTACTGTTACCGGGAATGAAATGGCCATCGGGTTTCCGCATCTGCAAGGAATTCCTCGTAACAGAGCTACCCATGTTTTTTCCACATGTCTGAACATCTGCTTGAAAGAACCAAGAGGACTCTTTGGAGGTGAGTGCGACGCTTCCACGTTCTCATATTTTGATCACTCCCTAAAAGGATGGCGTTCTGATTATTCTTTCCATTAAACATGCATCCCAGAGAGTTGTAAGAATAACATTTTTTGAAAGCCCCAGCACAAGGATGGATAAGGAATATACCAAAGTATCCCCTCCAGGGAATTTCTGTGCAGAATATGGTTAAAGGGTTTGGAAGCCGCCAGGAAAGGATTAAATGACAATGGCGTTATACAGGCCACTCTCAACTGGGATATTATTAGACCTCATAAGCTGAAGAACTATGGAAACACTTAAAGCCCAACCTTGCAAAACCGCTCTGAATGGATGTTTTGTCCACCGGAGGACCACTGCATCCTGTCCTGAAACAGGGCGAGGAATGATGGCAGGGCTCCACCAAAAGCGTGTGGCTCTTTTGAGATGAATCAAGTGGTTCCCCTTTTCATCTGATACCTGCAGACCAAAGTCAGGCTTGTGCATTAAGATTCATTGGTTCCTCTGAAAGAACCCTAGACTTGTTCTACTTCAATAAGATTTAGAACTTTTTTATTTATTTGTTTGTTTTTTTAGAGACATGGTCTCACTCTGTCACCCAGGCTGGAGTGCAGTGGCACGATCACAGCGGACTGCCGCCCTGAACTCCTGAGCTCAAGCAATCCTCTTGCCTCAGCCTCCCAAGTAGCTGGGATTACAGGTGTGAGCCACCACACTCACCTGAGATTTAGGGTTTTATAAGAGAAACTACCTCGATCCGGCTGTTAACAGGGTTCGTTCTGTAACTAGACAATTCTTAGAAATCATATAAATATAACCTCTCTCTTATCTCCCTTCCTATTTGATAAACCTTGAAGTAGCACCATTCTTATTTATTCCAGATGATGTGAACTGAAGCATATTTGCCATGAGCCAAATTCAACCCAAAGTTTGATTTATGGCCAAAACTGAAAAATCAGAAATTTCACATAAAAATTCCAACTCCTAGCTCTTGGGAAAGAAGAAAAAACAAAACCTATAAAACCTGGCAACATTCCACCCACATTCCCACATGTCACAGCCTATAGGGACTGAACAGCAACTGCCTCCTGAGGCAAGACTCACATGCCGCTCTGCCCTACTCCCCACCACCCCCTGTTGCTCCCTGACATTTGGTCAGTTCAGTCATTTCCTTTCATTGCCTGGCCCTCCTGGGCTTGTCTGTTTGTGATCTTGTTTATACAGTCTCTTCTTTGCTTCTTCCTTAGTCCACTGCTTCTAGAGAGAGGCGCATTGTTACTGAGGGTGTGGACAGTCAGTCCTTGCAAGTGGGTGCTTGCTGGGGCCTCTGGTGATGCAGCGTGTGGCCCCGAGGCATCCCACAGGCCTGAGAGCAAGTTGAGGACTTTGCTTCTGAGCTCCAAGCTCATATATCCAACTGTTTACTTGACATCTTTGCTCGTGTGCCTTGGAAGCCCTTTGTACCTTCTATGCCCCAAAGAGAACTTGCAATCTTCCCCCAAGAAAACACTTTCTTTCCCAAGTCCTTCTCCGCCATCCATCCAACCGAACCATCCACTCAGTTGCTCCTTTACCTCCCATACCTAAGTCCTGAAGATCACATTATAGAGTCCATAGCTTCCGCTCCCACTGCCACCTTCTAGTCCTTACCACCTTGATCTTTCCCCTGGTACTGCCACAGGCTAACAATCTCATCTCCCTGCTTCTTCCGTAACTTCTTCTAATCTAGTCCCCAGGGAGAAACCTGAGTGATCTATAAAATGTTAAATCAGAATCAAGTTCCTCCTCTACTCAAAACGTATCATGTCTTCCCCTTGCCCTGGAATAAGCAAAATTTCATCTCCTCACCTTGGCTTTTAAGCCCTGCACAGTTTGGGCCTGCCAACCATCACCCTGCAAGCTAAACTTGAATGACACTGGCCCTCCTTCAGCTCTTCAGCCACACACAGTCCTTCCCTGCCTCAGGGCCTTTGCATGTGCTGTGCTCTGTGTGTAGAACACTCTCCCCCGACTAAGAGAGACAGAGAGCACGGAGGAGGAGGAGGACATCATTTGTCTCTTTGCTGGTTCTATGACCTGTTCCAGGTCCCAGCTGACAAGTCACCTCCTCAACGAGACACTCTTTCTAAAGTAGGTCTTCCAAGTACCATCTCTTGTCATGGTTTGTTCTGTAGAAGCAGTTCCTCCCAAGCGGTGAATCCAATGGACAAGCTTCTAATCAGCCATCACGTCCCACCGTGAGTCCAGGCATCAGCCCACAGATCCCCTCCAAGTGGCCGCCATCTGGCCTCTCAGGCCTCCCTGACCAACTCAAACCATCCTAGTCCACTTTCCCGCAGCCCCTGAGCTCCCTCAGGGCATGAGCTGTGCTGATCTCACCAACGTTGTATCACCTGCAACCAGCACAGTGCCTGGCACATGGCAGGTCCCCAGTGAGACATTCCCCATACAAATGAGTCATGAGATCTGACAAGCACTTAAGGTTTGGGAACAAACTTTCTCCCAAGACCAAGTACCATTCAAAAAAAGCAATGAAGAGAACAGCTGAGCATGGCATATGTTTAAGATTTTTAATTGTACACTTAAGGATAAAAAATGAAATGGTCTTATATTCATTTTCTTTTTATATAAAGAGGAGCTTAAAACCACTAGGCATGAAAAAAGAATGAAGTTCTATAGTGAGGCAAATAAAAGAGAGAAGGGTGGAGACTGAGTAACTGAGAGGGGAGAAGAGGCTGTGGTTCAGAAATAGAAACAGATACAGAGATAAAGAGTGAGACAGAAATCAACAGAGAAGCCGGCGGAAGCATTCAGGCAAGGTACAAAGCAGGCTACACTGCTCTTCTGGATATGAAAGGGGCAGTGCTGCAGATTCCAGAAGGAGTTTTCACACTCCCTTGAAGGGTAAGAGCAGCAATCCTCTTAAAGTCCACTCTTTTCTCAATTTTTCCAAGAAGTTTTTTTTTTTAAACTGACTTCCCATGCTAAAAATCAGTAATTAGCATGACTTATTTTGAAAAAACATAATCTATTCAAATGACTTTTTAAAAAGACTCCACTTTTTGTCTTTTAAAGAGACTTGTCTGCAAGTTTTTAAATCATATATTGGATCTTCAAAGTTACAGGCACTTGGGCCACTTGTGGTGGCTCACACTGTAATCCTAACACTTTGGGAGGATGAGGTGGTAGGATCACTTGAGCCCAGGAGTTCAAGACCAGCCTAAGCAACGCAGGGAGACCATGTCTCTACAAAAAAGGAAAAAATTAGCTGGGCATGGTGGTAACACGCCTATAGTCCCAACTACTCAGGAGGCTGAGGTGGGAGGATCACTTGAGCTCAGAAATTCAAGGCAGCAGTGAGCAGTGATCATGCCACTGCACTCCAGCCTGGGTGACAAAGCAAGATCCTATCTCTAAAATAAGCAAACAAATAAACAAACAAACAAAGTCACATGCATGAAGAGGCAAGAGTCCTTGGGAGCTATCAGAGGGAGAAGCACAAACTTCAGGGACAGCCTAGCAGGTGTCTCCTGGACTGTACACTCAGCCCATTCCCTTCTCTGGAAATTTCCAGGGCCCCAGCCCCTGATGAATGGGTGAGCTGAGCCTCACTCCTCATGCAGCCCAACCTCCAGGCCACAGCCTACTGGACCAATGGGCGGCACCCTCCCAAGACAGGGCCAATCAGCATCTCCCTGAGAATCAGGATTTAGCTCCCATGAGGTGATGACAAGGCTCATACTGGAACAGCATGCAAAACTAGGGGGAATGGAGTGGCCCGCAGGAGGCGTGGGCATTTCCCCTTCAGGCTTTTTCTGCACAAGTGAGAAGGCAGGAAGAGCTGGTCTGCAAAGAGACGTGGATGATCAGATCTACTGTGCTGCAAATAGAGCTTGCGGTATCCAAATCCCAGCTCCACCATTTAATAGCCATAACCTTGAACAAGTCCTTGACAGCTACTTGACCTGTTACCTGCATCATAAGGCTCTTTTGAGGATTAAATAAGTTAACACATATGCAGCACTTGGAACAGGATCTCACAGGCAGCAAATGTTTTCTAAATGTTTATTATTACTATCATCTTGCCAAAATGTAAGCTCATGATGGTGAGAATTTCCAGCTGTTTTGTTCATATCATAACCCAGAATCAAGCACCATGCCTGGTACATAGTAGGTGCTCAATAAACATCTTTTGAATAATCAGTGAATGAAGATGCCACAAAGCCAGAAATGGATACAGATTCTCTCTCCTTAAGACTTAAAATTGTTTGGCCAATGCATTTAATGAGCAGATTCATTCTCCAAGTATTTGTTGAGTGCCTGCTATGTTTGTGGCAGCAAACTGTGCTTGATGGTGATATACAATGAAGAATAAGAAGGAAGTTGTGGTCTCTTTTAAACAAAGCTCATGGTCTAAGAGAGAGAGACATTGACAAAATAATTATGCAAATGTTAGAATTACAAGTAGTGGCAGGTAGCATGAAGGAAAGGTGCATGGAGCTGTGGACACATAAAACAGAGCACTTGGCCAGGCACGGTGGCTCACGCCTATAATCCCAGCACTTTGGGAGGCCGAGGTGGGTGGATCACTTGAAATCAAGAGTTCAAGACCAGCCAGACCAATATAGTGAAACCCTGTCTCTACTAAAAATACAAAAATTAACCAGGCATGGTGGCGCACACCTGTAATCCCAGCTACTCAGGAGGCTGAGGCAGAGGAATCACCTGAACCCAGGAGGCAGAGGTTGCAGTGAGCCAAGATTACACCACTGCACTCCAGCCTGTGTGACAGAGTGATAGACTCTGTCAAAAAATACATATATATATTACATAAGGCAATTGCTCTCAGGATTGGACGGCAGGAATCAGAAGACTGCGGTCCCCAAGGGAGAGGAAGTGCACAGGTGAGCCCACCTTCATTTCAGCTCTCTGCCTGGGGACAGCTCCCCTGCCACGTGCAGGAAGTAGCATCTGAGCAGAGCACAGTGGTCCCGCTGTGCTGAGGATTCCTGAAATAATCCTGGATTCCTGGCACCGCTCAGAGTGCCAGGCTGTGGAAACTGCTGGAATCGGTGGCATCAGAGAGGAGGAAGCTGCTGGGGGAAACCCTCAACTCTTTGGCCAAGGGCTGGGCTGTGTAAGCACAGGGAGAGATGGTGCGAGGTTTACCAGAGAGGGGCTGCTATGGGGTGGAGAGAACAGAGAGACTAAGAGTGCAGCGGAGCTGGCATATGGGAATTCCAGCCCACCAGATTAAAGAGACCTCCCCACCAAGCATCCAAAATGGCCATGCCTTCAGAACAGGCACATGCCTCAGAGGAAGGGCTACTCCAGGCCTGCCCTAATGGGGCCTAAAACCAATCCTCAAATAAAATACAGAGAAGACAGTTTAAAATCTAAGCCCCATCAAGTTAGATACACCTTGTGCTTTCCACAGATCCACCTGATGAAGCACGAAAGAAAGTTCAGAATGTCTACCACATCCAGTATATATCATCACGATGTCAGAATGCAGTCGACAACTACTAGACAGGCAACACAACAGGAAAATGGGACTCATGGTCAAGAACCAAAACTCAATGAATAGAAACAGATTCCAAGATGGCTATGGTGTCTGATTTAAAAAAAAAAAAAAGCAATTGTCAGGACTTACAAGTTCTTAATATTATCATAGATGTCCTTAATCAGAGGTACACACCCAAAGCACCTGTGGAGATTTGGGGAGTTTGCTGTTTTTCATTTGTTTGTTTGTTTACCTGGGCTTTACTCATGTTATATAGTTTCTAATTTAGTTTCAGAATGCCCAACAATCTGAATTTTTAAGAACCACCCTAGAGGTTCTGATGCACACTATAGATTAAGAACCAAGTTTTATCATATTAATAGGATACTTCTACTTTAAGGCAAATACCAAAAAAAGTTATATTAATTTAAATGTATTAAAGGTTCTAGTTAATTGACTTGTTAGTGGGCACCAGTCAGTTGTTCCTGGTTAACCAGATTATACAATTAAGAATATTTCAACTCCAATTATTTTGGGGAAAAATAGGCACACTTCTCTACTTATTTTGAAAAAAAAATCTGAGGTTAAATCAAAAGCCACAGACACACAAAAAAGCTACTGATTAAGAAAAAAACAAAAGGAAATGCTCATGGCAAAATGTAAACTTAAAAAATCAGAGTACAATCTACATGTTCACTATAGAATTAAGAATAGAAATATATGGTAACAGAGGCTGGCGTGTTTGTGAATAGAAAAAAGAAAGGCAATATATAAAAATACTAATATAGCTATTTTAGGTAGTTTGATAATGTATAGTTTTAATTTTTCTTACTTTTCTATATTTTACAAAAATTACCATTTTTTCTTAATGAACTCTTCATCTGAAACTTAAGGTGATGGTTTCAGAAACCTTCTGTCAACACACAAACCTCTGCAAAACTCTAGCAGTTTCTCCATCAGAAAGAGAAGGGAAGAAGCATCCGGGCACATGAATATCATTTCTATCCTTATCCTGCTGAAGAAGACTTTCTCTTCTGGCTTATGAGTAGCTGGATTAGCTTCTAATGCTAATTTAATCTCATATTTCTCATTCCTCAAAGGAGTAAGAGGCTGAGACACATACCTCACCTTAACAAGCAACAAACAGTGGGTCAGCAGAAGTGAATCTCTTAGTGACAAACACCACACACAAAAGGAAGAGCATTCAAGTCCATACCTGAACCACAGGGTGGCCTCCAGTTGGAGCTTTGACAGCCCCTCGGCTGCCTTCTGTCTCATAGTGGGCCCGGTGATGTGGCTTGGGCTGCACCTCGATCCGCAGCTCGTAAGAGCCTGACTGACTGGACAGCGGCCACTCAAGTGGAGGGAGGGATGCAGTCACTGGGATGCTAAAGGAGAAAATAAAATCAGCCATGTGTGCAATAAACCAAAATTAGTCAACTTGTACAATAATTGTAAACGGCCCTTTCTGAAAATCATGGATACAGTCATGTATTGCTCAACAATGAGGATACGTTCCGGGAAATGCACCATTATGTGAACATCAGAGTGCACTTACACAAACCAAGATGGCACAGCCTACTACATACCTACACTATATGGTATAGTGGCTCCTAGGCTACAAACCTGTACAGCATGTGACTGTACTGAATACTGTAGGCAATGGTAACACAATGGGAATTATTTGAGTATCTAAACTTATCTAAACACAGAAAAGGTACACTAAAAATACAGTATTATGGCTGGGTGTGGTGGCTCATGACTTAATCTCAGCACTTTGGGAAGACAACATGGGTGGATCACTTAAGCCCAAGAATTTGAGGACAGCCTGGGCAACACGGAGAGACCCTGTCTCTACTAAAAATACAAAAAAAATCAGCCAAGCAATGTGGTGCATGCCTATAGTCCCAGCTACCTGGGACGCTGAGGTGGGAAGATCATCTGAGCCCAGGAGGTCAAGGTTGCAATGAGCTGTGATTGCACCACTGCACTCCAGACTGAGGGACCAGAGTGAGACCCTGTCTCAAAAAAAAAAAAGAAACAAAACAAAACCAAAAAACAACACAAGGCTGGGTGCAGTGGCTCATGCCTGTAATCCCAACACTATGGGAGGCTGAGGTGGGCAGATCACTGGAGGCCAGGAGTTCGAGACCAGCCTGGCCAACATGGCGAAACCCTGTCTCTACTAAAAATACAAAAATTAGCTGGGCTTGGTGGTGCATGCCTGTAATTCTAGCTACTCAGGAGGCTGAGGCATGAGAATCACTTGAACTTGGGAGGTGGAGGTTGCAGTCAGCTGAAATTGCGCCACTGCACTTTAGCCTGGGTAACAGAGAGACTGTCTCAAAAAAAAAAAAAAACATAAACAAAACAGTATTATAATCTTACGGGACCACCCCCACATATGGGGTCCATCACTAACCAAAATGTGATCATGGGGGGCATGATTGTATGTGAACAAAATGCTGAGGCAGCACATATTTCTTACACATGACAGGTAGAACTGTTCACAGGGTAGAGATCTTCCTCTTTGCTTTCTCTTCCACCTTGATAAAGACAGTGTGAGCAACTTCTCAATTAATGAAGCTTATGTTAGTTCTAGCATATTTCTAACTGCTGTCCCTTCTTTTCCCCTGGGAATTTTGAAAAGCATCACTATGGATTTATGTCACCATGTCCTGAGTTTTCACATATGGCAGAAATCATTCATCAGAGTATTTTTTCCCAGTTAGCTCAGGGCTGCTAGGAGCTGACACTATCAGCTGGGCTTGGTTAAGCACTTGCAATAAAGCCAATTCTATGTCTTCTCTATCACAGCAGTACCAAGGGGAGCCCAGGGGGTAGCACCTCCATAAACTTCATCTGTGCCAGAGTCCAACTTAAACATTTCATCCAACTTATAATCATATCCTCCCTGTGCAAGCAAATCTCCTCCCCTTCTTTCCAACCACATTGCCTCCTGAAATCCCTCTTACCCTGCAGTCCTTTTTTTTGAAGTTTCATATTCTTTAATTTTGAAATATCGAAAATGGATTCAAATGGACTAACATTATCAAATAATCACTCACATCTAACCATATGATTTCCATATAGTTTGATACAATGATAAAAAGAAAACAAAAATTACAATGAAATAGAGTTGACTTTAAAGAATATTTAACTACTCATTCATTTATTGACTACTGCAAATTTTTCACTCTCTAGGGCTATGACATGAACCATGAAGTATATTTTTAATTTTTTCTTTTTTTAAAATATGGGCTCTTGCTGTTATCCAGTCTGGAGTACAGTGGTGCAATCATAGCTCACTGTAGCCTCAAACTCCTGGGCTCAAACTATCCTCCTGCTTCAGCCTCCTGAGTAGCTGGGAACACAGGTGTATGCAACCAGGCCTAGCTAAGTTTAAACATTTTGTGGCGGGGCCAGCTGGGATTACAGGTGTGAGCCACTGCGCCTGGCCACTCTGCAGTCTTAGGGTATCCAAAGTGCCTTTATTTTACCTTAGTTACAGTGCCAACATGCTTTCAAGCTTCTGCCTGCAACCAACGAGCCACACGTGTCAAACACTTTTACCCATATCATATACACAAGTGAAAAGTTTTTAAAGGTTTACAAACTATGACTCCTTAAAAAACCACTTTAGCCCTGTATTAATATGCTTTAAAGCACCAAAAATTTTGTGAGAAGAAAATTCAGCGGCATATCCCCAGGTATCAATTTATACTTTTGTTTGGTTCCGAAGTAGGTATTTGATGCTGAAATACAATCTGAAGAAGTAGAGCATGCCTGTAATCCCAGCACTTATGGGAGGCTGAAGCGGGTGGATCATGAAGTCAGGAGATCAAGACCAGTCTGGCCAACATGGTGAAACCCTGCCTCTACTAAAAATACAAAAAAAAAAAAAAAATTAGCCAGGCATAGTGGTGTGTGCCTGTAGTCCCAGCTACTCGGGAGGCTGAGGCAGGAGAATCACTTGAACCCAGGAGGCGGAGGTTGCAGTGAGCCGAGATCAGCTACTGTACTCCAGCCTCGGCGACAGAGCAAGACTCCATCTCAACACAAAAAAGACCGGGTGCGGTGGCTCACACCTGTAATCCTAGCACTTTGGGAGGCCAATGCAGGCAGATGACGAGGTCAGGAGTTTGAGACCAGCCTGACCAACATGGTGAAACCCCATCTCTACTAAAAAAAAAAAAAAAAAAGCCAGGTGTGGTGGCAGGTGCCTGTAATCCCAGCTACTCAGGAGGCTGAAGCAGGAGAATCACTTGAACCCAGGAGGCAGAGGTTGCAGTGAGCTGAGATCGCACCACTGTATTCTAGCCTGGGTGACAGAGCGAGACTCCATCTAAAAAAAAAAAAAAAAGAACAAAAAAGAAGTAGAGCATCAGAGCCAGCATGAAATTCTGATTTGAATTCCAGCCCTCTGCTGAGTTGCCTGTATAAGCTGAGATCAATGTTATCAAGAGACTTCCCTGATGCCCCATCCTCTCAACTTTATAGAAGATTCTTGCAAAGACCACATCGGCTGGCACAGGTTGGTACTTGTGAGGAACTAAAGGACTCTGACACTCAAAACCTCTCTGATCAACCTGCCTAATGGAGAGGAAAGGATTTTGTAAACAAAGTGTCCGATAAATGTATCATAATCATATTTTATAGCAGTGTCCCTCCCTATTCTCAACCACTAAATAAAATCATGGTTTGGAGACTGACCTGTCTACGTAGCACAAAGAACAAGGAGTTAAGAATCCCAGATTCTAATTTTCAATGTAGTCATTAACTAGCTGGTGATCATGGGGCTTGTCACTTCACCTCTCTGAGCCCAAATTTCTCAATCTGTACCAGGAGTTAGTCTTGATCAGGATTTTCTTTTTTTTTTTTTTACAGTCCATTTCCGTGTGGTACGGGGGTGTGTGTCTAGTTTGCACCTGTCTCCCCAGTGACTAGCACAGTGCCTGGCTGCATTTCATGAAAGAATGAAGGAAAAGTGAACGAAGGGTAAAAAGAGAAGGAAAGCAGGAAGGAAAGAAAAAGGGAAAAAGAAGAAAAGGATGTTTCCTTTTTATTTATTTATTTTTATTTATTATTATTATTATTTATTTTTATTTTTTTGAGACAATTTTACTCTTGCTGCCCAGACTGGAGTGCAATGGCACCATCTCAGCTCACTGCAACCTCCGCCTCCTGGGTTCAAGTGATTCTCCTGCCTCAGCCTCCCGAGTAGCTGGGATTACAGGCATGCAACATCACACCCGGCTAATTTTGTATTTTTAGTAGAGACAGGGTTTCTCCATGTCGGTCAGGCTGGTCTCAAACTCCGACCTCAGGTGATCCGCCCGCCTCTGCCTTCCAAAGTGCTGGGATTACAGGCATGAGCCACTGTGCCTGGCAGCATTTTCTAAGATAGCCCTGTGAAACTTCAGTCACCAAACTCAGAACTCTGTAGCCAAATGGCCTTTGAAATCACCGCATATTCTGTCCACACTGAAGTCTCTGAGAAGGCCTGCACACAGGCACCTACTTAACTCTCTTAAACCCAGAAACTCCTTTTTTTAAAGATACAACAACTGACATACTGTAGCCCTGGTGTTCTCAGAACCTGCTGTGGAGGAAATGCCAGGCTGGATGCTCCCTGCTGTCCATTTTCATCTGGTATGGGGGTGAACAAGGCCCAGCGGGCAGGGCCCGAGGCCACCCTCAACCCCACACCAATCAAAAGAGCTCTACCTTTATCTATTTAGGTACTCAATTTTTATTTTTATTTTTTTTTTGAGGTGGAGTCTCACTCTGTCACGAAGGCTAGAGTGCAGTGGCATGATCTTGGCTCACTGCAACCTCCGCCTCCCAGGTTCAAGTAATTCTCCTGCCTCAGCCTCCCGAGTAGCTGGGATTACAGGCATGCACCACCACACCCAGCTATTTTTTGTATTTTTAATAGAGATGGGGTTTCGCCATGTTGGCAAGGCTGGTCTTGAATTTGCTACCTCAGGTGATTCGCCCACCTCGGCCTCCCAAAGTGCTGGGATTACAGGCGTGAGCCACCGCACCCGGCCTATTTGGGGACTCAATTTAATATTGGGGATAAAAGGCTTCCATTTGCTAAAATAAAAAATAACCTGAAAACCACAGGGATCGTGGTAATAGCATGAGTCTTCCAATTCCTCATGTAGGAGAACAGATAGGATAATCTCTGGCCTTAGCCCTCATGTACCTCCTTTGTCATTTCATCAAAATGAAGATAAAAAATAATACAAACCAAGTTTCTGTGAGAATCAAATGAAATAACATACATAGAGAGTGCAATTCATCCACTGTATCCATGGGTTCTGTGTCCTCAGATTGAAAACATTCAGAAAAAAAATTCCATAAAGTTCCAAAAAGCAAAATTTGAATTTTCCATGCTGCAGTTTCTACTTTGAGTCCATGTGGTGTGCAGGCATTGTATTAGGTATTCTAAGGTATGATCATCTAGAGATGATGTAATGTATATGGGAGGATGTGCATAGGTTATATGCAAATACTATACCATTTTACATAAGGGACCTGAGCATCCTCAGATTTTGGTATCCCAGGATATCACTGCACAGGCTCTATACTAAGAGATTCACATATATCATCTCATCTAATCCATTTTTTAAAAAAACACAAGGTAGGTTCTATTATTTTCTCACAGGGAGTAAACCAAGACCACAAAGGTGCTCAGTACAAAAGCGGGGCGGGGGGGTCGGGGAGGGGGAAGCTCTTGATTGATTAGTGATGTCTGCGCTAGGCACGGCTTCATAAAGGTGCCCAATGAGAAAGAGGGTGCTGACTGATTAGCAATGTCTTTCACAAGCACAGCAGCAGAAAGGCAGCAGCAGAGATGCCCGTGTTCACTCAGGTAGTGAGTGGCGGAGGCAGGACTCAAAGCGAGCCTTAAGAGACTCCAAAGCCTACGTGCTATTCTGCTATCTACATACATCTCCTCAGCTTCCCAAGACTTTAAGCTCCTTGGCTCACATATTTCTTTTTTTTTTTTTTAGGTCCTCCATATAACTGCGGCACACAGCAGATGCTAACAAACATCACTTCCTCTTATAATGAGATAGATTTTACATATTAAGGCTTGCTTTGTGCCTACCAGAATGTCAGCTCCATGAAAGCAGAAATTTTTGCCTGTTTAGTTCACCACTGTCTCTCCATTACTTATGTAACAGAATCTGCCACCTAGATGTTTGAAAAACACTTTTTGAATAAACCAGGTGCCATATGAGCAATTACATTTATCATGACTGCATCCTCATAGCCACCTGGTGAGTCAGGTACACGAATTATACCCATTTTACAGATGAGAAAAACCTGGCCCGGGAATTTAACTTCCGTCTCAGGGTCTCGCAACCAGCAAGGGGCCAAGCCAAGATTTAAATCCATTTAAAGTCAGTCTTAAACCTGACTCTGAATCCCATGCTCATAACCAGAAAACCATCTCTTAAAACTAAACCACAGAATCAATCATTTTCAAAGCCCTGCTCACCTGCAGATGGGAATGGCAGGCACCAGCGGCTTGGGCCAAGTGGGCGGAACCAGCAGGATGGATTCTGGAGCCGAGTTTCTCCTCTCGCCCTGCTCGCAGGGCCCCAGGAACTCCACGGCCGGGTAGATGTGGCGAGGCAGGCCGGCCTTGGATGGGGCGGCAGACACCGGCGAGGGGTCAGGGCTGGTCTTCCACATCTTGGGGGGGATCCCACAAGGCGAGTCCGTGGCGAGGCTGTTCAGGGCATCCATGATCACGGCAGAGCCAGCCACAGGGGGGTACCCAGCCGGGGAGCCGTGGTCCTGGGGTGCCACGTGAGATGAGGGCTGCGGCGAGGGGCTCCGGGAGCGCTGGGGTGAGGCTCCGGGCGGCAGGGCAACCAAGGCCTCGGCGCACGAATGCCTCCGCTTGGCACCAGGCGATGAGGAGCGGGAGGCCGGACGGGGCACGGGCGAGTGGCGGCCCAGGCAGCTGTCCTCGGCGAGGCTGGTTCGAGGTGACATTATTGGCGAGGTTCTGGGGGAATAATGAGCAGGGATGTTTTGAAACTGCGGACACAGGTCGTCGGGCCCGCCGTTATTGGGCGAGACGCAGGGCGAGGTGTAGGGGGAGAAGGTGTCAGAAATGAAGCTGGCAGAGGAGCCGCTGCTAGCGGGGCTCAAGCAAAGCGGCTCGCGGTAGCCCTCGAAGCCGGGCACGGGCAGGGTGAACCTCGGGCTGGCGGCCACCCCGGCCAGGGGCGGCTGCTCCACCAGGAGGCCCGCGTCTCTCATGCGGAGGGGCCCCACTGCCTGGATCAGTTCGTGGGACGGAGTGATCTCGATCCGAGGGCTCAGGCCCGAGGCCCCTGCTGGCTTGGCCGCGCTCAGAAACTTCTGCGGCCCTACCCTATCCGGCTCTCCGAATCGGCCGGGGGGCTCGCCAGAGAGACTAGCAAGGGGGCTGTATGGCTTGAGGCCATAGTCCAGGACATCATCGGGGTATGCGGGTCCGGAGGGTGGGCTGGCGACCTTATGTGCATTCGGCTCTTCTGGAAAGAGAAGGGGGAAGGGGGTTCTTTTTAAGCCTCAAAAACAGAACTCCCGGTGCAGAGCAATCACAGGCTGGATTTCGTCTCACGTCGTTTATTTTTTTCAAATTCCCACCATGCCAAACCCCAAGCTAGAAGCTCCGTCCCTCACCAGAAGAAAACTGAGGCCACTTTGTCCCAGGTCCCTGGAGAAGACAGGTCGAAGCAGAATGAGTTCTGGAAGACCCCTGGGCTAAGGGCCTCGAAACTTGGCTTTAAATGAAACCCTTCGGAGAAGTGCACTTTATCTCACAACCCCATTCACGCCACCATATACACCCACAACTGAAACAAAAGCCTCTCGAGTCAATACTTACCCCTGCTACATGACACCCTCAGACCCTCCCTCCTGCCTGAGTGATTTTGCTTCAACGCTGGTCACGACCCATTAGACGGATCCCCTAACCCGTCTGCGCGGTAGGTCATGACCCCTAGTTTGAAAAGCACCTATCTAGGGCCTATGGCAGCACTCTACACACATGACGTGGACGCAGGACACAGAGGGAGGCTGCGCAGACTCTGCAGCCCACAGTGCCCTGGGCTTCAATCCCAGATTTCACACCAAGTACAAGAAGTGGCTTCATTCAGATCCAGGGCTCCTGACTCATGTCTCATCTGTGTCATTTTACAAATGAGGAAACTGAGGCCCAGAGCGGGGAAAAGGCCCACCGAAAGATACGGAATTAGCAGGCTTAAAAATACCACAGGCAAGCCACTTGCCCCCCAACAGGCAGGGTCACTGCTACAGAGGTTACCTGACACCCAAACTATTAGACCCAATGGATGCAGGCCGGGCGTGGTGGCTCACACCTGGAATCCCGGCACTTCGGGAGGCTGAGGCGGGCAGATCACTTGCGGTCAGGAGTTTGAGACCAGCCCGGCCAACATGGTGAAACCCCATCTCTACTAAAAATACAAAAATTAGCCAGGCGTGGTGGCACAGGCCTGTAATCCCAGCTACTCAGGAGGCTGAGGCACAAGAATCGCTTAAAACCAGGAGGCGGAGGTTTCAATGAGCCAAGACTGTGCCACTGCATGCCGGCCTGGGTGATAGAGTGAGACTCTGTCTCAAAAATAAAATAAAATACACTAAAATAAAGATAAAACCAATGACTGCAAAATGACCTAACTTCCTCTTTTAGCGGCTGCCTAGCCCGGGCTCCTGCTGCCACCTCGAAAGGCCCTACCGCTGCAGAATGCTGTTCAAGTAGAATGTTCTATGTCAGCCACCCAAGGACACTGCCACCCATCACCTCACACTGTCATTTAATTCTCAGCCTGACCCTCTTCTAGCAGACACCCTGCCTCACTGCATCCTGTACAGGTCCAGGCACGTGGGGCTGCTTGGGAAATTCCCACGGAGTTAGTGCCACCCACCCACCCCTCACAGCAACTCCACCTCCAAGGCCCCCCACCTCATCAGAGGCTCCTCCAACCTCCCCGCCAGCTCATGGGGCGGCCTGGACTCCTTACTCTGATGCCTCACATCTGATCCATCATCAGCCCTGACTGCTCCACTGTCAGAACAGAAACTAGATTCCCAGGTCTCCCCATTCCATCGCATCCACCCTGGTCCAAGCCGCCGTCCTCTCCCATGGGGACTACTGCAGTCATCTCCTCCCTGGCCTCCCCACTTCCTCTGTGGCTCTGTCAGTCTGTTTGTCACGCAGCAGCCTTTAAAATGTCCATTCTCAAAACCTACTATAAAGGCTTCTGGACACTTTAGATGGAACCTAAAGTCACTAACGCAGCATGTGCCCCGGCCTGCCACCCACCCCCACCACTCCCCACTTCTCCCCAAGCTGAGTCAGCAACAACCCCTCCAACCTCTTCGCCGTACTTAAGCAGCTCCTGCCTCAGACGCCTTGGGTTCCCTCTGCCTGGAAACCCTCCCCGCGAGATCCTCCCACTTCCCCTGGTTCCTTCCTGCATCTGCTCAGCCCGCACCTCCTGAGATCGACCCATCAAAAAGATCCCCTCCTTCCCTTTTCCCTGCCATCTTTTCTCCACTGACGCCTGCTAACAGCTCCCGTCGCACCAGGTATCTGTTTAGGGAATCTCATTCTGCCAAACCAGGTGCAGGCAAACCACAGCCCATGGGCCAAATGCGGCCCATGGGTTGTGTTTGTAAATAGTTTTATGACAACACAGCCAGCCTATTTATTGACACAGGGTGAACAAAGCAAGCTACAGCTTGCTCCTATACTACAACAGCAGAGTTGGTAGTCTGGGAACCGAATGGCCCCCAAAGCCTGAAATATTTACTCCTTGGCCCTTTAGAGAATTTTACAACCCCACACTCGACCCAGAGCTCCGTCAGTGTTGGGCCCGTGTCACTGTGGCCCAGCATTGTCTGCCAAGCACCTACCACAGGGCCTGGCACTTGCAAGCCCCCATAAACATTTGCCGAGTGGCTGAGAGAATAAGTAAATATAAGAACCATGTCCGGGGCCTGCCAGCCAGAAACAAGCCCTCTTCCTGCTTTGGGGGACCCCAGGTGGCCACCCCAGTGAGCCTCAGCCTCCTTGTTCCCTTTCTGGGCTATCCTAGAGGAAATACTGTCCAGTTTAGCCAAGCTGATCTCTTAGGGTCCATATGGTACCCCTACTTCCAAAATGGCTCCCCACAGCTCTTAGGTAAAAATAAATGACCCCCGCCAGGCAGCCTGGCTGGGCCCTGCCTGTGCATCTACCCTCGCCTGCATTCACTCTCTCCCCTCCCTCTCTCTGAACTCCAGCCAAAGGGGAGTGTGGTGATTTTTGTTTTGTTTTTGAGGTCTTACTCAGCTGCCCAGGTTGAAGTGCTGTGGCGCAATAATAGCTCACTGCAGCCTCCACCTCCCAGGCTCAAGCAATCCTCCCACCTCAGCCTCCCAAGTAGCTGGGACTACCAGTGCACACCACCGGGCTCAGCTAATTTTTTTTTATTTTTAGTAGACAGGAGGTCTCACTATGTTGCCCAGGCTAGTCTCCAACTCCTGAGCTCAAGTGATCCTCCCACCTCAGCCTCCCAAAGTGTTGTGATTACAGACGAGAACAACCGTGTCTGGCAAAGGGGAGTTTTTAAAAGCATCAAGCTCCTTCCTGCCCCGGGACCTTGGTACTTGCTGCTCCCCCTGCCTCAACAGCTCCTCCCCTACCCACTGCCAGGCCCCCTTCTCCACAGGACTAAAGCCCATTCATGCCCATGAGCTGGGCTTAAGTACTGCATGCTTCTAGAAGGACCCCTGACCACTTGACTAGCTCAGGCCCCACTCACAGGCCCCTGCTGTGTTCTGTGCACATCTCACCATAACGACTGAGGAACTGTGGAGTGCTCCGTTTCCCTCGACCTCCAGTCTGCCCTTCCCTCGACCTCGAGATCCACCCCCACCAATCAGCAAATGCCATGAGGACTCTTGCTCCGCCATGCCCCTAAGCACTTGGAATGGTCCTGCCACTAAACAGGCCCTCAGAAAGGATGTGTTGGCTGAATGAATGAGGCAAGTTCAGAAAAGTCTACCTGGAATAAACTATTACTCAAAGATGCTAATATCCAAACCAAAAGATAGAAGGCTATAACTCTAGAGAGGGTCATTTTGTAATATCCATGAAAATTCCAAACACACGTGCCCCCGGAACCACATGTGCCCTCGGAACCAAGCAATGCTACTTTTAGAAATTCATCCTGGGCCAGTCATGGTGGCTCACACCTGGAATCCCAACCGTTTGGGAGACAGAGGTAGGAAGATTGCTTGAGGTCAGGAGTTTAAGACCAGCCTGGGCAACGTAGAGACCCCATCTCTAAAACAAAAATTTTTTTTTCATTAGCTGGGCATGGTGGCACCTACCTGTAGTCCCAGCCACTGGAGAAGCTGAGGTGGGAGGATCAAGGCTGTAGTGAGCCATGATCGTACCACCACCTCCCAGCTTGGGTGACAGGATGAGAACCTGTCCCAAAAAAAAAAAAAAAAAAAAATTCTTCCTGCAGATATACTCTCACCTGTGCAAAATGACCTGTGTATGCTTAAGATTCATTACTACAACCCTGACTGTAATCCCAAAAGACTGGAAGCAACCCAAAGCCCATCTATTGGGGATGAATTAATTCTGGCTCATTCATATGATGGGATACAGTATAGCTACAAAAAGGCCTGAAGAAGTTCTTTATGCATTGACATGGAATGACCACTGAGATTTAGTATTAGAGAAAAGCAAGCTGTATAGTGTGCACAGCATAAAAAGTGAGAGGATGTACACAAACACAGAGAGATGTACACACAATGTACACAGACAGATGTACACACAGATGTATACAGATTACACCTGCACATATATACACAGATGTACAGATGTACACGCACAGACAGATGTACACACACATATGTACACACACAGACAGATGTACACGCACAGCTGAAGGATGCACAGGCTTTCTCTGGAAGTCACAAGTAATAGTGACATCCTCCAGGGAGGGGAACTAAGGAATGGGAGGACAGTGGCATGGCAGAAAGGAGACTTCCTTTGATTTGTGTAATTGTGTAAGAAAATAAATGTAACTCCCAAAAGAAACATTTTTAATTTTATTTCATAGGTGGTAGGTGACATAGCATGATATACAGTAATGAAACCCTGTTTTACGAAGCAGGAAATGAAGAGTGCAGTCCTGCTCCGCCACTAAGTAGCAGCGTGACTTTGGAAAAGTCCCCCACCCACTGGAGGCCTCAACACCTTCTCATTTATAACTGAACAGCATTAAACTGAATCAGTTTCCTTGGTGGCTTCTGGCTCTGAAATCCTTTGATTTTTCTAGCTAGCATCTGTAAGGCCTGGAGTTCTTGTGAGGCTGTAGTTTAATGTAAATGTGTATTTGAATTCGCACATACACACACACACGCCTTCCTAGAAGGTAACAGAGCACAGAGTTTTAATCTAGGAAAAGAGGAATGTCAAACCCATGGCCGACAACATTCTGAGAATTCACTGCCCTTCGAACCAGAAAAACAAAACACAAAAAGTTTCTTAGCAAAAATTCCGGCCGTATCAGAAGAACTGCACTGTATCTTATCAGAAACACACCCTTGGGGCTGATGTGCACAGTCCACAGAAACGCAGTCCTGAAAACACACATCACTCACACTCCCTAGGAGCTCTGAAAAACAGAAAGCTCCAGTGTGCTGAGCAAAAGTATTTAAAGCATTTACATTGGTTTTCATTAATCCAAGCGGCAGTTTTTTTTTTTTCCTCTTGACAAGACTTTAAATGTTTACCAGCAAGCAGGGAATATGAAGATAATTAATAATCATTTAATTCTCAGTCCCCTGGGTATTTGACAGTAAATTTCACAAATAGCACATCATTAAAATATTTCTCTAAGTCAGTGGCTGAGATTCGTCACTATTTCTCCTTAAACAACTGCCACGCTCACAGGCGGCTTTCTTACAGTCATCACGATGCCCGCACGGCACTGGGTGAAGTTAGTTTCATCTCAGAACCACCAAATGTTCTCAGGAGGATTTCCAAAAAGCTTGCTTTTTTTTTAACCACTTGCACGATCTTTGCTCTATCCATGTGCCACCAAAAAGTATTTACTTAATACTTCTAGTATTTAAATTCACTCACTTATTTTTTTTTTATTTTAAAAGGAAACTTTACACCACTACTGCAGATGGAAAATCAATGTCACCTCCATAAATAGAAGGTAGGGTAAAAATACAATAAAAATAAAACTTACTAAATTCAAGCAAGACACAGTGGCTGGGCAAAGGCTCTGAGTCTGAGGCTTTATACAGCCCCGCCCCCGCCAATGCTTCTGCGGTATAACTCATATACACAGATGTCAGTGTTTTGAGTATAGAGTTTGACGAGTTTTGCCAAATGTCATACATTCTTGCTACCACCAACATAATCAAAATATGGAACATTTCCAAGACCCCAGAAAGTCAAGACCTAGGAACAGGGAAAGGGAGGAGCCAGTGTTAGAAAGAAAGGTGTCAATGGTACAGCAGTACCTCACTGAAGCGCTACTCCTTTTTTGTTTGTTTGTTTTTTGTTTTTTGAGACAGAGTCTTGCTCTGTTGCCAGGCTGGAGTACAGTGGTGCGATCTCGACTCACTGCAACCTCCGCCTCCCGGGTTCAAGCGATTCTCCTGCCTCAGCCTCCTGAGTAGCTGGGATTACAGGTGACCACTACCATGCCCGGCTAATTTTTTTGTGTTTTCAGTAGAGACAGGGTTTCACCATGTTGGTCAGGCTAGTCTCGAACTCCTGACCTCAAGTGATCTGCCCACCTCGGCCTGCCAAAGTGCTGGGATTACAGGCATTAGCCACCATGCCTGGCCTGAAACTCCACTCCTTCTGACTAGTTCAAAGAGAAAATAGCGCTGAAAAATAGTTCTTAGCACATACAACGTCCTCACTGGTGGACCACCTAAAATCCATTTCACCTACCATGGGAGGTACCTGGCCTGCATACGAAGCATCAGTACCAAAGGGAGGAAGAAGATAGAAGCAGGGATGGGGGATTCAGAGGTTGCTGCTCAAGGGCCTCTGTACCTCCATGTCACGCACATGCTGTTCCCCTTACCCAGAACTCCCTTCCATACCTCCCGACCTTACATCTCCTAACAAGCCACTATTTATCCATCATGACTTGACCTGAGCCACCCCCTCCTGGAGGCCCTCCCTGTTTCCCCAGGCTGGATCAGGCAGCTCTTCTACACTCCCAGGTCCCACAGAGTCCCACATTGAAGTCTATCTATGGATTCACTCGTCTGTCTACCCTCTAGACTCTGAGGTTCTTAGAGGCAGATAGGAGTCTTACATCAATAATTATTATGAAGATGATTATAATGCAGAAAAAGCAGCTAAAATATATTGAGAACTTACATGCTAGGCATTGTTATAAGCACATTACATGTAGTAAATTACTTGATCCTCACAGCCACCTACCCACTGGATGCCAATAGCAGCTGCCCTGTCCCTCTCCCCGTTGTGGCAACCAAAAATGTCTCCAGGCATCGCCAAACATCTCCTGCCAGGCAGGCTCGCCCCCAGCTGAGAACCACGGCTCCTGGCTTTAGAGCCCCAGCATGGCACAGGAGGCCTGCGCACAGCAGAGGCCCAAAGACTGCTGGAAGCATCAACTCATGACTCACGCCCTCAACCTGAACTGATTCAGAAATGAGACATCTTCTCACTCTCAGCCCTGGCAGGTGACGCTCATCTCTGTGGCAGACACCTGAAAGTTCTCATTCTTATCACCCCTCCTTTCATCAAGTTCCTGGGTGCTTACCCAATAGGTAGGCCCTGTGAATATGTGGAGAAATCTCTGGCCACTCCCAAAAACTACAGGACAAGATTGCTGGGGAGGCCAGTTCAGCCCTCCTCTTTGCCCCACCAAGCAAGAGCTCTACGCTGAGATCCAGGTCTCAGTCAACAGAGGGTAGCACGGGGTTAGGGGACTCCAGATCCACTCCCACCCCCGGCTGTGAGACTTGGGGAAACTCCATGTCCTCATGTGTGACACGGGGTGATGACACTGGTGATGATACAAGCCTGTCGGTTTCCCTAACCTATGCAAAGCCCAAGACACACAGAATCAATACCCAGTAAATGGGGCCTACTGGATTATTATTGAAAGAACAATCTTTTCGGTGACAATTCTGCCCTTTCCCTGCTATAGTTAGTCTATTTTACAACAACTTGAACGCACTAGTCCCCAACCCCTTCGAAAGCATTACGAAAAAAAGGAAGACATTTTTATAAAAATAAAATGGGTTGGTCAGCACTTTAGGAATTCTCTTTTTACCTCAGATCCTGCTGACCTTCAGAAAATGTGTGGAGGAGGTAAAACGTGCTTCCAACACCCTCTCCATTCCACACTTTGTACTTTTCCTCCCAGGCTACCTGGCAGTGGATCGACTAAATCTTACTAAAGTGTTAGTGGGTCAGTGAGCCGCTTGTCATAATCAAAATACTAGCACATCTATACCACTTACTTTATATCGAGAACTGTACGCATCTAGTGTATGTTCATATTTGTCTCACAAGAACCCTATGAAGCAGCTGATATCGTTTCCCCATTTTATATAGGGGGAAAATGAGGCTCAGAGAGGGTGAGTAATTTGCCCAAGGTCACACAGCTTCTAAGTAGCAGAGCCAAGATTCATTCTCAGGCAACCTGGCTCCTCCACCCCCCTAACCACTACTTTATCCTGCATCTCAGGAAAGAGGTGATTTCCTGGATGGCGACACCCTGACCCTGACACAGGGAAGCAAGGATCCCCCCCGGAAAAGAAATCACTCTGGGGGCCTCATCATTTCACTCGGGAGGTGGGCTGCCCCTGACAACTGAAGACACAGATTCCTTTCTTCGGGAATGTTCACAGTCTCTCCTTTTGCCCCAGGATTGAGTCAAAGATTATTTTAAAAATCCACTCAGGCCACACAGTGGTCCCCGCCAGCGCCTCTCCCCCTGGAAGCTCTGTGAGCCTGTTGCTCACCCTCGCAGACGGACACACAGCCAAGTCTGAGGTGGCCGCTCGCTCAGCGCCAACCCGCCAGCCAACAGATCACTTTTGAAAAAAGGAACAGCAAGAGAACATCTTCTCTGCCTAGAACTGCAGGCGGGTGGAATTTTCGGGAAGCAGAATCGTATGACCAAAATAGAAACCCAGCTAGGGAACCTCTGAGAGGCAGCCGTCCTTGGGGGGCACAGGGAGGGGCAGAGGCAAATGGAGCTTTCAGGCTTGAGTGGCTGGGAAGAGAGAAGCAGGGCCTGGCCTGGGGGCTGGATGCCCCTCCGATGGGCAGCAGGGCCACAGGGCTCCACTGATCCCTGGCCAAGCTGATCCGACCCACGGCTTGATGAGCTCACCCCGATGCCGAGGTGGCGTGAGTCCCAGGGCCTGGGTTTGGGACATGACAGTCTGTCGCCAAGGCAGCACTTAGGATGCCACAGCTGGCACCGCAGATCTGTAGCCGGAGGAAAGGGGAGCAGACAGAGAGGCAAACCTCGCCTCCTGCCACTCGCCCCGACAACTCTCATAACTTCCTGCCCATCAGGGGCCACAAAGAATCCCAAAACAGAGCAGGAAGGTGGACAGATTCTTCATCCGGCAGGTGTGCACAACCTAGAGAAAGAACCCCTTTGAAAAGCAATGGGTTGCCTCCAAATAACAAATCTGACACTCAGCAAACTTTCTGACAAGCCCCCAGACCACTGCTGCCCACGCCCCACCCAGTCACACACATACACCACCTAACAGTAAGTAGATTCTCAATCAATGAATCATGTGTATTAATGACCAGAGTCAGGTTGTCACACCCTTCGTTCGGAGGTGACACATACAGACACAGGCCTGAAAGTCGAGAAATTCCATCTGGATAAATCAGGTCCAGAAATGCCAAAAAGGAAAGGGAGGACATTTGCCATCCTGTCTCGTCCATGGAACCACTGGAAAAAGTCATCCTGAAGGCGATGTCTTTGCTGACCTTGCCCCAGCTAAGACAGCTGTCTGCCTTCCCCAGACGGGGCTGAAAGAAGGACTCAGTGGTGCCTTCCAGGCAGGCTGCCGCAAGGCCAGGCGCCCAGGACACAGGACTGAGGTGATCCACAAGCAATGAGGCTTGCAGACTGGCTCTGGCATGACCGCTTGCAAAAACACACGAACCCACGCGCTGACACGTATTGCTTTTGGATAGGGGTGGAGAAATGTATGGAATCTGCAACCCGCAGGCCTCAAGGTCACCTTTTAGATGGGGGCAGCAGGGCCCAGGCATGTGGCACACATAAGGACTCATCTCCATCTTCAAATCTGGATGGGAAGAACTGTCTCTTGCTGGTTTCAAGCCATTTCCTGGGGCCCTCCTGCCTTGGAGAATTCCAGAGATATTCCTATTTTTAGTCATTCTAATAGCTTATGTCCACTGTGCCGCAAGCTTTCACGTGTACGCTCCCCTGTTCTCTCTGCAGTTTACATAAACCCCTGGAGATAGCTACTCCGAACACCTCTGTGTTAGAGATGGGGAAATTGAGGCTTGGGGTGCAGGGAAATTCCCAAGACCACAAAAAGTCAGGGCAAAGCTTGCATTCAATTTCAGGGTGGGGGCTGCAGCGGGGGCCAGGGGGAGGGGCAGTGCACAGGGGGAAGGGCTGTACATGTGTAGCATGCACGTGTGTCTATACAAGATCTGCAGATTCCATCAGTTTTGTTTGTTTTTGAGACAGAGTCTCACTCTTGTAGCACAGGCTACAGTGCAGTGGCGCAATCTCAGCTCACTGCAACCTCTGCCTCCAGGGTTCAAGCAATTCTCCTGCCTCAGCCTCCCTAGTAGCTGGAATTACAGGTGCCTGCCACCATGCCCAGCTAATTTTTGTATTTTTAGTAGAGACAGGATTTCACCATGTTGCCCAGGCTGGTCTCGAACTCCTGACCTTAGGTGATCCACCCACCTCGGCCTCCCAGTGCTGGGATTAGAGGCCTGAGCCACTGAGCCCGGCCTTCATTAATTTTTAAAATATGCATCACTTACATGAAGTAAAATGCACAAATATTTCACATACATCTTGTGCCTTTGCATATATATACACACACTCGAACATTTCAAGTCCCCCAGAGGGTTCTCTGTGGCCCCCCTGAAGCCAGACACCCTCGCCCAGGAAGAACCACTCCCTGACTTTTCTCACCATATGCTGGGTTTGACTGTTCTCGAATGTCCCATAAATAAAATCATACAGGATGTATATGTCTCACTTATTTGGCTCAGCAGAATGTCTGAGCTTCACCCACATTGTGTGCAGTAGTCCTTTCTTTTTTATTGCTGTGTACTATTTCACTGTCAAATCCACCACAATTTATCCAATCACCTTGCTGAACTCCCTCCGTTTTTAAAGCATTTGAGATTAAACTCGTGATTTAGCAAGGTCTGCGTCTAACAGAAGAGAGTTCAATGCATGACAGAGAACAGACCTCAGAGTGGCTTCCTCACCAAAAGGAGAAGGAAAGATTTGGTCAGAAGAGTTCCCCAGAAATAGACTTCAGATAATCCTCCTGCAACAGGACTCGCCAGGGCTAAACCCACCCACTCTGTCAAAGGCCTGCAGAAGATGACATGAGCAGGGGAACATCCCTTCTTTCCATCCTCTGCCCAACTTAGCAAACAGTCCCTCTCTCCGACCAGCCACCTCTGCGAGTTTGGTCTCTTACTGATCCCCACATCCCCTCGCACAGCCTGAAAGGCTGATTTCCATTTTTCTTTCAGCCAACCTAAAATCCAAGTGGAAACTTCCCCCTTGAAGACAGTGGGGCCTGTGTAACCCTTGGCCGGGGTCAGAGATTTAAAATTAATGCCTTCTTGACTGACAGCTTCTTTATTTATACTTTTCCCCAGGAGCTTTCATTTCAGTGCCATGTTCCTGGGGGTGGGCACACTTCATCAGTGGCCCCTGCCAACCCCCTGGTTATTAAGACATTCCTCCCTACTCCATGGCAACAGAGGTGATGTCACCCATTGTGGATTTTAGACCTGCAGCGCACCTTCTTAGGATTATACAGGTAAACAGCCCCTTTCCATAACCTTTAAAATAACTTTAGCAGGCATTTCAGACTTGGGGTTTTTTTTCCCCCTCATTTAACATTCTCACTTTTGCAGGCATGCCCAAGCAGGTCTGTTTTGATAAGGACCTTCATAAATCCTGAGCTTTGCTGGCCACTTTCTTCCCTTCAGACCCAGCTGAAGAAATGCTCTTTTTCCAAAACCTCAGATTACAAGGTCGGGAGGGTCCCAAATACCAACCCAGGAAAAGCAATCTCCCCACTCTGCATGTGGCTTACAGTCTGCCTTTGGTATATTTCTTCCACAGAGGGAAAAAGCATTAAAGATTCAAGTGCAGGGCTTTAGATCCAAATGCCCAGGAGGCAGGCAGGACCATCCACCGGGATGGAGAAAGAAACAGAAAAATAGCAGAGCTCCCTGTCATTTCTCATTTCTACCTTAGCCAGGAGTTTTCCAATGAGTATAATCCCATTAGGACAGTAGCAAGATACAATTTCTAATTATATAAATATCAACTATAAGAGGTGAACGTGCACACATCCCACCGTACATGAGACACATCAGACAAAGCTAGAGACAGCAGCTCCATACGGTGTCCTGCTGCCCTCCAGGGCCACATCCTGGCTGTGAGATATAGTGCTGATGGCAGGGACCTAGAATGCTCAGTGCCCAAGTTCAAGGCCTGCCCTGCCACTTACCAATGCAAACTCTCAGCAAAGTTACCTTACCCCCAAGAACCTGATCTCACTGGTCCAGGATGCAGCCTGAGAACTTCTAATGCAGCCAGGACTGAGAGCCCCTTGCCACCCATTCTACATTTTTCAAATGTATTTAACCTGCCACCTGATATGGCTGGAGAGCCTTGAGAACCAACCTGAATAACACTGCTTTAAAGTTTTAGGAGCCTCTACTCCTGATCAAAATCTATGCCACCAAAAGAACACAGGGGCTTGAATTTAGAAGCCAAGATGCCACGTGTTTCACAGGGAAGAGTGAGTGAGGCAACTTCATTTCCTCTGCCTCCCTGCAAGGCCGATGCTCAGTTCTAGCCCTCATTTCACCTTTCCAGCTGCACCTGGAGACGTTATTTGTCCAAAGCAGGCTTATTAAGGCCTGTCTTTAACTCAACACAGAAGGCAATGTCTCTGAATGTCACATGTGTTTAGTGAACCTGCTTGCTTAGTGTAGAACACTATTTTTAGCAAGCACCAAACACACACACACACACACACACACAGATACTGTATCACAGCACCTCATTTGTCCCTATTTGTTTACCAGACTGTGACCCATATTGGCCTGGGGGCCAGGGGAGGCCAGACACCATATCTAATTTGTCCCTATGCTGCTACAGGGCCTGGCACAAAACCAGCATTCAGTGTGTTTGCTGAAAGAATGGGGTTTTAATTGTGCCCTGTGAATGGGTCGAGAGCAGGTGTTCCTACACTGAAGTGCCAGTAAAATTAGGGAATGGGACACAGAAGGGTCTGTGAGTGCTGAGAAATGACATCAAAAGCACGTGGGGGGATATGAGAGGGAGTGGAGAGGGGAGGTGGGGATGTGTGGGTGGGGGGTGCAGGGGGTATGTGGTGAGGGGGCAGTGCCCAGGGGAAAGGGCTGCCCATGTGGAGCATGCACACGCATCGTGTGTGTGTCTATAGAATCTGCAGATTTCATCAGCTTTTTAAAGGGCTGTGACCTCAAAAGTGTAAGGATCACAGGAATAGACTCTATAAAACAACCAGCAGTGATCAGAAGGAACCAGTTTTCCTTTCTGAAAGGCCGAAGTTGGTATTAAATGCTTTAGCTTAGCAGAAATTGAAGGAGGGCTGCACCAGACTGTTAAGGCAAAGCAGATGTGAGCACTCCCCACATATCTGTCCCCAACACAGTAACTGGAGATCCGGCATCTCTGGAGGTGACCAGGGATTCCCAGTACCCACCCGTCTCTCTCAGTGTATTACAAGTTGGGAGAAATAAGAGTCCATTGTATTCACAAGCATGCATAAGGGAATTCAGCTTCTGAACTGTCTGCTGACAGCCAGCACATCTTCCCCTTCCAGGGTGGGATCAGTGGCCCCATCAGGACTCCCACATCCTTGCCCACCGGGTCTTTCTGTCACTGTGTACTTGGTTGTCTCCTCCACTAGAAAGAAAATTAAGAGTCTTCTTTGCACATCTCTAGTGAATACGTTTGAAACCTAGACAGATAAAATGGATAATTTCCCAGAAAGATAGAGTTTACAAAAATTGACTCCAGTAGAAGTAGAAAGTGTAAAGAGACCAATTCCCACAGTATAGAGAAAGCCATCAAGAAACAACTCCACAAAGAAGCACCAGGTCCAGGCGGCTTCACAGAGGAATTCTATCACAGCTTTAGAGACCAGGGAGTCCCAGGGAGACAGAAATTATTCCTGAGCTTAGAAAAGGAAAGAAACCTAAACCTGATAGCACAAAAAATAGGCCAATATGAATATCACTCATGAATACTGAAAAATGCTTAAATATTATCTGATGCCACAACCACCTTAAGAAAATAATACACCAAGTGGAGTCCATACCAAGGATGTCTTCATATAAAGAAATCTAATAATGTATGCCAACACATTAATAGGTCTACGAAGAATAAGATCATATTTTTCCATAGATGCTAAAAAAGCCTTTGATATAATTCAACTCCCATTTGTAATAAAAACTCTCGGGGGAAAAAAGAAAGAACTAATACTTCCTTTACATAATTCATACACCTCAATTTTAAAGCCAACACTGGAGTCCTCCTCCAAGGCAAGGATGCCCACTGTCTTCACTATCATGTAACACTCTACTGGAGGTATTAGTTAATGCAATTAGACAAGAGAAAACAACAGAGGCACAATTAGAGGCAGTAGCTCAGAGAGGACAGGATCTGGGTCTCATTCCCCGTTGTGACCCTAGGATCTAACACAGAGGGTGCTCAATAGCTGAATGAGTAAATAAACAATGGCTCATATTAATTGAACACCTCCATTAACAAAAGCAAGGGTTTACTAAACCACTAGTAACAGATCACATGCTGTGTTGATTTAAATGGGTTAACCTATTCAAGGCAGGTAACGGTCCTATGAGGCAAGTGGTATTATTTCAGCCATTTTACAGATAAGCAGACAGATGTCCAGAGAGATGAGATGACTTGCTCAAGATCACCTTGTTGGTAAACAAGGTTTTCAATTCCAGCCCTGCCATGGTCCCAGACACCTTGCTAACTGGTTTGCATGTGTCTCTCACCAAATGAGAGAATGAGGACCCTAACACAATAGTTCAGAACACATGGTATGGAGCAACACTGCCCATTTTGGGAAAATTACTTTACCTCTCTGTGCCTTAGCGTCCTCCTCCATAAAACAGGGGTGATAATAGTGCCTGCCTCCTAGGGTTGGAGTGGAATCACATGGGCTAATGAACGTCTGCTACATGCTAAACTCCATAAAATGAGCATCCGACCTCCCCAAAATTCCCTAATTTACCTTCACCAATTCTATCAACAATGTCTGCCCCATTAGCAGTACCTTTCCTTCCTTGGTTTTTGCCAAGCTCGTGCCCAGAGTTAAGGATAGAACTTTACATGCGTCACCAATATGTTGCCATCTGGGACAAAACCTAATAAAAAGATTAAGGCTAGTGTTCACCCCTGAGGAGTCCCACCATACAGAAGCAAAGAGAGGTGACTGCTATTAACATCTGGGTGACCCAGAGCCAGATGCACATCTGGGGCAGTTCACATTAGCCTCTTAAAGCTTACCATGTCCCTTCTCTTTTTTTGTCTGGTTTGTTGGTTTGAGACAGGGTTTCGCACTGTCCCATGGGCTGGAGTGCAGTGGCACGATCACGGCTCAGGGCAGCCTCGAACTCCTGGGGTTAAGAGATTCTCCTACCTAAGCCTCCGAGTAGCTGGGAAGCTGGGTCTACAGGCATGCGCAACTAGGCTAGGCTAATTGTTTTATTTTTTTATTTTTATTAGAGATGAGGTCTTGCTATGTTGCCCCAGCTGGTCTTGAAGCCCTGGACTCAAGCAATCTTCCCACCTCGACTTCCCAAATTGTTGGGATTGCAGGCATGAGCCACCACTCCCGGCCACAGCATCCCTTCTCTTTCTGGGTGCTAACTCTTCTGTGCTGCCTACTTCTCAGCAAAGAGTAAGTGCTTTCCAGATTCTGGAGTATTACTCTGTACTCCTTAAGTGTGGGCTTCATGTAGTAATGCCTTCCAAAGAGTTTGAAGAAACTGAGAAAAGCTACCTCTACTGGGTAATCAAGGTTAGCATTAATGATAAATGACATGGATAGTATACTTTTTGTTGTTGTTTTTTGAGACAGAGTCTCACTCTTGTCACCCAGGCTGGAGTGCAATGGTGCCACCTGCCTCACTGCAACTTCTGCCTACTGGGTTCAAGCAATTCTCCTGCGTCATCCTCCTGAGTTTCTGGAATTACAGTGCCTTCCACCATGCCTGGCTAATTTGTGTATTTTTAGTAGAGTTGGGGTTTCACCATGTTGGCCAGGCTGGTCTTGACCTCCTGACCTCAGGTGATCCGCCCGCCTCAGCCTCCCAAAGTGTTGGGATTACAGGCGTGAGCCACCACGCCTGGCTGGATAGTACATACTCTTGATACGATGTGATGAGAAGGGAGCTTTATCTTTGTGGGCTTCCTCCCGAAAACCTAGAGCCCTAGTCTAATGAAGGGACAGTCTACAATACAACCAACACTCCTCAAAACAGTGAAGGTCACATAAAACATTCCCAATCTGAATAAGGCATAAACCTCAGTTAATAATGTGTCAATATTGGTTTGTTGGTTACAATAAATGCACCATACTAATGTAAAACATTAATAACACGGGGAAACAGGGTATTGGGTATATGGGAACTCTCTGTGCTATCTTTGCAACTTTTCTGTAAATCTGAAACTGTTCCAAAAACTGAAGTTTTTTTTTTGTTTTTTTTTTTTTGAGAAAACAGATTCCAGGGCTTTCATTGTGGTCATTTAGATACCCATCTGGTGGCCACCAAGCAGCACTTGCCAAGAAAAACCATAAAAAGTACCTCCCTTCAGATTTGGCTTGGAAACTATTTCCCCGGAAATCCCCCCACCCCACCCGACAAGGAAAATAAAAGCTGATTACCAATCTGGGAGGGGTGTGAGTATTCGTTCCCTGAAAAACATGACTTTAATCTTAATGAACAGAAAGACCACGGATATTAGTGCGGATCGTTTGCAGATTCTTAATTGTATCTTTTCAAAGCAAAAGATGTCCTCCAGATTGCAACTCTAGAAGACTGGTCTCTTCTGTTGGCTAATTGTTTCCATCTCCAGCCAAGACACAAAATTATTACTAATGACCATCTCTGGGTATCCAAGGGAAGAGGATACCCAAAGCTAAAGCAAACCCCTCACCTAACGTGGCCAGAGAGGACACCGATGGAAGCGAAAACTTCATTATCTGCCTAACACAGTGTTTGTGGGAAACATCAGGCCACCAAGCCTCCTTGACAGGCTTCCTCCACGAGCCAGTCAGCACAAGCCCTTCCTACACACTAGATGGAGGCAAGCCCAGAGTGCGTCTGGAAGCTACTAACAGGCCTGCCACTGAGCCTTCAACAAGCATTGGCTGGGCTGGGCTGGGCTGTCAAAATCAGGAAGCCTGGTTGGGTTTTTTGTTTTTTCCAAGACAACCTGCTAACCAGAAATACACAGTGAGGTTGGGCGTGTGGCCGCTTCCCCCTCCTCCTCCTCCTCCCTCTAACGAATGCTCCTGTTAAACACGTGAAGTGACAGATAAGCATTGGGCCCAGCCCGGGGAAGTCCCCAGCCCCCAGCAACTGAGGGCAGTTGGAGGCACAGAGTGACAAAGTTCAGGCAGAAAGAGCCTGTGTCCTTCTGAATCCATGCTGCAGCTGCCCCTCACCCTACCCCATCCCACCACATCCATTAGGACTAAGCGTAGAAGATCACTTAATATAGCTCAGACCAATCCTCTTGTGAGTGGTAAGTGATGGGTTCAGCAGCAGAACCCAGGGAGGAAATGGGCCGGCCTTATAATACCAAAGGTTTTAACCCTCTCCAGCATCAGACAGACAACCTCTTCCTCAGTTTCAACACAAAGTCCCCGTCAACCACTGCTCACAGGAGGTGATGGGAGCTGCGTGGCCTCACTTCAGTGCCTGGAGGGAAGGAGCGGCCTCCTACCCTTGATAACTGGGTTCAGCTGCACCCCCCTTCCTTCTTTTTTTGGCAACTCCTCCCTGCTAACTCCATTCTTCGCTTCCTCACCTCCTCCCTCCAAAGGCACAGAAATCATGTCCCTTGCCCTTTGACAGCCCAGTCCCAGGCAAGAGGCCAGCAGACAGCACCCGCCCCCCAGCCTTGGGACCTGCCTGCCACCTTTTGTTTTGCTGAGAGTGACCCTCAGGGAGCAGTCATGAGCAACCAGAAACTGGTGCCCCTAAGGGGCAAGAGGGAGCCGACCGCCCCCTAAGGGTGGCAGGGGCCACTGACGCCTCCCCTCCCTGGCACCTGGGTAGGGGCACCCTCCCTCCAGGCCCCTTAGGAAGGGGGACGGCTGGAGCCAAGAGGACTCCTGTGCCCAGTCCCCAGGCCTGAGCCCCTGGCGGGCTCAGGGGCCAGGCCAGGGGTAGCCTCCACCGACCTTCGTTCGGATTCAAATACTCATAGTCGAAGAGGATGGAGAAGTCAAGCTCGTCTTGGGGGCTGCCCCCAGGCTCGTGGCCTGGGGCGTCCCCGCCGTCGGGTTGGGGCTGCCGCTCGGGGGCGTTCATGGCGCGCAGGGCGGGAAGGCTGCGGGGCCGGGGGCGAGGGCGGGCGCGGCTGGCTCTGGGACCCCTCGCAGTGGGGCTGGCGGAGGCGGCTCGAGCGGCGGGGTCCCTTTCCTCGTAGGGACGCACGCCGGGTCCGGGGACGGCGCGCCTGGCGCAGCGGGTCCTGGACGCGCCCGGGGAAGCTGAGCGGCGGCGGCGACGGCGGCGCGAGCTTCCTGCTCCGGAGGCACCTGTTGCAGCCCGGGGAGGCGGGGGGGGGGGGGGCGTGGAGGCGGGGACAGGGCGGCCAGGCCGGCGGGGGCGGGGCCGCCACCAGGGGACCGGAGGGGAGGGGCGCGCGGCCTGGGCTGGCCGGTGCCGGGAGGAAGGAGGCTGTCCGCGGACCTGACCACACTGTCCCGGGCCACCGCTGGGCGCTGGGGCGGCCGCTGTCTCCCACCCTCCACGGGTGAGTGCGACACGCGCTGCGCGAACCAGGGTCTAGACAAGAAAGCTGCCGCCACTAGGACTTTTGCCCTAAGGGACCCACTGGCCCCACACTTTTTCCTGCTTTTCTTCTCCATGGGGTGGAAGGGGGTATCCACCCCCTTCTATTGCAGACCCGTGTCTCCAGGCGTCTCCGTGTGCCCACGGGGGCGGCATGATTTTCACAGTACTTCAGACACCTGCATGGCCCTGAACTCAACTCCCCAGCGCCTAGGAAGGAATCGGACTGACAGCACTAGTCCCCCCCGTTACAGCTATGCCTCCTGGCCACCTACCACGTGCCAGGTGCTGGGCACCCAGCCGGAGCCAGACACTGTTGCCCTCGGAAGCTCAGGCTCTGGTAGTGGGAGAGGCCTGAAGGAGAGAAACAGGACAAAAAGCATCTGCTTATGGGGCCAGGAGAGAACTCACCAGGGTATGGGATAAAGGTTGGGGTGGCTTTAGTCCCTTGGGTGGTCAAGGAGGACCTCTCTGAGGAGGTGACATTTGAAGAAACCTGATTGATGAGGCGATCTTGGGGAAGTGTGTTCTGGCAGTGAGAACCAAAACACAGAGCCAGAGCTCGAAGGGGCTGGGTGTGCTGGAGGGAGAACGAGGAGTACAGTTCTGATGGGGCGGTTGGCAAGTGACAAACACGCCTGGCTGCTTGTTTAAAGCATGATTCCCAGGCCCCTCCCTGGAGCTTCTGATTCCATAAGTCTGAATACAGACTCGTGAATGTGTATTTTTAATTAAGCACCCAACGTGAGCATTAATGAACAGGTACATTTGGCAAACACTGCATAAGGACCCAGTAACTAAAGAACACCCTCCAATAAAACTCTGCCAGGGGGCTCCACCAACTTAGCTGAAGTTGGAAACAGACTCACAGAGGTAGAAAAGATCAAAACAGTGGTCTTCAACCCTTCCCACATATTAGAATCACCTGGGACACCTTTTTAAACTCCCGTGCTGGGCTGCAATCCAAACCCACTGAAGCAGAATTCCTAATTTTTTTTTTTTTTTTTTTTTTTTTTTTTGGAGACGGAGTCTCGCTCTGTCGCCCAGGCTGGAGTGCAGTGGCGCGATCTTGGCTCATTGCAAGCTCTGCCTTCTGGGTTCACGCCATTCTCCTGCCTCAGCCTCCCGAGTAGCTGGGACTACAGGCGCCAGCCACCATGCCTGGCTACTTTTTTGTATTTTTAGTAGAGATGGGGTTTCACTGTGTTAGCCAGGAAGGTCTTGATCTCCTGACCTCGTGATCCACCCGCCTCGGCCTCCCCAAGTGCTGGGATTACAGGTGTGAGCCACCACGCCCGGCCTGAAAATTTTTTTAAACTTCAGATGAATCTAAGGTGCAGCCAGTGTTGAGGATGAGAAGATTAGACGGGAGAGGTCTTAAGATCCTCGTGAGAACCACAGCTTGACCTCAAGTGATTCGAATCCTTCCCCATGTGCCAGGAGGAATTGAGGACACGCATTCTTCAGGGGAGCCATCTCAGCTCCATTAAGGGGATTTGTGCCAAGCCATCCATCATTCCACAAATATTTATTGAGCACCTGCCTGGCACTGCCACAAGATGTTGGGGATGCAACCATCAACAAGCCACAGCCTCTCCCTTCATCATGCTTATGCCCTGAAAGCAAAGTAGCACAGTTATGAACGGGGTTTTCAAAATTGCACTCAGACCAGTGGTTCTTAACCCAGACTACACATTAGAATCACCTGGAGAGCTGTTAAAATTTGTATTCAACGACCTGAGCACCACCAGACATCGATTTGATCAGAATGTTTGGGGTTGGGACTTAGGCATCAGTATTTTGTAAAAGCTCACCAGATGCTTCCAATGTGTGGCCAGAGATGAGAACCACTTTGGTTTAGACTCAAACTCTACTGCAGGGGCCTGGGGGCTGGCTCAGGAATCATTTCAGAGTCTTGGGCAGCACCTCCTGGTTGTCAGAGCATAAAGAAATTCCAGCCTTTGTTTCCTAACTATAAGCACTTCTGTGCCATGTGTATCCAACAAGCATCTTGGGGGCAGCTGATGCATTTAGGTGGAGGAAGGAAGAGTGAAGACCCCAGCTAGGATACTTATAGACAGGTATCTAGAAAGAGATGGATTCTTCTGGGTCCTTATGACAGGGACCCAAGGTCCAGATGATGAAATTTTGGCCAATAAACAAGAAAACCAGGCTTCCCCTGTGATTTAGAAAAGGAGAAAAGCTAGGAATGCCTCCCCACATCCTTTCTCGTCCCTCCATCCCATAATTATTAAGTGCCACTAAATCTAGTGGACATTTGTTGATTGTGCCTACCCAGAATAATTCCTCCCTTCTTCTCATAACAGCACCCCAGTGTGTTCCTTGGGGAAACTACTCTAAACATAATCTTGGTAGAGCTATCAACCCAGCTGCCCCACCTTCCCCAAGCAACGAAGTGGATGAATGACCCAGACTGCGCCAATCAGAGAATTTTATCTCCACTAACTAGCCTGAGATCCACTAAGGCAGGGGCTATGACCACCTCATTCGCAGCTTTATGTGCAATGGATGTGTGGATAAATGGAGGATGGATAAGTAGATGGATTGATGGATGGGTGAATGGAAGATGGATGCATGGATGGAAGATGGATGGATGGATGAATAGATGGGTGGATGGATGGATAGGGGATGGATTGATGGATGGGTGAATGGAAGATGGATGCATGGATGGAAGATGGGTGGATGGATGAATAGATGGGTGGATGGATGGATAGGGGATGGATGGAAGAATGGATGGATGATGGATGGAGGAGTGGATGGAGGGTGGATGGACGGATGGATGGAGGATAAATGGATAAATGGATGAATGAAAGATACATGGATGGATTGATGGAGGATAGATGGATGAATGGATGGATGAAAGAGTGAATGTGTTGCACGGATGAGTGGATCCATTAATCAATGGAAGAGTAGATGTTTGCCTGGATGAATGTAGAGTTTGACTCTCCTTAAAATCCTTAGAGTTTTCTTTAAGGGTCCTCCACCCTGAGGCTTACCCTGGCCACCCAAATGCTATGGCAAGAACCTAAATTCTTACCCCAATTCCACTTCCTCTTCAGATACCCAATGATAAAATGAGATATTAAAGGGAAGATCACTTTGCAACTGATCAAGTGCTACAAAAATTTCAGCCTGAGGCAGGACCGTTCAGGACAGTCTAACTGCCTTTGTTGTCCCTCTGAACAGTGGATATATTTTCAAAGCTTCTAGGATTTGGAGTCTGGACTATTGTAGTCAGAGTTCTTTAAAAGGAAGTGCTTCAGACTAGGTGCCAACCCATAAAAGAGTTTCTGCTGGACAGTGGGGAGTAAAAGGGTCTTCTTCCCTAAAGGTTACCTTGAAGGGTGGGAGTTTGGGCTGGGGGAAAGGCATATTTTCAATTCAAAAATAAATAATCTGTGCTCTTAGGAACAAGGTCCAGGAGCAGAATGCATGAGCTTTATGCATCGAGAGTGACTCTGGGAGGTGGAGGGATGGAGGTGGGATGGTGATCTTCACAGGGCATCGCTGTCAACTTTCTCTCTATCCTGTGTCTGACCTCCTTTGGACACCCTGGCCTCTGAGTTTTTCCCCAGCCTCTCCAACCGAAGTGCAACAGAAAGCTAGTGAAGCCACTGAGACTTTGAAACTTCTAGCACACATTGGTACTATTTGACCCTGGCCCAGGAACTCAGCTCCCTTCAACATGCACTTAACCCACAGTCTAATTACAGACTGAGGTATGTGCCGTGAAAGGCAAGGAGAATGTGTTACAGAGCTTATGTCAAGGAAACCTGACGTAGACAGGGAATTCAGATAAGGCTGCCCTAGGGAGGCGATGTTTAAGCTGGGACTGGAAGGTTGGTAGAAGTTAGTTAGGGAATGATGAGGGGAGGTACTAACAGAGCGATGAGGGAGTATGTGTAAAGGCTCTGAGGCAGGAGGAAAGTATGAAACGATGGAGGACCCGAAAGAAGACAGGAGTGGCAGGTGCTCAGGGAAGGATGAGAAGATGGTGTAAGATCAGGCTGGGAGGTAAGTGGGGCCCAGGAGACCATGTTGAGAGTTTGGGACCTGAAAGCAATTGGGAACAACTGGAGAGTGTTAGGCAGCACATGACAGAATCATAGACGAGTTTTTAGATGATGGCTCTGGGTTCTCTGAGGATGAGAAATTGCAGGGGCAAGGGTTGAAGCCGGAGGACCAAGTAGATGGTTCTTATAGCCGTCCAGGAAAGAGATAATGGGGGCGTAGACTACAGAGACAAGTGGTAGCCATAGAGATAAGAAAATGTGGAAGGATTCACAAGACTCATAGACTGTCATCCTTTGGTCCCTCTGTGAGTTACCTCTCTTCCTCTTCTAGGCTTCCTTAAAATGGAGCATAATTTGGGTCCACCTGGATAGAAACAGTCAAGAAGCACTGACTCCCGAAACGCCTTCAAGAAGCTCCTCCTACCACCCAAGGTGGCTCTGCGTCCCCAGGCTGCTTCAAGATGGCCCTGGAGTTACCCACCACCTACAGCTCTGCCTTCCTTTCCACCTTCTGGTAGAAAGCTCATTTTTATCTACAACCTGGGCCTCTCCACAGAAATCCAGGCTTGTATATCCAATGACGACCCAACATCTCCACGGGAGCATCTAACAGGCACCTCAGTGTGAATGTGTCCAAAACCAAACCCTACGTCTCCAGCTGTTCCTGCCTCACTGTGCCTCAACTCAAGTATTGCTCTGCCTGTAATCCAGTTCTCCAATCAAACACCAAAGAGTGGTTCTTGAGTCCTCGCCTTTTCTCATGCCCACGTGCAAACCCTCAGCAAAAGCAGGCAGTTGCACCAAATGTAACCCAAAGCCACCCATTTCTCACTAACTTCACTGTTCTTCCTCCCACCTCCCAAGAATTCAGGCCTTCATTATTTCTTACTTGGACAACTGCAGAAGCCTCCTCCCTGGACTTGCTACTTCTACTTTTGCCCCTATGTGGAGCAACCAGAGGGAGCCTTTAAAAAATATACATCTGATAAACCCTCCAGTGGCTTCCCATTAAATTAAAATTAAATACAAAGCCCTTGGTCTGCAAGGCCCTACGTAAGCTACGTCCCACCTGACTCTCCTTGGGTATCATCTCCTGCCATTCTCCCCTTCTCTTACTCCCTCTGCCACCCTGATCGTCCGCCTGTTCCTTGATAACGCCCACATGACCCCACCCCAGGGCCTTTGTACTTACTGTTCCCTCAGATATTGCCTGGCCACTACCTTACTTTGTTCATTTCACAGCTCAAAAGTCACCTGTTAGAGACCTTCCCTGCCTGTCCTAATAAAAATCGCATCCCCCGGCATTCTCTGTCTCCTCACCCTGCTTCATGTTCCTCATTGCCCTTTCCGCTATGGTGTATTTTATTCATATGTATATTTCTTTTATTGCCTGTTCCTTTCACTTGAATGCAGTCCCCACAAGGGCAGGGATATTTGTCTGTTTTCTTCCCTGGGATATCTAGGGTTGCCAAGTTTAGCAAATACAAATACAGGATACCCAGTTAAATTTGAATTTTAGACAATGAATGCTTTTCTTAGTAGAAGAAGTATGTCCAAAATAGTATGTGGGACAGACATAAACTAAGAAGTTATTCATTGTTTACCTGAAATTCAAATTTAAGTGGACATCCTGTATTTTTATCTGGCAACCCCAGCTGTATCCCCAGATCCTAGACTGGTACCCAGTACATGGTAGCTTCTCACTAAAAAGCAGCTGAAGGAAAGAATGGAAGAATGGCGCCCAACAGAGCTTCTACCTGAGATCAATCAGTGAATAAAACTGCACCACTAGGAGAACCCAAAGTCCCTTCTTTGCTCAGCTTTATGGGACTCAACAGGGATGTCCTGAAATTTAGCAGTGTTTTGTAGCCTTGGCAGCCCAGCCTCTAGCCTGGTTCCAATACCTGTAATTATTTGTAGAGAAATAACATGTCATCTGACTCAATGGCTTCAGGGAAATTCTACCTGCACATGTTGCTTAAAAAGAAAAAGAGCCTGGTACAGTGGTGCACACCTGTAGTTCCAGCTACCTGGAGACTGAGATGGAAGGATCGCTCAAGCCCATGAGTCTGAGACGGCAATGTGTGACAATTTCACCTGTGAAAACCACAGCACTTCAGCCTAGGCAACACAGCAAGACCCCGTCTCCAAAACAAGGAGTGAGAGAAAAAAAAAGAATATTATAAAAGACAATGTTCTGTTATAGAAAATATGTAAATAGCTTCTTGAGGTTTTTTGGTTTTTTTGTTTGTTTGTTTGTTTGTTTGTTTGAGATGGAGTTTTGCTCTTGTTGCCCAGGCTGGAGTGCAACGGTGCAATCTCAGCTCACCGCAACTTCTGCCTCCCAGGTGCAAGCGATTCTCCTGCCTCAGCCTCCCGAATAGCTGGGATTATAGGCATGTGCCACCACACCCAGCTAATTTGAGTTCTTTACAACAAGACTGGTACATATGAACCCCTTCCACCCCTTCCAGGCTGACTTTCCTGCTGAAGGTCAATGGCATGAAGACATAAATGTCTGACCAAGCCTGGAGTGATCTTGTGATACATTAAAGAACAACCCAGAGCTGGGAGGCCCAGGATCCAAACTGAGTTCTTCCTCTCACTCTGTGACCTTTAAGCAAGACACCTTCAGTGCCTCAGTTTCTCTGTCTGTAAAATGGGAAGAGATGAATTAGATAATACCTGAGTTACCATTTCAGCTCTAAAATTCAAGGATTGTTTAACAAGGAAAACCAAGCTAATCTGAGTAGCAGCCGGGGCTCGCTTCATGGGATGTGACATGCAGAGTCACACGGCATTCCGCACCTGGAATAACCTGTGCTTAGAAGGAGCCTGCACTTGGTTGAATGCTCTGCTGTTGACATTTTTTAAATTCTGAATACTTTTTGAACAAGAGGCGATGCATTTTCATTTCGCACAATGCCCTGAAAATTATGTAGCCGGCTCTGATAGTGTACAAGTGCTCCTCAACTTATGGTGGGTGATATCCCAATATACCCATGATACACTGAACATATTGTTGGGTTGAAAATGCATTTAGGCAGGGCATGGTGGCTCACGTCTATAATCCCAGCACTTTGGGAGGCTGAGGCAGGAGGATGGCCTGAGGCCAGGAGTTTGAGACCAGCCTAGGCAACATAGTAAGATCCTGTCTCTATGAAAAATAAAAATACATTAGCCGGGCTCCCATTTGAGCCCAGGAGCTTGAGGCTGCAGTGAGCCATGATCGCACCACTGCATTCCAAAAGAGTAAGACCCCATGTCTAAAAAATAATAATAATAGGCCAAGCACGGTGGCTCATGCAAGCCTGTAATCCCAGGACTTTGGGAAGCCAAGGTGGGTGGATCACCTAAGGTCAGGAGTTCGAGACCAGCCTGGCCAATGTGGTGAAACCCCGTCTCTACTAAAAATACAAAAAATAGCCAGGCATGGTGGTGGGCGCCTGTAATTCCAGCTACTCGGGAGGCTGAGGCAGGAGAATCGCTTGAACCTGGGAGGTGGAGGTTGCAGTGAGCCGAGATTGCGCCATTGTACTCCAGCCTGGGTGACAAGAGCGAAACTCCATCTCAAATAATAATAATAATAATAATAAATACAAAGAAAATGCATTTAATATGCTTAACCCACTGAACACCATAGCTTAGTCTAGCCTACCTTAAACATGCTCAGAACATTTACAGTCACCTACGCAATTGATTTTAGGCAAAATAACCCAACACAAAGACTACTTTATAATGAGGTGTTGAATATCTTCTGTAATTTATTGAATACTATACCAAAAGAGAAAAACAGAATGGTTTATGGGTACCCAAAGTACAGTTTCTACTGAACTCATATCGCTTTCACACCATCGTAAAGAAAGCCTAAGTCAAACATCATAAGTCAGAGACCATCTGTATAACACATAAGTCACACATTTTCATCATGAACTCCATGTCCTAACAACCTCCCATTATAATAAAACACTGCTTATAAAAGGCAGGCATTGAAACGTTTTAAGTTGGATTCAAAAAGTGGGAACATTCTTTACCAGACTCCAAAAACCATCTCCCTTCAACGGAAGCATTCCCTGGGACTCATGATCACTCTAGGTGTTAATATATAACTTATACACAGATGCATTTGACTCCAGCAAGGCTGGCACTAAGGTGAGGCAAGAGAGGTAAAATGAAAGAGGGCACCAAAAACTCAGTAATTAGATAAATTATATCTTCACACCATGTTTTAAAACATCAAAATGAATGCAAAAAAAAATCCTCGCTGAACAAGCTATTATAATTTTAATAAAGACAGGGTCAGTAACAGTCCATGTGAGCCACACTGCACCCTAAGGCCACAGGGAAAATGAGTAATGTTGATCTTGTCTTTATTTAACATTTTTATTTATTTATTTTTTTTGAGACAGGGTCCCACTCAGTCACCCAGGATGGAGTGCAGTGGCGAGAGCATGGCTCACTGCAGCTTCAACCTCCCCAGCTCAGATGATCCGCTCACCTCAGCCTCCTAGTAGCTGGGGCTACAGGCTCCTGCCACCATGCCCTGCTATTTTTTTTTTTTTTTTTTTTCTGGAGAGACAAGGTCTCACTATGTTGCCTAGGTTGGTCTCGAACTCCTGGGCTCAAGCTACCGCATCTGGCCTTTTTAAAAAAAGCTTATCATGGAGTTTTGGCATGATAAGCCAAAATTTTAAAACAAAAATTTTGTTTTAAAAATATTATATTAGGTCGCACACAGTGGCTCATGCCTGTAATCCCAGCACATTGGGAGGCCAAGGTGGGCGGATCATGAGGTCAGGAGATCAAGACCATCCTGGCTAACATGGTGAAACCCAATCTCTACTAAAAATACAAAAAGTTAGCCGGGTGTGGTGGCGGGTGCCTGTAGTCCCAGCTACTCGGGAGGCTGAGGGAGGAGAATGGCATGAACCTGGGAGGTGGAGCTTGCAGTGAGCTGAGATCACGCCACTGCACTCCAGCCTGGGCGACAGAGCGAGGCTCCATCTCAAAAAAAAAAAAATGTGTATTAAAATATGGTTCATCCTGGGCTTACGCCTGTAATCCCAACATTTTGGGAGGCCAAGGTGGGAGGATCGCTTGAGCCCAGGAGTTCAAGACCAGCCTGGGCAACATAGTGACACCCCATCTTTATGAAGCTGAAACAGGAGGATGGCTTGAGCCCAGGAGGCTGACGCTGCAGTGAGCCGTGTTCGTGCCACTGCACTCCAGCCCAGGTGACAGAGCAAGTACCTGTCTCAAATATATATACATTTCATATATGTATGTGTGTCTGTGTGTGTATATATATATACATATAGTTCATCCTGATTACTGAATTTCTTGCATTTTGCTCCCCCAAATGCCTCATTGGCTTCCTCATGCTCTTGCAAAGCCATTTTTAGGGATGAGCTCCTTATAGATTGAGAAAACAAGACAGTTTCAAACCTGACTTGCACTCCAATCTATCATCTCCTACAGAGTCTTTTAAAGCCCGAAGAGGACTTCTCTGTTGTGAGAAAACTATTTTCCAAGAGGGGATTGCAGCAAAAGGCCGTTAGTTGAATATGCCACCCTCCCACTGGGCAGGCACTGATGGCCATCAGTACCTCGTAAGACAGCAGGGTTCTACTAAAAGCCAACACCCAAATCAACGGGTGGACTGTAGGAAGATGCCCCATTTGACAGCAGTAGAAGTCACAGGTCTGCAGGAGCTCCACCAAGTCCATCCTGCAGGCATATTATGTTTGGCCTGCCCAGTAATTTATTTTTAATCTGAACTAATATTTTTATTTTTTTTAATTATATATTAAGTTCTGGGATACATGTGCAGGACGTGCAGGTTTGTTACATCAGTAAACATGTGTCATGGTGGTTTGCTGCACCCATCAACCCATCACCTAGGTACTAAGCCCCACATGCATTAGCTATTTATCCTGATGCTCTCCCTCCCGCACCTTCCTGGCAAGGCCCCAGTGCTTCTTGTTCTCCTCCCTGTGTCCATGTCGAACTAACATTTTTAAATTGGGAGATTTCACATAAAAGTCCAAAATTCCAACTTCTTAAAAAAAAAAGGCAGGCAGATCCCGCCACTCCAGGCCTACATTCCCGTATGGACCAATCGGCTGGAGGTGAGTAGAGGCTGTTCCCTGGGGATGCCCTCCTCCGTTTGCCCCAGCCCCCACCTGTCTTCCTCATTCATTTGTTCCACCTGCCGGGAGCCTGTGAGCTTGAGCGCCTGGGCTGCAGAGTCTTGATTCCTTCCACCTGGTCCCCGCACAACTACTTTGCCCTGGTTTTGTTTCTCCTCTTTGTTCCTTGCTTTCTAGCACGTTCCCCTCTGTCTTGGGTAAAAACGTTTAGAAGGAGGGCAGGCGTGCTGGGCGCGGTGGCTCACGCCTGTAATCCCAGCACTTTGGGAGGCCGAGGTGGGCGGATCACGAGGTCAGGAGATCGAGACCATCCTGGCTAACACGGTGAAACCCCGTCTCTACTAAAAATACAAAAAATTAGCCGGGCATGGTGGCAGGTGCCTGTAGTTCCAGCTACTCGGGAGGCTGAGGCAGGAGAATGGCATGAACCTGGAAGGCAGGAGCTTGCAGTGAGCCGAGATCATGCCACTGCACTCCAGCCTGGGCGACAGAGCAAGACTCCATCTCAAAAAAAAAAAAAAAAAAGAGGGAGGGCAGGCTCAGTAAACCTGCCTCCCCCTTAAACGACGGTCCTTGATCTTAACTGAACAGGAGATGCCGCCATCCCTCTGCCAGGGAGGCTCCATCTTCTACCAAGGTAGAACCTCAAGGGGCAGGGTGGGTAGGGCTGGTTCGTTAGGGGATAGAGTATTGGTTAATATCTGCCCATCCCCACAATCATTTCTCACTCAATGTACCTGTCACCGTCGGCCCACTGTCCCCCCTCAGTCACCCAAGCTGTCTTCCCCTGTATGCCCCAAGATCATTTCTCTCTCCATTCTCTTCCCTGCCATATTCTTTGCAGACTCAAACATCTGTACCGATTTCCTAATCTTTGAAGTCAGGGAGTGATGAGGACAAGCTGGCTGACTCAGAGGTACCCGTCATCAGCTCCCATCCGCACAACTAAACCCTGGAGCACACACCCCCACCGCCTCCAAAAAAGCACAAGACATCGGCTGTTCTCTCCCTCTTTTGCTTCTCCATCAACACAATCACTAGACCTCACCTAAGCTCATAGTCACTTAGCTTATAAATGACTTCCTATGTCTCCCCCAACTTCACAAAAACATCTCTATCTGACTTTCAAATGCAAACAGGCATGTCTCATAGACGTTGGGTTTTTCTCCCCACCACCTCACCAGGAGCTCTGCATCTGTTAGACTCTCCACAAGCACCTCTGGACTCAGTGGCTCAGTGATTGAAGTGGGTCATCAGGACCCTACAGAAAAGACCCCAGAGGCTTGGTAGAAAGTGGATTTGTCCCTACAGGAACTCCTGAAAGTTACTGAGCTGGAGGAAAGAAATAAATTGAATTTAAAACAATAGTAAAAATGGAAGCTAACAGGAACTGACCCCTTTGTCTTTGCTGAGAGCGTCACAGACACGATTTCCTTTCAACCTTAAAGTACCCCCATGTGTAAGAATTACTAATAGCCCACTTTTCAGTTAAGGAAATGAGGGCGTGCAGCAGGTTGTGGTGTGACTTGCAAAGTCACACGTGCACCATGAAAATGGTTTTGTCTCGCACGAGTCTGATACTCATTACTGAGTCATGCTATTCCTGGGTGATTAGCTAAGGGTGGATTTGCCAAGGGACATTTCTGGATCAAGATGAAACCCAGAAAAGTCTTCATGACTGCCAGTGATAGCGGAGGGTGGAGGAGGAGCTGACGAGGGGAATCCAGGCGGGGCTGACAAGAAAGCACATCTGAAGTGGTTCGAATATTCATAGGATTGATGGCATCTACCCCTAGGTACCAAAGCCAGGGACCATCCCTGTGGAACCCTGGGGCTCGAGGGAACACAGTTTGAGAACCCTAAAGGAGAAAGCTCTATGGACTGGGAGGCACTGCTTCTGAGCAGCTCTCCTGCCCCACACTGGCCCCAGCCATCTTCATCTCCTGCCTGGACCACTGCAGCAGCCTCCTGTTTGCCTGCCTAGCATTCACTCTTACCTGGCTAGAGGCTGCTCTCCCCTTAATGGGCAGTAAGACCATTTGAAAAGATTCATTAGACCACATACCACTGCTGCTGAACATTCCCCCAGGGGCTCCTGATTACCCCAGGAATGAACTTCAGACTCCTTACAAGATCCTATGTGGGCCGGGTGCGGTGGCTCATGCCTGTAATCCCAGCACTTTGGGAGGCCGAGTCAGGTGGATCATGAGGTCAGGAGATCGAGACCATCCTGGCTAACACAGTGAAACCCCGTCTCTACTAAAAATACAAAAAATTAGCTGGGTGTGGTGGCGGGCGCCTGTAGTCCCAGCTACTTGGGAGGCTGAAGCAGGAAAATGGCGTGAATCCGGGAGGCAGAGCTTACAGTAAGCTGAGATTGCCGCCATTGCACTCCAGCCTGGGCGACAGAGTGAGACTCCATCTCAAAAAAAAAAAAAGATCCTATGTGATCCTGTCCCACGATCTTGTCTCCATCATGCTCCCCCTGCCCCTTCTGATCCAGCCCCACTGGGCTCCTTGCTGTTCACTGAGCATCCCGAGCACATGCCTCTCCTCAGGGCCTTTGCACACATCGCTCATTCTGCCTGGAATGCTCTTCCTCCAGACATCTTTCAGGCGGATTCCTCACCATTCAGGGGTCAACCAAAAAAAGATATTGCCTTAGAGAGGAAGGGCTATCCAGCCCGAATGAGGAATCCTACTCTTGTAGATTGAATCGTCCCTCCTGACCCTACCAAAAAAATATATTCAAGTCCTAACTCTAGATCCTATGAATGGGACCTTATTTGGAAATAGTGTCTTTGCAGATGTAATCAAGTTCAGATGAAGTCATACTAGACTTAAAGGGGTCCAGGCTAATGACAGCTGTCCCCGTGAGAAGAGGAATCAACGCACATGCACTCGGGAAGAAGGTCACATGAAGACAGAGGCAGAGATGGGAGTGACACAGCCACAGGCCACAGAGGGCCAAGGGTCTCCAGGAGCCACTGGAAGCTGGGAGAGACAAAGAAGGGTTTCCTCCTAGAGCCTTCAGGGAGAGCATGGCCCTGTGACACCTTGATTCAAACTTCCGGCCTCTAGAACTATGAGAGAATAAATATGTATTGTTTAAAGCCATTCAATTTGTGGTCATTTGTTATAGCAGCCACTGGAAACTACTACACCCACCCACTCACCAGACACACACACACCCCAAGTCGTTCGCAACTCCATTCTCCTTTTAACCGTAACAATGGCCTTTAGACTTCCTTTGGTCCCTGGTCCTTGACGGCATCTGAAGTCATCCTGGCTATTTCCTGGCAAGCCTCATGAGGCCATGCTCTGTATCTGCCTCATTCACCGCTGAATCCCCAGCATCTTGGAAAGTACCCGGCACGTGATAGATCCCCAAACATCTTGGTGAAAACACATTAAATGGTCAAGGGGGCATCTAAGAGGAGATGGAAACTGGGCTGGGCCTTCAAGAAAGATGTGAAGGAAAGGAGAGAAACCCAGATAGGAAGCCTCACTCAAGCACAGGCAAAGAGAGGGACCAACAGTGCCCGTTGAGGAGGAGCGATAGCACAGGCAAAGGCCAGCATGGAAGCAGCAATTTTGCTGGAGCCCGGAGCCCCGGAGTGTCAGGGGAAAGAAACACCCAGCTGGGCTTCAGCCACCCAGAGAAGCTCTGAGGAAAGGAGCCCCGGATAGGTCCATTGTGATAGAGAGCCAGAGAGAGGGGATGGGGGCTGCTAGGAGTCATTGCGTGGTGCAGAAAGTCAAGCAGGAAGGGAAGAGATTCCCCTGACTCCAGACTTCGTGGCGGGCTGGCTCCTTTAGGGGGCTGGGGCCTTCCTCTTCAGCTCATCTTGGCTGAATAGTCCTGCTGCAGGAAGCAGTAAAGACTGGACCATGGAGCCCTTAAAAACCAAGCTTTTGGCATCAGCTGGGCCTAGGGCTGCCCCATAAAATGCCTTGACCACTCCCCGTGTTCTCTAAAAGGAGGGTCCTACTCTATACCAAGCTCTCAGGGTTTTGTGGGTGTGTGTGAGAATCCAATGTGATAATATCTGTAAAGTGGCTGGCCTTAGGGTACACATCCAGTAGGGAAAAGATGATCGCCCTATTATTATTATTCAGCATTACAGTCAGGGAGCAACAGGGGTGTGGGTTTGAATCCAGACTCCACCACTCGCTAGGGCTGCGACCCTGGTGAGTGACTCTATCTCCCTGTACAAAATGGGGAGGACGGGAGAGAGGATGCTTGAGGTGGCACATGAAAGGCCTTGGCATGGTGCCTGACACACGGTTGACACTCAGTGAGTGGTGGCTGCTGTCACTGTCATTGTCATTTGTGGCTTGTTGCTGTTATTGGGGGCTTATTTATTCCAGAAAACAAGAGAAATGTGAGTATCTGTTGGATGGCCCAGGAGAAATCCTACTGAGGTCACCAGCTCCGGCTGGGACAATGTGGAAGTCAAAAGGTCACTATCATTGTTAAAAGGAAGCAGAAGAGAGTGAGACACAATGAGAGTGCGGTCCTTCAGCTTGTCCGAATGCTGTGGTCCTAACAAGCCACAGAACTTCTCCTGTGCTGCACTCATTCCTAACTCATTCATTCATCCATCCATTTAACCAAAAGAATTACTGAACACCTACTAAGTGCCAGGCACTCTCCTAGCACTGAAGATACAGTGGTGACCAAGACAGGTGTGGTTTCTGGTTCCTGGAGTTCAAATCTGTTGGAGGACATGGACAAATAGTCAGATAATTACCATCAGTGTGATAAGTACCAGGATGCAAGCAGCACAGGACAGAGGCCAGCAGAGCCCAGAGGAGGCCTCCCATCCAGGCTGGGCAGTCAGAGATTCTCAAATTCCTGTTCTAGCAAAGGAACAAAAATAGGAACCTGGCCGGCCATGGTAGCTCATGCCTGTAAACTCAGCACTTTGGGAGGCCAAGATGGGAGTATTACTTGAGCCCAGGAATTCAAGACCAGCCTGGGAATCATAGCAAGACCCCATCTCTACAAACAATTTAAAAAGTTAGCCAGGTATGGTGGTGCACCCCTCCAGTCCCAGCTACCCAGCAGGCTGAGGTGGGAAGATTGCTTGAGCCCAGGAGGTCAAGGCTACAGTGAGCCATGATCACACCACTGCACTTCATGCTGGGCAACAGAGTGAGACCATGTCTCAAAAATAAAAAAATAAAAACTTGACCGGCTTCTTCCAGTCAGGAAGTATAAATAATCAGTCATTTACATATTAAGTGTGAGTTATCCAATGAGAAAACGCATGAGAAAGTATTTAGTAATTGGATTTAGGCATTGGTTTTTTTGGGGGGGGGCGAGGTAAATGTTGAAATAATAAATTATACAATAGTAATGACCGCAATTATTTTTTGAATGGGTACCTTCCGGATTATATTGTTTATTAAAGGATTGAGAACTTCCATAGATTATTTGCTGTTTCCCCTGCTTCCTACCACCCTCCAAAGACTTCTACTGCCTGGGACCCTCCCCATAATTCAGCAAATAAATAGTTAAAGCCTGGCCCAGCAGAGAAGTGTCTAGGGGCCCTGCTCCTATGGTTCTGATTGGTTTGTATCTGGTTGTTACATTTACTAAATATTATTCTGGATAATATTAATATCACTCATAACATGGGGAAATTGAGGCACAAGTGAAGTAACTCATACAAGTGGCCAAGATTTGAACCTCTGATTCAGACCTCAAGCTGTTAACCTCTTGGATAGTAGCAATGTTACCTGGGACCCAGTGGAGACTCACAGAAATAGGAGACCCGATCCCTGGCCTCAGGGGGCTTGTAATCTAGCCAAAGAAAGTTCTTAATAAAGTTAGTCATGGGAGTGTCTGGTGAAAGTGTGATTCTCTCTGGAGTCTGAGAAGAGAGGCTTGCAAGCTGGAGGGGCTTCCCTTCCTGGGTAGCAAGGGAAAGACTAGCCAGGAGGAGGGGTCCCTGGGAGGGGCTCTCAGTACAGAAAGCAGCATGGGCTTTGGAGCTGCCACACTGGCTGGCTGAGGACTTTCTTCTTCTACTAAGAGTGGAAGCCTTATGCTTTCATTTCCCTGAGGGAAGTCAAAGCAAGAAGCCCTCGCTAAAGCACAAATCAGCTGCTGCCTCAGTTTCACCACCTCTAGCAATAAGCCTTATACCCTCCACATCCTCCCATATGTCTCTTTCCCTTCCAGCATATGTCAGGGAACAACGTGGTATTGGGGAAAGATCCCAGAACCAGGCTCTGGTCCCACCTCGGTCACCTCATCTGTCAAATGGTATAAAAAATTATGATGATGTTATTGAGTTTCAGAGACAGCAGAGCATATGGTGAAGAGTTCAAATTAAGGCTCTACCACTTTCTTCCTGGATAACACTTGGCCCATTGCCACACATCTCTGTGCCCAACCCCTCCTCCAGGAAGGAGACCATGATTGCAGTACTTATCATCTACAGTGTTATAACAATTAAAAGACTTAATGCTTGCAGAGCACTTAGCCCCTTGTCCTACTCCAGTCAATGATAAATTTATGTTTGCCGTCACCATCTAGGGCAGGAATTGAGCACTCACTGTGTGCCAGTCACTGTGCTCCTTATCTGCTATGTGACCTTGGGCAAAGCCGGGTCTCACTATCCTCAACTGTCAGACAATACTATTTGGTGTGTGTTTACTGCATGTTAAGCACAGAACTGAGCATTTTACATGCATCATTTCATACGATGCTCTTGACAATCCGATGAAGTTGATACTATCATTATTCCTTTTTGCAAATGAGAAAATTGAGGCTTCACAAGCCAAGATCTTAACCCTATCTGTGTCATTATAAAGTTCCAGTAAGTTTAAAAGTACTTTGGAAAGTAGAAAGTACTGCATCTCTTCAAAGAATGTTTACTGTCAAATCCAGTTTCTCCACAGCCTCAGTTTATTGTTTTGCATCTTTAATATAACAGGATTTGTAGCTAATATTTATGGAGCATTGACTATGACCAAGACACCATTTTCGGTGCCTTATCTGTTTTACCTCATTGAATCTCATAACAACCCTGGAAGAGAGACATAATTATTGGCTCCATTTTACAGATGAGAAAAGTGTGGCACAGAGAAGTTAAGTCACTTGCCCAAGATCACACAGTTGTGATGTGGCCAAGCAGAAATTCTAATGGAAGCAGAAGGCAGGGAGTCTGGGTTTGGGAGAGAACAAAGCTCACCCTGGGTTTGTTTATTGCTGAAATACTTTCCATCATCTCACTCAGATAAAACTGAACACACCTCTTTCAGATCTTCAGTTTTTCACAGGGCCAATGCCGCTTTCTGTGCAGAAAGTTTGGAATTTTTTTAAATGCAAATATTTCTCTTCTCTATTTAACGACCCCACCCATTGGATGGGATATTGGGCTTTCCCTCAAGAGACCACCGTGCAGGGCATAGTGGGAGCATTTGGATCAGCCTGTGTCAAGCCAGCTGTCTCTGATGCCTGGAACTGCATTCTATGTGCCCAGTTGCCTTGGCAGACCAAGTGTGGTTCGCCTGGAACAATCTGGTGCCCTTGTCTCCCACATGTACACACACACACACACTGGTGTGCATACACCCACAATCCCTGCACGCATGAGCATGGGCTGGGGAGGGTAGCTATTGAACACGCGCACACAAAATACCCACATTTTGAAACCTTAGCAGAACTAGTTCATACACCTGGGGCACAGAGTTAGCAGCCTCAATAAAATTCGAGGCTTGTGTTAGATCACACAGTAAAACAGAAGCCCAGTTTCTCATCCAAGTTCTTTCTCTCTCTCTCTCTTTCCAAATGGAGCTAAATTTGGCATTAGGCTGACCTCCACCCCCACCACGAGAACATCAAACACCCGGTTTCAGTATTTATGACAGTAAAAACCCTTTCTCGCCCTTAATATATCTGTCTTCTGTCTGAGAGCATTGCTTTTACAGATGATACGATATCAGTAAATTTTTTTTGCCATTATGTCATAGGCTTGACCACTAGCAGAGGACAGGATAAACTGGTACCCGTTAAAACGTTCGAAGTCCTGGCAGGGTCTTGCTTTCAAAAGCGCAGCTCAGCTAAAACTATGTGTCATTGAGGTCTGCCGTGGCAAAGCACACCGTTTACCTAACCCAAGGCATTTGGCTTCAATCTAGTTAAAAAAAAAAAAAAGAAAGAAAGAGAGAGAAAGAAAAGAAAGAAAGAGAGAGAAAAGAAAGAAAGAAAGAGAGAGAAAGAAAAGAAAGAAAGAAAGAGAGAGAAAGAAAAGAAAGAAAGAAAGAAAGAAAGAAAGAAAGAAAGAAAGAAAGAAAGAAAGAAAGCAAGCAAGCAAGCAAGCAAGCAAGCAAGCAAGCAAGCAAGCAAAAGCCTCTCAGGTTTATTTACTGAAATTGTCATTTCTTCCCCCCCCCACCCCCACACCCCGAACTTTAATCAGCCACGCAAAGCACAAAACCTACATTCAACTCTGATTTTATGACAGGAGGCTAACTCCTCCTCCGCGAATTTATTTCACTTAACTCTCGAAGCCCCTCCCACTTGGCAGCCAGGCCCTGCAGCCCCCAACGCAGTGCTCCCCTCTGAAAAACACAACGCTTTGCCCATTTCCACTTTTAAAGACCGATTCGTTATTGTGGAGCCAAAGCCCCTCCGCAATCCCGACCAGATGGGACATTTTCATATCTTATGCTCCTTATAGTTAACCCCCTCCCATAAGATCCAAGTGGTGTGATACCAGGACTAAATCCAAGAGAAGGGGGAAAGAAGCAGAAACAGGGAAAGTACAGTGTAATCAGATCCCCAAACAAACTGATGGTACATTGCACTTTAAAGGGGTAGCTGGAGGACTCTATCCAGCAGGCACATCAAAAAGGGGGAAGAAAATAGTTTAAATGTCCCAGAGCATCCGCTGCTGCTGTAACTGTTAGAAAGCAAAGTCTTCCTTACTATACTTGCTGTATAGTAAAATGCCAAGCCTGTTCTCTTAAAAGAAAAAAAAGTAATAATAATAATACTGCAGCGTTATGGCATTTGCTGTCAAAAGCCGAGTGCTGAAACGGTTAAACAGCCAGCGGTTAGTAGCGAGAATCCCTCCCGGTGTCCCGTGGAGAGGAAAATCCTCCCGACAGACTGGCCTAGGGAATCCCGGCCTGGGACACTTCCCTGCCCCCGCGTAAAGTTGTCCAAAGTCGCCTTCCCAAGTGTCCCTTCCCTGGCCGGGGCGCGGGCGCCCCTCCGCGGGCCCCGCTACCTGTGCGCCGAGGGCGAGCGGGGTCCCCAGGCCTCCCGCACCGACCTCTGCCGGGAGCTGAAAGTGCTGCCCGGGACGGGAGCAGCAGGAAAGGGCCGGGAGGAGCGAGCGGAAAAGGCTGGAAGGGATCGAGAGTCAGTTACCTTGGTCCACAGACCCCATGATGCGGAGGGGATGGCAGTGCCCCAGTCTGAACGCAGCCTCTCTCTGCATCTGGAGGGCACGGGGACTTGGCGCGTGTTTGGAAAGGGGGATCTGTTTGTATCGACCAGCAGCCGAGGGGACGCCGTCTTCTCTACCGCGTGCCCGCGGGGCTGCCCTGGCCGAGGAGCCTCGGAGCGACCCGGGAGCTGCGCGCCTCCCGGCTCCCGGCTCGGCGGAGTCGGCGCGGCTCCGCGATCCGGCTTACTCCAGAGGCAACGCGACTTCCTTCCCCGCGCTCCGTGTTTATAGGCTTTCAATGCAGTAAAATAACGGGATTCCCTCACTGTTTCCTCCTGTTTATCCAGCGCCATGGAAACCACTGGATCCCGTCCATCTCCAAAACTAAGGGCTTTCCTGCAAACTTCACACTCAGGAATCCATGACGTCGCCTCCTCCGCGGCCAGCCAGCTCCGTGGCTCCTTCGGCCGCCAGCACAAGTCCCTGATTGTTCGGGAGAAAAGTCTGGGAGAGGGAGCGAAGCGGGCGACGGCGAGAAGAAGGGGGTGGGGGCGTGCGAGTGTCCAAGTCAGCCCTGCAGGAGCTCCAGGCGGCTGTTTGCAAGGAGTGCCCAGCCACCGCCTTCCCTGGCCCGTGGCAGCTTTTCATAAATCAAGCCCGAGACTCCCAAGCCCCCCATTTGCCAAGCGGGCGCCTCTTGGAGAAAGCTGCCCAGGGTTCAAATCAACACCCCAGGTTGTCCAAGCTCCTGGACGTTTGCCCAGGGGCCCTTCCCAGTCCCTCACGGCCTCTGGCTGCCCAGATTTTTGTGTGTTCAAGGATGGTGGGGAGGAGGAAGAGGAGAAGGAGGAGGAAGGAAAAGAAATAAATAACGGTGCCTTGTGTCAACTCTCCAACTTCGAGAATTTTTTTTCAAAGAGTTTATTTTTAGATTCATTTAGAAAATCCAAGGTTTCCAGTGATGCTCAGAGGCTCCAGAAATAATGAAATGGCCAAAGAGAAGCTGAAACCAGGCAACCCATGTGTTTACACATGCTCTGAATAAACAGGAAAATAAAGAGAAAGGATATCATGAACTTTGCACAGTGTCCAGAAGAAAGTCCTTGCGATGCCACGCATGGTTCACAGCAATAGGCCACGAGACCCCCAGAAGGTCCGTGGGGAGGGGGAGAGGGAGAGGTGCAGCGGTCAAGATGCCTTTTCTGGACTTGGACTAGGTCTGCCTCTTCACCTGCCTGCAGGGTGGGAAATTCTGAGCCCAAAGATAAAGCTGGCTTTGAAAATGGACTTCAGATACTGTTGTGAGCTCTGATAAAATTGTGGATAGCAACCAAGGCTGGTGACTCATCACATACACACCCCCCCTCCCCCCGCACGCTCTTACAGAGAGACTTGAACTTAAAGAGGCATCGAGAGGCAGCTGGCTCCATCCGTGGGACCACTCTGTTTTCCAGTACTGGCCCACAATAGCCTCACTGGGCAGCTCGCAGACATAACCACTCCTGCTGGAGATAGATGCTGGCCCACAGAGACCAGCTGGAACTGCGCCTGAGAAAGCCCCACCCCCAGCCCCGCCCAGGGGACTCTCTTCAAGCCTGCCTCAACCAGGGTGGCCTCCAGCAGGACAGTCTAAGTAATGCTGCTCCCCCAGAGAGCAGCCATTATCTGTCCACCTACTGTGTGCCAAGGAATTCAAGGTAGGGAAGTCTCACTGACTCTCGAGTAACTCAAAAATCGTGGCGCCACCAAATTTCTTGCAACCACCCTGCAAGGAGGGGATCCTCTCTCCCACTTTCCAAAAGGGAAACTGAGGCACATAGAAGGCAGGTGGCTTGCCTGTTGATTTACTTGGCAAATTCTGGGGTGCAGCCTTTAAGGGCGTAGAGAGGATTCTTTTCAGTGGAGCCTATTGAGGAAGACTCATTCCCTGAGGCCTCCTTCACCAACCATCTGAAGCAAGAACAGGGTGACCAACCTTCCTGGTTTGCCTGGGATTGAGGGGGCTCCTAGAATGTAAGACTTTCAGTTTTAAAGCTGAGAAGGTGGAACCTTCCACCCAAGGTGGAACTTGGGACAGGTTGGTCATCCCAGGCGTGAATGAAACTCAACTTCCTTTTGCCAGTATCCAGACACCAAGGAAGCCTGCTAACCATTGTCTTCTGCAGACAGTTACTACACTTAGTAACACTATGAATGGCAACCCCTCACCTCAGTACCTACTAGGTGCCAGGCCCTGAGCTAGAGTCATCTATAAATTCCCACTCACAATCCCACTGCAAAGTAATAGACTAAAGCTGAAAGGGGTTAGCCCTGTGCCATCCGATATGGCAGCCACTAGCCACATGTGGCTATTAAAATATTAAATAATTAACAAATAAAATGTAGGTGTCAGTTCTTCAGTTGCACAAGCCATATGTCAAGTGCTCAAAAGCCCACATGTGGCTGGTGGCTACCAAACTGGACAGCACAGAACAGAATGTTTCCATCACCGTAGAATGTCCTCTTGGGCAGTAGTGGGTTAGACAACCTGAGAGGCCATTTAGAGCTCAGGCTCTACAGTCAGATGGTTGGCTTTGCCATGGCATCACTCACCCCACTCTGTAAAATGGGGACACTAGGAATACCCTCCTTAAAGACTTGCTATAAGGATTCAATGAGTTTCTTTAATTGAAGTGCTAAGAACAGTAAAGCATATAACAAATCCTAAAAAAAAAAAAAATTTTTTTTGAAGAAAACCTTCCCACAGTCAAGAAATGAGTAGTGATTAAGCCAGGAGTAGGATTATTAGACTCGGCATTCATGCCCTTCCTCTCCAGGGCTCCCTACAACTGCCATGTCCAGAGCATCAGACAAGCTTGGCAAGGTCTGTTTCCTTTCACCCTCCCATTGAGCTTGATGCTGTGAGCCCCATTTACAGATGAGCAAACTGAGGCTCTACAAGTTGATGTGCACACAGCCAGTAAATGGACGGCCCAGAGTTGAACCCAGCTCTGTTTGGCAACAAAGCCTGTGTTCTTGGCACCATATCCCCTGCCTCCCAGAATCCTCCCTTGGTACCGAGGTTTTAGAGGCCAGAAGCGAGAAAGGAAACAAGCTTGCTGGGCCCTCCTCTGGCGGACTCATTATCGGGGATAAATTTAGACTCAGTCCCACCCAACTCAGGCCTCTGAGGCGATTCCCCAACTCCACAGGTGCCCAGAGCTGCTGAGCAGGGGATGTCTTTTGGAACTCGATAGAATCAGCATTAGCCACATTTTTATAGAGCCCACTCTTTGTCACGGTTAAGCGTTTTTCCCTTTTAAAGCACATTAATACTACAAGGGCTGGAGCCGGGGCAGTTGCAGCTGAGTCACCTAATTTGCCCTTCTGGGCTGCAGCTTTCGGCTTCTTAGTTTAGCCGTCCTTTGGTTCCTCAGACAATTTCTTTCCTCTCCCAGTGCCAGGGCAAGAAATATTTTGTCCTTTTGAACTGAACCACCCACTGTTTTTCACTTCTCTCGAGCACTCTCCCTTTTTTAAGGGATGCTCCAAGGGGGGTGGGTGGGGAGCTTCTGCCCACTAAATTATCCACGAAAACTCCCAAAAATAGAGGCTCTCAGCTGGGGTGGGAATGCACCAGCAAGTAAGGAAAAAGCAAAAGAGAAACTGAATCAAAGCAAATAGAAGGCGTCCAGGTGGCCGTAGGGGGAATGGTCCAGGGAGGCTGCAGAGACATCTGGGTTGGAGGAGACCTTGAATCACCGGGGAAGCCTTTTATTAGATTCTCTTCCCTCCATCAGCCTCATAAATCAGAAACACAGGTATTTCTGCTGAGACACCACTTAAGTGATGCTGCCCCAAACAACTGATTCAACACCAGGGTTATTTAAAAGGACTAGGGCAGCTTAGGTGAGGGCCCTTCTTTGCATCGCTCAAGTGTTATCTCTGTGCCAATAGGTCCCCTTGACTGTCAACCCCTTCCTGGCTGAAATGTAGATGGCAGTTGAGAATTGTTCTAGATTTCTACATGTCTCATACATAGAAAGTAGGACCAACGCAGGTGTCCGAAAGGTTTATTGACCTACCTAGAATAACAATGAACATTTATAGAGCAATTGCTATATGGTAGGCATTAACTCATTACATCCTGATGACAACTTTATGATGATCATTTTCCAGAGGAGAAAACTGCAGCACAGAGAGGTTGTGCAGCTTTCCCAAGGTTGCACAGCCAGTAAGTGGCAGAGGTGGGATTGGAACCCCAGCCACCTGGCTCTCGGGTGTTTTCTGAATTGCTCCGAGAAGCTCCCTATCAAATATCTGTTTGCCAGGCTTATTCCATGGGCATGGCTCAGGCTAAGTGGTGGGGGTGGGGTGAGGACACAATTAGAAGTCATAGTCCTTGCCTCCTACTTGGTTGACAAGGACACCACAAGGCCGAACGAGCAGTAGTGATCAACAGCAGCAACAGGAACGTGGGCTGGAAATGCTGGAGGTATTCACGGAAGTTGGTCAGTGCATCCTGGTGAGCTCTGACCAGGGGTCTCCACCCTCCCAGCTGGAACCTGGTGGTTGCCATTCCTGAACATCCTCCCCTTCCATTGCCACATCTTACAGATAGATCTCCCAGCTCTGAACATCTTCCCTCGGAAAAATCTCTCAAATTCACTCGTGGCCATTAAAATTTTAAATAATTGCAGGGCGTGATGATTCACACCTGTAATCCCAGCACTTTGGGAGGCTGAGCCGGGAGGATCACTTGAGTTCAGGAGTTCGAGACCAGCCTGGCCAACATGGTGAAACCCCGTCACTACTAAAATTACAATTAGCTGGGCATGGTGGCGGGCACCTGTAATCCCAGCTACTTGGATGGCTGAGGCAGGAGAATCACTTGAACCCGGGAGGCGGAGGTTGCAGTGAGCTGAGATTGCATCACTGCACCCCAACATGAGTGACAGAGCGAGACTCTGTCTCAAAAAAATTTAAAAATAAAAATAACTAAAATAAAATGTTAAATAATTAACAATTAAATAAAATGTAGGTGTCAATTCTTCAGTTGCACAAGCTATATGTCAAGTGCTCAAAAGCACACGTGGCTGGTGGCTACCAAATTGGACAGCACAGAACAGAACATTTCCATCACCGTGGAAAGTTCTCTTGGGCAGCCCTGGGTTAGACAACTTGAGAGGCCAGTTTCTCAGAGCGATTGAGAAAACACTTGAGAGCCAGGTGGCTGGGGTTCCAATCTCTGCCACTTACCGGCTGTGCAACCTTGGGAAAGCTGCACAACCTCTCTGTGCTGCAGTTTCCTCCTCTGTAAAATGACCATCCTAAGATTGTCGGGAGGATTTAATGAGTTAATGCCTACCACATAGCAATTGCTCTATAAATGTTCCTTGTTATTCTAGGTAGGTCACTTCTCTTCCTCTCCACAATACCAGCCTTGCCAGGACCCCCATCAACATCTCTCTCCTGGTGACTCTTCGGCCTCTTCGCCTCCTCTTCTCTCCTGTTCCTTCCCTGAGGTCTATTCTTTCCTGCACAACCAATGTGATATTTTCTCAGCTTTAGACTCTAAAGGGGACATGTGACCATGTCATCCTCCACTGAATCACAATTACCTTGCGGGTAAAGTTCAAAATCCCATATGTGACCAATGACCTATAAAATCTAACCCACCTTCTCTAGTCTCACCACCACTTACCTCTTACACCCTTCAACTCCACACCCCTGCCTACTGAAATACTCAGCACCCCACCCCCTGCCAATTCTCCCTGTTATTCCTCACTTCCAGGCTTTCCGCTAGGCTGTTCTCTCTCTCCTCCCACCCTCAAGCTCCTCTCTGTGCTTGGGTAATTCTAGTGGCCTCCCAGTCTTGCCTTGGATAACATTTCTTAGGGAGAAGTCTCAGCTTCCTCATCTATAAAATGGAGCTACATCTACTTCTTAGAGTGATATGGTTTGGCTGTGTCCCCATCCAAATCTCATCTTGAATTCCCACGTGTTGTGGGAGAGACCTGGTGGGAGATAATTGAATCAAGGGGGCAGGTCTTTCCCATGCTGTTCTCATGATAGTGAATAAATCTCACGAGATCTGATGGTATTATAAGGGGGAGTTTTCCAGCCCAATCTCTCTCTTTGCCTGCTGCCATCCATGTAAGATGTGACTTGCTCCTTCTTGCCTTCCACCATGATTATGAGGCTTCCCCAGCCACGTGGAACTGTAAGTCCAATTAAACCTCTTTCTTTTGTAAATTGCCCAGTCTTGGGTATGTCTTTATCAGCAGCATGAAAATGGACTAATACAGGGAGATATGAGCATCTGAGAGGCCAATGTATCTGATGAAGCACTAAGCACAGTGCCCAGTACACAGTAGGTGCTCAATAATGGTAGCTACAGTTACTATCATCTTGCCACTACAAACACCTGTCATGCTTTATCACCCAGCTCAACCAAATATACCATTTCAGAAGTGCCCCATCCCTCTTAGAATAAAATTCAATTCCTCACCAAGGCTGATGTAGCCAGCCTCTAGAGGGTCCTAGTGGCTCCCACCTTGGTGTTCCTGCTCCTGGGCCATGCCCTCCTAAATGGGCAACACAAGGCTACTGCAGAAATGAGATGTATGACTTCCAAGTCTAGGTCATAAAAGATGTGTGGCTTCTGCACTGCTGTCTTGGATCACCCACCTTGGGGGAAGCTGGCTGCCGTGTTGTGAGGACACACAGGCAGCCTTTTGGAGAGGCCCATGTAGTAAGAAACTGAGGCCTCCTGCCCACAGCCCGCATTTCAGTCAACCCTTCAGATGACTGCAGCCACAGCCAATGGCTTGACTCAGGAAAAACCCTGAACCACCCAACTAATCTGTTCCTGAGCCACAGAAACTATGAGATGATAAATACTTGCTCGTTTAAGCTACAATGTCCAGGGGGAAGCAACAGAAAACGAATGCAACGGCCTCTGAGGTCCGGCCCTACCCACCTATCTGGTCTCCCATCTACTCCCCATGAGCCAGACACCTCCTGGCTTTTGTGCTTCCTTCCCTTTGGCCTGGGACCCTTTGTCCCTACATGTCTATGGCTGGCTTCTTCCATCTTCTCAGCCTCAGTTTAAATGCCATCCTGTGAATGCATTCTTCCATGACCCTCACCTCTGAAATAGGTTCCTCTGCCCTGAAGCTCAACCCCACCCCACAAATCTCAGTCCCAACGCCCTGTCATATTTCTTTATAGCATTTATCACTTACCACAAATAAATTACATATTCATTTGTGTATTCTATGTCTCCTTTGCCTCCCAACTAAAATATCAACTCTACGAAGGCAGGAACTTTGTTTTATTCCCTGCCGTGTCCTCAGCACCTAGAATGATGCCTGGCATACGGTCGGACCTCAAAAATGTTTGTTGAGTGAATAACACAATATGAAATTGTCTCATCTGTTTGTTTACTTGGTTATGACTCATCTCTCCGCTAGACTAGGAAAATAGGGCCATGTCTGTCTTACTCGGGACTTGGCATGGTGTCTGGAACGGGTGGTACTCAGTCAATTATCCTATCTAGCATCTGTGACGGACACAGGGACTAACTCATTTGGGTCTCACAACAATTCTCTAAGATGAAGGCCACTATTATCCCCATTTTGCAGGAGGGGCGGGACAAACTGAGGCAGAGAGGCCCAAGGTCAGCAAATAGTAAGCGACAGAGTGTGAATGTGGAGAGTGGCAGCCTGGCTCCAGAGCCAGACTCCCAGGTCCTGTCTATGTTTGGTGAATGAATGAACGACAGGCACAACCATGATGGTCTGGCCACCTGCTCAGCCCGCTGGAGAGAACCCTCGCTCCGTCACATGGCCGAGGAGGTGGGTGAGGTGCTCAGCTGGGGTTGGCAGAGGAGAAGGAACGGGGCGGTGGCTGGCAGCTGGGGAGGCCTTCCCCATCTCCTAGCGATGGAAAGTTTCACCTCATCCGGAAAGAACTCCCAGTTCCATGGTTGTGGCAGAGAGTGAGGTGTCTCCCCAGCCGGGTTCGTTTCAAAATACATTGTCTTGCTTTTAATAGCCTCCCTGATCAGCTCTTGGAGGTTCTCATGACTGACTGTTCCCAAAATAATACCCGGCGCCGCTTTTTCCAACTCAGAAGTGCTGAATCTTGCTACCTCCCAATCAGCCGCTGGCTGCTGCAAAGAACTGTGGTAATCCCAGGGTCCCCCAAGACAGAATGTAACCCAACAGGGAGGTTTCTGAGGCATTTGGAGAGAACCCCGATGTTCCTCGGCAGCTCACAGGGCTGCTGACAGCAAGTTTCCGGTGACAGCCTGCCCATCCACGGGGCTCCCTCGCTGCTCCCAGCTGCTGAACTGAGATGTGACAGTGGCCAGCGGCAGCCCTAGGAACGCCCCGGCCCTCAGAGATGGAGAAGATTTTCCTAGAAGCTGGAGAGCTGACGTGGAGTGAGAGGGAATTGGCTTTTGGCCCTAGAGGCTGCGATCAGCTTGGCTTGTCTTTCTCCCTCTGTGGGTAGAAGAAGCGGGGCGGTATCTCGTTTGCAGTTTTTTGAGAGTGAACCTTGAAACATCAAGCATCTCTCCTGTGAAAGGAAAGGACTGAAGTACCTATAGCTAGACTATTTTTTCTTATATTTTAAAAATCAGACAGGCTATCTTCTTCCTTTGTGTATTCATTCAATAGACATTGTCATGTACCTAAAATATTCCAAGCACTTGGGATGCAGCTGCGAGCAAAACAGATGCAGGTGCTGCCCTACAAGGCTTTCAGTCTAGCGGGGAGACTCAGAGGAAACACACAAATATAGACAACACAGTTGAGTGGTGACGTGTGCCAAGAAAAACACATAAAGGAGAGCAGGAAGATATGGAGGGCTGGGGAAAGGAGCCTTTTTTAGTCAGGGTGGTCTGGAAGACTTCACAGAAGAGGTGACACTGAGGAGAACTGAATGGCTTAAGGGAGCTGGCCATGCAGACAGCTGAGAAAATGCATTGCAAGCTGCGAGAACAAGACGTGCAAAGGCCCTGAGGCAGTATCCTGTAAAATAGGGAGCCTGCCATCACCAGAAAGAGTCATTTTTTTCATGCATTTGACAAGTTTTCTGGGCACTGCCATGGGGCCCTGAACTTCATGCTGAAGATACAGACAGAAAACAAGACAGAAATTAATCTCTTCAGGGAGTTCATGCAGTCGGGGCGAGAGAGGTCAACTGACAGTACAAAACAGTGGGCAAGTGCAAGGATGGAGGAGGCTTGGGAGCCGAGAAATATGTGGGAGGGCACAAAACCTGGTCACGTTGGGGTGCTGGGGTAGGCCTTCAAGAGCAGTGACATCTAAACAGAGTCAATCCATAATCATAGTCGCTAAAATTTATTGAGTATTCACGTTGCACTTTGTCCTATTCCAAGTGCTTGACATGTGTATTAGTCTGTTTTCATTAGACATACCCAAGACTGGGTAATTTATAAAGGAAAGAGATTTAATTGACCTCACAGTTTCACATGGCTGGGAGGCCTCAGGAAACTTACAATCATGGCAGAAGGGGAAGCAAACGTGTCCTTCTTCATATGGCAGCAGCAAGGAGAAGTGCCCAGCAAAAGGGAGAAAAACCCCTTATAAAACCATCAGATCTCGTGAGAACTCACTCACTATCACAAGAACAGCATGAGGGTAACCAATTCCATGATTCAATTACCTCCCACTGGATCCCTCCCATGACGTGGGGATTATGGAAACTACAATTCAAGGTGAGATTTGGGTGGGGACACAACCAAACCATATCAACATGTATTAGCTTGTCTAATCCTCCTAGCCTTTGAAAATTCAAATATTTCCCCTTTTCACAGATGACAAGAGAGGCCAAATGACTTGCCCTAGGCCACATAGTGGAAGAGCTGGAAATCAAACCTTTAAAGAGGTGGGACATATTCTCCACTTTCCCTTCTCTCCTTCCCGCTAAAATATGGATTTGATGGTAAGAGCTTGAGCAGCCATCATGGGCCATGAGGTAGAAACTGTGTTAAGGAAGACAGAGCTGACAGATAGAAGGAGTTCAGGTCCCTAATGACCAGGGAGCCTCCACAGCAACCCTAGATCTCCACCCACATTCTTCTTGAGAGCGAAATAAATATCTAACTTACTTAAGCCATTGCTGTCTAGGGATCTTTAGTACGACAGCTAAACCTGTGCCCTAACCAATATGGATTCTAAGAGTAATGAAGAACCATCGAGTATGGGGACTCTGAGTGACACGAACAGATATGCACTTTAGAAAGATGGCCATAGCTGAAGTTAAGAGTCAGGCTCGGCCGGGCACAGTGGCTCACGCCTGTAATCCCAGCACTTTGGGAGGCTGAGGCGGGCAGATCACAAGGTCAGGGGTTTGAGACCAGCCTGGCCAACATGGTGAAATCCCATCTCTACTAAAAATACAAAAATTAGCCCGGTGTGGTGGCGGGCACCTGTAATCCCAGCTACTCGGGAGGCTGAGGCAGGAGAATCGCTTGAACCCAGGAGGCAGAGGGTGCGGTGAGCCTAGACTGTGCCATTGCACTCCAGCCTGGGGGACAGAGCAAGACTCCATCTTAAAAAAAGAGTCATAGCTTCAGGAGATATACCTAATGCTAAATGACAAGTTAATGGGTGCAGCACACCAGCATGGCACATGTAAACATATGTAACTAACCTGCACATTGTGCACATGTACCCTAAAACTTAAAGTATAATAATAATGAAATAAAATAAAATAAAATAAAATAAAGAGTCAGGCTCCAGGGCCAGCTGGTCTGTGTTCAGATCCCAGCTCTGCTTCTCCCTAGCTGGGTGGCCTTTGGCAGGTTACTTAACTTCTCTGTGCCTGGGTTTCCTCGGGTACAAAATGAAAGTAATATTACCCATTGGAGAGCTGTTGTGAGGATGAAATGAGTTAGCACATGGAATGGTGCTTAAAATAGCACCTGGCAGATATAAGAACCTTAGGCTCTGTGGGTGCCTGGGACCACGGCAAGCCCAGAAAGATGTCTAAGGAGCTCCAAGCCTTCATTAGCACTCAGAGGAAACAGGCCATGAGGGAGAACACGTGGATGGAGCAGTGACCCAGGAATAAAGCCAATGGGCCCTGGGGAGCTGTATCCAGAGTGGGGCATAAGCTGGTAATGGGCCATGTTGCAGAAAGCCACCTCAGCACAGTCCAGCCCAGGAAGCCGTGCCTGGGAGCCCCACATGGAAACGGGGTGGTTGCTCTGCCAGGAGAAGCGTGCTGCACTTTTCCCCTCCGTGGGCTCCCTGGAAGATAAGAAACCCCAGCTTCCTGAGGATATGCTCTGAACCCTCCTGCTGGCTCCTCTGGGCTTGTCAAAATATTTCTTTGTGGAGCCATCCCTGTTTTTCCATTAATAAAAGTATTTTTGGGCTCCCAGCAACAATGAGTGAGTGTTACAAAAGAGGTTGGGCCTTCCAAGGTAAACAGAGCTCATCCCCAACCTCAGCCGGTGGCTCTGGGCCACTGAGCAGGGGCGTGGTTGTTCTTATTCTGGAGCTCTCTGTGCTCTGAGCCCTGATTTGGCACAGGGAGAGCAGGTTCTAGGATGGGCTGCCCTATCCACAGCAGAGGGCCCTGCCAGTGCTCTTCAGGGTCCCCCGGGCTTGCATTGCCAGGGCATGCTGCATCCATCTTCCCTCCAGCTGATCAGTCAATCAGTCAACACACGTCTGTTGAGGTCCTGCTCTGGGCCCAGCAACACACAGAAAAGATACAGTCTTCCACCCTATTGCAGGGCAACAGATGTGGGAGCAGGTGAACCCACAGGTGCCATGGTAGATATCTCCCTGGAGACAAGCCAGGGCAGAGGGGAGAGAAGCACCTAGTGCAGCAGTGATCACTATGGGCTCTGTGTTCAAACTGGGATCTACCGCCCACGGGCCATGGGACTGTAGGCAAGTGACTCAACCTTTCAGGGAGCAAGTCTCCTCATCTGCAAAGTGGCAATACTAAGTAAGTTAATATAAGAAACATGCTTAGAATAAAACCGTACACAATGCAGAAGTGTTCGCTATTAAATCATTGTCAAGAAATCAATATTTGTTGAATGAATGAATGAATGAATGAATGCATGAATGAGGAAGTAGGTGGATGGATGGATGAATGGATGGAGTCAATGTGTCAGTAACTGTATTAGTAATCTCTTGCTGCATAATACATCAGTCCAAAACTTAGTGTCTTGATGCATTCATAAACATGTATCATCTCTCATTACTTCAATGAGTCAGAAATTCAAGAGCTGCTTAGTTGGGCTCTGGCTTCTTCATTGTGTTGAAGTCAAGATGTCAGCCAGGGCTGCAGTCATCTGAAGGTTGGACTGGGGCTGAAGAATCCACTTCCTAAATGGCTCCCTTTCATGGCTGTCAAGTTAGTGCTGGCTATAGGCAGGAGGCTTCAGTTCCTCCCCATGTGGGCCTCTCCTCAGGACCGCTTGAGTGTGCTAACAACATGGCAGCTGGCTTCTCCCAGAGTGAGTGACTGAGGAGAAAGGGAAGCAGCAGAACCAGAAGCTGTGACCAGCGGTCAGTTTTACCACATCCTATTCCTTAGACGCAAGTCATTAAGTCCAGCCCACATTCAAAGGCAAAGGAATTGGCCTTTACCTTTGCCCTTTGAAGAGTGGCGTGTCAAAAAAAACTTACAAGTATAGTTTAATCATGACAGTGACCAAATAGATCCCCCAAACAGATCACAAAGGCCTCAAATACTAGCTTCCCCAGACCAAAGGAGTATGCACTGTAGGAATCCATTCATTCAAAACTTTGGAACAGTCCAAATCAATTTGCAAGGTAGCAGTCAAGTCAATAGTTGGTTAGGTGGGGGAAGGAGGGATCAATTGCAAAAGGCAATGGAGATGTTCTGTATTTTGACTGGGACGATGGTCAAAACTGATTGAACTGTACCTTTAAAATATGCAATTCATTGTATGTGAACTGTAATTTATTAAAGTTTATTTTTAAAAATACCAGCTTCCTGACTTTGAGTAAACTATTCCTATAATTTCTTTGGTCTAGGTCAGAGATTGACAAATTTTTTACCAGCTCTGGTCCATTGCCTGTTTCTGTAAATAAAGTTTTATTGAAACGCAACCACTCACATTTATTTACAGATTGTCTATGGCTGTTTTCACACTATAATGGCAGAGTGACACAATTGAGTAGAGCATATGGCCTGCAAAGCTGAAAATATTTACTATCTGGGTCTTTTACAAAAAAAAGTTTGCTGGCCGGGGGCTGTGGCTCATGCCTATAATCCCAGCACTTTGGGAGGCCGAGGTGGGTGGATCACGAGGTCAGGAGATAGAGACCATCATGGCCAACATGGTGAAATCCCGTCTCTACTAAAAATACAAAAATTAGCTGGGCATGGTGGCGTGCGCCTGTAGTCCCAGCTACCTGGGAGGCTAAGGCATGAGAATTGCTTGAACCCGGGAGGCGGAGGTTGCGGTGAGCCAAGATCATGCCACTGCACTCCAGCCTGGACGACAGAGCGAGACTCCGTCTAAAAAAAAAAAAAAAAAAAAAAACCAATTTTGCTGACCCCAACTCTAGAGGGAAAACTAGGAGGACAGTTTAATGCTACTTTAGATGCATCCATTTTCAGGGCCAAATGTATGCCAATTTGTCAATCTTTTTACCCTAAAACTGTAGCAGCCCTCAGCTCATGTGTGTGCACAGCAACTTCTCCCAGTAGCAGACAGATGTGGGAAGATCCAAGTTCTCCCGGAAGATCCCACGACTTGTCTGCATTTGGGAACTGTTCGACATTTCCTTAGAAGTGCTTTCTACAGCCCACTTTTTAGTGTCTGGGACCCCTGCCTGAGCTGGTGAATCAAGAACTCGGCCCACAGAGCAGGAGACACGGGCAGCACTTTTGGGGGATTGTCTACATTTCATTAATTATGTTTATCTACATACAATTTCTTTTCCTTCTTCCCTTTCTTCCTTCCTTCTTTTTCTCTTTCCTTCTCCAAAGACACATCGGTCCACCAGGTTGGCTGTGTGGGTCAGATTCTCTCAAAGTGATTCTGTTTCATGGTGTTGACTCAACTTGTAGTCAGGCTGGCAGTATAAAATTGCATCTCAATCAGCTTTAAGAACAAAACTTAAAAACCAAAATGGGAATTACAAATGAAAGGCCGCAGGGAGGGCAACTGTCTGCCACTATCCTCTCCCCTTAAAGCTAAAAAGTCAGAGCATGAAACAGCAGGAGAAAGACCGTCTCAGGGTTTCAGTCCCAGAAGACCCTAAACCCAGACTGGGGAGGAGGGGCCTGGGGGTGAGCCTGCTAGGGGCATCCACCCTGCAGGAAGGCCCCTGTCCATAGTCATTGTCTTTGCCCCACCCCTTCCCCTTCTTCTGGAAATAGTGCCCCAATTTTTACTTTGAGGTCAGACCTTTCTGACTCTCAGCTTGTGCAGTTGGAGAGGGGCTGACTCTCTCAGCGCTTGGGATGGGCACGTGACCCAAGTCCTCCTCATCAGCATCAGGGTGATGGTCTCGGGTCAATGAGAATCCACCCCAGGACTGTAGTTTGAACTGCCAGGAAAGCAAATGTCTCTCACACAGACGTTCTCTCTATTTCCTGCTGAGATGTGAGGATGAAGATCTGCAACTGCTCTCCACCAGCTTGGTGCACTGCACTCTATACCGCAAGATGTCACAGGAGAAGACGGAGCCAGGAGATGGAAAGAGATTGGTTGCTGCTGACGACATTTGAGCCCCTAAATCCAGCCATCCCTGAAGCTAGAGGAAACTCCATATAGCTTCTCACATATATAAAAACATTTCTTCCTCACTTAAGCCATTTTGAATTGGATATTCTGTCACTTGCAACATCTCCTATTTCATCCACAGGAGTTTGAGATCTGGAGACCTGGAGAACCGGAGCCCCAGCTGCTGGTTGCTGGCAGTAGCCATTTTACTGCCATGAAGAAAGCCAGACTGAGGGCAAGGCCAACGCAGAGGGGAGCAAACCAAAGGAAATGCAGAGAAATAGATCCAGAGCCTTGATCATGCAATTCCTGAAGCCCACTTTCCCCCTAAAGTTCCCGAGAGTGAGGAGATACAGTTCCCTAAGGTTAAAGCCAGTTCGAGTCAGGTTTTGCATTACTTGTGGCCAAAAGAGTCTCAAGTGACACATTCGGTCTTCTTCCATGTAACACAGAGATAATCACACTTACCTCAAATAGTGGCTCTGAGGAATAGAGACCAGATGTGCAAATGCTCCTGCCCAGAGCCTAACAGACAGAGCAGGGGCTCCACAGATGCGTTCCCACTGCTTCTCTGACTTATTTTCTCCCCATTCCTCGCTGCTGGTCCCGTGCAGCGCAGGCTGAGGGCCATGTCATTGCTGATTCAGGCCGGGTAGGACAAGGCCTCAAGGTACAGTGGTCACTGGTCCCACAGATGGAATCAAGTGCGACACCTCCTTTCTGCAAAGACAGGGGGCAGTCCAGGGGCAACCAGAGCTGGGGCTTCACCCAGTCCTCCCAGTAATGCATGTCAGTTGACTCCCCTTCTGGTAACACAGTGCCCCCATTTCTCTCTGGCAGTCCACTCCTTCCTATCTCTGTACTCTTGGAGGGGGCTTCATCCCCAGTTTAAAGTTGAGTCATGTGACGAAGGTGTAAGCCTATCAGCCTGTCACATTTCCCCTGACCACTGGTGATTGGTTCAGGGAATAGCATGTGACCCAGGCAGTGCCAGCGTTACCCAGGAGTCTCTGCTGGGCTCTAGATAGCAGCTCAGTCTTTCCTGCTGGAAATGCAAGGGGAAGAAGAATGTGGCTGTCATGGAAGCAGGAGAGGACAGGTAAGGGAGAGTCAGTACAGCAGAGGTGAAACCAAACCCTATCCACGTTGTCTGAACTCCTGAATCCAACCAAGCCTGGGGTCCACCCTGGAACTTTTCAATAAGAAATTCTTTTTCATTACTTCGACCAGTTGGTGAGGTTGCTAAGTTTAGCAAATAAAAATCCAGGCTTCGGATTAAATTTGAATTTCAGATGAACAACAATATTTTAGTATATGTGTGCCCCATGCAACATTTGGTACCTACTTACGCTAAAAAAAATTATTCATTGTTTAGTTGAAATTCAAATTTAACTGGGTATCCTGTGCTATATGCAGCGACCCTACTAGTTCGGGCCAGGTTTCTCATTCTTTGAACGCAAGAGAGTCTGAACTGAGGCCCAGTCCCATCCCCTTCAACAAGGGCACAGGAGTGCTACTCCTCCTGCCGCGCTTCACAGAACAGGGCCCCCCACTGCCCAACCACAGGGGTTAGCCTCGGCCACTCCATCAGCCTCCTTCATACCTCATTTCTCCTGCTAGCAAGGGTGCTACCCACGGCAGTGAAGAACCGTGGCCACAGCTCCTACTGGGGATGCCTACTGTGTGTGAAGGGCTAACCTGTACCCTTCCACCTCCTCCCCACAGCACGATTCTAAGAAGCAGGCAAACTACAGTCCTCATCTTATAGATAAGTAAAGCAGCTCAGAGGCTCTGTGACCCACCCAGGGTCCCACAGCTAGTAAGAGGTAGGGCTATGTTTCATACCAAGCCCAGGTTCTAGGAATGACACTTCCAAGCCGGAGGGGATACGGAAGGAGCTGCCTCTCCACGGAAGGAGGATCCTTCCGAGGAAGCCCAGTAGCCGCCCTCTGGATAGAGGCAGGAGGCCTGGGGAGGTCTGAGTCACTGTGTGGCTAGAGAGCAGGGGTGCTGGGATCAGCAGAAAACCTAGCAGACTCTCTCCCTTAGGGATTTAAAAGGACTGGGCCCAGGGAAAGGGGAAGGACATTGGCCAAGCCATCCTCAGACAGCCTGGGGAGCAGAGGAAGCCGGCAGCTGGCGGGTCACCTGGGGGCAGGTGCCCCACCTCCTGCTTCTCACCTCCTTGGCGTTTCCCAGGCCCCTCTCCTGAAGGCCTGCTCACTCTCAACCTCTGTTTTGCTATTTTGCTTTGTTGTTTTTTTTTTTTAAAGTTCCTTTGTTGTTACCACTTAAAACAATAAATAAATAAGGCAAACCAACAACGCAGACATCTGGAAAGCTTTGTGGAAAATGGCATCTTGTTCAGAGGACCCGCCCTCCCCGGAGTCAGAACACAAGTGCCCACGGGACTCTCAACTGGCCCCCGAATGCTCTCAGAGGAGAGGTGAGACCCCCTCACTGTTCTCCTACCAAATCCCTGTCTTCCCCTGGGGGTCATGTCCCTCCCAAAACACCACCACCTCCATCGGCATGGCTCTCAGCTCCCATTCTGCACCCTGACCAGGCTGCTGAGCCTCCCTGACTTACGCCCAGCACATCCCCGACCCTACTCCATCATTTTCCCTCCCGCTTAGGTCTTTTTCATTCTGGCAGCCATGCCCCATCTCGGACTTGTCTCATTTCTGACCCATCACAAAAGCCTCTGTGCCTCTCACTTCACCTCTTCTCCTTCCACTCCACCTGACCCTTCACCCCACCTCTGCTAAAGTATCTTCTCAGAGTACACCTCAGATCACAATACCCCTTTCCCCTGCTCAACAACCTTCTAGGCCAATGAAGTGGCTCACGCCTATAATCCGAGCACTTTGGGAGGCCGAGGCAAGTGGGTCCCTTGAGGTCAGGAGTTCAAAACCAGCCTGACCAACATGGTGAAACCTCAGCTCTACTAAAAATATAAAAATTAGCTGAAGCGTGGTGGCGCACACCTGTGGTCCTGATTACTCAGGAGGCTGAGGCAGGAGAATCACTTGAACCTGGGAGGTGGAGGTTCCAGTGAGCCGAGATCACGCCACTGCACTCCAGCCTTGGCAACAGAGTGAGACTCGGTCTCAAAAACCAAAACAAAACAAAAAAAAAACCTATGGCTTCCTAGTGTCTCCTGAAATAAATACCAGCAGCTCCTCACTGTGATGTTAAACCTTCCTGCAATGGATGTCTTTTGTTTTTATTTTTCCAGTGTTCCTTTTTCCTTCTTTTGGTAACTCCACCCTTGGTGGTTTTCTTGAGGGTCAGGGAATCGCACCTCCCTAACTTTGAGTCCAACTGTTTTAGGGTCTACCCACAATGCCAGGTCCAGGAGGAGGTTGTGTGACCCAGGCTGGGCCATTGAGTGTGCAGCATTCCCCTGAACAAGGAGTTGGTTCAGGGTTGGCCACATGACCCAGGTCAGGCCAGTCACAGCCAACCCTAGGTCCTTGGCTGGAATGATGAAAGAGGGGCTCTCTCTGTGTTGGTGTCACCAGGCTGAGAAGATACAGGTCAGGAGCTGATGAGGGCCATCAAGCCACCACAAGGGGAGAGTCGAGGGGGAGCAAAGCTGTAAGATCAAGAAAGAACTGGTATTTAAAACATCTTTAAGTTCCTGCATACAGCTGTGCCTGAAGCCAGTCGACCCACACTATTTTTTTAGGTTTAAACTAGTTTGAGATGAGTTTCTGTCACTGGCAGCCAAAGGCATTGTAATGAATATAGTCTCCAATCATGGGTTCCGACTTCCTCTTCTAGCTTTACTCTATTTTCCTACGTGCGTCAGTGCTTCTGAGAAAATGGTCTCTTGAACAGCCAGTGAAACATACCCCATATCTCAGCCTCTGTGCCTTTGGTCCTGCTGCTTCCTTGACCCGAAATACCCTCTTCTTTGTAAATACTGCTTTACAAAGCTCTAATCCTCCCTTAAGGCCTTTCTCAAGCTGGTCTCTTCCATGAGAATGTCATCACTGTCATTTTCTTACTTTCTGTCCCCATAATGCTCTCCAAGAACTTATTGCCCTTCCTTGAATCCTGGTCATTTGTATATCTCCTTTCCCTTCTCAGAGTTAGGGACTCAGATGACAAGGAGACATTATTGTTCAGCTCTTCCTAAGCACAACACATGCACGGAACAGAAACTCAGGAAAAGCATCTTTGTGCTCATGGCCAGCCTGGTGAAGCCTCCCAGGACTCACTCACCTGAGACCTTAATTTTGGGACAGATGTTCTGCCTGCCTGTTTCACATTCATTATCCCATCTTTTCATACCAGTACCCCAATTTTCCTTTGAAGGACCACTCCATCTCCATCCTCATTTTTTTTCCATCACCCTTTCCTGGTATCCATCCTCATTCTTAAGACTTAGGTAGAGCCCTTCCCTCCCTCTCTCTGACTCCACAGATGCCATGTGACCCAGACCTGGCCAACCAGGGCACTGCACACTCCTAACCCCAGTGATTGTCTCAGGTTTGGACATGTGATCAATGCCAGAGATTCAAACATAGAACTTTTGCTGGAACCATTGAGAAGGGGACACTCTGTTGAATGGGATCAGAAAACTAGGGGGATGTGAGCCTGGGCTGCTGGAGCCACCAGGAAAAGAAGTTCTGCCTGAGGAAAAAAAAAAAAAAAAAAAGCAAACATAAAGCAAAACAGAGCCAGGACCTAGAGGCAGATGCTTCATATCATTTGCATCCTAGATCCAGCCATGTCTGAAGCCAGTCCTACTCTGTACTTTTAGATACATGAGTGAATAATTCCTAACGGATTGGGCTTCTGTCACCTGCAACCATGAGTCTCAACCGATACAAGGTCCAAGTCTTTATCCCCATCCTTATTCCTAATCCAGAGCACATCAGGTGGTCTTTAGTTAGTGATCAGCTGACTAAGGGCAGGACTTATTCTCTGCCTTGTCACTGATCCTTTTCCCTCCACTGCACACCCCAACTCTTACTCTAGCTAAGACCTACCCATTCTTCCAGTCTCAGCTTAACTGTTACTCCCGGAAAGACCTTTCCTGACACTCCCAGAAAAAAATTGGTCTCCCCCTAACACCTGAGCCTCAAAACACCCCAGGTTTTCTTTCTCACAGTTGATGATTCCATAATTGTTGGAGAAATTAAGTTTTCTATATCTGTATCTCCCAAACCTGCAAACTTCACCAGCCATACATAGTCTCATTTGCTTCTACATTTTCAGGGCCCAGCGCAGAGCCTGACATAGTAGGTGCTCAGTAAATGGCTACTGAATTAATAAATGTACTGACACAACTCAGGAATCAAAGAATATGTCTCCCAGGTTTCTCAACTTGAATAAAGATGGTGGAACCATGTCTCTTACTACTACCTGGTCCATTGATGGAGGGTTCCAGGAGAACCAGCCGTGGGAGGGCTTGAAGAGAAATTGCCTCTTTGTGCCACTCCACAGAGGTATTAGCATATTGAACTTGATCAGAAAGTCCAACACAACTTGCGATTCATTACTGGAGACCTTAGCCACGCCCTGAAGCAAATGTCAAATTTCACACATTTAATGAACTCCATACTTGAAATATGTGGCCTGTAAAATCTGATTTACACTGCTGTTAAAATCCTCAGTGCCTAAAAAGTAATGTGAAAAGTATGTATTGGTGCTAAGAGAAGGGGCTTTTTTTTCCCAAGACATTAATTCACTCCAAGGCATATAAACGTTCCCTAAAGCATCATTTCAATTGCAATATTTCTTTCAGCACCTCAAATTTAGTTACCAACTTTTAAGAAGAGGGGCTGTGTTAGGTTACACACGAATGGAAAAGTGCCACCATGTAATTGTCAATTCTCTGGAAGGTAAGCTGAGTTGACAGCTGAGCTGGGGACAGCCCCGAAGCAGGCAGAGCACAGCTTACCTGGCACTATAATTAAGACCTGCCTTAAGTCAACACCGACGCGGCCACGGTGCCTGGCAAGATGAATTTCTTTTTTCAATTCAGCCACAACCTTATTTATTTATTGGATGCTAACACCTGGTATTTCTTTCGTCTGGAAGTTCGCGGCTTGCTTTGGCACGTTTTAGGTTCAGTACCGCGGGGTGGCTGAGCTACCTGACGGGGTGACAGGAGGCCTCCCTCTGAGGTGGATCCATGGAGCAGAGGCAGCACAAACCAACTTCCAAGGACATAGTCTAGACCGAAAAGGACACCCTGACCCTCGTTTTCAAGCTTTACTGGCTAGGAGAATTCCGTCCACAGAAGCTGCTATCCTTGAGAGCGCAAAGCATAGCCGATCGTGAGTGCTCGGCACACGGTCATCCCATCCCGGCTTGCTTCCGGAAAACTAGAGCTTGACTCTGATTGGCCTTTATCCATTTCCTTCACACCAGTGATTGATCTAGGGGTGGGCGTGTATCCAGTGCTGACCAATGAGATGTGAGAGAATTTCCAGGAAACTCTTTCAAAGCTGATCAAAAGAGACGGCCTAGAAGAGAGCGTCCTCGTTTTTCTAAAGTTCCACTGGAGATGCTGAGAGTTACCCTGGTGTGGAACTCAGTGCCTTCATTGGACAAAGTAAAAACTGAAGCTTATAGAGAAGTGATAGTCTTGACCACAGCGAGTCCAGTGGCAACGCCAACATTATTACTGTAGTGGACATGTGTTACTCTTTGACCACCAAGCATCTAAGTCACCCTTTCTCCTGGGGAAAGCAAAAACAATCTCTCTGGGGAATTACTTCCTCCCCATGGCAGGCAGTCTTGGAGGAACTGTCAATCAAAATACCCTGCCATGTAACCCAAACTTGGCCCATCAGATTCTCACACGAGGATGTTGACCCTTGAGTGATGCAAGATGGGAGTGATGTGGTGGGGGTGGCGGGATAAGAAACCTGCAGGTGATAAAACAGGCTGAGGGACCTGGTTGCACGGCATATTAGCTCCTGCTACCTCCCATTTCCGGCATGCCCTCATTCTTGTTCATAGCCAAAGCTCCAGTCTGTGAGCCACTCCACATCCTGGCAATAAATTTCCCCTCCCCGTTTCTTGGCTGAACTTTGCCAGTTCTAATTTTTGTTGTGTGCAACCACAGAACTGTAACCGATACGGAACAATAAGTTGATTGTGACCATGCCGGGCATATCACATACATCACATTTATTTTTCTTTCACAATATCACTTATGGAGTGGGCACACATGCACACAGACATCTACCCATTTTACAGATGAAAAATCTCAGGGTCAGACTGCAACATTTGCCCAGCATTTCATAGTTAATAAACTGCCAACCCTGAAATTTAACTGTATCTTGTTTTGCTTATCTGTGAGATGAGTTTAACTCCACTTAGCCTGCAAGGTTAGAGTGAGGATACAAGAAAATACAGGTCCAAGTGCCTGGTACACACTCTCATTTGGAACTTCCATGGCTCTCAGAAGTGTCTTTTTTGAGAGGCTTTTCCTAGGCCCATGAGAGATTCTTTCAGGAGTTCAAAGAGCTTTCTCATCCCTGAACTTGGAGAAAGAAACCAGTCGTACTTGGGGTAACAATGTGGTCTGGAGTATGAACCATATCCTTGATGTCTCTGGCTATGGGAATCCATGATCCCGGGATCTGGAGTCTCTCAACATGACATATAGTAGGCCCGCTCTGCACACTTATCTCCAAAGGTCAGAGGGTAGCTTGCTGCCTGGCATGGTGGGGACAGACTCAGGGTACATAGAAGCCTTCCTACTAGGCAACAATACCCATTTCCTGCCACTCTTCAGCACTGGCTGCCATTGCTCTTCTTCCTGTTCCTGAAAACTCTGAACGCTTCCTGCCACAGGGCAATTTGCACATGATATTTTCTCTGCCTGCAACACTGCTCCTTGCGTCTATGAATCCTGGATCCTCTCACCTTTCAGATTTCAGCTCAAAAGCCAACTCCTCAAGGAGGCTCTCCCTGACCACCAAGTCTAAAAATAGCCTCCCATACCCTCCCCACTCCCAACCCCCAACCTCTATCCCGATTGGTCTCCCAGATGGCATCCTGACTTAACTTTATGATAATATTCATCACTGTGCAATGAATTACCATATTTGTTTATTCATTTATTCATTTCACGTCTATTGAACACTCACCATAGGCCATCTTTTTCTAGGCATTCAGAATAGCAAATGAGTCAAAGTCCCTGTCCTCACAGAACTCACATTTTAGTGACCAAGACTGAGGCTAAGCGCCTGAGGACAAGTAGAGCAAGCAAGGGGCTAGGAAGTGACAGGGCTACACATCCAATGGGAGGAGGTCAAGGAAACCTTTTTTTTTTTTTTTTTTTTTTGGAGACAAGAGTCTCGCTGTGTGCCCCAGGCTGGAGTGCAGTGGAGCGATCTCGGCTCACTGCAAGCTCCACGTCCCGTGTTCACACCATTCTCCTGCCTCAGCCTCCCGAGTAGCTGGAACTACAGGTGCCCGCCACCACGTCTGGCTAGTTTTTTGTATTTTTTAGTAGAGATAGGGTTTCACCGTGTTAGCCAGGATTGTCTCAATCTCCTGACCTCGTGATCCGCCCACCTCGGCCTCCCAAAGTGGAAAACCTCTTTAAGAAGGGACAACTAAACGACGACCTGAAGGAGGCCTGTTTATTTCTCCACTGCCTAATATAGACACTCCACTCAGTAAGAAAGCAGGACCCATGAACATCTAGATCATCACATCCCCAGTGCCTGGAAGCTGCCTAGCATCCAGTAGGTGCTCAATAAATATGCATGCAATGGCTGTCTACTGGTGCTTCCAGACAGTGCTGGGCTCCTCCCGTCCCCCGGGGTGACGACATCTCCACAGTGACTCATGGTTCGAGGCCTCTACCTCATTCTGAGGTTGGCTCTGCTCTTAATTAGAAGGTGGGAACAGCCACAATGACAGCAGCTAGGGAATGTGGCAATTCCCTGGGAAGTGCTATGTCAGGGATGGAGGTGAGGATGGCCCTTGGGAATGATGGGATTCAGATAAATGGAGCATTAATTTGGAAATCTGCCTTGGCATTTTTCAACCTCCTGTGACATGCCATAAAAGAATGCAGCTTGCTGGAGAGAAGGGAGGCTGTTGCTTTCACCAGGAGGCTTGAAGTTGAATTAGATTATAGCTTAAAAGAGGCAGCTGCCTCTAAGTCTGTGGACCTGAGCACCAATCCTGGCTCCATCTCTTACAAATTGTGTGACTTTGAACAAGTCACCACAGCTCTTAAATCCTCATCTATAGAAAAGACAATGAAGGCCGGGTGCGGTGACTCACACCTGTAATCCCAGCACTTTGGGAGGCTGAGGCGGGTGGATCATGAGGTCAGGAGATGGAGACCATCCTGGCTAACGTGGCGAAACCCCATCTCTACTAAAAATACAAAAATTATCTGCGCATGGTGACGCATGCCTGCAGTCCCAGCTACTTGGGAGGCTGAGGCAGGAGAATCGCTTGAACCCGGGAGGCGAAGGTAGCAGTGAGCCGAGATTGCACCACTGCACTCCAGCCTGGGCGACAGAGAAAGACTCCGTTTCAAAAAAAAAAAAAAAGGAACAAAAGATAATGAAAATATCCCTCTTTGAAACGATTCTGTAGGTAAAGCATTTTGCCTATAGCCATAGCTGCTGTTGAACCAAGACTCCACAAACCAGACTTGAAGTGATCTGATGCAAATTAAAACCACAACGACATACCAGAACACACCCACCAGAAAGGCTAAAATTAAAAATATTAACAACAATGACAATGAAAAGGCAAGCTATAAGTGGGGCAGGGGAATATGCAAATCACTTACCAACAATATATATAGTCAGAGTATATTTTTAAAAACTCTCAAAACTCAAAAGTAAGAAAACAATCTAATTCTTACAAATGAGCAAAAGACGTGAACATTTCACCAAAGAAGAAAAGTGGATGGCAAACAAGCACATGAAAAGATGTTCAATATTATCAACTGTTAGGGAAATGATATTTAAAACCATGGTGAGATACCACTGCACATCTGTTAGAATGGCTAGATTAAATACCGACAATGCTAAGCGCAGACAAGGATGTAGAACTGGAACTCTCATACGAATGCAAAAATGGTACAGCCACTCTGGAAAATGGTTTGGCAGGATTTTAACACCTTTAATGAGATATAAGTTACATGCCACAAAATTCACTCATTTAAAGTATATAATTCAATGGTTTTTAGTAAATTTACAGAGTTGTGCAACCATCACCCCCAAAAGAAACTGCCAGACTGTTTTCTAAAGCAAGCAAACCATTTCACATTCCCACCAGCAGTGCGCGAAGGTTCTGATTTTTCCACATCCCCTCCAACACTGACCGTGTCCTTTTAATTGTAACCATCCTAGTAAGGATAAAGTACTATCTCACTTTGAGTTTGTTGGCAGTTTCTCATAAAGTGAATCAGACACCTTCTCCATGATCCCAGTAGGGGTCCCATGGGTGCAAACCTATGCAAAAATGTATCACTATGCATTTAATATTAGCCTACTAGATACACTTTGCTGTATGTATTCTATACTCATTTTTTTAAAACAAAAAGACAACAGGAGAAGAAAAACTAAGAGATTCAGGGAAAATTAAGATGAATGAAATAAGGAATGCAAAAAAAGAAAGGAATAAAATAAAAAGAAATAATGTGTCTGGCCAGAGAGTGCCTAGTGAGATCACAGCTACTGCTCTCACAAGAGGGCGAGTTCACGTCTCCTACCTGTTCACTCACCTCTGGCACCCATTTAACTTTAAGTGTATGGTGGCCGGGCGCGGTGGCTCATGCCCTAACTCCAGCACTTTGGGAGGCCAAGGCCGGTGGATCACTTGAGTCCAGGAGTTCCAGACCAGCCTGGCCAACATGGCGAAACCCTGTCTCTACTAAAAAATGCAAAAAAAATTTAGCAGGATGTGGTGGCAAGCACCTGTAATCACAGCTACCTGGGAGGCTGAGGCACAAGAATCACTTGAACCTGGGAAGGAGAGGTTGCAGTGAGCCGAGATAGCACCACTGCACTCCAGCCGGGGTGACAGAGTGAGACTCTGTATACAAGAAAAAAAAATAGTATATAGTAAGTAAATGAAGTAATTTAAGGTGAAGGTTCCTTAGAATCCCACGTCTTTCCCCTGTCTAGTGTAGAAACTGCTGTTTGCCCACCTTCTTTTCCCTCCTGCCTCAGAAACAAAACCTTGCTTTTTGTCAGTATTCTTGTTAAACAGCTACATTTCCCAGCCTCTTTGCAAGCCAGGTGTGGTCATGTGGTCATTTGCCCAAGATGTCAGCACAAGCAATGTGTGGGAACTCTGGGAAGTCTCCCTCAAAGGACAGGGCTCCCTCTCTTTGCTCCTTCCTACTGGCCGGACTTCAGGCATGAAGGCGGGACCTCCAGCAGCCACCCTGGATAAGGAGGATAAGGGCAGCAGCCTTAGGATGGGCCAGTGCAGAGCTGAAGAAGCCTTGGTTTCCCAGTGACAATCCAGGCCAGCATACCTCTCCTGAACCTCCTAACCCCAGCCTCCTCTGATGTGAGACAGAAAGCACTTTATATCTTATTTAAACTAGGTCGTTTGAGAGTTTTCTGCTATAACAGATGTTTTTTCTCACAGATACATCCTCTGTCAAAATTCAACCACAAAATTCAATCATTTTAGGTGCTATGTGGGCCTGGGTCAACCTCACCCTCTCTCGGTGTTGTTTTTCTCATCTACAAAATGGAGATAATGACACCTGCCTCACGAAATTGTGAGGTCTAGGTGGGAAAGTACTTTGCAGGTGTAAAAAGCCATCAAAAGGCAAGAGTCATTTTGTTCAGTCAGGTTCCTGAATCTTCCAGAATGCACTTTTTTTTTTTTTTTTTTTTTTTTGAGACAGAGTCTCGCTCTGTCGCCAGGCTGGAGTGCAGTGGCATAATCTTGACTCACTGCAACGTCCACCTCCCGGGTTCAAGCAATTCCCCTGCCTCCGCCTCCCGAGTAGCTGGGACTACAGGCAAGTGCCACCACATCCAGCTAATTTTTTTGTATTTTAGTAGAGACAGGGTTTCACCATGTTGGCCAGGATGGTCTCGATCTCCTGACCCATGATCCGCCCGCCTCGGCCTCCCAAAGTGCTGGGATTACAGGCACAAGCCACCGCGCCCAGCCCAGAATCCACTCTTAAAACTCAAGAACTTAGTGCCAATGAACTGTACACTTAAAAAATTGTTGAAATGCTGGGCGCGGTGACTCACGCCTGTAATCCCAGCGCTTTGGGAGGCCGAAGCGAGCAGATCACCTGAGGTCAGGAATTCCAGACCAGCCTGGCCAACATGGTGAAATCCCATCTCTACTAAAAGTACAAAAATTAGCCAGGTGTGGTGGCGCATGCCTGTAGTCCCAGCTACTTGGGAGTCTGAGGCAGGAGAATCGCTTGAACCCAGGAGGCAGAGGTTGCAGTGAGCCGGGATCGCACCACTGCACTCCAGCCTGGGCGACACAGCCAGACTCCGTCTCAAAAACCAAAACAAACAAACAAACAAAAAATAGTTGAAATGGCCTGTAATCCTAGCACTTTAGGAGGCCAGGGTGAGAGCATCACTTGAGGTCAGGAGTTCAAGACCAGCCTAGGCAACATAGCAAGACCCCATCTCTACAAAAAAAAAAAAATTAAAAAATTAGCCAGGCACAGTGGCTTGGGCCTGTAGTCCCAGTTACTCAGGGTCCTGAGGCAGGAAGATCACTTAAGCCCAGGAGTTCAAGGTTACAGTGAGCTATGATTGTGCCACTTTACTCCAGCCTGGGCAACAGAGCGAGATCTCATCACAAAAAAAAAATAAAGTTTAAAATAATAAATTGTATGCTATGTATATTTTACCAGAATTATTTTTAAAACCAACTCAAATGTCACAAAGGTTTACTGAGCCCTAACCATGGGCCAGACGCCTGGCTTGCTAAGGATAAGCCAGTTCCTCTCAAGCTGCACCTCTGGATCCTATGAGCAGAAGCCAATAGTGAAGCCCCGCCGCCGCCCATCCACATGGGCACCAGCCACCTCCTCCCCCTCAATTATCTCATGCCTTGTGTGTTTTTTTTTTTTTAATTGAATTTTAAGTTCTGGGATACATGTGCAGGACGTGCAAGTTTGTTTCATAAGTAAACGTGTGCCATGGTGGTTTGCTGCACCTATCAACCAATCACCTAGGTATTAAGCCCCGCATACCTTAGCTATATTTTTTTAACACAAGTAAATTCTGCTTTCTATTATATTAATAAGTTTGTTTTAATGTAAAAAGAGAAGTTTTTAATGATTGGCCAATTCTATGACTTTCATTCTCCCTTCCAGATCCCTGAGGAAATGGATTCTTGAGGAGTCCCTTTGCCTTCTCCTTTGTCTGTATGTCCCCTGCCCCATGACAGGTACATTCTCCAGTCAGGGATGCCCAGGCCAGCCCAGCATACTGGAGGCAGGTTCACCTCCAACTGAGAACCACGGCTGGGGCCACAGGACCCTGGGCAAGTTTGCAAATCCATGAAAGGTGCACAGAGAGATTCAAGGTCGAGGCCAGGTGCAGTGGCTCACACCTGTAATCCCAGCACTTTGGGAGGCCGAGGCAGGTGGATCACCTGAGGTCAGGCAATCGAGACCAGCCTGGCCAACATGGTGAAACCTCATCTCTACTAAGTATACAAAAATTAGCCAGATATGCTGGCACACACCTGTAGTTCCACCTATTTGGGAGGCTGAGGCACAAGAATCTCTTAACCCCGGGAGGCAGAGGTTGCAGTGAGCCAAGATCTCGCTACTGCACACCAGCCTGGGCATCTGGACTACAGAGTGAGACTCTGTCTCAAAAAAAAAAAAAAAAAAAAAGATTCAAGGTTGGACATTGCCTCTGCCCCCAAACTTTGAAATCTTCTAAGAACTCTAGCCAGCCAGGTGACTGCAGTGTTTGGGGGAAACAGTAGCATAAACCCATTCTGATGAAGGGCTTTTGAGCTTGGTGGAGACCAGGCCTCCCTCCATCAGCAGCAGCCTCGAGTGATAATGACAGCTACTGTTTCTATATCTGCACTGCTTCCAATGCCATCAGCCTCATGGCTGATCCTCACAAATGGGGTTCCTGCTCCCAAAAACAGGCAAGGAATGGGAGGTCAGAATTTAAGGAATTGGCCCCATCTCACTCACCAGTAAGTGGGGAAACTGGTGTTCAAACCAAGTCTGTGTCCGTCCCAGCTAGGTCCAGGCCACATTGTCCCCAACTCCAGCACAGCCCCCTGAAATGGCTCTGATTCATTTCCACTCCCAACCCGCTCAGGGCCCAGAAGAAAGGTAGTGCTTTCTCTTGGGGTCTTCCCCAAGCGTGAGCAGACCATTTTAGAGCAAAAGCCTCCACGTCTGCATAAGCCTGGCTCTCAGATTTTTTCTGGCCTGATTTTCACTAATTCTGTTGGTGATGAGCTGCCTAATAAAATTATGCTAAGTTATGTGCATAAAGAGTAGCATCTTAAACTCTAATTATTGGCCACATCTTTGAAGAATTCCTGTGCAATTTCCAGGGTAATCAACTCACCTCTTTCTTTCGGCCTGATTAGCTGTTTGGGCCAATTTAAGCCCCCACCCCCAGCCCCACTCGAATCAACGGGGTTCTGGATGTCATTAGCTACTCCAATTGCCTTTTTAAAAATCTGTTTCATATAAAAGGACAAATGAGAATGAATATTTGGCCATCTTTAAGACACTAACTACATTCTTTTCCACAGCCTGTTCTCGTTTATTCTTTCTTTCTTCCGGAGGAATTTGAACACAGCCTGGGCTCCCGCAGTTCATGACTGCAAAAGGCTTCGCCTTCGAAATCTGACCCAAGTGGGCATATTCGGGAAATGTGGCAGCTTCGAAGAACATGAGCCAGTTAAGTTTTCTCTACCTATTCTTCCTCCGCACTCACCTCCCAGTTCTAGGCAGCTGGTTTATGCAGCCTGCTTTCCAGGACTGTCGAAGGAAAAGGCACCTCTGCCAAAAGCACCCCAGGCTACAGGGCTGAACAGAGACCCATCGTATCATTCGCTGGAAAAGCAAGAGGAAACTTCATCCAAGGACTGGCTTCTTCTCTCCTTTATTTACTAGTGTGGTTATGTCAATAAAGTCATGCAGAACCACTGGGCATGGGAGTGGGTTGGTTCCAATGGAAAGGGTTGCACCTGAGCCTCCTCGGACATAGACGCAGAAATGAGAACAGGTGGGAAAGGGTCGGTGAGGCGGGGTAGAAGAGAAGGAGTGAAAGGGGCCCTCGAACATGGTTCAGTGTAGAGGGCTAACTTTAATAATGCTTGCTCGTTCTGCAACGGACTCTTTAGTCCGAATGCCAAGGTCTGCAGGCCCTCCCTATCTCCCTGACCTCACCTCCTCCATGCCCCACCCCCTCGGTCTCAGCACTCCAGCCCTGTGCCCCTCCGACATGCCCAGCCTTTCCTACCCCGGGGCCTTTGCACACACTGCAACCACAATGTCACTTCCCCAGATCTCTCTGAATGACGCTCTGCCTTTGCAAACTTGCCCAGGGTCCTGTGGCCTTAGCCATTGTTCAAAGTTAGAAATGAACCTCCCCCCAGTATGCTAGGCTGGCCTGGGCATCCCTGACTAGAGAACATACCCCTCATGGGGCAGCCCAAGGAGAAAGCAAAGGGACTCCTCAAGAATCCATTGACTGGCTGGGCACGGTGGCTCATGCCTGTAATTCCAACACTTCGGGAGGCCAAGGCAGGCAGATCACTTGAGATCAGGAGTTTGAGACCAGCCTGGCCAACATGGTGAAACCCCGCCTCTACTAAAAATACCAAAATTAGCCAGGTGTGGTGGCACGTGCCTGTAATCCCAGCTACTCGGGAGGTTGAAGCAGGAGAATTGCTTGAACCTGGGAGGCAGAGGTTGCAGTGACCCAAGATCGTGCCACTGCACTCCAGCCTGGGTGACAATGCAAGACTCTGTCTCAAAAAAAAAAAAAAAAAAAAGAATCCATTTACTTGGGGATCTTGGAGAATAGAATTGGCCAATCATTAAAAACTTTTTTTTTTACATTAAATCCACTAATGGAATAGAAAGCAGAATTTCCTTGAGATTAAAAAAAAAAACCCCACAAGGCATGAGAAAATTGAGGGGGACGGTGTGGCTGGCACCCACATGGATAGGTTGGGGGGCATCACTACCAGCTTCTGCTCTTACAGGGTCCAGAGGTGCACAGCACCCTCCTTCTCATCCTGCAGCCCTCTGCTCCAGTGGGCCCATCTCTGACTCCCAGCACTTTCCCCACCTTTATTCCTACCTGGTTGTCATCCTCTGCCTAACCCTTAGGCTGCTTTATCTTAGGAAGCTTTCTCTCCACCTGATGTTAGTCTTAATCTGTTTATTGTCTTTCACACACATACACACACACACACACAGAGTGTAATCACTATGAGGGCAGACACTACGCTTGTCTGGTTCCCTGCCACGCCTCCAGCCCCAAGAACAGTGCCTAACACATAGGAAGTGCTCAGCAAATATTTGATCAATGAAGGAATAAAAATGTCAGCATATTCTGCACATCTCCTACCCATCCCCCAACACTTTTTCCATTCCTTCTGGACTCTGCAATCTTTCTCAAAGGAAATAAAAAATAGTCCTGGGCTTATCTGGACCTGATCTGATCAAAGAAAAAAAATGTATTTCTTTTAAATCTCTTGAAAACAAACACCACAGGCTTAGAACACCAAGTTCTTAATGTAAGCAAACAGAACCTGCTGGCTGAATTCTAAGAAATGAGCCCTGGCTTGGTATCAAGCATAGGTTGTGGGGCCGATGACTTCACATGTGACTCAGTTACCCCAAATTTCAGGGGGAATCCATTTCAAAATCAAAACGTCAACATGGAAAGTGGAGGGTGGCTTTGTTTGGGCATTCCTGCAAGAAGGCAGGCTTTCTGAAAAGATGCTATGTTATAGATAACTCATCCACAAAAGGGGGGCAGGAGGGATGGGGAGAAACCCCAGGATTGGGTGTATTTCTCGGCTAAGGCTTTGGATGCAAACTGATCCGGGAATGCGTGATCCTCCAAAAATCCACCAGCCCCCAAAGTGCTTGAGTTACCCCTCCGACCACAGCCACATGGAAAATGAAATTAAATCCCACGGAAAGATTTGACTTTTTTAACATTATGCAATGTTTGGGTGAAAAAAGGGGGGTGGGGAGAGGGAGATCAGAAAAAAATTCATCTTTTTCCCAGAGTTTAGCAGAGCTATTTCTAGCTTTTAATGATACATTTCACCATCACTTCATGGGTAGTTTTGAGAGGCGCGAAGGCGGGACCGGTTCTGTTATGTAACCCATTTAAAGTAGGAAATTAGCAAGTCCTGAATGAATTCTGTCACTGTGCTCCCACTTCTGGAAAATTTGGAGCGACTACAGTTCTATTTTGAGGTGAGCAAATCCATCATTTATAGACCTCCTCACAAATACCACAGGGCTTCATGTCACCCTGAAAAGTTTCATAACAAAAACACTAAAAGTACTTGGGGTGTTGGTACATTTCGTCTCAAAACCTTATTAGACTGAACAGTGAATTGGCAAAGCTTCCTACTTGCCAATTATTCAAAAATGCAAATATCCAAGAGCAAATAAATATTCATCTCTCACCCTCCCTGCCTTTTTTTTTTCCTTTTTTTTTTTTTTAACTAAGTCCAGCAAAATATTCTGGTCAACAACATGAAAAGAAATGTCTGTTTTTCACGGAGCCTCTGGCCATGAAATAAATTCTGAAGCTATGAAAGCACAGTCTTGAAACTCAGGGCAGTTGGGCACGTGGGGTCCGGCTGGTTGTGGAAAACAGGAAACAGCAATGTCTTTCAGTCCTCAAGTTCCCCCTAGCGGCTCCGGCGGAGGAGTGTCCGCACATGGACGGAAGTTCACTGCAGGCAAATGCAGAGGCTTAAGGTCGTGCAGGGATAGCACACGTTTAAGGGAAAGCATGGTCGGTCCCTACCTTTGAAACCACATACCTTCCTTTTGCTGCTGTCATGAGATAACACAACTAAGTTACAATTATCTTTCTAATCTATATACTGAGGATGGCCCTTTCCATTGAGAACCAAAAAGAGGGAACCAGCAGCTCACACTGCAGACAGCCACTAATTACACCATTTGGTATAGTATTTGGTATAGTAGGCGGAGGCATAACTTGCTTCCTGAGACACACGAGCTTATACCTCCGGGCCCTTTTACAAATACAGACAGACAAATGGTACAGCTGACACGTGCCAATTAAATTAGGGTTTCTCTGGCTGGGCGTATGGGCTCATGCCTGTAATCCCAGCACTTTGGGAGGCTGAGGCAGGCAGATCACCTGAGGCCTGGAGTTCGAGACCAGCCTGGCCAACATGGTGAAACCCCGTCTCTACTAAAGATACAAAACTTAACCGGGCGTGGTGGCAGGCCCAGCTACTCAGAAGGCTGAGGCAGGAGAATCGCCTGAACCTGGGAGGCGGAGGTTGCAGTGAGCCAAGATTGCACCACTGCATTGCAGCCTAGATAACAGGGCAAGACTCCACCTCGAAAAAAAATAATTAGGGTTTCTCAATGTTGGCACTTTTGACACTTTGGGCTCTGTTGTGGGGGCCACCCTGTGAATCACAGGGTGTTCGGCAGCATCTCTTGCTTGTAGCACTCCTCTTCCCCGAGTTGTAACAACTGAAAAGGTCTTCATACCGCCACGTGTCCCCCAAGGGACAAAAATCACCCAATTGATTTCAACTACTTCCTACACAAAAGCTTTTTTTGTTTTGTTTTGTTTTGAGACGGAGTCTTGCTCTGTTGCCCAGGCAGGAGTGCAGTGGCACAATCACGACTCACTGCAGCCTCGACCTCCGAGGCTCAGGTGATTGTTCCGCCTCAGCTTCCCAAGTCGCTGGGACCACAGGCTTGAGCCAGTACACCCAGCTCGTTTTCTTGTATTTTTTGTACATGAGTTTCACCACGTTACCCAGGCTGGTCTCAAACTCTGGGCTCAAGCAATCCTCCTGCCTTGGTCTCCCAAAGCTGGGATTACAGACATGAGCCACTGCGCCGGGCCTTAAAAATTTTTTCTGCCTAAAACTTAACTGACTGTTCCTATATGTTCCATCCCTCGATAAAAAAAAAAAAAAAAGATTCCAGTCATCGAGGACCGTGTATAGAAATACAATATGAAGCTTATGGTTTTCATCTTATTTTCCATTTATATCTATCACCTTTTGAAATTCTGACACGTCTGGGATGGACAATAGTACAAAATAATAAATAACATGCATTGATTTGGGGTTTTTTTTGCCAAAATCAAAATAATTTTCTGAACTGGAAAGAGTTTTCTTTACATTTCATGTACCATGAAATAAAGAAAAAATAGGAGCGTTATAATAAAAAGTCCTCATTTTGATACCAGAATTCATGTTTCTGTACAAATTAAAATAATCCCCCAAGGCAGAACGTACACAAGCTTTATTGGGCAACAGCAACGAGCCACGCTGGCAAACAATGAAAGTAGAGTCGCTCAGAAACACGAAAGATCATATGTGTGTCATCACAGCATCGAGAATTTAAATCATCTGGAAGTTCCTGCTAAATTAAAGCATACTGTGCCAGAGCTCCCCTCTAATCAAAAAACGCTGTCCTGGTGAAAATTTGCAATGAGGATTACAGAGAGAGAGATCAACCAATGAGGAAATCACAGACTCTTACATGAGTTTACAGTTAACCCCACTGCAACAAAATAATAAATTAGCCATAATTTGTTTTTTTTGCAAATACCATGCCCCCCACCTGACCCCACAAACACAACAGTCACTGACATGGCCCAGCTATATTAACAGACTGCGCCTCAAACCATGCTGTGGCGGAGAAGACAGATTCACGGGTAATGCCGCTTTGGCCTGAGAAGATGCTTCGGAGCTCCAGGTGGAGGAGCTGCTCACGCTGCAGGATGCTTTGCAGGTTCATTCAAAACCAAATTTTTTTCCAAGAAGAACTGGACATAATTCATGGGAATATTTTAAGTATATATAAGTGGCAAAAAAGCTGTACATTAAAAGAAGGGGGAGAAATAAAATGTGTTGTATTTACAAAGCTCTTTGTATATTTTTTTAAATGAAAACAAAGCTGGGAGTGATAGAATTTTAATGCAATGAAAACCAAATAATTCTTCAAAAAACTTTAGATGACATCATTCTCTCGCTCTTTCACACACACACACACCCCCCACACACTTCAAACATACAGAAAAGGTTAAAGATAAAAATAGCTGATAGGTGTTTAAGTAGGATGGAGCAGAAGAATGTACATGTCCCATTTGCAATTTTGGCAAAGGTTTAAAATGCTGCCCTAAAGGCACGCACGCATGCCCAGCCTACCCCAGTAAAAACAAGACAAAGTATAAAAAGAAAAGTCTGGCGGGGGGTGGGGGAGGCATTAGCATATCAATTTCCAATGAGCACAAAATTCAAAATACATTAAAAAGTAGCATGGCTTACATTTTCAGCAGAGAAGAAACTGAGGAAATGTTCATAAAGAGACAATGATTTTTAAGATTTACTGTCACAAAAAAAAAAGGGTTTCACTTCAGGGGAGTGGAACTGGGATGGGAATTTTACAATGCTAGTTCCAGCACGTGGTCTAATGGCCCCAGGGGCTGGAAAAGGGAGGTCTGCTCCAACTTTAAGATGCGCCCTTGGGATGCCTTCCAAGCAGCTGGAGTTAGTGCCACCTGTCTCACCTGGCACCACAGGCAACACACATGTGCACACGCATGCTTTCAAAATGAGGATCAAAACTGTCCCACATAAGAAATTACTCAAGATGGAAAAACTAGTCTGGTGATTTTCTTAGAGAAAAAAAAAGAGAGACAAAAAGGAAGGGGTGGGGGGAGGGGAAGAAACCAAATAGATCCTGCTTCCCCCTGTCACACAACCATCATCAAAAGACATATGAACAATAATAAAATAGTAATAGAAGTTCTTACTCTGGCAGAAATAGCTAGTGTTGTCAGAGGGCGCAGGGAGCTGTGAGTTTTGCTTTCAGGAAAAGTGTTCAAACAGTGCTGACTGTGTACCTCAAGGCCCTCTGACCTCAAATTAAATTGGCTGTCAAAGACTTACGGCCCATGGAGCTCCCAGGTGACAGTGTCAATGGCGCTTTATGTAAGTTCTTTCCAGATTGATGAACCAAGAAAAAGGTCAACTGAATCCTTATGCTTAAGGTTTACAAACTCAGGAGAGTTTCTTGTATAGTAACTCTAGTTTCTTGTTTGCTTATTTCTTTGTCTTCCCCACCACAACTAAGATGACCTCCGAGAAGTACCCAGGCGCCCCTGGGGTTCTCTGCTGGGCTTACAGTCTGATTGTGCAGGTAAAGATCGTGTCCTCTCACCGGACTGCATCCTCCTGCCTTTGCGTCTCCAGTGTCTGAGAAGCACGGTGTGTGCATTCCTAGGTGTTCAGGGACCGTCCAGTGAATGGCGTCAGCCAGCTGCCCACTGATGGGATGGGCCAACGACGTGGCAGTTTGCACTTGAGTGTCGGTACTTCTCACCCTTGACCGCCTCCGCCCCAGTGCGGCTGAGACAACAGAGTAAAAAGGTTTGTGGAGAACACTGACGAGTACCTTCCACTTCCAACTATGGCTTCTTCAGCCCCTCCTGGGAGCATTCTCCCTTGAAGATGTCAATCAGTATCTTAAGCGTTGGCTTTAAAAGTCAACTTGTGCACCTCAATCAAAATTGAGAATTAAGGAAAAGGCCAGGGAGACCATCTTCATTCTGCTTCTGCTGGAAACCTCTAAAACTTTCTGACGAGGCTCCCACACGCCCTGCCTGCAGGAGCCAGCATCCCGAATCTCCGAGCAAAGCCAGGTACAGGGTTTGCAAAGTCTAAACAGGACTATCTTAAGACTTCCCAGCGTTACAGAGCCAGGTTCAGCATCTGCAAAGTCTAAATGGGACTATCTTAAGACTTGCCAGTGTTACAGACTGATTTCCAAGAAAACGGAGGCTTAAAAACTTCCAGCACAAATTTCTCCTCCACCTTTGAAAACACAGAAACTCACTCAATGAATACGTCAGATTTGCTCAATCTTTCTGAAATTTTTGGACAAAGATCCTATCCTTAACTATTCACTCAATACATCTTTTCTGCCGACCTTTTCCCTCTGGCAGAAATGGCTGAATCAGATAGAGAAAAGTACTGCAAAACTGCAGAATCATAAGACAAAATAGATGTGGTGTCAACAGCCAATTAACCAGTACCTGCAACGTAAAGTCATTCTAGAACATTTTAAAAGGACAACACAAAATACAAAAGCTTATCAAGAGTGCTCCAAAGGCAAGGGACTATCTGATCCTCGTGTCTCCAGCTCTCCAAGAGCAGGAGTTAGTAGGCATCAGAAACCAGGCTGTGATGTACATCTCTGAAGCACACAGAAGTAGCGCCAGGCAGAGGGTTTGAAGGATATGTATTCATCAAGAAGTAAACGCAAATCCAAGATCTCAACCACACTTGGCTCTTAAAGATCCACCAACTTAACCCTTATGGCATGCATATGTGGCTTCTGCAAGAAGCAACTTGAAAACCCAAGAATGCCTTGCTCTACCACGTCCCGCGACTGCAAACTCCCTTCCTCTGAAACAAGCAGCCACAGCTTTATAAGAAACATGCCGGCATGTAGTCCATCCTGGGAGGGGAGAAATCTTCACCACTGGCTGCCTTTCAGCAAGTTCCCCTTGAAATCTGCCGGCAGTGGAACAGATCCCAGATCCCAACGCTGTAGCTTGGGCGTCCTCCCACCAGGGGTTCCTTGTTCTGAAAGCTGCCACCAGTGTTGTTCCGAAAGATGCCTCTGCCTTTGTGGGGTCATCTTCCATTATGCCTCCTAACAGGAAACAGGCTTCTATGGAAGAGAAGAGTCCCAGCCCCCTGACCTTTCCGCTTTGGTCTTGGAGGATCTGAGTCACATCTGCCATGTTGCCTAAAGAATTAGTTGAGTCTCTTATCACACTGTCGACACATTTAGGGGCCATTCAGTGGCACGTTTCCTGCTAAAACAACTCTGCTGAAAATGTCTGAGGTCCTTCTCAAACAGCCACTGGCTTTGTGATTGTTACCAGGTCCCAATAAAGCGGGATCACACCTCTGAAATTCTTTTACGAGGTGGCAGGTGAAGTTAACTCACACACTATGGATGCTGAATCAGATCAAGGATAACAGATTGGACTTAGGACACTCTCTCTCCCTCTCCTCTCATTTACTGGTTACGATCCCAGGAATCCAGTGTAACCTGGATAAGCAGGGCTGGCTGGAGACGATACTGAGCATTTCCGAATGGAGATTATTGTGTGGATAACTTTTTACCAAATGTCACTGTCTTTTCCTCCCAAACCGACACCAAGAGCTTTCTATTTTTCTGACACCTCTTTGTAAGAGCAAGAAAGACATAAAGAGTACATACACATTAGGACTCTTTAAAAACACACACACACACACACACACACACACACACACACACAAGCCTTCTACAACCTTCAGCTACACAGAAACTTTTATCATGTGACAACAAAATTCAAGTCATAAGGAAGCTCGCACAGTGACCCATATAAATCTCCCAGCTGAGCCACCAGCTTTAACATATTCATATTCACCTAAACATGAAGAACGAGGGGTTCAGACAGGCCCAGATGGGTCTCTTTCAGGACCCTCCCTCCCGTTGATGCAGCGTTAGGACTCCGTTTAGGCGCAGAGCCACTTCCCATTAAAACTGCATGTGTTAGCAATTACTGCAAAATCCACAGGTGGCGGTTAATATAAATGGAACTTGAGCTCTGTCCATCAGGGAAGCGCCAAGACCAGGGCCCCCTCCAGCGAACGCACGGCCTATGATGTGAGCTTTGAGTAGCTGGGGGGAGAGAACCGTCTTCGCAGGTACTTGAGGACATAGAGGGGGAGGCAGCTGACCAGAGTGATGACGGAGACTTTCCACAAGAATGACAAGGTGGCGATGAAGTACACATCTGCAAGGAAAGGGGAAGACGGCAGTGAGCAGGCAGGAATATTCCGGAAGGTGCATGGGGTCCAGAAACAGGCGTCACAACTATCAAAGGGAAAGTCATCTCCCGTCACAAACCCACAGCCTCCTGGCATTGGCCCTCTTTCTCCATGGACTGTAAGGGAAGGTACCATGGCTAAGAGCACACAGCGCCGCAGCTTGATTTTCCTCGCTCTCTCTTCTGTAGCTTCCTGACAGTGAAATGCTACTTTTAACACCCAGGAGAAGAAAACTATGGGGGCCACCAGATGCAGTGGCTCATGCCTTAATCCCAGCACTCTGGGAGGCCAAGGCGGGCAGAAGAATTGAACCCAGGAGTTTGAGACCAGCTTGGGCAACACAGCAAAACCCTGTCTCTACAAAAAATACAAAAACTAGCCAGGCATGGTGGTACATGCCTATAGTCCCAGCTGTTCAGGAGGCTGAGGTGGGAGGATCATCTGAGCCCGGGGAGCTTGAGACTGCAGTGAGCCAACATTGCACCACCGCACTCCACCCTGGGCAACAGAATAAGACACTGTCTCAAAAAAAAGAGAAAAAAAGAAGGAAAGAAAATTACAGGGGAAGAAAACTCAGAGATGCTTTTGATTTGGTGTTGTCTAACAGTTGGAGAGTCTTTCTAAGTCCCGGCCACTGGCGAGCAGAAAATGACATTCAAATGCACCCTCTGCTTCCAGTGATGGTCGCAGAAAGCCACAGGATGAGTCTGGGTCATGGTGCAAAGTGTTCAGACCCCCTTGTCAGAGAAAGGCTTAAGCTGACCCTCAGGGACTCTGATGGAAGGTGGGGGGGGCGGGCGTACTGCCTTTCCTGCTGCAGGATTATAAACCCGGTTATGAGGTTTTCTTAAGAGAGGAGTGACAGTTTGTGGCTTTCAATATAGCAGAAGCCAGAATAAGCCCCTTCTCCACTTTCTGAGCACAGGATGCTGAAATGCAGCTGCCACTGAGGCAGCACCTACTAAGTGCCAGGCCCAAGGCTCAACTCACCCTGTGGTTTTCCTACACCTCTGACCCGGTCCTGTGGTGTGTCCCTATCACAAACAAGCTGAGCTTCCTGAGCAGGGGCCACATCTCTGTGACCACCTCAGGCCCAAGCCTTTGAGCACATACTAGGTCTCACAAAACGCTTTCTAGAGACTAGTGACAAGGGTGAAACTGCTTTAAAACTCCACTGTTCACAGGGATGCTCCTTTAGTTCCTGGAGCGCACAGTAAATGCTCACAAATCCTTTCTAGAAACTGGGGCTGCAACTGTGAAACCTTTACTTTTCAGGGGATGTTTCTTTTACCTTTACTAAAACCTTCCTAAGGAGCTTTGGAAGCTGGCAAAAGAGCCGCGATCAAAGATGCTTCCAGGGTAAGGTCGAGTTTCTCTGCCTTTTTGTTGTTATTGCCCCTTAAGGAACATTTTTAGACTTTTCTTCTTCTCCTAATTGACCACCTCCATGACATGTTAATGTCACAGGTATACTGTGTATCTGTTTATAATATTATATATACATCTCCTTTATACGTAAAAGGTTAGGGTTTGTTCACACCCCACCAAAGACCACTGTTTGTTCCCCAGGCGGTGGGGTCCACACCACCCCCACTGAGAAGGCCTGAGGTAAAGGAGCAAGGGATGGGCCATTGCTAGAGAGCCTGGGCCCTGCAGGTTTCCCACGGAGGATGGGGCGTGAGGGGGTTGTCATTAACTGAAAGTTTCCCCCAGAGAGAGTCTATCCTGCAATCCTGAACACACATGAGCTTCTTAGCAGAGAAGCAGCCTCCGGGCCCTGCTCCCCCAGCTGATAAAGGAGAAACAGTATCACTCTTGAGGGTTTTTTGTTTGAATAACACAGACAGAAAATTAAATGCTCCTACTGAGGAGGAAAGAGGTGTAAAGAGGACTGTCTGCTAAACCAGCTAGACTTTCAGGATGACCCCTGGCCCTGAGGTTCCAAAGCCATAGCGGCTTGAGTTTGCCCCGTGCGGGGGAAACCAAGATTAGAGTTCAGAATCTATCCACAGCACAACACAGAAAATGCTGGATCATCTGAACCGTGCCCGTGTTGCAAGTTCTAGTTGAACTAGAAACAGGTTTCTAGACAGGAATTAAAGCCCGTGTCAGCACCCGATGGGGTCCGTAGCATAGCATGGGGTCATCTTGGTGGCCCTGCAGGGACTTGTGGCTCAATCAATTGGGAAGAAATTAACTGATATGGCAAAGCAAGTGAGGTCAGCATGGAAGAGTGATGAAACCAGGCTTGTCCATCTAGAGACAGTGGCTGACGCTGGACAAGCCCAAGAGTACCTGGAATCACTACTGAGGTCAGAGAAATCTGCCACCACCCCACATTAGGATGGTGCTGACACTCCCCCATCTCTACATTCCCATAACATTTTTTATTATTTATTTATTTATTTATTTATTTAGAAATGGAGTCTTACTCTGTCGCCCAGGCTAGAGTGCAGTGGCGTGATCTCAGCTCACTGCAACCTTCGCCTCCCGGGTTCAGGCGATTCTTCTGCCTCAGCCACCCAAGTAGCTGGGACTACAGGTGTGTGCCACCACGCCCTGCTGATTTTTGTATTTTTAGTAGAGATGGGGTTTCACCATGTTGACCAGACCGGTCTCAAACTCCTGACCTCGTGATCCACCCGCCTCTGCCTCCCAAAATGCTGGGATTACAGGTGTGAGCCATTGTGCCCGGCCTCCATAACATTTTTTATTTGGGGTGTGCCTGGGCGTCTAGCACCTCACCCCATTTTTCTTTCTTGGTAACTTTGATCACATCTGATATTCCTGTGCTCACACTCACTTAATGTGTGTTTATCGTGTGTTCCCAACGAGAAGGGCAGCTCCCTGGCGAGCCCGTCCACCTCATCTGCCACCATAATCCTGGCACACGGCAGGTGCTCCCACGTCTACGGAACTGGCGAGTACCTTCAGCACTTGGTTTGCTGTGAGGAGCAGCAGATTGTATTCTGAGATCCCTGGAGTCCCTCAGGAGCTCTATCAGGACACAGCAGCAAGGCAGGGCTGCACGGGCAAGGTTCTGGGGCTCGGCACCTCCCAGCACTGCCACTTTGCTATCACAAGTCCCCTTTTATCAGTTTCATAGATTGGACTTCAGATTAAGATTTCATGGGAACAAAAAGATTTTGTGGCCCAAAAAAGGTGACAGAGCAAGACTCCGACTCAAAAAGAAAAACAAAAACACTGTCTACTGCAATCACGCCCTCTGTCCTCAATTTCACACCCTGAGGCACAACTACCACCTGTCCCTAGAGAACACCTGTTAAGAAAACGTGGACAGCTGAGCGGGAAGGACTGCTGGAGGAAGAGCCCAGGCCGAGCGCTGGGAACCCCCCTTCCTTCATACGGCAGTGAGACCTCTGGGCCAGATTCACTGGGGGTGACGGACGGGGTTTAAGCATTCAGGGGTCTTACCGATGAACTCGTGTAAGAACACCAGGGAGGCGATGTAGCAGGCCAGGCTGAGCAGCTCCGCCACTGTCATGAGCCAGTGCCAGGTCTGGATGGTCAGCGCCACCATGAGCAGCTCGGTGAGGATCAGCGAGGTGAAGGAGATGGCCACGATGTGCACGAACTCCGACTCAAACAGCAGCAGCGCCCCGTACATGATGGTGCTCCCTGCAAACACCAGAGAAGGGTATTCCCCTCACCCTCCCTGCGAAAGCCGTGCGCTGCTCGCCTACACCTGGCTCCTTTCCGCAGTTTTCATTTAGACATGAAAGGCATCACTTGTTACATGAGGTTAATGACTGGTGCTTTATGCAGGTCTGAACCTATGGTTTTCTGATTTTCCTCTTTGACCTTGTAGGATAAATAATCTTTAACTACAAAGTGAGAAAAAGGGAGAAAAAAGGAAGTAAGGCAGGGAGGGGAGTATCTAGAGTTGATGAAAGAAATAGAAAGTTAAATATAATATTTAAAATGATGGAGTCGCGGCCAGGCGCGGGGGCTCAGGCCTGAAAACCCACAATTTGGGAGGCCAAGGTGGGTGGATTGCTTGAGCTCAGGAGTCTGAGACCAGCTTGGGCAACAAGGTGAAAGCCCGTCTCTACAAAAAATACAAAAATTAGCCAGGCATGGTGGCATGCACCTGTAGTCCCAGCTACTCAGGAGGCTGAGGTGGGAGGATCACTTGAGCCTGGGAGATGGAGGTTACAGTGAGCTGAGATTGTACCACTGCACTCCAGCCTGGGTGACAGAGTGAGCCCCTGTCTCAAAAAAATAAAAAATAAAATGATGTCGTGACTCACACCTGTAATCAGCACTTTGGGAGGCTGAGGCGGGCGGATCACTGGAGGCCAGGAGTTCAAGACCAGACTAGCCACCATGGCGAAACCCTGTCTCTACTAGAAATACAAAAATTAGCTGGACGTGGAAGCGCATGCCTGTAGTCCCAGCTACTCGGGAGGCTGAGGCACGAGAATTTCTTAAACCTGGGAGGTGGAAGTTGCAGTAAGCCGAGATCGTGCCACTGCACTCCAGCCTGGGTGATACAGCAAGACTCTGTTACAAAAAAAAAAAAAAGAATAAACCCCAATAGGAGACATGAACAGTAAATTTATTTTTTAAAAAAATAATAAACCCCAGCCAGTCGCGGTGGCTTACGCCTGTAATCCCAACACTTTGGGAGGCCAAGGTGGGCGGATCACAAGGTCAGGAGTTCGAGACCAGCCTGGCCAACATGGTGAAACCCCCGCCTCTACTAAAAATACTAAAATTAGGTGGGCGCCTGTAATCCCAGTTATTCGGGAGGCTGAGGCCGGAGAATCGCTTGAAACCATAAGGCGGAGGTTGCAGTGAGCCAAAATGGCGCCACTGCACTCCAGCCTGGACAAAAGAGCAAAACTCCATCTCAGAATAGTAATAATAATAATCCCCAAATACACATGTTTATTTGTAAGTTATATATGTGTACCTGTCCAGATATATAGAAATATTAGGATCATTTCACATGTATATTATATGTACTACAAAACATACATAAAAATGGAAATACTAAAAAAGAGTGAGGATTCCGGGCACAGTGGCTCATGCCTGTAATCCCAACACTTTGTGAGGCTGAGGCAAGAGAATTGCTTGAGTCCAGGAGTTTGAGATCAGCCTGCACAACATGGTGAGACCTCATCTCTACAAAAAATACAAAAATTAGCCGGGTGTGGTGGTGTACACCTGTAGTCTAAGATGCTGAACTAGAAACAGGTTTCTAGACAGGAATTAAAGCCTGTGTCAGCACCCGACAGGATCCACAGCACAGCATGAGGTCATCTTGCTGGACCTGCAGGGACTCGTGGCTCACAGTCCATTGGGAAGAAATGAACTGATTTGGAAACTGATTTGGTGGTGGTGTACACCTGTGGTCCCAGACTCAGAAGGCTGAGGTAGGGGGATCACCTGAGCCTGGGGAGGTCGAGGCTACGGCGAGCCGTGATTGCTCCACTGAACTCCAGCCTGGGCAACAGAGTGAGACCCTCCGCCACCCAGGGTCTCACTCTGTTTCTACATATTATATAAAATATATTTTATAAGTATATAAAATCTATTATGTGCACTACAAAACATACATAAAAATAGAAATACTAAAAAAGGATTCTGGGCATGGTGGCTTTGCCCTGTGTCTCAAAAATATATAAATAAATAAATATATATATGTAAATTTAAAAGAGTTAGGAAAAATAAATACAAACAGAAGTTTTGCTATTTTCTTCTTATATTCCAACAGGTCATCTTACAACGCCTCCACAGTCTGGGAAGACCCCCCTCTGGAGGCCACTGAGGTAAACATGTTTTTCCAAAACTACGACTTGACCTGACTCTCAGAAAAGGTTTCAGAACATCCCAGAAAGCATCTGCTTTTTGCCTCATGAGTGGAGCAGCCCCACAGGCTTTGATTACTGTCCACTGCCTTCCTCTGGCTTCACTACCTCATTTCTCACACAGCAGCACTGTGCATGTCTGATGTTCAAGTCCTTATACAGGGTGAGCAGGGTCTCCCCTGGGTCCCACTGCCACCCTCCTTCCTGCTATTTCAGATTCGTTTCTTCTCTTCTTGTTCTACAGGCAAGAAGGGGACACCCTGAGTCAGTACCAGAGCACAAGACAAACAGGTGTCTCCACTCATCCTTACCTTGATAGATGCTAATCAAAACCCATATTAAGAATGTCTTGTAGGACAACGGCCGTCCCTGAATGAGAGACAGAGAAAGGTTAGAGCCGGTTTCGCGGGGGGCTCACGCAGCATGCCATCAGCTTTCACGTTATTCTCCCGCTAACGAGATAAGGCAACCCATCTGTCTTCATCAATAAAGTGGCTCGCACACATCTGAACACATTGGAGGAATTATTTCTTTAAAAAAAGAATTGGCCAGGCATGGTGGCTCACACCTGTAATCCCAGCACTTTGGAAGGCTGAGGCAAGTGGATCACTTGAGGTCAGGAGTTTGAGACCAGCCTGGCCAACATGGTGAAACCTCCTCTTTACTAAAAATACAAAAATTAGCCAGGCATGGTGGTGCACGCCTGTAATCCCAGCTACTCGGGAGGCTGAAGCAGGAGAATCGCTTGAACCCAGGAGGTGGATGTTGTAGTGAGCCGAGATCGAGCCACTACACTCCAGCGTGGGTGACAAAGTGAGAATTAGTCTCAAAAAAAAAAAAAAAAAGAATTAACATTAAAATTAACATTACATGGGAATAAACCTTCCCTTGGGTAAAAAACCCTGAAGACAAATAAAATTATACACCTGCCTAGGCACACGCCACCACACACACTTTTTGGAACTGTACACAAGAACATCTCTGGGAGCAAACGTTAAGTTGCAACTGCAAAGCGGAACTGTCAGGGGCTTTTTGCAAGTCGTGAGTTGGCTTGTTTTCAGTTTATCTATTACTGTACTTTTTCACGTTCTTTATACCAGTGAATATATTACTGCTTTAAGAAAAAATGTAAACTCCCACACCTTCCCCCCAAAAGTAAAAAAGCTACCAGTTCAAGTGTGTTCAAATCAGAATTGGAGGGTCTGTGTGAAATAAATTCAAAGAAAAAAAGCAGGGAGGGAGGGAAGGAAGGGAAAAGCAAAGGAGGAAAGGAGGAAGGAGGGACTGAAAAGCTAACAGAACCTTGAGAAGATCCTTGTAGAGCTCAGGATACAGCATGGCAACTTCCGATTTGACATCTTTGTCCAGGACCAGAGAAAACACAGGAAACATGGTGTAAATTGTGGAGTACCTGGGAGAGAAAACCGCCATAGGTAAGACCTGGCTGACGCGATAGGAGCTATGTGCTGTGCCAGCCTCCGGCACCCAAGTCCCAACCATGCCTCTAACAAATATTTACTGCTTGTCTATTATGCTCCGGGGCTGGCTGTAAGCACCAGAAACCCATGAGCAAAAATGGACAAAAATGTCTGCCCTGAAGAGCTTTCATCCCGGTCAGCGAGTCAATAAACAAATAAATTAGGTAAACTCTATGTGTGTTAGAGAAGTGCTAAAGAGAAAAATATAATGGGGTAGAGGAAATAAGACGTGTGTGTGTGTGTGTGTGTGTGTGTGTGTGTAGGGGGTGATGGTACAATTTTAGAGGCTGAGGAACAGAACATTTGAGTGAACACCCACAAAAGGTGAGGGCCAGCCAAGCCAATCCCAGGAGGAAGAGCATTCCAGGGAGAAGGAACCACCAGTGCAAAGGCACTGAGGCGGGAGTGGCTGTCATGTCTGAAGAACAGCCATAAGGCCAGTGGGGCTGGGGCTGAGGGCGACGGAAGAGGAAATGAGGACCCACGGGAAAGATGGGACCAGACCACGGAAGGTCGCACGGCGCACAGCTCAGGGAACCCCTGACTATATTCTGTAATGTTCTTGTACTCTTCCAGAACCCGACGAAAGACAGCCCGCTTTTCCAGTTAGAAGCAGGCAGAATTCTAGTGCCTCCTCTCAGGCTGAACTCATCAGCCAACACAGTAGGATGGAAAGCGGACTCTGTGAGACTCTCCAGAGCGCAGCTGACCTTCCCGCACCCGCCGTCTCCTCATAACCAGAAGTGGCCTCAGCTGCATGTGTCTGTATCTAGGGCACTCGGTAACCAAACTCCACCTACCTGGGTGATTCAGAGACTGAGCACATTCTCTGAAAAGGTCAGAAGGATCATCCTGAAGTTCCAGGTCAGTAATGGGGGTGGGTTTGCAGGCTGCAAAGGCCCAAGTGACACCATCTCTGTCACTGTGGCACAGCAGCCAAGCTCTGTTACTTGCACATCCCCGAGGCAGTGGACTCTGGCCCTCCCTGGAGCTCCAAGGATGGGACTTCTACTGGGCTCAGTTCAGGCCAGGAGGGCATTTTTCAGATCCCCCACCCCTTTTTATTAAGACCCCAGTGAAATCACCAAGTCTGCAAACCTTCCACCTTGCTCTCCTCAATCAACTGATAACTCTGGAGTATTTTTTCAAGACCAGGTACAAATGGCAAAGTGCAACACACCACACACATCTCCAACTCCACTTCCTCCATCTGGTTAAGGGCTTAACAGCTCAAAACCTTGTTAATTGAAGGAGGTTCTAAACCATGGTGCTGGGCCTGCATTCGCTGGGGCTGGGAATCCAATGTGGCTTGGGAACCCAAGAATTTTTCCACCACGTTTCTTCTCTCTGTTGCAGCATTTGAAGAAGGTTTTGTAAACAATTAATTCCTTGGCAGGATTTCCTTACCCAATGATGAGGAATCCTTGATAGAGAGGGACGGAGGCAAAGTAAAACACGGAGGAAAAGACAGCCTGTGCCAAGGAGAGAGGAGGATGTCACCAAAAGTCATGACAAAATCCCTTACATTTACAGAATAAAAATAACACCTGATACTTACATAACACCCGCGCCGGCACTGCTGTAAGGTACTTTACATGGATTTGCTCATTTCATTCTCACAACATCAACAACAACCCTATGAAGTAGGTACGATTCTCATCATCCTCATTATGCAAAGCAGAAAGTGAGGCATAGAGAGGGTACGTGGCTTGCCCAAGCCCACACAGTTCCTAAGCAGCAAATCTAGGAATCATTCCCGGGTAGGGTGATGTATCACAGCTCCAGGGTCTACTCAGCCTGTTGTGAATATTTATTAAGTTCCAGGACCCAGGAATGCTTTGTACATGAGCACAGCTGATCTCCAGAGCAGCCCACAGGATCAAGCCCTACTATCACCCACACTTTACAGAAGGGGAGGCTGAGCAGGTAAACAGCCCTATGGGACTCAAGCCCAGCTGTGGCCACAGCTCTGTGGCCACACTTCTAAACAGCTCGGAATCCTCACCTCTGTAGGCATGCACGCTGCTAACCAAAGTGCCGTAGGTATGGAAACACATACAGAAAAAGAGCCTCTGAAGTGTCTACGGGGGCTGGGATGGCAGAAAAGGCTTCACTTCTTATATTACATGTTTCGGTATTTGGGGAAATTTTTGAAAAGAGCATGGTGACAGATTATTTTTGCAATTAGACAAAAGCAATGAAGATATTTACAAACCCTCGCGGAAATGTCTGCTTCCTGCTTTGGAAAATATTAGCTGCTGGTAATGATGAATAGGCTGGGGAGATCCAATCAGGCTTGAAGCTCTGTTAGCTCCATCTCTGGACCTCTATGGGCTAACAGAGGAAACACGGTCTCCAAGCTGATATCCATTCATATAAAGCTGAAGGAAGGCCAGAGACAAATGCTGCCTGAAAGCTTTTAGAAAGCAGAAGAAAGCAAGGCAGAGATACCCTAGTCATTAGAAATAGCATCAGACCAGGGCTAGCTCCCCAGAGCACCTTCAATGGACACAGAGAGAAAGCATGTAAGAAACACGTGCTTTCTCGGCACAGAGCTCAGAGCGCAGGTGATCCTGAGCGCCATGGCCACAGGAAGCCCCAGTTCGCCCTGGCTGCGCCGGAAAAGCCACTTTTCCAGTGACTTTTCACCCAGGCTGTGCCGCTGCTTAGGAAGGATGGTTGTAAAAATGTCAAGAATCTGTTGTTTATTTTCCAGACCAGTATCAGGAGCCCCTTCCTCTAAAAGGGTCATCCTAACCACAAAGTCTTCATCTCGACAAGAGCACTTTGGGAAAAATAAAAACACTGTGTTCTCTGACAGACTCATGTCCCGGTGCAATTCTAACTGGGACTTGCTCTCGGCCATTTTCAGCACAGTGGACAGGGGTTAAAGGCATTTTCTTTAGCACAAAGAACAATGCCTCATCCTGGAATTCTTTTTCTACATCAATGTTAACAGTAACATCCAGTTTTTGAAGAAGTCAGCTCATCCCGGCCAGCTTTTGTGTATGAGTCCAAGGACGGGCTGATTAATCTCCCAATCATTAAAGCCACAGCATTATCCTGTTCAATTGGTGAGTTAACATAAAAGTACAGATGTGGTCTGGTGAACCACAGCAGCTGTTTGGGTTTAGATCATTTTGATGAAAGTCACTTTCAGGCTCCCCTACTCACAATTGCAATAGATATTTAAAACATAAAATCACCCCCAAAAAACTGGGGTGTAGCCAGTGGACGGAAAATTCTCATGTACCCAAAGCAGCACTACCTGATACATTGTACAAGGCAGACCGCCTTTCAAGTATGATTAAACATTCTCACAAATTAAAATATCACCTGATGTTTACATATTACCTTATTTCACTTCTACTAATCACGGTAAGGATGCCTTAGCACTGATGCCTTAAAAACGTCTCTGTTTTTCACAGTGGCCCTGTCCGAGGGCAAGGAGGGTCTCATCATCCCCGTTTTCCAGGTGGGAAGACCGAGGCCTAGAGTAGTAAAGTTATTTGCTCAAGGTCTCACAGATCCTTAATGGTATGGCCAGAAGGAGACGTGAGTTCCAGGATCTACTGTACCTACATTCTCACCACTCAACTGGGAGCATTTTCACCTCAATGCCCAAAAAGGAAGATTGACAATCAATAGCTTTTTAATACCAAAAATATTTTCTTTCCCTCCTTTGGCCTCCTTTCTACTCCACACTTAATTGCTACAGACTGATGGCAAATTTTGTTGTTGTTGTTTTTGAGATGGAGTCTCACTCTGTTGCCCAGGCTGGAGTGCAGTGGCGCAATCTCAGCTCACTGCAACCTCCACTTCCCAGATTCAAGTGATTCTCGTGCCTTAGCCTCCCAAGTAGCTGGGATTATAGGTGCATGCCACCATGTCCAGCTAATTTTTGTATTTTTAGTAGAGACAGGATTTCACCACGTTCACCAGACTGGTCTTGAACTCCTGGCCTGAGGCGATCTGCCCACCTCGGCCTCCCAATGTGCTGGGATTACAGGCATGAGCCACTGCGCCTGGCCTATGATGACAGATTTTGAAGAAGTTTGTGAGAGAGAAGGTGAGAAAATATATACTCTAGAATCCTTTTATGAAAAAGCAAGATGGGAACAAGATGTTAACTTCCAAGGGTATTCGTGATCATAATAATTAAACTCAGTTCCCCTACTAGGCTCTGCTGGAAGACAGAACCGTGATGCTGAGTCAATCTCAGTGCCAAGTGTCATGCTGACCCCTGCAAGTGGACACGGTCCCAGGCCCTCCATGACGAGTGTATCAAGAAGGTACTCAGATTGTGACTGCAGGCTTTGAGGTCCACCTGCCTGAGCTGACTGAATCCCTGCGGGACACCACAAATTTCTCATCCATATTCAGCCTCAGCCTCCCCATCCGTAAAATGGGCTCAGGCTATTGTGAGGCTTATGTGAGACACTGCATTGTCAACACTTAGCCTGATGCCTAAGGTACAGGAGGCACACAAGCAAAGTACATTCTTCTTTAGTGGTTGTTCTCTGATGGCCCTTACCTCTGCAAAAGGTGAAAAACCAGGGCCTGAATAGTCATTCAGCATTTAACTCTGCGTCTTTCACTCCAGCAAACAAATTATAACAACGTACCCACAATTAAAATAACTCATGTACACTCCACTTGCCCCATGCCAGGCACTGGATGTCACCACTGCTAACGCACACATCCTCACCACATGGCAGGAATGACCAGCACCGCTTAACAGGGGAGGAATCTTGAGCACCAAGAAGTTCAGGGACTGGCTCAAGGTCTATCAGCTGGAATGCAGCCAGGTGGGGGATTTAAACTGGCGAGGTAGGGGTGACAGCTCCAAAGCATAATCTAATTCCCAGGCTTTTTCCATGATAATTACATAGCCACATGTACATGTGCAGAGGGAGCAGCTGCCCACCCACCTACATGGTATAGCCACAGGCACATGTGCAGAGGGGCCAGCTGTCCACTCACCTGCATGGTGCTGATACAGAGGCTCCTGTGAATCACGAACTGGCTGAGGGCGGCTGACCGCTTGTAGCTGTTCCGGCCATGCACCATAAGCAACCGGCCAAGATGCTTAAATTGAGTGATGGAGAAGTCTGCAGCCAACGAAGCCTGTTTTCCTTCCTAAAATCCAATAAAATTAGGCACCATCAGAAGCACAAGAGGTCAGGGCAAACACATTTTCTTTCACTGAAAAAGCAAGACATTGTAGGAAATCTTTGAAGAACTTCAAGAAAGAAATTCTTTGGTTTCAAGCTATATGCAGTTGGTGGTCCAAGTCTAAATTTGATTTTAAAAGGGGAATTTATTTAAATAAAAACCATTCCGAATCACATATAGTTATAATTTGGACGTCAAGTGGATCTAATACTTTGGGAGTTCAGCCCACCCCATAAGTAGCAAAGAATCATTTAAAAATAGATATTTTAAAACATTCAGTTCCCTTAAGAGCTAATTAAACAAGAGGCAAAAACCCAGAGCTACTAACAATATTAGATAGGATATTCCTGAATACACAGCTCTGCACACTCACAGAAGTGGGAATAACTTGCAGTGCAACCATATAATGGAATTCTCTCATTTTGTATTTTTTAATTTTTATTTTTTCTTGAGACTGGGTCCCACTCTGTCACGCAGGCTGGAGTACAGTGGTGTGATCTTGGCTTACAGCAACTTCTGCCTCCCAGGTTCAAGCCATCCTCCCACCTCAGCCTCCTGAGCAGCTGGGAGCACAGACATGCACCACCACACCTGACTAATTTAGTTATTTTTGGTAGAGATGGGGTTTCTCCATGTTGCCGAGTTTGGTCTCAAACTCCTGAGCTCAAGCCATCCGCCCACCTCAGCCTCCCAAAGTGCTGGGATTCCAGGCATGAGCAGCTGCACCTGGCCGAATTCTCTCATTTTAAAAGGCAGTGACAGCCAGCAATAAAGGGACAGAGGGACATGAGAGCCTCTGGATACGACACAACAGGAAGAACACCAATTCCCCTTGTACAGTGCTCATGCCAAACCAGAATTGGAACCGAATCAATCTGATGGGTTCAAGAACTGTGTGCCGTGAGACACTACAACTGTCCTGAATGCTTCAAAAATGTCACTGACATGAAAAACAAAACACCCGCTAACCAAACCAAACAAAAAGAGAGAAACGTGTTCTACAATAAAGAAGATCAGAAACATGAGGACATGCTAATAAATGTGATTTGCAATCCTTCCTGGAGCTTTTATTACTTAAGCTGTGAAGACACTCAGAGGACAGATGGGGGAATTTGAGCATGAATATTATCCAGTACCATTATATATCAATGTTAACACGGGGTTGAGCATGAATATTATATAGTAGCATTGTATCGATGTTACATGGGGTGGGGGTGCCTGGGGGGGCGGGGCGGGGGGTGGGGCGTGGTTATGATGTTACTTTCTTTGTGTGGGAGAATGTCCTTGTTCTAAAGAGATCCAGCTGAAATATTTAGGGGTAACATTACATACAATTTACTTTCTACTGATTCAAAGAAAGAAAGATAATGTAGCAAATAGTAACAATTGGCCAAAGTGAAGGGTAGATGAATGCTCACTGTTCTATTTCAACTTTTCCATTGTTGTATTTCAACTTTTGACATTTTTCAAAATAAAAAGGTAGAGTCAGAGTAAGAAGTGATGGCTCTGTATGCTCTCATGTAGGAACAAATCCATGATGTAGCAGATTTAAGTAAGCTGCACAACAAAATGTACAGTGTGTTTTCAATTTAAAAAAATACATGAAAATTACATATATATACATGTGTAAGATATTTGTATAGATAGCAAATATATACACACTCATAACCAGTAATATACACACAGAAAAAATGTTGAGAGAATAACCAGTGTTACTCATTTGATGCAGTTACCTAAAAGAAAAGATGCGTTTTACTTCTAGATTCTTTTATTTTATGTTATATATATTTTTGAGACAGTCTCACTCTGTCACCCAGAGTGCAGTGGCACAATCTCCGCTCACTGCAACCTCTGCCTCCCGGGTTCAAGCAATTCTCCTGCCTCAGCCTCCCGAGTAGCTAGAATTACAGGCACCCACTGCCATGCCTGGCTAATTTTTGTATTTTTAGTAGAGACGGGGTCTCACCATGTTGGCCAGGCTGGTCTTGAACTCCTGACCTCAGGTAATCTGCCCACCTCGGCCTCCCAATGTGCTGGGAATACAGGTGTGAGCCACTGAACCTGGCCTAGATTCTTTTAATTTTTTATAGTGAGCACTATTTTATATCCCAAGAAACAAAGGAACCAGAATACCATTTTTAATAGAAGGGAAAATGCTTTAATTTTTTAAGAACTGGTAGAGAATGCCATTAAACTCAAAAACATGCTTCTTAAAAACTGTATTCAGGGAATCTATACAGACTTCTGATATATCTCATTCAAAAATCATTTCACTCTACAACTTTAAATCATCGTCATCTTGCTGAGAACCAGAGAACCAGAAAGGGTGGTAAAGAGGGGGAAAAAAAGCCCTATGGGTCAGCCAAAGTCATGAAGCTATGCAACAGGATGGACAGGGGAGCATCTCTGCTGCCCCCTCCGGGCCTTGGCACTCCTATACTTCAAACACACTTCTTTTCTTTTTTTTTGAGATGGAGTTTTGCTCTTTCACCTAGGCAAGAGTACAGTGGCTCAATCTCGATTCACTGCAACCTCCACCTCCTGGGTTCAAGTGATTCTCCTGCCTCAGCCTCCTGAGTAGCTGGGATTACAGGCATGTGCCACCACATCTCACTAATTTTTGTATTTTTAGTAGAGACGGGGTTTCACCATGTTTGCCAGGCTGGTCTCGAACTCCTGAGCTCAAGTGATCCTCCCGCCTCAGCCTCCCAAACTGCTGGGATTACAGGCGTGAGCCACCGCTTCCAGCCCTTCACACACAGTCCTAACAAACTCGGTGACCCATCTTCTTGCCTCTTGTCATTTAGAGGTCACAAATTAGGGCCGAGTAAACTGTAAGAGGCAAGCGCACAATTGGCAAGGAGAAAAAGACAGAAAAAATATTTCCTAACACACCAACTTTTAAAAATTATACCTGCCAAGGCCTTTTGGTGAGAAGTGAACTAAGCCACACTCTTCCATAGCGCCCAAGAGATCAGCACAGAGCAGGATAACTAATGCTTTTACTGACAACGCTGACTGTCCCAGAGAAGTCTGAAGTATACTTACCATACCCTAAGAATATAGAGAAACTTTTTTTTTTTTTTTTTTTGAGACAGAGTCTTGTTCTGTTGCCCAGGCTGGAGTGCAGTGGCGCAATCTCGGCTTACTGCAACCTCTGCCTCCCGGGTTCAGGCGATTCTCCTATCTCAGCCTCCCAAGTAGCTGTGATTACAGGCACCCACCACCATGCCCAGCTAATTTTTGTATTTTCAGTAGAGACAGGGTTTCTCTAAGTTGGCCAGGCTGGCCTCAAACTCCTGACCTCAAGTGATGATCCACCCACCTCAGCCTCCCAAAGTGCTGGGATTACAGGCGTGAGCCACCACACCGGGCCTAGAAACACTTTTTCTTTTTTTAAATTCAGGTCGTGGCAAACAAAAAGCCAACATTCATCTGTCTGTAAGATGTAGCAATACAGACCTCTATCTTCCCAGTGACACAAGGTAACTGTGACACATGATTCCTTATGTTTTATCATTCTTTATCTGGAATTTCCAGAAGGCTTAAAGCTGTGTCTTTGAGGGAAAAAGAACCAAGAAACTACAGCAAGTGGAGCCGAGCAGAGGGAAACACTCTCACCTTTCCTTCCACTCCCACGCCGCAGTCAGATTCCTGAATCATGCTGACGTCATTGCCTCCGTCCCCTGCGAGCCACACAGACCAGAGAGAAAAGATGTTTCATTCTTACCTTAACCAAGAATGTATGCTTGTCTTTACCGCACTCTCGTCTTTCACGGAGCGCTTGCTGAGTGCCTGGCCTGCCCCGTCCATTCCATCTCTCCAACCCCTTGACTACCAAGATCCTGTTTCACAGGCAGAGTGGCTGAGTGTCAGAGAGCCCAGGCGGCTTGCCAAGGGTCCCGGCACTGAGCAGCAGCAGTGGGACTGTGTCCACATAGGCATTTACCACCACCTGTCCTCCTCGGAGGCCGGGATACCCCAGGATTACCATCAGCAGCAACTTGTAGTGCTCTTACTGGACGCTTTCCATGCAGCGTGGCAAGCACATTTTAAAGGTGATCCTTTTTAGGCTGAGCAGTGGCTCACGACTATAATCTCAGCACTTTAGGAGGCTGAGGCAGGCAGATCACCTGAGGTCAGGAGTTCGAGACCAGCCTGGCCAACATGGAGAAACCCCGTTTCTACTAAAAATACAAAAATTAGCCACACGTGGTGGTGCACGCCTGCAGTCCCAGCAACTCGGGAGGCTGAGGCAGGAGAATCACTTGAACCCGGGAGACGGAGGTTGCAATGAGCTGAGATTGTGTCATTGCACTCCCGCTGGGCAACAGAGTGTGACTCCGTCTTAAAAAAAAAAAAAAAGGTGACCCCTTTTAGTCTTCATGACACCATTTAAGGAAGCCACAATTATTATTCCCATTCTACCATAAGCAAACCGAGGCTCAGATGGGTGAAAGAAGCCACCTGGGGCACCCACTGGCAAAGGCCAGTGGAAAGATTTGAACCCAGATCCAACCCCACAGTGTGTGGTCTCCACCCCCTGGAAGGCTGCACTCTTGAGCCACTGGCAAAGGAGTAGAGGCCTGGCACGTGCTTATCTACTCTCCAAGGGAAATATTAAAAATAATAACAAAAAGAGCCAAAGTCTGAGAGGTGGAGAAAAATCATGACCTGAACAAAGGGGCCTGGGGAATTTGAAGAAAGAGCAGCAGTGTCCAAATATCCTTAGGGAAAGGGAGCCTGGTGCACCGGCAGGCCAGGGCCAGCAGCACAGCCTGAGCCTCGCCTACCTACTGCACAGGTGAGCTTGCCCGTGCGCTCCTGAAGCAGGCGCACGATCTGGGCCTTCTGGGTGGGGGCACATCGGCAGCAGACTACGGCCGGGCACTGGCAGGCCAGCTCCATGAACTCGTACTCATAGTACTTGAGGCAAACCTGCAGGGTGGAGGGAGAGGTGGTGCGTTGGTGGAGGGAGAGGTGGTGCGTTGGTGGAGGTCGCTGCCGAGCCTGCAGTGCCCCTGCCGAAGCCGGGTAAGACCCAGGCTGCTGGGAGGACTGGCTCTCAGGGGTCCCCAAGCTCACCTCCAGGGAGTCTCCCGAGATGACCAGGGCACAATCATGCTTCCTGCGGAAGGCGTTCAGCTCGAGGTGAGCCTCCCCGCGGTTGGTCACCTGGAAGGGAACAGAGATGGGGAAGGAGGCATTGCTCTCCGGACATGATAGAACAACAAACAGTGGCTTCCAGGAGCCCACATGAAGACAACGGCCACCCCAGCCAAGGGTCCCTCCCCTCCCCTGCCACCAGAGGCAGCACCAAATGGAATCCTATTGGTTGACTCTGCAGGAATCAAGAGAGCCCATGTGCCAACCACCACCTACAATTTCCCCCAGGACTAAAAATGCCTGTACTGGCCAAGCGCAGTGGCTCATGCCTGTAATCCCAGCACTTTGGGAGGCTGAGGCGGGCAGATCACTTGAAGTCAGGAGTTTGAGACCAGCCTTGCCAACATGGTGAAACCCACTCTCTACTAAAAATAGAAAATTAGCTGGGCATGGTGGTGGGTGCCTGTAATTCTAGCTACTTGGGAGGCTGAGGCAGGAGAATCACTTGAACCCAGGAGGCAGAGGCTGCAGTGAGCCGAGATCATGCCACTGCACTGGCAGTATGGGCAACAGAGCAAGACTCGTCTTTTAAAAAAAAAAAAGGGGGGGGGGGGCCAGGTACGGTGGCTCACACCTGTAATCTCAGCACCTTGGGAGGCTGAGGTGGGCGGATCACCTGAGGTCAGGAGTTCAAGACCAGCCTGACCCACATGGAGAAACCCCATCTCTACTAAAAATACAAAATTAGCCGGGCTTGGTGGCACATGCCTATAATCCCAGCTACTTGGGAAGGCTGAGGCAGGAGAATCGCTTGAACCTGGGAGGTGGAGGTTGCGGTGAGCCGAGATCATGCCATTGCACTCCAGCCTGGGCAACAAGAGCAAAACTCTGTCTCAAAAAAAAAAAAAAAAAAAGCCTGTACTTTCATTTTCGGCCAGGTGTTGGATGATGCATTCGGTGGATTTTTCTCATTTATTTCTCACAACGGCTCTATGAGGTGCCAAAAAGAAGAAGCTCTATTTTGCACCTAAGGAAACTGAAGCATGGTGACATCTGCTAACCTGACTAAAGGCACATGGCTAGTATGCTGTAGCCCAGGTATGCAGAGCCAGGCACCTAGCAGGGACTGGGCCACTTTTCTGTAAAGGACCAGATGTTAACTATTGTAGGCTTTGAGGACCACATGGTCTCCATCACAACCACTCAGCTCTGCCGTTGTAATCCAAAAGCAGTCGTACACCATATGCAAACGAGCCGGTCTGTCTACACTCCAATAAAACAAAATACCTGCTGTTTAGAAAAACAGGTGGCTAGCACATAGGTCATTAGTTTGCAATCCCTGAATTCTAGAACAGACAGTCAATTCTCATTATTCATAGTAGCTATGTTTTCTAAAGTCACTGTGAACACTGAATTAGCAAATACTAAACCATCACCTGTAGGGGAAATACAGGGTTAGGTTTTTGCCCCTGGTTGCAATATCTTCATAAATATATAACCTTATTTTATGTGCGTTTCTACTTAAAGACACCTGGATTCATTAACATTGAGCTCACAGCCACCAGTTCTGTAACTCATGCCTGCAGGAAGCTCATCTAACACACGCATTCGCTCCATAAGTCACATCAACAGCCTTCCTGTTGATGTGACTTATGGATGTTGGGAAGTTCAAGTTCCAGAAAACAAGCCAGCAAAGAAGCGCTGTGTGCGGCCATTTTAAACGACAAACTGCCAACAAAAAGCATAAAAATGCAAAAAACCGGATACTCGATGGACTGCAAAAACGACACTGGTTCGTCACACGGGGCTGAAAGGAGGGGGGAGTGCGTGAGCTTGTTCAGCCTCAGGTGGGAATGTGTGTCTCAGGCAGCTAAAATTTTAAGCCACTCTAGGCCAGGCGCGGTGGCTCACGCCTGTAATCCCAGCACTTTGGGAGGCTGAAGTGGGAGAATCACCTGAGGTCAGGGGTTCGAGACCAGCCTGGCCAAAATGGTGAAACCCGTCTCTACTAAAAACACAAAAATTAGCCAGGTGTGGTGGCAGGCGCCTGTAATCCCAGCTACTTGGGAGGCTGAGGCAGAAGAATTGCTTGAACCCAGGAGGCGGAGGTTGCAGTGAGCCAAGATTGCACCACTGCACCCCAGCCTGGGTGATAAGAGCAAGGCCCCATCTCAAAAAAAAAAAAAAAAGGAGAGATTTAAGCCACTCTACGTATGACAGTGAAAATATCAAGAGTACTGATTTGGAGGTCACAGATAAATTTTGGGAGGAGGAGAATTCACAAAGAATCTGTGAATGATGAGAACTGACTGTACCTGCCTCTATACAATACTATGCTATTTCAAAAATCCCTGGATTTTTTGAAGCTTCTGTGTGCTATGGACCAAAGGCGGGGTGAGGGCGAGACCCCCAAACATCTAGAGACCCTCCAGTGGTTTGCCATCGTGGCTCTGGTTTCAGATCAGTGGGATTACTATATCCTGCCCCAAAGAGGACCCGGTCCCCCTACCTCCCCAATGCAATAAAGCCTAGCACAGTCCTCACTGGCAGCAGTTCCTGATGTGCACATTGTCTTGGTCAATGTCTGCCACAAGGGCGGGCGATTTCTCATTTGCCCATCCAGTTCACCTCCTTCAAAAGGCTCCTCAATGGTCCTAAATGCTTCCCCTCTCAGGAGGGCAGATGGACCAGTATCTGTGGCCTGGAATTTCTTTCTTATCCAAGGACTTGACTTTCAGGGGTTCCGTGAAATCCCAGGAATCCCATGCATAATTTCATGTGTATGAGTGGATCTGCATCTTTCGGGGGGAGTGCCTGACTTTCATCAGCTTCTCAAAGGGACCACGACCCCCAAAAGGTTAAGAGCATGGCATTAGCACAGGGCTAGAAGGAGGTACTCCCAAACCACTACTGGAAGAAACTCTCCAGCCGGCGCCTGGGTCATTAATCATCCCATCCAAAGCAACCGTGGTTGATGCTCCCCACCCTAGGTAATTCACATGCTGCCCCTCCCTTCTTAAGGGGCCCACTCAAGGTTAGGAGGTTATAGGACAAATCGAACATCATCCCCACATGGCCCTAACGCAGAGGACACTTTACCAGCCGAAAAACGTGGATGTCTTGGTTTCTGGTCACCAGATGTGCATTCTTCGCTGTGCACGTAGCTGTCTCCAGCTTGTCCCCTGTCAGCATCCAAACCTGAAATCATGGCGTGACAGAGGTCCTGTTTATTAGTTTTTGAGGCCGGCCTGTCATCTGCAACAGCTGAGTTTCCAACAACATGGAGCTGAACTTGGTATGTTCCGTTTACCTCCTGCCGACTCATGCTGTCCCCAACACAACACAGCAAGCGCCCTGGCTGAAGGGCTCTGGGACTCCAAGCAACCACTGCTGGTAGCAGCAAAAACTGGCAGATGCTTCTAGAAAGGGCCATTTGGCCACACACTACAGGAGGTACTATGAAGCTCGGTCCTTGGACCGCATAATTCCCCTTCTGAGGATTTTTCTTAAAGTGATAAATATCCTAAAAGAAGGGAAAGGCTGTACAGGTGAGGGGGCACTTCCCTGTCCTACAGGAAACACTCATTTTTGACGCTGTGGACTTTCTATGTAGTTGGATGAGCAAGACAGACCCTTCTGGGGTTTAACTCAGCTTATAAAACGCTGACCGTAAATGAGTCAGGTTCTTCCGTATCGTGCATTAGCTCACACTGCATTTCTCTGCTGTGGGCTCAGAGAGGGTAGATGACTTGCCCCAAACCACACAGCTACCTCTTGTCCTAACCAGGCCCAGAATCCGGGTCTTTAGAGTCCTCATGGAATGTGCTTCCTGCTCTGTGATTTTACCTCATTAACCCTTTTGTTCTCTTTGCTCCCAGCTGGGAGCAGTCTTGGGGCTATCGGTCAAAGAAAATCTGGATAGGAGGGAAAGTATAGGAAAGAAGATCATGACAATTGTCTCCTGAGTGTCCACTACGTGCCCAGCACCCACGCTGAGCTCTCTGTTACCTTCATGACAGCTTCTGGAGGCTGGAAATGGAAGCGCTAAGAGCTTCAGTCATTTGCCAAGGGTCACAGAAGAAGTAAAGGGAGAGGTAGGATGGAAACCCAGGCAGTGAGACGGGCAGAAGGAAGGCACCGGGCACCTCTCAGGGCTGAGCCTCCCGGGCCCTCTCCCCTAGCTGGGTCTGTTTTCCCTCAATATCCCGCCTGTCCTAAAAATAATATTCTTTTTGGTGAGCTTCGTTTAGTCATAGTTCTCAGGGTTTGAGGTAAGAGAACAAACACTGGGGAAGGAATTGGGAAGTTCAAGTTCCAGAAAAGCATGAAAAGAACGATCAGGTGCACGACATGGCTAATGTCCCATGCTGTGATGAAGGCAAGGTACTACAGGAAGGGTCCAAGACCCCAGCTCCAGTCCCGGCTCTGCTGCTTCCCAATGTGAGAACCTGGGGAATGGAGACGCCTCACTTAGCCTCAGTTTCTACATCCATACAAGGGGCTGATTTAGAAAATATCCTGTGCAGCCAGGCGCGGTGGCTTACGCCTATAATCCCAACACTTTGGGAGGCCGAGGCAGGTGGACCACTTGAGGTCAGGAGTTCGAGACCAGCCTGACCAACATGGAGAAAACCCATCTCTACTAAATATCTAAATATACAAAATTATCCAGGTATGGTGGCACATACCTATAATCCCAGCTACTTGGGAGGCTGAGGCAGGAGAATCTCTTGAACCCAGGAAGTGGAGGTTGCAGTGAACCGAGATCGCACCACTGCACTCCAGCCTGGGCGACAGAGTGAAACTCTGTCTCAAAAAAAAAAAAAAAAAGAAAGAAAGAAAGAAAAGAAAAGAAAATTTCCTGTGCAAGATCGTATCTTAGACTTTAATTACCAACTAACCTGCCCCATCCCAGGCACTCCCCTCCTCCTGTCATCTAACAGGAAACTAGAATGGTAAGTCACATGCACACTCTGTGAATAAAATATCTCGTCTTGGGCTAACATAGTTTTGAGAAGGAGAAAAACCCCAGGACAAAGATGGAAGCAGAAAATGGAAACTCCAGAAGTCTTAGGAATGGCCAGGGCCCCACTGCAGACCCCACGATGAAGCAGAAATGGGCCTCCAGCGGCCAGACTTCCGGAAGCAAGGTCCCGTTGGTGATTTCCTTATGACGAACCAGGCCTGTGAGCCAAATGCAAGCGACAGAATTGGGTTTACAAGGAAACAGGCACGCAGGGGTGGGAGTCCCCAGTGGGCCTGAATGTTGCCTGGCATCTAACCTGTCCTCCTGCCATGGCCCTGCTGAAAGGACAGGCCCCAGGATGCAGCAGAGAGCCACTTTTGAGTGGAGGCCGGTGGCAGGCACACGTTTCCAGGAGCTCCAGGCCAATGAGTTTGGTTGTTCACACCTCCCTTGGTCCACTGAGGACCAGGTCCTCACGCGCCCTCTGCTGGCCCCTCCAGATTCAACTCCTAGTATTTTTTTTTGGGTCGCCACTGGTAGAGTGCAAAATGCTAATACGACAGTGTGATGGCGCTGACGGTCACTCTGCTGGGTGGTCACTCACTCACTTGGCCACACGGCAGACAGACCGGCGTGCTGATCACTCAACTAGAATTTAATCAGCAGCCATGCACGCTGGACACTGCTCGGCCTTGAGCACCAGGGAGCCCAGTGGAGTCAGGGGAGTCATCGGTACAGTAAAGGCAAACGCTACACAAGATGTCTTCCAAAATCAGGGCTGGAGGGCCAGGCACAGTGGCTCACACCTGTAATCCTAGCACTTCGGAGACTGAGACAGACAGATCACCTGAGGTCAGGAGTTCAAAACCAGCCTGGCCAACATGGTGAAACCCTCTATCTACAAAAATATAAAAATTAGCCAGGCGTGGTGGTACGTGCCTGTAATCCCAGCTACTAGGGAGGATGAGGCACAAGAATTGCTTGAATCCAGGAAGCAGAGGTTGCAGTTAACCAAGATCATGCCACTGCACTCCAGCCTGGGCGACACAGCGAGACCCCGTCTCAAAAAAAAAAAAAAAAAAAAAATCACAGTTGGAGGGGCAGAAACAGTGCCTGTGGCCCATTGCAGATAAGGCACTCCTGGTGTCCTCTGCTGCTCCTCCCACCCTTTCCCCCTGTGATCTCCCTGCACTGCTGAGGGATAACTGGCATTGCCCTGGAGTGCCCTTCCCTGCGGGCAGCCCGCCCTACCTTGATGCCAGCATTCCTCAGGGTCTCCAGCGTGGGCCGCACATCTGCCTGCAGCTGGTCCTCCACGCCCGTCAGGCACAGCAGTTCCATCTCCATCTCCAGGCTCTCGATCACCGTGGCCACTTTGAGGGAGCGGTCGTGCACACTCAGCTTGGCCTGGACGTAGCGGGCCTGGGACACACCAGCAGATGCAGTCACTGCTTAGGGTGAGGAGAGGCCAGGCTGACTGGCCAGTGCCAAGAGTGGAAGGGCCACACCCGATCCCCACCACACGGGGTGGGGGACCCCAGCAGGTGAGCTGGACCCCACAGGGGTGACATAGGCTTCCAGCTTCCTCACAAGTCCTCCATGTAGACACTGCACAGACCTGAGTCCCACCCTACACTCCACACTCACCTGCTGGGAGACTTCCAGCAAGTCACTTAACCTCTCTGAGCCGTGGCCACGAAATGGCAATAACAGCACCAACCTCATTGGGTTGTCTCAGGGACGGGCACAACCAAGATCTCAAAAAAACAGTAAGTTCTCCCATACACAACATGCACTTTGTAAGCCAAACTGTGGGTCACCAGGTTTTCTAAAGACCAAGTCGAGCTTCTGAAGACCATCAACCCAAACTGCCGCTTCTTCTCTTTATCATGTTAGCAAAAACCTGGAGGAAAACCAGTCATCTAATGGGCCCGCTTGAAGCACATGCTTTTAAAATTAAAAGGCAGGTAGCATTGATCGGGGCTAAAATGCTTGTTAAATAATGGCTTACAAAGAACTCAAATATATTAAAGAGAGATCCAGGCAGTTTCCCCGCATGGAGCAGGGCAGGGCCCCACGAAGCGTGTCCCGCCTCCCTCCCTTGCATTCCTGCACGCTGGATTTAGGCCAGGCACCAGAGACACGGCAGTAAACAAGACGAGGACCCTCCCCTCAGGGAACACACAATCTATGGGATGGGATGACAATAAGCAAGTCAATAATCTGGTTCAACCCCAACATTTTTACAGCTTAAAGAAATTAGGGAGGCCGGGTGTGGTGGTTCATGCCTGTAATCCCAGCACTCTAGAAGACCGAGGCAGGCAGATCACCTGAGGTCAGGAGTTTGAGACCAGCCTGGCCAACATGGCAAAACCGTGTCTCTACTAAAAATACAAAAATTAGCCAGGCATGGTGGCACATGCCTGTAATCCCAGCTACTTGGGGGCTTGAGGGAGGAGAATCGCTTGAATCCAGGAGGCAGAGGTTGCAGTGAGCAGAGATCGTGCCATTGGCACTACAGTCTGGGCAACAAGAGTAAAGCTCTGTCACAAATAAAAAAAAAAAAAAGAAAAGAAATTAGGGAGCCGAACCAGATGCGGTGGCTCACACTTGTAATCCCAGCTACAAGGAGGTTGAGGCAGGAGGATGGCTTGAGGCCAGGAGTTTGAGACCAGCCTGGGCAGCATAGCGAGACCCCGTCTCAGAATAAATGTGCAAAAAAAAAAAGAGAAAAGAAATTAGGGCTCCAAGAGAATGATTTATGCCAAATTTTCCCGAAGGCATACCATATGCCAAGGACTATCTTTAACTACTAAGGATATAAGAATAAACCAGGCCAGGCACAGTGGCTCACACCTGTAATCCCTGCACTTTGGGAGGCCAAGGCTGGTGGATCACCTGAGGTCAGGAGTTCGAGACCAGCCTGGCCAATATGGTGAAACCCCATCTCTATTAAAAATACAAAAATTAGCCGGGCATGGTGACGGGCAACTGTAATCCCAGCTACTCCAGAGGCCGAGGCAGAAGGATCCCTTGAACCTGGGAGGCGGAGGTTACAGTGAGCCAAGATCACACCACTGCACTCCAGCCTGGGCGACAAGAGCGAAACTCTGTCTCAAAAAAAAAAAAAAAAGAAGAAGAAGAACAAGAATAAGAAGAACAAACCAGACTTGTAAAGTCCCTGTCTTCAAAAATATTTTATTCCCGAAAGGAGATGGATAAGATGAATGTTAAAAAAAAATATATGAACAGGGTCAAGTTTATATTCTTCTGGCCTCTCCAGATTCAACTCCTAGACATATTTTTTGGCCCCAAATGGTAGCACGCGATGACAGTGACAAATGCAATGAACAAAGTGAAATGGTATGATGGATGGAAAGTGAGAAGGAGCCTTAGACAGGTGGTCCAGGAAGACTTCTTGGAGGACGTGGCTTTTGAGCTGAGACCCAAAAGAAGCGAGGAAATGGGCCATGGGGCTCTGTGGGTGAAGAGAGTTCCAGGCAGACAGAACGGCAAGTGCAAAGGCCTTCAACAACAGTGAACCCAGTGTGCCCAGAAATGACATCAGAATGGCTCGCATAGGATGAGGGATGGTGGAAGGAGTGACTGGGAGGCAGGTGGGGCTGCAAAGGCAATGGAAAGGTCCCAGAACAACTTACTTCAAAGTCCTGATACTGCTCCTCTGCAAGAGACTTCTTTGCCACCACGAGCACCCGCAGCCCTTCTCGGGCCATGTTGCCACACTGAAAAATAGACCACGGTCGAGTGGGAGCGGTGCTGAGAGCTCCTGACCTCACTGGGGAAGGACCAGTGCCCAAGTGGATGTGCCCCTCCCACAGGGTCAGAGAAAATGGCAAATCAGAAAGTTGCTTTCCCCTACGGCAATCCTCCCTGGAGCAAGCTTTCTATAGGGGAAGTTGCAGAGAGGCAGCCGGTGAGCCAAACACAGCCCACCCACAGGTCGTCTTCAACTAGCACATGTATGTTTCCAAATTTAAGTCAACATTGTGCGGTCTCACACACAAATCTGGACTGCTGAATGGGTGGAAAAACTGAGCATCTGACAAAACCAGGTGCATTTTCCCAAATAACCACAATCAATGATGGCTGAGGAGCAGTGGCCTCCACGTGTTCCCAGGAAGTGGAGGTGTCAAGTGAAGAACACTCCAGCACGTTTTACACGCAAAGTGCAACTCTGCTCAAAATCACAACCTGTTTGTTCATTTGCATTAACTGCCAGGCCCCTGTAGGCATTTGAGTTTGCAACCCTCAAACTGAGAATCTTATGCAAAATGTAAATTCCCCCTAGAGCTAAGAGATGGGACAAAAATGGCCTGAAAACTGCCTCCCTCCTGCTGCTGGCCAACTGTCCACGTCACAAACTGGGTTGTGCAGCCTCTGATGTGGCCCCTCCTGGAACTCACATTCTGGTATAATCGCCTACCCTTTGAGTGTGTGCTGGACCTAGTGACTTGTCCCTAACAAACAGAATGGGCAAGAGTGAGGGGATGTCACATCTGAGATCAGGTTAGTAAAGACAGTGACTTCCATCTTGTTTGCCCTCTCCTGTTCCATCACCTGCTCTCTTTGTTGAAGCTAGTTGCCAGGCTGTGAGTGGCCCTATGGGAGAGGCCCACCTGCAAGGAATAGAGGGCGGCCTCTGGCCAACAGTTGGCAACAACCTGAGACCCTTAGTTCAACAGTCCAAAAGTAGCTGAATGTAGCCCACAACAACTGAGCTTGCTCACAAATGGATCCTGCCCTGGTCAAGTCTTGAGATGAGACCACAGCCCCAGCCAACATCTGAATTACGGCCAGTGGGAGGCCCTGAAGCAGAGGATGCAGTTCAGCCACACCAGCATCCCTGACCCACAGAAACCATTATATATTAAATGGGTGCTGCTTTAAGCAGCTGCATTTCAGGGTGGTTTGTTACACAGCCACCGATAACAAATACAGAGACCCACCTTACCATGCAAGGGGCTGCCTCTGCAGAACATGCTTCCAAGGCCTGGTTTAACTTCCTGCATCACACTTACCTCTTCCTCCAACCAGTCATTGTACTGCACAATGCCAGCCATGACCACATCTGCTCCCTTCATGTAAAACGTAATTTCTCCAGTTGATTCATCCTAGAGAGGGAGGCCGGAAGGAATGAGAAACTGAAAGGAACACCCTCTTTCAGCGGCAAAGCCCGCTTCCCATGACAGACAGTGTACAAAGTGCACTTAACAGACACCAATGTTTTTTCAGTTGGCTGAAGATGAAAAGCGAGAAGGGGCCTCATTTAGGGGCAAAGGCTACAGAAAGTAAAAGGAAAACTCAAAGCACTTGGAAGATTTTCAATGATGAAAGAAAGATCAAATGGATTTAAGACCTTTGTTTTGAAAGTTATTACTATTTCAACTGGAATAGACTCACATGCTATGATTTTAGATTTACACTTGGGACTGCAGATATCATCAAACTGTGGTCCACTGAAAGAATAGGGAAGATAAGGACTAGAACAGGGAGTCTCAACCTCGTCACTGTGAACATTTGGGGCCAGATAACTCTTTGCTCTGCAGGGCCCCTCCTGTGCACTGTACAATGTTGAGCAGCATCCCTGGCCCCTACGCACTAGATGCCAGTCATACACCCTCCATGGTGACAACCAGAATGTCTCTAGACTTTAGCAAATGTCTCCTGGGGGCAAACTGACTGTCTCAGCTGAGAATAATTCCAGATCCCTAAGTCTAACTAAGGACTTGCCTAGAGATCCAATTACCCAGAGTTTCAGTTCACCCTAACCAGATTTTCTGGGTAGTGGGTAGCACCATGGCACAGGCATCAAATGCTTGGACCAAGTACCAGTTTCTAGTTGTGTGCAGCTGGACAAGCTACTCCTCTTCCCTAAACCTCAGTTTTCTCATCTGTAAAACAGGAATCAAGCATGTAGCACAGAGACTGACACATGGAAAGGACCCCTCAGTGGTATAACTGCTGCTGGGATGAGAGTGATTTCCCAAGTCCCCCAGCCATACTGTACGTAGAGAACAAGGCTCAGCCCAGTACTCTCAACAGGGCAATGTGGCCCTCCAGGAGACATGTGGCAATGTCTGGAGACACTCTAGGTGTCACAACGCAGGCAATGTCCTACTAGCATCTGACGGGTGGAGGCCAGGGGTGCTGCTCACCCTCCTACATCACACAGGACGCCCCCAACCACCACCAGGAACTCCTCCAGCCCTAAAAGTCAACAGTGCTGAGACTGAGAAGTCCTAGCTCTGAGGAATGACGGCGCAGCCACAGATCCTTCCCCCATTTTCCCCCAATGATTCGCGTCACTGGGAGGTGGGAGGCAGTAAAGATAAGCAAGAAAACTGAGCATGGCCATCAATACCTTGTGCCTAAATTTTGCTACTCCAGGAAGCCCAGAATAAATGCCCGGAAAGTCTTCATTGAATATGGAACCGTGGAGACAAAAGTGACTGCATCTCAAGCTGGGTGTGGTGGCTCACGCCTGTAGTCCCAACACTTTGGGAGGCTCAGGTAGGTAGATCACCTGAGGTCAGGAGTTCGAGACCAGCCTAGCCAACATGGTGAGACCCTGTCTCTACTAAAATTACAAAATTAGCTGGGCGTGGTGGTGCATGCCTGTAATCCCAGCTACTCAGGAGGCAAGGCTGGAGAATCACTTAAACCTGGGAGGCGGAGGTTGCAATGAGCTGAGATTGCACCATTGCTCTCCAACCTGGGCAACAAGAGCGAAACTCCATCTTAAAAAAAAAGTGACTGCATCTCAGGTGCAAATGCGCCATGCTGACTTCTGATTAGCCCAGTCCCATGAACACCCCCGATTCCTACTTAATTCACCGTCCTTCACATAAGAACATGTCAACCTTGATGTTATCGCACAAATTACAGGTGATGAAACATACAGCTTTCTTGCCTCTCCTGGAAGGTGCCCGTAATTGTCCTGCTGGGGCACGCGGACCCTTTCCCTGTGGTATAAGCCCTGGGTCTAGGGAGTAACAGTATGGACATCCACCTGTTTTCCTGCCGCCCAAAACTACACTTCTGTCTGTTCGGCTCCCCCAAAAACCACGCTTCTATCTGTAAGTTTCCCCCAATAAAACACCCTTTAACGACAAACTGGATTTGCCTGCCTTGTTCTTTGGTTTCAGGCTCCTTTGGAGGCCACTTTGTCTATGCAGCCCTTTCATGGAACAGAAATATCCAAAATCAGATTAGTGGTAGAGTTTCCTCTTTTAGAATAACTTTCAAATGCCCCTTAATCACCAACAATCTTTTAGAACAACATGCTGACTCATAAGAGCACCCCCAGGCCAAGACAGGCACCCACGTTTAAAAGCGTTCAACTGCACACTTTATCTCTGATAGACTGTGGCTATGCCTGCTCTTGACGCAGGCCAAAGAGAGCTGTGGGGTCTGCACATTAAAGAATCAGAGGTTTTATTTTTTCCTTCCCCCCGACAACCAAAGGGTGCTCAACAACATGTGGCTGTAGGAAATGATGCTCCCAGCCCAGCTTCCTCACTAAGAAAAGGGCTTGAGTGAGTTCAGAAGTTCTGTCCAATATAAATACCGCATCAACGATCCCCTCCCATGAGTCACTTCCTCCCACGGAGTTCATCACAAGTTTATTTCGTTCCCATATTATGGCAAGATTACGCCATAAATTTACAGAGATCGGCCGGCTGTGTGGCATTGTTTGGGGGCCTCATCTTTTCCCACCGTGGTCTGCATCTGGCACCTGCTCAAAGGCCTCTTTTAGTCCAGCAATGACAGCGCTACGATGATCTACAGCCACGATCCAAACCCGTGGCTCCACGTGGGAAGGGGGAGAAGGCACTGGAACATCTTGTACGCCACAAAAACAAAACAGGGACACAACCTTCCTGCAAAAAGACATCACACGAGTCCTTCTCCAACCTTGCCTGATTTCTTAAGAGACAGACATTCACACAAGGAAATGGCCTTGCTTTGTGGGTGCAAGAAGGTGCCATCTTGCACTGTGCGTGCACTCACACATGTTTAAAAAAGAGACAGGGGAGACCCAAACTGGGGCTGTCCACAGTCACTAAACCAAGTCAAGAGAATTTTTCTTTTTTTTCTTATTCTTTTTTCTTTTTCTTTATTTTTTTGAGACAGGGTCTTGCTGTGTTGCCCAGGCTAGAGCGCAATGGCACAATCACGACTCACTACAGCCTCGACCTCCTGGACTCGAGTGACCTCAACCTGGACCTCCTGACCTCAACCTTCCCAGTAGCTGGGACTACAGGTGTGCACCACCATGCCCAGCTAATTTTTTTGCTTTTAGTAGAGGTGGAGTCTGGCAATGATGCCCAGGCTGGACTGAAACTCGTTGGCTCAAGTGATCCTCCTGCCTTGGCCTCCCAAAGTATTACAGGCAGGAGCCACCGTACCAAGCCTAGGAGAAGTTTTATAACTGAACTAAAACTTCCTCACATCAGATAACTGGACAGTCATTTGCATAGAGCATTTGGGTTATATGAACACATCATAACAGGGTTTCTCAGGCCCTTCCTCAGGTGGGGGCTGTCCTGTGCATTGCAGGATGCTGAGCGGCATCCCTGCTCTCCACCTATGACATGCCAGTAGCACTCTCAGCCTCTGGTTGTGACAACCACAAATGTTGCCAGACATTCTCGAATGCCCCCAGGATGAGAACCATCACATTAGAGGAGTGTGGTGAGGTTTGTGCCAAGGGGAGAACTAGTCCAAAAGCCCCAGAGGCCCAGTTCCACCAACCCAACCAAAGATAAAGAGGTCAGAAAATGAGAAAAAAATAGCAAAATAATACTTATTTCATTAAAGACAACCTCACCAAGATGGACATTCACAGCACTATTTTTAGTAGTCAAAACCAAGAAAAAAGCGAGGCGCAGTGGCTCACACCTGTAATTCCAGCACTTTGGGGGGCCGAGGCTGGTGGATCACCTGAGGTCAGGAGTTCGAGACCAGCCTGCCCAACATGGTGAAACCCCGTCTCTACTAAAAAATGCAAAAATGAGCCAGGCGTGGTGGCAGGTGCCTGTAATCCCAGCTACTCAGGAGGCTGAGGCAGGAGAATCACTTGAACCCAGGAGGCGGAGGTTGCAGTGAGCTGAGATTGCACCACTGCACTCCAGCCTGGATGACAGAGTGAGACTCCATCTCAAAAAACAAAAACAAAACAAAACAAAAAAACTGAAATTGAGAAACAGCCTAAGCAGCCAAAAAATAAGTTAATGAATGAAATAGTGGCACATTCTTTCAACAGAACGCTGCACATGCGTTAAAAATCATTAAAATCAGATTTTAATAATACGAAAAAATTCTCATCGTATACATATAGTTCAATGAGGGAGGAAGTTTAGGAAGCCTTCTATGGAGTTCAGTGATAATTTTACAAAAATGTGTGTGGATATTTACACTCGGATATGCTTAGAAAAGAGACTGAAAGGAAATCCCTTGAAAAGGTAAAAGGTCTTTTGTTGGGTGAAAATGGAGATGAACTGGTCAGGCACGGTGGCTCACGCCTGTAATCCCAGTACTTAGGGAGGTTGAAGCGGGAGGACAGCTTGAGGCCAGAAGTTTGAGACCAGCCTGTGCAACACAGAGAGACTTTGGCTCTACAAAAAATTTAAAACTTAGCTGGGTGTGGCAGTGCATACCTGTAGTCCCAGCTACTTAAGAGGCAGAGGCAGGAGGATCCCTTGAGTCCAGCAGGTCAAGGCTGCAATGAGCCATGTTCATACCACTGCACTCCAGCCTAGGTAACAGAGTGAGACTCTGTCTTGAGAAAGAAAGAAAAGAAGAGAAAAGAAAAAAAGGGAGGGAGGCAAAAAAAAGAAAGAAAGAAAGGACAGAAGAAGGGAAAGAGGGAGAGGGAGAGAGACAGAAAGAGGGAAGGAAGGGAGGGAGAAAGGAAGGAAGGAAGGAAAAGAGGGAGGGAGGGAGGAAGAAAGGGAGGGAGGGAGAGAGAGAGGGAGGGCAGTTTTGATCCCCCTCTTTACCTGTAACTTTTTGTTCTAAATGCCTTAACTGTGAATGTTTTTTAATAACCTGGGAAGGGGGGCATGCCAGGTTAAAACAAAAATAGATCTGCCCATCTGACAGCATCACAGACTCTAAGCACAGAGTCCCTGTTCTTCCTGCTGGAAGACACACGAGCCACATCTCAAAAAAATATAACATGTCCTTCACAACTAGCTGAAGAGTGGCGTATGCCATTCACTTCTTCTAGGATGGCTGACATTAGGGACTGCTCAATGATAAGTCAACCCTCAAATGACCCTAGCAGAGCCCACAGCCCTACGTCTTGAACAACTTCAGACTGGAACAAAATTAAAGTAATTCGATAGGAGATAATGACACTCATTCCCCAGGAAACACCCCACCCACAGGATCTATGCTGCTGCTTCCAGACCACAGATGTTCTTGACATCAGATGCACACTCAAGATACGGTTTAGAAGCCAGGGATCCAGCCAGGTGTGGACCAGTGGGAAAAGCAGCAGCTGTGTGGGAGAGAAAGCTCCCTCTCCACCCAAGAGTTGCCAAGGACACAGGTCCTGCAGAGTCTGAAAGAACCTATTGGCCTCTGGACATAAAAATCCCCTAACATAGGGCCGAGCGTGGCGGCTCACTTCTGTATCCCAGCACTTTGGGAGGCCGAGGTGGGTGGATCACCTGAGGTCGGGAGTTCGAGACCAGCCTGGCCAACATGGAGAAACCCCATCTCTACTAAAAATACGAAATTAGCCGGGCATGGTAGCACATGCCTGTAATCCCAGCTACTCGGGAGGCTGGGGTAGGAGAATCGCTTGGACCCCGGAGGCGAAGGTTGCAGTGAGCTGAGATCACGCCATTGCACTCCAGTCTGGGAAACAAAAACAAAACTCCATCTCAAAAAAAAAAAAAATCCCCTAACGTGTGATGTTTCAAAGCATATTCATGGTGTGCGTCTCTGGTTCCTCAATACAAGTGCTCAGTGCCACCTCCATCTCCTCCTGGGCAGGAAGTCTTCAAAGTGGCTCGCAATGCCCCCCACCTCCTGGTACTCATGCTGTGTGTCAGCCACCCCCCTGGAGTGGAGCTGGGCCTAGTGACTTGCTTCTGATAACAGCATGAGGCTGACGTGAGGGGAGGTCACCTCTGACAGTGGGTGACAGAAGACTGTGACTGCCATCTCATTCACTCTCACCTGCTCACTCTGAACAGGTAGCTGACAGGGGAGCTGACTACAGGGAGGCCCTCGTGGGAAGGCACTGAGGGTGGCCTCTGGCCAACAGCCAGGAAAGAACTAAGGCCCTCAGTCCAACAACCCACCCAGAGCCAAACTCTGCCAACAACACTGACGTCTGTATGTGGGTCCTACCACCATAGAATCTTAGACCCCTTGAGCCCAGGCTGTGAGAGACCCTGAGCCAGAGGACCCAGCCAAGCCTGCCACAGAAATTGTCCTGGCCACAAAAACCATCAGATAGCAAATAGAAAACAGAGCCCCCAGTTAGGTGTGGTGGCTCATGCCTGTAATCCCAGCACTTTGGGAGGTCGAGATGGGAGGATCATTTGAGCCCAGGAGTTTGAGATCAGCCTGGGCAATATGGTGAGACCCTATCTTCACTAAACGATAAGAATTAGCAGAGCATGGTGGTGTGCACCTGTAGTCCCAGCTACTTGGGAGGCTGAGGCAGGAAGGTTGCTTGAGCCTGGGAGGTCGAGGCTGCAGTGAGCCATGATTATGCCACCGCACTCCACCCTAGGCAACAGAGCAAGATGGACGGAAGGAAGGAAGGAAGGAAAAAGAGAAGAGAAAAGAAAAGAGAAAAGGAAGGAAACAGAGGAGGGGAGGAGGAAGGAAGGAAGGAAGGAAGGGAGGGAGGGAGGGAGGGAAAAAGGAAGGAAGGAGGAAGGGAGGGAGGGAGGGAGGAGGGGAGGGGAGGGGAGAGGACAGGAGGAACTTCCTTACTCCAGGGAAATACATTTTCTGGAGTAAGGGAATGCATTTCCCTGTAAGAAAGACACCAATGGATGTCTAAGACCATGAATAATACTGACCCCATATACACTATGTTTTTTCCTACACATACATACCTATGATAAAGTTTAATTTATGAATTAGGCACAGTAAGAAATTAACAACAATAACTTATAACAAAATAGAACACATAATATGCTGTAATAAAAGTAAATAAGACTTGCTTGAACGCAAGCACGGCAATACCACAACAGCCAATCTGAGGGTTCCTGAGTGACTAGCAAGCAGGCAGGTAGATGGCGTGAGTACACTAGACAGATGATTCATGTCCGGGAGGATGGAGTGGGATGGCATGAAATTCGTCACACTACTCACAATGGCACACAACTTAAAACTTATGAATTGCTTATTTCCGGAATTTTCCATTTCATATTTTTAGACTGCAGTTGACCATGGGTAACTGAACCTGCAGATAAGTGGGGATTACCATATTGCTGTTTTAAGCCACTAAATGTGGGGCAATCTGTTATGAAGCAATACGTAGTTAATATCCCACCCTAACATTACTGTGGGTCTTTTGTGAGCTTTTCGATGTCCCTCTCGTCACACCCCAGCCCTAACCCCCAAGTCCTGGCGTAGAGAGCTGGGAGCTGGAAGCCAGGCAGCCTGGAGTGAGTTCCAGCCCCACTAATTCCAGCTGTGTGAACTTGGACAGGTTTCCCAGCTCCCCTCAATTCCAGCTGTGTGAACTTGAACGGTTTCTGAGCCTCCTTCCACTTCAATTTTCTCCCCTGCCAAACATCAGTCCTAATGGTACCTACCTCACATGGTTATGTATTAAATGAGTTACTTCATGCAAATCACTTAGAACAGCCTCTGGCACACAATAAGCCCCTGGGCGGGGTAATCCCAACACTTTGGGAGGCCAAGGTGGGCGGATTGCTTGATGTCAGGAGTTCCAGACAAGCCTCGCCAACATGGCAAAACCCCGTCTCTACTAATAATACAAAAAATTAGCCGGGCATGGTGGCGCACGCCTGTAATCCCAGCTACTCGGGAGGCCGAGGCAAGAGAATTGCTTGAACTTGGGAGGTGGAGGTTGCAGTGAGCTGAGATGGCACCGCTGTACTCCAGCCTGAGTGACAGAGTGAAACTGTGTCTCAAAAAATAAATAAATGTTACTTGTCATTCCTGTCATTCTTCTTACTACTGCTGCTGCTAGTGGCTATTACCATTTCTACTACTATCCCAGAGCTGCCCATGGCACTAAAGCTACACGGTAAATGATCAAGGAGAAGAGTGGTGCAAAGATAGGAGGGCGAGAAAAAGCTGTGAGTTGTTTATTTTAAGTATCTTATTTGATAACTTCCCTAACATTAAAAAAAAAAAAAAAAAAAAAAAGACAACTGGCTATCACTGTTGAATCCTGCTCACTTCGGCACTGACTGTGAGTCTACCGTGTGCCAGGCAGGAAAGCTAGGCACAGGAGACACGGGAGGACCAAAAGGATCCTGGCCCCTGTTCTAACCCACAGGGAGAAGACAGGTGGTGACAAGCAAACCCGCAGGAAATCAAGAATTTCAGTGTGATGAATGCTACGGAAGAAGAACGAGATGCTGTAAGAGGTGGTCTGAATTCAAGGAACCTGTAAGGCTGAAGGAGAAGTTCACAAGCCAAGCCTTAGCTGAAAATTCTCCGCCAGCAGGCAGGGGGCAGGGCCATGTGCCCAACAACCTATGTTATCAATTTCTACTTCTACTTGTGCACTCTGTTTTTTTTTTTTTATTTCCAAAGGTTTTTGGGGAACACATGGTGTTTGGTTATATGAGTAAGTTTTTTAACAGTGATTTATGAGATTTTCGTGCACCCATCACCTGAGCAGTATACACTGAACCCAACTTGTAGTCTTTTATCCCTCACCGTCCTCCCACCCTTTCAGCCCCCTGACTCGCCAAAGTCCATTGTATTATTCTTAAGCCTTTGCTTCCTCATAGCTTAGCTCCCTCTTATGAGTGAGAACATACGACATTTGGCTTTCCATTCCTGAGTTATTTCACTTAGATAATAGTCCCCAATCCCATCCAGTTTGCAGCGAATGCCATTAATTCATTCCTTTCCATGGCTAAGTAGCATTTCATCATTTTATATATATATATATATATATATATATATATATATATATATATATATATATATCTCATAGTTCCTTTATCCACTTGTTGACTGATGAGTATTTGGGCTGGTTCCATATCTTTGCAATTGCAAATTGTGCTGCTATAAAAATGCATGTGCAAGTATCTCTTTCCTCCATGAGGCATGAAACACTTGGGTAGATCAGGGTGGAGAGGATTCTCATTTGTCAAGGAAAAAAAAAAAAAAAAGTCCAGAAAAGATGAAAGAGCCTTATTCCAAAGATCCTTAAGATCTGAAGGAGAGTTTTCTGCAACGAAGCTAAATGATGTGAGGAACCACCCCACTCCAACATAGGTGTGGGACTGAACCAAGGAATCGGTATTTTCAAAGCTCCCTGGGAAAAATCAGACAATCATGCAGACTGCAGAACAACCAGACCAAGTGGCATATGAACACCAGATTTTCCAGCCTCCCCACGACGGAAAGTGTGATCTCCGTGGGTAAAAAGAGAAAACAGAGGGATGGGCACAGTGGCTCACACCCGTAATTCCAGCACTTTGGGAGTCCCAGGCAGGAGAATCGGTTGAGGCCAGGAGTTTGAGACCAGCCTGGGCAGCACAGTGAAACCCTGTATCTATAAAAAATTAAAAAATGAGTCAGCCCTGGTTTTGCAAGCCTGTAGTCCTAGCTACTCGGGAGGCTGAGGTGGGAGGACTCTTATAAATACATTCTTTTAATAAGAATTTAAAAATTAAAAATTTTTAAAAGAGCCAGTAGAAAAACAACATATCAAATCCAATCAGACTCTTCAGACTGGCAAAATTTTTTAACGTGCCCGGCCACAAGGTTTCTTTTTTCATCATTTTGATGAAAATGTTTTGAAACATGAGGGAAGTGGTGGCTGAGCAACACTGTGAATGGACTAAATGCCACTGAAGTTTTCACTTTAAAATGATTATATTATGTGAATTTCACCTCAATAAAAAAATACATGTTCAATATTAAACAAAAGAGAATGAGAGATGTATTACCAAGAAATCCCCAATGGACGTTCTCTTTAACTTTCACTCCAGAACCAGGGACACCATAAGCGGATCAGAGTTACGGGGTGTGTCCAATGAATGAACTAATTTCCTTTCTGCTTAGGGAATTATATTCCCTTGTTAGTCTGGGTGACAGATACCACAGTAAAGAGGGTTAGAAAGAATGTCAACCCACAGGGACACACGCAGCACACCTGGGGTACTTAAGCACTTTAAGCCATGAATAAAAACGACTCACCCGCACGATGATGCCCATACGTTTGCTTTCATAGGTGAAAGGGAAGATCTGTAGGATGGTGAAGTTCAGGATCTGGTCGCCAGGGGTCCTCAGCTGCATGGAAGACTGGTCTCGGCCCACCAGGGTTAAGCCCACACTTTCCGTCCACTGTACCAGGGCCACCTAAACATAACACAGGGTCGAAGGTCAGATGCCCAGCCGAGAATCTGGGTTCACAGGCTGTGCTATGAACACAAAGGCAGAAGGGGGCTCAGAGACAGGGGAATCACAGTAGTCACTGCCCTTAGGGACGCCAAGTGCTCTGTGCTGGCCCATGACAGTGTCTGTTCCTCTGGGTCTATGAGGGCTCCCACACTGAAAGCTGCCCCTCTATAAGGCACAATTCATCTTTTCTAGGCTCAAAACAGGCTGCACACCAGAGGCATGGCGGAAAGAGATGGCACAGAATTAAGAGTGATTGTGACTGGGTGCAGTGGCTCAGGCCTGTAATCCCAGCACTTTGGGAGGCCGAGGTGGGTGGATCACCTGAGGTCAGGAGTTCGAGACCAGCCTGGCCAATATGGTGAAACCCCGTCTTTACTAAAAATACAAAAATTACCCAGGCATGGTGGCGGACACCTGTAATCCCAGCTACCCAGGAGGCTGAGGCAGGAGAATCGCTTGAACCCAGGAGGCAGAGATGCAGTGAGCTGAGATCACGCCATTGCACTCCAGCCTGGGTGACATAGCGAGACTCTGTCCCCGTCCCCACCCCACACCACCCCCACTCCGAAAAAAGGAGCAATTGGCACAATTACGGATCACTCCTGGAAGTATCTGCAACAAGCTAAACAATAAAAAAAAGAAGGAAGAGAATGCTGACTGACACAGCCCTTCGCCTTCAGGCTCTCCTTTCAGCCTCACACACTGCACTGGGGGAGTGTCTTCAGTGGTTCTCAACTGGGTGATTCTGTCCCCCAGGGGACCCGCGCCAACATCTGGGGGAATCTGTACTTGTCACAACTGGAAGGAGGTAATGCTGGTATCCAGTGGGCAGAGGCCAGGGATGCTACAAAACGTCCCGTAACACACAGGACATACCACACCAGAGACTGATCTGGCCCCAAATGTCAATAGTGCTGAGGTGGAGAACACGGGTCCACACAGAAGAGGAAACCAAGGCTCAGAGCAGTTAATGAAGTTGCCCAAGGTGACAGCGCTGGCATGTGGCAAAGCTAGGCCAGACTGGCACCTGGATCCGCCTGGTGTAAAGTTCCACAGCACACACTCTTCCCTTCCAAGAGTCATCGCACGGGTGTCAAGTCAGAACCTTCTCATGGCCTCAGCCAGACATACTCAGCTTAAGGTCAAAGGCATGAGGGTTGCAAACTCCAAGACAGGGGCCAGAGTGTTGATACAAATAGCAAAGAGGGCTGAGTGGGGGCTGTGGCAAGCAGGAGCCCAGCCCCAGCCAAAGGAGGCTGCTGCCACTATACACACAGGTGGCAGTTACTGCCCTGCAGGGACTAGGGCCAGGGTGGATGGAGCTTCCAGTTTCTCAAGAAAAAACAGAAATTTAGACTTCTCCCCGAGACGGCCTAACTTTTAAATGTAAGCAATTGGCCAGCTGCTGTGACTCACACTTTTAATCCCAGCACTTGGGGAGGTTGACGCAGGAGGATCACTTGAGCCCAGGAGTTTGAGACAAGCCTAGGTAACACAAGGAGACCCCATTTCTAAAAAAAAATTTTTTAATTATTAGGGTGGTGGCTCATGTCTGTAATCCCAGAACTTTGGGAGGCTGAGGCAGGCAGATCACCTGAGGTCAGGAGTTCGAGACTAGCCTGGTCAACATGGTGAAATCCAGTCTCTACTAAAAATACAAAAATTAGCCGGAGGTGGTGGCATGCGCCTGTAATCCCAGCTACTCAGGAGGCTGAGGGAGGCGAATCTCTTAAACCTGGAAGGTAGAAGTTGCAGTGAGTAGAGATCGCACCACCCCACTCCAGCCTGGACAACAGAGCGAGACTGTATCTCAAAAAAAAAATTATTATTAGGGTGGGGTGGTGCATGTGTGTCGTCTCAGTTACTCAAGAGGTTGAGGTGGGAGGATCACGATCTGGGAGGTGGAGGCTACAGTGAGCCATAATGGTGCCACACTACTCCCACCTGGACACAGAGTAAGACCCTGTCTCAAAAACATAATAATAGAGCCGGGCGCGGTGGCTCACACCTGTAATCTCAGCACTTTGGGAGGCTGAGGTGAGTGGATCACCTGAGGTCAGGAGTTCGAGACCAGCCTGGCCAACATAGTGAAACCCCATCTCTACTAAAAAAATAAAAATAAAAAAAATAAAAAATAAGCTGGGCGTGGTGGCAGGCGCCTGTAATCCCAGCTACCAGGGAGGCTGAGGCAGGAGAATCACTTGAACCCAGGAGGCAGAGGTTGCAGTGAGCCGAGGTCGCGCCATTGCACTCCAGTTTGGGCAACAAGAGCGAAACTCCATCTCAAAAAAAAAAAAAAAAAGATAAAAAACACTTCCAGTGGAGGTGATGCCTCCCAAGTACCCCTCTCCCTATCACCTACCTGCAGCCCCTGTCAACACCCTCCTAAAACCTGCCTCCCCTACTCCCCCTAAAGATTAAGCTTTATGAGAGGAAAGTGGGAGGGCCTTCCTTTTCTTCTTTCTTGATTTTTTGTAGACACTGTACCTTTGGACTTGGATGGGAATAAAGTGACAGCTTGTTTGGCATTGAAGTTGGAAGCCCTCCTGTATTCCTTTCCTGTTGTTGCTGTACCAAATTACTGTGCATCTGTTTTTTTTTGTTTGTTTTGTTTTGTTTTGTTTTCGTGATGGAGTCTCACTCTGTCACCTAGGCTGGAGTGCAGTGGTGCGATCTCGGCTCATTGCAACCTCCACCTCCCGGGTTCAAGCAATTCTCCTGCATCAGCCTCCCAAGTAGCTGGGATTACAGGCACCTGCCATCACATCTGCCTAATTTTTGTAATTTTAATAGAGATGGGATTTCACCATGTTGGCCAAATTGGTCTCAAACTCCTGATCTCAAGTGATCCACCTGCTTCAACCTCCCTCCCAAAGTGCTGGGATTACAGCCATGGGCCACCGCACCGGCCAGCATCTGTTTTAAAATGAAACAAATAGATTTTCTTACAGTTCTATAGATCAGGGGTGGACATGGGATGAGGGTCTCACTGAGACAGGATCAAGGTCGCTTGATCACCATTGCTGCATTGCTGCGGAGGCTCTAGGGGAGCACCTGTAGTCCCAGCTACTGGAGAGGCTGAGATGGGAAGATTGATTCAGCCTGGGAGGCAGAGGCTACAGTAAGCTGAAACCATGCCACTGCACTCTAGCCTGGGTGACTGAGTGAGACTCTGTCTCCAAAAAAAAAAAAAAAAAAAAAAAAAAAAAAAAAAAAAACCTGGCGTTCCTCTTGAGTTCCCATTCCTTTTACCAAGAGAGCTCTGCAGAAGCCACAAGGCAAAGGTATGCAGCTCTCCACCCCTAGTCCTTTCTTTCTCTGGAACCCCTGGATGTCATCTTAGCTGACCTGCTATACCCCGAAGAAGAGATCAAGCTGGAGCTCAAAACTGGGGTTCCAGTCCCCGCTCTGTCCCCAGCCCCCAGCCCCCACAGGCCTCTGCAAAATAAAGATCTTGGAGTAGATGACTATTTCTCATTTCTGCTCCAGCTCTGAAAATGTATCTTTATGCATCCTTAGTCTACTATGCTCAGATATCGAGTTCAGTTTCTGTTGCTTCTATTAACTAAATTTACATTAGCAAGAAATTATTTTTCAAGACTCTCCCTTATTTAAGTTCAAGTCATAATGAGTCAGCCAGCACTAACGAGCTTTGAGCTTTGACCAATGGAAGAAACTGTCATACTGACCTCTACCTTTCAAAGAAAGGACCAATCAAGTAGTGGGTTTTTCTGTTTTTATTTTGTGTTTTTTTAGTTTTAGTTTTTGGCTACTGGCCTGCCTAAGTCTTTGAAAACTCATTCACTTAGTTATTTGTTTAATTTAATGGCTATGCTATAGACTATGTTTATGTCCCCTAAAATTCATATGTTGAAACCTAATCCCCAATATGATAGCAGTTGGAGATGGGGCCTCTGGGAGGTGATTAAGTCCTGGGGGTGGGGTTCCTCATGAGTGGATGTGTGCCTTTATGAAAGAAACCCCAGAGAGGTCCCTCGCTCCTTCTGCTGCGAGAGACAGAGTGAAAAGAGGGCCTTTTATCAGCCAGGAAACAGGCCCTCACCAGACACCAAATCTGCCAGTATGCTGACACAGGACTTCCCAGCCTCCAGAACTAGGAGAAATAACTTCTGTTGTTTACAAGATACCCAGTTGATGGTATTTTGTTATAGCAGGCCATGTTATAGCAGGCCAAACAGACTAAGACACTCTAACTTTCAATATAGCCCTGTTTTGTCTGCTAACAATTGTCTTCCAAAGTTTAAAATTAACAAATCAGTAATGATTCGCATATATAAAATCATACCAGCCAGGTGCAGTAGCTCATGTCTGTAATCCCAGCACTTTGGGAGGCCGAGGCAGGAGGATCACCTGAGGTCAGGAGTTCAAGACCAGTCAGGTCAACATAGCGAAACCCCATCTCTACAAAAATACAAAAACTAGCCAGGCATGATGGCGGGTGCCTGTAATCCCAGCTACTCGGGAGTCTAAGGCAGGAGAATCGCGTGAACCCCAGAGGCAGAGGTTGCAGTGAGCTGGGATGGCGCCATTGCACTTCAGCCTGAGCAACAGAACAAGACTCTGCCTCAAAAATAAATAAATAAATAAAAACAAGAAAAAAAATTATCCCATCTGTCTATGTAAAAAAGCTTGGGTGCAGTGTAGAAATGTTTATAGAGTGATACACATGGAGAGAATTACTTCTAGCTTTTACTTCTAGCTTTTTTTTTTTTTTTTTTTTTTTGAGACGGAGTCTCACTCTTTTGCCCAGGTTGGAGTGCAGTGGCGCGATCTCGGCTCACTGCAAACTCCACCTCCTGGGTTCATGCCATTCTCCTGCCTCAGCCTCCCAAGTAGCTGGTGCCCGCCACCACACCCGGCTAATTTTTTTTTTTTTTGTATTTTTAGTAGAGATGGGTTTCACCATGTTAGTCAGGATGGTCTCGATCTCCTGACCTCATGATCTGCCCACCTCGGCCTCCCAAAGTGCTGGAATTACAGGCATGGGCCATGGCGCCCGGCCACTTCTAGCTTTCTATACCACCGAAATGTTTCAAACGTGTATACGCATTTCTTTTACGTTTAACTTTAATTAAATAAACATCCCAATACAATTCAAATATTACAAATACCTAGTTATGTACAAGCTAAAAAACCCTGACTAAATTTATATCCTTCCTTATATACCTATTAAGTAATAAAGTAAAAAAAAAAATTATTCTTCAGGTACTTTCAAACACTTATGGAAATGATTTTTTTATTCCTATTCTCAAGTAGCTATTACTTTGCCTGTTAATTGCCCTGAAAATATGTGAAAAGTCTGTGATACTGGGCTTCCAGGAGATACACTAATTCCCCAAAAGCCTGCTTTTAACTTTAATCGAGAAAGAATCTGTAACTCCAGAACCAGAAGTGGCTTCCAGGGCTGGGCAGCAGAATCGGCCAGCCCAGCATGCCCAGCTACAGACCCCACAGGTTCATGTTAGTGGAAACGTTGAATAACTATAACCTGAAATGATCAGAAATGACAAACGCTTTTGAGGAAAGATCAATTACAGCTGTATGTAAACATCTTTTAGCCTTGCTTTCTTCTAGAGCAAGCCTCTCAGTGGAGCTTAGGAGCCTACGACAGCTATATCTGTAGCCCTTCCCCACCCCTGGGATCCACCATCCTAATCAAAACCTCTGCAGGATCTGGCGAGGTGGCTCACACCTGTAATCCCAGCACTTTGGGAAGCCAAGGCAGGCAGATCACCTGAGGTCAGGAGTTTGAGACCAGCCTGGCCAACATGGTGAAACCCTGTCTCTACTAAAGATACAAAAATTAGCAGAGCGTGGTGGCAGGCACCTATAATCCCAGCTACTCGGGAGGCTGAGGCAGGAGAATGGCGTGAACCCGGGAGGTGGAGTTTGCAGTGAGCCAAGATCGCGCCTGGGCGACAGAGTGAGACTCCGTCTCAAAACAAACAAACAAACAAACAAAAACAAACAAACAAAAAAAAAACAAGAACGTTCTCAGTCTCTTTGGGAGCTGATTCCAACAGGATCTGAGCCCTGCAGGAAGTCTTTCCTTCTCCCCTTCCACTCTCCTCCATTTTAGCTTAAGTCAGTGTTAATTTAAAGCTACTTTCTAACAGGACACATAACATCCCCCAGAGTCCTACTCAGGGAGGACCAGTTTAGAAGTGGGGTACTCACTAACACCTCTCGATTGTGGGCCAGACAAACATCTGGGGAGTGAGCTGAGATAACTGCATTCCCTCCCAAAACAAAGTGATATACAACAAGGTTACTTAACATTCTGGCTTCTGTTCAAAGAAATCACCCCGTAACACACAAGATAGAGGATTTCAGGGGCTTGCATCTCACTGCTGTTAACAGCCTGAGTTAGGGTCTCAATAACTGCAGGTCAGGCCAGCAGCAGAAAACACAACCTCGTTAAGGTGGATGAATGAACAGATACATTAGACGCGAGCTGGATAAAATGCTGGAAAGGTAGAAAGGGCGGGGAGGGGATCCTGTCTCAGGAGTCTGTTGTGTTTTCTCCTTTGGGTGACAAGAAACCAAAGGGGCAGAGCCCACACCTTTCCCTGCCTCAAATGCCCATGTGAGGGACTCAGGCCAGAAACCATCCGTGAAAGGGCTTTTTCATCATTTCTTGGCCAGCAATAAACCACTTGTGACAAGTTTTTAAAGTTTTCTCTTTGTACCTGGGATGCTGTGCTTGGGAAATAAGCCAGATCACGCTCAGTAGCCTTGAATTCTTGTCAAAAGCAGGATACATACCAATCATCAGAGCACGTATGATACGAGGCGGGAATGTGACATCTGATAAAAGGGGTTATTTGGTGGCATTCAATAAGATAAATACTTAAGCTCACAAAGAGTCACCGGTCAGCCCTAATCCAGCCTTTCAAAATTATAAATCTATCCACAGACACACGGTTTTCTTCACTCAATACGAAAATACATTCAAATGCACCAGGCAGTGGTTGCAGGTTCAAATGCCGACAGGCGTTGGGAGAGAAGCAGACAGGCATAGGGCAGGGCCATGTGGGGGTCAGAAGAAAACTGAGGCAGCAGCTGCCCAGCTTGGCCAACCACTGCCAGGTAGAAGTTGGGCCTACTATTTCCAGACCTGATCTTTCTTGAGAAAAACTAATTTTGACATAAAATCAAGTGATTTTTAAATACTGCTTCAATTTTTTTTTTTAACATAGCATGAAACAAACAAAACACAGCCTGCTAGGAATCAGCGGAAGAGACAGTGGCATAAAAGGTCACTTCTTGCCAGGCGCAGTGGCTCACGCCTGTAATCCCAACACCTTGGGAGGCTGAAGTGGGCGGATCACCTGAGGTATGGAGCCTCAAGACCAGCCTGGCCAACATAGTGAAAACCCATCTCTACTAAAAAAAAGTGCAAAAAATTCACTGGGCCGGTGGGTGCCTGTAATTCCAGCTACTCGGGAGGCTGAGGCAGCGGAATTGCTTGAACCCAGGAGGAGGAAGTTGCAGTGAGCTGAGATCACACCACTGCACTCCAGCTTGGGCAACAGAGCAAGACTCCATCTCAAATAAATAAATAATAGTCACTTCTTGATCCAAATGTCTTGTACTTGAAATTGAACTTCCTATCACTTGACTGATAAAAATAAATACTTAAGAAGAAAGAACAGCATCATCTTCCTAAAATGTGATCATTAAGAAATGACTATTTATAGACCGGGCACGGTGGCTCATGCCTGTAATCCCAGCACTTTGTGGGGCCAAGGATGGTGGATCACTTGAGGTAAGGAGTTCAAGACCAGCCTAGCCAACATGGTGAAACCCTGTCTCTACTAAAAATACAAAAAAATTAGCCAGGCGTGGTGGCACACACCTGTAATCCCAGCTACTCGGGAGGCTGAGGCAGGAGAATCCCTTAAACCCGGGAGGCGGAGGTTGCAGTGAGCTGAGATTGTGGCACTGTACTCCAGCCTGAGCAACAGAGCAAGACTTCATCTCAAAACAAACAAATAAACTAAAAATACAAAATTAGCCAGGCATGGTGGCATATGCCTATAGTCCCAGCTACCCAGGAGGCTAAGGCAGGAGAATAGCTGGAACCCAGGAGGCGGAGGTTGCAGTGAGCCAAGATTGCACCTTTGCACTCCAGCCTGGGTAGCAGAGCGAGACTCTGTCTCAAAAAAGAAAAAGAAAAAAAAAAGAAATGACTATATATTAACTCTATTCTGAGCCAACACTAATATCACATGGGACAGAGCTTTTGCCTCTATGGCCCATGGATAAGCTAACACCAAGGGAGGCACATCTGACAGTTTCCTACAGTGTCTGTAAAACACTGTCCAGCCCTGCTCAAACAGCCCCCGCTGTCTTCTTCTGAACAACCACAATCCTGTTTTGAGACCCCACTTCGGTGGTTAATCAATAATACTGATGGAAGAATTCCCCTATAGTTCCTAACCTCTGTTCTTTGACCTTACCCCTTGGGTCCAAGGTCATGGCAACGTGGTGGTAAAACTCCAACACCCTCCTAAATCTTTCTGCTTCACACTCCGAGCTCATTCATGCACACATCTGAATGCTGTCATTGTCTGGACCTGAGGCTGAGGCTCAGGCTATACCCAGGCATGGAGGGGAACTGCATACATCTTATGGTTCACCAAGAATGTGCTCATAAAAAAACAAACCAACCAACCTCGTAGCCGCAGAAGGACCGCGAGATTGCCTGCCCTCCCCGGCACCATGTACTTGAGCTCTCCAGCAGGTTTTACACTCACGTTCAGCAACAAGATTAAGACGAGGCAAAAGGAGACAAACGGGACCTTTTACACACATGGTCAAAGATGTGCAGAGAGAAGGTGGAAGGCAATGCATCGTGGCATGATTTATGATAGCCAAAAGGGGGAAACCTCCTAAGTGGTAAGCTTGGGAGATAGAACAAATACTCTGTGGTGTACGTACGCAGAAGAATATTGTATAGCCATTAAAAAACCTCTTATTGGCCCAATGCAGTGCTTACGCCTGTAATTCCAGCACTCTGGGAGGCTGAGGCAGGACAGTTGCTTGAGTTTGGAGTTTGAGATTGGCCTGGTCAACATAGCAAGACCCCCATTGCTACAATAAAATACAAAAATTATCCAGGTGTGGTGGTGTGCGCCTCTCATCCCAGCTACTTGGAAGGCTGAGGCGGGAGGACTGCTTGAGGCCAGGAGGTCAAGGCTGCAGTGAGCCAAGACTGCACCACTGTATTCCAGCCTGGGCAATACAGCAAGATCCTACCTCAAAAAAATAAGCAAAACACATTAAAAAAGAAAGAAATTCTGTGACTTGCAGCAACATAGGTGGAACTGGAAGTTGCTAAGTGAAACATGCTCATTTTAATTTTCCTTTCTAAGGGATGAATCCTAATGAGGTGGGTGGTAAAGGCAAGATACTCAGAAGGTAGGCTGCCAGGGTCTGGCAGAAAAAGGCTTATTTTCACCAAGCTCGGAAGCTTCCCCAGATGAGAAAAGAGGGAAGGGACCAAAGAATAAAAATAAAAAATAAAAATTCCACTGCACTTGGAAGATGCAGAGTGTCTGAACATTACCTCCAAACAGGGCACCCTGTTTGGCTAAAAATAGCCAGAGACTGTGGTACTTCATCCAGTATCAGCCCTGAGTCTCCCACACACAGGCATCTTCACTCTCTGGAGCACTTCAGGAGTTTACAAAGCACTTTCAAGCCATCATCCCCTGGGGAGGAAAGTGGTATTGTGGGTTGCATAGTCCAGACTCTAGGCATGGGCTGTCTGGTTTTAATCGTGCCAGCTATGCGACCATGGGAACTTTCCTTAGCCAACTTACACTTCATCTACAAAATGGGCACAATCATTGTGACTCTATCATAAGAGGGGCTCATAGCCCAGGGCCTGGCACAGAGCAGGTATTCAATAGGTGATCATTTCTCACTGCCGTCAGTACCACTGTTATCACCATTACTACCTCATCTTTAGCAAGGACCTGTGAAGTCAATGGCCCTAGTCCCTCTTTACCTTTGAGGAGGCTGAGGTGCAGCAATGATTTGCTTAAAATCGCACAGCTAGGCCGGGTGCAGTAGTTCACGCCTGTAATCCCAGCACTGTGGGAGGCCAAGGCGGGCAGATCACTTGAGGTCAGGAGCTCGAGACCAGCCTGGCCAACATGGTGAAACCCTGTCTCTACTAAAAATTCAAAATTAGCCGGGCGTGGTGGTAGATGCCTGTAGTCCCAGCTACTTGGGAGGTGAGGCAAGAGAATTGCTTGTACCTGGGAGGCGGAGGTTGAAGTGAGCCAAGATCGTACCACCGCACTCCAGCCTGGGCAGCAGAGCGAGAATCCGTCTCAAAAAAAAAAAAAAAAAATCACACAGCTGATTGAATTGAAAGTTACAAGTTAAACATGGCCAGCAATTGCACTGCAGAAGCAGGGAAGGCCAATGTGATGCCCTCACCTTCCATGAAAGTGAGTAGACAGGGTCTTGAAATACAGACATGCATTTATGCCACTGGGAGGCTACAGGAACCCACGGCAGATGTTTCAGTAAAACTCAGCCCTCGCTGAGGTCACAGTGCAATGATATTCCATGTCCTGGCACATTTGTAAAAACTGAGCTACTAAAAGCAAAGTGTAAAGCTGCATCTATAATTTACAGTTGTGCTTTTAAATTTTAAAAAATACTTTAATAGGCTGGGTGTGGTGGCTCACGCCTGTACTCTCAGCACTTTGGGAGGCCAAGGTGGGTGAGTCACAAGGTCAGGAATTTGAGACCAGCCTGGCCAATATGGTGAAACCCCGTCTCTACTAAAAATACAAAAATTAGCTGGGCGTGATGGCGTGCACCTGTAGTCCCAGCTGCTCGGGAGGCCGAGGCAGGAGAATCACTTGAACCCAGGAGACGGAGGTTGCAGTGAGCCGAGATGGTGCCACTGCACTCCAGCCTGGGTGACAGAGTGAGACTCCGTCTCAAAAAAAAAAATAAAAAATAAAAAATATATATATATTTTAATGAAGCGTGAGGGTAATTCTAATACATGCAAAGAATTATCTCTGCAAGTATACTCAGATATTAATAACAGCGGGTGTCGCAGAGGAAGAAGCCTGGGAGAATGGAAGTCAGGGAAGGAGAGCAACAGGCTTCTCACTCTGTGCCATGAGCATGTGCTAGCCATGGAGACACTCTGCATGTTACCTAGAACTGCTGATTCATTGCTCTGGAATTATTCAGCTATTCAAGACCCAGTGAAATACAGCAAGCAGCTTTCATTCATACACACACATGTGCATCCATGTGCACACACATACTAACATGGCACACAGGAAAATACATCACACATACACACACACACACACACACGTATACCTGAACACAAGCGTAAGTCCTACAGAAATGTGAAAGTCATATGACTTTCTTTTTTTTAAATTTTTTTTTTGAGACAGTCTCGCTCTGTTGCCCAGGCTCGAGTGCAGTGGTGCAATCTCGGAAAGCCATATGACTTTCTAAAGGAAGTTACTTAATTCACCCTCCTTCCTGTTTAATTATATGTACTACAGCATGATTCTGTACTGGTCCTCTCTCTCTCTCTCCATATATATATATACACACACACACACAAAGTAAATATTATTTTATATATTTATATATTATGTCAATATTTAAATTATTATTTACATAATATATATTTACATAATATATTATATAATATATATTTACATAATATATTATATAATATATATTTACATAATATATTATATAATATATATTTACATAATATATTATATAATATATATTTACATTATATATATTTCTTTACATATTTATAATATGTAAATATTTACATATTATAAATATGCATATCATATATTATATAAATACACATAAAATAAAATAAATATATATGTATATTTAAATATGCATACATTTAGAAGGAGTCTGAGAAAATCTATACCAGAACATAAACAGTAGTAGTTATCGCCAGGTGGCAAGAATCACAGGTTATTTTTTATCTTCTTTTTGATTCTACAATTTCTCCCTTTTCTGTAGTGAAGACATTAGTACTTGTGATTTTAAAACCTTTTTTGGCCAGGAGTGGTGGCTCACGCTTGTAATCCTAGCACTTTGGGAGGCTGAGGTGAGTGGATCATTTGAGGTTAGGAGTTTGAGACCAGCCTGGCCAGCATGGTGAAACCCTGTCTCTACTAAAAATATAAAAATTAACCAGGCATGGTGGTGGGCACCTGTAGTCCCAGCTACTCAGGAGGCTGAGGCAGAAGAATGGTTTGAACCCGGGAGGCGGAGATTGCAGTGAGCCAAGATCACACCACTGGGCGACAGAGCAAGACTCTGTCTCAAAAGCGCCTGGCCAAAAAAAGAAAAAAAGTTTTTTAAATATGAAAAATTCATGGAAAAGACAAGTGAATGAGCCATGGACAGAGCTGATCCTAGCTGCTTACAGGACAGCACCTCCTGGCTCAAACCAAGAAACAAAGGCTTGGAAAGTTGCATTATCACCAAGGCCCCCACTGCCACTCCCCACCACCCACTCTCGACACTGTGGAACATCCTGGAAATGGTGGGATGCTGTCAGGGCTGAGGCCTGCTCGCTCCAGCATCTGAGCAGTGCTCCGCTCCTCCGGGTCCGACTGTATCTATTTCATTTCCTCCGTGACTTACTGTACGGTGGCAGGGAGGGCCCAGCGCCCCCAGGCTGTAATCGATAGCTGAATAAAGACACTTCAAGGTTCCCCAACTGGAATGTGCACAGGAAACAAATTTAGGAAATCCTGCTTTCTGTTACAGGAAATGAATCCTACGCCAACTGGTAGAAATTACTCCAGCAGCTCCCAAGTAAAATGCATACTGGTTTCTACACATGTTCCATAAACTGACCTTGCCTAGGCTAGCAATGTTTTATTGATATTGAATTTCAAAGGCACGATTCTAGAGCCAGCCAAGTCTATGCAGAATCCTACAGGGACTTGGAAACAGTACGGCTTTCTGAAAGATTTCACCTTAACTAGATTTAGCCTCCTCTGAGCCTCATGAGGCATTTATATAAACCTATTTGTATTTGGCAGTAGGCGGCCTCTGAAGTAGTTTTTAGAAGGCTGATCAGGAAGACATTAACAATGACTATACCTTTAGTAAGATTATGGGCTACTTTTTACTTTTCTGATCAATGCATTCATGTGTTCTACTATAGACATAAAATAACTGTGCAATACAAAATAATAAAAGTTGTAAAAAAAAAACCACAGCAAGGCCAGTCGCAGTGGCTCACGCCTGTAATCCCAACACTTTGGGAGGCCAAGGCGGGCGGATCACGAGGTCAGGAGATCGAGACCAACCTGGCTAACACGGTGAAACCCCATCTCTACTAAAAATACAAAAAAAAATAGCCGGGCGTGGCAGCGTGTGCCTGTAGTCCCAGCTGCTGGGGAGACTGAGGCAGAAGAATGTTGTGAACCCGGGAGGCAGAGCTTGCAGTGAGCCGAGATCACGCCACTGCACTCCAGCCTGGGTGACAGAGCAAGACTCCGTCTCAAAAAAAAAAACAACCACAGCAAAAAGGTAACACTGGCCTCTGAAGACACCAAAGGCCAAAGGAAAGTAGTTCTTTTTTTTTTTCTCAATCATGATTCAGAATCTTAGAAAAACAAGACAAATCTGATTTCAAGTGCAATTCATCCACAGAAGAGATAAAGTACCATTCACTTTGAGAAAAAGCGGCCGAGAAGTGCAAAGCATTCCATGAAAGATTTATCCTCATGGAAAAATCTTTGCACAGCCCTAAAACAAATACACCAAAGTCCAGTGGGAGCAGAGGAGTGGGCAACGGGCATTAAAGCCTCCAGAGATGCCAACAGGAGCATCAGGGGCCTCAGGCAGGACTTGCTTCTCAGATCATCAGCATCTGGAGCTTGCTCAAATTTGAATTCCGCTGGGTGCGGTGGTTACGCCTGTAACCCCAGCACTTTAGGAGGCTGAGGCAGAGAGATCACTTAAGCTCAGGAGTTTGAGACCAGCCTGGCTAACATGGGGAAAACCCTGTCTCTACTAAAAATACAAAAATTTGCCAGGCATGGTGGCGCACTTCTGTAATCCCAACTACTTGGGAAGCTGAGGCATGAGAATCGCTTGAACCCGGAAGGTGGAGGTTGCAGTGAGCCGAGATCATACCACTGCACTCCAGCCTGGGCGACAGAGCAAAAAAAAAAGGCCTGGCACGGTGGCTCACGCCTGTAGTCCCAGCACTATGGGAGGCTGAAGGATCACTTGAGGTCAGGAGCTCAAATAAAATAAAATAAATTTGAATTCCATCAAATACCCACAGGTTACTGGTTCCAAGTCCATAGCTACCAAAAATATGGCCCTCTCTGACATCGCTATTCCACAGTATCATTCCCAAAGGGAAAAACAGACTAAACCTGCCAAGCCACAGAAAGAAGAAATGATGATAAACCTGAAATTGTCACTTACTATGGCACAAGTCCAAGTAGATCAGGACAATCACCCAAACCTACCCTCCCTCCCCCTCTCTCTTTCTGCACACAATTCCCATCTCAGAAGGTAGCCAGGGGTGTACAACATTTTTCACTCCTAAAAAGCCTGGTTCAAATGTCAACAGTCACGGATGAACTGGGTTTTATAGCTTGAGCTATTCCACAAACACCCTGCAGGCTGGAAGGAGGAGTCTCCCAGGTGACAAATTCCACTGCCCAAAAAAGGGAGAAAGAAGCACCAGGACACAGAAGATGACACTCAAGCGTTCTTCCATTTGTGAACTTTGGGAAAGATGTTCATTGTGCCATCCCCCAACCGCCAGGAACCGCAGGCTCACTGATACTTGCAAATTGGTCCAGAACTTTAGGAGCCCCATTCTTCCTAAAATGGGTTAAAAAAAAAATTGGGATTCCTCCCAATGTTGGTACAAGAGTTAAATGTTTAAAAAAAAAAAAAAATTCTGGGAAGCACTCTGGCCATAGTTACCATGAGCCTTATGCTCATTTAAAGCCGGGCATGGTGGCACACGCCTGTAGTCCTGACTACTCAGGAGGCTGAGGTGGGAGGATGGCTCATACCCACGAGTTCAGGGCTGCAGTGAGCCATGATTGCACCTATCAAGAGCCGCTGCACTACTCCAGCCTGGGCAACATAGCAAGACCCCATCTCTAAAAATAAAATACTCATTCAATTTGACCCACAAGATATACTGACTGCCTACTTGGGGCTTCACAACAGCCCCACTGTGGGGGTTCCATGGCACAGATCTGGAGGCACAGCAAGCATAAGTAACTGCCCAAGTGTGGAGCTGGATCCCGGGAGTAAGTCACACACTATACTGTGTCACACAAGCCTCCTCCCTAGGGGCCTGGGGCTGTCTTGTTAGCACTAATATCACAGTGTTAGTCTACTCAAAAGTATCTCTTGAATTCATAAACCCAATCACGCCACTTCTAGAATTATAAGGTGTAAGGATGTTCATTGCAAAATACTTATAAATATCATTGCTAAAAATTAGGAATAACCTAAGTTCCTACAGTATGAGAAGTTCCAATTATGAGAATAGTTAGGATATTAGGGTATATGCATAGGTAGCAATTCTTAAAGAATGCTTTCAATAATATTCAAGATGATTAGAAAACAGAAATGATAAAATAGTAAGTGAAAAAAGGAGGATACAAACTATATCAATAGGAAAATTCACGTTTTAAAAAGTAAATTAAAAGATATTGAAAGGTGGCCGGGCGCTGTGGCTCACACCTAAAATCCCAGCACTCTGGGAGATGGAGCCGGGAAGATCGTGCCACTGCACTCCAACCTGAGTGACAGAGCAAAACAAAAACAAACAAACAACACCTCAACAACAAAAAGAAAAACAGACAAAGTGAAAATGGATAAAGGATATGGATAGACATTTTTCCAAAGAAGATAAACAAATGGCCAATAAGCATACGAAAAGACGCTCAACATCAGGGGCCATCCGGAAAATACAAATCAAAACCACAATGAGATACCGCTCCACACTGACTAGAACGTCCAGAATCCAAACAACTGACAGTAACAAGGATTGACCGAGATGTGGAGAAACGGAAACTGTCATACGTTGCTGGTAGATACGTAAAATAGCGCAGCCACTTTTGGAAAACAGACAGACAGCTCCTCAAAAGGTTAACTATAGAGTCACCATATGACATTGCCAACCCACTCCTAGGTATATACCCAAGAGAAACAGAAATCTACACCCACTCAAATACTTGTACACAATTGTCCATAGCAGCATTATCTATATAGACAAAAAAAAAAATCCAAATGTGCATTAATTGATGAATGGATAAATAAAATGTAATATATCCATAAACAGATTATTATTCAGTGATAAAAAGGAATGAAGCATTGATGAGTGAATATGCATGGATGAATCTTGAAAACATCACACTAAGTAAAACAGGCCAATCACAAAAGGCCACCTATTGTATGGTTCCAGATGTTTGGAGTGTCTGTCATAGGCAAATCTATAGAGGTAGAAAGTAGATTAGTGGGTGCTTTAGGGCTGGAGGAATGAGGAAGACAAGGGAGTACAGCAGGAAAGTGGGTATAGAATTTCCTTTGGGGTGATAAAAATATCCTAATTTGATTGTGATGATGGTTGCAAAAAAAAAAAAAAATCCCAAAATATACTAACTATATTAAGAAGCCATACTCACCAACGCAGTGACTCACGCCTGTAATCCCAACACTGTGGGAGGCCAAGGCCAGTGGATCACCTGAGGTCAGGAGTTCAAGACCAGCTTGGCCAACATGGTGAAACCCCATCTCTACTAAAAATACAAAAAATTAGCCGGGCATGGTGGTGGGTGCCTGTAATCCCAGCTATTCAGGAGGCTGAGGCAGGAGAATCGCTCGAACCCCAGAGTGGGTGGTTGTAGTGAGCCGAGATCACGCCACTGCACTCCAGCCTGGGCAAAAGAGTGAGACTGTATCTCGGGGAAAAAAATAAAATAAAAAAGTCATACTTTAAATAGGTAGACTGTATGGAATGTGGAGTTTATCTTAATTAAGATCTTAATTATTTACATCTTTTTTAAAGTATGTGGTTTAAATGGGACCTTGTGCCCTGTTATGCTGGCCTTTTGAGTTACAAAACAAAATCTCTAACTTTCCTAATTCAGACTATACCTCAAGTCCAAGGCTATTCTTTTTAGAGGAAAGGCGTTTCTTTCTTGTATTTGAAAATGTGTTTCCCAGCAGCCCTGCATCATCCTGGCTCCTGTCTGCCCTGACACATTGCTTCCTTAGAAAACGCCTAATTCCAGCACAGAGAAAACAAGCAGGGCCTCCCCATGCCTTGCTGCACCTGCCCAGGTTTACCTCATCGGGGCTGGATGCCTGGTATACGCGGCAGGAGTCTTCGTACTGCTTCTCGGCCTCAGCCTGATCAGTCACACCGTTGGACTCATACACGGGAGTCACGTTGTGGCAGAGCGCGATGGCCTTCACGGCTTCGTGCACGCGGCTGCTCATGGTCCGCCGGACCTTAGTGGTGAGCGTTGGGCCCTTCTGAGCCGGTGGGTCCTGGGATTGCTACAGGAAGGAGAAATGAACAAGGAAGATGACCAGAGGCAGGAATGATTTGGAGAGTGGAAGAACAGCCGTGCAGCTATTGTTTCTTTTTTCTACTGTTCCAACACACAGAACCCTTAGATATATCTACAATGATGCTGCAAATAAATGACATGCAATTTTCAGGGTTTGTCATTTATGCTCGGCAAAAAAAAAAGAAAAAGAGACAGAGGAAAAAAAATACAATTTAATGAACGAGAACGATTCTACCTGCAGATTGAGTGAATCTATCCTCCCTGGGGTGGTGTCGGGGGCTTTTGACAGAATGAGGACCCCACTGCACTGAAAGGGATCCCGGTAGTTCAGAGCAGGGCTTCCCCACTTGGGTACTCCTATGTTGGGGGACATTATATAGGGTGTTCAGCAGCATCCCTGTCCTCCAGCCACCAGATGCGCTGGACGCCAGCAGCACTCCCCTAGTTGTGACAAGATATGTCACCAAATGTCCAATAGAGGCCAAAATCACCCTCGGCTTAGAACCACTGTTTAAGCTCACAATCTTCTTGGTTTACAACAGAAGGCAACAACCTCATCTGGTACCGTATGCAAGTAACAACCATCAGCAACAAGCAATCCAGGGCAGTCCAGCAAGGCGTCAGGAACAGCCAGAGGAAACCTTGGCCGGATGGGACTCACTGCAAAACGGCACCTGGCTCCCCACTGAAGCTAGACTTTCGGGTGTAATGGTAACTGTGCTCAAGTTTTGCCTTGCAGGCTGACTTTAGACCCCAGCTCTTGCCTGAGAGGCAGCTCCATGGCATACAACTGGCCTTCTCCATCCCTTCCTTTCCAACTGGCAACACAGCTCAGCCCCTGAAAGGCCAGGAATGGGTTAAGTCTTGGAAAAATGGTTTTGAGCAACATGGTAAAAAGAGCACTGAAGGGTAACCAAAGCTAAGCCTTATTCTTGGATGGGTGGCAAGCAGCTAGGACACCTGCAGCAAGTGGTGTCTGTCCTCTGAGGCTGTTTCCTGTCAACGAGAGGAGTGGCCGGGCACGGTGGCTCACGCCTGTAATACCAGCACTTTGGGAGGCCAAGGCGGGTGGATCACTTGAGGTCAGGAGTTCAAGACCAGCCTGCCGAACATGGTAAAACCCTGTCTCTACAAAAATACAAAAATTAGCTGGGTGTGGTGGCACTGTAATCCCAGCTACTCGGGAGGCTGAGGCAGGAGAGGAGTGAACTAGAGGTGGTTTTCAATCCATGCTCCACACTGAGCCCCAGGAATCCTGAGAAACCCGCTCAGCACCACCAACTGCAGCAGGATGGGAGATGCAGCCTGCAGCTCCGTTCCTCTGTCACACATCGGGTGCCACCTATGCTTCCTTTTTTTTTTTTTTTTTTTTGAGACATGAGTCTCACTCTGTCACCCAGGCTGGAGTGCAGTGGCATGATCTCAGCTCACTGCAATCTCCGCCTCCTGGGTTCAAGTGATTCTCCTGCCTCAGCCTCCCGAGTAGCTGGCATTACAGGCGCCCGCCACCAAGCCCTGCTAATTCTTGTATTTTTAGTAGAGATGGGGTTTCACCATGTTGGCCAGGCTGGTCTCGAACTCCTGACCTCAAGCGATCCGCCTGCCTCGGCCTCCCAAAGTGCCGGGATTACAGGTGTGAGCCACCGTGCCCGACCCCCACCTAGGCTTCCTTTGAAGAAAGGGTTCTACTGCTTTAGAATATAATGAAAATTAAGACCACTGGCGGGGGGGGGGGGGGGAAGGCTCATTGTTGAACACAAGCCAAATGCCCTCGCATCTGATCAACACCTGCCTGCATCTCCAGCTGTCCCTCATGCCATCTTCCTCCCGTTCCCTCTGCTCCAGCCATGCTGGCCTTTCTGTTCTTTGGGCACTGCCAAGCTTCTTCCTGCCTGAGGGCCTCTGCACTTGCTGTGCCCTCTGCCTGGAACCCCATCCCCCAGCTCACTGCAGGGCTGGCTTGCTCAGTCTCATCATTCAGGCCTCAATTCAACTTTACCTCCTCAAAGAGGCTCTTCCTGGGCCCCCCAGTTCATGGCACTCCACTTGCCTTCCCGTTGCAAGTCACATTTTGGCAACACCCTGTGTGTTACTCTCTTCATTGTCTAAATTGGCCTATTTACCTGACGGTTCCCTCTCATTAGACCATAGAAACAGAAGGCTCACCTGAGTGAGTTACTCATCACTGTATTCCTAGTATCCAGGGCAGTGTCTGGTATGTAACAGATATTTGCTGAACAATTAAATTAATAACTTAATAGTCCCAAGGTGGTGGTAGGGAGTCCTCAATTGACATGCATTTTTTTTCATTTTCAAGAAGTAACAACTATGAAATCGACATCAGTTTCAGATTTTAAATCACAGATTTAGACAAGGGGTCACCTACAACAGTCTTACTGAATCCACAGCCAACTGAATTGTGGAGGCTAGAAATGTGTATGGAGTTACCAGATTCTACATTCTATTAAAAACATATTTATCCAACAGGAGAGAAGTGATCTGATCCTTTAAAATGAGTCGCACTTTACACCCATGACACCCGATTGCCCAAAATAGAGAACAGATGGGTTACAAGAAACAAGAAAATGACTTTCACTTAATTTTTTAATACTATTTTTAGTATTAGCATTAGACTCCTCAGGTAATTAGACAATTACTAAATTATTCTGGTCACTGCGGGGACACAGCGCTCTGCCTTCCTGCTCTGTTAACCTCTGGTGTCAGGAGCACACGAGTTTCACTTCCAGGCCAAAGGGCACTGCATGGTAACAATAATTAGAGTAATGAATCAGAACTCCGGTTTAAATGAATCATTATTTGCCGAGTGCTTTTAATTATAAAGAATTTAACTCTAAAATTATAAAGAAAAGATTTACAGAAAGGTTCTCTATTGGAGAGACTAAATCGAGAACCCTTTTTTTAAAAAATTCTATAATTTAGGTTCTAGCCACGAACACGTGTCTTCATTTCTGTCCGCATTCCTCAGCACCTGGACCAAATCGTTATTTAACATTAGGCGCAATAACAAGACCTTTGACAAAGTAATTACTGTGGTTGGCAAGTTTCAGTATCCACGGATTTAAATGAAAAGCTGTACTGAGGGCATCCTTCATGAACTTCTGGATTTTGTAAAGCAATCTGCTTTCATATCTACAAAAGTCAAATGCTTCCACTAATATTTCAAACATGGGATAACACAGAGCCATGGGATTTTGTATTCCAGGTGAAACAATTCCCAAGCAAGGCAAAAAGAGAACCACAGACGGTCAGATGTTGACAAAGGCCTCACTCAGGAGACCATCTGACAACGAATGAATTAGAAGACTACTATGATAGCCTGACCAACATCACAGGCCACAGGTTCAATGCCTCCACCCACATATCTTTCTCTCTTAAATTAATACTTTCCCACCTTTCCTACTAAAATGTTCCAGGAAGGAGAGGAAATACTCATTGGTGCTGAAACTGCTTCTTTTAATTGTTAAATAAAGTCTCATTTGCACACCAAATGGTCATGCGCATACATCCTTAAGGCACTGAAACTGACCAGGGGCTGTGTTTGGATGATGCCTGTCTTAGGCCTGGCCTTCAAACATCCTCACATTCCCCATATGGAAGAGTTTCACATTGTACAGTGTTTATCTCTAACCTCCTCCCCATAGGCCCTTTAACCTACACACATTTCTTCTTACTTAAAAAATACCAGGGGAAAACAAAAACAGATGTGGCATCCACAGAGGCAGGTTATGACTCTTTTTGCCCTGGGGAAAAACCACTGGTCCCCTTATGGAGGGAGGGAGGGCAGAACAGCTCCACACGAGGTCAGAAGTGACTTCAGAACCAAGCACAGGTCACTATTGGGAGAGGAATTAAGATCTCCAAATACAAAGGGCCCTGACTTGGGCCCCTGGGCGGGTGTCTCGAATCCTATAAAGCCCCTGAGTCATTTATAGCATCCCAGCCAATAAATGAGACACCAAGGCAGGGAAAATAGGCTTCCCTTTCCCATTAGTAATCCACAGCTAGGGCCATTTCCTGACAAGAACTCCAGCCTGTTATTACAGAAAAGATTAATACAAAAATTAAACGTTGAGTCACCAGGAATGCCAGTTTTCTTTCCAAATGCAGTTAAAACTTCACCACATATGGGCATTCATACTATTAATGGATATTAGGAATGGGTTGCAATTGACTGAAATACACTTTTTTTTTTTTTTGAGACAGGGTCTCACTCTGTTGCCCAGGCTGGAGTGAAGAGGCATGATCACAGCTCACTGCAGCCTCAACCTTCTGGGCTCAAGTAATCCTCCCACCTCAGCCTTCTGAATACCGGGACCACAGGCGTGCACCACCATGCCCAGCTTTTTTTTTTTTTTTTTTTTTTTGGTAGAGACAAGGTCTCCCTCTTATTGCCCAGGCTGTTTTCTAACTCCCAGGCTCAAGTCAACCTCCCGCCTCGGCCTCCCAAAGTGCTGGGATTATAGGTGTGAGCCACTGCACCCAGCCAGAAATACACTATTAAAGATAAAGAATTTCTGTTATGATAACCCTAACTAACCTGCCACATCAAAAAAGCTCAGAGCTGATGACTCACTCACCTCAAAGGGCCACCATCAAAGAGACAGGCTCAGAGCTACTACCTCCAAATGAATCAGCTGAGCCACAGGCTGATTAAGTGACTAAGTAAATCCAATGTTTACTGTTTTAGAGCAGACATCATCTGCAACACAAAGTCAATAAATTTAAATGTACCCATATATCATCATCATTCTCAACTTGGATGATTTTGACCCTCATTTGGTCATGTCTGGAGACATAATTGGTTGTCACAACTGTGAGGGGACAGGGGTACTATAGAAATCTGTAGCATGCTGCTTAACCTCCTACAAGGCACAGGACAGCCTCCCATGACAAAGAATAATCCAGCCCCAATAATGAGAAGCCTGACAGCCACTGAAACTATAAATCCAGGGCTTAGGACCAGGGTGAGTTAGCGCAACTGAACTGTGCTAGCACAAGGTTGGATCTTGCCTTCATTTAAAATTTCAATATACTGTTCTTCACGAATGTTTTGCGCTTGAGTTTTTAAAATATTGCACTGCGCCAGGTGTGGTGGCTCACGCCTGTAATCCCAGCACTTTGGGGGAAGACGAGTGGATCGCCTGAGGTCGGGAGCTCGAGACCAGCCTGGCCAACAGAGTGAAACCCAGTCTCTACTAAAGATACAAAAATTAGCTGGGCGTGGTGGCAGGTGCCTGTAATCCCAGCTACTCGGCAGGCTGAGGCAGGAGAATTGCTTGAACCTGGGAGGCAGAGGTTGCAGTGAGCTGAGATCACGCCACTGCACTCCAGCCTGGTTAACAGAGCAAGACTCTGTCTCAAAAAAAAAAAAAAAATTTTTTTTCACCAAAGTATGATTTGCTTTATTTATTTTTTTTTTGGCACCCGGTTAAATTTGCTATGTGAGTTCCTCACTTGTCTTACTCTAGTCTGGACTGTGTTATGAAACCATTAAAAACCTTGACATGAGTGAAAAGAAGGAAGTTAAATAGTGTTATTCTGGCAGTGGTTCTTAACCAGGAAGGCTTCTCAGAATAACCAATAAAGATTTTTTAAAATATACACGCCGGGCACAGTGGCTCACACCTGTAATCCCAGCACTTTGGGAGGCTGAGGCGGGCGGATCACCTGAGGTCAGGAGTTCGAGATCAGCCTGGCCAACATGGTGAAACCCCGTCTCTACTAAAAATACAAAAATTAGCTGGCATGGTGGCAGGCACCTGTAATCCCAGCTACTCAGGAAGCTGAGGCAGAAGAATCGCTTGAACCCACGAGGCAGAGGTTGCAGTGAGCCAAGATCACACCACTGCACTCCAGCCTGGGCAACAAGATCGAAAACTCCATCTCAAAAAAAAACATTTTTAAAATATACATACTTAAGATCCAGACCCAAAGAATGCCGTACAGCCCAGGCATATATTTATATTTATATTTTTAAAACTTTACAGGCAATTCTGGTGGTCAACTCTAGTTAAAAAAGAAAGGAATATGATGGGTTCTCATTGAAAAGAAAACAGAGACAGAGAGAAATAAAGAACGCATCTATCCAGACACACAAAGGCAGAGCATTTGGCGTTTTGTCCACCCAGGTGTTAATACTGGTTACTGCCGAATGATATGAATACAGGTGAATTCAATGTTTTGTCTTTGTGCTTGGCCGTATGATTTATTTTTTCTGCAAAAAAAACTTTCATAAATACCAGAAAGTTTTTTCAATGAGTAAAAAATGAAGTAGGCTCCATGTCCCAGAGAAAACCACACTGACAAAAAAAATTCTTCCTCAAGAGAATGTAAACTCGGTGGCTCACACCTGTAATCCCAGCACTTTGGGAGGCTGAGGCGGGCGGATCACGAGGTCAGGAGATCAAGACCATCCTGGCTAACATGGTGAAACCCCATCTCTACCAAAAATACAAAAAATTAGCTGGGCATGGTGGTAGGCGCCTGTAATCCCAGCTACTTGGGAGGCTGAGGCAAGAGAATGGCGTGAACCCGGGAGGTGGAGCTTGCAGTGAGCGGAGATCGCGCCACTGCACTCCAGCCTGGGAAACAGAGCGAGACTCCGTCTCAGAAAAAAAAAAAAAAAAACAAGAGAACATAAACTGAACTTTGTATCTGTTTTCTGTGGATGCAGAAAGTAAGAAGAACGCTCTCTGGCAGTCAGTACTGATGAACTGAGTGCATCCTGTGTATATATGTTGTGTGTAGAAAAATAAATCACAAACTCACACGCTCATAAAAAAAACAACTCAGTAAATGAAAAATGACAGTTCACAGACCAAAGTATGTGGAATAATCCCAATTATGGTTTGAGACTGTCTTGCTCTGTCATCCAGGCTGGGTGCAGTGGCATGATCTCAGCTCACTGCAACCTCTACCTCCTGGGTTCAAGCAAGTCTCCTGCCTCAGCCTCCAGAGTAGCTGGGATTACAGGCATGAGCTACCACGCCCAGCAGGAAAAGTTTTCCAAGTACCTTCCATCTATATATATTGATCTTTGTATAAATATTGTATTGTACTACTGAACATTACAAAACAAGAAAAAAAATTCTAAAATCCTATGATAAAAATGAAAAACAGGGCTGGCTGCAGTGGCTCATGCCTGTAATCCCAGCACTTTGAGAGGCTGAGGTGGGCTAATTGCTGGAGCCCAGGAGTTCGAGACCAGCCTGGGCAAATGGTAACACCCCCTCTCTCTACAAAAAATACAAAAATTAGCCAGGTATGGTGACGCATGCCTGTGGTCCCAGCTACTTGGGAGGCTGGGGTGGGAAGATCACCTGAGCCTGAGGGGTCAAGGCTACAGTGAGCTGTGATGGCACCACTGCACCGTAGTCTGGGTAAGAGAGTATAAGACTCTGTCTCAAAAAAATAAAAATAAAAATAAATAAGAAAACAAAATGAAAAATAGCATTTCTCACACAATTAGCTAATATCTCAAAATAACATATACTTGGGGTAAGGAACACTGAGAATTATAGATTTAAACTTAAATTTCTTTTTTTTTTCCTTTTGAGAGGAGTCTCCCTCTGTCACCCAGGTTGGAGTGCAGTGACGCGATCTCAGCTCACTTCAACCTCCACCTGCCGGGTTCAAGCTATTCTTCTGCCTCAGCCTCCTGAGTAGCTGGGATTACAGGTGCCCGCCACCACCCCCGGCTAATTTTTTTTTTTTTTTTTGTATTTTTAGTAGAGACGGGGTTTCACCATGTTGGTCAGGCTGGTCTCAAACTCCTGATCTCGTGATCTGCCCGCCTCGGCCTCCCAAAGTGCTGGGATTACAGGCGTGAGCCACCACACCCAGCCTAAACTTAAATTTTAAATCATCATACCTGTTATTCAGCTACAAAGAGGAATAAAGTACATACACCTGCTACAACCGGAAGAACCTTGCAAATACTCTGCTAAACGGAAGACCGGCCAGACACAAAAGGTCACATATTGTTTGATTCTATTTATAGGCAATGTTCAGAATAGGCAAATCCAGAGACAGAAAGTAGACTGACAGCTGGGGGGATAGAGCAGGGGGGTTTGGGAACTCAAGGGATGTGGGCTTTCTTTTTAGGGTTGATAAAAATGTTCTAAAATTAGACAGTACCAATGTTTGCACAGTATTGTGAACATATTAAAAACTACAGAATCATATGCTTAAAAGAGCAAATTTTATGGTTTTTAAATTGTATCCCCTTTTTCCATTAAAAGTACTAGTAAATTGCCAGGCGTGGTGGTTCAAGCCTGTAATCCCAGCACTTTGGGAGGCCGAGGCAGGCAGATCATCTGAAATCAGGAGTTCGAGGCCAGCCTGGCCAACATGGTGAAACCCCGTCTCTACCAAAAATACAAAAAAAAAATTAGCCAGGTGTGTTGGCACATGCCTGTGATCCCAGCTACTCGGGAGGCTGAGGCAGGAGAATCTCTTGAACCCGGGAGGCAGAGTTTGTGGTAAGCCAAGATAGCACCACTACACTCCAGGATGGGGCGACAGAGTGAGACTTCGTCTCAAAAAAAAAAAAAAAAAGTACCAGTAAATGAATAACCCAGGGGAAAAACCATCACAAGTCCTTAGCTGGTTATAGTTTTCTCTCCTAATGTGTTGGCCATTTTCTTACTGTTTACTTGGCCTTGTATTAATAATCTGAAGCTTTCCTGCAGGAATCTTTTAAAACCACCTGCTCTCTTTATGAGTCCAGTTTAGTTCAACCACATCCTTAGAACAAGTCACCTGGACACTCATAAACTGCGGCCTACATTTCAACACTGGGAAAATAAACAACTGTGGAATTCCAGCCCCTTCCGCAGGACACCTCAAGGACCGGACCTGACAAGTACCTGTCTGATACATGGAGTGAGGGCCCCTGGGTCAACCTCAATAGTATTAGTAAGATTTTAATTTTGCATTAATTTTGGAGATGGAACTGAAATGTAAAGAGTCGCTTCCTGTACCCCAGTGGGTCATCTTGCAAACTCTTCCTTGGAGTCCACAGGTTTAGATACCCATGCTCTGAACAGGGATGAACCTCAGTTTCACAGCAGCTGTTCTCCAATGCTACTGTACTCTGGAAACACCTGGTTCACCTGTTAAAACTGCAGGTCTGGGCACCACTCCTTGTGCTCCTGACTCTGGCCCAAGTGATCTAGCCCAGGGGTTCCAAAGGCTGTACTTTACGAAACACTGGGCCAGGCATGGTGACTCACGTCTGTAATCCCAGCACTTTGGGAAGCCAAGGCGGACAGATCACCTGAGGTCAGGAGTTTGAGACCAGCCAGGCCAACATGGTGAAACCCCGTCTCTACTAAAAATATAAAAATTAGCCGGGCGTGGTGGCAGGTGCCTGTAATCCCAGCTACTAGGAAGGCTGAGGCAGAGAATTGCTTGAACCCGGGAGGTGGAGGTTGCAGTGAGCCGAGATCGCACCCCTGTACCTCAGCCTGGGCAACAGAGTGAGACTGTGTCTTAAAAAAAAAAAAAAAAGAAAGAAAGAAAAAGAAGAAAGAACCACTGGTATAAGAACCCCTTACGAAGCTCTAAGGTGGGAGGCGTGACTGCAGTGGGAGCAGGGGTGATGTGCATATTTGGGATGGTTCCACAGCTGCAAATTTACTAAAGTCACCACACTGTGTATTCAACATGGCTGAACTTTCAGGTATGTAAATCATCCCTCGATAAAACTGGTTTTAAAAAAGCATGCAAAAGCTTCCATATGTCCCATCACACACGTGGTCCTGTGCTTATGCCAGGATGTTTAGACATCACGAGAGAAAGATGCACACACTCTCACTTGGGTAGATCTGTACTGGAATTGTGAGTTCACCCCAGCCTCGCACAGCTAACCCTAACCCCACAACACACAGCTGTGTCAGACTCAAGGCCGGGATGGGCAAACTGATTTATGAGCTTCCCCTAAGGAAGGAGTATGAGGTGAGGTTCACGGTAAGAAGTGTGGTTTTCTGAATTTCAACACTTTACAAAGAGTGTTATCTGTGCTAAGCCAAAAATGAACCATAAAAGCTAAAATACACAAATATCCTGAGAGGGGACGGCTTCCGTAAACACCAGGAGCTCTTAAAAATACCAGCAACATGGCATGGGTGTAACTCCCACCGGATGTACACACCACCACCTGTGAAGCTGTCTAATATAACCATCAAGAGTCAACACGACTGAGAAGGGGCTGCGAGTGATACAGACATGTAGCTGGGTGCTGATATGCATGACAATCCAATCAATGAGCCCCCCAAGAAGGAGCCTGGTGGGCATTTGGGGTTGGTGGCTCCGAGGGAAGGGTCTAATTTGAGACACAGAAATAAGGCAGCTCACCCTGCCTGGAAGGCTGAAACATGGGAAAGGGGAGGGGATGAAGACCAAGGCTAGATCCCACTGCAAGTCTCAGACTCCACCACAGAGCTGATGGTACCGAGAGGCTCCTGAGAGGACAGCAAGAAGGAAAGCCGGGCAGCTACTGTGCAGGGGGTCACGGCAGACAGGCGAGGAAGGGGGTCACCTTGCTGAGTGAGTGAGAAGGGATGAAGACAAAAGGCCAAAGGTGGCTGGGCGCAGTGCATCATGCCTGTAATCCCAACACTTTGGGAAGCCTTTGGGAGGTGAGGCGATCACTTGAGCCCAGGAGTTCAAGTCCAGCCTGGGCAACACAGTGAGACCTCGTCTCTATAAAAAATAAACCAAATTAGCCAGGTGTGGTGGTGCATACCCAGTGCACACTTGTAGTCCGAGCTACTTGGGAGGCTGAGATGGGAGGATTGCTTGAGCCCAGAAGTTTGAGGCTGCAGTGAGCTGTGATTGCACCACTGCACTCCAGCCTGGGTGACAGAGTGAGACCCTGTTACAAAAGAAGGAAGGGAGGTGGGGGGGGGGGGGGGCGGAAGGGCTGGGAGTGGGCGAGGGGCTGGGGGAGGGGAGGGAGGGTAAGGAAAGGAAGGGAAGAAAGGGAGAAGGAAAAAAAAAAAAAAGGCCGAAGGGGTGATCTAGTGATCGGGTGGGAGCAGGTACTGGAGAAGGGGCAGTGGCTGTCAGCTGGGGTGACGAGGGTACCAGGATGGAGGGCGTGGTGTGCACTAAGACAAGCAGCCCTGGGAGAGAATAGGTTTAGGAGATGAGGGAAGAAAGTCAGGAGGGGTCCCAGGTACAGCATCCTTATGAGCCACATGCAGCAATGCCAAACATTCGGCTACGTTATAATCCAAAGCTCCAGGTCAGGCCTAGAGATGGAGATGGAGACAGAGCCATCAGCATCCACAGAGCGATGGAAGCAGGGTGAGGGGCCATCCGGGGAACAACATAACAGAGTCCAGCACCGAGCCCCAGAGACACCAACCCCAAATCACCACACAGAGGAAGACGGTCAAAGAGACAGAAAGGAAACGGGGGCTGTGCGGCTCATCCTCCCTGTCCAGGGAAGTTCCTCGTGATTTCTTAATAGTGCTAAAGTACATCTTTGAAAAAGGTCCATGGATCCATTTGGAGACCAGCCATGACGCCTCCCCATGGAGCCTGGAACAGCAACAAGGGCTTTGTTGCTGGTTGTAGATGATGACAAGAACTGTGTCAAGTCAGCTGTTCTAACTTAACATCCACTCCCACTGTCACACTGTCCCCTGCTCTGCCATTTTCAGGAGACAGCCTGGAAATCCAGCCCACTGACAAATGTTCCAGAAAATTAAATGTCAGTTATGACCGTATCAAGAAGTATTCAGGGATTCTGCCTTTAACCTGTATACAGAGATAATTCATTCATATTTCTTACTGGTCTTCTGACTATGGGAATGTTCTCTATTTCGACGAATTTAAGCAAAATATGACCTCCTTATTCTCTTGTTATCTCCAAACAAGTGCTGCAACATGGAGCTGGTCTAACGCGGTCTGGCTCAGCCTTGGATGTGCCTCAGAATTAGCAAGGGGTGTGTTTGTCTTACTTTTAAAACCCAAAGCCACGCCCTGCCCTAAGTCTTAATGAGTAAGAATCTCCAGGGTATCAAGCCCAAATAAATGTCTCGTTTTTGTTCTGTGTTGTTTTGAAACTCCACCAGCAATTCTGACACACAGCCAAGATGGGGACCCACCGGTCTAACACTTTAGGAATATTAGGATATTTGCCAGTAATACTTTCTCTGAAAAGTGACTGGTTTTGGGAAACTTGGTAGGAAAAATAAAGGTAGGAACAGATAAACTGCAAGTTATCTCTGATGAACTAATTTCTTCCTCGTGATTGTTGAGTTGAATGTAGATGAGAAACTAAAGGTAATCAGTAACGTCATGATTATTTCACAAGCAGACCATTTGTTATTGGTGCTCCGGGTCATAGCCAGGGAAAGGGAAAACATCAACGTGGTCGTAAACTTGAAGTATAATCAACCAGCAGGTTCCTTCTGGTTCTATTTATTGGGCATATAATTTTCTCACAGGTTTTTCCTAATGTCCATCAGCACTTCAGCAGAGCAGATTAGCCCTGAAGATAGGGAAGATGGGGAAGGACCCCAAATGCAATTTTATTCAAAGTGTAAAGGAAGTGTGGGTGTCATGGGTATAGAAGGGAGGTATTGGGGAGTGACTGCTGATGGGTAGAGGGCTTCTTTTTGGGGTAAACATAAAATCGATTGCAGTGACAGTTGCTCAACTCTGAATATGCTTAAAAAAAAACAATGAATTGTACTCTTGAAATGGGTGAATTGTACGGTATTGTGAATTACATCTCAATATAGCTGTTAAAAAAAAAAAGTCAAAGAATTGTTTTGGGTGTTGAAATGGAAGGCTTTACCTGGGTGTAAATGCTGAAAATGTGGCTTTGTACTTCGTCCATTGAGTCGAGGCCGTAGGCTACTGTTCCGAGATGGAGCCGTTTGAAAATCATCTCGTTCTGGGTAAGAGTGCCTAAAACACAAGACAAATGAGTGGCCGGCCTGTCTCTCAGGATGTTTGTTATTATTAACAGTAATGACAGCTGCCATCTTTGGAGAGTTTGCCCTATGTCACACACTGCAGTCAGTACTGTCCCTGCTGGGGAAGACACCTGCAGCATTTTGCCTGCCTAGAATCCCATTCCCCTTTTGAAAATGGCTTCCTAGCTTTCCCAGGGGAAATTAACCACACCATGCCCATTACCTAAGGTGGCCCAAGAGGACTGTCAATCAGGGGCCTGGCCCATTCCGTTGGCCAAGAGGGTGACAAATGACATACACTAGAGCAATCAGATTCTATCTCGAAGGATTCTGACCCTTGAGTAGAAAGATACATCCCTAATGGCAGAGCCCTACAGAGACCACCTGGAGGGTCCTAATGCTGACTTAACCAGAACTTTCCTGGTGGCTCTCCTTCCAGAAACCTCATTTTTCTCTGATTTGGTGAGCCGCCCAGGATCTTTGCATTAGCTTCCCTTCTACCCCATGGACATTAAGCAGTAGAGATGAGGCTGAAACCAGATCTTCCCCCTCCCAATCCTTGCTCTTCACCACTCTGATAGCCTAATGCCTGGACAAGCATTAAGTTGTGTAGCAGTATCAGGGTGTGGTCAGAGATCAGGCCTGACTGCCTGAGTTAAAGCTTGCTTCGGCTACTATGCGCCCGTGACAAGTCACTTACCCTCTCTGGGCCACATTTCCTCATCTGTGGAAGCGGGACAGAAACACTACCTAACTCACAAGGTTCAGGTGAGGACTGAAGGAGTGACCGCACTGAAACTCCCCAGAATTGTATTCTGCACATAATTCTGTTATCATCATCTTCATCACCAAAGAATCTTCATCAAAAGATGAAGGGAATAAAATAGCAGCAACACGCATCTCTCATATGTCCAGAGAGAGCCCAAGAATTTCAGCCAAAGCCCTCAGGCATCTTCTCTCACCAGGAATCCTGCGCAGGTCCCAGAAAGCAGCTCACCTGTCTTGTCTGTGAGTAAGTACGAAATCCTGCCCAGCTGCTCAGGAATCGTGCTGGAGCGAACCACGGTCCCGGGGATTTTCGAGTCCCTTCGAATCACCCAGCTGTACACGATCTTGCCCATGTCCAGGTTCACACGCAAACTAGGCACAAAACCAGAGCAAACAGGCTAACAGGACAGATGTAAGGCTCCTTGTATCTTTATAAAAACATGGACTCTAAACACATGTGCCATCGCATCCGGACTCACTCCCTGCAGAAGCACACTGCCAGAGCTGAACGCACAGACTCAGCAAGAGCCAGCACCACCGTCAAGTCACACACGGAACAAATCCATTATTGTCACAAAGCTCATGTTATGGACTGAAGTCACTTAAAATACAGAAAGGGTAGTGGTTTCCATCTCACCTTTTAGAAAAATTACTGATCCCTTAAGCTAATATATTTTTGATGCTATATTCATTTTTTTAATTGTGGTAAAATATACATAACAGGAAATTGACCATTCTATAGTACTGAGCACATTTACAATGTTATCAGCCATCAGCATCATCCACCTCCGTAATTCTTTCATCTTCCCAAACTGAAATTCCACACCCATTCAACAATAACGCCCCATCCCCCACCAACCCTAGCCCTGGCAGCCCCTGGCAACCAGCACTCTACTTACATTTCTATGAATTTGACTACTTTTTTTTTTTTGAGACGAAGTCTCACTCTGTTGTTCAGGCTGGAGTGCAGTGGTGCTATTTCAGCTCACCACAACCTTTGCCTCCCGGGTTCAAACGATTCTCACACCTCAGCCTCCAGAGTAGATGGGATTACAGGTGTGTGCCACCACGCCGGGCTAATTTTTTGTATTTTTAGTAGAGATGGGGTTTCACCATGTTGCCCAGGCTGGTCTCAAACTCCTGGGCTCAAGTGATCCACCCGTCTTGGCCTCCCAAAGTGCTGGGACTACAGACGTGAGCCACCACGCCTGGCCGGAATTTAACTACCTTAGACACTGCATGTAAGTTGAATCATACACTTTTTCTGACTTTTGGGGGGGCTTATTTTTCTGGCTTATTTTGCTTAGCATAACGTTCTCAAGGTTCATCCACACTGTAAGGTGCATTAGAATTTCCTTCCTTTTGAAGGCTGAAGAGTATTCCATTGTATGTATTATACTCATTTTGAAATTTAATTTTACTGCACAAAGTAAATAGAAGTCTTCACATTAATTCATCATCCTATAAACTAATCAAACTGCTTGCCATTTTACTGGCTAGCCCTGGGACAAATGAAGAGTCGACTCACCAATTTTTAATCATGTTACATGTAGAACTTTGAAGGCTACCACGTCACTTAGATTGAATACTTGTTTTGCTAGCAGTCAAGTCACTAAAGTGGATGTATTTATCCTCTGAATCCACCATCCAGAGCATGCTGACTTGGGCACAGTCCCCCTGTCCCTGTCACACTGTTTTACACAAAACGACAATCTCTGTCCCCAGAAAAAGACAAATTCTCACCAAGATGATCTAAATATATAAAATAGCAAGACAAAATATAAGATAATATATCAAGTATAAGACAGAGTATAAGCACTAAAAGTTTCAGGGAAAAAATATGTAATTTAATATTTACTAATTATCATGGGGAAAAAGTAGAAGCAAACAGAACAATATGGGGGAAAGTAGACTGCTAACCCACATCACAGAGCAGCTCTAAAAAATGATGGGACACACATACAAGTGATGTGAAAAGTTATTCAAAACACTGCTCCAATTTTTTGTAAAGGCAGATTTTAGTAGACCAAACTCCCCTTTTTCTAAAATCAAAAGCACTCTAGAAAAAAGTATATCCCATACTATTAACAATGATTATCACTTGGTAGTGAGAGCAGAGGTGATTTATATTTTATTCTTTTGCTAATACAGGCCTTCACTTTTTTCTACTATGAAAATCTATTATTTATATCACTTTAAAAAACCAGGCCAGGTGCAGTAGCTCACGCCTGTAACCCCAGCACTTTGGGAAGCTGAGGCGGGTGGATCACTTGAGGTCAGGAGTTCCAGACCAGCCTGGCCAACATGGTGAAACCCCAACTCTACTAAAAATACAAAAATTAGCCAAGCGTGGTGGCAGGAGCCTATAATTCCAGCTACTCAGGAGGCTGAGGCAGGAGAATCACTTGAACCCAGGAGGTGGAGGCTGCAGTGAGCTGAGATCGCACCACTGCACTCCAGCCTGGGCGACAGAGCAAGACTCCATCTCAAAAATAAATAAATAAATAAATAACCATTTATTCAACCTCCAAATCAGGTAGGCAAAGGACTGGCATGTGCCACCAAGCTTTCATTGCACACCTACAGCAGACACTGCTGTCAATCACAACACCATTTCCCTTTGAGCCCAGATGCAGGCTCAAAATCCTTCTCAACACAGCAGTCCCAACAGCCACTATCAACCTTGCAGAGCTGGCTGATGACAGGAGCTCTAAATGGCATCCCTAGCATAGGGAGGCAAGGCAAGGAAAGATCTCTGATTCAAGAAAGGATGGCTTGTGGAGGAATGTGATCTTCTGGTGCTAGAGCCTCAGTGTGGTTCACACTCCTGACTGATTGCTCTTGGTCCTCACTCTACAAAGAGATCTGCTCCTTCTAAAAGCCGATGGGCGCGGTGGCTCACACCTACAATCCCAGTACCTTGGGAGGCTGAGTCAGGTAGATCACCTGAGGTCAGGAGTTCAAGACAAGCCTGGCAAACATGGTGAAACCCCATCTTTACTAAAAATACAAAAATTAGCCAGGCATGGTGGTGCATGCCTGTAATCCCAGCTACTTAGGAGGCTGAGACGGGAGAATCACTTGAACCTGGGAGGTGGAGGTTGCAGTGAGCCAAGATCGCGCCACTGCCCTCCAGCCTGGGCAACAAGAGCAAAACTCCATCTCAGAAAACAATAATAATAATAAAAGCCACAGAACCATCATCTTTGAATGAGTAAAGAGAAGAAGATGTCACGGCAGCCAAACTCAAGCTCGTCGCCTGCTTACCTAATGGGGATGATGTTGGAAAACAAGAGGAGGAAGCGGATGATCTGCAGGTACCAACGGCCTGCAAAGTGCTGAAGGGCAACCATGACCAGCGAGACCACCACCAGGGCACCAAAGAGGATCTTGGTGAGGCAGTTCACTTCCAAGTCGAACAGGCCGATCTGTGGGACGAAGCACAAACCAGGGCTTGAGATGAGCTGGTGTAACTAATCTCAAACCTAAACCAGGAGGTGGAGGCTGCAGTGAGCTGAGCCTCACTGCACTAACTCAGCCTGCCGGAGAGCTGGTCCTTCCCCTACAAACACCTCTACCCCAGGTAGGACAGTGGGATCCATCGATCCTCATATCTTTGGTCTAAGAACACTGCTTCCATGGGCTGGTGTTCATAACAGGCATCCAAGGGAACTCAAAGAATTCTGAAAACTCAAAAAAATGTTTACAACTAAAGAAGATTTACACTTGGAAATGTATCAGCGAGTTACTGCTGTGCTGGCTGGGTCGTGTGCTGAATAGCCTCCACCACCCTGCAGAGTGCCCTTGGCCTTGTAAAACAACTCAGATCCTAAACTCTCAGCACCCTACCCAACACCAACTCGGCAGTGCCTGAAAGTCTGGGGCGCACACCAGTGGTGGCACCCGATTTTTAGGTGGTGCATTAATGGACATTATTTTATTATTTATTTATTTAGAGATGGAGTCTCGCTTTGTCACCCAGGCTGGAATGCAAGGGCACAATCTTGGCTCACACCTCCTGGGTTCAAGCGATTCTCCTACCTCAGCCTCCCGATAAGCTGGGATTATGGCGCCCGCCACCACACCCAGCTAATTTTTGTATTTTTAGTAGAGACGGAGTTTCGCCATGTTGGCCAGGCTGGTCTCAATCTCCTGGCCTCAGGTGATCCACCTGCCTCGGCCTCCCAAAGTGCTGGGATTACAGGTGTGAGCCACCGTGCCCGGCCCTGGACATTATTATTTTAATAATAATACATTTATCTTCATGTCTAGTCTTTTAAAAAGTAACAAATCATATCCATAACTTCATAGAAACATGCCCCAGGATAAGGCTAAAACATTAAACAAACGATTTTATAGTTGTAATGATGGCTGTAACGTCTAATGGTGGAGCGACCATGACTGAAGTTTAGGAGACACAGCATTCCTTCCTGCTACTGACAAAAGACAATTATTCTGTAATGTTCTGACTCTTAAAAATTGGAGGAGGGGTAAGCTGTGATGGTGGGTCACGGTTTGAATCACATGGGCCTGCCCCGTCCTCACTGTGTAGCCTGGACAGGGCACGGTGCTTCCTGAAGCCGTTTCTCATGGATAAAGGAAGCATGCACTCACAGGGCTGTTATGAAGATGAAATGAGATGCACGTGAAGGGTGAAACACAAGGCGTGCAAACCGTACGTGCTCCACAGTTTAACCTAAAAGCACAAAAAATGCTGGGCGCCATGGCTCACGCCTGTAATCCCAGCACTTTGGGAGGCCGAGGAGGGAGGATCACTTGATGTCCGGAGCTTGAGACCAGCCTGGCCAACATGGTGAAACCCCATCTCTACTAAAAATACAAAAATTAGCCAGGCATGGTGGTACACGCCTATAGTCCCAGCTACTCAGGAGGTGGAGTTGGGAGGATTGCTTGAGCCCGGGAGGCAGAGGTTACAGTGAGCCAAAATCAAGCCACTGTATTCCTGCCTGAGCAACAAAGTGAGACCCTGTCTCAAAAAAAGAAAAAAAAAAAAAAGGCACAAAAAAGTCATATATCCACAAACATGTAACTACATATTTACGTACTGTATTATATATGTGTATTGTATATGTATTTATTGCATACACACACACACATATGCATAAAAAGATAAAATGTCTGTATAAATATCACTCTTAGGTGTTCCTATTTTAATATCTCGTCACTCACCCACCAGAACCAACCAGCCCACAGCCGGTCAATGTACCCCATGACCTCGTACACACCTTACTTCGGGGATTTGAGGTATTCATGACACTCCGGAGTTCTCTGCCAGTGTAAAGAACAACACCCACAACAGTACCTAAAATGGAAAAAAGAAAAAAAAAAAAAGAAAAGAAATATTAATACAGACAGGCAGGCTTGCAAATAGAAGAGTCTGATCCTCTTGAGAGACTGGGTTCTTTTTTTTTTTTGAGACAGAGTCTTGCTCTGTTGCTCATGCTGGAGTCTGGAGTGCAGTGGCACAACATGGGCTAACTGAAAGCTTCCCACCATGTTCAAGCGATTCTCCTGCCTTAGCCTCCTCAATAACTGGGATTATAGGCGTGCACCACCATGCCTGGCTAACTTTTGGGTTTGTTTTGTTTTGAGGCGGAGTTTTACTCTTGTTCCCCAGGCTGGAATGCAATGGCGTGATCTCCGCTTACTGCAACCTCTACCTCCTGGGTTCAAGCAATTATCCTGCCTCAGCCTCCGGAGTAGCTTGGATTACAGGCACCTGCCACCACACCCGGCTAATTTTTGTATTTTTAGTAGATACGGGGTTTCACCATGTAGGCCAGGCTGGTCTTGAACTCCTGATTTCAACTGATCCATCTGCCTCAGCCTCCCAGAGTGCTGGGATTACAGGCATGAGCCACCACGCCCAACCTCAATTTTTGTATTTTTAGTTGAGATGGGGTTTCACCACGTTGGCCAGGCTGGTCTTGAACTCCTGACTTCAACTGATCCATCTGCCTCGGCCTCCCAAAGTTCTGGGATTACAGGCATGAGCCACCACGCCCAGTCTCTTTTTTTTTTTTTTTTTTTTTTTTTTTTGAGAGAGGGTCTTACTCTGTTGCCCAGGCTAGAGTGCAGTGGCACAATCATATTAATAGCTCACTGCAGCCTCAACATCCTGGGCTCAAGCGATCCTCCCACTTCAGCCTCCCGAGTAGCTGGGACCACAGGCACATGCCACCATGCTTGGCTAATTTTTGTTTTTTTTGTAGAAATGAGGTCTCACTATGTTGCCCAGGCTGGTCTTGAATTCCTGGATTCAAGTGATCCTCCCACCTTGGCCTCCCAAAGTGCTTGGATTACAGGCATGAGCCACCTCGCCCAACCCAACAGCCACACTATGAGAACATCAAAGGTTTTACATTAGGGCCAAACCAATGATCTGCGGCTACACTGACCAAAAGAACAGTCACTAACCACTGAAAACCCTTTGAGTTTAAATTCAGTTAAATTAAATACAGCGCCCACCCTCCCTAGCCCTGTTTCATGGCCATATAAGCTAGTAGCTACCTCATGGAACAGAGAAGACCCAGAGCCTTCTCCTTTTACCACAAAACTTGTACTGGTGAATGCTGGTCTACGGGGCCCAGCGGCTTCTAATGGAAGGTGACTGGGGAAAGGCGTGGCTTGCCGTTTGTGCCTCTGGTCATACAGGCTTCCAGAGGTGCCTAGAACATTCCTACCTTCATTAACTATTATGGAAACTTGGAAACAGATGCTTCTTTTTAGAGCACATTCTTCCTGCTAAACCTGATCCCTTTCAGTCTAACTTGCCCATTTGGGGATGTCTGTCCCAAGGACAACTCTTTCCTAAGAACTCCCCCACCCCTTCTATCCTCCAGACACAGTAAGAAAAGGCATGAATCCTTCGAAAGTCAACAATTTACTCAAGAAATCAACATGGCCAGTGAACAAGAGGAAAATGCTCAATCTAGTAAATAATCAAAAAATGCAAAATCATTTTTATCCCAATTAGATTGGCAAAAATCCTGTGGTACACACTGCTGGCTGACGTGCACACTGGTGTGATCTATTTTGGAGAGAAATTTGGCAGTATCTGTCAAAATTTTACTTCTCTCCCCTTCTCAGTGTGTGCCAAGAAAATCAACACAGCAGGAAAGATAGACAGTAAAGAAGGAAACCAAGAAACACGGCATCACAGGGAGTGAGTGGCGCTAGGCTGAAAGTCAAGTCAAGCGGAGAAACATACAGGACTGGGTGGCAGGGCGGGGGGAAGGGGGCAGTGGGGGGCAGGCAGTTTGTACTGTCTCCATTCACATCATCTGAGCCAAAACTTGGAACACGAAGGAGCCAGCCCTGCCAAGCTCTCAGGGAAGATCCCAGGAATACAAGCAATTTGGTCTCTGCCAGAAAGAGAAAACACCTCTTTCTCTGTGCTCTCTCCCCCTCACTCTCAGGAATGCCACTGTCAGGAGATACAAAAATCCGAAGAGGCTGAAGCACATCTGCAGTAAAGAGCCCGCCCCCAAATGCACTGAAGGGACCACGTCCTGGACAAAGAGCCCTAGGAGGAGGCGCTGAAGTCCTTCAAGGGTCTAACACACTCAGCCAGGCAAACAATGTTCTCCAGCACAATGCAGTTCCCTTCCAAGGAGGCTCCCGGCAGATGGCAGGCCAGGGAGAGCTTGCGGTGGCTTCTCGGCAGATGGCAGGCTCCTGTGAACACAGGCAGCCCTCCCTTCAGGCCCCTGTCACCACAGCAGATGGCTGGACAGTGGGAACCGAGCCCGGGCTGAGCTTGGAATGACCACACGACCGCTGCATCCACTCCTATGCAGATGCAGCTCAGCCTCAATCCCCAGAGCCCAGGGTCAGAGAGGGCCCCAGTAACAAGGGGGACCCCAAAGGGAGTGCCCTCTACGTCTGGCCTGGCTAACCTCGATGCCATCAAATGCTGCTGAAAATGGCCTTTCCCATCCCATGCCTTCTTGTGCTCAGGACACAGGCTCTGCCTCCACAAGATCCAAACCCCAGCCTCATCCTCAGTGAGACCACCAACCGGAGAGGACGCACACACCGGATGCGCCTTGGCTTGGTCTGCACGGTGCCTTCAAGGTTCTGAATAACTGGCCACTTTTAAATTCAGGAGCTTGCCTATCTAAAAAAAAAAATGAGGCCGGGCACGGTGGCTCATGCCTGTAATCCCATCACTTTGGGAGGCCGAGACAGGCAGATCACCTGAGGTCAGGAGTTTGAGACCAGCCTGGCCAACATGGCGAAACCCCATCTCTACTAAAAATATAAAAATCAGCCGGGCATGGTGGCTCATGCCTGTAATCCCAGCCACTTGGGAGACTGAGGCAGGAGAACTGCTTGAACCTGGGAGGCGGAGGTTGCAGTGAGCCGAGATCACGCCACTGTACTCCAGCCTGGGTGACGGAGTGACACTCTGTCAAGAAAAACAAAATTCTAAAAAAAGAGATCTCTGGCTTTTCCTGGAAGTGTGGAAGATCTGATGACACTGAGTCCACGTTCCTCATGCTACACCCAGGGAGTGCTGAGGAACAACCACCTCTTAGACAGGCACGTGCTCTGAGCTCACCATGGTCCCCATCCACCACTATCCACTCCTTTAAATCCTCTGCCCAATTTGTAACTGTTGACCCGAAAGTATCCACCCCCAGGCCTCTGATCCCCTCCTTCCCCTGCTGTCACCTCTGCAGCCCCTCCTTGCTCTCAAGGTTCTCTTCACTCCCACCCTCTGCAGCCTGCAGGCCACGCAGCCCTTTCCATTCTCCCAGCCAGTGTCCATCTGGTTTCTCCAAAAGGCCAAGAGGTCATGGTCAGGCATTTCACGGAGTTCTAACTGACTCTCTGGAACAGTGTGGTGCTGCCTGGGGTCAGGGCTATTCTGTGACCCCTTTGTTCCTCATCCACAACAAAATAAATGCTGAACCCGAGAATCAGCGTTTGGAAATTTTTATAGCAATTAAGTATTGCTGCAATATTCGAGCATGTGATCAGAGTAGTCGTCTCATCAAATGGGGTATAGACCATGGAGGCACTATCAAACTGTTGTGGGCTGAGCACGGTGGCTCACGCCTGTATTCCCAGCACTTTGGGAGGCTGAGGCGGGTGGATCACTTGAGGTCAGAAGTTCGAGACCAGCCTGGCCAACATGGTGAAATCCCGTCTCCACTAAAAATATAAAAATTATACAGGCGTGGTGATGGGCACCTGTAATCCCAGCTACTGGGGAGGCCGACGCAGAAGAATAGCTTGAACCCAGGAGGTGGAGGTTGCAGTGAGCCAAGATCGCACCACTGCACGCCAGCCTGAGCGACAGTGAGACTGTCTTAAAAAAAAAAAAAAAAAAAAACTTGTGGCAAGGTGCACATAGTGTGGCTGCATATTACTCATGCACAGAGGCAGGACCACAAATCGATCTTCTACACATTAGGGGAAAACCCAACAAACTGGTCCCTCTCCACTAAAAGTTTGAGAAGAACTGGGCTAGAGCACCAGTTCTTCTCACCTTCTAAGAGGTGGCTGTTCCTCAACCTGGGCTCTGTAACATCCAGGCCACCTTCTCTGCCAAGCTCCTGGTCCTCCTCCATCCCTCCCCTTATCCTTCACTCTTGTGCTGCCTCAGCCTTGCAGCCCTGCATTGGCTACCATGGCAACCACATCTTCTACAGATTAATGCCAGCTGATACAGACGGACCTCAGCACTGCCTGGCAAGCTTTTTTATTTTTTTTCAACTTCCAACAGATAATAGCAGACCTGTTAACCGAGAGGCAAGAGTTACAGCCTATAGGGAACACAGAAGTGAAATCTCACATAATTAAGATGACTCTTGCTGGCTGTTCCTGGCGTTGAGAACTAGAAGGAAATGGCTTGGGTTTACATTAGAATCAGAGGGCAATTAGATGTCTACTCAGTGAGATGCAGGGGAAACTGAGGCCAATTAAGGAAGCAGTCAATGCCCAGCTGCTCATACTGACTCCAAATCATACACCCACTAAGAGGCAGGGCAGGCAATGCCATCAGATCACTGCTGTGCTCTCCCTCCCCTACCGCACCCCTCCCCCCAAAATAACCGAGCACACAGAGAGGAATTCAGACAAGTGAAAATGTATCTTTAACTCCACAAGGCATCTCCCATGAACTGTCTGAAATATCTTTCTTCTTCAAGATGCCAATATGCCTTCCACTCTCCTCCTCCCAGGAGATGACCTCTCCAAGGCATGTAACCTTGAACAAGTTGCTTAACCTGAGACTCAGTGCCTCATCCCATTAAATGTCCTCATGTAATGTTATGAGACCAAGTTAAGAGAATGGCAGCAAAACACTTCATCAATTAAAAGTAAGTGATAAGTGAAGACTTAATTAGTATTGCTCATCTCTGAGACTAAGACTGACAAGCCCTTCCAACATTGCTCCTTCCACCTCAGATTTCTCTGCATTTGCAGCTCAGCTCAACTGTTTTCCTTTTTACTGATTTTGGAGGAAATACATAAAACTCTCTCCCATTTCCTCTATAGCCCATCCTAAATTTCTTTTTTTTTTTTTTTGAGGAGTCTCACTTTGTCGCCCAGGCTGGAGTGCAGTGGTGCAATTTCGGCTCATTACAACCTCCGCCTCCCAGGTTCAAGCAATTCTCCTGCCTCAGCCTCCCAAGTAACTGGGACTACAGGTGCACGCTACCACACCCAGCTCATTTTTGTATTTTTAGTAGAGATGGGGTTTCACCATGTTGGTCAAGCTGGTCTCGAACTCCTGACCTCAAATGATCCACTCGCCTCAGCCTCCCAAAGTGCTGGGATTACAGGCGTGAGCCACCGCGCCCAGCCTCCATCCGAAACTTCTAATAAACTATAAATCCCATGTTGTGGGCACATGCATCTGTCTCCTAAGGCACTACCACAGTGCTGGGACCGGCAACGGACCTCAGCACCGAACAGGTGCGCTCTTGCTGCATGAAAAGGAGGACGGAAGGAGAGAAGAAAATCACCAGATGAAAAACAAACAGGCATATGAAAATGCATTTATTACTGAAATGCTAACATTTTCAGTAGCCAAGGTGGTGGTTACCCTTGGGCAGGTGTGGGGCAGCTAGAAGGGAGTGGAGGGAGCTTCTTCGGGGGTGGACGGTGATAATATCCTGTTTCTTGATCTGGGTGCTAGTCACACAAATGTGTTACCTGTGTTAAAATCCATCAAGCATAGGGTGGAAGGAGGGTGAGGATCAGAAAACACTACCTATTGGGTACTATGCTTACTGCCCGGGTGACAATATCATCTGTACACTAAACCCCCGCAGCATGCAATTTACCCGTGTAGCAAATCTGCACATGTACCCCCAAACCTAAAATAAAGTTGGAAAGAAAAAAATATAAATCCACCAAGCACTATGTTTAGGATTTTCTGTGTACGTACTATCCTTCCACAGAAGGCTTAGAAAAGAAGAATGGTGAACCGTCCACAAAAAATGAAGTACGTCCTATTCACGTGGCTGTCTAGTAAGGAGATGAGCACATGACAGGTAGTCATGAACTTCCAGCCCTGCCTATGCCAGATGCAACGGGACATGACAACTTTAACCCCATCTTGTTCTCATTGCCTTTAACGCCTCTTTATTCCACCCAAAGAGACAAGCATTTGACCCAGACATCCTCTGCTCTAAAGTGTGTTGCTTTTCACTGTATCTTTTTTTTTTTTTTTTTTTTTTTTTTTTTTGAGACAGAGTTTCCCTCTTGTGGCCCAGGTTTGGGGTGCAATGGTGCAATCTTGGCTCACTGCAACTTCTGCCTCCCAGGTTCAAGTGATTCTCCTGCCTCAGCCTCCTGAGTAACTGAGATTACAGGCACGCACCACCACACCCGGCTAATTTTTTGTATTTTTAGTAGAGGCGGGGTTTTACCATGTTGGCCAGGCTGATCTCAAACTCCTGACCTCAGGTGATCCAGCCGCATTGGCCTCCCAAAGTGCTGGGATTACAGGCCTGAGTCACCGCATTCAAGACCAGCCTGACCAACATGGTAAAACCTCATCTTTACTAAAAATACAAAAAATTAGCCGGGTGTGGTGGTGCATGCCTGTAATCCCAGCTACTCAGAAGGCTGAGGCAGGAGAATCGCTTGAACCCAGGAGGTGGAGGTTGCAATGAGCAGAGATCGCACCATTGCACTCCAGCGTGGGGACAAGAGCAAAACTTTGTCTCAAAAAAAAAATAATAATAAACAGCGTCTTTCTCTGTCACCCAAACTGGAGTACACTGGTGATCACAGCTGACTGCAGCCTTGACCTCCAAGCTCAAGCAATCCTCCCACCTCAGCTTCCTGTATAGCTAGGACCAAAGGCACACAACACAACACCTGGACGTTTGTTTGTTTGTTTGTTTTTATTTTTTTTGAGACGGAGTCTCGCTCTGTCGCCCAGGCTGGAGTGCAGTGGTGCTATCTCAGCTCACTGCAACCTCCACCTCCCAGGTTCAAACGATTCTCCTGCCTCAGCCTCCTGAGCAGCTGGGATTACAGGCGCCCACCACCACGCCCAGCTGATTATTATTATTATTATTATTATTTTATATTTTTAGTAGAGACGGGGTTCACCGTGTTAGCCAGGATGGTCTCGATCTCCTGACATTGTGATCCACCCGCCTCAGCCTCCCAAAGTGCTGGGATTATAGGCGTGAGCCACCTCACCTGGCCATGTTTTTATTTTTTGTAGAGATGGGTTTTCACTATGTTGCCTAGGCTGGTCTCAAACTCCTGGACTCAAGCAATCCTCCTGCCTTGGTCTCCCAAAGTGCTAGGATTACAGGTGTGAGCTACTGCACCCAGCCTCGTTTTACACTTTCATTCCCCATAAGGCTGCTTGTTCACACGGGGCCAGAAACACAGACTGGGCCTAAGAGTCTGGAGCCTGGAGTCTGACCTGAGGTAATATTCCCTTGCCTGTTAGTTCTCCTAACTCTATTCCTTAAAGCAAGTATTTTAATGTAAGACTATATAAACACTCCAAAAAAAGTCAGTGGATATTTTTATAATTTTAGAGCAGGGAAAATTTTCTTAGCATGACACAAAAAACAGAAACCACAAAGAAACAAAAGATCCCAGCCTGGGCAACATGGCAAAACCCTGTCTCTACAAAAAATACAAAAACTTAGCCAGGCATGGTGAGGTGCGCCTATAGTCGCAGCTACTCAGAAGGCTGAGGTGGGAGAATCATTTGAACCCAGGAGGTCGAGGCTGCAGTGAGCCCTGATCATGTCTCTGCACAACAACCTGGGTGACAGATCAAGACCCTGTCTTGAAATGAAAAAAGATCAACAGGTCTGACTAGATAAAAACTGCAAACTTTAGTTCCAAAAAACAAATGAGACCAAGTGAAACAGTCATTGCAATTAAGGCAACAAATAAAATATTAATATTCTTATGACATAAACAATTCTTACAAATTATTTTTTAAAAACCAACCTATAAGCAGAAATAATGGGCACAGGACACAAAGTGGTCATTCACACATATATTTAAGAAAATACGGCCAGGCGCGGTGGCTCATGCCTGTAATCCCAGCACTTTGGGAGGCTGAGGCGGGTGGATCACGAGGTCAGGCGATTGAGACCATCCTGGCTAACACGGTGAAACTCCATCTCTACTAAAAATACAAAAAATTAGCCAGGCGCGGTGCCAGGCACCTGTAGTCCCAGCCACTGGGGAGGCTGAGGCAGGAGAATGGCGTGAACCCGGGAGGCGGAGCTTGCAGTGAGCCGAGATCGCACCGCTGCACTCCAGCCTGGGTGAAACAGTGAGACTCTGTCTCAAAAAAAAAAAAAAAAAAGGAAAGAAAATACAGGCCTGGGCGCGGTGGCTCACGCCTGTAATCCCAGCACTTTGGTAGGCTGAGACAGGTGGGTCACGAGGTCAGGAGATCGAGACCATCCTGGCTAACAAGGTGAAACCCCGTCTCTACTAAAAACACAAAAAAATTAGCCTGGCGTAGTGGCAGGCGCCTGTAGTCCCGGCTACTAGGGAGGCTGAGGCAGGAGAATGGCATGAACCCAGGAGGCGGAGCTTGCAGTGAGCCAAGATTGTGCCACTGACCTCTAGCCCGGACCACTGAGCGAGACTCCATCTCCAAAAATAAAAAAAAAAAAAAAAAAAAAAATACAAATAAATAGTAAACATAAAGGAAGATGTCTGCACAAATAATTTTTCTAAAGGCAAATCAATATGCTAAAATTTGTTCAATGTCTATCACATGGGCAAAAATTAGAAAGCCAAACACACTGCTGGCTAGATACACATGTAAGTTAAGTTTATCAGGAGCATGAAGAAGAAGAGGCAAGTTTCCTGGGTGAATCGAAACATAAAATGTATATGGCCTTCCAACAGCCATCCTGTTTTTATGAAAACATAGGCACACGCCTGTAATCCCAGCACTTTAAGAGACTGAGGCGGGTGGATCATGAGGTCAGGAGTTTGAGACCAGCCTGGACAACATGATGAAACCCCAACTCTACTAAAAATCCAAAAAAAGTTAGCTGGGCGTGTTGGCGGGCCCCTATAATCCCAGCTACTCGGGAGGCTGAGGCAGGAGAATCACTTCAACCTGGGAAGGTGGAGGTTGCAGTGAGCCAAGATCACAACACTGCACTCCAGCCTGGGAAACAAGAACAAGACTCAGTCTCAGAAAAAAAAGAAAAGAAAAAAGAAAAGAAAAGAAAAACAGACACGAAAAAATGCTCATCATCACTGGCCATCACAGAAATGCAAATCAAAACCACAATGAGATACCATCTCACACCAGTTAGAATGGTGATCATTAAAAACTCAGGAAACAGCAGGTGACGGAGAGGATGTGCAGAAACAGGAACACTTTTACACTGTTGGTGGGACTGTAAACTAGTTAAACCATTGTGGAAGACAGTGTGTTGATTCCTCAAGGATCTAGAACTAGAAATACCATTTGACCCAGCCATCCCATTACTGGGTATATACCCAAAGGATTATAAATCATGCTGCTATAAAGACACATGCACACGTATGTTTATTGCGGCACTATTCACAATAGCAAAGACTTGGAACCAACCCAAATGTCCATCAATGATAGACTGGATTAAGAAAACGAATAGAATACTATGCATAGAATTCTATGCAGCCATAAAAAAGGATGAGTTCATGCCCTTTGTAGGGACATGGATGAAGCTGGAAACCATCATTCTCAGCAAACTATCGCAAGGACGGAAAACCAAACATGGCATGTTCTCACTCATAGGTGGGAAATGAACAGTAAGAACACTTGGACACAGGGTGGGGAACATCACACACCGGGGCCTGTCGTGGCGTGGGGGAGTGGGGAGGGATAGCATTAGGAGATATACCTAATGTACATGACGAGTTAATGGGTGCAGCACACCAACATGGCACATGTATACAAATGTAACAAACCTGCACGTTGTGCACATGTACCCTAGAACTTAAAGTATAATTAAAAAAAAAAAGAAAATGTAGGCAATAAAAAATTTTAAATTTCTATATGGTAAAAGAAAATAAAGCCCATCACAAACAAAAACAAAAAACAAACAAAAAACTGCAAAAATATGTATAACCCACAAAAAGTGAAAGTTTGATATTCTTTCCTCTATAAAGCATTCTAACAAAGTAATGAGAAAAAGAAGAACCACAAAGGAAAGTAGATAGACCAGAATATTAAGAATTAGCTGACAGGTAGAAAGACATTCAACTATATTTGCAATTAAATCAAAATTAAAACAGTAGGCTGGGTGCGGTGGCTCATGCCTGTAACCCCAGCACTTTGGGAGGCCGAGGCAGGTGGATCACCTGAGGTCAGGAGTTCGAGACCAGCCTGGCCAACATGGTGAAATCCCATCTTTACTAAAAATACAAAAATTAGCCAGGGGTGGTTGCACATGCCTGTAATCCCAGCTACTGGAGAGGCTGAGGCAGGAGAATCACGTGAACCTGGGAGGCGGAGGTTGCAGCGAGCCAAGATGGTACCACTGCACTCCAGCCTGGGCCACAGAGGGACTCTTTTTTTTTTTTTTTAAGCCAACTAGTAACTTACAAAGAAACAAAAGAGACAGATGCAAATATGACCACCTGCCAGGTAATCTAGGAAATTCAAACTGAATGAGATAATTATTTTTCAGTCAAATTATCAAAGAATAAAAAGAGTAATTAATTATTATTTGTTAATAAATGACTTGAAAGCAAGAAAAAATTGGTTCAGGTGACATGGGTGGAAAGTGGCAAGGAGGGGCAGGATGTGAACGTCTGCATGCTGCGTCCCCTGGGTGGCTGTGCCCAGGCGTGGCCCAGGCATGACCGTGCAGAATTTCTCGCTCTTTAGTCATCAGGGGGACTGAGAGACGTACCAAAGTATGATGAAAATAAAGGCAGGCAGTGGAAATAAAATGTAGCAGAAAAAACCTCAAGGGAGAGTGCACCTCTGCCTATTTGTATTAAGTAGTGCATGTGTGGATGGTGACACACGGTACTCCAGGGATAGTTTGTGCTGCTTCATTCCCTCTCCTTGCCACACAGGATCCTAATCGAGTGTCTACTACTGTACTAGAGAGCAACAAAGAAGGAAAAGGCAAGGTGGTTTACACCTATGATCCCAGCGTTTTGGCTGAAGCAGAAGGATCACTTGAGTCTGAGAGTTTGAGACCAGCCTGGGCAAGAGTGAGACCCCCATCTCTAAAAAAGTATTTAAAAATTAGCTGGGCCTGGTGGCATGCACTTGTAGTCCCAGCTGTTTGGGAGGCTGAGGCAGGAGGACTGCTTGAGCCCAGGAGTTCGAGGCTGCAGTGAGCCATGATTGCACCCCTGCACTCCAGCCTGGGCAACAGAATGAGACCCTGTCTCAAAAAAAAAAAAAATGAATGAATGAATGAATGAATGAATGAAAGAGAGAAGCAACCAGCAGAGTAAAACGGCTTGATGGTGGGGAGTGGAGAATACTATGTTTGAAGAGAGGAAAAAATTGATTCATCTAATAGTAAAGACAGAAAGTCACCAGCAGTAGAATTATAATACTAACTATACTATTAAGTTAATGATATCACGAAATGTAAGAAAAGTGATGGCTACACAGTAAGTTCTGTTTCTGGAGCAAAATGCCTAGGTTCAAGTTCCAACTCTGCCTTTCACCTGCTGTGTGACCTCAGAGCAAGTTACTTAACCTCACTCAGCCTCCGTTCCGTCATCTGCAGAATGAGCATAATATGAATAATAGTATCTACCCTCATGGTGCCGTTAGGAGGGTTAAGTGCAGTGTGTAACACACATAAGCACCCAGCACAGGGCCTGACACATGGGCTGCATGCCGCTGATGTTAACCACTGCTATCGGGGGTCATATTCAGCCCATGCAGTCCTGATCAGTGTCATCCCAGCACTGAAAGACACCAATGGGCCAGGTGCAGTGGCTCACATCTGTAATCCCAGCACTTAGGGAGGCTGAGGTGGGTGGATCACTTGAGGTCAGAAGTTTGAGACCAGCCTGGCCAACATGGTGAAACCCCATCTCTACTAAAAATACAAAAATTAGCCAGCGTGGTGGTGCGGGCCTATAATCCCAGCTACTTGGGAGACTGAGACACAAGAATCGCTTGAACCCGGGGGGCGGAGGTTACAGTGAGCCAAGATTGTGCCACTGTACTCCAGCCTAGGTGACAGTGTAAGACCTTGTCTCAAAAAAAGAGAAAAGAAAAAAAAAGAGAAAAAGAAAAAGAAAGGCACCAATATCCACTTCCTCTTGGTGTTTAAACACAGAAGCTCCAGCTCAAGCCCATGCCCTTTCCTAGGGCCCCAGTGCTGGCAGTCCCAGCGCGACATACCCTACAAACACAGCCTCCAGCCAGAACATCCAGGCTGCCTCCCCCTCTGGTACAGATTAGAATGTCAATCTGAACAGGCAATTAGAGCTACTGCCAGCATGGACGCTGCAGAAAGGTCCACAGGCCACGCGGGCTTCTCCTCCAGGCATCTCTAAGTGTCCGAGCTGCAATTAGATGTCAGTTTAATTCCCTGGAGGTGTCGGAACAAGTGGAAAATGCCATTTGACCGAGCACTCATTTTTCCAACTGACAGATGATTATTCTAATTACAAAAGGATTTTCTTTCCTTTTCAAATTGCTACCACATTCCTCAAAACGGCGCCTCACCTGATGCGACCACAGTGCCAGCCCACAGCGTGTTCTCTATGCTCAGGCTCTCGCTGATCGGGGGGTCGCTGTCTTCCTGGAAAAGACCAAACGGACACACGTTCACCCCCCAAAGCTTCCCCAGAATCCACAGGCTGCTTCTAGCATGGTCCGCTGGAGATAGAAAGACAGGCTCCCCCCGATGAACCTGGAAGCCCAGTTTGGAAGCCGACGGCTCCACCATGAGGGGAGGGCCAAGCTCTTCCACTACTGCCCTTGGGGTTTTCATCTCCCACAGAAATATGTGAAAAAGTTGGCCTGTGATTTAAGAAGCGCAGGCCTCTTAGCACTGAAAAATGTTTTATGAGGTTAAGAATCAAAACGTAAAAGCAAACCAATCAGGCTGTTTGCAGGCCAGCTTTGTTTGTGGCTTATAGAAAGAGAATGTGGACAATGTAATATGGGTTCTAGAAACCTGTTGACCCATATTCCTAAAATAATTTTTTTTTTTTTGAGATGGAGTCTCGCTCTGCCACCCAGGCTGGAGTGCAGTGGCGCGATCTCGGCCCACTGCAACCTCCACCTCCCAGGTTCAAGCAATTCTCCTGACCTCAGGAGATCCGCTCACCTCAGCCTCCCAAAATGCTGGGATTACAGGTGTGAGCCACCACGCCAGGCCTCCTAAAACAAATTAAATCCAAATTAAATTTCTCTTCTGAAAGGTCTGGAAGTGGCTTAAAAATTATGAAAATGGCAGATAGGATTTGTATGAATAAAAGAGGACAAAGTCAGGTGTGGTGGCTCACACCTGTAATCCCAGCACTTTGGGAGATCAAGGTGGGTGGATCACCTGAGGTCAGGAGTTCAAGACTAGCCTGGCCAACATGGTGAAACCCCGTCTCTACTAAAAATACAAAAAATTAGCCAGGCGTGGTGATGCACACCTGGAATCCCAGCTACTCAGGAAGCTAAGACAGGAGAATCACTTGAACCCGGGAGGCAGAGGTTCCAATGAGCCGAGATCGCGCCACTGCACTCCAGCCTAGGCGACAGAAGGAGACCGTCTCAAAAAAAAAAAAAAAAAAAAAAAAAAAAAGGCCAGGCTCAGTGGCTCATGCCTGTAATCCCAGCACTTTGGGAGGCCAAGGCGGGCGGATCACAAGGTCAGGGGATCAAGACCATCCTGGCTAACACCGTGAAAACCCGTCTCTACTAAAAATACAAAAAATTAGCTGGGCGCAGTGGCGGGCGCCTGTAATCCCAGCTACTTGGGAGGCTGAGGCAGGAGAATGGCGTGAACCCGGGAGACGGAGCCTGCAGTGAGCCGAGATGGTGCCACTGGACTCCAGCCTGGGCAACAGAGCAAGACTCCATCTCAAAAAAAAACAAGAGGACACAGATCCATCTGAAGGACAGAGAAAGAAAAACTCTTTCAGACGCCAGCGTTCACATGAATTGCAGCAAATGCTTCCTCTAAGTTGTCAGGTCATTTAAGCTGTTCCAAGGCCAGAAGAAAATTCCAGTTGTGTCGACCTTACTGAGAAACAATACGCTGGCTTTCAAGGCGGTGCCTTCTTTATGTCCCCACCTGGCATGAAACAACTTCCTGACAAAGAACTGTCAGTACTTCTTGGCCTTCATTTCATCCCTTACACACTCCCGGTGACAGGATCCCATGTGAAGGAAGCTCACTTACTCGGGTAAAAGTTCCCACGAAGTTGTGAATGTCAATATTTGGCTCTTCTGCGTACACATACGATCGAATCTGAAGAAGGTCCTGTTCAACAGAAGGCACATTCGGGAGTCAAAGTCAGTTCACAATGCAAGACTTCAGGAGGCATCCACTATGTTTCCAAAGCAACTATATTTCCCACACACAGCAAATGGCCCCTCAAAATTACAGGGGAGGTGGAAAGAAGAGGAAAGTCCTCTGTTAAGTAAGTTGAGGAGTCGCAGCATACAGTATCTCAAAGCACCCTGACAGACTCTACAGTGAAGACCCTCGTTTCTCTGTTTACTCAGCCCTTTCCAGACTTGATGGGGTGATGCTACACACCTATGAATACCCTGGAAAGTGGCAGACCCTCCTCTGCTAAATTCTGGCTTGCAAGACTTGTTTGTACCATTGAAAATACTCATTCAGGCCAGGTGCAGTGGCTCATGCCTGTAATCCCAGCACTTTGGGAGGCTGAAGTGGGCGGATCACTTGAGGCCAGGAGTTTGAGACCAGCATGGCCAACATGTTGAAGCCCTGTCTCTACTAAAAATACAAAAAAATTAGCCAGGCATGGTGGCGCGTGCCTGTAATTGCGGCTACTCAGGAGGCTGAGGCAGGAGAATCGCTTGAACCCAGGAGGTGAAGGTTGCAGTAAGCTGAGATCGCGCCACTGCATTCCAGCCTGGGCGACAGAGCGAGACTCCGTCTCAAAAAAGAAAAGAAAATACTCATTCAACAAATGGTTACTGGGCATCTACTCTGTATAAACCTCTGGGAAGAGCTGAAAAAAGTAAGAACGCCTCCCACCCGTAAGGATGGCTGCTATCAAAACAAAAACAAAAACAAGTGTGAAGATGTGGAGAATGTGGAGGCCCTGTGCACTGTTGCTGGGAACGCAAGATGGTGCAGCAGCTATGGAAACAGCACTTCCTCAAAAAATTAATCAGAAAACTACCATATAATCCAGCAATTCCACCTCCGGCTATATACCCAAAAGAAATGAAAGCAGGGACTTGAAGTGATCATCTGTCCACCCATGTACGTAGCAGCATTATTCACAATAGCCAGGAAGTGGAAGCAACTCAAACAAGCATCAGTGGATGAATGGATAAACAAAGTGTGGTCTGTCCATACAATGGAATATTACTCAGCCTTAAAAAGGAAGAAGTTCTGACACAGGCTACAATACGGATGAACCTTGAAGACATTATGCTAAGTTAAATAAACCAGTCACAAAAAGACAAAAACTAGGTGATTCCACTTATAGGAGGAACTTAGGGTAGTTTAATTCATAGAGACAGAAAACAGAAAGATGCTTGCCAGGGGCTGGGCCAAGGGGGGAATGTAGTTACTGCTTAATGAGTCCAGAGTTCCAGTTTTGAAAGATGAAAAAAGTTCCGAAGATGAACACGGCTGATGCCTGCATGACAACGTCAATGTACTTCATGCCACTGAACTGTACACTTAAAAACGGTTAGGACGATAGATTTTATGTTATGTGTATTTTAGCACAATTTTTTAAAAAGCAAACAAGAAGTCAACCTTAGGTGATAAGAAAGCCCAAAAGTGAAAGATCTTGGCAAAAACTACATTTCAAAGCAGCATATGTGAAGTGGCGTAAGACAGGCACAGTCAGGGGGAGCAGCAGTCACTGTTAGAACAGTGAGTTTCTAACTACTGTCTAGGAGCCCCTGGGGACTTGTAGCAGCCACCATCACGTGAAGTGGGGCTGGAGGGGGAGCGTGGGGTCCTGGAGAGCCCCTGGGAGGTGGTGGCTCGTGCCTGTAACCCCAGCACTTTGGGAAGCTGAGGTGGGTGGATCAATTGAGGCCAGGAGTTTGAGACCAGCCTGGCCAACACGGTGAAACCGTGTCTCTACTAAAAATACAAATATTAGCCGGGCGTGGTGGCGGGTGCCTGTAATCCCAGCTACTCAGGAGGCTGAGGCAGGAAAATTGCTTGAACCCAGGAGGTGGAGGTTGCAGTGAGCCAAGATCATGCCACTGCAGTCCAGCCTGGGTGACAGAGCAAGATTCCGTCTCATAAATAAATAAATAATAAAATAAAATTCCTGGTTTAAAATTAACAGTAATAATGGTGTTATTTCACTTTTTATTATCCATGAAAAATCATTCATAGGGTGGCTACATTTCTTGTTACGTCAATCCCGCCAAGACATGGAACTTTCCTCCTCCCTCAGGGGACACAGTAAGGAGTGGCTTCGATCCATGTGACGTGAGCACAGGGGAAGCTTCTGTGTTCCACTTCATCCTTCCAGACCACAGTGGGGCATGCCACTCACCAGGCACTTAAGTTACACATGGCCAACTACTGCGGCCATCCTCTCAGCCAGGGCCTGCGCCCCATCATACACACTGGGGATACGGCAGAGAATACAACAGGAAGAACCCACCCGCAGGGATGCTGCCTGGAAGTGAGTGAAGCAGGGATGCAGGGAGAGGTGGGCAGAAAGAGCCTCTCCGATAAGGAGAATCGTGAGCAAAAGCTCAGTGGAGTGCGGAGATGCCCTGCCAGGCAGACTCGCCAGGGATCAGAGGGCTCCCAGTGGAGGAAATGGCAACAGTAAACATCCAGGGACAGAATGACAGACCCGACAGGCTGGTAGGCAGAGGAGAGAGGGCCAGGCACTGAGGTCGGAGCCTCTGCAGAGAGACAAATGGGAAGGAGCTGAAGACGACAGCAAGCACCGCAGAACTGATTCTCAGTAAGATGAGAAATCTTTGGAGGGTTGTTTTTTTTTTATTTTATGGTTATTACTTTTATTAGATACAGGTGTCACTATGCTGCCCAGGCTGGAGTGCAGTTGCTATTCCCAGGCACAATCATGGCTCACTGCAGCCTCGAACCCGCAGGCTTAAGCAATCCTCCCGACTCAGCCTCTTGAGGAGCGGGGACTACAGGTGCATGCCGCTGAGCCTGGCCTACCTTCGTAGGTTTTGAGCAGAGGAATGGCATGCTCTGGCTTACCTTTTCAATTTTGGTGAGGCCCCTTGGCAAGGCTCCTTATGGTTTTTAGCTTCCCGCAGGAGAGCTCACTCCCTGCACTCGGGGTCTGCTTTGGTCACGTCAGGAAAGCCAACTAGGCCCAGGGGCTCTCCAGGACCCCACGCTCCCCTACTGGCCCCACTTCACAAGTTGCCATCCCATGCCTGGCCCCCCAGGTATGAGTTTGAGAACCCTGCTAAGATAGGTTGCCCGCATGGGCTTCTGCAGGGAAAGCTACTCACGGCGGCCGTGGGGAGCCTCTGCGTGCAGGCCACGGGAAGCCGCAGCTTCCAGTCCGTCTCCCCATCCAGCTGATCCGTCCGCAAGAAGCATGACCCTGTGGAAGGAAGTCGGGTGCCGTCACCTGCACCTCAAGCACCCTTCCCTTGGCAGCTCTGGGCAGCGTCTGCTCTGGTCCTTGTAAAAACAGCCAACCAATGGCCAGCGACCACAAGAGAAAATACATATCCTATCTCCTACTTCTTCCATAATAAGCTCTGGGGTCAAAAAGCTCAGAGTTCAAATCCTCACTCCGCCACTCCCTCTGAGTGGGATCCCCAGCTAGTTTCTTGGACTTGTCAAGCTTTAGTGTCTGTAAAACGTGGAGAAACGCAGACTTCGCAAGCTTGCTGTAAAGATTCAATGGGGAGATAGAACGGGGACGAGCACAGGTTGACCAGCATTCCGAGCCGTCTGGCCAGGCATCGCCAGCACCTTCTCAGGACCCAAACCACCTGAGTGCAGGTCCAGGCTCTGCCACGTAATAGCTTTGTGCCCTGAGAGTTGCCTATCCTCTCTGAGCCTCAGTTTCCTCGTGTGTAAAAGTGGAGATAGGAACAGCACTGACCCTGTAGAGATGTTGTGACAATTAAAGAGCTGATTCGTGCGCAGAGTTCAGAACAGGACTGATCGATCCAGGCAAGCACTAGGTCATTATGGGCTGGCACATTTCAGAGGTGTATCTTTCAGTCTGACATACAGATCCGTGCAAGTAGTCAGCTGTATACTCCATCAGATACAGAACATACCCCATTCACTGCCACTGCAGTTCAGTCTTTGAGAACTATTAATGTAGAACACTCATAATTTTGGTTTGTTTGTTTGTTTTTTCAAGAAAAAAAGAGCATGTCAGGGGCCCTACTCCATAATGCTCTGTTTTCACTAAATAGGACACAAGAACGAATTTAAAGACAAAGCTGCAGTTTTTCAAAGGCTGTTTTAATCTAGTGCCTTTTATCTCCTGTCCTGATTACATATTAGTATAAAATTTTACTTGTACTTTAATTCTATTCATAATGAAATACGTTGCAGCATCCTCAAAGGAATACGAATGTAAATTTTTCATGTATTCAAAAAACCTCCGATCATGCCAGATAAGGGAAAAACAGCCTTATTTCCTCAGAACAGCTTAAATAACAAAAATTAAAACTAAGGCCATTTTGGCCAGGCGTGGTGGCTCACACCTGTAATTCCAGCATTTTGGGAGGCCAATGGATCACTTGAGGTCAGGAGTTCGAGACCAGCCTGGCCAACACGGTGAAACCCCGTCTCTACTAAAAATACAAAAATTAGCCGGGCATGGTGGTGCACGGGAGGCTGAGGCAGGAGAATGGCTTGAACCCAGGAGGCAGAGGTTGAGGTAAGCCGAGATCGTACCACTACACTCCAGCCTGGGCGACAGAGCAAGACCCGGTCTCAAGGAAAAAAAAAAAAAAAAAACTAAGGCAATTTTAGTAGACTCATAGGGTGGGCAGGCAATGACAGCTGCCACCCTAGGGAACAACTGCAAGGAGTTAAGGGCCTTGTAGGAGACTTCAGAGATTCCCACCCCACAAACTCAGGCTACAATAAATAAATCAATAGGTGCTATAGGCAAGGTCCCCTGACTCATGAACAAAGGGCAGAAAAGACGCCCACCTCTCCCCAGTTTCTGTACTGCCCCCATCATGACACATCTGCTGGTATCAGCTTAGAAGAGAAAGGATTTCTGTTTACTTCTACATGGTAGAGACACTTCCTCGTCCCAACTCCTGAGGTTGAGCTTAACACAGCCGGGAGAGGAAATCCAAAGCCACTGTATGCGTGACTTTACCAGCTGTGAGTCAGCCGGTGTTCCACAAACTGTATTTTTTAATGATCACAATCTATTGACTTTTAAAACACCAACAACACTGTTTAAAAAGCACGGTCTATTTAAAAAGATGCTTTTGATTTGCCTCCATGGCTCCAAAATGATAATCTACTTTGTGACATTTTCAAATGATTATTTTGCCAAATTACCACTGAAAGGTTAATGGTTATTTTCCAAATTGATCTCAGATGTTTACCGTTTTTTTCTGATGTCCTCAGGAAGATCATGTCGGCAGGGACCCGCTGGTTCTGTGTTATGAAAAGAAAGACTGTTACTGTGAATGAATGACCGTGTGCTGTGCGGTGGGGAGGGGGGCTTCCGCCCCCACCCCCAACCCCTCGGTGGGTTGGGGCAGGGGGGACTGAAACTCACAGACTCTTTTACGTTTCTGCCTTTGTCAAAGACAGATTTGGGGATTTATTTTGTTTTGAATCTGAAAAATCTTGCACACTGCTGCTACTTTACTAATCCCCTATCAAAATCTTATCTTGGAAAGAGAGCTTCTAGTTTTCTGGCACATTCAACCATTACCTCCCAAAATCCCAAAAGCCTGCCTCCCCAGCTGGCTCTCTTCCAGGCTGTCTGCTGAGACTCAAGACAGACCCTCCTCTCTCGCTTTCTGCTTCTACCAACTTACCAGCTTGATGTTTGGCTTTTAGTGGATTTTAATAAGGAAGGAAAGTAGTAAGAAGCAACAAAAGCCATTCTAAAAAAAACTGGGGGGTGTGGGGAGCCAGTAGCCCCCATTTAATTATGAACAGAAAAGTATGTGATAACATAGATGGGGGTTGTGTGGTTCTTCTGAGCTGCCACCCAAAAGAGTTTCACTTTACCTTAAAGCAGCTTTGAGTTCTTGGATTTAATCCCTTTAAAAGAGCATAGCTCAATTTCTACAGAAACAAGTTAAGACACAACCCTTTTCTAATCAAATATTATTCCAAGCCTCTCCAGAGCCACCCCTCAAAATCCAATACCTTCCAAATATACACACTAGAAAAAGACATGAGTGTTTGCTAAAGTAGCAAACATACTGACACGGCTATTTTTTAAAATGTATTTTTGGTCTTTTTACTGTTCTCAGGTTACACTTAACCCCTGCTCCCCATAAAATAATAGACAAGCACAATGGTTAGGTCAGGAAATGCAAGCTAAAATGGCTCAAAGGGTAAATTAGATAAATATTTTAAGTGTCTATGTAGTAAGCAGACTTCTAGGAAAAACTTTATGATATTTTTTATCCCAAAATAATAAGCACATCGAACAGGAAATCAAAACTTGTACTTGTGTTTGTAAGCAGGATTTCTGGCTAACCAACGCATATAAACCTTGAAAAAATATTTGTGTGTGTGTGTGTCTGTGTGTGTGTGTGTCTGTCTGTCTGTCTCACAGGAAAGAGATTTTTCTCCCCAGGCAAAGTTTTTGGATAGAATCCCAAAATTCAACATTCACTTCGTCTACCAGATACACAAATGACACATTAGGACCCATGAAGTGGTATCCACACACAAGCTTCCAGATTCTGCTCACCTTTTCAACGATGATAAGGTCTCCAACTTGGATGTTAGAACTCTTCACCTTCACTGTGCCTGCAAAGCAGCAGGTTCAAGATACATCACCATCTTAATTCATTTCAATTCAACACGTCTTTACAGAGTGCCCAGCCTGCAAACACACAATACACCCAGAAGTACACGCTCCCACACACAGCTGCCAGTGACTCCAGCACCATTATTTCCTGCCTCTCCAGGAAAGGGTTCAACCGCTACAGAGGCCGTTGCAGAAATAAATGCCCACTTCACAGGGCACTGGAATAACTTCAGCCCTTCATGAAAGATCATTTATTTGCCTTCAGAGTGACTTAGATGGAAAGTAGTGGGGGGAAAAAAGTCTTAATTTTCAACACCACTTAACAGTGACTTAGATGCAAAGTACCGGGGGAAAAAAGTCTTAATTTTCAACACCACCAAAAAGAAAGAAGCTAACTAATTCCAAATGACTGATTTACTTTTTAATTTATAATTGCTACATGCTTTGATTTATAGGATTATGATCAGACTATATAATTTTTGCTGGATGTTTAGATAAACAGTAAAAGCTAACATTAAATGCTAATTCTGTGCTCAGCACTGTACAGATTTTGAAGGTTTCATTTAATCTTCACAATAGCCCTCAGAAGAAGGTAGTTCCATCTCCAGCTTTCAGACGAGGAAAGGAGACTCAGGATGTCCCACCTTCCCCCAAAGTCTCAGAGTTAGAACAGGTCAGTGCTGGGATTCACACCTGCATCTGACTCCACAGTACAGAATAAAAGCAGTGAGTTCCATTCAACCCAAAAAACATGACTGGGCCAGGCACAGTGGCTCACATCTGTAGTCCCAGGACTTTGGAAGGCCGAAGCAGGCAGATGGCTTGAGCCCAGGAGTTCCAAACCAGCCTGGCCACATGTCAAAACCCTGTCTCTACCAAAAACATAAAAATTAGCTGGATGTGGTGGCACATGCCTATAGTCCCGGCTATTCGAGAGGCTGAGGTGTGGGAGGATCGCTTGTGCCCAGGAGATAGAGGCTGCAGTGAGCCGTGATCATGTCACTCCGGCCTGGGCAACAGTGAGACCCTGTCTCAACAGCCAGACAGCATTTACTGAACGCCTGCTGTATGCCAGGCGTTCTAAGGGCTGGGGATACGTGAAACTCAATTCCAGTGGAGGGGAGGAGGCAATAAACAAATAATGGATGAAAGGGGTTGGAGAATCAGAGGGGTGGCTGTCAACAAACTCTGTGGGAGAGTTGAGGCCAGAATTAGACAGACGAAGGACACTGTGTTTACCAATAACAGACGAAAGGCACCCTGAGATGTGAGAAAGTGGGACAGGTGAATAGCTAACAGCATGCACACGGCCAAAGGCTAGAACTCCTTCAGCAAGACGTAAAGCATCAGGAAAGCAGGGAACAGCGAGAGATGAAAGTGGAAGGGGCCAGTTGGGGCCAGGTGGCCCCACACCCTGTGAGGGAGCCCAGAGAGGAAGAGAGAATTTATTCTGGTGATAGGTGAAATTCACATACAGGAGCAACACCACAAAATCTTTATGATGCTGCTATCTTGTAACAAGCCCATGTAACTTACAAATGTTCAGCTAAGAGAGAGATAAAAAGTAATTATAGGCCGGGCACCACAGTGGCTCACGTCTGTAATCCCAGTACTTTGGGAGGCCGAGGCAGGTAGATCACCTGAGGTCAGGAGTTCAAGACCAGCCTGGCAAACATGGTGAAATCCTGTCTCTACTAAAAATACAAAAATTAGCAAGGCATAGTGGCAGGCACGTGTAATCTCAGCTACTGAGGCAGGAGAATCGCTTGAACCCGGGAGGTGGAGGTTGCAGTGAGCCAAGATCTCACCCTTGCACTCCAGCCTGGGCGACACAAGCAAAACTCAATCTCAAAAAAAAAAAAAAAAAAAAAGAACTTAAAGACTTAAAGACACGAAATAATATAAGTGCACAACTCTAGACTTTTAGTGTCTCACATATTTTACATTTTAACATAATTTAATATCATTTATTTTTTAAGTATTTCACTACCATTGAGATTTTTCAGAGCATTCCAATGTTTTCCTATTGAAACAACTCTCTTTAATCGGTTCCATAAGATTTGTTTTTAACTAATTTTTGTGTGTCGTTAAATCTTGTCATTAAACAATAAGTAGAACTGGCATCAAAAGGTCTGATATAAACACTACTGACTTCTGACTTCTTTTTTTTTCTTTTTTAGACGGAGTCTCGCTCTGTCACCCAGGCTGGAGTGCAGTGGCATGATCTCGGCTCACTGCAACCTCCACCTCCTGGATTCAAGCGATTCTTCTGCCTCAGCCTCCCGAGTAGCTGGGACTACAGGCACCCACCACCAAGACTGGCTAATTTTTGTAGTTTTAGTAGAGACGGGGTTTCACCATATTGGCCAGGCTTTTCTCGAACTCCTGACCTCGTGATCCACCCGCCTCGGCCTCCCAAAGTGCTGGGATTACAGGCATGAGCCACTGCGCCCGGCCAACACTACTGACTTCTAGAAAGCACTCAACTAACAATGGCGAGCTGAACTAACCCTCGATCGCTGGTAAGACTTCTGGACTCTCCTAGTGTGAGTATTTCACCCTACTAAGTGAGCATCTAGCATCTAATGGCACCTCATTTTCATAAAATGTGATGCTAAACTCAATTCAGTGACCGGAGCCCTGGCCTGCTAGAGAGAGATCCACTGGCCTCCTTTCATTATGTCTTGGGCTTTGGTCAATACATTTACAGAGAGACTGGAGAACATCCAATTAGATGATTAGAAATGGGTAAAGAGGCCGGACACAGTGACCCAAACCTGTAATCTCAGCACTTTGGGAGGCTGAGACAGGTGGACCACTTGAGCCTATTAGTTCAAGACCAGCCTAGGCAACATAGCAAGACCCTGTCTCTACAACAAACACAAAAAATCAGCCAGGTGTGGTGATGTGCACCTACAGTCCCAGCTACTCCGGAGACTGAGGTGGGAGGAATGCTTGAGCCCAGGCGACCAAGGCTGCTGTGAGCTGAGATTGTGCCACTGCACGGCAGCCTGGGCAAAAGAACAAGACCCTGCCTCAAAAAAGAGAGACAGAGAAAGAGAGAGCGCCGGGCATGGTGGCTCACACCTGCAATCCCAACACTTTGGGAGGCCGAGGCGGGCGGATCACCTGAGGTCAGGAGTTTGAGACCAGCCTGACCAACATGGAGAAACTCCATCTCTACTAAAAATACCAAATTAGCCAGATGTGGTGGCACACGCCTGTAATCCCAGCTACTCGGGAGGCTGAAGCAGGAGAATCGCTTGAACCCGGGAGGCGGAGGTTGCAGTGAGCCCAGTTCGCACCACTGCACTCCAACCTGGGCAACAAGAGCGAAACTCCGTCTCAAAAAATAGAAAACAGAGAGGGAGCGAAAGAAAGAGAGAAATGGGTAAAGAGACGGTCTAATTGGCAGAACGATTTCATGGCCTGAACCACTCTTCTTGCTCCACTAGGGGGCAAAAGGAAAAATGAACACAGACCTGTCGTTTTTCTGGGAGCTCAGGAAGGTATTACTTGAAGGAAGACCGTAAATTCAACGTGGCCCTCAGCGCCAATGAACTTTTCCTTCACCTGAGCTTGCCCCAACTTTCCCAAACATAAATTTACACATTGTCTTTGGTTTTATTACTAAAATTTATGCTGCTGACCTGGCCCAAATGATCACACCCGGGTTCAGATCTTCAAGCTCTAGTTACAGGTTCCCTCTTAAAATCTAACTCATAGAAGAGCATGTGTTTTCATTCTTATTAAATAATAATTGCCTATGTATATGTGTGTACATTAGCAGGACAGAGGACAAAATCAGGGAGATTTCACTAAAAGGATCAGCAGGGCTTTCTCTGGCACATATATTTTCCAAATTTTTCACATGAATTGTTTTTCCATTAAGCGTAAGGTTGCTTTCCTAAGAAGAAAAAAATAATAATTAAAATTAGCTCAAATTTTTAAGTGACCAGACCCAGATTTTTCCCTTCTGCAAGTGAGTGCTGATTTATGATCCATTCATTTGAACTCTGCCTCTCTCTGTCCATCTGTTCTGCCTCAACAAAAACCCCTTTAATCCTCTGTGTTTGCAGAGCAGTTTCTGAGTAACCCCAGCAGGCCAATCCTTCATGCAAACACACCTACTGTACCCAACTGTCCATCAGCCAACAGGGCTCTTGCTCCACCTCTAAGGGAGGAAGCAAGGAGCCACACCATCATGAGGTCACTTGGGATTTTTAGCCACGGTCATTCATTAGCATTGCAGTGTTTTGAGGGGATGAGCCTCGGATCTGCAGCTTGAACAAACACAGATTCCCAGACTCTCCCCTTCTGTTGAGCTACTGCAGAGTGCTGTCAATTTGGACTTCTTGCCCCATGTTGTCTTTTCTTTTGGTGATCAAAAACACGTAGTTTGGCTGGGCACAGTGGCTCCCAATCCTAGCACTTTGGGAGGCCGAGGCGGGTGGATTGCTTGAGCCCAGGAGTTTGAGACCAGCCCGGGCCGCATGGCAAAACCCTGTCTCTATTTTTTAAAAAAGTTAAATTAGGCCAGGCGTGGTGGCTCATGCCTGTAATCCCAGCACTTTGGGAGGCCGAGGCAGGTGGATCATGAGGTCAGGCGTTCGATACCAGCCTGGCCAACATAGTGAAACCCTGTCTCCACTAAAAATATATAAAATTAGCCGGGCGTGGTGGCAGGCGCCTGTAATCCCAGCTACTTAGGAGGCTGAGGCAGGAGAATCGCTTGAACCTGCAAAGGCGGAGGCTGCAGTGAGCCAAGACCGTGCCACAGCCCGGGTGACAGTGCAAGACTCTGTCTCAAAAAAAAAAAAAAAAAAATTAAATATCTATAGATACATAGTTTGGGCCTTCATGCTTCATGGTGTGTGTGTTCGTGTGTGTGTGTGTGTGTGTGTGTGTGTGTGTGTGTGTGCATGTAATGAGAGAAAATACAAATAAAACCAGAATGAAAAGGAGAAAAAGCAGCAAGAAGAAAAGAGATAAAAAAGCAGATACTGTTATTTACATTCCCATATTTACTGGGAGTTTTCCACCAGCCAGGCCCTAGGCTTGGCTGTCAGTATTTGACTAAAATGTCCCTCTCCAAGGAGCTCTCAAGTTGGTAGGGAGAAAGAGGGAGAGAAAAGAGAGACCAAAGTTAGAAGTGAGGAATCACTGGGCATTCAGTGGTCAGAACTGACTCCCAGAATGAAAAAATCGGTAAGGGTGTGGAAAGGGCCCAAAACACATGATTTCTAACTTCACAGCAACCACTATTCTGAGTCTTCTACGAACATTGTTGCAAAAAAGGGGAAGAACAAGATACGGAGAAGTAACCTAACAGAAGGGTTCTTGTCTTCCTAAGAAAGTAACAGCAGAAAGAAAAAATAGCACATTGATAGCAATTATTACCAATCTCAAAAAAGGGCAGGAACTCTCCCTACAATTGATCTGACAGAAAAGAAAATGCCCTCCTAACAGGCCTCCGGCAGGCACACTTCCCAAGCGCTCCTTGGTTTTTTTGTTGTTGTTTTGTTTTGGTCTCATCTTCCCCAGAGACTCCTAAGATGGAAAAAGGACCAATACACTCCCAGCTTGGGCGATGCTTCACTGTTAATGTCTTAAAATTCTTGGTCAGTTTTGTGTTTTTTTAAACTCAAGATCTAACCACCTGATCTTAATACTTTTTGAACAACCCCACCTCCCACCACAATTTTCATTTTTCACTGGGTCCCACAAATTATGTAGCTGGTCCAGAAGGGAAGTAAAAACACCCAATAATATCTTCTTATAAAGTGCACAGGAAAACCTGGCCCTGTCCTAAGAACCGAGGCCACAGAACTCTGAACTTTTCCTGTAACACCCCATCTCCAATATCGAGGCTCCAAGATTTTTAAACGCATTTGCAGAAATTCTACAAAGGTAAGAGATTTTTGCAAAAGTTAAGCGGAAAATTCTCTGCCTGCCACATCCTAAATCATTAAAAGTCTTCTAATAAATCTATCCCTTTCAGCTTTCGCCACTTCACCCAAGTCGTCTCTCAATCAGAGTTTGTAACGGGGAACAAATTTCCAATTATTAGAGCTGTTTATTTCTGTAGCGATGGACCCCCAAGCCTTTCATAAGCAAACCTATTGAGCCCAAACCATGCCTTTCATGGATGACAGCTTCAGAATAAGAGCAGTTTGTCTACATTGCAGGGAGAAACCAGATGTTTCCCTTGAGTCGAAACAAGCAAATGACAATTCAGTCAAACTGCAGAATAGCCTACCAAAAAAATTTTTTTTAATAAATTCCAGGGCAGTAATATGTGTGGGCCTATTTTTTGACCCTGAACACCTCCATCTATACTTGTATTTTTCATTGTTCATGCAGGGCACTGATTGCTTTTGTAGATCTCTAACAACAATCTCCATGCACTAACCCTGGTTAATGTATTACTCTTTAACTCACACTCTAATCTAACTGTGACAGTGATGAGTTGTAAATTCTGCTTCATGTGTACATTTCCTGAGGTTGACATTAAAACGCCTCTGCAGACCCAGCAGAGTTCAGAGGTTTAAAGTTGAAATTTTCATATTCAAATAGAGTTGTCTGCATTCCCCAAAGCCAAAGAAAAGACTGTTATTTGAAAACAGGCAAAGAGTTGAAAGGATTATTATAAATAATCACTACCACTTCCTGGGGCTTTTGTTTAAATAGTGGGAACTTAAAAAAAAAAAAAAAAAAGGCTGCAGTTTAAATGTAACAAGTTTATACCCAACAGTGGCTTTTAAAATAAATATATAAATGGTCTTGCCGGTTTATGGTGCCCAGAAATGATGAAGTAGACGAACACCCTTACAGGGGGGAAATAAATACCTTTTGGGAATAACAGTGCAATTTGCAAGTTTGAGTTTCTGGTGTTTTGTTGTTTTTTTTTTTAATTAAACAATAGATCAGTTCACCAATGACTTGTACTAAAATGAAATTGAGTACTTTGAAAGGAAAATCTGAACTTTGTGGATCTTAAATAACTTTATATCTGGGCGGGGCACAGTGGCTCAGGCCTGTAATCCCAGCACTTTGGGAGGCTGAGGCAGGCAGATCACCTGTGGTCAGGAGTTCAAGACCAGCCTGACTGACATGGAGAAACACCGTCTCTACTAAAAATACAAAATTAGCTGGGCATGGTGGCACATGCCTGTAATCCCAGCTACTCGGGAGGCTGAGGCAGGAGAATCGCTTGAACCCAGAAGGCAGAGGTTGTGGTGAGCCGAGATCGCGCCATCGCACTCTAGCCTGGGCAACAAGAGCGAAACTCCATCTCAAAACAAAAAACAAACAAACAAAAAAAAAACTTTATATCTGTACCAGGCAGTATGAAAAAGTATTCAGCAAAATCTGTTATAAGTAAGATTCACTTGTACCTGCTGATGCTCTGAATCTCAGACAAGGGAAATTTGGGAAGGGAATTCTTTGCTCACTGAATTGTCTTTGAGGTCCTTAGTGAAGGATCTTTGCAGCAGTTTTGCTGCAGTAACATTGAAAAGTCTATCCATACCATTCTCTTCTTTAAAAAAAAATCATAATGCATATCTTAGTGTTCTCCATGTCTGGACAGAGCTTATACTTTGAAACATAAGTAGTACTTGGGTTTAGGAATATAAAGTTTCAATTTAATTATTAGCTAAACAATTCCCCATTAATGAATGCACCTTCCCTACATTATTATACCTTCTGATTAACCACAATGACATACAACTCCAAAAAAGAAAAAGGTGCATTCTTAGGTCTTGAAATTTAAGTCACATTAATTGCAATCCTAGATAATGGTACAACATGGGTTTTGTGCTACACTGAAAAATTTGTTGTCTCTTGTTACTCAAGAGATCCTTGAGGTTACAGGTGATTCTGTAAATGAGAAAGAGTAAGCAGAGAGCATCACTCAACTATCTAGAAAGAAGTGGAAAAGGAAAGATATCAGGTCGATTTTTTATACCACATATGTAGGAGAAAGCTGAAGATACGCAAAAGAGCATAGATCTTTGGCTTATGACTTATGGTCAGCCTGCCCAGATGTCCCCAGCAGGAAAGAAGCATCAGCAATTGTGTTAATTATGCCTCTGTTTGCACTTCTTTCAAGGCTAATTGTCCGCTTGCTTCATTTAGTCCTTGATCAGAAGTTAGTCTGGGAAAGCATTCCTGGTATGAACACCCATGGAATTCATCTTGTGAAAATGCAAATCCCATTTTCCTCACCACCTGTGATAATCGAGGCAACCCCCCACCCCCATTAAACTTTTGGTTTGGGGAAGGCAAGTATAAAGAGAAATAATTCCTTCACTAATTATTCTTTTCCAATCCAACCCAATTCTCTTGAGTAACAAAACTAAGTTTTGCTGGGTCTGCTACATCTCCAAGATCTTCTCCTTTCTGGCTTTATTTCCAGTGCCACTGAATGCTATTAATTTAGGAAGACAGCTCTATAATTAAAACCATAAAAACTCATAAAGGTCTAAGAACTGCTCTTAAGTCTCTGATGTTTAAATGTGAATTTGTAAGTAGGAGGAAAGGGATGCTTGTTTATCCAAAAGCACTACCCCATGTGGTTTTCAACAGTTTGTCCATCTGACAATGAGGAGGCTAGATTGATAGGTTTCTTTGGACTCAGAGATGTGTTTTAAAATGACTCAAATCTTAAAAGCACCCCTGTAGCATATGTATTAAGGCTGAACGCTGTAGCAGTTGTTGAGATATTATATGCAAAAGTGCTGAGCTCACCTCCTGGCACATAGTAGGTAACTTGACTTAAAGGCTAAGGTTTTACATGCAAACAAGCCTGGGTTCACATTCCAGCTCTGCCTTTTGCTAGCTCATCATCCAAGACAGGATGCTTTTCCTCTATTTTGTTATAGGGGCCTCAGCCATGAACCTAGCAATGAGTGAGAGAAAGAAATGTTTTCCTTCCCTACATCCACACCCATAAAAGCTACCTTCACAGGGCTATCTAGAAGACTACAGACTAGGCTGGGCACATTGGCTTATGCCTGTAATCCCAACACTTTGGGAAGCCAAGGCAGGAGGATTGCTTGAGCCCAGGAGTTCGAGACTGGCCTGGTAACTTCATCTCTATAAAGAATTAAAAAGTTAGCCAGGTATAGTGACATGCAACTATGGTCCCAGTTACTTGGGAGGCTGAGGTGGGAGAATCACTTAAGTCTGGGAGGTAGAGACTGCAGTGAACTGTGACTGTGCCACTGTACTCCAGCCTGGGTGACAGAGTGAAATCCCATTTCAAAAATAAAGAACGAAAAGAAACTACAGATTAAACCTTATCTAGCACCTGGCTAGCTGATGGCAGGTAGCCTTTCTTCATTTTTTCTCCTGCTTCCTAATTTGAACAGCAGTTTTTCAAACAGCTCAGTGCCACCTTTTTCCTATAGCATGCCTGTACTGTATATGAATTCTTCAAACACAGAATCAACCCTTCCATAGCCTCAGGTTCTCACTGGCCTGTGTGGTCTTCTCTGGAGAGGCTCAGGAAACTTCGCCTAATTGGGAACAGCAAGCTGCTGTTGGAACCTGGGGTTCTGTAGCCTGCCACCCCAGCCGTCACAGGCTGCAGCTTTGCATTCGACTTGATGCTCTTTTTGGAGAACTCTTTACCAGGGCATGCCATCTGGGTCCTGGCCTGAGTTCCATGTTCAGGTGGGTCCCGTACTTGGTTTAATGCCCTGCTGTTGCCATCTTGAGATTCTTAATAATTTCTGAATAAGGGTCCCACATGTTCATTTGCATTGGGTCCCACAAATCATGTAGCCAGTCCTGCTCTCTTCCCTCCTCTAAGACTCAAGATGAAGGTCACCTCTTCTGGAAAGACATCACCAGATTCTCTCTGATGGACTCCCATCACCCCTGGCTCATACCTCCATTAATCCACCCACTGACACTTAAGAAATGCCTGCTTCAATACCATCCACACTGGCCTCTCTCCACCATGCCAAGTCCCAAGGCACAGTGCTGAGCTCTTCCCATGCAAGAGCTTCACTTACAGCAACCCTTTAAGGTAGGTGCTATTATTTTCCCTGATGTAGATTCATTTACTGAGAACTTAAAGGATCTACCCAGGTGGAAGCAGGACTCCTGAACCCTGGCAGAGCAAGTTTGGAGCCACTACTTTCAACTCCTGGGAACGATGCTCAGAACCGAGAATGCAGTGGCCAGAAAAGGGACATTCCTTATGAGGATCACCACACTTATTCCACTTTTTGTAACTATCTGTCTACAGGCCTGAACGCCTCACTGGATTATAACTTCCTGGGACCCCAGGCTCTCACGTTCATCTCTGTGATGCAGAAACCTAGCATAGACTTGGTACATGATGAAGTCTCAACTGTGTTTGTGTGTGTGTGTGTGTAGCGTGTATTTTAGAGATGGAGTCTGGCTCTGTCCCCCAGTCTAGAGTACGGTGATGTGATCATGGCTTACTGCAGTGTTCAACTCCTGGCCTCAAGCAATCCTACCTCAGCCTCCCAAAGTGCTGGCATTACAGGCATGAGCCACTGTGCCCAACCAAATATTTCCTAAAATAATGACTAAAAGGTCATTTCCATGTAGATAGCTAATTTGATTATCAAAGTACTTCAAATACATTTTATTAAGCCATGGCAGTTGTATCAAAAATTAATCCAATTGATGTTGTTCGAGATACACCTTGGCTGGGCACAGTGGCTCACATCTGTAATCCCAGCACTTTGGGAGGGTGAGGCGGGTGCCATCACTTGAGCTCGGGAGTTCAAAACCAGCCTGGGCAACATGGCGAAATCCCATCTCTATGATTTAAAAAAAAAAAAAATGATACACCTTGATTGAAATAAAATTATCTAAAATGTTGAAAACTAAAACAAAGCAACAACAATAAAAAAACCTGTCATCCATTTTTCCTCCCAATAATGAGTTCCTATTAATGAGGATTTTAATTCAGCTGTTTAAAATTACTGGCCAGGCATGGTGGCTCACACCTGTAATCCCAGACCTTTGGGAGGCCGAGGCGGGCGGGTCACTCGAGCCTAGGAGCTCGAGACCAGCCTGGCCAATATGGCGAAACCTCGTCTCTATTAAAAATACAAAAATTAGCCAGGCATGGTGGCGCACACCCGTAATCCCAGCTGCTTGAGTGGCCGAGGCAGGGAGAACTGCTTGAATCCAGGAGGTGGAGGTTGCAGTGAGCTGAGATCACGCTACTGCACTCTAGCCTGGGCGACAGAGCAAGACTCCGTCTCAATAAATAAACAAATAAATAAATAAATAAATCTAGTTTTGAGGCCACATCCAACAAATACAAATGGAGGGACAGGATACAAAGTAACTGCCTTGAAACTGGCCTGTCCTCTTCGAAATGTCAAGATCACGAAAGACAAAGAAAACCGAGGAGCTCTGCCAGGCTAGAGACCAAGGAGAGAGGACAACTAAATATAACTGACAAACCTGGTCTGTTCCTGAACTAAGAAAAAAATGCTATCAAAGGACATTTTAGGGACAAATAGCAAAATTTTAAAAAGGATTGTAAATTAGATTAATAGCAATATATTGATGCTCAATTTATTTGATTTTGGTAATTGTACATAACTGTGTTATATAAGAGAAACGTCCTTCAAGGAATTAAGCACTTAAGTATTTAGGCACAAAAGGGAATGTCTGCAACTTGTCTCAAATGACCCCAGATATACCTATATGTATATGGACATTGGGGGAAACAAAAGTATTAAAAAGCAACTGTGGCCAGGCACAGTGGCTCACACCTGTAATCCCAACACTTTGGGAGGCTGAGGTGGGCCAACTGCCTGAGGTCAGGAGTTCAAGACCAGCCTGGCTAACATGGTGAAACCCCGTCTCTACTAAAAATACAAAAATTAGCAGGGCATGGTGGTGCACACCTGTAATCCCAGCTACTCGGGAGGCTCGGGCAGGAGAATCGCTTCAACCCGGGAGGCAGAGGTTGCAGTGAGCCGAGATCGCGCCATTGCATTCCAGCCTGCGCGAGGGGGTTCGGTGGGGAAGAAAAAAAGCAACTGTGCAGCCTGGGCAACATGGCAACCCCATCTCTAGAAATAAAAAATAGAAATTTAGCAGGGCGTGGTGGTGTGCACCTGTAGTCCCAACTACTCGGAGGCTGAAGTGAGAAGATTGCTTGAGCCTGGAAGGCGGAGGTTGCAGTGAGTCCAGGTCCCACCACTGCACTCCAACCCGGGTGACACAGTGAGATCCTGTCTCTAAATAAATAAATAACTGTGGTGAAATGTCACAATTCATGAATCTGGGTTAAGGGCATATTGGAATTCTCCATATAATTCTTGCAAATTTTTTGCTTGTTAGGAATTATTGCAAAAACAAATTTTAAAATTTAACTACAATAATACAAGTACTGCTATTATTATTCATCATAAAAGGATGTAGCAGGTAGGTAAATACCATGGTCTATAATCTAGTGATCAAGGCATTCTGACTCCTGGCCATTTTCACCCCACAAAATACTGTTGAAAAGAACATTTTAAGACCTCATGTGAGGCCGGGCACAGTGGTTCACACCTGTAATCCCAGTACTCTGGGAGGCTGAGGCAGGTGGATCACCTGAGGTCAGGAGTTCAAGACCAGCCTGGCCAACATGGTGAAACCCCATCTCTACTAAAAATACAAAAAATTAGCTGGGTGTAGTGGCATGTGCCTGTAATCCCAGCTACTCAGGAGGCTGAGGCAGGAGAATCGCTTAAACCCAGGAGGTGGAGGTTGCAGCGAGCGAAGATCGCGACATTGCACTCCAGCTTGGGCAACAAGAGCGAAACTCCGTCTAAAAAAAAAGAAAAAAACTTCATGTGATAGAAAGAAAACAGTCCATCATGAATATACTCATACATACTTATTTCATTTTGCTTTGGAACTTACTAAGTGAAGATGGTGAAGTTTTTGCTCAAGGAAATATTATGAAGGAATTCGACAGGAAAGTCAAAAAAGGCTTCTTTTTCTCCCTCTTCCCTGCAATCTCCCAGTTTAGGTTTGCTACTCTGGCCCTCCCCCCAAAAGCGTATCAAATAACTAAACTCGCCTCGATCACTTTCCAAGCTGACAGTTTCTTCAGTGTTTTGCTGGGCTTTCACAACAAACTGCAGCGCTAGGGTCTGGGTTAATATTCAGAACTGTGTTCTGTTTTCCCTAGAGTGGGATTGGCATAACAATGGACACCAGGGGCCGCAAAGAGAGACCCACAAAGGAAGACAAGTTTTTAATGCTAGAGCCATCTGCCAATTCTCCTTAGGACTTTCTCAAGAGCTGAGTGAAGTTGAAGCAAGAGCTGGGAAGGGGCGTGCAGTGGAGGGCAGAAAAATCATTCACGGGAAAAGCAATTGCAATATGAAAAGAACCAAAGGAGGGTCGAAGCCCGGATGGATGAATGAATGGAATCCGAAGGCCTCTTCTCTTGAGCTCTGAAGAGATCCACCGCACTCTCTCCGATGGGGCTTTTGTTGGTTGCCAAGCGTTTTAAATGTTATAGTAAGAATATGTTATTAAGGGAGGATTTAATATACACGAACCACACACAAAAAAAGCCCTCCAGAAGGGTCTTCTGACTACTCACGCAGAAAGCCCAAGCCACCTGCCTCTGCAAAGATTACACTGATTCTTTTTCTTTTGGTAGCAACATGTCCTAAATACAGTAGTTTAGCATGAATAAAGCATTTCTTTACCAACTCTAAATTCCCCCTTCTCCCAGAGATGTGCATATTTTTAAGACCACCAACCACGACAATGTATTCAAATACCCTAAAACAAAGTATTTTCATACCCTTGGGAAATATAATTAAAATCTGCATTTTTTTTTAGCCCAAAACATACACCTTTGACATTTTTCCCAAAAGGAAAACTCTACTGAAAACCCCGAAGGAACCATGGATGGACTGCTTCCTTGGAAGCATAAAGCACTTAAACAGCAGTTCAGACCTTGGCTCAGGTGCTAAGTCCCTTGGCATCTAACCATCTTATCTCTTTCCAAATTCTCAATTTCCTGAAGGCAAGGCATAGCCTTTATTCCCCTCCACCTCTTTAAACAGCATTAATCCCTGAATGGGATCAGTCATCTTAGGGGACAATCGAATAGACTTTCCTTGGCCAGATTAGCAAACTTTAGGTAACATTCTCTCATTTCTGAATGCAACCTTACAGTAAATCTATTGTAGTCAGACACAGACATCAACAATGGCTGGGTTGTTTTGTGGCTTTTCCACCGTGTGTTTCAGTGGGTTTTTAAGTTCTAGCATTTAAAATGCACATATCTTGCAAGTGGGGGGTCAGTGATTAAAGCTTTTTCATATCCCTGGGAAATATTATTAAAATTTCAATTTCAATTTTTTTTTTTTTTTTTTTTTTGAGATGGAGTTTCCCTCGTCACCCAGGCTGGAGTGCAATGGCGTGATCTTGGCTCACTGCAGCCTCCGCCTCCTAGGTTCAAGTGAGTCTCCTGCCTCAGCCTCCGGAGTAGCTGGGATTACAGATGAATGCAACCATGTCCAGCTAATTTTTGTATTTGTAGCAGAGACAGGGTTTCCACCATGTTGGCCAGGCTGGTCTTTTTTTTTTTTTTTTGAGATGGAGTCTCGCTCTGTCGCCCAGGCTGGAGTGCAGTGGCGCGGTCTATGCTCACTGCAACCTCCGCCTCCCAGGTTCACGCCATTCTCCTGCCTCAGCCTCCCAAGTAGCTGGGACTACAGGCGCCCGCCACCATGCCCGGCTAATTTTTTTTGTATTTTTAGTAGAGACAGGGTTTCACCATGTTAGCCAGGATGGTCTCGATCTCCGGACCTTGTGATCAGCCCGCCTCGGCCTCCCAAAGTGCTGGGATTACAGGCGTGAGCCACTGTACTGGGCCAAAATTTCAATTTTTTGTTTTTGAGCCCAATACATATAACTCTGACATACACAACTGGTCATTTATTTTTGGATCAGACTCCATGCTCTGCAGGCCTCAATTTCCAGGATTTATAAAATGCCTTCAAAGAAATCTTCATGGATGCAGTTATTTATCTAAATCGGTTGCCTTTCTAAAAACTAAAGTAGCAACAGTTTAATCACTGCCAAAAGAGTATCTTTGAAAACAGTTTGCAGCCTCTCATTTGAACAGCAGAGGCGCCCTACTTCCCTCTTCAGCCAGGCGGCAGAACGGGAAAGGGATTAGCCAGCTGGGATGCCAGCACACAAAATGTAATTCCAGGTTTATGACACATAAGTTATTTGACAAGACCAACACCAAGAGGCCTGTGGATGCTGCCAGGGCCTGGTGGGACCCCGTCAACCTGTCATCCAGGGCAGATGGAGGCCTCCCTGGTGCTGGAGTAACCAAGCGACTGTTCCGCCACGTGGCATTCCCACACCTGCGGCCCGGGCCTTGAACTCTTCTCCCCTGACTGTCAGCGGCCCGTGATTGAGCTGCAACCCTGTGGCCCAGGAGCCAGAAGGCTGACCTCGTGCTGTGAGCCGGCTGTAGACCTGGGAGTTGACTTCCTTGTCCCGCACGTAGCATCGGATCTCCTCCACCGCCTCACGGATGACAGTGACGGCCAGCACGAAGCCCTGCAGAGACAGACGACAGTGAGTCTTGCTACAGGCAGTGAGCCCTGCTGCAGCCAACCGTCCCCTCCTGGTGCCAGGGGCAGGAAAGGCGAGAGGTCACTTGGGAGGGCAGGGGGGCAGGACCTGTGAGTTATTCCAAATGCACACGCCGCTGCAAGCCCCCTCTCTGAATCTGTCTTAGGGAACATGCACTCCCAAACACAACCTGTAGAAACACTACCCTAGAGAAACACTCACTGCCACACACACACAAGCACGTCCACATTCACCACCTCAGGGTGAGGGTGACACACACAGGAATACTCAAACTGTCCCTCCACAAGCAAACGATGGTGACTACTAATACTGTCTCTCACCCACCATGTGCTGGGCAGTATTGGAAGTGCACTTCATCCTCATAACAACCCTGAGATATGCTCCTATAACTGAGATCCCCATGCAGATGAGGAAACTGAGGCACAGAGAGGCTGAGTAATCTTGCCCAAAGACATAAAGCTACTAAGTGATAAATGGGAACTGCAATGTAGGAAATCTTAATCTTTACTGCCACTGTATCTAGAGAAACTTAGGTGGATGGAGCCAGTAAGAGGGACCACCAGGCAACAGTTAAACAGAATAAGATACATCCATTGCATTCACAGAGCCAAGTGGAAAAAATCCATCTTTCAGGACATACACTGCAACCCCATTCATATAAATAGCAACAAAGATTCTATACAATTAAATGTTTTCCAATTTCCTTAACTACAGGTTAGATTTCTCTGCCGGGAAGGAGACTAGAATTAGGATAGGGAGGGACTGAAAGGTGCTTCAGCCTATCTGTAATGTCTTCAGTTTTTTGTTTTGTTTGTTTGTTGGAGTCTCACTCTGTCACCAGGCTGGAGTGCAGTGGCTCGATCTCGGCTCACTGCATCCTCCACCTCCCGGGTTCAAGCGATTCTCCTGTCTCAGCCTCTCGAGTAGCTGGGACTACAGGCACGCACCACCACGCCCAGCTAATTTTTGTCTTTTTAGTAGAGACGAGGTTTCACCATATTGGCCAGGATGGTCTCGATCTCTTGACCTCGTGATCCGCCCACCTCAGCCTCCCAAAGTGCTGGGATTACAGGGCTTTTTTGTTTGTTTTGAGATAGGGTCTCGCTCTGTCACCCAGGCAGGAGTGCAGTAGCATGACCTTGGCTCACTGCAATCTCCACCTCCCGGGCTCAAGAGATCCTCCTGCCTCAGCCTCCGGAGTAGCTGGGACCACAGGTGTGTGCGCCACCATGCCTGGCTAATTTTTGTATTTTTGGTAGAGATGGTTTGTTGTTGTTGTTGTTGTCATTGTTACAGAGTCTCACTCTGTTACCCAGGATGGAGTGCAGTGGCACCATCTCGGCTCACTGCAACCTCCGCCTCCCGGGCTCAAGCGATTCTCTTGCCTCAGCCTCCCCAGTAGCTGGTATTACATGCCCACCTAATTTTTGTATTTTTACTAGAGACAGGGTTTCACCATGTTGGCCAGGCTGGTCTTGAACTCCTGACCTCAGGTGATCCACCCGCCTCGGCCTCCCAAAGTGCTGGGATTACCGGCGTGAGCCACCACGCCCAGCAGAGATGGGTTTTTGCCATGTTGCCCAGGCTGGTCCTGAACTCCTGAGCTCACGCAATTCACCCACCTCAGCCTCCCAAAATGCTGGGATTACAGGCATGGGCCACTGCGCCCAGCTGTTTTAAGTTTTTATAAGGAAACTCTATTAAAGTATTAATTGCATAAGTAGAAACTAATAAAAATTTTAAACTTCCCCAACTTTCCTCTGAGTTGGGAACCCCAACTCATAATATCTGGTTGGGTGGAGGGAGTCACCCATAGCAGAATCTACTTCCAATCTAGATTTTTTTCCTCTTGTAATCAATAAAGCCAAAATCATTCATTTATTTTACTTACTTGTTTACAGTCATTCGTTTTCCTTGTCATTCCTTCCCCTATCCCCTTTTAAAGCTTGCCAGGACAGTTATTTTTTAAATACAGTCAGCATAACCACCCAAGGGTTAGCAGTTGTGGTTCTTGGAGAATTTCACTTTCATAGTTTACCCTGTGAAATATATTAACTTCGATTCAAAGGACTTTAAATCTCTTATGTAAATCTATCCAGAGATGTGCTGCTTTGTGAAACTCCTCCCAATGCCCATACATCTTTACAATCAAAGGATTACTCCTGTTTCCAATCAGATGTAAAGTACACACTGCAGCCAAAAGAAACTGGTACATTTCAGAATCAAAGCATAACCAGACCACATAGGGAGTGAGAGAAAACCTGTTCTGTGAGGAGCACGTACCCGGTGTGCAGGGCTGCCCCCTCCACTATGCTGCTATTTTGTTGTTCTGTGCCAAAACCCAAGTTTTCGTTGTTGTTTGTTTTTTCGAATGTTCCAGTTTCTATTTCTCTCTGCGTGGGCCTGGCTAAATCCCATTGATGTTCATGGAAAGTGTGTGCTCATACAAAGACAGGAGCCGCTCACTAACCTCCCTGCTGCAAATAAATACCACCTCCTAAATTATCACGTCTCCCTTCACATATACACACACAGTTCTCATTAATCCTAGGGGCCACGCCATGCCTTAGTATTTTTACTAGAGACAGGGTTTCACCGTATTGGCCAGGCTGGTGAAATTGCCTTACAAAGAGATGCAAATGTAGTCCAGGAATAAATTCCAACCATCCAATTTAGGAGGTCCTTAATATCCATTCACAGATATTTAGAAAGAAGCTTTAATGGGCAGGGGAAGGGGGGCTGTTGAAGGAGGCAGCTGTTGGAGCTGGTGAAGAATCATAGGCAGTGACAACTCACAGACAAGCAACTCTGAAAGTGCAAGCCTCTTTTGCCAAGTTGTACCTCAAAAATAAATTCACTAAAGCAAAGCTAATCTATGGGAGATAGAAATCAGAAAAGCAGTTGCCTGGGGTGGTGGGGGCGGGTGGGGTGATAGGAACAGGCACTGGGGAACTTCCTGGGGTGATGGAAATGTTCCATATCTTGATTGAGGTGGTATTTATGTGGAGGCTGACAAATGTCAAAACTCAATGAACTGAAAACTGAAGATCTGTGTATTTTATGGTATATAGATTATATCTCAATAACAAAAATACTCCACATTTATTTGGTCATCATATAATGTTACAGATTATTTCTGCTCTCCTGAGTTACTTCTCCCCTAACATATTAGTACCAAGAAAAAATTATTAAAAGCTAAAACATGGCTGGGTGTGGTGGCTCACACCTATAATCCCAGCATTTGGGGAGGCTGAGGCGGGAAGATCGCTTGAGCCCAGGAGTTCGAGACCAGCCTGGGCAACATAGGGAGACCCCATCTTTACAAAAACTACAAAAAGAATCAGCTGGTTTCTACAAAAGAAAATAGAAACCTGAAACAGAAAAAAAAAAAAAAATAGCTGGGCATGGTGGCTCGTGCTATGGTCCCAGTTACTCAGGAGGCTGAGGCAGGAGGATTGTCTGAGCCCAGGAGGCAGAGATTGTTGCAGTAAGCAGAGATTGAGCCACTACACTCCAGCCTGGGCGACAGAATGAGACTCTGTCTCAGGGGCAAAAAATTTAAAACTTAACAATGAAAAACATGTCATTAGTGGCAGAATTTAAAAATTAAAATCAGAATGTTTCCTGAGAATTCTATACAGCCACATGAAGCATTTTTACTTGCAGTAATTCATTTAAACCTCCCAACAAACCAAGGCAGTAGAAAGGATCATTCCTTTTTACAGATGACAAAACTGAGGCTCAGAAAAGTAGCCTTGGTTCAAATTACACGACTTCTCAGAGTCAGCTGTCGTGGCTCACACCTGTAATCCCAGTACTTCGGGAGGCCGAGGTGGGCGGATCACCTGAGGTCAGGAGTTCCAGATCAGCCTAGCCAACATGGTGAAACCCCCACCCCTATTAAAAGTACAAAAATTAGCTGGGTGTGGTGGCCACCTGTAATCCCAGCTCCTCGGGTGGCTGAGGCAGGAGAATCGCTTGAACCTGAAAGGCGGAAGTTACAGTGAGCTGAGATCTCACCACTGCACTCCAGCCTGGGTGACAGAGCAAGACTGCCTCAAAAAAAAAAAAAAAAAAAAAAGATCTAAACCCAAACCACTTGGCTCCACAGCCCTCATTCAGAACTGCTGCACTTAAGAGTTGGGTTTGAAATGAGGCAACTTTCAGAGTGGCTAGAAGACGTTTCAAAATGTCTTCTAGCCAAGAACTGAAAATTGACTCTCTACATAAAAATCTATTAAGGAAATCAGCGATGGTCACCTAGAAGTAGATGCTGTCTAATTTTTCACCACAAACCCTTTTTTCTGTAGCTGTTGGAAAGAGAGGCAACAATACAAGACAAATATCCCCCAACTTAGCCATCACAGGAAAAGCTGACTAAAAAGGGTCTACAACGTGGAGACCAACTGCTGGAGGTGCCAAAACCTAGAAACAAGCTATTAACCTGCCTGGCTTCTATCCTAAGCTATAGTCAAAGGGAAAACAGGCCAGTCAGGAGACAGCAGAGGTGGGAGTAGGGGCAGAGAAGGCCTCAGTGGAAATAAATTTTTAAAAAGTCATAATTGCCGAGTGTGGTGGCTCATTCCCATAATCCCAGCACTTTGGGAGGCCAGGGCAGGCAGATCATGAGGTCAGGAGTTCGAGACCAGCCTGGCCAGCATGGTGAAACCCCGTATCCACTAAAAATACAAAACTTAGCCGAGCATGGTGGCGCATGCCTGTAATCTCAGCTACTTAGGGGGCTGAGGCAGGAGAATCACTTGAACCCGGGAGGTGGAGGCTGCAGTGAGCTGAGATCACGCCATTGCACTCCAGCCTGGGTGACAGAGACTCCGTCTCAAAAAAAAAAAAAAGAAAGAAAGAAAAGGAAAAATGTATGCCAAACATGGCTAAGGTCTCCTCCTAACATGCATACCAATGATAGTGTAAATGAGGCTGCAGGGCTGCTCATGTCTGTACCCCAAGACATTGCAGCCAGGGCAATGGATAAGGGGAGGCGGCAGAGACCAGACTGCACATCACGCTTGAGATATAAAAGGCAGGGAGACGGAGAGACACATGGCTGCCTTCGAGGACACCTTGGGATCCCAAATCTATAAAACATGCATCTGCAGAATATATATGGTTTATGTAAGGTAAGTTATAGTATACATAAAATACATGCATAAGTAAGAAGGCACTGGAAGGAAACACACCAGAATCATAAATGGGATATTTTAGGGTAGTAGCTACACAGGTGATTTTCATCACCCTATGTGTGTGTGGGGGGGGGTTGTTTGTTTGGTTGTTTTGGTACTTTAAATATTTCTCCAATATCATGCGATCTTTTCTATTTGAAAAAAGAACAGTGAACAGGAGCAGCTTTGGAGGAGTGGGGGGCAAAAAGAATGGCAGGATCTGGCTTTTAAGATAATTCAAAAGATGTGGCTTGAGTCGAGCGCTCACACCTGTAATCCCAGCACTTTGGGAGGCCAAGGTGGGCGGATCACATGAGGCCAGGAGTTCGAGACCAGCCTGGCCAACATGGTGAAACCCCATCTCTAAAACTACAAAAGTTAGCCAGGTGTGGTGGCCCACATCTGTAATCCCAGCTACTGGGGATGTGGAGGCAGGAGAATCACTTGAGCCTGGGAAGCGGAGGTTGCAGTGAGCCGAGATCGCACCACTGCATTCCAGCCTGGGCAACAGAGCAAGACTCCATCTCAAAAAAAAAAAAAAAAAAAAAAAAAAAAAAACAGGCCGGGTGCAGTAGCTCATACCTGTAATCCCAGCACTTTGGGAGGCCAAGGCAGGTGGATCACGAGGTCAGGAGTTCGAGACCAGCCTGACCAACATGATGAAACCCCATCTCTACTAAAAACACAAAAATTAGCTGGGCGTGGTGGTGCGCGCCTGTAGTCCCAGCTACTCAAGAGGCTGCGGCAGGAGAATCGCTTGAACCCGGGAGGTGGAGGATGCAGCGAGCCAAGATCGAGCCACTGCATTCCAGCCTGGGCGACAGAGTGAGACTCTGTCTCAAAAAAAAAAAAGAGAGAGAGATGTGGCTTGAGAGATGGGGTCTGGAGCATTCCTTGCTGGGGGCCAGGGAAGGGCCTCCTGAGCCCAGAAGCACAGGGGTGAGGTAATATGAAAGTCCCTCACCTTCAACAAGAGCAGAGAGGACAAGGGACAGCCTGAACATACAGACCACGAGGAAAAGGGATGGGTCCAATTCACATACTGCTTTAAATTGTTATTAATGAGTTGTTGATGTTTAAAAATCAAGAGAAAAAATACTAAAAATTTTTAAAAATGATTAAAAACTATGTGTATCTTATTTTTTTCCTAAAAAGAAGAAACATGGGCCAGGCGCAGTGGCTCACGCCTGTAATCCCAGCACTTTGGGAGGCCAAGATGGGCGGATCAAGAGGTCAAGAGATCAAGACCATCCTGGCCAACATGGTGAAACCCCGTCTCTACTAAAAATACAAAAATTAGCTGGGCGTGGTGGCACGCACCTGTAGTCCCAGCTACTTGGGAGGCTGAGGCCGGAGAATCGCTTGAACCCAGGAGGCAGAGGTTGCAGTGAGCCAAGATCGCACCACTGCACTCCAGCCTGGCAACAGATCAAGACTCTGTCTCAAAAAAAAAAAAAAGGGGGGGGAAGAAGAAACGGGCTGGGCACAGTGGCTCACGCCTATAATCCCAATACTTTGGGAGGCCAAGGCGAGAGGATCACTTAAGGTCAGGAGTTCGAGACCAGCCTGGCCAAAAATGGTGAAACCCCCATCTCTACTAAAAATACAAAAATTAACTGGGCGTGATGGCACACACCTGTAATCCCAGTTACTCAGGAGACTGAGGCAGGAGAATCACTTGAACCCGAGAGGCAGAGGTTGCAGTTAGCCCAGATCATGCCACTGCACTCCAGCCTGGGTGACAGTGAGTGAGACTCTCAATGAATCAATCAATAAAAAGAAAGTTGTAAGAATTTTTATTCATTGTACTTTGTTCATAAGCAACTCTGGAGGGAAGGACAAGAAATGAAAGTATTGCAAAACTGGATGGAAGTAGATTCTTCAAAAGGAACATTTGTATATTTCTTGAGTCATGTGAATGTACTACCTTTCAAATAACTACACTTTAAAAAGATAACCAATAAAAGGCAGTATGATAAATGTTATTTTATATACATTGTAGACCAACTTTGTTAAAGTAACTTATGGTTTGATTTTTATGTAAGTATACAGTAAACAGTTATGGAACTAAAAAACTAAAATGAAGTTAGAGTATTTCACATAAAACTATAGAGTTTGTAACTCTTGGGTCTGGCAACTCCTGGTCCCTGTTTGTACCTGACTGGGCAGAGTAGCCGACAGGAGCTTCTCATTCTCCCAGGGCTTTACTGCATCAGCCCAGCTCTAGGGCATCTCAGTTTATAAGGTAAAGCCCAACAGTTTCCTAGGCCTAGCGCAGTGGCTCACACCTGTCATCCCAGCTTTGGGAGGTCAAGGTGGACGGATCACTTGAGGTCAGGAGTTTGATAGCAGCGTGGCCACCATGGTGAAACCTCGTCTCTACTAAAAATACAAAAATTAGCCGGGTGTGGTAGTGGCTGCCTGTAATCCCAGTTACTGAGGAGGCTGAGGCATGAGAATCGTTTGAACCCGGGAGGTGATGGCTACAGTGAGCCGATATCGCGCCATTGCACTCCAATCTAGGCGACACAGCGAGACTCTGTCTCACAAAAAACAAAAACAAAAACCGTTTCCTGATGATCACAATATCAGTGCTTAAAGGCGCAGGCACCACCTGGCAGTTGGTTAAGCATGCCACCTGATACAGGCAGGAATGTCTGTTATCAGAGGGGAAGGGATGCTTGGATAAAGGGCCTCTCTAGCTCTCAGGATGCTACTTCACCCCAAAATGACTCAGAGCAGAAAAGAACTATTCTCGTCATTTCAGAAGCACCTGCATTGTTTGTGTGGAAGAAATGACCTCCCTTCCTCTTCTCAGGGCAAGAGCTGCTGGCATCACTTGTCTGATAACATGGCACGTACGGCGTATGCACGCCCACTCCCTGGTCCCTGAGCATCTGGCTTCCTCCACTCCACAAGCACGTCTACACCAAATCCTTATCATCCCTCACCTACTGCCAACAGCAAAAAGGTTTATTGTTTTTGTTTCTTTAAGGAGAGCCTAAATCTTTTTTATGTTTACAACTTTCTCTTAGTCAAAAAAATTTAATAAGTTGGGCGTGTCGGCTCATATCTGTAATCCTAGCACCTTGGAAGGCCAAGGTAGGTGGATTCCTGAGCCCAGGAGTTGGAGATGAGTATGTGCCACATAATGAGATCCTGTCTCTACACAAAGCTTTAAAATTAGCCAAGAGCATCGTTCTTCACAGAATTAGAAAAAACAATTCTTGGGCCAGGCGCAGTGGCTCATGCTTGTAATCCCAGCACTTTGGGAGGCCAAGGTGGGTGGATCACGAGGTCAGGAGATCGAGACCATCCTGGCTAACACAGGTGAAACCCCCTCTCTACTAAAAATACAAAAAAATTAGCCAGGCGTGGTGGCAGGCGCCTGTAGTCCCAGCTACTCGGGAGGCTGAGGCAGGAGAATGGCATGAACCTGGGAGGCGGAGCTTACAGTGAGCCACGATCACACCACTGCACTCCAGCCTGGGTGACAGAGCAAGACTCCATCTCAAAAAAAAAAAAAAAGAAAAAGAAAAAAGAAAAAACAATTCTAAAATTCATATGGAACCAAAAAAGAGCCTGCATAGTGAAAGCAAGACTAAGCAAAAAGAACAAATCTGGAGGTATCACACTACCTGATTTCAAGCTCTACTATAAGGCCATAGTCACCAAAACAGCATGGTACTGGTATAAAAATAGGCACATAGATCAATGGAACAGAATAGAGAACCCAGAAATAAACCCAAATACTTACAGCCGACTGCTCTTCAACAAAACAAACAAAAACGTAAAGTGGGGGAAAGGACACCCTTTTCAACAAATGGTGCTGGGATAACTGGCTAGCCACATGTAGGAGAATGAAACTGGATCCTCATCTCTCATCTTATACAAAAAATCAACTCAAGATGGATTAAGGACTTAAATCTAAGTCCTGAAACTATAAAAGTTCTAGAAGGTAACATTGGAAAAACCCTTCTAGACATTGGCTTAGGCAAGGATTTCATGACCAAGAACCCAAAAGCAAATGCAATAAAAACAAAGATAAATAGTTGGGACTTAACTAAACTGAAGAGCTTTTACACGGCAAGAGGAACAGTCAGCAGAGTAAACAGACAACCCACAGAGTGGGAGAAAATCTTCACAATCTATACGTCTGACAAAGGACTAACATCCAGAATCTACAAAGAACTCAAACAAATCAGTAAGAAAAAAACAAACAATCCCATCAATAAGTGGACTAAGGACTTGAATAGACAATTTTCAAAAGAAGATACACAAATGGCCAACAAACATATGAAAAAATGATCAACATCACTAATGATCAGGGAAATGCAAATCGAAACCACAATGCGATACCACCTTACTCCTGCAAGAATGGCCATAATCTAAAAATCAAAAAACAGTAGATGTTGGCGTGTATGCAGTGAACAGGGAACACTTCTACACTGCTGGTGGGAATGTAAATACAACCACTATGGAAAACAGTGTGGAGATTCCTTAAAGAACTGAAAGAAGAACTACCATTGATCCACCAATCCCACTACTGGGTTCTACCCTGAGGAAAAGAAGTCATTATACGAAAAAGATACTTGCACACACGTTTATAGTGGCACAATTCACAATTGCAAAATCGTGGAACCAACCCCAGTAGCTGGGATTACAGACGCCCGCCACCATGCCCAGCTAATTTTTTGTATTTTTAGTAGAGATTGATGCCCATCAATCGACGAGTGGATAAATAAACTGTGGTATATATATTCAATGGACTACTCCTCACCCATAAAAAGGAATGAATTAACAGCATTTGCAGTGACCTGGATGAGACTGGAGACTATTATTCGAAGTGAAGTAACTCAGGAATGGAAAACCAAACATCATATGTTTTCACTAATATGTGGGAGCTAAGCTATGAGGACACAAAGGCATAAGAATGATGCAATGGACTTTGGGGACTTGGGGAAAAGAGTGGGGAGGGAGGCAAGGGATAAAACATAACAAATAGGGTGCAGTGTATACTGCTCGGGTGATGAGTGTGCCAAAATCTCACAAATCACCACTAAAGAACTTACTCATGTAACAACATACCACCTGTACCCCAATAACCTATAGGAAAAAAAATGAATTAAAAAAAAAATTATCCAGGCATGGTGGCATGTGCCTGTAGTCCCAGCCACACAGGGGGCTGGGGCAGGAGGATTCCTTTAGCATAGGAATTCAAGGCTGCAGTGAGCTATGATTGCACACTGCACTACAGCCTGGGCAACAGCAAATTCTTTTTTTTTTTTTTTTTTTTGAGACGGAGTCTCGCTCTGTTGACCAGGCTGGAGTACAGTGGCGCTCACTGCCACCTCCGCCTCCCGGATTCAAGCGATTCTCCTGCCTCAGTCTCCTGAGTAGCTGGGACTACAGGTGCATGCCACCAAGCCCAGCTAATTTTTGTATTTTTAATAGAGACAGGGTTTCACCATGTTGGCCAGGATGGTCTTGATCTCTTGACCTCTTGATCCGCCCATCTCAGCCTCTCAAAATGCTGGAATTACAGGTGTGAGCCACCGTGCCCGGCCTAAAAGCAAATTCTTTAATTAAAAATAAAAATAGAGCCAGGTGCAGTGTCTCACGCCTATAATCCCAGCACTTTCGGAGGCCGAGGTGGGTGGATCGCCTGAGGTCAGTCGTTTGAGACCAGCCTGGCCAACAGAGTGAAACCCATCTCTACTAAAAATACAAAAAATTAGCTGGGCACAGTGGCGGGCACCTGTAATCCCAGCTACTCGGGAGGCTGAGGCAGAAGAATCGCTTGGACCCAGGAGGCAGAGGTTGTGGTGAGCTGAAATTGCGCCACTGCACTCCAACCTGGGCAATAAGAGCGAAACTCCATCTCAAAAATAAATAAATAAAAATAAAAACGTTAATGAGATTTATGAACAGAGAATCCAAGCGTTCCCCCCCTGGGTCCCACTTGTTGAGAATATAAACAGCAACTGCATTTCATAATACCTCAGTTTGGAGAAAAAAGGGTATCTATTCTGCCCTCTCCATAGCTCAGTTACATTGGACCTCTTTCTGTTTCTCAAATGCTCTAAGCACATGCCTGCTGCAGGGCCTTTGCATCACTGCCCCCTGGAATAGTCTCCTTCCCATCACTCCTCAGGAGGCCTTTCACAGCCACACAGGCTAAGGCTGCCCCTTCACATCTCCTACCCTTCACCTTCATTCATGTAAAAAATACTAAATGTATCTGGGATACCCCATCTGTCCTACGACCTTATTCTGTTACCTTCAGAGCACTTTTCACAATTTGTAACAATTTCATTTACTGGTTTATTGTCTATCCCTTCTGAATGTCAGCCCCACAGGGCAGAAATATTTGTCTACTCTGTTCATTGCTGCACCCCCAGAACCCAGCACAGGGCCTGGCACACAGCAGGTGCTCAACCACCATCTGCCAAATCAATGGAGAAAGAAAAGGAGGCGAGGGAAGGAACAGAGGGGCTACTCGGTTCTGCTACACATCGCATGCACAAAAGCATAGATTCTGCTACTTTTCCAACCCCTCACACTCAAATACTCTACATTGGTTAAAAAGAAAATGTGATCCCAGGAAACAATTCAAATACAAGGTGAGCATCCCTGATGCAGAATGCTTGGGAGCCGAAGTGTTTGAGATTGCAGATGTTTCCAGATTGGGGGACATCTGTGCCATCCTTACCAGTTAAGCATCTCAAATCCAAAAATCTGAAATCCAAAATGCTCCAGTGAGCATTTCGTTTGAGTCCCATGTTAGTGCTCAAAAGTTTTAGATTTTACATTTATTTATTTGGAATTTTTTTGTTTGTTTTTGTTTTTGTTTTGAGACAGGTCTCTCTCCATCACCCAGGCTGGAGTGCAGTGGCGTGATGTCAACTTACTGCAACCTCTGCCTCTCAGGTTCAAGCGATTCTCCTGCCTCAGCCTCACAAGTAGTTGGGACTACAGGCACGTCCCACCACACCCCACTAATTTTTATATTTTTAGTAGAGATGGGTTTCACCATGTTGCCCAGGCTGGTCTCAAACTCCTGGCCTCAGGTAATCCTCCCACCTCGGCCTCCCAAAGTGCTAGGACTACAGGCATGAGCCACCGTGCCTGGCCAGATTTTAGACCATTTGAGATTTTGGATTTGGGATGCTCAACCTGTGATATAATCCATGAGGACAGGGGATTTGTCTTTCTCATTTACCTCTGTGTTCCCAGAGTCTAGACTTGTGCCATATACAATAAACATACAATAAATCCTTGTTGAGATAATGCAAGACCCAACAGCTAAATGAATAAATGAACGGCACAGGCTTTGCTATAGTTTGATCCAGGCGGTATATGAAATGGAGCTTCAACGTTAAAGTCTCAGAGACTCCCAATGTATTGGCCTAAGGGCATCCTTTCCCTTACAAGGCCACCATCCCATTCCAGATGCCTAAGTGAGAGAAACAAAGAACTTTCTGTTTCCAAACCTCTAAGGTTACTGAACAAACAATGCCGATTAACTTACCAGGGGAACCCAGTAGGTATAGAGTGCACCAAGTCTCATTTCGGGAACAAACTGAGAGCAGGCAAGAAGTAAGAAATAGAGGTTGAAAAAGTATTTGAACTGGTTGAACAGCACCTGGAATGGAGGGAGACAACAGAGAAAGACATTCAGGGCTTGTCTGATGAGATCTGGAACATTTGGTGGGAAATGAATAACATCTAAAAACATTCCTGCAGCCAGGCGTGGTGGTTCACGCCTATAATCCCAGAACTTTGGGAGGCCGAGGCGAGCGGATCACCTGAGGTCAGGATTCGAGACCAGCCTGACCAACATGGCGAAACCCTGTCTCTACTAAAACTACAAAAATTAGCCAGGCGTGGTGGCAGGCACCTATAATCCCAGCTACTCAGGAGGCTGAAGCAGGAGAATTGCTTGAACCCGGGAGGAGGAAGTTGCAGTGAGCCAAGATCGCACCATTGCACTCCAACCTGGGCAACAAGAGCGAAACTCTGTCTCAAAAAAAAAAAAAAAAAAAAAAAAAAATCCTGCTTTATAATACAATTTACACTATACTTTTCACATAGAGCTTAAACACTTCCATATGTTGTTTAGAAAAACATACATGGGTAATAAAAGTATCATTTGTAAAAGAAAGAGTAAATAATGATATACATGGAAATTGTAAATACCAAATTCAGAAGAGTAGTTACTTCCTGGGGAAGGGGTAAAATCTAACATGGAGGGGCACACAGGGGCATCAACTATGTTATGTGTGTTTTGGGGTTTGGTTTTGTTTTTTGAGACCAGGTCTCGCTCTGTCACCCAGCCTGGAGTCCAGTGGCGTGATCGTAGCTCACTGCAGCCTCGAATTCCTGGGCTCAGGCGATCCTCCTGTCACAGCCTCCCAAGTAGCTGAAACCACAAGCATGCACCACCATGCCCAGCTAAATTTTTTGCTATTTGTAGAGACAGGGTCTCCCTATGTTGCCCAGGCTGGCCTTGAACTCCTGGGCTCAAGCGATCCTCCCACTTCAGCCTCCCAAAGTGTTGGGATTACAGACCTAAGCCACTGCGTCCAGACTGTGTTATTTCTTTTTTTTTTTTTTTTTTTTTTTTTTTGAGACGGAGCCTTGCTCTGTTGTTTAGGAGGAGGTTTTTGCGGAAAATGCTTATGCTATAAGGTTGAGTGCAAAAAGAAATAAAAAGTTATGTCCAGCCAGGCGCAGAGGCTCACACCTGTAATCCCAGCACTTTGGGAGGCTGAGGCAGGCGGATCACGAGGTAAGGATATCAAGACCATCCTGCCCAACAAGGTGAAACCCCGTCTCTACAAAAATACAAAAAATTAGCCAGGCACCTATAGGCTACTCAGGAGGTTGAGGCAAGAGAATCGCTTGAACACAAGAGGCAGACGTTGCAGTGAGCTGAGATCGCGCCACTACACTCCAGCCTGGGTGACAGAGCAAAACTCCATCTCAAAAAAAAAAAAAGTTACGTCCACAGCATGTCCAGACGTGGTGGTACATGCCTGTAATCCCAGCACTTTGGGAGGGCGAGGTTGGCAAATGGCTTGAGCTCAAGAGTTCGAGACCAGCCATGGCAACATGGTAAAACCCCATCACTACAAAAAATACAAATATTAGCCAAGAGTGGTGGCATGCACCCGTAGTCCCAGCTACTCAGGAGGCTGAAGTGGGAGGATCAATTGAGCCCAGGAGGCGGAGATAGTAGTGAGCCAAGATCATGTCACTGCACTCTCGCCTGGGTGACAATGAGTCCCCCACCTCAAAAAATAAAAAGTGAAACCCCATCTCAAAAAATAAAATAAAAAATAATTTTTAAAAAGTTAAATGGCCGCACACAGTGGCTCACGCCTGTAATCCCAGCAATTTGGGAAGCCGAGGCGGATGAATCACGAGGTCAGGAGTTCAAGACCAGCCTGGCCAACATGATGAAACCCTGTCTCTACTAAAAAATAAAAAAAGTAGCCGGACATGGGAGCACGTGCCTGTAATCCCAGCTACTCAGGAGGCTGAGGCAGGAGAATCACTTAAACCCGGGAGGTGGAGGTTGCAGTGAGCCGAGATCACGCCATTGTGCACCAGCCTGGGCAACAGAGGGAGACTCAGTCTCAAAAAAAAAAAAAAAGCTATGTCCACAACATGACCTCAACTCCATAAAATAACACAGTCAAATCCTCCCCTGGGGAGCAGCTAGGTGCTAGTGTGGTTCTGACCATTGGCATGCACCCGAGAGTCAGACTGAGACCACATGACTAGTTTGGGCCAATAGGTAATGAATGGACGTACTGTGTCTCGTTGAGGCTAAGGCAGCTAAGAACCATTGGTGCCTCTTGAGCCACTCTGGTGACTTTGGTGGCCACATAGTCCAGGTGCCATACCCAGGAAATGGAGGAGTGTGGCCCAGTCTGCATCAGACTTTCCATGAATGAGAATAAACCTATTCCTCACTTGAGGTACTGAGAGTTGGGGGGAGTTGAGGAAACCAGCAATGAATATAGTCAAAATCACCCTTAAAAACATTCACGGCTGGGAGCGCTGGCTCGTGCCTATAATCCCAGCACTTTGGGAGGCCAAGGTGGGTGGATCACCTGAGGTCAGGAGTTCGAGACCAGCCTGGCCAACATGGTGAAACTCCGTCTCTACTAAAAATACAAAAAATTAGCCGGGCGTGGTGGCGGGTGCCTGTGATCCTAGCTACTTGGGAGGCTGAGGCAGGAGAATTGCTTGAACCCAGGAGGCGGAGGTTGCAGTGAGCCAAGATGGCTCACTGTGCTCCAGCCTGGGCGACAGAGCGAGACTCCATCTCAAAAAAAAAAAAAAAAATTCAAATTTCTGTTTGGGAGGCTGAGAGAGGAGCATGGCTTGAGCCCAGGAGTCTGAGGCTGCAATAAGCTCTGATCATGCCACTGCACTCCAGCCCAGGCAAGACAGTGAGATCTGGTCTCTTAAAAAACAAATTCCAATTGACCTTGAACTCGACTATATAATAGATTTGTGCCTCTGCACTATCACTCAATATCTAACACTACCATTATGTTCCTTTCTGCATTGGAGCTGATTGCTACTGCTGCTTCTCAAAGTCAACTGGTGTGTGTTTGGAGGCAGTGCTGGATAAAAATAGATATTTAATTTATGTGCATGTTGGGGAGAAGGTTTGCTGAGTACATGTCCACAGATTTGTGTAAGTTAATGTGGAAGTGTTATGCCACCAGAAACATTTATTATTAGCAAAAATACTAATGAAAATTCTCTCTATAGATGGTAAGATTAAAATGCATCTTTATTTTTTCTCCTCTAAGCTATTATCTCCCAACTTGCCAATATTGACTACATGTGTCATGATGGGGGGAAATTTAAGCACTGCTGACATTCTTTTCTGCTGTTTTGGTCATAATGCTAGGTCCCCAGAATGTCTTTTTCATTCTTAGGCTTAGCACACCAAATACATGTGAAGTTACTCTAACTGAGCAGGTGGGGTCACAGCCTTGCAGAGAGAAGGCAGGTGCCCCCTCCACCCCACCCCACCTCCAACCCCGCCACTACCCAGTGCTGAACCCAGGGAAGATGAACAACCAGGGACTAAGGTGGCACAGAAAAGTCACTGACATCTGCCACAGGGAACTCAGTCTTTTAAGACTGTACCGGCGGGCAAGGTGGCTCACATCTGTAATCCCAGCACTTTGAGAGGCTGAAGTGGGTGGATCACCTGATGTCAGGAGTTCAAGACCGGCCTGGCCAACATGGTGAAACCCCATCTCTACTAAAAATACAAAAATTAGCCACGCGTGGTGGCACATGCCTATAATCCCAGCTACTCAGGAGGATGAGGCAGGAGAATCGCTTGAACTCAGGAGGCGGAGGTTGCAGTGAGCCAAGATTGCGCCACTGCACTCCAGCCTGGGCGACAGAGTAAGACTCTGTCTAAAAAATAACATGACATGACATAACATCTGTACCAATGCATGTATTTGTGATGGAAAAAAGAAAAGAGCACGGTCCCTGCCTGCACGTACCCCAGGAAGAAAGGTGAAGAAATTGTACTTCTGATTGTTGATGACATTCCGAGGATACCTCTGGTCTCTCTTCTCGGGGTGCCCCAGCCAGACAGTGCGGGGCCTGGCCTCCCCTCCACCGCAGCATCTCAGCCACTCGCAGCACCTGTGGGAAAGAAACCCACGCATCAAGGCCACGCCCACGCATCGAGGCTGTGCTCATGTCTGCCCACTCTTCGCAGATTGCTTTTCTCTACAGCATCTTCTCTGGCTCAGGACCACAGCCATATTTGAGGCTTCATCTTTCAGTGAAACAAGAAAACAGAGCAGAAGCTCCCACGAAGCTGTGGTCCAAATAAAAGATGCTTTGTCCTGGCCAGGCGCGGTGGCTCACACCTGTAATCCCAGCACTTTGGGAGGCCGAGGTGGGCAGACCACAAGGTCAAGAGATCGAGACCATCCTGGCTGACATGGTGAAATCTCGTCTGTACTAAAAAATACAAAAATTAGCCGGGCGTGTTGGCACGTGCCTGTAATCCCAGCTACTCAGGAGGCTGAGGGAGGATAATCGCTTGAAACCAAGAGGCGGAGGTCGCAGTGAGCCAAGATCGCACCACTGCACTCCAGCCTGGCGAAAGACTGAGACTTCGTCTCAAAAAATAAGTAAATAAATAAATAAAAAGATGCTTTGTCCCCAATCCCAAATTATTTACAGTCTTGCATTGTTAAGCGACAAGGATACGCTCTAAGAAACGCATTAGGCCATTTCGGCACTGTGGGAACATTCTAGAGTGACTTACACAACCTGGCTGCCATCACCTGCTATGCACTAGGCTGAATGGTACAGCCTATTATTCCTCAGCTACAAACCTGCACAGCATGAGACTGTACTGAATAAGACAGGCAGTGGTAGCACAATGGTAAGTACTTGTGTCTCTAAACATATCTACATATAGAAAAAATACAGTAAAAATACAGTATTCTAATCTAATGGGGCCACTGTTATATATGTGGTCTGTGGTTGGTTGATATGTCATTATGTGGCAAAAGACTGTGTTCCAAAAAGTAAGATTCGGCCAGCCATGGTGGTTTATGCCTATAATCCCAACACTTTGGGAGGCCAAAGCAAGAAGATCATTTGGGGCCAGGAGATTGACACCAGCCTGGGCAACAAAGTGAGACTCTCATCTCTATTAAAAATTAAATTTTTTAGCCAGGCACGGTGGCTCATGCCTGTAATCCCAGCACTTTGGGAGGCCGAGGCAGGCGGATCATGAGGTCAGGAGTTCGAGATCAGCCTGACCAAGATGGTGAAACCCCGTCTCTGCTGAAGATACAAAAATTAGCCAGGCATGGTGGCAGGCGCCTATAATCCCAGCTACTCGGGAGGCTGAGGCAGGAGAATCGCTTGAACCCAGTAGGCGGAGGTTGCAGTGAGCTATTGCCACTGCACTCCAGCCTGGGCAACAGAGCGAGACTCCGTCTCAAATAAATAAATAAATAAAAATAATAATAATTTTTTAAAGGTAGGCTTTATTTTAGAATAAAAGGATTTAAGAAAATAAATATATCACAGTAAGTACTATTATTACATCTATGCTTCACAGATAAGAGAGAAGCTTGGGCCAGGCGAGGTGGCTCACGCCTGTAATCCCAGCACTTTGGGAGGCCGAGGCAGGCGGAGGTACCTGAGGTCAGGAGTTCAAGACCAGCCTGGCCAACATGGTGAAACCCCATCTCTACTAGAATTACAAAAATTAGCTGGGTGTGGTGGCAGACGCCTATAATCCCAGCTACCAGGGAGGCTGAGGCAGGAGAATAGCTTGAACTCGGGAGGCGGAGGTTGCAGTGAGCCAAGATCATGCCACTGCACTCCAGCCTGGGTGACAGAGGGAGACTCCATCTCCAAAAAAAAAAAAGAGAAGCTTGGAACAGCTAAAGCACCCAAGTTTGCAGAGACGTAAGAAACAGCTGGGTCTGGCCTTGAACTGTGTCAGCCTTATTCCAAAGCCTAGTGTCTTTTCCCCACCCCATGCTGTCACAGCTGCTAGTTCCACCAAGATTGCTATATAAAGGAAAAGGGGGAGCGGGGGAATCTCCTCTCCACCCCCAGCTTTCCTTTTCAGCAACACATTAGAGGAGCAAGCCACAAAGATGATGTCTCAGAGCTCGATATAACCTGGAGAGAAGCCAGCACACCAGCTGTCGGCAGAACGACCCCAAGGGCGCCCCCAACGTGGTTTTCCCAAGAGGACAGCTCATTGGTGCCAACATCAGCACCCCCACTCCCAGGTCACCCTCCCACGAGGCAAAGGAACACCTAGGAATCTGGGCTGCTCTGGCAAAACGAGGTGCTCTGAGGACCCCAAAAACGGCAGCTTGTCCTTCAGGAGAGCTTTATTAAACAAGGCACTCTGAGAAGTACAAGCTCCCGAAAAACTGCAACAAAAACGTCCCTCGCTGGACCGCTCACCTCACCGCCCCAGCACTCAAAGGCTGAGGCAAGGTCCCAGCCCTGCCAGCCCCCTGGGATGTCGCCAGCTAAGGTGAAACCAACAACTCACATATTACTCGTCCACCACAGACCTTCCTTCTTCCCTTGTTCCCACAGAGCAGGTCCTGGTGGGTGCTGGGGTACAGAGCTAAGAAAACACAGCCTCTGTCCATCAGGACCTTAAAGATGAGCGAGCCAGCAGGCTGCCTGCTCAGATGCTCAAAATTTCCATGATGAAACACAATGCTCTTTCTTAAAAATAGCATCCTCATTCCAGTAAACCAGCATTCATGGTGGAGTGTGGCTCTGCTAAGGTTTCACTTCTAGTAACTCATTCTTGTTGGCCCCTTTCTAAGTTGTCCAAAAGCCAGAGACACACACAGAAGCCTCAAGGAGTCCAACCACTCTCGCCACTCCTGTTTCCAAGTGCAAATCACCCATGCTGGCCATCAGTGGACACTCACTGAATACATTTTGAATGAATGGAGGAAGCAAAGAGGGAGGGGGAGAGGAAAAGGATGGGAGAAAAAGGGGAAGGAGGAGAGGAGCGAAGGAAGATTCATTTGACAGAAAGCGCATCACCGTATTTGCAGAAACCTTACTGGATGGTGAAGACTGACTCCTCTAAGAGCCAGTAATTCTCTCCCTATCCTATAATAATCTAGTAATGACTGTCTTCATAGTTGTACAGTTCTAATGAAAGATGAAAAATGAATTTAAGAGAATCACAAACTGTCAGGTTGACTGTTTATACAAAATTTTTGTTCTGTTTTGTTTTAGCAGAAGTTTCCAGACATCAAGCTATCCGGTTACAGTTATGCTATTTATTAATTACTTAGCCTATCACCTTTGTGCATATGCACAAAGTACAGGTCACTCACTGCACTATGGGAGCAAGAGATTGGAAACAAATCTAACCATTTGTTTCAGTCCCTTCCCGCTACTATAACAAAATACCTTAGACTATGTAATTTACAAACAAGGAAATGTATTGCTCATAGTTCTGGAGGCTGCAAAGTCCAAGATGGAGACACCAATAGATTCAGTATCTGGTGAGGCCCATTCCTCATGCCTTTTTTTTTTTCCAGACAGAGTCTAATTCTGTTGCCCAGGCTAGAGAGCAGTGGCACGATCTCCACTCACTGCAACCTCCACCTACTGGGTTCAAGCCATTCTCCTGCCTTAGCCTCCTGAGTAGCTGGGATTACAGGCGTGCGCCACCACACCCAGCTAATTTTTGTATTTTTAAGTAGAGACGGGGTTTCACCATGTTGGTCAGACTGGTCTTGAACTCCTGACCTCGTGATCCGCCTGCCTTGGCCTCCCAAAGTGCTGGGATTACAGGCGTGAGCCACTGTACCTGGCCTTTTTTTTTTAATTTTTTTTTAAATTAAAAAATCTGTATTACCCAGGCTGGTGTACAGTGGTACAATCACAGCTCACTGCAGCCTCAAACTCCTGGGCTGAAGCAATCCTCTTACCTTAGCCTCCCAAGTATATGGGACTAAAGGCATGTGCCACCATGCCTGGCTAATTTTTTAATATTTTGTAGAGTGAGGGTCTCACTATGGTGTCCAGGGTGGTCTCAAACACCTGGCCTCAAGCCATCCTCCCACCTTTGCCTCCCAAAGTGGTGGGGTTACAAGTTGTGCCACCATGCCTGGCCCCTCATGCCTTTTTCTTTTCTTAAGATGGGGTCTCACTCTGTCGCCCAGGATGGAGTGTAGTGGCATGATCTCAGCTTGTTGCAGCCTCAACCTTCCAAGCTCAACCAATCCTCCCACCTCTCAGCCTCCCAAGTAGCTGGGACTATAGGCAAGCACAATCACACCTGGCTAATTTTTGTAATTTTTTTTTTGTAGAGATGGGGTTTCACCATGCAGCCCAGGCTGGTCTCAAATTCCTGGGCTCAAGTGATCTGCCCACCTCATCTTCCAAAGTGTTGGGATTACAGGTGTGAGCCACCCCACTCAGCCCCTCCTGCCTCTTTTATAAGGGAATTCATGAGGATTCTGCCTTCATGACCCAATCACCTCCTCAGTGCCCAACTTCATACAACTATCAGATTTAGGGAGAAGGGATACATTCAGACCATAACACCGTTCATCAAAGGAAGACTGGTTAAATAAACAGGGATAAGCCATAAATGAAATTCCTAACCCCCTCTAAAGCATAAGGTCCTCTTCCGGTTCCAGGCACTTCGGGAGCTGTGGGTTCGGTGCAGACATGTCCAAGTCCACATACAACCACACACAACCAGGCCCGAAAATGGAACAGAAATGGCATCAAGAAATCCCAGTCCACGTGTATCCCATTTTGGTTTTTTTAAGAAGAAATTTAAAAAAGAAAGAAAGAAAGAAAGGAAGAAATCCCAGTCACAAAGATATGACTTTCTTAAGTGGGTGAACCCCAAGTTCCTGAGGAACATGCACTTTGCCAAGAAGTACAAGAAGAAGTGCATGAAGAAGATGCAGGCCAACACCACCAAGGCCCTGAGTGCACACGCCGAGGCTATCAAGACCCTTGTAAAGTCCAAAGAGGTTAAGCCCAAGATCTCAAAGGGTGTCGGCAGCAAAATTCATCGACTTGCCTACATTGCCCACTCCAAACTTGGGACGCATGCTCATGCCCGCACTGCTAAGGGTCTTAGGCTGTGCTGGCCAAAGGCCAAGAATCAAACCAAGGCCCAGACTGCAGCTCCAGCTTCAGTTCCAGCTCAGGCTCTCAAAAGTGCCCACGCCCCTAAAAGGCTTCAGAGTAGAGATCTCCATCTGCAAACATGAGGACAGAAGGATTGGTATGACCTCTGGGCTGCCGTCTGCATGGGGTTGGTATCTTCCTGTGCTATTTGTACAAATAAGCCTGAGGCAGGGGGAAACAAACAAAAAAAAGAATAAAATAGCGCTGTGTGCACAAAATGACCCAATCTGCAAAATACACAAAACCGAAAAGCAAGGGGCTAAAAGGTGTGTGTAGGATGCTATTCTTTGCACGAAAGCAAGAGGACATACATGCAGGGAGACGCTTGCATGAGCACAGACAATCTCCACGACGAGCTAATAACACTGGCTCCCTTTCAGGAAGAAGGAGTAGGGAGAACTTTTCCTGTATATTCTTTTAGTAAGATTTGCATTTTTTACATTCTACACATATTGTCTATGGGACTAAATGTTTCTGCAGCTAAATTCATAAGAGTAAGCATTATTTTATTAAGCGCTTACCCGGTACAAAGTACTATTCTAGGTCCTCTGGGACCAAACATTGGAACAGAATCCTTGCCTTCTCCTTCCTCACAATCTCATTGCAAAACTGGAGTGTTTGGCACAGGATAAAATAAGAACTTTGTGTTACCTGAGCCAAAAGCCCATCTCATTTAACCAATTTGATTGTTACCACATTCATTCAGTCTTCACCTGCACTGAATATAACTTACACCTTTTAATACAGGACTTATTTGACTTTCAAGTCAATAGATACTGAACACTTAGTAACAACAACAAGGCAAGTAATAGCAGCTTCCTTTTTGTCACTCCTCCATTCCCAAAGTGTGCCCTGAGTGTTTGCACAGTGGCCAGCCCTCGCCTAGGCACCGGGCATTCAGTAGCGAACAGGACAGACAAGGCCCTCCTCCCATGGACCTTGTAGCCTAGTGGAGGGAGACAGTAAACAACTTCCAAAGAAAATAAGGCCAGGGGCCAGAGAGTGAATGAGGAAGGGGTGTGGCTCCGGGAATGGGTGGCCAGGGAGGTGAGGGGACAGTTTAGCTGAGTGCCAAGAAGAAGCTGCCATGCACCCATACAAGGAAGTGCAATCCAGGCAGATGGAACTGCACAGGCAAAGATCCGGAGGTGGGAGGCAGCCTGGCACTCGCAAAGCATGCAAAGACTGGCTGCAGCAGAAATGCACCCATCACGGGGAGAAGATAAAGGACAAGGAGGGAGGAGATGGGGGGCGGACAACACAGGGCTTTGTCACCAGGGCAAGGAGTCTAGATGTTACTCCATACACAGTGTGGATCATTTGAAGGTTATAAGCAGGAGAGTGGAATGATCTCATTTATAGTTTTAAAAGGTCCCCCAGGCCACTGGTCAGAGAAAACACTGCAGTGAGCAAGAGCTGAAGCAGATAATGGGTATAGGGTTTCTTTTTATGGGAATGAAATGTTCTCACATTGTAGTTACTCTTATTTTTTTTTTTGTCTTTTGTTTTTGTTTTTTTTTCCTTTTTCTGGAGAACGAGGTCTCGCTATATTGCCCAGGCAGGTCTCGAACTCCTGGGCTCAAGCTATCCTCCTGACTCTTGCTTCCCTGAGAGCTGGGATTACAGGCGGGAGCCACCGCGCCTGGCCCTCACATTGTAGTGATAGCTACACAACTCTACAAATACACTAAAACTTGCTGAATTGTACACTTTAAATAGGTGAATTATAAGGTATATGAGTTATGTCTCAATGAAACTGTTATATTAACAACAACAAAAAAAACAGAAACAGGAATTATTTATGAGGCTGGTGCCATCATCCAGGCAAGACTATAGAGCAGTCCAGACTAAGGGGGGTGGCAGTGGGGGAGTGAGGAGTAGGGTACTAGGGTACAGACTCTCGATATGTTATAGATGTAGAAATGCACAATCTCTAAAATGTCAAAAATGAAAAAGAAATGCACTGTCTCATTTAATGTTCACAACAATCCTACAAGGTACTAGCACCATTCCCATTGTTACAGTGGATAAAGTGAGCCCCAGAGGACTCAGTGACCTGCCCAAAATCATCTGCTACATCCGCTCTCTCTCCTACTAACGGGTAGAAGCAGGAATGGAGCCCAGGCCTGTCTGATCCAGACCCTGGGCTAAGAGCTCTCTGCATCCTGCACTACCATGAACAGCCTCACCTGCACAATTCTTTCACAGCAATACTTTTTTTCCCAGTCTCTCAGTTCACAAATTGGAAGCGTCTTTGGGGACCATCAAGAGTGACTGTTCGGTCCATGCAGGAGCTCTCTTGCCCCGTACCCATTCACCTTTGAGCCACTTATCAATTTACTCCCTCTCAGTGCCAACATCACCCTTGAATACCTGCTCTGCCACAATGGACAGATTTCCTTTATGCCTCTCTCCCTTATGAATTATTTCCTTTGCTAATTACACAGATTACTAATCTACCATGTCACTCTTTGCACACGTGTGGGGCCCAATATATATACATTCAGCCTTACCAAAAGTACGTAACCCCAGTTGGACTAAGAAGCGTATTCACAGAAAAAGAATACAAAAGATACTACTCACAGTATTATTGCTGGGGAGTGAAAAAAGAGAATTGTTGGATGAATAAAGTCACTTGACTTGTACTTTTTGCTGTACCCACTTCTGCATATTTTAATTTCTTATGAACATGTATTACACTTTTCAATATTGATTTTAAAGATGATATTAACTAAGCAAAAAACTAAGCAGAGGTACTGTGGTCCTAAACTTTTGAACTTGTATGCTTCAAGGACTCATACTACGGGATACAAAACCAAACACCTCCACGGGACAGGCAGGTAAAATAAGTAAGCGAAAGAGCCAGGTGTGGTGGCGCAGATCTATATCCTATCTATATGCTATACTCTATATCCTAAGTATCTATAATCCCAGATTCTTAGGAGACTGAAGTGGGAGGATCACTTGAGCCCAGGATTTCGAATCCAACTTGGGCAACATAGCAAGACTCAGCCTCTAAAACATTTTTTTTTTTTTTTTTGAGACAGAGTCTCTCTCTGTTGCCCAGGCTGGAGTGCAGTGGTGTGATCTTGGCCCACTGCAACCTCCACCTCCTGGGTTCAAGCGATTCTCCTGCCTCAGCCTCCCAAGTAGCTGGGATTACAGGAACCCAACACCACGCCCGGCTAATTTTTTGTATGTTTAGTACAGACAGGGTTTCACCATGTTGGTCAGGCTGGTCTCGAATTCCTGACCTCAGGTGATCCACCCACCCGTGACCTCCCAAAGTACCGGGATTACAGGCGCAAGCCATGGTGCCTGGCCTAAAAAATTTTTTAAAAAGTAAGCAAATTGAACTGCATATAGATTGGGGCAAGTAGGGCAGCACAAGCTCCATCGAAAGTGTATGCCTCTCGGCCAGGCGCAGTGACTCACGCCTGTAATCCCAGTACTTTGGGAGGCCGAGGCGAGCAGATCACCTGAGGTCAGGAGTTCACGACCAGCCTTGCCAACGTGGTGAAACCCTGTCTCTACTAAAAATACAAAAGTTAGCTGGGCATGGTGGCGCATGACACACCTGTAGTCCCAGGTACTCGGGAGGATTGACGCAGGAGAATCTCTTGAACCTGGGAGGCGGAGGTTGCAGTGAGCAGAGATCACACCACTGCACTACAGTCTGGGCGACAGAGCAAGACTCTGTCTCAAAAAAATAAATAAATAAAAAACAAAGTGTATGCCTCTCTCCTTTACAGTGCTCCAGTGTTAAGCTTTCTCAGTAGAGAATGCTGGAGGGAGGCTGGGCGCGGTGGCTCACGCCTGTAATCCCAGCACTTTGGGAGGCCAAGGCGGGTAGATCACTTGAGGTAGGAGTTCGAGACCAGCCTGGACAACACGGAGAAACCCCGCCTCCACTAAAACTACAAAAATTAACCAGGCGTGGTGGCAGGTGCCTGTAGGCCTGAGTCCCACCTATTCAGGAGGCTGAGACAAGAGAATCGCTTGAACCTGGGAGGCGGAGGTTGCAGTGAGCTGAGATCACACCACTGTACTCCACCCTGGGTGACAGAGCAACACTCTGGAGGGACGCGTGTGAACCACCAGCTATGACTCACCAGCCCCACCTGCACTTGGAAGGTTGCCTCCCCCTTTCCCCATGGGTGCAGACCAGTTCTGGCCCTGCAAGCCCGCCAACTTTCTTGCCATCCAACAGTCTGGACCCCATTGTCCCCAACCAGGTCTGAACCCTGGCCCCAGAGAGGGTCCCCTTCCAAGTACGTCCTTTCTTAGGTCTACTCCCTCAGTCCTAGACTGCCATAGAGTTTTCTTCTATCCTACACTCACTCTTTTTTTTTTTTTTTTTTTGAGATGGAGTCTTGCTCTGTCGCCCAGGCTGGAGTGCAGGTGACACAATCTCGGCTCACTGCAAGCTCTGCCTCCCAGGTTCACGCCATTCTCCTCCCTCAGCCTCCCGAGTAGCTGGGACTACAGGCACCCGCCACCATGCCCGGCTAATTTTTTGTGTTTTTTTTAGCAGAGACAGGGTTTCACCTTGTTAGCCAGGATGGTCTCGATCTCCTGACCTCACCTACACTCACTCTTTAATCATGGTTGTAAAAGTCAATTTCCTCCATCTTCTTTCCCAGGGGTTTAGCTGAGCCCAATCCCATCTCTGAATTTCAGGCATGATGTGCGCAGGCTCCAGGCTTAGCCAGGGAGAGCCCTGGATGTTCTGGACATGGTGACAGGCTTGAGAAGGGACAGTGAGACCCCTGGCTGGGATTTTGCTAGAAATACTTGGAAAGATGTGTTCTTCTCCCTGGGGTTGCTAAGGTAGCAGAAAACATGCCTGGGCAGGGGACAGACATCCTGTTCCCATTGAGGGACTAGTCGGCCTGAAAATGAAGCCCCCAAGGAGGACAGCAGAGACAAGAAGTTCCCGATAGCCTTGAGAGACTGCAAAGATTCACCCACCCCTGGACTTTCAGTCTCAGAGTCAATAAAATAGCTTTTGTTGTACTTTACTTTGCTCAAGCCAGTTTACTTTGTTTCACTGTTATTTATTTATTTAGAGACAGGGTCTCACTCTGTTACCCAGGCTGCAGTGCAGTGGCGAGATCATAGCTCTCTGGAGCCTCAACCTCCTGGACTCAAGCAATCCTCCCACCTCAGCCTCCCGAGTAGCTGGGACTACAGGCATGCACCACCACACCTGGCATATTTTATAATTTTTTGTAGAGTCAGGGGTCTCCCTACATAGCCCAGGTTGGTCTCAAACTCCTGGGCTCAAGCGATCTGCCCACCTCAGCCTCCCAAAGTGCTGGGGTTACAGGTATGAGCCACCACGCCCCAGCCAACACAAACCAATTTTAGTTGGGAGTCTGTCAGCCACTATCTAAAATCTTTTAAGATTCCTGTCTGGCAGGCCAGGCGCGGTGGCTCACACCTGTATTCCCAGCACTTTGGGAGGTCAAGGCGGGTGGATTACCTGAGGTCAGGAGTTCAAGACCAGCCTGACCAACATAGTGAAACCCCGTCTCTACAAAAAATACAAAAATTTTGTGTTGTTGTTTTTGTTTTTTGAGACAAGGTCTCATTCTGTCACCCAGGCAGGACTGTGGTGGCACCATCATGGCTCAGCGCAGCCTCCTTTTCCCCAGGCTCAAGTGATCCTCTTGCCTCAGCCTCCCACGTGGCTGGGACTACAGGTGTGTACCACCACTCCCGGATAATTTTTTTTATTTTTTATTTTTAGTAAAGACAGTCTCACTATGTTGCCCAGGCTGGTCTCCAACTCCTGGTCTCAAGCAATCCTCCCAGTTCAGCCTCTCAAAGTGCTGGGATTACAGATGTGAGCCACAATACCCGGCCCCAATTCTAATGTTTAAAGAGTACAGTCTACACCTTAAAGCCTGCATTTTATCATCCTGTCCTCACTGCTCTGACTTCTTTACAGTTGTGCTGTCCACCTTGGCGGCTTCTACCACATGTGGCTATTTTAAGTTTCAATTAATTAAAATTAAATTTTAATTTAATTAATTAAAAATAAATTTTAATTAATTAATTAAAAATTAAAAATTCCTTTTCCCTGGCCACACTGAGTGCTCCATAGCTACATGTGACCACTAACTACGGACTAGACTGTGCAGACACAGAACATTCCATCATGGCTGAGAGTTCTACTGGGCAACACTGCTGGAGAGCATCCCTTTCAAGACACCTCCTTCCACCTTACTCTTGAACTGATGTCAATGGCAAAGGAAGCACACACGAACATTAGTAAGTGGAGCTCACAGGCCAGGCGCGGTGGCTCACGCCTGTAATCCCAGTACTTTGGGAGGCCGAGGCAGGCGGATCACGAGGTCAGGGGATCGAGACCATCTGACCAACATGGAGAAACCCCATCTCTACTAAAAATACAAAATTAGCCAGGCGTGGTGGCGCATGCCTGTAATCTCAGCTACTCAGGGGGCTGACACAGGACAATCGCTTGAACCTGGGAGGCTGAGGTTGCAGTGAGCCGAGATCACACCATTGCACTCTAGCCTGGACAATAAGAGCAAAACTCCGTCTCAAAAAATAAAAATAAAAATAAAAAAGGAAGTGGACCTCACAATGGAGGGAAACTCGCCTGAACAGAGTTTCCCAAACTTCAGCCATTTTCATACACACATGGGATTTCTATGATCTCCAAATACCTCTAGCTTCTACCTACACAATTTTGTCTAAATTTGATCACCTTACATCAGTGGTTCTCAACTACAGGCAATTTTGCACCCCCAGGGTGGGTATCTGGCAATATCTGGAAACACTGTTGTCTGTCACAACTCCAAGATGCTACTCTCATCTAGTGGATGGAGGCAGCCAAGGATGCTGCGAGACACCTTACAATGCACAGACAACCTCCACAACAGAGAAGTATCCAGCCCAAAACGCCACTTGTGCCCAGTTGAGAACTCCTGCTCTAGGTTTTATATATAAACTATTTGTTTAAAATGGATTCACTCCATTTACATAAATGTATTTTAAATGATAGCCTCTGGCCAGGCATGGCTCACACCTGTCATCCCAACACTTTGAGAGGCCGAGGCAGGAAAACAGCTTGAGTTCAGGAGTTGGAGACCAGCCCGAGCAACACGGTGAGACCTCATCTCTACTAAAATTCAAAAATAATTAGCCAGGCATGGTGGACATGCCTATAGTCTCAGCTACTTGGGGGGCTAAGGACGAAGGATTGCTTGAGCCCGGGAAGTCGAGGCTGCAGTGAGCCCTGATCATGCCACTGTACTGCAGTCTAGGGGACAGAGCAAAACACTGTCTCAAAAAAAAAAAAAAAAGATAACTTCATGCCATTACCATAACTAGAAACCAGTATCACTTGCCATAAACAGAAGATAAATAACAAAACCAGCACAATGAAAAGCAAAGTGTGTTACTCCACTCCAGCTGGCTGCTGCAGCTGGCAGTGCCTCTGAGCCAGAAGCCTACCCTGCTGTTGCTCCTCCTCCTTTACTTTTTTTTTTCTTTTTTTGAGACGCAGTCTTGCTGTCGCCCAGGCTGGAGTGCAGTGGCGCGATCTCAGCTCACTGCAACCTCCGCCTCCTGGGTTCAAGCAATTCTTGTGCCTCAGCCACCCAAGCAGCTGGGATTACAGGTGTGCACCACCACGCCCAGCTAACTTTTGTATTTTTAGTAGAGACGGCGTTTCACCATGTTGGCCAGGCTGGTCTCAAACACCTGACCTAAAGTGATCCAGCCGCCTCGGCCTCCCAAAGTGCTGGGATTAGAGGCATGAGCCGCCGCACCTGGCCCCTCCTTTCTTTATTGCTGAGAAGTTAGCAAGTGTTTGGTGTTAAAAAGTAGGCCCTGACAGGGCTGTAAATACTGAAGGGAAACTGAAAAATAAATAAGCGTCTTGCTAAATGTCTCAATGTGAGTCAGTTCCTGCCCATGAATTCCTTAAATTTATCACTGCAGCACCCAGAACCATTGCCTGCCCAGCATTTTGGAACTGTTGTCCCACGGTAGAAACCTTGAGCTTGGTGGCAAACTTACTACAAGTGACCAAATTCCCCCACATCTGTCCAAACAAGAGAAGTGACAGCCAGCCTCCCTACTGAGGAGTGGATTTATACATGCAGTTCTCTTCCTGGGGAAGCTGCAGCCACACCCTGCGTGTTGCATGCATGGACTTCAGCTCCCTGGTGCCCCAGGGTTCCAGAGGAGCAGTGGCCCAAAGCTGTGTTGTGGCAGCTGTCACGTTGGTGTTGTGGGTGCTGCTGTTGTTCCTTAACACCAAACTGAAACTGGACCGTCTGACACTGCCATGACAAATAAACTTCCATCCCACATTCCAGACAGGCTGGGGAGATGGGCTGCAAGACCGAAACTGATTTTTTTTTTTTTTTTTTTTTGAGACGGAGTCTCACTCTGTCACCCAGGCTGGAGTGCAGTGGCGGGATCTCGGCTCACTGCAACCTCTGCCTCCCGGATTCAAGCGATTCTACTCCCTCGACCTCCCGAGTAGCTGGGATTACAGGCGTGCACCACCACGCCAGGCTAATTTTTGTATTTTTAGTAGAGACGGGGTTTCACCATATTGGTCAGGCTGGTCTGGTCTTGAACTACTGACCTCGTGATTCGCCCGCCTCAGCCTCCCAAAGTGCTGGGATTATAGGCATGAGCCACCGTGCCCAGCCCAAATCCTTTAAGAGTAAGAAATTAGGCCGGGCACGGTCGTCACGCCTATAATCCCAGCACTTTGGGAGGCTGAGGCGGGCGGATCACGAGGTCAAGAGATCGAGACCATCCTGGCCAACATGGTGAAACCCTGTCTCTACTAAAAATACAAAAATTAGCTGGATGCAGTGGCAAACACCTGTAGTCCCAGCTACTCAGGAAGCTGAAACAGGAGAATCGCTTGAACCCTGGAGGTGGAGGTTGCAGTAAGCCGAGATTCTGGCACTGCACTCCAGCCTTGGTGACAGAGTAAGACTCCATCTCAAAAAAAAAAAAGTTATTTTTCCAGATGAAAAAGGAAAATATGAAATAACTTTCTCACCCATTGATAACAGCCATTCAACTAGGTTAAAGTGTAAGTTTATAAATAACTTCGTTTACACTGCTTCCTGCTTAGACCATTTATTTATTATTTTATTTATTTTTTGTTTGTTTGTTTTTGAGACAGGGTCTCACTCTGTCACCCAGGCTGGAATGCAGTGGCCCAATCTCGGTTCACTGTAACCTCCGCCTCCCAGGCTCAAGTGATCCTCCCATGTCAGCCTCCTGAGTAGCTGGGACTACAGGCCTGCACCACCACAGCCGGCTAATTTTTGTATTTTTAGTAGAGATGGGGTTTCACCATGTTGGCCAGGCTAGTTTCAAACGCCTGACCTCAGGTGATACACCTGCCTCAGTCTTCCAAAGTGGATTACAAGCATGAGCCACCGCGCCCAGCCTAGACCATTTATATAAAGGAAAACCAAAATTGATTTTCTTAGGATTTGACTTTAAGACAAATAAAGGTTTTAACAGCAGATAGTCTGCTAACCAGATGTGCAATGGTTTCATACAATCTGGCTGAAATGCAAAAGCAAATATTAGAGGAGCAGAGCCAAGGGAACAATGTTTCTGAAAAAGGTAACTAATGTAACAAGGAGTTGGCCTCCACAGAAACCATCATCTCTGCTGGGAGTTCCCCTATAATCAGTTAGCACTGCGCAAATATTTGCTGAATTGTCTGCATGACACACCAACCTTCCAGGAAGTTACAGGGTCCAGGAAAGAACAGTCTCAGCATTGACGCTGGGCAGATCCAAGAAGAACATGAAGAAAAATTAAAAGTAGCCAGATATGGTGGCTCATGCCTGTAATCCCAGTACTTTGGGAGGCCGAGGCGGGAGAATCACTTGAGGTCAGGAGTTCGAGACCAGCCTGGCCAACATGACGAAACCTTGTCTCTACTAAAAATATAAAAATTAGCTGGGCATGGGCCGGGTGCAGTGGCTGACTCCTGTAATCCCAGCACTTTGGGAGGCCAAGGCGGGTGGATCAAGAGGTCAGGAGATCAAGACCATTCTGGCCAACATGGTGAAACCCTGCCGTCTCTACTAAAAATACAAAATTTAGCCAGGTGTGGCTGTAGTCCCAGCTACTGGGGAGGCTGAGGCAGGAGAATTGCTTGAACCCGAGAGGCAGAGGCTGCACTGAGCCAAGATCATGCCACTGCACTCCAGCCTGGGTGACAGAGCGAGACTCCGTCTAAAAAAAAAAAAAAAAAAAATTAGCTGGGCATGGTGGCGGGTGCCTGTAGTCCCAGCTATTGGGGAGACTGAGGCAGGAGAATCGCTTGAACCCAGGAGGAAGAAGTTATAGTGAGCCAATATTCTGCCACTGCACTCCAGCCAGAGTGAGATTCTGTCTCAAAAAAAAAAAAGGAAAAAAATTAAAAGCCGTTATGAATTAGTCAACAGCAGTGGTTCTCAATAGCAGGGCGGGGGGATTTTGCCCCCTGCAGACATTTGGCAATGTCTAGGGATGTGTTTGATTGTCACTACTACAGGGAAGTAGGGCACTACTGGCACGTAGTGGGTAGAAGCCAGGGATACTGCTAAACATCCTACAATGCCCAGGAGACCCCCCACCAGAGAGTGTAATCTGGCCCCAAATGTCAATAGTCCTGCGGTGGAGAGCCCTGCTCTGGAGCAGCTCTGCCCACTAGGCTTCTGTGATGATGGAATCATTCTATACTGCACCATCATCCAGCACAGTAGCCAGCAGCCACATGTGGCTGCTGAGTACCCAAAATGTGACATTTAAAGTTTATTTCAATACCCAAAGGAATATACATCATTCTACCATAAAGACACACGCACACAAATGTTCACTACAGCACTATTCACAAAGCAAAGACATGGAATCAACCTAAATGCCCATCAAAGACAGACTGGATAAAGAAAATGTAGTACATATGCACATGGAATACTACGCAGCCATAAAAAAGAACAAGATTGTGTCTTTTGCAGGACATGGATTGAGCTGGAGGCTATTATCCTCAGCACATTAACACAGGAAAAGAAAGCCAAATACCACGTGTTCTCACTTATAAGTAGGAGCTAAGTGATAAGAACTTACAGGCACAAAGAAGGGAAGAAGAGACACTGGGGGTCTATCTGCAGGTAGAGGGTGGGAGGAGGGAGAAGAGCAGAAAAGATAACTGTTGGGCACTGGGCTTAATACCTGGGTACAGCAAACCCCGGTGACATGAGTTTACTGATGTAACCTCAGGTACGTAGCCCTGAACCTAAAATAAAAGTTTTTAAAATTTTTTATTTCATTCACTTAACTGATTGAAATAGCCACGTGGTACCATTATGGACAGCAGTTGTTAAGAGGGCAGTTAGGAGTGGAAGGAGGCTGGGCACGGTGGCTCACGCCTGTAATCCCAGAACTTTGGGAAGCCGAGGCAGGCGGATCACCTGAGGTCAGGAGTTCAGGACCAGCCTGGCCAACATAGCTAAACGCTGTCTCTACTACAAACACAAAAATCAGTCAGGGCTGGGCACGGTGGCTCACGCCTGTAATCCCAACATTTTGGGAGGCCAAGACAGGCAGATCACGAGGTCAGGAGATTGAAACCATCCTAGCTAACACAGTGAAACCTCGTCTCTACTAAAAATACAAAAAATGGGCCGGACATGGTGGGGGACACCTGTAGTCCCAGCTACTCAGGAGGCTGAGGAAGGAGAATTGCTTGAACCCAGAAGGTGGAGGTTGCAGCGAGCCAACATCACGCCACTGCACTCCAGCCTGGGCAACAGAGCGAGACTCCATCTCAAAAAACAAAAACAAAAATCAATCAGGTGTGGTGGCGCACGCCCGTAATCCCAGCTACTCCAGAGGCTGAGGCAGGAGAATGGCTTGAACCCAGGAGGCGGAGGTTGCAGTGAGCCGAGGTAGTGCCATTGCACTCCAGCCTGGGCAACAGAGCGAGACTCCGTCTCAAAAAAAAGAGAAAAGAAAAAGGAGTGGAAGGAAAGGTATGAAGGGAAACTTTTGCTCTTCCTTCTAAATACATCTAAGGTCTGGGTTTTTCGTTTTTTTTTTTTTTTTTCCTGTTTAACTAGGAGAATACAAAACCTAAGTCAGGAAGGATGCAAAGAAAGAAGCGAAGTCTGAAGTCTGAACACATCCCTGCCACAGAAATGCTACTGTCTGGAGGAGAAATGGGAATATATCAATCACCTCATGAGAAAAGCCAAGTCAATGTGGCAGCTTCTCTTTAAATGTAAAGCTCAGGTCCTCTGACCCAGCAAGTCCTGCCAGAGGGAGGTAGGGAGCGATCTCTGGTCCTATGGGAGATGCACGAGGATGTTCACAGCGGCAATAGACAGGGCAACACCCCGGAAATGACAAAGGCACCCCCTGTGCAATGGATTTGTACCAATTGCAAGAAGGAAGTAGAGACATATACACTCCAGGGAAAGATCCAGGTGGTTAAATGGGAAGAAAAAAAGAAGGCAAGAAACATGTAATTTATTATTTTGTATTTTAATACCAAAATATGTGTTAATATAAGCCTAGGAAAAAGCACTGAGGAACAAACACCTCCTCTGCCCCATGACTGTTACCACAGGTGCTTCCAGCAGATGGGCAGTCAGGGATGCTGGGACTGTCGCCTTTCCCTGTTTCTCCATCTCTGAGTCTTCCCTGTGGGTATTCTGCTGCTCAGCAGACCTGACTCCTCTTATAGAAGTATGACTCGTGTGTTGACCCACTCCCACAAAGATCCTACAGCTATCAGACTCAAGTCCAAGGCTCTCACCTTCTCACCTTTTCATCTCTGCTGTCCCTTTACCAAGCCACCCTCCTGCAGCCAAGGCAGGCATGCCCCGGAACCCTATGCTCTCATCTTTCCCCACCATTCCATTTCTATCAAACTACCCAACATGTCTGTAAGACCCACTCACACCAGACATCCTCCTGCAAGCCTGTCCCTTTGTCTTCTATCTATCCTTCCAAACCCAACTCTGTGCTCTTCACAAGGAGAGGAGGAAGCAGTTCTGGGCTCTCTTAGACTCTACTGGTCTGTTTCTCTCTAGACCAGGACTGGCAAACTCAAACCTACAGGGGCCCAGCAAGCCACATAAAAAAATACATAGGCCAGGTGCAGTGGCTCACGCCTGTAATCCCAACACTTTGAAAGGCTGAGGCAGGAAGATCACTTACAGCCAAAAGTGTGAGACCGGCTTGGGTTACATAGTGAGATCCCATCTCTATTTATTTTTTAAAAATGGAAGAAGAAGAAAAGAAGAAAGAAGGAGGTGGAGAAGGAAAGAAAGAAGAGAGGAGGGAGGAGGAGAAAAAACAATGAATGAAAATAAACACAGGGTCCAGTGGGATGGGGCACACCGCCAGTCCAGTTCCTACACAAGCCTAGACCATCTGATTCTGCAAGACAAAGACATTCTGTAAGCAAATATTCAGTTATAAAATGTTGGCAACTGATTCAATTTTTAAATATTATACAAAACTAAAACCACACCAAGATATCTTTTTTTTACGACCAAAGTCAAAAATCTTAATAATGGCAAGGATGGACAAATAGGCGCTGTCACTGCCAGCAAGGATCCAAGATGGCATCACCTCAGGGAGGACATTTTGACGATGCTATCAAAATTACAAATGTACCTTCACTTCAGCCATTCCCCTTCCAGATATTCCGTGCAGTCTAACATGGGCACAAAGACTTGTGTGACATTTCTAGTAATAGTAAACCATTAGAAAAAATAAATATAACTGACCAAGCTCAGTGGCTCACGCCTATAATCCCAGCACTTTGGAGGCCCAGGTTCACTTGAGGCCAAGAGATCAAGACCAGCCTGGGTGACAGCGCCTCTAAAGATTAGATAGATAGATAGATAGATAGATAGATAGATAGATAGATAGACAGACAGACAGACAGACAGACAAATAAAATGGAAAAATAATCTAAATGACCATCAGTGGTAGACTGGCTAAACAAACTACAGTACTATTCAATTTAATACTACAAAGGCATTAAAATAATGATCAAAGGCCAGGTGCAATGGTGTGTGCCTGTAGTCCCAGCTATTTGGGACGCTGAGGCAGGAGAATCACTTGAACCCAGGAGTTTGAGACAGCCTAGGCAACACAGCCCCCACATCTCAAATAAGTAAATAAATAAATAATTTCAAAAAGGGAATGAAGAAGGTTGTTATATACTGACACGGAACGAGCTCAGAATTTTTTTTTTTTGAGACGGAGTCTCACTCCGTCACCCAGGCTGGAGTGCAGTGGTGCGATCTCGGCTCACTGCAACCTCCGCCTCCCGGATTCAAGCAATTCTTCTGCCTCCTCAGCCTTCCGAGTAGCTGGGATTACAGGTGCCCACCACCATGCCCAGCTAAGTTTGCTATTTGTAGTAGAGACAGTTTCACCATGTTGACCAGGCTGGTCTCAAACTCCTGACCCCAGGTGATCCACCCACCTTGGTCTCCCAAAGTGCTGGGATTATAGGCGTGAGCCACTGCCGGCCAGAATGTACTGTTAAGTGAACAATACATGTACTGTGTAGGGTATATTAATAATAGAATAAAAACAAAAAATCTATGTCTATTTATCTATATAAAGATGCATGGTTTTTTTGATAAATGCTTAAAAATTTCTAGAACAATACAGAAGAACATGGTAAGACTGGCTGCCTGGGGAAGGGTACAGGGTAGCTGACTAGAGAGAGTGGGAGGGAAACTGACTTTGCAATGGCTACACCTCTGTAGCTTTTAAGTATTAAACCATGTGACTCTGACTCAGTACACTTTTTTCTAATCTAAAAATAAAATAGGCCGGGTGCAGTGGCTCATCCTGTAATCCCAGCACTTTGGGAGATAGGCAGATGGCCTGAGCTCAGGAGTTTGAGACCAGCCTGGGCAACATGGTGAAACCCTGTCTCTACTTAAAAAAAGAAAAAAAGTCCAATAAAATTAGCTGGGTATAGTGGTGGGCACCTGTAATCCCAGCTACTTGGGAGGCTGAGGCGGGAGAATTGCTTCAACCCGGGAGGCGGAGGTTGCGGTGAGCCGAGATCGCACCACTTGCACTCCAGCCTGGGTGACAAAGCAAGACTCCGTCTCCAAAATAAATAAAAATAATAATAAAATAATAAAGCTCACCCCGCTGCCCAAACAGCACACAGCTCTGTCTGCAGCCTCTGATCTTGCCATGAGCTTGTAGGTCAGAGAGCAGACACCATTCACCTCCCCCAGGCCTGGCACACAAACGTGCTCCGTCACTAAGCGTGGGCTGATGACTCATTCTCCTGGGCCCTTTCACATGCCCCAGTGCCCAGCACTCCTCCCTCACCTCATGCATTTGTGTTTACCCAAGACACTCGGTCATAGGTTCTAACACAGACCTAGGCCACAGAGCCTGGCTGGCAACCCCACACAGCACGAGCCCAAAAAATTCCAGAAAACAGGACAGAATCCAGTGGAAGGCAATTTCCTAGACACCAAAACAATAAGCAAAAACATGAGTAAGTGCTGAGTGTGTGCCAAGCGCTGTGGCAAAGCCCTCAACGCGAATGACTTGCCTTGCTCCTCCCGACTGTCCTACATCAAGGGCTTCTATCCTCGCCCTCTTGTAGATGAGGACACTGCACCTCAGAGGGTCTTGCAGCCCATAAGGGACAGAGCCAGGATGTGAGTCCAGCAGGCTGACCCCGGAGCCAGCCCTCTTAGCTGGAGTCTGGCAATCTCATCTCGTTGTAGAATCTGAGAGCCACCTCTCAATTGTCTAGATGGCAACCTAGGGAGGAATCCAAATGGCAGGAACCCAGCAGAGACACACCAAGGGTCCCCACTGGCACTGCCAAGCCCACCTGCCTCCTCCCTCCAAGCCTGCTATGGCAGCTGGCACTGCTATGGGAGCGTCCATGAGCAACACACATTGGGGTCTAAGAGCTCTACGTCCAACAAGAGGCAGGAGGCTGGACGTGGCTCCTTCCTTGCAGCCATGGGTCACGCGGATAAAGAAGGGAAGGAAGAAGGGAGGGGCATCAGGAAGGAAGAATTCCCTTTTTCTCTGCAGATGAGGATTCCATTGTTTATCCTCCTTCTGGCTCCAGTGCTCAACATGTACCCTCACTGAAGCCCATTGTGGGCCCTGCCACCACTTATACCCCCAATGAATTAGGAATGCAAAACTCTTGAGATTTTTTAACGTTTCTGGGTTTTTTTTGTTTTTTTTTTTTTTTTTTGAGACAGCGTCACACTCCATCCCATGCTGGAGTGCAGTGACGCGATCATGGCTCACTGCAGCCTCAAACCCCTGGACTCAAGGGATCCTCCCACTTCAGCCTCCCAAGTAACTGAGACCACAAACATGCAATACCATGCCCAGCTAATTTTTTATTTTTCTTGGTAGAGATGGAGTCTCCCTATGTTGCCCAGGCTGGTCTCGAACTCCTGGGCTTAAGAAATCCTCCCACCTCCGCCTCTCAAAATGCTGGGATACAGGCATGAGCCACCATGCCCTGTTGCTCCTATTCCTTTTTGTTTGTTTTTTGTTTTTGTTTTGTTTTGTTTTGAGACAGAGTCTCGCTCTCCCCAGGCTGGAGTGCAATGGCGCAATCTCGGCTCACTGCAAGCTCCGCCTCCCGGGTTCACGCCATTCTCCTGCCTCAGCCTCCTGAGTAGCTGGGACTGCAGGCGCCCACCACCACGCCCGGCTAATTTTTTTGTATTTTTAGTAGAGACGGGGTTTCACCGTGTTAGCCAGGATGGTCTCGATCTCCTGACCTCGTGATCCGCCCGCCTCGGCCTCCCAAAGTGCTGGGATTATAGGCGTGAGCCACCGCGCCCGGCCGCTCCTCTTCTTTATTCACTCGCTCATTTAATCAAGCAGCCAGTATTTACTGAGCACCTACTAGGTGCCAGCCTTTGTGCTAAGCACTGGGATTCTCACAAGACAAACGAGGGCACTGCTCTCACAGAGCCTACATTTTGTAGGTGGGCAAGGTAGGAACAACAACAAAAAAAAAAAAACAAGAAAAAAAAAATATATGCTACTCAGCGGTAGGTGGCTCCTACAGAGTGAATGGTCTGGAAAGATGTCCCAAAGACACAGCTGAGCTGAGACCTGGGAGACAAGAGACAGCAGCTTACGAGCTGTGGGACCCTGGACTAGTTAATTAACCCTGCTAAGCCTCCGTTTCCTGGAAAATAAAACAATGACAGTACCTAGTATTGGACGATGCCATTAAGACAATCCACTTAAAATACCTAAGACAGTGATGCTGGCACCCAAGACACCAACGGAGTTTAACAAAATTCTTACAAGAAAAACTACTGTGTGTCACTAGAACGGAAGCCCCACACTGTCAGGGATTTCTCTCGCACGTGTTGACCACTATATCCCTAATATTAAAACTGCCAGAGACAGAGTAAGTGCTCAGGAAATATTTATGGAGTGAATAAACGGATGAATCAACAGTAGCTATTTTTAGTCTTCATGCTATAAACCTCTGTTAACTTTTCTGTGAGTGTGTAGAGATCTGGATGCCCTTTCAAACAGCCGGCAATTCTCTGAAATATCCAAAAACAAGGCCAAGATTCTTAAGCACTGGTTTTCTGTGGTATCACACACAAAACTGCATTTTTGAGTGCTTCTTTGTTGGTCAGGCTTATCCGATCCCAGTTAGGTGACTTCTCAGGCCCCGGGCAGGAGTCAGTGCCTCTCTCTACTTTCTCTTTGTTTGCTTTAGGAAGGGCCAGGATTCAGAATGAAAACATTACCTGTGGCCGGGTACAGTGTCTCATGCCTATAATCCCAGCAGTTTGGGAGGCCAAGGTGGGTGGATCACCTGAGGCTGGGAGTTCGAGGCCAGCCTGGCCAACATGGTCAAACCCTGTCTCTACTAAAAATACAAAAATAGCTGGGGGTGGTTATGCACGCCTGTAATCCCAGCTACTTGGGAGGCTGAGGCAGGACAATCACTTGAACCTGGGAGGCAGAAGTTGCAGTGAGCCAGGATGGCGCCATTGCACTCCAGCGTGGGCAACAAGAGCCAGACTCTGTCTCAAAAAAAAAAAGAAAGAAAGAAAGAAAAGAAAAAGAAAACATTACTTGTAAAGTGAAAATAAAATACAAATCAACTTGTGAGACTATAAGGCACTGGTTAAGTAAATTAGAGATGTCTATTCAAAGAAATATGCTGTCATTCAAAATGTCATTTGCATATGGCAAAACCCTGTCTCTATTAAAAACACAAAAATTAGCTGGGCGTGGTGGTGTGCACCTGTAGTCCTAGCTACTTGGGAGGCAGAGGCGGAGGCAGGAGAATCACTTGAACTCGGAAGGCGGAGGTTGCAGTGAGCCGAAATCATGCCATTGCAATCCAGCCTGGGCAACAGAGTGAGACTCCGTCTCAAAAAACAACAACAACAACAACAACAACAACAACAACAAACCCACGTTCTACATGGTTCCTAGTCATAAAACAATGTACACGCAGAAACAAACAGGAAGAAAACATCATCTGCTAAAAGGTTTGTGTTCATTGTGATTGTCTTTGAAGGAAAAATAACATAATACCAGCATTTCCTTTATCAGTTTTCTCTGTTCTCTCATTTTTCTTTTTCTTTCTTTTTTTTTTTTTTTAATGAGACTGAGCCTCGCTCTGTCACCCAGGCTAGAGAGCAGTGGCACGATCTCGACTCACTGCAACCTCCGCCTCCCAGGTTCAAGCAATTCTCCTGACTCAGCCTCCCAAGTAGCTGGGATTACAGGCATGTGCCACCATGCCCAGCTAATTTTGGTTTTTTTTTTTCCAGTAGAGACAGGTTTTCACCATGTTGGACAGGCTGGACTCGAACTCCTGACCTCAGGTGATCCACCCACCTCAGCCTCCCAAAGTGCTGGGTTACAGGCACGAGCCACCATGCCCGGCCTGTTCTCTCATTTTTTTTTACATAGATATGTACTCATTTTTCAATTAGAGGAAAACAAAGATTAGACTTTTTCACTGCTCCCCTTATAACATAAACTATTCAAGAAGAGAGTGCCTGGCCAGGCCCTGGAGCCTGGAGCCCCACAGGAGGACAGACCACCCTGACTTGACAATTTAAGCTCAGTGTTCCTGTGACTTGGCTAACCTATATGTCTAAAACTCAATCTCAGATACAGAAAAGGAAGCCAACGCTGGGCGCGGTGGCTCATGCTTGTAATCCCAGCACTTTGGGAGGCCAAGGCAGGTGGATCACCTGAGGTCGGGAGTTCAAGACCAGCCTGACCAACATGGAGAAACCCCGTCTCTACTAAAAATACAAAAAAGTAGCCAGGCCTGGTGGTGCATGCCTGTAATCCCAGCTACGCAGGAGGCTGAGGCAGGAGAATTGCTTGAACCCAGGAGGCGGAGGTTATGGTGAGCTGAGATTGCGCCATTGCACTCTGGCATGGGCAACAAGAACAAAACTCCATCTCGGGAAAAAAAGAAGAATAAATTTCTTAGGTCAGGCATGGTGGCACAGGCCTGTATTCCCAGCACTTTGAGAGGCCAAAAGTGGACAAATCACCTGAGGTCAGGGGTTTGAGACCAGCCTGGCCAACATGGCTAAACCCTGTGTCTACTAAAAATACAAAAAAAATCACTGGGCATGGTGGTGCATGCCTGTAATACTAGCTAGTAGGAAGGCTGAGGCATGAGAATTGCTTGAACCCAGAAGGCAGAGGTTGCAGTGAGCCAAGACCACACCACTGCATTCCATCCTGGGCAACAGAGTGAGACACTGTCTCAATAAATACATAAATAAGCCGGGCATGGTGGCCCATGCCTGTAATCCCAGCACTTTGGGAGGCCGAGGTGGATCACTTGAGATCAGGAGTTTGAGACCAGCCTGTCCAACATGGTGAAACCCCATCCCTACTAAAAAAAAAAAAATACAAAAATTAGCCAGGTATGGTGGCATACACCTGTAACCCCAACTACTCAGGAGGCTGAGGCAGAAGAATTGCTTGAACCCAGGAGCCGGAGGCTGCAGTGAGCCGAGACTGCACCACTGCACTCCAGCCTGGGCAAAAGAGTGAGACTCTGTCTCAAAAAATAAAAAATAAGTAATAAATAAATAAATTTATTGGCTGGGCGTGATGGCTCACGCCTGTAATCCCAGCACTTTGGGAGACCAAGGCAGGCGGATCACAAGGTCAGGAGTTCGAGACCAGCCTGACCAACATGGTAAAACCCCGTCTCCACTAAAAATACAAAAATTAGCTGGCGTGGTGCCACGGGCCTGTAATCCCAGCTACCCAGGAGGCTGAGGCAGGAGAATCGCTTGAACCCAGGAGGCGGAGGTTGCAGGGAGCCAAGAACGCGCCTCTGCACTCCAGCCTGGGTGAAAGAACAAGACTCCATCTCAATTAAAAAAAAAAAAATTTCTTATAATACCATTATACTCCTATCAGAATGGCTGAAACAAAAGGTGACGGACAATACCAAGTGTTGATGAGGACATGGAACAACTGACCAGCTTGGTGGAAGTATAAATTAGTACAATTGCTTTGGAAAATTATCATTTTCTTCTAAAGCTAAACACAAATATACCCTAGGGCCCAGCAAAGCCACATAATACATACTGAATGATGTGTTCAAGAATGTTCATAGCAGCCGGGCGCGGTGGCTCACGCCTGTAATCCCAGCACTTTGGGAGGCCGAGGCGGGCAGGTCACAAGATCAAGACCATCCTGGCTAACAAGGTGAAACCTCGTCTCTATGAAAAATACAAAAAATTAGCCAGGCGTGGTGGTGGGCGCCTGTAGTCCCAGCTACTCTGGAGGCTGAGGCAGGAGAATGGCGTGAACCTGGGAGGCGGAGCTTGCAGTGAGCCGAGATCGTGCCACTGAACTCCAGCCTGGGCGACAGAGCGAGACTCCATCTCAAAGAAAAAAAAAAAAGTTCATAGCTGCACTATTCATGACATTAATTTCAAATAAAAGCTTAATAACACTAAGAGATACTGCACATGCCAAGATGGCAATAAATGAGACGCTTTCTACGTTAGTTTCCTTGGGCTGCCATAATAAAATATCATAGACTGGATGGCTTAAACAACAGAAACTTATTTTCTCACAGTCCTGGAGGCCAGAAATCCAAGAACAAGGTGTCAGCAGGGTTGGTTTCTCCTGAGGCCTCTCTCCTTGGCTTGCAGACAGCCACCTTCCCCCTGTGTCCTCACACGGTCTTTTCTCTGGTGTCTCTGTCTTTTTTTTTTTTTCTTTCTTTCTTTCTTTTTGAGATGGAGTCTCGCTCTGTCGCCCAGGCTGGAGTGCAGGGGCATGATCTTGGCTCACTGCAACCTCCGCTTCCTGGGTTAAAGCAATTCTCCTGCCTCGGCCTTCCTAGTAGCTGAGATTACAGGTGCACGCCACCACACCTGGCTAATTTTTGTAATTTTAGTAGAGATGGGATATCACCATGTTGGCCAGGCTGGTTTTGAACTCCTGACCTCAGGTGATCCACCTGCCTCAGCCTCCTAAAGTTCTGGGATTACAGGTGTGAGCCACCATGCCCAGCCTCTCTTTCTGTCTTAATCTCCTCCTATAAGGTCACCGGGCTGGATGGAAAAGGGCCCATCCTAACAGCTTCATTTTAAATTGATCACCTCTTTAAAGGCCCCCTGTCTCCAAATGCAGTCACATTCTGAGGTGCTGGGGATTCCAGCTTCAAACGTGAATTTGGGGAGGTGTGGGGGATCCACGTCTGCAACATTTCCCAAATGTTCTAACAGCACAAGGCTTCCTTAATTACTAAATCAGAAAGCTGACCTCATAGCAAGAACAATAGTCCAGACTATATGAATTTCTCATCCAACAGGTGTCTTGAGTTTTGTTTTCGGTTTTGTTTTTTTTTTAAAAAGACAGGATGAGACACCTTAAAAGGACTATGGCCACTCAGTGAGTATCAGCTTCCTTAGTCCAGTGGCTCTGAGGGCCATTCACCCCCCAGAGGACACTTGGCAATGTCTGGAGACATTCTTGATTGTCACAAGGTGGGGAGGGGATGGCACTGGCATCTAGTGGGCAGAGGCCAGGGATGTTGCTAAACATCCTACAATGCCCAGGACAGCCTCCATAACAGGGAATCATCAAACCCAAAATATCGGCCAGGCGCAGCATATTTTTAGTAGAGACAGGGTTTCACCATGTTGGCCAGGTTGGTCTTGAACTCCTGACCTTAAGTGAGCCACCCACCTCGGCCTCCCAAAGTGCTGGGATTACAAGTGTGAGCCACCAAGCCCGGCCCCAAGCCTGACTTTATCTCATCACTGCAAACTGCCCGTGGCACGTGGGAGATCCTGCCAGGCCCACGGTAGGAGCAGGGCACTGTTGACACTACAAACTGATTCTTCCTTGGGGACCGCCGCCAACAGGCTTTTCCTTGGCATTTGCTAAATGCCACAGAGATTTAATTGGGGCGAAGGAAGAGCATCCGGCCCAGTCCACCTTTCCAATTCTCACCAGAAGCCTTTCCCTGCTCGCACAGGGCCTCTTCCAACTGTCTTCCCCCAGAGTTTCTGCAAATTCTGTTTAGACAAAAATAAAAGCAGGGCCAGGCACAGTGGCTGCTGCCTGTAGTCCCAGCACTTTGACAGGCAGAGGTTGGCGGACTGCTTTAGCTCAAGAGTTTGAAACCAGCCTGAGCAACATGGAGAAACCCCATCTCTATAAAAAAATACAAAAATTAGCCAGGTATGGTGGTGCATGTTTGTAATCCCAGCTACTGGGGAGGCTGCAGCGGTAGGATTGTTTGAACCCAGGAGGCTGAGGTTGCAGTGAGATCGCACCCACTGTACTCCAGCCTGAGCAATAGAATGAGAGTACGTCTCAAAAAAAAAAAAAGGTTTTAAATGTATAAGCACAACCAACTATCCTATTTCTTTCCCCTTGTAGCAGTAACATTATGTGTTTAGACTGCGCCATTTCAGCATGGGCCACTAATTCCTAAATGTCAGGCATGACTTGGGGTATTTACAAATCTCAGGAACTTTTATAGACTTCATGGTTTTCTTTAAATTGACTGCCTTTTATTTAAATTCTAAAAGGAAACTTCCTGCCATGACACAAGAAAGCAAGTATCATTTGGTACAAACAGAAGGGCTCATAAAAATAATTGCTAACCTTTCATACATATATTAATCTTTCAAACTCACAAATTAGAGAAAACAGATACTAGTTGTTAAAATCAGAATCATTCTAAATGTCATCAATAAAAATGTTATAATTAGTCTTTTTCTTTCCAAATTAAACCAAAATCACCACCTTCATGAGTGACCCTGAAGACACGTCCCAACCCCTCCACCCCTTCAAAGGCAGTCATAAAATACAGCCAGCCCTTATCACTGACTTTCAACATTTCCATCTGGGTAAAGACACTAAAAGAACATTCTGTTCTGAGAAGTAAGGGACAAAAGTCCAAAGATGGCCGGTTCCATGCCTTGCCTCCTTTTTCCAACTTATTGCATGCAAGACAGAGGTCAAGGTCAAAGGGTGCCCCCATCTCCTTGCGGACTGGACTACAGGGACCTCCTCTCGCCAGCCAGCTGTACAGTAGGTAGAAAGAGCCCTTTTGGGCTGGGCGCAGTGGCTTATGCTTGTAATCCCAGCACTTTGGAAGGCCAAGGCGGGCGGATCATGAGGTCAAGAGTTCGAGACCAGCCTGCAGAACATGGTGAAACCCCGTCTCTACTAAAAATACAAAAATTAGCCAGCCATGGTGGCCTGCACCTGTAATCCCAGCTACTCAGGAGGCTGAGGAAGGAGAATCGCTTGAACTCGGGAGGCGGAGGTTCCAGTGAGCCGAGATCATACCACTGCACTCCAGCCTGGGCAACAGAAGGAGACTCTGTCTCAAAAAAGAAAAGAAAGAGCCCGTCTGCAAGGAAGCCCGGCAGGCACGGCACCCATGTCCACACTCCATCCTTCAGAGTCCCTCTGTGGGTTTGCAACAACACATCTTCTGGTCTCCACGTGGGCAGAGAGCAGCTAGTCTGGTTTTGGTCAGCACAAGGCAGAGCAAGGGAGGACCTCTGTAACTGAAGGGGATGGCGCAAGTGCAGCTGGGCGCTGGCAGAGGACAGAGAGCACAGCCCCATGGGCCGCTGCCAAGCTCCACTGTTCTCATCCCAGGGGGGCAAAGAGCTGTTGGTGCAACTCTCTCCTCCAGCCCAGAGAGGGGAAGGTCGGTGGCTGAGGAGGGGGGTGTCTCTGGGTTTCACCCACCAGCACAATCCCCTCCCTCAAAACATACCCCTATATGCTTGGTATCTAATACTCCCTCCACCACATCAAAGAAAGGATGTTAAAATGTACACACACGGCCGGGTGCGGTGGCTCATGCCTGTGATCCCAGCACTTTGGGAGGCCGAGGTGGGTGGATCACCTGAGGTCAGGAGTTCGAAACCAGCATGGCCAACAGGGCAAAACTCTGTCTCTACTAAAACCACAAAAATTAGCTAGGCGTGGTGGCGGGTGCCTGTAATCCCATGTACTCAGGAGGCTGAGGCAAGAGAATCGCTTGAACCTCAGAGGCAGAGGTTGCAGTGAGCCGAGATCGCACCACTACACTCCATCCTGGGCGACAAGAGCAAGATTCTGTCACAAAAATAATAATAATAATAAATAAAATTAAAAAATAAAATAAGATGTACACACACCCCTACATGCCACATATCTAATACTATCTCCACTTTGTCAAAGGAAGGACATTGAAACACACACCCACCCCACTATATACAATTGATCCTCATAATTTATAATTTCTGTATTTGCAAATTCACCAAATCCCTCAAACTTGTAATCCCAAATCAACAGCTGCAGCCCCTTCACAGTCACTAATGGATGCGTGCAGTGTAGCCAAAATGGTGAGTTGCTCCTCCCTGCCCCGCCCCCAGACACACACATTCCCAGCTGAGGTGACACAAGGCTTCTCATTGCAGCTCTCACACTACAAATAGGAGTCATTTTTGTGGTCTCTTACTGCCACGATTTGTGCATTTTTGTGCTTTTCCCTGATGGTTTTGCAGTTTAAAATGGCCCCTCAGCACAGTGCAGAAGAACTAGTATCTCTAAGCACAGGAAGGCTGGGATGTGCCACGTGGAAAAAATACACGTGTCAGATAAGCTGCCTCCAGGCGTGAGTTACAGAGTTGTTGCCTGTGAGTTCGATGTTAATGAATCCATAACGTACATTAAATATGCGGTTTTTAAAAAACAGAAACACACCTAAAACGAGGTTCTTCATTGATCAGTCAACAAAAATAATGTGACCAGAGCCTCTCAGGAACCTAACCCCATATTTCCCCTAAGAGCAATGGTTCCATATTCGAAAATTCAGTGCTCACAACGACTGAAATAAAGAATGTAAGTACTGGGCAGGGCACGGTGGCTCACATCTGTAATCCCAGCACTTTGGGAGGCCAAGGCAGGCGGATCACCTGAGGTCAGGAGTTCGAGACTAGCCTGGCCAACATGGCGAAACCCCGTCTCTACTAAAACTACAAAAATTAGCCGGGCATACTGGTAGGCATGTGTAATCCCAGCTACTTGGGAGGCTGAGGCAGGAGAATCACTTGAACTGGGAGGTGGAGGTTGCAGTGAGCCAAGATCACGCCACTGCACTCCAGCCTGGGCGACAGAGCAAGACTCCGTCTCAAAAAAAAAAAAAAAAATGCCAGGTGCAGTGGCTCACGCCTGTAATCGCAACACTTTGGGAGGCCGAGGCAGGCGGATCACAAAGTCAAGAGATCAAGACCATCCTGGTCAACATGGTGAAACCCTGTCTCTACTAAAAATACAAAAATTAGCTGGGCGTGGTGGTGGCGCAGGCCTGTAGTAGTCCCAGCTACTTGGGAGGCTGAAGCAGAGAATTGCTTAAACCCAGGAGGCAGAGGTTGCAGTGAGCCGAGACTGCGCCACTGCACTCCAGCCTGAGTGAGAGTGAGACTCCGTCTCAAAATAAAAAACAAGAATGTAAGTCCTGAGAGTAATGAGAGTCCTACCTAACACCACCTCCATCACATCAAAGAGAAAGGGCATTTTTGTTTCCTTATCAGTAAAGCAAGAATAAAAAAAATTACCAACATCAAAGGGCCATTGTGCAGCATGAAAGAGGAAACATGAGTTCAGAGCCAAAACACTGCAGGTCCTAAATAAATATTCATCTTTTTCCTCCACCGTCAGATAATGAGTCACATAAACATGCTGACATAAGCTCTATGCTCTCAGGCAAAATGTAGGACCTCTGAAATGCCTCTGATGCCTCCACCCAGGTGGCGGGCTTCCTGTCTAGATTCCAGTCCCCTTTGTGGGATGGAAAGAGGAGCACGACAATCCGTTCCCAGGGTCTGCAGCACACATCGGTGTGTGACAGCTTCTCCTCATTGTTGTAACAAATTAGCACAACTTTGGCCGGGCGCCGTGGCTCACGGCTGTAATCCCAGCACTTTGGGAGGCCAAGGCGGGCAGATCACGAGGTCAGGAGATCCAGACCATCCTGGCTAACACGGTGAAACCCCGTCTCTAATAAAATACAAAAAATTAGCCGAGCGTGGTGACAGGCGCCTGTAGTCCCAGCTACTCGGGAGGCTGAGACAGGAGAATGGCGCGAACCCGGAAGGCGGAGCTTGCAGTGAGCCAAGGTTGCGCCACTGCACTCCAGCCTGGGCGACAGAGCGAGACTCCGCCTCAAAAAAAAAAAAAAATTAGCACAACTTGAGTGGCTTAAAACAATGCAAGTTTATTACCCTACAGTTAGGTCCGAAGTCCAAAATGGGCCTCATGGGACTAAAATCAAGGAAGGTGTCAGCAGAGCCGTGTTCCTTCTGGAGGCTCCAACCGAGTCCGTTTCCTTAACTCTTCCAACTTCTAGAGTCCCCCGCATTCCTTGGCTCATGGCCCCTTCTTCCCTCTTCAAGCCAGCAGTGCAGCCTCTCCCAATCTTTCTCTTATGCTGACACTCACTCTCCTGCCTGTCTTTCGCTTTTAAGGACCCTGTGATAACACTGGGCCGGGCCAGGGTCAGTGGCTCACACCTGTAATCTCAGCATTTTGGGAGGCCAAGGTGGGCAGATAACTTGAGGTCAGGAGTTCAAGGCCAGCTTGGCCAATACGGTGAAGCCCCGTCTCTACCAAAAATACAAAAATTAGGCCAGGCATGGTGGCTCACGCCTGTAATCCCAGCACTTAGGGAGGCCAAGGTGAGCGGATCATGAGGTCAAGAGATCGAGACCATCTCGGTCAACACGGTGAAACCCCATCTCTACTAAAAATACAATTAGCTGGGCGTGGTGGCATGCGCCTGTAGTCCCAGCTACTCCGGAGGCTGGGGCAGGAGAACTGCTTGAACCGGGAGGCAGAGGTTGCAGTGAGCCAAGATCACACCACTGCACTCCAGCCTAGTGACAGAGCAAGACTCTGTCTCAAAAAAAAAAAAAAAATTAGCTGGGCGTGGCGGCGGGAGCCTGTAATCCCAGCTACGCAGGAGGCCGATGCATGAGAATCGCTTGAACCCGGGAGGTGGAGGTTGCAGTGAGTAGAGATCATGCCACTGCACTCCAGCCTGGGTGACAAGAGCGAGACCCTGTCTAAAAACAAACAAACAAAAAGATTTAAGGTGATATATCCACAAATGGCTTTTTTTTTTTTTTTTTTTTTTGAGACAGGGTCTCACTCTGTTGCCGAGGCTGGAGTGCAGCGGTATGATCAGGGTTTACCGCCACCTACGCTTCCTGGGCTCAAGCACTCCTCCTACCTCAGCCTCCCAAGTAGCAAGGACCACAGGCTCAAGCCACCATGCCTGGCTTTTTTTATTATTATTATTTATTTTTTGTAGAGACAGGGTTTCACTATGTTGCCCAGGCTGCTCTTGAACTCCAGGGCTCAAGCAATCCTCCTGCCTGGGCCTCCCAAAGTGCTGGGATTACAGGTGTGAGCCACCAAGCCCAACTGAAATTCTATTACACAATAAAAAGAAACTTCAAAAACTTCATGCTAAATTAAAGCAGCCAGACACAAAAGGCAACACGTGGTGTGATTCCATTGATAGACAATTTCCAGAAAGGGCAAACCTATGGAATCAGAAAGCGGATCACTGGTTGCCTGGGACTGGGGCAAGGGCAGGGATGAATTGCAGATGGGCTGGAGGAGACTTTCGGAGGTGATGGAAACATTCAAAACCCATGCCGGAGTGATGGTTGCATAACTCCATACACCTGGTTTTTTTTTAATCAATGGTTTACATACTTTTTTTTTTTTTTTTGAGATGGAGTCTCGCTGTGTCGCCCAGGCTACAGTGCAGTGGCGCGATCTCGGCTCACTGCCAGCTCTGCCTCCTGGGTTCACGCCATTCTCCTGCCTCAGCCTCCTGAGTAGCTGGGACTACAAGTGCCCGCCACCACACCCAGCTAATTTTTTGTATTTTTAGTAGAGATGGGGTTTCACTTGTGTTAGCCAGGATGGTCTGGATCTCCTGACCTCCTGATCCGCCCACCTTGGCCTCCCAAAGTGCTGGGATTACAGGAATGAGCCACCGCACCTGGCCAGTTTACATACTTTCAATAGATGTATGCTATATAAATTATACTTCAATAAAGCTGTTTAAAACATTGTGGTAGACAACATATCTATTCAGTTCTTCTTTCTCAATCTGATTCATATTCAAAACTTCCTAGTCCCCCAAATCCAAATATATCAAGCATCAAAGCATCCTCATCCAGTGTGGCCACCCACAAAACGTAGATTGTTACAATGAGGCAAAGTCTTGGGCCACCTGGTACCTAAGCTCCCATCCTTGCCACAACATCACACCAGGGCCTCGACATACCTGGACAGAATGCTCTACATAGTTATTCATTTTCCTAAATTTGATCAGGAAAAAGCAGTGAAATTCATATTTCTAAATTTCTCATAAAAGGCCCCTCCTCTCAAAGAAGCACACTGTAGACCCCAACGGTAAACCTCATGCAAACACCTAAGGATTACCATTAGCCCTAGTAAACACCTAAGGCATACTGAGCACTTATTCTCCTAAACTTTACATGGACTAAAAAACTATGAGATACATAATTATTGATATTCCCATTTTACAGATGAAACAACTGAGACTCAGAGAGGTAAAGTTATTTTCCCAAGATCACACAGCTAGTAAGCAGCAGAGCCTGGGTGTGAACCCAGCTCCTCAATGGACTCCTGCGTCCTGGCTCCTAACAAATAATCCCTGCCATTTCACCACAAGAGGAGCTCCATTCAGCCATAAGCAAAGGGCATGATGTCATAAAATGGTTTCCAGCAATGGAGGTGAAATGCCTTGTTTCCTAACTACACCATTTCAAAAGTTTTCTCAACATCAGGATGTGGTAACTTTCTCAAGAGAGAAAAGAACTTTGAAGCCAGGAGATTCCTCCAAAAATAAGCTGCACGTCTTCGCAACATTCGCTGAGTGACCCCAGAAATAACTGCATTCTGTCCCCTATGACATGTGGCATCGTTTTTGGTTTTTTTAACCACAAATCTTCCAACCATTCCACAGCTTTATTGCCTAGAACCATTAGGTGAAATGGGTGGATCCGGTTCAAAACTGCCTCCTCTCACAACCTCCAAGACCACGAACACATTAATATCAGTGAATCTTTGTTTCCCTGTCAATAAAATGGGAGAATTTTTTTTTTTGAGATGGAGTCTTGCTTCTTCACCCAGGCTGGAGTGCAGTGGTACAATCCTGACTCACCGCAACCTCCACATCCTGGGTTCAAGCAATTCTCCTGCCTCAGCCTCCCCAGTAGCTGGAATTACAGGCACCACCACCACACCCGGCTAATTTTTGTATTTTTAGTAGAGACAGGGTTTCACCATGTTGGCCAGGCTGGTCTCGAACTCCTGACCTCGAGTGATCCGCCCACCTTGGCCTCCCAAAGTGCTGGGATTACAGGCTTGAACCACCACATCTGGCCCCTAAAATGGGAGAATTAACTCCAAAAACTCACATGGTTGTTGTAAGGATTAAAACAGCCCTATTTATCTCAAGTGTCCAGCAGACAGCCTGACCCATTACATATTACTTTTTTCTTCCTTTAACCACCCACCCACTTTAGCCCTCACGCTGCCATCCCCCAGCCCCTAGTTCTATTTCAGGAAGCTCCTCCATCTCTCTGTGCTTCTCAAGAGTTTCTAAACTTCAGGATTCCACCTTGATGTTGCTACTCCTGAAAATGCAGATTATATACAAGAGCATTTACGCAAATGCACAGCAACCCTGATACACAATTTGAATCCAAATCCATGTCACTGTTTAAGAAATAGATTGGCCAGACACAGTGGCTCACATCTGTAATCACAGCACTTTGGGAGGCCAAGGTGGGTGGATCACCTGAGGTAAGGAGTTCGAGACCAGCCTGACCAACATGGAGAAACCCCATCTGTACTAAAAATACAAAATTTGCCGGGCATGGTGCATGCCTGTAATCCCAGCTACTCAGGAGGCTGATTCAAGGAGAATCGCTTGAACCTGGAATGCGGACGTTGCAGTGAGCCGAGATCGTGCCAGCCTTGGCAACAAGAGTGAAGCTACATCTCAAAAAAAAAAAACAGAATTAGATTAGTTCCAGGCCAAGCACGGTGGCTCACGTCTGTAATCCCAGCACTTTCGGAGGCCAAGGCAGGTGGATCACCTGAGGTCAGGAGTTCAAGACCAGCCTGGCCAACATGGTGAAACAACTCTCTCTACTAAAAATACAAAGATTAGCCGGGAGTGGTAGTGGGCACCTGTAATCCCAGCTACTTGGGAAGCTGAGGCAGAAGAATCGCTTGAACCCAGGAGGCAGAGGTTGCAGTGGGCCAAGACCAAGGCATTGCACTCCAGGCAACAAGAGTGAAACTACATCGTCTCAAAAAAAAAGAAAGATTAGTTCCAAAGCTGGTAAATTCTAAAGGGGCTGTGATGCTCCATTCCAACGCAACCTAGAAAACTTACTTTTAAATAAAATTATCTGCACCACTCCCTCTGGCTCTCCATATGAACGGCTCATGTTTCTATCACGCTAATGATCACTTTTGAACAATATTTGCATTTTTCTTTCATGTACTGACTCAAAAGTTCTCAACTCTGACTGCATGTTAAAATCATCAGGGGAGCTTATTAAAATATATAGATAGAAACCCAGGTCCCACCCTAAATTCTTATTTCAAAGGTCTAGAATGAATCAGAAAAGGCTAGTTAAGTTTCCCTGGTGATTGCAATGAACAGCCAGGGTCAGGACACCCACACCTGTTGGGCAGGTCTTCTTTAATTCATCCTTGCATCCCCATCAGCTGGAGTGGCTCCTGCACATAGTAGGCGTCTCATAATTGCTCATGGCACAAATTAATAACCACTGGATTTTAGACTCCACTGATCATATTAATTCATCACAGTATTTACGGAGGATGTACGATGTACCAGGCACTGTTCCAGGCATAGTGTTCAAGTCAATTGTCATCATTAAAACGAAGGAGGCCGGGCGCGGTGACTCACGCCTGTAATCCCAGCACTTTGGAAGGCCGAGGTGGGTGGATCACGAGGTCAGGAGTTCAAGACAAGCCTGGCCAAGATGGTGAAACCCCCGTCTCTACTAAAAATACAAAAACTAGTCAGGCGTGGTGTCGGGCGCCTGTAATCCCAGCTACTCGGGAGGTTGAGGCAGAGAATTGCTTGAACCCGGGAGGCGGAGGTTGCAGTGAGCCGAGATCTCGCCACAGCACTCCAGCGTGGGCAACAGAGGGAGACTCCGTCTCAATAATAATAATAATACTAATAATAATAAACGCAAAACAGAGAAGGGAGGAGTGAGGGAACTATCTTTGGGTCAGACAATCCGGAGTTCAATCTCCATTTTGCAGTCTTCCCTATAGCCCTTAACCTCCGTAACCTCCAGTTTCCTCCTCTGGGTAATATCAGTGAGGCCTCTTCTTCGGAGGATTCAGGAAGCCAGGGACAAAGACCCCACAAAATGGCCGCCAGCACCATTCTTTTTTTTTTTTTTTTTAATTCCACTGACACCTGGTGAAGCCACCCTTATGGTTCACTCCACCCGCCGCGTCTCCTGTTCCGAGCAACTGACGCTGCAATAAGCGGCCGCCACCGGGAAATGCCCAGAGAGGACCAGACGCCCGAGGAAGGGCGGAGCAGAGCGGCCGCAGGCCCCGCCCAACACCGCGCTCAGCCTCCCGCGGGCTCCAGCCTCACCTGCGCGGCCTGTGGAGCTGCACATCTCCAGGCCCCGCCCCCCAGAACTCTGATTGGCGGGTCTAGGCGGGGGCCGGGAAATCTGCATTTGCACCAGCGCCCACCCCCGTCCTTCCCACCCCCGCCCCTCACGCCCAGGTAAGTCTATGGCAGGCGATACGAGAGCCCCGCAAACCTCAACGCGTCACGCTGCCATCCTCCGAACAGGAAGACGGCGAGGCGCAAAATACCAACCCGTCCCCTCTTCCCAAATGCAGAAAAACCCTTGCCTGTTCCGCGCCTAAGCTGCCCTCGGGGTCTCCTACTGCGGGAAGGGCACAGCAGGTGGCAGCCCCTGTCCCAGCCGTGGGATTCCTTCCCCGAAATTGTGGGGGGAGAACACAAGGGGTAGTGTCACCAAGCGGCCAGTAGGAGACCCTCCCACCCTCCTGCGACTGCTGGTTCGGGTCCACCCCGGGCGGAGGGGGAAGGGGCCACCGGAGCGCAGGTGGTCTCGGCGCAGCCTCCTGGGGCTGGGACCCAGGGGCGCTGATGGGGTACCCCGAGGCGTAGGCCGCGCCCCCCTAAAAGCTGAGCATATCTGGGCTCCCGAGTAATGCTCCAAGCGCAGAGCTCGGTGTGACACTGACCAAATTGTTACCTCAGATATTAATTACGGACAGATATTAATTACGGAACAATAAAACGGTGAGAAAGCACGGCTGATCCGAATTCCGCGAGTGTGTAAACAGCACTGGGGCGGGCCCGGCTTCTCGGGGTTTCTAAAGGAAGGTGGGCAAGGAGGCCCAGGCAACCGGGCGCTCGAACCCCAAAGGGCCGGCATCAGGCTAGGTGCCGCCCGGGGCTGAAGCGCAGGGACCCCCTCCCCACCTCCCCGCCTCCCCAGCCCTGCCCCAGGCTCATGGCGCCGGGCGCGGCGCGCGGCCAACCTGTCAGGCCCGGCCAGGCTGGCCCGAGCGCCGGGCTCCGGGAGGCGCGGACAAAGGAAAACACGGGCCCAGGCCCACTCACCCGGCGCGGGGCCTGCTGTCCATCCGCTTCTTCTGGCGCACCGGCTGCAGCGGGATGTTGTCCGTCATGTCGGCGGCGCCGCCCGCCTTGGCCGCCGCGCCCCCCGCGCCGCCTGGGCCGCCGCCCGGTCCGGCCTCCGCGCCGCCGCCCGCCGGCGCCGCGCCGCCCCGGGGGAGGAGGCGGCGGCAGCGGGCGGGCCGGGCCCGCAGCGAGGGGGCGAGCTCGCGAGCGCCGGGCCACGCGCGGAGCGCCCGCGCGGCCCGACCGACGGACACGGGCGCACCATGGGCCCGAGCTCCGCGCTGCGCCCGCTCGCTCCGCGCCGCGCCGCGCCTGCCACGGGGGGCGGCCGGGCCGTGTCCGCGCCGCCGCGACCGCTGCAGTGTCCCCGCCCCCGGCCCGCGCCCGCGCCCCCCACGCGCGCCCACCCGGCCACGCGCCCCCCGCCCACGCCCGCCGTGCGCGCACCCTGCCACCGCACCCCCCGCAAAATCCCACATTCACAATCACATCCCAGCCCTATACACGCGCGCTGTGACACTCATCCCCACCAATATCTGACATGCACAATCACACGGGCACCCGGCCACGCTCACCCCATCAGTCAGTCATTCTCACTCACTCTTGCACCAACGTGCATATTCACGCCCAGGCCCTACACACACACCTGCCACTGCTCACTGCCTGCAACATCTAACATTCACAATCACATGTGAGTCCTGCACACACACATAACACTCTCACCCTCCTGTTGGTCACCATCATCCATGCACCCAGTTTCTCAAGCCTCACACCCATGTGCCTGCAGAAATCACAGTCACACAGGGACCCTCAGCTTATCAGACTCCTTCACCCTCTGACCTTCACCATCCTCACCCTCATTCTCTATCTGGATTCTGGGAACTCACCATGACACACACGCACCTGCCTCTTTCATCCAAACACCCTTCAATAGTCTGAACACCCTCATTCTCACACCAGCCACTTTCTTGGGCTTGCACATGGGCCCCACTCTCAGGCCTCAGACAGTCACCCTGCATTACCTGTCACTGTGATTCACGGTCTCACACACACACCTATCTCCACCGCAGCCCACATCCACACTCACTTCCACACCCTCCCACACAGTGTCTGGGACCCATGAACTTTTCAAAGGCCTGATAAAGTTATGAGAGCAGGAAAAAAAAAACAGAGGGAAGGAACAAAGTGAGGGAGTTTAAAAATCAATATGTAACTAAAGAGCCTGAAATTGTAATAATACCATATAAACTAATCTAAAGCTGACTTTTACATAGTTACATCTAATGACTGATCATGTTGGACGCCGTTTCTTTTTTTTCTTTTTGAAACAGAATCTCCCTCTGTCGCCCAGGCTGGAGTGCAGTGGCAAAATCTCAGCTCACTGCAATCTCTGCCTCCCAGGTTGAAGCAATTCTCCTGCCTCAGCTACCCGGGTAGCTGGGGTTATACATGTGCCTGGCTAATTTTTGTAGTTTTAGTAGAGATGGGGTTTCACCATGTTGGCCAGACTGGTCTTGAACTCCTGGCCTCATGTGATCTGTCCACCTCGGCCTCCCAAAGTGCTGGGCTCTTCCTTGGCATTTGCTAAATGCCATAGAGATTTAATTGGGATGAAGGAAGAGCATCCGGCCCAGTCCACCTTTCCAACTCTCACCAGAAGCCTTTCCCTGCTCCCACGGGCCACTGCGCTTGGCCCTTTTATTTTGTTTTATTTGTTTGTTTTTTTAAGTTAGTGCTAACTGCCAGCAAGTGGATGCCTTTTGTGTTTGCTGTCACACAGGATGGAGCCACCAAATATCCCAGTGTCTGAGGTGGATCTCAAACCAAGAAGTGTGACTTATCTCATGCACCAGAGAAGTTCCTCAAGAAAAGAAGCATGTCATTAGTAATTGCTGCATTGCACATTTGGAGAGGAAATAGCATTCTCCAGCCAACAGGCCTGGTGTGCTTTGCTTCCTGCTGTCTCTTCTACATCTAAAATGATGCTTCGTACATAGCATGGCACAAGTTGGCACTCAATAAAGGCTTCTTGCATGGAAGAAGGATAAACACCCTGACACACCAATTATGGCATCAGTGTGGGTCCCACCATCTCCCATCTGCTTTGCTAGACATCCCCCTTTCAAACTCCACACCCTCTTCTCAACCCCACTACTACACAGGGTACAAGAGAAGACCAAGGAGGCCGGGCGCGGTGGCTCACACCTCTAATCCTGACACTTTGGGAGGCCGAGGTGGGCGGATCACTTGAGGTCAGGCATTCGAGATCAGCCTGGCCAACATGGTGAAACCCCATCTCTACTAAAAAACAAAAATACAAAAATATATTAAAATCACCCGGGCACGGCCGGGCGCAGTGGCTCACGCCTGTAATCCCAGCACTTTGGGAGGCCAATGCGGGCAGATCACGGGTCAGGAGTTCGAGACCAGCCTGGCCAACATAGTGAAATCCTGTCTCTACTAAAAATACAAAAACTTAGCCACGCATGGTGGCAGGCACTGGTAATCTCAGCTACTCAGGAGGTTAAGGCAGGAGAATTGCTTGAACCCGGGAGGCGGAGGTTGCAGTGAGCCGAGATCATGCCATTGCACTCTAGCCCAGGCAACAGTGCGAGACTCTGTTTCAAAAAAAAAAAAAAAAGAAAGAAAAGGTTAGCTATTAAAAGTCCTACTTCTATGATATGAATATTCATAGTTTTCCCTAATTCAAGAATGAACACAACAGCATTATCAATGCTCATCCCTGAAAGATTCCAGGTGGGTTTTTAAAATACAATTTAATTAGCAGGATTTTTTGTTTTAGTAGTTTTCCATTTATAGAAAACATAAGCAATTAGCACAGAGAGTTTCATATGTCCCCATCCTATATCCATGTCCCCAGTCATGGGGACAGTTTCCCTTATTAACATTTTGCGGTACATCCAGGTGGATCTTAAATATTTCATTGCTTTTGTTTTGTCAATACTCTCTACTTTTTCTCTAGCAAAACGTGTTGCTTTTGCAATAATTTTTTCTTTAAATAAGTTTTTAAAAGATGAAAGAGCCCACTATTAACCCTCAAAGGTACTAACACTCTCATATGGAAAGAGAGGGGGAAATTGTAGGTGGTTTTTTGTTTTGTTTTGTTTTGTTTTTGCCTTTTTACTTTCCAAATTTTCTTTCTTTATTTATTTATTTTTATTTTTGAGATGGAGTCTCACTCTGTCGCCCAGGCTGGAGTGCAGTGGCACAATCTCAGCTCACTGCAGGCTCCGCCTCCCGGGTTCACGCCATTTTCCTGCCTCAGCCTCCCCAGTAGCTGGGACTACAGGCGCCCATCACCATGCCCAGCTAATTTTTGTATTTTTAGCAAAGACAGGGTTTCACCATGTTAGCCAGGATGGTCTCGATCTCCTGACCTCCTGATCCACCTGCCTCGGCCTCCCAAAGTGCTGGGATTACAGGCGTGAGCCACTGCAACCGGCCTTTACTTTCCAAATTTTCTTTAGTACGCTTTCATAATCAGAGGAGAAAATACATTTAAAAAAACTCCTTTTTGTTTTTATTCTTATTATTTTTTGAGACAGAGTCTCACTCTGCTGCCCAGGCTGGATTGCAGTGGCATGATCTCAGCTCACTGCAACCTCCGCCTCCCAGGTTCAAGCGATTCTCCCGCCTCAGCCTCCTGAGTAGCTGGGGCTACAGGCACACACCAACATGACCGGCTAATTTTTATATTTTTAGTAGAGAAGAGGTTTCACCATGTTAGCCAGGCTGGTCTCAAACTCCTGACCTCAGGTGATCCACCTGCCTCGCCTCCCTAAGTACTGGGATTACAGGCATGAGCCACTGCGCATGGCCGTTTTTATTTTAAGAGACAGAGTCTTGCTCTATTGTAGCTGGGACTACAGGTGTGCACTGCATGCCAGGCTAATTTATTTTATTTTTTATAGAGACAAGGTCTCACTATGTTGCCCAGGCTGGCCTTGACCTCCTGGGCTCAAGCCATCCTCCTGCCTTGACCTCCTAGTGTCCTGGGATTACAGGTGTGAGCCACTGCACCAGGCCGAAACTCCTTTTCAGCAAGGTAATCCCTCAGGAAGGGACGCACCTGCAGGCTTAAATCTCATCTTGAGAGAGAATCAGATGCCTGCTTGGGACAAGCGAGACACCCAAGGGATCACCAGAGCGGTGCCAGGGTCTAGGAGAGGGGCAAGGCTGGGGGAAGTGATGAGATGTGAGAGGTTAATCTGAGGCCCCCTTCTGGGTATACAGCAACCCCTCTTCCTGACACAGCACTACCTTCTGCCCAGGAATAGTCACCTCATGGTTCTGCTTCCTCAGGAAAAGCCCCTTGACAATCCTCTCCATCCAATAGGTCCTGGGTACAGTGCACCCCTGACTCCTAGGTATGTGGAGTGGAAAGGTCCTGGAGGGATAAGCCAATCTAGTCCAACTTCTACTTTCCAGAAATCAGAGAGACTGTGGCCCAAAGAGGTCATGTCACATGCCTCTATGTCACATGCCATCCATGCCCGATGGATGACAGGCTGGAGCCGGAATATACCTTGAAACTCTCATCTTGGCCCACCATGAAGCCTTATGTTCATAGACCTCCAAGCCCACTCCTGCTTTATTATTTATTTGTTTGTTTGTTTGTTTGTTTGGAGATGGAGTCTCACTCTGTTGCCCAGGCTGAAGTGCAGTGGCATGATCTCAGCTCACTACAACCTCCAACTCCCAGGTTCAAGCAATTCTCCCACCTCAGCCTCCCAAGTAGCTGGGATTACAGGCGCGCGCCACTATACCCGGCTAATTTTTGTATTTTTAGTTGAGACGGGTTTTCGCCATGTTGGCCAGGCTGATCTCGAGCTCCTGGCTTCAGGTAATCCACCCGCCTCAGCCTCCCAGAGTGCTGGGATTATGGGTGTGAGCCACTGCGCCCTGCCCCACTGCTACTTTGGACCTGCTGTAAAGAAGGAGTGTTTGGTGGTAAGTGGGCAAGAAGTCAAGGGTACGGGCAGTGATGAGAGATGGAGGAGGCAGGGAAAATGGGAATAAATAATAAATATGCTTTGGGTAAACTCAGGCTGGGAGTGAGAAAATAAAATCCTTTTAGTGCCTACAATTCTCTCTCCATGAATTCTCTCTGAATAAACATTCTAGGTATCCCCCAAAGCAGTTTCCCTACCTTGGCACTATTGACATTTGGGCTGAATATTTATCATGGGGGGCTGTGCTATGCATTACAGGAAATTTAGCAGCATTCTTGGTCTCTACCCACTAAATGCCAGTAGCTGCCTCACACCAGCTGTGACAACCACAAATGTTTTCACACATCATGAAATGTCTCCTGGGGAGACAAAATTGTCCCTAGTTAAGAGCCACTGGGCTAGAATGTGATGTTAAATCATTTTAAAATCTCTAATAAGACTGTGTGTGTCATTTTTTTTTTTTTTTTTTTTTGAGACAGAGTCTCCTTCTGTCACCTGGGCTGGAGTGCAGTGGCACCATCTCCCGGGTTCAAGCGATTCTCCTGTCTCAGCCCCCCGAGTAGCTGGGATAACAGGTGTGTGCCTCCAAGCCCGGCAAATTTTTGTATTTTTAGTAGAGAGGGGGTTTCACCATGTTGGCCAGGCTGCTCTTGAACTTCTGGCCTCAAGTGATCCTCCCGCCTTGGCCTCCCAAAGTGCTGAGATTACAAGCCTGGCGTGAGCCACTGTGCCCAACCAACTGTGTCTCTCTCTAACACTTACCAATCCAGTCCTTTCCCAACCCTTTGTTTTTTGTTTTTTTTGGAAAGAAAAAGAACGTCTTAGGTTGAGAACTTTCCATGAACAACAATATCTAGCTAAAATTTAATAATATTCTGGGCTGTGTGTGTATTTTTTAGATAGAGTTGGCCAGGCACAGTGGCTCACGCCTATAATCCCAGCACTTTGGGAGGCCGAGGCAGGTGGATCACGAGGTCAGGAGATCGAGACCATCCTGGCTAACACAGTGAAACCCCGTCTCTACTAAAAATACAAAAAATCAGCTGGGCGTGGTGGTGGGTGCCTGTAGTCCCAGCTACTCGGGAGGCTGCGACGGGAGAATGGCATGAACCTGGGAGGCGGAGCTTGCAGTGAGCCGAGATCACGCCACTGCACTACAGCCTGGGCAACAGAGCGAGACTCCATCTGAGATAGTCTTGCTCTGTCCCGCCCAGGCTAGAGTGCAGTAGCGCGATCATGGCTCACTGCAACCTTGGCCGCCCATGCTCAAACTATCCTCCCACCTCAGTCCCCCAAGAAGCTGGAACTACAGGCATTCATCACCATGCCCAGCTAATTTCTGAAATTTTTTTGTAGAGACGGTTTTGCCATGTTGCCCAGGCTGGTCTCAAACTCCTGAGCTCTAATGAGCCTCCTGTGTTAGCCTCCCAAAGTGCTAGGATTAGAGGCGTGAGCAATTACATCCAAAAATATTCTGTTTTCACCTCCAAAAAGGGCACTAAGAAGGTTGGGGGAAAAAAATCAACAGATGTCCAATCATTCCGTCAAGCAGTCTTCACTAAACACCTACAATGGTCTATGCATAGAGGGTACAGTCAGACACAGCCCCTGTTTCAAGGAGATGACATCCTAGTAAAGGTTGTTAAAAACTTAGAAAGCATCGGCCAGGCGCAGTGGCTCACACCTGTAATCCTGGCACTTTGGGAGGCCAAGGCGGGGGGGGGTGGGGCAGATCACCTGAGGTCGGGAGTTCAAGACCAGCCTGACCAACATGAAGAAACCCCATCTCTACTAAAAATACAAAATTAGCCGAGTGTGGAGGCGCATGCCTATAATCCCAGCTACTGGGGAGGCTGAGGCAGGAGAACTGCTTGAACCCAGGAGGCGGAGGTTGCGGTGAGCCAAGATTGCACCACTGCACTCCAGCCTGGGCAACAAGAGCAAAACTCTGTCTCAAAAAAAAAAAAAAAAAATTGAAAGCATCAAAAAGATGACTTGATAGCTTGCCTTAGCATACCCTTCCAGGTTCCCTGTGTCTTTCATCGTCCTTGAGCTATTTTACAACTCTATAAATTGTAGAAAACTGATAATTATGCAAATGATTCTTGTCCATAGAAATGCAAATTATTTTGTCCAGTGGAATGCAGTTATTGCCTGTGGATATTGATCATGTTTTGCATCTGTTTGTAAGTTCTTTTCAACATTCCTAATTGCCAGCAATTTAGGAGCTCATTTTAAATTCTCCTCTGAATCAACTGTAAATTTATTAATAATTCTTTGACATGTGTTCATTTTATACAGGCATACCTGAGAGATATTGTGGGTTTGGCTCCAGATGAAAAAAGAAAACAACTTTTATCTCAGGAATGTGAGTGTTTTTAAATTATCAGGCCCAGAGAGACATTAAAATGAAGCAGCAATCACGTTCTACTCCCTCCTTTGAGCTATGTATTCATCTCCTGAAACTGCCCGTTATTGCCACAAGTAGCTAGAAATTAACCTAATAATGCTGCACCAGACACTATAACCCACACCCCATAGGTTAGCAATGTATAGTCAATTACTAATCAATGTTATTTCTGTAAACCAATGAGAATTTCTGATGAACAAGTTTGTATCAGCCCACTCCCTGTCCGCTTTTTTACCCTTTAAATACCTGCTTATGGCCTGGTCCAGTGGCTTGCGCATGTAATCCCAGCACTTTAGGAGGCCGAGGAAGTAGGACTCCTTCACCCGTCTGTACAAAAAAATAAAAGAATTAGCTGGGTCACGGTGGCACACGCCTGTAATGCCAGCTACTTAGGAAGCTGAGGTGGGAGGATTGCTTGAGCCAAGGAGGCTGAGGCTGTAGTGAGCCATGATTGTGCCACTGCACTCCAGGCTGGGTGACAGAGCGAAACCTTGTCAAATAAATACATAAATGGGCCAGACTCAGTGGCTCATGCCTGTAATCCCAGCGCTTTGGGAGGCCAAGATGACAGGATCACTTGAGCCTGGGAGTTCAAGACCTGCTTGGGCAATATAGTGAGACCTTGTCTCTACAAAAAATACAAAAATTAGCTGGGCATGGTGGTACACGCCTGTAGTCTCAGCTACTCAGGAGGCTGAGTTGGGCAGATTGCATGAGCCTAGGAGGTTGAGGTTGCAGCGAGCCATGTTCACATCACTGCACGCCAGCCTGGGTGACAGGGTCTTGCTCTGTCACCCAGTCTAGAGGGCAGTGATTAATCAATCAACCAACCTACCTGTTGGTAACAAAAGCCATACAGAGGTCATATCCAAGGTTACTTGGGGCTGAGTCTTCCAAGCAGCTGTCCTCACTTTGGCTCAAGTAAACTCTAAATTGTATTTTGTGCCTCAGCCTCTTCCTTTTAGATCAACACAGACCACAACAATAAAGCAAATATTGCAATAAAGCAAGTCATATGACTTTGGTTTCCCAGTGTATATAAAAGCTACGTTTACACTATATCCTGTTAAGTGTGTAATAGCATTACATCTAAAAAACAATGTACAGGCCGGCCACGGTGGCTCACGCCTATAATCCCAGCACTTTGGGAGGCTGAGGCAGGCGAATCATGAGGTCAGGACTTCGAGACCAGCCTGGCCATCATGGTGAAACCCCATCTCTACTAAAAATACAAAAAATTAGCTGGGCATAGTGGCAGGCACCTGTAATCCCAGCTATTCGGGAGGCTGAGGCAGGAGAATTGCTTGAACCTGGGAGGCAGAGGTTGCAGTGAGCCAAGATCGCACCAGTGTACTCCAGCCTGGGAGACAGAGTGAGACTCCATCTCGGGAAAAACAAAAAACAAACCAAAAAAAAAAACAACGTACATACCTTAATTATAAATTCCTTTATTGTTAAAGATGTTAATGATCCTCTGAGCCTTCTGGAGTCGTAATTTTTTTGCCGGTGAAGGATCTTACCTTGATGTTGATGGCTGTTCACTGATCAGGGTGGTGGTTGCTGAAGGTTGGGATGGCTATGCCAATTTCTTTAAAATAAGACAACAATGATGTTGGCTATATTGATTCTTTATCTGAGATTTCTTTGTAACTTGTGATACTGTCTGAAAATATTTTACCCACAACAGGCCGGGCGCGGTGGCTCATGCCTGTAATCCCAGCACTTTGGGAGGCCGAGGCGGGTGGATCACAAGGTCAGGAGATCGAGACCATCCTGGCTAACACGGTGAAATCCCATCTCTACTAAAAATACAAAAAAAATTACTTGGGCGTGGTGGCAGACGCCTGTAGTCCCAGCTACTTGGGAAGCTGAGGCAGAAGAACCACTTGAACATGGGAGGCAGAGGTTGCAGTGAGCTGAGATTGCGCCACTGCACTCCAGCCTGGGTGACAGAGCGAGACTCTGTCTCAATCTCAAAAAATACTTTCTTTGCTCATCTGTAAGAAGCAGTTCTTTATTCATTCAAGTTTTCTCCTAAGATTGCCACCATTCAGTCACATCTTCAAGCTTCACTGCTATTTCCAGCTCTCTTGCTATCTCCATCATATCTGCAGTTACTTCCTCCACTGAATTTTGTTGTTTGTAAAGACAGGATTTCACTGTGTTGACTGGGTTGGTCTTGAACTCCTGGCTCTCAAGCCATCCTCCTCGGCCTCCCAAAGTGCTGGGATTACAGGCATAAGCCACGGTGCCTGGCTCTTTCACTGAAGTCTTGAACCCATCAAAGTCATCCATGAGGGTTGGAAGCCACTTCTTCCAAACTCCTGTTTATGTTGATATTTTGACCTTCTCCCATGAATTACGAATGTTTTTAACAACATCTAGAATGGTGAATCCTTTCCAGGTTTTCACTTTACTTTGCCCAGACCCATCAGAGAAATAACAAACTATGGCAGCTTACAAAATGTAGTATTTCTGAAATAATAAGACCTGGAAGTTGAAACTCTTAGAGGCATTTGAACCAGAGCCACTCCATCTCGAACAGGAGCTGGGGAAAATAAAGCTGAGACCTACTGGGCTGCATTCCCAGGAGGTTAAGGCATTCTTAGTCACAGGATGAGATAGGAGGTCAGCACAAGATACAGGTCATAAAGACCTTGCTGATAAAACAAGTTGCAGTAAAGAAGCCAGCTAAAACCCACCAAAACCAAGATGGCGACAAGAGTGACCTCTGGTTGTCCTCACTGCTACACTCCCACCAGCGCCATGACAGTTTACAAATGCCATGGCAACATCAGGAAGTTACCCTGTATGGTCTAAAAAGGGAAGGCATGAACAATCCACCCCTTGTTTAGCATATCATCAAGAAATAACCATAAAAATGGGCAACCAGCAACTCTCAGGGCTGCTCTGTCTATGGACTAACCATTCTTTCATTCCTCTGCTTTCCTAATAAACTTGCTTTCACTTTATGGACTCATCCTGAATTCTTTCTTACGTGAGATCCAAGAATCCTCTCTTAGGGTCTGGATCCAGACTCCTTACCAGTAACAAAACCACTCCTTGATCCAGACTACAAAATGAATGTTGTGTTAACAGGCATGAAAAACAGTATTAATCTCAGTATTAATCTCCTTGTACATTTCCATCAGAGCTCTTGACAGATGCATTAGATGCATTGTTTTTTTGTTTTTTGAGACGGGAGTCTTCCTCTGTCGCCCAGGCTGGAGTGCAGTGGCGTGATCTCGGCTCACTGCAACCTCCGCCTCCCAGGTTCAAGCAATTCTCCTGCCTCAGCCTCTTGAGTAGCTAGGATTACAGGCGCCCATGACCACGCCCAGCTAATTTTTGTGTTTTTAGTAGAGACAGGGTTTCACCATGTTGGTCAGGCTGGTCTCGAACCCCTGACCTTGTGATCCACCCGCCTCGGCCTCCCAAAGTGCTGGGATTACAGATGTGAGCCACTGCGCCCGGCCTAGATGCATTGTTAATGAGCAGCCATAATTTTTGAAAGAAATCTTTTTTTTTTTTTTTCTGTGCAGTAGGTCTCAACAGTGGGCTTAAAATATTCAGTAAATCATGTGATAAACAGATATGCTAAACTGGGCGCGGTGGCTCACACTTGTAATCCCAAAACTTTGGAAGGCCGAGGCGGGTGGATCACTTGAGGTCAGGAGTTTGAGACCAGCCTGACCAATATGGTGAAACCCCATCTCTACCAAAAATACAAAAGGCAGCAGGTGCCTGTAATCCCAGCTACTCAGGAGGCTGAGGTAAGAGAATCACTTGAACCCAGGAGACAGAGGTTGCAGTGAACTGAGATTGTGCCACTGCACTCCAGCCTGAGTGACACAGAGACTCCATCTCAAAACAAAAATGAGATATGCCATCATCCAGGCTTTGTCATTCCATTTCCAGAGCACATGCAGAGTAGAAATAGCATCATTCTTAAAGGCCCTAAGATTTTCAGAATGGTAAATGAGCATTGCTTTAGCTTAATGTCACCACCTGCATTAGCCCCTAACAGGAGTCACCTTGTCCTTTGAAGCAAGGTGTTTTTTTCCTTTCTAGCTATGAAAGTCCTAGATGGCATCTTCTTCCAATAGAAGACTGTCTTGTCTACTTTGAAAATATGTTGTTTAGTGTAGCTACTGTAGTTATTGTAGCTAGATCTTCTGGATAACTTGCTGTAGCTTCTACATCAGCATTTACTGCCTTACCTTGCTTTTTTTTTTTTGTTTTCTTTGAGACAGAGTTTCACTCTTTTTGCCCAGGCTGGAGTGCGATGGCACAATCTTGGTTCACCACAACCTCCACCTCCCATGTTCAAGTGATTCTCCTGCCTCAGCCTCCCGAGTAGCTGGGATTACAGGCATGCACCTCCAAGCCCAGCTACTTTTGTATTTTTAGTAGAAATGGATTTTTCTCCATGATTGTCAGGCTGGTCTCGAATTCCCAACCTCAGGTGTTCTGCCCCCCTCAGCCTCCCAAAGTGTGAGGATTACAGGTGTGAGCCACCACGCCCAGCTGCATTTTTATATTAGGAAGATGTCTTCTTGGGCCTGGTGCAGTGGCTCATGCCTGTAATCTCAGCACTTTGGGAGGCTGAGGCGGGTGGATCATCTGAGGTTGGAAGTTCGAGACCATCCTGACCAACATGGTGAAACTCCGTCTCTACTAAAAATACAAAAATTAACTGGGTGTGGTGGTGCGCACCTGTAATCCCAGCTACTCGGGAGGCTGAGGCAGGAGAATCACTTCAATGCGGGAGGCAGACGTTAAAAAATTAAGCAGTACTTAATTTTTTTTTTTTGAGACAGAGTCTTGCTCTGTCGCCTAGGCTGGAGTGCAGTGGCGTGATCTCGGTTCACTGCAATCTCTGCCTCCCAGGTTCAAGTGATTCTCCTGTCTCAGTCTCCTCAGTAGCTGGGATTACAGGCGCAATGCCACCATGGCCAGCTACTTTTTTGCATTTTAGTAGGGACAGGGTTTCACTGTGTTGCCCAGGCTGGTCTCGAACTCCTGAGCTCAGGTAATTTGTCCACTTTGGTCTCCCAAAGAGCTAGGATTACAGGCGTGAGCCACTGCGCCTGGCCTATAAACAAATTTAAACAGAGAAAAGGTACAGTAAAAATTAGTATTACAATCTTATGGGACCATGGTTGTATATGCGGTCTCTAACTGACAAAACAAAGTTATGGCCACACTATGCGGGCATAATCTACTTGCATAGGTACAATCACAATCTACCCTTTAGAACTGACTTCAAAGATTAAGGCTGAGAGGAATGATGCACACATATACACACTACACACTGTATTATGGAAAACAGCACACACACACAAAGACAATGATAATCTTTTCCCCAGCTATCCCAAGCAGGAATTTACCCTGGAAGTGAACTCAAGTATAAGAAAAGAAATACCACAAAGGCAATCAAAAACAAAATAAAAAAGTTCACGGGGCCAGGCACAGTGGCTCATGCCTGTAATCCCAGCACTCTAGGAGGCCAAGGCCAGTGGATCATTCGAGGCCAACCTGGGGAACATGATGAGACCATCTCTGCAAAAAAAAAATTAGCTAAGAATGATGGTGTGTGCCTGCTACTCCACAGGCTGAGGTGGAAGGATCACTTGAGTCCAGGAGCTCAAGGCCAGTCAGCTGTGATCATGCCACTACACTGCAGCCTGAGTGATAGGGACGTTTATGGGTAAACACCAGCAGTGTTGTCAATAGATGACTAGACATCATTGTTACGTAATTGCAGTTATTTTAAAAGGATTAGCTGGAATTGGGTTTTACCTTGGAAAGATGTCTGAAATATGTGAGAGGGGAGAAAAAAGGCTGGGCAAGGTGGCTCACGCCTGTAATCCCAGCACTTTGGGAGGCCGAGGCAGATGGATCATTTGAAGTCAGGAGTTCAAGACCAGCCTGGCCAACATGCTGAAACCTCATCTCTACTCAAAATACAAAAATTAGCCAGGTGTGGTGGTGGGCACCTGTAATCCCAAGTAAGGAGGCTGAGGCAGGAGAATCGCTTGAACCTGGGAGGCGGAGGATACAGTAAGCCAAGATCGAGCCACTGCACTCCCTTGAGCCTGGGAGGTCAAGGCTGCAGTAAGCTGAGATCATACCATTGCACTCCAGCCTGGATGAAAGAGTGAGACCCTGTCTTAAAAAAAAGAAAAAAGGCCGGGTACGGTGGCTCACTCCTGTAATCCCAGAACTTTGGGAGACCGAGGTGGGCGGGTCACCTGAGGTCGGGAGTTTGAGACCAGCCTGACCAACATAGTGAAACCCCATCTCTGTTAAAAATACAAAATTAGCCGAGTGTGGTGGCGCATGCCTGTAATCCCAGCTACTCCGGAGGCCGAGGCAGGAGAATTGCTTGAACCTGGGAGGCGAAGGTTATAGTGAGCCGAGACCATGCCATTGCTCTCCAGCCTAGGAAACAAGAGGGAAACTGTCAAAAAAAAAAAAAAAGTGAGGCAAGTATGGACATAGCCAGGTGTGCATCTTTTTGACGCTAGGAACAAGAGTGTCACAAGGCAGCTGAAAGTGATTGTCAAGTAAAGATTCTCAGGTATAGAGCAGAAAGTACCAGAAAAATTTATATACACCTGGGTGAGAAAAAAAAACATTCAAATTTTATTTTCCAACAGACAGACAGCATCAGCAGGTACAACTACAGGGGTTTCTCCGTAGATCATACATTCACAAGGCATTATTAGCTCAACAGTGAGAAAGCCACTGGTGTGTTTTCTGTAACAATATCCACTTCACAGTGTAAACAGGTACTATTATCGTGTTCACTTACAATTCCAGAAGGAAAGGCACAACTTGGCAAAAAAAAAAAAAAAAAAAAAAAAGGGGGGCGGAATCCTAAAGTCAGGTGCAACGATGAAGAGACAACACTTTGGCTAATCGTCTTGGATGCATATTTCCGTCAGGACCTTCCACATAGAGGGGAAAGACTTTTCTCCCAGAAATTAGAGTTTTTTTCTTTCTTTCTTGTTAAACCAAGAGCAATGTTTCGTTTGCTCAATATCACATTTACAAAGGAAACTACAAAAAAAAAAGGCATCACAAAATCATCTTGAACGTTCACCTCTTCCCACCAATACATCAACTCTTAGGCTTTAGACAGGGCCTGGGAATACTTCAGCGGTCTTAAAATAGGAAAATAGACACTATGGCTACAAAAAATAAAAAATAAATGAGGTAGATAAATTAAAGCTTTCACACCCAGGACGTGCCTGTTCTAACTTCGTAGCCTTCATGAAATATTCAGCAAGGAAACAAAACAAAACAAAAAATCGTCATAATTACTTGGCATAAGTCGCACCAAGGAAATTCAACAAAAGCAATCAGTATGTGAACCTGTGATGGGAAACACGCCCTTCCACGAGTTTCTTCTCGAGCATGAAAACCCAGTTCTTCAATAGAGTAGGCACTGGCAAACTAAGTCACCTGAGATTCCCCGCTCAGGTGCCCACCTCTTCTGGGATTTGGGAAGAGGAAGGCATCCAAGAGGTGTGGGGAAAACATTGGCACTCTCGGGGCTCCAACTGAACTGTATTTAAATAAGCAGCAACACACACATTGACTCCCTAAGGACTAACGTAAGTCCATTTGAGGGCCTCCTACTTAAGGTTCTAAGGTTGAAGCAGTTTTATAATTCTACAACCCTAGTTTTTTGTTGTTCCTTTTTTAAGTACATTCAAAAAAAAACAATAAGATGGGGACAGGGTTGGGGCATATAAAACAGGTCCCTAAAGAGATGACAGACCTTGTCCTTTTACCCGTGTCCAGTTACCAGTAAGTATACAGTACCCATCTCCCCTCAATGAGGCTGTGTAGTTGTCTTTTCCACTGTTGTTCAGTAAGTTCCAACGATTCTACCTTGAAATAGGTAACAGTCTTTGGAAAAAGTCACTCTAGGTTGTACAAAGGTTCTATGTATACGTCTGTTACAAGTAACAAAGCTACTTTGCAAGACCCGCTTCTTTCCAAAATTAGAAAAAAAAAAAAAAAGTGCCAGGCGTGGTAGCTCATGCCTGTAATCCCAGCACTTTGGGAGGCCAAGGCGGGTGGATCACGAGGTCAGCAGTTCGAGACCAGCCTGACCAACATGGTGAAACCCAGTCTCTACTCAAAATACAAAATTAGCCGGGCGTGGTGGCACCTGCCTGTAATCCCAGCTACTCTGGAGGCTAAGGCAGGAGAATCACTTGAACCCAGAATGGGGAGGTTGCAGTGAGCCGAGATCATGCCACTGCACTCCAGCCTGGGTGATAGAGCGAGACTCCATCTCAAAAAAAAAGAGTCTGTATTTGTTTTGGTATGCATTTTTTTTTTATTTTTTCAACTTTTTGCAAAGCAGCATAGCAACAATCGTGATTGTAGCACTTGCCTGAGGTTGTGGTCACAACCAACGTAGTAAACATCATTTGCATATCAGTAAGAAAAAGAAAACAGGAGGAGATGAGTTCTTACAAAACAAAGCAGATTCTAGAGATTTCACTGTGTCTGCATTGCTCCTTCCACGCAAGTTCTCCCTTAGCTGACCGCAATCTTGTTTTCTTCCAGGAAGTGAGGAAACTGGTGTTTGGGAACGCCGTCAGTAGCACTTGGTTTTTCCACATCTGCACTGATACCCGACTGGGAGCCATCCATCTTGGAGACAGTGGCGTTATTCACAACGGAGGTGGCCCCCAAGGAAACCGGGAGGGTAGGAACCCCCCCACTCTGGATCACAGAGATCTCATTGGTCTTCACGGCCAGACCGCCATTGAGCATGCTGGTGTACTGGTTCCACACAACAGGGTCCACATTCACTGAAGGGGCCAGGATTTCCTTGGGAAAGATTTCTGAGACTCTTTTTCCGTCCGTACCTAACAGAGCCATGGTGTTCTCGATGGCCAACTTCCTTCCACGGCGGGCTGAGTTATTGTTCGCCCCGTGTGTCATGTAGTGAACCTATGGGAACAGGACAGAAAGGTTTTTACCAAAATAGAGATTTGAAGCTCACTGGCAAGCCAAGAATCAATCTGCATATGGATTTCATTCTACCCAGTGTTTTAACATATAGATGATCCTTGACTTACAGCGGGGTTATGCCCAGATAAACTGATTGAAAGTAGAAAATATTCTTAGTCTAAAATGCATTTAATACCCCTAACTAGCCAAACATCATAGCTCAGTTTAGCCTACCTCAAACACACTCAGAACATTTGCATTAGCTTACAGTTAGGCAAAATCATCTAACGCAAAGCCTATTTTATTTTATACATGAGCACTGAAACAGCTCATGTAGGCCAGGCACGGTGGCTCACGCCTGTAATCCCAGCACTTTGGGAAGCTGAGGTGGGCAGATCACTTGAGGTCAGGAGTTCAAGACCAGCCCGGCCAACATGATGAAACCCTGTCTACTAAAAATACAAAAAGTAGCCAGGCATGGTGGCACATGCCTGTAATCCCAGCTGCTCGCGAGGCTGAGGCACGAGAATCGCTTGAACCTGGGAGGCGGAGGTTGCAGTGAGCCAAGATCATGCCACTGCACTCCAGCCTGGGTGACAAAGCAAGACTCCATCTCAAAAAAAAATAAAAAATAAAAAATTAGCTCATAGCTCATGTGATTGAGCATGTACTGAAAGTGAGAAACAGAATGGTTGTATGGGTGCTCAAAGTCTGATCTCTACTGAATGCCTATCACTTTTGTATCATCGTAAATCAAACCATCTTAAGTCAGGGACTGTCTGCACTTTATATTTAGAAAATCAGATTTCTTATATCACCTAACAAACATTCCTCCCCAGAGCAACCAAGATGGGGCTTATAGTCTCCAACTGTCTCTGCTCCACCAATCATGGGTGTACCTATGTGAAAACCTACTATATCCTGGGCATTGATCCAAGTGCCAGGGTTAACATTTTTTTTTGAGTCCTTTTTTTTTTGAGACGGAGTCTCGCTCTGTCGCCCAGGCTGGAGTGCAGTGGCGCAATCTCGGCTCGCTGCAACCTCCGCCTCCCGGGTTCAAGCGATTCTCCTGCCTCAGCCTCCTGAATAGCTGGGACTACAGGCACGCGCCACCATGCCCGGCTAATTTTTGTATTTTTAGTAGAGACGGGGTTTCACCATGTTGGCCAGGATGGTCTTGATCTCGTGACCTCGTGGTCCGCCTGCCTCGGCCTCCCAAAGTGCTGGAATTACAGGCGTGAGCCACCACGTCCGGCCTTTTTTTTGAGTCTTAATCTGTCACCCAGGCTACAGTGCAGTGGCACAGCTCACTGCAGCCTCAACCTCCAAGGCTCAAGCAACCCACCCACCTCAGCTTCCTGAGTACCTGGGACTACAGGTGCACACCACCATGCCCAGCTAATTGTTTTTTTTTTTTTTTGAGACAGAGTCTCGCTCTGTCGCCCAGGCTGGAGTACGGTGGAATGATCTTGGCTCAATGCAAGCTCCACCTCCCGGGTTCACACCATTCTCCTGCCTCAGCCTCCCGAGTAGCTGGGACTACAGGCGCCCACCGCCACCACGCCCGGCTAATTTTTTCTATTTTGTTTTTAGTAGAGACAGGGTTTCATCGTGTTAGCCAGGATGGTCAGGATCTCCTGACCTTGTGATCCGCCCACCTCGGCCTCCCAAAGTGCTGGGATTACAGGCGTGAGCCACTGCACCTGGCCGGCTAATTTATTTTTATTTGTAGAGACTGGATCTCCTTATGTTGCTCAAGCTGGTCTCGAACTCCTGGCCTCAAGCAATCCTCCCACCTTGTCCTCCCAAAGTGCTGGGATTACAGGCATGAGCCACTGCACCCAGCCTAGAGTTAACATTTTTAAAATGCACAAACCTACGCAGGTAATAAAACTGTAGAGTGCACAACATGCACACCTGAGTACAAGTAAAATGGGAAAATCTGAATGTTGATTGTAACAATGTCAATATCTTGATTATGCTACAATGTTGATACTACCGTTTTGCAAAGTGCTACCAATGGGGAAAACTGGGCAAAGCATACAAGGATGTCTCTGTATTACTTTTCAAAAGTCCAGTGAAAATCTATACTTATTTAAGTAAAAATTTCAGTTAAAAACAATTTGTGGGCAGGGCACAGTGGCTCACGCCTATAATCCCATTACTTTGGGAGGCTGAGGCAGGCAGATCACCTGAGGTCAGGAGTTTGAGACGAGCCTGGCCAACATGGTGAAACCCCATCTCTACTAAAAATACAAACAGTAGCCGGGTATGGTGGCACACGCCTGAAGTCCCAGCTACTCAGGAGGCTGAGGCAGGAGAATCGCTTGAACCCAGGAGGCGGAGGTTGCAGTGAGTCAAGATGGCACCACTGCACTCCAGCCTGGGCAACAAGAGCAAAACTGTCTCAGAAACAAACAAACAAACAAAACAAACCAAAACAAAACAAATTTTGGGGCAGGACGCAGTGGCTCACACCTACAATCCAGGACTTTGGGAGGTCAGAGCAGGTGGATCACCTGAGGTCTGGAGTTCGAGATCAGCGTGGCCAACATCGTGAAACCTCGACTCTACTAAAAATATACAAAAATTAGCCGGGCATGATGGCGGGCGCCTGTAATTCCAGCCACTCAAGAGGCTGAGGCAGGAGAATTGCTTGAACCCGGGAGGCAGAGGTTGCAATGAGCCGAGATTGCACCGTTGCACTCCAGCCTGGGTGACAGAGCAAAACGACCATTCCCTGATGCAGCTGACATCTAAATATAGAGAACATCAATGTCTCTAATAATTGCTACAGAGAAAAATGTATCTGGCTGGGAAAGCTACAGAAGGCCATGGTGGGAATAGGATGCTATTTAATCTAAGGTGGTAGGCAAGGCTTCTGCTGAAGAAGGGACCTTACTAGCACCTGGCTGCTTTCTTTAATTATTTTTCCTGTCTGGCTTTCAAGTTTTGAAATCCTTTTCAGCTTCTTTTTTTTTTATTTATATGAATTTAATTTTTGTAGAGATGGCATCTTGCTATGTTGCCCAGGCTGGTCTTCAACTCCTGGGGTCAAGTGATCCTCGCACCACCACCTCCCAAAGTGCTGAGAGTACAGGCATGAGCCACTGCGTCCGGCCCTTTTCAGCTTCTTAAGAGTTTAAAACTCTTAAGAGACAGGGTCTTACTCTCTTGCCCAGGCTGGAGTGCAGTGGTGTGATCACAGCTCACAGAAGCCTCGACCTCCCAGGTTCAAGTGATCCTCCCACTTCAGCCTCCCAAGTAGCTGGGCCTACAGGCGCATGCCACCACGCCCATCTAATTTTTATTTTTATTTTGTAGTGACAGGGTCTCCTTATGTTACCCAGGCTGGTCTCAAACTCCTGGGCTCAAGCAATCCACCTGCCTTGGCCTCTCAAAGTACTCAGATTATGGGTGCTGAGCCACTGCACCCAGGTAGTATTTCTAATTTTTAAAATTAAAATGTAAACATTTTAATTTTTTTAAGAGACAAGGTCTCACTTTGTTTTCTAAGCTGGAGTGCAGTGGCATGATCACAGATCACTGCAGCCTTGATCTCTCAGGCTCAAGTGGTCCTCCCACTTCAGCTTCCCAATTGGCGGGGACCCAAGCATGCAACACCATGCCCAACTAATTTGTGTGTGTGTGTGTGTGTGTGTGTGTGTGTGTGTAAAGACGTTGTCTCCCTATGTTGCCAGGCTGGTCTCAAACTCCTGGACTCAGCTGGGTGCAGTGGCTCATGCCTGTAATCCCAGCACTTTGGGAGGCCGAGGCAGGCGGATCACGAGATCAGGAGATCGAGACCATCCTGGCTAACGCGGTGAAACCCCACCTCTACTAAAAATACAAAAAAATTAGCCGGCCATGGTGGCGGACGCCTGTAGTCCCAGCTACTCAGGAGGCTGAGGCAGGAGAATGGCATGAACCCGGGAGGAGGAGCTTGCAGTGAGCTTGAGCTTGAGATGGCGCCACTGCACTCCAGTCTGGGCGACAGAGTGAGACTCCGTCTCAAAAATAAATAAATAAATAAACAAACTCCTGGACTCAAGCAATCCTCCCACCTCGGCCTCCCAAAGGAGGAATGGAAGGATGGAAGAACTCATCACGGCTTGTGCCAATAAGAAGACACCTGGTGCCTAGCCCCCATCCTGCTGAAAGCCCACACAAACCCACCTTTAAGTTGCCTTTGGTGGTAAAAGCTCGCCCACAAATGTTGCACACAAAAGGCTTCTCTCCAGTGTGAGTCCGCTCGTGGATCTGAAGAGCGCTAGCAGACGAGAAGTTCTTCCCACACCGTGTGCAGCCATGTTGCTTGGCCTGTCGGCGTGGCTGGGCTGCTAACAAAGGGGTCATCCCTGGGGACAATGTCGAGGGTCCCACAAATGTGCCAGGAACTTCAACCTTGACATAGGTCGGCGGGGCTCGGATAAACGTGGAAGGGAGACTGCTCCGACCTAGTACACAGAGGGGAAAAAAGCCAGACCTTTATCATCCAACCTTCATTCTTTCTCTTCAAAGCAAAAGAGATCTTTAAAAATAACTGCCTGCTAGTTTGAGAGTCTGGAGCTGGCTTTGTAAGTAATTAACACCTTCCCCTTTGAATTGTTTATCTGCACAAAGAATAAAGCTTCAAATGCTTGGGAAAAGGTATCACTTTGGGTTTTTTTTTTTTAAAGGCATGGGCAACATATAAACACATATGTAATTTAAGTTCAAATTTCTGCATAAGAAACTACCTTTAAAGCATATGCCCAGACACCATCTTTCTTTGATTCTTTGATACAGCTTTTCCCTTATTTTACCATTAATGACATCAACAAACCTCTCAATAGATATGTGCATTTAAAATGGGTTCATCTTTCCCTGCTTCAAGAGTGGCTAATTTGTGAACATTACATCAGGCAGTGGGGCCTCAGAGTCAGGGAACCACGGCTTATTTCAGTGGTCAAAAAGCAGTGGCCACTTCCTCAAACATACTCTTAAGACACCCATATACAGAATCATAGTGTGGAGAAACAAAAAGAAAAAAACTATAACAAAATAGAACGACTACCCACCCCTATGTCCCAAGGGGCTCAAAGACAAAAATAAAAACCAACAAAAAAGGTATGCTGTCCATACCCATTTTGCATTAACCATCATAAATTAAAAGCATGTTCGTTACTAGGATAGAGGCAGTTACTATTGCCCTCTACCCAGAAGTAAAGAAAAGCTAATTGCCCTATAGAAGGGGCTGCTTCAAGTCATACTCTCCGTTTGTAAAGTTCAACCCAGGCTCCTTTTTGATGACCTTGAGCCCAAAATGGACATAAGTTAAATCCAAAGCTCTATCACCTTCCATCTCAGTGCGGCTGTTCTCGGAGCTCTCTGCTTTGCTCCCAGCATCGGGAGACTTTGACTTGATGCTTTCGGCTTGACTATTGGCCGGGGAGAGTGCCTGGAAGGATGTGGTTTCCAGGATATCTGGGCTTCGGCTCTGATACTCCTGGTCTCCCATCAGCGAGGATGAGTCGTTGGTCAAGCCATCGCTCTCCACGGAACCGTTTTCTCTGCTGCCCTGGCGCTGCAGGTTAAAAGGGGCAGGACCCACTTTCCCTGGGGCATCTAAGGAAGCCATCATGGCAAACCCTAGCGTGGGTGATGCCGAGTGGATGCTGGGAAGAGGCGTGGGGACCTTGGAGGAGCTGCTGGGAGCCTCCTGGGAGCTGACTTCCTCTACATCGATGCTTTCGATGACATCATCATGGCAGATAGCGCCGGTGCTGCCGTTCTCACCCACGGTCATTGGCTCAGAACCCGTAAAGTCACAGGGATTCTCTGGCAGGGGCGTGTTGGGAATCTGACCGCCCATGTGCATCCGAATATGTTGCTGCAGCATCACGGCATTAGTGAACTTCTTCTGGCAGATGGGGCACGAATGCTGCGTCTTAATGGATGTGTTGGTTCGGTGAACCCCAAGGTGTGTCTTCAGGTTACCTTTGGTAGAAAAGGCTCGGCCACAGATCTTACACTGGAACGGTCTCTCCCCGGTGTGGGTGCGATAATGCATCTTGAGGGAGCTCTGACAGCTTAAGACTCGGTGGCAAATGAGACATTCGTTGGGATCAGTGGTGGCCTTGTCAATGTTCTCCACCAACTGCTGCAATTTCAGGGTCTCTGACCCTGGCTCAGGGGTCCCACTCCCTTGGAAGCCACCAGCCCTTGGGGAATTATAGTTTGGTCCCACCCCAGGGAGTGTGGGTCCACCCTCACTTTCTGGAGAAGGCCCAGGCTGCAGGTCACCGGGCAAGGAGCCACCCGTGAGGTCCTTGGGATTAGTCCCCGAAGAAAGATTCTGAGGTAGCCCTACAGAGGTGGTTACAAGGACAGGTTTGCTGTCTAAAGAAAGACTCGGTTCATCTATGGGGTCAGGTACAGAGAGTGCATAGGGGATGCCATTGCCGGCCGCCACTTTGTCCTGGAACTCGGCAAACAGCTGGGGGTTTGCCTTCACCTGGGGATGTCGGTGAAAGTGCACCTTGAGGTTGCCCTTGGTGGTGAAGCGATGACCACAGACAGAGCACACGAAGGGTCTCTCTCCAGTGTGGGAGCGGAGGTGGATCTGCAAGGAGCTATCAGTCCCAAAAACCTTGCTACAGTACTTACACTTGTGCTTGTAGAGGGCCGCCTCGTCTTTGGGTTTGACATCCACCGCGGAGATGTTCGGTGGCTTCCCCTTCCCTTTCTTGGATGTGTCTAGCGCCACAGTGGAGAAAGGGCTCTGGAAGAGCACCGAGCCCGGGGCCTGAGGAAGCAAAGCGCTCGGGAGGCGGGACATGACGTTCGGGAGCACCCGGGTCCCATCCGGCTTCAGAGTGAAGGGTGCCAGCCCTGGGGACAGGGAGCTGGTGGCAGAAGGGATGTTGGCGTGAGGTAGCTTGGCTTGTTTCAAGGCATCCAGAGACAGACCTTGGCTTCCAGCTTTCTGGCTGAGCAAAGCCACAGCTGCAGAAACCTGCTGAGACATGTGGCTGCCCAAGGTCTTCAGAGTGTCGGCCCCTGCCCCGCTTGAGTGGAGGGCGTGGGAGGCCCACATGTTCACCTGGATGCGGATCTGCTCGGTGAGCTGGATCTGCTGTAGCTGCTGCTGCTGCAGACACAAGATCTGCTCGAGGACCCACGGGATGCTGTTGGCACCAGGCACGGGGGCAGGGAGTGCATCCGCGCTCCGCTGATTCACCGCCACCTTGGTGCCCCGTAGTGCCTGCAAGGTCACATTAGTGTTGGCCACTTTGCCTTTGGCTAAATAGCTTATGTCCTGGGGGGTGGGTGGCAGGGCTGTCTCTGTCTTTAGGTACACCACAGACTCCGCATCCGGCTTCTCCTTCATGTCCTCTGAGCTGCCGCCATTCTCCCTGTGACAGTCCTTACTGCCGGGACTGGTGGGCTGGTGGCTCAGTACAGCTCCGGAGAAGTCTTCTGAAGGCACAGGCCCCTCGCTGTCATTCATGATGAGGACAGGTGGATTTTTAGTGCAATTTTTCTTATGTTCCAGGAACTCAGAGATGCTGAAGAACTCCGCACAGCATTTCTCACAGACGTGCGTCTCCTCCCGACGAAGCCGCTTTACTGTGGCTTCATCCTCACTCGCCACCTCGTCATTCCCTGGGTGGTTCACTGGAGCACCTGTAACAAGACAGAAAAAGCTAAGGACTCTGCCCAAGTAAAAGATGTGGGGGGAGCCGGGCACCGTCGCTCACATCTATAATCCTAGCACTTTGGGAGGCTGAGGTGGGCAGATCACCTGAGGTTGGGAATTCAAGACCAGTCTGGCCAACATGGTGAGACCCTGTCACTACTAAAAACACAAAAATTAGCTGGGCATGGTGGTGGGCTCCTGTGGTCCCAGCTACTCGGGAGGCTGAGGCTCAAGAATTGCTTGAACCCAGGAGGCAGAGGTTGCAGTGAGCTGAGATCCCGCCATTGCACTCCAGCCTGAGCGACAGAGCGAGACTCCATCTCAAAAAAAAAAAAAAAAAAAAAGGCAAAAAGGCTGATCCCTGAATTTCTTTTGTAACTGGGGCTTACTTACTTTAGGGTTAGTGCCAGCCTACACATTGCAACTCCGAACTTGGGACTGTGTTTTAGCCAGATGCTGGGGTCCTTCACATGATGCCTGGAAGTCTCTCGAAGCTACTTCATTGTTCTCACCTCCCTGCTGTCCTCTCAGGTATACCCCATCATCAAGATATCAATGGAGCTTGGGGCCACAGGACAAAGACAGGCATATCTCAGACCCAGCAGCTAAGCCTATAAATCTAAACCACACAAGACATTCACACGAGCATACAATGATCTAGGTTTTCTTGTTTTTTCAGAAATGTTCACAGCAGCAAAGAAGTAAATTTTGGCCCACCCACCCATAGTGTGAGAAATATGCAGAATTTCTGTATGCCACAGAAATTAAGTGAAAGAAACGGGTTGCGCAACAATATGTACAACATGACCATTTTGCTTAAAACAAAACCTGTGTTTGAAATGTACAAATGTGGCTGGGTGCAGTGGCTCGCACCAGTCATCCCAGCACTTTGAGGCCACTTTTGAGAGGCCGGGAGTTTGAAACCAGCAACACAGTGACACCCCGTCTCTATAAAAAAAATAAGAAGATAAAAATAGCTGAGCATGGCAGCGTCCATGTATAGTTCAAGCAACTCCAGAGGCTGAGGCAGGAGAACCGCTTGAGCCTGGGAAGTCAAGCCACTCCAGCCTGGGTGACAGAGTGAGACCCTGTCTGGAAAAAAAAAGTACAAATGCACAAGGAAAAGGCCAGGAAGGGCTGGAGTGCAGTGGCCCAATCTTGGCTCACTGTAACCTCCGCCTCCTGGATTCAAGCTATTCTCATGCCTCAGTCTCCCGAGTAGCTGGCTAATTTTTGTATTTTTAGTAGAGATGGGGTTTCACCATGTTGGCCAGGCTGGTCTCAAACTCCTGGGTGCAAGTGATCCGTCTGCCTCAGCCTCCCAAAGTGCTCGGATTACAGGCATGAGCCACCGTGCCCAGCCAAAGCCACGGACTTTTGACAGCACAGTCCACCCACGGGTTTCCAGGAGGGGCTGATCTTGAAGCATGGCCTTAACAAACTGATTTAATCTTTACTTATTTCAGACTGGGTCACAATATGAAGTCTTGCAAGGTATGTGTAGGCTGGGGGTGGGTCAGGGGAAGAGACAACAGCCATGGGCAGGTCTGGCCTGCCAGAGTTAAGAAAGCTAGGCAGGGCCAACCTAGCCTTGCCTATCAATAACAGGTAGTTATTGATAGGCAAGTCGGCACACCCCTAAGAAAGCCTACTGGGCACGCGTAATCGCGAGATGACAACCTCGTGATTAGATGATTAGGTAGATGCCTGGATTTACTGATTCAACCAGGACTGCTGAGAACAATGCCTTACAATAAAACAATGTAATGCCTCTCGTTCCACAATACTAACCTCCTACTGCGTGCAAAGCAGGGGTTGGGGACCCAATGGTGAAAAGATGAGCCCCATTATCTTCCTATAATTCAGATTTTGTACCAGCAGATGCCCATACTGTAATCATTCAATCCTATTAAATATCAGCTCCATTAAAGGCTGGGCGTGATGGCTCACACCTGTGATCCCAGCACTTTGGGAGGCTGAGAGTTCGAAACCAGCCTGACCAATATGGTGAAACTCCATCTCTACTAAAACTATAAACTTAGCCCAGCGTGGTGGCGCATGCCTAATCCCAGCTACTCAGGAGGCTGAGGCAGGAGAATCACTTGAACCCAGGAGGCGGAGGTTGCAGTGAACTGAGATTGTGCCATTGTACTCCAGCCTGGGCAACAAAAGCGAAACTCCATCTCAAAAAATAAATAAATAAATAATGAAAAAATAAAGATGTGAAAAACAGAGACTCTGAGAAATAATGTCACTCGTGCAACATAACAAAAGTTATTGACAGATAACTTTTGAGCACTTACTTTGTATGTGCCAGGTATGATTCTAAACAATTTGTTATATTAACAACTCTGAAATAGAAACTATTACCCTATTTGACAGAAGGGGAAACTGAGGCACAGAGGACATGAACTTGCCCAAGCTAACATGTTAAGTAAACTGCAGAGCCAGTATTAAACCCCAGACATGCAGTTCCCACACCCTCTATTGGAACCCTTCATTTGTACCCCTCTGATCATGTTTCTTCTGTAAAGATTGCAACTTTCTTTCCTCTCACAGAGATGTTAAGATGGGACAGGAAAGCCTGGGAGGTTGCCTTGGTTAGGAAGGGGTGGGAGTCGACCACCCATTCCTGTCTCATTTCTAGGACTTCCAGAAGTTGCTCTGAAAGTGTTAAGATGCAGTGCGATGCTGCTACTTCCAGGTAGAGTTCTAGTAGCAGGTACCAGCACAAACTCTCCTTTCTTAAGGCCCCAATACTGCTGCGAATCTGCCTCACTTCAGTGATCCAGATAAAAATGTTCGGCCGGGCACGGTGGCTCACAAGGTCAGGAGATCAAGACCATCCTGGCTAACACGGTGAAACTCCATCTCTACTAACAATACAAAAAATTAGCCGAGCACGGTGGTGGGCGCCTGTAGTCCCAGCTACTGGGGAGGCTGAGGCAGGAGAATGGCGTGAACCCGGGAGGCAGAGGTTGCAGTGAGCCGAGACAGTGCCACTGCACTCCAGCCTGGGCGACAGAGCGAGACTCCGTGTCAAAAAAACAAAAACAAAAACAGATAAAAATGTTCGTCAATTCCCAGAACCCTGGCAACTATTTATCTGGGAACCGCCAACTCTCAGATAAATAGTATCTATCTGTATGATTTTCCAAGACTGGAAACCAGCACTAGTGGGAGTGCTAGGTGGCACAATCTTTCTAGAAAAGCAATTTTGACAATTATGTGTCAAGAATGTTAAGAAGTGAAACTTTTTAAAACAGTTTCTCTTGTTAGGGAAGGAAATACACGCTGCTGGTACGAGTGTATAGACAGATACAGCTCTTTCAGGGAGTCATCTGGCAACATCTTCATTTTAGTACAATTTTCCTTTGACCCAGCAATTCCTGCTTTAGGAATTTCCTCAATGTACTTGCAGCATTTCTCATGTTAACAAACAGCAACAAAATGGATGCACCTTGGTCCATCAGTAAGATTTTGGTTAAATAAGTTAGGGTGCAGAAAAGGCGAACGCTTTATAGCCTCCAGAAATAAAGAAGACCAAGGCTGGGCACAGTGGCTCACACCTGTAATCCCAGCACTTTGGGAGGCCGAGGTGGGTGGATCACCTGGGTTCAGGAGTTTGAGACCAGCCTGGCCAACATGGTGAAACTCTGTCTCTACTAAAAATAGAAAAATTAGCCAGGTGTGATGGTGTGCGCATCGCTGGAATCCCAGCTACTCGGGAGGCTGAGGTGGGAGAATTGCTTGAACCCGGGAGGTGGAGGTTGCAGTGAGCCGAGATTGCGCCACTGCACTCCAGCCTGGGCAACAGAACAAGACTGTCTCAAAAAAAAAAAAAAAAAGAAAGAAAGAAAGAAAAGAAAAGAAAAAAAAAACCCTCAATAAAGCCCATGCAAAAACATTAACCACTCCATACTACTTTTTAGAGGCCAAAGCTAACCACCACCAACCTCTCCAAGCAAGAACAAAAACATACTTCATACTCTTACACCTTAAGGCAAGCTTGTCCAAACCAGGCCCAGGCCAGCTTTGAATTCAGCCCAACACAAATTCATAAACTTTCTTAAAACGTGAGATAGTTTTACAATTTGTTTTAAGCTCATCAGCTATCATTACTGTCCGTGTCTTTTATGTGTGGCCCAAGATAATCCTTCTTCCAATGTGGACCAGGGAAGCCAAAAGATTAGACACCCTTGCCTTAGGTCGCTTATCTTCATAGCCACATAATCAAACAAGCTCCTTTGTTTCCATTTTGCAGATGTGGAAAACAGGCTCAGAACTAAATGGCTCAAGATGACATACTGCTTGCTAGTCACAATACAGAGGTGACTTAAATACTATTTAACAGCACTAAAATTAGTGGCCCAATTCATAATCGTTTCTTCTAGAGCGGAGTTTCTCCCCTCTGTGGGAGAAACTTTTTTATTTTGCCCCTCTATGGAGGCTTTTAAGTTATTTTTCCCTAATAGCTCCCCACTTATAAAGTTCTAATATCACAAACATATTATATACATTTATCTCCTTTGGAAGGCCACAAACCACTGTACTATCAATAAAACGTTTTCATCCCATTGGTGAAAATATCACTTGATTGAAAATGCATGTTCTATTTAACACAGGCATTTTTAAACAGGGGGTCTATGAAATTAGATAAGAAAAAAATACTAATTTTCACTAAGCTGAACTAAAATTCAACCTTTCTTTCAATGATGAATATAAGCAACATACCACAGTGGTATTAATAGAACTTGTGACTTTGTCATCAGTGGAGACCACAGATATTTTCATATAGTGTTACAAGTTGTTATGACTTGGAAATTCTTGTTATCTGACAGGCTACTAGATCTTGTTATTTATTGTATTAATAAAGTAGCTGATATTACTAAGTTAAAAATGTTTTCATTTTTGATGACTGTATTTCAATGCAATTTATTTCCTTGGTCATCTATGTATTTTATACACTATGTTGAGAAGGGATCTATGGCACAAAAAAGGTTAAGCTCCCTCCCCTAGAAGGATCCAGCAGTTCCCAGAGTGATTTACAGCCTGAATACCAGCTTGCCTTTGCTGTATACACAAGCTTGCCTCTTCTGTAGCCTCCACCAGCAACATCCCACTTGACTCTTAAAACAGCAGCAGCTCTGTTTGCTTGTGCAGTAAAAAGTGCTTCTACATCCAGGCCACCACTGGTAAATACCGCAACTGTATTTGCCAAGGAGTAAGAAGATTCTGTTATGAACAATTGCTGGGCATGCTTAAGTTAACCAAAAAGGAAAAAAAAAAAGCAAAGTTCAGAGGGATTACACAGCAACTAGTTCTTCCATTTCTCCACCCCACCCCCACCCCGAATTTTAGGAATGTTATCTTGCAGCATCTAGTTATCCAATAAGTTGGAAGAATGCAGTAAACCCAGCAGGGGTCTTAGATTCAATCACTGCCAAATGGATAGAAAATACTCTTACTATTGTATAGGAAGAAAGTTCATCTACTAGTGGCCAATCAAATTCTGGAGACACTGAAATGCTTAAAAAGTAAAACCTGTATATCTTGATAAAAGCATTATGACTCAAGCTTATCTTTTTTTCATTCCTACATTTAAAGAACGACAATGAGTAGATTATCTAAAGCACACAACATCTTCTACCCTCCCCCAACCCCAGGATAATTGCTTACCAAAAAACAAAAGGAAATTATGTGCCTTCTTAAGTATTTAACCAGTTGAAAGAAAACTGCCTCTTTAGCAGCTTAATTTTAGCAGTCAAAAAGCCTTCAACTCAATTCATAGAAGGCAGATAAGACTTTAAGTTTCCACCTAATTAAGATCTAAAAAAGGCAAAGTTTCAAACAGCCTTGAACCAAAATTCGGGGATGCTGCTGGAGAGGAAAAAAAGAGTAAATGGCTCAAAGAAAGTTTCACAGGCGCTAAGGCGTGTGACTTCTGTTTGCTTCCAAGGTTAGGGAAGTGTCCCACTCGTCCCCAACTAGAGATCAGGCAAGTTTGCAAACTCCATGAGGGCAGGGGTTTTTGTCGCCTGTCTCCAGAGCCCCCCTGAACAAATCCTGACACAGACATACAATTTGTTGGGGCGGGGGTGGGGGGGGATTGTGGTGACTGGCGATGCAGTTCTTATCTGGATTTAGTGGCTTTTAAAAATGTTTAGACATTTTAAAAAATAGTCAAAAGTACTGTAGGCTAAAGGTGATGAGGAAGGGACAACTTCTGGAACTCTTTTCGCCATCAATTTTTCCAGGGTAGTACAACCCAGAGAAGCCGACCAAACTCCAACATTGTTTTATTTCTGGGACCTCTTCATCTAAACCGTGTGAAGGCACATCCCAACATTTAAGATGGCAGAGGAGAGGCCACCAAACCCAACCAGCCAAGCACCAATCACGGCTCCCTTGTCGAAGATGCCAAAAAGAACATCTCATCACATCACCAACTGACCTAAGGTTATTTTTAAAAAACCAATAAAAACAAAACAAAACAAAACAAAACAAAACAAAAAAAACAGTTCCTTGGGCTCTGGGGCGAGGCAGGACAAGACACCATGGGCCATCAAGCAGGGCAAGGCACCACGGGCAAAGCCATTTCAAACAGGTGCTGCAATTTAAAATGAGTAAAAACATGACTATCACTTTTGGTCTTTAATATCTTGAATTAAAGATAGCGCACTCGAGTCCCCAGCCTGGTGTCTGGCAGGCAGCACACTGCCATTTCTGCTAGATTGCCTCAACTGGCAGCTCAACACCATCTTGACACAATAAACACAAATAAAAACATTTTGGTATTTTGAACAAAATTAAGACTGATCACATTCCCAATTCATAGTAGCCCTTCTATAGTTGAAATTATCTAAACAGGGCATTTTATCACTGCTATATAGAGGAGGAACCCAAAAACTCAGAAAAAACAAAAAAACAGAAAACGCCACCAAGCTGGCTTCAAGGTTACACAGCTGAAAGTCACACAGCCACAGTGGAACGCGGATCCCATTCTAAAACCTGACTTCCCAGGCATCAACCTAACACTTCACATTTTAAAAAAGGAAATGCTAACTGCCTTCTGCCTCCCAAGATGGTTCCCCAACCCACAGCCCAGGAGGAAGCTCACTAACAGCAGCACGAATGACAAAGTATCATTTGCTTCTGCACTGCACATTTTTATTCAACAAAAGGAGCTGTTTGGCAAATTGTAGCTTCTCTCCCTATGGGAAACCCACATGAAGTCTAACGTAGAAAGTTGACCTGAAACGTTAACTAACGTCAAAATCCTTCTAAGCCAGCGTAGGTCATTTTGGTGAGTAATTGGAAATAGGAAGTTATTCGAAACTTGGGAATCCTAATCGTTGATGTTTGTAATCCAGTTTAGCACAAAGGGCATTTGAAACTCTTTTGAGAAAATGCTAATTTTTCCTGTATGTAGTGTTAGCCCTGCGACCACCTGCAGATTTTTTGATCTGCTAATTGATCGCCAGACGTCATTTTCCTCCCTCAAAAACTGCATTCTCGAATGGCTTTGCAAAATAAGACCAGCTCAATCTGCATTCTAAAAAATTATGTGAGACATATACATACATCTAAGTTAGATATGTATGTCTACATTATATACCTAACACATATAATTTTAGGCAGCTCAAATGCAAACAACCCAAACGCAGCCATTAAAAACGCACTGCTTGGGAAAACAACCTTCTCTCCCAAGGAGGCAATTGGAGGCTCTGCAAACACATTCTAGCCGCCAGGAGTTATTACCAAGAATTCCACACTTGGCAAAGAACAGCGGGCACAGACGACGATCAAGCAGGCGACCGGCACGAATCCCCTAGGGTACCCATCCTTGGCCCAGCCCAGCACTCTCCATTCACCCCCACAACCCGTCCCACCCACCAGGTGTGAGCCAGTACCTGCGAAGGGACCCCGCCTCCCAGCAAAGGGCTAGGCTTCAAGCTGGGCCTCCAGGGGGCGCCCGCGCGCAAGCCGGGTGGGCTGTCCGCGACAACCCTGGTGATCAATAGCCAACTCCCCTCCCTCCCAAATCGCAGTGGCAGCGCACGGCCAGGCCCGAGGTTTTAGCTCAGCTCAGGTTGACTCTGATTCCAAACTCCAACCATCGTTAATTTCAGAAGCCCTCTCGTAACAAGCTTCCCTCCCGAAAGGTGCCAAACACCACCAAAAGCCCCACGTGTGTGCGCCCACCCAAAATGAAGGGGGAAGGGGAGGTCAGCGTAGGACCAGGGGAGGGGTCAGAACCAGGAGCTCGCCCCTCCTCTCCGGAGGAAGCAGGCGGGCTGAGGGTTAACCCTTTTGTTCCAGGTGGGCCAGGCCACGAAGCCTTCACGCTCCCCTCAACCCCCACCCCACCCCGCCCCCAACCAAGGCACAAAGAGAGTCCCTCCAGGCGCCTGGGACCTCGGGTGCGCGCTGCGCTGACCACCCGGCGCCCCGAAAACGCCCAGCCATCCCCTCCGTCAAGCCGATCCTTTTAATTTGCCCTGGAAAAATGTTAAACGGGGAATTCTATTGACGTATTATAAACTTGGGAAATGTATTACATTCAGTCTCCGACAAAAAGGCGGGGATACGGAAGCCAAAAAGTGGCGACCGTCTTCTCGGGAAACCCCGGGTATCAGAGATGGTCTCTGAGAGTCCTCCGGGGTTGCCGCGCACACCCGTCTGCTGCAGGGAAATTAGAAAGCAGGCGGGGAGCGGAGCGACGAACAAGGCCGGAGAGGAGGCTACAAATCCCCCCTCCCCCCACGCGCACGCTAAAAACTTATCAGGCGACAATTTGGCGGGCCGGGATGGAGACGAGATAGTGGAAAACCGCCTCGCTCCTAAAACCTCCGCGGTGAAGTGATGAAGTGGGAACAGAGTTGGCCCCGCCGTTCCTGGCGCGGCTGGGGTCCCGAACTCCCCTCGATCTGGGAAACGCTGGCCGCGGAAGCGTGGGCCAGGTCAGCCGCGGGAGTTCGCTCTGGCCCCCCACCTCTCCCCTTTCACACCCAAGCGCAAATGTGGAAAGCCGAGCGCTCCAGAAAAGCCACGCAAAACGGGAGGCCGGTGCACCCCAGTGGGGCTGCCGCGCGCCCGCCACCCCGGCCACTGGGGGCTCGCACCCTCGGGCTTGCCGCGGTTATTTTTAGGAAGTCGGAAATCAAAGATGGCTGGAGGTCAGGCCCCGAAAGGTTAGGGCGAAGATCGGCAGGCGGCGCAGCCCGGGCAGAAAAGGCGAAATCCAGAAAAGAAAAAAATTTTAAAGGGAAACATTGAGCCCTCCTCCCCCACCTCTCTGGGCCCTCCAATCCCCTGCGCAGCGCGGGTGGCCCGCACCCCAGCTCCTGAGGGTGGGGAGAGGTCGCGCCCCCTCCCCCCACTTGGCCCGGGAGGGGCGCGTGCAACAGATCGTCCTCCTCCGGGGGGTCTTCCAGGGGTGCGCCCCTCCTCCAGCCTCCAAGAAAAGCCCCAAGGGGCTGGTGGAGAGGGTGGGGATCCCCCGGGGTTCTTTCTTTTGAGAGCGACGCGAGGGAGGGGGACCTAAGTTACAAGGGGGGGGGGTAACACCAGTGAGGGGAGTGGAACCAATTAAGTGAGGGGCAGAGGACAAGGAGAAGGGAACCTTTCGGGAGCGAGAACAGAGGAGCGAGTGGGGGTCAATTTTACAATTAGGGGAGAAAGCTGGGGGTGAAACTTACACAAGAGGGGAGAAGAGGAAAAAAGTGTGAAATGTGCAAAAGGCGGGGTGGTGGGGAGAGGAGGAGACCTCTCCTCCCGGGCACTGAGCCCCCAAATCTCGGCTCCTGAATTTGCGCTGGACGCCGCCCGCTCCCCGAAGCCTGCGCCCTCGAGGATCCCGCGTACGTCCGGGAAGCTCCCCTCCCCGGGCGGGCGCCCCAGCCCCACTCACCCAGCTCCCCCGCCGCGGGCGCCGCTGGGGCCGCATCTGCAAACTCCGGGGTCTGCTGCTGCGGCTGCTGCTCGCCCTGGTCCTCCTCCGAGTTGATGTGCTGGGGTTTCGCCTGCTTGCGCCTCGACATGGTGCGAGCATCGGGGCGCCGGGAGAGCCGCAGTTATTTGCCCTCTCCGCCACAAATTCCTGGAGTTGGGAAATTTACCCCCCTTCGGCCGGAACGCGCATGTCCCAGTAATTATTATTATCAATAATGCATTGCGATTTATCATGAGCCCTGACAGCTGATTGGCCTGGGTCCAAGACCTCAGAGATCATTTAAATAAGCCCTCATTGATCAGGGAGGGGTGAGGCATTCTGGGCTTTGTAGTCCGGGCCTACTTGTGACAAAGGCGTGTTCATCAGGGGAGCGCAGCTAATTAGCATCCGGGCTCAGATTGGCTGGGGCGGGGACGAAATCAGAGGGGGACCCATCCTTGCTCCAGCTATCTCAGTCCTTGGAGAGGAAAAGAAAATGGGGAGAAATGCGTACTCATTAAAAAGTAGGAGCTTACGTAGAAGTTTTGGAACGGCTTTATTTGGTAGTTACTTGCTCCAAAGATTACTTGGTAAGGTTGATGTCCACCAGCCGAGAAGGGAGATCTCTTCACAGTGGAATATTTTGGCTCAGTTTTCACATCTACACGCACACACATTCCCCCAAACCTGAGATGTGACCCGTGTCCCCTCCCATCTTTTTGATTAAAAATGTTTAAGTTGAGTCTCGAGATAACTGAAGAATGATGAATGGTGGTGTTTTCAGCCCTCCCACCCATCTCAACTCTTAAAGTGAGCTCGGAACTTCCAAAATTTCAGATACCCCACCACCACCATGACTTACCTCCTTTAAAAGCTGATTAATAGCCTCCAGGATTCCTGTTCACAAAGACTGGTTTGTGGTTACAATGCAAACCTTGATTTTTTTTTAACTTCAAAATGACTGGCTACTAAATATAGAAATGGCAAATGATAAGCAAGCATAGTCAGAGATAATATCAAAACAGCAAGCAATTGCATTTTTTTCCCCAGGAGCCATAAATGCCTGATAACATCATATTTTATTACTGAGACAATGCTCTTGCATCTCCCATGGAATGGCAATGGGGCACTGTCACAGTATCTGGTTGTTACTAATCACTATTGGAATTTTTTTGTGCAATACACACATTATTACAGAAAAGGTGTATCGTTCAAAGTGATTGTATCATTGACACATGATGCCTGGAATTTTTTAAAGTGGGGCTTGTGTGTGTGTATATGATATATTACATGTATACACATTTATACCGTAAATTCATGTATACTTAATTTGGCTAACTGCTTTACACAATGTACATGCTCAATAAATGTTAAATGAATGATGAAATCATCAACCTGCTAAGTCTTTGATTGGTCTTTCCATAACTGCTCTGGGCATGCGTCTTTGTTTGGCATTTACTTCATTGTAAGGGACTGTGCAGATATAAACCCTCCCTCCACATTTGTGCATTGCATTCTCTTGATTAGTTATTCATCACGTTCCCAGCTTGTAAACTCATCAGGAATACAAGCAAAATGGAATGCTGGGCTCATCAATGTGTTCACCTGGGTATTTGGACAACCCAAGGCAGAAAATAAATCAGCTTGATCATCTTTTTTATATTCGTGGCCATCAGTAAAAACTTGTTGAAGGAAGATTAACCTTCAATTTTTGAGTCTCTGAAAAAGTCTTGCCTTATTTTATGTATAATATTTAAAGCAAGTAAGACAGAATTATAGCCAACAGCCAGATTGAAAAGGTAAGAATTTGGTTTAATAATACATAGAAGCAGTTTAGAATTCTGATACTGAGTAAAAAGGCCAATTAGCACCTGCCTTGCTGACTAATCTACTAATATTCTCAACACCTTTTCTGTGTAAGATAGTGTGGCAGGAGATCTAACTTACAAATCTAAACGAATGTGCAGTGGGTTTATGGCTCAAAAAATACTATTGGGTTAAGGAAAATTTCATTTATATAGTTGTTTATATTTATTTTAGTAGATGATAGTTGTAACATGTTAGCCTTACTACGAGACAAAATTGTGCCGCTTGACTCTCCAAGTGATAGTAATAATAATAATTGATTGAGCCCCTTGTACATGCCACAGACTGCATTAAATGAATGCACACCGCCTTGTTTTATCTTCCCATGGAGGTTGGCCCTATTGTCCTCTCCATTTTGAAACTGAGGCTCAAAGACATGAAGTGACTTAATTAGAAACTGGCTGAGCTGGTGGTCAGTTTCTAAGCCGGTGGTCAGTTTCTAAGTCTGACTCCAAAATTCTATCACATCCTAATACCTGTCTTCCAACTATAGCTGAATATAGAGAAGATAGCTAAAGAAGAAAAATCGGAGTACAGTAAACTAAATTTAAAGTGTCCTAGAAAAATCTTGGGTCTTCAGAAATCACTCCAACAGATGAAGTCAAGAAGTTTCCCTCAAATGGAAACCTTCCACAAATGTCATATCAAGAAAAGCAGGACACAGTACATGTTTTGAATCTACCCCCAGTTTAACAGCTGCAGCCAGGAGCCAGTTGGTGGAAAATAAAGTAAGTCCTAGAGCAAAGCAGGGGATGAACGGAGGGCATAGCAACAGGCAAGTCCGTAATCAAAAGTTGTTTCAGGCTGAGCACAGTGTCTCACGCCTGTAATCCCAGCACTCTGGGAGGCCAAGACTGGCGGGTCACCAGAGGTCAGGAGTTCGAGACTAGCCTGGCCAACACGGTAAAACTCCATCTCTACTAAAAATACAAAAATTAGCTGGTTGTGGTGGCGCATGCCTGTAATCCCAGCTACTCAGGAGCCTGACGGAGGAGAATCACTTGAATCCAGGAGGCGGTGGTTGCAGTGAGCCAAGATCTAGCTACTGCACTCCAACCTGGGCGACAGAGTGAGACTCTGTCTCATGAAAAAACAACAACAAAAAAGTTATTTATTAAACCAAAGGACCTGGTTGGGACCCAAGCTTGAAAAGAAAATGTTCAGAGTAAAGGATGATATTAAACTTTTTCATGTTAACGTCCTTTGTTAGGTGACTGGGTTTATATAATCCAGTCATTGTCAATGTTTATGTAATCCAGTCATGTTCAATGTTTGTGCCAGGCAGGAATATTCAAAAAATACACTTCTTGGTATATTTTTCAGCAGTCTTATTGTTTATAAGGAGATTTGGGATGCATAATCCCATTTTATCCTCACTAATATCCTTTTTTAATTCCTTTTTTTTTTTTTTTTTTTTTTTGAGACAGACCACTCTTGTCACCCAGGCTGGAATGCAGTGGCACGATCTCTGCTCATTGCAACCTCTGCCTGGGTTCAAGCGATTCTCCTGCCTCAGCCTCCTGAGTACCTGGGACTATAAGCACATGCCACCACACTCGGCTAATTTTTGTATTTTTAGTAGAGATGGGGTTTCACCATGTTCACCAGTTGTCTCCAACTCCTGACCTCAAGTGAGGCCCACCTCAGCCTCCCAAAGTGCTGGGATTACAGACGTGAGCCACCGTGTCCGGCTTATTTCTACTTCATTTATGGAAAAACAGAAGCTCATTGCTCCCATCAGCTCCTAGCGAGTACTAACGAATGCATGCCAAATTATGGATTCAGTAACTTTGCACAGGTCTCAGTGGAAGGCAGATCTTTCCCTGAAAACCCCACCTCTGCTCTTTTCTACAAGGAATCGTCTTCCTTTCCACTGCTTGCCTCTCTTCACCTGGCCCACTCCTAAAAAGCCTATAATCTCTTCAAATTTCCCTTCCTTAAACCAGCCTTCCCTCTTCCAAACTAGGTCTCATTTATTAGTTCTCTCAGGCTTCAAGAAACCATATCTTTCTTTTTATAGCGCACTTCAAAATATATAATGACAGACTTTCTCATGTATCTGTTTATTGCTTATTTCTCACACTGCAGGCTCCGTGAGGGTAGACACCGTCATCACGGTGTCCTTAGCACTTAGCCACAGTAATGGAACACAGAAGTCACAACAAATAAATAGCGATGGACTCAATCCATGCTGAGTAACTTTAGAGGCCTGAATATGAAATGAAGTGTTAAAGGCAATATAGTAGGTGGGAATGTAAAATGCTGCAGCCACTCTAGATGGCAGTTCCTCAACAAATGTAAAAAAGGATTACCATATGATCCAGCAATTCCACATGTGGGTATATATCCAAAAGAATTGAAAGCAGGGTCTCGAAGCAGTATTTATATACCCATGTTCACAGCAGAATTATTCACAATAGCCAAAAAGTGGAAACAACTCAAGTGTCCATGGACAGATGAATGAATAAAGTAAATGCAGTCTATCCATACAATGGAATATTACTCAGCCTTAAAAAGGAAGGAAATTCTGACACATGGTACCACATGGATGAATCTTTGTTTTCTTTTGGGTTTTTTTGTTGTTGTTTTTTGAGACAGAGTCTCGCTCTGTCACCCAGGAGTGCAGTGGTGCGATCTTGGCTCACTGCAAGCTCTGCCTCCCGGGTTCACGCCATTCTCCTGCCTCAGCCTCCCGAGTAGCTGGGACTACAGAAGCCCACCACCACGCCCGGCTAATTTTTTGTTTTTTTAGTAGAGATGGGGTTTCACCATGTTAGCCAGGATGGTCTTCATCTCCTCACCTTGTGATCCGCCCGCCTCGGCCTCCCAAAGTTCTGGGATTACAGGCGTGAGCCACCATGCCCAGCCAACATGGATGAAACTTGAAGACATTATGCCAAGTAAAATGAGCCAGTCACAGAAGGACAAATAGAGTAGTCAAATTCATAGAGACAAAAAGTAGAATGGTGGTTGCCAGGGGCTGGAGGGAGGGAGAGTGGGGGGTGGAGGGGCCGTTTCTGCTCAATAGGCATGAAGTTCCAGTTTTGCAAGATGAAAAGGGATCTAGATAAATGTTTAGATTTTAGCTGCTTTGCCACAAAAACAAACAAAATCAGGTAACAATGCAAGACGGATAGGTTCATTTGCTTCACTGGTAATCTTTTTACTATCTATATAAATCCCATAACATCATGTAGTATGCCTTAAATATACACAATAATTTTTTTTTTTAAAAGATCTGGACTGGGCACGGTGGCTCACGCCTGTAATCCCAGCACTTTGGGAGGCCAAGGCAGGCGGATCATGAGTTCGGGAGTTCGAGACCACCCTGACCAACATGGTGAAACCCCATCTCTACTAAAAGTACAAAAATTAAATGGGCGTGGTGGTGGGCACCTGCAATCCCAGCTACTTGGGAGGCTGAGGCAGGAGAATCACTTGAACCTGGGAGGCGGAGGTTGCCCAGATGGTGCCACTGCACTACAGCTTGGGAGACAAAGCGAGACTCCAACTCGAAAGAAAAAAAAAAAAAGAAAAAAGAAAGAGAGAGATCTGGAAATTGGTTGCTCAACAATGTCAATGTACTCAACATTTCAAAACAGCACACTTAAAGATGGGTCAGACAGTAAATCTTATGTTAAGTGTATTTTAACACAGTTGCAGAGAAAAAAAGGCAATTACAAACTAGATTATCACGATGGCTGCATACTGTATGGATTTACTAAAAATAATTCAACTGTACACTCACAGTGAGTGAGTTTCATGATATGTAAAGCATATGTACATGAAATGGTTTTTAGGAAGACAATTACATACTTGGCTATCCCTGTCATTGAAAGGACCACAGTTATGTGTGTGTTTTTTTCTGTGTGGGATTCCCAGCATCTTAAGCTCGAAATGACTAAAGTAGCGAGGTTGAGTCCCATAAATCATGATCTGCCACTGCAAAAGTATTGCCCCTTTGGACCTCTGTTTATTCATGCCAGGAAGCAAAGTCGACTGACTTGGTAACCACAGCTGCTTCAATTTGGGAAATGTAAGGGTTGGATTTGGGAAGTATCTTAACATGGACCAACGTCTTAGAGTCTATGGACTTTTATGTATCATAGTACATTTGATATCTGCCTACCCCAAATGGAAGGCTTGATGTCTGGAAGGCACTCTTCAAATTCTAGAGATTTAGAAGTTAAGCTAAAATTGCCTCCAAAATCATGCTTGTAATTCAATGGGACTGTTTTATTATGGGGCCAAATGTCCACTTTTCTGAGTGTCCTGGCCCAGAGCCCTTCTGCTGGGACGATTTATGTTCGCAAAGTTGGCTAATTGCAATAATCACCACTTAACTGATGATATTTCCCCCATTTTAATATCTCTCTGCTTGTTGCCATTTCATCAATTCCAAATTGGTATTGAACAATTTCTAGCTCCAATTAGTCTTCTTAGTTGCAGCTGATGTATTGAAGCCTACAACTGTGTATTCAAAAAAAAAAAAAAAAGGTAAAAATATTCCAGGCCAGACACCGTGGCTCATACCTGTATTCTAGCACTTTAGGAGGCTGAGACCAGAGGACTGCTTGAGCCCAGCCCAGGAGTTTGAGAGCAGCCTGGACAACATAGGGAGTCCCCATCTCTACAGAAAATAAACCACAAAAAAATTAGCCAGGCATGGTGGCACGCACCTATAGTCCCAGCTACTCTGGAGGCTGAGGTGGGAGATCACCTGAGCCTGGAGAAGTCGAGGCTGCGGTGAGCTGTTATCGTGCCACTGCATTCCAGCCTGGGTGACGGAGCGAGACCCTGTTTCAGAAAAACAAAACAAAACAAACAAATAAATTAATCAGGCATGGTGGTGTGTACCTGTAGTTCCAGCTACTCAGGAGACTGAGGTGGAAGGATTGATTGAGCCCAGGAGTTTGAGGCTGCAGCGAGCCTTGTTCATGCCACTGCACTCCAGCCTGGGCAACAGAGTGAGAGTCAGTCTTAAAAAACAAACAAACAAAAAAGGGCCTGGCACAATGGCTCACGCCTGTAATCCCAACACTTTGGGAGGTCGAGGCCAGCAGATCACGAGGTCAGAAGTTCGAGACAGCCTGGCCAACATGGTAAAACCCTGTCTCTACTAAAAATACAAAAATTAGCCAGACGTGGTGGTTTGCGCCTGTAATCCCAGCTACTCAGAAGGCTGAGGCAGGAGAATTGCTTGAACCCAGGAGGCAGAGGTTGCAATGAGCCGAGATCGCGCAACAGCACTCCAGCCTGGGACAGAGTAAGACTCTGTCTCAAAGAAACAAAAAAATTCTGTCTGGGCGTGGTGGCTCACACCTGTAATCCCAATATTTGGGAGGCCGAGGTGGGTGGGGCATCTGAGGTCAGGAGTTCGAGACCAGCCTGGCCAACATGGTGAAACCCTGTCTCTACTTAACAAAAAAAAAATTAGCAGGCATGGTAGCGGGCGCCTGTAATCCCAGCTACTTGGGAGGCTGAGGCAGGAGAATCACTTGAACCCGGGAGGCGGCGGTTGCAGTAAGCCAAGATCATGCCATTGCACTCCAGCCTGGACGACAAGAGCGAAACTCCGTCTCCAAAAAAAAAAAAAAAAAAAAAAAAAATTTCCAACAAGCTTATTAAAGCAAGAGTGAATTGTCAGAAATGATACTTTCTTCTGTAAGTTTGCTGGTTAAAGACTAAATGGATTAAGAATAAAAGATTTGGCCGGGCATGGTGGCTCACTCCTGTAATCCCAGCACTTTGGGAGGCCGAGGTGGGTGGATCACGAGGTCAGGAGATCGAGACCATCCTGGCTAACACGGTGAAACCCTGTCTCTACTAAAAATACAAAAATTAGCCGGGCTTGGTGGCGGGCCCCTGTAGTCCCAGCTACTCGGGAGGCTGAGGCAGGAGAATCGTTTGAACCTGGGAGGCGGAGCTTGCAGTGAGCCGAGATCGTGCCACTGCACTCCAGCCTGGGTGACAGAGCGAGACTCCGTCTCAAAAAAAATAAATAAATAAAATAGTTTGTGTGACTAGCTTTTTTTACTCCTCAGTCGCTTGAAACTCATGCTAGTCCAAGCATGCAGTCTTTCGGTCAATCTCAGGCACACACATACAGTCGAGAATGTTGGTTCTCTAAGTCCACAGCAGCAGTTCTTAATGGGAACAATGTGCCTTTTCCCCCACCAGGGGACATTTGGCAATGTCTAGAGACATTTTCGGTTGTCACTACTGTCTAGTAGGTAGAGGCCCGGGGTCATGCTTAAGATCCTACAATGCCCAGGATAACCTCCACAACAAAGGAATAGCTGACCCAAAAGGTCAACGGTGCCAGAGATGAGAAACGAGGCTTACAGGTAATATGATTTCAAGGCTATATTAGCACCTAACTAATACCATTAAAAAAAAAAATAGTAAAGTCCTTTCTAAAAAGTATTAAGTCACAATCAAATCCTCTTATCTTCTCCAGGGGAGGCTTCTTAACCTTCCCAACTAAATCAAACTTCAGCATTTCGACCCTTTCCCTCAAAGATTGCACAATTACCGTCTTATATTCACTCATGTGATGATTTGAGTAATTTATCTACTTCTCCGCCTGCAGATTAGAGAAAGATAACATTTTGGAATTCTGTTTATTTCACTGAATGGGCTATCATAAGATTCTCCTGCCGCATTGAAAGAAATCTTTGTAAATGTGTTTTGTTATTTTTTCACTCTGTGGATGAACCTTTAATTCACTTAACCAACCCCTGTTGAGTATTTGAGATCTTTGTCTTTACTTTAGTAACATTTCAGGGAACGTCTTTGCTCATAGACGGCTCTGTCCAAATTTTGGATTTCTTGCCTTAAGGCCTACCATCTTGAGTCTTTCTGAAGTGAATGTTGAAATGAATTTCACAGATTCACAGCCCTTTGAGAGCTTTTTTCAAATACTATCTTACTCCTTTTGTAGGCTCTTGTGCAAGACCAGGGCCTCAGTAACATGAGTGATCAAGCTAAATGGGTCATCTCATAAACATGCTTATCGGGACACTCACATATTGCGTAACTGGACAGCAGAAATGTATAGATTTTCAAAAACAAGTCAAAGGTTCAATTGATTGAACATTTTTTTTTCTGCTAGAAATGCTTTCCTTTTCATTTCCTTTTTACATAAGTCTGATTCACTCTTTACTTAAATATTTCTGTACTGGCGTCCAAAACCCTTCTTAAAAGTTTTCTCTTGCCTTAAAAGAAAATTTTTTTTTGTTATCTACCAGGCACAAATCCAACCCCTTAGTCCCCTAAAAAGTGCCTATTGTAAACTCTATGTTTAAAAACTATTACTGAGAAGGCGCTTCTTCAAATTCGCTGCAAACTTTATTATAACAAAGCTTAAAGAGCTAAAAGCGCGGCACAATGGAAAGTTGACTGTTATAAATATCTATCCGGCTTTGCAATATAAATTATAATTAAAAATAAACTTGTCAGAGAACTCTAGGCAACACACAAAAAGTGAGACGTTTAGAACGAGGCAATTAAGAATGTTAATTGGAACACAGAGAAAAGCAAAGGACAGTCATTGTTAAGATAACTGCTCTATAAACACCTAAATGGATTCTGTGAAGGGGAAGAAAGGATCATCTTTTGACCATGAAAGGGAATATAAAATGTTCTTTTCTTTGTTTTAATGTGTGGAGAGATTTTAAACTTCTTTTCTCGCTCAGACGCTCAAGTAAACAAATGACTTGGCCCTAGTCTGGTGTGGGTAACTAAAGAGAGAAATGGAGGGAAAGAGAGAAAAGCCAACTGGGTAGGCGAGAAGAGAAGAGAGCAAATGCTGAAGAAGAAGAAAAACAAAGGAGGATGATAAATGTAGAGGAATAAAGGGAAAAACCAAAACAGAAGGCATAAACCCCTAGGAAACAGAACAAGAGTTAAACACAGAGAATAAGAAAGGAGTCATCTCCCTTTCTTCACTCTCCAAATGATCTGCAAGTTAATTTCTTAAAGACAGCAGAGTCGACAAGCACAGTCAGACAGACCCAGATGTAGATCTTGCTTCTTGGCAGTTTCCATCTGGGCTGGATAATTTCCTCCAGGTTCTCAACCTCTCTATGCCTTGATTTCTTCCCTAGTCAATGGGGAGGGTAATCGCTGCTTGTGGCTTCGCTGCAAAAATCAGAAATGATTTGTGTGAAGCCCCTGGCATATAATTAGTGTTTAGGAAACATCTATTACCACATGAATTATTTCAGGGTACAGCAGGAATGTTTAAGCTTTCTCATAATATTAAGCAGACGCACAACATACATGATAGTTTTGGAGTCGGAGTTATTTAATTTACATGGTCATTTATTTGATCATTCATTCATTCAAGGAGTAATAATTTTGTCTGCTATGCACAGGGCCTTGAGCTCACCCAGTGCTGGGAATTTAGACATGAAAAACCTTAAGTAGTTCAGCCTAAAATGTCTAAAAGTTTAATGTCAAAATTGTTGGCTTTTGCAAAAATGTTAGCCTGTGGGCCAATGGTGGTCTATGGTACATTGACTCTGCCTAGAATATGGCTAGGATGGGATGGAAACACGAAAGACATGATTTAGAACATATTCTTTTCCAGAATAAGCATTCCGTGACAGAAGGGGCCATATTCATCTCATTCACCGTTGCATAAACAAATTGCATTGCATAAGCAAATATCTTTAATGAACAGCATCTAGGAGCACGTGCTTTGAAGACAAAGCAAGGTAAAAGGACAGAGGCCATCAGTGGATGCTTTTCTTGTAGGGTGATCAGGAAAGGCTTCACTGAAAAGGAGACAAGTGGCCGAGACATGAAGGAGGTGAGGGAGAAAGTCATATAGATCTGTGGGAATTGCATTCCAGACAGAGGCAACAGACAATGCAAAGGCCTTGAGGCAGGAACGTGCTTGGCGTGTTTGAGGAACCAGAAAAAGGCCAGTGGGGCTGGGGTGGAGTGAGTGAGGAGTAATAGGGGCAGAGGACATATGACCTTAGAGATCATGGCTCTAGATACTTTGTTTTCCTATTTTTTTTATTGTGGTTAAATATCCATAATATGAAATTTATTTATGTATTTATTTTTCTGAGATGCAGTTTTGCTCTGTCGCCCAGGCTGGAGTGCAGTGGCATGATCTCAGCTCACTGCAACCTCCGCCTCCCAGGTTCAAGCGATTTTCCTGTCTCAGATTCCCCAGTAGCTGGGATTATAGGCGTGTGCCACCACACTCAGCCAATTTTTATAGTTTTAGTAGAGACGGGGTTTCACCATGTTGGCTGGTCTGGTCTTGAACTCCCGATCTCAGGTGATCCGCCTGCCTCGGCCTCCCAAAGTGCTGGGATTACAGGCGTGAGCCACCGCATTTCCACTTATTTTAAATGTCATCTCGTAGTGGCAGCTTACCAAATAGAGATCCATATAACTGCTCGAAAATTTTAAGGCTTAAGAAATACTCAAAAGGAGTGATTAGTAGTAGAATGCTTAATAAATTCTTAATTGTCAGGCTGGGCATGGTGGCTCACGCCTGTAATCCCAGCACTTTGGGAGGCCGAGGCAGGTGGATCACCTGAGGTCAGGAGTTTGAGACCAGCCTGGCCAACATGGCGAAACCCTGTCTCTATTAAAAATACAAAAATTAGCCGGGCATGGTGGCACACACCTGTAAGCCCAGCTTACTCAGGAGGCTGAGACATGAGAATTGCTTGAGCCTGGGAGATGGAGGTTGCAGCGAGCTGAGATAATGCCATTGCACTCCAGCCTCGGTGACAGAGCGAGACTCTGTCTCAAAAATAATAATGATAATAAAAAATAAATTCTTGTTTGTTTGTTTGTTTTGTTTTGTTTTGTTTGAGACGGAGTCTCACTCTGTCACCCAGACTGGAGTACAATGGCGTCTTCTCAGCTCACTGCAGCCTCCACCTCCCAGGTTCAAGCGATTCTCCCGCCTCCACCTCCCAAGTAGCCGGGACTATACGCGCGTGCCAACACACCCGGCTAATTTTTGTATTTTTAGTAGAGATGGAGTTTCGCTATGTTGGCCAGGCTGATCTCGAACTCCTGACCTTGTGATCCGCCCACCTCGGCCTCCCAAAGTGCTGGGATTACAGGCATGAGCCACCGCGCCCGGCCAATAAATAAATTCTTAATTGTCCTGCAGCAAAAATGTCTAAGGGAACCAAGCATGGTGGCACATGCCTGTAGTACCAGCTACTGGGGAGGGTGAGGTAGGAGGATCACTTGAGCCCAGGAGTTGAAAGATGTATACCCCACAATCGTGCCTGTGAATAGCCACAGTGACCCAGCCTGGGCAACATAGTGAGACCTGGATCTCTAAAATCAAAAAACGTAAGAGTTGAAATATTTAGATAGGTTTCATCTTAATATGTCTGCCAAGTCAATTAGCGATAGGACAGCCCTCCCCACCCCGGTTTTTTTGTTTTGTTTTGTTTTTAAGAATTTTGCTAGGGCTGGGCACAGTGGCTCACACCTGTAATCCCAGCACTTTGGGAGGCTGAGGCAGGTGTATCACGAGGTCAGGAGATTGAGGCCATCCTGGCTAACACGGTGAAACCCCTTCTCTACTAAAAACACAAAAAATTAACTGGGTGTGGTGGCACGCGCCTGTAGTCCCAGCTACTCAGGAGGTTGAGGCAGGATAACCGCTTGAACCTGGGAGGCAGAGGTTGCAGTGAGCCAAGACTGCGCCACTGTACTTCAGCCTGGGCGACAGAGGGAGACTCTGTCTCAGAAAAAAAAAAAAAAAAGAACTTTGCTTTTTTTTTTTTTTTTTTTTTTTTGGTGACATGAAAGGCTGTCAGAGTGTTTTGAGCAGGGGAATGACAGGATTTTCCTAGGTTTTAGGAGAACTCTGAGGGAGGTTATAGACCCAAGTAGGTGGGGGATAGGATGGATGTGGGGAGAGCAGTGAGGACGCTCTTGCAGTAGTCCAGGAATGAGAAAATGGAGCTTGGACCAAGGTGGAAGTGGCAGGGGTGGGAGAGATAAAACAGAGATGTGGGGAATTCATTGTGATCATGTGGCTGATAGAACTTGCAAACTGATCGGATGCAGGTATAAGACACAGGGGTCAAGGATGACGCCTAGATTTTCAGCCTGAGCATCCAAAAGGTTGCAGGTACCAGGTAGAGAAATAGGGAAGGCTGTGGGAGACGTAGATTTGGCAGAGGGGGTGCTTCAGAACTCGTTTGGAACATGTTAGGTTTGATTTGCCAATTAGACATTCAAGTGGAAAAGTTAGATCAACAGTTGGAGACACCAGTCTAAAGTTCAGAGGCAAGGACCAGCAGGCTGTTGACATCAGTATGAGATGGTTTTTGAAGCCGAGAAACTGGCTGAGATCATCTAGGCAGTGAATGGAGATAGGGAAGAGAAAAGAGCAAGGATGAGGCCTGGGGAACTCCTGGGTTTACAGGAGGGAAGTTGAGGAGAAAAATACATAGGTGCAGAGAAAGAGCAGCCAGTGAATCAGGATGACAGAGAGAGCAGTCCAGGAAGCCAAGAGAGGAACGTGCTTCACAGGGAGGCAGGGACTCACTGTCCAAACATGACACTGATGTGTCAAGGCAGACAAGCATTGGAACTGAGTGTTGGGTTTGGCAACACAGAGACAACTAGTCATTAAGAAGATGCCTGGGGATACCTAGGGGCAACAGCTGATTGGAGAGGGTTGGGGAAGGATGAGAGGAGATGGCGAACTCTTTAGGGTCAATTCTTTTAAAACTGTCTCATGGTGAGTGGGGAGTGGGGAGCATCAGGGTGAATATGAGTGTGAGGGAGATAACATAGCAAGTGCTGGATGACGTTGGAAGGATCCGAGGGAAGAGGAAATGTTGATGATGCAGGAGAGAAAGGGAACAATTACAGAGTACAGATGCTCCTTGACTTCTGATGGGTTTACGTCCCGATAAACCCACTGTAAGTTGAAAATATAATAAACTGAAAATGCATTTAGAGGCCTAGGCGGGTGGATCACTTGAGGCCAGGAGTTTGAGACCAGCCTGGCCAACATGGCAAAACTCCGTCTCTACTAAAAATACAAAAATTAGTCAGGCTTGGCCAGGCTCAATGGCTCACGCCTGTAATCCCAGCACTTTGGGAGGCCCAGGCAGGTGGATCACGAGGTCAGGAGTTCAAGACCAGCCTGGATAACATGGTGAAACCCCGTCTCTACTAAAAATACAAAAATTAGCTGGACGTGGTGGTGGTCACCTGTAATCCCAGCTACTTGGGAGGCTGAGGCAGGAGAATTGTTTGAACCCAGGAGGCAGAGCTTGCAGTGAGCCGAGATTGTGCCACTGTACTCCAGCCTGGGCAACAAGAAAGAGCGAGACTCCGTCTCAAAAAAAAAAAAATAGTCAGGCTTGGTAGCGCACACCTGTGATCCCAGCTACTTTGGAGGCTGAGGGACGAGAATTGCTTGAACCTGGGAGACAGAGGTTGGTGTGAGCTGAGATCACGCCACTGCACTCCAGCCTGAGTGACAGAGAGAGACTGTCTTAAAAAAAATGCATTGAATACACCTAACCTACCAAACATTACAGTTTAGCGTACCTTCAACATGCTCAAAACACTTACATTAGTCCACAGTTGGGCAAAGTCATCTAACACAAAGCCTATTTTATAATAAAATGTTAAATAGCTCATGTAATTTATTGAATACTGTACTAAACTGAAAAGCAAAATGGTTGTGAGTACTTGAAGTACAGTTTCTACTGAATGTACTAATTGCCCTTGTACCACTGTAAAATTGAAAAATCTTAAATTGAACCATTGTAAGTTGGTTCATCTGTAGTGATCTCAGGAAAGTAGGAAAGAGCTGGGCATGGTGGCTGCTCATGCCTGTAGTCACAGCAACTCGGGGGGCCGAGGCAGGGAGATCCCTTGAGCCCAGGAATTCGAGACCAGCCTGGGCAACATAAGGTGACTGTGTCTCAATTTATTTTATTATTATTTTTTTGAGACAGAGTCTCACTCTGTCACCTAGGCTCGAGTGCAATGGCGCAATCTCGGCTCACTGCAACCTCTGCCCCCCGGGTTCAAGCAATTCTTCTGCCTCAGCCTCGCCAGTAGCCAGGATTATAGGCGTGCACCACCACACCCAGCTAATTTTTTATTTATTTATTTTGTTTTTTGAGACAGAGTCTCACTCTGTCACCTAGGCTCGAGTGCAATGGCGCAATCTCGGCTCACTGCAACCTCTGCCTCCCAGGTTCACGCCATTCTCCTGCCTCAGCCTCCCGAGTAACTGGAACTACAGGCGCCCGCCACCATGCCCGGCTAATTTTTTTGTATTTTTAGTAGAGACGGGGTTTCACCATGTTAGCCAGGATGGTCTTGATCTCCTGACCTCATGATTCACCCACCTCAGCCTCCCAAATTGCTGGGATTACAGGCATGAGCCACCGCGCCTGGCCTTTTTTTTTTTTTTTTTTTTTTTTTTTTTTGAGACGGAGTCTCACTCTGCTGCTCAGGCTGGAGTACAGTGGCGGGATCTCGGCTCACTGCAACCTCCACCTTCCCGGGTTCATGCCATTCTCCTGCCTCAGCCTCCCGAGTAGCTTGGACTACAGGCACCCGCCACCACGCCTGGCTAATTTTTTTGTATTTTTAGTAGAGACGAGGTTTCACTGTGTTAGCCAGGACGGTCTTGGTCTCCTGACCTCATGATCTGCCCGCCTCAGCCTCCCAAAGTGCTGAGATTACAAGCGTGAGCCACCACGCCCGGCCCACACCCAGCTAATTTTTATATTTTTTGCAGAGATGAGGTTTCACCATGTTGGCCAGGCTGGTCTCGAACTCCTGACCTTAAGTGATTTGTTCACCTTGGCCTTCCAAAGTGCTAGAATTACAGGCACGAGTCACCGCACCTAGCCTATTTTATTTTACTTTATTTTAGTTTTCAGACAGAGTCTTACTCTATTGCCCAGGCTGGACTGCAGTGGCGCATATCAGCTCACTGAAACCTCTGCCTCCCGGGTGCAAGTGATTCTCCTGCCTCAGCCTCCTGAGTAGCTGGGATTACAGGCACGTGCCACCAAGCCTGGCTACTTTTTTTGTAGTTTTTGGTACAGACGCGGTTTGTCCAGGCTGGTCTTTAACTCTTGGCCTCAAGTGATCCGCCCACCTTGGCCTCCCAAAGTGCTGGGATTATAGGCATGAGCCTTTTATATTTTATTTAAAAATTTTTAAAAATTCTTTAAAAAAGGAAGAGATGGAGTGCTGGCCTATGACATGGTAACATAGTTCATCCGCTGCAATAGCAGGGAAGGCAGAATAGTTGGGTGCAGTTCAAGGCAGGTAGGTTAATTTAGCTTGGGAATGTGTGGGAGTTCACTACTGATTGCCTCTATTGTGTCTATTACATTAGTGAAATTAGAAACAAGAGTAAGGAAGGGAAGAGGATGCTGAGTGTTAGAAGAGAGAAAGAAAGGGGTAAAAGTCTTCCAGGAGAGAAAGAGAAAGAATGAAGGAGGGAAATGTAGTGGGGTGGCTGGGTCCATGTGGGCGCTCATGCATTTCTTTCTTTCTTTCTTTTCTTTTCTTCTTTCTTTCTTCCTTTCTTCTTTTTCTTTCTTCTTTCTTTTCTTTCTTTCTTCTTTCTTTTCTTTCTTCTTTCTTTTCTTTTTCTTTTCTCTTCCTTCCTTCCTTCTTTCCTTCCTTCCTTCCCTCCTTCTTCTCTCTCCTTCCCTCCTTCTTTCCTTTGTTCCTTCTTTCCTTCCTTCTCTCCCTCCCTCTTTTCTTTTCTTTTCTTCTTTTCTTTTCTTTCTTTTCTTTTTCTTGAGATGGAGTTTCACTCTCATTGCCCAGACTGGAGTGCAATGGCATGATCTCGGCTCACTGCAACCTCTGCCTGCCGGGTTCAAGCGATTCTCCTGCCTCAGCCTCCCGAGTAGCTGGGATTACAAGCCTGTGCCACCACGCCCAGCTAATTTTGTTTTTTTGTTTTTTTTTTTTGAGACAGAGTCTCTCTCTCTGTTGCCCAGGTTGCAGTGCAGTGGTGCCATCTCGGCTCACTGCAAGCTCCGCCTCCTGGGTTCACACCATTCTCCTGCCTCAGCTAATTTTGTATTTTCAGTAGAGACGGGGTTTCACCATGTTGGTCAGGCTGGTCTTGAAGTCCTGTCCTTGGGTAATCTGCCCACCTTGACCTCCCAAAGTGCTGGAATTACAGGCGTGAGTGGACGCCCGGCCTATTTCTTCATTTTTCTTAAAATTATATATATATATATATATATATATATATATATATATATATATATTTAAATAGATATTTATATATTTTTTTTTTCAGAGGGATTTGCTCTGTTGCTCAGGTTGGAGTGGTGCGATCATGGCTCACGGCAGCCTCCACCTCCCAGGCTCAAGCAATCCTCCATCCTTAGCCTCCTGAGTAGCTGGGACTACAGGTGCACAACACCACACCTGGCTAATTTTTTTATTTTTTGTAGAGACAGGGTCTCGCTATGTTGCTCAGGCTGGTCTTGAACTCCTGGCCTCAAGTGGTCCTCTTGCCAAAGTCCTGGGATGACAGGCATGAGGTTCGGCACCTGGCTATGGTCATGCATTTGAAGGGAAACCAGTTAGCTGTGGTAGTGCTTTTTTTTTTCCCTCAGACATTTTCAGTGGTACCTGTCCAAGTGCAGAATGGACTAAGAGTTGGATTGAAAAGGAATGGGGTTTAGCCAAGCAAGTACAACAGAGAATAAAAGAACAGGGGCACTGAGGCTGAATGTGGGGGATTACAATGATGGACCCTAGACTCAAGGCCTGGTAAGAGAGGCAGAGCAGGAAGAAGTGAAGAGGAGTAAAACAGGTTTGTGAGCATGGAGGTTGGGGGAAAATCAAGCGATTGTTGGACTTGGGGTCCCAAAGGGACAAAGCCAGAAAGATTTTAGGGGATAGTCGGAGGAAAAGATGCTTGAAATTGAGATGGTGGAGCCGATGTCGTGGCTGGAAAGGATGAGGGTATGGAGCACCTGCTCAGGTGGGGTGGATGACAGGAGCCTCATGGAGAGGAGGACAAGGAGCTGAGCAGCTGAGGTATCAAAGGGTCATCTTACCAAATACTGAAAATGTCAAGAAGTATTGTAGGTGAGCAAGACAGTCGGGTGACAGTGTCTTTAGGAACTGAGGAGTAGGCTCTCGGGTCTGCAGAAGAGGCAATGAGGAGGGGGCATAGACAAGAACAGGTGAGTCTGAGCTTCTGAGTCTCAGCTGAATGCTTTGGGGAGGAAGAATGGATAATTGAGGCCTCAAGAGGCAAGAAACTCACTTAGCCCAACTCCAGTCAGTGCACCAGGGTGACAGAGGGAAACAGAGCCCCTGGAGAGAGCTGGGGGAGAAGCAGTGTCCCCAGGGGAGAACCAAGGGCCAATTAGGGCAAGAACATTCCAAAAAAAAAGTGAGGATAAAGGAGACTTTGCCATGACGAACCAGAAGACACTGAGGAAGTGTTGGGGGTCGGTGACAGGGCTGAGGATTGGGTCAGATAAGAAACAGGTTTATGGGCCGGGCGCGGTGGCTCACGCCGGTAATCCCAGCACTTTGGGAGGCCGAGGTGGGTGGATCACAAGGTCAGGAGTTCAAGACCAGCCTGGCCAACATGGTGAAACCCCGTCTCTACTAAAAATACAAAAATTAGCTGGGCGTGGTGGTGCGCTCCTGTAATCCCAGCTACTCGGGAGGCTGTGGCAGGAGAATCACTTGAACCCGAGAGGCAGAGGTAGCAGTGAGCCAAGATCACGCCACTGTACTCCAGCCTGGATCCAGCCCAGGCTACAGAGCGAGACTCTGTCTCCAAAAAAAAAAAAAAAAAAAGAAGGGCTTTATAGAATTGGTCACGTAGGACCAGACGCTGTCCGAACCACTTTGCTTGTATCTAATCGTTTACCCCATGGGATAATTACTATTATTAACAGATGCATTTTCCAGATGAGAACTTTGAGGTATAGAAAGTAATGACCAAGATTCAGCTATAGAACTAGGCCACCGCCTCAGGACCATACTGGGTGTCAGCCCCTGAGCCAAATCCAGCCCACCACTTGTCTTTGTATGACCTTCGAGCTAACAGTGGGCTTTAGAGATGAACATTTCAATCTATTTGATGATGAACATTTACTTTGAATCCCAGTTAACCAACATGTCATCCCCTCTAAAAGAATTCCATTCTTCTCATTAGTAGACCTATATTAGGAGAAAATTAAATTGTTATTATATTTTGAATTTCATCAATTGCAAATTTGTGAAAATTTGTTTTCTCACTTGTGTACCTACATCATATTCTTGATTGTGCCTCTTGGTCTGTAAAACCTAAAATCTTCCCTTTCCTTCCTTCCTTCCTTCTTTCCTTCCTCTCCTTCTTTCCTTTTCTCCTTTCTCTCTTTCTCTCTTTCTTTCTTTCTTTCTTACTTTCTTTTTTGAGATAGGGTGTCACTCCATCACTCAGGCTGGAGCGCAGTGGCACAAACATGGTTCTGCAGTCTCAACCTCCTGGGCTTAAGCGGTTCTCCTACCTCAGCCTACCATGTAGTGAGACTATAGGCACACTACCGTGCGTGGCTAATTTTTTTTTGTTGTTTTTTTAGACGGAGTCTCGCTCTGTTGCCCAGGATGCAGTGTAGTGGCACGATCTTGGCTCACTGCAACCTCTGCCTCCCAGGTTCAAACGATTCTCCTGCCTCAGCTTCCTGAGTAGCTGGGACTACAGGCACCCACCTCTACGCCTGGCTAATTTTTGTATTTTTAGTAGAGACGGGGTTTCACGATATTGGCCAGGCTGGTTGCAAACTCCTGACCTCAGGTGATCTGCCCGCCTCTGCCTCCCAAAGTGCTGGGATTACAGGTGTGAGCCACTGTGCCTGGCCTAATTTTTTATTTTTATTTTTTTGAGGCAGAGTCTCACTCTGTTGCCCAGGCTGGAATGCAGTGGTGCCATCTTGGCTCACTAGAACCTCCTCCTCCTCCCAGGTTTAAGCCTGATTCTCCTGCCTCAGCCACCCAAGTAGCTGGGATTACAGGTGCACACCACCATGCCAGGCTAATTTTTGTAGTTTTAATAGAGACGGGGTCTCACCATGTTGACCAGGCTGTTCTCAAACTCCTGACCTCAAGTGATCTGTCCACCTTGGCCTCCCAAAGTGCTGGGATTACAGGTGTGAGTCACTGAGCCTGGCCTAATTTTTCTTTTCTCTTTTTTTTTTTTTTTTTTTTGAGACGGAGTCTCGCTCTGTCGCCCAGGCTGGAGTGCAGTGGCACAATCTCGGCTCACTGCAAGCTCCGCCTCCCGGGTTCACGCCATTCTCCTGTCTCAGCCTCCCAAGTAGCTGGGACTACAGGCACCCGCCACCATGCCTGGCTAATTTTTTGTATTTTTTAGTAGAGACGGGGTTTCACCGTGTTAGCGAGGATGTTCTCAATCTCCTGACCTCGTGATCTGCCCACCTCAGCCTCCCAAAGTACTGGGATTACAGGAGTGAGCCACCGCGCCCAGCCTGGCCTAATTTTTCTGTAGAGACAATGTCTTATCATGTTGCCAAAGCTGAACTCCTGGGCTCAAGCCATCCTCCCGCCCTGGCCTGCCAAAGTGTTGGTATTACAGGCATGAGCCACCATGCCCGGCCCCTAAAATATTTCTGTCTGTTCCTTTACAGAAAGAGTGTGCCAACCTCCGTATTATATTCACATATCTCTCGGTGGAGGAAATGCTCAATAAATGTCCGATATTATTGTTGATATTATTATCATCATTGACACCTAATTCACAGGACTTCAAAACAAGCTAGCTATGATTCCAGCCCTGCGCTGTCACGCAAAAGATATTAAACAAATGTTGGCTAGGCACAGTGGCTCACACCTATAATCCTAGCAGTCTGGGAGGCTGAAGAGGGTGGATCACCTGAGGTCAGGAGTTCGAGACCAGCCTGGCCAACATGACGAAACCACGTCTCTACTAAAAATACACAAATTAGCCAGGCGTGGTGGCGCATGCCTGTAATCCCAGCTACTCGGGAGGCTGAGGCAGGAGAATCGCTTGAACCCAGGAGGCAGAGGTTGCAGTGAGCTGAGATCGTGCCACTGCACTCCACCCTCGGCGAAAGAGTGAAACTCCATCTCAAAATAAATAAATAAATAACAAAAAACAAAGGTTAGCTATTGAATGAATGAGTGAGTGAGTGAATGAATGAGTGGGTAGGTGAAGTGGAGGAGGATGTGAAGTTGGTGGGAGTGAGGGTGCTAGAAATCTCCACATCTTTCACCAAGGCAGAGAGCTTATCGGGGGAGGAGGAGCAGAAGCAGTGAGTTCATTTCCAGAAATGTTGCTGGAGGTGAGTTGACTAGCTCCACATAAACCCTGGGAATGATCACTGAAGCTGGGTAATTTCACCATTGTCCTCAGTATCTGACCCCCGATGGAAAATTCCACAGCTTCACTAAAAGACCTGTATACCTCTGGAATATTTTTATAGGGAACATAAAAGAAATGAATGTGGGATTTGGGGGACTGGGGAGAAGATTCTGAGGAGCTGGTCCTCTGAGAAGAGTTAATCAGGCAAGTCCAGTAATTATCTGGTTCCAACTACATTTGAAACACTGTGCTGGGTCCCTTATGTAATTGTCCTTCCAACTCTGAGAAGTAATTTTATCATTCCCTTTTCACATATGCAGAAATTGGGATTGAAAGAAGCTGTGCTCCATCCCAGGGCATTGCCTCCTCCAGCACTGGGTCTAGGCTTTGCATCAACCTGTCTACTGCCGGTTGGCCATTTGTGTCTTCATGCTACCCACAGGGCCCTCGAGGCTCTACCTCTGAGATTCAGCAAAGGAGGTCCTGCCTCATGGAGCTCACAGTCCAGGGAGAAAGACAGACAATAAACAAGCAAACAATACACAAATAAAATAGGCCAGGCATGGTGGCCCACACCTGTAATCCCAGCACTTTGGAAGGCTGAGACGGGTGGATCACTTGAGGTCAGGAGTTCGAGACCAACCATGGCCAACGTGGCAAAACCCTATCTCTACTAATAATACAAAAAATTAGATGGGACTGGTAGTGAGTGTCTGTAATCCCAGCTACTGGGAGGCAGGAGAATAGCTTGAATCCAGGAGGCAGAAGTTGCAGTGAGCCAAAATTGTGCCATTGCAGTCCAGCATGGATGACAGAGCAAGACTATGTCTCTAAAAATAAAATAAAATAATAAAAAAATTGGCTGGGCACAGTGGCTCACACCTGTAGCACTTTGGGTGGCCGAAGCAGGCAGATCACCTGATGTCAGGAGTTTGAGACCAGCCTGGCCAGCTTGGTAAAACCCCAACTCTGCTAAAAATACAAAAATTAGCCGGGCATGGTGACACGCACCTGTAATCTCAGCTACTGGGGAGGCTGAGGCATGAGAATCGCTTGAACCTGGGAGGCAGAAGTTGCAGTGAGCCGCAATCACACCATTGCATGATCAACTGTCTAGCACTGAGCAACAGGGCTAGACTCCATCTCAGAAAAAAAATAAAATAAAATAAGAAATGCAAAATTGTTACAGGAGTTGTAAGGGAATAACAAGATAATAGAATTAGGGAGAGACTGCAGGTGGAGGCCAGATGAGATGTTCATGGGTGCCCCCTTGGAGCAGAGACCTGTAGAGCTACAGGAAGGATGTTCTAGAAAACACCAAGGGCCCTGAGGTAGGAAGGAGCTTTGAGGCATCAAAAATGAAGCTACTGTCCTTGGTGTACAGCCAAGAAAAAAAAGGTGGGAGAAGTTGAGGTTAGGGGTGGGTGGGACCAGATCACAGGGGCCTTGTAGGCCCTGCCTGTGATTTGAATTTCATTCTAAGTGATGGGGGCTTTAAGCTGGGGAGGGAGGTGACCTGATTCACCCTGGAAAAGAGTGCCCTAGATGCTTGTGGAGAAGAAAATGAAGAGGGCAAGATGGAAGGCAACCTCGAGACAGACCTCAAGGATGCCATTCCCTGCCTCACCCCCATCGCTCCCCAGAAGCTTGGGTGAAACCACCTTCCATCTGGTCCTTCCAGTTCCTACCTCTCTAATTGAGAGGGAGCCTAGCAAGTTGGGGTAGGGCCTGCTATATAATTAGTTAGGCCCAGTGCAAAATGAAAATAAGGACTCCAAGCCGGGCGTGGTGGCTCGCACCTGTAATCCCAGCACTTCGGGAGGCCGAGGAGGGTGGATCACAAGGTCAGGAGATCGAGACCATCCTGGCTAACACGGTGAAACCCCGTCTCTACTAAAAATACAAAATATTAGCCAGGCGTGGTGGCGGGCGCCTGTAGTCCCAGCTACTTGGGAGGCTGAGGCAGGAGGATGGCGGGAACCTGGGAGGCGGAGCTTGCAGTGAGCCAAGATCGCGCCACTGCACTCCAGCCTAGGCGAAAGAGCAAGACTCAGTCTCAAAAAAAAAAAAAAAAAAAAAAAAGAAATGCAAGATGCTAACAGCAGAGTGTTCAGCCAAGCATGATGCCCTTCTGAGCACAGACCCCATGAAGTTGACAGTGGGGAGAAGACTTTGGACCCAATGGTTAGGGAGGCTGCTCTGAGAAGGTGACACCTGACCTCCTTCAGAGATCATGGCCTTCTTGGGCCTGGTGCGGTGGCTTACACCTGTAAGCACTTTGGGAGGCCCAGGCAGGAGGATCACCGGAGGCCAGGAGTTCAAGACAAGTCTGGGCAATATAGTGAAACCCTTGTCTCTATCACCGTGCCCAGCCTACAAAAAAATTTTTAAAAATATTAACTGGGTATGGTGGCGCATGCTTGTAGTCCCAGCTTCTCGGGAATCTGCGGTGGGAGGATCCATTGACTTCAGGAGTTCAAGGCTGTGATCTCACTGCTGCGCTCCAGCCTGGGTGACAGAGCCAGCCCCTTGTCTTTAAAAAAAAAAAAAAAACAGGCTGGTTGCGGTGGCTCACGCCTGTAATCCCAGCACTTTGGGAGGCCAAGGTGGGTGGATCAACTGAGGTCAGGAGTTCGAGATCAGCGTGGCCAACATAGTGAAACCCCATCTCTACTAACAATACAAAAAATTATCTGAGCGTGGTGGTGGGTGCCTATAATCCTAGCTACTTGGGAGGCTGAGGCAGGAGAAACTCTGGAACCTGGGAGGCGGAGGTTGCAGTGATCCGAGATCGCACCACTGCACTCCAGCCTGGGAGACAGAGTGAGACTCCATCTCAAACAAACAAAAACACAGAGAGAGAGAGAGAGAGAGAGATTATGACTGTCTTGGTACCAGCAGATGTTGCTTTGTAATCACCAAGTGGGGAGAGGGGGTGGCAGCCTGTCTTACACACCTGGACCACATTGCCCAACAACACTGCTCCACCCAGTCCGTAAAACCTCCCTCGGTGGCTATCTTCACCTAACATAGACACCTATTCAAAGCATCTGATGAGGTCATGTGCGTGCTACCACTTGGGAAAACGAAACTAAGAGCACTATAGGAACAATGATGAATATCATCATCATCATCATATTTACAAAATGCTTGCATATCACACCTGTAATCCCAGCACTTTGGGAGGCTGAGGCGGCGAATCACCTGAGGTCGGGAGTTCGAGACCAGCCTGACCAACATGGAGAAACCCCTTGTCTATTAAAAATACAAAATTAGCCAGGCATGGTGGCAGGCACCTGTAATCCTAGCTACTTGGGAGGCTGAGGCAGGAGAATCGCTTAAACCCAGGAGGTGGAGGTTGTGGTGAGCTGAGATCACGCCATTTTGCACTCCAGCCTGGGCAACAAGAGCAAAACTCTGTCTCAAAAAAAAAAAAAAAATGCTTGTGTAAGTATTTATTATGTTAATACAAAATATTTATCATCAAAAAATAAACAATACATTTGATTGAACCATCTTGTATCATCCTTCTTCTTAGTGGAAGACATTGCATAGACACTGTATCTCTTATATTTCTCCTGATAATACTACAAGATTGATCCTTGTCCAACAGATATTTCCTGAACACCTACTATGTGCTGCAAGTACTGAGATCCACAGTGCAATCCGGCAGCCAGGGAGCACCCCCGATCACAGACACTGTGGCCCCGCAATGGATGGGCGCTTCCATTGCTGGAGCTCACTTTTCCTGCTCTGTAAGTACTGAGATCCACAGTGCAATCCGGCAGCCAGGGAGCACCCCCGATCACGGACACTGTGGCCCCGCAGTGGACGGGCGCTTCCGTCGCTGGAGCTCACTTTTCCTGCTCTATTGTTGTCATAGAAGAAAGTTCCATACCCAACATCACATTCTCTACTTATTTGTTTGTCTCTCTTTTCCTCTAGAACTGCAGGAGCTGGGAATTTGAACTGTTTCTCTCACTTCTGGATCCCAGCATTTAGAACAGGGCTCCACTCACAGCAGCCACTATTGCTGAAGAAGCAAATCCCGCGGGATTGCTTGAGGTCATTGGACTTCACAAGAGATGTCTGGGGTGGAGACAGGACTTGGGAAGATGCTGGTTCATGGATGGTGTGGGGGCTGCAGGAGGAGATGCCTGGGGAGAGAGTATCTAGTAAGAAGTGACAATGTTGGTTGGGCACGATGGCTCATGCTTGCAATCCTAGCACTCTGGGAGGCCAAGGTGAGAGGATCACCTGAGGTTAGGAGTTTGAGACCAGCCTGGCCAACATGGTATAACCCCGTCTCTACTAAAAGTACAAAAATTAGCCAGGCGTGGTGGTGGGCGCCTGTAATCCCAGCTACTTGGGAGGCTGAGGCAGGAGAATTGCTTGAACCTGGGAGGCGGAGGTTGCAGTGAGCCGAGATCATGCCACTGCACTCCAGCCTGGGCGACAAAGTGAAACTCCATCACAAAAAAAAAAAAAAAAAAAAAAGAAGTGACAATGTCCTTGGGTCTGCCTTGGTGCCGCAGGGGAGTGTGGTCATAGGTCGAAGACAGAGAAAGAGCCATTAAGAAATGGGAGTAGGCTGGGCGCAGTGGCTCATACCTGTAATCCCAGCACTTTGGGAGGCTGAGGTGGGTGGATCACCTGAGGTCAGGAGTTTGAGATCAGCCTGACCAATATGGTGAAACTCTGTCTCTACTAAACATACACAAAATTAGCTGGGCATGGTGGCGCATGCCTATAATCCCAGCTACTCAGGAGGCTGAGGCAGGAGAATCACTTGAACCCAGGAGGCAGAGGTTGCAGTGAGCTGAGATGGCGCCATTGCACTCCAGCCTGGGGGACAGAGCAAGACTCCGTCTCAAAAAAAAAAAGAAATGGGAGTAGCCCAAAGGGGTGAGTGATGGTTACCTGAGGGCTCTCTCTGGAAAGCAGGACTTATCCACACTCCTTAGTATCTTGATGCTGCTGAGAGATCAACGTCAGGGCTGGGAAAAGGGCTGTTGGATTTGAGAGAAGGGATGAGAGTCATGAAGCACACTGGGGGGCCGCTTCCAGGGACAGGAGACATCAATGGAGGGGAAATGAGAAATAAGTGGACCTGCACCTTTTGCTAAGGGAGGCTGTTAAGGGAGGAGAGAGACCGGGCAGTTGCTAGACGGATGGTGGCCAAGGGAGGGTTTTGTTTTTGTTTTAAAGATGGGAGAGATTATAAGTGCTGAAGGGAAGGATGTAATTCAAAAGGAAAGCTTGCATATTCATGGGGGATCAGGAGTAAGGAAGGTTCTGAGGTGGCAGGCAGGGCTAGGAGGCGGCGGGATTGGTTTTTGGAGGGACATCCGTTAACAGGAGGAGAGAAGCTGGGGACCAGGAGCAAAGCCCAAGGCCTTCCCAGGCCCTGGAAACCCTCCGTGCTGGGCCGGTCCCCTGCTGCTTCTCTGGTTTCACTTCCTTTCTCAGCCCTGTTCCCACTTCTGCTCTGGCCCCCTGGCTCCCTGGCTTTTCCCTGAGTCCTCCCACCAGGCTCCTGCCTTTGCCTCACTTTCCTCTCTCCCTAGGATATTTTTGCTGCAGAGATCCACGTGGCTCAGTCCCTCGCTTTATCTGGGTCTCTGCTCTCCTGTCCATTTTTCAGAGCTCTTCCCTGACTACCACATAGGTAACGGTATCCTCCTATTACCTTCCATTCAGACCCTCTCCTTTACCATAGGGCCTTTGCACCTGCTATTCTCCCTGCCTGAAATACTGTGCCTTGCCTGATTATTATTATTATTATTATTATTTTGAGACAGAGTCTCACTCTGTCACCCAGGCTGGAGTGCAATAGCACGATCTCAGCTCACTGCAACCTCCACCTGCTGGGTTCAAGTGAGCAAGCATGGCTAATTTTTGTATTTTTAGTAGAGATGGGGTTTCACCATGTTGGCCAGGCTGGTCTCGAACTCCTGACCTCAAGTAATCAACCTGCTTCAGCCTCCCAAAGTGCTGGGATTACAGACATCTGCCACCACACCCCCGGCCCCTGATTTTTTGTTTGTTTTTTTGAGACAGACTCTCCTTCTGCTGTCTAGGCTGGAGTACAGTGGAGCGATCTTAGCTCACTGCAACCTCTGCCTCCCGGGTTCAAGTGATTCTCCTGCCTCAGTCTCCTAAGTAGTTGAGATTACAGGTGTCCGCCACCATGCCTGGCTAATTTTTGTATTTTTAGTAGAGACAGGGTTTCACCATGTTGGACATGGCTGGTCTTGAACTCCTGACCACAGGTGAGCTGCCTGCCTTGGCCTCCGAAAGTTCTGGGATTACAGGCATAAGCCACTGCGCCTGGCCTGATTTTTTTTTTTTTTTTTTTTTTTTTTTTTTTGTAGAGATGGGGTCTTGCTTTGTTGCGTAGGCTGGTCTCGAACTCCTGGGCTGAAGCTATCCTCCCGCCTCAGCCTCCCAAAATGCTGGGATTACGGGAATGAGTCACCAAGACTGGCCCCTTCCCTGATCTTGTTAATGACTCAATCTTCACCCCTAGCTCAGGCATCTGTCTTCAGTCTTGTCTCTTCTTTCTCCCCAACTAGGTCAGGTTCCCTCACACAGGACCCTTGGAGAGCTGGGCACTTCTCCAATAGCATTTGTTGAAGTTACTATTTTTTATCTGTGAGATTGGCTAAGACCTCTTTCTTGCTCCAGACTACAGGTACCATCCAAGCAGAGGCCACATCCATCTTACCCAAATGTGTATTTTCAGTGCCTGCTGGAGTGCCAGGCACCCAGCGGGTACCCAGAACTTAGGGTGTTGGGTGTACTCATGGATCAGAACTTCATTTCAGCCCGAGCTGTAGACCTGAAGACTGAGGCTCAAGATATTCCATCATCAGATATCGAGGGTCGGAGGGTAAAAAAAAGAAAAAGAGCCAGGCGCAGTGGCTCCCGCCTGTAGTCCCGGCACTTTGGGAGGCCGAGGCAGGCAGATCACTTGAGGTCAGGAGTTCCAGACCAGCCTGGACAACACTGTGAAACCCCGTCTTTCCCGAAAATACAGAAAAGTCCCAGCTACTCAAGTGGCTGAGGCAGGATAATTGCTTGAACCTGGGAGGTGGAGGTTGCAGTGAGCCGAGATTGTGCCACTGCACTCCAGTCTGGGTGACAGAGTGAGACTCTGTCACGAAAGAAAGAGAGAAAGAAAAAGAGAGAGAGAGAGAGAGCAAGAGAGAGAGCAAGAGAGAGAGAGCAAGAGAGCAAGAGAGAGAGAGCAAGAGAGAGAGAGAGAGATCATCGATACTCATTTATCAAATACTCAAACCCGTATCTGTCTACACATGCTATTGACCTAAACTATACTTTTCAAGAATATTCTTCGCTGCCAAGGCTGGAGTGTAGAGGCATGATCTCATCTCACTGTAACCTCTGCCTCCTGAGTTCAAGCGATTCTCCTGCCTCACCTCCCTAGTAGCTGGGACTACAGGCCTGCACTGCCACACCCAGATAATTTTTGTATTTTTGGTAGAGATGGAGTTTTGTCATGTTGGTCAGGCTGGTCTCAAACTCCTGACCTTAGGTGATCTGCCCGCCTTGGCCTCCCAAAGTGCTGGGATTACAGGCATGAGCCACTGCGCCTGGCTTCAAGAATATTGTTCATTTACAGAGGCATAGAGGTTAAGAGTACCCTCTGAAATTACACAGCCTGGAATTGACTGCTAGCTCTCCCCTCTGCAATCTTTCTGGCACCAGTCATGTTGGTTCAGCTCCCTCTGGGCCTCACTTACCCATCTGTAGAATGGGGATAATAACACCTGCATTGTACATCTATTAGGAGGATGAATGTGATTATCACATGTAAAAGGCTAGAGCCATGCTTGACACACGATACATATTCAAATTCCAGTCAAGCTTCTCTCTTTTTTTTTGAGACGGAGTTTCGCTCTGTCGCCCAGGCTGGAGTGCAGTGGCACGATCTCGGCTCACTGCAAGCTCTGCCTCCCGGGTTCAGGCCATTCTCCTGCCTCAGCCTTCCGAGTAGCTGGGACTACAGGCGCCTGCAACCAAGCCCGGCTAATTTTTTTTTGTATTTTTAGTAGAGACGGGGTTTCACCGTGTTAGCCAGGATGGTCTCAATCTCCTGACCTCCTGATCCGCCCGCCTCGGCCTCCCAAAGTGCAGGGATTACAGGCGGGAGCTACCGCGCCCGGCCCAGCTTCTCTTTTTGAATGCCAGGCTTTGTGCTAAAACTCTTACTGGTTTTTACACTGAGCCCCCAAAGATTATCAACCCAAATTTCAGGACGCATGTGTTTTTATTAATGTCTCAGAAAAGTCAGATTGGAAGTTGCATGCACAATTCCTGCCGGAACAAAGTACAGCCATCTCCCTGCACTAATGCATTTCCAGCTGGTGGAGTTCAGTTTTTAAAGAGCAGTAAATACTTGCAAGAGACGAACGGCAGGAAGTGAATGAAGGAATAGATACATTTTTAAGATCCACTGACAGCTTGTACATTCTGGAAGCCATGTGGGTCAGGGGGATGAATTTATTGGCTTTAACGTCAGACGCTCTGCAGGTCGTGAGATGTGCCTTTTGTCCTGACGTCAGCTGAGAGCAGATCTTTGGAAGGATTTGCCCATTGAGCACATTTGCTGAAACATCTTGGCTTCATTACATTTATGAGTTTTAAAAGCATGTAAAATATTTTATGTGGTTCTTGCAAAAGGGTAACAACATAAATAACCTGCAGGGATAGGATGATTTTCAAGAAATGGGGTCAGCCGGCAAGCCAGTGTTCACTCTGTGGACATTCTGAGTGTACAGAATATTAATACTTCATTTGCCCCTCCAGATCCACTCTCCATTTTCTCTTCCCTCCTCTGTGCCCAAGAGGCCGGGCAGTGGGGACCACATCTCCTGGTTCTGTGACATCTGGTTTCTTGCTGGGTTCAGCCAATAAGGAGGAGTGGGAGATGGGAGGGCCAAGGTGGGGCTGGGCTATTAACTCCCTGGCTGGCCATGGTCTGGCAGTGGCTGTGTCCCTCTACTGAAACCCACAGCTCCCATGGGGTGGCCTTTTTCCTATGGATCTTGCCATTTTCTGATAACCACTCCCTCCTGCTGCCTTTGGAGGCCTTGGAGAGGGAAGGGCTTTTGGTTGTTGGTAGCCCCGGGGTGCTTCATCAACCCTGCTGATTTCTCTATACCTTGCTTATATCTTGGTAAATACCCCTTTTATTAAACATTCCTCAGCCGGACATGGTGGCATGTGCCTGTAGTCCCAGCACTTTGAGAGGCCGAGGCAGGAGGATCTCTTGAACCTGGGAGGCGGAGGTTGCAGTGAGCCAAGATTGCGCCTCTGCACTCTAGACTGGGCGACAGAGTGAGACTGTCTCTAAAAAAAAAAAACAAAGAACCCCAAAAGACTCTCCTCAGTTACTCTGCTCAAGTGAGCCTTTTAATTATCTTGGGGACCTTGTATAGGTACAGTTATTATTTTGTTTGTTTGTCTGTTTTGAGACAGAGTCTCACTCTGTTGCCGAGGCTGGAGCGCAGTGGTACAGTCTTGGCTCACTGCAACCTCCACCTCCTGGGTTCAAGCAATTCTCCTGCCTTCGCCTCCCAAGTAGCTGGGATTACAGGCATGCACCCCCAAGCCCGGCTAATTTTTGTATTTTTGGTAGAGACGGGGTTTCACCATGTTGGCCAGGCTGGTCTCAAACTCCTGACCTCAAGTGATCCTCCGCCTTGGCCTCCCAAAGTGCTGGGATTGTAGGTGTGAGCCATCACGCCCAACGGGCACAGTTGTTAATATCATGTTAGATTAAAAATCAAAATCTTACAGAAACTTCAGCCTTTATATCACGATGGCTTCCTGTCCCTATGGCAAGGTAATCCTTAAGAGAGAGGCCAAGCTCAAAGCTGTAGCCAAATAATTTAATATCTATGAGGTGACTTTCACATACCTCATACTAAATATGCAAGCTACACATGACCTCTACCATCCAGAAATACCTGTTTTAGCAGCGAAGATAGACTATCTGATGAGAAATCGTACTATGGGAGGAACATGGCTTGGCAATTAAGAGTCTCTATTTGTTTTCTGGGGCTGCTGTAACAGAGAGCCACAGACGGAGCGGCTTACACAGCACAGATGTATTGTCTGAAGGCTCTCTGGGTGCTGTGAGGGAAGGATCTGTGCCAGGCCTCTCTCCTTGGCTCGTAGATGACCGTCTTCTCCCTGTGACTCTGCCGTCATCTTCCCTCTATGTCTGTCTGTCTCTGTGTCCACATTTCTCCCACAGGTCACCAGTCCTATTGGAATAGGGTCTTGGTAAAGACCCTATTTCCAAGTAGAAACACATTCTGAGGTGCTGGGTCTCAGAGCTCCAACATCTCCTTTTTGGGAGGATACAATTCAACGCAGAGCAGAGGCCGACATCCATGAGTTTAAATCCAGGTTGTGTCACCTTGGGCAAATTATTTATTTATTTATTTATTCATTTTTGAGACGGAGTCTCACTCTGTCACCCAGGCTGGAGGGCAATGGCGTGATCTCAGCTCACTGCAACCTCTGCCTCCCGGGTTCAAGTGATTCTCCTGCCTCAGCCTCCTGAGTAGCTGGGATTACAGGCACCCGCCACCACACCTGGCTAATTTTTGTATTTTTTAGTGGAGACGGGGTTTCACCATGTTGACCAGACTGGTCTCGAACTCCTGACCTCAGGTGATCTGCCCGCCTCAGCTTCCCAAAGTGCTGGGATTACAGGCGTGAACCACCATGCCCGGCCACCTTGGGCAAATTATTTAAACTGCTCAGTGTTTGTGTTTCATCATCTAGAAAATGGGGATAGCCTGGGCTTGGTGGCTCGCACATGTAATCCAGCACCTTGGGAGGCAGAGGCAGGAGAATCACTTGAACCCAGGAGGCAGAAGTTGCAGTGAGCTGAGATTGGGCCACTATACTCCAGCCTGGGCTACAGAGCGAGACTCCATCTCAAAAAAAAAGCCAGGCATGGTGGTATGTGCCTGTAGTTCCAGCTACTTAGGAGGCTGAGGCTGGAGGATTGCTTGAGCCTGTGTGGTCAAGCTGCAGTGAGCTGTGATGGTGCCACTACACTCCAGCCTGGGCAACAGAGCAAGACCTATCTAAAATATAAAGTAAAATAAAATAGGGATAATATTTTTACAATCACTTTGCAGGATACTGTGAAATAAGGGGTGGGAGACTGCTTAAAAAGTGCCTGGCATAGGCAGGGCGCGGTGGCTCATGCCTGTGGCTCATGCCTGTAATCCCAGCACTTTGGGAGGCTGAGGCGGGTGGATCATGAGGTCAGGAGATAGAGACCATCCTGGCTAACACAGTGAAACCCCGTCTCTACTAAAAATACAAAAAATTAGCTGGGCGTGGTGGTGGGCACCTGTAGTCCCAGCTACTCGGGAGACTGAAGCAGGAGAATGGCATGAACCCTGGAGGCGGAGCTTGCAGTGAGCCGAGACTGCGCCACTGCACTCCAGACTGGGCGACAGAGTGTCAAACAAACACAAAAACGTGCCTGGCGTGTGGCAAATGTTGTCGGTGTGGGCTTTCGCTATTATTAACCTAAAGTGTTGTACTTTCACATAACAACTCCATTGAGCGTCTTCAGGCATCTCAAACTTCCCCGTCCAGTTGGCTCGTTTTCTAATCCTACCCATCTTGGAAAATGGCACCCTCACCAGCCCAGTTGCTCAAGCTGTCCATGATCCTTCTCATCATTGCCACTTTCACTCCACCAGTGAACCTGCTGGATACCCCTCCAAGGACACGCTGTATTCTGAATTCATTGCTTCTCTTCATCTCATTAGTTAGATCTGATGAGACGGCCCTGCCGTCCTCTCTTGGACACTCTCTTGAACAAAGCAGTAACCTCTTAGCTTGTTTTCCCGCTTTCACTGCACCCCTTCTAGAGATCATCCTCTGTACAGGAGCCAAGGGATCTTTAAAAACATGGATCCCAGCCGGGCATGGTGGCTCACGTCTGCAATCCCAGCACTTTGGGAGGCCGAGGAGGGCAGATCTCTTAAGGTCAGGAGTTCGAGACCAGCCTGGCCAATATGGTGAAACCCTGTCTCTACTAAAAATATAAAAATTAGCCAAGTGTGGTGGCGGGCGCCTATAGTCTCAGCTACTTGGGAGGCTGAGGCAGGAGAATCGCTTGAACCTGGGAGGCTGAGGTTGCAGCAAGCAGAGATCACACCATTGCACTCCAGCCTGGGCAACAGAGCGAGACTCCGTCTCAAAAACAAACAAACAAACAAACAAAAACAAAACACGGATCCCATCATGTCTTTTCCTGCGTAAGACTCTGGATGGCTTTCCATTGAAACTAGAACAAAATCTACACATCTTTGTTCTAAGGCCCTCTTCCAAGGCCCTAATGATCTGGTCTCTGCCTGCCTCTCCAATGTGACTTCCTACCATTCTCCCCTGGATCACTAGATTTTAGTTACATGGGTCTTCCTGCTTTTCCTCCAATATAACAAGCAGATCCAGCTTCAGTGCCTGTGCACTTGCTGTTCTCCGGGCTTGGAATACCCTTCCAAGAACTTTCTCCCTCACTTCATTCAGGTCTTTGCTCAAATGTTACCTCTTCAAGGAGGTCTTCCTTGCCCACCATTTTTTTTTGTTTGTTTGTTTGTTTTCTTTTCTTTTTTTTTTTTTTTGAGACAGAGTCTTGCTCTGTCACCTAGGCTGGAGTGCAGTGATGCGATCTCGGCCCACTGCAACCTCTGCCTCCCAGGTTCAAGCAATTCCTGTGCCTCAGCCTCCCGAGCAGCTGGAACGACAGGAGACACAAGCCACCATGCCCAGCTAACTTTTGTGTTTTTAGTAGAGACAGGGTTTTGCCATGTTGTCCACTCTGGTCTCAAACTCCTGAACTCAAGCAATCTGCTCACCTCAGCCTCCTAAATTGCTGGGATTATAGGCATGAGCCACCATGCCTGGCCGAGATTCCCTATTTCTTTTTTTTTTTTTTTTTTTTTGAGATGGACTCTTGCTCTGTTGCTCAGGCTGGAGTGCAGTGGTGCGATCTTAGCTCACTCCAACCTCCACCTCCCGGGTTCAAGCGATTCTCCTGCCTCAGCCCCCTGAGTAGCTGGGACTATAAGCGCATGCCACCACACCCGGCTAATTTTTGTATTTTTAGTAGAGATGGGGTTTCACCATGTTGGCCAGGATGGTCTCGGTCTCCTGACCTTGTGATCCACCTGCCTTGGCCTCCCAAAGTGCTGGGATCACAGGCGTGAGCCACTGCACCCGGCCAGCTCTTAATTGCATTATTTTATATTACCATTCTCACAGCATTAATCACCCTCAGCAGTTCTATTTACGCACTTCTTTGTTTTGCTTACGGTCCACCTCTACCACCAGAATGCAATTGATCTGATAGTTGAGAGGTCTCCCATGCTCACTGCTGAATCCCCATCACCTAGAACAGTGCCTGGCACTTAATAGGCATCCAGTAAATCTTTGCGGGGGTGGGATGGGAAGCAAACACAAAATGATATGTGGTTCTCTTCTCTCTTTTCTGCCCCCTCTCCAAACGAAACCACCAGCAGAGGAAAGAAACAAAAAGTCTATGAGTTGTCAAGATTTCTGCTTTGGGGCACAGTGGTCATGCCTGTGATCCCAGCTTTTTGGGAGGCTGAGTTGGGATGATCATCTGAGCCTAGTTGTTTGAGACCAGCCTGGGCAACATAGCAAGACTCCATCTCTAAACAAATTTTTTTTTTTTTTTGAGACAAGGTCTTGCTCTGCCACCTGCATTGGAGTGCAGTGGCACTATCATAGTTCACTGCACCCTCAACCTCCAAGGCTCAAGTGATCCTCTCACCTTAGCCTCCCAAGTAGCTTGGACTACAGGCGTGCACTACCACACCTGGCTAATTTTTTTGTAGTGACGAGGTTTCGCCATATTAACCAGACTGGTCTTGAACTCCTGGCCTCAAGTGATCCTTCCTTCTTGGCTTCCCAAAGTGCTGAGATTATAGGTGTGAACCACCATACCTGATTCTACAAAAATTTTTTTAAAAAGTTAGCCAGGCATGGTGGCGCATGCCTGTAGTTCCAGCGAGGTGAGGTGGGAGCATTGCTTGAGCCCAGGAGTTGGAAACTGCAGTGAGCTTTGATCCTGCCACTGTCTGGGCAACAGCATGAGACTCTGTTTCTAGAAAAACAAAACAAAACAAAACAAAAAAAGATTCCCGCTTTGGAACAATGGCTAGGGGCTGGGAATCTAGGATGGATCCAGAGTGGGCAAGTCTTGGCTTCTTATAACTGCAGAATCCCACGATGGATGTGTGGGTGGGCTGGGGTAACAGATCTACTCAGGGTGGGGGCTGGGGGTATCGCGAGGTGTTTAAGCCTGTCAATAAAAAAAGTGACCGCTGCTTTGTATCTGCAGCTACTCAAGGGAAATAAAGCCGTTTGCTTATAAAGAATTTCCATAAACATTTCTGAGGATGTGTATTAGGGGTAATCTTGGGATGTGCATTAAACTAAACAGGGTAGTATAAACACAGGAACAGGCTGAAAGGGGGAGAATAAATGGCCCAGGTTTGCCCTGGCCCAATGGCCTTAGGCAACTTGTGCAGCCTGCAGAAACCCAGAGACTTCAGTTCATTATTTAAAGAAGGCGGAGACAAAGAGGGAAAACCAAACGCAGCCCTCCCATGGGTAGATAGATTCTTGAACAACCTCTGGAATTAAGCTTTTTTTTTCTCTCCTCCTAGTGTTCAATGCTTTGGATTCCTGAAGTTATCTATGTTGAAATACTCGAGAGATGGTAAGGAGAACAGGAACAGGTAGCTTTGGGAGGCACGTGCTCTGGGCTAGGCATAGTTCTTTTTTTTGGGGGGGCGGGGGGAGGGAGTCTCGCTCTGTCGCCCAGGCTGGAGTGCAGTGGCGCGATCTCGGCTCACCGCAACCTCCACCTCCCGGGTTCAAGCGATTCTCCCTCCTCAGCCTCCAGAGTAGCTGGGATTACAGGCACCTGCCACCACGCCCAGCTAATTTTTTGTATTTTTAATAGAGACTGGGTTTCACTGTGTTAGCCAGGATGGTCTCGATCTCCTGACCTCGTGACCCACCTGCCTCGGCCTCCCAAAGTGCTGGGATTACAGGCGTGAGCCACTGTGCCCGGCTGGCTAGGCACAGTTCTAAAAGCTGCGTGTGCACGATCTCATTTCATCCTCCCGGTACCGCTTTGGGGAAGGTAACACTATTGCCTCCACTTTGCAGAAGAGGAAACTGAGGCAGAGAGAAGGGTGATGACTTGCTGAAGGATACAGAGCTCATTACAGTGGAGGTTCAGGGTCTGAGCTCTAGAAAAGATGCTCCACCCTATGAAGGAAAAGGTTCATTGGTATTATCTATCTATCTATCTATCTATCTATCTATCTATCTATCTATATATTTTTTTCTGGGATGGAGTCTCACTCTGTTGCCCAGGCTGGAGTGCAGTGGTGCGATCTCAGCTCACTGCAAACTCTGCCTCCCGGGTTTAAGCTATTCTCCTGCCTCAGCCTCCTGAGTAGCTGGGATTACAGGTGTGTGCCACCACACCTGGCTAATTTTTGTATTTTTAGTAGAGACGGGGTTTCACCATGTTGGCCAGGCTGGTCTCAAACTCCTGACCTCAGGTGATCTGCCCGCCTTGGCCTCCCAAAGTGCTGGGATTACAGGCGTGAGCCACCACGCCCGGCCTAAATCATTTGAATTTGCTAACTCATTCATGTGTTGATAATATAAATAAATAATTTTTAAAGTGTCCCCTTGTGCAAACCAATGATGAAAGCAGGCCATGAATAGAGGCAGGTGATCAGCTCCACTCTGTGCCCCGGAGTACCCTCAAAATAAACCCCAAGGCTCAGGACCAAATATAGATGATGATAGGCTAGGCGGTGGCTCACACACAAAAAATCAGAGGTGGATAAGAATCTATATCTGCACCTGCCAGGAGCCAGGTCGAGGAGGATTAAGAGTTGGGGGAGACTTTCCACTGTGCCCATTCTTTCTACATTTTGGGTCATATGAATGTATTATCTTTTCCAAAGTTTGAATTATTATTTTTGTTTTGTTTGTTTTGTTTTTTTGAGGCGGAGTTTCACTCTTGTTGCCCAAGCTGGAGTGCTATGGCACGATCTCGGCTCACCTCAACCTCCGTCTCCCAGGTTCAAGCAATTCTCCTGCCTCAGCCTCCCAAAGTGCTGGGATTACAGGTGTCAGTCACCGCGCTCGGCCTGAATTATTTTTTAAAAACTTTGATAGGATATAAATGAAAAGAATTTTTTTTTTTGAGACGGAGTCTTACTCTGTCACCCAGCCTGAAGTGCAGTGGTGCGATCTTGGTTCACTGCAAGCTCCGCCTCTCGGGTTCACGCCATTCTCCTGTCTCAGCCTCCCAAGTAGCTGGGACTACAGGCACCCACCACCATGCCTGGCTAATTATTTGTATTTTTAGTAGAGATGGGGTTTCACCATGTTAGCCAGGATGCTCTTGATCTCCTGACCTCGTGATCCGTCTGCCTCGGCCTCCCAAAGTGCTGAGATTACAGGCGTGAGCCACCGCGCCCGGCCAAAATTTTTTTTAATATGATACAAAATAATTTTTTTTTTTTTTTTTTGAGACAGAGTCTTGCTCTGTCGCCCAGGCTGGAGTGCAGTGGCACGATCTCGGCTCACTGCAAGCTCCGCCTCCCGGGTTCATGCCATTCTCCTGCCTCAGCCTCCTGAGTAGCTGGGACTACAGGCGCCCTCCACCCCGCCCAGCTAATTTTTTGTATTTTTTTAGTAGAGACGGGGTTTCACCATGTTAGCCAGGATGGTCTCAATCTCCTGACCTCGTGATCCGCCCACCTCGGCCTCCCAAAGTGCTGGGATTACAGGCGTGAGCCACCGCGCCCGGACTAATATTTTTTTTTAAATAAAAAATATGAAACTGGCCTGGGCACGGTGGCTCATGCCTGTAATCCCAGCACTTTGAGGGGCCGAGGTGGGTGGATTACCTGAGGTCAGGAGTTCAAGACCAGCCTGACCAACATGGTGAAACCCTGTCTCTTCTAAAAATACAAAATTAGTTGGGCGTGGTGGCGCATGCCTGTAATCCCAGCTATTTGGGAGGCTGAGGAAGGAGAATCACTTGAACCCAGGATCTGGAGGTTGCAGTGAGCCGAGATCACGCCATTGCACTCCAGCCTAAGCAATGAAGAGTGAAACTCTGTCTCAAAAAAAAAAAAAACAAAAAACAAACAAAACAAAACAAAAAACTGAAAAGGTTTCAGGAATGCAAAGGCAACATGTCCCAAAGTATTAAAATGGTACAACCTTGCTTTTGACGTGAAGGTCAGTTACAGAACGAAATTAGCCAGCAAGCAGGTGAGAGCAGAGATTAAAACGGTAATGAAGATGGCCATTCCACAGCCTTTTCTAACTACATGGAAATTATCTTCCTTGACAGTAGCCAACCTGTGCTTACATTCTCTCTCTCTCTCTCTCTCTCTCTCTTTCTCTCTCTCTCCTCCCACCTGCTTGCCATGACCTATTTCATAGTCCTGGCACGTGTGAAATGCCTGCCAAGAACTGCAGAAGACAGAGACACAGTGCTCCAAAAAGGTTGAATGGCAACTTTATCATGGACATTTTGGTGATTACAATATCTACATTTCCTGGGGGGTCTCAGAATCACAGAAATTATTTCAAGTTAGTCCGAGGCTGCTCAACGCTGAGGTCAAAACATCTGAGAGAAAAGGTTAAGTAAAAAATCTGGTTGTTTCTATAAAACTGGACTCATTCATTCAATGGCTATGTACTGAATACCTACCATGTACCAGACCACGCTGAGGACCAGCCAGAGGCAAGGCAGGCACCTCAGGCACAAAAGGCAAGAAGGCCTCACTCTCTGTCACTGCTACACCTGCAAAACCCCTAGCGTAAGGTTCCCTTTGCATTTCCTGCCCGTGGTGCCTGCCTGGCCTCATCCTAGTGCCTATTCCATACCAGACGCTGTTCTAAGCACTGACGCTGCAGCAGTGAACAAAACAAAAAGAAGCTGGACAAATGCTCAAGTCTCCACATTTCAGAATTGGATATTTTGGTGCTGAATTGACTGCGTTAAGAAACAGAGGTTTCCCGGATACAGTGGCTCATGTGTGTAATCCCAGCACTATGAGAGGCTGAGGCGAGAGGATGGCTTGAGCCCAGGAGTTTTGAGACCAACCTGGACAACACGGTGAAATCCCAGCTTTACAAAAAATATGAAAATTAGCTGGGCATGGTGGTACACGCCTGTAGTCCCAGCTACTCGGAAGGCTGAGGTGGGAGGATCACCTGAGTCTGAGGAGGTTGAGGCTGCAGTGAGTTGAGATTGTGCCACTGCACTCCGCCTGGGCAACAGAGTGAGACTCTGTCTCAAAAAAAAGAAACAGGTCAGGCGCGGTGGCTCACGCCTGTAATCCCAGCACTTTGGGAGGCTGAGGCGGGTGGATCACCTGAGGTCAGGAGTTCGAGACCAGCCTGACCAACATATTGAAACCCCGTCTCTACTAAAAATACAAAAATTAGCCAGGCGTGGTGGCACACGCCTGTAATCCCAGCTACTTGGGAGGCTGAGGAAGGAGAATCACTTGAACCTGGGAAGCGGAGGTTGCAGTGAGCTGGGATCATGCCACTACACTCCAGCCTGGGCAACAAGAGCGAAACTCCATCTCGGAAAAAAAAAAAAAAAAAAAAGAAACAGAGGTCTTTGCCCACTCTTCAGCTTGGAGTTACTAAGTGATCTCAGTCTTGCTTCAGTTGACTTCTTACTCTGCATCCCCAGGTAGCCCTTTGTTGTTCAGGACTAGCTTGGACAATGGAAAGCCCCATCTTCTGAGTGCTCCCCAATGTCTGGGGCTATAGATAGATTGACCAATGCAATCTATGTCATGCCCCATGAGGTGGGACCAGTGATTCTCACCACTTTCCAAACTGAGGTCACAGTTGGTCTGAAAGCTGGGAGGGTTCACCCATAGAGAAAACTGGCCAAGACAAGATTCAGATCTGGCGTGGGTCCGAGAGACTCCTGCAAGGGTGTACTCTAGCACTCCACACATTACTTAAGGTTGGTTGAGCTCAGAGGTACAGATATATGTTGGCGACTTACTGAAGGCTGCAAAGCTCATTAAGATCAGGGGTCCAGGGTCTGAGCTCTTCAAAAGATGTTCCACCCTAGGAAGGAAAACGCTCGTTGTTATCATCATTGACGTTTGGTCACTGAGCCTTGGGGTTTATTTTTAGGAAACTCCTAAAAATAATGTGTTTTAGGACACACAGTGAAACTGATCATGTGTCTCCATTCATGGCCTGCTTTCATCATTGGTTTGTGCATGAAGACACTTCTAAAATTATTTATTCATATTATCGATATATAGATGTATTAGCCATTGCTTCTCCCTGTCACGTATAAGACTTGACAAGACTATCATCCCCGAGGTGACCCCCGAAGTGCTATCATTACTCACCGTCCTACCCTCTGGCCCAGCTGCAAAGAATGGGTCTAGCTTAGCTTTCTGATCCTTTCTGCCATCCCAACCCAATCTGCTCTGATTCATCACTTCCTCCCTAAGCATCCTCACCAAAGCCCTTCAGCACCAGTGTCAGCAACAACAGCCAATATGCCCTGGGTCTTCCTTCCTGTGCTCTTTCAAATAACCAGATTATTACTGGACTGCCTATTATATGCCAGGCCCTGTGATTGGCACTGGAATGCAACAATAAGCAAAAACAGACATGGTACCTACCCATCTTCATTTAGCACACAGTCTAGTGGAGGGAGGTGGACATCAGTTAAATAATCACCCCCAAGTACGCAGAAAGATCTTATTGCACAGTATGATAATGGATATGGAGAAAAAGTGCCAGGCACCGCCACCAGGAGTTGGAACTGGTCCAGGAGGGCTTCTCTGAGGAAGGGACCTTGGAGCTGAAACCTGTAGGATGGGGCAACTGGGTAAAGTGGGCAGAGATAGCCTCTGGGCAGAGGGTTGAGCAGTGACACTGGAGAGGAAGCCAGAGGCTCACTTGGGAAAGACCTTGAGATGGATCAGAGGCAGGTGATGGCGGGCATCCATGGGGTCTTACTCTGAGCATTCATGGGATTCAGTTTGGGTGCAATGCAGTCGCGGCCGGCTACAGTTGCAGAACTCACTGGAGGGAGGTGAGAGTGCATGGGAAGACCAGTGAGGAAGCTCCTGCCCGTCTACAGGTGATGGACGATCGGGATAGTGGGGTGGTAGCAAGGTGCAAACAAATGGACTCATGATGTACTTGGAGATTTGGTGATGGAGTGCATGAGGGATAAGGAGCAGAGTGAGGGGTCCCTGACCTCCTGCTCGAGCAAATAGAGCAACAGTAGATCCTCAGGTGATCTTCATAAATTCAAACCATCCTTCCCTCCCTTGCACAGGCAAGAAACAACATTGAAGTATCTACATTGAAGACAGAACTTTGTGTTCCTATTTGTTTTTCTCTATGCTAATTAAAATGCCCTTTGTAATGGCCGGGCATGGTGGCTCACACCTGTAATCCCAGCACTTTGGGAGGCCGAGGCAGGCAGATCACCTGAGGTCAGGAGTTTGAGACCAGCCTGACCAATATGATGAAACCCCGTCTCTACTGAAAATACAAAAATTGGCCGGGCACGGTGGCTCACGCCTGTAATCCCAGCACTTTGGGGGGCTGAGGCGGGTGGATCACCTGAGGTCAGGAGTTCAGGACCAGCCTGGCCAACATGGTGAAACCCCATCTCTACTAAAAATACAAAAAAATTAGCCAGTCGTGGTGGCAGGCGCCTGAAATCCCAGCTACTGGGTGGGTGGGGGGCTGAGGCAGGAGAATTGCTTGAACCCGGAAAGGGGAGGTTGCAGTGAGCCGAGATTGCGCCATTGCACTCCAGCTTGGGGGACAAAAGCAAGAAGCTGTCTCAAAAAAAAAAAAAGTACAAAAATTACCCGGGCATGGTGGCATGTGCCTGTAATCCCAGCTACTCGGGAGGCTGAGACAGGAGAATTGCTTGAACCCGGGAGGCAGAAGTTGCAGTGAGCCCAGATCGTGCCATTGCACTCCAGCCTGGGCGACAAGAAAGAAACTCTGTCTCAAAAATATATACATAAAAACAAAACGAAACACCCTTTGTAAATCAATCCAGAGGAAACTTTTCCTTTTTTTGCCAATGAAATTAATTATGTCGAGAAACCTGAATCTCATCTCTTCTGTCTTCATGTCTGTTACATTCTCAAAAGACACACTATTGCTCAGTGTCAGGGTAGGATAATGAGCTGATCAGAAACAATTTTCATGTCATTTGAAGCTTAATTTCATTAGCAAATAAAAACTGTTTCAAATACCACCATTGGTCCTCTAAAGTTGATTTAGAGATTCAGGTTGAAAATCGATTAAAGTGATTTTTCCTTCATAAAAGTTTATAGCTCTGCAGGCACACACAGACTCCTTAGACTTGCAAAGCCACATCCATATTATTTTCCAGAATGACCGTTACCGAAAAAAAGTGAGTTGCAGAGCAATAAGTAGATATGATCTCGTTTATGTAAAAACAAAACAAAGCAGTGACAAAAGCTAAAACTGAAAATCACTCCAAATTCAGCAGCATTGGCATCACAGTGGAGCTTGCTAAAAATGGGGAATCTCGCCCGGGCGCAGTGGCTCACGCCTGTAAATCCCAGCACTTTGAGAGGCCGAGGCGCGTGGATCATGAGGTCAGGAGATCAAGACCGTCCTGGCTAACACGGTGAAACCCCGTCTCTACTAAAAATACAAAAAATTAGCCGGGCGTGGTGGCGGGTGCCTGCAGTCCCAGCTACTCGGGAGGCTGAGGCAGGAGAATGGCGTGAACCCGGGAGGCGGAGCTTGCGGTGAGCCGAGATCGTGCCCCTGCACTCCAGCCTGGGCGACAGCGAGACTCCATCTCAAAAAAAAAAAAAAAAAAAAGAAATGGGGAATCTCAGATCCTACCCAAGACCCACTGAATCATTTTAACAAAATCAACAGCTGATTCTTCAGCACATTGAAGTCTGACAAGCACTGCTGTTAACAGTTCTTTTTCTTTTCTTTTCTTTTTAAGACAGGTTCTCACTCTGTCACCCAGGCTGGAGATCACAGTCCACCACAGCCTCCTGGGCTCACGCAATCCTCCCGTCTCAGCCTCCCAAGCAGCTGGGACTGTAGGTGCATGCTATCATACCCAGCTAATTTTTTTCTTTCTTTTCTTCCTTTTTATTTTTATTTTTATTTATTTTTTATTTTTTCTAGATACAAGGTCTCACTATATGGCCCAGGCTGGTCTCAAACTCCTGGACTCAAGCAATCCTTCCACCTCAGCCTCCCAAAGGGCTGGGATTATAGGCGTGAGCCACCACACCCAGTCTATATTTATATTTCTACACACACACAAACACTTGTGTGTGTTATATATGTAGATAAATATATTATCTATGTATCTAATATATCTATTATCCTAGACATACATAGATATGTGTATATGAATAGAAATATAAATGCATAGAAAAGTCTGGACTAAACTGCTCACGGTGGTTAATTTTGAGAAGTTTGGATTTCAAGGTGAATGTGGTGGTGAATAGTAAGTGGGAAATTCAAAGGGGGCTTTCACATTTTACCAGATATACCAGATAACCTAGATTTACTGATCTAGGCGCCCGCCACCACGCCTGGCTAATTTTTTTTGTATTTTTCAGTAGAGACGGGGTTTCACCGTGTTTGCCAGGATGGTCTCCATCTCCTAACCTCATGATCTGCCCGCGTCTGCCTCCCAAAGTGCTGGGATTACAGGTGTGAGCCACCGCGCCCGGCCAGACAGAACTGCTTAATGCATTACTTGGGTAATTTAAATTTAAATATTAAGATAGTATAAAGCTGAGGACCTAAAAAACTAATCTTACAAATAACACGGACATCTCAAGTCCCTCCTCTCTTTGACCTACCAATTCCTCCTGGGGGGAGGTGCCCTCAGAATTACTCACACATGTGAGAAATGATGTGCAACCGAGATAATTCACAGGAGCACTGTTTGTAATAGCCCAATATTGAAGACAACTTAAAGGCCCATCATAGCCCGGGCACGGTGGCTCACGCCTGTAATCCCAGCACTTTGGGAGGCCCAGGCAGGCGGATCACTTGAGGTCAGGAGTTTGATACCAGCCTGGCCAACATGGTGAAACCCCGTCTCTACTAAAGACACAAAAAGTAGCTGGGTGTGGTAGCGCGTGCCTGTAATCCCAGCTACTTGGGAGGCTGAGAGAGGAGAATCGCTTGAACCTGGGAGGTGGAGGTTGCAGTGATCCAAGATCGCATCACAGCACTCCAGCCTGGGTGACAGAGAAAGACTGTCTCAAAAACAATAAAGGCCCATCATTTGGGAATTGGTTAAATAGAATAAAGGACATTTACAGCGTAACACTATACAGTCATAGAAAAGAGAGATCAAAGGGCTGGGCGTGGTGGCTCGTGCCTGTAATCCCAGCACTTTGGGACGCTGAGGTGGGAGGATCACCTGAGGTCAGGAGTTTGAGACCAGCCTGGCCAACATGGTGAAACCCTGTCTCTACTAAAAACACAAAAATTAGCCGGGGGTGGTGGCACACATCTGTAATCCCAGCTACTCAGGAGGCTGACTCAGGAGAATCACTTAAACCTGGGAGATGGAGGTTGCAGTGAGCCGAGATCGCGCCACTGCACTCCAGCCTGGGTGACAGAGCGATACTCTTGTTTCAAAAAAAAAAAAAAAAAAAAAACAAGATCAAGCTCTATATGTGTTGAGATGGAACAATGGCCAAGAGCAATGGTTCATGCAAGGACAAAGGGGCTGAGCCATCTGGATGATATGTTGACAATTGTGTAGAAAGGGAGCGGGGAGTGGAATACATATTTATATTTGGTTGTATATGCACAATGTAGCTCTGAGTATCATATTATACAACATAAAGGAGTAGTGGTTGACTATGAGAAGGGGAACAAATGGGTGGCTGTGGGACAGTGGTTAAGAGACTTTTCACCATTTGTTAAACTTGGTGATTATTTGAAGCACTTGGATGCATTACCTATTCAAAATCTTACTAAAACAAGAACAAAACAAACAAACAGAAGCTTCTAGGATTCTTTTATTTCTCTGAGAATCCTTACTCCTGGGAACTACATCTGGAGAACTCATTGTGAGCCCAATAACACAGGGGCTTGGTTTCCCATGAAAAGAAGGCTGCCTTTCAAGGAAGGAGAGGGACATTCTCCATCCTGAGGGGACACCCCCCACACACCCCATGCTTCCTTTATTGCCATTTCGTCCTTTGCTGCTCTCATTTGATGTGGCTCGGCTTTTTTTTTTTTCTTAAAGTTCCCACCAGTTCTCTTTAAAGACAGCACCAAAACTAAAACTAAAAACCAATTTAATTTTACTTTTAAAGCACTCCCCCTTTTTTTTTAATTTTTACAATAATGAAGATCTTATTCTAGGATGAAAATAATGAATAGGAAAGAGCTGTTTATTCTTCCTTCTTCCCACCCCTGAATATTGAAGTAAAACTAAATAACAATGAAAGTGACTAGGAACAGCAGACAAGGGGAAATATGTCAGAATGAGAACATCTCATGTCATCTCCAGGGCTGGGGGAGAAACATCTTTCCTGGTACAAGGTCCCGGTACCGAAGAAATACAATTTTTCAAAAAGTTCTGTAAGTGATACATGCTTGTTACAAAAAATCTCTACCATTTTCAAAGCTTAGAAGGCAGAAACTCCTTGTTAGTTGGTAATTTCTTTATCTCTCTCATGCTTTCCTGATATCTGAATTACGCTTGAGAAAAAGAGGAAAATAAAACAAGACAGAAAATAATGCTTCCTTAGGTAAATACAATCGGCTAAGAAAGGCTTCCAAGAAGAAGCATAATTCACTGAGTCCCAGCTTATTGAGAGAATCCCCAAACAAAGGACTTTTGTGAAGGGATCAGTCTCAGCCACCATAACTTAGCATACAATAGGATGGCTTAATAAAAGAGGTTTCCAAAGGCCAAGATGGTTATCAAAGATCTCCCAAGGAGAGAGGGAGAAGAAGAGACAGAGAGAAAAAGAGAGAGAGAAAGAGGGAAGGAATAACCTTCTGGAATGTTCCCAACTATCTTTCCAGTTAGCATTCATGAATACGTGAAAGGTTTCATATCACTTGGAGTCCCACCCATTTTTCAAAATAGGAAGCTTCCGCTATTTTCTTCTGGATCCGTTATTGGGTCAAGAGAAGTCTCTGCCTCTTGTCCAGGACATTTGGATATTTCTTATTTGTTATTTATTTATGAGATAGGGTCTCACTGTGTCGCCCAGGCTGGAGTGTAGTGGCACAACCATGGCTCACTGCAGCCTCGACCTCCCAGGTTCAAGTGATTCTCCCGTCCCAGCCTCCTGAGTAGCTAGGACGACAGGCACCATTGCACTTGGCTAATTTTAAAATATTTTTTAGAGATAGGGTCTTGCTATGTTGCCCAGCCTGCTCTCAAACTCCTGGCCTCAAGTGATCCTCCCCCACCTTGGCTTCCCAAAGTGCTCGGATTGCAGGTGTAAGCCACCCACTGCACCTGGCCTAGATTTGGAAGTTTATATAATTACTTTTCAATGAATGTTTTAATGAATGTTGCAATGAATGTCTCCTTGTTTACCTTAGATGACTGGGTGAAATAAACAACTCCTCAAATTTTGTTATGTTACTCTGCCATATTATATCACGTATGACATATATTGTTATATTATATTACATATGTATGTCTATACATATGTTTCTGTGTATGTAGATGTTTATACATCCAGCATATTAAATCCATCAAGCTTTTCGACAAAGGTGAAAGGTTGTAGACTTCACAAACTTAAATAATGTAGGTTGTAGAGTCAGAGCAACTTCTGGTTGTCCCAGTGAACTTGGATAAGTGACTTAACCTGGCTGGGCCTCCATGTCCTCCTGGCAAGTAGGGGTGGTAACCGCCCATATGGAGGGGGTTCCACAAGATAAATTTGGAAAGACATAGGCAAGTGGCACAAAGCAACGGTAGCTGTGGTTGTCCCCTCCGGACAGTGGTTATTAAAAAGACTTATAGGTTGGGCGCGGTGGCTCCTGCCTATAATCCCAGCACTTTGGGAGGCCAAAGCAGGCAGATCACTTGAGGTCAGGAGATCCAGATCAGCCCAGCCAACATGGTGAAACCCCGTCTCTACTAGAAATACAAAAATTACTGAGTATGGTGGCGCAAGCCTGTAGTCCCAACCTACTCAGGAGGCTGAGGCATGAGAATCACTTGAACCTGGGAGGCAGAGGTTGCAGTGGGCCAAGATGGCGCCACTGTACTCCACCCTGGCAACAGAGTGAGACCTTGTTTCAAAAAAAAAAAAAAAAAAAAAAAAGAAGATGTATGTTCCCGGCTTTAGGAGACTACCTTGGGGGCTGTGCAAACACAGGCTACTCTATTCAAATTCTGGATTTCTTTAAAAAACAAAACCACAAACACCAAAATACTCTGATAGTGCTTCAAAACCTCAAACTGGCCAGTGTGTGGCTCATGCCTGTAATCTAGCACTCGTGTGTGGCTCATGCCTGTAATCTAGCACTCTGGGAGGCTGAGGCAGGTGGATTGCTTGAGCCCAGAAGTTTGAGACCAGCCTGGGCCACATGGTGAAACCCCATCTCTACAAAAATGATAAAAGTTAGCCAGGCGTGGTGACTGTGGGCCTGTAGTCCCAGCTACTCAGGAGGCTGAGGTGGATCACCAGAGCCCAGGAGGTCAAGGCTGCAGTAAGCCGAGATCATGAGATCATGCCACTGCACACCAGCTTGGGTGACAGAATGAGACCCTGTCTCAAAAAAAAAAAAAAAAAAAAGCCCTGAAATTCAGTGGTCTCAAAATTTAGAGTATATTCAGCTATTCAGCAAAAAAGAGAAAAGAATAAAATTCTTACTTGAGGCCGGGCATGGTGGCTCACGCCTGTAATCCCAACACTTTGGGAGGCCGAGGTAGGTGGATCACTTGAGGTCAGGAATTCGAGACTAGCCTGACCAACATTGTAAAACCCCATATCTACTAAAACTACAAACTTAGCCAGGAATGGTGGCACATGCCTGTAATCCCAGCTACTTGGGAGGCTGAGGCAGGAGAATCGCTTGAACCCAGGAGGCAGAGGTTGCAGTGAGCTGAGATAGCGCCACTGCACTACAGCCTGGGTGACAGAGTGTGTGAAACTCCATCTCAAAAAAAAAAAAAAAAAGATTATGGTGAGCATTGCAATGACTGTGCGCACACTAAAGACCACTGAATTGGTCACTTTCGATAGGTAAATTGAGTATGAAGTATATCTCATTAAAGCTGTTATGAAACACATTTTAAGGCCGGGCGTGGTGGCTCACGCCTGTAATCCCAGCACTTTGGGAGGCTGAGGGATCACCTGAGGTCGGGAGTTCCAGACCAGCCTGACCAACATGGAGAAATACAAAATTACCCCGGGGTGGTGGCACATGCCTGTAATCCCAGCTACTCGGGAGGCTGAGGCAGGAGAATCACTTGAAACCGGGAGGCGAAGGTTACCGTGAGCCGAGATCGTGCCATTGCACTCTAGCCTGGGCAACAAGAGCGAGACTCCGTCTCAAAAAAAAAAAAAAAAAAAAAAGTAAGAAACACATTTTAGTGCACTTTCATATGCCCTGGGCACGCTTGTTTAAAATGTAGGCTGGTACACTTTCTTCCAGGGATTTTGCTTGGAGAGACCATTCTTATGCCACCAGGGGCCTTTCAAAGCTTTGAGAAACACCGCAGGAGGCCTGACCCAAGTCTTATCCACCATCTAGACATCCACTGTGCCTGATGTTCCATCCTGAACACCTTGTTTTGTCCATCCTTTCTGAAATTTTATGTCCAGGTTGCTATCATTGCTTTATTTTACAGGGGAGGAAATGGAAGTGGTATAAAACAAAACAGCGAAGCTCAGGGCTGTGGCTTCAGCGGGCCTGGAAATGGGTAGATGGGGACTATAGGTCAAGTGTGTTCTCCTGCAGCCCACACCTGATCACTGCAGTTCTTTTTTTTTTTTTTTTTGAGACACAGCCTCGCTTTGTCACCCATGCTGGAGCGCAGTGGTGTGATCTCGGCTCACTGCAAGCTCCGCCTCCCAGGTTCACATGCCATTCTCCTGCCTCAGCCTCCCGAGTAGCTGGGACTACGGGCACCCACCACCATGCCAGGCTAATTTTTTTGTATTTTTAGTAGAGACAGGGTTTCACCGTGTTAGCCAGGATGGTCTCGATCTCCTGACCTCGTGATCCGCCTGTCTCAGGCTCCCAAAGTGCTGGGATTACAGGCGTGAGCCACCGCGGCCGGCCTGGTCACTGCAGTTCTAGCGGCACCTAGGAATGTGGTTAACACAGGCTTTTCTTGCTGTGGTGGGCCTTACTATATACGACACCTAATATAGTAAAATACGACCATATTTCACATTCAGTTAAACAAATGTGTGTAATTTTTGAAATGTTCTGAAGTGTGCAATTACTAATTTTGCTCAGATAGAATATTTTGCTCTTGTGATTTTTTTTTTTTTTGAGATGGAGTCTCGCTCTGTCGCCCAGGCTGGAGTGCAGTGGCGCGTTCTCGGCTCACTGCAACCTCCGCCTCCCAGATTCAAGTGATTCTCCTGCCTCAGCCTCCCAAGTAGCTGGGTTTACAGGTGTGTGCCATCACACCTGGCTAATTTTTGTATTTTTAGTAGGGATAGGGTTTCACCATATTGGCCAGGCTGGTCTCGAACTCCTGACCTCAGGTGATCCACCCGCCTCGGCCTCCCAAAGTGCTGGGATTACAGGAGTGAGCCACCACACCCAGCTTGCTCTTGTGATCTAAAGACCTCTAAAAACCACCAGTTGCAGATGCCAGTTAGTATGATGTAACAATTTGTAGCCATTTGTGAATTCTCTGTGTATATTTTATCACTTATTAAATTTTTATTTAATTTTTAGAGAGGAAGGGTCTCACTCTGTCACACAGACTAGAGTGCAGTGGGGTGATCATAGTTCATTGCAGTCTCAAACTCATAGGCTCAGGCAGCTTCTCACCTCTGCCTCCCAAGTAACTAGGACTACAGGCATGCACCACCACACCAAGCTAATTTTTCAATTTTTTGTAGAGACAGGGTTTTGTCATGTTGCGCAGGCTGGCCTCCAACTCCTGGCCTCAAGCCATCCTCCTGCCTTGGCCTCCCAACATGTTGGGATTACAGGCATGAGCCACTGCATCAGCCTCTGTCTATTTTTAAATTTGTTTTGGTAAGCCAGGATTTGATATTTTTCTTTGGTTCTTGCAAAGCTCTTGCGTCCTTGGATCTAGTACTGCAGCACCCTGTAAAAATATCCCTGAAAGTGTAGGCAAAGTCATGCTTGGTTTTGTGGTGGACGTGATCCCACTTGTTGTCTGGTTTCATTCACTATTTATCTCAAAGCGCATTTCTGATTTCTCTACTTCATTCTGTCCATTGTAGCCTGAGGAGGTGGAGGTGGGGCTCTGAAGATGGCTGAGAGGTGGGGACTGTGTCCAGGTGTGTCTAGTAATCTGAATATTTCTTAATCTTCCACTGTATGCAAATACTTTACTGAGCTACATGATAGGAAGAAATATAAAACAAAACCCCTTTAGAAGATTGCAAATGAATACTGTAGAGGAAGCTAGCAGGCATGTATAAGAAAAGATTCTTGACCTCAGGCATTATAAGAAAAATGCAAATATAATTAGTATATCTTTTTTTTCCTTATCAGATCAACAGATATCCAACCTTTTGATAATGCCGTCTTTGCAGGGTGTGGGGAATCAGGCTCTGACATACACTGCCAAGAGGGTGGGAGTTAAAAATGCTTTAGTCTCCTTGGGAGTATTTGGAAACATAAACTAAAATAGAAACTATACACGTTCCTTTTTTTTTTTCTTTTGAGACAGGGTCTCGCTCTATCGCCCAGGCTGGAGTGCAGTGGCACGATCAGCTCACTGCAACCTTCACCTCCTGGGTTCAAGTGATTCTCATGCCTCAGGCTCCAGAGTAGCTGGGGCTACAGGCGCGCGCCACCATGCCCAGCTAATTTTTTGTGTGTGTGTGTATTTTTATGAGAGACGGGGTTTCGCCATGTTGGCCAGGCTGGTCTTGAACTCTCAAGGGATCCACCTGCCTTGGCGTCTCAAAGTGCTGGGATTACAAGCATGAACCACCATGCCTGACTGAGATGTACATACTCTTTGACCTAACAATTATTCTACTGGAAATTTATCCTATAGACCCCCACTCAGGAATATATGATAAGTGATGTACGTATAAGGAAATACATTGCAACATTGTATGTAAAAGCTAAGTAATAGAAACAACCCAAATGTCCATTAGAGGAAGCTGTCAAAATAAGTTATGGTCATCTATGATATGGCATTGTATTTCTGCAGCTGGAGGCAGCTGTGTTTGAACTGACATTCTGTGAGAGATAGACTGAAATTAAAAACACAAGCTGGGGCCAGGTGCGGTGGCTCACGCCTGTAATCCCAGCATGGGAGGCTGAGGTGGTTGGATCACCTTGAGGTCAGGAGTTTGAGACCAGCCTGACCAACGTGGTGAAACCCCGTCTCTACTAAAAATATAAAAATAACCCGGGCGTGGTGGCACATGCCTGTAATCCCAGCTACTTGGGAGGCTGAGGCAGGAGAATAGCTTGAATCCGGAAGGCAGAGGTTGCAGTGAGCCAAGATCATGCCATTGCACTCTAGCCTGGGAGACAAGAGTGAAGAGTGAAACTTTGTCTCAAAAAAAGAAAGAAAAACACAAGCTGCCAGACTGTTTTGGATGCTACCAACTGAGTAGGAAAAAATATTAGGTTGAGCCATGTGAAAGTACCAATATGAGACCATTTTTGACATATAAACATGACAGTTTCATGTACTTCAATGTCATATATAGGTATGTAGGGTTTTTTTTTTTTTTTTTTTTACTTTTTATTTTGAAGCGAAGATTCACATTTTTTTTTGTTTTTCTTCTTCTTTTTTTTTTTTTTTTTTTTTGAGACGGAGTCTCGCTCTATCGCCCAGGCTGGAGTGCAGTGGTGTGACCTCAGCTCACTGCAAGCTCTGCCTCCCGGGTTCACGCCATTCTCCTGCCTCAGCCTCCCGAGTAGCTGGGACTACAGGCGCCCGCCACCACGCCTGGCTAATTTTTTGTACTTTTAGTAGAGACGGGGTTTCACCGTGTTAGCCAGGATGGTCTTGATCTCCTGACCTCGTGATCCACCCGCCTCAGCCTCACAAAGTGCTGGGCTTACAGGTGTGAGCCACCTCGCCGTGCCCGGCCTCATGTGTACTTTTAAGAAATAATAGATACTGTGTAAACTTTACCCAGTTCTCCTAATGGAAACCTCTTACAAAACTTTAGTACAGTATCATAACCAGGATGTTGACATTGATATATTCAAGATACAGAACATTTCCATTATCATAAAGATTCCTCATGTTATACTTTTATAGCCACACCCACTTCCCTCCAGGCCTAACCCCTCCTTCATTCCTGGCAACCACTAATCTGTTCTACATTTCTATAGTTTCGTCATTTCAAGAATGTTACATAAATGGAGTCATATAGTATATAATCTTTTGAGATCAGCTTTTTCTCTGTATTTATTTATTTTTTGAGATAGGGTCTCGCTCTGTCACTCAGACGGCAGTACAGTGGCACTATCTGGGCTCACTACAGCCTCCGACTCCTGAGCTCAATCAATCCTCCCACCTCAGCCTCCTGAGTAGCTGGGGCTATAGGTGTGTGCCACCATGCCCGGAGATTTTTTTTTTTTTTTTTTTTTTGAGACAGGGTCTCATTCTGTCACCCAGGCTGGAGTGCAGCGGTGCGATCTCGGCTCACTGCAACCTCTGCCTCCCGGGTTCAAGTGATTCTCCTGCCTCAGCCTCCCGAGTAGTTGGGATTACAGGCACCTGCCACTATGCCTGGCTAATTTTTGTATTTTTAGTAGAGACGGGGTTTCACCATGTTGGCCAGGCTGGTCTCAAATTCCTGACCTCAGGTGATCCGCCCATCTCAGCCTCCCAAAGTGCTGGGATTACAGGCGTGAGCCACTGCTCCCAGCTGAACACAGTTTTTATTTCTCTGTGATAAGTGCCCCGGAGCGCAACTGCTGGGTCATGTGGTACTGCATGTTTAGTTTTTTTTTTTTTAACAAACTGACAGTTTTCCAGAGTGGCTGTAACACGTGACATTACCTCCAGAAATGCATGGGTGCTATGTACAGAGTGGTAAAAAAAAATCTCTGTCGCCAAACCATCTGAACTCTAGTGAAAGTGGGGTGGGTGTGAACAAATGAACAAAATCTACATTGTATTAGACAAGGATAAGTGCTTTGGAGAGAATGAGGCAGCCAGTGGGGGTGGGGTCTGCAAGGGTCTGGATGGATCAACTGCAGTGGTGAAAAGGGAAGGCTTTGGAGGGAAAGTGACACCTGAAGATAGAATAAATGTGTTATTGTGGAATGCAATGCTGCTCCACTGCCCCCCCACACCTTTTTTTTTCAATGCCTTGAAAAGACTTAATCCAGACGAACTCTCTTCTCGCCTGCTTTCTTTTTTTTTTTTTGAGACAGAGTTTCGCTCTGTCACCCAAGCTGGAGTGCAGTGGCACAATCTCAGCTCACTGCAACCTCTGCCTCCTGGGTTCAAGTGATTATCCTGCCTCAGCCTCCTGAGTAACTGGGATTACAGGTGCATGCCACCACGCTCAGCTAATTTTTTGTATTTTTAGTAGAGACAGGGTTTCACCATGTTGGTCGGGCTGATCTTGAACTCCTGACCTGAAGTGATCCACCCGCCTTGGCCTCCCAAAGTGCTGGGATTACAGACATGAGCCACTGTGCCTGGCTTGATTTTAGATTCCCATCTGATGTTCTCTATAACTTTGATGACTCCCCAAACAAAGGCTCCCAAACACACTCTGAGGCTTATGGTAATGAATTTAAATAAGCCAGCGTGTGTACTGGGTGTAGCACATGTCCAGAAGCAGGAAACCCTCACTGTCCTCTATAAGCTGCTGTTCTGTCAGGAACATTGTGACAGCACTGCTGCTGATATTATCGTTTTCATATCCCAGAATGGGAATGGTTTCTTGCCATCCTCAGACAGAGTTGCCTCATCTTGATGACAGTGGTAGGATGAGTAATAATTATCTACCATTGTCTAACTTAGATATCAAGCACTTTGCACCAATTCTTATTGGGTGCTCAAAGAAACCTCAGGAGGAATATGCTATCAGTATAACTCCCTTTTTATAGCTAAGGCCACAAAGGCTCTGAGTGGCGAAGTGGTCCATGAGGGTCTCAGAGCAGTAATGGGGAAGAATGAGATTTTGAATCCTAAAGCACTAGAGGAAATGTTCTTCAACTATGCCTCAGAGGTGTCCTAGAAAATCAGACCGGAAGAGTATTCACCAAATTTAGTATTTGTGCTGCAACGATTGGAAATCCATAAGTAAAAGAATGAAAGTGGACTTTTCCCTCACACCATATGCAAAAATTAATTTGAAATGAATCAATAACCTAAACAGAAGAGCTAAAGCCATAACACTCTTAGGAGAAAACACAGGAGGAAATTTCCATGAACTTGGAATTGGCAATGGGTTCTTAGATATGAACACACAAAACATGAGCAACAAAATAAAAAATAAAGCACAAGGAACAAAAGGAAATAAATTGGACTTCATTAATTTCTTTTCTTTTTTTTTTTTGAGGCAGAGTCTTACTGCTGTCTCGGCTCACTACAACCTCTGTTCCCCAGGTTCAAGCAATTCTCCTGCCTCAGCCTCCCAAGTAGCTGAGAATACAGCTGTGCACCACCACACCCGGTTTCACCATGTTGGCCAGGGTGGTCTCAAACTCCTGACCTCAAGTGATTGTCCCACCTTGGCCTCCCAAAGTGCTGGGATTACAGAAGTGAGCCACCACACCCGGCCGGGACTTCATTAAATTTAAAAACTTTTGTACATCAAAGGACATTATCAAGGAAGGAAAAAGACAACTCACAGAATGGGAGAAAATATTCGCAAATCAATCATAAATCTGATAAGGGTCTGGGATCTAAATTTTTTTTGTAGCCACCACGCCTGGCTAATTTTTGTGTTTTTAGTAGAGATGGTGTTTCACTATGTTGGCCAGGCTGGTCTTGAACTCCTGATCTCAGGTGATCCAACCACTTCGGCCTCCCAAAGTGCTGGGATTACAGGTGTGAGCCACCACTCCCAGCCTGGGATCTAAAATTTGTAAGGCATTCTTGCAAAGCAACAACAAGACAAACAACTCAGTCAAAATATGGGCAAAGGACTTGAATAGATATTTTCTTCCAAAGAAGATGTACAAAAGGCCAGAAAGCACATGACAAGATGCTCAGCATCATTAGTCACTAGAGAATGCACTTCAAAATCACAAGGCATCATTTCACATCCACTAGGATGGTTATTATCAACAAAACCAAACAGAACACAAAAACCCAGGTTGGGTATGGTGGCTCATGCCTGTAATCCCAGCACTTTGGGAGGCCAAGGTGGTTGGATTACCTGAGGTCAGGAGTTCGAGACCAGTCTGGCCAACATGGCAAAACCCCATCTCTACTAAAACTACAAAAATTAGCCAGGCATGATGGCACACGCCTGTAATCCCAGCTACTCAGGAGGCTGAGGCAGGAGAATAGATTGAACCCGGGAGGCGGAGGTTGCAGTGAGCCAAGATTGCTCCACTGCACTCTTGCCTGTGCGACAGTGAGACTCCATCTCAAAAACAAACAAACAGGCCAGGCGCGGTGGCTCATGCCTATAATCCCAGCACTTTGGGAGGTCAAGGCAGGTGGATCACGAGGTCAGAAGATTGAGATCATCCTGGCGAACACGGTGAAACCCCGTCTGTACTAAAAATACAAAAATTAGCCTGGCTTGGTGGTACGCACCTCTAGTCCCAGCTACTCAGGAGGCTGAGGCAGGAGAATCACTTGAACCCAGGAGGCAGTGGTTATAGTGAGCCGAGATCGAGATCATGCTACTGCACTCCAGCCTGGGTGATACAGCAAGACTCCATCTCAAAAAAACAAAACAAAACAAAACAAAACAAAACAAAAAAACAAAAAATAAGAAAACAGGCATTCAAATACACGTACATACGTGTTCAGAGTAGCACTATACACAATAGCCAAAAGGTGTAAATATCCCAAATGTCCATCAACTGGTGAGTGCAGAAATGAGATGAAGTACTGTATAAGTTCTGTTGTACCACAGACAATTATTCAGCCATAAAATGGAATGAGATACTGATACGTGCTACAATGTGGATGAGCCTTGAAAACATTACAGTAAGTAAAAGAAGCCAGACACAAAAAGCCACATTTGATTTTGTTGATAAGAAATAGGAATCTGAATCTGTTCACTTTAACCAGAATAGGTAAGGCCATGGCGAGATGCCGATTGGCGGTTGCCAGGTCCTGGGGGCTAGGGTAGAACTGGGGAGCGACTGCCTACTGGCTACACGGTTTCCACTTGGGGTGATGAAAATGTTTCGGTGCTGGACAGAGGTGGTGATAACGCAATACTGTGAATATACCAACTGCTCCTGAATTGGTCACTTTAAAATGGTTAATTTTATGTTATGTGAATTTCATGTCAATTTTTTTTCTTTTTTCTTTTTTTTGAGACAGAGTTTCACACTTGTTGCCCAGGCTGGAGTGCAGTGGTGCAATCTCGGCTCACCACAACCTCCGCCTCCCGGGTTCAAGCGATTTTCCTGCCTCAGCCTCCCGAGTAGCTGGGATTACAGGCGTGCGCCACCACGCCCAGCTAATTTTGTATTTTTAGTAGAGACAGGGTTTCTCCATGTTGGTCAGGCTGGTCTCGAACTCCCGACCTTAGGTGATCTGCCCGCCTCGGCCTCCCAAAGTGCTGGGATTACAGGCGTGAGCCACCGCGCCCAGCTTCATGTCAATTTTTAAATTTCACGTTTGATTCCAGGGGTTGGGAGTTTGCTGCCCTTCATCATGGAGTTTGCTGCAGCCAGTGCAGGGGTGAAAAGGGAAGAGCAAAACAGGCAGATCTCGTTTAGGAGAGATACTGCAATTTATCTGATGCTGATCTTTTAAGTCACTTCTGGTGCCAAAGAGCACTGGACTTGGAGCCTGAAGAACTGAGACTTCCTGACATTTGGCCTTAAGCAAGCCTGAGCTTAGACTTCCTGAGCTTTTCCCGATGTTTTGTGTTGGGCAGCCCCATTTCCCTGGACAGCTGCAGGGATGGAGGGAAGTGATGCGTGTATGCATGTGGGCTTGTTCCTTCCTTCTCTATTCCACAGGCTGTCAGTGTACAGGTATGTTTGCACACAAGAAAGATGTTGGTCCTGGGGTCTCAGAGGCACCAAAGAACTGGCCAGCTTTGTCCAATTCATCCAAAATCCAGTCAGTGGCGTAAAGAGGAAGCCATCACACCAGGCCTTTGCCAACAAAGCAGACAGGCTGCCCAGCCCAGGAGCTGCCTACTCTTACTCGCCTGTTGGTTTGAGCAGATGCAGCCATGACAGCAGGGTTACAAAGGCCACCCCAGCCAGGCCACCACCCTCCACCAGGGCTCTGCCAGGATGGATTGAACCCTGGCCCTCATGTGTTACTTGATGACAGCAAGATACCTGATAAGAAACTGTTTGGATGTCACAGAGAACACATTTTAACAGCCCAGAGAGGTGGGATTATCACAGAGTGGTGTAAAAGAAGCAAAATTATTTCGGATAAACCATGAAGGAATTTTATTACCCAGTGCAGTTATAAATCAAGTTCTCTGTAAATGCAATAAAACAATTGTTTAGTCTGCATGATTCATACCACAAACCTCAGGATTCTTGGTTTTGATCTTATTGCCGCAATAAACTGTCTAGACAGCAATTAACAAACTGTTTTTCCTTCAGATGTTTGGAGTGCTGGTACAGCGGGAATCGGCACTTAGAAATTCAGGGGCTTCTTCCTGGCTCCTATTAATTATCAGGTTGGGTGAGTGGGAAAAGCCCAGAATCTTCTCAGAATTAGCCTTCTGGAAGTGTCCTTCCCCTGTGAATGTGCCACTTCACCACATAATATTCACTTATAACTGGCAGAAAATCCAAATATACAGATTTTCTTAAACCTTGGCCTGTCACTTTAGAGAGAAGTGAGCAGAATTAACTTTTTTTTTTTTTTTTTTTGGAGACAGTCTTGCTCTGTTGCCCAGGCTGGAGTACAATGGCATGATCTTGGCTCACTGCAACCTCCACCTCCCGAGTTCAAGTGATTCTCCTGTCTTAGCCTCCCAAGTAGCTGGGATTACAGGAATGCACCACCACGCCCTGCTAATTTTGTATTTTTAGTAGAAACAGGGTTTCATCATGTTGGTCAGGCTGGTCTCGAACTCCTGACTTCATGTGATCCACCTGCCTTGGCCTCCCAAAGTGCTGGGATTACAGGCATGAGCCACCATGCCATGCCTGGCCTAGCTTTTGTATATCCTTGGAGCAAAATTTATATACAGATAAGTCATTTCTTCATGTATTCATTCATTTATTCAGCATTAGGGTATAATAGTTTAGAACACTCACTCAGGAGTCTAATCGACTTTCGTGCCATTTCAGGTACGTGATTTCACCTTCCTGAAGTTTATTTTGCATATGTTGAAAGTCATGGAGGAAAATTAAATGAAATTATCTGTGTAAATTGCCTGGAACATAATAAGAGCTCAAAACTATTCACTATTATTGTCTATCATCCATGCATTCATCTGTCCATCCACGTATTCACCATCCCTCTATCTATCCATCCATCCACCCACCTATCCATCCATTCCTTCACCCTTCCTTTCTTCCTTCCTTCTATCATTTATTCACCTATCTGTCCATTCTTCCTTCTTTTCTTTCCTTCCTTCCAACATTTATCCATCCATCCATCCATCCATCTATGCATCCACCCACCCACCCACCCATCCTTCCATCCATCCCTCCATCTATCCCTCCATCTGTCCATTTATCTACACACTCACTCATTCATTCCTTCTTTGCCTGGTACTCTATGCCAGATTGTTGAGATTATAAAAACAAATAAGATATATCCCGACTTCATGGAGATCCCAGTTTAGCTGGAAAGACAGCATTAGGTCTCTGGCTGTAGGCAGCATCTGATCCTGAAGGAAATAGTGAGAGAAAACCTGGGGAAGTGTTTAGTTTCTGGTCTAGCCCTGGTGATTTAAGATGATATGTGAGACGCACTCACCTCCCAGGGCTCCTGATGGCTCAGAGCTCAGTGGATGAACATGGCTTCATCCACACAGTCAGTTACACGGTGAGACTACACATTTGGCAAATGCCCCAAACAAACAAACAAACAAACAAAATAATTTGGGTTCAAGGTAACAGTAAATCACACTCTTCAAACCTAAATATTCTTCTCTAGGCTTCTTCCCACCTTTTCTTCCCTTCTTTCTGCCAACTCCTTCTCCTCCATTTTGCGTCAGACACCATGTGCATTGGGAGGATGTTGCTAGGTCACAGTGGGGACACTTGCTCTATTTACAGAGAAAACAGGGCTCCTCAGATTCACAGGGTTTGCAAAGGAAAGCCCTCCCAGAAAGGAATTCCAGCCTTCCCTTCTGAGGCTGGTGCAGCAGGGCTGGGGGCTGCAGGAACAGACCAGAGAAAGTGACTCAGAATTCCCTTCGGCTACAGTACGATTGCGAGAACCATTTTAAGTATGAGCTGTGGCTCCCCTCTCCCTTTTTCCTCAGCCTCCAGGGAGCTGCCATTTAAAAAATCTTGGCCTGGCCAGGGGCGGTGGCTCATGCCTGTAATCCCAGCACTTTGGGAGGCTGAGGTGGGCGGATCACCTGAGGTCGGGAGTTTGAGACCAGCCTGACCCCTGACCAACATGGAGAAACCCCGTCTCTACTAAAAATACAAAATTAGCTGGAGGCTGAGGTAGGAGAATCGATTGAACTCGGGAGGCAGAGGTTGTGGTGAGCTGAGATCACGCCATTGCACTCCAGCCTGGGCAACAAGAGCAAAACTCCATCTCAAAAAAAAAAAAAAAAAAAAGAAAAGAAAGAAAGTAATCCATGTCTTTCTCACGTACCAACATCCAGATAGAAGCAGTCCAGGATGGGTAGAGCAGCTCCTTTGGTAGAACCCACCTCTATTGCGCTGCCATGCCTGGCACGTTGCTCCCATCCCCATGGTCCAAGGGTCCTCTCCTCCACATCCCCATCCAGCCAGCAGAAAGGGGAGACAATGAAGGGAAGGCACGCCCCAGAAGGATGTGCCTCCGAGGCCTCTCACATCACTGGAATGCTCTCCCCATAGCCTAGGATTTAGTCACGAGACCGCACAGGGGAGCTGAGCTCTTTGTTCTGGTTGGCCATGTGTCCACATCTATTACTACACAAAAGTGGGGATGGCCATGGAGGGAGAACCAGCAAATTCTTTCATACGCTCCTATGGCCTTGATCCATCCAGTGGGTACATTTCTGAGCCCCTCGCTTTCTCACTGCCTCTTCTGCTGGGAGCATGACTCCCGGGCTGCAGAAGGACAGGCTGGTGCATTGAGAGTCTTTAGGCTTTGCTTGAATTGCAAATGCTCTGGTTTTCTGGCAAGACGGAAGTAGGTCCCTGGGCAGAAGTGTCAGAAGACCTGGGGTTGCCTCTGAACGTCACTGTTTCTGGGTCTGAGACCTTGGACTCAGAAATGAAAAAAACCTCTGAACCTCAGTGAAATGGGGGAAAAAATAAATGACTTCCATAGAGTTATTGGGAGGACCAAACTGCATTACCAAATACATTCTGAAAAGGTGAAAGTTCTCCAAATGATTGTGTGTTTTATCATCTCCACCACCACCATTTTTCTTTTTCTTTTTTTTTTGAGACAGAGTCTTGCTCTGTTGCCCAGGCTGGAGTGCAGTAGCGCGATCTCGGCTCACTGCAAGCTCCACCTCCCGGGTTCACCCCATTCTCCTGCCTCAGCCTCCCGAGTAGCTGGGACTACAGGCACCCGCCTCCACGCCCGGCTAATTTTTGTATTTTTAGTAGAGACGGGGTTTCACCGTGTTAGCCAGGATGGTCTCGATCTCCTGACCTCGTGATCCACCTGCCTCGGCCTCCCAAAGTGCTGGGATTACAGGAGTGAGCCACCGCGCACGGCCCATTTTTCTTTTTTCTTAATGCATGTATGTAGCTGAATTTGTGTAAGTACAATGGATCCATGATGAGAGTCTATTTATTGAATTTTTTTTTTTTTTTCAGATGGAGTCTCACTCTGTCACCCAGGGTAGAGTGTAGTGGTGTGATCTTGGCTCACTGCAACTTCCGCCTCCTGGGCTCAAGTGGTTCTCCTGACTCCCAAGTAGCTGGGATTACAGGCACCCACCGCCACGCCAAGCTAATTCTTGTGTTTTTAGTAGAGATGGGGTTTCGCCATGTTGGCCAGGCCGGTCTCGAACTCATGACCTTAAGTGATCCGCCCGCCTCCCAAAGTGCTGGGATTACAGGCATGAGCCACTGCGCCTTGCCTAATTATAGAAATTGTATTTGGAGAGAAAAGTATACTCTTTCTCTAAGCATTTCTGACATTACATTCTTTCAAAGCAATGCGAACAACTTCTGAAGGTACTGGTCTGGGCTCCAAGCTCAGATCTGGGTGGCGGAAGATTCTATGAACAGGTCCTGGCCAGGTTTGGGGGAGGTCCATGAGCAGGTCTTCTCACCAGGAGCAATATCCCTAGGAAACCAACCCACAGAATAGAAATTGAAAGAGCAAAAAGGCTTCCTTTTCTAAGAAAGGCCATGATGTCTCCAGGAATAGCATAAATATCCCCTGCAGGGCTTATCCCAGAAAAGAACATTCAGAGGGGCCTCTGAGTTGCTCTGCACCCCCAGCAGATGCCCTGCTCCAAATGGTCTCTTGTGTCTCCAGCTCTCCACCCAGGCTCTACCTGGAAGGCTCTTCTCTGACTTGTCCTCACGCAGCCCCTTCAACTGAGCCACAGTGACGTCCCCCATAGGCATCCTGGTGAGTCCTGGTGGGGTATCGTAGAGGCTCAATGACCTTTAAAATGAGTTCAGGCCAGGCACGGTGGCTCCCACCTATAATCCCAGCACTTTGGGAGGCGAGGCAGGCGGATCACCTGAGGTCAGGAGTTCAAGACCAGCTTGACCAACATGGCATCTCTACTGAAAATACAGAAGTTAGCCGGGTGTGGTGGTACATACCTGTAATCCCAGCTACTCGGGAGGCTGAGGCAGGAGAATCACTTGAACCTGGGAGGCGGAGATTGCAGTGAGCCAAGACTGGCCACTACACTCCAGCCTGGGTTACAGAGCGAGACTCCGTCTCAAAGAAAAAAAGTCAGTTCAAACTTTGCGATTCAACAACTGGGTGACTCTCCGGAGTCAATGAATTCGCCAATCCATGGATACTGATGAGCTTGACCTGAGCTGCTTGGGAAGCTGAGCTGCAGTGAATACGATGCAGCAGATGGAGCCAACGCTGCAAAGCAGAGCCGCGGGCAACACGGAGTTCCCGGGACTCCCTCAAAATCCTCCCCTTTATCTACACTGGCTCCCGCAGACCCGCGGGCAACACAGAGAGTGCTTGGGACTCCCTCAAACTTCTCTCCTTTATCTACACTGGCTCCCACAACAGGATCTCAACCCTGGTTGTACTTGAGAATCAGCAGGGAAACTTCTAACAGTTCTGATGCCTGAGCCATGCCCACAGATCAATTATATCAGAAACCCCGTAGCTGGGACCTGGGCATAAGTATTTTAAAGCTCCCCAGGTGATTCCAAAGTCCAGCCAAGGTAGACATCCACTGCTCTGGGGACCTTGTCCATCCCACAGGTAGAAGGCCCCATCTGTGACCACTTTTCTGAGGTCCAGACTTGCCAATTTATTTTCTCAACATCACCATTTCAGTGCCTAAGAGACAACTCATCTTGCCAGAGTAAAGTGGATTGTCCCCTCCACACCTGCTTCTCTTCTCACCAGGGTCCCCCAGCTGTTTCAGGGCAAAAACTGAACACCTTCTGATTCTTTTCTTTGTCTCACAGCCCATAGCCAATTTTTTTGGAATTCTCAACAGCTATAATGTCAAAATATATCCCCATTCTAATCTCTGCTCCCCACCTCCCCTGCTAGCCTGGAGATCCCCTATTCTTCTTTTGAATCCTTCTAGTTTGGTCTCTGCCAACAGCTCATGTAAAATCTATGAAAAAATGAAGCTCCGGGTTGGGTGTGGTGGCTCATGTCTGTAATCTCAGAACTTGTTGTTGTCGTTGCTGTTGTTTTGAGACTGAGTCTTGTTCTGTCGCCCAGGCTGGAGTGCAGTGGTGAAATCTCGGCTCACTACAACCTCCACCTCCCAGGTTCAAGCAATTTTCCTGCCTCAGCCTCGTGAGTAGCTGAGACTACAGGCGCGTGCCACCACGCCCAGCTAATTTTTTCTTTTTTTTGTATGTTTAGTAGAAGCGAGGTTTTACCATGTTGGCCAGGCTGGTCTTGAACTACTGACCTCAAGTGATCTGCCTGCCTCGGCCTCCCAAAGTGCTGGGATTACAGGCGTGAGCCACCACACCCGGCCAATCCCAGTACTTTGGAAGGCTGAGGTGGGAGGATTGCTTGAGCCCAGGAGATGGAGGCTGCAGTGAGCCATGATTGTGCCACTGCACTCCAGCCTGGGCAACAGAGCAAAACCCTGTTTCCAGAAAACAAACAAGCCCAAAAACTCAGCATGAAAAGATGCTCAGCTCATTAGCCATTGGGGAAATTCAATTAAAACCAAAAGAAGGGCCGAGCACGGTGGCTCATACCTGTAATCCCAGCACTTTGGGAGGCTGATGTGGGTGAGTCACCTGAGGCCAGGAGTTCAAGACTAGCCTGGCCAACTTGATGAAACCCCATCTCTACTAAAAATAAAAAAATTAGCCGAGTGTGGTGATGCACGCCTGTAATCCCAGCTGCTCGGGAGGCTGAGGCAGGAGAATTGCTTGAACCTGGAAGACAGAGATTGCAGTGAGCCGAAATTCCACCACTGCACTCCAGCCTGGGTGAAAGAGCGAGACTCCATCTCAAAAAAAAAATAAAGATATGTTGAGATACACAAATACCATTGTGTTACAATTGTCCACATCATTCAAGGCAATAACATGTACGTGTTTGTAGCCTAGGAGCAATAGGCCATACCATATAGCCTAGGTGTGTAGACTCACTCCATAACGTACCCATAATAACGAAATGCCATAATGTACCAACAGGAGAACAGATGAACAAATTATAGTATGTTTATACAATGAAATACTACTCAGCAGCCGGGCACGGTGGCTCACGCCTGTAATCCCAGCACTTTGGGGGGCCGAGGTGGGCGGATCACGAGGTCAGGAGATCGAGACCATCCTGGCTAACACAGTGAAACCCTGTCTCTACTAAAAATACAAAAATTAGCCGGGCATGGTGGCGGGGCGCTTGTAGTCCCAGCTACTCGGGAGGCTGAGGCAGGAGAATGGCGTGAACCCAGGAGGCGGAGCTTGCAGTGAGCCGAGATCACGCCACTGCACTCCAGCCTGGGCGACAGAGCAAGACTCTGTCTCAAAAAGAAAAAAAAACCAAAAAACTACTATTCAGCATACAAGAAATGAATTACTGACGCAAGCAGCAACGTCAATAAATCTTATAGACATTCCTCTGAGCAAAAGAAGCTGGGTAAACTTTATGAATGCATTTATAAGAGGTTCTAGAAAAAAATGATTCAAGGGTGATATGTTAAAATATGGCTTCTAGCCAGTGGGATGGTCAGGGGTTTGACTGGATTGATTGAAAAGGAGCATGAGGGAGCCTTCTGGAGTGATGGAAATGATTTTTATCTTGTTTTGGGTGGTGATTACAGGTGTCCAAAGTTACTGAACTCACTTAAGAGCTGTAAGTCTTGGCTGGGCAGTAATCCCAGCACTTTGAGAGGCCGAGGTAGGTGGATCACCTGAGGTCAGGAGTTCAAGAGCAGCCTGGCCAACATGATGAAACCCTGTCTTTACTAAAAAAAAAAAAAAACTACAAAAATTAGCTGGGCATGGTGGTACGTGCCTGTAGTCCCAGCTACTTGGGAGGCTGAGGCAGGAGAATTGCTTGAACCTGGGAGGCGGAGGTTGCACGCTGCAGCCTGGGCCACAGAGCAAGACTCCATCTCAAAAAAAAAGAAAAAAAAAAGGAACTGTAAGTCTTACTGCATGTAAATCATACCTTAAAAAGTAATTTGGGGGCCAGGCGCGGTGGTGCATGACTATAATTCCAGAACTTTTGGAGGCCAAGGCAGGCAGATAACTTGAGACCAGGAATTTGAGACTGAGACTAGGCTGGGCAACATGGCAAAACTCTGTCTCTATAAAAAATACAAAAATTAGCTGGGTTTGGTGGTACACACCAGTAGTCCCAGCTACTTGGGAGGCTGAGGTGGGAGGATTGCTTGAGCCCAGGAAGTTGAGGCTGCAGTGAGCCATGAGTGCACCACTGCACTCCAGCCTGGATGACAAAACAAGACCTTGTCTCAAAAAAAAAAAAAGAAAAAAAAACACAGAGTCCCACAAACCTCTGCTCAAACTCCCCCTACCCTCACCCCCAACCTTTAGGACAAAATCTGGAGCACCCACTCTGGTCTTCAGAGCCTTGCATGAACTGCCGTCTTTTCCCTCCTTGGCAGTGTCTACAACCACCCTTCCCTTTGCTCTTTTTTTTCAGACAGAGTCTCACTCTAACACCCAGGCTGGAGTGCAGTGGTGCCATCTCAGCTCACTACAACCTCTGCCTCCCAGGTTCAAGCGATTCTCCTGCCTTAGCCTCCATGTAGCTGGGATTACAGGCATGTACCATCGCTCCTGGCTAATTTTTTGTATTTTTAGTAGAGACGGGGTTTCACCATGTTGGTCATGCTGGCCTTGAGCTCCTGACTTCAAATGATCTGCCCGCCTCAGCCTCCCAAAGTGCTGGGATTATAGGCGTGAGCCACCGTGCCCGGCTGGCTTTTCTTTATAGAATGCCTGCCGGTGTATACATCACTAAGCAATCATTCTTTTAGTTCTCACACACTTTTTTGGAAACACCATGCATTCTTTTGTACTTAGGGGCTTTGCTTTAATATTATGTTCCTGAGATTCATCCAGGACCACTATTAATTTTCATAGTTGTGTTCTAATCTATGATGATCACATAATTTAGTCACCCATTTTCTTGGGAAGGGGCATTTAGGTTGTATCCAGATTTTTGCTGTTACTCACAATGCTGCCAAGAGCATTGTTGTACATGGCTCCTGGGACATGTATGCCAGAAATGTTTAGGATATTTATCTATGAATGAAATTGCTTGGTCAGAGGGTATGTGCGTTTTCAGCTGTATCTGATATTTCAAAGCTATTTTTTAAGGTGGTTGTACCAACTACACTTTTCACCAACTGTGTAAAAGAGTTTCCTTTTTGTCCTATATCCTTATCAATACTGGGTGCCCTTAAATTTATTAATTTTTGCCAATCTTGCGGTTTTAATTTGCATTGTCTCAATCATTAATAAGGTTAATCATCACTTTATATATTGGGCATTTATCAAAAAATAAAGCTGTGTATTTTTAGATGGGAACAAATGCACAGAAAAAGATCTAAAACCGTGATTCTAAGAAGGGGAGTGGAAAAGGAGGGGTGGGATGTGAATACTTTGTTCTGTGTGATCTTCACATTTTTACAACAAAAATTATTTAATATGCTTATAAAATTCATATAAAAATGGCCAGGCATGGTGGCTAATGCCTGTAATCTCAGAACTTTAGGAGGCCCTGGGTGGGCGAAATCACTTGAGGCCAGGAGTTCGAGACCAGCCTGGCCAACATGGCAAAACCCCATCTCTACTAAAAACACGCACACAAAAAAATCAGCTGGGGGTGGTGGTGCACACCTGCAGTCCCGGCTACTTGGGAGGCTGAGGCAGGAGAATTGCTGGAACCTGGGAAGTCAAGGTTGCAGTGAGGCAAGATCATGCCACTGCACTCCAGCTTGGATGACAGAATGAGACTCTGTCTCAAGAAACAGAAAAAACTGGCTGGGCGCGGTGTCTCATGCCTGCAATCCCAGCACTTTGGGAGGCTGAGGTGGGCAGATCACAAGGTCAGGAGATCGAGACCATCCTGGTGAACACGGTGAAACCCCATCTCTACTAAAAATACAAAAAATTAGCCAGGACTGGTGGGCGCCTGTAATCCCAGCTACTTGGGAGGCTGAGGCAGGAGAATCACCTGAACCCGGGAGGCGGAATTTGCAGTGAGCTGAGATCATGCTACTGCACTCCAGCCTGGGAGACGGAGTGAGACTCCATCCCCCCCGCAAAAAAAAGAAAAAATTGATCTAAAAATTAAGCAAGATATAGATCAGTACGCATCATTAATTTTTTTATTTTAAAAAATTATATGTAAACACACACATACATGCATTGCTTTATATGTGTGTGTGTATGTGTGTGTATAGAAGAAGGCCTGAAATAATTTTCTCAGAGTTTTTAAGGGTGGTTTTCTGTGTGGAGGTGGGGATGCAACTGTGCAGTGGTGGAGTTAAGGAGGGTAGGGGTAGTAGGGGGCGGTATATAATTGTTCCTTTTAAATTTTATGCACCTTTTAAATTGGATATTTTCTTCAGTCTTTAATACAAAATTCACTAGTTCTGCGATTTAACATTTTTATGTTATTTTACAAAAATCTTTCTGATATTTCCTTCATTCTCAATATCCAAATTTTCTTTTTTTTTTTTGAGACAGAATCTTGCTCTGTTGCCCAGGCTGGACTGCAGTGGCACGATCTCGACTCACTGCAAGCTGTGCGTCCCGGATTCATGCCTTTCTCCTGCCTCAGCCTCCTGAGTAGCTGGGACTATAGGCGCCCGCCACCACACCTGGCTAATTTTTTTTGTATTTTTAGTAGAGACGGGGTTTCACTGTGTTAGCCAGGATGGTCTCGATCTCCTGACCTCGTGATCCGCCTGCCTCGGCCTCCCAAAGTGCTGGGATTACAGGCGTGAGCCACTGTGCCCAGCCTAAATATCCAAATTTTCTGTGGACTGTCACAGGTATAAAGTAAAGTGCCCCACCCCCACACCCACCATGTCCAAAAAGAAAAGAGTAAACAAGGTTCCAGTGACCTGGACCATACCTAACTCCGCCTCAGTTGGTAACTCTGATGTGAACAGCACACATCAGAAGAACATAGGGCCACCACTGTGATATAGGTGGTAAAATTCCCTTTATCATAAACATGTACAATGATTACATATCCATAATAATTAGAAATAAAAACATTTTTAAAGGTAAAGCTAAGCAGAAAAATAAAAAATAAAGGTTCCTTTATGTTCTTGAGATCTGAAAAGGAAATTATACGTACAGCCTTTACAATACCTTTTATTATAAATCTGTTTATGAGTTTAAAACTATGCTGTCCAATATGTAGCCACTAGCCATATGTGGCTATTTAAATTTAAATTGACTGAAATTAAATAACATTAAAAATTCAGTTCCTTAGTCACATGGGCCCACTATTTCAAGGGTCCAACAGTTACTTTGGGCTAGTTGCTATTGTATTATATAATGCAGATTAAAAATATTTATACCAATGTGGAAAGTTCTGATGGACAGTACTGGATTAAAACCTTATATAGATATTATTCTTGTTCACCACCATGTGAGAAGGTTTTTACCATGGGAAGGAATTCTTGTTTGTTTTTTTTGTTTTTTTGTTTTTTTGTTTTTTAAATTGAGGTAGGGTCTTGCTCTGTTGCCCAGGTTGGAGTACAGTGGCACAATCACAGCTCACTTCAGCCTCGACCTCCAGGTCTCAAGTGATCCTCCCACCTCAGTCTCCCAAGTAGCTGGAACTACAGGTACCTGCCACCACACTCAGCTAATTTTTTTTATTTTTTGTAGAAATGGGATCTTACTATGTTGCCCAGGCTGGTATGGAACTCCTGGGCTCAAGTGATCCTCCTGCCTCCAGCCTCCCAAAGTGCTGGGATTACAGGTGTGAGCCACCATTCCTTGGGCCATTCTTGTATTTTAAGTACTCAGAGACATCCAGGAAAGGTAACCGAGTGGGTAACTTCAGCACTTCAGAGAGTGCCTAGTGTGTGATTCTAAGCTCATCACTCCAGGGACCCAGCACCCAATTCCAGCTGTGTCTTTCCTCCATTTAAATCACCCTCTGTGGATCCTATTAAGTATTCTCCCATTCTGGTCAAACTGGTTTATGAAACTACTATTTGAGAAGTCCAGTCTTGCAGGCCGATGGGACCCTGCCTTTGTGTGGCCGTAATAAGGTTATTTATGAGGGCTGGAGCCGATTCTCTTGATTCTTCGGGAAGATGAAAGGTTTGGTGGTAAAGGAAAGCAGAAGCTTGGGGAGCAGGTTTCTCCTTATAGCAATGACTCTCCAGATAGGATAAATCACCCAGGACCATTAAACCTTCAAGAAGAGTGCTCGTAAACCTCCGCTGGAAACTCACAAAGCATCTTCTCTCTTGGAGCAGCCTATGTGGAGAGGGACTCGCCTCTTTTTCCAAACCACCAGCCAGTCACAGATTAACCCTGCTGCCATCTCTGCCCAGGACACTGAAGCAGAAAATCACTTTCTTTTTTTTTTTGAGACAGAGTCTCACTCCGTCACCCAGGCTGGAGTGCAGTGGCGCGATCTTGGCTCACTGCAACCTCCACCTCCCTGGTTCAAGCGATTCTCCTGCCTCAGCCTCCCGAGTAGCTGGGATTACAGGCATCCGCCACCATGCCCAGCTAATTTTTTGTATTTTTAGTAGAGATGGGGTTTCACCATATTGGCCAGGATGGTCTCAATCTCTTGACCTCACGATCCGCCCACATTGGCCTCTCAAAGTGCTGGGATTACAGGCGTGAGCCACTGCACCCAGCCGAAAATCACTTTCAAAGTCATCCTTTCAGGTGGCCAACTGTCCCTGTTTGTCTGAGATGAAAGGGTTTCCTGGGACAAGAGATCAGGAAAGTCCCAAGCAAGTCTGGATGAACTGGTCACTCTATTTCCTCCGTACCTTGGGGGCAAGCAATGCCTGCGACTCAACAGGACAAAAACATTTGTTCATATTTAGCTCCCATTTATGAGGCTCTGCAATGTGTCAGGTGCTGGGCAAAGACAGTGCTTTACCTGACGTGTCTCGTTTCATCTTAACAACCAAATGAGCTTGGTGTTATTATTATCCCCATTTGACAGGTGAAGAAACCGAGGCTCAGAAAGCTAAAGTGACTTGTCCAAGGTCACACCTTAAATGGTGTCTGTGTCTCCATAGCTCATGCTCTGAACTGCTCCTCTAATTCTTCCTTATCTTTCTTTTTTTTTTTTTTTTTTTTGAGATGGAGTCTCGCTCTGTTGCCCAGGCTGGAGGGCAGTGGTGCGATCTTGGCTCACTGCAACTTCCACTTACGGGGTGCAAGCGATTCTTGTGCCTTAGCCTCCAGAGTAGCTGGGATTACAGGTGTGCACCACCACATTCGGCTAATTTTTGGATTTTTATTTGTAATTTTTTTTGAGTTGGAGTCTCACTCTATTGGCCAGGAGTACAGTGGCACAATCTTGGTTCACGGCAACCTCCATCTCCTGGGTTCAAGCGATCCTCCTGCCTTAGCCTCCTGAGCTTACCAGGCGCCCGCCACCACACCCGGCTAATTTTTGTATTTTTAGTAGAGATAGGGTTTCACCATGTTGGCCAGGCTGGTCTCAAACTCCTGACCTCAAGTGATCTGCCCGCCTCAGCCTCCCAAAGTGCTGGGATTACAGGCGTGAGCTACCGTGCCCAGCCTGTATTTTTAGTAGAGACGGAATTTCGCCGTATTGCCCAGGCTGGTCTCAAACTCCTGAACTCAAGCGATCCACCCGCCTTGGCCTCCCAAAGTGCTGGGATTACAGTGTGAGCCACTGCACCTGGCCTTCATCTTTCTTAATCTGCCTTGGATTTTTGGGGTTCCAGAAGCTTCCCACAAAAAGAGTCATTGGAGATACTTATATTGTTAACCAACGGGGTAGGAGAATGACTTTCAGCTGAACTTTATTTGCACGTTAAAAAGTCAAGTCTAATTTTCTAAAACTATCTGGACTCTTTCACTGGCAAATGCCGAGTTGGAAGGAAAGTCCATAAATCACTCACAGACCTACATTGGCCGTGGCTATATGCAAACCCAGTACTGCTGGTCTGGCCACCTGGGAGCACCAGGCATAGGATGGGGTGAGATTTCCCCACCAAATTCAGGGCATATCAGAGCTCAGAGTACCTGCACCCAAAGGGAAATACCCCAAACACTGGCTTCAGGAAAGTTCTCATTAGATAGACACAAGAAAGTTTTGCCCTAATCCTCAGTATTGGCTAACAGATCACTTTTATTGAGGAATTACTATGTGCCAGGCAATGCCTGTTTTCATCCACTTCTCATGTCCAATTATCTGCGAAATAGATAAGATTATTATCCCAGCCCAGAGATGAGGAAACTGAGGTGTGGAGAGCTGGCGAGATTGATCTAGACCAGTGGTTCTCAAGCAGGGGAGGGTTTGCCCTCCATGCACATTTGCCACTATCTGGACACATTTTTGATCATCACAACCTGGGATGGGGTTGCTGCTGGCATCTAGTGAATAGAGGCCAGGGATGCTGCTCCACATTCTACACTGCACAGAACGGCCTCCCTCTACCCCAGTAAAAGAAATTACATGGCCCCAAATGCCAATAGCTCTGAGGTTGAGAAACTCTTGTCTAAATCAAGAAAAGGGTGGCAACTCCTGGGGAACCCTTCACTCCAGAGTTTGAGGGGCTCACATGCCTAGCAAGGGGTAGAGCAGTGATTAGATCCCACTTGCTTTTACCTTCCTATGCCCTGGAGAAGGATTACTGAAAGGTCAGTTCAAGAGGGTATGAACTTGTTGTGTGATGCTAGAACAGTGCTGGGCACAAATAGGTGCCCAGTAAATATTTGTTGAATGAATGAATGAATACTAAGTATTAATACCATTTATTGAGGGCTTTCTGTCAATGAACACACCAAGTATATTGCCAGCATCATCTCATTTGATTCTTGGAGTAGACCCCAGAGGCAGGTACCACTCCCCACAGTCTTATTTTACAGAGTAAGAGACAGAGAGGGCTGGGGGCGGTGGCTCACGCCTGTAATCCCAGCACTTCGGGAGGCCAAGACGGGTGGATCACGAGGTCAGGAGACCAAGACCATCCTGGTTAACATGGTGAAATCCCTTCTCTACTAAAAATACAAAAAAGTTAGCTGGGCATGGTGGTGGGCACCTGTAGTCCCAGCTACTCCGGAGGCTGAGGCAGGAGAATGGTGTGAATCCGGGAGGCGGAGCTTGCGGTGAGCCGAGATCGTGCCACTGCACTCCAGCCTGGGTGATAGAGTAAGACTCCGTCTCAAAAAAAAAAAAAAAAAAAAGAGACAGAGAGAAGAGGTCTCATGCCAGAGTCATACAGCTTGGCCAGTGACTGAGGTTTTCCATTCAGGGTGGTCCAAGTTTAACTTAGAATTACATTGCCTCATACCAGAATCTCTGGAAACAAGAATAATTTCCAGGGCTTACATCATGTAGCAACTTTTTTTTTTTTTTTTTAGACAGAGTCTCAACTCTGTCTCCCAGGCTGGAGTGCAATCTCAGCTCACTGCAACCTCTTCCTCCCAGGTTCATGCCATTCTCCTACCTCCGCCTCCCAAGTAGCTGGGACTACAGGTGCCCACCACCATGTCCAGCTAATTTTTTTGTATTTTTTTAGTAGAGACAGGGTTTCACCGTGTTAGCCAGGATGGTCTCAGTCTCCTGACCTCATGATCTGCCCGCCTTGGCCTCCTAAAGTGCTGGGATTACAGGCATGAGCCACCGTGCCCGGCCCACATGTAGTAACTTTTTTCACTGTTCCAGGTTTTATAAATATATCCCCTTTTTCAGCACTTGCTCTCGCTTACCTTTTTTCTTTTGTAGGCAGGGTCTCCCTTTGTCACTCAGGCTGGAGTGCAGTGGTGCGATCATGGCTCAACCTCCTGGGTTCAAGTGATCCTCCCGCCTCAGGCTCCCAAGTAGCTGGGACTATATACGTGTGACACCACACCCAGCTAATTTTTTAATTTTTTGTACAGACAGGGTCTCACTATGTTGCCCTGGCTGGGTTCAAATTCCTGGGCTTAAGCTATCTCTGCCACCTCAGCCTCACAAAGTGCTGAGATTACAGGCATGAGCCACTGCACCCAGGCAGCCCCTTTCTAAAAAAATAAAATGGGCCGGGCGTGGTGGCTCACACCTGTAATCCCAGCACTTTGGGAGGCCGAGGAGGGTGGATCATGAGGTCAAGAGACCGAGACCATCCAGGCCAACATGGTGAAACCCCATCTCTACTAAAAATACAAAAATTAGCTGGGCGTGGTGGCGGGCGCCTGTAGTCCAGCTACTTCGGAGGCTGAGGCAGGAGAATCGCTTGAACCTGGGAGGCGGAGGCTGCAGTGAGCTAAGCTCATGCCACTGCACTCCAGCCTGGCGACAGAGTGAGACTCTGTCTCAAACAAACAAAAACGAGTTTTACACTATTCTATAAATAAAAGGGTTTCAGGGTTAGCCATGAAAGGCCCCAGTGACAAAGTTGTAATGTGATCAGAAATGAAAAGCTCAAAAAAAGATTTCAGTTGGTGATGAAACAAGGCAAGGATTATGAATCTCACAGGCGTTTCCTTTCTCCAGAAACTGAAGGCACCTTTGCCAGGAGAAAAAGGCAGTTTCCATGGCAGGGACCCAGCCTTGACTTCCCCAGGATCTGTCCACATGAACGTTGTAATGAGTCCACCCGAGATGGGGACTCTCCATTGTATTTACATTTTATGACATCTTTTTATATTTCACAGGAGAGGATTCTGAATAAAAATGAGCCCGGCTTTTAGGGCTGTTTTTTATTATCAGCATTTGGTAAAAAACATCCTTAATGAGGTGTTAAGAGTCATCCTGCATCCTATTGTGGAGGAGGCCTGGGAGCTCATAAACCCCTGAAAAGCCACAGGGTAATTTATAATCCTTGATGCCACCCCTTCCTGACACAAGCGCTTCAGAGGGAGCATCTTTAGTTCTCGGGCACTTCCTGCAATTTACACGCCCAAGCTGCTTCGACCACAATCTGAATTCAACCTTATTAAGTAAAGTTCAGCCCAGGATTCTTCTTGCCAAGCTGTTCACCTCTGAGAAACTCTGGCCAGCCTGCCTGAAATTAATTAGAGTTTCCGTTGAGTTTGGACTGAAGGTGTGGCTCTAGAAAGTGTTCACATTTCTCTCCTTACTGGTGAGGAATTTAACAGTTATGGTTCTGGGGAAAAACAATAACATAACAACAACAACAACAAAAAAAACCACTTTTGCTTCTCTGCAAGAAGAGGAGTTTCTTGATACTGTGATGTTTTACTCATAAGTTCATATCCTTTCTGAAATAGACTTCAATTAAGACTGAGGGTGTCCTAAGCCCCAGAATGATATACTACTTCATTGAGAAAAAAATACTGCCACTTATATAAGGGATCTAAAAGAGCCAGATTCATAGAATCAAAGTGTGGAATGGTGGTTGCCAGGGGGTTGTGGGAGAGGGCAATAGGGAATTACCAATCAGCCAATAATCAATGGGCATAAGGTTTCAGTTAAGCAACAGGAATAAGTTCTAGAGATCTGCTGTATGACATTTAACCTAGAGTCAACGACAGTGGATTATACACTGAAAAATTTGTTAAGAGGGCCAGCCTTGTATGGCTGGGAGCAGTGGCTCATGGCTGTAATCCCAGCACTTTGGGAGGCCAAGGCGGGCGCATCACCTGAGGTCAGGAGTTCGAGACCAGCCTAACCAACATGGAGAAACCCCGTCTCTACTAAAAATACAAAAAAATTAGCCAGGCGTGGTGGCGCATGCCTGTAATCCCAGCTACTCGGGAAGCTGAGGCAGGAGAATCGCTTGAACCCAGGAGGTGGAGGTTGTAGTGAGCCGAGATCGCGCCACTACACTCCAGCCTGGGCAACAAGAGCGAAACTCCGTCTCAAAAAAAAAAAAAAAAAAAAAAAAAAGAAGGGCCAGCCTTGGTGGGTCACACCTGTAATCCGAGCACTTTAAGAGCCCAAGGCGGAAGGATTCCTTGAGCCCAGGAGTTCGAGGTCAGCCTCGGCAATATAGTGAGACCCTGCCTCTATTTTTCATTTAAAAAAAACCCAAAATTTGTTAAAAGTGTATATCTCATGATAAGTGTTCCTCTCAATCAAGTAAAATAAAACGACCGCCACAAACCAGACTTTGTGATGGCGACAAATATCTCAGGTTTAATCTTGAAATCTGTAAATTGAAGAATAAAGAAAATAATTTAATCCTTTCCTTTATATCCTTTTTTGTTTGTTTGTTTGTTTTTGTTTGAGATGGAGTTTTGATCTTGTTGCCCAGGCTGGAGTGCCATGGTGCGATCTCAGCTCACTGCGACCTCCACCTCCCAGGTTCAAGCAATTCTCCTGCCTCAGCCTCCCCAGTAGCTGGGATTACAGGCATGTATCACCACACCCGGCTAATTTTGTATTTTTAGTAGAGACGGGGTTTCACCATGCTGGTCAGGCTGGTCTCGAACTCCTGACCTGAAGTGATCCACTCACCTTGGCCTCCCAAAGTGCAGGGATTATAGACATTAGCCACGGTGACTGGCCCTTTCCTTTATACTTTATATCCTTCTTATTTGGGGATCTCTTTTTTATTTTTTATTTTTTTAAGAAAAGTACATATGACATGGTATATATTGACCCTTCCTGACTTTATTCAATTAAATATTATAATTGACTATTAGATGGTTATTTCTTTATTGCTGTTAATTTTTTTTTTTTTTTGAGACAGTCTCTCTCTATTGCCCAGGCTGGAGTGCAGTGGCGCAATCTCGGCTCACTGCAAGCTCCGCCTCCCTGGTTCACACCATTCTCCTGCCTTAGCTTCCCGAGTAGTTGGGACTACAGGTGCCTGCCACCACGCCCGGCTAATTTTGGTATTTTTAGTAGAGACGGGGTTTCACCTTGTTAGCCAGGATGGTCTCGATCTCCTGACCTTGTGATCTGCCTGCTTCAGCCTCCCAAAGTGCTGGGATTACAGGCGTGAGCCACTGCACCTGGCCTATTGCTATTAAATTTTAACATCAGCATTTCACATAGTCCCTATTTGGCTTTCATAGTTCCTGTTGACTGAATATCATTTATATTTAACTTGAAAAATAGATATTTATATTTCACTTGTGTGGACATAGTTGAAAAAGTGTAGGAATTATAGATTTTATCATGCAACATTTTATGTTGTTTCCAGCCTCTGAACGAATAAATAATTTATATGTGCAATGTATATGTTTTGTTCCTAGGTCCTCTGGGGAGGCATTGTAGGGGAAAAACCCACAAAACCTGGTGTTGGAGGGTCAGGGTTCAAGTTCTGTTCTTAGCAATAATGTGATCTTGAGCCCATCAATCATTGTTTCTGACCCCACATGTCCTTATTAGTAAAGTGAAACTGATAATACATATGCCACTGCATTGTTAAATTACTATTATAATAATAATTATTATTATTTGAGACGGAGTCTCACTCTGCCACCTAGGCTGGAGTACAGTGGCGCAATCTTGCCTCACTGCAATCTCCACCTCCCGGGTTCAAGCAATTCTCCTGCCTTGAGTAGCTGGGATTATAGGTGCATGCAACCACGCCCAGGTAATTTTTGTATTTTTAGTAGAGACAGGGTTTCAGGGTTTCAGGGTTTCACCATGTTGGTCAGGCTGGTCTCGAACTTCTGACCTTGTGATCCGCCCGCCTCGGCCTCCCAAAGTGCTGGGATTACAGGCATGAGCCATCCCGCCCGGACTGTTAAATTAGTATTTATTTTCTTTTTCCTTTTTTTGAGACGGAGTCTCACTCTGTCGCCCAGGCTGGAGTGCAATGGCGCGATCTCGGTTCACTGCAACCTCCGCCTCCTGGGTTCAAGCAATTCTCCTGCCTCAGCCTCCCGAGTAGCTGGGACTACAGGTGCACACTGCCACACCTGGCTAATTTTTTTCTATTTTAGTAGAGACAGGGTTCACCATGTTGCCCAGGATGGTCTGGAATTCCTGAGCTGAGGCAATCCACCCTTCTCAGCCTCCCAAAGTGCTGGGATTACAGGTGTGAGCCACCGTGCCTGGCCCTTCTTTTTTTTTTTCTGAGACGAATTCTTGCTCTGTCACCCAAGCTAGAGTGCAGTGGCGGATCTTGGTTTACTGAAACCCCCGCCTCCCAGGTTCAAGCAATTCTCCAGCCTCAGCCTCCTGAGTAACTGGGATTACAGGCATGTGCCATCATGCCTAGCTAATTTTTGTATTTTTAGTAGAGACGGGGTTTTACCATGTTGGCCAGGCTGGTCTTGAACTCCTGACATTGTGATTTGCCCACCTCGGCCTCCCAAAGTGCTGGGATTACAGGCATGAGCCACCATGCCTGGCCTATTTATTTTCATTATAATTGACAGTTATTTAATTAAGTATAAACTTTTAGCTACGTGTTGTGAATGTGTGTTATGTCACTTGACTAACCTATAAAGTGTGAACAGTTATTAGCATCACAGGTGAGGTTCTTGAGCCTCAGAGAGGTTAAGTGACTTGCCCATGGTCACACAGCCTGAAAGTGGCAAACCTGGGATATGAACCTAGGAACATATGACTGCAAAAACAGTACCCCAAGTCATTCGACGTGAAGCTGCCTTTTGATGATGTAAGTGAGATTGACTGCGACTTGTAAAGCTGTCTGTAAATGCCTAGTTAAGAGAGATATGGCCAAGACATCAGAAATTTTGAGCAGAAGAAGGTTCTAGGAATCAACTAATTAAATAACGTGATTTTAGAATGATGAGGCCGAGAGTCTACCTTGGGTCAGAAACTAAGATAGAGATGTCAGATGAGAAGACAGATGCCTAGCTGCACCCTGGGCTCCCTGTAGTGCTGTGTTTAGGTTCTCAGACCCGGGAGTCAGAGCCTGGGCTCAATATTGAGCTCCGGTTCATACTAGCTGTGTACCTTGGACAAGATATGTAAATTCTCTATACCTTAGTTTCTGCATCTCTAAAATGGGATAGCTAAGAGTAATTACAGGCTGGGTGCAGTGGCTCATGCCTGTAATTCCAGCACTTTGAGAGGCCAAGATGGATGGATCACGCGAGGCCAGGAGTTTGAGACTAGCATGGCCAACATGGAGAAACCCCATCTCTACTAAAAATACAAAAATTAGCCGGGCTGGTGGTGCATGTCTGTGATTCCAGCTACTTGGGAGCCTGAGGCAGAAGAATTGCTTGAACCTAGGAGGCAGAGGTTGCAGTGAGCTGAGATTGCACTGCTGTACGCAATCCTGGGTGACAGAGCAAGACTCTGTCTTCGGGAAAAAAAAAAAAAGTGTAATTATAGAAAGATTAAACAAGTTTAAAATGTGTGACATGCTTAAAATAGTGGTAATTTATAAATGTATCATTATTCTGGCCACCACTGATCGTCTTTAAAACTGCACCATTCCTATTTGATGAGCTGAACATACAAAAACATCCATGGATACCATTATCATCTTTATCTCTTGCGAAACAGCAAATGATGAATAAACCCGTACAATTCATTTTTCTTTTTTTCTTTTTTTTTTGAGATGGAGTCTCACTCCGTCACCCAGGCTGCAGTGCAGTGGCGCGATCTCAGCTCACTGCAACCTCCGCCTCCCGGGTTCAAGCAATTCTCCTGCCTCAGCCTCCTGAGTAGCTGGTACCACAGGTGTGCACCACCATGCTCGGCTAATTTTTGTATTTTTAGTAGCGATGGGGTTTCACCATGTTGGCCAGGATGGTCTTGATCTCCTGACCTTCTGGTCCGCCCGCCTTGGCCTCCCAAAGTGCAGGGATTCCAAGTGTGAGCCACCATGCCCGGCCTGTACAATTCATTTTTCTAAGCCACTAATCTGATCAATTATTTCACTGCCTTGATTAACACTTTTCCATGAAGTATTTACAAGTCACATATCTGATAAGTATCCAAAATATGAAAACAACTCTCACCACTTGACAATTGTATTCATTGTTTTTAAGACAAAAAATCCAATTAAAACACGGGGGAAAAAATGGAATAGACATTTCCCCAAAGTACATATACAAATGGCCAAAATGTACATGAAAAGATGCTGAGGATCATTAGTCATTAGCGAAATGCAAATCATAACTGCAATGTGATGCCACCTGAGACCCTGTAGGGTGGCTATAATAAAAAATATGGAGAGTAACAAGTGTTGGCAAAGATGGAGAGAAATTGGAACTCTCATACATTGTTGGTGGGAGTATAAGTGGTACAGCTGCTTTTGAAAAATCTGGTAGTTTCTTAAAATATTAAACATAATTTTCATTTGATCCAGAAGTTCTACTCCCAGGTATATATTTGAGAGAATTAAAAACATATGTCTACAAAGAAACTGTTTTTTTTTGTTTGTTTGTTTGTTTTGTTTTTTTTTTTAGACAGGGTCTTGCTCTGTTGCTCAGGCTGAAAAACAGTGGTGTGATCTTGGTTCACTGCAGCCTCTTCCTCCAGGGTTCACACAATTCTCGTGCCCCAGCCTCCCAAATAGCTGGGATTACAGGCATGTGCCACCATACACGGCTAATTTTTTTTTTTTTTTTTTTTTTTTTTTGCATTTTTAGTGGACATGGGGTTTCACCATGTTGGCCTGGCTGGTCTGAGACTCCTGGCCTCAAGAGGTCTACCCACCTTGGCCTCCCAAAGTGCTGGGAGCCACTGTGCCTGGCCCTCTACACAGAAATGTGTATACAAATGTTTATAGCAGCATTATTCCTAAACTCCAAAAAGTAGAAATAACGTAAATGTCCATTGACTGATGAACTGATAAACAAAATATGCTCTACCTATACAACGGAATATTATTCAGCTGTAAAAAGGGAAGAAGTAGATCACTGGCACAGAATAGAGAGCCCAGAAATAAACCTTCAGGTATATGGGCCAATGATCTTTGACAAGGGTGCCAAAACTACACAAGGGGAAAAGGATTGTCTCTTCAACAAATGGTGTTGGGAAAATTGGATATCTACACAAAAAGAACTAAAGACATACCCTTTTCTTCTTGTGCCATATACAGAAATTAATTCAAAATGGATTAGGAACCAGGGCTTTGTGTGGTGTCTCACGCCTGTAATCCCCTCACTGTGGGAGACCCAGGCAGGAGGATTGCTTGAGGCCAGGAGTTTGAGGCCAGTCTGAGCAACACAGCAAGACCACATGTCTACAAAAATAATAATTGTAAAAAAGATTAAAAACCTAAACATAAGACCTGAGATTATAAAACTTCTAGAAGGAAATATACTGGGGCGGGGCGGAGTGGCTCATGGCTATAATCCCAGCACTTTGGGAGGCCAAGGAAGGCGGATCACTGGAGGTCAGGAGTTCAAGACCAGCCTGGCCAACATGGTGAAACCCCGTCTCCACTAAAAATACAAAAATTAGCTGGGCATGGTGGTGGGTGCCTGTAATCCCAGGTACTCAGGAGGCTGAAGCAGGTAGAATTGCTTGAGCCTGGGAGGCAGAGGTTGCAGTGAGCCGAGATCCTGCCACTGCACTCCGGCCTGGGCAACAAGAGCGAAACTCTGTCTCAAAAAACAAAACAAAACAACAAAACAACACAAAAACAGAAAACAAATATTGGCAAGAAATTGGTACCCTTAGATACTGTTGGTGGGAGTGAAAAATGGTGTAGCCACCATGGAAAACAGTATAGTGGTTCCTCAAAAAATTTAAAATAAATGGCTGGGCGCAGTGGCTCACACCTGTAATCTCAACACTTTGGGACACTGAGACGGGCAGATCACCTGAGGTCAGGAGTTTGAGCCTGGACAACATGGTGAAACCCCGTATCTACTAAAAATACAAAAATTAGCCAGAAATGGTGGTGCGCGCCTGTAATCCCAGCTACTCTGGAGACTGAGGCAGGAGAATTGTTTGAACCCGGGAGTTTACAGTGAGCTGAGATCGCACCACTGCAACCCCAGCTTGGGCGACAGAGCAAAACTTCATCTCAAAATAATTAATTATTAAATTAATTAATGACCATAAAAAACTATCACCTGATTCGGCAATCCCACTTCTGGGTATATATCCAAAAGAATTGAAAACAAGATCTCAGAGAGAGATTTGCAACATGTTCATTGCGGCACTATTGACAATAGTCAAGATGTAGAAGCAACCAAAATGCCCACTGGATTAATGGATAAAGAAAATGTGGGCCAGGTGCGGGGGCTCGCACCTGTAATCCCAGCACTTTGGGAGGCTGAGGCAGGCAGATCACTTGAGGTCAGGAGTTTGAGACCAGCCTGGCCAACATGGTGAAATGCCGCCTCCATTAAAAATACAAAAATTAGCCCGGCATGGTGGCGTGCGCCTGTGGTCCCAGCTACTCAGGAAGCTAAGGCAGGAGAATACGATGAACCCAGGAGGCGGAAGTTGCAGTGAGCTGAGATCGCGCCACTGCACTCCAGCCTGGGTGACACAGCAAGACTTCGTCTCAAAAAATAAATAAAAATAAAATAATAAATAAATACACCCAGAAAAGGCACTTGTTTATAGAATGAGAGCTGCAATTAGAAGGTAGCGTGTTTTCTTGTCCATGTTGGGCACTGCTCTGTGCACATCTGCAAACGACCTTAAGAGCACCAGGAGCACTAATTTGGGGGTTACAAATAAATTTCAGTGAGTAGGTGAATTTGAAAATATGCAGGCCTCAATTAATGAGGATCACTGTCTTTTGAAGACCATTATTGCATAAGTGCATTTGGAAAAGCCAGCCTCATTCTGATGAAAAACCGTGCGAGTATTGCTGGAGAAATGTTAGAGTCGAAATTTTTCCTGATTTGCAGCTGAGAGTCTCCTAACTGATCCAGAATCCCAGATTTCACCAAGAATCATGAATGAAAGGGAGTGTTTTCCATAGCATTTGGGAGACAGAGATTTCACACCCCCAAGATGAGTCACAACTGATTATTGAGGGATTCTCTGTGGCTAGGATATTTCAGCCAAGAGTTGAAGAATGCAGAAGTCCTTCTTCCTCCGTACAGGAGAGCCCATCTTATTATTTCCCTCTCTCTTGTTCCTAAGACATGGCTGTTTACTCTTTTATTTTTGAGACACAGTTTCACTCTGTCGCACAGGCTGGAGTGCAGTGGCATGATCTTGGCTCACTGCAATCTCCGCTTCCCGGGTTCAAGTCATTCTGCCATTCTCATGCCTCAGCCTCCTGAGTGACTAGGAATTACAGGTGTACGCCACCACGCCTGGCTAAGTTTTGTATTTTTAGTAGATACGGAGTTTCACCATGTTGGCCAGGCTGGTTTTGAACTCCTGACCTCAAGTAATCTGCCTGCTTTGGCCTCCCAAAGTGCTAGGATTACAGGCGTGAGCCATCACACCTGGCTGGTTTCGCTGTTTAAAAACCCATTCTGGGCCAGGCGCGGTGGCTCACGCCTGTAATCCAAGCACTTTGGGAGGCCGAGGCGGGCGGATCATCTGAGGTCAGGAGTTCGAGACCAGCCTGACCAACATGGAGAAACCCTGTCTCTACTAAAAATACAAAATTAGCCGGGCGTGGTGAGGCATGCCTGTAATCCCAGCTACTCAGGAAGGCTGAGGCAGGAGAATTGCTTGAACCCAGGAGGCGGAGGCCAGGAGGCAGAGGTTGCGGTGAGTCGAGATCACGCCACCGCACTCCAGTCTGGGCAACAAGAGTGAAACTCGGTCTCAAGGGAAAAAAAAAAAAAAGAATCTGCTGGATGCGGTGGCTCACACCTGTAATCCCAGCACTTTGGGAGGCTGAGTTGGGTGGATCATGAGGTCAGGAGTTTGAGACCAGCCTGGCCAGCATGGTGAAACCCCGTCTCTACTAAAAATACAAAAAATTAGCTGGGCATAGTGGCACACGCCTGTAGTCCCAGCTACTCGGGAGGCTGAGGCAGGACAATTGCTGGAACCCAGCAGGTGGAAGTTGCAGTGAGCCGAGATCGCGCCACTGCACTCCAGCCTGGGTGACAGACTGAGCATCTGTCTCAAAAAAAAAAAAAAAAAAAAAAAACCCCAACAAAAACCAATTCTAACATGCTTTTGGTTCCAGAGCGCTCTGGAAAACTCAAATAAGTCACTATAGTTAATATAATAGTAGATCCAGTTTCCATTTGGCTGCCTGGGTTCTAATCTGAGCTCTATTCTAGCTGTGCAATGTTGAACCAGCTTATGTGCCTCAGTTTCCCTTGTCTGTAACAATGTAAAATTTTTGCAGTAGATGTAAAAATCATTGTGAAGATTGGTGGGCTTTTTGAGGAAGATGCAGTTACAGGTACTGCGAAGCGGTGGTCTGCCTGCTCCTGATCCTGCCTCACCGCTGTGGGCTCTCAAGGAACAAGTGGGTCAGGAAGCCACACGCTGCAGCCATGGCTTTTATCTGTTTATTGATTTTTAGAGCTGGGGGTCTCACTGTGTTGCCCAAGATGGTCTGAAACTCTTGGGCTCAAGCGATCCTCCTGCCTTGGCCGCCTGAATTGCTGGGACTACAGGGGTGAGACACTGTGCTCAGCTCAAAATGTATTAAGAGCAGGCATTGTGGACCTCGTGAGGCAATTCACATTGCCATTTTAAGCTACATATTTAAATCTAAGCTGTCCACTAGGCTTTGGAGAGGCATTTCCTGAATGTCTGTTCTAAAGGAGGAACTCTTCCAACCCTCTTGTTCTGTGGCAGATAACCCTGATCATGACTTGCAATTACTTTATTTCAATTTATATTTTGGTTTGTTCTCATCACTAGAAATGAAAGCCTCATAAAAACAGGGACTTTATTGCTCCTGTTCATCTATATATCCCCAGGACAGTGCCAGGCACATAGTAGATGCTCAATAAGTATGTGTTGACTGAATAAACGAATGAATAACAGAATTTGGTGTCTGACTCCCAAGCCCTTGTACTTAACACAAGGCTGTGCTTCTTCTCACACCCTTCTTTGTGTGGTAGTGGGTTTGGTCATGACTTAGAGCAGCATTGTCCAATATGGTAGCCACTAGCCACATGTGGCAATTTAAATTTAACTTTAAAGTAGTGAAAGTTAAATAAAGTTAAAAACCCAGCTCCCCAGGCATGCTAGTATATTTCCAGTGCTCAGTACCTACATGTGACAAATGGCTAGTGGAGAGTTCCCATATAGAACATTTCAATTGTCACAGAAAGTTCCATTAACGGAGCTGATTGAGATCAGTGGTTCTCAACTGGAGAAGATTTTGCCTCCCAAGGGGCATTTGGCAATGTCTGGAAACCTTTCTAGTTATCACAGCTTGGAAGATGGACCTGACATCTAGTGGGTAGAGGCCAGGGATGCTGCTATACATGCTACAATACACAGGACAGCTTCACGCTAGAGAAGTATTTGGCCCAAAATGTCAGCAGTACTAAGGCTGAGAAACATGGTTTACAGGAAGGCACTGGGGTGACAGTTTTCTCTGTATGACCAGAATGCTAAATTCCTCAGGATCTGGATGGGTTAATTTGCAATTAAAAGCCTGATAAGGACTCTTCAGTGTATGTGGCATGGTGTCTAGTTTCCTGGCTTGAATTCCTGGAATTCCTCCTAATATTTTGAATAGGATATTAAAATCCAGAAATCATTGCCCAGCTGGGTTTTCAAGTGCCCACACTTCCCTGTGAGACTCATTCAACGGGATTCACAACACTCAGACCAAAAGGCATTTCTAAGGCTAGATTGTTCTAGATCAAGGCTCTGTAAGACACAGTCCCGGCCAAGCCTGCCCGTGAACAGAATGGCTTTTATATATTTCTTTAATTGGATGAGAAACAATCAAAAGAAGGCCAGATGAGGTGGCTCATGCCTGTAATCCCAGAACTTTGGGAGGCCAAGGCAGGCGGATCACCTGAGGTCAGGGGTTCGAGCGAGACCAGCCTGGCCAACATGGCGAAAACCCATCTCTACTAAAAATAACAAAAATTAGCCGGGCATGGTGGTGCACACTGTAGTCCCAACTACTCAGGAGGCTGAGGCAGGAGAATTGTTTGAACCCGGGAGGCGGAGGTTGCAGTGAGCTAAGATCGCACCACTGCACTCCAGCCAGGGTGATGGGGTGAGACTCGGTCTCAAAAAAAAAAAAAAGAAACAATTAAAAGAAGAATATTTTATGACACATGAAAATTATATAAAATTCAAATTTCAGTGTCCACAAAGAAAACTTCTTTGGAACAGTCACCACCATAATTTATATAAAAGTATTGCCCAGGGCTGCTTTCGTGTTGTTGAGTGGTCCAGCCACAGAAGCCACAGGGTCCGCAAAGCTGAAAATATTCACCACCTGCCCTTTTACAGAAAGACTTTGCTAATTCCTGCTCTAGATACTAAAGACCTTACTGGATTTTTTCTTTCCTTCCCTCCCCCTACCCATTTGTTCTTTTATTTTCTTAAGATCAAAATTATCCTGATAATTTGCAGGTGTAGACACAGAGCAAATGACCAAATGGACTTTCTTCGGGAAGCCGAGGGCGGAGGGGATTAGCTTCCATGCAGGGGCGTTCATGTGAAAGATTCCTCTTAGATGAATTTAGGGAACAAAGACCCCGTGGTCAATGATTTCTGTGGGTCTGAAAGTAAAAGACTGGCTGAGTTCTTTTGTCAGTTTTGCAGCACAGATCATACAGTTACTGAATACTCCCCTCCACGGTAGTATTCTTTTAACGCTTCACTCCATGACCTCACAAAAATAATTGCTGGGAAGCAAATTTACTTCGCCCTCTGCCTTTATTTGCTGACCAAGGGGCTCAGCCGATAGCCGTATTGTTGATGGAAATGCAAAAGGGGGTGGAGGGAAGGAGAAAGAATACAATTTGGCCAGGGAAGATGGATATATTGAAAGGATTCGAGGATTTGTCCTTGCTTTATAATTGGAGTCAGGATTTTCCTTCAAGTTACCCTGCACAGACTGGAAGGAAACCTCTCCAGCCTCCTCCACCCCCATGGCCTGTTAAACTCTTTCTCAACAAATTGAAATCTGGCTTTTAAATCCTTGTCATTTTTATGATTATATGATTATAGCGAACATTACAACTTGTCCAGTGAATGGACTTTAAAAAAAATTTTTTTTTTTTTTTTTTGTAGTGAGCATCAGGCTATGTTGACCAGGCTGGTCTTGAACTCCTGGTCTCAAGCAATCCTCTTGCCTTGGTCTCACTTTTTCAAATTCTGAGAATGTCTTTATTCAGAAAGAAAGTAAAAACTGATTAAAAATGATTTGTATGCATTGGGACCAGTTGGGATTTGATTTTTTTTTCTCTCTAAGTCTACAGGAGTTTTCACCGATGGCTTTCAATTCTTTGGAATTTCTGGAAATGGAAGCTTGCATCTTGGAAGCAAACCTACAAACAACCTTATATTGTCCCATACCCTCATTTTAGAAAACAGACCACTCTGATTACTGTGGGGATTACCTGGAGTGATCTGGGATTCCCTTGGCAGGAACAAAGTGGAAAGATTTTCCGGCCCTTTAATTTGTAAAACGAAAACCTGTGTTGGCTGCTACTGGTAGAAAAATAAAAAATTAATACACCCAAAGTAAAAGTTAGCAAGGATAACTGCCAGGCCAGACACAGTTTGTTATAAGCCCCGCAATGTGCAATATTGAAAGTGGTTTCCTTCCCCTAGTACTTAGGCATCCAATCAGTCAAACCATCTGATAACTGCTTATCTCCTCTAATGCGACTGAGATGTGTTTGATGACTCTTTGCATTTCAATCGTAAAGCTCACCTTAGGTAAGCACCTTGAGGAGAAAAAAGAAATTCACAAGTCTCAGCTTTTGCATTCATGGAATTTTCTTTTCACAATGGAAGGAAAGTTAAGCTGGTGCCCGTTAGGGGGAGGGGTGCAGAGGTGGTTGAAGATCTTTGAAAGGGAGGGGCGCAGTGTTCAGTTTGTGTGTAGTGCACACACACATACACACACATACACAAAGGTAAAACACTTCATTTGGGTTAAATGGTTGAGAAACAATCAAAAGAAGAATATTTTATGATGCATAAAAAGATATGAAATTCCCATTTCAGTGTCCATTAAGAAAGCTTTATTGGAATGTAGCTTCTTGTCTCAGGAGCCAAAATAGTAAAGCAAAGCAAAGCAATCCCGAGAGAGGGGGAAGATGAAAGATGAACGGGCCACTCTATGCTTCATTTTTAGCTACCTGAGGACACAGGAAAAATAGAAAATGTGTATAAGGAAAGATTTCCAGGATTTTGGTAATCATAACTTGGCATGTCTGACTCCCTGCACCCACAGTGCTTTTTATAATCCTCTACCCAGCAATCTTCTGTGAAATGGGGAAGAAGCGGGGCACCTCTCTCATAGGAGTAAAAGGTTGATAGATAGGCACGTGTTTATTCTAGCCTGGCACACAGTACATGCTCAGAAAATCTTAGCTGTTATTCTTATCGGGGTGGTTATTGTTTTGTTTTGTTTTGAGATGGCGTCTCGCTCTGTTGCCCAGGCTGGAGTGCAAGGCATGATCTCAGCTCACTGCAACCTCCGCCTCCCGGGTTCAAGCGATTCTCCCGCCTCAACCACCCGAGTAGCTGGGACTACAGGCGCCCGCCACCACGCCCGGCTAATTTTTATACTTTTAATAGAGACAGGGTTTCACCATGTTGGCCAGGATGGTCTCGGTCTCGTGACCTTGTGATCCACCAGCCTCGGCCTCCCAAAGTGCTGGGATTACAGGGGTAAGCCACCGTGCCCGGCCAGGGGGGTGGTTATTGTTAACAGCAGTTGCTCTTGTACTTTTCCATCTCCTATTGTTGGAGAAGTATTAGATTGGTGCAAAAGTAATTGTAGTTTCTGCCTTACTTTATTTTTATTTTTATTTTTTTATTTTTTATTTTTGAGATGGAGTCTTGCTCTGTCACCCAGGCTGGAGTGCGGTGGTGTGATTTCGGCTCACTACAACCTCCGCATCCTGGGTTCAAGAGATCCTCCTGCCTCAGTCTCCCCAGTAGCTGGGATTACAGGCGCTGCAACTTCTGCCTCCTGGGTTCAAGAGATCCTCCTGCCTCAGTCTCCCCAGTAGCTGGGATTACAGGCGCTGCAACTTCTGCCTCCTGGGTTCAAGAGATCCTCCTGCCTCAGTCTCCCCAGTAGCTGGGATTACAGGCACTACAACCAAGGCTGGCTAATTTTTGTATTTTTAGTAGAGACAGGATTTCACCACGTTGGCCAGGCTGGTCTCGAATTCCTGACCTCAGGTGATCCACCCGCCTCGGCCTCATGGAGTGCTGGGATTACAGGTGTGAGCCACTGTCCCCGACCACTTTTTTGCCTTACTTTTAATGGCAATTTATAGTTGGTTGGTGCAAAAGTAATTTCTGCAATTACTTAGTATAACTTCAACTTGGTTATAACTTGGTATAACTTCATTTGGGAGCAGTTTGGCAATATTCGCCAAACTTTAAACATACACTTTCACCCAGCAACTCAGTTTATAGGAGTTCTTCCTATGGATCAATTCCCTCTTCATATGCCAATCAGAATTCATATTTTTGTTTTGAATTCCAAACCACGTGCATGTATTATTGTTTTAGTTTTGTGTTATCAGGATATACATATTTAGGATTATGTCACTTGGTGAATTGACTCCATTATCATTTTGAAATGTCCCATTTTTTCCCTGGAAATATTTCTCAAATTGAAATCTATTTTATCTGAAATTAATGCAGCCAATCCACTTTATTAGGCTTTGTGTTTGCATGGAGTATCTTTTTCAATCCCTTACTTCTAATCTACCTGGTCTTTATATTTAAAGTGGGGTTTCAGGCTGGGTGCGATGGCTCATGCCTATAATTCCACAACTTTGGGAAGCTGAAGCAGGCAGATCACGTGAGGTCAGGAGTTCGAGACCAGCCTGGCCAACACGGTGAAACCCCTTCTCTGCTAAAAACACAAAAATTAGCTGGGCATGCTGGCGCACGCCTGTAATCCCAGCTACTTGGAAGGCTGAGGCAGGACAATCACTTGAACCCAAGAGGCAGAGGTTGCAGTGAACTGAGACTGTGCCACTGCACTCCAGCCTAAGTAACACACACCTAAGGTGGTGTGAGACTCCACCTCAAAAAAATAATAAATAAGAAATAAAGCAGAGTTTCTTAGAGACAGCATATGGTTGGGTCTTGCTCTCTTACAAAACCAACAACTTCTGACTTCAATTGGAATATTTAGATCATTTACCCTTATAGGAATTTTTTATATGGTTGAACTTAAATTTACCATCTTGCTCTTTATTTTTTATTGTCCTATTTGTAGTCTATTCTTTTTCCTTCTTTTTGCCTGGCTCCCTTTGGAATGAGTTATTTTTTAGGATTCCATTTTATTTCCATGACTGGTTTATTAGCTATATCTTGTTTTTTTTTTTTTGGTTGCTCTAAGGTATAAAGTATGCATCTTCAGCTTATCACAATGTACCATCAAATGATAACAGTTCACATATAATATAAAAATCTTGTAGCAATATACTTCCCTCTCCCCATGTCTTTTGCACTGTATTTGTCATAGATTTTATTACTACTTATGTTATAAACTCTGAAATATTTGTTTTTTTTTTCTTGCTTTAGAGTCAATTGTCTTTTTTTTTTTTTTTTTTGAGATGGAGTCTCGCTCTGTCTCCCAGGCTGGAGAGCAGTGGCGTGATCTCGGCTCACTGCATCCTCAGCCTCCTGGTTCAAGCGATTCTTCTGCCTCAGCCTCCTGAGTAGCTGGGACTACAGGCATGTGCCACCACGCCCAGCTAATTTTTGTATTTTTAGTAGAGACGGGGTTTCACCATGTTGGCCTGGCTGGTCTTGAACTCCTGACCTCGTGATCCACCTGCCTCAGCCTCACAAAGTGCTGGGATTACAGGCATGAGCCATTGCGCCCAGCCAATTCTCTTCTTCATAAATAAAATTTTAATTTTAGAACAGTTTTAGGTTTACAGAAAAATTGAAAAGATTGTACTAAGAGTTACCATATACCCTAAACACAGTTTTCCCTGTTATTAACATCTTACATTAGCATGGCACATTTGTTTTAATCAGTTAAACTATTAGCCAAACATTATTATTTTATTATTATTATTATTTTTGAGACGGAGTCTTGCTCTGTCACCCAGGCTGGAGTGCAGTGGTGCAATTCTGGCTCACTGCAACCTCCACCTCCAAGGTTCAATTGATTCTCCTGCTTCAGCCTCCTCATTAGCTGGGACTACAGGCGCCCACCACCACACCCGGCTAATTTTGTGTATTTTTAGTAGAGACAAGGTTTCACCATGTTGGCCAGGCTGGTCTCAAACTTCTGACCTCAAGTGATTCACTCGCCTTGGCCTTGCAAAGTACTGGGATTACAGGTGTGAGCCACTGCGCCCAGCCAATTTTTGTATTTTTAGTAGAGATGGGGTTTTACCATGTTGGCCAGGCTGGTCTTGAACTCCTGACCTCAAGTGATTCACCCAGCTTGGCCCCCCAAAGTGCTGGGATTACAGGCATGAGCCACCTCACCCGGCCAATTTTTGTATTTTTAGTAGAGATGGGGTTTTACCATGTTGGCCATGAGTCAGTCTCAAACTCCTGACTTCAGGTGATCCACCCACCTTGGCCTCTCAAAGTGCTGGGATTACAGGTGTGAGCCACTGCGCCCGGCCAGCCATACATTATTGTTAATTCAATTGCATACTGTATTCAGGTTTCCTTGGTTTTTACCTAATGTCCTTTTACTGCGTTAGGATCCTATCTAAACCACCACATTACATTTAGTTCTAATGTCTCTTTAGGTTACACTTAGCTGTCATAGTTTCTTAGACTACCCTTGTTTTGAAAACCTCGACAGTTTTGAGGAGCTTTGGGCAAATATGCTGTAGAATGTCCCTCAATTGAATGGCTTGAACCCGGGAGGCGGAGGTTGCATTGAGCTGAAATCCTGCCATTCACTCCAGCCTGAGCGACAGAGTGAGATTCTGTCTCAAAAAAAAAAAAAAAAAAGAATGTCCCTCAATTTGGATTTATTTGTTGTTAAATGTTTGTGGAAGGAAAACCACAGAGGTAAAGCCATTCTCATCACATTAGATCAAAGGTACATTCTATCAACACGACTTATCATTGTTGATGTTAACTTGGATCTCCTGGCTGAGCTAGTATTTGTTTACTGTAAAGAAAATCTTTAGCTCTGTGTTTATGAGCTCATGTCTACCTTCAGAACCAAAATTGCAGAAACGGAAAAGTAGTTTGCCAAAATCCTCAAGAACCATATACTTCGGATAACGATAAAATTTAGAGTTATTCTGGCACAGGTACCTCTCCAAGTCACCCTCACTCTCCTCACCAGTTCCATACTACCTTGCTCCTCCAGCCAACTTGGTCATCAGAAAGCACTTATTTATTTATTCATTTGTTTAGGGTCTGTGACCTTGCAATGACACATTCTCTATGTCTCTGCATCAGGCTTCTCTTCAACTCCCTGAGCTTCAGATACTTCCTCTTACCTCCTCCGTCCTTCCTGAGTGCTGGGATGATGGGTGTTGGAAAAGGACTTTGAAAGCCGTATATACAGTACTATACAAAAATGAGTCATCGTTATAAATGTAAGCTCTGCTGTCGCCTGCCATCTCTCCGTATCTCCCTTCCTCTCCCCTCCACGCTCTTGCTAGAATGTAGAATATAGAGATCCAATGGTACTTCCTCCCAATATGTGTCTTCAAACTCAGAGCTCTAGTCAGTGGGTCCCAACTTTTTTGGCACCAGGGACTGGTTTTGTGTAAGACAATTTTTCCATGGATGGGATGGGTTGGGGGAAATGGTTTTGGAATGAAACTGTTCCACCTCAGATCATCAGGCATTAAATTCTCATAAGAAGCGTGCAACCTAGATCCCTCCCATCCGCAGTTCAGAATAGGGTTCCCGCTCCTATGAGAATCTAATGCCTAGAGAGATCTGACAGGAGGTGGAGCCCCGGCGGCAACGCTCGCCCACCTGCCACTCCCTTCCTGCCCTGTGGCCTGGTTCCTAACAGGTCATAGCCCAGTACCTGTCCACGGCCTGGGGGTTGGGGGCCCCTGCTCTAGCCCATAAGACTAAGCCCTTTGTATGGTCTAAATATTTCCTCCAAAATTCATGTGTTGAAACTTAATGGCCAGAGTGACAGTATTAAGAGGTGGGGCCTTTGGAGGTAATTAAGTCATGAGATTAGAGCCCTTGTAGAGGGGATTTGGCCCCTTATAAAAGGGCCTGCTGGGTGCAGTGGCTCACACCTATAATCCCAGCACTTTAGAAGGTTTAGGAGGGAGGATCACTTGAGCCTAGAAGTTTGAGACCAGACTGGGTTACATAGTGAGACTCTGTCTCTACAAAACACTTAAAAATTAGCTAGGTGTGGTGGTGCATTCCCACAGTCCCAGCTACTCGGGAGGTTGAGGTGAGAGGATTGCTTGAGCTCCGGAGGTAGAGGCTGCAGTGAGCTGTGATCGCACCACTGCACCTGGCACCAACATTTAATTTTTAAAAAGTATTCATTTAGTATGAATTTTAGACTTAAGAAGAGCTGCAAAAATGGTACAGAGTCCTCTTGTATCCTCACCTTCCTTCTTCTATTGCTAACAGTCTGCATACTTATAGAGTACAATGACCAAGAACAGAAAATTTCAACACTGGTACATTATTATCATTACTACTACTACTACAGACCTCATTTAAATTTCATTGCTGCTCTCCTCAATGTCTCTTTTGTGTTCCATGATCCCTCCCAGGGTCCCACATTGCATGTGACTGTTCTTTGTCTTTAGTGTCTTCCAGCCTGTGCCAGTTTTCTTTCCTTGTGGGGTTTGTTTTTTTTTTTTTTTTTTTTTTTTGAGACAGAGTCTTGCTCTGTCTCCCAGGCTGGAGTACAGTAGCACTATCTAAGCTCACTGCAACCTCTGCCTCCAAGGTTCAAGCGACTCTTATGCCTCAGCCTCCCGAGTAGGTGGAATTACAGGCACCCACCACCACACCCGGCTAATTTTTGTATTTTTAGTAGAGACCAGGTTTCACCATGTTGGCCAGGCTGGTCTTGAACACCTGACCTCAAGCGATCCACCCACCTTGGCCTCCCAAAGTTCTGGGATTACAGGCATGAGCCATCACACCCAGCCAAGAATTATCTTTCAAAACAATTTATTGATATATTTGGTACATGTAACCCTCCACTTTTTTTTTTTTTTTTTGAGATAGGGTCCTGCTATGCTGCCTAGGCTGGAGTGCAGTGGCTATTCACATAGTGCATTACGGCCTTGAACTCCTAGACTCAAGCAATCCTCCTCTCTCAGCCTCCTGAGTAGCCGGGACTAGAGGAATGTGCTACCATGCCCAGCTGGGACTTCGTTTTGAAGCCAATTTTTTTAATTATATGTAATTTTTTACTTTCTTTATATTTCATTCTTTATTTTTTATTTTTTGACACAGAGTCTTGCTCTGTCACCCAGGCTTTGCCTCAGTATCCCTAGTGACTGAGATTACAGGTGTGTGCCACTACGCCCAGCTCTAATTTTTTACTTTCTCCAGTGGTTTCAAAACCAAACCTCCAGTTCAAATGCAACTTTAAAAATTATACTGCTACAACTTATGGATATTAAAATTACCCAAAGCTACAAACTATTTTCCTTTCTTTTACCCTATATTGACATATAATCAGACATACTGACCAATGAGAACATCTTCCTTCAGTCTCAGGTCCTGAAGAACAAAGGTTCTATTTTAACAACTGAAAATTTGAATCGAGTTTTGTAGTTTTTTTTTTTTTTTTGAGACGGAGTCTTGCTCTGTCACCCAGGCTGGACTGCAGTGGCGCGATCTCCACACTCACTGCAAGCTCCGCCTCCCGGGTTCACGCCATTCTCCTGCCTCAGCCTCCCGAGTAGCTGGGACTACAGGCGCCTGCCACCACGCCCGGCTAATTTTTTGTATTTTTAGTAGAGACGGGGTTTCACCGTGTTAGCCAGGATGGTCTTGATCTCCTGACCTCGTGATCCGCCCGCCTCGGCCTCCCAAAGTGCTGGGATTACAGGCGTGAGCCACCGCGCCCAGCTGAGTTTGTAGCTTTTTACTGAGTATTTTCAATTCTGGGACTTCATTCTGGAGAGTCATGTCATAAGCAAGCCAATTTTTCTACGTGAGGATGTGTTTTGCAGCTTTGCTTGCAACTGTGAAAATTGGAAATAAACTCAATGTCCATCCGTAGGGAAGTGATTAATTATATTGTATATCCACATGGAAAAGTGAGGGACTAATTTAAAAAAAAAAAAAAAAAAAAAGAATGGCCAGGCATGGTGGCTCATGCCTCTAATCCCAGCACTTTGGGAGGCCGAGGCGGGTGGATGACCTGAGGTCAGGAGTTCGAGACCAGCCTGGCCAACATGGTGAAACCCCATCTCCACTAAAAACACAAAAATTAGCCAGGTGGTGGTGCACACCTGTAATCCCAGCTACTTGGGAGGCTGAGGCAGGACAATCACTTGAACCCAGGAGGCAAAGGTTGCAGTGAGCTAAGATTGGGCCACTGCACTCCAGCCTGGGTGATGGAGTAAGACTCCAACTCAAAAAAAAAAAAAAAAAATGAGGCAGAAAGTTTATGTAATGACATAGAAAGTTATGTAGACCAGTGCTAGAAAGTGCTACCCAATAGAACTTTCTGCAATGATGGAATGTTCTATGCTGTGCTGTCCAATACAGTAGCCACTAGTCACATGTAGTACTTGAAACGTGGCAAGTGCAATGGAGAAACTGAGTGTGTAATGTAACTAAAGTAATTATTTATTTTATGTTATTCATTAATTTATTTTTAGAGACAGGGTCTTGCAATCTTGCCCAGGCTGGTCTTGAACTTCTGGCCTCGAGCAATTCTCCTTCCTCAGCCTCCCAAGAAGCTGGGATGTTAGGTGTGTGCCACTGCACCCCGCTATTTATTTGAATTTAAATTCCCACATGTGGCCTATGATATTGTACTGGACCTCACATATTTTAAATGTGTTTTGAGGACAGGCTAGTTGAAAAATGAAGAGTATGATTCCTCTAAAAGATAATAAATAATATATGTTAATTTAGAAATTTTTAGAAGTCAGACAGAAAATACACTGAACTAGTAATAGTGGGTTTCCCTGAGATATACTGAAGACTTTTTTTTTTTTTTTTTGAGATAGAGTCTCCTTTTGTTTCCGAGGCTAGAGTGCAGTGGCAGGATCTCGGCTCCCTGCAACCTCTGCCTCCTGGGGTCAAGTGATTCTCCTGCCTCTGCTTCCCGAGTAGCTGGGACTACAGGCGTGTGCCAGCACGCCCGGCCAATTTTTGTATTTTTAGTAGAGACAGGGTTTCACCATATTGGCCAGGCTGGTCTTGAACTCCTGACCTTGTGATCCACCCACCTCAGCCTCCCAAAGTGCTGGGATTATAGGTATGAGCCACTGTGCCTGGCCATGTTGAAGACTTTTAATACCATATATTCATACAGTATTTGAATTTTTAAATAAGGAACATAATTTGTTTTGAAATAAACACTACAAAATAAAGTCAAACTCTGAAATTCTAAATTGCTTCAAGTTAAATGAACCGAGAGCGTGGTTGGAGGAGAAACCTGAGAGAATCTTCTGGAAGAATTACCAGAATTTCATGTACTCTGAGGAAGATGCTGGGGCTGACAGGTTTGAAGCCACCAGGTGGGGTTAACAGGGTACCATAGGGGCTCTTAGGAGGTGGGTTTAGGAAACAATTTTCTTTTTTATTTTTTTTATGATGGAGTTTCACTCTTGTTGCCCAGGCTGGAGTGCAATGGTGCAATCTCAGCTCACCACAACCTCTGCGTCCTGGGTTCAAGTGATTCTCCTGCCTCTGCTTCCTGAGTAGCTGGGATTACAGGCATGTGCCACCATGCCTGGCTAATTTTGTATTTATAGTAGAGATGGGGTTTCTCCATGTTGGTCAGGCTGGTCTCGAACTCCTGACCTCAGGTGATCCGCCCACCTCAGCCGCCCAAAGTGCTGGGATTACAGGTGTGAGCCACCACGCCCAGCCTAGGAAACAATTTTCATAGAGACAAAGAGAGCTGAACTCTACTGCTCTGCTCCTCTGGTGGGTTGCAAATTCTAGTATAGTGTCTTCTTACTGTATCCCAGTGCTTAGCACAATGACTAGCACAGAATCACTGTGCAGTAGACAGGAATGAAAGCCTGACAAGATGCTTCAAAGCCTTCATTACTGGGAATTCAGCATCCAAGTTTAAACATGGTCTCTGTTGGTACCAAAGCGCACCCAGGTTTTAAGTATTTTAAAAGAGTGCCCAAAATATAATGGAAAGAGGCCGATACTTTCTTTTGCTAGGCCCTCCCTGCCAAGTCTAATAAACTGATAGATGTAAATTAGCATTGGGAGGATGGGCATTGTGGGGAAGGACAGAAATCTCTCTTTGCCTTCAGGAAGTTGCAATTAGGTAGATTGACATTGTGGGATAGAGGTAGGGGTGAGGATAACAGATTTTTTTTTTTTTTTTTTGAGATGGAGTCTTGTTCTGTCAAGCAGGCTGGAGTGCAGTGGCGTGATCTCGGCTCACTGCAGCCTCCGCCTCCTGGGTTCAAGTGATTCTCCTGCCTCAGCCTCCTGAGTAGCTGGGATTACAGGCAGTGCCACCACACCCAGCTAATTTTTGTTGTTGTTGTATTTTTAGTAGAGACAGGATTTCCCCAGGCTGGTCTCGAACTCCCGACCTCAAGTGATCCACCTGCCTTGGCCTCCCAAAGTGCTGGGATTACAGGTGTGAGCCACTGCACCCGGCCTGAGGATAACATAGATCTAAAGCCCCTTGATGTGGAGAGTTTTTTCTTAAACTTTAAAGGTAACGGTATTCTCCACACTAGCAGGGGCAGAGGAATTTCAGGGAGTGCTCTGATTAGTGTAGTGTGATTTCTTGTTCATCCCTGAACCATGAGGAAGGCAGTGTTGATGGTAGGGGCGTGGAATACAGGTCTCTGATTGGCTGAATTGGGTGGGTAGATGGGGCGTGTGCAGTAAGGCAACATGATTGACAGCTTCCCCATGCCCTAGTGGAGTCAGGAAGAAGTTCCCCAAAGGTAGTGGGATGGCTGATGGAGGAAAAATTTTGCCGGGAAGACGAGAGCAATGTGCCGCACAGCTCCAGGGGCCGCCATTCTCACAGAATCACACAGATATGTACATCCTTCTTCCTTGCTTAAAATTCCCAAACTGCACCTCAGCTGCCCAGTATTAATACAGTAAAACAGACTTACCCATCCCTATGGGAGTCACCTCAGCCTCAGAGGCACCCCTGTCTCCATCCCATTATCTCTGGATGACGTGGCTTCTGCTGATTTAGTCAGGATGTGGCTTCTCAGGAGCTAGTAGCCTGTGGCCAAAGGATACATTTATTTACCCCTAAATTATACACTCCTATTATATCCACAATTATGTACTCCACACAGTATATGGTGGTCCAGTGTATAAATATGGAGGCATAACCAGATAATTGGAATCTAATCATTCTACAAATATTAACTAGGGCCCCACCACGTGTTGGACCTTTGTTTTTATCTCTCTAGGTCTCAATTTCCTCATCTATGAAATGAACATAATGCCGTTTGAGGATTCAGAGGCAGTACACATCAAATGTTTAACACAAGTACCTGGCACCCAGCACACACTCAATAAATAATAGTTGTGCTGGGCATGGTGGATCACGCCTGTCATCCTATGGGAGGCCAAGGTGGGTGGATCACTTGAGCTCAGGGTCTCACTATGTTGTCCAGCCTAGGAGACTAGCCTGGGCAACATAGTGAGACACTGTCTCTACAAAAAGTACAAAACATTAGCCAAGTGTGGTGTCTGCCTGTATCCTAGCTACTTGGGAGGCTGAGATAGGAGGATTGCTTAAGCCGAGGAGCTTGAGGCTGCAGTGAGCTATGATCACACCACTGCACTCCAGCCTGAGCCACAGAGCAAGACTGTCTCAAAACAAAAACAAAAAACTAAAAAAAAACCCCCACAGCTGTTATTAGTGTTCCACCATGCCTGGTGACCCTCAATTATGTAGTTACTGAGTTTTTTGTTTTTATTTTTTTTGAGACAGTCTCTCTCTGTGATCCATGTTGGAGTGCCGTGGCACAATCTCGGCTCACTGCAACCTCTGCCTCCCGATTCAAGCAATTCTCCTGCCTCAGCCTCCTGAGTAGCTGGGATTACAGGCACGTGCCACCATGCCTGGCTAATTTTTATGTTTTTAGTAGAGACGGGGTTTCACCATGTTGGTCAGGCTGGTCTCAAACTCCTGACCTCGTGATCCACCTGCATCGGCCTCCCAAAGCGCTGGGATTACAGGCATGAGCCACAGCGCCCGGCCTGAGTTTTAAGTATGTTACATTATATGTAGGATGCCAAGAAAATAAGACATACTTCTTTCCCTTCCGGAAAAAGCAGGCCATTTGGGAAGGCAAGTCTCTCACTTGTATAGATCAGAGATAATCCCAAGAAGTGGGTGCCAAGGCACTCCTAGATAAGCTGCCCCTGCTCCTAGAAACCTGATTGGTTGCAGTGAAGGCCAGTTGGGAAAGCAACCCTATTGTATGCCCTCAGCTATGGAGTCCTCACAGTCACGGTCACAGGGTATTGCTTCATTAAGCTTCTCTGCTCTTCTTCTCCATGAATAGACTATCTCCCCATCAATCCAATTCTTTGTGTGTGTGTGTGTGTGTGTGTGTGTGTGTGTGTGTTTTTAAATGGAGTTTCCCTCTTGTTGCCCAGGCTGGAGTTCGGTGGCATGATCTCGGCTCACTGCAACCTTTGCCTCCCAGGTTCAAGTGATTCTCCTGCCTCTGCCTCCTGAGTAGCTGGAATTATAGGCGCCCGCCACTATGCCCAGCTAATTCTTTGTATTTTTATTAATTTTGAGATCAAGTCTCTCTGTCACCCAGGCTGGAGTGCAATGCCACGGTCTCAGCCCACTGCAACCTCCTCCTACTGGGTTCAAGCAATTCTCCTGCCTCAGCTTCCTGAGTAGCTGGGATTACAGGCGCCCACGACCGCGCCCAGATAATTTTTGTATTTTCAGTAGAGACAGGGTTTCACCATGTTGGCCAGGCTGGTCTCAAACTCCTGACCTTGTGATCCGCCCACGTCAGCCTCCCAAAGTGCTGAGATTACAGGCCTGAGCCACTGCGCCCAGCCTAATTTTTTGTATTTTTAGTAGAGACAGGATTTCATCATGTTGGCCAGGCTGGTCTCAAATTCCTGACCTCAGGTGATCTGCCTGCCTCAGCCTCCCAAAGTGCTGGGATTACAGGTGTGAGCCACCGTGCCTGGCCTCTCAATCCAATTCTTTGGATTCTCAGCAAACAGTTTGATTGTTTTCAAAATCTATCAGAGATGAATACATGGTAATTGACTCATTCAAAAATATATATTGACTGCTGGCTTCACCAGTACATATGCCAAAAACTGGAACGATACAGAGATTAGCATGGCCCCTGAGCAAGGGTGACTGGCAAATTCACAAAGCGTTTCATATGTGTATATATATTGAGCACCTACTATGTATTACACATGCCTATAAGCAAAAGGGAGGCAGGAGTGAGCAAGGCAGATATTGACTTTTTGGTTGTTTTTTTTTTCAAGATGGAGTCTTGTTCTGTCATCCAGGCTGGAGTGCAGTGGTATGACCCGGGCTCACTGCAACCTCTGCCTCTCAAGTTCAAATGATTCTTCTGTCTCAGCCTCCCAAGTAGATGGGATTACAGGCACGCACCACCACACCCGGCTAATTCTTGTATTCTTAGTAGAGACGGGGTTTCGCCATGTTGGCCTGGCTGGTCTTGAACTCCTGACCTCGTGGTTCGCCTGCCTCGGCCTCCCAAAGTGCTGGGATTACAGGTGTGAGCCACCGCACTCGGCCCCAGATATTGACATTTTGATGGGAAAGAAGGACAATAAACAGAAATAGATACACAATCTTTCAGGAAATGATAGAGCTCTAAAGAAAAAGAAAGCAAGGTAAGGGGGAGCACAGGGACTTAAAAATGTGTCTGCAAATTCCTTGACGCTCCTCCCTGCAGAGGATGAAGCTAGTTTCCTTCTCCTTGAGCATGGGCTGGTCTGCATGCCCACATCTAGTGAACAGAATACAGCCGAGTGATGTAATGTCGCTTCTGAGGGTCCGTTTTTGCCCAGCTCTCTTTCTGTCTCTTGGGATGCTTGCCCTTGGAATCCAGCCACCATGTTGAGGGAAGCCCAAGCCACAAGGAAGCCACATTAGAGGTTCTGAGTGAGTGACAGCCTCAGCTGCACTTGGGTGACAAAGAGCATGTGATCTGTCCTCAGCCTCTGACTCTTTTTTGTTTTTGTTTTTTTGAGGTGGAGTTTTGCTTTTTGCCCAGGCTGGAGTGCAATGGCACGACCTCAGCTCACTGCAACCTCCACCTCCCGGGTTCAAGCGATTCTCCTGACTCAGCCTCCCGAGTAGCTGGGATTACAGGGGCGCACCATTATGCCCCGCTAATTTTTGTATTTTTAGTAGAGACAGGGGTTTTGCCCTGTTGGCCAGGCTGGTCTCGAACTCCTGACCTCAGGTGATCCGCCTGCCCTGGCCTCCCAAAGTGGTGGGATTACAGGCGTGAGCCACCGCGCCCAGCCTAGCCTCTGACTCTTAACAGCTGTAGTCCCAATAATTGTGGACGGAGAAAGCTGTCTCCACTATGCCCTTTCTGAATTCCTGGCTCACAGAAGCCAGGTGAAATGATAAATCATGATTATTGTTTTAAGCCATTCATCTTGGGGATAATCTTTTACACAGTAAGGAATAGTTAATAAAGGGGAGAGGGCGGGGCATGGTGACTCACACCTGTAATCCCAGCACTTTGGGAGGCCAAGGCAGGCCGCTCCCTTGAGGTCAGGAGTTTGCGACCAGCCTGGCCCACATGGTGAAACCCTGTCTCTACTAAAAATACAAAAATTAGCTGGGCGTGGTGGTGGGTGCCTACAGTCCCAGCTACTTGGGAGGCTGAGCCAGGAGAGTCGCTTGAGCCCAACAGGCGGAGGCTGCGGTGAGCTGAGATCCCACCATTGTACTCCAGTGTGGGTGACAGAATGAAACTCTGTCTCAAAATAAATAAATAAATAAATAAATAAAAGATAAAGGGGCGAGAGACTGAGGTGGAAGGTGGTAGGAGAGTGAGTGCTAATTAAACAGGGTGGTCACGGCAGACCTTTTTGATGAGGGGATATCTGAGCAGAGACCTGGATGAAGCGGGGCAGCAAGTGACGTGGATACAGGGCAGAAGCTTTCAAGGGGAGAGAAGGGCCAGGGCAAAGGCTCTGGTGCAGGAATGCGCTTGTGGTTCAGTACAGGGGCCAGTATGGCTGGAGCAATATGGAAGAGAAACACAGTGGCAGGAAATAAGATCAAAAAAAGGGGTGAGGAGAAATTGCAGGCTATGTAGACCTTTGCAGGGAATTGAGCAGAGAATGCTGCAATATGATCTCAGCTGAAGTTAAGGCTACTTCGGCTGCTGTACAGAAAAATAGCAGTTAGTGAAAGCATGGAAGGAGGGAGAAGCCAGCTGGGAGGCTACGATGGTTGTCCAGGTGAGACATGGACGGTGGCCAGCACTAGTGAGGTGGAGGAAGTGAGAGGTAGTCAGAATATGGATATATTCAAGGTAATGCTGATTGGACTCACTTTTTGATAGAAGCAGGGTATCAGAGAAGCAGAGGCTGGCAGAGCGGATGAGCTCTAGGCGGGACTCAATGTGTGGACCATAGACCAGCAGCATCAGCAGCATCTGCATCACGTATGAGAAATGAAGACTCTCGGGCGCTGCCTCTACCTACTGAATTTTAGCAAGACTACCAGGTGTTCCCCATGCACATCAAACTTTGAGAAATGCTATTCTAGGTTGCTCTCAAGTCTGGCTGCAGATTTGAAACACCTGGCAAGCTTTTAAGACACGTACCAACGCTAGGTCTGGAGGTGGAGGGGCTGTTTGTTGGTATTCATATTTTTTAGCTCCTCAAGTGACCCTCATCTAATCCTTGGATCCCCATCCAGCCTTTCCACAAACTCTATGGGTTCTGACCTTAAAATATAGCCCAGTGTTACAGCTCTTTTAGAATTTGTCTAGCAGTCTTTCCAGTTTTTGCCGGAAAGCCCCTCTCACGCTTAAAATAATAATAATAATAAAATAAAATATATTTTAAGTCTCACGCCTGCAATCCCAGCACTTTGGGAGGCTGAGGCGGGCAGATCACTTGAGGTCAGGAGTTCGAGACCAGCCTGGCCAACGTGGTGAAACCCCATCTCTACTAAAAATACAAAAATTAGCAGGGTATGGTCGTGGGCACCTGTAGTCCCAGCTCCTCAGGAGGCTGAGGCAGGAGAATCGCTTGAACCTGGGAGGCGGAGGTTGCAGTGAGCTGAGATCGTACCACGGCATTCCAGCCTGGGTGACAGAGTGAGACTCTGACTCAAAAAAAAAAAAAAAAAGAGATGAGGTCTTGCTATGTTGACCAGGCTGGTCTCGAATTCCTAGCCTCAAGTGATTCTGCTGCCTCAGCCTCCTGAGTAGATGGGACTACAGTTGTGAGCCACAGTGCCTGGCTCCCACCCTCATTTATGTTATTTTTGGATTGAGTTTTCCTTTTGGTGTACAGTTTTTGTTTATTTGTTTGTTTTTTCTGAGACAGGGTCTCACTCTGCCACCCAGGCTGGAGTGCAATGGTGTGATCTCAGCTCATTGTAACCTCGGCTTACTGCAACCTCCGCCTCCTGGGTTCAAGTGATTCTCCTGCCTCAGCCTCCCAAGTAGCTGGGATTACAGGCATGCACCACCATGCCCAACTAATTTTGGTATTTTTTGGTAGAGACGGGGTTTCACCATTTTGGCCAAGCTGGTCTCAAACTCCTGGCCTCAAGTGATCCGCCCACCTCAGCCTCCCAGAGCCTGGGATTACAGGCGTGAGCTGACGTGTTTTAACTCATCTATCAATTTGTGTTACTATCAGGAGGCAGACCAGTTCCGGCACTCTGAAGAGCTGCCATGGGACACCCTTTTTATAACCACACCATCCTTCTACACCTAAGTGAAGATCTGGTGCTGGGATTACAAGGGCAGGATGAGTGAACTCAGGTGTGATGATTGAAGACTTATGGGCCAAGAGACCCAGCAGGTCAAGATAGAGACATTTTTCCAACCTCAATCTAGAACTCAATGAGGATAGCAAATACATTTCATCTGATTGTGCCCACTCCACCCAACTGCCTGGCAGGCTGGATTGTGAAGGACTCTAATGCATATCAGGGCTCAGCTGAAGAGTGTAATGGTTGATTAGTGATGCCTCTTGTGGACACAGGCCAATGGGAGGGGGTGCCTGTGCTGGAGAGTGTTGTTAGTGTCGGGGCTGATTGTCTACCAAGAGGGCGGGGAACGCCCTAGGGGAATGGGAGAGAAAGCCGAAATCAGACACCCATACATATTTTTTTTTTTTTGAGATGGAGTTTCGCTCTTGTTGCCCAGGGTGGAGTGCAGTGGTGCAATCTCGGCTCACTGCAACCTCTGCCTCCTGGGTTCAAGCGATTCTCCTGCCTCAGCCTCCCGAGTAGCTGGGATTAACAGGCACCCGCCACCACTAATTTTTGTATTTTTAGTAGAGATGGGGTTTCGCCATGTTGGCCAGGCTGGTCTTGAACTCCTGACCTCAGGTGATCTGCCCACCTCAGCCTCCCAAAGTGCTGGGATTACAGGTGTGAGCCACCACCCCTGGCCCAATATATATTGGATATTAGATCTGAGATACTCCATCTTTGGAATGTTTATACCATCTGTCTTCAGTTGTGCTCAGTAACAAGAATCATGACTTCCTTATAAATGCATAAAATCTCAGGGAGACAGAGAATTATGTCTGTGTGAGGATTTACAGTAGTGCTTAAAAATCCCAGATTGATTACAAGCTATCCCAGATGGCTTCAAACACAACAATACTGAAAGGAAGCAAGTTTATCATCAAAGAGAAAACTAGGAAGCAACTGTGGGAAATCACAGTTTGTCTAGATAAGAGAAGTCTACAAAGAGGCAGCAGGAGGCATTTGAACTGTTTTGTATTCTTATTGTAGTGGTGGTTACACAACTCTGAAAGTATGTTAAAACTCATAGAACGTACATACATATATAAAGTCAATAATTTAAAAATCTAAAATCTATTTAGCCATGAAATATGATGCTATAGAACTTGGTTTGCTGCTGGGCATAGTGGCTCATGCCTATAATCCCGGCACTTTGGGAGGCCGAGGTGAGTGGATCATGAGGTCAGGAGTTCAAGACCAGCCTGGCCAACATAGTGAAACCCTGTCTCTACTAAAAATACAAAAATTAGCCAGGTGTGGTGGCGCATGCCTGTAGTTCCAGCTACTCGAGAGGCTGAGGCAGGAGAATCTCTTGAACCTGGGAGGCGGAGGTTGTGGTGAGCCGAGATCATGCCACTGTACTCCAGCCTGGGCAACAGAGCCAAAAAAAAAAAAAAAAACATTAAAAAGTTGGTTTGCCAAAATGTGGTACACACAGAGCTGGTTGTACACAAGATGATATAAGACGAAACGTAGATGAACATTTGAATTGTGTAGTTATGTATTTGCATTAATTCATATTAGAAGAATGTCTAGTTTATCAAGCCTATAACTTCAAAAAGACAATTATATAAGGTTAGGCTAAGTAGAAATTTGAGTTGCTTTAAAGGAAAATATAAAGTAAATAATTATACAGGTTTTATGCATGTAGACAAGATTTTTGATCGGGGTATGGGAATAAAGTTATTTGTCTGAAAATCCTACCTTGACTGAGTGTGGTGGCTCATGCTTGTAATCCCAGAATTTGTGGGGGGCGGCCAAGACAGGAGGATTGCTTGACCCCAGGAATTTGAGGCCAGCCCTGGCAACACAGTGAGACCCTGTCTCTACAAAAAAAATAGAAAAATTATCCAGGCGTGGTGGCGTGTGCCTGTGGTCCCTGATACTCCAGAGGTTGTGGTAGGAGGATGGCTTCAACCCAGGAATTTGAGGCTGCAGTGAGCTACAACTGTGCTACTGCACTCCAGCTTGGGTGACAGAGTGAGACCCAATCTCAAAAAAAAAAAAAAAAAAAAAAAAAAGTCCTACTGTTATAGAGTTTATAATCTAGCAAGTGCAGAAAAACAGGGATATTAAAAGATTATGAAATAATTTTAAAAATCAGTTACCAACGCATAACACTGTGAATGTATTTAATGCCAGTAAACTGTACACTTTAAAATGGTTGAAATGCTAAAATTTATGTTATATATATTTTAATATGATAAAAACCCAATTTCCAAACATATATTAAAAATGATGCCATGCCCGGGTACAGTGGCTTACACCTGTAATCCCAGCACTTTGGGAGGCTGAGGCAGGTGGATCGCCTGAGGTCAGGAGTTCGAGACCAGCCTGATCAACATGGAGAAATTTTGTCTCTACTAAAAATACAAAAATTAGCTGGGTGTGGTGGTGCATGTCTGTAATCCCAGCTACACAGGAGGCTGAGGCAGGAGAATTGCTTGAACCCGGGAGGCGGAGGTTGCAGCCGTTGTACTTCAGATTGGGAAATCGTGCCATTGCACTCCAGACTGGGCAACAAGAGTGAAACTCAGACTCAAAAAAAAAAAAAAGATGCCATTTTTGTAAAAGACATGCACATGTCTTTCTTATGCATAGGAAATTGGAAGGATGGATAGCTACTTTTATACATAGGAAATTGGATAGAAAGATAATACTGGTGGCTGGGCGCAGTGGCTCATGCCTGTAATCCCAGCACTTTGGGAGGCCAAGGCAGGCAGATCATGAGGTCAGGAGATCCAGACCATCCTGGCTAACATGGTGAAACCCTGTCTCTACTAAAAAAATACAAAAAAATTAGCCAGGCGTGGTGGCGGGCGCCTGTGGTCCCAGCTACTCGGGAGGCTGAGGCAGCAGAATGCATGAACCCGGGAGGTGGAGCTTGCAGTGAGCCGAGATCGCGCCACTGCACTCCAGCCTGGGCGACAGAGCGAGACTCCGTCTCAAAAAAAAAAAAAGAAAAAGAAAAAAGAAAAGAAAGATAATACTTGTCATTTTTGGATAAGATTCTGACTGATTTTTTTTTTTTTTTTTTTTTTGAGACAGAATTTTGTTCTTGTTGCCCAGGCTCCAGTGCAATGGCGCAGTCTGGGCTCACTACAATCTCTGCCTCCCGGGTTCAAGTGATTCTCCTGCCTCAGCCTCCCAAGTAGCTGGGATTACAGGAATGTGCCACCATGCCCAGCTAATTTTTTGTATTTTTAGTAGTCATGGGGTTTCACTATGTTGGCCAGGCTGGTCTCGAACTCCTGACCTCGGGCCATCCACCCGACTCAGCATCCCAAAGTGCTGGGATTACAGGCGTGAGCCATCATTGAGTGATTTTTATTGTTTACTTACCTTGTCCAACATCTTATAGAATACATACGTATTAATTTACAATAAGGTTTTATTTAAGAGACTTTTTTTTTTTTTTGGAGACAGAGTTTCACTCTGTTGCCCAGGTTGGAGTGCAGTAGTGCAATTCTCGGCTCACTGCAACCTCTGCCTCCCAGGTTCAAGTGATTCTTGTGCCTCAACCTCCCGAGTAGCTGGGATTACAGGCATGCACCACCACACCCAGTTAATTTTTGTATTTTTAGTAGAGACGGGGTTTTGCCATGTTGGCCAGGCTTGTCTCGAACTCCTGGCCTCAAGCAATCCACCTGCCTTGGCTTCCCAAAGTGCTGGGATTACAGGCATGAGCCACTGTGCCCGGCCGACGTTTCTGTGATTTTTTATTGAATGGCCAAAAAAAGGAGGGAAGGAGGGAGGGGTATCCTGGGGAGGTCAACGGAAATAAAACCAAAATAAGATTTGAAAAAAGGAAACCACTAAAAATGCAATGTGGCATCTTAGATCCTAGAACAGGAACAAGACATTAGTGGAAAAATCAGTAAAATCCAAATAAAGTCTAGAGGTCAGTTAACGGTATTTTACTAATGTTCATTTCTCAGTTACCGTGGTATGTAAGATGTCAAAATCTGGGGAAATTGAGTAGAGAGTATGTGTGAACTCTTAATACAATGTCTTTGTAACTTTTTGGTGAAATTAAAATTACTCCAAAACAAGAAATGTATTTTAAAAATTTAAGTTTAGAGGTTGGAATCATCTTTTTCCTCTTCAGTTTATATTACTGTCATTAACAATAGCCACCAATGACTAATGGCTAACTTTGGAATTTCCACAAATAGCAGGAGAAAACCATTTGGGGTAGGCAACTATTGAAAAGTTACATTTAGATAGTCCCAAAACAAAAGAGAGAGATTTGCAAATTCAGAGGTGATTTTCTGTTTTCTTTTTTTTCTTAGCGTTCTATAAAAGTTCAGTGACGACTTTTAGAAATTCTCCTTTGGATATCCTTAGCTTCCAGGGCCGGAACCAGCACCCTCTAGCCTTCTATGACTCAATCCATGCATATAGATTAGGGGCCAGATACTCTACTTGCATTTCCAGAAATATGAGGGGGGAGTACTTCCCAAGGAGAGGATGTAGTCTCTTTGAAATTTGACCCTTTAAAAGTTGGGCTGCTGGACATTAATAAGGAAGAATTGAAAGTGCAGATCAATAAGACTTGCTGAAAATAAAACACACATTAGCATAGAGTGTTCTCCCTATAACCAAGATTAATGCCTTTTTAAACCAAACCAGAGCACAAAGGTATATCTTTGAGGCTAATTGCCGCTAGCAGATTGCAGAGAGAAAGAAAGACAGGCTTGGGGGCAGGGGCTGGTGGACAAAACCCAATTGCAGAACTCCTAAGAGCAGGAGTGAAATGAAATAACCCCTTGAGTTATGCAGAGAATTTAACCAGCGCTGGGCTCGGTTTTATTGGGCATGCATTTGAAATTTAAATACGTTCTGGGGACAATGCCTTTTTACAGCATAGCCAGGAGCTTGCCAAATAGGAGCACAGCAAGTTTATTAACAAGAGGACATGATCAAACATAAAATAGCAGGCTAAGGACTCCTTTTCTTGTACAGCCACGCTGAAAAGACTTCTGTGGAATTCCAATCCTGCTCTCGACACACCCCTTGTCTAGGACTGTATTTACTCAAACAGCCACCCTCATTTCCTTTTAAAATTTATTTGTCATTAGCCATTACTCACTGCAAAGCTACTTTTTGAGATTTTAATATCCCTTTTAATAAGGCACTATTCTTTGAAAACTACAATACCAACATTTTTGTTGGTACAGTGTTTTTTGGTATTTGAAAAACTATGAAATCAGAAGAACTTATGGCTTGAGATAGTCCCAGATGCATAAATACCCTAAATCAAATGGGCACTTGTTTAGAATGCTTTCTAAGGATGTTCCTCACCCATCTAAAACCCTTCCAACATATCGCATCATGGTTAAGCAGGTAGAATCTAGAATATGATTGTCTGGGTCTAAACCCAGGCCTCCTCCACCTTGGCCTTGGGCAAGTTCCTTAACATTTCTGTACCTGATGTCCTCATTTCTAAAATGGGGCTAATAATAGTCCCCACCTCATAGGGTTGTTTTAAGGGTATACATGTGTGTATACATACGCGTGTACACATGTTGCATATGTATATATTGCACATGTAATTGTGTGTGTGTGTTTATATATAGATATGTGTGTGTGTGTATTTATATATAGATGTGTGGGTGTGTGTATATTGTACTTCCAGGAGAATTCTCAATAAATGGGAGCTGTGGTTGTTTTAGCTTTTTATTGTATTATGGCTGTGAGGCAGAGCTTGTGTTCCTGTGTTTTTTCCCCAGGGGTGGTTTGGCCATGGAAATGAACGGGGTGGCAGGTGATGCTGGGGAGACCAAGGAAAGCAGGAAGAGTGAGGTTGGGAGCAAGAGAAAAGAAGGACGGGAGGTCCAGTCTCAGCTCCTTGCCCTTCTCCTGCCATCTCACTAGCCTCTTACCCCAGGCTTAGTCTCTCAGCTCTTCCCTTCGTTTTCTCCTGAGTTGATCCATTTTCTTAAAGTCTGACTGTCTTTCCTAACAATGTATTAGAAAATAAATAATAAGGCCAGGTGCAGTGTCTCATGCCTATAATCCCAGCGCTTGGGAGGCCGAGGCGGGCGGATCACATGCAGTCAGGAGTTCAAGACCAGCCTGACTAACATGGTGAAACCCCGTCTCTACTAAGAATACACAAATTAGCCGGGCATAGTGGCAGGCACCTGTAATCCCAGCTACTCAGGAGGCTGAGGCAGCAGAATCGCTTGAACCCCGGAGGCAGAGGTTGCAGTGAACTGAGATCGTGCCATTGAACTCCAGCCTGGGCGACAGAGCAAAACTCTGTCTAAATAAATAAATAAATAAACAAATAAATAAATAAGCAAGCTGGCTGTGGTGGCGCGTGCCTGGAGTCCCAGCTACTCAGCAGCTGAGGCAGAAGAATTGCTTGAACCCAGGAGGCGGAGGTGGCAGTGAGCTGAGATTGCACCACTGCACTCCAGTCTGGGTGACAGAAGAGACTCCATTTCAAAACAAACAAACAAAAAACCCCCACCAAACTCCTGGTCAACCTCAAATCTGCATTCTTACAGGATTCACCTGCTTGGCTCCTGGCAACTCTATCCCACCACTGGCAAAACAACGGACAAACAAATAAACAAAAAAACAGGAGATTTCTTTGACTTTTCGATTTCTCTGCTTTCCCATCCAACCCAGCCATCCATCTTCATCGTTAAAACGGATTCGGAATCAGACCCTTCTCTCCATCCCCACTGCTCCCATCGTGGTCCAAATCGGGACGTGGTGCTAACTCCCCAGCTGCCTCCTGCCCCATGCCCTGTTCTTCACACAGCAGGCTGAGTGATGCCACGGAAGTGCAGGCTGGACTACATAGCTCACGTGCAGTCTCAGCTGACGCCCGAATCCCCACAATCTCTGCCTCCCTTGACTCCTGACCACAGCTACCCTACTTTCTCCCCCCTGGCTGGCTCCTCCAGCCACACCAGCCTCCTTACTGCTCCACGAGTCCCCCAGGAGGCTCTGCCTTTGGACCTTGGCACTGGCTGTGCCCTCGGTCTGGGGCAATTCCCCCATATTCCATGCCCCTCTCCTCCCTTGCTCTGTCCTTCCTTCAAATCACCTTCATTGGGGTGAGGTGGCTCATGCCTGTAATCTCAGCACTTTGGGAGGCCAAGGTGGGCAGATCACTTGAGGTCAGGAGTTCAAGACCAGCCTGGACAACATGGTGAAACCCTGTCTCTACTAACAATACAAAAAATAACTGGGCGTGGTGGCACGCACCTGTAATCCCAGCTATTCGGGAGGCTGAGGTGGGAGAATCGCTTGAACACAGGAGGCAGAGATTGCAGTGAGCCGAGATCACGCCATTGCACTCCAGCCTGGGCGATAGAGTGAGACTCAAGTCTAAAAAAAAAAAAAAAAAAAATCACCTTCTCTGTGACCTTCACTGACCTCCGGATATAAAATGACAATCCTTACCCATCAGCACTGGTTCCTCTCTCTACTTTTTTTTAAATCCATAGCATTTACCACTATCTAACACATTATACATTTTACTTAGATAATTTTGTTGATTATCTCCTTTCCCTTACCACCCCCCAGCCCCCACCCCATGTGAGCACCATGAGATTAGGGGCTTTCTTCATTCATTGCTCTATCTCCTGTCTGGAATAATGTCTAGCACATGGCAGAGCTCAAGCATTATTTGCTGAATGATTTAATATCTGTCTACTTGACTACTACCATCTATTCGAATACTCAAAGTCAGGGGCTGTACATGTTTGTGCTTACTCCAATGGCTGGTGCATGGCAGTCGTCCAGTACATTTTGTTGGGTGACTATACATGGGCTTTGTAGGGCATCTGCTTCCTTCTCTGCAATAGGAGAAATGGGGAGTGCTGATTAGAAAGTCTGCCGGGCGCGGTGGCTCACGCCTGTAATCCCAACACTTTGGGAGGCTGAGACAGGTGGATCACCTGAGGTCAGAAGTTCAAGACCAGCCTGACTAACATGGTGAAACCCTGTTTCTACTAAAAATGCATAATTAGCCAGGCGTGGTGGCACATGCCTGTAATCCCAGCTACTCGGGAGGCTGAGGCAGGAGAATCGCTTGAATCTGGAGGTGGAGGTTGCGGTGAGAGAGATCACGCCATTGCACTCCAGCCTGGGCAACGAGAGCGAAACTCCGTCTCAAAAAAAAAAAAAATTAAATTAAAAAAAAAATAGTAAGCCCAATCCTGCCTATGGGGGCAGCTTTCCCTTGGCCCCAGTATGGCGGCTTTTGCCTATAATCTTAGCACATTGGGAGGACAAGGCAAGAGGACAGATGAGGCCAGGAGTTTGAGACCAGTCTCAGCAACATAGTGAGACTCTGTCTCTGCAAAAAAATAAAAAAATAAAAATTAGCCAGGTATGGTGGTGTGCACCTATAGTTCCAGCTACTTGGGAGGCTGAGGTGGGAGGATCGCTTGAGTCCAAGTGTTCGAGGCTGTAGTGAGCTGTGATGGCATCTTTGTACTCCACCCTGGGTGACAGAGTGAGACCCTGTCTCAAAAAAAAGAAAAAAAGAAAAAAAAAAAAGAAAGAGAGAAAGAGCTTTGTTTCCTGCATAACAAACCACCTCAACACTTAATGGCTTAATACAACCACCTATGTATCTCATAATTGTGCAGGCTGGTGAGGCAGGTCTTCCGGTGTGGGGCGGCTCAGCTGATCTCTTCAAATCAAATAATCCTCCCAGTCAACACAGATTAAAATTGAAACCCCTGGCAAGCAGAGGGCTTTTGTATTGAAGGAGGAAAACTCACCATCCCACAAAAGGTTGGCATGAAATTAAGGTGACAAGGGAAAAAAGGGCCATGAGCTACTGGCCAAATAATTCAGCTTAATCTCCAGGAAATGATTGTCATAGCCTTAGGAAGGTACATGTGCAGATTTGGAGAACCCTGGCTGAAAGAGCCAGGCGGCCTCGGAAACAAATTCACATTGCATGCGACATGCCCAAGGGCAGCGGGCTCTGGCTTCAATCATGACTATATTACAGGAATGGAAATGACAAATGGGTTTGGGAGTGGCAGACATCTAACGATGATTACAGAGAACAGGAACCGCAGAATTAGGATGCACCCACAGTCACTTTTTTTTTTTTTTTTTTTTTTTTTTCAGAGACAGGATCTTGTTCTGTCGCCCAGCGTGGAGTAGCATAATCATAGCTCACTGCAGCCTTGAACTCCTATGCTCAAGTGATCCTCCTGCCTCAGCATCCCAAAATGCTGGGATTACAAGCGTGCACCACTATGCCTGGCTAATTTATTTTATTTCATTTTTTGTAGAGATTGAGTCTCGTTTTGTTGCCCCGGCTGATCACAGTTACTTTTGAGTATATATAATCAGTGGCTATCAGGAACACAAGAGGCCCAGTTACTTCCATTTCTTGAGATTTTCTGTATATTAAAAAATTTAAAAGGGGATATTCTGTGTGATTTATTATCAAAACTGTGTGATATGTTAAATGTGTACAGTTTTAAATCATAACTTTTAACAAACCCCCAAAAAAGGCAAAACAAAACAAAACAAAACAAAAAAACCCTAAAAAAATGCAACATAATTGTGCTAGTCAAAGATAATATATATATATATTTTTGAGATGGAGTTTTGCTCTCTCGACCAGGCTGGAGTGCAGTGGCACAACCTTGGGTCACTGCAACCTCCACCCCCTGGGTTCAAGTGATTCTTGTGCCACAGCCTCCCGAGTAGCTGGGATTACAGCATACACCACCATGCCCAGCTGAATTTTGGATTTTTAGTAGAGACAGGGTTTCACCATGTTGGCCAGGCTGGTCTCGAACTCCTGACCTCAAGTGCCTGCCTCGGCCTCCCAAAGTGCTAGGATTACAAGCGTGAGCCACCGCGCCTGGCCAACCAAAGATAGTTTTAAGAAACATTAATTCATTTGTGCTGTACACTGTGGTCCAGTGATGAGACCCACGTTTAAAATTGTACAAAATCGGCTGGGCGCAGTGGCTCACGCCTGTAATCCCAGCATTTTGGGAGGCCGAGGCGGGTGGATCACAAGGTCAGGAGATCGAGACCATCCTGGCTAACACGGTGAAACCCTGTCTCTACTAAAAATACAAAAAATTAGCCGGGCGTGGTGGCGGGCACCTGTAGTCCCAGCTACTCGGGAGGCTGAGGCAGGAGAATGGCGTGAACCCGGGAGGCGGAGCTTGCAGTGAGCCGAGATCGCGCCACTGCACTCCAGCCTGGGTGACAGAGCGAGACTCCGTCTCAAAAAAAAAATAAAATAAAATAAAATAAAATAAAATAAAAATAAAAAAAATATATATATATAATAAAATTGTACAAAACCTTCCTGATGATGAAATATTGTACAGAGCAACTGGCCTGAGCTCTTCAAAAAGTTAATGTTGGGCCAGGCACTGTGGCTTATGCCTGTAATCCCAGCACTGTGGGAGGCCAAAGCAGGAGGACTGCTTGGGTCCATGAGTTCAAGACCAGCCTGGGCAATATAGTGAGATCCTCTCTGGCTTCCTTAATTTAGTATAATGTTTTCGAAGTTTCTCTTTATTGTGTCACAGAATTCCTGCCAGGCAAGGTAGTTTATGCCTGTAATCCCAGCACTTTGCGAGGCCGAGGCAGGAGGATCGCTTAAGCCCAGAAGTTCAAGATCAGCCTGGATAACATAGCAAAACCCCATCTCTAACAAAAATTAATTTAAAAAATTAATTAAAAAAAAAAAGCCAGGTATGGTGGCACACACCTGTGGTCCATGTGGGAGCCTGAGGTGGGAGGATTGCTTGAGCCTAGGAGGCGGAGGCTGCAGTGGGCTGTGGTCACACCACTGCACTCCAGCCTGGGCACAGAGAGAGAACCTGTCTCAAAAAAAAAAAAAAAAAAAAAAAAAGTTATTGTCATTAAAGAAAAAAAAAGCAGGGTGGCAGGAAGAGCTGGTCTAGATTTTATTTTTATTTATTATTATTTTTTGAGAGAGAGTCTTGCTCTGTCACCCAGGCTGGAGTGCAGTGGCGTGACCTTGGCTCATTGCAACCTCTGCCTTCCAGGTTCAAGTAATTCTCCTGCCTCAGCCTCCTGAGTAGCTGGGACTATAGGCGTGCCCACCATGCCCAGCTAACTTTTGTATTTTTAGTAGAGATGGGGTTTCACTATGTTGGCCAGGCTGATCTCGAACTCCCGACCTCAGGTGATCCTCTTGCCTTGGCCTCCCAAAGTGCTGGGATTACAGACGTGAGCCACTATGCCCCGCCTGGTCTAGATTTTAAAAGAGATACAGGACAGCCAGGCGCGGTGGCTCACAGCTGTAATCCCAGCACTTTGGGAGGCTGAGCCAGGTAGATCACCTGAGGTTTGGAGTTCGAGACCAGCCTGACCAACATGGAGAAACCCTATCTCTAATAAATATACAAAAATTAGCCAGGTGTGGCGGTACATGCCTGTAATCCCAGCTACTCAGGAGGCTGAGGCAGGAGAATTGCTTGAACCTGGGAGGCAGAGGTTGTGGTGAGCTGAGATTGCGCCATTGCACTCCAGCCTGGGCAACAAGAGTGAAACTCCATCTCAAAAAAAAAAAAGAGAGAGAGAGAGAGACAGGACATGTAACAACCACATGCAACGTGTGGGCCTTGATTAGATCCTGCTTTGAATAAACCAGCTGTAAAAGATATTTCTGGGAAAAATGCAGTTGTTTGAAAAAGTCCTCCCTATTGTTTTGGAGATACAGCCTGAGAGATCTAGTGACAAACATTCATAAAGTCTATAATGTGAAATCTTCAAGGGAAAAATAAATGATTAATGAAGCAAATACGGCAGCATGTGAACCATGATCCTATCTAGGCAATGGGTGCATGCATAGAGATAGAAACTGCTGTCTGTGCTTTTCTACATGCTTGAGAATTTTCATAATAAAAAGTGAAAATAGAACACAGAACACTCAGGAGCTTAGGATAAGCATTTACTGTATGTACTTAATATAGTCATCTGTATTATAAATGAGAGTGATTAGAAGATAACAGGAATATTTTGAGGAGAAAAAAAGGGCATGAGGAATGTCATCTTCCCATCTTCTTACCAGTGTTTCTCTGTGACTCTGAGGATGACCTCATGTGGAGATAATGTCAAAAGTCCACATTTTAGACCCTGCATCTGAAGACAGGGTCAAATGGCTTCCTTGATCTCCCTGTGATAGGATGGGGTGGCTATTGTCTTTTTCTTCCTTCATTTTGCCCTCCCGGTGATTCTATCAAAACTGAGATATTAGAATGACCCGACGGGCCCACCCAGCTTCTTATAAGCACTCTGTTTACTTTCCAAAATGGAAGAGAGAAGGTGACTTTGGAGATAAGGAAAGAAGCTGATTAACCAGTTAAACCATTTCTGTTAGTTCAGTGATCAAATTTCACTGTATTATTTCCAATGTGAATAGTTAACTTCCCGGTGCAGTCATATATAAAGAAGGTAAGTTCAGATAGTAAATGACCATAGTTATATTCCCCTAGCCAGCTCCCCACCCCTCTCTGATCAGAAATCAGTTTCCTGATTGCCCTCTGAAACTTAGTATTAGAATCTAGAAGACACTGTTGGCCACAAACGCACGTCACAGTAGCAAACGCTGGATTAATTTTATTTTTGATGAAGGAATTCCTGAAGAACCAAAGTGCATGGATGCAACGTTTTGCAGCCTTCTGCACAGTGAAATACCTTAGCATAGCATCAAACCACGGCAGCTTGTCACTCAGATCTGGGATTCATGGTTATCTGGAACTGACTCAGATCCCAAAATGCAAACAGTATTTTGAAACACCAAAAAATTCCAAAAAGCTTTTAAGATAGGTCCCATTCTCAAACTCACTCAAACTCATCTACGGAGAAAAGAATCCATGGCTACGGGAGCTGACAACAAAATTAATTGCTTTCAATTTTTATAAAAGTTCTCAAGGAACTTCAAGAGCTGATGCAGGTGGGTGGAATTAAACATTAGCAAGAAGAGCTATATTGATTAAAAATTTAAATGTCTGACCTATCTCTTTATCTGGTTTCAGTGGGCTGGCAGGGCGGCTCTGTCAATCAAGATAGACCTAACATAACAATAACATTTATAAACACATAAAAATTCATAGAATGCACGTCTACACTTTTCTCTGTAGAATTAAAAAAAAAAATTCAATGAATTTTTTTTGAGAAGGAGTCTCGCTCTGTCACCCAGGCTGGAGTGCAGTGGTGCCATCTCAGCTCACTGCAACCTCCACCTCCTGCATTCAAGCAATTCTCTTGCCTCAGCCTCCTGAGTAGCTGGGATTACAGGCACGTGCCACCATGCCCGGGTAATTTTTGTATTTTTAGTAGAGACGGGGTTTCATCATGTTGGCCAGGATGGTCTCTATCTCTTGACCTTGTGATCTGCCCACCTCAGCCTCCAAAAGTGCTGGGATTACAGGCGTGAGCCACCACACCTGGCGTGAATTTGTTTTTTAAGGGACACAAGGAAAGTTAATAGTTACTAGCCTAATATTGCATTCCCTGCATATGAAATCTTTATTCTGCTAATGTAAAATTCAAACATAGCAGAAGCAGAAGGAAAATCATGTCATAGAAGCAATTCTTTCAGCACAGTTAAAAGTTGGGAATCAATGAATACTGCAGACTCCTGCCATGTAGCAGTTAATACCAGAGGGTGGCAAACTGAGGCCCTCGGGCCAATTCTGTCTTTGCAAATAAAGTTTCCCCGAGAAACAGGCAAGCCCATTTCCCTATGGATTGTCTGTGGGGGCTTTTGTGCTGCAAAGACAGAGTTGAGTAGTTTAGGCAAAGACCACTTGATCTGTAACGCCTCACGTATTTACTATCTGGCCTTTACTAAAAACTGTGTTAATAACATGAATGTTGGAGTCAGGCAGGTCCAGATTGAGGATCCAGCTCTGTTCAGCTGTATGTCCTTGAGCACATTCCTTAAGATTTTCAAATCTCAGTCTTCCTACCTATTAAATGGGAGTAATAAGAAAAATAATAGCTAAATTTACTGAATGTTTACAATGTGCCCAGCACTGTTCAAGGTGCTTTGAATGCAGTAACTCATTTAAACTCACAGCAACCCTATGAAGAACACACTATGCTTGCCCGGGCATGGTGGCTCACGCCTGGAATCCCAGCACTTTGGGAGGCTGAGGTGGGTGGATCACCTGAGGTCAGAAGTTCGAGACCAGCCCGGCCAACATGGTGAAACCCTGTCTCTACTAAAAACATAAAAATTAGCCGTGGTGGCACACACCTGTAATCCCAGCTACTCAGGAGGCTGAGGCATGAGAATCGCTTGAACCCAGGAGGTGGAGGTTGCAGTGACCCGAGATCACGCCACTGCACTCCAGCCTGGGTGACAGAGCAAGACTCCGTCTTTTTTTTTTTTTGGGTAGGGGGATGGAGTCTCGCTCTGTCACACAGGCTGGAGTGCAATGGCATGGTCTCAGCTCACTGCAACCTCCGCCTCCTGGATTCAAGCAATTCTCCTGCCTCAATCTCCCAAGTAGCTGGGACTACAGGTGCGTGCCACCACACCCAGCTAATATTTGTAGACACGGGGTTTCACTATGTTGACTAGGCTGGTCTCGAACTCCTGACCTTGCGATCCTCCCACCTCAGCCTCCCAAAGTGCTGGGATTACAGGCATGAGCCACCGTACCCAGTGAGATTCTGTCTTAAAAAAAAAAAAGATATTACTGTGCTTGTCCCCATTTTAAAGGTGAGGAGACAGGCTCAGAGAGCTGAAGTAACTTATCTAGAGTCCCACAGCCAGGAAGTGGTAGAGCTACAACCTCATCTGGTAATTATAAGTGTAAAGTGAGATTAGGCCTGCAGGAAACATGCTTTAACTGGTGCTTGTAATATAGCAAGCTTTCAAAAAATTAGATCTGTTTGCACGTGGTGGTGCATGCCTGCAGTCTCAGCTACACTGGAGGATTGCTTGAGCCCAGGGGTTTGAGGCTGCAATGCGCTATGATCACACTGGGCAACATGGCAAGACCCCATCTCTAAAAAAGTAAAAAGAAACAAAATAAATTATATCTGTTGCTATTACTAATTTGGAACATAAGCCATCAGAAATTAATAAATGAATGGGAACCTGAGCTGACCCTTCAAATCTTGACTTCATAGCATGTTTATTTAACTGACATCTTCAGGGGGGCAGCTACCATGTCAAAATGGTGTTTGTTGTTCTGGGGAAGGTGATAGATTACGCAGAGTTTGCTTTCCTTGGTCTCTGGATTAATTGTCAGTTTTTTAAACAGGATTTTGACACGCTAAGATCTCCCAGAAAGTATGCCATTAAACTGAAGAAGAAGAAAAACAAGAAACCTCATAGAGGTGAGACTAGAAGCTGAGTGTGTACATTTTACCACCGCAGTTTGCTGGTCACTTATGGTCAGTTGGTTCACATACAAACCACAACAAACACATGCATATAATGAAATAAATTGGCTTCTTGAACCGTTTTACTTTCTTTATAACTTAAAAATACATAAGTCGCATGTTGTTGGAGAAAGTGCAGATATAAACAACAGGAAATAGAAAAATAATCACCCATAATCCTACCTTGAAATAACCATCTTTTTTTTTTTTTTTTGAGATGTAGTCTTGCTCTGTTGCCCAGGCTGGAGTGCAGTGGTGCAATCTGGGCTCACTGCAACCTCCGCCTTCCGGTTTCAAGCGATTCTCCTGCCTCAGCCTCCCAAGTAGCTGGGACTACAGCCACGCGCCACCACGCTCAGCTAATTTGTTGTATTTTTTAGTAGAGACGGCGTTTCACCATGTTGGCCAGGATGGTCTCGATCTCTTGACCTCATGATCCGCCCATCTCAGCCTCCTAAAGTGCTGGGATTACAGGCGTGAGCCACCGTGCCCGGCTGAAATAACCATCTTTAACCCACGCTGGGGATCTAGTTTTGTTTAAATATGGGTTTTGTTTTGTTTGTTTGTTTGTTTCCTCCACTGCAGGAATGGTTTCAATGGATCACAATGTAAAGCATTTAAATAAATGATGGTAACTCACTGGAAACAGTGATGATCCGAGAGGCAGACTGAGAGATCTCCAGCCTCTATGTTGTATATTTCTGGACTCTTTCACCAAAACTACTTTTTTTCACCAAGTCTAACTCTGTTTAAGATGAGAAAAAAACCTAATAAGGATCCATTTTTGAGTTAAAAATGTAATGATTAGAATGAATTTGGAGCAAATATTTAAATTGCCAATATCAGTTCCAAATGTCTTTCTTTAATCGGCAGAGCAGTCCACATACACGTTTGAGTATGTATTTTCATGGACATCTGGAAAGACCTGTCATTAGCTAAGTATCCCCCAATGAGATGGAGCAGTCAGATGGTGTCCACGTGCCTCTAAAACAACTTGTCAATTCAATAAGAAAAAAAAAAAAATCCCAATCCAACCATGCAGTCAATTTAGGGTCAAATTATCAGTCAACCATTTGTCATGTAATCCAAACAAATGGTCACCTAAGTAAATCTACATTTTAATTAGTTATGCTTATATCACATAGATACTGTCAGGCAAGACTTTCGGTAGCAAAACAAAAGACCATGAAATTTGCAAGGAGGTATTTCCAATCGATCCTCCGTAAGACCCACTCAGGGGTGAACACACAGGTTTGTATTCATCTTAGGCCGTGATTATTGGAAGAAAGAAATTAAATATCTATAGGTTGGCCAGACAAGGTAGCTCATACTTGTAATCCCAGCACTTTGGAAGGCCGAGGTGGGTGGATCACCTGAGGTCAGGAGTTCGAGACTAGCCTGGCCAACATGGTGAAACCCTGTCTCTACTAAAAATACAAAAATTAGTCAGGCGTGGTGGTGCATGCCTGTAATCCCAGCGGCTCGGGAGGCTGAGGCAGGAAAATCACTTGAACCCCAGAGGCGGAAGTTGCAGTGAGCAGAGATCGCGTGATTGCACTCCAGTCTCAGTGACAAGAGTGAAACTCTGTCTCAAAAACAACAACAACAACAACAACAACAAAACCCAAAAACAACAAACAAAATTAGCCGGGTGAGGTGGCGCATGCCTGTAATCCCAGCTACTTGGGAGGCTGAGGCAAGGAGAATCGCTTGAACCCAGGAGGCAGAGGTTGAGGTGAGCCGGGATCGCGCCACTGCACTCCAGCCTGGGGACAGTGCAAGACTCTGTCTCAAAAAAACAAAAAGATCTCTTGATGAGGTGCTCAGGTAAGAACTGCCCTGGTGTAAGGTCTCTTGAGTTGGGATCCCAGCTCTGCCATTTACTAGCTCTGTGTGGCTGGGCAATTTACTCATCTTCTCTGGGCTTCAGTTTCTCTCTCTGTAAACTGGGGAGTATAATAGTATCCATCTCATAAGCTTATTGTGCACACTGGAGTAAGTCACCTACATAATGCCCTTAGAAGGGTGTGATTTAAATCCAACAAGCTCAGAAAACCAAACTTTAAAAAACTACTTTGATAGCCAAAGCTCATCTGATCTGAACTCATTTGCTGGCAAAACTTGAGCTGAATCGGCACAAGAGAATTTCTATGAATATCCATAGTTTTTGCTGCAGAAATAGCAATGTGTTTGATGGTGCTATGTAGACCCATACTGATATATGGTATAAGCACTGTATTATCTTTCTAAGTGGAAACATGTTGAATTCCAAAATTCATGGCATTAATGAACATGTATTTCTCTTGCTATAAATATGACTTTTTTTCTTTAGTTGAGTTTCCAACTAATGATTTCATCTGATCCTCATGAGTCAGGTAAGGCAGGCATGATGACCTCCTGCTTAATAAATGGAGATATTGAGGCACAGATTCCCAACTTGTCAGGCAACTTGTCCAGACTCCAAAACAAACAAGACTAACCCAGTTAAGGAACATGCCTATCAACACTGCAGGATCCCCAGGAATTAGTAGCAAGGGTATTGTCATCGGCTATTTAAAAAAAAAATAAATTAAATTAGCCAGGCCTGGTGGCACATACCTTAAGTCCCAGCTACTCTAGTCCCGGCTAGTCTGGAGGCTGAGGTGGGAGGATCACTTGAGCCTGGGAGGTAGAGGTTGCAGTGAGCTGAGATTGCACCACTGCACTCCAGCCTTGGCGACAGAGTGAGACCCTATCTCAAACAAACAAACAAACAAGCAAAAAACACAACAACAACTTATTCATTTATTTATTTATTTAGAGATGGAATCTTGCTCTGTCGCCAGGCTGAAGTGCAGTGGTACCATCTCAGCTCACTGCAACCTCCGCCTCCTGGGTTCAAGCAATTCTCCTGCCTCAGCCTCCCAAGTAGCTGGGACTACAGGCGCACGCCACCACGCCAGGCTTTTTTTTTTTTTTTTTTTTTTTGTATTTTAGTAGAGACAGGGTTTCACCATGTTGCCCAGGCTGTTCTCGAACTCCTGAACTCGGCAATCTGCCCGCCTCGGCCTCCCAAAGTGCTAGGATTACAAGTGTGAGCCACCGCGCCCGGCCAATAAATTTAAATCTTAGGGTTAAAATCAAGGTGGTAAGAGTCAGTGAAACACACTATAGACTCTATTTCCTCTCAGAGTCTTGGTAAAAATGAGTAGCAGCAGCGGTCATAATGATCAAAGCCATTATTTACTGAGCACTTGCTGTGGGCCAGGCATGTGTGTGATCTCATTTAACAGAAGGTAGCTTCTATTATTATCCCCATTTTACAGAGGAGAAAACTGAGGCCCGGGCAGGTTAAGGAGGATACACAAGGCTGTAGAGTTAGTAAATGGCAGAGTGAGGATTTGAACCTGGTGCTATCTGGCAAGGCAGAACCTCTGTCAACTAATTCTTTGCCTCCATAAGCTTCTCCGTATTCAGAGTTTTATCCTTTTTTGCTGAAATCACATTTCATTCCACTGACCTTTTCAAAGGCTTTTGTCTAAAAGGTTAGAAGTAATTCCACTTCTGGGAACTGATTCTCAGAAATATTCAGAGATATGAACACAGATTTATGTTCAAAGGTATTTAGCATGACATTATTTATAGTAGTCTAAAAAAAACAGTGTGAGAGAGATTAAATGGTGAACATTGTACATTTCTTATAAGAAAATATTATGTAATCATAAAAACAGAATTGTTGAGGCCTGGCATGGTGGCTCACACCTGCAATCCCAGCACTGTGGGAGGCTGAGGTGAGATCGCTTGAGGCCAGGAGTTTGGGCAACATAGCAAGACTTGGTTTCTACAAAAAATAAAAATAAAAAATTAGCCAGGCATGGTGGCAAGCACCTGTAGTTCTAGCTACTCAGGAGGCTGAGGTGGGAGGATTGCCTGAGGCCAGGAGTTCGAGGCTTCAGTGAGCTGTGATCGTGCTACTGCACTCTAGCCTGGGCAACAGAGAACGGCCCTGTCTCTAAAAATAAATAAATAGGCTACTCAGGGCACACTGCCCATAGGGTAGCCCTGCTCTTTTACTCTTAATTTTTAAGGAGCAGTTAAATATAAATAAATAAATAAAAAATAAATAGAATTGTTAAATAGCTTAGTATTCTAAGGAGATGTTCATAATATATGGTGAGCTTTTAAAAAGGGATACAGGCCGGGCACAGTGGCTCACGCCTGTAATCTCAGCACTTTGGGAGGCCAAGGCGGGCAGATCACCTGAGGTCAGGAGTTTGAGACCAGCCTGGCCAACATGGTGAAACCCTGTCTGTACTAAAAATACAAAATTTGCGGCTGGGTGCAGTGGCTCACGCCTGTAATCCCAGCACTTCGGGAGGCCAAGGCAGGCGGATCACGGGGTCAGGAGATCTAGACTATCCTGGCTAACACGGTGAAACCCCATCTCTACTAGCCGGGCGTGGTGGCGGGCGCCTGTAATCTCAGCTACTTGGGAGGCTGAGGCAGGAGAATTGCTTGAACCCGGAAGGCAGAAGTTGCAGTGAGCCGAGATTGAGCCATTGCACTCCAGCCTGGGCAAAAAGAGCAAAACTCCGTCTCAAAACAAAAAACAAACAAATAAAAACAAACAAACAAACAAACAGGATACAAGGCCAGGTGTGGTGGCTCACACCTGTAATCCCAGCACTTTGGGAGGCTGAAGTGGGCAGATCACTTGAGGTCAGGGGATTGAGACCAGCTTGGCCAACATGGTGAAACCTCGTCTCTACTAAAAATATAAAAACTAGTCAGATGTGCTTGCCTGAACCCAGGAGGCAAAGGTTGCAGTGAGTCAAGATTGTACCACTGCACTCCAGCCTGGGCAACAGAGTGAGACTCTGTCTCAAAAAAGGCAATTCAGTCTTTTAGCAAGAATGGTTGCTTGAGGAGTTGAGGACGTTACCTTTTGGCCCACAAAGTCTAAAATTTTTGTTTGTTTGTTTTTGTTTTTGAGATGGAGTCTCACTCTGATGCCCAGGATGGAGTGCAGTGGCGCGATCTTGGCTCACTGCAACCTCTACCTCCCGGGTTCAAGTGATTCTCCTGCCTCAGCCTCCGGAGTAGCTGGGACTACAGGTGCGGGCCACCATGCCCAGCTAATTTTTGTATTTATAGTAGAGACGGGGTTTCACCATATTGGTTAGACTGGTCTTTAACTCCTGACCTCGTGATCTGCCCACCTTGGCCTCCCAAAGTGCTGGGATTACAGGTATGAGCCACCGCGCCCAGCTCACGAAGTCTAAAATATTTACTCTCTGGGCCTTGATGGAAAAAAGTTTGTTGAGCCCTGGTATATAACAAACAAACCAAACACCTCTTGTGGCTACATTGGGCCCACTCAAATAACCCAGGATATCTCATTCAGTTGATTAGCAATCTTAATCCCATCTGCAACCTCAATCCCGCCTTGCTGTGTAACATAACCTTGTCCCAGGTTCCTTATACATGGGAGAGGAAGGCAGGGGAGTCCGTGTCAGAGGGATGCGGCCTGAGAGACTCCACCGTCATTGTTGGCCCTGAAGGTGGACAGGGCGATGAGCCGGGGCAGGCAGGCAGCCTCTAACAGCCGGAAAAGGGAACGAAAGGAATTCTCCACTACAGCCTCCACAAGGGACCGTCCTGCCAACGCCTTGATTGCAGTCCGTGAGACCCCTTTGGACTTTTGATCTCCAGAACTGGTAAGATAATAAATTTATGGTGTTGGAAGCCACCTGTCTGTGGTAATTTGTTACAAAAGCAACAGGAAGCAGATACAGCTCTGGCGAATTCAGGAAGTGAGTAATGGTAGAGAGTGGGGAAATCAGGAAAAACGTCAACAAAGTCAAATTAATTATTCGGTGGAATATGGGACTGTAATTCCATTCATTCATTCAAGCATTAATTCATTCAACAAATACTTATTGGGACACTAGGCCTGGTGCAGTGGCTCATGCCGGTAATCCCGGCACCTTGGGAGGCAGAAGGGGGTGGATCACCTGAGGTCAGGAGTTAGAGACCAGCCTGGCTAACATGGTGAAACCCTGCCTCTACTAAAAATACAAAAATTCACACACACCTGTAATGTGATGGCACACGCCTGTAATCCCAGGTACTGGTGAGGCTGAGGCAGGAGAATCGCTTGAACCCAGGAAGCAGAGGTTTCAGTGAGCCAAGATTGCGCCACTGCCCTCCAGCCTGGGTGACAGAGTGAGACTCTGTCTCAAAAAACAAACGAACAACAACAAAAAAACCTCCAAAAAACCAAAATACTTATTGGGACACTTAACTTTGTGCAAAGACTTCAGCTAGGTTTCTGGGATCTGATGGTGAAGGGGACAGGCTAGCCTGATCCCATCCCCACGGTGCCTAGAGTCCCGTGTGGGAGGAAGACAGTTGAAGAGTTAACCAGGGGATTAGTAAAAGGTGATGAGGTGATGAGGGGGAGTGGGGGGGAGGGGGTCTCCTGAGGAAGTGATAATGATGCCCAGATCTGGAAGACGGCTGTGCTGGCCAGGGAGAGGGTAGGGCAGGATTACAGGAAGTGGGGGCCTGCAGGGAGAGGACAGCAGGGGGTACTCTGAGGGCCTGGGTTATATTCCTTCACCCTCTATCTGGGGCTCGGAGCATAGTGGGTCCTCAGGGGAATTAGAAGTAAGGAGGAAAGACATGAAGGAGGGAAGGAAGGTGGAAATGAGGAAGGGAAGAAGGAAGTGGAAATGAAGAAGGGAAGAAGGAAGTGGAAATGAAGAAGGGAAGAAGGAAGTGGAAATGAGGAAGGGAAGAAGGAAGTGGAAATGAGGAAGGGAAGAAGGAAGTGGAAATGAGGAAGGGAAGAAGGAAGTGAGAGAGAGGGAAGAGGGAGAAAGGAGGGAAGAAGGAAAAAAGAAGGAAGAAAGAAAGTAAGGAAGAAAGCCGGGTGCTGTGGCTCACTCCTGTAATCTCAGCATGTTGGGAGACTGAGGTGGGCGGATCACCGAGGTAGGAGTTCGAGACCAGCCTGGCCAACATATAGTGAAACCCCATCTCAACTAAAAAAATACAAAAATTAGGCCGGACGCAGTGCCTCACGGCTGTAATCCCAGCACTTTGGGGAGGCCGAGGCAGGAGGATCACCTGAGGTTCAAGACCAGCCTGGCCAACAGGGCAAAACCCTGTCTCTACTAAAAGTACAAAATTAGTCGGGCGTGGTGGCGGGCACCTGTAATCCCAGCTACTCAGGAGGCTGAGGCAGGAGAATTGCTTGAACCCAGGAGGTGGACGTTGCAGTGAGCTGAGATTGCGCCACTGCACTCCAGCCTGGGCGACAAGAGTGAGATTCTGTCTCAAAAAAACAAAACAAACAAACAAACAAAAACCAAAAATTAGCCGGGTATGGTGGCACACACCTGTAGTCCCAGCTACTTGGGAAGCTGAGGCAGGAGAATCACTTGAATCCCAGAGGCAGAGGTTTCAGTGAGCCAAGATTGAGTCACTGCACTCCAGCCTGAGCGACAGGGCAAGACTCCATCTCTAAAGAAAAAAAAAAAAAAAGGAAGAAAGAAAAGGCAGGAAGGGAGGAAGGGAGGAAGGGAATAAGGGGGGAAAAGACACATTTAACCTAACTAAGGAAGAACTGGATACATGTTGCTAACATCTGATACACACTCCATCTCCATCTATGTTGACCAAACAGACTTTTACCCCAGTTTTGAGAGCTCCAAGTCTCCAGGATAAGCTGTCCCCACCCACAATCTGTGAGCCTGGGCCTTAAGGGAAGATGCTCACTGCACCTTTCTCACCTTCCCATGACATAGGGCCCTCCACGGGAAGCGGCTGCAGCCATCACAATGCCTCATCTTGCCATTAGTCATATTTCTGATCTGCTATTCTATGAAATGCCCAGAAAAGGCAAATCTTTTTTTTTTTTTTTTTTTTGAGACAGGGTCTCATTCTGTCACCCAAGCTGGAGTGCAGTGGTGTGATCACGGCTCACTGCAGCCTGGACCTTTCAAGCTCAAGCGTTCCTCCCACCTCAGCCTTCCCCGCCTGCCCACCCCAGTAGCTGGGACTACAGGTGTGTGCCACCACGCCCGGCTAATTTTCATATTTTTTCATAGAGATGGGGTTTCACCATGTTGCCCAGGCTGGTCTCGAACTCCTAGGTTCAAAAAATCTGCCCACCTTGGTCTCCCAAAGTGCTGGGATTACAGGCATAAGCCACCACGCCTGGCTGAAAAGGCAAATCCACAGAGACATAGAGTGGATGAATGGTTGCCAGGGGCTGGAGGTGGGAACAAGAAGGACAGAAATGAGGGAACCTTATTAGCATGATGAAAATGTTTCCAAAACTGAGTTGTGAAACTAACTGCATAATTCAGTGCATATACTTAAAAAATCATTGACCTGTGCACAACAAAATGGGTGAATTTTATGGTATGTAAATTATACCACAATAAAATTGTTTTTAAAAATTCAATTTAAACACAAAATTTCCTGGTTTGCCTAATCCAAAATTTATTTATTTATTTATTTAGAGACAGTGTCTTGCTCTGTCACTTAGAGTGGAGTGCAGTGGTACAAGCATAGCTCACTGCAGCCTTGACCTCCCAGGCTCAAGCAATCCTCCCACATCAGCCTCCCAAGTAGCTGGGACTGCAAGCGCATGCCACCACGCTCGGCTAATTTTTGTATTTTTTTGTAGAGACAGGGTTTTGCCATGTTGCCCAGGTTTGTCTCGAACTCCTGGGCTCAGGCGATCCTTCTGCCTCAGCCTCCCAAAATGCTGGGATTACAGGTGTGTGCCACCATGCCTGGCAAATTTAGTTTCTAAAATGGTCACAGGAATGATCTGAGTTAACATAGCATTCATTCATTCAGTCAGTCGTTCACGCCACAAATATTTATTGAGCATCAACTATGTGCCACACATAGTTCTAAGTAGCAGAGAAACAATAGACAACAGTCTCCCACTCTTCTGCTGCCTTTTGGTACTGACAGGACCCTTGTGATTACATTGGGCCCACTCAGAACATCCAAGATAATCCCTATATTTTAAGGTCAGCTGATTAACAACCTTAATTCTATTTGCTTCCTTAATTTCCCTTTGCCACGTAATATAACATATTTATAGTTGCCAGTGATTAGGATGTACACAATCTCTAGGGGGCCACTATTCTGTCTACCCCACTCGCTATTTTGATAGCCTATAGACACAGCTGTGTCTCCACATCCCATAATTGTGGATTCTTTACAGATATTATTTTATGTAGTCTCATAAGGATCCTAAAACGTGTATGCCATGATCTCAACTTTGCATATGAAGAGCATGAGGCTCAGAGAAGTAAACTGAGTTTCCCAGGATCACACAGATACAGTGTCAGGGTTGGGGATTAAGCCCAAGTCTGTGGGGCCCCAAAGTCTGTGAGTTTCCAGCAGGCTAAGCTTGGCTACGTCATGTTTGCAGAATGATCTCTTCCATGTACTGGCTGCACTAGAACAGACAGACACCTCAGTTAATTCAATGGCTCAGCCACGTGGACTTAACTTGTGGAGAAAAGTATAAAGGCAGGGCAACCCTCTGGAGACCTCAGTTCAAATCCCACCTCAGGGAAATGACATCAGCTCTTTGGGCCTCAGCCAGCTTCTCATGGGGATGCTAAATCATCCAGGAAAGCTCTGAGTCATTTGTACAAGAAAGATTTTAAGCTCCTCTATGTGCCAGACTCCATTCTAGAAATTTCCACAACGCTCCATAAAAGCAGGATAAAAATCACTCCTTTTTATTTGAACCATGCAGATAATTTTGCCATCAAGTTATGTTCATGATAAAAACCATGGCCAAAGCTACCACGGCTTTACTGTGTGCCAGGGACCCAGCTCTGGGCTTTGCAAATATGGACAGTTCTGAATCACGATTCACTCTAATAGCTGGACTTCAAAAGAAACAGCAAACTTCATTCCCCTTATTCAAGTGTGGATATTCCCTTAATGAAATCCCAAATTAAGATCCAAATAGCTGGTGATCATAAGAAGAACCACCATCCTTACTGTGGGGCGAGAGGTTTCTGGCGGGACACTAATTCTCCTCATTTCCCTTCCTGGAGTTAAGCCTTTGATCTTTCAGTTCACAGATGACAGGGCTGCCTACCAATCACCAGGAATTGCTGAAGTGCCTTTCTGTCTTGCTGAGTACGAAGGTGTGCAGACACTCAGAGCCGCCTTGCTCACGATCCGATTTTATGAGCATTGAACTGTGGGTTTGGAAGCAGATTGATCTGCTTTTTTGAAGTCAAAGCTGTTTGCCTTTGCTGTGTACTCATTGGAAAGGGAGAAAGGGAGCTAGGAATGTTGATAATTGAGTGTTTTTTTCTGGGGAATGACTCCTGCCTAAAATCTAGGAAGCCCCTCCTTGTGCGAGGAAGTCATTGCTGGGACTCACCATTTGGTGTGTGGGTTGCTTCTCAGGATGAATTTTATGACAACAACAACAGTAACAACAACTGATTTTTAGAAGTTTGGGGAACTTGATAACTAAGTGAAGATGAGAGGAAAAAGCTGAGATTTGTGTCCAGCAAATAGCTTTTCCGTGATTTTTGGAAAACAATCTCAGTCTTTTAGTCTAGCCTCTACATTTGGTGGTGATGGGAGGGACAGCTAGCATGAAAAGCTATTAACTCAAGAGCACTTAGAAAATGAATTTTAAGGCCAGGCGCAGTGGCTCACACCTGTAATCCCAGCACTTTGGGAGGCCAAGGTGGGCGGATCATGAGGTCAGGAGTTCGAGACCAGCCTGGCCAATATGGCGAAACCCCGTCTCTACTAAAAATACAAAAATTAGCTGTGGCAGCGCACGCCTGTAGTCCCAGCTACTCGGGAGGCTGAGGCAGGAGAAACTCGGGAGGAGGAGGTTGCAGTGGGCCAAGATTGCGCCACTGCACTCCAGCTTGGGCAACAGAGCAAGACTCTGTCGCAAAAAATAAAAATAAAAATACAAAAATTAGCCGGGCGTCGTGGTGCATGCCTGTAATCCCAGCTACCCAGGAGGCTGAGGCAGGAGAATCGCTGGAACCTGGGAGGCGGAGGCTGCAGTGAGCCGAGATTGCACCACTGCACTCCAGCCTGGGTGACAGAGTCAGACCTGTCTCAAAAAAAAAAAAAAAAAAGAAAGAAAAATCTAGGCTGGGCACGGTGGCTCATGCCTGTAATCCCAGCACTTTGGGAGGCCGAGGCGGGTGGATCACGAGGTTAGGAGATTGAGACCATTCTGGCTAACACGGTGAAACCCCGTCTCTACTACAAATACAAAAAAATTAGCCAGTCATGGTGGCGGGTGCCTGTAGTCCCAGCTACTCGGGAGGCTGAGGCAGAGGAATGGCGTGAACCCAGGAGGTGGAGCTTGCAGTGAGCCGAGATCGCGCCACTGCACTCCAGCCTGTGACAGAGAGAGACTCCGTCTCAAAAAAAAAGAAAAATCTGGAAACAATCTGTTCATTAATAAGTCCATCGTTAATTAGTTGACTTCTTAGTTCTTCAATATCCCCATCTGTAGAACAAAGATATTCAGAATACTTATTGGCTGATGATGAGGACTAAACTAGTTAATGTGCAGACAGCGTTTAGAACAAGGCTGGCACAGAGTAAGTTCTCAATACTCTTTGCTATTATATATTATTACAACTCGATATTAGAAATGAACATAAAAAAAGACTAAAGTTGATCTATATGTGCTGAAATGTTCGTATTTATGGTTAAGGAAAAAACCCAATAAATGGCAGAATATGTTGAATATGGTTGATCACATTTGTGCTTTTCAAGCAAGGCTGTGCCTGTGACTTGTATTTACTATGTAGGTTTATTTGTATATAGAACATTTCAGGAAGGATACACAAAAATTGGTGGTTATAAAGGAATTTCTGTCTAGACTCTAGAGAGTTAATGTTAAAACACAGCAATCTGTCTACATTCTTTCAAAAGACATCTGTCGACTGCCAACAATTCTAATTTATGGTTTATGGCACATATAGAAATGGAGCAATTTGAGTCACAACTGTCTAATATGGCTTTGTTTGAAACTAGTGGGTACGATTAATCTATGATTTGAACTAGTGACAAAAAGCACTCATAATATATGTTTTAAGAAAAAAGCCATATGGCTCTGCTGGCCGAAAACCTTTTTTATTTTTTTTTGGAGACAGAGTCTCGCTCTGTCGCCCAGGCTGGAGTGCAGTAGCAGTGTCGGCTCACTGCAATCTCCGCCTCCTGGGTTTAAGTAATTCTTGTGCTTCAGCCTGTCGAGTAGCTGGGACTACAGGCATGTGTCACCGTGCCCAGCTAATTTTTTATTTCTATTTTTTGTATTTTAGTAGAGATGGGATTTCACCATGTTGCCCAGGCTGGTCTCCTACACCTGAGCTCAGGCAATCTGCTCACCTCTTCCTCCCAAAGTGTTGGGATTACAGGCGTGAGCCACCTTACCCGATTGGAAAACCATTAATTTTGAAAATGATTGCTATCAATAAAGTGTCGCTTTTTGGAATAAAAAGCTATGAAACCTCCTGGCTTCGTTTTAAATTATCTTCGGAGTCAAATACTAGAAACAAATTAATGGCAGAAATTCAGGGAAATATTTTGGCATCAGATTCTATAGGATTAATTAAAAGTTGATATCAGGCAGTTATTGCTTAAATGTCATTTTTTATGCAAACAACATAATTGCAAAAATGAGCAGAGCCTTATGTTTGATTTTCTCTGCACATACTGTCATTCAGGTTCATACTTGTCGAGCATTCATCCATGCTTACTAAATATTTTTTAATTGTGTAAAACCTGGGTCATTTTACAGATCTGTTTCTGGGTCTGAGTGGTTAGTATGTCGCCATAGATCTTTCTCTCCCTGACCAAATTCTGCTACTTTTCTGAAATGTCTTTTAAATGTTGTTCATTGCAAGGTTATTATCTTTAATGAAAAAATGCCTGCTGAGCGGACTACAAACCATTTGGTTCCCTCCTGTCAGGGGAGGAAAAGAATAACATTGAACAAGGCTGAAGGTTTTTATTATCACATCGTAAATGAGCAAATGGCATCTGTCAATACAAAGTGACTCAGAGGTGCATGGAAAAAGAAGTTGTATGGGGAGGCTGTCGAGTGACAACACGGATTTTTATTAACCTCCTGGTCCAGCATCTCTTTTCCTATTTTATTTTGCCTCATTCACTTTGCAACATAATAACGCTATAAAAACACTCAAACAGGAAGCTGATCACCATTAAAAACTGCAGGACCGCCTTGCTACTGAGCAACAGCAAAGAGTTTGGATCATAGACTATCTTCAGGGTTTTATACTTAAGTGTGCCGACGTGGGTGTATTTTCACATGCAGCCCCTGCCTGCTTTGGGTCTTTTTGAGAAGATATTTCTTTCCAAGAATAACACAGCCTGTTTGCCTAAGTGTTAATTCTCACAAAGTTTTCATATTTGGGTCATAAACATCCTTCACGACACTGGTAAAATGGCCAAGGTGTTTATGGGCTGCAAGAAATGTTTATGCCAATGCATAAAGGCAGAAATGGAACCGTTCACATCAGACCTGAAATGAGCTGCCCTGGAGTGGGGGAAGGGGAGCCAGAAGCCCACCCCCTACCCCCAACGACCCCCCAATGATTTCGCTGGAAGTTGTTAAGGTGGATGTCTCATAAAAATGTTTTGTAAATGTTAACAGCGATTCAAGCTTAAGCAGGTGTGGGGGCAGTGAACCCTGGGAGGACAATGGGAAGAGGGACCGGAAGTCCTGCCCACTCTGAGGGGAAGCAAGTGCTTTCCCTTATGCCCAGGGCAGGGCATGGAGGAGGCCTGGGCACAGAGTGCCAGAAAATGCCAAGGCTCAAGTTCTGAAATTCTGACAGTTGGGGCCCACCACGTTGTTCAATGAAATTTAAAGGCTGGGTATGAATTGGGTGATGACTTCCATGAGAAGTCAATAGCTACAGTGCAGATGTTTTAGTGTCCTAAAGACAGTGACAATATGGTAGATCTAAATATGTTTTGACACAGAAAGATTTCCACAATTTTTTTTTTAAATAGAGACGGGGATTTGCTATGTTGACCAGGTGGTCTCGAACTCCTGGCCTCAAGCAGCCCTCCTCCCTTGGCCTCCCAAAGTGCTGAGATTACAGGCATGAGCCACTACGCCTGGCCTCTTCCACAATTTTTTTTTTTTTTTTGAGACGGAGTCTCGCTCTGTTGCCCAGGCTGGGGTGCAGTGGTGCTATCTCGGCTGACTGCAAGCTCTGTCTCCCGGGTTCACACCATTCTCCTGCCTCAGTCTCCCGAGTAGCTGGGTGTCAGGCACCCGACACCACGCCCGACTAATTTTTTTTTTTTTTTGTATTTTTAGTAGAGATGGAGTTTCACTGTGTTAGCCAGGATGGTCTCGATCTCCTGACCTCATGATCCACCCGCCTCGGCCTCCCAAAGTTCTGGGATTACAGGCGTGAACCACCGCACCTGGCCCACAATTTTTTTTTTAAAGCAAATTTTAGCCAGGCACAGTAGCTATATTCCTCAGCTACTCAGGAGGCTGAGATGGGAGGATTGCTTTAGCCCAGAAGTTGGAAGCCAGTCTGGGCAACATAGCAAGACCTCATCTCAAAAAATAAAAAATTTCCAGCTTAGAAGATCCTTTATTGTTGTTTTAAAAAATAGCATCTACACAGAGAAAATAACCTGGGGAAAACAGCCCAAACATCACAATGGGTTTGAATGTTCTCTACTTTGTATTTCTGTGTTAATTGTTTTTTTTTTAGAGGTTATGTAGAGATAAAATGTCATAGATCTATGTGTAAGGACATTAAAAAACAAAAGTGCGGCCAGGCGCGGTGGCTCACGCTTGTAATCCCAGCACTTTGGGAGGCCGAGGAGGGTGGATCATGAGGTCAGGAGTTCGAGACCAGCCTGGCCAGCATGGTGAAGCCCCGTCTCTACTGAAAATACAAACGATTAACCAGGCGTGGTGGTGTGCACCTGTAGTCCCAGCTACTCAGGAGGCTGAGGCAGGAGAATTGCTTGAATCCAGCAGGTGGAGGTTGCAGTGAGCTGAGATCGTGCCACTGCATTCCAGCCTGAGTGACAGAGCAAGACTCATCTCAAAAAAAAAAAAAAAAAAAGGTGAGTGCATCCGATTATGGCCTGTAGCCTTGTTGACTGTATTGTGTCATTGTCTGTTGCCTGGTTTTGATAATGTCACTGTGGAGAGCAGCTGGGTGATGAGTAAATAGGACTTACTGTACTATTTTTACATTTCTGTGATCTAAAAATTACTTCAAAATAAAAAGTTACAATAGGGCATCTATTAGTTTGTAAGTGAAATAATAAAGAAAAACAAAGTAAAGTGAGTCATAAAATAGATGCCCACAACATATTGTTGAAATTTAAAGATGCAGATGGCAGAGCAGAATGCCTACACAAAACATACCCAGCAAAATGGTGCACAAATATGCTCAGAGAAGTGTATGGTTGGAGGTTGCCAAATCTAATAGTGGTGATCAGTAGACGGAAGTGTCCACTTTTTGGGGGTAACTTTTTTTTTTTTCTTGAGACAAGGTATGGCTCTGTCACCTAGGCTGGAGTGCAGTGGCAAAATCACGCCTCACTGTAACCTCTGCTTCCTGGGCTCAAGCGATCCTCCTGCCTCAGCCTCCTGAGTAGCTGGGAATACAGGAGCCCACCACCATGCCCAGCTAATTTTTGTATTTTTAGTAGAGACAGAGTTTCACCATGTTGGTCAGGCTGGTCTCGAACTCCTGACCTCAAGTGATCCGCCTGCCTTGGTCTCCCAAAGTACTGGGATTACAGGAGTGAGCCACTGGGCCTAACCATGCATTTAAAAAAATTTTTTTTAAATTTGTTTTGAGATAGGGTCTCACTCCACTGCCTAGGCTGAAGTGCAGCAGTGGTACTTAAATTTTTTTTTTTCTTTTTTTTTTTTTTTTGACACAGAGTCTTGCTCTGTCACCCAGGCTGGAGTGCAATGGCACCATCTCGGCTCACTGCAACCTCCACCTCCAGGATTCTAAGCGATTCTCTTGCCTCAGCCTCCCAAGTAGCTGGGATTACAGGCATGTGCCACCACGCCCAGCTAATTTTTGTATTTTTAGTAGAGACGGGGTTTTGTCATGTTGGCCAGGCTGGTCTTGAACTCCTGACCTCAGGTGATCCACCTGCCTCAGCCTCCCAAAGTGCTGGGATTATAGGCGTGAGCCACCGCACCTGGCCCTTAATTTTCTTTCTTTTTTTTTTTTTTGAGATGGAATCTCACTCCATCGCCCAGGCTGGAGTGCAGTGGCGCGATCTCAGCTCACTGCAACCTCCGCCTCCTGGGTTCGAGTGATTCTCCTGCCTCAGCCTCCAGAGTAGCTGGGATTACAGGTGACTGCCACCACGCCCAGCTAATTTTTGTATTTTTAGTAGAGTCGGGGTTTCACCGTGTTGGCCAGGCTGGTCTCGAATTCCTGACCTTGTGATCTGCCTACCTCGGTCTCCCAAAGTGCTAGAATTACAAGTGTGAGCCACTGCGCCCAGTAATTTCTTTTTTAAAGAAATTATGACTATACAAATGCATAGTCAGCTTTTTAAAAAAATTAATTACATGTATAAATACGTGTGTATGTGTATAGTTAAACCTCCGAATAGCACAAAGTGTGTCCAATAACAAATACTGTTAAACACATCAGCTAGTTTCTTTTTAATAAAGGGAAATGTCATCATTAATAAACTGGAAATCTCTTTGGCAGCTCTTCCAAATTCTACTTTCCATCTTCCCTCTTCAGAGACAACCATTATCAAGACGGTATGTGTACCTTTCAATCTGTTCCTTATATTTTATCATGCATATAAGAATTCAGGCAGGGCGAGGTGGCTCATGCCTGAAATCCCACCACTTTGGGAGGCTGAGGCGGGTGGATCACAAGGTCAGGAGATCGAGACCATCCTGGCTAACACAGTGAAACCCCGTCTCTACTCAAAATACAAAAACAAAATTAGCCGGGTATGGTGGCGGGTGCCTGTAGTCCCAGCTACTTGGGAGGCTGAGGCAAGAGAATGGCGTGAGCCCAGGAGGTGGAGGTTGCAGTGAGCCGAGATCACACCACTGCACTCCAGCCTGGGTGACAGAGAGAGACTCTGTCTCAATAACAACAACAAAAAAAGAATTCAAATTAATTCATACTTTTTTTTAATTGTATGATTGGTATTTTACATATCGTTCTTCAACTTGCTTTCCAAATTTGCCATTATATTTTTGGGATCTATTCATGTTGATTCATACATCTCCTGTTCAGAGCTGTTTTTCTATAAAGGGCCAGAGTAAATATTTTGGGCTTTGTGAGCCATAGGGTCCCTGTTCACTCTGCCACACCCTAATGCTATAGCTGAGAGGTAGTCATAGCAGTACGTAAATGAATGATGTGGCTGTGTTCCAGTAAAATTGAACACTAAAATTTGATTTTCATAGAATTTTACATATTATGAATATTCTTCTTTCGTCCTTTTAAAATTATTCAAAAATGTAAACATCATTCTTAGCCCATGAGCTGTACAAAATCAGGCAATGGGTCACTTTTGGCTCACTGTTTGCTGACCCCTGCTCTAGTGCATTAATCTGAACAGCTGTAGAGGGTTCCACTATGTCTATACCCATTTCATGTGTCCATTCCCCTACAGAGAGATATTTAGGTTGTTTCCTTTTTTATTGCTGTTGCGAAATGGAGCCCTTAAGCAAGTCTTCTTATATCATGTGTCCTATTTAATAGAAACAATAAATGCATTTCATGAATGAGTGAAAAGGCAATATTGCGTCAATACCATCTGTGACCTTTTGAAAAATAGATGCTTGCCAAAGATGCCTATGGAAGAATTGGCACAAGAATTAATGCTTTTAAAAAGCTCCAGATGAATTAAATTATTGCCCACAGTACTTACATTTTCTTCCTCTCTAGCAAGTGTTTAGGGGCTCAATTTAATGAGATTTGGGTGCGGTAGGAGTGCTGGCTCTGAGCCGGTGCCAGCAGTAGATGGCGGTTGATCATAGTGCTAAGTGCTTTAAATCCAAGTCTCACCACAGCCCTGTAGAATCAGGGCTGTTTTTTAGCCCCATTTTTCAGATGAGCAAGATCGACGGGCAGGAGTAGAAGTCTCAGTGGCTAAGTATGGCAGGAAAGAGAAACGGGATACAGAAGTTTACAACGCCTGGTAGAGCAAGAGGCTCTCATGAAATTATACGGACTGTGGTCGGTTGAATAATGGTCCCCAAAGATATCCGTGCCCTAGTCGCTGAAACCTGTGAATATTTTACACAGTCAAAGGGACTTTGCAGATACGATTAAAGCTTTTTTTTTTTTTTTTTTGAGATGGACTCTCTCTCTGTCGCCTAGGCTGGAGTGCAGTGGCCTGATCTCGGCTCACTGAAACCTCAGCCGCCTGAGTTGAAGCGATTCTCCTGCCTCAGCCTCTCGAGTAGCTGGGATTACAAGTGTGCGCCACCACGCCTGGCTAATTTTTGTATTTTTAGTAGAGACGGGGTTTTACCATATTGGCGAGGCTGGTCTGGAACTCCTGACCTCAAATGATCCACCCACTTCGGTCTCCCAAAGTGCTGGGATTATAGTTGTGAGCCACCACACCCAGCCAAATTAAGGCTCTTAAAATGGAAAGATCATCCTGGATTATACGGGTGGACCCAAGGTAATCAAAAGTACTTACTTATAAGAGGGAGGCGGCAGGTAAGTCAAAGGAGGAGAGAGGGGATGCACCAGCAGAAGGAGCGGTCGGGTGATGTGAGAAGGGTTTCAGGAGCAAGGGATGCAGCCGGAAAGCCAGGAGAGGGAAAGGAAGTAGACTTTCCATTCCAGACTCCCCAAGGAACCAGCCCTGCCAACACCTTGACATGCATCCCGTGAGACTAATTTAGGACTTCTGCCCTCCAGAACTGTAAGAATAAATTTGTGGGCCGGGCGCGGTGGCTCACGCCTGTAGTCTCCGCACTTTGGGAGGCCGAGGTGGGCGGATCATGAGGTCAGGAGATCGAGACCATCCTCGCTAACACGGTGAAACCCCGTCTCTACTAAAAACACACACAAAAAAAGTTAGCCTGGCGTGGTGTTGGGCGCCTGTAGTCCCAGCTACTTGGGAGGCCGAGGCAGGAGAATAGCGTGAACCCGGGAGGTGGCGGAGCTTGCAGTGAGCGGAGATCGCGCCTGCACTCCAGCCTCCGTCTCAAAATAAATAAACAAATAAATTTGTTTTGTTAGCGCCTCAGATTTTTTTTTTTAATTTTTTTGAGAGGGAGTCTTGCTCTGTCGCCCAGGCTGGAGTGCAGTGGCATGATCTCGGCTCACTGCAAGCTCCGCCACCTCCCAGGTTCACGCCATTCTCCTGCCTCAGCCTCCTGAGTAGCTGGGACTACAGGCGTCCGCCACCACGCCCGGCTAATTTTTTTTTGTATTTTTAATAGAGACAGGGTTTCACCGTGTTTGCCAGGATGGTCTCGATCTGTTGACCTCGTGATCTGCCCGCCTCGGCCTCCCAAAGTGCTGGGATTACAGGCATGAGCCACCGCGCCCGGCCAGCCCCTCAGTTTTAAGTTCGTGGTAATGTTACAGCAGCAAGAGGGAATTAACGCAGGGCCTGTGAGTGAGTTAGGGAGAAAAGTGAAAGGGGACTTTAATAAACAGTGCTACTGGGCTGGGGTTGGTGGCTCATACCTGTAATTCCAGCACTTTGGGAGGTCGAGGCAGGAGGCTTGCTTGGGCCCAGCAGTTCAAGACCAGCCTGGGTAACATAGTGGGCGGGACCCCTGTCGCTGCAAAAACTTATTTAAAAATTAGCTGGGTGTGGTGGCACGTACATATAGTCCCAGTTACTTGGGAGGCTGAGGTGGGAGGATTGTTTGATCGCAGGAGTTCAAGGCTGCAGTGAGCTATGATTGTACCACTGCACTCCAGCCTGGGTGACAGTGCAAGATCTCATCCATAAAAATAAAACAATAAAAATAGTGCTAATCACTTTAAATGGACTCCTCTTAATTTTTTTTAGATAGAGGAAAAAATCAGAATTCCTTCTGTTGCTTGATTGTGCTTCCTTAAATAAGTCTCCTTGCATTGCCTGGGCTGCATAGAGCCACTGTTTTGTTTTCAGATTTTGCAATTGTTCGTGGACTGTGACTGTGAGAACAGAGTTGCTGAATCCACTCACAGAATGGGAAACTATGACACAGGCAGATCCATGCTTCCCTAAGGAACCAGAGTCTGAAGCTGTGTTCATTCACATCATGAGATCTCACCCTCGGCCGGGCACGGTGGCTCATGCCTATAATATCAGCACTTTGGGAGCCCGAGGCAGATGGATCACCTGAGGTCAGGAGTTTGAGACCAGCTTGGCCAACTTGGGGAGACCTTGTCTCTACTGAAAATACAAAGATTAGCTGGGTGTGGTGGCATGTGCCTGTGGTCCCAGCTACTCAGGAGGCTGATGCAGGAGGATCGCTTAAACCTGGGAGGCAGAGGTTGCAGTGAGTTGAGATCTCGTCACTGTACTCCAGCCTGGGCAACAGCCTGGGCAAAAGAAAAAAAAAAAAAGGAAAAACAGAAATCTCACCTTCACTGTTATGTTAATGAATACAGAGTCCAACTTATAGTCTGTAGTGAGACAAGAACAAAAATTGGGAAATTGTGTAGGTAGAATATGGCAAAAGTACAATATAAATGGAACATAAATATAAATATGTATAGTTACTTCTTTTTAAAAAAAATTTTACACAAATAACTCTTCTAGACAAATTTTAAAATACAGATTTTAAAAAAGAAAAATAAATGTTCTTGTTACAATATAGAACAGATAACTACTGTTGGCCTAAATACACAAGTATTTTCACAAAAAATGATCATACTGCATAAACCATCTTGTGACTACTTGGTGTTCTAAATCACCATGTACATCTTTCCATGCCAATAAGCACGTTTTCTTTCTTTTTTGTTGTTTGAGATGGAGTCTCACTATGTCGCCCAGGCTGGAGTGCAGTGGCACGATCTCAGCTCACTGCAACCAACCTCCGCCTCCATGTTCAAGCCATTCTCCTGCCTCAGCCTCCCAAGTAGCTGGGATTCCAGGCATATGCCACCACGCCCAGAAAATATCTTTTAAATTTTTTTTTTATTTTTTAGTAGAGACGGGGTTTCACTATGTTAGCCAGGATGGTCTTGATCTCCTGACCTCGTGATCTGCCCACCTCAGCCTCCCAAAGTGCTGGGATTACAGGCATGAGCCACTGCACCTGGCTAAGCAAGTTTTCTTTTTTTTTTTTTTTTTTTTGAGACGGAGTCTCGCTCTGTCGCCCAGGCTGGAGTGCAATGCAGTCATCTTGGCTCACTGCAAGCTCCGCCTCCCTGGTTCACGTCATTCTCCTGCCTCAGCCTCCCGAGTAGCTGGGATTACAGGCACCCACCACTACGCCCAGCTAATTTTTTGTATTTTTAGTAAAGATGGGGTTTCACCGTGTTAGCCAGGATGGTCTTGATCTCCTGACCTCGTGATCCGCCCGCCTGGGCCTCCCAAAGTGCTAGCATTACAGGCATGAGCCACCGCGCCCAGCAGCAAGTTTTCTTAAAAGTATTTCCCGGAGCGGTTTCCAAAGAATGTTAACAGGTATTACAATAAGTTCTAGGATGAGATTATCTTGAAGATCCTAGGGTAGAGGCAGTTGGGGAACATTGTTGCAAGATACTTTGATAATGAGAGACAAACAGATGGATCTAAGATGGGAGGAATAATAGAAGGGTCCAAGTGATCTGGCCATGGAAACCCTCTCTCGTTTTCTTTTTATCTTATTTTATTTTATTTTTTATTTTTGAGACAGGGTCTTGCTCTGTTGCCCAAGCTGGAGTGCAGTGGCACGATCACAGCTCACTGCAGCCTCAGCCTCCTGGACTCAAGCAATCCTCCCACTTCAGCCCTCCTGGTAGCTGGGACTACAGGGGTGCACCACCTTGCCTGACTAATTTTTTTTTTTTTTTTTTTGAGATGGGGTTTTGCTCGTCACCCAGGCTGGAGTGCAATAGCGCGATCTTGTCTCACTGCAACCTCTGACTCCTGGGTTCAAGGGATTCTCCTGCCTCACCTCCTGAGTAGCTGGGATTACAGGCGCCCGCCACCATGCCTGACTCATTTTTGTAGTTTTAGTAGAAATGGGGTTTCACCACGTTGGTCAGGCTGGTCTCCAACTCCTGACCTCAGGTGATCCACCTGCCTCAGCCTCCCAAAGTTCTGGGATTACAGGTGTGAGCCACTGTATCTGGCCTTCATTTTTAATTGAGGAGAAATTTACCAAACATAAAATTAACTATTTTAAAGTGAACAATTCAGTGGTATTTAGTACTTTCACAATGGTATGCAACCAACACCTCTGTTTAGTTCCAAAATATTTTCATCACTCCACAATAACCCTTATCCTGGGATCATGAATGCCTCACTCTTCCTGGTGTTTGTTGAATGAATACATAGAAGCATGGTTTAAGGCTATAGCAACAATTTCTTCAACTGTAATCTGTAGGACTACGTATCCAGAAGAACAGGAAAGGCCAAGATGTAAATCCACACTCCGCGATAACCCGACGGTCCTCTCTCAAACCCCAGAAAAGGAAAAAAAATCCTCTACAATTTGTTACTACCATAGCCCAAACAAACAATATATTTATTCAATGTATTTAAGCTTAAGAAGAGGCTATTTTTCCCCAAAGCATTTTGGCAGGTTATAAAGATTTGAACATTTAACTCACTAATCATCTCCATCTCTTAAATGGCTAGAAAGGTTATCTTATCTTGTATCTTTCTGTTTGGAACCTTAAGAAAAAAAAGTGAACTCTTTCGGCTGGGCATAGTGGCTCATGCCTGTAATCCCAGCACTTTGCGAGGCCGAGGCAGGTGGATCATTTGAGGTCAGGGGTTCGAGACCAGCCTGGCCAACATGGCAAAACCCCGTCTCTACTAAAAACACAAAAATCAGTCAGGCGTGGTGACGGGCACCTGTAATCCCAGCTACTGGGGAGGCTGAGGTAGGAGAATCGTTTGAACCTGGGAAGCAGAGGTTGCAGTGAGCCAAAATTGTGTCACTGCACTCCAGCCTAGATGACAAGAGCGAAACTCCATCTCAAAAAAAAACCAAAAACCAAACAAACAAAAAACCCTCTTTCTTCCCTAGCAGGAAGTCAAAAGATTAAATTCTATAATTGATGCTCAACAGCCAGGAGTGTAAATGTACTATTTAGATTTCGGGAGTAAAAGCGGAAAAAAATACAACCAGCAAGAGTTAAAAGTCGTTTCCTGAGAAGAGTAGGCCTGGGGGTGGGACAGGGCAGTCTTAGTTTTCATTATTACCCCTTCTGCAGTTGATTAATTTTTAACCACCAGCAAGGGATTCTTTCATTTAAAATTGTTCTTAAAAGAAATACAGGCTGGGCGCGGTGGTTTACACCTGTAATCCCAGCACTTTGGGAGGCCAGGGTGGGCGGATCACGAGGTCAGGAGTTCAAGACCAGCCTGGCCAGCCAGCATGGTGAAACCCTGTCTCTACTAAAAAAATACAAAAACTTAGTCGGGCGTGGTGGCATGCGCCTGTAATCCCAGCTACTCGGGAGGCTGAGGCAGGAGAATTGGTTGAACCCGGGAGACTTGGTTGAACCCGGGAGACTTGGGAGGCTGAGGCAGGAGAATTGCTTGAACCCGGGAGACGGAGGAGGTTGCAGTGGGCTGAGATCATGCCACTGCACTCCATCCTGGCGACAGAACGAGACTCTGTCTCAAACAAAAAAAAAAAAAAAAAAAAAAAAAAAAACCCAACCAAACAGAAAAAAACCTTAAGGCAAAGTACTACAAAATGAAAATAAAATAATACGTACTTGGGGACCTTTAAAAAAAAAAATCCTGGTGGTTGGGCCACACCCTGGACCGATAAAGTCTGAATCTCTGGGGATGGGATGCAGCCGTTAGCATAATTTTTTAAAGTTCTCCAGATGACTCTAAAGTCATCTGGTTGAAAACCAGCACTTTAGAGACCCTGGAAGTTTTCTTTTAGTGTTAACTTTCTGTAATCTATAGAGTAATTTCCTGTCTCTGCAAAAATAGCTCCAAGGCATTTGGGGTGGTTTCTAACCTATTTTCTAAATAATTAATCTTTAAAGTAATGATTTAAAAAATACAATATTACATTAGAATGCAGGAAATATCATTTGTCATAAGGAGACCAACAGCTTTCTCTGTGCATCCATGTGAGGGTATCACATATTTGGGGTGTAGGTGACCACTGGTAGCCTGTATTTTTTTTAAGACAGAGTCTCATTCTGTTGCCAAGGCTGGGGTGTGGTGGTGCGATCTCAGCTCACTGCAACATCGACCTCTCGGGCTCAAGAGATCCTCCCACCTCAGTACCCCCTCCATGAGGAGTAGCTTTTTATTTGTATTTTTTGTAGAGACAGGGTTTCATCATGTTGCTCAGGATGGGTAGCCTGTATTTTTATAATTTTATTTAACCTATTGAGTTTAATTAAATTCCCTTTCACCCTACTCCACACTCGGTGACTTCAAAGAGAGGGTATGGTCAGTTCAGCTCTACAGAGGAGAAGAGAACATTCTGAATGTTTCAATATCTTGGGGAAGCTGGAATGTTAGGATATTTTAGCTGCAAATAACACAAACCCAACTCAGCAGGGCTTGAACAATAAGGTCATTGATTAACCGTCTCTCAAGGAGTTTGGCGTTAGGATGTCTCCAGGGTGGTGATTTAGTAGTTAATTTGGGAGCCAAGATTTTTATTTTTTTTAATTTTTTTGAGACAGAGTCTGGTTCTGTCTCCCAGGCTAGAGTGCAGTGGCACGATCTCGGCTCACTGCAACCTCCGCCTCTTGGGTTCAAGCGATTCTCGTGCCTCGGCCTCCCTAGTAGCTGGAATTACAGGTGCCTACCACCACGCCAGGCTAATTTTTGTATTTTTAGTGGAGATAGGGTTTCACCATGTTGGCCAGGCTGGTCTTGAACTCCTGACCTCAAGTGATTGGCCCGCCTTGGCCTCCCAAAGTGCTGGGATTGCAGGTGTGAGCCACCGCGCCCCACGGAGGAGCCAGGATTTTTCCTTCCTTTCATTCTCCTATGCTCAGCTTGTTTTCTCTGGCTGCCTCTCATCATGGCCCCAAGATGGCTGCAGAGTTGTAGAAGTCACAGGGAGATGGCAATGTCCAGAGGCAAAAAGAAAAGTCCCAGCCTTCTGTCCCTTTTTAAGGGTGAAGAAAACCTTCCCTGAAGGCCTCTCAACCACTCTCCCTCATATCTTGTTGGTCAAAGTTGCATCACATACCTATTCCTAACTCACAACTTGGCAAGAAATTGAGATTGCCCTGGTGGGCTCACATCCAAGGGAACATGGGTGTGTGTGTGTGTGTGTGTGTGTGTGTGTGTACATGCTTACATATCTAACATTAATATAAAAGACATTTTATTCCAGTGTATTCTGATTTGGTTAGTAGTTAGTAGTTTCCTTTGGCAATCTTACACTAGTGAGCTGAACATCAAAGTGTACACATACATATACTTCTGTGTGGCCATATTAATTTATAAGATAACAATTTTAAAATTATATATAGTGAAGCCAATTATATTTGGGCATTTAGCATGTGATAAAAATTGCCTTTTAAAATGAGTAGGGGGTGGCCGGGCACGGTGGCTGACGCCTGTAATTCCAGCACTTTGGGAGGCCGAGGCGGGTGGATCACTTGAGGTCAGGAGTTCAAGACCAGCCAGACCAATATAGTGAAACCCTGTCTCTACTAAAAATACAAAAATTAGCCGGGTGTGCCAGCAGGCACCTGTAATCCCAGCTACTCAGGAGGCTGAGGCAGCAGAATCGCTTGAACCTGGGAGGCAGAGTTTGCAGTGAGCTGAGATCACGCCATTGCACTCCAGCCTGGGCGAAAAAGCTAGACTCTGTCTCTAAAACAAACAAACAAAAGTGAGTAAGGGGGAAAGATGAATTATACCATAAATGGTATTGGGATAACTTAGTGGCTGTCTAGAAAAACTATAAACTTAGAGCTACATTTCAAAGCATACCCAAGGATGAATTTCAAAAGGATAAAAAATTTCATTGCAAACAAACAAATTATAAAAGCACTAGAAGAAGCTATCAGAATGTTAAAATAATCTTGAAGAGGGGGAGATCGTTTTTACTAAGACACATAAATCAGAAGCTATAAAATTAAAACACTTGCATGGCAAAAACTATAATAAGTAAAGTGAAAAGACAAGACACTTGGAAAAAAATAATTGCAGCTTATATTACTAAGTATTAATTTCCCTATATATAAAGAGTTTCTAAAAATCAATCAGAAAAAGGCCAAGAGTCTGCCAGAAAAACTGAAACAAGGATATATATGATAGTTCACAGAAAAGGGAATACCAGTGGCTTTTAAACATGTGGGAAGTGATTAACCTTCCTTATAATAAGAGGTATGCAAAATAGATTATAGGGAGATACTGGTTTTGTTCACCTACTAAATGACAAATGATCAAAAACTTTGATAACATACTATGTGGGCAAGGATGTGGTAACACAGTCATTTTCATATCTATCAAAATTACAAACACATATATGTCCTTTAAACCAGTAACTGTATTTCCAAGAATTTATTGTGCAGACATACTTATACATGTACAAATATCTAATGTCTTATATGAAAAGTGTTCATCAATGCAGCATTATTTATAGTACCAAAAGATAAAACAACTGTCTGGGTGCGGTGGCGCATGCCTGTAATCCCAGCACTTTGGGAGGCCTAGGTGACTGGATCAATCACCTGAGGTCAGGAGTTCAAGACCAGCCTGGCCAACATGGTAAAACACCGTTTCTACTAAAAATACAAAAATTAGCCAGGCATGGTGGCGGGTGCCTGTAATCCCAGCTACTCGGGAGACTGAGGCAAGAGAATCGCTTGAACCCAGGAGGCAGAGGTTGCAGTGAACCAAGATCACACCACTGCACTCCAGCCTGGGCGATAGAATGAATCTCCTTGGAAAAAAAAAAAAAATCAAAGCTACAAAAATAAGCTTACTTTATGCTGTGTTTTTAACCAAATGCAAGTCATAATGACAGCCTCTGCATTAGTTCTGAGGATGTCCTTAAGAATGAATAAATATTATTTTTTCTTTTGTTTTGGGAGTTGTTTAATTTTCCCGAGAAAAATTGTAGCTCAGCATGTTAAGATAGTCTTGACTTTATATTCAACTTCGTGCTGGATCATAAAGTCAGTTTTTTTTTGTTGTTGTTTTGTTTTTGAGATGGAGTCTTGCTCTGTCGCTGAGGCTGGAGTGGATTGGCGCGATCTCGGCTCACTGCAACCTCTGCCTCCCGAGTTCAAGCCATTCTCCTACCTCAGCCTCCTGAGTAGCCTGGCTAATTTCTGTATTTTTAGTAGAGATGGGGTTTCACCATGTTGGCCAGGCTGGCCTGGAACTCCTGACCTCAGGTGATCCGCCCGCCTTGGCCTCCCAAACTGCTGGGATTACAGGCGTGAGTCACCGTGCCCGGCCGCATATGTTTTATTTTGAGGGGACAGAAGCAACTAAAATTTCAACAAAACCAATTCTTTGTGTTGCTCCCTCACTTCTTTCTATTGATCTAATAAACATCACATAGCACAGTGATGGTTGAAGACCAGTGGAAAAGAGAGAAAGTGAAAACTTAACAGGACTTCTTATTGTACGATTTTTATGTTTGCAAAGATGTGATATGAAATTTCATTTATTGCTGTCAAATATTGACATCTATCTGTGGACACAAAATAATCTTTTTTTTTCCTCCCCCACTGTCTATTTCCCTACCCAACCTTGCATTAAGAAAGCAATTGACAAACTAATGTATGGAAAGCGAATCTTTTGTGCTGTCTATAATGACCACATTTTCCTTTGGGCTCACCAAAGCCGTTCAAACAAGAGCTCCGTTGTCCCTTTCAGAAGAGAATAATAGAAAACTTAAATGAAACCTGGAGGTCATTTGACCTCTTAGGAAACGTGGAGGTAGACACCACAGCTCAAAACCCCGGAGCCTGTTAACATGTGACACATTGTACACACTCATATTTTTAGAGGAAAAGATGAGGATTTCTGCTGCCCTGGGAGGTTGTGGAATAATGCTTTCCTCATTTCAGGATTCTGAGCCTGTTTCCACATCAGAGAACCCATCAGATATATTTTATCCAAAACAAAGATAAAACTTGAGTAAAAATAATGATGATAATTATAACAGTAAGCATACCAGCAGCCACCATTTATTGAATGCTTAATATTTCATCCCCACTATGACCCTATGAGGTGGACATGATGATTGTGTCCATTCTACAGATGAACAAACTGAGGTTCAGAAAGGAAAAGCAGCTAATCCAGGAAGTCTTAAAGCTGGTGTTTAGATGTAGACTATTTTGGAAGCTTCTTTCCTAAACATTGTGTTATTCTGTTTCTTGTTTCTCTTTTTTTTTTTTTTTTTTTTTTGAGACGGAGTCTCGCCCTGTCACCCAAGCTGGAGTGCAGTGGTGTGATCTCAGCTCACTGCAAACTCCGCCTCCCGGGTTTAAGCGATTCTCTTGCCTCAGCCTCCCAAGTGGCTGGGATTACAGGCACCCACCACCCCACCTGCCTAATTTTTGTATTTTTAGTGAGACGGGGTTTCACCATATTGGCCAGGCTGGTCACAAACTCCTGACCTCAGGTGATCTGCCTGCCTCAGCCTCCCAAAGTGCTGGGATTACAGGCGTGAGCCACAATGCCTGGTCTCTGTTTCTTATCTCTTATAAACTCTTCTGTTGCCTTAAAAAATTAAAAAATTCAGCATGTAGACAGGTATGGTGGCTCAAGCCTGTAATATCAGCATTTTGGGAGGCCAAAGCAGGAGGATCACTTGAGGCCGGAAGTGTGAGACAAGCCTGGGAAACATAGTGAGACCCTGTCTCTACAAAAAATTAGCCAGGCGTGGTGGTGTATGCACCCGTAGTCCCAGCTACTTGGGAGGCTGAGGTGGGAAAAATGCTTGAGCCCATGAGTTTGAAGTCATAGTGAGCTATGATTGCACCAGTACACTCAAGCCCAGCCAGAATAACCATGTATTTAATTATATAATAAATGTTACTTAAAATTGTATACTGGTACATAATTTTCACAATTTAACCAAGGAGGTGCAAGATCTGTGCACTATAAAACTATAAAACATTGATGAAAGAAATTAAAGAAGATACAAATAAATGGAATGATAGCCCACGTTCATGGATGGGAAGAATTAATATTTTATTTCTAGAAATTGATCCAGCAGAGATTCTCCACCAGTGAGAACATCAAACATCTCACACCAGGGAGAATATCTGCTGGATCAATTCCTAGAAATAAAACAGCTGCATCAAAGTAAAATATGCATGGTAAATTTTGGCAAATATCGCCAAGTTGCTTGCTCATCAATAGTAGACTGGCCAAAGAAATGATGGTACCTCCTTACTGAAGAACATTATGCAGCCATCATAAGAATGAGGAGGTATTAAAAGTAATTGCAGAAACCACAATTACTTTTGCACCAACCTAATGTTAGCTGATATGAATGCCCCCGTCCTATGCAGGTGAATTAAAAAGCAAGGCACAAACTGGTGTTATGGTATTTATCATTGTTAAGGTTTTATAAATGTGCATTATTGCGCAAGGAGTGGTTCTGGAAGGATAAACGAGAAAATGATTAACCCATTGGCTTCAGGGACGGAAACTGAATGGCTGCTGGGTAATGGGGACAGAAGATAGTCTACTCTTTGGCACTTCTTGAATTTTGTAGCATGTGAATGTATAACTTGTTCAACTGAAAAATTCACCCTATAGATTTACAAAATATCAGAACTATCATCTTGCCACCAGCCCAGTTATATGGATGAGAAAACTGAGGCCCAGTAGAGTCAGCTGATGCAGGCCTGGCCCGATGCTCTGCACACTCTGCATCCTGCCCCTAGACATCCTTATGCTTTCTCCTTTGAGGCTCTCAGAAGCTTGGGAGCAGACAGTGTGGCACTGAATACTGGGAAGAAATGCATCCCAAAGGCCATAGAAATCTTTTCTGGGGAGCTGGCTAGAAAGGCTGGGACAGTTTGAATGGCACCAGTGATCACATGGTCAGGAACATCACCCAGAACACAAACAGCCACAGCATCTTTTTTTTTTTTTTTTTTTTTTTTTTTTTTTTGAGACAGAGTTTCACTCTTGTCACCCAGGCTGGAGTGCAGTGGTGTGATCTCGGCTCACTGCCACCTCCGCCTCCTGGGTTCAAGCTATTGCCCTGCCTCAGCCTCCTGAGTAGCTGTGATTACAGGCACATGCCACCATGCCTGGCTAATTTTTGTATTTTTAGTACAGACGGTGTTTCACCATGTTAGTCAGGCTAGTCTTGAACACCTGACCTCGTGATCCACCTGCCTTGGCCTCCCAAAGTGCTGAGATTATAGGCGTGAGCCACTGCACCCAGCCACCACAGCACCTTTGTTGGATGACACTCATGTGCCCCATTTATCTCCCTTAATCCTGAATTCAACCCCTTGAGTCAAACTCTATGGCCACCTCCATAGGCTCTGGCACCATTGGCTCACACCTCGAAAGCCAACAGCCACGGTCTACCACTATGCTCAGCCATCTTTCTCTCTTTAAAAGTCATTGATTGGGGCTGGCCAGTGGCTCACACACGCCTGTAATCCAGCACTTTGGTAGGCCGAGGCGGATGGATCACTTGAGGTCAGGAGTTAGAGACCAGCTGACCAACATGGTGAAACCCCATCTCTACCAAAAATACAAAATTAGCCGGGCGTGGTGGGAGGCTACTTGGGAGACTGAGGCAGGAGACTCACTTGAACCTGGGAGGTGGAGCTTGCAGTGAGCTGAGATTGTGCCATTGCACTCCAGCCTGGGCAATAAGAGCGAAACTCTGTCTCAAAAAAAAAAAAGTCATTGATTGATCTCTTTCTGGTTTAACTGCTATTATTTAGTTTTATAGCATTACATTCAAGTTTTTATAGCATTACAATTCCTAGATTCTATTTTCAAATATTGATTTGCTTAATTTTTTTTTTTTTTTTGAGATGGGGTTTTGCTCTGTCGCCCAGGCTGGAGTGCAATGGCATGATCTTGGCTCACTGCAACCTCTGCCTCCTGGGTTCAGCCATTCTCCTGCCTCAGCCTCCCGAGTGGCTGGGACTACAGGTGCCCGCCACCACGCCTGGCTAATTTTTTTTTTTTATATTTTTAGTAGAGACGGGGTTTCACCATGTTAGCCAGGATGGTCTCGATCTCCTGACCTCGTGATCCGCCCGCCTCGGCCTCCCAAAGTGCTAGGATTACAGGCTTGAGCCACCGCGCCTGGCCTTTAATATAATTTTTATGAAGACATTATTTCCACTTCATTGGGCTCTCTAGAATTAGATTGCATAAATACTGTAGTTTTATTTCAATAAAAAGTCAACTGTTATTTAAACCATGACTAAAGCTTGACATGAATAGAGACTTTAAAACAATAAACATTGCCAGACATGGTGGCACATGCCTGTAGTCTCAGCTACTCAAGAAACTGAGACAGGAGGATCTCCTGAGCCAAGGAGTTCCAGCCCAGCCTGGACAACATAGTGAGATCCCATCTCTTAAAAAAAAAAAAAAAAAGATTTGCTTAATTTTACTTTTACAATTTTTTCTTTTCTTTTTTTTTTTTTTTTTTTTTTTTTTTTTGAGATGGAGTCTTGCTCTGTTACCAGGCTGGAGTGCAGTGGTGTGATATCGGCTCCCTGCAACCTCTGCCTCCTGGGTTAAAGCAATTTTCCTGCCCCAGCCTCCCGAGTAGCTGGGACTACAGGCGCGCGTCACCACACCCAGCTAATTTTTGTATTTTTAGTAGAGATGGGGTTTCACCATGTTGGCCAGGATGGTCTCAATCTCTTGATCTCGTGATCCGCCCACCTTGGCCTCCCAAAGTGCTGGAATTACAGGCGTGATCCGCCATAACCTGGCCTTCCTTCTTTTCTTTAAAAATTTTTTTCTGAGACAGAGTCTCACTCTGTTGCCCAGCCTGGAGTGCAGTGGCACAATCTCGGCTCACTGTAGCCTCCACCTTCTGGGTTCAAGTGATTCTCGTGCCTCAGCCTCCCGAGTAGCTGTGACTACAGGTGTGTGCCCTCATGCCTGGCTAATTTTTGTATTTTTAGTAGAGATGGGGTTTCACCATGTTGGCCAGGCTGGTCTCGAACCCTGGGCTCAAGTGTTCTGTCTGCCTCAGCCCCCCAAAGTGCTGGGATTACAGGCATGAGCCAAAGTGCCTGGCTAGAAAATTGTAAAAGTAACTTAATATCTGCCTCATATACTTTTGTTTTATTTAAAAATGCAAATCCTCAACCACAAATCGAAACAAGAACAACCCTCTGATGACTTCCCTCCCTCTCTCTTTGTACAAAGAAGACTTTCTGCTGTCTGACTCTGACCACCTTGGTCTATTTTATGGAGCTCCAACCCTGCCTTGTTTCCTTCTCAGGCCATCTGTCCTGGTTGGCCTCACTGTTGGAAATGCTCTTCTCAAGATGTTCACGTGGCTGGTTCTTTGTCATTCAGTCTCAGTTCAAATACTCCCTCCTCCAGGAAGCCTTCCCTAACTTCCTAGGTGAAAGTGGTTCCCTTCCCCTGAGTCACGATTATGGTTTCTTCAGTGTACTTATTAATGGCCAACACTGTCTCCTTTATTGTTTGCTTATGAATTTAAAGTCTGTTAGCAGCACCTGCAGCTTTTAAAAGCCTCCTTGTCTCTCTCTCTTTTTTTTTTTTTTTTTTTTTTTGAGGCGGAGTTTCGCTCTTGTTGGCCAGGCTGGAACGCAGTGATGCGATCTCGGCTCAGTGCAACCTCCACCTCTTGGGTTCAAGTGATTCTCCTGCCTCAGCCTCCTTAGTAGCTGAGACTACAGGCATGTGCCACCATGCTGGCTAATTTTTGTATTTTTAGTAGAGACAGGGTTTCGTCATATTGGCCAAGCTGGTCTCGAACCCCTGACCTCAGGTGATCCACCCATCTTGGCCTCCCAGATGCTGGGATTACAGGCGTGAGCCACTGCGCCTGGCCTAATTGTCATTTTCGTTTTTTTGTTGAGACAGAGTTTCTGTCACCCAGGCTGGAATGCAGTGGCACGATCTCAGCTCACTGCAGCCTCTGCCTCTTGGGTTCAATTGATTCTCCTGCCTCAGCCTCCCAAGTAGCTGGGACTACAGGTGTGTGCCACCACACCCAGCTAATTTTTTCATTTTTAGTAGAGACGGGGTTTCACCATGTTGGTCAGGCTTGTCTCGAACTCCTGACCTCAGGTGATCCGTCCAACTTGGCCTCCCAAAGTGCTGAGATTACAGGCATGAGCTACCGTGCCCAGCTCTCAATTGTCACTTTTAGTGCATATTTTCTGGTTGTATAAAAGCTCTCCCATGCAAGAGGGCTGATGTTATAACAGTCGATTATTATACTGTCCTGCATTTTCATCAGGTAAAGAAAGCTTTTCATGTTTCACTGAGAATAGTCAACCCCTTCACAATGTAGAACCCGAAGATTGGATCTTCTGAGAACATCAGAGAAAGACTGTCCTTGCCATCCACACTGCAAGAAAACTTCAGGATCTTGAACCTTGCGTTCATAATCTCGCAAATGAAAAGGGTCCCTCCACACTCTTGGAACTGTACACCCATTGGAACCTTTAAGGTAAAGCTAACCAAGGAAGTCTCCCCAGAAGAAGATGGCATCCTTGATGTGAACAGCTTTTCCTAAGATCGTGGATCAAGACTTCTACCATCATGAGACTTTCATGAATATTTTTTCCTTGTTAATGTCTCTATGGTTTTTTTTTTTTGTTTTTTTTTTGTTTTTAGGCGGAGTCTCGCTCTGTTGCCCAGGCTAGAGTGCAATGGCGCAATCTTGGCTCACTGCAATCTCCACCTCCCTGGTTCAAGTGATTCTCCTGCCTCAGCCTCCCTAGTAGCTGAGACTACAGGCACATGCCACCATGCCCAGCTAATTTTTTTGTATTTTTAGTAGAGACGGGGTTTCACTATGTTGGCCAGGCTGGTCTCGAACTCCTGACCTCAGGATATCCATCTGCCTCAGCCTCCCAAAGTGCTGGGATTACAGGCATGAGCCATCTCACCAGGCCTAGTTTTAGACTTTTGAACCATGTGGATATACACCCATGAAAAGTTAAATAATAAGGATGTAAGATAATTGTATACTACCTTATAAATATTCTTTTAAAAAATAAACTGGTTAAATTTTTATAAGAAGCCTATCTTTCCAATCTTTGAGACAGCTGACAATAATGATTTTTTTAATGGGAAAATATGTACATGCCACTGTAAATCAGTTAACTAGGGGGTTGGGGATGAAGAGAGGATGGTTAATGGATGCAAGCACATAATCAGATAGAAGGAGTAAGTTCTAGTGTTCTATAGCACAGTAGGGTGACTGTAGTTAACAAGAATGTATTGTGTATTTCAAAACAGCCACAAGAAAAGATTTGAAATATTTCCAACACACACACATACAAATAAGTTAACTAGTATGAAAATATTGAAATACCTAACGCCTCTTTTTTTTTTTTTTTGAGATGGACTGTTGCTCTGTCACCCAGGGTGGAGTGTAGTGGCGCGATCTCAGCTCACTGCAACCTCCACCTCCTGGGTTCAAGCAATTCTCCTGCCTCAGCCTCCCGAGTAGCTGGGATTACAGGCGCACGGCACCATGCCCGGCTAATTTTTGTGTTTTCAGTATAAACGGGTTTTCCACCACATTGGCCAGGCTGGTCTTGAACTCCTGACCTCGTGACCCGCCCACCTCGGCCTCCCAAAGTGCTGGGATTACAGGTGTGAGCCACCATGTCTGACCATGCCTCTTCTTTTCCTTAGTCCTTCCATACCTCGGAGATAACTCTTATTAATAGGAGCCCCTCATCTTCCATCCACTCCTCACCACTTTAACCATCTTCATGGTTAGATTACATAACACATGTAGATTTACAATTAACCTTATTTTTTAATTTTTTATTTTTTGAGATGGGGCTTTCGCTACATTGCCCAGGCTGATCTTAAAATCCTGGGCTCAGGCAATCCTCTTGCCTCAGCCTCCTGAGTACCTGGGAAGAGGCATGCACCACTTGAGCCCAGGCAATTTGTCTTTTCAATTGGCAATGCAACCGATGCATTTCCTGTCAGAATATCTGCTCCTTCATTTTATTTTAGTGGTATTTTATCCTTTGCACGTACCATAAATTTTTTTTTTTTTTTTTGAGACACAGTCTCGCTCTGTTGCCCAGGCTGGAGTGCAATGGTGCGATCTCTGCTCACTGCAACCTCCGCCTCCCCAGTTCAAACAATTCTCCTGCCTCAGCCTCCTGAGTAGCTGAGATTACAGGCATATGCCACCATGCCCAGCTAATTTTTGTATTTTTAGTAGAGACAAGGTTTCACCATGTTGGTCAGGCTAGTCTCGAACTCTTGACCTCATGATCAACCCACCTCGGCCTATCAAACTGCTGGGATTACAGGCATGAGCCACCGCGCCTGGCCACATACCATAAATTTTTAAGGAAACCTCTCATGGTGACTATTTAGGCATTTCTATTTTTTCTACTATCATAAATAATGTCATAGTATAGATCCCTTTGTATATGCTGATAGGATTTAAACCACTATCATTTTTTTCTTTTTGAGATGGTGTCTCACTCTGTTGCCCAGGCTATAGTGCAGTGGCACCATCTCCCCTCACTGCAACCTCCACCTCCCAGGTTCAAGCAATTCTCCTGCCTCAGCCTCCTGAGTAGCTGGGATTATAGGCATGTGCCAACATGCCCAGCTAATTTTTGTGTTTTTAGTAGAGACGGGGTTTCACCATGTTGGCCAGGATGGTCTTGATCTCTTGACCTCAGGTGATCCGCCTGCCTCAGCCTCCCAATGTGCTGGGATTACAGGCATGAGCCGCCGTGCCCGGCCTCATTTTAAAAATTTTATTTATTTTTCGAGACAGAGTCTCGCTCTGTCGCCCAGGCTGGAATGCAGTGGTGTGATCTTGACTCACTGTAACCTCCACCTCCTGGGTTTAAGCAATTCTCATGCCTCAGCTTGCTGAGTAGACCTGGGATTGTAGGCGCATGCCACCGTGCCTGACTAATTTTTGTATTTTTAATAGAGACGGGGTTTCACCATGTTGGCCAGGCTGGTCTCGAACTCCTGACCTCAGGTGATCCTCCCACCTAGGCCTCCCAAAGTGCTGGGATTATAGGTATGAGCCACTGTGCCCGGCCTACCACTATCATTTTTATAGTAAAATTAATTTAGTAGGCCTATGCCCTGGGCAAAATTTCTTCACTTCGTTGTTGCTTATTTACCAAACGGGTAAATTTTTCTTATTTTTTATTTTTATTTATTAATTTATTTTTTCTTTTGTTGCTAATCATGTTTTTAAAAAAACTCCAATGCTAGTTTCACAGACTTAAGATTCAGATAACTACTTTTAAAAGAATCCTTGTAAATATTACTTCAGTCGAAGTCATTTTTTAGTCAGTAATAAAACTCAGTTTAGGAACCCAAGAACAAAGGCAGAGCCTCAGAATGAATTTACATGTGACCGTTTTCTGAAATCTTACGTCTAAGGAAAAAGTTAGAGACTGACATTTCTAAATCTAATTTATTTTAGGCTTAAGAATATAGATGCATAAGTTTTCCCAGAGACTTAAAGAAATCTTTATTGATAACAGAGAGAATGAAACAAAAGTAATAAATCACCAGAGAGGACCAGCTCACAAAAATACCTGAATGAAGGCACGTATTGCATCATTGTTGGCAATCGTGAAAAATTTGAAAAACCTTAAATGGCCACTAAAAGAGAAGTGGTTGTATATATCATGATATATCCATCCATGGACTACTATGTATAAATAAAAAAGAATGAGGCGGACTTATATGTATCAGTTTGGAAAGACTGGCAAGTCTAATAGCTGAGTGAGATAAAAGAAGTACATGATTGTCATTATGGTATGACAGCATTAATTAAAAAAAAACCACGGCAATATATGTGTATAGATATGCATTTTTGCATGTATGTGTGTAGATATGTGCATTTATGGATGTAAATTCCTGCAAGAGACACAGAAGACACACACACATCCTAGCAAGAGGGGAGTGGCCTAATGTTAGAAACAGAGAAACAGTGCAAGAGACATTTAGATTTACTTTGCAAACTCTCAGTGTCGACTCTTTTACAGATATGCACGGCTGGTGTTATTAAGTATATTTTCAAGCACAAAGGAACCAGAGGTCGATGGTGAAATCAGATGCTTTCAATGGAAACATATTTCATTCTTCTAAAAATAACTTTGGTGATTCGGAATCCATCCTTAATCGTAGCAGCCAGCCCATTTTTGTGGCTCTTTCATTTCCCCCAGAAAAAAAAAAAGTGTATAAACACAGCAGGATATAAATGCATGCATCTGGAGAAGATGAACTTTTACACTAGTTCTGCCTTTTCAGCTTTCTAAAATGTGGACCTTACCAATTTCTTTGACCTCCCCCTCCTTTTTTTCCATTCCAATGCATGGCGGTGACAAGGCATTGAATTACCAGTTTGTCACTAACGCCATAGGCTTTATTATTCCTTTGAACAGAAGCTGGGCTTAAAAAGAAAAGTTTTTCTTAATAAGTAGCTGTTCATCCTTTGATATGCACATCTGGATCTGTGGTCTTATCTGCGGCATGCTAATGCTGCTTCCTGCAGATAATGATAAAGGAACAACTCAAAATAACAAAAAAGGAATAAAATGTGCCAGATGCCTAAAAAATAAGGAGGACAATGCAAATAAAAGCAACTGGTTTTTCTATTCTGGAGAATAAACTCTACCCACAATTGAAGTAATCATTTTGGTGGTTACTTGATACACACTTTTTTTTTTAAGAGATTAGGAAGGAAAAAAAAAAAGCAAACATCAGCTGACAAGCACTGCCACATTCTGTTAGAAATTAAGAGGGAAATAAACCTAAGTACGCTATAAATCACTTTGGGGTTTAATTTTGCTTCTACCCTGCTACATCGTTTCTTCTGTTTCTTCTTTTTTCTTCATTTGGCTGTGGCTTAAACATTGTTAATTAAAAGCCAAACTGAAAGATTTTGACTCATACATTTTTTAGGAATATAAAATATTTCAAATATACAGAAAAGTACCAGGAATACCGTAAGGAACATTCGTGTATCTACCATCAGGGTTTAACAATTTTTCTATTTTTCCTTCCTGTTCATTTTTAAAGAATACATTTCCTTCATTCTGAGTTTTTTCAAATGTGATTTTTCTTGATTTCTGTATCACCTTTGTTCACTAAAAGAAGGTGTTCTTCTTATAAAAATATGATTTTCTCAGTTTTAGTCAAGTTTCTCAAAGGAGCTTTCTTTCCCTGCTCTGTGTAAATGGGTCTTGTTTTGAAAGTTAGATTAGCGTTAAGACGTAAGAGTGAAATTGTTATATAATACATATATGATTTCTAGATATTATGTATGATTTCTGTCTAGGTGATCTTTGTTCTTTATGACTTCTTTTCACAAGAGGCAACGATAAACCTGCTTTGTCAATACGTGCATAGACCTTCAGTAGTTCTGAGGCTGATTGTAACTGGTATTTTAATAGGCAAATAAAAACTTCTGCTTTACATAAATTGCTCTATAAACTGGGAGCTGAGGATTGTGAGGAGGGCGAAAAGGCCATGGTGCCCTCTCTACCGCTGCACAAACCCAGATTGTGTGTGGTTGGGATCCCTTGGTAGCCCAACCAGATAAGAGTCATGAATTGATTCCACATTAGCATGCAGCAGGCATGGGAAAATGATAAACTCCTATTACCACTGTCATGGCAACTGAAAAAATGGCTGCTTTGGGGGGAACAAGGTCCACAGGAGAAGAAAAGCGAAGCCCCGTCTCTTTCTTCTGTTTGACATCTGTTGTTTAACATACAAAATTGTATTATCGTGACGCAAGCGAGTCAGCCAGGGCTAAAGCCTGGCTAGGAATTGTCAAAACCATACTGCCCCAACTCCCATTCCCCTCTCTCTACCATGAGAGTATATAATTTGACCCCGGACATTTCCACGAAGGGCAGTAAATTCCCCTCCCTTTTCATCCCAGGTACAAAAAGCGTGAAGTGCCTTGGGAAGGTGGAATAGAGGGAGGAGGGTCTTTTTGGGGGGTAGTGGAGAAGGGAGACATGCTATCAATTATGAAGCAAAAATAAAGCTCTTCTCCGTTTGCAGTTGCTTCTCTAAATGATTCATTCCTCCCTCCTCCCTTCCCCCAACCTTCCCTCAAGAACATTTTAGATTTTTCTTTTATTTATTTATTTATTTATTTTTGAGACAGAGTCTCACTCTGTCACCCAGGCTGGAGTGCAATGGCCCAGTCTCGGCTCAGTGCAACCTCCGCCTCCCAGGTTCAAGCGATTCTCCTGCCTCAGCCTCCCTAGTATCTGGGATTACAGGCACATGACTGGCTGATTTTTGTATTTTTAGTAGAGATGGGGTTTCACCATGTTGGCCAGGCTGGTCTCAAACTCCTGACCTTGTGATCCGCCCACCTCAGCCTCCCAAAGTGCTGGGATTACAGGCGTGAGTCATCGCAGCCAGCCCTAGATTTTTCTAAAACAGCAATTTGAGCGGGGCTTGTGAACACAGACAAAACATGAGCAGATAGGCTACAAGCAGGGATGGCAGCCTTAGGCGCAGGGCTGAAGGTTGAAAATCCTGATTGCAGGTCATTGAGAAAAGGCTAGAAGGAAACACACCTGAGTGCTAACCAGGAGTTGGACAAGAGGTGGATTTTTATTTCCTTCTTAATATAGCCCTTTTCAAAATGTTTAATAAAGTACCTGTGTCAGTCACTCTCATACTCAGCAGAAATATCCAATAAGCTTTCGGAGGTCCAGGAATGGGTCTCAAAGGAGCTTTCAAAGGGTCTCAAAGATCTCAAAGTTTCTCTCAAAGGAGGATTGAGGTGTAGATGCTCACACAAAAATTCTGTTCGGCAAATTTCCATATGATCCAAACATATCACTTGAAGCAAATCCTTTGCATATAAATATAAATATATACAAATTTATTTGTATATTATATATAATATTTATATATCATGCATTATATTTATACATTATATATTATATTATATTATATTTATATATTTATATTATATATTATATATTATATTTATATATTTATAATATATAATATATAATATATAATATATTATATTATATTTATATATTTTATATTATATATTATATATTATATATTATATTTATATATTATATTTATATATTATATATTATATTTATATATTATATATATTTATATAGTATATACATATTATAGATTTATATTATATATAAATTTATATATTTCATGAAATTTATATAAATATATAAATATAAATAAATATATATATTTCATGAGGACATTTAAATGAGTGACTTTCAAACACGCTTCACTTCCCACCTCCCCACAGTTGTGTAACCAGAACAAACCTAGTACCATTTTGGGTTGTTTTCACAACACAGCCTTTAAACAGCTGTGAAAGATTGGGGCCATCCTAAAATGGACTAAATTGTAATTTCCAGTAAGAGTGAGATTAAGCCCCTTGATAGGACAAGATCAGATAAGTGCAAACAAAAGCAAGAACATTTATATAATCAATCTCGGCCATTAGCAAAGTTAGCATTTTAAGGTGGTAAAACAAAAAAGGAACCTCTTGGCCAAACCCGCACCCCATGTGCAGTTTGGAACTTCCCAGTTTAAAGACTATCATCTTTAAATAGGATCCTATCGAATGGGCAGGCTTTGAGGGGATGCAGAAGCAAAACCAGTGGAAAAGGTCAGAACTGCTCTGTTTGTTTTTCCAAATTGTCGGAGTAAAGTTACAATATGCCACCTGGGTAAGCCTACTAGCTAAATATCCAGATAATGTACACAGTAACCACAGGGATTTCTCGGACAGATTGGAAACGTTGGAGGAGGAATTTGCTTGGGGGAAGGGAACTAGACGAACCTGGGTTAAGCCCTCCCTAAGCATGGAGGGGTTGCTCAGTGCCTGACATGAAAAACGGTCTTATTTTTAATCCTCAGGACATCTCTTTGAGGAAGGTATTATTATTCCCAGAATAATAATAGGGGATGGGGGATGGCTCGTGTGACTTGCCCCTGGCATTTTCCTTCATGGATATTCCCGTATCTGATCATTTCTGCTTGTGTTTGAGCTTTCAGTTTCATCAGCATAATCTTTGTCGGAAGGCGGGAGTTTTACATTTGCAATTCTAGATTTTTCTTTCTGCTGGCGTTCCGGCAGACCACTACTGTTTGTTATATATCTACTTCACATCAAATAAGTCAAGCCGTAGAAAAAGTCCTGGGAGGTTTCCTGGGGTGTGGGTGTGGGGCCTCTGTGATATTTCTCTTTGCAGTTTAAGATTTTGAAAGGCAGAGGGTCTGAGGGGCAAGGGGAGAAAGTCCCCCCAGAGAGCGGTTTCTTTTTTCTTTCTTTTTTTTTTGGAGATGGAGTTTTGCTCTTGTTGCCCAGGCTGGAGTGCAGCCGCGCGATCTCAGTTCGCTGCAACCTCCACTTCCTGGGTTCAAGCGATTCTCCTGCCTCAGCCTCCCAAGTAGCTGGGATTACAGGCATGTACCACCATGCCTGGCTAATTTTTGTATTTTTAGTAGAGATGGGGTTTCACCATGTTGGCCAGGCTGGTCTTGAACTCTTGACCTCAGGTGATCTGCCCATCTCGGCCTCCCAAAGTGCTGGGATTACAATCATGAGCCGTTGCAGCTGGCACAAAGAGCCTTTTCAATTCAAATCCTCACCCACCTTCTCCCTAGTCTTTTCACTGGATGTCTGGGGGCTCACACCTGCTCTCTGACACTCCCATAATAAAGTTACTACCAAGGCCAACTATGGATCAGACTCACCTGGTGAATTTTCAGAAAACAGATATTTGCTTCCAATTTACATACAGGCTCAGATCCTGAAGGTCTAGTAATTAGACTCATTGCAAAAGTGCCCTCCGCTGATTCTCAAAATCAGAAATAACTATGAATGCATAGGAACACATACAAATTTAAAGTTATGAGAATCACTAATACATAGAAAACAATTTCAGATTTGATTACTGGCCAGGTCCACAGCTCAGCGTAAATGTCACCTGTTTAAAGAGATCTTCACCATCATCTTCCAAATTCTAGCCCTTTTAATAGCATAGAGTGGATATCATTTATCTGTGCATTCATCATTTGCTTCTCCCCAACAGAATGTTAGCTGCCTAAGAGCCAGAGTCTTTTCCACCCTCTTCTCGGTCAAGTTCAAAGTGTCTAGGTTAGTGTCTACACATCGCAGGTATTCAGTTTCTGCTGGGTGGGTGCATGAGTGAACAAATTTTTTTTTTTTTTTTTTTTTTGAGACAGAATCTTGCTCTATCACCCAGGCTGGAGTGCAGTGGTGCCATCTCGGCTCACTGCAGCCTCTGCCTCCTGGGTTTGAGCAATTCTAGTGCCTCAGCCTCCGGACTAGCTGGGACTACAGGCACCCGCCACCACGCCCAGCTAATTTTTGTATTTTTAGTAGATGGGGTTTCACCATGTCGGCCAGGCTGGTCTTGAACTACTGACCTCAAGTGATCCGCCTGCCTAGGCCTCCCAAAGTGCTGGGATTACAGGTGTGAGCCACTGTGTCTGGCCTGAACGAATGATTTGATTAGAAAAGGTTCAGTCAGCTAAGAGATACCCTAGCATTTATCTGATCTGGCCTCCTTGTTTAAGAAATCCTGGGAGGCAGGACAGAAAGCCAACCTGGCTAGCTGAGGTCACCATTCCTGGGCTTCTCATCATACCTGCCACAGTGGCCACTGTGAACAACTTTCTTCTCCTCTGACACCTGGGATTTTTTGTTTCAAATACTCAAAGGTGTGTATTACAGTATTGTTAATGGTAGCAAACACAAAAACAAAACCAACAAAAAACCTCTAGAAACAAAAGGAAAGAATCCTGACACATTCACACCATGGAATATTATATAGATATTAAGTAAAATGAGATAAAACTGGAAAAATTGTCTTAAAGGAATTTCCATTAAGTATTGTTGAGGGAGGAGAGAGGCTGGGTAAGAGGTAGGATTATTATGATAGAAAGGGAAAAGTTGGTAGAATTTTTTTTAAAAAAGAAGAAAATTAAATAATGGTGGTATTTTAAAAATATGTATGATATATCCACTTTATGTATCTATGAAAATTGCACAATTAAACATGCTTGTATGTAAGCAGAAGTTTTCTTTTTTAAAAAATGTGGGATGGCTGGGTGTGGTGGCTCACGCATGTAATCCCAGCACTTTGGGAAGCTGAGGTGGGTGGATAACCTGAAGTCAGGAGTTTGAGACCAGCCTGACCAACATGGTGAAACTCCATCTCTACTAAAAATACAAAATTAGCTGGGCATGGTGGTGCTTGCCTGTAATCCCAGCTACTTGGAAGGCTGAGGCAGGAGAATTGCTTGAACCCGGGAGGCAGAGGTTGCAGTGAGCCGAGATGGAGCCATTGCACTGAAGCCTGGGTGACAAGAGTGAAACTCCGTCTCAAAAACAAAAACAAAAAAAGCAAGATGCACCTACAGTGATAAAAAGGATAATGTATAGCTTCAAATGTAGGAAAGAAGGATTAAAAATAAATAAGCTGCCGGGCACAGTGGCTCACGCCTGTAATCCCAGCACTTTGGGAGGCCGAGGCGGGCAGATCATGAGGTCAGGAGATCGAGACCACAGTGAAAGCCCGTCACTACTAAAAAATACAAAAAATTAGCTGGGCGTGGTGGCGGGCACCTGTAGTCCCTGCTACTCAGGAGGCTGAGGCAGGAGAATGGCATGAACCTGGAAGGCAGAGCTTGCAGTGAGCCGAGATCGCGCCACTGCACTCCAGCCTGGGTGACAGAGCAAGACTCTGTCTCAAAAAAAAAAATAAAAAATAAAATAAATAAGCTAACATTTACTTCAAAATGCAGTAAGAAGAAAAACAGGGTCAAATATAAAGAAAGATGGAAATAAAAGGAAATAACCATCTGAAAAAAATTTAAACAGAAAATGTCCTAAAGCTAATATGAAACGTTCGGCCAGGTGCGGTGGTTCATGCCTGTAATCCCAGCACTTTGGGAGACTGAGGCTGGCACATCACTTTAGGTCAGGAGTTTGAGATTAGCCTGACTGAGATGATAAAACCCCATCTCTACTAAAACTACAAAAATTAACCAGGTGTGGTGGCACATGCCTGTATTCCCAGCTACTCGGGAGGCTGAGGCAGGAGGATCGCTTGAACCTGGGAGTTGTTGCAGTGAGCGGAGATCGTGCCACTGCATTCCAGCCTGGGCGACAGAGTGAGACTCCGTCTCAAAAAAAAGCTAATATGAAATGTTAACAGTTGTGGCTGGGCGCGGTGGCTCGCGCCTGTAATCCTAGTACTTTGGGAGGCCGAGACGGGTGGATTGCCTGAGCTCAGGAGTTTGAGACCAGCCTGGGCAACACAGGGAAGCCCTGTCTCTACTAAAATACAAAAAATTAGCCGGGCATGGCGGTGTGCGCCTGTAATTCCAGCCACTCAGGAGGCTGAGGCAGGAGAATTGCTAGAAGTTGGGAGGCGGAGGTTGCAGTGAGCTGAGATTGTGCCACTGCACTCCAGCCTGGGCAACAGAGCGAGACTCCATCTCAAAAAAAAAAGAAATGTTAACAGTTGTTATTTTAAAAGAAGGTTACAAAGCTGCTCATTGTATTTTTTTTTCTACTTTCTGTATTTTTAAACTTTCCTGTTAGAAAATTATACATCAAAAGTAAAGTGTCCCCATGAGGTCATTCTGTCCCCAGGAGTGGGAGGCTTGCCAGGCCTCTGGGTGGGGTGATGCCGTGCTCCTCCCAACCTTGATGCCAGGACTTCCTAACCAGGGGACACCTCATTTCGGTTCTGGTCAGCCTGGCTTTACTTCTCTCCTTACTGCCCCCTTATGGTAGCCATTTGCCAGGGTTTTGTCTTCCTTGGTTATGTCCCTAGCTAAGAGTGTTCTGGAGCCTTGATGTGGATCTTGTGTAGAGGATGAAAGCTAAAAAGTCAGGGAGCCACTTAAGGCATCCCTGGCCTGGGGAAAGGAGCCTTCCTTCTTCCCATTTCCCTTGTCAATGATGCCGGCTCCGTGGATTCTACTCCCATACTTGGGTAGATAATCTGGAAGTCTACTCCTCATCTTTTATGCAGGTTTTAGTTCTGGATAGTTCTTCAATCCTGTCCACTTCCCACTCCCACCCCCAAACGGTGCACTATGTATGAGCCATGCAGTAGGTACCCCGCATAAAGGGAAACTCGCACCTCCCTTCCTCACAGACTCCCATGGCGGGGAAGCTGGACTTGGCACAGGTGGAGTCCTGGGGAGTAAGTTCTTGGGCTGGCATGTTCATCATCTCACTGGTGGGCTCACCTTGGGCAAATGACAATTTCTCTAAGACTCAGTTTCTTCTTGCAGAAAACTAGGACCACAAACTGGGTATACATTAAGTAGATAATGAGTGTTTGGACTTTTGTTTACTGTGTATCTTTCCCAGTTTGTCTGGAGGGCATAGTCTTTCATGGTTTCGTTCAGCATGGTTTTCTTAGAGCGTTTATGCATGCCTGTCACATGTAGGCATTCTGGAAATATTTGTTGAATGAAGTACTTTTGCTTTGTAGTTTTACTTTAAATCTTCCCTTACTTCTCTTGGAGATTTTTTTTTTTTTTTTTTTTTTTTTTTTTGTGACGGACTTTCGCTCTTTTTTTTTTTTTTTTTTTTTTGAGACGGAGTCTCGCTGTCGCCCAGGCTGGAGTGCAGTGGCGCAATCTCGGCTCACTGCAGGCTCCGCCCCCTGGGGTTCACGCCATTCTCCTGCCTCAGCCTCCCGAGTAGCTGGGACTACAGGCGCCCGCCACCTCGCCCGGCTATTTTTTTGTATTTTTAGTAGAGACGGGGTTTCACCGTGTTAGCCAGGATGGTCTCGATCTCCTGACCTCGTGATCCACCCGCCTCGGCCTCCCAAAGTGCTGGGATTACAGGCGTGAGCCACCGCGCCCGGCCCGGACTTTCGCTCTTGTTGCCCAGGCTGGAGTGCAATGGCGCGATCGATCTCAGCTCACCAAAACCTCCACCTCCCAGGTTCAAGCGATTCTCCTGCCTCAGCCTCCTGAGTAGCTGGGATTACAGGCATGCGCCACCATGCCAGGCTAATTTTGTATTTTTAGTAGAGCCTGGGTTTCTCCCTGTTGATCAGGCTGGTCTCGAACTCCTGACCTCAGGTGATCTGCCCGCCTCGGCCTCTCGGCCTCCCAAAGTATTGGGATTACAGGTGTGAGCCACCATGCCCAGCCTAGGAGGAGATATTTTTAAGGGTTTAAAGAACATACCTAGACATAGAATTGTTGGGTCGTGGGAAATTCACACCTTCAGCTTCAACTAGATATCACCAATTGTTCTCCAAAGAGGTCTGCCAATTTCTACTCCCAAATAGCAGTTTATAAGGGTTTCCTTCTGTTCACGTTCTCTCTAGAACCTGGTACTTTCGGATTTTAACTGCTATGCCATCCTGATGGGAATGAAATGCTTTTTCTTTAAAGGGAAGAATGAAAATGGCAGGTCCACTTTAGGCTATACGACATATTGAACAATTTTAATTTTACTGTTACTGGATATTTACATTTTAGTTATCCCAGATCTCAGCTCCGATGTCTCTTCTGGGGAGGACTTTGCTGAATCCCTATATAAGTTGGTTTTCCCTTCAGTCACTGACTATCCCATCTGTCTATTTCCCTTCCCTTCTGTCTATTTCCCTTCCCAAGCACAGAAGTCGGAAAGCATCTTTTGGATTGTACTTGTTTACTGCTTTCTCTCCCAGGAGACTTTAAGCGCCCTTGCCTGTCTTGTTCACCACTGCACCTCCAGGCCTAGCACAGAGCCTGGTACAGGACAAGAATGTACAAAATATATAGAGAATAAATGAAAGAGTGTATGGACTTATTGAAAAGCAGAAGCCAGTGGACTAATTCAACACTGGACTCACTAAAATGAATCTTGACAGTTATAGGCAAGTGCTACTGTCAGATACTCTTCCTTTGTTTTGCCCTTCTTACCTTTGAGCCAGAGGTTTTGTTTTTTTTTTTCAGTTTTTTGTTTTGAGACGGAGTCTCAAACTGCACTGCACTGTCGCCCAGGCTGGAGTGCAGTGGCGCGATCTTGGCTCACAGGTGCCTGCCACCATGCCCAGCTGATTTTTTTGTATTTTTAGTAGAGATGGGGTTTCATCGTGTTAGCCAGGATGGTCTCAATCTCCTGACCTTGTGATCTGCCCGCCTTGGCCTCCCAGAGTGCTGGGATTACAGGCATGAGCCACTGCACCAGGCGTGTTTTGTTTTTGAGACAGGGCCTCACTCTGTCGCTCAAGTTGGAGTGCAGTGGCACGATATCGGCTCACTGCAGCCTCGACCTCCTGGGCTTAAGCGATCCTCCCACCTCAGCCTCCTAAGTAGCTGGGACCACAGGCATGTGCTACCACGCCCAGCTGATTTTTTTTCTTTCTTTTCTTTTTTATTTTGCAGAGATGGCGTGTCACTATGTTAACCAGGCTGGTCTTGAACTCCTGAGCTCGCGTGATCCTCCTACCTTGGCCTGCCAAAGTGCTGGGATTACAGGTGTGAGCCACCACACCTGGCCTGAGCCAGAGGTTTTATAATTCACTTAACAAGTGTTTTTGATCACCCCCCGTGTGCCAGTGACTGTGCCATGGAACTACTCATGGAATGAAGGCAAAATTACAGGTCTGCAGTTTTGCTGAGAGTGGCCTTGGGTGACTCAACTCAGAATGAGACATGAAATCTGGCATAAATAATCTCTTCAAAAGAAAAAAACACTTCTTGGCCGGGAGTGGTGGCTCATGCCTTTAATCCCAGCACTTTGGGTGGCTGAGGAGGGCGGATCAAGGTTGGGAGTTCGAGACCAGCCTGACCAACATGGAGAAACCCCGTCTCTACTGAAAATACAAAATTAGCCAGACATGGTGGTGCACGCCTGTAATCCCAGCTACTCGGGAGGCTGAGGCAGGAGAATCACTTGAACCAGGGAGGTGGAGGCTGCGGTGAGCCAATATCATGGCATTGCACTCCAGCCTGGGCAACAAGAGCGAAACTCCGTCCCGCCCCCCCGCAAAAAAAAAAGAAAAAGAAAAAGAAAAAAAACACTTTTCTCATAGAGGAGTAGTAGTGATGGTGATAATAAGGAAAGTCAACATTTATCAGGGGCTTACTGCATGCCAGGCATGGAACTAGTTGCTTTGCATGAATTATATATTTAATAATTAGAAAAACCTACAGCATGGTTATTCAAGTGCAGTCACCAATAGATGCATTGAATCTACCTGATTTCTACCAGTTGTGTGGAGAGAAAACGGAGACAGAGAAAAAGAAGACTGATTTAAATTATCTGGGCCACCATGTGCACTCTTGCAGGTAAGAGACGAGGCACACGTGCATTTTCTGGTCTTGAGCTCTGTCCAGTCCCTGATGGTGATACTATAATAGAAAAGATATGCAAGGTCATTTTTGACCATACTCAAAATTTTCCTCTATACACTGGCTTTTAGAATGAACTCCTTTGAAAACAAAGGCTTAGAGGGGGCTAAATGTCTTCTATAGCAGAGTCACACACCTGGAGGAGCAGAGGCAACCACTATGGGGACCCAGAGGCTTTGATCCTAACCTGTCTCCTAAATTTAACACCTCACTAGGTTTTACTTCTTCAATACAGGTTCATGCTATGAGCACTTTACTGCATCATTTATTATTGTCTGTTATATAAATTTCTTCCAAAGAGCGCAGAGCTCAGTGAACATCAGGAGAAATGCTGAAGATCGCAGTAAAGTTCCTTTCATGGGAAGCCTTTTAAATTATAACTTTAGCCAGACTGACTTAGATAGGTTGGATGCTCTGTTTGGAGACAGGGACAGAAATCTGAAAGTTTATCCCAAACCCAGGATTCTGTGATCATCTCACTGTTTCCCAAACTTTCGTTTTTTCTTTCTTTTTTTTTTTTTTTTCAGATGGAGTTTTGCTCTGTCACCCAGGCTGGAGTGCAATGGCATAATCTTTACTCAGTGCAACCTCTGCCTCCTACATTCAAGCAATTCTCCTGCCTCAGCCTCCCAAACAGCTGGAATTACAGGTGTGCACCACCACGCCTGGCTAATTTTTGTATTCTTAGTAGAGACGGGGTTTCACCATGTTGGCCAGGCTGGTCTCAAACTCCTGACCTCAAGTGATCCACCCGTCTCGGCCACCCCAAGTGCTGGGATTACAGGCCTGAGCCACCTCGCCTGGCCTCCCAAACTTGCTTGATCACGGAAAACACTCACTAAAAAACAAAAACAAAAGATAACCACACAATGAAACAAGAAAACATAGTCCCTGGCACATAGTAGGCGCATGATATTTTTTGAATGATCGAGGTAAAATTGCGAAATTGCCAATCGAAGAACAAAATGTAAAGTCTGATTTGTTGCTAACAGCTTCCCAAAACTACGTTTCTGTCTTTCCATGTGCTTATACACACGCACATCCTCATGCTTTTTAATATGTAAGTTTGTAAAATCATAGGTAAAAACTTTTGTTTGTTTTTGTTGTTTGAGATGGACTCTCGCTCTGCCACCCAGGCTAGAGTGCAGTGGTGCGATCTCAGCTCACTGTAACCTCCGCTTCCCGGGCTCAAGCAATTCTGCTGCCTCAGCCTCCTGAGTAGCTAGGGTTACAGGCGTGTGCCAACATGCCCAGCTAATTTTTGTATTTTTAGTAGAGACAAGGTTTCACCACGTTGGCCAGGCTAGTCTCGAACTCCTGACCTCGTGATCTGGCCACCTCAGCCTCCTAAAGCGCTGGGATTACAGGCGTGAGCCACCGCACCTGGCCCATAGGTAAAATCTTAAAAGTGTTTGACAAACTGTTTAAAGTGTCTTTCTTTGGGGAGAGAAAATATTTCCTCCTATTGTGCTTAAATTTTAATAATTTAGTTACAGAAATGCAATAGATTTAATTTTAATAATTGTTAATAATTTGATAATTATAATGATGTGATACATTTAATCATTTTAATAGCTTGAAAAAATAAGCGTGGCAAGTAAGAGCGATGATCTCTTTTTTATAACTATTTACCACTGATTTTCTTTTTCAAAACAAATTTGAGAAATAGTCACGCAATGCCTGTCTGATACAAGGCTCAGTGCTACGTCTGCTCAGGACTCAGTCCTCAAGCCCACGTCTGCCCTGGAGCACTTATGTTTTGACCAAGGACATATGCTATTCCTGTGTGACATCTTGACAATATGAGATGGACATTACAGCTCAGGATGACAACAAAAAGTAAGTCCGGATTACTGCCGTGAGGGATGTGGGGGAATGGCAGCCAGGTGGTCTGTAGAGAGAGGTTGGGAAGGCTGGCAGAAAAGACAAGGATTAAAAAAGACTTAGCCCAATAATCCAAAAGAAAAATGAGCAAAGATTCCCAGGAAAGGAAATCCGAGCAGCCCTTAGACATAGGAAAAGATGCCCATCCTTGCTAAGGGGAGAGAAAGACAAGTGGAAACCACGGGGCTGTATCGTTGTCCATGTGCAGTGGCCTGGCAGAGAAAACCACATGTGCATGTACCCTGTGAGGGCGAGGCCGTGGGACACAGGCAGGCTCCCTACATAGTAGGTATGATTGTCAACTGCCATAGTCTCCTGGGAAGGGAATTTGGCAGTGAGACCAAAATGAGACACGCCCATATTCTCAGACATAGAAATTCCAATTCTGGATTTCTCCTCTGGTGCACTTGCATGGGGTTGAAATGATATCTGCACAAAGCTAGCCATTGAAACATTATTTGTAGGAGCAAAAAGATTAAGTTGTGGAGCTGAGAACAAACTAAATGTCCATTAAAAGGGGACTGTTTCAATCAGTTACAGTAGAGAGATACAATGCAATATTCTGTGGCTAATAAAAGTCTAACATTGAAGCCGGTTGTGGTGGCTCACACCTGTAATCACAGCACTTTGGGAGGCCGAGGTGGGTGGATCACCTGAGGTCAGGAGTTCGAGACCAACCTGGCCAACATCATGAAACCCTGTCTCTACTAAAAGTACAAAAAAATTAGCCAGGCATGGTGGCGCCCGCCTGTAATTCCAGCTACTTGGGAGGCTGAGGCAAGAGAATCTCTTGAACCCGGGAGGCAGCGGTTGCAGTGAGCCAGCCTGGGAGATAGAGTGAGACTCAGTCTCAGGAAAAAAAAAAAAAAAAAAAGGAGTCTAACATTGGCTAGGTGCAATGGCGCACGCCTGCAATTTCAGCACTTTGTGAGGCTGAGGTGGGAGGATCACTTGAGCCCAAGAGTTTGAGGCCAGCCTGGGCAACGAGGTGTAACCCAGTCTCTACTAAAAATACAAAAATTAGCCAGCTGTAGTGGCACATGCCTGCAGTCCCAGCTACCTGGGAGGCTGAGGTGGGAGGACTGCTTGAGCCCAGGAGGGTGTGGCTGCAGCAAGCCATGACTGCCCCACTGTACTCAGCCTGAGCAACAGAGTGAGACCTTGTCTTAAAAAAAAAAAGAAACAAAAAAGTCTAACAGTTGAGTGTGCTGGGCATTATTTTATTTTAAGTCTTGTGTGTTTCATTACTCAATTATCTCATGAATGCTGAAGTAGATATTTGGGTATATTGTCACCTTCACTTCACAGATGAGGAAACTGAGGTACAAAAAAGGGTAGTAATTTGCCCAATGATACACAGCTAATAAGTAGCAGGGTCAGTCTTAGGTGAGAAAAATCACAGTGTAGAACAGTGTGTATAGCATGCTCCCATACTGAGTACAAAAGACAGTAAAAGAGGCCAGGCGCAGTGGCTCACGCCTGTAATCCCAGCACTTTGGGAGGCCAAGGCGGGTGGATCATGAGGTCAAGAGATCGAGACCATCCTGGCCAACATGGTGAAACCCCGTCTCTACTAAAAATACAAAAAATTAGCCGGGTGTGGTGGTGGGCGCCTGTAGTCTCAGCTACTCAGGAGGCTGAGGCAGGACAATCACTTGAACCTGGGAGGCGGAGGTTGCAGTGAGCCAAGATTGCACCACTGCACTCCAGCCTGGTGACAGAGTGAGACTCCGTCTCAAAAAAAAAAAAAAAAAGGCAGTAAAAGATAGGGCTGAGCACAGTGGCTAATGCCTGTAATCCTAGCACTTTGGGAGGCCGAGGTGGGCAGACTGCTTGAGCCTGGAAGTTTGAGACCAGACTGGGCAACATAGCGAAACTATGTCTCTACAAAAAACCCCACAAAACAAACAAACAAACAAAAAATATGGTGGGCATGGTGGTGTGCACCTGTGGTCCCAGCTACTTGGGAGACTGAGGTGTGAAGATCACCTGAGTCCAGGGAGTTTGAGGCTGCATTGAGCTGTGATTGTGCCACTGCACTCCAGCCTGGCCAACAGAGTGAGACCCCATCTAAAAAAAAATTTAGAAAAGAGCAAAAAAAAAAATATATATATATATTTTTTTCATATATATAAAAACATATATATTTTTTCATATATATAAACATATATATTTTTCATATATATATAAACATATATATAAACATATATGTATGTGTATGGATATATATATGTGTGTGTACGGATATGCATGTATGTTTATATATGCTCGTATTGGTTTAGAATATCTTTGGATGGAGACAGGAGAATCTGAGAGTCTATGAACTGTGGGTGCCTCTGGCGACAGAAATTCAGTGCACGGAAGACAAGGGAGGGAGCAAGATTTCCTTTACGCTACATAGAATTCTATACCTGCTAAACTTTTGCACCATAGATATGTGATATCTATCAACACCTTTAAATCCTTCTTTCTTTTTTTGCATCCCATCCCCAACAGCTTTAAATCTATAATTTAAAAAAAATTAAAAATGTAATGGGAGGGAGCTTCAGGTCCATCTTACAGGCCGTCTCTTAGCTTGTAATGTCCAATAGGAAAACCACTAGTTTCCATCTTTCCAATATGGAAACACAGCCACTGAGCAGCTGAAATGTGCCATATCCGGATTGAGGTGTGCTGAGGCTGGAGGCTGCAGGCAGTGACTCACACCTGTAATCCCAGAACTTGGGGAAACCAAGGCAGGTGGATCACTTGAGCTCAGGAGTTCGAGACCAGCCTGGGCAACATGGTGAAACCCCGTCTCTACTAAAACTACAAAAAAAAAAAAAATCGCCAGGTGTTGTGGTGCCTGCCTGTGGTCCCAGCTACTTGGAAGGCTTAGGTGGGAAGATCACTTGAGCCTGAGGGCCAGAGGTTGCAGTGAGCCTAGACTGCACCACTGCACTCTAGCCTGGGTGACAGAGCAAGACCCTGTCTCAAAAAAAAAAAAAAAAAAAAAAAGATGTAAGAGATGTGTTGTGAGTGTAACATACATGCTGAATTTCAAAGACTTAGTATAAAAATGGCGATTTCGGCCGGGCGCAGTGCCTCACGCCTGTAGTTTTAGCACTTTGGGAGGCCGAAGCGGGCAGATCACTTGAGGTCAGGAGTTTGAGACCAGCCTGGCCAACATGGTGAATACAAATAATTAGCCAGGCGTGATGGCGCGCCTGTAATCCCAGCTACTTGGGAGGCGATTATTACTAAAAATACAAAAATTAGCTGGGCCTGATGGCGTGCCTGTAATCCCAGCTACTTGGGAGGCTGAGGCAGGAGACTAGCTTGAACCCAGGAGGCGGAGGTTGCAGTGAGCCGAGATTGCACCATTGCACTCCAGCCTGGGGGACAAGAGCGAAACTCTGTCTCAAAAAAAAAAAAAAAAAAAAAAGCAAAATATCAAATTCATAATTTCTTTTTTTTTTTTGAGATGGAGTTTTGCTCTTGTCACTGAGACTGAAGTGCAATGGCACCATCTCGTCTCACTGCAACCTCCACCTCTCGGGTTCAAGTGATTCTCCTGCCTCAACCTCCCAAGTAGCTGGGATTACAGGAATGTGCCACCATGCTCAGCTAATTTTTTGTATTTTTAGTAGAGGTGGGTTTTCACCATGTTGGTCAGGCTGGTCTCGAACTCCTGACCTCAGGTGATCCACCCACGTCAGCCTCTAAAAGTGCTGGGATTACAGGTGTGAGCTACCGTGCCCAGCCTCAAATTCATAATTTTTATATTGCTTGTATGTATGATGATATTTTGGATCTACTGAGTTACATAAAAGTCTATATTATTAAAATTAAGTCCACTTGTCACTTTTTACACTTTTTGATAAAGCTAGTAGAGAACTATTCACAGTAAGCAAGATATGGAATCAACCCAAGTGTCTATCAATGAATGAGTGAAAAAAATGTGCTACATATGAAATGTTATTCAGGGGACAGGCACAGTGGCTCCTGCCTGTAATTCCAGCACTTTGGGAGGCTGAGGTAGGCAGATCACTTGAGGCCAGGAGTTCAAGACGAGCCTGACCGACATGGTGAAAACCCATCTCTACTAAAAATACAAAAATTGGCCGAACATGATGGCACATGCCTGTGATCCCAGCTACTCGGGAGGCTGAGGCAGAAGAATCGCTTGAACCCAGGAGGTTGAGGTTGCAGTGAGCAGAGATCGCACCACTGCTCTCTAGCCTGGGCAACAGAGGGAGACTTTGTCTCAAAAAAAAAAAAAAAGAAAAAAAAAGAAAAGAAAGAAAAAGAAATAAAGAAATATTATTTAGCAATAAAAAAGCATGAAATTCTGTCATTTGCAACAACATGAATGGAACTGGAGGATATTATGCTAAATGAAATAAACCAGGCACAGACAAGGCAGATACAAATATTGCACGTTCTCACACACATGCGGGAGCTAAAAAGAAAAGACCAGCCATGTTGACCAGGCTGGTCTTGAACTCCTGACCTCAAGTGATCCATCCACCTGCCTTGGCCTCCCAAAGTGCTGGGATTACAGGCATGAGCCACTGCGCCCAGCCTGAACCTACTGTCTTCTGGGATAAAATTCTTCCTGAGACCATTCTGTCTGTTTAAAAGTAGCTAGACATGGATGTCAGGAGTTCAGAATCTAATTATTTAAAAAAACAAACAAACAAATGCCATCTTGTCTTCTTGGTTTACAGAGACTTAACAGAAATATACAAAGTACGCTTTCCTCTCATTACTTTACTTTCAAAGTTTGACCAGATCTTTACAAAGGTTGTTCCGTATGCCACACCACCTGATAAGGGAGAAGTGATAGTTTAAAATAGAGAACTGGGTTGGGCGTCGTGGCTCACACTTGTAATCCCAGCACTTTGGTAGACTGAGGTGGGTGGTCAGGTTGAGCTCAGGAGTTCAAGACCAGCCTGGGTAACATGGTGAAACCCCATCTCTACTAAAAATAGAAAAACTAGCTGGGTGTGGTGGTGTGTGCCTTGTAGTCTCAGCTACTCAGGAGGCTGTGGTGGGAGGATCGCTTGAGCCCTAGAGAAGAAGGTTGCAGTGAGCCAAGATCGCACCACTGCACTTGAACCTGGGCAACAGAATGAGACCCTGTCTCAAAAAAACCAACCAACCAACCAACCAACCACCCAACCAACCAACCAACCAACCAGAGAACTGAATTGTTGGTGTTACCATCTAGTTTATAAACTTAAAGCTTGAGACAGTCTTTCCCTTGGGATTTTATTTTTTTCTTAGTTGAAAGAATGACCTTATAATAAAATGGTAACAATAATGACAGAAATAGCTAACATTTTTGAAGCACTTGCTACAAGCCAGCCATTGTGCAAAGTACTTTCTTGAGTAAAACTAGGATCACAAACTGGGGTGTTATGAGCCCATCTATTCTATGAGGTAGATCTCTTTGTTAGGCCCATTTTACAGATGTGGAAATTGAAATTTAGAGAGGGTGGGTAATAATATTGGAAGTCACAAAACTTAAGCTTGCATTTTTTTTGTTTTTTTTGAGACGGAATCTTGCTCTGTCACCCAGGCTGGAGTGCAGTGGCGCAGTCTCGGCTCACTGCAAGCTCTGCCTCCTGGGTTCACGCCATTTTCCTGCCTCAGCCTCCCGAGTAGCTGGGACTACAGGCGCCCGCCACCATGCCTGGCTAATTTTTTGTATTTTTAGTAGAGACGGGGTTTCACCGTGTTAGCCAGGATGGTCTCTATCTCTTGACCTCGTGATCCACCCGCCTCGGCCTCCCAAAGTTCTGGGATTACAGGTGTGAGCCACTGCGCCCAGCCTGCTTGCATTCTAACTCTATCACTAACATGCTATAGAGCTGTTTACACATAACTTCTTGGCAGTAGGTTGAATTGTGGTCCCCTAAAAGATAGGTCTAAGTCCCAATCCTCAATACCTGTGAATGTGACTTTATTTGGAAAAAAAGGTCTTTGCAGATGTAATAAGGTTAAGGATCTTCAGATGATATCCTGGATTAACTGGATGGACTCTAAATCCAATGACAAATGTCCTTATAAGAAGAGAAGACATGGCTGGGTGTGGTGGCTCATGCCTGTAATCTCAGCACTTTGGGAGGCCAAAGTGAGAGAGGAGAAAGGAAGAAACCGGTCAGGCAGGCAGTTAGGGTGGGTTCTCAGCTGAATTCTTTCAAACCAAAGAACAGCCGGAAAAATCAAGCTGCAGGTACAGATAAGGGAACTTGCATAGGGGGGCTTGTGCACGTTCCCTTATCTGTGCCCGCAGCCTAAGACATGCCCACAGCTGCACAGATAAAAAAGTCTACACAAGTGACTTGCCTAGACATGCCCACAATGAAAATGCCGTCCCCTGACACATGTGTGGTAAGAGGAACAAAGTGATATGGAGTAACTCGAGCTAAGGGCCTGCAGGTGCATTAGGAGGACAGGGTGGAGCTACCAGAAATTCGTGCCTTATGCAAATGATATGACCATTCCTCATCAGCTTCTTATAAAAGCCTTTGCATTCAACTGTAAAAACAGGAACCCAGCCAGGTGCAGTGGCTCATGCCTGTAATCCCAGCACTTTGGGAGGCTGAGGTGGGTGGATCACCTGAGGTCGGGAGTTCAAGACCAGCCTGACCAACATGGAGAAAACCTGTCTCTACTAAAAAAAAAAAAAAAAAAATTAGCCAGGTATGGTGGCACATGTAATCTCAGCTACTTGGGAGGCTGAGGCAGGAAAATCACTTGAACCTGGGAGGCAGAGGATGCAGTGAGCCAAGATTGCACCATTGCACTCCAGCCTGTGCAACAAAAGCAAAACTTTGTCTCAAAAAAAAAAACCCAGGAACCCTCTTTCAGGCCCCCTCTTTACAGTGGAGAGCTTTCTTCTTTTGCTATTAAACTTTTGCTCCAACCTTGCACTTTGTGTCCATGCTCCTTAATTCTCTTGGTTGTGAAACACAGAACTCCAGGTTATACCTCACAATGAGAGACTGCTACATTGTGGTGCCTGGGTGAGACTGTAACAGAGGCAGGTGGATTGCTTGAGCCTAGAAATTGGGGCAGCCTGAACAACATAGCGAAACCCTGTCTGTACAAAAACTACAAAAGATTAGCCAGGCATGGTGGTGCACTCCTGTAGTCCCAGCTACTTGGGAGGCTAAGGCACAAGAATCACTTGAGTCTGGGAAGTCGAGGCTGCAGTGAGCTGTGATTGTGCCACTGTATTCCAGCCTGTGTGACAGGGGAGACTCTGTCTCAAAAAAAAAAAAAAAAAAAGTAAAAAGCAAAAAAAAAAAAAAAAGAGGGACACACACACACACACAGACACACACACACACACACACACACACACAGCAAGACCATGTGAAGGCTGAAGCAGAAATTGGACTGACGCATCCTCAAGTCAAGGAATGCACGGAGCCAGCAGGAACTGGACTAGATGAGGAAGAATTTTCCCCTGGAGGTTTCAGAAAGGGCACGGCCTTGCTGATACCTTGATTTCGGATTTTTGTTCTCCACAACTGTGAGAGAATACATTCCTGCTGTTTTAAGCCATTCAGTTTGTGGCTATTTCTTATGGCAACCCAAGGAAACAAAGACAATCACTATAGGCAAATCACTCTGGGCTTTGATTTTCTCCCCTGTGACGTGTGAGGTTTGATTATACTGGTGGTTCTGAACCCAAGACCATGGGCCAATCTGTGAGGGGGAATGTATAGAATATTTACATGTCAGCTGGAGGGTCTCAATCAGGGGTGCTTTTACCTCCAGAAAACATTTGGCAATGCCTGGAGATATTTTTGGTTTTCACAACTTGATGGGAAGGGGAGAGGATGGGATTACTATTGGCATTTAGAGGGCAGGGGCCAGGGATGCTGTTAAACACCCTACAATGCACAACCAAAAATTATCCAACCCAACGTGTCAGCAGTGCTGAGGTTGAGAAACCCTGATATATGCAGTCATCCCTCTGTATCCATGAGGCACTGGTTTCAGGAGTCTCCTGTGAACACCAAAATGCACAGATGCTTAAGGCCCTGCTATAAAATGGCCTAGTATTTGCATGTAACCTACACACATCCTCCTGTATACTCTAAATCATCTCTAGACTTATTTATTTATTTATTTAGAGAGGGAGTCTCACTCTGTCACCCAGGCTGGAGTGCAAGGGCACAATCTCAGCTCACTGCAACCTCTGCATCCTGGGTTCAAGCTATTCTCCTGCCTCAGCCTCCTGAGTAGCTGGGATTACAGGCACCCACTACTACGCCCAGCTAATTTTTGTGTTTTTAGTAGAGACGGGGTTTTACCATGTTAGTCAGGCTGGTCTCGAACTCCTCACCTCAGGTGATTCGCCTGCCTCGGCCTCCCAAAGTGCTGGGATTGCAGGTGTGAGCCACTGTGCCCAGCCTCTAGATTACTTATAACAGAGGTACCAGTCCATGGCCTGTTAGGAACCAGGCTGCAGAGCAAAAGGTGAGCAACAGGTGAGCAAGCAAAGCTTCCTCTGTATTTACAGTCACTCCCTATGGCGCGCATTACCACCGGAGCTCCGCCTCCTGTCAGATTAGCGGCCACATTAGATTCTCATAGGAGTGCGAACCCTATTGTGAACTGTATACATGAGGGAACTAGGTTGTTGATGATCTGTCGCTGTCTTCCATCACTCCCAGATGGGACTGTCTAGTTGCAGGAAAACAAGCTTAGGGCTCCCACTGATTCTACATTACAGTGAGTTGTATAATAATTTCATTATATATTACAATGTAATGATAGAAATAAAGTATACAATAAATGTAATATATTTGAATCATCCTAAAACCATCCCCCTACCAGCGGGTCTGTGGAAAAATTGTGTTCTGCGAAACTGGTCCCTTGTGTCAAAAAGGTTGGGTACCGCTGACTTATAATACCTAATACACCAAAGTGAGTGGATCACTCGAGGTTAGGAGTTCAAGACCAGCCTGGCCCAGAGGGTGAAACCCCGTCTCTACTAAAAATACAAAAAAACTAGCTGGGCGTGATGGTGCACACCTGTCATCCCAGCTACTCGGGAGGCCGAGGCAGGAGAATTGCTTGAACCAGGGAGGCGGAGGTTGCAGTGAGCCAGGATTGTGCCATTGCACTTCAGCCTGGTCAATAGAGCAAAATTCCATCTCAAAAAAAAAAAAAAAAAAAACTGAAAACAAATACAGTGTAAATGCTATGTTAATAGTTGTTTATACGGCGTGTTTTATGTATATGATTTTTTATTGTAGTCTTTATTTTTATTTTTATTTTTTCAACTATTTTCCAGCCCTGATTGTTTGAGTCTGCAGATATGGAACCCATGGATCTGGAGGGCCGACTGTACTATGTGCTTTTTACAAGCAAAATGTTATTGAGGCCAGGCCTGCTACCATGCTCATAATACCAGCATTTTGAGAGGCCAAGGCCAGAGGATAGCTTGAGTGCAGGAGATTGAGACCAGCCTGGGCAACATAGTGAGACCCTGTCTCTACAATGACAACAACATCAACAACAACAACAACAAGTTTTATTGAATCTTCACAGCTACCCCCTTAGGCAGGTATTATTAGTACTACTTTTCCTATTTTACAGATGAATAAATTGTAACTAAGAGAAGTGAACTGATTTCTCCAAGGCTACAGAACTAGGAGGTGGTAGAGCTGGGATATGAGGTTTTAGTTTTGTTTTGTTTGTGAGATGGGGTGTCACTCTGTTGCACAGGGTGGAGTACAGTCATGTGATCATGGCTCAAGTGATCCTCCTACCTCAGCCTCCCAAGCTGGGACTACAGGTGTGCACCATCACACATGGCTAATTGTTGTATTTTTTTTGTTTTTTTTTTGTAGAGACAAGGTCTGTTTGTGTTGCCCAGGCTGTTCTTGAACTCCAGGCTCAAGCAATCCACCAGTATTGGCCTCGCTAAGTATTAGGATTACAGGCATTAGCCACTATGCTCAGTCTGCCTTTTTTTTTTTTTTTTTTTTGAGACGGAGTCTCGCTCTGTCGCCCAGGCTGGAGTGCAGCGGCGTGATCTCGGCTCACTGCAACCTCTGCCTCCCAGGTTCTAGCGATTCTCCTGCCTCAACCTCCTGAGTGGCTGGGACTACTGGTGCGTGCTACCACGCCCAGCTAATTTTTGTATTTTTAGTAGAGACGGGGTTTCATTATGTTTGCCAGGATGGTCTCAATCTCTTGACCTCATGATCCGCCTGCCTTGGCCTCCCAAAGTGTTGGGATTACTGGCGTGTGCCACCGCACCTGGCCGAGACTGGGTCTTAAAAAAAAAAAAAGAAAGAAAGTAATGTTACTTTTATGAAAAAAAAAAAAATTTCCAAAACAAAAAATTTAGTGAAAAGAGTAACATTTTTTGCTTCTTTTTTCTTGCTAATCCCTCTAATGCCTTGCTTTATACAAGACGGCCAGATACACACAGCAGCTTCTACATTTACTTTGTTGTGATATCATATGTCATGCAGCCTCTGGAAAATCCCACTGTACTTGTGATTGACTACAAGTGAAAATGATAAATAAAGGCTTAGTATTATTATTATGAAAGAGTCTTAATCTTGTGAACTTCCTGAAAAAGATGTTCCTGAATAGTCTGCTGACCGCAATTCTAGCATTCTCTCCTAAAAGATATAGAGAAGATGGTAGAAGAAGATGGGAGGAGATGGATCTCCAATCCAGTGTCTCCCCGTATTCATCATTTGTGTACCACCTTCACAATTTCTGCCAAATCTAAGGAGTCAATGTTTTACTTAATACGCATATAGGTAAAACAATTTAACTCATGTCCTTTCCTTTATACAAATGTATTTTCACAGGAAACTTTATATATTACTATTATGAATGGAGAACTTGGTATTCATTATTAAACAGCAGGTAATGGCACAAATTAATTTCCAGAAAAGAAAAAAAATTCTAGGCCAGATATGGTGGCTCATGCCTGTAATCCCAGCCCTTTTCTGGGAGGCTGAGGTGGGAGGACCGTGTGAGCCCAGGAGTTCAAGACCAGCCTGGGCAACAGAGTGAGATCCCATCTCTACAACAATGACAAGTTAGCCAGCCATGGTGGCACACATCTGTAGTCCCAGTTGCTTGGGAGACGAGATGAGAGAATCCCTTGACCTCAGGAGTTGGAGGTTGCAGTGAGCTGAGACTCCGTCTCAAAATAATAATAAATAAATAAATAAAATAAAATTCTAGGGAAGCAGTCTAATCTGCTAAAGGCTGTGCAGCTGGGGCTTGCTGTCTGTTCAACAAGGGAAATTAGTTAAGTGTGGAGAGGTGATAAAGATCTATTAGCACCAAACAGAGACTTTCTCCTTAATGTAATCCGAAAGATTGAAGATGAACCCCTGTAGATTTATTGTGTTTTTTTTTTTTTGAGACGGAGTCTTGCTCTGTTGCCCAGGCTGGAGTGCAGTGGTGCGATCTTGGCTCACTACAAGCTCAGCCTCCCGGGTTCACGCCATTCTCCTGCCTCAGCCTCCTGAGTAGCTGGGACTACAGGCGCCCACCAGCGTGCCCGTCTAATTTTTTGTATTTTTAGTAGAGACGGGGTTTCACCATGTTAGCCAGGATGGTCTTGATCTCCTGACCTTGTGATCCACCTGCCTCGGCCTCCCAAAGTGCTGGGATTACAGGTGTGAGCCACTGCGCCCAGCCTATTTATTGTTATTTTATTTATTTTTATTTTTTTGAGACAAGGTCTTGCTCTCCTGCCTCAGCCTCCCAAGAAACTGGGATTACAGGTGCGCACCACCATGCCCGGCTAATTTTTGTATTTTAATAGAGATGAGGTTTCACCATTTGCTGAGACTGGTCTCAAACTCCTGGACTCAACCGATCCTCCTACCTCAGCCTCCCAAAGTGCTGGGATTACAGGCATGAGCAACCACACCAGGCCTTATAGCATTATTTAATGCCACATCCATGCACCATCTAAATTATCTAGCTTATGGACAATAATAATCTTCAGACCACACCTTGCAGCCATTCCTCACTTTGGGGAAACTGGCACTGCCAGAGTTTCTCAAAGCATTTTCCATAGTGATTTGATAGGCATTAAACTGATCTCCTAATCCAAGACTTTTTTCAATCCTTATGCACTGAATGAAGAACAGTTTCACTTTTTTAGGACCAAAGATTGTTTACCAATAACTTACCTAATATTAAAATATGGTTTTAATGCCCATTTGCTTTAGGGCAAATAGGAGGGTTATAAAACCTCACTGGATGGATCCAAGAGGAGAAAAAAAAAGATTGGCTTTAAGGGAAAAACAAGAATGCCTAATTAGCTTTTTGTTTTGTTTGGGTGACATCACATGTATCATTAGGCTTAGAAAGTTCATTTGCCACCTTATTTGTATGAGTTTTTGAGTTCCTTCCATATCTATTTTCCTGTATTGGGGCTTTTTTTTTTTTTTTTTTTTTTTTTTGAGACGGAGTCTCACTCTGTGGCCCAGGTTGGAGTGCAGTGGCATGATCTCGGCTCACTGCAACCTCTGCCTTCAGGTTCAAGCGATTCTCCTGCCTCAGCCTCCCAAGTAGCTGGGACTACAGGTGCGTGCCACTATGCCCAGCTAATTTTTGTATTTTTTAGTAGAGACAGGTTTCACCATATTGGACAGTCTGGTCTTGAACTCCTGAACTCGTGATCTGCCCGCCTCGGCCTCCCAAAGTGCTGGGATTACAGGTGTAGGCCACCGCGCCCGGCCGCGTTGGGGCTTTTAGAATTGAATTTACTGTCTGTGAGAGTTCTCTTCTATTTCAATTTTAGGGCTAAAGAATGTGGTTTTTTTTCCCTCCAGGCAAATGAGATTAAATAAATATTTAAATTTTGTGTGAAGTTTATTTAACATTTTCCACTCTTTGCTATTGCTTAAGTGCAAAGTTTTGTCTTTTTTTAAACATTATAATTGCTACTTAGAATTCTAAGCTGTAATTTTGCTGTTATGTAAATTACACAACTTCAGTAGTAAAACCAAGCAAATAGTATTTATTCCTTCCTCTGCCTTGGAAACTGATTCCTTCTGAAAATAATTGCAGAAACTAATGAAAGCAAGATCCAGTTCCTGCCTAGATTTGGCTGGTCTGATTTTAAGCCACTCCCCACAGGAAATAACAGATAAAATGATGCAATACTAGCTAGCATTCCTGGCTGTTTCTGACAATCCAGGAGCTATGTGACTAATATATCAAGTGAAAAAAATATTTCCTTGATTAAAGTCATAATAACATATTATGTGTAATAACACAGGGAGTATAGATGACTCAGATTCCAGGAATAATAGAAATTGGTGGCTCAGCAACTTAAAGCAGCTAGAAAGGATTGTTATGCCACATGGGGGTTGGAGAAGGGCTTGCCAATTGCACACTGAAGTTAAACAAAAGCCTAACTTAATTTTTATTCCTGGTTAAAAAAAAGTCTATTATGTACATCCAGCCAAAAAACCAGTGCCTTAAACAAGATAAATGCGTATTTTCTCTCAATTAAACACTACATAGGTAGTCTAAGGCTTCAATGACTCTCCTTGGTCCCAAGCTGCTTCTTTTTTAATTTTTTTGAGATGGAGTCTCGCTCTGTCGCCCAGGCTGGAGGGCAGTGGCGCGATCTCGGCTCCCTGCAAGCTCCGCCTCCCGGGTTCACGCCATTCTCCTGCCTCAGCTTCTGGAGTAGCTGGGACGACAGGCGCCCACCATAACGCCCGGCTAATTTTTTGTACTTTTTAGTAGAGACGGGGTTTCGCCATGTTAGGCAGGATGTCTCAATCTCCTGACCTCGTGATCCGCCCGCCTCAGCCTCCCAAAGTGCTGGGATTATAGGCGTGAGCCACTGCGCCCAGCTCCAAGCTGCTTCTTTCTTGGTTCTCTGCTTTGCAGAGTCAAATGACCTCATTGCCGAAGATGGCGGCATCCAAGTTCCAGGCAGCAAGATGGAGAAAAGAACAAAGAGAAAGCAAAGATACCCACCCGAGGCTTGACACTTCCATTTATATCCCATTGGCCAGAACAAAGTCACGTGACCGTACCTAAGCTACAAGGGAGGCTTGGAAAGGTAGCGTTTCTTTCTGAAAAAATTCAGCCCTGCTGAGAATTCAATTCCATGGAAGAAAGAGACAGGATCTTGACAACTAGAACTTTCATTAAAAAAAAAACAGGCCGGGCGCGGTGGCTCACGCCTGTAATCCCAGCACTTTGGGAGGCCGAGGCGGGCGGATCACGAGGTCAGAAGATCGAGACCATCCTGGCTAACACGGTGAAACCCCGTCTCTACTAAAAATACAAAAAAATTAGCCGGGTGTAGTGGCGGGCACCTGTAGTCCCAGCTACTCCAGAGGCTAAGGCAGGAGAATGGCGTGAACCCGCGAGGCAGAGCTTGCAGTGAGCCAAGATCGCGCCACTGCACTCCAGCCTGGGCGACAGAGCAAGACTCTGTCTCAAAAAAAAAAAATAATAATAAAAAAAACAGGCCAGGCGTGGTGGCCCACTCCTGTAATCCCAGCACTTTGGGCGGCCGAGGCGGGTGTATCACCTGAGGTCAGGAGTTCGAGACCAGCCTGGCCAACATAGTGAAACCCTGTCTCTACTAAAAATAAAAAAAAAATTAGCTGGGCGTGGTGGCGCGCAACTGTAGTCCTAGCTACTCCGGAAGCTGAGGTAGGAGAATCTCTTGAACCCGGGAGGTGGAGGTTGCAGTGAGCTGAGATCACACCACTGCACTCCAGCCTGGGTGACAGAGTGAGACTCTGTCTCAAAAAAACAAACAAACAAAAAACCAAAAACAAAAAACCTTTTTCTTTTTCTTATTATTTTTTTGAGTCAGAGTCTTCCTTTGTCTCCCAGGCTGGAATGCAGTGGCACTATCTTGGCTCACTGCAACCTCTGCCTCCCAAGCTCAAGAAGTCCTCCCACCTCAGCCTCCTGAGTAGCTGGAACCATAGGCATGTGCCACATCACCTGGATAATTTTTTTGTGTTGTTTGTAGAGACAGAGTTTTGCCATGTTGCCCAGGCTGGTCTAGAACTTCTGAGGTCAAGCAATCCTCCAGCCTCGTCCTCTCAAAGTGCTGGGATTATAGGTGTGAGCCGCCAGGCCCAGCTGATAACTAGAACTGTCTACCAAAACATAATTGCCTTTCTGGGCTTAGCCCAGAGTTTCATGTAGATAAAATATTCATTAATTCATTTAGTCATTCAATTGCTTAATTCAATAAATATTTATTTATTTTTGAGACAGAGTCTCGCTCTGTCGCCCAGGCTGGAGTGCAGTAGCATGATCTTGGCTCACTGCAACCTCCGCCTCCCGGGTTCAAGCAATTCTCCTGCCTCAGCCTCCTGAGAAGCTGGGACTACAGGTGCACCACTGCACCTGGCTAATTTTTGTATTTGTAGTAGAGATGGTGTTGTGCCATGTTAGCCAGGCGGGTCTTAACCTCCTGACCTCAGGTGATCCACCCACCTCAGCCTCCCAAAGTGCTGCGATTACAGGTGTGAGCCACTGCGCCCGGCCAATAAATATTTATTGAGTACCTAGTATGTGCCAGGCACTGTTCTATGGGCTGAGATATACTGGTAAATAAAACAAAGTCCCCTGTCCTCTTGGGGCTTACATCCTAGCAGGAAGGGAAAAACAATAAATAATAAATATAAGTAGTTACATTACTGCTGTGGACTAAATGTTTGTGCCCCTCCAAAATCATATGCTGAAATTCTAACCCCCAGTGTGATGGAATTAGGAGGTGGGCCCTTTGAGAGGTGATTACATCATGAGGGTGGAGGCCTCATGAATGGAATGAGGGCCCTTATTAGAAGAGACACAAGAGCTTGCTCTTGCTTTCTGCTCTCTGCTATGTGAAGATACTAGAAGGTGGCCAGCTATGAACCAGGAAGTGGGTCCTCAGTAGACACTGGATTTGGCAGTGCCTTCATCTTGGACTTCTCAGCCTTCAGAGCTGTGACAGATAAATTCTTGTTTTTTAAGCCACCCAGAGGCCATGCCAGAGGCTCATGCTTGTAATTCTAGCACTTTGGGAGGCTGAGGCAGGAGGATTGCTTCACCCCAGGAGGTTGAGGCTGCAATGAGCCAGGATCATGTTACTGTACTCCAGCCTGGTAACAGAGTGAGATCCTGTCTATTAAATAAATAAAGCCACCCAATCTATGGTAATTTGTTATAGCAGGCTGAATAAGCTAAAACAATTACATAGTGTATTAGAAAGAATAAGTTAATAGATACAATAAATTATGTTTTTTTTTTTTTTTTTTTTTTTTTTTTTTTGAGACAGAGTCTTACTCTGTCACCCAGGCTGGAGTACAGTGGCACGATCTTGGCTCACTGCAACCTCCGCCTTAGCAATTCTCCTGCCTTAGCCTCTGAAGTAGCTGGGACTACAGGTGCGCGCCACCACACCGAGCTAATTTTTGTATTTTTAGTAGAGATGGGGTTTTGCCATGTTGGCCAGGCTGGTTTCAAACTCCTGACTTTAGGTGATCCACCTGCCTCGGCCTCCCAAAATACTGGGATTACAGGCATGAGCCACTGCGTCTGGCTGATACAATAAATTATCACAGTAAAAAAGAAAAATGAGGAAAGGGATGTGGAAGTGAAGGGAGGTGGTGGTAACTTTACATATGTGGTCAGGGGTTGTCCTCATTGAGAAGGTGACAATTGTGCAGACTCAAACAAAGTGAGGGAGTGAGGTCTGCAGAACTCCAGGGGATGAGGCTTCCGGGCAGAGGGAACAGCCAGAGCGACGGGCAAAGGTGGGAGCAGGACTGATGTGGGGAAAGAGGCAGGGAGACCAGAGCTGGCTGGAGCAGAATGAATATTGACGGGAGTAGAGGAAGCTGGGAATATTGAGGGGAGTAGGGGAAGTCAGAGGAAGCTGGTTCCTCTAGGGTGGGCTCTTATGGCTAGTAAGGACTTTGGCTCTTACTTTGTGTGAAAATGGGAGCTATTGCAGTGTTTGGAGTTGTAGAATTCTAAATGCATAGTGTTTATAAATAAATAGTCATTTCTCTATTGGAGAGAGGGCTAAACATTTAATAACTGCTGGGGTGCATCACTTTAAAAGTTTGAAGACCGCTAGCTGGACCTATTTTCTGCATCTATGTAACAACAGCTGAGAAATAATGCCATTCTACTTCACTAACTTTTCTTTCTTTTTTTTTTTTTTTGAGACAGAGTCTCACTTTGTCATCCAGGGTAGAGTGCGGTGGCATGATCTCAGCTCACTGCAACCTCCGCTTCCTAGATTGAGGCAATTCTCCTGCCTCAGACTCTCGAGTAGCTGGGATTACAGGTGCCCACCACCACACACGGCTAATTTTTGTATTTTTAGTAGAGACGGGGTTTCACCATGTTGGCCAGGCCGGTTTCAAACTCCTGACCTTAGATGATTCGCCCGCCTCGGCCTCCTAAAGTGCTGGGATTACAGGCATGAGCCACTGCGCCCAGTACTAACTTTTATTTCTGATCAAAATTTCATTTATGAGCTATATTGGACAACCCTGGGTGGCCATAATTATTACATTCATTTACATGTAGTGGGAGATCAGTGTGGCCCAGTACTCTTCTAAGTCCTTTGTTCAGAAGAGCCTGTTGAATCCTCACAACCACTCTATTATTATTACCCATTTTATAGATGAGGAAACAGAGAGGTGAAGTTACTTGCCCAAGGTCACACAGCTAGCAAGGGGTGAAGCTGGAGCTGAACCCCAGGCTTGTGTGTAGCCCACGCTCTTCACACTATGCCAAACTGCCTCTGAGATGATTCAGAGGCTTGGTGTATCCCATAAACCAAATGAACCAAGAAATGTATTCAACAGTGGCACCCTATTTAAGCCTGGTGGAAGCAAAGCACTGCTCTGAACAGCAAGGAGGGCTGCCACCTGCCCTTTCTGGTCTGCAAGACTTTTTTTTTTTCTTTTTTGGAGACAGAGTCTCCCTCTATCACCCAGGCTGGAGTGCAGTGGCGTGATCTCAGCTCACTGCAACCTCCGCCTCCTGGGTTCAAGCAATTCTTGTGTCTCAGCCTCATGAGTAGCTGGGATTACAGGTGCATGCCACCACACCTGGCTAATTTTTGTATTTTTAGTAGACTGGGTTTCACCATGTTGGCAAGGCTAGTCTTGAACTCCTGACTTCAAGTGATCCGCCTGCTTTGGCCTCCCAAAGTGCAGGGATTACAGGCGTAAGTCATCACGCCCAGCCAAGGTCTGTAAGTCTTGATGTTGATAGGATTTGCTGATCCAACATCTGAGAGTCTGTGTGTAGGACTGGACATGTCCTTGAGGATCATGATGATGGCCTCATGTTACCTGGTGTTCCTGGCAGAATGGCCTCATTCAAGTCCAGCTTCCTGGGTCTTCCTCTGTCCTTCATGCTGTCCTTCTTATAGCTTGCTACTTAAAATCACTACTAATATCATGTCCAACTGAAATACAGTAGAGAATAAAGAATACAGGCAAGCCTTGGCTCAGGGAAGACTTGGGTTTGAATTTTGGCCCTGGTGCTTCATAGCTGTGTGACCTTGGGCAGGCCATCTAACCTCTGAGCCTTAGGTCCCTCAGTGTGGATCTTACCTCAGAGGTTCTGGGGAGGATTAATTAAGATCATGCATGTGAAAAGCACATAATAGAAGCTCCACAGATGTTTCCTATTGTCACTTTTAAACCTATGTAACCCTTGTACTATTTTCCTGTAAAACCTGAATATAACTGTTCAGAAAAGCAGAAAACTCAAATTATAATCCAGAAATATTTGTACTTCAATAACTTGAGATGCTCCTGCCCTCCCCCGCTCTAGCAGTCAGTTCTGCTATAACCTTTATTGTGAAAACACAGATTTGTTCCAATTGACTGGTATATTAGGGAGCAATAGCATCTATGAACATAACATACATTTTGCATTTGCTTATGTGCAAGTTCATTTGCAGGAAACACTAGCTGAATACTGAAAACTGCACCCAGGTAAACAGAATCACATAGGTATACACAAAATGCACACACCTATACATCTCCAGGGACTTGGCTCACCACGTGTTAGGAGCCACACTCATCTATACCTGGCCTGTCTCATTTCAGATAATCCTCAATTGCTTCACGATGGCCCACAGGCTGCAATTTTTTTAGAATCATATTTCCACAAGCAAACTTGAGGACTTTTTAAAAGTAAAGTGCCATTAATCTTAGCGTTTATATACTTTTGAGGAATTTAATATGTGTAAAACTGTGCTAAAATTTTTATTGTGTGTGTGTGTGTGTGTATTTTGAGACAGGGTCTTGCTCTGTCACCCAGGCTGACATGCAATGGTGCAATCATGGCTCACTGCAGCCTTGACCTCTCACACTCAAGCAGTCCTCACACCTTAGCCTCTCAAGTAGCTGGGATCACAGTCACATATTTGTATTTTTAGTAGAGACAGGGTTTCACCATGTTGCCCAGGCTGGTCTCCGACTGCTGAGCTCAAACAATTTGTTCGCCTTGGCCTCCCAAAGTGCTGGGATTACAGGTGTGAGCCACCCACCGTGCCTGGCCATGATTTTTGTTAAGTTCTCATCTTTTAAAAAATGTGTCACTGATGAGGTTTTTGAGTGTAGGCCACTACCCCTATTTTTCCATAAGCCCTGTGGTTTTTACTGTACAATGTTCTTTGCACAGTGATTTTTAGGAATGCATGTGTCATCTTATAGAACTGACTGTGCTACGAAGTGAATTACATGTTCATTGTAGAAAAATTAGAAAAGTGCGGCCGGATGTGGCGGCTCACACCTGTAATCCCAGCACTTTGGGAGGCCGAGGCGGGAGGATCACCTGAGGTCGGGAGTTCAAGACCAGCCTGACCAACATGGAGAAACCCTGTCTCTACTAAAGATACAAAATTAGCTGGGCATGGTGGCACATGCCTGTAATCCCAGCTACTTAGGAGGCTGAGGCAGGAGAATTGCTTGAACCTGGGAGGCAGAGGTTGCAGTGAGCCAAGAACATACCATTGCACTCCAGCATGTGCAACAAGAGCGAAATTCTGTCTCAAAAAAACAAACAAACAAAAAAAAACAAATGCAACAATAGGGATTCCATGCATTAAATCTATACCTACAACTTTACTTTTATAGGCTGTACTATATTTTATTGTATGGATGAACCCCAATTTGTGTTTAAAAACGGTATTTTTTTTTCTGATTTTAAAAAGAATGCATTTGATGTAAATAAATTCAAACATTCTAGTAGTCTATCATGTAGGAAGGAGAGGTCTCCCATGGTCTCACCCCAAGCATCCATTTGCCTATCTATCTGGTAAATATCCATTGAGAATTCTTCCTATGCTGGGCTCTGGGCTAACCAGAGGATTCAACCGAGGAAACAAGCAAACAACAGGCACAGAAGCTGTTCTCAAGGAGCCAACAGTATAGTAAGAGTGAAAGGTATTAAAGAGTCTCACAAGGCAATATAAAATTATATGATGTACTAAGTGCTTTGTGGAAAATGTGCAACTTGCACTGAGATGCTACCATGGGAGACGAAGGGGATGTGTTTGTGTGTGACGTGTCTGACCACGCCTCCCTAAACTGATGCTACTGAGAGGGACCACTGGCAAAAGCATAATGCATATTCATCCTGTTTGATTTTTCTGCAATGTACACACTAATGTTTGTTCTTTTCCAATAACAGAATCATGTTTATTAATTTGTGTAACACTCACCTGTTTTTGCCTAACAAATTACCCAAGGCAGCTTTCCAAGGCCAAACAGCACAGTAGGTAAGATCCTGGCCTCTGGATTCAGATGAGCCTGGGTTCAAATCCTGACTCTGCCTTTCACTAGCTGTGTGATCCTGGGCAAGGTCCCTTACTCTGTCTGCCTTAATTTCTTCGTCTGCAAATAGGAATGACAGAAGAGTCTCTACCCCTTTCAAAGTGCTGTAAAAAGATTAAAAGGAGATGATAAATGTAAAATTCTCAGCACTTAGCATATGTTAGATACTATTTTAATAGTTGTGTGGTATTTGCTTGTTTAAATCAGTTTCTCGGTGTCTGCAGTACTGACATTTTGAATCAGATAATTCTTTGTGGTTGGGGCTGTTCTGAGCAAAGGACGCTTAGCAGCATCCCTGCTCTGTACACATTGGATGCCAGCGGCGTCACCCCAACTTGCGACAACAAAAAATGTCTCCAGACATTAAAAATGTCCTAGGGGGTGGAGTGGAGGGAGGCAAAAATTGTCCTTGGTTGAGAACCACTGCTTTAAATGTACACATTTTAAATATATACATCGGCTGGGTATGGTGGCTTATTCCTATAATCCCAGCACTTTTGGAGGCCAAGGCAGGAGAATCAGTTGAGGCTAGGAGTTGAAGACCTGCCTGGGCAACACAGTAAGACCCTCATCTGCAAAAAATAAAAATACAAATTAGCCAGGTATAATAGTGCACGCCTGTGGTCCCGGCTATTTGTGAGGCTGAATTGGGAGGATTGCTTGAGCCCAAGAAGTCAAGGCTGCAGTGAGCTGTGATTGTGGCATTGCACTCCAGTCTGGGCGACAGAGCAAGACCCTGTCTCTAAATAAATAAATACACACATATCCATAATATAAAACATGTAATATGGCTGGGTGTGGTAATCCCAGCACTTTGTGGGGCCAAGGCAGGCAGATCACCTGTGGTCAGGAGTTTGAGACCAGCCTGGTTGACAGGGTGGTGGAAACCCATCTCTACTAAAAAAAAAAAAAAAAAAGGTAGCTAGGCATGGTGGTGCACGCCTGTACTCCCAGCTACTCGGAAGGCTGAAGCAGGAGAATCGCTTCAGCCTGGAAGGCGGAGGTTGCAGTGAACCAAGATCGCACCACTGCACTCCAGCATGGGTGACAGAGCGAGACTGTCTCAAAAAAAAACAAGCAAGCCATGTAATGTGTTATATATTTAAATATAATAAAGTGTTATTTATTAAATATAAACAAATACTGTGTTTATGGTGAAGGCATTAAAATATGCTGTTTTGGCATTTTGACTATTTCTATTTACTTACACACACACACACATATATATTTTTAAGATGGAGTCTTGTTCTGTTGCTCAGGCTGGAGTGCAGTGGCATCATCTCGGCTCACCGCAATCTCTGCCTCCTGGGTTCAAGCATTCTCCTGCCTCAGCCTCCCGAGTAGCTGGGACTACAGGCGCGTGCCACCATGCCTAGCTAGTTTTTGTATTTTTAGTAGAGACGGGGTTTCACTATGTTGGCCAGGCTGGTCTTGAACTCCTGACCTCGTGATCTGCTGGCCTTAGCCTCCCAAAGTGCTGGGATTATAGGCGTGAGCCACTGTGCCCAGCCAACTATTTATATTAAAGGTATATAAAAAATAGGTGTAGTCCTAGCTACTTGGGAGGCTGAGGCAGGAGGATCCCTTGAGCCATGGAGGTTGAGGCTGCAATGAGCTGTGATTGCACCACGCTGCACTCCATCTTGGGGGACAGAGTAAGACTGTGTCTCAAAAAAAAAAAAAAAAAGAAAGAAAGAAAGAAAGAAAAAGAATTATTATACTGTATCTTTTTTTTTTTTTTCGAGACAGAGTCTTGCTCTGTCACCCAGGCTGGAGTGCAGTGGCGCGATCTCAGCTCACTGCAACCTCCACCTCCCAGGTTCAAGAGAATCTCCTGCCTCAGCCTCCTGAGTAGCTGCAATCATAGACACCCACCACCACACCCGGCTAATTTTTGTATTTTTAGTAGAGATGGGATTTCACCGTGTTAGCCAGGCTGGTCTTGAACTCCCGACCTCATGATCTGCCCACCTTGGCATCCCAAAGTGCTGAGATTACAGGCGTGAGCCACCGTGCCCGGCCTATTATACTGTATCCTAACTGTACCTTTTCTACGTTTAGATAGGTTTGAAGGCACAAATACTACTGTGTCACTACTGCCTATGGTATTCAGAACAGGCACATGCTGTGCAGGTTTGTAGCCTAGGAACAATAGGCCATATTCTCTAGCCTGAGTTTGCCGTAGGCTACACCATCTAGGTTTGTGTAAGTACAATCTAAAATGTTCCCACAACAGTGAAATCGCCAAATGACACATTTCTCAGAACAGAAATATTATTCCTTTTTAAGGAAAACATAATGAGGACAGTCAAAAAAATTGAAGAGAAACAAAAAGCCATGTATGTGGGAAGGAGAAATCTAAGTAAACAAAAGGCAGTCTCAAACATAAGTAAAAGTGATGTGGTTTCTAATTTCCACCAAAGCAAAATGCGGACCAGATGGGGTTGGGGGTGAGCCGGCCGCATAGAGGAATGCAGTTTGCTTTGGGGAAAGAAGCTATTTTTTGTGTTTGTGTGTGTTTCTGTGTGGGTGTCTGTGGGGGTATTTGTGTCTGTGTGTGTGTCTGTGTGTCTATCTCATTTCAGTCAATTGACTGAAATGTCGTTATGCAGCACATCACTGTCAATGTTCGTGTATCTTTTACGTTTCAGTTTTTATATCTTATATAATGTATTACACTTATATGTGAATATTTTATCTTATCCATTGTAGGGAGAGTCTATGTGTGTGTGTTTGTGCGTGTGAGCAACAGAGGTTGGGGAAGGAGGAAATGTGGCCAAAACGATTTTGTGGTCAATGACCCTTTGGTAAAGGCACACACAGGCATGTTTAGAAACACTTATGGGAAGAAAACTATCCCCGCAGGTACACACCCACTTTCAGATCATATAAATCTCACTTTTCCCCTTACACAAAAGATGCAGGAAGCACTTAAGGAGGGTGTCTACCCAGCCTGAACAATGAGTCTTTTCCTCCCCTTGTTCCCCATCTGAGTTTCTATTCCCAGGGGCAGAGTCTGGGGCTGGGAAGGGCTGCTTGTCAGGGAGCCTGAGGGTGAAAGCAAAGAGGCTTTGGTCTGTCCTGTTGAAGGAGTCACAGACAGTGGGGGATGCTGATGGACATCAGTGATAACAGCTGGCACCTACCATGCCCTGTCCTAAGCATACCACATCAACTGGCTCCTTTCACCCTCAGAGAAAGCCCAGGAAGACAATATAATTATGCCTATTTTACAGGTGAGGAAACTGAGGCACCGAAAGGAGAAATCACAGGTTCCACAGCTTGCAAGGGACACAGTTGAGATTTGAACCTAGTCAGCTGCCTCCGGAGTCCAAGCTTTACCCTAGACCAGTGGATCTCAGGGGTGGTAGAGGGTGTGTGGGTATTTTGACCCCTAGAGCAGCAGTCCCCAATGTTTTTGGCACCAGGGACTGGTTTTGTGAAAGACGGTTTTTCCACAGACTGGGGTTGGGGGGGCGGGAGGATCGTTTCAAGGTGATTTAAGCACATTGCATTTATTGTGCATTTTATTTCTATGATTATTACATTGTGATATATAATGAAATAATTATACAACTCACTATAATTTAGAATCAGTGGGAGCCCTGAGCTTGTTTTCCTGCAATGTGATGGTCCCATCTGGGGGTGATGGGAGACAGTGACAGATCTTCAGGCATTAGATTCTCATAAGTGGTGTGCATCCTAGATCCCCTGCATGTGCAGTTCACAATAGGGTTTGTGCTCCTATGAGAATCTAATGCCCGCAGTTAATACAGATGAATCTTTGCTCACTTGCCTGCCGCTCACCTCCTGCTGTGTGGCCTGGTTCCTACTGGTCTGTGGCCCGGGGTTGGGGACGCCTGCGCTGGAGGACGTATGGCAATGTTTGGAGTCATTTTTAGTTGTCACGATTGGAGGATGCTGCTAGGATCTAGCAGGTAGAAGCTGAGATGCTACTAAACACATCATACAAGACGCACGACAGCTCTCTCCCCACCAAATCATCCACTGCAAGTGTCAACAGTGCTGCTGTTAAAAACTCTGTCCTATTTTAGGAAAAGACTACTTTTCTTCTAGAACTCTAAAAAATTATTTTGTTTGCTCTCTAAATTACAAATCATACATGCTCATTGGAAACATAGAAACAATTAGATGTTTATAAAGGAAGACCTGAAAGATTCTCTCCCTAGTTCCGCGCCCTGCGGCAAACACTTATCAACAGTGTGGCATATTCTGCTGCAGCCTTTTCTATTACAGACCTTTGTTACATTGTCAGTCTATCTACTTACATCTTTATCTCTTTTTCTCCCCTTTTCAAAAATAGAAGCCTACACATATTTTCCTTTTTTTTTTTTTTTTTTGAGACAGGTTCTTGCTTTGTCACCCAGGCTGGAGTGCAGTGGCAGATGTATTAGCCTGTTCTCACGCTGCTAATAAAATCATACCTGGGTAATTTATAAAGGAAAGAGGTTTAGTGGACTCACAGTTCCATGTGGCTGGGCAGGCCTCACAATCATGGCAGAAGGCAAAGGAGAAGCAAAGGCACATCATACATGGTGGCAGGAAAGAGAGCTTGTGTATGGGAACTCCCATTTATAAAACCATGAGATCTCGTGAGACTTATTCACTATCATGAGAACAGTATGGGGGAAATCGCTGATTCAGTTATCTCCACCTGGCCCTGCTTTTGACACGTGGGGATTGTTACAATTCAAGGTGAGATCTGGGGACACAGCCAAACCATATCACACAATCATGGCTCACTGCAGCCTTGAACTCCTGGGCTTAAGTGATCCTCCCACCTCAGCCTCCCAGGTAGCTAGGACTACAGGCACACACCATCATGCCCGGCTAATGTTTTGTATTTTTTGTAGAGACAGGATCTCACTATGTTGCCCAGGCTGGTCTTGAATTCCTGGACTCAAGCAATCCTCCCATCTAGGCCTCCCAAAGTGTTGAGATTACAGGCATGAGCCACTGTGCCTGGTCCACATCTTCTTTCACATCTTTTTCATTCAGTGCTGAACTCCAAACCACAAACTTTGCACCTGCTGTTCTTTCTTTCTGGAACAGTCTTCCCCCAGGTATCTGTAGACCTGCATCCCTGGATGTATTAAAATCTGAGCATATCTTCTCCTTAAAAGGGAGCTCCCTGACTTCCCTCTGTAAACCATTTCCTCTTCTAACTCCTCCTTTTTTTTTTAGATGGAGTTTCACTCTCACTCTGTTGCCAGGCTGGAGTGCAGTGGCGCAATCTCGGCTCAATGCAACCTCCACCCGCTGGGTTCAAGCGATTCTCCTGCCTCAGCCTCCCAAGAAGCTGGGATTACAGGCATGCGCCACCACACCCAGCTAATTTTTGTATTTTTAGTAGAGACAGGGTTTCACCATGTTGGCCAAGATGGTCTTAATCTCCTGACCTCGTGATCTGCCTGCCTGGGCCTCCCAAAGTGCTGGGATTACAGGCGTGAGCCACCGCGCCCGGCCTCCACCTCCTCTTCTTACCCGGTGTGACTTTTTTAGTTTTTTTTTGCAGGTCTCCTCTCTGACACGTGGGCAGATGCTTCTTAGCTTGTTTGCTGGTTGCGCCCTTCCTAGAATGCTGGCTCCATGGTGGCAGAAATTGTGTCTGTCTTTCATAATGTGTGTCCCCAGCACCTAAAGCAGAGTCTGGCACCTAATAGACACTCAATAAATATTTATTATTGGCCGGGCACGGTGGCTCACGCCTGTAATCCCAGCACTTTGGGAGGCCAAGGTAGGGAGATCACTGGAGGTCAGGAGTTCGAGACCAGCCTGGCCAACATGGTGAAACCTCATCTCTACCAAAGATACCTTTGGGTGTGGTGGCACGCTTGAACCCAGGAGGCAGAGGTTGCAGTGAGCCAAGATCATGCCATTGCACTCCAGCCTGGGCAACAGGGTGAGACTCTGTCTCAAATAAATAAATAAAATAAATAAAATTTATTATAATCAACAAATGGATAAATGAAAGAACAATGAATGTATCATATATATCCGTTGATGTCCATGTATGCAAATAAAAACATATCTCATTCCCTTTGATGGCTACCCAATATTCATTTTACTATTCTCTCTCTCCTTTTTTTTTTTTTTTTATTTGGACATGATTGGCTCTGTCACCCAGGCTGGAATGCAATGGTGCAATCTCTGCTCACTGCAACTTCCACCTCCCAGGCTCAAACGATCCTCCCATCTCAGCCTCCTGAGTAGCTGGGACCAAAGGCACACACCACCATGCCCGCCTAATTTTTGGTAGAGACGGGGTCTCACCATGTTGCCCAGGCTGGTCTCAACTCCTGAGCTCCAGCAATCTGCCCATCTCGGCCTCTCAAAGTGCTGGGATTACAGGCCTGAGCCACCGCACCTGGCCATTTTACTATTTTCAAGTTGATGAAAACATAAGTTGTCGTATTTTTTCCTTTTGTGGGGGACAAATGGGAGTGATTTTATGAATCATGCCACAATGAGCATCTTATACACATATTTATACACTTGTGCAGGAATTTCTGTAGGCTAGATTCCCAGAAGCAGAATTGTGGATCAAATGTAAACTTTTTATCAGAGTTGCTACAAATTTGAGTTCCAAAAGTAGAATGCCCTTTTCTTGTCTTTCCTCATCAACACTGGATAATTAGAACTAACATTAATTAACACTATGTTCTAAGCCCTTTACATGTGTTAATCTAATTAATTCTTAGATAAATCAGAAAATGATAATAGTAAGTGATTATAGGAAATGATTATATAGGACATGCTGAACACTGTCCTAAGTGTTTTTGTTTTGTTTTGTTTTCTGTTTTTTGAGACAGAGTTTTGCTCTTGTCACCCAGGCTGGAGTGCAATGGCGCCATCTCAGCTCACTGCAACCTCCGCGTTCAAGCAATTCTCCTGCCTTAGGCTCCCGAGTATCTGGGATTACAGGCGCATGCCACCATGCCTGGCTAGTTTTTGTATTTTTAGTAGAGACAAGGTTTCATCATGTTGGCCAGGCTGGTCTTGAACTCCTGACCTCGGCTGATCTGCCAACCTCAACCTCCCAAAGTGCTGGGATTACAGGTGTGAGCCACCACCCCGGGCCCTAAGTGTTTTATGTACATCATCTCACTTAGTCCTTGTAAAAATCCTCTGGGGTGGATATTATTATTATTATTATCATTTTACAGATGAGAAACTCAAGCATGAAACCTTAGGTCTAGTAATTTCTCCAGGATCCGACAGCCAAGAAGTGGGACAGGCCAGGTTGGATCAGAAAGTCCGGTTATAGAATCCTTACTGTAAACCACGCTTCTATCTTCCTTCTCCATGGGTAAGAGCAATGATTGTCTCCATTTTACAGAGAGGAAAACTGAGGTACAAAGAAGCTAGGAAACTTGGCCAAAAATATTATCAATCTTTTTAATTGGTGCAAATGTGATGGGTGAGAAATGGTATCTTATGGTTCTACTCTCTAAAGATATCTCTTATTCTTTTCTTCTTTGAATTTGAAAACAATTTAATTCCTTATTTGGATAAAGTAAATTTCTCAACTGATAAAATATGTATCCTGTTTAAATATAAGTGTCTGGGCTGGGCGCGGTGACTCACGCCTGTAATCCCAGCACTTTGGGAGGCCGAGGCGGGTGGATCACAAGGTCAGGAGATCGAGACCATCGTGGCTAACACGGTGAAACCCCGTCTCTACTAAAAAATACAAAAAATTAGCCAGGCGTCGTGGCGGGCGCCTGTAGTCCCAGTTACTCGGGAGGCTGAGGCAGGAGAATGGCGTGAACCCGGGAGGCGGAGCTTGCAGTGAGCCCAGATCGCGCCACTGCACTCCAGCCTGGGCGACAGAGCGAGACTCCGTCTCAAAATTAAATAAATAAATAAATAAATAAATAAATAAATAAATAAATAAATAAATAAATAAATGTGTCTGTAAAATGTGAATTCTTTTGCCATCTAGATCCAAATCATTAAAATAAATTCAGATTTCTTTTTACTCCTAAAATGCCTCTTAATAGGGACAGTCATGGTGGCTTACGCCTGTAATCCCAGCACTTTGGGAGACCGAGGCGGGCAGATCACCTGAGGTCGGGAGTTGGAGACCAGCCTGACCAACATGGAGAAACCCCTTATCTACTAAAAAAAAAAAAAATACAAAATTAGCCGGGTGTGGTGGTGCATGCCTGTAATCCCAGCTACTCGGGAGGCTGAGGCAGGAGAATTTCTTGAACCCGGGAGGCAGAGGTTGCAGTGAGACAAGATCGTGCCATTGCACTCTAGCCTAGGCAACAGGAGTGAAACTCTGTCTCAAAAAAAAAAAAAAGCCTCTTAATATCATTTTTTAATTTTGTTGAGATTCATAGGCGCGAGCCACTGTGCCTGGCCCATATTTTTATTTTTATTTTAAAGAGATGGGGTCTCCCTATGTTGCCCAGGCTGGTCTTGAACTCCTGGACTCAAGCTGTCTTCTGACCTCAGCTCCCAAAGTGCTGTGATTACTGGCATGAGCTACCATGCCTGGCGTCCGTTTTTTTTTTTTTTTTTTTGAGACGGAGTGGCACTCTGTCGCCCGCCCAGGCTGGAGGGCAGTGGCACCATCTCAGCTCACTACAAGCTCCGCCTCCCGGGTTCACGCCACTCTCCTGCCTCAGCGTCCCGAGTAGCTGGGACGACAGGTGCCCGCCACCACACCTGGCTAATTTTTTGTATTTTTAGTAGAGACGGGGTTTCACCGTGTTAGCCAGGATGGTCTCGATCTCCTGACCTCGTGATCCGCCTGCCTCAGCCTCCCACATATTTTTAAGTTAAAGTAATTTAAAGAGACAATAATTTTCTTGAGAGATAAATCGCAAATAAATTTTTTGAGAGATAAGTCACAAAAATATTTGAATTTGCAAGTTTATAATAGCCTGAATGTAACATGGTAGTCTGGGTTTGATCCTAGACAAGGATATTAGTGGAAAAACTGGGGAAATCCAGGAAGCCTGGAGTTTAGTTAATAGTCTTTGTCCAATATTAATTTCTTAGTTTGGACAAATGTACCCTTGGTAGGCAAGATGTTACTGTTAGGGGAAGTGAGGTGACAGGAGCTCTCTGTATTAACTTTGCAACTTTTCTATACTTCTAACAATTATTCCAGCTAAAAAGTATATTTTAAATGAGTGTTGAAGGCTATTTTTCAGATCTGTAAACACACTCCCAATGCGGTTAGGCAAACATGGGAAACACCTGGCCATGGCCACATTATGGTAAAAAGAAAAAAAAGATCTCTGTGATCCTTCTGCTGGACAAAAGGGTATATTTAGCCTCAGATTTTTTGCGGTGACCTTTGCATTCTGAAATGAATTAGAGGTTTACGTGTCAGAATGTAAAGAGCAGGAAACCAGGAAGTTGATGGGGAACGACTTTCCTGTTGTATTTCACTTGTTTACATACAGCAGCATCACCGAGAGCAGAGATTTTGCTAGATTATGTTGACATCACATATCCCTGATCCACCACTGGGGGCTGAAAGCAGCATGCACCACCCCCAGCCAAACTGCTGGAAATTCCTGCATGAAATTTCAATCGCATGGTTTAGCTGTATTATTATTATTATTATTAGCTGGGTTATTATTGTTATTATTAGCCGTATTATTATTATCATTATTTTAGCTGAGTTATCTTAATTTGCTCTTTTTCTCTGGCTATTTTGATCTGAAATGAATTACTTATCTTTTCTCTTGTGGGCAGTAAAGAAGTTCTTTTTGTCTCAAATACAATCTAAGATAAATTTTGGAAAGCAAACCATGCTCCTTGACAAACAACTTCGTGTTCACCTCTCTTCATGGTAAACATTGGAAATGTGAACATCTCTGTTTGTCTCTCGTTTGTTCTTTAACAAATGTAACATTTTCAATACAGATAACAAAAAGTCCAATTTCAGAGAATTCTGCCTATCTAGCTCACCCCTCTATACCAGGATCATCAGCATCAGACACTCATATTTGTAGGATAGACAAATGAAGAGGAAGAAAATGTCATATAATATTCTTGCATTTAAGATCTTTAGGAAGGATAAAAGCATATTTCTCTGCAGGAATGTTAAAGTAGCATATTTGACAATGTGATTACAGGAGAGTATGTGTTGCCTTTAATATTCGTTTTTTAGGAATAGTCTTTATTCTAAGCCATTTCCATGTTAATTTGAGGAAGAGGTTATTTTCCACCTTATCACTCAAATCTGACGATGTTTGGCTTCTCAGAAATATCAAAATGCTTACATTTTGTTTTCATTCGTGAAACAAATGTATGGGTTTTGGTTGGGCTTGGACTCAAATGGCATTTTAAAACAGGAGCATATGTTTCGGGAGCAATTAGCGATTGTTTAATATAACGACCCTGCAGGCTGGAAAGGCTGCAGGTCAGAATTGTTAACAGGCAAAGCAATGAAAAATAGTAAAGCATTAGCAGATAGCGTAAATAGTCAAATTTGACCTCCAAAGGTCAAGAGAGAACTAAATAATTTGGTCGCAGCACTGACTGATTTAAATCAATGCAATCCCAATTTCCTTTTTTGCCGGTTTGCCTTTGGTATTCCACGGTCTAGTACTCGCCAGGAGTCAGGAGAGAGAACAGGGTAGGGTCTACTCAGTGATATAATTTTACTAAATGTGGGTGGTTTCGAGAGAAAAAATAGCCAAAAGTATTTCAAGGACCAAATGAAATTATTTAAACAGAACGCCATTGTGTCTGTCCTCTTAACTACTTGGTTTTGTTTCTCTAAGGATGATTTATGATGGTAACACCGATACAAATACATAATTAACCATGGGAGCATTTTGCATCTCAGGTTTCCCACATTTTTTCTCATTTGTAGGCTTCTTAGATTTAAAATTATACCTTTACCCTATGAAACTGAAAAATCAGCAAAATTCGTAAATTGCTAGACCAAATAAGTTTTTATCTTTTTTAAAGTGTGAAAAAATGATCCCCTGAATTCTTTTGGATTTCTACCTAATTTTTTTTTTTTAGTGGAATGATTCCCTCCCTCTTGACTGCTTCTGTCTTCTATTTTTTCATGTAGGACTCTTCTTCGTCATCCCTCACATAGATAATATGTGGCTTACTCAAATTTATTTTTAAGGTACTATATCCTGTTTTGATCAGGAAAAGTATATTTTAAAGAAAAAAAAATCTTTTGGTGATTACAAAATCACTTTAAGACCCAGGGGGAACTATGCCTCAGTGACAAAACAAATTTGCCACAAATCATTGTACAAAAGAACAGCAGGACCTAAGCCTAAACTCGGGGACCGCTCCCATTCATCTTTCATTTGTTTTGGAAACTCCACCCTCCTCCTGCCATGTTCAATATCTAATTGGCATTCTGACCCTTCAGATAACTCAACATCTGCTACTCTGATGCATCTTGGAAACTCTTTGTTCCCGTAAGGCGGAGTTCAAGGGGCTCTCTTCACTGATACACAAGATTCATGCATGCTATTGTGTACGCAGCTTCTGGTGCTGAATGGAGACAAAACTTTTGCAAGCTAATATGAAAAATGAAGTGACTCTCATATTCTAACCAAATCATCTTCAGCAGGTTTAAAATTATGCATGGCTGGACAAGACAGCAGTGCATTAACCAAACAATTAAGCTTCGCTTCTTTCATAAGCAATTTAAGGCTGGAATCCACGTATCTATTTTTACTGTGACTTGTTTGCATATTTTGGCCTGATAGCCTTTGTTTTTCTCTATTATGAGGCAACATATGTACTGATGTTTAATCTCCTAAAACAGATTATGTAGATATAAACTAGGATTTTTTTTTAAGCAGAATCACACAGGTGATTGATTTTTCAATGTATTATTTCATTGAATCCAAGATACTACAAACTGTACATTTTAGAATTATTTTTAGGTACTATAAAGAAAGAAAAACTTATACTAACCAATCTGTGATATGCCTTTGATTCTAAGACGTAGGCCTAATATCTGAGATGTAAAAATGTGAAAAAAAATGCATATCTGGGACTGATGCAATTTGCTAGTAGGTGCACACCCTCGCACAGTTTTGTGGGAGAGATTATGCAATTTATGTTTCTGCAATTTACCAGGAAACCTGCCATCTGCTTCAGCTGTGTTTCTTTCCTTTGGTGGCTGGGTTTTGCTGAGGGATGTCCAGTGGCTTTCCTCTACCTTTCGGTTTTCAGACTCATCTAAGGAAGATCCCCTGGTACCACTTGCTAAGATTGTGTACCCTGGGCTGCAAGTCAGAATCACAGTATGGGCAACTGGTTTCCTTTTATTATTTTACTGAGCAGCTTGGTTTAGGGTCAGTAGGATTTTATTATCTTCTGGGAAGAATTAAAAGACCCACAATGAGCTGAGAAGGTTTTCGGTCCTTTTTTTAAAAGTGTCAGCCATATTTCCCCCCATAATACTTGCATGTGAAAGTTATCTTAAGTTTTGTACCAGCCTAGAAGATTCTACTAGTCTATTGCTAATAGTTTAGGCTTCAGGAGAAGCCAACAAAAGGGTATGAGAAATAATCAAGCCATCAGGAATGTAGGGAAGTTTTACCAAAAACAACAAAAAAACAAAAAAAATCAAGTAACTGGGCCGGGCATGGCAGCTCATGTCTGTAATCCCAGCCCTTTGGGAAGCCAAGGCAGGAGGTCACTTGTGGTGAGGAGTTTGAGACTAGACTGGGCAGCAAAGCAACAGCCCGTCTCTACAAAAATAAACATAAAAATTAGCTGGGGGTGGTGGCACGAACCTGTAGTCCCAGCTACTCGGGAGGCTGAGGTGGGAGGATCCCTTGAGGCCAGAAGTTCCAGGCTGCAGTGAGCTATGTTCATGCCACTGCACCCTCGCGGGGGTGACAGAGTGAGACTCCGCCTCTAAAAAAATAAAAATCAAGTAACTGATTTTTTTTCCCCTTGGTTTAAATGGTCATGAGGGGTGTTATGTTTTGGTTCAAATCTCTGCTCTGCCTTTTTCTAGCTAGGAGACTTTTGGGCAAAGGTTTGCATTTTTGTAATAGGGAGCAATATTCACCTAGCAAGATTAAATGAGTGAATGCATATAACATGTTTAGCTGAGTGTTCTGTGCATATTGTTAATTGTCATTATTCCTGCTTTTGTTAGACACAGTCGCTTTTGACCCAAAGCTGCCAAAATTTCATGCTGGTTCCCAAACAGATGCACTGTTCTCCTGACATAGCCTGGAATTCCTCAAAGGGTAAACTCTCACTACTGTTATTAGGATTATTATGAGTAATGTGCTTTTCTTTGTCTCTGTCAGTCCTTCCTTCAAAACTGTAAATCAGTATTTTTCTATATCTAGCTGCAATAACTGCAAATCATCAGGCAAAATGTCTACATGTGCTCCCTTTCCTCTTTCTTTCTTTCTTTCTTTCTTTTGAGGTGGAGTCTCGCTTTGTTGCTTAGTCTGGAGTGCAGTGGCACAATCTCGGCTCACTGCAACCTTCGCCTCCCGGGTTCAAGCAATTCTCCTGTCTCAGTCTTCCAGGTAGCTGGGATTATAGGCATGCATCACCATGCCCGGCTAATTTTTGTATTTTTAGTAAAGATGGGGTTTTCACCATGTTGGCCAGGCTGGTATCAAACTCCTGACCTCAGGTGATCCACCTGCCTTGGCCTCCCAAAGTGCTGGGATTATAGACATGAGCCACTGTGCCAGGCCACCCTTTCTTATTTCTAAGTCCTGTTTATGAGTATTATTTTCTAGGGCTTTTATTGTTTAAATGCTGGTCTTTCTTTCCTAATAAGTTGAAACAGCTACATAATCAATGACCTATCTTTTGGTCTTCATCCATCATTGTCATCTTTTGACTATGAGCATTATTTGTTAAAATTTCTGAACAGGGTGAAACATGCTGATAATCAGAGATTTTGCTTTGGCTTGATACATTTCTGTGTGTGAACAACTGGGGACAAAAAGATAAAAGAGACATGGTTTTTGCTGGGGAGAAATGCATAGTAGGGAGGGCAAAACCCCCAACCCAGCTATTTAATTTATTTACTTTTTAGGACCTTTTAAAACATCTCATTAGCCACCAGACAGGCAGGGCTGGGACTAGAGGGAGGCAGAAAATTTAAGGGGCTGTAAAAAAAACTCAGTAATCAAGATAAATAATATTTCATTGCAATGTTTTGCTCTGCCACTTTTTAGCTATGCGGCTTTGGACAAATTACTCACCTTTTATGTCTAATCTGTCAAATGGAAGGAATGTTCACCTGAGTTGTTATGGATTAAATGAGGTTCAACATTTCCTGATCTGAAATGCTTGGAGCCAGAAGTACTTCGGTTTTGGAATATTTTCAGATTTTGGAATATTTCCATTATACTTGAATTTGAAAACCTGAAATCTGAAATCTCCAGTGAGCATTTCCTTTGAGTGTCATGTGGGTGTTCAAGAAAGCTTCAGCCTTTGGAGCATTTTGGATTTGTGATATTTAACCAGTAATACATACAATTGCTCAGTGCCCAACAAAAGTCCAAGATGAGCGAAATTCCAAAATTTTAGATAAAGAACAGAATCTGTGAGCAAGATTTCACTGAGTGAGTTTTGAAAAAAATCCAAATGGGTCATTTGGAGCAAAATAACTAACAAGGATTCTGATGCCAAGTAAGGGCAGGCAAGCAAGGCTTGTGCGGATCGTCCTTGTCTCCTCTTTTCTCCTCTCCTTTGTTAAAAACAGGTATCAGGCTGGGCCGGGCACGGTGGCTCATGCCTGTAATCCCAGCACTTTGGGAGGCTGAGGCAGGTGGATCACCTGAGGTCAGAGATCGAGATCATCCTGGCTAACACGGTGAAACCCCGTCTCTACTAAAAGTACAAAAAAATTAGCCAGACTTGGTGGCGGGCGCCTGTAGTCCCAGCTACTTGGGAGGTTGAGGCAGGAGAATGGCCTGAACCCGGGAGGCGGAGCTTGCAGTGAGCCGAGATCGCACCACTGCACTCCAGCCTGGGCGACAGAGCGAGACTCCGTCTCAAAAACAAAAACAAACAAACAAACAAACAAACAAACAAAAAACAGGTATCAGGCTGGGCGCCGTGACTCACGCCTGTAATCCCAGCACTTTGGGAGGCCGAGGCAGGTCGATCACTTGAGTCAGGAGTTGAAGACCAGCCTGGACAACATGGTGAAACCCCATCTCTACTAAAAATATAAAAATTAGCTGAGCATGGCGTTGCCTGCCTGTAGTCCCAGCTACATGGGAGGCTGAGGCATGAGAATCACTTGAACCTGGGAGGTGGAGGTTGCAGTGAGCTGAGATCGCGCCACTGCACTCCAGCCTGGGTGACAGAGCAAGACTTCATCTGAAAAAAAAGGTGACCGGACACAGTGGCTCATGCCTGCAATCCCAGCACTTTGGGAAGCCGAGATGGGTGGATAGCCTGAGGTCAGGAGTTCAAGACCAGCCTGGCCAACATGGTGAAATCCCATCTCTACTAAAATACAAAAATTAGCCAGGTGTGGTGGCGGGTGTCTGTAATCCCAGCTGCTCAGGAGGCTGAGGCAGGAGAATTGCTTGAACCTAGGAGGTGGAGGTTGCAGTGAGCCAAGATTATGTCACTGCACTCCAGCCTGGGCAACAGAGTGAGACTCCATCTCAAAAAGAAAAGGAAAAAAAAAGGGGAGGGGGTTATCAAGCAGTGCATAGGATCTAAAATTTGATTTCCTTAAGTTCAAATTCTGGATCTATGACTTATTAGCTGGGTGGCCTTAAGAAATTTACTTAACCTCTCTGAACCACACTTTCCTCATCTGTAAAAGAGGGGCAATGAAATAGATCTCACATAAGGACTAAATGAGATCGTCTGTGGAGAGCAAGCACTCAGTCAGGGGCAGCGGTGTTGCTAACGAGACAGTGCAACCCAAAAAAGAAAACCATCATCTCAGTTTACTCAGCTTCTGCTTGCCACTGACGGTGCCGGCCACCACTTTCTGAAGGGCGTCTCTGCCTCATCCATGCAGATAAGATTGTGTTCATGGCCGGGCGTGGTTGCTCACACCTGTAATCCCAGCACTTTGGGAGGCCTAGGCAGGTGGATCACTTGAACCTAGGAGTTTGATACCAGCCCGGGCAACATAGCGAGATCCTGTCTCTACAGAAAATAAAAATTAGCCAAGCATAGTGGCGTGTACCTGTAGTCCCAGCTACTCAGAAGGCTGAGGTGGAAGGATTGCTTGAGCCTGGAAGTTTGAGGCTGCAATGAGCTGTGATTGCATCACTCCACTCCAGCCTGGGCGACAAACCGAGAACTTGTCTCAAAAAAAAGAGAATGTGTTCATGATTTAGTGCACTTACAAAGCATGGCCAGGTCACAGAACCAACTGATGTAGAACTCTGAATTTTCACACCAACACTGACACTTTCTGGAACTTTTCTTTTTTTTGAGACTACAGGTGTACACCACCACACCCGGCTAATTTTTGTAGTTTTTGTAGAGATGGGGTTTCGCCACGTTGTCCAGGCTGGTCTTGAACTCCTGAGCTCAAGGGATCCACTTGCCTCAGCTTCTCAGAGTGCTGGGATTACAGGTGTGAGCCACGCACCTGGCCTCTTTGGAACATTTAAAAAAGCTTATTATTACAATTATTATAATTGTTTTGGCAAAAATATTCGAACACACCTAAAAGTAGAGTGAATAGTACTACGGACCCTCATAGGCCATTATCCAGATTCAGTAATTAAGATTTTGCAACACTTACTTCAGAGAGTCTCCTCTCCTTACCCCACCTTTATATTTTAAAGCATATCACACTGTAGGATGACTATAGTTAATCAAAACATGTTATATGGTTTCAAATAGTTAGAAGGAAGATACTGAATATTCCCAGTGCAAAGAATGATACAAAGATGATGGACATGACTAACTACCCTGATCTGATCACTATACATTATATGTATCACAACATCACTATGTACCGCATAAATGTGCTCAATTATTATTTTAAAAGTTTTTAAAAAGTGTATCATATAATTTAAAAAGTTTTTTAAAAATGCATCATTGGGCTGGGTGTGGTGGCTCATGCCTGTAATCCCAGCACTTTGGGAGGCTGAGGCGGGTGGATCACCTGAGGTCAGGAGTTCAAGACCAGCCTGGCCAACATGGTGAAACCCTGTCTCTACTAAAAATACAAAAAATTTAGCCAGGCCTGGTGGCAGATGCCTGTAACCCCAGCTACTCGGGAGACTGAGGTAGGAGAATCACTTGAACCCGGAAGGCGGAGGTTGCAGTGACCCGAGATTGCACCACTGCACTCCAGTCTGGGGAACAAGAGTGAAACTCCGTCTCAAAAAAAAAAAAAAAAAAAAAAAGCATCCTTGACTTCGTGTCATTTTACCCTATACACTTAGTATTCATCAATGTTTTTAAAGTTTATTAAAGAAAACTCCCACACAATGCCATTATCTTGTCCAACAAAACAAACAATGTTTCCTTGATATCATCTACTACCCAAAGGTCCTCAGCATCTCAAAAATGCCTGCTTTACCCTGGATTTGATGGAATCAGGATCCAAGCAAGATCTGCCCCACTGCATTTGGTTGTCAAATGAAACCCTTTTCTATAAGAACTCTCAGCAGGCAACTGTTGAATTTCTAAACTCTTCAGTTTCTCTGGCTCACAAGCACAGAACACAAACAAACAAACAAAATCCCAACCTATTTTTCAAACTTGTTATTCAAGGGGAAGAGTGTCAAGCTAGAGGCCCTGCAAGCAGCAGAAGGGGCGGTTAAGAAGTGTGTTGGGAGAGATTGTGTTCCTTCGCAGCATGGTGAGCCTCCCAGACTGGATCCAACCTCGTATCCAGGTGTTGGGCCTCAATCCCACTTGAGCCGTTGTTTATCGCCCTCCCGTGGATTAATCCCCTGTCAGTTAGGCCAGAGAAGCTCTGGAGAAGGCCTGCGTAGCATCCCATGTGTCAAGGCCCCCTTTGATACACTTTATCTGCCCTTATCCCTTCAGACGCGCCATGACTCCTCTGCTGGTCATGGCCTCGGAGCTTTAGAATCTCTGCACAGTGACTGACATCCCTCCTATGGAGGAAAGGCAGGGGATTTTTCTTTTTTGGACGGCAATCATTGTTGATCTGATAAGATGTTTTTCAGGGAATCAAATGTCAAACCGGGAGTGCTGTGAGTCCGGGATGAAGTAGCAGTTACAGGACTAAGCAGCTTTGCCTATTCATTTTGACTGCAAGGACACCTCCTTGGTCTTGTCGAAACTGTGGACCTCATTTTGTTTATTTATTTATTTATTTTTGGATGGGGAGAGGGTGATCCAGAAAAAGTGATGCATGAATACGGTTTCAAATCCTTGTGGGAATTAACACATTGTCATATATTCAAATTTCAATGCTATACTATCATAACTATTCACCCGAGGAAAAAGGAAGGTTACTGCATTTTGTTGTACAATAAATATAAATGTAGTAATGTTAATTAATTAAATCAATGTGGTTGGTTGCATGTTGTTTTTTAGTGGTGACTGCTGCTCTTATTAGTTTTCATACATTTAAAATGATTGTTTTACAATTTTCAATCAAATTTTAATTATACAACGAATGCATAAATCCAATTTGTTCTGTAAAAACATGCATGCTTCAGAAATAAAGCTAAAAGTCTTTGATCACCATCCCTAAATTCAGTCCCCATCCCCTTAAGAGGGATCAGTTGCTATCAGGTTGCTATATACAAATAACAGACCTTTATTTCTATGCAAGTACATCCATACATATGTTTTAGGCTTAATTCAGAAATTCTTCCTGGAGTCAATATATGTGTGCTTCATAATTTTTGCCTCCTGAAGATCATGGTAATGCATTTCAGGAGCTATTGTCAAAAAGTGTTAATACACCAATTTGTTGATGCATTGTACAAAATCTAGCCAGCTGTACACATCTTGGCAGGTGTACCCAAATGAACCACTCTTGTTCCCTCTGGAACAAAATTGGAATTGTTAGACAGAATTCCAATATGATACTGAACATCAACATGTTTGAACAAATGCTGAAAATGGCAATTCTCTCACCTCCAGCCTTAAATCTTAGATTCCTAAAATTGACCATCGAAGTTGAATGAAAATAAATTTTCCTAAAGCAAGGAGCCCCATTCACCTAACTTCTGCCCTCTCCTGTTAATAACATTTTGCATTATTTTACCCCCTTTATTAAACATATTGAAGAGAAGATGAAACTGGAATAAGATCATTCTTAACCAATATGTTTTGAGTTTTCTAGTGAAAAACAGAAATCATTTAACATGATTTTTATCTGACACAATCTTCAAAATTTCCCCAAGCCAATTTTTCTTTTTCGAATATATATAAATTCTGCTGCTTTTAAGTGATACTTGTCCATTATTAAATTCCTGACGCCGTGCATCCCTGCCAAAAAAACAGGATTAGAGAAGTAAAACAGTCAGACACAGATGTTTTTAATTTCCTCCTAATAGAAAGCATCAGAAACCCAAGTTCGCATAATTCTAATAAACATAATTATCACTAACGTGTATTTCACATATCATTCAAAGCACTTGGCATGTATTATCTCATTTCTTGTCAAAATTACCCTAGGAGGTAGATACTACTACTCCAGAAATGCTAAATCTAAGCATTGGGTAAACTGGACAGATCTATGTCCTCCCCTTGTCAGAGCTGACATTTTAGGGGCAAATAGATTAATTAATAAGAAAACAAATGAATACACCAAATCCTCTCAAAGAGTGACTAGCACTAAGAAGACCTAGTGGGACCATCTTTTATCTTCAGAAAAACATGGCATGCAGTCATACTGCCTTTCTGTAGATGAAGAAATTGAGGCGCTGACAAAGTGCCTAAGGCCACAAAGGTGACAAGCGGCAGGCAGAACTAAAGATGGCATCTATGAGTTTGTAACTTTTTGATGCAATTTTTGATGCATGGAAGATTGCATAATTATTATTGGATCCCTTCTCTTTCCCCACTACCTTCCCACTGGGAAACCAAATAAAGCTATCCCAACCCACCAAGTATAATTTTTATATTTTTGTCAAAGCAAGAGGGTCAAAATGTTTCAATCGCTCAACCACTATTTCTTGAGTAACTTCTGTGTAGTTGGTTGCCTGGAATGGTTTAGTGAACTGGACAGACATACTCACACAGAGTGCACTGTCTAGTGGGAGATGTGACAGGTAGCCTGCGAATTAATGAACCAGTACATATGATGAAGAGCAATGCATATTATGAAGAAGTAAACTGGGAACGTGGGTAGAAAATGACTTGAGTGGGTGCATGTGAGGGTTTAGCAGGATGGTCAGGGAAGGCTCTCTGAGGAGGTGAATTCTGAGCTGAAAGCTGAATGATGAGATTATGCAAAAAACGTGGGGGAAGCGCATTCTAGGATGGGGGATTAGCACATACAAAGCCCCTGCTGTGGGAACCAGCTTGGCATGTTCAAGGATAGCAAGAAGGCCAGTGTGGCTGACAGAGGGAGGGAGGCAGAGAGAGAGGCCAGATCGGAGGGTGCAGGTCCTTGTGGACACTCTAAGGAGGATGGAATTTATTGGAGGGGCCATGGGAGTGATACGATCCAATGAACACAAGTTGTGGTACAACACACTGTTGCATAGTGTTGACGTGGAACATCCCAGATAGTGAGGAATTTGGCACAAGAACTGCTGAATCTCAGGGTCTCAAAAAGTATAGCTAAGCCCTATCTCCTATAGGACACCCACGCAGGGCTCCTAGACAGGCATCACGCAGACTCCAGTGGCTTTGAACACTTCATCCAAATTTATTTATTTTTTAAAATTTTTATTCTTGGCCAGGTGCGGTGGCTTATGCCTGTAATCCCAGCACTTTGGGAGGCCGAGGTGGGTGGATCACGAGGTCAGGAGATCGAGACCATCCTGGCTAACACGGTGAAACCCCGTCTCTACTAAAAATAAAAAAAAATTATCTGGGTGTGGTGGTGGGCACCTATAGTCCCAGGCTGAGGCAGGAGAATGGCGTGAACCCAGGAGGCGGAGCTTGCAGTGAACCGAGATCGCGCCACTGCACTCCAGCCTGGGCGACAAAGCGAGACTCTGTCTCAAAAAAAAAAAAAAAAATTTATTCTTTTAGAGCCAGGGTCTCGCTCTGTTGCCCAGACTTCAGTGCAGTGGTGCAGTCGTGGCTCACTGCAGCTTCAACTTCCTGGGTTCAACTGATCCTCCCACTTCAGCCTCCTGAGTAGCTGGGACTACAGGTGTGCACCACCACGCCCAGCTAATTTAAAAAATTTGGGGGTCCAGGTGTGGTGGCTCACACCTGTAATCCCAGCACTTTGGGAGGTCGAGGCGAGTGGGTCACCTGAGGTCAGGAGTTAAAGACTAGCCTGGCCAGTATGGCGAAACCCTGTCTCTACTAAAAATACAAAAATTAGCTGGGCGCAGTGGCACCTGCCTGTAATCCCAGCTACTCTGGGGGCTGAGGCAGGAGGATCGCTTGAGCGCCGGAGGCAGAGATTGCAGTGAGCTGAGACCACGCCACTGCACTCCAGCCTGGGCGACAGAGCAAGACTCTGTCTCAAAAAAGTAAATTTTTTTTTGTAGAGACAGGGTTCCACTGTGTTGCCCAGTGAGCAACTCAAACGCCTGGCCTCAAATGATCCTCCTGCTTTGGCCTCCCAAAGTGCTGGGATTACAGTTGTGAGCCACCATACCCGGCCTTTATCCAAATTTAAACCTTGAAGGCAAGGCAGAAGAAGCACAAGTAACACATTACATTTTTCAGGATTCAGCTTTTGTTGGCTACTATAGGTGATTTAGGTTCTGCTAAAATTACCATTTCGAGTATTAGAAATCAAAAAACCTAGAAGGGAAAAACGTAAATGACATATAATAAGAGACTTTGGGGAGCATTTAAATATGGCATTGTATATCCTGTTGCGCATTCTTTGAATAAGTTCACTGCATTAAAGGGCTCCCCAGCAACCTGGCTCCATTGATCTCTTCTGAGGAGGGAACAGGAAAATGGGGCCTGAAGGAGGACTTTTCCCTGCATATCCTTGCGCCTTTTAAGTTTTGTAACATAAGACTCTTTGACCCTGCTTTAAAAAAGGAAAGTTATATAGACAAATAAATAAATGTATTACTCATATTTTTATCAGTTAAATAGGCAGAACTGCTCGTTGGTGCATTGTCTTAAATGCGTCTTAAGCTGGTTTGGTTTTCGTTAGACTTTGAGAATGCTTTTCCTTGTTATAATTCCACTGAACGCCTATCAAATACAGCCCCTTGACTGAATTCTCTTGTAAAATAAAATCTTTCTTAATCCAAAGTGGAATGAATGGCAAATAACATAAAAGTTAAGCTATTAGTTGATTATACACCATGTTTAATCTATTGTATTCCTTAATGGGTGTTTTCGTTGTTCCTGTTTAGCGAGAATTATATGAAATCATCACCAAGACCTCATTTACTTGGAGTGATTTATTTTGGGGAAAACCAGATGTTTGGGATGGCTGATAACGCATGAAAAGCTGCATTCTTTGCTGTTCGTTTTCTAAGGGTGTGTTAGGCAATGATGACAAATATTAAGGTACCACATTACTCTGTCTTACTGACATGCCCGTGACTGATCTTTTTTATCAGTTAGTTAAAAACACACACAAAGAAAGAAAATTTAATAAAAAGCTTTAAATGTGTGCACAGTTCAAGAAGTTAATTTAGATTTAGATTGCTAACCTATCCTTTGTGTTTAAAAATTTTTAACAAAAACCTCACACACTGATACTACACACACACACACACACACACACACACACACACACACTCCTACAATCTGTTGGAAATATTTCTAAAGGACCACCTTGGGTCAGGAAAAAAACATGCTTTGGCTGCTTGGTTTGAATAAGTGGTATAATTGCTATTTGTCTATTTTTAAAATTCCAATTCTTATTGAATTAGGCACACGGACCCTGATGAAGCTGCAGGAAACAGCTGAACTACTTGTGTGGCTAATTTCAGAAATTCAAAGAAAATGCAAACTTGAGTGTGTCACATAACATGTTTACGGCAACATGCAGAAGGGAGATGGCTTTGGCCATTGACTTGATTTCTCTCCTTGTATCCAGATAATCCTGCAGGTGAAATGTGATGATTCTCCAAAAATTGAGCTGGGAGAGTCCAAGATCCACACCCAGGGCCCACAAGGGCCACCTGCCCCTTCAACTCTGCCACAACTGTGGGTCCAGTCCCAGCACCGGGAGATTTCCCATCCAATGAAGGAAGCCTTCCAGTCCACCCTGGGGCTGCAGACCAGGCAACCCAAGGTACAGCTGAGCAATGATTCATTCGCCAGCCTTAGACTTATTTCTACCCCTCTGGCACTGCTGGCCATACCTGAGTCTTCAAATTATGTTCTCCACGTGTTTTGAATGCAGGCACTGTCTCAGTGCCAAGTGCAGGGTGTACTTTGCCATCCAAGGATAACAGTATCATGGGGAGAGCTTCTCTCACCTTACACGGAACTCATTCAGAGATAGAAGCGTCCAGACTTTTCTGAGCAAAACCTTATTTTTGATTTCCAGTGCTAGAAATAGAAAATAGTGGGCAGATCATCTGTCTCCACCAAAGGTCAGTTCTCTTGCATTACGTCTTTTGATGAAAGAGTGTAATACATTAAAATATGTATCTCCAGCTGGGCGTGGTGGCTCACGCCTGCAATCCCAGCACTTTGGGAGGCCAAGGCAGGCGGATCACTTGAGGTCAGGTGTTCGAGACCAGCCTGGCCAACATGATGAAACCCCATCTTTACTAAAAATACAAAAAATTAGCCGGTGTGGTGGTGCATGTCTGTAATCCCAGCTACTTGGGAGGCTGAGGCAGGAGAATCGCTTGAACCGGGGAGGTGGAGGTTGCAGTGAGCGGAGATTGTGCCACTGCACTCCAGCCTGGGCGACAGGGTGGGACTCCATCTCAAAAAATAAATAAAATAAAATAAAATAAAATAAAATAAAATAAAATAGGTATCTCCTATTTTAACGCATGATGTGGCTGTTGCAGGTGGCATTATCGGCGGGAGGACCACACCCGGTAGAGCATATAATGCCTCTGTAAGGTGAGCCTCAGCATGCACATAGGGACCTCACTGGGGATAGTGAAGTTTCTCCTTTTTGTGTTTTGTAATGTGAGTGAGGGACTTCGATGACTCCAACCACATGACTGGGGAGTGAGGCCCCGGTGTACTCCAGTGCAAGCACTGAGGCTGTGTCAACAAGACTAAACACAGACGAAAACTGAAAGATTCAGTAAGTCAACACTTTGGGGTTTGTGGAGGGAGGGAAAGGCCATTGATGACTCAGACTGAATAGGTCTCTCCCTTGAATTAATTTATTACTATTATTTAAAAATCTACAAGAATGAGAGCAGCTGCTACCTTGTGTCAGGCCCGGTTCTGAATGCTTTACAAACATGAACTCAATTACATCTCATGGTAACTTTTCTTATCTGCATTTGAATGATGAGGGAATCAAGTCATGAGAGGGATTATAAACTGGTCTATGGCCCCTCTTTGACTCACAGATGGATTTTTTTTTTTTTTGAGGTGGAGTCTCCCTCTGTCACTCAGGCTGGAGTGCAGTGGCGTGATCTTGGCTCACTGCAACCTCCGCCTCCCAGGTTCAAGCAATTCTCCTGACTCAGCCTCCCAAGTACCTGGGATTACAGGCGCCCACAGCCACACCTGGCTAATATTTGTATTTTTAGTAGAGACGGGGCTTCACCATGTTGGCCAGGCTGGTCTCAAACTCTTAACCTCAGGTGATCCACCTGCCTTGGCCTCCCAAAGTGCTGGGATTACAGGTATGAGCCATAGCGCCTGGCCCCACAGATAGGTTTTCACTTACAAAGAGTTTAGAAGGTTGGTAAAATTCATATAAAATGAAAACTTCTGGCTTTTCTTTAAAAAATGGAAAAATTGGGTGGTTTGGGGCCTGCATTTCTGCATGGGGACCATTGTCTGGATCACGGGGGCAACAGCGAGAGGCTGACTGGCAAGACACACAGACACAGCCCCTGGAGAGAGAATGGCCTTCGTCGTCACCAGAGTTCCTGCCTGGCCCACTGCACACATTTCTGACCCATGCCAGGGCCCCCTGAGATCACTGGAGTTGTGACCCTTATGTTTCAAGCCATTTGAGTTCATTGAAGTGGGCAGATCAGTGGTGGTGGTGATGGAGTCTGAAGAAATTGAGGAGGGAATAAAATATTTGTTGAGTGAATGAATGAATGAATGAATGAATGAATGAATGAGTGAATATGTCCCTGGGCTTGGGTTGAGTTTTCTGGGTAGCTTGAAGGATAGAAAATACAAGGAATGCCCTAATGTGATGATCTGAGGCAGGGACTCTGGAGTCAGGCTGCCTGGATTCAAACCCCATCTTATTAGCTGCTGCATAGTGAACTCTGGACTTCAGAGTTCCCGTCTGTAAAATGGGGAAAGTAGCTGTTACACCAGGTGGCTACATGAATTAAATGGGATATAAAGTGTTAAGCACAATGCGTGGCACACAATAGGTGTACAACAAAAGTTAGCTATGAAAGTCCTTTAAAAATGCACCTTTTGGGCCGGGGGCGGTGCTCACACCTGTAATCCCACTACTGTGGGAGGCCAAGGCAGGTGGATCACCCAAGGTTAGGAATTCAAGACCATCCTGGCCAACATGTTGAAACCCCATCTCTACTAAAAATACAAAAATAATAGCTAGGCGTGGTGGCAGGCACCTGTAAGCCCAGTTACTCAGGAGGCTGAGGCTTGAACCCAGGAGGTGGAGGTTGCAGTGAGCTGAGATCGCACCGCTGCGCTCTAGCTTGGGCTACAAGAGCAAAATGCTGTCTCAAAAAAAAAAAATGTACCTTTTATGAAATTGAAATAAAGGTCTGTAGTTTAGTTAATAATAACATACCCAGGTTAGTTTCTTAACAGTGACATATGTATCCCCAGTGAGGGGAAAGCGAGGAGGGGTATATGGGAACACGCTGTACTGTCTTTGCAAGTTTTCTGTAAAACCCAACTTGTTTCATGATAAAAAGTGCACCTTGGTTGGACGCGGTGGCTCACGCGTGTAATCCCAGCACTTTGGAAGGCCAAGATGGGCCTGACCAACATGATGAAACTCCGTCTCTACTAAAAATACAAAAAGTAGCCGGGCATGGTGGTGTGCGCCTGTAGTCCCACCTACTCGGGAGGCTAAAGCAGGAGAATTGCTTGAACCCAGGAAGTGGAGGTTGCAGTGAGCCCAGATCGTGCCACTGCACTCCAGCCTGGGTGACAGAGTAAGACTCTGTCTCAAAAAAAAAAAAAAAAAAAAAAAAAAAAAAGTGCACCTTTGGCTGTAAACTATATAAGTCTCGTTTCATCAATGCTTATGCCAAATATTTACTGAAATTAAAATCTGCAAATGTACTCTCAGGTTTTCATGCATCGAGGCCATAAAATCTGTTTGTGAAATAATTTCCCAAATTGGTTTTTAAAATGTGTGGCTATTTTGGGAAATACCGCTTTCTATATCATTGGCTGATCCAATGTCATGATGTATACAGGCACTAGTGAGCCATGGTGGGTATCAGAGCAGAGGGTGAGCAGCACCACAAAAGTTCTAAGTTGGGATGAATATCCTGGCTGAAACAAAGAGGTAGAATGAAGTCCAGAAATCAGAACAACTGGTTTGAGTCTCAATTATACGGTTGCCACCTATGTGACCCAGAGCCAGTCACTCAGATTCTCTGAGCCTTAGTCCCTCCATCTGTAGAATGGGCATAATAATCATACTTACTTCAGAGACATAAGATTTAACAGATTTAAACTTAAAAAAAAGTTACTTCTGGGCCAGGTACGGTGGCTTACGCCTATAATCCCAGCACTTTGGGAGGCCAAGGCGGGCAGATCATCTGAGATCGGGAGTTCGAGATCAGCCTGACCAACATTGAGAAACCCTGCCTCTACTAAAAATACAAAATTAGCTGGCATGGTGGTGCATGCCTGTAATCCCAGCTACTCAGGAGGCTGAGGCAGGAGAATCGCTTGAACCCGGGAGGCGGAGGTTTTGGTGAGCCAAGATCATGCCGTGGTACTCCAGCCTGGGCAACAAGAGTGAAATTCCATCTCAAAAAAAAGTTACTTCTAACAGGACTTAGGTTTAAATTAAAAAAAAAAAGACTCAGCAGAAGTCTGGCCTATTGAAAACACTGAATAAATAATACAGTTGAGGCCAGGTGCGGTGGCTCACATTTGTAATTCCAACACTTTGAAAGGCCAAGGCAGGTGGATTGCTTGAGGTCAGGAGTTCGAGACCAGCCTGGCCAACATGATGAAACCCCGTCTCTACTAAAAATACAAAAATCATCCAGGCATGGCGGCAGGTGCCTGTAGTGCCAGCTACTTGGGAGGCTGGGGCAGGAGAATCACTTGAACCCGGCAGGCAGAGGTTGCAGTGAGCCGAGATTACGCCACTGAACTCCAGCCTGGCTGATGGAGCGAGACTCCATCTCAAAACAAAACAAAACAAAAATGCAAAATAATAATAATAATATAGTTGAGTGCTTCCATATCCCTTTTTTTTTTCTAGTCCACCATGTCTGTTATTATTATCCCCAAAACACAAATTAGAAAACACGGTATAAATAGAGGCCACAATGGCTTTGTTAGGCTTGTGAGGCTTAAGTTTCAGGGCCTCTTTCATAGCCCCAGCAGGGGCCTTAGCAATGTCGTCACATGGTGACATGTGTCTGTAAAATTTGCAAACACAAGGTGTTTTTATAGGGTTTGTTTTAGAGGTCCCTACCCCCTCCAATTGTAAAGTTTCAGGTTCCACAAAATCTAGATCTGTCCTGTATGGAGGAGAAGTACCAGCACAACAAACTCCACAAAACCAACTCTTCCTTCTCTGGACTGGAATTCCATGGCATCCAATGCCACTGTAATGAACATGGGACCACTGGATTTGGGAGTCGATTGGCTGGCTCCAGACTCCTTAGCTGTATGACTCTGGACACCTTCCCTTACCTCCCTGAGCCCTATGGCCTCATGAATAATATGGGAATTAATCACGATAGCACACAACCAACCCTAGGAGACTCTCCATAGATGTATGTTTCTTAAAAATGGAAAATGGCCTTTTTCATAATGGGATTCCATGTGGAAACTATGAACATCGCATAATTCTTATGCATCTGTCTTTTTGTTCTTAAACTTGTGGCTGAAATACCCATCAGTCAGGTCATGCCTCCAAACTTGATTACCTTCAGATTCCAAAGGACAATGGCCTTCACATGACAATAGCCGCTATCTCTTAGGAGGATAATCAAATAAGAGCATCTAATTCAAGAACACTGGAATGTGAGCTCTATGGGTGCTGAAACCTCAACTAGGTGATTAGTGAATATCCCAGGGGTTGAAATAGACCAAGAAAACCAGAGACCACGAAGGCCCTGCTCTTTTCTCTGCTTAACCCAAACTACAAGATCTCCCATATTCAGTTCTGATTGGCAGTTGAATGTAATGGTAATGAATGCTGGTTGTGGAGTTGACAGAGAACTTAGTTCAAATCCCAGATCTACCATTTATCATTTGTAGGACTCTGGGCAAAATGCTTAAAATTTCTTGGCCTCAGCCGGGCGCGGTGGCTCACGCCTGTAATCCCAGCACTTTGGGAGGCCGAGGTGGGCGGATCACGAGGTCAGGAGATTGAGACCATCCTGGCCAGGCATGGTGGCGGGCACCTGTAGTCCCAGGCCTGTAGTCCCAGCTACTCGGGAGGCTGAAGCAGGAGAATGGCGTGAACCCAGGAGGTGGAGCTTGCAGTGGGCTGAGATCGCGCCACCGCACTCCAGCCTAGGTGACAAAGTGAGTCTCTTGTCTCAAAAAAAAAAAAAAAAAAAAAAAAAAAAAATTTCTTGGCCTCAGTTTCTTTATCTGTAAAATGAAGATAATAGTACCTACCTTATATGAGATTATACACAGACAGCTTTTAGCATAATGCTTACTGAACAGTAAGTGCCCAATAAATGTTAGCTGTCTGTATCAGGCAGCAATAAGTGGCCGCTATTTTCCTGTTTTTTTCTTTCTTTTTTCTTTTTTTTGAGATGAAGTATTGCTCTATTGCTCAGGTTGGAGTGCAGTGGCACGATCTCAGCTCACTGCAACGTCTGTTTCCCAGGTTCAAGTGATTCTCCGGCCCTAGCCTCCCGAGTAGCTGGGATTAGAGGCGCACTGCCACCACACCTGGCTAATTTTTGTATTTTTGGTAGAGACAAAGTTTTACCATGTTGGCCAGGCTGGTATCTAACTCCTGATCTCAGGTGATCTGCCTGCCTTGGCCTCCCAAAGTACTGGGATTACAGGTGTGAGCCACTGCACCTGGCCTATTTTCCTGTTTCTTTTTCTTTCTTTTCTTTTCTTTTCTTTTTTTTTTTTTTTTTTTTTGAGGCAGAGTCTTGTTCTGTCGCCTAGGCTGGAGTTCAGTGGTGCAATCTCGCCTCAATGCAAGCTCCGCCTCCTGTGTTCATGCCATTCTCCTGCCTCAGCCTCCTGAGTAGCTGGGACTACAGGCACCTGCCACCACGCCCGGCAAATGTTTTGTATTTTTAGTAGACACGGGGTCTCGCCGTGTCAGCCAGGATGGTCTCGATCTCCTGACCTCGTGATCCACCCGCCTCAGCCTCCCAAAGTGCTGGGATTACAGGCATGAGCCACCGCACCCGGCTTATTTTCACGTTTCTTGAATGTTTGGTAGAAGTGTAAACCTGCTTACGTCTGGTGTGTGTGGGCATGTTTACGCATGTATGTATGCATGTACACATGTATGCATATATGTTAGCTACTAATTTAATTTTCTCAACACAGGTCTATTTAGGATTCTGGAGTCTCTTGGTTCAGTTTTGGTAAATAATGTTTCTCTAGGAAGTTGTTAATTTTGCAGTGTTCAACTTTTTTTGGCATGAATTTTTTACAGTATTAAATTTCAGTTATTACTCTCTTCTGCATCTGCAGTTATGCTCTCTTTTTATCCCTAATATTTTTATGCATTTGTTCTTTTTTATTAGCACTTAGTAGACTAGTAGATTATTAGTCTTTCCAAAGAACCAGCTTTGGATTAGCTAGTTTTTTCTGTGAAACTGTTTGCTATATAATTTTAAAAATTACCTCTATTACCTTCTTCCTTCTGCTTTCTTTGGATTACTTTTTTTTTTTTTAACCTAATAGCTTGCATTTGTAGGAATTAAAATGTGGCCAAGCAATAGTACTAAGCTCACAGGCTTTTCTTTTTTTTTTTTTTTGAGACAGAGTCTCGCCCTGTCGCCCAGGCTTGGAGTGCAATGGCGTGATCTTGGCTCACTGCAACCTCCACCTCCCGGGTTCAAGCTATTCTCCTGCCTCAGCCTCCCGAGTAGCTGGGATTACAGGCGTGCACCTCCACACCCAGCTAATTTTTGTATTTTTAGTAGAGACTGGGTTTCACCATGTTGGCTATGCTGGTCTCAAACTCCTGACCTCGTGATCCACCCGCCTCGGCCTCCCAAAGTGCTGGGATTACAGGCGTGAGCCACTGTAAAGGATTGTTGTGAAAAGTAAGATTATGCATATGCTTGATAAATGTGAACTGTTATTATTATCTTCATGTCTCAGTTTCATCACCTCTAAAATGGGTCCATGGACGGATTAAATAAGGTCATCTGGGTAAAGTACTTGGCTCATACATGTTACTTGGGATCAGTATTATTCCCCGGATGTACAAAATACTTGTCATTCATTATAACAGTCACGACTGTGCCCAGGGGTGAGCAAAAGCCTCAGTGTCCTCAAGGGTCCCAGGATCAGCCACAGAATTTGCAGGGCATGGTGCAAATGAAAACATAGGGCCTCTTGTTAAAAATGTTATTAAGAATTTCAAGATGGCCACAGCAGAGCATTAAGCCAAGCTAGAACCTGTCTGAGCTCGGGGCCCTGTGTAACTGCAAGGGTTGCATGTCCCAGAAGTTGGCCCTGTCCTCTCTCAAGGTCACCTGGGCAGAAAGCTGTTGTTTGGGTCTTGAAGGATGAGTTTTGTAAAGGCCCCTTGCCCTGCCCCTTCACACATGTGCATTCTCATTCTTCTAACTAATTCCAGGACCTTGGAATTCCATCTGACCCCTAAGGGCTGCTCCTAATGCAATCCGGGGGAACACTAGATTCAGAGTCAGCCCCCAAATCAAAGGCCAGCACAAAACCCTGGATAAATTACAGCTGTTATAAAGAAGCCACCTCTTCACCCTTGTTCTCATTTTCCTTGCATTTATAGTCACAACTCAATGAAGCCATCAACATTTGCTATTCATAAACTTGTTGGATAAGCAAGGCTGATGGGCTCACAGTGATAACTAGAGGCACTAAAGAAAGTGACAAGCTTCAAATTGGAGGCCAAGCCATACTTCTAAATGTACAGCATATTTTAAAAAAGAATGTGTGATGGTTTATATTGATGTGGCTCAGAATAACATATTTCTATAAGAAACTGTTAAATGAATTTGCAAAAAGGCTAAGTTGGCTTATGTGCTATATGTATGCGTAGACAAACATCATGGAAATACTAGAGTTTTCTCTGTTGTAAATGCTGCTGCTGTCCAACATGAATCGGCACCATGTCCTCCTTGCATCAGCTGGCATCCCTGTAGCATTGATCACATACATGCCAGGTCTCCTGCTGGCATCTTTAAAGGACTATCTCATTTAGTTTTCTCAACCCCTGTATGGCTAGTAAGCTACCCAAGTTCACTTAAAAAGTGGGTGAGCTAGGTTTACAACCCACCTGTCTGACCACAAAGCCTATGTTCTAAGCCACTATCCAAAATAGTCACCCAGGGCCAGGTGCAGTGGTTCACACCTGTGATACCAGCACTTTGAGAGGCCAAGGCTGAAAGATTGCTTGAGCCTAGGAGTTCAAGACCAGCCTGGACAACATAGTGAGATCTCATTTCTACCAAAAAATTTAAAAATTAGCTGGGTGTGGTGGTGTGTGCCTGTAGTCTCAGCTACTTGGGAGGCTGAGGTGGGAGGATCACTTGAGTCTGGGAGGTCAAGGCTGCAGTGAGCTGTGGTCGTGCCACTGCACTCCAGCCTGGGCAACAGAGTGAGACTTTGTCTCAAAAAAAAAAAAAAAAAAAATTACCCTGTCATATCGAGTGACAAAAAGAGATCAAGATACCAGAAAAATAATACAAATGTATTTAATAAAAACTGTACTAAGACCTTTACATCTCCTATTGGTGTTGTGAAGAAGGTCTGATTATTTATTTATTTTTTTGAGACGGAGTTTTGCTTTTGTTGCCCAGGCTGGAGTGCAATGGTGTGATTTCGGCTCATGGCAAACTCTGCCTCCTGGCAAACTCTGCCTCCCAGGTTCAAGTGATTCTTCTGTCTCAGCCTCTCCAGTAGCTGGGATTACAGGTATGTGCCACCACGCCCGGCTAATTTTGTATTTTTAGTAGAGATGGGGTTTCTCCATGTTGGTCAGGCTAGTCTTGAACTCCCGACTTCAGGTGATCCACCTGCCTTTGCCTCCCAAAGTGCTGGGACTACAGGCCTAAGCCACTGCGCCTGGCTAGGTCCGATTATTATTATCCCGATACGGCAGATGAGCAAACTAAGGCTTGGGGAGGTTGAACAACAAAGGCTGTGCAGCTAGTGATGGATTTAGAGACAGCCTGTAGAAGCAGTTAGAGCTTCAGAAAACAAACAAGAGACCTTTTTTTTTTTTTTGAGATGGAGTCTCACTCTGTCGCCCAGGCTGGAGTGCAGTGGCATGATCTCAGCTCACTGCAAGCTCCGCCTCCTGGGTTCATGCCATTCTCCTGCCTCAGCCTCCCAAGTAGCTGGGACTATAGGCGCCCGCCACCACACCCGGCTAATTTTTTGTATTTTTAGTTGAGACGGGGTCTCACCGTGTTAGCCAGGATGGTCTCGATTTCCTGACCTTGTGATTTGCCCGCCTCGGCCTCCGAAAGTGCTGGGATTACAGGCGTGAGCCACCGTGCCCGGCTGAGACACTTATTTTCTTTGAAGCAATGGAGAACTGTGTGGCCAACTTTTAAATTATTCGTTACTTATTTTTTCCATTCAACATGGAACATATTTAGCCTTTAGTGGTCCAAATGTTGAGAGGTAGAGGAGCATGTAGGGCTCAAAATCCTGAAGCCACAGGAAAAGAAAAGAAAAATACGTGGCTTGATGCTAGTGAGGAAAGAGTTAAAAATTATCTTGCTTGTCTGACTTAGACATTGCTGGACGAGGCCAGAAACTTTTCTCCCCCCAGAAAATGTTATAAGTAAACACTGTATGTAATAGATCTGTACTCTCTAATTGTAAGCCCTGGACAGCACTGGAAGGTTACAGGAGACACAGGCACAGACAATATAGAGGGCTGGAAGTGAAAGAGGTTTCTTTTCTCTTCTTTTATCATAGGTTTGTTTTTATTTAAATTTGGAGAATATTTAAAGCAACTGAAAAGTACAGAATAAAGTATAACAAACACTTACAGCTTCACTACTTAAGATTACTAAATATAACCATTGTGTTGTAGCATCTTATATACTATTTTTTTAAATTTTATTTATTTATCTTTTTGAGACGGAGTCTCACTCTGTCACCCAGGCTGAAGTGCAACGGCATGATCTTGGCTCACCGCAACCTCCACCTTTCGGGTTCAAGCAATTCTCCTGCCTCAGCCTCCAGAGTAGCTGGGATTACAGGTGCCCACCACCATGCCCGGCTAATTTTTGTATTTTTAGTAGAGATGGGGTTTCACCATATTGACCAGGGTGGTCTTGAACTCCTGACCTTGTGATCCATCTGCCTTGACCTCCCAAAGTGCTGGGATTACAGGTGTGAGCCACCACGCCTGGCTGATACTATTTTAATTAAAAATAAGACAGTACTGATAAAGTTGAGCCCACTGGACCTCAATGCCTCCCCAGGAGCTATGGCTATCATGAAACTGATGTTTCCTTCCAGCCCATGTTAATCAGTTTAGTAATAAATGTATGTGTCCATGTCTATGTGTGTATATGTATTTACCTGTATCTTTAAATGCTATAAGGTATTCTTAATTTATATACATAGTTTCTTCTTTTATTCATCCTTTTGTTTTTAAGATGTAACATGTTGGCCAGGAGCCACTGCGCTCAGCCCCATCTGCTATATTTAAAATAATTATCTGCCTTTACCAGATGACAGATGAATGGATTTAAAAAATGTGGTATATACATACAATAAAATATTATTCAGCCTTAAAAAAGAAGGAAATAGGCCGGGTGCAGTGGCTCATGCCTGTAATCCCAGAACTTTGGGAGGCCGAGGCTGGCAAATACCTGAGGTCAGGAGTTTAAGACCAGCCTGGCCAACATGGTGAAATCCTGCCTCTCTAAAAATACAAAAATTAGCCAGGCGTGCTGGTGGGTGCTTGTAATCCCAGCTACTCTGGAGGCTGAGGCAGAAGAATCGCTTGAACCCAAGAGGTGGATGTTGCAGTGAGCTGAGACTGCACCACTGCACTTCAACCTGGGCAACAGAGCAAGACTCTGCCTCAAAAAAAACACAAAAAACAAAATACAAAACAAAAAAAGATATGACGTGTTGACACATATGATTCTTTTCAATTGCAGTGATGATCCTTTTGGGAACAGATCACAGTCTATTACCCTTCCCCTGCCTGGTGGATATTTAGGCTGTTGGCAATATTTTGCCATTCCAGCCATGCCGTGAGCTTCCTTATGACCTTGGGACATTCCTGAGGGTGTGTTCCTAGGTTCTACGTCATGGACATGTTACTTTCCTCTTGATACGGTACTCTCCAAGCTATCACAGAGAAATTTATCCTGGTCTTGCATCCCTCTTACCAACTGGGGACTAACAAGTATGGTCAATCCGAGCTCTTCACCCAGCCTGTGGATCCAAGGAGATGCAAGGTGTTGGCAGCCCATCCCTGCCGCTCCTCCCTGTCTGGGTGCCCTGCAGCTCCTGGCCACCCTTTGCTCCTGGCATATGCCAAGCTCTTCCCAGCTTCCAGAGCTTGCTCTAGTTGTTCTTGGGCCTCTGATGTCCTTCCCCAGACTTCTGCTGTCCATCAGGTCGCCACATGGCCCAGGTGGTGACTCCACACTTGAGATGTGACTGGTGCATGGGAGGAACTGGATTTTTATTTTTTATTTTTTTTTGAGGCAGAGTCTCGCTCTCTCCCCCAGAATGCAGTGGCACTATCTTGGCTCATTGCAACCTCCGCCTCCCGGGTTCAAGCGATTCTCCTGCCTCAGCCTCCTTGAGTAGCTGGGATTACCGGCACATGCCACCACGCTCGGCTAATTTTTGTATTTTTAGTAGAGATGGGGTTTCCCCATGTTGGCCAGGCTGGTCTTGAACTCCTGATCTCAGATAATCCACCTGCCTCGGCCTCCCAAAGTTCTGGGATTACAGGCCTGAACCACCTTGCCCTGCCAGAACTGGATTTTTCATTTTACTTAATCTGCATTAAAACTTCAAAACTGATAAATTCACTCAGTAGTTAGAAAACATCTAATAACTTCACTCAGTAATTAGAAAACATCTAACAACTTCACTCAGTTATTAGAAAACTTTTAAGTATCTTTAGTACAACTGGGATATAGGAATCTACCTTTGTGACTGTCAACTGTATGAAACCTGAATTCAGATCAAGTACTTCTAGTGAGAATTTACAGTCTAGATTGAGGTGTGTTGTTGGTGTAAAATACACACGATTGTGAAGACTTGGTATGAAAAGAAGAATGTAAAATATTTCATTTACTTTTTTTTTTTTTTGAGACGGAGTCTCGCTCTTTCACCCAGGCTGGAGTGCAGTGGCGGGATCTCGGCTCACTGCAAGCTCCGCCTCTCGGGTTCACGCCATTCTCCTGTCTCAGCCTCCCGAGTAGCTGGGACTACAGGCGCCCGCCACCGAACCCGGCTAATTTTTTGTATTTTTAGTAGAGATGGGGTTTCACCGTGTTAGCCAGGATGGTCTTGATCTCCTGACCTCGTGATCCGCCCACCTCGGCCTCCCAAAGTGCTGGGATTACAGGCTTGAGCCACCGCGCCTGGCCTTTCATCTACTTTTTAAAAAACATTTTTGAAAATCATTTTGAAATGACAATATTTTGGAAAAAAATAGATTAAATAAAAATAAAAGATATTATTAAAATTATTTTACTTGGTTTTTTCCTTTTTATTTATTTATTTAGAGACAGGGTCTCACTGCATTTCATAGGCTGGCCTCAAACTCCTGGGCTCAACTTGTGTTCTCACATCAATGTCCCGAGTAGCTGGGACTATAGGTGTGTGCCACCATGCCTGGCTTGTTGTACCTGTTTTTTCTGTGTTCTTTTTAAAAATCTTTTAAAACTGGCTATGAGAAAATTTAACACTACATATGAGTTGAATATAATAAAATGTATTATTAAATAAACAAATAAGCAAAATTAAAAATTTAAAATAAATAAAAATGATGACAATGCAAATAAATATATTATTAAAATCAAACAAAATGTATTAAAATTGGCCAGGCACGGTGGCTTATGCCTGTAATCCCAGCACTTTGGGAGGCTGAGGCAGGTGGATCACCTGATGTCAGGAGTTTGAGACCATCCTGGCCAACATGGTGAAACCCTATCTACTGAAAATACAAAAATTAGCTGGGCATGGTGGTGCATGCCTGTAATCCCAGCTACGTGGGAGGCTGAGGCAGGAGAATCGCTTGAACCTGGGAGGCAGAGGTTGCAGTGAGCCGAGACCATGCCATTGCATGCCAGCCTGGGTGACAAGACTGAAACTCTGTCTCAAAAAAAAGAAGAAAAAATAAAAAATAAAAATAAAAATAAAATATATTAAAATTGTTTCTACCCATTTCTTCTTTCTTCCTCCTCCGTCTCCCCCTCCTCCCCCTCCTCCTCCTTTTCCTCCTCCTCCTTCTTCTTTTCTTCTTCATATTATTATAAGACTGGGTCTCATTATGTTGCCCAGGGTAGATTCAAACTCCTAGGCTCAAGCCATCCTCCTACCTCATCCTCCTGAGAAACTCTGAGACTACAGGCTCACACCACTGCATACGGCTCACCCATTTCTTTTTACCCTTTTAAAATATAGCTACTAGAAAATATAATAGTACATATGGATCTAAATATAATAAAATAGGCCAGGCACAGTGGCTCATGCCTATAGTCCTAGCTACTCAGGAGGCTGAGGCAAGAGGACTGCTTGGGCCCAGGAGTTCGAGGTGGAAATGAGATATGAATGTGCCACTGCACTCCAGCCTGGGTGACAGAACAAGACACTGTCTCAGAAATATATATCTAGTATTATTAAATAAGTAACAAAATAAAAATATATATAATAAATTATAATAGAAATAAACTAAAAATATAAAATATATTAAATTATTTCCATACATTTCCTTTTACTTTTTAAAATCTGGCTACTAGAAAATTTTAGCATTACAGACATGGCTCACATTACTTCTTTTTTTTTTTTTTTTTTGAGACAGAGTCTCACTCTGCCACCCAGGCTGGTACAGTACATTTGGGGCAAGCGTAGCTCACTGCAACCTCTATCTCCTGGGCTCAGCCTCCTGAGTAGCTGGGACTACAGGTGTGCACCACCACACCTGGCTAATTTTTGTATTTTTTTGTAGAGACAGGGTCTCACTATGTTGCCCATGCTGGTCTCAAATCCCTGGATTCAAGCAATCCACCTGCCTCTGCCTCCCAAAATGTTGGGATTACAGGCATGAGCCACCGCGCCCGGCTGCACGTTACATGTCTAATGGGAGCGCTAGCCACATCTTCCTGAGTTGTTCTCCTTCTTCTCATTCAGATCTTTACTTTGTCATCACCTCCCCAGTGGGGTCTTTCCTAACCATGCAGAATCTATGCACTTAGCCCCTGTCCCACTGTCCTGTCCCATTGCTTATTACCACCTGCCATTTTGGGGTTCTTTGTTGTTCGTCTCTCCACTAGAACATAAGCACTTTCTCAATGAAGTGTCTGCTCTCTTGTTCACGCAGCCTGCTAAGTGTTAGAACAGTGTCAGCCTCCTGGTTTTCACTCATAAATATTCGTTGCATCAACTCATCCTGATCATTTCTTATGAAAATTTTCAAGAATTATACAAAACAAACTATAAGTGTACACATACAGCCAATTCAAGGTCTCAGGACTATTTAACTTGAAATTCAACATTGAGAGACAGCATCCTTTTCTACTTTGGATTCCACAGAATTTGATCTAATTATGTTTAATTTGCCACCCAGCCTCCCTGAAAAGTGGATGCACAGGATGGGATGGAAGAAAAGAAAGATACAGTTTGGATTTATGTAGGAAGCATGTTTGCCTGCAGCTTGATAAAAGATCATGGCCTGAACCAAAAAAAAAAAAAAAAAAAAAAATCAATCAATCATTCCTTTCTTGATGGCCATTTTAAATATTTAGCTGAAATTGTCCTCATCTGGGTGTCAGCTGTTTTCTCTGCAAACACCCATCACCCTTGTGGTCACACACAATGCTGGGATGGCGGGGGGAGCCCCAGCTGCAGGACACCTCTTGTGTTTTCAATTTAAAGCCTCTGGGTTGATAGTTCACATTAACATGGAAAGAAATATACAACTTACGAGTTGGGAAAGCAGTTTTTACTCATAAAACCCTTTGATAGTTTAGCCATCTGGTCAGAGTGAAGGCCCCCATAAAAGAGACCCAAATAAGGTTAAAGGGCACAGTCTCTGAGGGTCAAGGAAGCCTACCAGAGTTTGCTCTAGTGGACTCTGCTAAAAGGATGCCTGACAAATTATTGTGCATTCCATAGCTTTTTGCGTAAGTATTTGATTACAGTGGACAGGAATGTTGTTGATATTTTCAACCTTGAGTTGGGGAGGAGGGGAGGCCGGACCTCTGCTTTTCAGACGCTCATAGTCCCTGCCCGTGTGGGGAGACGTGCTCTAAGCATTTTATCAAATGGTGTTTGTTCTGCTCTGGGCTCTATCTGTTCATTCGAAGTCTCTTGGCTTTGGCAATGGTGTGAAGAGATAGTTTCCTCTGTCTTGCGGAGAAAAAAAAACACACAAAAAACCACGTTGCATTTCTCTGACTCGCCAGGAAAGCCCCTCTGCTGTTTTTCTTGCTGTTTAGCAATAAAATCGGAAAGGAGACCACAATACTTGGAGCTCTGTGCTATTTCCGGTGTGAATGTCAACAGAACTCAGCATATTTATGGCTTTATTTCTCAGAGGGGATCACAGACAGAAGGGAATCTGAAGTGACTAAGCGCCACGTTCTTTGGCGGCCTGGACAAAAGCAGAGGAAATCACTTGATTTTATGGAGTCTTTGATAACACAAGTACAGTAAGTAAATGGCAGGTCTTTGAGCAGCTCTAGTACACATCTTAGATTTCTACAAAGTTCCAAGAAGGCAGCTCTTTCACTTGAAATTCAGAAGAATGAAGACATGATCTGAACACACTTCTTGGCGTGGCTTCGGAAGATGTTGTTTGTTATGCCTTAAGGAGAGGGACTGTTTCATTCTGGTAAAAGACACCATACCTGTGAAGGCTTTGTAGCTCTTTTTGCATAAGACTTTGTTGTAGGCCAGGCATGGTGGCTCACACCTGTAATCCCAGCACTTTGGGACGCTGAGGCAGGCGGATCACTTGAGGTCAGGAGTTTGAGACCAGCCTGGCCAACATGGTGAAACCTTGTCTCTACTAAAAATACAAAAACAAGCCCGGTGTGGTGGTGCACGCCTGTAATTCCAGCTACTCGGGAGGTTGAGGCAGCAGAATTGCTTGAACCCGGGAGGTGGAGGTTGCAGTGAGCTGAGATTGTACCACTCCACTCCAGCCTGGGTGACAGAGAGAGACTCTGTCTCAAAAAAAAAAAAAGAGAGAGAGAGAATATGATATTGGTTGCAGTGGCAGCTGTCCTGGGACAATGAAGTAAGACATCAGTGAAGTGCTGAGGAAGGTCATGTGGAGGATAGGACGTGCCCCTGTCCTGGATGACACTGTTGAATCTTTTGGAGATGCAAGATTTTTGTTTTCTGAGACAATTAAACGTCTTTGTCCAAGCCATATTGTGTTACCTTTGTGCACAAATGCATCCTACATGACATATCACATTACAGAAAATATCAGAGGCTAGTAGGTTTTAGAAGTTATAGGATTGGGAAAGTAGTTTTTTACTTTTACCAAATTAAACAAATTAATGCTTGAGAAAATGCTTTGCAAAATGCAAACCTATAGAATCTATGCATACACTATCCATTCCATCAGTCAACAAAAAGTTATTGAGCCCCAAATCAGTTAGGATTAGGTCTGGCTAGGAAAGATAGAAAACTTAAAGTAACAGTGGTTTAAACACAGAGAGAAGTTTATTTTTCTTGCATATCTATAGGCAGTACAGAGCCAATATGGTGATTTCATGATTATCAGGAACTGGGGCTCGTTCTATCTGTTCTACTATTCTCAACTTGTAGTTTTCACTGTGGTTCAATATGGAAGCATGAGCTCCGGAGAGCACGTCAACATTTACCTAGCAGTAAAGAGGAGGGGCAGCAGATAGACCCCACTCCTTCCCTAAGGCTGTTATTGGGAAGTCGCCTGTGACACATGCATTTACATCTCATTTTTCAGAACAGTCACATGACCATACCTAGTTGTAAGGGAAGCTGGGAAATGTAGTCTTTATTCTGGACAGCAAAGAATCCTGTTAACAGTAAGGGTTTCTGTTTATAGGGAAGAAAAGAATGGCTAACTAAGGTAAAGGGCAGCCTCTCCCATAGGTTCCCACCATGTGCCATTTATGAAACACTGACGGCAGAGCATATTAATACGTCAGCTTTGCTATGGTTTGGCTGTGTCCCCACCCAAATTTCATCTTGAATTCCCACGCGTTGTGGGAGGGACCCGGTGGGAGGTACTTGAATCATGGGGGCAGGTCTTTCCCATGCTGTTCTTGTGACAGTGAGTCTCATGAGACCTGATGGTATAATGAGGGGAGTTTTCCTGACCAATCTCTTTGCCTGCCACCATCCACGTAAGATATGACTTGCTCCTGCTTGCCGTCTGCCATGATTGTGAGGCCTCCCCAGCCATGTGGAAGTCTAAGTCATTAAACCTCTTTCTTTAGTAAATTGCCCAGTCTCGGGTATGTCTTTATTAGCAGCGTGAAAACGGACTAACACAAGCTTATACTAGGAAAATAAAGTATGCTTCTCATTATTTATATATTTATTCATTCAACAACTATTGCTTGAGGGCTGTTCGTACGATCTATGAGATATGAGACATTTGGTGATAGAAAAACAAAGCAGAAGAAATCATTATATAATAAGAGAAACAGCTTGATTGGGGAGAGAAGCTTATGACCAATCATCACGAATATTTTTCCCTAAGAGAATAATTGAGGATATGCAGAAAGTTTTTTTTTTTTTTTTTTGAGACAGAGTCTTGCTCTGTTGCCCGGGCTGGAGTGCAGTGGCACAATCTCTGCTCACTGCAACCTCCACCTCCTGGGTTCAAGCAATTCTCTGCCTCAGCCTCCCGAGTAGCTGAGATTACAGGCATCCGCCACCAAGCCTGGCTAATTTTTTTTTGTATTTTTAGTAGAGATAGGGTTTCACCATCTTGGCTGGGCTGGTCTTGAACTCCTGACCTCATGATCCACCCGCCTCAGCCTCCAAAAGTGCTGGAATTACAGGTGTTAGCCACCGGGCCCGGCCACAAAATTTTACCTATATAAGCTCACTGCACTTTTATGTAAACCAGCGAAAAATAGAAAGCAACTGAAATAGCCGGCTATTTTAACGATTAATTGTTGCACATAATTAAAAAACAATCTGGCAAAATCATAGCTAAAGCTAACATATGCCAGACCATGCATCAGCTGTTTACATGTGTTAGCTTATGTGATCCTTATGACAGTCCTACAAGATCATGATTATTTCCCTTTTTCTTCTGAGATAGAGTCTCGCTCTGTTGTCCGGGCTGAGTGCAGTGGCACGATCTTGGCTCACTGCAACCTCTGCCTCCCAGATTCAAGCAATTCTCCTGCCTTAGCCTCCCGAGTATCTGAGATTACAGGCACCCGCCACCACACCCAGCTAATTTTTTGTATTTTTTAGTGGAGATGGGGTTTTGCCATGTTGGCCAGGCTGGTCTTGAACTCCTGACCTCAATAACACCAAGATCTTAACAGTCAGTGGTTATCTCTGGGTGGTGGGGTAGTGGTTAATTTTTTTCTTTCCTTATATATGTATTTTATAAGTTTTTTGCAATGTTCACGTACTCCTTTTGTACCTTACAGAAAAAGGCAGGCCGTGGGCGGTGGGTCGCGCCTGTAATCCCAGCACTTTGGGAGGCTGAGGTGGGCGGATCACCTGAGGTCAGGAGTTCAAGACCAGCCTGACCAACATGGAGAAACCCCGTCTCTACTAAAAATACAAAATTAGCCAGGCATGGTGGCGTGTGCCTGTAATCCCAGCTTCTATGGAGGCTGAGGCAGGAGAATTGCTTGAACCTGGGAGGTGGAGGTTGCAGTGAGCAGAGATCGTGCCACTACATTCCAGCCTGGGCGACAGAGTGGGACTCCAACTCCAAAAAAAAAAAAAAGAAAAAGGCTTTATAAAACTATCTGGAATAATCTAAACTGGAGAGATTGTGCACACAGACAGTGAGGAAATGAAACATGGCGGTGGTTCAGGAAAACAATTCCTTCTACAAAGGCTGGCCTGGGGCCAGGGGTGTTTTGACAGATCTGGGGACTGACTTGACCCAAGGATGACACATTTGAATGTCCTCCCATCTATGGCCAAGGCTTTAATGCTGCATTGAGCTCACGTGTCAAGCTTGCTCCGATGAGATTGTCACTCCCCAACCCTTGCTCCACCCCGTGGCTCCATTTGTCACCAGAAACTGACACGTTTGGATAACACGCTGGCCTTTGCCTTTTTTATTTTTGTTTTTTTGAGACAGGGTCTTGCTCTGTTGCCCAAGCTGGAGTGCAGTGGCATGATCACAGCTTACTGCAGCCTCAACTTCCTTGGCTCAAGTAATTCTCCCATCTCAGCCTCCCAAGTAGCTGGGACTACAGGCACATGCCACTGTGATCAGTTATTTTTATTTACTTATTTTTTTAGAGATGGGGGTCTCACTATGTTGCCCAGCCTGGTATTGAACTCCTGGGCTCAAGCCATTCTCTCGCCTTGGCCCCTCAAAGTGCTGGGGTTACAGGTGTGAGCCACCATGCCTGGCCTGATCCTTGTCATTTTGCCCAGCACTCCTTGGCCCTCTGCCCACTCTCTGCTGACACCTAACACACAGCTCTGCAAAGACCTGTCTCTGGGTCTGACTCTCTCTTGAAGGTGAGCCACTGGCAGGCAGGCATGGGGTCTCCCTAGAGCAGGAGCTATTGCACAATCTGTTAAAAGAACAACCTCCACCTCTCCTTGTCAGAAAGCAACCATTCCCTCTTGCCAATCCAACTTGTTCTCTTCAAGAAGGCCTCAATTTTCACGTTTTCCCCCTTGAGGATTTAAATAAATAAACATGTCCTGCACTTGTATCCCAAAACTTACAATAAAATAAAATTAAAAATTAAAAAATAAACTGCAAACTATGGGAGTTAATGCTTTCAGGTGATCCTAGAGGGTGTCCATCCAAACCCCAAATAAAACCTCGATGTGTTAGTTAATACTTTTTCCAAAAACAAGGTTCTAGGTAGGACTTTTTTCTCTCCATCACTTTCTTTTTAATCTAGCAAATATACACGGACCATTTCCTGTGTTCTAGAACACATACCAAGCCATGTAATATAGTAAAATATAAGAAAAATGATTTTTATATTTTTAGTAGAGATGGGGTTTCACCATGTTGGCCAGGCTGTTCTCGAACTCCTGGCCTCAAGTGACCTACCTGCCTCAGCCCAATGTGCTGGGATTACAAGCCTGAGCCACCATGCGCCAGGTAAAATGATTTAACTGCCTTGTCGATGAGTGCCAGGAAAGAGAAGTTCTCAACACAACAGAGCTTATTTGAAGAGTCCTGACCCAGGTTTGGGAGAACATAGGGCGGGCAGTGGAGGCTTCCCAGAGGAATTACTTTTCATTTTCTGGATAAAAATATTAATATTGGGCCAGGCGCGGTGGCTCATGCCTGTAATCCCAGCACTTTGGGAGGCCAAGGCGGGCGGATCACGAAGTCAGGAGATCGTGACCATCCTGGCTAATACGGTGAAACCCGTCTCTACTAAAAATACAAAAAAAATTAGCAGGGCGTGGTGGCACGCACCTGTAGTCCCACCTACTCAGGAGGCTGAGGCAGGAGAATTGCTTGAACCCGGGAGGCAGAGGTTGCAGTGAGCCGAGATGGTGCCACTGCACTCCAGCCTGGGTGACAGAGCGAGACTCCATCTCAAAAAAAATATATATATATATTTATTTCCAGGGTGGGCATGGTGGCTCATGCCTGGAATCCCAGCACTTTGCGAGGCTGAGGTGGGTGAATTGTTTGAGCCCAGGAGCTCGAGACCAGCCTGGGCAACATGGAGAAACCCGATCTCTACAAAAAATACAAAAATTACCCAGGTGTGGTGGCATGTGGCTGTAGTCCCAGCTACTCAGAGGTTGAAGTGGGAGGATTACTTGAGCCCAGGAGGTTGAGGCTACAGTGAGCCATGATTGCACCACTGTGCTCCAGCCTGGACAACAGAGTGAGACCCTATCTAAACAAACAAACAAAAAAATTATTTCCATATGTAAATGAATGGGAACACTGTGCTAGAAGACATTGTAAAGAAGCCTGATGAGGATTCCAACTGATAACAGCCACGTTCGGATTTAGAAAAATGTAAGAGCAAGATCATGTGTGGACACTATTCCAATGAGAATGTACAGGTCAGACTTGTATCAGATAAGAAAATGCGAAATTATCTTAATTGACATTGAGAAAACAGGCCAAGGCATTATTGTTATAGAAAAAAGAGTAGAACACAGCTGAGCATAGTGGCTCACACCTGTAATCCCAGCACTTTGGGAGGCTGAGGGGGTCCGGATCGCTTGAGGCCAGGAGTTCAACACCAGCCTGGCTAACATGGTGAAACCCCGTCTCTACTAAACATACAAAAATTAGCTAGGTGTGGTCATTTTCACCTGTAATCCCAGCTACCTGGGAGGCTGATGCACGAGAATCACTTGCACCCAGGAGGCAGAGGCTGCGGTGAGCTGAGATTGCGCCACTGCACTCCAGCCTGGGTGACAGAGCGAGACTCTGTCTCAAAAAAAAAAAAAAACAACAGCAATCAGTGAGACAGAAGTACAGCCACATATTGAAATACTATACAGCTGTTTTTTAAAATATAGTTGGTAACATGGCCGGGCGCGGTGGCTCATGCCTGTATTCCCAGCACTTTGGGAGGCTGAGGTGGGCAGATCACCTGAGGTCGGGAGTTCGAGACCAGCCTGACCAACATGGAGAAATCCCGTCTCTACTAAAAATACAAAATTAGCCAGGCGTGTGGCACATGCCTGTAATCACAGCTACTAGGGAGGCTGATGGAGGAGAATCACTTGAACCCGGGAGGTGGAGGTTGCAGTGAGCCGAGATCGTGCCATTGCACTCCAGCCTGGGCAACAAGAGTAAAACTCCATCTCAGAAAAAAAAAAAAAAAAAAAAAAAAAAAAGTAGTTGGTAGCTTTCTCTACACTGGTGATACGGATCAATCTACAAGTTGAATATGTAGTGAAAAAAGCGAATGCAGATCAGTGTGTTTAGTGAATGTGCTTCCTCTGTAACAATAAAAAGAGAGTATGGCCAGGTGCCATGGCTCACGCCTGTAATCCCAGCACTTTGGAAGACTGAGGCGGGCGGATCATTTGGGGTTGGGAGTTCAAGACCAGCCTGGCTAACATGGTGAAACTCCGTCTCTACTAAAAAAACAAAAAAAAAAACAAAAAAAACTTTATCTGGGCGTGGTGGCACACGCCTGTAATCTCAGCTACTGGAGAGGCTGAGGCAGAAGAATCGCCTGAACCCAGGAGGCGGAGGTTGCAGTGAGCCAAGATCATACCACTGCACTCCAGCCTGGGTGACAGAGTGAAACTCCATCTCAAAAAAAAAAAAAAAAGAGTATAACATTATTTGCTTGTAAACGTATAAACATCTCCAGAAAAGTATACAAGAAACGAATAATGGTGGCTCCATCTGGGTAGGAACGGGTAGGCGGAAAATGTTTCAAGGCACAGCTCTTTGTACCTTTTGAGTGTTGAATCGTGTGAATAGATTGCCTCTTTTAAATAAATAAATCACACACACACACAAACCACAAAAACACAAAAACACATCAAATGAAAATTGCAAACACTGAAATAACATAGGATTATCAAAGGTGTCCTGGCCCAATGGAATTAAGAATGACTGGTTTAGAATTTCACTCAGACTTTAAATCATGTTAGGGAATTAGGGCTTCCTAATGGAATTCACTTAGGGAATCTAATGTTTTCTATGTATGTCCCAGGATCAATTGAGGGTTGCTCTTAGTTTTCACCGTCATAATGGTGTATAACAGACGGGTTCACACCGTGTTTCCATAGTTTCCTTGCATGCTGGTATTCACAAAAATCTGTTTTGCTTCTTTGGGCCTTTTCTGTAATTTAATTTTTGTTGTTGTTCTGCATGTGTATTTAGTAATTAAGGGTGGGAAAAATTCATATTATTTAAAATTAATATGATGATAAATAGGTTTCTATAAGAAGACTCACCAAAAAAGTCTTTAAACGCAACTAAAATTTAAAATAAAAAGAAATAATAAGAGACTCCTGTCTGGCTGTTGAAACTTTAAGGCATCCTTTCTTTCTTAGAAATAGTAAGCTCCCAATAAGTAAATTTAAAAACTTTACCCTCCATTAAATCCTAAAACAGTGGAAGTGAATGATCCATCCCACAGTGTCATATTTCCGGAGGGGACAGTGATTATGAATGTCTCTTGGATCTGCACGCTCCATTAAACTCTGTTAGGGAGAATACTTTCAAGCTCCAAGAGACAATTAATTTCTTACAGGGAGTGGCATTCTTGAACGCACAACTGGGATTCTAATTACGCTCGAGCAGAAAGTAATACTTTACAGGGCTGGGTAAAAACACTCATTCGGAAGTAAAGTTGGGGGGTCATAAAAACTGGGGATTACTTTAGTTAGTCATTTGTAACAGGTAAAAGTTGTGTTTTAACTTCCTGGAGTTGGGCGGGGGAGGCAGAAGGGGCTATTTTAGGAGGAAGGAGAGTCCAGTTAACAAAAGGAAGGTCCTTATGAATTTTTCCAGGGCTGCAAATTCATAAATAACAACAGTATTTATTGTAAGAAGGACAGAACTTGAGGATTAACCTTTCCACACATCTGTACTTAACCCATTGCCCCAGTAAAAGAGAGCCCATTGTTTGTTCAGTGTGTCAATCATTATTATAGAAAATGCACACACATCTCACCCAAAAGTTGGAAAGAAAACTTGGAAAACAGTCATCAAGCTTGAGGTAACTTGCATGGTCTAGCCCAGCGGTTCTAAGTGGGGGCGAGTCTGTCCTCCAGGGGACAGTTGGCACTGTCTGGAGACATTTTGGGTTCTCGTAACTGGGGGGGCGCGACTGAGGGGTAGAGGCTAAAAATACTGCTAAACACTCTACATTTAGCTGGGCGTGGTGGCTCACGCTTGTAATCTCAGCACTTTGGGATGCCGAGGCAGGCGGATCACCTGAGGTTGGGAGTTCGAGACCAGCCTGACCAACATGGAGAAACCCTCTTTCTACTAAAAACACAAAAAATTAGCCGGCCATGTCTGTAATCCCAGCTACTCGGGAGGCTGAGGCAGGAGAATCACTTGAACCTGGGAGCCGGAGGTTGCAGTGAGCCGAGATTGCGCCATTGTACTCCAGCCTGGGCAACAAGAGCGAAACTCCGTCTCAAAAACAAAACAAAACACACACAGACACACACACACACACACACACACACACACTCTACATTCTAAACACAGAATGCCCCTACAACAAATAATTCTCCACAACATGCCAGTGGTGCCAAGGTTGAGAAACCGAGGTCTAGTGCTTTGCTGGATGATATTGGCAGGGACTCTTTTCTTGCAATTCAATGTAACATAAATTCAGACCGACAACTCCTTTTCAGGCTGGCGCCTAGCCCATGACACATAATTTTTTGGGGGGGAATTATTCAGATCCCAGGAGGACTCCCCAATAACCACAAAAACAATCATTTTTCTGTTCTCCAAGATCATTTGGAGGGCAAGAAACATATCCTTGGTCTCCACAATAGGCAACATACATCCCATCATTTAAGAAATAGCTTTACAAAGCATGGAAAAGAAGAAGATATTTAGTCCTTCTTTGGTAGGGAGGGTGTAGGGGAAATCAACACAAGTTTAAAGAGGAAGTTTGGCTTTGTAGTAATCTCGCTAATTGGAGTACGATTCTTTGAAAGTCTTGGATGGAGTTGAAGAGGGTCTGTGAAGTCTCTGGAAATTAAATGCAGAATGTAGTTTGTACGTGCAAAGGGCTGCAGCTTTCATCAGATTCTCAGTAGGATCTATAACCCCCCAAAGATGAAGGACCACAAGTGCAAAGGGTTCCAAATATCAGTTGTGGCTACATGCACTGATTTTTTTTCTACATTTGAACAGGCCACACTTGCATGTGGTGAAAATAAAATCAGTCTGAAAGGGCAGCCTGAACAGTGATTCCTCACTTACCCTGAGCGTGCTGTTTAAGGTGGCGCCAAAAACTCAGTCATCTGGATAACTGTTATTTCCATGCAACATTTTAAACATGCAAAACTAATGGAAATGAAAAAAGTTAATGAAAAAATGATGGTGAACAAAGTATCAACATTTTAAATAAAGGCCAGGCAAAGTGGCTGAAGTCGATAATCCCAACACTTAGGGAGGTCGAGGCAGGAGGATCACTTGAGCCCAGGAGTTTGAGACCAGCCTGGGCAACATTGCAAGACCCTGTCTCCACATAAAATAAACTAATAATAATAAATTAGCTGGGCATGGTGGCATGCATCTGTAGTCTCAGATACTTGGGAGGCTGAGGTGGGAGGATGGCTTGAGGCCAGGAGTTCAAGGTTGCAGTGAGCTAAGATGGTGTCACTGCACTTCAGCTTGGGCAACAAAGCGAGACTCTGTCTCTAAAATAAAATGACATACTTAAATAAAAACAAGATCAGTCAGGTATGGTGGCTCATGCCAGTAATCCCAGCAATTTGGGAGGGTGACGCAAGAGGATTGCTTGAGCTCAGGAGTTCCAGACCTGCCTGGGCAACTAAGCGAGACCCTGTTTCTATAAAAAATACAAGCAAAATAGCCAGATGTGGCGGTGCACACCTGTAGTCCCAACTACTCAAGAGGCTGAGGTGGGAGGATCACTTGAGCCCGGGAGGTCGAGGCTGCAGTGAGCCAAGATCACACCACCACACTCCAGCCTGTGTTACAGAGTAAGACCCTGTCTCAAAACCGAAACCAAACTCCCCAAAACCCCCCAAATCAATATTACTGTTTGTTTCTTTTTGCCTCAAGCTCCAGTTAGGCTTGGGAGGATGGTGTTACTGACACAGGCTGTTGGAAGTTTCTTATGTATTTTTCCAGAGATATTCTATGCAAAGGTAAGCAAATATGTATCTATCTACTACCTACATGTATGCTTTTTGTTACAGTATACACATCATTCTATATCTTGCCTTCTTCATTTAATATATCTTTGGAATTGTTCCATATAAAAATTTATATTCTATGTTATATATTTGTGTTATAAATATACATTTCATATATTACAATTGTGCAAGAAAATCCACTTGTCTTCTTTTTTGAAGTGTGGCTATAACCAATTGCTTTATATCATCAAACTTCCTTCTGCAAAGCAGAGTTGTTTCCTTTAAAAATCCATTTCTTTTTTTTTGTTTGTTTTGAGACAGAGTCTCACTCTGTTGCCTAGGCTGGAGTGCAGTGGCGCCATCTCAGCTCACTGCAACCTTGGCCTCCCAGGTTCAAGTGATTCTCGTGCCTCAGCCACCCAAGTAACAGGAATTACAGGCATGTGCCACCACACCCGGCTAATTTTTGTATTTTTTTGTAGAGACGCGGTTTCATCATGTTGGCCAGGTCTCGAACTCCTGACCTTAAGTGATCTGCCTGCCTAGTCCTCCCAAAGAGATGGGATTACAGATGTGAGCCACCATGCCTGGCCTTAAAAATCCATTTCTCTAATGCTGGATGCTACATTTGTTTGCAAGCTCATATCATATTTTAAAAATCTCCAGGGAACTATACTTAATTAGTTCTCCATTTTAAAAAAGTGTACACCTCCTTTCCTCCCTCCCTCGAGTTGGTAAAGTGGCCAGAAATGGCCAGACTGACTTGGGGAGACTCCTGGGTAAACTGAGTGCCTTAGGAGGGCACGTTGGCCTCCTCGAGTTACTGGTCACTGCTAATTAGTTTAGAGAGTCTAAACCCTTCATAATCTCAAATTCCATTTTCAAAGAAAATGAGGCTTAAGTTGCCACAGATGCGAATGATGTCACAGAGAGACTTTATGAGCTGCCGAAAATCATCTGATGCTGGTAAGGCAACATGAACCCACGACGTGGCCCTCTGCTAATAACATTTAGCCAACACAAGAACTGTACAGCTTCTCCCTTCTAGAGCTCAGGGGCCCCCAGTACATGCTGCAGAAAATGTGCATTTTATTGTTTCAGTTTGAGCTTAAGATAAAAGAAAGTTGCCAGGCATGGTGGCTCACACCTGTAATCCCAGCACTTTGGGAGGCTGAAGCGGGCGGATCACTTGAGGTCAGGAGTTCGAGACCATCCTGGCCAACATGGTGAAACACTGTCTCTACCAAAAATAAAAAGATTTGACTGGGCGTAGTGGCTCACACCTGTAATCCCAACACTTTGGGAGGTTGAGGCGGGTGGATCACGAGGTCAGGAGTTTGAGACCAGCCTGGTCAATATGGTAAAACCCCACCTCTACTAAAAATACAAAAATTAGCTGGGCATAGTGGTACACGCATGTAGTCCCAGCTACTCAGGAGGCTGAGGCAGGAGAATCGCTTGAACCCGGGAGGTGGAGGTTGCAGTGAGCCGGGATTGTGCCACTGCACTCCAGCCTGGGCGACAGAGAGACACTGTCTCAAAATAAAAAAAAAAAAAAAGAAATATTAGCCGGGCATGGTGGCGCTCCAGCCTGGGCAACAGGGCAAGACTCTGTCTCAAAAAAAAAAAAAAAAAAAAAAAAGAAAGAAATTTGACCAGTACATTGTCACAGGGGAATTTCTTGATGCCAGTAAGGGCCGTGGTTTAACAGAGCTTCCTTTATGTATGTAAGTAAATGAAAAATTCTTTTATTGCTTTTCTGATGGACAAATTTACCATATACAATAATCCAGAAAATAGCTATAGAGGGCGAACTTTGTGCCTGGTATACTTCAAGGTCTGGGATATAAAGATGAAGAAGGCAAAACAAACAAATCAAGTGTTTCAAAATATGTTCCACAGAAAGGCAAGACTATAGTTCGCACTTGCCAGGGATAATGACGGATTTCTCCAAATTTTCTTTTACCTTCAATGCAGATGCTAACATATGATTTTAAACATGTGGGGATTCTCAGTGTATATATGCATATACCTAAACAGATACACAGAGACTCCCAAGAACACCTGTGAGGGGAATGAGGATTTCCCAAATAAGTGACATAAAATATTCTTGTTTGCTTTTAATCTTTACACAGAGTTATCCTTAAAATTGCTGAAACTTTAGCTGGGCATGGTGGCTCATGCCTGTAATCCCAGCACTTTGGGAGGCAGAGGTGGGCAGATCACCCAAGGTCAGGAGTTCAAGACCAGCCTGCACCAACATGGTGAAACCCCCATCTCTGCTAAAAATACAAAAAATTAGCCGGCCATGGTGGTGGGTGCCTGTAATCCCAGCTACTCGGGAGGCTGAGGCAGGAGAATCGCTTAAACCCGGGAGGCGGAGGTTGCAGTGAGCCAAGATCGCGCCATTGCACTCCAGCCTGGGCAACAAGAGCAAAACTTCATCCAAAAAAAATGCTGAAACTTTAAACCATCTGCTATTTTTTGTTTGTTTTTTTTAGACGGAGTCTTGCTCTGTCGCCCAGCCTGGAGTGCAGTGGCGCAACCTCGGCTCACTGCAACCTCCACCTCCTGGGTTCAAGCAATTCTTCTGCCTCAGCCTCCCGAGTATCTGGGATTACAGTCACATGCCAACACGTCTGGCTAATTTTTGTATTTTTAGAAGAGATGGGATTTTGCCATGTTGGCCAGGCTGGTCTTGAACTCCTGACCTCAAGTGATCTGCCCACCTCGGCCTCCCAAAGTGCTGGGATTATAGGCATGAACCACTATGCCCAGCCCCATCTGCTATATTTAAAAGAATTTTCTGCCTTTATCAGATGACAGATGAATGGATTTTAAAATGTGATATATACATATAATATTATTCAGCCATAAAAAAGAAGGAAATACTGCAATCTGCAGCGGCAGAGCTGAAAAGTTTTTATTTTAATTTATTTATTTGTTTGAGACAGTGTCTTGCTCTGTCACCCAGGCTGGAGTACAGTGGTGCAATCTTGGCTCACTGCAACCTCTACCTCCCAGGCTTGAGCAATCCTCCCACCTCAGCCTCCTGAGTAGCTGAGACTTACAGGCACGTGTCACCATGCCCAGCTAATTTTTTGTATTTTTAGTAGAGACAGGGTCTCACCATATTGCCCAGGCTGGTCTCAAACTCCCGGACTCAAGCAATCCTCCCACCTCGGCCTCCCAAAGTGCTAGGATTACAGGTGTGAGCCACCACACCCGGCCAGAGATGAAACTTGAGGACGTTATGTTAAGTGAAATAAGCTAATCACAGAAAGACAAATACTGCATGATTCTACTTATATGAGATATCCAAAATAGTCAAATTTGTAGAATCAAAGTGTGGAATAGTGGTTGCCGGGGGCTGAGAGAGGGGGAAATCGTGAGTTATTAATCAATGGGTATAAAGTTTCCAATTGAGCAAGATGAATAATTTCTAGAGATCTGTTGTACATTGTACCCAGAGTCAACAATACTGTATTGTACACTTAAAAATGTGCTAAGAAGAGCCTGCCATATTGGCTCAAGCCTGTAATTCCAGCACTTTGGGAGGCCGAGGTGGGCAGATCACCTGAGGTTGGGAGTTCAAGCCTGGCCAACATGGTGAAACCCTGTCTCTCCTAAAAAAATACAAAAATTAGCTGGGCGTGGTGGTGCATGCCTTTAACCCCAGCTACTCGAGAGGCTGAGGTAGGAGAATCACTTGAATGTGGGAGGCAGAGGTGGCAGTAGGCTGCGATCATGCCACTGCGCTCAGCCTGGGCCACAAAGCAAGGCTCCATCTCAAAAAAACAAAAAACAAAGAACAAAAAAAAAAAAAAAAAGAAAACTGGACTGCCCTTTGTTAGTTGCTATATTTGATGTAGCAAGTACTCCTAGAGAAAAGCACGAAGCCTCCACATGGCTTTACTCCTCACTGGAGGGTGACTAGGCTAGAAAATGAGATGAGTATTCAAAATATTGATCCCAAAGAGTTCCTATCCTTTGACGAATAAGTAAGAAAATGCATGTGAAAATGGAAAAAAAAAATTTAAAAAAATCGCAAACATCTTTAAAGTAATTTCCAAATCTTAATTATATATGTACATTTTTTAAAAGATTGTCTCATTTTATTTTTTGTATTGAGGTCAAATTCACTTAACAAAATCAACCATCTTAAAGTATACAATTAAGAGACACTTAGTCATTCATGATGTTGCACAGCCCCCAAGCTGGATTATCTTCACAAACATGTACATTGCACAGGGCTCTGGGCACGATGGGCTTTGCTATTTTATCGTATAGTCATTTAGTGTCCCTCAAGGACACTTGGCTCCTGAAGATTTTCCCAACCCTAGGCCTCTGGCTCATACTGGGTTTCCTGCCTCTTCTACATCTTGTCGTTGAATTTCAAAGCTTTATAACACACTAAACAAATTGCTATGGGTCTTAATTCACAGTCTCTTTGATATGTGGCTGGTTTATACAGCAAGTAAATGTCTGGGTCTCTGATTGGTTACAAAGCCAAAAATAATCCAGATAATGAGAAAATTTTAATTATAACCATACTTGGTTTTAAAGGCCCCCAGATTCTGTTTGTTTGCTTATTTATTTGAGACAGGGTTTCACTTTGTCGCCCAGGCTAGAATGCAGTGGTGCAATCATGGCTCACTGCAGCGTCGACCTCTCAGGCTCAAGTGATCCTCCCACCTCAGCCTCCCAATAGCTGGGATTCCAGGTGCACGCCACCATGCCCAGCTAATTTTTGGTGGAGACGAGGTTTTGCCATGTTGCCCAGGCTGGTCTTGAATTCCTGACCTCAAGTGATGCGCCCGCCTCAACCTCCCAAAGTGCTGGGTTTACAGGAATGAGCCACCTCGCCCTGAATATTTACATACAAACTCAAAATAATCTCCTCTGCCCTTTGTCAGGTTGTTTGATGGGGGATAGATTCAATGCTTACTGTTGAAAATTTCCAGAATAAATTTGGGCTCTATAACATTTAATACTTATAAGTGCACTGAATTATAGAAGACAGTTCAAAGCTTTTCCTATACTGATAATTTGAACTATCATTTCTTTTCAAATGCAAATAAGTTCTTTGGGGGTATTATTAGAAAAAAATTAAAACTCCATTATTTGCATCATAGTGTAGGAGGATTACTTTTTAAAATAATGACTGTTTTCACCCAAACCCCCGCCCTGCTTTAGCTTCCAGACAGGTAGTTAGAGATTCACAAAAAAAGAGAAATCCTGGCTATTCTTTGAAGCTACAAACAAGCCCTGCATTTCTGTATGTTCTTAGAAAAAGCTCTGGCCAGGCAGTTTTTTTGTGTGTGTGATCACACCAGTAGCATCACTGAGTTCAAAGTGGGGGGAAAACCCATTTTAACAATGCAAGAATTTCCCAAAGTCCAAACGCCCGGGCCACACCGCTCCCACAAATGGAAATAGTATCAGATCTGCATCATAATTGATCCTCCAGATTTCCACCCACAAAAGAAGGATGTGGTCAGTAAGAACAAATAACACAGGGGCCGCGGAGAGAAGCTTTTTTGCAAACTTTCCCCTCACTCCACCCACAAAAGTCAGGCAACCGACGTACATGTCAGCATAATCGCTCAAGATATGATCGCGTTTGAGGCTTATGAAATGTTATCAAACGCAGTGGACAAGCACATCGGCGATATTTCTTTTTTCCGCTGAGATGTGAACTGCTGATAAATATCCATGGTTGAGTTTTTTCCATACTTTGATTCTTCAAAAGCTAAGCCATTCAAGGTGTCAAGGCTTTTTGCCCCTGCCTTCCACAGACAACAAGGGGGAGAAAAAAGAAAAAAAGAAAAAAGAGGATGAAAATGAGGGGGAATAAGAGAAAAAAAAATGGACACAGATAAAAGAAATTAAGCGAGCCATAATGTCTGTGCTTTATTTTAACTGGGTTGTCCTGTCCCGCTGTGCAGCCCATAATCCAAGCTGGGAGAGAGGCCCCCGCTGGGTAGCTAATTAAAACAATTATAAATACAAAGAAGGTATCAATGGCATTCCAAGACTCAAACAAAGAGATAAAGCACTGAAGATTTAAATTGTCAATGGCCAGTCTCTTTAGGCAATTCTGAAGAGGAGTCAGTGTCCCCAAGTCCCCCGAACTCCTTTGTAAACTGACTTATGTTTGGTTACAGGGGACCCTCCTCCCTCCTTTTTGGGGGGCTTATCGACATGAAAATTCATCAGTGATGGAATTAAGGGAAGTTAATTTATAGGCTCACATACAGTTATTTGTCCTGGCGCGTCAGAATAGTGGACCTGAGTTTAAAATTAAAATCTAATCTGGAAAAAAGACCCCAGCCCTCCTTATTGAATCAGTATTTTTATTCGTATTTTTTGGCAAGAAATTAGATGCAGGTATCAGTATTTTTAAAGACAAGAAAACAAACAAAAAGATCTTTTAGCCCCAATTGAAAGTGACACAAACCGTTTTTTTTTTTTTTAAGTACTGTGGGCAACTTTAGGAATGTTAAAAATGTAGCAAGTGTGCTAGACTACTTTCTCAGTGTATTTTTATAAAATGATTTGCAGAATCAAACTTACCCAACAAAAATAGAAAGCTTTCCTAATTTCTTAGACCTAGGATTTCCCCTGCCTGCTTTCTGGCTTTTGTAGAGCACTTAAAGGAACACTCAAATCATACATGCTAAGAGATAGCAGCCCAGTGCAGTTTAAAGGGACTCTCAGCCTACAGTCTGAACGAATAGAATGGATCGCAGAAGTTTCCAGGTGGGTCCCTTGGAGAGGGTGGTCAGTTTGCTCTCAAGAGCTGGGTGTGATCAGCGACAGCCTGAGCTCCAGGGCCTGGCCAGTGTGCTACAGGAGAGAGAGCCAAAGGCCTCAGCTCTTAGAAGGCTCACTCGGCCTCAGCTCTTAGAAGGCTCACTCTGAAAAGGAGGTGGTGACAGCAACTCTGGTCCTTCTTTTCACCATGAAAGAAAGCGCAGTAACTGGTGTAACTGGTAAAAGCCAAAAGGGAGGGAGGCAATTAAGGTCGAGGAGACTGATAAGAACTCAGTAGGGGTCAGAGCCCTTCTCCTACTCCTTCACCCACCCTCCTCTGCTCCTTTCTCAGCTCCTCCCACTACCACTCCTTTTTCTTCTCCCCTCTTCCCCTCCTCCTTTTCCCTCCTTTTCTTCTTCTTCTAATTCCTCTTCCCTCTTTTTTTTTTTTTCTTTTTTTTGAGACGAAGTCTTATTCTCTTGCCCAGGCTGGAGTGCAGTGGTGTGATCTTGGCTCCTTCCAACCTCAGCCTCCCGGGTTCAAGCGATTCTCCTGACTCAGCCTCCCAAGTAGCTGGGATTACAGGCGAGTGCCACCATGCTGGGGTAATTTTTGTATTTTTAGTAGAGACAGGGTTTCACCATGTTGGCCAGGCCAGTCTCGAACTCCTGACCTCAAGTGATCCACCCACCTCAGCCTCCCATAGTACTGGGATTACAGGCGTGAGCCACCATGCCCGGCCTCCTCTTTTAATCTTCCTCCTCCTGGCTGGGCATGGTGGCTCACGCCTATAATCCCAGCACTTTGGGAGGCTGAGGCAGGCGGATCACGAGGTCAGGAGTTCGAGACCAGCCTGGCCAACATGGTGAAACCCCGTCTCTAGGAAAAATACAAAAAATTAGCTGGGCATGGTGGCGCATGCCTCTAATCCCAGCTACCTGGGAAGCTGAGGCAGGAGAATCGCTTGAACCCAGGAGGCAGAGGTTGCAGTGAGTGGAGATCATGCCACTGCACTCCAGCCTGGACGACAGTGTGAGACTCCGTCTCAAAAATAAATAAATCTTCCTCCTCCAATTCTTCTTCTTATCTTCCTTCTCCTTTATCTTCTTTTCCTTCTCTTCCTCCTTATACTTTTTTCCCTTCTTCCTCTTCTCCTTCTGCTTCTCCCCTTCCTCCTCCTTCCTCCTCCTCTTTCTCCTCTTCTTCCTTTTTTACTTTGCCTCTATTTGTAAGGAGATTGAGACTTTCTTCTTTAGGAATATCCATGGCTTTTCACTCTTTGCCTTTGTGCAAGTAATTGGAAGATGTGCTTCTTTCCTGGGTGGAAATATTATCAATAAAAAAGATGGAGGTCTGAGACTGAATGGAAACATTGGCCTGAAGCATTTGCCACAGGTGATGGTGATTACCAAAAAGAAAAATGGGATTTGACCAGAATGACTTTGTTTTCTGGGCTAAAAACTTTGCCTAATAAAGCACCTTAGCTGATGTATGTATTTATGAGTTATTATGTGTCTAGAGTATTAACATAAAGTACAGAGGCTCCTCTGGTTATGAATGTTCAATTCAGAACTGATTTGAACAAAAAGTCCACACGGAAGCAAAAGTGTGGCCGGGCGCGGTGGCTCAAGCCTGTAATCCCAGAACTTTGGGAGGCTGAGGTGGGCGGATCACCTGAGGTCGGGAGTTCCAGACCTGCCTGACCAACATGGTGAAACCTCGTCTCTACTAAAAAAATACAAAAATAGCCGGGCGTGGTGGCGCATGCCTGTAATCCCAGCTACTCGGGAGGCTGAGGCAGGAGAATCGCTTGAACCCAGGAGGTAGAGGTTGCGGTGAGCCAAGATCGCGCCATTGCACTCCAGCATGGGCAACAAGAACAAAACTCTGTCCCCCACCGCCCCCAAAAAAAGAAGCAAAAGAGTGATAATTCAGCCCATTGCCAACACAGGGCGATAGATACTGGGATCTGACATTTACTTCTCAAAGTTTCTGGGGTGAGACAAGGACTGAAACTCGCTTAAGAGGCAGAGCAAGACAGACGGGCAGATTTTTCAACCATGTTTGTGGGCCATAGCCCACATATCATATGCTGGAATGTGTAAAAATAAAAAAATCAATCTTAAATAAAACATTTTATCCTCCTACTTTGACAAGTATACATTCATAATGACAGAAGCAAAACATATCTGTCAAGCTATGGTTTACATATGATTAAAAGTCAGAAAACTATCAAAGATGAGGGAATTTAATTATTATTGCATATGTCTGGGTGTTGTATTGCTGGGCCTCTGATATTATTAGTATGAGTAACAAACATAATTAATAAATTATTATATATTTATTCCATAACATTTCTTTTTTTTGTGTTGATTTCAGCAAAATCACTAAATGTGTAGTGATCAAGTTTTTACATAATTTATGTTCTACTGACCTGGATGTGGCAATTTTTTTTTTTTTTTTTTTGGTAAAGAGCCAGGTAGTACTAGGCTTTGTGGTCCATACATGCTTCTTTGTTTTACAAATCTTTAAAAATATTAAAAAAATAGGCCAGGCACGGTGGCTCGTGCCTGTAATCATAGCATTTCAGAAGGCTAAGGCAGGAGAATCACTTGAGCCCACGAGTTTGAGACCAGCCTGGGCAACAGAGCAAGACCTCGTTTCTATAAAAAATAAAAAAATTAGCTGGGCGTGGTGGCACATGCCTGTGGTCCCAGCTATTTGGGAGGCTGGGGCAGGAGGAGGAGGATTGCTTGAGTCCAGGAGGTCGAGGCTGCAGTGAGCTGTGATCATGCCACTGCATTCCATCTAGGCAACATAGCAACACCCTGTCTCAAAAAAAATTTATAAAATATTTATTAAAATACTTGTAAAATATTGTATATTTAATATTTATAAAATACTTTATATTTATATATTTATAAAAAATTATTTAAAATATTTATATGTTACATATATAAATATGTGCAATTTGTATATGTAATATATAAATATTTTAAAGAAATTTTAAAATATTACATATATAAATATATGAATATACAAAAATACCTAATAAATATATATTTGTATACTGTATATATACCATTCTTAGTTCATGGGTTAAATTCAGCCCTTAGGCTGTCATTTGCTGGCCTTTGCTATTGACAATAATCATCTAAAAGGTGAAAAAAATGAAATGCAATTATATTTATTTACTTTTTGAGACGATGTCTCGCTCTGTCGCCCAGGCTGGAGTGCAGTGGCGCGATCTCGGTTCACTGCAAGCTCCACCTTCCAGGTTCACGCCATTCTCCTGCCTCAGCCTCCCGAGTAACTGGGACTACAGGCGCCTGCCACCATGCCCGGCTAATGTTTTGTGTTTTTAGTAGAGATGGGGTTTCACCGTGTTAGCCAGGATGGTCTCGATCTCCTGACCTCATGATCCGCCCGCCTCGGCCTCCCAAAGTCTGGGATTACAGGCGTGAGCCACCGCGCCCGGCCTGAAATGCAATTATAAAGTATAAAAAATTTTAAAAAGTAAACCAAAAAACTCATAAATGTTTACAAATATTTTTCTTCTAAAATATTCAAAATATTTAAGATGGGAAAGTAAAATACACGATAATTGATATTAAGCCTTCATATCAAAATTAAAGAAAATGTAAATATATTTTTTAAAGTTTTGGCTAAATCCCACTAAATATTTCTTATAAAAATAAAACTAGCTTCAATTCCGGAATTCAGTGTCCATCTATAGTTGCCAATGTGAAGAATCTGTAGGCATGTTAGTTACATCAAGGCCAATGTATAAGCAGATTCAAGAATAATCTGGGGTTGGGTGCAGTGGCTCACATCTGTAATCCCAGCACTTTGGGAGGCCGAGGCGGGTGGATCACTTGAGGTCAGGCATTCAAGACCAGCCTGGACCAACATGGCCAGACGCCGTCTCTGCTAAAAATATAAAATTAGCTGGGCATGGCGGTGCGCGCCTGTAATCCCAGGTACCTCAGGAGGCTGAGGCAGGAGAATCGTTTGAAACCAGCGGGTGGAGGTTGCAGTGAGCCGAGATTGTGCCAGTGCACTCCAGGGTGGGCGACAGAATGAGACTCCATCTCAAAAAAAATTAAAAAAATTTAAAAAAAGGGCAATCTGAATTATTTATTCTGCAAAATGTTCTTCAGCTGCCGTTTGCAACTAGTACAAATACTGTGCTTTTTGTAAGCACCTTTGGAATAATGACGGGACACTGAGAAGCAAGAACGAGGATGCTCAGGTGTTGCTGGGGACACTTGGCTCTGCAAGTATCCAGCTACGGGAGAGAAAGATGGGAGGGTTAACTCAGTTGTCTTTTCTCTTTCCACGGTGTTTTCCCTGATCAAATCCTCCCTGCACTGTGGAACAGTGCCTTTCAATTTACAGATATAGGACAAAAGATGCAGAGAACGGCTTCCCTGGGGCCTGAGCAGTGTTAGTGTCAATGGTGGGTGTTTAGTGCTATGGATGGCACAATGCCAGTGCTAAGTAGCAGACACTGAGGGGCTGATTTACCCGTGTTTTGTTTTTTTGGGGGGGTTTGTTTGAGACAGGGTCTCACTCTATCATCCAGGCTGGAGTGCAGTGGCGCAATCTCAGCTCACTGCAGCCTTGACTTCCCTGAGCTTAGGTGATCCTCCCATCTCAGCCTCCCAAGTAGCCGGGACTACAGGCATGTACCACCATGCCCGGCTAATGTTTGTATTTTTAGTGGAGACAGGGTTTCCCCATGTTGCCCAGGCTGGTCTTGAACATCTGGGCTTGAGTGATCCTTCTGCCTTGGCCTCCCACAGTTCTGAGATCACAGGCGTGAGCCACCATGCCTGGCTTACCCATGATTTTTAATGAATATTTTGTGTGTGTATTTTATATCGAGAGCCGGTAAAACAGGGCAGGGGCTCCTTTTGCCCAAGTCTAAAGGTAGACTGCAGGTTGGATGACATAAACACACAGCTCAAGTGGGAGATGAAGGCAGTGCTGACACAGCAGGCAGGACCACAGAGGTGACGGATGTGGCAGAGGCTGTGGTGACCTGGGGAGCCTGTGCTCGTCTATAGAGCACTGTCAACATTCTGCCCTTACCAGTGACTGACTGGTAGGAAAGTGGACCAGGCCTTGTTGAAATGTTTGATTTCTCAAGAGAATGCCACAGTTTAAATTTTCATGTGAAAAGTGAATATTGATGAATAATTAAAATTTAAAAAACTGAAAAGCACATTTGGGTGGGGATCACATCTCTGGGCTGGATTTGTTCCCAAAGCCACCATGATCAGCCCTCTGGTCTACTGCATTATGCTATATTTGTGCATACTTTTGAAGTGTTTATGGTCAATAATTCCTTATTTTTTTTTGAGATGGAGCCATGCTATGTTAACCAGGCTGGAGTGCAGTGGCATGATCTTGGCTCAGTGCAACCTCTGCCTCCTGAGTTCAAGTGATTCCCCTGCCTCAGCCTCCCAAGATGCTGGGATTACAGGTGCTCACCACCATGCCTGGGTAATATTTTTGTATTTCTAGTAGAGATGAGGTTTTGCCATGTTGGCCAGGCTGGTCTCGAACTCCTGACCTCAAGTGATCTGCTCACCTTGGCCTCCAAAAGTGGTGGGATTACAGGCGTGAGCCACTGTGCCCGGCCAAATTCCTCATTTTAGAAAAGAAAGTGAAAGTTAAGTGTATAGCAATGTGTACACAAGGGTTATATGTGTGCTGCCACTTTGACTTAGCAAAACATGGACCAAGCAATCTCCTGTTTATATGTAAAGAAATGGTTGGGCACGGTGGCTCACACCTGTAATCCCAGCACTTTGGGAGGCTGAGGTGGGCTAATCACTTGGGCTCAGGAGTTCGAGACCAGCCTGGCCAACATGGTAAGACCTCTTCTCTACAAAAACATACCAAAAAAAAAAAAAAAAATAGCCGGGCATGGGTGGTGCACACCTATATTCCCAGCTACTTGGGAGGCTGACATAGGAGGATCACCTGAGCCCAAGAGGTTGAGGCTGCAGTGAGCTGTGACTGCACCATTGCACTCCAACCTGGGTGACAGAGTGAGACCCCCATTTAAAAAAAAAAAAAAAAGGCAGAGAAGTTTCCATACCTGAAAATGTCAGTCTGTTATGGGCTCTGCAACTAAGTTAGGATAATTTTTCAGAGATCTTCATTCTACTGCACCTTATTTTCAGTAAGAGCAGAGTAGAGAAAATTTTCTAGTGAGATTTTCCCAGTCTCTAATAGAAGAACAAAGTTAGAGATCCAAGGAGAGTGTTTCTAGAAGATGTGAAGCCTCAGGACATGGTTTATCCTGCAGTTCTGGAAGGGACAACAGAAGATATCTGGTATGGGAGTAGCGAAGGCACCAGAAGAGAGGAAGGCAGCAAGTTATGTTTCCAGCATTTTGGAGCACAAGTGAGATGTCTGGTGTAGTGGTTAAGAGGTCAGACTTTCCCAAGTTCAAAACCCAGTTTTTGCCTGGGCATGGTGGCTCACACCTATGATCCCAGCACTTTGGGAGGCCAAGGTGGGTGGATCACTTGAGGTCAGGAGTTCGAGACTAGTCTGGCCAACATGGTGAAACCCCATCTCTACTAAAAATACAAAAATTACCTGGGTGGGGTGGTGCGCACCTGTAATCCCAGCTTCTTGGGAGGCTGAAGCACAAGAATTGCTTGAACCCAGGAGGCGGAGGTGGCAGTGAGCCGAGATCATGCCATTGCACTCCAGTCTGGGCTACAAAGTGAGACTCTGTCTAAAACAAAACAAAAACAACCCAGTTTTTGTACTCACCAGCTGGAAAAAGTTGCTTTTCCCTCTGAGCTCCTTCCTGCTTCATCATTTATATAAGGTGGTGATGATTACCTACCTCAAAGGGCTGCTGCGGGCAGTAAATGAGTGAATCAAAGTCAAAGTCTAGTACCCATTCCTCAGTAAGTACTCAATAAATGCTGCCTATTCTTCACTGGAGAGTGATTGGAATTAGCAATGAGAATTTGTGTAGTTTATATTCAAAGCCACTAAAATGAGAAGTCCAGGGCAGGGGCCCCTCTTGCCCAAGCCTAAAGGCAGACTGTGGGCTAGATGAGACATCTGCAGTGAGGTACACAGTTGATATCTGAAGAGAGCACCTAGCAGAGCCTATACATTTAGAGGCATATGTATTTGGGGGAGGAGAAGGAAGTGGAACCTTCAAAGGGGGTCAGAGAAAGAAGAGTAAGGAAGGAGAAAAGCCAAGGGAGGGATAAGGGAAGGTTCTGTTTGAAAATAAAAAGTAGAGGCCTTATTTTCAGAACAGTGCTGAGAGTGCAAGTGAGTTAGAATGGCATTTTATAAGCTTCAGGACATCTATGAGTCACCTTGGAGAGGGGAGAGGTAGATATTTAAAATGAAGATTCCCAGAAAGTATGACTCAGTAGTTCTGGGCTGAGGCCCAGGAATCTACAGGAATTCTAACTGGGTGTCCATGTGTCTCACCCCCACTACCCATGTACAAAAAAATACAAAGTCTACAAAAGAAAATGGGTAGCTTTCAACAGGTTGCTAAGGGAGTAAAGGAAGGGATGGTGGCTGGAGGTGTTTATTTTTCCTGTATGTATATAATGGTCAAAGGCACTCAAATATCTGTGACTTTGGGTCTGGATGGATGAATTAAATTGGTTGGTTTTCCAGGATTAAACCAACCTTGCATTCCAGGAATAATCCAACTTGCTCATGATGGTTAGTGGAGAAGAGATACATTGATCAGAACTCAGTCTCAGGCTCAAGGCAGTTTGTCTTTCCTGAGCTCTAGGCTGACGTGACCTTCTGTCTAAACAACACAGTAGCTTCCTAGGACTTGGACATAAACATGGGGTCTTCTAAAGCAGTGATCTTCAAACTATCTTCCTCATATATACCCTCTAAAATAAATTTTTTTTTTGAGATTGGATCTCACTATGCTGCCCAGGCAGGAGTGCAGTGGCTATTCAGAGACACCATCACAGTGCACTGCAGCTTCAAACTCCTGGGCTCAAAGGATCCTTCCTGCCTCAGCCTCCCAAATGGCTGGGACTACAGGCACACACCACCATGCCTGGCTTAAATTTTTTTTTTTTTTTTGAGGTGGAGTCTTGCTCTGTTGCCCAGGCTGGAATGCAGTGGCACAATCTCGGCTCACCGCAACTTCCACCTCCCAGGTTCAAGCAATTCTTCTGCCTCAGCCTCCCGAGTAGCCAGGACTACAAGTGCATGCCACCACGCCTGGCTAATTTTTGTATTTTTAGTAGAGATGGGATTTTCACCATATTGGCCAGGCTGGTCTCAAACTCCTGACCTTGTGATCCTCCTGCCTCAGCATCCCAAAGTGCTGGGATTACAGGCGTGAGCCATTGCGCCCTGCCAATAATTTTTAAAAAGATATATAATTCCTTCCATGTTCTAAACTTGATATCTATAATGTTTTCATATCTTTAGATATCTTTAGAGGATTCTGGGGTATTATAAATATTTGTAAATAATTCTTAAATTTGTATTCATCGTCATCCATTTAAACTACGCATGAACAAGCTGTTTTTCTAACAGTTGAAGTTTTACATCATTTTTTTCCCCTTCATCTTGTACTTCAACTCCACTTCCCCTGTGGGATTTTATGTGAACATAATAATTTGGGGGTCTTTGAAATTGTTAATTGATCATTCTATCGGACTTCTCAGCAAGACAATTTATTTATTTATTTATTTTTTGAGACAGAGTCTCGCTCTGTTGCCCAGGCTGGAATGCAGTGGCACGATCTCAGCTCACTGCAACCTCCGCCTCCTGGGCTCAAGCGATTCTCCTGCCTCAGCCTCCTGAGTAGCTGGGAATACAAGCACGTGCCACCATGCCTGGCTAATTTTTTATGTGTGTGTTTTTAGTAGAGACAGGGTTTCACCATGCTGGCCAGGCTGGTCTCGAACTCCTGACCTCATGAGCAACCTGCCTCTGCCTCCCAAAGTGCTGGGATTACACACGTGAGCCACCACGCCTGGCTCTCAGCAAGACAATTTATAGAGAAATTTAAAAAATTTAACTTCATTTGATCAGAATTAAACTACTCTTACAATTATTATTTTTATGTAATTAATGAAAACAATGTGAATGTCCCACACAATCTGAATGATGGAACGTTGATAACTGAAGCTGGTTCCTGGGGCAGGGAGGATCATTATGGTTCTCACTCCATTGTTTATGTTTGACATTTCCCATAATAAAAAGTTTAAACACATGTTTAAAAAATAAGTATGTCACAAATTCTGGTTAACAATTTCTAAACAAAAGAAATGTAACATTTTACCGGCAATAACATTTTAACAAGATGTTTAACAAGATGGATGTGACTTGAATGGTCTCTGGTTTTGGTGTCAACCAAGTAGGAAATACTGTCATCAGGTTCTTGTGTATCTTTCCAGAGATATTGATGAACATATGAATAAACACTCATTCATACTTTTTTGATCTGCAAATGGTAACATACTGTGTGTTCCATTCTGCATTTTTTTTCTGTCTATATAGCTTTAGCTATGGCCATGTCATATATCTATAAAGCAAGTCTGTGTTTATGTGTGTGTGTATATATACATAGACTTGTTTATATATATAAGTGTGTGTGTGTGTGTATTTTTTTTTTTAGAGCCAGGGTCTTTCTCTGTCATCCAGGCTGGAGTGCAGTGGCACAATCATGGCTCACTGTGGCCTCAATCTTCTGGGCTCAAGCAATATTCTCATCTTGGCCTCCCAAGTAGCCAGGACTATAGATATGCATCATCATGCCCAGCTAGTTTTTAAATTTTTTGTAATGACAAGGTCTTGCTATGTTGTCCAGGCTGGTCTCAAACTCCTGAGCTCTAGCGATCTTCCAACCTCACCCTCCCAAAATGCTGGGATTACAGGCATGAGCAACCACACCCAGCTGCTTTATATTTTTTAATATACAGCTTTTAATGTTTTCAATGAATTCCATGGAGTGAATTTAGCCAGGCTCCTCCCTATTTAGAAACATTTAAGTGGTTTTCAATCTTTTGCCTTTACAATCAGTGCTATCATGAATAACCTTCACAAATATTATTTTGCTCATCTCTGAGATTATCTTAGAAAAAAATCCACAATTTTTCAAGACTAGTTATAATATAAAAATGCCTCCTTCCAATAGCTTAAGAAGTATGTTTCCTAAAATTGAAACTGACAGAGTGATCCTCTTGGGTCACCTTTGTGCGGGATTCTTGTCCAGCTTCCACTTCTCTAACTTCAACCTTAGCCAACTCCAATGACTGACTACAAATCTCATCTTGTTATTTCTTTTCTGAATCCTGAAGCCCAACTGATTGCTACTTTTCCTGAAATGACAGAGAAGGAAAAAACCAGCAGGTATTGAGAATTTACCCTGTGCAGGCACTGGACCAGGAGCATTTATATATTATCTCCTGGAGACTTCACAGTAACTTCATGAGCTTGGTGTTTTTTAAAACTAAGAAAACTGAGGGGCTGGGCACAGTGACTGATGCCTGTAACACTCTGGGAGGGCGAGGTAGGAGAATCACTTGAGGCCAGGAGTTTGAGACCAGCCTGGGCAACATAGTGAGACCCCATCTCTACAAAATATAAAAATTTAGTTGGGTGTGGTGACATGCACCTGTAGTCCTAGCTACTCAGGAGGCTGAGGCAGGAGGATTGCTTGAGACCAGGAGTGAGGTTGCAGTGAGTGGTGATTGCATCACTGCACTCCAGTCTATGCAGCAGAGCAAGATCCTGCCTCTAAAAAAGAAAAAAATTAAAAATTAAAAATAAGACAGAAAATAAAGAAAAAGAAAACTGAGGTTCTGCAAGGTTAAGTCACTTGCCCTAAGTCACACAGCTGGTAGCTGGCGGGGAGAGGGACTCAGTTTCAGGTCTGAGTCCAGGGATTCATCCAGTATCTCTGGACTACTACAATATACATGCAGACCATCCAAGCCAACACTGTCTTGAATACTTTTAAAGCTTTTAATTTTGGACATTTATTTATTATTTATTTATTTATTATTTTGAGACGGAGTCTCCCTCTGTCTCCCAGGCTGCAGTGCGGTGGCGCGATCTTGGCTCACTGCAACCTCTGCCTCCAGTGTTCAAGTGATTCAGCCTCCCGAGTAGCTGGGAATACAGGTGTGCACCATCACGCCTGGCTAATTTTTGTATTTTTAGTAGAGACGGGGTTTCACCATGTTGGCCAGGCTGGTTTCGAACTCCTGACTTCAAGTGATCCTCCTGCCTCGGCCTCCCAAAGTGCTGGGATTACAGGCATGAGCCACTGTGCCTAGCCAATTTTGGATTACTTTAAATTTATGGAAATATTGCAAAGATAGTACAGAGAGTTCCTGCATATGCTTCACCCAGCTTCTCCTGATGTTAGCATCTTAGGTAACCATGATATATTCATCGAAACTAAGAAATTAACATTGATACAACACTATCAACTAAACTAGAGGTTTTATTTGTACTTTGCCAATTTTTTCACGAATGTCCATTTTTCTTCTCCGGGACCCAATCCAGAATACCACGTTGCCTGTAGAATCTTGTACTATTTTAAATTTTTTCTTTCCTGTATGTCTTAGCCCCCCAACTACTTCTGGAGAGCAGAAATATTACGGAACGTTTCTGTTGAGTCTATCCTAGAGCCCTAGAGACAGTGCTGGACCCACAACAGGAAGTCAATCATGATGTGATATGATTTATCCAGCTTGGTCTGATTTGTCAAGGTTCTGGTTGTAGAAGGAAACAGAAAGTTCCATGGCTCTGGAATATCAGGTGTGCTAATGAACAGCTTGTAAAGCTGGGTGGGGGACATCAGCGCCTTGTCACCTTGTCTGCCAGGCGCTGGAGGAAGTGGGAGATTTGTTCATAACACCGGGTCATTTCCTCCCTTCCTGTCCTGACCTCCCAGCTTTTCCCTGACAGCCAGTGGAAGCCATGGCCCAAGTCATTTAGTGACATCTTAAGGTGAGGCAAAGAACTGACAGGGAGCGCTGGCCCTAAACTCAGACGGGAACTTCCAAATCCAGATCCCCCTCCTTAGAGGGGTTGCCACCTGGAAACAGGAGAAATCTAGACCCTTAATAAAAAGAACATTTTGCTGTGTAATTTCACCCCATTCCCACAACCATCTGCTACCTACTATCCATAATGGAGTTTTTAAAAAATATGCGAGTTTCATTCACTTATACATTCAACAAACATTTACTGATACCTCCTGCATTTCAGACAGATTTAGGAGCTAGGTATAGGCAGTAAATGAAAGAGTCCTGACCCCTATCCTATCAATAGTACAGGAAATAGGCAAGTGAACTGCTAACCAATTGTGCTAAGTGTTACACTCATTTATTTATTTATTTATTTATTTAATTTTTAACTTTTTTTAAAGCGTGATTTTTGTTTTTGTTTTTGTTTTGAGACAGAGTCTTGCTCTGTTACCCAGGCTGGAGTGCAGTGGCACGATTTTGGCTCAACGCAACATCTGCCTCCTGGGTTCAACTGACTGTCATGCTGCAGTCTCCCAGGTAGCTGGAATTACAGGCACCTGCCACCACTCCCAGCTAATTTTTGTATTTTTAGTAGAGACAGGGTTTCACCATGTTGGCCAGGCTGGTCTCAAACTGCTGACCTGAGGTGATCCACCTGCCTCGGACTCCCAAAGTTCTGGGATTACAGGCGTGAGCCACTGCGCCTGGCCTGTTACACTCATTTAACACATATTTGAGCACCTCTGGGTGCTAGGCACTTTTCTAAATCCTGGAGATGTGATGGGGAACAAAAAGGTTTTGAAGCAAAGACAGATTCTAATAAAAGGGGAGCCTATTTTATTGCGTTTTTTTGTTTGTTTGTTTTGTTTTTGTTTTTTTTAAAGACAGGGATTTGCTCTGTTGGCCAGGCTGGAGTGCAGTGGCACAATCTCAGCTCACTGCAACCTCTGCCTCCCAGGCTCAGGCGATCCTCCCACCTCAGCAAAGTGCTGGAATTACAACTGTGAGCCACCACACCGAGGCAGGCTATTTTAAATAAAGGAGTCAGGGAAGGCCTCCCTATAAAAGTATTGTTTAATTTGGGCTCTAAGAGATGAAAAAGGCTGTGGCTCATCCCTATAATCTCGGCACTTTGGGAAGTGGAGGTGGGTGGATTGCTTGAGCCCAGGAGCTTGAGGCTAGCCTGGGCAACATGGCAAAACCTTGTCTCTATTTTAAAAATAAAAAATTAAAGAAGAAGAAGAAAAAACAAGACAAAGAGCTAGTTTTGGAACAAGCGTGGAAAGAAGATTCCAAGCAAATGGAGCAGTGTGTGCAAAGGTCCTGAGGCAGAAAAGTCTTGAGCAGGTTGAAGAACTGGGAGAGAAGAAGATAGTGACGAGTGTGCAGTGAACAAAGAGAGGAGAGGGCAGCATGATAAGGCTCTCCTTCCCTGAGTTCTGGGTTAGAGATTGTTGGGGGAGGTATGCCTGGGAAACCTGGCAGTCAGAAGAGAGGCTAGCTGGAGGCAGCTGCAGGCTAACGAGGGGTGTCAGACAACTTCCTGGGGAACGTCATGAGGATTAACTGTGGTTGCTGCTCAGTGAGAGCTTCCTAAAGGTTTGAAGGGGCTTCTGGCAAGCTTATGAAAACTACCCACTAGGGCTGGGTTGGTAAATTACGGTAATCTATGGCTTGAGAATTCTGGCCCTCTGCTTGTTTTTATGAATAAAGTTTTATTGGCACACAACCATACCCATTTGTTTGCATATTGTCTATGGCTGCTTTTTTGCTACAACAGCAGAGTGGCCCACAGAGCCTAAAATAGATACCAAACTTTTTACAAAAAAGTTTTGCAGGCTGGGCATGGTGGCTCATGTCTGTAATTCCAGCACTTTGGGAGGCCAAGGCAGGAAGATTGCTTGAGCCCAGGAGTTCAAGACCAGCCTGGGCAACATAGCAAGACCCCATCTCTAAAATATAATAATATAATAAAAAGGTTTGCCAACTCCATGCGAGGATGTGGCAGGCTAACCCTGACACCCAACGAAGGTTTTCATGCGAAGGAATGATATGGTCCAGATAATGTTTTAAGAATTTTTTTTGTGACTACTTGGAGGGTAAATTGGAAGAAGGTAAGATTTGAAGTAGGGAGGTAATAAAGAGGCAATTATTCCAGTGAAACATGACAATTACATGTACCAGGAGGGCAGTGGTGGGGATGGAGAGAGGGAGATTCAGAAGATATAGTCTAGAGACACCCAGTACCAATGGGTACACCTAGTGCCCACATCATGATTTCTAAATACTATTCTCCAATTAAAGAAACTGGGGCTTTGAGAAATGGCTGACTCCAGGGCTGGGGTAGGAAATATACAAGATGAACCTGGAACATCTTGTGATGCCAGGAAGTAAGAATGTGCTTAAAAAATGATGGGACATGTTGAAAGGACCCAGGAGCCAACTTGGAGGACCTCTGAAAGAACAAATCTAAAACAATTTAAGCAACCAAATAAGCAATGAGAATAATAAACTAGTTAAGTCCATAACTGAATAAATCAATAAATAGGGGAGAAAGAACAGCACTTCCCTACAGAAGAATTCTAATTAATAAGTGTGAAAGGAATGATAGAATTTGAAAATCACCATTTGGCAAACACCAGAGGAATAACTCTTGCAGGCAAGAATCATGGAGGATGGTTTGTATTGGGGAAAAGAATGATGACAAATGGGACATTTGCCATCTCGAAGAATCTCCCCACAAGATACTTATCAAAGACAAAGGGGAAAAGAACTATCACTTTACACTGGAGAAATCCTACAGACACTACCTTCACCAAGGTAACATCAGCAGTAATAATGTAACACACTGACTTCAGGTAACTCCTGATATGATACACTAAAAAGGCCAAGTGTTGCTGGGCGCGGTGGCTCATGCCTGTAATCCCAGCTCTTTGGGAGGCCCAGGTGGGCGGATCACGAGGTCAGGAGATCGAGACCATCCTGGCTAACACGGTGAAACCCATCTCTACTAAAAATACAAAAAAAATTAGCCAGGTGTGGTGGCGGGCGCCTGTAGTCCCAGCTACTCGGGAGGCTGAGGCAGGAGAATGGCGTGAACCTAGGAGGCAGAGCTTGCAGTGAGCCGAGATCGCGCCACTGCACCGCAGCCTGGGTGACAGAGCGAGACTCTGTCTCAAAACAAAAAACAAAAAAAAACAAAAACAAAAACAAAAAAAAGGCCAAGTGTGCCATTTCCAAAAAAAAGGCATAATTGTGATCTAATCGTGGGAAAACATCAGAGAATCCCAAACTGCGGAATATTCTCGAACAACTGGTCAGTACTCTTCAAAAGTATCAAGGTCATGAAAGATGAAGGAAGACTTTGAGTTCGAGATTCTGAACTAGATCTTGAGTTAGAAAAGGAACCTTAGTGGAACAATTGGCAAAATTTGAATATGGTCTGTAGCTTCACATTGTAGCAAGGCTACTTTCTTGATTTTGATCACTGTACTGTGATTATATAAGATGTTGCCACTTGGGGAAGCTGGGTGAAAGGTTTTTCTGGGAACTCTGTACTATTTTTGCAACTTTTTTCTACATCTAAAATTATTTCAAAGTAAAAAGTTAAAAGCTCAAGGGGGGAGAAAAGATTTCAGTTGGAGACACCAGTAACAGAATTGCTGGTCAATAGGTGTGCTGGGGAGGAGGGAGAAGGAAAAATATTTACTGCTTTGTTGCATTGTCATCAAGCAAGATAAGAAGAAATAGACACATGTAGCAATTCTGGGCCAGCTGTGGTGGCTCATGCCTGTAATCCCAACACTTTGAGAAGCCAAGGCGGAAATGCAGAAAGACTGCTTGAGGCCAGGAGTTTGAGACCAGCCTGGGCAACAAGGAGAGACCTCTCATTTCTAGCAAAAGAAGAAAAAATAAAAAAGCCCTAACACTTAAGATCAATTGTATAATCTGTGCATTTCCATCTGTTTGCATACAGTAAAATCTGTTTTATATGTTAAGCATGAATTGTATTACTGGGCATCATCTCATTCATAAATTTCTGGAAGGGCTGCATGTGACGGTGAGGAGAGGAGACCAGCTTTATTAATTTATATCTTGATTTCATTATCTGAAATTAGAATATTTTCTGAATATTTGAGACCAAACATTAGAATTAGCCAGTATTTATTTTGTGTCTGTACCAGAGTCTATTTTGACAGGTCAAAAATTTTTGGAGGATCAAATACAATGATCCATTATTAACTGAGCACCTATTATGTGCCAGGATTTGGACCAGGTGCCAAAAATGCCTCATCTCACTTAATCCTCCCAACAACCCTGTGACCACCACTTAGCTGAGGATGCTGAGCTTCCAAGAAATTGATGGACCTGCTTACGATCTTACCGTGAGGGAACAGTAGCGGAGGCATTTGGGAGTAACTTGCCCACGTCTCTCAGCCAGTGAGCAGCAGAGCTGGTCTGAGATGTGAGTCTATACTTCTAACTACAGCTGCAGGGCCTGTTCTGTCTTCCATTCTCTGCAACTAACCAAGGGCAGGACCATTTAGGGAGTCTTTACAATTTTGTCCCAGTCAGTGTGTTTGCTTGCAAGAGCAACATGGCAAGTTTGTATATTTTGGGGACTGGATGCTCAAATCCCATGTTTATGTTTTAGCTACCCCTGCCAACACGTGATATCACCAACTGTAAAACGTCTGCCAGTCTTAGGATGGGAAACAATCTCGCTTGTTCTTAAGTCTATTTCTCCACCAGGTTAAGTCCAGCTCTTTGTATGTGGCACTAACCACGTCTGTCCTCTTTAACCAATGTCTGTCCACAGCTTTTGTCCACATTCTCCCCATAGGATCAACTTTTTCTGATTGATTTGAAGGAGTTCTTTGTGCATTCTGCATGCTGGATGTTAATCATTTATTTAATACAGGTGAAAAATATTTTTCCCCGTATCCTGCTTATCTTTTTACTTTCCTTTTGGTGTCTTTTTTTTTTCTTTGAGATGGGAGTCTCACTCTGTTGCCCAGGCTGGAGTGCCTGTTGCCTCCACCGTGCCAGGCGGGAGAACCCCATTTCTACAAGTAATTTAAAAAATTAGCCAGGTGTGGCCAGGCGCGGTGGCTCATGCCTGTAATCCCAGTACTTTGGGAGGCTGAGGCAGGCAGATCACGAGGTCAGGAGATCGAGACCATCCTGGCTAACACGGTGAAACCCAGTCTCTACTAAAAATACAAAAAATTAGCCGGGCGTGGTGGTGGGCGCCTGTAGTCCCAGCTACTGGGGAGGCTGAGGCAGGAGAATGGCGTGAACCCGGGAGGCGGAGCTTGCAGTGAGCCGAGATCGTGCCACTGCACTCCAACCTGGGTGACAGAGTGAGACTCCGTCTCAAAGAAAAAAAAAAAATTAGCCAGGTGTGGTGGCATGCACCTGTGGTCCCAGCTACTTGGGAGGCTGAGGCGAGTATCACCTGAGCCTGGGAAGTTGAAGCTGCAGTGAGCTGTGATTGCACCACTGTACTCCAGCCTGGGCAACAGAATGAGACCTGGTCTCAAAAAACAAAGGAACAAAAAGGGCTGGGCATGGTGGCTCACGCCTGTAATCCCAGGCCTTTGGGAGGCCGAGACGGGCAGATTACTTGAGGTCAGGAGTTCAAGACTAACCTAGCAAATATGGTGAAACCCCATCTCTACTAACATTACAAAAGTTAGCTGGGCATGGTGGTGTGCACCTGTAATCCCAGCCACTCAGGAGGCTGAGGCAGTAGAATCACTTGAATATGGGAAGCGGAGGTCGCAGTGAGCTGAGATTGTGCCACCGCACTCCAGCCCTGGGTGACAGAGTGAGACTCTGTCTCAAAAAGAAGAAAAGAAAAAAGGAATACAATTATGTGCTGATGATTACCTTTCTTGCATTTCTCAGTTGTCCTGCACAAGACCAGGCACATAACATGTGCTCAATAAATATTTCTGAACTTAAGGCACCAACTTTTCTATTTTCTATTTAAAAATATTATGAACAATACCTTCTTCTTGTTAACTATGGCATCATTCCAGGCATTTGGTGGTAAGATCACAGTACTGAAGGTTTTGTTCTTAGTGTCAGCTTTTTAGCTAGATTGTAAAGAATCCCATTCTACAGATATAAAAACAGTAATGTTGGGTGCCAGGATTTGCTATTTGAAAAAATGAAATTGACAAGCTACATGTAATCTTTATACCCTCTAATGCCCTTATTGGATTATTCATATCACACTTTTTCAGCTATTCTTAAACTACCTTGCAGCAGTACTGGATCTTTTCCCAAATAAGTAAACGAGGTTACAGAAAATGAGGGCACAATGAGTAGCATTTAATAGATACTGCCTGGGCCTGGCATGGTGGCTCACACCTGTAATCCCAGCACTTTGGGAGGCCGAGGTGGGCAGATCACCTGAGGTCGGGAGTTCAAGACTAGCCTGACCAACATGGAGAAACCCCGTCTCTACTAAAAATACAAAATTAGTCTGGTGTGGCAGCAGGTGCCTGTAATCCCAGCTACTTGGGAGGCTGAGGCAGGAGAATGGCTTGAACCTGGGAGGCGGAGGTTGCAGTGAGCCAAGATTGCGCCATTGCACTCCAGCCTGGGCAACAAGAGCGAAACTCCGTCTCAAAAAAAGATACTACTGGCTGTGCATTTCTCCTTCCGTCGTTTTAAATAGTCAAGTTTTAAGGGATCTCTGGGGGAGGATTTCCTCCAGCTCCCTCGCCCCTCCCCAAAGCGGCTCCCATTCATTTTCTGACATAAGGAGCTTTGTCAATGGCTGCTCGTTTCCAATTTTCAGGTTGCCCTCAGAGTTACTGAAAATCCGGCAAAGCTGTCCATTTATTTTACTGTGGCACCCACCCCATTGGCTTTCCTTGATCACTGCTTTGTCCGGCGATCAAGATTTACATTTAAATATAGGAATAGAAACAGTCTTTGAGGCTATTAGCAATGAAAGATAATCAATTGGAAATGGTTCCCTGCTGGGCAATTTTCAAGCAGAGTCATCACCAAAAACCAATTGTGCTGGCAGCTTTTGGCCGTCGTGAACATCACTGTCCAATTAGAATTACAGCCCTTGCCGAGTCCCGTGATTTATACACAATTGATATTGAATATTGCTTCAGCAAACAAGGCCTATGGGATAAATTCCCAACATTTGGGGCACAAAAAGATTTTAAATAATTCCTCTTTTTGCTGGTGACTGCAATGGTTATGTAGGAAAATGGTGAAACTTCAAATGATTTTATGCTTATAGCACTTAACGTTGTCTGATTAAGGGGTTGGTAGATTTTATATTTGTATATTGACACCTGGTCATTAGAACACTCATGATCCTTGATATTTTTGGTATACTTTTATTTAATATACTATATATCACCTAAACAATGCAAAAATATGATCTCATATGGATTTTCAAAAATTCTTTACTAATGCCATTAAGAGTTATTAATGCTATAACAATAATCAGCTTATCTAAATTAGTACAGTACTTAATAAAATAATACGCAGTTTGGAAAAGGGGACAGTCACCATTTCAGCCTTTCACCATTGCTGATGAGGGTGAACCGGTATAGTCTTTTTGGAAAACAATCTGGCAACATTTAGCAAAAGCCTTAAAAATGCTCTAACCTTTAACCCAGTAATTCAATTTCTGGGAATCTATCTGAAGAAAATAACCCTATATATGGAAAGAGCTCAAAGCATTGAGATGATAAATGCAGGATTATTTTTAATTACAAAAATGCAGAGTGAGGTGGTGCACACAGTCCTGGCTATGGAGAAGGCTGAGGCGGGAGAATCGCTTGAGCCCAGGAGTTCGAGGCTGCAGTGAGCTATGATTGCACCGGAGAATACCCACTGCACTCCAGCCTGGGCTATGGAGCAAGACCCATCTCTTTAAAAAAATGAGAAGAAAACCAAACGTCTACCAAGAGATTCATGGTCAAGTAACATGTTTTTAAGTCATATATAATAATAGGAAGAAATGCCATATTAGTTTTCAAAGAAGGGAAAATAAAATGCTCACGTTGTACATACGTTAATATACACCATACAATGATGTAAAAACATAATAGGCAGAGCAAAAGACTAATAGAGCAAAATGTTAGCAGTAGTGGCCTATAGATTTGGGACTAGATTATACAGGTAATTCTACTTTCCCGTATTATTTTGTATTTTCCAAAATTTCTGTATAATAAATGAATTTAATGCATATAATGAAAATGAGTGACTGTCTTATAATATTTTCTTTTGTTATGAAAATACCAATAATACATTACTGTATTGTCTCCCAATACAATATTAATACTTCTTAAGAGGAGTGGTGGCCAGGCATGGTGGCTCATGCCTATAATCCCAGCACTTTGAGAGGCTGAGGTGGGTTGATCATTTGAGGGCAGGAGGTCAAGGCCAGCCTGGCCAACATGGTGAAACCCCGTCTCTACCAAAAACGAAAAACAAAAAACAAAAATGAGCTGGGCATGGTGCTGCACACTTGTAATCCCAGATACTTGGGAGGCTGAAGCAGAGGAGGCGCTTGAACCCGGGAGGCGTATGTTGCAGTGAGCTAAGATTGTGTCACTGCCCTCCAGCCAGGGTGGCAGAGTGAGACTCTGTCTCAAAAAAGAAAAGGAGTGGTAAATTTTTTGGTAATATTTTATTAAACAAAAGCATAAGAGTGGGAGGTAAACTATAGATGGAATCTGGGAATAGACCCACTCTATGATGGAAATGGGTTTTTTTGCAGTAACAAGGTGAGCTGCTGAAATGACTGTTGCACTAACCGAATAAACTCCTGTTTATCCTAAAATTAGAATCCTGGAGGAATAACAAAGAAGCCCAGGAAGGCAATTTGTTCTTCCAGACACACATCTAGAAAGGAGAGATGACATGCAATTCACAAATTGCATTATAAAAAGCTCTTTGCAGTTTGTCACCCAAGTACTTTCCAGAGAGTGGCAGAAAACCAAGTTAAAAATGTCCAGGCCGGGCGCGGTGGCTCACGTCTGTAATCCCAGCACTTTGGGAGGCTGAGGTGGGTGGATCACGAGGTCAGGAGTTCAAGACCAGCCTGGCCAAGATGATGAAACCCCATCTCTACTAAAAATACAAAAATTAGCCGGGCATTGGGCCGGGCGCGGTGGCTCACGCCTGTAATCCCAGCACTTTGGGAAGCTGAGGCGGGCGGATCACCTGAGGTTGGGAGTTCGAGACCAGCCTGACCAACTTGGAGAACCCCTGTCTCTACTAAAAATACAAAATTAGACGGGCGTGGTGGCGGGCGCCTGTAATCCCAGCTACTTGGGAGGCTGAGGCAGGAGAATTGCTCGAACCCAGGAGGTGGAGGTTGCGGTGAGCCGAGATTGAGCCATTGCACTCCAGCCTGGGCAACCGGAGTGAAACTCCGTCTCAAAAAACAAAACAAAAACCCCCAAAAAAGTGGTGGATTACTAGTGGGGAAATCTGGGCAAAATGTAGAAGAGATATTTATTATTCCTCACAACTGCATGTGAATCTACAATGATCTCCATGTAGACTGAGATTCAAATAAAACTACTTACAAAAATGGGTGGCAGGACAGACTTAGCCCCTGGACTGTAGTTTGCTGATCCCTGGATAAGACTATTGGTGCCAGTTTTTACTTCCCTGGGACAGGATTCTTTGTGATATAAATTTGCAGAGGTCTCCCATTGCACACAAAGTATATTTCCCCACCCTCTGATGGCTGGACTTGCTCTAGGCGATGGAACATTAGTAGACATGATGCAAAGAGGGGCTTTACCCTGTTTTGTGAGTTTGCTTGCCCTCTTTTACTCCCATGATCTGCCATGAGAAAATCACAGTCATTGTTGACCCAGGGAGAATGTAGTGATCCAGGGAATAGAACTGAATCCAATCTAAAATGTGAAGCCATGCCCAGTTACCCAGAAGCCTAGAACAGAGCTGCCCTGTTCAAGCATGAGCCAGAAAAATAAGCACTTGCTGTAAGGCCCTGGGCTTTTGGGGGTGGTTTGTTATGGGGCGTTATCTTAGCAATAGCTGACTAATACACCATCCAGCATTCTTGGCCAACAAGCAATAGATGTTGCTTTGCACAGCTGGGGTGACCTCTGTCAGGGTATGTGTTTTCTTCACTCCACTACAGTCTCTGTTTTCCGGATGAAGGACTATTGATTTGCAGCAAATAGTCAAAAAAAACAAATGTGGAATTATTTTAATAGTCAACCATGCCCACTGGATATAAAAATGCAAGTTTTGGCCAGGCACCGTGGCTCACGCCTGTAATCCCAGCACTTTGGGAGGCTGAGGCGGGTGGATCACCTGAGGTCAGGAGTTCGAGACCAGCTTGGCCAAAATGGTGAAACCCTGTCTCTACAAAAAATACAAAAATTAGCCAGGCATGGTGGTGGGTGCCTTTAAGTCCAGCTACTTGGGAGGCTGAGGCAGAAGAATCGCTTGAACCCAGGAGGCGGAAGTTGCAGTGAGCCCAGATCGCTCCATTGTACTCCAGCCTGGGCAACAAGAGTGAAACTCCATCTCAAAAAAAAAAAATAAATAAAAGTAAGTTTTATTGCTAGAGGAGGAAGAGGAGGAGGAAAAAGGTCAGGGAGATGTGTGCTCTTTTAGTCTTGGCTTACCCAAGAACAATCCTTAAATCTTTAATAATTTTAAAGAAAAGAGCAGATCATCAGTCCATCCTTAGTGCACTGACCCTCGAACAATGCAGGGATTAGGGGCACCAATGGCACATATTTTGTGTATGTATTGTATACTGTATTCCCACAATAGTGCAAGCTAAGGAAAAGGAAATGTTACTGAGAAAATTAAGTGGGAGTGGATCATCATGCAAGTCTTCATTCTCGTCATCTTCACATTGAGTAGGCTGAGGACGAGGAGAAAGAGAAGGGGTTGGTCTTGCTGTCTCAGGGGTGGCAGAAGAGGAAGAATATCCACATATAACTGGACCCACATAGTTCAAACCTGTGTTGTTGGTTTTTTTTTTTTTTTTGAAGACAGGGTCTGTGTTGCCCAGGCTAGGGTGCAATGGTCCTATAATAACTCACTGCAGCCTCCAACCCCTGGCTTCAAGTGATCCTCCCACCTCAACCTCCCAAGCACCTGGGACTACAGGTGTACACCACCATGCCCAGCTCATTTTTTATTTTTCTGTAGAGCTGAGGTCTCACTCTGTTGCCCAGGCTGGTGTCAAACTCCTGGGCTCAAGTGATCCTCCTGCCTTGGCCTCCCAAGGGGCTGAGATTACAAGCATGAGCCACCATGCCAGCCAACCATGCAGCTTTAATGAGATGGTCACCGGCAATGCATTATGACAGGCGGGAATGTGTCTCCAAGGTGACGGGCAGTGACCCTTGCAGGAGTCTTGTATTGCACATCCTTCTCAGGTGAGGCACACGTGTTGATGGAAGCAGTGAAGAAAAAAGAGAGCAGAGAGATGTCATTCACAAGGTGGCGATGAGAAGGGTCATTGCTGCTTGGTGTGTAGGAATGAGGTAGTGTGGTTAGAGGGAGGCATCGCAAAGAAATGCCCTGGGAGCACTACCTGCTGATGTCTGATGACTCCGCCCTTCGGGAGCCTCATCCGTAATGTGGGTCAGCATCACTTATGTTGGAAAGTTGCTGGATGATGCCAAGGTGTTTGTGAAACTCACAGCAACACCTGGCACTGGTAGCTACTGTAATTGTTAATTTGGCAGCTAACACAAAAACAGCCACGATGACAAATTTTAAATCAAAACTTTTGGCTGGTCATGGTGGCTCACGTCTGTAATCCCAGCAATTTGGAAGGCCATGGTGGGCAGCTCACTGGAGGTCAGGAGTTCAAGACCGGCCTGGCCAACATGGTGAAACCCCCTCTCTACCAAAAATACAAAAATTAACCAGGCATGATGGCATGTGCCTGTAATCCTAGCTACTCTGGAGGCCGAGGCACGAGAATTCCTTGAACCCAGGAGGTGGAGGTTGCAGTGAGCTAAGATTGCACTACTGCACTCCAGCCTGGGTGATGGAGTGAGACTCTACCTCAAGAAAACCCCACAGACTTTTACAAATACACAAGACACTATTAATGATGACTGCTTTTTGGGAGGTAAAATAAGGGACAGTGAAAAGAGATGTTTTCCTATACATCCCCAGGTATTGCTTGACAAAAAAAAAAAATGCACAATATTTTAAAAGACAAGATGTTTTAAGGATGTAGGAGTTTTTATAAATGGCTTTCCTGGCCAGGCCTGGTGGCTCACACCTGTAATCCCACCACTTTGGGAGGCTGAGGCGGGGGGATCTCTTGAGGTTAGGAGTTCAAGACCAGCCTGGCCAACGTGGTGAAATCCTGTCTCTACTAAAAATACAAAAATTAGCCGGGCGTGGTGGCGTGTGCCTGTAGTCCCAGCTACTTGGGAGGCTGAGGCAGGAGAATCACTTGAACCTGGGAGGTGAAGGTTGCAGTGAGCCAAGATTGTGCCACTGTACTCTAGCCTGGGTGACAGAGATGCCATATCAAAAAATAAATAAATGGCTTTCCTATTTAGAAAAGATGTGTTTAGTTTTGTAGTGGAATGAACATTTGACATATGTAAATTTACTTCATATCATTTATATATATTCTTGAGAAACACTACAGTCTCTAAATATACCCACAGCTAGACGGCAAAGGCCTTTGTGTCTGAGCTTAATATAAAGGAATATTTGGGAACAGCATATATCAGAAAAAAAATCACATTCAAACATTGTGTTCATGTCAAAAACAATCTGAGAAATAAGAGCAGTTTAATTCTCATGTTTATTGCAGCACTATTCACAATGCGAAGGTAAAATCAACCTAAGTGTCCATCAACAGACGAGTGGATAAGGAAAATGTGGTACATATATAGATGGAATACTATTTGGCCATAAAAAAGAATAAAATCCTGTCATTTGCAGCAACATGGGTGGAGCTGGAGGTCATTATGTTAAGTGAAGTAATCCAGGCACAGAAAGACAAATATGCATATTTTCACTTCTATGTGGGAACTAAAAAAAGTTGATCTCATGGAGAGTAGATTGATAGATACCAGAGGCTGGGAAGGGTGTGTGGGTGTTGGGGTAGGGGGTGGTGAACAGAGGTTGGCCAATGGATACAAACATACAGTTAGAAGGAATAAGTTCCAATGTTTAATAGCAGAGTAGGGTGACTATAGTTACTACAATGTATTGTATATTTCATGGCCTTTTTTCTCTTTTTTTTTTTTTTTTTTTTGAGACGGAGTTTCACTCTTTCACCCAGGCTGGAGTGCAGTGACACAATCTCGGCTCACTGCAACCTCCGCCTCCCGGGTTCAAGCGATTCTCCTGCCTCAGCCTCCCGAGTAGCTGGGATTACAGGCACCTGCCACCACGCCCGGCTAATTTTTGTATTTTTAGTAGAGATGGGGTTTTACCACGTTGGCCAGGCTGGTCTCGAACTCCTGACCTCGTGATTCGCCCGCCTTGGACTTCCAAAGTGCTGGGATTACAGGCCTGAGCCACCGTGCCCAGCCTGTATTGTATATTTCAAAGCAGCTAAAAGAGAGGACTTAAAATGTCCCCAACACATAGAAATGATAAATACTTGGCCAGGCGCAGTGGCTCACGCCTGTAATTCCAGCACTTTGGGAGGCCGAGGCAGGTTGATCACCTGAGGTCTGGAGTTTGAGACCAGCCTGGCTAACACGGCAAAACCCCATCTCTACTAAAAATACAAAAATTAGCTGGGCTTGGTGGCGGGCGCCTGTAATCTCAGCTACTCAGGAGGCTGAGGCAGGAGAATTGCTTGAACTGGGAGGTGAAGGTTGCAGTGAGCTGAGATCGCGCCACTGCACTCCAGCCTGGGCAACAGTGAGGCTGTCTCAAAAAAAAAATGAATACTCGAGGCGATAGACACCCCAAATACATTGACTAGATCATGACACATTCTATGCATGTAACAAAATATCATGTGTATCCTATAATCACAAATATTAATAAAAAAATTTTTTAAAGCAATAGTTTAAAATTCAATACCATATCTCATAAGCTGCTCTGACCAGCTAGAGCAGGAGTTAGGAAATTAACGCCTATGGGTCAACTCTAGCCAATAACCTGCAAGTTAAATTGAAATTTTTATTGAGATAATTGTAGATTCATGTGCAGTTGTAAGAAGTAATACAGAAAAAGCCCTTGTATGCTTCGCCCAGTTTCTCCAGTGGTAATCCACCTGTTTTACGTAATCTACCACCATGAGCTAAAAGCAGTTTTTGAATTTTTTTTCTTTTTGGAAAAGGGTTTTTCTCTGTTGCCCAACCTGGTGTGCAGTGGTGCAATTATGGCTCTGGGCTAGAGACTGGGCTAGGATTAGTAAAGAAATGAGTATCTGGAATAAAAATTATTCTTTCAAAGAATAAAAATTCTATGTGACATCTGCACCATTAATTCTCTTAAACATTGATATAAAAACTGTTTTCTTGCAACCAGGAACAAATGGATAACTGAAGTACAGTCAATATTTGTTTTTTCTCAAAATCCAGGGTTGTCTATGTATTCATTCATTCTGTCACCCAGGCTATAGTACAGTGGCGTGACCATAGATCATAGCAGCATCTGCTGGGCTCAAGCGATCCTCCTGCCTCAGCCTCCCGTGTGGCTGGGACTACAGATGCATGCCATTGTACCTGGCTAATTTTTAATGTTTTTTGTAGGGACGGGGTCTCCCTATGTTGCCCAGGCTGGTCTCAAACTCCTGGCCTCAAGCAATCCTCACATCTTGGCCTTCCAAAGCACTGGGATTACAGGCATGAGCCACCGCTCCTGGCCACGTCTATGCCTTTTAAAAGAACTATACACAGAGAATCAATTTCTCTTAAAGAGATAGTTTATCAAAAGGATGCTTAAAGCTAACAAGTGCAGATGACACTGGGCTGGGTACTAGAATTAACTGTTATTCATGTGTTGCCCCTCTCAGCTATGGGATAAAAATCCTGCCCTTAGCATTAGGGTGAAATCAGTCTTTGGCGATCTTTCAAGAAATACATACTGCACAGCATGAGAAAGAGCATGTGAGTGCAATGCCTTTAGAATTTTGGAATTGACAAATGTACATTTGTTTTCTGTAGGCCTAAGTCCCTCAAACTAACACATGAAGATTGAGCCATCTGAAGAGCAGTTTATGGGGGAAAAGACTAATAGAGAGGTATTACGAAGAGCCCTGTTTGGAGAATCCTTCTCAAATACAAGGGTTTTTATTTTTTTATAAAGATGAGGTCCCACTATGCTACCCAGGCTGGTCTCGAACTCCTGAGCTCAAGGGATCCTCTCACCTTGGCTTCCCAAAGTGCTGGGATTATAGGCATGAGCCACTGTACCCGGGCCAAAGGTTTTTTTTTTTTTTTTTTTTTTTTAATGTGGGGGGAATAAGTATTCAAATGCTGGTTCTACTTGTTCTGGTTAAGACGGAAGCAATCGCAAGTCATTTTTTTTTTTTTTTTTGGAGACAGAGTCTCGCTCTCTCACCCAGGCTGGAGTGCAGTGGCAGGATCTTGGCTCACTGCAAGCTCCGCCTCCCGGGTTCACGCCATTCTCCTGCCTCAGCCTCCCGAGTACCTGGGACTACAGGTGGCCGCCACTACACCAGGCTAATTTTTTGTATTTTTAGTAGAGACAGGGTTTCATCGTGTTAGCCAGGATGGTCTCGATCTCCTGACCTCGTGATCCGCCTGCCTCCGCCTCCCAAAGTGCTGGGATTACAGGCATCAGCCACCGCGCCCCGCCAAGTCAAAATTTTACTAAGAAAACTGGACCCCAGAAACTCCTTTAATATCAGACTTTTTTTTTTTTTTTTGAGACAGAGCCTTGCTCTGTCACCCAGGCTGGAGTGCAGTGGTGGGATCTCAGCTCACTGCAACCTCCAAGTCCTTGGTTCAAGCAATTCTCGTGCCTCAGCCTCCTGAGTAGCAGGGATTATAGGCACATGCCACTATGCCTGGCTAATTTTTGTATGTCTAGGAGAGACAGGGTTTCACCATGTTGGCCAGGCTGGTCTCGAACTCCTGGCCTCAAATGATCTGCCCTCCTCGGCCTCCTAAAGTACTGGGGTTATAGGTGTGAGTCACCATGCCCAGCCTTAACATCAGAGATCTAATGTGAGGTGAGGGGGACAGTGTATGGAATTTTGCAAGTCCAGGAACTTAGGTGTGAAAATCTTTTATTTTTAAAAATTTTGTGTAGAGACAGGGTCTCACTCTGTTGCCTAGGATGGTCTCAAACTCCTGGCCTTCCGTGATCTGCCCACCTTGGCCTCCCAAAGTACTTAGGTTACAGGCACGAGCCACTGCACCTGGCCAGAAAATGAATCTTTAGTTTCACTAGCCTCTGAACGAAATCCAGTATTTCTGCCAATTTTGGAGGTAGGCACCAAATCACAGTAGCATTAGACAACCTGTGCTTTAGTCAACAAAATAAATTGGATATTTTCGTATAACATCATGGCCATTGTAGATTGCTACTTCAAAATAAAAGTAGTTACTAGATCTGCTGATAGATCTTGTATTTAGTGTTAATAAAAACACACTTAACAATTTAAAAATATTTTGATAACTATTATTTTAATGGCAGTTTCCTTTTGCAAACCTATGTATTTTATTCTTTTAAACATCACTGAGCAGATTCACAGATTTCATCGAATTGCCAAAGGGGTCCATGACTCAGAATGCACTGTGTCTTAAAGCAGGTCCTCCTAAGCAAGGGGTATTGAAAGGGGATCCACCTCAGAGACCTAAGACGCAGGTTCTAATCCTGACAAGTTGCTTGACCTCAGACAGGCTTCTGTCTCTCATGCCTTCACTTTTATCTCTATTAAAATAGAAGTGGGCCAGGTGCAGTGGCTCACAGCTGTAAAAAGCACTTAGGGAGGCCAAGTGGGGAGGATAGCTTGAGGCCAGGAGTTGAGACCAGCCTGGGCAACAAAGCAAGAACCCATCTCTACAAAAAAAAAAAAAAAGCAGCATCTGAAGCAGCATGTGGGGAGCAAACGAGATGCAATTGTGAATGTCTCCTGACAGCAGCTTCTCAAGCTCAGGTGGCCACTTAAACTCACATAAATCCATGTTTGGTTACCAAAGATAAGCATTTAAGCAACATTTATAATTTCGTAACCTGCCTATGTTGGGGGAATGCAACATTGGTCATTCCTGCAATACTTGCCCTAGCACACACGCAGCCCAGGGACGTTTTTCCAACCTAATGATGCTCACATTTGAAATTTTTTCCCACCCTACTATAGACCTCACTATTCTTGCAAAGAAGACTTTGTTCTATCTCAACACTTAGAACTCATGATTCTGTTCCTGAGCTGTCCACCTCTGCCAGTGGGAGACACCCTAGACTAAGGTGAGAGGTTAAGGAAGCTAGTGGAAGGCTGGGTGTGGTGGCTCACACCTCTAATCCCAGCACTTTGGGAGGCCGAAGTGGGAGGATCACTTGAGGTCAGGAGTTCAAGACCAGCCTGGGCAACATGGTGAAACCGTCTCTACTGAAAATACAAAAACTAGCCAGGCATGGTGACATGTGCCTATAATCCCAGCTACTCGGGAGGCTGAGGTGGGATAATTGCTTGAACCTGGGGGGCAGAGGCTGCAGTGAGTACTGCTGCACTCCAGCCTGGGTGACAGAGCAAGACTCCACCTCAAAAAAAAAAAAAAAAAAAAAAAAAAAAGGAAGCTAGTGGAGAAAGACTGCAGGTGCCAGAGTTCAGCACAGCAGGTTTGACTCCCCTGTATCAGCTGCATGATGCTGAGCAAGTTAACATCTCTGAAGATCAATTTTCCCTTGCAAAGATGAAGGCAAATGCCTTCCATTGTGAGGAACCATCAAAATAATGGAGGGGATACTAGTGAATGTTAGTGGGCGCCAGTGCTTGTCCCTCCCATCCAGAGACCTGGTCCCCCCTATCCAGGAGTCTTGATTTCAATGGTCGAAGGCCCTTCCCACAGCTTTCCAGTGATGCAGACAGGCTGAGGTATGCCCTTTTCTTCAGAAAACTGGCTGTTACAATTTGCAAAGCCCGATGCAAAATATTTTCAAAATTGCTATTAAAAAAATTAAGAATTTAAAGTCGATGACAGAACATGCAACCAAACAGGGGGCCTCCTGACTATGGGGCCCTTTGTGACAGCACAGCCTATGAAGACGGTCTGTCTCCAACTCACATGGCTCTTCCCACCCTGGTTCCACACTACAATCACCTGCAGAACTTTAGAAAGTAGAGATGCCCTTGTACCTCCCCTGAGATATTTCAAACACCAAAGAGGCCCCCAGGGGACCGCAGCAGGCAGGCACGGTGGAGAGCTACTGGAGTAGAGCCTTAGGATGCCTTGGAAGACTGTCATGGCCCAACATCCACAAGCAGCAGGCAAAACTGTCCCCATAAAGCCCAGATAAGACAAATACTTGCAAATGTAACATCTCAGGGTCTTTAGGACCCGTATCACGTGCCCCATGGAAAAAGCTATTAATGCCTCCCACCCCTATGAGGCTGCCTTACTGTGCAGACAGCAGAGGATGCTCATGAGTTCAGCATCTCCCCTTCCAGGTTTTCACCGGCACAGCCCACTCCAGAGGAACCTGCTTCCCCGTGTCCTTTGTAGAGCTATGGTGTGTGACTAGGTGGGGAGGCAAGCAGCAGCTTATGTGCGACTTCCCAGCGGTGTTAAGGACATGACCTTCTGTCCTAGTTGGCGCTTAAGGTGTCATCTGAGACTATGTGTTGAAGATGTGTGTGGCAGGGGGCATGGGAAGATAGAAATCATGATCCCTGCTGATCATAAGGCCACAGTACCTAGATCTTGGTTATTCCTCCTCCCCCTACAAAAGAAAAAAAGCAAGCAGGGCTCAGGGGGTGGGGGAGACAGAGGGAAGCCAACTTCTCTTAAGTCAGTAGATTGCATCATTAGGCCAAATGCCTGACATGACCCATTTTACAGAAGAGTAAAATAGACTCAGATGACATCCCCCTAGCTGAACGAGGCAGGGATTTCCCATCTTCAGCTGCATTCGCTTATAACTAAAAAAAAGGTGGCTTCTCAGAGTAGAAGGATGGTTGCCAGGAGTTGGGGGAAACGGGGAGATGTTGATCAAAGGGCACAATCTTTGTCATGACATGAACAAATTTTGGGTTGTAAGGCACAGCATGAGTGGTGGCAGCTGTGTTAATCTGTGGTAGTCATTACACGATGCTTAGGTATTTCCAATCAACACATTATAGACACCGAATATATACAGTCTTTGTCTGTTAAATATTTAAAAGAGGCAGCTTTTGGCCAGGCATGGTGGCTCACGCCTATAATCCCAGCACTTTGGGAGGCCGAGGCAGGTGGATCACGAGGTCAGGAGTTCGAGACCAGCCTGGCCAACATAGTGAAACCCTGTCTCTACTAAAAATACAAAAAATTAGCAGGTCATGATGGCAGGCGTATGTAATTCCAGCTACTTGGGAGGCTGAGGCAGGAGAATTGCTTGAACCCAGGAGGCAGAGGTTGCAGTGAGCTGAGATCGCGCCATTGGACTCCAGCCTGGGCGACAAGCGTGAAACTCCATCTCAAGGAAACAAGAGACAGCTTCTAGGATGTCACCACCCTGCCCCAATTTATTACTGGGTCATATTGTTTTAGGAAGTTTCTTCCCCTTATCCTTTAGTTTCTGCATTTAAAGAGGGACAGGGGCTAGGTGGGGTGGGAGAGGCCATGGCCTCAGGCACACATTTAAGGTGGTATCCCAAATCTCAGCTGATCAAGGTAAATACCATAACGCAACTTTTTAAAAACCAAAATGAATGCAAAAGAAACCTACAATGAACAGGATGTCAGAACTCTAAACACGGGATCCAACTCTGCTTGCACAGCCCTGACTTGCCCTAATCCCAGGCCAACTTTCCACAGAACTACAAAAACAAAGCAGATGACCTGTGGGGCCACCGTTTGCCAATCTGCATTAAAATATTTTTTGGCGACTGAGTTCTCGGCACTCCCTTAAGTCTCATGTCCCAGGCAAGTGCCTCACCCTATCCCAGCTCTGGGTAGCACCTGGGAGAAAAACACCTGCAGACAGGTAAAGTTCTTAGTGCAGTGCCTGGCTCAGTCATGATGGCAACTCGAATTGAGGCTCATCTGCTTTCTTAGAAGAGGTTAAATACAGGGAGACAAACAAGCTATTTGTGTTCTGTAGTGTCTAGAAGGCAGCAAGAAACCTTAAGCAGAGGGGCGGGAGATCGCCTTGATTTCTGTTCTTCAGTGGAGATTTTACAAGCTGATCTGAGTAAAGATCAAAAGGATCCAGTTTTCCCCAATACCTAACCGGAAACTCATCTGTCTGTGGCATGGAGCAACACCTTCCTTAAAGTGGCCCCACGAAATTTTTCTAAAGATGGAGTCGCATTGCTACCCAGGCTCGACTTGAACTCTTGGGCTCAAATAGTTCTTCCTAGCTCAGTCTCCCAAGTAGCTGGGACCATAGACACTCATTACTGATGCTGGCTCAATTTCATGTTAACATTTCCCCCTTGCCTTTTATCCAAGGCCAATCACCCTGTTGCTTGTACTTAGGGGTTAACAGACTGGCCTTCCAAATCATGTCCTTTTTATAAATAAAGTTTTATTGGCCCACAGCTAAACTTATTTCCTTCCCTATTCTCTGTAGCTGCATTACAGTGGCCGAGTTGGAACCTCTGTGCTACAACAGCAGTGGCAACAGAGCTGATAACAAGTAGGACCAGCAAAGCTCAAAACATTTACTATCTGGCCCTTAACTGAAAAAGTTTGCGGATCCCTGGGGCTCAGGTGAAGTCAAACTGCAAACATTCTCAGTTTCCTCTTCCAGATCCAGAGGGCTCTGCAAATCAAGGCTGGTGTAAGAATTGCCATTCTGGTCTGTGCCATGTCAGCTGCTCCTTTCTATTAAGGCTGTTTTATTTGGTTATTACCTGTACATTTTAAGTCTCATTCTAGCAGGTTTAGCCAGTTCAGCCCCCAATTCCGAATGATTTAACCCCATCCACTGCCATCTTCTAATTTCCTAGAAATGGTAAGGTAAGACTACCCCTACTCCTACAAGTTTCCTGGTCCTAGACTTCCCTCTTAGCCTACTTTTCTCTGAATCTTGGAATTCTTACCAGTCTCAAAAATTCTTTTAAGTTACCCAAATTCTTTTTAATACTCATTCAGCCTTATTCTCTTGAACTACACTCTCAGCTTTGTGCAAATCCCATTTGTGTCTCTGCCAGAAAATTTGGTATCTTTTAGTGTGTTTTACAAGTCACACTTGCCAGTTCAGAGCAAAGTACTCTGCAGGAGGGCTTGCTACATTCTAAGACCATGGGCCAAATCTAGCCTGCCACCTGTTTTTGTAAAGTTTTATTGGAACACAGACACACTTGTTTTTTCTTGCAATCTATGGTTGCTTTTGCACTAAAACCACAGAGCTGAGTAGTTGCAAAAAACTTTATGGCCCCACCCACTGCCTGAAGTAAATATTGGGTTCACAGCTTTTTACTCACCTCTGCTCTATTGGGAATCCAAGTTTGCTGGGTGATACCAGCTTGGATATAAAATCCTTAAAGTCCATACAGCTGTTAACAAAAAATGCCTTCTAAAAAGGCTGATATCTTTCCTCTTTGTCTAAAGAGCTATAACAAGAAGTACAAGGAACGTTTATGTGATTTCAATCTATGGGTTCCCACTTGAAAGGTCAACAACCTTCTAGAACAGAAACGCAGATCAGATTCACGACAAACAGCAGAAAGGTAACAATAGCAACTGTACAATAGCACCAGCATTCAGTAACCAAACACTTTTCTGATCAAAACGATCATCTCCAAAGAGACTAATTCTATCCTGGGTCTCTGTCATCATTTTAATCTTTTCTTCTTACAATAGAGATTCAGCAGTACACCATCACCTACCTGATGTAAAACTTAAACGGAGTCAGATTTGCCCAAACTACCACCATTCACAAAATAAACTAGGTACCTCTATTTCACAAGTGAAATAGTCCCTTCTACACAACCTATAAAATCTTACATCCTTTTTTCTTAGTTTACCAGGAACAATGGATCTACTTAATCTGTTTCAATTCCAGAGATGTTCAGCTTGATGAGGGCACACAAGACTTTATATTTAAAAAGAGTATTTGAAGGAAAGATGCCAAAAGTAGAAACCAAGCAACTTTGGGTAAGTATTATATCCACTGAGATTTCATAACCTCCTAAGGGTCCATCTATGAGAAGAGGTTGGATTTTCAGTAGTTTGTGGGTTCAGCAAACACTAAATGCTTTCCGTGATGAAACAGATGCTGGTGTGAGGCTGTCCCACGTATCACATATCCCAGCACCCAGCACCAAGCTCAGGGCCCACTGGGCCCCTGGACTTTTCTCTCCAAATAGAATTAAACAGAATTTTGAATTCCACAACAGACAAGCACAGGCTGGGCTAGTTAGCTTGATCTTTGGCGCCACCTCCAGATCAAACTGCATTTCGTTTTACTACAGTAGGAACTCATTGAGAAATCCAATGTGCGTTTATAATTAAGTTACTGAATGGGGCGCGGGCTGGGGATGGAGAACCTTCTACCGTAACTGTCTGTGGAGGGCTGCAAAATTGAGTGTTCCTTACATCATGCTACCATGAGTCTGCCTTTTTTATTGTAAGACAACAGGTAAAAGAAACCACACAAACATATAAGGCAAACACTCTTAGAACGATCACCCAGGTTATGAAATAGAAGTTTTCCAGCAACCCCAGACCCTTCACGTACACCTTCCTCACTTTAACCCTTTCCACTCTAGAGATTAGTTTTAGTTTTCTATATCGTCTAAGTTTAATAATTCCATCAGAGATGGATCAGTTTTAAAATTGGAATCCGTTACGTAGAAGCTATCCCCATTGGATAGAGCAGGGCTTGGCAGACCCCGCCTTTGAATGAACAAGTCGACTTGCTCAGATAATCCTTGGAGGGAAGAGACAAATGCGAGGAGTGTCTCCACAGCCCTGCTTTGCTTTGCTTTCGTCACTGTCGCCCAGCCATCGCCTCTGAAGGCCTGTGAAGTTGGAGCGGCCAGCCCCAGAAGTGGTGCCCAAAGCCTGTCTCTCAGTGGCCTCACCTCTGGAGGGCTGGGCAACAGCACTGGTCAGAAGTTCCGACAGCTGACCACCCTCTTCGGCTGAGCTAGAGGTCTTGGCTGGGCTCTAGGGGAGCCTCGAGCTGCCCCACGGAGACCAGGGTGCTGAGCTGTCCCGAGGCACCGCTTTCCGGTGGGAAGGTGACCAAGTCTGAGTTCTTGTTCTCACTCTGATCACTGTGCTGCTTCTTGTGGCATCTCAGAGAGTCATCCCTGACGAAGGAGGCGCCGCAGGTCTCACAGCGGAAGGCCCTCTGCGTCACGATCTTGGCCACGTGCTGGGAGCTGCCCTCTCTGAGCCCTTCCTTGCCCAGAGGGGCCCGGTTCTCCGTCTTGGCCTCGTCCCTGTGCACCTTGTCGACGTGCTTGGCCAGGCTGCTGGGCCGCTTCGTGTCGAAGCTGCAGAAGTCACACTTGAAGGGACGGTCCTTACAGTGGACTCTGCTGTGCACGCGCAGGGCGGCCGCGCTGGAGCAGGAGTAGCTGCACTCTGGACACTTCTCCGGGTGGTCGGCCTGGTGCAGCCGGCTGTGCTCCAGGAGGTCAGCCCGGTCCCGGCCCTGGAAGGCACAGTGCAGACATTTGAAGGTGTGCTTGATGCGGATGTGCGATTTGAGATTCGCCTTCATGGTGCAGCGGACGTCGCAGAACTCGCACTTGAAAGGCTTCTCCCCCGAGTGCACGATCATGTGCCTTTTCAAGTCCGAGCTGATTTTGAACTTGGCGCTACAGAGCCAGCACTGGAAGGGGGTATCCCCTAGCAATGGAAGGTGTGTTTCCATTAGAACAGGCAGGCAAAACAGACCCTCCCACCCCAACCTGCCTTAGCACACTTGGCCGCCATGAGATGGTTGGGTTTTGTGAACTCTAAACCCAACCTCCTAATGACAACACTTGTTGTGCATATTAATGCAATCCTCACAACAATCCTATGAGTGGGTACTATTACCCCCACTTTACAGATGGGACAACTGAGGCTCAGAGAGGTCAAGTTACTTGGCTCAGGTCAAACAGCAGGGATTTGGAACCCAGGCACTATGGCACTCAAGTCCATACTCTTGATGACCCCTTCAGTTTCAAATCTAAACTCCCATTTAACTTGACATCCCAGAATTGAATGTGGAAGAAGAGGTGAGATTTAAATTACAAACAACTGCTTCAAATCAAGCTAAGACCTGTGAAGACGCTTACTATAGTGTTTAATCTATATGACATCAGTTATTGAGCTTGTATTTCAAGTTAAAGTTTCTTACTTTTATAACTACAGGCTAAATTTTATTTATAATATTAATGCATAATTATGGCAGCAGGGGACAAATAATAAAGAGCCATGGTCTTTAGAGTCCCATTCCCTGGAGACATTGCTAAGGGTTTCTAGTTGTTTTTGAGGTTGCTGCTTTAAACGTCAGTTGAATATACACAAAGATAAGCATCTTATCCTACACACCCATCCTTTCCCTAACCTCTCCCCTGCATTCTGGTGGTTGTGACTTTTACACTTTTAAGCTGAGTAGTAGCCTCACATTTTAGTCCATCAGCTTCTGAGATTTTTTGAGGATTCACTCCTCTTCTCCACACTTAACTCCTCACTTGTTAGAAGTAGCTTTCTTTTCACCTTTAAGTAAAAAAATATTTCCATTCTGTCTGGTGAATTCTTATACTTTAATCATTTTCAGATTTCAAGTTCAGAAGCCAACTATAAATAATTTAAATGGTGACTGGGAATGTGATATTCATCGGAGCCAAACACTGCACCAGGATTACAATCACTTCCTTATAAGTCTGCTGTCACACTCAGGCCAGTGGATGGCGTAACCACCCATCAATATAATTTTGTTTTCTTTTCTTACGTGTTGCTCATTTGGGGGCACATTTTAACTTGCTTCTTGATTAGACTGTGTTTCTTGAAAGAAGGAATCTCAATTTCAGAAGTCATCCACTCTCATAATTTTGTAACTTTCACAAGGAATTTTTTTTTTTTTTTTTGATACAGAGTCTCACTCTGTCGCCCAGGCTGGAGTGCAGTGACGCAATCTCAGCTCACTGCAAGCTCCGCCTCCCAGGTTCATGCCATTCTCCTGCCTCAGCCTCCCGAGTAGCTGGGACTACAGGTGCCCGCCACCACGCCCAGCTAATTTTTTTGTATTTTTAGTAGAGACGGGGTTTCACCGTGTTAGCCAGGATGGTTTCGATCTCCTGACCTCGTGATCTGCCTGCCTCAGCCTCCCAAAGTGCTGGGATTACAGGCTTGAGCCACCGCGCCCGGCCCTTTCACAAGGAATTTTTAAAATGGATTTTTAAAACTTCTGATTTAGTTTCTCTTGACTTTCTATACAAGTATCAGCCTGATATTTCTCTTTGCTGCAATCCCAGTTAGCCATATTCAGGTATTCACATATCAAATATATCATGCCAGATGTTTCCTCCCTTCCTTTGCTAGAGTTTATCTTCTAGTAACTCCCACTAGCATGGTGGCTGGGAGTAAAATCTTGAGTCCTTGCACATCATTCTATTTTGCTCTCATACTTGAGATAGTTTGGCTGGGTATAGAATTCTAAGTTCAAAATCATTTCCCAACTCTTGAGGGCACTGTTCCATTGTCTCCTAGAAGCCAATACTACCCAGACATATTTCTAGATATAGATGTCCCCTGTCCACTCCCTTCCATCCTGATTGGAATCCTGTGAGCACTTTTACTCTCCTGGCCCCTTAGAATTGTGGACTTCATTTCTCATTTGATTTTCTATTTTCACTCTATTTTCTTCTCACTTCCATTTTCTTTTCTTCCTAGACCTGGTCAGAAACCAGACTTCAGGACTGGCTCTTATTCTCAGTTCACTCACCCAATTTTTTTCCCGTAATCTCTGGGACATTAATTTTATAGCTAGCAATCCTAGTTTTATTTCATACTTCTTTGTTCTCATTATCTCTTCATAGGTCTCTATTTGGATGCAACATTTCTGCCAGTGGGTAGACACCAATTAGAATGTGAAAATTACCCAAGTACTCTTACTTCCAGGATTAGTTATTGACTTGGCTCATTTTATTCCATTCATTTCCTATAGATGACTCATGATCCTTGGTGGACTATATTTGGGAAAGTAGACTGGTTTAATGATTAGACATGGATGCCAGAGGTTTCACCTGCTACTGGGTTGGTTGGGCAGTTTTGCCAGGCCTTGGCTAGTCCCCCAAGCTTTGTGGCCCTGGCTGTCTACATGCTTGTTCCAAGCCCAGAGCCCTCAGGGCCCTTGGATATTGGCTGGAAACTTTGGCTTCCAACTGTACAGCTGCCTCCCATTTGTCTGCTGGGACACAGCTTTCTATACTCAGTTTTAAACATCACTATGTTCCTGTCTGCTCACCATTTTCCAGGAATTCATTGAAAATTTTCAACTTATGAGCATCTTTATGAATATCTCAAACCCCATTTTTCCATGCCACGATGAGTTGGTCCTATCATTTCAGTAGGGTCCCATAAAGGAAGTTCCTAAGATTAAAAGTTTGTGATTTTTAATTATACTTAATGGATCCTGCTACATTCCAAATTTAGCCATGCAATCAGTGTATACATTTACTGAAACATCTAGTTTATAGGTCTGACTTGAGATACATCATTGGCTTCTTGGCAGTTATAGTGGGTATCTACTCCCAGCTGGATTCTATATAGTCAAGATATAAAACCCAGCTGTCAGTCATATTTTACCAAAAGTTGTTGTTCCGGCAACAGAAAAATGACAAATCTCACAATTATCACAGAAGTTCCAAATTCTTGTACTTCTACCACACCAAGTCATTTAAGTTGCTTGTGTTGTTAAGTAAATGAAGGTTAAGAAATTAGAGAAAAAGTAAGGGATTGAGGTTTCCTGGTCAGGGACTCACCCGTGTGAGATCGCAGGTGGACGGTGAGCTGGCTGGAGTTGCGGCTGGCATAGGGGCAGAGCTGGCATTTGTACGGCCGCTCATCAGAGTGGATCCGCAGGTGCTTCTTGAGGCTACTGCTGTCCACGGCAGCGTAGTCACACAGGTGACACTTGTGTGGCTTCACACTGGTGTGGCACCGCATGTGCATGGTCAGGTTGTCCTTCCGGCTGAAGCACTTGTCACAGAACTCACACTTGTGCGGTTTGTCTCCTTCAAACACATAAGGAGTCAAAGTTAAAGGTTTTTTGGTCAAGATGGCTACAAAGATTTGACCAAGATGATAGCCTGGGCATATGGGTGTGCCGCCTCCTCCTGTCCAAATACTGAGAGAGAAAGATACTGAAGTCTACATCAGCATATTGGGAAACAAGAATGTGTATCATTCATTGATAGTTCAGAAATCCTAAGGGAAAGATGACATAAAAATCTGATTGATGGAGAAAATTACAGGCCAAACCCTGTTTGGGAAAAATGGCAGTGGTTATAGAAGTACTCAGGATAAGAAGTGGCAGCTGTAGGGATCTTGGGCAGCTTCATGAACCACATGGAGAATGGTCAGGTGGACCCCTTCCTCTCACTTCTTCCAAACAGCAAGCAGCACGGCATCTCCCCCTAGGCTGTTGGTCAAAGGGTGCTGAGGTCAGAAAAAGAATACAAGGGCCTGGTAAGTTAGAGATGCCAGGGACAGCAGAAGACCACATACCCAGAACACTTCCATCCAGCCATGTTTCATCACTACCCCCTAGCCCAACCCTTCCAGGCTGATCATATCCAAATAAAATTAGTTTACCCAATAAACAAATGCTTGGGGAAAGCCAGAACCAGAAAGACACGCCCAAGTCAAGAACTTAGTTACTAAAGCAAAGGGAGGAAATGAAATTAGAGAAATGAAAACTATGGAAATCAAAATAAAAGTTCTAATAAGTTGACCAGCAAAAAGGGTGTCGAATGACAGCTATTGGTGGATGTAGGTCATCATACATTTGTCCACAACCGCAGAATGTACAACATCAAGAGTGAACCTTGGCCAGGTGCGGTGGCTCACACCTGTAATTCCAGTGCTTTGGGGGGCTGAGGTGGGTGGATCGCTTGACCCCAGGAGTTTGAGACCAGACTGGGCAACATGGCAAAACCCTGTCTTTACACAAAAAATACAAAATATTAGCTGGATGTGGTGGTGCATGCCTGTAGTTCCAGCTACTTGGGAGGCAGAGGTGGGAAGATCACCTGAGCCCAGGAGGTTGAGGTTGTGAGCACAGATCGTGCCACTGCACTCTAGCCTGGGTGACAGAGCAAGACACTGTCTCAAAAAAAAAAAAAAAAAAATGAACCTTACTGTAAACTATGGTCTTTGGTTGAGAATGTTGTGTCAGTGCAGGTTCATCTATGGTAAAAATGCACTATTCAAATGTAATGTTGGTAATGGGGAAGGCTGTGCATGCGCAGGAGCAGGGAGCATGTGGGAAATATCTGTATCTTCTTGTCTTTAGGTTCACTTTTGCTGTGAACCTAAAACTGCTCTTATAAAAACAAAACAAAAAGAAAAAGCCACCTATTAAGAAAAATCTTAGAAATGGAAGATACAGCTAAAGAATCTCCCAAAAGGACAAGGGGGAAAAGACGCCAAAAGGTAAGACACGAAAGCTCGTTCTAGATGGTCCAGGATAGAACTGAGAAGAATTATTTCCCAACACTAAAGACAGCCATGCATCTTATTTAGAAGCAGGGTGGTCCAATTTCAGAACCCTAAGAAGGGTGAGATCTGGAAGCTTCCAGAAAGAAAACCACCAGCAAAATGCTCACATCAGCATAAAGCTCCTCAGAACAGTGGATGCTAGCAAGACAGGAACAGGATCTTCAACTTTCTAGAGAAACTGTTTTAATAGAATCTTATACTTGAATTAGCATTCAGTGAGAGGAGAAGATAGTTGATATATGACTTGGTATCACACTTAAACACTGTACACCAGAAAAAAAAATAAGGGTGATGGTGAAGGTAAGATGGCAATATGAGAAAATACTACAATGGAAAAAGTATAGCTTTCAGACAAGAGAAAAACAACCATCAAAAGACTTGGTTGGGGCGACTGGGCATGGTGGCTCACACCTGTAATCCCAGCACTTTGGGGGGCCAAGGTGGGCAGATCATGAAGTCAGGAGTTCGAGACCAGCCTGGCCAACATGGTGAAATCCTGTCTCTACTAAAAATACAAAAATTAGCTGGGCTTGGTGATGCACACCTGTAATCCCAACTACTGGGGAGGCTGAGGCAGGAGAATGGCTTGAACCCAGGAGGAGGAGGTTGCAGTGAGCCGAGATCGTGCCACTGCACTCCAACCTGGGTGACAGAGCAAGATTTTTTTTTTTTTTTTTTTGAGACAGACTTGGTTGGGCACAATGGCTCACATCTGTAATCCCAACACTTTTGAGAGGATCACTTAAGTCCAGAAGTTCTAGACCAGCCTGGGCAACACAGTGAGACCCTGACTCTACCAAAAAAAAAAAAAAAAAAAAAAAAAGGATTTGCTACGTGTGGTGGTATACCCTTGTAGTCCCAGCTACTTGGGAGGCTCAGGTGGGAGGATCACATGAGCCCAGAAGGTGAGCTCTGATCATACCACTGCACTCTAGCCTAGGTGGCAGAACAAGAACTTGTCTCTATGAAACGAAAAAACCAAACAGCACAAAATAAAAATCACATCAAATATCAGATAACTAGATGTCAAAGTAAATATTATAAACAAAAACGTATTACATTTCCCTCTTAAAGATTTAAATTATAGGTCAGGTGCTGTGGCTCACGCCAGTAATCCCAGCACACTGGGAGGCCAAGGCAGGAGGATTGCTTGAGGCCGGAAGGTTGAGACCAGCCTGGGCAACACAGGGAGAGCTCATCTCTACTTTAATAAAAGTTAAAAATATATTTAAGTTAAATTAAGAAAAAAAGCCACTAAATGCTCTGAAGATACCTAAATCAAAGTGATAGGAACACAATAGAAATTCTAGAAAAATGCTTAAAAAAAGTAGGAATATCAATTTTAGCATCAGGCAAAATAGAAATCATGGTGAAATCCATTAAAAATTTCATATGGATGAGAGAGTTCAGTATGTAGATAAAAGTCAAACTTTTATGAGTGTAACATGGCTTCACAAATGGTTTTTCAAAAATGTCATCTTGGAAGTTTTAGAATGTCTTTTAGGACAGTTTTTGTCAAAATTAGATTACAAACTCCAGAAACAGATAAGTTTCCTATTTCAAAACCTATGGCCGTGGCTGGGCGCGGTGGCTCACGTCTGTAATCCCAGCACTTTGGGAAGCCAAGGCAGGCAGATCACCTGAGCTTGGGAGTTCGAGACCAACCTGACCAACATGGAGAAACCCCGTCTCTACTAAAAATACAAAAAAATTAGCTAGACGTGGTGGCACATGCCTGTAATCCCAGCTACTTGGGAAGCTGAGGCAGGAGAATCGCTTGAACCCAGGAGGTGGAGGTTGCGGTGAGCCAAGATTGCACCATTGCATTCCAGCCTGGGCAACAAGAGCGAAACTCCGTCTCAAAACAAAACCAAACAAAAAACCTATAGTCTATAATGGCTTTAAAGTAGTTTGTAGATTTAAGTTCACTTCTAACAAAATGCTGAAATCAAGTGCACAGTATGCAATTCAAGAAACCAAAAGAAAGAATTGAGGCTACGTATAGCACTTGATCAATAAAAGTAAAAATGGTGCTTAAGAAGGAAGGCTTAGCTCAAAAAGAGAGGATACCAACAGATCAGGGTTCTTAATCTCAACACTATTAGAAATTCTCTGCTGTTTGGTGCTTTCCTCTGCATTGTAAGATGTTTATCGGCATCCCTGGCCTCCACCCACCAGATGCCAGTAGAACCCTTTCTTCTCCAGTTGTAACAATCGAAGATGTCTCCAGACATTGTTCCCTTGGGGGGTGAAATCATACCTAGTTGAAAACCATTCCAATAGACTTTGGAAAAGCAGAAGGGGACTACAGATACACAAAGTCAATCGTGACTATTAAGTAGAACTTTATACCCCAATAAATTTAGAAGACTCAATAAGATGGGTGATGGTCCAGGAAGATGTAAAACTGCGAAGTCTGGATTAAAAGATCGAAAACAGGCCGGGTGCAGTGGCTCACACCTGCAATCCCAACACTTTGGGAGGCCAAGGCAGGCGGATCCGCCTTGACTTGAGGTCAGGAGTTTGAGACCTGCCTGGCCAAGGTGAAACAGCATCTCCACTGTAAAAATACAAAAATTAGCCAGGCATGGTGGTGCACAGCTATAATCCCAGCTACTCAGGAGGCTGAGGCACGAGAATCACTTGAACCAGGGAGACATAAGTTGCAGTAAGCCAAGAGTGCACCACTGTACTCCAGCCTGGGTAAGAGGAAGACTGTCTCTCAAAAACAAAACAAAAAAACTGAAACAAAACAGATCGATAACAATGACAAATTATGCTAAAGATCTACTCTCTAAGGTAAATTGTTTATTGTTCGCAAGTATTTGCTGTAACTTATGGGGAGAATTATGCTTCCCTGTCCCAATAGCCTCTGGTTTGGACATGACGTACTCCGGCTAATGAAATATGACAGAAAGTGACAAGAATTGTTGTCAAGGGCCACTGTGTGGTTCCTCACACTTGTTTCTCTTGCTCAAGATACACTGTTCCAAATCAGGAGATTAAAAAAAAAATTTTTTTTTTTTTAATAGACAGAGCCTCACTCTGTCCCCAAGGCTGGAGTGCAGTGGCACGATTTTGGTTCACTGCAACCTGTGCCTCCCAGGTTCAAGCGATTCTCCTGCCTCAGCCTCCTAAGTAGCTGGGATTACAGGCAGCCACCACCACGCGTGGCTAATATTTGTATTTTTAGTAGAGATGGGTTTCACCATGTTGGCCAGGCTGGTCTTGAACTCCTGACCTCAGGTGATCTGCCTGCCTCAGCCTCTGAAAGTGCTGGGATTACAGGCGTGAGCCACTGCGCCCAGCCATCAGGAGATTTTTATCTGGGGTCTGTGTATAAAATTTCAGGGGTCTAAGATCTTATATGGGAAATGATTGCATTTTTATCTTCCCTACCTTAACTACTGTTTAGCATTGCCTTCAATTATGGATGTAGGCAATAAACCACACTAGTAACAGTGCTGGAGACCCTCGTCAATGGACATGAAATGTGGTCGTACCACATTACACTCATTGTAGTTCTCCAAGTTATCACTTATGCTCACTTTTGCAATTAGGGTAGTTAATATGCTAGCCACTAGCTCCTGACATTAAATGCAGGGCTTCTCTGGGACTACTGTGCATATTAACCACCCGGGCTTGGGAGCATCTCATTAAGATGCAGATTCTGATTCAGTAGGTCTACGGTGCAGCTTGGGTTCCTGCATTTTGATCTACCAAGCTCCCAGCTGATGTGGACACTTCTGGTCTTTGTACCAGTTTGGGTAGCAAGGGCTTAAAGTATGAAAATTGCACATTTAACATTGATGATTATATCACAATATGATTTTTTTAAATGTGATATATCTTATTAGATTTAAAGACATCTTTTTGAGAAGAGTCCATCCAAATTGCCAGGAGTGCATAGCACAACAAAGGTCAAGAACGCCTTCATCTGGCTGTTCCGGACAGAGGCAGATCTACCAACTGGGTCCCGGAGAGAAGACCACAAGGAATGCAGCTGGGGTGACTGTGGGGGATAGTGGCATATATGGAGCAGTCTTCAGTTGTCACTGAGGTTGACAGTGCTATCTCAGCCTAATCCATCCTCCTTCTATGCTCCTAAGGATTGGAGCAGAGAGGGGATTGTGTGCACGTTCTACCAAACTTTCAAGGAAAGTCGTTTCTGTAGTCAACTGTTTCAGAGCATAGAGAAAGATTTTGCTTCAGTTCACTTTATAACAGCTACCTGATACCAATGCCAAATGAAGAAATACAAAGTGGGATAAAAATACAAACATAAATCAGTCTCCTTTACGAAGCTAAATAAATGCCACAGGACCATCTTAAACTAGCAATATAGGGCTGGGGGGGAAGGGTGGCTCACGCCTGTAATCCCAGCACTTTGGAAGGCCGAGGCAGGAAGATCACTTGAGGCCAGGAGTTTGAGACTAGCCTTGACAATAGTGAGACCTCGTCACTACAAAATAAAATAAAATTAGCTGGGCGAAATGGGGCATGCCTGCAGCCCCAGCTATTCAAGAAGCAGAGGCATGAGGATCACTTGAACCTGATTGCACTACTGCATTCCAGCCTGGGTGACAGAGCAAGAGAAGACCCTGTCTCAAAATAAATAAATAAATAAATAAATAATAAAAAGGAAAATGCAATACATTTGAAATACAACCACTATTCCCAGTTAAACACACACCTCAGTATTCCTAGCTTTCTGAGCTTGGTTTTAACTTGAAAGTGATAAGTGATCTCAACCAAAATCCCAGGGGTTCTAACCCTACAATGATGGTGACCTTGAGGCATGCCCAAAGCATGCCCATGACGGGGAATAAGACAGATGGTTTGAGTTGACTGCTACTCTTCAATTTGAACTGAAGCACCAAAGCCAAGGCACACAAGGTCAAATACGAAGTCAGAAAGAGAAAGCTTATTTGCATATGTTAATTTACTTAAGCAATCCAAAAGAACCACAGGTTAGAATCCCTGCCTCCCACTTACAACTGGGTCAGAGACACACGCTGACCTTTCCCCTCTCCTCTTGGTAACAGAACCTTCTTTGCAGCTGGGCACACAACCGCACAGGAGAAACTTCCTTTTCCCAGCCTTCATTTCCACAGCTGGGGGTGGCCATGGGATTCAGTTCTGGCCAAACAGATGAGCTCGAGTGGTGTGGCTTTAAGGTGGCAGGAGGCCATTGTGGAGCAGGCTAATGAGAGCTGCACCCTTGGGATGACAACGCAAAGCAACAGCCTGGGTCCCTGAGACCACCGGGCCAGTGCCACACCAGCCTGATCACTCACACCTGGAACATCATGGTGCAGAAATACTTTGGCTTTAAACCACCATTACTTGAGTCCCAGTAGTGACAAAGGATGCTACTTCTGGGTCGTGCCCCAAGGGAGGAATACCATGAGGCCTCCATGCCTTTTCTCCTACTTTCCATTAGTTAAATTCAGAGAACTAAAGCAGTCACCTGGGGCCCAGAGAAGTGGCCTAAGTTTGCTTACACTAGGGAGGCGCGTCTGCTTACCTGACTCAAGAACAAGGCCTTATCTTTTATGTCCTGGATCCCCAGCATGCTCTGCGGTACCTCAAGAAAACAGTAATCCAGCCCCTGTACATCTCTTGGGGTCGAACCCAGCACTGTGGATGTTCCAGGCCTTTCATTCTTGTGAAGGTTGTGTTGTGAATTTTAAGATTTTTGGCCTCCACCCACTGAATGGCAGTAGCCTAGCCCCAGTTGAGAACAAGCACTCAAGTTATTTTCAGGATAAAGTCACCCACTCTGAGATTCCTCAAACTGAGCTGCCTCGTCTTTCCTCAAAGGGCTCCTGAATCTGCATGCTTTCACTGACATCGTCATCCTGGTAGCCTGTCTTCCAAGGTGAAGATCAAACATTTCCTTGCTAACATGCTTGTCATGATCCACTGTCCCCAGGCAAAAGTGGCCCTCTATTATAGCACAGTGCCCATCTTTCTGGACAGAGACCACCATCTTTGTCCAGAAATCTCTGTCCTCTCAGTGAAGGGGCTCCAGAGGCTCATCTGGCCATGTGTTGCCCCGCTTAAAACCATCCCTCAGGCCCCCTTGGTACTCGGTGTGGCCATGACTAAGTCCCGCTCATGTTCCCCTAGGTCACAAGGGCCGCTGCTTCTGGGTCACAGCCCAAGGGAGGCATGCCATGGGCTCCCTGGCCTGCTTCCATTGCCTGCTGGCTAAGCGATGCAGAGAACTACAGCAGCTGCCTCAGACCCAGAGGCTAAGCCAAGTGTTCAGGATGGCAGAGCCATTGGACCAGCTGTGGACTCTATGCCTCTGAAGATGTACTCAAGAAATAAACTGGATTACGTTTAAGCCACTGAGACTGGTTTCTGAAAGAACAAACCAATATTCTCGCTCAAACATGCAAGTATAGGATTTGTACCACAGATTAAGGGTTGGCAAAGTGTTTTGTAAAGGGCTAAGTAGTATTTTAGGCAGGATGGGCATGGTGGCTCATGCCTGTAATTCCAGCACTTTAGGGGGCCAAGGCAGGTGGATCACCTGAGGTCAGGAGTTCGAGACCAGCCTGGCCAACATGGCAAAACCCCGTCTCTACTAAAAATAGAAAAATTAGCTGGGCAAGGTGGCAGGCGCCTGTAATCCTAGCTATTCAGGAGGCTGGGGCAGGAGAATCACTTGAACCTGGGAGGCAGGGGTCGCAATGAACTGAGATTGCACCACTGCATTCTAGCCTGGGTGACAGAGCAGGACTCTGTCTCAGAGAAAAAAACAAAACAAAAAGATAGTATTTTAGGCTTTGTGCACCCTACAGTCCCTGTAACAACTACCTCTTGTAAGGCCAGAAAGCTGCAAGCAATAGGTAAATGAAGGAGCATGCCAACAGGCTGAGTTGCCCATGGGCTGCAGTTTGTAATCCTGGCATAGATTATGGCACTCCTTTGCTTCAGCAGGTCTTATTTCTCTTCTCAGCAGCTGGCTGCCCTAAAAAAAAAAGCACCTTTAAGAAGCCACCTTATTGCTCTAAGATGACTATAGCCACAGGCTCTGTGTAGCTCATCCTGGGAATCACTTCATCTTCATGTCACAGCCCTTTTGCTCCTTCTCCCAAGCCCACCCCACTAGACTGAGTTTCATGAGGCAGATGAGGCAGAGACTGTCCTGTTCATTACTGTGTCCCTAGCGCTTAATTCACATTCACGTCCCATCTTTCTTACTGAGCTGTTGAACAGAATGGATACCTACCCGTGTGGATTCTGAGATGGCGGTCCAAGTCTTTCATGCCATGGACAGTTTTGAAGTGGCAACCTAGAAAAGAAAAATAGATTTTTTTTTTTTTTTTTTGGAGACAGAGTTTTGCTCTGTCGCCCAGGCTGGAGTGCAGTGGCTCCATCTCGGCTCACTGCAACCTCCGCCTCCCGGGTTCAAGAGATTACCCTGTTTCAGCCTCCTGAGTAGCTGGGATTACAGGCGCCTGCCACCACGCCTGGCTAATTTTTGTATTTTTGATAGAGATGGGGTTTCACCATGTTGGCCAGGCTGGTCTGGTCTCAAACTCCTGAACTCAGGTGATCTGCCCGCCCCGGCTTCCCAAAGTGCTGGGATTACAGGTGTGAGCCACCATGCCTGGCCTGAAGAATACAATTCTTAGAAGAACCTCAGTTGAGTGTGGTGGCCCACACCTGCCATCCCCGAGCTTGGGAGACCAAGGTGGGAGGATCACTGGAGGCCAGAAGTTTGAGACCAGCCTGGGTAACGTAGAGACCCCCGCCCCCTATTTAAAAAAAAAAATTAGCCAGACATGGTGGTGCATGCCTGTAGTCCCAACTACTCAGGGGGCGGATGAGGGAAGATCACATGCACCCAGTGAGTTGGAGGCTGCAGTGAGTTATGATCACACCACTATACTCCAGCCTTAACAGAGCAAGACCTTGTCTTGGGATGCTGAGGCAGGAGAATTGCTAGAACCTGAGAGGCGGAGGTTGCAGTGAGCCGAGATCACACCATTGCACTCCAGCCTGGGCAACAAGAGTGAAACTGTCTCCAAAAAAAAAAAAAAAAAGAGTCCATATATGTATAACCTCAGGGTGGAAGCTACTATGAATCCAATGTTCTGGTGAGTCCCACGCTGAGCTCTGGATGCTACAGGCCTCTTAGGCCCCCCAGGGAAGGCTGTTGTGTGCTGATGTAGATACTGGCATGTTGTCAGCAAACAAGAGTAACATGAGCAGGCAGCTCAGAGATTCACGTAGGGCTTGCAGATCAGTGCTTGGCTCAGAAGCGGCTCAGCACGCAGGGTTTTACTCTTACCTGGGTAGCAACAGTTGAACGTCCTCTCTCCAAGGGTGGCCATTTGTTCCCTTGCCTCTGAGGGAAGAGTGATGACAGGGGCCTTCGGAGTGTCAGTGCTTTCAGTGGAGAGGCAGTTTGCTTTTGGAACATCATCATCAAGTTCTGAAGCTGAAATTGAGGCATAGTTTTGCTTAGTTTCTCATTTATAACCACCATGCTAAGTCTTAGAATACAGTAGGTTTGGGCTTATTTCACCTCCCTTCACCTTTCCAGAAAAAATTTAAAAAAAATGAAAGCCATGTGACCAGGCGGGGTGGCTCATGCCTGTAATCCCAGCACTTTGGGAGGCTGAGGTTGGTGGAGCACGAGTTCAGGAGTTCGAGACCAGCCTGGCCAATATGGTGAAACCCTGTCTCTACTAAAAATACAAGAATCAGCCAGGCATGGTGGTATGTGCCTGTAGTCCCAGCTACTCGGGAGGCTGAGGCAGGAGAATCGCTGGAACCTGGGAGGCAGAGGTTGCAGTGAGCCGAGATCATGCCACTGCACTCCAGCCTGGGCAACAGAGCAAGACTCTGTCTTTACCAAAAAAAAAAAAAAAAAGCAAGCCATGTATGCTCTGTCTTGCAAAAGTCCTCTTCCCCTTACTACGGTTTCCAAGAAGTACAGGGGACAGGACACTGTCACATAACAGGGAAACTGGCAAAATCTAAACTAAAAAACATATGAGTACTTCTTAAATGGCATGAAGACCTAGTTTTTTCTAACAATTTCTAATCCATCCCAGGCTGATATTTCTGTAAAATATGATAAACAAGAATTAGGGGAGAGGTGGAATAAGATAAAAAGAGCCCAATCATTAGATACAGCAAAAAGCTGGATGCCATGGCAATGTCAAACTTTTTTTTTTTTTTTTAAGATGCTTACTCTGGATTTCTGATTTGTTTTGCCTCAGTTCAGCAAAAGGTCACAGACCACACATCACTGATCTCCAGGATAAAACAGTTGTTTCAACAAATAACTTGAAAGAAGAAAGATGGAAGAGGAGAAAAAGCAAAGACTGAGAGACTTGAGGTGGTCGACAATATCGGGACTTTACTTGGCTCCTGATTAGAATATGCTGGAAAAGCTGAGATGGTAAGAAGTGTGCTCACTCACTGCAAGTTTGCTACAGGGGTTTTATACTTTGGTGTGAAAATGGAATTAGAGTTTAAAGAGCATTCCCCATAGTCTAAGGATGAATGTTGAAACATTTACAAGTTGTATGATATGTGAATTTGTCTTCAAAAATAATCCAGGGCAGGGAGAGAGCTGGCATAAGGAGAAATGAGATTGACCACATGCAATTAATGGTTGAAGTGGATCAATGGATGAGAATTCACTATAGTCTATTTTTAGGAAGGTTGAACTAGGTGAAATCGCTATTTTTGTTAGCCAAAACGGTCAAATAATTTCATGTTTCAATCTAATATGTAGGTTTTAAGATTCCTACAGCAAAGATTAAGTACTAGAAGATTCTGAAATATCTCAAAATAGACTTAAATCTAAAAGGAAAAAAGGTCCCATCAAGGTCTGAAGTTTTTTCTTTTTTTGAGACGGAGTCTCGCTCTGTCACCCAGGCTGGATTGCAGTGGTGTGATCTTGGCTCACTGCAAATTCCGCCTCCCGGGTTCACGCCATTCTCCTGCTTCAGTCTCCCAACGGGGACTACAGGCACCCACCACCATGCCCGGCTAATTTTTTGTATTTTCAGTAGAGATGGGGTTCCACTGTGTTAGCCAGGATGGTCTCGATCTCCTGACCTTGTGATCCACCCACCTCGGCCTCCCAAAGTTTTTTTTTTTGAAACAGAGTCTCACTCTGTCGCCCAGACTGGAGTGCAGTGGTACCATCTCAGCTCACTGCAACCTCTGCCTCCTGGGTTCAAGCGATTCTCCTGCCTCAGACTCCCAGGTAGCTGGGATTACAGACGTGCGCCACCACGCCTGCCTAATTTTTGTATTTTTAGTAGAGACAGGGTTTCACCATGTTGGCCAAGTTGGTCTTGAACTCCTGACCTCAAGTGATCCGCCCATCTCAGCCTCCCAAAGTGCTGGGACTATAGCCACGAGCCACTGTGTACAGCCATCTAAAGTCTTAGAAGATTGACTAGCTTATGAATTATAGGCCAAGGTCTGGGACTTTCTCTGTCCTAAGGTTATTACAAAAGGTGGATTATCACTTTTATTGAGAAGTTTGTGCGGGTGAAGGAATCTTAGCATGAGAGGCTGTAGAGCACAGTGGTGAGGGCTTCAGTTTTAGGCAGAGGGTTTGCTCAGCTATGTGCTGTGCAACTATTGGCAAGCTACTTAACCTTTCTGAGCTTCAGTTTACTCGTTTGCAAAAGGAGATTACATGCCTCAGAGTTGCAGAGTTAAACAAGATGAAAAAATATATAAGTTCTCAGTACAGTGTCATCTGAGTAAATACAATTGCGTGGCTTCAGATGTCGCAAGTGAGGACTACAGATTTCACATCCTAGCAGTTGTGCTCGAAGCCCCTTAACAAGTGATCTAGTCCAGTGGCTCTCAACTGGGGGCCATTCTACCACCAAAGGACACTCAGCAATGCCTGGGAACATTTTCAATTGTCATGATTCTGTTTGCATGCATGTTTGAGAATGGCATCTAGTGGGTGAAGGCCAGGGATGCTGCTAGACATCCTATAGGGCATAGGACAGCCCCCACAAGGAAACGATGCAGCCCCAAAGGTCAATAGGGCTGGGGTTGAGAAAGTCTGCAGTAGTCCTACTCCCAATGTTTCTTCCAAGTGTAATCCTGATACTATCTGTGTCACAATCACCTAGATCATGGGTTCAGTGTAGTTTCCCAGGCCTTACCCTATACTCACTGAAAACTTAGGGGCAGGAGGAGGGGTGGTAGTGTGGATCAAGTAAGGACTTGCGATTCCAGGGACTTGCGATTTTTTTTTGAGACAAGGTCTCGCTGTCACCCAGGCTGGAGTGCAGTGGCACCAACATGGCTCACTGCAAACTCCGCCTTCCAGGCTCAAGCCATCCTCCTACCTCAGCCTCCCGAATAGCTGGGACCACAGGCATGCACCACCACATGCCTAGTTTTTGTATTTTTGTATTTTTTTGTAGTTTTGTATTTTTTGTAGTTTTGTTTTTATAGAGACAGGGTTTTGCCATGTTGCCCATGCTGGTCTCAAACTCCTGAGCTCGAGCAATCTGCCCACCTTAACCACTCAAAAGTGCTGGGATTACAGGCATGAGCCACCACACCTGACCTCAGGGCCTTGCATTTTTGAAGCACTTGCCAGATGATTCTGCTGTATTACTTGTAAGTCCTTGCTACTCAAAGGGTGGTCCCTAGAGCACCAGCATCACCTGAGAGCTTGTTAAAAATGCAGAGTCTCAGCCGGGTGCCGTGGCTCATGCCTGTAATCCTAGCATTTTGGGAGGCTGAGGCAGGCGTCCCATCCTGGCTAACACAGTGAAACCTGTCTCTACTAAAAATACCAAAAAAAAAAAAAAAAAAAAAATTAGCCAGGTGTGGTGGCATGTGCCTGTAATCCCAGCTACTCAGGAGACTGAGGCAGGAGAATCGCTTGAACCTGTGGGGCAGAGGTTGCAGTGAGCCCAGATCGTGCCACTGCACTCCAGCCTGGTGAGAGTAACTCCATCTCCAAAAAAAAAAAAAAAAAAGGCAGCAGTCTCAGGCCCTACTCCAGACTTACAGAACCAATCTGTACTTTAGCCAGATCCCCAGGTGATTCCTGAGCACAGCACATTACAATTTGAGAAGCACAGCTCACAGCCAGTGGTTCTCAGACGTCAGCGTGTATCAGAATTGCCTAGAAGGCTACTTAAAACACAGGTGGCAGGGGCTCCCATTTGGAGTTCCTGATTGAGTAGGTATGGGGTGGAGCCTGCGATTTTTCACTTCTAACAAGTTCCCAGTTGATGCCGATGCTGGTCTGGGAACCATACTTTTGAGTCTCTTGCTCTGTGAGCAAGAAACTGGCTCAGATGCTCAAGGTTGCAGGACTGGAAGTTTTCAGCTCATTGGAACCCACACTTGCCAGATCTGCAACCCATCCTATGTCCCTCAGGGACAGACACAAACAAAGCCTCATTACATAGCAACTCACATACTAGAAGAGAAAACCATTAAACTCTTGAGGGTTTTAATTCCACAGAAGTCAAGCAAGACTGAAAACAAATCTAAGTGAGGCACTGTATAACACAGTGGTTTGGGGAACAGACTGGGAAACCAGCTGATAAGTTTCAATTCCAGTTTTACCATTAGCTGTGTCCCACTGGATAAGCTACTCAACTTCCCCGTTCCTCAGTTTCCACATCTGTGAAATGGGTATTATGGCCGTCTCATTAGCTTAGATGAAGTTCTTTAGTATATGTAAGAGAACCTCATGTATTAGTCAATACTGTATAAATGCTATTAGTGTTATTCACTGATATACACACGTAAGATTCTACCAGATTCTCAGGGGGAGAAAGATGCATGTTTTCAACGCAAACTAGAAAAGTGAGAGAGAGGTGGGTTAAAGGATGACCCAGATAGAGCCTCTGATGGGGAGGTGTGAGGGGCCTCCGATTTCTTTTACGTTTAGACACCCAGGAAACCAAAGAAGGCCTGAAGCCCACTCTCCTGGGAAAGGTGCAGCTGGGGGAGACCCTCTGCCTCTGGAAGTGGGGGTGGGCCGCATTTGACTATTAGAAACCAGGTTAGCATGGCGAGGGTTTTAACTCCTGGGGAAACGGATGATGTTCCCTCAGTAAGGTTCCTCCAGCCCCTTCGTCATTTTACTGGTGGTGACAGGAAGTCCACTAATTACTTTCCATTTTATTTTCCTCCAAAAGCTACTTGAGTTGCAAAGACACTTGCAAATTAAGAGTGGCCCAACCTTCGTAAAAAATGTACCCCCTTGCCAGTGTCGCAGACCAAAGGTACTAGGATAAAACGTCAGTTGGAAGACGGTTTTTTCTCCGAAGTGGTGGCTGGGGTTGAGGCACACTACTGGGCCGGCAGAGTTTGCGTCCTGCTCCCACAGAAGTCACCTCAGTACTCCAGGACGCACGACACCCTCCCCATGCCCGAAACACTGGGTGCGGCTCCAGAAGGCGCCTCGCAGCGCTGGCTGCAGGAATCCAAAGTAGCTCAGTGCACAGACTTTCAACTCCAGCCTGGGGTTACTCAGCAATTCTCTTCTATAAACACCTCCCCCAAAAGACTCAGCATCCCCAGTACCTCCCCAACTTCCCCGAGGCGCAGAGATCAGCAAGAGCCCCGCCCCTCGACCCAGGGGACGGGATCCTGTAAGTCTCACCTGCCTATCTCCATCCCAGGCCTCGGGCACGAGGGTGGTTGTACTATCCTGGTTATGGTAGCTCCACTCGAGCAAGCTTTATTTTAACATATAAGCTATTCGTTTAGTGGAGGCTTCATTAAACTACTCCCCTCCACCACCACCTCGGGAAGTTGTGGTCAAAACCCACCAGACCGACTGTGGTGGAAGTTGATGCGGAAGCTGGAGAGCCCGCGGCTCTGGAGGGGTGAGCCGCCCCGGAGAGGGGACCCATCCTCCTTTCCGCGCCCGGAAAGAGCGGGGGAGAAGAGGAAGTCCAGTTACAACTCCTTTCCTCAGCCCCTTAAAGGAAAGGTATCAGCTAACCACGGGGAGCTGGCAGCCTAAGAGAAAGTAGGAACCTACAATCTCTTAATCTAAGCACAAGATAAGCAAAAAGGGAAGCGCCTTAGAAATGCAGATTCCCCAACCCCACCCCTGAGATTCCAGTGGAGGCGGGGGATGGGGGGATCCCTAACTTGCAGGAAGAATTTGGCGAGCGAGAAAAGGTCCCCTCCCGCAGGCTCTTCTGAAGCGGAGGATCCCGGGACGAGAAATGCTGCCCGGGGGGCTTAAGGTAGCCGACGATCTCCTTGCTACATCCTGTGTCCACGTGGCAGCCGAGGAGGGGGTGTGGGGGCCGCCTGTTAAGTGCGACAGCATCACTGCTCTATCCCCACCACGGCTCCCACTTCGCTCAGATAAAATGCAGAGCTCTTACCAAGGCTCACGGCCGTCCCCCGCCCCCCACCGTCTGCCCCCATCACCTCTCGGGCCTCCGGTGACCTCTCGGGCTACAGCAGCGCTGACGCCCTGGGTCCCTGCGCTTCTGTTCCCTCGGCCTGGAATGCTCTTCCCCCGGGTACCTGCACAGCTCGCTCCCTCCCATCCTTCGGGTCTTCGCTCGAACGTCCGCTCCTCGGTGAGGCCTTCCCTGGACAACGCATTTGAAACGTAACCCCAAGGCAAGAAGCCACCTTCCAGGCGCGCAGCCGAAGCCCAGTGCCAAGGAGGCCGGAGACTCGGGTGCCCGCGCATCCCGAAAACAGCCTCTGAGGGGTCCTCTGAGCATCCTTCCAGCGTGTTTGGGAGGCAAACTCGTTGACTAGCTCTTGAGAGGAGTGGCTAGAGGAATCCAGGCGGGGAAGGGGACGGTGGACTCCAGGAGAGTGTAATTTACAAAGGCGGGGGGCGGGGACGCCCAGGTCCGAGTCCCAGGACTCTGCGCCGGACGCTTCGCCCGCCCTTTCAGGTCCCCTGCCCGGTCCTCGTACCCGCGCGGGTCCGGAGAACCTCTGAGCACCGGCCCCCAGCCCCCGGGCGGGGCTCCAGCGGCGCTACTCACCCGGCTCCCCCGCCACCTGCGGGGCCACCTCCGCACACTCCCGGCGCGCAGGCCGCGGCTCCTCGGAGTTGAGGTGCTGGGGCTTGGCCTGCTTGCGCCGCGACATGGCGCGAGGACCGGGCTCCCCGCGCGTCCCTAGGAGTGGCCTACTTCACACAACGAATTCCCGGAGTTCGGAAATTACCCCCCTTCGGCCGGAACGCGCATGTCCCGGCAATTCTGCTCATCAGCCGAGCAGGGCGATTTATCAAGAGTCCTGACGGCTGATTGGCCTGGAGCCAAGACCCCAGGAGTCCCGCGGACTTGCGGTCCGCTCCCGGGCAGCCCGCGCCACCTGGGAGCTCGTTAGAAATGCAGACTCTCGGGCTCTACCCCAGACCCGCTGAATCAGAATCTGCATTTTAACAAGATCCCCAGGTGATTCGCATGCACATTAAAGTTTGAGAAACCGTGTCTGCATTTTAACGAGATCCCCAGGTGATTCGTTTGCCCATTAAAATTTCAGAAGCGCAGCTCTCCTCCAACTTTAATGTGCGCACGAGTCACTGGGGATCTCGTTAAAATGCAGATTCTGACTCAGTGGGTCTGGGGTGGGGCCTGAGCTCCTGTATTTCTAACGAGCTCCCAGGTGGCGCTGTGGCTGCTGCGCTGCACAGGCTGCGCTTTTAGATTCGGACTTAATTGGTCTGGGCTGGGACCTGGGCACTGGGATGTTTTTTTAAAAAAGCCGTCTCCCTCCCTCACCACCCCCATCACACACACAGGTCATTCTGATGTGCATCCAAGCTGAGAAGCACGACCTCCACTCCTGGTTCTCAACCCTGCTGCATACCCAAATTTAAATTTTAAATGAGGAGTGTCTCCAACTGCAGGGAGAAATGCAGATTCCGAAAGTTCTGGATTCAGGTGGCCGAGGCCAGAAATGTGTGTTTTTATATAGCACGCGCCCGCTCCCGCCCCGTGACTCGGGCGCACCGGCTCTTGGACCACACAGGAGTGCTTTTGGGGCCAACCCGGCGCCGGCCCCGCCCAGCAGGTGACGGAGGCGTGGTCCTCGGGGGGTTGAGCTAATTAGCGTTCATGCTCAGACTGGCTGGGACCTCGATGAGACCCGAGGGAGACCCCTCCTTGCGCCGCGTAATTGACATCCAATGGGAAGCAAGAAAGCCACCTACATCCCCCAGGTGTTTACTTTCTTCAAATTAGGGAGTTACTTAAGACTGGGTTGTGCCCCAAGCTTGCCCGAACCTGAGAATCACGTGGGGGCCCTTGTTTCAAAAAGACCCAGCCAGGCTCATCTCCGAGTTTTTGGGGCGGGGCCTGAGAATCTGTATTTTTAACAGCGCCGCGTATGAGTTTTACGGGGTGGTCCTGTGGGGTTAGCAGCATCTGTAACGAGCCTTCTGTGAGGTTACCGTTGGCGAACCCCACGGCGGGGCCTGCGAGAACGGCATTTTTGCTTAATTGTTTCCATTTCTCAAAAGCTGACCTGTTTTCCTCAAACTTCCCCTTGATTTTCAGGTTGTGAATCGACTTGGGAATATTTGTGTAATGCCCGGTGAAGTCATGTCAGGTTAAATTTCCGAGACTTAAACTTTTTAAAAAACACAACGCTTCAAGTCTTCTTTGGGATGTATGTGTAGTTACACGGATCTGTAAAGACATTTGAAAATATATACACGTGGCCGGGTGCGGTAGCTCACTCCTGTAATCCCAGCACTTTGGGAGGCCGAGGTGGGCGGATCACATGAGGTTAGGAGTTCTAGACCAGCCTGGCCAACATGATGGAACCTTGTCTCTACTAAAAATACAAAAAATTAGCCGGGCATGGTGGCGGACGCCTGTAATCCCAGCTCCTGGGGAAGCTGAGGCAGGAGAATCACTTGAACCCGGGAGGTGGAGCCGAGATCGCGCCACTGCACTCCAGCCTGGGCGACAGAGTGAGACTCCATCTCAAACAAACAAAAAATATATATGTATATATACACACACGTTTATCATATCTCCTTTTGAGGAGACTGGATAAACAGTGGTTGCCTCTGGGGAAGTTGAAAGAGGGGTGCATGGGGGGATGGGAGACATCTGAGACCCTCTTATACTGCTTGAGGTGTGTACATGTGTTTGCATTTGCTTTGTTGTTATTTCACCTCAGGTGTACACAATCAATTATTGGTACATGAGGCATTATTACTGGCCTATTGTTAGCCTACACTTGCCTACATTTTTTAGGCTGCTTGCTTGCACCTCTGTTTATTATGATATAATAAGTACTAGGGAACCTACTGCCCCAAAGTAGGACCTTAACCACAACCTACATCTCTCTTTATATGGCCTCCTGATGTCCCCTCCCCTCCTCTGCCCTACAACTTAAGAATCAACAGCCTGACTCCTACAGATCTCATTCATTTGCTTTGTCTCTTTAGCAAGTTTTATTGTACCTACATGTATTCCTTAAAAAAACAATTTTAATATTTAAAGAATATAAAAAGGGTATGTAATCTTCCAAGAATAACTTTTTTTCACTTAATATTATTTTGCTAAGATCATCCAAATTGCTGTCATTGTTTATTGATTTCGACTGCTCTGTAAATATTCCACTGTGTGAAAATGCCAGTTTCTTCACCTACTCTCCTGTTGATGGGCAATTGGGCCTTTGCCAGGTCTCTGCCATTGTGAACAGTGCTGCTATGATCTTTCTAAAAAGTGTCAGAGTTTCTCGTGAGTGAGTGTGTACCTGGGGGTGGTATAAGAGATAATGCCAAAGTGATTGTATTAACTTACACTTCCCTAGCAAGGTATAAGAAATAACGTAGGTCAGTCTCAGTGGCTCATGCCTGTAGTTCTGGCACTTTGGGAAGCTGAGGTTGGTGGATCACTTGAGCTCAGGAGTTTGAGACCAGCCTGGGCGACATGGCAAAACTCTGTTTCTACAAAAAATATACAAAAATTAGCTGGGCGGATGACACACACCTATGCTCCCAGCTACTCTGGAAACTGAGGCAGGAGGAAGCTGACCCTTGGAAGCTGAGGCAGTGAGTCATGGTTGCGCCACTGCACTCCAGCCTGGGCAACAGAGTAAGAACCTGTCTTGAAAACAAACAAACAAAACCCAAAATGTGAAGCCCATTCTTTCTCACACTCAGGATTATAAAATGTCTTGATTTTTGCCAACTATATTGATATAAAATGGGATCTCGGTATAGTCTTTTCTTGCATTTTCCATGTAGGTATAATAGTAGCCAAAAACAAAGTGAAAATGATAAATGTGTTCCACAAATATAATGACAACTGATTAGTCTTATTTTTGAAAAAAATTGTTTTTACTCTTTTGCAAAACATCCAATCAGAGTTCTAGTCCTAAATTAAGTTTATTACCTTTTTTTTTTTTTCTTTTGAGACGAAGTTTCACTCTTGTTGCCCAGGCTGGAGTGCAATGGCACAATCTCAGCTCACTGCAACCTCCACCTCCTGGGTTCAAGCAATTCTCCTTTCTTAGCTTCCTGAGTAGCTGGGATTACAGACAGCCACCACCATGCCCGACAATTTTTTTTTATTTTTAGTAGAGATGGGTTTTCACCATGTCGGCCAGGCTGGTCTCGAACCCTGGCCTCAAGCAATCCACCTGCCTCAGCCTTCCAAAGTGCTGGGATTACAGGTGTGAGCCACTGCGCCCGGCCATCATGTTTGGTTTTAATGGCTTTATTTCAAGGCTCAAAATTGAAAATCTGAAACACACACACACACACACACACACACACACACACACACACACAAACTTACAGGGTCTACAGATATAAATGAAAGCAAAGTATCATTGGCCATGCGTAATCAGTCATGATTCTCCTCTTTCAATCCCATTTGCCTATTACACAGGTTGACTATTCTGTTGAAATCCAGCTAGAAAATTTTAATCTTCCCTCATAATCAGGAGCTTCTGCAAATTAAAGTGAAGAAGACACATTACTATATTGTACCTGGAACAAATGGATTTCAAGCCCAGGGAAGCTCTTTTTTTTAGAAGATTTTTTTTTTTCTTTGAGACGGAGTCTCACTTTGTCGCCCAGGCTGGAGTGCAGTGGCATGATCTTGGCTCACGATCTTGGCTCACTGCAAGCTCCGCCTCCCGGGTTCATGCAATTCTCCTGCCTCAGCCTCCCGAGTAGCTAGGACTACAGGCACCCACCACCATGCCTGGCTAATTTTTGTATTTTTAGTAGAGACGGGGTTTCACCATATTAGCGAGGATGGTCTTGATCTCCTGACCTCGTGATCTGCCCGCCTCGGCCTCCCAAAGTGCTGGGATTACAGGTGTGAGCCACCGTGCCTGGCCAGAAGATGTTTAAACAGGCTACAAAAATCTGTTGCTGGCTGAGTGCGGTGGCTCATGCCTGTAACCCCAGAATTTGGGAGGCCAAGGCAGGTGGATCACCTGAGGTCAGGAGTTCGAGACCAGCTTCGCCAACATGTTGAAACCCCATCTCTACTAAAAATAAATAAAAATTAGCTGGGTGTGGTGGCACATGCCTGTAATCCTAGCTACATGGGAGGCTGAGGCTGGAGAACTGCTTGAACCCAGGAGGCGGAGGTTGCAGTGAGCTGAGATCGTGCCACTGTACTCCAGCCTGGGTGACACAGCGAAATTCCACCTCAAAAAAAAAAAAAAAAAAAAAAGAAAAAAATTTGTTGCTAATTTTAAACACGTAGACTGAGGTTCTTATAGGTGACAACTTTTCATTGTTTTCAGCAACAATATCACATAACAAGGGAATCATGGCCAAACATGCATTGAAAAGTACTTTCTGCATGGGATGTTTCTGTTGAAAACTAGTTACTTCTTCATTCTTCATATATTGCCTTTGTCCTGATTTTTTCTTTTCCACTTAACCAAAACACTGAAACTTTAATTGAATCCAAATTACACCTGTCAAAGACCTGGGCCGTACACTCCTCAGTCTTCTCTATAGCACCAATTCCTTCTGAGGGGTCATTTCACCAGCCACCTGAGAAGTGCTCCAGCTATCCCCACACCAGCTAGAGACATCCCAAGCATGGCTACATCGGCATCAACGTCCAGGCATACTCAGAGCTCAGAATTGTAAGTTAGTACCACTTTTCCCACCAACCCCTTATATTTCACAAAGGACTCACAGCCAGCAGGTTAACTCTCCCCTCCCCACCCCTACCAAACCCTGGAAAACCATAGAGAGCCTTTTTACAACTCCTCGTTCTCAGCCCCCTTCTTCTGGAAGGCAGTTAGGATGTTTAAGCTCTTCTGGAGCTCCTCCTTCTTCCCGTCACTCAACTTGTTCTCAATCAGCCTGGAGATCCATGTCATCTCTATGCTGGGAAGTCCTCTGCCTAGTCTAAGATCTTCCCTGTGATCTTCAGGTATTGCTCGGCCCAGTTCTTCTCAGTCTCCTTCACACTTGAGAGGTGGTCCTGCCGCTGCTTCCAGAGGGCCTAGCGGGCCTCCACGCCAGAGGCCCTGATGAACTCCTGGCCAGGGTGTCCTATGCAGCTGGCCACCAGGCCACCTGGCATAGCTAGCTAGACCCCTTGCCCCTTCAGCCAGCGCTGGATGGCTCCAACCTTAACTGCCCCAGTACATGGGACTGGGTTCTCAAAGTCCCCCTCCCGGGAGAGGTAGAAGACTGGGTAGCTCTCTTTGAGCAGCTTGTATTTCTCACTCAGCTCCATGTTCAGCTTGTCACCATAATCTGAGATCCCCACCTCTGCCACCAAGAGATCATCGCTGGAAGCCGAGTTTTCAGCAAGACGCCTGAACTCATCCTGCTTCTCACCGTAGCGGTACTGGGTGTTGAACTTCACCAAGACGAACCTGCTTTTGGGAATGACCTTGTAGAAAGTGACCGTATCCAGGGGAAGGGCGCGCTTGGTGTGCAGGCCGCTGCTGCCATGCGGAGCGGAGAGGAGCAGGAAGCCCAGGAGAAGGGGAAGCGGCAGGGAGAGAGACGCGGAGCGGGGCACGGCGGCAGCCACATCGCCGGGTTCCGCGACGGGGAGGTGGGGAAGCCGTAGTGGAGAACGCCCCAAGTCAGCGGTCAATTTTTTTTTTTTTTTTTTTTTTTTTTGAGACGGAGTTTCGCTCTGAGTTTTGCTCGTTGCCCAGGCTGGAGTGCAATGGCGCGATCTCGGCTCATCGCAACCTCCAGCTCCCGGGTTCAAGTGATTCTCCTGCCTCAGCCTCCCAAGTAGCTGGGATTATAAGTATGCACCACCACGCCCAGCTAATTTTGTATTTTTAGTAGAGACGGGTTTCTCCATGTTGGTCAGGCTGGTCTTGAACTCCCAACCTCAGGTGATCTGCCTGCTTCGGCCTCCCAAAGTGCTAGGATTACAGGCGTGAGCCACCTTGCCCAGAATCCGATTTTTTTTTTTAATAGTTGTTAGATAATCCCCTTTGTTCACACAGAAAGTTAATAAATTTTCAAACATTGTCGCTTTGTAGAAGAAAAATAGAGAATATCTGTAATTCTCGCAACTCTTAAGTATTTTGCCAAGAGATAAACAGCATACTTCTGAATTATACAACAGATTCTCCTGGTCACTCTACCTCTCTTTACAAACATTATAAAGATGCCAGAGGCAGGATAATGTAGTAACTAAAAGCACAGTTTGGAGCCAACCTGAGTTAGAATCCTGGCTCTGGCTGGGCACAGTGGCTTACACCTGTAATCCCAGCACTTTGGGAGGCTGAGGCGGGTGGATCACCTGAGGTCAGAAGTTTGAGACCAGCCTGGACAACGTGGTGAAACCCCATCTCCACTAAAAATACAAAAAATTAGCTGGGATTGGTGGTGGGCACCTGTAATTCAGCTACTCAGGAGGCTGAGGCACGAGAATCGCTTGAACCCAGGAGGCAGAGGTTTCAGTGAGCCAAAATCGTGCCACTGCACTCCAGCCTGGGCAACAGAGCGAGACTCTATCTCCAAAAAAAAAAAAAAAAAACAAAAAAAAAACAAGAATCCCAGCTCCTGGCTCTGTTCACATCCCACCTGTGTGATCTCAAGAAAAGTGTTCTGTGTCCCATTTTTCTCATTAATAAAATGGCAATGCCAAGGGTGGCTTGAGGATTAGTGAATTTATATATGTAAACAGGTACAGAACAACATCTAGTACATAGATACTACTCTAAGTATTAACAGTTATTTATGATAATGGAGTAAGAGTTATAGTTATCTATGAAAGTAGCACTCATCTGTAATTGGTTATTCCACTTAACTAGGCAAAGTTACTGTTTTACATGGAAATATATTTGAAGCAAACAAGCATGTGTGACCTTACTCAACCCTTCTGAGTTGCAGAATTCCCATGCTTTCATAGTTTCAATCCATATATTAAATGGGGAAAGCTTACTCTTCTTTTTAAAGAGAAAGATACAAAAACAAAGTATCAATACAATGTTGTTTCTGATTGTCCTGGGCCTCTGGGGATGTGGGCACCCTGGTTGTGTTCTCCTTCCTTTTTTTTTTTCTTTGTTGGGACAGAATCTTTCTCTGTTACCCAGGCTGGAGTGCAGTGGCGTGATGTTGGCTCACCGCAGTCTCAACTTCCAGGTCTCAAGAGATCCTCCCATCTTAGCCTCCCGAGTGGCTGGGACTACAGGCACATGCCACCACACCCAGGCTAATTTTTGTATTTTTTTGTAGAGAAGATGTTTCACCATGTTGCCCAGGCTGGTCTTGAACTCCTGGGCTCAAGTGATCCTCCCACCTCGGCCTCCCAAAGTACTGGGATTACAGGCATGAGCCACCGTGCCTGGCTGGGTTCTCCTTCCTAAGCATCTTCATTAAACTTGTATCATTAATACTACCATTCTCTACTATGAATACCAGAATGAACAAATAAATGTTTATCCAGGCACAAATGATTCCCCAAAGAGGTATAAAACTAGACAGGAGGCAGGGCGCTGTGGCTCACGCCTGTAATCCCAGCACTTTGGGAGTCTGAGGCAGGCAGATCACGAGGTCAAGAGATCCAGACCATCCCGGTTAACACGGTGAAACCCCATCTCTACTAAAAATACAAAAAATTAGCCAGGCGTGGTGGCGGGTGCCTGTAGTCCCAGCTACTCGGGAGGCTGAGGCAGGAGAATGACGTGAACCCGGGAGGCGGAGCTTGCAGTGAGCCGCGAATGCGCCACTGTACTCCAGCCTGGATGACAGAGCAAGACTCCGCCTCAAAAAAGAAAGAAAGAAAGAAAGAAAGAAAACTAGACAGGAACAAATCTTATTTATTGATCATTACCCTTGTACCCTTGCCAGGAATTCTTTTTTTTTTTTTTTTTTTTTTTGAGACCAAGTCTCGCTCTGGTGCCCTGGCTAGGGTGCAGTGGCGCGATCTCGGCTCACTGCATCCTTTGTCTCCTGCGTTCAATCGATTTTCCTGCCCCAGCCTCCCAAGTAGCTGAGATTACAAGGCACCCGCCACCATACCTGGCTTTTTTTTTTTTTTTCTTTCATTTTTAGGAGAGACAGGGTTTTACCATGTTGGCCAGGCTGGTCTCGAACTCCTGAACTCAGATGATCCACCTGCCTCGGCCTCCCAAAGTGCTGGGATTATAGGCACGAGCCACCATTAGTTCATCTGATAACAATTCTTTGAGCCCACTTTATTGCCTGCCTCTGCTCTAGGCTGGAGATAGAGTGATAAAGACAGGCAAGATCCAGAAGGGATTCAGAGAAGTAACCAGAAAATGTACAAGGTCACTTTAGAGGGCAATAGGTGCTGTGATCAAAATACTGTGGTAGTGTGATCGGGAGTGACTGGGTGGTAGTGGTGGGTACCTGATTTTGGCTAGAAGTGACCTTTGAGCTAAAACACAAATGTAATAGCCAGCCATGGAAAGAACCAGGGAGACAGCGTCCCCAGGGGAGGGAGGAGCAACAGCAAAGACTCTTTTAAGCGACCAACTTTGGTATGTTTGAAGCAAACTAAGGAGATTCAGGGACTAGGTAGCTCCCAGATAAGAAAAACATGATATGTAAAAATTTGAAAAAAAATATTCAAGGTCACTTATGATTAAAGAAATGTTAGTTCAAGTAAACGGAAACACTGATTTTCACCTGTCCCGATAGAAAAGATTAAACACACACACATGCTGAGCGTGAGCCAGCTATTCCATGCCTATGCTGTATTTGTCAAACTCACTGTGCAGAGAAGTCACCTGGGGATCTTGTTAAAATGCAGATTCTGATGCCAGTGTGTCTCAAAATGTAACATGTATACAGATCACCTGGGGACCTTGTTAAAAGTCAGATTCTGATTTCAGTGCTTCTCAAACTTTGATGTACAGAGGAATCACCCGGGGACCTTGTTAAATGCAGATTCAGGGCAACAAACATGGAAGGGATGTTCCATCTTACTAATTATAAGGGAATGGCTAGTAAAGCCTGTTCCCACTGTTCTTTTCACCTATCAGATCAATAAAAATTTAAAACACTCAGAACATCTACTGTTAGGAAGAGTACAGGGAAATTGGTTTTCTAATGCATTGCTAGTGAGAGCATGAATGTTTATAGCCACTTTTGAGGGCAATTTGGCAATACGTTTTTAAATATGTCCTGCCAATCTATCAATTCTGCTTTCCATCTTTTCTCCTCCAGAGAAACATTTGCACAGGCGCACAAGGGAGAATGTCCAAGAATGTTTGTTGCAAGTCATTGTTGTAGCAAAAAAAAATGAAGAAACATCCTCAATGTCCAACAATAGGCAAGTGGCTACATTAAACTGAGGTTTAGCCAGATCATGAAATACCAGGCCAGGCCGGGCACGGTGGCTCATGCCTGTAATCCCAGCACTTTGGGAGGCCGAGGCAGGCAGATCACGAGGTCAGGAGATCAAGACCATCCTGGCTAACACTGTGAAACACTGTCTCTACCAAAAATACAAAAACAAAAAAAATTAGCCAGGTATGGTGGTGGGCGCCTGTAGTCCCAGGTACTGGGAGGCTGAGGCAGGAGAATGGCATGAACCCGGGAGGCAGAGCTTGCAGTGAGCCAAGATCACGCCACTGTACTCCAGCCTGGGTAACAGAGTGAGTCTCAAAAAAAAAAAAAAAAAAGAAACACCAGGCTGGATTTATGAATACTAGCATGCTTAGAGCTCTAAGATATATTGCATTAAAGAAAAAAAAGCAAGGCCCACATAGATATATAGATCTAAACACATATTCAAATATATACATATTTTCAATGGTGAAATATATATTCACATAAATCCAGTGAAAAAAGTACTGGAAGAATACATGCTCGCTACAGCTTTTTTTTTTTTTTTTTTTGGAGACAGGGTCTCACTCTGTCACCCAGGCTGGAGTGCCGTGGCATGATCATGGCCCACTGAAACCTTGACTTCCCAGGCTCCAGTGATCCTTAAGCTTCAGCCTCCCGAGTAGCTGGGACTATAGGCACATGCTATCACACCTGGGTAATTTTTGTATTTTTAGTAGAGACGGGGTTTCACCATGTTGGCCAGGCCGGTCTTGAATTTCTGGGCTCAAGTGATGCGCTGACCTTGGCCTCCCAAAGTGCTGGGATTACAGGTGTGAGACATAGCACCCAGCCTGTACTGGCTACATCTTAAGCAAGAAAAGGGGAGAAGTTTGGAGGAAGGAAGATTGGAGAACCTAAATTTCTCTCTCTCTCTCTCTCTCTGTGTGTGTGAACATTATGCATAGTAATATTTCTTTCTTTCTCTTTTTTAGATGGAGTTTTGCTCTTGCTGCCCAGGCTGGAATGCATTGGTGCGATCTTGGCTCACGGCAGCCTCCATCTCCCGGATTTAAGCGATTCTCCTGCTTCAGCCTCCCAAGTAGCTGGGATTACAGGCATGCGCCACCATGCCTGGCTAATATTGTATTTTTAGTAGAGACAGGGTTTCTCCATGTTGGTCAGTCTGGTCTCGAACTCCCGACCTCAGGTGATCTGCCCGCCTCATCCTCCCAAAGTGCTGGGATTATAGGCATGAGCCACAGCACCACGTCAATATTTCTTTTTTTTTTTTGAGATGGAGTCTCGCTCTGTCACCCAGGCTGGAGTGCAGTGGTGGGATCTTGGCTTACTGTAACTTCCACCTCCCAGGTTCCAGCGATTCTCCTGCCTCAGCCTCCCGAGTAGCTGGGATTACAGGCATGCATCACCACGCACGGCTTATTTTTGTATTTTTAGTAGAGACGGGGTTTCCCCATGTTGGCCAGGCTGGTCTCGAACTCCTGACCTCAGGTGATCCGCTTGCCTCGGCCTCCCAAAGTGTTGGGATTACAGGCGTGAGCCACTGCGCCTGGCCATATTTCTTTCTTTTTTTTTTTTTTTAAAGAAAATAAGGAATGTATTCATATACTACTTTATAGTTAAGAATTAACTAAAATAAATAATGATATACTTTCATACAATAGAATTCTATTAAACTATAAAAAATAATGCATTTCTATGTACATTCATATGGAATATTTTTTATGATATATTAAGTGAAACATCCAAAAGACAAAGTGTACAAATTATGCTGTTAGGCATATGTGTACATACACATATATACACATACACATATATACACATATGCCCAACAGCATAATTTGCATTATGCATAATATGTATAACATAATTTGTATAACATCATCTCTATATACATTTTAACACGAGGCTGGGCGCACTGGCTCACGCCTGTAATCTCAGCACTTTGGGAGGCTGAAGCAGGCAGATCACCTGAGGTCAAGAGATCGAGACCTTCCTGGCCAACATGGTGAAACCCTGCCTCTACTAAAAATACAAAAATTAGCTGGGCATGGTGGTGCAGGCTGGTAGTCCCAGCTACTCAGGAGGCTGAGGCAGAAGAATCTCTTGAACCTGGGAGGCTGAGAGGTTGCAGTGAGCCGAGATCGTGCCATTGCACTCCAGCCTGGTGACAGAGCAAGACTCTGTCTCACACACACACGCACACACACACACACAAATTATGAATGTTGTAGCTGTTAGCATTCTTGCTTGCACTGCTTTCCTGATTCACATGTGAAAGTTTCTGTATGTCCAGAACCTGTATTTAACAAGATCCTCAGGTGATTCTTCTATAGTTTAAAATGATCTGCTGAAATCAGAATGGGCTTTTAATAAGGTCCCCAGGTGATCCATATTCATGTTACCTTTGAGACACACTGGCATCAGAATCTGCATTTTAAAAAGATCCCCAGGTGAGCTGGGCATGGTGGCTCACACCTGTAGTCCCAGCACTTTGGGAGGCCAAGGCGGGAAGATCACCTGAGGTCAGGACTTTGCGATCTGCCTGCCCAACATGGTGAAACCTTGTCTCTACTAAAAACTAAAAAATCAGCTAGGCATGGTGGTGGGCACCTGTAATCCCAGCTACTCGGGAGGCTGAGGCAGGAGAATCACTTGAACCCAGGAGGTGGAGGTTGTGGTGAGCTGAGATCGCGCCATTGCACTCTAGCCTGGGCGACAGAGCGAAACTCTGTCTCAAAAGAAAACAAAACAAAACACAAAAAAGAAGATTCCCATGTGACTTCTTCTATGAACAGTAAGTTTGAGAAGTGCAGCATGGGTGTGGACCAGCTGGGCCATAGAATAGGTTTGCATTCAACTTGCCTAGAAATGCCAAGCTATACCATTATCATAAATTACATTTTATGATTATTATTCTTTTTGAGATGGAGTCTCCCTCTGCTTGTTCTGTCACTCAGGCTGGAGTACAGTGATGCGATCACAGCTCACTGCAGTCTCAACCCCCCAGCCTTAAGCCATCCTCCTGCCTCAGCTTCCTGCGTAGCTGGAACTACAAGTGCACACCACAGCACCCAGCATATTTTTTTTTTGGTTTGGGAGAGACAAGGTCTCACTACATTGCCCAGGCTGGTCTTGAACTCCAGGGCTCAAGCAATCCTCCTGCCCAGATCTCCCAAAATGCTGGGATTACAGGCGTGAGGCACCATGCCTGGACTATATTATTTTTTAAATGAAAAAGAAACTAGTTAAGTTACTAGTGCACAAACTCAGTTGAAAAGGGAAATAACCCCTCTACAAATCTTAGCTTCTTCCTCCTCTTTCCCCTCTGCTCCCACACCCCACCCACCCCTTCATGGCTTAAAACTGGAAATGAAATTTGGTGGAGGAGGATTCTGTTTGGGCAACAACATGGATCCAAGTCTTTATTTATAGAGAAAACAAACAGCCTCTAATTCACCTGCTGGCCCCTACTGGTTTGAAAGCTCCTGAGCTATAGCAGATGTTCTTCAAGAATAAGAATGCTAAGCTTCCAGACTCCAGGGCAGGGTGTGGCAGGCCTGGAGTGGTCAGTGTCTTGCCTACTCCTGAGAAGAATGAATTCCCCATCCTTTGTGGCAGGAGTGAAATCACACCAATTGCTGTTTTCAGGTTCCACTAGTGTCTCCTTATCTTATGCCACAGTCGGCCTGCCTGACATTTTCTACTAGGGCATGTCCTGAAGCTATTCATTTGTTTAACAAACATTAATTGGGTTGCCACTGGGGGCAAGGCTTTGCTAACCTTTGGGAATATGAAAGCAAGTCTTTAAAGAAGTTGCAGAGCAATCAGGAGGATAAATAAGTAAACAGCTATAGTACAGTGTGATAAATATGTGATAAAGGTTCTCACAGAGTGGGCAGGTAAAGCTTCCTCAGAGAGGTGGATTTGTAGCCCTGGCTATGTAGGATGAGATCTTGGGCAGGTAAAGAAGTGAAGTAGGTTGGGTGCAGTGGCTCGCGCCTGTAATGCCAACACATTGGGAGGCCAAAGTGAATGGACTGCTTCCGGCCAGGAGTTAGAGGCTGGCTGGGGCAACATAGTGAAACCCCGTCTCTACAAAAAATACAGTAATTAGCTGGGTGTGGTGGTGTGTGCCTGTGGTGGCAGCTATCAAAAAAGGTCGAGGGCAGGAGGATTGCTTGAGCCTGGGAGCTGGAGGCTGCAATGAACTATGATCATGCCATTGCATTCCAGCCTGGGTGACAGAGCAAGACCCTGTCTCAAAAATAAAGTAAAATAAATAAAAGCAAAAAAGAAGTGAGTTGAAGTGGGTTTCAGGTAGGGGGACAGCTTGTACAAAGACCAGGAGGGAAGCTGGGTTCGGTGGTTCACGCCTGTAATCCCAGCACTTTGGGAGGCTGAGGTGGGTGGATCACCTGAGGTCAGGAGTTCAAGATCAGCAGGCCAACATGTCGAAACCCCGACTCTACTAAAAATACAAAAATTAGCCGGGCGTGGTGGTGCACAGCTGTAATCCCAGCTACTCAACTACTCAGGAGGCTGAGGCAGGAGAATCGCTTGAACCCAGGAGGCGGAGGTTGCAGTCAGCCAAGACTGTCACTTCACTCTAGCCTGGGAAACAGAGTGAGACTTCATCTAAAAAAAAAAAAAATATATATATATATATATATACATATATATATATACACACACAACACACACACACACACACACACATATAAACACAAAAAAATTAGTCAGGCATGGTGGCGTGCACCTGTAGTCCCAGCTACTCTGGAGGCTGAAGCAGGAGACTTGCTTGAACCTGGGAGGCGGAGGTTGCAGTGACAGAGAAAGACTCTGTCTCAAAACAAACAAAAAAACAACCAAACAAAAAACAACCCCTCCCCACTCACTACAAAGACCAGGAGGCAAAGAGACGGCACTTTTGAGAAACCTTAGTCTGACTAGAGGTGCAGGGAGTACAGGAGATAAGGTGAAGGAGTTGGGTGGGGAGGAGGTGTGAAGGGTTTCATATGGCAAAAAGAATATGATTAAATAATTTCCTATTTTTCCTTTCCCCTGTGAATGTTTGTGCCTCCCCACAATTCATATGTTGAAATCCTAACCCCCACATGATGGTATTAAGAACACGGCTTTGGGCAGGTGTTTGGATCATGGAGCTGGAACTCTCCTGGAAGGAATTAGTGCCCTTATAAAAGAGGCATCAGAGAGCTGCCTTCCCCTTCCACCATGTGTGGACACAGCTAGAAGGTGCCATTTATGAGAAAGTGGGGTCCTTGCCAGACACCGAATCTGCCAGTGCCTTGATCTTGGACTTTCCAGCCTCTAGAACTGCAAGAAATAAATTTTTGTTGTGTGTAAGCTACCCAGTCTACGGCACTTTGTTATAGCAGTTAGAGGGTGTCTGGGACACCCTCTTTCCCCTGTTAAACCTCAGACACATCCAGAGGCAAATCTCAGGCCTGGTTTGGGAAGGTGCCTGAGAGCCAATGAAGGAGAATGATGATCCTCGTCGTGGTAATGACTATGAGGATGGAAAGAGGGCATCGATAGATGGCTCACCATGTGCGTATACGCCACTTTATCGCACGTCACAGACACTGTGTGTTTTTTTCTTTTTTTACAAGTTGAAGGTTTGTGTCAACCCTGCATCCAGCAAGTGTATCGGCTTCATTTTTCCAATGGCATGTGCTCACTTTGTGTTTCTGTGTCATGCTGAGATAATTCTTGTAATATTTCAAACTTTATCATTTATTATATCTGTTAATGTGATCAGTGATCTTTTTTTTTTTTTTTTTTTTTTTTTTTGAGACGGAGTCTTGCTCTGTCACCCAGGCTGGAGTGCAGTGGCGTGATCTCGGCTCACTGCAACCTCCATCTTCCAGGTTCAAGAGATTCTCCAGCCTCAGCCTCCCTAGTAGCTGGGATTACAGGCATGTGCCACCATGCCCAGATAATTCTTGTATTTTTAGTACAGATGGGGTTTCGCCATGTTGGCCAGGCTGGTCTCAAACTCCTGACGTCAGGTGATCTGCCCGCCTTGGCCTCCTAAAGTGCTGGGATTGCAGGCATGAGCCACCTCACCCAGTCCATGATCAGTGATATTTGATGCTACCCTCGTAACTGTTTTAGGGTGCCATGAACTGTGCCCATGTAAGACGGGAACTTAATTGACAAGTGTTGTGTGTGTTCTGACTGCTCCACTGACCAGCCAGTCCCTTCTCTCTCCTTTTCTTCGAGCCTTTCTATTCCCTGAGACACAACATTGAAATTAGGCCAATTAATAACCCCACAGTGACCTATAAGTGTTCATGTGAAAGGGAGGGTGGTGCATCTCTCACTTTAAATCACAAGCTGGCAATGATTAAGCTTAGTGAGAAAGGCATGTCAAAAGCCAAGGCAGGCTGAAAGCTGGGCCTTTTGAGTCCAACAGCCAAGTCAAGGATGCAAAGGAAAAGTTCTTGGGGGAAGTTAAAAGTGCTACTCCAGTGAACACATGAGTGATAAAAAAGTGAACCAGCCGGATTTTTGATATGGTGAAACTTTTAGTCATCTGGACGGAGGGTCAAACCAGCTACAACATGCTTCTACGCCAAAGCCTAATTCAGAGCAGGGCCCTACCTCTACTTAAGTCTATGAAGGCTGAGAGAGGTGAGGAAGCTGCAGAGGAAAAGAGAAAAGTTGGAAGGTAAGAGGTTGGCTCTTGAGGTTTAAGGAAAGGCACTGTCTTCATAACACAAAAGTGCAAGGTGAAGCAGCAGGTAGGTGCTGATGGAGAAGCTGCAGCAAGTTCTCCAGAAGATGCAGCTAAGATCACTGATGAAGGAGGCTACACTGAGCAACAGATTTCCAATGCAGATGAAACAGCCCCTACTGGAGGAAGATGCCATTTAGGACATTCATAGCTAGAGAGGAGAAGTCAATGTCTGGCTTCAAAGTTTCAAAGGACAGGCTGATTTTCTTGTTAGGGGCTAATGTAGCTGGTGACTTGAAGTTGAAGCCAGTGCTCATTTACCATTCCAAAAATCCTAAGGCCCTTAAGAATGATGCTACATCTACTCCACCTGTGCTCTAGAAATGGAACCATGAAGGCTGGATGACAGCACCTCTGTTTACAGCATGGTTTACTGAATATTTAAAGCCCACTGTTGAAACCTACTGCTCAGAAAACAAAATTTCTTTCAAAAGATTACTGCTCATTGACAATGCACCTAGTCACCCAAGAGCTCTGATGTAGATGTACAAGGAGATGAATGTTGTTTTCATGCCTGCTGACACAACCTCCATTCTACAGTACATGGACCAAGGAGTAATTTTAATTTTCAAGTCTTATTATTTAAGAAATACATTTTACTCACGCCTGTAATCCTAGCACTTTGGGAGGCCGAGGCGGGTGGATCACGAGGTCAGGAGATCGAGACCATTCTGGCTAACACAGTGAAACCCCGTCTCTACTAAAAATACAAAAAATTAGCCGGGTGTGGTGGCCGGCGCCTGTAGTCCCAGCTACTCCGGAGGCTGAGGCAGGAGAATGGCGTGAACCCGGGAGGTGGAGCTTGCAGTGAGCCGAGATGGCTCCACTGCACTCCAGCCTGGGAGACAGTGAGACTCCGTCTCAAAAAAAAAAAAAAAAAAAGAAATACATTTTATAAGACTGTAGCTGCCATAGACAGTGATTCCTTTGATGAATTTGGGCAAAGTATATTAACAACCTTCTGGAGAGGATTCACCATTCCAGATGCCATAAAGAACATTCATGATTCATGGGAGGAGGCCATCGACATGAACAGGAGTTTGTAAGAAGTTGATTCCAAATGTCATCGATGACTTTGAGGGGTTCAAGATTTAAATGTCAGAAGTAGCTGCAGATGTGGTAGAGATAGCAAGAGAACTGGAATCAGAAGTGGAGCCTGAACTACTGCAATCTCATGATAAAACCTCAACAGATGAGGAGTTGCTACTTACAGCTGAGCAAAAAAAGTGGCTTCTTGAGATGAAATCTACTCATGGTGAAGATGCTGTGAATGTTGTTGAAATGACAACAAAGGGTTTAGAATATTGCATAAACTTAGTTGATAAAGTAGCAGCAGGGTTTGAGGGGATTGACTCTTTTTTTTTTCAGACAGAGTCTCACTCTGTCACCCAGGTTGGAGTGCAGTGGTGGTGCGATCTTGGCTCACTGCAACCTCCACCTCCTGGGTTCAGGTGATTCTCCTGCCTCAGCCTCCCGAGTAGCTAGGATTACAGGCATGCGCCACCATGCCCGACTAATTTTTGTAATTGTAGTAGGGATGGGGTTTCGCCATGTTAGCCAGGCGAACATGTTCGCCATGTTACCCAGTCTTGAACTCCTGACCTCAGGTGATCCATCTCAGCCTCCCAAACTGCTGGATTACAGGCATGAGCTGCTGCGCCCAGCAGACTGACTCCAATTTTGAAAGAAGTTCTATTGCAGTTAAAATGCTATCAAACAGCATTGCATGCTACGGAGAAATCTTTTGTGACAGGAAGTGTTAATTGATGCAGAAAAACTTCATTGTTGTCTTATTTTAAGAAATTGGCACAGCCACCCCAACATTCAGCAACCACTCTGATCAGTCAGCAGCCATCGACCTCCAGGCAAGACCCTCCACCAGCAAAAGGATTATGACCCACTGAAGGCTAAGATGATCACTAGCATTCTTTAGCAATAAAATATTTTAAAATTAAGGCATGTACACTGTTTTTTAAGACATAATGCTATTACACACTTAATAGACTCCAGTATAGTGTAAATATAGCATATATTATTTGATCACAAATACCTTCATACTGTTTTGTTACTACCTGGGCCTCATAAACATTGGAGTCCTGGTTTCAAAGTTGCTTTAAGAATGAATGGGTTTTGCATGAGTTGACATGAGTGACTTCTGAATCTCCAGCCCCTAGAGGGTGGTATGTCTGTTACAGAGAAGTAGAAGTAAGAAGTGCTTAGTAAACTTTTCTTTTTTGGGGGGGGGAGGGGGCAGAGTGTCGCTCTGTCACCCAGGCTCAAGTGCAGTGGCCTTATCTCAGCTCACTGCAAGCTCCACCTCCTGGGTTCACGCCATTCTCGTGCCTCAGCCTCCCGACTAGCTGGGACTACAGGCACCCGCCACCATGCCTGACTAATTTTTTTGTATTTTTAGTAGAGATGGGGTTTCACTGTGTTAGCCAGGATGGTCTGGATCTCCTGACCTTGCGATCCGCCTGCCTCGGCCTCCCAAAGTGCTGGGCTAGTAAACTTTTCTTAAATGAATTCTGATTGAAAGATACATTGTTAAATGTAAAAAAAAAAAAAAAAAAGTCAGACTATTGGCCACTAGAGTAAGAGCCCATTAAAAAGGATGAAGAAAAAAACTGAAACAAAAAAATAAGCATGTGTCTGGATAGAAGTTTTCTGAAAACACACAAAAGAAACCACTACAAGTGATTGCTTCTGGGGAGCGAAGTTGGAAATTCAGTGAGAAAAGGAGAATAATTTTTCACTGCATATCACATTGAAATCTTTGAATTTTTTTTACCCTGTGCATGTATTACTTTTCAATGAAAAATTTACTGTAATAGACAGACATATGATAAAGAAAAATAGTAACATGTGAATGATAAAATTTTGTGGTATTGAGTGTTCACTAAAAAATTCAGCTTTGCTGTATGTTTGACACTTTTTACAAAAATATTGTAAAAAAGTAAACATTTTTTACTTTATTATTTTTTTTTTTTGAAACAGGGTCTTGCTCCATCACCCAGCCTGGAGTACAGTGGTGCAATCACTGCTCACTGCAGCCTTGACCTCCCAGGCTCGGTTGCTCCTGCCTCAGCCTCCCAAGTAGCTGGAACTACAGGTACATCTGGCTAATTTTTGTATTTTCTTTTTTTTTTAGAGACAGGGTTTTTCCATGTTGCCCAGGCTGGTCTTGAACTTCTGGGCTCAGGCGATCCTCCTGCCTTTGCCTCCCAAAGTGCTGGGATTACAGGTATGAGCCACCATGCCCGGCCTAAACATTTTTGCTTAACAAAGTCTCACCACTATGATGAAATCAAAGGCCAGTCCTGAAGCACATGCAGCTGTCAGAGGGAACGAAGGCATTTGTGGTGTGCTGGGGCATCTTTCAGCATAAAAGCACCAAGCTTTGTTTGCATTGTTCATGTGAAACCATCTAAGCTAGTGTCCTTTACAAGGGCAAGGGCTGAGCTCACAGCAATGAATTCTACTTTGGTATGGCCACAAATTCTGCCCAACTGGACTCCTCACTTTTGGTGACAACAGATGCAACCAGAGCTTCTCTCTCTGGGAATGTACTAACTACAGTTTGTTGATTACACACACCAGAAACTGACATTGATCAATGAAACCAGGGTGGGAATTTACAGCAGCATGTGAAGGAGCTGAGATCATTGATGGGAGGAGTGGAGAGCCAGGCTCAGGTGATGGGCAGAAAGTGAGGCAGGCCTGACAGCCATAACCATGACCAAGGCACTCTTCCAAGACTGCCTATGATGCTGCAGGTGGCATACTGGAACTGATGCACTGGGAAACCCTAAGCTGCACCCCACTGCCCAGAAACCCTGCAGCAGCCATCATACACTAGTTAAAGCTCTGCTGAAATGCTGCTACTGTGAACAAATATTAATCTCTTCCCATAGTTTTGTGTGCTTCCTTGGTCTTGGGTGGCAGCAGCTGGCTGGCCAAGCCTACGTTACGTGGTTGTCCAGCTCCTAGGGCATGGGAGGAGTAGCTGGTGCCTGCCAGCCTGTACCATGTGCGGTGGGTCACTATCTTCCACTGAGATGAACATAATAACTGGTGTCTCTGCACAGGGAGAGGTTGGACCTGAGCAGCCCTAATGATAACTATCAGCCACTGATGGCTTAACACAAGATACACTGGGAAAGCAAATTATTAGAGCTGCCACTGAATATGGCTACACTAATTGACTGCCTACTGTGTGCGAGGTACTTAACAACTTAACATGGTTTTTTGTTTTTTTTTTTGAGACAGAGTCTCACTGTGTCACCCAGGCTGGAGTGCAGTAGTGCCATCTTGGCTCACTGCAACCTCCGCGCCCTGGGTTCAAGTGATTCTCCTGTGTTCAAGTGATTCTCCTGTGTTAGCGTTCTGAGTAGCTGGGATTACAGACACCTGCCACACCTGTCTAATTTTTGTATTTTTAGTAGAGATGGCGTTTTACCATGTTGGCCAGGCTGGTCTCGAACTCTTGACCTCAGGTGATGCGCCTGCCTCGGCCTCCCAAAGTGCTGGGATTTCAGGCATGAACCAGCGTGCCCGGCCCACAACACGTATTGTTTTATTTAATTCTTCCCTACAACATTATAAGGTAGGTACTTTTACTATCCCCATTATAGAGAAGAAGAAACTGAAATTCGGGAAGTTATTTCACGCATCTGGGTCAGACACCTGGGAAGATGTGGAGCTGGAATTTCAACCCAGTTCTTTCTGACTTCAGAACCCTTTGCTTAACCATTACCCTCTACTGTCAATCATTCTAGTTCTTCATGGGCCTGTTTAAAACTACAACTCAGGCTTAAAAGGTCTTTGAATGACAGCACCTGCCTGCTTAAAGGTAATCTGGGTGCGTCTATGCTTTCTACACCAGACTAGGTTGAAAGATGCCCTATAAAGATGACTGTTGGTTGGGTACAAGAAATTTTAATACTGAGAAAAATTTAAATTCTCATTGAGCATTCAACATATCAATCTTTCAAATTAATCTGAAGTCTGACTCTCCTTCTGGAGATACATGGTAACTTAGATTTGGCACAAAATGAATAGAATTCTCTTTAGGATTTTATGTAAAGTCTCATAAAAGCTTAGGCATCTCCAACATCTTATGCCTTTTATGCACCGTCTCCTGTGAGGTGCTGAGTCTTAGAGCCAATAGGGAAAATGGTGCCTTTAATGAAAGACACCCATATGGAGGCAAACAGGTGGTGGGCAAATTGGGTGGGGACTCTTATGGGTAGGTTTTCCGTCAGTGGAAAGAATTTTTTTTTTTTTTTTAAAGGAAGTGATATGGTTAGGCTTTGTCAGAATTTTTTTTTTTTTTAAGACAGTCTTGCTCTGTCACTAGGCTGGAGTGCAGTGGTGTGATCTCAGCTCACTGCAACCTCCACTTCCCAGGTTCAAGCAATTCTCCTGCCTCAGCCTTCTGAGTAGCTGGGACTACAGGCGTGCGCCACCACACCCAGCTAATTTTTGTATTTTTAGTAGAGACGGGGTTTCACCATGTTGGCCAGGCTGGTCTCAATCTCCTGACCTCATGATCCGCCGGCCTCGGCCTCCCAAAGTGCTGGGATTACAGTTGTGAGCCACCACGCCTGGCCCAGAATTTTTTTTTTAAAGGAAGTGATACGGTTAGAAATTTTTTCTTTTAAAGGGAAGATTTTTTTTTTTAAAGGAAGTGATATGGTTAGGCTTTGTGTTCCCACCCAAATCTCATCTTGAATTATGATTCCCATAATCCCCACGTGTCAAGGGAGAGACCAGGTAAAGGTAATTGGATCATGGGGGCGGCTGCTGTTCTCATGATAGTGAGTTCTCACAAGAGCTGACGGTTTTATCAGGGGCTCTTCCCCTTTCACTCGGCACTTCTCTTTCCTGCCTCTTTGTGAAGAAGGTGCCTTGCTTCCCCTTTGCCTTCTGCCATGACTGTAACTTTCCTGAGGCCTCCCCAGCCATGCTGAACTGTGAGTTGATTAAACCTTTTTCCATTATAAATTACTCAGTCTCACACAATTCTTTACAGCAGTATGAAAATGGATTAATACAGGAAGCAAGACAAGAAGACAGGATGGGAAGAAATTTTACAAAGACAAATCCTTTTTTTCACCATACTTGTGTTGAGAGTGACTTTAAAGCAGTATTGTAGTGAAAACGTGATTTTCACTTATCCAGATATTGAACACTGTCTACAGCAACTCAGTAGGAAATAATAAGTTGAGGATATTCACTGGTAGTCTACTACTGTGTAAGACAGTTTTTGCTATACAACGACCTCAAAATCTCAGTGGTTTTCCACACAAATGTTTATTTATTTTTTTCCCGGGTCTGTGGGTTCACTGTGGCTCTGTGGAGCTTGGCTCTGGGCTGTGGTTTGGATTGAGGTGTGTTCCATGTGTCTGTTCATTTCTGTTTAGGCCATCAGTTACTCAGAATCTGTTCTAAGGCAGATCACTCCAGAGCAAGAGGTTGTGTCAAATTCTACAGCCACATTGAAAGCCCCTGTTCCTGGACTAGATGTGGTGGCTCACGCCTCTAATCACAGCACTTTGGGAGGCCAAGGCAGGAGGATTGTTTGAGGCCAAGAGTTTGAGACCAGCCTGGGCAACATAGCAAGACTCTCTCTATAAATAATAATAATAATACCCCTGTTCCCATCAGGTCCACTGATATTCCATTGGCCAAAGCAAGTCAAATGGCTTTGCCCCATTATGGTGGTGCCCCACCCACCATAATGTCAATGGACAAGGTGGGTAAATATTCTGTAGCTGGAGAAAGGACAGAATTTGAGACCATTATCTAGCCTACCATAGCAACTAACCTGAAAACAGGAATAAAATCATACAGCTGGGATGAGAACAGATTGATAAAGATGGACACATTTACAGTATTAATAAATGTATACCTAAACTGCTAGGTGGAAAAAGCAAACTGATCTGCTTTGTGGCACCTAACTTGTTATTCTTGGAAAACTGACCTGAGGGAGGTGAAATTCTATACTGCCTTGTGTTGAGTTGCTGCACTCCACCACTGGAGGGCAGCATTAGTCACCATTTTACTAAAGCTTCTGAGCTTGGTCTTCCGTCAGTAACAAGGGCTGATTTCCACCTGGTCTCCCACAGTCTTTACCACTTTCAAAAGTGCCCCAGCTTGGATGATAAACTACACGATCGTCTTATATACATGGTATAACTGTGGCATTTCTTTTCCAGAAATGAACAAAATTTCCAGAAGCTAACACTCCACAAGGAGCTCCGACCTTTTTTTAAATTTTCTTTCTTTTTCTGAGACGGAGTCTCATTCTGTCACCCAGGCTGGAGTGCAGTGGCACGATCTGGGCTCACTGCTACCTCCGCCTCCCAGGTTCAAGCCATTTTCCTGCCTCAGCCTCCCGAGTAGTTGGGATTACAGGCGCGCACCACCACTCCTGGCTAATTTTTTTTTTTTTTTTCTTGAGATGGAGTCTCGCTCTGTTGCCCAGGCTGGAGAGCAGTGGCGCGATCTCGGCTCACTGCAAGCTCCGCCTCCCGGGTTCACGCCGTTCTCCCGCCTCAGCTTCCCAAGTAGCTGGGACTACAGGCGCCCACCACCACGCCCGGTGAATTTTTTTTCTTTTTTTCTTTTTTTTTTTGTATTTTTAGTAGAGATGGGGTTTCACCGTGTTAGCCAGGGTGGAATTTTTTTGTATTTTTAGTAGAGATGGGGTTTTGCTATGTTGCCCAGGCTGGTCTCTTAACTCCTGAGCTCAGGCAGTCTGCCTGCCTGGGCCTCCCAAAATGCTAGGATTACAGGTGTGAGCCACCGTACCCAGCCGCTCCAGCCTTTTTTATTTGCCTTTTTCCTTCTAGCAAAAATGTTCCAATTACAAATACCCTCTGTCTTTCCAGACTGCCCTAACGTCCAGTGCACCTTAGAATGCTCATTTCCCTCACTCCTCCGTTCTTTGTCTTCAATTGTGTAACTCCTATGTAGCATTTTGACTCAGCTCAGGTGCTGGTCACCCCGGCCCTGGCCCATTTCAGCCTCTTGGACCTAAATCTGGGAAGGCCTGTTCCCAGATGCTCCTCATGGTGCCTGCTTCTGTTCCTCATGGTGCCTCTGTATCCCATTAAAGCACATATGTGTTGTGACAACTCGCCTGTCTGCCTAACTAGACTGTAATCTCCCAGGGGGCAGGGATCCTGCCTGCCCTGTGTCACCACCATGGTATGCCCCGGGGCAATTCATCTTTGCTGAATGAGTGCAATCGTCATTATTGTTTATTATTATAATAAAACATGTCAGACACACAAAAAACTCCTGCTGCCTGCTCCTCTTTCCCTTGCTCACTCTTCCCTGGCCACGTTCCTGCTTTAAGGTTTTTGCATTCCCTTTGCCTGGAACTCTGTTCCTCTCGAGATCCACATGGCTCCCTCACTCCCTCATTCCAGTCTTTGTTCCAATCTCAACTTCTTAGGGAGAACTACTCTGACCCGCAGGCTCCTCTCCCTCATCATACTCAGTCCCTCCACCCTGCCATGGCACTTACCAGCTTCTAAGACACTGTATATGGTGCCTACAATTGTGTTTTGTTTGTTTGTTTGTTTTTGGCAGGATCTTGCTCTATCACCTAGGCTGGAGTGCAGTGGCACAATCATGGCTCACTGCAGCCTCAAGTGCCCAGGCTCAAGTGATCCTCCCACCTCAGCCTCCAAAGTAGCTGAGACTACAGGAATGTTCCACCATACCCGACTAATCTTTTTATTTTTTGTAGAGAGGGGGTCTCCTTATGTTGTCCACTCTGGTCTTGAACTCCTAGCCTCAAGCGATGCTCCTGCCTCGGCCTCCCAAAGTGCTGGGATTACAGATATGAGCCACTGCACCCCGTCCATTCTGCTTATTATTTATCTGTTTTCTCTTATGAGAAGGCAGATTCCATAAGGTCACGATCATTTCCTTTTTGCTCATGGAAACTTCACATGTTTCCAGAACAACATCTAGCCTATAGTAGGTGTTCAGGAAACATTTATCAAACTTCTTAGGGCTGATGGCCATGTGACACCAGGCAGGCTCTTGCAATCTCTAGCCCCTAGTTGTTTATCTTAGTATTTTCCACATTACTCAGATCAGAACACTCTCCAGGGTGCCAAATTTAAAATACAGATTCTCGGCCCAGTGTGGTGGCTCATGCCTGTAATCTCAGCACTTTGGGAGGCTGAGGCGGGTAGATCACGAGCTCAGGAGATTGAGACCATCCTGGTGAAACACCATCTCTACTAAAAATACAAAAAATTAGCCAGGCATTGTGGCGGGCGCCTGTAGTCCCAGCTACTCAGGAGGCTGAAGCAGGAGTATGGCGTGAACCTGGGAGGCAGAGCTTGCAGTGAGCCAAGATTGGGCCACTGCACTCCAGCCTGGGCGACAGAGCAAGACTCTGTCTCAAAAATAAGAATAATAATAAAATAAAATACAGATTCTCATCTTCATTAAAGGAAGGGAGGAAGACAGGAAGAAAGGAAAACAGGAAGGAAGGAAAGGAGGGAAGGAAAGAAAAGAAAGGGAGGAGGGAAGGAAAGGAAAGAAGAAAAAGAAGAAAGGAAAAGAAGGAAGGACGGGAAGGAAGGAAGAAAAAGAAAAAGGAAAAGAGAGAGAAGAAAGAAAAGAAAGAAAGCAAGAAAAGAAGAAAGAAAAGCAGGCCACAAAACAAGCAGAAAACAAATAAAATGGCAGGAGCAAGTCCTTACTTAACAATAATATAACATTGAATGTAAATGAACTAAAGTCTCCAATCAAAAGACATGGAATGGTTGAATAGATTAAAAAACAAGACCCACTGATCTGCTGCCTACAAGAAACACACTTCCCCTAAACACACATAGGCTAAAAATAAAGGGATGAAAAAGATATTCTATGCCAATGGAAACCAAAAAAGAGCAGGGGTAGCTATACTTAAATCAGACAAAATACATTTCAAGACAAAAACTATAAGAAAAGCAGGTCACTATATATAATGTTTATAAAGGGGTGAATTCAGCAAAAAGATATCGCAGTTTTAAATATATATGCATCCAACTCTGGAGCACCCAGATATATAAAAGAAACATTATTACAGCTAAAGAGAGAGTTAGGCCCTAATACAATAATAGCTGGAGACTTCAACACCCCACTTTCAGCATTTGCCAGATCTTCCCGACAGAAAATCAACAAAGAAACATCGGACTTAATCTGCACTATAGACTAAATGGATCTAGTAGATATTTACAGAACATTTCATCCTATGGCTGCAGAATACACATTCTTTTCCTCAGCACATGGATCATTCTCAAGTATAGACCATATGTTAGGTCACAAAACAAGTCTTAAAATGTTGAAAAAAAACTGATGTAATATCAATCATCTTCTCTGACCACAATGGGACAAAACTAGAAATTAATAACAAGAGGAATTTTGGAAACTATACAAATACCTGGAAATTAAACAACATGCTCCTGAATGACCAATGGGTCAATGAAGAAATTAAGAAGAAAATTTAAAATTTCTGAGACAAATGATAATGGAAATACAACATACCCAAATCTGTGGAATACAGCAAAAGCAGCATTAAAAGGAAAGTTTATAACTATAAGAGTTTACATAAAAAGGAGAAAAAACTTCAAATAAACAATCTAATGATGGATCTTAAAGAACTAGAAAAGCAAAAACAAACCAAACCCAAAATTAGTAGAAGAAATAAGAAAGATCAGAGCAGAAATAGATGAAATTGAAATGAAAACATAATACAAAAGGTCAATGAAAAAAAGCTGTTTTTTTAAAAGTTAAACAAAATTTACAAACCTTTACCCAGACTAAGAAAAAAAAGGGAAGATACAAATAAATAAAATCGGAAATGAAAAAAGGAGGTATTACAGCTGATTCTGCAGAAATTCAAAGGATCATTAGTGGCTACTATGAGCAACTGCATGTCAATAAATTGGAAAATCTAGATGAAATGGACAAATTCCTAGACACAAACAGCCTACCAAGATTGAATCATGAAGAAATCCAAAACCTGAACAGATCATTAACAAGTAACGAGATCAAAACCACAATAAAACGTTTCCCAGTAAAGAAACGCCTGGGACTCGATGGCTTCACTGCTGAATTCTGCTAAACATTGAAAGAAGAACTAATACCAATCCTACTTAAACTTTTCCAAAAAAGAGAGCAGGAGGGAATATTTCCAGACTCATTCTACAAGGGCAGTGTTACCCTGATACCAAAACCAGACAAAAACACATCAAAAAAAAGAAAACTACAGGTCAATATCTCTGAAGAATATTGATGCAAAAATCCTCAACAAAATACTAGCAAACCAAATTCAACAATACATTAGAAAGATCATCATGACCAAGTGGGATTTATCTCTGGAATGCAAGGATGACTCAATATATACAAATCACTCAATGTAATACATCATATAAACAGAATGAAGGATAAAAATCATTTGATCATTTGAAATGATGCTGAAAGAGCATTTGATAAAATTCAGCATCCCTTCATGATAAAAACCCTCAAAAAACGGGGTGTCAAAGGAACATACCTCAACATAATAATAGCCATATACGACAGACCCACAGCTAGTATCATAACTAATAGGGAAAAACTGAAAGATTTTCCTCTAAGACCTGGAACATGACAAAGATGCCCACTTTCACCACTGTTATTCAACATAGCACTGGAAGTCCTAGCTAGAGCAATTGGACAAGAGAAAGATATAAAGGGCATCCAAATTGGAAAGGAAGAAATCAAATTATCCTTGTTTGCAGATGATATGATCTTATATTTGGAAAAACCTAAGGACTCCACACAGAAAAATACTATTAGAACTGATAAACAATTTCAGTAAAGTTGTAGGATACAAAATCAACATACAAAAATCAGTAGCATTTCTATACGCCAACAGTGAACAATCTGAAAAAGAAAATTTAAAAAGTAATATCATTTACAATAGCCACACACAAAATTAAATACCTAGGAATTAACCAAAGAACATACGACCTGGCTTCCTGATGGGCCCACTTCAGGGATTCCCCTTTGGTCCACTGTGCCTTGGGTAGTGGTTTCTGCCTTCTTCAAGAAGGGCTTTTTGTCTGGGCTGGTGACTCATGCCTGTAATTCCAGCACTCTGGCAGGCCGGGGTAGATCACTTGAGTCTAGGAGTTTGAGACCAGCCTGGGCAACATTGTAAGACCCTGTCTCTACAAAAAATACAAAAATTAGCTGGGCATGGTGGTGCATGCCTGTGAACCCAGCTACTCAGGAGGCTGAGGTGGGAGGATCACCTGAGCCCGGGAGGTGGAGGTTGCAGTGAGCCATGATCATGCCATTGCATTCCAGCCTGGGCAACAGAGTGAGATCCTGTCTCAAAAAAAAAAAAAAAAAAAAAAAAGGAGGACTTTTCCCTATTGCAGGAAATCACACACTCACCCCACTGAGAACTAAATGCTAAGGCAGATTTACTGTGAGAATGCTGAAATTGAGGATCCCTCCGCTCCCCAAGGCCCTTTTTAAGTCCCTGTATTTGTAATTTTACATTTTTTAAAAAAAATACACTTCAGGCCCCATAAAAGCTAGATCTACTCCTGATTTAAAGTCAGATTTTATCCAGGCTGCCTCTCTGCTAAATTTCTCATCTACTCAGGAGAGAAGCTTGCCTGTTCTGTTTCTGGAAGCCAAGCCTTCCACAGTAAGCCACTGAAAACATGAACTCAAATTTGCAGGTGTTTTACAGCAGAGTCACTGATTTATATAAGCAGGGGGTTATTAAGATATCTCAGTTTGGTGGCAAGCACCCTGTTTATTTAATCAAGTGTCATTGTGACTTAAGCCAGAGCTGCTGGGGGACTGACAACTTTTCAGCCTAAAGCTGCTTCTTTGCGATGCTTTCAGGAAGGGTGGCATCAAGGTTCACAAACTGCCTTATGGCTTTTCAAGAGTTTATAGGCCATTCCCACGATAGGAAACACAGTGACTTGGAACGTTCCAGGAAGGGGTTTCATATGTTTGTTTAATCACATGCCGATAACAACAACAACAATAACAACAGTAAAAAATCCTACAGAAGGTCTAATTTTTAAACAGAATTCTCCATTCCAACATAAAGAGAAGCCATAAAATACAAATTCAATCTAATTTGAACTTACGGACCACTTTTTTTTGTATGGTCTGTGAGCTAGGAATGGTTTTCACATTTTTATTGTTATTTTTATATTTTTTTGAAATGGGGTCTCACTCTGTCACCCAGGTTGGAGGGCAGTGGCACAATCTCGGCTCACTGCAACCTCTGCCTCCTGGGCTCAAGCGATCCTCCCACCTCAGCCTCCCAAGTAACTGGGACCAAAGGTGCACGCCACTGCACCTGGCTACTTTTTTGTGTGTTTGCTAGAGACAGGGTTTCACCATGTTGCCCAGGCTGGTCTCGAACTCCTGACCTCAAGTGATCTGTCTGCTTCGGCCTCCCATAGTGCTGGGATTACAGGTGTGAGCCACTGTGACTGGTCTGGTTTTCACATTTTTAACTGGTTAACAAAAATCAAAAGAAAATTAAATTTTGTGAGGTGAAAATTTTATGAAACTGAAATCTCAATGCCTATGAATGGAATTTTATCGAAGCACAGCCACGCCCACTGCCCTGAATATTGACTGTGGCTATTTCCCTGCTACCCCAGTGGGGCTGAATAGTTGGAACAGAGAAGATATGGCCCACAAAGCTGAAAACATTTACTATCTGGAGCTTTACAGAAAAAACACTGCTGATTCCTGCTCTATGGCAAAAGGTCTGCAAATTGGGAGTTTTGTACTATGGAAATACACAAAGATGCTTTTCTTTTCTTTGAGACAGGGTCTCGCTCTGTTGCTCAGTCTGGAGTGCAGTGGTGTGATCATGGCTTACGGCTCACTGCAGCATTGACGTCCTGGGCTCAAGTGATCTTCCCACCTCAGCCTCCCAAGAAGCCAGTACTACAGGCATGTGTCATCAAGCCCAGCTAATTTTTTGGTAATTTTTGTAGAGGCAGGGTTTCGACATGTTGCCCAGGCTGGTCTCAAACTACTGGGCTTAAGTGATCCTCCTGCCTCAGCCTCCCAGAGTGCTGGAATTACAGGCATGAGCCACTGCGCCCTGCCAAGATTTTCAGTATATACAGGCATGATTGGCTGGGTTCGGTGGCTCACGCCTGTAATGCCAGCACTTTGGGAGGCCGAGGTGGGTGGATCATTTGAGGTCAGGAGTTCGAGACCAGCCTGGCCAACATGGTGAAACCCTGCCTTGACTAAAAATACAAAAATTAGCTGGGCATAGTGGTGTGTACCTGTAGTCCCAGCTACTCAGGAGACTGAGGCAGGAGAATTGCTTGAATCAGGGAGGTGGAGGTTGCAGTGAGCCGAAATCACACCACTGCACTCCAGCCTAGGCGATGGAGGGAGACTCTCTCAAAAAAAAAAAAAAAAAAAAAAAAGAAAAAACCAAAAAAAAGAACAACAACAACAACAACAACAAACAGGCATGATTAAGGACATCAATTCTCAGATCCTTAACTTCTAGGCATACCTTTTCCTAAAACTGATCACCTAAGAACGCGCAGAGAAAGTGACCCATTATTAATAAACCATACTGAACCAATGCATGGAGCCATAAAATCTGAGATATCACAGCATCAATGTTGAGAAGGCAAGTGATTCCATAATTGGGAAAGAAACCCCAGGTTGTTTTCAGTTCTTTGTTTTTAATAAAATTGACCCAATTAATGACAACTGATCAATATGTGATTTTCTGGCATAGAATTCAGAAAAAATTAAAATAATTGAGAAATATTGCTATAACAATACAACTTGTATTTCTATATTCTTATTTATGTGAATAAAACTCAGAGTTTACATCAATAAAAAAGAATTTGACACATAACTGAAAATAAACTGTATCTCATTCTAGCAACTGCTGAAAAATGGTTTTTTAAAAATTCATAATCATAAAGAATATATAAGCTAACTAAAAACCAGGCCTATCTACCTCATTAAAATAGAAAAACACCAGTACCTTGCTTATATTTAATAACTGTTTTTCAAATTATATAATATATATATGTTGCTTTGGTCAAAAGTTCCTAATTATCTTGTTTTTTTGAGATGGAGTCTCACTCTGTCTCCCAGGCTGGAGTATAGTGGCGTGATCTCGGCTCACTGCAACCTCTGCCTCCCGGGCAAGTGATTCTCCTGCCTCAGCCTCCTGAATAGCCGGGACTACAGGCATCCACCACCACACCCAGCTAATTTTTGTATTTTTAGCAGAGATGGGGTTTTGCCATGTTGGCCAGGCTGGTCTCAAACTCCTGACCTCAGGTGATCCACCCACCTTGGCCTCCCAAAATGCTGGGATTACAGGTGTGAGCCACCGTGCCTGGCCCTAATGGTAATTTGATATTGAAGAAATGTCTAAAGCTTGGAGCCCTGTGATCATAGAAAATAAAAGATGTGAATTTCAATTTATATAGCCATAATTTTGTTGCTGAGAAGTATGATGAAATAAATAATAATTTTTAAGATTAATAATATTTCCTATTTTGAAGCCCTGCTCTCTATCTGAGAAGTTTCAGAGATGGGTTCTCTCCACCTGACTGGCTAGAATGAGCCACTGCCTTGCTTTTTTTCCTGGTAACACCATCATTTTGTCTCAACTTTGCTGGGCTACAGGACCTAGGGCATCTAAGAAGTGGATCAGATTGGGATCCAACTTTTCATCTCCACCAGAACAGAGTTTAACGACTACTGAAGAAAAAAAGATCTTATGTCCAAGGGTATAATTCATCTGCCAGGACAAAAGAAGTCCCACCTATGTGCCCTTCTGAGGAATATGCTCCAGGAAGTACTCCAACCAAATGAAAATGAAATCAGAGTAAAAGCGCAACATAGGGAAGCTGAAGGGTGTAAGAAACTATGGTGAACAATGAATGCAGTAATTTTTGGTTAAATCTAAATGGAGATGGTCAATTGGGAATTTGAATGTAAGAGACATACCATAGGGCAAAACTTAACAAAGGCCTAGAAATAAACTTATAAGTCATCTCAGCAAAACTCAGAATTTGAGGATGGCGGCTGTAGAAGATGAAGTCCAAAAGCTTCCTCTCATCAGGGAAGAATTTCTTAATGGAAGATTGAGGCACGGTTAATGTTTACTTTTTACACAGCAGTAGGCAAATATATATTTAACAATCATTGTTAAATATTGGAAAGCAGGCCCGGTGCACTGGCTCATGCCTCTAATCCCAGCACTCTGGGAGGCAAAAGCGAGCAGATTGCTTGAGCCCAGGAGTTCGAGACCAGCCTGGGAAACACGGAAAAACCCCATCTTTACAAAAATAAATAAATAAATAAATAAATAAATAAATAAATAAATAAGCAAGCCAGGCATGGAGGCACACATCTGGAGTCCCAACTACTTGGGAGGCTGAGGTGGGAGGATCACTTGGGCTGGGGAGGTAAAGGCTGCAGTGAGCCAAGATCACTCCACTGCACTTTAGCCTGGGAGACAGAGACCCTATCTCAAAAAAACAACACACAAAAAATTGGAATGTAACTGTCAGCAGGATGGAGATGAATATATAACTTTCTAGAGATAGGAAATAAAGTTAAAAAGGAAAAAGGAGAAAACCACAAACTTTAATAAATAGCAAATATTAAATAAGATGGAAGTGAATAATAGCACATATATATTACTGTAATAAATACAAATGATTTGAATTGTCCTATCAAAGACAAGGAGAGGCTGATAAAGAAAGATACTGAATAACAGAATGGGCAGATATGAACCAGGCAAATGAAAAAAAAATACAAAATAAGACTTAGAATGTTATTATGAGATAAAGCATGATTTAAGGCCAAAAGCTATTATTACATAGAAGGAACAGGTACATGAGAAAAAAAGGAAAAAATGACAAAGAACGTAGAACAGCTACAAACTTTATATGCATCAAACAACATATGGCAAAATATAATAAAAAAAAAAGCACCCTGGTAATATAAGGAAAGCTTAGTTTTAAAAATGCAATCCTCGAGAGAGATTTTTTAAATATTTCTTTCAGAGTTTACCAAATAGATACAAACTAAGAAAGGATTAGAAGAATTGAATAATTCATAAAAATTTAAACTCTACAGAGACTGTGTATTCTTCTCTAATAGTCACCAAATACGTACAAAAATTGGTCATGTAAATGGCCATACAGAAAACTATTAAATTATAAGAAGACATACAAGCAGCCAACAAGCATATGAAAAAATGCTCAACATCCTAATCATGAGAGAAATATAAATCAAAACCACAGTGAGATAGCATCTCACACTAGTCAGAGTGGCTACCATGAAAAAGTCAGAAAACTAAAGATATTCACAAGGTCGAGGAGAAAAGGAAACATTTGTACACTGCTTGTGGGAATGTAACTTAGTTCGGCCACTGTGGAAAGCAGTTTGGAGATTTCTCAAAGAACTTAGAACTACCACTCGACTCAGCAATCCCATTAATACAAATCATTCTACCAAAGACACATGCACGCATACGTTCATCGCAGCACTATTCACGATAGCAACATGGAATCAACCTAGATGCCCATCAATGGTGGGCTGGATAAAGGAAATGTGGTACGTACAGCATGGAATACTTCACAACCATAACAACATGAAATCATGGACTTTGCAGCAACATAGATGCAGCTGGAGGTCATTATCCTAAGTGAATTAATGCAGGAACAGAAAACCGAACACCACATGTTCTCACTTATAAGTGGGAGCTAAACATTGAGTACCCGTGGACACAAAGATGGGAACAACAGACACTGGGTTCTACTTGAAGATGGAGGGTGGGAGGAGGGTGAGGGTTGAAAAACTTATTGGGTACTATGGTCACTACCTGGGTGACCAAACCATTCATACCCCAAACCCCAGTGACATGCAATTTACCCAGGTAAAAAACCTGCACATGTACCCCCTAAACCTAAAATAAAAGTTGAAAAAACAAAACAAAATAAAGAAAATGGCATAATGAGAGAGAAAAACATTTATTTTACGGGTCACATTTTCAGACCAAAACCCAGTAACATCAGAAACCAAAAGCCAAAATATAGTTTCACAAATTGTAATACAGGCACACCTTGTTTGATTGTCCTTAGTTTTATTGTGCTTTGCGGGCGCTGAGTTGTTTTTTTTTTTTTTTTTACAAATTGAAGTTTGTGGCAACCCCGCATCAAACAAGTCTTACGGGCACCATTTTTCCAACAGTGGGGGCTCACTTGGGGTCTCTGTGTCATATTCTGGTAATTCTCACATTTCAAGCTTTTTATTATTATTATATCTGTTATGGTGATCTGTGATTGGTGATCTTTGGTATTACTGTTGTAATTGCTCCAGGCTGCCATGAACCATGTCCATATAAGACGACGAAATTAACTGATAAATGTAGTGTGTGTTCTGACTGCTCCACAGAACAGCCGTTCCCCATCTCTCTCCCTCTATTTGAGCTTCCCTATTCCCTGAGACCCAACAATGTTGAAATTAGGCCAATTAATAACCCTACAATGGCCTCTAAGTGTTCAAGTGAAAGAAAGAGTCCCACGTCTCTCACTTTAAATCAAAAGCTAGACAAGGTTAAGCTCGGTGAGGAAGGCATGTTGAAAGCCAAGACAGGCTGAAAGCTGGGCCTTTTGCACCAGTTAGCCAAGTTGTGAATGCAAAGGAAAAGTTCTGCAAAGAAATTAAAAGTGCTATTCCAGTGAACAAATGAATGATAAGAAAGTGAAACAGCCTTATTGCTGATGTGAAGAACGTTTGAGTGGTCTGAATAGATCAAACCAGCCACGACATTGTCTTCAGCCAAAGCCTAATCCAGAGCAAGGACCTAACTCCTTCAATTCTATGGAGACTGAGAGAAGTGAGGAAGCTGCAGAAGAAAATTGGAAGCTAGCAGAAGTTGGTTCAGGAGGTTTAAAGAAAGAAGCCATCTCCACATCGTAAAAGTGCAAAGTGAAGCAGCAGGTGCTGATGTAGAAGCTGCAGCAAGTTACCCAGAAGATCCAGCTAAGATCGTTGATGAAGGAGGCTACACTAAACAATAGATTTTTGTTTATAAAAATAGTAGATAAAACCGTCTCCTACTGGAAGAAGATACCATCTAGGATGTTCATAGCTAGAGGGGAGAAGTCAATGTCTGGCTTCAAAGCTTCAAAGGATAGGCTGACTTTCTTGTTAGGGGCTAATGTAGCTGGTAACTTGAAGTTGAAGCCAGTGCTCATTTACCATTCCAAAAATCCTAAGGCCCTTAAGAATGAGGCTAAATCTACTGTCTAGGCTCTAAAAATGGAACCATGAAGGCTGGATGACAGCACCTCTGTTTACGGCATGGTTTACTGAATATTTAAAGCCCCATGTTGAGACCTACTGCTCAGAAAATAGGTTCCTTCCACAATATTACTGCTTATTGACAATACATCTGGTCACCCAAGAGCTCTGATGGAGATGTACAAGGAGACGAATGTTGTTTTCATGCCTGCTAACATAACCTCCATTCTGTAGCCCATGGATGAGGGGGTAATTTTGACCTTGAAGTCTTATTATTGAAGTAATACATTTTGTAAGACTATAGCGGTGATAGTGATTCCTCTGATGCATCTGGGCAAAGTAAATTGGAAACCTTCTAAAAAGGATTCAATATTCATTTATTTTTTTCACCAGAACATCAAGGTGAGGGATTCACCATTCTAAATGCCATGAAGATCATTCATGATTCTTGGGGGGAGGTCAAAATATCAACCTTAGCAGGAGTTTGTAAGAAGTTGATTCCAACCATCATAAATGAACTTGAGGGGGTTCAAGACCTCAGTGGAGGAAGTAACTGCAGAGATGGTAGAGATTGCAAGAGAACTAGAATTAGAAGTGGAACCTGAAGATGTGGCTGAATTGCTGCAATCTTATGAGAGAACTTGAATGGATGAGGAATTTCTTCTTATGGCTGAGCAAAGGAAGTGGTTCCTTGAGATAGAATCGACTCCTGGTAAAGATGTTCTGAACATTGTGAAAATGACAACAAACAACTTAAAATATTACATAGCCTTAGTTGATTAGGCAGTGTCAGGTTTTGAGAGGATTGAATCCAATTTTGAAAGCAGTCTTACTGTGAGTAGAATGATGTCCAACAGCATTGGATGCTGCAGAGAAATCTTTCATGAAAAGATTTAATTATGTCTTTTGCAGCAACACAGATGAAACTGGAGGCTATTATTTTACATGAAATAACTCAGAAACAGAGAGTCAAACACCGCATGGTCTCACTTATAAGTGGGAGCTCAATAATATTTATACATGGGCATACAGTGTGGAATAGTAGACATTACAGACTCAGAAGGATGGGAGGGAGGTAAGGGATAAGAAATTGCTTAATGGGCCTGGCGCGGTGGCTCACACCTGTGATCCCAGCACTTTGGGAGGCCAAGGTTTGCGGATGACCTGAGGTCAGGAGTTCGAGACCAGTCTGGCCAAGATGGTGAAACCCCCATCTCTACTAAAAATACAAAAATTAGCTGGGCATGGTGGCATGTGCCTGTGATCCCAGCCACATGGAAGACTGAAGCAGGAGAATTGCTTGAACTCGGGCGGCGGAGGTTGCAGTGAGCCGAGATTACGCCACTGCACTCCAGCCTAGGCGACAGAGTGAGACTTCATCACACACACACAGACACACACACACACACACACACACACACACACACACACACAAATTGCTTAATGGGTAAAATGTACATTATTTGGGTGATAGTTACATTAAAAGCCCAGATTTCACCTCTATGCAATATATCCATGTAACAAAACTGCATGCACTTGTATCCCTTAAATTTATACCAAAAAAGGCAAAAAAGAGGCCAAGTGCGGTGGCGCATGCCTGTAATCCCAGCACTTTGGGAGGCTGAGGCGGGCTGATCACAAGGTTAGGAGTTTGAGACCAGCCTGACCAACATGGTGAAACCCTGTCTCTACTAAAAATATAAAAATTAGCTGGGTGTGGTGGGGTGCACCTGTAATCCCAGCTACTCAGGAGGCTGAGGCAGGAGAATTGCTTGAACCCAGGAGGCGGAGGTTGTAGTGAGTTGAGATCATGCCATTGCACTCCACCCTGGGCGACAGAGTGAGACTCCATCTCAAAAAAAAAAAAAAAAAAAGCAAAAAAGAGGAAGAGTCCATTGATGTGGCAAACTTTGTTGTTGTCTTATTTTAAGAAATTACTACAGCTACCCCAACCTTCAGCAACCACAACCCTGATAAGTCAGCAGCCATCAGCATTGAGGAAGACCCTTTATCAGCAAAATGACTGCAACTTGCTGAAGGCTCATATGATTGTCAGCATTTTTTTAGCAACATAGTATTTTTAAATTAAAGTATGTACTTTTTAAAGTCATAATGCTATTGTGCCCTGAATAGACTATAGTATGGTATAAACATAACTTTTATATGCACTGGGAAATTTAAAAATACGTGTGACTCACTTTATTGTGATATTTGCTTTATTGTGGTGGTCTGGAACCAAACTCACAATATCTCCGAAACATGCCTGTACTTGAAAAATAGGAAACATACCTTTATATAACCCCTGGATTCTGGCCCTATCCCCTTTAAAGCAACCAACTAACCATCCCTAAAACTGAAATAACAAAGTCTAGAAGTTTATGGAAAGAAGGGCATGTCATATAAAAGTTTATAGGGATGGATATAAGGACAAGTTTTGAATGATTTTGTAGGCAATAAAGATTACAGGATATCCTGTCAGTTCCCAGTTCTGGATTATCTGCTTCTATAGAGGTTAGTGCTCTTTATTGTTGTTTTTGAGCTATTTTACGACTTAGTTTTTTTTTTTTTAGACACAGTCTCACTCTGTCACCAAGGCTAGAGTGCGGTGGCACATGATCACAGCTCACTGCAGCCTCAACCTCCCCAGCTCAAGTGATCCTCTAATCTCAGCCTCTAGAGTAGTTGGGGCTACAGGTGCACACCACCACACCCGGCCAATTTTTTTTTTTATTATTAATAGTATTTGTAGAGACAGGGTCTCCCCTATGCTGCTCAAGCTGGTCTGGAATCCTTGGGCTCATGTGATCCTTTTGCCTTGGCCTCCCAAAGTGCTGAGATTATAGGCGTGAACCACCATGCCTGGCCATTTTATAACTTTGCAAGTTACAGAAATAGATAGTGTTGCAAATAACTCATCCACAGGACTGCAAACAGATTTCGTTTGATGGAACACAGCTAATTACTACTCTGGAGATACTGACCAGTTTTGGATCTGTTGGTGAATTTATTTCAGCATTCCTGATTGCCTATGTAATCATGCATTTGTTAATCCTCCTTTGAGCCTGTTGTGATAGTTTGCTGATTCCCCCTTTAATTAATGAATTAAATACTTGACGTGTTAATCTTATATTTGTAGGACAGTCATGATTTTAACTTAAAAAATTATCTTTTAACACAGGTGAAGGCATAATGGAAAATATATAGCTTTAAATGTTTTTATTACTAAAGACTAAGTGAACTTAATACATGAAATTAGAATAACAAAATAAAATGAAAGAAAAGCAGGGGAAAGAAGTATTAAAATAAAAGCTGAGGCCAGGCATGGTGGCTCACACCTACAATCCCAGCACTTTGGGAGGCCAAGGCGGGCAGATCACGAGGTCAAGAGATCAAGACTATCCTGGTCAACATGGTGAAACCCCGTCTCTACAAAATATACAAAAAAATTAGCTGGGTGTGGTAGCGTGCACCTGTAGTCCCAGCTATTCGGGAGGCTGAGGCAGGAGAATCGCTTGAATTCGAGAGGTGGAGGTTGCAGTGAGCCGAGATCGCGCCACTGCACTCCAGCCTGGTGACAGAGCGAGACTCCGTCTCAAAAAAAAAAAAAAAAAAAAAAAATGCTGAAAGCTGAAATGAATGAAATGGAGGAGGGGTAGAGAAATAAATAAAAGCAAAAGTGCTACTTTTACTTTAATACAAATGACTAAATAAGTAAACCCTTAGCATACTAAGTAGAAGACTAAAAATACAACAATAAAAAAAGAAACCCCAAAACCAGTAGTAACAAGAAAGGTGGTGGACCCCCAAATGCTAAAGATATTAAAATATTTTAAAAAGAAAGTTAAATGGAATCATAGGGCCACGTAATTGAAAATTTAGAGCAGAGTAAATGATGTTTTTTCTTTTGCTAAATATAAACTACTAAAATTGATCCAGATAAGGTATACAACCTGAACAGATCAGTAATTACAGAAAATAATTGGGAAATTTGTTAAGAATGTTACAGTGAAAAAGAGTATCAGCCAAGATAACAGAACAGATAATTTCTGAGATAGTCAAACTATTTCAGGTCACCGAAAAAGAAGAAAAGAGCTCCAGCTTATTTTTAGAGTTGCACAAGCTCCAATTTATTTTTAGAGTTGCATAAGAAACAAGCAAAAATCAGAGATAGCACTAAAAAAGAAAACTAGAGACCAGCTGCATGTATGTGTATACAGTCGTTGCCACTTATCAACAGGGATCCATTCTGAGAAATAGGGCGTAGCCTATGGCTCTTAGGCTAGAAATCCATACAGCACGTGAATGTGCTGAGTACTATAGGTAATGGTAACACAATGGTAAGTACTTGTCTATCTAAATATAACTAAACATAGAAAAGGTACTGTAGCCCAGGCGTGGTGGCTCATGCCTGTAATCCCAGCACTTTGGGAGGCTTAGGTGGGTGGATCACTTGAGCCCAGGAGTTTGAGACCAGCCTGGGCAGAATGGCAACACCCCATCTCTACAAAAAATATGTGGTGGTACATGCCTGTGGTCCCAGCTACTTGGGAGGCTGAGGTGGGAGGATCACCTGAGCCTGGGGAGGTAGAGGCTGCAGTGAGCTGTGATTGTGCCACTGCACTCCAACCTGGGTGATAGAGTAATACCCTTTCTCAAAAACAAAACAAAACAAAACAAAAGTACAGTAAAAGTATGGTATAAAAGATAAAAATATGGTGCACCTGTTTAGGACACTTATCATGAATGGAGCTTGCAGGACTGGAAGTTGCTCTGGGTGAGTCAGTGGGTGAGTGGTGAGTGAATGTGAAGGCCTAGGTCATGACTGTGTACTACTGCAGACCTTATAAACACTGTACACTTAGACTACTCTAAATTTATTAAAAAAGTCTTTCTTCAGTAGTAAATTAAGTATAGCTTATTGTAACTGTTTTACTTTATACATGTATTAATTATATTTTGACTTATCAAAATCTTTTGTAATAACACTCAGCTTAAAACACAAGCATTGTACAACTGTACAAAAATATTCTTTCTTTATATCCTTATTCTATAAGCCTTTTCTATTTTATTTTTTTCTTTTACTTTTTCAACTTAAAAAAAAAACAAACTAAGACACAAACATGCGCATTAGCCTCAGCCTATGCAGGGTCAGGATCATCAAGATATCAGTAGGCAATAGAAATGTTTCAGCTCCTCAGAGATCTAGAACTAGAAATACCATTTGACCCAGCCATCCCATGCTGGGTATATACCCAAAGGGCTATAAATCATGCTGCTATAAAGACACATGCACACATATGTTTATTGCGGCACTATTCATAATAGCAAAGACTTGGAACCAATCCAAATGTCCAACAATGATAGACTGGATTAAGAAAATGTGGCACATATACACCATGGAATACTATGCAGCCATAAAAAATGATGAGTTCATGTCCTTTGTAGGGACATGGATGAAATTGGAAATCATCATTCTCAGTAAACTATCGCAAGGACAAAAAACCAAACACCGCATGTTCTCACTCATAGGTGGGAATTGAACAATGAGAACACATGGACACAGGAAGGGGAACATCACACTCTGGGGACTGTTGTGGGGTGGGGGGAGGGGAGAGGGATAGCATTAGGAGATATACCTAATGCTAAATGACGAGTTAATGGGCGCAGCACACCAGCATGGCACGTGTATACATATGTAACTAACCTGCACATTGTGCACATGTACCCTAAAACTTAAAGTATAATAAAAAAAAGAAATGTTTCAGCTCCATTATTCTTATGAGATCACCATTGTAACATGCAGTCTGTTGTTGACCAAAATGCTCTTATGTAGCACATGAACTAGAGTTGCAAAACTTCCAGATAAGATATTAGAAAACGAAATCCAGCAGTGTTTTGGAAGAATAATTCAACATGACCAAGAGGATTTCTTCCAGGAATGCAAGGTGACTTAACATACCAGGCTATATGCTACACAAATTCACTGTGTCAACATATTTAAGTGCAAAACCCAAATACTTACGGCTAACAATTTTAAGAAGATATTTGATAAAATTCAGCAAGCTACCCTGATAAGTAAAACTGCATCAGTATTTTATATGAACTTATCAAAAGAATGACTATGAAAATATTAAGTCTTCCACTCAAAAACCCTTATTTAACTCCATTGTAAACATTATTCAGTCAAATTATGTAGTCTATTTTCATTATATAAGGTCTGTGTTTCTTTTTTTTTGAGATGGAGTTGCACTCTGTCACCCAGGCTGGAGTGCAGTGGCGCAATTTTGGCTCACTGCAGCCTCCACCTCCTGGGTTCAAGCAATTTCACTCTAAGTGAAAACTGGAGTGGAAGAAAATGACCTAAGTACCATAAAAACCATTATCCAAAGGAGTGGTGTATATTACATTGGAAAATTCTGAAGTTAGAATTAGGGACACAGCAAGGATGCCAGCTGTATCAGCATTGTTTGGAGGTTCTGGCTAAAGCAACAGGACAAGAAAACAAAATAAGTAGTAAAAATATTCTAAAGGAAGAGATGAAACAATCTGAAAATAAAAGACTATATCAGATAATTATAAATCATATTTATCAGAGACCAAGAATTTCTAATAAATACCATTCATTACTGAGAATTTTTCTTTAATATAGACAAATATACCCTATTTTGGCTTTTCTTGATGTTTGCAACAAATGCAAAAATTCCTATTCACAATTATGATAAAATTATGGAATAATAAGAAAACACAGGACCGGGCACCGTGGCTCACACCTGTAATCCCAGCACTTTGGGAGGCCGAGGCAGGCGGATCACTTGAGGCCAGGAGTGCAAGACCAGCCTGGTCCACATGGCGAAACCCCATCTCTACTAAAGATACACACAAAAAAATTAGCCAGGCATGGTGGCAGGCGCCTGTAATCCCAGCTACTCAAGAGGCTGAAGTGGGAGAATCTCTTGAACCCAGGAGGTGGAGGCTGCAGTGAGCCAAAATTGGGTGGAAGACTTAATATTTTCATAGTTGTGCTTTTGATAAGTTCATATAAAATACTGATGCAATTTCAATAAAAATCTCCAAAAGGTTTTCTTTTTTGGTGGGGGTGGTTTAGGTACTGGATAAAATAACAGTTCCTTTGGAAGAATAAATATCTAAGAATTGCTAAGAACATTTTGGAAAATAATAGCTGGGGGAAGCTTTGTAAGTCTAAAAGATTAAGCTTACCTTAATGCTAGTATAATCAAATATGTCATGTTGGCCAGCCAGATCTTCTTTGGGAATCTCAGATCTATAATCTTCCAGAATAAAGAAGTTCTGGAAGTATATTTGTGAACTTTATCTACACGATGGCTTAAATTAGGATTTCAGTTTTCAGGAAAATAATATTTAACAAATGGTCCTGGCATAAGTGGACAGTCAAACCTGTTCATCATAACATATAAATATGAGTTCTTGGCATGAGCTGTAATCCCAGCACTCTGAAAGGCCGAGGTGGGCAGATCACTGGAGGCCAGGAGTTTAAGACGAGCATGGCCAACATGGCGAAATCTCGTCTCTACTAAAAATACAAAAATTAGCCAGGTGTGGTGGCACACGCCTGTGATCCCAGCTACGTGGGAGGCTGAGGCAGGAGAATCACCTGAGCCTGGGAGGCAGAGCAGGTAGTGAGCTGAGATCGCGCCACGGCACTCCAGGCTGGGCGACAGCCAGACTCTGTCTCAAAACAAGAAAAAAAAAAAAAAAAGAATTCTGGCTGCAGCAAGGAGCCATTGAAAAACAAATAAGCAAGCAGTAAAAACACTAAAGGGAAAACCAGTTTAATCTCAGGGGAAGGATGGACGTTCTTAGAAAACACACGTGCCACAAATGAAGCGACAGAAGAATCTAACTACAGAAAAAGACAGTCATTTTTATATGGTGACAGCCCCACAGGTAAAGTCAAAAGACAATGACAGGAGGGGAAGAAACTCAGCAATGTGTGACTGATGTCGGGTTAATGTCCCCAACTTCCCAACAACCAAAAGGAGGGAGTAAGAGTTCTAAGTTCATAGAAGAGAGAAGCACACATGGTCAACCAGCCCTATGCAGAGACGTCTCAGAAAACGCAGACCACAGCACCAGCTAGGGGAGTGCACAAAGGCCAGATAACCATTTTCACGCAGCAGAGTGATAAAACTTCCAAAGGTAGTTGAGCTCACATCAGGGATGAGACTATCATTGTGAAAATTAATCCGTATTTATGCAAGTACAAACTATGGAAACTCCGTGAAACTTACACTTTTGAATCTACTTACAGAAAAAAAAAAAAAAAAAGCTGAATATGAGAGTTTACTGGGGCAGTCGTAATGGCAAAAATATTCCCCAAACAACCTGAAGAATCATAATAGCAAGATGACGGACTAAAGCCTGGCATGTCTCTAACACTTATTTAAAAAAACTAGGTCTAGTTTTGTTGACCCACAGGACTGTCAATAAATGGAATAATCAAAGCAAGTTGCAGAGAAATGTACAGAGTATGATACAATTACTATAGAACTAGGAAAAACCTTTTCTATGTTATCTTTTGAGTCTACGTATATTGGTAAGAACACAGAGCACCTAACATTACTTACCTTGGGTGGGGTGAGAATACGGAGGGGCTGGAAGTTGTTGGCTTGGTGTTTGTACAATTCTGTGTATAATTTATTCCAAAGAGTAAGTTTTACTGTTTTGTTTGTAAAAAGACAAAACAACCAACAAATCAAATATGCATGTGTGTACATCTCTATGCATGCATGTGTATGTATGTATGTATGTGTATGTATTATATATGGAAGGCAGCTGGTAGGTAGAGATCTAAGGATACAAAAGGAAATATAGAATATAAAAAATATTATGCTTAATTAAACTACAACTTCATAACTGGAGTAGAAAACATATATACGTAAGCATAAAAAAAGATTGATAGGGGCCAGGTACGGTGGCTCACACCTGTAATCCCAGCACTTTGGGAGACCGAGGTGGGTGGATCACAAGGTCAGGAGATCGAGACCATCCTGGCTACGGTGAAACCCTGTCTCTACTAAAAATACAAAAAATTAGCCGGACTTGGTTGCGGGTGCCTAGAGTCCCAGCTACTCAGGAGGCTGAGGCAGGAGAATGGTGTGAACCCGGGAGGCGGAGCTTGTAGTGAGCTGAGATTGCGCCACTGCACTCCAGCCTGGGCAACAGAGTGAGACTCCACCTCAAAAAAAAAAAAAAGACTGATAGGAAGTCCATCAAAATGGTTACAATCTGTATAGTTTATATCTGGACAGTAAGATTATTAGTAACTTCTATTTTTTTCCTAGTAATATTCTGTTTTTCATATTTTCTATCTTGAATACACATTATAATCAGGAAAAAATCCTTTATGGTTGAAAAAAGTGGGAAAAGAGAAAGACATAGGAAATAGGACCATGACAATGGAAGTTTCCCAGCTGAAATTCAAAAGCAGAACAGTTTTTCTAAAGGGCTGTAAGCAATAAGTTTAAAGTGACAAAATTATTTAAATCACTAACATTGTACACTGCAAGCCTTTTCTGTTTCTTACCAAAAACATAGTTAATAACTCACTATTATCATTGATGATAGGAAAATAAAGAAATTATGGCAAATATAGCAAGTCATCAAAATTGTGTCCAACTATTACAGATCAAAGAAAGAAGAATAAAAGTGGTAGAAATGTATCTAAGTATTCTCATAATATTCTAAATATGCTTCTGTCCCAAGAGTAACCTCCCCTCCTCACCAATCCTTGCTGACAGCAGAAATGAGTGCTATTACAACCTTACAGAATGGCTTAAGGTACAAATATGGATGATTCTAGCTTGCTCTCTGGCACCACCTACTGATCAAACAGCATTTCAATGTAAAACAACACAATCTGAATTTTCCTCTTCTCAATACAACCTATGCTTTGGAAAAAATCTAGGTACTCTCTCAGTCCACTCATCTGGATTCTGCACAGATATTAACATCTCAAAAATGGTATTCTAGAAAATTCTGTCTTGTTAGTAGGAACTTTGATCATTTTTGTGTCTAAACAGAAATGCCAGGATTGTCAGTCTGAAGTTTCAAAATGAAAACAACAGTGGGATGGATCACTTTATCACTTTAGGTACCACATCTATTTAATGTGACTGTGGAGGAGGTAAGATGATTGTGTGACGTTTATGAAAGGACTAAAAACCTTTGCTGCTTCAGTTTGTTTTTGATTAATGACTCACGCCCCATCATTCCCAAATCCCACCTTGGCTCTAAAGAATCATTAACATTCAGTATATTTTAATCAGATATCAATTTATTATGGAACCATTCATTTTCTGCTCATTAGCACTAAACATTTTTTTTTGGGTCAAGTATCCATGTCATATTATGTAGAAAATGGTCCTTCATGCCAACAGACTTACATGTATAAAACATGAACACCCCCAAACTCTGGGGAGTATTCCAGAATGGGGCAAAAGAGAGGCTGGGAAGTACCATTTACTACACAAATGTAATAAGATGGACAGAAACCTTTATTAGAGTTGGAAAATCAAGTTGGAAACAAACACATGAATTCACTACTTAATGCATTTAATTCCAACCCCTCATTGGAATCATCTTGGTAACATTTAAGATTCTACAACAGTTATAATGCGACGATTCAGAGGTGGTCTCAAAGTTGTTACAGTGTTAAAAAAATTATAGTAAGCAGTATAAAATTACAATTTATTATGGGGCCAGGGGGATTCACAACCATCCTTAAAAACATTAAGAGCAAACCACGGCCAGGCATGGTGGCTCACACCTGTAATCCCAGCACTTTGGGAGGCTGAGGTGGGCAGATCACTTGAGGTCAGGAGTTCAACATGATGAAACCCCGTCTCTACTAAATATACAAAAATTAGCCAGTCATGATGTCGTACACCTGTGGTCCCAGCTACTCGGAGGGCTGAGGCATGAGAATCGCTTGAACCTGGGAGGCGGACGTTGCAGTGAGCCAAGATAGCGCCACTGCACTCCAGCCTGGGAAACAGAGCGAGACTCCGTCTCAAAAACAAAACAAAACAAAGAAAACATTAAGAGCAAACCTTTTAGAGAATTCTACTTAAGATTTCTTTTTCTCAATTCCTTTCCCCCACTCCTTTTGTTTTTTTAAGCACTAATCTGGAATGGAGTCGGCGGGACAGAGCAAAGCTGGATGGGCTGCCCCTTGAATGATGGAGTAGGTCTGCTTGGGTAGTTCTTGCTGGGAAGAGGAGGAGAAGACCGGTGGCGCTGTGGTGGCCACTGCGATGTTCTGGCCTCCATCGCTCACCACTGTCACTTCTGCTGTCCCCTCCTGAATCAAGGCGTTTAGGCCTTCAAAGTCAGTGCAAGTAATACCCGAACTGGTAATGAAAGTTTGATTGCCAGAGCCTTCCTGGGGGCCACCTGAGGCCGTGGGGATGAGAGTCTGGTGCAGAGTGGCTCCGTCCGTCTGCTCGTGGGTGGTCAGCAGGACAGCCGGCTGGGTCATTGCGCCCGCCTCGCTCGGACACCGCGAGGACTGAGGGGGGGCGATCAGACTGACCTGGCGCAGGATCTGCAGCCGGCTGTTCCCTGGGAGTTCCTCTGGGTTCTGGGCCACCAAGGCAGGCGGGACGATGTTCACTGCAGCGGCGGCAGCCTGGACGATGGTGTTCGCCTGGGGCACCTGATGCCCAACGATGATTTTGACTCTTCCCTCGCTGAACTGGGGCACTTGGCTGGGCTGGAGGGGCACCTGGAGGTGTCCCACAGTGAGGGGCGTGGCGGGCTGCTTGCTGGGGTCGATCTGAAACTGGAGAACGGTCACGTCCGAGTTCTTACTCTCACTGTACTCACTGTGCTGTCTCTTGTGGCTGCGGAGCGAGTCCTCCCGCATGAAGGAGGCATCGCATATATCGCAGTGGAAACTCTTCTTGGCATCCAGCTTGGCCACCTGCCGGCTGCTCTGCCTGCCGGTGTCCTTCCTCTCTAGAGCCTCAGTCTTAACCATGTCCCCATGGAACTTCTTCATGTGCTTGCTCAGGTTGCTGGGCTGTTTGGTGTCGAAGCTGCAGTAGTTGCACTTGAAAGGGCGGTCGGTGCAGTGGATACGCTCGTGGATGCGCAGGGCGGCCTTGCTGGAGCAGGAGTAGCTGCATTCCGAGCACTTCTCAGGATGCTCCGACTGGTGCACGCGGCTGTGCTTCCGGAGGGTGGCTTTGCTGTCACCCAGGAAGTCGCAATGAGGACACTTGAAGTTATTCCCGCTGTGCTTGATACGGATGTGCGACTTGAGGTTCCCCTTCATGGTGCAGCGGACATTGCAGAACTCGCACTTGAAAGGCTTCTCCCCCGAGTGCACCCGCATGTGCCTTTTCAAGTCCGAGCTGATTTTGAACTTGGCGCTACAGAGCCAGCACTGGAAGGGGGCGTCCCCTGTCAACACAAGGTGAGTTTCGATAAGAACAGGCAGGCAACAACCACAGCGGATCCCCCCGAAGCACACACCAGAAAATCGCTTATACAAGGTGGGTGGGTGCAGACCTCCTAACTGCAGCTTCTAGCAGCCCCTGGCAGTGGGGGAAGAGGGGCAGGGCGTCTTTATCTTTCCCCGGAACCCAAACCACCACCACCGGTATCAAACCCAGAAGAAAAATGGGAGATCGAAAAGAGCAATTTAATTGTCCCAGATAAAATAAGATTTACAAGTATACTTGTTATATTCTTTAAAACACTCAAACTATCTTTCATACAGTTAATTTGCCCACTCTGCTAGTTAATGGTTCACAGTTGAAGACTTTTGCACAACCCGTTGATTTTGATTGAGTTACATGTTGTAACAGATTCAACAATATATTTTCGAATGGGTCAGCTCCGTGCTGCACTCATTGGAGTATGGTTTTACAATGACTGAAACACCCAGCTTATATTTCATGCAGATCTTTATTAATAAAGATGTGTTTCTTGCACAAAATTTATTTATCCCATATTGCCAGCTGCGTTCTTTACTTGTGAAGTTACAAAATCCAGCTGCTTGATTTTTTTTAAAAAAAATTCATATTCGCTGAAAGATGAGCAAGGCAAGTGAAATTGCAAACATCTGATTGGATACCATATTCCAAATTTACTTCCTCAATGAATGCCAAGTCCAAATTATCTGAGGCAATGACAATTCAAGCAAATTGGCGACCCCTCATCTCAACATTGTTTAAGTAAGCAAAATAGCAGCTAATATTCTTCGATGGCTTCCGGGATGGCAGGCGCTATGCTGAGCACTCCACAAGCATGGTCTCGCTTGATGCTGGGAAGATTGCCCTGTGGTGGGTGCTATTATTAATATTGTTTTTTAACACAGTTACACAGAGGAGAAGGCTGAGACCCAGACAGACTACATAACTTGTTCTTGGTCGCCCCGTAGTACAAAGAAGGGCTTGGATTCCAATCCAGGCTGACTCCACAACTGGTATCTTTAGATGCTAGGTAATTATCTGTGCATATAACTGATGTTTGCTTTCTTAGGTCATAAACCCACAAGACTGGGATGGTGTTCCAGCTTTTTGACATAGGATCTGCTACTTCACCATGAGCTGCTTAATGAATGCAAACAAAGATGGCAGGAGGCAATTGAACAAGCTTCTAGAACACTGAGAGGCCTAAACCTAAACTTGAAAAAAATGCTTTGTATGACTGAATACCACCAAGATCATGCATACTAAACTCTAGAACAAGGAAGAGTAAGCTACAGCCTATGGGCTAGATCCTGCCCACAGCCTGTTTCTATAAATAAAGTTTTACTGAAACACAACCATGCATATTTGTTTACATATGGTTACTTGCCTGCCATAATGGTAGGGGTGAGTATTTGTGATAGATACTGCATGGCCCACAAAACCTAAAATATTTACTATCTGGCCCTTTTCAGAAAAAGGGCCGTTTGCTGCCTGAGAATGTTGTTCTTAACCTTTTTTATGCCATTACCCCTTTTTGGCAGTTTAGTGAAGTCCATGGAACCCTTCTTAGATAATGTTTTAAATGTACCAAATAAACTAAAATAAAAACCAATAGGAATATAAAAGAAACTAATTATATTAAAATAGTTATTACAGAGAAAAAATTGTGATATGCCAATGTGTGTGTTTCATTAATGAATTCAAGAATCAGACCTAGCGGCAGCTCTAGTAACTACAGTCATTTCTAAATAAAGAAGAGTGTAAAAGATATTTGCTCCATCTGCAGCAATCATTATGAAGAGATTTTTGATTTCCGCTGGCGACAACTTTACATGCACTGTTATCAGATTGGTTGCCTGTTTTCATAATTGAAGGACGTGTCAAATTTTAATACAGGCTAGTGAAAATGAAGACGTCTTTGTTTTCCCCACCCCCATTCAAGGACCTCCTTCCCAAATCTACTCATGGATTTCTCAGGGGCAGACGTCTGTAGACTCAAAGTCAGAATCCTTGCTCCAGAATGTTTTACTAGGTTTTCCAGTTATATCCCTGTCAAAATTATAGTGACAGTCTTTTTTCACTTTTTTTAAGCAATCTGCAGAGGTGAGACCCAGAAAATCCAGAAAACCAAATCTCGCAGCTAAGTTGCAGAGCTTAACAACGTTTTTTGGCATGAAAGCAAAGGTTTTAAATTCCTTTGTCTTTTTTTTTTTAATTTAACCATAAACATTTCTTTAATGAAGTATCCTGGTCAAATAGTCCCACTGGACACTAAGGTCTTCAAAGCTAATGACTATGTTCATTCTTGCCTACTACCTGATTCCCACTGTGTCTGGCACATAGCGAGGTTTAAAGAATGTTGGATGAATGAGCGACATATATTTAAGCTGACAGGTCCTCCTTGAGTTTGGGTTGCTACTAAAACAAGTGTTGATGTAGTCTATCCAATTGCCGAAAGGGTAAAAACAAAATCCTATTAATTTACAGTTTTACCAGTGCCACAGATTTATAAAAGGGAAAATGAACATTCCACGAAGACCATGCATAAATGGCACACACTGAAATTTTTGAAAAACACACCTTTTCTAGACCAATTTTAAAGATGCTGCTATAAATAGTAACTTCATCCTTATCAATCAAAATGAACCATTTTCATAAATGAATTTTTCAGCTTCTCTAACTTAGGCTGGGGGAAATTTCTGAAGCAAATCAGTTGGGCGTCGATTATGCCAATGTCTGAACTTGCTGTAGATTATAAAAATGTTCCCAAATCTTCCCACCTCCCACCCCTCCTTTAGCACGGCCTCTGCCATGTATGTAGTTAGGCATGTTCTCCCGTGATCCATGACAAAAGCCTCAACCATGTCGTTGGGTTTGGCCAATGGTATGTTTAGTAACTTGAAACAAGGAATGGCTTGAAATGGGCTTGTGCACTGGGGCTTGCTTGCTTGCTTACACCTCGGTCATGACCATGCGGTCAATCCTGGCCTAACCTGCTGGTCTCAGAAGGCCAAGAGACATGTGGAGCAGAGCTGATTTCCTCAGCCAAGGCCAGTGGACAGCCAGCCCATAACCAGCAGATCCTCAGACTAATAAGAGAGCCCAGCCAAGGTCAGCTGGTTTGCCCAGCTGATCCCCGCATGGGAACCAGAAAAAGCATATTGCATCTATTGAGGTTTTGTGGGCTATTACGCTGCATCACTGTGACAACAGACAATGGATACAGATATTGGTATCTAGAAAAAGGGTGACGCTGTAACAGAAAACCATAATACAGAGTATTGGTTTTGAGATTCGGTTGCATGTGGAGGCTGGAAAAATGGCAATGCACACTACTTAATGGCAAACATTTGGTAAGACTGTCACTCGTGGTAGCTTAGAAGACAGAAAATGTACATCATGAGTTTTGGACTTGAATAAAGAGATAAATTCTAGGCAGAACAGTGAAAGTGTTTTATAAGCTGCATATGATAAAAGACTACAAGAAAGAGACAAACTCAAAAAAAGAACTGGACATTTTGTAAGCAGAATTTAGAGGGAATATAGAAAGTCAAAGATTACTGGATATAGTTTCTCATCTCCAGCCAGCTTCTCCAGCCAGCTTTCCCAAGTAAGACAAAAGCCTGGGACAAAGACCATATCTAAGAAACTAGTCTCAGAGTGAAGACCAAATGTGAAATAAGGGGTCTGAATGTAAGACTCTTTATTAAAATCTCCAAAAGAGAATTAAGAATGGTGAGAATTAAGTTGGTGCCAAGTATGTTCTCTCAGCTGGACAAAGGACTCCTAAAACCCACAGAAGGTTAAATGCCAAAAGTGCCTATAATTGAGTTTAGAAAAAGAGGCAAGATTCCAAAAGAACTGTGGGTATGGCTTTTGGCATATGGATACATAGGAAACTCACACAGTTTTTAAAGACAGCTCTACCAGCAAAACTGTCACCAGCCTTACTAAAACAAAAGGTAAAAGACCTCCAGCTTTTGGTAGACAGGAAGCAAGCTGAGAAAGTTTCTCAAAGGTACATTTTGCAATCTTTTTCAGAAGTAGCTTAGGAAAGTGATGGAAAGGATGTTCCAATGGGCAGGGTTAAGAACCAAAGAGCTGAGCCAAGGCCTAACCAAGAAACATTCCCTAACCCCTGAGTAGGGGGAACCTGTGCCCAGAAGAATTTCAGAAATGCTATGGACCAGGGACTGACAAATGCCTCCCGTTCTTCTATACTACTTTCTTTCTTTTTTAAAATTATACTTTAAGTTCTGGGATACATGTGCAGAACGTGCAGGTTTGTTACACAGGTACACACGTGCCATGGTGGTTTGCTGACCCATCAACCCGTCATCTACATTAGGTATTTCTCCTAATGCTATCCCTCCCCTAGCCTCCCACCCCTTGACAGGCCCCAGTGTGTGATGTTCCCCTCCCTGTGTCCACATGTTCTCATTGTTCAACTCCCACTTATGAGTGAGAACATGTAGTGTTTGGTTTTCTGTTCCTGTGTTAGTTTGCTAAGAATGATGGTTTCCAGCTTCATCCATGTCCCTGCAAAGGACATGAACTCAACCTTTTTTATGGCTGCACAGTATTCCACAGTGTATATGTGCCACATTTTCTTTATCCAGTCTATCATTGATGGGCATTTGGGTTGGTTCCAAGTCTTTGCTATTGTGAATACTGCTGCAATAAACATATGTGTGCATGTGTCTTACACTACTTTCAAATGGTAGAATTATGGTAATTATTTTGGCTTTTTGTTTTACACTGTATATTGGGTGTATCATGACAGACAACTTGTCTTTTATTTCAACCGTCTCTAGATGAAGAGAAACCATATCCAGACCCAAGGGAGATCACGCAATTGTGGTCTTTAAGGCTGATCCTATGATTGGATGAGACTTGTTAATGCATTTTGCCTGTCAGAGAGATGTGAATGACGGTGGGGATAAAGGCGGACTGTGGTTGTTTGCAAAAATGGTCCCAATTCAGCCCAGCGCGGTGGCTAACACCTGTAATCCTAGCACTTTGGGAGGTTGAGGCGGGTGGATTGCCTGAGCTCAGGAGTTCGAGACCAGGCTGGGCAACATGGTGAAATCCCATCTCTACTAAAATACAAAAAATTAGCCAGGCATGGCAGTGTGAGCCTGTAATCCCAGCTACTCAGGAGGCTGAGGCAGGAGAATCACTTGAACCCAGGAGGCAGAGGTTGCAGTGAGCTGAGATCACGCCACTGCACTCCAGCCTGGGCAACAGAGTGAGACTCCATCTCAAAAAAGAAAGAAAGAAAGAAAAAGTCCCAATTCTTCACCTTCCCTGCATCCCCGACCTTTGCCATGTAACACTGTGATGACCTCTCACTGTCAGTGAGCTCAGTCCCGCCCTTGACACCAGGATGAAACATGTGACTTGCTTTAGCCAATGTGATGCTTGACAACTTATAGAAGCAAAGAGTTGAAATGGGCTTACACTGGGGCTTGCTTGCTTGCACCTCTGCCATCCTCATGAGAAGGACAAGCCTGGGTTAGTCCATGGTCCCAGGAGGAAGATGAGAGATGCACAGAACAGAACCAGATTGCCTCAGCCAAGGCCAGTGGACAGCCAGCCAGCCCATGGCCAGCAGATCCCCAGGGAAATCTGAAAGGCACCCAGCCTTCCCCACACATGTGGTTAAGCCAAGCCAAGATCAACAGAGTTGTCCAGTCAACTTCCTGCTGACCTAAAGTATGTTAGCAACAAATGTTTATTATACAACACTGAGATTTCATGGTTGTTACTGCAGCATGACTGAATCATTATCTAACTGATACACCGAAAGAAAAAAGTATGTAATTTATTGAGTTACCTACTCTGCTAATTTTGCTGTATGTTTTTTGGTCAAGCTGTTCCATGCTGAACTAGAGTATGCTTCAAAAATGATTGGAATGCCTAACCATAATGCAGAATTTATCAAAGATACATGGCTTATACGTGTATTTCATTTCATGCATCTCCTCAATTACACACTTTACAACTGAATAAGTTACAAAGTTATAGAAAGAGATATACATATGTATAAAGTTATAAACTTCATGATTTTCCCCTATTTTACTGAGAAAGGCTCTTCAAGGCAGCTGAAAAGCAAAACTGCAAATGGGCCAGGCACGGTGGCTCACGCCTGTAATCCCAGCACTTTGGGAGGCTGAGGTGGGCAGACCACTTGAGGTCAGGAGTTCAAGACCAGCCTGACCAATATGGCAAAACCCCACCTCTACTAAAATTAGAAAAAGTTAGCTGGGTGTGGTACAACATACCTGTAATCCCAGCACTTTGGGAGGCTGAGGTGGACAGACCACTTGAGGTCAATAGTTCAAGACCAGCCTGACCAATATGGCAAAACCCCATCTCTACTAAAAATACAAAAAATTAGCTGGACGTGGTGCAACATGCTTCTTGGGAGGCTGAGGCACAAGAATTGCTTGAGCCTGGGAGGTGGAGGTTGCAGTGAGCTGAGATAGCGCCACTGCACTCCAGCCAGGGCAACAGAGCGAGACAAAACAACAACAACAAAAAAAAACAAAACTGCAAACAACGGGATGAGCAAAGGTTCCAACTCGATTTCTTACATTGTGGCTGAATGCTTTAAGGTGCTTATGATTTATGCCATAGAAAGTGAGGAGCGTAGAGAGCAAATAACAGGCAGGACTCACCCGTGTGGGATCGCAGGTGGACAGTGAGCTGGCTGGAGTTGCGGCTGGCGTAGGGGCAGATCTGGCATTTGAAGGGCCGCTCGTCCGAGTGGATCCTCAGGTGCTTGTTGAGGCTGCTGCTGTCGGCAGCGGCGTAGTCACACGTCTTACACTTGTAGGGCTTCACGCCCGTGTGGCACCGCATGTGAGTTTTCAGCTTGTCTTTCCGGCTAAAGCACTTGCCACAGACTTCACACTTATGGGGTTTGTCTCCTTCAAACACATACACACACAGATGGCAGCAGGAAACAAGATTAAAAAAGGAAAAGGCTTATTTCCCACTGCCTTACGAAAAAAGTCATATACAACCACCGAAGAATATTCCAAAAACCCTAAAACACTGGGTGGATGATTGGCAAAGAGCTAACATCTTGGGAGAGGGGAAGTTTCTTCCATGTTCCTTATTGGTATTACTTGAATTTTTAAAATGATGAATATGAATTTCTTATAAATTTTTTATAAATTAAAAATAGAAGGCAATTAAAATTTTAAAGTATAGGTACGTAAAATAGTAACAGTTTTGTTAATTTTCCCTTGTATTCACTCTCTCCTTTTTCCTTTTCACAACAGAGATGCACCGTAAAATTTAGAATACCTAAGTTTCAGCAGAGTTCATGGCTCACCAGGGAAAGATTACACTTCTCAGCCTCGCCTGCAGCTAGCTGTGATCTGTGACTAAGTTCCTATCAAAGCGATGGCAGAGAAAGTAAAGTGTGTCTCTTTCACAAGAGGAAACGGCTTGCCTTTTACATTTTCTCTTTTCCTGCTTCTAGCCAAGGCATGGGGATAAGGCAGCAGGTGAGGGCAGGTGAGTGAGTCGGTGAGCGCAGGTGAGTGAGCAGGTGAGGGCAGGTGAGTGAGCAGCTGAGGGTGGCATACCTGCAGATGGTGGAGTCATGTAATAGAATGAGGTGGGAGGAACTTAAGTGCCTGGCTGGTCCCTAGGACAGAGCTGCCCACCTGTCCTAGCCTGCCTGCTCACCTCCGGACAGTTACACGGGACAGATACAAATCCCTATCTTGTTTGAGCTGGTGTTTCAGTTTCATTCTTACAGCAGCTTAATCTGAACCTCACTAATGCTATGTCAACTTGACATCTGTGAACTACTGCTAACTTTTTGATGTATATTTTTCCAATCTCTGTGTGTGTATGTTTTTGGTACATAAAAATTCCTGGCTAACATCAATTTAAATACTTCCTTTTTGAATGGCACTGTGCCTTTGAATTACTTTAGTTAATCCTTGCAACAGCTGGAATTAGAACCCAGGACCGTCTTGTGATTGCTTTCTTTTTTTTTTTTTTTTTTTTTGCCAAATACTGCACTGCCTCCCTATTGACTACTTTCTTGCATGTACGGTAATTTCGATCACCTGTTTCATATCATTACATACCCACAACGCGGTTGTTAAGGCTGAAATATTTCACTGTATGGATGTGCATAAATTACTGAACCCATTCCTTACTTGGCCATGAAAAAGAGTAAGTCGATATGACATACTGATGTGAAATGATGTGCAATAGTAAATGAAAAGAAGCAAGTTGCACTGATAGCGTGTATCATATTAACTTAGTAAGACATGGAAAAATTAAATGTGTGTGTTTTTAGACCTGGTCTAGGCATGCAAATATTTCAGAATGAGACATAGAGGTCTATTAGGAGAGCTGACTTTTGGTCATGGAAGGAGGTGGCTGTGAATCAGGATTTTCTTTTTTTTACTTTATATATCAAATATGTATTTTCACCAAATCGTAACTAGCCAAGTGCTAAAATAGCCAAAGCTGATCACTGTCGTCATAAATAAATATTTGGGATTTAAGAATACATCTAAAAGTTTATTAAAGATCAGCATTTTGGCTGGGCACAGTGGCTGTCACCTGTAATTCCAGCACTTTGGGAGGCCGAGGCAGGCAGATCACTTGAGGTCAGGAGTTCGAGACCAGCCTGGCCAACATGGTGAAACCCTGTCTGAACTAAAAATACAAAAATTAGCTGGGCATCGTGGTGGGCACCTGTAATCCCTGCTACTCGGGAGGCTGAGGCAGGAGAATCACTTGAACTCGGAAGGCGGAGGTTGCAGTGTGCTGAGATTGTGCCACTGCGCTACAGCCTGGGTGACAGAGTGAGACTCCATCTCAAAAGGAAAAAAAAAAATTAGCATTTTTATTATTAAACATTTTAGTAGGCTGGGCGCGGTAGCTCACATCTGTAATCCCAGCACTTTGGGAGGCCGAGGCGGGCGGATCATGAGGTCAGGAGATCAAGACCATCGTGGCTAACACAGTGAAATCCTGTCTCTACCAAAAATACAGAAAAACTAGCCGGGCGTGGTGGCAGGCGCCTGTAGTCCCAGCTACTCGGGAGAATGAGGCAGGAGAATGATATGAACCCGGGAGGCAGAGCTTGCAGTGAACCAAGATCGCGCCACTGCACTCCAGCCTGGGTGACAGAGCGAGACTCTGTCTCAAAAAAACAAAACAAAAACAAAAACACAAACAAACAAAAATTTTAGTCATCAAATTTAAAAATCCAGGAACAATAATTTACCAGCATTGTCAGTGGCTCAGTAGTTCCTGCGGTCACTACACTGTGTATTTGCAACACTGGGCAAATGCTGGATGTTGGCAGAGCTCAGTGGTTTTTGGCCAGCTCTGCTGGTAAAGAGCCCTGTTGCTGTGGTTCCCCCAAACCCCAACTCCAGGGGTAATTAAGCATACCCCCACTCTCTGAAGGTAACTAAGGTGAGGATACATTTAAACTTGAAAATGTAGACAGAGACCGCAGAAACTATCCTCCAAACACAAGGTAGGCTAACTGTAGAAGATATTTTCTGCGGATTTGCAGAAATAGACAAAGCTGTGGCCCTCACTTGTACTTTTACAACGCTTTCTCTATCATCATTAATAATTATAGTACTCAGCCAGATGCGGTAGCCCACGCTTGTAATCCCAGCACTTTGGGAGGCCAAGGTGGGTGGATCACCCAACGTCGGGAGTTCGAGACTAGCCTGACCAACATGGAGAAACCTCGTCTCTACTAAAAATACAAAAATTAGCCGGGTGTGTTGGTGCATGCCTGTAATCCCAGCTACTCAGGAGGCTGAGGCAGGAGAATCGCTTGAACCTGGGAGGCAGAAGTTGCGGTGAGCCAAGATTGAACCATTGCACTCCAGCCTGGGCAACAAGAGCGAAACTCCGTCTCAAAAAAACAAAAACCAAAACAAAACAAAAATTATAGTACTTTATTCTTTCAATAATAAATATGCTATGGCTTGATGGATGAAACTTCAATATATGAAACCCACATGGAGAGTTTAATTGCTTATTACACTAGAACGCTTACCAATCAATACTTGAAACTTAATATTTGGATAATTAGAACAAATCCAGATAGCATGACACTGTGAGGCTGATTAGATATGATGGTGACCCCAGTGCAATAAGGCACTTATTGGTTATGGCCAAGGAATGTAAGAAATAACTGTTGGTTACTCATCTTCCAAAGGCTGAGGCTAAATAGCAGGCTTTGGGCAATTAGCGAAGCCAAAGCCAAAACTCCCTGCATCTTATACACATTTATACTTTTAAAATTTAAATCTGTACTATTTGAATACAAGCATATAACACTTGTTAAAAAAAAGTCTGAAGGCAATTCCTTTTCCATGCAGAAAATCTGGGAAACATAAAAATAATATATTAAAGAAAAATAAAATCACCAGAAATCATCACTTTTTTCTTTTCCCATGCATTGATCTTTCTCTCTTCTTTTAAAACAAGTATTTATTAAATTCTCCTTTCTAAATTACAAAAATAACACACACTCACTGTATTCAGTGATATAACATAAAGATACATAAAATGAAAGTTTTGGCCAGGTGCAGTGGCTCACACCTGTAAACCTAGCACTTTGGGAAGGCAAGGTGGGTGGATCGCTTGAGTCCAGGCATTCGAGACCAGCCTGGGCAACATGGTGAGACCCCACTCTCTACAAAAAATACACAACATTAGCCAGGTGTGGTGGCGTCTGCCTGTAGTCCCAGGTATTCTGGAGGCTGAGGTGGGCGGGTCGAGTGCCACCGCACTCCAGCCTGGGCGACAGAGTGAGACCCTGTCTCAAAATATAAAAGAAAAAGACAAAAAAAGAGACAGTTTCTTTTCTCTCCCCTTATTCCTCTCTTTACTAATCATTACACACACACATATGAACTCGTAGGGTCATCTCCTCAAAATGAGAATATGTGCGTTCAAATTTTAATTAATTTTGGCAGAATCATTTTCAAAATGGCTGTAACAGTTCACATTCCCACTTAGCTAAGTTTGCTCACATCCTCTCCAGAGCTGGATTTTATTATGTTAAAGATTTTTCTGCCAAAGTCATGTGTACAAATGGCACCTTATTTTTTAAAATCTGGACTTGTATTCCCATAACAGCCAGTGACGTTTGGAGTGGTATCATTCGTCTGACCTATGTGGATCCCCATCTCCTAGCACAGAGCAGGTGTTGAGGGCATATGCGCTAAAGAAATGCTACTTACCCGTGTGAATTTTTAAATGCCGCTCCATGTCCTTCATGCCATAAGCAGTCTTGAATTGGCAACCTAAAAAAAAAAAGGAAAGATTAATTACAAAGGAAAACTTAGTAACTTTTAGCATGGAGAAAACTGGTAGAAACATCCTTAACCAAGTGACAAGAGTTAACACCACGGTAATGGGAAAAAGAGATCTCATGTGCCTTCATATGTGATGACCGGGAAAAACACACCGTCATTTTGTGGTTCCTGCCAAAACTGCATAACCTGAATCTGATCATAAGGAAACATCAAATAAACCCAAACTGAGGCCCTTTTGACAAAAATCACTGGCCTATACTTTTCAAAAATGTCAAGCTTATGAAAGATAAATGCTTAACTGTTCTTGATTAGAGGAAATGAAAGACATAAAATCTAAATGCAATTAGTGATCACTGGTTGGAGCCTGGATCAGAGGGGAAAAATGTCATTCTTTTGATATTGGTAGAAAGGACATCGGTGGGACACTTGATGACGAAATCTGACTAAGGTCAGTAGGTTAGATAATAGTTCCTATAAATGTTAATTTTCTGATCTTGATGATTGTCCTGTGGTTATTTAAAAGAATATTCTGGTTTTTAGGAAATACACACTGAAGTATTTAGGAATAAAGGGGCATCACATTGTCAGCAACTTTCAAATGGTTTGGGGAAAACTATACTTGTATATATATTTGTATATATACAAAGAATGACAAAGCAAATATAATAAAATGGTAACATTTGGGGAATCTAGATGAAGGGCATACAGGGATTTTTTTGGTACAATTTTTGCAACTTTTCTGTACATCTGAAATTATTTCTGAATAAATTAAAACCAAAGTAAGGAAAGAAAATTCTTACTGGATATCTTCCTAAGCTATAGCATAGGAAAAAAATTTATAGCAACCTGAAATTTTCACGAGTTCCACTTCAAAGGCCTATGGCTAGAAAAGTCTTAGAACCCAGAGGCAGAATGACCACAGACAGTGGGAGATAGGTTGTATGTGCTGATGTAAATGCCAGGGGGCTCTGATTTTTATGCCAGGTAGTTTGGAACACATCCATGAGCAGTTGTCAGGAACTCATGAGGAGGAGCCCTGGAGCCTGGTTAAATATCACACCCTCTACACAAGTAGGACATAATGCTGCCTTTACCTGGATAGCAACAGTTAAGCCTTTTCTGAGCAGGTGGTGTTGTGGGCTTTTTGGTGCGTGACTTGGCAGGGAGAGAGATGACAGTGGCTGTCTGGTTTTCATTACTTTCCGTGGGCAGGTAAGTTTGATAGCCATGTTCAAAAACAAATTCTGGAGCTGAAACTAAAAGATATGGTGATTATTAATTTTCTTAATATAAATGCCCGCTAGCTATGGTGTCTGCCTACTTTCCTTTGTAGAGAGAATGCATGTACTAGTTTGCTTTCCCAGCCTCCCTTGCGGCTTCACAGTGATCATGTGACCCAGTTCTAGCTAATGAGACACTAGAGAGCATCCGCTGGGAGACTTCTGCAAAAGACTTTCCTCCCTGATTTAAAATAGCATGGGGGGGCAGGGTGGGCAGGGCAGATGGTAAAAGAAGCAGTTGAGAAAAGCTCATCTTGCTGCCCTGGCTGCCCTACTTCCTGTCTTTGTATATGCTGGAGTGATGATGTGATGCCTGGATCTGTGGCAGCCATTCTGTAACCATAAGGGTAAACATGGAAATCAGATGCTGAGTCAGAGCTCTGAAGCCACCCAAATCTATACTTTTTTCTTTTTTTTTTTTCTGAGATAGGGTTTCATTTTGTCACCCAGGCTGGAGTGCAGTGGCATGATCACAGCTCACTGCAGCCTTGACCTTCCAGGCTGGAGCAATCCTCCCACCTTAGCCTCACAAGCAGCTGGGACTATAGGCATGCACCACCATGCCCGGCTAATTTTTGTATTTTTTGTAAAGACTGGGGTCTCGCCATGCTGCGCGGGCTGGTCTCAAACTCCTGAGCTCAAGTGATCTACCTGTCTCTGCCTCCCACATTGTTAACTACCATGCCTGCCCTAGACTTCTTAAATAAACAAGAAATGTCCCTATAATTTATGTCCCTATAATTTATGCCAGGTAAGATTTCTGTTAACTGCAGCCAAATGCATTAAGTGCTTTCATAAGCTATATGACAAAATCCTAATGAAACACCAAAAAGGAACGATAGAAGGGATTTGGGGCAAAATTAGTCTAATTAACATTCTTCTCAGCATAAGTATTTCCCCCCCTCAAAAAATTCCTTGTACTCTTACTGAGGTTCTGAAGCAAAAAGAAAAAAAAAATAGCAAAACACAGACTAAATATAAAATATAATTGTAGGCTGGGCGCTGTGGCTCACAGCTGTAATCCTAGCAGTTTGGGAGGCTGAGGCAGGTGGATCACCTGCGGTCAGGAGTTCGAGACTAGCCTGGTCAACATGGTGAAACCCCATCTCTACTAAAAATACAAAAATTAGCTGGGCATGGTGGCGGGCACCTGAAATCTCAGCTACTCTGGAGGCTGAGGCAAGAGAATTGCTTGAACCTGGGAGGCGGGGGTTGCAGTGAGCCAAGATCGTGCTGTTACACTCCAGCCTGGGCGACAAGAGCAAAACTCTGTCTCAAAAAAAATAAAAAATAAATAAAAATAAGTAAATAATAAATAAAATTGTAAAAGATAAGATAGGCAGTCTCAAATTTTTTTGTTGTAAAAAATTAAGTGACTACTTTGTTAACTACATTTATAGTCTGGGACTTAGGCATGTTTCCTCCCTCCCTTCCTCCCTCCCTTCTTCTCTCCCTCCCTTCCTCCCTCCCTCCCTCTTCCCTTCCCCTCCCTCCTTCTCCTCTTCCCCTTCCCTCCCTCCCTTCTTTCCTTCCTCTCCTCCTCTTTCTTTTTCTGGTTCTTTCTTAGAATGTACTTTGTCATATGAAGATTGGGTTTCAAATAAGAAGTAAATATGACCAATGGAGGCTTGTTCATTGGATGAACCTGTCAGGCTAAGAGGCCCTAATGATGATTTTGAGAGCCGCTGTAATATTCTGTTTCCCAAACTTCAGTCACTCAGACACCACCTTTGACATTTTTGACATTTTATTTACAGATTATTTAAGTCAACACAGGCCTAACATCACTGTTTATTTTAGCTTTGTCCAAAGCACTAATATCCATGCCACAGGCTCCAGGTGCTAGTTTGTTTTCTCTTAAACACTATATTTCTTTGAATCTAAGATGTTTTAGATTGTAAAATGTGTCATAATTTCATATATGATTAAAATGCTGCCAATTAAACACATTATGACAACTCTTTCTTTTTTTAGGTATTTTATTTTATATTTATCGAATGGGCTTTTCCTGACTTCTTTGGACATTTGGCAGGAAACCCAAGTTCCTGATCTCCATCTCTTTGGCACCTTCAGTAGTGATCATATCACTCTGATACACCTCAAATGATACCTTGGTGCTGTCAGCATTTGGTATTTGAGTAAAGCCACAGTTTCCATTTTTCTCAATGGAAATATGTGTAGGGAAGTCAAGGGCTTTGGTTTAAAGTCAGCTGAAAGATTCAGACAAACTGATGTTTCCTGTTATCATGCCAAGTATCTCTGATGCATGAATCAGCTGCACCTGTCTCTTGTTGAAATGTTTTCATTTGCTCTGTGGGATCTGGCTATTTCTCCTGGTTTCTCTCGCTCTGCTTGGTTCTCAAAGCATGGTCCCCAGACAGCAGCATTGGAGCTGCCTGGGAACTTGTTACCAAAGCAAATTTTTTGGGCCCCATCTCAGACCTACTGAATCAGACACTCTGGGGGTGCACCCAACAATCTGTGCTCTAACAAGCCCTCCAGGTGATCCTGATACATGCTCAAGTTTAAGAACCATTAGCAGAGACCATCCTTTTCCACCTATCTTGGCAGTAGAACTTAACCCAGCTCTGTCTATATGAGGAATTCCACCTCTCTCGGTTGTTGCTTTGCAAGAACGTGCAACTGCAGTCACTCCTCCAACACTGAAGATTTGCTTCATTAATATCAGATTTACCCCGTTACGGTTTTCAGGCATTTCTGGGTAAGCAATTACTTTTCATCTTCAACTTGCTTCATCATGCAATATCTTGGAAGACATTTTAAACAGCAATTAAACTCAATACATACAGTTCCAAAATTGCACACAATGCAGCTGAGGTAAGAAAAATGTGACCCACTGAAATCAAGTTTGTTCACATGCACAGCAAGGTAATGTTTTTGGACTGCCTGCTGGTTGACAGAAATCTCACTAATTCTAAAATGCATCGTTGTTTCAGATATGTTAAAATGTGTCTTCAGACTGATATAAGTTCAGGTTTGATCATTCACTATGGATGTGACCTCAGGCCAGTTATGTAACTTCATTGAACTTGTTTTCTCACTATAAATGGGGACAATCACCATGCCCACTTCATAAGGGTGTTGCAAAGTTTAACAAGAGAATTCAGTAGCACAGGATGTGGCCATGGTTGAATCTCAATAAATGTCAACAGGGATATATTACAGTTCAATAGAACCAGACTCTGGCACTTGTGCATCAAACTCTCAACTGAAATGCTCATGAGCTAGGATGATCAACCATCCCTGTTTGCCTTGTAGTGGAGTTTCTCAAGAATTTTGGTGCTAAAACCAGGGTGCTGGGCTATGGTCATACTCCATGGCCTCCCAACCTTCTGCTCTACAACTTCCTGCACAAGTGACCCCCTGTGCTGGAAGGTGTTCACAGTGGGGTGAGTATGGGTGGCCAGGTCCTCCCTACAAGTCAGCTCGCGGGCTCCTCAGCACTCTCTTGAAAGGTAGGTGGTAGGCCCTTCACCCTCCTGCCACTTTCTGCTCTCTCCAGAGATTGGCTGGGCTCCATCTCTTAACTGTCCTCTACCATAAGCCTGGGCAAGTCACAGCAGAGGGAAACACAGGAGTATTTTGGATATCAACCCCTTCTCAGATGTATAATTTGCAAATATTTTCTCATTCCATAGGCTGTATTTTCATTTCTGCTGTTTCCTTTGATGCACACAAGTTTTAAAATTTAACGTAGTCCCAGCTGGGTGCAGTGGCTCACACCTGTAACACCAGCACTTTGGGAGCCCGAGGCAGGCGGATCACCCGAGGTCGGGAGTTTGAGACCAGCCTGACTAACATGAAGAAACCCCATATCGACTAAAAATACAAAATTAGCTGGGCATGGTGGCATATGCCTGTAATCCCAGCTACTTGGGAGGCTGAGGCAGGAGAATCGCTTGAACCTGGGAGGCAGAGGTTACGGTGAGTCCAGATCATGCCATTGCACTCCAGCCTGGGCAACAAGAGCAAAATTCCGTCTCAAAAAAAAAAAATTAATATAGTCCCATTTGTCTGTTTTCACTTTTGTTGCCTGTGCTTTGGTGTCTTGGAGAGGCAGCAGGAAGCATCATGAGTGGGCAGGTTAAACACAGCAAAGGGCCGGGCGTGGTGGCTCATGCCTGTAATCCCAGCACTTTGGGAGCCTGAGGTGGGCGGATCATTTGAGGTCAGGAGTTTGAGACCAGCCTGGCCAACATGGTGAGACCCTGTCTCTACTAAAAACACAAAAATTAGCCAGGCGTGGTGGTGCGCACCTGTAGTCCCAGCTACTCAGGAGGCTGAGGCAGGAGAATCGCTTGGACCCAGGAGACAGAGGTTGCAGTGAGCTGAGATCATGCCACTACACTCCAGTCTGGGTGACAGAGGGAGACTCCATCTCAAGGAAAAAAAAACAAAACCCAACAGCAAAGGGATTCAGGCACCCAGGTGCAGGGATCATTTTGGGGCAGGGCTAATCCCATGTAACCTGCGAGTCATCCCAAAGTAGATGGCTATAGACCAGAAAGGGTTTGCTCCAGAGCTTAGGCTGTGTCTTACCTCCTTGGTCCTCAGTTTCTTTACCTGGAGAATGTGGACAATTTCCATTCCTATCTCCTAGGGCTGCTGTGAGGATCAGAAACCAGGCATGTAAAGCTGCTGTTGCTGTTGACTTTATTCACTAATTTATTCAGCAAATATTTATTAGGTACTGTACTGACTGTGTGCCAGGAACTGTTCTAAGCACTAGAAACAGAGCAGTGACTCAGAGACAAAAATCCCTGCCCTCATGGAGCTGACACTCTAGTTAGGAGTGGTGCATGCAATAAGTATTTAAATATATAGTGTGCAAATCAAGTGGTGTAAATATTACAGAGAAAAATAAAGCAGGGAAGGGAACCAGGAAATGCTGGTGGGCATGCAATTTTAAGTAGGTCCAGGAAGGCCTCAGTGAGAAGGTAACATTTGAATATAAAACATGGAAGCATATAATTATTATATTAATAGTATTCTGTTGCAGGTGTCCAGAATTCAATAGCAACAAAGGGGCATTGGGTGCTGAAGACTCTCATCCAGATGGTCGGCTTGCTGGCGCCTCCTAGCTGGATTTATCAAGGGTATCCCTTCCCACACACGTGGCCTTTCTAGAATCTGCTGTGAACAGCAGGACCTGCAGAGACACCCCAGGGAAAGGCTTATGGTAATCACTGAGGGACTGCTGGCAACCAGAGGCCTCCTCATCCCCTTTGGTTGTTTGCATGTGATTTGATGCCGGAGTCGCCACTCATCCCCAGGGGGTGTGTGTGCATATGTGTATGTGTATGTGTATGTGTCTGTGTATGCGTATGCGTATGTGTATGCGTATGTGTATGTGTATGTGTCTGTGTGTGCGTATGTGTGAGCATGCATGGTCAGACTGACCTTGGACCAATTTGGGTGTTTTATTTCATTTTTTTTTTAGATGGAGTCTCGCTCTGTTGCCCAGGCTGGAGTGCAACGGCGCCATCTTGGCTCACTGCAACCTCCGCCTCCCGGGTTCAAGTGATTCTCCTGCTTCAGCCTCCCTAGTGGCTGGGATTACAGGCACACACCACCACACCTGGCTAATTTTTGTATTTTTAGTAGAGACAGAGTTTCACCATGTTGGCCAGGCTGTTCTCAAACTTCTGACCTAAGGTGATCTGCCTGCCTCGGCCTCCCCAATTTTTTTTTTTTTGAGATGCAGTCTCGCTCTGTCACCCAGGCTGGAGTGCAATGGCGTGATCTCGGCTCATTGCAATCTCTGCCTCCTGGGTTCAAGCGATTCTCCCGCCTCAACCTCCTGAGTAGCTGGGACTACAGGTGCCTGCCACAGTGCCCAGCTAGTTTTTGTATTTTTAGTAGAGATAGAATTGCACCATGTTGGCCAGGCTGGTCTCACACTCCTGCCTCAGGTGATGTGCCCGCCTCGGCCTCCCAAAGTGTTGGGATTACAGGCGTGAGCCACCGCGCCCGACCAACTGGGTGTTTGTATGCAATTTGATGCCAGAGTAGCCACTCATCCCCAGGTGAGTGTATGTGTGTGTGTGTAGTGGACCTTGGACCAACCTGGGTGTGTGCATGTGATTTGATGCTGCAGTCACCACTCATTGCCAGGGGTGTGTGTGTGTGTGTTGGTGTGTGTGTGTGTGTTTGTGTGTGTGTGTGTGTACAGTCAGATTGACCCTGGGCCAACCTCTGTCTCCTCTCACTAGCTATAGGGCCTTGACCAAGTCACTTCTCTGCTCTTCAGTTCTTTTGTCGGTAAAATGGGGATATTGCAGTGATCTCAGAGCTTAGATCTTGTTGTTCTAGTAAAGATTCAAGGGAAGGATAAGGCATACTGCAAGTCGGGCACACTGCAAGTTCTTGAGAATTCTCAGTGGACATTACGGTAACTATGCATAATAGGTTATTATTTATCTGTATTCAGGTTTGGCATAATGAGTGGCATGGGCCTTGGGGAATCTCAGAGCACCCTAGAAGAAGGTGAAACGCCCCACATCTGCTGAGGCGGGATGACTCATAACCTTGGGGGGAAGTGCTTCCAGTAGAGGCGTGACTTGCCCACGCCCCAAGAATATTCTCTAGTCCCTCTTTTCACCGAGAATGCAGCACGGGCCACCTCTTTATGTGGGGGTCTTATGTCTAACTTTTTGCAAGAGCTCAGGGCTTCAGCCTCTACCCTGGTGTGGCCATTAAAATCAAGCCTCCTGTTTAGTGAGATCAGACCCTGTCCCCGATACCCCAAGAAGCTCACAGCCTCACACACCTGCTGCAGCTTTCAGGTTTGTTTTCTGGCTCCAGGGGATTTCCCTTCTTTCCTGCATGTTCAGGTGTGCATCTGAGAATTGCTTATTGTATTTAGTTCTGGTTTGTAGCAGGGGCATATTCAGTTATTTGATCATGATGTTGTTTAAAATGTATGACTGTTATATGAATTTCATGAAATAGATAATCCACATCTATTTCTCTGAAGTTTGTCTCTGTGGAGTCTTAGGGCTCACATGAACCAACCATAGCTCCTTTTCTACCAAATTGCCTTTCAGACATCTCAAGACAGCTTTGATATCTCCCTATCTAATTTGCTTCCCCCTTCCCTTCTTCAACTTAAAAATTCCATTTAACAAATCCTTTTCTCTTTTTAAATGACAATGTTTATTTTTGCAAAATAAAAGTTAACATGAATTTTAGGATTTTCTTCTCTACACAGAAAAGTTGAGAGAAGAAAAAACTAGGCTAAGTGTAGTGGCTCATGCCTGTAATCCCAGCAATTTGGGAGGCTGAGGCAGGATGATCACTTGAGACCAGGAGTTTGAGACCAGCCTGAGCAACACAGGGAGACGCCGTCTCCACAAAACCATACAAAAAATAGCTGGGTGTGATGCTGTGTGCCTGTAGTTTCAGCTAATTGTGGGGCTGAGGTGGAAGGATGGCTTAAGCTCAGGAGTTCCAGGCTGCAGTGAGCTATGATTGCACCACTGCACTTCAGCCTGGGTGACAGAGCAAGACCGTCTCTAGAAAAACAAAACAAAAAACTTCCCAATGCTGTCAAAACATGGCAATATACATCCTTGCTTTTTTTTTTTTCTTTTTTTTTGAGACGGAGTCTGGCTCTGTTGCCAGGCTGAAGTGCAGTGGTGCAGTCTTGGCTCACAGCAACCTCCGCTACCCAGGTTCAAGTGATTCTCCTGCCTCAGCCTCCTGAGTGGCTGGGACTAAAGGTGTGCGCCACCATGCCTGGCTAATTTTTGTATTTTTAGCAGAGATGGGGGTTTCACCATGTTGGTCAGGCTCATCTTGAACTCCCGACCTCAAGTAATCTCCCTGCCTTGATCTCCAAAAGTGCTGGGATTACAGATGTGAGCCACCGGTGCCCAGCCTACATCCTTACTTTTTATACAAAGCTCCTATCGCTACTGTGATTAAATACTTATTTGAGAAATTATTAAATGACTATTCTCTCTTCTATTTGGTTGGAGGAGTTAAGTGAGGACAGACCCTTGTTTCTTTCCATTACTGTTCCCCCTGCACCCACCACAGAACCAGGTGAAGGGGAGGAGCTCAAAGAACATTTGTTTAATTAATGATCAGCTAAAGGGCTAACCTCTTTTATATATAGAAAATATATTTTAGGGCCGGGAGCGGTGGCTCACGCCTGTAATCCCAACACTTTTGGTGGCTGAGGCAGGCGGATCACCTGAGGTCGGGAGTTCGAGACCAGCCTGGCCAACATGGCAAAACTTTGTCTCTACTAAAAATACAAAAATTAGCTGGGTGTGGTGGTGGGTACCTGTAATCCCAGCTACTCGGGAGGCTGAGGCAGAATTGCTTGAACCCGGGAGGCGGAGGTTGCAGTGGGCCAAGATCGCGTCATTGCGCTCCAGCCTGGGCAACAGAGTGAGGCTCCATCTCAAAAAAAAAAAAAAAAAAAAAAGTATATTTTAAAAGTATAAAACTAGGATCATGGCTTAAATCATTTAATATATATTTTTAATGAAACACTTTTGCCATGTTAAAACATCTTATCATGTTGTCATTCATCGAAAACACAACCTCTAATGGCCACATAATATTTCATCATTTTGGTTGCTGAATAGTTTAACCATTTCCCTTTCTTGGACATGGAGGAGACATCTAGGAATTGACTTTTATGAGTAAAACCTGTCCAGAAGTTTAAATTTATCCCTCATTTCTTTGGGTACATTCCTTGAAATTGAAGACTTGGGTTAAAATGGTACAGATGTTTTATTACTTGGTGATTATATAATTATAACATCCTTTCAGAAAACTGAAATTATTTGCATTTTCCCCTTAACCTTGGCTGTCACAGAGACGACTTGAGAGGACAAAATGAGATCACTTGAGTTTAACTTGCATTTCCTTTACATGTAATTAGTGAGATTAAACTCCCTTTCAACATTTATTTTTCCAATGACATGCCTTATTTGGTGAACTTCCTGTTTATTCTATTAGCTCATTTTTTCTATTGGAATTTTAATTTTTTTCTTGATTTGTAAATGCTTTTTGCAGATTAAGGATACTATCTTTTGTTTTGTTTTGTTTTGTTTTTGAGACAGGGTCTGGCTCTATCTCCCAGGCTGGAGGGCAGTGGCACCATCTCGGCTCACTGCAATATCTGCCTCCCAGGTTCAAGTGATTCTCCTGCCTAAGCTTCCTGAGTAGCTGGGATAACAGGTATGCGCCACCACGCCCAGCTAATTTTTGTATTTTTTGTAGAGACGGGGTTTCGCCATGTTGGCCAGCCTGGTCTTGAACTCCCAGACTCAAGCGATCCTCCCTCCTTGGCCTCCCAAAGTGCTGGGAGTCCAGGCAAGCGCCACCGCGCCCAGCAGGATATTATCATATATTCAGGTCTCTTGATTTTTTTGTGTATGTTGTTTTTTGCAGTGTCGTTCATGCTTAGGATTCTCATTTAGGGTTCTTGATCTCCAGGCAAGTATCCCAACTGTAAACTCAGAATTCACTGTCTGAGGCCGGGCATGGCGGCTCACGCCTGTAATCCCAGCACTGTGGGAGCCCGAGGCGGTCGGATCCCTTGAGGCCAGGAGTTTGAGACCAGCCTGGCCAACATGGTGAAACCCTGTCTCTGCTACAATACAAAAATTAGCCGGACGTGGTGGTGGGCGCCTGGAATCCCAGGCACGTGGGAGGCTGAGGCAGGAGAATCGCTTGAACCCAGGAGGCAGAGGTTGCAGTGAGCCGAGATCGCACTACACTCCAGCCTGGGTGGCAGAGTGAGACTCCGTTCCCTTCCCCCCGCACCCCCGCTGCCGCCCCCGCCCCCAAAATAATTCATTTTCTGAGAGAAAAGAGAAAATCCACCCCTTTCACTTACGCTGTTCCCAAACGGCCTTTACCGTCCACAGTGGGCGTTAGACCGGCCCAAATGTCCCTCCCCAGGGGTGAGTGGCGCTGCCCTGTTGGAAGCCCTGACCACGCCCCAGCTCTGCCTTTGCTGATTGGTGCAGTGGAAGACACCTGACAGCAACTGGGCCAATCGAGTCTCTTGCTCTGAAATTGAATCCTGCAGCCAGGCGTATTGGCGGCTGCCGTTAAAGTCCCAACTATGACCCAGACTGAGGTGGGAGCATCTCTGGAGCCCAAGAGTCCGAGTCCAACCTGGGCGACGTAGTGAGACCTTCCCCCCACCCGCCCAATCTCTTAAAAAAACCCAAACTGAGACTAAGACGCTCAGGTTTGGTGTGGACTTTCCTTCTGAACAAAGAAGACATAAACTTTGGGAATGGTCACAGGGCAGCAGTGCTTATCCAACCACAATCTCTCTAAAATGTGGATTCTGATCAGCAGTTCTGGGTGGGGCCGAGACTCTGCCTTCCCAGCATTTCCAACAAGCCCTTTGAGCTGTACAGTCTGGAAAACCCTAAAATATTTCTAGCTTCTGGTTCAATCTCTCTTTTTTTTTTTTTTTGAGACGGAGTCTCGCTCTGTCGCCCAGGCCGGACTGCGGACTGCAGTGGCGCAATCTCGGCTCACTGCAAGCTCCGCTTCCCGGGTTCACGCCATTCTCCTGCCTCAGCCTCCCGAGTAGCTGGGACTACAGGCGCCCGCCACCGCGCCCGGCTAATTTTTTGTATTTTTAGTAGAGACGGGGTTTCACCTTGTTAGCCAGGATGGTCTCTATCTCCTGACCTCATGATCCACCCGCCTCGGCCTCCCAAAGTGCTGGGATTACAGGCGTGAGCCACCGCGCCCGGCCGGTTCAATCTCTTTTTGAGATCCAGCTGCGTGCCTGCCTATAATTCTCCCTTATGCCTATATCCTTCTAAACAAAGTCTCCCCTCTGGCTTGAATTATAGCCAAAGTAGGGGGTCTGTTCTAAGCAAACGAACAGTCCTATATAACGGAAAATTAACTTGCCCTATACTGGGACTTCACCAAACAGGAAAAATAAACCATGGATGGAACAGAGCTTCCTCCCACATCCCACCCTACCCTCCCTCCCTCAGTGGGCCGTTCATTCATTCCTCAGATCTGTTGAGCACCTATTGTGAACTAGACTCTAGTGCCAGTGGGTTTCCATCCCTTCAACCCCTTCTGGTTGAATGGTTCTCAAATTTGATCATGCATCACAGATTCTGATGCAGAGATTTGGGGTAAAGTTTAGATATCTTTATAGCTGTATTTTAAACACATTTTCCAGGTAATTTTTTGCACAGCAGCATTTGAGAACTGCCACTCTAGTCCCTTTAACGAGGCAGTGGTAGGAACGTGGCCCTGCGGAGGGGACTTGGGATTGGGTTCCACTGGTAGGCCCCTTCTCCTTGTCCCTTGGCAGCCTAACTGCCTCCACTACAGTGCAACTGGGCAAAGCCATGTGTCCCAGTTTTGGCCAGCAGGATCTGGAGTTTTGGGAGTTCATCAGGGAGCATTTCCTCCCTGATACATTTAATTTGCTCCTTTCCCTGCTTGTGGGTGTGCCTGAGAGATCTGATGCCCAAGGCATTAGCCGCCACCATGCGGCCATGCGGAGGACGCGAGGGCAAAGGATAAAAGCCCACCACCGAGAACAGGAGGAAGACGGAAAGAACTCCGCACCTTTGAGCTGCCGAACTGACCTTGCCTGTTCTGGCTATGAGAGATAATATGTGTCTTTAACTGTTGTGCACACTTTTAGTTTGCTGTTGTTAAGAGCAACAGAGGCCGGGCGTGGTTGCTGACGCCTGTAATCCCAACACTTTGGGAGGCTGAGGCGGGCAGATCACGAGGTCAGGAGTTGGAGACCAGCCTGACCAACATGGTGAAACCCCGTCACTACTAAAAAATACAAAAATTAGCTGGGTGTGGCAGTGGGTGCCTGTAATCCCAGCTACTGAGGAGGCTGAGGCAGGAGAATCACTTGAACCTAGGAGGCAGAGGTTGCAGTGAGCCGAGATTGCACCACTGCACTCCAGCCTGGGCGCCAGAGCAAGCCTCTGTCTCAAAAAAAAAAAAAAAGAAAGAAAGAAAAAAGAAAAAAAAGAGCAACCGAAAGCATCTGACCTGACCCAACCACTCCCTGGCTGGTTCAGATTCCCCGGACCTTGCTCAGACCCCCTAATATATTATCCCCAGGAAGGGTCTGGATATCTGCATTTTTCACGGAAGCTTCAGATGGTTCTTATGCACAAGCAAGTTTGAGAAACATCGCAATGAGGAATTTACTAAGTGGCAGTACTGATTAAGAGCACAGGTTTTGCAACCAGACAGCCTGGGTTTGAGACCCGGTTCTGCCACTTTCTGTCATCTGGACAAGTTATTTAACCCCTCTGTGCCTCAGTTTCATTACTGGTCAAATGGGGATAATAATTATTATTACCTAACTTTTGGTTACAAAAAACTACTTTATATAGAGTACTTAGAAAAGTGCATGGCATAGAATGAGCACTGTGTAAGAATTTGCTATTATTGTTTCCAGATCCTTCTGGCAATCACCACATAGTTTGTCTTACTAAATCACTCATGTGTTCAAGAACTTTCAATGGATCCCCAGCTCCTTCAGAATAAAGGACAGAGCTGAAGCATGACTCCCACCACGTTCCCCTGTGCCATCTCTAGCCACTGTTTTCAAATCTTGCCCTGAGCTTCCCCCACCCCCTCCAAACCACCATTAGGAAATGCCCCCTTTCCCACCGTCTTTCTCCCAAAAGCCAATGGGTCTTTCAAAGCCGGTTATACATTTGCTTTCATTCACAGTTCTCCCCCCTGACTTTCCCAGTTGGAACCAACAGTCTCTGTGAATTCTTCACACCTTTAAGACTACACTTGTCACAAACAGCTGGGCTTGAATGTCTTACAACTAAATCCTCCTCCCCTCCCCGAGGGGCTTGGAATTCTCCAAGGGCAAGCATCTCCATTATCTGAGTTCCATCATTTGCCACACAACAACCCTAAAGTGACTGATATGGTTTGGCTGTGTCCCCACCCAAATCTCATCTTGAATTGTAACTCCCACAATTCCCATGTATCATGGGAGGAACCTGGTGGGAGGTGACTGAATTATGGGGGTGGGTCTTTCCTGCACTGTTCCTTGTGATAGAGAATGAGTCTTATGAGAGCTGATGGTTTTAAAAAGGGGGGTGTCCCTGCACAAGCTCTTATCTCTTGTCTGCTGCTATTCAAGATGTGCCTTTCACCTTCTGCCATGACTGTGAGACCTCCCCAGCCATGTGGAACTGTGAGTCCAATAAACCTCTTTCTTTTGTAAACTGTTCAGTCTCTGGTATGTCTTCATCAGGAGCATGAAAACGGACTAACACAGCCACCATCACTAAGCCCTCATGATGGGGCACATGCCATACACACCATGTGCTTCAGGCATATAAACACATTTAATCCTCACAGCCACCCTTTCCTGCCCTCGTTCAATAGCTGTTTTATTGAGTGCCTATGATGTGCCAGACCTGGTGTGTTGGGTGGTGGGAAAATAAGACTGATTAGGTCTCTGCATGCAGGGAGATTTACAGTCTAGTAAACTAGAAATTGAGCAACTAATTTGGAGCTCACAGGCCAAACTGAAACTTCAGATTCTTTTTTAAGGCTTTCAAAATCAATCAGGCGGGCAGGGCCTTCCCCATGTCATTGTCCTCTGGCCAAAGACCAATAGGGACACCCCTGTCACTGAATAAGTTTATTACTCATTGCAATAAGGAAAACCTCAGAGGGTGCCAGAAATAACTTATTTTATTTTAGGTTTGGGCTCATGTTAGATGCTTTTGGAGGAGTTCAAGAAAACCTCCATCAGAGGCACCAGCAAGTGGGGCTAATTCTATGATTTGTTATTTTAAAAAATATTATCAAGAGGGAAAGAAGGCTAGACAGAGCAAGACTCAAACTTTAATAGGCAAAGAAGTAATGTCACTCAGATTAACAGAGGGGAGGAGGATGTCTGGTATTTTGTGGCTTGGACAGTGTTCCCATTTTGTCTGGGCTCACACATGATGACAGATGTGGTATTGTTTTTGTCTTGCCCACCACGGTCAGAGTGGCCTTGTCTGATGTTGGTGTTTTATGAAACTGTGAACAACTGTGTATGTTCAACAGTAGAACAGCATGGCCTACCTGTGGGCCAGCCCAGTTCCTAGCAACACCAAGACCCAGCTAATCATGGCTGCTGGCTGTCAGGGGCTGCTTTCCTCTTTCTCTGCTAGTTGGCCACAGGCCCTCTCCCTCTCTATCGTAATATGTGCTGCTGCAAACGCCACCCTTGGAATCGCATTGGAATTCACTTCTCTAATTGACTTCTTAATTTAATTCACTTCTCTAGTTCACTGCCCTTGGAATTGCATTGGAATTCACTTCTCTAATTAAAGACTAATTAGTTACAATTGTGATACATGCTAGCGGAGAAAACAGAAACCTAATTGTGGGAGTAGGGAGAAGGGGAAATCAGAGCTGGCTTCTAGGTGGAGGTGACTTTTAACCTGGGACTTAAAGAGTAGGAATTAACCAGAAATGGCAAAAAAAAAAAAAAAAAAAAAATCAATCTTGGTCAAGTGATCAATTCAATGAATATTGACTGAGGGCTTGCTATGAGCTCTGTGCTAACAATCCATGGGCTGTTTTGTTTACTTTCACAGCCCCCTGATTATGTAATGAGAGCTAACAGTGACAGCTCGAAATGGCTTCCATGTAGGAGCCCACTGAAGCCTGGCTGGAACCATCAGAGATGAGTTCTATCATCACTTTCATTTTACTATTGTGGAAATGGAAACACAGTGTAAGTAACCTGCCCAAGGTCACATGGTCAGCAAGTGGTACAGCCAGGATATGAACCCAAGCAGTCTGTCTCAGGACCCCAGACTCTTCATTACCAAACCCTGTCCCCTGTTTATTTTTTTATTTTTATTTATTTTTGAGATGGACTCTCGCTCTGTCGCCCAGGCTGGAATGCAATGGCACGATCTCCACTCACTGCAGTCTCTGCTCACTGCAACCTCCACCTCCCAGGTTCAAGCGATTCTCCTGCCTCAGCCTCCCGAGTACCTGGGATTACAGGCACCTGCCACCATGCCCGGCTAATTTTTGTATTTTTAGTAGAGATGGGGGTTTCACCACATTGGCCAGGCTGGTCTCGAACTCCTGACCTTGTGATCCACCCACTTCAGCCTCCCAAAGTGTTGGGATTACAGGCACGAGCCACCACACCCAGCCCCCTCTCTGTTTATTTTTATCCTCACTTTGAAATGAATGTAATGTAATTTGCCATGGTCATGGGGTTCCTGAGGCCTTACGCAGCCAAGATTCAAACTCAGGGACCTGACTCCAAAGCCCGGTGATTTGAAGCCATGAACTTAGAAAATGCACATGGGATATATTTCCATGAGCATCCACATGTAATTTTACAGCTCCCATATGAAAGTCCTTAAGTCACATGCCAGACAACGGGCAGCTTTCAAAGCTAGTAGGCAGATAATAAATTTTACTTTAAACCCAAGTATTATCAGGCAGAGGAGACATAGGAGAAGAGCGAGAAACGGTTTGGCTTAAGCAAGGACAAACAAGTCTGGAAAATGTCCAGATGAGGATATCTGCAGAAATCCACCATTTGGGGGGTTGGACTGTGGTCTTGAGCAGTGAATAATTCTCCAACCTGGCTGAGATCCGGAATCCCCCAGGAGCTTGTTAAAAATACAGATACCTGAGCCTCGGCTCCAGACATTCAGATTCAGGAGGTGGAGCCCGGGCACCGGTATCCTTAACAAGCTCCCAGGGGATCTTGGTCCATAGGCAGGTCTGGGAACTGCCAGTCAATGGAAACTTGAAGCACAATAGGAGGAATTGCACCCAGAAAACCAATCTAATAAGTGTAAAAAAGAAAAGAAAGCAGAATTCTGCTTGTTTAGTTGGCACAGAGGCAGGAACCATCAGGAGGAGCAGCTGAGTCAGACGGAGACAACGCAAGCTGCAGATCTCACCATCCTTTCGCCACCTGTTTATTAGACTCTACATTAATAAAAGCGATCGCTCATTGAACCCAATTTCTCCATCTCAGGCCCTTTATGTGGATTATCGCAGAATTCTCACAATAACGCAATGATGATTAGGTATTATAACCTCTTTTTACAGATGGGGACTGTTTAGTGAGAGGGAGAGTAAATGATTTGCTCACAGCCTAGGGCTGTTAGGTGGTGGATTGGGATGCGAGTCCAGCAGTCTATCTCTGAGCTTGTGGCTCCCTTCAGCACTGTGCAGGGGAGGGCTCTGTGTGCCAGGCACAAACAGGACTCCAGGACTGGCCTGAGCATTCAGGACAGTCAACAAAACTCCGGCATGGCAAGATCCAATGGTCGCAGGGCCGTGTAAATGCTAAGAGGAGGGTGAACTTCTTTGAACAAAGAAATAGAAGTGCTGGGTGCAGTGGCTCATGCCTGTAATCCCAGCACTTTGGGAGCCCAAGATGGGAGGATCATTTCAGCCCAGGAGTTCAAGACCAGCCTGTGCAACATAGCAAAACCCTATCTCTATAAATAATTTAAAAATTGGCTGGATATGGTGGCGCAGGCCTGTAGTCCCAGCTACTTGGGAGGCTGAGGTGGGAGGATTGCTTGAGCACAGAAGATCAAGGCTGCAGTGAGCCATGACTGCACTACTGAACTCCAGCCTGAGCAACAGAGCAAGACTCTGTCTCAAAAAACAAAACAAAGAAACAAGCAAAAAAACTAGGAGGACAAAAAAGGGAGCCGCTATTTGGTTGTGAGGTCAGCTTTACTGATGCATATGAGATGTGAGCAGTGTTCACACCCAAGAAATAATAAGTGCCTTGGTGCTGGGATCCAGTGGTGAACAGGAGAGGGGCTTACAGGTCAGTGATGGAGATACACCTTAAAGTCATTCCTCTATTAATCATTTAAATATGGGACATGACCTGATCTGGGAAAAGAGTGAGACGTGCAGGGAAGGGGTCTTTGAGAAAATGCCTTTAAGTCCAGCTCTGACATAAGAATTAAGGCAGTTCCAGGCAGAAGGAACAATGCAGGCAAGGTCTGAGCCTGGAGGAAATGTGGCTCATTCCAGAAACAGAAAGGAGTTCATCATGGCTGCTGCAATATAGAGGGGAGAGAAGGGGATTGTCCCCAGGAAGAATGCAGACCCTTTTTTGTGAAGATTGTCATGAAACTTAAGGCCTTGAGGTTGAGTTGGCATCAGCCAGGCCAAGGTGGGAAAGGTATTTCAGGCAAAGGAAAAAGCATCCACGAAGGCTCAGAGCCCAGAAAGAAGCAATGGCCCCAAGTAAAAAGTGTGGGCCTGGAAGCCTCCCACACGCAGGGCATCCATTTTTATATGGCTCCCATCCACTGTGAGAGGTTCTGGGATTTTGGTTTTCGAGGACAAGAAAGGAAACACTGTCCTCATGAAGAAGACCACTACGATAAGGGGCAAAACACATGTCCCAGGACTGTCCTGAAGTTCCGATGGGACCTTGGCCATGTCCCTTCCCCAAAGGCAACTTTGCTTGGTCCTGGTGCAAAATAATTAGGTCCTACCAGGCCCACTTTTAAGGGTTTTCTGGTTTTCACCTTTTCTTGGTGACTTCCTTTAAGATGGGAATGAAGATAAACTCAGGAGACAGTGGGAAGATCTCAACATACTTTTGTTAAGGTTTGTGAGGGGATCAGTTTTATTGTATTTCAAAATGTCTACTGTTTAAAAAACTCAGTAGAAACATTATTTTGGATGCATTAAGAAAAAAACCCACAAAACTTTGCTTATTGCCAAAAAAATTCAAACATCACCCTAGTAGATACCTCATAAGGGGAAAGTTGGTTTCCTTTTTATTTTTTGAAATGGAATCTCACTCACTCTGTTGCCCAGTGGGGAGTGCAGTGGCACTCTCACTGCAGCCTCTGCCTCCTGGGTTTAAGAGATTCTCGTGCCTTGGCCTCCAAAGTAGCACGGACTATAGGCGAGTGACACCATGCCTGGCCAATTTTTGTATTTTTACTAGAGATGAGTTTCACCATGTTGGCCAGGCTGGTCTTGAAATCCTGACCTCAAGTGATCCGCCTCGGTCTCCCAAAGTGCTGGGACTACAGGTGTGAGCCACTGCGCCTGGCCCTGACGTCTGATGCTCCTCACTCTTCAGCTCCAGACTATTGGGTAAACATTCTCTGAGAATAAGCTAGAAGAAACTTATGGACTCAGTCAGGCTCAGAGATGTATTGTTTGGCAACAAAGTTTTATATTTGGAAAATTTCACATTTTCAGCTTCTCTGAAAAACTGAAATATCTAACTGGCTGGATCCAAAGAACAGCTGCACTTTTGGATGAGGCATGTGTGATTTCTCTACTTCACCACAGTCCCCACCACTCTCTAACACCTCCCCCAAAGATAACTTCTCTCATTTACATTACCGCCCCATCCCTGTTCTAGAAACTTCCCTGGAATATAAGACCATATAATATGTAGGCATATGTATTTTTTTTATACTTACCTTGAGAATCTTTCTGTGACTACACACAGATCCAACTTTCCTCCTTTCCAAAGCTAAGTCATATTCCATTGTTGGAATCTTTGATATTTATTTGTTTAAATCCCTCTTTTTTATTTTATTTAAGAAACAGGGTCTCATTTGTCACCCAGGCTGGAGTGCAGTGGTACGATCATAGCTCACTGCAGCCTCAAACTCCTGGGCTCAGGCGAGCCTCCTGCCTTAGCCTCCTGAGCAGCTAGGACTACAAGTGTGTGCTATCACGCCTGGCTAATTTTTAAAATTTAATGTAGAGGTGGGGTCTTGCTATGTTGACGAGGCTGGTCTTGAACTCCTGGCCTCAAGTGATCCTCCAGCCTTGCCCTCACAAAGGGCTGGGATTACAGGTGTGAGCCACTGCACCTGGCCATACCTAACTCTCTCTTGACGTATACATACAAAGGCTCCACTTTCTCTATAGTACATGCTGTAAATGAATATCCTTGTACATTTGTTTATGAAGTTTTTTATTTTTATTTTTTTGAGACAGAGTCTCACTCTGTTGCCCAGGCTGGAGTGCAGTGGCACGATCTCAGCTCACTGCAACCTCTGCCTCCCAGGTCCAAGCAATTCTCCTGCCTTAGCCTTCCGAGTAGCTGGGATTACAGGCACGTGACACCACGCTGGGCTAGTTTTCGTATTTTTCATAGAGAAGGTGTTTTGCCATATTGGCAAGGCTGGTCATGAACTCCTCACTTCAGGTGATCCACCCGCCTCGGCCTCCGAAAGTGCTGGGATTACAGGCATGAGCCACCGTGCCTGGCCTGTTCATGAAGTTTTATAGAATGAATACCTAGCTGTAGACTTATTGGATAAATGTCTTTATGTATATTTTAAAACTAAGAAATTTTAAATTTAAGATTTGAAAGCTATCACAAAATTGCCCTGGTTATAAGAATTTATATCCCCAGAAAATGAAATCAGTGTCCTTCCTCAAGCCTTGTTTTGATTTACATTTTTGTAATTACTAAGGTGACCAAACCTCCCCTGTAAATCATCCACTGACCTTTCCACTTTGCACTTTTTTTTTTTTTTTTTTGAGACGAAGTCTGGCTCTTGTCCCCAAGGCTGGAGTGCGATGGCACGATCTCGGCTCAATGCAACCTCTGCCTCCTGGGTTCAAGCGATTCTCCTGCCTTGGTCCCCCGAGTAGCTGGGATTACAGGCGCCTGCCACCACGCCCGGCTAATTTTTGTATTTTTAGTAGAGACAGGGTTTTACCATGTTGACCAGGCTGGTGTAGAACTCCTGACCTCAGGTGATCCACCCGCCTTAGCCTCCCAAAGTGCTGGGATTACAGGCATGAGCCACCGTGTCCAGGCTCCACTTTGCACTTTTTATCTCCTTTTACTGGTTTTAGCAGTTCTTTGTATAAGAGGGATTTAGGCCTTAATCATATATGCCACAAATTTTTCCCCAAGTTGATTGTCTTTAGATTTTGCATTTTACTTCGGAAAAAGTAAAACTTCATTTGCAATCACATATATGATTCTTTTTCTTGGAGGGGGTGGTCCACAACCTGCCTCCTTTGGTAGGCATATTAATATATTTTTTAGAATCAAATGCCTTTAGCTAAGGAATACATTCTCTGTTTCCCTACAGGATCCAGTACTATCCCATAAATGGGCTACTTCATAATTTTAAAGTTATCTTCCTGCCCCTTAAGACAGGGGTATAACTGTGTGTGTAGGTGTTTGTGGGTACATTTCCTCCAGAACTTTTATGGTTTTCTTATGCACATTTAAATTTTTGACCCATCTGTAATTTATTTTTGGTGGAATGAGTGTACACAACAGAGAACAGGGATGTTTTCCTGATCAGCAGCACAAGGGGGAGGAGATACCAATGCCAGTTTATAGATTTTTTTTTTTTAACAACAACATGCTTTTTGGCCCTTTACACAAGTAATGCAAACTCAAGGATTGTACCCATACTTCCACCACCCAAAACAACCACTTTTTTTTTTATTGCAACGTATTTTCTGCCAGCCTTTTTTTTTTCCTATAGTATATAGATTTTTGTTTCAGAAATCTCTTTTTTGTCTGTTTTTTTTGTAACGTGACAACATTTATAACTGCTAACAGTTAATGTTTTAACCTAGCAGCTCCCAAACCTGGCTGGGCAGCTGGCTTCCTGGTGGAGCTTGTTAAAAATAATGAATCAGCAACCCTAGGGGGTGGGCTCTGGGAATCTATATTTTTAACAAGTTCCATGGACGTGTTTGAGACACAGCCAGGCCAATTCTGGCCGACTCCCCCATGCTCCAGCTGTACCTGTGATTGTCTGGGTCTCCGAGGTGATGGTTCTGGTGGTGGTCTGAGTCTGGGTGGCAGGCACTGTTTCCTCCGATACAAACTGGACCGTGCTGGGGGCTGCTGCGGATGTGCCTGTCAGCTGGCAGCCACTTTGCTTGTGAGCTACAAAGGCATCCAGGTTGTTAAACTGCTGCTTGCAGATGCCGCAGATATGGATGTCGGGAGTCAGCTCCACCAGCACCGTTGTGCCACCTGGAACTCCATGGGACAAAGGGAAAGTAACGGATTAATTCCAAACAGCTTTGAATTGTAATGCAGACCAGATTCATGGTAGGAAGAAAAGGCATGGTGGCAGACATGGCTGGGTAGTGGCCCAGTATCCACTCCACCTTCCTCTTCCTGCGAACTGCATCCTAATTGTGCCCTAGCAGCAAGGTATCATATTTCCACACAGAGATTTCTTGCCTTAGTTAAACTTGGGGAAAATTGGACATAATGTAAATATCTTAGAAATCTTCAGAAAATTGGCCAGGCGCGGTGGCTCATGCCTGTAATCCTGGCACTTTGGGAGGCTGAGGCGGGCGGATCACCTGAGGTCAGGAGTTCGAGACCAGCCTGGCCAACATGGTGAAATCCCGTCTCTACTAAAAATACAAAAATTAGCTGGGCATGGTGGTGTGTGCCTATAATCCTAGCTACTCAGGAGGCTGAGGCAGGAGAATCACTTGAACCCAGCAGGCAGAGGTTGCAGTGAGCTGAGATCACACCATTGCACTCCAGCCTGGGGGACAAGAGTGAAACTCTGTCTCAAAAAAAAAATAATTTTTTTTTTCAGAAAATTATGATGCATAATTTTATCCAACCACATATGCACAAAGGTAGTCTTGTATTATTTAACTTGGGGAAAATTGGAAATAATGTATAGCAACCATCCATGTGATGGTTCACGCTGCATTGTTACCCATGGGGCACTAGTGGCATTGTTTGCAAGAAAGTTCTTTTATCAAAGATAAAAGGGATGTCCTGCACTTTGCAGAACCAGCAGCCACCTCCTATCCCAACTAAAAGGTAATTGTGAAAACTGATCCTCCCGCACATTTCCAAACATACTCACCCAAAACACATACTATGAGAACCAATAGTCTAAATAATCTTGGTCCTCTACATACTTGTGAACTTCTCCAGCACACAGCTGGAGGAGTTTCTGGGAAAAGTTTGGCATTTGTGATGAAAAGGGAGCAGATGTGGCTAGCAATGTGCCCCTTTTCTTCTGGCTTTGGATGCAAATGTGATGGTGGGGCTTCTGCAGCCATCTTGTAACTATGAGAAAAATGCCAAGATCCCTATGGGCTCTGCCCTTTACTTCACTGATTTCCCTGATTCAACACTGCAATCAATCAATTCCAGATTTCATTAGGCCAGTATAATTTGGGTTTCTGCTACTTGTAGCCAAAATTCATTCCTAACTGGCAGGGACATTATTTCTTTTTCTTTCTTTTTTTTTTTTTTTTTTTTTTTTGAGACAGAGTCTTGCTCTGTCACCCAGGTTGGAGTGCAGTGGTGCGATCTCGGCTCACTGCAAGCTCTGCCTCCCGGGTTCACGCCATTCTCCTGCCCCAGCCTCCCAAGTAGCTGGGACTACAGGCACCCGCCACTACGCTCGACTAATTTTTTGTATTTTTAGTAGAGATGAGGTCTCACCTGTTAGCCAGGATGGTCTCGATCTCCTGACCTCGTGATCTGCCCGCCTCAGCCTCCCAAATCCCTCCCTGGGATTACAGGAGTGAGCCACCGCACCCGGCCGACATTATTTCTTGATACTAATCATATCAAGAATTAATACTATATTAATACCTGGAAAGCACTTAGTGTAGTATTTGGCACTGTATTAGAAGCTACTATATAAATACTTGTTCAATAAAGACATAGCGGGTAGATCATGAGGTCAGGAGAGCGAGACCATCCTGGCTAACATGGTGAAACCCCATCTCTACTAAAAATAAACAAAAAAAATTAGCCCGGCGTGGTGGCACACACCTGTAATCCCAGCTACTAGAGAGGCTGAGGCAAGAGAATTGCTTGAACCCGGAAGGCGCAGGTTGCAGTGAGCTGAGATTGTGCCACTGCACTCCAGCCTGGGCGACAGAGCGAGACTCCGTCTCACATAAAAAAAAAAAGATAACTCGTGTTTATAAGAAAATTTAGAAGAAACTTATAAAGAAGGGGAAAATCACTCAATATTTCCATCTCTGCCTACCATGAATATTATAAAATATTTTTTTCCATTCATTTTCTTTACACTTAAAAGTTGCGTAAGATGGCTCACGCCTGTAACCCAGCACTTTGGGAAGCCGAGATGGGTGGATCACAACAAGAGATCAAGACTATCCTGGCGAACATGGTGAAACCCCGTCTCTACTAAAAATACAAAAATTAGCTGGGTGTGGTGGCACGTGCCAGTAATCCCAGCTACTCAGAAGGCTGAGGCAGGAGAATTGCTTGAACCTGGGACGTGGAGGTTGCAGTGAGCCAAGATCATGCCACTGAACTTCCAGCCTGGTGACAGCGAGACTTCATCTCAAAAAAAAAAAAAATTGCATAAGATCATAATATTGTAAATATTCAGATCATAGTATTGTAAAACTAATCCTTTTCCTAATTTTTTTCCTTTTTTTTTTTGAGATGGAGTTTTGCTCTTGTTGCCCAGGCTGGAGTGCAAGGGCACGATCTCAGCTCACTGCAACCTCCGCCTCCTAGGTTCAAGCGATTCTCCTGCCTCAGCCTCCGGAGTATCTGGGATTACAAGCGCCACCACCACGCCAGGCTAATTTTGAATTTTTAGTAGAAATGGGGTTTCTTCATGTTGGTCAGGCTGGTCTTGAACTCCCGACCTCATGTGATCCGCCCGCCTCAGCCTCCCAAAGTGCTAGGATTACAGGCGTGAGCCACCGTGCCTGGCCCTTTTTCCTAAACATTGCATAAACATTGTGCTATATCATTAAAATCTCTTCATATATATATGATTATTTAATGGCAATACATTATTCCATGGTGTCCATGCGTCATAATCTTCTCAGCAACAATAAGGTATTTACATAATTTCCAATTTTTCCCAAGTTAAATGATACAAGACTACCTTTGTGCATATATGGTTAGATAAAATTATGCCTCATAATTTTCTGAAAATTTGTAAGATATTTACATTATGTCCAATTTTCCCCAGGTCTAGCTAAGACAAGAAATCTCTGTTCAGAAATACAGTTTGGTTGACTTGCTAAGGAGACTGGGCTGAGCACTGTGATAAGCCATCTTGCAGGGATACACTTAAGCACTTTGCAATCAATGGATGGAAGGAAGGAAACCTTTTCTTCTCTGGCAGATACTGAGATACCCATGGAACTAACAAGGAAACAAGGAAGTGAGACATGAAGTAGCTTGCATTGCTGACGATTCCTTAATGATGGAATAGGACTGACACCCAGAATGAAAGGATTTTCATAACAGATAATGTCACTGGTATGTGGAAAGTGCAAAAGTAACGACATAGACCTTCGTTAGAATCTTGACACTGTCGCTTAACAACAGTGACTTTAAGCGTGGGTTTTCTCATCTGAAAAATGGGAGGAGAGGTTTCTAATCCATGGTTTTTGTTTGTTTTTAATTTCTCCAAGAAAAAACACGGGCTTGTTATGAGAATTAAATGGGATGGTGCTCGTACCAGCACAGTCCCCCCTCCCCGCCAGTCCCCCAGCATGTTACCTGCTGGGTTCTTACTGAGGTACACTATTTAAACATGGACATATCTGAGCCCCACCTAGGAGATACTGAGTCATAACAGGGTGGGGTGGGGAGGATGGTGTTTAGGAAAATCTGTGCTTTTCACAGTAATGCAAGGAATACACCGCCAAGTTTGGGACCCAGTGTCTCCCAAACTGTTAACAGTAGCAGCTAACAAGCTGGGAGCTTACTATGTGCCAGATTTTCTGCAAACCCCTGGTAGATGGGTTCTCAAACTTCATGTGCTTCAGAGTTGCCCAGGCAGCTACGAAGGACAGCGGATCCCCAGCCCCACCCCCGAGATTGAATGGGTGGGGCCCAGAAAGCTGTTTTAAAATACACGCTCTCGCTCCCAGGTGGCTGGTTGCACTCAGTCTCTGGACCACACTTTGGGAAACAATGCACCGGGAGAAACCAGGGACTTGAAAAACGCTGATGTCCTCCTCGGTTAAATAAAAACTGAACCCCAAACCCAAATAAAGCGACCACGGCCCCGTTTTCCATTCAGATCTCCACCCTTAATGAGGAAAAGGCTTTGCAATGAGCCGGCAGGACCTCGTGAGACCTGGTGATTCCCCCAATCTCCAGGCTCTAATTTTGAGCCACTGAGGCAGAAGTTTTCCCATCAGTGTTGCCCCGTTTACCCTAGATTCCTCCCTTTCTCCTGCCCGCCCCAAACTCCGCCTGATGGGGCGGGAATGCCCTTAGGGGGTGGCGATTGTCTGAACGGCGTGCCCTCCCCCACTGTTCCCTTCCAAGGGGTCTCGCAAGGCTGGAGAGCGCCCCCGGTCTTGCGCCAGGTCGGGTGCGCCCCCACCCCAAGCCCACTCCGGCGCCCCCTGCACAGCGCGCCCGCCGCGGTCCCCGAGACGCGGCTCCGAGCCGTCACCCCGATTTCGGGGCCCCGGGCCTGCTGGCTGCGTCGCAGACGTGCTTGGGCCCGGGCCCCGGAGCGCGCACTGGGCCCCGGAGCGCGCACTGCTCCCGGAAAAGCACTTACTTTGCACCGAGCCCGCGAAGCTCTCGCCCTCGCTGCTCGCGTTCATGGCCGCAGACTGGGAGGTCCCCGGCCGGCCGGGATGCCAAAGTGGGGGACGCTGATCTACATGGTGCAAGGACTTTTCCTTTTATTTTTCCACACCCCCCACCCTGCCTTCTCCCAACTCTGCGAGGCGGGGAGGACGGATGTAAAGCAAGCTGCACTTCCGCTGCCTAGAGGGCGCTGGCCGGGCCCGGCGCCCCAACCTGGCTTTGCAGCAGCGGCTCCCCGGGGAAGCGGCGGGCGAATCCCGAGGCCCAGGCCCGCGGAGCCCCCCAACGCCCCCGGGGAGCTGGATGGCCACGCGCGTCCCGGCGTGCTGGGCGACCGCGGGTGGCGAGGGATGCGCCCCTGCCCGCACTCTGCGTTCTCCGCGGACGCGATTGGCCTCCCCGGCTCGGGGCGCCTTTTGCACCTGCAACCCCAGGCGTTGGGCCCCCAGCGCGGCCGTGCAGCAGCGCTGCTCCCGGGACGCCTGGGTGGTTTGCGGGGAGACCCACGTGCGGCTGCCGTTGCGGGGTGGGTGCGCGGGGCGCGGCGAGCTCCGGAGAAACCCAGGTTGGGCGTGAGCGCTGGGCAAATCAGCAAAGCGCTGGGCGGGTCCCTTGCCCCGCTAGGGAGACTGAGAGGACCGCGAAGAGGTGGGGTCGTAGCGCGGAGGGACCCCTGCTCCAGGAGCTGCCAACTTTATCGTGCATCGCAGTCGCCTGAAAGGCTTGTTAGAACACACGCTGTTGGGCCCACCCTAGCGTTTCTGCTTCAGTAGGTCTGGGGCGAGGCGTGAGAACGAGCATTTCTAAGTTCCCAGGTGATGCCCCTAGTGTTGGTCGGCGTCCACACTCTGAGGACAGTGACCTCTCTGCTCTGTCCCTCATGTCTTACTACTACTGTCTCCCCCGGGCTCCTGCGTCAGCCCTATTGTCTCTCTGCCGACCCTCCCAAGCCTCAGACCTCTCCCAGCCTCGAGGGATTTGCCCATAGAGTCTGTCCTGCTTCTGAAGGTCAGCATTCAAATTCACACTCAGGGAGGCCATGCTTGGCCTAATCTAATCATTCTAATATTGCAGCCCCCTCCTCCTCCCCCAACCACTCCCTGTCTCCTTCCTGTTTTTTTCTTTTTCTTTTTCTTTTCTTTTCTTTTCTTTTCTTTTCTTTTCTTTTCTTTTCTTTTCTTTTCTTTTCTTTTCTTTCTTTCTCTCTCTCTGCCTCTCTCTCTTTCTCCCTTTCTTTTTTTAGAGAGGGGGTCTTTCTCTGTCTCTCAGGCTGGAAGAGTGGTCGGATCCTAGCTCATTGCAGCCTCCAACTCCTGGGCTCAAGCAATCCCCCCTACAGGCGTGGGCCACCACCCTGGCTCACTTTTTAATTTTTATTTTTGTAGAGATGTTGCCCAGGCTGGTCTCGAATTCCTGGCCTCAAGCGATCCTCCATCAGCCTCCCAAAGTGCTGGGGTTACAGGTGTAAGCCACCATGCCTGGCCTGCTTTGTCCTTAAAAGGTGTTAGATGGAACATATTATGTATCTCGAGTATATCTGCTTAGATATAATTTAGTTGTATATTATCTGTGTTCTCCTCCCCCTTATTTTCAGTAAGTCCCTGTAAAAATGGGGATTAAAAAAATCTCTTTGCTTCACTGATGTAGTCCAGTGACTTGGCTGGTGCCTGACACATAGTAGGCTTAGTAAATATGGCTTGTATAATGAATGGGATTTTCCCTGCTGCTGCCTCTAAGGCTTGGTTTCTGCCTGCAGCAGCTGTTTATTCTCAAGTGTTTGTGAAGTGCCAGGCACTGGGCTAGCTGCTGGAGGTAGACCAGGGAGGCAGTCAACATGAAATAATCAAATCAGTACTGTAAATATATATATATTTAATATATAATATTTAATATATTTAATATATATTTATATTTATGTATATATATATTATATATAAATATATACAATATATATTATATATAAAATATTATATATTATATATTATATATTTATATATATAAAAAATATATATAAAACTTCCTTTTTTTTTTTTAACCTTAAGTTCTGGGATACATGTGCAGAACGTGCAGGTTTGTTACATAAGTATACATGTGCCATGGTGGTTTGCTGCACCTATCAACCCATCACCTAGGTTTTAAGCCCCACATGCATTAGGCATTTGTCCTAATGCTCTCCCTCCCGTTGCCCCCCACCCCCTGACAGGCCCTGGTGTGTGATGTTCCCCTCCTGTGTCCATGTGTTCTCAACATTTTGCTAGTGATAAGGGCTCCAAAGACCATAAAATGGGGCTGTAATAGTGGCTGTAGAACTGGTCATAGCAGGCCTTTCCGAGCAGGTAATATCTGAACAAGGAGCCGGGGAGGATGCAGCCATGTGAGGATGAGGGGGGAGCAATTCCAGCCTGAGGAACTGGTGGGAGCAAAAACCCTGGGGCAGGAATGAGCTAGATGTAACTGGCTGTGGCCTGCCAGTCCCACTGCAGATCACACCACTCTCACCCTGCATTGCCCAGGCAGCTCCACCAGGCTCCTTGCTGTTGTTGCTCCTCCCTCTGCCTGGATTGCTTTCCTGGTCTTTGCAGGACTGGCTATTTTAGGTCATCCAGCATCAAATGAAATGTCGCCTTCCCAGAGAGACCTTTCCTATGTCTTACCTAAAGTATTCACTCTCCCTGCGACTCTGCGACATCACCTTCATGATACCTGTCTAGCTAACATGACCCAGCAGAGCACCGCAGCTTACGGCAATATTTATTTTTTATTGCTTGATGAATGTTTACATATGTGCACACCTGGGAAGTCCCCTTCCAAGACACACATTTCCAGCCCTGGTCGGCTCCCTCATGCACCTTCCCAGCCAATAATACTATTCTGGCCAGGCAAGGTGGTTCATGTCTGTAATCCCAGCACTTTGGGAGGCCGAGGTGGGCGGATCACCTGAGGTCAGGAGTTCTAGACCAGCCTGGCCAATATAGTGAAACCCCATTTTCTTCAGTACAAAAATTAGCCAGGCTTGGTGGCGCACACCTGTAATCCCAGATACTCCAGAGGCTGAAGCAGGAAAATTGTTTGAACCCAGGAGGCGGAGGTTGCAATGAGCTGAGATGGAGCCACTGCACTCCAGCCTGGGTGATGGAGCGAGACTGTCTCAAAAAACTATAAATAAATAAAATAATACTATTCCTACTATCCAATCTTGCAGAGGTCACCATTCTAACTTTTATTGTCACGATTCCTTTTGTTGAGAGCAATATATCTCACATTTGCCTGAAGAGAAGCATCATCTGGAAGGCTCACTAAAGAATGAGTTCTTGGGTTCCAAGCTATGCTTACTGCATCAGAATTTTCTGGGGTAAGACTTGGTAATCTGCAAATATCTCAAAAGTGCCCCAGGTAATTCTTATCATGATGTAAGTCTGGGCCTTACTGGTTTGGTGGTTAAGTGTGTAGGCCCTGGAGTTAGGCTATGCCACTGCCATGCAAATCCTGGAGTTGCTGAACTAGGATTAGTTGCTTAACCTTGAATAGGAAATTCAACTGCTCTGTGTCCCGGTTTTCTGTAGCTTGGAGATAATAGTAGCACCTAGTTCATTAAGCTGTTTTGTAGGAGGAACCAATCAATATCTGTAAAGTGCTTAGAATAGTGCCTGACTCATATAACTCGGCATAAATCCTAGCTATTATTATCTTTTAATTATTTTTGGTTATTATCTGTCTCCCTACCATGTAAGCTCCAGGAGGGCATAGACCTGGCCTATTTTATTTACCTGTATCCTCTGGGGCCTAGAACAGAGCCTGGCACACAGGCATCCTCAGTTCATTTTTTATTGTGAAATGATTTCATGCATGTTTCCATGAGCTCCATTTTAACCTTTTGCTACTATGTCCAGCCAACCTTCTCTATTACACATCTTGACCACTGCAACAGTCTTTTTCTGGTCTGAAAATGTCCTATTTTCATTTCTTATTTTTCTTTCTATACTTTTAAAAAATGTTATTTTTCAACATAAGCTCCATCAAGATCAACACACTCTTATTTATTTATTTAGAGACAGAGTCTCGCTCTGTCACCCAGGCTGGAGTGCAGTGGTGCGATCTTGGCTCACTGCAACCTCCACTTCCCAGGTTCAAGCGATCCTCCCACCTCAGCCTCCTGAGTAGCTGGGATTACCGGTGTGTGCCACCACGCCCAGCTAATTTCTTTGTATTTTTGGTAGAGACGGGGTTTCATCATGTTGGCCAGGCTGGTCTCAAACTCCTGGCCTCAAGGGATCTGCCTACCTTGGCCTCCCAAAGTGCTGGAATTACAGGTGTGAACCACTGCACTTGCCCTATACTTGTTTTTCTTATTGCAAAAGTATTAGAAATTGTTGGTTAGAATTTGAAAAAAAAATACAGGAAAACATAAGAAAATAAAACCCACTTATAATTCACTATGCAGAAATAACATTTTGATTGATGAATTTTTGTGTGTGTGTTGTATGTGTGCATACACACACATATAAATCATATTCATATATTTTATAAAAATGTAATTACAGCTTACATGTTTTTCACCTCCACATGAAATATACATGGCTATCTGAGATCTCACCAACCAGAGATATATACTTATATCTTTATGTACTACATGTCTATATCTTTATAGGCTTTTTTTCTGTAGAAATGTAATAGAATGAACCATATGAATTGCTGATATATTTATTTTTTACTTAAAAATGGTAATTTTATATGGTTCAAACCAATATGTACTCATAACATTAATATTATACTTCTTTCTTTTTTTTCTTGAGATGAAGTCTCACTCTGTCACCCAGGCTGGAGTGCAGTGGTTCAATCTCAGCTCACTGCAACCTCTACCTCCTGGGTTCATGAGATTCTTCTGCCTCAGCTAGGATTACAGGTGCCTGCCACCAGCCTGTTTTTTGTTTTTAGTAGAGTTGGGGTTTCACCATGTTGCCTAGGCTGGTCTTGAACTCCTGACCTCAAGTGATCCGCCTGCCTCAGCCTCCCAAAGTGCTGAGATTACAGGCGTGAGCCACCACTCTCAGCCAATGTTTGTATTTCTATTAGAGACAGGGTTTGTTATGTTGGCCAGGCTGGTCTCGAACACCTGACCTTGTGATCCGCCCGCCTCGGCCTCCTAAAGTGCTGGGATTACAGGTGTGAGCCACCATGCCTGGCCTCAAATTTTTTTAATAATACAATTCCTAATTTATAGCTCAGCACATGGCCTCCTGAAAAGAGACTTTTCCCAGCTTCCTTTGTAGCTACGCATGGCTATATGACTAAATTCTGACAACGTAAATGAAATGTGATGCAGCTTCTGGGAAATATCCTAAAATAGCAGTTGGCATATGCTGTTTGTCCCTTCTTCTTTAGCTCTTCCTCTTTTCCTTGCTTGGGATGAGGATATGATGGCTGGAGCTCCAGCTGCCATTTTGGACTATGAGAATGAGGCGATACTCTAGGTATGGCAGAATAGAGAGCTGGAAGGAGCCCAGGCCCCTAACTTCTTTGTGGAACTTCCAACTGGATTGCCTATTTCCAGACATCATATATGAGAAATGCACTTTTTTCAGCTATTGTTATTTGGGGTGGGGGAATGTTTCTTTCACATGCACCTGAATCAAATCTTATTCTAACACAATGCTATGCAAACTATTCCACAATTGGCTTTTGATCTTGATTTGGTGGGTTGCATTAGAATCACCCGAGAAATTATTAAATATCCTAACCCCTCTCCTTCAGAAGGATTGGGATGAGGCCTGGGTATCTGTATGCTTGACAGACTTTTTGGGTTGTTCAATCAGCACTTGGTGCTTGCAAACCTCTGCTCCCTACCATTTTTTAATGGTCACATAATATTTCATTATAGGGTTGCATCATAATTTATTTGCTATGTTACTGGATGTTTGTTAATGATTTTTTTTTTTTTTTGAGACGGAGTCTTACGCTGTCACCCAGGCTACAGTGCAGCGGCGTGATCTTAGCTCACTGAAACCTCTGCCTCCCAGGTTCAAACAATTCTCCTGCCTCAGCCTCCCAAGTAGCTGGGACTACAGGCATGTGCCACCACGCTCCGCTAATTTTTTATATTTTTAGCAAAGATGGGGTTTCACCATGTTGGCCAGGCTGGTCTCGAACTCCTGACCTTGTGATCTGCCCACCTCGGCCTCCCAAAGTACTGAGATTACAGGCGTCAGCCACAGCCCTGCTGTTAATGATTTTTTAGATATCATAAGTAATACACCATAGTAGCTTTTTTAATTGGCCCGTGCGAACACATTATTTCTCTATGCCAGCCATCCTGAAGAGCTGCCAGAATAACTTGTTTCAACACCATGTGGAAGGGCTTTTTCTTCCTTTTTTCAGATTATTTATTTCAATGTGGATTCTATCCAGATCTATTTCTCAGTAAGAATCACAGTTCTTGAAAAGTTAACAGCCTTTGTTTGACTAGAAAGCTCACGATTTCTTCTGTTCTCAAGTTTTTGACCACTTCTCATTTAATAGATAAAATATAATATAGAAATGGCAAATGTCTTGCAGGGTGCAGACATACTGGTAATCCTACTCCATGTTCTAAATCTGGCAACTAAAATAAACTTGAATTTGTTACCAGTGCTTAAAAGTTGATGTATTTCTCATAAGAATTGGGATTTATAGCTTTTTGCAAAAATGGAAGGATCTGGCAAATCTGGGCCTGGACTGTCAAATGGTAACCCTTGGCTGGGCCGGAGAAGCTCCTGTGGATGAAGCCCAGCCTCTCTGATTTACCCCAGTCCCCACTCCTCCCTGTTATTCTTGATAACAAGGCTGAGAATCAGTTTCCATCATTCGTTGCCTCTGTGAGCCATGTTGAATTTAACCAAAATTTGTAACATGTTTCTGATAGAAAAAAAGAACTTCTCCGTCTCCATGGTTTCAATGTTTCTGTTAACTAAAAGGCTTCACTAAGTTACTTACATTACCTCCACTATGTCCAAATAAATAAAATAAAAAAATAAAAAAGCCTATTTTATAACAAAGTGTTGGATACCTATTTTATAACAAAGTGTTGGATGCCTGATGTAATTTATTATTCTTGACTGTCAGAACAACAGTCAAGAGGTAGACACTATTATCACTATTTCATAGATGCAGAAACTGAGTCTCATAAAGCCTAAATAAATTTTCTTCAGGCAAAAGACCAATAAAAGTACGTTAGTTAAGAATCTTTGGTCAGGCATGGTGGTTCATGCCTGTAATCCCAGCACTTCGAGAAGCAGGCGAGGAGTTCAAGACGAGCCTGTGCAACATGGCAAGACCCTGTCTCTACAAAAAATATCAAAATTAGCTGGGCGTGGTGGCATGCACCTGTAGTCCCTGCTACACAAGAGGCTGAGATGGGAGGATTCCTTTAGCCCAGAAGGTTGAGGCTGCAGTGAGCTGTGATGGCACCACTGCACTCCAGCCTGGATGACAGAGCAAGACCCTGTCTCTAAATTTAAATAAATAAATAAATAAATAAATAAATAAGAATCACTGATGGCAAGTAACAGAAACTGTAGAACAGATTTTCACAGTATTTTAAAATCAATCTATTAGAATTATTCACTTGCTTAAATTATTTCTGGCAAGAGATATTCAGATACTTTCTTAAAGTATTAAGAGAACACGCAGGTTTTTTTGGAGGGGGGGGTCTGGTAATGTTGATAACAAGAATAATGAGGACATATTAACTGAATTAATTACTGTAAGTTTTCGAGCAAATATATCCTTCTCCTAACAATATACAGATGCTGTTCAGCATATGTATGATTTGCTACATCCTGATAAACTCATTGTAAGCTGGAAATGTTGTAAGTTGAAAATTCATTTAATAGACCTAACCTACCAAATGCCCTATCTTAGTCTAGCCTAAATTAAACATGCCCAGAACACTTACATTCGCCTGTGGTTGGGCAAAATCATCTACAAAAGCCTATTTTGGCCAAGTGTGGTGGCTCATGCCTATAATCTCAGTATTTTGGGAGGCTGAAGCAGGTGGATCACCTGAGGTCAGGAGTTTGAGACCATCCTGGCCAGCATGGTGAAACCCCATCTCTACTAAAAATATGAAAGATTAGCTGAGCGTGGTGGCACACACCTGTAGTCCTAGCTACTCAGGAGGCTGAGGCACAAGAATCACTTGAACCCGGAAGGCAGAGGTTGCAGTGAGCCGAGATCGTGCCACTGCACTCCAGCCTGAGCGACAGAGTGAGACTCCACCTCAAAAATAAATACATACATACATCCATACATACATAAAATAAAAAAGCCTATTTTATAACAAAGGGTTGGATGCCTCAGGTAATTTATTTGATACTGTACTGAAAGTGAAAAACAGAATGGCTCACTGGTGCTGCCCAGCAGCATGAGAGAGTATCACACTGAATATCGCTATCCCAGGAAAATATAAAAAATCAAAATGGAAAGTATGGGTTTCTACTGAATGGGTATCACTTTCACACCCATTGTAAAGTTGAACAATCATCAACTGTACTATTTTACATTAGGAATCGTCTGTAGTTTTTAATTTCAAGTGACCAAAATTTTTTCAACAGTATTTTAACATACATAGTTTCCTATAGTAATCATTCATAGTTAGTAAAATGTCAATTCTCAAGGCAGGAAATTTTATTTTCTTCTTTGTGTACCAGCACCTATAACAATGCATGGTATTTAGAAAAGGTTGGACGGATATGTTGACGAATGAATGAATGTGCCTTTTGTCAAGATGGCTTCAGAATATAACTATTAAAGCAAACATTTAACTATTACAGGAAAACATTTTTTTCCTTTTTAGTAAACACACGGAGAAAAATGTGACCTAATAACAGAATACAGCAAATTATAGATTCCATTTAGACTTTATGATAACTGGTATTTTTAAACCTCCTTTATTTTTCTAGACAAGGGCTAACAACAATGGGTATCCTGGGGCTTGGCATTTTCAAAAGTACTTATGTCGACAACCTCTCCACTTAGAAAGTACTACAGAAAATTGTGGCTAAGGTTTCAATGATAAATTTATCGAAGGCTGGTGGTCTGGTCCAGAGGCTGTTGCTCTGTGATTCTTCCCTTGATTCTGCTATTTGTCAGGGACGCTGACCCTTGTTTCTTGTATCCAGGGTTCTGGGGGCTTCTAGCTTCCTGTAGGGTTTGGCTGAGGGGTGGAAGGGAGAAGGCAGAGTATTTCTCCTCTTCCCCGTCTATCTTGGTGGCAGTGGCTGTGTCTCCTCCATGGCCCTAGATCCTATAGGATGGGCCCACTGTGGCCTCACCTTCTGCCGGGTGACTGTGGTCCCTGAAAACACCACCTCCTCCCTTTGTCTCTCTCCCTGCCACCTTCCCTGGAGAGAAAAGGCAGTGGCTTCCAGGTGTTGCTAATCTCTGGGTTGCCTAACCATTCCCATTTGGTTTCTCAGCTCTTGCATCACTTGGATATCAAATTCCCTGTGTTACATTTACTGAAATTGTTAGATTTGCTTCTCTTTCTCTGGTTGGTCCCTGACTGACATAGCTGTATTAAAGTTTGCAAGGATTATACTTTTGTTCTTGCTTTTCTGGACACACCACGGGTGATTCTTACCTGGAGTGTGCCTCAGATTTTAAGGGAACTTGTTGAGGACACATATGCTTGGGCACCATCTAGGGGGCCTGGGACAGAATCTTGGGGCCTCTGGTCCAGACATGCACAGCATGGAGAGATGCCTCAGGTGACTCCAGCGAGCTCCTCCTGATGTCACTGTCACTGAATCCTGATCCCAAATATTGGAAGGGGACTAAGGGAAATTTCTCTTCCAAAAATTGATTCACTAACAATATTTAGCAACTGCCTGCAATCCTTTATGTAAACATAAAAGACAATGAAGAAACCCTTGAAATTTAACTTAAGTGCTAAACTCTCTGTAATGAGATATGATCCAGACTAAACCTGCTGGGCATTAAGTGGTAGTTACACAATCAATCATTTTGATGAGAGCTGGCTTTGAGTCTTGCCTGGCACATAACTGAGTGTGCACACCTGTGTTTTAATAATATACTTGCTTGGATAATTTCACACAAGCAAGCATGCACAGGCCTGATTTTTTTGTTGTTCTTTCATATAGTTAATGCATCAACGCAGAAATTCTCAAACAGCACGAAAGGGTATATAGTGAAAAGTGGATGTCTCTTCAACCTTCCCCAGCCCCCTAATTTCTTTCTTTTTCTTTTCTTTTTTTTTTTTGAGACGGAGTCTCGCTCTGTCGCCCAGGCTGGAGTGTGGTGGCATGATCTCAGCTCACTGCAAGCTCTGCCTCCCGGGTTCACGCCATTCTCCTGCTTCAGCCTCCCAAGTAGCTGGGGCTACAGGCGCTCACCACCACGCCCGGCTAATTTTTTTTTGTATTTTTAATAGAGACGGAGTTTCACCGTGTTAGCCAGGATGGTCTTGATCTCCTGACCTCGTGATCTGCCCGCCTCCTCCTCCCAAAGTGCTGGGATTACAGGCGTGAGCCACCGCGCCCGGCCCCTAATTTCTTTCAGAAAGCAACATTGTTACCAGTTTCTTGGTTGTTCTTCAGAACTTTCTGACATATATACAAAAAGACATACACATATTCATCGCCCCTAGTTTTTAAAAAAAACAAACAAATTATACTCTAATGCAAATAGCATTCTATACCCTGCTTTTTTGCACAACAATGTATCTTGAAAAATATTGCTTATCAGTGCATCCAGATTTGCCTCATTGCTTTAGGAAAAATTCAGTTTTTCACTGTACATGTGAAAATATACGTATATATGTATACATATATACGTATATTATACATGTAATATATACATATATGTATATATAGTACATGTACACATATACTAAAATTTAAGCAACTCATTAATGGACACTTTGTTTCTAGTTTTTGATTACTATAAACACAGCTGTAATGAATATCTATATTTGTATCTGTACATGAAAGAGTCTATCTGTAGACTAACTTGCTAAAATAGAATTGCTAGGTCAAAGGTGCATTTAACATTTTGACACTTTCAATGGGGTTGTACTGCGTAGAACTCCTACCAAGATCTTATGAGAGCACCTGTTTCCTACAGCCTCACTCACACAAAGTGCTATCCAGCCTCTGATTTTTTTTATCAATCTGATGGGTAAAATATGGTTTTCCATAGGGTTAATTTGCATATCTGAATTTAAATAAACAAAATCACATACTTAACACCCACCTCCAACAAATTACTAACAATTTGTAATTATTGACTCAGAAGAGGTGCAAGTACCATGCAGATATGGCAAAGGGGACACTTTGTTACAAAGTTTGAATGCCAAAGAGCACATCTGAAAGTTTAAGTGAACTTGTTGGGAGCCCCCATGTGTTAGAAGTTAGAATGTAACACTTGTGGGTATGAGTTTACAATTGTATTGATACAATTGTGTTTGATTTTCATTAAAATGTCCTAAGAAGGATTTTAGTAAGGGTCACACTGGCTACCAAGAATCAATAGTCCCCTAAATAGAAAGGCTCAAAGTCACAGAAACGTATTTCTCATTCTCAACAGTCTGAGCTAGGTGTTACCGTCAGTAGGAGGTTCTCCTTCAAAGGCCCGGACCTTTCAAATGGTTTTAATTACAGGTTAAAGATGAAATTCAAATCAGACCTTTGCTGAACTGTTGAAACACCTCCTGATACTGTGGTTTGAAAACCACTAATCTAATTCTCATTTTACAGAGGGGAAACAGAGGCCCTTTCCTTCTTACAGGAGTCCAAAGCTATTGATAGAAATTTTTAAAATTTTGTTTAAAAATGTTTGAGTACTTTTAAAAAATATCTTTTCATTTTGAAATAGTTTTAAGACTCACAAGAAGTTGCAAATATAGTTTAGTTTTCTCATATACCCTTCACCCAGCACGCTCCAATGAAAACATTGGATTCTTTTAGGGTTTAGGGTTGGAAAAAATCTTGAAATGATGATTAGTTTTAAATGCTCATTATTCATGCAAACGCTTAGCCTATTCAGAAAGTATCTGATACTTTCTTTTTTTGAGATGGAGTTTTTTGCTCTTGTTGCCCAGGCTGGAGTGCAATGGTGCGATCTCGGCTCGCTGCAACCTCCGCCTCATGGGTTCAAGCCATTCTCCTGCCTCAGCCTCCCGAGTAGCTGGGATTATAGGCGCCCGCCACCATGCCCGGTTAATTTTTGTATTTTTAGTAGAGATGGGGTTTCACCATGTTGGCCAGGCTGGTCTTGATCTCCTGACCTCCTGATCCGCCCACCTCGGCCTTCCAAAGCGTTGGAATTACAGGCATGAGCCACTGCCCCTGGCCTTATCTGATACTTTCTGATACAACGTATCTGATACAAATAGTATCAGATATCAAATACTTTCAGATAAGTATTTGATACAATTGTGTTTGATTTTCATTAAGATGTCCTAAGAAGGATTTTAGTAAGGGCCACACTGGCTACTAAAAATCAATAGTCCCCGAAGTAGAAAGGCTCAAAATCATAGAAACGTATTTCTCATTCTCAACAGTCTGAGAGAGATGTTACCGTCAGTAGGAGGTTCTCCATCAAAGGCCCGGACCCCTTCTGTCTTATGGCTCTGTCATCCCTTGGGGCTTGGCTTGGAGAAGGCCACTCACTTCCTACAGGCTTTGTCTGCCACACATCTATTTCCTGCTTAAGTGCCATTGGCAGAATCCAGTCACATGGTCCATCATGGAAGCAGGTGGGCAGGGCTGGGAAATGTAGCCTCTGGATGGGAAGCAGCTTCTCAGCTACAAAACTACGCTAAAGGTGTGGCAAATTTTGATAGATAATTGTCTCTGCCACAGAAAGGGTTTTCTACTTTTGCACATATAGAGATCGGTGGAGCTAGGTTTTAATTCAGAGAATTGTTATTTAGCTGACTCTAGTGGACTTTTCTCTCTCTCTCTCTCTCTCTCTCTCTCTCTCTCTCTCTCTCTCTCTCCTTTCTTTTTTTTAGACAGAGTCTTGCTCTGTTGCCCAGGCTGGAGTGCAGTGTTGTGATTTTGGCTCACTGCAACCTCTGCCTCCTGAGTTCAAGTGATTCTCATGCTTCAGCCTCCCAGGTAGCTGGAATTACAGGCATCCGCTACCATGCCTAGCTAATTTTTGTATTTTTAGTACAGACTGGGTTTTACCATGTTGGCCAGGCTGGTCTTGAACTCCTGAGCTCAAGTGATCCATCTGCCTTGGCCTCCCAAAGTGCTGGGATTACAGGTGTGAGCCACCACATCCAGCCTCTCGTGGACTTTTTTTTTGTTTTTTTTTATTTCGTCAGTCTGGCATCCCCTTCCTACTTCTGATAACAGGATTTTTGTTCTATGATTTCCTTTGGGGGAAATAGTTTCCCACTATTTCACATAATATTAATCACAATCTCCCATCACAGGGGTCACAAATGTGATCATGTCACCCAGACATAGCCATTATCTCCTATTGTACTGAATTATTTTGAAGCTCCTCCCAGCTTCTGTACCATGTAGTTTGTGCTATTTCTCATCTGAAATTCTGTTTCCCATTTGATTTCCTGGGATCATGTCTACTGCTTCCATTTGAGCTGAAGAACTGCCTTATATGGAACCTCTTTGAGGATCGCCTAGACTGATTTGGGATCCCCTCCCTAGATCCCTAAGTGTGGCTACATTCCAGCACTCACCACAGTGTATCGTATTGGTTGATTTGTTGGTCTGTACTTACCACAGTGTATTGTATTGGTTGATCTGTTGGTCTGTTTCAGTTAAGACACCTTTGGCAGCAAGCATCTTACCTGAAACTTTTCTTGGGTATGCCTCAAGATGCATATGCCATCAGTCCTTCCAGTAGCTGGAGAGGACTGGGTTTATTGGAGCTCTTAGACTGGTTACATTGGTCAGGACTAGTTTTTGGCTGGGGCTGTGCCCAGCCTCAGTGTAAACTATACATGACAATCTCATTTCCTTTGGCCAGTGATTGGGCTCCCAGTGGGCCAAGTTCTGCTCAATAAGACATAGAGGAAATCTCCTGATGGCTTTTGAGAATGATTTTCCTTCCTGGAAAGAAAGAGGCATGTGAGAAGAAAGCCCTTGCCTGCCCTCCTCCCCACCTCCATCCTTTCTGGTCTGGTCATTGCCATGGTAGACCTGGTTTCCAAGGCGGCAGCAGCCATGTGGTAGACATCCTCCGCAGGACTTGGGAGGAAGCTGGGACGCTGAGGTCGGTGGAGTAGAAGGATGAAAAGAAACTGGGTTCTTGCTGACAGTGCTGAGCCACTGAATTCACTCTAGGACCACCTACCTTCTGATTTTTCATTAAATATTGTAATAAATGGCCTTAGAATTTAAGACAGTTCTCCCCAAACTTATTCCCACTGGGACACATAATTAAAATGATAACAATTGTATAGCACACTGGGGTAAATGGCAGAAAATTTGGGACTTTGATATGGACATTGTTCACAGAAATTAATCATACTTCTGTATGTTGTTTTCTTAAAATATAAAAAATACAAAAAATAAAATAGGAAGTTTTAGAAAGAAGTAATGCATTTTTACAAAAACATTTTTTTTTTTAATTTTACATGAGAAACTTGAATTTGCTTTCATGGATAGAACTTTCCTGTGTCAGATTTTATGCTTAAAGCAACTACATGCAATTTCTGTTCAGGCCTTTTTAATGATGACCTGGCCACATATTTGATGGGCATTATCTACGAAAAGCTTTATTAGTACAAAGAAGCTACATAAAAATATAAAACTTTTTATTTTTTTTATTTTTTTGAGACAGGTTCTTTTTTTTTTTTTTTTTTTTTGAGATGGAGTTTCACTCTTGTTGCCCAGGCTGGAGTACAGTGGTGCAATCTTGGCTCACTGCAACCTCCACTTCCTGGGTTCAAGCAATTCTCCTGCCTCAGCCTCCCGAGTAGCTGGGATTACAGGCACCCACCACCACATCTGGCTAATTTTTTGTATTTTTAGTAGAGATGGGGTTTCATCATGTTGGCCAGGCTGGTCTCGAACTCCTGACCTCAGATCATCCACCTGTCTCAGCCTCCCAAAGTGTAAGGATTACAGGTGTGAGCCACCATGCCCGGCCGAGACAGGTTCTTGATGTGTTACCCAGGCTAGAGTACAGTAGTGCCACCATTGCTTACTGTAGCTTTGAATCCTTGGGCTCAAGCAATCCTCCCACCTTGGCCTTCTAAGTAGCTGGGATTACAGATGTATGCCACCATGCCTGGCTAATTTTTAATTTTTTTTTTTTAATAGAGGTAGTATCTTGCCCAGGCTGGACTCAAACTTCTGGACTGAAGTGATCCTCTCATCCTGGCCTCTCAAAGTGCTGGGATTACAGGCATGAGTCTTTGCACCTCGCCAAAACTAATTTTTGAAACATATTTTCAGAAACTCCCAATGCTAACATTTTATTTAAAGGCTTTACAAGCAAGCATCTTCTTTTCTTTCTTTGACAAATGTTGGTATTTGGGATTTCTTGTGATAATGCAGATGGCTTGCGAGTCCAGTGAAATTTTTATAGATGGAATACTAGCTATTTCACAATAGTGTAAAGTGCCCACTGGCAGAACACACAAGCCTGGTTAGATCAATTCCCTGCTGCTAGCTTGGATTCACTAAAAGGGCACAGATGAGAAAGTACAGAAGTAACTAGGTTATATAAAGACATAAATCAGAACAACTACCTGGTAATGAACTCAGCGGGAGTTCTGGCCAGACCTCCAACCAATGCCGTGTTAGCTTGGACCTCATGTTCCTTGGCATTTGGAACACAAATCCCCCCAGCAGTTCCATTGCCCCTTAGGCACTGTACACAGCAGCAAGCCTTGCAACTGGCCACTAAGGCAGATGTCTGGCTGGTGGAACACCTTTTGACCACATTGCATGCATCAAGCACTGTCAGCACTGTTCAGTGGAGGACCTAATTGAAGACTGGTACTGCTTTTTGGCATGGAAGGTCCATACCTATTGTATTTGTCAGGATGCATCTGGTTGCTAATGGAAAAAACCCAAATTTGAACTGGCTTTAAACAAAGGAGGGAACATGACTTTAGCTTCAGAGATGGCTTCTGGGAATACATCATCAGGGATGGCTCTCTCTCTTTCTTAGCCATGATTTAGAAAAAAAAAAATTGTTTTTGCTTCATCATGTGAAATTAAAACTTTTTTCTTTTTGAGATAGTCTTGCTCTGTCACCCAGGCTGGAGTCCAGTGTTGCGATCTTGGTTCACTGCAACCTCTGTCTCCTGGGTTCAAGCCATTTTCCTGTCTTAGCCTCCCGAGTAGCTGGGATTACAAGCGCCCACCGCCGCAGCTGGCTAATTTTTGTATTTTTAATAGGGACGGGGTTTCACCATGTTGGCCAGGCTGGTCTCGAACTCCTGACCTCGAGTGATCCACCCACCTCGGCCTCCCAAAGTGCTGGGATTACAGGCGTGAGCCACTGCGCCCAGCCTAGTTTCAACTTTTATCTACATTATAAAGGCACATAGTTTAAAGAGTTAAATACTCTACCAGGCTTGTTATGAAAAAGATCTTCTCATCCCTATTTCCCAGGCCTCAAAGGAATTATGGTGTAATTATGTTTAGACAAATATTCAATGTTTACATTATGTAAATAGTAGTCACAGCTGAGCCATAGTACATTCTGATTACTTTTCCTTTTCTGCACAACTTTTTGTTTTCATTAGAGTTAAAAAAAATTATTTTCTGTTTGTTTGGTTACTTTTCTATGCACTAAATCATCTGAATTATTCACCACTGGTTGTGTAAATTTCCTCTCAATGTACTCAAACACATTACAATCTCTATCAATTTGGTCTTTCTGAAGAGGATTCTTCAATCTGGATTGGGGCAGCTGAGCAGTGGTTGTCTTAGGATATTTTCTTCATGGTTATCCTGGAATTTCTTACATTTCTTCCTAATGAGAGATCCTCTGGTTTTATAGACTTTATGTGTTCACTTTTTCAGTTTTTTACCTTTTTTTTGGTGTATTAGACTTCTGTGACAATGTACAAGTGAGGTACATTTTAAGATTTAACACGTATATTTTCATACTTTATTGATAATTTGCTTTTAAAATTCTTTGCTAGTTAGAATATTACTCAGTGGTGAAAAGAAGCAAACTATTGATACATGTAAAAACTTGGATGAATCTCGAAGACATTACATTGATAAGAAGAGCCAGTTTCAAAAGGTTACATACTGTGTGATTCCATTTATATGAGGTTCTCTAAAAGACAAAACAATGGTGATGGAGAAGAGATCAGTAGTTGTCAGGGTTTAAGGGTGAAGGGAGGGTCTCACTACAAATGGACCACAGGAGTTTTTTGGGGTGATGGAAATGTTCTGTATTCTGATCTTGGTGGTGGTTATGATACGGCTCTGATGAGTGCAGGAACACCAGGGCTCTTGTCTCACGCGAATTGGATAAAACGACACAGACACACGTGAAGTGGTTTTAAGGAACGGAGAGTTTAACAGGCAAGAAAAAAGGGAGAAGAAAGAAGGAGGAAGCTCCCCTGTACAGAGACAGAGGGAGGGGGGCTCCAAAGCCAAGAGAGGAGATCCCAAGTGTGGCAGATACCAGCCAGTTATAGGAGGAGGCTGGAGGAGATGGAGTCTGATTTGCATAGGGCTCAGGGGATTGGTTTGACCAGGCATGTCATTATGTGGCCCACGAAAAAACTGGCCCTCCCACCCTAGTCTTTTAATATGCAAATGAAGGTCGTCATGATGTTCTATACATGTTGGGATATGTGGGGGTGGCCAAGTTGCCAGGCACATGTAGGGCAAGGGCAAGAGGATAACTGTGGGAATTGCCATGTTTGGGCGGACCCGGTTTCTAATGGCCTGCATTTGCATATCAAAGGTTGCCAACCTGGCTCTAAGAGATGGGGCTTTCCTGCTATCAGAAACGTTTTTGGAGCTGCTTTAAAAGAAACGAAAACTTCCCAAAGACCCCTTTTCCTCTCTATCTGCCTAAAATAATTTCTTAATAACTCCTATAACAGTTAAACAAATCTATATATGTTAAAAATTGTAGAACTGTACACTGAAAAGTCATTGCGTATAAGTTTAAAAATAAAACAAAGAATTATGCATTATAAAGGTACAGTTGATTCTTACATTCTATAAAGTCATCACGAACACTGAATTTGTGAATACTGAACCATTGCTCCTAGGGGAAGTATAAGGTTAGGTTCTTGTGAACCCCAGGTACAACATCTGCATCAGCCAATCAATACATAACTTTATTTTATGTGTGTTTCTAAAGACACCTTATTTAATGTATAGTGTGATCCATTATCATTAAACTCACAGCCAACAGCACTGTAATGCATGCCTGAAGGAAGCTCATCTAACCCACTGATATTCTCTGAGGCACATTGCAGCCTTCTTGCACTTAGGAACACTAGACCACACTTCCTTTCTAAGCTTGGGGGGTGTTTCAAACAGTGAACTCACCAACAAAAGGCACGAAAATGCAAAAGAAGATGCAGCACAGCATTAAATAGACTGTAAAGAGGACCCTTGCTTGCAGTACGGGATGTGGTCCAAGAATGCAGAGTGCTGCCTCCTTCAACCTCAGCTGGGACTGTGTGCATTGGGCAAGTCAAATTTTTTCTTGCTCTGTGCATGTCCATGAAAGCACCGGGAGCATTGATTTTGAGATTGCAAACTAGTTTTAGTGGGTAATGCAAGGCACTTGTATTGGTTCGAACCCCGAGCGCACGCCAACAGACAACACAAGGCGGTGTGGAGCAACACGCTGTTTTAATAAGCGCCCGAGCGCCGGCGGGCTGAGGCCTAAAATGGCGTCAGCCCGAAACGGGGACGGGGCAGGGGTTTTATAGTCTCCTGTTAACAGGACGTGTCTGACGTAACTGCTACGCTTACCCAGACGGCCTCTCTCTTGGTCTTCGGCGGGTACGTGTCTTCCGGCCAGCTCTCTTCCGCTTCTGCTGTCTTGATGACGCACAGTGCTGGCGCAAGTCGTCTTGCGCCAGGCGACTGGGTCTGAGGAGGCAGGAGTTATTCATTCCCTTAAGCTTTCAGGCCGGGGGGAGAATCTTTCAGGTAAGCAAATTTGCATATATTGAACTCACAAGTAATGAGAACTGACTGTAATTGACCCTTAGAAATTTGAAGGTAGGGCCGGGCACGGTGGCTTGTACCTGTAATCCCAGCAGTTTGGGAGGCCGAGGTGGGAGGATCTCTTGTGCCCAGGAATTCAAGACCAGCCTGGGCAACATAGTGAAACCCGTTTCTACAAAAAAATTAAAAGATTAGCCGGTGTGGTGGGGCGCACCTTTAATCCCAGCTACTCAGGAGGCTGAGGTGAGTGGATCGCTTGAGCCTGGGAGGAGGAGGTGGCAGTGAGCCGAGATTACACCGTTGCACTCCAGCCTGGACAACTGAGTGAAACTTGGTCTCAAAAAAAAAAAAAAAAAAAAAAAAAGAAATTCGAAGGTATTACCCTGTTGTCCTTGAGTTTCTCATGTTGCTGGTGATATAACTCTGATGCTATTCTGATTGTTACATCTCTCAATGGAAACTTCATTATTTTCACCAGCTTATAGCTACTTTCCTTGCTCCTTAGTAATCTAAAACTTGATGATAGTATTTATTGGTTGGATCTATTTCCACATATTGCATGTGATACTCACGCCTACCATCTAATAAATCCTGTTCTCTGCGGGTTCTGGGACAATTTATTAACATTTTTTCTGCCCTTCTGGTTTTTTTGTTCTCTGTCTGGAACTCCTGGTGTTTGGAATAGGAACTCTTGCACTAGTCCTGTCATTTTTAAATTTATCTTTTCTCCCCGTTTTGCATGTCTTGGTCTTTCTGCTCAACTTTCTGGAATATTTCCTTAACTTTATTTTTCAAGCTTTCTATTAAATTTTTCATTTCTGCTGTCATATTTTTAATTTCTCAGAACCTTTTCTACCATTTGAATGAAAACAAATTGGCATCTTATTCTTATTTCGTGAGTGTGGTATTTTCTCTTACCTCTCTGAGGATGTTAATGTTTTGAGGGAGGAACCTTTTTCCTTCTCCCAGTTTTGGTTTCACCCATGTGGCCTGTCTTTTTTCTGTTTGGTTGTTTTGGCCTTTGGCTCTCAGGTTTGCTCGAAGGTCTTGTGCTCCTTGGCTGTCTGATCTTATTTATTTAGTTATTATTTTTTGAGATGTAGTCTCACTGTTGCCCAGGCTGGAGTGCAGTGGTGCCATCTCAGCTCACTGCAACGTCTGCCTCCCGGGTTTCAGGGAGGTTCCTGCCTCAGCCTCCCGAGTAGATGGAATTACAGGCACCCACCATGCCTGACTAATGTTTGCATTTTTAGTAGAGACGGGTTTCACTGTGTTGGCCAGGCTGGTCTCGAACTCCTGACCTCAGGTGGTCTGCCCACCTCGGCCTCCCAGAGTGCTAGGAGTCTGATCTTATTTTAGAAGGAGGTGCTGAAGAGCTGATTGATAATTCTGAGAACGCAGGGTAGGGGTGGGTGGCTTGTCAAGCTTAAGTATCAGTGCAGGGTGACCTGGCTGGGGTGTGTCCTACCTGCTCCAAAATATCAGTGTATTTCGTTTTCCTTTTTCTGCACTGGGTGCATTTCTCAGAGCAGACCGGATCACTCTCCTGCCTAGAGGATACAATCCCTCCTGCCAGTGCTTTTGGGACATGCTAGGGAAGGAAGGTTGCAGAGGTCTCAGCAATCCGTATATAAGCTTCCCCCCGTACCCCCTGCTTAGTCCCTGTACCTGAAGCTCCCTGTCCAGAGACTCTCTCTTTTATCCTCTCAAAAGAATAAAGTGCAGTCATCTGAACAGGACAGAGGCTGTCAGATGCCCGTGGCATGGGAGAGGAAACCTGGGATCTAACTCTTTCTTTGATTTTCAAACACTCTTTCTATTTTTTGCCCCACTTATGCCTCCAACCTGCAGAGATATCTGGTGCTACTCATTCCTGAATGTTTCAAGGCCCTGCAGGACACTTGGGTTCTTTCTCTTTTTCTTTTTTTTTTTTTGTTTTTCTTTTGCCTTTTTCCCACTGACAGCTTGGGATTCAGTTTTCCTGAGTCTGCTAATCCAGTTATCACTTGTTCATCTACTTTCCAGTGTTAAAAGCTAGTTTTTTAAAAAAAGGTAAAATTGTAACTCTCAGGAAAAAAAATGAACACACATGAAAGATTTTATTGAACTCATGAATGAGGAAGCTGGTGAGGTGTTAGAACCAGCTCAAAGGAGAACGCAAAGAGCAGATCAGAAATTTGAAATTCACTGATCAGAAATTTGAAATGAATTTGCAAACAGAGGAGTATCAGTTTCCTACTGCTGCTGTTACAAATTGCTTCAAATTTAGTGGCTTAAAATACTAAGTGGCTGTGAACCCCAAATATCTGAGACAAGTCTCAGTCAAATTAGAAAGTTTATTTTTTGAAGGTTAAGGACACACCTGTGACACAGCTTCAGGAGGTCCTGACGTCATGCACCCAAGGGGGTTGGGGTACAGCTTGCTTTTGTACATTTTAGCGAGATGTGAAACATCAATCAATATGTGAAAGATTACATTGGTTCTGTCTGGTAAGGTGGGTCAGCTAGAGGTGGGGGCTTCCAGGTCATAAGTAGAAAAGAGACAAAAGGTTGCATTCTTTTGAGTCCTTGATCAGCCTTCCACTAAATACACAATTTAGTCTGGCTCATTAAATCTGCATTTTTACACAAACATAAGGCAGAAGAAGCAATCATATATGCATTTGTCTCTGGTGAGCCTGAGAGGGATGACTGAGTTCTGTCTGTCCTTTGTCCACAAGGAATTTCCTTGTGGGCAAATTGTGAGGGAGGTATATAGCTTTTTATCTTTGTAACTATCCTATTTAGGAATAAAATGGGAGGCAGGTTTGCCTGACATAATTCCCAGCTTGACTTTTCCCTTGTCTTAGTGATTTTGGAGTCCCAAGATTTATTTTCCATTGCTTCTCAGCCTTTTGGCTAAGATCGAGATTTATTTTCCTTTCCTATGGCTTATTAGCTTACAGTTCTGGTGGTAAAAAAAATCCTAAAACCAAAGACTGCCTTCCTTCTGGAGGCTCTAGAGAAGAATCCATTTCCTTGCCTTTTCCAGCTTCTGGAGGCCGCCTGCATTCCCTGGCTTGTGGCCCCTTCCATCTTCAAAGCCAACAGCATCGCGTCTGCAAATCTCTCTGACCACTGTTTCCATTGTCACATCAACTCTGACTCTGACACACCAGCTTCTCCCTTCTAGAGACCCCTCTGACTACAGTGGACCTACCCAGATAACCCAGGATGATTTCTCCATCTCAAGATCATTAACTTCTTCACATTTGCAAAGTCCTTTTTGCCATGTTAGGTAACATACTCACGGTTTCTGTGGATATGATGTGCAGCGGGTGGGAGCATTATTCTATCTACCATAGAAGGCAAACTGATTTTTCCACGAATGGGTGTGGGAGCAGGAGATAGGCGGAGAATTCTATCCCTTTCACTGGACAGAATCCATTTGCAAGTCTACAGACAAGAATTATTTTGCATTGCTAGTAGATCTACAGCTTACAGAGTTGTAAAAGCTCCCATAAAATCAGAATGGGATTGTGTGGAGGGTGTCTTACTGTCAGTGGGTAGTTTTCCTTTGAAACATACATTTCTTGCCATGCCAGATTTCACCATTTCATTGCTTTTGCTGCTTCTCCCATTTCCTTTAACCTAGTGAGTTTATACCTTAACAAAAGACTGTTTCTGATGTTTAGTGGTATTGGGTAAAAAGGAACAGATCATCAATGCATTCAGCGTCTAGCTTTTTCCCAGCTCTGCTTTCCTTTCTGTGGGCTTTGTTCTAGGCAGATTGTCTCCGCATGAACTTTACACCTAAAGATCATGTTATCTGTATTCTAAATTAAAAAATAAAATAAAAAACATTTAAAGATACTACAATTTTAAAAGACTTTTTTTTTTTTAATGAGGCTGAGTCTCACTCTGTTGCCCAGGCTGGAGTGCAGTGGCATGATCTTAGCTCACTGCAACCTCCACCTCCAGGGTTCAAATGATTCCCCTGCCTCAGCCTCCTGAGTAGCTGGGATTACAGGCATGCACCACCATGCCCGGTTAGCTTTTGTATTTTTCGTAGAGACGGGGTTTCACCATGTTGGCTAGGCTGGTCTTGAACTCCTGACCTCAGGTGATCCGCCTCAGCCCCCCAAAGTGTTGGGATTACAGGTATAAGCCACTGCGCCTGGCCTTAAAAGGCTTTAAACTTGGAAAAGTGTATAATTGAACCCCTCCCCCCGCCGCCCCATAGCTGAGCTCTATGGAGGAGGTGAGATCCGCAGGTCAGGGAAGGAAGGAAATAAGTTAGTGGAGATATATACACACCTTCCTCTCTGGCACTGTGGTTGAGGTGAATTGGTTTCCTATTTCCCATCTCCCTTCGTTGGAATAATCCCCTCTGGCCAAGAGGTCCACCTCCTAATTCTGGGAACCTGTGAATATGTTACCTTACAGGGCAAAAGGAACTTTGCAGATGTGATAAAAAGGAGGTTCTTGAAATGGGGAGAGTGTCCTGGACCATCTAGATGGGTCCAATGTAATCACAAAGGCCCTTATAAGTAAAAAAGGGAGGCAGGAGTGTCCTAATTGAAGAAGGAGATAAGAGGACAAGGCAGAAGCAGAGGGGCTGGGGAGAGAGAAACTTGAGGATGCCGCACTGCTGAGGAAGGGGGCCATGAACCAAGGAGTGCAGGCAGCCCCTAGAACCTGGAAAAGCCAATGAAACCGATTCCCCCAGAGCCTCCAGAACGATTCCCCCCAGAGCCTCCAGAAGGAATGCCACCCAGTGAACACCTTGGTTTTAGGACTTCTGACCTCTGGAACTGTAAGGTAACGAGCTACTTAGTGCTTTAAGCTATTAAATTTGTGATAATTTGTTACAGTAACAGAAATACACACACACACACACACATACTTATTTGCACATTCGTTTCACTATTCCTGATCTGTGGAGGTGTCTGTTCCTGGATTCTCCTCTGAACTGGTTCTAACACCTCTAGAATGAACCAGCCCTGCTAACACCAGCCCAGTGAGACTGATTTTGGACCTCTGACCTCCAGGGCTGTAAGATCATAAATTTGTGTTGTGTCGATCCACTAAATTTTTTTCCCCCATGTGATAGTGTTTTTTTTTTTTTTTTTTTTTTTTTTCCGAGATGGAATCTTGCTCTGTCACCCAGGCTGGAGTGCAGTGGTGCAATCTCAGCTGGCTGCAACCTCTGCCTCCTGGGTTCAAGCCATTCTCCTGCCTCGGCCTCCCAAGTAGCTGGGACTATGGGCGCCCACAACCACAGCTGGCTAATTTTTGTATTTTTAGTGAAGACAGGGTTTCACCATGTTGGTCAGGCTGGTCTTGAACTCCTGACCTCAAGTGATCCACCCACCTTGGCCTCCCAAAGTGCTGGGATTACAGGCATGAGCCACTGCTCCCAGCCTTAACTTTAATTGCATATACAAACTCTACTTTATGTCCCCCTCAGTTTATATTCTCAATTTCACAAATAAATCTTTTTATAATTTGTATCCATTAGCATAGTTTTATAGTTATAGTTTTTTAATGGTTTTATCTTCTAAATTCTATACCACAATTAAAACTGACTCACATACCACCATTACAGGATTACATGATTCTGTAATTGTCTATATATTTACCTTTACCAGTGAGTTTTATATTTTCATGTGCTTTTGTGTTGCTGTCTAGCCATTCTTCCATTTCAGCTTGAAAAACTCCCTTTAGCAATTCTTACAAGGTAGGTTACTGGTGATGAACTCTGTCAGCTTTTATTTATCTGGGAATATCTTAATTTCTCCCTCACCTTTGAATAACAGTTTACCTGGATACAGTATTCTTTTTTTTTGAGATGGAGTCTGGCTTTCTTGCTCAGGCTAGAGTGCATTGGCACGATCTTGGCTCACGGCAGCCTCCGCCTTGCATGATCAAGTGATTCTCCTACCTCAGCTTCCTGAGTAGCTGGGATTACAGGTGTGTGCCACCACACCTGGCTAATTTTTGTATTTTTGGTAGAGATGGGGTTTCACCATCAGGCTGATCTCAAACTCCTGACCTCAAGTGATCTGCCCAACTCAGCCTCCCAAAGTGCTGGGATTACAGGCATGAACCACCGCTCCTGGCCCTGGATATAGTATTCTTGATTGACAGTTTTTTTCCTTTCAGCACTTTGGAAATACTACCCTACTCTGTCTTGGCCTACAGTGTTTCTGCTGAGAAATCCATTGATAATCTTATAGAAGCTCCTTTGTACATGACTAATTATTTTTCTCTTGCTTCTTTCGAGGGTCTCTTCTTATCTCTAACTTTTGACGTCTTCATCATGATACATCTCAGAGTAGGCCTTTTGGGTTCATCCTAGTTGGAATCTTCTGAGCTTCTGGAATTTGGATACCCATTTCCTTCCTCAGATTTGGAAGGTTTTAGCCATTATTTTTTCAGATAAGCTCTGTGAATGCCCCTTTCTGTTTCTATTCTCCTTCTGAGACTCCTGCAATACCAATATTGGTCCACCTAATGGTGTCTCATAAGTTACTTAGGCTTTCTTCACTTTTCTTCATTCTTTTTTGTTTTGTTCTTCTGACTTGATAATTTAAAATGAGCTTCTTGAGTTTGCTGGTTCTTTCTCCTGCTTGGTCAAATCTGCCGTTGACCCCTCTAGTGAATTTTCAGATTCAGTTATTATATTATGCTGCTCCAGAATTGTTTGGTTCTTTTTAAAAATGCTTTTTCTGTCCTTGTGGATATTCTTATGTTGTTGAGGTGTCATTTTCTTGATTTCATTTAGTTGTCTAGTTCTCGTGTTGTGCACTGAGTCTTTTTAAGACAATTATTTTGAATTAATTATCAAGTCATTCACAGATCAATGCTTTTTTTTTTTTTAGAGTTGGTTTCTGGATATTTCTTTTGTTTCAATGATTAGACCACATTACCTTGTTTCTTCATGTGCCTTGTTATTTTTCTTTGTGATTTGTGCACTTGAAAAAAAGCCACCACTCCCACTCTTTATGAATTGGCCACATGTAGTGAAAGACCTTGACCGATCAACCCAGCTGCCTCACAAACTTTTCTGGGATGTGTCTTTTCTAGGCATGTGAATGCAGTTTACCAGTTAGAGAGGTCTGTGGGTTTCTGTTTCAATACTTTGTCTTGCTCAGTCTGGTGTCTGCCTGTGATACTGCAGGTTCTCTATTGCTACAAAAAGCCATTGAGCCCTCCTTTGTTTTCAGTGGCACTCAGAGAATCCAAGTATGCTGATTCCCCATCAGTACTCTGAATCAGGTGAGACAGAAACCAGTCCCTGTGGCATCCCCTCCAAAAGCCAGGATGTTGGATTATGTTCCACTCTTTTTTTCCTCTCAAGGGAGAAGTCAGAATTGGGCTTTTCCTCCCAGTTGTATGGAGCTGTGCCAGCTTGGGGAAAGGGTAACCACAGGTGACATGAAGTGGCTGTTCTTACTTGTTTCAGTGTGGCATTCTTGGCTTTGAGCTTCTCTGGGGTACTGTGACATCTGGATTGGTTTCTAGATTTCTCATAAAGGTATTGTTGACTGTGCATTGTTGTTGAGTCAGTACCTTGTAGGGAATAAAGTTTAGGGCTTCCTAATCTGCCATCTTGCTGATATCATTAAAAAACGACTGTGAATTTAAATGTGGTTATTTTTGCTCTTCATGAATATTAAAGACAAATTTCTGGGTTATAAGTATACTTTAAAGTTGACTGTGCTAAAACAACCCACAGAATTGTTTCACCTAGCTGTGTTAAATGTTTACACAAATGGAAGCTGATAATTATTAGAGTTTTATCCTGAGGTTTTATTAAGTGACAGACTCTGAAATAATTTCTTTGAATATGGAACTGGCAAGTTGGACTTCAAAGTTCAGAGTGTGTTCAATCCCTCTTCTTCATGACTTGTCACTGACTTGCTGGGGAACTTTAGGCAAGTTGCCCAACTTCTCCAAACCACTGTCAAATGGGGAAAATGATGCTACCTCTCTTCCCAGTTTAAAGTGGCAATTAAAAAGATAACATAATGGAAGTGTTTATCTGAGAGCCTGGCTCAAGGTGAAGACACAGTGAGTTTTAGGTATTGTTATATGCACTTTAGAGAGTCTGAATAACTTTGAATGAAAATTCAAGCCCAGGGGCTGTGCCTCCAGCCCTCTCTCATAATGGCAACTCTATCCTTCTCTACAATGTCAGACTTGATGCAGGAGTGCATCCTTAGCTCTGAGGCCAAAAATTAAATATACAAAACTTGGGAGGGCGGCCCAGTTGATCTGGTTTTAAAATGAAAAGTTCCATGTCCAGGAAACCTCTTGAGTCCTGGGCAAACCAGGACATACGGGAAACCCTACTAGTTTCTACAACTCTGTGTATGTGCATACTCTTTTAATGGGAATAGAATGAGAATGTTATCTATATTGGATGACAGTGATGATGGAGATTAACAGTGATGATGACAACAGCGATGACGATGATGATGATGATATGCAACAGTGAAGTAATTGCACCACTGTTTTTATTTTTTTATTTTTTTGAGGTGGAGTCTCAGTCTGTCACCCAGGCTGGAGTGCAGTGGCACAGTCTCAGCTCACTGCAACCTCTGCCTCCCGGCTTCGAGTGATTCTCTTGCCTCAGCCTCCCAAGTAGCTGGGATTACAGGTGCCTGCCACCATGCCCAGCTAATTTTTGTATTTTTAGTAGAGACGAGGTATTGCCATGTTGGCCATGCTGGTCTTTAACTCCTGACTTCAGGTGATCTGCCCGCCTTGGCCTCCCAAAGTGCTGGGATTATAGGCATGAGCCACTGCACCTGGCCCGCACCACTGTTATAAGTGTTTTGTATACATTGACTCATTTAATCATCACAGCAAAAACAAATAGCCCCACCCAGTGGCGATAGGAAAGACCTTTCCCCAGACTGTGAACTAGAAAGGCACAGTGTGCTTTTGAGTCTCTCCAGAGCAGCCCACAAGCCACCTGCATCAGGGCTCCTCGCCAGCTCCTCTTACTTTTGATTATCGTTTTTTTTTTTCTTTTTGTTGGTTTTTGACACGGAGTCTCGCTCTGTCACCCAGGCTGGAGTGCAATGGCACGATCTTGGCTCACTGCAACCTCTATCTCCCGGGTTCAAACAATTCTCCTGCCTCAGTCAAGTGATTCTCCTGCCTCAGAGCTCCTCTTGAAGTTTGATTGAGAAGGTCAGAGTGGGGCCAAGGATTCTGCCTTTTAAATACACACCCAAAGTGATCCTGACCAGGCACAATGAAACAGTTCTGGGATAGCGTGTGGGAGATGATTTGGGGAGAATGAGGGTGACAGTTTAGGCCAGACGATTTTTGTGTGCAGCCAAAGGTTTTTGCTTTGGAAACTACATTCTTCTCCATGTCTCAGGGAGGCTTACTTAGATCTGATTCTATCATTTGGGTATTGTATTAGTCCATTTTCACACTGTTATAAAACTACTACCTGAGACTGGGTAATTTATAAAGGAAAGAGGTTTAATTGACTCACAGTTCCCCATGGCTAGGGAGGCCTCAGGAAACTTACAATCACGGCAGAAGGAGAAGCAAGTACCTTCTTCATAAAGTGGCAGGAAGGAGTGTGAGCTAAGCAAGAACTTGCCAAACACTTATAAAACCATCAGGTCTTGTGAAAACTCACTCACTGTCACGAGAACAGCATGGGGGAAACTGCTCCAATGATCCAATCACCTACCACCGCCTTCCTCCCTTGACGTATGGGGATGATGGGGATTACAATTCAAGATGAGATTTGAGTGGGGACACAGCCAACTCATGTCGTTTTGCCCTGGCTCCTCCCAAATCTCATGTCCTCACATTTCAAAACATAATCATGCCTTCCCAACAGTCCCCCAAAGTCTCATCCAAAGTCCCCCAAGTCCAAAGTCTCATCTGAGACAAGGCAAGTCCCTTTCACCTTGGAGCCTTCAAAATCAAAAGGAAGTTTAGTTGCTTGCAGGAACAATGGGAGTACAGGCATTGGATAAATGCTCCCATTCCAAAGGGGAGAAATTGGCCAAAACAAAGGGGCTACAGGCCACATGCAAGTCTGAAATCTGGCAGGGAAGTCATTAAATCTTAAAGCTCCCATGGTCTTGGGCAGCTCCGCCTCTGTGGCTTTGCAGAGTACAGTCTCCCTCCCAGCTGCTTTCATGGGCTGACATTGAGTTTCTGTGACTTTTCCAGGTGCATGATGCAAGCTGTCAGTGGATCTGCTATTCTAGGGTCTGTAGGACAGTGACCCTCTTCTCACAGCTCCACTAGGCAGTACCCCAGTGGGGACTCTGTGTGGGGGCTCCAACCCCACATTTCCCTTCCTCACTGCCCTAGCAGAGGTTCTCCATGAGGGCTCCACCCCTGCAGCAAACTTCTGCCTGGACATCCAGGCATTTCCATACATCCTCTGAAATCTAAGAGGTTCCCAAACCTTAATTCTTGACTTCTGTGCACCCACAGGCCCAACACCATGTGGAGGCCACCAAGGCTTGGGGTTTGCACCCTCTGAAGCAATGGCCTGAGCTGTACATTGGCCCTTTTAGCCATAGCTGGGATGCAGGGCACCAAGTCCTGAGACTGCTCAAAGCAGCAAGGCCCTGGGCCCGGCCCACGAAACCATTTTTTCCTCCTAGACATTAGGCCTGTGATGGGAGGGTCTGCCATGAAGACCTCTGACATGCCTTGAAGACATTTTCTCCATTGTATTGGCGAGTAACATTTGGCTCCTTGTTATTTTTGCAAATTTCTGCAGCCAGCTTGAATTTCTCTCCAGAAAATGGGTTTTTCTTTTCTATTGCGTCATCAGGCAAATTTTCCAAACTTTTATGCTCTGCTTCCATTTTAAACATAAGTTCCAATCTCAGATCATTTCTCTCAAGTTCAAAGTTCCACAGATCTCTAGGGCAGGGGCAAAATGCCACCAGTCTCTTTGCTAAAGCATAGCAAGAGTGACCTTTACTCCAGTTCCTAACAACTTCCTCATCTCCATCTGAGACCACCTCAGCCTGGACTTCCTTGTCCATGTCACTAACAGCATTTTGGTCAAAACCATTCAACAAGCCTCTAGGAAATCCCAAACTTTCCCACATCTTTCTGTCTTCTTCTGAGCCCTCCAAACTGTTGTACCCTCTGCCTGTTACCCAGTTCCAAAGTCACTTCCACATTTTTGGGTATCTGTATGGCAGTGCCCCACTCCCAGTACCAATTTACTATATTAGTCTGTTCTCACACTGCTATAAAAATACTATCTGAAGGCTGGGTGCAGTGGCTCATGCCTGTAATCCCAGCACTTTGGGAGGCCGAGGTAGGCAGATCACCTGAGGTCAGAAGTTCGAGACCAGCCTGGCCAACATGGCAAAAACCCGTCTCTATTAAAAATACAAAAAAATTAGCTGGATGTGGTGGCATGTGCCTGTAATCCCAGCTACTTGGGACGCTGAGGCAGGAGAATTGCTTGAGCCCAGGAGGTGGAGGTTGCAGTGAACCACCACTGTACTCCAGCCTGGGTGACAGAGCAAGACTCCATCTCAAAAAAAAAAAAAAAAAAAAACTACCCGAGACTGGGTGGTTTGTAAAGGAAAGAGGTTTAATTGACTCACAGTTCCACATGGCTGCAGAGGCCTCAGGAAACTTACAATCATGGCTGAAGGAGAAGCAAGTACCTCATTCACAAGGCAGCAGGAAAGAGTGTGAGCAAAGGGAGAACTTGCCGAACACTTGTAAAACCATCAGCTCTCATGAGAACTTACTCACTGTCATGAGAACAGCATGGGAGAATCCTCATACACCCCCCACCCCTTGCCCACTTCCTCTCTGGCATGCTGATTTAAAAGTAGACTTTTGACTTATAGATATTAATAAACATGCCCTGATTCAATAAACCCAGCAGATGTTACCATACATAGTCTCCTTGGGTGATTTTGGGGTGAGCAAATCTACCAAGGTGATAAATGATTTTGCTTATGATTGAAGTAGCGACATTAGGGATATGGATTTTATATTACATGTCCACATTAATATTAAATATAAACATCCATAATAATAAATATTAATATTAATATATAAATATAGAATATTTAAGAGCTCTCACTGCAGAAACCGTTTTCATGCACTGGGATTCATATATTCAACAAAATAATGTTTTCGGGGTTGTTCTAAGGGCTTTCTATATTTCCCTTATTTAATTCTCAAACCTATGATGTAGTTACTTCTATTATTTCCATGTTACAGATGAAAAATTGAGGCACAAAAAGGTTGAGTAACTTGTTGTAGTTATATAATTAGTAAATAGCGGAGTTTAAAGGACACTAAAATGTAGTAGTTAAAAAGCAAGTCTGCAAATTCTTCGACATTCTTCCCGTAGATTTTTTTTCAGTCAATCTAAAAATCTGGCCAGTTCAAAGAGATGTTGAGAAAGTGCTGGAGACCAGTGCTTTCCAAACTGTACTGAATATATAAATCATTTGGGGATCATGTTCAAGTGTAGATTCTGATTTAGTAGCTGTGGGGTCCTGCATTTCTAACAAGCTCCCAACAGATGCTGATGCTGTGGGTCATGGAGTGCATAGAGAAGCAAGGCTGTCACTTTATTTATAAAAAAACAAGGCCAAGGAAAGTAACTTCTCCAAGGCCAATAGCTGGTTTAGGGACAGAGCCCGAGTAAGTAATTCTAATTATAGGTGAAATTCAAAGATACACATGATGAAAGATTTGAGTCCGATGCCAATGAAACCACTAAATTCTGAGGTCATTTTTTTTTTTTTTTTTTTTTTTTTTGGAGACAGGATCTCACTCTGTTGCCCAGGCTGGAGTGCAGTGGTGCAGTCACAGCTCACTACAGTCTTGATCTCCCAGGCTTAATTGACCCTCCCACCTTAGCCTCCTGAGCAGCTGGGACTACAGGCACATGTCACTATGCCTGGCTAATTTTTGTATTTTTTGCAGATACAGGGTATCACCATGTTGTCCGAGCTGGCCTCAAACTCCTGGGCTCGCCTCAAACTCCTGGGCTCAAGCAATCCATCCACCTCAGCCTCCCCAAATGCTGGGATTACAGACATGAACCACTGCACTAGGCACAGATAATTTTTAAGGCAATCTGGGATCCACAGGTATTGATAAATGATTATGGAAATAATTATTACCTACAAATTACTTGCTTATTACTTTCACATTTCTTTTCTATACCCATGTTTTGGGTTGAGTTCCTTAGAAGCAGAGCCTAAGACAAAGATTGTGTGTGTGAGAGTGATTTAGGAGGACATAATCCCAGGTAAGCCAGTGGGGAGTGGGGATTTGTGACAGGGAAAGAAGCCGAGGAAGGATGGAGTATCCGGCAAAGTCCCATGGAGGGTAACTTTTGTTGAATCCCCCTGGGAGCTCTGTGGACGGTGTAGGGCATACTCAGCTGATGTCTTAGTTAGTTCAGGTTGCTGTAAAAAAAAAAAAAAAAAACAGAAAAAATCCCACTGACTGGGGGGCTTAAATAGCAGAAATTTATTTGTCACAGTTCTGGAGGCTGGAATACCCAAGTTCATTGCGCTGGCACATTTGGTTACTGGTGAAGACCGTTTTCCTTTATTCTCACATGGTGGAGAGAGAGATCATCTTTATCATGCCTCTTCTTATAGGGGCACTAATCCCATTCATGAGGGTTTTACCATCATGACCCAGTTTCCTCCCAATCTCACCACCCATCAAATACCATCACAGGGGGTTAAGGCTTCAACGTATGAATTTAGGGGGGGCTCACTCAGTCCATAGCAGCTGTCTAGAACTGTGCTGTTCGAGATAGCAACCCCTAGCCACATGTGGCCATTGAGCCCTTGAAATGTAGCCAGTCCAAAGTCAGTATGTTGTAAGTATGAAGTATGCACTTGATTTTGAAGACTTAGTACAAAAAAGTAAACTATCTCACTAGCAATTTTTAAATATTGGTTACATGTTGAAATGATAATATTTGGACTCTCATGGCTTAATAACATATATAATCAAATTTATTTTACCTGTTTATTTTTGCTTTTTTGTAAAAAAAATCTAGCCTCTAGAAAATTTACAATTACACTGGTAGATGGCACTATCTTTCTTTCTTTCTTTTCTTTTTTTTTTTTTTGAGAGGGAGTTTCGCTCTTGTCGCCCAGGCTGGAATGCAGTGGCATGATCTCGGCTCACTGCAACCTCTGACTCCCGGGTTCAAGCAATTCTCCTGGGATGGCACTATATTTCTATTGGATGGTGCTGGTTTATATTCTTGCACACATAAATCACTAGATAAGGACATTGGTTAAGGCATTTCTAGCTCTCCCTGATCCCAGGCAAAACTGGCTTCAGCAGCTTAAGTTGGGCAGTAAGCCACAGGTGCTTGGCTGCTGGGCAGAGAAGCATACTGGGAGTCTACATGCAGGAAAACGGGAAAGAGATGCAAAGGGATATGGCAGTATACTGACAGTGCCTGTTATGATCTGTGTAATGCTGTACAAAGACTTAGTGATGTTTTATTTATATGTATTTGTTTTTAAAACAAAGTTCATCATAAGCAATAATATTAGTGGCACCTCAGGCTTCATATGCTAGAAATATTTATTTCTAAGAGACATTAAAATAAACACATAACTATTAAAACAGAATGATATTTATCTGCCTTCTCAGCAGTGATGTACATTACGGAACTTTCTGGCAAAAACCAATGTTCATTAATCTTCAGCAAAGGAATTCTGTTAAAAGAATAGTTAATCATTTTCTGATATGTGTAATTATGACTCTCCTTCCCTTCGATTTTATGAAGCCATTTGAATTCCTTCAATGTGTTACTTTGACACTTAATGCAATGTTTATGCAACAATCACCAAAATTAATTGTGTTCCTTTTGGAAACTATTTAAAATCCCCATCTTTGGCCAGCCTTATTGACATGTGCACATTAAAGTATGACTATGCAACAATAATACTTTTACAGCAATGAATAAATGTCAAATTAATTATGTCAGAATTGTAATTTGTCTGCTTCCTTTCTAATATGTATAATTATTAATTTGGGGAAAGTGTGCAGAAAATATTAAGCATATTGTCAGAGCTGAAGCTCAACATCTAAAGTGAGGTTACTTTTCCTCTGAAATGTATTCTTTGGGGGTTTCCTTTTTGGCAGAATTTGTTACTTGTTGGCCAATGACTTTTAGGGAAATTCCATCCTCTATCTCATATGACAAGCCAATGGCTAGAAAATATCAATGGAAATATCATCAGAATTTTTTGTTTATAAAAACGTTGTGGGGTAGGTTTTCTTTTTGTTGTGAATAGGACTGCACCATCTTCTAATTTGGTTTGCCAGGCTATATATCTAGCTAAAAATAGAAAGTGCACCTGCTTCTTTTCATTCTTTAAATATTATATATGCATCCTCAGAGAATCCTTCTCCATTTTGGCTGAACATTTTTGATGGTGTCCTTCTGCCATCATCTCAGATGGCAGGAGGAGATGAGCTGTCTGCCTCTTTCTAGTTTTTTCTTTGAATTGTGCTTTGTTTATAACTTTTACATACATAAATTTTCATGTGTAGTATTTCTATAGCATTCTTTAATTGGAGGTGGATTCAGTGACAAGCACTGTGGACATAAGTGGGTTTGGGTGGGGGCTCTGGCAGGCTCTTCTCTGTTGTAGTATAGTAAGAAATTACAGGGTACAACTTTCAGTGTGATTTCAGCAAAGTTCGAGGAGGCACAAGACTATTAGAGCTGTTAAATGTGGCTGTTTGCCAAACCCGTAGACCCAGGCATGTTCTCGGGATCCCTCCCTAATCCTGTTAGCACACAGCCTGCCTATATTTGCAGGGGCCAGCTAACCTCCAGTTTCCAGGAATGTTCTGGGCAATCCACTTCCCTCTCTTCCAGGCTGCCTCTGAGTGCTGATCTCTCTCTTCCACCTTCTCTCTCCTTCTTCTTTCTCTTCCACCCTCATTTCTCTTTTCTAGAATGTGGGATTTGGGACTAGTGTGAGTGCTTAAGGTGAACTCTGTGGGTGTAGCAGCAGGTTCTCATTTATTATAATTTTGGCTGCTGTGCATATCTTTATTTCTTTCTTTCTTTTTTTTTTTTTGAGATGGAATCTCGCTCTGTCGCCCAGGCTGGAGTGCAGTGGTGCGATCTCGGCTCACTACAACCTCTGTCTCCTGGGTTTAAGTGATTCTCCTGCCTCAGCCTCCTGAGTAGCTGGGATTTCAGGTGCGTGCCACCATGCCTGGCTAATTTTTTTTGTATTTTTAGTAGAGACGGGGTTTCACCATATTGGCCAGGCTGGTCTCGAGCTCCCAATCTTGTGATCCGCCCGCCTCGGCCTCCCAAAGTTCTGGGATTACAGGCGTGAGCCAGCGCGCCCATCCAGCTGCTGTGCATTTCATGGCCAGAACATAGCACAAGGACGTGGCCGGCCCCTTACTGATTGGCATTTTCCTGTCTCCAGTGCTTTCCTGTTATAGATTGTGCACGAGCAGTCATTCTGGAATGTCTACCTTTACACTCAGGTACGAGGGCATCTGTTGGGCTGATGCATAGAAGGGGAATTACTCAAACAAGGGAAATATTTTAATGTTACAGAATACCACACTTTCATCACAAAAGTTTTCATCTGTATAGAAAGATTTAATTGGAAATGAATGAAGACCTCTGATATGGTTTGGCTGTGTCCCCACCCAAATCTCATCTTGAATTGTAACTCCCAAATTCCCACATGTCATGGGAGGAACTCGGTGGGAGGTGATTGAATTATGGGGGCAGGTCTTTGCTGCGCTGTTCTCATGATAGTGAATGAGATCCGATGGTTTTAAAAAGAGGAGTTCCCCTGCACAAAATCTTTTTGCCTGCTGCCATCCACATAAGTCATGACTTGCTCCTCCTTGCCTCCCACCACAATTATGAGGCTCCCCAGCCACGTGGAAATGTAAGTTCAGTGAAACCTCTTTCTTTTGTAAATTGCCCAGTCAGAGATATGTCTTCATTAGCAGTGTGAAAACGGATTAATACAACCTCTTTTGAGGTTTCTTTGAAATGACAGTTTTTCTGGTTTCAAAGACTATGCAGACTAGTCCTAACCCTGCCTTTGCTCCCTCTAAGAGGGGCATCTTCCTCATGCACAGAGCTTAGTCCTTCAATGTGGTAAGGAAAGATCAATTTCACCTTTCCTCATTATTGCTTTTTTTTTTTTCTTTTTAGACAGAGTCTTGCTCTGTCACCAGGCTGGAGTGCAGTGGCACAATCTCGACTCACTGTAACCTCCAACTCTTTGGTTCAAGTGATTCTCCTGTCTCAGCCTCCCAAGTAGCTGGGATTACAGGCACGTGCCACCATGCCCGGCTAATTTTTGTATTTTTAGTAGAGACAGGGTTTCACCATGTTGGCCAGGATGGTCTTGATCTCCTGACCTCATGATCCGCCCGCCTTGGCCTCCCAAAGTGCTGGGATTGCAGGTGTGAGCCACTGTGCCTGGCATGCTTTTTTTAAAAAAATAAATTTTATTGTACATATTTAAGGTATACATTATGATGTTATGAGTGGGATCCACATAGATAGTAAAATGGTTACGATAGTGAGTAAATTACCATATTCATTATCTTACATAGTTACACATTATTCTTTTTGTGTGTGGCAAGAGCAGCTGAAATCTATTTAATTAGCAAAAATCCTGAATATAACACAATATAATGTTGTGTTATATTGTACAACTATAGTTAATAATTAACTATAGCCCTTATGTCTCAATAAAACAAACCCGGTCCATATATTTATATTTATTATATTTATATTACATAAGCCAAGGGTCCCAGTCCATGGCCCGTTAAAAACCCAGGCCACACAGCAGGAGGTGAGCAGCGGGCAAGCGAGCAATTCGCCTGAGCTCCACCTCCTCTCAGGTCAGCGACAGCATTAGATCTCATAGTTCTCGCAGGAGCACGAACCCTATTGTGAGCTATGCATGGAAAGGATCTAGGTTGTGCACCCCTTGTGAGAATCTAATACCTGATGATCTGAGGTGGAAGTTTCATCCTGAAAGCCTCTCCACCACCCCTCCCACCCTCACTGCCCTGTCCATGGAAAAATTGCCTTCTATAAAACCGGTCCCTGGTACCAAAAAGGTTATGGACTGCTGCTATAAGTAATACAAAAATTAGCCCAACATGGTGCACACCTGTGGTCCCAGTTACTTGGGAGGCTGAGATGGGAGGATCGCTTGAGTCCAGGAGGTCGAGGTTACAGTGAGCCTCCATTGGGTTCCACTCCAGCCTGGGCAACAGAGTAAGACCTTGTCTTAAAAAAAAAGTAATGTAGTGAATAAATGAATATATTCTTGTTATAAGAATGCCAACAATGCTCAAATATATCTGTGAGTACTTATTTTTGCCTGACATCTTAACATACTAAATGCTGAATACATTTTCATTCAACAGTATGTCATGGGTATCACATTGCATGTCTATATCAAAACATCTCATGTACTCCATAAATATATACACCTAATATGTACCCACAAAGATTAAAAACAATTTTTTTTCTTAAAAAATATGTTGTGGATAAACTTCCACATCAGTATATGCAGGTCTATGATTTTTTCTTTCTTTTTTTAGAGACAGAGTCTTGCTTTGTTGCCCAGGCTGGAGTGCAGTGGTGTGATCATTGTTCACTGAAACTTCAAACTCCTGGGCTCAAGCAATCCTCCCACCTCAGCCTCCTGAGTAGCTAGGACTGTAGGAGTGTGCTACCATACCTGGCTAATATTCTTTATTTTTTGTACAGATAGAGTCTCACTATGTTGCCCAGGCTGGTCTCAAACTCCTGGCCTCAAGTAATCGTCTTTCCTTGGCCTCCCAAAGTGCTGAGATTATAGGTGTGAGCCATGGAGCCTGGCCCTTACCAATTTTTCAAAAATGGCTGCAAAGTATTCTATATCCTGGTTTTATGATTCTGATTCAAATTTATTAGCCATTCCCTAATGATGGACAGTTGTCTGCAGTTTGTTAATATAATATGATACATTCAACATATTTGCACCGATTTTTTTGCTTATTTGTATGTGGATATATATCACAATGTGGAATTGTTGGGCTGATTTATTTAAAAATGCTGGTGTAGTCCATAAACTAAGATAGATAAAGTTAAGATTTGAGACAATAAACTTGCAATCCCTCTTTTTCCCCAGTAGTTGTCTGAGGTATTGTAGCATAAATAACAAATGTGTGTAATTAAAAACCAAAATTAGCTGAGCAAAAATACTATCCCTGCCCAAATTTCAGTTTTAAATTCTTATTTACAAACACTGTTTCTTGTTTTTCCTGCCTTTGATGTGAACTTTAATTTTTAAGTGTAATCTAAACCACCTTTAAAACAAATCATTTATTCGTAAGGTTTACTATGTCATAATTGCCTGGTTATTTGGATGATAGATGTGTCATATCTGAAAACTAACTAGTTATCTTTTGAAATGTATTTCAACATGCATTATCTGAAGCAGCAAAGGTGAGAACACTGCGTGGATAAATATGATAAAAAATATGATGGATTTACAAGCACAGCACTCAGGTTTAGCATTTAGTCATTTTTATTATGTTGTTGGGTCAAAAGTGTAAAAGAAGACCAGCAGAGGAACTGTTAAGGCTCCTTGGAGTTTTTGCCTGCCCTCCTGCCTGGGGATGGAGGTAGTTCTAGCCTAGAAACTCTTGAATGCTTTACAAATAATAGAAGCCAAGTGGGAAAAGCATGTTCTATATTTTAATGCTGACATCCTCATAGAAAAAAAAAAGTAAAGATTCAGAATACTTGGCTGTGATTCAGTACCTAAACACTTCCTGGTGTTTCTCAGAATCCCCCGGAGACTCATAAATGCTGCTGTGTTGGAGGTACCCATTGCTGCTGCACACTTAGGCCAGTTTGTCAAACTAACGAGCTCAAGAGCGATGCTATTTCTAGGTTCAACCCCATGGGGGAGGAACAGAGAGAAAACAAAACCAAAATTCAGACAGAAGAGTAATCCTAAAGGCCAGTTGACAAAAAATTTATTAACACATATATACCAAATCTCACCCAGAGTAGTATCCTTTGTGGAGATTTTACCCTACAAATCTTTTGCTAGCTCCTTGAGTCCAAGCATTACAGATAAGGTGGTATGGTTTTTACACTGGGTGATGTTTATTGATCTGGACTTAAAAAACAGCACTGTCTGGCTTTTTTTCACTGACACAATATTTGCAAATAACTATGGAATGGAGAGGACGTGTTTTCCTCTTGTTAGGGCCTATTGTTTTTTAAGAAAATTAACAAAAGGGAGAGAGAAGCTTTAACACTCATTGAGAGGGACTTTTTATTCTGGGATTTGATAACTAAGATTCGGGGAAGATAGTGAGTTTTGGTGTAATTTGTGTCATCAAAACAACCCCTGTATTAGAGCAGGAGATACAGTATCAATAGATAATGAGAAAAGACAATGGAAATTATACAAATGTATGTTTCTTAAAAGCTTTTGCTACCTATTATTTTCTAGCCTATAGGCAAAATTTAGAGACATATAATGGATATGCTTATATTGATAGTAACATATCATGTAATTTAAAAGGCTAAGTCCACCTTACAGGTTTGCCTCATGCCATGATGAATCATTTTGAAATGTGATTGGTCTTCTAAGGGATTGTTCAAAGATTGTCAGTCAATCATTGACAAAATAACTCTGTGAGGTGACTTACTACAGTTTGGTTTTGATGTTTACAACATAACCAAATGTGAACTTTGGAGCTTGTAAAGTTGTTCTTTCAGCATTATAAATTTGGCAGCTTCCTCTTCCTGCCTCCCTTCTCCTCCTCCTTCTCTTTTTCTTCTTCTCCTTATCTTCCCTTCCTGCTTCAACAAATTCACAGAAATAGGAGGCCTGCTGTATTAATTTTATTGTTTGCTTACTTTCAAATCTTTTCTTTCAGGCATATTTCAATATATAATTGATATGAAGTGTGACAATTTTTAATTTGTCTTGACTTTTTAAATTTTATGATAGAAAATGGAAACCAACATATATAAATAATCTACTAATATTTCTTAACCTTTATATATATGCTCAAGAGAAGACTTTTTTCTTCCCCCTGGAATGAATTTTTTTTTTTTTAAAGAAAGTCAAGTATTATGTATACACAGCTTTTGAATTCTTGGATATATTTTTGAAACTTTAAAACATTATTATTTATATTAATCTTTGAAGTATTTCCTCTTGAGGAACTACCTATACTTCTTGCATAGTGACCTAGTTTCAATAGTAACATTTTATAGAAGCTGATGGTAAAATTTATGTCTTCGGACCATAATTAATTATGTTTTGAACTTAAACAGGAACATCTCCTTTCTTAACTAAACGGCCGTGTCTTACATTTACATGATTTGCTATTTGTACCTTAAAGAGGTGTAATAGTTTTATTATGTTCTTATGTCATCAGTAATTTCATATGTGAGTCATGAATCCCATAGATTTAGTGGTGCTCAAATACACTTATTGATTGATTGATTTGCTATACAATTGGCTCTCTGTATTTATGAGTTCTGTATCTAGGGATTCAACCAACTTTGGTTTGAAAATATTAGGGGAAAAAAGAAAATATACAACCATAAAAATACATATTTAAAAAATTCAGTGTAACAACTATTTACTTAGTATTTACATTATATTAGGTATTACAAGTGATCTAGAGATGATTTAGAATTACAGGAGGATGTGCATAGGTTATATACAAATACTATGCCATTTCATTTAAGTGACTTGAGCATTTGTGGATTTTTTGGGGCATTTCTTGAACCAATCCCCCATGAATACCCAGGGATGGCTGTATATGGTTGATACTTTGGGAAGATTTTAGATTTAGTATAAATGGAAACTTAAAGCGTAGGCTTGCAGTTAAATATATTTAACTGCCATCATTCTAGAAACCAAGAGTTGAAAAAGCCCTTTAGGGACTTAATGCTCTTCTTTCCGTAAATGTGTAGAGCACAGCTGCCCTAACCTGGCTCGTCATCAGAGCTTCCTGGGGACCTCTTAACAACGTGGATTCCAGGGTCAGCCCCCAGGAGAACATGGCTCCATAGGTTTGGGGTACAGCCAGTAAGCTTCATTCAACAAAACCAAACCCAATCCCAAAAATATTCCAAACACTTTTGATAATCAGCGGTGTTTGGGAATCATTGATGTTTAGCAGGGCGTGTGAAAGGAGAAGGTACAATTATGAATCAAGAAAATGGAGATGTCTTTTATAAAGTCACTCTGCAAATTTTGGGGGTGTTTAAAATTTTTTTTAAATTGACACCATGAACGGTTAATTTTTTTTGTATTTTTAGTAGAGACAGTGCTTCACCATGTTAGCCAGGATGGTCGCGATCTCCTGACCTCGTCATCTGTCTGCCTCGGCCTCCCAAAGTGCTGGGATTACAGGCGTGAGCCACCGTGCCTGGCCAGAAATTTTTTATTCATTGACCTATAGCTCCCTAATCCTCTTACTCACTAGCCTCTGGTACCCACCATTCTCCTCTCTGCTTCTCAGTTCAACGTTTTTAGATTCTACGTAGAAGTGGGATCATGCCATGTTTCTCTTTTTGTGCTTTGCTTATTTCATTTAACACAACGTTCTTTAGGTTCATCCATGTTGTTGGAAATGACAGGATTTCCTTTTAATTCAAGGCTGAATAGTATTCCTTTGTGTATATGTGCCACACTTTCTTTATCCACTCGTTGGTTGGTGGGTACTTAGGTTGGTTCCATGTCTTCACAATTGCAAATTGATGTATCACATCTTCTTTATTCATTCGTCTGGTGATGGACACGTAGGTTGATTTCACATCTTAGCTATTATGAACAGTGCTGCAATGAACATGGGAGTGCAGATGTCTCTTTGACAGACTGATTTCCTTTCCTTTGGATTATACCCAGAAGTGGGATTGCTGAATCACTAAGCTAATTTTGACATCATTAAACTATCATCCTTCCAAGTGCATATTCCTGATATTAAACTTCTTGGGAAATTAGTAAACATGTATATGTGCTCACCAGGGCATCTCTGGGGTGTGTGGGTTGTGGATAAACACTTTTGTTGAAGGGCTTTTGTCCATATAAACAATTTGATTAAAAAAAATATATATTTTTTGATATAGAGTCTCCCTCTGTCACTCAGGCTGGAGTGCAATGGTGTGCAATCACTGCTCACTGCAACCTCTGCCTCCTGGGTTCAAGTGATTCTCCTGCCTCAGCCTCCTGAGTAGCTGGGATCATAGGCACCCACCACCATGCCTGGCTAATTTTAGTATTTTTAGTAGAGATGGGGTTTCGCTATGTTGGCCAGGGTGGTCTTGAACTCCTGACCTCAAGTGATCTGCCCACCTTGGCCTCCCAAAGTGCTGGGGTTACAGGCATGAGCCACCATACCCGGACTAAAAAAATATATCATAAAACTCATGGGCTTGTATGAGGTATGCTAGTCATCAAAGGAGAAGAGAAGAGGTAGTCACACATTTGTTTATTGTCCAACTGGCACATGGGAAGATTCTAGTGTCCAGGCTCCATTGTGTCCTGTTAAGGTCCAGTAGCCATTGCTTCCATTCTTCATTATCTAATGTGCTGATTCAGGCTAATTTCATGTCTTCCACCAGGAGAATGAGGGAGCCACACTGTTTTTATTCATAATGCCATGCTCTTTGGAACCTGTTTGCATTGAGACAATGTAGGCCTTCTTGCCTTTGCAATCCCCAGTGCCATTTACATCATCAGTTCTGATGGCTGCCTCATTCATTGGACTGGCCATGAACCCTGGCTTCTGATGACTCTCTCAAAGGTCATGACTGTGTGTCCATGATGGTGACCACAAATGGAAGTCTCACTCAGCATCTGCAGGGAGATGTGAATGGTAGTTTGTTTTCTGGTCTTGTTAAATTTACTGTTTGGAACTTTAGAGTGTAAACGTAGAAAGCCTATCTTCTGAGTATATCTTCTTTTGGAATCTTTAGGTGGTAGCTGCAAGAACTCTTAGTATGTTGACCTCACCTCTGCCTTCCACATACCACTACCAGTGAGGAATTAGGAATGCATGAGAAGAGTGTCCAAGAAGAGTGTCCTCATTCATGCAAGGCTTAAGAGAGAATGCAGGTCAACATCACCATGTCAATCAGAGGTAGGTGAGCTCACCAATTGGAAAGGCCCATTGGTGTGGGGATGAATGGTCTTGAAAAAGCCCTTCAGGAGATAGGTGTGGGCACCCAAGAGGATTGCCTAATGTGTGGTATGAAGCTAGTAGAGGTTGTCGGGTGACTGCATTAGGAGACACAATGTATAGAATGTCAGTTGCCACCCCCACTATCCTAAGATGCTGTAGACCAGAGGTAGCATGGTGAGGGGCACATGGGTGGGTGAGAGCCTGGCATGGGCCCACAGTGTTTAGTTTAATAGTAGTCCAGAAATCTGATGTTGTCTTGTGCCGCGCTTGAGTGAGAATCATCAAAATTGGTGTGTTAGCCCCATTCTACTTGTCAATCTTGTGCAATCACATGAAAGAAATGCTGTGCCAGCTGGCAGGGAGCTATCTGCTGGTCTCCTGGAATTGGGATCTCCCCAGATGACCCGTGCGTGAGATTCAGGGCTCCTCTGGGCAGCTAGTGGACACATGTGGGATAGTGGGCTGGAGAGCAACCTGGAGGGGAAACCCTGGGGGCAAGGGGGGGTCCATGAGGTAGGCCTTGAGCATCCCACCTGTCACTACTGCAGACCCTGCCCTCCCTGGGAGGGGACTTAGGCCACTTACACCTGGGGCCTAGAGCAGGACTCCCACTTCCCGCATCCAAGGAGGGTACTGGTACTTTCTATGTGCCTTGCAGTGTTCTGAATCCTTCATGTAACTTAGCTCATTTAATCCTCATGGTGCCCCGGGAGGTATGAACTGCTATTATCATCATCCTCGCTATTTCACAGGTGTGAAAACTGAGACTTGAGAGAGGCTAAGTGTGTGCTAAGGAAACTCAGCTAGTAAGTAGCTGACTGGTATTTCAACCCGGGCAGCTCAATTGCAGATTGTCACCTTAATCCCTTGCTATGCTGTTTCTCACTGTTTGAACTCTGCTAAAGACAATATAAGGCACACTGCATAAAGTTGCTTTTTATGAACATATTACCACTACTTTATGTTTGCATGACCTTTAATAGTGTAGTCAACATTTGTCTCCCCCACTGCATGCTGCATTCCAATCCCACTACCCCAATTCTAACAGTATCCTGATTTCTTGTTCAGAAATTATCTTTTTCTCATGGGCATGGTCAAAGTGTTCTGTCTTTCCACTATAAGGCCAAAGGAGTCCCTTCCAGAACCTTCTTCTTAATATTACAGTGCATTTCAAAGTGAGCAAGTGAGAGTCTGATTGAGCAAGTCAGCTTTCACCCAGGACTTCCAATCATGAGCCTAGTGACTCAGAGATGGAAAAATGGCCCAAGAGCAGTGGACCCTGATATGTTGTGCATGTTTGTCCCCTCCAAATTTCATGTTGAAATATGATTCCCATTGTTGGAGGTGGGGCCTGGTGGGAGGTATTGGATCGTGAGGGTGGATTTCTCATGAGTGGTTTAGCGCCATCCTGCTGGTGATCACGGAGTCCTTGCTCAGTTAGCTCATGTGAGATCTGGTTGTTTAAAACTCTGGGACTTCCGCCATCTCTGTCTCTGTCTCTTGCTCTTGCCACATGATATGCCTGCTCCCACTTTGCCTTCTGCCATGATTTTACAGTGCCTGACACCCTCACCAGAAGCAGATGCCAGAGCCATGCCGGCACAACCTGCAGAACCATGAGCCAATTCAACCTCTTTTCTTTATAAATTAACCAGCCTCAGGTGTTTCTTTATAACCATGCAAAAAATAACCGGACACAGACCCTGACGAACATTCTCTGTCAGTTCCTTGATTCCTGATCCTTGTTCCTACTTGACTTTACAGCCTTCCCATAAATTGTGGAAGTCTCCAAATACCCTTCTAGTGAATCCCTTTTTTTCCTTTTGCTGGCTAAACCAATTTCTGTTGCTTGCCATCAAAGAACTGTAACTGATACAGCATATGGTCTCATATGCGATTCTCACTAGCCAGATTGGAGTGGGAAGGCGGTATCACCATCCCTGTTTTATAGATAGAAAACTGTTCAGAGAGGCTGAAGAAGTTGCTCAAAAGTACACAGTGAGTAAGGGACAGAGTCAGGATTTGTTCCCACAGTATTGACCTCTGCTTCAGAGGGCAAAGATAATCTTGATTTTCTTTCATTTCTTTATTTTCTTTCATTACTTTTCCATTTCCATTAGTGGCAGAGCATGGCTTAAATACCATTGCATCTTAGCCAATGGCGGAAGCTCTCTGAGCTTTATTCCCTCATTAATGAATGGGGATAATGATAGTAACTACCTAAAAAAAAAAACCTGTTGTGAGAATCATGTAAGAGAATGACCTTGGAACATCCTTGGCACAGTGCTTGGCATGCAATATGTACTCGATACATGTAATTCCCATGTCAGGAGTGACAAGATAGAATTCAAGATTCCTGGACATTGTTTAGGCGTTATAATACACTTAAAGTTCCAGCTGGGCACAGTGGCTCACCTGTAATACCAGCTCTTTGGGAGGCCGAGGCAGGCGGATCACAAGGTCAGGAGATCGAGACCATCCTGGCTAACATGGTGAAACCCCGTCTCTACTAAAAAATACAAAAAATTAGCCAGACATGGTGGCGGGCACCTATAGTCCCAGCTACTCAGGAGGCTGAGGCAGAAGAATGGCGTGAACCCAGGAGGTGGAGCTTGCAGTGAGCCGAGATCGCGCCACTGCACTCCAGCCTGGGCGACAGAGCAAGACTCTGTCTCAAAAAAAAAAAAATAAATAAAAAGTAAATAAATAAAAAAAATAAAGTTCCTTAACACTAGAAAATTGGTTGAAGAGCCCTCAGAACAACAGCTCTAGTTGGGTTTGATGAGGATGCTGACCATCCACCCCTTGGGTTCCCCAGTGAAGATTTTTGCAGTGGTCCACCAAAACTTCGGTGGGTCATGCCTTTGAGCAAGGAGATGTATTGCACTGTGGAGCAGTAAGGAGGCAATGGGATGGGATGGGGAGAGCTGAGGTCTCACAGGAGGAGACCTGGTTTGAATCCTGACTCCACTCCTTCTGGGCTTCATGACTGGACAAATAGTTTAAGTTCTTGGCAACACTATTCTCACTTAGAAAACGGGCATAACATTGTCATCCGGAGGCTTCCTTGTTCCAGGGGATCTGGAGAAACTCTGACCTCAGTTCCCCTAGTTCTAGGGTTGTGGCCATCCAGCCCTTGGATGTCATACTACTTTTGTGAATTCCTGGGAGACTTCAATGCAGGCACCCTCTGTTGGAAGAGGAGTGAAGAGAAACCTAAAAAAAGTTTGCTCAAAAGATTCTTTGAAATCTTTTGAAGTCTCCAGAAGAGACTGAAATGCCTTAATGGGCAAGTTTGTTTTTACTTCCTCTGGGCTCCAGACCTGCGCTGTCCAGTTGAACTTTCTGTGAGGATGATCATGGTCTATATCTGCCCTGTTCAATGTGGTAGCCACTAGCCACATGGGTCAGTTTTACTGAACACTTGAAATAGGGCTCATGCAATGAGACACTGAATTTCTAATTTTCTTTAATTTTAATTGATTACAGTGTAAATGGAAATAGTCACACGTGGTTCATGGTTACCATACAGGGGAGGAGGCTCTAGAGGGAGAAGATGCCAGTTATGGAGAACAAAGAAGCTCTACTTGTTACTTGAGTGGTAGAGTTTAAATTCGTAATCCTGCTGTATGTAGGGTGTGGCCTCTGTTTCTGAGACTGTAGGTGATGGGCATGCAGAGGGCCAGGACCATGAGCCTGGGGCAGAAATGGGGAGCAGAGAGGAGCAGGGGCAACCCCAGTAACAAGAAAGGAAGGACCATAGGAAGTGATCACCAGGGTCCCTTCACAGGTTATTGATTTTTTTTTAAAAACAGGATAGGGTATCACTATGTTTCCCAGGCTGGTCTTGAACTCCTGGGCTCAAGGGATCTTTCTGCCTCAGCCTCCTGAGGAGCTGGGATTATAGGCATGCACCACCATGCCTGGCAATTTTTGAAAGAACCAAACTTCTTTACAGAGAGGAAAGTAATCTCAGAAAGTAGGTTGGGGAGAAAATTAGTCAAAAGATAAAAAGTTACTTGAAAGGTTCTATTTTAAGCCAAAAGATACTGTATGTAAACAAGAAGAGACTGAGATGCCTTAATTGGCAAATTTAAATTTCTATTTCTACCCATCCCATCTGCCCACCCCATTGACCCAGGGGTCAAAGAGCAAGATTAAGATCAGTTATAGAAAATAAAGGTACATTTTCCTTCATAAATGAACATAGCATGCTAAAGATTTTTTTATTTGATTATAATAATTGCATATTTATTTATGTAATTGCTCAGTTAATGTCTATTGCCTTCTTGGTTGTAAACTCCCCGAGGCAGGGGTTGTGTTTGCTGTTCTCATGGTTGGATAAAAGACCAGGCGGAATGTTTGGCACAAGGGTTGTGTGCTTGGGACATATTTTCTGAAAAAACAAGCTTAGTCTAGTGATGGGCACCCAGCAGTTTATCTGTGATTTAATTTTTCCAGCCTCATATAGCAAGGGCCCCTTAAACAGAGTAATTGAAATGTATTTTTGTTATGTGCCACCTGGTAAAGACCACTGGATTCATTTGTCTGTAATCTTGACAAATAGTAATTTTTTTTTAAGTGATAAGATCTTGCTACACCTTGCTGTAGCCTGCTACAGCCCAGGCTAGACTTGAACTCCTAGCCTTAAGCGACCTTTCTGCCTCAGCCTTCTGAGTAGCTGGAATTACAGACACACAGCACCATGCTGGCTGACAGATGGTAATTTTTGTCTTCAATAGGTTAAGAGGAATGGTCACTTAAGGACATAATCAGTTGGATATCTGCTTATCAGATTAAATAATCAAATTTAATTTATGTAACAAGTTAGAAAGGATTTTAGTATTATCTGTAGTCAAATTTCTCCAAGTTTTCAGTCAAAGATTTTTTTGCCATCGATATATAAATGCGTACTATTATTTTGTTTTTCATTAAATTAACTAAAAAAATCAAGCTTAATTCCAATCTTGGCATCTTGTTTCACAAGGATGTCTACAAAATCAAAGATTTTTTGTGCTAAATTTTTTCCTAATATACGCTAAAACAAACACATCACTAGCAGAGAGTGGAACCATTGTGTCTGCTACCTGAATGCTGAGTACTGCACTTTGGGTGAATCCCAAATGCTTAACTATTGAAGTGATGTTTTATGGATTGAGCCTATTTATTAAATATGGGAGGTCCAGGGTCTCTGAACTGGAAACTGGGGTCCTCTACCCCGAGGGAAAAGAAGTAGCTGGTTATGGTGATTGGCACTGTTCCTAGTTTCCTCAGGACTTTCCTGGTATTGGCACTGAAAGTCCCACTCCCTGGGAACCCATAGTCCTGGGCAAACCAGAATGGTTGGTCACCCTATAGTTGGCATAATCATAATTTTAAGCCACCATCTTTTTAGAGATGGCTTGGTTAGTCCAAACACCTTGGCAAAGAGAGAAAAAAATAATCCTAGACTTGGAGGTGGAAAAACTGGGTTTAAGAACTGACTCTTGGCCAGCTCATACCTGCAATCCCAGCACTTTGGGAGGCCCAGGTGGGAGGATCGCTTGAGGACAGGGGTTTGAGACCAGCTGGGGTAACATAGTGAGACCTCATCTCTACTAAAAATAAAATCAGCCAGGGGTGTCGTGATGTGCACCTGTAGTCTCAGCAACTGGAGAGGCTGAGGTAGGAGGATAGCTTGAATCCAGGAGTTTGAGGCTGCAGTGAGCTATAATGGTCACTTCACTCCAGCCTAGGCAACAGAGCTAGGTCTTATCTCTGGAAAAAAAAAATAAAAAAAAAAGAACTGTACTGCTAATTTGCTACTTGTTTTAATTTGGGATTCCTCAGAGGTAGAGGAGACACAAATTTGAGTACAACTAGTTTATTGGGTGGTAATCCCAGGAAACACCCATAAAGGAGTAGGGATGTTAGACTAGTAGTGAGCCAAGAAAGGGTGCACTATTAAGCAAGTTACCACTGTGGGTAACTGGAGTTTAATCCCAAGTGAATGTGGAAAGCATGCCCCTCCCACCTCTCCCACCAAGTGGGAGAGGGAGCTGGGGTATTTACACCCCAGTCCTGTTAGTCATTGGTTGAGAGCTGTTCCTGGGGATGTTAATTCTCCCAGACTTTTGGCTTGCCCTGAGTGCATGAGCAGAGTGGGTTCCTGCCACCAGGGAAACTCCTTCAGCAAAGAGAAGGGACGCTGGCAGAGGGAACTACCCTAGTGAATACTATTAGGTTGGTGCAAACGTAATTGCGATTTTTACCATTACTTTTGCACCTGCCTAGTAAAATGGAAAGTCCTTTTAGGGGCTGTGAGCCAGGCACCATGTCTGTTATAGGGACTGTGGGCACGCACTTTCCCTTCTTGAGTTATATTTTTTCCATGAATCATATGAGAAGTGGGAGTTTGATTAATGCTTCCTAAAGTGTGAGACAGAGACCTGCCAATATGGGAGATGATTTTGGTGCCACATGGACACTCGCTTTAAATAGCAGGGAATCACAGGGAGGAAGTGTTCTCATGTCTCAGTCAGCCCTCCATATATATTGACAAGAAAGTCTCCATCGGGTGCTCTTTTAACCCAGACTCCTCTCTTCTCTTTTAATCTTCCTCTTTTAACAGAAGAAAGCAGTCTTCAATCCAAACTATAGTATCTGGCATGTAATAATACTGTTTTAAAATATTTTATTTATTTTTATTGCTAGTGTCTATATATGAAATATGATCTTAGCCCTCCTTTATTTAAAGTCCAGCTGGTTAAAGACAAACATTAAGTCAGTAAACGGACACATGGGATGTTAATATGATGAAAATTATGATGGTGAGATATTGGGTAACTCTAAATGCTCTCCTTGTTCAAAAAGTCCAATGTTTCTGTGTTTGTTTGAGAACCTTGTTTTGTGATACTTCCTGTTGCTGACTTTTCTGATCATATGTTGAACCTTCTCCACATGCTAAGTTTAGAAATCTTTTCCATGTCAGGCGCAGTGGTTCATGCCTTTAATCCCAGCACTTTGGGAGGCTGAGGCGAGCGGATCATTTGAGGTCGGGAGTTTGAGACCAGCCTGGTCAACATGGTGAAACCCTGTCTCTACTAAAAATACAAAAATTAGCCAGGCATGGTGGCATACACCTGTAATCCCAGCTGCTCTGGAGGCTGAGGCTTGAAACTGGGAGATGGAGGTTGCAGTGAGCCGAGATCGTGCCACTGCACTCCAGCCTGGGTGACAGAGTGAGACTTCATTTCAAAAAATATAAAATAAAATAAAAAGTAAAAATCTTTTCCCGAACTTCACTCAGGTGGTATAAACAGAGACCAACTATGATGAATGGTTATGTAAAGATCGCCAGTCCTGGGTGCTTTTTTGAGATTATGCTGCAGCAGGCTTTCTCAGAATCTCTCCATTCTGCCTAGAGAGGGATTTTAATTTGGTTGTTATTGTCATCTGCATCAGGCCACAAGATGACATCAGCAGATTTTTGCCGAAGCCCAAAAAAGATAAATATTTAAGAAGTATTTAAGAGGGGGTAGATGTGTTCCCATCTTACAATCATTTGGGGTCATGCTTGCATTCAAGGATTTCTAAACAAAGGGTGGTATTTTAATAAGAAAAGTGATTGTGGTTCCAGTTTTGATGTGATTTGAGATGAAAACGATATTTTAAAGACTGACCAAAATTGCATTTAATAGCTGAAAAGAATAAACACTTAAAAAAATAATGACCTTAACAAAGAAAGTTGTGATTTAAAGCAATACATTCTAAGCATAGTCTGTTTTATCCATACCAAATGTGAGATGCAATATTTTCTGGAAATAGGTCAAATTCTGAGTATTTTGTATAAACAATATATTCCACTAGAGGGCGCTATTTAGTTGTGTATTTAACGTTCTTTTTCTTTTTATAAAAATAAAAAAGGCTATAAGATGATGAATTCTGATATGATTCTTGTTGAGCATGTTATGAAATTTCCTCCCAGACATTGTTTTATTTTCAGCTTATATGTGTGAAACTTCACTTTAAGAAGTATACATGACCCTGAATCTTTCAATATGTATACAGTCCCAGCGGTATTATGGTACAATAGAAGCAAAAGACATAAGTTTAAATTATTGTAATCCCAGAGGTCTTTTGACTGTTGTTTCTCTTTATATGTTACCTCATGAAGAAAATTTATTGTAAATATTAATATTGTCTGTTTAGATCTTATGTGAAAAGACAAAGAGAGGGAGTGTGGCTCTGGGTGGGTGATCCTGTCACTTTTTCCAGGGTGGCTTTTGTTATCTAAAACAATTTACAGGAGAGTCTTTCAGTTTGTTTTTCAGGATTTCGGTCTCTTAAGCTCATATTGTCTCCACAATAGTCATGGCCTACATTTCTTTGATTCTAGTTTTTCTAGACTCATTACCTTTCTCTTTTCCCTCTGGTTTCTCAAACTATGCTGTATGAGATGATAGTATTTATTTATTTATTTATTTATTTTTGAGATAGAGTTTCACTCTTGTTGCCCTGGCTGGAGTGCAGTGGCATGATCTCGGCTCACTGCAACCTCCAAGGGTTCAAGCGATTCTCCTGCCTCAGCCTCCTGAGTAACTGGGATTACAGGCACCTGCCACCACGCCTGGCTAATTTTTGTATTTTTTAGTACAGATGGAGTTTCACCATGTTGGACCAGGCTGATCTTGAACTCTTGACCTCCGGTGATCTGCCTGCCTTGGCCTCCCAAAGTGCTGGGATTACAGTTGTGAGCCACCGTGCCTGGCAGATGTTGGTATTCTTAAAACCACACTGGTCTACACTACCTTTAAAAACAAATTGTGACTTTCCCTCTAATTTTCAGAAAAAATAACAGGATTTTCTCAATTTATGTTATTTCACTGCATTACATTTTTCTTAAACAGTTTTAGGTTAAGGCTGTAATTATGATATTGATATAACGCAGACATGTCAAAGTTATTTAAACCTAATACATGTCTGCATTTTATCAATATACATTTATTTCATGTTCTTGTACAAAAGACTTCATTAACATATTTGGGAATTCTCTAACTTTGTCCTGAAATTCCCATTCTTTTTTAATTTTTATAATTACACCTATATTACAGAAACATGTTTTTATAAAAATTCAAACCGTAAGCATTTCATAATATAATTCTTAACATAGAGTCAAAAATGATAGTTCCTCTTCATTCTTTCCTGCAAATCCTCTTCCTTCCCCAGAATAGTCACTGTTCAGATTTAAATGTGTATCTTAAGACATTTCCTGTGCACATGTGTAGTTGAAAAGGAAACCTCTAGTTTTTATTATTTTTTTCTGATGGAATCATAGTCTATATATTGATATATTGCTTTCCTTAGTGAACAATTGTGTGTTGGCCGTCTCTTCATTTCACTACCTGTAGGTCTAGCTCATTCTTTGTAACTATTGAAGAATATTCTATAGTCTGTATGGATGTTCTTTCATTTATTTAACCAGGGATTGAGGGATTGAAGGTGGAGCCACTTGTTCTGTCTCTCTCTCTCTCTCTCTCTCTCTCTCTCTCTCTCTCTCTCTATATATATATATATATATATATATATACACACACATATATATACATATATACACACATATATACATACACATACACACACACACACACACACACACACACACATATTTTTTTTGAGACAGAGTCTTACTCTCTTGCCCGGGCTGGAGTGCAGTGCCACGATCTCAGGTCACTGCAGCCTCCACCTCTAGGAAGCAAATGATTCTCTTGCCTCAGTCTCCCATGTAGCTGGGACAACAGGTGTGTGCCACCATGCCTATCTAATTTTTATATTTTTTGTAGAGATAGGGATTCGCCATGTTGGCCAGGCTGGTCTTGAACTCCTGAGCTCAAGCCATCCACCCGCCTTGGCCTACCAAAGTGCTGGGATTACAGGCGTGAGCCACTGTGCCAGGCCCACTTGTTGGATATTTTTAACAGCTCTGCAAGAGACATCCATGTTTACACACCTGTGGGTGTGTCTGTAGAATCTCTAGCGGAGTCTCTTGATCACAGGGCAGGTTTACATTTTTGGTCAGCATTTCTATCCTCAGAACCATATTTTCTCATTTCTTTCTTTCCTTTTTTTCTTTTTTTTTTGGGATGGAGCTTTGCTGTTGTTGCCCAGACTAGAGTGCCATGGCACAATCTTGGCTCACTGCAACCTCTGCCTCCTGGGTTCAAGCAATTCTCCTGTCTCAGCCTCCCCAGTAGCTGGGATTACAGGCACACGCCACCACACTCAGCTAATTTCGTATTTTTAGTAGAGATGGGGTTTCTCCATGTTGGTCAGGCTGGTCTCGAACTTCCAACCTCAGATGATCCGCCCACCTCAGCTTCCCAAAGTGCTGGGATTACAGGCGTGAGCCACCGCGCCCAGCTTTCTCATTTCTTAAAACCAGGAATAACTTACTAAAGTTATGACCTGGGAGACAGTTACGGAAATTTTCATGAGGACTCACCTGATGCCTGTGAGGAGGTGGGACAACTTCCGTGGTGCCACGTGTGGATTTCATGGAAAACCTCAAGCCCTAGTTTCAAGGATATTGCTAGGTTCAAGCAGATTCAATTTCTTAGAAGTGGCATTGGAGACCATTAATCTGATAAGGTAAACCTTCCTTGGTTAAAGACAACATGAGAATTCAAATCTGTGAACATTTGTTGAGTACCTAACCTGTGTAAGCTGCTATGTTACTCATGGCTTGAAATTAAAAATGAGTTAAATAGAGTCTGTGCCCACAAAGAGGGCAGCAGCACCAGCAGAGATGAGATGAATACACAATTAAATCTAATCCCAGGCCATGCAAGCCAGAGACAGTGGAGCTGGCCAGAGGTCTTGTGAGTTGCTAAGCTGGGTAGGAAAAATGAGGATGGATGGGAGAGAGACAAAGTAAATGAGAGAGGAGGGGGAAGAGATATTGATTTGAAAATGAATAGGAAAGAGAAGAGAATGAGAGAGGAGAATGAGAGAGAGAACAAATAAATGGGGAGGAAGGAAAGAGAGAGAGCAGATGTGTCTTGAAAGCTGGGCAGATCCTCCACTAGTGAAGATGAAGGGAGAGAGGGGGCAGTGGTATAGTAGAAGATTAAAGAAATAAAAACAATGTAAAAATCTTATTAATTTAACCTCACCAAGACAACCACTACTCTTCTTGTGGTGTATTTCTTTTCCAGTGCATATTTTATAATATTACAAATATTATAATATTTGGATTTTTCCAATGCATATTTTATAATATTAAAAAAAGTTATAAAAATAAAATTTTTATAATACACAGGGTCCACACATCCCAGCTTTGGAAATACCTCCTGGGGGTCCCATCCTGCTGACAAGAATGGGTACAGAAGCCCTCCCCAACACCACCCAGAGCTCTCTGGAAAGGGCCTGATTGCCCATTCAAATGGAGCTCTGATTGCTAATGTTATAAAAGTAGATCCTCCTTCTTCAAGGGCAGAGATAGTTTGGTCTTTGAGACACATAGATGCCCAATCACCATTTCTGGGAGACACCATCCAGTGCGGCAAAGAGAAAGTCAAGCAAATTGAATGCCTGTATCAAAACATGTTTATATCTGTCTACACTTGTCAAGTTATCAATCAACACCATTAGGTGATTTTTCATCACAGGCCTCCATCGCTGCAGTGCAGAAAAAAATGGAAAGGAATGGCTGGAAGAATTCTGGATTAAGGAAGAAGTTCCTGTTCATTCATTAAGCACTTTTTTTTAAAGTTACAAAAAAACTAATTTTGTTATTAATGTTATGTTTCAATTGGTTGTGGCAGCATCAGGTAGACACCCCAAGTGAAAGGGAAGCAGAGAGTCCTTGGCGTGATTTCAGGTTTCAGACTCCCTCATGGTCTTTAGAAACATCCTTCTGGGGCTTCCTTACCATGCTGTTAGGTGTACATGTTTTCCGGTTTACTATTAAGGACATTACAAAGGATATCGATGAACACCAGATGAAGAGATGGATAGGGCAAGGAATGTGGGAAGGGGCACTCAGCTTCCATGCCCTTTCCAGGTGCCCAAACCTCCTGGAACCTTCAGGGCTTCGCTTACAGGAAGCTCCAAACTTTTTTTTTTTTTTTTTTTTTTTTTCCTTTTTAGTATTGTAGGTACCAGGAGGACAGGGACCATGTCTGTTTGAGAATGTTTGTCTTCCATCCTGGGGAAAGTCATCCTCCACATAAGAATGAGTCAAATGTCTCCTTCGAAATGTAGCAAGAAGCAGAAAACAGGTTGTTTTTTTTCTCATGGGATACAGTTTGAAGCTTCAGATTCTACAATATATTTTAAGTTTAATTTTTAATGGAGTGTAGTTTGGACCAACATTTTGACAGTCAGAAGAGAGACCATTTTAGAGAGAGGAATCAGCATTTATAAAAGGGAGATAATTGATGTATTAGGGGTAGATGAGGAGGAACTCCAGATTTCCTGACTTGGATAGAACAGATGGAAGCTTCTGAACATCTAAAGGTGTCATAGACATGGATCTGGTCCTTAAGAATTGTACATTTGCTATTTCTTCTGGTTGTTCAAACCTCTGTTTTGTGTGTGTGTGTGTGCATTTTTCCTAGGCTTGGAAAATGTCCCAGATGTCTTTGTCATCCATTGTAGCAGGCAGAGGCTCACCTTCCCAGCCTCTCTTGCAGCTAGGGCGCAGCTACAGCCAGACACCCCACCCCAGACCCTGAGCTTCTTGCTGGTGAGCTGAAGCAGGCACCATGTGGGACCCATGCTGGGGAGTGCTGTGGGAGCTCCACCCAGGTCCTGGATCCAGCAGCTCCAGGGGCTTTCGTGGTGGTGTTCAGAGCCACACGGTGATGCAGGTGGTGCAAGCCCCCGGATCTGAGTCTAGAGGGGCTCCTTGGTGTTTCATGAGGTAGTTCTTCAGGAGCTTTTGGATTTGTTTCCTGGCTGAGCTGGTTCTCTGTTTCTCATGGGGATTGTCTGATCACAAAATATCCTTTATTAAATTCCATTTCCACTCAAAGTAGCCAGAGGTGGTTTCTGTTGCTTACAACTCTGATTCTTGACTTTAGGATGGGTGCATGAGCAGAGTGGTGAGAGAAGAGGCTGGGAGAGGCACTTTTGATGTAAGTTGACACTGAACAAATGCCTCTATGGGCATTGGCTATGGTAACAAAATTTAATATCCTCAGGCAATTCATAGAAAAATAAGTATATGAAAAATTATGCAGCCTCAGTAAAAATGAAATTGCAAACAAAATCAGGTATTAATTTTATTTCAGAGAGGTGGAAAACATGAAAAAGAAAATTCTCAGTGCTGGTAAGGATGTGGGAAAGCAGACACTCGAGGTTCCACCAATGCAAACTTTCTGCAATAAGTGCCACAGATACTTCTTGTCCATGTGCTTCGATCCAGCAATTTCACTTGTAGGAATTAACCTAGGGAAATAATTGGATAAGTACATTAAGATGTATGTGCCAAGATTCTCATTGCACTGTTGTTTATTTCAGTGAAAAACTGAAAGCACTCAACTGCCTATCAATAGGGGATTGACCAAATAAATTCTTATACCATGCAGGATGTATGTATTAATGCACAATGTAGTTAGGTATTGATATGTTTTGGCTGTCCCCACCCAAATCCCATCTTGAATTGTAGCTCCCATAATTCCCATGAGTTGTGGAAGGGACCTGGTGGGAGATAATTGAATCATGGAGGTGGTTCCCCCATACTGTTCCTGTGGTAGTGGATAAGTCTCACGAGATCTGATGGTTTTATAAGAAGTTTCCCCTTTCACATGGCTCTCATTCTCTCTTGTCTGTCACCATGGAAGATGTGCCTTTTGCCTTCTGCCATGATTGTAAGGGCTTCCCAGCCATGTGTAACAGTGAGTCTATTAAACCTCTTTTTCTTTATAAATTGCCCAGTCTTGGGTATGTCTTTATCAGTAGCATGAAGGCAGACTAATACACGTATTTAGCCCGGCCAATAGGTAAGCTAATCTTTATCACTGTGGAAATGTGTCCACAAAATATTGTCATATGAAAGTCTGTTAATAATGGATGTGTGTACATTGGGGCTTGAGTGGGGCCTAATAAAGTAATATTCTTCTTTCTTGTTTAAGTTTTGAATCAATTGAGAGAGAACCGCAAAAGTCAGAGAGATGGTGATAAAAACATCATCTTCATTACGGATAAAAGTTTTATCGGAGGATGTAGCTTACGAGAGTATCCACATGGGTTCATTATAGCCCACCCAGGCAAAAGTTACGCTTGTGGAAGATTGTTGCCTCAAAGATTGCTTGGTTCTGGGGCAGAGAAGAAAGGGAGCAAATTGCAAATAGCCTTTTAGTGTGTTAGCTTACCTAGTTGAGATATGTGGACAAATGGCTATCACCCATTGATATGGTTTGACTCTATGTCCCCACCCAAATCTCATGTCAAATTGTAATCCCCACGTGTCAGGGGAGGGGCCTGGTGGGAGGTGATTGGATCATGGGGGCTGATTTTCCCTTTGCTGGTCTCATGATAGTAACTGTGTTCTCATGAAATCTGATGGTTTAAAAATGTGTGGCACTTCCCCCTTCAGTCTCTCTCTCCTGCTCCAAAATGCTAAGATGTGCTTGCTTCCCCTTCGCCTTCTGCCATGATTGTAAGTTTCCTGAGGCTTCCTTGCCATGCTTCCTGTTAGGGATGTAGAACTGGGAGTCAAACCTCTTTTCTTCATTAATTACCCACTTTCAGTTAGTTCTTTATAGCAGTGTAAAAATGGACTAATACACCTATCAATCAATTAACTCACTCTTTTGTGGGGTGAGGACAGGAGTCTTACCATGATCGTGGTCCCTCCATAGGGAAACATGAGGACTAGAGAATAAGTGTTCCTGCCCTTAGCATTATCATGTGATTCCATTTTTGTTTGAAGACACGTATGGATGTTTGCATAAAAAGATATAAAAATAAGCCTGAGATGGATGTGTGAGAAGTAGGCTTCCCCCATGGGCTGGGACTATGAGAGGGATTTTCAATATCTCTTTAAAAGTCAAATGACTTTTAAAAATAAAGGATAATATCTCTCATGAGAAAAAAACCCAGAAATATGTTTCCATTAGAAAACTAAGTTTCTGTTCATGTTGCATGCAATTCATACTCTATGTAAATGACATTTCATTATGCAGCTGGTATTTTTTACAACCAGCTGAACACTGAAAATCAATAGATACAGGTTCCATGATGAAAATAATTACTGGGATTCTTTTTCATGCTTTCTTTGATGTCCTTTCAATGTCTGGATATAAATCAAGTTCCTCCTATGCCTTCACTCAGATTCCCTTTACAAATTCTCTTTATTTTAATTTAATTTAATTTTATTATTATTTTTTTGAGATGGAGTCTTGCTCTGTCACCCAGGCTGGAGTGCAGTGGCACCATCTCGGCTCACTGCAAGCTCCGCCTTCCAGGTTCATGCCATTCTCCTGCCTCAGCCTCTTGAGTAGCTGGGACTACAGGCACCCGCCACTGCGCCCAGCTAATTTTTTGTATTTTTAGTAGAGACAGGGTTTCACCATGTTAGCCAGGATGGTCTCGATCTCCTGACCTTGTGATCCGCCCGCCTTGGCCTCCCAAAGTGCTGGGATTACAGGCGTGAGCCACCACGCCTGGCGGTGCAAATTCTCTTTATTAAAACGACTTCTCATGTTTTCATTGTTCCTTGAGTGAGAAGTCATACTCAGTACATTCATTTGCTATGTAAACATGTGAGTTACAGGTAGGTATCACGATTGAAAAACAAAGGCATTTACAAATAATTGTTTTTTGGGGGTACCTGAAGACAGTAAATTTGGGTAAACCTGCCTCCCAGATTTTGCTATGATAGGGGACTGTTTCAGATGCAGTTCAGCTACATTCAAAAGAAAATTAAACACACACACACACACACACGCACACACGAAAAGAAAAGGAAGAAAAAGAAAAAGGCAAATGATTGGCAGAAGAGGATTACTGGTCTTTTTCACTTACCTTTTCATTTTCCCCCTGCTCAGTCAGCTTGCATTTAAGACTAAAAATAAACCGATTTAAACTCACACCTGAAAAATCAGTGAGCTTTTGGAGGTAATAACCAGGAGGACTGTATCTTTTGTTTTCAGACTTTCAGTATCGAAATCTGCTACTTCTACTTCCACTGCCCTTTATTGAAGTCCTACCTTGTCCCAGGCACATAGTAGACAATGGTTGCTGTTCATCCAATATCTCTCTTCTTTCTTACTAGTGGAACTCCAACTTTTTTCAAGCATGCAGTGTGTCCAGATAACAAGCTTGCTCCCCCATCTGTCTTGCAACTAGGGGTGGCCATCTGGTGCAGTTCTAATCAGTAAGGCTGAAGCTGGGCTTTCTATGAAAACTTCTGCTTTCCTGATACATATGCAGTCCTTTCCTTCTCTCCCCACCTCCACTGTCCCTTGGCCTTTCTCATCCTTCATATCTGGAATCTAGATGTGAGGCCTGGAGGAGACGCAGCCATCTTGTGACCAGGGGGATCAATGCCTCATGCTGAGCGGGGTGGAGCCAAAAGAAGGAAGGTCAGGGTCCTAGGTGGCCTCATTAACCAGCCCTGGCCTGTCAACTTCCAGACTTCCTGTTGCATAAGACAAATACATTCTCTACTTTTTAAGCCCCTGGCTTAGAGTTTTCTGTTATTTGCAATGAAAAGCATTCTTTTTAAAATATGGAGGTGAAATTCACAGATTATAAAATTAACCATCTTAAAAAGAACAACTGAGTGACCTTTAGTATGTTCATAACATTGTGCAGCCACTACCTCTATCTAGTTGCAAAACCTTTTAACCCCAACATCAAAAGAGTTCTTAACTGACACAAGTGTTAGGCCAATATTGTCTTATGGAACCTTCCAACAGTTCTAATAAAGCAGGTATTGGTGGTGGACATTTTTTCTGCCCAGTGTGCATCCTCCCTTGTCCAGGTAACAGACATCATTTCCCTCTGGGGAACTCTCTCTTCCTTGCAATCCATCCCTGTGGTTTGAGAAGCCCTGATGTCATCCATGGCTCCACCGTGCATGGACAATCAGAGCACCACTGAATGGGGAGAGTTTAGGGATGGGGACATGATACAATTTGGGCCTAAGTTTGGATGGCTGGGGAGAGGAGTTCTATTTCTCATTAGAAAGCAGGGAAGCCAAGAGCAGCTGGCCACGGTAGGGAGCTGGTCAGCCTGAGGGTGAAGCTGATGTGGTGAGGGCTGTGCTAAGAGATCTCAGGTAGTGGTGAGAGTTCGGAGCTCCCAAATCGGGCTGTGCTAGCAGCCAGCTCTTTCTTCAATACTTTCAAATATTTGAGTCAATTAATCTCCTTTTTCTTTTCAAAATCAGTTTGAATTGGATTTTCCGTCAATTACAATCAAATTAGTATTGCGATTCATTAGCAGTACTACTGTTAAATAGTAGTAGTAGTAGTTGAGGTAGTAGTAGTTGTAGTATTTCCCTGTTTTACAGACTTGAGATTTGATCTCCAGGGGTATGTAATTTGCCCAGGATCACCCAGCTTTGAACTCAGGCCGGCATCATTCCAGGGCTCGTCTGTATGACTACTGAGAAATCACATTCCCACTTCTGTTCCATGCTGGCTGTTTCCAAAGACAGGGAGTCAAACTCTACCATCTTGTTAGTGAATGTGAATCTGTACTTCTCCTGGATCCCGTGCTGTAAACACTTGTTGGACTTAGGCAGGAAGAAAAGAAACATTTTCTTGAACAGATTAACTTTTGGACTCCGTACTTATAATTAGCTAGTTTTGAGTTAGTTACAGTAACCTCTGTTGGTTATTTATTTGATCACACATGACTCTGATGCAAAACAGCTTTGCTTTGGTCTCCTAGTGACCTGCGTGAACTGCATCATTAGGCAGCTGGTAGAGGTCTGACTAATTACAGCAAAATAAAAAGGAAAGTCTAAACACTCCTCCTCTTCCCCAAACATTCTTTGCGAAACATGCCTTGCTGGGCCCTGGACTACTTCATGAAAACGTGTCACTAACAAAATATGGAAGAGGCAGAAGAGCCTAATGGAAACAGTTTTATTGAGTGCCTCTGTGACAAAAATATCTTCAAAGGGAGTTCTATCAATTTTATTAAGCTACATTGTGCACTTTTACATGACAAGCATATCAAGCACAATAGCATTTGAATTAGCAATCAAGTTTTAATCGTATTTGACACTTCCCCACCTTGTACTGGCAGAAGCTGTCTCTCTGAGGAGCGACGCCATGCAAGGAGTCGTCAGCCTCCAACGGAGAAATGGGTGGCGTCCAAAAGTTCATTTGTGAATTTGCTAGTTGATTCTCAGAATACATGTTTTTCCCCCACACTTAGAATGGTATTTAGAATCCTGTGCTCACACATAAAAGCCAGTTTAACCAATTTTTATTAATTAAGGGGCTTTGGTTGCAAATGGCAGAAATTAACTCTGGTTAAGTTAAGCCAAAGAGAAAGTCCTGGAAGGATATTGGGAATTTTGAATCAGGAGAAGGCTGAGGGGTCAAACTTTCTGAGAGGCAGCCCCAGAGTCCTGCAAAGCAACAGCACAGGAATGGCCACATCTTGATTTCTGTTGTCACTGTGACTACCAGAAACCCACTCCTCCCTGTGGTTCTCTGCCTCGGCCCTTCCTGAGGCCCACTGTTGGTCTCATCGTGGCCCTGATGAGGACATTTTTGAGGCTTCATGATCTCTGTAGGATGCTGTCCATGCCCATGCACACAACAAGTGCATCTGTGAGGCCCACCTCACATCTCAGCTCCTGCTGTGCTGCGATGCAGATCCCCAGGGAGCTCGGTTCCACACAGTCACTCAGGGATCCAGCAGCCCCTTCCTCCTGTGGCTCTGCCCTCCTCTGTGTTGGTGTCCTTTCCATTCAGTACACAGATGGGGAGGAAAGTGATGAGGCTGCTACGGGCACCCAGCAGCCTGCATGCACCAGTATGCACCCAGTTCCTCAGGACAATGTGTTGGAATCATCATTGAATCTTCTGTTTCCCTCACACTCCTCATCCATTCCTTCCGTAAATTTGGTCAGCTCCACCTTCTAAATATACCCAGAATCTGGATATAACCCCCACAATTATAACCCTGGTTCTAGGCAGCATCATTTCTTGGCTAAAACATCACAATTGCCTCCTCACTGGTTTTCCTTCCTCCTCCTTCCCCTGGACAGTCTCCACTCCACTCAGCAGCCAGAGGGATTGTGTCAAAGCCTGTGCCAGATGATGCTGCTTCCTTCAAGGGTTTATCATCCTTGAGTAAATGACTTGATCTGACTTGATCTGGCTCCTGTCACGTCTCCATCTTTCTCATCAACTGTCTTTCCCTGCCATCCTTCTGCCCCAGCCACAGTGACTTCCTCCTTGATGGTCCTCAAGTATGCTCAGCATGCTATTGCTGCCTCAGGGCCTTTGCACTTGCTCTTCCGTCTCTCTAGAACATTCTTGCCAGAGCTTCTTTGCTCAAATATAGTTTCCTTAGAGAGGCTTCTCTGACCAGCCTCTGAGACAGAAGCCCCACTTCCTCGTTCCTGTTGAAATCTGTTCGTTTTACCCTACTTAATTTTTTCATAACCCTCATCACCAGCTGATGTTATATAAGACTCTGATGTGTTTATTGTTTGACACCCTTGCCTAGGATAAATGTTCCTTGAATTTCTTTGTTTTTTCAATTTCACGTCCTCACACTGGCATATATTAAATGCTCGATAAATATATTTTTGGAATGAGTGAATAAATGAATGAATTCATGCGTGGATGAATATAGGAATAGACTCCTGAAAGGAATGAACTGCAATAACTTTTTACTTTAATATCCAAATTTGAAGGAGGGGTTTCTGATTGGTGTAGGATGGCTAACAGGCCCACATCTTGCCTAAGGGAGAATAAATACCACTGCCATGAGCTTGTGCCCAAAGGAAAGAAACAGTCCCCAAAAGCAAAATCTGCTCTATGTTTAGCAGATGGTAAGAGATTCTTGGTTCAAAGGTGAGGGAGCTATACCCACCAAAGCTTGAACTAGTGAGTAGAAATTTAATAACTTCGTCTTAGTTAGGGATACTTTATGCTTCAAGTAACAAAACCCATGTAATAGCAGCTTAGGCATACCAGGGCTTATCTTTCATGTGTACCAGTCCATGGAAAGGCAGTTACTAGAACGGGTTCAGTGGCTCATCAGTATCAGAATCTGGGCTGGAATCTCTGCGATCCTCTTGGCCTTTGCCTCATGGTCACAGTGTGGCAGCCATGTACCCGAGCTTCCTGCCTTCACACGTTTTTCAAAGGAAGAAAGGGGTTGGGGACAAGTGGCAGGATGTGTTCTTCTAGTGCATTTCTTTCTAATCGCTGAAAGAAATACCTTTCCTAGCAACCATCTGAGACTTCCCGTTATTGCTCCTTGCCAAAACTGGAGGGCTGGACAATGCCCATTTGGCCTTTCCAGTCTCTGTGGTGAGAGCCGGGCAGGGGAGAAGTGTGTGGAGAAGTCTGCTGGGTCATCGATCAGTGGTGTCTGCCCAAGATCAAGCAGCTAGAAGGTAGCCAGGGGAATTAATATTTGCTCTGCATTTTGTCTGATGGGAAAGTCCAACTCTTAGACACTATGTTTCATTGCTTCTTGGGAGGAAAACTTTGCTTTCCCTTTTGTTTTGCTTTGTTTTTTTTTTTAAAGATGTTTTCTCAGTATCTGGACACAAATGGTGACCTATTGCACGGTTCCATTTACGTGGAATGTCTAGAATAGGCAGATCTATAGACACAAAGTGGACTAGTGGTTGCCAGGTGGCAGGAGGCAGCAGGGAATAGGGAGTGACTGCAATTGGATATGGGGTTGCTTTTGGGGTTGATAAAAATGTTGTGAAATTAGATAATGGTGATGGTTGCACAACTCTGTGAATATACTAAAAATCATTGTATTGTATATTTTGAAATGTTGAATTTTATGGTATGCACATTATAATGCAGATATTATTTAAAAATAAATGCTAGGCTGGGCTTGGTGGCTCATGCCTGTAATCTCAGCACTTTGGGAGGCCGAGGTGGGTGGATCTTTTGAGGTCAGGAGTTCGAGACCAGACTGGCCAACATGGTGAAACCCTGTCTCTACCTAAAATACAAAAATTTGTTGGGCATGGTGGCGGGTGCCTGTAATCCAGGCTACTTGGGAGGCAGAGGCATCAGAATCGCTTGAGTTGGAGGTTGCGGTAAGCCGAGATTGCACCACTGCACTCCAGCCTGGGCAATAGAGTGAGACACCGTCTCAAAAAAAAAAAATGCTAAGGATATACTATAATTTTTGTAACCCATTACATTTAAAAATATACCAGGAACTTAAAAAAAAGACTCTAAGTGTCCGAGTCCCCTCTGGCCTCTAAGAGGACTTAGGCACATTCACCCCAAAGTGTTCCCAGGTTCCAATCTGTCCATTAATTTTCCTCACCCTTCTTTTGCAGATCAGAACTTATTTTCTTTTATTCCTTTTAGGTCTCCTTTTTAGGTAATTTTCCATGTGTACTCACGTATAAAAAGTATCTTATTTTCCTCACACTCTCAGGACCTCATTAAATTGCAAACTCTACAAGACGGCACTTGACATAAGAGCAAATATTGTTTCTGTGTGGTAGTTCCTCATGTTGCTGCTAGGTGGAGGGCCCCATTAGAAAATATTCGAGAAGGATTTGAGGGCACGCCACAGCAGTGTTGGGCTCGCTGCTTTAGGATGGTGGGGGAGTCTCAGCTCTGGATGCACTTGAGCATCCCTGGCCACGTCCATGATACTGGAGCCTGGGATTCATGCACAGAGATCATGACGCCATTGGTCTGGGATGGGGTCTGGGCATTTGAGCTCCCCAGGTAAGTCTAATATGTAGCAAGGACTAGAATAGTGGTTTTCAACCTAAGGCAGTTCTTCCCCAAGGAATGCAATGTCTGGAGACATTTTTGATTGTCACAATGGATGCGTGTGCTACTGTGTCTGTGGGTAGAGGCCGGGGCTGCTGCTAAACATCCTCTAAGCACAGGGAAGTTCCCATGATGCAAAGTTACTTGGCTCAAACTGTCAGTAATGTGGAGATAAAGGAACCCTGGGTTAGAGGAAGCAAAGAGAAGGCCAGCTAACTGCATCCTCAGACTATGACTCTATGGCAGGTGGTGGCAGGCTGGAAGTGGAAACACACGAATGTTATACACAGGTGGCTAAATGGCTGATCACTGGAATTCACTGCTGTGGTTAAAAATGGCATTGGTAATGATCAGGGAAATGCAAATCAAAACCCCATTGAGGCCGGGCATGGTCGCTTACAACTATAATCTCAGCACTTTGGGAGTCAGAGGTGGGATGATTGCTGGAGCCCAGGAGTTTGAGACCAGCTGAGCAACATAGCAAGACCTCTACAAAAAATAAAAACACTTAGCTGGGTGTGGTGGCATGCACTTGTAGTCCCAGCTACTTGGGAGACTGAGGTGAGAGGATCACTTGAGCCAGGGAGATGGAGGCTGCAGTGAGCCATGATTGTGCCACTGTACTCCAGCCTGGGCAACAGAGCTTCTGTTTTGAGACTGTCTCAAAAACAAAAATAAATAAATACATAAAATAAATAGTATAAACAATGACATATTACTTCAGACTTTTTAGGATGACAGTTACAACAAAACAAAACATAATGAGTGTTGGCAAGGTTTTGGAGAAACTGGAACCCTTTGTGCTGTTTGTGGGGATGTAAAATGGTGCAGCCATTATGAAAAACAGCATAGAGGTTCTTCAAAAAATTAAAAATAGAACCACCATATGATCCAGCAATCCCACTTTTGGGTATTTATACAAAAAATTTGAAATCAGAATCTTGAAGAAATATTTGCACGCCTATATTCATTCAGCATTATTCACAATAGCCAAGATGTGGCAACAACCTAAATGTCATTGACAGATGAATGAATAAAGAAAATGTGGTCTCTACCTACGATGGAATATAAATGAGCCTTAAAGAAGATGGAAATGCTTTCATATATGACATGAATAAAACCTGGGTGAAATAAGTCAGTGATATGGACTAATTATGGATCTGTGTCCCCATCCAAATCTCATGTTGCATTGTAATCCCCAGCGTTGGAGGTGGGGTCTGGTGGGAGGTGATTGGATCATGGGTGTGGATTTCTCATGAATGGTTTTGCACTATCCCCTTGCTGTGATAGTGAGTGAGTTCTTGTAAGATCTGGTTAAGAGTGTGTAGCACTGGCCGGGCACGGTGGCTTACGCCTGTAATCCCAGCACTTGGGGAGGCCGAGGCAGACAGATCATCTGAGGTTGGGAGTTCGAGACCAGCCTGACCAACATGGAGAAACCCCGTCGGTATTAAAAATACAAAAAATTAGCCGGGCGTGGTGGCGCATGCCTGTAATCCCAGCTACTTGGGAGGCTGAGGTAGGAGAATCGCTTGAACCAGCTACTCGGGAGGCAGAGGTTACAGTGAGCCCAGATCGCGTCATTGCACTTTAGCCTGGGCAACAAGAGTGAAACTCCATCTCAAAAAAAAAAAAAAAAAAAAAAAAGTGTGTAGCACCTCCCCTCTCATTCTCTTTCTTCCTCCTGCTCTTGCCATGTAAGACACCTGCTTCCCTTTTGTCTTCTGCCATGATTGGAAGCTTCCTGAGGCCTCCCCAGAAGATGAGCAGATGCCAACACCATGCTTCCCATACAGCCTGTGGAACTGTGAGCCAATTAAACCTCTTTTCTGGATAAATTACCCAGGCTCAAGTATTTCTTTATAGCAATGTGAGAATAGACTAATAGAGTCAGACACAGAAAGACAAATACTGCATGATTCCACTTATATGAGGTATCAAAAATAATAAAACTCATAGAAGCAGAGAGTCAATAGCAGTTGCTAGAGGCTAGGGGGTGGGTGAGTGTGGAATGGGTGTGGGGAATGGGGAGCTGCTGTTCAATGGGAATAAAGTTTCAGTTAAGGTGGAAAAGTTCTAGAGACCTGTTGCAAAACATTGTGCTTATGGCTGACAATACTGTAATGTACACTTAAAAGTTTGTTAAATGGGTAGATTTCATGTCATGTGTACTTCCTTATCACAATAAGAAAAAAATTGCATTTGATACCTTTGTAAGTTCCATGGATCCAGGTCTCCATTGTTGATAAGCTCATCCAAAAGCAAGGCAGAAGATAGGTTGTTAAAATTCTTGTTATTTTTACAGACATTCTACAGCTAAAAGCCATCAACTGTCAATCACGATGAGCAAATGCCTATTCACATTCAAGATGAAGAACTTTTGACAATTACCATGCATCTTTATTCCTTCAGCAAGCTTTCAGAATTATTGCTTTCATTAGAGGGAAACTTGGGCCACAGCATCACACTCCAGGAAACAGCACACCATTATTTGTGATAAGGAGAGAACAGTAGATAAGAACAAACATGCACAGACTCAGGAGAAAAGTCTCTGTGGGCTGGAGTGAACACCCGAATTGGATGCAGATCATGTGCAAGCCACCAAAGCAACAAGCACCCTCTACATCCTGCGACAAATGTTGACTTGGTGGATTTTTGTTTGTTTGTTTAAAACCAATCACTTGATATGTTCTCATAAGCCATGCAAGAGATTGCTATCATGGATAATGAAAACAAAATGACAGGCAGATAAATTTAGTTGCTGTTGAAGAAATCTTGTGAGGTATTCTCAATAGTATAAAGATAAGGAAATCACATAATTGAAAAGAGCTGAAAACAGCATTAGCACTAGACATATAAGGAAGAGAGCAAAGAAATCAATTGGGGGATGCAGGAAAAAAAGTTCAAATAAGGCCAAGTTCTCTCTGATGGGTAAAATTGTCTACTGTGGAAGCCAGAGGGTCTAGTCCTCTGGTTCTCAACCTTGACTGCATAATAGAATGCCCAGGAGGGCTTTAACTGCCCCTGATGCCCACAGTGTATGTTTTCCAGACCAATACAATCTGCAGTTCTGGGGTAGGACCAGGTAGTAATGTGTTTTAAAGCTCCCCAGGTATGATGGTTTATATTGAGTGTCAACTTGATTGGATTGAAGGATGCAAAGTATTGTTCCTGGGTGTGTCTGTGAGGGTGTTGCCAAAGGAGATTAACATTTGAGTCAGTGGACTACTAGGAAATGTAGACCCACTCTCAATTTGGGTGGGCACAACCTAATCAGCTGCCAGTGCAGCCAGAATAAAAGCAGGCAGAAGAATGTGAAAAGACTAGACTGGCTTTGCCTCCCAGCTTACATCTTTCTCCCATGCTGGATGCTTCCTGCCCTTGAACATCAGACTCCAAGTTCTTCAGCTTTGGGACTCGGACTGGCTTCCTTCCTCTTCAGCTTGCAGATGGCCTACTATGGGACCTCACCTTGTGATTGTGTGAGTCAATTTCCTTAATAAACTCCGCTTTATATATACATCTATCCTATTAGCTCTCTCTAGAGAACCCTGACTCATACACCAGGGGACCCCAGTGGGCAGCCAAGTTTGAGACCCCATGGTAAGGACTGCCTCTCTGTACCCACTGTAGTGCAGGCATGGCAACTTGTCTTGGCTCCCATCATGAACTGCCCTTGCACCTTGAGCTACATAGAGGTACTTTATTTAGAAAGTGTTTGTGGCAAAGGCACTGGGGACAGTATTGTAAGCCCAATGGCAGTGAAGTCCAGTAGCAGCAGCGGCCCTGGTACTTGGGAGCTATCCTAATGAGAATGTCCTTGAAGTGGTTCCTGTGACACGGCTCCCCTACATTGCTGTTCATTTTCCCAGCCCTGTTCTCTAAACTTCCTCTGAATTTGGGGGACTTCCTGATTTCCTGCTAATACATTGCATTTCTGCTAAGTTCACCGGAGTTAGTTTCTGTTGCTGCAGTCAAGAACCCTTGACTGATTTTTTGTTGTTAAATATTTTTCTTGAAATGGACAGATTAAAAAATACCTGTTTGAGCTTCGTCCTAAGCAACGATATCCACAGTATTCCTTTAGATGTGTTAGTAAAATTTTTCTGAATATGCATTAAAATACCTACACAATTATTAGAATAAAAAAATCTCCGTATTACCTAAAACTGTCTTGCATCCCATGGGCTCACGTGCTACCCTTTGAGAAAGGCTGAGTTATGATTCTTTTAGTGCAGAGAATAGAAAGCAGAGCTGAGTAGCTTCAGCCAAATAAGGTACCGATGGAGATTTCTTATAAAACGAAGGAAGCAGCCTTGAGCAGTGCAGTCACAAGGGACCTAGGGACTTAGCGAGGGTTGTATCCCTTTCCTCTCAAAGAGTTCTCAACAGTGTAACTTAATTCCAGTATGTCCCTTTGAAACTTGCAAACACTGGGCAGGAAGAGATTCAGCTGTGGCCAGGAGGGGCTGATCATGGAGTGTAGACAGCTGCTGAGGGCCCCAGTCCATGATGGTGGTGGAGGGGGCAGTTCAAGGGAAGGGTCATTGCTTTAAGCAAGGTAACCACCAGAAGAGGTGCCTTCCACGTTATAAGAATATACACATAAACTGGGATAGGCTGTAAATCAGGCAGGTTATGTTCAATTGCTAGTGACAAAAAACCCAAATTTTTCTGACTTAAGCCAAAAAAAAGTTCCTTTATTGCCTCAGAAAGTTGGACTGTCTAGGAATGAGAACCAGCCTGAGTCATTGCTGAATCCAGGGCTCCAATGATGATGCGAGGCCTGGTCTTGGTCTTGCTTCTCTTCTTCTTTCTCTCTCTTCTCTGTATTTTTTGCGTTCTCTGCTGGGTTTTATCCCCCTGACAGCCCCAGCAGTTCTGGGATTATCTGCCATCCTTAGAGACAGCCATTTCAGGGCCAGGAGTGTTTCTCTTCAGTAGTTTTAGCAACAGTCCTGGGAGAGACTCCCATTGGTTGGGCAGAAATAATATGCTCATTAATATGCTCATCCATGAACCAACCATTGTGGCCTTGGGAGGCTTGAACTGCACTGATTGGCCAGGTGTGAGCTAAGTGCCTACCCTGGATGGACTGGAGGTGGAGTCATTCTCCATCAAACCACATAGGCTAGGGTCATGAATGAGCTAGTAAATCTTGAACAACTGACTCTGAGTATGGAGGTAGGAAACATTTTAGCATTTGCCAATTTCCCTCTGTAAATTCTGCCACAATGGCTGATTTCAAACTCTCCACATAATATCAAATGACTTAGGAAGTTCCTGGTTTCTAAGTCATTTGAAATTATGTGAAGAGTTTGAAATCAGCTCATGTTTCCACAATGAGCTGTGTGAGTTGGCTCCAGCATTGCACTGGCTGAGACCAAGGGAGAGGTAGTTCCTTCAAGAAAATCATCATTCTAGTACCAGCACTGGAATATTCGGTAATTGATGTGGGGCAGATAAAACCAACAGATACCTGCTACAGAATGTAGTGAAGCTTCCATTTATTTTGTGAAAGACCTCTTGAGTGTTTATTCTCATAAAAGTGCTAAGAATTATGTTCTAGAAGAGAGAATTCATTGACCCTTCACCAAACATTTATTACCTACCAAGGACAGATGCCACCTCAATTTTGGAACACATAACTGAACTCATTCTCTAGTATGGGAAGCCAATATGTACCAAGAGCTTGTAGGACACATGGTAGGTGCCATCATAGAGGACACATGGTATAAAGGAGGGAGTAGGCAACATATATGGAAAAGGGGTGACTTCTAGGGAATGTTTCACAAAGCAGGACTTATTTGTGCTGGATCTAGAAGGATGAGTGGGAATTTGTCAGACTGTTCACAACAGGTGGTGTATTAGTCTGTTTTCATGCTGCTAATAAAGACATACCCAAGACTGGGTAATTTATACAGGAAAGAGGTTTAATGGACTCACAGTTCTACATGTCTTGGGGGCCTCACAATCATGGCAGAAGGCAAGGAAGAGCAAGTCATGTCTTACGTGGATGGCAGCAGGCAAAGGGAGAACTTGGGCAGGGAAACTTCCCCTTATAAAACCATCAGATCTCATGAGACTTCTTCACTATCATGAGAACTGCATGGAAAAGACCTGCCCCCATGACTCAGTTACCTCCCACTGGGACCCTCCCACAACATGGGAATTTTGGGAGCTACAATTCAAGATGAGATTTGGGTGGCGACACAGCTACACCATACAGGTGGGAAAGGGTGGAGGATGCCAGGCTGAGCATTTTCAGAGTCATAGGGGAGTGAAATAGCTCTAAGTGGCTTCAGATGAATGTAGGTGGGAGGTAGTCCAGGGCTGAATCTTGCATAAAGTTTTAAGGATGTTGGATTTTATCCTTCTGGCTTGGAGTGAACAAAGCGTTTCAAGCAGGGAAAAGGATCACTATCACACTGGTATTTTAGAATAATCTCTCCAGCAGTTGTGTAGGGAATTGATTCTAGAGAAGGGACACCAAAAACAAGGAAATTAGTCAGAATTCAGGTAAGAGAAGGTGGGAAGAGCAAGGAGGTAGAAAGGAATCAACGCGGTGGCCAATTGGGTGTGAGGGAAAGAGGTGAATTCAGGAGAGCTCTTGCTGCTCGGATCCGAGAGTGGCTTTAACCCATTGGGAAGGACAGGCTTATACATAGGAGAGAAACTTAAAATCTACATTGCAAAGAAGTGAGACCTTAGATTAATATCATACATGAAAATAACTGGTGGTCAGAAAGGAGGGATATTAACTCAAGAAAATTCATGAAAGAGGCAGAATGGGAGATGCACTTTCACTACCAGAGGTTGCAATTGATGGTGAACCAGAGACTTCAGTGCAGATATTGTGCCCACACTTTAACTTCTGTGTCCAGGGCTCAAACGATAATACTAGGATTCAATCTTTCTAAACTCTTACCCCCTCTCTCCCTTTTTCCCTATGGTGCTTTCACTCCCAGCCAGACATGGACTCTCTCCAGAGAAAAAGAAAAAAATAAAAAAGCTTCCCTTTTTCTGGAGAAAGGGGATCAGAGAGTCAGTTTTTGAGATGTTGCCAATTTGGAAGTATATTTATTCTATATTTCACAACTGAGCAATAATTTTAACTAGCTATGGAATTCTTGGTTGGAAAGAAGTACTTTTGCATTAGTATTTTGAAGAAATGTATTTATTGTCTTCAATTTCCAGCATAACTGTTATGATGTGTGATGATGCTACTATAAACCTTTTAAAAACATTTAACCCTCTGGAAAGTTTTTAAAATTTGAAATTTCATGATGATAGAAATAAATATGGGACTTTCCTCACTCACTGAGCTGGGTAATTGTTGGATTCTTGAAGCTAGTTTTCTTAGGTTTGGGAACATTTTCTTGGAAAATTTCTATGTTACTTTCCTTTTTTATTTTTAATTTTTGTTACTGTTATTTTCTAAAATTATTATTTGGGTGTTGTATCTTTACTTTTTCTTTTAATATTTTAGTCTTCCATTATTCATCTCTTTTTCCTCTGTTCTACTTTCTGGAAAAGTTCTCACCATCATCTTCCAAACTGTCTTTTGAACTTTCAAAAAGTGATTTGTTGTCCTTTGAATGTTCCTTCTTAGACATTTTATTCATGAATGTTCTATCTCTCTGAAGATGTTTAGCATTTTTTATTTTTTTTGTAATATCTTTGTTTCTTCCAAGTTGCTTTTTCCTACTGTTTTTCATCTCTGAATTTAATGTTAAGAGGTTTTGGTAAAAAACATGGTGATGTTGGCTGGGCATGGTGGCTCATGCCTGTAATCCCAGCACTTTGGAAGGCTGAGGTGGGCAGATTACTTGAGCTCAGGAGTTCAAGACCAGCCTGGGCAACAGGACGAAACCCGGTCTCTACAAAAAAAAAAAAAAAAAAAAATTAGGTGGGTGTGATGGCGCTCACCTGTAGTCCCAGCTACTTGGGAGGCTGAGGTGGGAGGATCACTTGAATCCAGTGGGCAGAGGTTACGGTGAACTGTGATTGTGCCACTGCACTCCAGCCTGGGTGACAGAGTGAGACCCTGTCTGAAATACATATGTATATGTATTAAAATCTATAGATACATGTACATGGTGTTGCTTGGATGCCCATTTGAATTTTGAAGTGAGGCACTGAAAAGCAGACTCAGTGATTTATGTCTGGATTGATCTTGTTGACTGGTTGACCTCTTTGTGGGAGCCCTAGGTGGTGACTTGCCTGCTTCACGGAGGGAGTCCAATATATCAGTGTCTGTAGATTTTATTTTTCTTTTGGGTAGGCCAGGTTTTTGTTTTTTTTTTTTTTTTAGGAAACAGTGGATTTCCCAGTTAAGAGGGAGGTGAGTATGAACCAGGTAACCAGGACTCCCAGAAACCAGAGAAAGGAGGGTTTGAGTGTCTTTGTCAGTTGCACTTTTCATTTTCTAGTGTCCTCCAGTCCAGCCTTTCAACTCAGGTCTATTGTCTCCTCTCTGTAGGAGGAAGGTGGGGGAGAAGCTCCTTAGAATCTCTGATTTCACTCCTGTTCTTCATCCCTGACTTCAGAAATAACTGGAGCCTCCGGTTCTTGTAGCTCTCTAGGGTCCTGGGGCTTAAACTGGCTTCCTGTTCTCTTCCCACCACCCAGTCCTCAGCAGATGGGAAAACATTGAAACCTCAATCGCTTAACACTCATACATCCACTTTCTGTCTTTCAAAATTTGGCTGACATTTCTCTCCTGTCATTATTCTCCCACTCTCTTTGTCCTTGTGAATTTATACCTCTTTAGTTCCTTTACTGTCATTTCAGTGGGGTTTGGAGAAGGAGAGAAGATGAACGGGTGAATTCAAGCCACCATTTTTAACCGGAAGTCCTTTAATATCCTTCCTATTCATTTTTAATGTGTCCATCCGTTCCCCGTCTCTCTTCACTGCTGTATCATACTGCTCGGACATCTTGATTGAGCTGTTCTTGATGACTTTCTTTGAGTCTTTTCCTGTTGAGTATTTCACAAGGTCAGAATTCACGAGTGCTAAGGTCAACCCCCAAATGTGCAATAACACTGGCTTTAGGAGAGCATCTTTTCCTGGTTAACTGCTACCTGTCATCCTCACTCCATTTCTTTCCTTTCTTGTGGGAGCTGACAGAAGTGGAAAATGGGGCAAGATAGGAGGAACTGTATTCTAGATTAAAAAAATTGCAAATGAAAGCCACATTATAGCTTTGTATTTTGTGGTTTTATTATATTTTGCAAGCCTTTCAATTTTTTTTACATAAAGCCTTTTGAAAAATCTCATAGTAAAATTTCCAACTGTGCAGAGGATCAGCATAATCCTCCCCAGTCTCTCTCTCCTTTAATCTTGTGCTTTTTCTCCTATGAATTTGGTGTGCATCTTTCCATATCTTTTAAATTATGCTTGCACTAGTGTACAATCATTTATTTATTCAACAAATGGCTTTTGAGTCCCTATAATGTGCTAGGCATTGATGTAGGGACTGGCAATATGTTGGTGAACAAGACAGGCTAAATCCCTTCCCTCATGGGGATTTACATTCTAGTGGATATATAAAACTTTAAACATTCAACACATGCACACTGCCTACCCACCAGCATCACTGGCCATATCATACACAGTGATCTGTAAGATACTTTTTTTCCCACTTACCACCTAGTGTATCTTTTCATGTTAGTACTATGGATCTTTATTTTTAATGGTTGTGCCATTTCACCATATGAATGCATCATTTATCTACTCTTCTAGTAATGATCATTTAGATTGTTTCCAGTGTTCTGCTGTTACAAACAATGGATCAAGCATGATTTGTTCAAATATTCTCCCATTGATAGACCTTGAAGTGTTTTCAGTTTTTTTTTATACAAACAACTTTGTAAAATCAATTTTGAACATTTAGTTTTGTACTCATATGCAAGAATATCTATAGTGTATATATTCCTATAAATAGAATATTGGAGTCAAATGGGCTGATGTTATACAGTATGAAAGCTATTGTCAAATCGTCCTCCAAAAAGTGTGAATTCATTTGTACTCCCACCAGATAGGAAGAAAAGTGCCTGGTTCTGAAAAAGGTGTTTTAGACATGTGCTGTGAACTTTTTCATTTTACCGTGTTGCATTTTCCACCATTTCCCTAGTTAATTTAAATTTGTCTGTTGCAAAACTGTGTGCTTCTAGACACTGCCTGATTTACGCCACCTGAGACTTGTTATCAGACTCCAATGGAAGTAACCAGTCTCTCAAAGAAATGTGAACATTAAAAGCTAATCATTTTTCCCTTTCCAGATCTTGAGTAAACAAGCAAAAAAAAAAAAAAAAAAAAGAAAATCTTGGTTACAGGCCTGTCTTTGTGGCAGTCATTTAACAAAACAAAAATATCTAAGAAAATCCCCAAACTAGGTGTGGTGGCTCACTCCTGTAGTCCCAGCACTTTGGAAGGTTGAGGTGAGAGGGTCGCTTGAGGCCAGGAGTTTGAGACCAGCCTGGGCAACATAGTGAGAGACCCCATTTCTAAAAAATAAAAGCAAAAACCCAGCCAGGCATGGTGGTGTGTGCCTGTAGTTCTAGCCACTCAGAAGGCTGAGGCAGGAGGATCCTTGAGCCCAGGAGTTTGAGTCTGCAGCAAGCTATGATTGTGCCAGCCTAGGTGAAAGAGCAAAGCCCTGTTCTCCAAAAAGAAAATTCCCTAACAAAATGTCTATAGTCTATATATTGCCTAAATCACTTTTAATCTGTAACAAAATATTATCCTTCAGTCTCTGTTTAGAAAAGCTCAGCAAATTCTGTAAATAAGATAGTCTCTGTTCAATATGTCAATAAGCCTTTTCTTTCTTTCTTTCCTTCCTTCCTTCCTTCCTTCCTTCCTTCCTTCTTTCTTTCTTTTTTTTTTTTTGAGACAGAGTCTCACTCTGTTGCCCAGGCTGGAGAGCAGTGGCATGATCTCGGCTCACTGCAACCTTCACCTCCTGGGTTCAAGCACTTCTCTGTGTCAGCCTTCTGAGCAGGTGGGATTACAGGCGCCCACCACCACGCCTGGCTAATTTTTGTATTTTTAGTAGAGACAGGGTTTCACCATCTTGGCCAGGGTAGTCTTGAACTCCTGACCTCGTGATCTACCCACCTCGGCTTCCTAAAGTGCTGGGATTACAGGCGTGAGCCGCTGCGCCTGGCCCAGTAAGCCTTTTCAAAGAATTCTGTGCAGGTTACAGCATAATTTAATTACAAATGAATATGCATTCTTAGATATAAAAATGAGAGATGTCTGAGTATGATAACTAAGATAGACAGTGTTAGAACATCATGATTTGAAGGATCGTCACTCACTGTTACTTCCAGAAGTTATGTCCAATCAGCTACCTTCGTTTTGGATAAGATAGTTCCTGTAGAATTACTCACATTGGATCTTTCTTCCTTTAATCTATTTCTCTGTAAGCACATGCAAATTATGCTTGACTTAACCAAGCAGCTCTACTTCAATTTGTTGCCATGATGTGATGAGTAACCAGAATGGATTTTTAGGCTCATCAAATGTCTATGCTATGTGGTTCAAAAGCAGAGTGACCTTTACAGCTTGCATTGTGCATTGCAAATCTAAAATTTGAGGCTAAGATAGGAAATTCTCACATCATTTTCCTTTCATTAGAGGAGAAAACAGAATTCAGCTGGACACATGCACTAAAATTAGATTTTTAAATAAACAGCACAGGTCTTAATAATTCATGCAAAGATGCAGAAAAAAATGAGGAAAATAATTGAGCAATGGCAGGCAAATATCATGTCGTTTTGTACTGCCTCAAACTAACCCTCAGTACTGTATATCTCTGATGTACACGTTTATTAATGAAACAAAAGGCATCTACTATGGATAAATAATACATCATATGGATTTCACACATTCTATATATAATAGAGATCAGTGACACCTATCAATTCATTTTAAATCAGGCCATGCGTATTTCGCTCAGTCTGCAGTTTGTCAGTCTCTCCTTTCTACTTAATAGATGTCAAAGTTTGTTATGCTTAAAAAATGCAACGTAGTGAGGAACCAGGTGCAATATAAAAGTAATTACAAAAAATCAGCAAGACTAACTGCCCCCACAAAAACAGCCTAAACAGTGATATATTTGTGCATTTATCATTAGTAACATGGGCTCATCTTAGAGATTTAGTGGAAGAATTCATCAGTGTCATTAAGGAATGAAGACATTTTGAAAACTTCTTTTTTAAAAAAATTCTACAAATCTATTAAAATATTTATGACTATAGATGAAAAGTAATTATTGTCATCTACACGAAGGCGTTGTCATGGCAGGGACACAAAGCCAGGGGTTAAGAGGTGGGGGCAGGAGAGAAAGGTGCAATCCAAACTGCAAAACTGGATTAAACAGAGGTTTAAAAAAAACAAAAACAAAATAATTAGTGGTATAACATAAATAGATGTCATTAGCTGTAGTAATGTCTATGACAAATAAATAAGAGTTGAAAACAATAAAACTCCCGGTAATGTACTCTGTTGTAATATCGATGGCAGCATGTGGGGAACATCTGACAGCTGTTAAACAGATGTGGCAATTAGCAAACCTTATGGTCATGCTGGTAAAATTATCATGCAACACGCTCTCCAGCAGAATTAGATGACTTCCTTCTTTGTGTGGCTTTATCCACGTGGAGAGTTAGACTAATCCTCCGTTTAAGCAATATTGTTAGCTGATACAGTCTAAGCCACATATGGGTGTGTGTGTGTGCGCGCATATATAGACATATATTTTTTGATGTCTTCTGAAAGATTTAGAGAAATTCAGAATTTAAACAAGAACAATATCAATTCAGCTGTGTAGCAGATACTTCAATTATAATCGCTAATGGACAAATTGAGAGATAAAAAGACTTTTCTATCACGTTGAAATTCAATGAACAGTTTTCAATTAGGCTTTGGATGTAAAAGGAAAAAAAGAAAGTGACTTTTCCTTGATGTTAACATTGCTGAGAGAGATGAGAGGAACTTTGCTTTTTCATTATACTGAAGAGATGCATATAAGGCTGCATATTTGAATTATAAATCAGGTCGCTATCTGCCAACCGAAAGCAATATCAATTAGAACTTAGGTGGATTAAGCTTTAAAATGCCTTATATTTAATGACAAAAGTATGACTGTTAATCTCCGCAGCCATCAAAGGGATAATTTAAGGCAGCAAGAAATCAGAGAATGATGTCACAAAAATAGGCCCTTGCAGCTTTTTGGATAGTATTATCGTAATTAATGTACTTCAAATGACTTTTTTTGTGGGTTATGAGCTTTCACAAAAGCATTTATTGCGGGCATAAAATATAAAACTCTAAAGAGTGGGTTTGACTAAGGTTGACTGGAGGGGCCTTAGCCTTTCTGCTACAGTAATTCCTGTAAAATAATAGTTTCATTTACAGGCATAATTTATAATGTTGAATTTATGCCAGTTCATCTGGTATAAATCATGGTAATAGCATGATCTATTGTATGTCACTTGAGCGAATGCAAATTAAATATTGTTAAATTAAAGAAAAACTGTTAAAATAACATTGGGTTGTAACCAGAACTGCTGGAATGAAGGAAATGTGGGATTAAGGATGAAATTTCACTGCTGTAGGTCTTGAGCTGATACTGGAGGTTGTTGCCAAAAGCAAATATACATCTAAATAAGTAAATAAATAAATAAACTGTACTGTGTTGTTGGGGACAAAGTCATACATTACCCCAGAGTGTTCTTTCATTGTAATTTCTAACAGCAACTCTAAAAATTAAATAGCTGTTTTTTGGTTTGGTTTTGCTTCCTGCAATTCTTTAATGTTTTATTTGGCAATTGGAAATGGAGTTTCTTTCTTAATTACTCGGTGATTTTTTTTTCTTTTGACTCATAGGCTTTTTTTTCCCCCAGGATCATTCTCAACAAAACTATTATTTATTTACTTTTTCAGACCTTAGCATCTCCCTGCTAACAGGCCCAAAGAGCACACTGAGGTTAGTTGGTTAGACAGCAATTGCTGATTCTTTTCACTGCTTATGTAGTGAAATGCTGCGAGACTGAATCAGCGGAGCTGATAACAGCTTTAATTCTTGAATGTGGTTCTAGAAAGCTTGGGTCATTAATAAACAAGAGTCATTAAAATGCGTCTTTCACACAAATCCACTTCTTCCCACAAACAAAATTCTTTTTATTCCATTTAGAAGTTGATGACAACTCATCCTCAAAGCCAACCAGAGCCATTGTGCTAAGGTAAATATGGGCGTAGGACAAGAGGAAGCAAGGGATACAGGCAATATTATTTCCCTTTTACATTACAAAAATCCATTACAAATCATATCATTAATGGAAAGGAATAAGTTGAGATTCTAGGGTATGGTGTGTGCGCGTGTGTGTTCTGTTACACATGTAACCTAGCACATTGTCAGAACTCAATAAAAGAGGCTAACAGAAAACAGGGCATACCGGCAATATTATTTCCCTTTTACATTAAAAAAATCCATTACAAATTATATCATCAATGGATCACGCTTGGTAAGGAATAAGTTGAGATTTTGGGGTGTGTGTGTGTGTGTGTGTGTGTGTGTGTGTGTGTGTGTATGCGTGCTCTGTTTCACATGTAACCTAGCACGTTGTCAGAACTCAATAAATGTTGATGGATGGCAGGGTGGCATACCCATTATAACATCAATTAATTTGCTGTCAAGAAAAAGTGGGCCCTTCAAATTATCCAGCCATAATTGCCTTGGCTTTGCTAACTTTTCCCCCTACATAATAGGTTATGTGAGTAGTTATCAACACATATGCCTCAAAAATATTCAATAAAAGACTGCATTTTTCCCCACATGCCGTGATAGAAAAAAAAGACAATTTAATATGGTGACTGTTAAGATGTGAATATGTGGTTATTCTGATGGACCCAGGGAGCAGGGCAGGAGTTGTGAAGGAATACTCAGAGCAGTGCCGGACAATCTGGGTTTGAAGAGGAGCAGCAGAGCTGTCTATCGTTTATTAAGCACTTGGTCGCTGTGCCATGCATGAGCCATCTAGGGCCAGGACTTGGGCAGGGCCAGTGGAGCGCTTGTTTCAGGTACAAAATTTAGGGGAAGGGTAACAACAAAAACCTGAAAAATCAAGATAAATCATGTTTTCATGCAATATTTAAAAAACTAAAATGAACACAAAAATTCATCATGAACAAAATACCAAAATTTTAAGTAGACAGGAGCCTTCTCAGAACTGGGGACAAATTATATCCTAAGCAAGTTAATGCAAGAACAGAAAACCAAATACCACATGTTCTCACTTACAGGTGGGAGCTAAGCATTGAGTACTCATGGACATAAAGATGGGAACAGTAGACACTGTTCTGTTACTGTGGGGGAGGAGAGGAGAGGAAGGGCTGAAAAACTACCTACTAGGGGATGGGTGCTGGGCTCATGCCTGTAATCTCAGCACTTTGGGAGGCTGAGGAGGGCTGATTGCTTTGAGACCAGTCTGGGCAACATAGTGAAACCATGTCTCTACTTAAAAAAAAAAAAAGGCAGGTGGGTATGGTAGTGCACACCTGTCATCTCAGTGACAAGAGAGGCTGAGGTGGGAGGATGGCTTGAGTCTGGGAGGTCAAGGGTACAGTGAGCTGGGATCACAGCACTACACTTTATCCTGGACAACAGAACAAGATCCTGTCTCAAAAAAAAAAAAAAAAATCAACTACCAAAAAACCCCTAAAACCTACCTATTGGGGGCTGGGTGTGATGGCTCATGCCTGTAATCCCAGCACTTTGGGAGGCCGAGGCGGGCGGATCACAACGTCAGGAGATTGAGACCATCCTGGCTAACACGGTGAAACCCTGTCTCTACTAAAAAAAAAAAAAAATTAGCCAGGCATGGTGGCGGGCGCCTATAGTCCCAGCTACTCGGGAGGCTGAGGCAGGAGAATGGTGTGAACCTGGGAGGTGGAGCTTGCAGTGAGCAGAGATGGTGCCACTGCACTCCAGCCTGGGCGACAGAGCGAGACTCCATTTCAAAAAAAAAAAAAAACCTATCTATTGGGTACTATGCTCACTACCTGAGTGGTGGGATTGTTCGCACCTGAAACCTTAGCATCATGCAATATAACCAAGTAATAAACCTGTATACCTACCCCCGGAATCTAAAATAAAAGTTGAAATTTTATTTAAAAAACAAAGAATTGGAGGCAAAAGGCAAAATGTTTATCCTTCTCTGTGTATGCTTGTGTATATTTTTTATTGGTCAGTGTTTTCCCAGAACATTAAAGAAATTGAAAACAATACTGAAAAACTGAAAAGTAGGTATGTTAAAACTCACATTAAGTTAATATTTTTTTACTTCAAATAGAATCTATTATAATGTCACTCTTTTGGCTTTAAGGGGAACAAAATCATCCATGATATTTTCATTTCTTTATCTATTTATTTTTACTGTATATAATTAAGGTGTACAACATAATGGTCTGAAAAACCTGATTCTGAAAAATGACTGCGAAGGGCATCATAAACTTATATCCTTGTAGGGATGCACCATTCCTCCTTTGCTTCAGGTGCTAAGATGGATCTGTACAGCACTGTAACTGATCCTGTTTTTATTTAAAATTTTGATCTTTGTTTATAATGGATTTTTTGGTATTCATTTTATTTTATTTTATTTTATTTTTATTTTAGTTTACTTTACTTTTTACTTTTTTACTTTACTTTTTACTTTACTTTACACTTTACTTTACTTTTTTCTTTACTTTACTTTTGAGATGGAGTCTTGCTCTGTTGCCCAGGCTGGAGTGCGGCAGCATGATCTCTGCTCACGGCAACCTCTACCTCCCAGGTTAAAGCGTTTCTCCTGTCTCGGCCTCCCCAGTAGCTGGGATTATCGGTGTCCGCCACCACATCTGGCTAATTTTTGTATTTTGGGTAGAGACGGGGTTTCACTATGTTAGCCAGGCTGGTCTTGAACTCCTGATCTCAAGTGATCCGCCTGCCTCGGCCTCCCAAAGTGCTGGGATTACAGGCATGAGCCACCATACCCAGCCCTCATTTTGATTTTAAAAAATATCACAGGCCTGCACAGTGGCTCCCGCCTGTAATCCCAGCACTTTGGGAGCCTGAGGTGGGTGGATCGCCTGAGGTCAGGAGTTAGAGACCAGCCTGGTCAACATTGTGAACCCCGTCTCTACTAAAAATACAAAAATTGGCGGGGGCATGGTGGCGGGAGCCTGTAATCCCAGCTACTCAGGAGGCTGAGACATGAGAATTGCTTGAACCTGAGAGGTGGAGTTTGCAGTGAGCCGAGATCGTGCCATTGCACCCCAGCCTGGGCAACAAGAGTGAAACTGTGTCTCAGAAAAACAAACAAACAAAAATAAATAAAAAAAAATCACATGAAAATATGATTTATGTTGATTACTAAGTTTTTTTTGCATCTTGTGAAATTCTGTGCTCAGGGCGAGTGGCTTGCCCTCCTCACCTGATCCCAGCTCTAAAGCACTTTACAGGTTCTTTCCTCCTATCTTTCCACGTACACAGAGGTAGCCATTATTTTTTATCTATTTTTTTTTTTTTTGAGACAGGGTCTTGCTCTGTCTCTCATGCTGGAGTGCAGTGGTGTGATCACAGCTCACTGCAGCCTCAATCTCCTGGGCTCAAGGGATCGTACTGCCTCAGCCTCCCAAGTAGCTAAAACTACAGGCATGTGCCACTGCATCTGGCTAACTTCTTTTTTGTAGAGATGGAGTCCTGCTATGTTGCCCAGGCTGGTCTCGAACTCCTGGCCTCAAGCGTTCCTCTTGCTTCGGTCTCCCAAAGTGATAGGATGACAGGCGTGAGCCACTGTGCCCAACTGGTAGCTGTTGTGATTATGCCTATTTTTGTAGGTGAAGAAACAGTGCTGACCTTCATTTCCCCATTCCATGCCTAAGCTTCACGGCTTCCTGATACACCAAAGACTTTGCATTGTAGGTCCCCTGGGACTCTGCTCCATGGAATGCTGTGTTCACAGACGGGTGACGGACAAGCTTGGGGTGCGTTAATGCTCCAGGAGGAGCCCTCAACCAGTGATAGACCAGAGTCAGATGATCAGTACCCCAGCTTTCTTGCTAGGCAGGCTGATACTGGCACATGGCCCATGCAGTCTTTCAGGGGACCCTAACAAGTCTTCACTTGCCTCCAGTAGGAACCTGATCATTAACATGACTGGTCGTGGCCTCCCTGCCTCCTTTGTCATACTCTCTACCAGAGCTTCTTGACATCACGTTCCAAATCAATTACTTGCCCTCAAAACCTATCTCAGGGTCTGTTTCTAGGGAAGCCACCCTGAGATGCTGAAGCACAGAGACGTTGGCTAAGCAACTCACCAAGTTTATAAATTTATGATGTGGGAGAGCAGGAATTCAACCCCAGGGAGTCAGCTGCTAGGGTCCATGGTCTTATCCGCACTCCACCAGAACCTTTGCAAACTACGGCCAGAGGGCAAAGTTTGGTTTGCTGCCTGTTTCTGTCTGCCTGTGAGTTAGAAATAGTTTGTATAGTTTCAAATGGTCAAAAAAATCAAAAGAAGAATGATATTCATGTGAAAATATATGAAATTAAAATGTCAGCATCCATAAATAAAGTTTAATGGGAAGATAGCCATGTCCATTTGTTTACATACTTCAATGGCTGTCTTTGTGCTGCAGCTGCAGAATTGAGTAGCTGAGACAGAGATCAAATGGCCTGCAAAGCCAAAAATATTTCCTATCTGGCCTTTTGCAGAAACAGTTTGCTCAGCCCTGCTCCACTGCTTTTCTCTTCCAGCTTTGTAACTGATTAGTGGTCCCTTTACTAACCTCTGTGAGTCTCAGATTTTGCAGATGTAAAATGGGGATAAATCACTGCTCCTGTATAGTTCTTGTGAAGATTGAATATACGAGGTAATATTTGCAAAGTTCCTAGCACAGAGTTCACCTCTTGCAAATATAATAGCCATTTCTACTAAAATAAATTTTATGAAAATATTGTTATCTCAGTTGTTCCCGAGCCTATAAAATCCCTTATTCAGTAACCAGCAGATTTTTCTGGGGCGTTGGCATGGGAGAGTGTTTGCATTCTATAGGTAATGGGTGGGCCTAATTGCCTGTTAGTTGCAGATTTCTTTAAAGTTGGGCAAGACATGGAAAAGCAGAGAAAACAAATGAATAAAAACAAAGCAGCATGAAAAATGTCAGGGGTAGTATGTGAGAAACTGGAATCAATATTCAAAATGCATGCATGTCTCAATTTTTCTTTGTTACTGTGTCACTGTTTTGAAAAGTCTAAATTATGCTTGCAAAAACTTAACGTATGCATACATATGTATGAATGTATACGACGTAGCAGGGTTGAGACAGACAAGCACAATAGTAGGTTTTGCTCAGAATAAGAGGCAGAAGTATGCGGTAAAAGTCGTTTCTGTACACAGTTGAGTGGTGGGTCATTCCAGCAGACCCTTCTCAGGGACGTGCAAACAGACCAGTAAGAAACTTCAAGGCTGTTTCTCCATTTTTCTCAAATCCATCTCCTTTCCTCCATTTCTGCAGTTAAGTCTGCCTTTATCTCTCTCAGGTTTACGGCTCCCCAACCTGGCTTTCTTTCCTCCAGTGCTTCTCAGTGGGAGCCAGTTTTGCTCCCCAGGATATATTGTTTTGTACCATAATCAAGAGTATGCAAAGGGCATCCATCCATGGGTACAGGTTAGGAATGCTGATGAAACCCTACAATGTACTGGATCATCCTCCCGCTCAGGGAGGAATTATCCTGCCCAAAATATCAATAGTGTTGTGGTTGAGAGTCCATGCCAGTCTTTTCCTCTGATGGGTTCTCAATTCAGCAGCCAGTATGATTTCTATTTTCTAAAATGTAAATATTTTATTTTCTAAAGTACACTTCTTTGCATAAGACCCTGTATTGCATTCTTTTTGCCTGCAGGGTAAAATCTGAACCTGAATCCTTATAACATGTTAAAAAAACCTGTGTTGCCTGTTTCTTGCCTGTTTTCCCCCTCATCTCTCTCCTCTTTCGACTCATACTTTATAAATGCATCGAGGTGTTGCTCACCTGTAGGACTCGGCATAAACTATTTTCAGACTCTGAGTCCATAACCCTTTTCACCCTTTTCTGGTCAACTTTTATGTACGAGTGACATGAAATATCAGCTCACAGGTTACCTTCCCCTTGATGGCAGCTACCATTTAACATGATAATCTTGTGTTGTAATTGCTTGCTCAATTATTTGTATTCCTGTTTACAGGCTTACCTCTCAGAGGGCAGGGATTGTATCTTTCTTTTTCACTACCACATGTGCAGTAAAAGGCACACAGTAGGTTCTCAGTTAATATTTGTTGATGACTGGAGTGCTTATGCTAGTTTGTTTATATGGAGCAACTTATTTAGAATGTTGTTAAGACATTTATAAATGTAAATATTTTTATTATTATTATTTTTTTGAGATGGAGTCTCGCTTTGTTGCCGAGGCTGGAGTGCGGTGGTGCAATCTCAGCTCGCTGCAACCTCCGCCTCCCAGGTTCAAGCGATTCTCCTGCCTCACCCTCCTGAGTAGCTGGGATTACAGGCATCCACCACCACACCCGGCTAATTTTTGTATTTTTAGTAGAGATGGGGTTTTACAATGTTAGCCAGGCTGGTGGCTCTCAAGTGATCCACCCACTTTGGCCTCCCAAAGTGCTGGGATTACAGGCATGAGCCACCACGCCTGGCCTGCAAATGTAAATAGATGTGGCAATTCATATTTCTGGGTTATGATAATATTGGTTTGCTGTGTAATTATACCAGCTGAAAAATGAGGAAAAAAAGTAGAAATCCAAAATGGTGGAATTTGAACAATATAAATTAATAGGCTGTTTTAGATTTTTTGGAGAGGAAGAAGAAGTATTAGTTAATTTAATAATAATAAGATTTAAAAAATAATTTAAAAGATCACTAGACAATGGACAATGCTGTTGTCAAGAAGCGTGGAGGGTCTGAGATTTTTACCTTGCTTGCAAGCTAACAGTTACCCCACTACATTTTTTTTTTTTTTTTTTTTTTGAGATGGAGTCTCGCTCTGTCTCTCAGGCTGGAATGTAGTGACGTGATCTTGGCTCACTGCAACCTCCGCCTCACGGGTTCAAGCGATTCTCCTGTCTCAGTGCCCCCTCCCCACCTGCCCAAGCAGATGGGACTACAAGGGCCCACTACCATGTCCGGCTAACTTTTTTTTGTATTTTTAGTTGAGATAAGGTTTTGTCATATTGGCCAGGCTGGTCTCAAACTCCTGGCCTCAAGGTGAGGAGGTGGCCTAAGGTGATCTGCTCACCTTAGCCTCCCAAAGTACTGGGATTATAGGCATAAACCACCACGCCCAGCTCCTTCCCACTACAATTTTGTAGATGCTGGCAGCAGACATGAGACTTGTGGGTCAGAAACAAAAGACTTTATTACTCACTGTACAACATGCAGCATCTCTCCGTTGCTGCCATGAGACTTGAGGGCACAAGGGGAATAGAAATAAACATGAAGCTCATACTGCATGTTGTGTTGTGAGCAATAAAGTCTTTGTATACTCATTTGCAGGCAAAATAGATGGGATGAAGAAACAATGTAGAAACATGCTTTGGTTTTTCTGCCTTATATTATTCTTACAAATGCATCGAATGGTTCTGGCAAACATTTGAAAATGCATTTCTCTGGAAATGGCAACAGCCACCTAACCATCTAGCCCTGTTGATTTCTTCCTTCAAATATTTCTGGATTTCATCCGCTGGTCTTTACCTCCATTGATACCTTGCCCCCATCTTACTTCAAGCTGCCATCCTCTCTTAAAGGGGTTTGTAACAATGGATTCCTACATGGTTCCCTTCTTATCCTCCAGTCATTGCTTAGCTAGTTTCTTGAAGCCCAGTTTCTTTATCTATGAAATAGAAATAGCAACATTCCTAGCCCATAGGATTTTTGTGGAAATTACACAGAATGATGTAAATCAGCCTGACAAGTGCTGAGATTCAATTAATGTTAGCTCTTATGATTGATTACTTATATATGCACAAGCCCTGAATTTGTATCTTCTATGTTTGATTTTTTACAACCAATAGATACTTTGAGGCAAAATCTTCAAAGTGAAATTACCCCTTATGAATGGAATCAAGTTAAGCCAAAGCCTTTCTAGTGGAAAGCTGCTGTGTAAGAAGGGGAGTTTAAATTTGGGAAAAAGGATAAATTAGATCAGTTGATACTTACCCTTTAGGAAATATTATTTGAATTATTCTTCTATTGCCAGCCAACCCCATTTCATGGGGCATGTATATTTGCTAAGCAAATCAGAATTTTTCTTTTTTAAAGATCTGAAGGCTCTTCTCTATTCTATTATTAATTGAATATGTTTGGACCAATACAGGAAGAATAAAATTACTACATCACTATATGTATGTGAGATAAAATATGTGATTAAAGATATTTATTATACTGATGTGGAAAACAATAATATGTTAAACAGATAAGGATGTAATAATGCATATTTTCCCCATAAAATTTAATTTATCTCTTGGGCTGGGCATAAACTTTCCTCTTGAACAACTTGCTTTCCAACTATAGATTGCTGAGCTAAACTGCTTAGTTTTACAGCAAATTGATCACTACTGTAATATTTCAGGAGCAAAGTGATCCTTACCAGTCACTTTGATTTCAAAGGCCAAAATTTATAGTTTTGCTCCTGATTTAGTGATAAAATTTTTTAACATATTGAGCATTTTATCACCTTCTATCAGGACATGGAGTTGAACTCACAAATGAAAAAAAAAAAAACCCAACAAAAAAGGGACCATAAATAATATAGTACAGAATGACAGAAGAGTTTAATATTCCCTTTGGACCAGTGGGAAATTACTCAGATTTCTTTCCTTGTAAACATATGTCCTGGTCTCTATGGAAGACGTGTTATGCAATCTCTCTGCTCCTGGAAAGGGAGTCACAGATAATGCTGGAGCTGGAAACCACAAGGATTTTGTAAAAGCACAGAGGAAACTTTATTATATGTGTGCTCCCCAGTGTCTCAACTCGACTTTATTCAAGGCAGATAAAATGTAGTTTTTGGACACTTCTGATATGTTCAAAATAGGTGCAGACAGTTAATGATGGGAAAGTTCATGACTCAGTAAAGATTACTCCCTAGCTGGTAGCTTAGGACAGAAAACTATAAAATCAAATTATGATAATCATAGGAGTCAGGAGAAAAAAGTAGGCCCATGGAGCTCTATTTACTGAAGTTTTGAATTCATTATATACCACCTACTGTGGAAGTATAGGAAACAGATTTTTTGATCATCTCAGTAGATTTACAAAGTAGAACTATTTTGTGATTACCAAAGTGAATTTTTAAAAAACTTAAAATTGTAAGAGAGAGAACCGGGGCTAGAAGAAACATGCAATAATAGAGAATAAAAATAATCGACATGCCCCACAATACACTTGCACACATCCAGACTTTACCTTTTGAGGAACAGTTGGTTGGACATTAAACCAGTGAAAACAGATGTGGCTGTCTCAGTTTTTACCACTAAAAATAATTTTTTTCCAAACAACATTTCCATCACATAGCAGTGTCTACCTGTCCTGACATAAGAGTTAAACCATTGATCTAGGGCTTAAATAGGACTTTGACCTGCAGTGGTCTATTTTATCACATGTAACTTAGTTGTTGAGTCAGCAAGGCCAAATACGCTTCTACTAGATATCAAATCTAGACAGCTAGGGTGTGCAAGATTTTTATTTTTTTACCTTCACTCAGATCTGTGTTTTAGGGAGAAAGTCGGCCTTTTCTACCTGATATTAAGAATATCTATCTGGACAGTGCCCTTGAGTGACAAATCTCATTGATAATTTTCTATGCTTGCCATGTTAAATTACATAGCTGCTAGTGTTTTATATGATACCTTCTTTTTTGTATGCTTGTTAGCATTTATAGGATTCTTATGATGTGCTTAGTTTTTTTTGTTTGTATTTAAAAACTTTAATACAGTTCTGTAACATTTAGCTATTGCTGCATAAAATAACAGCTACAAAAGCTCAGTGACATGCAACATAGACATTTCTTGATTTTGCTCAGGGTTGGTCATCTAAGCGGCCCTGCTGAGCTTGTCTGGGTTGCTCACATATCTGGGGGTCAGCAGGCTGTCAGCAGGGGCCACTGGGTGATGGGGTGACTCGACTCAGCTCCACCTGGCTCGTGTCCTTTGGCAGGTCAGTCTGGGCATGGTCTCAGGACAGTGGTAGTAGGCCAAGCAGGACCATACAAGGCTTCTTGGAAGCCTAGGCTCAGAACTGTCACACGATCACTTTCATTACATTCTTTTGTCCAGTAAGACACAAGGTGATATAAGAAGCTCTATTTCTTTTTTCTTCCCTCTCTTTTTTTTTTTTTTTTTTTGAGACAGGGTCTTGCTCTGTTACCCATGCTAGAATGCAGTGGCACCGTCATAGCTCACTGCAGCCTCGAACTCCTGGGCTCAAGCAATCCTCCCGCCTCAGCTTTCCAAATAGCTGAGACTACAGATGCATGCCACCACACCCGGCTAATTTTTTAATTTTTGTGGAAACTGCTACGTTGCCCAGGCTGGTCTCAAACTTCTGGCCTTAAGCGATATTTCCAACTTGGCTTCTGGGCCAAGTGCTGGGATTACGGGCCAAGTGCTGGGATTACAGGCATGAGCCATTGTGGCCGGCTGAGGTTCTGCCTCTACAGTGAGTGAAACTGCAATGAGACATGCCAAAGAGTGCAGATACAGTGATGGAGAAGAATTAGAGCCCTTATTCAATCTGCCGTAGAGCTTATTCATCCTCAGAATAATGTGATGAGGTAGCTACTATCATTATTCCCCACCCCCCTTTTTTTTTGTGCAGGGAATTATTGCAGAGGGTACTAAATAGCAAGAAGTCACCCAGCTAGTAAGTGGTGGAACCAGGAATCGAGAGAGTCTGGGTTCTTTACCCCTCTGCTGAGCAGTTTGATTATAACAAACACAAAAACAAAAGTGAGTACAAATTTTAGTCTGTAAACTAAGATGTGCAATCAGATTTTATTTTCTATATCTCTATCTAAGCGCTAACTTGGAGCTTCCATCGTTCTGGGCTGGCAGAAGAATTCAGCTCAGTTCTTTCTGGAAATTGCTTCATGAGGTGGACATTTGTTAGTGCATCTGAATTGCTTCCCATGTCTGAGGAAACCTTGTCTTTGTAAGGCTGAGCTCATCTCACATCTGAAGAGGAAAACCCCAGTTATGTGCTTTCCTGATCTCCCTGGAAGTCCCAAATGGCCATTAAAAGCTTGAGATAGGAGAATACAGGGATTGCACGGAGTGCATTCTGGTGACTGGTAGTAGCAATGGTGGTGGCAGGGGCAGAAGTTGTTTGGGCACCAGTGTCTAGTGTCCAGCACTGTTGGCATCACTACATATGGTCCAAACTCCTGCATCTGTGCCCAGCTCTGTTCATGGGGGCATTGTCATGGCACCAGTATTATACCTCGATCTTGTGCAGTATTCTGACTGCAAAACCTCCAAACCTGGCTCTTTGGAGTTCCTGGGGGCTTTGTGAGTGACAAAGAATCACTTGATAAATGCTCTTCCTGCTGGAATTAATCAGAATTAGCTTCAGTTGTTGGCAACTATAAGCCCCAGCCTTTCCTGGGTTTTTCATGTGTTTGGGGCATTGCATTATGCCCAGGCAAAAGAGGTGGCTCCCTTGATCTGCTGGCTTTGGCCACATAGATTTCCTGCAGGAATGTTCATTGCCCCATTTTACCTACAAGCACAGCAGCTTTCTGCTACCTCCCTGCCATGTTTGGGATGAAGGGATTTGGGGGAAGTTGTTTATGGCCCCACCTTCCTCGACTTGCCCTATGGTCATTCCTTTTCTGGTGCTTGTTGCCTTTCTAGAGCCGACAGAGAATTGAAGTCTGGGTCTACTACCTCTCCTACCTCTCTGTGCCCATAGATCTCTTCCTTCAATCTTTTGCTTAAAGCCTTCTCCTCCAGCCTGGGAGGATTCTCCTTGTATTCTTGTGTGATATGGTTTGACTCTGTGTCCCCACCTAAATCTCATCTTCATTTGTAATCCCCATGTGTCAAGGGAGGAACCTGGTGGGAGGTGACTAGATTATGAGGATGTTTTCCCCATGCTGTTCTCATGATAGTTAGTGAGTCTCATGATATCTGATGGTTTTAAAGGTGGCAGTTTTCCTGTGCTTGCACTTCACTTCTTGCCTGTCGCAATGTGCGACGTGCCTGCTTCCCCTTCCGCCATGATTGTAAGTTTCCTGTGGCCTCCCCAGCCATGAGGAACTGTGGGTCAATTAAACCTCTTTCGTTTATAAATTACCCAGTCTTGGGTATTTCTTTATAGCAGTGTGAAAATGGACTAATACATAGGGAAACCCCTTTTCCTACATATTTTCTCCAATATACTTTGGTTTTGTTTGCAAACTGCCTCTCTCTCACTTTTTTTTAAAAGCACATTTATAAATCACAGGATTTTGTAAAAAATTAGCTAAAAAAGACTGGGGGACAGTTTGTGTTCTGTCCTTAGTTACCATATGCAGATCTTTCCACTTAATTAAAAGTGAGGAGGAGGTGGGGAAAATGCCAGGACAAAACGCCCATTTCCCATAGGGTAGGCTATTCATCCTAAGGTACTTTCCTGGCGGAATGGATTCCAAACTGCTTGGAATAGCTTCAGTCTATTATTTTGACCTCACCTCTTGCCATGTATACCTCTTCCTCCCCATACAGCCTAGCTTCCAGCTGAATCAAACCCACCAACGGGTCCTGAATATCTCCTTGTTTCCACATCTCTCAGCACATATAGTTATTTTTCTCTGCCTAAAATATCTCTTTTTTCCCTCTATTTTCTATAGACAAAATCCTAAAGAAGAGATAGAGGAAATTCTCAATGATGGGTCTGGATACAATTTGGGTAAACATTTTAACAAACGGTTTGGCCATTTGGGGGTATTTATATATACAAGGTCCCTATTTTCTGGAGGTTTATGTTTTGGTAGACTAATCAGCTCAAAACTTGAGCTTCTGAGACTCTGGGGGTAGGCAAATTCATTTGTTCACTGATTTAATACATAGGAATGGGTACCAGAGAAGAATTTTCAAGTCTCTAGGAATAAACAGAATGATAATTTTCACGTCATTTTAAATGTAAGTGTGCTAGAAATTACCTATGGGATTTTGTCCTCTTGTTCTCACTCTTTTATCTTCAAATGGTAATTTTCCAGCATTTTTTCATTCTTTCAGGGACATTTACTGAGAATTTAACATATGTTAGGCATTATGTTAAGTAGCAGTTTTCTGTATATAGAACATTAAACAAGTAGAAATAATGGGGTGTAAACATAAAGCAATTTCATTTTGTCTTCCACTATCACTTAAAACTTTATTAAACTGGGAAGGCTTTTTTCCTGCCCCTGCATGACTTTTTTGATCACTCATTTTAATAGAAATTTCTGCAGTCACTTTAAGCTACTAAACACAGTCTTAGTTCAGAAATTAGAATGTTTTGCACCATATAATAAGCCAACCTCTGAACTTGACTTAAAATTAAATCTTCTCCTTCCCATAGATGTGCTCTCCAGGGAAGCCTACATCCAGTAAATAGTCACCTTCTTTCTTTCCTCACTCTGAGTCTACAAGCTTGCTAAAAGGGGTTTCTGACCTTTCAGTGTTCAGAGAAAGGGGATAGAGGAGAGGCTGGGAAGCCAGAAAGTCTACACTTTACTGCTACCTTTGTGGAATGGCTGCACAGTCTCTGGACCTGGGGGATGTTTAGGCTGACTTTTCTCTCCTCTGGGCATTGTCATGGGTCCTTTGGAGATTCCCCTCTTGTTGGAAACCTCACTTAAGGAAACTTTCTATTTTTCTTCTATTATGTCTTGCTCAAAGGCCAAAGATTTCTCTTGACATCTCTTTTCCGACTTGAGACATCCAAGTCCCCCATGCTATGTTCAGAGAGTTTACAGACATCTAGGATTGTTGGATTGCAGTATGTACACAGGAACGTACTGGTACAAGATCTCTTTCCTTCTGCTCTGTGGTTCTGCACACAAAAGCCCATTGGTAGTTAATTCTCTCTGGCAGTTTCCAAATCTTTTTGTCTCATAGTCCTGTGGCTTCTCTGAGACTTTGGTTCGGTTTGGGAGAAAACGTTCCTTGGAATGCCAGTAAGAGAACTGCAGGTGAGTAAACTGAACTGAAGTAATGCAGAATAATAGTTCAAGATCGATTCCTGCCACAGACCTTGAGTAAAGGGCTATGGAAGGTTTTTCTAAGAGGGGTTATTTTACCTGGTACTGAAGCATTAGTCTGTCTCTGAGGCAAAGTAAAGAAAAAGGATGTTCTTCATGGAAGAAATAGGGCACCTAAAAGAAAGTGTCTGCAGGTACCCAGTGGCTGCAGCTTTAGCAGGCATGGTTGGGAGGGTCTGTAATGGAGAAGGGCTTGGCCTTTGTCCAGCATCCAAGGGGAGCCTTTGGAAGGTTTTAGACGGAGAAGTGGTATGTTCTAGAAAGGTGTAGCATGGTGGCGTATGCCTGTAATCCCAGCTACTTGGGAAGCTGAGGCACGAGAATCACTTGAACCCAGGAGGCGGAGGTTGCAGTGAGCGAGATTGTGCCACTCCACTCCAGCCTGGACGACAGAGCGAGACCCTGTCTCAAAATACAAAAACAACCTTCTCAAAAACAAAAACAAACCTACACCTGGGGGAAAAACTAACAAAAGATGTGTAAGATATCCACAGAGAAAAATTACAATGCATTAGTGAAGGAAATAAAATAAGCTCTTTAAAAATATAGAGCTCTGCCTAATTCCAACACTTGTGTTATAAGTTGGTCTGATTTTCCTGTCTACTTTTTCTCACGATTACTTTTCTGCTAGATATGGGAAGGAGAAGAAAGAGTTAAATAACACGCATTTAAATGTCCTCATCCCCCTCCCCTCCAAGCCAGTCACTGGAGAAGTTGAATAAAGAAAAACAAAACCAAACCATTTGGGCTAAAGAAATAATTGGGAGAAAAGAAAGTTGCCAAAAAGCATTGTATATGTGCACATTTATTTGTAATAAGTGAATGGACGAATGATTTAATAGTACATATGGTGGTCTTAGTATATGCATGGAAAAACTGGAGGAATATACGGCAAATTGTTAATATTGGTGTTTGGTGTGTTTTCAAGTATTATATCTGCAATATTTACTATTTTTTAAAAACAGTGAGCGTGTATTACTTTGGAATCAGAAAAATCCCAATAAATATATACACCTGTAAAGATGTCACACTTAACATAACATCCAAAGTCCTTATCAGGGCTTACAGGGCCCTGCACGACCCAGCCCCTCTCTCTGCCTAACCTTGTTTCCTTCATGCTCCCTCTTGTTCATGGTGGTCTCTTTGCTCCTCCTTGATCACACCAAGCACGTTTCCAGTTCACAATGTGTGCATTTGACGTTCTCTCTGCCAGGTGCACTGTTCCCAGGTATCTGCATGGGTCCCTTCTCCACATCAATTAGGTTTGCTCAAATGTCATAATTTCAGAAAGAACTTCTGAAAATTCCCATCTCCTGAACTTACTTTATGTTTCTCTATAGCACTTACCCACTACATTATATCATGTCTACTTATTGTCTGCCTATCTATCTATCTATCTATCTATCTATCTATCTATCTATCTGTCTATCATCTGTCTATCCATTGATGTCACCCCTGGAAGACTTTGCCTAGAATAGTCTCTGACATACAATGGAAACTCAGTAAATATGTGTTGAATATATATTATTTGCTTTTAAACAGCGAATACCTGTTTTTACTTTTATTTAGTGAAGATTGAGTTGTAGAAAATGTTTGAAAACCTGCAGCCCCAACTTATAGAGCTTAAAGGCTTTCAGTTACTTTTTAAAAAACACCTTTCCTCATCTAGGACAGAGTTTTTCCACCTCAGAACTATGGACACTTTGGGATGGAGAATTCTTTGGTTTGAAAGCTGTTCTGGGCATGGTAGGGTGTTTAACAACCAATTCAATGCTGGTAACATCCTCTCCCACCCACCTCATTAGTTATGACAATCAAAAATATCTTCAGACATTGCCTAATGTCCACTGGGAGCCCAAATCCCCTTCTCTTCCCCATTGAGAACCACTGCTATAGGAGCGTTCTAGAGTCAAATACCTCTCCATTTTTCTAAAAATATGTACAGCATCATATTGACGGAGACAGGCTAAGGTTTGATCTACTGCTATGCTATTAGGAGGGAATGAGCTGAAAATTGTCATGGGTTCTTATACTTTCATGAGAGTTACTCAGGTCTCAGCACCTCTCTACATTTTGGTTTTCTTGTTTAGTATAAATGCAATCCAATTTAATCTGCATATAAACACATCTATTGCATATTAAAATCAACATATTATAAACATCAGGCTGAATGCTTTCCTGAAGAAGCAGGCTAAAAAAATTCATGCATATTAATATTACAAATAAGCCAATTATTATATGGAATAATAAATAAAAAACAATATGATTAAAACTGGGAGCTTCATAAAGCAAAATATATGATATGAAGATTAGACTGCCTTAGAAACAATATTACAAATCCTTGCATTTTACATGTAATTTGTTTAAAATTAATTTCCCAGTGTGGTATCTTATTTTTGTTTCACCTAGACCTACACTAATAAGTTTTAGGAAACATTGATATTACTTAAAATCACAACACAGAGAAGAAACCATTTCTCTGCTCTTAATTGAGGCAAACCACACTGCTTAGCTTCACAGTTTCCAAGGCCCTGAGGACTTCCAGATATGCTGGAATTCTTGATTATATGCTGGCATGGAGCAGTGACGCACTGACCTGGTTTATTAAACCATCACCATTCTTTACTACCGAATAATAATAGCCTTTATGAGAAAACAATACAGTTCTCGAGCACTTACTATGTGCCAAGCTCTCAGCATAATGATTATTTAATTCAATCTTTACAACTATCTGGAAGTTTGATATTATTATTAACCCCATTTTACAAAAAGCAAATCTGAGAGGTTCATCTGCCCAAGATTGCATACCATTAGTAGGTGGGCTGTGCTGGGCTTTGAACTCCATCCTGTTAGACTCCAAGAACTCATGTTCTTAACCATTATAATGCTAACTATAGAGATAATTAGCAGCACATTGTTATCTTCATGTTAAATAGATTTTTACATTGACAACTTGCCACTTTGCCCTCATTCATAATATGACTATTCAAGTGGACTCCAGCAGGGAACAATGTGCCACAGGTAAATTAAAATACATACAGGAAGCTTAGGGAAAAAGGCAAGATGGTAGAAAGGATGGCATTCCAGTGAGAAGGCTGTTGAAATAGCCTAGTCAAGAAAAAATGGCAGCCTGGACCAAGGTGGTGGCAGAAGGCAAGAAGAGAAGAGATGGATTTCAGAGACTTTATTATTATTTTTTAAATGAGATGGGGTCTCACTATGTTGTCCAGGCTGGTCTTGAGCTCCAGGGCTCAAGTGATCCTCTCCCATCAGCCTCTCAAGTAGCTGGGATTACAAGCATGTGCCACTGAGCTCAGTTTGATATTTCAGAGACCTTTAAGAAGTGGGATTGGCAGGGCCTGTTGACTAGAATCTTGGGGATGGAGAAAGGGGAGAAGAGAAGAATAATACCCAATTATCTGAGTCATGGTCCTAGGAAAATGGCATCCTTCATTGAACTGGGAAGAGCAGGTGTGGTGGAAGATGATGGGTTCATATTTCTGCAAGTTGGGGTTGCAGGGCCTGAGGTGTTCATCAGGCAGTGGGATAACAGGGTGTCTTAGCTAGGCCACTTTTCACTTTCCCCCTTGAATCATAAATGCATACAAATATTTTATTCTTCTTTACCACAATATAAACTATTTTAGGGCAGTGTCCAAGATTTGTCCATCCCTATCTCCCTTAGAATGCATCATCATTGCTGGCACTTCAAGAAACATGAAGAAACATGATCCATATCTATTTGTCTTTTGTCCTCGTTCTTCCTGGGATGTGTTCTGTATTTTCCCATTTATAATCTTTCATTTTTCCCACTCTCTCCAACTAAAGACCCTTGCATTCCAAGCTACATCTCTGTGTATTTTATTCCTTCTCAGCTTCAACCTTCAAGGTCAATTTCAACTTCCACTTCCTGGATGAAAATATCTAAGCTTCCTCTGAGCACTTGACGTAATAGTTTCCTCTTTCCAACTTTTGAAGCATCTTTTTTGTAGCCTTTTTGTAACCCAGTGAAAGTTTCTCTTTATATCGATTTATATTTTCTGAGCCTGTTCTAGTGCCTGGAATATACTAGGCAGGTAATGCATGCTAGCTATTTTTATCACATGCTGTGTCATACACACTTTATATCAAGCAGAAAATATTTCAGTGCCTACACGGTCCTACCACATGCTAGCAATGGATCATGAACATGTCACTTAACCTCTTTGAGCCTCAGTTTTCTTATCTGTGAGACTGGATCATAATAATACCAACCACATAAAGTGGTTGTATGGCTAAAATGAATTTAAGTATATAACATGCTTAGAAAATTGCCTGACACATAGTGATGGTTGCATAAATATTAGCTGTTATTTTTATAGGGACCTATTAGATAAGTGAATCAAGTAAGCTGAAATTGAGAAAATGTTTTCTTAAAACACACGGATTGCTTGGTTTGTCTTTAATTTTTCCACTTTTAATAGATATATGGGTACAGAGAATATTATGTAGGTTTCTTAAATCTACTCTAAGGAAGACAATAGTGTAAGCAGAATGATAAATGGTAAGTGAGACTTAGGTCTATGCAAGAGAACAATAGGAAGTGGTGGGGACTGGGGAGAACCAGAGTGAGCTTGCCCTGTCTTAGGGGGCGGCCACTACTTAGGCCAATTGTCGTATGAGAATGAAGATCTGATGTTGTCATGGATTTTTAAGAAGCTAGAAACCTGAACTTTTTAATGAAATCTCCTAATTTGTAGATGTTGGCAACTAAATAAAAAATAAATTCAATACACTCTAGAATGCTGCAATGTGAGTGTCTGTGCTACAATATAAAATATACAATATAAAATAAAACATGCCTGTAGGCCAACTTGGCCCCCAGGTCACCAGTTTGTAATCTCTGCTTTATCTCATAACTTCCTCTAGGGTGTGAACTATGGCCTGTCCACAGTAGACAGGCAAAAATAGATGTTGAACTAAGTTAGATTTTGGTGTAAGAACTCTGGAGTACTTTCCATACATCAAACTGGGCTGAAAAAAATAATCCAAAGGATATTTTCCATTGTCGCTATTTTTTTGTCTCTGTGTGCACAGTAGCATAACATGCCCTGAATGCAGAGAAACCGTAAACTAGGTCATTTCCTTAGACAGTAAAATTCTCTGAAACAAAAGCAGCCAAAAATTGATCATTTTCCTGCTAAAGAAGCACATGCTCTCTCCGTGAGAACACACACACAGTTTAATACAATAAAACCAAGCCTGACAAAAATGTAAAATGTATGCATTTTAAAAGAGGAATTTTTAATTATATTAATTTAAACAGAAGCCCTAAATTAGTTTTCCTGTAAGAATGTGATCAACTGCTTAGTTTCCCTAAAGACAACGTGTGACCTCTACGAGGAATGCAGTTATTTGTATTCAGTTTTTCCCCCTTTCCCTTCTAGATATTTTTCCCCCCTTCATTTTATAGAATTTAATAATGGGCGAAGTAACAAATGAGAAGATAAAAATTCCTGAACACTCTAGGGCATACATGGGGATATAAACAGATATTGTAGCCATTTCCTTAAGTTACATCATTTGCTGGACTATTTGACTTTCTAATTTGAACTCCCTGTGTATTACTAAATTTAACTTGTGTATGCGAGTGTGTGTCTGTCACTGAATTCCCCCAAATGGTAGGCTCTGAGAATAAAATGCCAAATTATCTATTTCATCTGTGTTTCTGTCCATTTATGTATCTGTCTGCTTATTGATCTATTTAAACACGATCTATCAAGGAAAGCATTTCGACGTCTTTGTTTCTTATTCTTTCTTGTTTACGGAGACCACATTCCCCCCCACCCTCAATTTCAAATTGCCCTCTCTTCTCGTCTGCAAATGCTCATGGTATAGATATTTCCTTTATTATTCCCTCTAAACTTTCTTTGTTCCCGTCCCTGTCTTTTATTATTTCTCCTGTGTCATCAGAAACTGACTGCTGGATCCTGCCAATTAGCCTTTGTCTGTCAGCACCAGCCTCAGCCTCCCGAAGAGCGAGTGTGCACGGCGAGGCGGACAGGCCCTATTTCGTATGCAGCACAGTGTCCCCACACGGAGATATGCCATTACTGACAAAAGAGCAGTAGATGGGCTCAGATTAGCTGCTGACAAACTTCCTGTGTGTGTGTGTGCGTGTGTGTGTGTGTGTGTGCGCGCACCCGGTAGGAGGAGATAGTGGGGGGTGGGCAGGACAGGGCAGGAAAGAGAACCATACCCTGGAACACCAAACAGCAAATCTAACTTGCAAAGTAACTTATCAATTCTATTCCAAAATACCAATCATTCTGAAATGGTTTCCATTATAAATGTGGTCCATCTGTACTGGTGGGCACAAATGGGCAGGTCGCAGCCACAGGAATAATCCACAGATTTCTGCCTCTTGGTCGCATCTGCTCGGCCCTCCACTGTGAACTGCTTCTCTCCTTCCCCAGGTTAATATTTCTGGGCAGCTTCCAGGGTGAGGCAAGGGAGGCGCTCACCTTGGGTACGAATTGGGCGCCAAAAAACTCAGTAGTCAAAACAATTATAATATCTATGATTTAATTAAAAAATAAAAATGAATGCCAAAAATCCATGATGAAGAAAATATTAAAATTTCAGATAAAGAAAGGATCAGTGTTGGTGATGTTTCCGTATGCATCGGGCTCTAATATGGCTCGGCACAGTGCTGTGACTGATCCTGTCTTTATATACAGCATCATATATGTATGTGTATATATATATATATATCATATATATATGCATTGAGCGAGTGTATGTGTGTGTATATATGTGTGTCTGTGTGTATGACATTTTGTTTGACATATTTTTTGGTCATTTCAATTTTTTAACAATATGGCATTAAAATATGACTTATCTTGATTACTGTGTTCCTTGGTGGCCTCTTAACTTCTGCTCCAAAGTGAGTTCTCCATTGACCTCACCCTGGTCTGGGCCCTGAGGCTCTCCCACACGGGCTTACATGAAATTCTGCTCCTGTCAGGGGCCTCCCTCTGGCTAATACCATTGACCTGCAAAGCATTCAGAGGGCACCATGGGACCCAATGGGCAGACACAGGGCACAGCCCTTCCGACTGGGCGAATCCAACTTTTGTAAGGGAATACTGAGAACTTGCAGCCTCAAGATGCCAAGGCAATTGTATTCTGTGGATGTGTAAGGGGCTCTCATGATAATACCCTCTGATAGAGAGGCCCCCAGGCAGTCTGCTGGTACCCCATATCTTAAAAGAGTCCCTGGGGCTATGGTATCTCCAGTTTTTACTTGCATTTTCCCAGTTGTCCATTAGACTTGGGGGCAAGAGTCCAGTGGGGTGTTGGCCAGAAGGCACATCCAGGAGCCCCACCCCATGTTATATTCAGAATCTCCCTTTCTCTTAGGCAGCTAAGGTCATTCTCAGTGTGTTTGTTTGTTTTTATTTGCTTTTTTTTTTTTTTTTTGAGACAGAGTACTTGCTCTTTTGCCCAGGCTGGAGTGCAATGGTGGGATCTCAGCTCACTGCAACCTCCACCTCCCAGGTTCAAGTCATTCTTGTGCCTCAGCCTCCCGAGTAGCTGGGATTATTACAGATACGTGCCACCACACCCAGCTAATTTTTGTATTTCTAGTAAAGACGGGGTTTTGTCATGTTGGCCAGATTGGTCTCGAACTCCTGGCCTCAAGCAGTCCACCCACCTTGGCCTCTCAAAGTGCTGGGATTACAGGCATGAGCCACCACGCCTGGCCATTCTAAGTGTGTTTGGATGCCCCTTCCCTTAGGTTGCGTTATCTCCCAGGGTCCTCTTCAGACCTACAGGCAAACAGGCTCCCTGCAGGCTTTGCCATGCACAGATCAGACACACTGGTGCCATCATCACCTTCGTCACTATCCATCCACATTTATTGAATGCAGGTATGCCATTTCTCTTCTAATCCTCACAATAACCCTGTCAGATGGGAACAGTGAGTTTTGCCTTTTGCCAGTGAGAAAGGCGAGAACGCAAGGAGTGCATTTCTTGGCATACACTGGCTAGTAAACAATGGGCTTAGATTTGAACCCACATCTATCTGATGCTAGATACAGCACTCTTAACTTCTACTCAGCCTTGCATTTGCCCTGTACCATCCCAGGAGTCTCAAGAACCAGGAAGCTTTTGCAGAGCTGTTTTGCTCTATTTTGTGTGATGAAACATTACCTTTTATTCTACAAATACAAAGTTGTATTATGAAACTTTGAAATAAACTTGAAATGTTTGTTTCAAACTATACTCCGTTTTCTCTCTCCCTTAACACATGTGCATATTCACACACACACGTACACACACACATGCACAGACACATTCTCAAAAGTTCTAGTACTCTGACCTTGGTTAAAATCCAGTCCTTGGTCATACAGGTGATTAAGGCAGAGACACTGCCCTATGAGGTACTAGAGTCTAGTAACAGAAGGGGACATCTTATCAGTGAAGGTTGTTGGGTGTAAGCAACAGAAATGAACTCTGGTAATTTAGACAAAAGGATGATTTATTACAAGAGTACTGGCTTGCTCAAAGAATATCAGGAGAGCCAGAGACTCAAGCTCAGTGGCAACATACCAGTCTGGTTCCAAAAGCCATAGCCCTGCCCATGTAATTATTTTGCCTCTCTGTAGATGTATATTTATTGAATAAATGCCTTAAATGAGGACTTTGCAGGAGGAAATGCAATTCCTTGTGGAGTCTCCTATGTGTATGTAAACTACAGAATCACTATTCATCCAGCTTCTTTTTGTGGAAACTATTCCCATGGGAGAGTTTGGAAAAGAGGATATGGGGTGAGAAATAAACTTTATTTTCTCCTTCTAATCTCCTTGCATCACCCCATCCTCCCTCTCTGACCTCCCCTGCCCTATCAGGAAGCTGAACAAAACTAGGTCCTTGAGAGTTTCTTCCCCCTCAATACTTGGATAGATTCTTTGTTATTTAGGGTTCTCCCCAGAAGCAGAACTTGAGATAAAGATTTGAGTACAAGTTGTTTATTTGGGAGGTTGTACCAGGAAATACCCAGAAGAAGGTGGGGAAGTGAGCCAGGGAAGGAAAGTTGAGTCATCAAGACAGCTAACGCCATGGAAGACTGGAGCTTAATGTCTCCTGGAAAACTCTGGAAGCCAGTGGAGAAAAATGCCTCAGAGTTTTTCTTTCTGGGGAGGGAGGGAGTTGGGGTATTTATACACCAACATTGTCAGTTGTTGAGGGTAGCTCCTAGAGGACCATTAATTCTTGGTACTTCTGGACTACCGTGCCTATGGCAAACTGGTCTCCAGAGACCACAGAAATCCCTTAGGCAAAAAGATGCAGATGCTGCTGATGTTGCAGTCCAGCATCAAGCACTCAGGTGATCAGGGCATGGCCCTGACAGTGACATGCGGATGTCCCTGGGCTACCGACTTCTCTTCCTTAGCAGAGAGAGCTTTGAGTGTTTCCATCCAGCAAAAGCCTTAAGAACCTCCAAATCATCCATCTTTGAGTTTCAATGTCAAGAAAATATTGGAAGAAAATATTAATGCAAATCTATGCTTTGTCAAGAGTAGTGTTTTGTTATTTTTCTTGAACTATCCCAGATACACTATTTCAAATTAGGAAAAGGACAGATTTTTTTTTCTTGAGCAATATCAACTAAAGAGAGGAGGAGGGAAAAGAAAAATTCACTTATCATGGTTTATTTGTTTCCATGTGATGATAAAAAGATTAAGTCACACAGCTTTTATTTTTCCCCAATGTTTTTCTCTTGCCTTCTGCTATTAGTTGTGTTTCTATTTATTTTAATTAGAATTTAGCCTTTTATTGAACCTATTTTCTTTCTGTGGTATTTTTATAAGCTGTGTTCAGCAATTCACAGTTTCTAAAACACTAGAGATACTTTTTTTTTTTCGGACAAGATGATGCACATCATCTGGGCTTGGATCTGGTGGGCTAGTATTCATCTCAAAGGTTATGTTCATCGTAGCAAATGGGACTAAATTTTATTCTTTAGAATTATTCCAGTTCCAGTACCTGAACACTTAACTTTAAAATTTTTTTACTATTATATTCATTGGGTATTTGTAGTGTATTCTATATACTAGCTGGTAATATCACCAACACCAACAGTATCTAGTGTTAGATGTTGTTGTACTGTTTCCAAGTGTTAGAGTCCTAGCTCTGCCTCTTCCAGCTATGCTGTTTGGGTGCTTTGCTTTACCTCTCATCAGTTTCTTTACATGTCAGCCTATAAGTTTTTATTTTAAACAGACTTTGTATATATAGAATACTTAGTCCAAAGCCTATAACATAGTAAAACATTTGACTCAGGTAAGCTTTTATTACAAAACACTGGCATACACACACTCATTTTATTTAAATAGAAATGATACTGTTGGCTTATGTGCACCTAATCTTGAATTATCAAGTGACTAATGCATGGTTTGTGTGTGTATATATATAACACACAGAGTCAATAAACAAGTGTATATGAAATATCTGTGAGTCATGTTCTCATCTCTATGCCCGTGGTCTTAATTTTGAAATGTCAATTACATCACAGCTTAATGGGTGTACATAGCAGTGTGTCTGAACGTCGTTTGGCTTTCTCGATCAATATTGACCTAATTTTATCCGGGGTGGCTCTATTTCCCCTCCGTGGTATGTGCACATCTGCAAATCGTCTCAAGGAAATGAAGTTATAGCAACATCTAGAGAATGCAGTATGATGATGATTACTCAGAACTCAATCTCTTTCACCCTGTGCCTCCCTCACCTGCATTAGCCCCATGGCTCACCTCTGTGGGAATGGGGAATGACCCTCTTCTTTAGCTCTCTGGTGGTAAAAAGGGAAATGATAACAGGAGTAGCTAACAGTTACTGAGAACTCACCATGGGCAAGCACTTCTGTGTGAATTCCCTTACTCTCCTGTGTAGCCAGAGCCTTTATTATTGCCATCCACAGGTGATGGATGAAGAGGTTGACATGAGTGAACACCCAGTGACGTTGAATAAATACATGGCAGGGCCGAGATTGCAGCCCCAATGGTCAGCTCTAGGGCTTGCCATTTATACAAAATGAACTTTCAGTTTGGGAATAATTTTAGATTTGCAGAAAAGTTGCACATATATTATAGTACAAGCTTACTGTTTTAGCCATTGCTTTTTGCTGTTCTTTAAGCCTCTAAGATTTTACCAAATCATGTCAACATCACCACCAGCTCATCTAGCTTCTGAAGCATAGATCAATCTAACCTCAATTAGAGGCTCCAATTATCCACATTTAAGGCGCCATCAGAGAACACAATGCAAAATTTCTTCTTTCATTCAACACATAATGATTGACTGCTCTCTATGTCAGTTACGTACCAAGTGGTGAGCAACTCAGTCCAGCTGTTTGTCCTTATGGGAGGTAGACATTGTACACACACACACACACACACACACACACACACACACACACACACAGAGTCAGCTGAGTATAAATTTACAAGAAACAGACATTAGAGAGCATGCAATAGTGGAGGCTGACCTGGTCTGGGGGACACAGGGCAGGAAAAGATGGTCAGGAAGTTTCCCAAGGAGGTGATGTTTGAGCTGATACTTACTTCGAGGGTGAGTGTGAAGGAAAGGATGGAAGTGTGGGAGGGGAAGACTGTTACAGGCAGACAGAACATCTCCTACACAGACTCTGGCATCTGCCATCAGCTTGCCTTTAATGAGTTTCTGGCTCAGATATGTAAAAAAAAAAGTCTTCATTTCTTAGAATGCCTTCTAATTCTACCCCCCTTGCAGGCTTCATCTCCTCTGTGATTTTCTCCTAGGCCCACTCTCTCCTCCCCAGAATTAACCACCCTATACTATATCAGACCACTGTATGTACTTCTATTATTCCATGTAAATACTATTTTAATTGCTTTCCTAGAAATACCTGTCTTCTCTACTACATTGATTGCTCCTTGAGAAATATATTTTATTCCTATTTTATATCTCCAAATAATGAATCAATAGTATTTATTGAGCAATTCCTATGCATTAGGCACTTTGCTAAATTTTTTCTTGTAATATTTTATTTATTTCTTAGGTCAAACTTGTAGAGTTGTATTATTCATTCCCTATCACCCATTTAGCCAGCATTTATTGGGCACCAACCATTGTGTCGGGCACTGTTCTAAATCAGCCAATGAGGTCCTGCTGGTCAAATCTGGCTCTCCATCTGCTTAGGTAAATAAAATTTTATTGGAACCCAGCCATGCTCATTTGTTTACATATTGTCTACGGCTGGCTTCATGCTACTACGGCTGGGCTGAGTAGTTGCAACAGAGAATGTGTGGCCCACTAAGCCTAAATATTTACTATCTGGGTTTTTTTTTTTTTTTTTTTTTTTTTGAGACGGAGTCTCGCTGTCACCCAGGCTGGAGTGCAGTGGCGTGATCTCAGCTCACTGCAAGCTCCGCCTCCCAGGTTTGCGCCATTCTCCTGCCTTAGCCTCCTGAGTAGCTGGGACTACAGGCGCCCGCCACCACGCCTGGCTAAATTTTTTTTGTATTGTTAGTAGAGACGGGGTTTCACCGTGTTAGCCAGGATGGTCTCCATCTCCTGACCTCGTGATCCACCCGCCTCAGCCTCCCAAAGTGCTGGGATTATAGGCCTGAGCCACCGCGCCTGGCCACTATCTGGGTTTTTACAGGAAAAAGTTTGCTGATCTCTGTTCTAGATACTGGGGGCACAGCGTGGAAAAAAAAAAAAGACAAAAATCTTTGCCCTGGAGGGCTTGCACAATGCTTGTGTCAGAGATGGATAACTTCAACCTGTGCAATAGCTGTTCTGGGTTTCCTAGCTTCTCTTCCAGTTAGGTGTGGCCATAGGATGGTTCTAACCAATAGAACATGAGTAGGACTAATAAGGACCATTTCCCTGCCTGGCCCATACAAATCTCCTGTATGTGTTCTTTCATAGCTCTTCCTCTTGCAGGGACATGACCATAGTAAGCTGGAAGCCACTTCTTGAAGATGGCAGCACTTATCCTGCTGGCCCTGAGTAGCAGTATGGAGCCAAGATTCTTTCTCCCCTTACCACAGGCATACCAATCTGGAACCACTTAGTATTGTTGTATCAGCAAGAAATACATGGCAATTGTGTTTGAGCCATTTTTATATTTTTAGGTCAATTTGTGCCATCAGCTAGATTTTCTCTAATGAATGCAGTTTTATTATTATGTTTGCTCTGTAGCTATTAGCCCCAATTTTAACATGTCTTAATCCAAGTATATTGTCTCTCATCTGAAGACCAGAGTGATAGGTGGTCAGGGTTGTTGCGTGATATCAACTATGACCTGGTTTCTTCTCTCTTGCGGTTCTGCCATCTCCTAGAGCGTTGCCCTTGACCCAGTGGAGCTGGCTTCATAAGCAGCACCTTGTATTCCAGCATGAGAAAGGGGTGCACAGCTTGTTTTTAAGTTCTACTCTTTATTTCTGTTCATACTCTCTTGGCTAGACACATGAGTCACATGGCCACATTTAGCTAAAAGGGGGGCTGAGAAATGTACTCTTCAGCTCCATGGCCATGTGCCCAGCTACAATCCACAGACTTCTACCATTAAAAGGAAGAAATTGTCAGGTGCGGTGGCTCACGCCTGTAATCCCAGCACTTTGGGAGGTGAGGTGGGTGGATCACGAGGTCAGGAGTTCAAGACCAGCCTGGACAAGATGGTGAAACCCCATCTCTACTAAAAATAACAAAAATCAGCTGGACGTGGTGGCGGGCGCCTGTAATCCTAGCTACTCGGGAGGCTGAGGCAGAGAATTGCTTGCACCTGGGAGGCAGAGGTTGCAGTGAGCCGAGATTGCGCCACTACACTCTAGCCTGGGTGACAGAATGAGACTGTCTCAAAAAATAAAAATAAAAAAAATTTAAAAAAGAAAGAAATTGGGAATGGGTGGTGGGCACAGTTAGTTGCCTTTCATACACATGATGATGACTCAGAACTTACAGTCCAGAGTAAGTTAAGTCACTTATAGCAAAAATAAGCACTTTTTTCCCTTTATTTTTAAAAATAAAGACATTGTATTTAGTTTGGCAGTGTAATGAAAATAGTTGACAGTTATAGCAGCACACTATGCGTAGGAGTCTGGGTTTTGTGTTGTATATGTATTAGCTCATTTAAGTCTCCTCACACCACTACAAGTAAAGTGTTATTTTAATTCACATTTTATGGATGAGGAACCTGAGACTGATAGAGGTAAAGTGAGTTGCCCAGGGTCTAAAAGTTAGGAAGTGTCAGGCCTGGATCCAAAGCCAGAGAGCTGGGCCCCAGAATCTGCTTGCTTGAATCCATCTGGTAGATTGCTTCATCTCTGAAATGGGGATAAAATATGTACTTTAGAGCTGGGCATGGTAGCAAGCATCTATAGTCCCAGCTACTCTGGAGGCTGAGGCAGGAGGATCCCTTGAGCCCAGTAGTTTGAGGCTGCAGGGCACAATGATTGCACCTGTGAATAGCCACTGCACTTCAGCCTGGGCAACATAGTGAGACCCTGTCTCTAAAATAAATAAATACATACACACACTTTATCAGGATAAAGCATGAGAGAGGACGCAAAGTAGTTTCTGTCTTTATTTTTGTAATTTTTAAACACAGGAACGGAAAACCAAACACTGCATATTCTCACTCATAGGTGGTAGTTGAACAGTGAGAACACATGGACACAGGGAGGGGAACGTCACACACCAGGGGCTGTCAGGGGGTGGGGGGCAAGGGGAGGGAAAGCATTAGGACAAATACCTAATGTATGTGGGGCTTAAAACCTAGATGACGGGTTGATGGGTGCAGCAAACCACCATGGCACATGTGTACCTATATAACAAACCTGCACATTCTGCACATGTATCCCAGAACTTAAAGTAAAATAAAAAAAAAGCCATAAGTTATATTCCAATATTTAAATAAATTCCAGTGATAGGCTATAATTAATTAAATATAAACTTAAATAATGTGAAGTAATCATAATCTGAAATAAAGAATTTTCAAATAAAAAACTTTAGTCAATTTTAATATATGGTAGTCTTTTAATTAATTTTTAAAAATATAGAATAAACAGTAGAATTCCCTTTTCATTGCTTTGTTGACTCCCTGCTAGCACCTTCACTGCCCAAATAATACTCATTTCGCCAGAGGAGGGGGCTGGCAAATATGGGCCACAGACCAAATCTCTTCCCCCAACATCCACACCTGTTTTTGTAAATAAATTTTATTGGGACCCAGCCACGATCATGCACTTAGTTTTGCTTTTGGGCTATAAGGGCAGAGTTGAATGGTTATGCCAGAGAGTGGCCCACAAAATTGAAAAAATTAACTATCTGTCCTTTTATGTTAAAAGTTTGCCAACACTTGCTTCAGAGCTAATCAATGTTCAAATTTTATGTCTTCAATTTCATACCTTTTCTCATGTTTTTGCACATGTCTGGGTATGCACATATATATGTAATTACAAAAATACATACCTATACACACATATGTATGCATATGCACACATGCACACATAATATTTTTAGTTAAATGAAGTCATGCTATATAAATGATGTACATAATGTACCTTGGAGATTTTTCCATATCTGTTCCTATAATGCTACTTTGTTATTTTCTGTAGCGTAGATGTACCATCATTTATTTAATCATTCCCCTACTCTACAGATGAACATAAAGCTTGTTTCCAATTTCTGTCAACCATCTTGAATGAGTAGTCAAAATGTCTTTGAAAACCCAATTGTAGCCACCATTCATTTAATTTGTAAAATTTTGAGTCTTTTGCAGGAGGGAGGCTAACTTCATTCCATGTTAGAGTTTCTTACACACAGTAAACAGGACCAAAAATATATTCTGCACTTCGGGTCTTAATTATGCATTATACACTTAATTAAAATTCACATTGTCAGTAAAAGGTAAGGACTATATTAGATTGTGGTTGTTGGCATCATGATTAATATACATTTAAGCTTTAAAATCTGTTGTTACATTATGGTAGATTTTCCAGAAAGAAACATGAAGCTTTAAAATGCATTTTTAAAAAGACAGAAGGAGATATGAACTCAGTGGAAGAAATCCAGCTCATTCTAGAGCAGATGATAGCTATATATAATAAAAAATGGAGCCAAAGTCTCACCTTAATTTGCGTGTAGTTTAAGGCAGGCAGGTTCTTCTCTCTCTTTCTGAGAATTAGAACTGTATAAAACCAGAGGATGGATGAATGTGCAAGGCATCAAACTCCAGGATAAAACCTGATTTTCTATTTTGCTAAACCAAACACTCAAGTTTTACTAGTCTTTGTGTCCGCTTTAGGTGGGAGCACTGTTGTTAGTTTCTTCCCAAAGCTTACCTTTCCCTTTGGTCACATTTTTCTAGTTGTTTTTATTTTTTGACCCTAAAGAGTTTCCCTTTGTTCAGAGACTTGTCTGTGGGCTTGATACGAAGTTTCCACTTTGTTTGGTGTATTTCCATTTATAAGCCGTGTTTTTCTCACCTTCTCTGCTTCACACTCAGTTTATTTCCATTAAAGATCAAGAAAGTGACTGAAGAGTCTGTTCACATTTTGAGGTGGCCTCAATTTTACTCTACTGTTGGCTGGGATCCACCTCTCTCACTCCCCAGCTATTGACTCTTTATTTTCTCTTTTCTGTTTCAACGTTTGGCCATGGAGAATCGTAAAACCTTTACTTTTAAATTGTAAGTGTTACCTTTGTTCTTTTAATTTTGTCATCTGCCCTTGTTCTTTTGTTCTTTGTTTTCAGTATTCTGACTTATTGCATCTCTATGATTATCTTTATGTCAGAGGCATTTAAACCAGAGCGTCTTCATTTTGAATCGGGGCTGGGTAAAATAATACTGAGCCCTACTGGGCTGCATTCCCTGAAGGTTAGACATTCTAAGTCACAGGATAAGATAGGAGGTTGGCACAAGATACAGGTCATAAAGACCTTGCTGATAAAACAGTTTACAGCAAAGAAGCTGGCCAAAACCCACCAAAACCAAGATGGCGATGAGAATGACCTCTGGTCCTCGTCACTGCTACACTCCCACCAGCGCCACGATAGTTTACAAATGCCATGCCAACATCAGGAAGTTACCCTGTATGGTCTAAAAAGGGGAGGCATGAATAATCCACCCCTTGTTTAGCATATCATCAAGAAATAACCATAAAACTGGGCAACCAGCAGCCCTCAGGGCTGCTTTGCCAATGGCATAGCCATATCTTTATTCCTTGACTTTCTTAATAAACTTGCTTTCACTTTACTGTATGGATTCACCTTGAATTCTTTCTTGCATGAGATCCAAGAACCCTCTCTTGGGGTCTGGATAGGGACCCCTTTCCAGTAACATTTATGCCTTGGACAATTTTGAGGTACATATGAAATATCTGGATAGAAAGTGCAAGTTTTCTGCTAATATAACCCTTCTTTCTTAGTAATTGGACCCACAAAGGTTATCCAGGCACATGAGAATAACATGACAAACCCCAGCATTTTTTGTGTGTCTGGGTGTGACTATGTGCCTAATTTCTGGCCAGAGTGGTTTAAGTGGAAGTGTTCTTTGCAACTGTTTGGGGGCCTCTTTGTGTAGAGAGGCCACTTGCTACTCCCTGGCTGGAATGTGGTTGGGTGGTTGGCTGTAGAACGCCTCACTGGGACCTGATGTGGAGGCCACATGTTGGCCTTGGTAGACTTGATAACTAGAGACACAGTGAGTAACACGGGCTTCTCAGAACATGCTGGGAGATAAACACCAACAGCACCCAAGACCAGAAAATGCCACCAGATGCTACTAGAGAGCAAAGTATAGTGACAGGCCAGACTCTGCTTTCTAACATGATTATTTTCCAAAATGTCTTGGTCCTTGGACGCTTACCAAAAAAGAAGGAAGGAGTTTGTGACTGTGTGTATGTGTGTGTGTGCAGAATCCTAAATTGGTTGTGTGTTTAACTCAGAATGATGGCACTTACCTGGAAGTGACTAAATTTTCTGCCATTAGGTAGATGGAGGGCTTGACATAAAAACAGTTTAAGTGGAGTTACAGAAGAATTTTAAAAGATTTTATTTCTTGCACACTCAAGTTTGTCTTCTGTGACAATCATAGCCACGATGGGAGTCTGGGCTTAAGAAGGCAGCTGGGAATTGGGGCTGAGGTTTAAGCACGGCAGGAACACTGTCAGATTTGTGCTTCCTTCCGAAGTCTGTTTTTCAGGGAGGTTGTGGCCACGTGATGGTCACGGTTGCTTTCATCCTCTCCTGGAGACTCTCAGCTGTCCTACATATGTCACTGCATTTTTGCAGAGTCAGATGGTCTTTTCTGAATTATTTTCTATTGTCATCATTTGTGATCTCTGCTATAGCCCTGTCTTTATATATTTGCTTCAAAATAGGCCCCCAGTCCATTTTTGGAGAGAGTACTTAGATTTGTTCAGTCAAATTTCAGAACTGCAAGTGGCTCAGTCAGTCCAATGACAAAGAACGCCCCCCCGCCACCCACTGCCAAAATGGAACATGAGTTTTGCTTCAGAAATGAATACATAAAATATGTTACCTTTTCATCCATCTTCTCTCAATTTTATTTGTTGCTAAAGTGATATTATACAGATATTGAAAGACTTTTTAAAATAAGAAAAAAAAACCCATAACAATGATCTCATTTAAAATTTTTGGTTGAAAGTGACAAAAACTGAATTGGAACAAGCTCAGATGGAGAAAAAACACACGAGCTTGAGTCACAGAAAAATCCAGGAACAGAATTACTTTTAGATATCACTTCATCTGAGACTCAAACAATGCTCAAGTAGAATAATCATTTCTTCATTTCTTAGATCTGTTTCCCAATGTGTGGGCATCATTCTTCAGCAGGACCAATGCCTGGGGGTGCAAAATGGCCATGAGAAACTTTTAGCCTCCTATGCTTTGATTTCAGTAAACTCAGCAGCCTGAGGTTCTCTCTCTCTTAATATTAAAATCAAAGCAAAACAAGGAAGTGAGTTTCATATTGGTCTGCTTGTGCTCATGCTCCTGTCTGAACAGATTACCATGGCCAAGACAGTGGAATGACCAGGGTGGTGGGGGCAGGGGGCGGTCAGGTCTCGGGTATGTGCCCTACTTTGGATCTAAGGGTGGGTTAATTTCTTGGACTCAGTGAGTTAAAGATGATGGACAAGTAGTTCTCTACTCCCTCCTACCCAATCAGGGTGGCATTCCCAGAAGAATAAATCAATAGACAAAAATAGCAGAGAGCCACCCAACTGATAATCCCAATCCCCAAAGAGATGAGAGCTTCCATTCTTCTGTTCCCATTCGTCCATGTTCATAAAGATCACACCCGTATATGCTTATAATTATAATATAGAATAGATCAGAGAACAGCAAACTACAGCCCAGGAGCCAAATTTGGCCCATCACTTACTGCTGTAAATAAAGTTTTATTGGAACGTGGCTGTGTCGATTCACTCACATGCCGTCTATAGAAAACATCATGCTACAACAGCAGTTCATTAGTTCCAATAGATACTGTTTGGTTCGTGACATCGAAAAGTATTTACTGTTTTGCCCTTCACAGAGAAAATTTACCATCCCTGGGTATATATTAGAATTAGTATTGTGGTTTTTAAAAATTAACAGTTTATTTGTACAACCTCACATGTTTTCAGAGGCTTAATAATTATGATCTGTTTTGTCTACAGAATACTTCTGTTGGGTTGAATGACTCTCTGCCCCCAGGTAAGGAGAAATACTAGAGGTTTCTTACAGGAACCCCCTCCTTTCATGCATGTAAGCAAAATGTAGAGGCTCCTTTTAAGCACTTGCTCTGTGGTCCCCTAAGCTTAACTCTGCTGAAGCCCTTATCAAACTGTAATTGTATTTTCCTTACATAAAATATCCCTAGGGCAAGGACAATGATTCATTAAGAACACATCCATAATATCTAACGCAATGTCAGGCATTCTGTTGTGCACATATCTACTGCCTGTAAATTCACAACTTCTGCTGCTGGTGGTGCAAACTGAATCATCCACTACCCTAGTTAAAACTTTCCATGGAAGAAGGATAAGACTGAAAATCCTTAACGTGGTATACCAGGTCCCGTGTGATGTGGCCTTGACTTTCTCCTGTAGCCTTCTGCTTTGGCTTTCTTGCTCCAGCCATTCTGGTCTATTTTCCTTTCCTCCAATGCCCCATGCTCCTTCCTGCCTCAGGGCCTTTGCACAGGCTAGCCTCTCTTTCTGGCCCTCTCTCATGCATACTTTAAGGGAATAGGGTGAGGGACCAATACCAAGGCAGCCCATGTGTAATTCTCCTTGTTACATTTATATCACATTATTCCTCTCCATTATTTCATCCCCAAACTTTCATACAAAGGAATACACTCAATGACCATTTATGTGTTACCATGTGCTGGGAACTGTTTTAGAATCAGGAATAGTGCAACAGCGAACCAGACAGGTGTAGCCCTGACCACATGGAGCTTATAATCTTGCAGAGCTATCAGGCAAGTAATCACCAGATATAATGCAGAGTGACCAGTGGAGTTGGAGGAAAAGGGAAGCAGTACAAGAGTGTAGATGAGGGAAACTTCCCAGGTTCGAAGCTCAGGGAAGACTCTCAAAGCCCATGCTGTTAAAGACAACACCGAAGGCCAGGAAGTGCGGGATGGAAGAGCTTACCAAGAGCCTAGTGAGGGACAGATCCCACTGGAGGCCAGGTGAGGCCCCTGGTGCTGTGTCTCAGATCGGGGGTGAGGCAAGTCAGCTGCAGGCCGACTCAGTGTGTTCCGGTGTTCTGAGGAAATGCTCTGCTCCAAGCCATATCTCTTTCTTACCTTCACTTCTCAGAGGCTGTGGTTTCCTTTTGTTCTTCTTACTATTTCAAGCTTTCATTACAACCCTGTGGCTTGGTTACAAGCTAGGGTTGGGGTTTGAATTCATGTTCTTTTTTTTTTTTTTTTTTTTTTTGATACGGAGTCTCGCTCTGTCACCCAGGCTGGAGTTCAGTGGTGCAATCTCGGCTCACTGCAACCTCCGCTTCAAGCGATTCTCCTGCCTCTGCCTCCCGAATAGCTGGGATTACAGGTACCTGCCACCACACCAGACTAAGTTTTATATATATTTATATTTTTTGGTAGAGATGGGGTTTCACCATGTTGGCCAGGCTGGTGTCAAACTCCTGACCTCAAGTAATCTGCCCACCTTGGTCTCCCAGAGTGGTGGGATTATAGGCGTGAGCCACTGTGCCTGGCCCGAATTCATGTCTTATGCTTCTTTTTGCAAACAATGACTTAGGTCAGGGGTTGGCTCACTCTTTCTGTAAGAGCCAGAGTTAATATGTTAAGCTTTGTAAGCCCTGCAAGTCTCTGTCATGATTACTTAACTCTGCCACATGAAGGAAGCCAAGGGCAGCGGGTAAATGAATGGATGTGGCTATGTTCTAATAAAACTTTATTTAGAAAAATAGGTGGTGGGGCGAATTTGGCCAGAGAGCTATGGTTTGCTGACTCCTGACTTAGATGATCAGCAATGTCTTTAAATATGTCTTGACTTACTATTAGGAAATAAAAAAAAATCTTTTATATTAAGATTTTTCAAATTGTGTACTGTAGTCCCTTGGGTTTTTGGTGGAGTTGCATAAAAGCCTTCAGAGCTATTGGAAGGATGAGGGCCAAAGAGAAGGAGGCCTCACCCAAGGGCACTGGGCACGTTTGTGAACCTGGTATTTCCAGACACTGAGTTCTAGAATCAGACTTTCTTGACCTGTGGATGCATAGAAATGCCCATGTGTGGTGGTACAGAAATGGTGATTTTTTTCCCACCAGAAAATTTTTTATGAATAATCATTTTTATTTCTAAAGAATAAAGTCCTCAAACAGTTGTCTTCTAGTCCAGAGAAGTAAAAGATCAGAATTTAGTTTAGTTTAGCCTTGACTTGTTTGCTTCTAGAGAAAATGATGGCTCCTATGATGACTCAACTTACTTTTCAGTCGAACCAACCTAGTGATGAGGTTTGGAGTAGGGCCAATTTTTATTTTCTTTTTCCATACAAGATGTTATTCGAATGACCTTCTTTTTGGGGCCTTTATCATGTCCTATCCCACGGCACTTCTTCCCCATTTTTGCAAAGATTAGTGGTAAAGATTAGTGGAAAAGATTCTCTTTTTCCTCCTGGCTGTCTCCCACTCATTCTTCCAGTCCCTGACTCACAAGCCCTTCCCCGACTTCACATTCTAAACTGGTGGCAATCTTTCATTATTCTTCTCCCTCTGCCTCTCCCTTCCCCTCCCCCACCCTTCTGCTTTTTCTGCTTCTGCTTCTGCTGCTTCTCCTTCTCCTTCCCCTTCCCCTTCTTCTTTCTTCTTTCTTCTTTTTTCTTCTTCGCCCAGTCTCATTCGGTCACCCAGGCTGGAGTGCAGTGGCACAATCTCGGCTCATTGCAAACTCTGCCTCCTGGGTTCTAGTGATTCTCATGCCTCAGCCTCCCAAGTAGCTGGGATACAGGTGTGCGCCACAACGCCTGGCTAATTTTTGTATTTTTAGTAAAGACGGGGTTTTGCCATATTGGGCAGGATGGTCTCGAACTCTTGAAATCAGGTGATCCACCCACCTCTGCCTCTCAAAGTGCTGGGATTACAGGCATGAGCCACAGCACCTGGCCTCATTATTCTTTTGCTTTGCCTTGTGTTATCACTTGATGTGTGAGAGTGTTTGTTCTGTATCCATCTTCCCCATTAGAGGGTAAGCCATACACAGGCAAGGACCACATTCATTGGGTTCACCACTGCATTGCTGATGTTGGATGCATAGCCAATGCTAAATGAATGAGCATTTGTGTTGTTTCATGGCATGGAGTTGTAGATAAATGTGAGGGGTATGAATGACTTAGAGGAACAATTCCACAGTAATGCCAGTTAGGAACAATTTCTGCTACAAATAACAGACTATTGACAGATAGTTACTTTGAAAGAAGCTGTTGGAGTCTTGCCTAATTTCAATACCCTCTGATCACCGAGGCCCCACACACAGTGTTCTCCTGCAGGTCACCGGCTTATTACTCAAAGCACCTGGGGTTCTCTGCTTCATGGATTTTGTTCGCTGTTTGAGCATGCTTGTTGGGTTGGGTGGGAAATTCTAGGTAGTTAGCACTCTCAGTAGCAGTCCTCAACAAATAACAGATGTACGTTGGTAGGTACATATCCCAGTTCTCTTGCCCCTCAGTGGGGCAATACTGAAGCATATCCCCAGCAGTTCTGGGCCTTGGTTGCCCACAGGGGTTACTTCCTCATTAACATACTCTGTATGGGTTTCCTTCTTGTTCCTGGGTGCTGTCTGGGATCACCTCCCTTATAAATGAATTGCACCAAATGCCCGTCTCAGGCTCTGCTTCTGAAGAACCTCAATGTAAAATATTTACTTAATAAGAAGCTTGGAGGTAGGTAGTACTAGAGATGGTTAACTCAGCAGCTCAGCAAGGCTGTCAAGCACCCAGACTTTTCTATCCTTCCAGTTTTTCTGCCTCAGCAGTGGACATTTAGGCTTTATTCAGGTCTTTTCATGGTTCAAGATGGCTGCTGCCGCTTTGGATAATGCACCTTCACTTGTGCATGAAAAGTTGGAAGAGCTGGGTGGGCCTAAGAGTGGAGGAGCAGCAAGTAAAAAGGGTCTTTCCTCACATGCGTCTTTCCCTGAAACAAGGAGAAAACTCTCAGAAGTGACTCCTTTATGTCTCGTTGACTAGAACTGGGCCCTATGGGCCAGCACTTGCTGCGGAAGAGGTTGGGAAGGGAATAACTGGTCTTTTCAGGCTTTGGAGTGGGAGGTGGGTTAGGGCATTGGGAACGGATATGCATAGCCACAACATTAACTAGAGCAGAGCGCATTTGTCTCTTTTTAAACAGATTGATAGCATAGGGTGGAAAGACCACTAATCTATTTGTCCGTTAAAAGAGGGAATACACAACCAAAAGTGCCTCCAGAAAGGAATTTTAATCTGTTCATGGCTGGAAAGTTTAAATTTTACAGCAAAAGTTTGAAATCTCTGTAAACGACAGAGATGAAAAGGTCGGCATTTAAATCTGTTTCCTTAACAGATGGCTCCCAGAGTGAGCTGAGATCGGAATTCACTTTCTGGGCTCAGCCTTTCTCCATAAAGCTGGTCGTGCAGTTTATGACATCAGCAGAGCCCCAGAGTGAATTACGGCTCATCCTTGTGTTCATTCTGGTGCCATCTATTATGCTACTGTGTGTGATGTTGATTAGGAAGGTGTCTTTGATAGCTCAGTGGAGGAAAAAGTGCTCTTGTTAGAGGGTCGAATTACAATAATGGTTAAAGACAAAGGTACATCAAGGGGGGCTGGGACACTAACAGCCTTTTACATTTTTGTCTGTCTGTGTGTGAGAAGAAAGAATAAGATTATATCAAGTCACTAAAAAATACACTCCATATTTAGGGACAAAGACATTCCTATTTTCTCACTGTCCTAATTGAGCTCTATACATCTCCTTAATAAAGTCCTGCCATTTACCTAATGCCAGGTGTTATAAATACATTTAATCAATACTTCTGAGTCTTGACAAAAGAGCCATCTATCACTCTTGACCTCTCAAAGTCTAAGTAATAGGTCAGAGTTTATTACAATAAAACCAAAGGGGTGATCAAAATGTATTTTCTCCATTGGAATTTTATTGGGTTAGGTATTGCTTGAAATAAGCCATTAGTTGTGGCTGGAACATTTTTTGGGTAGCAAAATTCTCATAAGGGTGATTTTTGTATTGCTATTATTTGACTTGGAAGTGTTAAAAAGATTTGAATAATTGATGCCAAGAAGCTTCTTCCATAGAACATACTCATATTTGAGCAATTGAGATTCCTCCTGAGTCTTTGAGGTATATCAGGGGCCTGGACCTTTTGCAAATTTTTTATATCAGAGTTTTAAAGGGTGGGAACAGGGATACCTAAATTTTTGAAATTCTGATGCATGTCAAAGTGCCATATTACTGCCATGGAGCTTTTAAAAAGAACATAATATCCTCTGTGCATTTACCAGTTGCTGGGCTAGGCCTTAGGGTGAGACCTGTCCAATATGGTAGCCACCAGCCATATGAGGCTATTTAACTTTTAATTTCCATTAATTAAAATGAAATAAAATAAAAAAATTGTTCCTCCTTTGCATTAGGTACATTTCAAGTGTTCAGTAGCTACAGATGGCTAGTAGCTAACATATTGGACTGCAAAGATACAGAACATTTCCATCATCACAGAAAATTCTACTGGACAGCTCTGGATTAGACAATAAACAAGACAGACATGATTTCTGCCCTAATGGAGAAAATAGACCAGCCCTCTGCCTCCCCCCATCCACTCCCAACTGCCAATAAATGGACAAATCAACAATTAAGAATTTTGTTTTATGAGGAAAGCCAAGGTCTGTGATCAGGGCTGGCTATGTGGGGCCCAGTGAAAAATGAGAATGCATGAACCCTCGTTCAAAAAAAACTTAAGAATTTTAAATGGCTATAGCCAAACATTAAAGAAGTCCGGGGTCCTTCTGAGCACAAGTTGCACACTCAATCTGGCTGAAACAGACTAAAGCCAAGGGGCCTGGAGACCTTTTATAGTTAAGGATGTCACAAATGCTTCTGCTAGAAAGTGACAAATAATACGAGGTGAAAAAGATGAGAGAAAATGCAAAGTGTGTAGGAGAAGATTTTAGGCAAAGAGAACAGCACAAAGGACCCAGGAGGGAAAGAGGATGGCATATTCAAGAACCTAAAAGCATTCCAGAGTGGTAGAGGGAGGAAAGAATAGCGGAGGTCAAGGCTGAGATGATGGTCAGGGCCAGGGCCAGTGGTTGGGTCCTCGTAGCTGATGGTTGTGTAGGGTTGTGTAGTCATCCCCACACCCCGTTACAGACTCACTGGTGAGGCCCAGCATATGGCTTTATCTTCAGGTTTCATTTGTGAGGTTGAGAGCATCTCTAACTCGTAAGGAATTCATGCACGTCAGAATGAAATTCTGCTTTTTATTTTTTAAGACAAGGAGGGAGAGGCACAGGAGATGATTTGCTTTGATTCACGGTCTGGTGCAGGAGCAGGTTAAGGAAGTCGGGGAGAATGAGCAGGGTTCTGTGCACGCACGTGGCATTTCTAAGCCCCTGCAGATGCAGGGCTGGGCGGGAAGATTCCTGTCTCTCTCATGTGTCATAGGGAAGCATTGGCTTGCACGTGTTACTTCCCAAAAAGGTGTTTCATCCATAGAAATGCTGATTCTCTGGCTTCCCAATGCTATATTTAGAAATGACATTTACATTTCCACAGATCAACAGCTCCTGTTTGGATACAGTTCCAGGAGCTTTGCTGTGACAGTGAATGTGCTGGCTTTTATTCTCCCCTGTTTCCCTTTCTTAGCTGTGGGCAATTAGCAAAGTTAGGAGGCATTTGTCATTTGGTAGATGAAAATAATTAAATATGATAAATTCATATATTTTGAAAGAGGTCAAAATGAACCAGTATCTGTATCTTGACTTTCAAAAAGGCTTGGGGGAAAATTTATTCTATTTTCTGTCTCATTCATTTAAAGAATATCTGTATAGATTTTAGCTAAAGCATCCCTTAAACCCCCAAATCCTCCCACCCTCCCATGTTATTTTATTTATTTATTTTTGTTAATTTTGAATCTGAAAGTTTCTGATACCTTAGTAGCTTATTTATTGATAGTTCATATCCATAGAGAAATGTCTTTTATTCTGCAGTAAACCATTATTTCATTGAGGGTTTATACCTGTGGTATGTGTGTGCATATTATTTTGTGCCTGATGGAGTTCAAATATTCTAAGTATTACTCTGACATATTTCCATCTTAGCAAAATTATTCTCACAGCTATTGATAACAAAGGAAAGGACCAAATATCTTATTTCCTTGTCAAGAGGGTGGAAAAAATGGAAATAGTAAAAATAACCATTGGCTGCCATCAATCTACAGGATTATGGTCTACCTTTGGTAATAACATTCTACTTAGAGCCTCCTGAAACCTGATCAAGGGACCCCATAAAATTGTGAGCACATGTCACCATTAGAGGGCAGTGTGCACTCTCTCCAAGAGCCCATAAAAATTATGTTTCCTGCCATAGCTAAAAGGATTTGTCTGGCAAAGGGCAAACCCATTAGGCATAAACATTCAGCATTTTTTGCTGTTGCCTGTCATAATGAAAACAATGATTTGAAAGTTCTGATTAAACCTGCAAGATTTTCTATCTAGTGTATGTCTTCAAGCATATACTTTTCAAACTTACTTCTTTTGATGTTCAGCTGTGCTAGAAACGTGAGTTAGACCTGGCACAACTTTTTCAGGACTTTGGTAGGGAAAGCTCACTTTAATCTCAGTGACGAAGCTCTCCTTGGAATATAGATGGCCATTAAGTAACAGGAAAGTCTTTATCAAAACAACAGCAACCAAAGTTAGTTAAATTTTTTTTTGTTGTTGTTGTTTTTAGATAGGATCTCATACTGTTGCCAGGCTGGAGTGTAGCAGTACAATCATAGCTCACTGCAACCTCCTGGGCTCAAGGGGGATCCTCCTGCCTCAGCCTCCTGAGTAGCTACGACTACAAACATGGGCCACCACGCCTGGCTAATTTTTACATTTTTTGTAGAGATGAGGTTTCACTACGTTGCCCAGGCTGGTCTTGAACTCCTGAGCTCAAGTGATCTTTCTGCCTTGGCCTCCCAAAGTGCTGGGAATACAGGCATGAGCCACCATGCCCCACCCCCAGAAGATTAAAAAAAAGTCACTCTAAACTCCAAAATGTGTCCAAAAGTCCTCACCCACCAAAACCTAATACAAACATGAAGAATTAGTGAATATTTTTTCAGTCCTGTTTTTTCTGAGGAGCAAGAAAAAGAAATCTTTGTTTATATCACCGTTGGTAGGCCAGTAAACAAAGGCTAGAGAAGACATTTGTATAAACTTGAGAATTTGCATTTAAAACATGATCTACAGTTACTTTGTAGAATATCAGAATTTGATTCATCAGTGGGCATAAAATCATCGCGTTGGCGGTAGACCTGGAATTGGCAAAATTATGATTGCGTCAACGTGCCAGCCCACATCGGCTTCTTGTTCAGGTGTGAGATTGTAAAGGAAGGGTCTGCTAGACTCGTCTTTCAAAAAATTCAGCAAATAAATTGTTTGCTTTACAACTGCCAGCCGCAGTTGCCTCTGGCAGCGTTGTTTTTCTGCTGACTGCGACAGATTGAGCTCTTCTGCCGGAATTTCTCTAGAGGGCAGTAAGGATTCGAGGCTCTTTCCCTATTTTTCTGAAATGACGGATCATCGTTGTGCAGCTGCAAAGGTTAGGTAGTGCAGCACACGCTCTGGTGCTGGGGAGAGTGGCCGAACTCTCCAGAAAGGAGCCTCCTTGGCTTCCTGGTACGTCCTGCAAGCCGATATTTTGTGATAACCTGCAGAAAATCATTTCCTCTCTTCCAAAAGGAAATGGAAGGATTTATTAATAGAGTACAGCTATAGATACAACATATATGTATTAATGGTTGACCAAGGATTTAAAAATTAAATGGCTCCTGGGATCCTGCGTTGGAGGCTGGGTAAAGTCAACAATGGAATATCTGGGAAAACCAAACAGAATAGTTGGGAAAGAGAAATCTGTGTAATCCTGTGGTCCTCAACCAGGAACAGTTTTGCTCCCAGGGGACCTTTAAAGACATTTTTGATTGTTACAACTGCGGGCGGGGGTGGAGGTGGTGGGGGGCCTGTAGCATCAATTGAGTAAAAACGAGGCACGCTACTAAACATCCCATAATAAAAAATACAGCCCCACAACAAAGAATTATTCGGCCTCAAATATCAATAGTGCCCAGGCTGAGAAATCCCGATGCAAGCCATCAGGTAGCCAGGAAGAAAACGTGAAAATAGATTTTAGAAAGCTACAGAAAATTTAGTTTTTGTTTTCAGTTTCTTGGACTCTGAAGATGAAAAGCCAGAATGTCTGTGATATTCAGGATCGTTTTTCGTGTGCTTCCTGCATCAAAGCATGAAAATTGTGGGACCCAGGTGAATTTGAACCCACTGGGCAAGAGGAGCTGTTGAGGTGAAATGGCAGAGTGGCCCCTCACAGGTTCCAGCAGGTGGGGAGGACCCTTCTGTGCTGCTGGGAATTTGGGGCTGGGCATTGCTGGACTCTGTGCCATTCCCTAGTTGCAGGGCCACTAGATGCCTGACTTTCTCTTTCTCTTTCTCTTTTTCTCTTTCTTTCTTTTCTTTTCTTTTCTTTCTTTCTTTCTTTCTTTCTTTCTTTCTTTCTTTCTTTCTTTCTTTCTTTCTTTCTCTCTTTCTTTTTCTTTCTTTCTTTCTCTTTCCTTCCTTCCTTCCTTCCTTCTTTCTCTTTTTTCTTTCTCTCTCTCTTTCTTTTTCTTTCTTTATCTCTTTCTCTCTTTCTTTTTATATATATTTTATTATACTTTAAGTTCTAGGGTACATGTGCACAACGTGCAGGTTTGTTACATATGTATACATGTACCATGTTCGTGTGCTGCACCCATTAACTTGTCATTTACCAAACACCGCAAGTTCTCACTCATAGGTGGGAATTGAACAATGAGAACTCCCTTTCTTTCTTTCTTTTTCTTTCTTTCTTTCTTTCTTTCTTTCTTTCTTTCTTTCTTTCTTTCTTTCTTTCTCTCTCTCTCTCTCTCTCTCTCTCTCTCTGTCTCTCTCTCTCTTTCTTTCTTTCTGCTGCAGGTTCAGCATGGAAATGCTGATATGCTAATGTAAAATCATTCTCTCGGGAAACAGAGAGATTGGGATCAAAATGGGGTCTTTTGCAAATAGCAGACTTTGGTTGGATATTTTGAAGCTCTATGGCTCTGGTTCTCAACCAGGGGTGATTTTGTCCCCAGGGGGACATTTGATGATGTGTGGAGACATTTTTGGTTGTCACGACTGAGTGGGAGTGCTACTGGCATCTAGTGGGTAGAAGCCAGGGATTCTGCTATAGATCCTGCAATGCACAGGACAGCCTGCCCCCGTGCCCCGGTACAGAACTATGGGGCCAGCAATCTCAATAGTGGCAAGGTTAAGAAAGCTTACTCTATGGTTTTTGGCTTTGCATAATACATTCTTATTCCCTACCAATTCTAGGATCAAAAGCGTCCACAGTTATGAAAATTTCCTGTTCTCCAATATTCCACAGATGACTTGCTGGTAGGAGAAAAGAGTGAGAATTGCATCCACTGTGTTTGTAAGGCAGAGTCGTGTATTTATTCGCATTGAAAGGAACATCTCTGTGCCCAGAAGCAGACATGTAGGCAGTGAAAGCAGGTTGAGGACATGCAATTGCTTCATGTGGATATGAATTTTTTTTTCCTCAGTGAACCGAAGTGAGCAGGTGTAAAATGATCTTGGAAACTCAATTAATTTTTCAAAGGCCCAGGCACAGGGCCAGTCTTTGCAAGAACTGGAAGGTGATATGGTTTCATAGAAATATCTAGAAAAGGGTGGATGTGATAAACTATCAGGATCAGACAGGTAAAATAAAGGCAGCGTGGGTGAGGATTGCAAATCTTGGAGTCTGAAGTTGGAATGAAGGAGGTTTGAGTCTCAGCTCCATTATTTACTAGCTCCAGGATTTGGGGCAAGCCACTTCACTTCTCTCAACTATAGCTTTTGCATCTGTGAAATGGGGATAATCGTACTCTTTAATTTCAATTAAATTAGGGCAACAAATGTAATAATGTATTAAATAGCTCTTCAGAGTTCTTGGTATATAGTAAGTGCTTAATAAATACTAGATACTTTATTATTATTATCATAATCACCACTGTTGCCATTATTATTTTCAATGTTTCAGAATCTCCAGTGGTGCAGAATCAAGGGTTTATGTGTCCAAAGGCTTACCTTATTCCTTGCCCCCCTTTTTTTTAAAATCTGAGAAAGCAGAATTTTAATTGTATGAGTTTTTCCCTAGTGTCTCGTGTAGCTTTTCTCATATTCTGAAGTTTAGTCTACATAATGGAAACATTTTAAAACATTAGGCAAAATATAATTGTTTTGATTATTTGCCTATGCAAATATAAAAAGATACTTTCTTTTTGCTGTTTAGGTTAAAGTGATCAGGAATTTAATAATGTAGGAACGAGAAAAAACTTTTCTGAGAGGTGGCACTAGGAATTTTTAAAGGCATGAAAATTGTCTTTATTTGGGGAAATACAAAGTTTTAGATGTACTTGGGGCAGAATGTGAGACCCCAGAAATCTTAAAGTTGTTGAGAAAAGAGGGTTACAGGAAAGAGCAAAAGTTTTCTGCATGAGACAAAGAGAAGAGTTTGCTTATTTGATTTGGGAAGGGAGGGTGGGCAGATGAGAGGGAAAAGGTGGAGGGAGAAGGTGGGCAGGGCTAAGGATAGACATGTGACACAGGCCTGGCTAATCAGAGGAGAGCATACCCCCAGCTTCAAAGAAGGACCGTGGGATGAATGTGCAGACCCAAGTAGTGAGAATTCTGGGACGTTAACTGGAGCCAGTGGGAGCATAATGTTCTCTCTGCTGGACAGGAGCTGTAAGGATGTTTATCTGGAGCTTCTGGCAGCCATTTTGTCACCATGAGGCATGAACCTGAATGAGAATGGAGCTAACTCAGGAGGAAGCAGAACTCAGAGCTGGGGAAAGACTAAGTCCTGATGACATTGGTTGAACTCCTAGATGGCATTGGTTGAACCCAGAGCCCATCTACCTAAGGCCTTGCGTTTACATAGGCCAATTATCTTTTGTGGGTAAGCCTGTTTGAGTTGGTATTTCTGTCACTGGCAACCAAAGGAATACCTGTGATATAGAGAGGACCCCGGCTAATAAACACACAGGTAAGAACAACTGAGGTCTGACTCTGAAGTCTAGTCTACCTGACTTCAAGGCAGTTATTCTATGACATTAGGAGATAAGAGAGCTTAGATTCACTTTTCTCATCTGTAAAATGGGAAGGTTGGGAGTAAATCGGTCATTCCCAGCCTGAAGTATTCAGACTTTCAGGTTTCTTGCAATTAAAAATGTGAACCCTAAGACAATTTTAATTTTCCAAACTCCTGAATTGAAACTCTAGATTTCTGTAGTATGGCTACTCCAAATTAATTGGAATATTACATTTCTTCACTTTTTTTTCTTGGGACTTACAACTCATTGAGGAAATAGTACTCAGTTACTGCTAATCAGAAGATCCAGTGTGCAGAGCTGCTATTATAATTAATTTTAAAAGTGAGAATATAAATAATTATTTTAGAAATATATTTTAGTAGATACAAACTTTTGAGAATATTGGGGTCACTTAAAAATGGGTCATTGGGGTAAAAAGATTGGGAAACCAAGGTGTAAATGTAAATGATATAACATTTTCAGTAATCCAATCTGACCGTTAGGATTTAAAATCCGTGTTCTTTTATTTATTTGTCCCAGACTGTAATTAGTGGGCATGAGTTGTCTTTATTTTTATGCAAAAAGAATTCATCAAAATACTCTTCCATCTTAAAATTTTTTTAATATTAATCACTTACTGATTCTTTGAACAAATCACTATGTGACTGCATTCATTCATTCAGCCCCAATTTATTACATGGCTACTGTGTATCAGCCACTGTTCTAGGTACTGGGAATTAAAAAACAGAAAACCAAAAGAGAAATAGTTCTAACTCAGGGATAGGCAACAATAAAATGAAAAATCAAATAGGTAGTATGTGAGATGGCAATGCATGCTGTGAAGAAAATAGAAAATAAAGCAGGAAAGGGGAGAGAGAGTTCTGGGCAGGATACCACTTCAAACTGGGTGGCCAAGGGTGCCTTAGTGATCAGGGGACTTCTGAAAAGAGATTTAAAGAAGGTGACAGAAGGGCCATGCAAATACCTGGGGAAAGGGTCTTCCAGGCACAGGAAGTGGCAGGTGCAAAGTTCCTGAAGCAGCATGTGCCTGCCATATTCAAGAATTAGCTGGGAAACCAGTGTGGCTAGAGTGGGGTGAGAGAGAAGATCAGCCAAAGGCAATGAGGTCAGACAAACTGTGGGTGAGAAGGGGAACGTCCCTGGGGCCCCGTGGGGCAGGGTTTCCCAACCTTGACACTGTTGACTTTTGGGGCCAGACCATTCTTTGTTGGAGGGGCTTTGTCGTGCGTTGAAAGATGTTTAACATCATTACGGCTATACCTGCTAGATGTGAGTAGCACCGCTCCTCCTGCCCCCAAGTGATGACAACCAAAATGTCTCCAGACAATGCCAAATGTCCTCTGGGGAGTACAGTCACAGCCAGTTGAGAACCATGGCTGTAGGAGCCTCATGAGGACTTGGTTTTTAGCCTGAGTGCAGTGAGAGACCTGAGAGAGTTTTGAGTTCAGGAGCCACACTCCAGCATGGGTTGGTCTGCATGGGGTCAGTAAGGGATCTAAGTGCAGAAGCCAAGGGCCAGCAAGGAGGTGTCTGTGGAATCCTGGCAGGAGGAAACACTGAAGCCTCTGTTTTTGAGGAGCCAGGAGAAGGGAAAAGGACTGAACAGCGAGGGCTTGTTCAGGGTGATGTTAAAAAAATACTTAGGGGTCATGTGGCAGGGGCCCTGTGCAGTCAGAAAGGCTGCTGGCAGGATAAAGGACAGAGGCGTGTCCCTGGCATTGCTGTAGGAACATCATCGGGGCAGCTGTACTGAGGCAGTCGTGACTGCTCGTATTCTGAGCTACTTTACTTTTTTTTTTTTTTATGCCACAGTCCGAGCCTGATGTAGCAAAGGAAGCAGCCTCTTGTTTGTATCAGGTGATAGAGAGCCAACTTTAATACGGATAAGACGAAGTTCCTAGGCCAATGCAGGTAGCAGGCATATAGGACAAAAACTGCACCCTAGGAAACATCTACGTGGAGAGGCAGAGCAACTTTCTCATGGGCACACAGGCAGAGTATTTCTGACCTCAGAAAACCCACACTATGTGTCCCAGCTCATGATGTTTGGTGGATAAAGGCAGGGGCTAGCTTCCCATTCATTCAGTCAGCCATTCAACAAACCTTCACTGAGGGCCTCTCAGGAAGAAGGGTCTGCCTAGGCTTGGAGGTTAATCACACAGGAACTTTGTCTTTAAGAAGACTGTGGATGTATGGGCTGACCCAGGAGTGTCCACGTGTCAAGCACATCTTCCTGCTATTTATTATTAGTACTCCCTTTAAGCCATGTGTCTGGTCATGCCACATCTGCACAAAACCCTCTTGGCTCCTCTTCTCACTTCGAGCAAATACCCAGGTCCACACTATACTTTATAAGGCCCAACCCAGAGGGTGGCAACTTTTTCCTGTAAAGGGCCAGAGAGTAACTATGTTCTGCTTTGGAGGCCATGAAGTCTGTCTTGCAACTACTCATCTCTGCCGTTATAATTTGAAAGCGGCCATGGATAATATATAAATAGATAAGCATGGTCGTGGTCCAATTAAACTTTATTTATTGATGGTGAAATTTAACTTTCACATATTTTTGTGTAATAAAATACTACTCTTTTTGGAAGATTGAAAAAAAAATTAAAAAATGTAAACGTCATGCTTAGCTCCTGGGCCACACAAAAACAGGCAGCAGGATGCATTTGCCCTCTCTGCCCTCATATAGAACATGACAAAAGTGGGGGCCAGTCGCAGTGGCTCACGCCTGTAATCCCAGCACTTTGGGAGGCCAAGGCAGGTGGATCACTTGAGTTTAGGAGTTCGAGACCAGCCTACCAACATGGTGAAACCCTGTCTCTACTAAAAATACAAAAATTAGCTGGGCATTTTGGTGCATGCCTGTAATCCCAGCTACTCGGGAGGCCGAGGCAGGAGAATCACTTGAACCCCGAAGGTGGAGGTTGTAGTGAGATGGGATCGTACCACTGCACTCCAGCCTGGGCGACAGAGCAAGACTCTGTCAAAAAAAAAAAAACCATCCTCTCCAAAAATCCCCATAAACTCCCACTTTTCTGTCTTTAAGATGAAGGACACCATGCTAGGCATTTAGGACTTGGTTTGGTTGACACTATGGGAATTAATCTGCCAATCTCTGAACTTCTTGACCACAACATCTCTGTTGCTACACCTCAGCCCTGTTGTTTGAAAGCAGCCATGAACAAGGCATAAACGAATGGGTGTGGCTCTGTTCCAATAAAACTTTACTTATAAAACCAGGCAGATGTGGCCCACCGGTCCTAGTTTGCTGACTACTGCCATATAAGATCAAAATATGCTCATTCCCCCTTCTAGTGTCATCTTCCACCTTGTATTAGTCCATTCTTGCATTGCTATAAAGAAATACTGAAGGCCGGGTGTGGTGGCTCATGCCTGTAATCCCAGCACTTTGGAAGGCCAAGGCGGGTGGGTTACCTGAGGTCAGGAGTTTGAGACCAGCCTGGCCAACATGGTGAAACTCGGTCTCTACTAAAAATACACAGAACAATTAGCTGTGCATGGTGGTGTGCACCTGTAATCCCAGCTACTCAGGAGGCTGAGGCAGCAGAGTTGCTTGAACCTGGGAGGTTGCAATGAGCTAAGATTGCACCACTGCACTCCATCCTGGGTGACAGAATGAGACTCCATCTCAAAAAAAAAATATTAACAAAATATTATATATTTTATGTACTAAGCCTTTCAAATCTGATGTATATTCTGTACTTGCAGTGTTTCTAGATTTTTGGACTAGTCACCTGTCAGATCCTCACTGGCCATGGTGACTACCATATTGGACAGCACAGGACTATAGAGTTTGAGCTTTTGAAGGACAAGGACAGGTTGATGTCCTGGTGACTGACTCATAAGCATTTCTTCAGTGGTGGCTAACTACCTATCTTTGGCCAACCTTCCTTGTGTTTCAGTCTGCCAAAGTTTTGGGATAAACCATCACTGTCAAAATTTATTGGTACTCAAGGGAAAATCAAGCTTTTTGTGGCATCACACAACATCATAAATTAAAACATATGCTTTAAAAAATTATGATGTTACATCATGCTTTGAGGTAATGTAATGTGACAGATTGTAATTTTTATTTTTGTAAGATTTCCTCAGTGTAAAGCAGGAAGTGGATTTGAGAAGGTTTGCAGTACCCAGGACCTCTGAATCAGGACCACATTTCCAGGCTGCCACAGTGTTGGTGCTTGGTACATCAGGCAGCGGTCTCTGCTGGGTCCTTAGTCTTCTTTTCTGTGACCCTCCTGTGGTTCATTTGGATTCTATGTTTATCCTAAGAATCTCCCAGGGATCAAGAGGGTTCTTTGCAACCTAATTCACTCTACTGGGCTATATGATTTTGGAACTAGAGTTTCCATTGGTTTATGTAGAATGACTGGCAAATTTTGTCTCAAATGCAAATTAGATTGGTTTTTAATGGTTGTCTGGGGTCTTAATGCTAAGAAAACTTCTGAGGATGCCTCTGCATTCATGTAAGAGATGACGTTAGTCAACCAGCAGTGTTTGCCATGGGCTTGCAAAGGGGTAGAGGCCGTTTATACAATATGTATTTGACCATCCTGACCTAAGTGTCTGTTTCTTGCTTCTTGGATGGGCACGTAATGGGAGTTTCTTTAATTGGGCTAGGAACAGTGTCAAAGGAAGGGCAGGGGTCCTATACATGGGTTGAACTTAGTGGCCAGTTTACCCAAGGCAGTTTGGGTGAGTGAAAGGCCCCAGCTGTGGTCAGTGCCTAGCAGAGCTTGTTGTATGGGAAGCAATGCCTAGTGCTAGGTTCAAATGTTGAGGCCAGGATAAACGTTAAGTCTGGAAGCCAGCAGGAATAAGGGAAGACTAGAATAAGTTATATAAAATAACAGGAGTAAGCAATTCTGACTGGAGGAAAGCTGGCAAAGCAATGGGTTTCATCTCATGGTAATCCAAATTGCTTAGTAGTGTCTGCCAAGAGCTCTGTGTTGGAGGGCTTCTGGATTGTGCCAGGGACTGGGGAGGCAGGAAGTCATGATTGATTGGTAATGTCTGCCATGAGTGTGGGAGCTACGCAGGACAGTACACATGCTACATATTTGCAATCCCTGATTTAGAGGCATGGTTATGCTGGAGTTCACACAGAGAGAGAGAGAGAGGCATGGTTGATTGGTAATGTCTGCCATGGATTTTGGAGTTATGCAGGATGGCACACATGCTACACATTTGCAATCCCTGATTTAGAATCATGGTTACAGTGATGGCTTAAGAAAATTCCCTGGTTGTCTTTGACATACGCATATTTTGTTTTCTCACCTAATATTTATTTTTTCACTTAATAATTGACCATTAGTTGTCTCGATCTGTGTTGGGGTTTAGTCATATTCATTGAACTATAATAAAATGGGTCTCCAAAGAACACAAGTTAGACAGTGGTAAGTGCCATTGAGTAAGTGGAGGAACTGGGGGGTTAGCAATGGGTTCATGAAGGATGTGGCATTTGAATGGGGTATTGGAGACTGGAAGGATCTTGAACATGTGGGGACGAGGGACATAACATCAGTGTGGAGGGAACAGCACAGGCTAAGGAGTGGTAGCTGGAAAGCATGAGTGGTTTGGAGGCATAGCAAGGAGGTGGATTTTGCAGGAGCAAAATGTACTAGAAAGCCTAGGGAGAGAGAAGACTGAGATTGAATGATACCCACTGGGGTATCCTCCCGTGGGCTGCAACTGACAAAATAAAGAACTTGGACTTAACCACCTGACCATATGGAGCTTAGTTGCTTCTATAGTGCAGCTTGAAAAGGCACCAGATAGGCGCCTCGACCACCTGACATCCCATCATAGCTGAAGTCCTCAGAGCCTAAAAAAAACTGTGATTTTCAAGAGCTCCCAAATGGGTGACAAGGTAGAAATAAGAATGATAGAATGCTCCTCACCCTTCCCACATTTCTTGCCTGCTAGAAAGACTCTGGCTTGGCCTGTGGCTATCTCTTCCCTTTTTCTGCCATTCAAAGAGGATCTGTGTCCCTCAGATCTTTGCAGTGGTGAATAAAGAGAAGAAAAGAGGAGGCAGGTAAGAAGAGGTGTTTGGGTAGATTGAGCATTTCAGGACGCTTTGAGGTAAGACACTGACCTATGTGAGGCAGTGGTGGAGAGAGGAAAAAAAACAGGTCCAAATAAAGAATTGGAGAAATTCTGAAATCACTTATTTGCTTGTGTGAAACAGTCCCTCCCACTCTATTTTTTGTTTTTGTATATGATACAGGTTCTTACTCTGTCGCCTAGGCTGAAGTGCAGTGGCACAATCACAGCTTCCTGCAGCCTTGACCTCTGGGCTCAGGTGAGCCTCCCACCTCAGCATACCAAGTAGCTGGGGACTACAGGCTCATGCCACCATGCCTACCTGAGTTTTTTTTTTTTTTTTTTTTTTTTTTTGTAGAAACGGGATTTTGCCATGTTGCCCAGACTGATCTCAAACTCCTGGGCTCAAGTGATCTACCCACCTCAGCCTCCCAAACTGCTAGGATTATAGGCTTGAGCCACCGTGCCTGGCCCAACATGTTCCTTTAATTGTGATACAGATAGGGACTTTACAGGACTGGTCCTGGGTCGCAGCTTTGTAAACATTCCTCGTGGAAGTTGCCTTGGGTCATGCTTTAGTTTCTCATCAACCCATAGGAAGACTCGTGTAGGAGTTGGGTTCTAAAGTCATCACTGAGGGGAACATTCTCATGGAATCAAACAACGCCCTCACCAAGTCCCCAAACCATAACATAAAAATGCAACAGCTCTTAGTAAGTCCACGTGAAGCAGGTTTTCCTCCAGTGTTAGTGTGGTTCATAGCTTCTTTGGTGGAACTCCAGATGAAAGAGTTGGCTTGCATTTAGGGGCTGTGCTGTATGAAAAATTTGCATCTTTTAACACAAAATCTATGCTCTGCAAGGTGAGATGCTCACCCTGTGGGAGGGATGTGAAGACGGAGGAGTACGGAGGGAAGCACAGATTTATGCCTCACCCTTCGCACCTGTTCTGGGGCACGTGCTTCACAGAGGAGAACTGGGAGCAAAATTACCAGCATGCCATGTTTTTTTCCCTTTCTGCCACTCTCTCAGCCTATCATTGATTTATGCATGTCACTCCATGGTGTGGCGGTATCATGAACACACAGGTATGGCTTCATGGGACTGTGACTTGGGATGGGGTCAGGAAGTCCTCACTGCAGGCTGCCCACAGCCTATCTGGTTAGCAAAGAGAAGAGCACACGGATTGATATTGGTGGTTAGGGGAGAGAACTTACCTGGAGTTTGCATATATTCTGTACTCCTGGTACTGGTTCCTAGATTCTCAATAAATACAGCCGTGGGATGCAGACAGCACGACAGATGCTGAGGCACTACACGTGTACCCTCTCTCTGGAAGCCAGCTAATAATTTCTTATTAGCAAGAACAAGTAAACAAGATTGCTGTTCTACCAGAAGCCTATTGAATATGATAAAGGACACTCTCCTACCTCCTCCCCCACGCTCAGGTTGAAGTTGGAGACCAAATCGTGTACCTCGCTCTCCTGGCACAGGTATGTGACATTCAGGAAACTGCAAAACCTCTGCATGACCACGGAGAAAGAGGGACTGATCTGGCTCTCAGAACCTAGGGATGAATGGGTGAAATGTGCTCTTCATTGGCAAAGCCATTGGGATGACCCATTGTTTTCCTGCCAAATTTGATGTGACTGGTTGGGAGGTAACTGGGAAGTTTTTCCTGTATTCTACCTCTTTCTATCTATTCTCTCATGTTACTCCAGCCTTTTTTTTTAACCTTTTGAGTTCCCTTCTCTCTTACTTTTTCCTCTTGAGCTGCCTTTGTGTGGCTGCCAAGAGGGAGACTTGAGTTTTCCATGCAAGAGGAGGGCGACCTGCTGCCTTAAATGGGGGTGTCTGTGCTGAGTTTCTTGACAGAGGAGCCCATTAGAGGCATATGACAGGTATCTCCCCTCCCACCATCACATCAGGCTATGCCACGAGGCCCACATGATCGGCAGGAGGTACCCATAGAAGCTGTTTTTTCTGGGGAGTAGGGAGGGCAGGTGGGAGAACTGGAAAAAATGAGCCCACTTGACCACATCTTGATGGCATGGAGAGACAGGAGAAAACTTTTTGTTCTTGGAAATCTTGACTCCCTTAGGTTTCAAAAGTTTGCATCCTGGTTAGGCTGAAACATCTAGACTTTTCCTAAAAACTCTGTTAATGTACTTTTTTTTTTGTATCCTTGGATTTAGGAAATTGTGTCCAATGAGGGATATTAAAACTGTTAAACCACAAGCACCAGCCAGTCAGGAGAGAAACCCAGGCTGCCAGAACACATGCTGGAAATGAACCACTGGCATCGCCTTGCCAGAGTGTAGCAGTTGAATGTGGCCTTAAATGCACTCATGCTGCTAGTGCATTTGGTATGCTTTTAATCACATAGTTGTCTTAGATAGGGACTAGTCGAGTCCATCACATGTACTTTTAATGTCTATCAATTAAGCATATATAAAGCAAAGGAGAACAAGAGAAACAATTTAATAAAGCTAGTGAATACACTCCCCAGTCTATTTAACTCTGTGCTCCAGAGGGAATGTAGGATGGGAAATGAGAATTTGCTGTTTCTTCAGTTGGTCTTTGTTCCTGCATTTCACCCAAAGACTGAGCAGTTCCCCCTATCTGCTGCGGTTCTAACACTGAAAGAGGTATATTGGTCTTCTAACATGGTCCTTAAATGTAAGTAAGCTATAATGTGAACTTGAAAAGCAACCATCTGTTTCAATATTGTAGGAAAAATGGTCTGTGATGGGTTTACTGGGAGATGGGTTGTGAGTAGTTGACATGACACTCTAAAAAGATAATTTTGGCCATTTGTAAATTGCACTTCATGTGCCGCCTTTAGAGCTCAACTCCTGTGTAAGTTGCCACTTCACTATGTTTGCATCTTGTACCTGGCCAACCAGTGCACCTTCAATTTAGAAAGTATCATGAAGCCGCCTTCTAGGAAGATGAAAGTCAATGTAAAACCATGCAAAAGGATCCCCTTCTTAAAGTCACCATTGATTTTAGAGATTTCTAGGCCCAATAAGCCCCACATTTTATCATTTCATCTCTTTACACTATAGTAAGCCCAGATAATCTTATATTTCAAAGGGTTTCTAGCATTGTGTCCATAGAGTAGAAATAATATAGATGTGTGTTTGACATCTGAATCATCCATTTCACATCTTCCAAATACACCTCTTAGTCCCTTAACATCTGGGTTTTCCACTTGCCAAAAAAAAAAAAAAATCCAAAATTATGTAGGAGTTTGAATTAGAGTCTCATCCAGATAAATTGTCTTACAGACCTGGAAGGAGAAGAATGATTTTGTTAAAGTTGCAGAAGAAGGGCTATAGGTAAATAAGCATTAATCTTTTATTTGATTTTAAAACTAGTATCCCATCTGAATTTTAGATCCTAAAGTAGACTCCAAACAGAATGTATTAAAAAACAAAGTCATATGTGTGCTCTGTTTGCTGACCAATATTGTGCCTTTCAGAGTTAAAAATTATTTATTATTTACCTACATGATAAGAAATTGGATAAAATTCCTTCTTTTGTCTCCCAAATGTATTTCATGACAAAAATATAGTAGTAATTGCAAAGAGACAAGAATAAATTTAGTTTCTCAATACTAAGTGGTGTACTATAACCAGTATTCAATAAGGCATGTTGATTTGATTTAAATTAAAAAGAGAAATGAATAATTAGCATTTCTTGTATTGGTGACATATGTGAAGACCAAAATAAAATTTTTCCATGAAGTTGGATAAAAGTAAAACTTTCAAAGACAGTTGTATGTATGTATTTTAAAGTAATGGGACCAGCAATGTTGCAAATACGATACATGGACTACACATCTATAATACATAAATTGTTACCTAATCCCTTTAATAATAACTAACACTTAAACATTACGTGCTGCACATGTAGCGACAGTTTTTAGCACAGGCCTACCTCATTTTATGGTACTTGGCTTTATTGCACTTTGTAGATATCACATTTTTTACAAATGAAGGTTTGTGGCAATGCTGCATCATGCAGGTCTATTGGCATTTTTTCTAATAACATTTGTTCATATCTCTGTGTCATATTTTGGCAATTCTTGGAATAATTCAAGCTTTTTCTTTATTTGTTACTGTGATCTGTGATCAGTGATCTTTGATGTTACAACTATAATTGTTTTGGTGCATCACAAGCTGTACCCATATAAGATGGCAAATGTAATGGATAAGTGTTGTGTGTGTTCTGACTGTTCCACTCGCCAGCCTTTCTCCCACCTCTTTCCCTTTCCTTGGGCCTCCCTATTCCCAGAGACACAACAGTATTGAAATTAAGCCAGTTAATAACCCTACAATGGCCTCTTAAATGTTTAAGTGAAAGAAAGAGTCACAGGTTTCTCACTAAATCAAAAGCTAGACATGATGACGCTTAGTGAGGGAGGCATGTCGATAGCCGAGACAGGCGGAAAGCCATGCCTCTTGTGCCAAACAGTTAGCCAAGTTGTGAATGCAAAGGAAAACTTCTTGAAGAAAATCAAAAGTATGACTCCAGTGAACACACAAATGATAAGAAGCTAGAGAGCCTCACCGCTGATATAGAGAAAGTTTTAGTGGTCTAGATAGAAGATCAAACCAACCACAACATTCCCTTAAGTAAAGCCTAATCTGCCTAATCCAGAGCAAGGCTCAACTCTCTTCAATTCCATGAAAGCTGAGAGAAGTGAGGAAAGGGCAGAAGAAAAGTTGGAAGCTAGTAGAGGTTGGTTCATGAAGTTTAAAGAAAGAAGCCATCTCCATAACATAAAAATGCAAGGTGAAGCAGCAGGTGCTGATGAAGCTGCAGCAACTTATCCAGATCTAGCTAAAATCATTGATGAAGGAGGCTACACTAAATAATGGATATTTAATGTAGACAAAACAGTGTTAAGGTGGAAGAAGATGCCATTTAGGACTTTTGTAGCTAGAGACAAGTCAATGCCTTGCTTCAAAGCTTCTGAAGGCAGGCTGACTCTCTTGTTAGCAGCTAATGCAGTTGGTTACTTAAATTTGAAGCCAGTCCTCCTTTACCATTGTGAAAATTGTAAGGCCCTTAAGAATGATGTAAGCCTACTCTGCCTGTGCTCTAGAAATGTAGCGGTAAAGCCTGGGTGACAGCATCTCTGTTTACCGGATGGTTTACTGATTATTTTAAGCCCACTGTTGGGAACTACTGCTCAGAAAAAAAAAGATTCCTTTCAAAATGTTACTGCTTATTGACAATGCAACTGGTCATCCAAGACTTCTGATGGAGATGTACAAGGAGATGAATGCTGTTTTCATGCCAGCTGACCGAACAGCCGTTCTGTAGCCCCTGGGTAAAGGAGTAATTTTGACATTTAAGTCTTATTATTTCAGAAGTACATTTTATAAGGCTATAGCTCTATAGATAGTCATTCCTTTGATGGATTGAGGCAAAGTACATAGAAAACCTTCTGGAAAGCATTCACCATTCTAGATGCCATGAAGAACATTCATGATTTATGGGAGGAGGTCAAAATATCAACAGTAACAGGAGTTAGGAAGACGTTGATTCCAACCCTTAGGGATGACTTAGAGGAGTGTAAGACTTCAGTGGAGGAAATTACGTCAGACATGGTGGAAGTGGCAAACCAAACAGAATTAGTGGAGCCTGAAGATGTGACTGAATTGCTGCAATCTCATGAGAAAACTTGAACAGATAGGACTTGCTCCTTATGGCGGAGCAAAGAAAGTGGTTTCTTGAGATGGAATCTATTCCTGGTGAAGATGCCATGAACATTGATGAAATGACAAAAAAGGTTTTAAATATTACATAAACTTAGTGAGAAAGCAGCAGGAGGGTTTGAGAGGATTGATTCCAATAATGAAAGAAATTCTACTGTGGGTAAAATACTGTCAGATAGCATTGCATGCTATAGAGAAATCTTTCATGAAAGGAAGAGTCAGTTGATGAGGCACACTTCATTGTTGTCTTATTTTAAGAATAGTAAAGTAAAAATGCCGCAGCCACCCCAGCCTTCAGCAACTATCACCCTAATCAGTCAACAGCCATCAATATCAAGGCAAGACCCTCCATCAGCAAAAAGATTATGACTCACTGAAGGCTCAGATGATCACTAGCGTTTTTTAGGATTGAAGTATTTTAAAATTAAAGTATGTACATTCCTTTTTCAGACCTAATGCTATTGCACACTCAGACTACAGTATAGTGTAAACATAAATTTTATATATGCACTGGAAAACCAAACAATTAATGTGATTTGCATTATGGCAATATGCACCTTATCGCAATGGTCTGAAATGAAACCTGCTATATATTTGAGGTATGCCTGTATTTAATAATGTTTGTTCAAAAGAGGACAGCAAGCAACAGCCTTGATTTTATTCTCTGAAAAATCAATCCTTCCTTTTTTCCTTTGTTTGTTCATTCAATGGTTTTTTCCTTCCTTTTCTTCCTCTATTTCTGGAAAATGGAAGCCTTGATAGGATTTGTCTAGCATGGAATGCATGCAGTGGCTAACTGGAGTTTTCTGCCCTGGTTCTACCCAAAGTTCTCACAGAATCTTAAATCTCCTTGCCTTTGCCCATGCCATTTCCTTTCTTTGGTATATGTTTCTGTACTCTCTCTCTTTCTGAAAAATCCTACTTGAACTTCAAAATACAGGTTAAGCAACTAGCATTGGGTGACCTTGTCTCTTTTAGGCACCTACCTTGGCATTCTCATTGCCCTCTTAAAATATCTTTGTGGTTATGCATTAGTAATTTTTACTCTACCAGTGTCTCTCCCTACCTAATCTTCTTCTTCTTAAGGGTGGGCAATTTGTCTTTCATCTTGTTACTCCCAGCACTGAGCAGGATCTAGAACAAGGTGAATCTCAGCTAGATGTTGTAGTCAGTGTAATAAATTTTCAAACACTTCTGTTTTTCAGTGAGGGGAAGGTGTCCAAGGTGGGCACATCAGCACATGTGGGGAGATTGGGCTGGGCATGTTTACCAACAGTGCAGTGCTTTATTCCATTGCTTTGGTTTATTTTCCACAATGATACTTTATTTCTTCTTGAAGATCAAATAACATTTTTTAGGGCATAGGATTTTTTTTTTTTTGTCAAAGGGAAAGGTCCCATATTTTAAGAAAATATTTGGAAATATTCCTTTAATCATAATAACAGCAGACATTTGTTGACTACTTACAGCAACCTAGACAACCTCACCAGAACAGACTCCTGCTATGGAATACCAATAGTTCCCTATTTAAATATGGCCTGGATGATTTTGATTGGCTGAAGATGGGTCACATGCCTGCATCCTAGTTGCAAGGGTAACTTTTGATGTGAGCAGCTGGATTTTTGTCTCCATAGTTATAAATGGCCATGACCTCCCATCAAGACTCATAACCAGGAATTTACCTGAGCATATGAAAGAAGGTTCATATTTAGGGCAGGCAAGAAAGCATGGCAATGTCCATTAAGTCTTACGAGCTGCAGTAGGTGTTCCCAATGTCCTGCCTCTATCCTGAGCCATCACCAATTCATTGCATGCTGGCCCAAATTCAACCTCCAAGGTTTGCATTGTTTTGCCAAATGACTTTCTCTTGCAGCCAGAGCCTGCTTTATCACCTGCAAAGCAAGCCAGAAATACTGGGAAATTAATATCCCTGGGATTAGCCATTAATCAATGACCAATGGGAGTCTTTGGCATATAAATAACTCTTCTCCTTGATCCCTTGGGTGGGATAACTCTGAGGCATGTTTTGCACTGAATGCCAGAGCTTCTGAGAAGAATTGATCTCCAAGTACCCAAAATGGAAACAGCATTAATAACAAACCTTATATTGGCTGCCTTCCATCCTGGGTCTCACTTCTCCATTCCCCTGGTTGTATTTTTGGGGATTACGTACAAAATGAACTACTTGCTCTCTAATCCTTGTCTCAAAGTATACTTCAGGGGGATCCCAAACTAAGACCAATGTAGGAAGATGTTATTAAGCTTTATTTTTTGCGATTTGTATCAGGAAGCAAAACCAAACCAAATCTCACCTAAAGAGGTTTTCAAATATAAACCCATAATATTGAATGTGTTATTTCAAATCATTTCCTCTATGATTTAAACTTAGTATCCTAAGAGATTTGCCCCTCTAATGAGTATTACTGAAATGGTATATCGGTAGCCACCTGACGCTCAAGAGATACTTGTTTGTTTACTTATATGCTAGGGTAGGAAGAATATTACCCTTATCCATGCATGACGTAAAACTCAGGAAAAAGGTTATGTCTGGAGCTGTTGATATGGTCTGGAAATATTTATTTGGAAGCCATCCATGTAGAAGTGAGAGTTGAAGCCTTGGGGGATGAAACGATTGCCTGGGGTAAAGCAATAGGAAAAGAAGAGGATAGGTAAGAATTGACAATCAACTCTGTAGCAATGCTTGGGTAATGAGGAGAAAAGAGAAATCAGTTAGGTAATTAGATGGAAAAGGGATGGAAAAGACAGACAATATGGGTTGCATGGGGTCATTGAAGTCAGAGGAGGGAAAGGTTTTGAAGAAGTAGTGAATGGTAGCATCGAATGTTAGTGGCTCTACTGGTTTGGGCTTAGGGAGGTTTAGAGTTAAAACAAAGTGAAGGAATTGGGAGTAAGAAACTCAGTGGTTGTGAGAGAGTAGGTGCAGTAGAGTGATAGGGATGAAAGACAACTGGAAATGGTAGATGAGTGGGTGAAGACATGATAGAGCAAATAGAGCCTGAAATCCCAAACTCGTAAACCCCCCAAATCTCTGAACTAATATGAGGCTATTTACATTTTTTAATCCACCCCCTTTCATGCAGGTATTTACATGCTCTTGAAAGTACTAATGTGATTTGTTTTAGGGTGGTGTCTTGGGCATCCTGGGGTATTACATAATATGCAGTAGATGCTCACGTATAGATCCGGATAGGGTAGCTTATGTTGCAGTAACAAACAAGCCCCAAATAGCAGGGGCTTATGCAATGTTACATGCCCATTGTGGGTCACTTGGGACTTTGCTTCCTGACATTTTTATTAAGGACCCAGGCTGGTGGAGCCTCCATTACCTGGGATATTGCCAATATTATGCCAGAGGGAAGTGAGAATGTGATGCAAACACATGCTGGCTCTCAGAGCTTCTTGGAAGTGGCACATGTCACTATTGCTAACCCTTCACATGGCAAGCCAAGTCACATGACCATTGGAGCTCAATAGAATGAAGACGTATATTCCTCCTGCAGGGAGGGCCAACCTAGGGAGGGCAGTGAATATTTTATATAACAGATGCAGTCTACCATAACTTCAGATCTTTTTAAAACCTGAATTCAAAAGATACCTGGTTCTTAGAATTTCAGATAAGGAGCTATGGGCTTATTGTAATCTGTTCTTTCAAAAAATCTGGCTGTGTAAAGAAAGAGCAGCTTGACCAGAAGCTGACATGAAGAAAGGATGTTCTCATAAGGAAGATTTGAATATTGAATAAGAATCACTTGGTTGAAAATGACATAAACCCAATTTAAACTACTTTAAGTAAAAATCAGATTTTAAGTTTTTGCTGATTGTACTGTTTTCCTATGATGCTGTAACAAAATACCATAAACTTTGTGGTTTAAAGCCATGGAAATTTATTTGCTCACAGTTTTGGAGGTGGGATATCTGAAATTAGTATCACTGGGCCAAAATCAAGGTGTTGGCTGGGCTGCGCTCCCTCAGGAGGCTCTGGGGGAAATTTAATTCCTCGCCTCTTCCAGCTTCTGGTGGTTGGCAGCATTTCTTGGCTTGTGGCCACTCACTCCAATCTCTGCCTTCTCCTTTTCTATATGCATTGCTTTCTCCTTCTCTGTATGTGTCAAATTTCTCTCTGTCTCTCCATCTCAGCCAAGATACTTAATCATATCCACAAAGTTCCTTTGTACCATATAAGGTAATATTTACAGGTTTCAGTGATTGGGATGTGCATATCTTTTGGAGGGCCATTATTCAGACTATCACTCTCAGATAGGTTCTTCTCATGAGATGGTAAAGACTGTTACCAGAAACTCTAGACAAGGAATAAGAAAACTATGATTTTAAGGCCAAATGCAGGCTGCCTGTTCCTGAGAATAAAGTTTTACTGGAGCACAGCCATGCCCATTTGCTACATATTGTCTATGGCTACTTTCATGAATGGAGTAGTTGCAATACAGAGCTTACAACCCAGAAAGACTCAAATATTTTCACTTATGCCATTTACAGAAAAAGCTTGCTTGATGTCTGCTCTAGACTGATGTTTTACCAGCTTAGCAACTCCAGTGGAAAATTCCAAAATTTACATATATTGGCTTAGCTTGGACCACATGCTCATCCTTGAACCAATCACGATGTCCACGGGAATGCAAAGCTCTGGTTGGACCAACCAGAATCCTGTGCCCACCTCTGTAACCTGGACCTGGGGTAAACCTCACTTAAAACACATAGATCACAGAAGAGGGAGGCTTTTTTTTCCAAAAGAGATCTTGGGAGAAAATACCAAAATAAGGGAGAAGGGATGCTGAGCGATGAATGTTTTGAGAACAAAAAAAGAGTAGTTCACTAAGAGTATGCTCGTCAGCAGAGTGGAAGGCTTCACTGGGGGAAAGAAGATGCAGGAGCAAGAAGGAGAGTGCAGAGAATCAGGGACAGCATTGGTGTCAAGTTAGATCTCCACAAATTCCTCAAAACCAAGCCTGAGGGACATCTGAGGGACAGGTGGAAGATTCTAGAAAAAATGAGGTGAAAGAAATGACCAGAATGTTAGGAGGAGAAGTTGTAGAGGTTGGAGCCACAGAGGCCAGAGCAGGGAAGAGATAAGAGAGGAACTATCGACAGAGTTAAATGCCCCTGAGAGGACCAGAGACGAATGAACAGGACAGAAATGCGCGGCGGGGAGCTGAACAGGACCCTGGCTTAACGCAGTGGGTTGCAGGTCTAGAGCAGAAGCAGTTGTGCTTCCTGAATCCAGTTCTTATACTTTTCTCACACTCTGAATAATCTGGTCCTAGGTGTAAGTTTTTGACAGTCACGGTTCTCTAAAACAGGAATTGCTAAGTAATAAAACTCTTACATTAAGAGCTGTGAACTTACAGGAAATTATTGAAATGTGCTTAACTCTTGATCCTCACCTCCAAGAAATTTTAAAATGCTTAAACCATTTTATCATAACTTTGCTTTCTTCTCAACAAAGTATTTTGAGATGATTTTTTATGGGAGATGCCACATAAAAATCAACTGGTTTGAAATGGCAGAGGTTTTAAAAGATTTTAATAGATTGATAAGGTGGGTCACCTCTTTACATCTTTGGCATGAAGCCCAGAGAAATAAAGTAAAAAAGTAAGAAAGAGACAAAAGTTGGGATAGTGCAGAGGGCATTTGAGCTGAGAAAGGAGCCACACTAATATTCAATGAGAATAGCGACCTTTCAACTTTCCAAGAGTGATCTTTGTCCTCATGGCCAAAATATACTCCAGTGGAAAACACTGGGTTATGAGAACTAAAAGTAGTGTGTGTGCGCGTGTGTGCCTGTGTGTGAGCTGATGTAGAAATAAAAAACACATCATGAGCATATATGATTGTCTCCAATTAATATTCCAGGAAACACAGGAAAGGTGGTAAAAATAAGAAACTTTGCCCTTTGGGCAGTTAGTACCAGTCTAGGAAACTGCTGGTGTCAATATATTGATGCTTCCCTTTGCACATCTGGTGAAATCTTAGGATGCCAGTGAGTGTGTCTCTTCCCAGGATGAACTCTCTCTCTCTTTTTTTAAATATTGACTTTAAAAATACAATATTAATTTGGGCTCAGTGCAGAGATCAGGACAATATGGGAGCAGCACAATGCACAAAACATGCCTGATCTATGAGAATCTATACCAGGTTTCCAAAGCATGCCTTGGCATCAGAGCCAGTTGTGCTATTTGCTGAAAATACAGTCTTGATCTCACCATAGACTGAGTGTGTCAGGGTCTGGGAATCCGTTTGTATCAGTCCATTTTCATGTTGCTGATAAAGACATACTTGAAACTGTGCAATTTACAAAAGAAAGAAGTTTAATGGACTTACAGTTCCACATGGCTGGAGTGGCCTCTCAATCATGGCGGAAGGCAAGGAGGAGTAAGTCACGTCTTACATGGATGGTGACAGGCAAACAGAGAGAGAGAGCTTGTGCAGGGGAACTCCTTTTTTTTAAAACCATCAGATCTCATGAGACTTATTCACTATCAGGAGAACAGCATGGGAAAGACTTGCCCCCATGATTCAATTACCTCCCACTGGGTCCCTCCCACAACATGTGGGAATTCAAGATGAGATTTGGGTGGGGACACAGCCAAACCGTATCACTGTTCTTTTTTTTTTCCTTCAAATTTCAAAGTTCTTTTACACATTTACATCTAAATTTTATTTATTTTTGAATAGATGACATGTTCATAAGTATAAACTGAAAAGATTTAAATGAATATATAGGGAAATATAAGACTTGGTCTCACATCTGATTTTTAGGATACTTGTTCTCCTCTCCGGGGGAACCCTGTTACCAGACCCTTCTGGAGACATTTATTGCTTGTGCAAGCATATGGTACTCTTTTATATATGTGTGTGTGTGTGTGTGTATATATATATCTAACTATAATTCATATACATGTATACACATATATATCTACATGTGTATATGTTTAAAACAGAAACAGTAGCAAACCATTTATATGGTTTTGCTTTTTAAAAACTTAATCTTGGAATAATTGCACATATTCACATTCAGAGCTATATTGTTCTTAGCTGTTGACTTGATAGTTCATCACTGATCAGACTCCTACTGATGGATATTTAGGTTGTCTTCAACATGTGCCTCTGACAGACAGTCTCATAATCAATATCCCTGTTATTTAGATATATAAGGAGACTGTAACACATTATATAAGTTGGCCCTTTTAGTTTCAAGCCATAGAAAATGAACTCTGGCTTATTTAAACAGAGAAGGAATTAATTAGAGGATCTACAAAAGGGCCAGGGAATCAGAGAAACCAGGAAAAGGGTCAAAACTGATCTGTAGAAGGAACTGGTGTCATGAAGACACTGCTGTCATCATTGCTGGGTCCTAATGCTGCTGCCTGGGCCAGGGATACCGGCCTCACTGGAAACAGCAACTCCAGCTACCATCACTGACACCACCATTTGTACAAACTGGATGTAGTTCTGGCCCCACTGCCGGTACCTTTGCCACAGTAGGTTGTGCACAAGCTCTGCTTTTTTGTGTTGTAAACTCTCCAAGATTCGCTTGATTGTTGGAGCCTATTGAAGTGGCTCCGTTGTCTGGGGTATATACTCTGGGGTTCGTGGTCATGTGCCAGGAAAATTTAGGACATTGACACACACAAGGAGTTCAGGAGCGGAGTTTTAATATGTAGAAGAGAAGAGAAAGAGGAACAGCTTCCTCTATAGACAAAGGGATCTCCCAGCAGAAAGGACCGGCTGGTGGCAAATGTGCCGAATTTTATAGTCCAGTTTGGGGAGGTGGTGTCTGATTTACATAGAGCTCATAGATTGGTTCCATCAGGTATGAGGTTTACATAGCACGTGGGGAAGGCTGGTCGTTCCACCCTATCTTATTATGCAAATGGGCTTTCCAGTTGATCCACACCATCTTGTCCGCTCCTTACAGTACATGTGGCTGGCAGAGAAGGGAAGATGGAGCCACCATCTTGAAAATGTCTAGTCCTTGGTTCCTGCCGGCATTCACCCGTGCAAGCTCCCAGCTTTCTTGTCTGTGTCTGCAGCTCAACTTTATGGGCTGCTCTTTGTTAGAAGTCATTATTTGTGGGGCCACGTGCAGCGGCTCATGCCTGTAATCCCAGCACTTTGGGAGGTCAAGGCGAGTGGATCATCTGAGGTCGGGAGTTTGAGACCAGCCTGACCGACATGGTGAAACCCCGTCTCTACTAAAAATACAAAAAAATTAGCCGGGTGGTGGTGGACGCCTGTAATCCCAGCTACTCAGCAGGCTGAGGTAGGAGAATCGCTTGAACCCAGGAGGCAGAGGCTTCAGTGAGCCAAGATCGTGCCATTGCACTCCAGCCTGGGTGACGAGCAAAATTCCATCTCAAAAAAAAAAAGAAAAAAGAAAAAAAGAAAATGATTTAGGGCTGCTTTTCATTGAAAAAAGAAAAGCCTTATGGAGGACTCTCATACCCTTACTAACTGCTTAAGTAATTCTTTCTTAACTCCTATATCATATGTTATGTGTTCTAACCACAAGGGAGTCCAGGAAAGTGAGAATAAAACCTCTACAGTGACAGTTTTTCTCTGACCCCACTGCATTACTTAAAGGGGTCAGGTCCTTAACAGGGGGCTGTGTTGGTTGGTTGGTTGGGTTTCTCCCAAAAGCAGATCATGTGTCAAGGCTTTGGGTATAGGGAGCGTGTTGGAAGATGATCCCAGAAAGCACTGAATGGAGGAGTGGGCAAAATGAGACACAAAAGGAAGGAAAGTCAATGAAAGATGCATTAGTGAGTGGCTTTCCGTTGTGGGCATCCGGGGCTCCATTCCACTGAGGAGCCTCTGAAGCATCATGTAGGACTCACTTCAGAACTGACCCACTGGCTTTTTAGTGGGAAAGCTAGAATATGTATCCTCCAACTCTCATTCTTCATTGGTTGAGGTTTGTTCATAGAGGCCTTACATCCCCGGCCGAGCAAGCTCGGCACCAGAGGAGCCCCTGGTTAGAGAAAGAGTCATGAAAGCTGGAGGTGGGAAGCGTCAGTGTGGGTGGAGAATGTCCACGTTGATTCCTGGAAAATGTGGAGGTGGGCCACGAGAATCAGGGGTGGGCATCACCAGTGTCTGCTACAAGGGGTTCATATACTGGGTAACCGAAAATGAGAAGCTGAGAGGATCTCAAAAGAAGACAGAAAATAAATAAGTGAATAAAAAATAGAGTAAACACAAGTATGGCTTAGTGATTGATTGCTGAACAAATGCCTTCTGGATATATCAGCTCTCTAATGAAGAATGCAAAAAAGTACTGATGGTAGGATCAATATTGTTAGAATCTCCTAATTTGTTTACTATTGATAGATACCAGCTAATATGATGGCACTAGACACAATATTTGTTTTATATTTATCAGCTAGTGGGAATATATTTCTATATGCCAATTTTTTTGAGTACTGCTGATGAGTACACACGACATCGTGACTGCACCATTAGGTTTGATGAATCCATATAATTGCTGCACAAATATTTTGAATTTAATTGCATGTAATATAGTTAACACTCGGTTATGAGTGCCAATAAGGGAAGCAGTGACATGGATAATTCGAAACAGTGGAAAACCCAAAATCGTTTATGTAAAACTTCTTTGGCCCATTTTTGACTCAGGGCTACAGATTCACCTTTCTAATTATATTTTGTTTAGGCTAGTAATAAGAATTATTTTCATTTGGTAAAACATGGGCTGATGGAAGAAGAAAGTTGTTGAAATGTGTTCTGCTTGTTGGTAGAAGCTGGCATTAGAAGTTTTCAAGAGATAGCCACATTTAGGTAATTGAGAGTTTACTGGCTCAAATCTCATTAAAGTCAGATGATTTCTCCTCATTGTTCACGTATGTTAAGTACCAGGCACTGTATTAAGTTCTTTACACAGATGATCTCATTCTTTCCTTACAGCCGCCATAATTAGGGGATGTTTTGTAGTGGAAAAGAATGATACTTCTAGAATCAAGTTGTGTTTCTGCCAAGTTATTAGTTATGTGAAATTGGTCAAGTTACTAAATCAGATGAGGTTTTTCATCTGCCAATAATAGTAGTGGTAAGCCATAAAGTTGCTGACAGCCCACGGTGACTAAATAAGAGAATCTATCTAAAGCACAGTGACTGGCTTATGATGTCCAGTTCCATTACAGACTGGGTTAGTCTCAAAGTTGGTGTTCTGCTTATCCTCAGCCTGTGCTCTCAGTGAGCCCTCTGGAACAGTGCTCCTTAAGCTTTTAAATGCATCCAGATCACCTGGGGACCTTGTTGAAAAGAAACTCTGATTTAGTAAGTCTGGAACAGGACCTGAGATTCTGCATTCCTAATAAGCTCTGGGAGGGTGCTCATGGTACTGACTTGTGGAGCACTCATGGAGTGGTGAGGCACTGGATAATTTTGGTCAAACATTTTAATTTCACTTTAGTTTTCTTTGTATCCACAGCAGGTTCAGAGAAGAAGCAAGGCTTTCTGTCTGCTTTTCTTTGCCATGCAAGGTCCAACTCAGGTGCCAGACTTCCAGGAAATCTTCCTCATCTCTCAGATCCCTTGAATGTCCCTTTCCCACATTTCTAGTACAGAAGTTTTTCTAGTACTAGAAGTTTTCAGCAAATAGCCACATTTGGGTAGCTGAGAGTTTACTGGCTGAAATCTCATTAAAGTCTGTCAGGTACTTTCTCCTCGTTGTTCCTGTATATTCAGTACCAGGTACTATATTAAGTTCCTTACAAAGATGATCTCATTCCTTCCTCACAGCCACCATAATTAGATAGCTACCTGCTGGGAAGCATTACTGGGAAGTAGCTATGAATACAGACCCTGGGGTTATGCAGACTTGGGTTTCAATTGAATCTCTGCTGCTTACTAATTCTGTGACTTTGGACCTGTGGACCAATAACTTCTCTGAACTTCAGTTTCCTCATCTGTCAAATGGGCCTGATAATAAAAGCCACACAATGGGGTCATTGTAAGACTCAGACGGGTGCTTAGTGTAAAAAGTCTTAGCCCTATGGCTGGTACCCAGCAAGTGAACTGAGAGGTTCACAGGGTTGTAAGCAAAGTGAGGATGGGCACTTACATGTTTTGTCTGTCATTTTGCCAGTTCATGTAATCCAAATATGGCCGCTTCTCTCTTCTTTCCCAGAAACTCACTTTCCCAGTCTCCCTTTCAGCTAGGGACAGCCATGTGACCAGTTCTGGCCAGTGAGATGTGAGTCCCACTGTTCCAGGGACTTCTGGGAAAAAAATCTACGACCTGGGAAAGGAAAGAGCCAGTTGAGGAAAAGCCCTTTGTCCCTTCTTTGTTTATATCTCCAACTTCCCGATTTTTCCTGTGGCTGTGATGGCCAGGATGTGGCAGCCCTCTGGTTATAACAGTGTCACAAATCCTTCATTGAGGCTGCCTTGCAACCCAAGCTCTGCCTCTCTCCAATCCTCTCTTTCCCTCCCTTCATAGGTGCAGATGCTGAGAGCACTTTCTAGTCAAGTCCTGCATGTTCATTTCTGTCTCAAGTCAGCTTCTCTGAGAATCCAATTTATAAAAATATATTTGTGAATGTATAAGTAAAGTGACTTGGATTTTGTCTACGTACAAGGACTTCTATGCCTGCATAAAACAGGTAATATTTATCTTTCGTTGTTGCTGTTTCTGGTGTCTAAATCCCCTTCTAATAGTTGGAAGAAATTTTCCTGCCTCTTAATATAGAGTCAGATTCTTTTTTTTTTTTTTTTTTTTTTTTTAACTCTGTCGCCTAGGCTGGAGTGCAGTGGCGCGATCTCGGCTCACTGCAAGCTCCGCCTCCCAGGTTCACGCCATTCTCCTGCCTCAGCCTCCCCTAGTAGCTGGGACTACAGGCCCCCGGCACCACACCCGGCTAATTTTTTGTATTTTTAGTAGAGACAGGGTTTCTACTGACCTCGTGATCTGCCCGCCTCGGCCTCCTAAAGTGCTGGGATTACAGGCGTGAGCCACCGCGCCCACCTAGAGTCCCATTCTTTAATTCAAGACCGAGTAGCCAGTGCTGGTTAAGAAGTAGTGGGAGAGGTTGTGTTTTCGCGATGCTGCAGCTGCACTGAGGTCTTTGGGGGCAGCAGTGCCAACTGCAGCAGGGATCGTTTACAGGAGCAGCCTCTCTCCAGGGCCTGCAGGCTGCAGGGTTGGGGGTGCTGGCCGGACAAGCTGCAGCTTCCAGTGCTCTCCATGGGGGACACAGCACATCCCCACCAGACTAGGCTGTAATGTGCTTTTCCTGTGGTTAGGGATGGAAAGCCATCTTTTGTGCAGCTCTCTGTCCGTGCCTTGTTCTCTAGCCTTCCTAAATGATTCCGAGTGCAGTCAGTTTTTCTTATTTGCATCACAGAACCATGTCTGCGGCCTACTATGTAATACTATTTAATTTGTATCTGTGGACATTTAAAGTCTTGATATATTTTCTGTATCATTATTGATAACAATGGTAAGTATCATTTGAGGATTTATAGGTCACAGAATGCCTACGTATGCATTACTTGATTTATTCCTCATATAACACTGTAGGTTAATATATTTGTTTTAACCCTTATTTTGTAAGTTAGCATCTGAGAGGTGGAATAACCTGCCTAAGCTGACTCAGTAAATGGCAGAACTGGACTGGAACCTACGCTTTCTTTCTTTCTTTTTTTTCTTTTTTTGAGATGGAGTCTTGCTGTGTCACCCAGGCCCGAGTGAGTGGTGTGATCTCAGCTCACTGCACCCTCCGCCTCCCGGGTTCAAGCAGTTCTGCCTCAATCTCCTGGTAGCTGGGACTACAGGCGCATGCCACCACGCCCGGCTAATTTTTTGTATTTTTAGTAGAGATGGGGTTTCACCATATTGGCCAGGCTGATCTCGAACTGCTAACCTCGTGATCCGCCCGCCTTGGCCTCTCAAAGTGCTGGGATTCCAGGTGTGAACCTACACGCCCGGCCGGAACCTAAGCTTTCTATTTAATTTTTTAAACATTGAAATCTTTTGGAAGCAAATACTATGTTAACCAAAAATCTGAACATCTCACCTTATTGAATAATGGAGATGATTTAAGTAAAACTTTAAGTCACAAAATAAAAATATCTTTTTCTTAATTCAAACAATACAGAATAATAGAAGATGGAAAAGTAACCAGAAGAAACAAATGCTAACACTTTCTTTTGCATTTTTATAGAAATTTTTGAAATACACATACTTAAGCAGGTTGAAGTATAGTGTTTTTTAAATACAAATCAAGCGATATTATACATAATGTTCTTTAACTTGCTTTTTTATCTTGCATTCAGTGAAATATCTCAGACATCTTGTCAATATTGTTGTAAATAGCTTTGCTTAATTCTAACTGGCATTCATTATTTTGTGCTTATATTTTAATCTAAATGGTCAGTCTTCTATTGATGTATGTTGTCTTAAGTACTGGTTTCCTGGAACCATTGCCTGAGATGGGCATTTTTATAAACGTGATTTATCAAGGGAGTGGATGAAGCAGGAGAGGACAGAGGAAGAATCCTGGCAATCCTCTTGTCCTCTTGAGATGATGCTGTGGCTTGAGCTCTTAGCAGCCAACCCTCACTGCTATTTAAGGGGAGGAATGCCAATTCATTAAAGAGATCTTGGTGGGACACCATCAGCACCAGCTACATGTATTTAGATGGTTTCCAGTTTTCTATATTAATCATTTTGGGATGAACATTCTCATACTATTCATGTCTTTGTGTGCTGTGAAAAATTCTTAGATGTGATAATTCTAAACTGAAGGATGTGGTAGCAATGCCAGATACTCATACAATGTCCAGTGTTCTTTCCTCCTTACTGACACAACAACAATTTGTTGGCTGTGTCAACATGCCTAGTTTTAAAAATTATACTTCCCAGCCTTCTTTGATGTTAGAGACATAGTTTTGACCAATAAAAGTGAAGTAATTGGCTATAGCTTCCAGGAAGGCTCCAGGTGGGGTAGGAGGCAGTGGCAGTCACACTCATCTGGGACATATTCTTTATGCACTTCACCCTCAGCTTTTTCTTGCCCAGAACGGGGATGTGATACTGAAGGGGGCGCAGCCACCTTGTGATTGTGAGGTGACAGGTCCTCAGCTGTCTAAGCAAGAGACATTATGGAACATTCTATGAGCTGTTTAGCATGCTGGACTTCCTAATGACGGCTTCTATTTATGTGAGGGGGAAGATGCCTTATTAATTTCAGATTCTAATGGATATGGAGTATGTGCATTTAAATGTTGGTACACACAGTGGAGTAGGATTTCATGGGACATTAGGCTCCAAAGCAGGGTCTCTCAACCTCAGCATGGTTGATATTTGGGGCTGGAGAATTCTTGGTTTTGGTGGGCTTTCCTGTGCATTGTAGGGTGTTTAGAGAACTCCTGGTCTTTACCCACTAGATGCCATTATCACCACCCCTTCCCAGTTGTGACAAGCATGTCTCCAGACATGACTGAATGTCTCTTGGTTGAGAGCTACTGCTGCAAAATCAGCATGCAAGGCAACCATTACATGTAGTCAAAAATACACCAGAAGATCTATTAAAATCATTGATAAAATACAGGATTCATTCATTCCTTCAGAAATATTTCCTGAAGGGCAGCTATGTGTTATGTGCTGTTTTTGGTGCTAAAGTTGGAACAGTATGCAAGGCACACAGGAAATAAGATACCTGCTCCCCCTGGAGTTTATGTTCGACCAGGAGAAAACAAACTATATATATACACACACACACTATAAATACACACACACACACACACACACACACACACACACACACACACACAACTGATACAGAGTACGTTTTGTATTCCTGGGCATTTAAGATCTTCATGTATATTTTTATCATTACCAATAATAACAGTAAGTAATGATTTAGAGCAGGGATCTGTATGCTACATATAGCCCGTGGCGAAATCTGGCCCACCACTTGATAAAGTTTTATTGGCACACAGCCATGTCCGTTCATGAAGTATTGTCTATGGCTTCTTCCATGCTGCAGTGGTGACAGTGGCTGAATTTAGTTGTAAAAGAGACCCTACGACTCATAAGACCTAAAATATTTACTATCTGGCCCTTTGCAGAAGACATTTGCTGACCCCTGGCTTAGAGATTTATAGTTCATAGAATAAGTATACTTGCATTATCTTGTTTGTTCCTCGAAGTAATCCTCTGATATAGTTGTTTTCCCTCTTGTATTATGGGTCAGAGTCTGAGTGAGGGGATGACTTGCTCCAGTTCACTTAGTTAGCAGTTCCAGGTGGTCGCTGTGCTGCTGGGGAGACTGCAATTATAAATAGCGTTGTCATGGAAGAACTCATCAGGAAGGTGACAGAGATGTGAAGGCAGAATGAAGAGACCCATGTGGATAGCTGAGGGACCAGAATTCTTGGTAGAAGGAAGGTGCCTTGTGTGTTTGAGGAACAGTTAGAGGTCAGCTGATGGAGCATGAGGGAGATTAGCTGGAGATGCAGTCAGGGAGGAGTGGATGGGGCAGGTGGTGTAGGACTTTACTTTTTACTGAGTGTGCTGTGGGGCCCATGGGAGGCTTTGAGAAGAGGAGTGGCATGATCTGACTTATGGCTGAACAGAAAACACCAGTTCCCTGTAAAGAATGGACCAAAAGGGTCAAGAGTAGCATCAGGGAGCTCTGTTGGGGATGGAATGGGAGGTAGCAGCAGCTGTGTGAGAAGAGGTTAAATTACAAATCTACTTTGGAGGGAGATTTGATTGCAGATGGATTGGAGGGGTGAGGGTAGGTTGAGAGAGAACATGGGGTCAAGGAAGACACCAGGGATTTTTGCTTGAGAGCTGGAAAGATGAAGTAACTGGCTGAGACGGGATGGTGGGCTTGGGAACCAGAAGTTCAATGTTCCATTCAAGATCCCTGTTATGCTCACCATATTTTTTGGAACTGCCATGGACTAAAGAAAAAAGTAAAAGGAAAATGAGTAGTTATATATTTAGGCATTTTCAAATCAAACCACCCTATGTTAAGAGATCTATAGGTTTCCCAATGGTGAGTAGAGAGTGAGTGGAGAATTCTCAAGGGCTTCTGGCTTGCTTGAAAAGCTTCCAAGGCTCTGCAAATTTGTTCAGTAAAGGACTCAATGGTAAATATTGTAGGTTTTGTGGGCTATATTAATCAGCTAGGGCTGCCATAATAGAATACCATAGACTGGGTGGCTTAAGCAACAGAGATTCCTTTTCTCACAGTTTTGGAGTCTGGAAGTCTGAGATCAGGGGACCATTATGGTGGAGTTTTGGTGAGGGCTCTCTTCTGGGCTTGCAGACAGCAGCCTTCTTGCTATGTATTCTCCTGGCAGGGGTGATGTTGAGGGGGTGGGCGGGTGGAGAGAGAAAGAGAGAGAGAGATCGATCATTTTCTTTTTTAAAAATATAAGGCCATGGTCCTATTGGATTAAGGCCTCACCCTTATGACCTCATTAAATCTTAATTCGCCTAAAGACCCTGTCTGCAGATATGGTCATATTTGGGGTGGGGGTTAGGGCTTCAACATAAGAATTTTTGGTGAACAAAATTTAGTTCATAGCATGGGCCATACTGTCTCTGTTGCAAACTCAACTCTGCTGTTGTAGTGCAAATGCATCCATAGACAATGTGTAACATGTGGATGTGGCTGCATTACAATATAACTTATTTAAAACACAGGAAGCAGGCTAGATTTGGTTCCTGGGCGAAAGGGTTTTCCAACCCTTAGTTTATGCTGTTCTGCATAAGTATAACGCGTGCCAATAGATTTGTTTGCTCTGAGGATTGCAAGGATAATAATGTATGCAAATGCAACTGAGCACAGAGCCTGGCATACAGTAGGTGCTCAACATGTATTTGCTTTAAGTTTGACACACTGTCCTTTAAAATAGAATATGGCGACCTGTTTTTCTAAGTTGGCACTTATTGCTCAGCCCCATCATTTTTGTGTCCCTGGTATTGCTCTCATGATCCCTGATGCTACAGTGGGATTGCATCTGACAAATGCTTGAGTTCAAAGTCAGTGTGAAATGAGTGGTTAATACAATATCATTATGTCACTAAATCATCTCTAAGATGGTTGTATCCAGCTACATTCCCATCAATAGCGTAGACTGCAGAGAGAGTATCTAGGAGAGAGTATCTAGAAGTTCTATCATTTACTCGTATATGTTTCCCCAATTTAAGACAGGGTAGGAGAGAAGTAGATCCACTTATCACTAGAACCTGGGGAAAAAGCTAAGGACTTCTCTGCAGTTCCAAAACTTTTCCTGGAACAGTAGATGACGCGTTTTGTACAGGGCAACAGAAACTGGGGTGTTTGGATGGGTTGATGAGATAGTGATTTATTTTGATGTGACTGCTAACACTGCTACTACTGTGAGTCTTGTTAATACAAAACTATTAATCCTGTTCTTGTTCCCTCTGTGCCCGTTGCTGCGTGCTGCCAATGGGGAAGATACAACATATAGGAAAAACCAGATTCTTCACTGCAAATACTGCTTTGCATGCTTTTCTTTCATTGCTTTGGGCTTCTGGGAGAAATCAGAAGAAAAGAAACAAGGCAGTGAATGGTGGAAATCATGGGGGAAAGATGGCATATTTGGGATCTGCAGATGGATATTGAAAATGCAAACTAGTTTGCTGATTTGTAGTTGTATTAGGGTGGGTGTCCAAACTGGTGGTGTTAGTAATGGAATTTGGAACTTCTCAATGGATATGATCCTGTGTGCAGGCATGTGGTCACCTGAATAGTACCACTCAAAACCCCCAAACCTAAAAAAAAAAAAAAAAAAAAAATCCCATTATTTGCATCTCCTACTCTGTTCTAGAAAGCTTAAAGTTTATTGTAAAGGTCTTTGCTTTGTGGAAAGATGCTTTTTGGTAAAGAACATGCTGTTTGTTGGAGCACTGCATTAGTTGTCTGTTGTTGCGTAACAAATCATTTCAAACCTTCATGGCTTAAAACAACAGTAAACATTTATTACCTCACAGTTTATGTGAGTCTAGGATTCAGAAGTGGCTTAGCTGGTAGTTCAGGTTTGAGGTCTCTCATGAGATTGCTGTGCAAGTGTCAACTGGGGTCACTGTCATCTGAAGGGTCGATTATGGTGGATTGGGGGATCCAGTTCCAAGAAGGCTCACTCTTCCAAGAAGGGGGCCAGCATGCTGGTGCTGGCTCTTGGCAGGAGGCCTCAGTTCTTCTCCACATGGGCCTTTTCAGAAGTCTGCCTGAGTATCTTCATGGCATGATGGATGGCTTCCTCCAGAGTGAGCTAAGAGACCATGGCATAAGCTAAAAAGTGTTTTATGAACTGGTCTCAGAAATCACACCACTGTCACCTCCACAGTTTTCTACACAGTTCAGTCCTATTTAGTGGGAGAGGGGTGTATACAAGAATATGATTACTGGGAGGCTAGAATCACCTGGGCCATCTTGGAGGCTGACTACCATAAGAACCAGCCATGCACCAGACCCTGCCTCTATGTGCTTTACCTCATTTAATCTTTAGAGGAATGGTGCCAATACAAGGTAGGATCTACTGCTATAAGAAATCAAAGGTGAATTTCACTAATTTGTCTAAGGTCACACAGCTAGTGAGTGGTGGAGCTGGGATTGTAATGTATACACCTGAGTTCCAGCCTATGGATTAATGCTGGCTTCCATATCTTCCTCAGAGAGACCTGGGTCCAAGTTTGAGCACTGCCCATTGCTTGCGTTTGGTCTTAGTAATACAACTTAATAATTCCATTTGTGTAGCTCAAATGCAATTAACCGTTTGGAATGCACACATGCAGGAGTGGGCACATCAAGGCATTCAGTAGATCAAAAAAATCTTTTCCCTTAAAATTTTCAAAATCTGAGGTACATATACAACAAGTAGTAAGAGATAAGTTTCACACAGTACATGGATGAAGTGCTTTTTTATTTTCAGAGTTATATATTTATTTTAATGTATATTTAAAAAAATGGATGAATTCCACTTGAAAAGTTACTTAACTGAAACTCAATTTTGGTGTTTGTAAGATAAGCATAAAATGCTAACCGCTTAGAGTTGTATGGATTAAAAAAGGTAATGTATATCAAGGGCCTAGCAATTGAAAGTTCATAGCAAGCACTCAATAATATTTACTACTATTAACTCGTGATAAATGTAAAGTGTTCCAGAAAATATGGAAGTGGTGTTCAGGGTTAAGAACATAGAGCCATAATCAGAAGCACTTTTTTCTGTGCTTCTATATTTTAAGAGAGAAACTCTTAGTGATTTGGATTCCATTTAAAGTTATGACACAGTGGTAGAGGAAGTAAGTAGGAAGTGAGATTTTCTTCTTAGTTATGAGAATGGCATCAGTGAGAATTAACTTTTACAGCCACAGTCTTGATAAGGTAAGATGGTTAAAAACAGATGCTTTTATATTTAGAAAACTGATTGGCTACACTGGGTATATAAATGTGCTTTGGAAAAATTTTCACTTCCTACTCCGAGGTCGCCTAATTGCCACAGATACAGATGTTCTGCTTCTTGTTCCTTTGGGTATGAACTCACACCACTCTGGTTTACCTTAACTAGAGGGACTTACTCTCCCACAATTTAATTTCCAAGCTCTAATGCAAAACAGGCTTATTTGCTTTGACAGGCAACTACAGGATAAACAGAAAGGGGCAAATTTATATAGTCAGCTAGCACTCTGCCATTATGAGTAATATGGCTTAACAAGAAAGGAAATGAAGAAATAAAAAAAGATCCCAGACACCATGAGATTTCCCCTAAAGAACTTATTTCCAATGAACCCTAGAAAATAGAACCAGGACAGGCTCTCAGAAGAACAGGAGAAACAAATATTGATTGATTTATTCATAATTTGTGTCCCATCTTCTGCAAAAATCTGATGTGGTTTAGAAAAAAGAAATGTCATAGAATCTTTTTTTTTGCAAGATATTATTGCCAGAGGCATTCAAATAACTTTGGAATAGATGGTCAAATTCCAGGATGTCAAGCCAGTGGTATCATTTCCTCTGAACTTGAAAATTTTTGCTTAGAATACAATCTTACTGATGAAAACAATCAGTGCTGAAAGAGGATAATGTTATCTAAAATGTACTATGTTTTTCCTTTTATATAATATTGGAATGAATGCATGTTTTTGAAAAATTAAAAAAAATTAAAAGTAAAATGTAGAAATAAGAAGTCATCCTTTATTACTATTAACACTGTTAATAGTTTTTTGTTTGTTCATTTTTTAATTTTTTTGAGACAAGGTCTTGCTCTGTCACCCAGGCTGGAGTGCAGTAGTGCGATGATGGCTCACTGCAGACTTGACCTTCTGGGCTCAAACAATCCTCCTGCCTCAGCCTCTCAAGTAGCTGAGACTACAGGCGTGCAACACCATACCTGGCTAATTTTTATATTTTTTGTAGAGATGAGTTTCACCATGTTACCCAGGCTGGTCTTGAACTCCGGGGCTCTAGTGATCCATCTGCCTTGGCCTCCCAAAGTGCTGGGATTACAGGCGTGAGCCACCACGTTATTAATAGCTTTGAATATAGAGTAAGATTCATTATTTCTGGACAACTCTGTGCCCATATCCCCTTTCTAAAAATGCCACAGTTTCCTTTTGGGGAAGTGTTCTCCCCCTAATTTAACCTTTATATTAGTAGCTGAGGTCATCCCGAAACTCCTCAGACTGTGCATCACAGGTGAAGTTGGAATGGACATTGGAGATGCCTCCATGTTGTGCAAGACACCCTGGGATGAGTTTACATATTACTATTAACATCATAGAGCAAATGCTTTTACCTGATGTATTTCCTTGATATGAGGCTGTAGGCCAGAGTCAGCATGAGAGACCCTGAACGCATGGTGTGAAGTTGTGCAGAGAAACAAAGGAAAGGAGAGTTGAGAGGCTGTGGAGGGCAGACTGCCAGCCATTGTTAGCCTGACGACCAGTCCTGTGTGGGGGAATGAGCTTGAACTCCTGTTGGGTTAAACTGGCTCTTACTCCAGAGAGGAAATCTGTTGTTGCTGCCTGGCCAGCATCTGTTTTCCCTTCTTCTGATATCAGCAGCTCGGCTTTCCTCTGGGAACCCCTTTTTCCCCACTTTCTGTCTGTGTCTAAATGATGGGGCTGACCTCCTGTGCCTGACTCCAGGGATGGGTGCATAATCCAGGTCTAGCCAATTAGTCAGTTCTACCCTCTTGGCCACAGGGGTTACTTCAGAAACAGACACATGACGTCCCTCAACCCAGTAACACTCAATTCTATTACGGATTTTGGAATTACCCAGCCAAGAGTGCTCTTTTTAATTGTGCTGGGTTCGTTTGATAGCTTTGAAAATATAAATGCTCACGTTCAGTGCTAACTTAGAGAATGCAGCCAAGACCAGGGATCACCAGCAGAGCTGCTTGACGGTGTTGTTTGAGCACCAGCAGCGCCTGAAAGTTGTAACCCTTAAACTTGATGACATGAGTCAGGACATTTCCTTTTTTGTTGTTTTTATTTTCTGCTAAGACATTTTGAGTTGTGTTTCTATTATATTCAACCAGAAGAGCGTGGCTAATAGACTGCATTCCCTGTAATTGCAGAACCCAGCTCCCTCCCACAGTCAACCGGTGCATAGCCCTCCATGTTCCCTGGTTGGGTGTTTTTCATCTGCTCATGAACAGATGTGGTTGTCAGTCTCTTGGCCATTTTGTCCTCCTTCCCCTGCCCTGGTTTCATCACTGCTTTTCTTGGGGACCACCACCTCTCACTGGGCCCTGTTTTGCATGCACTTCCATCCTGAAATGCTGGTGATTTGTTAATACTCAACTACAAATTGGGAGAGTAAGCCACTCCATACCCCTCTTTCCTGTATGTCTCTGTTGGTACCAGTCTATTTTGCTTGTGATCAAATCTAAATGAGTTCTTAGCCAAACAGCTCTTTTTTTTTTTCCTTATAGCTTTCTCTTGACTCCAGACATGAGCGTGTAGGGGTTTGACTTTGGAGCAACTGGGAATGTCAGTATCATTATGTATTTGGAATTTCCCCTGCCCTCACTAACCAAGCTACGCTTAGAATGGCAAGCTTTTCTCCTTAAGATCTTGACTTCTGTCCAAGGATATTCCTTACTTCACCAGGCCTCTGCTGGCCATACCCACATAGTGGACATCTTGCAAAGCTGGCAGTGAACAGAGGGGAAGCTCAGTCTGGATCCTATTTCTGAGAGACCGGAATTCAGGATTTGACTTTTTCTCTTGTCGTTAGACCATGTATATCCACTTTTGCTTTTATAAGTTTTCCAGAGGCAAACAAATATAACAATCCAAAATGCCTCTTATGAGGAAATTAGTTACTTTTAGTAAAACAGTTTTTGTTAAAGCAGAGCTAAAGGAGCATCTATTGCCCAGTGTTTAAGTAGCAGACACTGTTGGCTACTGATTGAAAATCCATTTTCCCGGTTTATTCCTTTCTCCCTTGATGCCAGAGCCCACTTTCTACAATAAGGGTGAGCTCCCTGGACATTTACTTTTCAGCCTCCCTTGTAAATAGGGCAAAGCCATGTGACTTATTTCTGCTAAGGGAACCTGAGGGGATGTTTGTTTGGGGGCAGCTGCTGTTGCTTCTGCTGTTGCATTAGCTGCTGCTTCTCCTCCCTTGGCCCTTTCCCTTCACTCTCTCCTCTTCCTCTTGCTTTTTAAGCAGCTTTATTGAGATATAATTAACACAGTATAAACCACACATATTTAAGGTGTACAATTTGACAAATTTTGACATATGTACACACCTGGGAAACAATCGCTACCGTTGAAGTAATGAACAAATCCATCAACCCCAAAAGTTTCCTCTCTGCCCCTTTGTAACCCACTCCTTCTTTCTCTCCCTGCCCTTCTCAAGACCAGGCAAATACTGATCTGCTTGATGTTAGGATACATTCATTTATTTTTTTCCAGCAGTTTTTTTTTTTTTTTTTGAGACAGGGTCTCACTCTGCCACCCAGGCTGGAGTGCAGTGGCAATCTCGGCTCACTGCAAGCTCTGCCTCCCGGGTTCAAGCAATTCTCCTTCCTCAGCCTCCCAAGTAGCTGGGATTACAGGCATGCACCCCCACAACTGGCTAATATCTGTATTTTTAGTAGAGACAGGTTTTCACCATGTTGGCCAGGCTGGTCTCGAACTTCTGACCTCAAGTAATCTGCCTGTCTCAGCCTCCTAGTGTAGTAGTTTTAACAAATGAATTCATATAGTATGTACTATGTACTGGTTTTTTTTGCTCTGACTTTTTTCTCTAGTCATAATTATTTTGAGGTTTATCCACATTGTTACATCTCAGTAGTTCATTCCTTTTTCTTGTTTAGTGGCACTCCATGGTATGAATATATTACAATTTGTTCATCCATTCTCCTGTTGATGGACATGTGGGTTGTTTTGAGTTTTGGGCGATCACAAATGAAGCCATTATGAGCATTCATGTACAAGTCGTTGCATGAACATGTGCTTTCATTTCTTTTGGGTGAATGCTGAGGAGTAGAATAGCTGGATCACATAGTAGATTTATGTCTAATTTTTAAAGAAACTGCTGTTTTCCAAAGTGGTTGTGCAAGTTTACATTTTCAACAGCATTGTATGAGATTACCAGTTGCTCCACATCCTCACCAACACTTGGTATGTCAGTCTTTTTACTTCTAGTGATTCTGTCAGAACGTGTGTATTGGTATCTCACTGTGATTTTCATTTGAATTTTCTTGATGACTAATGACACTGAACATCTTTTCATGTGCTTACTTGCTATCCATATATTTTTTCGTGAAGTGTTTGTTCAAATCTTTTTGGGTTAATTTGCTTTTTTATTATTGAGTTTTGAGAGTTCTCTACATCTTCTGAATACAAGACCTTTAGCAGATCCATGATTTGCCAATACTTTCTCCCAGTCTGTGGCATATCTTTCCATGCTTTTAACATCATCTTTCTAAGAGCAGACATTCTACATTTTGGTGAATATAGCCACTCCAGGTTTCTTTTGATTAGCATTAGCACTGTATATGTTTACTTATCTTTTTTTTTTAACCTATTTGTGTCTTTGTATTTACAGTGGGTGTCTTGTAGGCAGAATTAAGATGGTCTTTTTTAAATGAAATCTTTCAATCTTTGTCTTAAACCATTTACATTTAATGTGAATATTGACATGATCATGTTTAAATTTATTATTTTGTGACTTGATTTCTATTTGCTCCATTTATTCTTTGTTGCATTTATTGTCTTTTTTAGATTAGTTAAAATTTTTTATGGTTCTATTTTATCTCCTTCATTAGCTTATTAGCTATAACTCTTTTGCTATTTTACTGATTACTTTGGGTACATAGTATAGATCTTTAACTTATCACAGTCTTCCTTCAAGTTATATTACACTACTTCATATACAGTATAAGAACCTGATAATTGTAAACTTCCATTTCTCCCCTTTTGAGAGAAATAATTTTTGTCATACATTTGACTTTTACGCATATTATAAACCCCACACTACATTGTTATTGTTTTTGTCATTCAGTAATTTATCTTTTGAAGAAATTAAATAATAAGAAAAATTTATTATATGTTTTCCAATAGTTACCATTTCTAGCGCTTTGCATTCTTCTGTGTAGATTCCAGTTTTCATCTGGTATCATTTTCCCTGGCCTGAAAAAATCCTTTAACATTTTTCTTAGTGTGGTTCTGCTGATTATAAAATCTTAAGTGTTAATTTTGCCTTCATTTTTGAAATGTATTTTCACTGGGTATAAAATTCTAGGTTGACAAACCTTTTTTTCTCATTTCTTTAAAGGTGCTGTTTTACTGTCTTCTTACTTGCACTGTTTTTGATAAGAAATTACGACTATTCTTATTTTTATATACACACATTGTGTATTTTTATATTTACATACATACATATATAAAATATACATACACAATTTATATACATTGTGTATATTTTATATATACACACATTGTGTAATTTTATATTATCTTATTTTTATATACACACATTGTGTGTATATACACTGTGTAAACATATCTTTTTTCTATTCTACATTTAAGATATTATCTTTACATTGGTTTTAAGTAATTTGATTATGATATGCTTTGGTCTCATTTTCTTCATGTTTCTGATGCTTGGGGTTCATTGAGCTTCTTGGATGTGTGTGTTTATAATTTTCATAAAATTTGGAAAATTATCTGCCATTCTTTTTTTAAATATTATAATTTTTTTTTACCTTTACTGCCTTTGCTTTTAGGGACTCCAATTGCATATCTATTTAGGACTCTTGAAGTTTCCCACAGCTTACTGATGTTCTGTTTATTTTTAAAGGAATATTTAGCATAGTTAATATTCCTGTTACTTTATATTCACTAATGTTTTCTTATGCAATGTCTAATCTGCCAATAATCCTATTCAGTGTATTTTTCATGTCAGGTATTGTGTTTATCTTTTATATTAAATTTTCTCTGCTTTTAAAAAATATCTTTCACATTTCTATTAAACTTTTTGGATATATGGAATACAGTTATGAAATCTGTGTTTCAGTGCTTTTGTCAGCAAATTCCAACATCTATGTCAGTTCTGGATCATTTCAATTGATTGACTTTCCTTCCAATTTTGAATCTTACATTCTTGCTATTGTATTGTATTGTATTGTATTGTACTGTACTGTACTGTATTGTATTGTATTGTATGTTATGTTATGTTATGTTATGTTATTTGTTTTGAGACGGAGTCTCATGTCCCCCAGGCTGGAGTGCAGTGGCACAGTCTCAGCTCACTATAACCTCTGCCTCCCAGGTTTAAGCAATTCTCCTGCCTCAGCCTTCTGAATAGCTGGGACTACAGGCATGCACCACCATGCCTGGGTAATTTTTGTATTTTTAGTAAAGATGGAGTTTTGCCATGTTGGCCAGGCTGGTCTTGAACTCCTGACCTCAGGTGATCCACCCACCTCAGCCTCCCAAAGTGTTGAGATTACAGGCATGAGCCACCGTGCCCAGCCCATTCTTGCTTCTTTATACATCTGGCAATTTTTGCTTGGATGCCAGACGTTATGAATTTTACCTTTTTGTGGTCTGAATGTTTTTGTATTTCTACAAAACGTCTTTGAGCTTTATTCTGGGACTCAGTTTCTTTACATGAAAACTACTTGATTCTTCTAACTCTTGCTTTTAAGGTTTGTTAAGCAACACCAGAGCAGAATTTAGTCTAGGGCTAATTATTTCCCACGATTGAGGCCAGGCGCATCTTAGTCTCGTGAATTATGAGTTGTTGTTGTTTTTTTTTTTTTCCAGTCTGACTGGTTGGAAGAGGCCCTTTTCCCAGCCTTTGTGTGAGTACTAGATACTGTTTCGTCTACTCCTTTTGGGTGGGAATTTCTTCAGGCTGTCCTGCAAAATTAAGCTTCTTTGCTGTCCTCAAAACTTGCAGCTCTATCTTTTCATCTGAGAGTCTGTCAGCCTTGATTTCAATTGCCTTTTCCTATACCAAAGCCTGGAACTTCTCTCAAGGTAGTAAGCTGGGAAATCATAGAGCTTACCTCACTTTTCTTCTGGTTTTTAGGAATTACCTTCCTAAAATGTAAGAAATATCTATGATTTCTTATTTTTTTAACTTTCATTTTAAGTTCAGGGGTACACGTGTAGGTTTGTTACTAGATAAACGTGTGTCATGGGGGTTTGTTGTGCAAATTATTTTATCACCTAGGTATTAAGCCTAGTACCCATTAGTTGTTTTTCCTGATCCTCTTCCTCTTCCCACACTCCACCCTCCGACAGGCCCCAGTGTGTGTTGTTCCTCTCATGTATCCATGTGTTCTCATTATTTAGCTCCCACTTATAAGTGAGAACATGTGGTATTTGGTTTTCTGTTCCTGCATTAGTTTTCTAAGGATAATGGCTTCCAGCTCCATCCATGCCCCTGCAAAGGACATGATCTCATTCCTTTTTATGGCTGCATAGTATTCCATGGTGTATATGTACCACATTTTCTTTATCCAGTCTATCATTGATGGTCATTTGGGTTGATTCTGTGTTTTTGCTATTGTGAATAGGGCTGCAGTGAACATACACATGCAAGTGTCTTTATAATAAAATGGAAATATCTATGATTTCTGTTGGTGACAGTCGGAGGTACTGTGGTTTATGATCTACATTCATAATTGAAGAAAGTGTTAGATTTCTATTACGGTTTTCTGAAAATAAAGCTGTAAACTTTTTCCTTCCATGTTTATGAACCCTATGGATTCTATCCTCAGACCCCTTAGTGATTTGTGTACTCCAGGTTAAGAACAGCATTTTACATGGAAGATGAACATTTTAAAAAAGTTTCACAACTATGTGTTTATTTTAATGTGTGTTGAAAAATAATATAGCTAGTGCTGCCCATCCAGAACTTCATGTGTATTGTTGCTCAGGACAAGGCTAAATTTTTAAAAAGGAATAATTCATAGTTGATTTAAACAAAAATATTAAGTAAGTGACAGAACAGATAGTACGTAAATATGACAAAAATTGTGAAGATGAACTACAAATGATGGGTTTTGGAAACTGTCAGTGTCCCACCTTACTGTACATTCTTCTAGCCATTGCCTGCACATCATTCATTGTTTAACATTATATCACCAGAATTCAGACAACAAATAAATCCACAGACTGATGCTTTCATAATTCACAGGACCATACATTCATACAAACATGTGAATGAGTAGTGTGAATGTATAGCCTTTGACATTTGAAGTTCCAAACGATGTATTTGGGTGAGTTCTATAGTTCCTCTAGAATTGAAAGGCAGAAACTCAAAACTATCTATTATTAATTAGGCAGTCAAATCAGATGATTCAATTGCTGTTCCATTTGTTAGCAGGTTGGGGTTGTGCAGTCCCCTACTGGCTGGGCTTTAGGCAGCAATGGAAGTCTGTGATTGACGTCTGCCATTTGCAATGTCAATTGGCTACACAAGCAAGAATGGAGAGATTCTTTTGAAGGAATAATGCATTTCTATTCTTTATCTTTTGCTGAGACATGGCCACAAACAGCTCCTTCATTTTTTCAACCTTTCCTAGGGTGCTGAATAAGTAGCCCTTTGAATTGAGATCTAGAGCCATTTCCCTGATTGCCAAATTAGGATGGCTGAGCCATCCCAGCATTGAGAATAGCTGATGTGAAGCCATTTTCATGTGTTTGTGTGCTCAGCAATTGGAAAAGGTTTTGTGAACTGTTACAGGCTCCCTCTAGAAATGCATAACCCTTGTGCTTGTCCCCATCACTCTGTAATCAGTATCTTCTACAGAACAGTTGTATTGATCATGAATGTATTTAAAAGGATCTCTCCACAACCAGAATATCTGAAAAAAGTCTTTCATTTCCTTTTACCTTCCTGGAAGAGTGTTTTGCTGCTACATGAAGGTGCACATGTCTGGGAAGGCTCAGGAATGGATGTTGACATCATGTCATAAACCCCTATTGTGGTTTCAGTCATTTGTGGAATGGTTGCAGATGGCGATCAACTGAAGAACGGATTTGTGGCGTTGTTGGTAAGGATATTTGACCTCACCCATCTCCATTTCTGATGCATGCAGGTGTTTGGAGGAAATCCATTACAGACAATCTCAAATTAGTTTAATTCATTTTGGCAAATACTTGTTAATGGCTAACTAGGTGCCAGACCCTCAAATAGATGCAAGGGCAAAGCAAATCTTAGTCATTGCCTTTAGGGACCTCACTGTGTGATGGAAAGACACAGGTGAGCCCCCTAAGTCCTCCATAAAAGGTCACAGCTGCGTGAGTGTGACAGTGACAATATGTAAATATCAGACAGATTGAAGAAAGAAGCAGGGAATGAACTCTATCCATGAGGATGAAAGTAGGGATGAGATGTGAAAAGAACAAATATTGCCAAGGTCACCTCTGGTACATTATTTTACTTAGATTGTCTATTGAATCCTCACAGCTTGTCTGTAAATTGTGTATAAAAATTTTCATGCTACAGATAAAGAAACTGAGTTTCAGAATGATTGAGAAACTTGCCCTATCCTTGGGTCATGTGGCTACTAAGTCAGTAAGGTTGGAGTAGATACTAAATCTCCTAAATATTTCTTGATTCCATCAACTTCTTTCTATTTCCAAGCCACTACCATCTTGTCCCGTCTGCCATGGATTCTAGCTGGGCTCTAGGAAGCCTTCTCAAATTCATTCTCCATCCTGCAGGCAGAGGGATGTTTTAAAACTGCAAGTCTAAATATTGCCATACCTTCCTTTAAAACCTGCCGACGCCTTCTCATTTTTCTTTAGTTTGCTTTGGTGCTGCTTAAAGTCTCCTTTTTGAATGTCACAAAATTTCTTTTTCTCATTTTCTCAAACATCGCATGCTACCTCTTGCCTAAGAGTCTTTGCACAGCCCAGTTTCTAGACTTGTGTCCTCAGATCAAAAGTCAGTATTCTACCTCCTAGATTATATCAGGTTCATTTACTCTCATGGCTCCACAATAATAATAATAGCTAATATTTATTGAGCACTTAATATGTGCAGCCAGCTTTACAAACACTCTAAATGTATCAGTTCAGTTACATTTTACAACAGTCTCAGGAGGTGTGCACTATTAGCTCAACTTCACAGATGTTACTTGCTCAAGAAGACCTCACTTTTCGGTGAGGAATCTGCTTGATTCTGAAGTCCATACTCCCACTACTCCATTACACTGCCTTTATAGTCATGGTAATGGTCATGGAGATGTGCCCTTAGATCTCCCTTAAAGAAAACTGCTGTGAAGAGTGTAGCTAACTGAACCTTCAGATTCGTTGCTGCATTCACACAACAGTGAACCTATGCTTTTCCCAGGCTGCCCTTGGCAATGACCAAACATGGTGAGGACACTAGAGCAGGGTTATTTTTGCCCAGTGCAGGATGGCTTTATGGGCAATCTTTGCTCAAGGAATTCCTGTCAACCTTGCCAAGACTTTGTCAGAGTGACAATGTTGTTTGCGGTTCTTCCTACCAAATCCTCTTTCTGTCCTCCTTTGTCATTGTTAGACCTGCATTGCATTCTGAAGTCTCTCCATGCCTGTTCTTGCCTCCTCTCCCTTAGTCTTTCCCAGGAATTTCCGTCAATAAATCTCTTGCATGTCTAATTTCATTCGTGGCATCTGCTTCTCATAGGAGAACTGATATAGCATCCTATATGTTTCTTCGCAGTGCATGTTAATGGATTGTAATTATAAATGTATTTGTTTGCTCATTTGATTAAAGTCTGTCTCTCTCTCCCACAAGACTATGAATTCTGTAGCAGTAAGATCTTTTTATCTTTTGCTCCTCAGTGTATTCTTGACACTTTTAGCACAATGCTTGGCACAATACATATTGCTCCAAAATTGATTGATGATTGAATAAGGCCAGGGCTAGCTGGCTCCGAAGCTTCCTCTGTTTAACTAGGAGTTCGTTTTGTGCTTCACTTGGGCTGATGGACTCCTGAAGGTAGTGTCCTGAGCAAAATTCAGTATGTTGCAAGGCTATATTCAAGTCCAATCATAGTAGAGATGAAAATTAAACTTACATGACCACATTAGTTCTAGAATCACTTTTTAAATTATTTTTTTTTTAAAATCTCAACATTTAAAAAATATTTTCAAACACAAAGCAAAGTTAAAACAATTTTCCATGAAAACCTGTATACTCACCCTTAGATTCCACCATTAATACACTATAATTGTTTATATCATATATCTATCCAGCCATCCATTTATCCATCTTATGTTTTTGACTCACATTAAATTGTAGCCAGTATACTGCTGCCTAAATACTTCAATCTTCATATTATTAAAGTTTACAATTTCTTTACGATTTTACTTTTGCTGTAAAATTCAGCAAATGAGATGCACACATTTTAAATGTATATTTGATAAGTTTTGACAAATGAGTACATCTGGGTAACCCAAGCCTCTATCAAGTTACAGAACACTGCCATCATCCCAGAAAATTTTTCTGCAGGTCTTTCCTAGTCAATGCCACCCCCACTTTTCCAGAGGCAAAGATGTTTCTGACTTTTTTTTCCATCATAGATGAGTTTTGTCTGCTCAAGAACTTCCCATAAATGAAATAATAATGTACTCTTTTACGTAAGGCTTCATGTCACTCTTCTGCTTAAAATTCCTGCGTGGATCCATGATCATAGATCATGAATCTACAAATCCCATGGTACATAAAGCAAATACCTTAACTCTTCATGATCTCCAGGTTTGCCTCTTCTACATTGTCATTCTATGGTACCGTTCCTCAAATGCACCATTCTAAGTTGCTTTTGAACTTTCAGGCATAGTTTCCTCCACCTGGAGCACTTTATTGACTCCATCCCATGCCTTCACCTGATATAGAGGTTGACCGTTGCTTTTGTGGGCCCAGCGTCTCTTCTCTTTTTCCTCTGGTAACATCAATCCGTCCTCCACGTGTGCACTACCTCTCCATTCCCCACATGATTCTGTCGGGCTTTCAGTGGCAGTTCTCTGCCTTCCTGCCCTCAGTTCCTGTCAATTCATAGTCACTCATCCCATTAACCCTGGTAATTCGTTAAGGGGTTGGGACATGTGACCTAAGCTGGACAAATCATAGCCTTTACAAAGATTTTATGATGAAAAAAAGTCAACTTTACAGAGAAATTAGAAAACGTTAATTTCCATTATCTAGATTCTACCATTAACTTTTGTTATACTTGCGTTATCACATACCTTTTCCACTACCTGTCCATTCACTCCTCTGTTATCCATCAATCAATCCATCCTATTTTTTGGTATGCATTTCCAAGGAAGCTGCAGTCATTGGTAATCTTCACTCCTAAGCAGTTCAGCATAGATCTTATGAACTATAATTCGATATTTGTTTATGGTTTTGAGGAGCAAACTTTACATACAGTAAAATGCACAAATCTTAAGTGTACCACTGGCTGAACTTTTGACAAGTTTTCAACACAAACCACTATGGAGACATGGAGGACATTGCCATCAGCTCCAAATGTCTCCTCTTGCCCCTCCCCAATCAATTCTTGCCCTCATTTCTACCTAGAGACACCACTCACTATTCTGTTTTTTTTTTTTTTTTTGAGATAGTGTCTTTCTCTGTTGCTGAGGGTGGAGTGTAGTGGCATGATCATGGCTCACTGCAACCTTGAACTCCTGGGCTCAAGGAATCCTCCCATCTCAGCTTCCTGGGTAGCTGGGACTACAGGCACATGCCACCATGCCTGGCTAGTTTTTGTATTTTTTAAAAATAGATACGGGGTTTTACCATGTTGCCCAGGCTGGTCTCGAACTCCTGGGCTCAAGTGATCCACCTGCCTTGGCCTCCTAAAGTGCTGGGATTACAGGCATGAGACACCATGCCCAGCCCTGAATTTTTTTTCAACCATAGATTAGTTTAGTTTCTTCTAGAACGTCACATAAATGGAATCAATCAGCATGCACTCATTTGTGTAAGTCCATCATAATGTTTTGGACTTCGTAATGTTTTGGACATCTAAATGTTTTACTTTTTTTTTTTCAAGTCTTCCCAGTTTTGAGCCAATACATTCCCTTTTAATGCTTAGACAATTTCAAGTTGGCTTCTTATAACTTACAATCTGAAGAAACCTGGCTGATCCACATAGAACACTATCACTCATCCATCAGGCCTCGGGTTAAAGGCTATTACTTATGCCTATTAATTCAGGTTCTCCTTTCTATGTACTTTCATAGGACAAATCATTTCTGTAATCTATTTGTGTTTTGGTTTGCCTGATAAACTGTAATCTCACTGAATACAGAGACTTTGTCTGCCTGATTTGCCAAATATTGGCGAACTGCCATGCCACCAACCTCCCGAACAGTTTGCTTCTCTCAGTGGTTGTTTAATAAATATTTGTCCAAGGAATAAATGAATGATTGACTGCTCTTAGCTCTTCTAGTGGGCATATTGTAACTCTAAGTCTGCATTCACCACAAAAAAATCTAAAAAAATTACTGGTCAAACAACTCAAAAATTAGGTTTATAAAATGATGATTTCCTTCACCTTGCATTTGCCATTCCTACTCATTTTTCTTTTGATGGCTTATTGCTTTCTTAGAAATATGTTTTCTTGACTTCTGAACTGAAAGACAATATACTTTCTTTTGCCCTTTATATCTTAGGACACTTACTCTTTTTATACAAGATTTACTAATACGTTCTGACATTCTGATGTATTAATGACTGCTCATCAATAAGTGTATTTATCTTTGTATTTTACTACAGTAGGATTCTTTTGTGGCAATGCATTAGCTTAAAGATGTGACACCCAGGTTACATCTTTTTTTTTTTTTTTTTTTTTTTTGAGATGGAGTCTTGCTCTGTTGCCCAGGCTAGAGTGTAGTGGCGCAATCTCCGCTTACTGCAACCTCCACCTCCTGGGTTCAAGTGATTCTCCTGCCTCAGCCTCCTGAGTAGCTGGGATGGGATTACAGGCACCCACTACCACCCCTGGCTAGCTTTTTTGTATTTTTAGTAGAGATGGGGTCTCGCCATGTTGGCCAGGCTGGTTTTGAACTCCTGACCTCAAGTTATCCACCTGCCTTGGCCTCCCAAAGTGCTGGGATTACAGGTGTGAGCTGCCGCGTCCGGCCCCAGGTTACATCTTTAAGATGTAATGATTTCTCATTGATAGGATTGCTTTTTGGGATCAGGGGCTCTACTCTGCTTCAGTTTTACATATTTCATTCCTTAATTTCCTCATCCACAGGAAATCTCCCAAAAATAAAGCTAAAAAAGGTAGATGAATCAGACACATGAGTTTTCTTTATGTTGTGGTAAAAAAATAGCCCTAAGATCTCATTGGCCTAAAACAACATTTAGTTCTTGCTCATATAAAGTCTGCCATGGTTTGCATGACTTTCTTTTTTTTTTTTGAAATTCCAACTTTTATTTTAGAGTTGGGGGTACATGTGCAGGTTTGTTACATGGGTGTATTCAAGGCAGCATTTCGTGACTCTGCATTACGCCTCCCAATCAGTGGGTGCTTCCTCACTCGTACAGGCTGGAGAAGAGGAAGCTGTACCTTGTGTGCTGCCTTTTAAATGCATTTGCTCAGATTTCATTGGTCAAAGCAGTCACATGGGCACACTTAGTTTCCAGGTGGCAGGGAAGTATTAATCCTATCAGATGTTTGGAAGGACGCGAAATTGAAATATTGGGGAACAGAACCAATGGCTATGGTTCTGAATCTCTTGCATTATGGTTGGTTGAAATGGGATATGAGTATTGTGTTTTAGGTACTTTGGACTCTCAATAGTTGAACTCTACATGGGACTTGAAGTGGGATTCATTCAGAGGAGGATTTTTGAAGGCCTGCTTTCCTTTTCTTTTTAAGCACTTACCTACAAAGCAACTGTGTTAAATAGAACATCAACTTCAGTTCTCAGCAGAAAAAAATTATTCTCTCCCCCAGGTAATTTCAGTTTTAGTCAAGCATTTCAATGCCAGCCTGATATTGTAGAAATTTAGGGATTTTTTTTAGATTTTTTGAGAGAATGAATCATGGAGGGAAAGCCCTTGGGTAAGCCCAGGTTTTAGCTGTTTATCTTTTGAGAAATGTTGATTGCTGTGCAGTAAAAAGTTGGACTCTTGTGTTCACAAAAAAAGAAAGAACAAGTTAAAAGGAGCTGCTTTTGCTTTTGGTTTAAGAGTCTTTCTTAATAAGGAACAATGAACATCAACACCCAGTTATTCAGTAAACCAATTAAATTAAATTAGCACAGCCAGGAAACAAAGGAACAATCCTTCAACTCTTCCATTTATACCATAGACTCAGCAGTCACAATACAAGAAAGAGGAGTAACAATACAGTCTGTAAAGGCAATTAATATTAATTTTTCATTTTTTTCTCCAGCTAACATACTTAAAATGCTTCCCTGCCCCCCCCCAAAAGACAGCTCTAGTATATTATTTCTCTTTTCTTTTCATTCACAATACAATTGAGATAAAATTAGCTTTTTTGCGTCTTTCCCATTACTGGTTTACATTCAATGTTGTGTCTTTGAAACAGTTTTAAGCAATCTCCTTCGGGGACTTTCCCATTGCTTACCCTGGTTAGTCTGTAACAAGGATGGGCTATCCCAGTACAGTAAAGAATGCTGGCTTTAGAGAATGGTCTTAGGTCAAGAATTATTATTGCTCAAGGCCTTCGAGATCTAGTTATGGGTTTCTGCAAACCCTGTGGGCTCTTATGATAATGCTTTTCTCCACTATTATTGTTATAAGGCATTAAATCAGTCAGATTCATGAGCAACAAGAGGTCAACGTCTGATTGAAATTCATAAGGTCAAAAAGGAAACTAAAAATTAATTTATAAGATATGAAGATTTAGGTTCAAACTATATCCATGAGCAATAAAATTTCACATCCATAAATGTAAGAAAATCAGTTATTAAACTTGAGGGGGGAAAGAAGACTTATTAAGTTTTACACACACATAAGGCAGCTAACACATAATTTTATCAGACATTACTGAAATCCTGTGTGTAATATAAGGGATGATGGGATAAAATGCTAAATGGTTTAGCACTAAATTATTAAGTGATGTATCCCTAAGGTATTAAACAGATAGAAAATGCAGAGCAGGTGTCTCTCCTAGCAAGACTTGATCACCAGTTTAAGTGCATATTGATAACAAATGCACTTCAGAGAGAAAATAGTATTAGTAATATTTTTGCTGCGTGAAAGCCTGGTGTCAGGATGACTAAAAGCTTCTCCCTGACAAAGAAATGTTCATTTCTTCTTCTTCTTCTTTAAAAAAAAAAAAAATTAATCATGTTAAATGTTAGGTCCCTATGGAGCAAAAGGGGAACTCTAGAGGGATTTGAGTGTTTCCTTATCTCTTTCCTTCCATCATTTCTGCATGCAAAAAATAGAATGAGTGGAAGAGAAGATCTATCTACATAATATAGTAAAAATGGAAAACATGAACACAGTTAGTGTGGCAAAATAAAAAGATAGTTTTGCCAGGATGAGAGTAAAGAAAAGTTTATGAAAGCAAATATTGGCATTAAAAAAACCCAACTTAGAGCCACAGTGCAGTTAATAGCTTAACTCTGTTCTTGGCTTGATGTCCATTTTATTCCACTGATAAAAGGAAAATAGAATCTTTCTGGTCTACTTGGTAATCAGAGGCTCTGGCTGAAAATTAAATAGTGAAAACATGTGTTTGTAAGTGAGTTGGAAGGCATCTCTCTTTTTTCTCCGTAGATGCCATATAAATCTAAGCATAGTTCCTGATAGGTTTATGGAAACACGATGTTAGCTAGTTTTCTGTGGCCCTTGGGAGCTCCGTAAGATTGGCTCAAACCTCACTCCACACACTGTGGAAGCCCTGAATGCTCTCCTTAAATTGCGAAAATTCTCATGAGGCTAAAATGCTTTTGTTACCTATCATCCTTGGATCTGAGTGCTATGTTTGCTGCATTAGTTTCGTTTATGAATCTTTTCACTATTCCACTTTGTTTTGACCTATGATGGCCCATGTGTTGAATTGAACCCTTTCTTGAATTATACATATTCTCTCTCTCTCTCTTACACACACACTCACACCCTTCACTCAGAGAAGTCATGTAGACATGTAAGTTCAGTTGGTGTAAAATTGTACATGCAATCCTCATTTCACAGCTATGGGACGGAGGCTTTGAGAATTTTAGTAACTTGCTTGAGGCTCTGGAGCCTTGCGCATGGAGTTGGGCCTCCAACATAGACGACTGACTCTAAGTCCCTTGTCTTCTCTACTCTTCTGTCCTAGGCTTGAAATCCCCTGTTGGTATAGACAGAGGCCAGCAAACTATGCCACAAGGCCAAATCTAGTCCTCCATCTGTTCTTATCAATAAAGTTTTATTGGAACACAGCCATGCTCATTTGTTTACATGCACTCTACAGCCGCCTTCTCACTACAATGGCGAAGTTGATTAGTTGTGACAAAGACTGCACAGCCCACAAAGCCTAAACCTTATTCTCTGGCCCTTTACCAGAGAACAGTTTGCAGACCCCTATTGTAGACGATAGATTCGTATGTACTTCATGAACAACAGGGTTCATAAATATTAACAGGCGTGACATGATTTTTTAAAAGGGTGTTCTGTGATCTAATAAGTTAAGGAAATGCTGGTTCAAATGAAGTTAAAGAGACCCCTCCTCAGAGCCTTTACTGTACTGATGGGTGCAGTTTCTCTTCGAGAAGATGAAGAGATTTTGCATAACTTGAACCCAGAACTCTGTGTGTGTGTGTGTGTGTGTGTGTGTGTGTGTGTGTGTGTAAGTAATAATTTATAAGACACATTTGGGAAAGCCTGGATTGGGTGATAATTTGGGGAATATACTTCCTAAAGGGTGGCATTTGAATTCCTAGGTCTTCCTTGGGAAGGTAGCTAGAGAAGAGTAGAATTTTCCATTTGTAATATCAGATTGATTAATTTAATGTAATCTCTAATGTTACCTTAGAAAAAGGTTCTCAGTCTGTGGTCCAAAGGATCACTGGGATTTTCTATGACCTGGGCAGAAGCTAATCTCTTTTGACTTTATAGGAAAAAATAACCCACCAGATAGAATTTTGTTCATTTTATTTTCCTCCCCATACATTTTTCTTGAGCCTGTCTGTGAGTACCAGCTATAGGTGACCGGTGGATAAACAAGAATCAAATGATTATTAATAAAAAATTGGAAATGACAGACCTTATTTAGTTTGATAATTTTTTTAAAAAGGTGCATTTATGGTTGCTACATGGTACATGTGTCATGTAGTTATTTTCTGCCGAATGGGTTGCTCTTTGTATGTATGGTAAAATTATGTATCATGTATTTCGTGATATTCTGCATATAGCACACAGGGTTTCCAGGGGCTCTCGCTGGCTTTAGGAGGTTGGAACAGCAGTGTTCAGTGCTGGAAGATTATATTACTCACAACTTATTTGGTTGTGGATGACAAAAATCCAATTCAAATTCGATAAGTAATTGACTTGTATAACAAGAGCAACAGTGGATGTAGCTCCAGACATGGCCGTTCCCAGGAGTTCAAATGACATCACCAAAACTTTTGTTTCTCTTTATTGTTTTATTCTCACTTCCTCCAGTTGATTTATTTTCTTGGAGTGTCTAAGGTTATTGGCATTGCTAGCTTACATTGTTTCTGTAGGTAGAGATCCCAAATTTTCTTAAACAGCCTTGTATTAGTTCCCAAGAATGTCTTTGCTTGGTCCTGCCTGGCTCATTTGTCCAACACTGGAGCATTCCCTATGTCCAGGGTGAGGTATTCTGATTGGCCAGATTGGATGTCATGATCAGATGTGTGACCAGCAAGGGACATTTCATGTTTGACAGTCCCCCAGGAGCTAGAAGGGGAGGTTCCTAAAAGAGAAAAGAAGAATGTATTGTCTGAAGAAAAAGGAAGGGATATCAGAGGTCTGTCCACAGATTTAGGAGGCAGAGACATTGGCTTGGGGCAGAAAGAATATCAATTTGGGAAATAGGGGACCACACTAGAATGCAAGCTTCATGAGGCCAGAGTTTTCATTTATTCACTACTTCTAAAATAGGGCTTGGCACAAAATAAACACTCATGAATTGAGTGAATGAAATATTCAGATGGACCATGGGAATTCAGGATTTAATAGAAAATATCATGAATATCCTGGGGGTGATATGGTAGATTATAAAATGCCCACAATCGTTCACTCTTTCTTTAAAGAAGTGGAGTCTATTTCCCCATCCTTGCATCTGAGTTGGGAACAACCAACTTTGGACAATGAGACATTAGCAAACATCACTGGAGCAGAAGCTTGAGACACACTCATGCATGTAGGACATGCCAGGCTTGTCCTCGTGCAGCTGTTGGATCTCTGCCACCATTTGAATGAGCCAGAACTAGCCTGCTGGAGGATGAGGGACCGTGTAGAAGAGAGCTGAGGCACCCAAGCCAACAGCCACCCAGCTTCCCAGCTAATCCAGAAACCAATCACAAACTCACTAGTGAGTCTCAGCCAAGATCAGACAACCCTGGCCATGATCAGCAGCATCTCCCAACCCCAATTGCCAGTTTTCAGACACATGAACTAAATAGAAGTTAATGTTTTAAACCACTGAGTTTTGAGGGAGGTTTGTTATGCAACACATGCTAACTGATATAGGTACTTAGGTTCTTGCCTGAAGAGAAATACTGTCAGAGTCCAATTCTCTGATGACCAGTTTTTTCCTTGTTATCATTCTTACTTTCAAGCCCAGAGGTTTTAAAGTCCTCAAGTTCATGCCTCGGTTTTTCCTTCCCTTGGTGTGCAAATATATGCCTAACATTTGCATTTTTATCAGTCTTTCTATATTTCCTTGCCAGATTTTCATGAGAGTGTTTTATAATTATTAGTATTATTTTATTGTCACATATATATCTCAGTTAATGCCGACATGATTGTTCTTGCTGTTGTAACCTGAATTAGGAATTTTCACAGTTGGGTATTGATCATTCATGTAATTGTATGATGAAGGAAATACAATTCCCTCTCTGCCTTTGAGAAATCAAAACAGTGAGGAGAAAGGATGAGGCAAATAAAAAATCAAAACATGTGTGGTATTTTAAGAGGCACTGTCTTTATATTTTTTTTCCTTAAAAAGAGAAGCTATTATTGTTTAGGGAGTTTCTATTATAATAAATATCAACAAAATGGTTTGTTTGGGAGTTCAAAAAATACGTGCTTACTTGAAATGATTTCCAGGTAAAGTTTTATAAAATTACTCTTGCCTTATTATATTATGTACATTTTTATTGTATTAAAATACAAATTATATTACATAGCATTATAAATTGTTATTAAAATGATCTGCAGCATAACTAGCAGGGAACTTACATATAACTGTAAAAACTGAAATAAAAATCTATTAATGCAATAAACCTACTTAATAAAAGTTACTTTCATATTCAAAAACAAAATATTAAGGCATGCTTCAGATCTGAAAGTCAAAAATGAGGGAATAAATTAGTGAAGGTTAAGAACCTTGTAGCAGCTGACTAACAAAGCTCTAGGGGATTATAAAATTTCATGCTCTTGTAATAAAAAGGATAAAGGATTGGCCAGAAGACTACTAAAAGTTAAAATAAATGAACATAAAGGAGATGAAAAAGTCTGACATGAGTGTGACCACTAATGTGTAAAGACTAAAGACATGGTATTAAAGTGTTAGAGGCTGGAATTAAATGCAAAATGAATTCTGGTGGTAGATTAATAGAAAATTATAAAGGTAAATGAGTTCGGTTTCATGGTTTCAGAAAACTTTATATATCTCATTATTTTTCTTAGCACTTAAGAAGAAGCAGGGTAAGACAAATTAAAATTTGGCATAAACCATATTGAAGTGGGTGGAAGTGCCAATTATCCCCCAGTGCTATTCCCTGCGTATTCCCCGTGATTGACCTTTGCTTGTTAAGTGGCACATGGCAGCCCCAAACAAAGCAATTTTTCCCATCTCTCCTGTTCATAAGTGAGACCATGGATCTAAGTTCTCATTCAGTTAGTCTTAAGAGGAAGTGACAGCTTCCGGGAAATATATTCAAAAGGAGGTGGTGGGTGCTTTTATGTCTCTGGCTCTTCCTTCCTGATGGCTGGAATGTCGTTATAATGTCTGGTACTCCAGCAGTAATTTTGGACCATGAGGTGATCATAGGGATGGGAGCTGTACATGGGGAAGCAACAAGGCAGAGGGAGCCTGGAACCCTGCCCCTCTGTCCACCATGTCAACTTGGGCCTCCCAGTGCCAGACTTAGGAAACATCACCCACTGTTATTTTGGGTTTTCTATCCTTGCAGTCAAATACTAATCTTAATAAAGACAGAGTGGACTTCTACTATCTCCAGGCCTGCAGTGAAACACAGGATATAACAATACCAGCTCCCTTGTCAGGGTTGGGGTTGGAGGAGGGGCTCTGAGGATGTGACCACTGTGTTGATTGGTGCTGATGCTGGAAATGAGTGTTCCACTATAAATCAGGGTCTGCTCCAAAACTCAGAACAAGAGATACCGAGAGAGAGCAACCTGGTGGGGTGATGGCATTTGTTTCAAAGCTGAATTTACATTGGTAGAACGAAGAATTTAGGTTGCATTGCAGATCAATGTAAACAGCTATTTGGAAAGGTTGCTTTTCATCATATTTTCTTTAGATCGAGAAAATGTCAATTAATGAAAACAGATGCTTTACTACTGCTTATTTGTGGTGACTTTTGAGGAAGAATAATGGATTTTATGTGGGGGAGGCAGGCTCAAGCCCTCCATGAACTCCACCCGCCCCACATCTTGACCCCTCCACAGCTATAAGCATTTTTCCTCTTTGCCTTGACCTTTCCCAAGGCAACCTAGCAGAACAGTTGAAATGGCACTTCGTTGCTCTTAAGGAAACACCCCAACACCCCATACCTTTGCTATAGGTAGCATTTGCCCTTGATCCGGAGTAGATTTGCCAAACCATTAGAACAACTGCTGACCTGTATAGAAATTCTTATGGTCTGAAATTAATAATGGTGGAACTTTCTCAGGACTGTTAGGAAAAGTATCTTTTGGCTTTTCTTTTTATGTGTTCTCTAAGAAGCCATCATACATTGTGCCTCAGCCTCTGCAACCCCTGAACCTGCTCTGGGTATTCATAGCACACTCTTGACTAATGCTTACCTCTGTCTTTGCATGCACCGGGCTGCATTCTAGTCCCTCCCTTCCACGCTCCCTCCCTTTCTTTCTTCTTTCCTTCTACAATATTTACTTAGAGTCTACAATATTTATTTAGGCATTTTCTAAGCACTAGAAAGATGGCAGGCAACAAGACACATTAAAACAGTACATTCCTTCATAGTTTCACTAAGCTTTGGCCCTTGAATGCCCTTAGGGAAGAGTCATTTATGACTTTAGCTAAGGTTTAATTTTAATATATTAAAATGAGGTCAGGATGCAGAAGGGGAGCCCCTTTGTCAACTCGAATCCAGATTTTACATGATCCTTGACCTTATTCCTCTGATACACCTGGAAATTCTTGTGAAAGTAACAACAACAATAACAAAACAACTACAAATTTGCTTGTGTTGACAAATATGATATGAACAAGAAAAACCTACAGGTGATGAAAGTTGAAGGACAAGTGGAGATTTAAAAAAGGTGGTTTTTAGTTAGAAAATAGAGCTTTTAAATAAATTGAGGAGTGGAAGAAAGTATTCAAATGATGTCTTGCGTCTATGACTTTGTTTCTATAAATGAATGTAGATAAAATATTTGGAAAACCCAGCCCAGTCAGGGAAGACATTAGATTTTAAAACAGAGATAGATAACTAAAGACTCAAAGAATGGAGGATCCATGGGGCATCTGGAAGGTGGAAATTCACAAAGGACATGCCCTTTATCAACATAGGATGGGTATCCTTCAGGATGGGCTAGGAAGCAGCAGTAACTAACAACCCCAAGTATCAGTGCCTTAACACACTAAAGCTTATTTCTTGCTTGTGCCATAAATGCAGCAGGCTATCTAGGTGGAGTGGGGGAAACACTCTGCTGATAGCAGTCACCCATGTACCTAAGTTGAAAGAAGCAGCACTTCAACAGTGACCCTCATCACTGCAACAGAGGACCAGAATATGGTAAATCACTCAGTGCCTCTTAAAGCTTCCACCTGGAAGGAACACCTGTAACTTTTGTCTACATTTCATTGTCTAACGCAAACCACATGGCCATGCCTTCCCTTAGGGTAGGCAGGGGTTACCATCCTACCACGTACCTGCCAAGCAGAGCCTCTGAATTCATTGTTGAGCTGCACCAATGTCTATAGCGGTGTGTGCACTTAACCCCAAGGATGCCAGTCTCCCACTGCACAGGCAGCTCCTTGAAAGCAGAAACCCCTCATACAGCTCCTCAATCACCCCGTTCAGCCAAGGGCTTGGCACATAGGAGGTTTTCAGTAAATGTTTGTTGTACTGAATTGATCTCCATTCCACGTACTTCCCGAAACCTCTCATGATTTATTGGTAAAATTTTCACCCTTAATTAGTGAAAAAAGAAACTCTTTCTATGAGTTTATAAATTATTTACCTTACAAAGCCCTTCTGAGCTCTTCGAGCACACTGTAAATAATTTATGTTCATACTTGTGTGATTTCAAATTTGTTTATTAATGTTATCTTGGAGATAGAAAACAACCTAAGTGAAACCATCCTAACTTATTTTACAGATCACTTGGAACAAGAAAAAAAAGTGCTTTTCTTCTCATGTGGAAATGTTATTGACCCACCATTAGAGGGTGTGAAGGCCCAGTTCTTTCCCAATGTTAAGCAAATATTTCTGCTGGCCTGAGCCATGACATTCACGCCCATTTAGTGAATTCCTACTCTATCCACGTAATGAACTAACACGTTGAGTCTATAGTACTCAATATATCCAGCCCTGGATCCTTCTCCTGAACCTCAGCCTGTTTCTCCAACTGCCCTCTCCACATCTCCACGTGGATGCATCTCATTAACACTGCAAACTTAATGTGTCCAAAACAGAGCCCTTAATTTCCAGCCTCCTACCTCACAGCTCCCAAAGTCTTTTCCCATTTCAGAAACTGCAAACTCCATCCATTTTACTGCCCATGTCACAGACCTTACATATAGCTTTGACTTTGTGCCTTCTCTCATGCCCCGTATCTAATCTTCTGAAATATTGTTGGTGCCACCTTCAAAATATATCCAGACTCCAGTCGCTTTTTACCATCTCCACTGACACCACCGGAAGCCACCCTGCCTTGATTGCTTACCTGGTTTGTTTGTAGTGGTTGAAACGGGCATTCCGTTTCTGTCACTGGCCCTTGCACTCGACTTCTGTGTAGCATCCAAAGGAAGCCTTTTGAAATGAAGTCACTTCTCTGCTCAAAACTCCCCAGTGCCTTCTGTTTGTCAAGCCATGGAAAAGTCAGAGTCCTCCAGTGGCCGATAAGGGCCTACGTGGTTTGCATCCCATGCCCCCAACTGCTCCTACCATCCCGTGTCCTATCCCTCTTCCCCTCACACACTCTGTCCCAGCTATGGAAACCTCTTAGGGTTTATGTGAACCTTCTGTGAACATTCCAGCTCTGCTGCAGCTTTAAGACATTTGTGTTTGCTGTTTCCTCTGACTTAAATGGTTTCCCTTCAGAGAGCCACATCTTTCCTTCTGCCCATGGCTCTAAGTCTCTGCTCAAATGTCACCTTGACACTGAGGCCTGCCCAGACCTGCCTACCTATGGGGCAAACATGTCCTGTCTCCTTCACATTGCTCTCTCTTTCTCCGTAACGCCTGTGTATTTACTTGTTTATTTATACAATGCCCCCCAGGCCCTTTCTAGAATGTAAAAATAGTGCAGGCTGGGCTTTGATCATTTATTTCAATGCTGTCTCCCAGCCATCAAATAGAGATAGCCCGTAGTAGAAGCTCAATAAAGACTTGCTGAAAAAAAAATTATAATATGTAATTTTATTGTTCATGAGTTATTTCTCGTCATTAAGTATTAGTTTTCCAACTAAACTACAACATCTTTTCAGCAGAGACTAACATGGATTCCTTGTAATTCTCTTTGTTTCCAAATGCAAAATGGTCAGGGAATAGATTGCTGATAGTTGGGTGATGTCTTCCACTTTTCCAAGAGGGTTGACTCTTCTTGCAGAACATTCGTCACCAGAGATTGTCTTTAAACCAAAGTGTTTATGGCTTAGAATCTTGTTATGCAAAGTTAGAAATGCAGATTCTCAGGCCTCATCCCAGACCAATGACATTTGAATCTGCATTTTAACATGATGGAGGCCAGTGCCTGCTCCCTTCACGTTCGTATTCACAGGAATCCCCTGGGGATCTGATGAAAATGGAGATTCTGCATTTCTTACCGACTCTCTCCCAGGTGAGCCCATTGCAGCTGCCTCTGAGTGCACTCTGAGCAGTGAGGGCTTGAGAGTCTGGGAAAAGCTTTACCCACACTTAGACATTCACAGGGTGTGTCCATGTCTTGGGCTCTGAGAAGTCTTGCATTCGTCGCATTAGAAAAAAATCTAGTCGGCCAGGCGCAGTGGCTCACGCCTGTAATCCCAGCACTTTGGGAGGCAGAGGCAGGCGGATCACCTGAGATCAGGAGTTTGAGACCAGCCTGGCTAACATGGTGAAACGCTGTCTCTACTAAAAATACAAAAATTAGCCAGGCATGGTGGCAGGCGTCTGTAATCTCAGCTACTCGGGAGGCTGAGGCGGGAGAATCGCTTGAACCTGGGAGGAGGTAGAGGTTGCAGTGAGCCAAGATTGCACGATTGCACTCCAGCTTGGGCAACAAGAGCGAAACTCCGTCTCACAAAAAAAAAAAAAAAAAAAAAAGAAAGAAAGAAAAAAAGAAAAAGAAAAAAAATCTAGTCTAGTGTTTCCCAAACATATTTGGTGACATCAGTGAACATCATGAGGACCAGTGTTTCTGAGCACAGGTTTTGAGAATCCTCCTCCCGTTCTTTATTCCCGGGTCTCCTCTCCTGGCCTCTCTCTAGGTGCCGTGTTGATTTTTTTTTTTAATTTAAATTTAAAGATACCTCTTCCAGTATAGCTTTCAAGCTGAGCCTGGAGACATCTCCAGCCTCACCCCACTTCACTTCGCCCTTGAGTCGATCCTCTGGCAGCACCAGCTGCTCCCTTGGCTGCACGGTTCTTTCCTGTTTTATTTCACTCAGACAGATCTTTCCTCTTTAGGGTGCTCTCTCCTCATCTTGGTTTTTCCAGCCTTCCGCAATTCCTTCAGTCTCAGCTTGGGTGCCCTGTCCTCCATGAAGCCTGCCCAGATTTCTCGGATGGACTAAGTGCCCCTTTGCTTTCACTCCCTGGTGGGGAGTGGGGCAGTTGGACCTCCACGGAGCACTCATCGTGCTCTCTGTGGCCATCTACTTTGGTTTCTGTCCCTGCTCAAGATCCTGAGGGCTCCTCCTTGAGGGCAAGCTCAAGGTCTCCTCATTTATCCTCAGAACTTTGGACCTTCCAAAGTACGTATTAGGTAATTATCTGCATGGACCTTTAAAACTGAAGCTGAAAACATGTACCAAATCCACCCTTAAGAACCCCCCCTCCCGCTGCCTTAGGGCTTGGAGGCAACACCAGTAAAAACAAGTAAAAAACGGGGCAGGGTTTATTTAAAAAAAAAAAAATGGTGTGAAGAGCTCAAAGAAACATCAAAAGTCAATTTTTCAACGATGTGCAACTCTCCAAGTCAGAAAAATTTAATTTTAGGAAGAATAAGGCCAGGATGGATTGAAAATGGAATGATTTGAACATAGAATGTTTTGGCTCCAGGGGACGTAATAAACAGAGGACAGAGACTCCAAAGGATAGAGTGCCGAGCATTCACAGAAGCAGGGGATGCATAACATTGGAGCTTTTATCCAATACCAGGATGTGCATTCTTGGTTTTAGTAATATGTATGTATTTTAATGAGTATTAGAAAAAAAATTGGATTCTCCTATTTATGGTCACACTATCATAAGTTTCCTGACTTAATGCTTTTATTTGATTCAGGTCAAAGAAAAAAGTATAAAGACAAATTAGGACAGGTGGTATGTGGGTGGCTGATATACCAATGACTGATGCTGGGAAAATATTTTAAGAAACTGGACTGGTGATTGAGAAACCAGTTTTCCTGCCCTTTGGATACACAAACTTGCTTTGCTGTTCCTGTTGAGGGATGTTTGAATTAAGTGATGCTGCTCCTTCATATAGCTGATTGGACCAAGGGTGTTCTCCTGGCCTAAGTTGGGCCAATCCGATTCTCCTTTTCAGGAGTTTAGCTTTGGGACCCAGGGAGACCTAATGAGAATTCCGAGTGTGGTGTGGTGACTTGGTTGTCCTGTGGTTGCCATATTTTGCTATGTGAACTGAGAAGCTTAGATAGCTATGAGATATAGAAGGGAGAGTGAGATACAGAAGGGAGAGAGGGATACAGGGAAAGAAAAATAAAACAGATGCACAGAGAAAAGCAGAAATGACAGGCAGAGGCCCTGGTCACAGTTCTTTTCCAGATTCGAGTTCCTCCCTCGTCTGGCTGCAATCTTACCATTGGGTTTTCTGAGACACACTACCATGCTGATAACAAATCTCCACCTACCAACCCACTTCACCCCCAGCACTTGTCTCTTAGGCTTCTTTGAGTTACTACTGTTCCTTGCAGCAAAAACCCTCTATCAATGACTATCAAACAGGTAACTTACCTTCTGTGGACCTCAGTTACTTCATCTGGAAATGGCAGAAGCTAGCTAGTTTTCCCGAAAGTCAGGTCACACACCACTGGAGTAAATTGAGAAGACTCTAGGTGATATTTAGGTCCAACACCAAATATTGTTGAATTGCATAGTGATTCCATTTCTAAATGTCTTCCAGTCCTTCTGATTATATGTCAAGGAGAAGTTCAGTTTTATTCTAGTAGGTTTTCTTAAATGCTTTTCTAATGCTTTTTCTCTTTTTAACAAAGAGAAATGAGACTTCAGATAGGGAGATTTAAAGGCTATAATAGCCAGTTAGAAATTGGAATTTTTTTTCATTGAATTCATTTTTTACTGTTATTATTTATCATAAAATTATTTTAATTCTGGTTTTTCATTTATGGTAGTGAGATACAACTTCCTTTAAAAATAACTTTAAGATGGGGAGAGAAAAACCAGCTATTCCTTACAGTGGAATTCCAATTATAAATTCTGAATGACAGAAATAGAAAGTCACCATTTGGCCAACACCACAGTAATTATTATTGCAGGCAAGAATCATCAGTGAATGCTAAAATTAGTGGGTAAAATTAAGGTGAGAAACAGGATATTTGCATAGTCTCATAGACTAAAAGAATCTCCCCAGAAGGCACTATTTAGTACAAAGGAAGAAATAATACCTTTACAGTGGAGAAGAGGCTGACACTGCTTTCATCAAGAGACCAAAGTTAATAGTACATTAAACACCCCTGATATGAGGCACTGAGAAGGCGCAGCACCACTGTCAAAAATTGTTGACTTCAGGCTAATCATGAGTAAACATCAGACAAATGTAAACCGAGAGATATTTTACAAAGTAGCTGGTCAGTGCTCTTTGATCATGTTGAGGTCCTGAGAGACAAAGGAAGACTGAGAACCTGTCACAGATTGGAGGAGACTAAGGAGGCATGACAACTGCACACAATCCTGGCGTGGATGTGCTTTGAATCCTGGGTTGGGTCTTGGTTTAGGTCCTGGGTTGGGTCTTGGTTTAGGTCCTGGGTTGGGTCTTGGTTTAGGTCCTGGGTTGAGTCTTGGTTTGGGTCCTGGGTGGGGTCTTGGTGTGGATCCTGGGTTGGGTGTTGGTTTTGATCCTGGGTTGGGTCTTGGTTTGGGTCCTGGGTTGGGTCTTGGTTTGGGTCCTGGGTTGGGTCTTGGTTTAGGTCCTGGGTTGGGTCTTGGTTTGGGTCCTGGGTGGGGTCTTGGTGTGGATCCTGGGTTGGGTGTTGGTTTTGATCCTGGGTTGGGTCTTGGTTTAGGTCCTGGGTTGGGTCTTGGTTTGGGTCCTGGGTGGGGTCTTGGTGTGGATCCTGGGTTGGGTGTTGGTTTTGATCCTGGGTTGGGTCTTGGTTTGGATCCTGGGTTGGGTCTTGGTGTGGGTTTGGGTCCTGGGTTGGGTCTTGTCTTGGGTCCTGGGTTGGGTCTTGTCCTGGGTCCTGGGTTGGGTCTTGGTTTGGGTCCTGGGTTGGATCTTGGTGTGGATCCTGGGTTGGGTCTTAGTGTGGATCCTTGGTTGGGTCTTGGTTTGGATCCCTGGTTGAGTCTTGGTTTGGGTCCTGGGTTGGGTCTTGGTTTGGATCCTGGATTGAGTCTTAGACCAGAAATGACATTGATGGGCATTTGGTTATATTTGAGTAAGATCTGTAAATTACTGAACAGTATTATATTTATGTTAATTTCCTGCTTTTTAATAATTGGACTATAGTTATGTGAAATGGAAGCATTTTGGGAATCTGGAATCTGGGTGAAGAGTGTACAGGTATACTAGTTTTGCAACTTTTTTCCCTCTAAGTCTGAAATTATTTCAACATGAAAACCTAAAACAAACTGTAAAAATTTCATTTCTTCCTAGACCAATGGTTCCCATGTGGATCAATTATGCCTTTTGGGGGACATCTGGCAATGTCTGGAGAAATCTCTGGCCGTTGCAACCAGTGGGTAGAGGCTAGGGATGCTGCTACACATCCTACGGTGCACTGGGTGCCCCCAACAACAGAGAACTATCGGGCTCAAATATCATCAATGCTGAGATTGACAAACTGTTCTAGAACAACTGTTCTAGAACAAATATATTTTTTAAAAATAATATAAACACAAGGGATGTTAAGAGAATAATAATATAGGAGTTGTGTGACTATACTGCAGCTGCTATACAAGTGTCTGAACCTCATTAGAATTGATTCTGCATTTCTACCTGGGACTAACATTTTGGAGTCTATGAATTCAGGGGCAGTGTCATTCAAGGTTAGAGGTGCCAGGTGGGAAGCTTTGTGACTGCTCACTGCAAGTGGCCATCATTAGTAAACTATTTTCTTTCTTTCCCTTGGTCCAAAGCGAGTACATCAATCTGACCATTTCTAATGAGATATAGGATGATACTGCGTGGACAAGACTTGCTGTCAGCCACTGCCTGGTGGGCTTAGAGAAAGAAACGATCCTTCATTAATTAACCTTCACTTTCTATGTAGATTCACTCATTGAGATGCAGGTAATTAAACCAAGGTCATTTCAAGGACTGACAGGAGGAAAAAAACCCCAGCCGTTGGAAGGCGGTGCAGTTTTTTTGGGTAGAGGACTTGGAATTCTATTTTTATCTTGTGCAGAATTGTGGAATCGTCTTTTCTTGGCTTTTAAATAATCTAACCTTGTTTTAATGGGAGATTCTTAAATTCATCTCAAAACTGTATCTCAGAAATTTTTAAAGATTTAGGTTATTGTAGGTTATAGATAACCTCCTGTGGGTTTCAGGAATACATGTTAGGGCAAAAATTTAATTTAGGGGAGCTAAACCATGTAAAGGAAGGGAAATAGAATTATGTTTGAGAGACGAAGACCCATTTTATTGGAGGGAGGAGAGGAGTGCGATTGCTATTCTCTCAGTTTGAATTCTGCAGTTCTTGATTTTTATTGCTTGTAATATTGGGCCTGTATGATATATTATAGTGGTTAAGAACATGATTTAGAGTTGGGTAGATATGATTTCACGTCTTAGCTCTACCATAGACTCGGACCCTGGGTAATTCATTTCACTTATTTAGCTTTGGTTTCCTCATCTGTTAAATGGGTCTAATGCTGGTCCTTACTCTCAGGGTTGTTGGCAGGATTCACTGTAATAGCTAGAAAAGGATCCATTCTCAGGGTGCACATAGGGATGATAGTTACCTCTTAAGAAATGTTTGCTATGTGCCATGCGGTATTCCAAGGACTTTACTGCCTTCCATCAACCTTCTGAGTTAGGTTCTGTTATTGTATGTTTTATACATGAGGAAACTAAGACACAGAGAGGACAAATAATTTGCCCAAGACACCACAGCCATTAAGTAGCAGAGTTGGGAGTTGAACCTAGTTGGGTGGTTGATCTTTACACCCACACCATACCATCTCAAGTGCATAAACTGTTGGCTCTTATTATTAGTATCATCCTTCATTATACCTTAAAAATACATTGCTAAAGCAAATCCACTCAGGCATACTTTTCTCTTGGGGAAAAAGGTGGTTCTTGGGTGGTAGAATGAATGAGTTCCTTGAGGCCTACAATAGTCATATCACAAATTTAAGAGAATGCCCATTTGGCTTATTAATAAAAAATATGTAATTGCCATTGGGGCTTATCGCCACCTCGTGGCAGGCTGAGGCATGACAAGACAGCCTTGGCTGCCCTGTTGGCATTCCTGCAAATTTCCTTTTCTATCCGGGCCCTGAAAAGAAAATGTGCTTTGAAAAAAGATGTCTGCCATGTCACAGTCTCAAAGCCACTTCACCATCTGAAGGGAATGTATTTGGAATTGAGGTGTTACATTAAAGTTCCAGTATTACAATAGAAGCCAATGACATTTGGCTTATCAGTGTCCCTTAAAGGAGATTGTATGAATTTCTCCGCGTGCCTGGCTAAGCACTTTACCTTTAATCATAAAGGCGAAATGCTTAATTTGTTAAACATATACAGAATCAGAAGTAGGGCCATTCACTGTAGCTAATATCGCTTGCAGTTATTAAAGTCAGTTTTTATCTGTTTAAACAGATCATAAAAAAGTAAAATCTGAAATAAAGGACTAACTCCCTCCTTCCTATAATATTTAATACATATTCAAAATTCCGATTAAGAATCAGTGCAAACCAGAAGAGAGAGAATAGCTTAAAAGGCAGAAATAAAGTTTCAGTTTAACCACTATTTGTGTTCTAATTAAGGCTGGCCAACCTTTAAATGATGCAGTGTTTTTCATTAACTCACACGAAAATCATATCAAATCAGAATTCTTCCTCCACTACACCCCAACACATTCTTTGGTGTTTTATAAAACAGCAGGCTCATTTCTGTCCTGTCTTGACTACTCCCAACCATATGTAAGCTGAGGAAATGCCTCTAATTTACCACACTTTTGTTTCTCTTATTTTTTTTTGTTATTCTTACTCTTTTCTTCCATTTTATGATATGCAAGGTTCAAACAATCCTGCATGTTAGAAGCGAACATTACTCTGTGTGCAGTCTTTGGCTCTTGTAACATAAATGTAAACTGCTTGTCTTATGGCAGAAATACCTCTTAACCCTTCAATATTAATGTATTTTATTAATTTAAAAATTACAAAGAGGACTACTGCATGATTTTGTAATATTTCATGAAGACATGTATAGAAACCTCTATCCTTCCACTTCTAATGATATGGGAACACCAGTGTTAAGAGCTTGATGTATGTGGGTCTCTATTGTTGCCTGTGCCCATACAAAGACACACAGCATATATACACACATTTAACCTCCCTGTGCCCTGGCACCTGTTATCTGTAGAGTGAGGGATAATAATACAGATCTCCAATCTTTTTTCATACTTTTGAAACCTAAAAATCTCTGAAAATCAAAAGTTTTTTTATAACTCATTTGGAAGCAGAACCTGCCTAAACTGACATAAGGCTATTTATAGTCATTATTTATGGCAGCTAGTGAGAATGTTCAGATCTTTTAATGCAGAAATAGTAATGTTTTTGCCATCCCAGACCCCACTCGGCAGGATTAGATAATCCATGGTAAGTGCTTCTGGGGTAAGCAGCCTCCAAGATGACCCCCGATGATCCCCTCTTCCTGGTATTTATGCCCTTGTACATAACTCTCCCTGTGAATGTGGGCTGGACTTGTTGGCTTTCTCCCAATGAACAGAATATGGCAGAAGTGATGGAATGGCACTTTGAAGATTAGATTAGATGGGATGTAATTTTCATCTTGGATGCCTTCTGTCATCCTCTCTTGAATTGCTTGCCCTGGGGGAAGTCGGCTGCCATATTCTGAGGTAACTCTGTAGAAAAGTTCAAGTGGTGAAGAATTAAGGTGAGCTACAGCTCAGTGAGATTGAAAGCAGATGCTCCCAGCCCCAGTCAAGCCTTCAGATGAGACCACAGCCCTGGGTGGCATCCTGACTGTAACCAAGGTCAAGAACTCTTGAGATGGAGCCACCTAGCTAAGCTGCTAAGCCTTGCCCGGATTCCTGACCCTTAGGAACTGTGAGATAATACATTTTTTTTGTCGTTATTTTAAGCTGCTAAGTTTTGGGCATTTTGTTTTACAGCAATAGGTAACTAATACAGCACTATATTACTTTCTAAAATTCAAAGCATCTGACTTACAAAACATATCTGGCCCCAAGACTCAGATGGCTCTGTAGTACCTACTTCATAGGGCAATACTTGTTAATTGCTTAAAATCATGCATGGTACATTGTAGTAGTCAATAAATATTAGTTACTTTTAATCTTACCAAGATTTTTTTCTGTTGATTTATTAAATGAGATTGTACCACTTCTTTGGTTTTTGGTATTATCACTTACCAACACATTATTCTGCAACTTGCTTTCCCCCACGGCCCCCCCACCCCATTTAATAGTATTTTACAGAGTCTTCCAGGTCAATATAGATATAGATTTTAGTCATTTAAAAAATCAGTCAAATTCCTTACTGATCAGCTTTTTTTTTTTTTTTTTTTTTAGTTATTTTTTTCTTTCTCATTATTCCAGTTATTTTTTTCTTTGTTTTGGCCACTATAGACAATACTGCAAAAACTGTCTTGAGAATATTTTCAACTCAGCTGAGTAGTCCAAATTCAAATTTTTAAAGTCAGCTTTATAGAGGTATGATTTACACACAGTAAAATTCAACTCTTTTAAAAGTGTACAGTTCTATGTGTTTTGACAAATGTACACAGTCATATAGACTACCACTGTCATCAAGCTATGTAACAATTCCATCATCCCCAAATTCAATTTTGTTTAATATCTTTTGTTTTAAAAAGGTAGCAACTACAGAACAATATCAGCGCAACATTGTAGGCTATAACCATGTAAACTACCCTCCCTCTACTCCAACGTTAAAAGAAAAATCCAGCCAAACTGAAATGGCTCTTCAATTACTCCCAAGTTTTTAAACCTTTGCCAAAAGTGTTTGAGCTTAATTAAGTTAAAATATTTCAAAGGGAGCCCAGTTGTAATAATTTGTTTATAATACAAGCTTCCCTTTGATCATGAATGTTCACTTTTATAGAAACCCTGTTATCATTCTTGGGATAAGGGATAAAGTAAATTAACTTTGCGTTGGAGAAAAAAAACACAGGAAATTAAAGAAGTACCTGAGGTGAACTGCCTTATTAATAACAGAAAGATGTGACTTTATTGAGCCATTGGGCCAGTGGGGTGGAAACATAGAGTCTGTGGGGGAATAGTGTGAATTGCTTAGATATTATGGATACAGTTTATTAAAAAGATAGCTTTAAAAAATGCGCTTAATATCCCTCTTTCTGGTCCCAGTGTGAACCCTCCTGGTTCTTGCAAAAGACAAACATTGCCTTGAGAAAGTTAGCAAACAACGGCGCAGCACTCTTTCTTAATTTGGCTGGAAGTAGCTGGGGAAGGATTTTACATCTGTGCTGGTGGGCGTCCCAGGACAGAAGAAATTCAGTGCCACTTTTCCAATCCTTCCTTCTTACTTGCTTTGAAGAGAAGGTATATATATTTCCTCTAATCATATTTAAAATTCTGCTTTCAGGCTCTCCCTTTCCCTCCTACTATTTCCTTCCTTTTCTCAGCTTAATTTTGTTTTCTTTTGACAAATAGTCAGAATTAAAAAAAAAGATCTCTATATTAACTTTAACTAGAGAATAGCTGAGGTGCTGAGAGCATTCTGAGCTGGACTGGACTAGAATTTGCATTAAGATACTGGCAATGAGATGTAGAAAGAACAGGAGATTTAAAACATATTTTTGCTGGAGACCTGGTTTCTGATGCCAGCTCTACCACTTAAAAGCTGTGAGCATTTAGAGACTTTACTTACCCTCTCTGTAACTCAGTTGACTTTATTCATGGGATTATTAGAAATGTCAAGAGAATTAAGGTGTGTGAAAAGACTTTGAAAACCATTAATTACCTGTACAGAATAAATGATAGAAGAAGCGTTTGTGGAATTTAAGTGATAGGACTTGGGTTGTTTCCTGGGTCTGCCCCCTCATGACCTACTTAATTTCTGCGAGTCTCATATTCTTCTTCTTCTTCTTCTTCTTCTTCTTCTTCTTCTTTTTTTTTTTTTTTTTTTTTGAGATGGAGTCTCACTTTGTTGCCCAGGCTGGAGTGCAATGGCATGATCTTGGCTCACTGCAACCTCTGCCTCCCAGGTTCAAGTAATTCTCTTGCCTCAGCTCCCTGAGTAGCTGGGATTACAGGTATCCACCACCATGCCCAGCTAATTTTTTTATTTTTTGTATTTTTAGTAGAGACAGGGGTTTCACCATGTTGCTCAGGCTGGTCTCAAACTCCTGACCTGAGGTGATCCACCTGCCTCGGCCTCCCAAAGTGTTGGGAGCCACTGTGCCCGGCCCAGTCTCGTATTCTTTACAGGTGAAACGGGGAGGATACCTTCTCATGAGGCTGCTGTGGCTTTTACAGTTAATGTAAGCTCAAGTGTTCTGTAAACTCTAAGCAAGAGTTGGGAAACTTTCTGAATATAAATACTGAATGTTTGAGGCTTTGAAACCTGTATGTTTCTGTTGCAACTGTTTAATTTTACCATTGCAGTACAAAAGAAGCCACAGACAATACATAAATGAGTCGGTGCGGCTGTGTTCCAATAGAACTTTATTCATAAAACAAGTGGCAGGCCGGATCTGGCTTCACCTGCCACGGTATGCTGGCTCCTGTTCTGAAGCATATGATGCAGTTTCATCGAATTGTCCTAGTGGGTTTGGAGGCTGTCTGTAACTACTCTTCCGCATTTAGCCTCTCAGGTTGCCACAGAGAAAATGGGGTGGTGATTATGAGCTAGTGGTGTGTGATGTCAAAATGCTGGGAAGTGTGAACTGCGCCATAAGCTGTGTGGAGGCTCTGAAGGAAAAATTTAGTGGCCTCCATACCTCAAATCTGTATACCAAGAGAAATTACAAATGAATGAATGAATAATGAAATTACAAATGATTGGGTAATGAAATTACAAAGGAATGAACGAATGAGTGAAGGAATGAATCAAAATTGAATTAATGGCCAGGTGCGGTGGCTCATGCCTGTAATCCCAGCACTTTGGGAGGCCAAGGCAGGCGGATAACCTGAGGTCAGGAGTTCGAGACCAGCCTGACCAACATGGTGAAACACCGTCTGTACTAAAAAATACAAAAGTTAGCCGGGTGTGATGGTGGGCACCTGTAATCCCAGCTACTCGAGAAGCTGAGGCAGGGAGAATTGCTTGATCGTGGGAGGCAGAAGTCACAGTGAGGTGAGATCGCGCCACTGCACTCCAGCCTGGGGACAGAGCGAGACTCTGTCTCAAACACACAAACACACACACACACACACACACACACACACACACACAACAAAACAAAACAAAACAAAAAACTGAATTAACTTTTCAATGTTAAAAAAATAAGGCCATAAAAGCACTAGAAGAAACCAAGAGATCATTTCTGGGTAACCTTGGCCTGAGAGCTGACATTTTCCATGTGACTCAAAATCTAGAAACCGTAAAACAACCCCAATAAATTCAAGCATATTATTAAAAATATGTGTGATCAAAAATACCAAAAGCAAAGCAAAATGTCAAATGATAAACTGGGTAATAGTGCAACTTATGTCACAGACAAGAAGTTAACCTTTTACTATACAAAGACCTCCTAGAATTTGATAAGAAAATGACCAAAAATCTAAAAAGAAAAACAGTTAAAGGATAATAACAGATGATCCACAGGAAAAGGAACCATAAAGGAGAAACCAAGAGAATAGAAACCAACAAAAGCCCTGAGGTGGTTGAGCCACTGAATTACCTGGCTTTGGAAGTACTTACGTCGAAACTTACTGTTATGAGATAAAAATGCATTTTGTGTGAATGATTTTGATTCTGCCATTCTGTTATTTACAGCCCAAAGCATCCTAATTGATACAGAAATGAATGGCCAGGAGACCCTTTCTCAATAGTAGGAGAGTAAATAAAGTCCCTGGAACTTAGATTCCTCCTCTCCCCTAGAGAGAAAGGAGAAAAAGTAGAGAATTCGGAAGTAACCGAGGTTCAACACTAAAATGGCAGATTAGTCACTAATTTAAATGCGTTTTCTTAGAAGGAATCTGTTGGTTATTTACAAATTACTTCCAAAGTTAGCAGCTTGAAACAAAAAATATTTATTATCACTCAGTTTCTGAGAATCAGGAATTGAGTAGTGGCTCAGTGGAATGGTTCTGGCTTAGTGATTCTCATGAGGTTGTAGTAAAAATGCTGGCCAGGGCTGTAGTCATCTGCCAGTGTGACAGGGACGTGGGGACAGAGGACCTGCTTCCATGATGGCTCACTCATGTGGCTGTGGTGCAATCTCTCAGTTCCTTGAATGTGGACTCCCCAACTCCCCCCATCAAGCCATATGCTACTTGAGTGTCCACATAACATGGTACCTGGCTTCCAGGACAGACAAAGCAGAAATTGCAAGCATCTTAGGACCTAGTCTCAGAAGTCACACACCTTCATTTCAACAATATCTTCTAGGTCAGGGGTCCCCAACCCCTGGGCCACAGACTGATACTGGCCCCGTGGCCTGTTGGGAACTGGGCTGCAGAGCAGGAGGTGAGTAGTGGATGAGAGAGAGAAGCTTCATCTGTACTTACAGCCACTCCCCATCACTCACGTGAACGGCACATGTTAGGGATCTAGGTTGCGTGCTCCTCATGAGAATCTAATGCCTGATGATCTGTCACTGTCTCCCATCACCCTCAGATGGGACTATCTAGTTGGAGGAAAACAAGCACAGGGCTCCCACTGATTCCACAATATGGTGAGTTGTATAATTATTTTATTATATGTTACAATGTAATAATAATAGAAATAAAGTGCACAATAAATGTAATGTGCTTGCATCATCCTGAAATCATCACCTCCTCCATCCCCTGGTCCGTGGAAAAATTGTCTTCCGTAAAACTGGTCCCTGGTGCCAAAAAGGTTGGGAACACTGTTCTAGGTCACACAGGTCAGCCCTATTCAGTATGAGAGGGGACTACCTAAGCTAGGAATACAAGAAGGCAAAGATCACTGAGGCCATCATGGCAGCTGGTTACCACAAACAACTAGATTAGGTTTTTCTCTTATTGCTCTTGGTTAAGTTCAATATAAGAAAATAAAGAAAATTACATTTATATCTGCTATTGTAAGGTTTATATAATGAATATCTCTCAATAGGCTTGGGATGAGAGCTGGGTCATAGATAATTAGACAGTGAGTACATCTTCTGAGGAGATTCTGCTGTGAAAGTTTTGTATGTTTTGTGACGACTGGATTCATATGTTTTGCTAGGTAAGCAGGGATACATTTTGCATCATGTTTATGTATTTTCAGAGCTTATTCTGTCTGACTATCTCACTATTTTATAAATATGGGCCTTAGAATCTATAAGCAAAGACAGAACCCCCCTCATCATAATTTCTGGCACCATCTCTACAAATAAATGATTGATCAATTAACTCCTGAAATTCCCATATTATAGAGCTGGGCCCAGGTAATTTATCTTGAAAAATTTTCACCACAGGTGTTACTGTCACCCAGTGCAGCAGTTGTAAAAAATCTCAATGATGCTTTTGTGAATCATTTGGGTTTAAGCAATGAGCATCACAGTGAACTCACGGGAAAATATTAATTGCAAAATGTGCCCCCAAGTAGCTAAGTAAATTAACTTGCTGCATGGGATTATAGGTGTTAAACCAATTAAAGTTTAGAGAGCATCTGCTACAAATAATGATTTTTCTTTTCAAAGTAGTTAATATTGAGGCATTTCTAAAAGTAGCTAAACAGCAGGACCAATAGTCTATTTAGATGGATTCAAACTTGTGTCCAGAAATTACCATCAAAGGGTTTAGAAGACCCTCGTCCTCATCTGTGCTGTAGCATTTATTCATTCTTCCAACCAGTATTTATTGAGGACTCACCACGTGTCAGGCATTGCACACAGGAGTATTGATATGGTTTGGAGTTGTATCCCCTCCCAAAGCTCATGTTGACTTGCCATCCCCAGTGTTGGAGGAGGGGCCTGGTGAAAGGTGATTGGATCATGGGGGTGGATTTCCCCCTTGCTGTTACCATGACAGTGAGTTCTCACGAGATCTGCTTGTTGAAAGCGTGTGGCACCTTCCCCTACTCTCTCTTCCTTCTGCTCTGGCCATGTAAGATGTGCCTGATTCCCCTTTGTCTTCTGCCATGATTGTAAGTTTCCTGAGACCTCCCCAGCCATGCTTCCTATACATAGCCTACAAAACTGTGAGCCAATTAAACCTCTTTTCCTTATAAATTATCCAGTTTCAGGTGTTTCTTTATAGCAGTGCAAGAACAGACTAATACAAGTATGCATACAGAGTCCTAAAATAACTTCATATAATTAGAATAATTGGGACAAAATTTATTTTAAAATAAGAGGGTAGCAGGGGTATGGAAGAGAGCTGTAACAAAACTTTTCTTTTAAGCTGCTTGACATTATTTGATTCAACATGAACCCACTCCTGATAATTCTTTCTATTTGCTTTTAGGAAAATGCAAACCTACCTACATACATACAAGTGTGTGTGTTTATAGTGTATCTTCCAGATTGCCATGAGCATGCATGCATTAGTTTTGTGAAATATTAAAAAAATAGAAAAAAATTAGAAAGACTACAAGAATATTTACCCATAATATCACCATATAGCCATTGTTAACATTTTATTTTATCTCTATTACAGGTTTTTTCTATCTCCATAGAAATGCATAACATTTAATGAAATTGGCATCATACTAAATTTATTACTTCATGAGCTGTTTTTAAAATCAATAGCCATGATAATTCTCCAATGTCATAAAATAGACTTAGGATATTTTAAATGTTCTCATTTGCTAATTTTGTTGGTTGTTGCCAGGTCCTCACTGTTATAAGTAATACTGCAATAAACGTTTTTGGAAATAATCCTTGCTTGTGTTGGACACACACAAGTTTCTAGGAGTGGATATTAATATTTTAATATGTTTTAAGAACAGTGATAATTCTGGTTCCAATTTATACTTCCATCAGCAGAGCATGAGTGCCTGTCTCATAGTGACACCCTCACCCATAATAAATATCATCTTTTATCTTCATATTTGCCAATTTTATTCACATTCTTTTACTTCACAATTATTGAGTATAAAGTTGAACTTTTTTTTCCATTTTTATTGGCCACATATTTTTTTCTATTATAAAGCGTCTGCTTATGTTCTTTGCTCATTTTTCAAAGGGAGGCATTCTTTTTCTTATTAATGATTAATAAGAATATCTTTTTTGATAAGATCATAACTTTTATCACATATATTGCAATATCAGGTAATACCTGGCCACTTGCCTTTTATTTTTACTTATGGTATTTTTGACATATATATAATTAAACATGTTTAACTACGTTGTACAATTGTATATCTAAAAATAAACATTAATTAAATTATAAGTAAAAAAATTCAACTTTGTTCTGTTGCATGGATCTAACTTGAAATTGTCTCTTCTTCCCAACTCCTCCAGACCCATTTATTGGATGATTTATAATTTCACATGGACTTAATTGTTGCCTCATTGTACCCCATAAACTGTTACCTTGAATTAGTCTTTGCGCTCACTTATCAGTTTTCTATTTAAAAAAATGTCCAGTCTTTGCTTATTTGCTTATTCTTTTAGTCTGTTTTAACTGGGCTCAGAGACCTACTCAGATTAAGCCAGGAAGGAGGAATTTATTAGGAGAATGAATATGGTTTGGTGTTGGAACTGAATGGGCCTGGACCACTCTTCTGTTTCTTTTGTGGGGATCATGGTCCATCTCTTGACTCCATAGCCCTTACCTCTGCCTATGGTTTGCCTGCTCACTCACAATATTTGCTGTTTCTCAGCTTATAGAGAGGCACCATCTTGACCTATATTGGATTGGAGAACTGATAGCAGCAGGAGAGGGAGTGGTGAGATGGATCAGGAGTTTATTACAGCTTCTGGAAGGAGATGACCATGTGTTGGACCAGATGGCAGCCATAGAGAGAAGTGCTGGCAGGATTTGAGATGTATTTTGAAGTTTGAAACTTGAGGCATATCCTGGCGAGGCTTGCTGAGAGATACTACATGGAGGCTGAGGGAAAGGGATGGATTAAGATCTTTAAAAATTCTAAAAGTAATGTCTATTCATTGTAGAAAATTGGAAAATATAATGAAAGCACAAAATTTTTATAAATCTCTAATCCCATTATAAATGTCTCAAGCTTTGATATATCAATGGAAATAGAATTACCTTTCTACCTCTTGGCCTGGATTAATTTAAACCAAATATGGAGGGTGGATTTAGGGTGACTTCCCTTACAATACGAGATATGTACCATTTACAAAACCCACTTTTGAAAGACAACTTGAAAAAGCAGGTGATCATTCTGTAAGAGGTTGAAACTAAGGTAGAATGTGGAGCTAAAGGTGCACCAGGAGAGATCTATGTACTTATGAAGATACTGTGGCCAGAAGAAATGAGTTTTCAAATATGGATCCATGGTTGAAGGTTTCAGTTGTATATGTACCTATGCCCGGTGTTGATTGTTTTGATGAAACTTTTCTTACCTGGGCTGCTCTATAGAAAGCTCACAGGTAAATGGCAACCAGGATTTCATTTTTTTTTTTTTTTTTGAGACAGAGTCTCGCTCTGTCACCCAGGCTGGAGTGCAGTGGTGTGATCTCAGTTCACTGCAACCTCCGCCTCCCGAGTTCAAGTGATTCTCTTGCCTCAGCCTCCTGAGTAGCTGTGACTACAGGTGCACGCCTCCATGCCCGGCTAATTTTTTGTATTTTTAGTACAGACGGGGTTTCACCATGTTAGCCAGGATGGTCTTGATCTCCTGACCTCATAATCCTCCCACCTCAGCCTCCCAAAGTGCTGGGATTACAGGTGTGAAGGATTTCTTAATATAATGTTGTTTGGCTAACACTAATGAGGTTAAGTAATTTACTTACATCTATTTCTGTATCTCTCTATACATTTCTATTTCAATATTAATATAATTGTGTGTGCATGTGTGTGTTAAAGCCAGCATTGCTCATCAATATTATATCACAAATATTTTCTAGCCAGCATTTCTCATCAATATTATAACACAGATATTTTCTAACTGATCGTCGCTGGCATATTCTCAACATTTATTCTGTATCCAGTCAATTTACTAAACTTTCATTTCTAACTTTTTAAATTGATCCTTTTGAATTTTCTAGAGGATAGTCATATAATCTGCCAATACTTTCATCTTCTACTTTCAAATAATTATGCTTATCATTATTTTCTAATCTAACTTTAGTAGCCACATTTCAGAAAAAAATGTTTAATAATATTGTTAAGAAGAGATCCTTTTTTGGGGGTCCTGCTTCTGGTTTTAATGGAACTGCTGTTAGAGTTTTAAAAGTGTGGTCTCGTCTGTTGATTCGATATAGATATTCTTATGTTTTAGAAGTTGACTTTTATCTCAAGCTTGTTAAGAGTGTTTTGTTATTATTAAATCAGAGATTTATCTTGAATTTTATCTAACACTTTTCAGATTAAGATGAGTAAGATTATGATGTTTTTCTGGTTTACAGTCATATTTTAGATTTATTTTGAGCTCCAATAAGAAGGTTTTTTGGAAAGTAATAATTTTTATTTTAAGTACATAAATTTATTTGTAAAATGTTAATTGACTATGTTTTACACTTCAGACCTTGTGGTGAGTACCTAGAATACAGTAGTGGATGAAGTAAACGTTATTCCTTCCCTAATGGATTTAATAATCTAGATGGGAAAACAGGGGAATAAAGGTATAATTTTTGAGTTTGCTGCTTTCTTAGACCTGATTTCTGGTGGTCAAAATTCTTTTAAGAATAGAGTTCTAATTTTAAAATGGGAGACAGTGGGGCTGCTAAGATTTAACACAGAGAATCTTGCTTTTAAAGCAAGTGGTTTTAGGAATGAACTCATCTTATGATGGAAAATACCTATTAAATTTAAATTAAACATTTTCAGAAACATATTTATGACTCTAGGAAAGGCAATGCAATCCAAAGCTCATTATTTCAGTGATGTTCAAGGCTCATTGATTTCAACCAAGTTAGCATTCCTGTTTTGATGCTTTGGCTAACTCTGCTTATGTTCCTGTTGAAAGTAGACGTATCTCAAGAAAAAGAGGTTTTAGTATTTTTAATGCAAGTGATTTTTCCATTAAGATGTGACTCTCATTCCTAGATCCTGCTATGACAGACACTGATGGTTGCCTGGACATTACCCATGTTTCCTTCTTATATACTAAGAAAATTCTAATTGTCTTTGGGGAGGAAATATACTCAACTAAAATACTCAAATCTAATACTTCCTTGCAGCTAGGGATGGCCAATTAACCCAGTTTTATCTAATGAGCTGTAAGCAGAAGGGCTTCTAAGAAAAATTTTGAAGAAAATATTTAGACTTGGATGGCACATCATTTTGGCCCCTTGCCTTTCCCGTTGTTTTCTTTCTTTTCCTAGAAGACAAAACACTATGCTCAGAGGTTCAGCAGCCATATTGTGATCATAAGAATAAAACATTCACTCTACTAATGAAAAACTGGGGTGTAGAAGAACCTTGATCTTTGCCGATTCACATATGCAGCTAAAGCAGCTCAGAATTGCTTATCTCTGGATTTCTTGTTACTCGAAAAAGGTGGACCCATATGTTATTTGAGCTTTTTGATACTTGAAGCCAAACATGTCCTAACCAATGCACAGGTAGTGTTTAAAAATAAAAGGAAGAAAAAAGTCCTGCCACAGGATGGAACTAGCTCCATCAGGACAAATTTTGTTAACTAAATTGACAGTACAGCAGTCCTTCCTTATCCAAAGAGGATACATTCCAAGACCCCAAGTGGATGTGTGAGACCACAGGTAGTACTGAAGCCTAGAGAATCTACGGTTTTTGATCTGATAACTGAGATGGCTACGAAGTGACTAAAGGGTGGAATACACTGGACAAAGGGATGGTTCACATCACAGGTTGAACAGAATGGGAAGGTCAGAGATTTCATCATGCCATTGAGCATGACATACAACTTAAAATTGATGAATTATTTATTTCTGGAATTTTCCATTTAATATTTTTGGATCAAGGTTGATCACAGATAACTGAAACTGTGGAAAGTAAAACTAGGGATAAAGGGTAACTGCTGTTTAAGAGCACAGATTTTCAAAGTGCATGCTCCTGGCACTCTTTGTAAGGTTTTGAGAGAATATTGGGAGGAAATAGAAGGAACCCTAGGGATCTATGCCATTATTTGAAAACAAAAACTCATCTGGCCCGAGATGAAGGGGTAAGGTTAACATGATGCTTTGTACTTAGTGCCTTATGAATAAACTTCTACTGCTGATCATACGAGCAATTCACCTGTAAGTCCTAATAACCCGAGCTTCAAAGGCTCATCCCATTGAAAAGGAATTTCCCCGCCTCTGCAATTCAAATGAAGTAAATACTCACTGAACTGTAGACACCTCCTGCTGCTTTTGACTTTCATCTTAAAAAAAGCAGGAGACAGTATTATGCGTTGTAGATCTAAAAATTCATTTGTGAAAGGAGAATCTTCCTTTTAAAAGGTGACTGTTATTAATTGCAGTTTTATAATTGATCCTTTAAGGAACACAAATGAGTTTTAAATGTTCTCTTTCAATGCACCTCAATGGGTGGAAGGGTGGGTGTATTGTCTGGGATACCACAGGTAGAACCTTAAGTCTTGGCCTTGTAGAAATCAGGCCAAGATGAAACTGTCTTTTGTGACAAAATTCAACAGTCTGCCTTAGACAAAAATCAAACAAATCATGAATTATTGCTGATTTGGATGTTTGTTCCCTCCAAATCTCATGTTGAAATGTGATTCCCAGTGTTGGAGGTGGGACCTGGTGGGAAGTGATTGGATCATGGGGGTGGGTCCCTCATGAATGGTTTAATGCCATCCCCTTGGTGATAAGTGAGTTCTCGCTCAGTTAGTTCATGTGAGACCTGGTGGTTTCAATGAGTCTGAAAAGAGTCTGGGGCCTCCCATGTGTCTCTCTTGTTCCAGGTCTCACCATGTGATACATTGGCTCCCAGTCACCTTCTGCCATGATTGTAAGCTTCCTGAGGCCCTCACCAGAAGGTGAACAGATGCTGGCACTATGTTTCCTGTACAACCTGTAGAACCATGAGCTGATAAAACCACTTTTATTTACAAATTACCTAGCCTCAGGTATTTCTTTCCTTTGCTTTTTTTTTTTTTTTTTTTTTTTGAGACGGGATCTCGCTCTGTTGCCTAGGTTGGAGTGCAGTGGTGTGATCTTGGCTCACTGCAGCCTCCACCTCCTGAGTTCAAGCAATTCTTCCACATCAGCCTCCCGAGTAGCTGGGATTACAGGTGCCTACCACCACACCTGGCTAATTTTTGCATTTTTAGTAGAGATGGGGTTTCACCATGTTGGCCAGGCTGGTCTTGAACTCCTGACCTCAGGTGATCCACCCGCCTCGGCCTCCCAAAGTGCTGCGATTATAGGCTTGAGCCACTGTGCCTGGCCAGGTATTTCTTCATATTAGTGCAAGAATGGACTAACACAATTACTAAGTCAGCTTCTTAGAATTCTTAACAATTGCTCTTAGTTTTCATGGTCATGAAACCGACTTTCTTCCTTTCTTTTTTTTTTTTTTTTTTTTTGACGGAGGCTCACTCTGTCACCCAGGCTGGAGTGTAGTGGCACCATCTCAGCTCACTGCAAGCTCTGCCTCCTGGGTTCATGCCATTCTCCTGCCTCAGGCTCCCGACTTCCTTAATTCTTCCTTCCTATGAAGAGGAGACTGACAGTTTGCTCAGTCCTGGGCTACATGGTCATTCTGTCTGTAGCATGCATCTAGGATAGAGTGAGCACCAGCAAAAAATGTCTTAGCTGAACATCTCTTTCAGTCAAATTAAAAAGTTTCTTATAAACAAAATGTAACCATGGCCATGAGAATCTCCTTAGCAGTTCTTTATCTTTCTATGGGCACAGACAGGATAATTTTTACAAGAAAGATGAAAGAGATCCAGATGTTCCCTCCCCAGAATAGTGTCTTATAAAAATGAGTTTTCAGGCTGTTTAGATTATTAGCATGTCATAGTGGAACTAAAAATCTCTTAACTCATCACAAGGGCCAGACCTTCAGGATGATACTGGGAATTTCTCAATGTTATTGGCAAGAAAAGCATTCAATGAAAATAAAGGTTTACAAAGTAAGAAAGGGAACTCCTAGTTGGTGGGCACCTGCCCTGTTATAGGCACTCAGTAACATGCTTTCAGCTATTTATCCACACAACAACACTGTGAAAAAGGTAAGGTGTCACTCTTAAATAATGGCAACATGGGCCGGGCATGGTGGCTCATGCCTGTAATCCCAACACTCTGGGAGGCCGAGGCAGGTGGATCATGAGGTTAGGAGATCGAGACCATCCTGGCTAACATGGTGAAACCCCGTCTCTACTCAAAAATACAAAAAATTAGCTGGGCGTGGTGGCAGGTGCCTGTAGTCGCAGCTACTCGGGAGGCTGAGGCAGGAGAATGGTGTGAACCTAGGAGCTTGCAGTGAGCCGAGATCGTGCCACTGCACTCCAGCCTGGGCAATAGAATGAGACTCCATGTCAAAAAAAAAATAATAATAATAATGGCAACATGGAAACTCAAGGTCACAGCTAGTACACAGCTGAGTTCATGTCCAAGAGCAGGTGGCTGTGATTGCAAAATCACATTCTTCCATCAAGCCTTCTTGGCTTATTCTCATTGTAGACATCGCAGCCTAGTTGGAGATAAGCATATAAACATATGAAATGTCAAATAGCAACATAAAAACAAGGATATTATGATGCAGCATGTGATTAATTGGCAAATGAGTGTTAGGAATTGTGAGTTTGTCATGAACTACAGTAACCTAGAAAGGCCTGGCCTCTGTGTAGGACTTAGATAGGTTAAAATGAAAACCAGACAGTCATAAAGGTGTGAATCCTGCATATAGTAAGGAAAATATGCGATCAATATATTGTTAGTGGATCAGTTTGGCTTTAAAAAGTTTATGAAGGAGCTCGAAGGTAGACTTCAGCTTTGAATTTCAGGCTCTCTAGACCCTCATTCAGTAGGTCAGTGTTACTCTGAGGTCAGTGGACTGCCCTTCCTAACATCTTGGGGGTCCTAGCACTTATTGTCAGGATTCCTAAGTTCTCTATGAAACTTTGCTTTAAAATTTTTGATGAAAATTAGAAAACATTATGAGCATACTATGGAGATCAACCCTGTAACTGTGCACTATCCTGTGGTGGTCTTACCAAGTGAAGGCTGAATGATATCCCAGCAGATGAATGCATAAAGATCTCACCATTGTTTACACAGAGAAAACATGTGCAAACTGAACCTGCTCATATCATCCATTAGGCTGGATATACTAGACCTCCTCTGTACAGTGAATGTCCATCCATGTGAGTGGATCTCCTGACTTGAAGCCCTGCAGTGTCGGAAAGGGTAGCTGTTAGTGCCCAATAAAGAAATAATCTGCTTCTGGGACAGATACTGTTCGTGTCCCCTCCACCCCACCCTACTGGCACTAACTATTCTTGTATGTGGCGCTGCATCCACCTGCAAGCCCCTCTGATTCTTCACCTAGGGGCTTTCTCTTGGTAGGCATGTGTTTGGGGCAGGCCAGATGTGTTAATTTTGGGAGCATCCATCCACCAATGACAAATGGGAGTTGGAGAAAAAATACCCCAGCTTCCTCGCCTCTTGGGTGGGTGAATTCTGAGGCATGCTCACATTGTCTTCCAAAGTTCTCAGGAGCACTCAGTCCCAGTGGCCTGGAGCTGTCACCTGCTTATTAATGCATGCTGCATTGGCCTTTCTTTCTTGATATTGCTTCCTCACATTGCTTAGCAGTATGAACATTATTTCCCAGATAAAACCCTCTATCCAAGTATTTGTCTCAGGTTTGCTTTTGAGGGAACCTAGCCTAAAAGCCTTCCAAATATTCATTTGGTAAAGATTTGTATAACACAATGCCAGCCTTATCTTTACGTGAACAAAATAGTTGTGCAGTGTTATCAATGGATGCCTCAATACAACTGGCATGCAAGGATTATTCCCAGACAGACTTTTGGTTCTGATGATCCTGAATTAGAAAAAAAATGCAGTGATTAATACAATCTTATACAGCATGCTTGTGAGAATGGCTGTTCCTTACATTAGCATTATTAAAACTGAAATACAGAACCAGATTGAGTATTCAAACAAACTTGAGACTATATTCTTCCTCTATTAAGCCAAATATCAGTGATTTTGTTCCAGCAAAATAACATCATGTCACATTAAATTAATGTTGGGAATTTAAATTTTATTGGTTCTCTAGTTGTGCTTGAATATAATTTAAAAATTTATTCTAGATTTGTAGTTATATCAAAGCTGTCAGAATAAAGAGTTTATGACTAGTTTTATATTTATACATATTGAAATTAAATTATAATGAATTTTTAACATTACATTGAGGGTCCATAAAATATACGTGTGTGTGTGTGTGTGTGTGTGTATATACACATGTATATATTCACACATATACACACACACATATACATATATGCACACACACACACATATATATATCTTTTAACCCCTTTAATAAGAGAAACTCCTCAGGCCTAAAGAAAAACTTCTTTAGGTGACTGAGAGACACTAAAAGGTTTCGATCACTGAGGTGACCTCATGAAAATGGTGTTTCAGGACAAATTAATGGAAAATGAATTTAAATCAAGATCTTAGAATATAGTAGACAGACAATACTATTTGCTGAATAAATGAATTAAATAAAAGTAAACCGAGTTAGAATTCTGTTGCAGCAAACTATAAAATAAAACATACGTATGTAACCTAGAGTGCTGGAATTAGAAAACAGAGACTTAGAGAACCTTGTGATTATATACGGGACATGCATTGGTTCCAGCTCTGTCAAGGCAGAACTCTGAGACAAGGGTTCATGTACAGGTAACTTATTAGGGATGTGACTCCAGGAGAAACCAGTAAAATGTCAGCCAGGTGTGGTGGTTCATTCCTGTAATCCTGGCACTTTGGGAGGCTGAGGTGGAAGGATTGCTTGAGCCCAGGAGTTCAAGACCAGTTTGGGCAACGTAGCGAGACACTGCCTCTACAAAAAATTTAAAAAGTTAGCTGGAAACGGTGGCACACACCTGTAGGCTGAGGCTGAAGGATTGCTTCAGTCCAGGAATTCAAAGCTGCAGTGAGCGATGATGGTGCTATTGCACTCCAGCCTAGGCAACAGAGTGAGACTCTTTCTCTAAACAATAACAACAACAACAACAACAACAACAACACAACAACAAGTGAGTGAAGCAGACAGGGAGGGGGAGGAGGCCAAGCAAAGGTATGATTTTAGGCAAAGTTCCCAGAGAGTAGCTTAAGCCTAATCCTGCAGAGAAACTCTCAAATGGAAGTGATACCTCCAAGTCGATCCCAGCTTGAGCCAAGGGAGCTGGGCTTTCCTACCCCTGCACCAGCCAGTCACTGGCCAAGGGCTTCCATGTGAGGTACGAACTTCCAGGGCTTCCAGCTTTCTGTAGTCAGAGAGCAGTCTTACAGAGAGAGAGTAGCAGGTGACAGCCTAGCAGCAGAAGCACCTATAAGCTGGGGGAAGCGTGCACAGGAATGATAAAAGCAGCAGTATGGAGTATGGAGTGGTATGGAGTATGGAGTATGGAGACATACCAGTGTTGACCATCAAAACTAAGCAGTCGAAGGTGATTTGAGGGCTCTGACCTGTGATGTGGCCAGTGGATGTCTCCATTAACAGAAGAAAGGAATTTGATCAAAACCACAACGTAATACCATCTTATCCCCCCAAGAATGGCCATAATAAAAAATAAAAAAAAAAAGATGTTGGCATGGATGTGGTAAAAAGGGAACACTTCTACACTGCTGGTGGGAATGTAAACTAGTACAACCACTATGGAAAACAGTGTGGAGATTCTTTAAAGAACTAAAAGTAGACCTACCATTTGATCCAGCAATCCCACTCCTGGGTCTCTACCCAGAGGAAAAGAAATCGTTATATGAAAAAGATACTTGCATGTGCATGTTTATAGCAGCACAATTTGCAATTGCAAAAATATGGAACCAGCCCAAATGCCTATCAAACAACGAGTGGGTAAAAAAACTGTGGTATATATACATGATGGAGTACTACTCAGCCATAAAAGGGAATTAATGGCATTCACAGCAACCTGGATGGGATTGGAGACTATTATTCTAGGCGAAGTAACTCAGGAATGGAAAACCAAACATCGTGTGTTCTCACTCATAAGTGGAAGCTAAGCTATGAGGATGCAGAGGCATAAGAATGATACAATGGACTTTGGGGACTCGGGGAAAAGGGCAGGAGGGGGTGAGGGATAAAAGGCTACAAATTAGGTTCAGCGTACACTGCTCAGGTGATGGGTGCACTATAATCCCACAAATCACCACTAAAGAACTTACTCATGTAACCAAACACCACCTGTTCCCCCAAAACCTATGGAAATTAAAAAAAAGAAGAAGAAAGGAATTTGAGAGGGGATTTGGGAAGGAGATGGAGAGTCACAGCCCTTGGATTTTTTCGGGGAGTGAAACATCCTCTGGATCTATCTCCATGGCTACAGCTCATCTTCAAGCTGCCCTCCTGTGTTAGCCAGATCACAGTAAGAGCTTCCTGTGTTTTCCTCAGCTTTGATGTTGTTGGGCCCTCCTGCCTTGTCTGTGCACTACAGCTAGAATCATCTTCTTAAACTTCCAATCACATGGTATTACTTCCTTGCTCTGAAATCCTTCAGCAACTTCCAGTTTCACCTTGAAGATCCCGAGTCACCATCAGCCTCTTCCACTCTGTTCTAGCCTCACTGGCTTTCTTTCTGCTCCCAAAAGAGGCCAAGTTCATCTCTGTGCCAGGGTCTTTGTACTTGCTTTTCCCTCTGACTGGAATGCTTCCCTGTTAGCCTCGCAAATGCCTGGTCTCTGCACATCCTTCACTCAAACCTTCTCTTATTGGAGAGGCTTTTTATGGGGGTTGTCAGTGCCGCTCACCATGCTTCTTTTCTGCATTGTCTGGGCATACGATGGGGTAGACCTTGCTGGCTCCCTTGTGTCCGGGTGGGGCTGGATGTCTGCTTCTGGCCAATGCGTGCTGAGTGCAAGTGACATGTATTAGTTTCAGGTTAGAGCATTTAACTGCTTGTGTGAGACCCTCCAGAGTTTTTTTGCTTCTGCCTCAGGACAATACTGTGAGGTCCTGTAATAGCTACTGTGCCAGCCTGGGTCGCTGTATCAGTTAAGAGTTTGATCTGGGAAGTAGAACCAGTTGAGTCATGTGGAGTAAGGGATTTATTAGAGGGATTAGAGCTTACACAGTTGTGGAAGTTGGTCAAGACATCTCTGGAAGATGGTTGCCTCTGTGAACGGGTTTGGGCCTGAAGTTTGTTGTAGGTGCATGAAGAAAAGCTGGATGTAAAGTGGGGAAGAACAGAGATAATTGGATGCTCTGAGGATGGCCTGGAATCCATGTCTGTCTCTCACCACCTCCACGCTCAGTGATGCTGGTGACCTGCAGAAGGAGCTGGTCTCCAGTGCCGTGGCGCTGCAGGTGCATCTGGTTCAGGACCCTAAAAATGCTGAATAAGAACACTCAGTGGGTTCCTCACATCTGCTGTCTAGATTTCACATGTTTCCCTGTGGCCAGCTGTAATCTGCAACTACACACACAAAAAAGCTCTAAGAAATGTAGTTCCAGATAAAATAATTTGCAGAGTACAAAACTGCGATAGTCTGGAGTGACTACAATGAGTAGAGTTTCCCTAACAACTTCGGATGGGCATGTAGCGTGAAGGAAAGACCAACCTTTGCTGTTTTCAGCCTCTCATACCAGGGGGTTGTTTGTTACCACAGGATAACCTGGCAATTCTGACTATTACATCTTTCCTGAGCATTGTATGTAAAGAAGTGTATCATCCTCTCAAGTTGGTCTAGACTATGCCAAGCAGCTTCTTTCTTTCTTACTACTTACTTATTACTATCCAAAATTATCTTACTTATTTGTTTGCTTTTTTAAAAAAATGTCTGCTTCTCTTCAGTAGGCTCCATGAGGATAGGGACTGATGAGTCTTACTCACTGTTGCATCCCCAGTCCCTAGGATAGTACCTGGTTTCTAACAGGTGCTCAATAAATATTTGTGGGGTGAATGAATGAATCTAGAATGGTCTGTGCTTTTCCCTTGTACATAATGGGATGTTCTGTTTGTCTGTCTCCCTGTTGAAACATGAGCTCTTTAAATGCTGGAGCCTGTCTCCAGTGGATGTCTGATTCCTTCTACATAGAAGGATCTCATCTTTGTTGAAATTAACTTGAGGAAAAACAGAAAGGCTAGAATGTAGATGCACAAATTATGCAAATGGAGGTGACAGTGAAAACCATGGGGATTGTTGTGACTTTCAAGTTGCAGACATGATCAGAGGGCTTAGGAACTCTTCTAAGGAATGCTTTAGCTTCTGTATAGAAGCCTGCCACCATGAGTGTCTGTGAGCCTGATTTTTCTCTCCAGAAAACAAGCATTGCCAAATTGATGATGGAAAACTAAACATTTCAAGCTTTAACCTTCCAAACTCAAAGAGTTTTACACAACTGTTTACTTTTATGATAAAACTGAAGAAGTTAATTTTAAAATAGTACTAGAAAATCCATGTAGCACCAAATATGGCCATGATAAAAAACAGAAATAATTTCTAAGTCTGAAAAGCAAGGATAATATTACCCCCCAGGCATATTGCCAGGTTTGTTATGGAGTTTCTCATGTTTTGACCTTTCCTTTTGCAGCTCATTCTAAGCTGATAAATACTTTATGGGCTAGTATTCAAGTACCCAAGAATACTTCTTCACTATGAATTACAAACAGGCTGGGTGTGGTGGCTCACACCTGTAATCCCAGCATTTTAGGAGGCTGAAGCGGGCAGATCATTTGAGGTCAGGAGTTCGAGACCAGCCTAGCCAACATGGTGAAACCCCCATCTCTACTAAAAAATACAAAAATTAGCCAAGTGTGGTGGTGTGCACCTGTAATCACAGCTGCTTGGGAGGCTGAGGCAGGAGAATCACTTGGACCCAGGAGGCGGAGGTTGCAGTGAGCCGAAATTGCACCACTGCACTCCAGCCTGGGTGACAGAGTGAGACTCCATCTCAAAAAAAAAAAAATTAATAATAATAATTAGGAGCAATGTTTTAGTTGCTATTTGCAATCAGCTTTTAACTATATCTGGTCTAACTTTTCCCTGTTTCTCAAAGCAGTCTGCCTCTATTAAACACTTATGTGTCTTTCATTGAAGTCTTTCCTCTAAAGCTCTGTATGCTGGTTTTTCCTGAGCAATCCTACTTTTTTAGTTCTCTTCAGAAGCATCATACCCTATCAGCATGTCTTTCTGTAATATTTTCAAACCAACATCCACTCATTGTCTCCCCTTAATTATTGTAACTATACTTTGATTTTTCTTTGGGGAACCACCTTCAGTTCACATTGCTTTTATTTTCTTTTTTTCTTTTTTTGGTGGAGGGGACAGGGTCTTGCTCTGTCACCCAGGCTGGAGTGCAGTGGTGTGTTCATAACTCACTGCAGCCTTAACCTCCTGAGCTCAAGCAATCCTCCTGCCTCAGCCTCTTGAGTAACTGGGACCACAGGCATGCACCATCATTCCTGGCTAATTAAAAAAAGTTTTTTTTTGTAGAGATGGAGTTTCAACACGTTGCCACATGCATGCAACTTGGTTCAGGTCTCTCAGATCATCACACTCCTCTGGCCACAATTGCTGTAAACATGGGCATCTGGTCCTGATCAGAGACAATGAATTATGGTGTGATAAAGCCTATCTGGATACTTCTGGGAAAGGGACTTTGTTATTCCCTCAGCTATGCACTTGTGAGGACATGCGCGGCTGTAGTCATCTTGTAGTCACGAGAAGAGACCTTGCCTCAGAGTGGAGCCCCACGGCAGACCTTTCCTTTTGCAGCTCATTCTAAGCTCATTCTCTCTCCATCTAAAGGTAGAGAGAGAGGTATCGGCACTTGGTACCATTATTTATGTCTTGATCAAATCATGCCTGAAGTTCCTACTTCTGGACTTTGCAGTAATATGAAGCAATAAATTCCCATTATATTGAAGCCAGTTGGGTTGAGTTTCTGTTATTTGCAACCAAAGAAGTCCTAAGTGATAACACTGCTTAAGCAGTCAACTTTAGTTTTTACAGTGTAACCCAACGTACGTAGGACACAATCAGCTCATCACAGGTGTGAGAATGAATGGTGAGAAAATGGAAACTGAAAGCCAAGATGTGCAGTTGAAGAAAGGAAGAGAAATTTCAGATAGAAACCAAAGGAAGAAATAGGATCAGTGAAGACAGTGATTCTCAAACCAGGTTGTACATTGGAATAGCCCAAGGGTTTTTCATAACATTCCGGTCTGCATCCCATTCCCACGGATCGTGATTACATTGGTCTGGAGTGCAGCCTGGGCATCAGGAATTTTAAAAGTGACTGCAATGTTCAGGCAAAGTTGAGAAGCTCTGCTCTAGGAGATACTTGTGTCTGTTTTTAGGAAAAAAATAAGAAGCCAGGGGAAAGGTAACAGCTGAAGAGGCAGTAGAAGGGCTAAGGAAGCTCGATTATGTAATTACCCAAATTTGTGCTGAAAAATACTGCAGTACTGAAATATTGAGCACCACATCGGTCACTGGTAGAAAAAGTAACGTGTATGCCTTGTGTTTTCTGAGAGCTATGCCAGTGAGCTTTTATCTTTGAGAATTCTATCATTGGACCCAGTCTTAAAAGAAACTCATATCCTAGTTAGAATGATTTGATCATTCTACCATTTTGCACACTTTTTTTCTCCTTTTATGCAATGAACAATCTTGAGTGATGGATTTTAAAAATAAAATGAGGAAAATCATGATCATTAGGTTGAAGATTTAATAATAGACTCTAAAAAAGTCTTCTTGCTTTATTTTTAAATTCAGTGTTAGCTTTTTTTTTAATCAGTGTTTTTGTAAGTCTTAAATTAGTCTCAGAATGTGTTTGAATTTGTAAGACAATATCCACATAAGCTGATTTAAACACAAGTGATTGATTTTGGGGTATAGACCATAACAACTCCCTTCCCTAAAGCTCTAAGGAGACAAAGATTCCTTGTTAGAATTAAAGAAGCAATTATTTTTAAAATAATAAAATAATAAAAGAATATATTTTCTGTGGAAAATATACAAAATTTTGATTAGTAAAAAGAAGAAAAATAATCGACCTAATCTCTAGCTCTTGAAAAATACCATAATGTAATACTATTTTTCACTTGCCTTTTCTGATTAATAATAGAGAACATACTTCTAGGTTACTTTCTATTTTGTAATGATTTTGCTGTTTTAAAAATGTTTTAAGTCTTTTTGTATATGGAAGAAAATTTTATTCATGGAATTGAGAGAAAAGAACAAGGACAAAAGTAAAAATCTCCTATAATTCCATCATACAAATAAATCATTTGGAAGTATAGAGAGTCTTTTTTTAGGATTATTTTTATTTTCTTCTGTGAAACAGGAATTGTTTGTACATCTTTTTTAGCATGCTGTATCTTTAACTTAGCAATATATTGTGAACATGTTTCCAGGTTAAAATATTCTTTTTTATCAAATTTTAAAATTGAATGTGTATTATAGATGGGCCATAATTTTATTTACCCAATATCTGTCATTAAACATTTGGTTCTTTTCAGTATTTTGCCATTTAGTGTAATGTTGTAAATGAACGTTTATAGTTAAGTAATTGTGCCCATTCAGTATGATTCCTTGTATGCATCCCAGGGGTGAAATTGCTGTATCAGAGGATTCAAAGTGGAAATTCTTTGACTTTGATGTGCAATTGTAGATTAGGCAAATAAGATGGTGAAGAGATTATCAACGGTGGAGATCATCAAAGGAGAAATGACGTATTTGTAACCTCTCAAATTAAGGGCATTTCCTCAGTATCATCAACTTCTTCCCATCCTTGGTTACCACATTGAGCTTACAGACCCCAAATCGATAGGCTCCTAGCCTCACTAAATTGCTTTCTTTTGCCCAAATATACCATGTATGTGTTTAGACCTCTGTGCTACTTTATTCCACCTCTGAGAGATAGCTTTTTCACTCTTTTTCATCCTTTTCATCTTTCAACACTCATTTCATGTATTATCTTTCCTGTGAAGCCCAGGCTAAAGTTAGTCAATAGCTCCATTGTCTTCTCACAGTTCTTGGCTCTCAGTTAGCAGAGCTCTTAGAATTCCATACTGTATATCTATTCATGTCTGTCTCTTCTAGAAAACGTGAACTATGTCTTATTTTTTCTTGTCTCTGATGTGCCCATCAGTGATTAGGACTTTGCTTTCAATTGTGATCTTCAGTCTTTATTAACTGCAACCCACAGTAAGAAACAATTTTACATCATGATGTATTATATGTGTTCAACACACACACACACACACACACACACACACACACACAAAACAAAAGTTTCATGGAATAAAATTTGCCATGACAGGATGTCATGCACTCATATTTTCTATTCTATTTGTCATTAAAAATGTTCTGGTCACAGTTCACCAAATCAGTTTACCTACTAATGAGTCATGATTCTCAGTTTGCAAAATTCTACTTAGCATAAGCTCAAGTACTGTTTGTTGATCTGAATTGCAAAACATTGGCTTATTTTGCAGCAAATCTCAGACATTATGTAATTTTATCTATACTCGATAGTGTTAAATGTATTAACATTGTTATGCAATGGATTTTTAGAGCTTTTCATTTTGCAAAACTGAAACTCTATACACATTAACCACTACTTCCCCTTCCCCTCCCCTAGCCCTTGGCAACTACTTTTCTACTTTCTGGTTCTATGATTTTGACTGCTTTAAATATTTCATATCAGTGGAATCATGTAGCATTTGTCCTTTTGTGACTGGGATTTCATTTAGAATAATGTCCTTGAGTTTCATCCATGTTGCAGCATGTGACTGGATTTCCTTCATATTTAAGGTTGCATAATATTCCATTGTATGTATATAGCACATTTTCTTTATTCATCTATTGATGGACATTTGGGTTGCTTCCATTTCTTGGCTATTGTGAATACTGCTGCAGTGAACATGGGTGTACAAATATCTTTTCAAGATCCTGTTTTGAATTCTTTTGAGTATATCACCAGAAGTGGGATTACTGGATCATATGGTAATTCTGTTTTTAATTTTTTGAGGAACCTCTTTACTGTTCTCCATGATGACTACACCATTTTCCATTTCCACTCACAATGCACAAGGGTTTCAGTTTCTCTGCAACATCGCCAACACTTATGTTCTGTTCTTTTGACAGTGACCATCCTAATGGATGTGAGGTGATGTCTCAAGGTGATTTTGATTTGCGTTCCTCTTATGATTAATGATGTGGAACATGTTTTCCTATGCTTATTGGCCATTTCTGTATCTTTGGAGAATTGTCTATTCATGTCCTCGATCCATTTTTAAATTGGGTTATTTTTGTTGTTTTCTCCTTGTTTCTTGATATATGCTCTGAATTGAATTATTAAACTGTGATTCGAGCATCTTACTTTGGCCTGTGAACCATTGTATTCTGTGACCTCTGGGTTAGCTTGCCTGGCAGTTTTCTTGGAGGTTTCTATTGCATCACGGTAATTGCCCACACGTCTTCTTCTTCTTTTTTTTTTTTTTAACTTTTAGATTCAAGGGTACATGTGCAGGTTTGTCATATAGGTACATTGCATGTCATGGAAGTTTGGTGTACAGATTATTTCATCACCCAGGTAATAGCATAGTACCCAATAGGTAGTTATTTGATCCTCTCCCTCCTCCCACCCTCCACCTTCAAGTAGGCCCTAGTGTCTGTTGTTCCCTTCTGTGTGTACACGTGTACTCAGTGTTTAGCTCTGACTTGTAAGTGTGAACATGCAGGATTTGGTTTTCTGTTCCTGCATTAGTTCGCTTAGGATGATGGCCTCCAGCACCATCTATGTTGTTGCAAAGGACATGATCTTGTTCTTTTTATGGCTATGTAGTATTCCATGATGTATATGTACTACGTTGTCTTTATCCAGTCTACCACTGATGGGCATTTAGGTTGATTCCATGTCTTTGCTGTTGTCCACACATCTGAGATGCAACCTAATTTTAAGATCATGCTTGTAACTTTTTTTTTTTAAAAATACACTAATTCTGGACTCTGTCAGTTACTGGACTAATTTCCTCCCCACACCCACCTCTACTTCCCTTCTAAAACAATGCTAATTTTGTTCAGATGTCCATGCCTTCCACATTAGCTCAGTTGCCTCAAGGGAAGCCAACCCCACTCCAGTTTTTCAGTACACCCTGATTGGTGTCAAGAATTCCCATTCAGATTCCCCTTGCCAGTGACTGGCTTGGGGGAATGACCACTTGGTAAATCCTGGCTAATGAGTTGTGGAGGGAGATCTACTGGGATTGGGGTTTTCTGGGAAAGTGTTGCGAAGAGAGACTGCACAGTAAGAGGAAGTCTCCCTTCTTTCCCTATATATTGGGCCAGGAAGTGACACATGCAGTTGCTACAGCCATCTTGCCAATAGCTCCAGGAAGATGTAGAGGGAGGGCGGAGTCTACCTCGCTAATATAGACATCCCTAAGCTACTGAATCTACTACCCCAGAGCCCCCATTACCTCTTATCTTTATGATGTTAAAGTTTTTTCCTTCTTGAAACCAGTTTGTCTAAGTTTTCATTTCTTGCAAATGAAAGCATCTTTCATTGAGTCACTTGCCAAAAGTTATAATTTAAATCACTTTAACTGGTTCTTCCTTTCTTTCTTTTTTCTTTTTTTTTTTTTGAGATGGAATCTTGCTCTGTCTCCCAGGCTGGAGTGCAGTGGCACGATCTCAGCTTACTGCAACCTCTGCCTCCTGGGTTCAAGCAATTCTCCTGCCTCAGCCTCCTGAGTAGCTGGGACTACAGGCACATGTCACCATGCCTGGCCAATTTTTTTGTATTTTTAGTAGAGATGGGGTTTCACTGTGTTGGCTAGGATGGTCTCAATCTCTTGACCTCGTCATCCACCCTCCTCGGCCTCCCAAAGTGCTGGGATTACAGGCATGAGCCACTGCGCCTGGCCTTAACTGGTTATTTCTTAATATGATTATAGACTATCAGCAATAGAATCACATTGGGAGCTTCTTAAAATACACTTTCTGAGGCCCCATTGCAAATCTATTGAATCAGAATTTTAGTGGGGCACTACATTCCTATACACACAAAGACAGCAGAAATAATAGTGAAAACTTGATGAAATGATTTAAAAAATTATCCAAAACTTGCAAATAAAGCTGAGAATGAGTCCATGTCCTTTCAGTGTGAGTGTTGAAAAAATTCACCCAAGATTGATTATATAGAAGAATGCACCTGTGTTTAGCTGCAATTTGCTATTTGGTTAGAACCAGATACTTTAAGTTGTATGTTAACTATGTTTTCTGTCTTGGAGAAAAATAACTCCTCTTGGTGATAGTTTAGTGACCCTATACAACATTACCCAGTTTTGACTCTGTTAGCACATTTATTTCTGCATCCTTTTGGCCAACTTACGATATAAATCCTCATTCCTCAATTTCTCCTTTTAACCAACCTTACCATTATGTTTGTTTCTTCATTAATTAATGAATTAAATAAAATTTTTGACATGTATTCATTGTATATTTGTAGGAGAGTCATGCTTTTTTAAAATTGAAGATTATACTTTAATGGGATTCTTAGTTCCTTTGCTCGTTTTTCCCCTCCCAAGGAGCTGTAGCATGGTTCCTTCCTCATTACCAATAATAGCTGCTTATCTTGGTACCTGCAGATAAAAGGTAAGGAAAGGACTAAGTTTTCCCTTTTGTACCAGTGGCTATTTGTGTGTTTGTAAAACAAGCATGACTGAAGTTGCTTTTACCTTTGGCCACTGTTCTTGGCAATTATAAGCAGTGTCTCAAATGCATTTAGGTGCTGAGCTAATTTTCTGTTTTATTGATCAAATGATGTTTCTGTTCTCTGGAACACATTTAGAGCACTCAAGGTAGGTGTGACCCAGAGTTTTAATTAGATACCAGTTAAAATCTAATTTCTAGCTGCTTGTATGATCATTTGGGGCAAGTTTCTTTGAGGACAGAATAGCCTAGTGGAAGCCGTCAGCCAAGCAGTCCTGGGTTTGAATCCCAGCCCGTGATCACCGCATGATGTTGGGCAGGTTCATTAAAGTCAGTTTTCTTTCATGTGAAGAGGGGGCAATAGCAGATACTTCACAATGTAGTTCTTTAGGTGAGAGGGAAGAAGTTGAATGGAGCACCTCAGAGCTTACCTCTAAGACTAGGTGCTCAGGCTGAATTCATATTCGGCCACATAGAGGCTTGTGGTTCTGAATGAGTTACCTAATATCTTTGAGTATCATTTTCCTTACCTGAAAAGTAAATAATAGTTCCTGCCTCATAGGCTTACAAAGAACATCAAAGGAGCATTTGTCCCATTCGTCAACACTAATTGTTTGAGTACCACTTTCACGTATTTTGCTATGTTTCTATCTCATCTTGTGCGCTCATCACAAATCCTGCTACGTTGGCACCATTTCTACTATCACTTACTTGATATTTTCGTTTAATAAATTTCATTAGATAAATATTTATTGACAGTCTATTTTCTAGAAACTGTTGAGGTTTCGAGGGTCTAGCAGTTTACAAATAGGGCAAAAGTTCCTGCCCTCATACGGTTCATGTCTCAAGTAAATTTGTTTTAAACAGACACTGGATATCACCTCCATTAGTTGGAAAACAATGTCACATGGAAAAGATGGTGACTTGAATGAAAATTGTGAAAGCTAAACAATGTTGGTTTTTACAAATTCTAGCTAGACACAGTCTCCCTTTCTTTGTTTAAAAAATACATTTTTCACTTTTAGAGGGTGTTTGAGACATACTAGTGCCACACTGCAGCCCTCCTTGATGTTATTGGGAAAGTCAATAAAGAACCAGAAAGGGGGCAATTTTTCTCACTGTGGGATTCAATGTTGTTTTATTCTATGGGCCCAGCTGACTCCAAGTTGACTGCACTTATCAGCAGGTATACAGGACAGGTTCCACACTTTGGGGCCCCACTTGGATTCACATAAAGCAGCACAGTCCCAGGCACAGAGCTCAGAGGGAGATAACTTTTGGCTCCAGCAATATTCATCATAAAAGAGGGCACATTCTTCTTTGCATCTGCATGGATAGGAAAGGTCTGGGTATCCTCTGCATGGTTATTAATTACAAAATAGATTTCACATGTGTTTTCACGAGGCTGCGATTTCACAATTGCATCTTAGAATGTGCCTTCAGAGCTCTGAGAGCTCCTGGGCGTCTTGTCTTTGTATCATTTGGCTCCTCGTACTAAAAGCCACATCCTGTTATGTTTGGTTGCTAGGTGGAGAAATGTTATCATGGGCTTCAGCAATAATTTATCCACAAGCTCAAGGAGTTGTCATGTTCTCCTGACAGTGAGCTGCAGCACTTTATCAGCTCGCCTGTAAATCAGGCGTGTGTGGGTGCGAATGCCAGCACTGTTTGATCTCTCGCAGACACTGTAATAATCTGCTTTTGTCTGATTGATTCCTTCACATCACCATGCACATTGCAACAGAGAGTGGGTGCCCTCTGTTTATCTCGGCTGGTCATCTGCAGGAGGCCAACAGGGCAGAAAATGCTCTTCGTGCGGAGATGTAAGAGTTTTTGGAATTGGGGCCTTTCCATCATATCCCCGAGCTGGTTTCGTTCAATAAATCAATGATAGCTGAATTGAATGCACCATAAATACCTCAAACCATATCTCTTACAAGAATGTAAGAGTAATTCATAGAAACAGGAAAGGTAACTTTGTGAGAAAGAATTACGACCCCTACAAGCCACAGACATTCAGGGCTTTTTACTGCCTGTGTTCACATCTCACCCGTTGAACTTTGGGGGAAAAAGAATACACTGCTGGCGGGTGTTTGCTTCCAGAACGTGCACCGGGTAAAATGGAGTAGAACAGATCCTGTCGAGACTGATCACTGCTTTTCATCTGACACCGAGCTTTTCTCAATTTCTGTTGGCTTCTGTTACATGTGGTCCGACTTCATCCCTGGTGTCAAGGGATGCATCGCATCATCATTATGGAGCAATTTGGACTCTGTCATTTGGTGGTTTATGAGTCGCCCTTTTGCCACCCCCACACCAGGCCCACCCTTACGTGAGGATTGTCAGCCTTTCTGATGCTTTAAATGTCTTCCCATCAGGCAAGCCTAGTCCCTGTTTCCTGGGCTCCTAATTGCTGACAGGTAGTTTGGGGCACATTTTGGCATCTCCAGCCCCCAGGAGTTGGGCTGAAATCCGTGAGCTGATTACTGCCTTGAGCATGGCAGCAGCTTGCTGTGCTGTGACCCAGGAGCCATCCCCAGCGTCCACGCCTGCCCCAGTTGAAAGCAGAGGTCAAGCTGTATTGTAGATGTGATTGACTAAAATCCCATCGGAGAGGAGGATTGTGTTGTAGCATCCCCCTCTTGGATGGCGGCAAGATGAAATTACATGAAGAAGCCTTTCAGCTCAGAAATGAATGTAGCTATAAAAAAAAAAAAAATAAAGACAGCTTGAGTTGACTGTTTAGTGCAATCAAAGGCATGCAATTGTTCTTATTTTCATAATGGTAGTCAATAATATTAATGATTATTTATTCCACTCCTATTGTGTGCTCAGACATATTTCAGTCACCTGATAGACATTATTAGAAACAGTCTACATTAGTGGTTAGAGCACAAGTAGGCAAACCACAGCCAGTGGGCCAAATCCAGCCAGCCACCTGTTTTTGTCAGTAAAGTTTTATTAGAACACATCCACACTCATTTATTTAGATATCATCTATGACTGCTTTTCCCTACAACAGCAGAATTGAATATTTGTAACAGAGACTGTGTGGCCTGCAAAGGTGAAAATACTATCTGGCGACCATTTAAAAAAACATTTGTTGTTGACACTTGAGTTAGAGGATTGCTTTGGTGCTAGACTGCCTGTTCAAACCCTGGCTTTACCACTTAACAGCTGTGAGACATTGGGCAAGTTACATAACCTCTTTAAACCTTGGTTTTCTTTCATGTAAAATGGAGATTATAATAATGTTGGCCAGGCACGGTGGCTCACGCCTGTAATCCTAGCACTTTGGGAGGCTGAGGTGGGCAGATTGCCTGAGCTCAGCAGTTCGAGACCGGCCTGGGCAACATGGTGAAACCCCGTCTCTACTAAAATACAAAAAACTAGCCGGGCGTTATGGTATGCGCCTGTAATCCCCGTTACTCAGGAGGCTGAGACAGGAGAATCACTTGAACCTGGGTGGTGGAGGTTGCAGTGAGCCGAGATTGCACCACTGCACTCCAGCCTGGGCGACAGAGCGAGACCCTCGTCTCCAAAATAAATAAATAAATAAATAAATAAATAAATAAATAAATAAAAATAATGTTTATCTCATTGAGTTGTTGTTGGTGTAATGAGCACTGCTATGGTTTGAATCTGTCTCCCAGAAGTTCATGCGTTGGAAACCTAATCCCCAAATTTATGTTGATAGTATTTGGAGGCAGGGCCTTTGGATGGTAATCAGGATTAGATGAGGTTATCAGGGTGGGGCCCCATTGAGAGGACTAGTAGCTTTATAAGAAGAGGAAGAGAGACCTGAGTTGACATACTCTTGCCCTCTTGCTGTGTGATGCCCTCCACCATGTTATGACACAGTAAGAAGGGCCTCACTAGATGCCAGTGATGTGCTCTTACACTTCCCAGCCTCCAGAAACATAAGCCATATAGACTTCTATTCTTTATAAATCACCCACTCTGTAGTATTCTGTTATAGCAACAGAAAATGGACTAAGAAAATGGACAAATATGTTAGCCATAACTCAACTGGTAACAATATTCTCTCTGAACATCCTGTTATTTGTTCTCTTGTGCCCACTCTGAGCAGATACATCTGTTCTTCACCTGCCATTTAGGTGCTGATGTCTTGCATGTTTTGTGCCTGTGCATTTGCTTGCATGAATTTATGGGAGTGGACATGTGCAGCCCAGAACATTTGAGAAAGATCAGGGCAGAGTTACAGGCTTCATAAACCATGATGCTTTTACAGGTACTTTAAATATATTCCCAACGTTATTTGAAGGGTTTATTCCAAAGTCTGCACAAAATCCTCTTAGTCTGACTGTTCAAATTAGAATGATAGTGACCTCAGTGGCGTTACAGGATGATTTACAACATATTTGAGAGTACATATTTGCTCTTCACAATTTTAAGAGGGCTTAGACCTAGTTTTAAAAAATTGAAGGTTAAGTCGCCTATGTGAAACCTTCAACTCCTGAAAACTGGATTTTGAAATCCATGATTTTATACTCTATCATAGGAGTCACAACATTTTTCTGTATAGGGCCAGAGAGTATCTGTTTTAGGCTTGCATCTGTTCAGCTCTGCCACTGTAGCACAAAACAGCCGTAGATAATATGCACACAAGTGGTTTAGTGTTGCTATAATAGAATATCTGAAGCTGGGTAATTTATAAAGAAAAGAGGTTTATTTGGCACACAATTCTGGTGACTGGAAGCTTCAAGATTGGGCAACTGCATCTGATGAAGACTCTTACTGCTTCCACTCATGGTGGAAAGAGGAAGGGGAGCAGGTGTGTGCAAAGAGATTACACGGTAAGAGAAGAAACTAGAGACAGAGCAAGGCTCTTTTTTTTTTTTTTTTTTTTTTTGAGACGGAGTCTTGCTCTGTCGCCCAGGCTAGAGTGCAGTGGCGCAATCTTGGCTCACTGTAAGCTCCGCCTCCCGGGTTCACGCCATTCTCCTGCCTCAGCCTCCCAAGTAGCTGGGACTACAGGCACCTGCCACCATGCCCAGCTAATTTTTTTGTATTTTTAGTAGAGACCGGGTTTCACCATGTTAGCCAGGATGGTCTTGATCTCCTGACCTTGTGATCCACCGGTCTCAGCCTCCCACAGTGCTGGGATTACAGGCATGAGCCACCGCACTCGGCCAAGCCAGGCTCTTTTTAACAACCCGCTCTTGGAGAAACTAGTCCATTCCTGTGAGAGCGAGAACTCACTCACCCCTGTGGGAGGGCATTAGTCTATTCATGTGAGCTCCATGGACATAACCCCAACACCTCTCACTACTTCCCACCTCCCAGCACTGCTGCATTGGGCATCAAATGTCATCATGAGTTTTGGTGGAGATCACACCACATCTAAACCACAGCAAATGAGTGTTCCTATAAAACTTTGCTTACAAAACAGGTGATGGGTTGTTGGCCCAATCAGCCAATCTTGCTCTACCACCTCTATCTTTAAAAGCTCATATTTAGTACTTGTCCTCAGTTCCTTATGGGTATTAATTTATTAATCCTAACAAGGATCTTAGGTGGTAGTTGATAGCTTCATCATTGGCTTTTATAGGTGAAAAGTTGAGGGATAAGGAGGTTAAATAATTTGCCCAAGATCCACAGAGCTTCAACTCAGCCTATCTGGTCCCAGAGCTAGTACACTGAGGCACCATTCTATACTGTCTCCTTTAGTCTTAGTGTACATAGTGCTATTCTTTATATGAAAATTGTCCTTGATTTTTTTTTTTTTTTTGAGACAAAGTCTCGCTCTGTCACCCAGGCTGGAGTGCAGTGGCGCGATCTTGGCACACTGTAAGCTCCGCCTTCCGGGTTCACGCCATTCTCCTGCCTCAGCCTCCTGAGTAGCTGGGACTACAGGCGCCCGCCACCACGCCTGGCTAATTTTTTTTGTATTTTTAGTAGAGATGGGGTTTTACTGTGTTAGCCAGGATGGTCTCGATCTCCTGATCTCGCGATCCACCCACGTCGGCCTCCCAAAGTGTTGGGATTGCAGGCGTGAGCCACTGTGCCAGGCCAAAAATTGTCCTTGCTTTTAAATTTCGTTTGTGTGTCTGTAAGGACTCCTTTATGGAAGACAGTTTTAAAACAATTTCTCCCATCCCTAGTTGTGTTTGTAACCAAAAGAGAGAACACTCTATCTTTATGGATACTAATGGGTTGGGGTCACTATTTTTCAATGAATGGGTACTTGAGTCCGCCAAATCCTTGCCACTCAAAATGTGGTCAGCTTTTGTGGGCTTGCAACCAGCGCAGAGTCCTGCACTTGGAAGTGGCTGCATGCTTGAGGTTTAATGCTCTGTGGTTGCCACCTTGAGATTTGTAATTCTATGTTTATTTGTGTTTTGTAAGTGACATCCAAAGGGACATTACTTGTGCCCGGAACTTGGAGCCTCAGCTCACGTTAGTTCCTGCCTTCTGCTCCCTGTCCACTCCCTGGATGGCTTCTTGGCTCCCCACTTCCTGACACTGTCCAGTGACGGCTGCTGCCCTCTGTCTTGATGGGGCCTCACTCCAGTGAACTTATCTCATGAGCATCCCTGTGTCCAAGAAAGAACAACATTACAAAGCAAATTAGAAAACACCAAGGCAGATGGAGAGAGAGACCACAAAGAAACATTTCTAAAAATTGCTTTTTGAATAAAGGGGCCAGCATTTTTTAGTCTACACTGAGCCTCACAAATTATGTAGTCGGTCCTGGCTGACTCTCAACAGCAGTATTACCTGGGAGCTTGTTAAAAATGCAGAATCTCAGGCTGCACCCCAGACCTGCTGAATCAGAATCTGCATTTTTTTCCAGGATCCCCAGGTGATTCCTGTGCACATACAATTTTGAGAAACATAGCCCAAAAGACGGCTTCCAAATGGACCAGATGATCGGATGCTTAAAAGGCATCCCAGGCAATTCTGGGGCTCAGCCACTTCTGGGATCCATAGTCCCATATGGATGTTTCCCAGACTTACCTGATGATCAGAAACCTGAGGCAAGTTTATAACAGCAGGAGCTCCCAGGCTGTCTGCTCCAATCTCTGCATCAGACTCTCTGAAGGAGGGTCCTGGGAATACATATTTTTAACAAGCACTCCAGATGACCCTTCTTAGGCAGTAAGTTTGGAAAACTCAACTCTTTATAAATGACACACGAGGACCTAGAGGCATCCCCAAACATCTAACTTGTATCCATATCTGTCACTTACCTGTAGAACCCGGCTTAACCTCACTTGTAATTTATAAGCATTTTAACTAGAGCTGCTTCATCTCAATCATCTGTGTGTTTGCAGGTCACAGTAAAGAGCTATTTCAGTGCAATGAAAATGGAACCCAGGGTATTTGGGAGTTTTGACATCCAGGCCTAGTATCGTAAAGACACCAAGGTAAAGCAAGACAACCAGGCCCCTGGAGGTTATGTCTTTGGGCAACTGCTATCAATGTTAGAGAGACTGGGGGGAAGAGAAGGAGCAATGCTTCTATCCGTCAGTAGTTACTCTGTGTGCATAGGTTGCTCTCAAAGACCTTGGACCACTGCGTGGTGGTGGCCCGGAAGGTCAACAGTGTATTAGGTGACATCAGGGATGAACCGAGAAATGGTAGGGTCTCAACCTTGTACAAAACAACAGAGTATTTGGATCTGGGATGCTGAGTGCTGTGTCTGACTGTACTCCCAGGTAGACATAAAGGGGTGGAAATAAGTCCACAAGAAATGGGTCCTTTTTGTGGGAGGTACAAAGTATAGTCATCAACCAAAGTCAGACTAAAGTAGCTGGAACTTTTCTGTCCCATGCATAGACTGTGAAAGAGCAATATAGCCAAGAAACCTTATAGAAGCATGGTTTCCAAATGGACCATGCTGGTTGCGAACTCCTGAGGGAGGGAGGCCAGAGGAAGGCAAGACGAGCTATGACCTATACCCTCTAAAGGGGATCAGTGCCAGCTCAAGCTAGTTATGCATATGTTTATGTGTATACTTATACATATATGCATGTAATATACACATATATGTAAATGTGTTATACTTTTAGTGTACACCATTATGGCCATACCATTCACAGCTTTTACCTGCTTTGCTTGACCAAGGACCATGCAGTGCCAGTTGTTAAAATTTGTGTATACACATATAGAGAATAATTAGCTATGTTACTATATACTTACATATGAGTATATACATTGTATTACACTATATTATACAACATTATATTATTTCATATTGTACATATGTAAACATGTCCTATGTCGTTCCAAATGTCAGACTATGGCCAAAGGGCTTGACCAACTCTGGACCACCCAACAAAAAATTCCAGTTTTTTGTTGAGTAAGCAATAAATGTCCTTATGGTTTATACTTGTGCTATTCAAAGTGTGGTTCTTGGATCAGCTGCATTGATATTCCCTGGGAGCCTGTTAGAAATGCACACTCTTAGGCTCCACACCAGACCTGTTGAATCAGAATCACCGTCTTAACAATCATCCCAGGTCATGCATGTGCACATTAAAATATGAGAAGTGGTCTGGGCGTGGTGGCTCACACCTTTAATCCCAGCACTTTGGGAGGCCGAGGTGGGCAGATCATGAGGTCAAGAGACTGGGACCGTCCTGGCCAACATGGTGAAACCCTGTCTCTACTAAAAATACAAAAAAATTAGCTGGGCATGGTGGCATGCACCTGTAGTCCCAGCTCCTTGGGAGGCTGAGGCAGGAGAATTGCTTGAACCCGGAAGGTGGAGGTTGCAGTGAGCCAAGATCGCGCCACTGTACTCCAGCCTGGCAACAGAGCAAGACTCAGTCTCAAAAAAAAAAAAAAAAAGTGCTTAAGTAGACTAAGCCTTGTTCTTTTATTTGGGGCCTTTTCTGATGCTGTTCCTTTTCCCTGAAAACACTTATCTAGCATGCTTTGCTTTGTGCCGGAATCTAGATGCTGCAAGTTCACTCCCACTGTTGAAGGGTTTGTCTAGTGGGCCTCTTGACTTGCAAGTCAGTGCTTTTTCTTTTATTCTTAGGTAAGTATTGCAGCTCTTTGTGTTGGTTATCTATTACTGTGTAACAGATTACCCCCGAAATGTAGCAGCTTAAAATAACACATATTTATTATCTCATATTTATTATGGGTCAGGGATCTGGGCGCCTCTTAGTTGGGTTGTCTGCTTCATGGTCTTTCCTGAGACTGCAGTCAAGGTGTTAGCCAGAGATGGGGTCTCTTCTGAAGGCTCAGCTGGGAAGGCCCCCTTCCAAGCTCAGTCCCATGGCTTTTGGCAGGAGTCAGTTCCTCAAGACTTGTGACACTAAGGCCTCATTTCTTCACTGTCTGGCTGGTTGCTGTCCAGAAGCCACCTTCAGTTTCTTGCTAGGTGAACCCCTGCAACATGGTAGCTTGTTTTATAAAAGTCAGCAAGGGAGAGAGTCAGTCAGCAAATGGAAGTTACAGCTTTTTAAATCAAATCGCAACAGTCAGTCATGTCTCTTTAGTGCTGTCATATTCTATTGGTAGAAGCGAGTTACTGTATGAGGGGGAATCACACAATGCTGTGAATACCAGGAAGCAGGTATCATTGAGGCCATCCTAGAGTCTGTCTGCCACACCTCTCTGTGTCTCAGTTTTCTTATTTACAAAATGGAGAAATAATAAAACCCACTTTATAAAGATTGAATTAAATGTGTGGTTTAAATGAGATGATTTCTCCTAAAGCCCTTTGAATTGTTCCTGGCCTGTACTGTGTTCAAAAATGTTAGTTGTGCTGCTCTTGTTATATTTGGCGTTTTTAGTAGCACCCTGCTGATTACTATTATTGTTGTTAATGACAATAATTACACAGATAAAGAGCTCAGTAGATATATATGCAAGATATTATGCCAAATATTTTACATGTGCTTTCAAATTTAACCTTAATGACAACCATGTGAGGTGATGGCTAATTTATTAATTTCACCCTTCCTATAATTGACTAAACCAGTGTTCATAAACAACAAAACCAGAAGATTGCCCAAGATCATACTGCTTATAAATGGCTAAGTTAGGATTAAAATCCGTATTATTGGTCTCTAGATTTAGACTTTTTTTAACCATTATGTATTAGCTTATGTTTAATATGGACATTTTCTCACTGTCTTGTAAGATTTTTTTTTTGCCATTACTTAGGAGTCCTTGACATAGGCAACAAGGAATAGAAGTGTGATAGTCCTACCAGTTAATGACTGACATGCTAAACTTTAAGGGGAAAGACATTATATAGGTGCTATGGTTTGAATGGGTCCCCCAAAGGTCATATGTTAGAAACTTATTTGTTAATGCAACAATAGTAAGAGGTGGGGCATTTAAAAGGTGATTGAGTAATGAGGGCACACCTCTCAAATATGGATTAATGCCATTATCAAAGGAGTGATTTCTAGAGAAGTTAATCTCAAGATTAAATCTTGAGATTAATGCCATTATTTAACGAGTGAGTTAGTTTTCAAAAGTGGGTTGTTGTAAAAGTGAGGTTGGCTCACTTTTGCAATATTTTTCACAAGCACTCACTTGCTCTTCTGCTTTTCCACCACGTTATGATGTAGTATGAGGCTCTCACCAGAAGCTGCTGCCATGTCCTTGAACTTCCCAGCCTCCAGAACCATGAGCCAAGTAAACCTCTTTTCTTTACAAACTACCTAGTCTCTGGTATTATATTACAGTAACAGTATCTTTCCCCCATTTTTGGGGAAAGATAAGTTTCTTTCTTAAATAAATGTGAAAATTCATTATTTGTTTCTTCCCCTTACACTGTGGGATGCTGTTATGGTCTGAATATATGTGTCCCCCAAAATTTATATGTTGGAACCTATTTACCCAATGTGATAGTATTGAGAGGTAGGGACTTTAGTAGGTGGTTGGGTTATGAGGGTGGAGGCCTCATGAATGGGATTAGTGCCCTTGTAAAAGAGGCTTGAAGGAGCCTCCTCAGTCTACCCTTCTACTATGTGAGGATATAGCTAGAAGGTACCATCTTTGAAGGAGAGAGAGCCAGTCCTTGGCAGACACTGAGTCTTCTGGCACCTTGATCTTCCCAGCCTCCAGAAATGTGAGCAATAAATTTCTGTTGTTTATAAATCACCCAGTTTAAGGTATTTTGTTATAGCAGCCCTCATGGTTTGAGTTAGGCACCTACAATGTAAGAGGCATCCCTAAGCATCAGTCCTTGAGTATAAAGCATTATCCTTGTTCTTCCTCAGTGTCCAGTCTTATGACTATGCTGTCCACTACCCGTTGGGCTGCCTGAGATAGAGATATGTAGTTGTCCTCAACATCCATCATTCCCTTGATCCTTTACTAATAAGGCCCGTAATTGTATTTGGAAACATGGTGGCCCAGCTGAAGACTGCATTTTTCAGCCTCTTTTGAGCTGGAGCTGGGCAACAGAATGTGAGAAGAAGTGATAATCAGATCTTTAAAGGGTGAAGGCATTTCCTCTAGTCTTCTGTCTTTGAGCTGCCCTTTCTTCCTCTTTATGTAATGTGGCTGGGACTGATTTCATCCTTGCTCCAGGGGCCTGCAGCCTGGTCAATCAGATCATCAGCTTCTTCCTGGTCATTGTGATGTGCCCATATCACATCCACCCAGGCCTGACCAATTGAGTATCCCATTTCTCCCTGTCTCAGTGACTGGTTCAGGGGTATGTGTAGATGACCCCAAATCTAGGCCAGTGGAACACAACTTTGGAACTTTCATCACGATATTGGAAAGAGAAAAGTGGCTACCTTCCTGCTGAGCCTACAGTGGTTGGACTATGTATAACCCAAGAACTGCTGGGTACACCATATGGCTAGAATGTGGCTGAGAGGGAAGGTGATATTGATGAAAACAGAACTACGAGAGGGACTGAAAGAGATCTCACACTATTGTCTGAGGCTCCCCCTTCATCCCTGCCAAAGCCCCGTGTACACTGGGACTTGTCATTTTTGTGAGATAATAATTTCCATGCCCTTAAAAGTAACTTTTAAAAGCATTTATTTATTTATTTATTTATTTTAAGTAAACCAGTTTAAATGGAAGTGCAGTCCCTTGAATCTGAAAAAAAATTGCTTTCTGATATCATAATAGTTCTTACACTTTGTGATTGGGGATTGTTGGGAAAATTAAATGAGATGATTCATGCGAAACCCTTAGCACAGTGCCAAGATAGTGTCTGATTAATGCTGGCTATTCTCGTTCTTACTAGTGGAAAGAGAAAATGTAGACTCATGTTATGTTTTGGGCATTGAAACTTACTTTAAAAGGGTTTATGATGACTACATAGATTTGTAGACCTGCCACCACCAATTCATAGACCAGCTACATCGGTGGACCCCTGTTTTTCAGGGCTTTTGCTATGGGGGACATACAGAGAGGCAAGTTACAGACCTACCCTGAGGCTGTTATAGGGGAGGCAGGGGGAAGCCGTGGCTAACAGCATGGATCCTGGAGCCATATAAGCTCCAGATTCTCCTTCCGTCACTCATTAGCTGTATGACTTAAGTCAGCAAATTTCACCTCTAGGCCTCTGTTTCCTCTTCTGTGAGATAAAGATGATACCTGTTTGAAGTTAAAGAGGTGAATGTGTGTGTTAATGAGCCCAGTGTCTGGTACTGAGAAAGTTGTCAATTAATGGAAGCCATCACTTCCCATAAAAGTTTTTAAAATATAATCGATCATATTATATTACCTAGTAATATAAATTCCTAACTTGCAAACTGTCTTGTAACAAAAATCTTATCTGTATGTTTTTCATTTATCTCTAGATCCCAGCTCAGTGCTTGGCATAGAATAAAATATGATTAAAGTTTTCTGTATGAATCTTTTTTCTTTATCAAATCCTTTTTGACTCAAGGACTACAGATTACGTCCTGACTGGGTGCCCTGAATCCAGCCCTGCCCCCTCTTTGGCCCGTTCACTGTGAATTCATCTGTGAGCACTTGGTCACTGAGTGCCCACTAGGGGCCAGGCACATAGACAAGCGGACAAGATAGTCACCAGCAGCCGACAAGACAGTCAAGGAATCCATCTTTGTGGGGCTCGGAGTCTAGTAAAAAAGATGGATGAACAAATGAATATGTATTATAGTAGCAGGAAGGGATGAGGACTCTGGAGAAACATAGACCAAGATACAGGATAGAAAGTGGCAGTGGATGTTTCTTTAGATCAATTCTTCAGAGAAGACTTACTGGAAGAGGGGACATTTGAGCAGAAATCTGAATGAAATGACTGGGTGAATGAAACAATGTGGTCTGCTGGAGGTGGGGGGTGGGAAGGCAAAGCAAATGCAAAGACCCTGGGGTTGAAGCTTGCTTGCCTTGTTCAAGGAACGGCGAGGGGCCAGTGTAACTGAGCTTAGTGAGTGTGGTTGGGGAGATGACGTCAAAAAGGCAATTCTTAATATTTTAGAAATGTGTTTTTAAAATCCTGCATTTAATTTTCACATTAGTAATCACATCACATCAGTAGTCACAGCTTTCTGTGACTTCCAATTGCTCTTCAAATAAAGTCTTGCATGGATTTAAAAAAATTCTTTATTGTTAATTTTTAATTTTTGTGGGCACATAGAGTTGTATATATTTATAGGGTACATGAGATGTTTGGATACAGGCATGCAATGTGAAATAAACATGTCATGGAGAATGCGGTATCTATCCATCCTCCCAAGCATTTATCCATTGAGTTGCAAACAATCCGATTATACTATTTATTTTAAAATGTACAGTTATTATTGACTGTAGTCTGTTGTGCTATCAAATAGTACATCTTATTAATTCTTTCTAACTATTTTTTGTGCCCATTAACCATCTCCACCTCCCCCACAGCTCCCTACCTCCCTTCCCAGCCTCTGGTAACCATCCTTCTACTCTATATGTCCATGAGTTCAATTGTATTGACTTTTGGATCCCACAGATAAGTGAGAACATGTGATGTTTGTCTTTCTGTGCCTGGTTTATGTAACTTAGTGATCTTCAGTTCCATCCATGTTGTTGCAGATGACTGGATCTCATTCTTTTTTATGGCTGAATAGTACTCCATTGTGTATATGGACGGTATTTTCTTTATCCACTTACTCGTTGATGGATGAACACGTAGGTTGCATGGATTTAGAACCTCTGTGTAGCCTCTACCAGACTCACTTTCTTATTGGTTCAGCAGTGCTGGTTTTGAAAGTTTTGCAGAAAAGAACCCATCTCCATGCTGCTTCGGGGCCGTGTACATGCTGTTCTGACATTCTTTTCTTTTCCTTGACCATCCAACACCCACTCCTCTGATATGTCCTCAGAGAGCCTCCCTTGACCCTTGTCCTGAGATTTGGTCAGGTTTGGTTTTGAAACATTTTCAAGAATTTTGTTTTTCTTCCTTGAGGCACTTTTAACCACTGCAAATAGCTAATAAATTGAGCACTTGATTTAATGCCTACCCCTTCGGATAGTTTGTAAGCTTTCCAAGATCAGACTTCCTGTATAGATTATTTAGCAGTGTCCTGGGGTCTTGGGAAAGTTTTAACAAATAGCACTCAAGAAGTGGTCATTTATGGAATGAATGGATAGGCATTCTGAGGCAGGACCCTTCTCTACCACCTGCACCTACCTCACTCACCTGCACCTACTTGCACCCACCTTCACTCACCTGCACCTACCTGCACCCACCCTCACTCACCAGTACCTACCTGCACCCACCCTCACTCACCTGAACCTACCTGCACCCCCCCTCACTCACCAGTATCTACCTGCACCCACCTTCACTCACCTGAACCTACCTGCACCCACCTTCACTCACCAGTATGTACCTGCATCCACCCCTGCTCACCAGTACCTACCTGCACCCACCTTCACTCACCTGTACCTACCTGCACCCACCTTCACTCACCAGTACCTACCCGTGTCCACCCTTGCTCACCAGTACCTACCTGCACCCACCTTCACTCACCTGAACCTACCTGCACCCACCCTCATTCACCAGTACCTACCTGTGTCCACCCTTGCTCACCAGTACCTACTGCACCCACCTTCACTCACCTGCACCTACCTGCACCCACCTTCACTCACCTGTGCCTACCTGCACCTACCTTCACTCACCTGTACCTACCTGTGCCCACCTTCACTCACCTATACCTACCTGCACCCACCTTCACTCACCTATACCTACCTGCACCCACCTTCACTCACCTGTGCCTACCTGCACCTACCTTCACTCACCTGTACCTACCCGCACCCACCTTCACTCACCTGTGCCTACCTGCGCCCACCTTCACTCACCTGTGCCTACCTGCGCCCACCTTCACTCACTTTTACCTACCTGCACCCACCTTCACTCACCTGTGCCTACCCGCACCCACCTTCACTCACCTGTGCCTACCTGTGCCCACCTTCACTCACCTGTACCTACCTGCACCGACCTTCACTCACCTGTGCCTACCTGTGCCCACCTTCACTCACCTGTGCCTACCTGCGCCCACCTTCACTCACCTGTGCCTACCTGCACTTACCTTCACTCACCTGCGCCTACCTGTGCCTACTTTCACTCACCTGAACCTACCTGCACCCACCTTCACTCACCTGTACCTACCTGCACCCACCTTCACTCACCTGTGCCTACCTGCACCCACCTTCACTCACCTGTGCCTACCTGCGCCCACCTTCACTCACCTGTGCCTACCTGCACTCACCTGCACCTACCTGCGCCTACCTTCACTCACCTGAACCTACCTGCACCCACCTTCACTCACCTGTACCTACCTGCACCCACCTTCAGTCACCTGTGCCTACCTGCACCCACCTTCACTCACCTGTACCTACCTGCACCCACCTTCAGTCACCTGTGCCTACCTGCGCCCACCTTCACTCACCTGTGCCTACCTGCGCTCACCTTCACTCACCTGTGCCTACCTGCATCCACCTTTACTCGTCTGCACATGCATATGCCCATAATATACTGTCATAGAAAGTGAGTGTTATAGACAAGTTGGGGGTTAAAACATCCAGAGGCAGGAGCAGTGGGCCTTGATGGCCTGTAGGGAGGGGTCAAAGGAACATTTGAGAAAAGTTTCTGGAGGTGATGTGCTTGGAGATGATACTGGGAATCATCATCAACCTGTACTCTGGGACGTAGATGAGGATCTCTTGGATTAGGGGTGAGATGGAGCTAACGTTTTAAAAATATTAAGCTTAGGAGAATCTAAACAGTGAGAAAAAAGAGAAACTTTTTTCCTCAAAAATGCAACTGCATTGTATGGAGCAGGGAGAGAGAAGTCATGGGCCAACTGAAGCGACAATCAGGAGGATGCACTGGGGGTGTTGTCACCGTGTTTTCTAACAGATTACAAAGCCTCCTTGCTAAAGAACTGACCTTTTAGTTTATACCTGAGTGACACAGGCAGCAGCATTTCCCATAATGAGAAGATGAATGGAAAAAGTATGTCTGAAGCCTTTCCTATCATGTTTAATGAGAGATGAGTTTTTCTCTACAATTTCTTAATGAAATGCTTCAAACATGACTTTTAAATTGAAAGGAAAACCTTATCATTTTGTGTACTCCTGCGGCTCTGCATCCCCTGAGCTGGGATGAGTCAACAGAAATTGTAACACGACAAGGAAGAAGTTTCCACGAGGACGCCTCCTGCAGGTTTGTGCTTACTTTCCCTGATGAAATGATGGCGTCTCCTGTTTCCTCACGCTTGCAGTGTTCACGTTGTTTCCATCGCCTTGAGAGATGCTCCACACTGGTTACATCACTCCTTGGCTGTCATCATCTGTCCGTCTTTGGGGGAAATGACAGAGTGAGGTTTAGAAAGAAATATGTCTGAAAGGATCACATACTAAATGGTCCAAGAAGAATATCAGTATTTTTAAATGATCCAAAATCATGGGCTATTGGACCTTCTGGATATGTGGTCACTCTTTTCATATAAAGGGGAACCATCAGAAGAGTATCCGATGCCTAAAATATTTGCTTTTTCATGTGAAATTATCTAAAGACAAATTGACCAAACAAAACAAAACAAAACAAAAACTCTCCCTCTTATCTGGATTTCATTAAAATAAAGTAAGACTAAAGGTATTTTTTACTTTTTTGTCTGCGTCTGTTCTCAATTAACCGCATAAACACTTCATAAATCTTGCATCAGGGTAATATAACACTGTACAGTGCATTTTAACTGGAATATTTTGTTTTCTGAGTGCTGTGGAAGGTGGAAACCGCTGAGCCCTGGCTGGGGCAGAGCCTGCCAGGCCACATTCTGGAGTTTCTGGAGCATCGCAGGTGAATTCTTTGTCCTGTGTTGGTGCAGAGAAGGGGTTTCAAAGTCACGTGGAGTTACTTCCAGCTCTGACTTCTTGCTTTTCTAAATTTTCTTGGTCCTGTGAAATAAAAATGAGCTTTCTTAAGATTCATTTTTTATTTCCCTCCAGTGAAAATGTCTCTTATTTCCTCTCATTCTCCTCCTCCCTTCCCCACATACCAAGACACTTAATTGAGGGTTTAAGCTTGTTGGCTAATAGCTAATCAATGTTTTCTTTGACTTGGGAATATGGATAATGTGTTTATACTATTTGTAACCTACTTTTTCCTAAAGGGAAATGAGGTAGTACACACACACAAAAGCAGCAAGAAATGTAAAACAATAAAAATGGAAATTTGGGGTCAGGGAAGGTAGAAATTAAAGTACAAAATAAAAAATGAATAACAAAATAATCCAGTAAGTATATCACCAAGCTTGACTACTATCAAGCTTCATAGTTTTCTCTGAGCTTCCTGCTAGCCAAGAGAAAAGGGGATGAATGGAACAACTGGTTCCATAATTCTCATTTTCTCAAAGAAAATCCAAAGTATTTCTAATCCTTTTGACGAAGAATATTTTATAAACCTGAATTTTGAGCAGCACCTCACACAGGGGCAAGGGGAATAGCTGAATTAAACATCAAACAGAATGGTGATTTTCATGGGATAGTACTTGGTAGCATTGTTCAAGAAAATCCAAGCACGTGACATTAAAACAACTCAGTGAGGAGGACTCCATGCAGACATTGTGGTCCAAGAACAAGGCATATTGGTAGAGGGAATAATTAGGAGAATCTGATATACAGCATGGTTACATAGGGAAATGTCATATTACTTCTACAGAGACTGTCCCTTGTGGTGACTGACAAAAGACATAATGAAAACCGTCTGTTTAGATGGGGAAAATGTAGGTGGAGCTACTGCATTCTCACCTGGGAACACTGAGCTCACATGTGACTCATAGGGACACATCTAACCTCTTGAGTAGATTAATGGCTTAGTTGACAGGGACTGCTTAATTTAAGAGTGATATCGTGGGGGTTGCCCAGGCAGAGTACTACATGTCTGGCTGTGATTGAGACTAGGCCTCTCAGGCAGAGCTTTTAATATGCCTTTGACAGAATGTTACACCTTGTCATGCCTCAATCTTTTTAATCGTTGCTAATGATGATAATAAAAATAATGGCAATATTCAAGGCAGAGGCGAACAAAGAAAAGGCAATGACTCGTAGAGTGGATTGAGGTGTTGTGGAAAGAAAGCCCAGGCTGGAAATGTGGGGGCTACTTCTGGCATTGGCTTAAGCATGGTATATACAGGTGATTCTTTTACGTCTCCCATTTTTCTAATTTGCAAGAGAGGCTATTGTAGTGGTTCTCCAACTGTCAGCTTTTGGCCAGCAGCATTGGTATCAGCAGGGAACAAAATAAAAAATGCAAATTCCTGGGCCCCAGACCTACTGAGTCATAAACTCTGGGAATGTCTCTCCGTGATTTGTTTCTTGATTACAGGTATGAGCCACCGCACCTGGCCTGAGCAGTTTGTTTCTTAACAAGCAGTCTCAGTGATTCTGATGTATGCTCAAGTTTAAGAACTATTGGGCCTTTGAGTTAAGTCTCCTTCTATATGTGTGCTAGATTGATATAAAAATGGCCCCAATTCTCCATCCCTCTTTGTATCTATACCTTTTGCAAGCTACTCCTGTTAGGAGGTAGAGATCTTGGATATTCTTGAATATTTGAAATTTGAATTCTTGAATATTCTCGAATATTGAACATTCTTGAATATTTACTGCTCTTGCATCTTGCTTTGGCCAATAGAATGTGGCAGAAGTGATGGGGTGCTGTTTCGAAGCTACTCAGTTCTCTTGCTCTTTGTTTCTGTTTCTGTCTCTCTTGCGCTCAATTTTTCAGAACCTTGTACAGTCCTGAGAATGAGCCTGGACCAACTTGCTAGAAGATGAGAATGGGTATGAAAGAGAGCTGAGTCCTTCCTACACAGGACATCGTAGACCAGCCACCTCCAGCCAGCCTGCTAGTTGACCAAGGTGCATAGGTCAGCTCTGCCTGATAGAAGTTGGGCCTTAGTCCAGAGGACATACTAAGCCAATCTACAGACTTGTAAACTAAAACAAATGGACATTGCTTTAAACCACTGAGTTCTGTGGTTGTTTGTGATATAGAATTATTATGGTAATAGATAACTGGTACATGATGGAAATGCTACAATTCTGGAAATCTAAGTGTCCTGACCTTAGATTTGTGTTAGGAATCTCAAAATCACATAAAGCAATGTAACTTTATTTTTCTTTAACCAAATGTGTTTTATCTTCTGAGCCCCTATTCTATTAGGAGGTGGGAAATTATTTGTTTGTTTGTTTTTAAGACAAAGTCTTGCTCTGTCACCCAGGCTGGAGTGCAGTGGCACAATCACAGCTCACTGTAGTGTCAACCTCCTGGGCTCAAGCATTCTTCCACCTTAGCCTCCCAAGTAGCTGAGACTACAGATGCATGCTACCATGCCTGGCTAATTTTTAATTTTTTTTGTAGAGATGGGTCTCACTATGATGCTCAGGCTGTTCTCAAACTTCTGGGCTCAAGTGATCCTCCTTCCTTGGCATCCCAAAGAGCTGGGAATACAGGCATGAGCCACCATGACCTGCCAGAAGTTAGTTATTTAATTTCCAGTTAATTCCAGATAATCTAGATCAATATGTTTATGTTATCTTTATGTAAATTTTCATCAATAACTCCTGTTCTTCTCTTCCTCTGGGTGCATGAGAAGATGGCACTTCCTTACCTCCTTGAAGTTAGGTATGACAATATGACAGTTTCCCCCAATGCAATGTGAGCAGAAATGAGTCACTTCTGGGTGGAAGCATTGAAGAGTTTGTATGCAATTGTCCGTGTTCTCTCTTCCTTTACCTTCGGTTGTGGAAGGACATATTGACAGACAAATACCTCAAAATTGAAGTAGCCTCAGATGCTGTGCTGCCACATGAATCACAGATTCCCCAGAGAGTTTTCTGGGCCTAGAGTTGGCTTTTCATGAACAAGAATAAGCCTTCATTTCCAGCCATTAAAGTTTGGGACTGTTTGTTACCACACCATAGCCTAGCTTATCCTGACTGATACACCAACTTTTCTCAGTTAACTAAGGGTCTTTCTTCCCTGCTTCAAATTCTTTCTCCTAATGTATTAGTTTGCTAGGGCTGCCATAATCAAATGCCAGAGACAGAGGGTTTAAACAACAGAAATTTATTTTCTCGTAGTTATGGAGGCTAGAAGTCCAAGATCAGGGTGTTACCAGCTTGATTTCCTCTGAGGCCTCTCTCCTTGGCTGGCAGATGGCTGCCTTTTCCCTGTGTCCTCATATGGTCTTTTGTCTGTGCATGTACCACAGCCTGGTTTCTCTCTGTATCTCCATATTTCTTTTTCTTAACTGCTCAACATCACTAATCATAAGGGAAATGCAATTCAAAACCATAATGAGATGATATCTCACACTAGTCTGAATGGCTATTATTAAAATGTCAAAAAATAACAGATACTGGTGAGGTTGTGGAGAAAAGAGAATGCTTATACACTGCTGGTGAAAGTGGAAATTAGTTTAGCCACTGTGGAAAGCATTTTGGCAGTTTTTCAAAAAACTCAAAGTAGAATTATCATTCGACTTAGCAATCTCATTACTGGGTATATACCTAAAGGAATATAACTTGTTCTGCCGTAAAGACACACACATGTGTATGTTTATTGCAGCACTATTCACCATAGCAAAGACATGAACTCAACGTAAATACCCATCAATGGTAGACTGGATAAAGAAAATGTGATTATATATATACATATATATATATATATATATATACACACATATACATACACATACACACCATGGAATACTATGCAGCTATAAAAAGGAATGAGATCATGTCCTTTGCAGCAACATGGGTAGAGCTGGAGGCTGTCATCCTAAGCACACTAACACAGGAACAGAAAACAAAACACCACATGTTCTCACTTATAAGAGGGAGCTAAACACGGAGTACATACGGGCACAAAGAAGGGAACAACAGACACTGGGGCCTACTTGAGGGTGGAGGATGGGAGGAGGGAGGGGATCAAAAAACTGGGTGAGGAAACAATATGTACACCAAACACCCGTGACATGCAAATTACCTATGTAACACATCTACACACGTGTCCCTGAACCTAAAATAAAATAAAATTTAAGAAAAAAGAAGAAATTTCCAAAAAACTCCCAAATAATTTCTTTTTCTAATAAGTCTAATAGTCAAATTGGATTAGGGCCCACTCTAAGAATTTCATTTTAATGTAATCATTTTTAAAAGACCCTATCTCTAAATATAGTCACTTTCTGAGATACTCGGGGCTAGGGTTTCAACATGTGAATTTTGGGGGAACACGGTTCAGCTCATAACACCATGGAGAGGCATGCATGTTCTAAGGGGGTATAGGTAGGACTGCTGTAGGGACAGGAACAGCAGTGACTTGAATGTCCATCGTGTATACTGGCTTCCAGTGGAGGGCGGTCCTGAATATTGCCACTGGGTCTCTGGCTGCACAGTTCACATGTATGGTTCCTGCATTCTGTATGTCTCGACCCAGTTCATCTACCTGCTCTCGTGCGTGTTGCATTATTTCCGGCCACACAGAGAAACAGAGAAAAAGGCCACTCTGGGCACACTGGTCTGGACAAGCCTATGTGTTGGGAACTTCCCCAGGCCCAGTTCTATAACTAAGAATGTGTCCACAAACCTCACCACCTCTTTGAGTTCCACCCAGGGAGCAAGCTCCAGCATCCTTTCCTTTTGTATTCTTTGAAATTCTCTGGGGTTTCTATCACTCCCCTCTGTTTGGGGGCTATTCAGCATATGTATGTGTATAAGTCCTGTGAATATGTCTGTGTAGATGGGGGGCCTAACATTCAGCGACCCATTCCTGACATTCCAGGGACCTACAGTTCCACCAGCATCTAAATCTATTTGCTTTGCCTCTTCCTCTCCCAGTCTCTTATTGGATGGGAAAAAATCTTGCTCTACCTTATCATATGTTCATATATATATATATATATATATATATATATATATATATATATATAAAACCTCAAAATTTTGGGCTCAAGCAATCTTCCTGCCTCAGCCTCCCAAGTAGCTCGGATTACAGGCACATACCACCATGCCCAGCTTATTTGTTGTATTAGTCTGTTTTCACACTGCTATAAAGAAATGCCTGAGACTGCGTAATTTATAAAGGAAAGAGGTTTAATTGACTCACAGTTCAGCGTGGCTGGGGAGGCCTCAGGAAACTTGCAATCATGGCGGAAGGGGAAGCAAACACGTCCTTCTTCACATGGCGGCAGCAAGGAGAAGTGCTGAGCAAGAGTCGGGGAAAGCACCTTATAAAGCCATCAGATCTCTTGAGAACTCACTCACTATCATGAGAACAGCATGGGGGAACCGCCCTCATGATCCAGTCACCTCCCTCCCTCAACAGGTGGGGATTACAATTTGAGAAGAGATTGGGGTGGGGACACATAGCCAAACCATATTATTTATCTTATTTTATTTTTGTAGAGATGGAATCTTGCTATGTTGCCTAGGCTGGTCCCAAACTCCTGGCCTCAAGCAATCCTCCCACCTCCGCCTCCCAAAATGCTGGGATTATGGCGTGAGTTACTGCATCTGGCCTTGTTATACATTTTAAAAATTTTTCTTGGATCTTGGCTTTGAAACTCAAAAGCTGAAACTTTGACATTTTTGTCCTTCAGCTCCTCTGCAATACACCTGGCTGGGGTAAGATACACCAATCTCTAGTCTGAATGCAGAAGATTCCCACCATGAGGTGGGAATAAATTACCAGGAATTAAACACACCTCACTTATATAAAAATACTTCCCTCCTCCATTAGAATGCACACATTTGCCCATTAGGATTTCTTCTTCTGACACCAACAAAGAAGACTATAAATTACATCTTGACAGAATTTAATTTTCATGGTGATAACTGAAAAGCTTTGGTTTATAAACCATATTCAGGGTCCAGAAAGAGGGGGAGAGTTACTTGGTTTTAGCCAACCATTGTGAAAATTAAAGTAGTTCATCTGGATGCAGAGTTTGAAATACCATGTTGAAATAGAGTATTGCAATATAAGAGCAGCACTGATATCACACAAATATTATGAATGCTCCCAAGCAAAGTAAAAACATTTTGAATGCAGAAATGAATTTGTGATTGATATAAAGAAGAATGAATGGAGAATGATCTATAGCATTTGTCTGAAACCTCATAAAGGCAGTATCTGAATACTGGTTGTTCCTGATTTCATTAGTTGTGAATCACTACATGAAGAATGTGTGTCCAAGTTAAACATGAGGGTCTTGGAATTATTTTAAAGAAAAAAATCAATTTCACTCTCTAGGATGGTTTTCTCCTTCTGATCACTGGGTCTTATATGTTGAGATTAGTGTGTTTAACACCTGATTTCTCATTTTCCCCCTGAATCTTCATTTTCCATTGTCATTTGGCCCACTTCTGTGTTTTTTCACATCTTCTTAATGTCTCTCAATGTTGCTTTTTTTTTTTTGGTTGTTCTTTCCAATCTTTTCTTATTTTCTTTCTCTTCAAAAAGGGAATGAAGGAAAAGCCAAGCAAAATATATTTTAAAAATAAGGGATGTGTGTAGGCAAATACTGAGAGATGTAGACCAAGCAGAGATGAATAATTATCAAAGTTTCCAACAACTCTAGCTGTGTTTCTCAACAGGAGGTGACTTTGCCTCCTAGGGGACATTTGAAAATATCTCGTCACAACTTATGGGAGGATCAGCGCCTGACTCCAGAACAAAGAATAATCCAGCCCAAAATGTCAGAATTTCCAAGATTGAGAAATCCTGAATCACACATATGGTTTTTTTTATCCTCTCCAAATTAAAAAAAAAAAAAAGGAATGTATTGCCAGCATTTTACATATAAAGCAGAAAATCTAGATTCTTTTTTTAATTAATCAGGCAAGTGATTAAAAGCCACCTTCTGAGAGAGGGCCTGTACTCTGCAGTGCATCACAGCCTCTCCTTCTAGCTGTATAAGGCAAATTCAAGGTCCAGAAAGAAGGGGGAAGCTACTTGGTTTTAGCCAACCACTGTGAAAATTAAAGTAGTTCATTTGGATGCAGTGTTTGAAATATAGTGCTGACAATGGAGTATTGCAATATACAAAACTCACTTCATTAACTCATATTACTTCCTGGCCCTTGTAGCAAACTGAGTTTGCAACCCTCTGCATTCTAGGGTTGGTACATTATGAACCATGGGCCAAATCTGGCCTGCCACCTCTGTTTATAAATAAAGTTTTATTGGAACACAGTCACACTCACTTATTGCTTTTGTGGGTGCTTTAGTGCTATGTTGAATAGTTGCAAAATGGACTGTGTGGCCTGCAAAGCCAAAAATATTTACACTCTGGCACTTTACAGAAACTTTTGCTGATTCTTGCCCTAATCTGTTGACTCTATTGATTATTAGTGTTAGTCTTTGAACTGAGGCTTCCTGTTGGCATAATTGTTAGTATAGACAAGAAATGACAGTGTGTTTAATCACATAAACCAATGTGGATTTCAATTAGGGGAGCCCAGGCTCAGTCAACATTTTTCATATATTGGTCATTCTAGGAAAACATAGGATTCTCAATTGAAACATGATTAGCTTTCTGAATGGAATACGGGCAAGGCTAAAAGTTAACACAGTCTTACTCTTCTCCCCTGTTGTCAGTGACACATTTACTCCCATTATGATTGGCTCAACATATGGCCTTGTATTTTGTCCACAAAATACCACCTGCTCTGGGCTGTTTGTTAGATCATCTGCCTCAGAAGAAATGAGAAACGGGAAATAGATTTCTTGACCTATTCAGTTTATTGCTTAACCACCACATAATACAAATGTTTCAACTAAGCTTTGTTCATTTATTCATTGGTTTAGTTCAGGGGTCAGCTAACATTTTCAGTAAAGGGCCAGATAGTAAATATTTTTGGCTCTGAGGGTTGGCTAATCTCCATTGCAGCTACTCAACCCTGTCTGTGTAGAAAGAGAGCAGTTGGAGGCAGTCAATCAAACCATGGTAGTGGCTGTGTTGCAATAAAACTTTATTTACAAAAATAGGCAGTGGGCTGGATTTGGCCCACAGCCCGTAATTTCTGACTCCAAATCTGGAGATGCCTTAGTCATAATTGGGAGTGGAGGTAGCAGAGCTACCGAATAATGGAAAATGGCATTTTCTGGGTGATTTCTCATTTTCCATCCTCACTTTTTATTTGAAAATGCTTCCTCTTCTTTCCTTCCTCCAGTGGCTCAGGGGCCTGCTGTTGAGGGAAGAGCTGGAGTGAGATGAGCAGGTGAATTCTATTGTGGATTATGAAGCTAGTTCAGTAGAAAGGGAGTGCCACCTAGATTGGAGGGGAGTGAGACGAGGAAACACCTTCCGGTTCCTGAAACAGGAGAAGGTAACATCTCTTGTAAGGAGAGGAAGACTGGTGCCTGCTTGCAGCTGAGGAGCTGAGTCTGCTCGAGACTCCCCAGGTCCCGGAATCCTCCCATCCTTGCATCCTTCTCTTCATCCATCTCCGCAGACATCTCAAATGTGTCCATTCCCCATGGGATATGCATCCTGGGAAGTGCCCAGTGATAGCTAACTCTACCAAGGGGATTTGCTTTTTGTTAGGGACTTTCAAAGTCTTTTCTGTGGTTTATTTTCTTCTGACTCTAATACTTATATAGGTTTTTCATCAAAATTTGGCAACTAATGAAAATGTATGTTTGAGCATCACTTATTGAGCATCACTTTTACTCAGAAATGTGCAAATTATTAAATATGAGCATGTGTGTGTCCATCTACATAACACACACACACACACACACACACACACACAGAGGCACTCACCCAGTCACCTAATTTTAAGGACTCCTAACAAATCTCTGAGGTACCTAGTTTTAAGCAGGTAGAAATTAAGCAGCTTGCCCAAAGTGGATACCGTAGTAAGATTTTAAACACAGCCTTGCCTGATTCCAAAACTCATATTCAGCTTTTTTAGGATACTAGTCTATCTTTAAGAAGAAAGAAAAAACTATCGGCCGGGTGCAGTGGCTCACGCCTGTAATCCCAGCACTTTGGGAGGCCAAGGAGGGTGGATCTCGAGGTCAAGAGTTTGAGACCAGCCTGGTCAACATGGTGAGACCTGCGTCTCTACTAAAATTACAAAAATTTGCCAGGCATGGTGGTGGGTGCCTGTAATCCCAGCTACTCGGGAGGTTGAGGAAGAGAATCTCTTGAACCTGGGAGGCGGAGGTTGCAGTGAGCCGAGACCACGACACTGCACTCCAGCCTGGGTGACAAGAGCAAGACTCCATCTCAAAAAAAAAAAAAAAAAAAAAAAAAGAGAAAAAACAATCACCCATACTGTCCCTCAGACGAAAAAGCTGCCACCTTTTGCGGTGTTTTCCTCCAGTGTTTTCATTTTTTTCTTCTATTTGTTAAAGCATTTTTTAGATCATGTTGCAAATATAATTTTATTATCTTGCTTTTTTCACTTTATTATTTAAGTATCATTTTAAAACCTCTTTGTAAGTATCCTCTTAATGGTATACTATTTCTTCATATAGGTATATTGTAATTCACTTAACCAACTCCTCTCTGCTGAACATTGCGGTTATTGCTAGTGTTCTCACTGTTTTGAATAAAGAGGCAATGGATACCTTTGAGTATGAAAAAACTTTCCCTCATGAAACTTCCATAATCTGAAAAGCTATCCAGAAACATGGAAATGCTATTCTTTGAGAGAGGCAGGTGACATAAGTGAATCACTCACTTTGGACGAAAAATTTAAGGGGGCACCAAAAAAAATCTTCGTTATTAGCATATAATAGTATAACATTAAAACATTAAATTAATATTAAAATCTCTAAATCCATGAAGAAGAAAATATCAACGTCTTAGATAAAGGCAGGGTCAGTATTACTGAGTTTTTCCTTTAGCCTTAGGCTCCGAGCTGGCCATGCACAGTGCTGTTACTGACTCCATTCAGGCCGTGGGGAGGACATAATTGGTGTCTGGAAGGAGAAACTCAGAACTACCTTTATTATAATTTATTATAATTATTGTGCCCTATGGGAAGCTTTCTTCTGAAAAGGTTCAGTGTGATGGGCCCAAAAACAGACTCTGGCAAAGACTGCTTGGTTTTAAACCCCAACTATGCCACTTACGAACTGTGGGACCTTTGTCAAAATAATTCCACTCTCTGGACCTCACTTTCCTGATGTACTGCATGGAGATGATGATAATCATTTATCCCTCCCAGTGGATGAGAGGACTTAGTGAGTCCCTTAGAACAGCGTCTGGCTTGTATAAAGACTCAGTAAATGTTCCCTGTTCTACTGCTGCACTGTGAGCCTGCCCCCGAGCTGAAGGCAGCCTGCAGACCTGCTTGCTTTACTCCATCTGGCATTGTTAGATTTTTTTTTAAAAAAATTAGTTGCCAACATTCTAAAATCGCTAGATTTCATGAAAAAATCTGATTTTTTTTCCCCTTATGAAAATCAGAAGACCTGGCAAACCTGGGGCTAGCTATGTCTTCCGTAGTGGTAACATTTAGTCAAATCTGCAAACCAGAAGATGGAAGTTATCTCCAGTTTACCCTGAACTAGGGTTGCCAGAGTTAGCAAGTAGAAAAGATATGACATCTGGATAAATTTGAATGTCAGACAATTTTTTTTTAGCATAAGTATATCCCATGCAATATTTGGGATATACTTATACTAAAAGACTGATTTATTGTTTTTCTGAAATTATGAGACATATGCTAAAAATCATTTGTTTATCTGAAACTCAAATGTCACCAAGCATCCTTTATTTCTCTAACTCTTCCAACCCTCCCTCTCCGCCTATACTTTACAGCTTCATTGGCCTGTGACTTCCACTTAACCTCTGTAGACATCAGTATGGAGGACCTTGGGATCACATATAAAAATCCCAGCAGAGGTCATCTTCCATAAGTAGCACTGTGTGTCATCACTGCAGTGCAGTTTTAAGCTATTTAATAAACTTCCCTCAAGTCTGGCGGCCTTTCCATGATAAAACTGGGGGAAGGAATCCAATCACCTAACACCATCTCAGCACCATTGAGTGAGTTCCTTGAGCAAATGCTCATGCGTGGACGTGAAGTTAGAAGAAGGCGGAGCTTTCTACGTTCTCTCGCTGCTGCTTTCAGATAGGGAACCAGGTCTGAGAACATTCCCGTTGAAGTAGCATCTCTTAGGGCCAGGGCATGAAGGATGGTGATGTTTTCCTACCTCACGTTGAGGGACCCAGCCAAGCAGGGCAGGTGCTTTTAAGAGCCACCCATGTCCCTGCTTGATCAAAGTGAGAGGTAGATACCATTAGCATGGTTGCTCTGTGTATAGACTGAAGATTATCTTTCTGGCTTCTATCAGATGGAAACACAGATCTTAGCAGGCAGATCAGGATCAGCTCAAGCAGCATCTCTCCACTTCGGCACTATGGAGTACTTCTTTGTAGTGGGGACCGTCCTGTGCATTGTAGGGTGTTCAACAGCATCCCTGACCTCCACCTACCAGATGCCAGTAGCGAATCCCCTCAGCCCTCATCTCCTTGCCATAGTTGTGTCAACCAAAATCATCTCCACACATTGTTAGATGTTTACTGGGAGGCAGACTCACTCCCACTTGAGAACCACTGTACTAGAAATATCACCAAGAGAATGGAGTAGGCCACACACGCCTTAATCCATTTATGCCGGAGGTTGCAAATTTTTTTGTGTGTGAAAAATCAGACCTTGGCGATGATCTTGAGCAGTAAGATATAAATAACTCCCACAAGCTTAGCGTTCCAATAATGGAACACTAGGCATATGTAGGTTTTAAGGGCTGCAGTAACTTAATTGTGTGAGTCAGTTTTAAGTTACTGGGGTGGCGGTGTGTCCCCAGAGCTGCAGACTGGAGGTCTCACCAAAAGTCCTCAAATCCCATTCCCAAAGTTGTTGGCCAAATAAAACTTTTCTGTAGGCAGAATTTGGGCTAAGAGAATCCAGTTTGCAACTCTTGAAATGGAGACATTCGCTTAGCTGTTCTTTGGTTTATGGTGCAAATGATGATTTGTTTCACTCCTGTTTGTGTGTAACCGAATGGGAAGGCTCAAGGTATCTCTTGCTTTGTGAACACCTCTCTCTCTCTCTACTCATTTCCACTCCCCAGCCCTGACAAGTGCTGCTTCTCACGGTGGGGTGATTTTGCCCCTCTCTCTAGGGGACACGTGGCAATGTCTGGGGACAGTTTTGGTTGTCACAACTGGGGGATGGGAGTGCTATTGGCATCTAGTGGTAGACGCCGGCATGCTGCTAAACATCCTACAGTGCACAAGACAGTTACTGCAACAAAGGATTTTCCGACCCCAAATATTCCCAGGGCTGAAGCTGAGAAACCCAGCTACAGCAGGCAGGAATGTGTGGCTCACCTCAGCACGCTAAGTGAGGAGCTTTTCCTCAGCACTCTGAGCACCTGGGGGTTCAAAGAACTTGCCTTGGGTCTGTAGCTGGGGAAGAATCAGTCTGTGGACTCCAGGGAGGGACATTTTCTTTTCTTTTCGTTTTGCATTTGTGCCCAGAAACAGCAAGGCCAGCAGTTTTGTAAGGATACAGTTTCTTATGTAAACTTTCCTTTCTTTTGTTGAAGGTTTGGATATTCTACAGAAGTTCACCTGGGCTTCAGATTCGCACCTGATCCTAATCTCTGATTAACACCATCAGATAAAGAGATTCTCCTAACATGTTGGGGCCATAGACTAAGGAAGTTTAGCAAGTCTGGGAGGTGAGAAATCTAGGGGCAGTGTGGAGAGAAAAATAGACCCAACTAAATTTCAATATACAACCCTACATCATCTCAGCATTATTTTCCAAACACCATTTCCCCTCTTTATGCAATTATAAATGTGGACCAGCCTTTGATAACCAATAAAGTAGCTGATGCAATATTTTCTTATCCCCCTTTTGCCTTCTGTTCCCTTTGAAATATTATTTGGTTCTATTTTTTTTTTCTCCTGGTACCCTCTGTCTCTCTTCGTTTTTTTTGTGTGTGCATGTGACCACAATTGTAGTTTCAGTAAATAAAACGGCCGCTTGATAACGTGGAACGGCCCAGCGCTTAACTCTGCCTTTAGAGATCCTTTACATCAAACCAGCAATCAAAAAGTGGTGCAGATAAAATTTGTCATCAGGGATTTCCTACAAAAGAATTACAGTGGAGAAATGGCCTGATCAATACTATGGATTTTCACTGCAGGGGCTGGTGGTCCAATTGCTGTGAGACACTCACACAGATAAAAGGGCACTGCTGCCGCTCCGTCACAGACTGCTGACTCAGCACAAAGCTTGGCAGGTATTTATAGGCCAGAGTGATACAGAATTATCACCTTGCAGTGCCCGGCTCTTGTTCCTTCCAAGATTGCCTTCCTTTATGGGATTGCTAAATGCAGGTGAATGGAAAAATGATGGCTAACAGCTGTCAAAATGCAACAGAATGAAGTACTTAAATCTTTTTTTATCCATTAAAAGGGTAACAACCATACATATATCACGGCACAGACATTGTAATGATATTTGGGGGCTGGTAAACGAGGGAGTAATAAACAATATATGTTCTGATCAGAACGACTGAGGAAATAGTCTTGGAGGGAAGGTAGGTCTTCCCTGAGCCTTATAATTACTTTAATGGTTGAACATCCCTCTCACGGAAGAAAAACAAAATTGTTTTTGTATCCCAATCTTTGGAAGACCCACTTTCCCCTTATGCTGGCATTTAGAAGGCCTAGAACTATTCCCTATGGCACTTAACCATGCTTACTGCATCCTGAAATTTCTGAAGTTTATTCATGTCAGCTTAATTAAAGCATGTGCAATGATGATAACTGATTTGTAAGATTCTCCAGGTGTAAGGTCTGGGATGCAGTGAGAACTTTCTCTTGGGTTGTTTTTAACCTCTGCGTTCCAGTTGAATTTCAGATGTGCCATAGACAGAGCTTCTTCGGAGGTGGAGGAGAAGGCACATTACTGCTCTCCCACGAGGTGGGGTCATTCTGGGGAAGTTCTCAAAGCTCATCATCTCAGCTCTGGGGCTCCTTAGCCATGACTTACATAGATGAAGTTAGTACAGTTGTCCTGATTCCCAATTAATGCTTCCTCAAGGAACCCCCCTGGAAAAATCTTACCAATCCTTCTAGACCCACCCATCAATATTTGTCTTATTTTTCATTTAGTGAGAATCAGCTCCCAGAAAGATTCAAAATAGCACTTATGGTGGCCTTGTAGAATCTTGGCTTGTTTGAGAGTAGGCTGTGTGTGTGTGTGTGTGTGTGTGTGTGTGTGTATGTGTATGTATGTGTGTGTGTTTGTTTTGTCTTCTCCTTTCCCTAATGCATTTTATTTAAAATTTTCAATGAACCATTTTTTTGATGAACTTGAACATTAAAAGAAAAATGTTTTCCTCATTTTCTTCAATATTTAAAAAGTACTGCAAAGCACAAGGGAAATGAACCAAATATATAGAATATCATCAATAACAAGGCATCTGGACATTAATTAATTCTTCATTTTGGAACACCTGTGGCGAGATGGGCCTTGTGTAGGATGTCGCAGAAACACAGGGAGTATAACAGGCTTTCAAGGAAAAAGAGCTTATGGAAAGGAGGACAAGGAAAATATTTATTGAATGGATTCTTTGTGCCAGATGCTTGGCATATGTTATAATGAAATAGCAAACAGCCATAAAATGCTAAGCAGATTCCCAAGTGCTTCATTGACTCATGGGATCCTCATAAGAACTCTATGAAGCAGTGTTATTACCGTCCCCACTTTACAGATTAGGAAATTGAGGCAACAGAAGGTTGATTAATTTGCCAAGATCACTTGGCTTGGAATAGAGGAGAGGGGACAGCCAGGTGACCTTGAAACTCCTTGGTGATTCAAGAATCCCAGCTCCTAACTGCAGAGCTACATAGCTTTTCATTTTGGAAGCTCTCTCATCTCACCCTTAAAATAGTGACATGAAGTGGGCAGTCCTGTTGAACCAATAAGAAAAGCTTAGAAAAGTTGCACATCTTCCCCAGCCAGGTAGGCAAAGAGCTGGGATTTGAACCCAGGTGTGGCTGTCTCCAAATTTTCTGCTACTTTTACTGTATCATTTACAGTGAACCTACCAAGCAAACAAGATTCTGCAGCTTCTAAATTCAGAAAACAAAATGCAGGAAGTGCAAGCCATAATGTGCAATCTAGGGAAAAGAATTTAATTTCAGGAAGCATGCCACTGCTTGGAAGGAACATTAACAAGACTTTTGTATCCAAATCGTCCCTGGCCAGTTTTGGGTAGGACTCAAAAATGTAACCCACACCTTCTGGAACTGTCCATGGGGAAATCATCTTTGTGCTTGTTTGAACTGCCTTATCCTGGTAGAAATCATTGCTACTATCATCACAGCATTGTTGTATGGAAGTTTACTGTCACTGGCAATAAACATAGATGAAAGGAGGGGGGAATAAGAAAACAAAAGGGAAAAATAGAAGCAAAAAATGCACCAGAGTGAAAAAAATATCCATAAACTCGTTGTTTTTTGTCTCTCTTGTTGCTCTGATGTGCACAAAGGAAATAGACGGAATAAAATCACATCTCAGGAACACCAACATAAATTCCCCCTTGCTTTGACAAGTACGTAATTTTCTTCAGAGATGCTCTTCACGTCTGGAGAGTTATGAGGCAATTTCATTCCCATCTGACAAATTTACAAAGAAACATTAGAGAGAAGGGATTAGGAAAGCGAGAAATCTTTATAGACTTTTTCCTCAGGCTGTATTTCCCTTCCATCTCTTGGCTCTTCCTTGAGGACCAGGCATGAATGCCTCACACAGTGTGGGCCTCATAACCAAGACACTTAGGAGAGAAACAAAACATGAAATGTGCTTTCAATCAACTAATTGTATTTACATTATTGGGGGATGGGGGTGGCACTTGGGGACCAGAAGATTCTTATTGGCAAACATGGAAGTGAAGTCTCTGAGGTATGGATTCAAAATGGTATTTGTAAAATTGGACTTTGAAAGAAATGCAGAAAGAGAAAGAGGGGAGGGAGAGAGAAAGAAAGGGAGGGAGAGAGAACTGAATGTCTAAGAAAGTTTGTGGTGCAAATAAGCATTTCAGGATGATCACAATACAGGATTAATAATAGCAAAGCATATGTATTTTTTTCCTTGTAGGATTATAGATGCTAAGGCAACTTGGAGTTTTTCTCCTTTTAAAACATCTCTGTTGCTAATTTCATTGTGCAGCTTTCAGAGTGACTAACCATACCAGTTTGACCAAGACTGTATTGGCTGCAGCACTTAAAAGCTCACATCCCGGAAATCCTTTGGTCCTCGGTGAATTGGGATGGTTGGTTACCCTATTACTGATGATTGTAATTCTCAGGTAAGTTACTTGAGTTTTGGCAGCTGTTAACTTTCCTAAATATTTGCAACCTTGAATTATTCACGTTTGGTCTCTGTTAACTGGCAAAGTGAATGTGTACACACACATACTACACATATACATAAACTTGTAGTTTGATCATTTGGGGATTCTAGTAAAGTCTTCAATTAAGGTCACTGTGAGGGCTTAGAATTCTGAAGGAAAAATCATAATAAGTGCTCAGAAGTTCAGGAAACGTTATTTTTTTTCCTGGAGTTGAGATTAAACATAATATAATGCAGATGCTGTCGGATACGGAACCCAAATGACAAATGTTTTATAACTGGGACTTAGGGAATGGAGAAAAGTAAGAGATACATAGCTTCCAAGACCTTAGTTGAGAGCCGCAAAGCACCCATAATACTGTATGTATAATTTGGCAGGAGAAAGGTGAGATATTTGTGCGTGTATTACTATTGTGTATTTTTTAGAGTACAGCTGGGCAGCCATGTTTGTGATTTACTGGCCATATCAAAAGACTGAAATTGAACCTAATCTGTATAATTTCAGCTTTCTGTTCTTTAAGTTTTTTCACTTGTAGTCACAATTTAAGTCATTTGCATTTTCTAAAAATTCTATTTTTGGTGATACTTGTTATTTTCCTTCTTTAAAGTTACAAGAAAATCTTTATTGTTTACCTTCCTGTGAAATGGTGATTTATATTGGAATGGGATGTCCAAAACCTTTAGGACAGAAGAGAAACCAAGCATTTATTTTGCCAAAAAAATCCCCAGAGATCTTGCATTTTGGGGTTTAAGTTTAACATCCTAAAACCAAATGTTGAAGTTGAATTTGGATGCGATCTCTCTTGAAACTCTCACAGTCAAACTCTCCCTTTAATCCGTCTGCTGAATATGAAAAACGGGGCTTCTTTGAACTGTAAATGCTTCTTTTTGCCTAATTTAGAGAAATAAACAATGATAAGTGATGTTCATCTATAGAGAGACTTGGTCCAGAGGCATATGAAAGTTGTGAGTTGTCTGTACTGGCTACCCTCTGTAAAACCTGCCCTGTACTTTATAGAGGACAGTCTATCCCAGTATCACCGATAGGATGTACAGATGGCTTTTTGCTTACAAGCAAGCATAAGTACAGTGTTGCCGAGAAATTAGATTGAGCATGATGAGAGATATAAAAGTTTAAAATATCCCCGGTGGAAAAATTTTTTTCTTTTTATTCTGCATTTGAATCTTTTAAATACTGTAACTTTTGGGGGAAAGTTATTGAGACATAAAAGGAATATTTGAACTGCTTTGGAGTTTATGATAACCACTGTATAATACATTATCTTGAAAGCCTTTATAGTACACAGTTACAAACTTCCAGGAAATCTATTAAAAGGCAGCATTAATTAACATAAACTTTTTATAGTGTTACTAATATTCTGCAAACAACTAAGAGTTTAAAAGCCCTTTTTACAGGCATTTCTTGCTGCCTATACACTATGATCAGCATGAATTACAGGAAACACTAAAGGAGTAGAAAGAAATGAATTTTCATTGCTTGTTCTAGATGGGAAATTCACCTCAATATCTGTCTTTAATTTGAACAAGTGTGAAGACAAGGTACTCACCAGTTTGATTAGCATCCTCTTTGTAGACTTGTACAGCTGACCGAAAGCAAAACACTGATGCTTCAATATTCATTCTCCCAACGGATGATAAATAGCATCTTTGAAATGACTTTAGAAAACAAAAGGATTTCCTTGAATCCTGGGAGATAGAGTTTGGCTGTATCCGCTCACAAAACTTTTACGATCTCATCAGTGGGTTAGTCCATGATACAGGCTACATTTAGACACTTACAGATGTGTCAAGTGGTTCCAGAAATGAAAGTAGTATTTTAATTTTTTTTTGATGTCTGGTTCCCAGTTGCACTGGCAAATCTCTGAAACCTGAATCTTGACCTTTTTTAGAGTGATGTTTTTCATTTCTGTTTTGAATTCCAAAGGGGAGGAGGCCTTTCAGTCTCTGTGCCCAAAGGGCAAAACTGTCTCCATTTAGGATTGAAATGAAGATGACCTGGGCCTGAGTTATCTAGTCATAATTATTTCCTGACTCTCTGTATTTAAATATTTCTGCTCTAACGTGAATTAAGCAAGGTTTCTTTGCTTCCTCTTTGCAGTGCAGTCTGCTGTTTGTAAATACTAGAATGGTGATTCTGGCCAAAGATTCCTCGCTTTCTTAGGTCTTTGGTGTCATCTGGGTGCGACTGATGATTTTCTATTTTAGTAAATACTTTACACTCTTACTTTATTTTATTTTATTTTTTTAAATAAAATGCTTTCCAGATCCCTTGGAGGCAGAGTCCTCCAACATTTTGTTGCCATTCTGCTGTTCCCTCTTCCCACAACATCACCTGATTCTCAACCCATATGGTACTAGGATTTCACTGTGATAATCATAAAACAGATTATTATGCATATACATTATTTGCTGCGTACATTTTCTCCATTAAGTTTTTTGTTTATTCAAGAGATATTTACTTGAGGAGCTCAGTATTGGCCCTCCCATTTTATCCCTTTTCTCTATTTATATTGTCATCTATACCTCTTATCTTTGCTTAGTGGGTATTGTGTGCCAGGTATTGCAGAAGTGTTGGTGAACATGACATATGAGCTTGCTCCTTCTGGAGTTTGTCTTCTAGTTAGGGTAGCTATGCAGAGGGCAAGCAAGCAAATGACTAATAAGGTGATAAGTCTATGGAGGAAAGAAACTGATGATGTGTTGGGGTGTGACTGATGGAGAGTTGAGGCAGCATGGCTGGGATGTCATCTGTAAGGAGGTCTCATCATAGCGGGAATTTGAGTGATGAGAAGAAACCCATGATACAGAGATCTGGGGATGAGTATTCCAGGCAGATGGAGCAGTGAGTGCAAAGGCCAGGTGGAAGCGAGCTTGGTGTGGGCAGACCAACGTGGGCTGGTGGAGCAGGATGAACAAGGATGTCAGAGAGTTGGGAAATAAGCAGTGTCTCTAATAACATCTACCCCGTATCAGTGTGAGCCCTGAAAAGACATTACCTCTATACCTTGAAGAAGCCTTGAAGGGAGGTGATTGTTTTCACATTTAGCAGATGATTAAATAGAAGTTCGGAGAGGTGTTGTGGTTTGTCCAAGGTCACACAGCCAATAAATGTCAGAGCTAGAATTCAAATGTAGATTTGCCTGATTCCAATATTTGTCCGTTAAATATATTTTGAGTACCTATAATGTGCCTGGCCCTTGGTAGGAGGTGAGGATAAGGTAGTGGGCAAAATAAAATTTATATTCTCATGAGGCTTACTTCCAGTAGAAGGAACCAGGAAAGAACTAACTGTATAGTTTATCAGGTCGTGAGAAGTACTATGGAGAGAGACAAATGAGGGAAAAGAAGGCAGGAGGGGAGATAGTGGGGATGGGGCTGCTCTTTTGCACAAGAATTTCAGAAAAGATATCATTGATAAGGAGATATTTGAGCCAAGAAATGAAGGAAATGAAAACAAGCCAACAGGTTTCCCTTGCAGAGCAGTCCAGATATAACAAGTAGCAAATGAAAACTTTCAAAGTGGGCATAAGTATGGCGTGATGGAGAAACAGCAAGGATATCAGTTAGCTGGATTCAGGTGAACAAGGGAGAGAATATGAGACTGGGTGGGCTGTGGCGAGGTCTTCGGCTTTTACTCTGAGTGAGATGAGAGTCAATGGAAGAAAAGAGGGCCATATTGTAAGTTTGGTTTTATTACCATTATTCTGGATGCTGGTTAAAAGGTAGACTGTTGGGGAAGAGTGGAAGCAGGAAGTTGGGAGGCCAGTGGTGATTCGGTGATTCAGGCAGACATCATGGTGGCTGGTGTCAGAGTCCTGGCAGTGAAGTTGGTGAGAAGGGGCCAGATATATGATATATTTCAACAGTCGAGTCAACAGAATTCGCTTGTCGATTTGGGTGTGAGGTGTGAGAGAAAGAAAAGTCAAGGATGACGTAGTGTTTATGGCCTGAACCACAAGCAGGACGGAGTTACCATTTACCGAATGGCAAAATCAGTGGAGGTGCGCTATTTTCAGGGGAAAAATAAGGAGCTCAGTATTGGCTTTCCCAATGTGTCCCTTTTTCAATTTATATTGGCAACTATACCTCTTATTTTTGCTAAGTGGGTCGCTGATGTGCAGATGTTATTTGAACAGAAAATTGTCAACATTTTTCTTCCTTAACAAAACAATGGTTGTCAGTACACTGTGCTAGTGCATTAATTAGCTTTGCTGCATAACAAACGACCCTCGAATTTCAGTGGCTTACAATAACAAACATTCATTTTCACGAAACCAAAAATACAGGATGGTTATGACTCAGCTCAACTCTGCCCCAGTGCTTCCCCCTCTGCCGACTTCTGCCTGTACATATCAGCTTACATTCCGTTGGCCAAAGCACATGGCTGAGTCCAACCATGATAAGGGAGGAACTACACACCCCCCTCAAATGGCATGACATTTCCTTCATTCAAGCCTGGTTGTCATCTCAATCAGTTAAAAACAAATAAGTAGATCCAGAATGACCATGCAACAGCCTCCAAAGAAGATGAGAGGCCTCAGCCCCCCAAATCCAGTGAGAACTAGTTCTTCCCATGTCTCCCAGCACTCAAGCATCTCTATACTGGAGCAGCTTCTACTTGGCAGTAAGCCTATCTCTTTGGTAATTTATTTCTCCCATGATGACCTTGAGCCCACTCATAGCTGGCCTGTGTCTTTATTCACTATTACATCATCAGTGCCTACTGCAGTCCTACACACAGTAGTTCTAGTTTCGTGTGATTGGTTCAGATGCATTGTACCTAGCTTGTAGAATTCATTTAGAGGCTGGTTTCTTTTAAAAGGAATAAATAGAGGAATGGAGAAAAGACAAGAAAGTGGAGAGTTAGCAAATTCAGTTGCCTTAGCAAATTCAGAAGCCAGGCAGATAACACACATAGTGCCTCCACAGGGTTTGAGACAAATGGGGGTGGTGGCCCATTTAGCCAAGCCAGAGTACATACCCCCACATGGTAGAATTAAAGATATTTTAGGCCTGGGCACGGTGGCTCATGCTTGTAATCCCAGCACTTTGGGAAGCTGAGGATAGTGGATCACGTGAGGCCAGGAGTTCGAGACCAGCCTGGCCAACAAGGTGAAACCCTGTCTCTACTAAAAATAAAAAAATTAGCCAGGTATGGTGGCACATGCTTATAATTCCAGCTACTTGGGAGGCTGAGGCAGGAGGATCACTGGAACTCGGGAGGCAGAGGTTACAGTGGTCAAAGATCATGCCACTGCACTGCAGCCTGGGTAACAGAGTGAGACCCCATCTCAAAAAAGAAAAAACAAGTTAGAAGCCAAATAAAACAAAACTACCTGTGCTAGTCAAATAAAACTGTTTGAAGGGCAGATTCTCCCTGAAACCTGTCAGTTTGAGAATCTAGTAATAGAGTTGGGAAGATTTGGGCTTATCAAAGGAAAACTTTTGTTTTTGTTTTGTTTTGCTTCCTCCTCTCAACCTCCATAACTATTGGGTACTAGGCTTAGTGCCTGGGTGAAGAAATAATCTGTACATCAAACCTCAGTGACACGAGTTAAGCTATATAACAAACCTGCAAATGTAACCCTGAACCTAAAATAAAAGTTAAAAAAAAAAAGAGAACCTATTTGTAGGGTGGCAAATATCTTTCCCTCACCCTCCATCATTAGGTAGTTCTTTGGTAAAAAAAAAAAAAAAAAAAAAAAGAATCTTTTTATCTGAAACTGGGACAAGAACTAGCTAGAGGGAATACCTTTATTTCTTTTGCCAAAGATAACTCTGGAGATTTTGTTTTTAGTTCTCTTCCATCTTCCTGAACCTTGCATACTGTTTGGGTGGTGGAGGGGTGTTAGGGGGTGGAGGAGAAGGAGAAGAAGGAGGAATGCTTAGGTGAAGCCCTGAGAGTTTCTGCCTCTCATGCCTGAGGTGTGGAGGTAGAGCTCTCTGGAATATTTCCAAGCCAAGTTGCGGAAGCCCACACTTCTCCCGCCTGGAGGGTTGTTCTTTGACTTCATCGAGGGCATCCAAGGCCAGGGTTATGAAATCTGATGCTCAGCAGAGGATTCCTGAATCTTCTCCCACCACAATGTTTAGGAACTGGGGTCAACTAGGACATAGGTCAACATTAGTGGTGCCCAGGAAATTCGACCTGCAGATATATTTTGTTTGGCTTACACAGCAATTATAAAGTTATATGTATTAAAAAAATTAATTCTCTATGGGCCAGTATTTACAAACCATGAGATTTTACATGAAAATCAATATTTCTGCCTTCCTCTGAAATGTGGAAGCTCTGTCAATATGGGGCCGCATCTGGTTGAGTAACATCTGCCCACTTCATTAAGAGCATGCCGGCTAGCTCACACCCGTCCCTACCCAGCTCACTCCACTCAATTATTTCACCTGGATGGCCCTGTTAGACAATTGGGAGTAGACTCTTGACCTATATATTTATGTATAATACCTGTGGCTATAAATACATTGCTGTAAATGCCTCAGATATCATCTTTAATTTAAAGAGCAGCCTGCCCTTTAGGTAATCAACTTCGGCTTTTTAAAACCAGAATTGTTAATTATCCTGGCAGTATTGTCTTTGCCCTCAACCTGATAAAGTCACTGGTGAAAGGATGCGATTATTTGGTAGGTGAATCTAAAGGATATCATTTCTCTTTTTTCCTTCTTCTGCTATTTTCTCTTTACTCACATCTTCCTTGCCAACCAATCCGACATGCAAGAAACCCTTCAGGTGCTTAAAGGAGTTGGAAAATATTCCCGGAAATGCTGAAAGTTTGCCACATTGTCAGAGGATAAAAGCACAGTGTTCAATCCAAAGGCTTTGTGTAGGTTTTTTTTTTTTTTTCAATGCAAGTTCCAGGTTAAATTTGAGGATGCTTGTGTTCTCTACATTTTAATGAGAAGCTTTAGCTAAGAATTTTTTTTTAAACAAAGGCACAAAAGTTTAAATCCTTTGCGCAATAGCAGTGAGATTGAAGTGACATACTGTTTTAACTTTTTGAAAAACAGCAATGCTCAAATAATCAGCAGGAGAGGGAATATTAGACAAGTAAATATGGAATATTATGCTCACAAGCAATAACTGTGTCTATTAAATATGCAAACCATGCAGCCTCATATGGATTTTTTTCATTACATCATTTTATAGGTATATGTGTGTATAAGACTGGGTATATAGTAAACTTTTATGAGTTAAATCATTTTTTCCATTAGCTTTTGTTGTAATTACCAAGATGCTTACTGTAATTTCTGATTGATCTTCAATTGGCACTACCCCATAACACTTTATCTTGAAAATTCTCTGCCTGTAGGCCTCTTAGTTAGGTAGTGAACGATTTATCTATACACCTTCAACATAATCAAGAGGTCAATATGTAAAGGGACCCATTTGTAAATGAAATAAAGCAAATAATATGGTGGTTATTTTTGTATTTAGATAGATTAGCAACATTGATTCTAATGAGAGGGACCTTCCTTTCTTTATAGCAATTGTACCATGCAGTGTTAGTTATGTGCTGATTTCTCAGTTTATTTCATGACTACCTTCCCACTAGAATGTAATTTCTCTGAGGACAGGAATCATGCCTTTGTTTTCTGTCTTTAAAAAAATTGTTTTAAAGTGCGGCAAAATATCCAGAACATAAAATGTACCACTTTAATACTTTTTGAGTGTATGCTTCAGTGGCATTAAGTATATTCACGTTTTTATGCTGTTATCATCACTATATCTTCAGACTTTTCATCTTCCCAAATGAAAACTCCATAATCACTAAACAGTAATTTTGCCTTCCCCTCCCCCCCCACTGGCTGACAACCATCATTCAATTCTCTGTCTCTCCAAATTTGACTATGCTAGATGTCTTGTATAGGTGGAATCATACACTATTTGTCTTTCAGTGTCTGGCTTATTTCACTTAGCATAATCTCCTCAAGATTCATCCATGCTGTAGCATGTGTCAAAAACCTGCCTTTATTTTTATTTTTTTAATATTTATTTATTTATTTTTGAAATAGAATCTCATGCTGTCGCCCAGGCCAGAGTGCAATGGCACAATCTTGGCTCACTGCAACCTCTGCCTCCCAGAGTTAAGCGATTCTTTTGCCTTAGCCACCCGAATAGCTGGGATTACAGGCATGCACCACCATGCCCAGCTAATTTTTGTATTTTTAGTACAGACGAGGTTTCAACATGTTGGCCAGGCTGGTCTCGAACTTCTGACCTCAGATGATCCACCCGCCTCGGCCTCCCAAAGTGCTGGGATTGCAGGCATGAACCACTGTGCCTGGCCACATGACTTTATTTTTTATAACCATGTGCCTGGTGTCTAGCTTAGCACTTGGATGTAGTAGGAATTAGGAGACCACAATATATCTTTGTTGAAGGAATACATGAAAGAATGACTCAGTCAGCCACATTGTATTCCCCTTCGTAGCCTTGGGATCAGGATGCAGTAGGTCCTCTGTAATTCTTTGGGGAAGAAAAGAATTATTTGGCTTCCTGATTTCTGAAGCAGAGCCCAGGGGGCAGTTGAGATACTTTTGGAACATGAAAAACTCGCCATTTCCCCTTGCCCGTGATGTTTGAATCCAGTGTATGAAAAGGAAATCTGTGGCATCTTTTCTCGAGCTTGTAATTTGGGTTGCTTTGTGTTCACTGCTAATTAACCAGTTGGTGATGTGCTGTTTGTCTTTTCGTCTGCCTCTGAGCTTGTAAGGAGTCAGTGACAAGCCCAGTGAAACTGAGGGGCACTCAGATAATTAAGGTTTGGAGGGCTTCTTACCAACCCATTGATGAACCAATTGCTTCCTCTGCCTCAATTGATGGGTAGCTGACACATGACGTTAACAGTGGCTTTCTCTCATATACACAGCAGCAGGAGACTTTCCCACCTTTTAATGGCTGAGCAAACTTCATCCCAGGCAACCCTGGCAAAATGAAAGTGTATTGTCAAAGTTACTTGTGAAGATGACTGTGTTTAGACTAGAAGAAAAGTCTTGATACATCAGAATTGCCACACACGCGTGCTCACACAGTCTTTATTATTAACATCTAAATGCAAAAAGTAATACAAAGCTTTATTTAAACATTTAAATGTATAAGGAGAAATGACTTTGTGTTCTATATTGTTCTTTTGTGTGTGTGTATGCCTGTTTTTATCCTTTAAGAAACAACAGTGATAGAGTATTGAGTAGTTTCTTTTCTTTTTTTCTTTTTTGAGACAAGGCCTTGCTAACCCTGGCTGGTTTGCATTGGCGTGATCACTACTCATTGCAGTCTCAACCTCTCAGGCTCAAGTGATCCTCTTGCCTTAGCCTCTCAAGTAGCTAGGACTACAGGTGTGCACCACCACACCCAGCTAAGTTTTTATTTTTTGTAGCAATGGGGTCTGGCTATGTTTCCCAGGCTGGTCTCAAACTCCTGGACTCAAGCAATCCACCAGTCAAGCCTCTTGGAGCGTTGGAGTTATAGGCTTGAGCCACCTTGCCCAGTTGAGAAGTTTCTCTAAATCTGATAACCTCCTCCTGTATAGAGTCTGTGTCTGTTATGCAAAAACATCAAATAATTGAATGTCATGTGTGGGCGGCTCTACACCTCCTTACCTGTGCTTATCTTCTGCTTCTTTGCCTCTTTTTAATCCAGCGTAGTTTGGAACCAGCAGCAGCAGCAGCTCCCCAGACCTACTGAATCAGAATCTACATTTTGATAAGAGCCCAGGGTGACTCCATGTACGTGAAAAAGTTTGAGAAGTCCTTAGACCTACAGTTCACAGCTTCTCCTTCTTTCTTATTCAACTGAATTGCAGTGGGACCTGAGTATGGTTAAAATAAATGAATAAAAACACAAATCAATTCTTGGGTGAGTCTCATGAACAATCAAGATTAAGAACCACTGACCTTACTCCAGTAAATGCCTTGAGAACCCTGAGGGCAGGGACGCTGTCTACTGTGTTCTTTCCTAGGAAGGTGCTTGGAATATAGTAAAAAAAAAAATTATTTATTGAATGTATTATTATACAAAACCCAAGGCTCAGATGACCTTGGGGCAGTGTCTTTTTCCATGTTCAGACCCTGAAGGAGATCAACCTGCCTGTCTGCTGACCCTGCTCCCGTAGCTGGGCAACAAGTTCTTTGAAGGTAGATCTAGGTGGCCCATCTTGGTGTCCACCACAAGTGGTTAACAGTCAAATAGAATCATGTTTTAGGAGGCAGGCTCTAGAATTTGACTGCCTACCTTTCATTTCTGGACCTGCCACTCCCTGGCTGAGTGACTTTGGCCAGTTATTTATCTTCTTCCTGGGTGATATGGTTTGGCTCTGTGTCCCCACCCAAATTTCATCTCCAATTGTAATCCCCATGTGTGGAGTGGGGGGACCTGTAATCCCCACGTGTTGAGGGAGGGAGGTGATTAGATCACGGGGAGGTTCCCCCATGCTGTTCTTGTGATAGTGAGTGAGTTCTCATGAGATCTGATGGGTTTATGAGGCAGTTTTCCCTGCTCTTGCTCACTCTCTCTCTTGCCTGCTGCCATGTAAGATGCGCCTGCTTCTCTTTCTGCCTTGATTGTAAGTTCCCTGAGGCCTCCCCAGCCCTGTGGAACTGTGAGTCAATTAAACCTCTTTCCTTTATACATTACTCAGTCTTGGGTATATCTTTACAGCAGTGTGAAAACGGACTAATACACTGGGTCAGTCTCCTTATCCATAACATACTATCAATTATACCCACCTGATAAAGTGATTTGAGACTATAGTGAGAAAAATAGATTTAAGGCACATATTGGGCACTTAATTAAGGTTAGTTGTTATCGTTCCTATTATAATGATATTTTACATAATATATAATTAAAAGTTTATAATATTAAATCATGTTATAAAAATAGATTCTTCTTTTGCTTGTGTGAAGAAACAAACTGGGATGATAAAATGTTAGAGAAAGGGCAGTTTTATCCATACTAAAGATAATAGAGATATTATTTTCCTCTTCTGTGTGTGAGAACCATCTTTGTCTCCTTACACACTAGACAGGATACATTTGTTTGTGGTCTGTGTGCATTTTTCCTTCTTGTCAGAGCAGCAAGAACTTTGATTCTTGCCTTTAAATGGGATCTTTCGGGAGATGATATGATGATAAGATTTGTAATTTGCCCCGTCTCTATCCTTGCGGGATCTTGGGTTCTGCTCCAGCTACGTCAGCTCCGTTTAACTCAATGATCTGGTGACATCTTTCAGATCTCAGAAGGGCTCAACAAATGCCACCACGGAGTTCAGTAGTGAAGACACAATGCCAAGATTAAGCAAGGTTGGGTTACATTTGTAAATGTAAAGGCTCAAAGCTTTGTTTGAACAAATCAGTGCAATAGATCTTAGGTAGAACAGAGTTCTAGCAGAACTGTGAAGTTTCTAAAAAAAAAAACAACAGAAAACCCACACCAGTGAGTGTTAAAGTCTCATAGGAATAATTCCATTGTGGCTAAGTGCGGTGGCTCACACCTGTAATCCCAACACTTTGGGAGGCTGAGGTGGATGAATCATTTGAGGTCAGGAGTTCAAGACCAGCCTGGCCAACATGGTGAAACCCTGTCTCTTCTAAAAATATAAAAATTAGCTGGGTGTGGTGGTGCATGCCTGTAATCCCAGCTACTCGGGAGGCTGAGGCAGGAGAATTGCTTGAACCTGGGAGTCGGAGGTTGCAGTGAGCTGAGATCGCACCACTGCACTCCAGCCTGGGGACAGAGCGAGATTCTGCCTCAAAAAACAAACAAACAAAAAAACTAAAACAAACAAACAACAACAAAAAACCCCAATTCCATTGTGTGGTGATGATAATCATCATCATTGGCTCTTTTTTCCCATCTCCCTTGTGATAATAAAGCTCAAACTCTGTATAAGCTAGGATTATGGTATGCTGTGCACAAACCCCCAAAACGGTGACTTAAAAACAATATAATTTTATTTTAGTCTCACAGAAATAAAGGTCCAACTGATTTGGCAGCTCTGCTCTGAAACTCTGTTAGGAATCCTGGATGCTGCTATCTCATTTCTTTCTATCCCTATGATGTTGCCTTTGCCTTCATGACCCGGGATTGCTGCCATTGTGGTTTGCATTCCAGCCAGCGGGAAGGGAGAAAGAGGTCAGAACTCTCTTCCTTTTAAGGGCAAAATATACAAGTTGTACATGATCACTTTTATTCACACATCTTTTAGTCATGCAGTCCCACCCAACTGCAAGCAAGACTGGGAAATCTGGATTTTTTGTGGCCATGTGTTCTGCTAGAAACTCAATTACTCTATACTCTCTCAGAATAGGTGTTTGATACAGAGCTCTTCCCACCTCCAGCTCCCAGGTGGGCACGTGAACCAGACTTGGCACCTCAATGCACCACATCTCCGTGGCAACTGAGATAGGTTTCCAGTTGCCCATGCAACCCAAGCTGGAACAAAGAGACTGGGTCCTGGGTTCTTGCTATGACTAGCGGTGAAGAGATTGCTCTTCCTTCTGGGGTTCCTTCACAGGATGAATGTAATCCTGGAGTTGCTCCTGGTTTTTTTGCCTCCTAATGGAAAAGTGAATGTAACACAGAGGAAAGTAGAGGAGAGACTGAGAGAAAGGGATTCCTGATGACACAGTTAGAGCACTTGGATTCTGTTGTACCTGAAACCAGGCTTCCCCAGATAAATAAGCCAATCTACTTCTTTTTCTTTTTTCTTTTTAGTTAGGCTTGCTTGGACTTATGTTCTTGCCATTTATTATAAAAAAGCACTCTGAATAATAATGTACCTGTGTTAGTTCATTTTGCATTGCAATAAAGGAATACCCAAAGCTGGGTAATTTTTAAAGAAAAGATGTTGATTTGGCTCACAATTCTGCAGACTGTACAAGACGCTTGGATCCTGCATCTGCTTCTTGTGAGGTCTCAGGAAGCTTTTACTCATGGTGAAAGGCAGATGGGAGCTGGCATGTCACATGGTGAGAGAGGGAGCAAAAGAGAGAAGAGGGAGGCCACAGGCTCTTTTTAACAACCAGATCTCATGTGAACTCATTACTATGTTATATACTTCTGTATATAATAATATCGATATATTATACATACTATATGTATAATATATTTGATATATGTATGATATATCCACCTCTGGCAGAATTTACCCACATGCCTACTTCTATGTATACTAAAACTAATATTATATAGAAGTATATAATATATAGTATTATATATAGAAGTATACTTTATTATCTATATCATATATAGAAGTATATGATATACTACTATATATACTACAACACTATTATAGAAATATAGTCTATATATGGTGTATATGATATATACTATATATAGAAGTATATATATATCATATACTTCTTATGATGCCCAGCATATCTATTCTTTTCTTTGTTTTCCTTGTTTTATGTTTGTTTTCTTTGTTTTATATCATATACTTCTACATGTAGTATATATCGTATACATCATATATAGACTATACTTCTAAGTGTATGGTCTCTATACCTGTGTCATCAGCAGCACCTGGAAACTTGTTAGAAATGTAAATTCTCAGTGATTCTCAAACTTACTTGTGTGAGATTCACCTGGAGGGCTTGTTAGACTCCAGATTGGTGGGGCCCACCCCCTGAGTTTCTGACCCATTAGGACTGGAGGGAAGCCCAAGTTGGCATTTCTAGAAAGTTCCAACCTCCCTGATTTTCTGATCCATTAGGACTGGAGGGAAGCCCAAGTTGGCATTTCTAGAAAGTTCCAGCCCCCTGGAGTTTCTGATTCATTAGAGCTGGAGGGAAGCCTGAGTTGGCATTTCTAGAAAGTTCCAGCCCCCGAGTTTCTTCTGATCCATTAGGACTGGAAGGAAGCACGAGTTGGCATTTCTAGAAAGTTCCAGGCCCCTGAGTTTCTGACCCGTTAGAGCTGGAGGGAAGCCTGAGTTGGTATTTCTAGAAAGTTCCAACCCCGGAGTTTCTGATCCATTAGGACTGGAGGGAAGCCCGAGTTGGCATTTCTAGAAAGTTCCAATCCCTGGAGTTTCTGATCCATTAGGACTGGAGGGAAGCCCGAGTTGGCATTTCTAGAAAGTTCCAATCCCCGGAGTTGCTGATCCATTAGAACTGGAGGGAAGCTCGAGTTGATCCTGATCTATTAGGACTGGAGGGAAGCCCGAGTTGGCATTTCTAGAAAGTTCCAGCTGTATTAGTTAAGGTCTGTATAAAAACAGAACCAATCAGATATATATATATATATATATATATATATATATATATATATATATATATATATATATATGAATATGAGGAGTTTTATTTTGGGAGTTGGCTCACTTGCTTACGAGGCCAAGAAGTCCTGTGATCTGCTGTCTGCAAGCTGGAGACCCAGGAAAGCCAGTGGTGTAATTCACTGTGAGTTCAAAGGCCTGAGAAACCCGGGCTTCAATGCTGTAACTCTCAGTCTGAGGCTATAGGACTGACAAGGTGTGGGATGGGGGTACTGATGTAAGTCTGGGAGTCTGAAGACCTGAGAAACAGGAGCTCCAGTCCCTGCGGGCATGAGAAGATGGATGTCAGAGCTCAAGAAGAGACAGGAAGTTCACCCTTCATTTATTTATTGTGGTCTCTCCCCAGTGGAATATAAGGTGCTGGACAGCAAGGATTTTAGTCTGTTTAATTTGCCGCTGTATCCTCAGCACTGAGGTCACTGACTGGGACATAGTAAGCACTCATTTTACATTTTTGGAACAAATTTACTTCAGGCACAGATAAAGTTTACCTGAACCAAATAAGTGAACAGAATTATTTATAGGCCCCTGGTTTATTAATCCACTTCCTGTCCTTCATGGCTGTTGTTTCATATTTGATTCATGCATGGCATAAACATTTATGACAATCTTGTTCATATCATAATTGTTGTTAGCAGCTAACATTTATTGCAGACTTAATAGTTGTCACTGTGTTAACCACTTCAATGCATTGTCTGATTTAATCCTTATATCAGTCCTACAATGTCTTTGCTATTTTATCCCCATTTTACAGATGAGAAAAATGAGGCTAAGAGAGCTTAATTCACTTGTCTAGTGAATTCACATATCACACTGCGAGGTGTTATGGGATGCCGGAATTCAAGCCCAGATCTGACACCAAAGTCGATGTGTTCTGAACATACAAACTGCTAAAGTTCCACTTCAAGTGCCTTCTTGCTATGTGGCTGGCCATGACTCTTTATAGCTGAATCCCCATTGTAACTTGCTCATAAAGTTGACTGGCATTGGTTGAGTCATATTTCCAAACATCAGGTGACACTAATAGCACTGACTGGAACAGAATTCAGCCAGCTCATTGTTTGACCATTCCACTTTCTCCTTTTCTGTCTTCTTATGTGGTTGAATAGTGTGCTATGAACTCTTTCCCTATGGATAGACATTCACAAGTTTTTGATGTTCTGCATAGTGTGCTGAATAATACTGAACACATCTTTAACAGTAACCTTAGGATAAATTAATAGGTACTTTTAATTATAACATAGGTATACTGTCTTCCAGACAAGTTTTTTTTTTTTTTTTTTTTTTTTTGCCACATAGTTTACTCTTTTTTCCCCATAGTGTGGTTGATATGATTTGGCTATGTCCCCACCCAAATCTCATCTTGAATTGTAATTCCCATAATCCCCACGTGTCATGGGAGGGACCTGGTAGGAGGTCATTGAATCATGGGGGTGGGTTTTTCCTGTGCTATTCTCATGATAGTGAATAAGACTCACGAGATCTGCTGCTTTTATGAAGGGCAGTTCCCCTGCACAGCTCTCTTGCCTGCCACCAGGTAAGACGTGCCTTTGCTCCACCTTCGCCTTCCACCATGATTGTGAGGCCTCCCCAGCTATGTGGAACCATGAGTCTATTAAACCTCTTTTTCTTTATTAATTACCCAGTCTTGGGTATTTCTTCATAGATCATGAAAATGGACTAATACAGTGGTAGACTGAAGATCTAGCAGTCTTATGGTGCATTAGTTGATAGCATGTGCCGTTTTCAAAGACATTAACATTTGTTACTGTGCTCAGACCCAACACCCACCCATCACCATTGACTCTCAGCAGATCCTGTCACCAGAGGCCATCCACCTCTGGTAGAGAACACAGGTTTGCACTTCTATGTTATCCACTCTCGAGGACTTTGTCTTTATTTGCTCTCTCATTTCCATCCTTTTACCTTGAGACCCTTTCTTCTTGTGCCAAGATTTTGCATTTATCCTGCTTCTCTGTCTTCATCAAAGACTGTCCATGTTATGAAGATTGAGAAACTGAGGTTGATCAAACAGTTATACCAATTGTACATGAAATAAGTCAATTCTTTTGATTTTTTTAAGATGACATCTCTGTAATCACTTAACTGTCTTATCTTCTATGGGTTCTGTACCACACAGGCATGATCATTTTTCTATTTTAACTTGAGTTTCCTCTTAAGATGTAGAAAAAGTAGTTTTTATCTCCTCCATGTTGGTCAAATGGCCTTCTGCTAATGATGCAATTAGTGAAACTATGCGAGACAAAGGGGGAGATCTTTCAGTTTTAGAAAGTCAATGAAGTGGCAAAATCTGCCGCATTTGCTGTATGTGCAAAATATTTCACAGAGCTCTACTGTAGTCTTTTTTGAGCAGCTACTGTAGTTGCTGAAGCTAAATTATAATAATTTGATGACTGTGTGCAAAATGAATTCGCTAAAGTACTGCCTCCTCAATGGCTATCAGATTTGGTTTAGAGTGGGGAAAGGCTCTCTCTCACCTCGGTCACACCCAGAAATCTGGAGATTTCCTTACCTAGCCTCTCTTTGCTACCTTCTCTCCAGGACATATCCCCTTTTTTTTCTTCTTCTTTCAGAATTCTGTTTCCTGGTAAACAAACTCTGCTAAATTCTTACCCACATGGAGCTACCGTTTGATCCAGCCATCCCATTACTGGGTATATACCCAAAGGAAAATAAATCGTTCTACCAAAAAGACACATGCACTTGTATGTTCGTCGTGATACTATTCACAATAGCAAAGACATGGAATCCACCTAGGTGCCCATCAGTGGTGGATTGGATAAAGAAAATGTAATACATATACACCATGGAATACTATGCAGCCTTAAAAAAGAATGAATCATGTCTTTTGCAGCAACATGGATGGAGCTGGAGTTCATAATCTTAAATGAATTAATGCAGAAAAACCATTGGTGATATCTTCATCACTGATGCATGTTTCAGATTATTTCTTCTGTACCTTCATGTAAAATTTCTATTCATGAGGTCCATGCCTTTTGCCTATACCCATCTCTACCCATCCCTGTGGTTTGCTGGAGATGGCTTGTGCTGGCTTTGGAGAGCTAGTTGAGCACTTCTTTTTTGTGTTCTGCATCCAATTACATCATGTTGGTAGCTTGAAATTGGCCATGGTGGGAGTATTTACACCATGAAAATTGGCCAGTGCTACAAATCAGAGCGAATTACTTAACATTTCCCAGCACACCACTAATCCTTTTTCTGTGGTTATCTACCTTCTTTCTGATCACCTTCCTCATTTGTTGAAGACTTTGGCTCCTGGATCACAATATTCTTTCTTCCTCCAGGTCAGACAACACTCTCAGAGATTTTGACATCTATGTTGAATTAGTGAGTGAGGGCCAGGGCTACTCACTATCCTGCCATGGGATACAGGGAATATAACGTAACAAAGGATTGTTTCACATCCTGGCATTTCTTCCTAGCATCCTGTTGGAAAGTCAGCTAGTTAAAAAAACCTTATTATAATTATTTGGACCTAGAACCCAAATTCTATTTTATATGTAGCACAAAGTATTCTTTGTGTAACTTTAATACACTCCCCATAAATTGAAGGAGAATTGTATTATATTTTGTCTGGAAATTCACCAAGGGCTTTCTCATCATTGAAAAAAATTCATGTCCCCGATGGCAATGCTACCGTGGTATTTGAGTCACCTGTTCAACACACCTTATTTTTCTGTATTGAGGCTATTGAGTTCAGGGGATTTTACATGAGTATGCACAGAGAATATTCCATTAGGTCTTCTCATATAGTTGTACCCAAGACATATTAAATACATATTAATTATTACAAATTATATATATATATTATCCTCTTTGTACTAGAATTGGAGCTTCATGGTGAGTTTTTTAAAAAAAATTATATTATTCATACAAAAATTTGTAATATTCTACCTGTATTTTAGAGGTAGAAAATTTGTATTATTTCATTTCAGGGTGACTAAAAGGGTGTTATATTATAAAAGAGGCTGTTAGATTGTATAGGGTTGAGAGACCTGTTACAATTCCCTTCAGCTGCTTTGAGTTCCCAGTTTCTGAGGATTGCTTCTCCTCCATGTAATTCCTAAGAACTGGCTCTGGACCTATTCAACATCAAGACAACCCCATTTTTGGAAGCTCAGAGGCATCTTTTATAAGCAACCTCTGATCCTTCCAGAACCCTCCTTCTCTTATGCTCATTTCACCTGGTCTTCTACTTCAGAGAAACTTCCAGAATCTAGATCCTTCCATTTTCTCCTTCCTGTCTTCTCATTGATGGGCACATAGTATGCTCTGACTCCATCCCCTGTGGATGGACATTGAGGCTGTTTCCAAGTTTTCGATGTTCTACATAGTGGGGTGAATAATATTGCATGCATCTTTAGTGGTAACCTTAGGGTAAATTCCCAGAAGAAGAATTGGATGCTTTTTTAAATTTTGATGCTATTACCACATTAGCCTCCCTGCATTTGGACAGTGCTACTTCATGAAACAAAAAGTATATATTTTACTTAGTGAAACAAGTGAGATGGTTACTGAGGCAATTGTCATTCTTCTCGGTCATAAATAGTACCTATTTTGATAGCTTTCTTTTTCCTTTTCTGTAGACCACACTCATGCATCCTTCACTGCTACCAGCCTTGTTCAAGACACTTGAATTATTGCAGTGGCATCTTAACAGTCTCCTGCTTTCAGCCTTTTTGCTCTGACACAGTCTGTTTGCAGTTCACATCCTTTCACTTCTCAAACTCTTGGATGGCTTCCATGTCCCCCGGAGCGAATGCTCAAACCTCCCACAGTCCATGTGCTTTGGCTACCAATGACCCTGCCAACGTCGTCTCCCTCCATCTCCTTCTCCCTCCTGCTTAGCCACACTTGTCTCCCCAGGGCCTTCGCACTTGCTTTCTTCCTCGTTTGCCGTACTCCCAGCTACCCACAGGGCTTCTTCTCCCACTTCCATGAGTGCTCTGCACATGTATTGAGCAGGACTTCGCAGCCACTCACTATGAAATAGTAGTCCCTCCCTCTCCCCCTGAGTTACTTTTCTCCACAGTACTTATAATCATTTGATATATTTACTGCTGCCCTGAATGAGGCCAGAGCTTGTTCTGTTTTGTTTTCCATTGTTTTCTTATTTCTTCCATCTCCAGTACCTGGCATATAATAGATCAGGACCAGATGGTAAATATTGTAGTCTTTATGGGCCATACGGTTCTGTCCACCCTACTGAGCTCTGACACTGTTGCGTGAAACAGCCACGGACAATACATAAACAAACGCGCACAGCCGAATTCCAATAAAACTTTATTTATGAACACCATAAATTTGAATTTCATATAATTTTCACATGTCAGGGGATATTGTTCTTTTGGTTTAAAAAATGTAAAAACCCTTCTTAACTTATGAGCCGTACAAAAAAGGGCTGAGAGCTTGAATTCGGTCTGAAGGTTGTGGTTGTGCTTAAAAGTTATTTGTTTCATGAATGAATGAATATGAAAAGACTATGTATATATTAATAACTTTCAGGCATGTATCATAATCTATGTTTAAGCCTGTGCATTTGGAAAGATATGGCACAGAACTAAATGTGCCTTTTCGCTATAGATGTCTTACTCATTTTGACATTTCAACCATCCCTCAATAGACAAAGGGATCACTAGGATCTGGTTTAGTAAAAGTCTGAAAACTGTAGTGTAGCCTATAGACGATAATACAAATCATCTGCTTTATTATATATGTATTTTAATAAAACAGAAAGGGGTGAAAAGACTCTGTGTATTTTCGACTGGACTGGACATCCACAGCTTTTTCCTTTGCCTTTCATAGTTTATCTTAATTGAACTTCCAGCACTGCCATCGTCTTTCTCTGCAAACTCTGTTTGGAAAAATAGACCTTAAGACCCCAGTAAGAGCACTCAAATTCCTCAGAGCAAATAACTTAAACATAACAAATCGAAGCTTACAAAAGTCGGAATTGTAAAACTAATAGGGCTGTTAAAACCAGCTTTCCTGAAAATTATGAATTGGTAGCCCTGTTTCTTATAATGGCAAATAGTGAATCTTGATCGTTCATCAGTGCACATGTCATAAATTAGGTGCTGAGAGAGGCTGCAAAATTCTTTATAGCATCACAGAAAGCTACCGTGACTGCCTTCATATCACATTGTTAGATTCCAGTGGTGCCGGCACAGATCTGGCAATGAAAGTTTTAAAATTGTAACAAGTTGTCAAATGTTTATCAACGGGATTTTATGAAGGACTAAAAAGTTACGTACGATACTGCACAGACCATTAGGGGAATAATAATAGTAATAAAGAGACTTTATTCTCATCAAGACTTATGTGGCAGCTAGCTTTTCTCCCCAAACTTGGTTATTGGAGGATGGGAGAGGCAAATAATTCAATGCTAGGAGTAGAACAGCTTGAAGCATTAGATGGAATATCTGTATTATGTGTTGAATAGAATATAATGAATATGTGGGGCTATATCTCTATAGATATGTAGATCTCTCTCTGTATTTATGGAGAAAGATATTCAGGATTGAAACGCAGCCTTAACAAATGCCTTGCCAATTGTGTTTTATGGGTTCTGCCTGCGGTGTAGGAAGAAGGATCAGGCTGAGTTGGGTTCGGTTCCTGACTCCTCTGTTTAATATTTTTGTGTCTTCTCTACACTGAAATTACTTCTTGTTTAAGAGGAGGAACAGTCATAAAGCCTACTTTATTAGGCTTGTTGTAATTTTTTTTAAATAAAACATTTAGCACAATTCTTTACACATATGGAGCCAAAACCCAAAATAAAAATCCTACCTTCTTCCCTTATCAGTTGTGTGACCTTAGGCTGGTCATATTACCTCTCCCAGCCTCAGTTTCCCCATTTACTTAGTGGTGATAATATTTTCTATTCACTAATCTTGTGGCATTGTGTGAGAATTAAATGAGATATCTTATTATCTATAGAAAGCCTAGTACACTACCAGTCACTTGGCATGTGTTCATTATAAGATCCTTTTTCTTTTATTCAGGGGTATATTCTTAAAAGAGAGACAACATAAACTATATCTTTGGAGATGCAGGATTATAATAACTATATTTTATAAGTCACCATTAATGCTTCCTCAGAAGATTCTAGAAATTTAATGACTATCACAAGTTTATGTGTCTATAACATTTTGCTGAAGGAAGCAGATATGTTTATTATCAATCTCTTCTAGACTGCAAGATCCACTAGAGTAGAGAGTTTGTGCCTTTTGTTCACCTCTGCATCCCTAGCATGTTTATTTGGCACAGATAGGTGCTCAAATTATAGTTGTTCAGTTAATAGTTTTAAACAAATATATTTCCAGCAGGGAAAAGCCATAAATAAACTCACCAATTCACATTCTGTTTGTTCCTATGCACCAAGGGTAGGTGTACCCTTCATCAGGATCCCAGCCGGAAATAGATGGCGCAGCCCACCTGGGTAATTTGAGGAGGGTATACAAAAACGGTGTGGGCAGTGTGCTGGGAGACCACCAGGGACCATGCAGTGCTCTGGGGCTGGTGACAAGAGGACGCTGGCATTCATTCCTTGACTAGAAGGAGGAAAGGGAGAGGAGCTGACTGACTGAGGGAGGTCCTGCAAGCCTGTGAGCTGACTGGGAGGAGAGGAAGTGCTCTGGCAGGGCTGGGAGCTAGGAGCTGGGAGCTGGGAGCTTTCCTTGAGGGAGGTGCTGGCTTTGCAGGTGTCCATGTGGTCAGGCTGAACCATACTTCCTGGAATCCTCTTCTCAGTGGTGTGGCTGGGGAAGGGTACAGAGAAACTCTTGTGTGGGATTTGGAGGAATGGGCGTGAAGCTGCAGCCCTTTTGTGGCTCACACATGGTCCCTATCTGCTGATTCCCCTCCTCGGCCTGCTCTGTTGCTGTTTCCTCTTCCCCTGGCGTCTCCTTTCAGCTTTCCTGACTCTTAGACTGGGTGTATGTTCATGTCAGTGATGAAGGGTCCGGTCACTGCAGGCCACCCTCATGGACATGGTCAGAGGCAACAAGAGTTGACACGGGTTTCCATCCATCCCGTGGGCTGCAGCTCCTCCTTGTAGGCACCAGCTTGTCTCTGCTTTCCCTGACTTTACATCCAGCTTCCCTCCCTGACCGTCTGCCCCATGAGCCTGGAGCATGGGACACTGCCTAATGTCACCTCCGCCCATGAGTGCTTTTGGTCAAATCCCTGCACAAAGCCATACCTATAGGTATGCGTTCACACACACTCACCCACATTAGTGGTCCTGCTTCCCTGAATGAAAGTTGTCTTGGGCTGCTATAACAAAGCGCCATGGCCTGGGTTTCTTCTGAACAACAGAAATTCATTCTTCCCAGTTCTGGGGGCTGGAAGTCTAAGAACAAAGTTCCAGCATTGCCAGATTCTGGTGAGGGCCCTCTTCCAGGTTGCAGACTACTGACCTCCTGTGTCTGCATCCTCTGGCCTCTTCTCACGAGGGCACTAATCTCATTGATGAGGGCTCCACCCTCATGACCTAATCCCCTCTCCAAGGCCCCACCCTCCTAACATTATCACATTGGGGGTAAGAATTTCAACAAATAAATTTGAGAAGACACAAACATTCAGTCCATCACAAACACTCCTTGAAACAAGGAACACAGTCAGTAGTTGGTGACACCATTACAACTGACCAAGAGTGGAGAGAATTCATACCTTGATGTTCCTCTCCTCCCTCCCTGAGATACTCTGCTAGTGTATCCCAGGCAGCAAACCCCACCAGAAGGCAGAAGTCATCCTCATGGAGCCCTGCAACAGTGAAGAAGGGTGGAGAGAGGACCTAGAAGTGCAAACCATCTCTAGGGAGATGTCCACTTTAAAGACCATTTGGTAAATTTGTTTTAGGTAAATTCAATTTATTTGCATGAATTGTGAATAAATTCACCTAAAACAAATTTACTAAATGGTCTCTAATGTGTCCATTGTTTCATGGACACGAGTGTCACGAATTCTATCAACATTTATTCACACCTACGGACCAGGCGCTGTGTGGAATGCTGAGACACACACACACACAAAGACTAATTCTAAAGTGGCAGGTAATTTATTGGGTATCACTGTGTATTTTGTTCTCCCTGATGTATTTCCCCTGCCATGCAAAGAAGGAAACCGAGACTTTGAATTTGCCTGGTTGAATTTCAACAAGTCTGTTTAAATGCCTCATTTAGCATTTTACAGCAGCTTGTGTGTTGTAGGGCCAAAGGCAAGATTTTCCAAGCTTAAAATTTGGAAAATCTAAAGTCGTTTGAAGGGTATTGTGCTGGAGGGATGGAGAGGAGCATTTTTGGGAGGTGGAGGTGGGAGCAGACAGAATAGAGGGAGGATGGAGAGCGACCTTATAGCTGGCAAAGAAAATTGGCTTTTGCATTTTTTTTTGCTGATAAAATGGGTCTGATCCCTCTTTGCTAGTGCCCCAGGAAGTGGCTGAACTTTAGAGGGGATGTCTGTGTGGGACTCCACTGACAGTATTCTGTAGCAGTGGTGTGTATGTTTTGGGGGACACAGCATTTATCAGCAGTGATGGTTATCGTCTGAAAACCAAAGATCCTTTTTCTGAATATTCTAAGCTGCATTCACCTCCTGGGGTTTATGCATGATGCTAGAGAGGGTTAGAGAGTCCCCTCCAAGACTGAGATTGAGTTTCCTACTGGTCCAGCAGAAGGGGCCCAGAGCTGATTAAACTTAATCTCAAGAAATAAAGAAATGTGGCATTTTATGGACTGGATGTTGCTGGCTAAAATTTATATATTTACCATGGTTACATTCATGGCAGCTACTTTTGCAAGGCACAGGGCTAGGTGCTTTTATTCTTTAATTTATTTGCCAATTCAATACATATTTATTGAGCGCCCATTTTGTGTTAGGCACTGTTCTTAGAATGGTGCTTAGCATTGAGGATACAAGAGTGAACAAAACAGATGAAGCCCCTTGTGGAGTTTAAATTATGGTGGGAAGCTGTAAGACACTGGAAAGAACCAAAGTGTTTTCTTAGTGTCACATACCACTTAACACAGCCCCTTCAACGTCAGATGTGTGGGTTTTTTCCTCTATACAACAGGCAATTCTTCAGTTGGGAATCCTATAATTTAGTTCAATTCTGACACTATCTACCTGGAAATAGCATCAGACCCCACGGGTTGAGGGCTCAGTTCCACAAGACTGACCCTCCCCCTTCAGATGCCAATCACAAGTAGTAAGTTGTCACCTATACTTCTGACCAATCAGCTATAAATCAGGGGTTACCATGACTCTCTTTTCAGGTTTGATTAATTTGCTAAAGCAACTCACAAACTCTGGGAAACACTTTACTTACGTACTTACATGTGGCCATTTAGTATAAAGGATATTACAACGAGTGCAGATGGGCAATGAAGAGATGCACAGGGCAAACCATGTGGGAAGGAATGCTGAGCTTCCGTGCCCTCTCTAGGTGCTCCAGGTAAAGGTTCAGCTGTCTGGCAGCAATCTGAACCCCGTCCTGTTCTTTTTTTGTTTGTTTGTTTGTTTTAATTTTACTTTAAGTTCCAGGATACATGTGCAGAATGTGTAGGTTTGTTACATAGGTATACGTGTGCCATGGTGGTTTGCTGCACTTACCAGCCTGTCATCTAGGTTTTAAGCCCTGCATGCATTAGGTATTTGTCCTAATGCTCTGCCTCCCCTTGCCCCCATCCCCCGAGAGGCCCCAGTGTGTCCCCTCCCTGTGGCCATGTGTTCTCATTGTTCAACTCCCACTTAACGAGTGAGAACAGTTTAATTTTCTGTTCCTGTGTTAGTTTGCTGAGAATGATGGCATCCAGCTTCATCCATGTCTCTGCAAAGGACATGATCTCATTCTTTTGTTTGGCTGCATAGTACTCCATGGTGTATATGTCCCACATTTTGTTTATCCAGTCAATCACTGATGGGCATTTGGGTTGGTTCCAAGTCTTTGCTTTGTAAATAGTGCTGCGATAAACATACCTGTGCATGTGTCTTCAGTGTTTGTAAGGAGGCTTCCTTACATAGGCATGACTGATTACATCATTGGCCATTGGTGATCAACTCAACCTTCAGCTCCTCTCCTCTCCTTGGAGGCTGAGAGGTGGGGCTGAAAGTGCCAACCCTGTAAGCCTGCCTTGGTCTTTCTGTTGACCAGCCCCCACCCTGAGGCTGTCTAGGGGCCACCAGCCCCCAGTCTTCTCATTAGCATACAAAAGACACTCTTTTCATTCTGGAGATTCCAAGAGTTTTAGGAGCTCTGTGTCATAAAACTGGACAAAGACTAAATACATATATATATATATACACACACACGTACATATGTATTATTATAGATCACAATATCACAGAAGCAGAGACTCAGATGAAACACAGGAAGGAGTCATGGGAAAATTGGATGGAAGAGCATTCGTCGTACTGAGGGAACAGGAAGGGCAAAGCCCTGAGGCTGGGAGGCCAGTGTGGCTGCAGAGTAGAGCAACAGAGACAAGGTGAGCCGGAGAGGGATGGGAGGAGAGGATGTGCAGATTGGGCACTAAGGGCTTTGTTTTTACTAGCATCGGATCTATTAATAAATATCACTTAGTCCCTTTTTTTTTTTGAGACAGAGTCTCACTCTGTCACCCAGGCTGGATTGCAGTGGCACAGTCTCGGCTCACTGCAACCTCCGCTTCCCGGGTTCAAGTGATTCTCCTGCCTCAGCCTCCCAAGTAGCTGGGATTACAGGTGTGCCATGATGCCCGATTAATTTTTGTATTTTTAGTAGAAATGGGGTTTTACCATGTTGCCCAGGCTGGTCTCAAACTCCTGACCTCAGTTGAACCCCCCTGCCTTGGCCTCCCAAAGTGCTGGGATTACAGGCATGAGCCACTGTGCCTGGCCGGTCCCTATTCTTGAGTAACTTTTAGTATCTTGAGGAAGAACAACCTGTGAACTGGCAGCTTCAACCAGTGTGCTTAGTGATAAGGCTCTATTCCACAAAAATAAGGAAAGGCATGGGGATTCAGTTTGGGGAGTGGTATAGGAGCTTGCCAAGAACTGGGAAGGATCTAATATTTTTACCCTACTTGCAGGCTATCAAGTTACCTGTCATGGTTCTTTAAACGCTGGCAGAAGATGTGAGACTTCTGGGTTAGAGACAAAGGACTTCATTCCACACATCACGGCTTGCAGCGGGAGCCTCCTCGTGTTTGCATTGGCCCCTTGGGGCCAAGAGGAATGGCTGAGGTAGATGCCGCACACCGTTGGTTTGTGTCATAGCAGAGGAATCCTGAAATTAAGTAACCCAATCTTTAATACAGGGCTTCAAGCGAGCCTGTCCCACCTTTGCCCTAGAGGGAGACATTATCTTTCTTTTGTTGACCAGGAAACAAATCTGCCCTCTGCTCTAGAGAGAAACACTCTCTCTATCTTCCAACCCCGCAACAAAAGCTGTCAGGGCCTCTGCTCACAGGACATAAAGAAACGTGAGAGATCCATGGAGAACTGTCTCCTGGGGGTTAAGTTAGAGAACCCTAGACTCTATTAATGGTTTTATAAGTTGACACTGTTTTGGACCAGGTTAGATAATGGAGTTGCAGTTTTCCTGACTGTTTGGATGTTCTAGAGTGAGACAAGGAAACCATTGACGATAACGAGCAAGTGAAGTGGTAGCGAGGGGATAGGAAATAGACTAAATGAGTCACTTGAGCATGTTTCAGCATTCACTTATCATCTTTTTCAATAATATTTCTGCAATGCCTACTATATGCCAGGCACCAACCTAGAGGCCTGTTCGTGATGAAAAAAGGAACAGGCTGAAGGTCTGCAGGGCAGGCTACGAAGAGGTCAGGGCTGCCTGTGGTCTGATGTTTCTCAGGCTGGGTGCATGTCAGAATCACCTGGGCAGCTTTGAATCTTTCCTATTCTCAGAAGGCCCCAGAATCATGAAATCCAAATCTCTGGGGCTGAGGCTCAGGGATTTCGTTTAAAGATACCTTCCCAGATGATTGTTACAGGCAGCACAGGCGGAGAACGCAGCCATGGGTGAGTGCATGTGTCAACTGCTTCTACAGCCCAGCCCGTTGCTACGAGGCTCGCGGTTGCTTCCCTTCTGATGGGGCTTCCGACAGCTGCTGCTCTCCTCGATTTTCTTCTCTGAGGGCCCAGTGTCCTTTGAGGTGGGGGCCTCAGGTCTGTACTCTCAGGATAAGATCTGATTCCAACACGTAATTGATAATTCTTGTTTTAAGAAAAGTGGAGTGATTTTTCTCCAGCTCCAAGGTCTAGGGCAGGACATTTTAACCTGCCTTTCTTCTGGGCACTAGTGTATTTTGGGTTTTTGGCAACTATGTCCAGGGATGTGTATTGATCACCAGTAATTTATAATTGCATAGATATCTGGATAGGAGTAAAACATGGACTTAGAAGAATGTGGCTTCAAAGTCTATTCTACCCTTACCAGCTGTGTGAACGTCTCCAGACTTCCTAACTTCCCTGGGGAGCCTGGCACCATGGCTTATGCTCATAATCCCAGCACTTTGGGAGGCTGAAACAGAAATATTGCTTGAGGTTAGGAGTTCAAGACCAGCTTGGGCAACATAGCAAGACCCTGTCTATAAAAATAAAAAATTAGCCACTGGGTGTGGTGGTGAGTGCCTGCAGTCCCAGCCACTCAGGAGGCTAAAGCAGGCCAGAGGATCACTAGAGCCAAGGAGTTCAAGGGAGATCAGCCTCTTCTTTAGCAAGAAGGAGATGATCTCACTTTTTCCACTGAGTTGTTTTGAAGATTAAGTGAAAAATGTGTCTAAGCCTTGGAACTGTGTCTTGGTACATAGTTAGGGTTAAATATATTTTAATTGTCTCATTGCCTCATTAAAACAACCCCTTAAGCAGGAACTATACATCTGCATTTTGCTGATGAGGAAACTACAGCCTAGAGAGGAGAAATAAGAACATGAAAGTAGCAAATAAGGTCCTTCCTTTCCAGGAGCTCATAATTTAGTCGAGATGATATGACCTTCTTGGAAAGAATGATTTAAAAATAAACCCAGGTAATGATTCAAAACTCCATTATAATGATAAAATTGTGAGACATTGGAACAATGTCTCCCAACTGTAATGTGCAGAAGGTTCCCTGGAGCATATCAATTATCAGTTGAAGATTCCCTTGCTCGGGCTCTGATCCTGAAGTCAGAAGACTACTATTCAACAGACAGATGGCTCCAGAAGGCTCTGCACAGTTGATGTGTCAACCACACATAAAGAAACAGTTTGAGAATTCCCAGTCAGAAGCAGCTTCTTGGAAGACGCAGGCTTTGAATTAGGCCTTAAGTAAAATCTAGGTAAAGTATGGATGGGCAGAGAGGACAAGAGAGGATATTTTGTGAGAGGGGTCAAGTCATGAGCAAAGCTGAGAAGACAGGAATGGATCATATTTGCAGAAATAACCATGTTAATATACATAGTAATTCAAGTTTATTGGCTTTGCTGGACTTTAATAAGGTAAGTATTTTCTCATTTTCATGACCTTTTTCTTGCAAAAAAACTGAATTAACAAACCTCCTCGATTCTTGAAGGTCTTCTCTCCAACAGCCCCACATCTCTCTCGCTGAGCGCCACACCTTGGTGCATTTGGATATTGATACGCAAACCTAAATTATGCAGAAAGTGAAGCTTTGAAAGGCAGGCAGGGAGAAGTGTCCTCTTGATTAATGGTGAGGCAACATGTTTCAAGTGAGGTTTCAAGTTCCAGGAACTTAAAACCTGTCTGAGATATACAATTTGGGATAGATTCCACTGCAAACTGGGAGTTAAGGTGACAAGCTGGACCATGAGTTAAAAAAAAAAAAGTTCCCTCTGCCCCCACCCCACTGAAGTGTGTTTGTTTGTTTGTTTGAGACAGAGTTTTGCTCTTGTCACCCAGACTGGAGTGCAGTGGCATGATCTTGGCTCACTGCATCCTCCACCTACCTGGTTCAAGCGATTCTCCTGCCTCAGCCTCCTGAGTAGCTGGGATTACAGGCATGCACCACCACACCCAGCTAATTTTGTATTTTTAGTAGAGATGGGGTTTTACCATGTTGGCCAGGCTGGTCTCGAACTCCTGATCTGCCACCCTTGGCCTCCCAAAGTGCTGGGATTACAGGTGCAAGCCACCGTGCCTGGCCGTTTGTTTGTTTTAGTAAGTCCACCTTTTCTGTAGAGGGGACTTTTCTCTATAATATTAAAAATTAGTGACCACAATTTTAAAAATGGAATTCCCACTTCACTTGGCAAGTTAGGAGGTTGGTATATTGCTTGGGGTACTTTTGTTGGCAAGTAACAAGTAAAACCTTATTCAGACCATCTTAAATGATAAGAAAAATGATGTTCTTCTGTAACACGAAGGCCAGAGGTTGGTTCCAGGTGTGGTGTCACAGGGATCTGCTGCCCCTTCTTCAGGTGCCCTGGACTCTGTCCTCATCCGTGTTTGTCTCTTAGCAAGATGGTGGCAGCAGTTTTCAGTATCTCAAGAAGACACAGTGTTGTCCAGGGAAGAAAAATGATGTTTTCCTGTTTTTTCCTTTGGAAGTCCTGACATCCAGGTGGACTTCCTTCATGTCTCAATGGCAAAATGGGTTACACGCCCATTCTTATACTGAACACTGACGAGCGGAGTAGATTTCTTCTAATTGGCAATGTAGAGAATAGAATAAAAGTAGGACCAACTTTCCAACTTATGTAGGAGAAGGGGGTTACATTGACAAAAGAAGGGGGTTACACTGACTGGATTTTGGGAGGCAACCAACAACATCCATTAGAATCTGACATTGCTGGTTCCAGATTCCTTCTTGGCAAATATTGGGTGTAGCTTGATGTGTGTTGCCCCTTTTAAAGGGCAGCATGGGGTCTTCAATTTGCCACATCATTCCCTATCTGTATTATTTTGTACTCTATTTGCCTCCCTATATATTTTATCTGTTTAGTTCCTATAGGCACTTGTGTTTGGGACCCCATATCTACAGACACAGGCATGCCATACTTTTGTTAAGAGGTGCTTCTAATCAATATCATCCAGCATGCTTGGGTAATCAATCAGAGTGATTGTTTAATTGCTCTTCTCCTCTGCTTGTCAGCCTTTCAACCTTTCAAAGGATTGATCTCTTCTTTCCTGTTGTGGCCAACTTCCCCTCTCATGTCTTACTTTCGGTGGTATCCTGATCCCGTGGGCCACCAGGAAAAGCCTAACAAAAGTCTCTGGTTCCATCCGAGCAGCTGCAGAAAAGTCTTCAAGAATCTGAGTCTTCTAAAAGCTGCCTCCATAATGAACTAGTCTTAGTGAAGAGAGAAAACATAGACAGTGTCAATCATGGCCAGTGACAGGGTGCAATTAACCCAGGATCAAATTGCAGCAAGATGGATGGGGCCAGATGGTCCTGTTATTCTAACAAAGGGATTTTATAGTAAGTGCCCTTCAGAAGGGAGACATTTTTCTACATAGAACTCTGGAATGAAAAGAGACAAGGGTGAGCTCTTCACAATTTTCAAACAGATATTATGGAGTAGGAAAACTAGTAAATGATGTTTTAAATCATCATTCCAATTCTTAATTGGTGACTGGTAAGGCGTACATACACTGTCCGTGTTGATAGTGCTTGAAGCTATAACTACTAGAAAATTCTAGGCTGAAAATATCTTAACCATGAAAGACCTCCATTAGGAAATTCAGAATCTTAAATAGAGTGGGGCAAATAATATAGGGAAAGCGAATTGAATTAATTCCTTCTTACAGTAAGAATGTTTAAAGTTCTTATACACATGCTTCTGAGTGTTAGGAATATAGCAATGAACAGTTTGGATGTCTTTGCTATCTGTAAATTACATCCCAACAGGAAGACAGAGTTAATAAAAAAGTAAACAACATATAGAAAAGATGATTTCAGAATGATAGGTGCTAAAAAAGTGAAAAAAGCCGAATGTTAAGACAGTGAAAGGTGGGGAGTAGAAGTGGGTGGTGGTGTGTTGGTAAATGTTCAATACCTGGTTCTCTGGGGGAAAAAAGCCTTGGTTTTTTTTGTGTTTACCAATTTCTTTGGCGTAAATACTCCCACCATGGCTGATTTCAAGCGACCAGCGTGACTACGAGTTGGGAAGAGATGCACACAGTATAAGCCAGCTCCTGCACACCTCTGGGAGGTGTTACATTACTTTCAGAAAGGACTGTCAGGTTAAGGACTCTGACAAAATCGACCTATGAGCTGAGATATGAATAAGAAGTTAGTCATGAGATGACCGGGCGTGGTGGCTCACACCTGTAATCCCAGCACTTTGGGAGGCCGAGGCGGGCAGATCACGAGGTCAGGAGATTGAGACCATCCTGGCTAACACGGTGAAGCCCTGTCTCTACTAAAAATACAAAAAAAATTAGCTGGGCCTGGTGGCAGGCACCTGTAGTCCCAGCTACTTGGGAGGCTGAGGCAGGAGAACGGCGTGAACCCAGGAGGTGGAGCTTATAGTGAGCCGAGATCGCGCCACTGCATTCCAGCCTGGGCAACAGATTGAGACTCTATCTCAAAAAAAAAAAAAAGTTAGTATGAGATGGAAGATTCAGGGGAAGAGCTTTCCAGGCAGAAGGGATATGTTACAAATACAAAGGTCCTGAAGTAAAACAAGTTTTGTTCTCCAGGGGAAAAGAAGGTGTTGATGTATAAGAAAATAAAGAGATAAGTTGGGGTAACTCATATAGGTCCTGGAAGGCCATTTTAAAAAATTTAGATTCCATTGTAAATGGAATGGGAAATTGTAAGAGGTTTAAGCAGGTGAGCAGTATACTATACCTATTTAGCAGGAGGCTGTTTCTACATTTTCATGGAAGGAAGTCAGCATAGGGTTGTTCTGTAGCAGAAGACAGAGAAGCAGAAATAGCTGACTTTGCTGATGTTATGGTCTAGGTTTTGAGTTTGAATTTCATTCTCTCAAAGCTGTATATGAACTGATTAGCATGATGCCTGGAACACCATAAGCCAGGATGTTCGTTGTTGTTTCTGCACTGGACTAACTTGGAGATCAGTCTTGGGAAGGTGGGTGATGTATCAATATCATCGGGAATCACAGAGCGAAGACATCACAGTGTAGGGCTTGCAGTGGACTCTTAACATGTTGCTGAAGATGTGGGTAAAAGAAATCACTATCTCCAGCTTTTGAAACATAGTTCAGGTTACAGAGAGATCAGGTGGATGCTTATCCCCCAGGGATGAGAGTTGGCCAGATTATAAGCTGTGTTTCAGTCTTCAGTTGTAGTGCATTTGTTCATTTATTCATTTTGTCTGATCAGGGACTTCCATTCAGCCACCAAAGCAGACCACCACGTGACACCTTCATATAGGGCATTTCAAGTGCAAGGGTATGAAAGAAAGATTCGTTATGGGGTTTTCCTTGTTGCTATTGTTGATTTCTTTCTCTCCCCTCCTACCATCATCAACTAGTAAGTAGGGATCCTTTAAAATAGTAATGTAGGAATATTATTATTATTTGTATTGACAGAAACAAAAGTTTGATGGTATTAGGAGGTAGCATTTGTTGCATTTTACTACATATTTGTGCAGTATGCTCAGTGCTTTATATACTTAAACATTGCAACAGACTGTGAAGTGAGAATATTGTACCTTTTATTTTACAGATACAGAAACTGATGTTCAGTGAGGTTGAGCAGTTGCCCCACTAAAGCCCATGGCTTAATTATTAGTGGAGCCCACATCCACGCCAGTTTCTGCAAACGCTCCATAGCTTCTACCCCCAATCCTAAAAGCGTTCGCAGGAAATGCGCAGCTTTGGAAACTTTCATCCTATGTCTTCTCAACTTGGTTTTTGGTTTTGACTCTTTTCCTGCTGCCACTATTTATGTTCAGTATCTCTAAGGTTTTCATGCTACCTTCCTAAGGGGCCTCTGCACTTTCAGTATCTCCTATTCTATGCTGTCTCATGAACAGCTTTAAATTGAACTCTTTAAAGGACAGCTTGGTCCCTGTTATGCCTTGACCCAGAAACCTCAGTGGCTCCTTACTGGCTGAAGAGCAGACCTTTCACGCTGGGGAGAGCTAGAGGAGGCCTCGACTTCAGCCCAACGAGGGACTGGGCATTGCATTTTGTTCCGCTGTGGAATGCTGGCTGCTGTCGGGGCCCACCTCTCATGGCACTCTGTGTTTTCCCATCTCTCAGCATCCACATTAGAATTTCTGTTCCTGGAAGGCAGGGACTGTCCCAGGCATCTGAGTGTAAACAGCATGGGTTTGCAACATGACTTCACTCACTATCTCTCATTCCTTTTTCCTTCGAAATCAAATCTAATCTCTCCCAAGGCCATTTCTTGGATTTGGTGGGAAATCTCACTCTTATTTTTTTTAAAAATAGATTCCTCGCTCTCTCTAGGAGAGCAAAAAAGGTGTAGGCTTTTCTGAGTGTCTGCCAGTCTTTTGGGCTATAGTCACTCTCTTTGCAGCCTGTTGCCCTGGCCCACGTGGTCCTTTGAAGAGCTCAGTCCTGTTCTTTCAACTCTAAGCTTGGGCAAAGGGCTTAGTTCAGGCTCAGTTTGTTCATAAACAGCCAGAACATAATAGTGGCTATTACGTAAAAACACCAGAAAAGGAGGCTTAAATCAAACATAGCACTTTGCCAGAACATGAGCTCTGAGTTTCAACTTCCCAGGTCAAGCCCAGCCCCCACCATTTATAGGCATATGCTCATGGACAAATAACTCTCATGCCTCTGTTTCCCCCATCTGTAAAGCATGGGGATCAATGCTGTCTCCTTATGCATTTATGATGAGGACTAGAAAGGATAATAAGAATAAAAGATTTAGCATAATGCCTATCAGAGAGTAAATGCTTAATAAATGTATTTTATATTTTTTCGCCTTTCAAGAATCTTAACTTCTCTAGTGATGTTGTGGGGTTATAAGAGCTGTACCTGTGACAGAGACTTCAGTATTCCTTAGGAGTAGAGCCCGCCCAATTTCTGCCAGTCTTGCGAGCACCTCTCCCTAGGGACCGTCCAGTTAGGTGACTCCTGGTTGCTCAACCTCATAGCATTAGTTTCTTCATCTGTGAAATGAGAGTGTAAGGTAACTTGCAAAATGTTGGGAAGCCACTTTACACATTTAACACAGATTAGCACATAATGAATGTTAAGAGGAAGTCAAGCAAGGAATATAATGGTCTTAGTACAGTGTCTAGCATGTAGATAGGGCTCAATTAGGGTCAGCTACCACCATCATTTATTTCATTGTCGTCAACATCATCATTGCCATCCTCACCGTCATAGTCTCACCTCACATAGGAGACTGTTTGAACATTGCAGTGAATAATATATATTGGTTAAGTAGTCCACATAATTTGAAAAACACCAGAAAAGGAGGCTTAAATCAAAGATGGCACTTTGTCAGAAGTTTTATGTATATCCACTTCTTTTCTTAACAAGCACTTCTTAATAGTTGATTCCCATGGTTTTGCACTTAATGATATCTAAATATATTAAAAATTTGCCTCATCTGGCTGTCTAAATGATACAGGATTTTGATCAGCCTTCCTCGTGCTGGGAATGAATTGATTCAGTTTAAATATTTTGTCTAAAAGTTATTTAGCCTGGAAAATACCAGTCTAATTCCCTTACAAGTAAGAAAATTATAAAGAGAGAGATCTAATCAGTGGGTAGAATATAGCCTCAGAAAATGTGTACCAGCATACCTTAACGAAAGTAGAATAAATCTTGAAACTTTAACATTCCCCTTTCTTGGACCTAAATAGGTCCCTTTGGAAAACTATTTTATTGTTTCTCATTAAATTAGAATTGTGCTGAGGTGCCACTATCTACCGTTTCCTATTATTATTAATATAAAAAAATTCACTGCATATTCAGCATTTCCCCCGTTAAAGCCAACAGAAAATCTTCCCCGCTTTTGTACTTAACTCTGGGTCATTTTTAAACAAAGTTTCTTTTTTTGTTTTTGTTTACATCTGCATTTAAAGAGAGCAATATTTTCTAGGGACAATTAAATAGATGTAATGCATAGGTTTACTCCTGCTTGGTGAAATTAGCAGGTCTTGTAGAAGAAGGCTGAAAAGAATGACAGTGGCAAGAAGTGTCTTATTAACCCTAGGCAGATACAGTAATTTCTGGGAAACAGAATTTTGGAAGCATCATTTTAAAAAACACAGGTTGATCATACATTAGAAAGGATACACTCAAACTTTTAATCCATCAGTGAGATGAAAGGTTTGATGAAGATTGATACTGAAGTTCTTACTGCTGCATAGAACACTCTTACTGTTCACAGTATTTCTAAAAATGAGACATTGCAGTGTTTTATCTTCTTGATTCATTCAAGAGACAGATACTGAGTGGCAACAGAGGCCATATGCTGGGTGACCAGAAGCCACAGCTGACCCAGAGCTGTGTGATGTTTGGGTCTGGGGACCATATTCCATCTGGCAACTGTTGCTAGCGCCTCATTTAGACAAGACCTCCCTCTCCAGTCCCCTTCCATATTTCCAGAAGCTTCTTGGCTCTTTAGACACAGTTTTCAATCTTTGCATAAAAAGCATAGAGCAGCTGGGCGCGGTGGCTGACGCCTGTAATCCCAGCACTTTGGGAGGCTGAGGTGGGCAGATCAAGATGTCAGGAGATCGAGACCATCCTGGCTAACACGGTGAAATCCCGTCTCTACTAAAAATACAAAAAATTAGCTGTGCGTGGTGGCACTCGCCTATAGTCCCAGCTACTTGGGAGGCTGAGGTAGGAGAATCGCTTGAACCCAGGAGATGGAGGTTCCAGTGAGCCGAGATTGCGCCACTGCACTCCAGCCTGGCAACAGAGCGAGACTCCGTGAAAAAAAAAAAAGAAAAAATGCGTAGAGCATGTACTATAGCTCAGATCCTATGTACTATGGTCTGAAGTGTCCTGCAACATTAATATGTTGAAACTTACTTGCCAATGTGACAATATTAAGAAGTAGGGCCTTTAAGAGGTGATTAAGTCGTAAGGGCAGAATTACTTATAGATGGGATTATGGCCTTTATCAAAGGGCTTGTGGGAGTGAGTTTGTTGCCTTGCATCCCTTCTGCCTGTGAGGACATGGTGTTCGTCTCCTCTGGAGGAAGCAGCATGCAAGGTGCCATCTTGGAAGCAGAGACTGGGCCCTCAGCAGACACTGAAACTGCTGGAGTCTTGATCTGGGACTTTCCAGCCTCCAGAACTGTGAGAAATAAATTTCTGTTGTTTATTTATTACCCATTTTTAGGTATTTTGTCATAGCAGCAAAAATGGACAGAATCACTATGTTAGGACAGAGCCTTCAAGTTACAAAGGCACAGAAAATAGAGACCCATTTTACCACTTAAAGTAAATGTCAATGTCTTCCTCGAGGCTGTCATAATAATTAGAAGCTCCTACATCATAGCCCCTCCCCCAATCCTCACCAAATTGTCTACCACTTTCTCCATTGCCTACTCTGTGCCAGCCATGTGGATCTCCTTGTGATGGTATCCATGCCACCTTCTCACTTCTTTGTAGTTATTGCTGAAAAGCCACCTTGTCAGTGTGGCTTTCTCTGGCCACGGTTTTTAAACTTATGGGAGCTTCCTCCAGTTTAGCACTGACTAATCCCTTTCCCAGCTTTATTTTTCAACCAAAGCCTTTATCACAACCCAACATTCTAAATATTTCAGTTCATGATTTATTCATTGTCTGTCTCTTCCATATTAGACTGGAAGTTTCATGAGGGCAGCCACTTAGTCTTATACGCCATTGCCTTTCCCATACCTACAACAGTAGGGGTGTGTAAATCACATTCTGTGAACCAAACAATGTGGTTCTCATCAGATCTCCTCCAGCCAGCCGGTCTGCCTGGGAGCTGGAGGTACAACAGTGTAGGTTCCTGATAAAAATGTTCAACAATGAATGCATAAGCATAGTATATACTAAAAGAGGCCCCAGATGCTAGGGGACTGCAAGTCACTCAGAGGCTGGGGTGTGGAATTTGAGTGTGGGACAGTGAAATATGAGGGTGGAATAGTATAGATTTTGGACTCAGATGGTGGACAAGAGAGAGCCATGGAAAGGTGAGTGAGTGACCAGAAGGCAGAAGAGGGACAGGATTACCAGGAATGTTTTGCTGTTTTGCAAACCAAAGAGATGTTTAACTGTTAATCTCCATGAGTCTGAAAGTAGGGCCTTTCTAAAAAATGTTTAAAAATAATAAAAATACTGAAGAGTCTGCTTAGATAGAATTTGAATAAGCTCCAAAGGTTGCAATTTACTTTGGTTTTCCCCCAAAATACTGACTTAATTTCAAACAACTTCAGGCCTTAGAGAACTGATCAGAGAAGGTAAAATAATGAGGTGGCTCCAGGATGAACAACATAGAGTCATCCCAATTGGATTCAAATTCCAGTTCTGCTGCTTGCTTGCCATGTAACCTTGGAACAATTACTTAACCTCTCTGAACGTTTTTTCTCATCTGCAAGGTGGAATTAATTAGACCTACACTTCCAAGCTGTTTTGAGCATTAAATTAAAATTTTTTTTTGGTCACATGCCTCCTGTAATAGTAGGTACTGAATATATGGAAACTGGATTTATTAAAGCAATTATGTATTTTTATGAATGATTTCACAAATGAATGCATCTTATTTTTAACCAATGTGAAAGGTGAACTGAATTCTTACAAGCATAAATGCCTTAAAATAGAACATTATGGCTTTTTTTCTGTCTTTGATTTGGCTTCTTAAGCATATTGTGAAATGGAATATAAAATATACAATATATAATATATACAACAATATACACATACTTGTATTTTTTCTTAGCACCTCATAGGACTATTTTATTTTATTTTATTATTTATTTTTCAGTCAGAGCCTCACTCTGTTGCCCAGGCTGGAGTGCAGTGGCGTGGTATCAGCTCACTGCAACCTCCGCTTCCTGCCTGGCTAATTTTTGTATTTTTAGTAGAGAGGGGATTTCACCATATTGGCCAGACTGGTCTCAAACTCCTGGCCTCAAGTGATCTACCCGCCTTGGCCTCCCAAAGTGCTGGGATTATAGGCTTGAGCCACCGCGCCCAGCCAGACTATATTTTATTATATTAGGTGTCAACATAGCACTCAGAGTGTATACAACCATCTCTACTTGTTGCATCTTATGTATTTCCCTAATATTGGCGTAAGTTGCTGCTTCAGTGGAAGTATGTTCTTGAGTTGTAGACCAAGGCTAAAAATCTCTTCCTCTTTTGAGGAGTCAGATAGACTCTGCTTTGAGACCATGGGAACAGTACTTCATCATTTCTTGAATCCTGTGAGTACTATGGATTACACTTTATTTAATATATACAGTATGTAAATAAGTTTCAGAGGCATAAAAGCTTCAAAACTAAACGAAAAGGAAAATTTAATAACCGGCAGATTTTTAGATTGTGCACTAAATAATCTGTTTTTCATTCTAAGAAAGGGGAGGAGGAAGGCAGAGTTTAATAGACGTATATAACAAATTAAAATTCAGTATCTGGGGGGTGTAAATCACATTCCATGAACCAAACAATGTGGTTCTCATCAGATCTTCTCCAGCCAGCCACTCTGCCTGGGAGCTGGAGCATAATTCAACCAACTGTAAAACAGGAAGATACTCTCGATAAAGGGCAGAAGACAGCACACAGTCCATGGCTCTTTGCCAAGTTCTGTGCAGCCCAGCTATCTATATAATAACATGTCTGTAAAATGATGTGTTTAGAATTATCCTTCTAGGCCTGGGATAGAAGAAGAGAAAGCTATAAAGGGAAAAAGAAATTTGTGCAACTGTGGCTATCTTGGGGTCTAAGAGAGAGAACTGGAACTAGGGTGTTAGAGAGTAGAGATTCAACTGCGGGCAATTTGGCCCCCAGGGGACGTATGACATAAGACAATGTCTGCAGACTTTTGGTTGTTCCAATGGGTGGGTGTTACTGGCATCTAGTGGGTAGAGGCCAGGGATGCTGCTAAACATCCTATAGTGCACATGACAGCCCCCGCGGCAAAGAATTATCTAGCCCCAAATGCCAAGACCAAGAAGCCGTCGAGTAGAGGGTTCAACTCTCACTGTTGGCAGGTTTGACTGTGATTCCCATGACTTAGTCATCTAAAGTCTTTGGAATTATACACAAGTGTTTTTGTTAGAAGGCCCAAAGTTCCAATATCATTCTAGCATTGTCTTTCTCAGGAGATGATGCAATGGATGTGAATGCATTGTGTCCTCATCTGTTTTGTCTTCTTTTTTTTTGGTGAGAGGCCACTGAATTGACATGGGTCTCTGTATTTGTCCATTTTAACACTGCTGATAAAGACATACCTGAGACTGGGCAATTTACAAAAGAAAGACTTTTAATGGACTCACAGTTCCACATGGCTGTGAAGGCCTCGCAATCATGGCAGAGGGTGAAAGGCATGTCTCACAAGGCACAGACAAGAGAAGAGAGCTTGTGAAGGGAAACTCACCTTTTTACAACGATTGGATTTCATGAGACTTACTCACTGTCACGAGAACAGCACAGGAAAGACCTGCCCCCATGATTTAGTTACCTCCCACCAGGTCCTGCCCACAACACGTGGGAATTCAAGATGAGATTTGGGTGGGGACACAGCCAAACAATATCAGTTTCTGAGCACTTGGTTTTGATCTGGCATGGTGAACAAAAGGGCATCAGTGTTAGAAAGCTGTCCTGTGTCCTGAGAGAGAGAAATAAATGGGCTTTCTTTCATGTGGATAAGAATTTATGTCTTAGTGAAGATGGCCTGTGAAATGGCCCTGGATTAAACACAAGCCTAAATCACAGTGTTCCATTATTTCCTAAAAGTGTCTCCACTGTAAGTTTGAGGAGAAGTGGTAGGAAAGTGGACAGGGTTTTCATTGCCTCTGTCTGTGCCACACCCGGTTAGTGGTTAAATGGAAGATTTCAGTCTCCAGAACTGTCAATCCATGACTTTATAATGGCATCAAATTTGTTTTAAAAAATTCATGCTGTGGGCTTTGAGGACATAATTGTAGCTCCTGAAAAGTTTGTTAAAGATTGCATTAGATAGATTCTTTTTAATGGACGGTCTGTATGCTTGGCCATTTATACTTCATAATAGTATATTTGGAGGATAAAAAAAGTATGTGAGTTAGAGGTTTTTCAGCAAATTTCACTACTATTGCTGTCCTTGTCCAAATGTCTTTGAAAATTTTATGGGAGAAAGAATTTTGTCCTTATTATGCTTGACTGAATAATTTGTTAAATTATGTTTTAAATCAGCATTTCCTCAAATTGAGAACAACTAATGCTAAAGTATATCATGGATTATTTTACATGCAATTTGCATAAAAGTTTTAAAAAGTCACTGCTTCAGTAGTACCAGAGGGCTGTCTAGAAAGATTGCACAAAACCAATGTCTAAGATGGATATTGTTGGTGTTCAGACCTTCTGTTATCTAATTATAAAAAAGCATAACATAGCCACCCAATTGAGTGCGCTCATAATCAAACATAACCATTTGAAGTAAAGTGGAAGCTTAATGTGAAACTGCTGATACAGCATTTTTAATTAAAGCTCCTTTGTATTTTGAGAGTAAAATTCTAAATTTCAGTATTTTGATGTTTTCTAAATGGTTCCCTCAAAATGCAGGAAGCAGCTCAGGGAGCTTCAGGGTTCAGGATGGCAGGGGCTGCTGTGGGGTTGGATGTCCAGGACCCAGGCCAGCTCTGCTCCCCAGCCCTCCAGCCCAAGCTTCATCCAAAACAGCTCCAGGGAATCTGTTTTATTTATTGGACTCCTGCACAAGGTTTTTTGTGAAGACAGGAATCTATGGCTTTAAAAAGTTGGAAATCGATTGGAATAGTGGATAGAGATTCCAGGAGGAAGAGCTATTTTTTAAATGTATGTAAGATAATGCAAGAGACCCATACTTAAAAGCAAAAAAAAAAAAAAAAAAAAAAAAAAGATTTTAGGCTGGGCCTGGTGGCTCATGCCTGTAATCCCAGCACTTTGGGAGGCAGAGGTGGCTGGATCACTTGAGGCCAGGAGTTTGAGACCAGCCTGGCCAACATGGCGAAACCCGGTCTCCACTAAAAATACAAAAATTAGCTGGGCATTGTGCACACCTGTAGTCACAGCTACTCTGGAGAGGCTGAGGCAGGAGAATCACTTGAACCCAGTAGGTAGAGTTTGCAGTGAGCTGAGATGGTGCCACTACACTCCAGCCTGGGTGACAGAGCGAGCCTGTGTCTCAAAAAAAAAAAAAAAAATCTGACCTCCGAGTAAGCTGTGACTCCACTGTTTTATGACACCTATTGTAGAGATAAAGAAAGTGGGACTTAAAGAGCTAAATATCTCATAGACACATACATAAATGGACTAATTGTGAAGTGATCCCAAACCTATTTGAGAGCAAAGCTACCCTGACAACAATTCCAGTATACTGTCTTCCAAGGACAGTAATTGCGGTGAGGCTAAGGGTAGAAACAGCCAAACTAAAATAGGAATAATGGTTTTTCATGGGTGATGCATCTCAAATATGTGCTCAGAACAAAAGACAGAGTGTAAGAGTAGGGATAATTTAAATAATGTGACACATTCCACCAATACACGACCAGATGAGCACACACCCAGAATGTGAGATGGAAGACAGGAATCTCCTGTTTATTTGAGGATTAAGGGAGAGGCTCTATTTTTCTCTTGGTATGAGCAATCCTGCATTACATTGGTTAAAGATGCCTGTCTGTGGCTCAGATAATGAAACAGTAATTGATTTCAATGCAGGAGGTAGAACTGGCTGTTCTGCACTTACTTGTTAAAAGCTGATAAAGGACGGAAATCTTTGGGATATTTGAGAAATTCTCAGGAGGTGTAACTAAAAAAAAAATTGAAGTTTTATTATAAGCAACTTTCATCTTACATATTAACTTTACTAACATATATCTAAGAGGTGATTTTGTTGTATAGTGACTTGTTTCTTGCCTCATAACATTCAGAGGATTAAAATTGATGAAAAACACAAAAAAAGTAACAAGGAAAATTGATTTATAATTATTTATTTATTTATTTTTTAAAGTGAACATGTAGAAACAGAATAAAATGGTGGTTATCAGGGTCGGGTGTGGGGAATGGGGGTGGGAATGAGATCAAAAAGTACAAAATTGCATTTATATAGGGTAAGCTGTAGATTTAATATATAATGTGAGGACCATCATTAGTTATGTTGTATTGCATATCGATAATTTTCCAAGAGAGTAGATTTTAGGTACTCTTACCACACACACACACAAACAAAACAGAAAGATAACTATATAAGATGATGGGTATGTTAGTTTGCTTGACTGTAGTAATCACTTCACTTTGGATATGTATATCAAGATAAGCATATCAAAACTTCATGTGGTATACCTTAAATATAGACAATGAAATCATAAATAAATGCATAAATTGACCATTTGATGAAGAATAAAATTGTAGACAGAATAATGGCTCCTGCCAAATATGTCCATGTCCAGTCCCCAGAACCTGTGAATATGTTACGTAAACATTGATTTCTGTCTTCCTAACACAGTAGCGCTTCCTCACCAAGCCTCTGCAGTAGTTTTTCCCTCTGACCAGAATGTGTTTCCCTCAGCTCTTCGCAGAGTCAGCTCTTTCTCACTCTTCATATTTCAGGCAAAATATTACCCTTTAAAAGATACTGTCTACAACGAATCACATTCATTTTCTCTAACTACATCAAGAATAGCAGTTCCGTAGCCCTCTGCCAGTGCAGCCATTCAACTTTAACCTGAAGGAAAGATGAATCTCTTGAAGTTTAACTACTTAGCATGGGTAAGGAGCATGGGTATCTATCTGTATATGGTTCTTAGACTTCATGCCAGCCATCAGTCAATGTCATATGACATGCCTGCCTTATAAGAAGATGTAACAATAGATAATGCAACTAACCAAATACAAGATTCCTTTTTTCTCCCGAAATTACTTTGGTGGGGGTTGAGTGGAACAGGAAGGGCCTCTTGCACTACAGGGCACACTCTCACCTCCTTACACCGCTTTCCTGTTTGAAGTAAAGTCACTGTCCAAAATAATTTCAACCTTTTTCTGCCCAAGCATATTCTATCAGATCATTCTGCCTAATTTCCTTCAGAGCATTGATCATTGTCTGGAATTATCTTGTTTATGTATCTGTTTCCTTTTTTTAACTTGCTATTCAAAAGCTATATGGTAGAAGGAGGGAAGGCAAGAAGGAAGAGAGGAAGAAAGGAAGAGAAGGAAAGAAGGAAAAATTGAAGGAAGCAAAGAAGGAAGAAGAAAGGGAGGGTCATAGGGAAGAAGGGAGAGAAAGGGGAATTATAAAGTGTGTGTAGGTTCTGGTTAATACCTGCTTAAATTTAAGACTATCAGGCAAAAAGAACATACACAGTGCCCTTCTTTCACCAAGATGTGTAAAATCTTTTTCTGTTTGTTTGTTTTGAGACAGGGTCTCACTCCGTCACCCAGGCTAAAGTGCAGTGGCGTGATCTCAGCTCATTGCAACCTCCACCTCTGGGGTTCAAGCAATTCTTGTGCCTCAGCCTCCCGAGTTGCTGGCCACATATCACCATGCCTGGATAAATTTTTTTTTTCTTTTTTCTTTTTTTTTTTTGTATTTTAGTAGAGACAGGGTTTCACCATTTTGGCCAGGCTGGTCTCGAACTCCTGGCCTCAAGTGATCCACCCACCTCCTCCTCCCAGAGTGCTGGAATTACAGGCGTAAGCCACCTGGCCCAGAGGTTAGATTTTAAATTAACTAATAAAGTGTAAATTAGAGATAGTTAATATTATCATTGAAGAATGCTTATGTCACTGTAAAATAGTGTACTCATGGTTTTATGTATACAATTATACAGTGCAAGTATTTGTAAATGTATAATAATGTATCTATAATATGCACTCTATAAAATAGTACATATGCAAAATATAATTTTATAGTATATAGTCATGTGCAACATAATGACGCTTTGGTGAGTGTGGGACCACATACGTAATGACAGTTCTATAAGATTATAAAATTGTAGTTTTACTGTACTTTTCCTATGTTTAGATACACAAATACTTACCATTGTGTTATAGTGCCTAAGGTATTGAGTATAGTGACATGCTATATAGGTCTGTAGTCTAGAAAGCCATAGGCTATACCATATAGTTAAGGTGTGTAGTAGGCTATGCCATCCAGGTTTGTGTAAGTCATCCTATAATGTCCACACAATGCCATCACCTAACGATGCATTTCTTAGAATATATCCCCATCATTAAGTGGCACATAACTGCATTAGATATACCATTAAGTCACTATATTCATTTCTTGCTCTTTTTAAATTTTTTTGCCCTGTTCACATGGTTGAATTCACATATGAGGCAACTTCAATTTTTCTACCTCATGGAGCTGTTGTGAGCAACAGATGACATTGTGTCTAACTGGAAAATTACTAAATCTATATATGATAGAGGAGATGATGACAATGAAGGAGAATATTGATACTGATGACGAAAATGATAATGAAGATAATAATAATAAATGATGGTGATAAAGATGATGAAAATGATGAAGATGGTGAAGCTGACCAGAATGATGATGATGAAAATGATAATGATTTGAAGACTTCAACCTCATTCAGCTTCCTCAGACTAGTATTTATTATTGTAAGGTTTTCCATGCTGACAAAGAGGAGGAAAATTCCAATCATAAGACAATATTCTTTCTATTAATCAACAAAATTAAAATAACATTATTTTATAATATTATTATATACAAGTATAGGTTATGATACTTAAAACATAGAAACTGCAACTCCATCTTTGATTTAATTCCATTTGAGCGTGTCAAGCCTAATATACTCTAATCAGAACCTCCTGACTTTGATAGGGTTAAGCCTTAAACATATATACCAAAGTGCTTTTGTCTGCATTGATGTGAAAGATCAGTTAGAACAACATTATTTTGTAGTTATAAGACTTCAAACCACAGTGAACTTTAGCTCCCTGAATGACTCTTCAGATGTTTAATATCGTTCTAAAAATGTACAAATGTAAGAGCAGAGAGCAGATTAGTGGCTGGGAGGAGAAAATATCCCTGATCAAGGATGAATGATGGGCTCTTTGTATAAAGTTGCACCAGGTCTTTCCTTTCCTCAGAAAACAAATTGCGTGGTTGGTGATTTGGGCCATATCTTCAGATCATAAACGTTTTTCTGCAACAATACAAAATATGCATTGTTACAGTCAGATGAGATTTTTAAAAAAGAGTTGACAAAATACTTTAAAAATAACCTATTTAAGTATAACTTTTTATTATGGAAATTATCAAACACATACTAAAGTAAAAAGAAAAGTATAACAATTCCCCTTGTACCTCATCATCTAGCCTCAACATGTTGCCACTTTTATTTCATCTTTGACTCACTAATCCGCCCACTCCCCATCTTGTTTTTCCTGGTATATTTTAAAGAATATCCCAGACAGGCTGGGTGCAGTGGCTCACGCCTGTAATCCCAAGCACTTTGGGAGACCGAGGTGGGCGGATTGCCTGAGGTCAGGAGTTCGAGACCAGCGTGGCCAACATGGTGAACCCCGTCTCCACTAAAAGTACAAAAATTAGCTGGGCGTGGTGGCGGGTGCCTGTAATCTCAGCTACTTGGGAGGCTGAGGCAGGAGAATCGCTTGAACCCGGGAGGAGGCAGAGGTTGCCGTGAGCCAAGATCACACCATTGTACTCCAGCCTGGGTGACAAGAGTGAAACTCCATCTCAAAAAAAAATCCCAGACAGTGTATGATTTCACTGTAAGTTATTCAATATATATCTTTATAGAGTAAGACTTTAAAACAATGTAGCTCTATATTAAGGATAATTTCTTAATATCTTAATTCTTAAGAAATTAAGAAGGATTTCTTAATAATATAAAAAACAATTATAAAACTCTTTTAAATAATAGCAGTGCTGAAAACTATCAGAACACCTTGCCTTAGGCACAAATCTGTTCTTACTAGCTCTGGCATTGGTGGTTCAGCTTGAGCATCCTATTGCACCCTGAGTTTGGCAACATGTGTTGGAGTTATTATATTACTAATGGTATAGATCAGGCTTGGCAAACTTCTCTGTAAAGGGCCAGATAATAAATATTTTCAGCTTTGCTGCCCATAAGGTCTCTGTCATGACTACTCAACTTTGGTGTTGCAGTGCAAAAGCAGGCACAGATAATATATTAAATGGGCGTGACTGTGTGCCAATAAAACTTTAATTATAATGAGAAGAAGAGGGCTGGATTTGGTCCTTGGGCCAGAATTTGCTGACCCAGGCTCTGAATAAGGTAATCCAATTCCTTCCCAAAGGGGGTTGGCAGACCCTGGGGCCATCATTACCTTGGAGAGTTGAGTATGTTGCGATTGAAAAGCAAAGCATTAGGATTCAGAATACCCAAATTCCACATCTCTCTAGCATTTGGAAACTCTTGAATAGGCCACTTGCTTTTTGGTTCATGGTTTCACATTTATTAGATGAAGATAGAGGCACCTACCCTTCTTGCTTAACCAGGTTTTTGCAGACCCAGAAGCCCATGGTTATGGAAGTGTTTACTGAGCCATAGTTGGCTGCTGCAATACGAGGCATTCATTATCCACCATACATTGTAAGTCTGGGTGGTTCCCAGGTAATGATTCTTAATTATATTTTTATCCCTCTTTTGCCATTTTTTGGGGGTTCCAGATGTAACAATAAAAAGCAAACTTAAATTCACTGACCACTTCTACATATATGACAGGGACAGTAGGACCAGGGAGTTTTATATGCATAATTTGATTAGTCAGGTATTATTACCTTGCTTTTTAAAGGTGAAGACACTGAGACTGAAAACAAGTAATGGCCTAATCCCTGTTTTCTTTTTCTTCTTGAGACGGAGTCTCGCTCTGTCACCGAGGCTGGAGTGCAGTGACACCGTGTTGGCTCACTGCAACCTCCGTCTCCTGGGTTCAAGCAATTCTCCTGCCTCAGCCTCCTGAGTAGCTGGGATTACAGGCTCCCACCACCACGCCTGGCTAAGTTTTTTTTTTTTTTTTAATATTTTTAGTAGAGACGGGGTTTCACCATGTTGGCCAGGCTGGTCTTGATCTCCTGACCTCAGGTGATCCACTCGCCTCGGCCTCCCAAAGTGCTAGGATTACAGGCATGAGCCACCCCGCCCAGCTGGCCTAACCTCTGTTGAGAGTGAGTGTCAGGGTCAGGATTTGAACCCATCTTTATCTGAGTCCAAAGCTCTTGAACTGTATGTATGTCTAGTGACATTGAGGGTGGACAGTCACCTTTCTCTATTTTGCCACATTACCAACTAACCCTTTAGTAGTTTTCATAGTGCTTTCCACCAACATTAGCTCATTTAATCTTCACAGCAGTGAAGCTATGCAACTCACTCAAGTCATCAACCTGAAGAACCCCCACTTATTCTCAAGGACCATGCTGAGCTGTCACTTATTAAATCACCTAGACTGAGTCGGGTTCCTGTGTCAGATGCTTTTACTGTCACACCTTGTATTTGCTTTGTGATGCACACTTCATTACTGTGACTTAAGTGTCATCCTACAGAAAACTTCATGAGAGCAGAAACTATGTTGTTCTTGCTTGCCACTCTATTACCACCCCTGGCCCAACAGTAAATATCTGTTGAATAAGTGAGTTTCTAAAAGTCACGGGGTGGAAGCTGGATGATTCTGAGTGGTTTGCAACATAATAGTATTTATCGCACTGTAAGTTGAGCTGGTCATGTGAACCATCCAGCAGGAAGCTTGTTAGGAATTCCAAGTCAGTGACTCTATGTCTGGGAGTGCTAGAAGTGATAGACATCCGGTCTATCACCAGCTTCTCAGATAGGCAAGTCATTCTTCTTGCATAGAGAAACCTGGAGGCATCAGAGGTCGGGTGGTGCTCAGGTTACAGTACTTTGGCGCAGGTACGGGAGAGGTGGTCCCTCTTCTGTTTGGAAATGTGAAGCGCGTGTGTGTGTGCACGTGAACGTGGTGGACAAAGGCTACTTCCTCATACTATACATGAAAGGGCCATAGGAAGATAATCAAAAAGGAAAAGAAAGGTAAGAGTTGTTGCAAAATGAATTGTCTTCAGAGGCTAAATGGGTAACATACATTTGGGGGAGGGCTGAATATAAGAAAGAGAATATTGATGCAAACCACAGTGAAACACCATCTCATGCCAGTTAGAATGGAAATTAAAAAGTCAGGAAACAATTAAAAAGTCAGGAAACAACAGATGTTGGGAAGGATGTGGAGAAATAGGAATGCTTTTATATTGTTGGTGGGAGTGTAAATTAGTTCAACCATTGTGGAAGACAGTGTGGTGATTCCTCAAGGATCTAGAACCAGAAATACCATTTGACCCAGCAATCCCACTACTGGGCATATACCCAAAGGATTATAAATCATTCTACTATAAAGACACATGCACATGTATGTTTATTGCAGAACTGTTCACAATAGCAAAGACTTGGAACCAACCCAAATGCCCATCAATGATAGACTGGATAAAGAAATGTGGCACATATACAACATGGAATACTATGCAGCCATAAAAAGGATGAGTTCATGTCCTTTGCAGGGACATGGATGAAGCTGGAAACCATCATTCTCAGCAAACTAACACAGATACAGAAAACCAAACACCACATGTTCTCACTCATAAGTGGGGGTTGAACAATGAGAACACATGGACACAGGGAGGGGAACATCACACACTGGGGCCTGTCGGCGGGTGGGGGGCTGGGGTAGGGATAGCATTAGGAGAAATACTTAATGTGGATGACACGTTGATGGGTGCAGCAAACCACCATGGCATGTGTGTATACCTATGTAACAAACCTGCATGTTCTGCACATGTATCCCAGAACTTAAGGTATAATAAATAAGTAAATAAATATATAAATAAATAAAAATTAGAAAAAGAAAAGGCAGAGTATAACAGTTAAAAAAAAGAAGAGACAATGATGAAGTCTTTAGTGATCTAGAGAATCCATATTCACCCTAAAGACATTTAAATTCAACATGTGAAAGCAGGTCACTTTGTAGACAAGACACAGGCAGGCACAAGGCTGCCCGTGGAATTCAACTTTGCAATTCCCCAGAAGATGGAGATAGGGAAGGAGCGATGACAGCAGAGAGGAGAGGATGTGACACAAGAGAAATGATTCCTGGGCAGATCGTGATTCCTGGATGATCCCTATGGGCTTCATTTCTTGAATTCACACAGATACCCTTCTAGTCTTAAGACAGTAGTATGCAGAATTCCACCCACAATATGGTATTATTTGGTAGTAATTACATCATCAAATTTTCATTCTCATGCACTATGTATGATAGGTTGGGACTAATTCAGTGAAACAAGGACATTTTCTTATGGCCTCCTGTGATATTTCTAAATGAAGGTGGCTGATTTTTCAGCTTACTAAATTCTAAACAGATAATTGGAATAATACTGATGTTTCTGGGTGCTTTTATTCACAGATTTTCTTCTTCCTTACATTAATTTCTGATTTGGCTTCCAGAGTATGTACAGGCCATCGTGCTCCTCTTATCTTTAATTAAGGTCTTTGCCATTTCTCTTCAGCAGAGTCTGAGCAGGTAATGCCAGGGTGCCTGAGGACTCTGTGGGCACCTCGGTTAATGTTGGGCCATGCTAGAGTCACAACGTGTGCAAGAGTCACTTATTGGGCCGGACCTTCATCTTGTGTTTAATTATCTTAAACGTTGCAGGCTCAGCCTTTCTGTTTGCCATGGTCTGTCGGGTATAGAGAATGTTGATGGAGTTTCCTTTAGGTTTCTCCAAAGAGCCAAAAGTTAGACCCTTATGAGGCTACTGAAGCCAAGGGCTTCGTGGCAGGACTGAGATTCCAGAACTGGATAAAAATTACCCTCTAATCCAGCACTTGCTTTTGCGAATACATCCAGAGGCAGACAATTAATTGAACCAATTGTTCAGCAACATGGATATTTAGTGGGCGTGAACGCAGAGGATGCTTACAGATGAAAGCTTGGAACTGTTTTCTTGCTCTGTGTGTTTGGGGACGGGTAGGGGAAGAAACAAATGAGCACAGAAGCCTCCTCCTCCTTGAGTAGGATAAATATGGCTTAGACTAATAAAATACAAGCTGGAATGCACCATTTCCTATTCCCCAAACAGGCGTCCTGGCAGTTGAAAGCAAGGAGAGGAAGGAAGTCTTTCATGAGAAAGGAATTGGGGAGTGGAGGCATTGGGGCTTCACGTGGTAGTTCTCCTGATTACTGACACCCGCCTGCTCCTAACAGCCCATAGAGCTACAGCCACCAACTCCCAAATTTGTCACTGTCACTTCACAAGTGCCCGGCATTGTTCAGGAAATTGTGTGTGTAAAGTAGAGCTGCCTGCGCCCAGCTTCGACAAGGGAGCAGCCTTGCGAAGGTGCTTGAAACCGAAACAGAGGCTTATGTATCCTATTATGTGCCTGAGCAGGAGTCATAAATAATTGTGACAAGTTTTTTTTCCCATCCCACGTGACAGTCCTTGACTCTGCCTCCTGTCTCCTCTCCCCTCTGCCTCATAGACTAGACTTGCCAGGCTGAGTGATGATAGATGTTACCAGGCAGCAAATGACAGCTGGATAGATTTTTTAGTTGGTGCTTTAGAGGGAATCAGATATGCTGTATAAAGCAATAAAAAAAGTACACTCACAAGGTGGGTTAAGAATAGCCAGCACAGCAGTAACCCGCTTTGTTGTGTATCAAAAGTTAAATCTCACATGGTCTTAGTGATGTGTTAATTTTTCAGACTCCTGTCAGAGTGACGGTGAGGACAGTCACTTTAAAAAAAAATTTAAGAAAAGGATAAAAGCAATCAACTGTTTTCTTAGTATATTTTGGTTTTTCAAATGAGACAAAAGCGTTCTCTTTTTAAAATCATATCTAAGAAGAGAAATAGGATTCTGGTGTTTTGCCGTATTGCTGTATTGCTGTATTGCTGTATCCTTCTCAATCTCAAATTTAAAACATAAAATTGGAGATGTGTAAGGTGTGGAATTATTCAGCCCCTGTTCAATTAAATAAATTTTTTTTTTAACATTGCTCATCTTCTTCCACACACTGTATTGATCTAGATTCTGTGTAACAAATGGTCTGGTTTCCCAGCCACCTTGGAAATGTCATGTAGGAGTCAACAAAACTACTTAGTGTATTTTTTATAAAGAATTACAGCCTCCTCTGAATTACTCAGACTTTCATCTCGGGCAAGCCGGCTTGGCTACCTCGTGTCTCGATGGATATGCAGAGCTACCAGAACATGATTCAGTGAACTACCCCACTCCCTGGTTCACGGACGTGACAGGCTGAGACGTACTTAGTCATCGCATTTCTGTCTTCTCCTGCACTATATGGGAAGTGGCTGCTGTGTAATTTAAGAGTGCTCAGTATATCAGATCACGACTCTTTTCCCCCTTGATTTTTCTGATGAATCACGTTAGGAAGGCTGTGGCTTTTACACGGCAGCGTGCAGCATGAGGAGGCAAGGCAGCACAAAATGTTTATTAAAAAAATATGTCTTTCGGGCTAGGTACCAGGCAAGGGGGGTAATTTGAGTTACGCCTCTATAATTCAAATTTGGGGATAATTCAATACTGGTGTAGTTACATTTCCAGCCACATCAAGTTGTACATGTATTATTGGGTGTTGTTTATTACTTTGGTTGTAGCATTCTCTCCATAGGACAATTTCCATAATGAAACCTATTTTCTATGGCTTTATCACTTAACGGGTTCAGTGTTTTTCTTTTTTTCCAGCAGACATGAATTGATGAGATATATGAATGCCCAGAAAATGTCATGAAATAGTTAAAAGGGTAGGTTTGGAGATCTGCTGTCTAAGTTCAAATCCCAGCTTGTCTTCTTACTCCTTGGGTGACCTTGGGCAAGTAATTTAGCCTCTTTATGCCTCCAGTCTTTTAACTGGAAAATAGGGATAATGATAATCCCCCCATCATAGGGTTGTTTTCAGGACTCAATGAAATAAATGTGCTTAGTACAATCCCTACTAATAGGTATTGAATACATATTATTTTAGTTATTATAATCATTATGATTGAGTTGTTATAATTATTACTGGGCTAGTTTCCCCCAGGCCACCTACATCTCCTCACTTCAGGTCTTTCCAGACTTGATGACCATATGTTGGATGGGTGGATGGAAAGTTATTTTAGGAATGGAGCCCTCTTTGTGGTTAAATGAACAGTAATGTTTTACATTGGTTCAGAGTAGTCTTTGATAAGGATGCATATTCTGTACATCACTGATACTACTTTTTGGACCATTTTCATCTCTTCCTCATTTGAAAAGAACCTTCAGTGAAATGCTTTATGTGGACATGGCAGGTAGAGTACCTGGATTCATCGATCAGTTCTTTTTCTGTTCTTTCTCTCTTGCTTGCCATTCTAGCTACCTAGGTAGACCTTGTTGGCTTATAAACATAAGTCATAGGCAGGTTCTAATATGATTTTAGAAACATTAAAAAAATTGGACTGTGATTCACAGTAAGGAATACATTTTATATTGTGACCCAGGGTGCACGTGCATGCATAATATATAGACATTTTGCTGAAGCCAGTGCTCCATGAAACATCAATTATCCTTCCCACATGTGTGATACACTTTGGCATTTTCTATCCTTTTCTATTTCATTTGTTAAAAGTGATGCTTTAGGTCAGGCAAGGTGGCTCATGCCTGTAATTCCAGCATTCTGGGCGGCTGAGGTGGATCACTTGAGCCCAGGAGTTCGAGACCAGCCTGGACAACAAAGTGAGACCCCTGTCTCTAGAAAAAAAAAATAGCTGGGCAAGGTGGTGCGTGCCTGTGGTCCCAGCTACATGGGAGGCTGAGGCAGGAGGATCACTTGAGCCCTGGGCAAGAGACCAAGACTCTGTCACTTAGAAAAAAAAAAAGTGATGCTTTAACCAGGGTGAGCAAACTTTTTCTATAAAGAGCCATAGTAGATATTTTCAGCTTTGAGGGCCATGGAGTTCTTGTTGCAGCTACTCTACTCTGCTGTTGTAGCCACAGACAAAACACAAAACAATGGGCATGGCTGTGTTTCAGAAGGACTTGACTTACAGACACTGAGGTTTAAATTTCATATAATTTTCTTGTGTCACAAAATATAATTCTTCTTTTGTTATTATTAAACCATTGGAAAGTGGAAAAACCATTCTCAGCTTGCAGGCCACACAACACCATGCAGTAGCCAGATTTGCTCGATGGACTGCAGCTTGCTAATCCCTGCTTTAGCCCACGAAGCTGATTTTTATGACTTGTACTTGCAACACTCTTCTGGGACATTTCCCAAAGTGACTGCGAAGGGACATCTGTTTAGCAGGGATTCAAATGGGTGCTAATGGAGAGAAAGCATCTCTCTTCAAGTAGGTTAGTGACCCTTCAGAGTAAATAAAAGGTGCCTACCTCTTAGCAGAAATTCTGTGACTCTTTAACATACCACCAGACCTGATAACTTTCTTTCTTTCTTTTTTTTTTTTTTGAGATGGAGTCTCACTCTGTCACCCAGGCTGGAGTGCGGTGGCGCAATCTCGACTCACTGCAACCTCCGCCTCCCTGGTTCATGCCATTCTCCTGCCTCAGCCTCCCGAGTAGCTGGGACTACAGGCACCCGCCACCACACCCAGCTGATTTTTTATATTTTTAGTAGAGACGGGGTTTCACCATGTTAGCCAGGATGGTCTCGATCTCCTGACCTTGTGATCCACCCACAGCCTCTCAAAGTGCTGGGATGACAGGCCGGGTGTGGTGGCAGACCTGATAACTTTCTAAGAAGGGTACAATAAGGCATACTCTCTAACTGTGTGACCACAAGACGCTTATTTTTGGAAAATATCTCTGGGTCTTGAGTTCTGAGGAATGCACTCAGTGGAACTCTGTCTCGAAGCAGAAGTCTGGGGAAGGCCGCCCTGTTTTAGTGACGGCAAGCATTCTGTGTAGACATCACAGTGTTTGCCACTGAGAAAGGTCTTTGGCGATTATTAGCCTCCCAGTGAAGGAACACATTTTGGGATCTCCTGTGAGCACAACACTGCACAAAATATATGAAAAAAATGATGAGCCCAATCTTATTCCCAGGGAGTTTATAGGCAAATTTGAACTTGGTTACAGGCAACATGTCAACAAGCACAAACTAACATGGTCTCGTTTAGACTGAAGACCCAGGTGTTGGTGATATCACAGTAGGTGATAATAATGATAATATCTAGAAGCATTTTCTGTTCTCTCATCATCTTTGCATATGTCATGTCATTGATTTTAACAAGAGCTATGTGATTTGGTGGGGCCAGTGTTTACCAGCCCATTTTACAGGCAGAGATATGAAACAATGGCTTCAAGTCATACTGTTACTGAGGCGCCAAGTTGAGGATGCAGGTCTTCCTTAGAATTCCTGTAGTTTCCTCTAAAAATAGTGGAAATACTTTGAAAAGGAGGAAAATTTGCAGTGGGATCTCGAAAGAGCTCACAGAGATTGATCCTTAAGAGAATCTGGAGGATGCAGAGGTGTGTGTGTGTGTGTGTGTGTGTGTGTGTGTTCACACGTGTGAGGTTGATTTTGGAAAAGACACGGGTAGAAATAAGTCCTATGTAAGAGAAGCAAAGCCTTTTGACAGAAATATCAGTAGTTGCTAATTTAAAAGCAACCAACTAACCAATAAAGTAACCCTTTAACCCCTAACACTATTAGAGATTATTCCAAGTTAGAAATCTTGAATTCAACTTTATAGTACCTCCTAGTAGCAATTCTGAATCAGCTTCCTGTTTTGGAACTATGGGAAGCCCCACTCTAAAACTATTTGAGAAAAAAAAAGTGCTATGCAATCCTTTGGCATTGAGGTTGATATTAGCCAGCAATGCTTGAGAAGAGCAGGAATGGTGTTCCCATTAAAAGACAAATTAGGGTCAGGCGCGGTGGCTCATGCCTGTAATCCCAACACTTTGGGAGGCCGAGGCAGAAGAATCACTTGAACCCAGAAGTTTGAGACCAACCTGGGCAACATGCAGAAACCCCATCTCTACAAAAAAATAGAAGAATTATCCAGGCATGGTGGTACATGTCTGTAGTCCCAGCTACTCGGGAGACTGACTTGGAAGGATCACCTGAGCCCAGGGAGGTTGAGGCTGCAGTGAGCTGTGATTGTGCCACGGCACTCCAGCCTGGGCAACAGAGTGAGACCCTGTCTAAAATAAAATAAAATAAAATAAGATAAAATAAAAAGACAAATTAAGCAGTGAGTCTCTTTCTGCTTCTGTGTTTTCCCCAAGAGAACTTTCATGGAAATACTTTTGTTTTGCTTGAAAAAAATACTTTGGCAGCTGTGAAAAAGTTACTGCAGTTCAATAGGATGTAAATAAAAGAGGCCCTGTCAATTCAAGGTTGTAATTTGACAGTGCACCATTATTTAGACGGAATATTGAAACGAGAGTAAAAATGACTTCAGGTCATGGTACTACTTCCAATTTAAAGAAAATTAAAAACTGCTTTGAAAAACTGTGCTGCATATTTAAAACTCCTATCTCCTAGTTGCTGGGGGTTAGATGTTCCACACGGCACCTGGAAATCTGTCAATATTAATAGGTATGATGATTCTTACTGGCATATGCTTATCATCTACAATTTTGATAACAGCGTTGAGTGAATCCATTGCTGTTTTCTGGCGTTTGCAGTGTACATTGAGGAATTAATAATTAGTGAAAGTGTAGCCAACTTCTAGAATTAGCAGTCCACTCAGAGATGCCCAGGTGAACAACACGCTGCTTCCCTTTGTCATTCAGGTCCCAGAGAGATTCCTCCTGACAACTCTATCTACAGCGGCCGCCATCCTCAGTCATTCCTTAGCTTGTTGCTTCATTTTATTTCCTTCTTGTTTATGTGTTCTTTTACATCCTTACTGTCCATCCCCTCCACAGTGTCAGACCCTTGAGAGGACAACCTGTGCATCTATACCCAGGGTCAGCAAACCATGGCCCATGGGCTGTATCTGCAAGCTAAGACTGCTCTTCACATTTTTATTTTTTATTTATTTTATTTTTAAATTTATTTCTGAGACAAGTTCTTGCCCTATTGCCCAGGCTGGAGTGCAGTGGTGTGATGACGGCTTACTGCAGTCTCAACTTCCCAGGCTGAAGCAATGCTCCTGCCTCAGCCTTCGAAGTAGCTGGGACAACAGGCATGCACCATCATGCTTGGCTAATTTTTCTTTTTTTTTTTGTAGAAGTGGGGTCTTGTTATGTTGCCCAGGCTGGTCTCAAATTTCTGGCCTCAAGCAATCCTTCTGCCTTGACTTCCCAAAGTGCTGGGATAATAAGGGTGAGCCACTGCACCCAGTCTACATTTTTAAATGGTTGAAAACAAGCAATATTTCATGACACATGAAAATTACAAAATTCAATTTTCAGTGCTCATAGGCAAACTTTATTGGAACACCACCAGAGTTATGTGGTTATGCATTGTCTATGGCTGTTTTTGCACAACATACATAGATAGTTGAGTAGTTTCCCAACATGATATGGTCCCAAAAAGCTAAAATATTTAGTACTGTGCCCCTTACAGAAAGTGTTCACTGACCCCACCCTGTGTCCGGCACAATGCCTGGTAATTCATAGGGGCCCATTAAATGCTATGGATGAACTAATGAGGAGCAGAGCTTGGCAAGAGCTATTTCCAAGTGTCCCTTCCCTGCTGCCAATAAACAAGAAGGAGGAACAGATGAACCCAAATTAAATACTAACTCCAGGTTCTCAGACAATCACCAAATCTAAGAGGGCAGGTGGAGTCTGCTCGGAAAATTTGCTTAACATTTCTTTAAAAGAGATGACAAGGTACGGTCTCAGGAATTCATGGTATCTCAGGTTCCAATTTCTAAAAACTGAGTACGTTCAATTTTCCTTTGGTCTAATATGTTTTCTCTACCCCAGCTCTTCCCCACCTGCTTTTGATGTGTAATCTGACTGAAGACTGAACTCTGATTTTTACCACCCTAAACTCAGCTGACCTCCCTTCCAAAAAATGTCAGCCTCTTAATCCTCTTAATAAAAAGGCCCATGTAACTGGGAGAATACATTTGAAATAGTCCACAGTACAAAAAGACGGTCTGAAAATAACAAGGGGAAAAAAATGTACTAAACGCATCTGCACACACACAAAGTTGCCAGGGAAACATGGCAATCCCTTGCAAACTGCCAGCACCGTCACATTTATAAAGAAATGACAACAACTGACCTTTGTCTCCTCTTTTCCTGCCTGCCTTTTACCAGGAACAGAAGAGCCTTGTGGCTTGAATGATGCTTTTGATAGGCAGATTTTCAGATTCTGTGCTGTCTGCCTGGATGAGGGGTCCCGGTTTACAGCTCTGCTGAGAGCTAGAAAATCTTTTATGACTGTCACCTCCATTATGACCTAGTCTGTGCAATTGAAAGGTGCATTTTCACATTGGAATTTGGCTTCTATAGTCCTGAGGAGAAAAATGACATATTTTGTTGCATTATTTAAATATTCCTGCTGAACAACAAATTAAAAATATCCATTAAAGGTTTATTTGATATCTTCCTAATTATTGCCCATTGCGCATTTGACAAATTATTTACACATTTTAATAATTGCGACTTTCTTTGGAAGTGACACAAAAACAATTACTTTTTCGAAATTCCACTGTGTATATGCTTTTGAAACTACATAGCCATTAAAAACAGTCTGTCGAATTAAAGGTTGGGCAATTAATTAAGTGCAAATTCTGTAAAACTGGACCAAGGAGAAAATTCATCAAACCTATGAAATATGACCTATCTTGTCCAAAAGACAAATATGTTTAAACAAAAGATGAAAATTGATGACAAAATTATGGGTAGCAAAATGCACACAGAGCAAATATAAGACAGCTGTACTTGGTTTCAGAGTGTTGGGTTTACCCTTACAGAATTCATGATTCATTACCTTCACCGTCTTGTAAAACTTTTCCTAGTTAATCTCCAAAGTACTGTATCTGGGATAATAAAAGTTCTCAATAAGAGCTTGGAAGGCCATTACATTAATGATTTGCTGGCCTTTGCGGGATCCCAATTAAATGCAACCCAAGTTGAGGCTGGTAGCCTAAGGGTACGTCTCCCTAGGACAGTTGAAAGCCACTTTGCCCATGTGGCTATTTTCTTTTGTTTCTCTCTTTGTGCCTTCCTTACACCAATTTTCAGTGTCGAAAGTTTCTATTTCCCTTTATCTAGAAAGTACTCTGCCATTATTAAGACTTTGGCTCTTACCATGAGCGACAAGCCCTGCGTGGGTTTCGAGTATATAGCAGGGGACACCAAAAGCCAGAACAGCGGTTCACATGTGTGTATCCATAATGGGCCCTAGACATGTGTATTACAAGTTCTGGATGTTACCCTTAGGTGCTCAGGTTCACAAATCAACATCAGCCCTGGTGCAAAGTGGGCGGAAGAGGGAGGTGGGTTCGCGGACTGTGGGGATTGTTAAGGATACACGGCTGTTATTTCCATATTAAAATGTAATGATCTCATTAAAGTTAAAACCACTGTTAAACTTGATTGAGTAAATTACTTAATTAACCATAGCATCCAGTGCATTCCTCCAGGGTATACCTCTATTCCTCAAGATGCAGAACAAATGCAGGCTCAGCTTATAGAATGTTATCCAGGGTGGTATGATAACACTCATCTTAGACTGACTTATTTCAGAATCTGTTAAAAAATTCAGAATCTGTTAAAAAAACAATGAAAAGCGAGAAAGTGAGGGTGTTACTCGGTGTTAAAGGAAGATGGGAATAGCCTACCAATGAAAGCAGATATATTTTATTGTTAGGCTGACATCTCCGAAGATTTTCTTGATTAAAAAGAAAACCACCTGATAAGCAGTTTGTGGAGCGACTGCTTTAGCTGGTTCGACAAAGCATTTCCTTTTTCTCGCATATTCTACCTTTCTCTCCTTTTCTTTGCTTGAATATCCAAAGATATCTCCATGGGGTTGGCAGAAGCTCTTCGAAAGCTTTGTTTGGGGTTGTGTTTGGTTAAGTGACTCTGAATTGGGGTTGCAGTGAGTTTTTGTGGGTGAGTGGGTGGATGGGGGAATATTTAGGAAACATCTCCAATTTGCCTGCCCAAAGCCTGCTTTTTGAAATATAAGGGTTTTTTGTTTGTTTGTTTTGAATGACTACCTGTGACACAAGTGGCCAACCAAACTGTACTTGAAAGAAGTAAGTTGTCCCAATTTCTGGTGTTTCTTGGTTTTTGCAAATATAGCATAAGGATAATAATAACTGACTACTTCCTGAGGTTGTCGTAATGGTTACGTACGTGAATATACGTAAAGTGCTTAGAATAGTGATCTGTTCCCAGGAGGTATTGACTATTATTATTATTCCTAAGCATAGGAAAGGGAGGGGGCAGGGATGGAGAATGGTCCAGAAACAATGCAGTCGGAACTCTTGGTCAGCAGATCACCTCCCAGACAAGCTTTTTCTTGGCTGCTGAGTCCAGTTAAAGAGGCCAGGGATCCCCAGACACTTAGTAGCCAGAAAACCTGGGTTTTGTTTGATTTTTTTTTTTTTTTAAATATGTTTTCCTCTAACCCAGTGTGTTGCTTATATCAGAGCCTGGAGTGGAGAACTGTGCTGGGGTAGGGTCTTGCTGTTGCTTGCATAACGTTTGCCATTTAGAAAGATAAGTCTTGCAAATCCCATCTGCAGAGGGATTAGAACTAAACTTAATAAAGCAGAAGCTGAACACAACTGGAGTAACCTTCTTATGCCTAGTTTAATATGGTGCCTTTGTAGATAGACATCTTTTAAATATATTTTTATATTTTAGATTTTTTTGGATTAATCCCAAAAGAAGAACTTGAGGGATTTCAAAGAAAACTATTTATTTGGGAGGTTAGGGCAGGAAACATAGCGAAAGATTGAGAAAGTGGCATAGAGAAGGGAAGAAATCCAGTATATAATTTTAAAACTATATAAACATATAAAATGGTTTCCAAAAAGGAAACCAGGTCAGGATAATTATTTTCTAAAACTAGTGGTTTAGAATAAAAACCAGATATCAAGATATCTCCTGAATTGATACTCATCACAACTCTAAACAAAAATGAACAGTACTTACTGGGCATTTACACTGTGGCATAGAAAAGCCAATTCTAAGCCACTACATAAACTCATTTTAATAACTGTGAGATGGATGTAGATGCTTCTATTATATCCGTTGTATAGATGATGAAACAGACACAGAGAGGTTAATAAAATTGCCCAAGCTTACCAAGCTAATAAGGGGTAGTGTTTGAATTTGAAAGAGTTTGACTTAAAAGCCCATATTCTTACCATTCCACTAGTTTCAATTTCACTCTCTAAAAGGGGAAAAATCCTCTTACATTAATATGCCTTGCTTAAAGATGTGACTCAGGAGAAGGCATAAGAGACAAAGAAAGATAGCCAAATAGAAGCTTCCGGCAATCATCTGCCCAAAGGAACACCAAATTAAACAACTATCCACACACCTTCATAAGAACCAAACATTAGGTGAGCAATCACAGTACCTGGTTTTAACACCATGTTAAGGAAAGAGGCACCAAAAAGGGTGGGAAAGACAGTCTTGAATCACCTACACCACTCCTCCTACATCCCGCGGCAGCTGCCCTGGGGTGTGGAGAGAGCATCTGTGCACTTGGGGGAAGAAGAGTGTGGTGACTGTGGGACTTTGCATTGGAACTCAGTGCTGCCTTGTCACAGTGGAAAGCAATATGGGGCAGAACTCGGCCAGTGTCCACTGAAGGAGCATTTAGACCAGCCCTAGTCACAGAGAAATTGCCCATCCTAGTGATTAGACCAAAGTTCAGGCAATCTCCATGACCACAGCAAAATCCTCCAGCATACTAAATGAACTTGAAAGGCATTCTAGGCCACAAGGACTGAAATTCCTGGGCAGGTCCTGGTGTTGTGCTTGTCCTGGAGCCAGTGTACTTGAGGTGCATGTGGCCTACTGAGACACCAGTGGGGGTGGCCAACAGAGTGCTTAATCACCCTTCACCCAACCCCAGGCAGCACAGCTCATGGCTCCAGGAGACTCCTTCCCTCTGATTTAGGAGAGGAGAGGGGAAAGTAAAGAGGACTATGTCTTGGCAACTTGTATACCAGCTCAGTCACAGTAGAGTAGGACACTAATCAGAGTCCTGAGACCCCTATTTCAGGCATCACGACCATCTAGGAAAACATGACCTTACCAAAGGAGCTAAATAAGGTACCAGTGACCAATCTGGGGAGCAGAATATGTGACCTTTTCAGACAATTCAAAATAGCTGTTTTAAAAAAGCTCAATGAAACCCAAGATAACACAGTGAATGAATTCAGAATCCTATCATATAAATTTAACAAAGAAATTGAAATAACTAAGAAGAATCAAGCAGAAATTCTGGAGCGGGGAAATGCAACTGACATACTGAAGAATGCATCGAAATTTCCAGCAGCAGAACTGATCAAACAAAAGAAAGAATTAGTGAGCTTGAAGACAAGCTATTTGCAAATACATAGAGGAGACAAAAGAAAAAGAATAGAAAAGAATAAAGCATGCCCATAAGATCTAGAAAATAGCCTCAAAAGGGCAAATATAAGAGTTATTGACATTAAAGAGGAGATAAAGAAAGAGATCAGAGTAGAAAATTTATTCATGGGATAATAACAGAGAACTTCTCCAGTCTAGAGAAAGATATCAATATTCAAGTACAAGAAAGTTATGAAATACCAAGCAGGTTTAACCCAAAGAAGACTACCTCAAGACATTTAATAATCAAACTCCCAAAGGGCAAGGATAAAGAAAGGATCCTAAAAGCAGCAAGGGAAAAGAAACAAATTACATATGAAGGAGCTCCAATGGTTCTGGCAACAGAATTTTCAGCGGAAACCTATGGGCTAAGAGACAGTGGCATGACATATTTAAAATGCTGAAGGAAAAAAAAAACTTTAGAATAGTATATCTGGTGAAAATATCCTTCAAACATGAAGAAGAAATAAAGACTTTCCCAGACAAACAAAAACTGAGGGATTTCATGAACACCAGACCTGTCCTACAAGAAATGCCGAAGGGAGTTTTTCAGCCAGAAAGAAAATGACATTCATGATCAATAAGAAATTATCTGGAGGCACAAAACTCGTTGGTAATAGTAAATACACAGAACAACAACGAATATTAGAACACTGTAATTGTGGTGTGTAAACTACTCATATTTTGAGTAGAAAGACTAAAAGATGAAACTATCACAAATAATAACTACAACAACCTTTCAAGACATAGGCAGTTTAATAAGATGTAAATAGAAACCACAAAAAGTTAAAAAGCAGGAGTTGAAATTAAAGTGTAGAGTTTTTATTAGTTTTCTTTTTGTTTGTTTGTTTTGCAGTCAGTATTAAGTTGTCATGAGTTAAAAGTAATGGGTTATAAGATATTTACAAGCCTCATGGTAACCTCAAATCAAAGAATATACAACAGATACACAAAAATAAAAAGCAATAAATTAAAGCATGTCACCGGAGAAAATTACCTTCACTAAAATGAAGACAGAAAAGAAGAAAAGATGGAAGAGAAGACCACAAAACATCCAGAAAGCAAATAAGAAAATGGCAGAGTAAGTTCTTACCTATAAGTAATAACATTGAATGTAACTAGACTAAATTCTTCAATCAAAAGACATAGAATGGCTGAATGGATGAAAAAAATTAGACCCAGTGATCTGTTGCCTACAAGAAACACAGTTCACCTATAAAGACACACATAGACTGAAAATAAAGGGATGGAAAAAAGTTATCCCATGCAAATGAAAACTAGAAAAGAGGAGGAGTAGCTATACTTATATTGGACAAGATAGAGTTCAAGAGAAAAACCTATAAAAAGAGACAAAAAAGGTCATTACATAAAAGAGTAAATTCAGCAGGAGGATACAACAATTATAAATATATATGCACCCAACAGTAAAGCTCCCAGATATACATGAAGCAAATATTATATTATTATTAGAGCTAAAGCGAGAGCTAGACTCCAACACAATAATATCTAGAGACTTACACCCCACTTTCAGCATTGAACAGATCATCCAGACAGAAAATCAACAAAGAAACATTGGACTTAATCTGCACTAGAGACCAAATGGACTTAATAGATATTCACAGTACATTTCCCTTAACACCTGCAGAACACAATTCTTCTCCTCAGCACATGGATCATTCTCAAGGATCGACTATACATTAAGCCCCAAAACAAGTCTTAAAACATTCAAAAATTGAAATCCTATCAAGTGTCTTGTTTGACCACAATGGAATAAAACTAGAAATCAACAACAAGAGGAACTTTGGAAACTATACAAAAACATGGAAATTAAATAATATGCTCCCGAATGACCAGTGGGACAATGAAAAAATTAAGAAGGAAATTTAAAAATTTCTTGAAATAAATGAAAATAGAAACACAACACATCAAAATTTATAGGATACAGCAAAAGCAGCACTAAGGGGAAAGTTTATAACAATAAGTGCCTACATCTAAAAAGCAGGAAAACTTCAAATAAACAACTTAATGATACATCTCAAAGAAATACAGAAGCTAGAGCTAACCAAACTTAAAATTAATAGAAGAAAATAAATAATAAACATTGGAGCAGAAATTAAAGAAACCAAAAAATACAAAAGATCAGTGAAAGCAGTGGTTGATTTTTTTTGAAAAGATAAACAAAATTGACACACTGTTTGCCTAAGAAAAAAGAGAGGAGACTGAAATAAATAAAATCAGAGGTGAAAAAGGAGAAATTACAACTGATAACACAGAAATTCGAAGTATTATTAGAGGCTCCTATGAGCAACTATATGCCAATAAATTGGAAAACCTAGAAGAAATGGATAGATTCTTAGACACATACAACCTATGAAGATTAAAACGTAAAGAAATTCAAAATCTGAACAGAGCAATAACAAGTAATGAGATCGAAGGCATGATAAGAAGTCTCTTAGCAAAGATAAGCCCAGGACCTGATGGCTTCACTGTTGAATTTTACTAAACTTTTAAAGAACTAATACCAATTCTACTCAAAGATTTCAAAAAATAGAGGAGGAGAGAATACTTCCAAACTCATTCTACAAGGCCAGTATTATCTTCCTGCCAAAAACAAAAGACATCAGAAAAAGAAAACTACAGTCCAGTATCCCTGATGAGGATTGATGCAAAAACCCACAATAAAATACTAGCAAACAGAATTCAACACCACATCAAAAAAAAAAAAATCATTTGTTATGACCAAGTGGGATTAATCCAGGGATGCAAGGATGGCTCAATATATACAATTCAATTAATTTGATTCACTCTATCAACAGGATGAAGGGCAAACACCACATGATCATTTCAATCGATGCTAAAAAAGCATTTGATAAAATCCAACATCTCTTTATGATAAAAACCCTCAAAAAACTGGGTATACGAGGAACGTACCTCAACATAATAATATCATACTGAATGGGGAAAAACTGAAAGCTTTTCATCTAAGATCTGGAACACAACAAGGATGCCCAATTTTATTATAATTATTCAGCAAAGTACTGGAAGTCCTAGCTAGGGCAATCAGATAAGAGAAAGAAATAAAAGGCATCAAATTTGAAAATAAGAAGTTAAATAATCCTTGCTTGCAGATGATATAATCTTATATTTGGAAAAACCTAAAGACGCCACCAAAAAACTATTAGAGTGGATAAACAAATCAGTAAAGTTGCAGGATACAAAATCAACATACAAAATCAGTAGTATTTCTATATGCCAACAGCAAGCAATGTGAAAAAGAAATTGAGAAAGCAATCTCATTTACAATAGCCACAAATAAAATAAAATACATAGGAAGAAAACAAAAAAAGTGAAAGATCTCAATAATAAAAAGTATAAAACATTGATGAAAGAAAGAGGATAACAAAAAAATGGAAATATACTTCATGTTTTCATAGATTGGCAGAATCAATATTGTTAAAATGTCCACACTACCCAAAGCAATCTACAGATTAAATGCAATCTCTATCAAAATACCAATGACTTTCTTCACAGAAATAGAAAAAAAAATCCTAAAATTTATTGAGAACTACAAAAGACCCATAATAGTCAAATATATCCTGAGAAAAAAAGAACAAAACTGAAGTAATCACATTACCTGACTTCCAGTTATCCTATGGAGCTATAGTAACAAAAGCAGCATGGTACTGACATAAAGACACATAGACCAATAGAACAGAATAGAAAACCCAGAAATAAATCCATGCGTCTTCAGTGAACTCATTTTTGACAGAGGTGCCAAGAATATACACTGGGGTGAGGACAGTCTCTTCAATAAGTGGTGCTGTGAAAACTGGATATCCATATGCAGCAGAATGAAACTATACCCCTATCTCTTGCCATATACAAAAACCAAATAAAATGAATTAAAGACTTAAATCTAAAACCTCAAACTATGAAACTACTTAAAGAAAACATTGAGGAAACTCTCCAGGATGTTGGACTGGGCAAAGATTTCTTGAGTAATACCCCACAAGCACAGACAACCAAAGCAAAAATAGACAAATGGGATAACATCAAGTTAAAAAGCTTCTGCACAGCAAAGGAAATCATCAACAAAGTGAAAAGGCAACCCACAGAATGGAAGAAAATATTTGCAAACTACCCATCTGACGAGGGATTAATAACCAGAATACATAAATAGCTCAAACAACTCTGTTGGAAAAAATCCAACGACCTGATTTAAAAATGAGTAAAAGGTCTGAATAGAGATTTCTCAAAAGAAGTCATACAAAGGATAAACAGGTATATGAAAAGGTGCTCAATATCCTTGATCATCAGAGAAATGAAAATTAAAACCACAATGAGATATCATCTCACCCCAGTAAAAATGGCTTTTATCCAAAAGACAGGCAATAACAAACGCTGGCAAGGATGCAGAGGAGAGGGAACCCTCACACACAGTTGGTGGGAATGTAAATTAGTACAACCACTATGGAGAACAGTATGGAGGTTCCTCAAAAAACTAAAAATAGAACTACCACATGATTCTGCAATTCCACTGCTGGGTTTATACCCAAAAGAAAAGAAATCAGTATATTGAAGAGATACATATCTGCACTCTCATGTTTATTGCAACACTATTCACAATAGCTAAGCTTTGGAAGCAACCCAAGTGTCCATCAGCAGATGAATGGATAAAGAAAATTGTGGTACACAATGGAATACTATTCATCCATAAAAAAATGAAATCCTGTCAATTGCAACAACATAGATGGAACTAGATGTCATTATGTTAAGTGAAATAAGCCAGGTATAGAAAGACAGACTTAGCATGTTTTCACTTATTTGTGGGAGATAAAAAAGTTCAAGGAATTGAACTAATGAGATAGGGAATAGAAATGGTTACCACAGACTGGGAAGGGTGGGAGGTAGTTAATGAGTCAAAAAATATAGTTAGAATGAGTAAAATCTAGTATTTGATAGCACAGCAGGGGGACTACAGTTAATAATAATTTATTGTACACTTTAAAAGAGTGTAGTGGGATTATTTGTAACATACAGAAACAATAAATGCTTGAGGTTATGAATACCCCATTTACCCTGATGTGATTGTCATGCATTCTATGCCTGTATCAAAATATCTCATGCACTCCATAAGTATATACACCTACTATGTACCCACAAAAGTTAAAAATTAAAAAAAAAAAGAGAATGCAACTCAGGAGTCAAGTGACCTGTGTTTTAGTTCTAGCTCTTTAATTATTACATGTGTGATCACTGAAAACATTATTTACTCTCTCTGAGCTTTCATGTTCTTATCCATAAAATGGGAACAATAGGAGCTGCTGTCTGCAGGCAGGTAGTCGCCTTGCCCGTATCTCCGTGGCTCACCTTGGAAGTGCCCTGCTGATCAGAGGACATTCCCTATACCTGCTAATAGCTTCTTACTTCAAGCACCAATGTCTCCCTCCTTGAAGGCTTTCTCTGACTGTAAGAGGCAGCTCAACCTGCACGTGGGCAAGTTGGCAGTGCTGGGGGTGATACCCCCAGGAGTGATCTGCAAATGATAAGAGGAGCTGGTAGATAAACGTCCCAGCCTCCTCACCACCCCCACACCCCCAGGGAATGATTCTATGTTCCACTCAGTCTCCCAGAAGGTCTTCCGTTGGAGTGAGTTCCAGACATCCCCAGGGGTAACTAGCTTGTTACACACCCTCTATTGGCTTTCCTCCCATCCTGAGTCAATTTCCCAATCCTTCACTATGTTCCTGCCCTACATTCCCAAATAAAGAGCTTCTTTTCAAATCCTTCAAGTTTCTCCTTTGGGGAGAACCCAAACAAAGATGCTCTCAGGATTGTGGTGAGAATTCAATGAAACGATGCATGTAAATAGTTGGTGCCATATCTGGTGTGTAGCAGATACCGTAATAACCATAAGTTTTATTACCTACGATGATTATTATGTCAATATATGAATTTTGACTGTAATGGGGAAGCTGTAATAAAGAGTCTGACTCTAGAAGTGAGACAGGGACACATGGGTGAGGAAGATCAGGTCCAGATAAAATGGAAAGATTCTGTAGGAAAGCATATGAGGGTCCCCAAAAATCCTAAGGATACTGCTCAAGACATGCCTCCACTTCCTGGAATCAACAACACAAATGCCCATCAATCAACGAGTGGATAAAGAAACTGTGATTACATATATATATATGATGCAATGCTACTGAGCCATAAAAAGGAATGAATGAATAGCATTCACAGCAACCTGGATAGAATTGGAGACTATTATTCTAAGTGAAGTAACTCAGGAATGGGAAACCAGACATCTTATCTTCTCACTCATAAGTGGGAGCTAAGCTATGATGATGCAAAGACATAAGAATGACACAGTGGACTTTGGGGACTCAGGTGGAAAGGGTGGGAAGGGGGTGAGGGATAAAAGAATACAAATTGAGTTCAGTGTATACTGTTCAGGAGATGGGTGCACCAAAATCTCACAAATCACCACTCAAGAACTTACTCATTTAACCAAATATCACCTGTTCCCCCAAAACCTAAGGAAATAAAACATTTAAAAACAAAGATAAAAGAGACATTTCTCCATTTCCAGAATATTCCTTGCACATGACTTTGTTGAGGGGACAGCAGTCTGGTGAAGTTGCCAGGCCTATTGATTCCAAATCCATGAAACTGGTGATTATTTAGTGAACAGCCTTTGGCCAAGAGGAAGGAGACATGTGACTGGCATCCAAATCACAGCACTTATTTCGTGCTCCTGGGGATGTCGTTTTTTCTTGGTTTCTACAGAGATGAGCATTAGGATTTTAAGGATGAGTAAAGGGGTCTAAAGAAGTGTCATGGAAAAGGGAAACCAAGGAAAGGAGAAGGGAAGAAAAACAGCAAAAAAGATCTGAATAGAGATTTCTCAAAAGAACTCCTACAAGTGACAAGGTAAGTAGTTGCTGCCTTGCCCATATCTCCATGGCTCACCTTGGAAGTGCCCTGCTGTTCAGAGGACCTTCCCTATGCCTGCTAATACTTTAGGCTCATTAAGGGAGAAAATGTTGGCTGAAGGAGTGGCTCATGCCTGGAATCCCAGCACTTTGGGAGGCCAAGGTGGAAGGATTGCTTGAGCCCAGTAGTTCCAGACTAGTCAGGGCAACATGGCAAGACCTGTTTCCATGAAAATTAAAAATAGTTGGCATGGTGGTATGCACCTGTAGTCCAAGCTACTTGGGAGGCTGAGGTAGGAGGATCACTTGAGCCCAGGAAGTTGAGGCTGCAGTAAGCCATGATGGAGCCACTGCAGTCCAGCCTGGGTGATAGAGCAAGACTCTGTCTGTAAATAAATAAATAAATGAACACAAAGAAAAAAAATGCATTCCTCAGTGACTGAGAGAAGAAAGAGTATTTATTGCCTTTCCACATATTGGAGGAATGTGATCTTCCTAACTGAAGGTTATTTGAAGGAACAAAATCATCTCCATTTTGAAGCCTGATCTAGTTAAATTGTGACTGGATTCTTGAATATATTTTAATTCTGCACAATTATTTTGGCCTTGGTTTTGAAGGCCAAATCTGAAGTTAACCTAATTATCTAATAAAATGCATACATTAAAAAAGAGTCAGACTCCGTTGTTTGATGTTTATGGACAGGTTTTAGGCCTCATTCATCCTTCCTCCCTGTCTGTTCCACATCTGGGGAAACTGTTAAGAAATCCCGGACAATCCTTCCTTTGGTGCCGGTGGGAAGTTTAAACCAGGCATCACGGGAACCCTAATGTGGGCCCACCCCTTAACCACCATCAAAGCCCCAAGTCAGTGTCCTTTCCCTGCTCTGTCAAGAAATTTTGGATGTGCTTGAAAGTCTGCTCTGCTCTCTCCAGAAAGCCTTATTATGTGAGTCACAAAGCTTGTACGCACCCTCTTTGTCTCTGTGTGGTGTCATGAGTCTTGACATCTGAACCACATTTTGGGTCAAGTCTATCCTGTTTCTGTAGAGTCGTCACAATAGAGGCAATTCTACGCTTTACCACGAAAAGCACCATAAGATTCCTTACAGTAACAAAAGCTTCTGGGATTTTAAAAAAATGGGTATTATTTATTTAAGGAGGGGTCCATATGGCGGCGGTGAGAGTTCAGGGCAGGGGTCTGAAGCTCAAGGGCAGAGAATGAAGGAATGAGTCACAGAGGGCTGCCGAAGGTCGGGGCATAGATCAGAGACAGTGAGCTCACCATTCCCTTCCCAGCAGCCGAATAAAGAGATCTGGGATTTACGCATAGCCTTTGCTTAAAGGAAAGTGTACCTTTTTGAACCTTGCGACACATTGGACCCTCATCAACTCGGATTTTAATGAGAGGAATTAGTATTCCAATGAACAATCTACATAATATCTTGTAGGCAAAATATTTATTTGGGGCTTGGGACAATGAACAGGCTAGAAATACTCATGGGCAAAAATGTAACATAGTCATAAATGTCTACATTCATTTTCCATTGGTTGTAGAAAAAGAATCTCCGTTTTGGTTTTTACAATTTCAGAATAGGCTGCCCAAATCCAGGGCATTGAATCAGAGTTATATAACTTCTCTGCTAGCTTCTCTATTTATAACAGTGAAGTGTTGGCATGTATGTGAAAATTTAAAGTAAAGCCTGCTTCCTCATGATCTTGTGATCTTTAATTTTTACCTTTAGTTTAACAAATATTTCATCATGATAACTTTTTAGTGGATAAGGAGGGAGCATTCTTTTCAAGACTGCAAAATTTTAATTTGCTTTAATAAAAAATTCTGGTTAGTATAAACATTTAACTGTAAATATGATGCTAAAGGTCAACAATACTGTGCAACTAGTTGCTGGAAATATGTAAAACATTATATAGACATCATATATTAAGCATTATATAGATTTTTTTATTTAGTATGTATATTTATGTATCTAAAATATGGGTGAAATTAGTATGTTACAAATATATTTTTTAAATTTCAAAAATGGCTTTAAAACCAAAGATTATAAGAGGTGGCTCATGAAGAAGACTTAGGTGACAGTTTATGCTCACTGTTAAATGTAATCATTAAAAAAATTATTTTACAAAGAAAACAATCAGAATCCCAGTATGTTCCGATTCTCTATCCTTCCTTCTGTGGCAATGGATGTCTGTGTTCTACCCACATTCCCCCAATCTCACACTTCTGATAACATGCCTATGGCTTCTTACTGGAAAGCTGTGACTCTCAGCAGCAGGGCTTTCTCTTGCCATAAGAATGTTGGCCTTTGCGTGTGAGTGGGGTTGGCGGATAAATATTTCAGCTTACTTTCCCGTATATAGGAGGCTTTGGAGTTGTGTTCTGTACTGCCCCCAGAGTCCTCTGTAGGATTCAATCCCAGCTGCCAACAGCAGTCACTTGCTCCTATCTATGTGCCCTGTAGGGAAGTGTTCCATCCTTTGTCCCCTGTCTCCCTTCCTTACTCCTTTCAATATGATTCCTGGGATCACCTTTCATTCAAATCCTTGTCTTGGGGTCTGCTCCTGAGGAAATTCAACCCCAGACAGTTTCCAGGAATGAATTTGTTTGGTGTCCATTTTTTTTGCTTCTATTTCTCTTTCCCTCTCTTTCTCCCTCACTTCTTCACTCATATATATATATATACATATATACATATGTATACACACCCATATATACATATACATATGTGTGTGTGTGTGTGTGTGTGTGTGTGTATATATATATATATATATTTTTTTTTTTTTTTTTTTGAGACAGAGTCTCGCTTGTCATCCAGGCTTGAGTGCCATGGCACAACCTCGACTCACTGCAGTCTCCGCCTCCCATGTTCAAGTGATTCTTCTGCCTCAGCCTCCTGAGTAGCTGGGATTATAGTTGTGTGCCACAATGTTCAGCCAATTTTTGTATTTTTGGTAGAGACGGGGTTTCACCATGTTGGCCAGGCTGGTCTCCAACTCCTGGCCTCAAGTGATCCGCCCACGTTGGCCTCCCAAAGTGCTGGGATTACAGGCATGAGCCACTGTGCCCAGCTTCACTCATGTTTTTAATACTAGCTGTGTACAGACACTGTGAAGTGTTAGAAGCTTTCAGTCAAGTAGACTCTACTGAAGGAGACAGAAGTTACAGTAAATACTGAGTTTAACTTTTGAGAATTTAACTATATGCAAGGTTTTAAAAAGTGAGAGAAAGAGTTATTTAAGTGGCCAACACTGCCATTCTGTTCAATAAATGCAGACCCCAGCTGGAGTGTGAGAGGCGAAAGGAAGCTAGAATTTTCTCAGTGAACCTCAGGTTGCCTGTGCCTCTCATAGGACATCTTCTCGTGTTGAGTGGTTGAGTGTCATCCTCGCATTTAAACATCCAACATCGTTGTATTTTTCATGCAATGTGGTCCTGAAATACAAACCAACTACTTTATAATGTGCTTAACTAATGGCATAGTGATTTTTCCAACACAAGAAGAAAAACTAGTTGTGATTGACTCATTGAGAAACAGTCTGTCCATCTGCACCATGGGACTTTCTAAAGAGATTTTAAAATATATTTTTCCCCTACATAATGTTTGCTCCAGGCTCTGACTTTTCAACCTGGTCTCATAAGATATGACTCTACTCTCATTACAATGCAATGTGGTAAGTGCTTTCTGGAAGGCATATGCTAATGGGATATTGTGGGGACACAGAGACAGGACCAATGCTGGCTGATCAGATCAGGGAAGAGTTCTCAGAGCAGGTAATGCTTGAGTTGGGGTTTTAAAGATAAGTAGATATCTGCCTAATATTTGGGGGAAGGAAATAAATGCAGCTCTTAAAATTCAACCACAAAACGTTAGCTTTGCCATTCTTAATCCTAGTACACAGATCCTGTGGCTTTTATTTTAATCAGCAATATAGACTATCTGCACTATGTAAGCTTTGGGGAAGATTAGACTGAGATTTACTCTATCTAATGCTTATTTGAGACATCTGATATTTGGACAAAACAATTTAGTGGGACTTCTTCCTGCCTGTTCATTTGGTCTCCACAAGATGCATTAGGTAATGTCAATATGTGAGTCTGGTTCTCTGAGGGGCAGATGTGAAAGCAGGGCTAGGCACACACAAAGAGGACTGGGGGAAATGCTTACAAAGGAAAATGGAGAGGAATCTGAGAGAGAAGCTGGGTGAGCCATCAGACTGTGGAGTAATTTTGATCCTTGTAAAGTAGGGAAGGAAGGAAGGGAGAAAGGAGGGAAGGGAGGAAGGAAGGAAGGAAGGAAAAGGAAAGGGAAGGGAAGGGAATGAGGGAGGGACGCAGGGAGGGAGGGAAGGAGGGAGGAAGGAAGGGAAGGAGGGAGGGAGGGAAGGAGAGAGGGAGGGAGGGAGGAAGGAAGGAAAGGGAATGGAAGGAGGGAGGGTGGAAGGAAGGGAAGGGAAGGAGGGAGGGAGGGAAGGAGGAAGGGAAGGAGAAAGGAAGAAAAGGAAGGAAAGACGGAAGGAAGGTCAAGTGGAAGCCTCTTAGACTGCACTGCTGCTCTGAGAAGGTTTGTCAAAGTTGATGAACCACAGTTGCCAGGCAGGGAAGCCCCATGCCTTTGAGGAGTGGGCCTGCTTTCATGTCCTGTTGCCCTCGGCACTGGTGGGAGCAGCTTGCCTATGGGCAGTGTGGCCTCTTGGAGAACACTATGATGGATTTCAGAGTGCAGCCTTTGGGTTTGTCGGTCCATCATTCTCCCTATTGTCAGTGACCTGAGAGATGAATTTACATCCATGCCCACTCTAATCCTTATTTCCCAAATGTAGGACACATACCACAGAGAGCACTTGAGATTATTTGAGTGGTAGCACATTGAATTTTTTAGTATGAAAATTACTTTATCATTCTCTTTCATCTGTTAGTGAAGGAGAATGAGTCAGGTTGGTGCTATCATTTTGTAGTCCTCCTTTGAACAACAGGCACACCTCAGGCATATAAACTTTGGCAGGCTACAATATCTAGATAAAATGGAATAACCTTGTCTTATTTTCATGTGTATTTATGATGATAGGTATCTTACATTTATATCTATTATGGTGGATGGCACTGTTTTTCAATTCATACTACTCAAATCATTTTTTTCTTTTAAAATAAATTGAATGATGCCCATACATGGCAATCAATTTAATAAAAATAGTGAGTAACTAACGAACAGAGAGCAAGTGGCCATGGGAAAATGTGAAAATGTTTTACAAATGAGTGTCTGGGAACTCTGACCTAGGTCATCTGAAAGAAGCATGGTAGGTCCATGTTGTCTCAAGTTTTCACAGAAAAATACCTTCACTGCTGCACTATTTTAAGTTATGCCTTTTCCTTCTGGACAGGGTCACTGAAAGGACTGTCCAGTTTTATAGTGTGTCTGTGATTTTGTGGCGAAGATGTTGTTCACTCTGTTCCTCAGCCTTTAAACAAATCCCCAGAGGACAAATCCAGCTTGAATTTAGTTCTAGGGGGATAAAAAGTATTGTCTCTGCACAAAGGTGTATACTTCTTCCTGTCAGAAAAAGACAAGTAGACCTGTCATGATGCTTGCCTTACCTTCCAGAATCCTTAGGGGTGAATTTACTGCTTTTATCTTCCCATCTATTCCAATCTGGCACCTGAAAGCACATTGTCTTCCTGGTTCCTTCAGAGTACTCTGTTATTTAAAAAGCTCTTTAAAAATGTCAGATATCCCTGGGTCCTTCAGCTTTCCTACAATATCCACAGAGACTAGCTGAATCTATCTGTATCAGCTGAGATAAGCTAGCTTGTGCTGTGGTACCAAATGACCGCCATGTTGTCCTGACTTATAAACAGCAAAGGTTGATTTCTTGCTCATGCTCTATGTCTATTTCAAGTTAGCTGGTGGGCTCTTTAAATATCCTCATTGAGGAAAGCTGGTGAACAGAGTCTTTATTCCCTGGATGGTGGTTTGTTGCTATGGCAAGGCAACAAAAGAACATGGCAGTTTATTCATTTTCCTCTATAGTTTTCACCATGGAAGTAACATGTCTTACTTTTGCTCACATTACATTGGCTGAAGCACATCTTCTGACCATGCTGAACTTGGAGGAGGTGGGAATGCACGATTTCACCATTTTCCTGAAAGGAGGGGAACTGTAACATTGGTGTATAGCCCCAAATGTCACCATATTGCCACACCTCATATTGTGGGAGGTCAACGAAGATCTCCTTGGTATCTCTGAGGCTTTCTGAATCAGCCTTTGCTACAGTTTGCTTGTCTGAGATCATCTGTTTTGAGCCATTACTCTTCCTTCCTGTGACCGTCATCCAATGTTGCTGGTCTTGTTTTAACTCATATTAGACAACATCTATTGTCCTTTATTTCCCAAATGAACTATTAAAATAATGCTGCTGTTTGTAGTAGAAGTTTGTTGCCTGTTTGGGATGGAGTGAAGAGCAATGATAGCAGTGATAACTCAGGGCAGAAAATAACCTTACATTGTTGAGAGTATCCTTGGGGTAATTTGATGTTTTATTAACTGGCTATTCTGTCCTTGGTGCCTAGAATAGAACATGACACATAGTAGGAGCTCAATTAATACTTAGTGAATGAAAGCACTTCAATATATCATCACTGATCCTACACATTTTTTTTAGAATTTCGGTTTTCATTTTAGATTCAGAGGGTACATGTACAGGTTTGTTACATGGCTACATTACATGATGGTGAGGTTTGGAGTACCATTGATTCCATTACCCAGTTAGTGAGCATAGTTTTTCAACAGTTAGTTTTTCAACCCATTATCCCTCTGCCCTCTAGTAATTCCCAGTGTCTATTGTTACCATCTTTATATCCATGAGTACCCTAGTTTAGCTCCCACTTATAGGTGAGAACATGTGGTGTTTAGTTTTCTATTCCCAAGTTAATTTGCTTAATAATGACCTCCAGCTGCATCCATGTTGCTGCAAAGGACATGATTTGTTTCTTTTTAATGGCTGCATAGTATTCCATGGTGTATATGTACCACATTTGCTTTAGCCAGTCTACTATTGATGAGTATTTAGGTTGAGTTCATGTCTTTGCTATTGTTAATAGTGCTGCAATGAACATACAAATGCATGTGTCTTTATGGTGGAACAATTTATAGTCCTTTGGGACTATACAAACCCAGTAATGGGTTGAATGGCAGTACTGTTTTCAGTTCTTTCAAAAATCTCCAAAGTACTTTCCACAGTGGCTGAACTAATTTACATTCCCATCAGCAGTGTACAAGCATTTCCTTTTCTGTGCAGCCTCACCAGCATCTGTTGTTTGTGGACTTTTTAACGATAGCCATTTAGACTGGACTGAGATGGTATCTCATTGTGGCTTTAATTTGCATTTCTCAGATGAGTAGTGATGTTGAGAATTTTTTCGTATGTTTGCTGGTTATTGTGTGTTTTCTAAAAATCCTTTCCTACCACGTAGAAGTTCCTACTGTCTGTACTGTCTCTGAACTCCTACTCTGTAAATTCCTAGTATGTTCCTGTGCTTCCTTTTCCATTTCCCTTCCCTTTAAATCATATTGTTTCTTTTCTTCTTCAGACTCTTCATCTCATAGCCTCTAGAGTTGCCATCAAAGAGTCATCAAATTCCTCTTTTCCCTTTATGTAAAAGTATTTAGCCCTTCCGGTGTTTTACTCTTGACTTCCCTACTGTGACCTAAAGACCTCAGTTTTCACATTCAAAGAACTCTATCAGGTGGTTTCCAAGGTTAAAAAAAGAGGACTTGAACATTTCTTAGGATGAATTGTGTTACAGCTCTTGAAAGCAAAAGTGGCTGCAGTAAGTGCTTATTTTCAATAATATTTCTTATCTTTCTGTCAACATTTATTTTAATTTGAATTCTCTGAGCCAAGGTATTTTTTCCAAAAAAGGTGCATAAATCAATGAATAGTTCATTGCTTTTTATTACTGAGTGATATTACATTTGATAGAGACTACCATCTTTTTTAAATCTATTCACCAGTTGATGTGTATTTGAGTGTTTTAATTTTTTGGCTGTAATAAATAATATAGCCATATATTTTCATTTCCCCTTAGAATGGAATTACTTGATTATAAGTGTATATATTTTTAACTTTTTAAGAAACTGCCAATATGTTTCCCAAAGTGACTGTATTATTTTAAATTTATGCTAGCTGTGTATGAGGTCTCCAGGTGCTCTCCGTCCTCACCAACACTTGCTATTTTTGGCTATTTTAAAATTTTACCTATTTGCTGGCTTCATAGGAGTATCTCTTGTTTTTTTAATTTGCATTTCGCTTATCTCCAATTATATTAAAATTGTTAATGTGTTTGTTGGCCATTTGTACACAGGCATACTTTGGAGATATTGTTAGTTTAGTTCCAGTCCACTTCAATAAAGTGGATATTGCAATAAAGCAAGTCACACAAATTTTTTGGTTTCTTAGTGCATATAAAGGTTATGTTTACACCATACTATAGTCAAGTAAGTGTGCAATAGCATTATGTCTAAAAAAGGAATGTACACAACTTAATTAAAATACTTTATTGCTAAAAATGCTAGTGATCATATGAGCCTTCAGTGAGTAGTAACCTTTTTGCCAATGAAGAGTCTTGCCTTGATGTTGATGACTATTGACTAATTGGACAACAGTGAATTTTGCTGCATCAATTGACTCTTCCTTTCATGACAGGATTCTCTGTAGCATGCAATGCTGTTTGATAGCATTTTATAGCATTTTATCCACAGTAGAACTTCTTTCAAAATTGGACTTGATCCTCTCAGGCTATGCTGCTGCTTTATAAACTAAGTTTATGTAAAATTCTAAATTCTTTTTTTGCCATTTCAACAATTCACAGCATTTTCACCAGGAGCAGATTCCATTTCAAGAAACCACTTTTTTTGTTCATCCATAAGGAGCAACTCTTCATCCATTCAAGTTTGACCATGGGATTGCAGCAATTCAGTCCCATCTTCAGGCTCCAGTTCTAATCTAATTCTCTTGCTCTTGTTACCACATCTGCAATTATTTCTCCCACTGAGGTCTTGAACCCCTAAAAGTCATCCATGAAGGTTGAAATAAACTTTTCTAATTTTCAGCTATTCAATTTACTTTGTCCAGGTTCTTCAGAGAAATCACTATAGCAACCATAGCCTTCCAAAATATATTTCTTAAATAATAAGACTTGAAAGTCAAAATTAATCCATGAGCTACAGAATGGATGTTGTGTTAGCAGCCATGAAAACAACATTACTTTCCTTGTACATCTTCATTAGGGCTCTTGGGTGATCAGATACATTGTCAATGAGCAGTAATATTTTGAAAAGAATATTTTTTTCCTTGGCAGTAGGTCTCAATAGTGGGCTTAAAATATTCAGTAAACCATGTTGTAAGCAGATGGGCTTGCCATTCAGGCTTTGTCCACTTATAGATCATAGACAGAGTAGATTTAGCATAATTCTTAAGGACTCCATGATTTTCACAATGGTAAATGAGCATTGGCTTTAACTTCAAGTCACCAGCTGGATTACTGCTAACAAAAGAGCCAGCCTGTGCTTTTGAAGCTTTGAAGTCAGGCATTGAGTTCTCCTCTCTAGCTATGAGAGTCCTCTATGGCATCTTCTTTCACTTTGAGGCTGTTTTGTTCTCATCGAAAATCTGTTGTTTTATATATAAGTACCTTCATCAATTAACTTAGCAATATTTTCTGGATAACCAGTTGCAGTTTCTACATCAGCATTTGCTGCTTCATCTTGCACTTGTATGTTATAGAGACAATTTCTTTCTTTAAACCTCATCAACCAGCCTTTACTGGCTTCCAACTTTTCTTCTGCAGCTTCACCTCTCTAGGCCTTCCTAGACTTGAAGAGAGTTAAAGGGTCTTGATTTGGATTAGGCTGCAGCTTAAAGGAACGTGGTGGCTAATCTGATCTTCTGTTCAAAGAACTAAAACTTTCTTCATATCATCAATAAGGCTGTGCTGCTTTTTTATTATTTGTGGACTCATTGGAGTAGCACTTTTAATTTCCTTCAAGAACTTTTCCTTTGTATTCACAGTTTGGCTGTTTTGCACAAGAGGTCTAGCTTTCAGCCTATCTTGGCTTTCGACTTGCCTTCCTCACTAAGCATCATCATTTCTAGCTTTTGATTTAAAGTGAGAGACATGTAACTCTTACTTTCACTTGAACACTTAGAGACCATTGTGGGTGATTAATTGGCTTAATGTCATGTTGTGTCTCAAGAAGTAGGGAGGCCCGAAGAGAGGGAGAAAGATGGGGGAATGGCCTGTTGGTGAGCTAGTTAGAACACACAACATTTATTTATTAAGTTTGCATCCTTATATGGACATGGTTTGTGGAAACCCAAAACAATTACAATAGTAACATCAAGATCACTGATTGCAGATCATCTTAATAGAAATAATAATGATAAAAAGTTTGAAATATTGCAAGCATTACCAAAATGTGACACAGAGACACAAAGTGAGCACATACTGTTGGAAAAATGGTGCTAACAGATTTGCTCCAAGGATGCAGGGTTGCCACAAACCTTCAATTTGTAAAATTGCAGTATCTGCAAAGTACAATAAAATAAAGCATGATAAAACAAGGTATGCATATGTATACATATATATTCACTTTTGCAAAGGGTCTCTTAAAATGTTTCACCTATTTTTTTGTTGGTTTGTTTGCCTTATTGTCAAAGCATTGTTTATATATTCTGGATAGAAGTCCTTTGTAAGCTGTATAATTTTCAAGTAGTTTTCTTTCATACTTTGTTATTTACTTTCTTAGGGTTTGATTTCTTTCTTCTTGTTCTCACTTCTTATGATGAAATTTTAGATAATTGATCTTAGACCTTTCTTCTTTTTGAAGGTAAGCATGATGGCTGTAAATTCCCCTCTAAGTTCCGTTTTAGCAGAATCTCACAAATTTTGACATGTTGTACTGTTACTATTAATTTGTAATTTAACTCTACTGTGATCAGAGGACATACTTTGCATGATTTCAGTTCTTTTAAATTTATTGAGACTTTAACAAAATAGACTCTATCTTTTTTAGAATGGTTTTAGATTTATAGAATTGAGATGATAATACAGAGTTCTCATATACCCTGTAGCTAGTTTCCTCTCTTTATTAACATTGTACATTAGTATGATATAATTGTTACCATTAATAAATGAATATTGATATATTATTATTAACTAAAGTCTGCAGTTTATTAAGAACATTAGTTTTTACCTAATGCCCTTTTTTTCTGTTCCAATATTCTGTCCAGGATGGTATATTACATCATGTGCTAGCCTAGGAGTCACTAGGTCCACCAGACTCCTCTTGGCTGCACCAGTTTCTCAGACTTTCCTATTTTGATGACCTGAAAGTTTTGTGTTTTTATTTATTTATTTATTAGACAGAGTCTCATTCTGTTGTCCAGGCTAGAGTGCACTGATGTGTTCTCAGATCACTGCAACCTCCGCCTCCTAGGTTCAAGTGATTCTCGTGCCTCAGCCTCCTGAGTAGCTGGGATTATAGGCACCTGCCACCATGCCCAGGTAATTTTTGTATTTTTAGTAGATACAGGGTTTCACCATGTTGGCCAGGCTGGTCTAGCACTCCTGGCCTCAAATGATTCACCTGCCTTGGCCTCCCAAAGTGCTGGGATTACAGGCGTGAGCCACCATGCCTGGCCTGATGACCTAAAAGTTTTGAGGAGTACTGGTCAGGTATTTTGTAGGATGCCCCTATATTAGGAGTTGTCTGATGTTTTTCTCATAAGACTGGGGTTATGGTTACTGGGAAGAAGATGACAGTGATAAAGTATTCTTTTCACATTATGTCAAAGGTATATGATATCAACATAATTTATGACTTAAATCATGATTTATCCACATGATGTTGACCCTGCTCACCTAGCTGAGGTAGTGTTTGTCAGGTTTTTCCACTGTAAATGTCTTCTTTTGTCCCTGTATCATACTCTTTGGAAATAAGTCACTATGCAGAGCCTACATCTAAGGAGTGGGGAGCTAGTTTTTCTGGTATAAAATTCTTGGTTAACAGATTCCCCCCCGCCAATCCCCTCAACCCTTCAGTACTTTCAACATGTCATTACAATGTCTTCTGACCTCCATTGTTTCTGATGGGAAATTAGTAGTTGACCTCATCTTTGTTCCTCTATGTAACGTGTTTTTCTCTTGCTATTTTCAAAAAAATTTATTTTGTAGGTTTTGGAGAACTTTTTTAAGTACAGAAAGTGTTTTCTTGCTTCAGGAAGTGGATGTTCCTGTCCCACTGGTGGTAAAGAGTAATGATAATAACAATCAACATGATGTAATCCCTCAGTCACATTTAGAAGTATCAGCCAGACAAGTGTTAAGTACTAACAGTTGCTAAGTGATGCTGTGGTTTTAATTGGATCACTCAATAATTTGGTTGAGTTCTTTAGAACAGAATAATAGAAAAAAATTCTATTAAAGAAAAGTAGGAGAAAGGTAGAAGAATGGCAGTTCTGAGTTCTCACACCTCCAGGATCCATCCCTTCTCCCTTCACTTCCTGAGTAATTCTGTTAGCTTTTTGTAGAAGTTTGCTTGATCTTTCACTTCAGTGTCTGGTTTCTGGTCTCTTATAAGCTGTTGTAACCTTGACACTACAGAAGGCTTCACCATTGTGTAGAAAGTGTCCTATGAAGAAAGAAAATTCTGTAATTTTGAGAATAATTTTGTTGCCAATTCAAACCCATTGTTGTGATTTTCTTGTTGTATAAAATGTCTGTATCTGTGTCAGATCCCCTAATCCCTAGAGACATCAGGGGCAGCATCTTGGGAACATTTTGGTGGGAATGCAGTTGGATAGCAAGAGAATTCTATTAGTATTCAAGCTCTGATGGGAGGTAAAGAATAAAAAAAAACTAATACTGATTGAGAACCTACCATATGTCAGGTGGCATACTTTGCTTTTTGTGTAATCCTTACAACAATTCTTCAAGGTAGGTATTAATACACCCAACTTACCCTTGATATTATTCTCGGAGAAGTTTAAACTTCTTTTCTCTTTTTTTATTCAACTGATTTTGGCTTCTTAGCTAGGTTGCGATTGGCAATGTAGAAGATTATCTCATGGTTTGAACCCTAGGTGTCTATTATTCCTCTGACCACAGTTTTGTTCAGTAATGACCCAGGACATTTGTCCCAATTTTTGAAAGAAGAGTTGAAAGAAGTTTATTTTCCTGCTGCATTTGAACCTGTGAGGATATTACCATGTGGCTGCTGATAGTTATCTTACCGTTACATGAAATTTGAGGAAGAAATCATGGCTGAGAGCACAGAGAAAGAAAGAGTTAGGTCTGGGTGAAATAGTTTAACTCCTGAATTAACGGATCCCTGAAGCAAGATTCATCTGTACTTTTTAGTTACATGAGTCACTAAATTCTCCTTTGCTTAAGTCAGTATGAGTAGGGTTTTCTGCCTTTTATAACTGAAATGGTCCTGACTGATATGACCTTTTTTGTTCCTCCATTGAGCACATCTCAGCAAAGCCTTCTTTGGAAAGGGAATTATACTAAATTAATGTAATATTCTTTGATTCTTTGATCCTACAGCTTGAGGACTAAGTGTCCTTGGGTCAGTCCTGATCTCTTTCTGAGGTTTGGTTTTCCTTTTTGAGGAATGTATTCATTTCCATGTAAGTGGATTGTATTATATCTCTAATTACGCTTCTTAGTGTAAAATTATCTGGTTTTAGGAAATCCTTATTTCAGACTAAAATGTGAATGACTCTAAGATTTAATAGAATCTACGAGCTTGAGTTTTGAAGTTACAGACACATACATTTGAAAGCTGACTCTGCCACTTACCAGTTATATAACCAAAAGTAAATTTCTTTATCTGTTTACATTTCAATATTCCTAATTATAAAGGGGACATAATTCATAGGGTGGTTGCAAGGATTAAATGACATCAGGTATATGGAATCATATGTGGTAAGCACTCAATACCTGATAGCTATCATCATTTATTACTCCTTCCTAGTGACATCCTTATACGAAAATAGGATTTCCAAAGGTGTGTTTGGTGGAAAACAGTCCTGCAAAATGCCCTCACAAAAGGATTTCGGAGTCAAATACATTTAGGAAATGCTTATGTTTAATCTTCCCGTATTTTCAAGATATATTAACATATTAAAGGCGCTAAAAATTCTTCAGTAAATAAATATGCTTAAAGTTGTTGATCCAGCATCCAAAATATATTTGACTACACAATGCTTTTTTCCTTCATAGATGTATACCTATTAACATATATTGACAAAAATAGTTAAAACCCTTAAGGGGTGATTTTAGGCATCCATCAGTTGGGTTGAAGCAGTGGAAGGGAGAATTTCTGGGGGGAGTTCAAGTCTCAGATATGAGCTCCTGTAAGCTCCTACTAGAAAATTGGGCTTTATCCAAAATTTAGCCTAGATCAGCCATTGGCAAACTCTGGCTTGTGGGCTAGCCACTTGTTTTTGTAAATAAAGCTTCATTAAAACACTTATGTGCATTCATTTATGCATTGTCTGGCTTATGGGCTAGCCACTTGTTTTTGTAAATAAAGCTTTATTAGAACAGTTATGTGCATTCATTTATGCATCGTCTATAGTTGCTTTAATGCTGCAAGAGCAGAGTTGAGTGGTAGTGGCAGAGACTACAGCCTGCAGAGCCTAAAATATTTACTATCTGGCCCTTTTCAGACAACGTTTGTTGGCCCGTGGCCTAATGACAAGGTTGCATCTGTAAGAACTGCATGAACTCAAAGTAGATTTCTTTTTTGGTCCGTCTTAGTAAGTTCTTGTTATTCCAGCTCATAAAGTGAGATGCTATCTCCTTATATTAGTAATCCTGACTTCAGAAAAATATCAAAAGAACCCGATAACTATTTTACTCAAAGGGAGTAGAAGAAGAGAGAAACTCCCTGAAAAGATAGGAATTTATAGCTCATGGAACTGAATTGCTCTTCAGTGACTTTGCCCTTAAATCTGAACACATAGCAGTTGCTCACTTCCTTAGGAAGCTTTCCCACATCGACACCATATAGTACTGAGTTGTCCTGTGGAATAAATGACATTATTATAAGCTACTACTATATCTTTCACGATGTCTCCTAAGTTTCACGGTAATTCCTGTTGAGTTACTTTTCGGGTAGCAGTGCCACTGAGGGCGACAATAAACAAAATTTCTTCACTGAAGTGATTAAAAACAGCCTCCTTTAGGCTCCATGGGTTTGGATCCATGGCTGTTATCACATCAGTGGCTCTCAGGAAAATGAATAAGACTTCTGAAAAGAGACACCAAGTTTTTTATTTGTATCACATCATAAAGTGGACCATGTTAACTCCCTGGCTAAAATTTCTCTCTTTCAATTTTTGGAAGACAGGAATAAGCTGTGCCTTATCATACAAACTAGGAGTCTTTGGTCTCACAGCAGATTTACTTGTGGTGGCAGAAGTTCATTTTGAGCTCTGAGTTTTAAGTCTCCATTCACTCATTCGTTCAACAATGTACTGAGAACCTATTCATACTTTATGCCACACACTAACTGTGCAGCAGAGTAAGCAAATTAGATAAGATCCTTGCCTTCATGGAGATGGAAAGTCTAATTGGAGAGATACATGATCAAAAAGTACTCAGATAGCTAGACAACCATAACCTGTGATACATGCTCTGCAAGAATGAAAAGATGCAGGCGTGACAGGAGACATCATTTAGATAGAGAGGAGGACTTGTGGTGTTGTGTGTAAGGGTATCACCTGAATCCTAAAAAGTGTGATGGAGCCAGGTCTACCTGGAAGAAGAGGAAACTTTCCAGGTAGAGGGAGCAGCATGACAGGAAGGCTTTTAATCTGGTGGCTACATTTGGAAAAAGACCTCAGTCCCTGGATTCAGACCTTGATACATTCTTAAATTAGTTTAATTTCAAGTAACTTCACCATTCTTGGTCCTAAACTTTCCATCTCTTAAATGGCAAGAACAACTTCTACATGAGTGGTTTATAAAAAACCATGGAGAATCTTGCTAATATTTTGATTAGAATTGATGGGAGAAAATAGCTTTCATGTTAACATCAGCTCATTTGTTAAAATCTTGGTTATAGATGCCAGATGAAATCTTAGCGGTCACTCAAGCATTTCGTAAAGAAGTATTTGTAAAGGGGTAGGATGAAGCAGAGTCTGAATAGAATTAGAATTTGAATTCCATTTCACATTTTTGTAATGTCAGTCAAATATGACAAATCTGAAATAATATCACTTTCTTCTAACCTGCCAACTGGAAGAAAAATTCCCAGTGATATTTATGTGATTTATTGTGAGTTAAAAATAAAAACAGATAAAATGAAATGAAATTCTTTTATTAAGCAATTTGCCCCAAACCCAACTGTACTAATTAAGTCTCCATGGATAAATATATTCATAAATAGTCATGTTTTATCAAAGTCAAATACAGGGCAAACGCTTACGTTCATGCACTACTAAGCCTGAGTTATTAAATAAAATCTGTGCCATACTCTTTAAATTAAGATTCTATCCATTAATAAATGTTTAATAAAAATGTAAAGATGGAATATTGTTTGAAGAAGAAAAACATCCCCAGTACTTCCAGTTGAATCCAGCTTAGTGAAATGCAAATTTTATAAATTCCAATCTATCAAATAGAAATTTTACTATAAAAGGTTTTCATGGAAATAATAGCTGTCAACTATCAATTAATGCACACAGTCCCATTTTCCTTAAGTACTGTATTGAACTTTAATGAAAGGTTACTTATTCTATCAAATTGCTTTATACTTCGTACCATTAAACTTAACCAAAAATTAACATCAGTATTCCATGAAGAGAACATGCAAACAAAATTCACCAAAATGACAGGGGAGCCTAAATGTTTTTGTTGCACACTGAGAAATATGCTTCCACACACATTTTAAAAACGCAAAGAATTCATTTTTAAAACCGATGCTATCAGAAAATTTAACCCATTCTCAACTGCATGTCTCTCTTATATTTCTTTGCCTCCTTACATTGAGCCATGTATGATATACAAACAATATTTTTAATTATGTCAATAGGGCAAAAGCTTAACTCGGCAGAAGCCAGCCAGCATGGCATACAGTAGCAGGACCAAGGACTTGAAGCCAACATATCCAGGTTCAAATTCAAGCTGTCATTAACTAGCTGTGTAACCCTGGGCTAGTTGCTTAGTCCTCCTGAGGCTTAAATTCTTCATCTGTAACATGAGAACAATAAACTGATCTTTGAGGACTGCTTTGGGTACTTAGGAGAAAGGTGTATGGGTAAGCTTGGAACATAGGAGGTGTCCAGTAAGTGGTAGCTGTACTTAATGATTTACAGGGGTTAGGTAAGGATATCAATAAACGAAAGCAGAAAGTCACTGCCCGTGCAAATTAGAGGTGCATATAGATGGGAAGGTCTTAATGCATTTTTATAGTTTTGTAAAATCACTCTTATTTAGTTCTTATAGAAGCAATAACGTACATGTGCTGTAATGAAGAGTGATCGATCATAATACTAATGACCCAGGCATGCCCTATGCCCTTTGAAAACCCCCTAAACACTGGATTAAAATTTTTCCTCCTAAAACCATATGCATATCAATATGAAATGGCATTGAGTGATGCTAAATAAATAAATAAATATGGTAGAGTCAGGAGATTTGGGTTCTTATCCCAGCTCTCACTCTAGCGGAACACATGTCCTTGAATAGCCCTTCCTCCTTTCCAGACATCAGTTTCCTCATCTGTCAGATGAGCAGTGGGCAGGTCTAAGTGGGCACGAGTAAATACTAGGGAGAGGTAGGAGCTATGGCCAAATGGAGAGCATGTATTCTTTCTTTCCATAGGGACATCCTCTCCTCAGTTCCAGCTGACTGTTGCCTTGCTGGACCCTGGACCCCGTATTGCTAGATCTGTAAGAAAAGTCAGAAATTCAGATGTTGAAAACAATTAAAAACAATTATTAAAAAACTGTGCTATTCAAGAAAATCCTGTCTCCTGGAAGACTTCACATTTGTGGGCTGCCTGTTTAGAACTTTGGACTAGATATTTTCTGAAAGCCCTGACCGGATCTGCAGTTTTGTAATTTTAGGGAAATCTCTTTTTTGTCTGATTTTCTACACTGTAATCCTGAAAAATGATTTACAAAACCCAAATAGATTTTGGCATGAACTAAGCTTAAATTAACTGCTCTCTATCGTGAATTAATATTAAGCAGAGCTTGGCAGACACTAAATATTTGTTTTAGGAATACACACAGCTTCCACTTTCATCTGGGTTAAGCGCTAATCTTTGGCCTGTCAGTTGCAGGATATAGCACTGGATAAATCATGCTCTCTTGAACAGATAGATGCCAGGGTGGTTGTATACAAATGGAACAATGTGTCAATGAACACCCGAGTTTGGGTTACATCTACTATAAACATCGACATTCCTTTGCAGTGAGCCCATTTGCTGGTTAAGCAGTTACAGCTTCGCAAGGTTTGATGCGCCTGTGCCCAATCACGGTGTAATGATTTCAGATGTTTGCAATTAATGAACCATTAGATTAATTGGCAGAGTATCATAAGAAAGGTGTTAAGAATTGGGTCAAAACCACAGACAAGCTATCACCCACAGGGACAGCAATCACCAGAGGCAAAAAGGTGAGAAAATGAATTAATGATTTTATTTACCGCTTCTCACCCCTCCCTCCACACACTTTCTTTCTCTGTAAAACATTAGCATTGACCAGCGTCTAAGTTCGCCAAACACAGAAAGGAAGGAGAAAGCTGAAAGGAAAAAGAAAATATGTTTTCATATTCCTACAGTTAAGACTTGATCTTTGGAAAGCTGGGAGTTCCATTGGTACCAAAAAGTGACACCATTTCTCAGTGTATGTCCAAATCTCTCTCTGTGGGCTTTTTTCCTAAGCTCTTATGTTTTATTAATTATGTAACACATCAACCATCTTAGAAAAATGATTAATAGTACTTCAGAAACATGGAAATAAATAAGCCAAGCTTCAATATATGATTATGTAGGCTTGATATAAACCCCAGGGTAGCCATCTTTTAAGATGTGAGGAGTTTAACACCAAGCTGTCGCTACAGTACTTAAAATCTGGCAGCATAGTGAGTTATTGCCTGGCAGTGGATGGTGCTTCAGATGAATATGTAATTTGGAAAGTTAAATTAACCCTGAAATATTTTATTTGTTGTCTATTTTCCACTCAGGAAAGAGATCTTCATGTAAACAGAGTCCCTCTTATTGGCTGAAGTGAAGAGTCATTCTGAGGTGAGCTAAGCCCAGATACTTGGTAAATTTATGGTGGCTGTTATTTTCATAACAAAGAAAGTCAATTTTTGGAAAAGGATACTACCATGACACACACAAAAAATAATTTTCAAATAAAATCCTGGTGCTTCCTCCATAGTGTGTGTTGTTACCGGATATTTTGTTTGGCATTTATTTACTTATAGGTTCATTTCTGTCTCCCCACTACGATGTAAGCTCCAGGGGACCAGAAACTTGGTCATTTAGTTTATGGTTCTACCCCCACTGACTAAGATCCTGGCACACAGCAGGTGCTCAATAAATACTTGTTGAGTGAATGCAGAAATGAGTTGTTGTTGTCAAAAGAAAATGGCTTTGGAATTCTGTGTTGTCCTGGGGGAATACTGATGGGTCCAGGCAGTGACCTTACTGCTCTTGGACAGGCTCATTTATTGGTTTATTCAACCAATCTTTATTGAAGACCTACTATGTGCCAGGCCCTGTCCTAGGCACTGCAGATTCAGCAGTTAACAACGCATAGTTCCCTAACCTCACAGAACTTACTTTCTTATGAGGAAAGCAGAAATCAAACACATGCTTACACAAAGGATCAATTTCATTAAAACTTGGTTACTCTCTTGAAGAAAAAAGTATAGAGCCATAAGAATATGTGATATGGGAGCCTCATCTAGCTTGGGGAGACTAGGAAGCCTTCCCAGGGAAAGTCACACTTAACCTGAGACCTTAGAGATTAATAGGAGAGTATCTGGAGCAGAGGGAAAGCATGTGCAAAGGTCCTGGGGAAGGAGCAGCTTCATGTTTGAAATACAGCAAGCAACCAGTGTGGCTGCAGAAGAGAGAGTGGGGAGGACAGTGAGAAGCAAGATGCAAAGAAAGTTTCAGGTCACAGATCCCATTACTGGGTATATACCCAAAGGATTATAAATCATGCTACTATAAAGACACATGCACATGTATGTTTATTACGGCAGTATTCACAATAGCAAAGGCTTGAAACCAACCCAAATGTCCATCAATGACAGACTGGACTAAGAAAATGTGGCACATATACACCATGGAATACTATGTAGCCATAAAAAAGATGAGTTCATGTCCTTTGCAGGGACATGGATGAAGCTGGAAACCATCATTCTAAGCAAACTATCACAAGGACAGAAAACCAAACACCACATGTTCTCACTAGTAGGTGGGAGTTGAACAACGGACAAAGGGCGGGGAACATCACACACCGGGGCCTGTCAGGGGGTAGGGGGTTGGGGGAGGGATAGCATTAGGAGAAATACCTAATGTAAATGACAAGTTGATGGGTACAGCAAACCAACATGGCACATGCATACCTATGTAACAAATCTGCACGTTGTGCACATGTACCCTAGAACTTAAAGTGTAATAAAAAAAAAAAAAGAAAAAAGTTTCGAGTCAAATTACTAGATCTGTGAAGGCCCGTTTCTGCCCTTATCCTGAAAGAAATGAGGTGTCATTGAAGTGTTCCAAATAAGATAGGAAAGTCATCAAATTTTAATTTTTAAAATTTTATTGAAATTAATTAGAAATAAAATTATGTTTACACAGTGAGAGGAGTACGTCTTTAGCTTTCCTTGGATTCTCTTAAAAGAAGGAAGTTGACTCATACTCTTAAAGTGGGGTAAATTAGTAATGAGCTGGTGGTTGGAGGCAAAAGGGCTTACCTCCAATTATCTGTGTGTTAATCCAGTCCTATTCCAGGGACATTTTTGTCTGCAATCCTCAGAGATTTTATGAGATTGACTGGTTTTGTTTTGAATTAAATAAGAAATTGCTAAAGTGCCAGTTGTTCAAAATGTGTTTTTCCCCTTTGCTAAGTTTGCATGGATAGTTACTGGCAAACATACCACGAGTACCTCCTATGCATCACGCCTTAGTTGTCAGGGCTAGAAATGACGTAGATGTATTCTCCGTAAGCCGTATAAATGCTGCTCAACCAAGTGTTTCATAAATGGCTGAATGACAAACAGGGTGTTCCCCATCAGGAGTGGATATGTAAATATCACAACCTGGCCCTTGTTAGAAGAGGTATATAAAAAAGAAAGTGCTGTGGAAGAAACCAATCCTTTTTGGGCATAAAAAGAATGAGAGATCAGAGAAGGGACATTTGATTTGGGCTTTGAAGAATAAATTGGAATTTCTGAGCAAAGAGTATAACATAAACAATGGTCAACATGCCTAACTGCTCAAAGTTTAGTTATTGTGTGATTTAAGAGTATAGTAACTCATATTTAATGGTGTATTTCAGTAGACTTAAAACTTAGCCTTAACCAAAGCAACAAGAGCTATGAAAACATGCATGTTCATTTCTTTAAATGTGTATTAGAAAACAAACTAAAATTAGCACACGAACCCATGTTTTCATAGCTCTTGTTGCTTAAGGCTAAGTTTTTTTAAAAGGTTTGTTTCTAATGCACATTTAAAGAAATGAACATCCTATAGCTTGCCTATCCAATGTCCATTTTCCCCCTTCCTCTTCTAACAGAACCCCAATGTATGAGGTTACCCACCCATCCTCCATGCAATCTTGTGCTTCAAGGAAAGCTGACCCCATTCCCACCTCAAGTAAATAGAACTTACTAAGACAGGTATCAGAATCTTGTTTTCCTTTCCAGTGATTGGCTCAGGAGAGGTCATATGATCCAGCTCTGGCCAATGAGAAGTAAGGAAAGATCTGCCCAGGGATTTCTGGGAAAAGTTTTCTCCTTAAGGAGACACCAGAGAGGACTTTTCTGCATTCTGTAGCTGCAGTAGCTCATCTTCCCACCAGGAAAAGAGCTAGCTTGCAGGTGATGCTAGTACATTAATGATGGCAGAATGGACACGTGGAAAGAATCTTGATGTTGATGAATCACAGACCTATTCCCTTAAACGACTGTAGAGAGTTGCTCTGCCTCTGGACTTCTTACTCTATGAAAGAAAGTAAAGGGCCAGAGAGTTAATATTTTAGGCTTTACAGCCCAAGAGGCAAAATCAAGGGTATTATGTTGGTATTTATATAACAACAGGGAAAACAAATTTTGTCCAATTTTTTACTGATGAAATTCAAAATTTAATGAGAGTGTAATTTTTGTAATAAAGGTTTATTAATAAAAAAGGGATTATTTTCTTTTTAGTGCTCACTATCACCAAACTGAAAATACTCATATGTAAAAACTATTCTTGATTGGCAGACCATATAGAAACAGGCAATGGGCCAGAATTCACTTGTAGGCTATCGTTTGCCATGCCCTGTTTTAAAGTAATTTTTATTTTAAACTTTTTATTGGTTGAAAATTACTGTTCCCAAATAATATCTACTATTCATAGCCATGGTCATCATAATTGATACACATTAAACATTAAAAAATTCTCTATGAATCACCTCTAGCTGTCTTATATCCATAAAAGGGATGATTAAAAGATTTTGGGAAATAATAGTTTACTTTTGCTAAATACTTTTGTGCCAATTACTGGATTCTAAAATTATGTGCATGAGCTAATTTAATCTTTACAAAAATCCATCAGGTAGGCAGTATTATCATTATTTTGAAGATGAGGATATTATGTCACAGAGCACTTAGATGGTTCTCTGTTAAAGTGAGATTGGTTATTGTCTCTCTACTACTGTGCTGTTCAACTCTGATCTTTCCCTATTTATGTGCAAATGAACCATATATATAAACTTGTTTCTGATTCGAACTTCCTAAACTAACTGGCACATTGCAGGGAAGTCAGTTATGGAAACAGATGATGCAGCTTTAAAAAAAATTATCATTACATTTCTTTATGGCTAAAGAGCATCTGGAACAATTTAAGAAATTAGAAGGAGAATAAGATGTTTTACAACATAATATGCCCCAGGATTGCCATACAAGTGGGAAATGTGTTAGTTGAATTATGGCTCCGTGCTTTCCTTTTGTGGTATGCTTTATCCAGATCTCTGACATTACGGTACTGAGGTTGGCTCTTTATTTAGTTAGTTTTGAAAAATGTTCTTTAATTCTAGCATTCCAGGGAATAAAGTAGCACTCCAAATAATAATGCACGCTCAAGATGGAGAAATCAGACCCTTCGTGGGGAGAGAACAAAAATTAAAATGTGAATCATTAAAAAGCAAAACAAATAAATAAATAAGACTGTAAATAGACCCCTATAATTATATATCGCACAAGAAAAGCCAACTCCAGATGGTTCGGTAATCTCATCACCAGCCTCACTAATAATCATTGTAACATTCTTGGTCTCTCCCTTAAGATAATGAGCAATATGCACTAAAAAAAAAAAAGGTGTAAACATGAACTACAATTTCTCATCTAAATACAAAACAAAATAGAATGACTCACCTTAAGGTCTGCTAGTGTAGAGTGTTTTAATCTATAATCTTTCCCTTCCTTTAAAAGGTTAACCAATGGGGAAATACAACCAAATTATGAAAGTTGCCTTTCTAAGTAGACAATATGTTTCCCCCCGACTTCCTCCAAGGGTGGTCCCTTCTGAAATGAACCCAGAAAATTAATGCTCCAATAATTAAGCAAATTTAAAGACTATGATTAGTAAACAACTTTGTCACCCTTAAAGCTGTACCACTGCTAACATTTTTTAAAGTTTCCTAAGGCCCTTTCACCTTAGAAAATGATCGTTACTAGTTGAGCCAAGAAACAGTATAGCATATAGCGCTTGTTATTATTTTTCTCCATACCTGCTGTTCCTTCTCTAGAATTTATTTTGAAGGACCAAAAAAAAAAAAGAAAAAAATCTTCATTGATGGGGAAGAAAGGACCAAAAGAACATTATGCAAAACAGATGTAAAACCATCTCTATAATATTGCATGCTACTATTGAGCCTTTATTTCTGTCTTTTTTGCCTTGCAAGGCAGTTCTGCCCCAGACTCATAACTTTGTTTCCTCTCAATTAAGGTTGTTCAATATAAAATTGGATCATCTCAAACATACCTACCGGGATGTAGAAAGAAAGATAAGTTTAGATTTTTTTTAATATGATGTTTTATCTGTTGGAGTGGGTTAAATTGCAATACTCTTTGAGCACATTCTGTTTTCCTGCTCCTTCAGGAAATCATCTGTGGCTCTGCTTCTTGGGTAATGTAGCCTACTTCATTGAAAAAAAGAGTAACTCAGTTTTGTTGCTTATACATGGGCTTCTGGACTGCTTATGTGTTTGTGTATCACACACTCAATTCAAGGGCTCCCTTTGACTTTCTGCACTGAGCAGAGCAATTTCATTCAAATTTTCATTCAAAATTCAATGTCGTCATCAGCCACCCAAATGCAAGGATGTGATTTAGGGATGAGTGATGTCAGTTATGAAGATTTCAAAGTCTATTTAAAATTTTCAAGAATGCTCTGCATTCCAATCACACACACTCTAGTCTAAGAAGTTCTGGCCATTCCTGTCATGTCATCTGGTGGATTTTTAATAATAAAATCCCTTATCTTTCTGCCCAAGGATCTGACCTATTTAGGAGCTTCTGGACTATTTTCATCTAGTCCCTTGGCTCATCAGTTGATTCAGTAAATACATATTGAGTACTTGCAATATCCAAGGCACTGTTCTAGGATCTGGGGACACAATGTCCAAGACTGACAAGACGCCGTGAAACTGGCAGTTTAGTGGGAGTTGCCAGGAGAAGAAGCTCTCCAAAGCCCATGCAAGTGAAAGGTATTGTATTGAAAAGTGATAGGAAGCCATCATTGGAAATGGTAATTCCTCATGGTATTTGGGGCCAGAAACTGCTATTCTGTTAGGTATAAACCCACTCTTTAGTGTTCTCTAGGGCCATGTTGTTTTTGGACTTCTCCTTTTAATATGTGTCTGCTGCAGTATTTTTCTTCTTTCTGAAGATCAGCATTTTTTTGATTCTTCTATCAAGTGTATACTTGGCAGAAAACATCCCCTCCAGCCTTGACTTGATGTGACCGTGTAGTTCTTGAGCTCAGTGCCATCTGACTCTTAAGACGACATTCTTGAGGGAGAATCAGATGGGTTGCTGTTGAGTCAGTGGACCCCGCCCTCCTGTGCTAGCTGTTTGTTATTGGTGCCACGTGCTGCCATCTGTGAAGTCGAGTCACACACCACAGACATGGCTGCCAGAGACCAAGGCGGGAGGATGTTTGCAGGGAAGGCGGCCTGAGAAACACTCCCAAGTGCACCTGCAACCGGAGGACTGTTCATCTGCAGCTCCAAATGCATTGTACAGGCACAGGCTCACTCTTCCCCTTTTTCTCACAGTTGTTTAGATTGTGGTATGTTGTGGAAAACAGATATGCTGAGCTTCTGGCTCTGTGGTTTCCAGGATTGAGGAGACATAAGTAGGGAAGTTGGCCTTTCCTTCTGTCTTGCATTTTATTATATTTCATTTTAAGGGGGGCATTTCTAAAAAATATTAACTTTCTCATATTACAAAAGTAATATGTATTCATTGTGGGAAACCTGGAAAACAGAAAAAGTAGTGAAGAAAAGAATACTCTCTCACATTCTCACTTCTCACAGATAACTGCTATTAATATTGTATGCCCAGGCCGGGCACTGTGGCTCACGCCTGTAATCCCAGCACTTTGGGAGGCCGAGGCAGGTGGATCATGGGATCACGAGTTCAAGATCAGCCTGGCCAATGTGGTGAAACCCCATTTCTACTAAAAAAAATATAAAAAATAAAAAATTTGCTGAGCGTGGTGGCACATGCCTCTAGTCTCAGCTGTTCGGGAGGCTGAGGCAGGAGAATCACTTGAATCCGGGAGGTGGAGGTTGCAGTGAGCCAAGATCATGTCACTGCACCCCAGTCTGGGCGACAGAGTGAGACTCTGTCTTGGAAAATAAAATAATGTATGCCCACACTTGTTTGTGCAACAAAAATGGAACCTTACTCAATATTCTCAAAATAAAAGTATCTTTACCTTAATACCCATATGCTCTGTGCCCATTATGTGAGTTCACCCAATAAAGAAATGTAAGAAGCAGAAAATGAAAATTTTCTCAGAAATTTCACCTCTTCAGAGAGAGTCGTTGATTACAGTTTGGCATAAATCCTTCCAGATTTTTAAGATAGGTGTGTGTGAGTATATACTTTTCCATACAAATATCAATACTCTTTCATGTCTTTTACAGCTTCAGCATAGTATTGTATTGAATGAATGTATTGTAATGCAATTAAAATTCTCTTTCAGTGGACATTCAGGGAGTTTCCAGTTTTTTCTTTATAATTATAAATCAATTTTGCATAGCTGTCCAAATATTTCCTTAAGATATACTGCTATCTGTGGGCCAAAAGTTGCCATTTCTAGCCAAGTAGGAGGGAGACCATATTGAGTAATTAAGTATCCAAGATATATATAAAAATAAAAGAAAACAACCAAAAAAATCAAGACCCTTAATATCTGGAAGTTCTGTGGGAGAATTAGAATAAAAAATGGGCACAGTAGCTCATGCCTGTAATCCCAGCACTTTGGGAGGCTGAGGTGGGAGGATCAATTGCAGACAGTTCAAGACCAGTCTGGGCAACACAGTGAGATCGTGTCTCTACAAAATCTCTACAGAACGTTTAACAAATTAGCTGGGTGTGGTGGTGTGCACCTATGGCCTCAGCTTCCTGGGAGGCTGAGGCAGGAGGATCATTTGAGCCCAGGAGTTTGGGGCTGCAGTGAGCTACAAACATGTCACTGTACTGCAGCCTGGGTGACACAGTGAGATCCTGTCTTGGATAAAAAAAAATGTAAGAGTGCCAGAAAATGATAAAAACAAAATTAAAAAAATGTAACCCAAAACTTTTTTTTTCGTTAAAGGAGGATCTGAAAATGTAGAGGTGAGACGCTAATGGCAGAGTGGCCTCAGCTTTCACCAGGTTTTGAAAACATCTGTGAGGGAGGCACCAAATTCACTGTCCTGCAGCTTTGACTTCCCAATCCTCGTTGCCTCGTGCTGCCAGCCTGTATGCTGGTAGAAGTGTGTTCCTGGGAACATCCTGGCATCTTGTGTTAGGACTACACTGGTGCATGGGACAGATCACGCTCAAGAAGGTCGATGTAATTTGAAAAACAGATGGGCTCTGCTTTGTGAAAACTCCAAGCATATGAAGTCTAACTTGAATAAAAGGTACATGTTTGGAAGGAGAGTGTTTGTTATAAAAGGACTGTTCACCATTGGGGTGTATAAATGGAAGTGCTCTTTTAGCCAGGCAGATCCTTAACCTGTCTAAAAGAGTATTTGATTTTAAAGTCCCTTGAACTAGGTCTATTGCATATATTTTCAAATATACCACTTTGGCTGGGAGTAATATTTAGCCACAAATATTCTCTCAGCAAGAAAAATGGAGGATAAAATGTTATATATGTTGGTGTCTTTTTCCCATCTAGTTTCTATTTCTTACTTGAATCATCTTAAAACAACTAAGAAAGTTATAATCAGAACTAGGTCCAAATTTGTCGTCCTAGTTTGTTTTTGTGACTTTGTCTAAAAGCTGAGCAAAATCTGCTCAACAAGGGTCTTGGAAACATTGTTACTTGTGTTTTCCATCCATCACTCCTGTTCATCTGCATATACCTGAACAGAATTATTCCTAGCGCATTGAATCTATATACCCTCTCTTAGTCTCTGTTCATTATAGTAAGCTCCAGAAAAAATAATATAAAAGAAATATTAAAGAAAGAAAAGAAGGGCAAAGAAAAAAGTTCTGCTGGTTAAGAAATCCCTTTTAGCCAGCGGGGCGCCAGAAGAATCCAGGGACATCAATAGTTCCTGAACTGCTAAAGTATTTCCTACTCTTGTGAATTCTAAACATCTCTGAAGTCCAATATAGATCCCAAATATACTGATAGGATTAGAAATAGCATTTCCAATAAAAAATGCATAACACAGTAGGACATGAAATAAGGTATTTCTCTTTGAAACCATGAAATTGCACCATATTTGTCTGGAAATGTGTACATGAAATTTAAACAACCCTTGAAGACATCCATCTATTTTTTTTTTGAGTTTGCTCCTCAATTGAAATTCCACTCTCTGGAAGTTTGTGCTGCGGGCTCCCAACTTCACTCTCTGCCTCTCCTCTGTTTCCCTCCATTTCCTTCCCTTTATGACCCTTTTCAGTTGCGCCCCCTTGATTTATGGTCATTTGTGTGATTGCACTGCTTTGGTTTATGGCAGTTTATGTCATCCTGGTCTTGTCATAAATGACTACCATAAAGTGAGGTAAAATATCATAAAACATTAGTGAGTCCCTGCTACTCAAGGTTCTTCAGAATAAACCCTGACAGGTACCAGCTATAGAAAAATAGATCTGGCCATTTGAAAGGTGCAGTATTTGTAATAATAATCATAATAATGATAGTTAAAAATAAGTTACTAAAGTTTGCTGAACTCTATGTGCCAGTCACTGGGTTAAGTTTATTTCATACATTATGACATAGAATCCTTGTTACTGCCCTCTATGGCAAAAACTAGGATTATCACCGTTGTATAGATGAGGAAACCGAGGCAGGGAGAAGTTCAGCATGGCCAGTACTCAGTACAGTCCACAGTCTTACTGTGTCTTAAGAGCTCGTGCTTTTAACTGTTGTTGGTCTAGATGCTGCAGCTCGTGCTGTGTGCACATAAGGGGTTGAGTGGATTGAAATGTGGGTTTAGCATTTGGCAGACAGTTTTCATGACTGAGGAGCTCTTGTCACCTTCAGGCCTTTTTTGCTCTCCTTCCCCTCCCAGTTCACAGAGCCTTCTGGCACACCCTGCTACCCTGGCAGCACTGCCTGCCTTTGTTACCTCACCATGCCCTCTAGACCACAAGTTATCTGCAAAGTTGTCTTTCTTGATTCATCCAGCTCACTTCTGACCTTGTCCTTTGGAATCTCAGCTGTGCTAGCACATCTTTGAGCCAGAAGCCTGAGAGTCACCTTTGATTCCTTCTCTTTCTAACTAGCAAGTCCTGCCTGTGCCACCTCTAAGAGGCATCTTACACCCATCTGCATTTCACTTTACCTTCCAGAAGGTGGGTACTGTAAGCCACTGCCATCTCTTTCCTGCACTGCTAGAGATCAGGCTCTGCAAATGCTCCCAGCCACCTGTCCTTTGGGCTCTATGCAGGAGCAGAAGCACTTATAAGCACGAGCTGGGACTGCCATTGACAGCCCTCATTTATCCCTGTGGTTCGCTTCCTTTTGTGCTTTCTCTGACTCCTGCCTCCCTCATGACATTTTGTCGTGCTGTTGTCTCCGCCTCACTGGCCTCCCCCGAACCAGGTGAATTATTTTCTAACTTAGAAACTTCACACCATAAACTTTGCTCTCTGCCTGGAACTTGCAGCCCTTAACTTTCCTGTACCCATTCTTGTCTTTACGGAGTCAATTTGCTTATCATTGTTCCTGCCTGAAGTTTCTCCCTCTTTCTTCAGTTCTCTACTACTGCAACTCTTTCCTTCCTAGATCTGCCCATATATACTGAGGAGTGATTTGTTTATGTATTGATGATCTGTTTCCCTATCTAGATTGTAAGCTCCATGGGGACAGGAACACAACTATCACGTCCATAGCCACATTCCTAGCATTCGTCACAGGGCCCAGCACAACAGCATGGGACATATTTGTGGGGTGGGTTTAGATGGGATTGCAGGTTATATCTCCACGTCTAAACTGGATCGTGAGGGCTAAAAGGACAGCCATGCATCATCTGTTTCTGTGAAATATGTTGTACCAAGAGCATTCACATTGTAGGAACAAAGTGGATGTTAATGTGATACATAGCTGTTGACTGAATTATAGTAGCCCTCACAAAACCTTGGCTCCTAGGATTAAGACAGTGCATTGCATTGGATTGGGCATTGGAGACTGGCCATGGGGTGTATAAAAAGGGGAAATGGATCATAAGACAAGTTAGGACAACAGTTTCTATGATCCAATAAATTCATTGAAAGAAATATGTGAGCATCTTGGTTAAAAAAGAAAAAGAGAAGAAAAAAGGAACCAGGAGGAAAAATGGAATCAGTGTATTTCTCTCTCTTTTTTTTTTTTGCCCCCTCATCTCCTGTCTTTTCCAAAAATCTTTCTAGGTTTCCTCTGTCACATCCGTATGAAGTGTAAATTATAGTTTCCAATATAAATGGCCATTTTCAGCAAATTTTAGCAAGGAACAAAATTTCATTTGAGACTGAAATTTGGCATCCCTTTGCCTCTTCATGCTGGGAACTATTTTTTGTCTTTACAAAATGCAATGAGACATAAATCTTTTTGCTTTTATTTCTAAATGATACTACACCAAGCCGAAAATGCACTGGGAAAATAGGAATGCCTCCAAGCTCGGGCCAGCCTTTGCAATCCTAATTCATAGTGCGTGCTGTTATACCAGGGAGAAATCAGATCAGGGTCCTATAAAAATGTGAGGCTATTTTTAATTGTATGTACTCACTTCCAATCCCATTCCTCTCCCTGCAAATTTCGTTTTACCCTGGCACTCCTAACTAACTACATTGCCACCCACAAAGAAGCCTGGTACACTCAACAGCTAACACTTGATTTGACACCATTTAGGAGGCTGGCAACTCCAAAAGCATATGGAATATTCCAGATGGATTCCCAGGGACATTTGGCTCCAGGTTTCTCATGTTGGGGAACACAGTTGGCACATGGAGCAGGCCAGTTCTTTATTGCATCCCATCCGAGGCAAGATGTTGGTTGTCCCTAGACCCCTGACATTACATGCCAGTTGATGCCTCCCAGTCACTGTGACAAGTAAAAGTACACCTCCCCCAGTTCTGAATGTAACCTTTGGGGGACCCGATTCACTTTGGCTGAGAACCACCAGGAGGATTTAAAACTTTTTGCACAAAAATTAACAGGGCATGGTTGGGCATGCCTGTAATCCCAGCTACTCGGGAGGCTGAGGCAGGATAATTGCTTGAACCTGGGAGGCAGAGGTTGCAGTGAGCCAAGATCGTGCCACTGCACTCCAGCCTGGGTGACAGAGCAAGAGTCTGTCTTCAATAAATGAGTGGGGTTCCAAGATGGCCGAATAGGAACAGCTCTAGTCTACAGCTCCCAGCATGAGCGAGGCAGAAGATGGGTGATTTCTGCATTTCCAACTATGGTACCGGGTTCATCTCACTGAGGCTTGCCAGACAGTGGCTGCAGGACAGTGTGTGCAGCCCACGGAGTGTGAGCCAAAGCAGGGCAAGGCATCGCCTTACCTGGGAAGCACAAGGGGTTGAGGAATTCCCTTTCCTAGGCAAGGGAAGCCATGACAGACCTGGAAAATCAGGTCACTCCCACCCTTATACTGCACTTTTCCAACAGTCGTAGCAAATGGCACACCAGGAGATTATATCCTGCACCTGGCTTGGAGGGTCCTACCCCCATGGAGCCTCGCTCACTGCTAGCATGGCAGTCTGAGATCTAACTGCAAGGCGGCAGCAAGGCTGGGGGAGGGGCACCTGCCATTGCTGAGGCTTGAGTAGGTAAACAAAGCAGCAGGGAAGCTCGAGCTGGGTGGAGCCTACTGCAGCTCAAAGAGGCCTGCCTGCCTCTGTAGACTCCACCCCTGGGGGCAGGGCATAGCTGAACAAAAGGCAGCAGAAACTTCTGCAGACTTAAACATCCCTGTGTGACAGCTTTGAAGAAAGTAGTGGTTCTCCCAGCATGGAGTTTGAGATCTGAGAATGGACAGACTGCCTCCTCAAGTGGGTCCCTGACCCCCGAGTAGCCTAACTGGGAGACACCTCCCAGTAGGGGCTGACTGACCCCTCATATGGCCGGGTGCCCCTCTGAGACCAAGCTTCCAGAGGAATGATCAGGCAGCAACATTTGCTGTTCTGCAATATTTGCTGTTCTGCAGCCTCCGCTGATGATACCCAGGCAAACAGTGTCTGAGTGGATCTCCAGCAAACTCCAACAGACCTGCAGCTGAGGGGCATGACTGTTAGAAGGAAAACTAACAAACCGAAAGAACATCCACACCAAAACCCCATCTGTATGTCACCATCATCAAAGACCAAAGGTAGATAAAACCACAAAGATGGGGAGAAACCAGAGCAGAAAAGCTGAAAATTCTAAAAATCAGAGCGCCTCTTCTCCTCCAAAGGAATGCAGCTCCTTGCCAGCAACGGAACAAAGCTGGACAGAGAATGACTTTGACGAGTTGAGAGAAGAAGGCTTCAGATGATCGGTAATAACAAACTTCTCCAAGCTAAAGGAGGATGTTCGAACACATTGCAAAGAAGCTAAAAACCTTGAAAAAAAGATTAGACGAATGGCTAACTAGAATAAACAGCGTAGAGAAGACCTTAAATGACCTGATGGAGCTGAAAACCATGGCATGAGAACTATGTGATGCATGCACAAGCTTCAGTAACCAATTCGATCAACTGGAAGAAAGGATATCAGTGATTGAAGATCAAATGAATGAAATGAAGCGAGAAGAGAAGTTTAGAGAAAAAAGAGTAAAAAGAAATGAACAAAGCCTCCAAGAAATATGAGACTATGTGAAAAGACCAAATCTACGTCTGATTGGCGTACCTGAAAGTGATGGGGAGAATGGAACCAAGTTGGAAAACACTCTGCAGGATATTATCCAGGAGAACTTCCCCAATCTAGCAAGGCAGGCCAACATTCAAATTCAGGAAATACAGAGAATGCCACAAAGATACTCCTCAAGAAGAGCAACTCAAAGACACATAATTGTCAGATTCACCAAAGTTGAAATGAAGGAAAAAGTGTTAAGGGCAGCCAGAGAGAAAGGTCGGGTTACCCACAAAGGGAAGCCCATCAGACTAACAGCGGATCTCTTGGCAGAAACTCTACAAGCCAGAAGAGAGTGGGGGCCAATATTCAACATTCTGTTTTTTTTTTTTGTTTTTTTTTTGAGACGGAGTCTCGCTCTATTGCCCAGGCTGGAGTGCAGTGGCGTGATCTTGGCTCACCACAAGCTCTGCCTCCCATGTTCACACCATTCTCCTGCCTCAGCCTCCTGAGTAGCTGGGACTACAGGTGCCTGCCCCCACGCCCGGCTATTTTTTTGTATTTTTAGTAGAGACAGGATTTCACCATGCTAGCCAGGATGGTCTCGATCTCCTGACCTCATAATCTGTCCACCTTGGACTCCCAAAGTGCTGGGATTACAGGCATGAGCCACCATGACTGGCCTCAACATTCTTAAAGAGAAGAATTTTCAACCCAGAATTTCATATCCAACCAAACTAAGCTTCATAAGTGAAGGAGAAATAAAATCCTTTACAGACAAGCAAATGCTGAGAGATTTTGTCACCACCAGGCCTGCCTTACAAGAGCTCCTGAAGGAAGCACTAAACATGGAAAGGAAGAACTGGTACCAGCCACTGCAAAAACATGCCAAATTGTAAAGACCATTGATGCTAGGCAGAAACTGCATCAACTAATGAGCAAAATAACCAACTAACATCATAATGACAGGATCAGATTCACACATGAAAGTATTAACCTTAAATGTAAATGGGTTAAATGCTCCAATTAAAAGACAGACTGGCAAATTGGATAAAGAGCCAAGACCTATCAGTGTGCTGTATTCAGGAGACCTATCTCACATGCAGAGACACACATAGGCTCAAAATAAAGGGATGGAGGAAGATCTACCAAGAAAATGGAAAACAAAAAAAAAGCAGGAGTTGCAATCCTGGTCTTTGACAAAACAGACTTTAAACCAACAAAAATCAGAAGAGACAAAGAAGGCCATTACATAATGGTAAAGGGATCAATTCAACAAGAAGAGCTAACTATCCTAAATATATATGCACCCAATACAGGAGCACCCAGATTCATAAAGCAAGTCCTTAGAGACCTACAAATAGACTTAGACTCCCACACAATAATAATGGGAGACTTTAACACGCCACTGTCAACATTAGACCAATCAACGAGACAGAAAGTTAACAAGGATATCCAGGAACTGAACTCAGCTCTGCACCAAGCGGACCTAATAGACATCTACAGAACTCTCCACCCCAAATCAACAGAATGTACATTCTTCTCAGTACCACATCACACTTATTCCAAAATTGACCACGTAGTTGGAAGTAAAGCACTCCTCAGCAAATGTAAAAGAACAGAAATTATAGCAAACTGTCCCTCAGACCACAGTGCAATCAAATTAGAACTCAGGATTAAGAAACTCACTCAAAACTGCTCAACTACATGGAAACTGAACCACCTGCTCCTGAATGACTACTGGGTACATAATGAAATGAAGGCAGAGATAAAGATGTTCTTTGAAACCAATAAGAACAAAGACACAACATACCAGAATCTCTGGGACACATTTAAAGCAGTGTGTAGGGGGAAATTTATAGCACTAAATGCTCACAAGAGAAAGCAGGAAAGATCTAAAATTGACATCCTAACAACACAATTAAAAGAACTAGAGAAGCAAGAGCAAGCACACTCAAAAGCTAGCCGAAGGCAAGAAATAACTAAGATCAGAGCAGAACTGAAGGAGATAGAGACACAAAAAACCCTTCAAAAAATCAGTGAATCCAGGAGCTGGTTTTTTGAAAAGATCAACAAAATTGATAGACTGCTAGCAAGACTAATAAAGAAGAAAAGAGAGAAGAATCAAATAGACGCAATAAAAATGATAAAGGGGCTATCACCACCAATCCCACAGAAATACAAACTACCATCAGAGAATACTATGAACACCTCTATGCAAATAAACTAGAAAATCTAGAGGAAATGGATAAATTCCTGGACACATACACCCTCCCAAGACTAAACCAGGAAGAAGTTGAATCCCTGAATAGACCAATAACAGGCTCTGAAATTGAGGCAATAATTAATAGCCTACCAACCAAAAAAAGTCCAGGACCAGACAGATTCACAGCTGCATTTTACCAGAGGTAGAAAGAGGAGCTGGTGCTATTCCTTCTGAAACGATTCCAATCAATAGAAAAATAGGGAATCCTCCCTAACTCATTTTATGAGGCCAGCATCATCCTGATACCACAGCCTGGCAGAGACACAACAAAAAAAGAGAATTTTAGACCAATATCCCTGATGAGCATCGATGCAAAAATCCTCAATAAAATTCTGGCAAACCGAATCCAGCAGCACATCAAAAAGCTTATCCACCATGATCAAGTGGGGTTCATCCCTGGGATGCAAGGCTGGTTCAACATACGCAAATCAATAAATGTAATCCAGCATATAAACAGAACCAAAGACAAAAACCACATGATTATCTTGATAGATGCAGAAGAGGCCTTTGACAAAATTCAACAGCCCTTCATGCTAAAAACTCTCAATAAATTAGGTATTGATGGGACGTATCTCAAAATAATAAGAGCTATTTATGACAAACCCACAGCCAGTATCATACTGAATGGGCAAAAACTGGAAGCATTCCCTTTGAAAACTGGCACAAGACAGGGATGCCCTCCCTCACCATTCCTATTCAACATAGTGTTGGAAATTCTGGCCAGGGCAATCAGGCAGGAGAAAGAAATAAAGGGTATTCAATTAGGAAAAGAAGAAGTCAAATTGTCCCTGTTTGCAGAAGACATGATTGTATATTCAGAAAACCCCATCGTCTCAGCCCAAAATTTCCTTAAGCTGATAAGCAACTTCAGCAAAGTCTCAGGATACAAAATCAATGTACAAAAATCACAAGCATTCCTATACACCAATAACAGACAAACAGAGAGCCAAATCATGAGTGAACTCCCATTCACAATCACTTCAAAGAGAATAAAATACCTAGAAATCCAACTTACAAGGGATGTGAAGGACCTCTTCAAGGGGAACTACAAATCACTGCTCAGTGAAATAAAAGAGGACACAAACAAATGGAAGAACATTCCATGCTCGTGGATAGGAAGAATCAATATCGTGAAAATGACCATACTGCCCAAGGTAATTTATAGATTCAGTGCCATCCCCATCAAGCTACCAATGACTTTCTTCACAGAATTGGAAAAAAACTACTTTAAAGTTCATGTGGAACCAAAAAAGAGCCCGCATTGCCAAGACAATCCTAAGCCAAAAGAACAAAGCTGGAGGCATCACGCTACCTGACTTCAAACTATACTACAAGGCTACAGTAACCAAAACAGCATGGTACTGGTACCAAAACAGCATGGTACTGGTACCAAAACAGAGATGTAGACCAATGGAACAGAACAGAGCCCTCAGAAATAATACCACACGTCTACAACCATCTGATCTTTGACAAACCTGACAAAAGCAAGAAATGGGGAAAGGATTCCCTATTTAATAAATGGTGCTGGGAAAACTGGCTAGCCATATGTAGAAAGCTGAAACTGGATCCCTTCTTTACACCTTATACAAAAATTAATTCAAGACGGATTAGAGACTTAAATGTTAGACCTAAAACCATAAAAACCCTAGAAAAATCCTAGGCAATACCATTCAGGATGTAGGCATGGGCAAGGACTTCATGTCTGAAACACCAAAAGCAATGGCAACAAAAGCCAAAATTGACAAATGGGATCTAATTAAACTAAAGAGCTTCTGCACAGCAAAAGAAACTACCATCAGAGTGAACAAGCAATCTACAGAATGGGAGAACATTTTTGCAATCTACCCATCTGACAAAGGGCTAATATCCAGAATCTACAAAGAACTTAAACAAATTTACAAGAAAAAATCAAACAACCCCATCAACAAGTGGGTGAAGGATATGAACAGACACTTCTCAAAAGAAGACATTTATGCAGCCAAAAAACACATGAAAAAATGCTCATCATCACTGGCCATCAGAGAAATGCAGATAAAAACCACAATGAATTACCATCTCATACCAGTTAGAATGGCGATCACTAAAAAGTCAGGAAACAACAGGTGCTGGAGAGGATGTGGAGAAATAGGAACACTTTTACACTGTTAGTGGGACTGTAAACTAGTTCAACCATCGTGGAAGACAGTGTGGCAATTCCTCAAGGATCTAGAACTAGAAATACCATTTGACCCAGCCATCCCATTACTGGGTATATACCCAAAGGATTATAAATCATGCTGCTATAAAGACACATGCACACATATGTTTATTGCGGCACTATTCACAATAGCAAAGACTTGGAACCAACCCAAATGTCCATCAATGGTAGACTGGATTAAGAAAATGTGGCACATACACACCATGGAATACTATGCAGCTGTAAAAAAGGACGAGTTCATGTCCTTTGTAGGGACATGGATGAAGCTGGAAACCATCATTCTGAGCAAACTATCGCAAGGACAGAAAACCAAACACCACATGTTCTCACTCATAGGTGGGAAATGAACAATGAGAACAGTTGGACACAGGAAGGGGAATATCACACACCAGGGCCTGTCGTAGGGTGGGGGGAGGGGGAGGGGGGAAGGATAGCCCTAGGAGATATACCTAATGTAAATGACGAGTTAATGGGTGCAGCACACCAACATGGCATATGTATACATATGTAACAAACCTGCATGTTGTGCACATGTACCCTAGAACTTAAAGTATAATAATAATAATAAAAGAAAATTATTTTTATTCATGTACAAAATGGAGTACTATTCAGCCATCAAAAAGAATGAGATCCCATCATTTGCAAGGACATGGGTGACTGGAGGTCATTATGTTAAGTGAAATAAGCCAGGTACGGAAAGATACATGTCACTTGTTCTCACTTACTTGTGGAATCTAAAAATCAAAACAATTTAAGTCATGGAGATAGAAAGTAGAAGGATGGTTACCAGGGGATGGGAAGTATAGTAGGAGGCCGGGGTGGGGGAGGTGGGGATGGTTAGTGGGTATAAAAAAATAGAATGAATAAAACCTAGTATTTGATAGCACAAGAGGGTAACTATAGTCAGTAATAATTTAACTGTACATTTAAAAATAGCAAAAAGTATAATTGAATTGTTTGCAACACAAAGGATAAATGCTTGAGGTGATGGAAATCCCATTTACCCTGATGTGATTACACATTGCATGCCCATATCAAAACATCTCATGTAACCCATAAATATATACACCTACTATGTACCCACAGAAATTAAAAATGAAAAATAAAAAAAGGTTCAATCCACCCAAAAAATAATAAATAAATAAATCAAACTTTTTGCAGGCATCTCAAGATGAAGGTTTCCTATTTGTGATTATGAAAAAAATGTCAAGAACAAGTCCCTTGGTGTTCTTAGACCAAAGTCAGAACAACAGACCTAGTAAGTATTCTCTCAGCATTCATTACATGTTAGCAACCTTCAAAGCAGTTTGTGTTCCCTCATATGGTCCTCCATGAGGTAAGTATCAGAGCTATAGTAAGATCTATTTAACAGTGAGACCCAAATGTGTCCCAAGACCACTCAGGATTGCCCTGGTAACCCTGAAGCTCGAAAATCCCTGAGATCAAGACTGAAGGAGTCTGTGTTGTTCCTCCCGCATGCTTCTTCCTTGCATGTCCCTTTTTCTTCCCTTTCTGTATCCTTTCTTCCCCATCTTTAATTTCTTCATTTCCAATGGTTTCCTGCGTCTTTACAAAATCACTTAATCTGTGGAAATAAACTGAATTTTCTATTTGCTGGTTACAGCATTAAACAATAAAAGCTAGATGGGTATTCACCAAATTTAGAGGGTATAGTTTGGAATATTTGGTCATCTAGTTTCTGTAGAGTTGATGAAATTCATTTTGTGGTGGTGGCAGGGACCTGAGAGAGATGGACTGTGATAACTCCAGTGTGGCTAAAACAGGTTCAAGAGGAAGCCTGTGTGACTGTCAATCAGAGGAGGGATGGTTCATATCAGGGTGACATGGTCAGAGTAACAAACAGTGCTTTCAAGGCAAGCTCTGATTCAAAAGCCACAAGGGCGGATGCGGGGAGGCCAGGAGCTGATCTGCAGTTGAGCTCCTTCTTCGTGGGCAACTCTATGTGGCATCCTCCAGTGAAGGCATCAGGAATCTCTTTATTTAATAATGTTTAATGATTCTCCTGTGCAAATGTGTATTAGGGCCTGCTCTGTAATTGTGGGATGGGGTGGAGGGATAAGTAAGAAATGACCCCAACTCTCTAAAATTTCACATCCTGGCAGAGCAGACTGAAGCACAAATAGTATCAAGCCCTTTATAATAGAGCAGGGGTTCTCAGTTTGGGCACTATTAACATTTAGGGTAGAATACTTTTTTTTTTTTTTTTTTTTTTTGAGACGGAGTCTCGCTCTGTCGCCCAGGCTGGAGTGCAGTGGGGCGATCTCCGCTCACTGCAAGCTCCGCCTCCCGGTTTCACGCCATTCTCCTGCCTCAGCCTCCTGAGTAGCTGGGACTACAGGCGCCCACCACCACGCCCGGCTAATGTTTTGTATTTTTAGTAGAGATGGGGTTTCACTTTGTTAGCCAGGATGGTCTCGATCTCCTGACCTCGTGATCCACCCGCCTCAGCCTCCCGAAGTGCTGGGATTATAGGCGTGAGCCACCACGCCTGGCCTAGAATACTTTTTTGTTGTGGGGACTGTCCTGGGAATTGTACAATATTTAACAGCATCCCTGGCCTCTACTTACTAGATGCCAATAGCATTCCCCTGGTCTTGAAAATCAAAAATGTCTTCAGATGTTGTCAAATATCCTCTGGGAGTAAAATTACTAGGTCATGTGTACGCCAAGTCCACTGGCTCCAAGCCCAGGACAGCACCAGGAGTTGCCCAGGAATTGCAACCTTTGTAGCTTAGACTGCCTTTCAAGTTTATTTAGGACCCAGAGCACTTTAGCTCGTGGTGGTGAGGCTAGCCAGAATTTAAGTTCTGACCCTGGGATGAACAGTTTGCCTCTGGCTAGGACTCATCTAAATGCCGCCTTCATCTATGTTGGGTGAGTTTCTGTCAAGTGTTGCTTTCCGCTGTGACAGGGCTACACTGAGTTCCAATGCAAAACCCCATCATCACTGCACTCTGCCTCCTCCAGCACACACATTCTCTCTCAATGCCATGTGGCCACTGTGGGGGGAGACAGGTGGGGTGGTGTAGGCAATTCAAAACTGTCTCTCCTACCATCTTCAGTGCCTCTTTCCTTGATATGATATTAAAATTGGGCACTGCGATTACTCAGATGAGTTTCAGTCCTTATGAAGGTGTTTTCTTATGTGGATAGTTGTTCAATTTGGTTTTCCTCTGGGGAGAGGCGGGATGATCGCTGGAGAGTTCTATTTGGCCTTCCTTCTTCCTTTCTTGAGAGAAGGTGCTCTGAGCTTAAATTATGCTAATATATGAATGCAGAGAGAAGAGAAAGAGCAGGTGCAATGAGGCAGTGAAAGCCTGAAATTAGCCGCAAGAAGGGTAAAAAGTGCAGTAATTCAGTAGAGGCTGAGAGTAACTGAGTCATCACAAAGCCAGGAGCACGGGAGAGCACAGAGCATGCCGGCTTTGGAGACACAGGTCCCAGAGCCATTACAGCATCCACAGGGCTCCTGTTGGATAAGTTGCATCTCCTTTGATCAGGGGTGTGAGGCAACTTCTATTTCCTTCCTTACCTTTGTATTCTTACAATAAACTCGAATACCTCCGGTAACACAAGCACATACCTGTGCCTCCTACCAAGAAAATAAATACCTCGATGACGTCGGGTTGTATTATATAATTGTGGGGAAGAACAGAAGGGAAAAAGGAGAGACATTAGCTCACTTTTTGGGGAAAATCCTTGCTTTGCTGAGGTGGGTAAAACATTTAAAAGTTAATCTGTTAAAGGAACTGGAATTCTCTGGGCACATGCCAACCCGCAGCTGAGACGTGGTCTGGAATTGTGTGACTAAGTAAAATGGTTCATAGGAAAAGGTTTGCCTCTGTGTCAACAGGCAGATGATTCGTAATTCATCAAGATTTAGCCAAGACAATAAGAGAAATATATGAGCATTGCAAAGGACTCATCTCAGGCATCACCTTCTCAGGGGAAGACTCTTCTAACACCCTTCTTCCCTGCGCAAGACCTAGTGTCATCCCATTCCTCCAGGGCCCGTAACACTCCTGATGCACTTCTCTCTTTGATCATACTGCATCGGATGGTACTCATCTATTTACTCATTTCTCTTCACTGGGCTATGGGATCCCTGGAGGCAGGGACTATGTTTAATACGTCTTGATATCCCCAGCCACTAACCAATGGCCTCCATATAGTAGGCACTCAATAAATTGTTGAGTGAGTAAATGAGCAAATTCACTCCTACAGTTTACCTCACGTACTTTTTAAGGAGGGGAAAAGAATCCATTTTAACTCGAGTATAGGTTTTCTTTCCTGAAGAGCATATGGATAAAGGACAGCTACTGATTTCTTCAGAGGGAGAAAAATGATAGAACAGGCCTCCATGCTATATTTCAAACTCATGTCAAGTTTTCTTTTAAAAAAATGTCTGTCCACCAGCAGTCATATCATTTTTCAAATTTCATGTCGTCCATTTTCTGAGGCTGCCCATCTGTCATTTTACGCAGAGAGTATCCATCATGATAGAAGCTAAATAATTTTCAAAGCCGTCAAGGAATGGACACAAAAAAGGTCCCCATTTCATCTGAACAAAGTTGTCCAAGGCTGGCGGTGAGGATATGACTGGGAAAGGACAGATGGCACCCTGGGAGTGCCTCTCAAATTGGTTCCAAATGGAACAAAGAAAAAATTCATTTGAGAAACTAGACTTCAGTCCTTCATGTTTTATGTTACACATGCACCTATCAGTACCATAATTAGGTAAGAGTTTATTTAGAGCAAGTGTGTCTGTAAAAATAAAATTCATTTTTTCTAATGATTATGTTTTTCTTTAAACATAGTTATGTATATAGTTTTTTCTAATTTTAATCTTAAGAGTGAATCATATTTATTTGCCGAATACAGAAAAGTGTAAGGTGGAAAGTAAAAATCACATATTATTGCATTACACAGAAGTAACCATTAATACTGTTATTTTTGATGCATTTTTTAGTCACATACACATGTTTGTACACACACACAATGTATATATGCATATTTATATATTTTGAGACAGTTTTTATATATAATATATATAATAAAATATATAACATAATTATATAATATATAAATATAATATATTATAATATATAATATATAAATATAATATATTATAATATATAATATATGTTATAAATATAATATATATTATAATATATATAATTATGTTATATATTATAATATATATAATATAATAACATAATTATATATAATATATTATATAATTATATATATATATTTTTATATATATAATATATTATATAATATATTATATATATACAATATATATTATTATATATATTATATATATAATATATTATATAATATATTATATATATTATATATAATAATATATTATTATATATATTATATATATATATTTTGAGACAGAGTTTCGCTCTTTTTGCCCAGGCTGGAGTGCAATGGCACAATCTCGGCTCACTGCAACCTCCACCTCCCCAGTTCAAGTGATTCTCCTGCCTCAGCCTCCTGAGTAGCTGGGATTACAGGTGTGTGCCACCACACCTGGCTAATTTTGTATTTTTAATAGAGATGGGGTTTCACTATGTTGACCAGGCTGGTCTCGAACTCCTGACCTCAAGGGATCCACCCACCTTGGCCTCCCAAAGTGTTGGGATTACAGGCGTGAGCCACCACACCTGGCCTATTTGAGTATATATATGTGTGTGTGTGTGTGTATATGTGCATAAACTGTAGTATTATTTACAATTTTGGTATTATATTCTTTATGGAATTTCATATCCTGCTTTTCTCACTACATTATATCTTAAATTATTTTTTATGCCATTAAGTATTCTGGGAAACATGATTTTTTTTTTACTTCAAATGTTCACGTTCTTTTTGATTTTTAAAATTTTATTTTTTAATTGACAAGGAATAATTATACATATTCATAGGGCACATAGTGATTATACATATTCATAGGGCACATAGTGATGTTTCGTTATGTGTAATGGATAGTGATCAGATCTGGGTAATTGGCATATCCATCATCTTAAACATTTATCACTTCTTTGCATTGGGGATGTTCAATATCCTCCTTCCAGCTATTTGAAACTATAATATATTATTGTTACCTATAGTCATCCTGTAGTGCTATAGAACACTAGAATGTATTCCTCCCATCTAGCTATACTTTTGTATCATTTAACAATTCCCTCCCTATTCCCTCATCCCCCTACCCTTCACAGCCTCTTGTATCTTCTGTTCTACTTTTTACTTCTATGAGATCAATTTCCTTTTTTAGCTTCCATACATGAATGAGAACATGTGGTGTTTAACTTTCCGTTTCTGGCTTATTTCACTTAACATAATGTCCTCCAGTTCTATCCATGTTGCTGCAAATGACAGGATTTCATTCTTTTTTATGAATGAATAGTATTCCATTGTGCATATATACCACATTTTCTTTATCCATTCATCTGTTGTTAGACACAGGTTGATTCCCTATCTTGGCTATTTTGAGCAGTGCTGCCATAAACATTGGAGTGCAGCTATCTCTTTGATTTAATGATTTTCTTTCCTTTGGATAGATTCCCAGTAGTGGAATCATATGGTAGTTCTATTTGTGATTTTTGAGGAAGCTCCATACTGTTTTCCATAATGGCTGTACTAGTTTACATTCCCACCAGCAGTGTATAGGAGTTCTTTTTTACTCTGAATCTTTGCCAGTATTTGTTATTTTTTTTCTCTTTTTGATAATAGCTATCCTACCAGGGGTGAGATAATACCTCATTGTGGTTTTCGTTTGCATTTCCCTGATAATTAATGATGTTGAGCATTTTAAAATACATTTGTTGGTCATCTGTGTATTTTCTTTTGAGAAATGTCTGTTCGGATCATTTGCTCATTTTTAAATTGGATTGTTTGTTTTTTTTTTTTGCTGTTGAGATGTTTGGATCCCTTGTAAATTCTGGACATTAATTCGCTGTGAGATGAGAAGTTTGCAAATATTTTCTCCTATTTTAGAAGTTGTTTTTTCACTATGTTGTTTTCTCTTCTTTTGGAAGCTTTTTAGCTTGATATAATCCCTTTTGTTTATTTTTGCTTTTGCTCTCTGTGCTTTTGAGGTCTTAATTCATAAAATATTTTTTCTGACCAATGTCTTGAAGTGTTTCCCCTGTTGTTTTCTTTCAGTAGTTTTATTGTTTTGAACTTTATATTTAGGACGTTGATCCATTTTGAGTCCATTTTTGTATAGAGTGAGAGATGGGGGTCTAGTTTTATTCTTTTGCACATGGATCTCTGGTTTTCCCAGCACCACTTATTGAAGAGACTGTCCTTTCCCCCAAATGAGTGTTTCGGTACTTTTGTAAAAAATCAGTTGGCTGTAGATATGTGGATTAATTTCTGGGTTCTCTGTTCTGTCCCATTAGCCTATGGATCTATTTTTATGTCAGTACCATGCTATTTTGTAATATATCTTTAGGTCTGGTAGTGTGATACCTCCAGCTTTGTTCTTTTTGCTCAGGATTCCTTTGGATATTCAGGATATTCTGTGGTTACATCCAAATTTTAGATTTTTTTTTCTATTTCAGTGAAGAATATCATTGGTATTTTGATAGAGATTACATTGAATCTATAGATTGCTTTGGGTCATTTTAACAATATTAACTCTTTTGATAAATGAGCATGGAATATTCTTCCATTTGTATCATCTATAATTTCTTTCATCAATATTTTACAGTTTTCATTGTAGAGGTCTTTTACCTCATTGGTATTTAATTTCCTAGGTATTTAATTTTTTAGTAGCTATTTTAAATGGGGTTACTTTCTTGATTTCTTTTTCAGCTAGTTGTTTGTGTATAGAAATGCTACTGATTTTTTTTATTATACTTTAAGTTCTGGGATACATGTGCAGAACATGCAGGTTTGTTACATAGGTATACACATGCCATGGTGGTTTGCTGCACCGATCAACCCATCATCTACATTTTGTACAATAATTTTATATACTGCAACTTTACTGAATTTGTTTATCAGTTCTAGTAGTTTTTTTGGTGGAGTTTTTAGTTTTTTCAAATATAAGATCATATCTTCAAACAAGAATAATTTGGTTTCTTTTTTCCTAATTTGGATGTCTTTTCTTTTTTTCACTTGCCGAGTTGCCCTGGTTATAACTTCCATGCTATGTTGAAAGACTGGCGAGAGTGGGCATCTTGTCTTGTTGTAGTTCTTAAAAAAGAAGCTTTCGGCATTTCCCTATTCAGAAACATATTAGCTATAGGTTTTTCATGTATCCATTTATACCTAATTTATTAAACATTTTTATCATTAAGGGATGTTTGAATTTTATCAAAAGATTTTTCTTCATCTATTGAGAGGATCATACGGTTTTAGTTCTTTTTTCTACTGATGTGATGTACAATGTTTATTGACTTGTATATGTTGAACCATCCTTGCTTCCTAGGATAAATCCCACTTGATCATGGTGTGATACCTTTTTGATGTACTGTTAGATTAGGTTTGCTAGTATTTTTTTGAGGGCTTGTTCATCTATGTTTATCAGGAATATTGGACTGTAGTTTGCATTTTTAAGTTTGTGTTCTTGTCTGGTTTTGATATCAGGTTTATGCTGGCCTTGTAGGATGAGTTAGGAAGAGTTTCTTCTGCTTCATTTTATAGAATAGTTTGAGAACTGGTGTTAATTCTTCTTTAAAGTTTCAGTAGAATTCAGTGGTTAAGCCATCTGGTCCTGGACTTTTTTGTTGGAAGACTTATTATTACTGGTTCAATCTCGTTACTTGTTATTGGTGTGTTCAGGTTTTCTATTTCTTCTTGGTTCAATCTTGCTAGGTTGTATGTGTCCAGGAATTTATCTATTTCCTCTAAGTTTTCAAATATGTTAGTGTATAGTTGTACATAGTAGTCTCTAGGGATCCTTTATATTTCTGTTGTATCTGTTGTGACATCTTTTTTTGCTTTTGATTTTATTTTGGTATTCCCTTTTTTCATAGTCTAGCAAATTGTTTATTTTATTTATCTTTTTAAAAAACTGACTTCTTGTTTTGTTAATCTTTTGTAAGTTTTTTAGTTTCAGTTTTGTTTATTTTTGTTTTGATATTTATTATTTTTTTATTCTGCTAATTTTAGGTTAGGTTTGTTCTTGCATTTTTAGTTCCTTGAGATGCATCAAGTGGTTTATTTGAAATAGTTCTAATTTTTTATGTAGGCATTTTTTGCTATAAATTTGCCTCTTAATACTGCTTTTGCTGTATCTCATAGGTTTGGGGATACTGTGTTCTATTTTTATTTATTTCAAATAATTTTTAAATTTCATTCTTTATTGCATCCTTCACCCATTGGTCATTCAGGAGCATGTTGTTTAATTTCCATGTATTCATATAATTTTGAATTTTCATCTTGTTATTAGTTCCTAGTTTTATTACATTGTAATCAGATAAAATATTTGATATGATTTTAAGTTTTTAATTTTTCTTTGAGACTTGTTTTGTATCCTAACATATGGTCAATCCTGAAGAATGGAGTGTTGTAGTCACCAAATATTATTGTATTGGGATCTATTTCTCCCTTTAGATCTAATAATATTTGCTTTATATATCTGGGTGCTCCAGTGTTGGGTGCATATATATTTATAATTGTTATATTCTCTTGCTGAATTGATCCCTTTATTATTATTTAATAGACTTCTTTGTTTCTTTTTACAGTTTTTGACATGAGTCTGTTTTGTCTGATATAAGTATAGCTACCTCTGCTTACTTTTGGTTTCCATTTGGGTGGAATATATTTTTCCATTCCTTTATTTTCAGTCTATGTGTGTCTTTACATGTGAGGTGAGTTTCTTCTAGGCAGCATATAGTTGGGTCATGTCTTTTATCCATTCAGTCAGTCTTTATCTTTTAAATGGGGAATGTAATCTGTTTACATTCAAGATTATTATTGATAGATGAGGGCATACTCTTGTTATTTTACTGATTGTTTTTTAGTTGTTTTGTATATCCTTCATTACTTACTTCCTCTCTTATTGTTAATTTTTGTGATTGGGTGGTTTTTTATCGTGATAATGTTTAATTTTTTTCCTCTTTGTCTTTTGTGTACTGGTTCTCCCAGTGAGTTTTATAGTTTTGCATGTTTTCATGGTGGTTAGCATCTTTTCACTTTTTAATGTAAGACTCTGTTGAGCATTTCTTGTGTGGCTGGTATGGTGGTGAAGAATCCCCTTAGTTTTTGCTTGTCTGTGAAAGATTTTATTTCTCTTTCATTTCTGAAGGATAGCTTTGCTGATTATAATATTCTTGGCTAGCAATATTTTTCCCCTAGTACTTTGAATATATCATCCTGTTTTCTCCTGGCCTGTAAGGTTTCTGTAGAGAAATGCATTATTAGTCTAATAGGGATTCCTTTATACGTGACCTGATGCTTTTCCATTGTTGTTTTTAGAATTCTCTTTTTGTCTTTGACTTTTGACAATTTGACTGTAATATGGCTCAGGGTAGACCTTTTTAGGTTGATTCTATTTGGGGATCTTTGAGCTTCCTGGGCCTGGATATCTATCTCTCTCCTAATACTTGGAAAAATGTTAGCTATTATTTCATAAAATATGTTTTCTATACTCTGTCTCTTCTCTTCTCCTGGAACACCCATAATGTGATATTTGTTACTTAATGATGTCCCATAAATCCTGTAGGCTGTCTTAATTTTTTTTCTTGTGTCTGCCTGTGTTATTTCAAAAGACCTTTCTTCAAGTTCAGAAATTTACTCCTCTGCTTGATCTAGTCTTTTACTGAAACTCTTGATTATATTTTTAATTTCATTCATTGAATTCTTAGCTCTAGGGTTTCTGTTTGGCTCTTTTTTCATGATAGCAATCTCCACTGAATTTCTCATTCATATCATGAGTTGTTTCCTAATGTCACTGAATTGTCTGTATTCTTATACCTTACTGAGTTTTCTTGATTATTATTTTGCATTCTTTTTCTGGCATTTCACATATTTCATTATGATTGGGGTCTGTTACTGGAGAATTATTGTGTTCCTTTGCAGGTGTCATTTCCTTGCATTTTTTATGTTTGATATGTCATGTTAATTTCCATGTATCCAGGGGAAAAGTCACCTCTTTCAATTTTATGGTGTAGAGTTTGAAGAGAAAGTTTGATTCATAATGATGTGTCTTGGAGGGTCAGTTTGGTGGGGTTTGTTGGCTTTGGTTTTATGTGAATGCAGTAGTGCAGTCTCCATGTAGTTTCTTCAGCTGTAATCCATGCTAGTGATGTTTGTGAGTGTCTCAGTGACATATGCTGAGGAAATATGTAGTGTGATTGTATGGCTTTGCTGGGGGTGGGATTGCTGGGCTGTTTCTCAGGTCAGGGGCGTGTGAGTGCTCAACCTAGGACCTGCCTTGCTAGGGTTGCAGTCATGGGACTGTTACTCTGGCTATGGGCATGGATGCACAGTTGCTTGGCCAATGTGGGAGCATGCCTGCTAGGGGCAGACCATAGGGCTTTTTCTCAGGCTCTGGACACAGTTGCAAGGCTGCTTGGCTTGCCTGTCAGTGTGTCTTCCTTCCCAGGGTTGTTTCTCAGGTCTGGGATGCAGGTGCAAGGCTACCTGACCAGCCTGGGGAGTGTCTTTTTGGGGAAGCTCACAGGGATGCTTTTGCAGCTCAGGATATAGGCGCACAGTTGCATGGCTGACATGGGGTTATGCCTGTCAGGGGCAGCCAACAGGGCTGTTTCTCAGGCCCAAGATGGGGGCACATAGCTTCTTGACTGGCTTAGGGGCATGTTAGTTGCTTGGTGGCTGAGGGAACTCTCCTGCTCAGGAGAGGGCACACAGCAGTTTGGCTGGCTCAAGAGTGGGTTTTCCCTGGGTGGAATGGCCAGGCTGTTTCTCTGGCTGGTAGTATAACAGCAGAAGGTTGGTTTCCCTGATGTGGAGGACCAGACTCACAGCCAATCTTGGGCCCATGCTCCATGTGGCTGGAGTTGTGGTGTCCAGCAACCATTGTAGCATTGGTGGAATGAAGATGGATCCCCACTGCTGGAGAGGCTACTGGACCCCAGAGCAGTGTGCACTCCAGAGGCAGCTCTGGTCTCAAGATGGCACCATGCTGCAGCAGTTTGGTTCATGGGGGTGGGGTGGGGGTGGGAAGTGTGGAAGTGCATACACATTGTGCTCCTACTCTGGGGCAATGCAGCTGCATGAATTCCCAGCAGCTCTCCAAGCCAGACTCAGGACTGTGAGATTCCTCTGCAGTAAGAACTGTAGGTGTTTGTGGTGGTGATAGGGGCTGGTGGGGATCTTCTGCTTACCTTTTTTCTGCAAGGGGAAATCCCTTCTGAATCTGGGCAGATCTGATCCAAGTGGGGAAAATGAGGCTGCAGAGGCCAGATTCCTCCATGCTGCCCTCCTGGACTTCCAGTCACTACAGATGTGTCTCCACTCCCCCACTGCACTCCAGTACTCTCTCTTCAGCACTCCAGAAAATCTTAGCCATTCATTGCCATTGTCCTTTCTTGGGGGATGAACACTAGGCCTCTCTAGTCAGCCACCTTGCTGATGTCAATCTTTGAAACATGATTTTTTAAAGGTTACATTATATTTGATTTTATTGATATACCATTATTTATGTATGGTTAGACATAATGATTATTCTGTTTTTTTGCAATGTGGTATTTTATTTATTGCATTTTCTCTGTCTTTTAGCTATTCTGTGTTTATCATCTATATAGTTCTCAAGAATCATAATCTTATCTTTTTATTAGAATGTCAAAGTTAGGTAAATGGGCTTTTAAAGAAATAACTCACAAAGATTCAACCTACAAGAAGCTTTTTGATTGTCTCTTAAATCAATGCAAGTTATTATATATGTTCACTTTTATAATATAGATTAAATTCTGTCAATTAAATGAGTATGCTTGTATCTTTCCTATTTGCTGATATGTTGTGAGATGATGTACAAGTCTTCATTTTGGATTAAAAGAGGCTGCAGATATGTGCAGAATGGGTATGAAAGTTTCCTTACAAGAGAGAATAAAAGGATGGTTTAACTCTTGCTAGAAAAACCCCAGCTTTGGCATTTGTTTGCTCAGTAACCTTGGACACTTTTTTTTTGACTTATAAGAGCCTCAACTTTCTCATCTATAAATTTGTGGGAGATAATATTATATAAGATTTTGCAGATCAGATGTTAGGATTACATGGACAAAGAATATCAATTGTGTATCACAGAGTACAATATACTAGGAGTACCCATACACAATAGACTTTGTTGTTATTATTTATTCTAGATTCTATCTTAAAGCAGGTTAAATGTTAGATGTCTCTTCTGGAAATGAGGCAGAAGTGACAGAGGCCTTGAGTTATTTGACCAAGCAGTTAAAAATGTAATTATTTTTAAGTAATCCTATACCTGGCTTTTCTTTTTAATTTTGCATAGCTTTATTGAGATGTAATTTACATACCATAAAATTCACCTGTTTACATGTAAAATTAAATGATTTTTAGTAAATTTATAGAGATGTGCAGTTATCACCACAATTCAATTTGTGAGCCATTCCATCATACCAAAAAAGTTCTCTCAGACCCATTTGCAGTTACTCTGTGTTCCTACTTTCAACTCTAGGCAACCAGTAATCTACTTTCTGTCTCTAAAGGTTTGCCCTTTCCATACGTTTCATATAGATGGAATCATATAATACGTAATCATTTGCCTCTAGTTTTTTTCACTTAATGTAGTGTTTTTGAGATTCATCTATGTCCTACCATGTATCAGTACTTTTTCCTTTTGATTGCCGAGTAGTATTCCACTGTGTGGACATATATATTTAGTTTGCTCATTCATCTATTGATGGACATTTGTATTGTTCCCAGTTTTTGGCTATTATAAATAATGTTGCTATACATATGCATGAATTGGTCTTTGTGTGGATATAAATTTTCAGTTCTCTAGGATATATACCTAGGAATGGAATTACTGGATTGTATGGTAATTTATATTTAACTTTATTTATTTATTTAAAAATTTATTTAAGAACTTTAAAAAAAATTTTAAAAATTAACAGTTTTAAAATTGTACCTATTTATGGGATGCATAGTGATGTTGCAATACATATAATGTATCGTGATCAGATCAGGGTAATTAGCGTATCTATTATAAACATTTATCACTTCTTTATATTGAGGACATTCAATATCCTCCTTCTAGCTATTTGAAACTATATAGCATTGTTAAATATAGACATCCTACAGTGTTAAAGAATTGTAGAAGTTATTCCTCCTATCTAGCTGTAATTTTGTAATCTTTAACAATTCTCTCCCTACCTCCTCATCCGCCTACTCTTCCCAGCTTCTAGTATCATCCATTCTACTTTTTACTTCTATGAGATCAACTGTTTTTAGCTTCCACACATGAATAAAAACATGCGGTGTTTAACTTTCTGGCTTATTTCACTTAACATAATGTCCTCCAGTTCCATTCATGTTGCCTCAAGTGATAAGATTTCATTATTTTTTATGAATGAATAGTATTCCATTGTGTATATATACCACATATTCTTTATCCATTCATCTGTTGTTGAATACTTAGGTTGATTCTATATCTTGACTATTGTGGGAATGCCAATGTCTTTTCAATATAATGATTTTCCTGCCTTTTGATAAATGCCCAGTAGTGCGATTGCTCGATCATATGGTAGTCTTATTTGTAGTTTTTTTGAGGTATCTCCCTACTGTTCTCCATAGTGGTTGTACTAGTTTACATTCCCACCAACAGTGTATAAGAATTGCCTTTTCTCTGAATCCTTGCTAGCGTTTGTTATTTTTTGTTTTTCCGATAATAGCTATCATAGCTGGGGTGAGATGATATCTTATTGTGGTTTTGATTTGCATTTCTCTGATGATTAGTGACGCTGAGCATTTTTTCATTGGTCATTTCTGCATTTAACTGTAAAACAATTTTCAAACTCCCTTTCAAACTGTTTTCCAAAGTGTCTGTACCCTTTTACATTTCTACTAGCAATTGTCCTGCTTTTTTTGAGTATATTCTCATTTAGCATAAATCCCAGGCCAGGCGCTTAACGTAGTGTCCTCCAGGAGGACAAGTCTTTGTGTGCTTACAGGCTCATGCCTGTAATCCGAGCACTTTGGGAGGCCATGGCTGGCAGATCACCTGAGGTCAGGAGTTCGAGACCAGCCTGGCCAACACGGCGAAACCCTGTCTCTACTAAAAATACAAAAATTAGCTGGGCGTGGTGGCACATGCCTGTAATCCCAGCTACTCGGGAGGCTGAGGCAGGAGAATCACTTGAACCCAGGAGGCAGAGGTTGCAGTGAGCCGAGATTGTGCCGTTGCACTCCAGCCTGGGTTACAGAGTGAGATTTCATCATCAACAACAACAACAACAAAATCCCCAAATATACGCACACATTTTTCAGCAAACCAGGATCTTTTGTTTACACAAACAAACAATGAGAATATCTAAAAGTTAGGACACCATGTACATAAGAATAAGCACTTTTAAGAAACTACTATGGGTAAGGCACATGACATTGTAAATACATTTTCTGTGAATACATAACAACCATATGAAGCAATTACTGTTATCACCTTTCACAGACTAACCAACAAGAACCACAAGGATTAATGAGGTTTCAAAGCAGTCCAGTGACTTGTGGGTAGCAGCATCAGGATTTGAACCCAGGTCCATTTGGTTCCAAAGCCAGTGCTGCACTGACTGCCAAAGCAAGAAACAAATTCATGCTGTCTACATGATTATCCAGATTGAGAAATAGTCTTTATTAAAGAGTGTTTAAAAATGGCTGTTAATGGCCCCAGGGATAGGCTTTCTTTCTCTTAGCCACAGCCTGTTGTCTTCACCCAAAGCAGACGGAAGGATAAGGATCAACATTTCATGGCAAATATGCTGAGAGTCTGGAACTGAAATGAAGGTTGCCTGGGGCCTCTGTGAGAGAAGGCGTCTGGAACTGTTCGGTGTGCTTCTGCTACACTGGCCTGCGGCCTATGCCCAGCTCTGCCTTTTTCTAGCTGTGTGACTTTGAGCACATTGGTCAACCTCTCTGAACCTGTAGATGAAGGTGAATAACAGTTGCACATCTTGGGTGGTGGTGAGGATTTGAAGTACTTGAAATCATTAACGGGGAAGTTTCACCACTGTGCAGTACCAAGTGCTGACAATAGGACCCTTCCTTCCTGTCTTAGTCCACTGGGGCTGCTCTACCCATAATGCTATAGATTGGATGGCTTATCAACAACAGAAATTTATGTGTCAGTTCTTGAGACTGGGAAGTCCATGATCAAGGCTGCAGCATATTCGGTGTCTGATGAGGACCCACTTTTTGGCTCATAGACAGCCATCTTGCTGTGTGTCCTCACATGGTGAAATGAGCTCTCTGGGGTCTCTTTGACAAGGGCATTAATCCCGTTCATGAGGGCTCCATCTTCATGGCCTAATACCTTCCAAAGGCCCCACATCCTAGTATCATCACCTTGGGGATTAAGATTTCAACGTAGGCATTTTGTGGAATCACAACCACTATGGGACTATAGGACTATAAGACTTCCACACTGTCACCTTTTCTCTTTTGAGAGGCTTATGAGTGTCCTGAGCTGTCAAAAAAGAGGACTAGCCATTTAGGAGCAGTCCTGATGGGGATCAGAAAATTCTTTGGACATGTGTGGGAGACTCTTCTGCAGGACAGTACAAGGGTGAGGTGGCTGGCAAGGGACAGCCCCTACCTGCCTGAGAAGCGAATAGCCAGGGAAAGGAGACAAGGGCTCACCTGGCACAAGGCTTCCTGCTGTGAGCAAGGGATGGTGCTTTGAACTCTCTCAGGGCTAACTGCCTCTTCCAGGTGGCCCTGCCTACAACTGAGTTCCAGATACTGTTCCAACCTCCTCTGAGCTCCATTGAGTCACTGGGCACTCCCAGCCCAGGTGACTTTCATCTCATCTCTCCAGGAGCAGGCTAGTCATCCTCTCCCTCTATCCCAGTGGTTCTCAACCTTGGCTGCATATTGGAATCATTTGGCAGAACATAAAAAGATAATGATGCCCAAACCCTACTCCCGGAGATCCTGATTTAATTGGCCTGGGGTGTGTCCTAGGCGTTGGAATTTTTTCCAGGTGATTCTAACATGCAGCTAGGCATGAGAGTCATTGCTTGTTCTCACTGCAAATCAGTATCATGTCATTTTCTATCTCCAGAATGAGGTGGAGCTAGCTGGCCTATACTGGTTTGTGAGAGCCCATTATTGAAATCTCAGGAACTTTACAAACCAGTTATTAAGAATGGTCATTATTAAAAAAAAATTATATGAACTTTCAATTAAATAAATTTGATTAGCAGCAAAGATAATAAAGTCTCAAAACTAAGTAATTCCTAATTATTTTGCATTTTACTGTTACCTACACTTTACGTTATTTGCATCTATTGCATCTCTGTTACATAGTATGACAATACTATATAATCATGTACTATGGTGAATCATTTCCCACTTCCACGTTCAGTGACATCATGTTAGTAGCTTGAAATAGTTCATGGTGGGAATATTTACACCACAGACATTGGCAAACGATACAAGTCAAGGCTTTATTTATTGTTTTGCTGATTGTCTAGGCTTGAGAAAATGACAGAAGTCCTGTTAATAATGCAGATTAAACTTGAATACGTTTCATGTCTATAGCTGTTGTGAAGAGCAAAAGAACTGAGGTCATATTCTTTGAGTATTTGAAAGCTATGACATGATTCAGCAATAAAGCAGCTCATATCATCAGTGAGTAAGTATAATTTCCATATTTTTGTATTTTCACTTTAATTTTACTCTTTACTGTAGACAAAAATGTTAGCCAATAATCATGTCTCCGCTATACTCATTTATCAATTGTAACCATAGGTTGACTGTGGGGACAAGGGCTGAGAAGGAAATCAATGAAAGTATTATGTGAGAATCAATTAACTCTATGGAATTTATAATAAATACTGAATATCTTATTATTATTTGCAAATTGTGTGCAACATATCCTTTATATCAGTAAAATTTGTAGCAAACATCTATGTGTATATATACATCCTTTTTTTTTTCCTCGAGAACCAGTTGTTAAACTTACACTAGCATGCTACCACCTACCTCCACACCTTTCTTCAAAAGATCTTTATCCCCTGACTCACTCTCTTTTCTCCATATTCCTGATAAGGCTGTTCTTCCAGAAGCCAGAGGAAAGCCCTTTGTTATAGTCTTTACAGGTTAGCCTTCCACACCTCTTGGAGAAGAATGGGAGGGATCTGGAGGGGCAAACAGAAGATATACGACATAATTAGCTGTTTTTTAAAAATTATTAATAGATTTCAGCTGTGCCTGGAAGCACTCAATCCTCCAGTCACTCTGTGGCTAGATATTATTTCTAAACACATATGAAACCTGCTGCAACAACAAAATCTATAAAATACATGTCTGCTTTTCTTTCTACTGATGGTCCACATGGATAGTAAGAAATGCATCCACAGAGGCACTGCCCACGTCTTAAAACATGAGAGAAAAGGATAACAGCTATGAACAGCATGTTAAGGCTTAGGTTTCTTGGCATGTCCTGTGATAGTGTCCTTGTCATCTATTTCTGCATAACAAACCACTTAAAGACTTAATGACTCAAAACAGTGACAAACATTTATCCTGTGCACAAGTCTGTAATTTGAATAGGGCTCCGTGGAGAAGACTTGAATCCACTCCACATAGCATTGGTTGTGGGGATTGACTTAGGGCTGGAGGATCTAAATCCTCTATGCTCACTCCCATGGCTGGTGAATTGATGTTGGCAATCAGCTAGGAGTCCAGGGGGCTTTGGCTCCTCTTTACGTGGCCTGGGCTTCCTTACAACATGATGGTTGGATTCCAGGGGCAAATGTTCTAAACTAGCTGAAAGCCATGTTGCCGTGTATGACTTAGCTTTAGAAGGCACATAGCATTACTTATGCTGTATTCTATTATTTGATGCAGACAAAAAGCCCCATCCAGGTTCAAGCGACTCCACATCTTAACGGGGGAGTGAGAAGTTCTGGAAGAGCATGTAGGACAGGAAATACTATTGTGACCCTTTTTAGAAATTATAATCTGTCACAGCTAGAAAGGAAGAGAACGCCTCCCAAAACACTGCATGTCCCTGGTGTCTTGTGTTTTGTGCAAGAAATCAGCAGGACATATTCCACGACTAGTCCAGAATGACAAGTGGTAAGAATTGAGAAATGGGGGTCAACTGAGGTGAAGGGGAAATATGTTGTTTTTACTAACAGAAATGTCTAAAGAGTTAATGATACTTCAGGTCATTTTTCAATAGACTGTAGGTATGTGAAACAGTGGAAGTGTTCCATTATGAAAAGCTTAATCGAGATAGCCAATGGAAGTATTGAAAGGTCATTACCATAATACATTTGCAGAAGAAGCGCTCCAAATCATTGTGAAACTCCATGGCCGCATACTCCACAATTACCTGGAGTAGAGAGACAGTCAGGGTGCCCCATGCCATCTCCCCCAGAATGGAAAAAGACAAGTTGCTCACATGAGAATCCAAATGAAGTGTGTCAGAAACAAACAGTACTCACATTAGGCAGGGATAAAGTTCTAGCTGCAGAATGATTAAATACTTTTTTTTTTTAATGGGAAGAGACCTTTTTAAACCTTTTTAAAGGTTGCGTAGATGCAGAGACTCTGAGATAAAGGGATTCTTTTCCAACCAAAGTATAGGTAGTTTTCTTTGGTTAGTTAAAGAAGCTTAAATGGACATGACCCCTAGAAGGGATCGTTTATTTTATGAAAAGCATCCAGAATATACAATCAGTTATGTGTGGTTCACACAGTTCTGTTAGCTAAAAAGGGACCAAGGTAAGATTGTGTGTCTTTTTACAGATACTATTTTGACATAATTTCTGACTTAGAGAAAAGTTGCAAAAATGCAGAAATAATATTTACCCAGATTGCTCAGATGTTAAATGTTTAGAATATTTGCTTTTTTCCCCTTCCTCCCTCCCTCCCTCCTTCCTTCCTTCCTTCCTTCCTTCCTTCCTTCCTTCCTTCCTTCCTTTTCTTTTGTCTTTTTTTTTTTCTTTTTTTTTGAGACGGAGTCTCACTCTGTTGCCCAGGCTGGAGTGCAGTGACAAGATCTCAGCTTACTGCAACCTCCATCTCCCAGGTTCAAGCAATTCTCTTGCCTCAGCCTACCAAGTAGCTAGGATTACAGGCACATGCCACCACAGTTGGCTAATTTTTGTATTTTTAGTAGAGACAGGATTTCACCATATTGGCCAGGCTGGTCTCAAACTCCTGACCTCAAGTGATCTGCCTGCCTCAGACTCCCACTTTATCTCTTTCTTTCCTTTCTTCTTTCCTTTCTCCTTTCCTTCCCCTTCCCCTTCCATTTCCCCTTCCCTTCCCTCCTTTCCTTTTTCCTTTCAAGACAGGCTCTTGCTCTGTTTCCCAGGCTGGAGTGCAGTGACATGATGATGACTCACTGCAACCTGGACCTCCTGGGCTCAAGCAGTCCTCCCCACTCAGTCCTAGTAGCTGAGACCATGGGCGCACACCATCACACAGGGCTAATTTTTAAATTTTTTGTAGACAAGGTATCACTGTGTTGCCCAGGCTGGTCTCAAACTCCTGGTCTCAAGTGATCTTCCCGCCTCGACTTCCCAAAGTGCTGAGATTACAGGCATGAGCCACCAGGCCTGGCCTCTTTCTCTTTAATCTATCTCTATCTGTATCTCTGTCTCTGTCTCTACCTCTATCTCTCTCTCTACCTCTGGCTCTTTCTCTATATCATAAACATATAGTCTGCATCTATGTCTATATGTCTAGGAAGAGAAATATACATACAGATAGATATGTGTTTGCATCAGATATAAGTGATGATTTTTCAGAACCATTTAAGAGTAAGTTGCAGACAGGATGTCCCTTTATCCCTAAATACAATGTTTATTTACTAAAAACAAATTCTCAAATTTTCTTACATAATGAAAACACAAGTATCATAACTAGAAAATTAAAATTAATATAATGTTACTATCTAATATAAAGACTTCATTCAAATTTTTCTATTTTTCCCAATAATGTTCTTTATAGTAAAATAAAATTTAAGACCATGTGTTTTTTATAGTAAAATGAAATCTAAGATCAAACATAAAACTGATGTCTTGATAAACTCAGTTCTGTTACTGTACCTGAAAAATGGGTCGATAGACATATAAACTCTTAGTTATATTTGCAAAGTCACAGAGAACCCATTTTAAAATGGCCTTCCCTGGGCATGTTAGGCTGAAACCTACAACTCTTTTTGTTGGGCCAGGCAGAGAAGAATTTCTTGTTGGGATTCCTAGAAGACTGGCACTACACTTAGTGTACAGGCAATACTTGTTAAATGTTTATTTAACACTGAATAAGTATTAACATTGTAACATTAAGCATTATATGTTTAATGTAATTAATATAATGTAATTAGTTATGTAATATAATTAATGTAACCTAATGTAATATAATTATATGTAAATAGTATAACATTAAACAACCAAACCTAGAAAAAAACTCAGATTTAAAAGTAGTTTCTGTATCACCTAAGAATAAAAATATTTTAAACCTAAGTCATCCGGGGCTTGAATTTTCTAATTGAAAATTAGAGGCTTAGGAGGATGTTAAAAAAATCTTTATATTACTTGGGTATCATTGGGTGAACTGTGATGTTATTTATAATAGTTGTCACAATCACCTTTGAAATTCTAGCAACTCTGACACATTGAGGAGAATAAACAGATTTTTCTCCTTATCAAAACTAGTCCTTTTACTAGAATCTAAAGCTGTCCTTCGGATTCAGACTGAGGACACTGTGACTACTGAGGCAAGGATGTGAATGCCAGGGGTGTGTGTAGAAGGTGAGCCCAGGAAGCACTGGTAGGAGAGTCAAGATGTGAGACAGGAAAAGGTAGAAACAAATAAAGAGTGAATTATCTAGTAAGTCATGACTGTGGAAAACTGGGGCTCACCCCCACTGGGCGACTCATGGAAAGAGTGAAGAACAGAGTTCTATGGAGTTATTCCAACAGAGAGTCCAGGAAGCTAGTGTATTTATGTACCCAATCCCACCGGTTGCTGGTGAAAGCCTGCTGCCAACAATACTAAGGCCCCAGCATATCCAGTCTGCCTCATGTGAGGGGCTAATGGTCTCTGGCAGCCTGCAAAATCCCTCTTGCAAGGGCTCCCAGAGGCTTATAGCTGGAACCTGCCATGTCAGGCTGCACGGGCATGATGCTTGCCTAGGGATAGAGATGGAGCACCTTCAGCTTCTACGTTTTCCATTCCTGCCATTTGGAACCAGGTTTAATGGAATTAGAGAAGCATTTGAAAAATTAGATATTTGTTGTTTAAGAAAATATGATCAATGAAGAGTCAAACTACTTCTTCTTCTTCTTCTTTTTTAATGAAATGAACAGGTAAAAGTCCTTCTATGGCTTAGCCATCCCAGACTCCAGTAGAAATGGGTATGAAGATAATTGCATTATAGCTAACGAGTAGTGGAAAGAGTGAAGCTAACACCAATCGCTTGAGGGAACAAGTAAATTAAATGCTGATGACCTTGACCAGGCAGCAAACTACATTCATTGATTATTTTAATTTTCTCTCTTCTACACTCAGTTAAACATCCATAGCAGTGGATTTCAAGGTAACTAAAAGGTTGTTTAGCATACTTTTAAAAGAGTCAGGAATAGCAGAACAAAAAGGCCCCTATCAAACAAACAAAAAAATACCTCATCTGATGTGTGTCCTCTATATGTGGGTGTACATGAGTGATTATTTGCCTCTATGTATCTGCTCCTCAGAAGGGATGCATATGTGTTTCAACAGAAAGGAAGAAAAAGAGAAAATTGACAGGTAGAACATTTGAATAAAAAAGGGAGGAATGTCCTATCCTGGGTAATTCTGTTATGTGCAGCATTTTAAAACTGTGATATTATGTGGTAGAAGGAAATAAAAACTTGAGGGGAGGATAATAAAATGAAAGTGAGAAGGTGAATTTTTGTAGTTCTGGCTTCTTAGATGTCCACTGCATTTATCTGAAAAAGGAACTCAACCTGCTTGAAAATTTAGGCTTTACAAACAAAGTAAAACAAAAACAGTTTAAAGATATTTCTACTTTTAAAAAATTTTTATTTATTTATGTATTTATTTGTTTGTTTGTTTATTTTTGAGACAGAGTCTCACTCTGTTGCCCAGGCTGGAGTGCAGTGGCATGATCTTGCTCACTGCAACCTCTGCCTCCTGGGTTCAAGTGATTCTCCTGCCTCAGCCTCCCTAGTAGCTGGGATTACAGGCACGCCACCACCACGCCCGGCTAACTTTTGTATTTATAGTAGAGACAGGGTTTCACCATGTTGGCCAAGCTGGTCTCGAACTCCTGACAGGTGATCCTCCCGCCTGGGCCTCCAAAAGTGCTGGGATTTACACGTGTGAGCCACCGTGCCAGGCCAAAAGATATTTCTAAAATGACTAACTAGTTGTTGAGTTTTGATGGGGATTATACTAAATCAGAAATAGTAATCAAAATTAAAGAATTAATAAGGAAATAATTTGAGTTATAGTGAAGGGTCTTTTTAAGAGAATATAAATCCAACCAGATGATATTTAAATATGCCTTTCTGTTTTCACCATTTAATGGCTTGTCTGGATTAAGTTGTTGAAGGACTAGGGCTGTGTTAGGATTTGAATGTGTCCTCACGAAAGCATGTGTTAGAAACTTAATCTCCAGGGCAATAGGGTTGGGAGGTGGGGCCTATTAGGAGGTGATTAGGACAGGAGGGTTCTGCCCTCATGAATGGATTAATGTCATTGTCATGGGAATAGGTTATTTATCTTCAAAGTTGGTTCATTATAAAAAAGCGAATTCAGTGCTCCCCTACTCCCTGCCATCCCCCTCTCACCCTCTTGCCTTCTGCCAAGGGATGACTCAGCAAGCAGGCCCTTGCCAGAGGCTGTTGCCTCAGTATTGGACTTTCCAGCCTTAAGAGCTGTGAGAAATAAAAAAATAAGTTTATTTTCTTATAAGTAACCCAGTCTCTGTTATTCTGTTAAAGTAGTGTGAAACAGATGAAGACAGGCTGCTTTGTGAAAAGTGGTTATATGAACACAAAAGTTTATTCTTCCAGGAGCACTGTTAAGAAGAGTTAGTTGGGCCATCATTCTGGTTCTTGAACTTTAAAAAGCAGGGGAAATGTCCAAATGAAACTCTGACACTAAAGGATTCATGTTAGAAAAACGTTAATGCCAAGAGTTGTGCTAAAAAAAAATGATAATGCAGTTGTACTGGTATTAAGCACTTTCAATCCTCTATAAAAAGTGCAAACAGGCCAGGCACAGTGGCTTATGTCTGTAATCCCAGCACTTTGGGAGGCTGAGGTGGGCAGATCGTGAGGTCAGGAGTTTGAGAGCAGCCTGACCAACATAGTGAAACCCTGTCTCTACTAAAAATAAAAAAATGATCTGGGCATGGTGGCACACACCTGTAATCCCAGCTACTCAGGAGGCTGAGGCAGGCGAATTGCTTGAACCCAGGAGGCAGAGGTTGCAGTGAGCCGAGATCATGCCACTGCACTCCAGACTGGGTGACAGAGGGAGACTCCATCTCAAAAAAAAAAACAAAAAAAAAACAAAAAAAACTGGGAGCAGATTCTAAGAGGTCATCCCGCTTCTCTTTTTTCATTTCTTAAGTCCTCTGAACACATCAGTGAGGTGGAGGCAGCACATTTTAAAATATGGGGCTTTCTCTATTCCCCATGAGAAAGATAAGCCTTGATTGACTTTCCCTTACTTTTATCAAACTTAAGCCAGATACATCTCAAAGTTCCATTTTGTCTTCTACTTCAGCACATGTCCTGTGCAGGAAAAGTCACTGGAATTGAGGAATTCTGGAGATACGTCATTAGTGCTAGCACATGCTGATAACTTCTAGCTGGAACAGGGAAGAGGCTGGAAGGCATGTGTCTCCAGTGCATCCCAAAGTCCAGGGAACCTTAGTAGATAAAGATGCTGACTTCTCTTTTCTAACCATGCCTGGTCCCACAGAACCCAGCATCAGCACTTACGGGTACTGTATATAAGGCTTCAAGTCTAGATGTTTTATCTCTGTCCTTGATTCCCTGATTTTTATTCATGTATTTTTTTCAGTTTTATTGAGGTATAATTGGTTTATTAGTCTGCTTTCACACTGCTATAAAGAAATACCCGAAACTGGGTAACTTATAAGAAAAGACGTTGAATTGATTCACAGTTCCACACAGCTGGGGAGGCCTCAGGAAACATGGCAGACAGTGAAGGGGAAGCAAGGACCTTCTTCACATGGCAGCAGGAGAGAGAGAATGAGTGAAGGAGGAACTTGCCAAACACGTATAAAACCATCAGATCTTGTGAGAACTCACTCACTATCATGAGAACAGCACGGAGGGGAAACCGCCTCCATGATCCCGTCACCTCCCACCAGGTTTTTCCCTCAACACCTGGAGATTATGGGGATTACAATTCAACATGAGATTTGAGTGGGGACACAAAGCCTAACCATATTAATTGATGAATACAAATTGTATAAATCAAGGTGTTCAACATGTTTTTATATACATATATATTGTGAGACACTGGCTACAATCAAGCTAGTTAACACATCTATCACCTCACATAGTTACCCTTGATTTTTAATTTTTTATTATTTCATACACTATTAGAACAAAAACAAGGTATTGACTTGGGTTGCCATGTAAGTTCCTTAGACACACATATATGTGCACACAGACACACACACACACAGTCACACACTCCCATCATCCAATATCACTGCTATTCCATTCTCACTTAAAAGGGCATGCAGCTTATTTATTTATTTATTTATTTTTGAGATGGAGTCTCACTCTGTTGCCCAGGCTGGAGTGCAGTGGCGTGATTTTGGCTCACTGCAACCTCCGCCTCCTGGGCTCAAGCGATTCTTGTGCCTCAGCCTCCTGAGTAGCTGGGACTATAGGCATGTTCCCCCATGTCTGGCTAATTTTTTGTACTTTAGTAAAGACGGGGTTTCACCATGTTGCCCGGCTTGTCTTGAACTCCTGAGCTCAGGCGATCTGCCCGCCTAGGCCTCCCAAAGCACTGGGATTACAGGTGTGAGCCACCACACCCAGCCCATTTAAAAGTTTTTTACCATCAAAAATAGTGAGGAAAATATCCCACTTAAAAGGGCATGTAGCAAAAGTATCACTCTACTGCAATAGAAATAACTAATAGGGGAAACTGAGCATCTGGTGGGAGGAAGGTGGGACTTCCCTGTGCTTTTGGATCAATTTTTCTGTAAACCTAAAACTGTCCTGAAAAAAATAAAGTCTACTAATTTAAAAAAAGTATGTCAAATGGCACAGTCACTATATGAAACAGTTTTGCAGCTCCCCAAAACCTTGAACATAGAATTACCACAAGACTCAGCAATTCGACTCCTTGGTGTATACCACAAAACTGAAAACAGACACTCAAACAAATACTTGTACACAAATATTCATAGCAGCATTATCCACAATTGCCAAATGGTGTAAACAACCCAGATGTCCATCGACATATAAATGGATAAACAAAATATGCGATATGTGAATATGTTGAATGCCCCTAAATTATACACTTTAAAATGGTAATTTTCTATTACATACATTTTATCTCAAAAAAGAACCAATAGAGGAGCATCCTACAAAATAGCTGACCAGTCCTCAAAATGAACAAGATTTTCCAAAATAAGGAAAGACTGAGAAACTGTCACAGTCAAGAAGATCCTAAGGAGACGTGACTCCTAGATTTAATGTGGTCTCATCAATGGAACCCTAGAACACAAAAAGGACATTAGGTAAAAAAATAAGGAAGTCTAAGTAAATTATAGATTTTAGTTTGTAACAATGTATTAATATTATTTCATTAAATGTAACGTGGCACACTAAGATGTTAGTAAGAGGAAATACTGGATGGAGGGTACATGGGAATTTTCTAAGATATCTTACAATTTTTCTGTAAATCTAAACTACTCTATAATTAATAAAGTTGATTTAAAGAAAGGAGCAGCTACATGTGCCTTTTGTGCTCTGTCTTTCCCCACTCTTTCCTCCATGTATGTAACTCGGAGCTTACAGGAGGAGCCTTGAGGACAAGGATGTACACCAAGGATAGTGAGTGGGAGGCAGAGGTAGCCACCTGCTTCCTGCCCTGTCCCGCTGTCTTCACACTTCTTGTTACATGAGAATAAGAACATAAAAGAAAAATTTAAAAAGGACCATTCTTTTAAATCAAATACATTTTGTTTAATTAAAAATTCACTGTTACCATATGTATTAGTTTCTTAGGTTTTTCATCATAAAGGACCACAAATGGGTTGACTTAAAGCAATAGCATTTTATTGTCTCACAGTTCTGGAGGTCAGAAGTCCAAAATCAAGGTGTAGAGCCACGTGCCCACTGAAATTCTGGATGGAATCTTTTCTTGCCTCTTCCCAGCTCCTGGTGGTGATGCTTTACCTCTGGCATTCCTTGGCTTGCAGCCACATCACTCCAATTTGCCTCCGTCTTCACACACTGTTCTCCCTGTGTGTCTTGGTTTTCAGGTAGCATTTCCCTCCTCTTACAAGGACACCATCATGTTAGATTAGATCTTCCCCCATCTCCCCAACCTGCCCATGACATCATCTTGACTACATCTGCAAAGGCCTTATTTTCAAATAAGACCACATTCATCAATATCAGTGGCTAGAACTTCAACATATCTTTTGGGAAACATAATTCAACCTGTAACACTGCATTTTTCTCATTCTATAATGGACATATGAAAACATTTTTAGAGACTAGCATGGGCCTATGGACAGGCATTTGGGATGAATGACATGTGTGATTTAAAAAATCTTCACAACTTTATGAAGTTCATGACCAAGACTTACTATCCCATTTTGCAGGTGATGAAATTGAGACATAGGAAATGTAAGTCAGTTTTTCCTGGGTTGCACAGTTAGGAAATGATGGATTCAGAATTTAAACCTAGACTGTCCTCAGAGTTCTTGCTCTTTCTATCAAATTGTTCTCAGGCTGAATGAGCTTTTAGTGAATCAGATCAGGAAATACAGAATGAGATTCTGATTGGAGGCTTATCCTGAAACATTCTTAGCCTCCTTTATATTCATTTAGGCTTTTCCTTCCTCGCTTTTCCTGCCACCGTCCTCATTGAACTGAAGGCTCGCCTCATAACCACGCTTGCAAGCCTCTCGCTCCTTCTACCATTGTGGCTTTCAAATTTGATTTACTGAAATCTACTTGTCTAAATGATAGAATCGAGAAAGCTTTTACCAAGTAAGTTTATCACAGAAATGTAACTATTATGTGTATTGTGCAAAATGGTTCTTTTTTTTAAATCCAGGCAAATACATTGGAGTCATTAATTTGAATACTAAGTACAAGGTTCTGTTTAAAAATCCACAAGATGAATAACAAATCATAATTCTGGCAAGGCAAAGACATTCTTCAAAGCCATCGTTTGTATAATCCATTGAAGATACTATGATAGTAGCTCGTTGATGGCTGATTTAGAGTCTAGCACACGTGCCATTACCTTTCTTTTGAGATATATTTCATGCGTCCTCACATTACAAGCAGTTGCTGACTTCAAAATGGATTGGGTTACAAAAGTTCATCTGAACTATATTCTTTGATATTCAGAATGTTTCGCACATCCTTATAAAGCACCTGTTATGTGACTATCTTGCGCTTGGCTGTGTAGATAAAACAATTAAAAAAAAAACAAATAGGGTCCTTGTTTTTTGAGAGTTTAAATGGGATGAAGGTGGTGCATTGAATTACAGGTCTCAGCTCTTCACTCCTCTTTGGACATCCCTGCCCTGAGCCCCCTGACTTTCATTTTCTTGTATATAGACCGTACTTCCCCTTTCCTTGGCTGTGGGGTTGACTGTGTGACTTGCTTTTGGCCAATGAGGTGTTAGCAGATGCTGCAAGCTAGATTTTGCCAAGTGCCTGAGCAGTTGAGCTTGCCCTGTGCCATGGCAGTGAGGAGTGCTTCCTCCGGGTGTTTATGCCCTTTACCCTGAGCCTGGAATTCACATATGTGCTGCCCACACCCCAGCTGCTCCAAGGACCTGCAGCATTATAGCTGCCCCAGCCAACCCACAGAACCCTAAGAGAGAATATATATCCTTGTCATTCTAAGTCGCTGAGTTTTGCCATTGCATAGCATGTTTATGGCAATAGTTAAATGATAGAGGTGGGGAGAACGCCCGCACTACACAAAGAGTTCCAAAAAATAAACCTGTAATCACTGGGGCATGGTGCAGACATAGAGTGTGTTGAGACACAGAGCAGTATATGCAATGGGGCTTCTGAGACATCAAGAAGGTCTCCCCAAGCAAGTGGCTTTCAAGCTAAGACCCAAAGGGTGAGCAGGAATTGGTTGGGTGAAGAGAGAGGGGAAAGGAATCCCAAGTAGAGGGATTGGCACCTGCAAAGGCCCTGACTGAGGTTGGAATAAATTTGGTGTTGAGATGAAGCAGCAGCTGGTGAGGGGACCAGATAATACAGGGCTTTGTAGAAGGAGGATTTTGAAATTTATTCTAAGAGCATTTTATTGTAGAATCCTAGTACAGTCAACCCTCTGTATACACGGGGTTCCCAGACATACTCAAATCCTGCTGTCCACTGTGTGGAACCTGTTTATAGGAAAAGTTGACCCTCCGTAGAAGCAGGTTTTGCTTGTTTGGTTGAAAAAAATCTGTATGTAGTGGACCTACACAGTTTAAATCAATGTTGTTCAAAGGTCAACTGTACATGAGACTCCTGTGGCTGGCTTAGCAAACCAAATTTCCCCTTAGGGGTGTTCATCCATGAGGTTATTCCGTTTTTCTTTGATTACTGCTCCTGCGTATGTTCAGGTGAATCTTCTCTCCCCTTTGGGTAGCACATCCCTTCATGATGTCTTGGACAGATTGCATAACTTTTCGTTCCCTTTTAGCTGCTAAAATCCTATCTGGTTTAAAATTTTAATCATTTGTTCACGGTGAACATTCCCTTCAGTTATGGACAGGCAGGCTTGTGGCTACAGAAATGTTAAGCTGGGGACCAAGTTATGATCTATGTACTTACTTCTCTCACTCTCTTAAACCCTTGGAGTGGAGTGGGCCACAGGTTGTGTGGCGGATGCTATAGGGCACCTCCCAGATCCCCTTCTGGACAAAGGACTTGCTGAGAGTGATGCAGGCAGATGTTCCTCCGTGGTCATCCCACTTTCAGGGGTCCTGCAGCTGAAGAGAGACACTCCACCTATTTCCTGGGACGGTCTGCATCCATTGACCAATTGATCCTCTAACCCCAATTCCGGATAGCTCTGAAGGTCACCCCAGCTTCAGAACTCCCTGCAGAGTTGGCTGAGGCTTGCACTGTCACGGCATCATAGCTCAGCTTCTCCCTCTGCTCATTCTCACTCCCTCACTTCCCTTCCACTGGCGTGGTTCCTCTCTTAGTCTTCTTGAGCTGCTATAATAAAATGCCACAGGCTGGGTGGCTTAAAAAACAGAAATTTATTTTCTGATAATGCTGGAGGCTAGAAGTCCAAGATCAAGGTGCCAGTAAGCATGGTTTTTGGTGGGGACTCCCTTCCTGGTTTGCAGATGGCTGCCTTCCAGCTGTGTCCTTACATGGTGTAGTAGTCAAGGTTCTCTAGAGGGACAAGACTAATAGGATAGACATGTATATGAAAGTGAATTTATTATGGACTATTAACTCACACGATCACAAGGTGAAGTCCCATAATAGACCATCTGCAAGATGAGGAGCAACGAAGCCAGTCCAAGTCTCAAAGCCTCAAAAGTAGGGAGGCTGACAGTGCAGCCTTCATTCTGTGGCCTACACCACTGGTGTAACATCCAAGAGTCCCACAGCTGAAGAACTTTAAGTACGATGTTCGAGGGCAGGAAGCATCCAGCATGGGAGAAAGACAGTGGCCAGAAGACTTGGCCAGTCTTGTCCTTCCGCTTTCCTCTGCCTGCTTTTTCCCAGCTGTGCTGGCAGCTGATTAGATGGTGCCCACCCAGATTGAGGATGGATCTGCCTCTCCCAGTCCACTGACTCAAATGTTAATCTCCTTTGGCAAGACTCTCACAGACACACCCAGGAACAATACTTTGCATCCTTCGATCCAATCGAGTTGACACTCAACATTAACCGTCACACATGGGTTTCCTATATGCAGGGGAGAAGAGAGAGGGAGCTCTGTGTTTCTTCCTTTTCTTACAAGGACACCAGTGTTATTGGCTCAGGGCCTCAGCCTCATAGTTAAGGTCATTTAACCTTAACTGCCTTCTTAAAGGCTCTGTCTCCAAATACTGCCATATTGGTGATTAGGGTTTAAACACGGAAGTTTTGGTGGGGACACTAGTCAGTCCATAGCTGTTTCCCAAGATACTCATCTCTGTCTCAGTCTGTTTCTCAGGAACCCAACCTACCATGAGCTGCTTGTGCCTCTCATCTGGCTCCATTTGCTCAGATTGCTTTATGGAAGAAATGCTAAAAATAAAAGGGATAATTTTCAAAAAATAAACTGTTATTAAAAAATAATTTTAGATTTACAGAAAAGTTGCAAAAATGGTACAGTTTCTATAACCCTCACCCAGTTCCTGTAAGGCTTTCTTCTCACATTAACAGGATACATTTGTCGAAATTAAGAAACCAACATTGGTACATTACTGTCAACTAAACTTCAGGCTGTATTTGGGTTTCTCCAGTTTTTCTTTAATGTCTCACTTCTGTTCCAGGAATTAGCCCAGATACCACTTTTCATATAACCATGTCTCTTTAATCTCCCCTGGTCTGTGATAAGTTTCAGTCTTTCCTTGTTTTTTCATGACCCTGGCAATTTTGAAGAGTGCCAATTGGATATTTTGCAGAACGTCACTCCAGTTTGGGGTTATCTTCTTTTGTGCAATTAGAGTGAGATTTTGGGTTTTAGGGAGGAAAACGGCAGAGGTGAAGTGCCTTCTCATCATATCCTCTTGGGCCACATGATGTCCACGTGACATCACTGGGATGTTAGCCTTGATCTCTTGGTTGAGGTGGTGTTTGCAGGTTTCTCCACTGGAACATTTCTCTTTTTCCCTTTTCATACTCTGCTTGTTGGATGTAGACAAGCATCTTTTGCTTAACGTGCTTGTCTTCTCTCTGGACATTGCATCTCTGCTAACACTGCCTGGCCCCTGTGCCTCTCAAGGCAGGTGTCCAGATGCTGGCTCTCTTGGAGTATCTGACCCAGCAACAGTGGGTGACATGAAGTACTGGCTCTGGTTCAACCCATTTAGCTTCTACCCTGGAGGAAAATGAGGCCAAAGGAAGTTAAAGACCCAGCGAATCAGGGTCAACTTATTGACTTGGTGTCAGGTCTTCTGTCCTCAATCCAGCATTATTTCTTAACCTGATATGACTATGGACATAGGGACAGAGAAGTAGATGTCCAAGGTGAGAGCTGGCTCATGAGGTGCTGGACAGAGCGTGTGGTGGCTTTACTCTCATGTCCCTGTCAGCCTCAGCCTCTTGCTCATTGGCCAGGTTTGAGTCATACTTTCACCTCCAGAGGCAGGAGTTGGGGTCAACCCACCTTGCTCACAGGGATGGCAGTGGAAGAGGGTGGTTTCCAAAGGGAAATCAAGGTACTGTCCTAGGAGGAGCAACCGATGCCCGACAGGACAGAACAACATATGGCCACTACAGGTGTGAAATCCAAGTGGTGACAGCAAGAAGTTGGGGGTCTCTGTGACTCCTGGGCCACTTTGCTGGGGATCTTTAATGCATAAAGGACACATTGTATGTATACGAGTTAGGCTTTGTATATGTCATCTGAGCCTATTCTTTCTTCTTTGCATTAGATAAGTAAAAGAAAATAACACAATACAATAATAATACTGCATCCTTGTATATTATAGAAGCACTTTGCATATTATAGAAGTCCTTTTACACACTCATTCTCAGTTGATTCTTGCAATGATTCTGTAAAATAAGCATCACAGATGTGAATGTCCCCCCATTTTACAAGTGAAGCAAGTGAAGCTCAGAAATATTCAGTCAATTGCTTGATTCCATGAGTGCCTTGCTTACTTCCCAGTCTGCCTTGCAGTACATGCGTCTGAATTCTCTCCCCATGTATCTGTCCTTCTGTGTGCCTTCTCATGCCAGGGGCAGGCTAGAAATGCTGAGCCATTAAGGCCCCTAGAAACAGTCTCTGGACCAATGATGAATGTGAATTGGAGGTTAAATACCCCAGCTTCCTTGCTCCTGGAGCAAAGAAGGAGAATAATACTTCTGAGGCGTGTGCTCTAGCCTGTGTCTCTCAGCTCCTCAGCTGTTCTCAGTGTCCGCATGCTTGATCAGGCACCCTTTCGGGTGTCCTTCCCTCCCTGTCTTAATTCCTTGTCCCCCTACCAGCACTTCCTGGGAGCAGCTCCCAAATAAATGACTTGCACTCAGATCTTTGTCTTAGGGCTTGTTTTTGGGAGAACCCAACTTAAGACAGCCACAGCATCACATAGTGGTTGTATATTTCCACTGTAAGTGACAGAAACCCCAGCTTAAGCTGGCTCCAGCAGAAAAAGAATTTACTGGTTCATGTAATTGAACAGTCCAGTCTAATAGCTCTAGCTTCAGGCATGATTGAATCTGTTTCTTTAAACGATGTTACCAGTGCTTGATTTCTCTCTTTCCACCTCTCTGCTCTGATTTCCTCTGTGTTGAGTTCTTCTCAGGCAGACTATCTTTCCAGCAGCTCACATGATCCCCGATTCAAGTCAAATGGAAAAGAAAGCATCTCCCTCCAGGAAACTCCAGGTAATCCTGAGATTGGATCTGATTGGCTCTGACTGCATCAGGTGCTTACCTTTGAACCAATCACTGTGCTCAGTGAGGTATAAATGGCCAGATTTGGGCCATAAAGACCACCCAGGAAGCTGGTGTTCTGGTTGGCTGCACCCAGTCGCAAGGAGTAAAACTGGATGGCAGTCATTATTGAGGGAAGATGTTGGGGTTTTTTTACAGAAAAGGGAGAATCAACACTGTTCAGATTGTCACCTACACCATCTGACTCTTCGTACTTTGAAGAAAAAAAAAAGTGCTATCTTCTGAGAAAAAAATAATATATTAGTTCCATTTAATTTCAACAAAAATATAAGTCATAAATGCCTCACTATTACTGGATACGCTTAGATATAGAAAAGAAGTAAAAACTCTAAGAACCATAAAATAATTGTTTTATAGGGCATAAATCATTCCATGTTTTTTTTTGTTTGTTTGTTTGTTTGTTTTTGAGACAGGATCTTCCTCTGTCACCCAGGCTGGAGTGCAGTGGAACAATCTCAGCTCACTGCAGCCTTGACCTCCTGGGCTCAAGCGATCCTCTCACCTCAGCCTTCCAAGTAGCTGGGACTACAGGCTCACACCACCGTACCCGGCTAAATTTTTTTTGTATTTTTGGTAGAGATGGGGTTTTGTTATGTTGCCCAGGCTTGTCTCCAACTCCTGAGCTCAGGTGATCTGCCTGCCTCAGCCTCCCAAAGTACTGGGATTACAGGCATGAGCCACCACTCCAGGCCAAATTTTTATTGTTTTGTAATAGGATTATAGGATATGACAGGGAAGCATACCATCAAAGATTCAAAGGACAGAAAAACCACATCTAAGAGGACAGTATTTACTTGTTGAAGGACAGGGAAAGCTGGAGTGGGTGGTGATGGCTGGAGGGGAGGCCCTTTCAGGCAGTTGATTCAATGAGTATGGTTGAGTTTTCATGTGGCAGAAACTTAAGCAAAAGTGGTCACTTTCATTTCTTCCCTTACAACAATAGTGTACTACTTACCACAATTTTATTGGCATACTGCAGGTAAGTGAAATATAATAGCTTAACATAGCTGTGCACAAACTGTTTCAGTAAAGGGACAGAGAATACATATTTTAAGCCTCAAGAGCCAAGAGGGAAAATAGAGAATATTAAGTGGGCACTTATGCAACAAGAAAGAAGACAAATTTTCATACATTTTTCAATGACAAAATTCAAAATATAATAATCGAGTTCAAGTTTTTGTAATACAGGTCTACTAACGAGAAAAAAAATAGAATTCTTAATTTTGAGAAAACCAGGCACAGTGGCAAGGTCCTGTAATCCCAGCTACTCAGGAGGCTGAGGCAGGAGGATTGACTGAGGCCAGGAGTTAGAGGCTGTAGTGTGCTATAATTGCACCTATGAATAGCCATTGCATTCCATCCCAAGCAACATAATGAGAGCTCATCTCTAAAAAAAAAATTCTTATTTTGAGAGAGATAAATAATTTTTCTTAATTGAAGCTCAGTTAGTATTCTCTATCATCAAATCAATTGCGAACATTCACCTATAAAAACCACCGTTAGCTTGAGGGCCATAAAAAATACAGTGGGCTGAATTTTACCCACAGGCTGTAGTTTGCTGACCTTTGGTTTAATCAGAAAGGGAATTTACTGACTTATAGAGTTAAAAAAATAGAGGTGAACAGTTTTCAAACAGAGCTAATTCAGAACTCCAGTTTCATTTCTTTGAGATGACCTTTGTTCTGCCCTCCTTCCTAGGATGGCTTTATCCTGAGACTGGGTTCCTTCAAGGATGCCTTAGGAACTAGACTGTATATTTCATATTCACATCCAGGAAGGGAGAAAGAGTCACTTCTCTGAGCAAAGGTCCTGAGCTTCACTCTGATAGGAGCAAAGTTGAGCCAAGCACTGTGCCACGGTGCTAGGACCAATCAGGGAAGTGACTTGGGTACAGATTTCATAGGTGTTATGCAGTGGAAGGGGCATAGAGTGGAGGGGGAAGAGAGGGAACATCCACTGTAAGTAAACTCTGAAGAATAACACAGAAAAGAGGGAGTGGATGGGCAATTTTTACAAAGTGAATGTGCTCCACCCTTATCTTGATGTCTCTGTGGGAGATCTTGCTACTCTGGAATACCTGTTATCAGGCGCATTTTTCTCAAAACAAATGGTAGGAATTGTCAAACACCACCTTAGTGGTATTTTACAGAGGCCCTGTCCTCAGCACCTGTGGTCTTATTACTTATATTAACTTCCCATGAACAAGTCTTAACATTCTCCTGAGTGATAGTCTGCCAGTCCTGCAACCTCTAGCTCTTAACCAAAATCCTGTATTATCCCCTTATTCCCTTCCTTCTCAAAAGGGATCCTTGAGAAGACATATTCAATATCCTTGACAGAATGATTGAGCCATGAATCATTTTACATCTTTTAGGGTATAAGCCTTATTTTCTTCTATCTATGCCCATCCTAGTGCCTTTATGAAGTGGAAAGCACACGGAGGGGTTCTGCTTTTTCTCGTCTCCAGTAGTTTCTTACAGACCAGTAGCACTGCGTAAGGTAATTTGGAAGAACTAAAAAAGAAGTATAAGCAACAATTCTACAGCTATCACCATGAGAATATGTAGAACACAGATCAGCAAACTATGGCCCTCAGGCCAAATCCAGCCCACTGTGCTTTTGTAAATAAAGTTTTATTGGCACACAGCCACACCCATCCATGATGTATTGTGTATGAATGCTTTCATGCTGCAATTGCTGCAATGGCAGAATTTGGTAACAGAAACCTGGCAACACAAGTTAGGGCTTATATGTTTCTCTTATCACAAGAAACCTGGAGTTGTGTATTCCAGGCATAGTACAAAGGTTTCCTGATTCCATCAAGGACCCTGGGTTCTTTTCACCATCCTTGGTGTATGGCTTCCGTCTTCAGGCTTTTGGCAACATGGTGGCTCCACCTCTAGACACTGTGCCTACATTCCAGGGAGGCAGATAGGGAAAGGACAGTGAGCAGAAGTTATGTGTCAGCTGATTTGGCTCATTTTTATAAAAAAATACTTTTTTAGGGCTTCCCAGAAATCCCCACCCAGCAGATTTCCAATTACATTTCGTTGGGCAAAACTATATCACATGGCTGAAACTAGCTATACTGGAGCCTGGGGAACTGATGTTTTTGGATTTCCACATTGTTCTCTTGTTCATTGTTCATTGTTTTGTTTTTGTTTTTGTTTTTGTTATTGTTTTGAGACCGGGTCTTTCTCTGTTGCCCAGGCTGAAGCACAGTGGCATGATCATGGCTCACTGTAGCCTCAAACTCTTGGACTCAAGGAACCCTCTCACCTCAGCCTCCAGAGTAGCTGGGACCACAGGCATGCACCACCACACTCAGCTAATTTTTTGGTGTTTTGTAGAGACGAGGTCTCACTATGTTGCCCAGGCTGGTCTCAAACTCCTGAGCTCAAGTGATCCTCCTGCCTCAGCCTCCCAAAATGCTGGGATTACAGGCATGAGCCACTGTTCCTGGACCCCACATTGCTCTTTTAAGTTAGATGAGAAGGTGAAAATGGATAATAAGTAGGCAACTACAAACATCTTCCACACCAGGGACTCACAAATCCAAATGCCTACAAGGATGGCAGGAGATTTAAATGGGTGCTTTATGCCACTGGAGACACCAGAAACTGGTAGGAATTATGATGAAGTTGAGAGTACCCACCCTACCTACAATTATTCAACTTCAAAATTTCCTAGAACAATCATCTATGGACCTTGAGCTTTTGACATCCTCTTTGGATAATGCTTCTCACATGAGCTAGTCATTTGAAAAGTGTATTTCAAGGGGTCAGCCATTGATTCATTTATTCTATAGCATTCTACAAATATTCATTTACCACTCACTTTCTTCTGGTGTTCCAGACTGTGGTCTGTGGCTCTCCTTGTGCAGTTATTAAATTCAGAAACCACAAATCAACATGCAAATCAAAATTTGTTTAGGCTAAATAGGTAATGTGTTTGCACATTATATATGACTGTTTTAAAATGTAGGTGGAGGCCTTTGTGAGTCATAAAATAGAAATTCATTGAACAAAAGTACCCCTGGTTTCAGAGTAGCTCTCTGTGATACATTTTCTCACTCAACAGATACTCAAAAGCATAAGCACTATTGTGAGAAAGTCTTACTATTTTTTATATTAAAAAATTCTCATATGACAAAAAGGTGGAAAAAAATTTGCTAGGTACTGGGGGCTACGGAAATGGTGAGATGAATATGTCAGACCCTCAATTTTTAGAAAACTCACAGCACAGTAGGGATAAAAAATATGAATTAGGTAGGACTCTTTTGGTTGCAAGTGATAGAAACTCAATTTAAACTGACTTAAGGGAAAACAAAGAATATACTGAATTATTTGTCTAAAGGTTCAGAATTGGGCTGGGCACAGTAGCTCAAACCTATAATCCCAGCACTTTGGGAGGCCAAGGCAGGTGATCATGAGGTCAGGAGTTCAAGACCAGCCTGGCCAAGATGGTGAAACCCCCGTCTCTGCTAAAAATACAAAAATTAGCCCAGCTTGGTGGCAGGTGCCTGTAATCCCAGCTACTCAGGAGGCTGAGACAGGAGAATTGCTTGAACCCAGGTGGCAGAGGTTGCAGTGAGCCAAAATCATGCTACTGCACTCCAGCCTGGGTGACAGAGTGAGACTCTGTCTCGAAAAAAAAAGTTCAGAATTAAGCACATTCTTCGCTCATTCAGGCATGCTTGGACCTAGAGTCTAAACAGTATCTTCAAGATTTAGTCTCGCTCCATTTCCTGGTTTTTCCTTTCTCAATGTTGGATTCATTTTCATGCTCTCCCTTTCTCCCCAGTATAAACAAAAACTGTCCAAGATTACAGTATTGTAGCTCCAAACACCTTCTAATTCTATTGGGAAGAGATATCAACCTTTCCCATAGCTCCTCTGAATTAACTCTCATTAGATTAATCTTTCAGGTGAATCAGTTGCTGTGGCAAGAGGAATGGGAGATACTAATGGGTCAGATTTTGAATATGTGTCTCATGTATCTGGGAGGAGTTTAGCACCAATCAATCCACATGGATTGATGATGGAGTCTTTGGGGTTTTTAAGGAGAAATAGGAATGTTATTATGAGAAGAAGGAGGAATAAATGCTGGAAAGGCAAAAAACAACAGACACTCACTAGAAACAAACCAAAATCAACATCCCCGAGGAAGAAAATAATGAATGACACCAGACAGACTCGTTTGTTTCATTCAGTGTTTTCTTCAATAAACATTTACCAAAATTTGTTATTTTAGTGGAGGTTGTTGATTGCCAATATCTACTCCCACCTTCCATTCCTTTTTTTATCTTTTTTTTTTTTTTTTATCAGAACCATTGACTTTGTTCAACTATCCCCCCTTGAAGTGGCTGTGTTTGAGAGAAGGCTGCTCCATTTCCAAACCCAAGGGCAAGTCTTGACTATCTAAGCCAATCCTCTCAGTGCCATTTCCGTTGCTGTTGATTTGTTTAAGGCATAAACGTAAGTAGAATTTGAGGCAATGAAATATGAAGTCACCAGAAAGCTTCTAGGAAGGCTATTCTTGCTCTTAAAAAAAATACAGTTAGGGGTCCTCAAAGGGAGCTAACTTGTAGACCTACTCTACATGAGATAAATGTGGAAATAGCATGGGCTCTTGGATAATGTTGCTGAGGAAATTAATGACTCTAGACATGACCCTACCTCTAGATTTCTAGTTGTATAAGAAAATTATTTCTATATTTTGAGTTACATTGGGCTTTTGGGTTATTTGTAACAAATGTACTTCCTATAAATGACAGGTCCAGGGCCAGGCATTGAGGATAAGAAATCGTAGGATGTATGCCCTCTATTCATATGATGCTTCCATTTTAATCAGCTGGAAATTGTTATTTTTTCCCACTTTATTCTACTTCTTTCTCTCTGTGAAGTTAACAAAGTACCCAAGGGGACTGGATCAAGGAAAACATGAGGGCAAACTCAATATGTTGCTCTCAAAGTGGTCCCTGATCAAATGCTCTGGCCTTGCCAAGAGAATCAGGAGCCCTTGAAGCAAATATGTCTTCTTCCCCAGAAACAAAATTCAAAGTGTGTGGCCCTGCACTTGTGGGTCAGGAATGCCATCTTCACAGACAAAGGAAAATATATTCTCCTTTATTCCCATTTTTAAAACCCCAATTACGGGCACAATGAGGATCCATGGAACCCCACGAACACTAATAAAAATAAAGCACTTAGCTCATGCAATCTTGTCTTTTTATTTTCAATATCACTTACAATGTAAGCTTTTTACAAAATCAAATCCTTTCTCACCAACGATATGATTTTCCCTGAAAAGGCTTTGAAGTATCCCGCCGTTACTACTTCTGTACACAAACATTAGCAGAAGCCCTGCTAGGCAGGAGGACAAAAATAATTGTTCAGTCTTCATTTTAATTTAACCTTTTGTAAATTCCTACTTTACAAAAGTTCCCCTTGACTTACTGGCATCATATTGAGAAAATTTATGAGGTAGTCCATTCTTGTTAAGACAGCAAATCTCCATGAATCTTTTCCCCCATGAAAGACTGTCCTGGACCCTTCACCCCTTTTAATTTAGGCATCTTGCTCTCTTTCTTTACCATTTGCATGGGTCCCTTTGTCACCTTAACATTATTGTCTAATGGTTTCTGTACAATTAAGGCATTATGGAGGTGAACATTAATATGTCTCAGAAAATTTACGAAGGCCATATATCTTGATGTTTGCAAAAGGATGTGCCAGAGATTGGCTAGGAATGCCGGTGCTCAGCTCTTCCAGCTGATGTAAGGAACGGAGTTCATTATCTGTCATATTGGTAGTAGGACAGAAACAAGACCTTTGGCAGGAAGGTGTGAAAAGGGAATGAGTAGCCAGCCTGGTGTAAATCAGGAGGGGAAATACAGGTTTAAGCTATTTTAGATCTGGTTTAATAGAAGAGTGACTAAAAAGGTGGGATCAGTATTCACATTGCCCTGTGCGATGATTAATATTGAGTGTCAGCTTAATTGGGTTGAAGGATGCAAAGTATTGTTCCTGGGTGTGTCTGTGAAGGTGTTGCCAAAGGAGATTAACATTTGAGTCAGTGGACTGGGAGAGGCAGACCCACCCTCAATCTGGGTGGGCACCATCTAATCAGCTGCCAGCATGGCTAGGATAAAAGCAGGCAGAGGAACATGGAAGGACTAGACTGGCTGAGGCTTCTGACCTCCATCTTCCTCTTATGCTGGATGCTTCCTGCCCTCGACATCAGACTCCAAGTTCTTCAGCTTTTGGACTCTCAGATCTACACCAGTGGTTTGCCAGGCACTCTCAGGCCTTTGGCCACAGATTGAAGGCTGTACTGTCAGCTTCACTACTTTGGAGGTTTTGGGACTTGGACTGGCTTCCTGGCTCCTCTGCTTGCAGGCAGCCTATTGTGGGACTTGACCTTGTGATTGTGTGAGTCAATATTCCCTAACATGCTCCCTTTTATATGTACAGCTGTCCTATTAGTCCTGTCCTTTTAGAGAACCCTGACTAATACACACCATTTTTAGATTCTCACTCATACCCGCTAGCCACCTGCCATTGTTTTATAGCCTCTCTCTTCTTCAGTTTCTTCATTTGTAAGGTGGAGGTACATTTAGAACACAACCTTAAGTCCATACCATGGCCTACCAGGTTCCCGCGATCTGGTCCCACCTTGGTCTCAGGCCTCCAGTGCCTTCCTGGCTTTCCTGGAACCCTGGGCTTCCACCACGTTGGTCTCCTTTCCAACTCCGCAGTGTAACGACAGCTGCTTCCCACCTCAAGGCCTTTGGCCCTGACATTACTTCCTCTTCCATGAAATACTTCTCCCCAGATGCTCAAGGGTGGGCTCCTTCTCTTCATTTATGAACCAGGTTAAATTGGACTTTCTCACATCGTTTCCCAGAGGCAGACTTGAGTAGTTTATTTAGAAGGTGATCCCGGGAATCAGAGGAATAGAGAAGGAAGGAGAGTTAAGTCAAGGTGATATTGATGAGAAATTGATCACTGCAGACAACTGGAACTCAATTCTGCAGGGAGTTTCTGGGAGACAGTGTGAAACCTCCTCCGAGTTGTGCTATAAGGGGCTGGGAAGCCGTGATGGTTTTCCACCAATTCCCGTCCTCTGCATGTGGAGGGGCACTCCTGGAGGGGCTCATTATTTGGCACTTCCAGCCTCTGCTCGTACAGATTGAGCGTGAATCTCGCTGCATTACAGAAGGCTCTATGGCAGAGAGATGCAGGTGCTAGGGGTAGGAAGCTCTCGAAGCGCAAGGGAACTGCCCAGCAGGGTGCCACTTGGGCGCCATGGGTGTGACAAGGGAATATGTGCGGGGAGCTGACTGTCCTCTGGAGTCCTCCATTGATCTCTGTTCCTTCATCCCGTCCATGGCCTTGAAAGCACTTACTACAATTGTGAATCATACCCTTCTTGGTTTGTGTATTTTTTTAAATTTATTTTGTTGTTGCTGTTTTTGTTTGTTTGTTTTTTGAGACAGGGTCTCACTCTGTTCCCCAGGCTGGAGTGCAATGGTGCAATCATAGGTCACTGCAGCCTCAACCTCCTGGGCTCAGGTGATCCTCCCACATCAGCCTCCCAAGTAGCTAGGACTACAGGTATACCCCACTATACCTGGCTGATTTTTTATATTTTTTGTAGAGACAAGGTCTCGTTATGTTGTGCAGGCTGGTCTGGGACTCCCAGGCTCAAGCAATTCTTCTGCCTCAGCCTCCCAAAGTGCTGGGATTACAGGCATGAGCCACTATGTATTTGTGTATTTGCTAAATTAATACGTACCTATTTGAAGGGTCTCAGGGAACAGAGCGATGTTTGAATGTTCTTGAGTGTTTCTTTGAGTGTTCTTGAGTGTTTCTTTAGTGATCAGCAAAAAGGTGATAATCAAAGTATTTAAGCACCTGAAGGGCAGGGTTGTCGATCATCCAAAAGTTCACCCATCCTGCTTTGTGGTAAGTTTCTGGAAGTAAAATTGCTGTGTCTAAGATACAATGCTTTTAAAGCAGGGCATGCCTTTGTTAGTTACATTTTCGAGAATCTTCATAAACCCAAACAGTACAGGTTTAAAGTGCAGGCATGGCATCAAATTAAATTCTGAGGATCTCAAATATGAGGGCCTTGGTAATGAACATGAAAAATCCTTTTTTTTTTTGAAGCTGCATAAGCAAGATGATTTTGAAAGTTTAAAAACGAGTGTGTGTATGTGTTTTGTGTTCCACTAAAAGCCCATTTAAAACCTACTTGAGTGCTTTTTCATTTAGTTTATAAGTATTCAGAACATCAGAATAAAGCCTCAGGTTTAGGGAAGCCTCTACCCTCTCCAGCTAGGCTGCATGACTAAAAAAAATCAAAAAAGGAAAATTTTACTTTGACAAATATAATACCTACATTGGGAATATGCAGACAAGTTTTTCCCTAAAAGGTTAACTAGAGACAATAATTACTTTCTCCAGAGATCACCAAAGTGACATGCTGCTGTCTTGATTTCATTGCTGTTTTGTGATGTGCGTTTCTTGCCACTTATAAATGAAACAAATGAGGTTAGATGGCAAAGATTATGAAAGGAATTAGCAATAATGAGCCTGGGAACAAAAAAACATTATTATAGAAAATTGAGTTGACCTCACTTTCATAATTATTCACTTTAATTTTTTTTTGTAGTGTAATTTGAATGAAATTAAATAATACTAATATTCCTCCTGCCACTGACAAGGAATTTCATGTAAAGATTAATAACTTTTAAAACTAAAGATTTGGCTGCCATCTTAGAGGTCACTGTTGCTATTCCAGGGAGCTTTCTGTCCTCTACATGATCCTGAACCGCCTATGCCAAAACCACAATTTTCTCCTCAAAGATCTAAGGTCACGTGACTCTGTGGCACAGGAATTGCATCTCCCTCCAACCTCCGTGAGATTCATTTCTCTCCTGAGATTCACTTCTCTTACTTTTCCCAATTTCTCCATGAGAATGTTCTCAGTAAATCATGCTAATGTGTGATGGAAGCAGACATTTTCAGTTAATTGGGTGGGCATAATTTGAATTTGAAATATATAAATTTTTCATAGGGCACTCCTTGAAGACATCACACTCATTAAGTTGGGGTTTGAAGGTGAGGTGAGTCAATATAGAACTTTCTACTTGTTTGTAATTTTGGCCAATAGTAACCTGAAGATGCACTGAACATGTATCATGTAATAGACACTGAGTCAAGTAGTTCACGTGTGTCATCTAATTTAATTCTCTCTGTGGCCCTATAAGTACTGTTGTCTTCGTTGTTCTGCAGATACTGCAACTGCAACTCAAATACATTGCAGAGGTCAAAGAAGGGCTGACTCAAGATTTGAACTCTTACACCTACCCCCAAACCTGAGCTCTTAGCCAACAAGATGGAATCAAAGCAAGCCAATCAATAGAAATATTGGTGTTGACATCCGATAGTCTGTGATCCATCTCTGCTCACTCACTTAATATCTTTGCATGTAACTCTCTCATTTCGAGTTTACACTTAGAAAACTGAAATAATAACAACACCAAACTTACTGAGTTGCAGTGACTATTAAATGGGGAACATAGTGAAGTACCTTGAACACTGATGAATTACAGTGATGCTCAATAAATGTTGACTTTTCTCCATTACTTATGGACACTTTTCTTTCTAAGGCTTGGAAAGCATTTAGCACAGTGTGTGGCACAGGGATACCAGTCAGTAATAATATTAGCTAACCGTTTACTGGTACCTACAATGTGCTTGGCTCCACATTGCATGCTCTGCAGGTGGCATCTCTCTAATCCTCAGCAGTGTCCTGTGCTGACGGTGCCATGTCTGCCCTCATTTTGGAGAGAGTAGCTGGGTGGTTTCCATCTGGTAAGCAATGGAGTTGGAGTTCAAGCTCAGAATCCAAGCTCTGAGTCAGCGATTTTGCCAGCTGCTGTGGCTCATCGTGTTGTCATTAAATTCGATGAGTCTACCATTGGCTTGTAAATGTCTTTCCATTTCATCACACCTGGAATGATCACTCTCTCTTTCGAACTTCAATGGCTTTTACTGTCTATCTAAATCAGTAGGTAATAAATCATGGCCTCTAGTTCATTATGGCCTCCCATGCTTTCCTGAAGTGTTTAAATCACTATTGCCTTTGTTTGTTCATTAATTTGGTCACCCAGTCACTCAGCAAACATAATTGTGTGTCTGTTATATTCCAGGCACTGTGGGAGATTCTGAGGGTACAGAGGAGAACTGAAGAGACTTGGTATTCACTAAGGGAAAAGCCAAACTTCAAGGCGACTTAAACCTTTATTTGGGGGGTCCTCTTTAGGAAAAGAACATTAAATTACATACACACAGTTAGATTCAGGGCCAGGGAGGAGGTCTTGCAAGTGAGGGGTTCTGAAACATAAGCTTCATTAGCTTCGTGGTAAATCCACTACAGGTTTCCACTGTTACGGATCTTAGAATTCTAGATTCTGCTGTAACCTCGATATAACAGGGAGGTCCTGCAGCCCTGATCACTATCCACAGATTAAGTCAAAACAAAACAGAGCATAAATGTGACTACAAACCATGAGGGATTATGAAAATCCTTACTGCAGATTTCCCCGAGGGAGCTAATCTAGCAGCCAAAATGACACGGTGTGCCATACCCAAAGATTCCTAAAAGTCATTTTCCCTAAAACGTCGCTATCTCTCACCCTGAACCTCCCATTACCCTCACCATCCTGCTGCTCTGTTTTCCACTCTGTCCCCGGCCTAACACTCTTTAAACCCTGGAAACCCTACCCCTGACTACGTGCGCACCCTAAACTGGTGTGGGCTAGTTTCTACTATGAATGTTTTTGTAGACACTGCTAGAATTCACTACAACCTCCTTCACACAGACATGCAGAATTCTGGAGAATTAATTCTCCACTGATCACCCCCCGTTTAAAATTTTTCAGTTTTATGTATCATTTCCCAAACTAAAGCATAAGAGATTTGATGGCAGAGACTAATTTATAATTTTTCAATTTTCAGCCCAATTGGGACCCCTCCCAGGCCAAATATTTTGAAATTGAGGTAGTAATTTTAAAATAACAATTATAATGAGGAACAACTGGCAATTCTATTTTAAAAAAATTATTAGCCAGGCTCAAAATTTCATCCTCAGTTTGGTCATGAAGTTCAGGCTTGGAGCAAAACGAGATTAAAAATAAATAGCAGATGGGAGAAAATTATATGACTGTTAATCTAAATGTTTAGCATGTTGGACCCAAGCAGTGATTCTCAACCCAGAGGACACATGGCAATGTCTGGACACATTTTTGGTCATCAAAACTAGGGAAGGAGGGTGCTACTGGCACTAGTGGGTTGAGGTCAGCGTTGCTGCTAAGCATCCTACAGTGCTCAGGGAAGGCCCACGACAGAGAGTTAGCTGGCCCCAAACATCAATCATGTTGAAGTTTTTAGATCCTGAACCAGAGAACTCACAGAAACAAGCCTTACACCAAGTAACTAATTAGCCAGTTACATAAACAACTCATCAGTTAACTAACCAACTAATTAATGATATGGATCTCTTTTGACTGAATTGACTCAAGTTTTCTCCCAATTAATAACTAGTCAATTGATGAGTAAAATAACCACATTTTATAAAGTTGGCCTCTTTGTTTAGTTTGTTTATGCATGAAGCGTGCATGACTGTGTGTGTATGTGTGCATGTGCACAGTGATAGTGTATGGCAAAGTAATCACTTCTTTTCCTTATCCTGAAATGTCCTGCATGTTTATATATCAGGCATAAGGTTGGACTGACTGTAAATGGATGATCTGGCTTAATCTCACTACAACACTGTAAGTGGGATTAACCCCACTCAAAGATGATAACCTGTGGTTTAAAGATCAGTAACTTGTCAAAGATAACATGAGCCCTGGTAGGTGAGAGAGACATATCTCAGTCTAGGCTGTCTCAGCCCCAAAGCCCATCCTCTTAGCTAGGATCTCTGAACTATCACTTATTCCACACCCTCTTCAATGATTTTTGCATATCCATGAGATACCTGCATTATTATTTTTCTGATTTTTAAAAATTTAAATAAATTTAACCTTACTCTCAACAGTAACGGCCTGGAATCATGGGTTCAGCACCCTAGCATACTTTATATTTCTAATAAATTTTGAGGAATCACTGCTTTAACACCACAATGTTAAGCCACCCCTCGCCTATTTCAAAATGGGTTTTTAATGATCAAGCACTATATAAGTGGAAATTATTGTAATAATTGATTAGTTAATCCACGTGAGGGCCACAAAGTACTCTCTAGAAGAAGTTCTGAGTGGCCAAATTAAGGTAAGATCAGCAAAATAAAGAGTGCTGATAAAGAAAAAGGATTAAAGGAAAATGCTTCTAAGGAGCTCCTGTGATTAAATGCAATCGAAGGAGAACTCATGGGTTAACTCATTTCTGCCGAGCGCAGTTACATAGTGCTCAGTTTGATAAAGGACCCTGCAGTAGCTTTCAAATGGAGAAATGGGAATTAGTGGCATTCCCTCTCCAATTACTAATTTTACAGAAATGCAAACAGCTCAGCAAAGGGAACACATTGTCCGTTCCAAGGCTTTCCGTGAACAAATACATTTGATATTTGAGACAGCACCCTGTATGAAATAGGCCCTGATTTTCAATATACCCTTGAATTCTTTTATCTTGTTGTCAATAGGTTTAATAATTGATTGTGGGGAAAACACAATAGGGTAAGAAAAATACCAGGGTTATCTCAAGAGTTCTGGAGGAATGATTTGTGTCAAATTAGGTGGGTAGTTTTTTATTTTTATTTTTTATTTTTCCAATTATATACAGTGCCATTCACAAGCTAAATTCTCACTGATTTAACCTCTTTCTTCTCTGTTCCATTTAGCTGGAATAAACCCCTGTGGCCAATCTTCTATGAATGAAATTGTCCATCTTTCCTAGGAATGAGTCAATCTGTGTATTTGTGAATTTCAAATATAAGTGTGACTACTATGGTAGAAGGAAATAGCTGTCAGAATAAAGAGAAAAGGAGATGGATTTTCCACCTTGTCATGATTAACACACTTTCTCAGTCGTTCTTGGCCAGCATTTGCAAATAGTGACTGTTGTGGCTAATTGGAGTATTCCTTGCAGTTTTCTCATGTCAGCTTATACGAGCCAACATAAAGAAATACCTTTGTGGACTAGATGCAGTCATCTCACGCTTTACAGTCTCCATCGTTTTGATCCCCCCAATAGCCCTGTGAAGTAGGAAAGAGGTGTGTCTTGGATTCCCACAGTGTCTTGGATAGCTTTGTTATGGTACCTACTGCATTATACCGAAATTTAGTATTTATTGTGTGCTTTCCCAACAGCACTGTGACCTTTTGCAAAGTGACCTTCCTTAGGGCTTTAAACATAGTAGGCATTCGATAAACCTTCACTAAGTAAATGTGTTGTTCTCTCTCTGAACTGTGTTTCTAGAGCAGTGGTTTTCAACAGCGGTGGTGTTGTCCTCAGGGGATATCTGGCAATGTCTGAAGACCTTTGGCTGAGGTGGGGGTGGGGTACTGGTGGCATCCAGTGGGTGGAGGCCAGGGATGTTGCTAAACATCCTACAGTACACAAGACAGTCCTTCATGCAAAGAATTATCCCACCCCAAATCCAAATGTCAATAGCGCCGAAAGAGAAAGCCTGCTTTAGAGGTATCTAATACACACCCAAAATGGGAGATGAATTTCCTGTGACACTCATAAAACATTAGGGTCTCACCCACTGGCATCAGCCCTTCTAAAGCTCTGGGAGGGGCCATATGATTTTGCCCAATTTGCAAATGTAGGTGGCTACAGGAAGCTTTTGGACATGTCTAAGGGGATGCCCTAGAATTTATTTGGTTTGTCTCATGTGGAACACACATATGGGGTTTTAGGTGACTTTGCGTACAGTAAAGTTACTGCTCACTTTACTGGTGTAGGAATGACTTCCAGAATATTCTTAATGCTCACTTTGCCATCTCTCCCAGCGGATGGTGATACAAAGGTGAAGGCCAGAGGCTCTGTAGGGCTACGTGTGTTTTCTAGGCACTTAACACTCAATGTAAGTGGGTAGTGGAGGAGACACAAAGTTAAAAATATAGGGAGCCAGGCTGGGCACAGTGGCTCACACCTGTAATCCCAGCACTTTGGGAAGACTGAGGTGGGTGGATCACCTGAGGTCAGGAGTTCGAGACCAGCCTGGCCAATATGGTGAAACCCTATCTCTACATACAAAAATTAGCTGGGCGTGGTGGTGGGCACCTGTAATCCAAGCTACTCGGGAGGCTGGTGCAGGTGAATCGCTTGAACCCAGAAGGGGGAGGTTGCAGTGAGCTGAGATCATGCCACTGCACTCCAGCCTGGGCAACAGAGGGAGACTCAGTTTCAAAATAAATAAATAAATAAATAATAAATAAACTATATGGAGCCAGAAGCTAGTTTGCGGGAAGTTTTTCCATTCACCAAATGTGTAAACTGAAGTGACGGATGGATTTCCCATTGATGCCATGGCAAAATAGAATTTCTTTCCTGTGAGAACACATGGACACATGCAAGGGAACAGCAGACACCGGGGCCTACCAGAGCGTGAAGAGTGGGAGGAGGGAGAGGATCGGGAAAAATAACTAATGGGTACGAGGCGTAATGCCTGAGTAATGAAATCATCTGTACAATAAACCCCTGTGACATGAGTTTACCTACATAACAAAGCTGCACATGTACCCCTGAACTTAAAAGTAAAAAAAAAAGATTTCTTTCCTGTCTGAAATACAGTTGATAATACAGTGTATACAATTATGAAAGCACCACATATTTTTCTGTTTTTTAAAAAATAAGCCGAAGAAAATGTGCCAGAATTCCTGAATCGTAGGGCATGAACCTGTGGCAGCAGTGGGAAGGCAAGTACATCTGTCTATGAAGTTACATGTTCTACGTATACCAATTATCAATAATATGAAACCAATTTTAATTAACCATGTTAGAGGAAGGTCTGAATTTCTTTACTATTTCTTATGAAAAATATACAAAAAGTATCATAAGAAAAGATTATCAAATTTTAGCTGACGTAAAATGTGGAAAAGAGATCTATTATGGAGTTATATCAGGCAGTTAACTAATACAAACTGTTGTGTTTTTTTTTTTGAATCTTGTGATGCTAGTGGTATTTTCAGTTTTTAGTACTTGCAATTTGTTAAGATTTTATTTTAACTCTAAATACATGTACACTTCTGTACTGAATTTTATATTCTTGTGTTATTGTGCTTAATTAGAGGTTCCAAATTGTATAAGCTCCAGGAGCTGCAGACGGGTATCCTCTGGATGACTCACACACTTTGATCACCAGAGTAGACCTTTCCTGCAAGCTCCTTTGAGTGTTAGACTCATATTAAATCACCTTGACATCAGCTCTGGGATACCTCAGAGACATCTCCAAACTCAGTATGTCCAAAGTCAGTCTTATCATAAACTCCCCCTGCCTCATCCAGGAGATAATAAAGTTTAAAAAAGGTTGTAAGTGTGGGTCTCTAATCTGATAGGGCTGGTGCCAATGTAAGAAGAGATAGAGGCCGGGCGCGGTGGCTCACGCCTGTAATCCCAGTACTTTGGGAGGCCGAGGTGGGCAGATCACGAAGTCAGGAGATCGAGACCATCCTGGCTAACACAGTGAAACCCCATCTCTACTAAAAATACAAAAAAAATTAGCCGGGTGTGGTGGCGGGCGCCTGTAGTCCCAGCTACTCGGGAGACTGAGGCAGGAGAATGGCGTGAACCCGGGAGGCGGAGCTTGCAGTGAGTCGAGATCACGCCACTGCACTCCAGCCTGGGGACAGAGATAGAGACACCAAAGATCCCTCTCTCTCTCTCTCTCTACCCTGTGAAGACAGAGCAAGAAGGTGACCATCTGGAAGGGAACCCTCACCCGAAACAGACTTCTTTTGGAGCCTTGATCTTCAGCTTTCCAGCCTTCAGAAAATACATTTCTGTTGTGTAACCTTCACAGTGATGGTTATTTTTTTTTATGGCTGCCTGAGAAGACTAAGGAGGTTGACCCAAAGATACCAGATCCTAATATATGGGACCCATAGATGTTATCTTATTTGGAAAAAGAGTCTTTGCAGATGTGATTAAGAATCATGAGATGGGGAGATAACCCTGGATTACCCAGGTGTGCCCTAAATGCCATCGCAAGTGTCTTTATGAGAGAGTGATAGAGGGAATTTCACACACACACACACACACACACACACACACACACACGAGAAGGCAATGTGAAGATGGAGGCAGAGATTTGTTATCTGGTCACAAACTCTGGAACTGCAGCAGGTAGGGAATATATGCTTACTTGAGACCTCTGGAGGGAGTGTGACCCTGCCAACACCTTCAGGTCAGCCTTTTCCTCCAGAACTATGGGAGAATAAATTTATTTCAGTTTAAGACACGAAGTGTGTGGGAAATTGTTACAGCAGCCACGGGCGACAAATACAGAAAGAATTCGTATCTTTTTCATTGCATGTATTTCTCTGTGATTCTTCTCACTCTTGCGATGGTAAGAAATTAATGGTCTAGATTAGGATTGGCTATTGAGGAAAGGGATTGAGAGAAGCTGTGGACTTATCTTCCTATGGGGTTTTGGGTCTAAACTCTTGAATAAAGAGTACATTTGCTTAGAGAATTCTGATGCTGGTAATCACTACTTGAGAACCTAATAAAATTTAGGGTAGGTGGATTCAGGGCCCTGGGTATCTTTAATGTCTCCCATATCAATAAGATCTCCTGCATATAGAGAGTCAGTTATTGAACAATTCCAAATTTTAGGATCATAGGTGACAAATCAGATAGAATGTTCAGTCTTCATTACGGTGAGTGGGGTTGGGGAAGTGATGTTTGGGTGGAGAACCAAATAAGATGAGAAAGCAAACTTAGAGGAAGTGAGTTTCAGGCAGAGGAGACTGTAGCCACAAAGGCCCTGAGTCTGGAACTATTTTGGCTTATTTAAGGAATATCAAGAAGTCCAAAATAGTTGCAGTTCAATGATGATGTTATATTATTTGGTGCAGGTAGGTTTATGATTATAGTGTCTTCTTTGGAAAATATGTCTTTTACTATTACATTATATTCCTCCTTATTCTTTTATTTAATTCTAAATTCTATCTTGTTTGATGTTAACATTGATTTCCTGTGTTGTATATCTTTGCCCATATCTTTATTTCCCAATTTTTGCAAAAAATTAGTTTGTTAAAATTGTGTTTTTTGGTAAATAACAGAATAACAAATATCTAAGGTAAATTATGTTTCATTTCTCCTATTTGAGAGGTGTAATAATGTGAATTTTATTTAGAAATATTTTCATCAAAATTTCTAATGTGGACATGCCTTGGTGCTAAGCAGACACTTCCATTATCTGAACATAACTTGCATATACAAAATAACTCATTTCCGATGAGTTTCAGTAATTGAGGTATTATTGCACATGTCATTCAACATCTTGAAATTTTAGTATCTCTACATGCATGAGCTTTTAAAAATAAAGTCATGGCTCTATTGGGCCACAAAGAATACACTTAAAATTTACAATGTCAGCAAAAATTACTAATTTATTTATTTATTTTTTTGAGATGGAGTCTCGCTCTGTTGCCCAGGCTGGAGTGCAAAAAATTACTAATTTATTTAACTAATAACAATGTTGTTTTTTATTTATGCCTATAGTCACACCATCAGTATGGCATATGTTTGAATTGTTCCAATAGTGCAGATGGAGTTACTGTGATTTAGCAAGACTTTCTCAACTGCACTTATGACCAATATGATGCTCTTGGGAGGGGCCCAGATGTGGTCTAGATGGTCTGTGTCTGTAGGAAGGAAGTATCAAGTTTCAGCCCATAAGGGAATTGAACCCCTGACCGTGGCCTTATTAGCACCATGTTCTAGCCAACTGTGCTTGCTAATTGGTCACACATGGCAAAAATTTTGGAGAGAAGGAAAAGATGTCAGAACACAGGATCCTTGGTTTTAACATGTTTGTTTCGGTCTGATAAAAAAAATCCTTAGATTTGGGGTCAGATCTAGCTTGGTTTGAGTATCAGCTCCCTCTCCTTGGTTTTCTCTTTGAACAATGAGGATAATGAGGCCAATTTTGGAAGATTTTTTTTTAAATGTCGGCGTAAGTAAAATAATTTACGTGGGAATACCTAGCATATAATGCAGCACAAAGTAGTTATTCAATACATATTCTTTTATAGTTTGGTTTAAATCATTTCGAGGTAAACTGATGATGCAGAAAATCACAACACTTCTCCCTCACTTAGATTATACCCCCTCTCTTTCCACCTTCTGTCACCTTCAGTGATACAACTAACATGCTAAGGCACCATTCAGTTGCAAAGTGGTTATATTTATGCAATAAAAATAAATGCAAGGCAGAGGAGAGCCACATTACTCAAGAGTTTTTAGTCTGTTTCGTCCTGGCTTGAGCACACTGAGATGAGGTGAATTCAGCACTCCAACCCTCCCAGGCAGGGGAAGCCTCGAGAGAAGGCAGCAGAGGATCCAAGAGAGCAAGTCTTCAAGACTGACCACTGGGTTTTAAGTCCTCACTCTGTAGCTGTGCAGCCTTGGGGCAAGCATGTAACCTCTCAAACCCTTGGTTTTCTCATCTGTAAAATGGGGATCGTTACCGTTACTACCCCAGAAGATTTTGTGAGATGAAGTGAGATAAGACCGGTGAGTAATTTAACCAGACATATGGGAAGTGTTCAAAAGTGCTCAGGGGAAGGTCATGTGTCTCATCTGCATACCATGCACTTTATGACCAGGGCTGCCTTTTTTAACTTCTCTGAGTCTCTCTCTCTCTCTCTCTCTCTCTCTCTCTCTCTCTCTCTCTCTCTCTCTGTCTGTCTCTGTCTCTGTGTGTGTGTGTGTGTGTGTGTGTGTGTGTGTGTGTGTGTGTGTGTGTTTTATAAGCCTGCCCCAACAAGCCTATTTACTCAGAATGTAAAACAAATTTACTGTAGTATATCGACTAAATACACATCGGGTATCAATTTTATTTGTTGCAGGAATGAGTATACTGTGTGAGTCTCTTAAAAGGTTGATACTCTGGTTTCAGCCTAACCTCAGCCTTGATCTGAATCCAAGGTTTCTAAGCCTCTCTTTCTTATCCCCTGGCTCTACCCTTTAATTCCGCATCAAATCGTTCTCTTCGGCAGTCTTACCCCGAATCAGCGGTGTTGACCTCACATGGAATCACAGAACCATTCCCCTCATTTCCTCTCCCTGTTTTTCGTATTCAACCTCTGTTGACCCTTCCCAGGTGTTACTCATGTGATGTATTCTGTAGGCTAAGTCATTTCCCCGCGCTGAGTTTCCCATTTATTTCTTCCACTGCCAAAATGTCTTTTTCCCTCTGTATCCTTCACAACCCCTGTGTTGCACATCTATCACCTTTATATGTGTCCTGAGCCTTGCGATTCTCCATCTGCACTCCTGATCACTTTCTCTTCCTCACTCTGAGCCCTTCATTCTCCGTGTTGAGTAAACATTCTTGGCCTCAAGGAGCTTTCATCGGCAATGCTAATATTTTAAATATTATGATTACTTTTCTCTCTGCCATAAAAATCTCCCAAAACATCCATATGATCAGTGTAGAACACTGATTCTCAGTCAGGGAGGGGTGATTTTGCCCACTAAGAGACATTTATAGTTGTCACAACTGGTGGGGGTCCTTCTGTCTTCTGGTGGGGAGAGACCAGGGATGCTGCGGAACAATACTCCAAAGCCCAGTACAGCCCCACAACAAAGGAATATTCAAATGCCAATAATGCTAAGGTTGAAAAACTCTGGTATAGATTAGAAAGTGTATTTATCTTAAAAAGCTAAAATAGAACTAAGACACAATGCAAGCATAAGGATAGTTAATAATAAAACAATAATAACTCAAATGTATTTGGCATTTGTCATGTAGCAGGCACCGTGCCAACAGTTTTCCCTTCTTTGCCTTATTTGATCCTCATGATTACCCTATAAGGTAGGAACTATTATGATCCCCCTTGCAAATGATAAAACTGTGGCCCAAATAAGTTAAATTATGTAACTAAGGTCACACAGCTGATTAAGGACTAAGCTGAGATCCAATCCCAGGCAGCCAAATGGGAAGGGCTTCTTTATTTTGAACTGCTGTGATGAGCACTGATACATCTAGAAACAGATGTGCCATATACTGCAGAGCGAGGATCCTCTAACTGAGGTCTCTTGGATAGGATTCCGGAGGTCTTTGAGCCCCCTGGAAATAAATGCAGTATTTCCATCAATGTGCATTTTTTTTTTTTTCTGGGAAGGGGGATGTGGTTCAAACAGTCAAATTATCTCAGAAAGATTTGCAACCAGAAATACACTGGGAATCCATGAACAGCTTGCTCTTGACTTTCAGGAAAGGAGAAGTTTTGTGCCCTGGATTAGGCTGCCTTTCTGCAAAGGTGGGCTCAAAAATTCTGACCAGACTATGGACCATCCTTGATTAAACTTGATAAATCATTTGGCAACCTTGAATTTCCAAGGACTGTTAAAGGGCACAAAGCAAATTTAATAAAAATCTTAAGAAATGGGGTGACCTTAGGTGATCTATTTATATAAGATTAGGAAATATAATGGCTTCAGGTACTAACGGTTTCACAGTATTGACCTATCCATGTCACAGGACTCTTTGCCTGGGTGTTGCTGATATTTTCCTCTGTGATTCTCACTGTCCCTGAATTCGTGGCTCACCTAGTCCCCTACAAATTTACGTATTTGCTTATCTGTGTTAATACCTTCAATCTGGTTACCTCCAGCTTTGATGGTTTAGGAATCACATTGATGCTTCTTTACATATCGTAATTGATTACATCTAGCATCTAGGACATTTTTTTAACACCCATCTTATGTGTATCAACTTTGGTAAACATTCCCTTTGGTTGCAGTCATTTGTTGACTCTATTTTCCTTATTGATAATCTTTTCAGCTGCAAATGATGATATATCTATTTCCTTTCAAATCCTTAGCCCTCTAATTAGCTTTTCTTTTTTTGATGTATTGGCTGGGACCTTCAGAACAGTGTTGTAAAGTAACAGTGATGTGCATGCTTGTTTTATTGTTAGCTTTGACAGCAAATCTTCTAAATTTTCACAATTGCTACAAACTGAATATTTATGTCTCTCCAAAGTTCCTATGTTGAAATCCTAACCCCCAAGGTGATGGTATTAGGAGGTGGAGACTTGGTAGGTGATTAGGTCATGAGAGCAGAGCTTTCCTGAATGAGAACAGTGCCTTTAAAAAAGAGATCCAGGCTGGGCATGGTGGCTCATGCCTGTAATCCCAGTACTTTGGGAGGCTGAGGTGGGCAGATCACTTGAGCCCAGCAGTTTGAGACCAGCCTGGCTAACAGGGTGAAGCCCCATTTCTACCAAAAAAAAAAAAAAAAATTAGCCACTTGTGGTGGTGTGTGCCTGTGGTCGCAGCTACTAGAGAGGCTGAGGTGGGAGAATTGCTTGAACCCGGGAGGTGGAGGCTGCAGTGAGCTGAAGTTGCACCACTGCACTTCAGCTTGGGGTAACAGAGGAGACTCCATCTAAAAAGAAAAAAAAAATCCAGAGCTTCCTTTCCCGTTTCACCATGTGAGGACATGTGAGAAGATGATCATCTCCAAAAGAGATGCAAGTCCTCACCAGGCACCAAATCTGTCTGAACCTTGATCTGGGACTTCCCAGCCTCCAGAACTGTGAGAAATAAACATTTGTAGTTTATCAGTCACCCAATCTATGATAGTTCGTTGTAGCAGCCTGAACACACTAAGATCACCACTTAAAATGATGTTTGTTATTGGGGCTTTTCCTACTAAAATTTCTTCTTTCCAGTGCTATGTTGCTAATTCCCCATTATTGTAAAAAATCATTTAAAATTATTAAATTTTATCCATTTTGCATCTACCAAGGACATCAGATGACTTTTAACTTTTTATTTCTAAGTTGACTTTGCATTTTTCTGCTTTTATACATGATGCTGTGGTTTCCCAGAGAACAATCATATTTAAGGGACTTTGAAGTAGGAGGCATTCACTGTCACCACCCATGGGCGTCCTACAGCTACATTCAATATGTTCTTGGAAATACATGGGCTACAATGTAATGACTACTCAAAATATTGCTAACATGACCTACTTAGACATAAGGTAGGGAAGAAAGAATATTTAGCATTTTCCATAAATATATATGTCTCCAGATGTACCTATTCACAGGGAGTCAGAACAAAACAGCATTATGAAATGTTCCATGAGGTCTCCAGGGCCATACATCAACTGAACTCAGCCAGCAGCATGTCTTCTTCAGAAGTGTATCTTTAGTCTTTGAGACTGCCCATGACCAATAAAAGAAACGAGGAAATTTTATGATGAAGTTTATTTTTCCAATATTTTTCCAATATTGAAATACCAGAGGTCCTTGCTTCCAGTAGGCACAAATTTCAGTTACTGTGTTTTAATTAAATAACTCCAGTTCCCCAACAATGTGGGTCAATTTTTAGTTACCTTGATATATTACCTGTAATTGCATGAAGCACAAATTTCCCTGCTAGCTCTTCAGTTCATAAATCACTAAGTAAATAACACATGCACATCATGATCTGTGACTGATCATGTCACTTCTTCGAAGGCAATGACTGGTCAGTACGCATCTGTACTCAGTTCATACACAGACAGCAAAGCATGAAGTTGTGTCGTCTCCTTGTCTCCCAGTGATTAAACCATGTGACATTTTATAAAAGTGAGTAATACTGGTCGGGCGCATGGCTTATGCCTGTAATCCCAGCACTTTGGGAGGCTGAGGTGGGCGGATCACAAGGTCAAGAGATTGAGACCATCCTGGCCAACATGGTGAAACCCCGTCTCTACTAAAAATACAAAAATTAGCTGGGCATGGTGGTGGCACATGCCTGTAGTCCCAGCTACTCAGGAGGCTGAGGCAGGAGAATTGCTTGAACTCGGGAGGTGGAGGTTGCAGTGAGCGGAGATTGAGCCACTGCACTCCAGCCTGGCAACAGAGTAAGACTCTGTCTCAAAAACAAAACAAAACAAAACAAAAAAACAAAAAACAAAAAAATTTAAAAAAAGTTAGTAATCCTAAGATAGGATTAGCAACAAAGATAAAAGTGCATTAAAGAAACAAAAAGTGGTAGTGCTGGAAGTGAAACTTGCATTGAACCTAAATGGAGTTATTGAAGAAATAGCTGATCGTAGGAATATTGATGCTGCTGTGGTTGGAGGCTCTACCATGCAGCTGGAGGAACTTCAAGGAAGCGAGCTTATCAAAATAAGTAAGGAAAGTGGTTGTGACGAAAAGGATGAAGATGTCCCAGAGGAAAGGATGCTGGCAAAAACTGCACATTAAAGGGATTCTCAGAGATAACTGACAACATTGAAAGATTTACACTCAAGGTTTGGAAACTGATTTAAAGTTAGAATTAAGTATAACGATTCACGAAGGTGTGGAGAAGATGCTTGCTTTGTCTCATAAGTTCTACAATGTTCGAACAACTCTTGATAAGTTTTTAATAAAGAAAAAAACTTCAATTTTCAATGTTTCTAATTTTTAAAATTGTAGTGTACTAAAGTATTAGTTTTACTATTTTTATATTTCCCTACTTATAAGTGAGAATAAGTGACTTTTTAATGTTTTGACAACCATTTTTAAAGGTCACAGAACAACTGCAATTTTTACCACTGATTATTAATAATCAGATGTTTTTGCACAGTTGTAGCCTGCACAGTCGTTTTTATGGTCCCACACTACTCTGCAAAGTGAGGACAGTGATATAATTTTCTCATTGAAGAACACTTGGAAAATAGAGCAAGAGAAAAAAATTACATATAACCCCATCCCAAAAGCACTTGTGAGTATAAAAATGTATATCTTTCCAATAGTCATTTTGATTGGTATAATTTTACATCTGTTGGTTTTACATACTTGTGATCATGCTGCTTAAAGAATTTTGTTCCCTTTTTAAAAACAGACTTTACTTTTTAGAGGAGTTTTAAGTTCACAGCAAAATTGAGTGGTAAGTACAGAGAGCTCCCATTATACCTCATATCCCCACATAAGCACAGACTCCCCTACCAGCAACATCATGCACCAGAGTGATACATTTGTTACAGTCAATGAACCTACATTGGCACATCATCACCCAAAGTCCATAGTTTACTTTAGGGTTTACTCTTAGTGACGTACATTCTATGGGCTTCTAACAAATGTATCATAACGTGTATCCACCATTATCATGTCACATAGAATCATACTGCCCTAATAATCCTCTGTGTCTTTGAATTTATTAATCTCTGTCTCACTGAGTAACCACTGGTAACCACTGATCTTTTTACTATCTTCATAGTTTTGCTATTTTCTTTTATATATTTTTTGATGTTAATATATAGGTTTTATTAATTCATCTGCGTAATAATCCATTGAGTGGATACATAATAGCTTATTTAACTTTTTAAGTGAATTAAACTGAGTTGTTACAGGTTTTCACTTGTTTACGGTTTTTCCTTTGCTATTTTGCATTCTTTTCATAGGGTCAATTTCAGAAGTACAGCCATTAGGTCCAAAGTCTCAGCCAATGTATCGAATAAATCTAGCCTGCAGACAAATTTGGCCTGGCCAGCATATTTGTTTATATATACATATATATATTAATGGAGCCCATAGTTAGCACAGTTTACATACAAATCTGAATTTCCTATTTTCCTTGAAAAAAAACCAGGAGATCTGTTGACACCAGGTGTTTCCATATGTCAGCAAGAAGCTGGACCTGTGTAGCTACCACCCCTTTAGAGAGACAGCAATCACATCCTCTGTGAGCAGTAGAGTTTGATTTTCACTAAATGTGATTAGCAAATGGTTTTTAAAGACAAAAGAACCATAGTTTATTTGCTGTGTTATATTTTGATTTATAGTCCACATTTTTTTTCAAAGGAATTTAAGATGTCTCAACAAACTGGTATATGGATGTGTGGGAAATACTTCCGTAATAATGAACTGTGCTGAGTTCGTGGAGCATTAAAAAGTGCTTCGGTTCAAGCTATTCTATTCCACCTTTTCAAAAGGTGGGTTCTTCCCTGAACCATTGCATAGTGAGAAGTTTAGTATCTACAAAAGGTGTGGTGTTTCGTGGTTTTGCATCTTGTTTGATCTTCACACTGGACAGTAGCAACTATAAATTTTAAAAAGTTTTCTTTCTAAAATTACTCTGGAAGCTTACATGCAGATGACCATTGCTCTGCTCCACCACCTTTGCTGGCCCCCTACAGCCTCTGCAATGCTCTCTCCATTCATTAGCCATTCATTAGCTCCTCCCACCCTGACTTCACCCATTTAATTGTTCCCCTCTCTAAAGGTCCATTTAAAATGTGATCTTCTCTCTCATACTGCAGAAATACTACTTTTTCCCTTATAAATGCCCATCGCCTTAATTTCTGCCTCCGGTATGGCCGTTGCTACTTTTTCATTTTATATTTTAGGTGGTTGGGTGGATGACTTACCTCTTCTACAAGACCTTTGAGGTTTTCTTTTTTTTTTTTTTTTCATGAAAGTTTATGTCTACAAGACGCTGTTGAGAGCAACTTGATTCCTCATTCATTTTTGTTTCCCACAAAGTTTATGCCTGAAATGTGTGTATAAACAACATTTGAAAGAAGAAATGGAAATCTCCCATCACTACATCTCAGTATGAAGAGATGGAGGGAAGTTAAGTCCTAAATGACCAGATTTGGATGTTACATGACAGGTGGCTTCTGCACAGTAAACTGAGGCAGAACTGTAAGTGATGAGTAGGTATTCAAGAATGAAAGAGATCATGACCAAGGACAGCCACATCCGACCATTCGTTGTGTTTTGTTGATATGCCCTGACAATAGATGACATAACCAAAGAAAGAAACTGCTGGGGGATACAGGCCTATACCTCTGGATATATTTTTCTATTGTGATTTTAGCTTCAGAGCAACTTCCCTCTGACATAACGAAGACTCTTGAGTATTGAAGATGAATATTTATTGGGGAAAAATGCAATGGGAAATAAAGAAATCAGAAGATTGGAGATGCTTGACAAACTACTGGAAATTTTATTCCCAAGTAATTTATTTCTTATTTGTATCAATTTGATAAATATTATGTAAGTTACGATTATGTTGAATTGCAAATAACAAGAGCAGGTGTTTATTTTTTTTTACATAATAACAAGTCCAGAGGTGTGTTTAGATGACTGTGCAATGGCTAGGCCACTGGTTCTGATGTTCTTGGCTTCTTCCTTATGGTCACAAGATGGCTGCTTCAGTACCAGTTCTTATATCTGCATTTAAGAGATTAAAAAAGAAAAAGAAGAAGAAAAAGAAAAAGAGGCACAGGTACTTCTGCAACTGCATCTGTCCTCTTTTATCAGGAAAGCAAATGTGTTCCTAGGAAGCCACTGGTGGACTTGGTTTGTTTCATGGCTATGTTGTCTCGCATGGCTATGTATCGCCAAAAGGGAACCTTTGAAAGGAAATATTTCATTGAATGTTTTTATACTCTGAAAATAAAGTCATGTTTATTATATATGAGATAAAAGAGAATGGTTATTAAACAGGTAATAGACAGAATTGGTCACTGCCATTTAATTCCAATGTCAGGGGTCCCTAAATTCAGCATTCTGGGATTACCTTTTCTTTTAAAGCTCAACTGTAATAGTATTCTCTGGGCCCTCATTCAATCTAAGGGTTCTTTTTCTCCCTCCATGTTGAGAATCTGAAAACTTCCTTCTTTTCCTTCCTTCCTTCCTCATCTTCCTTCCTTCCTTCCTCCCTCCCTTCCTTCCATCTTTCTTTCTTCCATCTTTCCTTCCTCTCCTTCCTTCCTTCTTCCTTCCACCCTTCCTTCCTCTCCTTCCTTCCTTCTTCCTTCCACCCTTCCTTCCTCTCTTTCCTTCCTTCCTCTCCTTCCTTCCTTGTCTTCCTTCCTTCCTTCCATCTTTCTTCCTTCCATCCTTCCTTCCTCTCCTTCCTTCTTTCCTTCCTTCCTCCCTTCCTTCCTTCCTCATCCTCCTCCATCCTTCCCTCCTTCCCTCCCTCCCTTCCTTCTTTCCTTCCTTCCATCTTCCTTCCTTCCTTGCCCTCCTTCTTTCCTTCCTTCCTCCCTTCCTTCCTTCCTTTCCCTCCTTCTTTCCTTCCTTCCTCCCTTCCTTCCTTCCTTCCTCGTCCTCCTTCTTTCCTTTCCTACCTCCCTCCTTCCTTCTTTCCTTCCTTCCTTCCTTCTTTCCTTCTTCCCTCCCTCCCTCCCTTTATTCCTCTATTTCTCTTCCCTTCTCTCTCTTTCCTTCTTTCTCTCTTCTTTTTCTTTCCCTCTTACTTTTTTCTTTGCTTCTCTTCTCTTTTCTTTCTTTTTTGAGACAGTGTCTCACTCTGTCTCCCAGGCTGCAGTGCAGTGGTGGGATCGCTGCTCATTGCAGCCTCAACCTCCCAGGCTCAAGGGCTCCACCTGACTCAGCTTCCTGGGTAGCTGGGACTACAGGTGCACAACACTACACCTGGCTAATTTTTCTTTTTTTTTTTGTAGAGGTGGGGGTCCCCCTATGTTGCCCAGGCTGCTCTTGAATTCCTGGGCTCAAGCAGCCCTCCTGTCTCAGCCTCCCAAAATGCTGAGATTACAGAAATGAGCCATGGTGCCCATCTCCTTCTTTCTTATACAGACCCATTAAACTATCTTTGCAACATCAGTCTCTGAACTCACCTTTGTCATCCAAATAAGCCATCAAGGTTTCCTAAGTAAAGAGCTATCCACATGGATATGGATTAGGCAACTACCCCTAGAATAGAAAAATGACTGCAGTCAGTTGCTTGAAATACTCTTTTTCCTTTCTCCTCCCCACAAATGAAAATAAACACTTATTATTTTCAAGTTCTGAAAAATAGTGTTTTAGGTCTGAAATGTTCAGAAATCTCAACATCAGACACTCGGAAGAAAATATGGAGTCAGTGGGACATGAGTCTGTTCTGTTTAAATCTACATTCAAGTATGTTAAGGTCAGTTTTATCATGCAACCATCATTTCTGTAGTTTTAACTTACTGTCTCTGAATATGTTGTCTTTGTGATGCATGAAACAGTGTCAAAATCAGGAACGCGACTTAATGTATTATTCTCAACACTTATGATGATAAAATATCATTGGTCTGTTGTGAGTAATGCTCATAAATGTCGTCCGCTTAACCATATTCAAACCACATGCAAACTTTCTAACCATATGCAAATTCCCATTTGTGATGGTCACCTTCACTCATAGTTTAGAAAATGTTGTGGTTGATTATCCCCCAGCTCTAGTGGTGGGCTGAGATTCGGTTAAACCAACCAGCATATGTCATTATCCATGGTAGTAAGCAGCTTTGGAAATAGCTCCCATGGGGTCCCCACCTCCTGGTATTCATGCTGTTGTGTAATCCCTGCTTTTTGAGTGTGGATGGACTTATCACTTGCTAATTGATATGGTTTTGCTGTGTCCCCACCCAATTCTCATCTTGAATTCCCACATATTGTGGGAGGGACCTGGTGGGAGGTAATTGAATCATGGGGCAAGTCTTTCCCATGTTATTCTCATGATAGTGAATAAGTCTCATGAGATCTGATGATTTTTAAAAGAGAAATTCCCCTGCCCAAGCTCTCTCTCTTTGCCTGCTGCCATCCATGGAAGACGTGGATTGCTCTTCCTTGCCTTCTGCCTTGATTTTGAGGCTTCCCCAGCCACATGGAACTGTAAGTCCAATTAAACCTCTTTCTTTTGTAAATTGCTTGGTCTCAGGTATGTCTTTATCAGCAGCATGAAAATGGAATAATACACTAATAATGACTAAAATATGGCAGAAATGATGGGATATCCCTTCCAGGATTAGGTTATTAGAGACTGTGACTTTCATCTCTCTTGTTTGCTTGCTCTCATGAAGCCAGCTGCCTTGTTGTGAACTGCCCTACAGAGAGGCCACATGGCAAAAAGCTGAGCATGGTCTCTGCCGAACAGCCATTGAGGACCTGAGGCTCTCAGTCCAACAGCCCACAGTGAATTGAATCCTGCCAGTAACCACTGAGTGGGTTTGGGAGAGGATCCTGGTGAACCTTGAAATGACTGGAGTCCTGGTTGACACCACAATTGGAGCTTACAAAAGACTCTGAGCTGGAGGACCTAGTGAAGCCATATTTGGATCTCTGGCCCATAGAAACTGTGAGGTAATAAGTGCATGTTATTTTAAGCTGCTAAGTTTGGCAGAAGAAGGAGGGGAGTGTAATTTGTTACATAGCAATAGATAACTGATACACTCCTAGTTACAAAAGTTTGTCCAGGTATGTGCATGTGAGCAATTGAGCCAATGGTAAGTAGGCTGATCCTCGACTTTTCAACTGGTAGAAGGAGAGGGGAGGGAAGGAAAAAAGAAAGCAAGAGAGGAGGTGGCGGGCGTGGAGAGAGAGAGAGAGAGAGAGACTATTTTCTGCCATCTATGAAGCAAAGAAGTTGTTCTATAGCTGTTGTCATCTTGCGACTTTGTGGAGGTAACCTGTCTTAAAAGAAAGCTAACACAAATCAGAAAGCATAGCTGAGAGAGAGGGAGATACCAGGTTCTAGGGCATCATTTAAATACCTTCATCACACTGTGTCTGAAGCCAGTGGATGTGAATCACTGGATTCCCTTTTTTTCTTAAGCCAGTTTCCATTTTTTTTTGTAACCCAGACTTTGACCTGATACAAACTGTAATTAGCTGATGATCAAAACTTCAGCTGTCCAAAGAAGGACTTGTCACCCTAAAACAGATGTTCCAAATTTTGTCTCAACTGACACAATTTGGAGCATCTGTTTACAGCTTTACAGGAAGGGGGAGAAGGTATTTTTAAGTGTGTGAGCACAAGTTAAAAAAGTAATTGGAAACTAAGTAAGTACAAAAACATCTTCAATCAAAGAAACATTTTGTAAGCTGAAATATTGTTCATTTTTATGATGGTATGTGTATATCTTCATATATAAAACTTCACTGTCATTAGAAAATGTCACACAAAATAACAAATACACCTTTTTCAATCTGGTTATAAATATGCAGAATGGAGTTTATTTACCAAAGTGTTACACATTTCCAACTGATAATATATCAATAAAAGCTCTCACTCCAAGATGTCATTAAAGCCACATTTGTTCATTTCTATTTATTATGAGAAAAAAAAAACAAAATGAAAAAAGTGGATTTGAGTCATATTTCCTGTGAGTTCATCATTTGCTGGCATATAACACTTGTGAATTTTATTCAATTCATTTAAAATGATTTCTTACATGCAGCCAGAAAGTTGAGGGTGGCAAGGAATTCAAAATGATCAGCAGGCATCCAAGATTTCTCAGGAGACAGATTTAGAATCACAACTGAGGTATGTTTTCCTTAAGGAATGTATCGTAGAAAAACTAGTTCTAATGAACCAGAATTTGTTCCTAATAAATTCGGCTCATTTGTGTTTTGAAATTAGTAGACTCAAATGACCTTCTTAAAATGAGGTTTCTTCCTTTCTTCCCTTCCCTTCCCTTCCCTTCCCTCCCCTCCCCTCCCCTCCCCTTCCCTCCCCTCCCCTTCCCTCCCCTCCCCTCCCCTCCCCTTCTCTTCCCTTTCCAATATAGACCAAGATCTATGGTACCCATTTCAAATGCCCTCAGAACTCATTCTTTTTTCGTGTTTATTTCATAAAAGTGGGCATTCTATCTATACCAACCTTTGCACCTAACATGTAACCTGTTTTGGCCAGTGGGATGTTAGCCAGCATCACACAAGGAGAGGTCCTTTTGCTCCTCTGTCTCTGTCAAAAAAACAAAACAAAACAAAACCAGGCTATCCTGATGGAGAATTACACATCTGGCTCAGGTGTAGCAGCCAACAGCCAGTGAGGCATAGAGTGAACCTAGCATCACAAGAAGAACTACCTAGCCCAGCCCAGCCCAAATCTCTGACCTGCAGATCTGTGATTTAAATACATGCTCGTTGTTTTTAGCCACTGTATGTGTGTGCGTGGTGTTCAGGCAAGTGTTTTTCAACATTATCATGGTAATAGGTAACTGGTACACACCTAACACCTGAATAACCGATTATATGGTTGAAATATCTGGAATGATTCTGATTTCCTATACTGCGTCCTGACTGATACAGAAGTTTATAGACATTTTCTCATTTAATTGTCACAACTACCTAACATGGCAGGTATTGTTGCTGTCCCATTTTACAGATCAGGATGCTAACTAAATCATTCAAGTCCATACAACTCCGAAATGGCAGAGTGGAAAGCAAACCAGGATGCTGAATTTGAAAGCCCACATTCTTAACCATCAGACCACACTGACTGACTCAGTTTTCACACTGAGAGTGAAAAATATTAGCAAGTTTCCTCTGGAAAGATCTAGAAGATAGGTTTACAAGGTCTAAATTGAATGGGAGCTATAAAGGAAGTACAGGTTTCATGCAGAGAATCTGAAGCTCTATGTCCACTTGCATATTTTAGAGCTGAATTCTTGGAGGGTTGTGCAGCCTCTTCATCTAATACAATTGGATTTGGCCCTATCTTCAGATTTAGTCATTTCTTCCATGACAGCATATTAAATGACAATCTCAAATAAAGACCACTCATCTGAACAAAGGGAACACGCCCCACTCAGGCCCTTCTTTGATTTATAACCAATTCTCTTTTAACATGTGGACCCAACAAACGAGAGATAGCTTACTAGCTCGAACAATGAACTTGTTAGTTAACAGAATTAACAGTGTGTTGTTTCATTGTGATGACAGTAATAAAACAGGAGACGTGAAGCAGATATAGTCACAACTAAATCGTAATGGATGAGATATTTACAGCAAAGCTGTTAAAACATTGAATAAAATATGGGAAGAGCAAAAGCAGATGTGTTTTTATTCTTCTGAGTTGAAGCTTGCAAGGTAAAAAGATAGTTTGAGTAATAATCGCAGGTTCTGATTCACAATGAATTAATAAATATTCATATGGTACCAGCCGCTGAAACTTTCCAGATACAGAAATAAAGTGAGAAAGCCTGTTCTTGCCTTACACTTTACTAAGTTTAGATTTCCAGACACACATGTCAATATCTCCATTAGGTTCCTGTAAAAGTTCTCTTTTATTTTCCACTGCGTTCCAAGTCTTGATGGTGAAACATTCATCTTTCCTGTTTTGTTCCAAATGTCACAGTATTTCCCCCACTCAAACCACAAGAAAGTAGAAAGAAGTGATGGTCTATTAATAAAGAAGAGACCTATAATTTAAGTAGAAGATAGAGGTGGAAGGAAATGAGCATTTCTCTTTGAATTAGGCACAGGCAAATGAGCTATATATCCCATTGGATGTCCACATCCCCAAATGAATTAGAACGGTGGGATGCCTGATTTTGCAACAGCAAGCAAAACACATTTATGCGTTTTTCTTTTGTGATTATCATTGTCTTTGTTTTAAAGGAGCCGGGAGTTTTTTGAGAGCACAAGGGAATGCTACCACATTACTCAGGGTTGAAACAACTTGGGAAGCATAATTTGGGGGGTGTGAAAGCATCAGGATGCTTGGTCCAGGTTTGTTTTCCTGCATTTCAGAAAAACAGCTGCTGGAAAAAGAAGGGAGAGGCTTGGCGCAGAACTGGTTTGGATTTTTTTGGGAGGGAGAAAGGAAGAAAGTGAGACAAGAGTGTCTTGCAGGGGCTCAGATCTCCCTGGCTGGGGGCCACAGCCCTCCCCTCTTGAGTACCTGGTTTGGGTATTGGAGGCTTCCTGATGGATGTCCATGAGCTCTGCAGTCGGTAGCACAACAGGGCTCCTTGAGGTTGCTATGACATCCTTTGTTCCCCATTTCCCTGCTTTTATTGGCATATGTACCTTGGCTTGTATGTAGAACCCGAGGGCTTTGTGTTGCATTTTCATTTTCCCCTCTGTTTTATTAATCACTGCGTCCTTTTCTCTCCCTGCACATCCCCAAGTCTTCTCCCTAGACTTGCACAGGAATCTTTCATTTGGGTTCCATTCTTTGTTTTCCCTCAGATGATCTCTGTTGGCTGTAAATGAGTTTTTGTTGTTTCTCACCCTCTCTCCCCTCCTTGGCCTTCGTATTATTTTTTCCTTTTAATTAATTCCATCCCCACAGACTTACATTTGCGTTTTTTCATTTTCCTATTCTTCTCTGTCTTCTTTGAAAATCTCAGGGTAATGTTCTGGGCACTTGTCTGTGGCTCGGAGTTCTAGGAAGGGAGAGGCCGGGGAGGGGGGCTTCCAAGCAAGTAGGGCACAAGACCAGCAGGAAGAAGCAGCCCCAAGCCAGGACTCACCAAGGAAGCCTCTTACCAAGTGCCTTCTGGTCAAAAGAAGGTTATTTCCAGGGCCAGGCGTGGGGGCTCACGCCTGTAATCCCCACACTTTGGAAGGCCGAGGCGGGTGGATCACGAGGTCAGGAGATTGAGACCATTGTGGCTAACACGGTGAAACCCCATCTCTACTAAAAATACAAAAAAATTAGCCGGGTGTGGTGGCAGGAGCCTGTAGTCCTAGCTACTTGGGAGGCTGAGGCAGGAGAATGGCGTGAACCCAGGAGGCGGAGCTTGCAGTGAGCTGAGATCACGCCACTGCACTCCAGCCTGGGCGACAGAGTGAGACTCCGTCTCAAGAAAAAAAAAAAAAAGAGGGTTATTTCCATAAGAACCTTCCTTGCACAGAAATCTGAGAGCAAGCAGGCCTCTCAAGGGTCAAGAGTCTTACCACTTCCATTTTGGGGGATTCCCGATGTGTTAGACAATGAAGACGGACTAAAAAAAAAGATTTTTAAAAATTGTGGTGTATTTAACAAATTAACACTCCTTACACAAATCTAAGGCTATTTCATTGTGGCATGTGCAAGCAAATTAGCAGATTTAGAAACAACGCTTAATCTGAATGCACTGCTGATAGTCTTGCAAACAAGTTTCACTAACAAAGTCCAACCACACCAGGTATTTTAGAAAGCATGTGATGTTCAAAAGCTAGTATTATTTGGTTTATCGGCTCAACCACGAAGGAGTTAGTTTCCTATTATGCTCTGATTCTCTTGTCGCCCTGTGCACAATTGACCAGGCATTTTTTTTCCTGAGTGGGGGGATTGGGGGCGGTCTGAGTTTTAGATGGTTCACGTTTTTTCCTAGTAACTTTAGCAGAGGAATTAATTATTACTGTGCAATCGCCTTTTTTGGAAGGATATTTGGAATGTGCTTCTTGTCTCTTTTCCCTTCAGACTTTTTTTCTTCTTCTTCTTTGAATTGGACAGCCTAAATGTTAGCTTTACTGGAGCTGAACATACTGTAACACTTAACCAAGGTGAAAAATGACTGCTTGCCAATGACTTTTACATCTATATTAAGACTATGCTGGTTATATAGCACAGTTAGATATAACATGTTCAAATACAGAGAGTGTGATAGATCCAGGCATCGATGATATGCTTTCTTTAAAAACAAAAGGATTGCAAGAAGTGAGCCAGGTATGGCTACTTAGGAATTTGTGCAAATAAGAAAAACACAGTTATTAACTTTTTTAGGCATTGGTCTGTATCTAACTTTACTCTTTTTTGGATTTATTTATTCATTGGCTAATAAAGATTTTCAGCCATAGATGGGAGTTTGTTTTTTTCCTAGGTAATTGGTAAATGAATAGAACCAGACTTTAATCAGTAAACAAGGTATCTGATAAATTGATTAAATAAATGATTCAATATTGTTGGAAGAATGAGACTACAACTATCCCAGTTTAAATCTTCAGTGCTCTTAGAACCTCATTCTTAAGATGAGGCTCTTTCTTTATGAATGGAATTGATTTACAGAAAACGAAGCATTTGGCTGAGTTTGTGACTTACTTGAGATTGCACAGCAAGTCTGAATTAAATCTGTGTAACAGGTTCTAATCCCATGGTCCAGCAATTAGACCATTCTCTCTAAGCTTCTTGGAAAATTAATTTCTCATTACAAATAAATATATTCTGCACCATGGTCTGAACATACCAATGCTAAGCACATTTTCTGACAGACATTTCAAAGATATAGATGAGCTCTTGCATCTTTTCAAAAGCAATGCAAGGGACATTCACACAGCAGGTGCTGGAAGGGTCCCTCTGGCAGACAGAGGAGATGCAGAAGTTCTGCTCAATCAGGTTTTCCTGACCAAGCCTGTCTGTGTAGCTGCGGTAAACATGCACAGGTCTAGCGTTCAAAAATGGGCCCCTGGCTCTCACAATGAACCTGACAACCTGACCAATCAAATTCAAGTCTACCACGTTGCCAGGGTAACTAATACACAGTCACAAAAACAGAACGATCACAGTGAGGGAAAAATACAAAATGCAGCATTTTCATGCTTAGAGAAAGAAAGAGAAAACACAGGCTGACCGTACATAGCAGGAACTGATACTTGCTTCTTCCTTAACTATGAGCCATTCATTTACAGCCATGTGCAAATGCCTATGTGCAGATGTATGCACCTATCCTCTTTCACAGAAAATATGTGCCTCACTTCTGGAACATTATTAGTGAATTTAGAATGGGAGAAAGATGGCAGATTATGGTTTGAGGTGGAAAGATCTGGAGGCACACACACAAAAAATGAGCATCCACCCTTCTTCCTTGAGCAACTCCCGGGTTGAAAGGTGCTTCCAGACTCAACTCAGTCAATGGTCCTTTCTTCCAGTATTTAAAGGATGCTACTGCCAGGGTAATAAAAGCCACCCCATGCCCTTAGCAATGACTATCTCCAGGCTAAACTGTCCCTCTGTTTTGCTATGTGCCCCCATAGTATAGGTGCCGAAGTGATTCTGAAAAACGTAGATCATGTCCTGCCCCCGCTGACAGCTCCTCCCCTGACTTCCCTTGCAGGCTGAGCAGCAGGTGGTGTTTACACCATGGCCCACCAGGTCCTGCTGAGTCTGCCTCTTCCTAACTCTCTGCCCTTATTTCTTGACTCTCTCCCCCACAGTCCACTGTCAACAATCTTCCTTTCTGTCCCTTGAACATGCCAAGCTTATTTCCACTTGCATTAGTTTCCTGGAGTTGCCATAACAAAGACCCACAAACCAGGTGGTGAAAAACAACAGAAATGTATTCTCTCATAGTTCTGGAGGCTTGGAGTCTGAAGTCAAGGTGTCTGCATGGCCGTATCCCCTCTGAAGGCTCTAGGGGAGTCTATTCCATTTCCTTCTCTGAGTTCCTGACGTTGGCAATTCCTGGCATTCCTTGGCTTGTGGGTGCTTTGTCCCCATCTCTGCCTCCCTGTGTGTTTCTACATCCCTTCTCCTCTTCTTATGAAGACATCAGTCACTGGATTAGGGCCCACCTAAATTGAGTAGAACTCGACTATATTTGCCAAGGCTCTATTTCCAAATAGGGCCATATTTGCAGGTACTAGCAGTTATCACTTCAACATATCTTTTCGGGGACACAATTCAATCCATAATGCCACCTCAGGACTTCCACCTTGAATTCTCTTCTACTAGCCCTTTTCATGGCTGGCTCCTTTTATCTTTTGGGAGTGAGCTCAAAAGCCATCTTGTCCGGAAGCTTCCCAGATCACACATTTTTGACTTCCCACCCCTCAACTTCTTGTCATCAATGCCCTTTGTTTCTTTCTTAGACCTTATCCCACTGGATATACAACTCCCCTCCCTCTCTCAAGGAGAATATGAACTCCCAGGAGTAACTTCTTTGCATGTCTTATTCACAGCTCCGTTCCCAGAGTGTAGATGAGTGCCTGCAACAAAATAGGTTCTTGATAACTATGCATTGAATATAAAATCTGAATCAGAAAATTTGGGAAGTAGGAGAAGTTGTAGAAGAGAAGGCTGAGTTGAGGTGGTACTGAATTTATGACAAGCATTCAGCATTTTCTGTGACAAATATCTGTTGGACATCAATTATGTGCCAGACACTGTTCTAAGTTACAGCTCAGCTAAGACAGACACAAAGCCTTGAGCTGCATCTGAGTGAGAGCCCGAGCACCTGCCATATGTTGAGTGCTTGCTATCTGCCGGCACAGTGCAGAACACCTGTGATGTTAATCCTACAGAAAATTGTAGAAGGCAGGTGCTATCATTAACTTTACTTCTTCCCAGGTGAGGAAACAATTTCAGAGCAAGTTCACCTCACTGGTAAGCAGGAGAGCAAACTCCTCCTAAACATGGGGTTCCGTTCCCCACCCTCTTAGCTGCTCCCCTATGCAACTCTTGAAGAAAACACTAATGCTGGCCAGAAGTCCATGTAGTTGGCAATCAGCTGCATTTTCCTGATGAGAAAATGAAACGCAGGAAAGTTAAATCACTTCCACACATCACAAGCTAAGGGGTGGCAGGTAGGATAGGAGGGAGACGGCCCTGGTTTGTTGTCAGAGCCCATGTTCATAAGCCCTACCTTTATGTCCTCAAGTCTATAGGTTTGTGGGCAGGTATAGCAGGGGTATCCTTTTTTTTGTTTGTTTGTTTGTTTTAACAGAGCTCAGAACCCAAGCTTCTCAAACTCTAAAGAGTGTAGGATTCATCAGGGGATTCCAAACCTAGACTTTGAATCAGCAGGCCAGCTGTTCCCATTACCCTCGTGTGACCTTCTGGGGCTCCCTGATTTCTCACTCATAGCCATACTCACCACATGGCAGGCTTTGTGCTACAGAAGGGTCCCTGGGAGTCTGCAGGACACCATGGCCCAAACCACTTCTTCTTGTTATTCCCTGAAACAGACATATGTTTCTTTGCTTACCCCAAGTCCAGACCTTCTGATAGTAACATCTCGAATTTCCTTTTGAGGAACCATGCCTCCCTCATCCCAGTCCAAAGAGTTTGAATAGATTTGACTCTTCCTCCTTGGTTCCAGATGTGACAATGTACTTCAATGGACTTTATGGGGAACAAGAAGACATCTTCTCACTAGGGCTACAAAGTGCATAGAATGCATGTTGGATGCTCTGTTACTGTGAAGGGAGAGTCACCCAGATAATAAAGCCAGCATTGAGGTAAGCAGAGATGAAAATTAGAGAAAGAATTCTGATGAAATCTTGAAATGGCTGGATCTGGTCCTGGGAGGTAGGCTTATTGCAAACAATTCCATGATAAGTAAGACAATAAAGTCCCTTTTTTTGCTAAAATCAGATTAAATTAGATGTTGACATCTGCTGCCAAAAGAATCCCAAATAAAACATTTCCTTTAGGATAAATTCCCCTGTACTCCAGAACAATCTCCCTCAGAAACTGGAGTGGCTCATGATGGTATTTCAAACTAAAGTGCCAATGACTAGGAATGCTTGCTGACTCAACCACTGGAATGTTCTGGAGATGAAATTGATATTTGAAAGCAACTGGAGGGTGACTGACAGTTGGTAGGTACTTAAAAAATATCCTGAGTCTATCTAAATGGTGTATTTTCTTTTTTTATGTGCTAGAATATATGTACTTGGCAAATCTCAAATATGTTTGTAATTTGGGGAATATAATAGGAGATATTTTATGTGAGAAAAGTTCTCATCATTGCTTTTTGCCTGTTTGGTTTATTTTACATGACTGTGAAATGCAAAATTCCAAGATTTTGACTTTTTGAATGATTTTCCTCTCTCTCCCATCTCCTTTTCTCCCACACTTACACCATCCATCCCCAGTGGTCAAAGGTACGAGGATCCACCATTTGGAACTTCATCTTTTAAAGACCAGAAACTCCTCTTCAGGAGAAGGAAGGGTGTGATTTATTGTGGCTTTATCTAAGATAACACAGTGAAAGTTCAAGTTCTCTAGTTTCTTTATTAAAAAAAAATATATATAAATACCAGTGATTTATAGCAAGGGTAGCAATTTAGTGCATAAGAAATTTTTTTTGCTCTATTCCTCTCCATCTTCACCTTTCTTAAAGTAACTAATTTTAACAGCTTAGTGCATATCCTTCTAGTCATTTTTCTATGGTGTTATAACCAGACACAAATGCATGCATGTATATGCATGTATATATGTATGCCTATATACATAAACACACATACACACATCATTTTTTTTTAACATATTCTTGTACACTATTGCTTTTGTATATATTTCCAAAGGTAGGATTGCTGGGTCAAAGGGTATGTATACTTCTATTTAAATGAACACAGATGATTACTTTCCAGAAAGTTTACAGAACTTCATATTCTCACCAATGTATTTCTCCAAATCACTGCTATCCCAGAATTTTTTTGCACTTGGTACTGTGGTAGTTTCATGATTTTTATTCTTTTTTCTCTTTATAAGAGTTAGCATCTTCCCCATTCGAGTCCTTAGGACCATCACATCTGTTCTATGGCCCCATTGTGCATGCCTTTCCTGTCTTTCATGTGTTCTTTCGGAGGTTGCCCCTCGTAATAATGAGGATGAAGATGCAGCTGATGTTTATTGAGTGTTGACTACCTGTGCTGAGTCTGCTACGCACTTACAGTGCTGAATAGGTTTTTTTACTGAAAGTTTTTCCTTTGATATTCACGATAACCCTACGAGCTATCTAGTTTTATAAGTCGGCTTTTACAGATTAGGAAACTGAGGCTCAGAAAAAAGTTAGAGGATAGGTGTGGTGGCTCACACCTCTAATCCCAGCACTTTGGGGGGCTGAGGTGGGAAGATCACTTAAGCCCAGGAATTCGGGGCCACCCTGGGAAACCTAGTGAGACCCCTGTCTCTAATAATAATAATAATAATAATAATAATAATAATAACAACAATAAGATAAAATAAATTAGCTGAGTGCAATGGCGCACACCTGTAGTCTCAGCTACTTGTGAGGCTGAGGTGGGAGAATCACTGGAGCTTGGGAAGTTGAGCCTGCAATGAGCTGTGATCACACCACTGTACTCCATCTTGTCTCAAGAAAAAGGGTGGAGGGGAAGGTTAGAGTAATTTGCCTAAATGTGCAGAGGGAGTGAGAAGCAGAACAGGGATGAATCCGAGAGGTCTGTCAACTGCAGCATAGACGGCACACAAGCACTGTGCACATTGCCTGCTGGATACCCAAGATGGGATTCATTAAAGTGAGGCCAGGTCTCTATGACAAAAGTCCAAGAACCTCCTGAAATGTTGTGCAGGATGCTGGGAGAGGTTTGATTTATTTTCTTCATTTACTAAGCTAGCAATTTAATCTTACATTTCAGTTTGAAATATTTTAAACATGCGTTCCCAATATTTGTTTACTTATTTATAAATTATATACTTGCACTGAAGTATTGATATCTTATGTCCACTAGAAAGCATACATAAGCAGTTATAATTTTAAATGGTGACTCAGTTTGAGCCATTGTAACAAAAATACCATAGACTGGATGGTTTAAACGACAAACATTTATTTTTCATGGTTCTGGAGGCTGGCAGTCGGAAATCAGGGTGCCAGCATTGTTAGGTTCTGATGAGGGTCCTTTTCCAGGCTGCAGGTTACTGACTTTCTATTGTATCCTGACATGACAAAAGGGGCCTTTAGTGGGTAATTGGGTCATGAGAGTGGAATCCTCATGAATAGGATCTGTCCATCAAAGCAGTTACAAGCCTGCCTTGCCCTAAGGGCTGGGGAATTAGACTAAACTTTTTTTTTTTTGAGACAGAATTTTGCTCTTGTTGCCCAGGCTGGAGTGCAGTGGCATGATCTCGGCTCACTGCAACCTCCGCCTCCCAGGTTCAAGTGTTTCTCCTACCTCAGCCTCCCAAATAGCTGGGATTACAGATGCCTGCCACTACGCCTGGCTACTTTTTGTATTTTTAGTAGAGACAGAGTTTCATCATGTTGGTCAGGCTGGTCTTGAATTCCTGACCTCAGGTGATCTGCCCACCTCAGCCTCCCAAAGTGCTGGGATTGCAGGCGTGAGCCACCATGCCTGGCCAGACTACAATTCTTGATGAGGGAATAGGATTCATGAGGATTCCACTCTCATGACCCAATTACCCACTAAAGGCCCCACCTCCTAATATTAGTTTGGTGCAAAAGTAATTGTGGTTTTGCCATTAAAACGAATTGGCTGTAGCTGAGGCTGCAGTCATCTGAAGGATGTCCTAGTTGTGCCATTGGCATTACCATTAAAAGTAATGGCAAAAGCCGCAATTACTTTTGCACCAACCTATTATTACTTTGCAGATTAGAATTTCAATATGTGGATTTTGGGTGGACACAAACATTAGGTCTATTACAAATTGATAAGATAAAACTGAAATTACTTGTAATCTAATTATTCTATTTGTGAATAGTACCAAAATATCATTGCTCTCACTAAATAAAATTACTATTAGAAATGAACCTCATGCTTATTAGTTTTACATGTTTCATGACTTGCAATGGCTTCATAGTATTATTAAAAAATATCTTAAGCCATGGCTGGGCGCTGTGGCTCACACCTGTAATCCCAGCACTTTGGGAGGCTGAGGCAGGCGGATCACCTGAGGTCGGGAGTTTGAGAACAGCCTGGTCAACATGGTGAAACCCTGTCTCTACTGAAAATACAAAAAATTAGCCAGGGTTGGTAGTGGCTGCCTGTAATCCCAGCTGCTTGGAAGCTGAGGCATGAGAATTGCTTGAACCTGGGAGGAGGAGGTTGCAGTGAGCCAAGATCGAGCCATTGCACTCCAGCCTGGGAGACAGAGCAAAACTCCATCTCAAAAAAATAAAAAGTAGGCCAGGCGTGATGGCTCACACCTGTAATCCCAGCACTTTGGGAGGCTGAGGTGGGTGGATCACGAGGTCAAGAGATCAAGACCATCCTAGCAACGTGGTGAAACCCCGTCTGTACTAAAAATACAAAAATTATCTGGGCATGGTGGCATGCGCCTGTAATCCCAGCTACTCGGATGCTGAGGCAGGAGAATCACTTGAACCTGGGAGGTGGAGGTTACAGTGACCTGAGATCGCGCCACTGCACTCCAGCCTGACAACAGAGTGAGACTCTGTCTCAAAATAATAATAATAATAAAATAAAATAAATAAAAAATAAAAAATATTGAGCCATAACATGTATTTGGGAGGAGGTTTATTGTTTAATTATCTAGTAACATGTAACAAATGATCCCCAAATTTAGTGATTTAAACTCACAAGTTTGTTTTGCTCATGATTTCTGGGTCAGGAATTAGGAAAGGGCTCAGCTGACTGGTTCTCACCTGGAGGTCCTCGTGTAGTACAGTCTGATATTGGGTGAAGCTGAGGCTGTAGTCATTTGAAGGATGTCCAAGTTGTGCCATTGCCATGGCTGGCAGCTTTGGGACCTTAACTGGGGCTGTTGGTCAGAGCATTCATGTGACCCTTTCACCACGATGGTCTCAGTGTAGCTGGACTTCTTGAATAGCAGCTCTTGCTCCCTCCAGAATAAGCATCTCAGGAGAAACCAGAGAGGGAAGCTGTATGGCTTTTCCTGACAGCCTTGGAAGTCACGTAGCATTCCCTCTGTCATAATGTATCCATCAAAGCTGTCATAAGCCTGCCTTGGCTCAAGGGCTGGGAATTAGACTATACTTTTTTTTTTTTTTTTTTTTAAGACGGAGTCTCACTCTGTCGCCAGGCTGGAGTGCAGTGGTGCGATCTCGGCTCACTGCAACCTCTGACTCCCAGGTTCAAGAAATTCTCCTGCCTCAGCCTCTCAAGTACCTGGGACTACAGGCACCTGCCACCACGCCCAGCTAATTTTTGTATTTTTAATACAGACGGAGTTTCACCATGTTGGCCAGGATGGTCTCGATCTCCGGACCTCATGATCTGCCCACCTCAGCCTCCCAAAGTGCTGGGATTACAGGCATGAGCCACCGCACCAGGCCTAGACTATACTTCTTGATGAGGGAATAGCAAGATCACATTGTAAGCCAGCCTATGGAATGGGAGAGATGACTGAGGCTATCTCTGAAAAATGTAAACCTCATCATTACCGATTAAGTTATTTATTAATAGATATTTATGGAATGCCTGCTATGTGCCAAGCTAAGAATATGAGTAAAAAGCATGAAAAAACACAAGATCCCTGCTGTTCTGGAGCCTATATTCTAGTACAGAAAATATCAGATCATGGTTTTAAATGTAAATCTATATGTTACATAATCTGCTGGATAACTTCCTTTTTTGTTTGTTTGTTTTGACAACTCCGAGTTGCTCATCATCATTTTTTTTTTACATCACAATATAACTGATAAAAAGCTCCTGTTAATGGTGGAAGAAGTTAGAGCCATTTTCTCCTTGCATGCAGATGCTTGCATTGTTAAAATTTCCTTCAATTCACATTACTTTGTAGGAATCTTTAAGCCACTAGTCCTTTTTGTGAGGGCTGCTATAGTTAAGAGGTGATAATGCTGTCTATGAATCCACATTACTAGGCATGTGTAAATTGCAAGAAACCTCAATAGGCTGTAGGCTAGAGGCAGTAAGAACACCATTGTCATCTGCAGAGACAATTTGACTTCCTCTCTTCGTATTTGAATACCCTTTATTTCTTTCTCTTGCCTGATTGCTCTGGCCAGAACTTCCAATACTATGTTGAATTGGAGTGGTGAGAGAGGGCATCCTTGTCTTGTACTGGTTTTCACAGGGAATGCTTCCAGCTTTTGCCCATTCAGTATGATATTGGCTATGGGTTTGTCATAAATAACTCTCATTATTTTGAGATATGTTCTATCAATACCTAGTTTATTGAGCATTTTTAGCATGAAGGGGTGTTGAATTTTATTGAAGGCCTTTTCTGCATCTATTGAGATGATCATGTGGTTTCTGTCATTGGTTCTGTTTGGATTACATTTATTGATTTGCATTCTACTATAAAGACACATGCATATATATGTTTATTGCAGCACTATTCACAACAGCAAAGACTTGGAACCAAACCAAATGTCCATCAATGATAGACTGGATAAAGAAAATGTGGCACATATACACCATGGAATACTATGCAGCCATAAAAAAGGATGAGTTCATGTCCTTTGCAAGGACATGGATGAAGCCAGAAACCATCATTCTCAGCAAACTAACACATGAACAGAAAACCAAACACTGCACATTCTCACTCATAAGTGGGAGCTGAACAATGAGAACACATGGACACAGGAGGGGAACATCACACACCAGGGCCTGTTGCGGGGGCGGTGGGGGGCTTGGGGAGTATAGCATTAGGAGAAATACGTAATGTAGATGATGAGTTGATGGGTGCAGCAAACCACCATGGCACATGTATACCTATGTAACAACCTGCGTGTTCTGCACATGTATCCCAGAACTTAAAGTATAATTTAAAAAAAAAAGAATGCCATTGCCTCCCCCATCCCCAATTCCTCTGAGTTGTAGAATTCCCACCTTCTCTCAGAATTTCTGCAATACCATATGTAACCGACGCAGAGGGAGTGAGGCAAGTGTCAAGCTGCTTATTAAAATATAACACAGTTTAATTTCTTTCTTATTTTTAGTTTGAAGTAAGTATAAATAGAAGGTCTAATATCTTTTTTAGCTTATTTTCCACTTTGGAGGACACTGCTCTAGAAAAAAATCAGAAAACACTCCTCACCAGTTAAAGAGGATGATGCTTCTGGAAAGGACACAGTCCCCAATAATGAAACAACCCCCACAAGTTGTCTCCGTGAGTGCCTTCTCTTGAGTGATGATGCAAAAGGAGCTGAAATGAGTTGCAACTTGCAGGAAGTAGCCTGACATACAACATTGTTTAAATTAAAGTGAATGCAAAAGAGAAGCTTGTTACAGCTTAAATAGATAGAGAAGGAGAACTTTTTCTGTTTCCAGTTGCTTGTCTGCTTTGGTTGGAGACCATATGCTTTGAAGAATCTTACAAATATTCCTGTCCATATACGTATTAGAGTATCTCAGGCTTTTCTCTCTGGAAGCCTTTGTGCCATTGTCTGAAGGATCTATAAAAGCAATAAGCCATCTTGTAAATGGAGCTGGAATATGGGATGCTCTTGTTCCTTTCTTGCCAGCGGCCACTGGCATTTATTCCGGAGTTGATGCATCAGTGACCAGGGTTATTGCTCCCAGAATCCATGTTAAACCACACAAGCAATGGAAATTTTCTCAGCTGTGCTGTGAACTCAGTCTAGGCTTATTTCACTCAAGTATGAATAGCAATAAAGATATTAACAGCAATGCTAATATTAATTCTAATAGCTAAGAGTACCCAGCGCCTACTTGCCAGGTGCTGTGCTAGGAAGCCACGTGGATTTAATTGTTACTCCTCACAGCAACCTTATGAGAAATATACTGTCACTTATTGGACATCAGAGCAGGAAGCTTCTCCAAGGTTTGGAGGAATTAAACAATTTGAACAATAGAGTCTGAGCCCAAGGAGGATTCCCATAGTCTGACTCCAGGTTTGCAAGGTTAATTAATGACTTTCTGTCTCTCTAATATATATCTCTATATGTTATATAGATATATATAATAGATATTTACATTATATATAATATATATAAAACTTATATATAAGTTATGACAAATAAATTTTAACCACTATGGAAAACTTGCAACTCAAGTTTCTATACATATGATATGGTTTGGCTGTGTCCCCACCCAAATCTCATCTTGAATTGTAGCTCCCATAATCCCCGTGTGTAGTGGGAGGGACCCAGTGGGGAGTAATTGAATCATGGGGGTGGGTTTTTCCCATGCTGTTCTAGTGATATTGAATAAGCCTCATGAGATCTCATGGTTTTATAAAGGGCAGTTCCTCTGCACAGGCTGTCTTGCCTGCCACCATGTAAGATGTGACTTTGTGCCTCCTTCGCCTTTTGCCATGATTGCGAGGCCTCCCCAACCACGTGAGACGGAGTCCATTAAACCTCTTTTTCTTTATAAATTACCCAGTCTTGGGTATGTCCTTATAGCAGCATGGGAATGGACTAATACAATATATAAGTATATATTATATATAATATATACATATAAAATATAAATTTTTATATATTATATAAACTATATGAATATTATTTATATACTGTAATATAAATGTCATATTATATGTAATATGTAATTATAATTACATATCACTATAATATGTTATATATATAATTTATTAGAAGGTCATTTTGGCCAGCTCCACACTGCTTTTTGACCATCTTACATCAATGCCTCATGTCACCATTGCCAGGTGTTGGTGACAGAATTCTAAGATGACTTTCACTGACCCTCACCCTTGTGTAATCCCCTTCCCTTAAGTGTGGGAGGAACCTGTGACTATGACAAGATACCATGCCCATGGAAAAAGGGATTTTATCATCGTAATCATGATGCATAATTAGTTGACATTAGGATAAGGGGTTTATTCTGGGTGGGCCTGACCTAATCAGGTGAGTCCTTGCAGGAGCTCACGCTCTTCCTGTAGAGAGAGTCAAAGAATGAGTGGGGTTTGGCATGAGGGAGATTCTCCAATGCTGGCTGTGAAGATGGAGGGGGTCACATGGCAAGGAGTGTGGGTGGCCTCTATGAGTTGTGAGCCAGCAAGAAAATGGGGACTTCAGTCCTACAACTGTAAGGAACTGAATTCTGTTGATAACTTGTATGAGCTTGGAAATGGATCCTTCCCCAGACCCTCCAGATATGAATGCTGCTTAACCAACACCTTGATTTCAGTCTTGTTAGATCCTGAGAAGAGAATCCAGTCATGCCACGCTTGGGCTTCTGATCAACTGAACTGAGAGCTCATGAATGGGAAGAGCTCATTATGTTAAGCTGCTGAATTGGTGGTAATTTGTTACATGACAATAGAAAAATAATATACCATTTTCTTATTATTAATATACTTTTTCTGCACTATAGACTCATTGAGGTGCCATGGGTGTCTTTCTTTCTTTCTTTCTTCCTTTCTTTCTTCCTTCCTTCCTTCCTTCCTTCCTTCCTTCCTTCCTTCCTTCCTTTCTTTCTTTCTTTCTTTCTTTCTTTCTTTCTTTCTTTCTTTCTTTCTTTCTTTCTTTCCTTCTCTCTCTCTCTTTCTTTTTTTCTCATCTCCTTTGCATTGTGCTTACACCTAGCAGGTGCTGTAAATGTGAGCTAGAGAGGCTGTGTGTCTAGTTAGGAGGACAGACTCTGGAGCCAGACTGCCTGGGTTTAAACCTGGCGCTGTGTCTTACCAGCTGTGGGACCCTGGGCAACTTACTTAACTGCCATGTGTAAAATAGGAATGAAATAATCATGCTTGCTCATAAGGCTGGGGTGAGGATGAGATGACCTTTGTGTGTAAAGTGCCTAGTACATAGTAAGAGCTCAACAACATGTTAGTAATTATTACTGTGTGTTTCATAAATTAGCAAATAAATCTTAACTACTATGGGACAAAAGCCCTATAAAAAATTCGTAAATGTCTCTACCTGCTTAAGATAAGTTTATGGATTTTTAAAAGCTTTTCTGGACTACTTGCTATTAAATTACTAAGGTATCAGTACTACAGGGATGTCCTCTGGCACCATGGAGAATTGGGGCCCAGTCCTAAATGGTCCCATTCTGTATGATTTCTATTTGAATTCATTTGGGGAGAGAATCTGTAGCTTTGAATGAAATTTTCAAAAATTCCTGTTCACATATTAGAATATCAGTATCTGCAGGAAAAATTGATTTCTTCTTTGTCGTTGTTAGATGTTCCCTTCTGGGCATGACCATGTACTGCATTTAGCACCAGTTGCTTCTAGTTTCCCCACATGTACTGTGGGCTGAAAAACCCACAGTGATCAACTAAGCGTATACGTCATGCTCTATTTGCCCTGGCAGGGCCATTTGCCACCCTGTCGTACCCTGCTCTCTGGCTGCAAAGCTGAACTTTAGGGGCTTCATCAACTGGCTCCCTAACTCACTGCCTTTCAGCTAGGCAAGCTGGCAAGAAATAAGAGGGAAGAGAGGAGGCTGGGATATTTGTTTCCTAGACTCACTTTTTCTGGGGTTGCCTTGGCTGGTCGTTTCCTCTGTGGTCATCATTCCTCTTCAGGTAGCCTTTTTTCACAGAGCTCTTCCTCGTTCCTGATTCTGGGAACAATGCCCTCCTCTTTTCCTTCAGACCCCAGGATGGTAACAGCTTCTTCAAATTTCCGACACCAAACCCTTTGTAAATAGTGCCTTTACTGAACTGCCCTTGAATTATCCCAGTCTAAATGAGCCATCTGATTTCTGATAGGCCCTTCACTGTTACACCGAGATCGTTAGATTTTTAAGAAGAGTTTGGAGTCCATAGGTTCTGACTGTAGCTCTCTAATTAGCAAAGTGCTTGAGTTTGACTACATCTATATGGGCTGTTCAAAGGACCATTTCTCTTGCTTTTCACTGGGTTTTCAGTTATATTCTAGATGATGGAAGTTGGTAGAGAAGTGACCTGTGTGTAAATGAGATATTTCAGGAAGTTTTGCCATCAGGACATCCCACTCCACTGCATCTTATTTTGAAGCAAGCTCAGATCTGAATCCATTGAAACAGGAGCTGACAAACTGAAGGAGCGAATCTTCAGACAAGACAATTTTTAAAGGTTGTTTGTACATGTCTTTAGATAAACCGAATTGTCCCTTGAATTCCATTTCCTGCAGATTATTTCGGGAAATTCTCGAAATGGATCGTGCATTCAGTTCTCATATGGAACACTTCTATTTTGCATATTGACATGCATTTTAACAAGAAAAAGGTCAGTGATGGGAACAGCACTGCTTGTTGGTGTGACAGTCAACATTTACCTGAGCCTTTGTGATACACTGCAGTTCAAGATAATTTAGTAAAATAATTGTCATGATTGATTTTTATTTTCTTTCTGAACCCACAGTTCACTGTGTTGCTCTTGGGCTAGGTAACTTTCAGAAGCTTAAACTTCCTTTTGGTGGAAATTCATTTATTCAGTTCTGGATGGATGACAAACTTTGATTAAAATCATGAACTCTTTTATGATCCGTTGGCGATAGCTGGTGAACCCAATTGCTGTTGACTTATTCTTTGACCAACATCTGTTCACTGGGTGACATGAGAATGGCAGAAAATGAATGGTTGGGATTTTTCTGTGCATAATATTCTTTCTTATAAATCACACATCTGAGGACTTTGGTGGGAACCTGGGGAGAAAGGTGGCATTCAAACACATTGTCATCACAATCATAACAGTCATGTAGCTTTACATAGTAAGTCTTTGTCCACCAATGGTAAGATTATACTTTTGTGAGAGAAGAATAAAAGACAAGTTATGTTTAGAATAGTTTACAACTTTCACTTATGAGAAAAGAGGGATGCACTTGAGGAGAAATGCATGACACTTAGATCAAAAGAAAGGAAGAGATGCCCAGAGAGGGCCAGAAAGACACCAGATAAAAGAAAATCTCAGTTCAATTTGAGAAACATTTATTGACCGATTACTATGTGCCAAATACTCTGTCTGGTGGTGTTTCTCACAGAATCAGTCGAGATGGATGTCACTTTTGACATTAGCTTGCTTGGCATCTCCTGGGAAAAAAGGGGACAAAAAACTATCTGTGCTAAGTATTTGCTGATTTTCCAGCCATATATCCACTCCTCTTTCTGATTTTCCTTGGTATCATTCTTCCTTGTTCTTGGGCTTTGAGTTGTAGAAAGGGCTGACCCTATATCTACTCCCAACCCCAGGTGTGGACATGGGACCAGGCTGAGCCAGTTAGCACAGCAATAGGTTCAGCTAGCTACCTGACCCCAAGTATTGCTGTAATATTCAATTATATATTTGGCAAAAACCAGAAGAAAAGTTCTTATCTGCTGTAGTTGCACTTGATAGGGATTCTAAGTGTAAGAGTAATGTAAACCCACAATTTCTGGGAGTTACCACATAGAGAAATCTTGCTGAACATGAAGCTGAGCACAGTGCAAAGTGGAATTTAGAGACTGACAGATATCAAGCCCTTTGATTGGTATTTGAGCTCCTGGATCCCACTATGCCTGAAGCTACATTTACCTCCTTGGCATGTCCAAAACATTCTCCTCTTTAACTTAAACCTACTTGGTTGAATTTTTCTCATATTCTTTTCAAAGACCAATACATTTATTTATCATTATACTAGTTGTTACGGGTTGAATTTTGTCCCTCAAAAAGATGTGTTGAAGTCCTAACACCCAATAACTTAGAATGTAAATTTATTTGGAAGTAGGATTGTTGTAGATATAATTAGTGAAGATGAGGTAACTAATTAAGGTAGGCCCTTAATGCCACATGACTGGTGTCCTTATAAGAAGAGAGACCCAGGGATAAGATGACCATGTGAAGTAGAGGCAGAGACTGGAGTTATGTTGCCACAAGCCAAGGAACCCCTGGAGCTACTAGAATGGGTAAGGAAGGATCCTCCCCTAGAGCCTTCGGAGGAGGCATTACCTGCATGACAACTCGATTTGGGGCTTTTAGCCTCTAGAGCTGTGAGGCAATGTTTCCTGTGGTTTTTTCTTTTTTGAGACAGAGTTTCACTCTTGTTGCCCAGGCTGGAGTACAATGGCATTATCTCGGCTCACTGCAACCTCTGCCTCCTGGGTTCAAGTGATTCTCCTGCCTCAGCCTCCCGAGTAGCTGGGATTACAGGCGCCCGCTACCACACCTGGCTAATTTTTGTATTTTTAGTAGAGATGGGGTTTCACTATGTTGGCCAGGCTGGTCTCAAACTCCCAACCTCAGGTGATGCACCCGCCTTGGTCTCCCAAAGTGCTGGGATTACAGGCGTGAGCTACCATGCCCCACCGTTTTTGTGGTTTTAAGCCACCCAGTCTGTGGTACTTTGCCATAGTAGCCCTGGGAAATTAACACATCAATAAGAAGTGATCTGCCATGATGAAGGTATTATGGGAGTTTGGGCAAGAAGATGACTCACCCTGATGGGAAGATGAAAAAGACTTCAGAAAAAGTTTTCCAAAGGAAAATGGCTCTTGCACTAGTACTTGGACGATATACAAAAATTAAACAGGTGAAAAAGGAGAAAGGAGTGTCTTGAGCGAAGGTGCTTGTGGATATGGAAACGTGTTTGGTGACCTGCAGGGAGGGGGCTGTTTCTCCAGCAAGAATGGCTGTGGAGGTTCCCCAAGGCATGACACAGGATGGGCAAGTGTAGGTGGAGTCATAAGGCACTTTACCCTTCACCCATGGAATTTACATTTTAACAGGAGGGCAATGGGGCTCTGTCATGAGGGCAATGGGGCTATTTCCACCCGGAGTCCTAGCAGGCAGTTCATGGTGGGCATTTTAAAACAAATTTAGAATTTTGGGGTCTAAGAATTTTGACACCCTATCATAGAGCCGAGTTTCTCAGTCTTGGCAGTATTGACATTTGAGGCTAGGTAATCATCTGTTGTTGAGGGCAGTTCTGGGCATTATGGGGTGTTTAGCAGCACCACTGGCTTCTACCCACTAGATGCCAGTCACCCTCTCATCTCAGTGTGACAACCAAAAATGTCTCCACACATTGGCAAATGTCCCCTGGGAGTCACAATTACCTCCAGTTGAGAACCTGTATACTAGACATGAAAGAGATTAGACTCATTCCACAATCAACAGCTACTGCAAGCCCGTTGGGCACCAGGCACTGTTTTAGGCACTGAGAATAATAAGTGAGCATGAAAGACAAGGCCCTGCCCTCAAAGGACTCAGATTTTCCAGCAGGAATGGCTTCATGTCACATTTCCACAGTCTATGGCTGGACCAGCTGGGTCCCAGATGGCTGTCCAAGCTCTGTGAGAGAGAACAGCCAGAAGAGAGAGAAGGTTTCTGCAATCATGACAGCTATATTGCTGTTGGAGATTGTAGTATTGACTGCTAGGGGCTTCCATATATTTATTTCCACCTCTTCCTTAGTAGCGAGCCTTCATTTTGAGCTGGGCACATAACCCCTTGGCATGAAAGTCTGCATTTCCTTGCTTCTCTTGCATTTCTTTGGAACATATGCATTATGACTAAATCTAGCTAAAGAGACATAAGAGACAGTGCTATGAGGACTTCAGAGAAGGCTCCTTAAAGCAGGTGGAGATAGTGACACTTTCCACTCCTTTCTCTTTCTGCTGCCTGGAATGTGTATTTGATGCCTGGAGCTCTAGCTGCCACCCTGGAGAATTCGGTGCATGGTGACAGAATAATGGCCCCCCAAAGATATGCATGTCCTGATTCTCAAAACCTGTGAGTACCTTACTTTAGATGGCAAAAGGAACATTACAGATGTGATTAAGTTAAGGATCTTGCGAGGGGTGATTATCCAGGTGGGCCCACTGTCATCAGAAAGGTTCTTAGATGAAGGAAGCAAGTGGGTCAAAGACTTTGGAAGCAGAGGTTGGAGTGATGTGCTTTGAAGATGGAGGGACAGGCCATGAGTCAAGGAATGTGGGCAGCCCATAGGAGCTGGAAAAGGCGAGGAACTGATTTTCTCCTAGAGCCCTGAGAAGGACCACAGTCCTCCTAGACATCTTTTTCTTAGCACTGTAAGACTCATTTTGGATTGTGACCTTCAGAATGGTACAATACTAAATGTATGTCGCTTTAAGCCACCAAATTAGTGATCATTTGTTACAACAGCAATGGGAAATGAGCACAAAGTGATCTTGAGAAGGGACTCTTGTGCTGGGTTGGGGAAGTGGAAAGACAAGGACATATGTTCCCTGATGACACCATTGGGCGACCATGTTGGCCTTAGATTTGTTACTTTTGGACTTCTTTTATGCATGAAAGAAATAAACTTCTATCTTATTTAAAACAGTCTTATATTTGGTTTAGTGTTGTGTGCCACCGGTCTGTGTTTCCATAGCTTCTGAATTTGTCTATTTGACATCCATTAATTACAAGGCCAAACTAATGACCAAAGTTGTTTCCATTTATTCTGTGATCCATATTTCATACTCTGAGCCCTCTCCTGTAGCTTACTCTCACACACCAGCCCAATATGTCCCCTACCCTAAATCAACCTGGGGCCAGGTACCAGACAACTAGGAACAGCTTTAAGTCCCAGAGCCCACTAGAATTATTTAAACTAGACAGCTCTAAGCTGTTCACCTGTCCTGCCTCTGCTTTCCTGCAGAAAACCTGATGAAGGCTGTGCCGGGTGCCTTCCTCAGATAAAATTGTGGTCAGGGATCTTTTTGTGTGGGTGACCTTTAAGCTGAAACCTCAGTGATGGAGAGAAGCCATTAGGAATAAGAATGGGGCCAGTTCAAGTCTTTTTAGGCAGGAGGAATAGCTGGGCAAAGGTGTTGAGGTGGGTGGGAACTTTGTAAATTAGAAGGCCAGGTGGTTGGAACATCAGGAGAGATGGAGAAAGATGAGGTCATATGGTGCCATACCAAGTTAAGGAATTTGGCCTTTCTTCCAGGTGCTGTGGGAAGCCACTGGAGGGTTTTAAGCGGAAGACATTGGCTCCAATGTGCATTTTAAAGAGATCACTCTAATGTTGCTATCTTGAGCATGGGAAAAGCTGACCCACCATATGGCATGGTCCAATTCTGTCATGCCAACTTTCATTAGTCCCTCCTGGGGCCTTAAAAATTATATTAGAGCTGACTCCTAATGTTCATGTGAATTATGATCCAGGACACCAGAGCGAGGCTGCTTTTCTTTGTGCATGTGGTTTCTACATCAGATACGGTCTTTCTATGAGGCAGATAAATATAAGTACTTGAAAGTATTTTATGGATCAATGAAATATTAATGGACCTGGAGGTGCTTTAAGTTTATTTATAAAGCTGGGTCATCTATAGGTCAAATACCATTATAGCAAATGCAATTGTAATGAATATCTTTGATAAATTTGGTTTTTAAGGCTCAACCCATGTCCTGCTTATTTCAAAATTATGAGCTGTAGGCTTGTAATTTCTTACATGCAATTCTGAAATCCAAAAAAAAAAACCACCTGAAGACCAAAGTTGGCTATTTTAAATTTGTTTTATGATTCACTTGATGGCCAAAATTGAACTAAGGGATATCCCCACACAGCAAGATGAATAAGGACTATATATATGTATGTGTGTGTGTGTGTGTGTGTGTGTGTGTATAGTGACATTTGAGGCTAGGTTGCACTGCAGAAATATTGGGCTTGATTACGGGGATCAGCCTCAGTTTCCTTTGAGATTATGATTTAATATATCTGAACCTATTAACCTAAAATCTAAGTAAAACTTGAATTTTGAAATATATTTGGCCTGAAAATTCCAGATGGGGGATTATAGACCTCCACAACTGTATGTGATCATTTCTTCAGAATGTGCAAAACAGGCATTTGAATCATAATTGATCATATTAGAAGGTAGGTGGAGCCATTTAAAAGACTAAATAAATTACAGAAATTCTAATAAGTGTACATTTGTCTGTCCCATTAATTTTACAAAACATTTTGTTTGTGGGTGGGGATGGGGAATCCTGTAAACTCTTTGAGGTCAGGGGCGAGGACGATTTTATCACCATATCCCTAATACGTAACAGAGCCTGAAGCACTAGCTACTCAATAAATATGTGCAGAATGTAATTATTAACTCGGTTGAGGAACCTGGGGATCAGATGATGCGTGACCCATCCAAGTGCTGGGGTTGGTGGACTGGAACTCAGGTCTTCTGACACCTTTTATTTTTCCTTATACTGTCACTGCTGTGCTAAAATGGAAAAAAAAAAATTGAAGGCCTGTCTGAGGTAATCAAAAACATTGGAACATAAAGGAGGAAGAGGAAGGCAAGTGGCCTTCGTTTCCATTGGACAAAGCTAATCAGTCTGTATGAATAGCCAAGGGTCTTGTTTCTAGATAAAAGAAAACTCTCCAATCAGTTCTAATCCAAGAGCATCGCTGGCAGTGAGAGATTGTAAAAGCGAAATATTCACTTTGAAAAATGAAACCTATTAAATTCAGGGCATTGTAATTTCCCATTGTGAGACTGTTGTACCAGCGATTAAATTCTATTGTGTGTCTACAGTCCTTGTTACCAACGATGTTTAGTATTATTAACTGAGATTCTAAGAATATCAGCTCTCCATAGCTGGAGAGCTGTTCTGTTCCTCATGTGAAACAATTTGCATATATCTTGGATTCGCCCTTGATATGCCTCTTTCCCTCCTTATTCCCTGTATGCCATTTAGAAGCCAGTCCTGTAGACTCCATCTCCAAATATATTCTGTGTGTGTTCATTTCTCTGCCCACATGGTTCACATCTGGGCAACTCTGGCAGCTTCTATTTTTTAAAAAAATATAACCTTTAACTTTTATTTTAGATTCATTTGCAGGGGTACATGTGCAGGTTTGTTGCATGGGTTTATTACATGGTTGTGGATATACACATCAGCTTTACCAGATAGTGCTAAGCTGACCTCCAAAGTAGTTCTACCAATTTATACTCCTGCCAGCAGTATATCAGAATTTTCCTGTGTTACATAAGAATTTTCCTCTGTTACATCCTTGCCTACTGATAGTATTTAGACTTTTAAAAATTACTGCTCGGCCAGGCGCGGTGGCTCACGCCTGTAATCCCAGCACTTTGGGAGGCTGAGGTGGGTGGATCACGAGGTCAGGAGATTGAGACCATCCTGGCTAACACAGTGAAACCCTGTCTCTACTAAAAACACAAAAAATTAGCCGGGTGTGGTGGCATGTGCCCGTAGTCCCAGCTACTCGGGAGGCTGAGGCAGGAAAAAGGATAGTAACACAGGCTGGCCTGGGCAGCATCACAGGACTGCACATACCCCAACATGGTGGGAAACAAGCAGCCATTTGTATTCATGGGGATATGGAAATGTTGTGTGAACTCTTTGCCTGGAAGAAGACTGGGTTCAGGTAGAGGAAGTTTAGGGGACTGGGACTTCATGCCCGGAAGCAATGGTGAGATCCAGGGTCATTAACACTAGAGGCCAACACAGAGCCCAAAGGACTGGTGGGTCTCAACTGCATCTTGGTGGACACCAGCCTGGAATGCCCATTGAGCAGGGAGGCCACCCTCTGCAACAGTAATTGCAGTAAGTGTGAAGGGCAATGCCGGAAGACCATGAACAGAAGGAGCCGTCATGAAAGGGGAGCTCACAGGCCAGAAATGCCTTCCTGGCACCATGAGGAACTGACCTTTCCCTGATGCCCAGGTGCATTATGGGAAGGGGACAAGAACCCTGAAATTAGGGAGAAACTCTGAAAGGTTGAAAAATTACTCCAAAGAAAATTTAGCAAGATGAGTACTAATGCCCTTAATGGATAAATGAATAGAGTTTGGTTGTCTGTGTGAATCAAGCTTGAGAACAAAGGGGTATATGTTAGAGAATATGATTCAGCTCTCCCCCTCCTTTTTCTTTTATACATTGGAGTCAGTTATAAATATTAACCTTTTTTTTTAAATGAAGTATTGATATGTGTTATAACGTGGGTGATACCTGAAAACATTGTGCTAAGTGAAAAAAGTTAGTCACAAAAGACCCCATATTTTATGATTCTATTTATTTGTTATTAATTTTTTTATTTCCATAGGTTATTGGGGAACAGGTGGTGTTTGGTTATATGAATAAGTCCTTTAGTGGTGATTTGTGAGATTTTGGTGCGCCCATCTCCTGAGCAGTGTATGCTGCACCCAATTTGTGGTCTTTTATCCCTCACCTCCTTCCCACCCTTTCCCCCTGAGTTCCAAAGTCCATTGTCTTTGCCTTTGCATCCTTATAGCTTAGCTCCCACTTATGAGTGAGAACATATGATGTTTGGTTTTCCATTCCTGAGTTACTTCACTTAGATTAACAGTCTCCAATCTCATCCAGGTCTCCGTGAATGCCATTAATTAATTCCTTTTTATGGCTGAGTAGTATTCCATCATATATATATATACCACAGTTTCTTTATCCACTCATTGATTGATGGGCATTTGAGTTGGTTCCACGTTTTTGCAATTGTGAATTGTGCTGCTATAAACATGCATGTGCAAGTATCTTTTTCGTGTAATGACTTCTTTTCCCCTGGGTAGATACCCACTAGTGGGATTGCTGGATCAAATGGTAGTTCTACAATGAGAACACATGGACACAGGAAGGGTAACATCACACACCGGGGCCTGTTGTGGGGTGGCGGAAGGGGGGAGGGATAGCATTAGGAGATATACCTAATGTTAAATGATGAGTTAATGGGTGCAGCACACCAACATGGCACATGTATACATATGTAACTAACCTGCACGTTGTGCACATGTACCCTAAAACTTAAACTATAATTTAAAAAAATGGTAGTTCTACTTTTAGTTCTTTAAGGAATCTCATATTAATTAGAAATGATGAAGATGATAAAAGTAACTAAGAAGTATGAGAGTGAGGTTAAGGGCACCCTTTGATGACATGACAGTAACTAAGAGGTATGAGGGTGAGGTTAAGGGCACCCTTTGATGACATGTCAGAGGTTCTTCCAGGAGAACTGAGACCTACCCAAAGAGAAGAAACCAGTGATGAATAAGGTTGGGAGAAAAATGTGCCAGGAAGAAGAAACAGCCCAGGCAAAGGCCTTGAAATATTATTGAGTTTCGCATGTTCTGAGCCATGAAAGAACAGTGGGGCTGGAGCTCAGGAAGTTAGGAATGGAGTGACCAAGGATGAGGAAGGAGAGGTGGACGAGGACCAGGTTATATAGGGCCTGGTAGGTAATGATATGGAGGTCTGGGTTTTATACTACGGGCAATGGCACCATGAAAGAGTTTTAAGGACTTGATTTGTGTTTGTAAGTGATCGTTATGCCCTATTCAATATAAAATAGGAAGAAGAAGACCAGGAAAGAGGCTACTGCAGTGCATAACCAGAGACGGAGTTCAGTAAATGGATTCAGAATATAATTTGGAGTTAAAATTGCCACAGCTTGCTAATGGATTGGCTATGAGAAAGAGGGAAAGAGAGAAATGATAATTCCTAAGGTTTTGGTTTGAATAAATCAGTGGTTGGAGTTGGGGGTGATAGAGCCTTTGACTAAAATGGGAAGACTAGGGCAGAAAAGTCTTGGGTGGGGTTGGGGTTGCTAACTCCATTGCTAATGCATGGCTACTGTCTGATTTCTCAGTACTAAAGAACCTGGATCTGCCAAACTGTAAACTCTCCTTCAAACATCAAGGGTGATGACAATGCTTGCAATATAGTTGATATAAAACTATGTTCAAGTCCGTGTGTTTCCATTATTTGGTTTTTACTTAGTTGATCATTTATTAATGACACTGTTTACATTTGCATTTGGATGCCTTGCTATAATTAAAATAACTCTTGAATTTATCAACTGAGCCCTAAATTAAAGACCCATGAAAGGCTCCACATGATGGAATAAATTTTCATATTCAGTTGTCTTAGATATGGACAACCATATACGTTTTTCTGACACACGTAATGTTTGACATCAGTCAAAAAGAGTACAACAGAAATATTCTGTGTTTAAAGCAGAGCTGGGGGAAAAGAAGGCTAAAACATTCCATATTGCATAAAAGAAAGAGTTAGATTGTCACCAAAGTTAAAGGAAATCAATGGGACGACTTTGGAGACCCATTTCAATCTGTTGTTGACATTGTTTTCTGGTAGTAATTTTCTCAAAATGTTAACAGTATTGAGTTTGCCTATTGATTCTATTATTTTTGACCTTGCATTAGTGTGGGCTAATCTTACATGCCATAAAATTTTTTTTTCACAGCTGAAATTATTGTATGACTCTGGAGGAAACCTCCAATCAGGTCAGATGCCCTGCTCAGGATTTCGATGAGTGTATAAGCAACAATAATGAGCTATGTTGACTTCCAATACACTTTCATGTTGTTTACATTTTATTAAATGGTTTAAGCAGGGTCATCATATAAATGATCAACATATTGACTAAAACACTCAAGCCTTGAAGAATTGAAGGCCACAGACAGCCAACCAGATTGGTCACCTTGAATTTGAGTCAATAGCATAAATATATATTTGGCTACAGAGTCAAAGCCCACTTTATATTCATTATTCTGAAAACCCTGCTAAATAAACAGCTCCAAAGTGTCCCACTGGAAGATGCCCATTCTACTGACTCAGTAACCCTGCCTAGCTATGTCCTCTCCAGAACCAAATAATCCAAGCTGAGTGAATTCAGCAAAACTGGGGGCAGTTGATGAAGACTAAGTGAATGGGAAACCAAAAACTCTTGAATGGTTTTCCTGGGAAACAAATAGATTTATTGTTGGCTCTATGTAGAAGAAATCTGGCAGCTATATTTTCAAGGGTTTATGAAATATAGTCACAACACATCATTAGCATCCTGTCTATTCCCCACCCTAACACTCCCGTATATCTCCATGGTAGGTCAAATCACCGTGCACTGCACTACCCACCCCACCCCTTTCCTTTGAGGCTGTAGTTACTCAGTCTGCATGCAAAGAAATTTCAGAGTTTACTGGCACAATGCTAATGGGTTTGCCCACAAATACTTAGAAGAGTATTGCTAGAGGAGTTAATTTGCCTCTTAATGATTTAATTATATGCTACAGCTCTGCTGTTCAAGAATAACAATGTTCCTCGCTTTCTTGCTGCTGGGCCTGCTGATTTTGGAGAGTTTTGGAAAAGAATGGAATTTACTCTCCTTTAGTGAGAGGGGAATTGAGTTTGGGAAAGAGAGAAGCATTTCTCCCATGCCACAAATAACTATGCCCATTCATCTATAATGGAATGAGGGGGATATGTCAGGATGACAGTGATAAGCATTATAAAATGCGCTGTGATTTTTATTTGCATTTTCTCGATTGATCCCATGAAGTAATATTAGTTCTAATTTTCCTATAAGGTTGAGTGAGGTCACCTGGATTGCTTAACACAGAGATAGACAGTGGATGAGCTAAGGGTCCAACAGAGGTCTTTTGACTCCAAAACACAACGTCTGTTTTTCCCTACCTGAGCCTATCTTTCTGCGGCTTAAAAGACCTGAGTTCCCTGGGCCCTCTGAATGGGAATGATTGTGATTTTAGGATCAGAGTGGCTCTGTAGACCACACTCTGTACTTCATTTTGTACTGCAGGTTGGGTTCTTTGGAGGCAGAATTGGGAGTTTCAGGTATTTATTGGGATTAACACCTATAAAAAGAAGGGGAGAAAGCAAGATCGGGCACAGGCAGACGTTGAACTGACATGCAACTCTGATAAAGCCCCTGCCAACCCTTTGGGGAGCTCTGGGGCTGGTATTGCCTATCAGAGCATCCTGCCTTGGACAGAAATGACTGGGCCTTTATGCCCCCACCTTGCTGTATCACTATGGGGGCTGCTCTGAAAGCATGACCTGGGTGCAGCTGGCCCTTTGCAGCTGTGGCAGCCCCTGCATTCAAGAACAGATGGCAAGGAGTGGGGAGGGGGTACAGTCTGCTGACCCACACCCCTCAGCTAGATGGTAAGGCCTTTCCTGAAGGGAGGTCTGAGCTGAGCAGCTCATCTCTCTGTCTACAACCCACTGTTTCTAGGTATCTGTAGAAACACTAATCACTCAAGAGGGACACAGAAGGGAGAGAGAAAAGATTACAGGGTGCAGAATCAGGATGTCTGAGTCTGTATTCCAAATCAGCCTCTTCCCAACTAGGGCTTTATGGTAAGATACTTGAACTTTGAGATCAATCCAACCTGTAAACTGGAGATAAAGGAACAATTTTATTCATTTATGATGAGGACTAGGAATAATTTCTTTAAAGTAATTTCAGTCAATAAGGGCTATTTTTATGAACCTCTGAAGAAAGAGTTCATGTTCTGGGCCACTCATCAGTCTTCCTAACACCCACCTGTTTATGTATCGCCCCCTGGTTATAAGCATTTTCTTTCTGTTCAGTGCATCCTAAAGCGCCATGAGAATCCATGCACTTACAGCTGGATTTTCTTCTAGGCTCATCCCCGTAAGATCTCATCCCAGGGGGCTGGGAATGAAAGAGGGCCCTCCCCTGAACTTGGAGTCCTATAAATGGTTGAATCACCAATGTGAGAGTCCCCCCGCCAGGAGCTCAATGCAGAGGCTAGTTCACCTAACCGTTTCCCTTCTTTACTCTGGTCTGCAAAGGAAGCCAAGCTCAAAGGCCACTGGATAGAGCTTGGGGCCAGTGGTGTCTGTGTGCACTGCCTGGCACTCTCAGGATTCAGGTGAGGGCAGAAGGAGACCCAGGAATAATTACTGAGTACTTATTACTTGCTGGTCATGGAGTCATGCCTTTGCATGCATTGCTCATTTCATCTTCACAACAATCCTTTGATGAAGTTATTAGCCCTGGCTGCATTTTAGTGAGAAGCAGAGGCTCACAAAAGATGAGGGAACTTCTCAAGCCCCTATAGCTAGTGAGTGTTGGAGCTCAGAATTGGGCTAGGGCAGTCTGACACACAGCTCTGAGTGTGAGGCAGGTGGGGAATTTGAAGAGAATTCAGCACATTCACTTTGCAGGAAACTGAGAGGTTTTTCAGTCACAGTGTTGGTCTTGGTGCAGTAGAACATGGGTCTCTTTTCCTCATTTTCTTTAGTGAGGGTAGATTCATCTCCAAGTCTCATTTTTCTATTAATTCTATTACTCCTATATTTAATTTCATTTTCCTGCAAATTAGATTCTTCAACAACTGCGTTGTAGTTATACGCATGTTTCATATACATATGAGAAATAAAGTTTACGATGATTATGGAATCTTAGATGAAAGACTTCACTGGCCATCAGCAGCAATTATTCCCCATTCATTGGGCTTTTCCTTCTGACGACTGTCAGTTTTTATACGCTCCCTGTTTTCTTGCCTGATATCTAGTGGAATAGTTAATCAGCTTTCCTCAGATGATGTTTATTAGTTAAATTGACTTAAGTTTCATGTAAGGTAATCACTGAGTGTAGAATTCTAAAGTCAGGCTCTCCTGGGTTAAAAAAAATCCCAGCTTTGCTATTTATGAGCTAATCGCATAAACTTCATCAATTTTTTAAAGCTTTGCCTCTCAGACTCTCCATCTGTAAAATGGACATACTGTTATTTATCTTGTGGAATTTTTAAGTGAGATAAATTTAAATGCCTTATATATAATGCTATAGTTTGAATGTTTGTCACCTCTGAAACTGTTCTTGGAACTTAATCTCCAATGTGGCAGTACTGAGAGGTAGGTCCTTTAAGAGGTGATTGCGTCATGAGGGCTCTGACTTTATGAATGAATTAATCCATTCATAGATTAATGGATAATTAATTAACATAGGAGTGGGATTGGTGGTTTTATAAGAAGAGCAAGAGAGACCTGAGCTAACACATTTAGCCCCCTTCCCATGCTGTGCCCTGGGCCATTTCAGGACTCTGTAGTCCCCATCAGCAAGAAGACTGTCACTAGCTGCACTCCGCTGACCTTGGACTTCTCAGCCTCCATAACTGTGAAAAATAAATTTCTTTAAAATTACTCAGTTTCATGTATTCTGTTATAGGCAATAGAAAACAGACTAAGACACATAGTAAGTGCTCAACAAATTCTTAGTAATAGTATCACCCGGTTTTCCGTGAAAGATAAAGGAACAGATGTGAGATTATATTTTTATTTCACAGCAGGAATGAGTACTTTTTGTTATTTGTATGCTTGATTTTCTTTTTTTTCTTCAGGTCAAGAGGAACAGCATCGATTGTTAATATGCTGTCTGCTTTCAACCCCCAAAGGATTATTTTCAGAATGAAATGATCTGTGGTCTTTAAGGGGTGGGGATGGGAGGAGCTGAAGAACTCTCGATCCTTCGAAGAGGTCCCAGTGGACTTGATTTCTCAGTGGAAACAGAGGGATTTCCTTCTGCAGTGGGAAAGAGACACGAAGTGATAAACCGAGCACCCTCTTTGAAGATTTCCCAGTATATTTGTCCCTAGAGGAGTGCGCCTCCGGGAGATTTATTGTTGGAAGCTTTTATCCTCAAGCGTAATTTTTAGAAGTATGTATTTCCCTAGAAACAGAGTAGCTCCATTTAAAAGTCACAGGTGCCCCCAAGCTCTGCTGGGAAGATTACTTCAAGTTTCATTTAATACCCATCTCAGACCTGGAGGCAAATTATTTAGTTCATCACTCTGAAAATGGATTTTTTTTCCCTTCTACTTCCCATTTCAGCACCTGCCATCTTGTGGAAAGGGACTTGCTTCCCAAGAGATGAGAAATGGACAGGAGTGGAGCCTGAGTCCAAGTACTGTGATTTCTTATCTCCCACAAATGTGCAGGAATATTTAGTCAGGGAGATCATCTTCCTGGAGAAATTGGCCCATCCTACTCCTAGAGTGCTGTGTTAGTTGTAGTTCCTCCAGGTGCCACCTCGAAGACCAGGGTCAGAGTACAGTCGCTTACATGGGAGGTAAATCCACAAAACAGTGGCGGAAGAGGGGGAAAATGAGACAAGGATGGGAAGGCAATCAGGAAAGGGCATGTTATCAAGCAAGGCACTGTTCTGGGCAATTGGAGCTTACACCTGCTAGGGAAGCCTGAGACAGTGGGGAACATGTACCTCACAGTGATGCTCGTGAGGGCCGGGGGAACTGGGATATTAATCCACCAATTCCATCTGTTACTGATTGAGGGCTGCTTACTGGCGGTATTGATTCCCTGGCACTTCAGGTCAGAGAAAGCCTTCGGTCATAGAGAACATGAAGCCATGGGGCCCAGAGTGCCCAGGGCTGAGTGGATGTGGGCGATGGCCAATGACAATGGCTACCAACAGTGGATTGGATCTTTGGCATCTCATTTCTTCTAAGTCTCCTTAACCTCTGTGCTTGGTGCTGAGGTGAAGCAAACAATTAAGATCCAGTGTTGTCCTTAGGATGCTCACACTTCAGTGAGGGAGTTGAGGAAGCTAAACAGGTAAGCAATTTTGAGCCTGTGAAGTTAGTAGTCTACGAAGATATATTTAAGAATATGTGCATCGTTTGTGATATGCATATTATTTGTCAGGCTGTACTCTAAGCATTTACCTTGACTAACTTATTTGATGCCCACAAGAACCCTCTAAAGTGGGTGCATTTGCTGTCTCTTTTAGAGATAAGGAAGTGGAGGTATGGAAACATTAAAGTGTTCAGCTAGTCTGTAGTGAAGCCAGGATTTGAATACAGGCTATCTACTTCCAGAGCCCTGTTCTTATCCACTAGGCTATGGGTCAGGCTTTCTCAACCTTTATTATTATTGCCATTCTGTGCTGAATAATTCTTTGTCATAGGGGCTGTCCTGTGCATTGTAGGATGCTTGGCAGCATACCCTCTACCACTAGAAGCCAATAGTACCTGCCTCCCCACCTCCTGTTCTGACAACCAAAAATGTCTCCAGACATTGCCAAATGCCCACTGGGGCACAAATAGCACCAATTGAGAACCACTGCTGCCTATTATAAGGCAATCAGTTTTTCCTAGGGAAGTGTTATAGAAGGCAGATGGAAATTTCTTTTCTTGTTGTTTAATCTTCCTTCTCATAAAAATAAGGAGAAAAGTAGTATTTCAGAGCTGATCGCATCTCTAAATCAACAGCCAAATATCTCCCAGGGCAGAGAAAATGGAAGTAGAAATCAAGTTATTGAAAAATCAACTTAAGTTTGTGTGTGTGTGTGTGTGTGTGTGTGTGCACCTGCGTTGTAAACAGGGCATCCTTGCCCACTGTGCTCTGCTGCCAGCCCTTCGAACAGGCTGTTTCCATGGTCATTTTTAAAATGTTGTCTTGCAACATGGTGAACTGAGGAATTAGCAAAAAGACCGTTAAAGGAGAATAGGCAGTGTGTTCACACGGGATTGTTTGTCTTATTATTTTTCATTTTCCTTGGGCGATTTTATTTGTAATTTTTTCGGAGTTTTGTTTTGAACTCTCTTTATCCAAGTAAATACATCCTTCTTCCTTCTGTCACAAGCTGGTGGATTCCAAGCTTTATTTTCCAAATCCTCCCAACCCTATTTTATCCATGTGGCTTCTTGGAGCTGGTCAAGTCTGCAAACTGATCCTTGAGATTTTGGGGTGTTCTGTGTGAGGACAGTAGCCCTAATTTTGGCATTAAAGCGTCCTTGTTTGTCTCCTTTCTTTCTTCTTCCAAGATACTCTTTAAAAATTCAGTCTTCTCCAAATTTGGCTTTGTAGCTAATCTATGTGATCAGAGAAGCATCATTTTAGTGTTGGAAGCCTGAATAATTCGCTTTTTCAGTTGGTCGTGGAAGTAAAATTCCAGATGTTTAAGCATTCTTTGTAACAAAGCTTTTTCATGTGCCTGTGGATAATTTACTAAGCAGTGCTTTGTGAATCTGCTTGCTTCTCTATGACAAATGCTTTTGATGATCGCTGCTCATGCTCATGCTCAAATACATAGTCACTCTAATGACTTAAATTACTTTTGCATGGTATTTATGGGAGGTGAAAAGCCACCATGGTCAAGATCGTTGACTCCGGGGTTAGATGGGACTGGGTTTGAATCCTGACTTCACTACTATCAGCTGTGTGAGACTAAGCAAGTGTGACAGGCAGAGTAATGGCTCCCTGAGGATGCTAGTGTCTTAATCCTTGAAACCTGTGAATATGTTGCCTTACCTGGCAAAAGGGACTTTGCAGATACGATTATGTTAAGAACCTTGAGGTGGGAGATTATCCTGAATCATCTGAGTGGAACAAATGTCATCCCAAAAAGGAGGTCAGAATCAGAGAGGTTAGAAACTGCTAGCATGTTGACTTTGAAAATAGAAGAAGAGATGACAAGCCAAAGAATATAAGAAGCTTTTAAATGCTGGAAAAAGTAAGAAAATGGACTCTCCTCTAGACCTAGAGCCTCCAGAAGGAACACAGCCCTGCTGACACCTTGATTTTAGCCCAATGTGACCCAGTTTTGACTGTTGACCTCCAGAACTGTAAGATTATGAATTTGTGTTGTTTTAAAGCCACAACATGTGTGCTAATTTGTTATAGTGACAATAGGAAATTAATACAGCAAAGTGATGCAATCTCTCCTAACCATTGTTTGGTCATGTACAAAGTGGAATAATAACAATATTTACCCCTTCAAGCTATTGTAAGGTGTAGAAGAGAGAGGCACTTGGCACTGGGCCCAGCATAAAGTACATATTTAAAGGTATTGAATTAGTCATGGGTTTTTTATTTTGCCATACCTTAGCAGTTCCATCATCCTTCCTATTATTAAGTTTCAGAAATACTTATCTGTGATGGCTAATTTTATGTGTCAATTTGGCAAGGCTATGATGCCCAGTTATTTGGTCAAACAGTGGTCTAGATGTTACTGTGAAGATATTTGTGAATGTGATTAGCATTCAAAGCAATTGCCTTTAAGTAAAGCAGATTGCTTTCTTCATAATATGGGTGGTACCTATTCTATTCGTTGAAGGCTTGAAGAGCAAAGACTGAGGTTTCCAAACGAAGACACCATTATGTCTCAAGACTGGAACATGGAAACCCTGCCTGAGTTTTCTACCTGCTGGCCTACCTGCAGATTCAGACACTAGACTGCAACATCAACTCGTACTTGAATTTCCAGTCTGCCTGTCTGCCCTACAGATTTTGGACTTGCCAGCCCCCACAATTGCATGAGCAAATTAAAAAAAAAAATCTTATTTCTCTCTCCCCCCATCTCATTGGTCTTTTTTTCCCTCTGGTGTACCCTGATTAATATACCATCCAAACTAAATGCAACATACCAAAACATTTAGGAGCATGAAAAAAGAAGAGGTTAGAATGAAAAGCACATAACATTAAAACTTTCTATTTTGTTAAGAACCTTGCATTTCCTCGCTGATATTTAACCTGAGGACTACACCTCAGGTTTTTTCTTTCAGCTTTAACTCAAGAATGTATAATTTGTATTATGCTAATAACACAAATAGTATCCCAGCAAAAACAAAACCAAACAAAACAACAACAACAACAACAAAACTGGGATGGTATTGTGATGTCTTTTATAATGGAGTTTGACTTTGGACTTAAGAGTTGATATTCAGCAAGGATGATTGGTATTGCCGTACTAGTTTATATGTTGCTCCTTCTCTAGTTTCCTCTGAAGATCCCCTACCTCATCCTGGTCACCTAAGGTCCTACACTAAGACTCCTTATTGATCAAGCAGCTATAGAATGAAGAATAAAGAGTAAAGATTAAAGAAAAAAGCCTGCACACGGGAATGTCTGTTCTGATTGGTTAGTGCCATGTGAGTGCTATGTAGGTTGCTGATTATTTTAGTATCACTCCTGCCTAAAAGTAATAGTTAAGGAACAAAATGCAATAAAGAATTGCTCAACTATCCAAATTGTTAATATCTATAAATGTGTAATTTCAACAGATGTAACTAGTTTAAAGGAGAAATGGGTAAAAATGTGCTTATTTCATTTTTCTTGGATAAAATTTTAAATCCTCATTTTCTAGCCACTCTTCTTAGGACTTAAATACTGTGTCTCTTGTTTACTTTTTTCTTTAACAGACAGAAGTGTGACTATTTTCAATCGGACAAATATTTAGATTTTCTCCTCTGAAGATAAGTCCCAGTGTCTCAATTGCTAATTCACTTACAATTCTTCTCTATAAATTATTTCACTATTGGCCTTGGAAGAAAAGACCAACTCATTCATATGACTGGAATTTCTTCCCCCAATTTCATAGAGGAATTCATTTTCTAAACACGAGGATTTGATCAATAAACAACTTGCAATCCCTAGGAGGACTTTAAAGGGATTTAGATTGTCAAACATTGACTCAGGATTTGTTCTGGTAGTTGTTAAAAATTACATAAACATAAGTTTTTTTTTAACCTCCATCAACCAAAGAGTGAGTAGTAGGAGAAGAGAAGACTTGGACTTGTTATTGATTAGTTGCTATACATGCTCTTCCAGAGAAAGTTAATCAACAAGGTGTTGACAATATTAGCACAGTCTTACATCTCTCTTGGAAATTATTGCTCACAATTGCAGAGTTGCTGCTGCATCTCTCCTTCCTGCCAGGAACCAATAGAGGTGAGCTTGTTTGCTGCACACCAACAAATTTTCTAAGAGCCTGTGGACCATTCCCATCCACCAACTAAGTGCTGTAGTAAAGAGAGGCAGAACTTCTAGGCCAGAAGAGGGAAGTCATTCCCTAACACACTCTCCATACTAAACTTCCTGATGTAAAAGGCCACATCCATCTTGTTAACCTAAATTCCAAGTACCCAGATTCCATACATATCAAGGTTATGTGTATAGAAAAAAATATATGGAATGATTTGGTTTTTCCTATATGTTGAAATCACATTTTAGGAAAGTGCAACTTAAAGTAAAAACACCATCTGTCAGTGGGAATTATGTAGTCTTTGATAAATGTTGGGAGTACATAAAAAGAAAACACAACTTATCAGGAATTTATACATAAAAATTATTTTTAGGGGAATTTAATTTAAAACAAAAGATGAGCCACATTAAATCGATTAATATTGCCCTATACATGTTAAATCTTACTTCAGAGAAGTTATATATATAATTAAAAAATGCAATATTTTATGTAATTACTTCTCCTTTAAAAGGTGAACTTTGTACTTCTGAATGATGAGATCAAAAGAGCCACTAAGCTCTGCTATCAAAGGCAGAAATGATGCAAGGGAATTCCCTAGAAAGGGGAAGTTATACAGTTGAACTGTTTTTACTTAACAATGCTTCTGACACCAAATCAGAGGTTTCTTTTCACATCAACGAATTATCCAATTCTCTGAACACCAGCTAGGTGTCCAGTAATTCAGTTGATCTCTGACACCATCTACCTGGAATTAGCAACAGATTCAACAAGTTAAAGGGCTCAGACGCCAATTGCAAATCCCAGGTCACCTATACTTCTGACCAACCAGCTGTATAGACTGGGGGTTCCCACAACTCTCTCCTCAGTTTTGACAGTTTGCTAGGATGGCTCACAGAAGTCAGGAAACCACTTAACTTACTTCTGCTGGTTTATTATAAAGGATAAAGATGAGCAGCCAGATAAAGTGGTACATAGGGCAAAGTTTAGATGAATCCCGAGTGCAGCATCTCTCTTCATGGAGTTGAGGTGCCCCACCCTCCTGGCACACGGATGTGGTTGTGAACTGGAACGCTCTCTGAACCTGGTCATTTTGAGTTTGTAATGCAGGTCTCGTTATGTAGACATGATTGATTAAATCGTTGGCCATTGATGATTGACTCAATCTCTAGCCCCTTTCCCCTCCCTGGAGGGGGAGGTTGGGAGCTAAAAGTTCCATGCTTTTAATCAAGGCTTGGTCTTTCTGGCAACTATTCCCCATCCTGAAGCTATCTAGGGACCCACCAAGAGTCACCTCATTTGAGCAAAAGATGCTCCTGTCACCCTTATTATGCAGGAAATTACAAGGAACTTAAGAAATATGTGTCAGGAGCCAGGACAAAGACCAACTGCCTTTCTATGGTACCCCAGTAGTGCAGAGAGTGGAAGGCAAGCTCACAGCCAGCTCCCTCAAGTCCATGTTGACATTTGGGATGCTAGGTGCAGAAGGAAAGAGAGCAGTTGCAGTCTATCGGAGACCTGAGAATGATAATTCTTCAAGTGGATAAGGAAGGAATAGAATATGGACTGTATTCCATTAAGAATCTTGACTTTTACTTTTTCAAGACACCATTCTTTCGCTTCTTCTAGCCAAAGATATCACATAGCAAAACTGTGAAATAGGGCTTAAACAGGTAAGTTCTATAAGTACAAAATAACATAAAAATGAGCAATAATTAATATGGTTCTCCAGTATCTACTGCATTCATTAACAAGGAAATAATAATTTTCAACTCATCCTCACAACCTCACCTCAATGAAATTTCCTCTCTGTTTTATTTCTGATACCAATTTTTAAAGTTGTTTCATTCTCTTCTTACTCTCCTACTTATTTTTCTAACATTGCTTCCCCTGTTACCCTCTGTCACTCTTTGGATTTTTAGTGTTGTATTTATGTTTTCAAACATACTAATTAGTTAATTACTATTTAATCCTTCCATTTGGTGCCCTTGGCACCTTATTCCCCTCACCCTAGTCCAGGCACTGGCTTATGCTGTGCCAGCCATAGGAAGGAAGAACAAGAGCCATTTAGTATAGTAAGTAAAGATGACATGACTTTTTAAAATAAAATGGAATGATGACTGTTTTAACCTTATGCTCCTCTCTTTCCAAGGATAAAATATTACCATTACTTATCAAAAATTAAAAACAAGTTTAAATTGTGGGTAAGGACTGCCTAAGAGCAAAATTTTTAAAAAATGGTTAAAAATCACAAAGGAAACATCAACAATTTAAATAAATTTTCTATACTTTGAAAGCAACATAGACCGCATTAAAAAGCATACTATAAACATGGATAGATAGGTGCAACATATGTGGCACATGCATTGTAAATATATTGACTATTGAAGAACTCATGTGAACCAATTTTTCAAAACTAAAACCTGTGGGAGAAACATGGGCAAATACTCCATTCACATAAGAGGAAATACAAGTGGCTAGTAAATATTTGAAAGTGCGTGACCCTAACAAGAAATAAATTCATATTAAAAAGGTATCTTTCTGCCTATTCTATAAACAAATACAGATTTTAAAAAATACCAGTGCTGGGGAACATTTGGTGAATCTACTCCAGGAGTGCCAAATATGGACTATTTTTATTTCTCATCATCTCCCCGAGATGAAATTACCCTTTGCTTTATCTCTCTCCTGATTTAGCTCCTGTGGGGACTAGTTCACCAATCATAATTTCTAGGACCTTCATGTTAAATTTATATTTAGAGTCTCTTGACCTTTCCTTGTCCCTGTGCATTGGTTAAGGCTGCCATATCCTATCTAACAGTTTTCCCTAACTTTACCCTCGAAAGAGGAACTTTGTGAAAGCTGCTTTACTTCCTCCCTGGAACTCTGCCTACTAAGGGAGGAGGCTGCCACACCAGGTGACCATCTTGTCGCAGTGTACTTGGAACTTTCCCAGTTTTATCACTGAAAATCCCTGAGAAAACCCAGGCAAACTGAGATATTGGTCACTTTTCCCATGTGACATTAAATAGAAGATCCTGGTATGCCCCTTTTTCAATATGTTAGTTTTCTAGGGCTGCTTTAACAAAATATTATAAACCAGATGGCTTAAAACAACAACAATGAATTCTATCATAGTTCTGGAAGCTAGAAGTACGAAGTCAAAAGTGTCAGCAGCATCATGTTCTCTCTGACAGCTCTAGGAGAGAATCCTTCCTTGAGTCTTCTAGCTTCTGATGCCAAGGCAAGCAACTCTTGGTATTCCTTGGCTTGGTAGATGCATCACTCCCCTCTTTGCCTCCACTGTCACATAGCCATCTTCTCTCTGTGTGTCTTCATATAATCTTATCTCTGTGCTGTGTCCAAATTTCCCCCTTTGTATGAGGACACCAGTAGTATTGGATTAGAACCCATTCTAATAACCTCATCTTAACTTAGTTGAATTTGTGAGGACCCTATTTCCAAATAGGGTCACATTCTAAGGTTTTGGGGGTTAGAAATTCAGCATATCTCTTTTTGGAGGACACAAATGCCCAGTCCTGCATTCTTTGGTTCTTGTACAATGAATTCTTCAGTGTAAATCATGGAAAGTTGTAAGTGCAGGATTGAGACATTTGTACTTCATCCACTAGGCATCAATGAGTCACTGATGGCTTCTGAACAAAGAAGTGACATGCTGTTAATGTCATTTGAACAACATTAACATAGAAATAGTGTACATGATGGATTGGCTCATGATGGAAGCTGGTTATTAGGACCATGAGAAATCTCCTGGGCCTAGCGCCCAACTACAATCACTGCCTGCTGCTGAGCTCAGCCTTTTGTTCGGGACAGAGCACGCATCTTCTCAAACCAGAAAGGCCTATAATTGCAGTATGTAGACATTCTTTCCAGCAATCAGAGCTCAATCCTAGTTGATCTGCTTCTAAGGGGTACTGCTCTGTCTACCCTCTTGTGAAAGACTTTCTTATCAAATAATAGGTAAGAATTCAATTTCTTACCTATTTCCTCATGCTCAATCCATGTCTTAGTCTGTTTTGTGCTACTATAACAGAATACCACAAGCCAGATAATTTATAATGAACAGAAATTGATGTGGCTCATGGTCGTTGAGGTTTTGAAGTGCAACAGCATGGTGCTGGCATCTGATGAGGAGAGCCTTCTTGCAGCGTCATAACATGGTGGAAAGTATCCACAAGGGCGAGAGAGAGCATTTGAGGGAGCACAAGGGAGTCAAACTTCCTTTTATAACGAGCTCACTCTTGTGATTCTAAACCCACTCCTATGAAAGTAACATTAATCCCTTCATGAAGGAAGAGCCCTCATGACCTAATCCGCTCTTAAAACCTCCCCACCTCTCAAAACTTTCACATTAGGAATTAAATTTCCAAGACAGGGACTTTAAGGGACATATTCTTTTTATTTTTATTTTTTAGATGGAGTTTTCCTCTGTCACCCAGGATGGAGTGCAGTGACGTGATCTCAGCTCACTGCAACCTCTGCCTCCGGGGTTCAAGCAATTCTTGTGCCTCAGCCTCCTGAGTAGCTGGGACGACAGGCACACGCCACCATGCTAGCTAGTTTTTGTACTTTTTTAGTAGAGACGGGGTTTCACCATGTTGGCCAGGCTGGTCCCGGACTCCTGATCTCAAGTGATCCGCCCACCTTGGCCTCCCAAAGTGCTGGGATTACAGGCATGAGCCACTGTGCCTGGTGGAGGGACATATTCCAGCCATAGAAGCCCACATGCTTATTTCTTCCTGCCTGTCTTAAATCTTTCAGTGTCAATGTTCCCTCCTCTCCCCCAGTGGCCATTCCCATGTGTATAGCCAACCACACTGCAACCTGCACTGCATCTGATTTCTAATTGGGGCATACTTTCTTCTTGCCTTCGTGGTCTTTGAGATTACTTTACATTCTTCTCCTCAGTCGCATTCCTTTGACTTTGATCATGGCATTTTACTTTGATCTCAAGATTAAAACTCTTAGTTATGAGCAAATTATAGGCTTGGGTTAGCATCTACTTGCCATGATTTCTGGCCTATGTGTTACCTTAGCCATTTTTTCTTGACAATGTAACTCTTGCGTTTTCACTCTGTGAAGGGATTTTATTTCCTGGCTCCCTGAAAATTAGCAGTCAGGAAAGTCTTAGAATATTGACAGTGGAGGGGAGGATGAGGTTAAAATACCCAATACCTAAGATTCGAGCATCTTAGCCCATTGTATTCCTTTTTCTTAGCGAATCTGCCCTATTTATGGCTTAAGAGCATTAGCCTTGAAGCCTGATCTCTGATGTCAGCTGCTTGAACAAGGAATGGACACCCAGCCAAGACTGACTATAAAAGACAGTTTCTTCCTCCAAATTTAGAATGATGCCAAGACTGGATTAATTAACTGGAGTGAAGCTCAAACTTCACTTCATAGACTCAAGGTTTAAGGCTGCTGTTTTGGACTATCTATGATGGGTTACCTGTAAGTGTGTTGAACATATGAGCCCCTCTTCAAAGGATAAAGAATGAGATATGTATTCATTCACTTGACAGATATTGACTGAAAACCTACTAAAATGCCATCGTCTGTTTTAGGCTTTGAAATTATGAGAGTAGCATGGCCTAACTTCCCAGAATGTGCTTAATTGAGGTGAGAGGAAGAAAATAAATAAATAACGCCATCTGAAATTATGTTACAGAGTCAAAGGCAATGAAGAAAGGGTAAGAGAATAAGGAGATAGAGAATAGGTAGAAATTGGGGGCAGGGGACCTTGCTACTTTAGATAGAATAGCTGCAGAAGATATCTATTAGAAGGTACTACTTGAGTAGGAATTTGAATAAAATGAGAGAGTAAGCCACAGGACTATCTGGGGAAAAGACGTTGCAGGCAGAGGATGCAGGTGCAAGATCCATGAGATGTGAGCATATATAGTGGGGCAAGAAAGCTTATGTGGCTATAGAAGTGAGAGGGAGGGAGAGAGTTATAAGGTCTGAGACATAAGCAGTGGCCAGATCAGGTCACTGTCATCATGGTGATTTTATTTAAAGCATGATGGAAAACCATGGAATAACATGACCAGATTTATATAGATGTGATTTTTGTTTGTTTGTTTGTTTTTCTTGTGACAGAGTCTCAAGGGGACTGGAGTGCAGTGCTGGAGTGCACCCAGCTGGAGTGCAGTGGGGCAATCTTGGCTCGCTGCATCCTCCGCCTCCCAGGTTCAAGCGATTCTTCTGCCTCAGCCTCCTGAGTAGCTGAGATTACAGGTGCATGCCACCACGCCCAGCTAATTTTTGTATTTTTTAGTAGAGATGGGATTTCACCATGATGACCAGGCTGGTCTCGAACTCCTGGCCTCAAGTGATCTGCTCTCCTCGGCCTCCCAATGTGCTGGGATTGCAGGCATGAGCCACAGTGCCTAGCCCAGATTTATATTTTAAATGGTTCACTCTTGCTATTATGTGAAGGACAAATGATGAGAGAGGAGTGAAAGAAAGGAGGAGGGAGAGAGAAGAAAGAGTTGACTACTTGTCTACTTTATAAGTCCTATAAGTCTTCGCTCTGTCTTCTCTGGTCTGAGAAGTTCTTGTGCACACTTAGGATATATAATTCCTTACTTGGTTAAATTAAGTGTATTTCTACTTTTTTTTTTTGAACAACCAAATTGCTCCCTGATTAGGACACTCTCAAGACCCTGAAGTATGGTGAGATAATACATGAAGAGAGGAGGGGATGACTATGAAACATACCATGGTGATACATTTATAGGGCCTAATTATGTACTATTTTCAACTGGGTGCTGAAAACATAATTCAATTTATGGAAAGACTCATTCTACAACAGTAGTCTCAACTGAGGACAATTTTGCCCTCCAGAAAACATTTGGCAATGTCTGGAGACATGTTTTGATTGGGAGGAGGGTACTGCTGGCATCTAGTGGGTAGAGGCCGAAGATGCTGCTAACCATCCTGCAATGTCCAGGACAGCCTCTCACAACAAAGAAATTTTCATCTCCAATAGTCAACAGTGCTGAGGTTGAGAAACACTTCTCTAGAATATTGTGGAAACAAACAGAATGCACTCAGACACAAACATGATTATTTGTCATTGGGGCTTCTTGGACCTTTAAGATATCTCCTCTAAGTTGAAGGAAGGAGAAAGGATAATGAAAAATATACTTACTGGCTGGGTGTGGTGACTCACTCCTGTAATCCTAGCACTTTGAAAGGCCGAGGCAGGTGGATCACTTGAGATCAGGAGTTTGAGACCAGCCTGGCCAACATGGTGAAACCCAGTCTCTACTAAAAATACAAAACTTAGCTGGGTGTGGTGGCGTGTGCCTGTAATTTCAGCTACTCAGGAGGCTGAGGAAGGAGAATCGCTTGAACCCAGGAGGCAGAGGTTGCAGTGAGCGGAGATCACGCCACTGCACTCCAGTCTGGGCAATAGAGCAAGACTCCATGTAAAATATATACCAGCTTAGGTGTATGGATATTACTGAACGTGGCCTCTCCTCTGTGGTCCATTGGTCTATCATCTTGAAGAAGTGAAGTACCTTATAAGAGGATCAGTTTTCTAGATAGAGGAGGAGGACCCACTCAGATGCTGATAATAAATTTTGAGAATGGCCATCTTGCAAATGCATCATTTCCTAATTCATACCCTTTGCTGTAGTTTTGCAGATAGGCATCAAATATTGCCGAATTACCATCAATGGTTCCTATAGAAGACAAGTGCAAATAAAAAGCAATCAGATTGATGCCAAATATTTATCATTAATCTTCATAAATAAGTGGAAGTAAAACTCATTGTAAGACTAACTTAACAATTTTCCCTTTATGTCACATTGAAGCCTTAATGTACTTGCAAATTCAATTCAGTAAATAAATGTTTGTTGAATTGCAAATCAGTCCATTTTGATTCTTGATAAAGAAGTGGGAGAGGAAGAGACTGACTGGTGATTTCAGGCTGGGATTCACCATATAACTACCCCAGAGGAGAAAAAAGGGCCAGAATACCACCAATGCAGGCAGAGTGTTCACCTCTAGTGGTCCCAGAACCTTCATTTTATCTGTTCACTTGGGAGAAGATTGGTGTTGTCTCACCACCTTTACAAATCCTCGGGAGGGGATGGGGGCTGTTACCTGGACGTATTTCTGGCAAATTTAACAAATCTCTTTTACACGTTGTTATCATCATTCTTTTCCTGTACATTCTGAATGATAGTTATGTATTTGACAAATATTTATTAAGCATCTACTGCATTCCAGGTACATATCTGTGTACTGCAGATGCAACAGAGAACAAAATAAGCAAAACTTTCAGATCTCCTGGAGCTTGTAGTCTAACAGGTGAGGCAGACAATAAACCAGATGTTTGGCTAAAATATGTGTATTTGAGATAATAATATGTTAAAGAACAAAATGAAGGAGGGTGGCGAGTAGGGAATTTCTCTGGCTAGGATAAGAGGGTTGTAACTTTAGATAGGTTGGCTAGGGAGGGCTGGGCTGAGACAGGTCTTTTAAGGGAAGATTGTAAAGAAGTGAGGGAACAAGTTCTGAGGTTGACTAAGAGAGGCAACTTCCAAGTTCTTGGAAGAGCACCTGTTAGTGCTCCAAGAAGGATCCATGGCTGGTGTCTTGGGAACATTGTGTTTCTGGTTGGTGCGCCTGGAGTAAGTGAAGGGGCAATGGGAGGAAGTGGGATCCCGGTGATGCAGGTCTCATCGGTCATTGCAGCGATGTTGACTTTAATGGCAAGTGACATAGAGGCCAGTGGACTATTCTTAGTAGAAGGGTGCCTTGACGTGAGTTGCATTCCAACAGGATTATTTTGGCTGCTGTGAAGATAACATGATGTGGGTCAGGCAAGTGAGGAGTCCAGTGTCATAATACATAGGAGCAACATTGGTGGCTTAGACAAGGGAGGTAGAAATGCATGGGGCTATTTCCCAACACAATATGGTTCTTTTGTCCACTTACTCTTGTTTCTTTATTTTTAGCAATAGTTACTAATTCATAATTCCTGTTGACATTTCCTACACTTTCATGAGTTTCTTGAGCCCTGTCTGTTTCCCCGGTTCATTATTATCAAACAGCTCAGCTGTGATAGACTGCTGATCTTCATTTTCATATTGATTAATTTCATTTTTGCATGCATCACCCGCATTTCCAGCATCTTCAGCACAGTTTTCAGATGATGAGTCATTTGCGAACGACAGATTTTCATTATAGGAGTCATCTTTGGAGCAGGATGTGTTGGACTAGACTCAGGTAAAATGTTTGCTCAATTCTGCTTAGCCCTCTCTCTCATGAAATGGGATTTGATGGGTGTCTTTGAGCCCGACCACTGTCGAAATAATTACAAAGCTGTTTTCTCTTATTTATTTGCTGATCAACTGGGAATTGTGTTGTTTTACATGGGAAATGTAATTCCAGCAGTCACTACTTTTAAATGAAATGATAACTCTTCTGCATTGTGATTATATAACATGCTCATTATGAACTGAGGACGTTGGTCCCTTGAGTCTGGGTTCCAGACTGGGTCAGTGGTGGGAGGAACCTCACTCCAGCTCACCCCAAATTGGTTAACAGAGGTCTTTCATTTATGGTAGGGGTTGCAAATTGAAATACTTCTCAAGATTCATCAGCCAATGTAACTGGGTGAATCGGGCATATGTAAGAAAACAGGGACTGGAGGGTACTGTCTCACTGAACTCTACAGGGATAAGCCAAGATCAGTGCCATTTGCTTGTTATCCTGCCTAAATGTGGTTTCAGTATTAACAAATTGCCTTAAAAGAAGCCAGAAATCTGGATTATTATGGACACTCTGATATTTAATTTTTTTTCACGTTTAGAGCAACAAAATAGGCCTTTGAACCGGACCCAGTTCAAGTTGTCTAGTTTGTAACTCCTTATTCACAAAGATACCTTTGCACTTTCTGTACTTATGATGCTTCTTTTACCTACTTTCAGTGAGAACAACGATATGGGACTCTGTATAGTTGAAGCTTGCTATAACAGACAGTAAAGAATCTTACTTAGGAAAAGTAACAAAATACTTTTTCCTTCTGCTATAACAAAATACCATAGACCAGGTAGCTTATAAACAATAGAAATTTGTTTCTCACAGTTCTAGAGGCTGGAAAGTCCACGATCAAGCCATCAACAGACTCTGGATCTGGTTCACAGATGGCACCTTCTTTCTTTGTCCTCACATGGCAGAAGGGGAAAATGAGCTCTCTTGGGCCTGTTAATAAGGACATGAATCCCATTTTTGAGGGTTCTGCCCTCATGACCAAATCACCTCCTGAAAGACCCCACCTTCTAATACCATCACCCTGGAGGTTAGCATTTCAACAGATGAATGTTGAGAGTCACAAACATTCAGACCACAGCAGGGTGGTTATCTAACATACCCATGTTCTGACACTGGCCCCTGGAGGACTGAGTATTGAATCCTGGCCTGAACTGACCCTTAGGCTCTTGGTTCTGTGCTACACTTCCCACCAGTGAGTCGATGGTGTTAGTAGAATTGAACTCAAGACCCTGACTTCAAATTCTGTGTTCCTTCCTTCTTTCCTGGTCCTTCTTTTCTTCAAAATCCAGTGCAAGTATCCACTTGAGTCAAGCTTGGAGCACCACTGGTTTATAAGGAAACTTCTTCTTTGGATCATCTTTTCATGGCCGCAGTAGGATTTAGAACAAACCCAGGATCTGAACTGAAACCAATGTTGTCCAATCTCAGTGCTACAGCTAGTCTGCTTGGCAACCAGAGCCCAGGCACCGTAGCCTCTGAGACTTGTGCTGCAGTCATTTAGGAAAATCTGTCTTGATCTATTTGTCTCTGTCTCTGTCCCTCTCTTTCTCCTCACCAATACTGTCTCCATTTTAATTTTTGAACTTTCAAAAATGCTTTAGTTATTACTGGTAAGTATAAAAGTTGTGCTAATGAAACATACATCTAGAAAAAGGTCACCTAGACTTTCCAAAGTAAAAATTGACTTCATGAAGAGCCAGCACCACCAGCTTTCAGCCCTGGATAGTGCTGCTAAATGTACACCTTAAAGTGGGTAGGCATTAGCTGGGATCATTTGAGATGCAGATTCTGATTCAGTAGGACTAGGGTGAACCTGGACTTCTGCTTTTCTTAGGAGCTCCTGGTGATGTTAATGAGGCTGATCTGTGGACCATACTGAGTAGCAAGGCTCTATAAAATTGCTATCTCATCTCTCTCTTCCTCTCTCTCTTCATCCTCAATTATATGTTTTCCTTCAAACATCAACATTCAGAATAAATGAGAAGTCATGTTTTATTCAATATATTTATTTTTCTGTTTTGTTTAAAAGTGACTACATTTTAGCTATACTATGAGTTAAAAAGACTTTCTGTGTGTGTGTAAGGAGGGATAGCTTTTCCAGGAATGAAAGTACCATTGAGACCATACTTTGCATGATCCCAGATCAAAATGGCCAAAATAAATAATAATTATAAAGATATTCTTATTATGATAATGTTTATTGGACATATTCTTTGTTAAGCACTGTATTAATGTTTTTAATGTTTAACTTAGTACATCTCGTTGTTCATGATAACCATATGGGTTGGGAACTGTTGCACCGATCTCAAGTTTATAAACGACACACACAAAAGCAGGGTAAGAAACTCTAAGGAACTGGTCCAGGGTCACAGAGCGGGAACATGGTAGAGGCAGGATTCAACCAAGGCCTGGGATTATTCAAAACTTCAAATCCTGCAGAATTTGGGGGCATGCCACCTGCAGACTGAGTATACCGTGTCCTCAATGAAAATGACAGAGGGAAGTGTTTTGTTGGTATCAGCCCTAAGGCTTCTGGTCTTTTCTTGTTGCTGGGTTTTCCAGAGAGTGTCCAGCTTCAACCTGTTTTCTGGAGTACTGGGACAGGTATCTGGGTACCAGAAGTGACCACAACAGGATATAGCAGGTGAAGGTTAGCCCAACCAGGAAGTAGACTAACAGTTGAAAGAGGTTCTCAAAAGGCATGAGGAATCAAAAGAAAAATGCATGAGATGCATTTCCTAAATAGTCCAGTTGTTGGGGTTCTCCCATGCTGAAGGATTGAGGAGAGAATATGATCAAACCCTTGCTGAGGATTTGGCCATTGACATGGGCTTCTGGTTAATCAGGCCGTTTCCTAAGAAGAGTCAGGTCAATACCATAGGCAATAAGGGTCCAGGTGATCCTGCGGACAGGGCATTTAGGGAGGCAGCTGAAAGGCCCTCTACCAACCAGGCATGAGACAAATGTGATTCTCTGCCATCCGCAACCAGCCCAGAGAGCCCGTCACCACCAACAGTATAACAAAATGATGAAGAGGGTGAGCTCTGGAGCCAGACTCAGCTATTAACTGGCCTGGGTCCTTGGGCCCTTGTGATACTCAAATTCTTCATTTGTAAAATGGTATCTTCCTGATGGGACCGTTGTGAGAATGAAATGAGGAATTATTTGACTATTGTAAGTGGACTAGAGATAATCCCTAATTTTCTTCACTGTAATATTTCTGGACATAATGTTTCTTTATACAAAGAAGGGACTGAATAAATATTAATAGTTCTTACATGAATGATCAAATAAAGACCCTGCTCATAAAAGCACTTAGTACAGGACTTAGCATAGAGTACAAACTCAGAACTTTGCTAGTATAAACATGAAATTTCACACATGAGAAAGACTCATTAAGACCGGGTACTGTCAGGGAAACCCAACAGTTAGGAAATAATTTTATGATGCAAGCTAATGTTTAAATAATGCTTACTGTCTGTGTTAGACACTCTTGTAACCAAGCATTTAATATTCATCAATACACTAAATTCTCTAGACACCCCCATGATGTACAGGGTATTTTTACACACCCACCTCATCTTGCAGATGAGAATACTGAGGCATAGAGAAGAAAATTATGTCATTTAAGACCACAGATCTCATAAATGGCAGAGCTTGGATTTAAAACCAGAAGGTTTGGCTCCAGGGTCCATATTCTCAATCACTATCTACCATTGCTGTTCATTTATGAGACTTCCAGGGTGTGAGGACTTGCCTCTAGCCTTGTACCTCTTTGAGCCCACCCTCATCTCCATTCCAGAAGTAGTCGGGCTCCTTGGAAAGAGAACCATGTTAGCAGGGAATTGTCTGTAGAAACTGGGGAAGACCATGTGGGCTAAACTGGAAATGTACTTTTTCATACAAATGCTTTTTAATAATCAAGCATAATTAAGATTAATTAAAATTAAATTATGGCTCCTTTTCCATCACAAAAGCTGTATTTCTAGTTGTTCAATGGAAAGATCATACATAAAGAATGCAAAAAAAAAAAAAACCAGGTAGTATTTGGCAACACTGGTCATAAAAAAGAACAATGAAAACTTGTTTATTTCTTAACTAAAATAAAAGTGGAAAGAAGTTGGAAGATGGTGTTTTAGGAAGTTTTAAAAATCTTCTTTATAATCTTTGTTTTTTAACTCCATAATAATAAATATTCACAATATTTTAATGAGAGAATGTGTTTTTATAAAGAATCCTCCCATCATGGTGATAATAGAGAAACCTTGGTTATTGACTCTCAATGACAGCTTGTAAATGACGTATAGAAAAATCTGAAAAACCTGGAAGCTTCTTTTTTTTTCTTTGAGGTGAATCCCTCCATCTGGCTCTAGATCCAGTCTATCCTACCTTTCAGAGATATCAATGTATAAATCATCTCCTCCTCATCTCATTCCCCTTTATCAATTTCCTCTCATCAGCATTTTAACTTGAACAAAATCTCTGCCATCTTAAAAATGCTTCTTTTGGTCCTATGTTTGCCCATATTGCCCTGTTTCTTACTCATACTGAATATTATTTTGTACTATTAAAATGTTTATCATTTAATAATTATCTACCATTTTATAACTAAATTTAACTCATTTATATTTATTAATTGAACATCTATATACCATTGCATTGATATCTTTCCTTTACTAGGTATATATTTTTTAACTTGACTGTTATTAGTGGATTGGATTTACTTATTTTTGTGTTTATATAGTAGTTTCATATAGTAGTTTCACAGTTTTATATTTTATGTCTATGTTTTGACGCTTATATGTACACTTTAAATCACATACACAGAAAAGTATCTATCCAGTGTATCCTGAGTCAGTCAGTATCCTCTGAGCAGGAAAGAAACCTTAGTATGTTTCACTCTTCTCCAGTCTCGCTTCCTTATCTATGATACAGTGACCTTTCAAAATTTCAATTCCAGAATCACATTAAAACTATTCACACTTTAGAAGCATTTGGCTTGGCTATGCTTCTATCCAGCCTATCAAAGTGTGAATGAAGAGGTTGTATTAATTCTGCCATCTTTTAAAGTTCTATTTCTTTTTTTTCCTTTGTAAAGTTTTTATACATTTTCACTTATTTATTTTTGTTGTATATATTTGAGGAGTACAACATGATGTTTTGATATACATTACACAGTGAAATGATTACTATGGGTAAGTAGATTAACGTATCCATCCCCTTCCTTATTTGCCTCGTTTTTGTGGTCAGAGCACCTAAAATCTACTCTCTTAGACAATTTTTAGTATACAATATTATTAACTATAGTCCTCATGCTGTACATTAGATATCTAGACTTATTGCTCCCACCTACTTGCAAGTTTGTACACTTTGACTCATCAGGTCTCATTTCCTTCTCCTCCCTGCTCCCGTAAACACTGTTCTACTCTCTGTTTCTATGTATTCAACCTATTTTTTTTTTGATTGCACAATTTGACCTTATGTTTTACTGGTTTCTTGTTTTCTACCCTTTCTTGTATGTCATTTTCTTCTACCATAGATTCTTTGGTAATTTTCCTGTGGCATATCTTCAAGGAACTCAAAGAGACTCTGTGGATGGTAAGGTTTCTGATTTCTTACGTGTTAGCAAATAGTCAAGCGCCTGTTTGATCAGATCCATTATCTTCTATCTTACAATGTTGTCTAGCCCACAATGATAGCTAATGACAATCAGAACTTTAGCCTTTAAAGGGAAATGACTTTAGCTTTTATATTTTCAGGTTTTTATCTTTAGTTTTTGTTCCAACATTTTATCATAATGTTTATAGGGATGGGTCTTTTATTGCCATCAGTTTTTCTGTTGCTGAATGTTCAAAGGCCCCATTCAATTTAAAGATACTTTTTATTCTTCAGCTCTAGAAAATGTTCTTTTATTATGATTATTTGTTATATAATTTTCTTCTTTCCTTCTAGAACTCGTTCTTGAGAAATAGTGGAAATTTTGGGTCTATATTCTATGCCTTTAAAATTATTTTTTTGCATCACCGTGAGCCAAGATCATCTCCTCATCCCAAGATCCTTAACTAAATCATATCTGCAAAGACCTTTTTTTCCACCTGAGGTAATATTTACAGGTTCCAGACCTAGTATCTTTGAGGGTCTTTATTCAGTTTCATAAGGGCCCTTTTTGCTCCTTCTGATTGTAGACCCTGAGGCTGGAATGTTATTATGCGCCAAAAGTCATGACGTTGTCCTCATCCATCTGATCCAGCTTTGCTCGGCTTTCTCACGTTCTCCACCCTTTCTCCTTTTTCCCCGCCATTTTGCTTCCTTTTCCCACCCATTCAATCTTTCCAAGCACTTACCTCTTTTCCTTTTTCTTTTCCACTCCCCCTTTCTCTCCTCCTTCCTTCACCACCTTCTTCTTTCCCCTCACTTTTACCTTCTTTCCCTTCCTTCTTTCCTTTCTGCATTCTTTTCCCCTCTACTCCTCCTCATCTCCTTGGTGCCTCCCCTCCACCTTCTCATTCCCCCTTTCCCATCCTTCTTCCACTTCCCTTACATCATATTCTCCTTCTCACAGGTTTTCTCTGCCTAATATCTCTACAGCTCCAATCAAATATTCTCACCTTGAACCACATCAGGAATTCTTCATCATTTCTGGTTTGCTGAATTTATTTTTTGTTCTTGCTTTCTAGGATCTTGATTCATTTAATTGTAAAAAAGAAAAATCAATTTCTGAAGTTACATTAAGTTTTTGCAGGTTGGCTGGACACGGTGGCTCACACCCATAATCCCAGCATTTTGGGAGGCCGAGGTGGGCAGATCACTTGATGTCAGGAGTTCCAGACCAGCCCGGCCAACATGGTGAAACCCCCTCTCTACAAAAATTACAAAAATTAGCCAGGGGTGGTGGTGCCTGCCTGTAGACCCAGCCACTTGGGAGGCTGAAGCAGGAGAATCACTTGAACCCAGGAGGCAGAGGTTGCAGCAAGCCAAGATCATGCCACTGCACTCCAGCCTGGGCGACAGAGTGAGACTCCATATCAAAAAAAAAAAAGTTTTTGGAGTAAGGAATAATATTCTTTACAATTTTAATACCTGGAAATGCCTTTTTATTTACGATATTTCTTTAGACTGTGAACCTCTCATAGGAAAGACTCTTCCATATTTGTTTTTATTTACTTAATGCCCAGCACATGGTGTTACTCTTACATGTTTCTGAAATGCATGTCATTGTGGATTTTGTGTAATGAAATGCATATGGTTATTTTAACTGATCACTCAAGTTGATTAGACTGCCACATCCCACGCAAAAAGAGGGTGCTCAGAAAGCCAGTGATTGGATAATAATTTGAGAATACTCAAGTTTCTAGTAGTCCTAATCGGTTGAACCTAAAAATGCCATTAACCCTTTCTCAAAGAAGCAGATTGGAGGTGAGTAGCAGTTGTGTGGCTTTTTGGTATGCAGCTGTTCACTTTCAAAACTTAATTTAAAACAATAAAAAATAGACCTCGAAATCATTTTGTTTCCCTATTTATTTAATGTGATTTATTCTAAATGTGTTTCATATCACCATAATGTATCGGAGCTCAACCACCACCTGTTATTTTGTAGGGGAAATAAACAAGACCTCTCTCATCAGATGAGTTAATTACACTGACATATTCACTCCTCCCCAGAGATACCATAAACTAAAATGCTGCAAAGCTTTAATTCAAACAAGCAGGCTGGAAACAAGAGCTATTGCAGTGGTATAATTTTCTTTGGGAGAATCAAAAGCTCAACACAGACTTGAACTTCAGGGGCAAAATAGCTGGAGTTGATCAAATGGAGGCTTGTCTAGGGTCGCATAATAAATCTGTAGGTGAGTTGAGCTTGAACCCATTTCTCAATATTATGGCACTATTTTCCAACCTTTGTGCTTCTGAGCATCATGTGGTCATTTTTAAAACTTGTTTCATCCCGTCATTTCTCCCTCCTCTCAGGTATTTGTCTGGGGCTGGCTGTGCACCCAGAAGGCCATTCGTTCCATGAAGAACATGACAGAGGTACCTGGTCCTACCTGGATTCTTGGGCATGCGGGCAGCAGCAGCAGCAGCAGCCACAGTGAACTTCATCCTAAGGAAATTAAGCACACGTTGCGTGAGGCTGCTGTGGGGGTGCCAGGTCAGATTCTCCAGTGGTAGAACCTGAGATGAGAATTCATGGGCAAGGATTTACTGAGAATGTTCCCCCAGAAGAATTGTGTAGGGTGATGGGAGAAGCAGCCCAGGGAAGGGAAAGGAGCCAGCCAGGCAAGATGTGACTTCAGGCAAATCTCAGCCTCAGCCTGATCCTATGGGGAGCTCAGGAGTGTAAATCTCCCCCCAGATTTTTTTCTCAACTGGCAGAAAAAGAAGTGGGGTTTCATACTCCCCCTACAATTGGTCCTTGCCTAAGAGCCACTGGGAGAGGCATAAACTCCCAGGCACTTCTGGTTATCTTCCCTGTAAGCAGAGCAGCCCTCATAGCCTGCGGCAGCTCCTTAAAAAGAATCACAAGTATAGGAAAGTGCCCAAAGAAGGGGGGGAAGTGGGGATAGGACCCACAGGAGACTGTAAGAAGGATTCAAGGTGGTGTGAGAGGAGAACAGCCGAGTCTGCTGTCCCCAATAAGGAGTATTGAGTACTCTGTGCCTACAAGGTGGGAGCTGGGGGAGGAGCCCCACCCCAAGGCAGAGTACCTACAGTCTATATAGATTTTAAGGACCTCTAAAATATTTGAGATCTAAAAACTAAAAAAATAATAATAATAATAATTTTAACATATAAAAAATTCACTTGAAATTAATGCATTTATTAATTCAACCAATATTTGCTAGATATCTACTAGGTTCCATTCTGTTCTAGGTGCTGAGGTTTCTGTAGTGGATAAAACACAAAAATACCAGCCCTCATGGTGAAAATGGAATGACAATAAACAAGATAAATTAGATCTATGGTAAGATAAATTAGATCTATGGTATTGAGGAGGGAGGTGGGACTTGACTCTGGAGGCTGGGCTCCGATGACACCAGACCAAATTGAAGACTAGCTAAAACAGGGACCTGACGGAAGCAGCTTTCCATAAGACACCTCACCCGTCTGCCATGTCAGGTTTACCACTGCCATGGCAACACCCGGAGTTACCACCCCTTTCCATGGCAACGACCCAAGGATCCCAAAGTTACCACCCTTCCTCTGGAAATTTCTGCATCAACTGGCCCTTAATCTCCAAGTCATTAAAAGTAAGTGTAAATATGGCTGCAAAACTGCCCTGAGCTGCTACTCTCAGCACACTGCCCATGGGGTAGCCCAACTCTGTAGGAGCAGTCACAGAGATGTAATACTGCCTGAGCTATAACACTGCCACTTCAATAAAGCTGTTTTCTTCTACCCTACCACTGGCTCACCCTTGAATTGTTTCCTGGGTGAAGCCAAGAACCCTCATGGGCTAATCTCCAATCCGGGGTTGCCTGTCCTGCATCAGCATCCTATGTTCACAAGTTCCATAAAGAAAATAAGGCAGGGGAGGAGAAGTAAGTAGGGTCCATGGTGGTGTGGGCAGGTGTGAGTTGTACTTTTAAATAGGGTGGTCAGGGCAGCATTCTCCGCTATACGTAATGATTGCTGGGAACTTTTGGGCAAATGAGTAACTCGTAACTAAATAAGTAGCTTAATAAACAGTCTTTCCACTTGTTTTTCACAAAATACATTTCAGTTAATATGCAATGGAAGCGGGGTCACATATTGTACAATTCCAGGGAGCTCCACTCAAAAGTGGGCTTGTCAACATGGCAGCCCAGGGAGTGAGTGCATTTTAATATTCTTGACATAATACAAGGTGGTACCTCCTATGACAAGAATGGCCAGGATTATGAAAGTCTTAAAAGAGCCCTTCTCACTTTGGTCACCTAGCATTGCAGGTCTGCAAGTCAAATGACAGGGCACCCTAGGAAAAGTGGTGTTTGCAAACTGAACTCTTGGAGGTAGATTGATAAATCCACAAACCAATTTATTCATTTACAGCAGGTGATGTAGCTGGCACAGTAACTCTGTCAGTCTCTTTCCTGGTATTGACTTACCTGAGGAACCAAATTAATTATCAGAAGGTTGCTCTGCTAAGTATGGAATTAGAAAGAAAGGAAATTGGATGGTCTTAAGGGATTGTTCTTACAGGCTTGGATAAATCCTGATAAATTGCCTTTAAAGAGAAAGGAATGTACTGCTCTTTGAGAACCTGGCTCAGTCGTCACCACCTTCTCCTTGAACTCTGATGCTGACCCAAGTTTGTCATCCAAGGCTTTTAGTTTATACTTGTTCTTATATTACCTGGTTTCAAAAAAAAAATCTAAATTGCATTGTAAATCAATGAGATTTTAAGTGTGCTGTGTTCTGACTGTGTCCAGGGAGGTATTTTAATCTCATGGATAAATGGTAATCTTTCATCAGAGATAATTTCCTCTTTTTGATCTTTCTCTTTATTCCTTTGTCTGTCTTGCTTTTAGGTCCTTTTTCTTTTTTCTCATCACCATAGCAAATGTCTCAAAAAACTGTGGTTGTAAAATATGCAGATAACAACCACGCCTTTATTTCATCATAATGGTTAGGAGCACACGCTCCAGGTAAATCCTGGTCCTTCTTGGTGGCTGTATGATCTTAAGTAAGCCCATTTTGCTTCAATTTTCTTATCTAGAAAATGGGGATAATAACACCCATGTTATAGAGTTATTCTGATGATTTCTAAGAGTCTCAGAGACCTAGGATCCACAAAATCAAAAGTATGTTCATAAAAATATTAATAAGTAATTTGCCTTTTCATGAGTTGACTTTTGGAATAATGGTGCAAGATCAATGCTGGGTAGACTGTGGTGCCTTAGTACCACAAGTGGTACTAAGTGGTGGCACCAACTATGCTAGAAGTCTTGGTATTCTGCACCACAGCATACTTGCGGGGGAAAAAAATGAAACTTAAGAGCAGACTTGATGAAGTAGTAACATTTCTTAAGTTTATTAAATCTTGATATTTTTAATGTTCTGTGTGATAAAAAGGGAAGTGTATATAAAGCACTTCTGCTATATAAGGCATGATGGTTGTTTCTAGGAAAACACTTGTATGATTGAGTTGGGAGCTGAAGTAGACATGGTTTTCATAAAACATCTTTATTTGGAAGAATGACTGACAAATTATGGTAATTCAGACCTCAGAATCTGGCAGATTTTTTTTTTTTTTGAAAATGAGCAAAATAAGTATCACTGCAAGGAAAACAGCAAGTGGTATTTGTTGCCAATTATAAAATTCTTCTTTTCAAGCAAAAATGAGAATTTTGTAAAAGTTAAACTCACCACTGTGAGCTTGACAGCTTCCCCATGCTTAAATTCCTTTCTGATAAGAATGGTGGTGATATGAAATATGTCAGTATCTGGAATATCTTCATAACTTGCTAAGTCAATATTTTCCAAATGACCAATGTGTGATGTTACAAAATCATGCATGCATTAAAGGTCTATTCAAATTGCAAGATAGACCAAATGGATTTTAATGTAGCAGAGTATGAAAAGTCTATTGAATATGATTTCACATTCCACATTGTAGTAACCTTTAAAAAATTATTACTTGTTGAGTTTTGGTGTAGTATCAAAGAAGAAAATCCCTACTTATCTGAAAAGCTTTTTATAGTACTATTCTAAGTACACACATGTGCGGGACTGGATTTTCCTCATACGCTTGCCTTAACCAGAACAACATATTATTACAGACAACACAGGGAAAGATATGAGAATGTAGCTCTTTTCTACAACTAGGCATTAAAAATATACTTCTTACTAAATATTTTTTGTTTTGGAAACTATAGTTATCCTTTTATAAGCATATGTTGTTTATATTAACATGTAATGGATTCAGTCATTTATTATTAATTTATTATTTTTTAGCATGAATTTATAAATAAATATATTAAAACTTTCACAGTTTTAATTTCTACCATGGCAAATATTGATTGCGATAAGCCATATAAACAAAAACTCTCTGGGAAGCTCAATGATTTCTAAGAGTGTGAAGGCATCTTAAGCCCTAAAAGTCTTGAGTGTCACTGATTTAGAACATTGCTTAGCTCATAGTAAAAGGCATATAATCCTTAACACTTTTATTGGCTAATTATTCACACACCTAGAATTACTTGTTCCCAAAGTATGTATAATTTTAATAACAGTTAACTTTTATTAAAGATTTACTTTGTGTGTGCCAGACACTGTGCTCTTTGCTTTGCATGTATTATCTAACATAATTTTTAATAAAATGTGATGAGATAGGTACAAATGTTAGTTTTATTTTATAGATGAGGGAAATGAAGTATGGAGAAGTTAGGTAATTTGACCAAGGTCGCACAGTTATGAAATAGCAGAAATGAGACCCCAGGCAGTCTTGATTCCAGACTGCCCCTAATGACTTTTTTTCTGTATATTTGAGTTGTGTTTATATTATTTCCCCATTTAAATGCTCTGAGTCCCCCACCAACTTGATTGTAGGATCAGAGTCCATTCCCCCGACTCAACCCAAGCAAGTCTCCCTGGTACTTTCTAGGAACTTCCAAAAAATAACTCTCTCATGGAGCCACAGTCAAGTCCATCAGCCGCCATCCTCCACGTTCTACTCTATTCCAACCACTCTCTGGTTTCCACTGGCTACAAAACCAGTTGAAGGAGTTTTGCCATCACCTTCCTAATGATGCTCTTCATATATAAACTATTACCTCACAACCTCTGGGACACCAACAAGTGCTGGTTCTATCAAGACTGGCTACATAATTTGTAGGATCCAGTGCAAAATAAAAATGTGGGGCCTTTTCTTTAAAATTTATTTAAATAACTTTAAATGTTATTTAAAGTCTGCAACAGCAAAGCATTGATCAAGTGTGGGGTTCCATGTGAAGTGCTCTTTCAGTTGCATGCCTGGGGAATTGGCTATGGGTTCTCTGCAGAGATGGGAAATACCACAGCCTGTCTGAATCTGTCACAGCTTATGCCCCTTGGGCATGAAGGCAGGAGCCTGCAGCTCATGGCCTCACATACTTTCTTGTGAAAATGAGTCCTGCAGCTTCTAGTCGTTAGTCCTCTAGCCAGAGATCATCGAATCTAGTCTATAGGGATGGAGGCGCTGATGCCTTGACACTCCTTCTGCTATCTTGTCTTTCCTCTCCTTCCAGCAACAAAACCAAGCCTTTGTGCACATCTGTGGTTGTGACCAGTTGGAGAGACATTAGGAGATGAGATACTATGTTCACTCCTCACAGCTGTACCAGGGACCTGAGATATTCCGTCACTATTCTATGAGTGAGTAAATTTAATATGTGGAAAGAACTGAGAACTTTTTCTTAAAAGCATGAAGAGCAGGACTTTGTCAGGTTATAGAGAAATCAAACTATTTTTTTCTGAAGCCAAAGAGGGACACTAACTGCCTTATTTAACCAAGCCATGGGAAGGATAGAGCAGGCTGGTTTCATACATAAATGGATCTAGGGCCTTAGCCCAGTCTGACAGTCACTGTGAGAGTCTTACCCTGTTTGACTGGCCTTGACTTCAGACCCAGAGCTATCCCTGGACCCATCACTGTGGCCAGGGGAAATGGTAGGACCATTGGCCCAGATTGTGCCCACTCATGTGGTCAGGAAGCGGGCAGGAGTGCTATGACCATCTCTCACCATGGTGAGATGGGATAGTGGAGTAGGAGCCATTTGCCCCAGAAAGTAGTAACTATTCTGGATAGAACCTTTGTGGCAAAGCCATGGTTCTTCTAAAATAGCCCTTGCAGAAATGTAAACCTGAATGTGGGCAGGCAGAACAATGAGATCCAGGAAACAGGATTCAGTTTGAGAAAATCTGGTTTATTAGCAACTGACATCAGGTGAGTGCTGATGCTTATATCTCCAAAGCAAAATTTGGGAAACCAGAGAAAGTAAGGTCAAATCAGTAGAACCTCGTTATCCTGAGAGACACAGGGACTAATCCAGTGAATAATGTTCATGTGTTAGGATTTTGGAGATCCCACCAGTGGTTTTCCGGTGCCAGGGTATGAGAAGATAGTCTCCATGTCCAAACTCACAATTTCAGAACAAATTTCATCAAGATAAAGGTAAAAACAAGCCATGACCTGGGAATTTTGTCAGTCAGATCATATTGCAGAATTTATTTATTGCATACCCATGTCTTACAGCAAAAGGCAAATATGCAAAGGACACTCAGGTATGAAAATCACCCCTCCTCCACGAACCGGTGGCCTATGAAAGAGGAACCCAATGAGGAATTGGCATACGTCTGTTTTTATATTTCCTTTGTTTTGCACCAAAGGTCATATTTTTGCAATACTTCGCAATATTTTTGCAATATTTTGCAATATTTTGTCTATATTTGTTCCCCCAACACCCAAAATGAAGGGAGCTGATGAAATAGAGGCAATCAGGAAGTGGGGAGGGTCACTTTCTTAGGAGTGGGTGGAACCAATGAGAAGCTGTCTGATTTGCAGTGGTTCAGTGATTTCTTAAAATTCTTTGCAGGGCTGACCTATTTCTAATTCCTTGAGCCTATAGTCTGAAAGGTCATTAATCTGGGCTCGGCTCATGGTGCTGAAGCTTAAGACTTCTATTTCTTAAATGCCAAAGGTGTGTCAGGTTGCCTTTTGAAATGCTGGTATCTCTATTCAGGCATGCAGTGGTTAGTAGAGAGGTACATCAGCACTTTCCTTTGTCAGGGAAACATTCACCCAACCAAAGGAACCACCTGTGTTTTTAGTTTTTACTTTTCTTTCTTTTTTTTTTTTTTTTTTTTGCCATTTGGATCTTTGCCATGGATTCAAAAGACAAACCAATCTCCCCCACACACTTTCTTTTTTCTTTTTTTTTTTTTTGGTCAAGTACAGGGACAAACTGGTATGTGTTTGCTAATGGGTAACAGCATCAAATGTACTTTCTGAGAGTCAAGTTGGAGGAAAACATGAAAAGTATCAGTTTATTCTTGTCACTTTATGTCTCCTCATTTTCTATAGAATGAAATCTGAGCTCTTTGTTGTCACATATGAGGTTCTTTCTGGTCCTCTTTCTGCTTCCTTCGCTGATCTTCCTTCTTGCCTCTCCCCAAACTTACCTTTGACCTCTAAGAACCAGTCATGTCTCGGTTCACATCAGGGCCTTTGTAAATGTCATTCCTGGCCCTCTCACCTGGCGGATTCCTGCTGGCCTTTCGGGTTTCAACTCAGATGGTTGCTTCTTCTTCAGGAAGCCTCACCTGACTCCCCAACCCTGAAGGAGGGACTTCTCTTTGGCGTTCCCATAGCAACCAGTGCTTGCTGCAGGAACGCACTTCCTCTGCATGTAATTGCTTGTTTATCTGTCTTTCTTCCCTATTATGCCTTTTCTGGCTTCTTTCTTTTCCTCTTTCTCTTTCTCCTTCTTCTCCTTCATTTTAATGCATTTTCCTTGCATGAAATCCAAACATCACAGATAAAGAATGCCATCCTCCTGGGCCACGCGTCAGATCTCTTTCATGTCTCTCTAGATACACTTACCAGTCACTTACTCCCACAGTGCGCTGGGAGCCTGACCGTGGGGTCTGCCTTGACAGACATTTTGCCCTCCAGCTTCCTATTGGGCTTGGCCACTAGGGACACAAAAGAAGGTCAGAGGGTGGGAGGGAAAGGGTTTGATGTATGCGTCTCCTACTTCCCTCCCCGCCACATTCCCACGGCTGATTGTGTCCCTCTAACTAAGGCTCTAGGTCTCCTCAGGTGTCCCTCTTCCTGCAGTCACCTCTTGGGCTCTGGTGGCACTTTTTCTTCTTGTCCTTCAGGCCTGGGCTGGTGAATGGTTCCTGCTTTCACTATTCCAGATGTCCAGCTCTGTACCTTGCTGCTCTCCTTAAAGCCTGCCTCCCTCTAGGTAAGGTGTCCCTGTATTAAATGTTCCTTCCACTACCCAGTGTACATGTGCATTCCATCATGCTGAGAGCCTCACTGATTCTGACAATCACTTCCAACTCTAGTCCTTGCCCCTTCCTCGAGTTCACCCAGTTATAACTATGTCTTCTAGAATATCACAACCCTAGATGCTGGCACAGTATCATACACATAGAAGGAGTCCAATAAATGTTGACTAAATGCTGTTGTTGAATCTTGGGCTCCCAGGAGAAGATGGGATAAAAGTTGCTAATTTCAGCCAAACACTCATTTCCTCTGCACATCATAAAGATAAAACAGGATCACAGTTGTTAGAGTGGAAAATTCCCTCACTGTTATGGCAGCAGATAGCTAGTATGTATTCCAATGAAAGACTCAGGAATGGGTATAAAAATAATCCACTGTATACCATCAAAAATTGAAAGCACATTCTTTTCCTTTGAAATAAGATCGGCTTCTAGAAGCTTTCACTCCAACACCCATCCATCTAAAACTCCTCTCCAAGGGCACGAGTAAAATGCAACTTGTTTCATAATAAGTCCCAGGAGTTTACTTTAAAGACATGATTACCCAGAAGGCAATGAGAGCTGTCTACAATTTCTTTTGTTTTAAGAATATTTCTATCCTAAAGAAAGACAGGGCAGCACCAAAGTTTCACTGGAAATTTTGGCTTGTGAATTATACAGGAAATAGAAATTTTGCATATCTGTGATTGATCGTGGATTGGACCTCATTCCCCCAATTAGAGTTGCTCAACTATGGAGCATAAGGCTCCATCAAAAGCCCAACTATCTGTCACATCAGCATTAGGCCAAGCTGTAAGCTGACAGCCTTTATTCTACAGTGGTTTCATTGCTGGGATCAATGACTGTTTCAAAACCAAGCTGGGGCATTGCATACTCGAGCCATTATTATAGCTACTATTAGCAGTGTCCTTACCAGGTACTTTGCACGTCTTATCTGACCCAGGCCTCCCATCAGCACCATGAGGGGGATGCTTTTAGCATCTCCATCTTACAGATGAAGACACTGAGGCTTAGCCAGATGAAGGGGCTTCTCCAGCTGAGTGGTGCCGGCAGTACTTGCTTTGCAGCCTAGGTTCCTTATCATGTTTCCATTCACCTGGATGGAGTTGAGTCAAACTGCCTCTGGCCGCCTCCAGCTTCCTGCTGGGCTTTGCTATTAGGGGCACCAAAGAAGATCAGAGGGTCGGAGAGAAAGGGTTTGCAAATTTGCAAATATGCAAAATTTCTATATTTTGTATAAATCACAGGCTGAAATTTACAGTGAAACTTCAGAGCTATCCTGTCTTTCTTTAGGTTAGAAATATTCTTGAAACAGAAGAAACTGTAGACAGCTCTCATTGCCTCTGGGTAATCATGTCTTTAATGTAAACTCCTGGGGCTTATTATGAAACAAATTGCATTTTATCTGTGACCTTGGAGACAAATTTTAGATGGATGGGTGTTGGAGTAAAATTGAGTCTGGGCTGCCTGTCTACCTTGGTACCAACTTCTACTCTTGTACTTTTCTCATTGTGTTGCATTGGCTCATACTCAAAGGTTAAAAAGAAAAATTGGCACAAGCCACATTTGGTCCACAAACTCCTTGCCCTCCAAGGTTCTTAAAGGGCATGAAATTTTGCTGGATCACGCTTCAGAGTTGCTCATAACATTTCTGATTTTATTGAATTCCCCCCTCCTCCCTTTTTAGGTCCTTAGGTAAAACTCCACTAAAACAAACAAACAAACAAACAAAAAAACAATGACCCATTGCCAGCAATCCTCTGGCTGCACCTTTTTCTGTTGTCTTTAGATTCATGGAGTAGACATTCAACTAAGCAGAAATCCTCCTCCAACCCTTACTTCTTCCCTCTCACCAAACATTCCCATGCCTGACTCTTCTTTACCTTAGAAATGTCCTCGTTATCCCCATTAGTATCAGCTGGTTCCATTAGGACACAGATATCCCGACCTGGACATTCTAGAGATTTATTTCCTCACCAGGCACTGGTTTGGTAAAGTTCTCCTTATTCCACAACATGAGCACTGTTAGCATTTTGGACCTGACAATTCTCCATGGTGGGGGCCATCCTGGGCATTGTAAGTTGTTGAACAGCATCCCTGGTCTCTACACATGAGATGCCAGTAGCGTCTCCAGTTGTGACAAACAAAACTGTCTTCAGATATTGTCAAATATCCCCTGAGGCCAAAATAACCCCTAGTTGAGAACTACTGGTTTAGTGAATGACAAGTGGGGCCTGGCAGCAATACAGGTAGCTCCACACATTCCTACACATCAAGGCTCCTTGGAACATGCTCAGTGGTGACTGTGAGTCTCCCTCAGGAACAGGGGAGTTAGAAGCCCCCAAAGTGAGGATCCCAGTGCTTTTTTTTTCTGAAGCCCTTTCATATTTTATGCCTATAGAAGCTTAGGGTCTTAATACATTCATTTCTGCATGGGTGGGGTTTCAGTCTGCAACAAGATCTTGTAGGGATGCTATCGCTGGCTATTAGGTGATCACAGTTCTGTGCATTGTCTCACCCAGTCCTCACAGTAACTCCAAAGACAGGTTGTATTATGATCCTATTCTATAGATGAAGGAACTTAGGAAAGTCACACATCCAGGCCATACAGGTAGAGAGTGATGAAGCCAAGACTTGAGGCGAGGTCTTTTTGATTCCAGGTATGGATTGGCTGATTATAACTGCTTCTTTTGTGATAAGAGAGGGTACTGGGACTCCTCTACTTGAGAAAGAAATGCAGTAAGTGAAAGAAATGGTGGAAACTCAGATGCTGGACAACACATCCAGGAGGCTGGCTCCTCTCCATCAATAAACCAAGAACAGTTGCTTAGTGCTGTCACTTCAGAAAACTGACTGAGAGAGGCCAGATAATGATCCTTCCTTCTCCATATCTATCTGCCAGTCTAACTTCTCAGTTCCATGTTCTACTTAAGGGGCAGGAAGGCTTTATTCAGTTGTGCTATTGCTATTCAACGAGTGTTGCCACCTAGTTTAGCTACAATCACAACATGATTTCATTTGATAAGCTATGTGAGGGCAGAACAATGTCTGTATTGTTTGCCATTTTATTCTCAGCACTTGGGGCTCTCAATGAGCATTTCTGAAATGAATGAATCAATGAATTAATGGATAAATCTATCTTGAGAAAGAGTAGGTAAATTTTTACTTTTATTGCTTTTCTTAGATTTTTAATCCATGAGCAGGAATTAGTGATGGGTTTCAAGATGATCAAACTTAATGTGGTATGTACATTATTGATGTGGAATCTTAAAAATCTCTACTGTCCATTATATGTACTGAAACATCACTATGTACCCTATAAATATGTACAATTATTATGTGTCAATTAAACTAAAAGGAAAGAAAATATATACAAACGGGTAAATCTGTGTTTCCAATACACATCTTTTGAATGACAGCAGAGCATAATACGGTATTTCATAAAAGCAAGACAAAACACAACAAAATGATTTGGGGGTACATTGACTCATGATTAAATAACAGTGACACTCCTAGTAGGAAAGATTTGCCCATTGGATTTTCTTTAAGTCCTTCTGTCTGGTTGGGGAGAAAGTCTCAGCTGGTGCTAACGTAGTCTTTAACACCACACTATCACTTGTTAATCTCCCTTTTTGACAAAGGAAGAGGAGACTTCAGGCTCAGACCCTTCAACAGGCAACAAGTCCAGATAGAATTTTATAGCATTTTAATGTTTATATTGTGACATATTCAAGTTGGTCATCTATGTAAGGCAAATGACACTTGTGCTTTACATTTATGGTTTTTGTAAAATATTTCCCTTTTAAATAAATCTAGGAAACCAAAAAGGAAGGGAAAGCTATTGAAAGTAAAGCATTTCATGTCTTTATAACAGTTATTGCATAGATATGGCAAACATTTTTGATGCAGTACACAAATGGATGGAATTTAAGAAATACTGTCACACCTGCTAAGAACGAAGATGGAACTGGTTTTTAATCCTAAATTTACACCTTGCTAGAAAGGTGGACTTCAGGAAATTCTTTTGCTTTTCCAGGCCTTGATTGTCCTCAGATGGAAATGGGGATGGTATGTACATCATAGTTTTTTAAATAATATTTTAATGAGATAGAATACTTTATTACCTGGCATTTAGGAAGAACTCAAAAAAAGGTTGCCATTTGTTGTTTAGATCTTGTTTACCCATAAGCTGATGCCATTAAAGACGGACAATAATACCAGGGAATGAAAAATATGCCTTCTTTTATTTTCAGATGGTCTGGCTTGATGATATCCAACCTGACGTGGCCTGAAGAGACAGACAGTGGCTCTTGCTAGCTAATTATTGTCAGATGGATCGGCAGCCGACCAACGCTTCTGAAACTATTGTTTTTGGCAAATGTTCCTCAACATTTTCCTGGTATATAAATAATGATCCCTTGCAGAAAGTCACTTCCTTTAGTTTCCTTGGTGTACGTTTCACAAATGGTTTGTTTTGGCAGGTTCTCCAGGAAGTCACTTTATCATAGCTACAGGTGGTTTATGAAGAATTCATTTTGGTTAAGGAGGACACCTGATTAGGCCTGCCTTAAACATTTTCAGGCCATAGCTATTTGGGAAATGTTACATTCTCTTGGGTCTTGACCGTCTATTCTGTGTCTTGGGGCAGATTCAGAACAAGATTCTGTGTAAAATCTGGAAATTTTGGCTTTGGCTTTGGAACTGGGTTATCTGACTCCCATCCAAGCTTTTTTGTTGTTGTTGTTGTTGCTGTCTCCCTCTCTGATCATCTAATACTCCAAGAACAAAGTCCAGTAACCAGTGTTTTTGAGATGGAACCAAATGGTGAAAGAAAGAGAGAGGGAATTTTAAAGGGCTGTTGATCAGGAAAGACATATCAGAGAGTGAGGTAGCTTGGAGAAAGGGAAGGGAGTGGTGCTTGGGGGAGGGTACCTGGATCCTGGGGGCCCACTCACCACCTTTATAGGGGCAGTAGATAGGAGGGTAATGTCAGAGGATTGCTTAGTGGTCGAGTACATCTTCTTAGGGGCAACTAATTCCCTCTACTCCCAGCAGGGTTCTACCAACAGACCGTATTCATTAGCACAGAGGTTGACTGCTGTCATAGGGACCCAGGATGAGTTTGGCTTAACCAAAAGAGAAGCCCTTTCTCTCTCTAAGCCTAGGGCTGCTATAGTATGGCAGTACCATAGTATCAGTCATCCAGCACCTTCTTACTTGTTGCTTCTCCATTTTTTGACAACTTCCTTGTTTGTCTGACTCAGAATGGTTTACTACCATCCCCACATTTCAGCTAGGGGGAAGAAGTAAGTGCAGACGAGTGGGCAAGGTGCTTGAGAAGCCATGACCCAGAGTTTGCACATATCACCTCACTTAACAACCCTTACAAATATTTACCAAGCACTTCAGACTCAAGCACTGTGAATAAAGCATATTAGATTTCTACCTTCAGTTTAAAAGGCCAATTAGCATTCTTCAGGGGCTACAGTCTCATTTCCTTGCCCATAAATAGTTATCAAATTTTCAGAAAAACATATTCATTGTTTCCTATATTCATTGTTGTGCATGAAGAACATTGTTGAGTTCTGCCTGAGTGCTGGGGTAACAGCAAAGACAGTAGGCAGATCCTCCCTGCAGGGAACATACAGTCTGCTGAAAAATAGTAATGAACAAATATGTGAGCAAACTGAAAAAGCAGTTGCAGGTGGGGCATGGTTGCTCACATCTGTAATCTCCACACTTTGGGAGGCTGAGCTGGGAGGATCACTTGAGCTCAGGAGTTCCAGGCCAGCCTGGGCAAGATAGTGAGACCCTGTCTCTAAAATTAAAAAAAAAAAAAAATTCAAACAATTAGCTGGGCATGGTGGCACATGCCTGTGGTCCCAGCTACATGGGAGGTTGGGGAAGGAAGATCACTTGAGCCCGGAAGGTTGAGGCTACAGTGAGCCTTGTTCACGCCACTGCACTCCAGCCTGGGCAACAAAGTGAGACCCTGTCTCAAAACAAAAACAAAAACAAAGAACAAGTAATTGCAAATTGTGGCAAGCGTTTTGGAAAAAAAACCAAACTGAATGCTTAAAGAGAAAAGAATGAGAAAGCATCTTGTTTGAATTGATGGCTTCCAAAGCTTTTTGAGACAGTGTCATTAGAAAGCTTATCCTTGAGAAGAAGGGAGCTGAGAAGGAGGGAGCCAGGTGAAATTCTGGGATGTTGGAATATTATACAGCAGTGAAGATGAAAGAGCCACAGCTATATGCAACCATGTGGCTACATCTCAGAAGCATACAGTTGAGTGAAAAAAAAAATCACCTAAGACTACATACACTATGATACCATTTTTATCAACCTCAAACAAACAAAACCAAGTAGCATATTATTTCAGGATGCATACATATGGAATAAAACTAAATACAAAAAAAGACATGAGAATGATAAACACAAAATTCAGAATAACGTATACCTGAGTGGGAGAGAAGGAGAAAATAACAGGATATTCAAGATAAAGTGACAGTTTTAAAGTTAGATGGTAGGTTCCTGGATGCTAGTTTTGTTAGTGTGCTTTCCAACTTACACATGTGTTAAATGTATTTTTGAATGTGTCTAACATTGCTTAATACAACACATTTTAAAAACATAGAGGAGGGGCATTCAACTCAAGTATCTAGGGAGTCCAGGCAGGCAGTGTAAACTGGTGAAGTGGCTGAGTGGGTCCCTGGGGAACACCAGAGCACCTGCCTCATCTACAGGGGTGCCACCGCCCAGTCCCTGCCTGGGGTTGCCGTGTGAGCTTGCAGGCCAATTACCCAATAACATCCATCCAGAACTTCCGATTTTTCTTAAGGAGCCTCACATCTGACATCTGCATTTTTACAAAGCACTATTCCAATGCTGGCAACGATTCCAAATTTCAAAAACTCTGTGGGGGCAAACAATACCCTTTGGGAGGCATACCAAGTCTCAGAAATAGAGGAAGTACTTGGAGGCCAACATTAATTCCGTGCCTATTTGCAACAAGAATGCCTAAATGTATTTCTATCATACTGCGCTGCTCGAATGCAGGCAGGAAGGAAACCCATCCCCTCTGCGTTCCCAGAGTGTGCTATTTCCAACCTGTGGCTCTGCTGGGTTCCTGCGCCTCTCTCACTTGTGAGCTCTCACCTCTAAGTTTGGAACGTGTGAAGGTGGTGCCAGTGCAGCTGAGAGCAGGCGGGCAGGAGCTCAGGCTGCGTCTCCATCCGAAAGCCTGCTTTCTGCATAGCACCCTCGCCCCCGGCCTTCCAGGCCCGGCTGTGCATGGTATTTGCAACACTCTCATTTTCCCCTAAAGGGCCGTGGGGGAGGAATGGGCAACCTGCAGCTAGGACCATGCTGCTGAGATCTAATTTACGTTGTCCACTGTTGGGACCGAACACTTTCCATGCAAGAGTATGCAGACCCCAAGGGACATTTGGCAATATGTGGAGATATTTTTATTGTCACAACTGGAATGGGGGCACTGCCCAGATTTGTGGGTGGTGGATTGTGGGTGGAGGTCAGGGATGCTGCCAACCATCCTGCAATGCACAAGACAGCCCCCCTTCCTCACCCCAACACTCCAACAAAGAATTATTCCACTGAAGAGGTCAGTAGTGAACAGTGCTGAGGCTGAGAAACTCTTTTCCCTCTGTCTGCTCCCACCAAAAGACAAAGGTAAATAAAGCCCACTCCCTGTGAGTGATGAAAGGTGTGTGTTGGGGGTGGGGTACGGTGAGGGGTGTAACATGAATTTAGAAGAAATGCCCTTTAGCTAGAGCTGGGATTTGTGGCCACTATTTTTGTTTTTATTAAAGCGTAATGCTCACAAGCAGAAGAGGAGATTTGTTATTCTAAAGACAGTTGCACACCAAAGCATGCTATTGTATAATCTGGCATTTTCCCCACTAGGGAGCTATGGTGCATTACTCACGAGTGACAGAACCAACGAGCTTCATCTCCCAAGAGGCTGGTGCATCTGTTTAAAGGAGCAGGCACTAGGCAGAGCAGCCCCCACCCCACCCTCCATGGCAGAGTGCAGTGGGGGAAGGTAAGCTTCATTTCAGTCACAGTGAGGATGAACCATGCATTGATTCTATGCCCGCCCCACTCCCACTCCCCAAAAGGAGAGGGTCGAGTCCAGTTGTGTTCTAGTAGCGGGACCACAGGAGAGGAGGCGATTATTCTAGGCTTCAGTTCAATAAATGTGATTAGGGAAGTTCTAGCTCTTTCTGCACCTCAGTTTCTCAGAAGACCTGTGCATACTGGGGCCAAGAGCTTGGGGTTTGGGAGTCAGTTGGGTGTCATCAGTTTGAATGCAGGTTCAGCGCTTACGGTGTGTGCCCTTGGGCCTTGACTTCTCCCTGAGTCTTGGTTTTCTCATCTGAAAAGTAGGGATAATAATGCTTGTCTCATAGGGTCACAAGAGACAAGGATTATAAAGCACTCAGCACTTGCCAGGCATGTAGCAAGGATCATTCCAGTATTCAGAGATAAAAGGAAGTCAACACATCTTCCCTTTGCACCTCGCAGAACAGTTGGGAATTGAAATGAAACTATGGATGGGAAAATACTTGGAAAACTTAAAAGTGCAATATCAGTGAAATGTAATGAAATCAATGTAAACATCAATGCAAATAGCGATAGTGTTTATTGTGCTGATCCAAATAAAATGGAAACATTATTACACACTATAATTATAGCCAGTTAGAAGTGGAAGAAAATTAGGTCTGCGTTAGTTTAAACCTTCTGTTTTATAAGGGGAGAAATTGACTTTAGTGGCAAAACTTTCATGAACCCCAGCCTGGTGCCCTTTTTCCACTCCCCACAAAGTTAACTTGTTTAATTTGGCAGCCAGTTAGAGCATTACGGCATCAGATGGAAGGTCTGTAACATACAGACATAACCCTCAGTTTCTTCATCTCTAAAATGGACATGATAATGAAACCCAACTCACAAGGTAGTGATGAAGAATGAGATCATGCAGGTCAAATGTTTAGCAGGCATGCCTAGCCCATGGAAAGTCCTCCAGAAACAGTAATTATCATTATCCTTATTAATGGTAGTAATTGAGATGACATCTGTACATGTATCTCTCCCAGAATCTGACATAAACTGGAGGCGGGGGGCAGGGTGGTCAATATATATTCATTTGTGCCATTGCAGATAACAGTACCTCAATGTTCTGAGAAACATTGGTGGGGACTCTAAGTCTTCCTGAACAATTCACCATCACATTGTCTGGTTCCTGGACATCCCAGGGGAGGACCTGGACAAGCCAATGACATCCTTTTGTAGCTTCAGAAATGATAAAAGCTGTCTGATAGTCTAGAATTCGGACAGGGGTAGAATTCTACAAGCCAAAGGCCCTGATACTAATTTTGTTCTAGTCTTTGTATTAGTCCTTTTTTACACTGCTGATAAAGACATACCCAAGACAAGGTAAATTATAATGAAAAGGAAGTTTAATGGACCCACAGTTCCACGTGGCTGGGGAGGCCTCGCAATCATGGTGGAAGGCAAAAGGCACATCTTACATGGCAGCAGGCAAGAGAATGAAAGCCAAGCAAAAGGGGTTTCCCCTTATAAAACCATCAGATCTCATGAGACTTATTCACTACCATGAGAACAGTATGGGGGAACCTCCCCAATGATTCAATTATCTCCCACCATGTCCCTCCCACAACACGTGGGAATTATGGGAGCTACAATTCAAGATGAGATTTGGGTGGGGACACAGCCAAACCATATCAGCCTTAGAGGATTTGTGAACATTTAGGGTGGGCAGCAGAGATCAGTCACATGTTCCGATGGCCCTAGACCAGTGGTTCTCCAATTTTGGCCTGCATCAGGATCACCTGGAGAATTGTTAAACCACAGGTTACCGGCCCCATGCCCTCTGAGGGTCTGGGGTGAAGTCCTATATTTTGCATTTCTTTTTTTTGTTTTTTGAGACTGAGTCTCGCTCTGTCGCCCAGGCTGGAGTCTAGTGGTGTGATCTTGGCTCACTGCAACCTCCGCCTCCTGGGTTCAAGCCATTTTCCTGCCTCAGCCTCCCGAGTAGCTGGGATTACAGGTGTCCACCACCATGCCCAGCTAATTTTTGTACTTTTAGTAGAGACGGGGTTTTGCCATGTTGGCAAGGCTGGTCTTGAACTACTGACCTCAGGTGATTCACCCTCCTCAGCCTCCCAAAGCGCTGGGATTACAGACGTGAGCCACTGTGCCCAGCCTAAATTTTGCATTTCTAACAAGACCCCAGCTGATGCTGATGCTCCTGGTCCAGGGACTGCACTTCAGAATCACAGTCCTGGAGCAGCATTGCTCTGCTACAGTACTGCTGATGTTTAGGGCTGGCTAATTCCTCGTTGTGGAGGGTACTGTAGGGTGTTTAGCAGCATCTCTGGCCTCTATTCACTAGATACTGGTAGCAGTTTCAACAACCAAAAATGTCTCCAGACATTGCCTAATGCCCTCTGTGGGGCAAAATCTCCTGGTTGAGAACTGCTACTGTAGACCGAGATGATTAGAATCAAACCCTAGTCACTTCTTGTCATAGCAGTATGACTTCAGTCATATTGCTGTACCTCTCTAGGCTTCTTCATCCATGTAATGGGTACAGGGATGCCAACCTCATAAGATCCAAGTAGAGTCTAAGAGATAATACAGGGAAAGCACTAAGCACAGTTTCTGTACACATTGAGCAGCTTAATTCATGTTAGTTATTGCTTTTGAGCCCTCCGTAGCAGATCAACTTAGTGCAATGTTTTTTTTCCTCCCATCAAGAAGTTTTCATAGAAATGCTTTCTATAAAGCATTTTCATAGAGAAAGCAGGTTCATATAGAAAGCACTGGCTGCTGGTTGGAGTGGAGAGATTGAAGACCCTCATCTAGGATCAAGCAACCCCCAGAAAACAATTTTAAACATGTCCATTCAGACAAAAGGAGTCCAAAACCATAAGATCCTCTCAGCATCCTGAACTAATGTCCAGCTGTTATCTCGGTGAGTAGCTCCCAATCCTTAGCTCAGAAGTGACTGACTACAAAAGCATATTCCAGCTTTATGAGCATACCTCCTGCTTGCTAGCCAGGGTTGATACTACAGAGATGTCTTTCCAGTTTTTAGAATTTAAAACAATGATCTGGTCACTCACATTTTCTTTCCCAACTTTGCTCTAGAAGTGAGCTTTCAAATCTGGAGCACTTCTGCGTTCTGAGTTCCCAAACAACTCCTGTTCAAGGGTGATCTATATCTATGCTGCCACACACAAGGGATCATGGATTTTTCTTTGGCTGTCAGCTCTCAAAATTACCCAGCAATCCCAAAATGAATTTCCACTAATCTGACAGTTTTGCCTCTCCTGACATGATGTACTGTATATTCAGTGGTCAGCAGGGACTATTTAATTGCAGTTAAGCCTGTGCTGTTCACTGTGGCATTCAAAATAGAGCAATGTGTAACGTGGCTACCCTTACTGACTCTCCAGGCCCAGATGGGTGGGTGGAACTCAATTTTGGGGGGAAACTTCTACTTGGGAACATTTAGTAATTAAGTTTTACTGACTAGCAGCTTTAATTCTTTCACTTTGAAGATTTATAAATGTTAGAATCAAAACTAACATCAAATCTCTCTACAAGGTAGAAGGAACTAAAATATCAGATGAAACTGATGATGAGTTACAAATGGATTAGAAACTCAAGAAAGGAGAGATTAACATTTTCAGAGTACGTACTATGTGCTTGGGAGTTTGCAGGTGTTATCTCACTTTTCTCTTAAAGCATTTCAAAGAGGCAGGGACATTCCCCCCCCCCCGTTTTACAGATGCAGAAACTGAGGACTTAAAGAGATTAAGTTACTGCCCAAGACCTGTGGGTTGTGTGAGCAGAGCCAAGATTTGAGCCCAGGTTTTTCTGATAACAGTCTAGATTCTTATGCCCCCACACTAAACTTCCCAAAAGATGCTAGATGTCATTGGTTTTTCAACTGTTTATTTGACGGGTGGAGAAACTGAGGTGTAGACAGTTCAAAGTGACTTTCTCAGAATTAAGTTATCTCAGGCTCAGGAAATTAGCCTGTGGGTATTCATAAGTCTGATTATTAAGAATAATGCGGTGCTTTGCTGCTTATAAAGTGCTATAACATCCATTATCTCATACTAAATTTTGGTTTTCAAGCAATTCTGTTATATGAACTGATAACTCAAAAAGAAAAGCATTTTGAAAAGTGCTCTTTTTCCCACTGTTGAATCTAATGATAAATATCTGCAGTATAACCACAAAAATGCTACTGTAAGGTGCCATGAACACATGAAGAGCAAAGACTTAAGTGGATTCACGTATTCAGCAAATATTATTAAGCTTGTAATATGTGCTAAGCATTATTCCAGGTGCTGGGAATACTGCAGTGAGTAAAATATTTAAAAATTCCCTACCCTAAGAGGGCTTACATTTTGGAGGGCGCAAGCAGATAACTAAGTAAATGAGCGAGATATATAGCATGTCAGGTCATAAGTGTGAGCCAGCAAAATCAAGATGGGAAGGAGAGAAGGGGGCACTGGAAGCAGGGATTAAGTGGAGAGGGTGATATTTGAATGCAGACGTACAAATATGAAGAACAAGCTTTTTTAGTATATCGGGAAGAGCATTCCGGGTAGAAGGAACAGCTAATGCTAAGTCCTTGAGGCAGTAAATATACACTTTGTTATGTTTAAGAAACCCTAATGGTTAGCGATGTGGCAATTTTTCATGGACTTATTTGCCATTCATATGTCTTCTGTGGTAAAATATCTGTTCAAGTCTTTTGCCCTTTTTGGGTAACTGTTTTTCTTCTTCTCCTTTTCCTCCTCCTCCTCCTCCTCCTCCTCCTCCCCTTCTTCTTCTTCTTCTTCTTCTTCGTCTTCTTCTCTTCTTTACTTCTTCTCCTCCTCCCCTTCTTCTTCTTTTTCATCTTCTTCTCTTCTTTACTTCTTCTCTTCTTCTTCTTCTCCTTCTTCTTCTTCTCTTCTTCTTCTTCTCTTCTTCTTCTTCTTCTTCTTCTTCTTTTTTCCTCTTCCTTCCTCTTCTTCTTCCTCTTCCTCTCCTCTCCTTCTCCTTCCCTTTCCCCTTCTCCTTCCCCTTCCCCTTCTCCTTTTTCTTCTCCTTCTCCTTCTCCTTCTCCTCCTCCTTCTCCCTCTCCTTCTCCTTATTGAGACAGGGTTTTACTCCCATTGTCCAGGCTGTAGTGCAACGGTGCGATCTTGGCTCACTGCAATCTCTGCCTCCCAGGCTCAAGAGATTCTCCTGCCTCAGCCTCCCAAGTAGCTGGGACTACAGACACACACCACCATGCCTGGCTAATTTTTGTAATTTTTTTTTTGTAGGGATGGGATTTCACCATGTTGTCCAAGCTGGTTTTGAACTCCTGGGGTCAAGAAATCCACCTGCTTCGGCCTCCCACAGTGCTGGGATTACAGGTGTGAGCCCCTGCACCCAGCCTAATTAAGTTTTGAATATCTTATCCCTATCAATGACTTGTCTTTTCATTCCTCTAACGTTCTTAATTTTGATCAAGTCCAATTTATCTTTTCTCTCCTTTATAGATTGTGCTTTTGGTGTTACATCTAAGAAATCTTTGCTTTTGATTATTTTAAAAATTGATTTTCTCATCAAGTAAAAGAAAATGTACTTTCAAGTTCCTTTAAGTATATCCACGTTGCCTAGGCAACCAAGTTATTTATCAATAGGTGATCATTTGTAATGATTTGTTAATAAAGGAATTAGAAAATCTTGCCTTCCATGATCCTTAATCTACTTGCAAGACCTCAACCCCTTTAGTATAAACTTATCCAAGACCTACGGTCAAGTTGGAAGAGAGGCAGGTGTGATTTTGTGGGGAAAGCTTCCTGGGCCCCAGCAATAGGAGACTGAATTTTCTTCTTTGTTCTGCTACTAATCAGAAGCTCAACTCTGGGCCAGTTGTACTCTCTTTTTTGTTTACATTTCCAATTGCAAAAGTAAGGAGTTGTACTAGATTTTTCTGTGCTCCTGTCTAGTCCTAATACTATATAAATGGGACATTGACAGTAAATTGAACATCTTCAGCAGGACCAGGACTAGAGTCAGGCAAGAGCTGCATCTAGGGTACAGCATTTAAGAAGCTGTGCGCGGCCAGGCAGGGTGGCTCGCACCTGCAATCCAGCACTTTGGGAGGCCGAGGCGGGTGGATCACGAGGTCAAGAGATCGAGACCATCCTGGCCAACATGGTGAAACCACGTCTCTACTAAAAATACAAAAATTAGCTGGGTGTGGTGGTGCTAATATAGTCCCAGCTACTCAGGAGGCTGAGGCAGGAGAATTGCTTGAACCCGGGAGGTGGAGATTGCAGTGAGCCGAGATCATGCCACTGCACACTCCAGCCTGGTGATAGAGCAAGACTCCATCAAAAAAAAAAAAAAAAAAAAGGAAGCTGTGTGCTCTCAGGATTGTCCAAATTTTCATTCTGTATTTCCACAACCCTAACAAGGAGCCACTTGGAAGACACTGGGAATGAGGGCCTCCATGAATTTTATGCCCTCCATAATTCTCTTGCCATATCCTAGTTCTGGTCCTGACCCTCAATGAGATAAGTCGGCATGACCCATGTGGGGGCTGTGATGAACTGGCACAGGGCGTCTTGCATTTGAGTATGCATTCGAATCCCCTGGGAATATTGTTCATTCTCATTCAGAGGTTCTGGTATGGGGCTTGGGATTCTGCCTTTCTAACAAGCTCCCAGATGATGCTTGTGCTGGTGCATGGGCCACATTTTTCATGTCAAGGAACTAGAATGTAGCAGCTTTGTCCAAAAAAGCAACTCACCTTCATACATTGCCATGTGGGAATTCAGTCCCCAGAGTGCTCAATGTCTTTTTTTGTTTTTTTTTTTTTTGTTTTTGTTTTTGGGACATAGTCTTGCTCTGTCACCCAGGCTTGATAGTGGCTTACTGCAACATTTGCGTCCCAGGCTCAAGCAATTCTTGTGCCTCAGCCTCCTGAGTAGCTGGGAATACAGGTACACGCCACCACGCCCAGCTAAGTTTTGTATTTTTAGTAGACATGGGGTTTCACCAAGTTGGCCAGGCTGGTCTTGAACTCCTGACTTCAAGCAATCTGCCCACCTCAACTTCCGAAGTGCTGGCATTACAGGTGTGAGCCACCATGCCTTGCCCCAAAGTCTTGATTAGTCAGAAGAGACACTAGAAATCTGTGGTGTAATATGAGGTCTCTGAAAATGGGCAAAGAAATAGCAAGATCTCAGAATCAATTTAACAACAAAGTCAACATCCCTGTCCCCACACCAGAAATGTTAGCCTAAAAAAGGATGACAGAGTTAGACTCAATTTCATTTCTCAGGGTGTCCTTGCTTGAGTTGACATGCAGTGATGGATCAGTGGCTCCCCTATTCTCTTCCATCCTTTTTGCCCACTGTGTCTCTACTAGTAATTTTCATCTTTGTTTTTTAGCATATCTCCCCCTCTCTCTTTCCACTCCCCAGCTCCTTACATGCCTCAAAGCTTCTCTGGAATAGACAGCTGTCTCCTTTGTCAGCCCAACATCCATTTGTTCTCCTTCTGGCATCAGCCTGTTTTGTTTTGAAGATTTATTCTCTCCCCACATTCAGCTCATGGGATTCAAACCAGACTGCACCTTCCTGTACCCATGGCTCCAGTAGGAACCAGGCCCAAGTTGGCCGATCAGGGTATTCTATCACCCCAGCTCCAGTGATTGGCTGAGGAATGAGCACATTACCCAGGCAGGATGGATTACCTTTCTTGCCCAGCCTGAGTTATTGGAAAAAGCGAGCCCTTTCCCTTGGAATTGGAAAACTGGCAATAATGATATCTAACACTTACTGAGTGTTTACTCTCTACCAGGCACTGCTTTAAGAACATGCTTTTACATGAATTATCTCTTTAATCCTTACAACAATCCTGTTTTGTATGTACTTTTATTGTCATCATTTCACAGATGGGGAAACTGAGGCACAGAGAGGTTAGAGATATGCCTGAAGCCACACAGCTTGCAAGTGGTGGATCTGGGATTTGAACTTGTCGATCTGGCTGCAGAGCTGAGCTCTTGGAGACTAGGTTTTACTGCCTAGTAGCATGTAAGCCTGGAACTGCCGGCAGTCATTTTGTAAGTTTGCCGAGTGAACCTCAATGAGCATGAAGCAGAGAGGAAAGCAGTACTAAGAGATGCAAAAGAGTCTGTGTTCCAGCAATGGGATCTGAAGTCCTGGATCAAACCTTACCTGGAGACAAGATTTACCCATCAGACATGCCAGTTATAAGACCCAAATTTACCCTTTTTGGGGGATTGAGTTTGAATGAGTATTTTTGTTTGTTTGTTTTGGCATCAGAAAGACTCCTGATTAATACACAGTGTGACGCTGACCAAGATGCTTCCTTTCTCTAGGACTCAATTTTCTTATCTGTAAAGTAAAGGGTTCATCAACATTCTTTGGTTGAATCTTACCTGAAACATTTTGTGAGCCTTCACCAATCTCATCTAAGCCTTTGTTTCCATAGAACAAAGCCCTTTAAGAAAGGAGGGGAAAGTGTCATGGAGTCTTACTGTCCTGAGTGCAAATATGGTCTCTGTATTGTCCTTATCTGTTCATTTTCTGCCTCTCAGTACTAGAATGAAAACTCTGGAAGAAGAAGGAATTTTGTCTGATTTTCTTACTGCTGTATCCTCAGTATTTTGAACTGTTTCTAACTCAGAGTACAATCTCAAAATTTTTTTTGATTTTCATATATCTGTATATATATTTGTTAAATGAGTGAAGAAATCCTTATATGTCTTTATGGATAACAAGCTGGCTTGGGCATGGTTTTCAGTTATGGGTCCTTCCTTTTGTGCGGGAGTGGTTATGGATGGTATTTGTTCCTCTCTGCTTCATAATTCTCTCATCCATTTTTGACTTAATGGACAGAAACAATAGATGAATAAAATGGAATCATCTCTGAACAAAACACAGGGTTTTAATGCTTCTTAAATCCTGTAACATATTATCTCTTCTAAACTCACAGTAAGCAGTTAAGTTCTTATGATGGATGAATTTCAGTTTCAAATGATATAAGAGAGGACTGTGTCTTACTTTCCTTCCTATTTTACTTATATTTCAATATCTTAGTAGAGCTATTATGCGAAATTGATCCCCCAGCATTAGGAAACAGGATGTTGCTGACACTGTTATATGCTATTATATAATGTACTATTATTTGTCATTTTTGTCATGACATCCAGCCCAAGCTTCTCTCTTGCAAATAAACCTCATTTTTGTTTTGGGTGGCAATGTGCTCAGATCCAGGTAATAATAAAGACTATAGTAGGCTGGGTGCGGTGGCTCACGCCTGTAATCCCAGCACTTTGGGAGGCCGAGGTGGGTGGATCACCTGAGGTCAGGAGTTTGAGACCAGTCTGACCAACATGGAGAAACCCTGTCTCTACTAAAAATACAAAATTAGCTGAGCGTGGTGGTGCATACCTGTAATCCCAGCTACTCAGGAGGCTAAGGCAGGAGAATTGCTTGAACCTGGGAGGCAGAGGTTGTGGTGAGCCAAGATCACTCTTTGGCACTCCAGCCTGGGCAACAAGATCAAAACTCCATCTCAAAAAAAAAAAAATATGATGATAATAAAATAAAATAAAATGACCATAGTAGCTATCACTTGAGTATTTTTTCCTATGTTTTAGGCACTCTTCTAAGCCAGAAACATGCATTTTATGTATTTGACATATGAAGGCATGGATTGGGATTAGGATCAGCCAGTCATGCTGTCACCAACCCTGAATTCCAGGCAGCTAAGTGTGGCCATGATGTTCCCCTGCCCAGTAAGAGGCTATGCAGCAGGTGGACTGGAGAAGAAGTGGGCTTTGCTTCCAGCTTTGCAACCTTGGAGAATTTATTTAGTGTCTCAATAGCTAAGGTTTTGTTTTGTTTTGTTTTGTTTTTTCCTTTTCTTAAATCTCTGAAATGGGGTTAATAATACTTACCTCACAGAGTTGTTGCAAAGGTTAGATGAGCTAACGCATGTGACACACTTAGAAAAATGCTTGACCAGTGCTTCTCAACTGAGACAAGTCTGCCTCCCAGGAGACATTTGGCAATGTCTGGAGACACTTGTGGTTGTCACAGCTAGGGTGGGAGTGGAGCAGGTGCTTCTGGCACCTAGTGAGTGGAGGCCAGGGATGGTGCTAAGCATTCTACAATGTACAGGACAGACCCTACAACCAAGAACAATCTGGTCCCGAGTGTCAATAATACAAAGTGGGAAATCCTGGCCTAGACCTTAATAAACACTCAGAGTATGGGAGCTGCTTGAGGGCTGCCTAGAACATAACCTCCAGAAGAGCAGAGAGATGTTGCTTTTTTCCCTGCCCTATCCCTGGAGCTTAGATTAGTGCTTGGCACATAGTAGTTTCTCAATAAGTATGTGTTAAATGAATGAATGATAGATACAATGACCCTTGGAAAATTTTTGCTGTCATGACTATTCCATCCTCCTCTGGTTTCATCCTACTTTGGTCTCAGTCATTATAAGTTGTTACAGGAGCCATTTACCATCATGGTACCCAACATGCTGATGGAAGAGGCAAAGGCTAGAAGGAATCTGGGCCTCTGATGACCTTGTCAGCCACTGCACTGGCCTGGACTACCGGATGCCAAGGTTTTCAGCCTATAAAAAAATGGCCACTATTACACAGGTTTCTGTGACATGCAGACAAAAACATTCATAACTAATAACCAGAAAGGACAGCATCTTCTCTTGGGTTTATGACATGAATTTACTGTCTCAAACCCACTGAAGAAAACAACCCCATTGGTTAGTTCATTTCCAAAGGCTCTGCTTATCATCAGATAAGCTGAAATTAAATTTTTTGTATTTGGCAACTGTGCTCCAATATTTAAATGCCAACACTAAATGTTCTAACAAAAGTGGAAATATTGTGCCACTTTTTGGAAGTGCTTGGCAGCTAACAAACTTATCCTGGCATAAACTCTAGGAAGTTGTCTTAATTTTCAAAATTACTCATATGAAGAAGACATACATGTGGCCAACAAGCATATGAAAAAAAGCTCAATATCAGTGATCATTGGAGAAATGCAAGTCAAAACCACAATGACAGTCAGAGTGGCTATGATTAAAAAGTCAAAAAATATCAGATGCTGGCAAGACTGTGGAGAAAAGGGAATGCTTATGCACTGTTGGTGGGAGTGCAAATTAGTTCAACTACTGTGGAAAGCAGTGTGGCTATTCCTTAAAGAGCTAAAAACAGAACTACCATTGGGCTGAGCCATCTCATTACTGGATATATACCCAAAGGAATATAAATCCTCCTACTATAAAGACACATGCACACATATGTTCATTATAGTTCTATTCACAATAGCAAAGACATGGAATCAACCTAAATGCCCATCAGTGATAGACTGGATAAAGAAAATGTGGTACACACACACCGTGGAATACGATACAGCCATAAAAAGAATGCAATCACATCCTTTGCAGGAACATGGATGGAGCTGGAGGCCATTATCCTTAGCAAACTAATGCAGAAACAGAAAACCAAATATTGCATATCCTCATTTGTAAGTGGGAGTTAAATGATGAGAATGCACGGACACAAAGAGGGGAACAACTCACACTGGGGCTTACTTGAGGATGGAGGATGGGAGGAGAGAGAAGAGCAGAAAAAGTAACGATTGGGTACTAGGTTTAGTACCTGGATGACAAAAGAATCTTCACAACAAACCACCATGACACAAATTTACCTATATAACAAACCTGCACGTGTACCCATGAACCTAAAATAAAAGTTTTAAAAAGTTACCCATGTATTTAATGCATGTTTGTTGAAGGCTTAAGATAAGTCCAAGATGGGACAGGGAGTAGGGTATAACAAGAAGAAAACGGAGCTAAGTTCGGTTCTCTGTCCTTGTAAAACTGACAGGCTGAAAGGAAATGTGGATATGAAATTACCAGTGCAGTGAGTGTCATGAAGAAGCACAAAGGTCTAAACAACACTTACTGGGAGTCTCTAAGCTACTCAAGAGATCAGGAAGGGACTTTCCTGAGAAGCTGAGATCTGCATTACGATGTCAAGAGGCAGTATGAGACAGTGGCTATTAAGGTTCTGGGGTAAGATTATGAAGTTTTTGTTTGTTTGAGACAGGCCCTCTGTCACCCAGGTGGGAGTGCGGTGGTGGGATCATATCTCACTGCAGCCTCAAACACCTGGGCTCAAGCCACCCTCCTGCCTCAGCCTCTTGAGTAGCTGTGACCACTGGCATGCACCACCACACCTGGCTAATTTTTTTTTAATTTTTAAAATTTTATGTGGAGATGGGGGTCTCACTATGTTGCCCAGGCTAGTCTTGAACTCCTGACCTCAAGCAGTCCTCCTGCCTCAGTCTCCGAAAGTGCTACGATTATAGGTGAGATAATGAGCTTTTGAGTTCCCCTATTACCTATTCCTAGATGGATGATCTTGAATAATTAATTGCCAAAAGGCTTGATACCTTATTTATTAAAATAATACTTCATAGGGTTAGTGTGAAAATTAAATTGGATAATAGTGTAAACTTGCTGTAAGCCTCAAATATTATAAGCCTTCAAGAAGTGTTAGATTTGTAATTATTAAAAATTCACAGCCGGGTACAGTGGCTCACGCCTGTAATCCCAGCACTTTGGGAGGCTAAGGCAGGCAGATCATGAGGTCAAGAGATCGAGACCATCCTGGCCAACATGATGAAACCCCATCTCTACTAAAAATACAAAAAATTAGCTAAGTGCTGTGGCACGCATGTGTAGGCCCAGCTACTAGGGAGGCTGAGGCAGGAGAATCGCTTGAACCAGGGAGGCAGAGGTTGCAGTGAGCCGAGATTGTGCCACTGCACTCTAGCCTGGCAACAGAGCGAGATGCTGTCTCAAAAAAAAAAAAAAAAAAAAAAAAATCACTAAGGGGAGGAAGGATAAAAAGCAGGGGCATGCACAAACCTGTTTTATGATTTCTCAAAACTTGTTTCTAATTCATCCCTTGCAGGTTACATCATCTGGAGACTGAGAACTTGGGATGCTCCTTGTTCATCCAAGCATTTGAACAAATCCAGTGTCCTTTTTGAGCAAAATATGAGCCCCACCTTTAGAATCTGTGAATCTCCCCTTCAGATGGGAAAGCTGTTTTTGTGGCTAAAATTAGAAATAACCCAAATGTCTATGAAATGATGCATGGATAGATAAAATGTGATATACCCACACAATGGAAAAGTATTTATCAATAAAAAGGACTGAAGTCCTGATACATACTCCAACATGAATAAATATCCAAAACATCATGCTAAGTGAAAGGAGCCAGACACAAAAGACCACGTTCTGTATAATTCCATTTATATAAAATGGCAAAAAACCAAATTCATAAAAACAGAAAATAGATTAGTGCCTAGATTTGAGGGTGAAAAAATTAACTGCATGATCTTTTTGGAGTGATGAAATATTCTATAATGGATTATTGTGATAGTTGCACAACTTCTTAAATTTACTAAATATCATTGAAATGAATAAATTTTTATGTTGCGTACATTATATCCTAATAAATTTATTTTAAAAAACATCCTTTATGACTGAGTTAAATAAACTTGCAAGCTCCTAAATTTGTATGGTAGGATGTTAATTTTTAGTTTAAGACATTTGGTTTCTAAAGATACTGAATCTCCAGAGAAGTCAAATGGAATATTAGCAGTTGGGCTAATCTGAGATATAACCTTGATGAATTTGCTAGGGATGTCTGATGGTTGGGAGGGACATTGAACGTTTTGAGCCAACAAGATCTCTGACTTCCATCCTTATAGTGAACTCTGTTACTTTGGGCAGCATTATCTCATCTACCTGTTGAAATCCCCTTTCTAAGTTATTATCATCAAGATTGTTCAAATAGAAACCAATATTGCTGTATTTTGTCTTTTGTACAGCCATATTTGAAGACATTGGCTGTTAGGTTTCTTGAGATCCCTAAAATGGGATCCCTTAGATCTCATTCCATGAAAATTATTCTCATCGCATGCAGAAAATAATTTTATGATTTGGAAAAACTTGTTTCTAATTCATCCCTTGCAGGTTACATGATCTGGAGACTGAGAACTTGGGACACTCCTTGTTCATCCAAGCGTTTGAACAAATCCAGTGTCCTTCTTGAGCAAAATATGAGCCCCACCTTTAGAATTTGTGAATCTCCCTTTCAGATGGAAAAGCTTTTTTGTGCATTAAATAAACTTGATCCTTAGATCCATATGATCTTCAGGCGAAAATCTCTTCGTGGCCATGAAAGTTTTACTTTTGGTGTATTTGTACATTTTCTCCTATGATACAGGGAGAGACGTAGTTCAATAGGTTTTCCTTTTTGTCTCGACAACTAGGAAAGGCAAAGTTACATTCAATGGTCAGTGTTGCTGTAGCTCTGATGTATAATAATGTCTTATTTGCTGTTCTTTCTCTCTCTGTCATGATTCTATATATAATTGTCTCATTTGTATTATGCTTAATTTAGTGAACTACCTCACATTTTAGGCAGTGAGTGGGTTGCAAATAAAAATAATGAATGCAGCTGAGTGCGGTGGCTAACACCTGTAATTCCAGCACTTTGGGAGGCCGAGGTGGGTGGATCACGAGGTCAGATCGAGATCATCCTGGCTAACACGGTGAAACCCCGTCTCTACTAAAAAATACAAAAAAATTAGCTGGGCGTGGTGGCGGGCAGCTGTAGTCCCAGCTACTCAGGAGGCTGAAGCAGGAGAATGGCGTGAACCCGGGAGGCAGAGGTTGCAGTGAGCCGAGATCGTGCCATTGCACTCCAGCCTGGGTGACAGAGCGAGACTCTGTCTCAAAAAAAAAAAAACAAAAAACACACACACACACACAAGAATGCATAATTTTGTACATTTGCAATTATATTTTTCTGCTTTCGAAATTAACCAACATGGGCAACACCATTGGTGGTGGTTGTCATATACACACATACATATGCAAGCGTGTATGTGTTTTGATATATTAGATATGCAGATATAGGTGTCAACATGAATTCTCAGCTGAAAAATAGGAGTAGCTAGTGAAAATTTGTGGCTAGATTTAAATCTCTAGAAACTGTTCTTTAGAAAGGACACATTAATGCAAAGTAAATTTTACTAGGAAGAACTAATAATTCTCCTGTTATAAACCATACAACATTATTAGGGAGTTAAGTTTAGATTACTTTAAAATACTTGTGGTTGGGGTTCTATGATTTAGACACAATTGTTTCTTTCAAAATTATTTCTCATGACCTCACTATAACTTCAAGGATATCTAATGCCTAAGGAATCAGATCAAAGATGCCACTTGAAATTTCAAAATAGGATACTAAGATATTCCACTGTAGCCTTCTGGCAGCAGTTACATGAGTTCCCTTTCTATCTTTGAAAACTGGTCTTGCCATCTCATAAAGAAGAGTGTGAAATTGAACTTGCAATTAAAAAATAAGCTTCGTTTTTCCCCTCCTCTCCACAAACCTCTCGACACAACCAAATTGAGGGTCATCAGGAAACAGAAGGAAGAGAATGCTGTAAGATTTCAAAGATGCCTGGTAGGAATATTTCTTAATTGAGCCGTGCTTTCGAGCTGCGTGGAATTGTTCTTATTAAAAATTAAGAACAGCAGAGAAGAACATGGGAAGCTCTTCGAGATTAGAGCTTCGTGAGATTTACTTAAAAGGCTTTCATTAGGCACTGGGGTTTCTGAAGCGTATTAAAACCCTACCTATACAAAATATATGGTGCTCTAGCTTTTAGCCCCTTTTCCTAAGAAATATAAAACATGGGCGCTTAAAACAGGAATAGGAAAAGAATATTTTCACAGCGTTCTTTGAAATAAGGTCTACGTGTTCCGATGAGGAAATAATTAGCCCTTTTGTTCTTCTCTCTTTCCCTTCCTTCGTTTTTCGCTGCCTTTGTCAACGCAGGTTAGCACAGGTCCTAGCTGGGGTTTGGTTCTTTATTTTGTTATTATTATATTTTAAAAATCAATTTTCTATCTTGGGTGAATGGAGGAAAGGTTTTCAGCAGGGCTTCTCAAACTTTAATGCGCACATGAATCACCTGGGATCCTGTTAAAATGCAGATTCTGATTTAGTGGGTCTGGGGATGGGGCCTGGGGTTCCGCATTTCTAACAAGCTTCCAGGTGGATGTCAATGCTGCTGATCTGTGGACTGTTCTAGAATAGCAAAGAGATCCAGTAGCCCCTAAATTAAATCGTATGTATCCAATTCCTTTAAAGAAGGTAGGGATGGACTGACTGGGGGAAGAGTGGGGATAGAAAAAAAGGAGAAGAATAAATAAAAACAAAAACCACCATACACACAAATATAAACAGCCTAATTATCTACATTGCTTCAGTTTGATGATTTATCATTCCCGAGTAATTGATGCCGATAATACAAATTTTGTCATATTTTTGTAATACAACTTGGCTTTTGGTAAAGCAATTGGAGTTCAAATACATGATCCTTTAAAGTGCTGAATATGGAACACGCATGTGCACGTACACCCACACACCCACACACACAAACACACACACACACACACACAATGTTGCCAGTCAGAGCTGCCTGCTCTTCTGTATATGTGAGGCCTCATAATTTTCCCCGAAGGATACAAATAACCATGTCGTTAAACATAAGAGTTTTGCCATAGGCAGGGCAGGGGATAGAGGACTGATATTCAACAGAAATTTCAACACTGTGGCCTCGTACCTCACTTGGGGAGCTGGGGTTCAGGAAGAATTCCTTCAACAATAAGATCAAGTGAAAAGATTCATTGGAAAGTATTGGAAGTATTTTGCAAACTATGGAGTGTTGGATAAGTGCTACTTGCTATTATTTTTTCCTGTTTGCATTTGATTTGCTGTATTTTGTTTCATTTAAAAATATCTTTTTGAGTTGTTGCTGGTTCATGCAATTCATGCTGGTTTTATTGTAATTTGCCAATATGCATCAAAACTAAAAATTAAAAGTGTTCGTATACTCCAATCTAGCAAATCCATGGACTGAAATGAATTCTACCTAAACCCTTATGTAAATGTGGAGAGAGATATGTATGAGGAAGGTCATTGCATTATTGCTTGGATGGAAAAAAATCTGAAAACGCCTAAATGTCCTTCAATGGGACTGGCTCTGTGTGTAATGGCACACCCATAGAGTGAAATATTCTGTTGCTACAACCTCCAAATGAGGTGCAACTGAAGTATGAGCGTAGAAAGATATCCTGAATATAAATGTAGTTATGTTTAAAAAGAAAAAAGGAAAAAGAAAACACAAAGAAGATGTCCTGAAATTGGGTTGTCCACTTGTCTGTCAAGCTTTATTTTGCTAGCCTGGTAAAACTCCTGACAAAAATAACACTAAAAGGGTAACAGCAGTGATCACTAGGAAAGGAATTAGAAGGAGGTACATTCTGTTTCTATTTTCATACTTTTCCTTGCTGTATTTCTGGAAAACGGAACATAAATAGAAAAGAGGACAGAATGGACGAGTAACTAGAGGACTTAGATTTGGGTCCCAGTTTGGCTTGGCCGAATAATAGCTTTGGGCAAGTTACTTCACACCTCTGAGCATTTATGTCCTCAAATGTACAATGTGGATTGGGACAATACCACCCCATGGTTTTATTTCTTTGGAAGACTGAATGAAATGCATTAAGCACTTTGTCCTCCACAGAGAACCGAGAATGTCCTTGTTTCTTTTTGCTGCTCTAAACATCACTATGTGATTTGAGGACCCTGGCAATCAGTGCTGATACATATCTGGCTCGATGCACCCAAATCCATGAAGCTTTATACAGCCTTCCCCCACCCCACCTCTCCTCACCCTTTGACCCCTTCACAGACACTTTTCCCATCTCTATGGGTGTCCCCTAACAAAATGTCAGAAAGACCCATGTCGTTGACTTACGCTTTTGTATTACCGTGAACCAATGTACTTTTTTCCCCAAGGCTATTTGCTCTTATATCTTATTCTGCAACATCTGCCAAAGAATTCTGTGATGAAAGAAATCTCAGCCCCAAAGCAACAAGCCAGGAGGAATTCAGGTAGGCAAGAGTCTTCTTGGGGTACCTGAAAGGACATAAAATAGTGTTTGCCACTTGAGTCACTTCCAGTAAATATTGCTGGTCCATGAACCACCTATATTATTTTTTGACTAATTATTTTTCACAGACTCTATTTTAAACAACTTAAGAATCCATGTTAAAAGAAAATAGTAATTAGTAATGAAAAATCCACATATAAGGTCTGCATTGATACAAATAAATAAATAATAAAAATTTGAAAGTATACATCTGTATACCACCTAAAATAGTGTTGTCTCCTAGAGGGATACATTTACCACCCTTTGGACAACAGGTGTATAAAATATCTCCAGCTCATCCCAATGATTCTTATTCTTCTTTGCATTCTCCCAGTGGACAAGAGACGCAAACGCATGAAGCACTTCGTGGGCTCTTGCAACAAAGCAATCCCGTTGCTCCAGAGTGAAACAGTCTCTTCCCAGGAGGGTAGACAATGTGCCTCATTCCCTGCTGTGTATTTTTAGTGCCTGGATGAATGAATGAAAAACTGAATGAGGCCGGGTGCAGTGGCTCACACCTGTTATCCCAGCACTTTGGGAGGCCGAGGTGGGCGGATCACCTGAAGTCAGGAATTCGAGACCAGCCTGGCCAACATGGTGAAACCTCATCTATACTAAAAATACAAAAGTTAGCCAGGCATGGTGGTGCCCACCTGTAATCCCAGCTACTCTGGAGGCTGAGGTAGGAGAATCTCTTGAACCTGGGAGGTGGAGGTTATTGTCAGCCGAGGTTGCGCTACTGCACTCCAGCCTGGGTGACAGAGCAAGACTCCGTCTCAAAAAATTAAAAAAAAAAAAAGAAAAGAAAAAATGAATGAATAAATGCAGTGTTTCTTATTCAATGCTGTTGACTTTAAAAAACAGATTTCTTATTAGTTTCTGTTGAAAACGAAACAATCTTCTGTTTTCATATGTCAAACTCCTTTGTCCATTTGGGAAAATCACTTAAAAAAAAAGAGATAAATCCAACTCCTCCATTATCACAAGGTTTGAATTTGTACAAAGGATGAGAGAATTGAGGCTACAGCTCAGACTATTAGTGGAATTTGTAAAGGGAGAAAATTAACTGTTCATCATATATATATATATATCTACATATATATATATCTCTACATATATATATATATATATATATTTGCAGTAATGTCAGTACTAGAAGCCTTTTGTTCTTATTTAATTGTTGTAGAGTCTGCCTGACGAAAGTGCTGTGAAGAAGTTGTCAGTTCTATAAAATCAAAGGACTTGGATCCTGGCATTCTAAGAGCTGTCTAATTTAAGACCACCGAAATTCACATAATGTTGTTAATTCCTATCATGCCTCCACAGTGGATTTTTTACCATATCTAAGTAGATCACAGGCTAAGACCAGGGAGAAATGAAAAAAAAATGCATATATGTGTATATGTATATCTGTATACACACAGAGACACATAGTAGCATGTATCATTTCAGCATGTTCTAGTTTGCAACAAATATGCAGAATACTAGACTGTGAGCTACCAAGTCTTCCAAATTCTGAGTATTATAATCCTTTTCTTGGTATAACTGACATAATTATTGTTTTCAATGAAATCAGAGATTTTCTTTAGGCAATCTTTTTTCAAGAAAGAGATAGATATGTGCAAGCTTACAGCACACACACACACCTATCATATAATTATATTCTTTCTGAGTCTTTATACTCTGCTGTGATTTCCTTTATGTCTTATTGGGGGTTTCATCCAGCAATTGAATGACTGGAGGGAAAAAAAATAGAAATTTTTTGTCTGTCATAAACATCAGTGAGTTTGGATTACAATTACCTTATGTACAAGTAGGTGTTTTTTCATACTTTAAATTTTGCATTTTTTAGATCTCTACCATCTCTTCATGTCTATTTGTCATAGATATTCAGTTTGCAGTGTCTATGAATTGTTTTGTTTTGGAAAATGAGATGTTTGGAGAAGAGGTCTATGTACGTGTGTGTGTGTGTGTGTGTGTGTGTGTGTGTGTGTGTGTATTTTCCCTGCTCCAAGCATTTCATTCACCTGATTTTGATAAGACAGCCTCAAAATTTCGGTTAATGAATCATAGCTCCCACCACCCTCTCAGCTAAGGTAATTTGGTTTTAATGGGCCCCAAATAGGGTTGCCACATAAAATATAGAATGCCCAGTTAAATTTGAATATCAGATAAACAATACTTTTTTTTTTTTTGACAGAGTCTCGCTCTGTCACCCAGGCTGGAGTGCAGTGGCATGATCTAGGCTCACTGGAACTCCACCTCCCTGGTTCAAGCAATTCCCCTGCCTCAGTCTCCTGAGTAGCTGGGATTACAGGTGCGCACTACCACGCCTGGATAATTTTTTTTGTATTTTTAATAGAGACGGGGTACTTTTATAGTACAACTATATCCCAAATATTGCATGGGACATATTACATCAGAAATAATTCAGCTGGGTGTGGTGGCTCATGCTTGTAATCTCAGCACTTTGAGAGGCTGAAGCAGGAGGATTACTTGAGCTCAGAAATTTGAGACCAACCTGGGCAACATAGTGAAACCCTGTCTCTACAGAAAAAAAAATAGCTGGGCATCTTGGTTTGCACCTGTGGGCCCAGCTACGGGGCTGAGAGGCTGAGGTGGGAGGAACACTTGAGCCCAGGAGGTCAAAGCTGCAGTGAGTGGTGATCACACCACTGCACTCCAGCCTATGCAACAGAAAGAGACCCTATCTCAAAAAAACAAAAACCCCACAATTCATCATTTATCTGAAATTCACATATAAGTGGGCATCTTGTAGTTTTATTCGCTGACTTGGGTAACCTGAACCCAGCCTTCAGCACCAAGGCCTAGACTCTCACTGGCCCGTTAGATCAGCAGTTCCACGGCCATTGAGAGCCAAGACGAGAAGTTTTATTGGCTGCCTGAGGGAGAAACAGGATTTTCTTCCTCTGGATCTGAGGCTGAGGATCTCATGATTTGGGGTTGGTGTTGCAGCCACGTTGTGCCGTGGTAGATCAGCATGGAAGGATGGCACACAATGATAATGGTCGATAATGATAATAACAATAGTTACTGAGCACTTTCTATGTCCTGCTCCGAGTAAAGAATTTTAGCTCATTATTCTGTCTATAATCTTATGCTTGACTCTAAAGGTGAAGGTCAGGGTGAAATTTGCTAGGTTGAACCACAGCAATTTTCTGGCTCCATTTAGCAGTTTTCTCTCATGACCAGGTGAGATGGCTTAGTGATCACACCCAGGGACTCTGGCTTCTTCGCTTTTGCTCAGTCACAATCCTTAGCATGAAGTTCTTGTCTTTAAGGCCACAAGGTAGCTGCTGCTCTTACCATGTCAGAACAAGGGGGAAAAGCTAGGCAGCCTTCTCCGGGAAGCCTGTGTCTTCTACTCAGGAAGCCATTCCCAATATATTGGGACATTACCTTTTCATAATTTCTACAATTATTGCCTCACTTTACCAATGAAGCACCTGGAGCACAGAGATAGCAAGTAACTTGTTCCAAGGTTAACAATTAGTGTGTTAGTAGGGTTTTCTGGGGCAACAGAACCAATAGAGTGCAATATATGGAGAGAGAGAGAGAGAATCTATATATATCATCTATATCCATATCCGTGTGTGTGTGCACGCGCGTGTGTGTGTGTGTTTGTGTGTGTGCGCATATATGGAGAGATAAAGTTCTAGAAAAACAGAAGAAATATAATGATAATGTGTAGGGGAGGGAGACAGGAAGAGATGCATTTTAAGGAATTGGGCCATGTAATTGTGGGACTGGCAAGTCCAAACTTTGCAGGGCAGGCTGACCAGCTGGAGTCCCAGGGAAGAATTTTGATGTTGCCACTGGAGTCTGAGGGGTATCTGAAGGGTCCCTGGGGGCACAGAGTAGGTAACTTCTTCCAAGGTTATGCAATTAGCATATTAGTAAGGGTTTTCCAGAGAAACAGAACCAATATAATGTTCTATCTATCTATCTATCTATCTATCTATCTATCTATCCATCCATCCACCTATCTATCTATCTACACACACACATATATAGAGAAAAGAGAATCTATCTATCTGAGAGTATATCTATATCCATATATGTGTGTATATACATATATCTCTATATATGTCTATCATCTATCTACCTATATATCTATATATTTATATATAATAGAGAAAGAGAAAGAAAGTTCCAGAGAAACAGAACCAATATAATGTGTAGTGGAGGGAGAGAGGGAGAGAGATTTATTTTAGGGAATTGGGCCATGCAATTGTGGGGCTGGCAAGTCCAAACTTTGCAGGGCAGGCTGGCCGGCTGGAGTTCCCAGGGAAGAACTGATGTTGCGACTGGAGTCTGAAGGGCGTCTGGGGGCAGATTTCCCTGTTCCTCAGAGAACCTCAGTCTTATTTCTCTTAAGGCCTTCAACAGATTGGATGAGGCCCATGTACATTATAGAAGTTCATCTGCTTTACTCAAAGCCCACTGATTCAAATGTTTATCTGTTCTAGAAAATGCCTTCATAGTGACATTTAGATTGATTGACCAAATATCTGGATAACTTGGCCCAGTCAAGTCAACACCTAAATGTGCCATGCAGCTGGTAATTTAGAGAAGCTGGGAATCAAATCCTTCTGGTGTCTCCACAGCCCAGGCTCTCTCATTTGCCGCCATTTATATAACTCACACAGCTTCTGTGAAGAAAAAGCATTACATGTAGGGAAGGCAATTTTTATCCTTCATAAGAACACTGAATAGCAGATCTTTATTCTGCCCCTACACAAATCACTTGAATTTACCTTTTTATTTTAAAATAAAGTACAGATACTGAAAGTCACATGACAGAATTATATAGCTTAATGGACAATATAAGCTGAATATCCAAAACAGCCACCCAGCTCAAAAAAGAGAGCTTTGCTGGCAAAGAAACACCTTTGTGTATTCCATCCCAACCCCAGTTCAATTCCTTTCCCCAAAGTAACCATGATCTTGACTAGGAATTGGCTTGACAGCTGTTTTTACAAATAAAGTTTTATTGGCACACAGCGACACCCAGACATTCCTTAACTTGTCTGTGACTGCTTTCACACTGCAATGGCAGAGTTGAGTGGCTGTAACAGAGACTGCCTGGCCCTCAAAGGCTTAAAAAATATTTACTACAGAAAAAGTTTGCTGACCCCCTGTTGTTGACTTTCACAGTGGTAATTTCCTTGAGTTTTAAAATAGTTTTATTATTCAAGTGTTCATTCCTAAACACTATAGTTTAGTCTTGCCTTTTCTTTGTATGTCTTTTAAATCTCATTTAATCTACAGGTTCTCCTTCTAGCCCTTTATTTTCCTTGCAGTTTATTCGTGGAAGGCACAGGCCATTGAACCTACAGTTTCCACTGTCTAGATTTTGCGGTTGCATCCTCTTGGTGCAGCTTAGCAAGCTCTTCTGTTTGCTGTTATCTCCTGCAAATTGACAACTGAACCCAGAGACTTAATCAGACTTGGGTTCAGTCCCTCTGGCAAGACTTGACTGTGTGTTCACTCAGTAGTAGGCATAGAATTTCTGTTCATCTTTCTTTCTGAGATGCCACAGTTGCCAAGGGATGATGCCTAGATGTGATCATTTATTATGATTTTCAGAATGTTGACATTCTGATTGAATCAATTCTTTTTTATATATAACTTGCAATACTTTTAGAAAGAAATACGTTGCCTCATCTTTCATTTGAGTTCCTCGAAGTTCATATAGGAAAAACAGGTGAAGGCTTCATTATTTTTCTTTATCAGTTTTTGAGATACTGCATTGATTCTCTATTGTTGTTATTATTATTTGCCTCATATAACATAATAAAGTATGTAAGGAATTTCAGTCCATAGCATTTATTAGCCTAATCAAAGCTCAAGTTATCCCACTTTTGCTACTGAGAGCCTTTTCAATATGGCTCCTGAGTCTTTCTGAGATGACCCTGAAGTCTGATAGGTCTTTCGCTGTTTGATATGACAAGATGTTCTAAACTCATCTTCTATATTTTTCTGTCCCAGATCTGGAGGAAGCCTTCCTTTCCCTCTTTTAAGATGGTATTTCAAATAGAATACTACGCAGCCATAAAGAAGAACAAGATCATGTCCTCTGCAGCAACATGGATGGTGCTGGAGGGTATTATCCTAAGCAGACTGACACAGGAACAGAAAACCAAATACTGCATGTTCTCACTTATAAGAGGGAGCTAAATATTAAGTACATATGGACACAAAGAAGGAAACAATGGACACTGGGGCCTACTTGAAGGTGGAGAGTGGGAGGAGGGAGGGGATAGAAAAACTACTCATCAGGTGCTATGCTATTACTGGGTGATGAAAAAATCTGTACACCAAACCCCCACAACATGTAATTTACCTATATAACAAACTTGCACATGTACCCCTGAACCTAAAATAAAAGTTACACACACACACACACACACACACACGTATATATATATATATACACACACATATATATGTGTGTGTATATATATATGTATATATATTAATATATGAATTTTGTTTGGAGGGACACAAACCTTCAGATTATAGCAATGCAAATATTTTTGCTTTGCATCTTTTGTACAGTCTTATCCACCCAGGACCTGTGCCTCTTGTCCCCACCCTCTCACTTGAAATTTGAGGTTTATAGGTGTTCTCATTTTTGCCCTGAGTTCTTGCATGCTGATTGTGCTTTGTGCCCTGTATAATTGGAAGTCAGTTTTGCTAGTTATAAAATCCTCAACTCACAATTTGTTCCCTTGAATAAGTATGGTACTCCATTTTCTACTGGCATACGGTGTTGCTTTCAGAAAGTTTGATGCCAATATTTTTAAATAAATAATATTTTCTTTTTATCTAAATGTCCATTTAATATTCCTTTTGCTTTAAAGTCTGATAGATTTCATTAGCTTTAAAGTCCCGTAGATTTTATTTCTTGGAGACTGTCTTTCCAGGTTACTATTCTCAGGTACCTGGTGTGCTCTTTCCATATGCAGTTTCAAATATATTTTTTCAATTTCAGGAAAGTTTCTTAAATTATGTATCTCAGTATTTGTTCTGTTCCCTTGCATTGTTTTTTATTTTACCATCTATTTTTGAATCTTCTCTGCCTGTCTTCAATATTTCCACTTTCTCTTGAATTTTTTATTTTCTTGCTTCTTTTTAATTTTTAAATTTTTTATTTAAAAAATTTTCATTATGTTCAGGCATTGTATATTGTGTTAATTCTCTCTTGTATTTATCACATTTTTAATCTTGTAGTTTTTCCTAGCTTAGATTTCATTTTTTAAATGATTTTTTTATTTCTAAATATTTCTTATGTTCTTTCACCTCATTTCTAAGCAATCGAATTCTGATTTGTGTTGTGTTTTCAGATCTTGTATAATTTTATTGTATAATGTAGTATGCTACAGTTTTGATCTGTTTGTGGGCATAGCTTTCTGGCGTGCTTTCATCTCTATAAGCATGTTATTGGTTTTTACTTCTCTTTTTTGTCTTGTAATGTTGCGAGGGATCTGACCTCAATACTTTTCTGTTGTCATTTCTATGTGAAATTAGTTGTCCTGAACTTTTAAAGGAAATGTGGTTCAGGGCAATTTTTTTTTATTATACTTTAAGTTCTAGGGTGCATGTGCACAACGTGCAGGTTTGTTACATATGTATACATGGGCCATGTCAGTGTGCTGCACCCATTAACTCATCATTTACATTAGGTATATCTCTTTTTCTAATCACATAGAGCTTCCTCATCTGTTTTCATATAGTATTCACAAATGGTGGCTTAATTTCTAAGATTTCTCTGGCTGTTATTCCAAACTCCCCCGACTCTATACTTTTATTTACTACCTTTAATTTGGATTCTCTTTCCAGGAGCTTCTTCTCAGTATGGAGCCTGGTCCTGGCAGGGGGCTTTGGCTGTTGTCACTGAGGGCTCCTGTGGCCTGGACAGCTCCTGCCCCTTTCAGGACTCACACTGGCCTCTTACACTCACCAGCTTTTAGAGTGGTCATGGCAGCCCCATCTTTGCCTGCCACCTCAGCTGGTCCACTGTTTCCCAGTAAGTTCCTATTGGCTATTTAAGGTTTCTCCTATTCTCAAATCTGGGCACTCCATTTCTAACCTCTGCTTCCTCTGGGCAGAGTTTGACCCGTGGGGACTTGGGGCTCTCATCCCTACCCTCCGGCTTGAAATATGAGGTTTGTAGATATGCTTTGTTACCTGCCTTTTTTTTAATTCGATGTTGTCCATGAGTTTTGTTTTTTTCTATTTAGTTGCTATGTTTGTTTTTAATGTAAGGCAAGATTAAAATATTACACTGTCACCGTTACTACCATCCTCCCCAAATCCCCCTGTATTAGCTACCTAGGCTTGCTGGGTAACAAATTGTCACAAATTTATTAGCAAAAGAACACACACTTGCTATATCACTGCTCTGTAAGTCAGAAGTCCAGGTGGGCTCGACTGGGTTCTGCACTTAAGGTCTCACAAGATTGAAATCAAGACATCAGCTGAGCTGGGCTCTTATCTAGAGATGTTTACATGCTTATCTCTCTGACTTTAAAATTTTTATGTAAAATTGATTAATACACAAAATTAATCCACATAATCTCCCTGTCTTAAGGTTGACTAATTATTAGCCTTAGTTACATCTTCAAGACCCCTTTTCCATGTAAGGTAACATTATTAACAGAGTAACATCAGGAGATGAATGTCATGGGGGCCATGTTAGAATTCTTCCTACCACATCCTCATTCATTTATTTTGAATCCTAAGAATTTATTGAGATCCTACTATGTTCTAGGTCCTTGCAGTAAGGGTACAATGGTGAATAAGACAAACACGGTTCTGGTGCTATGAGTAGAAAATTAATGCTGAATGTTTAATGAATGGATGACTAAATAGATGTGTAAAGGTCTAAATGCACATTCAGAAAAAAGCAACAGAAGACTGAGACTCAATATTATTGAGTATGTTTTAAAGGTCCATGTATCATCTTGAATGGAAATGTTGCTCAACTTCTGATGAGGAGACTAATTCATCAATATCTCTGTTATCACTGACTGATGACCTCGCATAATAAAAGATCTTGACTTGCGTGTATGTTAACAATTAATGGAATGGGTAATGTATCACATAGAGTATATGGAAGGTAATAAAAATGTATAAATGAGAATTACACGGGTTAGTTGGTGTTGTTAACGGTTCTTTTGTTCTGCGAGAGCAGCAGTATCTTATTCAGGAGACAGGGTTGCAGTTCTGGTTGCCAAAATGACTTAAACATGCCAATTCAACTATTAGTCCTTCAAAGGTATTTTCCATTGCAAAAACCCCTTGGCCAAGTGTATTGACGATGCTGTCTACTTTTGACCTCCTCATTTTTTTGACCCTTTCAGGGGCTTTAACGATGTGGAGACCCATTCACTTTGTTAGTGTATGGTTCCATTCATAATTATTTGCATGGTCTTGTCATGCTTCTTTATCTCCCAGAAGGCTTCTTATCCTGTATCCAGCCCCTAATGAAATAAAAGGATAGTGATCAATTTTACAATACACACTACTACACATGGGACTTCATTTCTTTATTCAGAAATATATGTCATAAAGATTGAATGAGAAGCTAATATTCAGAGCTGGGAAAAGCAGTGCTCTATATTAGGGAGAATCAGCATTTGTTAGCGTAAGCAAAACCCTGAGTCTTGATTATAAGTGTCAGTGTGTTAAAAAACATTGACTAAACCCAGTGTGAAATTACAAGTCTGTAATGCAAATATACTTGGTGAAATGCAAACACATTTAGCCTTGCATTAATTCATTCATTCGACAGCAATGTATTGAGTGCCTAGCATGTGTCAAGTGCTCTTCTAAGCATTGAGGATACAGTGGGGAAACATGCAGAAAATGGCATTGCCCTTTGAGAGCTTATATTCTAGTGTTGGGAATTAGAAAATACACAAAATAAATAAAGACACCATTCTATGATCATTTATTGATAGGCAGTAATGATTTTAATGTTGACAAAGAAGTTTGACTGAAGTAAATTAGAAGGTGTGTGATAGAAATAAAAAGAGATTTGCACTGTTTGCATATATACTCCTTCTGTGGACATTTGTAAGAATTGTTTCATCCTGGTTGGATCAAACATTTTTCATGTTCTTTGAAAGATGCAAAGCCAACAGTTGGTTGAGTACTCAGTAAATACATATCAAATGCATACATTTTACTGAGTTTAATTTTTATGCAAAATAATTATTATTGTAGTTGAATTTTATAAATATGTTTTAATGATGTCCTTGTAATTTTATCCTGGATTTAGTAAATAATAATATTAGTATTAGTAATAATCACTGCTACAATTTAACCTTTAAATATTGACTTAATTGTCACCTCTTTAGAGAGATTTTCTTGACTATCCTATTTTTAGTTATACTAGTTGTTACCTAATACTGCATTCCTTTAGTTTCCTTGATATTTATCATGATACATGTACTTTTATTTTTACATATAATTGCTTATCACCTCTCTTTCTCACTAGGTTGTAAACTTCAGAAGAAAAGGGGATAAATCTGTTTTATCAATGTGTACCCTTCATGATGACTGGCACACAATAATCCTTCAATAACATATATTAAATGAATGAAATCCACTCCCTTCTTTTCCTCCTTCTTTGACTGTCTTCCTTCTATGTTCTTCTTTTCATTCACTAGTTATTTTATCTCTTCTTCAAGCATTCATATTACTTGCAATAATAATAGCCAATTATTTATTGAGAGTTTATGATGTACCAGACACCACCTAAATAGAATCATTATAATACTAAAAAATGAAGAATTCTTACTGAATGCCTCCTCTGTCTGTATTGGTCACTGTGTTGGGCTCTTTTCATACATTATTCTTTAATTCTCATAGCAACCTTGCAAAATAAGCATCTTTATCCCTTTCAAAAGAGAAGAAGCTGTGATTCTAAGAGGGTAGATAAAGTGCCACAAAGATGGAGATGGGTAAACATTGAACTAAGATGAAGAAAACTCTCTCTGCATCACAGCCTGGGTTTTTCAACTCATCTTTGCTGTCTCAAAATAAATGAATAGGGTTTATTAGTTTCCCGGATTGTGAGGATTAACTGATGTGTTTGGATAAACAAGAGAGTTGAAGTATAAATTAATATCACTGTTGTAAATCATATTGCACCTTAGAAATAAGAACATTATTTAATCATTGGAACTCCTCACTCCTCAAATTTAGAGAGATAAATGACACTTCTGGGCACTAACTGAATACAACAGTAGTGACTGCTCCCATTGTATGTCATTAGAGAAAACATCTTTACCTCCCCAGCTCACCTTTGTTTTCCTTCCAGCAACAGGCACGTTTCCTTCTGAAGACTCTCTCCTTTCCCGGTCTCAGTCCGTGTATCCTGGATAAGGATTCTCCCTCAGCTCTAGGGACAGAGCATACGATCCAGGCCTAAGCTGACCATGGCACTGTTTTCCTTTAGCCACAAAGATGGGCTCGAGTTCAGGGTGAGCTGAGCTGGCCCAATCATAATAAATCCTGGGGTCTTTGTGGGTGCAAACAGAAAATAGACTCTTAACCCCTCTGGATTTTCTCATGGGAAGATAGGATCTGGGGGTACTACAGCTATTTTGTCACTACCTGGGCAGAGCCTAGGCTTCTGAAGGTCCCCAGCGCACCCTAAAAGTGCAGCCAACACAAAGCAGAGCCAAGAGATGAAGAGAATGTGATTCCAACTGACATTGTTTAAACTCTGGATCCAGGTCTGCTTGGATTCTTTTCTTTTTTTTTAAGCCAGTTTGAGTTGGGCTTTCTATCACTTGCATCTGCAACTATTTTAATTGTTATAGCAAGAGTGGGATGATTAGATATGTCAGGGCAAAACTGGCCTATGCTGATGTGACAAATAAACCCTGAAAATACAATGGTGTAACAACAAAAAGGTGTATTCCTCACTCATGTCACAGCTGATTGGGGGTTAGCGAGTCTCTTGCATGGCTCAAGATTGACTCAAGATTTGAGCGCTTTTTAGTTTCGCATCTGGAACACATACCCTTTGCGGGTGCTGTGGCAAAGACAAAACACATTAGACGGTGGAATGGGGGCTGTGGCAAAGACAAAACACATTAGAGGGTGGAATGGTTTATTTTTAAGTGCCAGACATTGGCCCAGGTTACATCCTTTCCTGGATAATTCTCCAGTCACATGGCCCCAACCTAGCTGCAAAGGAGGCCGGGAAATGTGGGGCTCACATGGGTGTTTGGTGAGCTATAACAGCTCCGTCACAGCCACTCTCTGGAGAACACTGATAGTCTCGGAGTTTTATTATCTCCAGTCAGAATAAAGGTTGTTATATGTGGAAACTCACAAATTCACCCAGAGGTGCTTTTGAGAATCTCCCCTCTTCTCCGATGGTCAGTTGGGCCAGGATGCCACCCAGAGGTTTTCTCTTCAGAGGCAGAAGGCTTCAGCCCCCGATCATGACTCATGGGCACCATCTTCTACCACAGAAAGAGTTTCTTTCAAGGTCTCCTATATGAGGACTAATTTAGCCTAGCACATAATTACTACTTCTTACATGAAAAGTCATCTCTAGTTCCCAGTATTCTTCCATACTAATGGGATAGAATTCTTTATTATATGATTTCATGCGCTGCTTGGCTACTTGTCCCTTCCTTTCTTCCCTTCTTTGACTAATATTTACTGGGCACCTATAATGTGCCATGCATTGTGCTAGACCTTAGAGACATAGCAGTAAATAAGGAAGATGTCATTCTCCCCAGCAGATCAAACTGCCTGCTTTCATATTTTCTTCCTTCCTTCCTTGCAAAATTTTAATTTGTAAGCTATTTCAATGTGCACTGTTGATTCTAAGATTAGAGCATTTTTTTTTCTCATTTTTTGTCTTCCTGCTGTCCGGATCGGTAGAGTTAACCTTTATATAATAGGACTATGAACTACATTCCAAACCATGTCCCAGGAAAAATTTCAAATCCCCCTCTGTATTTCCAAGTCCTCTTGCCTGTAATCACCCTCTTGATCTCTTTCTCTCTGACTTTTATTTTGAGAGGAGTGCATGCTGCAACCCTGTAATTCTCCTTGCCCCTCCCTGCATCGTATTTGGAGATATCTAACAGCAATTGACTGGGTTTTTATTAGTTCTTAGGGTACGTTTTCCATTTTTCAAGGATCTCTCATCAGGGGTTCTTTGCCAGTAATTACTACAGCAACGAAGACTTGAAGGAGCTTCCTCTCAGCGTTGAGTGATGGAATTTCTTAATACTACTGCTTTTTATTTTTGGAGGTGAAAAATTAAATTAAATGTGCGGTTTTATACCAGGCTTATTTAGTCTGCAAAGACATTGGAATAATTTTGTTAAAATGAGCATGCTTTGAGATCACTCTGTTGAGTTGTAAGAACACGAAAAGGCCTCTATGTATTTATCATTTTCCTAAGAGTATTTGCCCAGAAAGGGTCTTAGACACATTGAAAGGACAGACACACATAACAAAGACCAGTGATGTTGAGGATAAGCCTTTTATTGGGGCGTTATCTCAATCAGGGGTCAGTAAGGTGGGCCTTTGGGTGCTCTTTTTGTAAATACAGTTTTATTGGAACACAGTCATGCTTACTTCTTAACTTACTGTTTTGGCTGCTTTTGTGCTGCAACAGCAGAGCTAATTGTTGCAACAGAGACTATACAGCTCACATGCCTAAAATACATATTATCTGGCCCTTTGCAGAAAAAGTTTGCCAACCCTTAACCTTGATGCATTTTTTGGTGTTCATTTTGGGATTTCCACACATCTAATTGTTTTACATGAAAGTGCTCTTTTCAGCTTCACACATTTACCATTTATTGGCAAGCTTAGCTGCAGAGTTCACATACAAGAGAAAATGGTTGTTCACAAGTAAGAGACCCATTCATTCTCTTTTATTTATATCTCGTCCTCAATTTAAAAACAAAACAAAACAAAATCAACCATGGAAGAATTAAAACATGATTGATTTTTCTTTCCCTACCCTTTTCTGATCTGTCACAAGACTACCGATTCTAACATACAGGTCAGTGACTACCTTGGGCCAACACTGAAGACATGATTTACTTAACTGACTTAAAGTGATTTTCCTTCAACTGAAAAATGCTAATGTAATTTTCTTTTTCTTTTCTTTTCTTTTCTTTTTTTTTTTGAGACGGAGGCTCGCTGTGTCGCCCAGGCTGGAGTGCAGTGGCGCAAACTCAGCTCACTGCAAGCTCTGCCTCCCGGGTTCACGCCATTCTTCTGCCTCATCCTCCCGAGTAGCTGGGACTACAGGCGCCCGCCACCATGCCCAGTTAATTTTTTTTGTATTTTTTAGTAGAAACGGGGTTTCACCATGTTAACCAGGATGGTCTTGATCTCCTGACCTCATGATCGGCCCCCCTCGGCCTCCCAAAGTGCTGGATTACAGGCGTGAGACACCATGCCTGGCCGAAAAATGCTAATGTAATTTTCAAGGCTAAAACCACTTTATTTTTCAAATTTATGTATTTATTCTTTAATTGACATATAAAATATATGTATTTATCATGTAGAGCATAAAGTTTTGAAGTATACATACATTGTGGAATGGCCAAATCTAGCTAATGGCAGATGCATTTCTTCATATAGTTATCATTTTGTGGTGAGAACACTTAATATCCACTCTGTTAGCATTTTTCAAGAAAACAATAGATCATCATTAACTATAGTCACAATGCTGTACGATAGATCTCTTGAACTCATTCCTCCTTTAGCCTCTGGTATCTGGCACTCAGCAATCAGTCTAACAATCATGCTGAAAACTTACCACTTCATGGCTATTTATGTCAAAAACACGGACGCTTTAAGTGAAGATCAGTTTCACAATTAGATAATTGGTGTAGCTGACATTCGTCTACTGTTTCATTTGAAAAATGACTTAAAGATGAGAAAAAATGATAATTCCCTCTCTTTTTTAAAAAGGAGGCAAATATCAGAAGATTCCCCTCACATCCAAGTTATTTGTAGTATGAGCTAAAGAGAATTCAGGTGCTTTCTGCTTATCTGCAACAAATTATACAGTGAGAGATACATTGTTCCTCATTAGCAAGGATAAGAAATAATGTCACATGGAGAAAAATGACTTTCTTTAAATTGTTTAAAGAGTTAAAACTAATATTCAGAGTGTAGAATGATCTGCCCCGGCCATGGTCAGTAAATAATAATAACAATAATAGTGATGGCTAACATTTATTGAGTTCTTACTTCATGCCAGGACTGTGCTTATGGTTTACATGCCTTATCTATTAAAGAGTTCCCAAAACTCCTTGAGGTGGCTGATATTTATTTCCATTTTACAGATGAGAAAATGGAGTATCTGAAAATTAAACTCAGATCCACCTGACTGTAGTCCAGTGGTTTTTAACTGGAGGTCATTTTTGACCTCCTCTTCCTACCCCACCCCAGGGGACCCTTAACAATATCTGAAGACTTTTTAGATTGTAACTGGGTCAGGTAAGTGCTACAGGGATCTATTGGCTACTCAAGGATGCTAGTAAACATCCTATGATGTATAGGACAGTGCCCCACAACCAAGAATCACCTGGCCCCAAAATGTCAATGGTTCCAAGGTTGAAGGATCCTGTTCTAGAACTTGCACAAGTAATAGAGACTTCTAAATATTTAGATTTAGAAGATGTTACAGGGGCCTCTAGCTTCTTTCTAAATCCCAGGGAAGCAATTTGTAAGTCCATCCATCCATCTGTCCTGAATGGCCTCTTTTTTCCTCTTAGAAAGAGTCTTAGATAATAATGTTATTTTTCCAATAGCCGCCAGTTCCACATTCTATTTGCAAGGGACTAGAGAGCTCTTGCCCTTCCTCTGTGTGAGTTCCCATGGTCCTTTCATGGACTTTCCCATGATGAACACAGAAAACTGCGCTTAGAGAATAGACATACCTTTGCTGAGATTCACTCAATGAAAATCTTAACCTGTCAATAGAATTCCCTGCCCACAAAAATGGAGACACTTGCAAAGAAATGTGAAACCAGAGTCCACTTCTCCCCAAACCAAATGTATGGTTGTAACAGGTAGATGGTCTCACATACAGCGCACCAGACTATGTTGTTATCTTTCTCTTTTCACCTGAACTTGCCTCTCTCTGGCCTCAATTCTATAATCTAGTCTACCTTTAAACCTCACATTGCACGAATGGCGGATGTATCCAGGGCCACTTCGAGCATGCAACCTTGTCCTAAGTAAGCTTCTCTGCACTGCTCCTTCAGAGGGGTTCAGTTCTAAATCTTCAATCTCAATCCAGATTAGAATTATAGAGCTAATGTTCAACAGTGCATCGAGTTTAATTTTACATTTCCTATCCAGTTCTACTCAAAGCATGGAGGTTTTTATAGAAAGAAAGCTTTCAGGAAAGAAACTATTAAAAAAAGAGTACTTCAAAAATCTCTCTCCAAATTTCAACTGCTTTACTTACCTAGTCATTAGATTACTTGATGGTTATCTCGGTTCTGAGAAGGGGTTTTAGTGCTGCCTCCACAGCAGATCAGCATATACCCAGTGCCAGGTTGTGGGTATGGCATGGTACCAGGGACTGCGGGAGATCCACAGAAACATAAGGAAGGTCTTTGCCCTTAGGGGTTTTACATTGTGGTTGGGAAAATGGGACATATGTATACACATGGAAAATGAAATAACTAAACAAAAGGTAAATGATAATATGAAGCAATCATCCAAGAGGTGGCAGGAGATATATCTGCTTTTTTTTTTTAAGTGCAACCCATTGTTTAGGAAGAATAAAGTTTGTTATGACTTGGTTTGTTCAGAAGTCTTCACATAACAGATGGAATTTGAAAGAGGGAATATATTCTCAGGGAAATTGGAAAAAGTGAGAACTCTATATGTTAAAGGCTGGAGGGAAATCATTTACAATGGGCTGAAGATGCTGTGTTGGCAAGCTGTAGTGGAGAGACCATCATGGAGTATTAGGAGGTAAGCCTAATGGTGTAGCAGGGGCCAGGATTTAGAGAACTTTAAACGTCGTGTGATGGAACCTGAACTTGTTTCACAGGCAATGGGTAGTCACTGAAGAAGCACGCATGCAAATTAAAACAGCTTCCTAACTGATCTTGTCCTTCATTCATGGTCCCCATCTAATGTACTCTCCCCAAGTCAGGCAGACCAATTCTTCTAAAACAAAAAATCTGATCATGTTGGTCCCTCACTTAAAACCATCAGATGATTTTCTATGGCACCTAAATACAACCTGCATCTCACAGTGCAGCTTACATATTGTATTAGTCAGGATTCCCCAAGGAAATAGAACCAATAGTATATTGATATTGGTATAGGTGTAGGTATAAATATAGGTATTGATATAGATAAATATAGGTATAGGTATAAGTATAGATATAAATGGATTTATTTGTCTTGAGAATTGCTTCACACAATTATAGAAGATGAGAAGTCTCACCATCTGCTATCTGCAAGCTGGAGAACCAGGAAAGCTGGTGGTGTAATTCAGTGCAAGTTCAAGGCTTGAGAACCAGAGGAGCTGATGGTGTAAGTCCCAGAGTCCACAGGCCCAAGAACCAGGAGCTCTGATGTCTGAGGGCAGGAGAAGTCGGATGTCCCAACTCAGGAAGAGAAAAATCAGCCCTTTCTTTACCTTTTTGTTATATTCAGGCCCGCAATGTATTGGACGATGCCGGCCCACACTGGGGAGGTTGATTTTTGTTTACTAAGTCTACAGATTCAAATGTTAATCTCTTCTGGGAACACCTTCATAGCCATTCTCAGAAATGTTTTACCAGCTATATGGGTATCCCTTAGCCCAGTCAAGTTGACACATAAATTAACCTTTGCAATCCAGTCTCAGCCTCATTTTAGGCATCTTTGCACCCAAATCACAATGTCCCAGCTCCACTGTCTTCTTTCTTGATTACGGGATTCCTGTTTCTATCAAAGGAGCCCTCTACTTGCTTGGCCTCTGACTTGGATCACTCTTCCTCTGCATTTTTCAATGATCCATTGATGTCTGCATTCATGTCTAAGCTCATTCCACCTCCTTGGATTGCTGTCATATGATTCTGGTATATTTTCTTCATAGCTCTTATCACTGTTAAAACTATTTTATTTATATAGTTTTTCATTTTTTGCTTCCACACTAACATATATATGATATATAGAGAGAAATTATTTACATATCACTTCTCCTTATATATCATATATAGATATATATCTTATAAATATCTATGTATTGATATATTATATATAGAAATTATGTATGTATTATTTATCTTTATATGGAAATAACATATAACATAATTATATATAATTATATATTTTTATATATAATATTATATATAATTTTATATTATATATGTTATAATTTATATATGTTATGTTATATATAATTTTTATATATAATTATATATAATATATAATTTTTGTATATAATTATATATAATATATAATTTTTATATATAATTATATATAATATATAATTTTTATATATAATTATATATAATCATATTATATATAATTATATATTTATATAAATATATTTTATATAAAAATATGAAATTATATAGATTAAAATAAAACAGGACAGAACTGCTAGTGTGGAAACAAACACACTATATATATACATTTAAAGAAGTGTATATGTGTATATATACACATACATATGGAAATCAGTTGGGGGATAGTTGCAAGTCTGGGTGAGAAATTACTAAGATAGGGTAGGGACAGAAAAAATATTTATACATGGAAGACATTTGCAGGTAGGATTTTTCTTGGTGATTCTTTGGATGCACGTGGTGGGAGAAAGGGAGAAAATGTGTTTTTTTGCCTTTCTCCCCAGCTTTCTGGTTTTTAGGAAACAGATGGGCAGGTGGTATTATTCACGGAGGGAAGCAGGCTCCCAAAAGGAAGGTTAGTTCAGTTTTGGATATGTTGACTAAAGATACCTTAAGATACTTGAAAGTCAACATTTATAGACATGTCAAAGTGGAAAGTAATCAAGGAATGTAGTGATGATGGCCGGCTCAGTGAGGTGTCAACAGAAACGGTGAACACAGACACAGGTTTGCCTTCTTTCCCAAATGCTTTCAAAGAACCCTCTGTTGACACCTCATCCCCCACAAGGCTTAGCTGCAATCCTAGACATTGAAAATGTAGAGAAAATTTCCAACCTTGAGCATGAAGGAAGGGGGCAATTTTGAAAAGAACCCTATTTAATGTTCAAGCTTGCAGCAAGTTACCGTATTTAAAGGGAGAAAATATGACTTCCCAAATTATGAAAAACATCTTGAGTGTCATTTAAAAACTGTAATACATTCTCTACCCCCAACAACATTTTAGAACTGCAGAAATTAGTATAAATGTTGCTCTATTTTATAGGGAGGTGAGAAGATAGGGCAATATCAAGACTTTATTAAATTCTGGACAAATTGGGGAGGATGTTTTCCGCTATTTGAAAGAAGTCACTGATCTTTTTTTCCCCCTTTTCTTTTGCTTTTTTTATTTGGGAATGTTAAGGGAGAAGGGAAGCTGCAGAAATACCTTAAAACAGCTCTGTAGGGCCTTTGGCAGGAAGTGTGTGTGTGTGTGTGTGTGTGTGTGTGTGTGCACGTGTTACATGGAGAAATTAAGGAAAAGGGTGACTTTTATTGCTGAAATTAATTTTATTGCTATACTAACTAGCCCTCTTCCTCCTCACTTCCTGGTATCACACAGAGATAAAAAGGCAAGAAGAAATGCCTTTTCAGATTCCGTAGCTTCCTGTAGTAGTTGCAGATTCTGGCAGCCCGGTGTTAGGTTTATAAATGTATCCCAGAAAACTGCAAAACCACAAACAGATACATAAAGAATGAGGAATCTCATTAAGAAATGAGCATTTATATTTTTACTGGGTTTTACTTTTAACATAAAACATCTTGAAAAAAGTTTTATGATTTAGCATTTATGAATGACTAGATTTTAAGAGAATTGTAATATTTTTTTAGGGTATTTCAGCTCCATGAGTTATTTCTTATAGATTCAGATAATGACATTATAAATCTTTCTGTGGAGGCAATTACTAAGGCAGAAATGGCCTATTCCCCATTGGCTTTTAGGTTCAGCTTACTGACATATTACAAGCAGGCTTACCGTGGTCATTAAAAACTGATCTGGGATTTATTGTACCTCTTTAAACTCTCAGTACTCTGAAAAGTATTGAACAGAAAGGAATACAAAGTGAAGTTACAAAGAGGGCCAGCAAGGCAATCAGGAGAGAAGTAGATTTAATTTATCCATTAAGACCACCACAAGTATGGTGAAAATATCTGAAATTGGAGCATGAGGTTTTTCATAGAGGCAAAGACATGCTTGCTAAGTGTGGCTTTCCACCTGAAATAGTTTCAAATGTGGTTTTAGAATTGAGAGTTAAAGGGCCATTGGTGTGAGATACTGCACAAAAGGCGAGGTGGGTTTTTTAGCCTTTCCTGATAGGTGCACCAGCTGGAGACATGGAGCATTATAGAAGAAGAACAGCAGTCTCTGGCCAGTACTGCGTCCACCTTCTCCAGCAACACAGGCCACTTAGGGTGCAAATAAACGGGCAAGAGTCTGGACTTATCTTGTTCATTTGGATTTCCTGGTCTCGGTTTTTCTGCTTCTCCCCAAATGATATTGGAATACCTTTTCTGGGAAAAGATATCCCCAGCAAGGTTCAAGCAGGTGTGTTATAACAGCACAAAGGCATGAAGATAAGAGAAAGAGTTAGAATTGAAGACGAGAGTGAGTTCATCCCAGGCAAAGCAAGGAGAAAAATTTCCTAAAGAAAGTAGAATTTTGCTCTAACCCTTGACCATAAAAATTAATGCTGTCCTCTAGGGGTGGGCCGAGGCATCCCTTTTTTGTAGAGTTGCTTATTGAACTATGGGGAACTCCCTCCCTTTTTTCAATGAGAACACAGAGATGACTAGAAAATGCTTTTATCACCTCACACAGGAAACAAGCTGAAGGTTGAGTGTGTGTTTATTTTACCACTTGAGTCTTGCCTAATGTATATGACAGCCTGGCAACTTGTTCATCACCTTTAAGGCAATGCTTTACTAGAAACAAACAAACCAAACCACCAAAATCATCATATCATTCTGTTTGTCCAAAGCACTTGGTTTCCCATGGCTGGCTCCTTATCGCACAGGTCTCAACTCAAATGCCACCCACCGCCTTAGTGAGCTCTTCCCAGACCTTCTACTCAACTCCCCGCTGCAGTCACTTCAACACGTTGACCTTTTAGTTTCTTTACAGAGGTCAACAAACTTTCTCTGTAAAAGGTTAGATAGCAAATGTTTTAGATTTTGTGGGCCACATGGTTTCTGTCGCAATTGCTCAACTGTCCACTGTATCGTAAAAGTAGCCACGGACATTATGTAAACAAGCAAGAGTGGCTGTGAACTAATAAAACTTTTTGCAAATATACAGGCTGTGGGGACATGGTTTGCCAACCCCTGCTTTAAGAGAACGATAGTGTAGTGCCCTAAATTTTTGTGTGCATGTATTTACTTTCCAGATTTTTATGCATCTTTCTCCATTAGATTTGGAGATGAATGAGGCCAGCAATGTAATTTATTGAGTAACCTACCACTGCAGATTATGGATGTCAACTACCACTATATGCTAAATACATAAAGGCATATTTGGTCTTCCATAAACATGGGCTAAACAGATGAACCAAAAAGTCTCCCCGAAATGGTGGTTGTGCTATTGTATTCTACTGTTTCGAATTGCAAAGCAAATCTATAGTTTCTTTGGAAACTTTGGAGAATAATTTTTTAAACAAAGATCTTTGGTTTATTTGTAAAGCAAAAATGTTGGAGTCAAAGAACCTGGAGTTAATTGGGGGTTTTCCTTACAGTTTGGCTCAAACCCCTAGTCCAGATTTCACTCAGGCTAGATTGAATCTGATTTAAAACCTTCACTTCACAATATACCCCTGTTTGATAAATATAACGCAAATATTAGGGGCCCTGGAACTGAGTTTTCTATCATCTGAATCTCTAATCCACAGTGCAATAAAAGGCTGCTCTGCACTATAGAATGTTATGAATCCCAAAGGAAGTAGTCACTTTATATAGCTTCGTTCATTGTCTTCATAACCCGTTAGCCAGTCCACACTTTCAACTGTGGGGCCTGATGGAGCCAATCTGATGGAGTGGGCCTGTTTCCTGACACTTTGAGGTATTAAAATTCTTCCCAGAGTTTCAGATATTCTTTTATTCCCAATCATGGTGCATTTGGAACTCTTATCGTGTGCTTTCCCAGTTGGGCTTCCAGTATACGTGTGGTGGTGATGGTGGGTGACGGTGATTTGAAGGGGGTATCATTCCAACAATTAATTTGTAAAATTTTGTTTTTGAAACTTTTTGGCCGAAAGTCTTCATGGAAAGGCAGCTATTTGCACTAATGGTATTATTTCCATTTGGAAGCGGATTTAGAAACCAATATTTGGCATGTTTTACAGCACAGCAAGTTTACCGGATTCCTAAACTAGCTGCTCTCAACAGTTAGTGGTGGGCTCCTGGTCTCGCTGGCTTCAGGAATTAGCTTCTATCAAAAATCACAGAAGATTTACTCAGATACCTCCCTTTTCTTGGACTCAGTTTACCACCAAGACGACTACATTCACTAGAAGAGAAAAGTTCTATAATACAAAGCCCCAGTGATCTGAAATGCTCTGATTTTTCTGTCCACTAAGACTCATTTCTAACTGAGGAAGGCTCTTACAGACCTGAGCTCTCCTTGACAGCCCTCCAGGCCAGTGCCATACACATCGATTTGCACTTGAGCAGTAATAAGATTTCTCTATTGTTGGTAAGTATTGAATCCATCTGGGAGTCACTGGCAGGTCATAGAGAACGAAGAATGAAGATAAGTCTTCAGTGGCACTCAGCCTATGCATGATTGTGGTGGTTACACGTTAGCTTTTATCTCCCTGTCACCCCTTTGCAGGGTTGGGAGCCTATGCATGACTTGTGGTGGTTATGTGTTAGCTTTTATCTCCCTATCACTCCTTCGCAGAGTTGGGGTGGAAGGAGTTGACCTCTGTTTCCTCATACCAGGTATTCTGGTGAGGATTTTAATCAAGATCTTCCATTTTATGAACTGCGACTTCAAATGGGCCTCTCTTAATAGGACCCATTATCTTTTTTGTCACCTTGTTAGTCTGGCATGAACTACTAACAGTTCATCTTTCTGGGGTCTTCCCTAGGATTAACAGACACTGAAGAGAAGAAATCTTTCCACTGGAGTTGGTGAGCTTTAACAGTGGATCCCAGAGGGTGGGGTATGTGGGGTCATCTCTCCCATCACATTGAAAAATACATCCAAGCAAAGGTAAAAGCTGAGCAGGACTGAAAATAGAGGAAATCAGACAGCCTGGATAATATCGACCTTCCAGATGCAGTCTTACCTGAAGGTGATCCTACCCCTAGACTTCTCAACTGTATGAGCCAGTCAATGGTCCCCTTTTAAATTGAAGTATTTTATTTGGGTTTTCTGTCACTTGCAACCAAATGAATCTTGATTAATATGGCTATGTATTTCTGATAATTCTCAACTTTAATCTGTTACATTACACACATAGCTCTATATACCTCTGTCCTATAACTCTATGGTATAAATTTTCTTTACTGTAAGAAAGACCTTTTAAGTTGCAGTTCAATGAATTCCCTGTAATCTTATTCTTTTGGGGATCCAAATAAAATGTAAGTTGTAGATCAATTGCCAACAGCAACCTAGTATCTCTACAAAACTGCTTTATCATTAGAGAGATACACCAGGACCCCTTTCTCTTGAAATGCTGATTAGATTTGTTTGCAGTAGACCAAGTACATTCTTGAAACAAAAAATCCCAGGTATGCTTGCTGGAGAACCACAGCTTTACAGGTTCTATTGGGTCCGGAATTGGTGGGTTCTTGGTCTCACTGACTTCAAAAATGAAGCCGCGGACACTGGCAGTGAGTGTTACAGTTCTTAAAAATGGTGTGCCTAGAGTTTTTTTTCTTCAGATGTGTCCGGAGTTTTTTCCTTCTGGTGAGTTCGTAGTTCTTGCTGGCTTCAGGAGTGAAGCTGCAGACCTTCGTGGTGAGTGTTACAGTTCATAAAGGTGGCGCGTCCAGAGTTGTTCATTCCTCTTGTCTGGAGTTCGTCCCTCCCAGTGAGCTCGTGGTCTCACCGGCTCCAAGAGTGAAGCTGCAGACCTTCGTGGAGACTGTTACAGTTCATAAAGGTGGCGCAACCAGAGTTCTTGTTTCCTCCTGTCAGGAGTTTGTCTCTCCCAGTGGGCTCGTGGTATCACTGGCCACTGGCTTAAGGAGTGAAACTGCAGACCTTCCCAGCAAGTGTTACAGCTCATAAGAGCCACGCGCACTCAGTCCGCAGCAGCAACATTTATTGCAAAGACCGAAAGAACACTGCTTCCACAGACCGCAAAGAAATCTTAGCGGGTTACAGATGTTAGTTCGGGTGGCCTACTTTTATTCCCTTATGTGGCCCCACCCACATCCTGCTGATTGGCCCATTTTACAGAGAGCTGATTTGTCCATTTTACAGAGAGCTGATTGGTCTGTTTTGACAGAGTGCTGATTGGTGCGTTTACAAACCTTAAGCTAGACACAGAGTGCTGATTGGTGCGTTTACAATCCTTTAGCTAGACACAAAAGATCTCCAAGTCCACATCCTCAGAAGCCCAGCCGGTTTCACCTCTCAGTGGCACTCACAGGGGACTTTGTGGCACCTAGCCCAGGCACTCCAGCAGCCTAGAGAGAGTTCATCCCGGCCCGCTGAGCCTGTGCCTACCAGGAACCCATGCTGGCCCGCGAGCGCAGTGCACAGCCCGGTCTCCTGCCAGCGCCTCTTCCTCCACACCTCCCCAGGAGCAGAGGGAGCCGGCTCCAGCCTTGGCCAGCTCCAGGGAGGGGCCCCCACAGCGCAGTGGCAGACTGAAGGGCTCCTTGAGCACGGCCAGAGCAGATGCCAAGGCTGAGGAGGCGCCGAGAGCAAGCGAGGGCTGCTAGCACGTTGCCATCTCTCACTATGACATTTATTTTATATTTATAGTATTTTTACTGATTCCTCATCTTGGACCTTTCATATTATATTTATTAAAGTGTTTTTTGACAGACAAACGTCTCTGTGGGGGGGCCAGGCATGGTGGTACATGCCTGTAATCCCAGCACTTTGAGAGGCTGAAGCAGGCAGATTGCTTGAGCTCCAGAGTTCAAGACCAGCCTGGGCAACATGGTGAATCTCCGTCTCTACAAAAAAATATTAAAAAATTAGCCAGGCCTGGTGGTGCATACCTGTAGTCCCAGCTACTCAGGAGGCTGAGGTGGTAGGATCACTTGGGCCCAGGAGGCAGAGGTTGCAGTGAGCAGAGATCATGCCACTGTACTCCAGCCTGGGTGACAGAGTGAGACCCTGTCTCAAAAAAGAAATGTCTCAGGGATAACTCAGCTTGGGTCATGTGCTGACCAAAAGATATTCATTGTGGCCAGAGAGGAAGGAAGCTCTATTTGATGTGACTGGGGTCACCCATCTTTGAATCAAAGAGATGATGTGGCCCACCTCACCCTCCATATAAATTTTGCAGGACCTATCTGTTGAGTAGAGGAGGGCTGCCTCCAAAGAAGGGATAATGAGGAGACAAAGTAAATATGTGTACAGTGCTCCTATATGATGCTTAAATTCCCTATAGAATAGCAGAATATCGTGAACTTTTTTGAGTGCTTTTTACGTATCAGGCTCAGTTTCATTAATTGTACAGATATTATGTAATTTTCACAATAACTCTGAAGTGGGTACTATTAAGAGCAACACAATACAGATGAGAACACTGAGAAGATTTAATTGCAATTGCCTCAGATCACATAGCTAGTGGTGAGCATGACTAAGGTCAGGCCCAGGCAGCCACATCCCAGAACACATACTCTAAACCATGGTCAGCAAACTACACCTGCAGATGAAATCCAGCCTGCTGCCTGTGCTTGTAAATAGTTTTATTAGAACATAACTACACTCATCTTTTTATGCGTTTTCTTTCGTTTGTTCTTCTTTTCTTTTTTTTGAGATGGAGTCTCGCTCTGTCACCCAGGCTGGAGTGCAATGGCACAATCTCGGCTCACTGCAACCTCTGCCTCCTGGATTCAAGCGATTCTCCTGCCTCAGCCTCCTGAGTAGCTATGATTACAGGTTCATGCTGCCATGCTTGGCTAATTTTTGTATTTTTAGTAGAGATGGGGTTTCACCGTGTTAGGCAGGTCTCGAACTCCTGACCTCGTGATCCACCTGCCTTGGCCTCCCAAAGTGCTGGGATTACAGGTGTGAGCCACCACACCCAGCCTGTTTATGCATTTTCTATGTCTGTTGGCATGTTAGAATGGCAGAGCTGAGTAGTTGTGACAGAAACCACAAAACATAAAATATTTATTATTGGGCTTTTATAGAAAAATGTTTGCCTACAACGCCTCAGATCACCCAACTTCCCCTTAAACAGTTTTGAGTCAAGAGACTCATCAGTTCTTGCATAGCCTATTGCATTTCCAGATATATAGTGGACATTTGTACTGAATTTTGGTTGACCATAATCTCAATTTCTTTTGTAGACTTAATGAATTTCCCATAATGTCATAATATGTGTGTTGGTGAAAGGTAGAGCCCATATACCACATCTAAGCCCTGAAGACCAGATATTCATTTTCCTGGCTCCCTTGCAGCTAGGCTTGTAACATAAGCTCAAAACTTAGGCTTGGCCAATCATACCTATTTGAGACCATTAAGCCTGAAATGTTGCAAAGAAGGAACAATGTAGACCCTTGATTGCATTAGTCAATAAGGCAGAAAATCTTATTGGAGATAATTTTCAGATTTTCAGAAAAGGTAGATCTCCCTTCAGCTCTTCAAACTAATTTTGCTTTTGTCATTAGTATAAACACCGACAAATTATCAAGAGTCTGATAGCTCATGGCTCCCCCTTCCAAGTACTATTTTTAGAGATAGGAAGGAAGGATACTTTGCCTTTCCATGAAGTTTATCTCTAGATTTACCTTCTAGTATGCCACTGCTGTGGAATTAACAGATCTTTTTACACTAGCTTCTGTTTAGGTTTTTAAATTCGTTTTTTGTTTGTTTGATACTGTTGTTTTTTGCATACGTATGAGAATGATATGCATTCTCATTTTATTCATTTAAGAGAATTGAGAGAGACTAAGCAACTGGAATAGCACTCAGTATCCCAGCTCCCTAGCTTATGTTTTCAAAATTATCATATTATTTATTTATTGCATGCATATTCATTTGCCATTTGCATGACATATTTCATTTGATATCACTGTCCAAAAATGGTAGGTGTTCCTGCCCTCATGGGGCTTGGAATCTAGTTGGGAAGTTGAAGCAAAAGCTGATGAACACAAGACAGTCAAAAAAATAGTCATAAATTGTGTTCACTGATAGGAAGGACCAGACAGGATGCTGAAAGAGAGAATATGAGCAGAGGGTGGAGGTGGTGGTCAGGGAAAGCCTATTAGAGGCTATGACCTCTCCATAGGGTAAGGAAAAGCAAAGCATTGCAGGCAGTGAAACAGCATGTAAAAGGTAACCATCCACATGACAGCCAGAATAAAGCAAAAATTCCCCAAGCATATTATTCAACAGCAATTGCAAACCTGCGATACTGAGACTTAAAGAGAAAATGGCAAGAGGTCTGGAAACTCATCCCAACAATGAATTCTGAGTGCCAGGATGTGTGTGTGTGTGTGTGTGTGTGTGTGTGTCTGTTTGCTCAAGCAGGCTTGTTTTTCCACTTCCTCATTTTCCTAATGCCATCACACGGCTGCCTCACCTGAATGCCAGTCGCTGATTGAGGCGGCAGCTCTAGATCCAGGGAAACAAAGGAGAAGGTTGCTATAGTAACAGAGACCACAAGAAGCTACCATGAGAGCTCCTCCTCTTTCTCTCCAGAATCCCTCTGGCCAAGGGAGGCAACAGAATGGTCCTCCCAGCTGTGGGGCCCTCAGGGCATTTCCCAGGCACTTAGCTAGTTTGCCAACTATATCCCTTTTGACAGTTTAGGAAAGTTACTCAGTCTCTATTACCTGCTGTAGAAGAGAGAAACGACACAGTTTAGATGTTTCTAGACTGGATAGTGGTTTGGAATTATTTAGCAATTCTTCATTCCTATGGTCCCTTTCTCTCTTCATCAACCTCTATGCACATAAACTATGCATCAACTTGTATTTGAGACATGATACCCATCTACATTTACCAGGCAAAATTGCAGTGCTCCCTGATGTACTCTAATGTGAGTAGTTGCCCAAAATTCTATGACTTCTCACTGTTCCAACCGTGAAGAAGAGTGATTTTTTGAAATATTCATGTCCTGATCAATTTTAACAAATCAAGGTATCTGTAAAAAGATAATGCTTGACAGCAAATGAATTGAAGCTGTTTTAATTGGACTGAAGTCCCCTTGTGAGAATTTAATTTCTTTTATCGACAGTTCCAGGAATCCATCCCAGATAAGTTGGGATCTCCTTATAAAATACCATTCTCTCCTAGCTTTGCATACTCAGACATTACTCCTGTTTTTGGGTGCAGCTAAAGTCTTACTTAATTTGTTGTGTTTCCATTCTAGTCCTTAGTCTTCTTGGATGCTTTTCTGGAATTTTAGCCACTATGTGGCCCATAGCTACTTATGTTTTCAGTTTACGTTCGACAACTCAGTAAGGAGATACGGTTGAGAACATAGAATTTAGAGTTGGGTGGAACTGTGTGTTAATGCTGGCTCCATTACTAACTGTTTTTTATTGTTGGGATCAAATCTTGGCCAGGTTACTTGACAAGCCTCAGTTGTTGCATATGAGAAATGCATGTAAAAATACTATGTATTTTCCATGGGTATCATGATGATTAAATGCATCAGGGTACCTAAGGCTCAAGGCCAGGCATTATACCTGTTGTAATGAGGGTGTGAGGATGTCATCTTAGCTGCCCAACAGGACTGTGGGCTCCCCAAGGACAGCAGACAGCACCTCTTCATTCTTTCCCCGCTTTCCATATAGCATGTGGCAACCATAGACATGTAGACATGACAAGTGATAAAAAAGGTTCAATATAATTATATTTATTCTGTTAATTAAGCAGTTTGTTCCCCATCCCAATTATATGGCATATATAAGAAAGACAGGGAGAAAAGAAAGAAAGAAAGAGAGAGAGAGAGGAAAGAAAGAAAGAGAGAGAGAGAGGAAAGAAAGAAAAAGAAAAAGAAAGAGAAAAAGGGAGAGAGAGAAAGAAAAAAGAAAGAAAGCGAAAAAGAAGAAAGAAACATAAGTATCAGAAGCCCTAGCTAGGAACGGTATGCCCCCAGCAATCTCTCAACTTCAAGGTTCTGAGGGAACTTTAAGAAAAAGTTCAATCATTTCGTTTGTGGCAGCCATGCCTCAGTGTTCTCATAAGCTTCAATTAGCAAAATACTTTCACATTTCCTATTGCCACCAATACGAGGGCTTCCATTGTTGGAAACAGATGAGAACTTTTTCACTCCACATGGAGTTTTCTTCATGACACTATCTAATGTGGTTTTGCTCAACAGTTTTGAATTGCTAGTTCCATAGGGAATATTCTTTAGCATGTGTGAAAAGTGATGCCAATATGTACATAAGGAAATATTAATGCACAGAAAATATTCTCAAAAATAGTGTCTTAGCCTTTGGAAATGTTTCAAATGGTTATCTGGGTAGATCTTAAATGCAATACATTCTCGTTCTTCAAAAACCTCTTCCTGTCAATGTTGACACTAGTGAGAGCTCTAACTGGGAAAGGAGACGCGCAGCATGCTAATCAAAGGCAAGGTGGCCTTGTGGTCTTATGGCTAGTTCTTACTCAGGCACCAGGTAGAAGGAACAGATTGGTCCATCACAGATGCTTGATTCTCTGACTAGGGTTCAAGGACCCCTTGAGGTCTGAGAATATTTTCTGTGGGTTGGAGTGCTCCCAGGTTTAAGACACTTCCCCAATAAGTCAAATTCTCTTTGTGAGAAGGGAACAGAAGTATGTGTTCAGGTAGTAGTAGGATGTTGAGGGAATCACAATGGAGATCTTAAAAGATATTGCTAGAAGCTGGGTACAGTAACTCAGACCTGTAATCCCAGCACTTTGGGAGGCCGAGGTGTGTGGATAGCTTGAGCTCAGGAGTTTGAGACCAGCCTGGGCAACATGGTGAAACTCATCTCTACCCAAAATACAGAAAATTAGCTGGGCTTGGTGGCGCGCACCCGTGGTCCTAGTTGCTTAGGAGGCAGAGGTCGCAGTAAGCTGAGATCATGACACTGCTCTCCAGCCTGGGTGCGGGTGACAGAGTGAGACTCTCTCTCTCTCAATCTCTCTCTCTCTCTCTCTCTATATATATATATATATATACACACACACATATATAGCTTGAATTTGTTTTATAATGCAGAATAATAATACTTTGTTATAATTAAAAATAAAGTATGTCATTATATGAAGCTAAAATAACATTAACATTCATTTGAGCATTAACTCAACTGTCAAGAACTGTTCTATATTTTATTGAGACTACATATAGTAAAAAGCATAGGTCTTAAGTGTATTGATCAGTGAGTTTTGACAAATATATATATATCCATGCAACCAGCACCTAATCAAGATACAGAGCAGAGGCTGGCAAATTGCTATCTGTGAGCCAATTCGACCCTGTGGAATGTTTTCTGTGTGGCCTATGAGTGAAGAGTGTTTTTTTTACATTTTTAGAAGGTTATTCTTTAAAAAGGCAAAGAAGAATATACAACAAAAAACTATACATGGCCCTCAATGCCTCAGCTCATCAAGTGGCCTCAAGGGGGGCACCATTTTCTATTAATAATTTGCATGAAGGGTCTGCAAAGCTACCTGTGACTCTTTAATATGTGCTCAATTCGTATTAGTTAATACCTTACATGGAAATGATTTTAGTTGATAAGCTTTATGGAAAATGAGAAGGTCTTTTAGCAGCTGGTAAAGAATTCAAAATGAGTCCAAAAGCAGACTAGCAAATCTCAATTCTCCTTAAGATAGATGACTTATTTATTTATTTATTCTTTTTATTGAGATGACATTCATGTGACATAAAATTCACCATTTTGAAGTGAGCAATTCAGTGGCATTTAGCAAATTTAGCACAATGCCGTGCAGCCACCACCTCTATTTAGTTCCAAAACATTTTCATCTCCACAAAAGGACACCACCTGTATCCATTAGCAGTCACTCTCCCATCCACTCCTCACCCCCTACCTTTCCAGGCTCCTGAAATCCCCTAAGCTGCTGTATGTTTCTATGGATTTACCTATTCTGTATGTTTCATATAAAACGAATCATAGAATATGTGACCTTTCATGTCTGGCTTTTTCCACTTAGCATAGTTTTCTAGGCTCATCCACATTGCAGCATAGATCAGTACTTCATTCTTTTTATGGCTGAATAGTATTTCACTGTAGGTATAGACCAGACCACAATTCATTTATCCATTCATCAGTGGATGGCCCTTTGGGTTGCTTCTACAAACCTTTAGGTTATTGTGAATGGTGCTTCTATAGACATGCACCTGCATGGATTTGTTTGCATATCTGTTTCAGTTCTTTTGGGTACATATTAGCTTGATGTTTTTGAAACTGCAGTCTACGGAGGTAGGTAGAGATATTTGATGTTTGGGTGGTAATGGTGGAAGGCTCTAGGATTTCTCAGGTTTGAAAGCCACTGTATATTTTCTTTATACAAAATATAACAGTATAAAAGTCTCAGCCAGGTGAGATGGCTCAAGCCTGTAATCCCAGCACTTTGGGAGCCCCAGGCGGGTGGATCATGAGGTCAGGCATTCGAGACCAGCCAGACCAATATGGTGAAACCCTGTCTCTACTAAAAAATACAAAAATTAGCTGGGCATGGTGGTGCAACCTGTAGTCCCAGCTGCTCAGGAGGCTGAGGCAGGAGAATTGCTTGAACCTGGGAGGCAGATGTTGCAGTGATCTGAGATAGCACCGCTGCACTCCAGCCTGGGCAACAGAGTGAGACTCCATCTCAAAAAAACCCAACCAACCAAACAACAACAACAACAACAAAAACTTGCTTATCCATGTGGGGAAAAAAGTGAACAGTAGTTTATTGCAAAGCTTAGTGAATCCTTTAGTAATCTGCTGAATAAAAATGCTCCACTGAGAGGCAGAGATGCCAGAAGGCTTCTTTGGACAGTTAATTTTCCCAAGCTTTGCAGAGCACTTGCTGCTGAGATGTCATGTAATGTCCTCACTGGGTTAAGTAGGGCTCCTTTCCACCCTTTTAGTTTAGGGCTCCAGATAAAAAGCAAGAAGCCCAGTTAAATTTGAATTTTACATAAGCAACAAATAACTTTTAATATAAATATCTCCAGTATTGCATTATTTACTGTTTTTCTGATATTCAAATTTAACTGGGCATCCTTTATTTTTAGTCACTAAATCTGGTGACTCTATTTTTATTGCCCTGGGAGAGGGTAGCTGATTTGCAGTGAATTGTAGAAGATACCCTATCAGCGGAGATGCTTTGCTCACTCATTTTCCCATGAGAGAGCCATTTCCCTTTTTATATAAATAATGTAAAAATTTGGAGATAAAGTATGTGGGGCATAAGGAAGGTGAAATGGAGCCTTTACAACGTAAAGTGCTTTCTCCCTGGCCTTAGTTCATTAGTGAAATCTAGTGATTTAAATTACCCAGCTAACCTCTTCCGCCACTGCAAGATTATAAATCAAGTAGGTGGCTACTACCTGAAGGAGTTGTAGGGTCTTTGCAGAAGGTTCTTATCAAGCTAAGAGGGGCAGAAAATTTCCTATTACTGTGTCATGCATAAATGGTAATGCCTGAACCTCCACTTACAGCATATTACCTCTATGCAATTCACTGGCTAAAATAAAAGAAACAAAATAGGAACATTTTCGCTTCTTTGCATTACAGAGGAATAAATAAGATGGCAAGGGTCTGTCTGCAAAAGGGCTGATGCTATGAAATACTTCAAATGCTACCAGATAGAGACAGACTCAATTGAATACAGAGAACCTATTAAAGGTATTTATCTGTCTGTCTTTCTCCCTTTATTTTTGTCTGTCTCTGTGCCTTTACTTTGTGTGAAATTTTGAGAGATGAATTCCATTTTCTATTAATTCAATGGCTGTCATATTGCATTACATCATGCAGCTCGAATCACAACAATGAGACGTTAGGGTTTAAATTAATAATATTGCAACACATCACTTGCTAAAGCAGTGTATTTAATCCCATCTAGCCTGCTCAGGTAGCCTGACTTCTGCCCAGTGCCTTGAATCTGCAGATTGCAGTAGAATTACCCAAGTTCAATTGCAAACAACCTATAATTGTGAGCTGAGGACTTGAGCTTCATGGTAGAAAGCATTAATTTAATATACTGGTGAGATGTAACAAGCTTAATTTCTTTTAGTAAAATGGTTGTCGGGGGGGTGGTGGGTGCAGGGATTTTGAGGTTTCTGAGCAGCATTTTCTATTCCTAGAAATACCCTCAACAAATAGTTGTGCTATGTACAATTGCCTTACATGGTGTGTTAACTAAAGCCGCCAAGAAAGGGAGAAGCTGGAGGGATACAGGTAAGAGAAGATCCTTTGAGGAACGTATAGATTTGGTGAACTGTTCAGAATGCATTTCCACAGACATTAAATTGAGAGCACAACCCCTCCCCAAATGACTGTAGCATGAACATTCAACCCATACTGTTCCACGTCTGAAAGAGAGTAAAACTGGATGAACAAAGAGGAAAATGAGTCCAAAGCACATCAAAAATATTCCTTACCCAAAGCAGATTGTTCTCACAGGGCTTTTTTCACGTGCAGATGCTTTTACTGTGGAAACAAAACAAAATAATTAATGACTCTACATTTCAGGAAGCGAGAGAGGCATTTTGGAAATCCGAATACTGTCATAAGCTGCATAACGACTTTTTGGTTAACCAGGGATTGCATATACAATATTTCTGCATTTAGGTATGTTTAGATACACAACTACTAACCCTTGTGTTACATTTGCCTGCAGTACTCAGTACAGTCATGCACTACTACACAAGTTTGTAGCCTAGGAGCAGGAGGCTAGCCCATATAGCCTAGGTGTGCAGCAGGCTATGCCATCTAGGTTTATGTCAGTGCACTCTGTGATATTCACACAACAATAAAATCGCCTAACGATGCATCTCAGAACCTACCCTCATCATTAAACAACACATGACTGTAATTATCACCAGCACTAAGAGAGAGGTATGTGAAGGGCCAGCCCTCTGAGTTCCTGCTTCCTGGTTCCCTCCGAGTTCCCCCATACCTCTCTGGAGCCCCTGATCGCTTCCTCGGGCCATGTACATTTCCAACCATCACCAGCTCTAGATAAACAAACAGACAGAGGATTCGTATGTGGCCTTCGTTAAGGTGGGTGCCAATTGTCAAATTAGTTTCTGCCCAACCTGCCGAGTGCAAATGCAAATCCACCACCCCCGGCGCTGCCTCATTTGCAGTTATTGATTCATGTTTGACTGTGAGTTCAAAAAATGTTGTCTTTGAAGCTTCCCCATCTATGCTTGGCTTCCTGGGTCCAGGTGGCTCGGGGATCCCTGGCAGTCATTTTGATCTCTGTATTCCAAACACCAACGCAGGTCATTTCAGGTAACTTAAAAGCAAGATACAATCAGAAAGGATTTGGAAATGAAGTCTTTGCCTTGTCACATTAATGCGGTCCTATCAAGTGGTAGTTTATCAAGAGCCACCTCACAAGGTTTTAATGAGCATGCTGCTTGTTCTTGTACAATACTAATTAATCCCATTTTTTCACACTGCCGTGATTGCTTCATGAAACCCACATTGTTTTATACTCAGTAGCAAAGCGCCTCTTACTGATTAAATCTCCTTGCCTGCGATGGAGCCTGACAACTGAATTATACCTTGCTCAAAATAATAATGGGTATCAGCTAATAAATACGGTTTAACACACACAAAACTATGCAGCCAAAATCACACCACAAAATAGGAGTTTGACTTATAGGCTCAGCAGTGTTTCATTAAACATCTGTATTATAATTCACTGGTTTTCCAACTGATGTAATAACTTAATTGATGAGAACAAAGACAAGCTTATTTATTCACCCAATTGCTTGCTTCTTGACTAACGTTTTTCCTGGGTGTTATTGTGGAAATAAATATGCAATATTCTTTTTATAGAAGTCTAATTTAGGTCCTTTTTTTCCCCTATTGAGAAGTCAGCATCACCATCTGTATCTGACAAATTCTTGCTGCTTTGCAACGGAAGCATTTCGATAAGATGGGAGGTGGTGTTTACCCTGATATTCAGACTGGCTAGCCGATGTGAGAGGGGAAGCATTGGTCTCCTAGCCCCCTGGGTAGTGCATGATGAGTGTTCCCTGATTTCCCTCACAAGGCTGAAAATGCCATCTAATGGAACACACACACAACACACACACACACGCACACCCCTCTCATCTAATGCGTTAAATTAATTCCACCAAAGTTGAGCTGATTTTGTGTGTCTCATGAAATGGCACGGACACACTCATCTCCAGCTTGTGTCTCCCCACCCACATTTAAGTGCTACCAGAAACCAACCAATTTGGTGAGAAAATCACACCCAGAATTTTTAATTTGTATAAGGTCTGTTTCAGCTGGATATAGAAGCCAATAACTGGTGTGATTTTTGTCATCCCTCTAGCTTTGGGCTGTATGTCTTTCAGTACCAGCTATTTAATAAATATGCATTGAACTCTCTGGGTTTCTTTTTCCATGAGGTAGGCTGTTGGCCTGATTTGACCACATCTTTTCTTCCAGTGATGCTTCGGGGAAGCCTGAGTGCTTTCCCAATCTCGTGAACTTTCCACTCTGCTCACACTCTATGTAGTCGCCAGCTCAATTTTCTGACTCTGACCTTGACTGTGAACTCCATGAGGATGGACACTTCCAAATAATATTACTTGAGAACTCAGTTATGTTTCAGGAACTGTTCTAAGCCTTGGGGATACTCTGATTAAGAGAGGAAGTCCTGGTGCTCATGGAGCTTGCATTCTACTGGGGGAGACAGGTGAGAATCAGGCAAGTAAGTGCATGTATAATACAGAATATGATATCTGCCACTGATAAGTGCTATGAGGAAAAATACAGCAAGTGGAGAAGTATGTTGTATGTGTTGTTCACCTAGTAGACACTCATTAAATATTGGTTGAGTCAGTGCAAACTTTGTCATATTGATCCCACATTCTTGTGCTGTGTCTACTGTTCCTTCATGAGATGGTTCAAGAGGAGCTGATTCCTTCAAGAAATTTCTCTGGAGCATGCAAACATTCCTTTGCTTTGCCTTCTTCAGATGCGCACTGGCCATGTGCATCCACTATTCATACATATTCCTTTCTCTGATCTTACTACCATTCTTGAGTGGAGGGCTGATTATCTTTTGGCCTTGTATCTTTTGAAGCAGTCATCAGAGGGCTTACCAGTTCTCTAATATCTACATTTCCTGCCTCTTACGTAAATCTTGTTTCTATATTTCTTGGTGTCTACAAGATGTCAATGTGGAAATGACACTGTTATTTAGTTTAAGTAATTTTCTATATTGACCTCTTGCGTCACCATATCCCAGAAGATGTCAATACAAATTCAACCTCCTTCCTGGTTTCTAAGAATCCCAGTGTGGCAAAGGTTCTTCTCCCAAATCCTCATTCTTCTAGTCTTGCAGCTTATATGACCTAGAGCCAATTATATTTCAGTCCTCCCTTCACTTCTCAAGTCCATTCTGTCCCCAAGTCCTGTTGACACTTCTGTACATGGGTGGTTCCTCCTTTCTTTTGACTCTGTCTGCCGCTAAGTTGGCCAGGACCTCATTATCAGACCAGATTTTGAAAGCATTTCTGATTTTAGCACTTTTTCCCTTACGTGCAGTCTCTATGCTATTCCTTAAAATGTTACCTTCAGCAAATCTCTCTCCTGCTTCAGAACTTCAGTTTCTAATGACTTTATAGAAACATGGGCCCAGTGTTGCCAGATCTTCTATTTTTTTTCTTTTTAGGAAAGCCCGAAATATAGATTTTTACATGAAATCTTATGAGTTCTGAATATTGGCAACTTATTCAAAGACGTTTTAAGCCCTATGTAGACCAAACAAAAATACTATCAAATCTTCAGGCAATATTTGATTTATTTTAGAATTTTAGTATTCAGATCCTGTTGAAATCAGGATCCAAGTACAATTCACATATTGCAGTTGGGTGACATGTCTCTTAAGTCCCTTTCAATTTACAGTTTTCTCTTTTTCTTTTTTTCACCTGAAATTTGTTTGATCATTTATTTTGCAGTTTTCCCTGCAGAGTTTGTCACAGTCTGGATTTTACTAATTTCATCATCATCATGTCTGATGACATGTTCCTCTGTCCCCTGTATTTTCTGTAAGTTAATCAATAGGGCTTAATCTAATTCAGGACCACTTCTTTTCTGGAGAGGAAGGACTATGTTAAAGATAGTGTTGGTTTCTCCATGAGGAGGTACATGCTGTCCAGTTGTATCTATTTTTTCTGGCATAGCAGTCATTGATCATTGACTAGATTCATTCTTTTATTCTTGCAAAATGGTGATATTTAATTCAAATGAACCTTTTAAAAACATGAAGACTAAGCAAAATAATTTATTATGTTTATATTTATTTCTAGAACTAGCCTAAATTACTTACCAATACACTTACCAGGAGCAGATTCATTTTTTCATTCACATGTGCAAGGAGATACGCTGGTACCCGGGGTGGAAACACCGAAGACACTGTTTCTGCTCTGGAAAGACACCAATTAAAGTGGCAGACAGAGATTCGTGTGGGAGACAGATGTAAGAACCAACATTATAATCACATTTCTTAGGAATCAAAGAAATATGGAACTAGAGAAGAAGAGATGAATAACTTTGCCTACGAAGGTCAAGAAGACTTCTCAGAGAAGAGCTTAAACAGTTAAATCAGGAAGAACAAATATAAGTTTACTAAATGAAGAAATATAATAACAATAGCCACAGCACTACAAATACTCTAACACTTACCAAATATCATCCTAAGCATTTTACAAGTGTTAACTCATTGAATCCTGACTAAAAGCCCCAAATTCAAGAGATGGAAAAACTGAGGCACAGAGTGGTTAAGCTTTACACTCACGGCCACATAGCTAATAGGTGACAAAGCTTCAGAGAAATAATTTATAACATAAAATGAGATGTTCATGGTTTGCGGATACAATCTTCTCAGAGGCAGCCTTATTGTGTGGGGTCAGTGTTTTATAAGCTTCCCAGTCAAGACTGGGTTCCTCATGACCTAGGAGTCAATTCCAATTTGTCCTTGATAACCACAAGCCATATGAAACAGCATCAATAATAACCATGAAATAAAAAGTGAGATGGGCAAGAGAATCTTGTCTATTATCAATGAATTATACATTGCTGCAAAAAAAATCATGCATTAAAAAAAGATTTGGACTTTTATGTATGGCAGTAGTTCATTAATCGCATGAATTATAATTCACTGATTTCCCAAGTGATATAATAACTTGATTGGTGAGACTAAAGGTGAGCTTTTTTTTTAACCTTTCACCTATTAATAACATAAGTTTTTTTCCATAGTTATGGGAGAAATTAATGTGTACTCTTGTTTATTATTTAAATTCTGAGAATGGGGATTTTGGGGTTTTATATCCCACAAATATACCGAAGAAGGAGTTTGAAGAGAGTGTTCAAAAAGTTAGTGACAACCAAGTCATGAAATAATGGAAATGAGAGGTCATTTGGTTCTGCCCTCGGCCTCTAGGACGTTCCTTTTGCCTAAGATCACTCAGACTGTAGAGCTGCACTCATTAATCGGAAAATACATATTATATTCCTGTTGCCATGAACCCTGGGAAAAGAGTGTGTTCACCTAAATTTGCACTTAACCAAGTCAAAAATGTTAGAGAAATATGTGACAACATTTGATGAACTTCAGGGAGGGAGCAATGAGCTCCTTTTTCCCTGCGGATATTCTTCTCATTTTTCAATTTAGGTATTAAAGTTATCTGTGCACTTAAAAAAATCAGAGTTAGAAGTCTTAAAGGCAAAAGGAGCTATTTTTTCCTTAGATAGTTGGACCTGTTAAGGATTTCTGCAAAATGTAAAAAGACCTACATTGAAATTATCCAAAGCACCCATCTATCTTATTATAAGCTTTGATCATATAAAGTTGCGCTGATGTTAAGAAAAAAAGTATCATTCCATTGTTCAGATTTTTTTCTTGAGTTTTGTTCGTTGATTATAATTATGATGTGTGAAGTAATGAGCCCATACATGATCGGTAAGACAGAAAGATGATTTATTGTTTGGGGAAGATTTATGCAGGAAAAATATGCAGACAACAGAGAACTAAGTCTCAGGATGTAATTGATTAAACAAGACAGGGATCTAGGTCTTTTGCCTTGACACGGTGTAGTTGCCTCCTGAATCACACGGGTTGATTTAGGTATTTTGAAGCTAACAGGTAGATGTAAAAGTTGGATGTTTGCTCCACTTATGTATGTGCCAAGGACAATTTTAGATTTTGTGAATTAGAAAAGGGCTGAGTAGAGGTTGGAGGAGCCAAGGGGATTGGGAAGTATATCAGGGAGAGGCTAATGTGCTTCAGTTTTATTGATAAATATTACTTTTGCCATGATTATTGCACTGTATTGGGATGTATCATTGACTAAATGTCTGTATGGACAATGGGATGCAACCCAGGTGATGTTTATCTCTTCTTTTCCCATGATTAGATTTGACTGCCTTTTAGTTTACAGGTGAATGCTCACATTCTAATCAGAGAAGATGATTGGGATATAAAGCATTCTCAGAAACCAGGAAGTATGCATTTCTGAATTCCTGTTTCTCCCTTTGCACATCACTAAAGTATTTTTTCCTTTCCATCTATTGCACCTGTATGAATTTGAAAAGAATCTAAAAAGACGCTTATTCATGTTATTTGAAAACAAGGTAAAACAAAGACATTTAGTTTTATAATTAGGTAGGCTCACCCTTTGTTGATGATTTGTGGCATTTGCTGACATTCCTAACTCTATTTCTGGTATTCTATCCTTACTGGCCAGCATCTCATAAGAAATCCATCACGAAGTCTCATAAACCTTCATGCTAAAGTGTGCCACAAAATATCCTCTTCTCTCTATGCCCACTGCCCTGGTCAGCACTTAACCTTCCAACTGAGTTCGGCTTCTCCTCTCCTGCCCCATAATCTACATACTACCTAGCAACTAGAGCTATCGTGCATTATCAAGTGTTACCCAGGTCAAATGTAAACTAGATTAATCCCCTGCTCAGGATGCTCCCATTGCTTCACATTTCAATTAGAATAACATCCAAGCACCTTTCTGTGCCTGCAAGATCCCATAAGCTCTAGTCTCTTTCTACTTTTCGGAACTCTTGCCCTCTGTCTTCTAGTCATGCTGGTTTATTTGTGTCCCTCGGACACCACGCTTTCTTGCCTTGGGGATTTTGCAATTGCTAGACACTTGGCTTAAAAACAGTTCTCCCGTGGCTGCCTTCATTTCTCCACTCTTGTTTCAGGCTTCCCCAGAGAAGCCTTTCCTGACCGATCAGTCTAAAGTCTTCCCCTTCTTTGGTTACTGTCATCTCATTAATCTTACATTATGACATGTTCTTATCCTTTGAAAGGCGGGGTCTCTAGTTGTCTTGTACACTGCTCCAACCCCAGAGGTAGGAATGATATCTATTACATGGTAGGGACTCTAATATGTGTTACAAGAAATAAAACCCAAATCTAAGTAATTGTGCAAATTACCATCCTTGGTCTATTCTGATGCTATATATCAGTGTAGTGAAAGAAATACAGGAACATTCAAACCTGAATTTGATCCTAAACTCTTGTCACTTGGTTGCCACATACTACCTTGTTTAAACTCTCTGTAATAGATTAAAAACGGCCAAAGATTCTTTGCTACACCCTTCAATCATAGGTAGAGGCTAAGTGCCTATCAAGATTAGCCTTAGGCTTGATTATGTGACTTACTTTGACCAGTGGAACATTACTCTCTGTTGGAATAAACTATGCAAGCTGAGGCTTGACAATCACTAGCCCATTGGTGCTTGCCCTGTTGGAACCTGCCTGTTGGAACTCTGCATAAAGATTCCGTTGCTGCAAGGAAGATGGTTTGGCTCATGTGAGAGATGGCTTGCAGTAGAATCAAGGTGATCTAACTAATAGGCAGCAGCAACTTCCGGGCTTATGAGTGAGGCCACTTTGAACATTACAGCACACACCTGCTCATCTAGTTGAATGCAGTTGTATGAATGAGCCCAAATAAAACCACCAGAGAAACTATGCAGCCAACTCACTGAATTGTGAAAATGTTACACTATTATTGTTTTAAGCCACTACATATTATGGGTGGTTCATTATTCAGGATTATTGGAAGACCCAATGAGACAATAAAAGTAGTCTCCAGTGCATTTTCAATTCATAATAGAAACTCAGTTCTTCTCAGTTCCCTGTCATTATTCTGGCTCTGAACTTGGCTGGTGAAATTTCCTTAGTCAAAAATCTGCTCTGATGTGACCACGTAGACAAATGATGTTTGCAAAACATGTCAGGAGATGGATTCAATCATGCACAGAAGAGGTGGGACTTTAGCTCAATTAAACTCATTCTATGGCCATTTCTCAGGATGATTAAGGTAGGAAATTGAAGTATGGAAGCAGGTTAAAAATACATGGAATATAAAATAATGGCTGTCATTTAAAGTACTTACTATGTGTCTGGAACCATACTAAAGCACTTTATATACATTGTCTTCTTTATTTTTGACATCAACTGTATTTTACAGAGGAGAAAACTGAAGTTTATATAAGTTAAATAATTTGCTCATGATCTCATTAGTGAATGGCAAAGCTGGGTGTTGGACCCTGGTCTAGCCTACTCTGGATCTACTATGAAGCCCAGCCTTCAAAAAGAGGTTAAAATCGCAGTGTGGGAATGGGGCCAACCTCTGGTACAGAGGTTGATCTATTGGGAAGACAAATAATTAATGCAGATAGTTTATGCCTCAGAGCCAATAAACATTGCATCAATTCTAAGTGTTATGGAAGTTCAAAGAAGGACTGTTAAGGCCAGATTGTCGGCAGAAATTAGGGCTCTCTAGAGGAAGGAGGATTGGAGAGGGGGCTCAATGACCTACCACCTGTACCGGCTAGCAGACACTGTGAGTTTAGGCCTTGGGCTTAGAGTATTATGTGCATTCTTTGTTTCATCCTCTCAATGAGATGGGGATGATTGTGATCCCATTATCAGATGAGGATATCAAGGCTTACAAAGGTTAAGTTACTTGCTCAAGATTACACAACCAATTTTTTACAGACCAACTGGTGGTTGGAACCCAGGACTGTGGTGTGGGATTGCCCCTGGAGAGTGCTGCATCCAGAAGATGAGTGATATTTAGGGAAATGAGAACAGCACTGGGCAGAGGAATGAGCAGTGTGTGTGTACCTGAATGTGTGTACTGATTGTGTATAGATCATTATATACATGTTTATGAGTATGTGTCTAGGATTAGAAATCAGCCAAGGACTCCAGATAATGATAGTTTAGGCCAAAGTTGGGGGAGGGCATACCAAAACATAAGTGATTCCTATGATGGGGCAGCTTTGAATGTATAAAGAGTGTTGCAGCGGGCATTTGTTATTGTTGCTTATCCAATATCTTTTTCCTATTGTTTTGGGAACAGCACTCTGTTTGACCTCTTGGGAACCACATATCTTACATTCTTAGAGCTAGTGACCTGACCAATCAGAGCTCTGAACACTCTAGGACAGGGTTCCCCAGCCCTCGGGCCACAGACCGGTACTGGTCCATGGCCTGTTAGGAACAGAGTCTCACAGCAGGAGGTGAGCAGCGGGTGAGTGAGTGAAGCTTCATCTGTATTTACAGCTGCTCCCCACTGCTCGCGTTACCACTTAAGCTCTGCCTCTTGTCAGATCAGCAGCAGCATTAGATTATCATAGGAGTGCGAACCCTGTTGTGAACCATGCATGCAAGGGAACTAGGTTGCATGCTCCTTATAAGAATCTAATGCCTGATGTCATCTGTCACTGTCTCCCATCACCCCCAGACAGGACCATCTAGTTTTAGGGAAACAAGCTCAGGGGTCCCACTGATTCTACATTTTGGTGAGTTTTATAATTATTTCATTAAATATTACAACGTAATAATAGAAATAAAGTGCACAATAAATGTAATGCACTTGAATCATCCCAAAACCAACCCCCGACCTTCAGTCCGCGGAAAAAACTGTCTTCCACAAAAACCAGTCTTTGGTGCCAAAAAGATTGGGGACTGCTGCCCTAGGACATATTTTTAGTTGACAAACAGGCTTATAAAGCAATCAGACCAAGGAGGAAGGGCTCCTTTCTGTTGGAATGAAACAGGATGGGATGTAGGCCTGGAGGGGCTGACAGCCATGCTGATATCATATGAACCTGGGAGGGGAGCCAACTTGGAGAGGAGCTGTGCTGAGGGATGGCACGAATCATATTCTGGGGATTCAGTGACATCAGTCAACAAGGCCCCATTAATAATTAAGCCAGTTTAAGTTAAAGATTTCTGTTATTGGCTACAGGGCGCAGAGGAACGAAACACTTGATATAAGATTTAAACAAATTGAAAATGTTTAAATTAATTATTTTCTTTTTACAGATGCACTGAAACTTTTATTCACAAACTTAACTCAAAGTATCCTAATTTAAGACATAGTCAGGGAGCAAAGAGAGTGCAGAGTTAAAAATTACTGTCTTTAAAGTCAGTAGACCTGAGTTCTAGTCTTACCTCTACTGCTTTATTTTAAGAATGTAGTCATTAATTCAGTTAAATAGCCAATATTTTTTGAATGCCTGTCCATATGTTACAAACTCATTTCACCTGAGCATGATATGAAAAAAAACTAAAATTTTTAGCCATGTAATATGTAATTTGGGGTAAGTTTTTTTTTCATTTCTGTAAACTAGTTTCTTCATTTGTAAAATGGTAACAGTAATTGTAATCACCTTATCACACATGAATGATACTTTGAGTCGTATTTTGCCTTTTGAACATATACAGTTATTTGAAGAAAGGTCTTTACCTTGAAAGACATGACTAGAAAACAAAGATACATATGTCCTTGGGTGTAAACACTCCTGTCTGCAAGGGTCTAGCTCTGATGAACTCTGAAGGTCATTTCCAAGAGAGCAGTATTAGTTAGGATGCAGAAAAGGCTGCTGCTATATGAAAATACAATGGTTTAAATGAGCAGTAAATGGCGTTTCTCTGATGGAACAGTGCAGAACATCATCCAAGGTCGGTAAGGTGACTTAAAACTACCAGGGACATTGAGCTTTCTGTCTTACTACTTTGCTGCCTCTAGGGTGCAGCTCTTGTCCACATGGTATAGATCTCATCCTCCTGGACAAAGATGCCTGCGCTCCCACCCTCAGGAAGACGGGAGGGGAGAAAGCGGAGGGAACCCCTCCTTTCCTGTTAAGGACACGACATGGAATCTGGAAACTTCCACTTCCTCTCACACCTCATTCGCCAGAACTTAGTTATATGGTTATATCGAGGTGCAGGGGAGCCTGGGGAATATAGCCTTTAGCTGGGCTCCTTTGTGCCAAACAAAAACTACTGTTACTGTTGGACAAGGGGAGAATAAGTATTGGGGGCACCTGGCATACTCTGCCACATCTATTATTCCATATCAGAAGGAAGGAACCGCACATTCATTAGCTCCAAATCTGTTCTTGCTTCTGGGTTTCAGCCATTCCTTGGGCAGCCAAGTGGGCCTACTTCCATCTGGCCTGTGCCGTAAATCCTCTTCCCTTTGCAAAGAGCATTTCTTGCATGTAAAGCGCAGAAATCCAGGGCCATCAGCCTCTCCTGGAGTTGTGTGTGTGTGAGTGTGTGTGCGTGCACGTGTGTGTGTGTCCAAAGTCATTCTTTGGCGGAAGGCTACCTCTATGTGAATAACGGGCCCACTTGTATTTTATATTAGCTTCTGCTTTATTTCATAATTTTTTAAGGGAACACTTTTTCCTCTCATGCAGGAAAATCTAATTATGCAGTGACAGCAGTTGGCTGACTCGGGCACAACACAACATGTCAATTTTCAGTTGCTTACACGGTCTCACAGAAACTGTTAGAAATTGTTTTGAAATCTGGCATACATTTCAGTCATGTTAATTCCTACAACTGTGCCAAACTAGATGAAATTTGGCTCCTCCACACTCTGGGGAAGGTGGGGGATTGAGAAAGGCGAAGTTGTTGTGTTTTGTTTTTTTTTTTCCCGGCAGTGACATCATCTCTTCATCCTCCCCTTATGATGAACGGTGTCCTCAAACAAGCCAAAAAGTAATATAACTTTATATTTACAAGACCGAGTGACAAAATGATGGCCAGAGACTGGAGCTGTGCTATAAAACGATTGAAGAAATACAGATGGCATGATGGTTTTTTTTTCTTCCAACAGATTTGTGCCAGATGTGTGAATATTGATAATTTCTCTGGAGCTCAACTCAAGGCACAATATAGATTTCTGTTTGATGGAGGGACAGGAGAGTGAGAATTCATCCCAGCGATGGTATTTACAGGAAATGTTTTGCCTCTTCTTCCAAATCTGTCAAAGCAGAACCAGAAATCCCAAATTTCCAAATGAGCCTCTGAGTCACCCTTTGTTCTGGACCCAATTTTTATCTCCTCAGTAATTGACAGACTGGAAAATTCATTTGTGAAAACATGTGGTAGGTTTCTAAAAGTGGAGCCTCTCAACTGGCTGAACTGATCCCTGTGCATCAATTCAGGGCATGAGTAGTAGCAAAATCTTAGAAAAGCATCTTAGAAAGGTATCCACTTTATCATCAGTCTTCTCCATAGAATCTTAATAATAAAAATATTTTAATAGAATGATATTTTTCAACACTTGTGATGGAAAAACTTGAAAAAATGTACTTATTTCCAAAGCTCTTCTAGGTTTCCTTTTTATTCTTTCTAGTATTCTAATACCCCTGAACCCATTTTAAAATAAGATTCTGGGAGCCAGAAAATTTCAATAAAGTTCAGTTTTTTAATCCAACTTTGATTTTGCTTAATATCAGACAGAATTATTGAAAAGATTTTTTTAAAAAAACAGAAATATTTATTATTCTTAGAAAGATTCAGCTTTGATCAAATAATTAAGCAAGTCAATTTCAAAATCAGTATAAAAATGTTTTCATATCTGTACCTTGCTATCTTCTGTGAAGCATTTCAAATGACTTTAGAGGAAGACATCTATAATGGAAAACATAAGTAGAGAAATAAGGAAGAGAGGCAAAAAGACAGAGAAAATAAAGAATTAGAAAACGACCAATGAAAATTGCCCAGGACATTGGGAATACCTTTTGGCTATAGTTGAAACTTGAATTTGCCTTCGAGCTTCTTGGTGGCCATAGCAAAAATGGAGACATGATCACTTACATCATTTTCTTTATCAGAAAGCAAGGACTACATCAGTTCCTTAGGGGAAGAAAGTTTACTCCTAACATTGAGGTATTAATGGTGGTTCTCAACTGCGGGCAGTATTACCCCCTCCCCTGGAATATTTCGCAATGCCTTGAGGCATTTTTAGTGGTCAAAACCCTGAGAGGGGAGGTGCTGCTCGCATCTAATGAGTAGGGGCCTGGGATGCTGCTACACATCCTACAAGCATCTTCACAACAAAGAATTATCTGGCCCCAAATGTCAACAATCCAAGGCTGAGAAATCCTGGGTTATAAAATAAATTTTTCATGTGGATATTCATAATGTCCTCGGTGATATTCCCACAGCACATGGCTTCGGAACAAGGCAGATCCAAGTTTAAATTCATGCTCCACCACTTAGCGGCTGTGTAACTTTTGGCAACTTGGTTAACTGTTCTAAGTCTCAGTTTCCTGGAGATAATTATGTAAATCCTATAGGGTTGTTATAAAGATTAGCAGGAATCACGTTTATAGAACATCTAGCACAGTACTTGGCACATAGGGAAAGCTCAGTGAATGTTAGCCATTAAAATAATTTCATAGGCAGAGAGAACACTAGAGTGTTATTCCCTGAAGATGGTTGTGGTCTGAGAGGGGCTGAAGGGTGAAGTTCTATTGTGAACTGTTTCATCTATTGATAGCCTTAAGAAAGCCTAGCGGCCAGGCACGGTGGCTCATGCCTGTAATCCCAGCACTTTGGGAGGCTGAGGTGGGGTGATCACGAGGTCAGGAGATCGTGACCATCCTGGCTAACACGGTGAAACCCTATCTCTACTAAAAATACAAAAAATTAGCTGGGCATGGTGGCGAGCACCTATAGTCCCAACTGCTTGGGAGGCTGAGGCAGGAGAATGGCATGAACCCGGGAGGCGGAGCTTGCAGGGAGCCGAGATTGTGCGACTGCACTCCTGCCTGGGCGACACAGCGAGACTCCATCTCAAAAAAAAAAAAAAAAAAAAAAAAAAAAAGCCTAGAAACGTGGATGAATGTATACGATGACCTTCCATGGGTATCACCAAAGGGACAGTTTGAGGCTGAACCCTCAGCCAGGAGTTCAGAGTGCTGTTATTTGTAGTTGTTGGTTGAGCGCTGTAGCACATTCTTTAGAAATAAGATAAGCAGGTGGTAGAAAGACATATTAAATACTACTTATGCTGGTCACCAAGATGTCCAGACACTCTTTGATAGACTCCTCATGTAATACAAACAACACAGAGCCAAGTCGCATCTCACCTTCTAGAAACATTCAAGGGTCACCGCTTCAAAATTTAGTTGATCTCTTCTGAAAAACAAACAGAAAACAAATAAACCTGAAATTCTAGAATCTAAAAAACAAGTTCTGCTACCATTTTAACTTGTAATGGGTCAATGTATTTGTTGGGTTATGGCTAGCTGCTGAAACCAGTTTCAAATTTCCAAGGCTTAACACAGTAGAAGCGCATTTTCAAGCATGCAACCGATCAATGTTGGTGTTCATGGTTCGCATGTGGCTCGCTTGACTTCAGGAGGTGTTTCAAAATTCCAAGTTACTTCTAGTTTATGGCTCCATCATTCACTTCCCCAGAGTTCTCCATTTCTAGCAAGAAAATGAGAAAAAGAGACAGCAGAGCAGACATATGGGTTCCATAAAACCTCTCCTTGCATGTGACTTAGGTCATATCTGCTCAAGTTTTATTGGCCAGAGCTCATCACTGGGATGTTCCTGCATGGAAGGCCAGGAAACGGAGCCCTGCTGGCCAGATGCCACTGCGTAGACTGGGAAGGAAAATGTTAGTGGATAGTACACCTTCTGCCGTTACTGCCAAATACACACTGGTGTGGTTTGGTTAATCAACTTCTGTTCAGCAAAGCATTTCCATTTTGAAAGCAAGGACAAAATACCCATGTCTAGAAACCACCCATAAGATTTAGTTCAGTTCTTTTCTTTTCAGCAGTAGAAAAAAATGTAAGAAGTGGACATGTGACAAGTTTGATAGACTGGAGAAAATCTAAAAAGGCCATTATTCAAATATTTATGGATCCTTTTAGCTAATGGATTCAAATTTATAATGCTGCACTTGTCAACAAGATAATTTTGCAAAAACATTAAAGGCTGAGCAGTTCGGTCCCTTCTAACCCTGAGGCCTCTTCGCCACAGCAAATGAGCAGCTGTTCTCAATGAAAATAGAGCTCCCGTGCTCACTGTGTTCTGAGACCCAATGCACGTTGTGTGCCAGTTTCTAAGCTGTGCTTTGGAGAGGAATTTGGCATGTTATGAGATGTCCAGGACTAGGCTAAGGCATCCATTTTATCAAAAGAAGAAAAAAGGCCACATGGTGTTGCCACAAATATCTTGGACAATAAGGTAGATTATTGTAGTCGGAATTGAATAGTAAACCACTATTCATGATATAAGACACTGACTCTTATCCCCCAGGGCATCCAGGGTGATATTAAAAAGGATCTGACATGATTTTTGGTATCTTTGTATTAAAAAAGAGGAAGAATGCTATGTTATAGGTAGTAATGGTTATGGAGCAACAAATAATAGGGTTAAACAGTATTTGTGGAAAAATAGCCCTTGTAGAGAGGTTCTGTAAGTAAGCACATATGTTTGGAAATAGTTTATATTTGGACTAAATAAACTGTATTGAATGAATAGATTTTAATGCCGTTATCTCAGTGAGCATAATATTGTCAAATACAAAGCTAAAAAAGGGAGGAGACTTTTTAGTTGTACTCTGATCATCACCAGAGAGAATAAGAAATTATGGTGAAGTTTTGGAAAGAGTTTGTTAAAAGAACACACAATAAAATTTCATGTTTATTGCACACAATAGAAGTGTTTGTATGTTCAGGGCCCTTGAGTCTTTAGAAATATTCTGAAGCTCAAACTACAGAGCTTCCCAGATACAGTTCTCCATATTGGTTTTCATTTTAGGAACAATCAGTATAAATAACCCAAGTTCTGGGAGATCCGTATTGACTGGCTGGTTCTGCCTGCCAGCACTATGAGCAAAACCTGTGCTGAGAGATGCCATCTCCTGGTGCTTTCCGTAAGCAGACCTGGGTTGCTAGAGAATGCAGTTGTAATGAAAAGTTCTCCATTCCCCTTATTACTTAAGAGAGTGTGATACCAAAATGTACCTAGGAAGAGTGCTCACTTTGGAGTCAAACTACCTGAATGCATCCTTCTGTCTCTGTCTGACCGTATGGCCATGAACAAACTATTTCATCTCTTCCCACCCTCAGTTCTTAAAAAAAAATACTGAGATATCTCCTTCTTTTCTGAAGAATACAAAAGACAAAATGAGTTCTTATTAATCAATAGTGAAAAACTCAACATCCAAAAAACAGGGAATATTATTAAGTAAATCAGTGTATATTCATTTGATGGGATATTTTACAACCATTATTAGAAGAGTTTTAATAATCTTTGGAAATTTTAATAATTTTATTACAATATTAAATTAAAAAACAAAATAAAACATTGCACAGCCACCATGAATATAATTACACAAAAATGTTACACGTAGGGAAGATTCTGATTCTGGAGGACTCCTGGTTAATAGGGCAAATTCAGCTGATGTATGAAATTTCCTGGTCCTGTTTCAACATAGAAATCCTGGAAAATTATATATTTAAATACATAGCTAAGCTTGAAGGGGAAATCCTTAGAAGTCTCAAACAAAGTGTTTATTCAATGCTGGAGGTTAATGTCTCTGTGGGAATGGAAGAATAAAGCCTCAAGTTTGTATGGTGGGTGGGAGCTGGAAATAAGCTTCCTCCATAAAGTCAGAAACCAGCAATCAGTGAAAGGAGAGCTCAAAAAACTCTCCTGCCTTCCAGGGCCATGGTAAAGAAGCTTTAAAGAAGCTTATTTATTAGTTGCCCTGTGAAAGAATCCAAAATGAGAACTCAAAATCCCAACCCTGCATCACATCATGCATGGATGTAGGGTCCTTGGTCACACTATTTATTGAATGTGAAACATGGAAACCACAAATTAACCTAGAACTGGTCTGAACTGGAAGAAGCCATTAGGTTCCAGCAGAGGAACATGTAAATCAGCCCTCAAGGAGGTGTTCCTAATCAAAGGAATTCCCTGAACTCACTGCCAAGTGAGTTTAGAGTCAGAAATTACAATTCCCACAAGGAAGTAAACAACCATGAGAGAGAAAGCCTATAAAAAGTGACAGAATTTGTTTCCTAAATAACTACAGTTAATAAAACAATCTAAAAGAGACTTTAACACACTATGGTAAAATATCCAAAGTGATGGAGCCACATATATGTTTTATAATGGAAGTTTATGAAAAAAGAATGAATATAGTTGAAAGAAAAAAAACCTAACAGAAATTCTAGCAATAATACATGACTAAGTAAAGTCATTGTTTTAGTTATTTAGTGCTGTGTAACAAATTACCCCAAAACTTAGTGGCTTAAAAAATTCAAACATTTATCATCTTGTGGTTTCTCTGGGCCAAGAACTTGCAAGCAGCTTAGCTGAGAGAATCCAGCCCAAGTTCACATAAAGTTATAGTCAAGATCTGAGCCAGGGCTGCATCTTGGAAAGCTCTTCTTCCAAGATGACTCACTTGCATGGCTGGAAAGGTTCTGGTTGTTTGAGACAGGCTTAGGCCTAAGTTCCTTCTCACACAGGCCTGTCCTCAAGCTGCTTGATGCCCCCACAGTATGGTGGCCTGCTTCTCTTAGAATGCACAATCCAGATGAGTAAGGCAGAAGAAGTGATGCCTTTTATGACTGAGCCTCAGAAGTCACACAACATCACTTCCTCAACTTATTCATTAGAATCAAATCACTAAGCCAGGCCCCCATTCAAGTCAATTAGAATTAGGTTCTGTATTTGTTGTCGCACTGCTACCAAGTAATACTTGAGACTGGGTAATTTGTAAAGCAAAGAGGTTTAATTGGCTCACAGTTTATGCAGGCTGTACGGGAAGCATAGTGACTTCTGCTCAGCTTCCGGGGAGGCCTCAGGAAACTTACAATGATGGCAGAAGGTGAAGGGGAAGCAGGCACATCTTACATGGCTGGAGCAGGAGGAAGAGAGAATGGAGGGAGGTGCTACACACTTTTAAAACAAGCAGGTCTCGTGATAACTCATTCACTCACTGTCATGAGAACAGCACCAAGGGAATGGTGCTAAACCATTCATGAGAAATCCATCCCTATGATCCAGTCATCTCCCACCAGGCCCCACCTCCAACATGGGGATTACATTTCAAGATGAGATTGGGTAGAGACACAGATCTAAACCATATCAGTCTCTACCTTTTAACTGAAGAATGTTAAAGGACTTGTGAACACTTAAAAACCAGCAGCACTACTGAAATAAAAAGATGTTTATTTGTAATAGTAATGCTTGTCTCTGGATGGAGAGTAAAATGTGATTTATTTCACTCTTTTCTGTTTTTTCTTAAAATTTCTACAGTAAAAAATATTTTAACATTTCTAATGAGAAATAAGATATATATGTGTATATATATGTATATGTGTATATATATGTATATGTGTATATATATGTATATGTGTGTATATGTATATGTATATGTATATGTATATGTATATGTATGGAAACTATCCATTAAGGGGCAGAAGTATGGACAGTTTGGGGTACGTACTCTGTGCCAGGCAATGCTTGAAGGTATTCATTTATTTAATCACTACCATGATAACTCTATGAGGTAGACACTATTTTTATCCCTATTTCTAAAGGAGAAATAAGTACAATTGGTAAATAAGCCTGGGAAAGAGCCATGATTCTATCTACATCTGGAGACTTATGCATACAATTTTCTCATACACTGAGGCTTATAAAACATCTCACAGAATTCAATGAAGTACCCAATATGTAATGATGTCACCTAATTCTGCTTGCTATTTTCATAAGACTGCTTCCTGTCTTTGCCTTTTGGAATAATAAAGTACTCAGGTGTACTATTGGGATGGTATTAATTACCATCAACCCAACATGAAGAAGTCTTAGCATTGCCCAAAAGGCATTTAAGAAAGCTTAACACGTTTATAAGGGCTCCCTGGCTGGGTCCAATCTTTCAGAGATTAAACATATTAAAATTCACAAAAGGATTTGTAATTATTTATTTTTCTAAACAGGCAGAAGAATTAAAAAAACAACAATGCTGCGTTAGATAGGAGTCTCTTTACCTCTTGTTATGTTCACTACCAAAATGAAGTGTCCTTGTTTTCCTTTTCTCTGCGTCTAATCTCAATGCCATTTGATTGGCATTTAATTTTCACCTGAGGATTAGACAGAAAACTGAGATAAATCACTTGCTCATTCAACATACACTTCCTAAGTTTCTACTATGTGCCTGGCATTGTGCTAGGAACTGGATTTACAGAGAAAATCAGACAAATACAGTACCTTGTCTCATGGAATTTAGAATCAGGTAAAATATTAATAAAGGCAATTAATTAGTAGAATAAATGTGAATAAGCAAGACAACACTCTGCTACACAGACCATCCAGAATACACCAGATATACTGTATTGCAGGCTAAGAAGAATGCTATTTGACTTTTAAGCAAGTTGGCATTTCAAAACTAAATATTTGGAGTAAAATTTTACCCCCTCTTTTTATGCTATTTTGTTTGTGGGTTTTAGGAACTGCATTCCCTTTGTGCTTCTTTCATGATGACTAGAAGACATTCTTACTGGCATGTGAGAACCTTATATTCTACTAAGAGCAGGATTCACAATATTACATATAGTACAATCTAAAAGCCGTGCAAAAAGTGCACACACAAAGGCCATTTAGGAACACACCAAAATATTTAAAATTGTTATTTTGGGGTGACACTATTTGTCATGCTTTAAATTTTTTTTCTTCTCCATTGTTTTCTGTGTTTTAAAAATGTTTTTAACGAACCCTATACATTTTGCCTTCTTTTTTATAAAAATAATTGCATTGTTAGATAGATGCAAAGTGACACGGTTGTGGTTCTACCTTTTGAATAAAAATTTTGGTTGGAGAACAAATGCATGTTCTAAGGATGATTTCCAACTTTCATCCCTGATCCCAGGGCATTGGACATGACAGAATCAATGGCATATTGCACATTGCACTGAATTTTAACATAGAAGAGAAGTTGGGCCAATGCAAAGGTGATTGCAGAGGGGTAAGAGAGAATGAGAGGATCTGAGAGAGAATGGTTCAATGTTTGACATATTGAAAGACCATCGTGTGAGTTCAGAGAGTGGTCATGATATGGGGAGAAGTTTGGAGAGGGAGCTTAATAAATAAGTAATGGCCACTGAGGGTTTAGATAGTTTCATATTTAAAGAGATATTTATGAACTATTGCAAGACTTGTAGTGGCTCTCCACTTTTCTCTTCCCCTCTCATTACAGTCGAAGGGAAGAAATGAGGTCTAAAGAAAACTGCAGACATACTTAGAGCCACAGACGACCTGTTCATTAAAAGTGAATGTAAGAGTTAGCACAAGTTTATACTGAAAATTTTATTTTTATCTCTTCCTCTGATAACTGCTTCTGAAAAGTATCCAAAATGGGTGCAGCTAAATGCAATACCTCCTGTCACAGAGTGCCTTTGATATAGAAGTTGTGTTAGGCATTTAGATGAGATTCCACACACCCAAACACTAAATCCTTCTCTGTTTCAGCGTTCCAAGTTGTTTATTAAAGAGACAAGGGGTAAATGCAGCATCCTGCTACTACCATATTTGCATGTTTTGTTTCACTTTTTTATTTCTAAATTAAGGCTTGTTGACAGCCACCCTGAAGATTATTGCTGTGCACAATTATTCAATCCCACTATTTCTGCATTCATGCGTTATCTGAGACATCCCAGAATGCAATCTACAAACATACATGAGAATCTGGGAGTGTGCACAAAAACACAAATTTGTACACACATTGTTTGTGTGAGATGAGATTATATTGCCGAATATTAAGAATATAATGTCAAAGTGAAAGAGAACCAGCTTCACTTAAATTCTCCTTTCCTTACTAGTTCTGTCATATTGTGCAAGGAACTTATCCTCAACAAGCCTCAGTTTCCCCACCCATAGAATGCAAATAGTGATTACTTCCACATCGAATTGTTGTCAGGAATAAATTAGATAAGTGATATGGTTTGGCTATGTCCCCACCCATATCTCATCTTGAATTGTAGTTCCTATAATCCCCATGTGTCATGGGTGGGACCCAGTGGGAGGTAATTGAATCATGGGAGTGGTTTCCCCCATGCTGTTCTCGTGATAGTGAGTGAGTTCTCATGAGAGCTGATGGTTTTATAAGCGTCTGGCATTTCTCCTGCTGGCACTCATTCTCTCTCCTGCCACCCTGTGAAGAGGTGCCTTCCACCACAATTATAAGTTTCCTGAGGCCTCCCCAGCCCTGTGGAACTATGAGTCAATTAAACCTCTTTTCTTTATAAATTACCCAGTCTCTGGTATTTCTTCATAGCAGCATGAGAATGGACTAATACAATAGGCTATGTAAATAATCTGGAATTTTACCTGGCACACAGTAAACATTCAATAAATTTGTCTATTATTACAATTGACTTTATGTAAATATACATCAACACAAACAAATGTTGATGATTATGAAAATAGTAGTATGATCTGCATTTTAAGTGTATTCTGTTATATCTGCATTCTGATTCCCAAACAAGTAGATTGCTTATCATTATTTATCATGAATTCTCTCCCCACATTGCTTTGAACCCATTTTATAGGATGAGAATGGTCTTTTCCATTTCCCTGTCACATGATTCAGACTCCATGATGGGGAAGGCAAGTGGAGTCCAGGATGAAGATGACTCTTTGTTATATTTGACAACCTTTCTTCATTTCCTTAAGAAGGGAAGGATTTACTTAAAACAGGTGTGCAAGCATCCATCTCTGCCCCAGCCTATCACGGTGGATGCAGCCGTAATCCCTCTTCCTGGGCGTTGGAGACACTTGTATTTCATGATCAGTTATCTGCAGACAGGTGTCTTAGAAAAGTGCCTTGGCTTGAAATTGTCTGTTCCATCATCCTGTCCATGGAATGGTACACAAAACGATTGTTGAAGGGGCACACACACTTTTCTTTAAGTAAATTAGGTTTTCTTTGAAAGGTGTTCTCAGTCTTCCCCATGACAGGTGTGACTCCCGAAAGACATAAAGTCCTCAGAGATAAGTAGGTTCATTCAATGATAAATGTGCTTCACCCTCTGAGCATCTGCTGGACCACCTGTGGGTGACATTTCCTTGAGTCCAAGTTTGGCAGAATGAAGAATATCAGTGCCCTCCATGCCCACTCCACCACCCCACCATATCAATGTCCCAGGCTTGCTAAGGATTAGGTGGTACTGCATTGGGAAAATCAGGACATCTTTCTTGCAATGATAATTTTAAAGGCAAATTGTTTCATCTACAGAATCTGATAATGATAAAATATGACTTGAACCCCTGGAGAGATTTCTAGGCCAAATCAACTTCCACTGACAGTCAACTATAGCTCTCAATCTATTTGCAGACTCAGTTCAATACATGCAGTTATACTGAAAAGCTCACTTACAACTTAGGGAAGTCTTATCAGGGGCAAGGATGCTATTATGGGTCCCAAATTTCAATTTAGACACTTTGACATTTTTGCTAGAATTGTATGAAAATTTTCACTTACTGCATACATGTAAATGGGCAAGAAGACAAGAGCTCAAGCAATGACAGGAATAATTTGGTGAACAAAAGTTCTTAGAAGGAAGACTTTGACATCAGACAGAAATGTGTGGAATTAGGACAAGGTGAAATAAGTGAACAAAGTGATTTCACTATAAGTTGAAAGGGGTAAGGAGGAGGTGATATTCAGGAGTAGGATACTAATGGGTGTAAATTATAAGAGAGAGCATTTATTGGTCGCTTTCAATGTGCTATATTCTGTGCTAAGTGCTTATACATACCTGATCTTGTTTAATAATCACAAGGCCCTATGACAGAAACAGCATAGCGTAATGGTTGGAGCACAAGCTCTAAGGCAGCCTAAGTTTGCATCCTGACATTACAACTTACTAGCTGCATCAGCCTCAAAAATCTGTTAAATCTGTTAACATCTCTAAACTTTGGTTTTTGCTTGTAAAAAAATAGTGTCTGCACCTCACAGAGATTTTGAAAAGATTATATAAAACAATGCCGAAAAAGAAACCACGTATCTTGGCTTACAATAAATTCTCCATATTGTAAATGCTAACTTTGTCATGAAATCATTATCACAATTTTACATTTGAAGAAACTGAAGCTTGGGGAAGTTAAGTAACTTGTTTAAGGCTGCACAGCTAATAAGTGGCGGAGCCAGGGCTTGAACCCGGACCTGTGTCATGCTAAAGCCTACATATTTAATCCCATGTAACTAAGGGCTGAAGGTACAGAAGGAAGGTATGATTAGTTCTTTGCTTCTGTATCTTAAAACTTGCCAGCCTGAATGAATGTGCTTCCATCAATCAATGGGTTAATAGATAGATAAAAAGACTAACAACAAATGCAATAAATCTCACATTAAGTTTTGAGATTTTAACATTTAGGTTATCCTTATTGGTAGTCCTGTAACAGATTCTGTTTTCTTTGACATCAATACCAGGTTGATTTGCAAACTCTGAAAGGCATGATTAGTATAATGTGATTCTACAACTTGAGGAATAAAAACAGCCACACCTCTTTTATTAGTTCCACTTAATTACTCGAGCTCCCATAAACACTCATAAGCGGAAATGTTAATATATTTCTCTTGCCATTTTTCCCTGACCTCATGCCCAGCTCTCATGCCCACATGGATTGGTCCTGAATCTCAGGGGTTGCATTCATTTTGTAGAGTCACCTTTGCTTCAAAAGCTGGTCAGAGGGAGAATTGGTGGGTTGAGAGGTCTGGAAACTGACTGCAGGTCCCAGCTGCTGCTGTTTCTGGTGCTTCCACCCAGTGTCACTGTTGAGAACGGGTCGCATGCAGCCTCTGCTGCTTTGCCCACCCCATCAAGGATGCCTTTTGCTGCTTAAATCCTAGCTCCCACCAGAGTGGTAGCTTAAACGTAAAATCCAATAGTTTAAGCCCCACTAGGTTTTACTTGTGTGCTCAACAATTTCTGGAAAGTATGCCATTCTGTGTTGGAATGGCAGGATCTAAAGTCTCTCCAGCCCTAGTCACATGGGATATGTCCTAGACAGGTCTCTCCAACAGATCTTTAGGGACTGATGTTGACTCTGGATCACCTACTGAAATGCTCTTTGGGGCCTGTCAAGAGAACTTACATGGGAATACCTCAGTCAGAGATGGTCTAATAATAATGAGCCTCAAAAGGAAATAAGTCAGGAACCATTTCTTTGCATCAGGCTCCCTGTGCCCTATGTAAATTGACCATCTCTTGAGCAATGCCCAACTCTGATGGCCACTACAGATCAAACTCCTGCAATATCTTCTTGAGGCAAATGAGTACCTGTTGGACTTCTTTTGTGTGGCTAAACAGTGCTCCTCCCGGCAGTTCGTTTACCACCTAGCCCCCTCTAGCTCATGTGGTTGCCTCTCTAGCTTCCTCAAACACAATCCCAGACCTTTCCAGATGCCATCGCCTGTGCACAACCCCAGGATTATTAGTTTGAACAAACTATGATGTTTCTGAGGATATTTTCCTCTGGTTATTTCTTGGCTAAAACAGTGTACCCTTGCCACATGGCTGGAATACTCCTCCCAGCTCTTAGCGTACATCGGGGCCTCTCAACTGTGGCACTACTGGCGTTTGGGTCTGGGTAATTCTCTGTGGTGAGGGCTGTCTTGTACACTGTAGGATGTTTAGCAGCCTCCCAGGGTGAAGAAAGTCCACAAATATTCCTCTGTGTCTTCATAGGCAGAGTCACTGCTAGTAGCTTCTCAGGCAGGAAAAATAAAGGCATCCCCATGCTGTCACTTTTTTTATGTGACTATTCATATTTTCCAAACCAAAAGTCAAGGTCCAGAGTGTGACAAATGGGACTTAATCTCTGAAACCGTTGAGTACTGAAATCAGAGCTGCTTAGTCATAAGAAAGAGTGTTTTTCAAGTCCATGTGACCCATCACTGATAGCATAACAGGAAGGAATAGTGGCCTTGTGCCTTTCTTCCCCAAAGCCATTTGTTCATGAGACTGGATCCAAGAAACTCATTTCTGATGAGGCATAATTGAGAGTTGCCCTTATAGTGGATTGTTAGAGGCTGAAGCATTTATTCAAATGCTATTTATTCAAATAAAATGTATAGTTGCCTCTACTCCCATGCTGCTTTTAATCTAGATACTGAGTAGAAAAACAAATAAAACAAACCCTGCACCACACAGTGTATGAAATGCACAGGGCGCCACAGCAGGGCATAAGGGAAGAATGGTTAGAGTAATCAGGGCAGGCCTCACTGAGGATGGGACATTGAAGTTGAAGATAGTGAAGAGATAGTTAGATCAGCGGTTCTCAGCTGAGGGTGATTTTACCCACTACAGGACCCTTGGCAATGTCTGGAGACACTTTGCGTTGTCACACTGAAAGGTAAGGGAGGTGCCTCTGGCATCTAGTGAGTACAGCCCAGGGATGCTGTTAAACATCCTACAATATAGAGGACAGCTTCCACCACAGAAATGACCCAGGCCCAAATATCGATAGTGCCACAGTTGGGAGACTCTGATGTAGGCTAAGAGCTGGGAGGAGTATTCCAGCCATGTGACAAGAATAGGCTGTTTAGCCAAGAAATAGCCAGACGGAAATATTATCAGAAAAAGTACAATTTTTTTTCAAACTGATAATCCTGAGGTTGTCTTTGAAGAGAGGTGAAGTTAAGTTTCCCAAAGCAAGAGAGACAATTGCATGGACCTTGAAACCCTAAGTGGTGAAAGAAAGGAGTGAAGCAACCAGGTGTGTGCAAGAGAAATCGTGTTAAAACTGAAGAGAGTCACCAGCTCTGAGGTTCTGCCTGTCATGACTGTGAAGAAAGGTCTATTTAGAGTTGCTAAACACTCTAAGTCTTAAAGAAAACTTGCATCTTGAAATTTTACATCTTGGCAAATCCTTTATTTTAATCGCTTTTAACACTGTGCAGGCTAAGAAAAGAAAAAAATATTTGCAGATGAAATTTTGGCCCGCAGAGATTAAATTTGCAACATCTGGGTCAAAGACACAGGGGACTGACCGACTTCCTCATCTATAAAGAGAGGTGCTTGGACAATGTGCTTTCTCAAGTCTTTTCCAATTCCACACCCCATGACTGTGGAAAAGCAGAACATCCAGGTAGTTGACATGCCACATTTTTATGATAGGGAGGTCCTTTCCTTCCACCCCAGATCTTTCACTCTATGTTTCTCTACATCTTCGAAACCCAAGCAATAGTCAAGTCCTAATCGTGCCATCAGCAGGACTCACTTAAACAAGATGGAAGAGAAAGACAAAAATTCTCCTTAATCCCAGTTGATATGTGACTTTGCTTAGCACTTTGAATATTATTAAGTGTTTGAATTTCTTCCTGTGTCTTTTTCACCGAGATGACTGTCTTTCTGTTTCGTTGACAGCCTCTGCAGGACCAAATTGACAGCTCTTTAAAGGCGGCTGACGAAAAGCAGCATTAATTAAGTCATTGCCGGACTGTAATTGTGTTAAGAAGTAAAAATCTAATACGAGAAAAGGTTAGTGAGTCCTCTCTTGTGTCAGATTTTCTACTCCCTATGAATATTAATGTCCTTAATGAAGACAATCTTTGCCCCATCAAGCCGTTGTTCTGCATTCAGGTGCCAAATGCCTGTGCCATTGATTTGTTTTTAAAGAACAAATATGTCAGGAGAGAGTGACTGTCCTGTTTCTTATCAACATCATAGAGGATGCTTTTGTATTCCCAGGAAGAGTTTATAGATTTTGTGTGCATGTACAAGCTCTTGTGAAGGGAGGGGGGAGAAAGTCATGTGCAGGCAGGGTAAATGAGTTATGGTAATTTAATATTAGTGTTGTGTTTGATCTCATTAGCTCCTTTTCTGTGTGTGTGAGCAATATTCATATATAAGTGGGGTTACAATCAGCAGTTTTAATAAAATAGGAATTCTCTCCAGAAAAAGAGAGGCCTGCGGTTTAAGCATTGAAATGGGGTCCATGAGAGAATCAAATTCTCCTCTGCTGATGGTCCTCTTCTTACTCTGATGGAGCTGATGAAGAATGGGTCTTAAATAGGTTGGAGGCCTTGTTCTCTTTCTCTCTCTATCTCAGTATTTACTCCTACCTCCTACAATCAAAGACAAAATCTCACCTCTCTTCTTCCGAATTCTTGACCAAAAATGAAGTAACCCTACATATATATTATATATATTTACATATGTATGCATGTATTATATATACATGTATACATACAAATATATACATATATACAAATATATGTATATTTATATATACATATATTTGTACATATATATCTATATGTATGTATGTATAATCCAAGTTATACAGGTATGTATGTATAACTGAAGTTATATATGTATGTATATACATAATACATATATATTTATATATGTATGTATAACCCAAGTTATACAAGTATGTATGTATAACCCAAGTTATACAAGTATGTATGTATAACCCAAGTTATACAAGTATGTACGTATAACCCAAGTTATACATGTATGTACATATACATATATGTACCAAGTTATACATATATACATATATATGTGTGTGTATACATACATACACACACATACATATAACTTGGGTTTCTGTGTTCCAGAAAGTCCAAAGTACCCTGCTTCTGGACATAAAGTCACCATTGTCAATTTTTTGGTTGGTGAGAGCTTGATGGTGAGTCAGTAAGCTGAATTATGTGCCAATTTACATAACTGATTTAGTTAGAATTAATTTGGGCTGAAGTAACAGGGCAACTCCAGAAGTGTAGCTTCATCATGAGAGCCATTGCTTCATACATAAGTCCTAGCTGGTGTGGTTGTTCTGTGATGGTCAAAGGCTCCAGGCTCCCTCCAACTTTCCACTCATCATCTCTAATGTGGCTCTTGTCCTCATTGGCCAAGATGGTTGTTGGGGCTCCAGCCATCACATTCACCCTCAGAGCAGTAAGTGGCAGCCTCACATCTCAAAGGAAGGAAGGAGGCCAAAAAATTTACTGCCAAAACACATGTGCTAGATGATTCACCTATATTATTTTATTTTATTGTTATGTCCCTATATGATGTGTCACTATCTAGGTTAGTTTACTATTGCTATATAAAAGCTAACACATGCTTAGTAGCTTAAAAAAACACAAACATTATCTCACAATTCCCATGAGTCAGGAGTCAGGGTATGGATTAGCTAGTCCTCTGCTTGGGGCCTCCCGAGGCTGAAAACAAGTATTGGTGGAGGCTATGATTCTCATCTGAATCTCTGGTCTGCTTCCACACTCATTGGTTATTTACTTATTTTAGAGACAGGGTCTCACTTTGTCACCTGGCTGGAGTGCAGTGGCTTGATCACAGCTCATTGCAGTCTTGGACTCCTGGGCTCAAGCAATGCCCCCCACCTCAGCCTCCTGAGTAACTAGGACTACAGGCATTTGCCACCACACCTGGCTACATTTTTTTTTTTTTTTTTTTTTTGGTAGAGACAGGTCTTGCTCTGTTTCCCAGGCTGTTCTTGAACACCTGGTCTCAAGCTATCCTCCTGCCTTGCCCTCCCAAAGTGCTGGGATTACAGGTGTAAGCCACCATACTTGGCCTCTCGCTGGTGTTTGACATAGTTCATTTGCTTGTGGATGTATGATTGACACCCTTTTTTATGCTAGCTGTCAGCCAGAGACTGTTGTTACCTTCTAGAGGTCACATACAGTTTCTAGTCATGTGGCCCTAGAAGCAGCTCATAGCACATCAGTGTGCTTTCTCCCCTAGGCCAGCAGGAGCTCATCCCTCTGATGTTCCATCTCCTTTTTTTTTTTTTTTTTTTTTTTTTTGCGACGGATTCTTGCTCTGTCACCCAGGCTGGAGCAGTGGTGCAATCTCTGCTCACTGCAACCTCTACCTCCTGGGTTCAAGCGATTCTCCTGCCTCAGCCTCCTGAGTAGCTGGGATTATAGGCGTGCACCACCACACCAGGCCAATTTTTGTATTTTTTAGTAGAGACGGGGTTTCACCAAGTTGGCCAGTCTAATCTCCAACTCCTGACCTCAAGTGATCCACCCGCCTCGGCCTCCCAAAGTGCTGGGATTACAGGCCTGAGCCACCTTGCCCAGCCGGTCCATCTTCTTTTAAAGGCTTCTCTGATTAGGTCAGAGGCCCACCCAGATCATTTTTCTTTTGAATAACTTCAAGTCAACTGATTAGTAACCCAATTATAAGAGTGACATCCCATCATATTCACAGGTTTCGTCCACACTATACAGGAGGAGACTACACACGCTGTTGAACGCCAGAGGGAGAGGGTCTTGGGGGCGTCTTAGAATCCTGCCTGAGACTGAGAAACTACCCAGGTTTGTCAGTGTAGAAGTCAAAGAGAGTATCCATGTGTTTCTGACTCAAATTTCTACCAGAAGTCCTGCCATTCATTGTCAACATTCCTAAAGAGGTTAGCCATGCCCTTGGTTTTGCACAATGTCGTTTAATCAAGGGTCTATTAGATGTAAAATATTCATTAGTTTATTCAAGAAGTATTTAGTGAGGGTTTTCTGTATGCTAAGAACTGGATAGGAGAGATTCTGACATGAGGCAGAATGGAAACCTGGAGCCGGATGGCCAGAGTTTGAAGTGTGCCTCTGCCAAAAGTTAGGGATGTGACCTCCTGCAACTCACCTAACCTCAGTTTTCTCATCTTTAAAATGGGTATGCTAGCAGTGGGACTTAGTTCAGAGAGTTGTTGCGATCTATGGTACTCAATCAACATTTGTCATTATTATGAAACATTTGCGCCCATATTGTCTGTTTTCAATTGCAAACTTTTGGAAATCATGGGTAGAGTGTGGAAGCTTTTTGTTGTACTATCAAGTCTTCCATCAAACACCCAGACATATCAGAAAATTAATTACTATGGAAGATGCTGACAGCACATTTCTGCCATGAGGCAGATTTCCCCCGTCTTAACATGCACGCTGGGGCATTTGGAATAAAGAGGGAAAAAAAGGCACATTTTACTAGTTCTCTCCAAACACAGTACAGACTGCTAGGCTGTTTCTTCAGAGGGGGAGAATCAAATTGGCTCCAGATCCCTGCTAGGCTGCCAGACCGTGGGAAGTGAGAGAGAATGTCAAAGCTGGCAGTTGACAAACAAGGAGATCGTTCCAAAAGGAGGAGGATTGGCCTAAACAATATCCTTCACAAATGTTTTTCTCAGCTTTTGATAGAGAAGGAGAAAGGGGGAAAAAATCCCACAAATCCTCATAAGATATTCTAGAGCACTGGGGTCACTATTTGCAAAGGTTTCAAGTCTGGGAACGTACCAGCTTTAAGTGTGTAGGAAAATTGCAAGTTATAGATGTAACTAAAGTACGTTCCTTCTAAAAAGAAATGAACAATATGAATAGTAGTAAAGGCCCCTTTGATACCATCCTCACTTTAGTTCTCCTTCCTTCCCCTAAGGAAACCAGTTATGAGGTTTGAAATATAGCCTGTGATTTAATTCAAATAATTAAATTGCATCTATGTTCTATTCCCTGAGAAAATGTATATCGTTGTTTTGTTATTTTTACACAAAATGTGTAGAGTTGCTTCCTGTTCTTTTTACTTTTATATAAAAATATTATGATGCACAACCATTCTGCAATTTGCTTTTTCCCTTCAACCGTGTTTCTAAGGTCCCTCCTGTTGATATTCATCTTGCTCATTCCTTTTAAACAGCTAAATATCCTACAATTAATTTCTCTAGTCTCATGTTGAGGGCATAGGTTGTTTCAAACTTTTTGGTATAAATGGTGCTGCAGTACACGTCTGTCTTGAAAAATATGACAATCCTACTTTGTCTACTACGCTTCACATTGGTCACATGGCAGCAGGGTATTGTCTCTTAGAGTTCCCTGTTGTTTTTATTTTAGTTTATTTGTTGGTCAGTTGGTAGAAGACTCATTCATTCGCTCAACTGTGACCCGCTCACCATATGTCAGTCACTTTGCCAGGTATTGGGGAAATCAGATCAAATCAACTAAGACATTCACGCTAGCCCTGATCAAGCAGCTGAAGTGATAAATTCTGTGACAGAGATGTGTTCAAGGGATGCTGGTGGCACACAGTAGGACGTCTCCCCCAGATGTAGTGATGGAGAGTTGGAGAAAGCTCCCTGGAAAGGAGTTGTCAATTTGATTCCACTCGTTTGAATTGTTTTTCAAAAAGCACAGGCTTTTCCTTCCAACCTTAGTAAAGACAGTTTGTGGAAGATAATGTGATCTTGTATGAAGGCTACGACTCACATCACTAAGGGTATTCTTATTTAACGGTGAGAAGGTGATAAGCCATAAGGAGAAGACTAATGAATTGTGAATGCCTGTTGACCCAGGATGTGTCTTGGAAATTTTAAAGGATAGAGTATATGAATGTGTGTATATATAGATGTGTGTGTATTTAAGGCAGGAAGAAATCTGCTGCTCCTAGTTAATCTAGTGACTCTGTTAGCTAGGTTTACAGTCATTGAGGTTTCAAATTGGAATTTTTATAATTAAAAGTCATTTTTGGTTTTCAGCTCCAAATTTCCTGTCATAACCCTAGGGCCTCACTTTATCTCCACCACGTTCTAAGCCTGTACTGTCAGTTTCTCTTCCTTAATTACTTCTGATTCTTAGATCTCGGATTGTGTGTTTTCCTCTGAGACTGCCAGTAGGCCTGCCCCACACAACGGCAGAAGGAAAGGTCAAGTTAAGTCAAGGGCCTGGCATGCATGCAAGTGGGGAAGGTCGAAATATCTTAGGAATAAGGCGTCTTCCCATCGTCATTGTTATTCTTGAAACCTTCTCCAAAGTCTGGCAAGTTTCAGCATCACATGTGCTCAAACCCCCATGCATTAACATGACAGGATTTCCTAAATGAGAACATATCAGAAATGGATCTGTGATTTGAAATTTCTTTCCCTATTTTGAAAGGGCTTCAGTGATTTCTTACATTTGTGAACTTCCTTTAAAAAAAGGAAAAACGTGTTTTTATGGGAAAAATTAGAGAAAATACTTTCTGTGGCGTGTTTGTTTCTGTTAACCTTAGCTAAAAAGAGTGGAAGTAAAATCAAGATGCATGCCTCTAACTACAGATTTTTGACCTTTTGTTTCTTTTATGTTCAGAAAAGTTAATTCAAAGTAAACCATTTGCCTTTATGAGGGGGTAGTCGATATCAGAAAAGTAATACATCAAAATGTAAATATCTACATTTTATGCATGCAAGTAAGAAAGCCAGGATGAGTGAGAATTTGTTTTTGAAATAGAAGGTCTATTATATATTAAATTGACTATGGGGTGCCTACTACTCTCCAGTTACATTTCGATTGGTACTGCTTTTAGATGGGTGAACACTAAAATAATATTTGAGTAGGTGTCCATTTAGATAAAAAACACACACTCTTCAAGGAGAACATTGAAATGTATTATACTCAGGGGATCTTTTTAACTTCCCCCTTTTAAATGTAAAGTGAGGATTTCCATTTCCAGAAAGATCGAGTATACATAATTTTTCCTATTTCTCCCACTAACTATTAAAAATCTGGACATTATAAATATGTACACATATGTATGTGCACATATTTTATATGTGTATGTGTATGTATTATATATATGTATATTTATGTATTACATATGTGTATTACATATATATGCATGTGCATGTATTATATATGTGCACGTGTATGTTTTTATACATATGTGTATGTATTATGTATGTGTATGTATTATATGTGTATTATATATGTATGTGTATATATTATATATGTGCATGCATTATACACATGTGTGTATGTATTATATGTGCATGTGTATTAAACATGTATGTGTATGTATTATATATGCATGTGCATGTATTATATATGTATGTGCATGTATTATATATGCATGTGCATGTATTATATATGTATGTGCATGTATTATATATGCATATTTATGTATTTCATATGTATATGCACATATTATATGTGCATGTATTATATATTCATGTGTATGTATTAGATATGTATGTGTACGTATTACATATGTGTATGTATTATATATATGCATGTGTATGTATTGTATATGTATATGGGCATGTGTTTTACATATATGTATGTATATGTAATATATATATATGTATATGTATATATCTCTCAAACTAAAAGGTGGAGAGAAGAGGATAGATTGGCTAGGGTTATTGAGACTCAAAGAATTACATGGTGGTGAGTTCTCTGGGTTTTCTCTGTGCTGCATACATGCCAGACTTGGAGCTGAAGAAGCCACACACCAACAGGTTAAAAAAAAAGCCGTAACAAAAACCTGTTATTTCTAACCAAGGGGCCCGGAAAGGGGCAGCCTAGTAAGACAGAAAACTTTTCAATAATAAACACATTCTACTTTAGCCAAACAACATAGAAAAAAAAATATATGGCCCGAACCTAATCATGCAAGCCAAGGTCAACTGGAAAGCCAAGATTTCCCCATTCATGAGACTTGCAGTGAGGCACCCCAGTGCCTCCACTTGGCTGGTGTCAGAGAGGCCAGGGGAGCATTCAAACTTCACCATTGTCCCAAAGTAACAAGTCCATCCCCTCCCCTGGAGTGTCCGTGCAGGCCATGAGGGAGCAATAACAAGGTGCTTCTATCCCTTCTAGCCAGGGAGGTGTCAGGCGCGGCCTAAGGGAAATCTAGAACCACCCCCACCTAGCATTAGTTAGGGATCCCAGAGCCCCCCTTTCTGCTGTCATCAGAGGCTGAGTAGGGAGCCTGGACTTCTATTATACTTGGGACAGGAGGGAAGTGATGATGAAAGGGCAGCATGAAGGATCCTTGTGATGTTGGAAATGTTCTGTGTTTGTATCAATGGCATTGTCCTGGTAGTGGCATCGCCCTATAGTTTGGCCACATGCTACCACCAGGAGACACTGGGTCAAGGATCGCTCTGTGTTATTGTTTGACAACTGCATGTGAGTCTACAATGATCTCAAAATACAAAGTTTAACATAAAAAGTGAAAAATGGAAAAAAATAAACATGCTGTCTTCTGTTCTTCATTCACTATTTTTACATTCATTTATTCATAAAAGTATTTAGCAAGGACTTCCTGGGCACCAGGCAGTGAGGATCCTAAAATGTCTACTTTTAGTTCTTGCCCTCAAAGATTTATTAATCTTTCAAGAGGACACCAATATGTAAAACAACAAGAAATAAGTAAAAATCCTTCTTAAAATAAAAATGGATCATTTGAAGGCTCTATATTTTATCACCCTCCTCAAGTGGTAATGGTCAAATGGCAAAAACAAAAAAAAAATCTTTATAAAATACATTAGGACTTTCATGAATTCCTATCCAGTATAACTCAAGGAATTTGCTCAGCAAGAAATATCATCCCACCAGTCAGAAGGCAAGATCTATATATACGATGGATAATTGGAACATATTTATGTCTTGCATTTCTAGCTCCTTAAAATCTACCATAAGTATCATCATCCTTTTCCATCTTACAATGGTTTAAATAAATAACATATGTTCAAGGTCTTAGACTGCATTGGCTTAACTCTCAAAGTACCACTTCTGTTTCTCTCTGTTCTAATCCAAACTGTTAAAGCCATTCACTTTGTATCTTGATCATCACTCTGTCCCCAACAATGTCAGTCTATGATGGGCAGTCCCTACAGCTCAGGCAAGGTTTCAAAACCTCCCCAGTGTGACTCCAAGGTAAGACCACGTTTGGTGGAAAGAAACCTGCAAACACTGAGAAGGAAAGCCTGGTTTCATCTTATTTTTGTCTTCTCTTCCCATTGCTTCAGCTTTACTTCCACAGCCTCACAGAAAATCCTTCCTTGAAAACCAGTGGTCTCTCCTCTCATGTGTGAACTCTTTTTACAGTGGTTTTTGAGTGTGCATCATTGCCAGATTTAATGCAATGTAGACCAATGTTTCCCCAATTCAGTTTTGTATACAGGTGACAGTCTGTGACAAAGTTTTTGTTAATACAAATATTCATTGAAATAAAGGAAACACAGCACACATTTTACAAGGCAAACACATTTAGTTTAAATGATGGTCTTTTATCTAGATGTTATTTTTTTTCTATTTTGTTAAGTGACTTTTCTATGTAAAGGTATTTATTATGGATGGTAGTTACATTTTGCTTTTTAATGATCTTTGCAAAATGAAAAGTTGATGACCCTATGATTGTCTATGCCTCTCTTTTCTGCAACATATCTATGGTTGAAAACAATTATCAAAAATATTGGAGACTACAAATATACATTTTTTAAAAGGCAAGCAAATCTTGCCTCGTGACAGAATGAATCTTCTGAAGTTCCATGGAAAACTAAGAAATGCTCACATATTCTTTGAGAGTCACAAAGCACATTTGCATTTTTATAGGCTCTGGGAATTACTACTGAAAAGACATTTTTAACTTTGTGTACTATGGAATATTCTTAATTTGCTCAATCATAGAATTCTTATATTTTCTACATTATATATTTATTCCATAGTGCACATTTTGGGAAATGCTGTCATAAATGAAGTATGATATATTTGAGTGGAGAAAACTGTGGGAGAAAGAAATCTTGGTAAGATCTATCAGACAAACATTTATGGAAGCAATGCATTTGGGGCAAGATTATTTGAAAGTTACAAGGATTTGATTTGGCTCCAGAAAGAGGCCAAAGATAAAGATCAAATTAATCTATACAAGAGGCTGCAAGTAGAGATGGCAACGCATCCCAGGCAGCTGACCTAAATGTGTGAAATGGGCAAGGATAAGGTATTGGGGAATGGTGGGGAGTGTGGGAAACTCTAAGTACATGCCCTGCTGCTTGTCTCGACTGGACTGTCATCATTTAAGAAGGCACGCATGATGGAGGTGTCATAACTTTTGGATTTTGAAGAGAAGACAGAGATCCAAATTTTTCCATGAAAGATTTCTCTATTTTTATTTTTTAATTTGTATGTATTTATTTATTTTTTTTTGACACAGGGTCTCGCTCTGCCACCCTAGCTGTCACTCTGGCAAAATCACAGCTCACCGTAGCCTTAACCTCCCAGTCTCAGGCAATCCTCCTACCTTAGCTTCCTGAGTAGCTGGGACCACAGGCACTCACCACCATGCCAGACTATTTTGTTTTTACTTTGATTTTTTTTTTTTTTAAGATGAAGTTTCACTCTCGTTGCCCAGGCTGGAGTGCAGTGGCATGATCTTGGCTCACTCCAACCTCCGCCTTCTGGGTTCAAGTGATTCTCCTGCCTCAGCCTCCCGAGTAGCTGGGACTACAGGCACCTGCCACCATGCCCAGCTAATTTTTGTATTTTTAGTAGAGACGGGGTTTCACCATCTTGGCCAGGCTGGTCTCGAACTCCTGACCTCATGATCCACCTGCCTCGGCCTCCCGAAGTGCTGGAATTACAGGCATGAGGCACCGCACCTGGCCTGTTTTTACTTTAATTTTTTAGGAGACAGGGTCTCACCATGTTGCCCATGCTGGACTCAAACTCCTGGGCTCAAGTGATCCTCCTGGCTTAGCTTCTCAAAGTGCTGGTATCACAGAGATGAGCCACCATACCCAGCCAATTTCTCTATTTTTAAATATTCACAATTCAAAGCTAAAACCAAAATGTGAACCTAATATATATGTATACATATCTATTATAGATGTATATATGTATGTACCCATATGCGTATGCATGTAAGTATGTGCATATATACTTATGTATGTGTGTACATATAATATATATACACACGTGTGTGTATTTTATATATATATTTTATATATATACACACGTGTGTACATATTTTTTATATATGTATGCACACACATATATATATATTTGTAGGTGTCTCGTTTGCAACCTAGACTAAAATTTTTGTAATTTTGTGAAATTTATTTCACATATAACAATAAAATATACTATATCAAAAATTATAATAATATTGGGAGTATAAAGCAAAGTAACCATGAATGTTTAGTCTCAAGATCCAGTTAGACCAAGATGGCATTGTTCTGAATTTTCATTCCCAAGAGGACATATTCCTGCTGTTCCCTTTTTCATTGAGAAGACTGAATGCACCTGCCTGCTGCATTCTCTTCTTCTATTTCTCCCTTTTTGTTCTCCCCTCCTGGATCCTCTTGGCAAAGAAGGGCACCCATGTGTGCACCTGATTCTTGTACTGCATCTTGCTGTGTACCAGCTATAGGCAAAAAGGCAGATTTAGTTCAGCCATCATGAAGAGCAGAGAGAGAATTCAGAAGTTTCTTATCACATCTGATCTATGAATGATGTGGGAATTATAGCACTCAGACTGCATTTGTGCCTGAAAATGTTAAAAAAAAATCACAACAAGAACTCCTCAACTCCAAAGAGGGCACAGAACTCTCAACCTCAAATTAAATTTCACAACTTTAAAAAGCTTGTCTCATAGTAGAAAAAATTACTCTCTATAATGTTACTAGGAATTATAATACTCTCATCTTTGATTGGCACCCATATCCCAATGGATGCAAACATACACAGGGTGATTTGAATTGAAAAGTTGGCTACTAAAATCACAGATTGCTACACATTCATTTGTGAGAGCAACTCCTTCCAACACCTAAAAGTTACCATAGAAAGAAGAGGAGGTGGTGGCTCATGCCTGTAATCCCAGCACTTTGGGAGGCTGTGGAAGAAGGATCACTTGATCCCAGGAGTTTAAGACCAGCCTGGGCAACATAGGGAGACCCCCCGTCTCTACACATAATAATAATAATAATAATAATAATAATAATAATAATAATAATAAAATTAGCTGAGCATGGTGGCGTATGCCTATGTCCCAACTACTTGGCAGCCTGAGGTGGAAGAATCACTTGAGCCCAGGAGCTCGAGGCTGCAGCAAGCCGTGATGGCACCATTGCACTGCAGCCTGGGCAACAGAGCAAGACTATCTTCAAAAAAAGAAAAAAGAAAAGAAAGAAGGAAGAGGAGATTTTCAGTTTACGTCAGTACTTCTTTACTGAGGGTGATTTTGCTCATCCTCATGTCCCCTGCCCCTTACATTTGTCAGATATGTTTTGGTTGGAGAAGTACGTGCTCTGGTGTCTATTGTGTAGTGACCAGAGATGCTGCTAACCATCAATCATACAATGCACAAGGCAGTCCCCACAACGAAGACTTCTCTGACCCCAAATGTTCATGGTGCCATCATGGAGAAGCTGTGGTATGTGCCAAGCTAAAGAAATGCTGCTTTGCATTAGCATATCACACATGCTGAGGTTTCCTGCAAAGCTGGCAAAGGGGGTGATTTCCTTGTACATCGCTCCTTGCCAAATTGGGTGACATCTTACAGAACCACTGCTGCTTTTCAGGGTGGAAACAATCTTAATCTAAGTACCTTGCAGGGCATTCATATGGTGGATTACAATGTGTAGCTACTACCTGGGCCAACACTTTGTATTTCTGCTTCTCGGTGTATGTGGGAACCAATGGTGTCCTCTCAAAGGACAACTATGTGTTCTGAATTCATCTTTGAAGAGATTTTAAAAAGTTGTCACCAACACCTAATACCTTACAGTGGCTGCTTCTCCAGTTATTTCTGGAGTCTACTGTCAAACACAGGTTGAAGGAAACAGCAATGAGAAAGGCAGACAAATGTGGTCCTCACCCTTGTGGGTCTTATGGTTTAGACCACAGGTCAACAAGCTTTTTCTGTAAAGGGCTAGATAGTAAGTATTTTAGACTTGTGTACCATAGAGTCTCATAGTAACAACTCCTCCGCTCTGCCACTGTAGCACAAAAGCAGACATAGGTAATATGTAAGCCAATGAGTGTGGCTGTGTTCTAATAAAACTTTATTCATAAGAAACAAGTCACTAGCTAGATATGTCCCATGAGTTGGAGCTTCCTGATCGCTGGTCTAGATTAGTGAGGCAGACTTTATTCAGATACATGCTTGACTAATTATATTTTCCAAACCATCTGTCTGGTATTCTATCCCCTGGCTTTCTGCATGATAATTCCTTTGTTATATTCATATCTCAGTTTAACTGTCACCTTCTTGAAGAGCTCCTCCCTCACCACCTATGAAAAATGGATCAAAAATTGTCCCGTAATGTACATCCTGCATTATGAGCTACGTGTTCACATATTTGTTCAATCTTTCTTTTTAAATAAAAGCAGAGACCCTGTTTGTCTTTACACCTCTTGGAACCTTGGCACATAGCAGGATTCCCCCCAACCCACCATCACCCACAACCGTCACACTTGCAGGCTATAAAGGAAACTTACAAGAACATTCTCAATAGTGAGACCTAACTGGTCCTGGAGAGGATCAAGTTTTATACTTGATACTAAAAACTATCACTGAAGGAACTACTAAGTCTAGTATCTAACAGGAATTGAAAAGTATTATGCACCAGGCAATGTTCTAACCATTTTTGAGTATTAACAATTTTATGAAGAGTCAATATTATCATTCATTTTATAGATAAGAAAAGAACTCATAAATAACTTGCATAAGGTTACTAGTAAGTCTGGGATTAGAACCCATAAAGTCTAATTCTTGCTCTTAAACACTATAATATGCTGTCTCTACTATAGCCCCCCACCAAAAAAGTTAAAAAGTTAAAATCCCTTAACCAAAAACCAAAAACCTGACTATCCTGAAAAGGTGACATTGTCCTAGTGTATCAGAGAGATAACCTAGCAAAACCAGTCAATTTTCAAAATGTGAAATTTCCACCTTTGGATTGATTTTGGGAAATTAAAATTCTGAACCTACAAAAGCCTAGGGTGAAATTGTGTATGCTAGTCTTCAAGCTATCTGGAGGGGGTTGACATCCTTCTGCATGGGGCTGCTTTCTGCAGCAGGGAGACCAGCCCAACACTCTGCAGGACTGTAATGGCGACCTTCCAGTGTGGAATGAATCCATTGAGAATACAGCTTTATGGGGCCATGCAACAAATGCATCAAATATTTATTGCCAAGAAGTATTTATTGCCAATTACATGAATGTGAAACAAGACATCATCCCTGGCCTACAGAGCTATTAAGCAAGGAGATGGGTGAATGTGAGGCTGCCTTGAGATGCGGGAAGGGAAATGCAAAAGAAGGGGATGATTCCGGGGTTTCCAGGTGGAACAGGGACTGGTGCATTTGTGTCAGCATGTATGGCAGACAGGCGCCAGATTATGACTTTGTGAGTGACACATGGCTTTAGGAGAAAGTGCCAGTCCTAAAGTGCCATCTGGACGAGCCCTAACATGGTCATGTGTAATCTGAATATGCATCATCTAATAATGACTGAGTGCTTACTTGGCACTAGACACCACTCTAAATGTTTGAACATATCATCTCACTGTGTTCTCACAACAAACCCCTTAGGCAGCTACCATTTTTATTCTCATTTTCTACATGAGAAAACTAAGGTGTATAGGGGTTACGTGATTTTTCCAAAGTCGCATGGGAGACCAATGAATAGAACCTAGGCAGATTGGGCTCCAGGATCCATTCTGGTAGCCACTGTTGCCAGCAGTCATAACCTGGCTCTATCTCCATTTTCTAGATGGAGAAAACAAGGCTTAAGGAAGTGCAGTGACTTCTCTGAGATTTGAACCTGAATTTGAGCTCACGGTCTTTTTACTACTCTAAGATAGTAGTTGTGGCCCCAAATCCACTTTACCTAATATCCCTTTATGAGACCTTCAAAACAATTACCACTCTAAAAAGAGGTAATGAAAACTGATCTGGGTTTCTTGGGCCTGAGAAGGGGCAGGAAGCAGATGTGAGAGATAGATCCAAAAAGACTTAAAGACTACCTGGCTATTAAGACATAGGAAAGAGAAAAAATTATGTTAATTATGTTGGTGGGTGCCTAGAATCTTGGAAATGCCATATTGCAGAGATAAAGAAGACAAAAGGAATAGCTTGGAGAATTAAGGCAATTATATTACTGCTATTATCCATCATAAATAATGTCAAGCAGGCATTTCCCTCCCAAGAATTATCTACTAAATTCTGGGAGGTTTACCCTCTCCCAGTCACACATCAACTCTGATATTTTAAATCCAAAGACATAATATTTGATCACACACCCTAACCTTTTGTCATGAAGACATACACTCTAAATTTTAAAAGCCTTCTTCCAGAAATATTTAAAGCTAACCATTCCATTAAATAAGTCCCGGATATCCAGACAGTATGACTGGGATAATATGGAATTATTTATAAAGATGGCTTGTTCTGAGAAAATTGTTATGCTGAAGAGAGGGAAATCCCACCTTCTGTCTTTGTTCATGAACTGTGATTAAAACCAATTTATCTGAGATGTATCAAAGAGAGATAATAAGTAAAGTGGATTTGGGACCACCCGGTTAGGTGACAGGTCTTTTGGTTGCTTTCATGTGGGATACCACCTCCAGTTACACAGCAGCACATTCTCATCTCATAGCTGTGGAATTCTTGGATTTGAAACCGGCTCTGTTCACTTTGTATAACTGAAGCCTCTTATTTTGCGTTGCCTAATTCTCGTCCTTTATTTGCATGCAACCTTTTATCATTAAATGATGCTTAAGTGGATCAGGATAGAATCCACTTTGTTCTCTAAATCAAGAACTCTTTTTCATATGACCTTGAAAGTAGGAGATTGGATCAGTGATGCTTCCCGCTGATCTTGGAATTAACACATGCACATGTATGTTCCTGGTTTGCCAGGTCTTAGCCAGTCTGGCCCCTGTCCACCCCTCTAGCTTCATCCCACTCCTCTCTCTTTTTCTTTCCGGATTCAAGCCTCAGGGACTCCCTCCATTTCCTCCAACCAATAAAATTCCTTCCTGCATATTCTATTTGGGGGACTAACATCTTCTTTCTTCCTGCCTTAACCTGATCTGTTTCAATTCATTCTGTCCATGTCAGTCTAATTGTTACTTCCTCAGGGAACAACATCCTCCTCCCCGAAACTGGGCAATTTTCTCCTGTTACATGTCATTACTCCACCAATTTCCTCTCCTCTAGAGAACTGACAGCAATTAAAATTAAATATGTGTTTGTGCTATTATTTATTTAATGTTTATTTTTTCAAAAGGCTACAACCCCTATGGGCAAGTCATCTATGGTATCTTTAGAGCCTAGAAAAGTGCTTGGCACATAGCAGTTGCTCAATAAATCAAAGAATAAACTAGTGACTAACGAATGAGTAAATAAATGGTTAGTCAGTTGCCTAATCCCATTAATTATGCTCTGAGGATGCTGCAGAAAGGCAACTCAAGGTCTTCAGAACTCAAACTCTGAACTCTGATTCTTATTCTGAGGTTTACATAAAATTTCTACATTATTTTACGCAAGCATTTCTTCGATTGTTTTTCTCAATCTTAAAAAAAGGTTTAATCAAACAGTTTTAAACATATTAAGATGTTTCTCTGTTTCACAAAATCTACTGATTAAAAGCATACTATGTTACTGAAAAATTAGAAATGAAAAATTAAAATTTGTTATGGCAACATTATCCAAAGTGTGGTTTGGGAGTATGAGTTTCACTGGCTGTTAGAGGAAAAAAATATTCCACGATCAAGTGCAGTTGGGAAACTTAAAAAAGCAAAAAGATTTTGTTTGTTTACTTAGTGAAGGACCCCTAGATCCTTAAGTATGCTAATGAGCATTATGAAAACTAAAGAGGAGGATTTAAAATGATACGTTTTCTAAATATATGTGACCATAGAGAATCATCTGGTCATAGACCATCTTTTGGAAATACTGCTATGTGTAGCAAAAGATAGGTTAATATTTCATGTTTATGCCTGCTTTGGGAGAAAGAACTGTAATGATTTTAAGAGGAACTCCACTTATCCCACAAACCAAATTTTAGGAACTATGCTTCCTTCCTTGCATTGGAAAGCAACTTCCAATTAAATGCCAACTCTGGTTTATGGTTTAAACATCAATAATAATTGTATCATTAGAATGGAGACCTGGAGTTCTCATTGTCACATTCCACATGGAGCTCTCATTGGGAAAAGGGAAGGGCAGTCAGTTTAGGAGTATTTACAAAGTAGAATCCGTATTTTAAATGACACTATTGATGGGAGAATAGAAACAAGGAGAAGCGAATTCAGATCTGGAAAACTAATCAGATTCTAAGACAGAGCCTCAAAACTGGACAGTCAAAAGAAACTTGCAGAGGTTAGCTTCTAGGAGGAGACAAATAATTCAGAAGATCAAATCAAGGCTGTGTGTTAGTTTGAGTCTTGATACAAAACAAGTAACTTCAAAATAGTTCAAGTCTGAAATTCAGAAGAATATGGGCTTCACCAATGTGTACTTGTCAACCCCCTAGTGAATAATATTTCTGTTATATTTAATGACCATTGGGCCTGACTCATGAATTTGATGGTAAGCAGGGTAGGCTTGTGGCCTCGGGTATTTTTAAGCATATAAGCAGAAAGGGGGAATATGTAAGGTAGAAAAAGGACATGAATTTTATAATAAAAATAGCATGAGTGTTTAGTGGATGGAGTTTAGGTATCTCTATGGAATACAGAGTTAAACAGATTACCATATGTTTCCTTCAGGAGCATTTGAAAAATGAAGACCAAATGTGTTTTACAGAATGATGTTCTTCATAATGCAGATAGCCACTGATTTGAAGCTGCAGCTAAAATAAATATGATACCTTTTGAGTGCTATTCACAGACACTAGTGACCTATCAATTTCCCTATCTCGGGAAAAGCGAACTGGAGGATGACAGCTCACTCCCAGAAGAGTGGTTGATATATGTTAAGTGGCTGTGTCTCTGCTTCTGATTATTAATTGTGGCTAATATTGAGAAAGAAGATGTCCCCAGACTATGCAGATGCTTCTCGGAATGGGGATGTCTTCAGGCATAGTGGGAAGAGGCGCTGCGATAGTCAGAACTTCCAGATCTGGTTTCCAGTTGTGCTGATAAACCTTGAGGCCAAGCAAGCTTAAACTTCCGAGACTCTCCCATTTCAGGCCCTGGGAGGGTGCTACCAATGTGTTGTCATGGTTATATGTATCTCTAAAAGCTGTAAAGCATAATGTTTTATGCTTAACCTGCTGCTCCCCACATAAACCTATCCTCAACTCACCTTTCCAGGAACTGGATCTTAAAATGCCAGTGGCCATTCTGGTTAAGATGCTACATTTTCCCACTCTTACTTCCCCTCCACAATACTTCTCTTTGAATTAGATGGCATTAGAATGGCCACTGGCATTTTAAGATCCAGTTCCTGGAAAGGTGAGTTGAGGGTAGGTTTATATGGGGAGCAGCAGGATATATACATGTGGTGGTCCATCACTTTCATTTATGGTTAAGGTAATGCTAGTATCCTGGTATAGGAATGACTTCTAGGAACTCTCATGCACCCACTAGGCCTATGAAGCCAATGCTGCAGTGGGCAGGTGCAGGGCCAGTGGAAGTACAGCAATATAAACACATCCTAAGGTGTCTGTACTGTCAATGGGAAGTAGAGTAGAAAAAGAGTTTGGCATAAAAGGAGCAGAAAGCTAGCCTGCTGACAATTCTTCTAAAGATCAGATATGTGTGCCCTTGTAAGTGGAGGATTTGATTCTCATCAACACTTAGCTAAATTGGAAGTTCTCTCCTCTCTAGAGTATACTCATTAATGCAGAATGCACAATTATAAATGTACCACATATTATTTTTCTTTTTTGATGGAAATTTAAAAAATTATCATAATTCCACTGTTTAAATTTCTTGCTGATTTGACACAGAATACTAACATAGATGAAGATAACATAAAACTCATAATACACCATTAAGTAAGTGTATAAGTGACAAACTGGTAACTGGGGATCCTTAATTCAAAGCGTGTTTAAGATTAGTCACTACACAAAAAAGCTTGAAACTTCCCTGAAATTCTGCAGCTCATGTATGAAAGAAATTTGATAGAGGCTTTCCCAAATTTGACAATTCTAAAAATGTTTATGACATTACCAATAATGTGTTATAGAGTTCACATAAATATTTGTAAACTATCAATAATAGAAAAGGTTTTGATCAACCATGCTAGGGGAAAAGACTAGAATTTTTTTTTTATTTTCTCTATAGAAAAATATTTTATAAAATCTTTGTCACGAAGAGGTGATCAAAGAGTATAAAACAAAAAATGTCAGAAAAATATTTTAGAATGTCAGGCAGTTAATAAAATATGAAGTTAGTTTTCTAGATTGTGTGATGTTTGTGGTTTGTTAGCTTTTTAAAATTTGTGATTTGTCTTGATTTATTTTCTCATTTCAAATAAATATTCACTTTCTTATCTAATTTTGTATCCATAATTTTGATTCCTTTTTTAAAGGAGAATCCAAACTGAATAAGGTTTAGAATCAACAAAAGCTGAATCTTGCCCTGCAGCTCTGTGACACTGAACACTTCATCTGTATTGGCCTCTGTTCTCTTACGTGTAAAATGGGAGGTAATAACACCAGCAGGGTGATTGGGAAGAGAGCACTACAAGAATAAATCACCAGAAAGGACTTGTATAACGACATTTTTATGCAAATATGTAGACTCTATGCAGAGTCTACAAAGGCTCTGGACTATACTGAAGGTGTCAGGTACCTTATCCCCAATAATGCTGCTCAACATCAAGGGAGAACTTGCTAACCCATCCATATGAGTCTTTCTGCATTGACCACCATAGGGTCATCTTTCCTGGGTGTCAGGAAATTGAGTTGGAAGAGATGGGGAGAGAATTACTTGGTAGTTGTCTGGAAGTTCTCCATCCTTCTTCATCTTGTCCCATTTTGCATTTTTCTAAAAATAGAAGACAGGAGGGAGCCTGAAGTCACACCCCTGCTGCTTCTGTGTTTTCTTCTGGAAAGTAGTCATGGAAAATTGGGGTTCCCATGGTCATGTTAAAAGCGATCCCAGTATCCAGACTCTGGTTTGTGGTGTGAAAGGCAGAGTACACAGCATCTTTCTTTTTGACAGTTACAAATGTTGCAGGCACAAAGTGGCTCTGGGGTCGCTCACTGTAGAAGCAGCTTCTTAATCCTGAATCAGGAAGTGTTCTTGAGGCCATAGTGTCGCAGTGGCAGCTTCCTGATTCACCATATTTCTGATGTTTGCAGAGCTCAGAGTTTCCTAGTGGGCCATTTCTGCCATACTTTTCCACTCACTCCTAGAGGTGATTTTTCAGGCCTTCCAGCAATGATTAGGTGCCCCAGTACATTAAATATTCTCTGCATCCAAATCTTACTGATGCAGGATGGTGAGCTGATAGTTTTAAAGCAGCTGCAAGGGAAATTCCCCTACCATGTTGCAAAGTGAAGAGAATCAGAAAGTTAATTCCATTCAAACACGGAGAATCAGAAAGTGGCAGGATTACTGATAGGGATTTGCATTTTGTGGTGAGGAGAGAGCAGCTTTAACTTTCACGATCAAGACTAAATGAGGCCATATCACTGGATACTGGTACAGAAAGCAATGATGACCAGTGACCAGAATCCCAATCTCTAGAATGTAAGACTCAACCTCAAGTAAAGGGAGTTTGGGAGACTCCAAATTAATTTTATGCCACCTGATTTAAAAAATGACAATGAAATTAAGTTTGGAGACAGAAAAGTAAATGTGTCTTTTTTGCACCCTAAGCATTTGGATTAAGATCAAATCTACTACTGAATAGAAGCCACCAATAGGAGTGCTTGCAGGTGCCAGCCACAGGGCTTGTCAGGCTTTAATGCACTTATTCCACTTACTCTTCATGCCAGCCCAAGGAGGTGGGGCTGTTAGTATTCCCATTTGATACATGGACAAAAGGGAGGCTCAGAGAAAGTAAGTTACCTGACTGCCCACCTCAAGGGGGCGCCAATCAGAATTCAGGCTTAGGATTTGCATAGGGGGAGCATCACAAGTGGATGACGAATTATGAGAAAAAGACAAAGATTTGGAATGAGAGAGAGGGTTGACTGATTCTTGAACAGTCATATGCAGCATGAGCCTGTTGCATGGAAAAGGGAGGGAAACTCTAAGAGAATCCAAAAGTGAGAAGAGACTCACGCATCTTTTCTAAGTTAATATGGGATCACCCTCTTCTCTTATTCCCCTAGGTCATAATGGCTGCTGTGCCAAACACTTTGCTCCCATCTCCTCCCATATTAGTCTGTTTTCATGCTGCTGATAAAGACATACCCGAGGCTGGGTAATTTATAAAGAAAAAAGGTTTAATAGACTCAAAATTCTATGTGGCTGGGGAGGCCTCACAATCATGATGGAAGGCAAAAGGCACGTCTTACATGGTGGCAGACAAGAGAGAATGAAAGCCAAGTGAAAGGGGTTTCCCCTTATAAAACCATCAGATCTCATGAGACCTATTCACCACCATGAGAACAACACCACGTGGGAACTACGGGAGTTACAATTCAAGATGAGATTCCGGTGGGGACACTGCCAAACCATATCACCTCCTAGGTAGGTGCTCTGAACAGTCCACAGCAAGTTGAGTTGTCTAAAATTAAATGGGCTCAGCTCATATTCACTTATTTTCGTCTTAAAAGTGGGCTCAGAGAGATGCTTCCCACCTCAACTGTAGTGGAGAAAAACGGGGTATTTTCCCTCGTCATGAACAGCAAACAGATTCATAGGAAGACATCTCCCTCCAAGTGGGGGTCCAGATGGCCACTGCACTACTCTGGGTCAAGACATACAAGAAGCAGGCCAAAGACGAGGGTCATTCCCAGCATCCTTCCCAGTTCTGAGTCAGGTGTAGGCCAGGCACTTGCATGGGAGGCTGCCTCTGCCCTTTGTTGGCTTCTTGGCTCTCTCCTTCACCAGCTCACTCACACCCTGGCTCCTTCACTCTGCTTTGCACTCACTGCCTTAAAGCACTGTGGTTAAGAAAGTGGGCTTCTGGATTTGCATCCTGGCTCAAACACTTATTTGTGACACACCCTTGGACAAAGGTTTCACCTCTCCATATCTGTAAAATGGGATGGTTTTTATTCACATGGCTATTGTAATGATGCCATGAGTTAAAACTGGTCAAGTGCTTAAAACAGTGTCTGGAATACAGCAGATGCTCATGAAATCTTAGGGTGTTTCCCTCATTTATTTTAGAACCATATGTTCCCAAGCCTCACTCACTGACATACCAATTTCATGATTTTTGCCACATTCAAGTACCCTCTGTAATAGTACAGTATTTGCTTATTATTTTATCTAACTCAAGTTGCTGTAAGTAATCATATCAAGGATAAAAAGGATTTAATATGTGAGTTTAATTTTTTCCAACATCTAGTTCTTCATTCCTTAGAGACCAAAATTTAAAAGTTAAATTATCTTAGGCATATACCATCAATGGGATGGGAGCTACATTTTAGGAAAAACTTGTGTGAGTAATTGTTTTCACACTTACTTTTGCTTACTTTATTACTAGTTTATTAATTTACTGATTTCTCTAGTCATTCAATTACTCATTGGGTCACTAATTAATAAAAACATTTTTCAGAGTCATTTACTGAGGACCCAATGGCTTGTGTCCTGTGACGGATGGAAGCTGGAGGCTTGCAAATACCAACCAGGTAAGTCCTTTCCCTGGGGGTCCCGATGAGGGAATTGGCCACACAAACAAGCAATTATAGCAGGAGGTCAGGTGTGGCAGAAGATTTGGGAGCCTAGGGGGAGGAGGACTCTTCCTGTTGCCTAGGGGAGTCTATGCTCCTGCACTCAAATGATTCTCCAGGGCATACACTCAGCCCTTCCCTCTTCATGACGCAATCATCCCGGGTCATTGCCAAGTGGTGGGAACGTTTATGAGGAAAGTCTTCCGTGTTGAGTTAAACAATGAAGAAAGTACTAGGATTGGATTCTGCCCAAAACGAAGATGCTTCATGCAGTCTTTCCTTCATCCCTTCCTTTCAATACATATTTACTGAGTACCTACTGTGTGCCTGACACTGAGAATTCAGTCTCTGCCATCATGGAGATTAAAATCTACTGTGGCAGCCAGGTGTTATGGTACAAACACTCATACAAACAGTAATTTGCTTATAATTGTGACAGTTGCCAGGAGAACATCTATAGTGTTATGAGAGTATGTAGAAAGCTCCAATTAGATTAGGGAGTTAAGGCTGTCAACTCTGAGAAGGTAAAATTGAAGGAAAGACCCAAAGAATGAGAAGGAGCTTGCCAAGGTGTGTGGGTGGTGGTGATATAGTAGGGAAAAGCAGTGTTACAGGCAGAGGCATCTCAGCATGTAGAAGGGCTGGACATGGGATGGGCTTGGCAACTTGGAGGAACACAGCTTTGATGGATATTAGGAAAAGATCTAGAAAGTGGGATACGGAAGATGAAGCTGGGGAAAGATGGTGTTCACGATCACCTGGGACTTTGTAGGCAATATATTGTCTACCTTTATCCTAAGTGCAATGGGAAAAAATATGTGAAGATTTTAGGTAGAGGAGTTTCCCAACTTGATTTACATTGGGGAACTCTCACTCTGACTGCAGCATGGAGAACGAATTGGGAAGGGCATGAACCTGAGCTGAATGCCCAAGTCAAGGGTAGGAAAAGTGCAGAAGAGGGCTGATGAAAGTGACGAAGCAGATGACAAAAATATTCTGAATGGATCCTGTGAATTAATTGCCAAGGTGATGCCCCCGAGACCAAGCAGGAAGAGGGCACTGAGGAAACCAATGTCACAGTTATATTTAGAGTTTCCCTTGAAGCTCACGCTCTGGAAAAAGTATGGGCTCTGGAGCAAAGGAGGCTGAGGTTCATATCCTGCCTTTCTTTCTTTTTTTTCTTTTTAATTTTTGTGGGTACATAGTAGGTGTATGTATTTATGGGGTATTGTCTGTAGTTATTTTGCAGCTTGACCTTTACCTCTGAATTTGCCCCCATTTCTTCATTTACAGAATAGAGATAACAGCACTGCCCTCATAGCGTCACTGTAAGGCTTGAATAAAGAGTCCATGGAAATTCTGGCACATAGTAGGTGCTTACTAAAGTGCAGTATAGAAGTAGGATTGTTTGTGTTCTTTTTCTCTCTAGATGCCGCAGGGAACCAAGCGTTTTCATCAGTTTTACAACGTATTCTAGAGAAGCAGCCATAGTGTAAAAATATTCTTTCTGATATGCTGCACATTATAGCAAATGGCATTATTCATGGATGTGTCAAAGCCATAAAATAGGAGATTTTGAGACGATCACAGCTGTGAATGATTAATATTTTCATCCCAAGATGCCACAGAGGTACCAAGGCTATGTTAATTATTACATGCCTGAGCCTCGTACTGTGGGCTTCCTCCCCAAGTGCCTGTTAATTTGCTCATATGCTGTGCAGCTGATGGGACTAGAAAACTCTCCACTCAGAACACACAGTGGATCTCTGGCAGTTCCTTATGTCCCTAATAACTGCTTTATACTTCTGCGGAAGGAAAAAAAAAATGAACAATCTCCAATCCAACAACAATGATGGGGTTTAAGCAGAAGAGAAACGTTAGTAGAGAAATGTTTTATCAAAGATAACTTCAGGCTTTTCTTTGTGTTTGCAATTTACTTATCCATTTATTAATATACTTCTGAATATTTTGGATGCTGTATTGCAATCACAAATATCTGTACTATCATCTTTCAAATTTTTTTCATTTTTACCAAATTTTAAATTTCTCTGAATTATTTCCCCATTAATATTTAAATGTATTTTTACATGTATCAATTGTTTTCTTTAAAACGTACCTGCCTCCCAGATGTAAGGAAAGCAACTCTATCTCTAGGAATATTTGTTTAAGCTTCAATGTTGTGTGTCTTTATTTTTGAGGAGTTTGATTTCATATATTCACCTTCTAAAACCGTTTTTTAAAACATAGATGGATTTTTTTTTTAAAGCAAGGACCAAGAGCTGAGTCCTCATCCTCAAGGTAAATTTGTAAATTTCTCTAAACCCTAGTGTGCTCTTATACACTGAACCAATTCCTTCTGCAATTTCCGTAAATCTCTCTATTCATACGATCTCACTAGGATCAGTCTCTGTTGAAAAATCTAGTTTAAGCTGCCTGGCAGTCTGAAAAGAGGAAGATCTATTAATTTAATCATTTGTGTGAATCATGTCTAAATGGTCTCAGCAGAGAAAATGTGTTAGCCATTTAAATCCCATCATTACATATTATATAATAATTACTGCTAATTCTAGTTTGGATGGGCCACAATTTGGCTTTCCATTCCCTAAATGTGGAGGGTAGGATGACCTCACCGAATTTAGCCTCTGCAGCTTCTAGGCTTTCTCTTGCCTTCCTCATTACGAACTTAATAGCCACATTCAGCTCCAAGCGTCCAGTCCCCGTAAGGTCTGTTTTGTGCTCATAATTAGTATTCATTTTGTGATCACCGAGTTCACCCTCAGCACAGAACGGAGCCTAATGTTAATCACTGCTGTGCCTCCCTCCCTTTGACTCTGATCTGTCAGCATCGTGTGGCTTGTCCCATACCTAATTTTTTGCCCTTACCAGCCAACAAGCACCTCCACATCGCGCAGTGTCAGAATTAGAAACTTTTGACAGATCTGTAATCATGCAGTTCTCATCAACTCTATGCATGCTAGTCATTTCATTTCCACATTCGAACAGTTAATATGCCTTAATTTCTCTCACTTTGTGAATATTTAATTCCTCCCTTTTCAACATCATTTTTAGGTTGTGTGAATCATTTTCAAAGCCTTTGCTCTGTTCCCGCACTATCATCTGCATATTTTATGAAATGGCACGGTTGAGTCTCGGAGGGCTCTTGATAAAAATGGAACTGGCAGCCTGCTCATTAGCTGTTTACCTGGAGCTGTGTGAGCCCCCGATAATGGCGAGCTCCCATTTGGATTCGAATTAGGATTCTCTGACGAATCACCACCAGCAGCTTTCTCCAGGACGTCCGCTCCTCCTCCGGTGCCTCTCTCTCCCCATCGCAGAGAGTTTCCAGGAAACTTGCTTTTGGGGGCTGTCCTAGGGAACGTTACACCCTGGCATCTGAGGCAGTTTAATTTTTGAAGCGGAGACACAGAAGCTTTAGCAAATTAGCACCTCTAAGGATGGCAAAATTCCCCTGAAAGGACACATTCTGAAGGTCTGGTTGGTTGACCTTCCAGAGCTTTACAGATGCCAGAAGTCAATTCCCTGCTATAACGAGGTGACCAGTTGTCCCACTTTGCCTGGGACTGCAGATCCCCAGAGCATGAAACTTACCATTTTGAAATCAGGAAAGTTCCAGGCAGTTGAAGATGGGTTGGTCACCTTCGCTGTAACTCACTTGAGGGCTTGTATCATGTTGTCAGTCTCTGAAGTAGATGGGAAGATCTTCAGTGGCTTTTACAAACGGGCTGAGCCACTTCTGTGATTTACCAAGAGGACTTAGAGAAGAGCACAGGCCATAGCCCTGTGGTCTTACAAGGTTGGCTTGAAAACCAGAACTGTTTTGATGGACTTATAGCTTGCACTTAAAAATCAGGAAATTCGTATGTAAAAATGCAGGATTTCTGCCTCTCTTTGAAAACCAAAGACATGGCTCTGCGATGTGCCCATTCTTTTTAGAAATGATTGATCAGTTGGAGCCAAACAGGGACTATCCCTTTATATGGGGCATCCGCTTTCCGGTTTTATAACCCTCCCTTTATTGCCCCCAGCTGGATCCATTCATTCTGTGTACCTATTTGGTTTCAGTTTGCATCTGATTTTGTGCTTCTGGATAGAAGTTGAGAGCACTGGCTTTGCAGTAAGATTCAAGTCTCAGTTCTATTATCTTTTAGCTGCCTGACCTTGGCCAAGATAAACAAACACACTTGGTCTCAGTTCTCTCACCTGTAACTTGAGAATAATAAAAGTATACTAGTATAGCAATATCTTATTATAAATATTACATTAAGTAAGATATGTACATTGAAGAAATGCATATAAATGGCTTAGAATGGGCCTGGATAGTAAGTATTCATTAAAAGTGCTTGGTTTTTTTCTTCTTATTATTTTATTATTATTACCTTTACAGAAAAATGAACTGAAACCCAGAATTCCCTGGTGAGCTACTTAATATATAAATAGACACTATGTGAACACAAAGAATAAAAGAATATTACTGGCATTAAAATATTTTGTATTTTATAATGTATCTTGGAACCAAATATTGAGGTATACTCAAAGCAATTCCAGGTGACCACCTGTGTAATTAATGAGGCAATTGACAAAGCTACAGGAAACAAAACATTCCGTTTTTTATGTACAGATAATCTTGTCTTCCTTTTTGCATTAGTAAATCCTCCAACACCTTTTTGAATTCCATAAACCTATACTTTTTATACAGAGTGAATTCCTTTGTAGTAGAATCTGTTTCCTTAAGATTTCCTCCTGCTGAAATGATTTTATCCTATAGCAGCCTTGTGTTACTGGGGATTTTATGGCCAGGCAAAAGTGATATACTATTAATACCTTGGATTTACACAGCAATTGTTCTTTTGAATAGTGCAGAGGTACTAGACGATTCTCAAATATATGGTATTTGATATTAATGAGGAAGATGTTATACCACAGGAAACAATTGTTTATTTTTTTAATGTTTCCCCCTTCTCTTTTAAAACAGACTCCTGTAACACTACATGCTCAGAGTTTTTCTAAGGAGATATTTGGGAAGCGCTATTGTTGCGTGAAAAGTATTTTTGATTCTGGGTCATTGAAACCTGGATTTGAATCCCTGGTCCCTGATGCTCTCTGGGCCTGGCACCCACAGAATGCTTATTTTTGAAGAGAGTTGAATAAAGGGACTCTCTACAAAGCTGTGGACAGGATCTAGGGAATATGCCAGGAATAATGGAGCACCTGAGGGGTGGTAACAGAGGGGCTCTTTCACTACCTTTACAACTGAAGGGGCAAGGGGAAGGAGAGATGACCGGACTTAGGAGACAAAGGGCTGTGTGGAGAGGGCTGCCCTGTCACAAGAGGGTCCCAGTTGGCTTGTTATGACCCCTTGGGGTGGGATCAAGGGGGAAAAACATGCTGAGATCACACAGTCCTTCTTCCTTCTAATTTCCTGGCAGAATTCCCCGTTGGTCAAACCCAACCAGAAGCTTCAGAAAAAGGAACATAATCTTTGTGGGAGTTTGTACTGCTTACCCTCTCAGGACACAGAGAGCATGCAGACAGTACAGGAGGAAATGGAACAAACCCAAAGTCACCAGATGTCTCTGAACAAGTTGTTCAACTTCTCTGAGACTCTCTCAGACTGAGTTTACTTCTTAGTAAATAAAGCTACATAATACCTACCTCAGAGTGTTGTGAGAGAATGAAATGAGATAATACATACATTATCTGGCACAGTCCCTTGGCACATAGTAGGTCTTTCTGAGAAGCATGAAACAGGTTAGTGCTTTGCCCAGGCCATTTCATCTTCAAGGCAACATGAGTTGAGAAAGGCTTGGGTGCTAGAAGCTTTGTGAAAATGTTTGAGCTCTGAAAATTCAAGTCATGATTTCAAAATATAAAATTAGTCTCAACAATAGTCAAATCTCTAATTGATTTTATATGAAGTATAATCATATGTCAACGAATCTAACTTTAACCTACTCTTACTTAGTTCTATATAATTAAAAAGTGGGATGTGTTTGCTGTTATGCTGGCACTTATAAAGTTTTCAGTTCATCTGTTTCACATACTGGTTTTCCCTTGGAAGGTTATGTTTAAAAAGCTCTCTGTAAATTGTCATCTCAATGTTGTTGAGTGAATAAAATAGCCTAGCTCTAGCTAGAAGGAATGTGAAAGAAAATATAGACTCAGCAAGAAAATTTTTTAAAACTTGTGGTCTATAGGTCATACTCAGTCTTACGATCCTTTCATGTGTAAATTTAAATTTTGTAAAGAATTTTTAATTTAAAAATTAGAAATCAAAATATTTTAAAAAGAAATCAACTTACTATACTTCATTGATTGCATAAAAATACTTTTTCTGTCTATATTTTAACTTCTCAGAAATAAAGATGCATCTTAAGCAATGATATCTTAGACTTGATGAGATACAGTGGTGACTAGCATTAAAACATCATGAGATTTCATGTAGAAACTGATATTTCCAGTTTCAAAAAGCTGGATGGTCTCTCAGCCTTGGACCTGGCACTCATACAGCCCCTGTGGTGGAAGGGCCTAGCTCTGAGCTCTTGAAAGAGGATGATGGCTCTCAGAGACACCTCATCCTTACCCATGTCTTCTCTGCTTTTTGGAATTTGAGGAACCTCATCTACCAGCCTCCAACTTGGGCTCTGGACCTGTAAGAAGCCCTTATAGGAAGGAATAGAGATGCATGGGCTGATTTTAACATTACAGTCCACTAATGGGCGTTTTACCCAGGGTAAATCAACAAATCAAGTGTTGGTTCGCTTGAGTGTAATAATAGTGGTTCTCTCCTAATCAGAAAGTTCTGATTAGCAGTTGATGAGCAAATAGAAATAGCAATAAAATAAGAGGTGAGGGGCATGAGGTCCATCATGTAGTAAATGGAGTGTGACAGATAGGCATGGATCTCTTGGGAGGAGAGACAAAGGGGAAGGGAAAGGGAGTCCTTGGCAGTGGAAACAGAGGGAAATGTCACTCCAGGGACATTTAGTGACCTGTCCAGAAAAGCAAATGGCTAACTAGGAAGTAGCAGTTCTCTAGACATTCAGTCCAGTATTCTTTGCTTTCAAACTTCATTCTTTGCAGTCAAACTTATTGAAAAAATATGTTCAAACTCTATAGACAAACACTCTCTAACAAAATGACTTTCGGAGAAGAGATTTTCTCTCTTTCATCTGGGTATACACCAGCAAAAGACCTGAATAAAATCAACCCTGCTACATTCTTCGTGTAGAATATTCCTAAAATATGTTTGAAGATATTAGGGGTTTTCCTCCCAGCATTATTATTTCTCATGGAAAATCCTTTCTATATCCTATTTTAGATTATGTGCTATAATATACTTGGTAGATTATAGATAACATCTCTTTTTTTCTGAGATTGCACATTTGAAAATTTGAGATTACAATAAACTCTGTGTGCGACAGTGACCAGAGACATGGAGATAATGTATGTGAATATTCTTTAAGCTCTTTGACTGAAAGACATGTTACAAATATGAGCAATTATTCGATACTATATTTGAAAAAATATAGATCATCCAATCTTGCAAATAAAAGATAATTCCACAGATGATGTTCTCTATGTCACTTTTCTAATCTTAAATACTTGAAGTGAAGAAGCTTCCAGGCCTCCGCTTGTATGACTGTTTCACAATCTAATTGATCTCACTGTCTGAATTGTCCTTTCTTAATTTCTCTGCATTACTCATTTACTGTGCTCACTGTTCAGATATCTGCGAGAGGTAGCAGGCCTCCCCCCAACCTTAGTCAATTAGACAAGCTATTGTTTCTGATTAAGATATCACATCCCGGAGAATAATAGCAATTAGAGTTGGAACGGAGACCCTGTGGGTCGTACAGTCCACTTCCCTGCTGGCTCGGGAGAATGTTTTACATTACACAGTAGTTTTATATGGTTTTCCTGATGTTGGTTTTAAAAAATCCAAGCACCCGTCAGTGTTAATTATATCCCTGTCCTGCATCCCCACCATGACTTAATTTTCTACTTTGCATTGCTGATTCTCATAAATTGGCATTGAATGATGGCTTCTTGATGATATCACCTCATCAAAATACAGGGACAATAGACTTTTTTTTCAATAAGCAGAGAAAGGAAATATTATAAGTTTTGGTTTGGTTTTTGTTGGGAGGTAGAGGTGCAATTTTATATAGGTATATTTTTTGCCAGGGTTCCTGGTTTCAAAATACCCCCAACATATAAGATTTTTTTTTTTGACTACAGTAGTCCCTCCTCATCCAAAGGGGATACATTCCAGAACCCCTAATGGATGCTTGAAACCACAGATCTTATTGAGCTCTATATATTCTGTTTTTCCTTATACATACATACCTATGATAAAGTTTAATTTATAAATTAGGCATGGTAAGAAATTAACAATACTAACTTGTAATAAAATAGAACGATTATAACACTATACTGTAATAAAAGTTATGTGAATGTGATTTCTCCCTCCCTCTCTTTCTAAATTTCTTATTTTACTGTACTCACCCTTTTTCTTCTCTTGATCTGTCGATCTGATAATCAAGACACGTATTAAGTGACTAACGGGCGCGTAGTATCTACAGTGTGGACACACTGGACGTAGGGATCATTCACGTCCCAGGAGGGAGAGAGCAGGACAGAGTGAGATTTCATCACGCTACTCAAAAGAGTGTGCAGTTTCAACATATGAATTGTTTATTTCTATTTAAACCTCAGTTGACTGTAGGTAACCGAAACCACCAAAAACAAAGCCGTAAATAAGTGGGGGGACTACAGTTTTCTTTTTAAAATCAGTCATTTCCATTGCCAATTATCTAGAAAAGTTTATCTATGGGTGTAGAGAATGGTGTCTGTAAGAAAGAAGTTCAAATTTCTAGAGGCTTTCCCTTGAGCCAGTTCCTCCACTGCATGGTCATAGTAGGGGAAAATAATCCTAAGTGTAGTTAATAGAATATTCTTATAAAGAATATGATGATGATAAAATGATTATTATCACTATGTACTTTTGAGCCCTTACAACATGCTTGGGCACTGTGCAAAGTACTTTGTATGCATTATCTTACTTAATGCTCATTGCTATCCTGATGTAAGGACTATTAATACACTGAATTTACAAATGAAGAAAAAGAGGCTGAAGAAGTTATAAAACCTGCCAAGATTACCATACTCATAAATCATGGTGACAAATAATAGTTTTATTTTTACAAATGTTTTATTAATTAAATAAATTAAAAAGTAATTAAATCAACTGTTTTCAATACAAGTAGTAAAATAAAATTGTATTTTATAATTAAAATTTTATAAATATTAAAAAATTTTAAATAATTTGATTATTATTATTTGTCTTTTAAATTATGATATTTCCTTTTTTAACATGGGTTTCTGAAGAATTGGAAACTTTTTTCACCTTACTGGTGGCAATCTGAATGGGAAACAGGGCCATGGTTGCTGTGATTGAATTTGGGAATTTCCAAACCTGTCTCTGCATCATAATGACCTTCACATTATATCAAGCCACAGTTTTTCATTAAGTATTTTATTTCTCGAAATCCTCTTATGTAAATCAACCTCAGAGTGATTTAGCAAATAAACGTGTTTTGAACATTATCATTTTTGTAATTTTGCAAATAATACAAGCACATTATTTGTTTTAAATTAAAGAATATACAAGAGGGAATAAAATGATAGAATGGCCACTTCCCCGCCAGTGCACAGACTCTATTCCAACTCCCTGACATATCTCCTACTGAGAGTTTCTTGTGTCTTACAAGAAAGGTATTACAAATATGTAAGTAAAATAAGTTTTGTGTATTTTTTTAAACACAAATGGGATGACACTATGCCTATTGAGCCAGAAGTTGTTTTTCTAAATATAGATAACAATAATGAATAAATAACATGTTTAATATATGTTACGTATTACTTTAAGTTCTTTATATACTACCTCATTTAATCCTCCTGACAACCCCATGAGATAGATATATCTTTATCCCTGTCTTACATGTAAGAAAACAGAGAGATAGGTTAAATAAATTGCTCAAAGACACAAGTTTTTAAAGGGATGAAGCTGGGATGTAATTATACCTTGAGGATGATTCAATATTAGGGAATAGCAATGAATGTTACTACTTTTAGACTCTGTATAATATTTCACCATTTACCAAATGAGCCTCTTAAAATGGACATTTAGACATTTTTCTTTCCCTATTTTAAATAGTATTGCAATGACTACCTTTAGGTATACACAGCTTTGTGCACATGGGCAAGTATTTTTGGTTCAAATTCTTACAAGAAGAATTGCTTGGTTAAGACCATTGCATTTAAAGTTTGGGAGATAAAGCCAACCCATCCTTGAGGGAAGCTGTTCAGGTTCCCCCCCATTCCAGATGCCCCTTATTACATCATTAAGGCATGCCTGGTTCTCTCCTCGGTGTGTGTCAAGAGGAATTGAGAACTGTGAAACACCCTATGTGTGTTGACACTGCTATGCATGTACTCACTCCCTAACATTAGCAGGGAGTATGTTTTTCTCCTCTACCCCACAGCTTAAGCTGTTACTATTTAGACTTGTGGCACTCAATGGGGATGATTTTGTCTCCCAGGAAGCTTTGGCTATGTCTGGAGACATTTTTGGTTGCCACAGCTGATTGGCAGAGATGGTGCTACTGGCACATAGAGTGTAAAAGCTAAACACCCAATGATGCACATGACATCTCCTCTCCCAACAAAGAATTATCCAGTTCAAAACATCAATAGTGCTGAGGTTCAGAAACCCTGGTTTGGAATCCAACTCAATTATAACCCTCTCTATGATACCTTTAGTAAACTGCTCCCTGCTAACAGGTGATGCTCTGTCCTTTAGGCTGTCAAAGGTTTCATTGGATGTTCTCTTTATTGTGTTGTGCTGTAATTGCTTGATTACACAGCTATCCCCTCTAACAGGTGACCTACTATGTGAAGGTTGACAGTATCTTATTCATACTTGTATTCTCACCACCAGCTCCATTTCATAACATATTGCCTGGTTTATATAGGAGCTTAATAAATATTTGCTGAAGGAAGGGAAGAAAGATGAAACAAAGAGGGAAGAAAGAAAGGAAAAGATAAAGAGAGGGAGGAAAGAAGAGAAAAAATGAAAGACCAAAAGAAGAAAAGACAAAAGGAAGGAAGAAAAAAAATAATGAAACAGATGCATGAATAAATAAGTTAGGTTCCAGGTGAGGACATCCTGAGGAAATACCTTTGGATTGGTCTTGTGAAACTTAGAATACTTCACTCATTTATTTTAAAAAGTATTTAGTGAGCACCAACAATGTTCTAGGCATTTTAATAGGTTGTGAGTATGGTGAATCAAACAGCCATTGTTCCTGTCTTCATGGAGTTTGTTACCTCTTGAGTAAGACAGACAATATAAAAAGCAAACAAGGGTTGAGTGTGGTGGCTTATGCCTGTAATCAAAACACTTTCGGAAGCCAAGGAGGGAGGGCCGCTTGAGCTCAGGAGTTCAAGACCAGCCTGGGCAACCTAGTGAGACCCAATCTCTTAAAAAACACACACACATAAAAGCAAACAAGCCATAAGGTAAAGTGAAGGAAGGGTCAGTCAGGACCTCCTCTATGAAGAGTGGGAAGGAGGTGCATTTGAGCTTAAAAGAGATTAGAGATTTATGGAATGGTAGTCCTTAAAGTATAAAGAAGTCAATCTGGAAAGTCTAACTGGAAGAATCCAGGTATGGAGACAATACAATATCTGGAAGGTAGAAAAAAAAATTTTAAATGGCAGGTACAGGTGCAGAAGCTGGACTGGTAGCTGTGCTGACTGATTACAGCTAACTCACAGAAGTTTTACAAAGTGTATATTTGACTTTCAATATAGGGAGAGAAAGACCATTAAGAACACCAAACCAGGGATGCGTGGACGCCCTCTTGGAAGCCCCTCACCCTTGACTCTGGTGTCACCTTTGACACAGACATACAATCATCATGAACTTCAGGCCCTCGTTATCTCCTGTAACACCTTCCCTGCTGCTCTCCCTGTTTCTGTTCCATTGGTTCTCATCTATGGCCACATTATCAATCACTTGGGAAGGTTTTAATAAAATCAGTGCCCAGGCCTTGCCACAGGCCAATTGAATCAAAATCTCTGAAGAGGGGCTTTGAGTATTATGTTTTTCAAAAGCCCCCTAGATTATTGTGATGTTTGGATGGATTGAGACCCTCTACCATGTTGCTTCATGGGTAAAACTCTCAAAACTCTGAAAATTTCTTGCCCATCTTAGAATTGTCCATCCTCAATGCCTACAGGATTGAATCCATTCTCCGTGGCTTAGATTTGCCCTAATTTTCCAGCTTCATGTTTTTGGATAGCCTTATGCTCCTGCTACTTGGATCTTTCCTTTTGTTGATTAGGCAGTGCTCTTTCACTCCTCTTTTTCTGAACATTGGCTGTTCCTTCCACCTACAATTCACTTCCCACCACCTTCACTTGGTCCTCTCTTACTTACGTGCCATGACTCAACTCAAATATGTTCTTTCCACACACCCATACACAAAGCTAGTTACTCCTTTCCCTAGTTCTCATGGCAACTGTACTGTAACAGGTTCAAATGTTTACAGTCTCAGACTCTGCACTGCAGAAATGCAGATTCATTTTCTTATGACTAAAATAAAATGTTTACCCAAGATCACTTATTTCCACTAATGGCTGAAAATTCTTAATCTCATCACCTTAGTCACTTCCAGATTACAGCTCAGTAATATACAAAGTTCTCTATCCATGCTCCTTCAGGACAGTTCTGCAGGTGGCTTTGCTTTGACCCAGTTCTCTCATTTTTCTTGCTTGTAGTTCTCAAGAATAACTATAGAATGTACAGGGAATGCAATATCTTGAGACAGAGAGAAACTTCCTGAAGTAGAGCTTGTTCTTGTCCCTCCTAGGGAATGTAAGATCTTGAGTTAGAGAGGAACTGCCTGGGACAGCCTGGGTTTTGTTTCTCCTTCCTTTCGAAGCAGAATGTTCTTCAAAGCTTTTCCCAGTGAGTCTCTTGGCCCCTGAGGCATATAACCCAGGGCAAGCTGTCTTTTGGGGTCTCTCACCTGCAGTGCAAATGTGGCATGGGTAGTCAAGACTCCATTCTCCCAGGCCAGCCTTGTTGAGCCTTAGGGGACTGGTTCACAATTGATCCTATGCTCCTTTTGTCCCTTGCTGCCTATCTGTGAATAACAATCCTGTTTCATGTAACTTGTTTCATGTGTGTGTGCCCTGTCTCATCAGACCCAGGCATTGGTAACACTGCAGCCCAGGATGCTATAGGCAGAAGGGTTTGGATCCTGATTCCTGGTGGATGGTATAGTGATGATATCTCTGCTGTCCTCCATGCGGTGGAGGTCCTCCTTTGGGACTGGTTATTAGTGAACCTGCTTCACACACCCCTCACTTCCTTGGTTCTATAATTTGCAGAGCATTGAGGTATAATGGGAAAGCCATCCAGGCATTAGGAGAGAAATCTCCAGGGCTCATGCCATCTTCGTGCTCCACTGGCCTCCACTGCAGCTAAGTTACTCCATCTGGTGTTTGGGAATCATATTCCAGAATTTCCTAGTCACATCTGGTATCACTGAATTTGTTGTCTGTTCTCTGCAGCTGAGCCTATATCCACTGTTCCTTGGGAGCTCAGGAACTGTTGGCTGGTTTCCTCACACCACCTTGACACAATCAGGACTCAATGAGGACTCTGTATCTAGAGATGTCCCTCAGCCCCTGCTAATGGACTGTATGGGGGCCACGTTTCTCTGGTGCTGTTTTGATGCAGCACTGTGCTTAGGGAGAACAGGCCTTTCTATGAGACTTTCAGGCCGAATGGGCTACACAGGAAGAAGTGAGTTACAACTCTCCTTGGCCTAGGACTTTCCTAGACCTATCTGGTCATTTATTTCATTCCCAACATCTTCCACCAAAGGTTGCGCCCATGAAGAGAGAAAGGGAAAGAAGAACTTCCTCTTGGACACCCACAAAAGGCTTTAGTCTGTTTCAAAACTCTTCTTTCACCTGTTCTCATATTTTTAATTTTATTTTCAGGTGAGAATGAGTCTACCACATCTTCACATATGTGCTCCTATTTTTTGGTTTATTTATGATCCATGGTGTACCCCAGTCCTCCAAGCTCTAGCATTAATACTTGAAATTGAGACAACCAACCAACCAAACACAAAAACTCTTTTTTTTTCTCTCTCAACAAAGCTTGGCTCTTGAAAATCAAAGGCACTTTGGCTTTCAGGGTATTAATTGTTCTACATGTTCAATAAATTGTAAAAATTTTTTGTCCTACTCTGTATCTAACTTCCCCTCATGGGGGTTATAGAAATGTGGTAAAAAGCATTGGAAACCTATAGATTTCAATATCTACAGTTTTCTCCCACTGCAAGATCTGTAATTTAACCTTGATTCCACTGCATTGTCATCCTTTGTTTACCCTTCACACCTTACCTGGGAGCTCCTCTGGGAGCATTTCTTTCATCATCTCAGGAGCAACCCTCTTGGTGACACAACTTAAACACTCAATTTATCAATAAACAAATATTTGTTGAGCACCACTGTGTGTAAGACACCGGACTAGGCATTGAGGGTGGGCACTGATCAATATAGTCGTAATTTCGATGGAGCTTGCAAGCTAACCAGGAAGGTGAGTATTCAATAAATCATAATAAAATTAATGTATTAAATGTAATTGTGATCATTGTTCTTTATCATATATTCCTCCTTCTGGTTGTGAAGACATATCATGGGGGTTCCTATTTATTTTCTGAGGAAGGGACACTTGAGCAGAGATGAGAAGTAAGTAAAAGTTAAGTAGGTAAGCGATAGTCAAATGGAGTTGAAATGGGGAGCATTTAATTAGGGAACACGGCAGAAGATTCTGAGGAAGGAAGAAATTTAGCTTATTCAAATCACTAGAGAAGATCCATTGGGCTGGGGGACAAAGAAAGAGAGAGGGTGATCTGCATGATGAATTGATGAATAGACAGGGACCAGACCAGGCATTTTCATGTTTGTTGAATGAATGAATAAATAAATGAGCTTGGAGCAACCTGAAACTTTGACTTCTGCTCTAGATTAAAAACTACCATTGCCTGGAGTCTGTAGTTATGTGACATTGACTCATGCAATTGTGCATGGTGTAATCATAAAACAAACCAGAGACAAGGCTTAAGGCAACATTGAAGGAAGTGTCCTGAACTTTAAATGCAAATCAAACTAGTAGCACCTCTTCTACAGTGACACCTTTAGAACCAAGCCGTTACAGAAGCATTTCTCCCTCACCCCTTCTACTTGGTGGTTTCCAGTTGAGTGAAGAAATCATTGAGAAGTAAACCGTTCCAACATCGTGTGTCCAAAGTCAAAGGATAGCCAGGCATCTGCTGAAAATGGAATATTGACTCAAGCCCCAGATGGGGAATATTTGAAAAGCACTCTGACCAGTTCTTAGCAGTGGCAGTTGGAACAGAAGGAAAATCAGGGATATGCAGGCATCCTCAACCAATGGAGAACCAGGATCAATGGGAAAGGAATTGACTCAGGGCTAGTAGGTGCCAGGCTGAAAGGCAGAACTCCAGGAGGATCAAGCCAGTAATCACTGCTTTGAGTTAGTAACCTGGAGATGTCAAAGGGATCATGGCGAATGCCCTGAGGGTTTGGTTTGTGGCAACCAGCCAATCAGAACAAGGATTTTACTCTCACTATATTATCCGATAGCTCTAATAAAAGTCAGATGGGAGAGCTAATCAGATCGTTCCCTTGGCCTGGACCCTTTTAAATCAAAGAAGTCTATTTTGGCTCTCCATGTTAAGTAGACCCAGAGACCTGACATTTTGTGTTTATTTGAAATGATAAACTTAATCATGAGCGAAATGTTAAGAGATGACAGAACTGGCCACAGTAAGGTCACATCGTGTCCCTGCCAAACATAATACAGGCTTTTGCCTTCACTGGGTTGCCAATTCCTGCCACAGGAGGCCCGAGGCACTTGCAAATGGGGACCGGAGTCTGTCTATGTGATAATTAATCCATGGCGCTCGGTAAAGACTGCCAAATCTGCCATATGGTAGTTTTATGATCTGGACTGCTGTTATCTCTGGAGAAAGCTAACATCATAATCTCATTTACTTGTTATCTGTGATTAGGACTTGTACTTCTACAGGGTAAAATGCAGGCATGGTGGGGAAGCCCAGGGTTCCAGAGCCCTGAGATGCTACTACCCAACTTTAACGGGAAAAGTGAGAGCACCATTGATATATACAGGAAAAGACACAAAACTCTGATGTGGGCACCTGCATGTGTCCTGACCTCACAGCATTTGGGTCCCATGAAGAAACCTGACATATATTTTATAAGGACTCAACTGTATGTTTAATAGAAATACCCAAGAAACACTCAAGAAAGTCAGAGGGGCTGCCTCCCAAAAGTATTGTGGAATAGAATCACATTGCTTCCTCTTTTGTATTTTTTAGGGATGGGCAAGCCAGGTGTTCTGGATATTTTTTTTCCATGGTGACCTTCAGTTTGGGCGACTGAGTCACCTATACAACTTTCAGTGGTGACTTAGACTTTGATGAACTCTCAAAAGAATTTTGTTGAGAAGTAAAGCTTGAAATTGATTCATGCCAACATAACTACAAATGACATTGTAATAGTTTCTTACTGGAACTCCACCATGGAGAATAAGGGCTGTGGGTTATCCCAATATCTGTGTGCTCTGTGACTGCATCCTTTTCTCTCCTACTCAAGGAAGGTCATTATCAAAGATGAGGCTGATGCAGATCTGAGACCATACACACGGTTTTCTACAAGACTCATAACATCTCTGATGTTATCTAAGTTAATTTCTATTGTAAGTCTTGTGGCATACACTATTGATTGATTTTCTAATACACACTCTTCCTTTTTTTGTGTGTGATAAATATTTCATTTTTTTTTTTTTTTTTTGTGGATCACAATGAGCCAGGCAACATTTCATAGCCACCCTTGAAGTCAGCATTAGCCATGTAACACATTTTGGCCAATGAGATGAAAATGAGTTGGTATATGGGTGTTTAAAGTGGGACATCTAACTGTTCTTTGTTTTTTTCATACTTCCTCTACCTTTTTTTTCTGGTTGGTGCTCTAGCAGCCATGTTGTTAGACTCACAGAGAGATCTTGAAATTGGAAGCCTCGTGTTAAGAATGGAAGAACGGAAAGAAAAAATCCTGAGTTTCTAGTGATGTTGACACTATCATAGCAGCCCCAGAATGCCTATCAACAGGCTTTGCTTACTTGAGGGAGAAATAGTTTTTATCCTATTAAGTAATTGTTGTCTCAATTTTCTATTGTATACTTCTGAACCAAATTCATAGCTGATGCAAATCTCTATGATGTTAAATGACAGAAATAAAATATTTCAGTTCATGGTACTCCCCTCTTTCTCAGGGTTGGCTTTAAGTTCAAGGAGCTTGGATAGGAAGCAGAGGTGGGTGTGAGGTGGAGTCTGGGGTCATGGATTCATGCTGCATTCACTGTCTTGTCCTTTCTTTAATCTGGCCCTAGGCTGTCACCCATGCAGATTTCACCTGCATCCTCCTTGTTCTGATCACAGATGGCTTTTTTCATCTCTATCTGCCATATCTGCTCTTGGTGGCCCAGGAAACTTTCCACTTTCCCCAAGATGTTTTTGTTTGAAGTAAAATCCATAAAAGAGTCTCAGGCCCATCTACCTGGACCCTATTCAAGGATACCCTTTCCTTCCACATATGTTAGGTGTTAAAAACAGAGATTCCCATAAACTTACCACATGGATATGGTCATGACTCTGCCATGAATGTGGTGGCTTAATTCATATTTGGGTAGATATAAGCTTGCATCAATTCTAATTCATTGTTATATTTTAGTTTATTATAAATTCTAGTACCTTACTGTTGGCAATGATTAGCTTGCAACTGACTTCATAACAGACCATGACATGCCAACGAGTATATACACCATGGCTAGAAATTCCTGGAGTAAGATGGTCTTCTGGGAGCCTGCAGATCTTGGAGCTGCCTCATCATCATTTAATGTAGGGAATAGAGAACCCCTGTCCTAATGCACCAAAAGTTATAGGCCATGAGGATCTGCTAGCTTCGTAGTCACCTTGTAAAACTCACAGGGTTAGGACTATTTAAGCTCCAAGAGATCCTCAGGCAGGAAATTTGCTGTCCCTTTTTTAAGCAAATTTGCTTCCATGTGCACTTTAGAGCCATTCTGAGAATGAGAAGCAGCAGCCGGCTGGTCATAGACGTTACATATACACATATATACACATACACCCGCACACATATATCTGTATATCTATATTTACTTGTGTATATTTATATACAAATATAGATATGTGTATAAATAATAAATATAGATATACAGATATATGTGTGCAGGTGTATGTGTATATATATATGTGCATGCACATCTGTATTATTTTTATATATGCATGTATAACTTTATTATTTTTATACATGCATCTATATGTTTATTATTTTTACATTATTATTGCATTATAGGCATGTATACTTTGCTATTTGAATTATCTTCTTACCTGCTATAAAATTTAAAAATATATATATATGTAAATTGAGGTCAAATTCACATACAGTGAAATGCACAGATTTTAAGGGTATAATCCCATGACTTTGATCACTGTATATGCACTCTGTGACCACAACCCCAGTCAAGAGAGAGTACGTTTCTGTTACCCTATCAGTTGCTAGGTGATGTACTAAAGATGTTGTTCAGGGGGCTTGAAAATTCGTGTATCCCTGACAGCCCGAGAAGACTGGATAATGTCCCACTGTGGGTGGGTACTTGGGCTGTGTGTGTCTGGGAAAAGAGATCAGGATATTGCAGCTCACAGGAGTTTCTCACACTGTGGCCTTCCTCCTATCAGTCTTTGACGTGGTCATTCTTATCCAGAAATCATGTCAGGCTGTTTTCCCCAGAAATATTCTGATTATGTGAATTAGATCACGTGGTCTGCGATAAATCCCCCGTCATTGTCCCTTGGTATTTTGAAAACTGATGAAACCGCTGATTCTTGGCTCCTTACTTTGTATGCAAATGATAAATTATAGATGGGAAATAAGAAAGAGAAGACTGTCCCTGGCTTGCTGGTTTGAAGTGAAGTGAGAAAGAACAGTGCTACTCTTGACGATTTATTGTGACATTGCTCAGAAAAATTCAAACCCCAAAGCCTCCACATCTCTGGGGACATTGTTAGCCTTCTGCAGGAATTATTAAAATGTACAGAAATGTAGGAGCCGCACTTTATAATAATTAATCAGGGTCTGTTGATTAATAAAGCTCATTTTTTAGTCCTGATGATTCAGAGTATCATCCAAAGGACAGTGTCCTTGTCATTTTGATTAAGAAACCAGACTTTGCAGTGGAAAGAAGTACAGGAACATTCGTGCTTCCTCCGTCTTCCCATAAAATAAATATTGAATGAGAATATTAACTCGTTAACCTTGACAACAATTTGTAATTTTCATAAGGGGGAAAATCTTGCATATTCAGCAAATAAATCGCTGCAGGGATTTCAGGAAAACAAATTGGAGAGAATGAAGAATGCTACCATATGAATTCTGTCATTTTTATGGGCCAGGGTGATTTATTTGTTTGTTTAGGTCCCTCAATTAAGGCCACAAATACTGTAAGGTGTCGAGAGCAAGTTAACTGTTACGTCTGGTATGAAACAGTCAACTAGAAGTGAGAAAGAAAGGTCGCTTGGGGGAAGTGCATAACTGGGCCCCAACCTTGAGTCTTCATACCTTACCAGAACCACTTTACCTGGGGTTAGCTGCTGAAGCTGTAATTTCACTCTATTAATAGTTTAAAGCTTGTTTTAACAGATAACCCCTTTCACTGGGCAACTGCGAGGGAAAATCATTAGGTGGAATTAGCAGTACCAGTCACAGCTTTTCTGGGGTTATCTAATTATTTTGAACTCAATTTAACCAGGAATAGAGATAAAATAAATAACCCATGAACTATTTACCTTGCTGGTTAGAAGGCTTCTTTTGTCCATTAAAAGAGAGAGAGAGAGAGAAGAGAAATCCAAAGCACATGAGGCCAGAATCAAAGCCCTGTTTTCTTAATTTTGCAGTCATATGGGGGCCTAGGATATATTTCTCTCCTCCTCTGACCTTTTATACTTTTAACCCTGAGACATTTGTTAAGATATATGCCGTTATGCATGCACTAAGTGTATTGTTTGCTCCCAGCTAGCTTGGCTTAAAACTTCCTGCTTAGGGACTGTAGATAATCCAGTTTAGGGACTGTGGACAATCCACAGTTTTGTTTGTAAGGTGTGTTTGCTCACTTTGTTGGCTCCCTGACCATCCCTCTGCAGGGAATTGAAGATTTAACATGGTTATTTAATATTTTACTTGAACACTGACTTTTTGAAGGCGAGGCATGGATTAGTATGTTTGTGGCTGGTGAGGTGAAGAGTTAAGTGAAACAAATGTGTTTCATATTTTGCTCAGAACAAAGTGAACAAGAAGCAGGGAAAACAGTCCTTCAAGTCAGTGGGAAAATCTGAGACTTTGTGCAGCATGTTGCTGTAATGTTCATCCTGGTTTGAACAGTTTTTAGCAGCATGATCTTGATCAATTCCCTTCTGTCTTGCAGCCTGTTTTCTGTTTAAAAAAATAGGGATAATGATAACACCTACATTGTAAGGTTGATGTGAGGATTAAATGAAATATGTATGAAGTGCTTATTACAACACCTGAAACATAGTTAAGTCTTTGGAAAATGTTAGCTATTGGTAAGAACAGTGAGGGTGGTGTGGTGATGTGGATGTGTTTGTGGGTTGAAAATGACAGAAGAGTCAACATACAAGAGAAACTGAACAATTAAATGAAGTTAGTCTCTAGGATCATGGGAAGAGTATCAAGAACGGAGATGGGGAAGCTGGCTTTGGATTACAGGAGGACGAATGAAAGAGAGTAGTGGTGGAAATACATATATGTAAGTTGCAAATGAAGGACATGGAAGATGAAGGAGTCCATGCATTAGATTCTTCTTTCCAATTACATGGTATTTGGGTGAACAAGGTCAATGCTGAAAGAATAGACACTGAGGAGTATGTGAAAATAAGAAATGAACATGCTAAGGAATGAAAAAGGGAGCTGACCTGAATCACTGGACAATAGACTAGAGGAGAAACTTTGGATCTCACTAACAAACCAGTGAACGAATGTGTGTTATTGACCTCGCCACCAGGGAATGCTTTATATGAAGAGTTGTGGAAGAAAATCCTTGGGCAACCTGGTTCCATGATGTCATCAAATGCTTGGTCATGGACAAAAGATAAGAAACAAAAAGATTGAATGCCGATTGCATTTCTTACCTGCAAAAGAGCACCATCTCGTTGTGGTATGCACAGTAGGTACTCAGCAAACATTTGTTGGGTGTTGACTCTTCACTGGCTTCAGGTGCCTCAGGGTTAGGGTTGGATATGGTTTTATTAACTGTCTTCATTGATGTTCAAAGGCAAAGAAAATGAGCAACAAAATTCAATAAGTAGTAGTGGTTCAAAGTATAAAATAAATACCTGTGAGTCACGAATGATATAAGTACATGATTGAATAAACACATACATATGGGAGAGTAGACAAATATTCCATGAAGAAGAACTCAAAATAATTTATGTAGACACACCACCCTCCAGAAAGTGGAGCAAATTTTCCCACCCCTTAAGTATGGAGTGTTCATAGTAACTTCCTTCCAGAGTACAGTAGAAAAGATGAGAAAAAAGAGTGACCCTATAGTGGAAACACCTGACAAGGACTACCTCAGCCAGGTGATGAGGGTAAATACTAACAGTGATAGGTTATATTGACAGTGTCTGCCCTGGATGTGATGTGTTGAAAATGGCACTCTTTACCTCTTCAGTCTTCTCCCCCAAAATTCATAATGTCAGTCTGATAAAGAGAAAAACATTAGCCAAATCCCAATTGAGGAACATTCTACAAAATACCTGACAAAATACTCCTCAAAACAGTCAAGGTTATAAAAAATAAGGGAAATCTGAGAAACCATCCCATCCAAGAGGAAGCTAAGGAGACACAATGACTAAAGATAATATGGTAACTTGGGTGGGATCCTGGGACAGGAAGAGGATGTTAGGGAAAGACCAAGGGAAGCTGAATAAAGTATAGACTTTAGTTGATAATGGTGTTTTAATACTGGTTCATTAACTGTGAAAACGCACCCTACTAATGTAAAATGTTAATAACTATGGAAACTGAGTATGAGGTGTATTGAGAGTCTCTGTACTGACTTTGCAATTTTTCTGTAAATCTAAAACTATCCTAAAGTGAACATTTCATTTTAAAAAAGCAAACAATCATAAATTTTCACAGAGGGTGATGAATGAGGAGTGAGGCTAAGGATTAAAATAAGCCGTCTCTGTTCAGCATATGGGAAGAAAAGTCCAGCTCCAAAGGGAGCTCAGAAATGTCAGCGTGTCACTGCAGCAAATGGCAACACTCTTTCTGTTGCTAAAACAAAGGTATACTTCGGGAAGATTCTAAAATACAACAGAGAGATGTACCTACCTAAAAACATTCTGGGCTGTCATCCAGAGACTCTCAATACCCCTCTTCCTCCTCCTCTTTCTCTTAAGTCAATTTACTTAAATTCCCTTTGGAAATGGCACTTACCTTCCATGGTTTATGGAATGTTGTGATGATTTCGTGAGACCATTCATGCAAATCCTTTAAAACAGCATCTCACTCACAATTACATTATAAATGATAGTTTTCACAGTTCCCACTTTCTCCTTAACAATATAGTTCTAATAATGTTGAAAACAATAGATCTAACATTGTTGAAGCATCCCTTAATTGTAAAAATATTTAGATAATTGTCAATTTTTTGATCAATATGTAAAGCTTTGTTTAATATCTTTGTACAAATGGATTAGCTTCTCTGATAAATTCCTTTGGATAAACTATCAGATGTGAGATTATTATAAAGTCAAAGGATATGAATGATTTTAAGCTTCTTGAAGCATATCGTGAAACTGCTTTCAGATAAAGAATAAACCACTTTATACTCTCACAGGTCATATAAGATGATGTCTTTCAGTAGTGCATATATGCTCTGGTCATTTTTTTTTTCTATATACCATAAGCCTCTACCTATGTATAAGGAATCCCTTTAGATTCAAGGTCGAGGCTGCCTCCCCGAGTAGCTGCTGAAGCTGCCTATGCTCACTTCTCCCTGCAGCCTTGAAGCTGAACTGTCATCCGGGATCTTCCAATTACAGGGGCCCAGGCCAGCCCAGAATTGGAATGGGAGTCGTAATGAGGAAGCAGGGACCTGCAGAGCCATCTCCTTGGCAGCTGTGGGGTTCTGAGCTCCAGATCAAGTTCCTGGAGGAGCACTGGCCAGAGGGCTCAGGCAGCAGCCAAGGTCCGCACCAAGGGGTATCAGCAAGCCATGCAGTGGCACCTAGTGCTGGATCAATTTTGCATGTCACCTGAGGCCATGTGCATGGCTGCTAGTCCTGGACTTAATTCTCCAGCTTTTCCAGGAATGCTGTGAGTGACCCAATAACATTATAATAAATTACCTTTCTTGCTGAAATCAGCCCAAATATGTCACTGCTGCTTGCAGTGAAGACCCCTAATGTTTATGTACATCATTTTATCATCCCTTAATGACACAGAGTATTAAAATAGTTTTTACCTCAGTCCAAATGTTAGGTGAAAATCTAATAGCTTTTTGTTTTAATAATCACTATTGAACTTAAGAATCTTTTCAGATGTTTGCTCATCAACTGGATTTTACATTCTACTTTTCTTTCCTATAGCATATGCTCCACTTTTTCCATAGTGAAGGAATCTAAAGAATCATCATTCTCAGCAAACTATCGCAAGGACAAAAAACCAAACACCGCATGTTCTCACTCATATGGACACAGGAAGGGGAACATCACACACTGGGGACTGTTGTGGGGTGAGGGAAGGAGGGAGGGATAGCATTAGGAGATACACCTAATGTAAATGACGAGTTAATGGGTGCAGCACACCAACATGGTACATGTATACATATGTAACAAACCTGCATGTTGTGCATATGTACCCTATAACTTAAAGTATAATAAAAAAAATTAAAAAAAAGAAAGAAAGAAAGAAAAATAAAGTCTCAACAGAGGAAGAACATACAAAATCGGAGATCATGGCTCTTTGGCAGGGAGTGTCATTTTATTTTCTTTCTTTCACTTTTCTGCATTTTCTTTTGTTTTCTTCATAGTGTCATAGTAATATTTTATGTAAACTGACTATGTGCTAATGGATTTCCCAAAGGCTTTCCATGTATTATTTTATTTAATCCTTCAAAAATCATAGGAGACAGATAGTATTGCTATCCCCTTTTCACGGATGAGAAAACAGCCACAGAGAGGTTTTACTCAAGTAAAACTTTTACTCATGTAAAGTTACCCATCTAGCAAGAGGTGGAGCCAGGAATGAAACCCAAACAGCCTACTCAAAGAGATGGACATTTTTCCCTTTTCATTTAGGCTATACATGATTTCTATGTTGATTAAAAATCACCAACTATTATAAAACTCTAAGAAGAATGGCTATATAAATGAATCATTGAAATTACTAACAAATCTGTACCAGGACCTGTCTGTTATGGTGGCTGCGGGCATATCTCTCAATTTCCACAATTTGGTTGAAATTCAAGGTTTTCTGGAGATCATTGGAATCTGCAACTTTTTATATGTATCCTCACTATAGCTTATTAAAATGAGGCAGTAGGGAAAACGTTGGGGAAAGCAGTCATTCATTTACGGTGGATTTCATTGACTAATGCCAGAGACCGTTTGTGTTCCACTTTTGTTTCTCAAAGTGCTAATAGCAAGATTCTGTCCCTGAAATCCTATTACTGGTGGCAATGGAATATAATCAGGCAGTACCTGCAGGATAAGTCAAAAGATTAAATTAAGTTGGGATTTGAATCCCCACTAAACATAGAATCAAACAAAGATTAGATTTCTGGACCCCAGTCTCAGAATGGCTTTCAAGGGCTTCTCTTAAACAACAACAAAAATATATCATTATTCACTTTGACCACTGGCATGTTAAAAGGAAATGCAGACAAAGAGAGATGAGGGAGGGAAGGAACTGCAACACTATGGAATCAGTTCTTTATTCCCTAAGTACTTTCCGACTTTGCAGAGCTTGTTCATTTCCTGACTGAGCCTGGAGAAGTCCTATGTTGAATTCACACAAGACACCCATGGACCCTGGAATCCCATCAATCTCGTCCTCATCCACTACTCTGCTCCTGACATTTTGGCATCTGAAATTGAATTAGCACAAGGTTTGTTTTGGCTTGAAAAGCCTGTGAGAAGGAATTTGGGAAAATCTGCAATTGAGCTAAGTATTGGCAATAAATATGTGAAAACTCAGAAAGTGGTGTTGGGAAGGATTTTTTTCACACTTAGCTTTTTCTTTTTTCATTTCCTGTTTTTATTGGTGATCTTGCTTTTCCTAAATATACTACATCATGACCTTTTAAAAGCTGATTGATGATACACAATCAAGTATTAACTGCGATTCCTTTTTTTGTTTGTTTGTTTTGTTTTTTGAGACAAGGCTGCCCACGCTGGTAACTAAAAAAAAATTTTTTTGTAGAGACGAGGTCTCTTAACACTGATTCACAAAGTTGGAAATACTTGTTCAAGTTCTTCCCTTTCTCCTACAATGACTTCCATCAAAACCCATGTGCTTCTTGAATGTATCTTTACTCCAAACTGGCTTTTACAGTTCCTCTAGAGATGTCACTTTTCTTATAGCCTGTTTTATAAAGAAACAGGCTTCATCACTTTATCAAATTAGGGAACAAGAAAGTCACGCTAAAGTGAAGACACCAGTTGGTGCCTTCAAAAACATACACATTCCTGCACATCAAAAATCTTCAAAGCCACATTTGAATCTGACAACACCAAGAGCCTATCTATTGTAAAATATATAAATCAATAATATCAATTATATGATTGTAAGGATAACTAAAATTTATTGATCACAATACAAGTTAGGCACATGTACTACCTTCTTATTACATGTATTACCTTATTTGATCCTAATCAAATAAGTGGGCTGTGTGATAGTGTCTAGCAAGAGTGTGTTCAGTGGGAAGGGGCAGGGAGCAGACACCAATGAGTTGGGAACTCCTCTTTCTGTTGTTCATACTTTACTTATCCACCATTTAGACAGACTACATTTAACTGTTAGGTATAAAAATGCAAAGCAGTACAGTCATGGGTAGAAAAGGGATTTTTTTTTTTAATATTGGAGATTTAAGGAAGATTGGAAGTAAAATATACAAAATCTGCTCTTGAGCATCCTGTATTGATGTAAATTTACTATGTTGGGACTCTACATTTGGCTGTACATCAAACAAACCAAAGCACAAAAATATACTTATTTCACAAAAACGGCCAGGGCCAGTCTGGCAGAGCTTGGCCCCACAGCTCGGTGACATTGTCAGGATGTGTTTCTCTCCATCTCTCAGTGCTGCTTCCCTCTGGGTTGACTTTGCACTGAAGCAGGCCACTCTCTTATTGGCTGTCCTCCACACCATGACTCACGGCCTATCTGCTACAACTCCTGGTGACACAAGAGCACATCTTCCTCCACATTTCTACCTAGGGCCTCAAGTGTGTCTCATTGGCCTGGCTTGGGTCACACGATCATCTCTAAACTAACCAACACAGCCAAAGAGATTTCTCTGACTGGCCTGGCCTGGGTTATGTGCCCAAGCTTGAAGTCCAGGGTGGAGCCAACCACTTGGACTAACACTGGAGAAGGAAAGGCCCCCTAGAGGAGAGCTGGGGTGCTGTTACCAAAAGGGTAAAATGGAGGACTGGGCAGACACAATCCACAGATATCACCTCTATTCACTGAGGTAGTATCTGTGATGAAAGAAGAGTGATGATGCTGAAGAAGATTCTGACAATGATTCCCCTGGCAAAGAAGAAGGCATACAAAGATGTATGACACGAAGGGATGAGACAACTTGGACAAGATTCCTCACGTAGAAATGGGGTAACCAACCATCCCCGTGTGTCTGGGACTTTTATTGTCATAGGCACACTAGGATGAGTTGGTTGACCTATCTGGACAGTACTCGTAGACTCTGCGTGGTGATCTCTTGTCTCCTTTCTCTGACCCTCATGCCCCAGTCATTCACCAGGCTTTTCCTGAGCACAGAGCACTGAACTAGGCTGGACCCTGGGAATTCATAGACAAAAGACTGAGTCACTTTGGCCAAAGAGGGAGAAACAATTAGACAATAACAAGACTGTAGAAGACTGTTAATGCAATAGCTACACCGTATTATGCAGTCGTATTGAAAAGTGAGCTACCAATGATGGGGGTTGTTTGTGAGGTTAGGCGTGAGAACATTCCCAGAGAAGGTAACCTCTGATGTCAGCATTGAAGGAGAAATCAGATCAAGCTCAAGATTCCTGATTCCAAGTAAATGGTGTTTCCGTTAAGCTGAACTATAAAATGTGGGTTACTTAAACAGAAATGCAGAAAGGCACTTGGTACTCCCTAGCAATGGCCTCCTTTTGACTGACGACTTAAAATATGAAATAAGAATGAAGATGCACAGAGACATGGATGCAAATTAATAGAAATGTGTGTGTTCATCTGAATTTTAAAAGACTGGTTGATGTCTGACTGTGTCTTATCTTCCCCAAGAAAGAGAGCAAACGTTTTTGCAAATTTTGGTCCTATCTGTCTCTGCTGTTGAGACTTCCACCAAACCCCACTCACAGAGCACACATAGTGCTGTAGCACCTACACCACAAGGGCTCAGAAGCTCCCCTGCTACCAAGAAGCCCCACCATGGTCTTAGCTCCTATTTGGGAGCAGATGAAGGTTTTCTCTCATGACAAACCCCAAATATCAGTTTTGCCCAGAAACAAACACATAAACATGCATACACACGCACACACACACACACACACACACACACACACAGCGTATCATTCTAAATACCCTTCTATTTCAAAGAGATTGTACATAAAAGAGGATTTGAGTCAGGGAAAAACCAAAGCATTTTGTTTCATAAATAGAATTGGTGTGGGAGTTGATTGTTTTCTCTCCTGAGGGATAAACATTTTAATTTAATAACAGTCAGAAAGTGCCTAAATGTTCTTGAGGAAAAAATATGGTGTTTCTAGAAGGGCAGAATCTATTCACTTGCAGAATAATTGGAATGAAGCATTTCATAGCAGTGTTACTCAAAAATACCAAGCCAAAATTTCTACATGTCAGATTTTCTTAATAAAAATAGCAATAGTTATTGGGCAATTTGTGTCATAAGATATGTGTCATATCTTATGTGGCAGATGCTTTATATGTGTTATCTCACTTATTCCTCTTGTCAAGCCTATGAAGTGGGGGTCATTATAATCCCCATTCTAATGGTGGATAAACTGAGGCTAATAGAAGTTAGTTAACTTGCAAGTAAGGAACGGAGTAGGAATTCAAATTCAGGTCTGTCTAACTTCAGTCTGTATTAATCACCACTTACATAGCAAGTGTGTCTGCAACACCTTCCAATAGAGCTGTCTGAGGTAGGATACAGATTTGCAAGAGAAGAGAGGACTGAAAAAAACCAAAGTAGAAAAATGAGTTTACACCGTATTTATTAAGAGAATGCCATCACAGCTGAGGCAACAGACAGTGAGGTGGCCAGGCCAACAAAATAAAATTGTATGTGTGAAAAAGGAAAACCACACAAACGGAATCTTCACATAAATAGAATTTGGTCATATTTGTGGTTGATTGCTTGTTTGTTGCTAGACCTTTGTGAAGAGTCTGGTTGTTTTTCTATGCATCCATATGAAGTAATAAAAGCTCAGAAGGGCACAGAAAGTTTTAAGTGATTTGAGTCTTAGATATAAAAATGAACTTAGGTATAAAATTGAGTTGTCGATGAACTCTGCTTCATCTAGAGCAAATCTGTTTTTCCTTCATCTTCTTGGCCTCAAGCCATAGCCATAGATACCCCATTCCAGCTGGTTTTCATAAACCATTAAGATTCAGTAAACAAATAAAGACCTATCCTATATTAATAATAAGAATATCTAATATTTATGGAATGTTTACTCTATGCCAGGCCCTCGTCTAAAGACTTTGTATCTATTAAAGTCTTCACAACAACTCCATGAGGAAGGTACTCATATTATCTCTATTTCTTAGAAGAAACTGAGGCACATAAAGGTGAAGTCACTTACCCAAGTTTTCACGGCTAGCAAGTGTCAGAGCTGGGATTCAAGCCCTAGTGGCCTGGCTCCAGAGTCAAAACAGGCAGTAGGTTAAATTTATTGACCCTTGGTCTAGACTGCATTGTTATACTATATATCACGGCTGGGATATTTTGTTTCTTCTGCTTAAGACACTTCCCTTTGCTTTGTTAGGTTGATGATAACATTGATGACAATAACCCTTGCTATGTTTACAGGGTATTTCTATGTGCCAGGTGTAGTGTTTATGTCTCACCATCATTATCTATGTCTTCACCACAACTACATGAGGTTGGTATTATTATCCCCTTTGTACAAGCAAGGGAGCTGAGGTCAGCGAGGGAAAGAAACTTCACCATATAGCAAATGTATGAGAGCAGTGCTGAGGCTCACAAGCAGAAGTGTCTGACTCCAAAGAACCTCATCTTACCTACCAAGCACAGTTTTGTAAAATGTGATTTATAAACCACCTGCATCAGGATCCTAGGCAAGGGATTGTGAATTTGCATTTTAACAAGTTTCCTAGGTGATTCTTAACGTGCATTAAGAATGTGATGAACGCAGCATTAACACAAGGTGGCCAACCACTTCTGGGATGCTCTCTGGACCCTCTAGGCCAAGTCAGAATTTTGTCTGGGTCTCTCCAACTCCTGTGACTATTCATTTCTTACTACCATTTACCCTGTATTGCAATTATCTGAACAATTGTCTGTCTCTTCCATTAGTCAATCATCCTCAAAGGTTGCAAACAGTGTCTCAAGTTTACTGTTCTACAGCAACAATCCATCATGTAGTTGGAGCTCTATGTATATTTACTAAATAAGTGAATAAATTAATTAATAGAAACACTGACTGCAGGGGTTTTTAAATGATTTTCATAACTAGATTTTTGATGTCTACTGCACGATTTGTATTGTTTTTCCCTGAATTTCCTGGTTTTTATTTCTTTTGCTACTAATCCCTTGGTTTAATTTGAAGTATGCATCCACTCCCTCCGTAAACAAAGGGTTCATTTTTATTTTGTTTTGCCTTTTGTTGAATATAACTGAAGAGAGCTAGGGAATATGGCTGTCCAATAGAAAGAATATTCTAAAAAGAAAGCTTTGTTTATATGTAAATTTATCAATGATCGTTTATTGGTACTTGCAATGATGGTGCTGAGGGATTATCAGAGTTCCTCCTTTTAAGGAGTTTTTAATATAGTTGAGAAATTAAGACCCAAAACTCTATAAAATGAAAAAGAATATATGTAATTCTGTGCTAAATTTTATTATACTGAAACATCCTTTTGTGTCCTAAGCAGCTTAGGCTTCTATAGAAAATTAAAATAGACTGGGCGGCTTAAACAACACGCATTTATTTCTCACAGTTTTAGAGGCTGGGGAGTCCAAGATCAAGGCACTAGGAGATCTGGTGTCCAGTGAGGGCACTGTTCCTGATTTGTAGATGGCCATCTTCCCATTGTATCCCCACATAGTGGTGAGCCGAGTGAGAACAAGCCCTTGTGTCTTTTATAAGGACACTAATCTAATTTATGGGGTTCTACCTTCATAACCTAGCTACCTTCCAAAGTCCCACTCCTAATACCATCACAATAAAGGTTAAGAGTTCAACCAATAAATTTGGGTGGGTGAAGGAGAAAACGCCCAATCCATAACAATTTGTTTAACAAATAAATATTTATTAAGCATTTATATTTTCTAGTTACTGTTCCAAGTGTCACAGATAGAGTAGTGAGCAACACAGGGTCCATGGAACTTAGATTTTAGGTTGGAAAGCCATAAACCAGAAAGACAATATATGAACAAGTCAATTGCCAATAGTGGCAAGTGAAGGGAAAAGATCAATACTGGGTGACATGATGGAGTGGCTGGGGTGGAATATTCTGGAAAGAGTAGTTAGGAATTTCTGGGATGAAACTTAAGGGACAAGAAAAAAATAGAATATTAGGGACAGAACATTCCAGGCTGAGGTAAAATGAATTCAAGAGCCCTTAGAAAGAACAAGCCGAGTATGCTGTAGGACATCTCTGGAGCGTAATCTGGACAGGGGAATAGTAGGAGGTAGAAACTGAAAGGTAGGTGTAGCCCGGTCCTACATAGTTACATGGTAAGGAGTTGGGAGACATTCTCTATGTATTATGAAGCCATTGGTGGGTTTTATGTAGGAAATTTAACGTGTTGTGTTGAATATCTTTTAAAGACACCCTTTGCTGCTGTGAAAAGAGGATTGTCTACTAACAAGAGTAGAAGTAAACAGACCAATTAGGAAGGCAATTGCAATAATCCAAGTAAGGAGCTTTGGTTTGTGGGAGTGGAAATGAAGAAAAGTGAGCAGATGAGGGATATTTTGGCAAAAAATATTTAGAAAGTTCTTTTCAAGATGTTGTTAATTTGAGATGCATATGAGAAATCGAATATGTAGCTGGACACAGGAGTAGGATCCTGTGAAAAAAAATAAGAGCTTGGATACAATTTGGAAGTCACTGGCCATAGAAGATGTTTAAACCATAGGGCTAAATGAGATTGACTAAGGAAAGAATACAGCTAGGAAAGCATAGAGAACTTAATAACCCTGCCCTGGGACAGGACAACATATTAAGCTTTTGAGTCATGCTACAGAGAGAAATGTGATAATCCTCAGAAGTCAAGATGTTAAAGAATACTTGATCTGGTATGTTTAATGAGTTCAAACTTTCAGTTGCTATCACTTAAGTCATTTCCTAACCAAAGTTCACTTTTCCTAAATGTATATTTTTGTCCTGATGTAGCACAACCTCTATTCTCAGTTAAGTAAACAGGAAGGAATTGTGTTGCCAATGCCCACTATATATGTTCATACATACATGTTCATGACAGCCATAGACACACCTTCCTTAAAGCCCATCCATCAGTTAATTCAGACCTTTTAAAATAGTTAGAACAAAAATACTTTAGAAAATAGTTAGAAACAAAGGGCCATCCTGTTTTGTCCATAAACCAGCCCAAAGAATACTTACTTGATGTCCTCAGAGTCCCTAATGAGGACAGCAGCCATCTGGCAAACAACCCATTAGATTGAAACTAACATGTCAACACAAGCAAAATATGTGAAGTTGTTGATCATTGACAGACAGCCTGTTGATGGGCATCTATTTAGCTTTCAAAGCAGTCTGGCGGATAGATTAAAAAAATCCATCAGACCTGAAAAGCCTTAACAGGCCAAATTTCCCCAGGGGGCTTTTCTATATGGTACCGATCATTTTCAGAGCAGTGATAGCTCTGATTGTCCCCGGCATCATTAGCCTAAATAGAGTAACGATGCCAGGGTGGGCGAGTCATGTTAAACACATCATTTGGGACTTGTGCGTGCACACGTGGGCGTGTGTGCGTGCTCGTGCTTTCGGCCCTGTAACTTGTTGGGGGTGTGCTAATTTCCATGGCTTCATTAGAGCTTTTCACTTGGTAATTATCTTCCTGCTGTCACCAGGTCCTTCGTGTGAGCACACAGAGAGAACCAGCAACCCCCATATCCACTTGAAGGCACGTGCACGTTGTCCAGAATCTCACCCCACTTCCATCAGCCATCACCTTCTGCCAAGAAAGTGATCCTTGTGCAGTTTCTGTGCCTGATGTAACTGTTTCCATATTCACTTGGCTTCCTAATTGGGCCTCGTACCTTTTGGAGAAAAAAATTGAGGTTGCCGCCAGCTTGGCAGAAGCTAAAGTGAGAAGCCATGCAGATATGGTTTCTGAAGAAGCAATTGATTTGTTTCACACACTACCTACCTTCCTTGAAAATTAAAAAAGCTCACCGACAAAGTGGCAATTGGTCAGGACCTCAGGAGGGCGAAAATACAAAAAAAAAAATTAATTTCAAACTGTGAAACTCAGCCAGTGAGAGCTAATAGCCTCACTCCCGACACACAGCATTCACCTTCTAGTAGACTCAACACAGCCTTGGTGTGGGTGCGTCTGCTGATTTTTTTCCTTTTTTCTTTTTTTTAATTGGGGGAAATCTGTGAAGTCATATTCCTCTTACCTGGATTTCATCACTCCCCCTACATGGACTAAACGTCATCAACGTCTTCCTAAAGGACAGTTTGCAAACCCCGTCTCCCATTATTTCTCCTACCACTCTTCTACCGTGGAGCAGACAACAGTTGTTCCCACAGTTCTCTCTAATGGTGGAAACATAGTAATTAACCACATCCTCTCAAATGTTGGTTGAATGGCTGGCCCCTAATTTGTCTACTTTCTGCAGAGGTTTCAGTGTCTCATGAAATTTATTGCCATACTAAAGTCACCTTTTAAATTATGGATCATGATATTGTTATGCTGCTAAAAATGTTCACAGCATTGTAATTTTATGCACTGGCAATAAACATGAAAAATGCATTTTGAGGTTGTTTAACATGAAAAATAATGTTTTGGAAAGTAAATTTTAGGAGAAATTTAGTGCTGGGGAAAAGGACCATATTCACAGTCTCAGAGACACCGATCCACAATCCAAAGAGTGCATTGGATGGGGACCAAATCTGCAGCCCAGATAGGTCAACAGTGTTTAACTTAGCCTAGACTGGATTTAGAGGGTGGTGGGATCCACATCTTCCTGCCAACTCCCATACATCAAGGGCTCCCCTTTATTGCTCTCTAAACGATAGTGGGGTTTATTTCCAGAAGTGGCAGGTGATTGCCAGACAATTGGCAGCATTGCAACAAATCACCTAGTTCAGGAATAAAAATAATATGGCACATGATGGATTTCTGAAGAGAGCTTTAGTTTGGTCACCAGGGACAACAGCTTGTGGACTTAGCTTCACCTGGAAAGTTAATTCAGTGACTGAAGCCATGGCTATGACCCTTGACTCTACTAATGGATGTATGTCTTGTTAATGGGGCCAGTGACCAACCAGGAACAAGTTATCTTGACAGACATCATGAGTCTGATTACCTGCGTCTAAATCCTATCACACGTCTCACTAGCTGGGTGACCTTGGGCAAGTTACTTATGCTTCTGTTCCTCTACTTCCCCATTTGAAAGGCAGGAATAATGGTAGAACATGATCCCAGGGCGGTTTTGAGAATTAAATTAAAAAACACACATGAAAGCACATGTGCAAGGCACATACTAAGGAACCAATAATATTGTTGATAATGATGTTGATGTTGATGATGATGATGATGATGGTGATAGAATGAGCCCATCCCACATTGCACTATATAAAAACTATATAAAATGGAAGACAGAAGAAACAGCAGGAATGGGGTCTAGAAATAATAAATTTGTTCTCTGCATCTGCCCTCCTTTCTCTACCTGGTAAAATCTCACTCATTCTTCAAGCTTGGTCTAGCAGGTGAGAAACCTTGCTGTGTAGCCTTCCTTTACCTCTCCTGCTACCTTGTCGAGGGAGATGGAATGGCTCTCTTATTGGACATTTCCAGAGATTTTTCCCAGGATTCCATTGTTTTTCATTTTGCACTTTATTCTGTATTTAATTGATCATGTGACTTTTTTACATTGGACTTCAAGCTGTTCTGCACATTGACTCTATCTTATTTGTCTCTATGCCCCACTGTACACAGTGTCACTTATAAATCAATTTAAAAAGCAGCAACATACTTTAAGGTATTGAAAATCATGTAGAAATATAGTGGTTATGTGGGCGTGGCGGCGGGTGCCTGTAATCCCAGCTACTTGGGAAGCTGAGGCAGGAGAATCGCTTGAACTTGGGAAGCAGAGGTTGCAGTGAGCCGAGATTGCGTCATTGCACTCCAGCCTGGGCAACAACAGTGAAACTCCATGTAAAAAGAAAAATAAAAAAGAAAGAAAGAAAAGAAAAAGAAATGTAGTGGCTATGTTGTTAATATTTAGATAATTATGAGTTCCTTTAAAAATATTATCATGTGTTAATTGCCCCTGCCCAGCCTGAAAGATGCTGTCTTAGCAAGCATGCTGTCTGTTGGAACCCCTCCTCCCCAGCAAAGCAAACATGTGAAAAGTTGGCTTACTGTCTACATGCTTTTTTTTTTTTTGAGATGGCATCTCGCTCTGTTGCCACCGTGTCCGGCCACTGTCTACATGCTTTTTGAACCATGTGGGAAACAAATAGGAAAATCAAGAGCATGCAAAGGGATGCCTAACCTTGGCCAACATTGTTACTTGGGCCTCTCTGAAAGTCAGAAATGGGTTGAATTGCCTTCCAATTTAAGACCTCTGTAGAATCTATACCTGGTTTCTTCCTATATTGCAGAGGAATGTTAAGAAATGATACCTGTATGAATCACCTCCTGACCACTATGGGTTTCTGAGCTCCATTTGGTTTTGGCTATTAACTCCCTGTCTTGGAGGCTGGCAGGAGAGTTCACAAGCCCAGATATCAACTGACTCTAGGAAAGGAGGGTATGTGGGAAGGCTACTGTTTCCTTTGTTCATGATACAGATCTATAGAACCTGAAAAATATTCCAAAATCATCATAGTGATATTTTTATTAAATGACATAATGAAATGATATAATGATATACAAATGATGTAAATGCCATAAAATAATATAGGTTGAGTATCCCTTGGGACCAGAAGTGTTTCACATTTTGGATATTTTTTGGATTTTGGAATATTTGCATATACATAATGAGATATCTTAGGGATGGTAGGCAAGTGTGAACACAAAATTCATTTATTTTTCATAAACATCCTATACATATAGCCTGAAACTAATTTTATACAGTATTTTACATAGTTTTGTGCATGAAACAAAGTTGGTGTATACTGAACCATCAGAAAGAAAATGTGTCACTACCTTAGGTTGGGGCTCAAAAAATTGCAGATTTTGGAGCATTTCAGACTTTGGATTTTGGATTTTTGGATTTGGATTAGGGATTCTCAACCTATATAATGAAAATCTTCATGGTTGGGTGTTGGGCCAAATGTAAGACAGAAGATACAGTGATGTTGGGTTGGGGAGCAAGCAAACATCTACTATCACACTTCAGACAAAGCAGGCAGAAGGCGGTCTAACCCAGTCTTTCTCAAACTGCCCTTGAAACTTGTTCAGAATGCAGATTTCCAATGCCAACTCCCAGAGATTGTTTCACTGGGTCAGGTTGGATCCCAGAGATCTACATGGTTAATCAGCCTTCTCCATTTAATCCTGATAAAGGTAGTTTGCAGCCCATACTTGGAGGAAGACTAGTGCAAGGCAAATATTTTGTTGTTAGGAAACTTTTTAGCATGCACAACCAATATGTGTTTGTTGATAAGTTTTGTTCATGTACAATATTACAATATTATATATGTTATTAAAATTCACAAGATAGAAATAATACAAGTATATGAAAGTAAATAAATTTTTGTGACTTATGGTCCCTGGTGAATCTTCTTGGACACTCCTTGGGGTAAATGCACCCCACTTTTGAGATGCATGCCCTAAATCAGTGCTTCTCAAATTTGACTGTGCATATGACTATCCCAGAGAGCTTGTTAAAACGTGGACTCTGATTCCATAGGTCTGGGGTGGGGGTTAAGAGTCTGCTTTTCTAACAAGGTCCCAGGTGATGCTAATACTACCCATCAGGGAGCCACACTTTAAGTAGTGAGGATCTATGCAGTAGCTTCTCTACGACTGACCTAAATCCCAATGCAAATTACAGTTTTAACTGATCAGGGCAATGTGTAGATGGTATGCAGAGGCCGAAGATCATCAACCAGCTCCCCCAAAAAATGACAAGCTAGAAGATTTCTTGTAATTCTTTTAAACTTCACTGATATGGAATGGGTAAAAAGCACCCTAAATAAGCTTCCTCCACCCCAGCCCTTTATGTGCTTTTCTAGAAGGGTTCACTCCCAGCTTCTCTCTTAAATTAACAAGACATTGATCCCTGAAGTCATAAACAGTGACTTTCCTGGATGCAAGAGTGGGCAAGATTATTCTCCCTGATTAAGCCTTTGACAGGCAGCATCTTTGCAGCAAGCATCATGCCAGGTTTTATTAGTAGATTGGCCCTACAAAGTTTTTCTTACCTACGGATGCCCTGGCTCAGCAATCCTTCCCATAGATTGGAATGAACACATTTAAGAATGTTGTGCTTGGAGGTACCAGGAACCATAATTAGACAAATTTGCAAATCATAAAGGGATAAGTGTAATGCACTAATCTGTGAAGAATATTAAGTGGAAATAGGAAACTTAAATAATTCATTCCTAAAATCATCCCAAGAATGCTACGTTCTTCCAGGTGCATAGACATTGCAATTAGGTTATGGTGACAGGCTTACTTCAGATAAAACAGGAATTCCTCAATGTGCTTGTTTAATAGACCTGAAACATGTTATAAGGAATGATTTCATTACCACATCTTACCGATTTGAATGAAATCACAACTCCATAATATGCTGCCTTATGAGTAATTCCACAGCATGCCACAGACCAAAACCTTAGGTGGAGGTGGAGCACACAATCTGCTGTGCATACAGAACCAACATCAGAAGTCCTCTCAGTGTATTTTAGTAAAACAGGGAAGCACCAGGATTTTGCACTAGTCATCTGCATGTCACTTATAAATCAACCTTAAGAAGCAGCAACATACTTTAATGATATTGAAAATCATGTAGTAATATAATGGCTATGTTGTTAATGTTTACATATTTATGAATTCCTTTTTAGACATTGTCAGGTACTAATTGACCCCACCCAATTTGAAAGACCATGTTTTACCAAGCATGCTGTCTATTGGAATCCCCCAACAAAGCAAACATGAGCATTTATAGAGACGAAGCTGCTTTAGGTGTCCATGACCTATGTCTTATACAGCTTGGTCACATTGCCAAGTCTGTAGACTTCTTGTAGACTAATTTCCCCCACATACAATGGGGAAACTAATAGTTATTGTCCTAAAGAATGAGATTCAACTCCAATTTGTTTTAAAGAATATAACAAAAAGGCACTCCAATAAAATAGTAATTTACTAGTTTATTTCTAGATTCTGCATTAGGTTTTTCTATGGTATTTATATACAGAAATATTTCTATCCTCTCTCCAACTAGATTGTGTTGTGAATGCAGTATTGATGAAAGGGAATCATTTGGTAGACAGTTTCCAATATTCATTTAGACATGTAAATTGAGTTAAATTAGTAAATGTAGGTAAAATGGAAGCTTTGAAAAGACCTTGACTGGGGGTAAGAAATGGGTGAGAAATAAACCAAACAGGAAGACTGGGCCAGGTGCAGTGGCTCACATCTGTAATCCCAGCACTTTGGGAGGCCAAAGCCGGCAGATCACCTGAGGTCAGGAGTTCGAGAACAGCCTGGCCAATATGGTGAAATCCCATCTCTACCAATAATACAAAAATTAGCCGGGGATAGTAGTGCATGCCTGTAATCCCAGCTACTTGGGAGGCTGAGGCAGGAGAATCACTTGAGCCCGCGAGGCGGAGGTTGCAGTGAGCCAAGATCGCATCATTGCACTCCAGTCTGGGCGACAAGAGTGAAACTCCATCTCCAAAAAAAAAAAAAAAAAGAAGACTGATATCACAGAATGTTTGCCACATTATGACTGCGGAAGACATGAGCCGCACATACCACTGGCCTCTGACTAAGAAAGTGAGGAGAGGTCTCAGTCTAGGTGGAATTGCACTTAACCACTCCTGGTTTCACTGGCACTGGGGCCCTTCAGTAATAGAAACATACAAATTAGAATATCTACTTGCAAATGAAGCGAATAATAAGTAGAAGGGCCACAACCCACTGGAGGAGACTAGCTCCACATTGGGCAAACAAAGTTCAAGAAAGCAACAGGAAAAATTGTATAACACAATGGAAAGGAAGGTGTTTTGTGCGTTTAACTTCACCTCTTGTACCTCCAGCTGACTTCGGTGATGAAGAAAATAAACTAAGTAATTTTCACTTTCGCTTTGCCTGACCTGACCCTTAGACTGCCAGCCCTTCATAGAAGGAACTGGAACAAAGTAGGAGAGTCCACATGTGTAAGCTTGTGAGAAACAGGTTGTCTTACACATAACTTATGTTTAAACATTTGTTGACAATACTGTAATCAGTACGCGGGGTCTTTTATGCCTCTAAGATAGTGTTTTTGAAATTCTCTTTTATTAAGCCTCACAGTGGTAATAGGCATGCCATCACCATCACTACCATCACCACCAAAAAAGTCCATAATTAAATAAGTTGAGGAATTATTACTTTCCATATCTCTGTATGGGATATTCATTTAGATTAGCACATGAGAACTGAGCAGTTCTACCCTCAAGAAGCATGTTTCGGTTTTTGTTTTTAAGCTGGTCTAGAATTTCTCAAAAATAAATGACCACAGAATGCTATCATAGAAAACTACTAGCTTTGTTTTACAGGAAACTAGTGTCTTTCCTCCTCCTCCTCCTCCCCTGCAACAATTTCTCTATTATGCCTAAGAGGATTGGTAGAGTCAGCCCTGTAATGTCTATGCTCACCAATCCAGCTTCTACTGAGAAATCCTGCATGGGAGAAGAGTTCTTGAACTTGCAGCCTTGGTAAGTCTGACAGTCTGGACCTTATTATGCTAGTAATCATTTTAAATATCTTTATTAATGCTAAATTCTGATGGAGAGGTAGAAGAAAATATCAGACCATATATCAAAAACATACATGAAGCAAAATCTGACATCATATGCTCAGTACGTATTCCCTTGTACGAGCAAGAGACGGAACTAGGTTCAGGAGTTGAGGTCTTCAGAAAGAATCAGAAAAGGAGGAATGAAGGTGGATATTCTGAAAGACCCAACTGCACATGAATGCCAGATAATTTCTCTTATTTGATATTGGCTGCTGATTCTAAGGTGAACTAAGTTTTGTTTTTATTTTTTCCATTTTTATATAAACTCTTCATTTTATAAACAAATTTTGGATTTATAGAAAACTGAAGCCATTATAGTACAAAGTGTTCCTTCCCATTCACCCCATACCCAGTTTCTCCTATTATTATCATCTGAGTATAATACATTTAGCACAACCAATGAACCAATATTGATATATTATTTTTAACTAGAGTCAATGGTCTATTCAGAGTTCCTTTGTTTTTACCTAATATCCTTCTTCTGTTCCAGAACCCAGGATACTGCAATACACATAGTCATTATGTCTCTTTAGGTTCCTCTTGGCTGTCACAGTGTCCCAGTCAGTTGTGCTGTTATAAAAAACAAACAACAAACAGACAAATAAACAAAACCAGGAGACTGTGTAATTTATAAATAATAGGAATTTATTTCTTATCATTCTAGAGGCTGGGAAGTCCAAAATCAAGGCAATGGCAGATTCAATGTCTGATGAAATATCTCTGCAACCAAGATGGTGCCTCCTTGCTGCATCCTCACATGGCAGAAGGCAATAAAAGGCAAAAGGGCCCAGCTACTTCCTTCTCACACTTTGATAAGGGCATTAATCCCATTCACGAGGGCAGAGTCCTCATTATTTAATCACTTCTTAAAATGCCCCACCCCTTAATGCCATCACCTTGGTGATTAAGTTTCAATAAGAATTCTGGAGGGGTACAAACATTCAAACCATAGCAGGCCATTTCTCACAGTTTCTCAGACTTTCTTTGTTTTTGATGATCTTGAGAGTTTTGAGAAATACTAGTCAAATATTTTGCTGCCTATTCTGCAATTGGGATTTTTAAAAATGTTTTTCTCATCATGACACTGGGGTTGTATGTTTGGGGGTGGAATATCACAGAGATGAAGTGCCAATTTCATCAGAACATATCAGGGGTACATGCTTTTATCTAGAGTCAATAGTTTGTGACTCATCACCATTGATATCAACCTTGTGCACTTGGTCAAGGTTGTGTTTGTCAGGTTTCTCAACTATAAAGTTACTCTTCCCTGTCATCCCTTTTTCATGCTGTATGCGTTGGAAAGAAGTCACTCTGTGTAGCCCATGCCAAAGCAGGAGGCTCCTCCTCCTTGATGGTTGAATATCTATATAAATTATCTAGAAGTATTCTGCATGGAATATTAGTCAATTATTCTGCGCATGCGTGTGTGTGTGTGTGTGTGTGTTGTGTGTGTGTGTTACACATCCAATTATTTGTTTTTATCAGTATGGACTTATTTATATATTTATTTTATCCTTTGTGTTGTAATCCAATACCACTTTATTTATTTTGTGTTCAAATGGTTCTAATTGTGGCCATTGGGCTTGGGGGAAGTACAGTGGGAGAACTTCCCCTCTTCTAGCTGGAATAGAGCTTGGCAAAGCCCTTTTTCCTGGAGAGTAAGCTGTTGTTGTTGTTGTTGTTGTTTTAATGGAGAGCATGTAGGGCTTACTTCATAGTGATTGCTATTCTCTCCCTCTAGGGAGAGCCAGAAGGAAATCTATGTCAGACCTTCACCATGAGAACCTGATGTGGTTCTGGTTCTTAAAGATGAAACCCATGATGGTGTGGGGGCTCTCTCCTAAGACGGAGTCCACAGGAGTTCTTACCCTCTTACTAGTCCACACTCAGCCTCCAGCAACTCCTAAAAACTAGCATTTAACTGCTCCTGCCAGTACTTGGCCCTTGCCGCTTTGGCCTCTGGGTAAGCCAATCTCAGCTCTGACTGCAATTGCCTGTCTTTCCAGATTTCACGGTGGTGGTTTGGCCTGTGACATCGGTGCTCCAATGGGTCCAAAAAAAATTGTTGATTTTTAGTTTGTCCAGGTTTTTTGTTGTATGGGTAGAGTTGATAATTCTCAAGTTATTTAGATATCAGCACTGAAGCTGGAAGTTAAGATGAGTGTTTTTAAAAAAGTATTTGGCTTTATTAGACATGAGCATGCTCGTATAAGAGGGCGTGGTTCATCAGAATGAGCTTCCACTCATTGTCAAGGGATAAAGTGCCTTCACCAAGTCATGTCACTAAAGATGGTGGTGCTTCAACACATACTGAAAAGTCATATGCATAGTGCCGTATCTCTATGCTCATAATTCTTTCAAAAGAAAATGCATAATCATGTTGGTGGGTTTTAAATATACCTGAAGTTAGCTGATACAACTTAATGACTTTTTGCAGCCCAGTGATTTATACCTTAGCCTGGCATTTGGGAAAAGACACTGGCTTTGGGTCAATCAAGTGGTTGTGGGAACAAATATGTCATCTGCACAGGAGCAAACACTGTTCCTCTGAATTTTCTCTGCCTATTGAATGGCACAGAGTCTTATATTTGGGATAAAGCATGGACTCTGGAAGTTTCTCAGAAACTTAACTATTGAGAAGTATATGGCATTAAATGGTGAACTTGTTTTATTATGACAGCTTGATTAGTGTATTTCCTGGGCTTCAGTTCTTTCAAAACTATTTTCAAATTTTTTCGACATCCACATGACATTGATACTAGTCATCCCTAAATAATTTGTTCTTTGTTTTCATAAGTTTTCTCTGAATCAGTTAAATATACTTAAATATACTTGTTAAATGTGAAACCACACTTCAAAATCTTGATGCTCTTGTTATATGGTTGATCATGCATTTTCTTTGTATATAAATATACACCTAAGGTAATCACATTCATAGATTTATATCTAAATATCATCCAATGTTGTAACAATGATACGAAATTTAGGAAAACACAAGAACTGTTTAAAAGGTTATTTAGCTGAAAACTGAGTCCCCTGAGGATGAATACAAGATAAACAAGTTGTAATGAGTGGAGTGGATAATAGGGGAAAAATTGGCATTGTGATATTAATATGCTTGATTGGGACTTCACTGTACATCTTGGAGAGAACTGAGATGGCGTTTCCCTGACTGAAATGGGATCAACATGAGGAAATCCATGCCACTACATATTTGTGGGAAATGACCAAAACGGAGACATAATTGTACCTTTACATCTCTCATGATTTTGACTAAAGCTCATCTTTTGATTGCACACTATGTACTAGAACACTTGCTAAGAAGCAGAGAGCTTCTTCCTGTTACAATAATGATGGACAAAAATGAGAATAAAAAGTATAAAGATATTTTGGCTAAGATTCTTTGCTCTGTTTTCATTTTTTAAAACTGGAGTCTAGGCTAAATTGTGCTTTGGGGATGTTGGTTCACCTGGTAGCAAACATGAGTTACCAGTAATCCACCACTCTCCATTTGTTGTTTCATTCAATGCATATTTATTGAGCACTTGACATGTTTTAGATTTTGCCATAGGTAGCAATTACCCAACTGTGAAAAAGACAGATGTGGTGATCCACACCATTGTGGAGGTTACAGTTTTGCATAAAAGACATAATCAGCAATATCTTCTCTTTCAAGTTGACAGGTGGAGTGCATGCTACAGGCTAAATTCTTCTGCATTAAGTCCTCAGAAAGGTAGAAAATATGATTTTTTAAAGACAGGAACATGAAATATTACCTACATCTCACATGAAGGTAAGAAATAGTTTGTTCTTACAACTGGATTTCCATCAAGGGTGTTTCATGCTCAGAGGTGGAAAAAGAAAAAGAGAGAATCGATGGTGAAATGACAAGGTAATTCATTGGAGGACCAGGTCAAGATGACTGACCCCTGCAACTCTCCCTCTTAGACCAGGCAATAGCTGGAAAGCATCTGCCTGCAGGTTAGAGCAGAGGACACAGAGTTTCACTCAGAGTGGTGGGGAGTACTCAGCAGAGCAGGTACAGAATTGCCTCTGCTCCCCAGCTCTCATCAAAATTAAAGCCACAACTCCAGGTCCTACTTCAATAGGTAGCACAAGCAAATGGATAATCTCAAGTACAAAAATGGAGAACAATCACTAATCATCATTTGAGGAATGTGAAAACCCTAAAACAAAGAGAAGTAGAACTTACACCTGAAGAAACAGAGCGCATAGAGCAATTTAAGAGCTTAATGGCAATGAGAAAAATGCAAAACAATCTTGGTAAAGAGAGGAAGGAAAGCTGGGGAAGCATGTTCTAGGTAGAGGGAGCAGTACATGCAAAGACCTAGGGACAAGACTGAGTGTGAATCCTCGGAGGAACTAAATGTCCTTTTGTGTATCTGGAGTAAAGGTGTGGAGCAGATAGTGGAGAGGTGAAGTCAGCATGGTAGAGAGAGGCCAGCTTGTAGATCTTTTAAACCACATTTAAAATTCAAACTTAGGGGAACAACAGCATGTCATTTAAGGATTTTAAGCAAAGAGATGGGAGTGGCCTTGATTGAACTACAGCTGTAGATCAAGAGTCAACAAATATTTTCTGTGAAGGACCAGATAAAAAATATTTTAAGCTTTGTGGCTCATAAGGTCTCTGTACAACTACTCAACTCTGCCACGGTAGCACAAAAGCAGCCATGAACAATGTGTAAATGAATGAGCATAGCTATATTTAAAAACAGACTTTACTTATAAAATCAGGTAGTGGGCTGGTTTGGCCCCATGGGCCAAATTTTGCTAACGCCTGATATAGAAGTAATAAAAGAGAAAAAGAGAGAGAGAGAGATTTTTTTTAATCCTTTTTTTTTTAACAAAGTCTGAAAGACTGGCATCAGAAAGGTTGGAACTGTGTTTGCAATTTTCCTTTATTTCTTATGCTGACAGGTTTAAAACCCGAGAAATCTTGCATTCTACATCTTAGCCTCATTGCCTCCTGTCACCTGAGTAACACCTTTCTCCCTGCTGCCAAAATGGCCACTTCTGCTACTGGGTCAGACCAATTATTTCCTAAATGGTTTGTATTCATCTGCACTTCAAATGCATTGCTTTGAGGGGGGGATATAATCCTGTCTGGCACTCATTCTACTCCGCACATCCATTATGTGAGCAACACATCAGTCTGCTGAATTAAAGAGCCCATGACTACAAAGCAACTGTATATCATGTGTATTGCCGCTTTGCCACAGGCGCTATTCAAATATCTGACTTTGAGAGTCCTTTTTTGCTTAGCTAGGTACTTCATGCTAGTTTAAAAATAAATTGCAAAAAGTATCAACAGTATTCTTTAAGTAAGTCTTCCCATATTCATTCATATCCATATTTTACAGAAATTGTTTTGAAATAATTTCTTTCTCTTTCTCTCTTTTTTTCTCTCTCTGTTGCCCAGACTGGAGTGCAGTGGTGTGATCACAGCTCACTGCAGCCTCAATATCCTGGGCTCAGTTGATCCTTCCGCTGCCTCAGCCTCCCAATCAAGCTGGGACTACAGGCATGTGCCACCATATCTGGCTAATTTTTGTATTTTTTGTAAAGATGGGGTTTTGCCATGTTGCCCAGGCTGGTCTTGAACTCTTGGGCTCAAGTGATCCTCCTGCATTGGTCTCCCAAACTGCTGGGATTACAGGTGTGAGCCACCACACCTGGCCTCTTTCTCAAGTTTCATTTTTAAATTGCCTTTGACGTTTGAGTGTTAGGATGATAGTCAGATTTTGGCAAAAATGGCAGTTAGCCTTAGCTACTGCCTCTTGAAACTCTCCTGGTCTCTCTCAATTCTTTTAGTAAGTATCAAAATGATGATTAAAATGCTAAGAATAATAGTTAACATTTACTGAATGCTCACTCAGAACTTTCCTTGAAGTATCTCATTTAATTTCACCACAAGTCTATCAAGAAATTACTATTAAAGGCTGGGCGAGGTGGCTCACGCCTGTAATCCTAGCACTTTGGGAGGCCGAGGCGGGCGGATCATGAGGTCAGGAGATCGAGACCATCCTGGCTAACACGGTGAAACCCCGTCTCTACTAAAAATACAAAAAATTAGCCGGGCGTGGTAGCGGATGCCTGTAGTCCCAGCTATTCAGGAGGCTGAGGCAGGAGAATGGTGTGAACCCGGGAGGCAGAGCTTGCAGTGAGCTGAGACCACAACGCTGCATTCCAGCCTGGGGACAGAGCGAGACTCTGTCTCAAAAAAAAATAAATAAAAATAAAAATAAAAAAATACATAAATAAAATAAAATGTACATGCTTCCTTTCACTGTGGGTCCACACATGGGCTCCTTACATCCTCCCACACACCAGGATCCTGCATAGCAACAGGATCAGTCTTGCAATTCATGTAGAATGCGGGTCTAGGTCTAGGTGGGTGGATTGCAGAATGGAGTTCAAATCCATATGTGGTATCTCTTTATGTGGGGAAAACAAGCAAGCAAACACACAAAGAAACATTAGACTCCAAAGGAGCCTTCCAGGAATTTCTGAAACTGTGTAAGTCCTTTCTGCTTTTTCCCCATCACTTCACACAACCTCTCGCCAGACACCTACTGCAAATAGTAAGTGTGAAACAGTACAGCAATAAAAAGAAAAAAAAAAGAGGGAAATGCTGACACAATCAGATTTTTATGCTAAATTGTATTTTTTTGAAGTGACTCTCATCATTTCTCATTGCCCATTTTAATCTCCATTTGAAACTGTCCCGCACAGCAGCTTTTTATAAGCAGGTGGTCTCAGGAATGCTACTTTCACATAAGCTATGCGGGGACATGGATTCGCTGGTCAAATAAATTTCAAGAACTGCTGTGTATTCTACCTCCCTCTTGGAGAGTTACAATGTCCATAGCATACTTCACAGCCTGGGATTCCCTGCATTTTCCAAACTTCCATGACTACTGAATACTTTCATGGAATACTTAGTAAATTCCTAGGGAACTAGTGTTTGCAGAATATGGTCTGGGAAACAGCTCAGTAAAGGATAAAGTCTAGGCCATCAAACACAGGCCTTATATGATTTACTTATCTAGAATCAGTCTCTCCAACCTCAATACTTGACTGACTTTCCCTTTCTTCTATCTGTGTCCTTTGTTGTTGAGTTGTTTGTGGATGCAAAAATCTATCTTTTGCCTCTAATGCTTGCTCATGGCTGTGTTTTCTGCTTGCTAGCCACATAACCTTGGCTAAGTCACTTAGCCTCACGGGGGCTTCAGCTGACTTATTTGTAAAGTACAGGGTGTAACAAATGAATGATTTTTTGGTGTTTGTTTTTGTTTTTGAGACAGGGTCTTGTTCTGTCACCGAGGCTGGAGTGCAGTGCTGCAATCACTGCTCACCGCAGCCTCGACATCCCTGGCTCAATCAATCCTCCCACCTCAGTCTCCCAAGTAGCTGAGACTGTCGTATCACCATGCCTGGCTAATTTTTGTAGAAACAGGATTTCACTACATTGCCCTGGCTGGTCTCAAATTCCTGGGCTCAAGTGATCTGCCAGCATCAGCCTCCCAGAGTACTGGGATTACAGGTGTGAGCCACCAGGCCCAGGCTGAATGGTCTTTAAGATCCCTTCACAATCCATCTTTTATCCATCTTGTGATTTCTTCTCCTCACTGGTCCTTGAGTGCACTACTTGCTTTCTCTAAGCCTCACTTTATTTGTCTGCAAAATCAGGACAATAACAGAACATACTTCATGGGATTCTGTGGGAAGAAAATGGAATAAGGAATACGGAGACTTGTTAGTACAGGGTTATCAATATGTCCCTTAACAAAAATTAATAATAATCCCTATCTACCACTTATAAGAAAATTATTCCAGAATCACCTAGAGCTGTCTTCCTTGAGAATGATATATCCTATGTGCTCTGTAGCTTTGAAAGCCTTTCACGGATGTAAAAATAACCCTTAAAATGTTCTTAACAGTGTAATTCAAAGAACGTTAATGTGCTCCGAGGCCAAATAGAGGGAAACTCAATTGCTATAAACTTAATTTTCAAGCATCCTAAATAAATATGCATTTTCCCTGAGGGCAAAGAGTCAACTCTCATCAGACTCTTGAAGGGCAGAATGTGTCAGGACATACATTATGGTCTTCCAGGAAATTGGATAGAGAAACTTAAAGCCCTATTAAGTGATGTGACTTTGAAAACAACATCTGTATATAAGAGACTTTAACTCTGTATATAAGAGACTTTAACTTTACAAGGTAGTTTTCCTTCATGAGCTTAGCTGATGCTCAGAGACAGGGGAGGAGATAGAATAGCTGTGACCATTACCTTTGGGTGCAGTCCAACTCAGTATGTCCAAAGTCAAACCTGCTGTCTTCCAGTTACAAACTGGACTCTCTTCCTGTCTCGGTTGGACTCTGCTATTTAACCAGCTTAACCGGCTGCCCAGGCCACATACCTGAAGTCATTCTTGCTGTTCCTTCTTCTTTACTTTTTAATGTCAACCAGTCTTCAGCTCTCTCAAATCCAGTTCTAAAACCCCTGACATCCAGACTCCTAATCTTCTTCACTGAACTTCCTTTAAACTCTGCTCTACCTTGGTTAATTAACAATTTCACCCTTTACACTGCTCAGACCCCAAACCTCAAAGTCAACTGATTCTATTCTTTGCCCCCCGCTCCATGTCCAATCCATCAGCAAACCATGAAACTCTCCATCTTCAACTCTGTGCAGAATCTGACTACTGATTCTCCCCTCCACCGCTCCCAACTGAGTCCAAAACACCTTCTCAAGTCTACATTTTGTTTGTTTGTTTGTTTTTGGCAACTTCTTAACTGGTCTTCTGCTTGCTGCTCATTTTCCTATAGAGCAAGGTTTCTCAACTCTGGCATTACTGACATTTGGGTACACATAATTCTTTGTTGTGAGAGACTGTCCTAGGCATTGTAGGACGTTGAGCAGCATCCTTGGCCTCTACCCACTAGATGCCAGTAGCACCCACCTCCTCACCAAGCGTGGTGCTGAAACCCCCATAGGAGCTCCTCTTATCTCTCAGAGGAAGGTTCTCTAGTTATGTAAGTGGCCACAATCGCCGCACTGTCAGGCCTCCCGTTGCTGTTCTGAACTCACTTTCCTCCTCTTTCTGCCTTGCTTATCCTGCGTGAGCCACACCAGCACACTGGGTTTGTTCCCAGCACCAAGCCTTTGCACTTGCTGTTCCCCCCCATCTGGAAAACTGTCTCCACAGGTATCCACTTGGTTTATTCTTTCATCTCCTTAACGTGGCACCTCCATGTATTTGTATAAAGCTCTATATTGCGCCCAGCCAAATTATGCTTTCAACTAACATTTTATGACTGAGGTGTATGTTCCCAAAACATTGTTAGATGAAAAAAAAGATGTGAAAAAAAGCATCTACTATGACCCTCATTTTTCTAAAAGAAGCATCAAATGCCTATTTATGAACATACTGCTGTTGGTAAATACAGAGGAAAGAACACCAGAAAGTTAGACACAAAAATGTTAGCTGTATTTATCTCTGTTGTAGTAGCTATATAAATAATATTTTCTGACTATTCTGCTGTATTGTCCAAATTTCTATACTGAAGATGTTTTTATATCTAACAAAAACAATAAACTCTATTTAAAAATGGAATGGTGTCACAATCCTAATATCTCTGAGATCCAAAGACCAATTGGGAAAATATGGCAAGGTGGAGCATGGTAAATTTGTGTGTCTTTCTCTTTTACCCTGGCCTTGCAGCACCGTTAATGAAAATCAAGGGCATCTTCTTAGATGCTTTAACTGAGAGTGCAAAAGGGAGGGGGGAACTGAAATAAGTGACCTAGAATGTTTACATTTATGAGGACCTTGGCAATCATGGAATATGACACCTTCTTTTTTAATAAGGTGGGCGCTCCAGAGAAATCAACTAACCCAAAGTCACATGGTTAAATAGTGGCAGAGATGGGATTGTTCAATTATTTTTTCATCAAACATTTATTAAGCTTCCACTATATGCTGGGTGCTAGGGGTATAGTGGTGAAAGATAAATATAATCCCTGCTCTTAAGTGCAGTGGGGAAGAAACCCATAGGCACAACCAAATAGTGTAGAAACGTGTCATAGCTATGGCCTCATGTGGCTGTCCAGCACTTGAAATGTGGCTGGTTTGGACCGAGAGCTATGAGGCCTGGCGAGGTGGCTCACACCTGTAATCCTAGCACTTTGGGAGTCCATAGCGGGTGGATCACCTGAGGTCAGGAGTTCGAGATCAGCCTGGCCAACATGGTGAAATCCCATCTCTACTAAAAACACAAAAAAATTAGCCAGGTGTTGGTGGCAGGCACCTGTAATCCCAGCTACTCAGGAGGCTGAGGCAGGAGAATCACTTGAACCTGGTAGGCGGAGGTTTCAGTGAGCCGAGATTGTGCCACTGCACTCCAGCCTGGGCAACAAGAATGAAACTTTGTCCGAAGGAAGGAAAGAAAGAAAGAAAGAAAGAAAGAAAGAAAGAAAGAAAGAAAGAAAGAAAGAAAGAAAGAAAGAAAGAAAGAAAGGAGGGAGGGAGGGAGGGAGGGGGAGGGAGGGAGGCAAGGAAGGAAGGAAGAAAGGGAAAGGGAAGGGAAGGGAAGAAGGAAGGAAGGAAGGGAAGAAGGAAATGAATTGAGGGATATGTAAATATAAAGCATTCACTGGAACTACTGAAGGGATGTAAAATATGCCATTAGTATTTTTCATATTGATTAGATATCAAAATGATATTACTTTGGACATATTCCATTAAAGAAAATATGTTAAAATTAGTTTTACTTGTTTATTTTTACTTTTTTTAAATGGCTACTAGAGACTCTTAAATTACACATATGGCTTGCATCCATTTCCATTGGACAGTGCTGCATATGCACCATGATGTAGACTTGCTAGGATGTTAGAAATGAGAGTAGACGATGAGGAGGTTCAGACAAAGTTCCTTACTCAGTCTTTGGGACAGAGAAAGCCTATGAAAGGAAGTGGCAGATAAATTGTAATCTGTATAGTAAGTGAGATTTAGGCTAAGAACAGGGTAAGGTTGGAGTGCGGGAATGAAATCAAAGGCAAAACCAAGTATTTAGGGAAGGTCACTAGTTGCTAAGTCAAACTCTTTCCTGATTCTCTGTTTTATTAATTTGCAAGTTGCAATCATTTAAAAAAAAAAAAAAAACAGGCTGGGTGCGGTAGCTCATGCCTGTACTCCCACCATTTTGGGAAGCTGAGGTGGGCAGCCTAGCCAACATGGTGAAACTCTGACTCTACTAAACATACAAAAATTAGCAGGGCATGATGGCGGGTGCCTGTAGTCCCAGCTACTCGGGAGGCAGAGGTTGCAGTGAGCCAAGGTCATGCCACTGCACTCCAGCCTGGGCAACAGAGCGAGACTCCGTCTCAAAAAAAAAAAAAAATTTCTCTTCTAATGGAAGACTTTGACAGATCCTTAATTCCAGGCTTGAGAGTGGATGTGTGGACTTCAGGGACTCTAACTTCACCAACATTGTTCTCCTTCCACTAATATCTTATGGGATAAGCTCATTTCAGGGAAGGGTAAATTCTGCCTGGACCAGAGAAAAATAATGACATTGAATTAGCTAGATAGATGGCAATGAGTAATCCGCATGAAATTCTTAAATTTGGACTGGGAAGGGAGATTCAGTATTGGTTAGAGTGTCTCTGATTTTGCAATTCATTCTCAGCCAAGAAAATGAATGTGCTCTATAAAATATTTCTGGAATAACCTTTTAGTGAAAAACAATAGAAATTTTTAAGACAGATTAAGGTTTAGTGTCGCAGAAGATTATAGTGTGAACAGACTGTCCTCACAGGGGCCTGTTTAACTGTTGACAAGCTGGGGGAGGGGAGAACCATAAGGATATTTGACATGAAAAATGTGAATTCGCTCTCTGAGTGTTTACTAGCATTCACAAGTAGCAGGAAATGAGCCGTGAAATGTATTGTCAAACATTCAGTGTTCAAAATATAATGCATTACTTTAAGTTGGGCTTTTTGCTTTCTGAGATCCTCGTTCTCAATTTGCCCACCTCTAGGATAGATGAGCTGGCCTTTAATCGTGCCCTTCCCAAACCATAATGATAAGGTGTAGCAGAAACTGGGAAGTGGCTTTCCAAAAGCCAGTCACAACTCCCTTTTCCTTGCCTCTCTGGATTGCAGAGGCTTGGAAAACACAGATGCATGCCCCTTTGCAGTTAGTAGTTGTCGCGTGGCCTACTTTGGCCCAGTGAGATTTGGGTATTAGTTTCTTGGGAGAATGTTCTTAGGAAATAAATGCAATGCCCTGCTAAAAGAGAAACCCACACCCTTCTTCTTCCCTCCTCCTTCCACCTGAATTCTAGAAATGGGACGGATATTCAGCTGCTACCACAGATACGGTGGTGCAGTTGTGAAAATGCTGAAAGACTTTCCCATCAGTTGGTAAATAGCAACTTTCCTGAATTCCCCAAGTGTCCCTCTTTGTCTTAGTGCCTTGCCCAAGCCCCCTGGATCTCCCTGTGATTCTAAAGGGAAAAACTCCTGGAAGAGCAGGGGCCTCCAGATCTGTACCATTTGTGAAATATTTTAGATATCATGTCCTCCTAGAAGTGAGGGAGGCCACCTTGTAACCATGAGGTCTCCTCTAAGCACAGGATGGGGACGTGATGAAGCCACAGTAGCAGCCCAAGACGTACTCCTGCCTGGCAGCAGCCATTGTGGTATGGTTTTCTCTTACTCCATCTCTCACATCTGAAAAATATATTGTTAGGTTTGATAGTTAAGCAAGAATATTTCTCAACCTGGCTTTGCTCAGACACACTGATGTGTGAGGTTTTTTTTTTTTACTGTTTCTACACAGATCTTTTCTTTTTGATCTCACTGTCCTTTCTTTATGGTCTTCACCTTTAAGATCCAGCCTTCTCTGATAACCCTAGAATGTGATGTTCAGACAATATTTATTAGAGGAATAAACGAATGAATAAAACAAACTAAGATTAACTTTAAATGTAAAACACTCAGAGATTTTTCTATTTTACATGTTTGGCTTTTATAATTCATTTTTGCTCCTCTAATTAGAATCTAAGATATTTTATTTCCCCTTTCTCATCTTTTTCTTTCTCCCTTCCTTCCTTCTTTCCTTCCTTCCTTCCTCCCCCTTCCCTTCCCTTCCCTCTCCTCCCCTTCCCCTCCCCTCCCCTCCTGTCCCCTTCCCTTCCCTTGCCTTCCCTCTCCTCCCCTCCCTTCCCCTCCCTTGCCTTCCCTTCTTCCTTCTTTCTTCCTTCTTTCATTTCTTCCTTCATCCATTCATATAATTAATATTTATGGAGTAACTAATAACTCCTGGGTGCTATTCTAGGCTCTGAGGATGCAGTGATTTATGAACTAAACAGCTCTCAACTTCGTGGAGCTTACATTCTAGTGTGGGCACAGGAAGACACAAGAACTAACAAAGCAATCAATCATAATATCAGGTTGTGATAAGTATTATAAAGAAAAATAGAAACCACTGTTAGGGGATAAAAAGTGATAGAACTGCCATTTGGGATGGAATGGCCAGGTCACTCTTGAAAATGGTGACGTTTCAGCCGAGGCTTGAATGAAGGAGTCTAGCAAGGGCTGAAGGGAAGAGCAATTCAGGCAAAGGGAACAGCATATACAAGGGACCTGGGGTGTGAACTTGTCGGGCAACAGGGAGCAGACCAGTGGGGCCAAAGCAGAGTGAAGGAGGAAGCAGAGGGAGGGGATGGGTTTGGTGAGATAGTCAAGGGCTTCTCTTGCACCTTTCTTCTCTTCCCAACTGTTATCATTCTTGTTGCACAACAGAAATTTCTGGCAAAGAGTAAGCCAACAGGTAAGCTCAGAGATAGGCCACTCTGGTTATATTTCAAGTTCTCTAGCTCCTGCCCCTGGGTTTGCCTCTTTGGATTGCCAGAAATACTGTACAGGCTCAAACTCTTGCTCTCAATTTAAATAGTCTGCAAGATATCTCTGGGCGTCTTCTTATGGGTAGTGGTGCCCATTTTTCTGGAGTCTATACCTATGTTGTGATCATTTCCCACATCCTGTCATTATTTGACTCTAACTCATTTTGGGGTTCATTTTAAATTTCATTAGTTAGAGTGCCAGTTTCAAGCAGCAGAAGTTACTCAAGCTCTACTGTAGATGGGTTTATAGTAAGCACCTAGCATAGTCTGTTTGGAGTACCAGTTCGTAGCCCTAAACCTATGTGTGAACTTTCACATCTGGCCATAAGCAATTATTAATACCAGGCTTTACCTGTCAGACCTCGTGGGGAGAAACTGCCCTCCCCACTGCAGACTTGGGGCACAGCCGACACATTGAGTCTCTGAGGGGAGTTGCAGTCAAGCACTGAGTCCCCCCAGCCAGCCTTGCTCTTATGCACATCCACATTCCTGGCCCAGGTGCCTCTCTTTGGAGGCCTCTTTATCACAGGCTTTCTGCAGAGGCTTATCTTAGACACCTCTGCAGGGGTCACCTTATCAAGGAGAAGAAGCGGGGAGGCTTGGAGATGTTTTTCTCCACTCTGACTCAGTGCTCAGTACTTTCACACTCATAGCCCTTCCTTCTCCCCACCCCCCGCCAGCTCCAGATCCATTTGATGGCGGGAGTCTCTTGTTCAGGGGTCCCTCAGCTGTGAGACAATCCCTTGGCTTCAGTGCTGATCCAGACCCTCAATGAGGGCTGGTGCGCTGGGGAAAATGGAATGATGGGGAGTCGGCACTTTCTCTGGTTTAGTCTCTTGTGCATACTATTGCAGTAAATGATTAAAGCCTTCACTGTTCATCTTGGCTTGTTGTCTTAATCAGCTACCCTGACACCTGGCAGCTCAGCTCTCTCGAGCTCCGCTTAGCTCCTGACAGTCTGGTGGAGTGATATGAGGACAAGCAGTCACCTGAGCCTCAGAAGAAAGAAGAATCCAGCAGGCCGCCATTTTCTCCTCAGTGCCCTTGGCACAACGTGGCTGCCTCAGACCCCCAGCTATGTATGTTACAGTATCGGCCCCATGAAGAGACCACTTGAATAAACACAGACCCTTTGTTCCTAAATGCAAATTCCATAGTGACAAAAAACACACCGGGTAAGATGGTCACTTATGTTTCGATCAACCACGGCCAGGGATGGACTGGGGGAGGGCAACTTCATTTGCTGCCTAACAGTCACAATGTTAGTTTTCAAATGCAAAACAGACTATGTTACCCTCATGATTAAAATTCTCCAGTGTCTTCTCATTGCATTTATTTAAAAAATTCAAATTCTTTTCCATGTCCTGAAGAACCCTGTCTGACCCAGTCCTTCAGATCTTTCCTGCTGAACCTCACACCCCTCTCCTCTTCCTTATTCTTTTTCAGCCTTGTTGGCCTTTTTGTCTGTCCCTTGACCTGAGCCGGTCTTGTTCCCAGCTCACAGGCTTCATGCTGGCTGTTTCTTTTGCATGAAACGTGTTGCCATGTGATCTTGGCATTGTCGGCTTCTTCTCATAATTCACATGTCAACTCCCATGAATGTCCCAGTCCTGGAGAGGCTATCCCTGACCAGCCAGCCACTCCCTATCACATGATCTTAAAATTTCTTTTATTTTGGTTTTGCATTTAACATCTCTCATTCTTCCCCAACCCCCACACCCCATGAGAAAATGTCAGTTCCACAAGAGCAGGGATTTGGGGTTGTCTTGTTCACTATTGTATCCTGCTGCCCAGAACTGTGTCTGGCTTATATCGTGTGATTAATCAATAGAGGTTGAAAGAATAATTGCTGAAACCCCACTCTTGCCCATGAGGGTCAGTGGAGAGCTGAATCACAGAGAAAGAAGTCATTGGTTCTTGGGTGGGAAGTCACGACATCGGTGGAAGGCAGTCATCCACGACATTAGACACTATTAACTGTGTCAGTATTTCTAAAAGAACTGGCAATGAGTGAATTCCAGGAAGATGAATAAATGTTCTTCGAGAAATTGGAGATATAAGATTCATCTTCACATTGCCCCTACCGGCCTGGGGACATTCACTTGCTGAACAGGAAACATAGGTAGTGTACACATAAAGCTCAAAGCTGTTAAGTATGCCACAATTAGTTCTTCTGGTTAGTTTATTTCAGTAGAAGCTTCTTTGAAATGTGATTCTTCTCTCCCTCTTATCCTCATAAAAACATCAGTTATGCACATAGAAATGCCAATATTTCCATAGCCATCACTTTTTTGGTACCAATTAAGATGATTTGCTAAGTGAGTTTTACAAAATCCATGGCTATGTTGGTTAGTTAGATGGGAGTCAGACCAGATAAACTGAAATACCAGGTTTTAATATTCAACTGTAATTTCTTCATGAAAATATAAAAATCATTCCACTGAATCTCCCTCAACAGAAGCTGGATGCATTGCTGATTTCTGCCTGCTTTTCATTTAGTATCTGGCAAATGTAAAAACAAAACAAAACACGTAATATGTTAGAGAGATATATATATACAATCTGCAAATATGCAATATACAGATCCCTAGGTATCTGTGGAAGATTGGTTCCAGGACTTCCCTCAGAAATCAGAATCTGAGGATGTTCAAGCCCTTAATATAAAATGGTGTAGTATTTGCATATAACCTCTGCACATCCTCCCGTATACCTTAAATCATCCCCACATTACTTATAATACAAATACAATGTAAATGCTGTGTAAATAGTTGTTATAATGTATTGTGTAGGGAATAATGACAGTTTTTAAAAAGTCGATTCATGTTCAGTACAGACACAATTCTTTTTAGAATATTTTCTATTTGGGGTTGGTTGGATCCACAGATGCAGATCCCAGGCATGTAGAGGGCTGACTGTATATGTGTATATCCATACACACACTAACTCTTCATAATTCTGCATCTTACATTCCTATCCTCACAGAGAATTTCTCTTCTGTGTATGGAAATTAGTAAGGGTCTCACCTATATTTTACTAGCAATCTCTGGTCATTATTTACTGCCCCATATCATAAATGTCTCATGTACCTAAGTGATTTGCGCTTGATGTTCACGAAGCCTCCAACTGCCAACCACTTCAGGGGTGATGGCATCCCCATTTGCTAAGCAGCTTTCACACTCATTGGCCTCTAAAACTGAGCTGTTACCTAAATCATTGCCCTGCTATTGAGGTGGGTGGTTTTACGATGAAGGTGATAGAACAGAAGCCTTAGCGGATGAATGTTCCCCCATCTTTCCTTTGCAAGGGAAATGCATGCTCTTAGGCCGTTGTTCTCGTTCTTTTGGAGGAATTACAAATTTAACAGTGAAAAACAAATGAAGTACAGCCTGGTGATAATATCTTGTGTTAGTATAATGCTTTTTGACTCACATGAGTTTCCTATGTATAAACTTACTTGATCCTCATAAGAACCCTGCAATGCAGGCAGAACAACAATCATAATTGCCCTTTTACACGTCGGTAAGAGAGACTCAGAAGAGCCAAGTGATTTGCTTAAGGTCACACAGCTATTAAGTTGCAAAGCCAGAAAGAGAAACTCAACCTTTTATGAGCTCCTCATCCAACAAGTTTTTCACTAGACCCTTCATGATACTTTTTGTTTGAGCAAAAGGCACATTATTTTCCCATCATTACCCTAATTGCAAATTTGCTAGCGTAGGAACACATTCTTTCTGAAACCTGAAGTGCCTTTTCATAACAGTGTGCAGCGTTTTAGTTTCTAGGGGATAGCTGGCCCTACCTGCTTCATTTAGGGCTCAGAAGGCTGGGTTGGGAGAGGAGATGTAGTCTGCTCATTATCCTTCCCTTTGTAAGGATGTCAGCAGCAACATTAAGTTGCAAATGGAAAACACAACCTTGGCTTGCATCTCGTCCTCATTCTCCGCAGAGTTGTGTATAACCCAGCTGACTGCATTACCCAACCACGCCCCCTCCTGTACATTACCCATCAGCAAGTGCACTGCCTCTCTTCAGCTGGGCTTTGTCTCCGACGGCATTGCATTGCCTTCTCTTTCACAAGAGGCCACTGGGTGTGAAGGGATGTCAGTGTGCAGCTACCTCCAGAACACTACAGGTGCTCTTGGCTTTCCCTCTTTGCAAATTTCTCATGCATTTCTTCCCTGCAAAAAGACAAATATCCAACTTGGAAATGGAACTCAATGTGAAGTTAGGGCAATATGAGAAGGAGGAGCAAGAACCAGGAACCAATAGGAGCAGAATTCTTTGAGGGCCAAGGTAGCGACCCAGTACAATTTTAAACACTTAAAAAAATCCATGTCAACTATATATCAGAAATGAATTTTTAAAACCTTACACTGCCCAGGGCTGCCAATAGCAAAGAGTCCCTCAGGGCCAAAGCAGTTTAGCCTACAGTGCTCCCTAAGCTAAGAAAATCAAGTGTCTAAATGCATATCTTCACTCCCCTAAAAATGGAAGGATACGTAAGCCAACTTCTATTTTTGGTCATCCCTCCGAAGTCAGTCAAATATGAGTTCCAGTTTTAATGTAACATTTCTTCCAATAAAAAAGGTACTTCTGCTGTTATCAGATGTATATGAATATAGAAATATTAATAATTTCAAGAATTACTTGTTGGAGGCCTATCTGTTCCAAAATATATTTTGGAATCTAAGATCCTAGTATTTTGGGAGATAATTCATTAAAATTACTTTTAAAAGTGAAGTGAGCCATGCTATGAAAATAGAAGATGCAAGATCATTGGTGTTGACTTCTTCCCTTGATAAGTGTTTTGTTAAGTGACTGCTTCTTGGCTACTTTCATTATGATGGAGGGATTGCAAGGTCCCCCAATTTCACTAAGGCTCTTCCATGTATGAAAACTGGTGAAAATGAGTTGATTTATTGTGGTGATACTAATAGCTTGTGTCAGACAAGAGTTCAGATGTGAGTGGCTGAGATCGGGTAAGGGATGTGAGGAAGGGTAGACTACCAATCTCTCTCTTCAAGAGGAAAGGGGAAAACATAGGTTTTCTTCCATCCTTAAACACAGTCCAGACTCCTGGCTCATGGTCCTCTGTGGTTTAACTATACCTTGACCTTCCTGCCTTATATCCCCACCTCCCCCCCATCAATTCCTGATCAATCTTTTGCCATATCCTTTGCAGACCTTCCTGTCTGATACAATTAATGATTAATTAATTGACATCAAAAGTTTGTGAACATTACCTTAGTCAGCTGTCTTGTGTGCCCACCTGCATAGGAGGTACATGTCTAGTGACTGGAACGCTGTGTTTGCCCCATCATCATCCATTCAGGAAGGAGGACATTCCTGGTTGAATCCACGCTGCCCCATCAGCAAGTCGAGGGTGTAGCATGTGATCATAATCAACTATTTTGTAAATTTTGAAGCTGCTGCCATATCCATTCTATTGTGAATTGCTCAATTTCTCAGTACCTACCTGTTGTTAATCATAAAAGTTTGTCAAAATCAGAAAAATGATCTTATCAGGAAAAGGAAGGAAATGACTGCTTTAATTCAGTGAATGACTAGTGGTAGAAATTTTGAACAAAGTCCACATTATTTTTACATGGTGCATGAATGTTAAGTTATGTATAGTTGCAAAATCTGCCTTTTTTTCTTCCTTCCCCCCTCCCTTCCTTTCTTCCTCCCTCTTTTCCTTTCTTCCTCCTTCCCTCCCTTCCTTCCTTTCTTCCTCCCTCCCTCCCTTCCTTTCTTCCTGCCTCACTTCTTTCCTTCTTTGCTTTCTTTCCTTCTGTACTTTTCCCTTCTTTTCTTCCTTTCTTCATTTTTTTTCCAAATTATTTGTAAATCTCCAGCAAGGTATTCTTATTAACAAGAAAAAAAGAGTACTGGACTTAATAAGTCAGAAGGCTTAGGGTTTGCAACTCAAGGCCCATGCTCATGAATGACGTTGGACAAATCATTTAAATTCTCTGTATATCCTTGAGGATCATCCCCATCTTACAGATATGGAACTAATGCTCAAAGAGGGTCCTGTAGCCAAATGTGGCATACCTGGCAAGTGTGGAGCTAGACACAGGACTTCTGGCACCAAACTCCATCTCTTAATCCCCATTCTCTAATGAGAGTAAAGTTAGGGTAATGAACACTAAAGACCTGGACTCTTAATAAATAGCACTTAATCCATGTTGAACCAGATACCTTCCCCACCTGCACATTTCCAGGTGTGTTTCCACATCATTGCTCTTGTGGGTGTTGTCTGAGAATTTTTATTTCTCCATTTAAAGCCCTCTGGATCAGGTGTTTGTCTGCATCCCAAATGCACTGTCTTCAGGAACGGTGCATAGAGCAAGGCAGATGGAGCCTGTGGCACTGGAGCCACCCCTGTTTCAACTGTGACATTCCCACTTTCCTCTCTTTTACCTAGTGGGTTTCTACACAAAATTTAACTTGAAGAAAGCCAGCTTCTACTTATACAACCCCCTACACACACAAACTTATTTGAAACTCATAATCTTTGGCCAACCTTTCTATGTTACTTAATAAAAATCTGAAACCTGAGAGGTAACTAGAGAAAGAGAGTAAGATTTGGAAACTAGAAGGAACATGCCGATAATGTAGCCAGGGAACCTGAACCAGGATCAGACACTGATGCCATTTAGGAGTGGGCAGGCTAAATAACTTGTCCTTCATGTCTGGACTGAGATTCCAAATGGCAGGATCTTGGTGATCAATAACAGGTGTTGTGATGCCAGGCACAGGTGAAAATTTTGCTACTTGAGAAGGGTCTTTCCTCTTTGTTTACTGGATATATCAGTGTCTCTCACCTTTTTAAAAAAGTTTCTTAATTCTTTCGGTTCCTGAAAAAGTGATTGCATTCTTGAGAAGAATAAAAAACTCAAGACCATGCTAAAATAGACAGTTAATAATTACCTCTTGATTATCACTCCAGTACACCATGCCTCTCTCTGTTACTGTTATTCAATTTCCCTTGCCACCTTGGCACTGTGTCACTCATGGGTAGAACTGTTTGCTGCTCTGAGTTCTCTTATAAACTCATGAGACAAAGTTTTCGAATTTTCAGTAGACCCTCTTCTTTTCACAAGCTTAACTCTATTCTAAGCCTCTAACTTATCACATTATTTTTAAACAAGTCAGATTTTCACCTCTCACATAACAAAAAGTCTGGAGGTAAGTGGCTAATGAACCATGGCTCATGGACTCAAGGATATCTGGCATGGAAGTTAGAGTCTCTGAGATGGCCTTCCTCTTCCCAGGTTTGAGTATAAGATGTTAGCCACAGCTCCAGGCCGCACACCCTCAATCAAGGCAGGCAGAACGGGGAAGGGGCCTCTCTTACTTATTATCACTGTAAGTTGTACTCTGCTGCACACTACAGTGGACATCCTTTATACTCCCTTGTTGCAGCTGACAGATACATATACCTAAGTGTATGTGTCCCTTGGTGTAGCAACAGTAAATTTTACACATCAGTCAACATTAAGCAATCCATTCATGCCCCAGAACATCACTGCTTATATCACAGTGGTATTTCTTATTGTCCTGAAAGTGGAGTGATATATGTGACTCACTCCAAAAACAAAACAAACAAACGAGAAACAAAGGAAGGCCAGGCAAGTTTGGGGATGCAGTTTAGGTTCGAAAGCCTTTGCATGAGCTGGTTCTTGTTGACTCCTCTGATTCAATTCTTATCTTTCCTGTAGTTTAACGCCATTTTTTCACACCAGACTGCTTCCTGCCCAAGCTTGTTCTTGTCACACAGTCTTTATACCTGCCATCCCCATCGCTTGAAATGTGCTTCCATGACTGTAACATGACTGGCACTCCAGCATACATTCTCAGCTCAGGTGTCACTTCCTCTGGGACACTCTCTGTGACTATACCATCCCTAACTTGCACTCAATCACAGCACCTTGGTTCATTTCTTCATTTCACCATGTGAAATTTTCTTGTTTTTTTATTTCTTCTTTCTGTCATTCCTACTAGAATCTAAGTTAGATGACTGCTGGAACTGTGTCTGACCTATTATTATTCACCTCAAGCACTTACATGAGCACCTAAACATGGGTTGAATGCATGAGAAAATGAACCAATAATTGTCATCAAGGAGATGCCCAAGGTTTTAGATGATTTCAGGAAAGGTGGAGACTTCTTGAAGAGCAGCATTTATTTATGAAAACACATATAACACCCACTGGCCATAACAATGTGACAAAGGTCTTAGGTTAACTCACTGCTCTGCCTGTGCTGGTCAGGACAGGCTTAATACAATGTCCTTTGCAGAGGTGGGTGGAGCAAGCCTATTATTTCAGGGTCCTTGATGCAGCCATTTGAGCTGTTCTTGGCAGCTAGTTTATGTATTCATGATTTAAGATAGAATGACAAAGCCATTTATATATAAAGAAAAAAAAATCCTCCAATACTTTTCAGTGTATTGTCTTCCAAGAGAACCCTTAGTTCTCACTACCTGCCAAACAAGAGCTAGCGCCAAAGAGATGTAGAAATCAAAGACTCAAAAGGAGTCATAGAAGAAAGGATTAGAATGGAGCAGCATTTCCTGATTGCAGCACTGCAGGCACAAGCTTTTCTCTACTTTGTTCTTTTTGGTGAAGACAACGCAAGGGCCAAACAAAGATGCTGTGATTCATTGAAAACTCAAATAAAATGGCAAGTCATTTCATCCAGAGTAGATTTTCTGACAGTGATGTCTTTCTAATCACGAAACTTTTAAGCATTTTCAACAAGCCAAATGAGCTCTTCACAGTTTTGTTACCTGAGCAATTGTCCATTTATGAGTCCCTTTCCATGAAGAACATGTACTCTGTATCCCTGCCAATGTGCCAGAAGCAAAAGGCAACATGCCTCCGGTGTGGCAGCAAAAGCCAAGAGTACCGGCCATCTTGGCAAACAAAGAGCTATTGTCTATATCTACGAACTTATTAGCATTTGGTGCCTTCATTGAGCCACAGGTGAGTGGCCATGCAAGCGTCCATACGTAACAAACAAAAAGAACAAAACAACACCATGTACCTTGATTTCTTCTTCCACACCCGTTTATGCAATCAATCAACTTTCACCCAAGAGCACTTTACGACAAAACAATGTCCTCAACAAAAGCAACAATAGTATGTAATAAAAATTGAGCTAGGACTATAAGGTGTTAGCTTACATTAAAGGGAAAAGTTGAAAAGGAAAATAAAACAAAATACAAACCATCTGTAATGTGCTTTTGAGTTCCAGGGCAGAGAATTCCAAAAGCAAGGGTAATTCTTGGATGGGAGACCCAGTAAAAGTGACAAGATTAGCCGGGTGCAGTGGCTTATGCCTGTAATCCCAGCACTTTGGGAGGCTGAGGCGGGTGGATCACTGCAGGTCAGGAGTTGGAGACCAGCCTGGTCAACATGATGAAACCCCATCTCTACTAAAAATACAAAAATTAGCCAGGTGTGGTGGCGGGCCCCTGAAATCCCAGCTACTTGGGAGGCTGAGGCAGGAGAATCGCTTGAACACAGGAGGTGGAAGTTGCAGTGAGCTAAGATTGCACCACTGCACTCCAGCCTGGGCAACAAGAGTGAGACTCTGTCCCAAAAAAAAAAAAAAAAAAAAAAAAAGTGACAAGATCAAGACATATCGTGTTTCTCTTATCCCCACGAAGAAAAGAATAAAAATTGCTCAAAGGAGAGAAAACAAACAAAAACAACAGAAAAAAGTCACATGAATATGGTTATAAGACAGCTCTTAATGGAACTGGGCAATGAATTTGTTGCTATGATTGGGGGCCATAAGCAAAAGTGAGAACTGTCACATGAGAAGAGGTTTTGTCACAAATCCTCAAATGCTTGAGGTTACGCATATTTGAACTTTAACAGCTTAAAAAATACATATGTCTGAGAATGTAATTTTTAACTGATTTCAAAGATCTGCACATGAGATTTTATAGCCTGAGGTAGGGGAAGGAGAAATTGTAACTTTGCCAATTGTAAATGATTTTGGTAATTTTATGATGTGATTTTTATGCTGGTCATTTGCATGCTATTGTTTGCTTAAAAGAAAAAAATAACAAAATTCAACCTCCCAATAAGTGCTAATGGAAAAAATTGGTGAAAGAGGAGGAAAAAGGGTGTATAGACCATTTTGGCTTCTTAGCCACCTGTTCTCAATTCCCATTTTTCTTCTCAATAAAAACTTCAGTCAGGTTGTATTTTGATGCCTGTCACTCCACATTCATCAGGTGACAAGACTGTTCTAAACTAATACATTTAGCTCTGGATGTGTGGCCTGAGGAAGGCTCCAGAATCTTCCCATTTATGCTGAAATTGGGGCTCAGAACCTCACCTAATATTGCCCTGTTTCTGTATGTACCAGTCTCCTTGCATTATTTCATCTGGCAAAGTCAATATAAAAATTAATAATAGCTTTCCAATCTACAAATAAAAGTATGCCACTTTAAATTTTTGGCAGTGAGCTGGCATTTTGTCATTTAATCATTTCACATCATTACACTGCAATATGGAATGTAATGACATGACACTCGTAAATGACAAACACTTGGTCTCCCTTGTACAGGAAGAAATAATGTAATAGGAAGCAAATTATATCCTTAAAGGTTGCCAGAGTTTCACTCCCACAATTTGGGATTAAGATACTGAGCAGATGCAAGGTGAAGAAAAGGAGAATCTCTCCTACAGATGTCCTGGGTAAGACACAACATGATAAGTGAATGATCCCCTTCCAGAAATGGTCAGAACATTCCTAACACTGTAAACGTCCTTTCCTACCAGGGACTCATGCAGAAAGCTGTGCACAAGATTCTTTCTCATATTAAAGGCCTACATGAGATGGGGTGAAGGGGAAAACTGTGGTTGACAATCAGCATTTTTTGTTTGTTTTATAATTCTGTTATTATTTGCTAAAAGTGGTCAGCCCCTGCTTAATACTTGCTCAAATTTTACTCTACTAAAGGGAGTTTTGCAAAATGGCCTCCCTAGCCAATTCTTCATATCCTTGCCAAGCTCCTCCCTCACAGAACTGGAAACCAGATCTCCTCCTTCTGTAATACCTTAAATTCACCATGTTCACTATAAAGCTCACAATTTTCTAGCACAAGCTAGTGTTTACTTTCTGGACACACACCACCCCAGCCATCCCATTGCATAATCAAAAAAACTAAGAGTATCCTGAATCATCTATTTCTCTGAACAACCTCATCTCCAATCTTTCCAGGAATATAGAAAGCATAATGAAGACTAGTCCAGCAAGGACTTCAACCCATCAGAAGGGGCCCCAGGTGTAAATAACTAGTCTTTGCCAACTGGAGACTTTGGTCAAATCCCGCACCACCTCCTGTTGGTTTACCTTCCAAATGACACTCATTCTTCTACCTCTCTCTTTTATTGGACTCTCTGAGTCTAAGCAATCCTCCTGTCTCACCTGAAGAACCAGTAAAACTTACTCTTTTCCATTATATGTCATCCAACACCCCTCCACCCCCATGATCATCCTCCATACTGCAATTACAGAGCTCTGAAAGATTCACATATGATCTTTACTGCAACCGCTTGAAGCCCTTCAACGCACATCCATTGATGGGGCAAAGAACAGCTTGCTTCGTGGTACCTGCATACAGCAAGTCAGCTTTAGCAACTTGGCCTTCTGTGCACAACCTCACCCCATGTTTCCTGTGTTCCAGAGCCACTGCCTTTACTAATTTTTTCATTTCTCTTACTCGTTTTATCCCCTCTCTCCTATAGGCTTTTGTACCTGCTGACCCGTTTGTCTGAAATACTCCCTCCACAGTTCTCCTTTGACTTGAATTCATCTTTCAAGGCTTGTGTCATCCTAAGAAGGAAATGGGATGGGTCATGTTTCTTGATTGCCACTCTCTTAGGACCTTGGAAGCATATAATCTGTTTGTAGATTCAGGATCATTGGTGTAAAATCTTCCCATTAGATTGTACCTTCTCTGACAGGGACCAAATGTTTTTGCTCATTATTATTTTTCCAACTTTAGCAGACAACCCAGCACATAGCTGTCACTCATTCAGTCAGCCGACGTATATGAACTATTTGTCAAAGGAATAAATCAGTAGAGGATCCAGTGGTTTTGTTGTTGTTGTTGTTGTTGTTGTTTTGTATTTTTTGAGATGGAGTCTCACTCTGTCGCCCAGGCTGGAGGGCAGTGGCATGATCTCAGCTCACTGCAAGCTCCGCCTCCCGGGTTCACGCCATTCTCCTGCCTCAGCCCCCTGAGCAGCTGGGACTACAGGTGCCCGCCACTGCACCCGGCTAATTTTTTTTATTTTTTTATTTTTAGTAGAGACGGGGTTTCACCATGTTAGCCAGGATGGTCTCGATCTCCTGACCTCGTTATCTGCCCTCCTCGGCCTCCCAAAGTGCTGGGATTACAGGCGCGAGCCACTGTGCCCGGCCCGAGGATCCAGTGTTTTACCCACATCATTTGGGCCCCACTCTTGCTATTGTGCTTTCTAGTCTTATTTCTCTAAAGAGAAAATATGGTTTGCAGAAAAATTCTAAAGTGATAATGGATTCCTCTATCATGCAGGGACATTGAGGTCATGATACTTCCTTCGTAATTTTGTTCAAGAACGTTTCTGGCCATCTTAACCCCATGCTTTGTTATTAAAAACTTCACACCAGGGAAAAGTGGACTTTAAGAATGCACAGGTACTGTTGGCTCTTCGTGTGTGATGGGGAGGGATACGTAATCAGTATTTCTGAACCCCCAAAATATAAGGCAATTCTTAAAGTTGCCTTGTGAAAATCCTTCACTATGTACTTACTACATGCATCAGGGTGAGAAGCCAGGGCACTGGTCATTAACGGGGGTGATTTTGCTCCTTCACCCCCAGGGAATATTTGGCAGTGTCTGAAGACATTTGTGGTTGTCATAACTGTGTGGAGGTTGCTGCTGGAATCCAGAGCCTGGAGGCCAGGCATGCTGTTAACTATCTTGCAATGCTCAGGATGGCCCCATCACAAAGAATGATTTAGCCCAAAATGTAACATTGCTGAGGGTGAGAAACACTGGTTTAGGGCATTCAGAAATCTCCCAACTCACTCGAAGAGACCAACAGAGCCTATTTTGCAGGAATGTTTCTGAAGGGAGTCCACAGTAGGCATTTTCTGCTGGTGTAGATTTGGCTTCTTCTAATCTTCGGTATTAACAGTCTCCAAAAAGGCAGGAACCATGGGACAGACACATTAGAAAAAGGCTGGGGGCGGAGAGTGCTTTGTAAATATTAACCCAGCTGTGGAGGCCACATGTATCTTTGAGTTATGACCTGATAAGGCTTTTGAGAGCTTTTGCCAACTTCATGTTCAAGAAAAACACAGAAAAAATTTAGCTGATGATATCCTTGATGCAATTTTCCTTTAAGCACAGCCTCATAAATACCAACTATAGAGTCCAACTGAACTTATTGGAAATTTCCCAAAAACCTTGGAAAATAGACAAGTGCAGGTGGTAAGATATTTACTGAAATGAACTGTCTGTGAATGAAAAATATATGAGCAAAATAGATATTTTATCTGTCATTTTATTCACAGAAAGAGATCCTTTAAGTTTCTCCATTTCATTCTGCTCCTGTTTGGTGAAAGCACTTTAAACTAGATCTTCATTTTCCTTTTAAAAAATCAGTATGGAAAATAGGGGACTTGACACCCCCTCCCCCTCCACTCTGCTGCCACGAAAACGAAAAAAGAAAAGTAAATTTTTTTAAAGCCTCGGAAGAAACTTCTGAAAATACACAACATGACTTGTTACTGAATCTCAATCTTATAGGTAGAATGGAAAAAAACAGGGAAACTGATGCTTAAATAGAATTTTAAAGTCGTTTTGACCCTGTCCAGGCAAGTAGAGTTGGTCACTGAAAATCCATATTCTTAATAAGCCAGAAAAAGCCCTGCAATGAATTAGTATTAAATAATAATCTATAAATATTACGGAGAAACTTTTATCTGCAATGTGCTCTGCCTAAGCTAAAAGAGATTTCTTAAAATGAGTATATCATGGTCTCTGACCTCAAAGAACTTCACTCTATTTTTGAAGAAGGAGCATTTACACATAGATAGTGAAATTACAATATTATTAATTAAATGTTCTATCTCAGTGCAATTAAATTACCTTTTTCAGCAAAAGAAATGAATTGCTTAAAATACACATACACAACTTTCAGAGTAAAACAGTTAAAGCCTTCCCACTCAATGTTTGATTTTGAGATCTTGCACAGGCAAGTTTGGGGTTAGGAGCATTGCTGAGTGACCAAGAAAATACATAAAACTCTACTCATTGAGTGGTAGATGTCAATTTCCCTGAGGCTGGCATCCACTTTTCAGCTGCTGCATGCTTCTGAACTGCTCCACATTCAGCCATTCATAAATATTTGCTGGGTTCTTACCGTAAGGAAGGCACTGTCCTAGAAGCCGGAAGTTTTCTAGAGCTGGCTTGCACCATCTTGCAAGGGTGAATTTCTGCATCTCTTTCCAAGCCTGCATTTTGTGACATCATATTCGTGGCTTGAAATTGGGCATAGTTGGAGTCTTTACACCATGGAAACCAGTCATGGCTTTTTTTCTCTCTTTTCTAGAGAGTTGGTTGCTAAATGTACCAGCACACCACTGGGTACACTGAAAACTAAACAAAGTCCCTGTTCCTATGAAACGTACATTGCAAAGGGTCATACGGATAAACAAATAAATATATTATAAACTATCAGGAAATGCTAAGTGCTGTGAATAAAGATAAAACAGACTAAAGGACTAGGAAGTGGTGTGAGGTGGAGGCCTCTATTTTGTGGTTGGTGAAGGCCTCTCAGAGAAGGAGCCATTCGAGCCAAGAGGTGAAACGGGTGAGGACCTGAAATATGTTCTGTAGATGTGTATGTTTCCCAGGTCCTTCGCTGACATCAAGGTGGAATCATGATTGAAGAATAATCCAGTGAGGCCACCTGAATCAAGAAGTAGCACATGTATTTTGCAATTACTAACCAACTTAGTAAACTAACTTTGCTATCAGTCACCTGCTGCTGTTGGGTGAAGGTCTAGTCAGGAAAAATGATATCAGCCTTGGCGAGGGAAACAACTTAACTGAGGCTGATCAAGACCCAGTCTGTGAGGGCCTTATAAAAACATAAATACAAAGGGGTTCTCCATTCCTTCCCTTCTCCATCATCCTGGCAGCCTCCAATTCCCTTTTCTCTCTTGGGTGGAGCATAGATTGCCTCCTTTTTGACTTTGGTCATGGCCTATCTGCAAAGCCTCCTGAGGCCCACCTTTGACGGCTGGTCCTTAAAATATATATTTTTTCCCCATTAGAGATAGTTCTTTCTCTTAAAGTCAAGTTTTACAGATGAGGAAACTGAATGATGAAGCTGTCAAGCAAATTATCCAAGCTTCCAGCTCATAAGCGGAAGAACTGGGACACGAACTCAGATGTGCCTAATAACAAGTCAGTAAATTTAGTATCTGCACTTTCACTTGATTGACTCAGTAGCTGGATTTCTGAAAAGCAGCAGGTTTTTCAAAAACCATTTTGCAAATGTTTACATCAAAGTGCTTTTTAAAGAAATAATTTTAACGCAAATGTGAGAGAAATCCTTTCTTGCCCCATAAATTGTTTTAAAACTTCTGATTCCAATGGACTTCCAAGGCCTCCCCCAGAGATTTTGACTAATTTTCCAGATACTAATATTTTGAGACCTTTTCTGTATTTTGAGATCCTGTTTCCTCAGCTGTTGCTTCTTCCCTGGATAAGATAAGTTTGTGGGAGTTGAGCTAAAGGTAGTCAAGAAAGGCTTATGAGAGAATGCATGATATGAACTGATTCATGGAAATAGTATGAATCCCAATAAAAATGGCTATTAGTTCAAAATGTTTCCTATGTAGCATGTGTAGAGGGAAAGCTATATAGACATTAGCTTAGTAAATACAACTCTGTGAGAAAAGTGTTCTAAATCCATTTCACAGTTGAGGACATTGATGTTTAGAAAAGTAGTGTGTCATCCATCAGGTCAAATATCTAGTATACAGTAGAGGTGGGATTCAAACCCAGATCTCTGTTCCCAAAGTGTGTGTTGTTTCCAAGCTGTGCACCAACACTTCTCACAAAAATAAGATTTTGAGCTTTGAATAGTCACGAGTTGACTTTGAATATTAACACTTCATTATTTTACCTTCCTCATTGTTTTTCTTCATAGTTTGAATGAAAGCTTTCAAGTTGGAATATACTGAGATATTTGACACTCGACCTTATTGTAACTTTCTATTTCAAACTGTGTGGCTTCTGACTATCCACCTGCATTGGCTAGATTAGGCTACTTCCAAATTTGGCAAAACATGCCTTGAGTCCTTGTGGTTTGCTACAACGATCCACGTCTATCTAGAACAAAGCAAGAGGCAACGTTACTAAGAGAGACATTGAGGCTGGTGGGAAGAACAGTGCTAACTTTAGAAGAAGCTTGATAAATACACATTACCTGTATTATAATAAAGTTCTTATTTCTCAATTTTGTTGATAAGAATCTTATAATCTTGGCCAGATGCGGTGGCTCATGCCTGTAATCCCAGCACTTTTGGAGGCTGAGGCAGGTGGATCACCTGAGGTCAGGAGTTTGAGACCAGCCTGGCCAATATGGTGAAACCTCGTCTCTACTAAAACTATATAAATTAGCCGGGCATGGTGGTGGGCACCTATAATTCCAGCTACTCGGGAGGCTGAAGCAGGAGAATTGCTTGAACCCAGGAGGCGGAGGTTGCAGTGAGGTGAAATCATGCCATTGCACTCCAGCCTGGGTGACAGAGTGAGACTTCTTCTCAAAAAAACAAAAAACAAACAAAAAAAATCTTTACAATGCTATGAGGACATCGAAAATTTAGAAACATAACAGCTTCTTACTCTACCAGGCTGGTCACTCTTACCAACAAGAGAATGGGTTAATTTGATACAATGTATTCTCCTTGACCCTATGTTGGTTTCCAATGGTCACTAATTTTTTTGTATAGTTGGTCAACATCATTGCCTATGTTTTCTGTAATATAATTGGGGATGTGATATGGTTTGGCTGTCCCCACCCAAATCTCATCTTGAAGACTAGCTCCCATAATTTCCACATGTTGTGAGAGGGACCCGGTGGGAGGTAATTGAATTATGGGAGTGGGTCTTTCCCATGCTGTTCTTGTGATAGTGAATAAGTCTCATGAGAGCTGATGGTTTATATAAAGGTGAGTTCCCTTACACACGCTCTCTTGCCTGTCACCATGTAAGATGTTCCTTTGCTCCTCCTTCATCTTCTGCCATGATTGTAAGACCTCCCTAGCCATGTGGAACTGTGAGTCCATTAAACCTTTTCTTTATAAATTACCCAGTCTCGGATATGTCTTTATTAGCAGCGTGAGAACAGACTAATTCAGGATGAAAGTTACAGTCACTACTATGTAGTCTCTAAAATGGCACTGTCCAATATGGTAGCCGCTAGCCACATGTGGCCATTTAAATTTAATGAAAATTAAATAAAATTTAAAAATTAGTACCTAGTCATACTGGCCACATTTCAAGTACTCATTATCCACATGTGGCCAGTGGCTATCAGATTGGACCACACAGACACAGTAACATCTCCACCTTTACAAAAAGTTCTATTGAACAGCACTATTCTACAGTGCAACTTTATTTTCAGTTTTTAAAAAACAATAATGTTTAACCAACCCTAAGCTTCTGACATCTTTAGCTTTCCCTAAAATTTCTCAAATACATATAGTGAGGGATGGAGGGAGGGACTACTGCACAGAAGTTAAGATTGTGGGCTTTGATGTCAGACCCGAGTTTAAGCACTGGCTGTGCTCTCTGTTTTCTGTTTGACCTTAGTTATATCTCTTAACCCATCTAAGTTCCACTGTGTGAAGCTTTAAGAGAGAGATAATAGTAGTACTTGCCACACGGGGCTGTTGTGAAGATTAAATGAGATATTGCACACAAAGAGTTCAGTCAGGGTCGAGTGCTCAATAACATATTGCTATTTTTGCTACTGTCAATCACTTTAAATTACCAGTGTGGCAAAAACGAGAATGCCCAGCCAATAGTCTGTAGCCTCCTCTCCTTTCCCAGTTTGTTTGCAGTAAGGCTGGTGATGTGACTAGGGCTCTTTGAGGGATGTAACATATGTCACTTCTGGACTGAGGAATGCAGAGCCCCATGTAATCGTCCACGTTTTCTCTGACAGCCAAGGATAAGGGCCAGGGGCTCAGCTGCTAGTCACAGGGATGGAGCAACTTGGATCACCCAGTCATAGCATGGGGTTGCTCTGCAGAGCTGTCTGACCTTCGGAGGACTTTGTGTGACCATAAACTTTATAAACAAAGTCACTGAGACTTGGAGATGGCCCATTATCTATATTGGAAGGATTGAATTCATTGGAGGCAATTAGGTTGTCTCTGATCGTAAGTTCATCTACCTAGACCTCCTCAGCTAAACCTATTGAGGCTGGATAATATTTGGTTATATTAATTGATGTGCGTTGTATTCTTGGACTTGCCTTTTCATCTTCATTCAAACTAAACCAGGAGTCCATTGTTCCTTAGAGAAGAGTCAAAATAGCAAAAATGTGGAGAATACGCATTTTTGTGTTTCAAAATTCTGGACACGTATTTGAAAACCTCAACAAGAGAGCATAAAGTTTATGTCATAACTGATTTATTGGGAATAACACATGAAGAGTTAGATTTTCTCATTGCCCAGCTTGTTTTAGATTCTCCAGACTTGTGATGTGGACCAGAAGGGAGCAGCAAAAGTATTGCTTAGGATCCCCCCAAAAGAGGTCTGAGCTCCAGTTCTGCTACCTGGAATCTGAATGACAATCAACAAGTTATGTAAGCTCCCTGGGTTTCAGGTTCCTTAGCTGTAAAACTGAGAATGAAAACATGTCAGGAAATTCTTAAGGTGCTAGATGATGATAGTGTAGACCAGCTCTGATAGATATAACTTTTGTTAATGGTAGAAATATTCTGTATCTTCACAGCCACTCACCATATGTGGCCATCGGGCACTTGAAATGTGGCTAGTGCAACTAAGGAATTGAATTTTTAATTTTAGTGAATTTTGACGTATTTAAATGGCCACGTGTAACTAGTGGCTAACATCTTGGACTGCACAGGTCTAGACTACATTCCTTCCCATCCCCATGAGTTTGCTCTACCAATGCCCCAGAACTTAGACACATAACTGTGAATTGACTGAAGAAGCATGAATTGACGAGAATTGTTTCTTCCAGCCAACAGCATAAAAACTTGCTATAAAAATTAATTTCTATTGGAAAATAACATTTCTTTCACACTTGGTTTGGGAATCCTCTCTAGTGCCTTAAAATAGAGACCTATTTTATTCTCAGAATGATCAAGAGCCCGAATGAATTAAACTGCTGGCTTTATTCCTCTGCATCCGGCTTCTATTGGTAACTTTCACACTAGCCAGGAAATCTGTTTGTAAGGCTGAGCGACTGGTTGTTAAAGAGGGGTCACGCCTCACGGTAACATGTGGCCCCACTAGCCCCTAAGCACTGGCATGTAGCCACTTGCTCACACCTACCACCAGACGCCCAAAGAAGCTCCAGCTCTTTGATTTAATTGTTATCCTCCTCTTTCTGCATTTTAATTTTTCTTACATTGACTCACTCCCTTAGACAGATCTGAGGCAAAGAGTATTTGTCCACCATGAGTCACTCTTACAGGAAAGGGAGAAGGATAAAGTAGCAAAGAGAGAGAAGGAGATGCACATGTGTTTATGTTTCTGAGTTCTCCATGGTTTGATTAAAATGGTTCATGGAACAGAAAGAAAACGTTGCTTTACTAGCTGTCATCGCTAAGTGCATCTTTCCATCTCTCTGTCTCTCCGTCTCTCTGTAACAGGGCACATTAAAGCAGGAGGGCTAAAGCCTCCTCCCTCCCAGGCCTGGAATTCCCTATGACCTGGGACTTGGCAAGCCCTTCCCTCTTTAATCAGTCACAGTGTTCCTGAGGCCCCTCCTCTTCCAGGAAGACCTCCCCAGGCAAAGAGGAAAAGCAACAGCAGCCAATTGCCCTTTGCAATCCACCAGCCACCCTGGCCCTCCCTCCCATCCCGTTAGTGTTTGTGGTAGATAATAGCAATTAATTCTCTTATCTACCAAATAAATTAGATCTTCGTATTTGTCTCCATCTTGAAAACTCCTAGAGAGAAGTATATTCGTAAACTCTGTCTGTGTAGCACTCCATTAGATAAGTGGATTGCATCCTCATTTTTCTTATCCCAACACTGCTGATGGATTATGTACATTTGCGATGACACACTCTGATTTTGATGCTCATTCCCCCAACACCCACAGAAAAAGATAATTTGCAGCTGAGTAAAGAAGGTAATTTTTAACACGGTATTTATAAAAGTGCATTATAACAAGTAAGGGTATAGCTCGGGTAAGGAAGACTCTGGGTTCTAGATCATTTCCCTGGGATAACTCTAACTCCTTGCCTTTTTCTACCACTGAAGAAAGTATATCAGTTTAATTGTATTATATGTAAATTTGCCTCAATAAAGCTGAAGAAAAGAAAAAGACAGAGCTAAAGATAAAGGAAGAGTGACAGTACCATAGACATAACCTTTAAACTCCTCACATCTCGAAAACTTGAAAACCATATACACATTTATTTAGTTCTTTAGTTGCATTAACACATGATTTGCAACAAATCTCATAACTGATTGTGATGTGGTAGAATGTCTCAGAAAAACAAAGAACCATAAATAAAGAAAGAAAATAAAGAACTGCTTTCCATGTGGTAAGGTCTTGAGGCCTGAGGTGGATTTTTATTACTTTTCCATCCCCCCGGCCTGGTAGGGTCCCTAGTACAACATAACTACTTAATAAATGTTTATTGAACTGATATGAATTCAACTGAAGTGTTCAACGCTATTCACAGACTATTATGTGAAACATGGTGTAGTTCATAGTTGCAAGAATGATGAGTACTGCTCTCATCCTGAAAATAAGGAAACAGAGGTGTAGAGAGAGATGAAGGCATTTGCCTTGTGTTTTAAAATTTGAATTTAGTGGACTTGGGATCAGTTTCAGCACTGAAACCCCCTAATCCACATATTCCCACTATGCCATGCTAGCTCAATGAGGGCTTTGCACAGAGTACTCATACAAGCATTTCTGAGGCTTTCTGGTCCCTGATGCCATTCAGGTCTTTGGATGTTTAAAGGAAGGAAAGATTGCAAGAAGGGTAATGATACCCTGCACATCTCCATTTGGAAGAGGCTCTTTATTGACACCTGTTTTCATCAAAATGGATTATGTATTTACCCAAGGGCTGCTGTCTTCTTTATAGACTGTTAGCCTCCAAAAATAAGTATATTGACCTCATAAAGTGCTTAATTTTACCTGAGTTACTTGCCCTTTTATTTCCAAGACTTCTTTTATATTTTAAATAACCACTTTGATGTGCTCAGTGCCCTGAATGAAAGTAGTTAATCAGGCAAACGAAGAAAGTAAAATGAGTTAAGGACCAGAAGTGACGATATCTGTGAAACTGGCTAATTTCACCACTATTGGTGGTAATTAAATGGGTGATATATTATGGCAGTGCAACTTGTGTACAGTATGCCTTTTAATCCCCTTCCCCTTCGAGTGTAAAGAGCTTTACTGAGGGAGTTGATTACAAAATCAATACATGCATATTATTTTTAAAAATATACAGAAGTGAATGAAGTAGAAAGATAACATCTTCACCCGTAAATTCCCTTCCTTAGCCTCTCTGGAAAAAATAACTTTGAGCAACTCATACATATCCTTCTCAGCCTTTTTATTAATGTGTACTATAAGGATATGGAAATAACATTTTAACAAGCCTACTCTTTTCATTTAAAATTTCTCTTGAGCATCTTAGATATACCTCCTATATAATATATACATATGCATTTATATGTACACAAGTGTGTATATATATGCATATGTGCTTATATGTGTGCACATATGCATATGTGTATATAAACACATACACAGACACCTACTCACACCGACACATATACTGCATATACATACAAGTATACACACATTCCCAATTGATGAGCATATAGATTTTTTTAAATTTTCTATGTTATAACCTTTGCTGCAAAATTCATCCTGTACTTATATCACTTTACAATTGTTTAATTATCCCCTCAGGAAAAGTTCCAGGGAGTAGAATTATAAAGTTTTATTTTAGTAATTTTAATATTTTAAAAATTAAATATCTACCTTTATGTGGCAGAGTAGCATGATAAACCATGAACCCTTGCTTAAAGCATTTAAATCTTAATAAACTTTGTGAAAAAAATCAGTTTCCAAATCAGAGATAACGTACAGAAAATGCCTAGCATAGTGCCTAGGATAGAGGAAGCCCTCAAAAAATGTTAGTTTTAAATACAAACAAACCATGTCAGAATGTGATGGGACCCCTTCTTCTCTTTACTGCAGATTGACTTTTGGGGAGGATTTACCCAGACAGTCTGGCTCAACAGAAGCCATGGGATAAACTGGATCCCATCGATCACAGCCCCACCCCTGTCCAGGAGCTGCCGCTGCCTCTGTGTACCCATCCCCACCCCCAAACAGACACATCCATCACGCGCCATGCAGAGTTTATCTTCAGTGCCAGGATGGCAGCAGCAACGGGCAGAATCTCTGGATGAGAAGCCCTGGGTTGTACATTTGTGTATGTGGGGAAGGACTAGAAGCTTGGAATACATTTGTCTTGATTTTCCCAGCAATCATCAGGCAAATACTCCAAATGCAGCATTTATGAAGTAAGGGCATCTCCCATGTGCCATCCAAGGCTGTTCTCAAGTGCTTTATACCCCATTATTTCGGAGGCAAGGAGTAGAGTCAACTCTTACCCCAGGCAAAATAGGAAGAAGTTTATCTCTATGAACCCTTCATCTCCTGCTTTGTTTTCCATCTTTGCTTCCAACGATACCACAGCACCTGCAGTCCAGACACCAGATCTTTGTCCTTTACTGACCCAAATATAACAGTCCTGTGTTCTGTTTGAATGGAGTTCTGGTGACTATCAGGTTAATCTGATAAAGTAACTCAGGATTGGGTCCCAAGAGCAGATAGCATTTGATGAGTTTCCCCTTCCCAGGTAAAAGGTACTTGCTCTCAATTTCTTAAAAGAGGAAATACCAGGCTCTGTAGCGGGGCTGGCTGAGGAGCAATATTTAGAAAAAGAGTACATTTTTTGATATCCTAAAATCATACACTCTATATGATGTCACAATCTGTCTCTGTGCCCAGTGGCCCTGGAAAGAGAGTGCTCTACATTCTCTGGGGGATTTAAATGTAAACTAAAAGGCCCCTGAATTGAAGCCTCTTGCTAATACTCCAGTTTCCTGTTATAATTTTAGACATAATTTATCCCAAACCTTACCTGGAGTCAAGATATGAAATTAATCTTAGTGACAAACTCAGGATAGACTCTCAGACAAGAATAAGGGTCTTGATGATTGCAATAATCTTTGACCATTCTTGTGTCTGTCCCCATTTCCCAGTTGGAGACCTCTCTAACAATATTATGTAGTGGAATAAGTAAAAGAATGGAAGTCAGAAAACTAGAAGGAGGTGCTACCTCTATCCCATTTTCATTGGTGGCTTTAAGCAAGTCATTCACATTTATTTGAGCCCCAGTTTCCTCTTTCTTACTCTTGTTTGGTCAATGGTATCTGGGAGTTGGTTCAAATGAGAGAATCAATCTGAAAGTAGCTTGGTTAATATAAATTGATTAAGAAGTGTTAGCTTATTCACAATAGTAAAGACATGGAATCAACTTAAATGCATCCATCAATGGCAGATTGGAAAAAGAAAATGTGGTACGTATACACCATGAAATACTATACAGCCATAAAAAAGAATGAGATAGTGTCTTTTGCAGGAACATGGATGGAGCTAGAGACCATTATCCTCAGAAAACTAACACGGGAATAGAAAACCAAATACCACATGTTCTCACTTCTAAGTGGGAGCTAAATTATGAGAACTCATGAACACAAAGAAGGAAATAACAGACACTGGAGTCTACTTGAGGTTGGAGGGTGACAGAAGGAAGAGGAGCAGAAAAGATAACTGTTGGGTATTGGGCTTAATATCTGGTGACGAAATAATCTGTACACCAAACCCCCATGATGCAATTTTATCTAAGTAATGAACCCTCACATGTACCCCGAACCTAAAATAAAAGTTTGTAAAAAAGAAGTCTTAGTTTTATCATTTTCATTATTGCTATTATTATTACATCTTTGGTGAAACAAACACAAAAACAAAACAGCAATCCATGCCAGCAAGATTCTTTGACCTATTTCAAGAAAACATTGGCAAATCAACATCTAGCACATAATACTGTGAGGAACCAGTGAGCTGCACAACGTAAGAACAAGTGAGGATGACGTGAAGGAATCTGGATGTTAGGGCAGGCCAGTTCTTTCCTGAGTCTTTAAAGAAACACTCATTGAAATCCTTAATATGTGCCAGGTGCTATAATGAATTATTTGCATGCATTACACCATTAAGCCCTCACATCAGCCTTATTAAGTAGATAAACACATTATCCCCATCTTACAGATGAGGACAGAGAGGTCCAGAGATGTGAAATAACTGGCCCCAGTTTCCTCAGCAACTAAAACTGTTGCAGAAATTCTACGGAGATGATGTGTGGCTCCTGCACAGCACTGGGCTTGCTGCGATGTTAGTACCATCACTTTTGCATGAGATCATGCAGAAGTGATGGTGGTGGAAGCCTCTGTGCTAGTCACTGGTACTGAGGCCACACGGGCTTTTGATCCTTTCAGGACGTTTCCAGGATAAGAGATCCGTGTCTCACCTCTGCAGCAACAGTTGGGAAGAATGCCTTCTTCTGAGTGAATGCATGAGCCTGTCTTACCTGTTTCTGCTTTCATTCCCAACTATGTCCTCAAGAGAGTTCACACAAGCCCCTCCCATCAGTCTTGTAGAATTGCAACTTTAAGCAGACCTGACACTATAGAAACAATAATTGGCAAGACATTCACAAGGAGCAAAAATGGTCATTTCCTCAGGCACCAAAAAAGTATAACCTAGTTCTGAGGTTCCAGAAAATGATGGCTGGAATGACCCTGAAGTCTGCACCACCATAACAAAAATGCAGCCTCATTGCTCTCCTTCTGATAGCTATAATCCTCCACATGAAAGCAGGCATAACTATTATTTTAGATGACATCCCCTTTTTAACTTTAAGCAGTGTTCTTTAAACATTTCTAAACTTTCCCAATTTCTCCCCAACACCATGCTATGAATTTGCTTGTCACTGTAAGCTGTACACAAAGAGAGACACATACAGCAAGCACAAAGATATCAGGAAGTGGTTTTCCTAGCAACAGTAATCATCTGAAAGATCCCAGAACACCCTTTCTATTCATACAGCAGTTCGTGTTTTGAATAGTGCTGACAGGTGAAGTGGATTCATGGTATTTAATACAAAAAATATTGCTGGGGATTGGTACTGCACAAAAGCTCAAATATCCATACTATTCACAAGCAGCTGAATTCACTGTTTTTATATCTATCGAGATTATTTAGTGAGGCACAATTGCAAAAGCAAATATTCACCTGCTCACCGAATGACTAATCCGGGGTGTATTATGGAAAGTCTGATTCCCTAGACCTCATTCAGGCAACTGGGACACAGTTCTAAATCAAGTCCAGCTCGCTCCATGCAAGACAGTCTTGTGGGTAGTTCTGAATGATAAAGAGACATCCCCCTCTCCAGTTCCCTCAGCAGATGTGTCCAGTTTAAAATAAAAATGAGTCAACGCTGTTGACAAAAATCACCCACCCCCAAGGAACTCCATCTAGTTATTGCTTTGACTCTATCAGAAACACTCCCAAATCACTCCTCCCATCCTCTCACCAGCCACGTACAAAGCAAAGTTATCCCTGAAGGTGAAACAAAAGAGAACAAAAAGTAAAACAGCAAAAAACTAGAGTTCTCTCAGAGAGACAGAGATTGAGAGAGAGAGAGAAAGAGAGAGAGGGAGAAAAAGGGAGGCAGGGAGTGGGAAAAGAAAAGAAAGAGAAAGAATGTCCCAAGATGCAAAGGAGACTGCAGGAGAATGCTTGGAGCATAATTCCGTAAAGAGAGAGTGTGTGTTTAAGTCACACAGCCTTACAATCCATGTGAAACTCCATAAGGTTTTTATTATTACCATTATTCTCTTTTTTAATTAAAAAACACATAATATGTACAAACCTACCACACATACAAACCTGTGCCTTGCACTGGGGGTAAGAGAGGTCTCATTCTTAGGTTTACAAGTTAGCTAATGAGATGGAATAATAAGGGAAAGTTGTAAGCAGCAATTGATGTCTGCAAATACTAAGTTTCACTCTTTAGCAATATATGGCTGCCTACATGTTGATACGGAGAGGGGGAGTGGCTGTAATACAGGGTAGTTAAGTGGAAGCATTTGAAGGTTTGAATTCTAGCTGTGTGGTTGAGAGCAAATTTGTGGAATATGGCAGTCATACTTACCTTACAAGACTGTTGGACAGATTGAACACGACAATGCCCTCAACACATCTAAAGCACTTAAGGGTAGCTACAATTCACAGAGGGTGCCAATCAAAGACATGCCACTTAAAATGACAATGGTCTACTATTTCACACCCCTAAAATTAACAAAATTTAGAAGTCTTATAATATCAAATATTGTCAGAGGACGTGGAAATCTGCATTGCTACCAGGAATGTAAAAGGTACAAGCATGTTAGAGATGTATCTGATGCCACTTAAGATGTGTGTACTCATTGCTGGAGCCAGAAGTTCCACTCTAGGGTGTATTCATTAGTAAGATTCTCATAAGTATAACCAAGGAGACCTCTGTGAAAATGAATGTGCTCTGCTTTTAATACTGAGAGATCAGAAAAACCTAAATGCTTATCCATAGGAAAATAGATAAGCAAATAGTGGTATATTCATACAGCAGTTAGAATGAGTGAACAAGGCTTGAATTTATCAATACAGCTAAATCTCCAAGACATAAAGTTGAGCACCCAAAGCACGTTGGGCAGATGGATATGAATGATGTGATGCCGTGCATAAAATGTTTAAAATGGACAAAACAAACCCCTACTTCGTAGTGTACATATAAAACATTTTGTGGTAATTTTTAAAAATAGATTATTAGCAGACTTAGCTAAAAGAATGGGGAACATAGACAGAGCCTGACCCATAGTCCATAAACTTGCTAGTACTGACAGTATACAAAACACTTTGGGATGGTTCATGAAAATTCTTGTTTTAATGACTATTAGAAAATATTTTTAATGTATAACGTAAAGAGGTTGTTTTAACAATAAAATCGTAAGTCATAAATTAAATAATTAATACTCAGATGTGGTAACAAAAGAGTGGTTTTCAATTGGGAAACCCTTCATTCAAAGCAACTGCTTTGATTCCATATGTATTCCAAAGAACTTCCCACTTCCTCCCACTCCACCTTCCAACAAGGTACATGTCAAATAAATACATAAACATATAGAAGAAACAAAAGTCACAGTCATCCATTGTCCATCCCTCTGGCAAAATCAACAAAGACAAGAGGTACAAGCGGTTAGAGGCTCCCATGATGTTTCTTATTCCAGGCACTCAGGCTGAGAGCCTCTTAGGGCTGCTGAATCTGTGCTCTTTGTTGTTAGATGGGATAAATGTATGTGGATGTGCTGCCTTTTGGATTCTTTTAAAAACTGTTCACATTCCAAAGGCCATGTGTGTCCCTTGTTTCTCCGTGACTGATCAAAAGAGAGCTACATTTCAAGATTTATGAAATGCATGTCATTATTCATGCTGATGGAGTTTGTCTTAGAGCCAAACCACGAATGGGCAATTGCATGAACACTGACCCATAGGCCTACCAAGAAGGGGCTGGAAGAGAATGAAAGGCAAAAAGAATAGGTCAAAGAGGAGCCAGGGGTCCCACGTGATATCAGAGTCACAGCAGAGATAGCACCTCTGTGAAAAAGGAGAAAATAACACTCAGCTCAATTTTTTAAAATTCCATTAAGCACAAAACTGTGTCCTGCTCCCTGTATTAACAAACACTAATATAGAGAGATAAATACAGAGAGTTACAGAGAAATAAAACATATCCCTTTCCCTAGAAAGTCTTCCAATAAAAAACATATGAGTGAGAAGACAAATAATTAAATTGATAATTTCAGAAAGTACTATTTCAGAAGGAAGTATTTCACAAAATGTGTTCACAGGAGGGACAGCCAACCCAGAAGGGTGATAGACGATGAACATGGAAGACTATCTTAAGGAGATAAAACCTGACCTGAGTTTCAAAGTTTTAAAGCACGTGGGTAAAAATCCACTTGGCCAAGCAGACAATGGAGTCCCTTTGTTCCTTCCATTTTGTCCTTCCACAGCTATTTACTGATTATTTATTGTGTCCTAAGTATTGGGAATATAATAGTAACCAAAATTAGACATGGCTCTGCCCTTCGGAGCTTATGATACAGTGGGGAATTCAAACATAAATGTGAACTCTGTAATCTAGAGTACAAGGAACTCAGCAAGGGACAGGGAATCTGTGAGCTTGGATAAAAAACAATGATGTTTTTATTTTTATTTTTTAAATTTATTTATTTATTTTGAGAAGGAGTCTCGCTCTGTCGCCCAGGCTCGAGTGCAGTGGCGCGATCTCGGCTCACTGCAAGTTCCGCCTCCTGGGTTCACACCATTCTCCTGCCTCGACCTCCCGAGTAGCTGGGACTACAGGCACCTGCCACCATGCCTGGCTAATTTTTTCATATTTTTAGTAGGAACAGGGTTTCATCATGTTAGCCAGGATGGTCTCAATCTCCTGACCTCATGATCCGCCCGCCTCAGCCTCCCAAAGTGCTGGGATTACAGGTGTGAGCCACCGCGTCCGGCCTATTTTTAGAAATCTTTAAGTAATATTTAGCATTTCCTCCCATTGTGAATTTAGGCAACAAATCCAGTAGAAGTAGAAATATCTGTGACTTTGCTCACCAATATAAATTCTAGATTCTTATATCCCAATACAATTGCTGAAAATGCCTTAAAATATCATTCGTGCTCATCGCCACTTCAAAATTACAATAGTTATTAGATTTTCCACTAGATCTTGTTATTTAATATGGTAATAAAGAAGCACAGTTATTACTGTGCTACTCTTTAAAAAATATTTTGATAACCAATTATATTGAAATCTAAGTTTCTTTGTAATCCTATGTATTTTATATTACGCATTTGATAACATTATTCTGGCCTTCCTGGACTGCCATAGGGAGCCATGGAACAAAATTATTAAGAAACCCTGCACTAATTAAGTAACTGAAACTGATAAAAATTACAATTTTGACAATTGCCATACAAGGGAAGTATGCAATGCAATGGGCAATAGTGAGGGAAGCAAGGGAATGTGGCTTGGGTTATGGGAGAGGTGTAAGTTTTAACTAACAAAGGGAGCATGAAAGAACATTCCAGAAGAGGGACCCGACATGTGCAAATATGCCTTGAGGGGGCAAGGCTGTAGGAAGCCAGGGATGCTGAGACAGAGCTGAAAGTTAAGGGATGCCGGGAGAGGGCTGATGCAGGTCAGTGAAATGAGGCTGGAGTGGTGGGCAGAGGTCTGGCAGTGTAGAGACAGAGAGCAGGTGCATAAGGCATAGAAAAGGAAAATAAGGCAGTGCATTCAGAGACGGCACATGGTCAAGTTTGGTTAAAGGCCAAATGCTGTGCCAGAGAGAGAAAAGGTGAGGTTGCACAGGTTGCAGGACTCAGAGAACAGCAAATATTGAGGGCTGTGGTAACAAGTCAGACTTTATCTTGAGGGTACTAGGAGTCATTGAACAATTGATTGGCCTGCCCTTAAGAACCTCACACTTGGTGAGCTGGTGTATCAATCAGACATATATATACACACACACACACACACACACACACACACACACCCTACAGACACTGAATCAGTGACATTGTTCCTAGGGGAATTACATAATTAGGTTCCTATAAGCCTCTGGTCACATTTTTGCCAACTGATGAATATATGATCTTGTACGATGTGTGTTTATGTTCAAAGACACCTTCTTCAGTATATATTCTTGATTCATTAACATTGAACTTACAACCAACAGCACTATTACTCATGCCGGAACAAGCTTACCTGGCATACCTATTTCCCCTGCAAGGCACATCACAGCCTTCTTGTGCTTACAATACCTAAGCACTAGACAGCACTTTTTAGCACTACCCTTAGGGGCCATTTTAAACAGCAAAATCATGAACAAAAAGCACAAAAATGTGAAAAACATGGCACTGAACAGACCACAAAAAGGACTCCTGTTAACAGTGTGAGAACTGAAACAAGAAGGCAGAGCAGTGTTCTGTTTTGTTTTTTTTTTTCAGTCTCAGCCTGGAACATGTGAATCAAGTGACTCAAATCTTTTGCCTCTCTGTGCTCGTTTGCAAATGACTGTGAAAGCTCTCTGAGTATTGATTTCAGGGTGACAAATAACTTTTAGTAAGTAGAATTAGAAATATGGAATCCGTGAATAATGAGGATCGACTATACAGCATTGCAAAGGCTGGCAAGTCCAAAATCCATAAGGCAGCAGGCTGAACACTCCCAGGCAGGAGCTCACGCTACAGTGATGGGCAGAATTTCTCTTTCCTTGGGGAAACCTCAGTTTTGTTCTCAGGAACTTTCCACTGCTTGGAGGAGGCCCATCCACATTATCAAAGATAAACTCTTCTACTTACAGTCAACTGACTGTAGATGTTGAACACATTACAAAATACCTCCACAGCAACACTAGCGTTTGATCAAATAACTGGTACTGTAGCCTAGCCAAGTTGACACATAAAACTAACCATCAATTATGGCATTGAAAGGAAGGAGAAATGCAGGCAGTAAACCATATAAACTGTTCAGGTGGAAAATGCTGCTAGTTGGACCCTGCTTTTAAGAAATTTTAGAATCTTTTTGCTTTCCTCTTAGCATTTTAAAGTGCTCTACACCTCCAGATCGTGGTCCTTGCTCTCCACAGCCATTTGTCCCTCCATCCAGTCCTGTCCCTCCAAGGCAGGAGAAAACACTACATTTTGAGAAAATGTCCTACTACACTTGTAGCATATTTCCCCTTGGCATCTCAAGTACTTAGTTCAATATCATTCCATTTTCCTTAAGATGTGAAACACATTTGAGAAGGCAGACATACTGCAACATCATTGGGGAATATTTTAGTTGCAAGTAACAGAATATTTGACCTAGAGTAGCTTAAAAGACAGTTGTTTATGTTTTTGTTTTAAATCATCATCCTTAACAAAAACTCTGCAGATATGTGTTGTTGGGTTGGTTTAGAGAAGGGTTCAGCAAACCATGGCCAGTGGATCAAATCTACACTGCAGCCTGTGTCTCTCTTTTTTTTTCTACAGCCCCCAAATTAAGAAAGATTGCTAAAGCAACAGCAGCAATAGAGACCATGGGCGGCCCACAAAGCCTAAAATGTTTAATACGTGGCTGCTCACAACACAAGCTTTTTGGCCTCTAGTTTGGAGATTCAACCCTGTCTTCCAGGACTCAGCCTCCATCTTGCTGCTGTCCTGGGGCTACTGGCGTCATCTTCCCTCATAGATAGCTGCCCCAGCTCCAAGAATCCCATCTACATGCCCCTGTCTTAAAAGGAAGTGGAACTTCCACACTCATCTCCCAGGAGGGATGGTCTTTCCCAGAAGGTCCCAGCTGGTACTCCCACGGCTTCCATTGGTTGAAGTGCAGTCACATGGGCTAGCTGCAGAGGAGGCTGGGAAGGGGCACAAAGTGTGTCTTCCCACTCCTCCCTGTGGGAGGAGCCTCCTCCCATCATGAGGCTGGGATTGGCTGCCGGGGAAACATCCTCCAGAATTCATTCACCAGGAATGCTTCACCTCTTTAGGACTATTTATAACAGTATCAACCTTGTAATCCATAAGGACAGAGATCCCCTGTGGTTGGAGGCTGGTTGGTGCTATAGTACTACCCTCTCTTCTTTTGGGGGTGCAGAAGAAAGAAACTTTATGAAATGACTAATTTGTCTTCAAATCTAAGCTCTTAAGAGTGTTTTATATCTTAATCTGCATAGTGGTTACCCAGGCATAAACATATGTAAAAATTCATTATGGTATACACCTAAAGTTCTGTTCAGTTTACTATACGTTGGTTATATCTTAATAAAAGAGGGACAGATAAAATTGCCAAAGGAAGAGGCCTTTAAACCCTCCTTTAGATATCTAAATACACAGAGAGATGTACACACACACACACACACACACACACACATATTCACACAGACAGACACAGATATCTTATATCCACATATGTACATATCTTACATCCCACATCCTATATATATGTGTGTGCGCACACACACACACACACACACAGAGCAATGATAGCATATGTTGAGTTCTATTAGGCCACCTGATACATTGGGGGGTGGCTGTAAAGCAAGCACATTGGGGACTTTCTCAGGCAATCATGTCTTACAAGAAGCTCTTGCTTTCAGCTTGTACCCACCTCTTGCCAGCATGCTTCCTAAATCTCCTGGATTTGTTTAGTCCTAGATAAGACACAGTTACTCCCACCACAGAAGATATGAGACCAGAGAAAAGGAAACACCCATTTCTTTGTGACATCTTCCTTTAATAATCAGTAGAGCTAAATAATTTAAAATCCCTGTAATGGTGACTTTTTTTCCTTGCTTTTCTTCTTGGAACACAAGGGGCTAATTAAAAGTGGGAAAGTTCTTGTTTGATCAGAAATTCTTGTGTTTTGGCAAAAGAGAAACTCTAATATTCAGAAAGAGCTTTAATTGGCTTTAGAGCCACTAAATTTCCTTTCCTTATTTAGGACATTACGAATGAGCTGTTCTCTCTGGACCACAAAGAAAAGGTATGGTAATTGGACCAGAGGAACCAGGGCTCCCAGCCAGAGGAACCAGGTTTTCAGCTGAAAGATGGTCTTTCGATTTGAATCTATGGGATTATCTTTTAACCTAACTCCGTGTGATTCCTCTCTGAGAACCTCTCGTAAGTTCTGGTCTTTTGGCTGACTTCTCTCCATAAATGACTCTATTACTAGAGCAGTAAGCTTGTTTATTGAGGAAGCTGTGTGTGGTGGTCCCTAATGGAGCATGTCAGCATAAAAGCCCCATTATACTGAAGCAGGCGTAGGTCCATCCATTTCATGAAGCACTCTTTCCTGGATTTATTAGTATTAGTACAGGAAAAGTGAGTGCTCTATGTAGCACAGACTTTTGAAACCAATGTGCTCTCACCACTAGAAAAGGCAGGAAAAAGAATTCCCCGGGCTCATAGGTGCTCCTACCAAGAAGAACCATGGACTTCGTCAAAAGATGAACAATGTTGGAAGTCAGTACAAAATAGCAAAAGGACATCTTTATGGAAAATTTGCAAATGTTCTTTCCATGGCAGTGACCCTAAAAGCTGATATGTCTATTGGTTAGCAGACTGCTTTTAGTTCTCATTTGTTGATAAATGCTATGATGAAGACGATTAAGTCAGAAGAAAGTTACAACCAAGTCAATTTAGTATTAGAAACACTTTTTGTTTTATAAAGTGCCTATCTATTGACTCTTGCCAGTTCTTTTTTAATAATTAAAACAGGGGCCCATTTATCCACTAACTGGGACATGCTTGCATGAAGGTGTTTATTGATCTTGCATGAAGGTGTTTATTGATCTGTCATTGCAAAGAGCATACTCTTGCTGTCTTCCCTGCACATCTTTCAAACAGTGGCTGGTATTGTCACCTAGCAGTGAGACTGGTGGGAAATGACAGCGATGGCAACTTTGGGGGATAGCTTCTCCCAGTAAGGAAGGCAAATTCTACAAAAAGAATGAAGCACAGCAGAAAAAGTGAAGCGCTGGTTCTTACAAGGTATTTGCACTGACCCTATTTATGTCTTTGGAATGTCTGTTTGATCACCTGCTGAATCTTTGGAACTATCTATGAATAATAGATTAGGCACTTGGGCTGTCTTAGGTTTGTGATGTCTTGTCCTCTCTTAAAAAGAACTTTGGTGCAGGTTACTTATTACCGATCAACACACTACACACTTCCCTATCTTACCTAAAAAGTATCAATATTTTTGCTGTGTTGTTGGCCAATGCAAAGATTATAAAGCGTCACCTTAATAACTAAGATTTCTGGGTTAAGTGTGAGAAGTACTAGGCTATGACTGCTGGTGGACAGTTAGCTAAATAATTCAAGAAGATCTTATGGCTCCATAAAATGAATAACTGCAACTCCTTTGTCTATATCCCCTTCTGCTGATCATGAGGAGTATATAAATAAGGACTCTATTTGGTTTCATGTGATAAATATCTGCTGGATGTGGCTTAAGTAAAACAAGAGGGATTTATTTTAAAGATATTCAGTGTTTTAGGGCATGCAAAGAGAAGTAAAGCAAATGAGTCTTAGAAGAAATCTGAAACCAGGGACTAAAGTGCCAATGAGATTTTTGTTCCAGCTCTAATTTCTACCTCTCTTGGGGCATCTGCAGCAAAATGACCTACGCAAATTGGGCTTTACACAACTACAAGTTTCTTTTTGGCCAATATCATTGACTCCCAACAGTTTAGAGAAAGGGGTCAATTATTTGTCTGCTTCGACAATTCACAACCAGGTTTCAAAAAAAACAAGTCTCAGGCCAAATTTTGATACTTATTAACAAGCTGGCACAAAACAGGAATAGTCCCTTTTTCAAGTTTGACAAAGACCTACCTCTCTCCTTTTAGTTACCTCAACAACATTTTGCATGAGGAGTCTTCTGGAAGCCCAGGGAATGATAGTCTAGCACAGGAGGTGGCACACTTTTTCGGTAAAGAGTCAGATAGTAAATATCTTAGGTTTTGCAGACCATATGGTCTCTGTTACAACTACTCAACTCTGTCTTAACACCAACACAGCCATTGTCAATATTCATCTCTTTCGATAAATTATTTGGACAGAAATTGGAATTTCATAGAATATTCACATGTCAAAAATATACGTCTTTTGATTTTTTAAACTATATCAATATTAAAAAATTCTTAGTTCGTGAACTGTGCAAAAAAGAAGGTGGTGGGCTAGAATTGGCCCAGGGGCCATAGTTTGCTGACCTCTCCTTTAGCAGCGTATTTCTAATGACAGTGAGGTGACCAAGAATCCACCAAAGCAGCATGTAGTCACAAAACCTCTCACAAGTCACGCCTGGAACAATTTTGTGATGAGATGATTCTGCTATTATTTTTGCACATGGCTCTAAAAAGGAGTGTTGCATTATACCTTCTGCACACCACCATGAAGGTACGAGAACATTCTTTGATAATAATAATGGCTTCCTAATATGCCTGGAAGCTCCCTCAACTTCCAGCCATTGTCCAAATCTCTTTTGATTGTCAGCCAGTATCCATTTTTTTCCCACAGGTTATATAATCTCCTCCAAAAATGTGTCTATGCTATTTTGAGGCTTAAGCAATAAGCGTTGCTCCAGCCATCTCAGTGTTTGATCTCGTATCCATTGGTGTGGTACCCACCGTCTAATGTCTTACCTCCTCTATTGTACACAGGTTCTGAGAGGCTGCCTTGGCAGAGATTCTTGTGTTTGCTGAGGGTTAGCTTTTACCAGGACTTCTAATTGATAATTTAAAATGAGGATGAGACTCCATCTAGGCCCACTTTTGAGGTTTAGATACTCAGATCAAAAATTCTCAATGAACACAGAGCAGTCCTTTAGCGAAAAATGCCCTTCCCCAGATGTTTCTACCTGCCTTAGGTATTCCATCTCCCTGAAGACAGTCATATCAAAAGGATTCACAATTCTTTGATGAAACACACAGAAATTGTTTACTTTTGTGAGAAAAATGAACAATAATAAAAACAAATCAATTCTCAGAGAAAATTGAAAAGGACAGTAACTTCATACATTCCAAATAGCACAGCTAGAAATAGAATTTGTGCCAATTTTATTAATCATAATTTTTAACTGGTCAAATATTGGTGATTTCACCTGGTTCAAAGGAATTTGAAGTAAATTATATGTAACTTAACAGTCTCTGATTTTTTGTTTCCTTACTGCAAGTTGCCTTGTTCAGTTTCCCAAGTTTTAAATCATACAGTAGGGTTGCTGATGATCCCCAAGTTTTTACATTGTAAAGAGAGAGAGAGAGAGACAGAGAGAAACAGTGAGAATAAGAGATGGAGACAGACAGTGACAGGGAAAAGCATAAACAGTGAAACTGACTATCTCCTTGGCCTAATCCTAGTTCCTGGAGGAGAGACTCTGACTAGTTCTTACCCCTTGACAAATCAGTGTGGTTGGAGTAGGGATGGAGCCAAAGTCATCGCATAAAGAAATTTCCAAGTGTCCACTCTTGTGGATCAGAGCAAGGTTGTAACCAGGACAGCTGCTATTGAAAGCACAACAGAGATAGTATAATAAGTATCCTTCACAGATGCATCTTAGAGCTGCTATGTTATGGCTGTATTATGGTTCCATATGAGTCCTGAGATAAAGGAGTAATATTCAAAATATTTAACATCAGGCATCAGTCAGTCAGAACCAATCCAGGTTATAAACAGGTGGCTGAGCCATACCAGTGAATACCCTAGTAGGATAGTATGGGCTCCTTGGTGTATATGTGCCACATTTTCTTAATCCAGTCTATCATTGTTGGACATTTGGGTTGGTTCCAAGTCTTTGCTATTGTGAATAGTGTCGCAATAAACATACATGTGCATGTGTCTTTATAGCAGCATGATTTATAATCCTTTGGGTATATACCCAGTAACAGGATGGCTGGGTCAAATGGTATTTCGAGTTCTAGATCCCTGAGGAATCACCACATTGACTTCCACAATACTATGCAGCCATAAAAAATGATGAGTTCATGTCCTTTGTAGGGACATGGGTGAAGCTGGAAACCATCATTCTCAGCAAACTATTGCAAGGACAAAAAACCAAACACCACATGTTCTCACTTATAGGTGGGAATTGAACAATGAGAACATATGGACACAGGAAGGGGAACATCACACACCGGGGCCTGTTATGGGGTGGGGGGAGGGGGGAGGGATAGCGTTAGGAGATATACCTAATGTTAAATGACGAGTTAATGGGTGCAGCACACCAACATGGCACATGTATACATATGTAACTAACCTGCATGTTGTGCACATGTACCCTAAAACTTAAAGTATAATAAATTAAAAAAAAAGGGGAAGGTATTTGCAAAAAAAAGATAGTATGGGCTCCTTTAATAAATATCAATACCATTACCCCTTCTAAAATGAGTTCTTTCATGGACCTGGGCAATGAGAGAGGATTAGAATACAGAGGTCTCTGTAATAATGGGTAAAAAGGCAGATAGGTAGCCAGAACTTTGCAATTTGTTGCTCTGTTCTTTTGGTATGTGTTGCCTGGTGACTTGTCAACCTTCTGTGTTCATCAGGGGTTTTTGCCAATCTCTGGAGAACAAAAAGCATAAACAATCACATAGTGAGAATATTGTCTTCTGCATTTGCTTTAAGAAGAGGTTTCCAACAATACCTTAGAGCTAAAAGCAAGGGTCCTCTGGGCAGAAATTTCAGCGTCACTGCATGAATGACACTACCTGGTCTATTCTCTTCTCAACCTGAGGAAGATGGGGAAGTCTGTCTGCAATGACTGCCACATCCATTTACCGTAGCAGTAACCACCCTGGAAATGGTATCACTGCTTGAGCCTCCTTGCCCTGCTTAGAGAACAAGGACAACTTGCCACAAGAGGTCTAGCACATAAGACAAGCTAAAGGCATTTTCCTGGATGAATCCTGGAATCTTTTCTCTTCTTTGCCACCTCAAAATTTCTTGAGCTTTTAGGTCTTTTCGAGGTACTAGTTAACTCAATGATTTTTGACTGGTGGGAAAGTAGAACAAAAGTTCTTCTATGGGAAGGGACAGTGTTCAACTTTGCCTCTCACGTGGAAGAAGGGTGGAATAGGAGGTCAGCTTCCTGGGGCAGAAAAAAGGTTGGGAACTAGTGAACTAGCTGATTAACAGACAAATGTGTGCTATCATGTTAAAGCACATTGAGGTACTCTACTTTCATGGCTTCCTGCTAGGTCTGCAATAAATATTTATTAAATCAAACTGCATACAAGAACCTGACTTGAAGAAGAGCAGACAGGGGCGAGGGAGGCACTGGGGATGGGAGCAACATACAGGGGCTGCTTTCAAATATTTGAAGGGCATCAGACTGCAAAGAAGTTAGACCTTCCAAACAAACTAAAGTACTCGATGGCTTCCCGTTGTCTAAAGAATACAATCCCAAACTACCTTATCAGAACTATAAAATTCTACATATGGGATTCTTGAAATTGGCTGAATATTAGAATCACCCCAAGAGTGATTATGTCCGTGGCTGGAACCCTCACGTGCCAGTCCCTGGGATGGGACCTGGGCATCTGAATTTTGTTGCATAGGGCAGATTGGGAGCCTCTGCTGCCAGATTATCTCACTCCAGCTTACTTCTCCAGGCTCATTTCCTACCACTTCCCTCTTTGTCCAAAGGTCTTCCTCCTTTGCCTCCTTTCTGTCCCTGTAACATTCCAGGCACATCCCAACTCCAGGGCTTTGGCTCTTCTGGGTTGCTGTGCTTGGAATAGTCTTCTTTCTGATTAAAGCTGGCGCGTCAGCTCAAAGAGTCATCTCTAGGTCAGGAGATGCCTGACCCTCTGGATTAGTTTTCTAGGCCTGCTGTAACAAAGTATCACACACTGGATGGCTTAGGACAACAGACATTTCTTGTCTCCCTGTTCTGGGGTCTAGAAGTCCACAATCAAGGTGCTGGCAGGGCCATGCTCCCTCTGAAGACTCTAGAGGAGTTCCTGCTTCATGTCTTTCCTTTAGCTTCTAGTGTTGCCGGCAATCCTGGGCCTTCCTTGGCTTGGAGATACTCACTCCAATCTCTGCTTCTATCACCACATGGCATTTTCTCTGTGTCTCTTCATATTATCTTCCCTCTGTGCATAGTCTCTTCTCTCTCTCTCTCATTCTTTGAGACAGGATCTCACTTTGTCACCCAGGCTGGAGTGCAGTGGTATGATCTTGGCTCACTGCAACCTCCACCTTCCAAGCTCAAGCTCAGGTGATCCTCTCACCTCAGCCTCCTGAGTAGCTGGGACCACAGGCATCTGCCAACACACCTGGCTATTTTTTTCCTTTTTGAGCCACAGTCTCACTTTGTCGCCCAGGCTGGAGTGCAGTGACACAATCTCGGCTCACTGCAACCTCCGCCTCCCAGGTTCAAGTGATTCTCTTGCCTCAGCCTCCTGAGTAGCTGGGATTACAGGCGCCTGCCACCATGCTCAGCAATTTTCTTTTTTGTATTTTCAGTAAAGACGGAGTTTTGCCATGTTGGCCAAGCTGCTCTCAAACTCCTGACCTCAGGTGATCTGCCTGCCTCGGCCTCCCATTATCTTTTGTAGAGACAGAGTTTCACCTTGCTGGCCAAGCTGGTCTCAAACCTGATCTCAAGCAACTGGCCCGCCTAGGCCTCAGAAGTGTTGGAATTACAGGCGTGAGCCATCACACGCAGCCCGTCTCTTCTTGTAAAGACACTGGTCATGTTTGATTAGGATCTATCCTAATAACATCATTTTATCTTCATTACATCTACAAAGTCCTTATATACAAATAAGGCCACATTCACAGGTACTGGGGTTTAGGCTTCAACATATATTTTTGTTGGGGTGGGGCACAATTTAACCCATAACACCCTATGTCTAAAGTACCCCCACCCCACTCTCTCTGGTCATGATCATTTCACCTTATCCGAAGCAATCTTGCTTATTTATGAGTTTAGTTGTGTATTGGCTGTCTTCCTCACTGAAGGTAAACTCCATGAGAGCAAGAACTTTGCTTACCTGGAATGTCACTATGTTGATAATGCCCAAAATGATGCATAATAAACACTTGTTTGAATGAATGAAATAAACTACAATCAAACAGTGAAAACTATAGGGCAACAGATTTTAGTTTACCAGGAGGACACGTTTTATATAACTAGAGCCCACTCAACATGAAATAAGTTGCTTTTTTTTTGAGGCAATAAGTCCCCTATTGTGGCAGACATTTATACCAAAGCTGGGCAACGCTTTAGAAGAGATACTAAAGAATGGATTTGCATATCAGTTCACAAATGGATTAATGACCTCCAAGGGTCCTTTACACCCAGAAGTTCTATAATTCTATATCTGAGAGAAGCCTTTTAAGAAATACTGTGTCTTAAAAGAATGACTCTAATGGTGAAAACGTCAGGCAGGCGTAAGTTTCCTGTTACAGGTTTCTGACAGGTGAAATCGTGTGACAGCCCTCAAATCACATTACATTTGTAACCTCCTTTATGTCTCATGAGTCTATTTTTAAGCTTAGCTTGAATTTCTTCATATTTTATTTATTTATTATTATGTTTTTGTTGGCCCATTCTATCCAAAGGGGGAAAAAAGGAAAAATAAATAAATTTCAGTTTGGGATCCCTTTAATGTCTTAACTAAGCCTGTTACAATGAGATATTGTATTAAGTTGGTCCTGTCTTAAGAAAGAAACAACTTCTCTGTTGAAAGCGCTTGCTGCCAGGGGACTCATTGTTACCACAGCAGTCAACTTTGATTTGTGTATCAATAATGTCGTGTCAGTAGCCAGAGGGTATGGCAACAGGGTGTTCCAGATGCTTTTATTGGTGCTTTTGCTGGAGGATTATTTCAAATTAACTTTAGTCTCTTGGAAGACACTGAACAGTAGTATGCTATTTCCCATTTGTAAACAAAATGGTGAATAATTATGGGAGAAACCAAGACAGGATGATTTCTAGGAAATGTCACGTCTGCAGATCTTAATTTCCTCCAAGCACTGTTGCCCTGTTCTTCCTTTCCTGTTGCTAATATCCTCCCAGGAACAATACTGAATAGAACCTGCTTACAGGGCAATTGGTGGCTTCACAGCCACTCAACAAAATAACTGGAGACTCTTCTGCTGTCACTGTAACCACAAGAAGAGATTGGAAGCCTGGAGAAACTGCTGAAGGCTAAATAGAAAGGGACTTTTAAATGATATTATAAAATTTTTAAAAATGTTTTATATGTGATGGTAAAAGTCATAGTTATTGTATAAGTTCCAGAAAATACTACAAAGCAAAAGGATAAAAATGAAAATTACCTGTTATTCTATCACCCAAGATAAACCACTGCTTATCATTTTGGTATATCTACTTTGAATTCTCTCTCTCTCTCTCTCTTTGTGTGTGTATTTTGCAGAAATGAGATATTATATTATTACTTAATGATATAGAACAGAGATTGGCAAGCCTTTTCTGTAAAGTACTAGATAGAGCAGATTTTCAGCTTTGCTGGCCATAAGGTCTCTGTTGTAACCACTCAACTCTGCAGCTGTAGGACAAAACCAGCCAAAGACAATAAGAAATGAATGGGTGTAGCTGTGTTCCAACAAAACCATTTACAAAACTAAGTGATGGGCAGGGTTTGTCCCATAGCCATAGTTTGCTGTCTCCTGAGATAGGATGTTATATTTTGCATGTCATTAATATTTTCCAACACCATTTTTAAAGATACCATGCATGGTATGACATTGCATTGATGTACCATAATTTCTTAACTACTTCATTGTTGTTGAACTTTAAAGCTATTTCAGTTTTCATTATTATAAAAGACACAATAATGAATATCCTTGTGGCTATATTTTACAACATATTGATGATTTTTTAGTACAAGTTAGTTAAAATATCATTGACAATTCTAAGGTATGTACAAAGCCCTCATCAATTTCAATTTTTATTAGTGGTATGTAGTTGTAGCATCCTCCTCATATTTGGGCAATTCTTTGTTGGTGGTTTCCCAGTGCTGATGATGTATGACACTTTGAGTGTTTTTAGGGACCCTTATGTTAGTCTGAGTAATGATTGTCATAGCAGGACAGCTATAACTGGCACAGTGTTTCATATTTCTTTTGGGGTCATGAGTACTTTGAGAATCTGAGGAAAACAAAGACTATTCTCTGAAAGAAAATGCACATACCAAAGAATTCTAAGTATAATTTTAGGGAGTTCAAAGAGCTCTAAGACAGTTTTCTTAAGTAAATACTTAAAAGTGGAATTGCTAGATCACATACTAAGTATATATTTAACTTTATAAGAAATTGTCAAAAAGTTCTTCAAAGTTGTACCATTTTAAGCTCCCAGCATTAAAGTTTGAAGTTCAAGTTATTCTACATTCCCATCAGCCCTTGATGCTGTAAGTCACTTTAATTGTAGCCATTCTAGTGTTGACGCAGTAGTATATAATTCTGTTTTTTATTTGCATGTAAGTATATGATCCATTGCAAGCTAATTTTGTCTATGGTGTGAGGTAGGGGTCAAAATTTATCATATATTCCATGTGACTATCAAGTTGTTTCAGCACAAATTTTTAAAAAGACTATTGTTTCCCCCACTGAATTATCTTGGCACTTTTGTCAAAAATGAATTGACCATATATGAGTGGGCCTACTTCTGGACTTTCTTATTTATTCCATTGATCTGTATTTCTACTTTATGTTAATGTCACACTGTTTTAATTACAATAGACTCACAGTAAGTATTGAAAGCAGATAGCATAAGACACCCAAGTTTGTTTTTTTATTTTCAAGATTGTTTGGGCTATCTAAATCCTTTGCATTTCCATCTAAATTATAAATCAGCTTGTTAATTTCCACAAAAGACTGATGGGATGTATAATGGGTTTGCATTGAATCTATAGACAATTTTAGGGAGAACTGATACCTTAACATCAAGTCTTCTAATCTACAGTCATGCATATCTTTCAATTTATTTACATCTCTTTTACTCTCTCTCTTCAGCATTTTGGTTTGCAATGTACAGTTCCTGAACATATTATATTAAATTTATTCTTACATTTATCATGGGTTTTGGTGCTATTGTAAATCATACTTTTAAATATAATTTACCAATTGTTTGTTGATAGTATATTAAAATGCAATTGATTTTTTATATTAACTTTGTTGCCTTGACTTTAATAAATGTATTAGTTTTTGAAGCTTTTTACAGAGTTCTCAGAATTTTTTATGTTCATGATAATACCATCTACAAATAAAGACAGTTGAAAATGTTTTCTTTCTAGTCTGTATGGCTTTTATTACCTTTCCTTGACTTATTGCAGTGTCTAGAACCCCAGGGCAATGTGAATATAAATGGTGAGATAAAACATCATTGATCTATGCTTGATCTTAAAAGAAGACTATTCAGTTCTTCACCATTAAGCATGAATAGTGGAAATTTTAGATGTTTCTTAGGTCCCTCTTTTCAGGTTGAGAAAATTTCTTCTATTTCAATTCTGCTGAGAGTTTTTATCATAAATGATTATTGATTTTAGCCAAATGCTTTTTCTGCCTCTGTTTGGCTGATGGTATTTTTTTCCTTTATTCTTTTATATGGTAAATTACATTGATTAATTTTCAAATGAAAAACCCAACATTGTATTTCTAAAATTAAACCCTACTTGGTCATGATATTTTTATATATGATGATGGATTCCATTTTAAAATAATTTATCATTTTTATGTATAATGATGAATTCCATTTTAAAATATTATTAAGAATTTTTATATTTATATTAATGAGATATTAATCTGTGGGGTTATTCTTTTGTCTTATATCTTAGTCTGCTCTTGGCATCATAGTATTGATATTCTCAAAAAATGGATTGGTATGTGTTCCCTCCTCTATTTTCTAATTGTGTCTACTAGTAGTATTTATCTCCTAAATATTGTATAGAATTTATGAGTGAAATAATCTGGGCCTTAAGTTCTCTTTATAAAGTCTTAAATTACAAATTCAAGTTCTTCAATAACCAGGGTTATTCAGATTTTTCTATTTCTTTTTGTGTCTCTTAGATAATTTGTGGCTTTCAAGGAATTCGTCCACTCACTCTAAATTGTCAAATTGATTGTCACAATGTCGTTCGTCATAGTCACTTATTATCAACTTAATGTCTGAAGGATCTGTAGGAATTCCTTTCTTTAAAATCCTAATACTGGTAATTCAGTTCTGCTCTCTGTTTTTCCTGATAAATCTAGCAACAGGTTTCAATTTTTTTAATCTTTTCACAGAAACGGAGAAGTATTGAAGTCTCCAACACTAGTTGTGGATTTGTTTTTCCTTTTGCTTCTGGCAATTTTGTTTAATGTATTTTGCAACTCTGCTTATTGGGTGCATACATATTTAGAATTGTCTTGCCTTCTTAATGAACCGAACATTTTATCATTAAAAATGGCCCTTCTTTATCCTTAAAGTCTACTTCAAATGATATTAATGAACTCACTCCAATTTTCTTATTACCATTTGCATGGCAGATCCTTATTTATCCTTTCTTTTAACTTATCTGAATCTGCAGATTTTAAGAGCGAATCTTGTAGATAGATACAGAGAGTTTTACTTTTTATCTCTAAAATTGTATCAGGGTGTTTAGACCATTTACATTTAATAAAATTATTGATCTGAGTTTAAGTCTACCGTCTTGCTCTTTATATTTCTATTGGCCCCACCTTTCTTCCCTTCCTTTTTTCTCTTTTCCTACCTCCTTTGGATTAATTGGATTTTTAAACTATTTTATATATCCTCTATTGGCTTATTACCTATACTTGTTTTCCTTTTAGTGGTATTTCTAGGTTTATAATATGTACCTTTAAATTATCACAAACTTCAAATAATAATATACTACTTAACATGAAATAAGAATCTTAAAATAGTATATTCTTCCATTTCTTCCACTCTGTCTACTGTACTAATGTTGTTACACACTTAACTTTCACATTTGTAACAAACTCAAAATACATGCTATTATTTGCTTTAAAGTCAGTTATTTTGTAATTGAAACTATATAAAAGAAATGTTTTAAATGAGAAGAATGCCTTTTGTATTTACCTACCTGTCTTTCAATTTTGGCACTGGAGATTCAATTGCATCTGGTATTATTTCCTATCAGCCTGAAAAAGTTTTTCTAGGAAAAAAATAAACAAAAATTTCTTGGGGTGAGGGTCTGCTGGGGACAAATTCTCTCAGGTTGAATTGGAATGAAGTGTCTTTTTTCTCTTTATTTTTGAAGAATATTTTCACTGGTTATAGAATTCTAGGTTAACCTTTTCTTTTTTTCTTTCACCAGTAAATGGGGTTGCTTCATTGTTTTGTGGCTTGTATTTATGATGAGAAATCAGAAGTGTGCTTATCTTTGTAGTGTTTATTTTGTGTGTCTTTTTTTTCCCCTCTATATACTGTTAAGATTTCCTTTTCATTACTGGTTTTTAGCAATTTGATTATGATATAACTTTGTGTAGCTTTACTCATGTTTACTTTGCTCTGGGTTTATTGGGATATTTAAATGTCAGGATTCATAATTTCCAGTAATTTTGGAAAGTTTTTGGCAATTATTTTTCTCAAATATATTTTCTTTTCTCTTCTTTCATTTCCTGGGACCCCCATAATACGTAAATTAGACCACCTGCTATTGTCCCACATGACACTGAGAATCTCATCTTTTGTTGTGGGGGTTCTCTGTGATTTAATTTAGATATTTTCTATAGATATGTCTCCAAATTCAACATACTTTTCTTCTTCAGCATCTAATCTTTTGTTTATGTGTAATATATATGTAGTATATATTTAATTTTAAGTATTGAAAAATTACATATATTTAATTTCAAGTATTATATTTCTAGCCGCCAAAATTCCATTTGGTTTTCCACTTTTAATATATTTAATTTCTTTTCTCATACATGTTTTTTAAATGCTTGAGTATAATTATAATAGCTTTTTTAGAGTCCTTGTCTACTAATTACATCACCTTGGTTATTTCTGAGACTCCATATTATTCTGGCCTTTTTTGTTTCCCAAGTGACTTTTACTTGATGCTGAACATTATTTTACATTGTTGAGTGACTATATTTTGTGGTCTTCCTTAAAGAGTGTTTGGAAGTTGGTTAAATTGCTTGCATATCAGTTTGATTCTTTGGAGGCTTGTTTTTAAGTTTATTCGGATTGGTCTAAATCTGTACTTCTCAACTGATGGTAATTTTTCACTTCTGTCCCCATAGGACATTTGGCAATATATGGAGGCCCTTTTGGTTGTCACCGCTACATGGAGGGTACTACTGCATCAAGTTGGTAGAAGTCAGGAATGCTAGTAAACAATGCACACAACGGCTACACACACACAAGAATTACCCAGCCCAAAATGGATTGGTTAGCCTTGATTACTTTCTACCTTCAGGCTAGTTTAGCCCTACTGCTATTGTAACACACTTTGGGGGGTCGTTGTGCAGACCCTGTGTATTCAACTCGATCTCACCTCTCTGTTGTGTTGGAACTCAAATATCTCCTAACACTGAACTCTGGCTTATTTATTTTCTATTTGGTAATCATTCTTTGTTCACCCTTGTGTAGTTTCAGTCAGTGCACAACTAACTTAATATTAGTTCAAGTTTCAAGAAGATGCTCTGCAGATTTCTGGAGCTCTTTTCTTTTAGGATTCTGCCCCACAAATTCCATCCATTCTTCCTCCCCAAAATATTGAGGCTTTTTTCCTCAATTCAGCAAGACCATTATAATCTGCTTGGGTTGACCCTCCTAAACTGTAGTCCGGAACATGGCGAGCAGAAGTCCAGAGTGATCACGTGGCTCATCTCGATTGTTTTTTTCCTCTCAAAGATCACAGTCCTGTGCTACACATCACTTAATGTCTGAAAATAAATTGCTTCCTATATTTTGTTCAGTTTTCTAGTTGTTCATGAAAGGAGACCAATCTGATATTAGGTCCTTCATCATGGCTAGGAGTGGAAATTTGAGGTGCATGTTTTGAGAAAACTGAAGAAATTGGCCAGTTTTCTCATTTTTGTATAGTCAGATTGGAGTTGGCCTGAAATAACTTTTTAAAAATTAATGTTTTTACATTACTAAATACTCTCAGTGTAGCATCTGACAATAGTCAGAGCAATAAGGGCTGAAATTGAAAAAGTACTGCTGACACTATTATTACAGAGAAGCAAATACTTTTTATTCCTTTGATCCTTAGAGCACCTTTTATTTATTTATTTATTTTGAGATGGAGTCTCCCTCTATCACCCAGGCTGGAGTGCAGTGGCGCAATCTTAGCTCACTGCAACCTCTGCCTCCCAGGTTCAAGCAATTCTCTTGCCTCAGTCTCCTGAGTAGCTGGGACTACAGGCATGCACCACCACGTCAAAGTACTTTCCACACTCTCTCTTTTAAGGTCTTCTCTGCTTAGTAGGGAGGGGCAGACTACATTGATTCATTCCTTCTCAAATTTACTCAACAAATTCATTCAACAAATATTGATTGACTACCTACTCTGTCTGGGCACTATTCTGTAAAATAGACACTAAAAAAAAAAACAAAAGACACTGTTACAAACAAGCAAGAGGAGAAGATGAGAATGATCCATTCAGTAATTAATTAGAGTTGTAGACGTCAATATAAATTCATGTTTAGCTTGATATAGTTGGTTACACTATAGAAATGGTTACAAATAGATGGTTACACATAGAAATATTTATAGATATGTGTATATAAACACATTAATACACACACATACATTTCCTTGCTCTGTCAACTATAGAATCTAAATGAAATAACATTCAGTAGCAATGAGCACACCTAGCACCTAGATCTTGGTTTCTAAATGCTATTTTCTAGTACAAGGAGCCAGGACTCTGTGGAGAAATGTTTGATTCTAGGACTGGGACCGGAATATACAAGATGATCCTGGAGCATCTTGCATTATCAAAAAGTAAGAAAATGCTTTAAAAAGAAGCCCACAATAATAACAGTATGCTGAAGGATACAGAAGCAAACCAAAAGAGCTCCCAGGAGGCCAGGCTGAAACAATGTGAGCAACTAAGTTAGGTGGTATTAGATTATAGACAAAGTCTAAAATCAATATCTATGATACATACTGATATAAATAAATGACTGAACAAATAAATAAATGGGGCACAAAAGACAATCTTCTGTGCAGAAGAATTCCAAATAGTTATATAGATATTTTGCTTTCACTTAGGTGGAGCATAACTGCCCCTCCATAAGCATGAGTTGTGCATAGTGACTTCCCTCCAAAAACCACAGTATAAAGGAAGGGTAGGGGGTTAGAATGGTAACTTAACAGTGAAGAAACCTGACAAAACACAACTTCAGCCAGGTGCTCAAGGTCAGTATCACAGTGATAAATCATGCTGATGGCATGTGCCTTTGATATGATGTGATGAAAATGACACTTTACCTCTGTGGTCTTTTTCCCCAAACCCATAACTTCAGTCTAATCACAAAAAACATCAGTCAAACCCAATTCAGGGATATTTTATGAAATACCTGACCATTACCGCTGACAACTCTCAAGGCAACCAAAAACAAGAAAAATCTGAGAAACAGTCACAGCCAGGAGGAGCCTATGGAGACATGATGACTCAGTGTAATGTGGGAACCAGGATGGGAGCCTGGAACAGAAAAAAAATCAGGTAAAAACTAAGAACATTTGAATAAACTATAAACTTGAATGCACAGTGATGCATCAATGTTGATTCATCAAAGGTAACAAATACAACATTCTACCGTCATGTACGATGTTAACAAATGGGGAAACTGGGTGAGGGGTACATGGGAATTCTCTGTACTATCTCTGCAACTATTTAATAAAGCTAAAATTACCCTAAAATAAAAGTTAAAAAAAAACAGTTACTGTCTATGATCTTATAAACTTGTATTTTAGTGGGAGAAATTGACAATAACCAAAAGATAGTGACAAATACTCTGAGGGCGGGGAGGAAAGGGAAGGGACTGGAGTGTCCCGGGGGTGATAGGCATGCTGCTTTATATAGGGAGCTGGGGAAGACCTCACCAAGATGCTGAAGAAGTAATATGAAAAAAGGCAGAGGGAAACTATGCCCATATCTGTTCTCCCTAGACATGGGGAGAAGGAGATGCAAAGTCCCTGGGATGGAGCATCCTCATCTGAGAAATAGCAAGGAGGCCCCTGTGGCTGGAGAAGAAAGGTGAATAAACAGACAGTGAAAAGCAGAAATACAGAAAGGGGAAGGAAGGAGAGCAGACGACGCAGACCTTCTGGCATCTTAGCATATTTAGGCTCTCACTCTGAAGGATATTGGAAGCCATTAGACGGTTTTGAAAGCCAGCTGGGCACGGTGGCTCCTGCCTGTAATACCAGCAATTTTGGGATGCCGAGGAGGGTGGATCACCTCAGGTCAGGAGTTCGAGACCAGCCTGGCCAACATGGTGAAACCCCATCTGTACTAAAAATACAAAAATCAGCTTGGCATGGTGGTGGGTGCCTGTAATCTCAGCTACTCAGGAGGCTGAGGCAGGAGAATAGCTTGAACCCAGGAGGTGGAAGTTGTAGTGTGCCGAGATCACGCCATTGTACTCCAGCCTGGGCAACAAGAGTGAAACTCTGTCTCAAAAAAATAAAAAATAAAAAGAAAGCCAAGGCATGACATGATCTGACTAATATTTTTACAACAACATTCCAGATTCCAGGGGGCAGTGAAACTGGTTAGCCGACTATTTATTGATGCAATCCAGCTGAGAGATAACTGTGACTCTGACCGAATCATAGTTGTGATGCAGTGAGAACTGGCCAGGTTCTGTAGCCAATGGGATTTAAGGATAACTTGGAAGTGGAGAGTCACAGAAGGGCAGGTGCCAAAGATGCCTGCAAAGCTGCAGGTCTGAGCAGCAGCAGCATGGGGGTATCATTTACTGAGATGAAAAAAGACTCATCCCTAGAGGTGAAGAGCACATATTTTGGAGAAAGAGTTTGGTTTTAGACAAGTTTAGTCTAAATGCCTAAATGTTAGATGCCTTAATCTGGGTGAAGATGTCAAGGGAGTTCAATTTGACTCAAGGGATGACAGTTTCAGCATCAGCAGAATGTAGATGATATTTTAAGTCTCGAGCCTGGATGAGGTCACACAAGGAGGATGTATGAAGAGAGAAGAGACCATAAGTGTGCCTATATGCCAGGCATGATTCTAGGTTTTGGAGATTCAGCACAAGCAAAGCAAGTACCTCATACCATAGAGTGGATCATGTGGCTTTGTGATACTGTCATAGCATGATGGACTCATGGGTTGAGGCCTATCTCCAACTGATTTAATCACATTCTCTCATAGAAAATTCATATTGAAGCCTGAGCAGTATATAACTCCAGGAAGGGGGCAGCCATGTGCTTAAGAAAAGAGAAAATGCTATTCTCTGGAGGAAGAAAAATGAATAAAAGATACATCTAAGAAAACAAGAGAATAATGTCACTTGACACAAGACAGCACCTGACCAAACATACCAAGTTCATGCAGGACATGATCTGAGAGGTGAATGGCTTTGCTCCATGTGCGTGGCACGCCATGGAGTTAGCCCAGGTCTCCAAGGACAAATGGGCCCTCAAGTTCATCAAGAAAAGGGTGAGGATGCACATCTCCACAAAGAGGAAGTGGGAGGAGCTGAGCATGACTGCCAGGAGGAAAGCAGCTGCCAAGGAGGACTGAGCCCCCTGCCCTGCCGTCTGCCCAAAATAAAAGCTTCACAGAAAAAGAAAAATGCATTTCTGATCCCTTCTGAGGTTTGATTACACATGTCATGTATAGGTTCCAAGAAATTCCCCTATATCTTTATAATAAATTGTCCACATTGGTGAACTAACTTAAAGGAGTTCTTGAAGTTCCAACATTTACAAGCGATGAAAACATCCACAGACACCAGAAATTGAGATAGGTAAAAAGATAGAGGTCTCCAGTTGAAATCTCCGCAGAGAGAGCATCTTCTAAGTAATCCTTTTCATTTTACTCACTCTAGAATTCACGTTACCAACGGACAACTTAAAAATATGTTTCTGTTTAAGGGAGCAACACAAACCTAACCAATTAAGAGAATTAAATACCCAACTGTCTTGAAAGGCAGCATTCTTGGGGACAATGGTACATAAGAAAAGGGAACCCTGTCCAGCATCACAGAGACCTCTGGAATAGCAACTTGGGAAATCCTCCAGGCCAAATCTTGCACACGGGCAGCCAGGAGGACAAACATGGCCACAGAGGTCTTGTCTTTCATTTGGCCTACATCAAGTTAAATAAATGGGGACCAATGTTTAAAAACCTAAAAAATGAGAGCTCTTGTACACTGTTGGTGGGAATGTAAATTAGCACAACCACGATGGAGAACAGTTTTGAGGTTCCTCTAAAAACTAAAAATTGAGTTACCATATGATCCAGCAATCCCATCGCTAGGTGTATATCCAAGAGAAAGGAAATCAGAGCATTAAAGAGCTATCTGCACTCCCATGTTTGTTGCAGCACTGTTCACAATAGCTAAGATTTGAAAGCAACCTAAATGTCCATCGACAGATGAATGGAAAAACAAAATGTGGTAATATATACAATGGAGTACTATTCAGCCATAAAAAAGAATGAGATCTAGACATTTGCAACAATTTGCATGGAACCAGAGATCATTATGTTAAGTGAAATAAGCCAGGCACTGAAAGACATATGTCACGTCTTCTCACTTATTTGTGGGATCTAAAAATCAAAAACAATTGAACTCATGAATATAGAGATAGAAGGATGGTTACCAGAAGCTGGGAAGGTTAGTAGGGGGTTGTTGGGGGGAGGTGGGGATGATTAATGGTACAAAAGGAAATAAAAGAATGAATAAGACCTACTATTTGATAGCATAATAGGGTGACTGTAGTCAATAATAACTTAATTGTACATTTTAAAATAACTTAAAGAATATAATTGGATTGTTTGTAACTCAAAGGATAAGTGCTTGAGGAGATAGATACCCCATTCCCCATGATGTGCTTATTTTGCATTGCATGCCTGTAACAAAACATTTCATGTACCCCATAAATATATATCTATATATGGGGTACATATATATATATGGGGTACATAAATATATATATATGACTAGATAAATATATATATGACTATATATATATATATATATATATATATGACTAGACCCTGGATTTCTCTTGAAAATCTGGGTGATCTGACAATAATGGGTCTATTTTCCCCTTCTGCAGCAGCCAGGTGGAGCCAAGCAGTGGCTGCCTCTCTAGACAGACAGGGCCATCCTTCACAATGACACAAGCACCGGGACTCACACAATGTAAGCATGGGCTTCATTCATTTACACCAGTGGTTCCCGACTGAGGATAATTTTGTCCTTCAAGGGGCATTTGGCAATGTCTCAGTTTTTGATTTTTGACATTTTTGATCATCACATGATGGGTGAGGAGGTGCTACCCACATCTAGCAGGTAGATGCTGAGGATATTGCTAACATCCTAAAGTGCACACTACAGCCCACGCAGCCAAGAATTTTTGGTTGCAAAATGCCAGCAGTACCAAAGTTCAGAAATAGTGATTTACACCAACTTCTTGGCCCCTTAGGCAAGTGAGGTTGTAATTCCAGATGAAGTCCATTTCTCAGAACTCAGGCAAGACTAATAACTATATAAGTACTTCCAAAAAGCCTACTGTCTCTACTCCTCTCTGCTTCTCTGAGCAGTTTGGACAGTAAGACTCAATGATTCAATTGAGACAGCAACATCTAACATCTGTACACTTGTTATGTGGCAGACAGTGCACTAAGTGAATTCACATCTACAAACCATTTAAGTCTTTCATCGACTTTACAAGGTAGGTATTATGATTTTATGATTAAAACTGCATTATTGCTGGTGGCAGAAACCCTTCTCCAGTAGCCTGTAGACAGAAAGCTCCTTGACTGGCACAAGCAGACTACCTAGATGCTAGAGCAAGGTGACCTGGACATGAGTCCTGACCCTGCCATTTACCATCCCTGTGATATTGAGAAAGTTGTTAAAACCCCTTGGGCCTTGGTTTTCTCATCTGAAAATGGGATAATAATAATAACACTCACCTCATTGTATTATTATGGAGACTAAAAGGGCTCATGCATGAAAGGTACTCAGAATGGTATCTGATCTATAGCAAACATTCAAAAAAGTTAGTTATTGTAACTACTATTATTTTTGTTGTTGTGTTTGTTGTTGTTGTTGTTTGACTAAATACTCAGGCAGTAAACAGAGAGTGCTGGTTCCAAGTTTTCAAAGCATTTCATCAAATCTCTCTGTTTCTCTCTTGTTCTCGGCTTTGATTTCCTCTGCAATTTCATTCTCAGGCAGACCCTTCCTAAGTGTTGACAATTCCATGAATCAAAACTCTACATTCACGTCCCAGAAGCTTCGCATAAGCAGTAAGATCCCCAGTAACTGGCCCAGCTTGTGTTATTCTTAAATCACTGTTGCAGTGGTGGGAGAAGTAAGGTGCCCTGATCAGCAGCCCTGTGTTAATTGTCCCCCTGGATCTGGGGAAGAGTCAACTCCTCTCACACCACATGAACCAAGAGTGAGGAAGACTTACTCCTCCAGAGACAAATGGGGATGGTGTTTCACTATGAAGGAGAATGATCCAAGCAGGCAAAAATGACAGCTCTACAATTATTCCCATTTTACAGGAAATTGTCTCAGTAAGATGAAGCAATTTTCACACGGAAACAAAGCTATTAAGTGTGAGAATAAGAATTTAAATCATGACTTCCAAATATCCAGGAACAATTTAGTATTTTAAAAACCTATATCAATAGATCAAAAGAAAAATGACAGTGTCATCATAAACGCTGAAAGACTTTTGATGAAAGTCAATATCTTTTCTTGATAGATAATCTCTTCTAATATTAAGCTTAAAAAGCAATGAGAGAGACTTTTAAGAAGACTTTAAATCGCTGCTAAGGGACTTAGAAGACTTGGGGAAAAAAGAATAATTGCATGACGTCACTTTTTGATAAGTAAATCTATATATTTAATATTATTTCAGGAGAAATGCTATCACTTTTTTGAACTAGAAAATCTAATTCTAAAGTTCAATTAAAAATATATCGATAGGAACAGTTAGGAAAATTCTGAAACATATTCTAAAAGTAAAATGATTAAAATGTGGTGGTACTAGAGCAGAAAAAAACAGATCAATGGAATAGAATCGAGTCTAGAAATATGGCACAAATAAATATGGAAATGTATTATGTGACAATAGTGACATTTAAAATCAGTTTGGAAAATACTGATTATTAAATATATGACGTTAAGGTATCGGAATAGCTGCCTGATTAAAAACAAAATGAAATCCTGCCCTGCTCATTACACTAAAACTTATGCCAAATGTTCAAGCCTTTAAATGTAAACCATTAAAATGAGCTATTATTTACTAAAAAATGAAATGGAAGAACTTTTATCATTATCACAGGACAAAAAGGCTCTTCTACAAAAACAACACTACACCAAGTAGCCATGAAAGAAAAGATGAATACATTTAACTATATATTGTTGTGGACTATATAAACTTTGTTGTCCCTCAAAAAAGACATGCTCAAAACCCAGCCATCAGGACTTATGAATGTGAGCTATTTGGACAGAGGGTTTTGGCAGATATAATCAAGTTAAGTTGAGATAATGGTGGATCGGGATGCATCCTAATCCAATGACTAGTGTCCCTAAAAGATGGGGGGAATTTGTGTATGCAGTTACTCAGGAAAGAAGGTCTCGTGGAGACAAAGGTAGAGATTGGAGCGATGCTGCCGCAAACCAAGGAAGGCCAGGGATTGCCAGAAACCAGCAGAAGCTAGAGGAAGCAAGGAAAGATTTTCCCTAGAGCCTTTGGAAGGAACATGGCCTTGCCAGCACCTTGATTTTGGACTTCTAGCTTTCAGAACTGTAAAATAATACATTTCTGTTGTTTTCAGCCACTCTATTGGTGGTAGTTTAACACAACAACCTTAAGAAACTAATATGATTATTTTAAAAAAGAATTTACATGGGAAAAATTACACAAAACAAAAGAACAAATGGCAAAAATCTTTGCGACTCATATAAGAAAGAACTAGTTTTCTTAATATGTAATGAGTTTCTGTAAATCAGTATTTTAAAAAAATCCAACCACTTAATAGAAAATGGATACATGAAGTTGTATGATGTTTTCATTGCTTTGTTGAGACAATTAAAAGAAATAATTTGTGTGTAACCCAAATATGATGATTATCTAATGGGTAGCCTTTGAGCTTTCCTTTTAACCACATTTAGAATATACACAGCATATTATCACCTTCTTCCTCATTGCTGTAGTGATGAAAGTAGATTTTACTGAAGATATTGAGGGGAGAGAGGAAGAGGACTTATATCACCCACTATGCACCAAAACATCATTTAAAAAATTACCTTTTAAACGCATCTGTTCATTTCTCAAAGTTCCACTATGGGCCCCGACGTCTTCTAGTTCTCTTTGTTTTTCCTTCAGCCTAACATTCCCAACACTGCCTCTCAACTATTTTTCTCCTTTCCCTAGTAATTCAATTCACAGCTTGCATGATCTGGCCAGCAAAACAAAAGCCAGGCAGTTTTCGCTGATTCCATCCTTAGAAAACAGTTCAGGGGCCAACCATTGTTAGTCCCGTGGAGTCCCATCAACCCAGTCACTTTGCCTTTTCTTGGAGCAGGAAAAGAAGGAAAGCTTTTGCTGCTGGGAAGATAAGATCTTCTTCAGATGGCCACAGATGTGAAGAATTAACCCAGTCGGAGCCAGCTTCATGGACATGCCATCTGCACAGTTCCACGGAGAAGGGACCTGTACTTTGGGTAATGCTCTGCCGTCTTGAAATTCTCAATAATTGTCGAATAGTGGGCGCCACATTCCCATTTGCATGGGGCTCCACAAAGTATACAGTCAGTCTTGACACAAAAATTATTCAGTAAACAGTTATTGCTGTCATTACTCAAAGCACAAATGCCTTATCTCCTGAGTAATCCAAGAGACACAGCGTCTCAAAGCTTCATACTTTTAAAGAAAAAAAAATTTTTTTAAAGCAAATGGAGAAGAAGGGGGAAAAAACTAGCTGCATGAACTTCGAAGCCAGGAAAACTGGCACCATTGCCTTTAGCAAGATGTTATCTGACATCTTTTGGCTGAATGCGTCCTTTCATGGGGTGATTAAGCAGCAAATATCTCCGAGTAGCATAATGTTTATTAGACGTTACTCTGTTAGGGCAGCTTGTGTTTTCCCTGTATTCTGTTTCCGTATTCAAGTGTGTACAATTTGTTGATTTAAATAAAATTTAAAATAAGCCGTGTTGCTTGAAGAGCTGCTGACAGGGCCTCGTGGAAAACTTTGAGAGGTTTTTTATTAGGAAACAATTCTGTTTCTGTGTCATGTTTTTCTGCCTTATGCTTTTCCCCCAACCCCCTCCCTGTCCTTAGCACCACAGGACAGCAGCCTGAAAACCAATATTTTTACTTTTTTTGAATGTTCATCTGGCTCTCTGAAATACTTCTATCCACAAGGCAAGGATTCTACATGTCCATCCTGTCTCCTAGGTTATTAGAGAAAAGGGGCAAGCCCGCTTCTGACAAGGGTCACCTGCATTCCATGCCAGGAGTCATGTACATTCTAAGTGTTAGATTTTCTGGAGTGTTGATCATTCATTTATTCATCATCCATTCATTTATTGTTTTCATTAACCACATGTTTAATTGATGGCAAAGTACAGAGAAGTGGATACTGTTTTATGTCACTGGATAGAATGATGATGTCTCTTTAAAATGAAAGTACCCATGATCTGGGCCACGTCATTTGTTCTCTGCTTGTGCCCTAGAGAAACCTTCAAACATGGACACAGAGACACGTGCAAGGAAGTACATCACATTCTTTGGGGGAAGTGGAACAACAGGAAGCAACCTACATGTCCATCAGCAAGGGGACTGCTAAGTAAGTGTGCAAGAGTGAAACGGGATGTGGTGGTGAAGAAGAAGAAAATAGACCTCTATGTACCTACTGTATTAGTCTGTTTTCACACTGCTGATAAAGACATACCCAAGACTGGGTAATTTGTAAAGAAAAAGAAGTTTAATGGACTCACAGTCCCACGTGGCTGGGGGGGGGGCTCACAATCATGGTGGATGGCAAAAGGCACGTCTTACATGGCAGCAGACAAGAGAGAAATGAGAACCAAGCAAAAGGGAGACCCCTTATAAAACCATCAGCTCTTGTGAAACTTATTCACTACCACGAGAATAGTATGGAGAAAACTGCTCCCATGATTCAATTACCTCCCACTAGGTCCTTCCCACCACATGTGGGAATTATGGGAGCTACAATTCAAGATAAGATTTGGGTGAGGACCCAGCCAAGACATATCACCTACATAAACAAATCTTCAACACATATTTTTTAGAGAAAAAGACAAGTTGCACAAACATCTTGTACCACATGAAGCTTTTTTTAAACAACCAAAAGGTTCAGAAAACACAAAACTATATTTGTATTTTCTATAGGTACATACACATGTATAAAAATACAAAGGAAATTCTGGCTGTTACAGATGTGTGCTAAGAAAAAATTTACTAGAAAATTGTTTGGAAGAAAAGTCAACAAATTGATACAGTACCACAGCTGGGGAGGAGCGTGGTAGGGGAATGTACCACAAGCACCTTCAGTTTATTTGTAATGTCTTATTTTTATATGACAGTTTATTTTATTATTTTATACATTTATTATTGCTTAATGACAAATCAATATTTTAGCTGATATAAAAAATCCTCTGTAAAAATTCAAGGAGTTAATATTACCTAATAGTTCCCCAATCCATGTTTGCTTTTATATATCAAATATACATTGTAGGCACACTGAATTTTTATATAATACAATACCCTATGTACGTGTCCAATAAATATCACTTACAGGCATGGATGAATGAACAAAAGCTGAACGGATACTTTTCCCCTCCATCCTTTAGAGGTGGAGGCTCCTGAATTACTGTTTTACCACCTCTTTGTCATATCTGAAATCTAGTTCAGAGAAGAAAATCATGCAAATAATTAGAATTGCCACTTATTGAAGATCTTTCTATATGCTGCTGGCTTTAAAGAATTTTACTTTCCTAATATTATTTTCCTGTTACTATTGCTGCATAAAATAAAAGATCACCCCAAAAATTAGTGGCTTAAATCAACCATTTTCATGTATTCTCAGATTGTGAGGGTGAGGATACTGAAAAGAGCACAAAGGGTTAGCTAGTCACAATGTCTGGGGTTTCTGCTAGGAAAACTAGAATACTGGAAGTGACTTGATGGTTGACAGCTGGAATTATCTGGAATGTCTCCTTTCGTGTAGCTGACAGTTAATGCTGACCATTAGTAGGAACCTCAGTTGGGTCTGTTGGCAGTAACACCCACATGTGGCTTCTCCATGAGGCTGCTTGAGCTTCCTCTTAACAAGGCAGCCTCAGGGTGCTTGAACTTCTTACATAGTAGCACCAGATTCCAAATGTGAATACCTCATCTAACAAGGCAGAAGATGTAGGATTTTTATGCTCTATATTCAAAAGGCATACAGAATAACCTCCACTACATCCCATTGGTTATAAGTAAGTCAAAAGCCTGTCCAAATTCAAGGAAAGAAAAATTAAACTCTTCTTCTGGATGGAGGCAATGGATATGTTCTAGAAAAGAATAGGCCAGGAGATCTTTTTACTGCCATCTTTAGAAAACATAATCTGCCACATCTTCATAACAATCCTCTTCTGCAAATAGGTGAATAATCCATCTTATAGATGAGAGAGCAGGTGCAGAGAATACTTTATTTTTCCAAAGTCAAATTACTCGATGGCAAGTGGCTAAGCAAGGATTCAAACTCAGGTCTGTGTGTCCTCAAAGCCTCCTCTCCCCACCCGTCACTGCCATCACATCAGGTGGATATTATATTTATGTATTTCATCCTGCTTTTATTGCTTATCAGGGAGACATACTCAGATACCAAATGTTATCTTATATAGAGATTGCATCTTCTTGCAATTTTCAGCCCACATGACTGGTTCAATAACCTGCTCCTCAGTAGTTAATAGGAAGCCATTGAGATGAGTCTTTTCTGAAGGTCCAGGGAAATTGCTATTAAGAGACCAGAGTTTGAGCAGTGTTGGCAACTTCAGGATGGTGGCTGATCCACAGTGATCGCTGACTCCGGTGAAAAATGATCCTCTGTCTATGTGACACAATTATTTGGGTATTTACCACAAAGGCCCTTAGATAGGCCCCTTTCAATCAGAAAATAAGAAATAAGCTGAGGGAGAAAAATAGCTAAATTTAAATGTAACTGCTCACATTGTTTTGTCCTTAGATGGATGGTAGGTCTCTCTCATTATTCACCAAGCACAGACATGCTACCAAGAGTGATTTGGCAACTTGTGAAGATAAATCACAACCAGGATGGCTGCTGTCACTGTCCAGTTGAGAATGTGACTCTGGAGGCTGACAGAGTGTGGGGGCAAGCACATGCATGGGTCCCACTGGTGCAAAGTTTGAGAGAAAAAGGAGGACCCAGAGAAAGGAAAACAGAAGAAAAGCAATAAAAATACCATGTCTCCCCCGACATTGTTCCCAAGTGCCATGCTTTCGAGAGAACAAATGTTTCTGTGAGTCCCCAGCAGGTCAGAAGGAAGACAGATGGCAGGTTACCGAAGCAGGAGGGGAGGAGGTTATGAATTCAACCGTCAATGAGAAGAAAGCACAGATTTAATATGTAGTTCAGGAGAAAATGGAAGAAAGCAGCATGACACTCTAAGAATCTGAAGGGAGTTGTATTTTCTGGATATTTTTGGATGAAATATTTCATACATGACACAAAGCCGAGATCCTCCAAATTAATTTTGTTTATTCTATTTTTGTAACCTATATTTTTGTGATCTTAAAAGCAACACCTTCTAATAATGCAATTTTTTGCAAATATAGTAAAATGCATAAAAATTCATACTCATTAGATCCAGGAGTAACCAATGTGAATATCTTGTTACACAGTTTTCCAGTTTCCCTCGTGTATATGTACATAGAACTATATGTCCTGCAAAAATGGGCTCAGATAATACCTAATGTTTTGTGTTCTGCAATTTTCGTTTCTTATATCACAAGCTTCTTTCTATGTCAAAAAGTAGACATTTACATAATCATTTAACGGAGGCTTAATCTTCCATGGTAATATTAGTTAATCAATCCACTATTACTGAATGTTTAGGACTCTGAATTTTTTTCTGTTTGCAAATAATAAAACATGAACATCTTTGCACATATACCTTTATGTACTTGCTTTCTTCTGATATATTTCTCAAGGTGTTTTTTAGTAAGATGAGAAATTTGTATACATATTACTAAATTATTATTTTGTTAAGTTGTACCAATAATTATCTAAAGTCAAAGCTAAAAAGATGCAATTAGCTTTTTTCTTTCTTTCTTTCTTTTGTCTTTCTTTTTCTTTCTTTCTTTCTTTCTTTCTTTCTTTCTTTCTTTCTTTCTTTCTTTCTTTCTTTCTTTCTTCTTTCTTCTTCATTTCTTTTTTTCCCTGTTCCTCTTCCCTGCCTCTTTCTGTCTTCACTAGTCAGTAACTGCTATTGTTGAAGCAGGTTATTTTGCTCAGGGAACTTACAGATGAGGGCAGGCATTGGAAACTGTGGCCCATGGGCCAATCAGACCCACCATCAATTTTTGTTAGGCCCATAAGCTAAGAATAGTGTTTTTATTTTAAAATGGTTGAAAAAAATCGAAAGAAGAGTAATATGTTGTGATACACACAATTATATAGATTTTAATAAGTTTCACTTAAACACAGTCACTCTATTTCTTTACATATTGTCTGTGGTGCTTTCACCCTGCAACAGCAGAGTTGAGAAGCTAGGACAGATAATGTCTATATTGCTCACAAGGTAAGAAATATTTACCATCTGATCCCTTTGTAGAAAAAGTGTGTGGACTCCTGGGCTAGTGACAATAATGTTTCTAGCTTTCACTGGAGACCAGGAGCTGTCCCAGGAGAACATCATAGCAGCAGTTAAGAGTGTGATAGTCAACAGGTCTCCTGGGTTCAAATTCCAGGTTAGTGACTTACTAACTGTGGGACCTTAGACTCATTGTTAAAAGTCTTTTGCTAAAACATCCTCAACTGCAGAAAGGAAAGAATAATACATACTATTGACAACCAATATTATCACCAGGATCAAGTAAAGGGAGGAGTAAAAAGTGTTTACCATAAGAGCCTAGTGCATGGCAAAAAAACTGTTGTTACTATTTGCTCTTCACTTCTGGAAATTTAACTTAAAATTTGTTCAAATATCTTTAGTCCTGGAATTTTAATTTATTCTGTTATTCTTTCTTATCCTTGAATAATTTTTGGTTCCAGAACAGATGGTGCCAATATTATCAAAATAAAATTTATAGTTTGAGAAGACTTCTTAAATGGAATAAGAAAAACCATGTACCATTATCTTTTTCTCTTCTGTGATTCAAGTGCCTCTTCACTTACTTATTCATAGATAAGATATGTTAGAATAATTTACTTTCAGGTCTCAAAAGAATGGGGAAGCTATAGCAGGTGCATTATGGGAGGTAGCTGGCCTCATTGAAGATGCCAACTTGCCTCAAGAGTTAGGGTTAAAAGACTCTCTAGTCTAGAAGGCATATGACCCATCCTCAGTCCAATGCCTGAAGACATCAGTTCACAGCCATGCACCGAATATTACAGCTTACCATTTAAGATAGTCGTCCTTATTTGCTGTTCTGCATATATCCCTGGACTGGGCAGTTTGTGGACATGGAAAAACCCAAAGTGGTGTTCTCTCTAGGAATGCACAGATGCTCTTTGACTTATGATGAGGCTGCTTCCTGATAAGCCCATCTTAAATTGAAAATACGGTAAATCAAAAATGCATTTAATCCATCTAACCCATAGAACATCATAGCTTAGTCTAGTCTGACTTAAATGTGTTGTTTTACTTCCATTAGCTTATATGTGGACAAAATCATCTAACTCAAAGCCTATTTTCTAAGAAAGTGTTGAACATCTCATGTAATTTATTGAATACTGCACTGAAACTGAAAAACTGAATGATTGTATGGGTGCTCAAAGTACAGTTTCTATTGAATGTGGATCACTTTTGCACCATCCCAAAGTCAAAAAATCCAAAGTTGAACCATTGTAAGTCAGGGACTATACACAAATCTCTTTCATAAACTTGAGGCAGATCTTGCTGTATCTAAATAAAGCTCTCTCTGAGCATAATTTAAGCTCATTCTTTCTTTTAAAAAGTAAAAGCATTAAAGTGAATATCTCTTAGGTGGGCAGTGAGCACCTCACCTCTACTGGGCAGAGTTGGGGGTATAGAGATGGACCAAGCTCTTCAGCCATGCTCCTTGCATCCCTGTGTCTGATCATTTAGTTTGTCCGGCTTGAACACTACGTCCCCAGGGATGGTTTCCCCAAACATCCTGTCTGCAGGGGACCTTGCCTCTATTTCCCAAAACAGCCCAGTGTATGTCTTTCAGAGCACTAAAAATATAGATTATTTCTTTGTTTAATCCATTGATTTGTTTACAGTCTATGCCCACCCCCATTGTAATATAAGCTCCACAAAGGAAAGGTCTTGTCTATCTCATTCATCAATGTCCCAACACTTGTACAGCATTGGTGTGAATAAATACTTGTCTTGACTCTCAAATTACCCACAATTTTGTTCCTCATTAAGACTGACCCCTACTCCCTCTCAACTATTATCTCTCCCTTCATTCTACTAAATTCTTGTCATTTTCTTGACACACAGATATCTTTTTCTTCTATTTTTCACACAATCCATTTCTTCACCTAAAACATCTTTTCATTCTCCCCATTTGCTCTCCCCCACTTCTTGGCTGACCACCTCTTAGCTGTTCTTTAGGTTTCAGCTTCTAGATTACACCCAGCAGGAATCCTTCCCTGATCATTCTCCATGCCTAGGGTGGAGAGTTGCCTCTCTTGAACTCCCCTGTGCCCAGCACACTTCTCATCATTTCTTTCACCCCAAATGGCTATTCTTACCTGCTGAGTTGTCTGTCTCCCCAACCAGAACAGCACAGTTCCCAACGCAGTGGCTGGCAGGTAGTTGGTGCTCAGTGATGTGTTTTTAATAAATGAATGGTTAGGTTGGGCGCGGTGGCTCACGCCTGTAATCTCAGCATTTTGGGAGGTTGAGGCAGGCAAATCATCTGAGGTCAGAAGTTCGAGACCAGCCTGACCAATATGGTGAAACCCTGTCCCTACTAAAAATACAAAAAGTAGCCAGGCATGATGGTGTGTGCCTGTAGTCCCAGCTACTCAGGAGGCTGAGGCAGGAGAATTGCTTGAACCTGGGAGGCGGAGGTTGCAGTGAGCTGAGATGGCACCACTGCACTCCAGCCTGGGAGACAGAGCAATACTCTGTCTCAAAATAAATAAATTAGTTAATTAAATGAATGGCTAAACATTGAAGAATTATTACCCTATATCCATAACACTAACCCATATTTTTAACAGTGTATTAGTCCATTTTCATACTGCTATGAAGAACTGTCTGGCACTGGATAATTTATAAAGGAAAGCAGTTTAATTGACAGTTCAGCATGGCTGGGGAGGACTCAGGGAACTTACAATCATGGGGAAGGCAAAGAGGAAGCAAGGTAACTTCTTCACAAGGCAGCAGGAAGGAGAAGTGCTGAGTAAAGGGGAAAGATCCCCTTATAAAACCATCAGATCTCATGAGAACTCATGCCCTATCACGAGAACAGCATAGGGGAACTGCCCCCGTGATCCAATTACCTCCACCTGGTCCCTCCCTTGACAGATGGAGATTATAGGGATTACAGGAATTACAATTCAAGATGAGATTTGGGTGAGGACACAAAGCCAAGCCATATCAAACACTGAGAAGAAGGTATGTGTTATTCATTAAACAATAGTAAGAACTGATTTCCTCAACATACAAAACCTTCCAAGAAATCATTGAAAAAGAAACAGAATAGAGGCATATCATAGACAAATGACAAAAAAAGAATATACTTCATAAATACATATATGGCAAGCTGCTTAATACCTGACTCAAGACAGATGTGAATTAATATTCTACTGGGAGACCGCATTTTCTTTTCCAAATTGCAAAAATCAAATGGTTTGATAATACCCTCCCTGAGTAATCGAATGGGAAAACAGATCTTCTCGCTTATGAATGATGGGAATGTAAATTCAACAACCTCTACATAGGACACTTTGACAATATTTATCAAACTTACAAATGCACTTACCCTTGGCCCCAGCTAGTCCACTTCTAGGTATTTATTCTGCAGAGACCCTCCCACATGTGTGGCGTGACATGCATTCAAGGTTATTGACTGCAGGGTTGTTGGTAAGAGCAAAACTTTGGAAACTCCCTAAATGCCCCTAGATTCAGGGCACTGAATGAATAATTTATGCTACAGCCACATATTGGGGTGTATTACAGTTTTTTCAAAAGACGATGCTCTTTATTAATGTATGTGGGATGATCTCTAAGATAAAAGACTTTAGGTTTTACAAAAAAGTAAGGCAAAAAGAAAACTATGCTATGTGTATAATATATGACCATTTGTGTAAAAAAAAGGAGAAAAGGAGAAAAGGGGTGTGTGTGTGTGCATGTGCTTAAATATATATGTACTTATTTGTGTAAGCATAAAATACCTGATTAATACGAAATTTGAGAGAAGGGGTGAAGCTAAGAGGCAAGGTGGCAGGAAGGCTTTTTACTCAATAATTTTTAATGATTTGTAGTTTAGAATTGTGTGACTCTATTATGAATTCAAACATTGGGAGAGGGAGGAGGGACAGAAGAGAAAGAAAGGGAAGGAGGAAGAGAGCGAGAGGGGGAAGGGAAGAGAAAGAGAGAAGGAGTATGCTCCAAAGGTCAGTCCTAAATCAGGTAGAACAAACTAAGTTGCTCATGGTAACGAGGTTAAGCATCTGCCACTTCATGTTCCCTTTCTTCCTCAGTAGTTATAACAAAGTAGAAAAATCAGAGAGGCAAATCTCAGCCTCTCACCCCTTTTGTGAGTCTCCTGGTTTCTCTGATGATTCTGCAATAATTAGCAAGAGCTGGATGCATGCTTCTAAATCTCATCTAGCTGGTGACCCAAGAGATGGATCCCACCACATCCCTAGCCATCTAGAAAGAAACTCACCAGGCTCTCCTTCCTGGCCTGTCTGAAGACACAGCCCCTGTTCCTCGGGAGGGCTCTGTGATGTCGATTTATGTAGCAGCAGCTGTCACAGCTCACTTCAGCAGAAAGGATTGAACTGTCCTGAATATGTCAATCAGATATCAAAGATAAATGAAGTTTGAAAAAATAAAATGTACAATTTATTTTTAAAAAATAGTCTTTGGGAGACACCCAGAATGCACTTTGAAAAATCTAAGGGAAATGTGTCATGAAAACAAATCCACATTCTGCTGTCCAACTTTAATTTTTCACTGATAACACTCGAGCAGGCTGCAGCCCAGCCGATAAATAAAGATGCTCCACCTTAATGTTCTCCAATTGCCATCTGCTGTGATGGAGGGCCTTTCCCAAAGATGCACTTGCCCCTTGCACTTCAGCTCTGACCACCTCCCCCTCCAGGTCCTCTGGATGTTAACGAGCAGGCACAGTCTTCAGGACTTTCCCCCAAGGACATCCTATGCCTGCTGCTCCAGGAATGCATTTGCCAAGGAATCCGCTAAGCTGCCTTGGCATTGCGTGCTGGTTGGGCTTGGTGATGTTTGGGGTTTTAATTCACTTTACTAAAATTGCCTTTCATTCACTTGGTGACAGGTAGTTATTTGTTTTCAGGATTCCATTTGACATTTATTGTTAGCGTAAAACACTAATAATAATAATTAGCGCCTTTTTAGAGTTGTCTGGGGTTTTCATGCCATTGCATTGTTACTATAAAACATCCTGAGGCTTTTCTGTGTATAAGATAGTATGATGGTATTTAAATGTAACAAAGGGGTTTATTATACTCAGGCCAGATTGCAGTATCTCTGAGCCCCCCTCCCTGTGAGCAAGCCAAGACTTCATATCCTCCCAACTTGTCTGCAATGCTAATACCTATTTTTTTTTTGAGATGGAGTCTCCCTCTGTCACTTCACAACATGGCAAAACCCTGTCTCTACTAAAAATACTATAAACATATATAATATATACACACACATATGTATGTATATACTATATACACGTATATGTATACATATACATGTATATACTGTATACACACACACACATATATGTGCATACTGTATTTTATTTTTTATAGGAGGGAAACCTCAGCATGGTTTGACTTTTTTCTTAGAAACAAGCAATCCAATCTAGGATTTATGCTCTAAACTATGCCGTCACATACAGTAGCCACTGGTCAATTGTAACTATTTACATTTAATGTAATTGAAATTAAATACAGTATTCGATTCCTCTGTTGCACTAGCTTCTTTGCAAGTGTTCAATAGCCACAAGTGGTGCAGGGCTACCACACTGAACAGTGCAGCTGCAGACCACATCCAGTGTTGCAGAAAAGAAAGTCCTACTGAATGGCACTGCTCTAGAACCTGGATTCTAGAAATGTGGTCCAAAGACCAGCAACACTGGCATGAGGTGCAGTTTTGTTCAGAAACACAGTCTCTAGTTCCCCACCCCCAGACCTAGTAACAAGCTCCCCAAGTAATGCATTTGCACACTTATGTTTGAAATAGGAGTCAGAGAAGTTTCTGCAAAGAGCCCAGCAGTAAATGTTTTGGGCTTTGTGGGCCATACAGTCTCTGTTGCAACTACTCAACTCTGGCATTGTTGTGACAAAGCAGCTATAGACAATACCTAAGTGAATGTGCATGATTGTGTTCCAATACAGCTTTATTTAAAAAAACAAATGGCAGACCATATTTGTCCCACAGCCCAGCATTTGCTGAACCCTGCTCCAGAACATTCTTTAAACGTCCCTGTAAATACTATGAGTATCATTTAATTCCCACTCTTGGATCTCGAAGACTAAGCATCTCTGATCAAGCATCTCTGATCAAGCATCTTGGTCTACGATCCTGGGAGAGATACTTTTCTGGAATGTCTCTGTTGGCTTGTGTCTCTGTCTCTTGTTTCTAAAGAAAACTGACCCATCTGGCCAACTAGAAGCTAATGATAAAAAGGCCAGTCAAAGTGGTTCACACCTGTAATCCCAGCACTTTGGGAGGCTGAAGCAGGTGGATCACCTGAGGCCAGGAGATCATGACCAGCCTGGCCAAAATGGTGAAACCTGTCTCTATTAAAATTACAAAAAAAATTAGGTGGGCATGGTGGTGTGCACCTGTACTTCCAGCTGCTCAGGAGGCTGAGAGGCTGAGGCATGAGAATCACTTGAGCCTGGGAGGCAGAGGTTGCAGTGAGCTGGGATCATGCCACTGCACTTCAGCCTGGGTGACAGAGGGAGGCTCTGTCTCCAAAAAAAAAAAAAAAAAAAAAAAAGAAAAAGAAAAAAAAACTTAATGATAAAAAGAAGGAGAGTGGACAGAGCTGACCATGCTCCACAACGGGACCTAATCAATATGAAAAGGAGGGCGTCAGGCTGCTTTTACTCTCTGCCACACATACCCCAGTTAAACAATATGTGAAGAGGTCCCTGAGCTTTGATGTAAGACTGGCAGGGTCAGTTCCAAGTTCTGATATGTGCTTTGCCCACCTGAGCAAGGGTTCAAGGAACCACGAAAGAGGTGGACAAGCGTTGAGGTCTGGCCCTGGCCCAGCCCAGGTTTGCATTCTACACAGAAAACATGGCCACATAAAAGAGAAAACATCTGTTAAGGTCCAAACTGACGCAGAAGGTGTGTGAGCCATGTGTGTGAGTACTTCTCCTAATCACAGCAAAGCGGCTCCCCTTGCACATGGGATGGAGGAAAGGCCAGGAGTTCCCTCTTGACTTTTCTGCAAGGCCCAGAGTTCCTTTCCCATGCATCAAGGTGAGAAGGCTGAAGAAGAGGAAACATCTCAGAGGATTATCTCAAAGCTCCCACTAGATTCAGGATCTCTGCCATGGATGTTTGATAAACTCTACTTGATGATGCTCAACTTGAATTCCATGAGCCAGGAACGTCTGAGTAGGAAAGAGATATGTGAATTCAAGGAAAATGGCAATTTGTTCTTTCTGTTTCTGCCAAGTTCTGGATGAAAGATAAGTCTCCACTCTACCCTCTGCCAGGTTCCATGAAGGATAAAATGGAGATGGAGCACAGAGTATGTGTAGAGATAGGTTGGCCCTTTACAGTCAGACAATCAGAATTCCTGTGTTCAAATTCCAGATTGGCCACTTGTTAGCTCTGTGACTTTCATCAATTCACACAATATCTCAAACCTCACTCTTCCCAACTGAAATACAAAATAAAAATACTACCCACCTTGGCATTATTGGGAGGAATAAATGAGACCATAGACACCAAGCTAGGTGCACAGCATAGCGCATAGCAAGTGCTCAGTAAACACCTTCTACAAGAATTATGTCATATATTCCTCAAACAACCACACACAGTAGGAATTAAATTCTCACTTTATAGATGATGAAACTGAGGCCTAGCATGGCGAAATAACCTAGATGAGAACACAGAGGTAATAAGGGGTGGTGCTTGGATCAGAATGCACACATTTCTGCAAGCTTCAATTATTTCTACTTAGCTGTGTCATTTATTCCAGAGAACCACTTAAAAGGTGTTTTTTTTTAGGATACTTGGCTCCTTTTTTTTTTCTCCAGAAACACCCTACCTGTCCTTTAAAAAAATGATCGGATGCTAAGTCTGGAGACACCATGCTACCTCAAAGACCCAGTGCACAAACTGGCCCTGCTCCAGGGCTGTGAACAGCAACATGACAACCAAGGGTGCCCCTAAATTAGTTGGTGGGAAAATCCTGGCCTCCCAATCTAAGCAATAAAATCTTCTAATCCAAAGATCATCTTCTCTTCAAAATCACTCAGAAAATGTTGTCCACGCTACATGCTGTCCACAAATTCATCATTTTATCATTGCTTAAGACAACGAACAAGCCCAAATCTGCCGCTAAAAATTCTAAAACTAAGTCCTAGCATCACACGATTGCCCTAAATTAAAGAATAGAGTGAAAAGGAAGATATGTAACAAATTTTAAAAGCGAATAACTCTTTGATCCAACAATTCAACTTTTAGAAATACCTTTTGGAAATAATCAGACAAGTATACAGTTACATGAACAAGACTGTCAGCTGGGTGTGGTGACTCACTCCTGTAATCCCAGAACTTTGGGAGACAGGAGGGAGAATTGCTTGAGCCCAGAAGTTTGAGACCAGCCTGGGCAACATAGTGAGATTCCATCTCTTAAAAATTTTGTCTTAATTAGCCAGGCATGGTGGAGTGCTCCTGTGATCCCAGCTACTCTGGAGGATGAGGTGGGAAGGTCGCCTGGGAGCTGGAGGTGAGCCTGGGAGCTGACGGAGCTGAGGAGAGCCATGATCACACCATTGCACTCCTTCCTGGGCAACAGAGAGAGACCCTGTCTCAAAAAAAAAAAAAAAAAAAAGAAAGAAAGAAAGAAAAAGAAAGAAAGAAAAAAGGAATGTTCATTTCAGTGATCCTAATTGAAAACAATCTAAGTTATGCTCATTTGGGCATTGGAGAAATAAACAATAGAACAATCATTTATTAAATACCATCTGACCATGAAGAAGGTTGGGGAGATTCCTATTGCTGGATTGCCAACAATCTACGAAATGAAAAAGGGGTGTTCATCGACTTCCCGCATCCAAAACATCATGACATGTGGCCAGCCACATCCCCTCAGCAACCCCTCGAGTGACCACGTGTCACGACGGCCATCATGCGTTTACCTCCACGTGGAAGCATCCCTCTCTCTTCCTCCTCTTTCTTGATTGCTCCTCTAGCAAAAAAGTCTTCACACAACAACCAAACTGAGCCTGTAGAAACACAAACCAGAGGAGGATACATCCAAACCATTTCCTGTGGTCTGCGAAGCTCTATCTATGCTGGCCTCTGCCTGTCACTTACAGTCATCTCGCCCTACACTCCACCCCGACACTGGCTGTCTTGCTGATCCTTGAAGCACCAATGTCATTTCTATCCTTCAGCCTTTCAGGGGCTGTTCCTCTGTAGGGGATTGGGGGTGGGGTGGGACTCATTTCCTAGCTCTAAAAAGCCCAACTGCTTCTTCTGTCTTAGTTTCTCTCCAAATGCCCCCTTCTGAGAGAGGCGTTTAGTGGTTAAAATCACCCGCCCACCATGCCACCATCATTTTCCATTCCATGAGCCATTTTTTTCCTTTATGACCATCTTACCATTCCTGTCTTTATCTTACATGTAAATCTATTTATGTGTTTACGCTTTGTCTTCTCTCCAGAATGTAAGCACCAGGAAGGTGCATGTTACAGATGTCTCTATTCCCAGTACCTGAAAAACCACCTGCCATAGAAACTCAATAAATAGTTTATTAAATAAACAAATAAATTTGTAGGGTCACATACCCTTTATTAATAGTGAATATACACAGGCAGGTAGAATTGTAGATGTCTTATTCTTTTGTTTTATGGTCTGCTTTTTTTCTGGTCTCGAAAGAGCAAAAGTTAATTTTGTAATTTTGAAAAGCAATTTCTCTTATCTTAAATAAATAATAAATAAAGGAGCCAAAATAGAATATAACCCTTCAAGGAGCCAGTAAGAACCTCTCATAGCCCACTTTTCCAATGACATCTCAATTGGTAATGGGTCTTTCTTTTCCTTTTGAGTCAATTTTGGACACCTTTCCTTGAAGCTATTGTTAGTTTAGAAAAAGACAAAAAAGTTAAGTTTAAAAGAGTCAGATGTATAATTTCTTATGCTGGAGTTTACCAGAAAGACTTGGAAGGTAAACTCAGGCTTTTTGTTTTGCCAGGGTTGGGTTATATTAACTTAAAAAAAAAAAACTAAAACATCTTGGTCTTAAAGAAATGTCTTCTAGTATAGACTTCTTCTCTATTGAGCTGTTGTTTTAAGTCCCAAGGACTTGGAAGGTAAATTTATTCTCTTTATCTTGCCAGGGTTGGGCTATATTAACTGTAAAAAAGAAAAGAACTAAAAAATATTGGTCTTAAAGAAATGTCTTCTAGTATAAACTCTTTCTCTATTAGGCTGTAGTTTTAAGTCCTGTTTAAATTTAAATCTCTGTTCATCTCCAAAATAATATTGACTGCAAGACAAAGGATGACTTTGGCATTTTCAAATATTTTTGAGTGTGTAAGTCCTTGCAGGAAGAAGATAGCTGATAGTCATCTGTACTTAAGAGGACCTAAAGGAGGCTCTTAAAAGAATTCCAAAGCCCAAAAGTAAAAAATGATGACTTCATCCTGGCCATGCCCCTTAGGAGCAGCAATTTATCTGAGAACTTTGACCAAAAGTGAGAGACTCCTATGTAAGCCTAGAGCAAGTGTTAACTAAACCTATAAAGCTAAGTCAGAATCTGTGACAGCAAAGGAAAATTCTATTACCTATATGACCATACCTTTTTTTTTCAAAAGCACACTAACTTGTAATGATTGGTGGCAAATGTTACATCTGTTTATTTTCAGAACAAGATGTCAATTTAGGAAAATGTTTTAAGCCAGCACTGGTGAATATCAGTCTCATGAAAGAGTATGATTCTATGGAATCATTTCACGTGGAAAATGCCCACTTTTATGCAAGCATCTGAAATCACCTTCTACATCCTTTTGAGGATTTTCCAGGAGAAAATATGTGTAATATTCCAATTGACATATTAGTGGAAGCATCGTAGACTTCATGGGCAACATGGAAAATATATATTTTTTAACATATCTCAGAAAACTTTGCAGCACTAAAGTTAAGGAATGAATTCAAATGCTCCGAAAACATTCATTTATTTTCTTCTCAAGTTTCCTGAAACAAAGTGCTCAGATGAAATATTTGACTACATGAAACCATTTATTTTGGTAGCATTTCCACCATTAACCTTAGATCATCTCCTAAAGACAGCCAGGAAAGAAACAAATAAACACAGCTCATTCATCATGAAGCGTGATAATAGGACATTTTATGAACAGAGTGCTTTCTATTCAGAAAGAAACCATGTAATTTTAACAAGGTACACAGTGGGTATTATCCAGCCAAGTACAAAGCATTCACCTCAAAATATTTATTGATATTATTTATACTATAATTATCAAAAAAATAGGCTGAGACTTATGATTGATCCAGAATAGATGGATGCTTGCCCAACCTTTACGATGATCCTTTGGCCCTGAAATTTACCAAAATGTAAGTGTAATTATTTAAATTAAGCAATTCCATAAGACTTCAGTGAATACCCACTATGTTTCTAGGCAGTTCCAGGTAATTCAATTGATTTAAATATTAGACACTGTTTCTGCCATGTGATAGAGAATAGAAAACTTATTCCCCCTCCTCATGTCTCCATAAGGGAGTTTCTGTTCCTTGAAAGAGTATTAGAGTAAGGCTTCTTTCTATGCCCTCAATGATAACAATGCCTAAATTGATGAAAGAGGTGTTGCATCTTCATAAGCCTGGCCTAGAATCCCTTCTTTATTCTAGGCCATCCAGCTCACATGGTGGATACATTCTCTTCTTTCTTTTGTTTTAATGTAGTTTTTGTTCTTGAGTGGGGCCCTAGGCCTTGGCAGCAAAAGTCCAATCTAGAAACTCTCTTGCCCCAGTATTGGTACTCAACAAGTGTGAAGCAGTCTTTTCTTTCAGATAGCTGGATGAGTGACCCTGAAGACCCCGTAAAATGTAGATTGTAATAGATTTGTTGAAAGGATAAAATGAACTAATATAAGTAAAACATTTAGTTTACTATTGGGTAAGAGCCCCATTTTCCTACTCTATGTGGGTTCTGAGCTACGGACTGGGGAGGTATTGAGAATCCAGATTACCTTAGAACATAAGCTTCATGATGGCAGGAATTGTGTTGTTATCACCCCTAAAATTTCAAGAGCTAGAACAAGGCATGTCAAATAGCTGATGCTCAGAAATTTTATCAACTGAATAAATTATCTGTTGTTTCAGGACCAGGCCAAATTCTTCTACTCACTTTGTCTTACCTCAATCTTCATATCTCTGAATCTATTGTCAGTTTCTTAATTGGTTGTGAGTTTGGTGGGAGATGGATGTGATTCATTGGCCCCCTTAAACAGCACCATTGTCAATAGGCCATGAACTGGCTGGAAAACAGACTTTAATATGAAACAATAAGAGACTAGGAAGTGCCATATCATATTGATATTGACCATTAGTGCAATAGGGACTCAATCAGAAAAGAAATTAGTGAAAACTATTGTGGTCCAGAACTTTGAGCTAAGCTTTAAGATAATGACAGATTTAGACATTCAGATAAGTAAGCATACCAGAAATTCACTGTCATTGGCTAAGGGAAGGGATCCCTTGTATCTTACTTCTTATTGTATCACAATGTCTAGCACATAGCTGACTCACTCAATAGTAGTTGAATGAATGGTATTGGATGCTAACGTCAAATCAGCTAGCTGAATAGAAGGTAGTAGAAACACAATGTCTTTGGAGCATAACAGAGCTGCATTTGAATTCTAGCTTCACTATTTAATAACTTTATAACTTAGGACAAAGTGGACTTAATGCTCTTAGTCTCATGTTTCTGATCTGAGTTCAGCCTCTCCCTCTCTCTCTCTCTCTCTCTCTCTCTCTCTCTCTCTCAGTTTCCTTTGCACCATGGGATAACACAGCAAGAAGGCCCTCTCCAGATGTTAGAACCTTGGTCTTTGACTTCTCAGCCTCCAGAACTGTGAGAGATAAATTTCTGCTCATTATAAATTACTCAGTCTATTATGGTATTCTGTTTTAGCAGCACAAATGGACTAAGACAGTATGTTACCCTGATTTCTGCTGGAAGTGCCACTGGCTGACAGCTTCAGCTCTCAATGTAATCTGGGAAATGGCCTCAGTCAATGTACTATGCTACAACTGGCTCCTATTGTCTTGTAGGGGTCAATTGTGGCCATCTGTTTCCAATTCTGTGTTCAGTTGGCAGCCAGAAATCAGCCATGGTGGGAGTATTTATGCAAAAAGTCAGCATTTTTTTTCTGAAAGGGCCAGATAGTAAAAATTTATGGCTTTGCAATATTATCTGTTGCAATTACTCAACTCCACCATTATAGCAACCATGGATAACATGTGAACAAATAGGTGTAGCTAACTTCCAATGAAACTTTATTTACAAAATCAGGTGGTAGACCAGCAGTCTGTGGCTTGTCAATGGTTTCTTTACATCATGAAAATTAGTAAACATTACAAATAAGTTTTTTTCACCTTCAGATTGACAGTTGTTAAACATTTACCAGTCCATCACAAGAAGTCAATTCGCCCAAGGTCACATTCCTTTTGCAAGGGCAAATTGAAACTAATGTCTGTTTAATGTGGAAACATGAGATTAAAAAGCAGACTCTTGGTCAGGCGCAGTGGCTCATGCCTGTAATCCCAACACTTTGGGAGGCCTATGCAGGCAGATCACCTGAGGTCGGGAGTTTGAGACCAGCCTGGCAAACATGGAGAAACCCTGTCTCTACTAAAAATACAAAATTAGCTGGGCATGGTGGTGCATGCCTGTAATCCCAACTACTCGGGAGGCTGAGGCAGGAGAATGGTGTGAACTCGGGAGGCAGAGCTTGCAGTGAGCCGACATAGTGCCACTGCAGTCCAGCCTGGGCGAAAGAGCAAGACTCCGTCTCAAAAAAAAGAAAAACAAAATTAGCTGGGCGTGGTGGTGCATGCCTGTAATCCCAGCTACTCTGGAGGCTGAAGCAGGATAATGGTTTGAACCTAGGAGGTGGGTGTTGTGATGAGCTGAGATCAGCTCCATTGCACTCCAGCCTGGACAACAAGAGCAAAACTCTGTCTCAAAAAAAAAAAAAAAAAAAAAGCAGACTCTTTGCCCACCATCTTACACAACTAAGAAAGTTCATCCCAGCTTAAAATCTCCCTGTGGGGTAGATTGAGGACATTGTTGTGATTGTATTGCAGCTTCATTTCTTTGTCTGCATAACCCTGCTTCATTCTCTTCTCCTTCCCCCAGCATCTGTCCTTACCTCCCTTCCTGGCCACCACAGCACACCAAAAATTAGGATTAAGTTACACCCTGTCCTGCTCAGAGAAGCACTTGGCCCACTAAGGGAGGAAAGGGACTATATAAATATGCCAGAGGACTTAGCCAAAAAAATTGGCAGGAGTTGGGAGAGTACATATGAAACTAGACTCTGAGGATGTTGTTAATCAAGGAAGTGGAAAATCCAGTTAGGTAGGAAAGAGTTTATCAATATGGGAGCATTCCTCCAGAATATAGCGTTTGACACACTATCAGTGACCATAGAGTTGGAACTAACACATTGGTAGGATATATTTTTTACCACTCTAAGGGAAGCATAAATTCCAGAGTCGCCACAGCAGATATTCCAGTTATGAATTTGCCTTTCCTACCCACAGACCCTCAGCCAGACACACTGACTGAGTGCTTATATAGTGTTTGATCTACTAATACGTGATCACACCAGAGGACACAGCAAGAGACTCTTGAATTAAGACTGCCACTTGGACACTCAGAGTTTCTTGTGGTCAAATGCATGACAGGCAAGAAAAGCAGTCACCATCCTGGTTGAAAAAGTCATGATTATCATAAGCTTAGACCCTTAAACATGAAAGGTGGAATGACCCAGAATGGCAGAGTTACTGAGAGTGAGGGAAATCTAAGATTACACAAAAGACCATGAGGACAAGTTGTCGCCTGAAAAACAGCTACAGTGGCAACTAGTTCATTATACTGTCTTCTTCCTGTAAGTTTTTCCAAAACAAAAAGTCCTCTCAGAAACCTAGAGCTGCCTATATAGAACTTATAGAAAGAAGAGGATCTGAACTAAAGGGGTGGACTGTAGTGGATGCTGTGTTGCACTGCCCTGAACCTCCAGTTAGGACTAAAGGTCCAATTTCACCAGGTGAAAAAAGTTTTGATGTATTATGGCTGTGAGTTCTCTCTGGAAATGGAAGAGATAAAGTCAGAAATCCCTGAATCCCATAGCTATTTGATGAGGGGATAAAAAAGGAAGCCCCTCTTGCCCCAACTCAAGACAATCCTAATAGGTCATCTCAGTTCAAAGCTTTTTATGGGATTAGCTGGGGCCATTAGTGTTACTGCAAGCAACTCCAATTCTCTGTCTGTCTATTCCTTCCCTTCCCCCACAGATGTTAAAACCAAGAGCACTCTCTAATAGATATTCATACTAATCTCAGTTACAAAGTTGGCTTCCTTGGGAACCTTATCTGAAACATGATTAAATGAAATGATGTCCCTAAAGTGCCAGACATTAAAAAGGATCTTATGATATGTGGGTTTGATCTCATAATATACCTAAGAAAACATGAGTTTCAAGCAACAGCATTAAAAATGGTAAAAATAACAACACCTATTATTACTAAGTGCTTACTCAATAGTAAACTAAGTGCTTTACATACATTAACTCATTTCATCCTTTCAACAAGTCTATTATAATCTACATTTTACAGAAAAGTAAAGGAAGCACAAGGGAGTTAATTAACTTCCTCAAGTTCACTTGCTTATCCATTACACTTTACCAGATTGGGTTTGAATATGGCTCTAAAAGAGACATATTTGTAAGAGAAGTTTCAGAATAATCCCTTTGCTTTTTAAGTCCTGTCAGCCTAAAATTTGAGCCATTTAAAGATGGCAAAGGTTTTCTGCTATTGTACATGAACTCATATTCATTGAAAAATCTCATCTGAAGTAATTCTGAGAGGGGAAGAGAAACTAGTCATTTAAAGAAGTATATTACAAACAATAAACAGAGTCTATAATATTCCTCATTCTTGGAAAACACATACATCATAGGCATAATGTGTTTCTGGGATATAAAGTTGTGTAGTGACTTGGCATTAAACTAAGACCCCAAGTTTTATTTTACTTCATCCAAATAACAGCTGGCAGATGACTGTCCATTGTGACCATGCTTGGCTGAATTTCAGTAATGATGGGAGAATCAATATTCCTGCTATTTCACATAACAAAATGTACTGTGTTCAGTTGAGGTGGTGTGGGTTCTGTATTTTATATTGCCAGTAATCAAGTCAATACAAAATGATGCAGTAAGTGTTCAGTGAGTGTTGACCATAAGCTGGACACTGTGCTAGGCACTAGCATTAAGAACACAGCAGATGCAACACTTTCCTTAAGGAGCTTACAGTCTAAGTACATGGATCTTAAACTTCAATAATTTCCATACTACTTTCAACATTGTTGGCATATTCATATACTGTATGTACTACAGTATTCTCACTGTAGCTTTAATCATCTGCTTTTATTTAAATTTACTTAAGAAAGTATATAGCACCTCTGAAAATTAAAAGGAGTTACCCCTTGCCACAAAGAGAAAACTTTCATATAAACCAATATAAAAATATAACTACTATAACTAGTTTTTTGAGATTAAGTGTTTAAAAAAAATAAAATCATTGTGAACTTCTCTAGTGATGCATGTGCCACATTTACTGGCCTCATAGAAGGAGGTAGGTGTGAGGAGAAAGTAGGAAAATGAATGGCTATTTGATGCAATATGATAAACTGGTAAAGAACATGGAACCTAAAGCTAAATCCATTTGATTCAAATTTTAGTTCTGGCACTTAGCACTTATGAGTTACATAACTTCAGGAAACCTTTCTGAGCCTCAATTTCCTCACCTATAAGATGGGAATAACATAATGTTTAATTCTTCGGGTGATTGTCAGGATTAAATTAATTGAACAGCTTAGAGTTGTGGCTAGCACATCATTACCATAATAAAAAGGTTGGTTATTATTGTTAGTATTGCAGTATACCAAGTTATGGGAGGGGGTCTATGCAGGGTGATTCTCAATTCTATCAGAGGGACCCAAAAAAGGCTTCACAGAGGAGATGCCCATATACATGACTGATGAGTAGGAGCTTATCCAGCCTATGAAGCAGGAGATGGTGATCATTCAGGCAGAGGACAGTAAGCTAAAATCACCTCATTTTTTCTCTTCTCTGATGCACTCAATTAGTGGACACCTTTTGGTTTTGCTGCCCCCTTTTCTCCAGTGATAGCACTTTGATCTTTCCTTGGATAGCTATTCTTTGCTCACTCTTGGCACACAAAGATAGGGTAGGACTGAATCCACTCCCAGCTCCTGATTGGGCATGTAAGTCGGATCTGTGCAACCATTCATCTGGCTGTGGAGATGAGTGTGGTCAAAATTGAACCAGTCAAAGTGAATCTCAGGACCCTGTATGGAACCTCTAGAAAGAAGAGTACTATTGGTTTCCTAGGACTGCTGTAAGAAGTACCACAAACACTTCTTTTTGTTAAGAGCAACTTAACAAAAAATTATTATCTCACTGTTTTGGAGGCCAGAAGTCCAAAATCAAGATGTTGGCAGGCCATGGTTTCCCTGAAGACACTGGAGAAGGCTCTATTCCAGGCCACTCACCTAGCTAGTTGGAGTTCATTGGCTTGTGGCAGCATAACTCTATCTTTACATGGCTTTCTCCCAGGGCCCCCGGACATGGCTGAGTCCAAATTTATCCTTTTTACAAGGACATCAGTCATGTTGGATCATAGACTCAGCATACTCCAGTATACTCCAGTATACTCCAGTATGACTGCATCTTAACCACTCACAACTGCAATGACTCCATTTTCAAATAACAACACATTCTGGGGTATTGGGTGTCAGGACTCAGGAATCTGGGGAGAACCACAGTGTAACCCATAACAGAGAGGTTCTCATTACACAGGATTTAAAGTTGATAATAGATAAGTCTGATGCTTCTGGGGATTCTAGATGGGGGAGAAATACCCTCCCTGGGAATAAAGCCAACTCAGAGGAAATGAGAACTGAGAGACAACAAAACAGGTTCCCACTGTCATCATCTGAGCACCTGGATCCAGCTATGCCTAATTTGATCCCTGAACTTTTCAGGTACAGGAGCCAATAACTCCCTCATTTTTTTAAAGCTGACATTAGTTAGAGTTGGGTTTCTATAACATTGAAATAAAATAGTCCAGTCGAAAATAAAATCTTAAGCCACTTAGAAATTTTAAAATTTTTATAAATAAATTCTAGGATCCATAAGAGAAAAGGATAGGTTTATTAAAGAAACAGGAACTTTAAAACAGGTTTAAGCCAGTTTTGAAGAGCCACCCCTTTCTAGACACATCCTTTGATATCTTGCGTAGTAACTGTTAGTAGTTTGTGACATTTCTAGTCTGTCCTGGGTGTTACTAGTAGCTGACAGGTCAGGCCTGTCACCTCCATAAAAGCAATGAACATCCATACCAGCAAACTCTATGGTGTGGAGTCCCTTTGAGAATTACTGATGTCACACTAAATCTCATCAGCTGTATTTATTCTCTCTTCATCACTGCCATTTGAGGCTCTTCAAAAAGAAGAAGTCTGATTATTTTTACATGAAGATAGCTTCTCCCTGCTCCTGTGATTTGAAAATTGTAAACCAAAGCTTAATTCTAGGAGAGTTCATTTGTCCTCATGGCAAGTATAATTAAAATATAAATCTCTAGGGGGAATACCTGGAAAATTAAGGTTATTGTTGACATTATTATTAATTAATAATTATCAAATACTCACTTTAAAAAATGATTAGCCTTTAGATTTTGATAGCCTCCATTATCCTCATTAGGTAATAGTGAAATAAAGATGAATGAATCCTCAAGCTGATGAATTAATGATTAAGGCAGTCCAGAAGAATTCAACCTAGATTCTGTATCCAGCAGGCTTCCGCATCAGCCTGTGGCATTCTCTTAGCTGGTTAGATTTTGAGTAAGTGTTCGAATGAGATTAACTCTTAGAGCAGTGATTTCATCGGGAGATAAAGTCTGATAAGTAAAGAAGAAAAAATACAAAACCACATTAAATCCTTTCAGCAATATCCCACTGAGGGTCCCCAGAAGGTGATACCAGAATACAGCCTGCATGAGGTTTCTGAGACACCCTTCTATAATCTTGTCACAAGCAAAAGAATTTTCTAAGGAAACATCTAATGATGCTGATAAGAACCATGCACATGAATCAATGAGGAACCTAGACCTCTTGGTTTAGATTTGGTATGACAGTATTGTGTGTTAAATAAATACCAATAAATTATTAAAACATATTGGTTGTATCGTAACACAGAGCCTTAACAATGTATTATGTCAGCATGTACAGCTCTCGCTCAGGGAAATTCTCCATCTCTTTAATTCAAGCATTGACATTCTGTGCCAGCACAAAGCTTTTTTTTATTTGAGATTGACACATGTCTAAAATTGCTTAGATTTTGTGTTGTGCTCTTAATACTTGAAACCCGGCAAATGAAATTCTATGTCACTGTGCATGAACAATGCCTTACAAAAAAAAAAAAAAAAAAATCTTAGCCTGGGGGTTCAACTAGAGGATTGGAGAAACAAAAAGTGCTTTCACTACTATTGCTTCAAGTTGGGGGAATAATTACTTTGCTCGAGGAAAAGGGAGGGCCATTCCTAGCCCCTTGAAAAAACAGTATGTTTGTCAGGCCTTAAATTAGATCATTAAATTCAAGAAGGGTGTTGTATATGGATCCTGGTCATGTCAATGTAAGGGCTGCCTGTGTCATGGTGAGGATGTTAGTCCTCATCTGGTAACTATTCAGGGGAGCTTCTTTGCTCCTGTTTTATTCTGACATGCCTGGGTAATTGTGGTAACCCTGATGAACTCTCCTTTCTCTACCTGAGGATAAACTTCCTCCAGTTTACTTTCCAAAGGCATGATTATGCCTTCTACTTTGGCTGTAGTTTTATTTTCATGGGATTTTCTCAAAATAACATTTCAGGCATCAAGCATTACTTAATGCCCTTGAATGTCACCACATTACTAATGGGGATGGGGAGTCTGGCCAAAGCTGGGACTCCCTAGGTGAGTATGAATGGCAAATCTCACGTAGCACTTTGGCATTTAGCATCTTATATCTACAAGGTTGTCCCTATATTCAGTTTTTGATGCAACAGTTTTGTTTCATTCTCAGCTGTTGGGAAGAAAAGAAAAGGAGTTTGCTTAAGATTGAAAATCTTTTTGGACTGTGATCTAGATGCCTCTACGGGACAATCTGGGGCCATAAGCATAATGAGCACACACTCTTTAGGAAGGAATTTCGACCTTTTCTGCCTTACTGCTCAATATCCATTTCCCATCCTCCAGTGCACTAAACAGCCGTCCCAGGTGACCTCGCATTTCCCCAATAAGCCGTTTTGTTTCAAGCTTCCGTGCCTTTGCACACGCTGTTTTTGCTATTTGAAGTGCTTTCCCCATCTTTTGAGAAAATTCCTATCCGTTCTTTCAGAATCAGCTCCAGAATCTTTATGAGATCTCTGCTTCCTGGAGAAGCACCCCCAGTATGTTTAATTTGTAATGAACCTCTTCAAATTGCTCACCTCTTGTTTCTACCCCCTCAAATTTTTGCTTCTTGAATGGTGAGGCCAATTGGAACTAGCCGTTAGGAGCTATTATTATATTCCAAATCCCGGAGTCAGTGATCGAGGCATCAAGCCATTTACTCCGTGTCAAAGCCATGCTATATGGGCTACTCTCCCCATCGTTCAGATGTGAATCCTGAGACTCTGAGAAGTTAAGCAACTTGCCTGGTATCACATAGTTAATAAGTCACAGATCCAGGACTCAATCCCCTGAAGCTGACACCAAGTATGACACAATTGATTTATCGCCACAGTAAAATTTTTTGTTTTCCTCACTTCTCCCGCAGCACTTGATATATAGTTGCTGCTGTGATAAATGAGCAAATGTTTGGATTATAAAGCCGTTTGTTATGCTATATAGCCCATTCTACATTGGGAGATGGAATGTAAAATGATGTATAATACAGTCTTCTATAATGGAGACTATTAAGATAGAACAGAGAGGGCCAGGCGTGGTGGCTCATGCCTGTAATCCCAACACTTTGGGAGGCCGAGGCGGGCGGATCACGAAGTCAGAAGATCGAGACCATCCTGGCTAACATGGTGAAACCTTGTTTCTACTAAAAATACAAAAAAAAAAATTAGCCAGGCGTGGTGGTGCTCGCCTGTAGTCCCAGCTACTTGGGAGGCTGAGGCAGGAGAATGGCGTGAACCCGGGAGGCAGAGCTTGCAGTGAGCCGAGATCGTGCCACTGCACTCTAGTCTGGGCGACAGAGCAAGACTCCGTCTCAAAAAAAAAAAAAAAAAAAAAAAAAAGATAGAACAGAGAGAATATTGACAAAAGAATAATAGTAATAGCGATGATAGTTTACATTTTGCATATGTGCTGTGTGCCAGGTACTGGTATACACCTTATGTAACTCTGCATGAAACTCTATAGATGAGCTTCAGGAAAGTTAAGGGACAAACTTACCTCAAACCTCTAAAAGGTTAGAGGTTAGTAAGAGCCAGCATCAAATCTTGAACCCCAAATTACCCCAAAGTTAGCATAGTGGAAAAACTATACAGACACACTGGAAGCAGGCTGCTGATGTAAACTGTTTGTATTCAATACGCTCCATTTTGCAATAGATAAAGTCCTTCTCCTGTAATTTAGATAGTTTGAGTTCTCACTGTGGCTTCACTACCCATGAGTTGGGTGATCCGAGGTAAGTAATTTTTCCTTTTTGGTTTTGGTTTTCTTAAAAATTCCATTCTGGTTCTGAGACTTGATGTGCTTCTAATAATTTATGCAACAACCTGCAGTAGCTAGTTGACCCTTCCTGTTTCTCAGCTACAAGCCTTTGACAGCTCAGGAATTTGGCGTTTGTCACCCTCTGCCTGGACACTTCTTTCCCACTTCTCCCATGTGGCTTACCCTTCAGGTCTCAACCCAAATGCCACCTCCCAGAGAGAACATCTCTGACCTCAAGTTAACCTCCTTTGCTACCCCCCCATTACTTCCCCTACAGGGTTTCCAGAAGTTGAAATTATTGCAATTATTCCTTTACTTGCTTTTTCCCTACTCCCACCACTGAAACACAAGACCATGAGGACAGGGCTCTGGCTGTCTTTTTTAACATGGTATACTCATGCCTCAGACAGTGCTTGGCACTTACTAGGTGCTCAGTAAATATTTTTATTGTTACCCTTTTCAGTCATTGTAAGTAAAATAAATATTGTTAGTATTTTCAGTGATTCCAGAGAAAATCAGCCAAAACTTTAGCGTTTCACACATCTTTATAAATTTCCATTTTCCCTGGATGCTCATTTCTCAATACCTGTAATTACCTTTCTACGCCACCCCATTCTCAATCCTTCACACATAGTCCTGCTTTCCATGCAAGGTGGGGGAAAGGCATGTGGCTGGCTGATTAAGCAATTAGCCAGGCAAGCAATTCTTTCTTGAGCAAGTGAGTCATTGCAGATTCAGAAACTAGGCATTCACACTGGAAACCACCCAGGCAACTTTGTTCTTGAGTACCCTTGCCTAATGCGGTTTAATGAAAACCTTTGCATCACTTTTAATTCCCTCTTAAGTAATGCATACCATTTAATCAGGGTTCCCACCCTTTCTATTGTGAGAGCTGGGGGCTGGTTTATAAAAGAAGAAGACGAGAAATAGCAGTTGACTCAAGACCTACTGGAGGGTTCTGCTTGCCCTGCTGAGGCGCCTTTGTTTGTGGAACTGCATTGTTTTGTTTCTGTGGTTATATTTAGAGCAGTGCACAGAGAATGGAAAGGGGATGGGAAATGAATGAGTTTACAAATATGTTGGTGATATAATTAAAAGGGCAGGAAGATGCCATGTAAATAAATAGTAATGGGGGGAAGGGAAGAGCTGAGCGAGAGAAGACCGAGGAAATTCAGGAAATATGGGGCTTCACTACGAGCAATAAGGCTGCTTGGCTGTGAGTGTCATGCTGTCCCCAAGCACTGCCAAGGGTCCAAGGCACATTTCCTAGACAACGGGACATTATAATGAAGGAATCCACCTGGAGTTTTCTCTCATCACCACAAGGAAAGAACTTTTCAAGCATATTCTAGGCAAATCCTTTTCTTTTTTTTTTTTTTTCAAAAAAAAATTCAAAAGTAATAATAGATGTTTTGATAAATGAATAGCTACCCTGATTGAAGGCTTGCATTGGCACAGTTAAAAGCCCTTTTACTCATTTAATTCACACAGCAGCACTCTGAACTAAGTACTATTATTATTCCCATCTTTCAAGTGATAAAACTGAGGCAGGGATGTGAAACCACTTGCCCAAAGTTAAACAGGTAGGAAGAAGCAGAGTTAGCCCTGGAGGTCATTTTGCCTTGCTCCAGAACCCATTACTTTAACAACCTCGCTCTCCTGCCTCTCCGCAATTTAAGTCTTTTTAGAATTAACCATATGAAATTGCCAATCTTGAGTCATTTTCTATTTACAAAAAGTGGCAATTTCACGTGATTCAACCTAATGCAAAATTATAGAAAGTATGAAATTCTTCCTCCTGCTGTCAAAAAATGTGTATTTCTAGAACTTTCCAGTGCACACACCTACAATGGCACTGCTAGACAGACGTCCATAATTTTATATTGTGTTGTTTACAAGACTGGGAAAATATGCTCAAAAATATTCCTTGGACAACAATGCACAGATATTCTTGTGCACATGTGTGACTATTTCTGGAGGCGGGCTATCTGGAAGCAGAATGCTAAATCATAAACTTTCCCTCAGGGCATGGCAGTTCTTAAAATTCTGCTCTCCTTGCTTCAGTCATTCAAATTTCCAGGTGCTAGGTTCATAGAGGGAATGACAAGTCATTTGAGCCAATGAGGTACAGATGCCGGATACAAAGGGGGTGGACCCAGAAAGACTTTTGAAGAGGTAACCCCAGCAATGATCTTCCCTCTGACCAGAACATAGATATTTCAAATTTATGAATATGACTTCCTGCCTCAAAAAGGTCAGAGATCACCGTGAAGCTCTGGTTTGTTTCATCAAGCCCAGAGAGATATGTTGAAGGGGTGGTGCTGACCTCAAGGGTCTTTGCTGCCTGGAGATGAAAGGCCTGTGAAGGTCAAAGACCTCGGTTAAGTCAATATCCTACACAGTGATAGCTCTCTGATACTCTGATCTTCAATGACTCAGCTCCCTGGGGATCCCATGCTCCTCAGACTGAAGTGATGTTGGTTCTTGGGTGTTTAATGTCGTCTGTCTTGATCTCCTAGTTCTCTTTTACCTGGCTCATGCTAGTCTATCTGGGATTGCAGCCGACTGATCTTTTGAGTACATCGGGTGTTCATTTCTGAGACTCAGAGCTGTACTGCCTGGATTTGTGCAGCTGTTGGGATTCCCTGTTCTTGGATGGAGACTGTCTCGACTGTCTGTTTCCTGGACACCAGCAGTAACCTGCTCTCTGACGATCCATTCCACTCCAGGCAATTTCAACCCAGCAAAAGGATGATGGTTTCTAAAATACATGTTAGATTTTAATCACTCCTCTGCTTCCTCATAATTCTTTTTTTATTTTTTTTTGAGACAAAGTCTTGCTCTGTCACCCAGGCTGGAGTGTAGTGGCATGATCTCAGCTCACTGCAACCTCTGCCTCCTGGGTTCAAGCGATTCCTCTGCCTCAGCCTCCCTAGTAGCTGGGACTGCAGGTGCGTGTCACCACACCCAGTTCATTTTTGTATTTTTAGTAGACAGAGGGTTTCACCATATTGGCCAGGCTGGTCTCGAACTCTTGACCTCCAGTGATCCTCCCACCTTGGCCTCCCAAAGTGCTGGGATTACAGGCGTGAGCCACCACACCCAGCCTGTGGCTTCCCATAATTCTTAATAAAATACCAAGTCCTTCCCATGACCTATACAGTCCTACCTTATATGGCCCCTTCTGCTCCTTCCTAGGCCCCACCTCATACTAATTTCCACAAAATCCTGGGCTCCAGCCCTGTGCACCTGTCCACGCCTTCAGGGAACCATGTTTATTTCTTCACACCCCTCCAAAGTCATTAACTTGCTGTTCCTTCTTTAGGAAAACTCTTTCCCTTAATTTCCCATGGGTGGTTTAATCTTTCCATTTCTGAAATCCTCTTTTGTTGTTGTTGTTGTTTACTTATTATTTTCTGTTTCCCTAATAAATATTCACCCATAAAAGCAGAGCCTTCTTTTGTGTATTTCACCAGTGTTTAGAATGATACTTGGCACTTCTTAGGAGTATACTAAATGTTCGACGCAAAAGTGAATGAAGAAATGAATGGGTCTTGGGTTTCTGTTTTCCAAGAGCCAGTGGTAATTATTAAGTAAAGGATTTCCTTTGGCTAGTCTTCAGCGGACATGCTTCTTTCCAGAGGGAGGACGAGAAAGTGGATAGGTTTGTTAGGTTAACAAAGCTATATGTTTAAAAACGTTCATCATCATTTCATATTAAAGTGAAACAATGTCAATACCTTTGTTAGGAAAAGCATCCAATATTGTGTGAAATAACACAGAATAGAAATCTGTTACCAGAATAAGGTTACCCATAAGAACTGGCACGAATGGTGATTAAGAGTGTGCAAATAAAAAGAGTTAATTCCAGAACAATGTGTTTGGCATTACAACATTTGTTATTTAAAAAATCATAAACTAAGAGATTCATGTCTGTGTTGACATTGTAAAAGAATTTAAGGGAAAAACTGGTTATCCCTGAAAGATGAATAATAGAAATGTTTTTATTTTCCATTCCACGTGTTTATGGTTGTTTAAAAGCACTGTGTATTTCTTTCATTAAGCAGGTAAGACACCAAAGGGATATATAAAAAGCCAGCACAAGTTCAATCTAAAAATGAAAAAGTAGAGAATGACTATTTCTAAAGCAAGTAGAAACAATGATTCATAAACTGGGCAATGATTAAAAAAACAAACAAACCAGGCTTAAAGGTGTGACAGGCTGTGATCAGACAGTCCAAATCCTTCATCCAACCCCTGGCTCTACACAACAGCCTTTGTGGCTTAACTGGTGCTAAAAAAGTGCTTCTTCAAGCTGATGTTAGACTGCCCTTCAGAAAGAAAACTGAGCAAACCATTTTACTTTATTTTTATTTATTTATTTATTTTTTGAGACGGAGTCTCACTCTGTCGTCCAGGCTGGAGTGCAGTGGCGTGATCTTGGCTCACTGCAACCTCTGCCTCCTGGGTTCAAGCAATTCTCCTGTCTCAGCCTCCCGAGTAGCTGAGATTACAGGCACCTGCCACCAAGCCGGGCTAATTTTTGTATTTTTAGCAGAGATGGGGTTTCACCATGTTGGCCAGGCTGGTCTCGAACTCCTGACCTCAAGTGATCATCCACCTTGGCCTCCCAAAGTGCTGGGGTGAGCCACCGCACCTGGCCCAAACCAACATTTTAATAATACTTTTAGAAGTTTCTTTCATTCATAGGTTCTCCCCTCTGTGACTTATTGATACTCTCGGGTCTGCCTTCCTCCCTTTGTACTGGAGATTCGAGTAGGGCCTTGTGCCAGTTGCCTGTTTCCAAGTTGCTGGTGTTATTATCACTGCTCACTTCTCTCCTTCCCTGTGGGAAGCTGACTCTTGTCTAATCTTTCATTCTCAGCCTCTGAAGTTGGGGGCAGAAAAGGTAAGGCATCAGAGAAACCTAAAATAGGAGAGGGGTCTTCAAATGATAAAAGCATACTTTGGAATTGAACCTGGACTGTGGGAATTGAGACATACATGTGGGCCTGCACTTGGTGACTTCAATCATGTAATGACAAAGCAGGATGGATGAGGACGGGACTTGTCTTAGTGGGTGGCTGGTAAGCAATAGAAACTTACTGCTCACAGTTCTGGAGGCTGAGAAGTCTGAAATCAAGGTGCTGGTGTATTGGGTATCTGGTAAGGGCCCCAACTTTTGGTTCATCCATGGCACCTTCTTTCCGCATCCTCCATGGTGAAAGGGGCTAGCTAGGTCTCTGTTATAAGGCCGCTAATCCCATTTATAAGGGTTTCACCCTCATGACTTAATCAAATCCCAAAAGTCTCCACTTCTTAATACCAACACATTGGAGATTAGGTTTCAACATATGAATTTTAGGGAAACATAAGCATTCAGACCATAGCAGGAGCCCATATTCATGTCTTACTAATTCATTCAACAAATATTTATTAAATACAAGTTATAGGCCAGATACTAGGTTATGTGTAGGGGACACAAGCAAAGCAGATAAGCTCCTAGCTCTCTTGGGCTCCCAGTCAAACTGGGAGGTGAACAGTAGTTACCAAAAAAGAAAGTATGATTGCAAGCTATGAAGAACTGTGAAAAAATGAGCATGTTTAACATGAATGTATGATTGAAGTCTCTGACTTAGTTCAGGTGGACAAAAGAAGGCTTTCTGGAGGAAGTAACTTTTGAGTAGAGGTGTGAAGTTTAAGGAGCAAACAAGGCAAAGGCAAAAAAAAAAAAAAAAAAAAAAAAAACAGCAAGTGTGGAGGACCTGTGAGAATAGGGTGCCTTTCACCCGGGAAGGATTGAAAGCAAGCCCAGGTGGCCGCAGCACAGAGATGCGGGCCGTGCCTAGTCAGAAGAGCAAGACTTATAAATATTGCAGCCAGCAGTTAGCTGCCGGCTGGGATTGCGGGGGTCTCTCTGGATGCCAAGTGAATGTTAGAACAGACTCATTAGCTCTCTTTTTAGTCCCTTTTTGTCTCCTTGCACTCCTAAAAAGGAAGCCATCTCTGATCCTTGACTTTCCCCTAATCTTACTTCCTGAGGACTCCCATTTTTCTCAATCAAACCCACTAGTCCTGTTGTAATAATAAGAAAGAGGACCCTTTCTACTCCCCAAAGGATTGAAAGAACACCTTAAACTGTGTGCAGTATCCACTTTCCCCATATATGATAGCCCATGGCTGTGATCCACACAAAAATGTTTACTGAGTGTTTACAAGTGTCAGGAATCAAGGGAGATGCTGGGAGTCAGTAAATATGTATGGTCTTTGACCACATGGAGCTTGCTGTCTACCACAATGATTTTTCAAAGAGTGGTCCCTGGACCAGCAGCATCCGCATGACCTGGGAACTTGTTAGGAATGCAGATCCCTATGCCCCACTCCAGACCAACTGAATGAGAAATTCTGGGGTGACGCCCAGCAATCTGTGTTTTAGTAAAGCTTCCACGTAATGCGGCTGCTGGTAATGTTTGAGATCTAGTGGATGTTTGCTTTGGTGGATTTTAAGTTAACCAAGTACTTTCACAGACATTATTTTCTCCCATGTTCTTATTTAATTATTTAGATTTCAAAATGTGAAATATTTCAAATGTACAGAAAATAAGACACCAATGTGTACCCACTTTTCAAATAGTATGAATGCTATCACTTTGTCATGTTTCCTTCAGGTATTATTTTAGTTTTTGGAAAACAAATGGAATTTTCCAGGTTCAAATGCAATTCCACCTCCCATTTCTTTCCCATCCCATTCTTCCAAAGAAATCACCACTACTACTTGTAACACATGATGGGTTCCAGTTTTGCAAGTCTGACAAAAACAAGCTACATTGACCTATCCGTGTTGTGTTTTCTACTCCCTTCTCCCACTATTCAATACTAGGCAATCTTTGACAGCCAGGTTTAAAATATTTTGTGATTCAGAATTGAGAAAAGAGTAGACAAAGGAAGCTGCAGGCCTAGAGGAAATGGAGGAGGACTGAGAGAAAGAGAGAGAGAGAAAAGCTACGTTGATTACATATTGAAGGCCTGGGAAGGAAAGGAGTCTGAAGAGAAATGGAGGAAAGATGTACAGCTAGTGATGATTACAGTCAGGGGATTTGTTAAATGGGGAACTTTGAGGTAAGAGAATTGTAAAGAAGAGAAATAGGTTTTGGGAACGTTGTCCTGGTTTGTATCTTGAATATTGCTTCATGTGTTTTGAGAGACCTGCAAAAAGACTGGATTTTTTTCTTTTTTGAGGTGTAGTCTCACTCTGTCACCCAGGCTGGAGTTCAGTGGTGTGATCTCAGCTCACTGCAGCCTCTGCCTCCTGCGTTCAAGTGATTCTCTCACCTCAGCCTCCCAAGCAGCTGGGATTACAGGCATGTGCCACCATGTCCACTAATTTTTGTATTTTTAGTAAAGATAGGGTTTCACCATGTTGACCAGGCTGCTCTTGAACTCCTGACCTCAGGTGATCTGTCCGCCTTGGCCTCCCAAAATGTTGGGATTATTGGCGTGAGCCACCACACCCAACCAACACTTGGATTTTAAAAATCACTACTTCATGGCTAGCTTGGGTTTCTTTGAATGAACTTCTGTGAAGGTACTCAGCCTCCCAAGTAGCTGGGATTACAGGTGCCTGCCACCATGCCCAGCTAATTTTTGTATTTTTTTTTTTTAGTAGAGATAGGGTTTCACCATATTGGCCAGGATGGTCTCGAGGCTCAAGATTTATTAGGGTTACACTAGATATGCCACTGGCAGAGAGGTACTTAAAGAATACAAGGTTTGGCCAGGTATGGTGGCTCATACCTGTAATCCCAGCACTTTGGGAGGCTGAGGCGGGTGTATCACAAGGTCAGGAGATCAAGACCATCCTGGCCAACATGGTGAAACCCCATCTCTACTAAAAATACAAAAATCAGCTGGACATGGTGGCACACACCTATAGTCCCAGCTACTCAGGAAGTTGAGGCAGGAGAATCGCTTGAACCTGGGAGGCAAAGATAGCAATGAGCTGAGATCTTGCCACTGTACTCCAGCCTGGTGACAGAGTGAGACTCTGTCTCAAAAAAAAAAAGAATACAAGATTCTCAAGTGTGGCCCCTGGACCAGTGTTAGGGCCTTACTGTTTAAGCCAGAATTGGCAAACTGTGGCCTACAGGCCAATTCTGGGCACACTCATTCATCGTTGTATTGCCTTTGGCTGCTTTCAGCCTATAATGGCCATGTTGAGTAGCTGTGATGGAGACCCTATGGCCCATAAAGCCTAAAAGACTTACTGTCTTGTCTTTTACAGACAAGTTTGCTGATGGCTGACTTAAATTTTAAGCCAATGGTGCATTTTTTCTCTCTATAAGAACTGGTTCAGAGAGAGATCCATGAATCAAATCAGGCTAGTAAAAGGCAACGAAACTCGGCCGAGCATGGTGGCTCATACCTGTAATCACAGCACTTTGGGAGGCCAAGGTGGGCAGATCACAAGGTCAGGTGATCGAGACCATCCTGGCCAACATGGTGAAACCCTATCTCTACTTAAAAAAAAAAAATACAAAAATTAGCTGGGCATGGTGGCGGGCAACTGTAATCCCAGCTACTCAGGAGGCTGAGGCAGGAGAGTCGCTTGAACCAGGGAGGTGGAGGTTGCAGTGAGCCGAGATCGCGCCACTGCACTCCAGCCTGGTGACAGAGTGAGACCCTGTCAAAAAAAAAAAAAAAAAAAAAAAAAAGGCAACAAAATTCAAACCAGGGATTTTTGTTTATTTTGATAATTTTTCTTGAAGTAGACTTTTCACCCTTGCTGGATGGAAATAAGAAAGCCTAAAGCTCCAGAACCCATGGACACATCTGACATCACTGTGAGGGAAGGTCTACCTAAGACAGGAGAGATGTAAAGGAGACAGAGCTGATAAATTCAGAGAAAGAGACTGGCGCTCTGGACCAGGCTTGTCCTGAGGCCCCTGGAGCTTTCGTTACATGAGGAATATATAGTTGTCCCTTGGTATCTATTGGGAATCAGTTTTAGGAAACTTCTCTCCCCTCCATGGATAGCAAAATCCATAAACACTCAAGTCCCTGATATAAAATGGCACATGGTATTTCCATAAGTCCTATGCACATCTCCCCATATCCTAGTTTAAACCATCTCTAGATGGTTTATAATACCTAATACAATGTAAATGCTATGTAAATAGTTGTTATGCTATTGACTTGCATTATTTTTTATTACTGTATTGTTCTTTTTTTCAAATGTTTTCAAACCATAGTTGGTTGAATTCAGGGATGCGGGGCCTTCAGATACAGAGGGCCGATTGTATTCCTTTTGCTAGTTATTGTTCATATCTTTTAGGCTGGTGTTTCTGTTACTGGCAACCTGGAATTTCCCATCTAATTCAGAGTCTATTATCTTCTTTATTCATTTGACCTGAGTGCCTTCTATAAAGATTTGTTAATCAAGAAGCATTTTTTGACCACTGAAGTCTACTCACAACTGTATGGATTAGTTCAGGAAAGTGAGAACACCCGCTGAAGGGTGAACACCAACCAAATAAAACCAAAAATTGAAAGAAAGGAAAAAAAAGACTAAAGGAGAAAAGAAATGAGATTACTTACCCAAGGGTCATTTTGAGATACTTGTTCTCTAGGGATGAACATTCTGCAATAGAGATATCAGCAAACATACAGACAGTCAGATATGAAATGATAAATACAAATAATTTTACAAGGACTATAAAGCTCATTATTGGCAACAGGTATTCTGGGGGGAGTGTCTCAGCTGTATGGTTGCTATTCACCAGACAGCAAAAGCTGGAATGAAAAAATAAAAGCGAGGGGAGGGAGAGCATGAGGACAAATACCTAATGCATGCGGGGCTTAAAACCTAGATGACGGGTTGATAGGTGCAGCAAACCACCATGGCACATGTATACCTATGTAACAAACCTACAGGTTCTGCACTTGTATCCCAGAACTTAAAGTAAAATTTAAAAAAAATTTAAAAAACACAAAGTAAAAGACCCAGACTTTTAGTTCCTGACTATGCCAGTAACTCATAAGTCATTTTCCCATTTGTTGATGCCATTCATCACTCCAATATTATTTATTGAGCATCTACTACAAATGATAAGCACTGTTCTAAGTACTGGCCTCAATTTCTCCATCTGTAAAATTAGAGGATGAGATCGGATGATTCCTGCAGTGCCTTCCCTCGCTTGCCTTTTCAAGAGAATTTATCCTCCCCATGTTTCAGTTCAAACCCCTGCTCGACCATTTCCTGGCTGTGAGATATTGGGCAAGCCATTTAATCTCTCTGCATATTCATTTCTATTTCTGGGAAATAGGAATAATGACAGTATCTCTCTCAATGGATTGTTGTGATATTTAAATGGATTAATACATGCATCTACCGCAGTTCCCAGCACATAGTGAGTGCTATATAAATGTTAGTGCCATTATTATGATGATCATCTGTATTATTATTTAATAATAATTTCAGAAACTGAAGAGTTGGGTTTGAAAATGGGACTCCCCCCAAATACTAAAATATCCACATATTGCTTCACTTAGTTAGAACTGTTCTCACCCTGCTGAGCCTCTCTTTGGACATATAGCCAAAGCAATTTTTTTAAAATACCACAATGGTGTCAAACTGTTTGGGTGGTTTTTCCAGATGGGCATTTATATATACCCCGTTTATCATGGACATGATACCTGTGACTCCTTCAGTTCATAATAAGCACAGAACCAGCTGCCATTTATTCGGGTGCTCACTGTGTACCTGGCACTGTGCTAAAAATAAGCAGTGTGTTACTCTTCATTGCAACCCCGTTGGGTAGAAATAATTACTAGACTCGTGTTACTGAGAAGGAAACTGGGGGTCAGGGAGGCCCAGTCCACAGCCAAGAAGTGGCAAGCGGGTCTGAGTTTAGGTGTGACTCCAAAGCCCACACTGCTGCACCTGACTCTATACTACCTTTTAATTCAAAGTACCAAGATGAATAAAATTTTAAATATCCCCTGCTCTAAATGTCCTTTCCTGTAATTTCGGCTCAATTAACCAAATAAATTACATATGAAGAGTCAATCTTCTTGGACACAGTTATTCCACTTTATTAAAACAATACATAATATATGTATGTATGTATACACTATATTTAGGGGTACAAATAAGTGCCCCTAACGTTCTTAAATATTCATAAAATTTTTATTTAGGAGTGTGTTTTATTCATTTAAGCATTAATGTATATAGATCGTTAACTATTTAACAGAAAGATTGGCATTGGTAACCACTGTTAATTGATGATCAATCATAAAGAGACAAAGCAACTTTGATAATACAGTAAAACTCAATAGAAAGTTGGTTTGATTTGCTAAAATGTGATTGACTTACAGCCTTTCAGTATATACATTGCATAGGGTAAGCTTCACCTAGAATAGATCAAATTTAACCCAAGTTTGCTTCCATTTGATTTGATTGAGTGAAACAAGACTTTATAATAGCATTCCTTCTTCCACTCACTCAGTAAATCTTGCATTCCATGTTGGGGAAAGATTTTTCCAGGAGTATCTACATTAGTCAAAGAATGCACCTTCTTGGAAGCCTGTCTACCTTCATTAAATGGCTTTCAGAGCTCACAATGCAACTGAATAACGTGCATTATTCAAATGGTTTTCAATGCACATGAGGAAAAGGAGGTGTGCTCAGATGGGAGTGATTTTAAGCAGCTCATCTGCACCACAGGAAATTCATTTATCCTTTGATTCTTATGCCATTTCGCTGGAGGCATATGTATTTCTAGTACCTATATAGTTTTGTGGGGGGCTTTGTAGCCACCTAAACCAGTCTGGTGAATAGTCATCACGCTTTTGAAAACACAACCAAATGCCTTGTAATTTTCTTAGGAACAATACTTTTTATGCTTCTCCATTCTGGCTCAAAGGTACAGTGAGATGTTTTTACTAAATGGGCTTATTTTCTCCCACATGGAGTTTTAGACCCTGTGACAAATGTAATGAAATCTGTCAGTCTTTTCCACCTAGACACAGAAAACTAGGTGCAGTGTTCTGTCTTTGCCAATATGAGGTGAAAAGGATGGGGGTGAGGGGTGCTTTTAAGACGGCTTGCAACTTTGGAGCTTGGATCGAAGACATATGCAGTCTCCAAAGAGATAGATGGAGCACATGCAGGAGAGAGTAAGCATTTGCAAAAAGAGCCCCCAGAATCCTTCTTGACAAGCATTTTGCATGCAGTTAAATAGACAAATGTATTCTGCTGCCAGGATTTTGCAGGAATCATATTTGATGTCTGTCACCAAAAAGATTCTTGGGCACTGGTGGAGTGACAAACCGTTACTCCTTAGAGCAGTGACTCTCAAACTTGAGCATGCATCAGAATTACCTGGAGGGCTTGTTAAAACACAGATTGCTGGGCCCCTTCCGCAGAGTTTCTGACTCAGTAGGTCTGGGGTGGGGCCCACGTGATGCTGATGCCACTAGACTGGGGACCTTTAAGAACCACTACCTTAGAGTGATCAAAGAGGGTAAGCTTGAAGATCCTCCACCCATAAAAGTCTACTATCTGAGGACTGTCAGGACCTGTGCTTTCGTGATTACAATTTATGCTAAGATACCAAAACCCGTGAAGCAACATGAGACCCCCCAGAAGAAATTTTCTTAGTGAGAAGTTGGTTTAATTTTTTTCTTTCATATCTCTACCACTCATAGCTTCCTAGACATGTCTAATCAGCATTGCCCTTTCCACCTCTTGTTTGTGAAACTATACTTTCTGAAACTCCTGTCTTGCTTTCCATCTGATAGAAAAGCCAGCAGCTCACAGAATGCATTACACAAGCTAATGCTTTAGGCTAGATGTTCCAGAGGTGATTCAAGTCGATGAACAAAGCCTCCATTTATGATACCTATGTACATTCTCAACCGATATGTTCTTGGTGATGGCAACTATTAACATTTTCTCAGCATTTCAGGGATTTACATTTGACCCCCAAAGTGAGCCAGCTCTGGGCTCCACGGACCCATAACGTGCATTGAGTACCATTGCTAATAAACATTTACAACGTGGTGTGCACAGGCCCCGCTCCATGAGGCCTATTTGTGAGAACATAGCGAGTGATCTGTATTTAGGCCAGCATCTCACACCACATTAAAGAGATTGGTTTGTTCTTATTACATTGCTTTGTCACTTGCATTTGCATCTCCAACATTCCCCACACCCCAGCACAATAGTTTGGAATGCTGAGGTATCCACAACTTTCCCCAATCCTTGGGAGCAATATTTGGAAAGGAGAGTGGCGAGGGCTGCTTTTGCAACAACGTCAGGGCAGCAAGAGTTCATTGTTTCTTTCCATCCAGCCACACAACAGCCTTCCTGTTTCTGCACCTAGAAACAGCTATTCGGATAGAAGATGCAGGTTCAGTCCTGTTGACATCTGAGTGGGCAGAGAACTATCCTTTGAAATCTTGGCCCTTTCCTATCTACCTTGCCAAGAGTTGGCATTGCTTGGTTTAAATTTTGGTCGTTGCATTTCATGGTGCAGAAACCCCTTTACATATGTAGAAAGGGTGTGTTTATAAATCTACACCCACTGTGCATTTGTCTATTTTTATATATGCATATTGCATAGTAATAGAGATTTTATGCATTGAATAAAACTATTTCCCCCAATTTCACTCGGTTTATCGTTCTGCTGAATAATTCAGCTACTATATGGACTTCATGGACTTTTGCTTGATAAATTCACTATTCAGAGCTTTTCCATCCATTGGAATTTTTAATCAGGTTGAAGCCCATCATGTTGAGATCAAAGCTGGGAATAATGATGTTACCAATCTATGTTTTAGCCAAAGGATGTTCCTTAGAGCGCACGTCCTCAAATCGCTTAGTCGCTAGCTGAAGTGTAAGAGAATTTATGATGCTAAATAAAACCAGGAGGAAAAAAAAGATGTTTTAATAAGATGGAAATCCAAATGTTAAAATAATGAGCCATCTGCATGGGTGGCCCTCTCTTGAGAGAGATGCCAAGAGCTTTGCCATCTGTGAAACATTTACCAGCTGTTTCCTTCCTTTTTTGTGAACATAAGAAATCCTTGCAGTTGGTGTTTCTAAGTGATACATCATAGAGAAGAAAACAGGTTTGCCCAACTTCAGGAAGACTGGACAGAGCTGAATTAACCAAATAATAATTTTGGCAACTGCAGAGGTGTACACCAGTGTGCCACTCTTCTTCCCGCAGATCCCTTTTCTGAACCTCAATAGAGGGCACGGAAGATGAAAAGGGATCGGGAAATGAATCACATCCCACGAGGTCATTTAAAACTGAATGTTTGCAGAGAAAGTCTGTGCCTGCTCACTCGACTGCCTGCAAGCTGGTTTTACCTTCTGAGTATTCAAGCAAGGTTTGGACTAAATTGTAATCCAACTGAAATGGGGAAAGGTGTCTAAAGCAGTCCAAATATTTTTGAACATGTCTTTCCTTTTTCTTTCTCTTCTCTGATCACTGTTTCACATATCTGCCAGTCAGCCCTGTATTCCTGCTGCTTTTGCCCTGACAGGCACCTTATCTTGGTTGCCTGAGTTCTGTATGGTCTTAGGATCTGAGCAGAGTGCCATGCATGAATTTAACTTTGCCGCCGGCTCTGATCCGAGGCAATGTGCCCAGCGATAAAATCCTCACAGTGTGGGGTGCTGATCTATCGATGCCTCCCCAGGTTCCTGCTTTTTTTTTTTTAACCTCCCTGTTCTATCGCCAGAATCTGACAGAATTTTATTTTTTCTTCGACTGCCATCTTTTCTACTTCATTAACTGTCAAATGCATTTCAGGGAACATAACCTAACAAGAAGGTTTAGCTAATGAATGTGAAGTCTTTCAGGTGTTCCCCTCAGGTGTCATTCCTGAGGAGTTTAGGAAAGCTTTAGGTCATTTTTCAAAAAATAATTTTTCTAAGGCCATATGCAGTGAAACAGGGGGGATATGAATCTTTGGACTGCGGCTGCTCTCGCTCCAGCGCCTCAGTGTTAAGCCAAACCTTAGGGGGAAAGAAAATCAAGACTCATGGCTTCCTCCTGGAAAACCCAAGAGTCCTAACAGCAGAATTGCTGGCATTCTTTAACGGGTGATTTCACATATCCGATCAGAGGGATGTGCACTGTGAGAATCGCATTTCATGTAAAGTAAGGGCATAAAGGAATTTTTCTAGGTCATTCAGCAAAGCAAAGTTAACCTCACTTTCCAAGCCAGAGGAAATTTCCAGATGCTTCATTCCCTTACTCACTCAACCACTATCTGAGAGCCTGCTGGACTCTAGGCACTGTGTCCACTTCTGAGGTGGAGCTGGGAGCAAAGCTGCAGGTTCCCTACATGCAGAGAGCTTACAGGTCACGGTGGAGCCAATGAAACACGACTTACAATCAAGGGTGAGGCTACTAAGTCAGTGGTTTTCAGCCAGAAGTAATTTTCCCACCACCATCACCACCACTAGGGGACATTTGGCAATGTCTGGAAATGCTTTTTAGCTGTCACAACTGGGAGGAGAAGTGCTACTGGCATCTAGCGGGTAGAGGCTGGGGATGCTTCTAAACATCCAATGCACAGGACAACCCCCACAACAAGATAATGAGAGTTATGTGGCTCAGTAAGTCAATAGTACCACAACTGTGAAACTCTGTCCAAAGAGAATACCTGGAGGAGAGATGGGGGTGAACAGGTGAAAGGGTCAGCATGTCGTGTGCCTCGCCAAGAACCTAGACACCAAGGAGAAGAATCAAGAAAAGCAGGGATTTATGGGGCTCTTGAGCTACCAGCCTTTGTCTGTTGTGTTCTAAGGCCACCTTGAAGGGCTTAACCCTTACACCGTGGCTGTCGCCTTTATCTTTTAATGACGTGACATAGTTACAAGATACAGCAGGACACAGGGGTGAAAGGAATGAAGAGAGACTGGAAGAGACAGGGATCAGTAGATGTAAAGGCTGGGAGGAGAGCTGTGGTACAGTTAAGAGACTCTGAATTTCCAAAACAGCCATCAGATTTCTGGCTTGGAGGAGTAGGTGGTTGGAGGACAAACATCCAGAGAAGGGGTTTTCATTTTCAACTGCCCTCTCCATGTTACACCTTTATCAAAAGATGTGACCAGCACTTGTTCTTTACAAGCAGTACCTTCACAATCATCAGCAGTGTGTCTGATTCACATTTTCTGACAACCCACGTGATAGATTTAATTATGCCCGTTTTCCAGTTGAGGCCATGGAAGACAGCATGGCCCTATCTACAAAACTGCTACAACCACCTGAGCAAAAGATAGATTAACGAGATTTAAATGCCAGCCTGCTTTTCCAGGCAGGTAAATCTAGATGCCTATTTGTATAAATTCAAGTAGGTTACATATAGGTTATCTACTTAGATATAATTATATTCTTCACATAGTACGTATAGTTGAGTGTGCAGTTTTATTTTATTATGTTTCCTAATTGAAACGAGCAGCAGCACAGAGCATCTAAAGTTATTTTTAAACCAAAACTTGCTTATCTTAGGCTTGGGAGTACTTTCTATGGTATTGCCACTCACCTCTCCCAGGAAATATACCTTTCTAATTATGTTTGGGTTACTTAGCATTTTTTAATGCTATGGCACACAATGTTACAGCAGGACACATCAGTGCTTATAAATATGACAGGAGTAATTGACAGAAAAAATAAGAGTTACACTCTAGACATTCACAATCTCTTCTATATTTTCCCATCTTTTCCCTTACACCGGGAGCCAGCAGGTATTTCTGCCAGAATACGCAGAAAGAAGGGAATAAACTTTAGAGACAGGCAGATGGGCTTACATCGTGGCAGTCTTATTGGCTAGGCAGTATTTGGCAAGCTATGTAACCTCTCTGAGCTGCAGCTTCCACCTACAAACTCGAGGTAGCAATATCTTTCTTGTAAGGGGTGTGTGTGTGTGTGTGTGTGTGTGTGAAAAGTTTTGTGAATATGTTATTAAGCATATAAAACACTGAGCCCAGTGCCTGGCATATGTAGAATTACTATTCAAAAATGTCAACTCTTTTTGTATATTATCAAGCCTCGTGAAAACAGGCTGGGGTATGGGATGCAGAGAACTAACGCCATTCAAGCTTAGCTTAATGAAGAGAGATAATCTTTATTCTTGTGATAACGTATGTAAACATTTTAATTCCACTTTTCATAGGTAACTGAAAAGATAGGGTGGTGCAGTTAAAAAAAATAGTGAGGAGAGAATTGGTGTACAATGTGATTTCAAATCCCGGGTCACCAACTTGGTATTTGTGTCAGAATGGGCAACATCTATCTGAGTGCCAGTTTTGTTCCTACACAATGACTTATATAATTATTACCCTACAGGTTTGTGGAGAGGATGCAGTGGACAAGATATGCATTGTCCTTTACCGGGGGAAGATTATACACACCAATCAGGCTTGCTTCATGTGACTTGCCTCAGCCAATCAAACATGAGCAAAAAATGACAATTGTCACTTGGGCAACATCGTTTAAGAGCTGACTCTTTTTTCCCTTTGTTTCTCCATCAGCATGGGTGCCCGAGTGAAGGGAACATGGAGCAGGGCTGCAGGTGATCTATGACAGATCTTACAGCAGGAGCAGGAGCTTGACCTTTGTCGTAGCCACCAAGACGGTGGCATCATCCCTTGCTGCCTCATAAACTGGCCTTTCAAACACAGAGAGTGTAGCGCCTTGAGCACAACTGCCAGCACGGGCCTATAAAATAACAACCCCCTTCGCCTTCACTGCCTCAAAGAAGGGGAAAAAAAGAAAAACATTTCCAGCGTTCTGTTGCTTTCTGACCTTGTGCTTTCTTTATTTGAATAATATTTACAGTATTTTGCCTCTTGCTTCCTCTGCCCCGAGGTCTTCATGGACTCACAGTCCAGGTGCTGAGGCAATGGGACTGCTTCCCCCACACTTCGGTCTCCCTGACCGAAGCCTTAGGCTTCAGAGGGCTCCTCCCCTGGGAGTGCGAAGAGCATCCATTCCACACCCAAGTCCCCTCAGATGCTTCAGTCTGTGCGCATCGGGAAAGCAGTTTGGAGTCATGGACACCCTTGGCGCTTGCAAACTTCTGCGGAATCTGATTCAATCATGCCTTTCCTCCCAACAAGAACAAGACGTTCTTTATGCTACAGATGCAAGAAGCAAAGACTAGGGCAGCTACATAAAACTCGCTTGGCTTTTCCATCTGAAATCCCAATGCCAGAGTCATGTCTGGGAGGGAGAGAAGACTGTCCGCACTTGATGTTATAGCTTACCTCACTTTTGCCCCTTTGTTCATTCTCACAAGGTCAAAAATGACAATTTCCTCCCAAAGATATTTTACCTAAAAAAAAAATGAGGAGAGGTAACCCACTTATAAAAACCCTGATAGATTTTTGCATTTAAGCAACGAATATAGTAAGTACTGTTGAAATGTGCATCACATCCAGATGGGAAAATATCTTTCTGTAAACGCACTGCTTACCTGGACTTCTCTGTCTCAAGTACTCAATTCTGCCTTGGAGCATACAAGCAGCCATGGACAATATGTAAACAAATAGGCATGGTTGTGTTTCAATAAAACTTTATTTATAAAAACAGGTTGTAGGCCAGATTTGTTTGCTGATTCCTGGTCTTTTAGACCCCTGTTGGCAGGTATAGTTTGCTGAACTCTGGTATATTAGGTCTACCCAGAAAGAGGTAAATATTTCTGAATGATTCTTTTTTTTTTCTTTTTCTTTTTTTTTTTTTTTTTGAGACGGAGTCTCGCTCTGTCGTCCAGGTTGGAGTGCAGTGGCGCCATCTCTGCTCACTGGAAGCTCCACCTCCGGGGTTCACGCCATTCTCCTGCCTCAGCCTCCTGAGTAGCTGTGATTGCAGCCACTCACTAGCACGCCCGGCTAATTTTTCTATTTTTAGTAGAGACGGGGTTTCACCGTGTAAGCCAGGATAGTCTCGATCTCCTGACCTCGTGATCTGCTCACCTGGGCCCCTCAAAGTGCTGGGATTACAGGCGTGAGCCACCGCGCCCGGCCTCTGAATGATTCTTTAATTCAAGTCTTCATAAAAACAACATAAAGAATTAATCAAGAGTAAAGTCAAAATTATATAGAAATATCTAAACTCTTTCACTTAGAGGTTACTATATTTAATATATGCATGTATATTTATATCAAACTAAAAAGTATTACATAATCTGTGATAAGAACCTGTAGTTCCTCATAAAGAAATGGTAAAACCCTTGGAGAGCTGTTATATCATGTGTAAGTTAGGATATTGCCTAAGATGCTGTTTAAAAAAAAATTATAGTGGTTTTACATGATAGAAGTGTATTTCTCTCTCTCTCCAACCATACTCAACACATGGTGTCTATCTCTGGCTTGTCCAAGAGGGTGGTGTCAATCATCTCCAGCTGTAACCATTAGGAATTGGGAAAGAGGCACGGGAAGTCACACCCAGCTCTTCTGGGGAGCATCGCACGCCACTTCTGCTCATATCTCATTAACCATAATTTACTCACATGGCCACAACCCAGCTATGAGGGAAGTTGGGAAATGTAGTCTCAAGCTGGGCAACCATCTGCTCCACTAAAATATGAGTGTTACATTGTTGTAATAAAAGACATAAGAGAGAGGAGAAAACACTAGCAGTCTTTTGCATACATCATAATGGAAAAGACTTTAAACTATGGAGTCAGACTGATCAATTTTGGCTCCACTCCTTACCAGTTATGTATTATTAAGGACCATTTAGCCTTTTTGAACCTCAGGTTCCTCATTGGTAAAATGAGAATGATAATAACAACCTCTCAGTTCCTCATTTTATAAGTCTCCCTATATCCCAATCATCCTCACTAGGGAGAGAAATCTGAACAGTCAAATCCACCCATGGTTCCAAATCCAGGCTAAGTTATCCAAGGGCACCGAGTGTTCAACACTGCCCATTTCTCAGTTCTGATTAGTGATATCAAAAGAGAATGGGCCACACCATGATTTTATTACTGACACTGACTTAAATCAAGGTCAGTGAGGAAAACAACTGTTCTGTTATGGGAAGCTTTCTTGAGCACACAGGCTCCAAGTTTTTGTCAGTAAAGTTATTTTCTTTGTGAGATTATTCCTTTTTCTCTTGCACAAAACCTTGCCAAACACTGGTGTACCTTTGTCCACTGAGGAAATAACTAGCCCACGTGTGACTCTCTCTCTTCTTATTGTTTTCTTCATTTGTATATGTCTTTTTTTCTTCTTAGTATTATTGTAATGTCATTAACACAGGGAAAGAGCCCTGTGTCAATGGCCATGGAAACAGAGCAACGGAGCACAGCTTTAATTGAACTACAGCCTCCTTTCCATCACACCTTTTGCTTGGCCCAAACCATTTTGTAATCACTGGAGTATAAATATTGTAGTTTTTGTCCCTTGTTTTGTCTTTCTCTCCATAAGGTCTGAGTGACCTCACACATTCCACTTTTCCAGATAAGACCTAATACCTTCCCCTTCTCCAAAACAATAGATTTTCTCCTCTGATACCTCTCATTCAACATCTACATTTGCAAACTGTTGCAAGGATTTAATGAGGTGATACATGCAAAGTTCTTAGAACCAATCATAATGCACAGTAAATGCTAAATTAAAAGTTGGCTCCTCCACAAACAACATAGAGTTGGTTCTGAGTTTAGCTTCCAATCCCTCCCCACTAAGAAATGGGTCAAGCCATTATCCAAATGTATCTAATGGAATTATCTATGTTCTTTGGCTTAAATTCTTCATTATTCATTCTTCCATGCCAGAGCAGTCTTCACTGAAACATCAAAAGGCTGCTTACTAATATCAGGGAATTCCCTGACTGCAATTGCCCAAAGGACACGCCCTAAACTAAAGTCTAGAACAGCTGTGGAGCTAAAGAAGTAGGCATCCCATGCCATGCTCTGCAAATTGCCTTCCAGTAATTCTTTATTGTACAGGAATGGCTTCTGTCTCTTTATGTTAGCCATTCCATCATGGTTTCCTCTCCCTGAACATTTTCTCTCTCTGCTCAATTGCATCTTCTAAGGCGGCCAAATGGAGTTTTGAAGCCAGCTCCTTTTAGTGTATGGAAATTTCCAGATTGAGATTGTTTCCCATTGGGCAATACCACAAGCATGACTCATCTGATGATGTACTCAATGTGTTCCCTGTCTCTGTAGAACTCTGGAGTCTTATAATTTAACATTATATGCATTATAGGATAAATGGTACATTATAATATGATGAAAATTGATATTAAAAGGCAGAAATCATTGCTGTCAATTTTTAGCTTCTTCACCATAATTTCTCAACTAATGTTAGAGACTCATTTTTTACCTCCCCACTAGGAGTCTCTAGTTTAACCAGATTCATGTGGGTATTTTTTCTCTTTTGTTGTCATTCATTTATTCATTCATTTTTCTACACACTGGTGTTTGTTTGTTTGTTTGTTTGTTTACCACTGGGTCTTGCTCTCTTGCCCAGGCTGGAGTGCAGTGGTATAATCATGGATCACTGCAGACTCAACCTCCTGGGCTAAAGCTATTCTCCCATCTCAGCCTCCTGAGGTAGTTGGGACTAGAGGCATATGCCACAACACCCAGCTAATTTATTTATTTTTTTTTGGTAGAGACGGGGTCTTCCTATGTTTCCCAGGCTAGTCTCAAACTCCTGGGCTCAAGAAATCCTCCTGCCTCAGCCTTCCAAAGTGCTAAGATTACAGGAGTGAACTACCACACCTGGCATAGTTGCACATTTTTAATTAATGCTTATCTTTTGCTAGTCACTGTGCTATTTTTACAAAGATAAAATAATGGGGAAGATAAACAAGATCTTTTCTTTATTAAGCCTCAAATTTGTTCTCAACGTACTAGACTTTTTCTGCTTCTCTGTACCAGTGATTCTATCCAGAACAGCTGCTCCCTTGTTCTTTGCCTATGCAAAGAGTATTTAAAGTCTTTATTCTCCATGGAAGCTTCCCAAATTATTGCAGCCCAGAGTGAAGAGAGAACCTTTCTTATCGCACACACATTTTCTAAATCAATTAAAAATTTGAGGAGTTATAGGTTATGTACAACAAAAAATGATTCTGAATGTCTTAAATTATACATACATATATTATATATGTACATATATTCATTCATTGTTCTTATATATAAGAATTTAATTATATATCTCATATAAAATTATGTATATATCTATACACACACGCACACATATATGTACAGTTGGCCCTTGAACAATGCAGAGGTTAGGGGCATCAACTACCCCAACAGAGTCGAAAATCCACATATAATTTTTGACTCCCCCCCAAACTTAACTACTAATAGCCTACTGTTGACTGGAAGCCTTACTGATAGCATAAACCGTTGATTGAGACATATTTCTTATGTTATATGTATTATATACTGTATTCTTACAATAAAGTAAATTAGAGAAAAGAAAACATTATGAATAAAAACATAAGGAAGAGAAAATATATTTACTATTCATTAAGCGGAAGTAGATCATCATAAAGTTCTTTATCCTCATAGTCTTCAGATGGACTAGGCTGAGGAGGAGAAGGAAGAGGGAAGGTTGGTCTTGCTGTCTCAGGAGTGGGAAAGATGGAAAAACATCTGTGTATAAATGGACCCCCTAATTCAAACTTGTGTTGTTCAACAGTCAGTTGCATATATTTGAAGTATATGAGGGATTCCCCAAATTAATGAGCAATTGGAGAACCAGGTTAGAACCATGGCAATTCAAGAGTAGACAGGAGACAAGGATCACAACATTCTCCTTTTAGCAGGAACAATCAATCACCCAGTTATTTTGGGTGCAAAATAATACCACAGTCCTGTATGCTGCTGATGCCACTGCTCCTGGACACTGGGGAAACTACTGTGAGTGAGTTCAAATGTTCTCACAGCTATAGATTCAAAAGTCCAGAGCAGGCACATCCAACTAGCCAAGTTTTGATTTCGTGGCTGCCAGAGGGATGGTAAAGTCCAGTCTTTCAACTTTTTACAGTGGAAGGTAAAGGCACAATCTCTCACTTACTCTACATGCAATGAGAGTTTCTCTAACACTGGAAAGAGAAATACAAATGACAAAGAAATGACAAGGTCTTTGTCAGAGAAACAGAGCCAACAGGGTAGATAGATGACAGATGATAGATAGATAGATAGATAGATAGATAGATAGATAGATAGATAGATAGAGATTTATTATGAGAAATTGGCTCGCGTGACTATGGAGGCTAGGAAATAAAGCAACCTTCTGTCTGCAAGCTAGAGGCCCAGGAAAGCTGATGGTTTCATTCCCGTTCAAGCCTGAGGCCTAAAAACCAGGAGAGCCAATGATGTAAGTCCTAGTCCAAAGGCTTGAGAACCAGGAACACCAATGTCCAAGGGTAGAAGATGGATGTCCCTGCCCAAGCAGAGAGAGCAAATTCACCCTTCTTCTTCCTTTATTCTGCTCAGGCTCTTGACAGATTGGCTGATGCCCACCTGCACTGGTAAGAGTGATCTTTACTCAGTCTAATGATTCTAATGTTAATCTCCTCCAGAGATATCCTCACAGGTATATATGGAAATAATGTTTTACCAGCTATCTGGACATCCCTCAGCCCAGTCAAGTTGACATGTAAAATTAACCATCATCGTTCCCTCTACCAATCATGACTATATTGTGATCCTTTTAGAAAATTATTATCATTGCCTTTTTTAACCTTTGCACTGTTTATTCTCTAAACAGACACAGAGTTTGTTGCCAGCTATCTCCCCAACCAAGTCTCTTCAGGCCAAGAACAGGTATTATAAAATACTTTGTGCATGACTTCATGGTGACTCACTCACAGTAGGTACTTATGAAGTAATTTATAGCCTAATAAATGCTGGGAATTAATCCTGTTGGCCCCTTTTCCAGCATTTAGTGCGACCTATAATGAAGAATTTGAGTCTTTGGAACAAATTTCAAGTCATTTCATAATTATTCAAAATTATGTCTATTTAACAACATATCCTGTGTTTACTTTTAAGCAGTGGAAGAGTGCTTATAATAGAAACAATAGAACAATTCAGTATTAAATATATCTTTACATGTGCTGTTTAGCCACTTGAGGGGAAACAATTTTCTAACAAGTGGCAATGGTCAAGAAAGCTATGAAATTTAGGCCAGTTGTCACAGAAAATAACTTATTAGTTGCTAAGCTACCAGTCCTAAAAGGAACTCAATTAGAGGAGACAAACAGCCTTAACTAGACCTACTTTATTGGAGAGTAGAACGTTGTAGCTGTCAGGTGATTCTGGTGGATGTGTGGCAGGCAAAGTGATTGACAAACTGGTCTTCGCTTGGCATGAAATTTGGCTTTGAATTAGTGAGTGACTGACAGGCGGGTGTCATCTGAAAATGTGGATTGTGTCTTGGAGGGGCTATTTTGCAACAAAGTGATTGACACATTACAGAGATTGTCCCATAGATGGAGAAAACCAAATAGAGATTTGTTTTGACAAGCATTTCCTTTTTACCTGTTCATTTTGTATACAGAGAAGAGAGAGAAGGGAAGCCCTCATAAGTGCTAATTGATTTCTCCAGTGAATATCGGAATGATGGTGGCCATGGAATGCACAGAAAGAGACCTGGACAGAGAGGAGTCAAAAGACAGGTGTTAAAGTTGAATCTTATATATATTAAAATTTTAACAAATAACCCCGTTTTTTACAGAGGCTGTCACATTAATAGAATATAAGTCTAGAGGTGTTGGCAGCCATCTTTGCCACCTCATGTGAATAGGGTTGCCAGATCAAATACAGGATGGCCCATTAAGATGAATTTCAAATAAAGAATGAATAATTTTATTATGTGTCCCAAATATTGCATGGGATATACTGAAACTTAAAAAAAATCATTGTTTATCTAAATTCAAATGTATCTGGGCATCTTGTATTTTTATTAGCTAAATCTGGCAACTGTATGTGCAATAAACCTGCTTAGGCATGAAGCCCATACATGGAAAACTGGAGACAAGAGGTGGCAAGAGACAGATTCCTGGTGTTGTCCTTTGCACACCTGGATCCAGCTATGCCCAAAGCTTACTCTAATCATGCTCCTCTCAGATTCAAGCAGCACACACACACACGCACGCACACGTGCACACACACACACAACACTGTTTTACTAAACTCGCTTGAGTTACTGAGTTTAGTTGCTCCCTGGCAACCAGAGAACTCCTTCTACTTCACACTTTTTCTCTTCATTTTAGTTACCGGGTTATATTCTAATTGGAGGCAGCATTATTTTATCCAATACAAGGTAAGCTATTTTCTGGAAATGTGTCTGACTGCCATCAAAATGGTCATTTGTCTTCTTGAATTACAAACAGTTTTTCTGGTGATTCCAAACTTTCTTCATCCTTCTCCAACTTTATTGACCTCCACTGCTATTTTTCTGAAAGCTAACAGTTAATACTTTCCTTTCAAGCCACCCATTTTAAAAAGTAATTTAAAAGAATTATTTAGAAATTTTTAATTATTTTTAAATTATTTAAATCTTAGATATTTATAAAATCTTATAGAGAAATTAGAAGCTGAGGAACAACTTGGAAATTTTATTGTCACTTGTTGCTAAAAATATTGAATAAATAGCTCTGCCCATTTCTTGTCTTTTTTAAATGTAGTTGACCAACCATCTTTCTGGCCAATAAAATGTTTATGTGTTACTTGTAAGCTACCTTGTCTCACAAAGTATTTGAGCGTGCTCTGAACAAGAAAAAAATAAAAAGTGGGTTGTCTTATTAATCTGTGCTTTTTGGATGTAAGCAACAGAAACCAACTTACTTGACTGATATAAAATGCTGTTATGTTTTATAAAGGTAGGAATGTCTCAAGGAACACAAAAGACTGGGATACAGCCAGCCTTTAGGAAGAGACTGGACTCAAAAACTAGAAAACCACTGAGGCACTTTCTCTCCCTCCCTCACCTCCCTTTTCATTTCTACTCTACTTTCTTTACTCTAGACTTTGATCACACTATAGACAGATTTCCTCCGTGCTTAGTCTGTTTGGTGGAATATGGTGAAATATGGTGACCCCAGATTTACATGAGTCAGGTTCAGTGACACAAACTATCAGTCCCAGTCCTCAGGAGACAGAATGTGATTTATGCAAGTGTTCTTGCTCAATCCACTTGAGGAAGTGAGCAAGGTCACATGATACAAACATGGCTACCAAGGATCCATCCCTGTGGATTGCAGCCCATTTTCAGAGTTAAGAGAACATATAACTCCTAGAGTTATGTAAGTTGCCAGTGTGATAGTTATTAAGCAATGACTTCTCAGCTCTCAATCCCTCTTCTATACTCTGTTCTGTGAATCTGGAGGCTGGGATGCTACAAATTCCATAGCTCTTGGATAGGTAGGCATAAAAGGTTGTCTAAAACAGAATTTTAGCTAATGCCATCCTGTCCAAGCTTGGCTGTGAGAGCAAGGTTGGTGGTCCAGATACCTACACTAAGAATGGTCTATGGTCCCTTGAAATGGTATTTGAAGTACCTGGACTACAACACTGTACCTGGGCTATGATTCCAAGTGTCTGTCTACTGGCTAATATGGATCAATGGAATATGAGTAGGAAATATGTAAAAAAAAATCAAATAAATCTATAAATATGAATTTTTAAAATAATCTCAAAGTGTCTCTAATGTGTGTATATTTAAAGAATTTTATTTCAGAAAACTCACTCTGTTGAGTTCATTTTGAAGAGTCTAAAGGAAGTGGATGGACAGCTGTGTTTGTAACTTCAAGTGCATTAGAGGTTAAGGCAAGGTAGAGAGTGATGAAGGCTAAAGCCCCCTGGAGAAGAATCTCCAGGGACAGAAGCCTAGGTTCAAATCCTGTCAGTGCCACTCCCTAGCCCTGTGACATTGAACAAGTAACATAACCTTGTGTATCTATATCCTCATCAGCAAAGTTGAGCTAATGAGTGTACCTGACACATATGGTTGTGAAGGTTGGATGAGATGGTTCATTCAAGATGGTGAGCTAGCTATCTTGGCCTGGCTAACTCTTTGGGTCTGGACTAAAATAAGTACTCAATAAACGTCCACATTATCCTACTTATTCTTACTTATCTTTTGGGTCTTGAGGTCTCTTGAATTTTATTTCAGGGGCTATGGGGAGGCAGTATGAGGAATTAAGCCATCTATGCTAAACTCCATGTGTGTACTGAATGACTATGACCTAGAGAAAGGAGAGAAAATGATGTGGGCACCATAAGCACAGAATTCAACAAACTATGATGACTTTGGCCGTAAGTGCTGCTTTATAGCTCTCTATAAAGCTGCCCATCAACAAGCTCCAGTCAGATGACCTGCAGTAATGAGAGTATGAAGAGAGCAGCATAGCAGAACATTCCACCTGATGGAGACGCAGATCACAAGAAGGGCATTCCCATAAAGCACAGGGTGCCTTTCAATCTTTTTCTCCTCCTTCTCATCCCTTACCCTTGCCCCTCAATTTGTGGTATCACTCTCAGTTTCTAGCTCCCATTCATTCATTCATTTTTTCAATGAATCACGTTTTAATTTACTCATATATTCATTCAACTGTCTGCTCATCATTTTTAAAATTATTCATATAGAAAATATTTATTGAGCTAATTACTGCAGCTTGAATTTATTGGGCTCTTTGTATATGATGAGTTCTTAGATATGTATGATAACAATAAGATAAACAGCATCAACATTTATTGAGCAGTTACTCTGTGTCCAGTGCTGTGATGAGTGTTGTACATGCATTATAATATTTTGTCTTCACAAAAGTCATCTGAGATAAGATGCTGTTATTACAGTATTTTTCTAGGTTGGGAGAAGTATCTTAGAGAATTTAGGTAAACTGTTCAAAGTCACTTAGTTAGTAAATAGGGAGCCCAGGCTTCAAAATCATGTGTTTCTAACCTAACACACATGTTCTTAACCACATGGGGCAGGCTCAGCAGATCTAAAACTAGAGTCTTTATAATCTTATCTAATAATGAATTCATAGGGAAGGTGGTACTTAAACTGTGTTATAAATTATGAAACAGGGGACTAGTAATAAAATGACTTAATGAGGTATTCATTCCAATTGAAAACAATATAGTAAACAAAACAACAAAGCAGAAACCCACAGAATGGCCCAATTTTCCTGGCATAACTCATCAAAAAAGTATTATTAATAATATATCCATTTGCCAAAGCCAAATGATGAGTTACAAATCTTTCCTTTGAAAGGGATAGGAAATCCAACTCAAGAAAGCTTGAAGAATAAGAGGACATATGGACTTCTATCACTATAAAGGTGAAGGGCAGGACCAGCTTCAGGTACAGCTTGATCTGGTGACATCAGGACGAGCTTTGTTCCCTTCCATTTTTTTCTGTCTATTTTCCACAGAGTCAGCCTATTCTTCAGGCCTCAGATAGGTTCCCATTGCCAATTCCAAAGTCTTCCATTTGGTAGCAAAGAAGCCATTCAAGTCTTCATAGGTTCACACCACACAGACCACAGAAGGAATGGCTCTCCTCCTATGGCTGTCAAGGAGGAGCAAGTTCCCTCTCTTTCCCCAAGAAGCTTTAACAAACTTTTCTACAGATTTCGTTGCTTCTAAGTTTCTGCCCATCATGGATCAAATTATGGTTGCCAGAAGGGTGAGATGAGATGAGATTATTGACTTTAGCCAGTCCTGAGAGCTGGGGAAAGGGTCAATACCACAAGAATGGCTGAGCACGGGACAGAATTAACTGCCCCAAAGCAAACTCCACGTGGTATTCTCTTACAGGGGAAGATGAATAGAAGTTAGGCAGCAAAGGACACTTGAGTCCACTGCACCAAACAATTCTGGATTTTTTGCTTAATTATTGAGTGGCTAAACATATCTTCCTGAAGCATATAACAGCTCAATTTAGCACTCTACTAAACTGGAAATTTTACCTTATTCATTACCACATGGAAGCATTTTATAAACCAAATGCAACAACGTTTCTTCACAGGCATGAGTATATGTTTCATTTTTTTTCCCATCAAAGTGCTTCAGAAGTCCCAACTTTCATAATGTCTCAAGTGGAATTATTGTCATTATTTTCCTTTATATCAGCTTCATATCTTGCACAAATGAAGGTATCAACATGCACCATTTCAATTAAAGTCAGATTAAATACTGTGTTTCTTTACAGGGATGGTATTTCAATTGCAATTCTTTCTGGGTTGTTTATTTGACAAATGTGTTTGGCATGTGTAAACTGCTGTGATCTACTTTTCTTTTTGTGACATTTTGGGCATAGGAAAAACTGCATGGCTTAGTGGATGACACAGTTTGCTACAAGTGGCAATATAAAAATTGGAAATTCTTGAACGATTTAACATTTCCCCTTCTAGTTACATTCTCTATCACAGAGGAGTGATATTCTGGGGGACTGGAACCAATCAGAGGATAGGAGTATAATTTTTACAAAACAAATGTATGTATAAATTATCACTCTCTTCTCTCTTCTCCACAGATAGAGATACTAATAGATCCAGAGCGTGAGATGCTGATAGGGGTGTCATCTTCTACAACAATTCATCTTGTCAGTGAAAGGAAGAATTAAGCAACCTGAACCATTAAGATACACAGTTAGACTTCAGCATTATCCAGCACATCTCGACTACACTGGTGGAAGGAATGTGTGTTTCTTGTGTAGAAGAGAGAGCTGGTGTGTGCATGCATGCATGTATGTGTGTGTGTGCGTGCATGCGTGTGTGTGTGTGTGAAAGAGAGAGAAAGACAGAGAGACAGAGAGGGAGAGAGAGAAAAATAGATGGGGCAGGGCATATGATCTCAAGTCGGCCTCAGTCTTCACCCTTCCCTCTTGCCTCGGATCCAATGCATTCCATTTGTGGTTACCTTCTTAGTCTCAACATGGACTTGAGTTCCTGGGCTTTTATCTAACCAGAGCCACCTAGACTAATAGTCTGGTGACTCTTCAATCCAATACCCTTCAAGCATTTGTCCCACATACCATTAGTGTTTTAGTCCATTCTCACACTGCTAATAAAGACATACCCAAGACTGGGTAATTTATAAAGGAAAGAGACTTAATTGATTCATTGTTCAACATGGCTCTGGAGGCCTCAGGAAACTTACAATCATGGCGGAAGGGGCAGCTAATTCTTCATATGGCGGCAGCAAGAAGTGCTGAGCAAAAAGGGGAAAAGCCCTTTATAAAACCATCAGATCTGTGAAAACTTACTCACTATCATGAGAACAGCAGCATGGGGGTAAGTGCCCCCATAATTTAGTTACTTCCCACCGGGTCCCTCCCATGACACTTGGGGATTATGGGAACTATAATTCAAGATGAGATTTGGGTGGGGACACAGCCAAACCATATCAGCTACTGAGGGTGGAATATGATTTTCTTTAAATTTTTTTTCAGAATCAGAATTACAATTTTACTTCCATTGGTTGAAAATGAGTCAATATTCTTTTTTTAAAAAGTAAATTAAAATATTTCCAACATTTCTGCAGTTTGTGTTTCTCTTTGGAATTCTTTTGTTAGTTTTTCTGAACCAAGCAGCTTCTTGGGAGTTATATTAAAAGGTTTAATATTCACAATATAAATCACATCCTTTGTAGGTTACAGCACACCACTCATTACATGGTTCTGGTATTTCTGCTGACCACAACTGCCATCTTTGAGCCGATTGTAAATGCAGTGTATGTTAGTTACAAAATCTTAGCAGAAGCATTTCAGGGCTAATAAATGTGATGTTTTTGTATCTTTGCCTGGTTCATATTACAGTGGTATATGTTTTCATTAGAGAAGAACCAACATAGATTTCTCAACTCCTTCCATTAGTGTTCCTAAGCTCATTAGAGATTGGTACCCTGGGTAGCTGCCCAGCCAACCCACTTCTCAATCCACATCTGTGGGAGAAGGCGAAGGCATGAAAGAGGAATCACTGACTCACAGAATGTGTGAGCTTAAAGACCTGACACTGGGAAATTTGCAAAGCAAAATTTTTAAAGTATTTCCATATTTTATTAAGTATTACAAGCTAAACTTGATTGTCTGTTTTTATTGCATACTCAGTTGCATGTAATTAATTCGGGAGTCAGCAAACTATGGTTTATGGCCCAATCCAGCCAGAAGCCTATTTTGTTAATAAAGTTTTATTGGAATACAGTCATGTTGATTAATTTACATATTGCTTATGGCTTCTTTCATACTACACCAGCAGAGTTGAGTAGTTGCAACAGAGGCCAGTATGGCCTGCAATGGCAAAATATTTACTACGTGGTCCTTTAAGAAAAATTCTGTCTATCTCTGATCTAATTCTCTAAAGTAGTAGAAAAATTTATTACTTTTTAAATATAATTTATTTGAATGTTTAGATGCCCATGATATAAGCTCCTGTACTTCCTCTTCAGGACACTCGCGACATTTGCAATTCTCTATTCACTGGACATCTTCAGATTATAAGTTGCTTGGGGACTTCTACTGAATCTAACTGTATCAATCAAGAATGCTTTTGACAGCAAGTAACAAAATACTTTTAACTGAGCCTTAAAAAATGAAGACTTGCCATATCTCACCTTATAAAAAGCCTGGATGAATAAGTCTAGATTCAACACAGAAGGCCAAGGATTGTGCAAACCATCATGGCCCCAGGCTTTGATTGTCCCTCCTGCTCCTCAGTGCTCATGCTAATTCTTTGTCTTCATGCATGTCCACCTCATGGTTGCAAATTTTTTGTTCCAGCTCCAGGCATCACATCCTCATACCAACATATCAAGCAGAGAAGAAGGGGCATGAACAGGAAACTTTTTTCTTCTAAAGCTCTGATATTTTAACCTAGGAAGAAAACCACCAGCAGACTTCCCATTATATTTCATTTAGCAGAACGGATCACATTACTTCCAACCTTTTTCACTGCTGTAATCACAGAGCTAGAACTAAACTGGAAGGTAGTGGACAATCCATAACAGTGTGTTGAGTGGTACATGGAAGAATGGATGAATTATAGACAAAAATCTTTCAAGTTTAGTTTAATTAGGTTTCCACAATGAGCAACGAAGGAAGGCAAGAGAGGAGATCCTTGATAGCAAAATTATTGGGGAACATCACTTTATCTTAACGTTTTTATTTTACACATAAGGAAAGTAAGACCCCAAAGTCGGAAGTGAGGTATTATAGTGAATTTTTATGATTTCTGATTTTCCAGCATCCATGAACCACCTTTCTGGTAGCATCTCTTTAATCTGAACAACCCACTTTCTCCAACGATGTAATTCAAATGAAGCAGGTGGCAGACCTGGCCCCGGGAGAGAGCATCTGTCCCTGAATCATCACCATTCTATCCCCCTGACCTCAGGGCTGCGTTCAGAGATGGGCACATGAACCAAGGTAACCCAGGGAGGAGGAGTGCAGAGCTTTGGCGAGTGCTGCCAGGAATGAGGCTGCTGGTGATCATTGTGGGGGCAGCCAGGCTGAGAGTGAAGCCCTCACAGAAGGAAACTGGAGCTCTATGACGTCATTGATGAGCACCTAGATGTAACTGTGCCTGAACTTGATATTTTATCTATTATAAATAACAGAAAGCCCAACTTGAAGCGTTCTAAGTTTTTTGGCTCATTTATACATCTAGTCATAAGATAGATGTACTCGAGTGTGTTTATTCAGTGGATCAATGGTGCCATCAAGATCCTAGGTTTTTATTTCCAGGCCTCCTCATAGTTATGAGATAGCTGCCAGTAACAATTTTTTCCCTCCTAGATCAGTAAATAAAAGCTCCCAAGCCGCATTTCTGAGATTCTGCTCCATTGGGCCCTTTCTTACATATGAACCAATCACTGTGATCAGTGAGGGAAGGGAATGCGCTGATTGGCTTAAGCCCTGGAGCTGGGGGTGGGGTCTCCTTCTCTGGAAGTACAGAAGTCAAATGAGAAAGCATTAGATACCCACAGGAAAATCTGAGTTATATCAGAAAGGATTGATGGCGTGAATGCTGGGAGGAAAAACAGCAGTGTCCATTAAAACTATCAACTGCTGGACTTCTGGGTTATATGCAGCCAAATTTTTCCTTTTGTCCTTAGGCCAATTTGACTTAATTTTCTCTCCTTTGTAACTAAAGGGTAGTTATTGATGGTGATAAATGCTGTCACTGGGAATGGAAGTCAGCCATTTCTCAACCATACCACCATATAGGCCATTACAACCCAAGTCTACTCCCCTTCATTTTCTCCATGGCTCCTATCACATCCTAATATACTAGATAATTTATTTTATATATTATCTTCCTCTTCTCACTGGAGAGTAAGCTCCATGGGAGAAAAGATTGGGCTCTGTGATTTTATCCTGGTGTCTATAACAATACCTGCCCCAAACAATGTGCTCAGTTAATATTTGCTGAATGAATGAATGAATGAGTGTATAAATAAGTAACATCTATGTATGTCAGAAGAGGAAGAGGCCTCAAAAATCATCTGGCCCACTCTCTACAGAGACTGCACTGGAAACCCAGGCTCCTGATGGTAAACCCAGTGTGGTCCCCATTCCTCCATCTTCCATCACAGCAATAGGAATTCCCCGTCTTCCACCAGCCAGCATCTTCTCTGTCCAAGGCGTCACCTGTTTTCTTCAGTTTATCTGTTTTCTTCGAGTCCTTGAGTAGTCACACTTCTTCCTGGCTGTATATTTGAATTCCGGTTATTTTCATTTATAACTGAAAAGGAAGACACCAATGACCTTTGCTGGATTACTTTATCCACTAAGGGCTTTACCCGGGCTCTATGCCTGCATCTTTTGTCTCCATTCATATCTCTCTTCAAGGGCTTCTGGAGGTCTCTCTCCTACATTCCCAAACTCTCTGATATGAGTCAAAGCACATCTCAGTCTGACTCCAGACAGCACTTTGTACCAATGGTCCCCTGGGCTGACTGGTTGCAAGTGGCTCACCTGGGCAGTGGAGGCATCTGGATCTTAGACAGTCAACGGAGGCATCTCCAGAGACTTCTGATGTCCAGATGGGCTATGTTTTGAGACTCCTTCTTGGCTAGGGACCAAGGAAACGCCAGGCCTCTCAGGCACAGATGGTGCCCAGGTGTGGCTGGCTCAGCTGGGCTCCACCTTGGAACTCCTAATGAATTTTCCAGCTGGGGTGGGTCACAGCCCTGGTGTTCTCTTACAACCCAGTAGGACTTCTGACCTCAAGAGTGGTCAAGTAGGGTTGATTTAAGGATTTGATGCTGCTCTGAAATCCCAAAATTCTCCCCTTCTAGGAAATCCCAAACTGTTTTGGGCCATGAAGAACATTATGGAACAGGGCATTTCATGCAAACAAGCAGCTACCCAAACCATTGCCCTTTGTGAATTCAACAATCAACAATTAATTGAAAGGTTGAATGTTAGGAAATTTGAAGAAATATAGGTATTTGTTAAAACTACATTTTAAAAAATGTATTCAGGTCAGGCACAGTGGCTCACGCCTGTAATCCCAGCACTTTGGGAGGCCGAGGTGGGTGGATCACTTGAGGTCAGGAGTTTGAAACCAGCCTGGGCAACATGGTGAAACGCCGTCTCTACTAAAAATACAAGAATTAGCCGGCCGTGTTGGTGCGCACCTGTAATTGCAGCCACTTGGGAGGCTGAGGCAGGAGAATCTCTTGAACCCAGGAGGCAGAGGTTACAGTGAGCCAAGATCAAACTCCATCTCAAAATAAATAAGAAAAATAAATAAAAAATATTTTCAACATATTCAAATTTTTTAATTTGAAAACTCATTCTGTCACTTACTCATTGTGTAGCATTGAACAAGTTACTTACATCAGTGGTTCTCAGATGGGGTTCCTGGATCAGCAGCAGCAGCAGCAGCAGCAGCACCTGGGAACTTGTTCACGTGAACATCTTGTGACCCCAGACCAGATTTACAAATTCAGAGCCTCTGGGGAGGCGAGCCAGCAATCTGTGTTTTAACAAGCCCTGCAGTTGATTCTGATGCTTGCTCAGTTTTGAAAACCACTGGTTTAAACCATCCAAACTGTGTTTCCTCTTATGTAAAATGGAAGTAATAATACTTGATCTCGTAAAGTTGCTGTAAGGATTAAATTCAATAGATTTTACATGTCAAGTATTCAGGACAGTGTCCGGCACTTAGTATGTGTTCAATATAAGACAGCTACAATTAAAGTTATTACTATTATTATTGGATTTCTTTTCTGGGTGGCCAATGAATCAGTCTATAACTTTGCGTGTCTACCTGTGAAATAATAAAGAGGGAATATATTTTAACATTAATCATTATAACAGTAGCTAATGTATTGAGCTCCTCTCTGTGCCAGACACTTGGTTCACTACCTCACAAACAAGTGTTCAACCCTCATTAGAAAAAGCACTAAGCAAATGGTGCCATTATTGTCCATCTTTTACAGGTGAGAAAATAGATTTGAAGAGCTTATGTTAACTTGGCCAGAATCATACAAGTCGTGAGTGGAAGAACCAGGAAAAGAATTCAGAGTGAGATTCTGGAGCCCGGTCTGTCAGTAAATCACCACACGACCACTCTGAAGAGGTGTGCAAAAGGCATGACAGAGGTAGCCATTTTTTTACCCACCATGCTATTTTGAAAATCTCTATGAAATCAGATATTCACCACAACACATATATTAACTGTATGGCTATTGATTAATGATAGAAGGCTCTCAATCAAGTTTTTTCTTAAAATGAGTTTTTGTTGGTTTATTTTATTGTATTTATTTATTTTTTTGAGAAACCAGGGGCAGAAAAGAGTCTGTTACTGCCGTCCTCTGCAAGTCCTCCAAGGAGTTCTCCATGACTCAATTCCTGCCAAGTCACATTGGCTATGCAGTCACGAGGGGGATGATTTGTTGATGACAGATCTAAAGACGGTCCCGCATCTGTAACCAGAGCTGTTCCTTCTGGTTGCAGTTTGGGGCACTGATCACTGAGACCAAGGGACACATTCCAGTGTCCATTAGATGAGAGTCAACTGGAAAAAAAAATGCTTTCTTTACATACTGAAGGTAAATCTTCAGTAAAGATTAAAAGGAGGAAATATAAACATGTGACCTATAATTATTGCTAAGTATGTGTTAGCAGTTGTATTTGTTAATATGGGTTTGGGGCCCATGATGAATGCCAAATTTATACCATTTTTCAATACCACAAAATTTTCTGACACCTAAAATACCAGTGACATCCTATAAAGCAATTTATTAACATGGATGAGATTATATGTACATCAAAGGAATTTCAGAACAAGCTGCTGAATTTATAAAATGAATATATTTTAAAACTCATCAAAAATGGTATTGCAGGGTAAGTATATGTTTATTCAGTGCAAAGTGTCCATTTTATCCTAGAGAATTTGTAAGGTTACAAATAGGCCAGGAACAAAAAACCTGTAGGCTTTCTTATTTGAGTGAAGCCAGTAACTTCGCCTTTCATTTGAGAGTTTCTGTCTAAATCTTAGAAGCAGGACCTCCGTGATATCACAATATGTTCAGTTTAGCATAAAACTTCGCTGTGTCCCTAAAATGACAGTATCAACAATAGCACCACTAAGCAAACACTCGTTTTGGCTACTGCCTTTTATTTTATTTTTCCCCCCTCTTCTTAGCTCCACCCAGCTCGCTCTTGAAAGGCCTTCTGTTCTGTCAGCCATAATGACATCTGCTGGCGGACACAGGAAGTCATAAATCTGTAGGTTCTCTCTCAACCAAACCTTGTTAATGCTGCCATTTATCACTGGGGCTGGGGTGCCATCTCTGGAGAGCTGGACGCAGAGAGTCCATTTTCTCCCATACCCCTTTCCCAAGAGAGCAACCATTTTAAAAACAGCCACTTTTTCATCTCGCATTTGCAGACCTAAATGTCAGGCAGATGCAAACCCCACTGTCAATGTGCAGCTCTTGGAAAGAAGCCATGATTCCAGGCAACAATAGACTCGACTTGATGTTTCAGGATTGAAGCAAGGCAGTTGTGACTAAGCTCTGTCCTTCCTCATTTTAAATAGGCCCCTGACGGCTTGGAGGAGAGGGATGGAGGATTCTGTCCGTCCAAGCCCCTCTTCTCCAGGACTTTTCTAAGGGCAAAACTTACGACAGGGAGAGTTGAAAGAGGATTATTTAAATTCAGAGTTACTTTTGTTCTGAACTAATGAAAGATGATATGTGGGTTTTATTTCTTAGAAGTCCATGGTGCCCTAAGCATTGATTCAAGACCTCCACCTATGACAGATATTTTCTAGCTTTTGCTACTCAAAGTGGGGTCCCTGGATTCGCATCCCCTGTTAGAGCCTGTCAGAAATGCGGCATCTGGCCGGGCGCGGTGGCTCACGCCTGTAATCCCAGCACTTTGGGAGGCTGAGGTGGGCGGATCACGAGGTCAGGAGATCGAGACCATCCTGGCTAACACGGTGAAACCCCCGTCTCTACTAAAAATACAAAAATTAGCCAGGTGTGGTGGTGGGCGCCTGCAATCCCAGCTACTCGGGAGGCTGAGGCAGGAGAATCACTTGAACCTGAGAGGCAGAGGTTGCAGTGAGCTGAGATCGCGCCACTGCACTCCAGCCTGGGCAACAGAGTGAGACTCTGTCTCAAAAAAAAAAAAATGCAGCATCTGAGGCACCACTCAAGTCCTACTTTATCAGAACCCACATTTTCCACAACATCCTCAGGTGTTTCCTATACACATGAAGGTTTGTGAGGTTGTGCTCTACATTGAGGTTCTCACCTTGACACTGTTGGCATTTAGGGCCAGATCATTGTTTCTTTGCAGGCCTCTTTCTTGGGCACTGTGGGATGTTTGGCAACATCCCTGGTCTCCACCCACTAGATGCCAGTAGCAACCCCTGAGTCGTGACAACCAAAAATGTCTCCAGACTTGTCAAGTGTACCCGGGAGAGCAAAGTCACCCTTGTGGCAACTCAAAAGTGTGGTCTGTGTACTCGCAGCTGCTGTGTCATCTACGAGCCTGTTGGAAATACACCTTCTAAGACCCCACCCCAGACTTGCTAAACCAGGAGCTCTAGAGGTGAGGTGCATGAATCTGTCTTAATGCCCTGGGAGATAATATGGGTGCTAATGTTTAAGAACTGAGGCTTCTTAAATTCTCAGTTGCTGAATGTAAGCAGGGAAAAGCAATGCAAGAAATACCTGGATTTGGGGGATATAAAACTCACTGTGGCTGCAACACTGTCAAGAGGGAGTAATGCATGGTTGTTAAGAATAAAACAACTGGAGGCATGCCAGGTTTGAATCCAGGCTTCCCAATTTGCTATCGCCATAACCTTGGGTAAGTTACCTAACCTTCCTGTGCCTCAGTTTCCTCATATGTAAAATGAGGACAACAAAAGCACTTTATCAAAAACTGGTTTAAGGACTGGGTGCGGTGGCTCACACCTGTAATCCCAGCCTTTCAGAGGCCAAGGCGGATGGATCACTTGAGGTCAGGAGTTCAAGACCAGCTTGACCAATATGGGGAAACCCTGTCTCTACAAAAAAATACAAAAAAATTAGCCAGGTGTGGTGGCACACACCTGTGGTCCCAGCTACTTGGGAGGCTGAAGCAGGAGAATTGCTTGAACCCAGGAGCTGGCAGTTGCAGTGAGCCGGGATTGCACCACTGCACTCCAGCCTGAGTGATGGAGTGAAGCCCTATCTCAAAAAACAAACAACAACAACAAAACTGTTTTAAGGATTAAGGAGTTCATATTGTAAAGTGCTTAGAACAGCGCTTGGTACCAAGTGCTTTGGAAATGCCAGTTGCTATTATGATCATGACCATCATTTGCCTGTCTTTCCCTCAATGTTTAAGTTCCCTAAGAGCCACGCAGGTGCTTTCTTTTCTGCCACATCCCCAATACCCAGTCATGCACCTGGCACGGAGCAGGTGCTTAATGAATATGAGTGGAGACAGTGGGTCGGCCTGTGGAGGGAAGAGGACGCTAGCAGGAACCCTCTGCAGCAGGAACTTTCTGCTCCATTGGCTTGAACTTGTACTCTGTTGTCTGTACTTCCTGCATGAGGACACCAGCTTCCCTGATCGGTTTTGTAAATTGGCGCCCTTGCAAATGTAGGGGATTGAGCCAAAGTGAATGTTATTCTTCGGCTCAGATTAGATTGGACCTCTGATATATCTGAAAACACTCTGTAAACAACAATCAACAAATGTTTATAAAATAATGAAAAAACTAAAAATTGGGGAGTACTTTCTATGTATCAAGTATAATGCTCAGTATTTTATATTTGCTCATGTGAGTCTCTCTCTACTGGTAATAGTCAGTGATATAATTATTCCCATTTCACAGATGGGAAAACGGAAGCCCAGAGAGGCTAAACAATTTGCCTGAGGTCTTAGTAAATGGTGAATTTTTTTAAAGTGCTGCTTTCTTTGATTCCAAACCCAAACTTACCTTTTGTCATGAAGTCTACCTGATCTGTACACAGTGATCATATGTCCTAAGACTTCTGGGACAATCCTAATTTGAAACCTTCTGCCCCCATTTTATGCTTAACACACTCATAAATGTCAGACCGCATGTCTTTTATTTTGTTTAAAAACTCAAACTGTGATGATAATGAGAGCTCTGCGGCCCTACTAGAGATACAATGGGGAAAAGGAAAGAGGCCCCTGCTCCTGAAGGAGCTCACTTTTGGGGAAAGTGAAGATTGACCAAATCAGGGAATACAAAAGACTTGTAAGCAAGTGCAAACTACAGATTATAAACAATAGGACTGGACAGGAGAGAGCAACCAAAAGAGGCATGGAACTAACATTTTGAACTCACTGGTGCACTTGGTAGATATTTATTGAAGGTCTACTGTGTGCCTGGCATTATGCCAAAAAGTAGAGGTGCTGCAGGAAGAGGACCGTCTTGTTCCTTCCCCTCAGAAAGCTCACAGTTTAGGGTATTCTACTCCAACAGAAGTTGCCTGCTTGCCCATTTCTTCACACACCAACTCTACTAGGAACTGCCAGCACCCATCTCTTTTGCCTCCAGGGAAGGCCAGAAGTGGCCCTCACCCAATGGCTGGCAGGAGTAGGTGGATGAATACCCCAGCTCTCTCACCCTTTAGGAGAGACATCTCGAAAGTGCAGAATCTACACTACCTCCCAGCATTCCTAGCAGGATTAAGCTCCAGTGGCCCACAGTGATAACTTGCTTGTTAACACACCTGTACCAGCCACCTTCCCTTTCTTTACTCACTTTCCTACTCCCCTTCTGGAGTTTTCTAGAATCAACTCCCAAACAGACTACTTGCACACAAATCTTTATCTCAGAGTCTGCTTCTTGGGGAAGCAAAAGCAAGACGCAATCTTTCTAGAAAGAGAGTTTGCAACAGCCCTAGACTATTCAACCATGTTAAGCCCATGGGTTCCTTAGCCTCCTGGGAGTGCCCAGTAATGGTTAAGGAAAAAAGACAAGCTGTATTGTTGCCTTCAAGACAAGACGCTTTGACATAATCCTAGCAAGCAGGGGTAGAATCTCATGAAATTTTAAGGACAATAGGATGCTTAATGCCTAATCATAATAGATAAGACATGCTCTGGATAAGACAGAAAGGTGTTCTCAGAGCGAATTATATCCTTCTCTATTTGCTTCTGAAAGTTGAGGGGCACCTTTGGGCACACAGTTCTAATGAGTCCAGGAAGTAGAGCTTGATGCACAGTTGAGATGGCATAAAATATACCAGAACTTAAAGGCTGCTTATCACATGGTTTCCAGGCTGCTCCCGTCCTTACATTCATTTAATGTCTTCCTGTGGTTAATGAAGTTGAGCAATGGATTACTGGGCCAGCGACTTGGTTTGGATTCTTCAGGAGCAGCAAACACTGTCACTGACTGTAAGTAGCCAACTCCAAGGGAGAAATGTGATATATGTTAAATCTAACAGCTCCCATGGCCCCAATCGGCCCAGTCAGCAATCATTCCCTTTAAAATATACATAATGCTTAATTGCTGTTGCAAAATTCTACACCTAACCAAATCAAAATAGTTCTAAAAACGAGTGCCTAGTAACTCTTGGAGGATTTATTCTTAGAAGCAAGCTTGCCAATGCTTGGGCATTCCCGAATTTTATTGTCATCAACCTCACCTGTTTTTAGAAAGCAAATTTGCACCCAGTTAAATCAGACATAGTTTCTCCTGGGTTGGTTGTAAGTAAATGAATTGCATTGATCAATAGCTGGAAGAATAAAGTTCAAACTTGGTATGATGACTGACCTCCTCAGTGGTCTATTCCCAGTCCATCTCTCCTGCCTCATTTCTGCTTCCCTCTCTCTGGCTGCTTCTCTCGATCTCAGTTCTAACAGTTGCATCTTTCTATTCCTGAAGCTCAGACATCTCTTCCAATTTCAGGGCTGGGATCCTGATTGGGTGCTTCCAGATCTCAGTTTAAATGTCACCTCCTCCCAGAGCCTTTCCCTGACCCCAGCCCTAACGTGGGCTCTGCCCCACCCCCGTACTCTCTATCTCAACACTCTCAACACCCTGCTTTATTTTCTTCCTGTCACTCTCCATGATCTGGGACTTCCTCTTGTTTTACTCTCCCCAACGTGATGGTGGGGATTTCCTGGGAAAGTAGAAAATAACGAGAGATTGCTACCTATAAGTTTTCACAAAATACTTGCTGGGAAGAGGGATATCTTGAACGAGTTAAATGACATAAGAGGAAGGCATGACTTACATCCTCAAGGGCAACATCGTATGGTACACTGGCTCTCAAACTTGGCCGCACATTGGAATCTCCTGGGAGCTTTAAAAAATACTGTCAACTGAATCCCACCCCCACAGACTGATGTAATGGGTCTGGGGTAAGGCCTGGACACTGGAATTTTTTAAATCACCCCAGCTGGCTGAAATATGTTTGAGAGCACTGCTTTTTATACTTGAAGCATTATGCGCATATACAGAAGGGCACAAATTCTAAGTGTGCAGCTGAATTAACGTTCTCTTATTGAACACACTGGAGTAACTAGCACCCTGGTTAAGAGCAATCCCAGCCTCTCAGAAGCCTCCTTAGACCCACCCTCCAAAGTAACCATCACTATGATAGGCAAGCATAAATTTGTTCTCTCTGCTTGTGTACTAATACATTTGGGATCATAGTCTACCTTGAGACTCTTTGTTTTGAAAAGATACGGACCAGAGAAGGATGCATTTCAAAAGATCCACCCAGGAAGACTTCTTGGAAGAGGTGATATTTAAGAGAGGATCTGAAGGAGGCAATAGACAAGAGGAAAGGGGAAAAGGGAGGGAAGTTGGTGAGGGGAAGACAGCATCAATTGAGAATGAGACACATAAGCTAAAATGTTATCTCCATATCTAATGAAAACCCTATTGGAGCAGTGACTCATACAGTAATCCCAGCACCTTGGGAAGCTGAGGCGGGAGGATTGCTTGAGCCAAGGAGTTTGAGACTAGCCTGGGTAACACAGAGAGACCCTGTCTGCAAAAATAAAATTAATAGAGTGTGGTGGCTCGAACCTGATATCCATGCTACTTGGGATGCTGAGGAGGGAGGATTGATTGAGCCCAGAAGCTTGAGGCTGCAGTGAGCTATGATCGAGTCACGGCACTCCAGCCTGGGAGCAAACAAGATCTTGTCTCTAAACACAAAAGAAAAGAAAAGAAAACCCTATTGCGCCAAAGGTATTTTTAAAAGACCTTCCTTGCATGTATCCTCAGCTTCATGTTCAATCCTTCCACAGATTTTTAATAAGCACCAATACGGTGCTCAACCTGAGGATATAAATGTGAATTTGGGAAGACAGACAGGAAAAACACAAAAATACATGAAGAAAATACAGAGAAAGAGTGGGACAGATAGGGTAGGCAACAAAGGTACATTTGAGTTTAGAGTGAAGAGGAAAGATAGATCTGGAGGAGGAACTTTGTAGAAGGAAAGAATAAGAGTAAAGGTCCTGAAACCTATACAGGAGGCACTATGGTGACTGAGACATTCTCTCTGTGCTCAGGTATCACAAGGCTACCCCAAAGCCCAGTAATTAGAGCACTGCCCTGCACAAGGTAGGTGCTTGGCAAATATTTGTTTAATTGCATCAGTGGTAAAACAGGTGAACTAACAACAAATTCGATATGTTGTGTGCTTTGAGGGGGAGGATTGATAGGCTTCTACAGTGTGATTAGAAGACTTGAGTGAATCCAAGAACAAATGCCTTTTCTGTTCCTTGCATGCAAGAAACTCTGCAAACTCTATTCACTTGTTATAAAATTCAACTTTTGTACAGAAAAGTTTCCTATGCCTAGTGCCTTACCAGAATCACCTGGGACCTTTAAGATTTTGAGATTTTTCTGACACCACCCTGGAATCTAATTTAGTAAGTCTAGGATGTGGCCTGGGGTTCTTTATCTTGAAAAACAAAAAATCCCCAGGTGATTCTGATGTTCAGCCAGCATGTGAACAACTGTTCTGGAAGGTAGGGTTGAGTCATTCCAATCAGTTCATGCCCTTACACATCCCAAAGTTCGAGTGCTGGATCCTAGGAAGCGAAGTTCCCTGGAGACTTAAACATAGCCTCATCCCAAGACACCAGCTCTTATAAGAAGTTTCCCCAAGTGCCAGAGTCTATGGTTTAGCACAGTATTTTCCAATTCTAGCAATGCCCACACCATCTCTTTCACATTTTGCCATTTCCACATCCCACCTGAATCACTTTTTACTCTCTATTGTTCCTTTAATATACTTATTTTTAAAATTCCACTTAATGGGTTTAAATATTAGATTGCTCTTACGCAAGGAGAGCAGGATCTTTAAAAACAGAAGGTAACTCTAAATCGAAAGCATTAAAAACAAAACATTTTTTTAATTCTTTTTTTTCTTTTACTTTAAGTTCCGGGATACATGTGCAGAATGTGCAGGTTTGTTACAAAGGTATACACGTACCATGGTGGTTTGCTGCACCTATCAACCCGTCATCTAGGTTTTTAAGCCCCTCATGCATTAGGTATTGGTCCTAATGCTCTCCCTCCCCTTGCTCCCCACCCCAACAGGCCATGGTGTGTGTTGTTCCTCTCCTTGTGTCCATGTGTTCACATTGTTCAGTTCCCACTTATGAGTCTTATGAGTGAGAACACATAGTGTTTGGTTTTCTGTTCCTGTGTTAGTTTGCTGAGAATTATGGCTCCCAGCTTAATCCATGTCCTGGAAAAGGACATGATCTCATTCTTTTTTATGGCTGCATAGTATTCCATGGTGTATATGTGCCACATTTTCTTTATCCAGTCTATCATTGATGGGCATTTGGGTTAATTCCAAGTCTTTGCTATTGTAAATATTGCTGCAATAAACCTACATGTGCATGTGTCTTTATTTTAGAATGATTTATAATCCTTTGGGAATATACCCAGTAATGGGATTGCTGGGTCAAATGGTATTTCTGATTCTAGATCCTTCAGGAACCACCACACTATCTTCCACAATGGTTGAACTAATTTACACTCCCACCAACAGTGTAAAAGCTTTCTTATTTCTTCACAGCCTTGCCAGCATCTATTGTTTCTTGACTTTTTAATAATCACCATTCTGGCATGTGATGTTATCTCATTGTGGTTTTGATTTGCATTTCTCTAATGATCAGTGATGATGAGGCTTTTTTCATATGCTTGAAAACAAAACATTTTTAAAAGTCTAGCTAGATACTCTTGTCCCTCCCAAGCTTCTGAGCCTAAGATCCGTGGTATCTTTGTTGAAAAATAGAAGTTAGCAAGCATTAGGTATAAAAGAGACACGAGCACAAAATGGTTATTTTATCAGATTGAAAGAGAATTGAAAGGGAATAACTTTCTTACTATGTGATTCAATATTATTTAACATCTTGTCTACAGCACTGGGTACATAGTGTTATACATCCCGCTGGTGTAAGCCAAAACCATTTTCGTGGATAACTAAGCTAACTATTAGTAACGGTATGAAAAAATACAAATTAATAAAAGAACATTTCAGAAATGTAGATCCAACAATGTGTTAATAGCCAGCCAGAAAGTAGGTACTGCAGAATTGTTACAAGTCCCCCACATTATATAACCAGCTATTGAGAACAAGGAGAGAGCGGATGTAAAATTCTGAGAAGGATATTGGATAGAACCTCAGGGAAATTCTGTCATCCAAAGTCATCTTCTCCTGCCCATTTCCTTCCTGATTGTCTCCAAGGCTGGACCCAGCTTCCAAATTCCCTCTTTTTTAGTTCCCAGTCTTTGGGATGTTATTATAACATCCAAAAGCTTTTTGAAGGTGATGATCCTACCTTATGCATTCCAAAATCTGCTGTGCTTGGGGCAAGGCCTGGTAGACCTAACAGGCGCAGTAGATGTCTGTGAAATAACTGGCTGAATGTAACACAAACACCACACCAGCAGGCATGGGGCTTGCACAGAGCATGGCGGCTTCATGGTGAGGTTGCTGCAGCTTCACTCCTCTTCTGTTCAGGCCTCCTGATCCTATAAACAAGTATCCCCTAATCCCACAACGGTGGTTCCTTGGCTGCAAGGCTGTGAGGTTTTATTCAATAGGCTATGGTCCCTTGCACAGTGCTCTGTAAAAATGTATTGGGTAATTAGAATTAATACCTTTTTTGTTGACATTGCCAACTATGAAATCGGGCTTTTTCTGCCTCAGTTGCCTAAGGACTAGGCTGGGACTGGGTGGAGTTGGTCATGGGTGGAGGCTTCTCGGGTGATTTAGGGCAAGTGAGTTAACAACTTGTACCACACATGTGAGATGGAGAAGTGCGTGAGGATGTTAAAAATGATTAAACAGCACTTTGCAAACAATCACAACAACACTTTGTGGCTGACAAGTAGGATAGGGAAAGTTGAGTGTCATACAGCCCAAAGAACTGTTAAGAAAAATATTCATGGAACTAGTCAGAACTGGTAGTTCCCCATAAGCAGGTGGGTGGGTTGTAGTGGGAAGTGTCCCAGATCAGACTGGGCAGGCCTTGCTGGGGTGGTGGGGTGGGGGTGATCATGGTGGGAGGAGGAGTATTGAGGAGTGGGCACAGGTGAAACCCCATCGCGACGGCCACCATTACAACATCACCCCTTGAACCCTTAAGTTACATTAATATCTAAGCCTGACTTGGCTTTATAGTTAACAACATTGAGTATGTCTGATTACAAAAGAACAAACAATTTGGGGGCAGATGTTCTCTAACTGGTGTGAGCAGAAGTTTCACTTGTAGGGATGGATGGGTTACATGTTCAAAATACAGATCTCTAAGCCTTCATCCGGAATTTTCTGATTCAGAAGATCTAGGGTAGTGATGCTAAGCCAAGGACGATTTTGCCTACCAGGGGACATTGGGCAGTATCTGGAGACAGTTTGCATTGTCACAACGGAAGCCTGGGATGTTCCTAAACATCCTACATTGAACAGGACAGCCCCTCCTAACAAAGAATTATCAGACCTTCAATGTCAATAGGGCCTGGGTTAGAAAATCTTGCTCTAGGGCAAGGACCAGGTACGTGCATCTTAACAAGGGCCTCAGGAGATTTTAATGCGGAAGCAGAAGCCTTACACGGTGTCTTTTTGATACAAGGGCTTCAGTATCAGAGTTCCCTTTTTGCCTACCCGTTTGTTATATGTAAGACTCAGCTTTGACTTACCTCTTCCCTTGAAGCCCCGCCTGGTAACCATCCTTCCTTTCGCCAAGTTCAGGGTAATCACTCCTCCTAAGAACACCTTCACCACATACTTATAACCAACTGATCTTTGGCAAAGCATATAAAAACATAAGTTGGGAAAAGGTCTATTCCAGTGTTCTCCAGCCTTTTTTTCACCAGGGACTGGTTTCATGGAAGACAATTTTTCCATGGACCAGGGCAGGGTGGATGGTTTTGGGATAAAACTGTTTGACCTCAGATCATTAGGCATTAGATTCTCATAAGGAGTGTGCAACCTAGATCCCTTGCATTCACAGTTTACAATAGAGTTAGAGCTCCCATGAGAGTCTAATGCCCCTGCTGAAGTGACAGAGCTCAAATGGTAATGCTTGCTTACCCCTACCTGCTCACCTCCTTCTGTGCCACCTAGTTCCTTACAGGCCATGGACAGGTGCTAGTCCATGGTTCAGGGGTTCGGGACCCCTGCCCTATTCAATAAATGGTGCTGGGAAAATTGGATAGCCACATGTAGAAGAATGAAACTATCCCTGTCTCTGACCATATATAAAAATTAACTCAAGATGGATTAAAGACTTTAAACATAAGACCTGACACCATAAATATTCTAGAAGAAAACCTAAGAAAAACTCTTCTGGACATTGGCTTAGGCAAAGAATTTCTGACTAAGCCCTCAAAAGCAAATGCAACAAAAATAAATAAATAAATGGAGCCTAATTAAACTAAAAAAATTCTACCCAGTAAAAGAAACAATCATCAGAGCAAACAGACAACCTACAGAATGGGTGAAAATATTTGCAAACTATGCATCTGACAAAGGACTAATATCCAGAATCTACAAGGAACTCAAACAAATCAGCAAGAAAAAAAAAAAAATAATCTCATTAAAAAGTGGACAAATGACGTGAATAGACATTTCTCAAAAGGAGACAGACAAATGGCCAACAAACATAATGAAAAAATGCTGAACATCAATAATCACAGGGTAAATGCAAATTAAAACTGCAGTGAGATAGCACCTTACCCTAGCCAGAATGGCCATTATTAAAAAGTCAAAAAACAACAGATATTGGTGTGGATGTGGGGAAAAGGGAACTTTTATACCCACTGCTGGTGTGAATGTAAATTAGTACAATCTCTATGGAGAACAGTATGGAGATTTCTCAAGGAATTAAAAGTAGATCTACCATTTGATCCAGCAACCCCACTACTGGGTATCTACCCAAAGGAAAAAAAGTCATTATGTCAAAAAGACACCTGCAGGCGTATATTCATTGCAGCACAATTGCAAAGATATGAAATCAACATAAGTGCCCATCAACTGATTATTGTATAAAGAAAATGTGGTATATATATCTATATATGTGTATTTGTGTATATATATGTGTGTTTGTGTGTATATACACACATATATATACACCGTGGAATACTACTCAGCCATAGTAAAGAACAAAATAATGTCTTTCACAGCAACTTGGATAGAGCTGGAGGCCGTTATTCTAGGTGAAGTAACTCAGGATCAAAAACCAAATACCACACGTTCTTGGTTATAAGTGGGAGCTAATGCATGGGTATGCAAAGGCATATGGAAAGATATCATGGACATTGGCAACTCAGAAGCGAGGAGTATGGGAAGGGGGTGAGGACTGAAAAACTACCTATTGGGTACGATGTACACTACTCGGGTGACGGGTGCACTGAAATCCCAGACTTCACCACTATGCAATTCATCCATGTAACCGAAAACCACTTTTACCCCTAAAGCTATTGAAATAAAAAAAATAATAAAGCAAAAAAAAACACCTCTAGTCCCAGCCTGCATCAAATGCCCTCAGTTGCTTTGCCCTCTCACTGGAAGGAGCACTCCTTGAGGGCATGGTCTAGGTTCACCTTGTTCACAGACTTGCCCCCAACACCTCAAAAGGTGCCTGGCCGATAGCAGAACTCAATAATCACATGTTTGTTTCAATCTCTCTGTGCTCAAATGCCATATCCTACATTGAATCTAGAGCCACCCACCCCCTTTTAGACACTATTACAGCACTCAGCTTAACGTCTTCATGGAGCGAATCACTCAAAGTATCCTGTTTATTTGCTTGCTTACTTTTCATTCATTCAACAAATATTTTACTGGGCACTTATTATATGTCTTGTGCTTTGCCAGCACTTGGGGATATAAGAGAACAAAGAGGCAAAAATCCTTCCTTCCATTGGAGCTTACATTCAAGAGGGGAACTTGTACAATCAACAGAATAGAAAACTGTCTATAACCTGTGTGACACTCACTGATCAGCTCACTGGGGAATAACAAAATGGAGAAATGGGGCAGGGAGTGTGTGTGTGTGTGTGTGTGTGTATTTTAGGTGAGGTAGACCTTTGGGAAAAGGGGACATTTAAGCAAAGATTGGATAGCTGGGGGGCACTTGTCTGCACTCCCCCATTAGAATATAAATACCAACATGGCCACCACCTTCCCTTTCTCTGTGGCCTCTGTGTCTCCAGAATAGGCACATAGTAGATGCTCAATAAACATTCTTCAAAGGAAACAAAAAGAGGAGTATATGATTAGACCTTAAAGTAGACAGAAGGGAGATTTTTGTTTTTGTGACCACCCATTGATTAGCGAGAAAGTGGGAGGGACAGGGGCACTAAATTGAAGGGGTCGTGGGGAGCACATTTTGGTGGGGGCAGGTTAAGACTTACAGGATGGAGATCCTCACTGGATAAGGTCCCCTCCCCCTTCCCAGCCCCGAGCAAACCTAAGTTCTCCCTCTCCTAAGATTGTGCATGGTCCCTGCTGGTCAGCCAACCTGGCCCCCCTGAATCTCCCTCCACAGCCTCCCAGCTTCAGAGTTCAGCCATCATCACACTGCCTCCTTTTCTCCCGCACCCCTTCCCTCCTCACCTCCTTTCCTCCCGCCCCCGCCCCTTCCGCCTCCCGGAGGGGTGTCCCCGCGCCCGGTGGGCACGCCCTCGCCCCGGCGGAGAGGGCGCACAGAGGGGCCTGGGCCGGCGCGCCGGGGCCCCCGCCCCCAGCCCCTCTCCCCTGCGGGACGCTGTCCCTTTAATAGGCTCCCGCTGCCTGGCGCTCTGCGGCTGGGGAGTAAATTTCTCCCTGTCATCAGGTCGCGGGGAGAGGAGGAGGAGGAGGAGTTTGTTAATGTTCAGTTTGTTCAGCGGGATCGATGTTTGCTGGCATCGCCTCGCCCTGTCTTGTGTGTGTGTGCGAGGGTGTGTGTGTGTGTTTGTGTGTGTGTGCATATGTGGGGGGTGTGAGTGTGTGTGTGCGAGGAAGCGGGGGTGCGTGCGCGTGTGAGTGCGTGTGTGAGTGTCTGTGTGTGTGTCTGTGTGTGTGTGTGAGTGAGTGAATTCCAGATTTTCTGTCTTTCCAAAACCCGCTCCTGTCCTCTCGCATATCACTCACAGACGGGGATCTGACAGCAGCCACAAACCTACAGTGAGTGATCGCTCTCCCCCCGGCACGAATCCGCCATAGAGATCGGCGAGGAGGAGGAGGAGGAGGAGGAAGAAAAGAAGGAGGAGGTGGAGGAGGAGGTGGAGGAGGAGGAGGAGGAGGGAAAGAGGAGAAGGAAGAAGAAGAAAAAGAAGAAACCCACTACCTTCCCAGGATTGCCTTTTTTTTTTCCTTATCTTTACGCGCGAGTGTGCCTGTGGCGCGTGTGCGCCCCTCGTCCCTTCCATCCGAACCCGGGCTTGGATGTTTAATAAAGAAATCAAGTGTCTCAACAGTCACCAAAAAAAAAAAAAACCGCAAAAACAAAACCAAAAAAATTCCAAAAGCAAAAACAAAAAAGAGAGAGGAAAAAAAATTCAAAATAAACAAACAAACAAACAAGGCAGAACCAACCTCTACTTCAAAGCAGCCGGCACAAGCCACCCGTGTCTGCCACCCAGAGAGGGGGGTCTCTGGCCCGTGGTGGAGGAGTTGCAGGGGGGATCGTCAGGGGGACAGAGGCCGAGTGACGTCCTAGGAGCCACCGGGCAAGAGGCGGAGGAGACCCAGAGAGGCCAGAGAGACAGCGGGCCCCAGCGCGCGGCTCGGGGCTGGGGCGCCAGAAGTGGGACTGGAGCGAAGTAGAGGATGCCGAGGAGAAAACAGCAGGCACCCAAGCGGGCGGCAGGTAAGAGAAACGGCTCCGCTTCGGGGCTGCCCTGTGCGCCGAGCTCCTCGCCCGCCCTCCTTGCCCCTGGGTGCCCGGGGGCACCACCCACTTAAGCTTTCGGGGGAGTTTGCGCCGGGTGCCCTTCTAATAACCCCGTCCTCTCTCGCCTTCTCTGGTCTCCCAAATCCTCCCCTTCCAAGCTCCGGTTGGGTTGGGGTGAGCTATCCCACCAAGCCTTTCCTCCTTAAACTTTCTTTCCTCCACCCTCTACCCCACCCCTAACTTTCTTCCAGTCTGTTTCTTGCCTCTCGGGCCAAAGTCGGATTGAGGATTTGGGGTGCGGAGTAGGGAGACAGCCCCTCCACCCCTGCATCCCTCTGCGTGGTCAGTGCCAGTGGCTTTTGGCCTCCAGGGATAGCGTCTCCTCTCACTGGGGCTTGGGGCGCTGAAGTGTGAGGCATACCTAACACTCGGGCTGCAGGCAGGCTTTGGGGCCAGCAATAGGAGTTTAGCGTTGATCACCAAGGTGGACAAAATGCCCCCAGGAAATGGATGACTCTTTGCATATATTTTCTAAAAGGATCCATATTTGGAAATGTAATTAACAATTTCCCTATTCTTTAAAAAAACCAAAAAGGGTTGTAGGGGGGAAATTCCCCATAGAAATTTAAACAGCTCTGGATTTTCTTTGCCTAGAGAGTTGCAAACTTTGTGAAATGATTCGTACTGTAAAAACTATCCCATCTGAATCCTTACTGCCCCCTAAAAAAGATAAGAACAGGTTAATGGATCAGTACAATAGACCTTCTAAAGTTTTTTTTTCTTTTGGGTTGCTTAATTGCTTTTTTAATAGTATGCTGGGGTTTTGTTTCTCGGAAATGTAATATGAAAGTTCATTTTTCTTCTGCCAGACCCACCCACTGAAAAATCAGCTTTCCACTTGATTGCTAGTTTTGATTTGACATTTGATTGATCACCTGTCATCTCGCTGCCTTTGATCTATTCATTCTTGATATATATCAATAAATCACTCACCATGGTAACTCAGAGTGCCAGTGACGCAAACCTTGCCCTCTATATTCAGAGCCAGACATGCACAATTATTATCTTGTTTGGCTTTTAATGTGGGCGTTTTTATTTCTTTGTGTCCTTTAGTTGAATCAGGGCTTTCGCAAAAAGCTTAAGTTTAGTTGTTTTTTCCTCTCTCTCTGTCTTTACCCTCTTGATTTAGGCAACATTAGGTAAGACTGGTCTTCTGCAGACCCACCTCCACATTTCATTCTGTTCCAACTCTAGCAAAACATAGGGAGAAGTTTGGTGGAACACTTTCATAAACTTTGCAAAGTCACCCTTAGAACAAATCCAAAGTTAGTTAGGAATCTGAGGAGAGTGGGCATCCCTTGTCTGAATGTGTTGAACCACCAAGCTCATCCTCCTTCCTCGCCTGAGTGTTTCAAAATATCCACAATTATCATTCCTTCTGAGCACAGAATTGCTTCCCTATTTGTAAGTTGGTTCAAGTGGCATGCAGAAATATTGATAAAGCGTGGATTCATATATTTTCTGATCGTTTCCCTAAAAGCAAAATAATTAAAATATTTTTAGTGAGGTACGTATTTGGAACTTGCCTCATCAGTGAGGTTTTCTTTTTTCAACTCTAGTTACTTCTTTGGAAAACAATGTCTCTTTCCTACCGTTGTCTCTTTCTGCATTTAACTCACTGATTTCCTAAAACTTAGGCTGCTTTGCAATCTGACAGCGTGTGGATGTGTTCAATGGCCTTTGAGACCCAGGAACAGTGAGCCTGCTGCATCTAGTTCTGGCAACATAAGTTTAAGTGTAGCTACATTATTAGAGATAACGTCCTTATTGTTGTCCCGAAAGAGAACCCTGGGCTACGGTCCAGCAAGAAGTGATACTGCCCTGAAAATTACTCTTTTTTTTTTTCTGGTTGTTCCGGTAAAGACTATCAACAACTAGGCAGTAATTTAAATTACCAGAATGACTGGACATGTCTCCTTTAGTAAGCTCATTACAAAAAGTGCATTGCTCAGAATTGCTCGACTTTGATTATAATTATCCTACGATCGATAAGGATCCAGGTGTACGTAACATAACACTGTATCACATTATTTAAATCAGGTCCTTTTCATTAAGCTGTGTCTGTTGGTGCTGGCTAGTTTATTGGTGTGTGTGGGTGTGTGGGGGTGTGTGTGTGTGTGTGTTAGAAACTTGTAACTATAGTTTCAGTTTTCTGGCCTATTATATTCCTACTGTCTTTGTATGTTTGTTTTGTATGATTCTTATTATTTTCACCAGAAGCGGAAACCCTTTTTAAGCTGAAAAAGGATGATTCATTTCGTACACAGTGAGGGCCCTCTTACCTTATTTATTTGCTCACATATTAATAGAGGAGACAGTTTTTCATGCAGTGTTTCTTCTGTTCATCTAAGGTCATCAATGCCCTACTCTATTTCAGCTGAAGTGGTTATTCACAAGTAAAGTTAGCCACTTTGGGGTTCTGTAGTCAGTTAACATCCAGGGAAGGGGAGAAGGTGGGTTCTAAGATTATGGCCATACTAACTTTTATCACTGCTTAAAATTAAACACAATGCACAACTGTAAGTAATTACACCCAAGGACTGATGTTGAAAGCTTGATTTCTAGCTTGATTAATGAATAATGGGAGATAGAAAAAGCCTGTGAGTGGATCCGAGCTGAGGCTCTCCCGGAGCGCTCTTTTTCCCAAGAACTGTTCCAGGCAATTTGATTCCTTTGTATTATTAGTTATAAGTTCCATGTTTCAAGGAATCAATTACAGAACTTTCTACTAAAGCAGGTATCTAAACAGAATAAACAAGATGATATTGTAAGTGATGAGGAATTTTAGTCTTTATTTGTTATGTTCCTCCCCCTTCAGGGGGAAGGGATGTGAGGGGACAATTCTCTTTAAGGAAACAGCTAAATCAGAGTATTTCCCTCTGAAATGTCATTCTTCCTGGCTTTCTTAAGCTATGCTATTCCACCATACTATTACTTAGGGCAAGAAAAAAAAAGTTGAGAAAGCAGCCTACAGTACCCCAGGGGTTTGTGTTGTGTGTGCATGCTTGCTTCCTTGGATGTATATTTCACTCACCATTAAAATACATCCACTATTACCTGAAAATATTGCAGGATTCAGTACCAGCATTTTCCCCTTCTATGCATTTCAAGGGAGATAGAGAAAATGGCAGGAAAGTAAAACAGAACGGTGTTTTGATTTGTTTGCATTTTGCAGGATGCAGAGTGGTTAAAAATTTAAAATTGTAGACTTAGAATCTAACTCTTGATTTTCTACAGCCTATCTCAGCCTCTGTGCGCGCACATAAATAATACGTATTTTATTTCACCATACTGAACTGCTTTTATATTAATGACAGCCAATTGCAATAGAACACACAATCTTTTGTGAGCACATCTTGTGAATATATCTTTTATATATGTAAGTTATAGGATTCTGCCCCTGCCCACCCAAAGCAATTAGATGTTTCCCTCTTGCTGACTCTTAAAGGCTTTCTGATCACCCAGATCTGAAGAGTCTTGCAAGAAAGAACAGCTCCCTCAATTTATTTTGTTTATTTAATATGGAGATGAATAATGCAGATTTTGTTTTCATGAATGTCCTTGTGTGGCAGTAAACATTAGACTATTAGCAATCATTACTTAAAAGTTGCAATTTGCACCTTAATAACACAGGTTATTTACATGGGAAACATAGTCAACAGGGACAACTCTGAACACTGCAACAGAGCAGAAATGACCTCAGAGATCTCTTTTCCACCTCTTGATAGTGATGACTCTGAATTAACCGGTGAGGTCCCAGAAATCTCAACCAACAGGATGGAGGGAGGGGGCAGGCAGCTCAGGGCGAAGTTTACCTTTAATTTACTGTCAAGTGGGACAGCTTTCAAGAGACTAGGAATCGGGTAGATTTGGGACCCTTCCTCCCTCACTTTGTTTAAACATCCTTCAGAAAGACAAGTTCACATCTTGAATATTTAAATATCTCACGCGATGGATTCCTTCACTTGCCCAAAAGTATGTTTTTAACAAATGAATGGAAAAATACACACACACACACACACACACACACACACACACACACACACACACACGCATGGACACAATAAAGTCCAAAGGGTCTTAGCAGCACAAACTCTTTTGGCCATTCTTGTTACTTAAGGCAGATATCTGAAAAAGGAAGGATAGATTCCTTGAAATCGCTTGGTCCACACAACATTTTGGACGGAAATTGATTGCTTAAGTGGTCCTTTTCCCACCCCCGTCTTGATTTCCTTCTTCCACCTCTCACCTCACCCTTAAAGACTCAGACTGAATAGGACATCTCAAAAGCCCATTTGTTTTAGGCATTTATTGATTTCATTTTTAATCTGCCATATCAGGACACAATACGTTAACCCTAATCAGCAGATTACAAGTGACAGAGAGTTTAGTGGAAACTCTGTAAGGGAGCAGGGGCTCCGGGAAACTTCTTGACAATGAAAATCTTCTCTGAGGCTTAAGAGTTTGGATGCTGAAGATTACTTTTGGGGAGGGGAGAAACATTCCTCAGAAACAGTCTACATTTTTTTCTTCCACTTTACATTTCTTTATCTCCCAGTTGCCCATTCTACTGCTACACTTTGGGAATGCTTAACACCCAAGAAATACCTCCCAAGTATTTTTAGGAGGTCGGTCCCTGAAGCAGCTTGACTTTTGTCATAGTCTCCAACGGACGTTTATGCTTTCATTTCATCCCAGCTGATTTCTCATTCATTTGACGGAATTTCTCCAAAGGATAATACCTGAGTTGATCTGTTTCTTTTCCCAGGGCCTTGGGAATTGTGCTGTCCATTGAATGGGTTTTGGTCATGGGGGTGGGGGCACAGACTGAGCCTGGCATTTTTTAAAGCCATTGAAATGATGCCTCACTGTTCATCACTGCAGCTGAGCTTATCAAGTCAACCAAGAAGAAAACCTAGGCCCTGGTCACGTTTGTGCTATGCCTGTAATTAGCTGACACGAGGTAAATGTCCAAAGTCGACCTTCCCTTCCATCACTGTATTTATACTATCAATTTTATTTGGGAATGTCATGGTCTGGGAAGACTCAGCCACTATTTCGAAGGCAATGCCTGCTTCTACCTAGGTCCCCTTTAAAAAAACACAGAAATTGCCGAACAAATTCTATATTAAGACCAGGCATACACGGAGTATCATTTTCGTTTGATGCAAAGTCAGTTGGAAATACATTTAACTAACAGTTAAATAGTGTCTTGCATCGCTTCCCTGAAGCAGTGGTTTTTCATTACATATTTAATTACAATCAAACTGAACGACTTTTATTAAAAAAATCACAGTGGTATTAAAAGAAGCCTGGCGCACAAATAATTTTATTGCTTCACAAGTTGAGAACGCTTTTATATTTTTATTTCTTTGAGAGAAATTTATTTTAATTTTCTAATGTTGTGATAAATACAGACTATCTTTTACTGTAGTCTGTAATCAGGGAGAGCTTATCCTTCTATCTTTATAGAGTCTGCTTACCCCAGAATAGGTTTTTACATTCATTTTTCAGTAATTTGTAACAATTGGTATTTTTAATTTTTTTTTTAAGTTTTACAAGTTCTATTTAAAGTTAGAAATTCTCACATTCCTTAGGGTGATCTTTGGCAAGCAGCTCTTCGATTATAGGAGGAAGTTAGTCATTCTAACCACATAAGAAAGTGGAGAGTACTTGCTTGCTTACCTGAATATTACAGTAAGAAAAAAACACCATCTATTTACATGCCTCTAACATGTAACACTATTTTCACTGGATTTATAATTTCTTTTTTTTTTCCTCCTACTGACCTTTCATTCACTTGTTTTGGGAACTTTTTCTGAGAAGAACGTTTAGAGATAGCATTTAAAGTGGATTTCAAGATACATCAGATTTTAAGACATTGTAATAAAAATTAGAGACTTCAGAGCCCAACGGTTCACTGCTAGTCTAGGTCTGCAAACTAATGAGAAAGCACCTCTGCAAACACATAGTTTCAACTTTAACTTGCACATGAATGGGGAGCGTCTCCAGCAGTGTGGCCGTATCCATATTGCTCATTTTGTCCGAGAAATTATTTTGTCCAAGGGTATCAGACTGAGGTCCGTTCAAAGACATTATATACATACACAGAGACACAGAAGAGAAATCTGAGATGCGAGTGGGAATTGCTGATATATTTGTTTCCAAAGCAAACTCCATGAATGAAATGATTCAATAATTTGGAGGCATTTGAAAGTCATTAAAATGGCCATTTGGAATTTTCAGTTGTTGCCTCCCTCAATTTTTTACGTTTCCCCTGTAGAAAAAGACATCCTCTGGGCACCCTCAAATATTCTGGGATGCTAAAGTCATGCTAAAATTATTTACAATTTTAGAAATTAAAATTCAGGAGGCACAGCAAGATAATCCGATTATTAATATATCAGTATTATTTAGCTATGCATAACAACAGGAAAACGCACAATGCAAAAGTTTTAGAGATAATGAGCTTAGAGAAATTACATGGGGGGAAGAAATACCTGGATCATATTTGAAAGCATTTGTCTTGAATTCTGCTCATCTAAATGAGAGCTCTCTTTCTACCTGTGTCATTTAAAAAACAATTTCAATATCCTCCTACCTGCTACCCCAGCCTGAAGCAGGGACTAATGAAACTCTCTCTGGACACACAGATGTAAGACACTATATTACACAACACTTTTTAAAAAATTGTTTCAGAAAACCAAATGTGGGCATGCAAACCAAAAGAAAAACCTCAAGGATCTTCGTAAGATAGCTAGCTCAGGGTTCAAGATCAAGAGAACTTTGTTGCGGCAGGATAAGAAGACAACAGCATTGCGTTTTAGCTAAACATCTCTTCTTGGCAAATGAGAAGCGGTGAAGCAGGGAAGATTTTTTTAAGGAGCTTTTTAGCTCTTTTGCATCTCTCTCCAAAGACTAATTTAATTGAAAAGCTGTAGTGTCCATTTATGATTAAGGAAAGGCCTCATGTTTCCACAACACTGCTAGACACTAAGGTGGGTTTGAAGAAAAAAAAAAAAAGGCCAGCATTCTGCAGTTTCTGTTAGTATAAAAATTAAGATCACTGGTCTTAATTACTTGAGTGCTTTCAGAACTGAAGGAATACTCTAAAATCACCCCTGAGCTTTCTTCTTAAAGCCACATCTAAGCCATTTCTATGGAAATTATATAGTTTAGATATTAAGGTGGGTAGAATACAGTTATTGCTTTTAATGAAAATAGTTACGAAGGGCAGAATGAGATAAAAACAGAGTTGGCAGCAGCCATTCTATTTGTAATGAATTTGAAAGAAACTTCCGTAATGCTTTACTGGATCATGAAAAACCCATGAAACCTTGTGACATGGGAGATACAAAAATGAGACAGAGGGTCAAGGTCTTCTATAGGGGAAAAATGGCTTGTGTAAGTGAGAGCAGTGGCATATAAATATCTCTATATAAACTGCACAGGGCTTACTTTAAATCACTTCAATTTATCAGATCCTTGGAATTTTTTTTATGTATTTAGGAGCCTCTCTTTTATACCCCAGAGAGATATGAATAGCTTCTGGGCCAAGATGATGCTGTAGAGAAGAGTCAAATCTATTCTATGTGCACGGTGCCATTTGGTACAGAAGAAATGCCAAAATGAAAAGCCATAAATGCGTTTTATATCAGAATTGCCTTTGGCTATTTTCCTTTATTAGAAAGTTGGGTACACTGCTGAGTGCTTCTTCTTGTTTTCCCCCTTGGGATTAGATTTGAGACTGTGGATGGAACAGCGGAGTAAGGGCAAGTGACTTGGGTTCTGGTTGCAGCCTTGCCCCACGCTAGTTATTTAGCCCCGGGCAAGCTCTAGAGATAAACCTTACTCTCCGGGTAAGAATGTGAGTTTTTGGAGTCAGACTGATTGAAGTTCAAGTCTCTAGGTCTAATTCTTATTCGGCCGCGTAAACTTGGGCAGGCTGCTCAAATCTCTGCCCTCCACTTTCTAATCTATAAAATGGGGGCAATCATATGTTCCAGGTGTGTGGAAAGGATTGTGTCAGAGGAGGGCTGAGAAAGTGTGCTGAAACTGTTAGGCACCACAGGGATACGAGGGAATAGTGTGTCTTTACCCTGAATAACCAGACTATGGAAAATTTATATTAACTGGGAAACAAGCAACTTACCAGTTATCACAGAACAAGGGGTCCAGGGCTTGAAAGAAACCAGATATGGATGGATTTTGATTTGTAAGCCTGGAAACACAATGGCTAAGCAGTGTTTTAGCCTCTTCTCCTGAGGCAGACTCATTCTGGGCTGTTTGGAGTCCAGCACCCGCTCAAAAAAGAGTTTCTTTCCCAAGAAATAGAATTTATAGCACCACCAACAACGGTAACAATGGTAACAATGATATCTGCCACTAAACAAGTGCTTTTTACATACCACGTGCTTTATATGTTTACATTTATTCGTTTACACGGCAGTTATTTCTTGAGTTCCTACTATGTGTCAGATGCTGTTCTACTACCTGGACCTGGAGGTGAATAGGATGGGGATGATCCCTGGGGATCTTGCCCTCCAATTGGGGGAAGCTAGAGAATATACAAAGAAATTTATAAAGGAAAAGATAATTTCAGTATAGAAAAAAAGCTTCATGATGGCAATAGCTTTATAAAAGCAAAATTATGAGAGCAGGAGTTGGGACAACAGAGATGTAGATGGTCAGGGGAGACCTCTCAGAGGAGGGGACATCTGGGCTAAGTCCTGTTCCTTATAACTTTCAAGTATAATCCCTGTTTTACTGATGAGAATCTGAGTAAGTTGCAGGATAACTCATTCAAGTTCGTGCGGTAGCCAAGCTGAGTTTTAAACTCAGCTCTTCCTGCTTCCAAAGTCCATGCATTTAATTTATTATGATCGTTTATCTAGAATAGTCATAGCGAGTTGCCAGGAAGGACCCAAGGAAGAACCCTCAGTCTTATTATTCTCCCCCTGTGTCTATTGTGATGTCTAAAGCTATGGGGTTAATTGAGAGCCTAGACGGAGGATGCTGCCTTTAGCGGCATCTCCAGATAGAATCTTCAGGCCAACTCCTGTCATCTGAAGTTGTCTCTTTATGGGATGTTCTTTCATATGTCCGTACATGCATTCATTTGTTCAACAAATATTGGCTGTGCATCTATTATGTGCCAGGTATTGTTCTAGGTGCTGTAAAAATAACAGTAGACAAGAATAGAGATGCCCCTGCCCTCACACAGCTAATATTCTTGTGGGCTAGCCTAAAAAGCTAACAAACAAATAAATATATAACACAATATTGAATAGTCCTAATTGCATTTCATAAGAATAAATCTGGCTTCATGAGGTAGAGTATGATGGAGGGTTGCCATGTTATATAGAGTGGTCAGGGGAGCTATTTCTCCAGTGGTGATTTGATCAGACCTGAAAAAAAAGTGAGAGACTAGCCAAGCACAGGGCTGGGAGAAGCAGTCCAGGCAGAGGAAGGAGGAAATGCCAAAGGCCTAAGGAGGTGATGTGATCTGATTGGTTATTAGTTGAACATAGGTCCTGTTTGTATTTCAAAAGTGATGATGGACTTGGGCATGTTTGCTCTCTCCGTCTACTTACCCAGCCCCTAGTGATGGTGAGTAGGATGCTTAGGATGATAGAGGTGGCAGCTGGAGATAAAAACACATTCCCAGCCTTCATAGAGAGATTGGTGCTGTGATGGATGACATGGCGAGGCTGTGGAAAGGCATTGTTAAGAGTCAAGCCGACCTGGGGTCCAACTGCAGCCAGCTGTGCACTCAGAAGCAAGTTTCCTCACCTCATTGCACCTCAGCGTTTTCATCTGTCAGATGGGGATAAGAATTTTGCTCACCTCACATTTTACTTGTGATAATTAGATTATGTGACACATATAAAACTCTTGGTGCGGGCCCAGTATTTACATGGGTTCTTCCTCACAAATGAATGTTTTTTATTCTTGCACTTAATTGTGTTTTCTTTTCTGCAGGAATTCTGAGAGAAATCTAGGCACCTGAGTTAGTCCTTGGCACCGTTTAGGCAGTAACCAAATATTTCCTGATGAATGAATAAATGAAACTGTAAAGAAATGAATGCTTTCATTCATATATTGCTTTGTATACTAATTAATTACTTTCAAGTATAAGGATCTCTTTCATAGGTCTAAAACTTTTAGCAGACCTCTGGACCAATTGCAAATCCTAGCTGTTCTTAGAATATGTTTCAAATGAGAAAATATTAATGACCAAAAGACGATGATTTTCGTCTGAATCTTGTATTTTGCGCATCGTGACATCACGTGCCTTCGACTGAAGAGCAGTGATATCCCTTTGTGCGGTAAATATTGTGCATTCATCTTCTAGACAGTGCTTGCTGAGAACATGGATGGAGGGGAAGGAGTGGAGGGTCCTCATTTCTGACCCTGAGGTTCAGCCTCTCCCTGCGCGCTCTCCAAGTGGTGCTCCGAGCCCCCCAGGACCTGGCAACTCTGTCCCTCCCCCACGGGGAACCCGCGCTCATCCCCTCAGGCCCCAGGCGGCGAAGCTTAGGGGTTGTTAAGCTAATGGGAATAGGCTACGGGCTGTTTCCTGGTAACGCCTTCTTCACTTTTTAATTGTCACCTCCAGATAAGTGCCTGAGAGCAGGAAGAAGGGAAGCTGGCTGGCTGCCTGTTAAGATGTATCTTAGGACAAAGAGATTTGGGATCCTGGAGAGCACGGGGGAGATTCTGCTGCCTGCCTTAGGACCTTTATGAACAAGCGTGATGTTGGGAGGGCGGCTGTGGCTGTGTACCAGGTGCTGTAGGAGGCGCTGGAACTGGAGCCTTGCATCCGAATGACAAAGTGCCTGCCTTCCCGGAGCTTACATTGAGTGCGGAGGACAGACCAGGGACTAGCCAGCAGACAGTCCCATGTGTCAGGGTCTGGTGTTTGCAGAGGGTGTTTGCAGGGGTAGAGCATGACAGGAAGTGGCTGTTTTGGATAAGACGATCAGGAAAGGTACCCGTCTGCGGAAGTGATACTGGGTCTGGAGTGAAGCGGTTGGAAGAAAACTGCACCTCTCTGGAGGAAGACAGTGCCAGGCACAGCTGAAAATCCGGGGCTAGAGCTACTGGGAGGAACAGGAGGAGCAGCTGGGAAACTGGGTGGCCGGAGCAGACGGGGAGGGTGAGCAGGGAGGGTAAAGATAAGCAAGCAAGGGGCTGGGGCTGTCACCGAGGTGGGGTGCCTCGGAGGGTGCAGGAGCAGAGTCAGGATCTGACTTAGGTTTGATAGGCTCCTCTGGCTGTCCTGCGATTTATCAGGGACCCAGGTTGCGAGCAGGCCGACCACTCAAGAGGCGTCTACATCAATGCAGTCAAAGGCTATGCTGACTTGGACCAGATGGATGGCGGAAGAGCCATGACAGTGGTCCGGGGAGAGACCACAAGTTTGCAGGCAGGGTGCTAGTGAAAAAGAGGCGTCTACTGAAAGCTGTCCAGGAGAAATCAGACTAGGTTAGCCATGAATATTTTCTCTAATTCTGTCTTCTATTTTTCTCCTCCAGTTATATGTAAGGGTCTTACTGCAAATTGTCAGTCTATCGTTCTCTGAGCCAAAGTGGAAACCAATAAAAGTGTTGGGAGCTGCCTACATTCTAGAACTGACCGTACAGGGAAAGAGGCCACACTTTTCCACGCATATTTCCTGGAGTCCTGGAATGGCTTCTTCACATATTTCTCCACCCCCATTAGACAACTCAGTCACTAGGCAAGAGGATGGATCTTGGAGTCTGACAGACAGGCATGGGTTCAATTTCTCTCCAACGATTATTTCATCTCGGTGCGACCTCAGGCATCTTTGCTTTCCCAGACTTTGTTTTCTCATTAGCAAAACAGACCTAATAAAAGGACTCATTTCATAGGTTTTTTATGAGGATTAATTGAGATAAACCAGATAATACGCTTAACACCGTGGTACTTGCAATGAAGAAAATGGTGAATGGTACATACATGGTAAGTGGTCAATACATTTTAGTCATTCTATTAACAAGTTAATAATCCTCTCCATGCCTTGATTTCCTTATTGGTAGAATGGGGATAATAAAACCCCCTTCTGGGTAGTTGGGAGAAGTCAAGCATTAATACCAGTGAAGCACTTCAAATGGTGCTTTGCATACAGCGAGTGCTCAATAAATGTTAAATTCTTAAAATCATCACCACGATTCTGACCTTATGGACTTTGAAGGGCAGATGTTGTGTCTCATTGCTTTCGTGTCCACAAGACCTGGCACATAGACGATGCTCAATAAATATTATTTGAAGGAGTGAATGATGGTGACATGGTTCTTAGGAGTTAAAATGAGAAAACCCAAGGAGCCGAAAGCATGTCTCTACGGGGAAAGGTTAGAGAGCACTGACTCAAACCATCGTCTCCAATTATGCAGTTTTAATGAGGAAGCAAGCCCAACCTTGAACATTATTTAAGCCAGAGTTATCCCAATAAGCATTTTCCTACCATGAGTGGTAGATTAAGTAGCATTGAGTCATGTAGTGAAAGTAATGTCCCTTCTTCATACCATTTCAATGCCTCTGGTAAGTCAAGAGAAAGTCTTTGATAATAGCCTATTTTTAACACCTCTCACCCTTGTTTGTCAGAAAGAGCAGACCTCAGATTCAGAGACTTTAGCAAGCAAAGATATCCAGTAAAGAAATGAAATAATGGCCGGGCACAGTGGCTCACGCCTGTAATCCCAGCACTTTGGGAGTCCTAGGCAGGCGGATCACGAGGTTGGGAGTTCGAGACCAGCCTGACCAACATGGCGAAACCCCGTCTCTACTAAAAATACAGAAAAAAAAAAAATTAGCCGGGCGTGGTGGTGGCACATGCCTGTAAACCCAGCTACTCAGGAGGCTGAAGCAGGAGAATTGCTTGAACCCGGGAGGCGGAGGTTGCAGTGAGAGCCGAGATTATGCCACTGCACTCCAGCCTGGGCAATGGAGCAAGAATCCATCAAAAAAAAAAAAAAAAAGAAAGAAAGAAATGAAATAATAATCTCAGGGCAGGGCATGGTGGCTCACGCCTGTAATCCTAGCACTATGGGAAGCCGAGGTGGCAGATCACCTGAGGTCAGGGGTTTGAGACCAGCCTGGCCAAGATGATGAAACCCCATCTCTACTAAAAATACAAAAATTAGCCAGGCGTGATGGGGCATTTCTGTAATCCCAGCTACTCCGGAAGCTGAGCCAGGAGAATCGCTTGAACCCAGGAGGCGGAGATTGAAGTGAGCCGAGATCTCGCCACTGCACTCCAGCCTGGGCAACAGAGTGAAACTCCGTCTCAAAAAAAAAGAAATAATAATCTTAGACTTTTGTTGTCTGATTACCATCAATGTATGGCAAATGATATGGGTTTTTCATTGACTATGACATAAATTTTTGTTTTAAAATAAAATTACGGCAAGAAAAAAGAAGGAATGGTTTTAAAGAAATATTAAAAAATCAATTGTGTGTGTGTGTGGTGTGTTTGTGTGTTTTGTGTGTGTGTGTGTATGTAGGGGAAGATGTTGCACAAGCTGTGAAGAGGGGGTAGAATGATGTGAGGACACTGCAATGCCAGGGCAGGGCAAGGTGCAGAAGAAGCTGTGAGTAAGGGCTGTCAAGAAACCCCCAGAAGATAGAGGCTTTCATTAAAACTTCCAAAAACTTTGGAAATCTGAAGGAATCTCCTCTCCCAGGATATCAGCGGGAAGCTCAGGAAAGTCTTTACTCACCCCCAAAATTTTGCAAATATGGAGGGAATGGGAATGATTTCCTGGTTTTGCATCTAGAATAGAGGAGTGGTTCTCAACCTTTATTTGGTATACTCATCACTTGGAGAAGTTGCTAAAATGCAAATTTGCAGATTCCAGACCTACAGCCTAGAGATTCTGATTCCATAGGAGGGGAATGAGGCCCATGAATCTGGGAATCTGTACATTAGATATCCATTAATCCATTTGAATTACAGGATAACAGGAAAAAGTACATAAAATTTATATAAGTTCCCTTTTTTTATACTCTTTCTCTCTCCTCTCTCTCTCTCTTTCTCTCTCCTCTCTCTCTCTCTTTCCCTCTCTCTTTCTCCCTCTCTCTCTTCTCTCTCTCCTCTCTCTCTCTCTCCCCTACCCCCAAAATGCCAAAGCACTTATATTTTAAAAGTTGTTTCAAAGTTGTTTGAGGGGTCCATTTTCACTTGTGGCTTTTAGTGAACAGAAAAAAATATAAGAAGGCTCTCTATTGTGTTACAGCGAGGAAATGCATGCATTTACACATTTGTCTACCTGGTCTCAGCATGAAACAGAGCCCAGAAAAGTCTTCAATTAAGAAGGAGAAAGACAAGCAATCCAGAAAATAATTTAAGAGGGCTTTGTCTGCTTGGGAGCCAGCTGGCAACCTGGGTTCCAGATCAGTGAGACAAGAAAGAAGCAAAAGGGATCTCTCAGACTTGATTCTTTATTTCTTACACCCTACAATTCTCAAGACTCTATAGAATGAGGGCAGAAAACCTGGGTTGTATTTTTTGGAATCTCCTCTACTTTCTTGTTATCTGTTTCATATTTTTTCATACTTTTTCAATGACTTCTCTTCTTTTTTATTCTTCCTTCATTTCCTTTGTTCTTTCCTGATTTCCTTTCCTGAATCAGACTTCCAAGCCCTTTCTATGTAGTACCGGTGATCCATGGGTGAATGTGATAAAAACGATGATGGTGCTAATGATGAACATGACACTAACTGTCATCGCCTTAATGGTTACCATTTCTTGACCCATATAACAACGAAGCCAAAAGGACTAAGCTTGTACCTAACATTTACCAAGCACTGGCTACATTCAGGTTGTTTATATACAATCTCTCCCCGAGACATCCTGTAAGCTGGTTATGATTATTGGCCAATTGAATAGATACGGAAACCTAAGTTTTGGAAATTTCAAGGAGCTTGACTAAGATGATGACAAGCTTTTAGATAGGATACTGAAGCCCAGGCCCACCTATCAGAGTCCAAGCTCTCAGACACTATGCTTTGTTGCTTCTCATAGTATTTCATGCTTAACAGCACAGACTCACATAAATAAACTTCCACAATATAGTATAGATACATGGAGGCTAAGGCCATGAACTGAAATTTAGTGTTTCCCCAGGTTGAAGTAAGTCAATTGTGTTGTAGAAAAAAAAAAAAAAGATCATCCCTACTTATTTAAATCCCCAAACACCATCTTTAAAACTTGAGCCTATGAAGAAAAAGAATAAAGACTTTTGAAATCTCTTATGCTATCCATGATGGCATTTTTGTAAATCCATTCCTGTTTCACTAAACAAAAGTAGAAAAAAATCATGAAAACCCCCAACACAGTCCATCTGGGGCGTCTCAGTAAGAATCGTGCTCACCCACTCCACAGCATCTTTGAGGATGTGGCCTTAAGTCAGACGCTGCTCATCTGTTCCTGATAAATCTCTTGTAGGCTCCAGGACTCTTCCTGGCCATCAAAAAATATGGAACGCATGCAACGACACTGCCCTCTTATTTATTTTAGCAAATGAAAATCTGCCCTCACAGGTTTATGGTCAAGATGTCTAAAAGATGTCTTGTATTTGTATTTAAGAGTCACCTTAACAGTAGGTGACTCTTAAATGAGTACTCCAAATAATAGGATAAGAAAGGTGATCATGAAACTCAAGGGATCCTATCTGAGAGGGAGAATGTTGTCTACACCAGAAATCATGATAGACTCTGTCTGGCAAAAAAAAAAAAAAAAATCAATTGTTTTTAGTTATTATTGGTGATGTTTTTTTTTAACATTTTTGTTTATTTATTTCCTTTTTAGTGGGTCACATTTTAAAACAACCCATTGTGTTAATACAAAGTTTGGCAAACTGCCTTGCCATCTGATTTGAGGTTAATCTAATAAGAAATGGAATGAAATGATCATCCTGTTTTATTGTCTTTAACATTAATGTTTTCTTTGTTAGTATTGGATGGGAAGTCAGTCAGATGGAATAGAAGAAAGAACTGTTAAAAAAATAAAATGAGCTTATTTCACTTGATCAATCAATTTCAGATATAAAATAATTAAGCTTTACAAATAGTTAAGGACTCTTTGAACAACCAGCTTAAAATCTCTGTGCCTCACTCCTGTAAAATAGGCATAAGGAGAGTTCTTACTTCCATGCACTATTATGAGAAGTTAAAAAGGTGATACTTATTACATACTCAGAACAACGCTTGGCGCATAATAAGAATTCAACAAATTTTAGTTATTATTTCCTTTCTCAGTCTCTCCCTAGAGACAGGCACTATTAAAAATCTAGTGTGCGTATCTTCCATTATTTATAGTTTTACATGCATGTATATGTTGTTAGAAGCATTATTATTCTTTCGTATATGTTTTTAAAAGATTGTGTAAATAGTTTCACACTATATTTTGTAATTTTTTTTCCTTTTTTTTTAACTTTATGTTTGGACTCTAACCAAGTAAATAGATAGGTAGAAAAAAGAAAAAGAGAGATGATAGGTTTTAATATATATACATACTAATTATATATATATAACTAATTTCTCTTTATGTGCTTTGTAATATTCCATCATAAGAATGTTCATTTGTATTCATTTATCGGTTCCTCTGTTAATAGACATTTAGCATGTTTTAAATTTTTCACCATTGCACAAAATCCTGTATTGAATATTGGTGGTAATTTTTACAATCTTCACATAAGTAATTTATGTGGAGAAGAACAGTTATGAAAAATTTACTGGATGTAGTAAGAAAATCATTTGGGAAAAAAATAAACATTATTGAAACAGCTAATATTTTATAATTTGAATATTTTTTGTAACTTCACTGAGATGTCTACCCCTCTAATGAAAAATGTCTACCCCTCTAACCAAAGATGTCTACCCCTCTAACCAAAACATTTGCACATAGTAGGCACTTGAAAAATGCCTGCTTGGCTTAAGTACGCTGAACGTAAATAAAATATATCAATAATCCCAATAATAAGTGTGTTAAGAAAACTGAGTAGCTGCCTTGGGGTGGGGTGGGGTGGGGAACAGGGAGAAGTAAAAAGAAAAGCATGAACAACAGAAAAGAAATCACACTTGTCCTCAGTGTTTGTAATAGATCAAGCTTCAGAGCTGGCCAGCTACGGCTTTAGAGATGCCGAGCTCCTGGAGTGTTACAGGTGTGTGGATGGGGTCGGGTCAGGGAAGGAAGAGCCCCCCGGATTTTGTGTTACAAGATGAATTGTTAACAACAGTCAATCCCGCAATTTAACACTTTAAGCAGTTAAACTTAAGTTAATGCAGTTTAGCAAACATATATTGAAGCTCACTGGTAGGTCCAGGGGGTAGAAATAAATAAGACAGAACTCCAATGTTTAGAAGGTCCATGTGGTACAATATGCTTTTCCTAACCAAGACCAACATCATCCTTATAACAGGGATGTGTGTGTGTGTGTGTTGGGTCTATTACCTCTGCGTATTGAGAACACTGTGTGTATATTTTACCCAGCATGACTTGGTTACACTGTATGTATATTTTGATTGTGTATTTCTGCTGTAGGTCTCTTTTATTGTGTGCGTGAGTTGTGAATACATGTATATTATGTGTGTTGTGATTGAACATGTGTGATGTATGTTGTGGGTATTAGTGTGTGTGTTGTGGCAGGGGAAGAGAGCATGAAAAGCTTTTCTGATGCATGATTTTGTGTGGATTATGTATATTGTGGGTATTATTGTGTGTGTTGTAGGGGGAGAGAGTGTGAAAGCTTTTCTGATGCATGATTTTGTGTGGATTATGTATGTTGTGGGTATTAGTGTGTGTTGTGGGGGGAGAGAGTGTGAAAGCTTTTCTGATGCATGATTTTGTGTGGATTATGTATGTTGTGGGTATTAGTGTGTGTTGTGGGGGGAGAGAGTGTGAAAGCTTTTCTGATGTATGATTTTGTGTGGATTATGTATGTTGTGGGTATCAGTGTGTGTTGTGGGGGGAGAGAGTGTGAAAGCTTTTCTGATGCATGATTTTGTGTGGATTATGTATGTTGTGGGTATTAGTGTGTGTGTTGTAGGAGAAGAGAGTGTGAAAGCTTTTCTGATGTATGATTTTGTGTGGATTATGTATGTTGTGGGTATTAGTGTGTGTTGTGGGGAGAGAGAGTGTGAAAGCTTTTCTGATGCATGATTTTGTGTGGATTATGTATGTTGTGGGTATTAGTGTGTGTTGTGGGGGGAGAGAATGTGAAAGCTTTTCTGATGCATGATTTTGTGTGGATTATGTATGTTGTAGGTATTAGTGTGTGTGTTGGGGGCAGAGAGTGTGAAAAGCTTTTCTGATGCATGATTTTGTGTGGATTATGTATGTTGTGGGTATTAGTGTGTGTTGTGGGGAAAGAGTGTGAAAAGCTTTTCTGGTGCATGATTTTGCGTTTGTGGTGGACCTGGCATGTTCATGTGTTCTTGCCAACTATGCTGCTAATGGAATCACTGCAAAGCCCTTCAGGATTTTCCCTGTGAACATGAAGCCGACGTCACAGTGTATTTTCCTGGGGGTTCCCCTGTGGCACTGTACCCTGACCTCCTGGTCATGGCTTGGTTAGAGGAAAACAAAACCACTGTTACACAGGATGTCCCCTGCTCAGGAAAATTTGCTCTCAATGGGAAATGTATAAGAGACAGATAGTACTGGAAGCTCCACACCCTATTGTAATGTCTATTTCCTGGCCTCTCTTCCTCTCCATGCCACATGTTCTATCGTGTCAGGGATTCATCTTAGGAATTGTGGGAACAATTCATTTGCAGTACCTGGAACACAGTCAGTGGGTTGAATGCATGAATGTATGAATGAATGAATGAACAAGGGGTTCTCCAAGGTTCCAGGCCTTTGGAATATTTAGATACCCCAGTTATTTATACTCACAGAGCTGACTGTAGTAGGATCTTAGTAAATGTCATATAGATAAACCGATGCATGCACATGGCACTCGTGAACATTTGCTTATCTCAGAAGCAGGCTAGCAATCGTAAGAAAACAGTTCTTCAGTGGGGCTTTTATTCTTCCTCTGTGGATCCCATAGGAGCCCCTTGTCTCCTGTCCCTTTGGTTTAATTATTGTTCCTTAAGATCAGCAGGGCAGCCCTTCTGTTTACTGTCAAACTGCAGCCACAAATGGAGAGAAAGAATGAAGGGGAAAAAAATCTTCATAATCCAGGTACAGGAATTTCCTCAAAGATTTTTTTTTCTTTAAAAGAGGTGAAAGGAAGGTGGAAAAGTTGGGGAAATGAGTTTCCAAACTTGCCAAACACATAAACCAACAGAATTGTGTTGCTGCCTCCATAAATGTTTAATAAGTTTTATCATCTTGTGACTAAGGTTAAACAAATGTGAGTCCTTTGAGGAATTATTTACTGGAAGCAAAGTTATAGCATCAACATCTGTGTTTCCAATCACTTAGATGAGGAATAGATCAAATAAATCATGAGTAAGTTCCACAAAATAACTTCTGTATTATCATCTCAGGAGAAGAATAATGTAAGCAGCTCTTTTAGGTGCCCTCTCGATTGGAATTTACAGGTTTTTTTCTTAGGCTTCTCTTTTTTTATTCATTTCATTATCTCCAAATAATAAGTCTTCACTGCTTTGTGGAAAGTTACCATAAAAACATCCACAATAGAAGGACTTTGAAATTTCTCTCTGGGAATCTGGCTATTTCAGCCAACATTCTCATTTGGGAATGGGCTAACATTTCCAATATATAACATCCATATAATTTAACCTCATAAATTTATTTTTTTTCACAGTGATGTAATGGGGAGACTGACCTGGAGTTTATAAATGTTCCCTGCTCACTGCATTCCCCCGGGCAACATAACATTCTAGACAGTGTTTTATGTGCCCTGATTAAAATATAACGTATTCTTGCATTTCCTGTGGACTGACCTGTTAGTACTCTTAGCAGAACATTTAAGGAATACAGAGATGTTTTCAAACGTGTAACAATGCACTGTGTGAGGTTTGTTTTTGTTGTTGTTATTAAATCATGATCTCATTTTCATTTTAGATCACAGTCCCCTGGGCGCCCCTCCACAAGAAAAGTTCTGTGCTTTGGTTTGACTTTTGAATCTGCCAGTGCACTCTGACAAATAAAAATAAGCAGGAACGCTTGTTTGTAACTGCAATTGGAATTCTTAGGCACATACTTTAAGCTGCTTTCCTGAAGTGGAGGGAAGGATTTGGAAAAGTTAATGGGGAGTCCCCCAAGATAAAACAGTAGCAATGGAAACTTATAACCTTCCTTATTGAAAGAAAAAAATAATAAATGAAGACAAGGGGAAGGGCTTCCTATAGTTTTTGCAATCATGAAAATGACACTTGTGACACATAGTACACTGAGCAAACCAATTTGTGGATTGAGATGTTTTAATTTTCTATGCGAGAAACACATAACAAAAGTAAAAGGCCACCCTTGCCTTCCGGAGGAGCAAAGGGAAGTTTGTGGGGTGAGGATGTGAGCTGGAAACCTTGCTGGGCTGAAGCTGATGCTGCCATGTAGCTTTTCCAGGGTACAAATCTCATTCCAAGAATAACACAAAAGAGGCTTGGAAACTGCTTGGAGGAAGAAGGGATGGATAGATCAAACAAATTAGTGAAAGATAAGTTCCCAGAAAGGAGTATGTGTATTTGAGAGTCTGCCTTTTATTCATTTAACAGATATTTATTAATTTACATTGTTTTCCGGCCCCTGTGCTGTGTATCAGGGCTTATCAGGATAAACAAGGCACAGCCTCTGCTTTCAGAGGTTAGCAATGGAGTGCCCAGAATAACGTCCGGAAGAAGGCACCCAGTGAGGTCTCAGGAAATGTTAGTTGAAAGAATGAATGGGTGAATTAATGGAAAAATAGACGGGTGAATGAATGGATGAATGGATGAATGGATAGATGGATTGATGGATGGATGGATGAATGGATGGATAAACGGATGGATGGATGGATGGATGAGTAGATGGATGGATGGATGGATGAGTGAATGAATGGACGGATGGATGGATGGATGGATGAATAAATGAATGCATAAAGATGATCTGTGGCTCCCTAGGAATTCAAGCTCATGTCTATATGTTTGTTTCTGGATCTAATTGTTGATTTCTGCCCGGATTTTATCACAGGTGGGCCCTGACATTTTCATTAGCAATGGTTCCCTTGATTTCCCTTCAGACGAATCCTTCCTGAACCCAGGTGCCCTTTATCCTGCACATTAGCCCCTAGTCAGCTCTTACAAGCCATAATGTGCCGTGAAGTTCTCCAGATTTTTCCCTGGTTGGCCACTCTGAGTGTTTTTCACTGCTCACCACGACCTCTAATCAAATCAGCTTGGTTTCCCTGTGTCTCCTTCCCTCTGTTTTGCTCCTGGAAACTGTGATAACCAGATGCATTAACATTTCCGAGAGTCCACCACATGCCAGGCTCTGTCCCATGTACATTACAGTGCACTTGAGGCTCATTTAGCCTCCCTTTCAATTGAGCAGGTAGACTATTATTCCTGTTTTCCAGATATGCAAACTGAGGCACAGAGCTGTGAAGTAATTAGTTCAGATGGAAGACACATAGTGGAGCCAGGATTGAAGCTCAGGTGTGTTTCACTCTAAAGCCACAACAAGTACCTAACCTCAGCACCTCTAGAGGTCAAACTTTTTTATCTTGATGAATCCTGTTTTTGCCTGTGATACATTTTCCAGCATCTCAGTTCCTCAGCAGAGCTCCAGCTTCACAGCTACAGATACAGAGACCCAAGGAATGGAGTTGGGGTAAGCTCCATCTTTGATGTTTTTTAACCTCGCTCCTCATTCAGAATCTCTACATGGGGTGGCTGTAGTAACCACCTACCATCATCGTCCATCTGGCTTAGCCACTAGCAGAAAAGAACATCTCTCTCAGGACCTCCAGCAAATATTCTGGGGTTGACCTTAACCTACATAGGTTTCCACGACCCTCCCTGAACCAATCACTTTCTCTGGCTCTGTGCATCCAGAATGATTTGCCAAAGCAAAATCAAAGTGGCATTACCAAAAAAGGGAGGAATGCATGCAGAGCCAGCAGAGTCCATAGCTGTCCACTACATTCTCTATAGGGTTGCAACCAAGTGCTTTGAACTCAGGCAAACTGAGGTTCCAATCTAGGTTATTTATTTTTTCTTTCCTTTTTTTTTTTTTTTTTTTGAGACATAGTCTCGCTCTGTCGCCCAGGCTGGAGTGCAGTGGTGCAATCTTGGCTCACTGCAACCTCTGCCTTTCAGGTTCAAGCGATTCTCCTGCCTCAGCCTCCTGAGTAGCTGGGACTACAGGCATACGCCTCCATACCTGGCTAATTTTTGTATTTTTTTTTTTTTTAGTAGAGACAGGGTTTTGCCATGTTGGCCAGGCTGGTCTTGATCTCCTGACCTCAGGTAATCCACCCACCTCGGCCTCCCAAAGTGCTAGGATTAAAGGTGTGAGCCATTGTGCCCGGCCAAGGTTATTTACTTTCTATCTGATCGTAGACAAGTTATTTAACCTTCTAAGCCCCACTTTCTTAATTAAAAATAGTGTTTTTAATGCATGCTAAGTACATAGTAAGTTCTTAATAAATGTTAATGTGGTGTTTGTAGACAACAGTATGTTGAAGACTACTGGAATAGCACATAGATGTCTTTGGAGAAAGAGATATATTCTTTTGAGGTCTGCATTTATGCTTTGGGGCACACAGTTTAATAAAAAGGTAATATAAAATGGAAGTGGGGTAAAATATGTCTCCCAGAATGAGCCAACAGGATTGAAAGAACCACTTTCCAAGTCTAGATCACTGTAGCATCTTTTTGCTTAAGGCCGAAAGTTCTTCTCAACTTTCCTTTCAGGTTTTTATTTATTTATTTATTTATTTATTTATTTATTTATTTATTTATTAGGCAAAATGGGAATTGAGAAGCCTGAAATGATGAAGATGCTCATGATTTTAAAAAGTTTTTGTATGTCAGGAATGAAAGATGTGGTGAGGTTGAACAGGAGGAAAAAAATGACTGTATCCCAGTCAGCCTGGGTAGTATCACTTCCTGCTTTCCTGGGGTAAAAAGCCTGGAGGAATATGGGCATTCGGTTGTTGAGAAAGAGTTTGTCTGACTTCTCTTGCTGTATTTGGGATTGTTCAGAGACTAACTGGTTGGATTGCAATTTGCTTTCTTGTGGAAAAACTGATCTAGCAACATATATTGTGCGTTTGAGCTTTAGAGAAGCCTTTTCTCTTGTAGTTTATTCTCTTGCATAGTGGTGTTTCTAGGCTGCTGACATATGCGAAGGAAACATTGTATTGATGTGTGCATGTGACAGTCTACCTGCAACATGCATGTGCTCGTGGCTGAATCATTTGTGCATCCAAAGCTGAGGTCCCTGGCTGCTGTTGATTTAGTCCAATGCATATGTAATACTCTGTGGAAAACATTCCTGGTTAGTAGCTCCTCACTACTGTGTTATACAAGCTGCTGGCAAAGGTAATTATGCTTAATAGGAGCCACCTTTGATTTAAAGCTGCAGAGGTGAGTAATTAAATTGAGCTCGCTCAAGCACGAGGGGGTGGCATGCAACCTTTGTTTGGGGACATTCATTGGGAGCGGCTGGGATCTGTTACAAAGGCAATGTTTCTTGGGCTCATATTTGTCACCCAGATTGTCTTAGAAAGACATCAGTGCACCTGGGAGAGATGCAGCAAAGGCATAGTGCAGGCATCTCTTTCTTCGTCCTGTCCCCTCAAATATCACCAAAGGAGAACTCGCCTCCCAGCTTCATCTGCCCTGGTTCCTGTGCTCATCTTGCCCCGGGGGGGGGTTCAGCACTGTCCTGCTCTCTGGTTTCTCGATGCTCATCTCTACAGATGATCACAACTGATCACCAATAGTGATCAGTCTTGCCACGTGGACTGGCAGTCCTGAGATTTCTAATCTGGGTCTGCTCGGACATCAACAGCAACAACAAAAGCATACCAGTCCCTTAATCCTTTAATGATTGAATATGAGACGAATTCGTGTTTGTAAGATTTCATTTCAATCCCATGGGTGGCTATTATTGCATCTCAAAGATGATCTATTTGTATACATTTCTATATTTTCTTTTCAGCAAACCTAACCTGATAAAAGAAAAAAAAAATGCCTGGGCTGTCCTCTCCCCAGCCCTACCCTCTAGAGTTTCTGAATGGTAACACCCAAGCAAGCCGGGTTCTGTTGGGCAAAGAGCCTGTTCCAGGCGATGCCACCTAGAACTGGGGTGACATACTTGCTAGGAAAGAACAGCAACTCCAACTAAATCTTTGTGGCTTCCAAAGGATTCCCAAGCTCCAGGCAGAGGGTTTTGCTCTGTGATAACTGCAAAGTGGGTTCATAAAATCCAGAGGAATCCTAGGAAAATCTCTTTGCCTAAACTCCCCTGCTTTTAGGATAAACAGATGGCCTTACATCTTCCTACTCAAAGTATGGCCTGCAGGCCAACAGCCTCAGCATCTCCTAGGAGCTCATTAGAAATGCAGATTCTCATGCCCCACCCCAGACCTGCTTCATCAGAATCTGCATTTTCAGAGGATGCTCAGGGGGGGATTCGTGAGCACGTTGAGATTTTTAGAAGAGTTAGCCTACCCTGAATGGTTGACTCCTGCCTCCTTTCTGACTTGAAATCCTCATCATTTCCTTGCCTGAACTGTGGTTTCTTTCTGTCCTTATTCCATGCCCAGCTGTGCCTTCTTCTTTTTTTGGGGGGACAGAGTCTTGCTCTGTCACCCAGGCTGGCATGCAATGGCGTGATCTTGGCTCACTGCAGCCTCTGTCTCCCAGGTTCAAGCGATTCTCCTGCCTCAGCCTCCTGACTAGCTGGGATTAAAGGCACCTGCCACCACACCTGGCTGATTTTTGTATTTTCAGTAGAGACCGGGTTTCGCCATGTTGGCCAGGCTGGTCTCGAATTCCTGACCTCAAGTGATCCACCCGCCTTGGTTCCCAAAGTGCTGGGATTACAGGTATGAGCCACTGCACCTGGCCAAAGCTCTGCCCTCTTCTTGGTCTAGTTAATGCCTTCACATGGTTCATATATTAGCCCAAGGGTTACTTGCTCAGGGAAACCTTGCCTCAGCCTTTAGATTAGGTTAAATCCACCCTCGCCAGTACAGGCCTGAAAGCACCATATACCTCACTGCCTTGCTCTTTTCAGGGTTACAATTCTATGATTCTTGGTTTAGTTAATTTCTGTCTATCGCCTCTGCACACAGTTCCATGAGGGCAGGAACCATGTCCAGTTTTATGACTCCCACCTGCTGGGACCCCACCATAGTGTCCAGTACATGTAGAAGCTCAATAAATATTTGTTCAGTGAACAGATGCGTGCTCTCAGGACATATAATTAGGAATATTGTAGGCGTATTGCTGGCTACTTAGTTTATCTCTTCAGGAATGTTCAAAACATTTCTAGAACTGTTTTCTGTTTATTCAATTCCAGGTGATGAGAAAATCAACTCAACCGAACTACTATTTTTAAGCACTTTCCACACATTCAGCATTATACCACTTAATCCTCACAACATTTTATAAATTTTATAAATGAATAAACTGAAACTTACAGCAGTGATTTCAGACTAGCAAAATGATGGCAGAGCTGAAAACCACGTTCTACTCTTCACTGCCACATTCCACTCTTCACTGCCACATTCCAAGACCCATGAGTCTGAGGCCTCATGCTCTCCCTTGGGTTGGAATCAGAGTGGTTCTCCAAGATGCACAGAGTTCCCGATTCACCTCCTTAACACAGATCTTTATTAAGCACACCACCTGGGTGCCAAGCACTGTTCTGTAGCAGCAGTAATGAGTAAGATCCATCAGGACCCTGCTCTCAGGGGACAGAAGCAACATATATACTTAAGATGCCATGTGGTTAAAAAGGGGCTAAGAAGAAAAACAAAGGGTGGCAAAGGGAGGGAAGGTGAGGGAAGGGGGCTATAAACCATAGAGCCTTTGCCTCCTTCATTTTTGTATCTGAGCACTTGGCTCAAGGGCCAGTGTGCGATAGGTCTCCTCAGTTAGCATCGGTTGATGACTGACTGACAGATGGAATCCAACATTTCCAAAGTGGGCTAAGCACCAGCTGGTGTCGTATGTGACCATAAAACTGAGCAGAGCAAACGGCCAGTCTAGAGATTGGGATTTCCTACCCTGTTGCCCAGATTTTCCTCCCTCTATCAGCCACTGGTTTGTGACTGGAATCATCAGAATCGCCTCTAGAGCTTTCAAAAAAAAGTCATGTGCTCAGCTTTTCCTTGGGCAAACTGGGATTTCTGGGGGTGGAAAACCAGCATGTGTGTTTTTAAAAAATCCTACAGTTAAGTCTGATGTGCTCAAATGGTTGAGATGCTGTATACCCCAACCATGTGAAATAATAACACCATCTAGCTTTCACTGAGTGCCTACTGTGTGCCAAGCCACATACTCAGTGGTTAACCAACCCCACTAAGAGAGAAGAAGATGGTGACGATGATGATGGTAATGAAAACAACAGCTAATATTTATTGAGTAATGTTGTTTGTGCCTGGTGTTATGCTAAACACTTATGATGTCCAAATAGTTCATCTTCGCAGACGTCCAATGAGTCTTTTTCTGTCTCACTCACCATTATAGACATTTCAGAGAAGGTTCAAGTAAGTATCAGATATATGTTTCAAGCAGGGGTTGACAAACTGTGACCTGTGAGCTAAACGCCACCTGTTTTTGTATGACCTATGGGTTAGAATGGTTTTTACATTTTTTAATGATTGGGAGGAAATGTGAAAATTAGTTTTCTTAGGTTATATAAGTACCTATATAATATCTTAAATTTTGTCTCTTGGCCTGCAAAGCTCAAATTTACTATTTGGTCCTTTATTGGAAAAGTTTGCTGGCTTCTGCCCTAGTGTATTTTTTTCCAACTTGTTGTATGTGTAGGACAGTCATATGAGTGATTGTTTTAGGTGGTAGAAGCATGAATTTTTAAAATAATTATGGTTTCATTTGCTGTGTAATAGAAGGGGAAAGTAAAACTAATATATTAAAACTGATTTCATGGATGTTACTGCTCAATCCAATGTAAAGAAAAAAATGAATCTTTTTGAAATCAATTTTTAAAAAATAATAATACAGGCAGTATGGAGATAAAACAGAAATCATGCAAGTTATAGAAATGGGATAAACACTGTTATAGGATCAGAAAGTGGGATGAATAGGGAAAAGTCAAAATAATGGAAACAATTTCACCTGGATGAGAAAGATAGGAGATGAGATGACGGAAGCTTTTTGCATTTTTAATATTCTGTGATTCTCAGTTTCTTAGAACCCTTGTTTTTCAGGACTTTTTGATCTCTTGAGGTCTCTTCCAGCGCTCTGATTCCATGAAAAGTTTCCTCGGGAGATACTGACACAAGCTGGGGGATGTCCAGGGTTCGTTATAGCTCAAGGCACAGTCTTCCTGTGTTTTTCCTTCTGCTGACTTAGAAAGACAGATGAGCAAACCTCAGATGGATTCAGAGGTTTGGTGGGGAAATCTGAGAGGCTCTCTAGTTCAGCCAGGAGTGGAAGAGGGGGACAGCCATCTGATAATGACTGTTGCTATTTTAAGACACAGATAGCAGAGATGAGGAGTAGCGTGATGAAAACTCACATTAAAACAACCAAGAGAGGCACAACAGGAACTCTATGAACCCCAGAGAGACCCGGTCTGGGTTTACAATGACAATGTTGTGTGTGCGTTCATGTGCGTGTGTGTGTGTGTGTGTGTGTGTGTGTGTGTGTGTGTGTGTGTGTGTGTTTGGGAGGGGGTGCTGATATTTTTTTAAATGCAGATGGTTTTGTTCTCTGTAGTTGAAGCTTCAGTTCAGCAGCTCTGAGACAAACAGGAAAGCCTGTGTTATTCTCTACAGGAACACATCAAAGGTAGTTTCTGGCAACAGTCAAAATGTATATCAAGGAAGGAGAAAGGATTCATGACCTGTTTGAACAACTAGTGTTAAAAACACATTCGAGAAGAAATAATGCTAGGTAGAGGATGAAAGGAAAATAGGAGAAAGGAAGACCCCTTGCTTCACTCAGACCTAAAGATGATTGTTTCTCACCATTGCTAGCTTTTTCAAGAATAAGGAAGCGAAAAAATCACCTGTCTCATTTATCATCTGACAGGGGAGCTAAACTCTGCTGGATGAAACTTTTTCTTTTGCCCCAGACTAAATAAAGCCCCACCTCGTCTTCTGTTTCATTTTGAAAGAAAAGAGGTAAAACATGCACAACTAAAACACTTGTTTAAAAGTGTGTGACATTTCAGGAAGGTTTAACGTTACGTATGTCTTCCCTATTGAGTTTCATAAACAGAGTATCATTGTTTGATAGTGGCATAGCTGTGGTTTTGAGAAGGCTTGTCTAGAACGGAGTTCCTGAGCTGCTTGGATGATATTTCACTGCTTTGATGGAGAACGGACTAAAGAACATCATTGTGACCTTTTTATCAAGGCTTAAAGGAAGTATAAAAAGAAAACGGAAGTTGTCAACACTCACCAGGCTCTATTGTGAGGCACACAACCAACCCAGGGAGGAAAATCTAAGGTTGCTTTTGTCACCTTAACTCACATCACTTCATTGTAGTACAAGTGAGAGCCGGAACTTATTGGACACTTACTCTGTGCCACACAGGCTTTGGGTGAATTTTTGCATTTTAATTCTCACCCCAGTAAAGAGACATAATGGTATCCATGTTAGAAATGACAAAGAGGCACACAGTGAAGTCAGGTGACTCGGCCAAGCTTCTGCAGCTGCTTAGAGGCCAGGCTGATCTACCTAGCCAGGGGTACCTGACTTCCAAGCCCGTGCTGTCGACCCTTCTGGTTTAACTCTGAGTAAATTTCATACTTTGTGGAGCGTCCATCAGCCAATCACAATCTAAAAATAATACAAAATGAAAGAAACTGTCATACATTATCTTTTTTTCATCTTCCTAACAAATAAGCTGGCATGATTATTCTTTCCATTACCCTGAAAAATAAACCAAGGCTCAAGGAGAGGTCATGGTCTGCCCCAAACCACAGCCTCCATTCTCTGGCTTGAAATCTTATGCTTTTACCCACCTTTTGATGTTACCTCTTAAGTGATGTTGCCAGAATTAGCAATAAAATAAATTTATAAAAAAGAAAATAAATATTTTTATTTATAAAAAATAAATTTATAAAAAAGAACAGGATGCACAGTTAAATTTGAATTTCAGATAATATAAAAGAATGTTTAGTATAAGGATGTCCAGTACAGTATTTGGGACCTACGGGCAAGCTTTAAAGAACATAAGTTTTATCACATTCTCCAGGTACGACGTGTGTATTAATAAATCAATAGAAGTTTATCTGTGAGCAGTTATCTCAGTTTTTTAATTCCTAAGTCTTCATGTTCTGAAGAAATGGCCATCACCTTGCATTCCCAGGGCCTATTGATTATGAGGCTTCATAAACCTTAGGACTTGAGAGAACAGCTGGGATTCCTTCCCAGTTGCTAACCAATGACTTCATAATGTAATGGACAGCTCTAAATTGTGCTTCTACGTTGTAGACATAATAAGAGACACACTAAAGGACAAATACATTATCTAATAAAGCTGCCTCGAGCTTAAGAGATAACAAAATGTCAAAACTAAATTCTTTTTCTAAGCACTTCCAGTATGAAATTTAGTTCACCGTCCAGGTACTGTCCTTCATTGTGGGGAGAAACATCCTGCCTGTCTACCTGGGGTTCTATTTTATTTCATCAGCCTCCTGTTTTTCTCCAGGGATGGTGTGTGTGTGTGTGTGTGTGTGTGTGTGTGTGTGTGTGTGAAATTTTTTCCTAAATATTAAGTCAGTGCACCTTCCTCGCAAGCGCTGGACAGCTCAGGATCTTATTTTGGAAGCTCGAGGTATGAGCAGGCCTGAGAAAATTGTGGCCCTTCTTTTTACTCCTTCCCTCTGTGAACTTTTGAGAAGATTCCTTAGTGATCGGCTTACACGCTTTCAAACTGGCACGCCTGTAATCTGGTAAAATGTGTCAGCCCTATGGAGAAATAAGCCTTCCAGAAGAGTTTCTTCATTGTTGAGGTAATTGTCTCCTCTCTGACAGGCACATTCATCAGTGGCTTAATGGTCAATCACTAGTTGGCAGGCAGAGTGTTTTCATTCTTCCCTATCCACTACATTAGGCATACTTAATCAAAATGTCTCCGGGTAATGGCTGTGAAGAGTTCATGACTGACTGATCCGTTGTCTGTGCTGATAGAAAATTAACAGCTCAGTGCTGGAAAGATGCGAGCCCACAGATAAACAAATTGTACATTAATATTTCATCTTGGGGACCTGGGATGTGCTGTCCATAGCAAAATATTTCCTGGCTGCACAAGCAATTCTTTCTTTCCTTCTCTTTCCTTCTTTTTTTTCTTTTTCTTTTTTTTTTTAATTATTTCTTTCCGTAAGCTGTGCACACTCATACCACATGGACAGTATGCATCCTGTTCTAGAAGCTTCAGTGTCTGTGGAAAGTTCAGGGGAGTTCATATTCGATGCCCTGTTTTCATCACTGCCAAATGAAAGCAGGCGAAACCCTATAGAGGAGTTGTTTTGTTCTTTCTTTTTCTAGTATAATATCTGTGGGCTGACTGTTGCCTGAGCATGGAACACGCACCCACTCCCCCCCTCCAATTAAATACCTGCCCCAACTTTAAACATATTTCATACAGAATATTTAAGGGTTTCTGGATGAAATACAAATTTCATCCAGAAATACAAATTTCATCCAGAAATACAAATAGGAAAACACACATTGCTCAGTCCTACTTATTTTAGCTGTAATTCATTGTGTTGGATGATTTTGCAGAGTATTCTGATAGTGAAGACAAACTGATTCCCTAGTGAAGCTGAAATCGGTCAAGCTTCCTGATGGCCAAGACGTAAGATGATACAGCAGTTGACCATGTGCGAAAGACCAGAAGGGTCAGAGTTTGACTTGCCTTGACCCCATGCAGGCGTTGCCCCGCCACCTCTTCCTGTCTTTTTAATTTTATACCCAGAAGAACAAAAACAGAGAAAAGGCATTTACGCTTAGCAGTCCAGACCTGCCGGGAAAAGCATAAAACAAGGTGTATAAATGCTGGAAGAGGAAGCCACACCATCCTGCTGCTTATGAGCTCAGGGAAGTTCTTTTTAAATGGTGTCCTAGGTGCACACAAAAGAAATGTGTGGGCGTCCGTGTGACATCACATGCCATAAAAGACATCAAGATGCTACCAAAAGTCAGACCCTCAGGTTTAATCTGAGTGGTTCAATATAATAATAAAAATAATAATAGCCAACTTTCAGTGTTTACTATAAGATAGGCAATATGGGCTGTACATGAATCTTCTGATTTAGTGGAGGTAGATACCATCATTATTCCCATTTTACAGATGAGCAAACTAAGAGAGACAGGAGGAAATTCATCTAAGACCAAACAGCCAGTAAGTGATATAATAGAATCGTGGGAGTCATCCTGAACTTTGAACCTCTTCCCTTAACTGCACTACATATAAGAAGCCAGGTTTAAGCCGGGCCTGGTGGCTCACACTTGTAATCCCAGCACTTTGGGAGGCCGAGGCCAGAGGATCAGTGAGGTCAGGAGTTCGAGACCAGCCTGGGCAACACGGTGAAACCCTGTCTCTACTAAAAATACAAAAAAAATTAGCCAGGTGTGGTGGTGCACACCTGTACCTAGCTACTTGGGAGGCTGAGCCAGGAGAATCGCTTGAACCTGGGAGGCAGAGATTGCCGTGAGCCAAGATCACACCGTGCACTCCAGCCTGGGCAACAGAGAGAGACTCTGTCTCAAAAGTAAATAAATAAATAAATAAACAAATAAGCCAGGTTTGAGCTGAACTATTTAGAAATATAAAATGTTGAAGCTGGAGAAAACGTGTAGATGTCCTGCCATCTGAACTCTTCCTGTTCCAGAGGAGAAATGGTGGCCTAGAGGAATGGGAGGTGAAGGGTCTAAGGTCTTACCACTGCTGTCCCCAGGCAGTAGACACATTGGTTTTATTAACAGGAAATTCTTTGGAGATTCTCTGTAAATCCTGCATGCAGCGTGTCCTGTGTCATGTGGTGATGAGAAGCTGAATAAATTCACACTTGGATCATTCTCGATCTGTCCTAGGCAAGGCCCTGGAGAGGTACTCGGTGTTAAAATTTCTGGAGTGACTGTGACATCTTGAAGTATAAAGTAGAACAAACCTTTGTGTATATAGCCCCTCTCTCCAAGTACTGGCTCTTTCTGGTTATTCTCTGGCTAGATTTTCTTTCCTCTAGCTGATGTGTTTGGTGACCTCACTTTTTCTTCTCTGTTTTGAGAAATCTATGAAATTTAAGATAAGATAAGCCCATTGGGTTAATAGCATTTCACCTGCCTTTCCTGTATACTCAAGAAATAATCCCAAGAGAAGAATCTTAGCTTTAAAGGCATCAAGTTTAACACAGAGCAGGGTGAGATGGAATGTATTTAATAGTTAGATGATCCTTCATTCTTTTCTTTTTTGTGACACACACACGTACATGTGTGCACTCAAAATGCTTAACTTATAACCAGTTCCATTGCCACTTCATTCACTTACGAGCCTAAAGTTTGGAAGTTTGCTCCTATTGAAAGAAAAGTTGTAAGATGTTCAACATTATAAAAAGTGCATGAGTTGATCTGTTCCCAGACAGACTCACAGAATTTTACTTAACATATATTGTTGCAAAAATGTTTGCATCCCTACTGAAAAATCATTAGTGTCACTATTGCAAGAGTAGTTATTAAACAGTTAAGAAAAAAAGTGATATTTTCCCTAACGTTAAGTATTCATGCCTGAAAAGAGACTGAGAAATAGATACAGATTTTTATAGCTATTCTGGAAGAAGTCTCCATGTGCTTTTGAAGAATTTGCAATAGGAGCACAGGCTCATGTATCCTTAGATGCCTTGCATGGAAGCACATGACCAAGATAAACTGAACACTAGCCAATAGGGAGTGGTGAGGACCATGGAGTGCTGCAAGCCCCAGTCCCTTTTAATGTGCACCACGGCTACTCAACTCCAGTCTGTAGTCACCATGCAGGAATCCATCATCTATGTTGCCAGATCTTTTGGTTTCTCAATGGATTCACAAACCTACATTTCAATTTCCTAAGCAGCACAAGTTAAGTAAATCACACGTGGTACCTGAATTCAATGTAAACTGCCATTTTATAAACTCAGATTTAGAGATACATGTAGTCCTTCATTCTTCATTCTTTCACATCATTTTCTTTGGTACAGATCTAAAATAGCATCATTCTAATATTAATCTGTCATGTTGGGTGGTGGTGGGGTAGGGTGCTATGGTTTATTTTGTTTGGGGTCAAACATGAATAAAAAATAAAAATAGGACTTTTCTGAGTTAATTGAGTAGGAGTTGGGAGAGTTAGAGGGGAAAACTGAATATCAGTATAAATATTTGAGCACCTACAATGTGCAAGTTCTGGAAATCCATGAGTGAACAAAGCTGATGATGCCCTCATGACACTTGTAAATTTCTCAATAATTCTTTAATTGCCATTGTGACTGGTGCTGCAAGAGTAAAGGCTGCTACTGTGAGGGTGTCTGACAGCCCTAGCCTGGGGTGGCAAGAAAGGCTTCCCTGAGGAGGTGGCATTGAACTTGATACTTGAAGGCTTAGCAGGAGTTGACCAGGCTGAAGTGGCCTGGTGGAGTAAGGAGCTTCTGGCCAAGAAGGCCTTGGGTGCAGAAGTCCTGAGGTTGGAGACAGCAGGTGCATGGACAGAGGAAGGTTGGCACGATCGGCTCCAGTGAGAAAGAGAAAGATGGTAAGGAAGGAGGTTCAGAAATCAGATGGACCAAACACATGAAAATGTTTGGTCATTTTAAAAAGATGACTTGCAATATGGCAACTGGGCCATAAAGAGTTAACAAGAGGAGTATGGCATGAGTATAGGCCTTTCAAAGTGAAAGACAGGAAGAAGCACAAAATACGTGTTGGATAAAATAATTTCTTGGTGATGACATTAGCATGGAATAGTTACCATCCTAGAGAAGGTGCTAGAAGATACAGGGGAATGATAAGAGTCATCCAAGAAAGAAATGTGTGTTTGTGTGTGTGTGTGTGTGAGTATGTGTGTATACTCGTGTGTGTATGTATGTATACTCATGCGTGTATGTATGTATATGCGTGTGTGGTGTGTGTGTATGTATGTATACTCGTGTGTGTGTATGTATATTCGTGTGTGTGTGTGTGTGTGTTTGTATTTCTGACATATCCATATATCCAGTTGAGTATTTGCAGAGTGATGTGAGCATGACATGGTTAATGATTAAAATCCAAATTAGGTTTCATCAGGAAAATTAAAATAATTTAAAAAATAATAATACAACACAGCAAATGGTCTGGCTGTGTTTCCTACTTTTATTCATAATACTAATTTATATCATTATAAATTATGTGTAAGGGTGTCTACCTTGTCAAGCCTATGTTTGTAAAGAAGAAAGCATTTTGTATCTCACACCAAGAAACCAATTCCACTGAATTGTATGTGAGTTAATATTCAAGGCAAAAAAGACCAATTTAAATCAATACATAATTAACCTTGATATTAGAATTGAGAATGAAAGCCCAGTTTAGAGTGTTGAGCATGATTTTCTTAATGATATGAACAGTGTGTTTAGTCTTTATGAAGAAAAAAATAAAGGGAAGAAACACTGGATGGAAAGAGGAGAGAAGTAGGTAAAGGCATTTCAGAAATATGGTTAATTGGGTAATTGGGGATTGGGTGTCACTTGAACTTAAGCCTGTGGTTAATTCATGGCTTATTCTTCAGGAATGACATTGGCAGAGCAGTTATTGGAATAATGAATTGCTCACTTGTCCTGGGCAAATAGAAAATTCCCCTGGTTGAATAAAACAGTGGGAGGAGGCATTTGATAGGCTTATAATGGCTTAAGAGCCTGGGTTAGGGTTCTTCCCCTGACAGTCAGAAAAGAGAACTTTGGGGGATTGGATATTTTCAGCAAAGGGGCAAAATTAAGAAAGGATTATAATCACCTTTTTTTTTTTTTTACGGGAATTGACATTGATACTTAAAGCATTTTCAAAATGAACGTCAAAAACAGAGTTAAGCAGCAGAATATTAAGTCAAGGTAGGGGGCTGATATAATAAGGAGTTTGAGGAATTTTAGAGGAAAAGTAGTCGATATAAAGGCCAACTTAGTCAAGTGTCAATTATTCCCGTTTTAAAAATAGAGTAGTGTATACCCTTATTCATGGGGAATACATTCCAAGACCTCCAGTAGATGCCTGAAACCTCAGATCATACCAAGTCTTATACATATTATGTTTTTCCTATACAAATATACCTGTGCTAAAGCTTAACTTATAAATTAAGCACAGTAAGAGATTAACAACAATAAAAAATAGAACAATTATAATAATATACTCTAGTAGAAGTTATTTGAATGTTGTCTTTCTCCTCTCTCTCTCTCTCTCTCTCTCTCTCTCTCTCTCTCTCTCTCTCTCTCTCAAAATATCTTGTACTGGCTGGGCATGGTGGCTCACACCTATAACACCAACAATTTGGGAGGCCAAAGTAGGAGGATTGCTTGAGCCCAGGAGTTCAAGACTAGCCTGAAAAAATAGTGAGACCAATCGCTACAAAAAATATATATATATACAAAAAATTAGCTGGGCATGGTGGCATGTGCCTGTGATCCCAGCTACTCAGGAGGCTGAGGCTGGAGAATCGGTTGAATCAGGGAGGTTGAGGCTGCAGTGAGCCGTGATCCTGCCACTGTACTCCAGCCTGGGTGATAAAATGAGACCCTACCTCAAAAAAATTCACAACAAAACAAAAAATATACAAGCAATATCCTGTACAGTGCTCACTCTTCTTTTTCTTGTGATGATGAAAAATGATAAACCGTGTGTGCAAAGAGATGACGTGATGAAGCGGGACAGCTCAGGATTTCATCACACTACTCTGAAAGGCACATAATTTAAAACTTATGAATTGTTTATTTCTGGAATTTTCTATTTAATATTTTTGAACCATAGTTGACCACAGGTAACTGAAACCACAGAAAGCAAAACCACAGATAAGTAGGGACTACTGTAAAAAGAGAAATAGTTCCATAAACTTTCAATGTTAACTTTTTTAGCCCCAAAGTTTAGAAGATTCAGAGGAGAAAGATTTTCCCAGTCAAAAAGCTTCTGCCCAAACTCAGACTTTTCAGATATCTTGTTGAAGGCAAATTTCCATGTTATTTCAATGGCAAATGGCAGACCCTTGGACCAACCACCAAAGATACTCAATTATTTCCATTAATGCAGTGAAGGGACTAGAAATTCATTACCCAAAATTCCCCCCAAAAAAAGACCTACATTGGGAACTCTGAGGATTTTGTTTGTTTGTTTGATTTGTTTCTAATATGGCTTCGTGGCATCTTGTGTTTCGGGGATGATGTAAACTATATCATAATCACTATCATTGTCATTGTTGATTCTCTTAGTCTTTTAGAGTGGACAAAAGGCTCTCGTCCATGGGTCTACCCTCCCCTTCTCACCTACCATTTTCTCCTCATCCTCGTATGTAAATACTGAGAACCTACTCTAACCACAAAGCCAGTCATTCAGGACCCATTGCCTCAGGCTGGATGCTGCAGTCTTTTGGATGGAACCCAGGAATCTGGATTCCTAACTGGAACCCTGGAGGATGGTTACACACGTCGAAGTTTGAGAACATCCCTCTATTCCACCCACCACATTGCATCACATGGCAGAATGAGAAAAGATTGATCTTTGAACAATTCCCCATTTTGATTGGATCATCAAAATCCTATCTGCACAATCCTCCATGTCTAAACACACACTCCTAAAGGAAGCAAAGCAAAACAACAACAGCAATAACAAAAAACATGGCACTAGTAACTCAGAGTGGAAAACATGACTCTGCTGTTCAGTGGTTAGAACCAGCTGGATGCAAGATCCTCTGGTCGGATTTTATGTGTGCCCAGCCTGTGAGCCTTAGGAAGGAGGTCAGTTGGTTTCTTTTTCTTGGCCAACTAGATTGGAAACAAAACAAAACAAAATAAAATGCTGATATGCTGAGTTATGACAAACTGAGACACATGTCATGAGAGGAAAAATGACAGCTTTACTGCTGCAGTGATTACAAAAAACACAGCAAATTAACCACCAATATGGCTTTGTATGTAGAGTGAAACAACTTTATTGCACTGTAAATTGGAGACCTAGAACATATTTTAGGAGTGTCACACCTGAAAAGCTGACGATTTTCCCCAAATTGCTATTAATATTTTTTTATTTTTATTAGTTTTATTTTCCACCCAACTGAAAGCTGAAACTAGAATTATTTTTCCTCCCTAGAAAAATTTTATTTTGTAGAGTTGGACATTTTCTTTATTACGTTGTCTCTGTAAGAGTTACTTAGCTATAATAAAACAGTCATATTTATAACTTAATTAAATCTGGCCATTTAAACAGAAATACTTGTAAGTAATACCAATAAAATAAAAAAGTGAATATCATATTTGATAAGTTTTGCTCAAACAGCTTTCTTTATTAGTGCCTTTTATGTAACTCAGGGAAAAAATATACTGATCCAGCTTGGCCTGAATTTTACTGTGAAAAGTCCTCAGATGAGTTAATATTTGTTTGCTGTGTTTTAAGTTATTGAGCTAAGCAGGGGTGTCATGAATGAATGTTCAGGTTGTGCACTGTGCAAGTCTGCCATATCTCAAGAGCCCCAATTCATATCCTGGGATCCTCTTTTGGTTCCAATTTCAAATATCACACTGTAGCCGAGAATCTCACTTTTAATGCCCATAACAAATTATTAATACCTTTATTTCCAATGTAACAGTGGCCAGATAAGTAAACCCAAAGTTTTAAATATAACAGGACCAACAGTGTTCATTCATCTAATCCAACATGATTACATTACTAATAAAAAGCCAGGACCTTATTTTATGCTATATAATCCTAATAGTTCAGAACTAGCAGACTTATTCAGTTTCTATCAGATTGTGTATTAACCAAACACATTTCTGAGATGATTTTTTTTGAATATCAAAGAGCACACAGGAGTATGTGGAAAATTAGGGTAGGAGCATAGTAGGATCTCAAGAAATGTTTGTTTCATGGTTAATTAAATAAACAGATGGCTGAATGACCATATATTGCTTTTATATAAGAGGAAAATTAAAATCTCCCCAGAGTCAGTTTTAAGGGCAGTTTTCTTTACACTGGGAAAATCGAACAACCCCACAGCTGCCTTTGGAAGCTGTACCTTTTGGCTGAAGAGTGAATGGTTCAACTTCTTTGAGTCAGTCCCCATCTGCCTTCCCAATAGGGTCATTCTTTTCTGTGCCTGGCAATGGTCCCTGCACTTTACAAAACAAAGTTATGAGGTAGGTACAATTGCCACCACATTACAGATGAGAAAAGGGAAGCACAGAGAATTGAGAAACGGGGTCTTATGCTAGTCAGTGATACAGCTGGGATTTGATCCACGATATCTGGTTTCAAAGCCAGTGTTCTTGACCACTACACGATGGCCCATGACTGTTCAGAGAGGTACTCATACAGATTTATACTTCAATGTACAATATTTCGAGATAAACAGCCCTATTGTGAATCAGTGCTACCCAGGGCTGGCCAGAGGTCTTGCATCCTAATTACCAGCGAGGTCACTTTGATATCCAGTAGGTACCTCTGGGTCCATTTGTCTGACCTTATCACCTTCCGTTCTTGTTTCCCGTCTCTGTTTCTGCTCAGTTAGCCACCAATCGGCCTTCTCTGGTCCCTTACTCCTGGGTGTGTTCCATCTCCTCGCTACTCAGAATGTGGTCCTCAGAGCAGGAGTATCAGCATCGTCTGGATTTGTTAGGAATGCACAATCTCAGGCCTCTGCCAACCCAAATGAATCAGGATTTTCATTTAACAAGATCCGCAGGTGGTTCAAACACACTTTAAAGCTTGGGAAGTTTAGGTGTGGTACCTATTTTCCAGAACCCCAAGCAGCTGGGCCAATTTAGAACATTCCCTTGGTTTGGGAAGGTTCGCTTCTCCATTTCCCTCTAGGACTTCCTTGTTTTCTTCAACAGGCCCCCTTTACAGCCCTAACCAACCAACCACACACACACACACATGCACATGCACACATACATGCACACCTACACATATGCACAGATGCACTGACACAGGTGCACAAGTACACTTTTTGGGAAGGCAGTTTTCTTTTCTCGCTCATGTCTCAGACTGCCTTGGCCCTTCCCGGCTTCTCTCTCTGTCCCTCGCACCTGCCACTTCAGCTAAGATCTCTCCTTTCCACAACAGTGGATCCCACTCTAAAATTTCAAAAAAACGACCAAATGCTGGGGAAATTAGCTCCAGGTTGCTCTCTCTTTTACTTTGCCAAATAAAGACATTAAACTAAAACAAGACAAGCTACCCTAGTTGATAACTATCCCTTTATGATCTCAGAAAAAAAGAATAGGGTTTAACACATTTTACTTGATAAAAAATTCACTATATTTTCTTCTTGTTTTCTTGTTTCATCTCAGTGTGATTGGAGTTTTAGTATAGCTTCACAGAGTAATATTTATAGATCACTTCAGATTTTGTGACCATTGCAGCAAAAATGTTGGGTGATCAGCCATGTCTTTCTCTCCTTTGAGTCACCTACTCCCAGGAAGATTTTATTATCCCAATTAAAACAAGAGAAGTAAAGGCTTCCCAACAGGCTCTACTTGTTAATGGAAGGTGGCTATTTCCTGTATGAAACTCTCACATCCCTATTTGTCCTCAATGGTTTCTGAGCTCGAGCATTTTTTTTTTATCATACAAATACAGCCAGCTTTATAAAGAGGAAATACATAGAGACAAGGTACTAAAGAATTTTAAATGACACTACTCTGGAACTTCAACTGTTCTCCATAAGAACAGGAAAGGGTCCTCAGCATAGGTTAACTTAACAAATATTTATAGTGTGTGGTCCTTGTCCTCTAGACTGGGCGAGAATCCTTGTCATCCATTCTTTGCTACTGCACCAGTAGACACTATTTTAAGTAGTTGTTTGTGGAATTATTAATATCATCCCTTTAATTGTGGTCTAATAGGACCACATCTGTTTTGTTCACCATAAGCTCCCCAGAAACCAACACAGTGGTGATGACTACATGTGATAACTTATAGTAAGTGGCGCTAAGCAAAGAGGAAGCATAGGCTGATTACATTTATTTAAGCATCAGTGATAGCTTTCTATTGCCTATGTGGTTTTAAAAAATCTTCTTTCCTTTGCATTCAGGCTCATTTATTTATTCTTTCAAATGATATTTATGACACTCTTACTGTGTGCCAGGCAGCGTTGAATCCACTTGGGATAAGGGAATGAAAACAAAAGGCAATACTTCCTGCAGCCATGGAGTTTACTTTCAATTTCCTGCCTCGTGGGGATGATATGAAAGTGAAATGAGCAGTGAGTGTGTATTAGTCAGCTCAGGCTGCTGTAACAAAATACCATAGACTGGGTGGGTGGCTTAAATGACAAACACTTATTGCTTACAATTCTGGAGGCTAGAAAGTTCATGATCAAGGTGCTAGCATTGTCAAGTTTCTGGTAAAGGGTTTTTTTCTGGCCTGTAGAAGAAGCCATCTCTTCATACGGCAGAGAGAGAGAGAGAGAGAGAGAGAGAAGAGAGCGAGTGCACATCCTCATGTCTCTTCTTACAAGGGCACTAATACCAACCTGAGGATTCCACCCTTGTGACCTAATTACTTCTTCAGGGCCCCTCATCCTAATACCATCACATTGAGGGTCTGGGCTTTAACACAGGACTTTGGTGGGGACATAATTCAGTCGATAGCAGCATGTTGAAGTGATTAGAAAAATTCCCTACATGTGAAGAATGCAGAAAAATTTCTTCACCTATTTATGGAGCATTAGTTATGAACCAGGAGCTGTGCTGGAATTTGGGGACCAGGTGGTGACTGGAGGCACCTGGATTCCTGCTGCTCATGGGTTCCTAGGCAGTGCTCTCTGCCCTGCCTCAAGTTCTACCCTCCTCTTCCTCTTGACTAAAGCTCCATTTTCTCCTCCTTCAAGAACCTCTCCCTTCCTCTTTCCGTGCTAGGAAATGTACCCCCAGCATTTTGTATCTATCTCTTGTTAACACTTATAACCCACTTTTTCTTGGCCTACTTGTTAATATCTTTCAGTAGTCTGGGAACCTCTCAAGGTCAGGGACAGGGACTTAGTTGTTTTCATACATTTCCAAATCCTGCTCCCCTCCACCTCCCTGAAGCCCCAGTACAACGCTTCGTACAGAATGAGTCGTCTGTTCGTTTGTGTGCAATGAATGGATACATTTTGTAATGTCACCCTGTGTTTAAAACTCCCAATAACTTCCCAAACTGCATTTAAAGCCTAATTCTTTGCCCTGTCTCTCCTCTGCCTACCTCCCCACCTCTCCAGTGTGGAATAGCGCCATTCCCTTGTTGCCCCACACTGCATGGTGGCCACTGTCTTTCCTTCTGTTTCTGAAAACAGCTGACCCCATTCTGTCCTCTCAGTTTTACACTTGCTGGTTTCCTGGTTCTTCCCATGGCCTGGCTTCTCCTCATCATTGTCACTGTCACCTCCTCTGAGAAGCCCTCTGTGATCCCTTTGCTGAACTGATCTCTTCTTTTCCTAGACATCCTCTTTCAACCTTTTCAAATCTCATTTTCCTCATAGCAGTTACCATTGTATGAAATTACCTTGTGTATATTTCATTTCTTGTACGGGAACAGTGGTTCTCAACTGGGACCATTTGCATCCCAGAGGACATTTTTTTGTTATCACAGTTGGGGAGAAGATGTCACTGGCTTCCAGTGTGTAGAACCAGAGATGCTGCCAAACGTTCTACAATACACAGAACACCCCCAACTACCCCTAGCAAATAATTATCTTTGGCCACAATATCAATAGTGCCAGGATGAGAACCCCAGGATAGAATTTGCACAATGAGGATGGGGCCTCTTCTGTCTGGTTCTTGTCAATGTTCTCATGGTCTCAAATAGCACCTGGCACAGCACATTCCTTTAGCCAATGTTTGTGTCATGGATAAATTAAGTTCTATGTTAAAATATAGGAGGGTAATGTGACTTGGGGGCCTCTACCTCATTATTTTGGAAGAAATGGAATCAGAATTCAATGCCACACCATTAGACATTCTCTAGTGAAATGATGCCGTTAACTCACCGGTGATCATGCTGCTGGGACAGGATGGGAGGGTGAGAAGTGGGGGAAAGGGGTGTTTTTCTCTATTCTTAAGGATGCTGTGAAGTACACCTTGCCCAGTGTTCAGGGGGCTGAAAGTAAGGGCAGCACCTATCTGTGTCATGCATGACAAGAGGCTGTGCCAGAAAGGGAAGAATTTTTAAAAATAATAAAAATCCCGATTTAATGATAAATAATCATGCCCTGCCTCTGACGTTAAAGGGCATCATTGTCTCGGCTCAGCGATGTAAATCACCATAATGGACGAATCTTTTAAAAGTAACATGGAATTTAAAAATGGAAAATATGAGGGCCATGCAGGATGACTGTGAAAATCATCCGTTTATTATCTAGGTGTGCTTAATAATCTGCTGCCTGGGGAAGAATCATTTGCTAACCCTGAGGAATGGCTCATTTTCCAATTCAATCATTCAGGCCAGCACTGCCTAGGACTTCTCTTCCTCCTCCCTTCCCCTCCCCACTCATGACTTCTTTCGTCACTGTCTAGAAAGAGTCTATCACTGCCATAACTTCCATTAAAGCCTCCACTAAACAGTTTCAAAAGAACAAGGTAGGTTCACCATGAGCTGGTGCAGTTAGCAACAAATCAGCCTTCAATTGGTGAGAATGACTCATTTGAAAGGGATTATTAGCCAAATGTTAATTGATTAGTGGAACTAAAGCAATTAAAGTGAACAGAGCCTTAGCCTGTCTCCACCCATCCTCAACGCAGGCATCTTTCTACCATGTGACTCACCCTCTGCAAATTATGAGCATTCCTGGTCCACAGAGAAATGGTTTTTCCTTTTTACGGTTTCCAGAATTTTGTGAGAGGCTTTGAAATCAAGAAATGGAAATCAAATAAGTAAGTGCAAAAAGACAATCTACTACTTGGTATGCCTGTATCAGATAGAATTGGCTGGATTATGCTGCTGTAACAAATAGCCCCTAAGTCACAGTGACTTAACACATCAAACGTTGACTTTCTATTCACGCTACTCATCTGCCATTAGTTGAGGGTGGTGGGCTCCACAGGTTGCATCCCCATAAAGCTGACCTTGCATAATACACAACCCCCAAATCACAATGACTTAACACAACAGAAGTTTACCTTTTACTCGTGAGTTGCAGGTGGGGGGCTTGCTTGTTTTCATCACTAACTGCTAAGGAGACAAGGACGTTATTCTCTACCATGGACTTGGAGGAGAAGGAGAATGGAAATAACTGTAAGAAACCCTGTTCATTACCCCAGTGCCTAGTGCCTTATACAATTGAAGAACATTAGTCATCATCATATTCCTTTCCCCAACAATTGACACCATTATTGAAGTTTGCCTATGTTCAGATCTGTGCTCATTGCTTTATGTGCGGTATCTCATTGAATTTTCACAACAGCTCTGTGGCATACAGGGCATTGTAAACCTCCTTTTCTGAAATGAGGCTCAGGGTAATTAGTAACTTACCCATCATCTCACCTAGTAACTTACAGAGCTGTTTTGATCCCTAGTTTGCTTGACTCCACAGCCCATGACATGCTACAAGTCGTACTGAAATAAGTCCTCTCTGTCTTTCTCCCTGAGGATCTCTCAAAGTGCAGTGGATGTAATTCTGGTGTTTCACAACATGATTTTACATAGCATACGGGCCAACATTTTTTTTCTTTAACAGTTGATATGTATCGTAATGTGTATGTGAAAAAGATATAACTCGTGGCAAAATCATGATCTAATAGATGTTATTGCTTAAGTTGAGGCTTAACTGAATTTTTAAGTTTAAAAATAGTCAAGTTTTTAAATTAAGTAAATATAATAGGGAAAAACATGAAAGCAGTACACAATTAATGGAGGTTTGAAAATTTGAATCTTTTCACATAAACAATCCATCAAACAGCCTAATATTTACTAAGATTGTCTGTGGGCTAGAGAATACTTTGACATCACCCGCTTTGGGAAGTATTTATCATCCCTTCCTTTTAATGCGTCTTCACCCCAATGGTTAAGAACTTTCTTTTCTGTGCTTCAGAAGTATCTTGTATAGTTTAGGACCAATCACATTGTATAGTAGTTACCTAACATGTCTCTCTTTCACAATAGACTATGTAACTTTCATGGGATTTTATTAATCTTGGTATTTTCGGCTACTGATCCAAATAGATATTTTACAATAAAATCATGGAACTTACCTAGGTGGAGTATGCAATGCAGTGAAAGAGACGAACATCGCATCAATAGGATTCTGCTACAAGTAACAAGGAAAACATCACATTCAAACTGGTTTATAAGGAATTACTGGCTCATGTAATTGAAAAACCCCAAAATCATGTATACATCAGGGAAGGCTTGCTCTAGCAGCTGGACAATATCACCAAGAAGGCAACGTCCTTCTGTCTCCTACCATTTCTTGCAGCCTCAAGACGGCAGCTAGAAGACTCTAGAGTTATAAACTTCCTCATTCATATCCAACAGGAAAGAGAAAGTGTCTTTTTCCTGTCTTTCCCAGCAGTTTTGTAGACAATCACTGGGAATAGACCACCTTATGTCATATACCAAGTTCCCAAACCATTACCCGTTTTCAGGGGCATGAAGTGAGCTCATTGGCTTGGTCAAGGTCACCTGCTCCACTGCTAGTCCTGGAAAGGGGGTCTGGGTTTCCAGAATTCTGCAGAGGATCTGAAGCAAACCAGGGGCTAACAGAAGGGGGAGGGCAGGACAGCAGATAACAAGAAACATGAATCTGACTCCAGTGAACTGGAAGCATTTTGTAACTAGCATTGAATGCCCCTGTGTCACCTTGAAAGTGATGACTTTGCCTTTGTCCTATCACAGGTCACCACTGCCTTTAAATCAGATTACCTAAAAGCAATGTTGAACTTTAACACATCTTTCCATATGCTGTGCTTCCCGTAGGCAAGATTTTGCATTTGTGCTATTTTCTCCAGCCCCTTTTCCTGGTTTCATTTTGCATACCATAAAGATCATGAGAAAGCTTAATTCAGGACACAACTCTTAGGTTCTCAGCTCTACACTGAGATCCTGTTTTGTTTCACCTTGCTAAAAACGTCTTGCCCAGTTTATCTTTCAATTCGTTTTCTGGATCTTCGTCCAATTTAAAAATATGTTAAGATTATTTTTAGATCCTAGTCATTAGTGCTATGAGACTGTTTTCAAACAGATTTATTCTTTTCTCTCATTTGCTCAATATTTGATTCCCTATTTAAAGTGCTTTTCTCCTTTCAAGCTTTCTACAAATCTAAACATTGGGAGAAAAAAAATGAGGGAAAGGACCAATTCTCTATATTTGTGTAATTGTAAGCAAAATGTGCTGTACTCTTTTCTGGCCACTTGGCACATAGGTTACAGGTCATGAACTATATATGAAGGCCTGCAGTTCAAATGAGATCCACAGATCTGGTATGTTCCTCCCAGACTGTGTTTCAAATAGACAAGTGTTAGTTGCCTGGGTTTTTTTTTTTTTCTTTTAAAGGAGACTTCATTTAAATTTCAGGGTATTTTATATCCAAATATAGAATTAGAGCCTTCTTTAAGACTTGATTTGAAAGCACTGAAGTCACTATCCTATATGGCAATAATTGGGTGGAGCTTTCACTGTTGGGGCTTACCACTCCCACTGTGACTGCTGGGACAAGGCTCAAACTTCTGAAACTCTGTGGCCAAGGAGAGGAGACTAGCTACAGTTTCTTACTGAGGAAAGGGAGTGGTATCAGGGGGTTGGGGGAGACCCCTGTTGTTGAATGTCCAGAGGTGGTGCCTGTGATATTGACCCCCATAGGTGAGCTCGTGTGATGTAATGGTCAGGTCTTGGCCTTTACGTGAATCTACGTGAATTCCAAAGTGGTGAATATATATTCCACCACTTTGGAATTACATCCTCGTGGGCAAGTTGCCTACTTCCTCCAAGCCTCCGTTCTTGTTTGTAAAATGAGGACATTGTTACAATCTACTCGTAGAATTGTTTTAAGAATTAAATGAATCCATGAGTTGAGTCCACAAAGCATTGAGCACAGGGCTTGTCCAGTGGAGAAAGTCTCATGAAGGTTGGTTATCACTCTCTTCCTGTATTAGTCTGTTTTCACACTGCTATAAAGATACTACCTGAGACTGGGTAATTTATAAACAAAAGAGGTTTAATTGACTCACAGTTCTGCATGACTGGAGAGGCCTCAAGAAACTTACAATCATGGTGGAAGATGCAGGGGAAGCAAGGCACGTCCTACATGGTGGCAGGAGAAGAGAGTATGCAGGGGGAAACTGCCACTTTTAAAACCGTGAGAGCTCGTGAGAACCCCCGCACTACCATGAGAACAGCATGGGGGAAACCACCCCCATAATCCAGTCATTCCCCACCAGGTCCCTCCCTGGACATGTGGGGATTACAATTCAGAATGAGATTCGGGTGGGGACACAGAGCCCAACCATGTCACTTCGTCACCATCGGTCCTCGTGTTATTACTACTTCTATTACTGTTGGTCCATTTTAATTTTTTATTCTCATTCTTCCTTTCTCTAATCTCCTTTTTCTCAGTCTCATTTCATTTTACTTAGCATGGCATCCTTGTAGACAAGGTGGTGGTCAATATTTGTATTTCCCAGATGGCCAACGAAAACAGCCATGTAGAGCCTAACAGCTGTATCCTAACTCGCATTACAAGCTAGGATCTGGTGTTCACAAAAAACCACCTTCGTTTCTGCTGTTTGTAAAAAGGTCCGAAACCACTAGCTTCTTGTGGCTATTTTTGGCCCCATAAAGAGGTCTTGGCTCTTGAAATACTGGTCACATTCCAATTAAACAGATTGTCATTTGCCTTCCTGGGCCAGGGGTGAATATCACCACTTACTTCCTGCAGGAATTGCCAAGAGCAAGTGGGTCTAAATGGGGTGCACACCCACTGTGAAACTGAATAGCCAAAATCCAAAGACCAGGGATAGCCTCAGGTTTACACTGTGATACTGTGTTTCTGGATAAAGAATCTGATAAAAATAAAAGAAGCTGCTGTATCTCTGTCTTCTACCTGGAGAGAAATCTCCACAGTCTTCCAATTAAGACCATAGGCTCCGGAAACAGACCTGAACTCCAACCTCAGGCACACCACTTACCAGCTATGTGACCTCAGGCTAGTATTAACCCTCAATTTCCTCATCTGTAAATGGGGAACTATATTAATGTCTACCTTTTAGGATAAGTGTGTGAATGAAGTAAGGCTTGTAAAGCACTTAGCATAGGTCTGGACAGAGGGAGCTCTACACAAACATTTGTTGCTGTTATGACTGAAACAAATGGTGGACCAAACCATGGCAGTTTAACACACATTTATATCTCCCCCATCTCCTTTCCCAGCCCTTCCCCTAACGCTGTGGAATAGCACTTGGATTGAATAAAGGAGGGAAAATGGTTTTAGGACAATAACTGAATAACTGAACCACTTTGGATTTTTTTCTGGGGGGAAGGTGTGCAGGAATTTAAGCAGCATCAGCCTCACCTAGGAACTTGTTAGAAATTCAGACTCTCAGACCCCACCCCAGACCTACTGAATCAGAAACCATGACAATGGAACCACGTGCGCTGTGTTTAGCAAGCCTCACTGGTGATTCCAAAGCACACTAGTTTAAGAACCACTGGTTTAAATGGAAGTTGGAACTCCGCTGATGCTGAATCAAATTGGGTTTGCCTTCTTTCTTCCTTTCTTCCCCTCTACTTAACAATGCCTGTGTCAGCCTATTTGGAACCAAATTTCTCTGTCTCATAATGGAAAGAAAAAGCATTTCTTCCAATAATTTCCCCTTACGATAAATATGCATCTCTGTTTTTTATTTTTCAAAAGCCCCAGAAAAGCGTGATGTGGGACCAGCCTTTACCAACTCCAGCAGGAACTGATCATAAGTCCAATGAATATATTCTTAGGAAGGACTTGTCCTAATTATCCACTGCAGGTTCATCTTACTGTGTCTCTACAACCAAGCCATGTGCTAGATGGCAAGGGAGGAAGCTGTATTTCTATGTTAAGTAACACTGATGTATCCAGATACTTGGTTTTTAAGTAGTAATTTTTTTTTAACTTTCAGGCAAGTAAAAGAAACAAAGTATCACTGAGGCTACTTGAAGGAATCTTGGGACCTGAGTATGTTTATTAAGTATTTTTCTTCTTTCTTCTTCCAAAAAGAATTTGAGGAGATTTTTCAATAAAAGAGATAAAATCATAAAAGTAACATGGTGGAGGGACAAATAGGGGCTCATAATGAAGGAGCAGATCAGTTGTGCCAGAAAACCTAAGCTAAGAAGTGCTACTCTAAGTGACTGCAAAATGAAACTCAGAGGTTCCTGGCTGCAAAGGCAAAAAGAGAAACAGGATGAGTCACAGAGCCTTTGTTCTCTAACAAGAAAGCAGATACATTCATCAGGAAAGAAAAACTATTTCCTAGCACTAGACTCTAAGAGAAATTTATCGTGGAGTCCCTTACATAAGGTACATGAGTATGTATATTTAACACAGATCTCCGGTGTTAACCGTGGGATTTATCTGTCTTTTAGGGAAGTAAATTTCAGAGCTCAGCAGGTTGACAGTGTCTCTTCAAATTTACAGTGTCAACGTGCAGTAAACTAGCTGCTTCCCATGCCACGTTTTACTGGACCGTCTATCAATATTTGATCAAATTGGGCCAAAGTTTCAAACTGCCCTTAAATTTACCCAGAGAAAGTGCTTGTACATGCAGAATGCCTGAGTGGGCTTCAAAATTGAGTCCTTGTGAACGGGAAGCATCTTTTAAAAATATATCTGCACCGTTTGCTCAAGTCTGAATCCTTCCTAAGAATGCTTATAATGTAAATCTATCTGCAAATCCATAGTTGCCCATAAAAATGCCAAGCACATGGCTTGTTTCTCCCAGGTATACAGACAATAATTTACGTGTAATCGTGTCTCTAATTGTATATACATCTAATTGTACATACATCTAACATGAATAATGTTATTCACAGAACATATGTGGTTGACTAAAATAGGAGTTCCTTTGTGTGAACCTAAAGGATTGATTGAGATGATAAAATATCATCGCTGCTCTGACTACGTCTTTGATATTTGTATGGAATAATTACATGAATAGGTCCAATGGTTTTATTACCATGGCGATGCATTGTGTGTTATTGCTTCTCTTCTTGTCTAAACTGGTTTTCCAGGACTCTGCTGGAAAATGCACCTCTATAATCCTCAGACTACCCCCCCACCCAGATCTGCTCCTGACTCCATATAAAAGTAAATTCTTATCACCTGGGAATGTTTTTCCTTCAGCCTAAAACAGTCTCTGTTCCATATTCTTGAAATCCCAGGATGGAAGTCTTGCTTGAATTATAGAAGTCTTGCTGGTTGAAGCATTGCTACATTTTTTGGGTGTATTGTTTCACCTTAATATATAAGATCCTTTTACTGTCCAACATGAGACACTTGGAGGTGGTGTTCATGGCCTTTCAAGGCTGGTTCCTATCCCATAGTCAGAGATATAATCTATAGAGCCTTTAACTCAATGGGAAATGACAGAAATTGCAGCGGGAAGCAGAATTTTATCCAAATGTTCTTCCTCTGAATTGTTAAGCATTAAACCTCAACATTAACCTAAATGTTCAGAGATAGTTCTTTCCTAGGTATGTGGAATATTAACCAAATGGTTTTGGCAATTTACATTTTTAGCCTCTACGCAGGAGTACATTCCATTTAGAAAACTAGATATTCTAAGTGGTGGAAGATGTGACAGAGGCGTTAATACTTGAAGCCATCATAGTTCAAGTTGTAGTTTCAGTATTGTGCTTTAACTCGTTTTTTGTTTTTTTTTTTGCTTTTTGTTTTTTATGAGTTATCAAGTTATCATGTTTCAAATACCATTTTTCTTCCTTATAGTTAAAAACAACAGCAGCCAAAGCCCTTGCAGTGAATATTTTGTGATATTCAAACCTGTGGGAAACAGGAATATCAAGGACATTTTTCTTTCCTGGATTTTCTAGTATTTTGAAAATTTTGTGCTGTTTATAAACAAGCAAATTGTCCACTGAAACGCAGCACACCAGTGAGCAATCTTTGAGCAGTGTAGGGAATCTGACTTGAGCGTTTTCCTGAGTGCCCTCTGTTTGCACCATTAGTGTTAAATGTCTGTCAGCCTTTCCATTGTAGTCACTGTTTTTCTGGGATTTATTACTCAACTCTAAAAACCAGCTCCAGGCTACAAATTGCCATAAAGGGGAGGTCATTTTTTTCCCCTATTGAAGTAGTGTGGGTGGGAAGGAGAAAAAGTATTCATTCCACCCTCTTATTTTTTTTTTGAGTCAAAAAACAAAAAAGCTGTACTCATAACCAGAGTGTATGGCTTGATATTTTATTGAAATAAATATGTACATAAATTATTATCTTATCTTAAAACTGTTGGATGATGTTGAGAGATTATTGTTAGTAGGTCAAGCCAAAACTTGACGTTTTCAGGGGAAACCAAATCATATGTTCTGCTTTTAATCTGGCGTTTCCTGGTTTGTGTTTTAAGGGAAATGTCCTTCATTGGATGAACCTTTATTTTGTGCCTTGGAACCAGGCATACGTGATAACAGGATACATAAAAGGTGGTAATTGTCCCTGACCTCAAATAATTAATGGTCTAGGTAGGAGAAGAACATTAAACCATGGTTTCCTACCATGTGCACTTGCTCTTGCAGATTTTTTTTATTATTATACTTTAAGATCTGCAGTACATGAGCAGAATGTGCAGGTTTGGTTACATAGGTATACACGTGCCATGGTGGTTTGCTGCACCCATCAACCCATCATTTACATTAGGTATTTCTCCTAATGTTATCCCTCTCCTAGCCCCCCACCCACCAACAGGCCCCGGTGTGTGATGTTCCCCCCACTGTGTCCATGTGTTCTCATTGTTCAGCTCCCACTTATGAGGAACAACATGCAGTGTTTCGTTTTCTGTTCTTGTGTTAGTTTGCTGAGAATGATGGTTTCCAGCTTCATCCATGTCCCTGCAAAGGACGTGGACTCATCCTTTTGTATGGTTGCATAGTATTCCATGGTGTATATGTACCACATTTTCTTTATCCAGTCTATCATTGATGGGCATTTGGGTTGGTTCCAAGTCTTTGCTATTGTGAATACTGCCACAATAGACATACGTGTGCATGTATCTTTATCTTGCAGGTAAATTTTAAGCATGCAACCCTAAAATATGTATATCGTGTGTAAATTATATGCATATGCTACTGTACTAGCAAAAAATGTGCTTCATTAAAATGTGTACAAAATGGAAATTTGAAAAGAATTAGATATAAAAATTAAGTTTATGTAGATAGTATTAAAGACTATATATTATTATATATTTTATAGATATGCATAAATATTATTTATATGTAAAACTCCATCCTATTTGCTCATAGTATTTAAAAAATTCTGGCTTTTAATTTTTTTAAACATTTTATAGTAAGAGCAAACATTTAATATGGTTCATAATTTTTGAAGATCTTGGTTTATTACTTCATCATATATTGATTCAAAGATCTGGTTGTCAATTATTATTATTATGTTTAGTGACTTCATTTAAATGGCTGTACTAGCTGAGATATAACACAAAAATGCATGAGTTCAAGTGGATCCAACTAAGCCCAGATGATGAAGTCCATGTATCCAGTTGCATAGGCACATTGAAGCTGCCCTTCCTGGAAATAGGCTGAGATTTAAGGAAGGAGCCAAGGATCACATCAGCCCTCCACCTTGATGAACTTCCCCGCCCCACCCCTGGGTGCCTGCCCCCGGCAGATGACACCTTCACATCTAGAACAAGTCAGGACACCAGTGTCAACCTGTATTTTCTTACTTTCAGATAAAAATTACTATTTCTTACCTAAAAAGAAAACACAAATAGATATAAATTCAATTTCTTATATGATCTTCCTGTCACAAAATGAATCCTCTCTTGAACTCTCTGCAGTGCACACAGGCCCCCAAAGGGAGACTTACTAAAATGTAATATGAGCTTCCAATTCTCTCCTATTTATAGGATGACCCTCACCTTTAGGAGCTCTTCGACTGCCAGTGATACTCTTTCAGCCACCCCCACCCATAAAAACATGTAGTTCTCTTTCACCCAGACAGTAGTCCCTGAGAAAAGCGACAGAAGTAGAGCCCGTTAGGATTGCAGGAGGCTGTGGTATGGCAGTGTCTGGCTGGTAGGTGTCCCATGTACCCAACAAGTGCTCTTTGTCATTTGTTTTTCCTCTCTAAGCAGGAAATTATTCCCAACCCTAAGTTAGTGAAACCAAAGCTTCCTCTTCCCAACACACACACATACACACGTGAGTCTGACTGCTTGAATTCAGAGGCAGGTTCCATGAATGGAACCATAACTGGAGCTGGTTTGAGACCAAGTTTATAAGAAACAGGATCCTTCTCATTGTGCCTGCCCTCCTGTGACCTGTCTGCAAGCTCTTCTCTATGTCAGGCCACCTCTGGCCCCAACTGTAGCCCCAAGATACCTGCAGGAATTGGGATACCAAGGCATCCTCTCATATTCTTTTTTTTTTTTTTCTCTGAGACAAGGTCTCATTCTGTTGCCCAGGCTGGAGTGCAGTGGCTCGATCTCGGTTCACTGCAGCCTTGCCTCCCAGGTTCAACTGATTCTCCTGCCTCAGCCTCTGGAGCAGCTGGGACCACAAGCGCACATCACCACGTCCAGCTAATCTCTCATATTCTTTAAAAAAATTTTTTTCTAAGACAAGCCAACAAAACTTCTATAGCTATCATACATCCACAAAAAGATGTTTATTGTGGCATGCTTAGTAAACCCATGCAAATAAGAGAGAAAAATATAACTGTCACATCCACACATGGTATGCTGTTAACATTTTGCTGCTTTGTCTTTCTGTACATTTAATGCCTTTTTAACAAAATATTATTATACTTAAAGTATGTACTATTTTGTAATATCCTTCCTTAGTTAATGATATATCTTCAACATCTTTTCATATTTTTAAATAGTGCTGTAGAAGCTTAGTTTTAATAATAAAATCAATTTCAGGCTGGGCGTAGTGGCTCATGCCTGTAATCCCAGCACTTTTGGAGATCGAGGTGGGAGAATTGCTTGAACCCAGGGGTTCATAAGTTATTTATGTATTTATGTTTATAAAGACAGCGAGACCCTGTCTTTATAAACATAAATACATAAATAAACAACAAAAACTACATTTCATTAAATAGTACTCTAATGTACTCTAATGCATTAAGTCAGTTCAAGTTGTTTGCAACTTTTTTGCTATCACAGCCATATTCTAATACAAAAAAAAAATTGCAGCTGAATATTTGAATACATCTATGATTATTTTCTTGGGATAACTTCCAAAAAGTGGAATTACTGAGCCAGAGCTGTGTTTATGGGTTAGGATGTACTTTTCATTTTTATTTTAAAATATATGCATATGTATTTATACATGCATATGTACAGTTCACATATACACATACACACATATCCATATATGCTCATATATGTATTTATGTATGAAGCAAAATGGTTTCATCCAATAATACAGTTCTACTATATATGCTGTTAGAGCACATGCACCTTATGGTACTTTATCTAATCTTAGTTGTTGAGAAAAAAATCATTTGTCAAGGAAAATGATGGCTAACCCTGAGGCTGAAGTACCAGATAGTGGAGAGGGGAAGGGATGGTAGAAGAGGATGGTATTTACCACATAGGAGGAGTGACAAGTAGAAAAGCCTGGAATTGGTAAAAGACGCTGCGTTCAAGGTACCAACAAATAGTTCTGTTTGGCTGGAATGAGGATAGAAGATAGATGAAAGATAAAAGGAAAGACCCCTGCTGGGTGCAGGGGATCGCTTGAGCCCAGGAGTTTGAAGCTGCAATAAGTTAAGATCGTGCCACTACACTCCAGCCTGAGTGACAGAGCAAGACTTCAACTCAAAAAAAGAAAAAAATGTAGAGACCCTGAAGGGACTTGAAACCCATACTATTGAGTTTACACCTTGCGAACAGCACAGTGGGGCTATGGAAAATGCCATTTAAGGAGAGGAGAGGGTGGTTAGATATTTTTTTTAAAAAAGAAAAGAATCCCAGTGGTCACCAGGTAGAAACTTGATTGCAGCGACACAGGACTGCAGTCAGGGGAAAAGTGGGGCACTGCTGAAGTTATCCAGGAGACGGGGCTTGTGGTTGCATTGGAGGAAATGGCAGGACATGGAGGCCCAGGAGCTGATTTCAGAGCCATTAAGAAGCAGCATCTACAGAGTGCAGGAAATCCAGTCTCTTCTCTCTGCCTTGGGCTCAATTTGTTGGGAAATGGTGGTGGTGGATAGCAGACATGTGGGTACCAAGTACCCCATATGATAGAATAAGTACTGGAGAGACTGAGCTGATCCACACATGAAAGCCACACTCATGGAGTTTCCCCACTACATCCCCCTTCACCTGGATGGATTTTCCAAGCAGTGCTGAGAATAACAAAGGTTCATCCTCAGAATGAACTCCTTCAAGCATCACATCCCCGATGTGGCCATCTTTAAACCATCTCCTTGTTTCAATTAAGAGCAACAGCAATGTGGGCCACAGAACCCGGTGGCGGGAACCCTGGGCTTTGTTTATTGCCTAACACCTTGGCAATGTTTGATGACTCGCTGCTCCTGTTGGTTGGGAATCTATTTCTTTGCCCTGGAAATTGTGACTTCTAGACTGAAGATGAAAGATGGACTTTTTCTCTTTGCTTTGTTTTTCCTTGTTGGTTAGTCACTTTCATTCAATGTCATGCTTTTTGGCGGAGGTGGTGCCTTAAGATCTTGGACCTACTGAGTCAGTTGGGGCAGGTTTCTCAGCAGTTTCCTCAGTGCCTGCCGGATTGTGAGATGTGCTGGAGATGGGAATAACTTTTTCACACTTTACATGTTCCAGGAAGGACTTGGTGGTGAGTGAAATGGCTTCCTCTGGCCTGCACTCTGGAGATTACACCATCTTCTAGAGCTGGGTTCATTAACTCAGATGTCTAAAGGACCCAGGCAAGTTACACAAATGAATCCACTGACAGGTGTAATATAATGGTGATGTGGCAAGGACTGTGATTAACTGAACAGTTCTTGGCTTTTATAACAGACACAGCTATGACAATGTGTTGCTAGATCTCTCAATTTTTTTAGTTCATTCAAAACTATGCTTTTCTAATTGGATACTTACAAAGGAATATGGGTAAAACATACATGTGAATTATCAAGCATACTAATACTATGAGCACCTATCAACCTATCTATTTGAACTCCATTCAAATAGAACATTGTAAGTATTGTTCAGGTTTCTTGAGTGAGACCCCCAATATTACACACCTGCCATCTGCAGTAGCTGCTGACTAAAATTGAATGTTTATAATTCCCTCGTTTTCCTCTATAGCTTTACCACATGGGTTTATATCCCAAAACAAGGTATTATTGACTCATTGCACATATACAAAGAGACAAGTACAAAAATATTCAGTGAAATTATTTGTATTAGCCCAGAAATTTTCATTAAAGGAGAATATAAAAATATATTGTGGTTTTAAAGGCATAAAGATGGGCTAGGCGCAGTGGCTCACACCTGTAATCCTAGCACTTTGGGAGGCTGAGGCGGGCAGATTATCTGAGGTCAGGAGTTCGAGACCAGCATGGCCAACATGGTGAAACCCCGTCTCAACTAAAAATACAACAATTAGCTGGGCGTGGAGGCACGTGCCTGTAATCCCAGCTACTTGGGAAGCTGAGGCATGAGAATTGCTTGAACCCTGGAGGTGGAGATTGCAGTGAGCTGAGATTGCACCACTGCACTCCAGCCTGAGCAATAGAGTGAGAATCTGTCTCAAAAAATTAATAAATACGGATAAACCACAGTTATGCAATTCATATGGATGGATGTTGGAAAGATGTGTGGCGAGGTGAACAAGCAAGTTGCAAACGTACAGTATGATCACATTTTGTGTTTTATAAAACTCAAAGTGGGAGGAGCTTTCCTTTTTCTTCAAAAATTCTAGAAATTTGGAGTTTTTTTGATATCTCCCAATTTTTTTCATATTAGAAAGCAAATTATCATATTAAAAATGCCTATGACTGCCAAATAAAATCTGTCTTTGGATGATATCCTGTGAGCTGCATGCTTCTGACTTCTGCTCTAGGAACTTAGATCAACTCTTGTTTTAACATCTGTGACGCACCTACTATATGCCAGTTCCTTATATTTCGTCATTTAAGCCTCACAACCCCTCAATAGGGCAGAAATTATTATTAGTTTTAGTCCCATCTTATCACTGAGGCACAGAGAGAGGAAGTGGTTTTCCCAAAGCTATACCACCAGGAAGTACCAGAGCTAAGATTTGAACCCCGCCACTCAGCCTCAAAAATCCTATTTGTAATTACTGTGCTAAACTGCCTCTTCCCTCCCACCTGGTGGTTGATTTTTGCTGAAGATGTGTATGTGGTAAATTCACAGACGACACTATTCTCAAGGTTTTCAGTTTCCCTGGAAATAGAGCACTGACTTAAAAAAAAAAAAAAAATAGTCAACCTGGGTTTTGCCTAACAGGAAATTCACAGTTTCATCTTTCAAAAAGAAATTCCGAACTCAGCCAAGAAGCCAAGATCAAGCACATCATGGTCAGCAAGCATCAACAGAAGGTTTTAGGTTGCTGTATGGAGTCTCTCTGGTCTCTGGGTCAATTTTTTATATCATGGTTGCCCTTTATAATGAGGGCATCAATTCTGATGAGATATAGATGGAGATATTCTTAAATAGGTTACAGTATGTGAAGTTTCTGAAGTCAATGGCCATTGTGTCTCTGAAATAAAAATACCTTTGTTTCTTCTGGCTATAAAAGGAATACACATACATTGTAAAGTGTGGAAAGAAATTTAAAATCACCCACAGATATCACCACTGGTAATATTTGGACTACAGCCTTTCAAAAGCTTTTTCACATAGAGATGCGTAATGTAAACATTATAATCATATAGAGGATAGCGTAATCCAGTAGAGTTTTACAATCTTTTTTTTCCTGAGTACTTAAGGAGAATATCTTTTTCCATCAACAGATAAAGAAACACGTAAAAATTTTAAATGGTGATAAATATTCCATTGTATGGATAGGACATATTTATTTAACCTATTAACTTCGCCTTATTGCTGAATGTGGGCTTTATTTTTTTTAAAATTTCTTTCTATTCTAAACAACACTGAGATGAACATCCTTCTATTTGCATCTTTGCACACTTGTCTATTTTTCTTTTTGGGATAGCATCCCAGAAGTAGAATTGCCAAAATTATGCCTGTTTAATGCTTTTGCTACTTATTGCCAAATCACCCTAGAAAGGATAATTTATTGACTTGCACATAAAGGGCTTGCTTAATGGGATTTGATATTCACAAGCTTTGAAGGTGCTATCGCAGCCTGTCATGTCTGGGGCCTGGAGGTCCTCTCTGATGTAAATCAAAACATTTGAGTTAACAACATTCAGCCTTGTCAGTCACCCACAAATTATAGGAGGCCTCCTCTGTCTTTGTCAATAACAAAAAAGGGAAAAATTACTCCAAAATGGCATAAAAATTAGGAACCAGACAAGTAGTCACCAAAAGAAGACAAGTGAGACAACAGTTGAAGAATTTCAGATTTGTAGTGGAGTGCAGCAAGTGAACAGGAATTGTCTGGGTTTATAGAGAAAGGCCTGTAGCATCTGACTCCTGCGTGCTTGGTGACAGGGTCAGTAGCACAGAGCTGGGCACAGAGAAGTCACTCACACAGACGGCAAGGGTGGAAAAGTGTATAGAGGGTTGAGGAGCTTCACTCTGTAGTGGGAGGGTATGATCCTCAACAGCAGCAGAATGTTAATTTCCTTAAGTCTTAAATCTTGCCCTGATATGGTATAGATTTTTCTCTGCAACTCTTTCATATTTTCAGCTCTTGCATTCTGTAGCACCACATGGGAGAATATGTTACTCAAGAGAAAATTTTTAGTGATGTGTGTTTTGTCTTCATTTCTGAAAATAGTCTCAGTTGTGGAAAGGCAAGTAATCCATGTGCAGCATGATTAGGGAAGGAAGGAAAGAAGGAAGGGAGGGAGGGAGGAGAGAGGAAAGGAAGAAAGGAAGGAAGGAAGATAGGAAGAGAGAAAGAAAGAAAGAAATTCAAAGCTTGAGTCTTTAAAATCTTTGCGTCTCTAAAAGAAAAGGATTTAGTTATGGGTCTGATGCATACAGCTGGTATTTCTAGCAACTAGTGTGGGCTTCTTTTTTCTGCTGCAATCTATTCATTCTGTGCATCTTACCACAAATTGCTCCAAGAGGAAACACAGCCTCCTTAGGAGGCTAAAGTCCAACGAACGTCAGATCCAGAACAACATTGCTTTGCGTCTCTATTTAACGTTAGAGCGGATGACTTTTTGACACGTTTATAGCTGACGAGTTCTATAGCCAGTCATGCAGGACGATTACGTTTGAACTAATTTGATGAATCAACTTGATGTTCTCCCATAGCCCCCATAACCTTCAGGAGCATATGTACCCAATTTTCAACTGGAAGTCAAAAAGAAGCTTTGAAATTTGGCTAATCCCATCATATCCGCAGGACCCGTCTGGTGGAATAATCTTGGGACATAAACTCTTGATTGATGCCAAAAATGGGAAGAACCACTTGGTAATATCATCAGGGCCATCAGTCAGGCCCTTGGTAGGTCTTGAGATAGGGTTTCAGAGGCCAGCGATTGTTTTGTGAGTTCTTGAATAATTTTGTGGTGAGGGAAGCAGAGTTCATTGTCAAAGCATTTGGGGGTCAGACCCCGGGGAAAAATCATTTCTCATTGTTGGATTCAGTTTGATGGGGATTTGTGAGAACCGATGAGGAGGCGTAAAGATTTCCTGAGTTACTTTTCCCCATGTCCTGATTTTTTTTTTTTTCCGACTCCTTTCTTGCCAGGAGGCCTGCTAGCATAGTCATTCAGAGCATGAGTGTGGGAGTAAGAATGCCTGGACATAAATCCTGCCCTTACCACACTCCCATCATTGCACAATACTGGGCCAGTCACTTCACTTCTCTGCAACTTGCCTTGCTCTGTGAAATGTAGATAATAATCGTTCATACCCATGGGGTTATACTGGAATTAAATATAACAGTATGTACAAAGGGACATAAACAGTGCCTGATATATAAGCTTTCAGATACTAGAAGCTATTGGCTATAGACTAGTGAATTTTGGTGACTTTCCATGCCCAGAAAGTTGATAGAACTTGATTAATCCAAACAGATTAAGTAAGTAGATGCTATGATTTGAATTCACAGCTGGTATTATTTTTTCCCCAAAATCGTTAGCAAAAAGACTATTGTGCCATCACATAGTAAAACTGATTCTTGCTATCGAGAATAGTCCTTTTCTACAGCTGAGAGTTACTAGTATGTGGAACCGGCTGAAAGCAGGTGGCTTGCTACATCATAAATTGGGTTGGCTGGGTACTTCATGTGTTCATTCCACCCATATTTATCGAGTTTTTCCTACTGCATGCCAGTGTCAATGTGTGATGTGAAAAGAGGAGAATATTTTGGGGAAAAGCGAACATAAGCTCTACCAGTGACTACCTATGTAAGCAAGTCACTTAATCACTCTGGGCCACAGTATCTTCATCATTAAATTGAGATAAGCATGATCCGCCTTCTAACGTCTCCTGCAAGGAGCAGATGGGATTGTATAATCCAAGGGCCTAGGTCAGTGGCTGGCACATAGAAGGTGCTCAATAATTGCTGTTTTTATGCCAGGAATTTGTTTTAGTCGCCCTCTGCATTGATTGATAAAAAGCTTTTTTTTTTTTTTTTTTTTTTTTTGGAGACAGGGTCTTGCTGTGTCACCCAGGCTGGAGTGCAGTGGTGTGATCTCGGCTCACTGCAACCTCCACCTCCCTGGTTCGAGCAATTTGCTTGCCTCAGCCTCCTGAGGAACTAGGACTGCAGGCATGCACCCCTAGGCCTGGATAATTTTTGTATTTTTGGTGGAGACAGGATTTCACCACGTCGGCCAGGTTAGTCTCGAACTCCTGACCGCAGGTGATCCTCCCACCTTGGCCTCCTAAAGTGCTGGGATTGCAGGCATGAGCCACCGTGCCCTGCCAAAAGCCACTTTTTAAATAGTAAGAGGATTTTGGCAGCCTTATAGACTCAGATATCTGGAGAGCGTAGCACAGGACATAGGACATATTATATTCTCGATAAATACTTCTCGAATGAATCAATGAGTAAATGACTAGCTTGAGCTTACTATATTAATAATACACTGTTTACTAGTAAATCAACACGTGGGAAACAATAGACAGAGACTTGTGGGAGCATGGACTTTGAAGTCAGAACTGGGTACAAATCAGGCTTGGAAACACTAGCTAGATGCCCCCTTGGACAGGTTACTTAATTTCTCTGAGGCTCAGTTTTCTCATTTACAAGTTATTTGTAATAACAGCTGCATTAAAGGGTTGTTGGCTTATATATATTATCAATAGCTTTTATTATAGTGCTGCAAAATAAGGTGTCTGCCCCATAGAGGTATTGAAAATCTACTCACTGGGCATCTACTTTGTGCCAGGCACTGGGTACTGGGGATAAAGAGTGAGCAAGACAGACAAGATCCCTGGCTTCAGGGAGATGACGAACTGGTGGGCAGGCTGGACAATAAATAACCATGATGACTTTTGGTGAAATAGAATTTCCAAGAAGATAAAATAGAATAATGTGTTTGTGAGTCGGAAGTTATTTTACAGGAGGTAATCAAGAAAAGCTCCTTTGAGGAAGGAACATGAAAACAGTTACCAATGAGAAGAAGGACCCAAGCATGCCAGGATTTGAGGGCGAGGGCTTCCAGGTTGAGGGAACAGCAAGGGCAAAGGCCCTAAGGCAGAAATGTTTGCTCCAGGGTTCTTTTCACACCACAAACAATGAAGAGAATGGCCCATGGTAAAGTCCAAGATCCTCAAGAGCCCACTCCTGCAGGATCTTATAGGTCAGGATAAAATATTTGGATTTTATTCTGAGTGTGATGGAAACGATTGGCAGGGTTTTCACAGCTGGGTGGCAGAGTCTCACTTCCTTTTCAAGGTGGATTACTCCAGCAGCTGTGAAGATTATAGAGATCAGGATAGCAGGAAGGCAAGTAAGGAGACTCCTGTCTAGAAAGAGATAATTATCACTGGAACAAAGAGGATGGCAGTGGTGAGGGAGGCATGAACGACTTAGGACGTGGTTTGCAGGCAGCACCACAGGATGTAGTAGAGGTGAAGCAGAGAGAAGGCACCTGGCCTCTGTCAGCCCACACGACTACAAGCCTGGAAGCCTCAAGTTGCATTTCTTATTCTCTGGTTGCTTCTCCACTCTCCTCTGTGATTTGCTGCTGGGTGCCTTGATCTCCATAGCAATGAGTCCTCTTTTCTCCTGTGAGACTGATCTGGGGATCAGGAACCTCACCTCTGACTCCCAGTAGAGGTGAAATCAGCAGTGGTTCAAGGGAAAGAGGCAATGCAGCAGAGACTGATTTCTGGGATGAGGTTTTTTGTTTTTTTGTTTTTTAGTTTTTTAATTCAATATTTACATGGGTCCACTTAGTGTCATAAAAGGTTTTAAAGGAACTTGCTATAAAAACTCAAGAGGAAATTAAATGCAAACCAGTACACACCAGATGCAAGATAGGAATCAAGAAATATAGTGAATATTTCCTGTGGTATATTAATTAAAATATTATTTCCCCGTAGGAATATAATAGGATGCCATGATCTATTGATTTATTTATTCAACTAGAATTTGCCATATATGTCGCTCCAAGCTGGATATGAGGAAAGGGAGGTAGATAACAGTCCCTACTCTCAGGGAGCTTTCAGTTTAATGGGGAAGACAAGTATCAAAGAATCTCTATAAAAGAAAGCAGAGTTCATTGGTTTCATAGCAGAGAGTAGCTATTTGTGTAGCAGCGGAGTGTAGGTGACAGACACATTAGGATCACTTTTATACTACAAAGATTAGAAGTGCACATCAAACCATTAGCATCAGATAGATATTCCTGACTGAAGACCTATTCATAAGTGTATATTTTTTATACATATTTGTTAGAATATCAGTGATTAAGAAAATATACACATATTATTCACTTAAATATAAAATATGTTTATTGATCTTTAGGAAAGACATTTCACAAATAATCCTTCAATGCCATATTACCAAGTAAAATTTTCCTCTAACTCAATGACTAATTCCGCTTCTCGACCACAGAAAAAGGTTGAATATGCTATTGTGTGCAGAGCAACAAATGAAGTAAAAATTTATGATGTACCCACTTAATTTGACCCACATGTACTCAGGATTTCACGTGAGGCTTGGGAGTTATTTATTCCTTGCTGAAATGATTCTATTCTCTTACCTTGCTTTTTCTTTTCTCAATATGATAAACATTAATTAAGTATCTGCTTTGTGCAAGACACTGTGATCCGAATAAGCAAGTCATGTTCTGTGATGTTAAATGTTATAAAAATAACTTTTATTATTCATATTATAACAGGAAATTTACATTTTGAATGTACCTTTAATAACGTGTATGTATATGCACGTATACATACACACATATATACACATATGTATTAGAAAGAAATAGAAACACATATACATACACACATATATAAACACATATATTAGAAATAAATACACATATATATTAGAAAGAATTAGAAATAAAAGAAGTTTTAAAAAGTAAAAATGTATTCTACATTTTATTATGTATATCATATATAATATAGAGAGGTTGGGTTTATTGCATTACACATTATATATTATATATGATATTTATAATCTGTACATAATATGTGTATGTATTACTATGTATATGTATGTATATTATATATGTATTTATAATATATATTATATAATTATATATATTACATAAAGTATATATTATATATTTTAAAAGCATGTAACAATACATATTCATATATAACAAACATTATTTCACATAAACTTTATATTATATATGTGTAGATAGACATCTCTTTAATGGAATCATATTGCTTATATTTGCTGTAATTTTGCTTTTTTACTTAGTTTCATGAATATCAGTTTAGTCATTAAATATTCCTTTACATTTTAATAGCTGCTGAATATTTCACTTTTTAAGTTGATAGTATTGTATTTAATTATGGTATTAGTGCAGTGTATTAGTATTATAATCCTCCTAATGTTGCATTTATTTATTTTTTCCCTGATCATTTCTGTTATGAGGAACATCCTGTCAGTTAAATAAGATTCTTTCCCTATGATGAATTTTCAGGCGCCGCCTCCGAGGTCGGGGCTTCCTGATAATTGCCAGTGTCACCCTTGCCAGGTCACTCAGGCACGGGTCAGTGAGCGCTCAGGAAGCAGAGGCAGAAAGGGCTCCACGTGTGCTATCACTAGTCAGATTATTCTGCACACAATAAAACATTCTTTTGTACAAAAGTGAAATCCCTAAGTCAAACTGTGGCTTATAAGCAGAAATCCTGGTTAGTATTTCAAAGTTCTCTTAGCGTTTTCTCCTGCGACTTAAAAGACTTAAAAACGTGAAAAGACATGGACCTAAGACTCCAAACAAAAATACATTTCTTTGAAACTAAATAGCTCTTAAGTAAGAAAAAATTCTATAGATCTTCAAATCATCCCCTAAGCAAAATATTCTCTAATTAAGTATTTCTGTATTTCCATCTATGTTCTTCCCAGGCTTGGGGCTGTTGATCAGACCTATTTTTACGGGTAAGTTTCTAGGGGTCATAGAAGATACAGATTTTGACCTGCTTAATGTCAAGAGGTTGCACGGTTGATTTGTCCAGTTGTGAATTCTATGAATGAAGCTTTTTGCTTAAATAAAACGATATTCCCCTCTGGCTGCTGTGAGCACCGGGAGACTTGTTTCGGCAGTGCCTGGGTGCTGGGGCAGGGCCGGTGGCCCTGGATCATCCGCTACCAACAGGACTTGCCTGTGTGCATCTGGTCCACCCTCTCTCCACACCCAACTTCATGAGATGCACAGGGGCCTGTGTGCAGAGCAGGGCGAGTCTGCCAGGACAGAATGCCTGGGTCTGCTTGGTTGGGTCTCCACATGCGCTCAGGTAAATCTCAGTCTGTCGCTCATGCTCGTATTCACTGTGCTGACAAGCTCCAAGCTTGGACAGCGTGTTTAGTGTACCGCAGGATCACCTTCGGGGAGGGAACGACAGCCTGCCCGGGGCTAAAAGAAACTGCCCAACAAGAGAATCGCTTGAACCCGGGAGGCGGAGGTCGCAGTGAGCTGAGATCGCACCACTGCACTCCAGCCTGGGCGACAAGAGCGGGATTCCGTCTCAAAAAAAAAAAAAAAAAAAAAAAAAAAAAAAAAAAAAAAAAGAAACTGCCCAGAATTTGAATGTTGTACTTGAAACCTGCTTGATCCTTAAAGTTCATTTCTAGTCATCTCCATCAATAAGCCTTTGGGTTTGAGAAGCAGAAGCTTACTATCCCAGCTAACTTGGGCCTTACAGGAAGATTGGGTTTCTCCCCTGGGGAAGAGTGGAGGGTTGCTGTTTACGGCCTGTCTACTCCTACCAAGCACTGTGCTAGGCATGATGAATGCCTTTCCTGCTGAATCCTCTTCTCACTAAGAGTATTGATCATCTCCATTTCACAGGAGAAATGGATCTGAAAGTGATGACATAATGGCTGCCTTTTCTTAGAAAATCCCAAACCCTGGCCCCTCCTTTAGGTGCCTCCCCAAGCTCTCATTCTGTCTACTTCTTTAACTTTGTCCCATGTCCAGCCTTTCCTTCCTCTGGCTACACCAACCGCTTTTTAACACATGTTGCTTAACACATATTTAATGAGGGTCTACCTGTACCAGGTGTGAATAAAAGAGCATCCAGAGAGATAAAGGTACTGACTGTTGTTATTGAGAGATACTCATGCAGACATATGTATTTGTTAGAATAGGTATTCTAACAAAGTTCTTCTGGGTCCAAGGGCCTTTTCACTTCTTGTTTTTTTTTTGTTTGTTTGTTTTGTTTTGTTTGTTTGTTTGTTTGTTTGTTTTTGAGATGGAGTTTCACTCTTGTTGCCCAGGCTGGAGTGCAATGGTGCGATCTCGGCTCACAGCAACCTCTGCCTCCCGGGTTCAAGCCATTCTCCTGACTCAGCCTCCCAAGTAGCTGGGATTACAGTCATGCCCGGCTAATTTTGTATTTTTAGTAGAGACAGGGTTTCTCCGTGTTGGTCAGGCTGGTCTCGAACTTCCAACCTCAGGTGATCCACCCACTTCCACCTCCCTACACTTTTCATTCCTGCCATCTGGAACCCTTCTCCTTCTTGGTCTACACATGGGGGGATGTGCTTTCTCACCATCTCAGTGACTTCATCCACTTTGGAACCTACCCCGATCATCTGATTAAAAATACTCCCTGTTCCCAGCCATCCTTGATCACCCCAGAGAACTTTCCACACTCTTGTTGTTCTTTAATTTGTCTACATGAATATTTCTCAACAACAAGTGTCAGTACCTTTTTCTCTCTCGATGCTGTTGTATTCACACCTGGTACAGGTAGATCTTTATTAAATATGTGTTAACCAAATAAATTGAACAAATATTTATAGGCCTCTTTCTGTGCACTTGACACTGCTCTAGGCACTGGGGATACAGCAGTGAACAAAACAAATAAAAATCTCTACTCTAGGAGGGAAAGACAGATACTAAGCAAAAGAGTGAATAGTTGGTCAACATGGTGAAACTCCGTCTCCACTAAAAACACAAAAAATTAGCTGGGTGTGGTGGCAGGCACCTGTAATTCCAGCTACTGGGGAGGCTAAGGCATGAGAATTGCTTGAACCTGGGAGGAGGAGGTTGCAGTGAGCAGAGATTGTGCCACTGCACTCTAGCCTGGGTGACAGAGCTAGACTCCATCTCAAACACACACACACACACACACACACACACACACACCAGTGAAGAGGGCCGGCTGTGGTGGCTCACACCTGTAATCTCAGCACTTTGGGAGGCCAAAGTGGGCGGATCACAAGGCCAGGAGATTGAGATCATCCTGGCTAACACAGTGAAACCCTGTCTCTACTAAAAATACAAAAATTAGCCAGGCGTGGAGGTGCAGGCCTGTAGCCCCAGCCACTCGGGAGGTTGAGGCAGGAGAATCGCTTGAACCCAGGAGGCGGAGGCTGCAGTGAGCCAAGATCGAGCCACTGCACTCCAGCCTGGAGACAGAGCAAGACTCCGTCTAAAAAAACAAAAACAGTGAATAGTTAGTTAGGACCTCAGGGAGAGATGCACAGTGGTGGTGGGGTAAAGCAATCAGCCCAGAGACGAGGCCTGTCTGACAAGGTGAGACCTGAATGAAGTAAAGGAGCAAGTCATGGTGATGTCTAGGAGAAACATGTTCCAGGAAGAAGCACAAAAGTCCTGGGGCAGAGTCATGTTGGTCAATTTGGAGCCGCATGGCACCTGTGTGGCTGGTGTGGAGGGAGGAGGGCTAAATCAGAGGGCAGGTGTGGGGTAAGTGGTGCAAAGGCTTGTGGGCTGTGCTAAATATCTCAGCCTTTGGTGTCAAATGCAATGGGAGCCATGGAAGGGTTTTGAGCCAAGGGGTGGCATGGATAAATGAATGAGGTTACACAACTTGAGAGCAGAGAAGCTGGGATACAAACTGGGCTCTCTGAGTGCAGTTTGCTCCCACCCCGTCCCCCCACCCATCATTGCTGCATCTGTCCCTGGCCACGTGTTCTTCCCTGTGCATTTTATCATCAAAGTGAGGCCTTAGCCTTTCACGGAAGCCTGGTTGTGGGGGCTTAGCCCTGACCTGGTGGCAGGGTCCATTTTGTTTTGTTTTTCCTGTTTGTTTGGGGACTTAGTGTCCACCCTTGGACCCAACGACCCTTACCCAGGTGCGGTGTCTTCCAGCTGATCCCACAGTGGGGCCCAGGTTGCATCAGCTCAGCCTTCCTTAGGCGCAGCATTTGCTCCCTCCCCGAGTTTGACACCCCACAGCCTGGCACGGTGCCAAGTATGAGTAAATTGGGCTCAGGGTTCCTGTTGTTCCTATTCACACAGCAGCTGCTTTCTTTACCGTGCCATGAACCTGATCTCCTGGCATTGTCAGTCAGCCCTCTCTTCTCAGGTGCCAAGGGGAAACGAAACTGGTTAGTCTCTGCAGGAAGCTGAGCCGTCTCCTAAGTGCCCACCCGGCTCCTTGTGCACTAATTACCAGACAGTGGACTGAACCTTTTGCATATTTTATTAGTGAGGACTCTAAGTTTCGAGTGATTGGAAACCCAGTGGGTTTAAATCAAGAAGATTAATTTATGGCCCATGTCTCCAAAAGGCCGGGGAGGCCTTGGCGTTGCCAAGTTGGACATAAGGGCTCAAATGACTCATCAGAATTAGGTCTTATTCTTTCCATCTCTGCTTTCTTCTGGAAACTTCTATTCTCAGGACCTAGCAAGATGCCAAAATCAGATTACATCCTAATATCTCAATAAGCCCAGATTTACTTTTTAACATTTCTAGTAGACATCTGGGAATTGAGTCTCCATGCCCAGTCCTAAGCCTGTTGCTTTGCCCAGGGAATGCAGTTCTCTGATCCGCCAGTTCTGGGTCACCCATTCAGCCCTGGAGCCAGCCTAGGAGTCAGCCCATGTGACCCTCCAGGACCAACGACATAAAGGGGACAGTTTCTCAAGGAAGACTAGGGTCAAATTACCAGATACTGGATAGGCTAATATAACAGATGCCAAGTCACGCTCACTCTTTTAGTTAATCCTCGGAGAACCCTGTGGCATAGTAATTATCCCACACTGCAGATGAAGAAGGTGAGGCCCAGAGAAGTTAAGCTGGCCAAAAGTATGCAGCTGGTAAGTGGCAGAGCCAGCATTTGAATACAGATTCGCCTTTCTGCAAAATCCATGCCACGAGTCTCCTGAAACTTGAAAGAAAAGTGTTAAAACAGGATCGAGATGATCCTTGATACCCACTGCCTAAAGCAGCCCTACTGGCATGAGCTCATTCCTTCTTCTAACTTCTTTGAAGCATTTCAGGTGAATTGGAAGTCTGTTTTCCAGGAAATCTGATTATGGTGGCAAGTTCCTCCCAGCAAGAACAGAGAGGAGCATTCTGAGATTTTCCTGGAAGGAAATAAGCCTCTCCTACATTGCAGCATATTACCCAAATGTGGGAAAAAAAAAACATATGCCCATGACATTCTCTTATATAAATGTGTGGGGGCATGTTTCAAAAGCATATATATTAATATCTTCTGTGTGTATGTATATAAATATAGGTATTTATCCCTCTGCTGGATTCATAAGCATCGAGTGATTCAAACATTAATTACAATCTCCTTGGTGAGGGAAAATATTTTTCCTTCTATCATGTTCATTTTAGGATCATCTGAAGTTCATCTTTTTAGAGGGTACTGAATCATCTGGCAACACAATGTTCTTTAATTGTTAGATTGTATACACATTTTGGCGTTACTTTTTCTGAACCTCCTACTCCCTTGATTTTTATTATTAACTGTGAGAAATCACTTCAGTGTGCTAGGCATATACATTCGTATATATACACACACTGCTATTATTATATATAATCTCAATAAATTCTGACAATGCTTTGAAAGAGGCAGTACTATTATTGTTATTATGGATGAGGAAAGTGAGTTTAAACAATTTGCCTAATGAAACATGAAGATCATAGGGAATGATGGAATTGGGACTCAAATTTCGAGTTCTTTCACTTCAGAAAGTGAAAGTCAGTTACTCAGCCTCAGAACAACTGACATTTATCCATGCTATTAACTACTACACTATTATGGAAGTAGAGAAGAAAAAAAAAAAAAAAACACTGGAATTCCAAGCTTCCAAGGCTACCAAGGAGGCTAAAACATCTATTGGGGATTTAGTGGAAAATTTGCGGAAATCTATCATTGTTATAAGTGCATATGTTTCGATCCAGCAATTCCACTAGAAATGCTGGCACAAATGTGCAAGGATGTAAATATAAAAAATATTCAATGCAGTATTGTTTATAGTAGGGAAAGCTGGAAATACTTAAATGTCCATCACTAAAAAGTCAGTTAAATAAATTAGAGTGCATGATTCCAGTGGAGTGCAGTGTCACTGTTTCTTAAAGTAGGCAGAACCTCTAAATACAGGCATGTGGACAGGTAAATAAGAAATATTTTAATTTTTTTAGGTTGGCAAAGAAAGCATAATTCCAGTTTTAGGGGAAAAAAGTTAGCATCTATGTCTGCATGGAGACGGGATAAAGGTGAATGTAAATTTGATTGTGCATAAAAAAATTGCTGGAAAAATATAAATGAAACTGGTAACAGTGGTTACATCAGGGAAGTTTTTATTCTGGGGAAGGGATGTTCAGTTATACTTTATATGCCTTATTTATACTGTTCTCAACAGGAGGTGGTTTTGCCTCTCAGGGGACATTACCAAATGTCCCCGTTTTTGTTGTCACAACTCAGGGAGTGGGGTTTGCTACTGGCATCTATTAGGTAGAGACCAGGAATACTGATAAATATTATCAATTACACAGAACAGCCCTCACAATGTAGGATCATCCTGCCCAAAATGCCAATAGCACCAAGATTGAGAAACTCTGCTTGTAACCCTAAGTGTCTGAGTTTATTATAATAAGCATTCATTAATCTTGCACTTAAAAAAAAAATCTCTGAAACATAGTCTCCATTCTGATACTTGAGTGGAATTATTGCTGCTGCTGCCTTCATAGATCAAATCAAAGTCACAACTTTAATACTTTGGCCATGTGGACATAATATACTTTTTCTTCCATTACCAGAACAATTTCTTCATTCGAATATAGGATTTGTATATATTTATCTTTCAGTCTCAAAGATAGGCAATCTTATAATATAGGTCCCATCTCACAGATTAAAAAAAAAAACTGATACCTGGGGAAGCTCATTGTTTTCATGGACAGCCAATGCCAGCTAGAACCTTGGTAAACAAATTTAATAGTTTCTGGAAATATTAAATTGCTTAATCTCAAACATCTGTACTTCGCTGGAGACTCAAAGAAAAAGCACTGAGCTATATTTTCAGTTCTTTAATTGGGATAAGAGGTAAGTTTCCTAAGTAATCCTTCATTCTCTATGAGAGGGTATGTACTCCATCATTTTGTCCTCCGAACAGAAATACTTCCTGCTCACCGGGCATTCACATTTCAGTTTGGAGATACAGGGTGAGTATCCCTTGTTTGAAATGCTTAGGAACAGAAGTATTTCTGATTTTGGATTGTTTCAGATTTTGGAATACGTGCAAAGAGCATCCCTAATTCACATATTTGACATTTGTGATGCTCCAACGAGCCTTTCCTCTGAACGTCATATCAGCTCTCAACGTTTCAGATTTTGGAGTCTTGGATTTCAGGTTTTCAGATTAGAGATGCACAACCTGTGACACATATCTTCTGTCATATTCCGCTCTGTAGCGTAGCCATGGTGTGTTGGGTTTTGACACATCAACATTCTGAGTGCAAGATGATACTGAGTGTGACTGGTGTGGAGTGAGCTGCGAGTGAAGTTTCTAATGAGGAGGAAAAGTGTGCTGTAAAATCTGTCATGGTCCTTGTGACACCAGTAGCTCTCACTTAGCAAGACACTAGCTACGGCCATCAGCGTGTCAGTGGCTCCAGGACAGAAGGAAGTTGCTGAGCCAAGGACCAAGACTTGAAGTGGCCTGTGTTAAGCACCCCCTTCACCAACTCTGAAGTGTAAGTCACAGAGTTCTTGGACCCCAGCCCCAGTTCCCCAACCTTTAAGGATGCAGACAGTGCTGCTTGTATGTTTTGGGGTGCTTTCTTTCTTTGTTTGTTTTTAGACATGGGGTCTCACTGTGTTGGCCAGGCTGGAGTACAGTGATGCAATCACAGCTCGCTGCAGCCCTGAACTCCTGGGTTCACGGGATCCTCCTACCTCAGCCTCCTGAGTAGCTGGGACTACAGGTGCACACCACCATGCCCGGCTAATTTTTTGAAAATTTTTGTAGAAACGGGGTCTCACTTTTTTGCCCAGGCTGATCTTGAACTCCTGGCCTCGAGTGATCCTCCCAGAGTGCTGGGATTACAGGTGCAAGCCACTGCACCCAGCCCTTTATTTTTAAAAAATTAATTCTCATATTTGTCAGGATGAGATAAGTTATGTGGTGACAAAGAAAAATCCCCAAATCTCAATAGCTTAAAACAACAAAGATGCATTTACCACTCACACTCCATGCCCACAGTGGGTCAACTGAGGGCTTCTTCTGGGACTCCAGATGACTAGAGCAGCCACCATCTGACACCAGCATGGCCTGCCCCTGTGAGAAGGGAAGAGTACAGCGGGTCATACGCTGACTCTCACAGTGACGTCCTCACTTCTGGTCACATTTCTCTCAACCTTCCGTGATTTCAAAAGGGTGGGGAAGTGCAGCCAGAAAATACACATGAGAATCCAAAAGGAGAAGAGACCCAGGATATTTGCAAATGGTTCTAGTGATTTCCACAGTCCACTGGTAGTTGGTGTAAACATCATGTGCACATCTGAATTCCTGGATCCTTTTGAGAAATCACAGGACCTTGGGACAATATGCATGGTGTAGGAAAGGGGGCACTCACGAATAGTGACTCCGTTTAGACGAGACATTTCCCCCTCAGTTCCCAGGCTCTACCTATCCTGATTCATTCACCTAAGGAATCAGCTTTGTCCCTGTAGGAATTTGGATTGGCAACTTTTGAATTAAAGTCTAATCCAGTGGTAACAGTTCACCCATGGAGTCAGATAACCTGGCTTCGAATCTGGGAACCACCCTTATGGCTGAGTGGATTTCACTCTCTGCACCTCAGCTTCTCTACCTATGGGTAGTAATCCCGGAGGGATGTGGTGAGGCATAAGAGAAAATCCATATAAAGCACTTAAATGAGTGCCTAGGACAGAGACAACACAACTGTTCCATCATCGTCATCTTTCCAAAGTGCCACTCTGCATGTACCTTTAACTTACACACACAAAAATGGGGTCATACAGTAAGTGCTGTTGATGGACAGATATTGACCAGCTCTGCTCCTTTCTCTGTATCTGTTTCCTGTCTTATAAATCAAAAGGGTCGGCTCAGAAGCTTTCTGAGGTCCTTTCCAATTCTGACATTCTGTGACTCCAAGATCCAAGGAGGGCCCCCAGATTCCTTCTTGAGCTTTCAAAGCATTCCCGATGTGTGCTTTAGAGTGGGTCTGGACAGTGTATCTGTCAAGGGGGCTGCAGGCAAGAGGGGAGACACGAAGCCAAACTATGAGACAAGCATGGGAACAGCCTTAACCGCAAGCTCTAGCCTTGAACCCATCCAAAGAACACTGATGTGAGCCAACTGTGCATATCTGTTGATTAATCTTCCCAGGAAATGATGTTCTAGAACCCTCCACAGCCACGTGACCTCCGCCGCCAACATCAGCCATCATCTGGACTGGTCTTTTCATCCAGGGCACTCGATGGTGGCTAGCAAAAGGACCCCCAGCCCATGCTGAATGCCAGGATTTGTATTTTTATCTTGCCCTGCAGGCTGCCTCGCCTTGAGCAATGCTGTGTGATGACAGAGATATTATCACCCTAAGCTAAAATATTCACCAATAACGAGACAATGAAAACAGTTGCTAGAAGTCTGCGGTGAATGCAGAGGGAGCAAACTCTGTTAATTATTCAGGAAATCCTCTTCATAAATTCATTTAGATTTCTGCAAATGAGTTAGTATTTGATTAAAAAAAACAAAACAAAACAAAACCCTGGGAACTCAGCCCAAGCAGTAGAGTAGGTATAGGCTTGAACAAGTTCAGGAATCAGACAGCCTTGGACGTTCAGCCCCATGACCTTAAACAAGTCTGTGCCCCCTCAAAACTTCTGTTACCTGTCTACAAAGTGGGGATGCTAATACTAACCTGTGGTGTTGGGAAGGTGGAACTAACAGGATGCATTCTGTGTACTTCACAAAAGGTCTGGCTCATGAGCCCTTAATGCATGTTATGAACAGGGTAACTTCACTGTGGCTTTCTTATTAACCATCCCTGTGTATCGCTCTAAGGAGAGGGCAGAGTCTCAAGGCTATTCATGTTTGAATGAAGGTGCTGGAAAGAGACAGAGGCGTAAGGGATCCTGCATGCCTCATATGAAGACACATGTGAACACAAGGAAACATGGCTCCAGTGTTGCAGCTGCTTCTGATTTTTCAAGATAAATTTTAAAAGCATAATATTTATTTGAAACCTCCTGATTTTTAAATGTTAACATTAAACAATGCCGGTTTGGCTTCTGTAAAACAGACTCTAACTCTTCATATCCTGAAAGATAACATGACTTTATTAAGGTATAATAGAAGCTTGTTTCTGTCTTATATAAAGGTCTGATATAAAAGTCTCGGTAAGTGGTTGAGAGCTAGCAGGACACTTCTTGGTGTTGGGATCCCAAGTACCTTCTCTTTGGTTGCTCTGCCACCGTAACACAAGGCTTCCTTCTGATGGTCCAAGATGGCTGCCCTGGATTCTACCATTATATGCACATTCCAGCCAGCAAGAAAGGAAAAGCAGTGGAAGGCAGGCCCCTCTTTTTAAAGATATAACCTGGAAATCACAAATATTACCTCCACTGACAGCTCAGTGTCTAGTGCATTGCCACAAAGCTGTATCTATCTGACAGAGGCTGGGAAATGTAGTCTCTATTCTGAGTGGTCAAATACCAAGAAACAGGAGATCTATGAGTGAAAGAAAAAAGAAACAAAGCTACAACAAGTAATTCAGACTTAAGAAAAACACTATGACAACCAAGCAAAATACAGTCACGGGCCATTTTGGAGCAAAAAAAAACCATTCTTTACTGAGGATGTGATAAGAGAGTGTCCTTATAATAAAATTCCTGTGTGTTAAAACTACTGCTGCCTTCAACATCAAAATAGGTTCCATGCATGGAGTGCATACCCCATGCATGGATGTGGTGTTAGGTGCTAAACATACATAGATTTTCGCTGACTCTGAAAACAGCCCTGCAAGGTAGACACCGTCGCACTTTTAATTGGCAGTGGAAACGGAGGTCAGAAGGGGAGACGGGATGTGGCCAAGTTAGTAAACAGGTTCGTAAGTGGCTGAGTGGCGATCCCATCTCAGGCCTGTCTGCCCCCAGCGCCTTTTGTGGTACTCTGTGCTTGAATACAGCTGGCGCTGACCTTCCTCTCCGCTCAACATTCTGCATCATTCTCCATCTTGTGCAAAGGAGGAACTGAGAGCCACAGTGTCACAACATGGACTCCAGAGCCCCAGGGTAGAGCCGATCAAAGACAGCCCAGGACCCATTCTGACTTCTGGCCTTTCCCGTTGTTCTTTGATCTTTGTTTTCATAAGTTACAAATTCCTCCACCTACTTACATTTTTAAAAGAAGGGGAGGAGAGAGAGAGAGAGAGAGCAAAATAATAACTTCTTAGCCGGAACTGCTTTTCTTCAAAATCACGAATAATTGTTTTCCTGCTCTGTCTGGGAAGGCATTCCCCTCTCATCTTTTGCCCAGGACTTGGCAATCCACTTTCCATCTCCCCTTCGCTTGTCTTTCTTTAGCATCCACGTTCCGTGCAATCCATCATCAGAGCCATTACCCTCCTCCTGATCAAGGGTGGAATGGAAAAGCTCCCTCTCCCTTCAACACCTACCACCAGCTCTTTGATTTGCCGGGCGTGGGCAGCAGGAAAGTTTCCGGCGGATGACCTCAGACCCTCTCCATAGAGAGCCCCACCAGCAGCTCATCACCATCAGTCTGCAAAGTGAGAACTCAAGTCAGGCTCTTTGGAAACAGTCAGCAAATGGCTTCTAGTTCACTCAGTGCAGAAAAGCTTTTCTTTTTTCCCCTTTTGTATGGGATTTTGTGAGTGGGGGGTTCTAATAGCTGCTCACTACACACCTCCAGCCACCCACTGGGCTTGCCAGTGTTCTGTGCAACACGCCCTGCGTCACAGGTTTCAATAACAACAAACTCTGCACATTTTTAAAATAAAAATAAAATAGGTCAGAGATTCACCCAGCTGGCCAGTAAACCAGGGCAGGATTTCTCTCATTCATTCTTTATTCTACCGAAACTGTCTGAAACTCAGTCTTCATGCCTATGAAATGGACAGAATAATCATATCTATTTCATGAGGTTGTTGGGAGTATTCATTGACATCGTGTTTGTAAAATGCCCAGAAGCCCTTACAAAGGGCGTCAGGCCCTTTGTAAGCAGGAAAGGAAAGCTGGCTTGGATGAACATCGGCTATTGGTACTGAGCTAACAAAGCAGCTATGAGGACCAAAGAGGGGCCCCTAATCCCTTCTCTAGCCTCTTTTCTCACCATTCCATGACTCCAATTTTGTGTTCTGACAATGTCAGATTCCTTCTAGTTTCCCTCATGCAACATGTTCTGACTGGGCCCCCAGCTCCTATTCACGGTGCTCTTCCAGTACGAATTCCTGCCCCCACCCCTCCCGTCTTCATGGTTAACATATATTCAACCTAAAACTCAACTGAGAGGTCACCTCCTCCAGGAACCATTCATGATTGCCTCTTTACTTTTCCCAAGCTGAGGCACATCCCATCCCCAGTGACGTAGGGAGTCTTAGTTTATCTTTAATTTGATTTTTCAGACATTTTATGTTTTACTGTCTTCACCATTAGGTAGTGCCCTCCATAAAGGAAGCGCTTGTGTCATATATGTCTTTGAATTCTTAGGATTCAGCTTGGGATTGTACACTGAAACTGCTGAAACACCTCTCAGAGTAGACAAGGAAGGAAAGGAGAGACGAAGGGAGGTGGGGTGGGGAAGGAGGGAGAAAGAAATGGTGAATGAAGCACACAGCACAGTGCCCTAAGGGGAAAAAAAGCAGCATTTGAATCAATAGTAGGTACTTTAGGCTGGGCAGTGGCTCACGCCTGTAATCTCAGCACTTTGGGAAGCCAAGGCAGGTGGATCTCTTGAGGTCAGGAGCTCGAGACTAGCCTGGCCAACACGGTGAAACCCTGTCTCTACTAAAAATACAAAAATTGGCCTGGCTTGGTGGTGCATGCCTGTAATCCCAGCTACTCCGGAGGCTGAGGCAAGAGAATTGCTTGAACCTGGAGGCGGACGTTGCAGTGAGCTGAGATTGTGCCACTGCACTCTAGCCTGGGCAACAAAGTGAGACTCAATCTCAAAAAAAAAAATGTATATGTGTGTATATATATATATATATATATACACATATATATATGTGTATATATATATACACATATATATGTACATATATACACATATATATGTATATATATATATGTATGTATATATATGAATGTTTATATATAGTGGCTACTTAAAAAGTGTTTTGTGATTGGTATATTTAGTTGTTCTTACTACCGCTGCCGATTTACTCTCACTGTTGCTAACCAAAGAGCAGAGTTAAGTCTGCAAAGAAAGATACCTTCCCTTTTCAATGATGAGGTTAGTGTCTTCACAAATAAAGCATCTGATACCTTAGTCTGATACATTAGATACAAATTATGACTAATAATTTGCCCCATTTTCCAAGTTTTCTCTTGATTGTGTTGATTGACTCAATAACGACTCAGCTCCTGATTCAGAGATGAATCAAAGAATGTCTTGCCCGCACGGGGCTGTGAGTCTAGATGGAGAGACATTCGTAGGGAGCTGTGTAATGTCAGCAGAGACGTGTCATAGGAAGACTGATGAAGCAGACGATGGAGAAAGTTGAGTTGAGTTGGTTGCTATTTAAAAGGGGTTGTCTAGGAAGGGTCTTTGATAAAGCAACTGAATAAAGAGCTGAAGGTAGTAAGTGTTAAGATCAAAGGATCTTTATAGGAGATCCAACCACCTCCCTCTAAATGGTAGTTCTTGGTGTGCTGTGTGTAAACCTCAGAGTATTTGCAGAAAGGAGATAACTATTTGGGAGCTGCGTGTATCAACATGTTCCAGAATACATAGGATGTTGGTAGAAGCCACCTGAAGATAAAACAGTCTGTTGATTCTGGCAAAATAGATAAACAATATTTACTATCTTTACTCTAGAACTCTTTAGAGCTTTCAATAGATTAATACACATTGCAGATCTCCAAGTGGGAACTAGAGCATTTAGTATTTCCTAACAGAACTCCTTATTCAAGAAGCATATTGTAGCTGGGCATGGTGGCTGACTCCTGTAATCCCAACACTTTGGGAGGCTGAGGTGAGCAGATTACCTGAGGTCAGGAGTTTGAAACTAGCCTGGCCAACATGGTGAAACTCCGTCTCCACTAAAAATACAAAAATTAGCAGGGTGTGGTGGCTGGCGCCTGTAATCCCAGCTACTTGGGAGGCTGAGGCAGAAGACCTGCTTGAACCCAGGAAGTGGAGGTTGCAGTGAGCTGAGATTTTGCCACTGCACTCCAGCCTGGGTGACGGGAGCAAGACTGTGTCTCAAAAAAAAGATATTGTACCACTTGTATTCAGAGGAATGAATGTATTTTGGTAAAAATGACTTTTGAGTGGGTACCAAATCTAAAGAAATATTCTTATCATATTACTCTGTGGCGCACGCACACACACACACACACACACACACACACACACACACAATTCAGGTGGATTTGCACTGGAGCCCTGTAAGTATTCAAGCTCTTTTGCTGTAGAGAACTAAAGAAAACATCAAGATATCAAGTAGTTTTATTGATTTATTCCATAATATTTTCTGGAACATATTGGCTTGTCTGAGTTACTTACAGGCCTTGCCACCTGGCAAAAATCATTTCAAATTATTGGGAAAAGAGCCACAGAAGTGGAAAATATCAAGAATATGGGCTCCGACTGCACAAGGCTGGACTCACACACAAGCCCTGCCAAGTTCTCACACGAGTCTCCGTTTATGTTGCTTCTAAAATGGGGTCCAGTTGCAGGACAAATTTTTGATTTTAATCAAAAGAAAGGTGCGAACCCATAGAACGGACCTTTGCAGGAGAAAGAAACAATTGTGGATGGATGTGAAAACCGAGGCAGCTGTTGCTTCACATAGATAATATGCCCATTACCTTTTGGAACAAAATTAAACATTTTTAAGTGTATTAAGATACACATAACATTGCAATTTATCATCTGGAACATTGTTAAGTATACAGTTTAGAAGTGTCATGTATATTTGCATGGTTGTACCACCAGTCTCCAGAACTTTTTCATCTTGCAAAACTAAAGCTCTATACCCATCAAATGACAACTCCCCATTCTCTCCTACTCCCCAGATCCTGGCAACCACTATTTTATTTCCTGTTTCTAAGAACTTGACTATTTTAGGTACCTCATGTACGTAGAATCACGCCACAGTTGTCTTTTTGTGACTGGCTTATTTCACTTAGCACAGGGGTCCTCAACCCCTGAGCTGCGGGTCGCTACTAGTCCTTTGCCCATTAGGAGCCAGGCTCCACAGCAGGAAGTGAGTGGAGGACCAGCAAGTGCGGCATTAGATTCTCATAGAAGTACGAACCCTATTGTGAACTGTGCGTGTGAGGGATCTAGGTTATGTGCTCCTTATGAGGATGGAATGCCTGATGATCTAAGGTGGAACAGTTTCATCCCAAACCTCCTTCCTCCCCTGAGCCACCAGTCCTTGGAAAAATTGTCTTCCACGAAACCAGTCCCTGGGGCCTAAAAGGGTTAGGGTACTGCTGACTTAGCATAACATCTTCAAGGTTCTGTGATAACATGTATCAGAATTTTTTTCTTCTTTAAGGCTGAGTATTATTCCTGTGTATGCATATACTACATTTCGTTTAGTCATTCATCTGTTGATGGACACATGGGTTACTTCCACCTCTTGGCTATTACGAATAATGCTACTACAAATACAGTATACAAGCATATATGGCTGTACAAATATCTCTTAGAGACCTTGCTTTGATTGATTTTGGATACATACCCAAAAGTGGGATTATGCCTGTTAGATTGCATTTCTTAAGACAGCTCTATTGTGATACAATTCATATACCATAAAATTCACTTCTTAAAGTATAAAATTCAACAGTGTTTCGCATGTTCACGTAGCTGTGCAACCGTCGTCGCGGTATCTAATTTAGAACATCTTCATCACCCCAAAAAGAAACTTCATATCCTTTAGCATTCACACCTCCTTCCTCCCTTCCCTGAGCCCTAGGCAGCCTCCGGTACTGGTAGAGAGACTTTCTGTCTCTATAGATTGACCTGTTTGGGGCCTTTCATATACACGGAGTTCTACGCTATGTGATCATTTGTGTCTGGCTTCTTCCACTTAGCATAATACTTTCAAGATTCGTTCATGTTGTATCAGCACTTCATTCAATTTTATTACCAAATAATATTTCATGAAATGGATATGCCACACTTTATTTATTCATTCATTTGTTCATTTGTTGATGGACATTTGGGTTGTTTCTGCTATACCCATTACTTTTGTTCCTTGCCAATGACTGCATATCTGTAGCCTCATAACATTCAGAATTTCCCTTTTCTCTACCAAATGTGCTTAGGTTTCAGGGACAAACAAGGTCCTCTGTGAAAAGGTAGCCAAGAGAACGGTCTAGGTAGCAGACAATGGATTCATTCCCCCACCATCTTATTCCCTCCAAATAAAAAAGGAAGAAAAAGAAAACTGCTTCCATTTGTCTTAAAAGCTATATATGTATGTATATGTGTGTGTATATATATATATATATATTTTTCTCGATATCTAATGGAAGAGACTTGTGCTCTTTAGGGAAATCAATAGGAGGGATAACAACCGATTATACTATGAGAAAGAAAATTTTAAAAGACTCTTTGGAAATAGCGCATACATAAAACATTTTTGAACTATCTGCAAATGTAGAAATTATGCCTCAATGCAAGGGATCCATGCCAAAGTAAAAGTCTGCTCAGGCTTTTATGAATTTCAGTGTTAGTGGCAAGTTTATCACTCCAGTATCTGTGAAAGCCACTGCATTTGTCCCATGTTGTCCATTGCCATGAGAGGAAGGGGCTACCCTGTCTAATTAGTGACTGCGCCCTAACTGAACTCATAGTGTTTTCTGTATCACAGTTCTTGACCACGTATCCAATAATAGCATTTTGATTTTATTGAGTGCCAGATTAAAAGATCCTTAGGGGTTTGGACAACATATTTCCTTGCTCTGGAATTGAAAAGACATCGAAGTCAGATCCGGAGCGAATCGAGGAACGATGTACCACAAGGTGGCCCACACAAAAGCTATGTGGGCAATTATCTCATGATTTGAGCAGCCTGACAAACTTCTCCCTTCTCACTCATATTTCACACAGATGCAGCCACGGTCCAACTTTGTTACAAAGAAAGAGAAACTTGTCATTTGTTTGATCATCAGCATGGTGTAAGAATTTGCCTGTCACTTGTTTAGGATAATGGCTGAATTTTTCAGTTTTCAATTGATGCTTGGCAGCTTCGATGTGTTAGATTGCTCTCAAACAACTGAAAGAAATCCACACATCCTATCCATTGTCAAGCTCATTTAGCAGATTATTCTAAGACTAAAGTAAGGGAAGGTAGCTTGTGCTATGAATCTTTTAAGAAAATATTACACAGTGTGAACAAAAGCAAATCCGCAGAACTTTAAAATGTCAGAGCCCAAAGAGAACTTAGAAATCCTTCCATTGAAACATCTGAAACCTCACATGCCCACAGAGTCCAGGCAAGTAGCAAGCCAACAGCAAGAGATGTAGATTGAGTCTTTGCCGCCCTAGGAGGGGTTCTAGTGTGCCAGACTGTATGTTTTCATAAAATTTGCAAAAGTAAGATGTTTAACTTTAATTCATTAATAGGGCTGTCACTTTTTGACATCCTCCTTTTTTTCTCCCTTATGTTAGGGTGTTAGATGGCATTGGAGTCACCCCAGGAATTTTGTATTCATGGGCTATGGGCACTATACAGCTTTTAAAACTTCAGGATCCACAAAACCAGCAGGTCAGATAGACACTATGGCAAAGTGGAATGCTCATGCTCATTTAAAGGAGGTGTTTTTGCTTAGTTCCTGACAATTACTGTCAGGTGAGAATTGAAGGGCTCAGTGTGGTCAGTTCTCTCAAGGGAAGCCAGAAATCCAGATTTATATGTCAAATCTTCTGATTTCAAAATGTTGATAACTAACCGAACAACACTAATCTGAAGGCTGAACTTGATCTGTGGGCTGTCAGTTTTTATCCTCAGGCTAAATTCAACCCTTGCTATTGATGACAAAAAAAGCAAATGAACAGGTCTAAAAATAATTAACCCTCTATCCACACCATTGTCTTCCACAGGTTTTATATTGAAATCATCAACCTGGTTTTCTTATAATCATTCGTTGAGCATTTCTTGAGTGTTAAGTGTGCATTTTAAGTACATTTGGGTTTCCCTCAAGCTTAGCTCTTGATTAAATGAGTCCAAAGTAGTCCACATCCAGGTTCAGAGTTAGGAGACAGGACTGGATGTGAAATTATCTCACTGTGCCAGGATTTTGAAAACAATTCACTAAAATTTGCAATAATTCAGACAAGGCTTCAGATACTTATTAAGAGAAAAGTTTCAAAAAGTGGTGTGGGATTTTATATTTATGGACATGTTATTGTAATCCTGCTGTTAGTTATAATTTTTTTGCATGAACTTTGAGTGATTTATAGTACCCAGAGGTAATGAATCCATTCCCATTTTTACTCCTCCTCTCGTTGGAACATTTGCATCAGTTTTCTCCACTTCTCAAACATTTTTTTCAGTTGATATTTCCATGGCTGGACCCTTCTTATCACTGAGGTCTCAACTGACATGTTACCTCTTTAAAAAAATCTTTCCAGAAGATCTTAGCTAAATTCACCAACTCCCAGCTCTCTATCCCAGGGGCAGATAAACTATGGCTCACAGTTTGAATCCAGCCTGCAGTCTGGCTTTGTAAATAAAGTTTTATTGGCACTCAGCTACATTTATTTGTTTACCTCCTGTCCATGGCTGCTTTTGTGCTACCCCAGGAGACTTGAGCAGTTGCAACAGAGACAGTGTGACCTGTGAGTCCCAAACTATTTACTATCTGGCCCTTGATGGAAAATGTTTGCCAACCTAAGACTTTTCCATTGCTATTTTATTTTCTTCACAGTAATGCTTATCTGAGATTACTTATTTTTTACTTGTTTGCTTGTTTGTTTCTGAATTCTACTCTTAGAATCTGAGCTCCTCAAGAGTTATTTTATCTATACCTAGAACACAGTAAGTACACAATATATTTTGGTTGCGTGAACTTAATAAATTCCATGCTTCAGCCTTTTTTCTTATAGCAGAGAGGGCTCCTAAAGTCCTTCTGTGCAGGTGGGTCCTAAGGATCCTGCTGCTTTTCAGTACTACAGGGAATATCAGGCCAAGTTTTTTATTGTTTCTGGTTGTGCAAACTGGACCAACTATATACACTGAAACAGGTGATGCCTAAGTACCAGACCCTTGAACTGGATGAGGAAAAGCCAAGATGGGAAACCACTGGAAAACATCGCAGTCTATTGATTCTGTGTATCATTTCGCCCAATACCGTTGTCGTTATCAAGGGCTAACTCTTATTTGTCAAGTAAAGAAAGACTACAGGTTCAACTGACTTCTAAGTTAGCAAACATTTTGGTTCCTCCCTATCTAGTTAAATAAATGAGTTTCTTTTTCTAAAGCCTCAACTCACCTAAGGACAGGGTTCTTTGTTTTTCTCTGCTTAATTGCGTCATATTCCTCCATACCAACTACACAAACCCCAGCACACACTCAGCTGCAGATTACCATCCTGTGTTCTTGTCACCTCATGCATTTTACCTGCTGGAAATAAATGCTCACACTCTGCCCAATCCCATCTTTCCCTGCACCTGGACATGCTTCAGAACTCCTTTTGTCTGTTCCTCTCTCTCATGTGCCTGAACTCTTCTGTGACTTAGAATCTCTAGCACATGATTCAGAACCTTAGGATCTGTCCAGTGGCTTCTTGTCTGTTAGTAATTTTTGTTCTCTCAATGATATGGTGTGGCTGTGTCCCCACCCAAATCTCATCCTGAATTGTAGCTCCCATAATTCCCGCGTGTCGTGGGAGGGACCTGGTGGGAGGTCATTGAATCATTGGGGCAGGTTTTTCCTGTACTGTTCTCATGATAGTGAATAAATCTCATGAGATCTGATGGTTTCATAAAGGGCAGTTCCCCTGCACCGCTCTCCTGTAAGATGTGCCTTTGCTCCTCCTTCACCTTCCACCATGATTGTGGGGCCTCCCCAGCCATGTGGAACTGTGAGTCTGTTAAACCTCTTTTTCTTTGTAAATTACCCAGTCTTGGATATTTCTTCATAGCAGTATGAAAATGGACTAATACACCTAGTACCTTGTAAGCATGCACCATTTTTACTCATATTTATATCTTCCTCTTTTACTCAATTTGTGTTTGACCGAACTTGAATCTGCAGTACCAGGCCCCTGGCATTGTGCTGGGAGTTATGCCAGGCACTAACAAGACCACTGAAATTTCCCAGACGCCCTACAACCTTCCTTTGGGAGTTCCCATACCATATAGTAATAAGCCTGTTAAAATGCACCCACTTGCCAGGTTATGTATGTTTTTTTTTCTTTTAAGAAATCATAATAATTCATTTGCTTTTTATGTTGTTATTATTTATTATAATCATAACTTCTTTTTATGTCTCAACCAATGCATATTTGGTCATATCCCCAAGGATTTGAAGTCCCTTGAATTTTTTAGAGGCCCAGGAGAAGCTGGTATACCTAATATACCATGCCCCAAATACCTACTGTATTCATACTGCTTTAGCAGCCCTGGACACTCACAGAAACAGTGATGAACACGCATGGTTCTTGTCCTCAGGGAGTCCAGAGTCCAGGGAGTGAGGTGCAGGTAAGCACGTGGTAATAGAAAACTGTGAGAAAGTCCATTGTGAAGGATGGGCAGAAGCTAAATAAGATTTGAGGACATGGACAGAAATGGGGTCAGGAAAGGGCATGGAGGTCCCCTCCCTGGAGGAAGTAATGTCTTAGATCGGTGGTCCCCAACCTTTTGGGCTCCGGGAACCAGTTTCATGGAGGACGATTTTTCTAGGACTGGAGGTAGGGGGATGATTTCAGGATGAAACTGTTCCACCTCAGATCAAGCATAAGTTAGAGTCTCATGAGGATCGCACAACGTAGATCCCTCACACGTGCAGTTCACAATAGGGTTTAGGCCCTTGAGAGAATCCAATGTCACTGCAGATCTGACAGGAGGCTCAGCTCGGGCCATAAGACTCTCTGGCCCACCGCTCACCACCTGCTGTGTGGCCTGGTTCCTAACAGGCCACAGTCTCGTACTGGTATGGGTCTGTAGCCCCAGAGTTGGGGACCTCTGTCTTTGATGGCCTCAAACAATGCAAAGTGGAAGGATCCAACTTGAATTCTGCCTGTCAAAACACAGCCAATTTCCCCCAAGTTAGCCTTGATAAATCTACCTAGTCAACAAACTAATTCACCTGAAGTCACAATCATAACAGGCTACAGTTTGTGAGGCCTGATGCAAAATGAAAAGGCAGGGCCCCTTGCAGAATTTCAAGACAGCAACAGCAGGGCATTAAACCATGTATGGGCCCTTCTGAGCATGGGGCCCTGTCTGACAGCACGGGCCACACACCCATGAAGCTGACCCCGTTAGTTGTTCTAAAAGTGGGGCCAGTGTCATTCAAAAGACAGTAGGAGAAAAAAAGCACCATGGACTAAAGCCCCAAGTACATAGCAGATGCTCAACCAAGGTTTGTGGAACAAGGCTGAGTTTCTTTAGTTTATTTTGCTTTTCTTGGAAATAGGCCTGACCAGGTGGCAAATGTCTGTAAGAAAGCAGTTACTTTGTCATTTTCCCTTTCTAGAAGCTCAGGACAGATGCAGAGATCCAGGTCTGGCCTGGGGAAACATGACCAGTCTGGCTGCCTTTTGTCTTGGAGATGACTTGGGTATTAATACATATATTTCGTTTGTTTGAAATATATACATGCATTTAAATCTGTATACAAAACCTTTTGGTGGACATTTTCTCCACATCCTATCCTGACAGAAGATGACGATAAACTCATGCTAGTGATTTTTATTAAGTCTCATTGAGTGTATTTTCAGAAGCTGCCACACAAGGAAATGTACTAAACATTTTTTCCCTGTCTGTAAATGTGAGTAGTCTTGAATTGCCAAGCCAGGTAAAATGAGTCCATGGATAACTCTTAAATGTATTAAACTCCTAAAATATTAGATCCTTCTGCAACAGATGAGGTTTGGTAGTGCAGCTCATTAGCATTTGAACAAATTAGTGAGACTTTTAAGGCATGTTGTTGGATTGAGCTAAGTAGATGAACACAGTGAATTCCAGACCCTAATGACTCCATTTATCAAGGGAGCAGGTTTTAACATAATGCATAAACCTTTCTCACATGGCCATTTTACTATGCATTTAGTTCTATTGCAACATGGTGCTTTGGGCAGAGGAAATGAAAAACTTAAACAAGGTTAACATTCCGAGAAAAGACTAGGAAAAAATAAATACCCCCGTCCCTCCCCAAATGAAAGATGATTTACAAAAATGAAAATCTGTATCGATAACAGAGTCTTACAGATGACAAAATATACCAGTGATGGTTTGTGACTAGGACATGAGCTGCCATTTCTCCTGAATTCATATCCAGTTTTAGGGATAATGTAATGAAAATGTTTTAGTGTGATTAGTAAGAGGTTATTAATTGGTTAAAGACCCTCCTACAGCTTTGAGATTTATTTTGAGGACAATGAAGAATTCTATCTCACTTATTTTGTTTCACGTTCCTATTGACTTTGAAATGTTGTCCTTTTTTCTGTTTATGTATGCTTAAGAAGAAGAACTAAAGCGACTGTCTTTCTTCTTACTCAGGAAGATTTGCCAGAATTTAACACTAACACTTCATCCCTTTGGAATACCCAGTCGTTCAAAATTTTTTGTTTTGCCTATTAGTGATTTAAAAATACCCTAGCTTCATGACATTTGCAGATGTAGCATTATGGTTTTGTCTATCAAGGAGGCAGCCAAAGGCCGAGGGTTTGTATTGTGCAGGGTGGCATTTATATGTAAAAGTGTGTAATTTTACTAGTGAGCTGCCCAGAGCTATGTCGAAATGTAGATTTGCGGCTTCTCTCTTGGGCTACATTGTCTCTGCCTGCCAGTGTAGTTGTAAAGCAGTACACACAAAACAGGTCACTTTTTACAAATGACTTTTGATTCTACATTTATACGGCCATTAAGAAACTAAAGAAGTCAAAATTTTTCAGATCTACCTCACTGAATTTTATGAAGGAAAAGATATGCTTTGGTAGATTCATAAATTTAGGGGATTTTGAGGGCTGTAGAATGTATCTCCAACAAATGGCAAAGGTCTATGGCAAATAACTCTGATTTCTCAGGAGCTGTTTCCCTGCTACTCACATAAAAAACACTTCACTACTAATACCTAAAACAACCCCATAGTTGCTTATTCTATCCAAACTATTATCCAAAGTTATTTCCTTAAAAAGTTGAGTCTTCCCAATTTCCCTGCCTCCCTAATGAAACTGGTTTTCTACACGGTGCTAGGCAGGACACAAGTATTGACAGAATAAGTTATGCTAAGTTAGATAGCTGAAACTGGATAGAATTTCCATCACTCAGAAACAGAAATGTAAAGTTGGAGCTTAAGCATGGAGCTTAGCAATTTGTCTTCCATCTTCAGAAAACTCAAAATTATACTTACGTAGTAAAAATGGGTTAACTAAATAATATCCTGAATAGAAGGAAGAGTGTTTAAAAGTGTTTTTTCATAAAAGTGAGTAAAAATATTAAAATATCCTTCTACACAACAGTATCCTTTAAAAGTAATAAAACCCCATCAAAACCGTGGATATCAACAGCCAGATTTTTCACCATATCCTGGCAGCACTCAGAAGTCAGGGCAGGCCTCTCTTCCTCAATGAATCCTTTTCCTGGTTTTCACAGTCTAGGTTGGGTGGTGGTGTTTCATTTCCTTAGTCATTCTATATTCCTATCCATTATCATACTTATTACATATTGCTTCATTGTTTTCTTATCTGTCTGTCAATTCAATGATAAGTACCTTACCGGTAGGTACAAGATCTTACTAAAGGTTCCTTTCTTGGTTCTAAGTACAAAATTGACACTGTTGAACCCCAAAGAACATTTGTGAATGAATTAATCAATGAATGACTGAATGCAACCCTGAACGTTTTTTGAAGCTTCAGATATTTTGAACGCCAGAAATGACAAGAAAATAGAGGTAAGGTTGGAGAATTTCAATCTTTACTCTCCTTTTAAGCACATAGAGGAATTCTACCACCTCTTTCAATAAGAATCAGCAATGCACAGATCACCAGCACATGCGTCAGAGAGAGTCCATTGTAGGGGCTCAACATATATTCACTGAGCTAAACCCAAATGCATTTGAACTTCTGCCCAGTAGCTTGTCAAAAGACACCCTGAGTCATTCTAACAGAGGATCATAAGAGATGAAAAGGAAAAGATATAAGATTATGAAAACAACATTGCACATCTAGTCTGGACTTCTCTAATCTGCCCAGTGGTGAATCCAGGCAGCAGGTTATGAAGATGCTGGGAGATTTCCTGTGTAGAGTTGTTGAGCTGAACTAGCTTTCTCAACTATTCATGTTAATGTGTCACCAGTCTTGGAACTTTCTTTTACTGACAGGTTGTATCTATTTTTCCTATTCTGTTTTTGTGAACTCAACTTAAAACATCATCCAGCAAGGTTCCAGAAAGACTCCAGGCTTCTTAGTGAGATGTTATCCAAATGGCTTGATTCTTTGGATTTGGCACTAGAAAGAGACATGTTTTTTATGTATGATTTAAACTCAAATTCCATTTTAAAATCAACGAATGTGCTTCACCCAACCACCTCAAATCTCAGAGACATGGCCCACTTGAAATAAAGGTTAACAATCTTCAAGTTTAATTCCCAAGCTTTTCTGATATCATTTTCCCAATTATAGATTGCATCATTTTTTCTTCCCTATGTAAATAAGTAAGTCTGGGCTGAAGTTAAAACACTTAAGCAAGAATTAGCAAGGCTTTCTTTAAAAAAAGTAGGCCATATATCTTCCAAGAAATCTCTATGAAGAGATGTGTTTTTATACCTTACCAGGAAGCAGCTGTGGTACAAGAGTGGGAACTTCAACTCTTAAAAGCTGTTTTTAATCTCAACTAAGCCACATCACCAGTTAACCTCTCTGATTTTGTCATCTCATCTGTAAAATGGAAATTAATTGTGCCTTCCCTACAGGGCTATTATGAGGATAAAATAAGACAATCACCAGGAAACTGCTTGGCAAATTGTAAAGTGCAGTATAAATATAAGAGATATTAACTATAAACGGTCATATGGGAGGTTTTCGAGCACAAAACAGTAAGCTAGAGAAAATTCTGAGGCAGTGCAAATTCAGAAAGGAAATTATAAAAGTAGGTATAACCATCCTAATAGTTGTGACAATGTAATTTCAGAATATTGGTGAGTTACAACATATACCACATTTAAGTGTTTACAAGTGTTAGTGTTTACAAGTGTTAGTGTTTCTTGAACTTCATAAACCAACCTCTGTTACCTTTCAACTTTTCCTCTGCAGCTTCCTCATCTCCCTCAGCCTTCACAGAATTGAAGAGAGTTAGGGCCTTGCTCTGGATTAGGCTTTGGCTTAAGGGAATGTTGTGGCTGGTTTGATCTTCTATCCAGACCACTAAAACGTACTCCATATCAGCAATAAGGCTGGTTCACTTTCCTATCATTTGTGTGTTCAGTAGAGTAGAACTTTTTATTTTATTCAAAAACTCTTTGTTGGCATTCACAACTTGGCTACCTGGTTGGCACAAGAGGCCTAGCTTTCAGCCTGTCTCAGCTTTCAACATGGCCTTCCCAACTCAGCTTAGTCATTTCTAGCCTTTAATTTAAAGTGAGAGATGTGTGCCTCTGCTTTTCACTTGAATACTTAGAAGCCATGGCAGGGTTATTAATTGGCCCAATTTCCCTAATTTCAGGAAATAAGGAGGGCTGAGGAAAGAGCTTCCCTATTTCCAGTTTGTTTGGCACCCCCGAAACAATTACAACAGTAACATCAAAGAGCACTGATCACAGATCATCATAATAGATATAACAATAATGAAAAAGTTTGAAATATTGCGAGAATTACCAAAGTCTGGCACAGAGACTTGAAGTGAGCATGTGCTATTGGAAAAAATGGTACTAATAAACTTACTGGATGCAGGCTTGCCACAAACCTTCAATTTGTAAAAAGTTCAAGCTTTTTACAAATTGAAATACCTCTGAAGCACAATAAAATGAAGCACATTAAACCAAGCATGCCTGTATATGCACTTAACCAAACATTTCCAGTACTGTAAAATACTCTAAAATTCTACTTTGCCTATATATTACATATGCACATTTATATAGATATTATGCATTTAAATAAACATTAATGCAAAGGAACATATGCATAAAATGATTCATAATATAAATTATGGACAATTTAAAGATTTTTAAGGGTAGATTTCAGACTGTAAATAAACTTACTACTTTCACACTCATCCCCTGCAGAAGATGAGAACTGGCAGTATAGTCTAATTACTTAAGTAGGAGTGGTGGACATCATTGTGTTATTTTGGAGCATATTTTTCATCTTTTCTTAAGTGAATTGTAAGTGAATAGAAAATGTGTGTTTGCTTGCATGCATATGCATATGCAAAAATCAAAACTGATTTGCCCAGGTACTCAACTTGAGCACAAAATCACAGGCATGAATATGCAAGGAAATTTGAATGTGTGTTTGTCAGCAACCGAATATTTGGCAAAGGGGAAAAATTAAAATAGATTGCACTTAGAGCTCAAGGAAGGAAGAATAAACACAAATTTACAGGTGAGTGTTAGCAAACAGCACATATATTGAATAGTAGTCTGAAATAGACCCATCTGAACTCGGTGGGAAATTGACATTCTGTTTGTGCTACTGTGTATTAGAACTGGAAGCCTCAAGTTATATTTCTTAATAGCGATGCAGCAAATTACTATATCTACATGGCAGGCACTTGGCTTTTAACAGCTGGCAAGATTGAGGGTTATTTGAGGCATTTAAAATAAAAATTTCAGATAAGATCAAATCAGTGTGGTCAATCAGCAAGATAGTCAACAGGTATTTATGACACCACCACTTATCTATATACATATTTTTAAATGTTGTGCTTGATGGGATCCGAATGGGGAAAAGACCCAAAACATTAGGAGATCTCTGGCTCTGGTTTAGAAGACCAAATGGTAATAAACAAGGGCCTTGGAGTCACACACACCTGCCGCCAGAACCCGGACACCTCTTACTTTCTAAGTAAGCTCCACATTTTATGTGAGGGCTAGGTTCTGAAGCCAGGCCATTAAGCAAAAGTCATGTACAGTCAGAATTATCTTTGAAATTTTATGTCTTCTATGCTTAAGCCTTCTTTATTTTTTTTATGTTACTGAATTAAGAACGTTTGAGCCCCTATGCCATTAGAAGACAGAAATTTAATATCAGCCAAGACACACACACACTACTTGGGAGGCTGAGGCAAGAGGATTTCAGGAGTTTAAGAGCAGGAGTTCAAGCCTGCAGTGAGCTATGGAGTGCACCATGCACTCCAGCCTGGGCAACAGAGCAAGACAGCATCTCTAAAAAATAAATAACTTTTTAAATAAATAAATAAAAGACGTAGACAGAGAAACACACACACACACACACAATTGTGTGAAGCCTTTTCTCGTCAGTTTTATGCCCACAAAAGTTTGATAATTGCTGTGCTAATGAAAGGGCCAAAAAGAAAGTCTATGTGTGGATATCTGGACTTTTGACTCATCCTGCCTTTAAGATATGATACTATCAAATCCCCAGTGTGAGGAGCAGATGGTAAGACTTCTAAAGTGTTCCTGCTTGCCTTCAGGGTTTACTCTACTCACTTATAATAATAAGCCTCTCTGACTTTAATACATGTTAATAGACCTATTTGATGTTTAGAGGATTAAATGAAACAGTGGATGGCAACTTCTTTAAGGGTTAAATTCGAAAATCGGTACATAAGTTACCTGTGCTTTGTGACACTTCTTCATTTATGTGATCTTTGTCAATGCACTTAACCTCACTGCGCCTCATTCGCCTCGTCTGCAGGATGATGCAACACACAATACCTACTTAAAGGAGTTGGTGACACTCTAAGTATGATAATGCGTGAAGAGCTGTTGGCAGACTAGTAGCAAGAAATTAAAACATAGTAACTATTTTATTATTATTACAAATTATTGTTGTCGTGGTTGAGATGATTATTATTACTTGTATGCTCTGAGACTTTGGACATGTTACCAGATCTTTCTGTGCTTTAGTCATTCATCTGTCAAAAGGGAGCATGATATCTTTTCCTCCTACCTCAAAGAGCTGCAGAAGGAACAAAAAAAAGACAAGGGGTTGGAAAAGCATGAAAGGTTGTACAAGTAGAAGGTGAAAACGGAATAATGAAACATAATATTCAAATCCCAAGGCACCCCAGTTTCAGGGATGTTGCAAACCAATGTAATCTGCAGAACAAGGCATGTGGCTGAATAGCAACACAGTCGGGACCCAGGCAGATCGTAAATGGTTGGATTTGTCCTGTCCCCACCCCTGGGGATACCACTTAAAGTGCATTCCCTCTGGAAGGGGGCGTGGAAATCTTGCTGTGGAATACACAGGACCCTACCTTCCTCCCAGAAAATACTACCATGAAGAGTGGCTTTGTGCTGCAGACGTGAATATATAGGTCTCTAGCCCAAATGGCAAGAAACCTATTGTTATTTTTTTCACAACTGAATTAAATTCTTATTATAATCACCTTTGCCATTGGTTGACAGAAACGTAATCTCTGTCAAGTTAGGGCATGTAGGTTAATTCAGCTTCCTGAGATTGTGCCTAAGTTCCAGGGTGTTTACAGACATCCAAGAATCTGGGGGTCATACGTGGTTCTCAGTTATCACCTGTATCCACGCTGACTTCCGCAGGGATCTGCAGCTCCCTTTCTGCTCACCGACTGAAGGCTATTCCGGAACTGCTGGGGCTTTCCTAGAAACGTCTCAGGCCCCTTGCTCAGTTGCAGCACGCAAGCATCTCCAGTCTTCTGCTCCTGCGTCATGGTGCGTGTGGAAGAAGGAATGGCGGCCTAGGGGAGGTGGAGTTTCTTTACAAGGCATTGGAACAGAGACCTCTTCTGCTCTTGAATCGCCAAACTCAAGGGGAAGGGTTGGTTTATGCTCCCTCCGACCCCCGACTCCACTCGAGGCCAAGGAGGCCCTGCAAGTAGCAAGTGGAAGTCAGGACACAGAGCTGCTTCTCCGCTCCGAGTCTGAATGGCAAAGACTGCTTCTCCTTCACTGCCCCCCACCCCCCACAATTTTCACATTCCTCTCAATACCCAGGAAGCCTTATCTTCTACGTAAAGGGAGGTGAGAAAATGGAGGTGAAGTGGACCTCCGGCTATCGCGTTTTGCTCTCCTGAAGCTGTTTCTTGTTTGTTTTTGTTTGTTGCTTTGTTTGTTTGTTTGTTCTGAGACAGAGCCTAGCTCTGTCACCAGGCTGGAGTGCAGTGGCTCACTGCAACCTCCGCCTCCTGGGTTCAAGTGATTCTCCCGCCTCAGCCTCCTGAGTAGCTGGGATAACAGGTACGCGCCACAACACCCTGCTAATTTTTGTATTTTTAGTAGAGACGGGGTTTCACCATGTTGGCCAGGATGGTCTCAATCTGCTGAGCTCGTGATCTGCCCGCCTCGGCCTCCCAAAGTGTTGGGATTACAGGCGTGAGCCACCACGAAGCTATTTTTTTAAATGCTAGGATGTCTCCTTATGAAGTCCCCAAACCAAGACTAAGGCTCCTTGTTCAGCTTTCTCCCCTATGATGCCTCTTCTGAGGCAAGGGCTGCGTCTTTTACAGAGTGGGGTGCAGGAGACAGCTTCAGAAAGTCCCGCTGCAGGAGTGGGACCAGCTCCTCACATTTCAAAAATATTATCCACCAACAATGTTTAGAACATTACCCAGAAAGGTAGATTTCTGAAGGAGTTGAGCGTGCATAGTAGAGCGTGATTCTGCCATAATCTATGTGGTTGGATGAGAACCAGTGAATTGCTTTGGTCCGTTTATGACAACGTGAATAGTTTGTCTTATGGTGATAGGGGACCAGTGATTCTAGCTTTGACTGTCTCTTCGATGGTTGATGGTATGTAATTGAAACAAGTGATCCTCCCCCTTGCCCCCCATCACATCCTATTCTGCCACATTCTTAAGGGAGGTGAGAAGTAACTCTTTATGCTTTGTCATTCTTGAGCAGGTTTTTTGTTATGTAAAAAGCAATTATAATTCAGAGAAAAACAACTCAATGTGTGAAATGGTAAAATAATTCTAATGTCACTTGCAGGCTCCAGTTGGGGTCTGCAGAATACATCTTTGTATGGAATAGAAATACATGTGCCCAAATTTGAGAATTGTCACTGAAAAGTAACCTTTCTCTTTCTAGCCCTCCTGGGCAGTGCAGCCAAGTCCTCATCAGTGCCAAAAATATACATTTAGCAAATGTCCATGCCAGCGCCTCACTCCCAGAATGCACAGTTCTCCCAAGCTGCTTCCAGAGCCTTCTAAAGTACTTTCCCACTCCATCTCTGACCCTCTCTAACTTGGTGGTGTTCATTCTGCAGACAAATAGATCTTTTGAAAATGTAAACGTGATAGATACGGTCACTTTCTTGCCTTTAAAACTCCTGCCTTCCCTGGCAGTTCTGCTGTGGTTCTCTGGGTGTGTTAGTGGCTGCTGGGACAAAGTGCCACAAACTGGGTGGCTTAAAATCACAGAAATGTACTGTCTCAGAGCTTCAGAGGCTAGAAGTGCAAAAACAAAGGTGTTGGCATGGCATTGCTCCCACTGAAGGCTCTGGGGAGGACCCTTCCTTGCCTCTTCCAGTTTCTGGTTGTGGCCAGCAATCCTTGGCTTGTAGACACATCACTCTAATCTCTGTGTCTGTTGTTACATGGCTCCCTTCCCCTGTGCGTCCGTGTTGTCAGGTGGCATCCCCTCTTTTGGTGTCTGTGTCCAAATTTCCTTTGATTTTTAAGAACACCAGTCACTGGACAAGGACCAATCCTAAAGACGTCATCTTAAGCTGATTACACCTGCAAAGACCCTTCTTCTGAATAACGTCATATTCACGGGTACCAGGGGTTAGAACTTCAACTTTTCTTTTCAGGGGACACAGTTTAACCCATAACCCTGGGTTTATTCAGGTAAATTCCAACACTTTACCATCACCCACACCAGTCTATGGATCCCGAGTCCTGCTTGTCTCTTTGGCTTCAAGTTTTGTTGTTGTCCTTCTCATAATACTTTCATACTCCAAACTCCACTGGACTTCTCTGTTTTTTGAATTGCTGTGCCACTTCCCACTTTAGGAAATTTTTTTGCAAGCTATGCATTCTTCCTGAATTGTCTTCCTCTCCTTATTCCCTACTGCGTTACTTTTCTGGCAGAATCTGCCTTAAGCCCCCACACCGAGTCTAGTTGCTTTGCCATCTCCTATAGCTCTTCCATGGCACTGACCACACTTGGCAATCAAGAATGTATTTGTGTGACTATTTAAGTCATAACAATCACACCAGTGTAAGGTCCCAGCAAGGGGTCTCTGGCCAGAGTAGGTGCTTAATAAGTAATTATTAAATGAATAAGTATAAGATTTCATAAATGCTAAATTAGATTACAGTATGGTTGGTTAAGTCCCATAGGACACCCATATGACTTTTAATCTTAAGAAAAATGGTCCTTTTCATGCACTCTTTGGATTTTAGCACGCTGCAACTTAATTTTGGCTTTGCAGAGGAATCTATTAGAGATTTTCTGTTGTTTTTTTTTTCCATAAAGAACTGAGGCAATGACTGTGAGAACTGGATTTAGAAGTTGAACACCTAAGAACCCCGTTTTTCTTAAAATAAAAAAAAAGGTAGAATAGAAGAGAAAGGAAAGGAAAAGAAAAACAACTGTGTCGAGTGTTAGGTTTACAGTTCAGGGAAGCACCAGGAGCCATTTTATCTGATTTTGTTATTATTTAACCACTGCACAAACGAGAAGAGCCCATAATCCTCTGTGGAATAATGCATTAATCCTCATTAGTTGTCATTCAGTTGGGTCTGCTTTCTCTGCGCCATGTGAAATATGAAGAGATACCTTCCCAAGAAGGATAAATGTGTTATCTCATAGTTCACCTACTTTAGAATACCCAGTGGGCTGCACTGGAAGTATATGTTGTTTATCATTACTTGTAGGGGGCAAGATGGGCCCTACTGAAGACTGCTGGACCGTGAGTGATTTATGGTGCTTTTTACCCCTCCACCGTTGGGGGAGGTGTCCACATGGTTAGAATTCCATCTGTCCCGTATGCAGCCCCTTTAATTAATGATTTATCCTATTATCTTCCTTCCTGAAAGAAAAAAATATCGAGGTTTTACTTTATCGGTAAAACTACCATCTACCAAAACAGAATCATTATCTAAATCCGAGTGACAAACAAGTTGATGGGAGTATTCTGGGGAAGAGAAACCTAAGGGGAAACGGGTTAACAAAATCCCTTGTTTCCTGAGGGAAACATTAGGAGGTGTTCCCTAATCCTGCCTAGCAAAAGGTCAATGCTTTGATACACACACACACACACACACACACACACACACACACACACACACACACGCTCAAGTTTCCATATAACGAGAGGAAAAGCAAAGAGACGCCACTGGATGAGGGGAGCCATTAATACAGTGGGTTTGACAGTTGGATGCTTGAAAAAAAGATGACTTCTTATTAACATGCAATTGTCACCATGTTAATAATGAAATATTGATCTGTTCTTGCTTAATGAAAATCAGCTTATTCTAATTTACCCCTGGAAAGAGGACCACTTAGGGTCCCGTTCCAACATCTTTACACTATCCATCTATGTATTGTTTATAGCTAGATTTATTTTTTAGTATGCACCTCTGAGCCAGGGAGGGGAGAAGGGAATAATGAATGTCAGGTAAACCAAAATTATTTGTCTTTTCTTCTTTTGTTGAAATTCAGTCATCTTATTTAGCAAGAAAAACTTCATGAAAGACCTTAGAACAACATTACAGGGTATTCATGATTTTATGATTAAATGATTACAATCTTTTCCAATAAAAATACTGTTATATAAGAAATGTGAACCTTAGAAAATCACTAGCACTCCTCATCTAAAGCTTGATTTACAGCTATTTATAACCATATATGCATTACAGTAAGGACTGAGAGAATCCACAAGATTTATCAGTCTTACTCATGGAGAACAATTTTACACAGAGAAACCCTGTCTAATAGCCTATCTTAATTAGCTGCCAATTTTGTGAACTATTTCTGTTTTATAGTCACAGTTTTTCTACTCATTTATTTACCTGCGCTTTCGAAATTATCTGTGAAGCAATCTCTTTCGGATAATAGGGAAAGGAGCCAGTGACTGTGACCCTCTAAAAATGTAGATCATTTTTATTTACAATTTAAAATGTAAATGCTTTGGGGTCAGGCCTCTGCGAAAAGAGTAATTCACAAGTCAATACATTACTCCTTCACACTTAAACATTGATTACCAAGAGGCACATACAGTGATGTGTGTGTGTATGAATGTGTGTGTATGTGTGTGTGTATTTACCAATGTAGTGGCTTTTATTGTTTCTGTTAGGTGTTGTTGCAGAGAGGTTCACATAAACATTTATATAGGTTTCAGAAAACGGTTGTTACTGAGGAAGAGCCTTTTTCTGTTTACACAAATTCAGAACAAAGAAACATTGCTACAGCTTCCGGTAATTGACATGTGGGCGTGTTCTTCAAGTCACTGACTGGAAGAAGTGAGTGTCTGAGATTTATTTTTGACAGGACTTAAATTACTGGTAGTCTGACACATTTTTGAACAATTACTAGACACTGAGGTGTTTAAAGTAATGGGTACTATTTGTTTGAGGGATGGGGAAGTTTCAAAACCGTTAGAACGAAACAATTTTCCATTTGATTAGTAAGATGCTAACACTCACATTTATATTACTAAATAGCACATACATAAATGACTCCTCGAGTGAGAATTTTTTCTCAGAATAAAAGTTGTACTTTAAAAAATATCCCCCCCATTTGGTGAACTGGTGAATCATGGAGTTCAAGAGAGGAATGAGCCTCTGTGCTCACTGTCAGCTTTCTCCCCTCTAGTTCTTTAGATCAGTCCCTGAAGTATACAGAGACGGGAGCATTGTCCTGCTTTGTTTCAAATGTCTTAGAAACTAGGGCTTAATGTTCATTAATTAGTGACTATCTTTCAGGAGCTTCTAAACATTGTTGAACCAGCCATCTGAACTCCGACTGCTAAATTAAAATTCACATTTCATGAGCTGCTAGTGTCCCCAAAAGATAAAGCAACTACAGCTGCCATAATTGGCAACACACTGACGTTTTAAGTTACCCAAAGAGTCAAAGCAGTCATTTTTCTTCCTCCTTCTTTCCTGTTCATGGGTCTGATGAAGATAAAGGATTGCAAAGTCTCTGTCCTCTTCTTTTCTATTTACTATGGCTTAAAAAGCCAGGCCAATTTTGGGGGAAGGGTCTATCTCACGGACCTACGTGTTCTTGCTTGTAGTTCTTAAAGCTGTGGGTCGGGAGAACCCAGAGCTGACTTCTGTGACCCATCACAGGTGACATGGGTTTTATTGCTTATCCAAGATCTTTTTCCTCTCCCCTGCATCCAGGGACGTCCGTGAAGTCATGTCCCCTGAATACCCCTGGAGAGTAGTACTGTGTGTATCTGTCTATAAAAATCTCTTTTGCTTGTTTTATTGGAGACACTGAGGGCTTTGGATTGTCGTTGTCTCAACCAGGAATGATCCTGTACTGCCCCAGCTCCCCAACCCAGGCCGGCATTTTGCAATTTGCAGAGTCATTTTTGGTTGTCAAAACAGATGGGAGCTTTTACTGTCAGCTTGTGGGGTAGAGACCAGAGATGCTGCTAAACATCCCGTAATGCACAGGGCAGCCCCACAGCAGAGAATCACCTGGCCCCAAATGTCAGTCGCGCGGAGGCTGGGGAACCCCGGTGGAATATTCTGTGCTATGCTGTAGTAGCTGGGGTTTGTTTTCCTAACCAACAAATCCAAACAGAAAAGCATCGGGGATGCTAAGCTGGGTTGGAGCAGAAGTAGTTTGGGAAATTCTTTTGTTTCTATGACATTAAGGACTTTTTTTAAAGGGATGCATCCCATGTTTTTGGCTTCTTTAAGGCAACATGGTATACAAATACAAGTGCAAAGAGTATCTTCAGGGTATACCACAAAATCATAATAATCCAGCAATATCAATTACCACTTGGGGGAAAGGGGTCCTACTATGTTTCTCTCTTAGAAATAATAAAAATATTCATTGACTGAATGCTCACAGCTGCTCTGCAGCCCTGCTTCTGTCCCTTTTCATTTGTAAGCTTGGAAAATAAAATTGTCCTTCCTAGTCTCCTCATTCCTCATTGCAACATGAAAGGGGTGAATCTAAATAATGTCTTGTTTCCATTCTATTTGTAAGAGCCCATAAAATTGATAAACTACTTATAGATTTTAATTAATATGATTAAAAATAACTGATTTGGCTTCATTTTCTCCTTCTCATTTGGGTGTTTTGACACCATCCCTAGAAGGTTTTCCAAGACTCCTCTGAGAAGTCCATTTTTGGAACCTAGAAAGTATGGGAATAGAGTCTGTGAGACTGGACATTTCCTTACTGTTTACTGGGGGGTCGAGGCAGGTAAATTCACTAGAATGGGATCAACCATTAGCCTTGAAAACAATAAAGGCATATACTTCTGCCCATCCATCCATCAATCCATTCATTCAATCCTCCATTCCTTCATCCATCCATTCATCCCTTAATCCATTCATCCATCCCTCCGTTCCTTCATCCATCTATCCCTCCATCCATCCCTCCCTTCATCCATCCCTCCCTCCATCCATCCCTCCCTCCATCCATCCCTTCCTCCATCCATTCCTCCTTAATCCATTCATCCATCCCTCCATTCCTTTATTCATCTATCCCTCCTTCCATCCATCCCTCCATTCATCCATTCCTCCATCCATCCCTTAATCCATTCATCCATCCCTCCATTCCTTCATCCATCTATCCCTCCATCCATCCCTCCCTCCATCCATTTATCCCTTAATCCATTCATCTGTCCCTCCATTCCTTCCTTCATCTATCCTTCCATCCATCCATCCCTCCATTCATCCATCCATCCCTTCATCCATCCATCCATCCATCCATCCCTTAATCCATTCATCCATCCCTCCATTCCTTCATCTGTCCCTCCCTCCCTCCCTCCATCCATTCATCATTTAATCCATTCATCCATCCCTCCATTCCTTCATTCATCTATCCCTCCATCCATCCATCCATTCATCCATTTCTCTATTCTTCCATTTACACATATGGATAGAGACACATCTGAAATATAATTAACTGAAGGTTAGAGTAATTTCTAGATGCTGGGCTACTGAATGATTTTAAAACTTTCTTCTTTATAATTTTCTCTATTACTTAAATACAGTAAGTATGAGTCATTTTAACAATGAAATTATTATTTTTTAAAAGGAAGGGGATGATACGGGATGAGCTAATGGATGCTTTTCAACAGTCCAGGAACACTGTTTTGATAGTTGAAAAGAGTGGTTCTCATCTTTTATTAACTCCATTCCGTCAAGTTAAAAAAAAAAACTGGTCTATTTTCAGTTTTAGGCCTGGGTTGATTGATGTACATTTTTAACTTTGAGACATGCATGTTTAATTATAGTTTTCCACTGACCTCAGTGTTTGTTACTTATACTATACATTAGCTAAAAGTAGACACTATTAATTATACAGATTTGTTTCAGGATTTCTTGGGGGCAGGATTTTGCTACATACTTTGGGATGCCTGGTGATGTGTGAGGTGCTTCCACACTTTCTAATTTCAAATTTCAAGGATCTTCAGTCTGGCTGCAGTGAAAAGAAACTAAAAAACTGACTTCGCAATTCTAGCATTGTAAAAGACATGTACATACAACTGTCTCTCACCTTCATGACATCCTTGGTGAACTCTTATGTATCTTTTAAACTGCTGTTCAAATGTCGCCTTCTCAATGGAGCCCTCCTTGACCACTCCCTTGTGAAGTTAGAGGATTCTTCCTTTGAGTAAGAAGTTAAATGTTTCACTTTCTTCTCACAATACCCTGTATTGTACTTGGAAATAGAAGTTACCACATTGCTGAAATTATGTCCTAAGTATCAGTCCTTTCTACTGGATTTTGAGTTTCCAGAGGGCTAGGACCAGGATTCATGGGTCTTTGTGTTCTTACAGTGCCTCAATTGCTCACCAGGAAGTGGGCTGGCCAGAATACAAGTCAGAATGAGATGGATGCAGTACGAAGTGTAGAAATCCAACAAATGTGTAAAAGGTAAAGGCAAACCAGATTTTTTTAAAGCTTATGATTGTTGGAAAGTTCAAGTATACACAGACTAAACAGCTGGACAAAACTTGCAAAACAATGAAGAAAGGAAAGAAAATAGTGATTGCTATGTCTGAGTTTCAGGGACTCATAATAAAGGACTATTCAGATTAAGAAAAGGCTACTTGGAAACTATAGATACTAATTATTTTTAACTATAGATACTAATTATAGTCTGAATTTTAAAGAAAAATTCAGGCACATCTACTCTGTGCCAGGGAAGGTGCTGAAGGAACTAGCATGTGTATTACTCGTTTTTCAACAGAGATATGTATTGTTAGTCCCATTTAACAGATGAAGCAATTGAGGCTTAGAGAAGCAAATGACTTACTTGAAGTCATCCAGCTCATCAGAAAGAACCCCAACCCTCCCAAGGTATTTGACCTTGCAGGTCAGTGTTTTTCCCACTCAACCACAGATGTTTTATGTCCTCTTTTGTCGCTGACGTTTCCTCCATGTGGAAAGCTTTGAAAGTGCTCCAGTCACATTTTGAAATTTCATGACAAAAAATTGAATGTCATCCAAAGCATAGTTGAGGATTTAAACATCCCTGTCAATCCTGGCTGTCATCACCAAAAGATTTCTATCCCAACGATAGATCATTGTGACGTGCTTGGCCTAAAGGGCCCTGGGCTGTTATAATGAGTAAGATTGGAATCTACTGAGTAATGCAAATAAATAAAAAAGAGACAGGTAGTCTCAGACTTTTTCATTATTGCCTTCTTTGCTGTGAAGCTCATGGACTGCTCTGTGCAAAGGATCTTTCTTTTTACCATTTTAATAGCCTGTGCAATGGGATTAAGAAAGATCTTGGGTTTTTCATTCAACAGATATTTTCATCATTAAAATGCTTACTGTTTTTGAGCACATAAGTGACTCTACTGGAATGGTAGTAGGAAAATAGGGACACGAAGGGGATTTGAAGTCAGATTATGAAAGCACTGCATGCCAAGCTATAAAAGGAGCGACAAATCAGGGAGGTTAGTTTCTGATACTAACCTTGGCAAACACAGAGAGGGGAGAAGCAAGTGCAAAAGCCCTAGATGAAAATGAGTTTGGATAGTATGTTCTAGAAACAGAAGGCAGCAGGACAGGTGAGAACTAAACAAGGCAGAGCGTGATAAGATATGAGAATGAAGGTGGAGGAAGGAGTAGGGTGATCACCAGCCCAGGCTGCTAGGAGACTGAGGGAGTTCTTGGGGTGATGGATTTTCAGTTTTTAAACTGGGAGAGTCCACGGCACACTGGGACAAGTCAGCCACCATCGGTGGGAGCCAGGTTCTGCTGGGACTGGGGACCATGGGAAGGAGTTTGGGCTGTACTTTACATGCAATGGGAGAGACTGAATGTGTTTTAAGTGGCACATTCTCAACTGCATTCAGTCTGGAGACTGAAACACTGATTCCTTGTTCTTTGGCAAGTCACCCAACCCCTCTTGACCTCGCTTTCCTCACTTCTAGCGAGAGGTGGTTACACCAGATGATCTTCAAGGTTCCTTTCGACTCTGAGACCCTAGGACACTTTTCACTTTGTTCTGTAGACAGAAAAGAGTGGTCAAGGATTACTGAGCAAAGGAATAACACAAAGAATTTTTTGAAGGATTAATCTGGCAGTAGTTTACAAAACTAATCACAGCAAAGAGAGATCTGAAGAAAACAGTTGAGCTCTTACAGTGATCCAAGCAAGAGATGATGAGAGCCTGGACTGGATGACAGCAGAAAGGATGATGGAGACAGGAAGGAAGGGTGGAGTGATATTAACCAGAAAAATTGCTGAATTTGCTGGCAAACTGCACATGGCTGATAATGGAGTCACCAAAGTGTGATTTAATTCATTCATTCATTTGTTCAACTTACTGAGGCCCTATTGTGTGCCAGGCACTGGATGAAAGTAGATGAGCAAGTCCTTGCCTTCACAGAGCTCACAATCTAGTGGGGAAACCAGTATCAGACTGCACGTTTCAGTTGTGCTTAATACTATGAAAGGACTGGGCCAGATTCCATACAAGCGATGCGGAGGTCCTGACCCAGTCTGAAGATCACTGAGGGCTTACTGAGATGAGTGATGTCAAAGCTCACAGCTAAAAAAGAAAAAAACAGCACTAAATTAGGTTGATGGTGGGAGGTGAGGGTGGAGCAGGCCATGGAGTGGAGAACATTTTAGGCACAGGTACCTTATTTGCTGACAACATGAGGCAGGAAGATGTTGCACATTCAATGAACTTAGGAAAACACAACCTGATGAAGGACTAGATGGAGGATCCTGGAAGGCTGGAAAGAGTTAAATTATAAAAGGGACTTGCAGATGCATAATTCATTTTGGACGCAATTCAGAGAGTGATGGGAAGTCATTAAAGAAAGAGTTATAAACAAGACCCTGATGTGCAGTTTCAGAGTTTTGCATTTTTGTATCCGGAAGAATCATGGTATTCCTAAGAGAACTCGGGCTTAGAGAGAGTGGAGAGGTAAATTCTGATGGAAAAGCAAAAGAGGGGAAAGGAAAAGTGTGACCAAGTGGAAGTAGTCTCTCAGGTGCTGAAGACACAAGTCTATGAGCTTAGCAGAGATGAGAGGTAAAGATAATGCTCTGGAGGCCAGGCACGATGGCCCATGCCTGTAATCCCAGCACTTTGGGAGGCTAAGGCGGGTGGGTCACTTGAGGTCAGGAGTTCGATACCAGCCTGGGCAACATGGTGAAACCCTGTATCTACTAAAATACAAAAAAAAAATAGCATGGTGGCGTGTGCGTGTAATCCCAGCTACTTGGGAGGCTGAGGCAGGAGAACCATTTGAACCCTGGAGGCAAAGGTTGCAGTGAGCCAAGATTGTGCCACTGCACTGCAGCCAGGATGACAGAGTAAGACTCTACCTCAAAAAAAAAAAAAAAAAGATAATACTCTGGGGATCATCTGTACAGTTGGAGCTGTGAGAGTGAATTAGTTTTGTTTGAGAAGGGAGAGTTAGCAAGGGGAGAAAAGATTGACAAGACCAGAGTCTTGGGACCTGTCCACATATTAGGAGCAATTCTGGATGATCCAGAGATAGAAAGGCAAACAGAAGGGAGGACGACCCAGGAGGTTTAGGCACATCATACACAGCAGCCAAGCCTGAGTCACACAGACAGGGTAGTGGAGGTATCAAATACTGCACAAAGGTCAAAGAAAAACAAAGCCTGACAAAAGGCCAGTCAGTGTGGCAATTAATAGATCATTCGTTATCGCTGAAAAGGAGGTTGGTGACTAATGTTTGGATTACATCACCTTGGACAAAATTAATAACAAATTTCCTGATAGTCACTTGCAAAGATGCAATGGAAATTGGCTGCTCACTCTCCCTGTCTGTTCTGAAATTTCTTAACTTTGTGAACACTCTAATCTCCTCTGAGTACTGCAGCAGAAAATTGAAATGTGCCCTGTGTACAATGTGGGTGAGTTTCTGTTACCCAAATCCTTACCTTTTAGATGTTTAGAATGTCAACTTCTCCAATTTACTGAATGCGTAGGCAGAGTTTGCATGACTGTTTCTGAGAGTGAATCTATCGGAAAGGAGGGAGAATGACATGCGAAGAGCTTCTATCAATCACGAATCCAGCTTTAGACTGCAAAATCTGTGTGTTCACGCTAAGAAAGGGAGATTTCCTGAAGTCAAAGATCTAAACCCAAAATCTAAAAACATATGAGTAAAGAGTTTTGCACTTAGGGGGATTACTCAGAATAGAGAAAATAATGTGGGTTTAACCATTTCATGACAGCTTTTTTTCTATTCCTTTGAATGAACACCTAGACATTTTTTAAATTAAAATTTTGAGTAATACTTGTTCATTGTAGAAGATTTGCCAAGTCCAAGAACTACAGTATGCCTGACACCTAATAAATACTCGTTAAATATTTCTTGAAAAAAGACATGAAATGGTACAAGATAAAACTGGATTAGAGGGACTCTGGCATATTTGGGATCATGTTAACACTTTTCGATGTGGTCTTTGAGCATGGAGGAATTATTATAGGTTTTTAGTCACAGGATTACATCATAAATTATCTTTGAAAAATACCCTGGCTGCATTTTGCTGGATGTATTGGAGTAGAATGAGGATGGATTCAAGGACAGCAGTGAGGTAGTTACTGTGATAATCAGGTGACAAAAAGATGGTGGCTTAGACTAGGCTGGCAGCAATAGAGATGTAGAGAAGTGGGTGGATTGAGATAGATTTGGTGGTAAAAATCAATAGAGCTTGGCTATATGGTAAATTTAGAGGTACGCTGGGAATAATGGAGTGGGGGAAAATTTTGGTAAAGGTAAAAATCGTAATTCCATTTGGGAACTGTTAAGTTTGATGTTCAAGAGTTAGGGAGAAGACCATTGGGTACTTATCTGGATTTCAACATAATACCCAATTACATCAATGTCAAAGTCCTAGCAAATAGAACATAATGAACCCCTGGCAGTGGACGAGCATGTTTAGGGTGAGATTATTGAGGAAGAAAGACTAAGCCCTGAGAAAGGCCAATATCCAACATTGAAAAGGAAAAAAGTCTGCAAAACATGAGCTTTTGGAGAGCGTGGAAGACTATCAACATAGGGTGATTGTCAAAATAGGAAGTAATAGAGAAGAGAGTGTCTCAAGAGGGAAAAAGTGGTTAGCTCTACTAACTACTTTTAGTAGAAGTCAGTAAGGTGCAAGTTGAAAAAATGCACACTGGACTTAACTTGGCTGAGCTCCTGGGTGAACTTAGTAAAAGCATTCACAGTAGACCAATGGGAGGAGAAGCCAGACTGGGTGGGTTGAAAAATAAATGAGAGATGAGAAATAGAGACAACAGTGTGCATATCTCATGCGGGTTGCCAGACAGTGGTTAACGTAGACAGTGACATGTTCACACTGGAAGAGGTTAATCTGCAGAGCAAGTGCAAAACCCTCTCAAATCGCTGCTATGTTTAAGGCATCTTAGCGCTACAGAGACAGAATAATCCTGTGTATTGGGAATACAGAAAGGAAAAAATCAGGAATGCAGAGACTTCAAGTCTTTAGAGGCCAAATTCCAAGGCTTTGGTCTGAGCCAGGCACTATTTCAAACAGCTGGATTATGTGCCAATATGCCTAACGAAGTGAATATCAGCTGGCCCCACACTGGTAATAAAACGATAATAACTCTATAAATAAATGTATTGAGTGCTGACTGTGCCCTCTATCACACTAGCCACTCTATACCCTTTATCTCATTTAATTTTCACAAAAGCACCAGCAGATAGCTACTATAGCTACTAGTAACCTTTTTCTTTTTCTGTTTTTTTTTTCTTTTTTTTTGCAGAAGAGATCCTGAGGTCCACAAAAGTTGAATTATATGTCCTAATACACATAGCTTATGAGTGAAGCCGTGATTCTGATTGGTCTGACTCCAAAGTTCAACTTAGGTTATTCAGTCTCTTCAAGTTGTTGTTGCCCAATGAAAACTTGTTGCCTAGCTAACTGGAAATCTGACTGAATTTCCAGACTAGCTCAGCTTACCTAATTTAATAAAAAACATCAAGACCCGAAAAGCAATTATGTAGAATGATTCGAATCTTAAACGAGTTAATATATCCAGAGCTCTTATGGTACCAGACGCATAGAGAGCCTTATGTATGTGTTTCCCATTAATTCTTACTAAAAGGCTCTAGAGAGAAATTGGTCTGCCCTTCCCTGGTGCTAATCAAACATTGTGAATAGTAACACCATTTTTTCCTCCCAAGGGCCACTAAATTTCTGCTTCTTACAGAGTAGTTTTCAACTTGGTCTTAAGGAAGAGGATGGTATTTCCTGGCTTTGTGCTTAATCTCTTTACAGGAAATGATATTGTTGTAGGCAAGGACAAAGGTACAAGTGTACACATTTAACAAATGCATTGAATCCTCTATTAACATTGCAAGTCAGTTCTTTAGAGCAACAGTCCCCAACCTTTTTGGCACCAGGGATCAGCTTCATGGAAGACAATTTTCCACGGACAAAGGTAGGGGAGATGGATGGTTTCAGGATGAAAGTCTTTCACCTCGGATGATCAGGCATTAGTTAGAGTCTCCTAAGGAATGTGCAACCTAGATCCCTCGCATACACAGTTCACAACAGGGTTCGTACTCCTATGAAAATCGAATGCCCCTGCTGACAGAAGGCAGAGTTTAGGTGGTAATGTTCGCTCGCCCACCGCTCACCTCCTGCTATTCAGCCTGGTTCCTAACAGGCCACGGACCTGTACCGGCCCGCGGCCCAGGGGCTGGGGACACCTGCTTTAGAGTCGTATCATTTTTGTTGATCCAGAATAACAAAGAGATGAACAGCCTAAGTCCACCAGCTATGAGTTTGGGATTGAATTTGACACCAGTTTAATTGAGGCAGCCACGGAGATCAAGGCAAAAATAACACTTCTTAAGGTCCCACTGTGTAGTGACAAACATTAGCTTCTTTAATCTTCATAATGCTGTCGGTTCTGCTATAATACTGCTTTTAAAACATGTTTTTTAGAGACAGGATCTTTCTCTGTCACCCAAGTTAGAGTGCAGTGGCATGATCATAGCTCACTGTAGCCTCAAACTGCTGGGCTCAAGCAGTCCTCCTGCCTCAGCCTCCCAAGTATCTGGGACTACAGGCATGTGCCACCACACCCACCTGTTTTTTTTATTATCTTATTATTTTTTATTTTGTAAAGATGAGGTCTCGCTATGTTACCCAGGCTGGTCTTAAACTCCTGGCATCAAGTGATCCTGCCTCAAACTCCCAAAGTCCTGAAATTACAAGCCTGAACCACTGTGCCCAGCCAATGCTTCCTTAAAACATAATTTTGCTCCAAAATGGTGGATACACTTTCAGCTTGACACTGAGTTTGCATTTGTGTACGTGTGACTTCGTCCTTGAGAAACACTGAACACAGAAAACTGCACCCAGCTGAACCAGGCCATGTAGAAATACACAAAAGCAAACACACACATACCTCAAACATCTACTCACTTCCTTCAGCTGGTGTGCCACAAGCCCCACCCACCCATGCACAATTGCTGTTACAACGCTGTAGGATTCCAGGTAACACTCCTCCCACCACTTCCAACACCCACTTCCACGGCTCTTTATTAAGGTAAAATACTTATTTATCACGGTGTTTATAAATTTTTTCACCATTTAACCTGCATAAAACGGTGCTACTGTTTGTATTAGGTTCCTGCTTTTTTATTATATGTTACTGACAGGAGCTTTGTTCTCCCAAACCCATTTTCCCCGTAAGCTCTGTGGGTTTTATTGTGAAATTTAGAAGACTGTGGTCCTTTTTAGAAACACACAAACACCTTATATTAGACTGACTGTACGTAAGTATGAAACAAATATGTTTATTCTTTTTTTTTTTTTTCTGAGACAGAGTCTTACTCTGTCGCCCAGGCTGGAGTGCAGTCAGATATTTTTGTTCTTATTCCCATTCCACAAATATGAAAATAGCCCAGAGGAGATGAATAACTTACCCAAGGTCACCCGTCACTGACTTTGTATTTGTGTAATTTCGTCACTCCCTTCTCTTAACAGACACTTCTAAATAGCTTCAAAGCACATTGAACTGGACAGTTGTTGCAAACCAGCTTCAACATTACAAAAATAAACATTTTCCAGAAAGGCCTTCACTCAAGATGACCCACACAACTCTTTGAATGGTCTATGTATTTTTAAATCATGTGGTAATCCCCTTTGTACATACTAAATAAGTCCCATTCTGCTCACATGTTAATAAATTTTTCTCATTTGTGAGAGTTGCTGAATAGAGCAAGCGAATTGTTTTACTCAGTAGGTGGTCGAGCCATAATAAAGAAGCCTCGTGATTAAGTAGAGTTGGAGCCTCTTATCTTTCTCACTGAGTGGGAGGCACCATTAGTAGTAAAAGTAATTACCTGTGTAGAACACGCTGATTGCATCAAGTACCTACTACACGCTACTAAGATAGTCATCTCCATTTTAGAGCTTCTTAAGAGATCTTCATTTGATGTTAATTTTACATTTTAAGCCAAAGTACATTATTTTTGGAAAACATTGTCTTAGCTGGATGAACTCATTTTTAAAGCCTTTCAAAGGACTTCTGTGCCCTGGTGATTCCCTCACCGATGCCCTTTCTCCAAAATGGCAGCTGCAAAGCTGTCTAAACAAAGTTGGAAATGATAAGCCACCTAAATGTGAAAGAATCTATCTGGCAAGAGTTGGTTTTATGTGGGGGTGAAAAACCTGTGCTTTCATCTATGAAATCACAAAGTCCGTTATGGGAAGGTGTTGGCTATTTAAAGCAGTAATTCCTGAGAAACTGTCCATGCCAAATCTTGTTAAATGTTGTACTGGATAGTTTCAGCAAATTTCAAATTCTTCTCTGATGGGAATATTAGAAACAGGGTGCTCCTGGTTAGATGGAGGCAAGGCCAGAGCCTTGACACTTAGTGGTGGTAACTCAGAAAGAGTCCTCAGCAGAGGGGTTTTGGAGGCCAGAGGACTCCCCCAGCTCTGTCTTTGGCTGACAAAATGACCACTACTTGCAACCTAACCTTCTGTGTATAAAATGAACAGATTGAATAGGTGTCCCATCTAAGTCCAAATTTTGATGTAGGTATACAGCTAATCATTTATTAGATTTATTAGAATTCTTTATGTGTGTGCATTTACAGTTAGGCATCTGTGCAATCGTCCAACCAATGAATCACACCATGCCTTTGAGTTTTCCAATTCTCCCTTAAATGTAGCTATCAATGTTATTTTTACTTATAGGACCCCAAAATGTGACCTTCCTTAGGGAGGTAAATAAGACATTGCTTGTAGGCCTGACTTGAGGCTTGTAAATAGCTTTCCAAATTAATAGGTCTGCAAAAATATATTCTGAAGCCTCACATTTCTATCGGTTTTAACCGTATAGCCAGGGTCGGTGATCCTTTTTTCGCCATATCTACTTCTTTCATATTGCTGATCACATCGGAAAGCCAAAAAAGGACTATCAGATATGATCAGGTTACCTGATAAAAAGAACAAACAGTTTTCGAAGTCAGACAGACTGGTTCAAATCCTGTTTCTGTTTATTCAGGCTCAAACCTTAGTCTGTCATTGTTACCAGCTGTGAGACATTCTGCAAATTATTTAACTAATTGAAGTATCAGTTTCCTCATCTATAAATTGGGCATGACAGTAATATTTGCTTCACCGTTATAAAGACTAAAAGCAAATGAGATAGTATGGAATTCTGTTTCTGTTTTTACTGGAAGGAATTATAAAAATTTCCAGTTTGCATTGATAACTTGAAGAGGGAATGTCTATTTTTTTTATAAGTTTTCTTCCCTTTCTATGTGAATTTTTTTAACTGTAAGCATTTATTGCATTTTTTTTACTTCTGTCTTTTAACATCATTTGATTTATCTTGGGTAAAATCATAAGCCTTCTTTATTATTGTTTAAGTTTCTCTGATTTAAAAAAACTAAAATATTATTAAAAATTAAATAAGATAACATAGCTAAGGTATTTTTCATAATGTTTGCCACAGAATAGCCACTAATCAAATTTGTCATAAGTAATAAGATCACTTCCATAACTACAAAAATTTTATAACCCAGGAAAAGTAAAGAACGACAAAATACACAGCAATTACTCAAAAGATTTTTCATTCCACTTATTCTGGTTAATTTCAGGTCCTGGAATCAAGAACAAGTGTTTATATATCGGTTAAATTGTTTTATAATGAATTTTGAAGAACCCTTGGAATTATTTTTGTGTTGGAATTATATTGTATTAAAGAGTGTTTGAAGCAATTTGGATATTCAAGTGGACTTAGTTTTGTCGGGGTTTTTTCCACTAAGATTTTTCACTGTTTGGGCATTATTTAAGATTCAGCCCAACAATATGTCACTAGCTAAAACTGAATGATGCTGTAATCCATACAGAGGACAAATGACAAATTTGTTGACTAAACTTCTATCAGTTTGGTTAGTGAGGAGCATTCTGATTATAGGTGGGAATTTTTGAGCAAGATTGACTCTTAATTTCATGTTCAATTTTTAAAAATTTATTCATCCTTTCCTCTGTTTTTCTTCCTTTCCAACCAAACTTCCTCCCTCCCTCCCTCCCTCTCTCCCTCTCTCCTTCTCTCCTTCTCTCCCTCCCTCCCTCCCTCCCTCTCTCCCTCTCTCCCTCTCTCCTTCCCTCCCTCCCTTCCTTCCTTCCTTCTTTGGTTAAGCACCTATTCTGTATTTTAAAACCAGTAGTCAAGCTCAGTTCATACTTTTTTATGCAAGTGCCTTTCACCAAGACAAAAACCAAGGCTTGAACTAACATTTAGCTTTTCTGAAAGCAATTTACTGAGAAAGTAAGATGCTTGGGTTTTTTCTGTGTAGACATTAATAATCATTTATTAGATTGTTAGGCCTATTTCAAGCCATGTAACCTCACTGGGTCTCAGTTTGCTTTCCTCCAAAATGGGATAATAATACCTGCTTTATCATATACATGAAGAATTTAGTCCTGTGCTAGCTCATGGTGCATTTGTTAAATAAGAAAAATAGATGCTGGGTGTGGTGGCTCACGACTGTAATCCCAATACTTTGGGAGGCTGAGATGGGTGGATCACCTGAAGTCTCCTGACTTCGAGACCAGCCAGGCGAATATGGTGAAACCTCATCTCTACTAAAAATACAAAAAAATCAGCCGGGCGTGGTGGCGGGCACCTATAATCCCAGCTACTCGGGAGGCTGAGGCTGGAGAATCGCTTGAATCCAGGGGGCGGAGGTCGCAGTGAGCCAAGATCGCGCCACTGAACTCCAGCCTGGGCAACACAATGAAACTCCATCTCAAAAAGAAAGAGAGAGAGAGAGAGAGAAAGAAAGAAAGACCGATATTTCACTTTAGGTAGAACTTTTGCATGTCTTGGAGAATCTGAAATATGACCAGGCTGTCAGTGGGGAAACACACCGAGGAGAAACTGCATAGTGGTAGTGGCTTGGTTCCTAAAGTAAGACAAACTCAGGTGTTCAATGCTGTTATTTATTGAACACTTATTTACATGCCAGGCCCCTTGTCAATTACTTTGTATGCATTGTACACTAGGTGTTATTTTATTATTCCCATTTTACACATAAGGAAATGAAGGCCCCTGAAAGAGGGCAAGGACTTTCCCCAGGATAAATTACAAAGTTCAGATTTAAACCCAGGTGGTCTAGACCTCATGATCTTAAACACTATGCCCCCAGGATTCAGGGCCAGAAAGGTGCCTAGCTGCAAAGTCATGCCCATTACTGAGTTCAACTTCCTCAAATTCCCCCTGAAGTAATCCCACGCAGGGCTCAGTGGTGGCGTTCAGGCGTAAGCATTAAACCACAAGCCAGGCAGACCTTCATGAGGGCTTCTCAAAGTTCTCCTCTCCAGCTGCGCTCAACCTCACCTGTGCCTCTCAAGGCCTAGGGTTATTGTGCATGTGGCATGGTCTCCAGCTGTTCCTCATCCTGACTTCTCCATCTGCACCAATCTCTTTGCATGGAGGCCGTGTCTTCTGGTCTCTTGGTAGCTCAGTAGTGGTGGGGTGGGTGCCAGCTGCCCACTGTGCATCTCAATCAAGGTTTCTTTAGTTGTAAGGAAGAATAACTCTCTTCAAAGGAAACTAAGCAATAACAACTAAACAGTAACAACAAAAATGTCTAAGGAGGGCGCTGGCATAGACCAGGGAATTGATGCAAAGGTGGGGTTGAGTGGGATGTCGGAGAGGGTAGAGCCAGGTATCTTTATGAACCAAAAGGTATATGTGTTTTGCACCTTCCTTCAGACTTTCCTTCTCTCAAGATCGCCATATCTCCATTCAGATTTTTGGGCTAATCTCTACCAAAAGCTTGGCTCTCTGTGGGTAGCCTACTTTCAGTCCATTTGTCTCTGATTGAGGTGGAGTCTGTTAGGGCTTGAGGAGCAAGTAGTTCTTGTGGAAGGGAAGGTATGGCTTGAATAGATCATCCCCAAGTGTGTCTACCACATTGGTTCTTTGGAAGGTGATTGTTGGAGAAACCTCCTGTCAGGAATGATGTATATAGGGCAAATAACAACCTCTCCCTGGTGGCCTTAACCATAAAATAGAAGTATGGACAGCTCTGTTCATCCTAACAATTATTTATAGGCCACCTCAATTTGCCTCTGTTAACTGGAACTCGTGTCCTGAAACCGTGTCTTCCCTTTGCACAGTTCTGTGGTTGCTGAGATGGCATGCACCATAAGGAGTGTCTGCATTTAAGACTTATCTTTTAATGCCAGTTCTCCTTCCAGGAGCTGGGGATATAGCAATGAACCAATCAAATGTTCTTGCCTAAGAATTCAGGTAAGGGAGAAGGAAAATAAAAAATGAATATATTAGCTAGCTGGCATGTTAGACGTGAAATGCTAAGGAGAAAACAAAGCCAAGAAGATGGTAGAGGAAGAGTCAGGGGATGGGGTGGAGGGTTTCATGCTAGATAGGATGGCCAAGCATGGCTCTGCGGAGAAAGGAACCTATGAGTAGACTCATAGGAAGTGAGAAAACAAGCCATGTGATGATCTGAAGGAGGAGAATTCATAATACCAGATTCTCACATGGCTAGACCTTTTGCCCTTTCTTGAGCAACAGCCTGTCATGAATGGAGAGAAGAATTGAGGTCAACCAAAAAAGGGAAATTTTTTTGCCCAGGATCAGATGCTTTTCCAAGTAAACAAGTAGTTACTCCAAGGGATATTTCCAGGAGATTCTTCAACTCCAAAGGCCAAATCTTCACGTTTCCGTTACTGTAGAGCTTTCTAAACACAGATAATTGTTTGCACAGTTGGTCAGCTCACACAAATCCCTTGGCAGTTTCTACAGACATTTATGCATTACACATTTTCGATCCTTGGCCCAAAGTTCTGATGTTTTAGCTCTGACAGTCGGCTCATGAGAACTCAGACTTCTTGATGCAAGCCCCCAGTCTTCACTTTTGAAAGACCATGGACCAAAGTTTTAATTGCCTCGTGGGTGTCTCTTCCTCTTCACTGGGTGCACAGCGTTACTCATAATCATGCTTCTGATTTGTGTCTGTTAAAAGAAGGATCAGAAACAGACTGGCAAGGTCTTACAGTTCTTGGTAAAACTCTTGGAAAAGACTTTCTTTTTTGATTTGCTTGTGTATTTTAGTGGTGTCTTCAGGCTATTTAGAGAAAAGTAGTATGTCTATTGATTCGGCCATTGGCAGGGACTTAAATGATGGTACGTGTTGGCTGTGTAGTACCTCTGCTTCTTCTAGTTGGATTAAATCCAAGGACAGGTAAATTCTTTTGGCATTTGGCTTGACCAGAGACTTTGTATCTGCCATATTGGTAATTGGCCACCTTGGTGATTTTTGGACTAATGCTCCAGGGAGAGAAACTAAATAACTCTCTCCTCCAACCTTTTCCCAAGCAGTTCTCTCTACCTGGCATTATTTTTTAAAATTGACTTAAGCTTTGCCCCCTCTTGGAAGCATTCTATTACCCCATGTCTGTCTTCAAGATGAATTCAGCTTCCTGCTCTGTTGTCCCATAAGTATCCTGGGCATAGTTCTGCTCTGGGACTCATCACCTATTGCTGAAATCCTTTTGTTTTCTTACCTGTTTCCTACTGAACAGAGAGCTTCTTGAGGTCCAGCACTGGGGCTTAATTTGATTCATTTAGTAAGTTTTTGTTGGGAACTTACTATATATGAAGCACTGGATTCAACTCTGGGAACTCAAAAGTGAACAGAATGTACACAATTCTGCTCTCATGGAATTTATAGTCTACTGGAGTTAGACAGACATTTTAAAAAATTATCATACAGGAAATTGCAATGAGTAATTTTGTTGGGTACTATGGAGGGAAATCCTTTAAGGGCCCTGTTTGTTTCTGACTTTAAAGCACTAGCAACAAATTGGCATTAACTGATTATGTGATTTGAATGGAATTGAGGATCTCAGCGTTGGCCCTCCGTCCTGCTGTTGTCAACTCTCCCAAGTTTTTAAATGCCAAGTTGTAGTTGCCTTTGTTCCGCTAAATTGAAAAATTTACCCCGTGCAAATGAATAACTAAATTCATATTTTTTTGAAGAATTCTATCTAAATGGAGATTTGATGGCTTTCAGAAACCTTTAAAACTTCCCTTTCCCCCATATGAATTCCACTATGGATTGACATATGGCATATTTTCAATGTCTAGTTTTTGTAATTAATTGAAGGCTCACTCTGTCTGAGAAAGAGAGTGCTTTGGCATTTCCGAGACCTGTGGATTCCATCCAGAGTACCACACAGCAATGCAGAGACTCCACTGCCGCTCACCTAGCTAGGAGGCTGCAGCTCTGTTTGTGAAATGTTGCTATTCAGCTTTCAAGTTTATTGGGAGCACTGAGTTCCAAGGATAGCAATTAGGTTGTTCTGCATTCTTCGGCTGGCTCAGGATGCACGTGCTGAGACTGCACATCATAGCAACGGCTCCTTGACTGCCAGGGAGAACAGTGTGAAAGCTTTCCGTGGCTCATCTCAACCACCTCCTCCTCGCCCCTGGCGCTCCGCAATCCTCTCTACTCCTTGGTGATACCTTTTTAAATCTCCCCATTATGTTCAACAGCATGTCAGCTGAGAGTTCAGGCTTACGAGATCATGTCCAATAGGCCAAAGTGTCGAAAATAAATGTTAGCTCATAAAACATACGTGGCACATCTATAGGGCCTGAGGAAAGCCCACACAGAGAAAAAAATCTTAAGTGAACTTGTTTAACCCAGCAGTGACAGGTACAGGAATGGGATTTTCTTTTTTTTTTTTTTTTTTTTTATTAAACAGAGTTTTTCCAACTTCCAGGCTGGCAAAGAAGTTGTAAAGGGAATGTACATTTTGCACCGTAATAGAAAGAGATAAGTAGGGATTTTTCCAAGATTTGGAAAGCTGGTCTTCGTAAGTCCATTTATTTATTCAACAAAAACTTTATGAAGTATCTATTACATGCCAGGCACTGTACTTGGCATTTGGGATAACATAGTGACTGAGAAAAGATTTGCCCTTGAGAAAAATCACAGCCCCTTTGGAGGGACTGACATTAACCATTTAATCACATAAATATGATTTTTCACACAGTAATAATAGCTATGAAGATTAAAAAGCTAGATCATAAGATACGTGGCTATAAGAGAACTCCCTGATAGGGTGACATTTTAGATAAGTCTCAAAGGGTGAGAATAAACTGTCTACATGAAGAACAAGAAAAGAACCTTTCAGTCAAAGGAAATAGCAAGTGCCCAGACCCTACTGAGGAAGGCCTGGGGAGCGCCCAAGAATCCTGTGTTAATCAGGGTTCTCCAGAGGGACAGAACTAATAGGATAGATGTATATATCAAGAGGAGTTTATTAGGAGAATTGACTCACAATTGCAAGGTGAAGTCCCACAATAGGCCATCTGCAAGCTGAGGAGCAAAGAAATCAGTCCAAATCCCTAAACCTCAAAAGTAGGGAAGCTGACAGTGCAGTCTTCAGTTTGTGGCCGAAGGCCCAAGAGCCCCTGGCAAACAAGTGTTGTAAGTCTAAGAGTCCAAAAGCTGAAGAACTTGGAGTCTGATGTTTGAGAGCAGGAAGCATCCAGCACAGGAGAAAGATGAAGGCCAGAGGACTCAGCAAATCTGCTCTTTCCATCTTCTCCTGCCTGCTTTATTGTAGCTGTGCTGGCAGCTGACTAGATGGTGCCCACCCAGACTGAGGGTGGGTCTGCCTCTCCCACACCACTGACTCCAATGTTAATCTCCTTTGTCAACACCCTCACAGACACCCCCAGAAACAATACTTGGCGTCCTTCAATTCAATCAAATCGACACTCAATATTAACTGTCACAAATACGAAGGAGACCATTCTGACTGGGGTTGAGAATAGGGTGGAGAGAGTCAGGGCATGAAGCCATGGGGGAATAGGTTTGCTGGAATTTGAAAGCCATGAGACAGAGTGAGGAGTTCCTTCCAATTGAAAGATTTTAAGCAGCAGAATTCAGACATGAACTTTGGCTGGGTTTGGAATGGAGTGCACCTCTGTAAGACTGAGGTGCACCATTTCCCCGTCTGCCAAAATGGAGCAGCTGACAGCAGCTTGCTTGCAAGGGTCTCCGAGCCCACAAGCCCAGGTGTGCTTTGAGGTGGCTTCCTCAGCATCTTAAGATAACTCACAGCAATTATTTTGCTGTGGATTTGCAGAATAAACAAAGGCTTCATCGAGCCTCTGGTTTGAGGTAATAAGTCACTAATGCTGTGTGTGCACACTCCTAAGCTTCAAGCCTGTGTGGATTCTTTCTTCAATTTTACTCCCCTTTTCGTTTGCTGTTTTGTTTCCAATATGTCATGTTTCCATATAACAAAACACGCATACAGACTTGATACCATTTAATATTTAATTCAAATAATAAAATACTTACCATATCAGATAAAATGTTTACATGTATGAATGTTTATATTCCCTCAGGAGTGTGTTTTGGAGGATGGGTGAAACTCTGATAGCACACAGTGGCATTTTAAGTGGTACACAGATAAACTTCCTAACAATTTAATTGTAATGTATTTATTTTAAGGTGTAATACTTGTGTAAAATGAGGACCACATCAATTTGGTAATTTTGTAGCTATTATCGCTAGATTGCCAATGTCAGTTGTGATAGAAAATACACTGTTCAAATTCATTTACTTAAGAAGTGAGTTTATGTAAAGCCTGGATAGTAGTGCAGGAGATAGTTCTATAACGGCAACATTGGTGAAAGAAGTACATCTATGCTGAGCATTATAAAACACAGTCCCTTGAAAGGGATTGTGTAGTCATCAGCCACTTCTCTAGGTTTGTATGCCGCTCCCGGTTTTCACTGGATGTGGGTTGCCTGCTGAGCTTCCAGCAAAGCTACAGATTCAAGTTGCTTTGCTGAAAATATAGCTTAAATAATTTGTAAGATTTACCTACTACTTAAATCCTTCATTTATATTCTGATTTTGCTCATTAAAATTTGCAATATGATTGTATTTTATATGCAAAGCCATACTATTTCTTGGTAGATCCATTTATTCCCTTACCTTAGATTTTTGAAGATGCAAAAGTATCACGACTTCCTGTCCAAAAGGAAATGAGGCACTGTTGATGCCAATGCAGCATTTATACTTAATGTAGAGAAAGCACTCCATTATAGTGTACTTCAGAAATTCAGAGAGTGTGCTAAAAACCCGTGCTTCTGGTCAGCCTCAGTGGCTCACGCCTGTAATCCCAGTACTTTGGGAGGCAGAGAGATTGGAGGATCACTAGAACCCAGAAGTTCAAGACTAGCCTGGGCAACATAACAAGAGCCTGTCTCTACTAAAAATAAAAATAAATTAGCTAGACATGGTGGTACCCGCCTGTTGTACCAGCTACTAGAGAGGCTGACAAGGGTGGATTGCTGGAGCCCAGGAGTTCAAGGTTGCAGTGAGCCATGATTGCACCACTGTATTACAACCTGGGTGACAAAGCAAGGCCCTGTCTCAAAAATATAACAACAAAACCGATGCTTTTGTTTGTTTCCCAGAGGAGGGTTTTGGAAGAAACTACTGACACAGCATGTGACAGCAAGCATCACACTCACAATATCGTTTCCTTGTGTGACCGCTCCCATCAATTAGAATTGACATCAGTTCCAATCCTATACTTTATAGCCCTATACGAGAGACCTTAGTAGAATTGGAAACCAACCTAGTTACCATTCTGTGTTGTCACATCCCTTTTTTAATGTGTAAACTGAGTCAAGTGTCGACTGAAGCTTCAGCCAGAATTCAATGCCAGGATTCATTCTCCGTCTTAACACTAGCCACCAGATGATGTTTTATCAGTCAACTTGAGTCTTCTCATATTACCCGTTGACTGTGTTCTGTTTGACAAAGAAGCTGTGTGGGTTGCTAGTATATTTTTCCCTCAAGACCACCTAACAAACACGGCATTACTTGTGGGATAAATGTTAGCCATGGGAAAAGGAAACAATATTCCCTGGTATGCTGCTCATTGTCACATGCTATGTCTTTAGTTTCTTCTGAAACCCTTCTTGGAAACATTTCTCTCCCAGTTGTAATTTGTATATTGCTGCATCTTTTGAAAAATTATTTTGAAGTCTTAAGATAAAATACTACATGAGAACGGAGTGGGAAAGGATCTAAGAAGCAGTTGTAAAAATAACATTCTGGGACAGTGGCACTCATGGTAAAGTATCTTTGTTGCATCACGTTTGTTTTGGACATTCTGCTGGCTAGAAAGAGTAGCATAGACCACGGATTGGCAAACTTTTTCTGTAAAAGGGCAGTGGATATATATGTTCAGCTTTGCAGGTCATATAGTCTCTGCAGTACCTACTCAGCTGGAAAGCAGCTATAGACTAGGTAAACAAATGGCCAGGATTGTTTCCCAATAAATCTTATTTACAAAACAAGCGGTGAGCCGGATATGGCCCTGGGACTGTAGTTTGCCCTGTGCTAGGGAGCACAGAAGAGATGCATTTGACTCTTAGAAATATACAGACCTGAGCCACATCCTGGCTCTGATACTTACCAGCTGTGGGTGCCTGGCCATCTGAAAGCATTTCTCAGCTCATCAGTTTCTACTTAAGTAAAATGGGACCAATTATACAACCCCTCTGATGGGTTATTGGGAGAATCTAACGAGGAATGCTCAGTGATGAACACAGACCTGACCCAGTAAGCACACATCCAATGTTAGATGCTACTGTGGCTGCTGTGTTGCCGTGGCTGCTGGGTTGGAAGCCCTGCTCCACTCTTCCCCCTCCAGTCTGTTGCCCATAGGGAAGGAAGAGTAACCTTAACATGGAAATTGACCCAAGTGTCTTTTCTGCTTAAAGCCTTTCCGTGGTTTCCCACGCCTTTCACTATGGCCTGATCTAGCTCATGCTTCCTTTTCCAACATGGTGGTGCTGCTCTCCTTCACTCTCGCTGGGTGGGCTCCAGCCATACTGAAGCAGTGCATGGAGCTCTTTTGTGCCTTGGGACATTTACATGCCACTTTCTTTTCCAGAATGTTCTTTCTTTGGCTTTTCTAATGGCTGGTGTCTTCTCATTCATTATGTGTTTGCTTAGATGTTACTTCCTCAGAGAAGTCTTTATCATTCTCTTACCATAACTATTTTCTCATAACTCTCAGCAAAATTCATCAAGAACCGTGCCTGTCTTATTCACAGTTGAAATCACAGTGCTTTGTACAGTGTTCTGGCACATAATAGACACTCAATAAACACATGCTAAAAATAAGTGATTTAATGATTTATGATGATAATCATTATCATCATGAATAAATCTGAAAGCATAGGACCTCAGCCGGGTTTCATCAGACTTCAACCGTCTTCAAACTACTTCATGATTTTTACCTTATCTAGGTACCACTTTTGTTACAAATATTTACAATTTTTTACTCCCTTTTTTGACTTAGTTTTTTTTTTTTTTTTTAAATAAACCAGGGATTGACAAACTACAGCCTCAGGGCCAAATTTGGCCCTCCGCCTTTTTTTGTAAGTAAAGTTTTATTGGAATACAGCCATGCCCATTTATTACTGTATCGTCTGCAGATGCTTTCACCCTATAGTGGCAAAGTTAGATAGTTGAGTAGAGACTGTCTGGCCTGCAAATCAGGAAATATTTACTGCCTGATTCTTTACAGAAAACATTTGCCAACTACTGTACTAAGTCATAAAAACCACCAAATCCCATGTTTGATACGCTAGTTATGTTTTTGTTTTCATTTTCATTAAAAACAATCTTGTAACTATTATGATTTTAAAAAATGATTTACTTAAGGGCCCACTAAAAACATCTTGTCTGCCATCTCTGGTATATGAGCCACACTTTGGGAACCAGAGCCACAGTAGTCTTTAAACTTCATCAGTGACATTCTACACCTGGGTGAAAGTCCAATATGTGGGTCCCTGACTCGGTGCAAGTTAGAACATTTTCCCCTCCAGAGATCCTTTAGTGACTACTTCATTTTGGGAAGTGCGATTTTCAAATTTACCCAATGGTAAACTCATGGGCCTTTCTCCCCACGGTGCAGTACATCTGCCTGGCGTACTCTTGCTAACCTTCCACACAGCGTGCTGAGAGTCTGATGTGAACATCTGCATCATGGATGTCATTATAACAGGTGTCAAAAATGCTACTATGCCCCCAGAACACCTAGACTCTTCACAAGATAGATGAAACCTATGGCTCTCTGTACCTGTGCTTCCAGAAATCAGGACTGATGGATTTTTCTCATATTATGAATAGCCAGTGGCTGTTCTGTTAGATGGCCCTTTGTAAAGAAAATTCTGCCTCCCAGAAGTTTCCCCAGATTTACCTGTTGCATTATGAAATCTCCTGTAAATAATGCAGAGAAATTTGCAGATGCCTTCTTATTTTTGTTTTTCAATGAAAATCATTTCAGGTAATGAAAGTTATGACCTCAAAGTGAAAGGTGTATAAGGTAAGCCTCTTCCAATTACAGCAGGCAGAAAACCCAACGCAAAATGGCTCAGACAATCAGGCAATTTGCTGGCTCACGCAACTCAAAAGTCTAGGACAAGCTGGCTTCAGGTACTGCTGGTTCAAGCCATTAAATTACATCACAAAGGTTTGGTTTCTCTCTATATATTTCTCTGGGTCACTTTTGCTATGTTGGCTCTATCCTGAGGCAGTCTCTCTCCTCGTGGTAACCAGGTGGCTCTAGCAGCCTCAGCTTTATATCTCTCAAGAGTAAGTCCACCGTCACAGAGCTGGCCTCTGTCTCAGAAGTTCTAGGCAATATCTCATGATATCAAATTGGGTGTGCTTGTGCCAGGCTCAACCAAGAGAAATGGGATGTGCTGATAAGTCACATTTAGGACATGCGACAGCTGGAGCTGGGGATGGAGCTAGCCAGCCCCCTGAGAATCACATGGACTCTAAATGGGGATCTCAAAGCAAGATGATAAGATATTATTAGAAGCAGCATGAATAGGTGGCAGGGAACAACAACAGCAGCAACAATAATAAATTTCTGTTACATAAAAAGCCAGCTTGCTCCCCAAGGCTTGATTTTCCATTTCACCTTCTACTGCAGGATTTTCAACCTAAGCACTCTTGACATTTAGGGCCAGATAATTCTTCGTTATGGGGCTGTCTCGTGAACTGTAAAATCTTTAGCAACATCCCTGGCCTCTACCCCTGTGATGCCAGTGGCATCTCCTTCTTACCCCCCACCCCAGTTCTGACTACCAAAAATGTCCTCTGGGAGCCAAAACGGCCCCCAGTTGAGAACCACTGCCTACTGTTACAAGTGGAAAGTGGGGAGCAGAGGATTATCACCTCACAATTCACCAGGGAAATAATACTAAAGGGGGAAAGAGCCACTCCTAGGGCTGGGCTTGACAACATTTCAGCATTGGGTTTGAAGCCTTCATTTTACTCTCTTTCTCCAATGAACCTGGGGAAGGTTGTCAGAACCCCAAAGGGCCCAGCCAATCCTATCAGCAGAAGCAATTGTAGTCTAGGGTTTAAGGATCCTAGGGTCAGGAAGTTCTAGGTCTCCCTCCTGTTAACACTAACACCTCTGTGTTTTTTGTTTGTCTGTTTGTTTGTTTGTTTTTAGAGACAGAGTCTCACTCTGTTGCACAGGCTGGAGTGCAGTGCTGCAATCTCGGCTCACTGCAACCTCTGCCTCTTGGATTCAAGTGATTCTCTTGTTTCAGCCTCCCAAATAGCTGAGACTACAGGCGTGCACCACCACGCCTGGCTAATTTTTTGTATTATTAGTAGAGACGGGGTTTCACCATGTCGGCCAAGCTGGTCTCGAACTCCTGAGCTCAAGTGATCCACTCGCCTAAGCCTCCCAAAGTGCTGGGATTACAGGCGCGAGCCACCATGCCCGGCCTGTATTGTTTTTTAGTACAGGTGTGAGATTTCAGTGATTATAAATGACAACTATTTAGCAAAGGGGCAGGCGTGAGATGATCACTCAATAAATATGAGCTCTAATTTTGTATGTCATTATCATAAGCATCATCATCATCATTTAAACCAGGTTTTCTCGGCCAGGCGCGGTGGCTCACTCCTGTAATCCTAGCACTTTGGGAGGCCGAGGGGGGTGGATCACCTGAGGTAAGGAGTCCAACACTAGCCTGGCCAACATGGTGAAACTCGTCTCTACTAAAAATACAAAACTTAGCTGGGCGTGGTTGTGGGCACCTGTAATCCCAGCTGCTCAGGAGGCTGAGGCAGGAGAATCGCTTGAAATCGGGAGGCAGAGGTAGCAGTGAGGTGAGATCCTGCCACTGCACTCCAGCCTGGGAGATAAGAGTGAAACTCCATTAAAACAAACAAAAAAACCCAAAAACCAAAAAAAACAAAAAACAAAACAAAAACAAAAAACAAAAAACAAAAAAAAACAACAAAAAACAAGTTTTGTCAAGCTCAATGGTATTGACATCATTTGGGGGCAGACAATTCTCTATTGCAGAGGACTGTCCTGTGTGTGGTAGGATGTGTAGCATCCCCAACATCCGCACTGTAGATGTCAGTAGAACTCTCAGTTGTGTCAATCAAAAATGTCTCCAGATATTGCCAAACATCCCCTGGGACAAGGAGGGGGATGGGATGAGGGACAGGGTGGGAACAAAACTGCCTCTGATTGAGAACCATTGAGTTAAACCCACTCAGGGGACAGAATGACCATCTGGCACAGTAATAATTCTCTTGCTATGTTTTATTCCCCAGAGCTGGTCCCATGATTTTCCCAATAAAAATAAGAAGGTACTTCCCAACCTGCTTAAGAAAATGTTTGAGGTATCAAGGCCAGATATAATACCCAGATGACTGTTATTAGCAACTCTGATTTCCTGATGCAGAGATGGGGAAAGCATTCCCATCTCCTTTGGCCTTTATGTCTCAGAAATGCTGTCTCAAGACTCCTAGATCACACTTGTTCTATTTCCAGTTTCAATCTGGCCCAGGGGATCCATGCAGCAAATCCAGTTAGTTACTTAAAATGTGTCTTAATATTTGGCAACCAGATGGAAAATCATTGCTCCAAACCTTGGCCTGCATGTTCTAATGAAAATGCTTGTTAGATTTAATGAAAACCAGATGTGAGGACGATCTGGCTGTGACATCTGTCACCCCATTGATTGCCAGGGTTGATTTGGCTGATCTGGCTGGCTAGGCGGGTGTCCCCTTCCTCCTTCACCACTCCATGTGTGTCCCTCCCGAAGCTGCAAGCTCAGCTGAAGAGGATGACCATCCCCTATAGAGCAGGACAGGTCTTTGGTCAAGGGTATTCGAGTAGCTATGCTCCCCTGCTAGAACCTCCAACATGCTCTCAAGGTCCATTAGATTTAATGAAAGCCATAGGCCAGACCATGAATAGTGTGGCGTTTTAGATACACAAGAATGGATATGCAGAAATATGGTATTGCTGATGATGTGGATGTGTACAATGAGGACCTTTAGTTTTCCTATGTTTGCCTGACACTGAGGTTTCTTGTGATCAGTGAGAAGCTAAGTCTGATTTGGAGTCTGGTAAACTCGGCTCCCACCATTCTCCATTCAAAATCAGCAGAATATTGTGGTTACGAGCATAGCATTTGGAGCCAGACAAACTTCAATGGCTACTTAGCAGCTATGTGTGGCTGGCACATCACTGGTACTCAATAAATACTGGTTGACTGTTGAATATTGCCCAGCCTCAGCGATAATAATGCATAATGCTTAGTTTATTCATCTTGAGATAAAAACAATGTCTATGTCTGGGGTAGTAAATTAGATAATCTTTGTAAAACATTTAGCACAAAGGAAACAGTCAAAAAATTATAGTTACCATATGTAACAGATGTACGAGATTCACAGCCATTTTGTTCATTCTTTATTCATTATTCAACTCATTTTTATTTAGTGCTTACTTTGTGTACTGTCCTAGCAATTAGTAAGTCAACAACTAAAGAGACCTAAATGAGCAATTGCATACTGTTTTCTAGTTAATAATACTGCAAATGTTTAATGTGTAGAATTTTTTTGGTCCCATTTGAATCCACTGTGTGATGAATTATCACAAAAAAATGAACTGTCTCCAATTATTTAACTTTCTCAAAAATTAGCTAGAAATTCAGGGGGGAATTTCCCTCTCAGTTCCTGCCACATCTCCACAGCATTCAATAATACTTTTTAATTTTCAAAAAGAAGTGAAGTTTCCAGGCAAGGCACTGACAAGTAAGTTTAATGGAATTTATTGCAGACTTATTCCTGATCTATCCCAAGAGTCCCTTGATTTATTTAGTTTATCCTATAACATAAGAACATGGGCTACATGGATGAGGAATGCAGTCTTAAGGCCAGGGTTGTGGTTTTCTGTATCCTTCTGTATCTTTGGATGGTTACAATTCCCTCTCTTAGCATATTTTCATATGGTTAAGTCTTAGCGTGATTCCATTGCCAATGAGTCTTTGCCTAGGTGCTTGGACCACCTTTGATGCCATCTTGTGGTCCTACATATAATTCTAGTCTCCATAGTGAATGAATGGTGACCTCCCCCACCACCTCCCAGCTCAGCCTAAGAGGTAATGGAATGATCTTCTATTGACTAGGCACCAGCAAGGAAGAAAGAAGACCCAAACAGGTGCAGGTCCTTTGAGCGAGGGTCAGGTGTGAAGGATGCAGCTGCATTCCTCAAAGGCAAGTTCTTCACAGAAGCTTATCTGGAATGTCCCAATTCTCAATTTAATAGTAAAAGTCATAAACCCTATTATTATTATCATCTAGTGCTTGTAGAGGGCCTTCCCTGTTGCCATTCTCTTGTCTTAGAGTAGTCTACAAGGTCCAGCTTAGACTCGACTTCTTGCAGAAAGCCTCCACAATCTCTCACATCTGAAATAAAAATGGTCCCTCTCTGATCATTTGCTACAACCTGTTTCTTCACAATACTTCTTACTGCCTGAACATATCATGCACATTTTTGTTTACTTATTGTATTAGTCTGTTTTCACGCTGCTGATAAAGACAAACCCAAGACTGGGTAATTTATAAAGAAAAAGAGGTTTAATGGACTCATAGTTCCACTTGGCCAGGGAGGCCTCACAATCATGGCGGAAGGCGAAAGGCATGTCTTACATGGCAGCCGGCAAGAAAGAATGAGAGCCAAGTGAAAGAGGAAACCCCTTATAAAAACATCTGATCTTGTGAGACCTATTCACTACTACGACAAGAGTATGGGGGAAACTGCCCCCATGATTCAATTGTCTCTGACAAAGTCCCTCCCACAACACATGGGAATTATGGGAGCTACAATTCAAGAGGAGATTTGGGTGGGGACACAGCCAAACCATATCACTTATTTATTGTTATTACTTCTCCTCTACACACTAACCTGGTCCTATCATGATAATGGGGATCTGTCTGCAGCAGCAGTGAAGGGGGAATGGAAGGAATCCACTTTTTGCCAAGTGAATAAGCAAGTACTCAGTGCCAGGGGCTGGGCTGAGGCCACTGCTGAATACTGGCTGTTGGTGGTGATTCAGTGGCTAAGATTTGACCCCAAACCACCACTGGATGCATGTTATCATTAATCCTGGAGACTCACTGAGATTAGTTAACTTGCTTGAGATCCCACAGAGAGTAAAAGATGGAGCCTTGATTTGCACTCGTGGACTCTGATTCTGTGCCTGCTTTCTTAACCTATTTGCAAACGGCCTCAACCTCACTTTGCCCCTTCATTTCTAACAAGGGAAGTTCCTTTGCCTTCCCGTTTTCCAGGTCATTGCCCAGGTCCTAACCCACCTGTCTGGTTTTGCAAAAGTCTAAACCCCTCGTTGGCTGTGGCTTTCTTTCCCCCATTAATATTCAGAGCTCAAGTTGCATCAAATGGTTAAAAAATAAAGTGCATATTATTAAACTTTTCAATAATGGAGTCACTTTAATGTTGGGAAATTCTACCACAGGATAATGCTTTTTGGCAAGCTCCTGTTTTAGCAGGAAGCCTGCAGTGAAGGTATGCAGAGAGAGAGAGTGAGGGGGCATCTGTTTGCTGTCAGTTTCTCTGACAGCTCTGTTTGTGTCAACGTTCCCAAGGATGGTAACTATGATTTCACAAAAGGGTCAAAGCCCATCAAACCTTTTTGCCTGCTGTGGTCCCACCCCCAACCCTTCTCTCCTGCCTCTTTGTCCCTTCTAAATTAAATCACATTCCACTGCCTTTTATTGAACAACCTCTGGACAAAATACTCTTCCACACACTCCTCGCTTAAGGCAAAGTAATTGGAACAGAAAGTGCTACTGGCCAAGAGCCACCAACTAATTGCTTTATGCCCAACTCCCCTCGCCAGAGGCACACCCAGCATTGACAAATCCATGGCTGTTTCCCAGTTTTTTGAGGTTTCTGAAACAATTGGTCCAATCTTAATAGTGGGGCAGGTGGGGGAGAGATGCAAAGCAGGGGTAGGGGTGGGAGAAAATGAATTCTCTGTAGTCATTAGTACCTTTTACCTGGTCTGTTTAATCTCCTATTATTTTGATCATGGATATCTGGTTTTTTAATTTCCTGTAATCCAGCAAGGAATGCCGTTCTAAGGACATCTGTGGTCTCTGCTTTTTCATGTTCCAAAAATCCTAAAAGAGATGTTTTGTCAATGACTGGATATTTCATTAGAAATCCAAAGATTCCCATTAACTTGAATTATTTTCATAGCTCTGATCAACTTTTAGGTTAATAATACATGATATTTAATAACCTGTTCAGATCGTCACCAAAATTATTGATTTAATAATATTTGGTCATTAATAATGAAAAAGGAGGGGGGAGTGATAGTTCCTATCACTTACGTCAATTTATTCCTTATTGCGTTGCAAATCTCAGGGAAAACCAATCATTGTAGCAACTTTTAATATCCCACCGTCGTTCTTGGTAGAAGCCAGGAAAATGTTCTGCATTTTAAAATGTCTGTATTCTTAAGTTTAAAGAATAAATACAATGAAGGCATCTGTTTAATCCAACCATTCTTGATTTCAGAACTTTCCGACAGTTTGTAGAAACCACAGCCCCCACTCCTCCTGGGTTCTCTAGCACATCTCAATTGGCTTTCTTCCTCTTTTTTATTATATTCTATTGAGTCACATTGTAATCACCTTTTGTGGTTCTTTGCTAATATACTTTGAAATTTGAAACAAGAATTGAGCTGAAAAGTTCATCATCAATTTATTTTGGCAACATGAAGGTTCAAATAGTTTTCCTGTAGAGGTCGTATTGGTGATGGGGTTAAAGTGAGCATTTCATCTTATATGAAAAAAAGTAGAAGTCACATGTATGAACCAGATGTGTAAATATTGATTACTATTTTGAAGTTATCACATTTTATTTCCAACTTTAAAATCACTTTTTTGGGGAGCGTCTTTTGAAATTTGTCCTCATTGTTGGAATATCCCTATGAGGACTTTTTTTTAATTTGGTAACAATAAATAAGTCTCTTGGCTGACTTCCAAGAAGAACCTACATTATTTCAAATTCTATTCAATACTTAATGGTGTTATGGCAAATTTCCAGCACCTAACTTTCCAGGCAATGAGAAATTTCCCTCTAGAATTGTATTTTGATGGAAACTGATTTCCTGTATTGGATAAATAATGGACAATATGTACGCAACTTTAGCTCAAGAAACATCATCAGATTTCCCCCAACCTGAGGCCTTCTCTGCACATGCCAGAACATCTGCAGGAAAAAAGTGCCTGGGGCAGGTACAGGGTCACTGTGTCTACACAGTGCTAGAGCATCTGTATATTTGAAAACATTCAGACAATTAACTCTATTTTTCACTTTTTGTCACATAGACCCAGTTTGAGTTTAACGAAAAAAAAAGAAAAGAAAGAAAGGAAAGGGAAAGAAAAGGAGAGGAGGTGGGGGAAGAGAGGAGAGGGGAGGGAAGAAGAGGGGAGAGGAGGGGAGAGGAAGGAAGAAGAGGGGAGGGGAGGAAAAAGGAATACTCTTAATAAGACCGTAAAGAGTGAAGGGTGCAATTTACGGAGAGTAGAAACAACCTTTGCAAAACTCAAACGGTGTCCATAACATCTCAGCTGAAAATATGTTTTGGGTTCTACAATAGTGATTCTAAATCCTGCTATAACACAAATACTTCATAATCAACCTCCCCCCATCTTGTTTAATATTTAATATGTAAAAAAGTTATTATGGTAGAACGGAAGAATATGACTTGGATTTTGAGTTGAGCAGCTCATGTAGTTTAGGAGAGGGCATTGTTTTTCAAATTGTGGATCAAGGCCCATTAGTACAATGAATTTTGTGGATTATGACCAGCATCTTTCTTTTTTTTTTTTATTATACTTTAAGTTTTAGGGTACATGTGCCCATTGTGCAGGTTAGTTACATATGTATACATGTGCCATGCTGGTGCGCTGCACCCACTAGGATAGATTAGAATACATTTGAGTACCTTGCATGTAGCAAGGGAAGTAAAATTGTTTAATTGACTGTTTCTTTATAACATATGAGCGCACGTGTACTGGGTCACAATATCAAATGTGTTTTTTACTATAGGTCAATTACAAAGAAAAAAAGTTCTAAAGCCCTGGTGTAGAAGGAACAGTTTCTCATATTCAGGGGTAGAAAGAAGTAACATAAAAGCTAATATGCAAGAATTATACCTCCCAAGTATATTGAAAAAACATAATCTTTTGTTGGTTTCATTTTCCTGTATCCGAGCAAAAATGGGTATCTTTTGGTTCTACTTCTCTCTTTATTTCTCAAATGCTCAGCAGACAGCAAAGTCCCCAGGGGTTTCTTAGACAAACAACCTCTGATGGTATGTTTAAAGGAGAGTCTAATTTCACAAAATTAAAATAAGCCAACTACCTAATACATATGTGTGCATTGATTGCTTTTATTTAGGAAAGACAAAATGTCATTCCAAAACTAGAAGAAATTGTTTGGGGGGAAATATTTTGTCTAATTTGTAGGGAAAGCAGAGAGAGTGCTTCAGCTTGGTTTTGAAACAGGAATGGAAGTATAGAATAACTTCAGTTACCAACATTTTTAATAACAGAGAAAAATCATCTCACTTCTCCATTCTGCCACTATAATTTCAGGCCCACAGGTAGGTTGACCTGACATCTGGGAAGTGTGACTTGCCCCTCACCATTTCAGTTACAGGGCATATTTGCTGTTTATACGAAGCTGGTGGCTCTCAGTATCATGGCCTTTCAGGTGCAGATTTTGATGCTCCATGATGAATCTGGCTCTTGCCACACCTGGATTTTAATATTCATTGTTAACTTGAGGAGCTGCCGCAGGTGGGACAAGATTTCATTATGAGCTCTTTGAACTTATACCAGTTATAGAAGTGGAGAAATAGATTTCACCCAAGAACATTTTTAATGTTATGTCAGAGCCCAATTGATCTGATGGACTTTTAATGACTTCAGTGATAATAAGAGAGATCATGACTTAGACCCGCTTCAGCCAGTGTGGAAAGGTTGCTGGCAATTTGCATGGTCTGATGAGATCTGAAGTGGGAGGAAATGGACATCTGAGTTCTAAGACATCGCGCTCTGCAGAGGTGCCATGATCTGCTGGCTGCTGGGGACATTGACCACTGGGCACGCGTGCTGTGAATTCTGCATGCCTCAAGTCACCTGAATACATCAGCAAAAGTCATAACCTATCAAGAAAGCAGGCAGACTGGGGGGTGGGGGGAAGGTGGGAGGGTTGGACTCACCCACAGACACCGGAAGACCTGAAAGAATGCTGAATAAAGGAGGAGTGGCGAAAGAGAGGAAGAAAGTTTCCCCACTGTTAGAGGCCATTTAGGCTGCTTAAGAGCACTAGGAGCAATCCAGAGAAAGTACTTTTCACTTGCATTTTAAGCAAATAGGAGGTTTAGCAGGATATTATCACCTGGAGAGCACAGTAATGGGTAATTGAGTAGGGAAAGGGACTGTGCATTTCTGATTAATATTTACCAAAGTCTTTGTGTGTTTTTTCCTTAAATGTTAATGATGTGACAGATCCGACTGAAGAAAAAGGACACTGTGGTTGGGAATATGGTACTGTGCCCATCAAATTCTGCCTCCTCTATGCTTGGCTTATGATGAATACCATTCTTTAATAGCAAACTGGTGTTCGTGAAGAACTTATTACGGAGGCTAAGAGAAAACCAAGAATGAAGGAATGCCCGCCTGGCAGTGATCAATCACCCCCTCTTAAAGATGAACCGATCCTTCTGTTTTAAAGTAACAGTTCTTACGAAGGTCTCAAACATAAATATGCAAGGCATCGAAGCAATTACCGTTGCCCCATCCTATTCATGTTTCTGTGCATGTTTGAGGAGAAGGTGAAGATGGCGCCCACCTTTCCCGGGAGAGTTTTCTTCTAGGAGAAAGGAGCTGAGGCTCTTCTCCAGATAAGGCTTCCTATTAAATGGAGGTTAATTATTAGTACCAGCAGCATAATAATATCCTAATGCCAAAGGACGAAGTCACATTTGGTTAGAGATTTCTGCATTCCTAGATGCAGTAGTCAAAAGAGAGTCACTCCCAAGAGAGCTAGCTAAGGAAGCCATGCTTGAGAACTAAGGAACACGAGAGTCTGTCTTCAGAGCCAAGATGCCCCAGACCCGGAACTCATTTCGTGGCCACGTGAAATTTGCAATGCCTTTTTCAGTTTACCCCTGACTTTATCATTTCTTGCTCAAAAATCTTTAAAGCAAGATTTCTCCACTTCCTTTACCTTGGCACTGCTGACATTAGGAGCTAGATGATTCTTCTGAGAGGGGCTGTCCTGTGATTGTAGAATGTTTAGCGGCATCCCAGGCCTCTCCCCAGTGGATGCTGGTAGCAGCCCCTTTAATAGTGGTGATAATTAAACTGCTTTCAGATATTGCCAAATGTCTCTTGAGCGGTAAAATCTCCCCCTGTTGACAACAATGACTTTAAAGATAACTTGGCGCCTTCAGAAAAGTTTAATCTTTTCTGAATGCCCAAAGGCCTTGATCTCATCTCCTTTAACCTCCACTTATCATTCACTGATACCAATCCCATAGAGTTCTCTCTCTTTTTTTAAGTTATATTTTATTTTATTTTTATTTTTATTTATTAATTTTTTGAAACAGGGACTTACAGGGTGGCCCAGGCTGGAGTGCAGTGGTGCAATCACACCCCACTATAGCTTCAACCTCCTGGGCTCAAGCCATTCTCCCACCTCAGCCTCCTGAGTAGCTGGGACTGCAGGCACACCCCACCATGCTCAGCTAATTTTTATATTTTTTGTAGAGCTAGGGTTTTGCCATGTTGCACGGGCTGGTCTCGAACGATCCTGGGCTCAAACAATCTGCCCACCTCAGCATCCCAAAGTGCTGGCATTCCAGGCATGAGCCACCGCACCCAGCCTTATTTTATTTTTAATTGGCAAATAATAATTGTACATATTTATGGGGTACGATGTGACGCTTTGATACATGTATACATTGTGGAATTATCAAATACAAGTGTTTAGCATATCCATCATCTCAAATCTTTAATATTGTGGGAGGAGAACCTTTCAAATCTTCTATTGGCTATTCTGAAATATAAAACATATTATTATTAATTGCAGTCATCTTCCTGTGCAATAGAACACCAGAACTTTTTTCTCCTATCTAACTGTAATTTTGTACCCATTGACTGAGGTCTCCCTGATCCTCCCACGCTCCAGCCTCTTATAACCACCTTTTTACTCGCTTTTACTTTTTTTAGATTTCACATATAAGTGAGGTCATACTGTATTTGTCTCTCTGAGCCTGGCTTATGTCACTTACCATAAATTATTTCCTCTAGGGCCTTCTCACACTTTCTTTTTTTTTTTTTTTTTTTTTTTTTTTTTTTGAGACGGAGTCTTGCTCTGTCTCCCAAGCTGGAGTGCAGTGGCACGATCTTGGCTCACTTCAAGCTCCACCTCCCAGGTTCACGCCATTCTCCTGCCTCAGCCTCCTGAGTAGCTGGGACTACAGGCGCCCGCCACCATGCCCAGCTAATTTTTTGTATTTTTAGTAGAGATGGGGTTTCACCATGTTAGCCAGGAGGGTCTCCATCTCCTGACCTCATGATCCGCCGGCCTCCCAAAGTGCTGGGATTACAGGCGTGAGCCACCACGCAGGGCATTTTTTTTTGTTTTTTTTTTGACACAGAGTCCCTCTGTGGCCCAGGCTAGGGTGCAGTGGCACTATCTTGGCTCAATGCAACCTCCACCTCCCAGGTTCAAGCGATTCTCCAGCCTCAGCCTCCCAAGTAGCTGGGACTACAGGCATGCACCACCACGCCCAGCTAATTTTTGTATTTTTAGTAGAGACGGAGTTTCACCTTATTGGCCGGGGTGATCTTGAACTCCTGACCTCAAGTGATCCGCCCACCTCGGCCTCCCAAAGTCCTGGGATTACAGGCGTGAGCCACCGCGCCTGGCCCTTCTCACACTTTCTAAAATGCTCCAGGAGCAAGCCCTCTGCCTGTATCTTTCCCGTTGCTGTTTCCTTTTAGGCCCAGTTCACTGTAGGGTCCTGGTGCCCAGAACAGGCCCTAGAATATGGACATGCAGATGACTTGACCTTCTCCCACAGCCCTGCATCTGCCAAAATTCCCTCTCCCTTCAAGCCATAGCCCAGTGGGTTCTTTGGCAGAAGGCTTCAAGTCTATCATCATGGTTGAGAACATAAACTCTGGAGCTATCCTGAGCTTAATTTCTCCTCCTCAACCTGCCAGCCATGTGATTGGCAAGTTACTGCAACTTCTCTGTGCCTCAGTTTCCTCATCTATAAAACAGATATCATAGTGGAGTCCATGAGGGCCTCAGAGGGCTAGTGTGAGAATTTGTGAAAAAAGCATCTGTCACGTAACAAAAGCAGCACCACCTCGCCTCTGTTTGCCATAAGCAGCACCTCCTAACCTGAAGCCTTCTCTATGGGAGAGGTTTGAACATCCATCTCAGTTTTCTTGTAGCATATTTTCATTGACTACATTTTCTGAGCCAAAATCAGGACATGGTGTGTAATAGCATCTAGGACAAGGGTCCAGAGGTCTGAAATATGAGCAGCCTGAAAACCTGTGGAGAGTAGTTGTCATAATTATAGTTCATTCCCATGTGTGTGCATACACGTGGGTGCCGCACGTATCTTCCCAACAGGTCATGGGTGGGAGACCGTATCTTCATGTCTGTTCCATGTGCAGAAGTATTAATAGAGTAGGGAGAGTGTAGGGGGCCCCTGTGGAATATTTGTTGATTTGAATTCTTCTAATTTAATGAAAGGAGAGCCTCTTTCAGAAACTCCTCTTTCTTTCTGGCTCCCCAAGTCCTTCAGTTAAGAAAGAGATGATCTTTTGCACCCTCTAATTTCTTAAAGGCAGGTCCTGCACTTCTTACCAGAACAATTCAGGGTAAGATTTGTTATTTGTCAGAACTTGTGGAACAATGTTTTGTTTTGTTTTTAATTTTTCTAAACATAATCTCTCTTCCCCATGGGGAGCTTGATTAAAATGTAGATTTCTAGGCTTCAGTTTAGACTTACCAAATTAGAAATTCTGGTGATGAGACCTGAGAATCTGAATTTTTAAATGCATCCCAACCACTCATGTTTACTCTTACTCCTGTTGAGAACCACAACTTTAGGATAAAGCAGCAAAAAGTAGAGAGGCTCTTTGGCATTACACATACACAGAGCCAGAGAGAGTCTGAGCTTGAAAATGCTGCCATTTTTATGAGGGGAGTAAGACAGAATTATTTTCCTCTGTGCTTTCTGTCATGTTCTGGATAATGTAAGTTATGCACATGGAGGCATTTTCTTTTTTAAATGAAAGGCTTGTATTCCACATTCCACAACTCTTAAAAACAAGCCGCCCTGAGGAGGAGGACTAGGTTTTTACAATTATAGCTGGAAGACGGTACGTGTTACCCTCAACACAAAGGGCAGCACAGGTAGTCGACAAGTTCTGAGAATTCTTTCTGAATATCATGAGTGCAGACTGTGACTTCAGAGCATCCCTTTTGGGAAGTCTCCATTAGCAGGTGTACCAAAAAGGGTTCCATATGGCTCCAATATCCAGTAGGATTGGATGCATATTTGAGCACAACCCAAAGAGATGAAATAATCCATCCTTGGTTTATTTCTAGATGATTAATCTCTCCTCAATATCCAAGACCTGTTTTATGATTAATTTGAGTTTTCCCACAACCAAGAATCTGTATCACATCCTCAAGAGTAACAGAGCCCCACATCCAATGTGATTTATTTAAGAAACAAAAGCAAACAGGCTGCTGAGTCTCTACCTTCAGTGTCCCTGGTTCGCCAACAATTTCATACCATTAATTTCTTTTTCTTCCTTCCCTGCAGTTTCTGAAGAATACACAACTCTCCCTTCTGCCCCTCCACCCTCTACCCTCCAAGAACTCAGGACAGTTCTTGGGATTTTTTCATTATCTCTTTTCAGCTGGAGGTATTCCAAATGGACCTCTTGAATTCCCACCCTCTCATCTCCTGACTTCTCCTCTCCTGACTTCTCCTCTCTCCATACAAACATTCTCAAATCTCTCTTTTCAACAAATAGACAAATAACTGAAATACAAAAATACACTTCCGTACTTCAGTTTTCTCATTTTAAAATGAGCTTAAATATAGTATCTACTTTATAGGGTTTTGCAAGGATTAAATGAGTTAGAGCTAAAGCTCTTAGAAGATTATTGGCCCACAGGAAGTGCTCATCTACTCTCAGGTAATAATTTCATGGGAGGGTGTGTCTGTCTCAATCACCTATCATCTGTCTGTCGGTCTCTCCGCCTGTCTCTAGACCTATGCTTCTTTCTCAATCCACCCTATCTCTCTCTTATCTTTCATTACCAACCTCTTTGGAAGAGTCCTTCTCATTTTCTCCCTGGAGCTCCTCCTCTCCCACTCACTCCCATCTCTTTCAATTTGCTTTGGCCAACCCTAGCTGGACCTGAAGACGTAGTTGCATGGCCCATCCTGTGATTTCTCTTTTGAGCTCATCCCTCCAGAAAGTACTGCAATATTGTGCACAGAATTTTAATTCTCCCTTTGTTTTATTTGCAGTGTTGCAATGGAGTTTCATCGATATTTCCCTTTCTAAAAGAATCATTCTTTGGTTGTGGATGTAGTTGCGGCTGCTGTTGTTTTCCTGGTTATGATAGAAACAGAAGCTTGTAGTCCTAGATAATCTCTCCTGACCTACTTTGTAAGAATTGGAGTGCTGCTCCTTCCCAAGCTCTGTGATGATGCTTTTGCTCTGTTCTTCCTCCAATGACCCAGTAAATGTCATGGCTCCCTAGGACTCTGTCCTGGGTTCTCAGCTCAGCTCAGCTCAGCTCATCTCCTCTTTACACTCAGAGATCTCAAAATAGCAACCTTCAAGAAGGCCTGGTCCACAGAAATGTTCTGTTGGAGCTTCACAATACTTTAAAAAAATTAGTTTCTACATTTCCATTTTTTCACCTAACAATTCCTATTTCTGGCTTCTTTTGAAAAATCAGGGCGTTTCAGCATGCCAGGCTTGTGTTTCTGTGTGATCATGGCCAGCTGGAGCTATGAGTAGAGCAGTCTTAATCAGGGCATTTCCAAATTCTTACAACCATCTTCACTTAATTCTGTTCACTGCCCCGCCCCTCTAGGCAGCTTAAGTTGTCATTCCTATTGTGCTAGCCCTAGGTAAGTTATGGCTCCGCAAAACAAGGACAGCCAAATTTTTATTTTTCAGCCCACCGTGACCCTCATGCCCACAGCCAAATTCCCATACATGTTCCAATAAATCCCAGACTTTCTCCGGCCCTCTCTTGCTGCTCACACTTGCTGCAGCCCTTCTTCTCTATCCCTTTAGCATAACCTTCAGAACTCAACATTCCATCTGAGAGAGTGTTCAGATCTGGAATTCTAAAAGGAAAAAAATAAATTATGTTATGCATTACTACTTGGAGGCATGCTAGTTGGGCACCACTACTCTATAAGAAGACTCTAGTTACATAATAAAAAAAAATGTTAAGAAGATACGTGATCAACAAGGAAGGCAGGCCAACGTCTGTTGGAGCAGTTGGGATATGAGATAAAGAGTACTGGAAATATGGTGGTAAGGGGTGGAAATTCAGACCATAGTGAATCCAACAGCCATGGCAGAGAAAAGTTGGGAGGCAGATAACATTAAAATAAAATAAAATAAAATAAAGCAGATGCAAAACCTAAAATAAAGCTACAGAAAGAGCTTGTGGGTTGGCGGTGCCACCGAGATATAGATGGAGGCAGAGACTTGGGGAACTGTTGATGGTTCTGGAAGATGCAGCTGAGTCCCATTTTGGGCATACTGAGTCAGATGCCAGCAGACATCTAAAGAGAAAGGTTCTGTACAGTTGAAGGCAAGAGATGACATGTAGAATAGAAGGGTGGATCTAAATGGCAGTTTCAGAAGTCACCTATCTATCTGTGGTTTTCAAAAAGTTCTCTGTGAAAAGGAGAACACAGGGAAAGAGGAAGAAAAATGAGGAGCCCAGGCAGGAGATAAAGATTCAAGAAGTGCAAGGTCAATCAGAGAAGTTCAGAAATCAAAATGATAATTTGATATAAAAGGAAATTGTCCAAGAGGGTCAACTGAGCAAGGAAGAATATCTGCATAATATATCTACATGAGGCTCTCAGACGTGGCCAGGAGAAGATTATTTATTCAGTCAATGAATATACACTAAACATCTATTATTTGCCAGAAAGCATGCCAAGAAGAACAATTCATCACTGAGATTATATCCATCAGTGTAGACTAGGTTTTGCTACACTAAACTCCCAAATCTTTACGGCATAAAATAACAAAAGTTTATTTCTTGGTCATGAAAGGGGCTCTGATCCCTGTCATTCTCATTCTGGGCCCAGACTGATAAAGCAGCCACCCTTTGAAACATGGTGCTTACCATGACAGAGAGAAAGAAGATATGAATCAGCTCTTAAATCTCCTCCCAGAATGGAAAAGCAAGTCAGGTGGCCCACGTAACTTCGAGAGGACATCAAAGTGTAATTCCAGCACATCTGCAGAGAAGAGACCTGGAACATTGGTGCAAAGCCTCAGTGACTCCACCAGGGTTGATTCCAAGAGGGAGTGGAAGACATTCACAGCCCTAAATATTTTCATGTTATTTCTCTAACCCAAGGCCAACTAGAGGGGCCCAGTGCAAAATGGAAATGCAGACCCCAGATCGAGCCAGGAAAGTCAGTGTTTCCTTCCCTCAGGCCCCCACCTTAACTCAGGGTTGTGGGATGACCCCCAGAGATTGCACGCTCTGGTACCTGATGCAGAGCTTACAATCCTTGGGGGTCATCCCACCACCTGGGTCAGGGATGGGCAAGAGGCCCCACCTACCATGCCTTGGTGCTGCCACCGCCTTGCCCCATCCTGAGATGCTGAGGGCACGTGTCTAACCCTGACTGTCTCCACACCCATGTCCCGGCCTCATCAAGAACTGAGAACCATGGCAGAATATGGGCCTTCCCTCACCTATATGACCCAGTTGCCACCCAGGCAAAACCAGGTAATAGGAGCAAGACAGGGACAAGGGAGGAAGACAGGTAGGGCCCAGGTCACCAGAGGGCAGGGAGGGGCCAGCTGAGAGCCCTGCTTAGGGAGCAGGGAGAGCAGAACCACACAGGAGCCCATGCTCCAAGCCCCTAGCTCATGTCCTATGTCCCACTGGACTTCAGTTAACAAAACACAAATTCACAGATAAAATTATTAAGAAGTTCTTCAAGCCAGCAACCACAGAGCCCCTTCTGAGAGTGAAATCCTGTGCAACTGAACTGCCTTAAGTCCATTTTAATGCCTCAGTTTTGACTGGAAGGACATATATCTCTTCTGCCCCTTCACTTGTCTTCTACTTTTTCTATCCTTCCTTCCAATTACTCTCAGAATCATATTCAGATTAGGGATAATCCTAATAAGAAATTCATTTTTTGTTGGTTTTTTGTTTGTTTTTGAGACAGAGTCTCACTCTGTTGCCCAGGCTGGAGTGCAGTGGTATGATCATGGCTCACTGCAGCCTCAACCTCCTGGGCTCAAGCAATCCTGAGTAGCAGGGGCTACAGGTGTGCACCACCACACCTTGCTAATTTTTGTATGTTTTGTAGAGATGGGGTTTCACCACATTGCTCAGGTCAGGAATTCCAGACCAGGAATTCTTGAGCACAAGTCATCTGCCCATTTCAGCCTCCCAAAGTGCTGAGATTAAAGGCGTGTGCCCCTACACCCAGCTGGAAATACGTTTTTGATGTAACATAAATCCCATCTACTGAGATTACATGAACAAGCTTGAAAATAACCTATTATTTTTTAATAGTCTTCATCAAAGATATTGGATTCTTTGTAACCCTTGGTTTGGGGCCTGAGAAAAGGACAGGGCAAGGGTGGAAGGCACAAGTTAACTTGGCAGGACCCATAATTTTCAAATTCCAGATTTATGCAAAGTTTAAGAATATCAGCCACGGCTTGCAGTGAGATTGCATATTTGATAAGCCCTCAGATTCCCTCTTTGCCATGGAGGCGGACTGCAGAAGAAGTCAGGTGTCAGGGAAATAGAAATAGGTGGTCTTAATGTGCTCTCTGGTGTTATATCTGTCTGTAGAGAATATAGCTTACAACAGATTAGCAGACCTGACATATACTGAGAACGCAGTAAGAATGATGCTGTTGATGTTTTCAGAAATCCCTGGAGGGAAATTTTCTCCTTTTTTCTTCTCTTTCTTTCTAGAATTTGTTTGTTTGTTCCCCCTCTGTACTTCGTTGTTCGTTAGCCCACTGCCGTTTATCTCCCTGAAATAGTTTTGTGTATCTAACCATATTAAACCCATTTATTTATTGTAGTTTATCGCTGTTTAGCGTATAAAATGTTTATTTATCAACCACTCACGTATCTAACATTTACCTGATTGCTACTTGCCGATGCTGTGTGTTGGCATGTATCTGGCTGGGCTGCACATATATTTGATATTCTTAGATAATAGGAGTAAATAGAACTGTTTAGAAGTTCTAAAGAGAGGTTTCAGAATATCTAAGAGGCAAAATATTCTGCACCCAGAATGTGCCCTAATACCCAGAAAAATGTGTCCTAGAATTGACTCTGAGTGTGTCTGAACAATAACAAAACTTGGCAGTCCTTAAGCGTAGGTTAATCCCTTTTAGTATTTGTGCTTTTAATACCTTAGGCATCTCCTCTTATCACAAATTAATAAGTATTAGTGTTTTATATAAGGCTGCTTTCCCCAGTCATGTCTGAACTCCATAATGGGATCCAGAAGTGTATGGATTATCTGGTTTTCACTCAGCAGTGGCTCTTTGACACCTCTCAATGCATGGTACCAAAAAAAAAGGTCCATATAGTCAGGGCACGGTGGCACATACCTTATAATCTCAGCTACTCAGGGGGCTTAGGCAAGAGAATCACTTGAGTCTAGGAGTTCGTGGCTGCAGTGAGCTGTGATCATGCTACCACATTTCAGCCTGGGTAATGGAGCAAGACCCTGTCTCTTATGAAAAAAAAAAAAAGAAAGAAAAAAAAAATGGTCCATACACATTTCTGGAGTGGATGTTGATTGCTTGGTTCCATTTTGACCAAGACTCTTACTTTTCTAATCTCTTATAAATTTGCGTCTGGGATTATTCTAATTTACTTATATGTGTTTCATGGACGAGTATACACAAAGCATCCATGAAGAGACAATCTCAGATGAGTGCTCAGAATCTGGGCTTTGGAACTGTGTTTATACCTAGTCTTGAGCCTAACTAGCTGCTGAATCTTGGACACATCACAAAATCTCTCTAAACTTCAGACCCTCATCTATAAAGGAAAAATAGTACTAGTACCCACCTCACGATATGTCATGAAGAAGAAACGAGATGATCAATGCAAACTATTCCGTATACAGTAAGCACTCCATAAATACTAGCTACCACTGCTCTTTCCAGTGCAGTCTGGTCAAATTACATGTGTTGGGCACCTCTGTCAGCAAGTTAGAAATTTGAGGTGTAAAATGGGCTTCTCAGTGCAAACTTGTTGGTGTGTTGGTGCTGTGACCTCTTTCCGCCACTCTGGATCTTCCCCAAATGGCTGCTCTTGCTCAGACAGAGGCAGTCTCTAGAGTTTACACACAACCCTAATTTCCACTGAAATTCTTTAGAGAGGAGGTGGTAAAAGAGAGGGGTGATTATTTGGGCCTTCTGCTTAAATTATTTTATGCCTGGGGTGTGTGTGTGTGTGTGTTTGCCTCCAGCAAACTCTGAAGCAGGAACAATGCATATGTGCACTAAATAAGAGTTACCGATGTTTTAAATTGTGCCCACCAATTCTGAGGGTGGACCTGAGAGGCAGGAAAAAACTTGGGTTGGGTATCACGCATTCTTCCTTGCATGTGGGAGTGTTAATTCTCAGTGGCTGGTGTCCACTGAGATGGATGAAGTGTCCTTGCAGGGGCCAAGTCTTACGCATTTGGGTGGCCCCCTTACCTTGTCAGGCTTCCTCATTTGTTCATTCCACAAATGCTCATCAAGGCCCTACTCCATGTCAGGCACTGTGCTGTGTGTGGGGGTACAAAGTTTTTCCCCTTGTGGATCATACCTCTAGAATAGAGGGAAGCCATAAATATGTGATTGAATTTTAAGTACTATTTGGTAGCAATATGGTTTGGCTGTGTCCCCATCCAAATCTCATCTTGAATTGTAGCTCCAATAATTCCCACAAGTCATGGGAGGGACTTGGTGGCAGGTAATTAAATCATGGGAACAGGTCTTTCCTATGCTGTTCTCATGGTAGTGAATAAGTCTCATGGGATCTGATGGTTCTATAAAGGGCAGTTCCCCTGCACACATTCTCTCTTGCCTGCTGCCATGTAAGACATGCCTTTGCTTCTCCTTTGCCTTCCACCATGATTGTGAGGCCTTCCCAGCCATGTGGAACTGTGAGTCCGTTAACCCTCTTTCCTTTATAAATTACCCAGTCTCAAGTATGTCTTTATTAGCAGCATGAGAACAGACTAATACAGGTGGCATGACAAAAATAAGTAAATAAATGACACAGAGCAAAGGAATTGAGAATGGTAGTGAGGTGCAGAGGTGGGGAGGGAACAGGTGTTTTAATTAGGCCAACAGGGAGGTGGTATTTGGGCAAAACAAGGTGAGAGAATGAGTCTGGTGAGAGGAGAGGAAGCACATTCCAGGCAGGTGAGCAGTTGCAAAGGCCACTGGTGGGGAGATGAACTTCAAGTGGAAGAAGGGGAGGCACATAAGCAGGATTTGGGGGATTAAAATTAGAAATTATGGTTTCATATTGAATGAAAGAACAACAAAGGAATGAGTGGATTGATGGATGTGGGTGTGGATAAGTGATTCAATCCAGCAGTGGGGAAACCAATGGGCTGCTGTGGTTACAGTCAAGGAAACCAAGCTATCGTGAGACAGGTGATGCAGTGAGAAAAGTCTTGTGTTGCATTACTTCTCTTCCTTATATCAGTTAGCTCTGTAATCTTTCTGAGCTTCAGTTTTCTCATCTGCAAAATGGAGATAATCTTTAATGGTTCTTATCAGAATTAGAGATTCTGTATGCATCAATAAGCTACTGCTATTAATTGATTGCATTACATTATATCATACTATTTTAAATATTTTTCAAAATGATGAAAAAGGAATGCACATTTAAGGAGGGAGGGGAGATGCCCTAGTGTTTGACTGTGTAGCTCATTTTGTCTTTATTGCATAGGCAAATCATTATTCGGTAACCTGGAGGTTCCTTTTGCAATGCAAATCTCTGTAAGAGAAGAATGTGATGGCTTCCCACAGGCCACCTCTCTGGGTGCCCCAATGTCTTCCTTACTCTCCTGACTACAACCTCGCTCATTCTCTCTCAGCTCCTTAAGTGCTACAGGCTTCTGCTCCTGCCCTCCACCCCACGGCTGGTACACAAGCCATTTGTCCAACTGGTCTCAAGACATTTTGCACAATTTTAGGGCAAACTGACCACCTAGAAATGCAGTGTGAATAGTGTCCCCTGCAGCTGCAGAACTCTGAGATCCTGCAAGCCTTTTTGCATGGCATGAACGTCACCTACCTCCTGATTTCTCCAGTGGTCTTCTACTCATACTTGAGACCCTATGTCCTCAGGGAACCTCCTCTGGCCTCCCAAATGTTTGTTTAGTATATTGTTTTGAATGGCATTTTTTAATTCTGCCAACGAGAAGGTCAATGATACAGCTGTATGTATTTGCTAGTGTCTTAGTCAGTCTGGGCTACTATAGCAAGAACCACGGGCTATGTGGCTTGCTCAACCAACACTTGAGCAAGTTTAAATATTCCAGAGGCTGGAAGTCTGAAATCAGAGTGTCAGCATTATTGGGTTCTGGTGAGGGCCCTCCTCCTGATTTCTTCATGGGGGAGAGTGAGAGTAGGGTGGAGGATGGTGTAGAGAAAAAGGAAAAGGGAGAGAAAGAGAGAGAGAGAATGCTTCAGTGCACGTTCTCTCATGCCTCTTCTTATAAGGACATGAATCTCCTCATGAGGGCTCCACCTTCATGACCTAAGTACTTCCCAAAGCCCCTATCTCTTAATACCAACCCATTGGGAGTTAGAACTACAGCATATGAATTTTAAGGGGAACAAGCATGCAGTTCTTAACACCTAGTAAGCTCCATATAGAGGTTCCTGGCCAATATCATCACTGTCTGCAAGAGATAACATATGGCATATCTTCCTTACCAAGAACAATTTGGAGTTAGCTAAACTAATTTAAGTCATTCATCCACTTAATGTATAGTTATAAAGCACACACAAGGTATCAGGCTCTGTTCTAGGCACTAAGAATTTGGAAATGAACAAGAGACAAAAGTACCTGCCCTTCAGGAGCCTCCTTCCTGGTGAAGGGAGACAGACAATAGTTGTGTATGTAAGACAATCAGCTAGTGCTAAGTGCCATTGTGCACATAAGACAGGGTTATGCATTCAGGAATAACACTGGGAGAAGGAAGCAGTTCTAGATTGAGCTGAGAACCAGGTGAAAAATAGGAGCCAGTTGTGCAAATATTTAGAACAAGAGTGTATCAAGGAGAGCCAGCTTCAAGTTCAGAAGTCCTGAGGCTTAGTTAATGGCATTGATCAGTCATTTGGCAGTATAAACTGATACACCGTATTTTAAAGCCGTAATCATGGCAAAAAGCAAGTGCATTCAAGGCACCACTTGGGTTCTAAGTAGCTCTCTGTTCCCATCTTTTGGCCAAGCAGTGGACAAATTCAGTATGTTTCTCACTGCTTAATCCAATGTCTTCCCTCAATCTACCTGTCTCTCCATTACTAAATGACTGAAATGGCACCTGGATGTAAAGGATGAGAAGTGTGTATTTTCATAAAGACTTGTCACAGTTGCATTACAGTTGGGCCACATGGAGAAGTGACAGAATTATTATCCTTCTTATCACTCAGGAGAATTGTGGAATTGTACAGTGATGGAATTTGCTCTTGATCACCACTGTTTGATCGGCATGCTTAGAGAATTTACCAGTGCATTCATGGGTTAAAAGGGATATCCAGATAAAGGAGCCAGATGCCTCTGCTGGCTTACGCTATATGGGTAAATGGTTCTTACGAAGCAGTGTATGATAGTTTTGAGGGTTAGTGAGGGAAGATTTAGGATAAATTTTGTAAGAAACAAATAGATTTTAATTTTAGGGGAGCGGGGTGGGAAGAAGAGTTAAAATATGACCCAAAAAAGAAGAAGAAAATCCTAGTGTCTTATGTGAGGTCCACTGAAAGCAGAGCCTGAGGCAGGGATTTAGGTGCTGGTGATTTATAGAGGGAGAGGTCTCAGAAAAAAAAATAAAACAAAAACTTACGAGAGAGTGAGGAAAGCAGGACAGGGCAGGAGAAAGATGAGTGGAGGGAGGGTGTGATCTCAGGGAAAATCTGATCTTGGTCTGAAGCACAGGCAGAGGGCTCTGGAACATAAACTCCAGTGGAGCTGTCCTCATTTGAGGTAAGGGGGTTGGATTTGTGTATCCCAATGTCAGCCAGTCATCAGTTATGGGTGTCAGGGAGGTTCCTTAACCTCCCAGGTGGGTGACTGCTAGCAGCCTCTGGGGACAATTTTCTGGAGGGGGGAAGCTGTAAGCAGCCAGCAGCCACCACTCACAATAGCCATAGAATGGCCACACCAGAAAGGCATCTTGGTGGGTGTACTAGTCCATTCTCACATTGCTTTAAAGCGATACCTGAGACTGGGTGATTTATAAAGAAAAGAGCCTGTTCCACAGGCTGTACAGGAAGCATGATGCTGGCATCGGCTCAAGAAGCTCACAATCATGGCAGAAGATGAAGGGGGAGAACACATCCCATGGCTGAAGTGGGAGCGAGAGGGAGAGAGAGAGAGGTCAGGTGCTGCACACTTTTAAATAACCAGATGTTGCAAGAACTCACTATCATTAGAACAGCTCCAAGGGGATGGAGCTAAACGATTCATGAGACACTCACCCCCATGATCCAACCACCTCCCACCAGGCCTCACCTCCAACACTGGGGATTACAATTAGACCTGCAATTTCCTAGGGACACAGATCCAAACCCTTTCAGTGAGGTATTCATCGAGTCTCCTGCACATAGATTCTCCCTCTGCCAAAAAAGATCTATTTTTCCACAAAAGAAAGTGCATACATTCATTTAATTGTTAACTTATTTATTCAGTAAGATCTTACTGAGCATTTGCTATGTTCTAGATATCGGTGTCACATCAATGAGTAAACTGGATTTGTTGCCAGTTGTCATCAAACTTAAGCAAATAGGGACGAGACACAACTAAATGAGACATTGTAAGACACGATGATAAGTGCTACAGCAAGAGAGGTCAAGTTCATGGAAGCTCAGAGCCCTCAGTGCAGTCAAGGGGAGAGAGTCCAGCGCTATGCTGCCCAGCATGGTAACGATGAACACATATGACTGTTGAATGCTGGAAATGTCACTAATCCCAATGGAGCTATGTTTTATGAAATACACATAGACTATCAAGATGTAATATGCAAAAAAAGAATGTGAAAGCTTCCACTGACAATGTTTATATCAATTATATGTTAAAATGGCAACATTTTGAATATATTGAGTTAAATAAACTGCATTTTTAAAATTAATTTTGCTTGTTTAATGTGGCTGCTAGAAAATGTTAAATCACATATGGGGTTCACTTTATATTTCCATTGAATGGCATAGCTCTTGGGGCTTCGTAAAGCTTTATTTCTTCCCTTCTGCATCACAGAAAACCTCACAGAACAGTCTTCTAGCTAACGTGTATTTCCACTGAATAACTTCTCATAATAAGGAAGATGTAGCCAAGAGTCTCTAAATCTAATATTCAGCATTTCTAACTGTTTGAGGTGCCTATGTTTTGTTTTGTTTTTAATAAGGCCCTCTAATTATGGATTCCTCTTTATATTTTCCTCTGGTATTCAAAGGATCACAAACATACAATTTCCCTCCCACATCCCATCTAGATAATTGGAGTTTGATTCAACACTGTTTCCATCCACCACGGATACAATTCTCATTTCATGATTCCTTTCTTTCCCTTCTCCACATGGAATGAGCATGAATATGAATCCGTGGATTCCAAAGTGAAAAGGCAAAGAAATATAAATGGTTTGAAGTGCGTCTCTTTTCAAGCAATTTTTTCACCTAACCTAGTAAGATGTCACTCCGCAGAGATCTCACAGCACAGCCACACTACAAAGTATGATAATCGTTCAAAACATAATTGAAAGATTTCAAAAGTTGAACTGGAAGCATTTTTGTCAGAGTTTATTGCAACTATTTTGTATCTTTAAAAAAAAAGTTTATGAAAGTTCTGTGACAAGAAGATAAATTATGGAACCGTAAGAATGGGGAAATAAATGCATTCTGGAGACTGACAAACAGGGCAAATGACGAGAACATATAATTTTAGAACACAAAAAAAGGTAACTAAATTTGAAAAATTGCATTAGTGTATCATTTTCTGTGTATGAGCCATTAGAGGGAAAAAGTGGAAATTACACCCTGTAACAAAGTAAAAATGTTTTCAGTGTTTAAAGGTAATTTTGTAATACTGCTACTATTACTTAAACTCTTACCTCTTATAAAAAAATCCAAAGACAGGACCCCTGGTGATATTACCTGTGTCTTAGGCAAAGAGCAACAATTTGAATTCCATTCAAACACATTTGTATTTTGCCAAGTGCTATCAAGCCCTGAGTTGCATAATTTGCCGTATAAGTGAAATAGATACTTTTCCTCTGCACATTTATCACTCTCCTGTGGGCTTCATTACTGACAATCAAATCATAGAAGATGTACAAAATTGTCATGATGCACTTATTTTCTCATGATATTCGATACAAATAGTTCTTCTTTACAAATGGCCTCTTTTTTTTTTCTCTTTGCCACAACATTTTTGCTGTCTTTCAGACTCTTAGGAAAGTTCCAGTGATAGACTTTTTTTCCCAGCAAAGATGTAGGCCTCCTTGGAAAACAAATATTTCTATTTGGGGAAAAATTAAAAATGCTTCAGACAGACAAAATCAGTATTGTTTACAGGTAGTTCTTTTACTGTTGCTCCATATGTGTGTCTGTGTGTGTATGTATAACATGTGAAAGTATTTATGAAAACAATAGCTTCTGCCTCAAATTGTCTTCCTTTAGAACTCATACATGTCTCATTACTAAATCATCTTAAGGATTAAATTTAGGGTTACAATATCTAATACCCCAAATCTAGTATTAAAAAAAAGTAAATGAGGCAGTGGGCAAGATATATATAGCCTTCATTGTCTAGCTATTATTTTTCTACTTTTCAGAGGATTATGTTTCAGTCCACTCTGAACAATGATGGCAGGCAGTTGACACTGCACCTGTAATTGGAAAGACTGCAGGGAGCAGTGGGGACTGTGATAAACTGAAGACTCATAGCCTCTGGAGGGAGGAACTGCTCTCAACTCCTGTTTTGAGTTACTATGTGGGATGCTACATTCCCCCCTTTATTTGTCTTCAAGAGAAGCCAAAAATCTGGATGTCTTTCATTGAGAGACAGTTATTTTCTGATTTTTAAAAGTTGATAATGTTTTTAAAAGTGTATAAACACCAAACAAGCCAAAGAAAACACATTTTCCAGCGAGATACAGCCTGAAGACTGCCAGGGTGTGGCTTTTGTGGAAGAGACTCTTCTCTAAGTTTCTCGGGGAAGTCGAGGTCATTAAACAAGAGTAGTGGAGTAAGTCCTGAGTTTTATTGTCCCTCCTCTCTCCCTCCCAGCAAGTGATCTATTGGAAATGAGATCGTCTATTGATAGATGTTGCTTAAAATGTCATCTACATTAGCTGCAAATATTCCACTTTTCTTACCAATATTGATAGTATTTGAATGTTAAAAATAGTGATTTCTGGCTGGGCGTGGTGGCTTATGCCTGTAATTCCAGCACTTTGGGAGGCCGAAGTGGGTAGATGGGTTGAGCTCAGTAGTTTGAGACCAGGCTGGGCAACATGGAGAAACTCTGTCTCTACCAAAAACACAAAAAATTAGCCAGGTGTGATGGCATGCACCTGTGGTCCCAGCCACTTAGGAGGCTAAGGTGGGAGGGTCGATTGAGCCCAGCAGGTGCAGGATGTGGTGAGCCAAGATCACGCCACTTCACTCCAGCCTGGGTGACAGAGTGAGACCCCATCTACAAAAAAAAAAAAAAAGAAAGAAAACAACAGCAACAATGATTTCCTCTATCATCAACAACCATCATGACATTATTGTCATCAACATCATCAGCAGTAGCATCTAGTTGAGTATGTTTTAGGACAAAAAAACGAAAGATCTACAAATAAGACCACTTTTATTTTCTAGACTTCAAGTTAATTTCTATTTCTATCAGGGCAAACAGAAGGCTTCAATTTTAATCTTTTACGGGGTCCTCTTTCCCTAAGGTTGAGCCAGGGATCTAGAAAGTACTCCAGCCCAAGGTGTTTGGAGGGAAGAGGGGGCAGCTCTCTGGAAGGATGTACAGCCTGTTGGGTTACGGGGAGACGTTCATCACACCAGTCAGGATGCTCTCTCTGGCATCTGGGCCATGCTTGGAGGATGGATATTTTTCGGCAAGGCTGCCTCTGGTATCACGGCTACCTAGACACACCAAAGATATTGAATCCCTGGGATGTTGGCTTCCATTCACTGTGCAGTTTCTCCTCCTCCCAGCCAAAGTGGACTCTCTTTTTCATCTAGAATTGGTGGGGGACAGGGCATGAGGAAGGCCCACTCTCAACCCCCACTTCTGATTAAATACATTTTCTTTTATTTCTGTTCCAAATTCTCTAAGCTTCCCTAGAGATTTAAACTTTTGGAAATAAAAACTGGGGGAGGTACTGGGTATTTCCGCTTTCTACTCTTCCACTTCCCTTCCCTGACATAAGAAGCACCACCCATAACTACATGAATGGGTTGGAGACAAAACACGGATTAAATCACAGAAGTATCTCCTCACTGTCACCAATCCGGCTTCTCCAGCCACCTCTCCATCAGCTCTGTGCTGGATCTCAGTAGGTATTGTCTCATCTATTTTTCAAAGCAACTTCTATGAAGTAAATATTCTCATCCGTGTCAGTTATCTATTGACAGGACAGTGCTCCATAACCAAAACCTCCAAATCTCAGTGCCATAAACTTTAACATTTTTTTAGCTCACCAGTCTGTGGAGTACAGATGACCTGGGCTAGAGCTGGGCTGATCTCAGTTGGTCCTCTTCAATAAACGTATGATCAGCTTCCATGAGGGATTACAGCCTCTGCTTGTCTGGACTGGACTCACTGACATGTTTAGGGGATTGACTATCGGTTGGCTGATCTAGGACAGCCTCAACTATGATGGCTAGGACAACTTGGTCCCATATCACACCTGTGTAATTGTGGAGCAGGCTAACCTAGGCATTTTCTTCTTACATCAATGGCTGAGGGTAAAAGCCTGAACAAGTCCATTCAGGTAAGCATTTTTCAAGTTTTTGTTTGCATCACACTTGCTAACATCCCAGTAGACAACATGGCACAGTCAAGCCTACAGTCAGAGTAGGAAGATACAAGTAAGTTAGCCGGCAAAGGGCATAGCTAGAGAACTGAAGTACTGGGGCCCATAAAACAAGCACTACCCCATTTCCCGAATTATGGAACTGAAGCTGGAAGAATGAAACAATTTGTGTAGGGCCAGAGCCTGAAAGTAAGGTGGCTGGGCTTTGAACCCATACATGCCTGGTTCCAAAACTGGACTCCTAAGTGCATGACTCTACTGCCTTAATTTTTAAAAGGTGCTTATAAAAACAATTCTCCGTGTTAATGCAGCATCTTCCAGGCCAAATGGAGCGTTGGGTAATTGCCTGCTTAATATGGTTGATAGAGAAAGCAAACTTCAAGCCAAAACACCCGAATTTCCCCTAAACATATGTAATCATCTTAATTTTCTCTTTTCCTCTGTTGACATAGCTTAGGGAAGACAACTCCCTTTTAGCGTCAGCCAGTGTTTCCCTGGGAAGCAGCATGCAGGGAAATAGGGTTGGCATTCTTTCCTCCTAAAAAATGCATTTTATGTAATCCTGCTATCTTTCCTGGGCCGGCCCTTCACTACCCACTGGGGATCTCTCTTGCTTAACTGTACTCTTTTCCAATGGGTTTGAACCCCCCTGCATGTCTGCAATCAGGCTTCTGTTGGGCAATTTGGGACCCAGATTTAGTCCCAATCACTTGAATCCATTTGGAGGCTGAATTTCATTCCTAATGAACAAACTGCTCAAGCAGTGCTGATGCATCTGGAAGGACTAGGTCACTGATCAGTGACTGGTTTGTTCCAGAGGGCAGTGTTGTCCTAATCTGAGAGACAGATCACATTTTTGAAGAGCTAAATGCAAACCTAGCATCAGGAGGAGCTCTCTCCATGCATCATCGACATGACCAGGAATTGCCAACTTGGCTTTACGGATGATTAGACTTTTTAGAATATGGCATGAAGCCCTAGTTATAGACTCAAGTTATAACAATAGTCATCATATAGCAATAAAGATTTTCTGAACCTTTGTCAGGTAGCAGAACCTATACTAAACTCTTTCTTTGCATTTTATCTTCACAACCATCCTAAGATGTTGATGATGCTACATGCCCATTTTCCACCTGAAGACATGGAGATTTAGGTGACTTCTTTCCCAGGGCCACACTGTCAGCCAGAAAGTGACAGACACAGCCAGGGAGTGGGCATAACACGTGATTGTTAGGAGGTTAGCAAACTTTTTCTGTAAAGGGCCAAATAGTAAATATTTTAGGCTTTGCAGACCATGCAACAACCACTCAACTCTGCTGCTGTTGAGAGGAAGTAGCCATAGATAATTTGTAAGCAAATGGGTGTGGCTCTGTGCCAATAAAACTTTATTTACAAAAGCAGGCAGTGACCTGGATTTGGCATCACTTTCAAGCTATATTGCTTTGGCCAATTTACTCAACCTCTTTTGGAATGCGATTTTGTCATCTCGAAAATGAGGATGATAATAATCATAATGCTTAATTTATAGGGTGATTTTGAGGATTAAATGAATGTTGCATAGAAAGTTCTTGTTTATATTATTACTAATGGTTTATATTATTGCTAATTATTAATAATTACAAAGAGATATTGTGAAAGGCCGTAGAGGAGAGAAGTCAACAGCAAGTCCTCCCTGGGCATAAGTCTCATCTCTCCTGGTTACCCGCTGAGTGGCCTTGGGCATGTTACTTACTCTCTCTGAGCCTCAGTTTCCTTTTCTTGTAAAGAATAGTAAAAGGATGAGTCTCACAGAATGATTACAAAGGTGAAGTACATTTAATGCCTGTGAAGCTTTTAGAACATTGCCTGGCACATGGCAAGCACTTTCTGGTTGCTCGCTGTATTACTATTATTGAATAATCATGAATTGAGCCCAAATGGCCTGGCTTCCTACCTCAGGCTCTTTCCCACCCTACGTTCCTGCAGGGGTTCTTAAGTATTTTATACTATCAGGCAACCCCCCGGTGATCTGCTGACACCTGTGGACCCCTTTTCAGAATACTGTTTTTGAATGAATAAAATATATAAAAGATTACCCAAACACCTAATTATACAGGAATGCAGTTACCAAAATATTTAAAAAAAAAAAATTGTGATGCAGTTGTAGATGAGCTTCTTTATTAACACATTAGATAACCAAATCTATCAGTGGGCTTAATAATTACAACAATTTTGAAATAGAAATAAGCCTCAGTGATATTTCAATATCTCTGCAACAACTGTAATGTGATATGCAGATATTTATGATTTGTATTGGTGCTAAAGTCACAAGTCCCATGACTTAGTGGCTACATTGATAATAGCAGAAATGCTAAATTTCACTTAAAAGTTGGTAAAAATAAAACTCTGGGTTTTTGTTTGTTGTGTTTTAAATGCACATTTATGAAATTCCCAGATTCATGGGACTCTTGATGTCCATAGGCCCCCAGGCCAGGAACCTCTGTGCCTACTACCCTGAAGAAGCCATTTTAAACAGTAATAAACCTGAACAACACTAGTGCTCATCCACATAAATACTCCTTGCATCTAGATCTTTTGGCACATAAACATCGATTAGATTTGGCAGAGCGATGTCCACAAAGAGAGCCAGCGCTTCCTATGCCTGTGCGATCACACAGCATTCATTCCTGGGTATGTGAGCCAGAAATTAGGGACTGCCTTGTCCCGTAATTTGATGCCCTACATGGGGAAAGATTGTCGTTGGGACTAAGCCAACGAGAGGTAATAGAAACATGATACCACTGACCTCATCCAGGAAAAATAGCTATTGTCACAGGACAGTGATGCTGAGTATTTGTAGGTTTGGGGAGAAATATATTTGTTAGTGAAATGGAGCTTACTCTGGAGTGAGTAAAGGTGAATTATTTTTCAGATGACTAGAGGAGGTTTATGCAATATAGTATTATTGAGTGGGGCTATTAACAGAGTGAATTGCTATTGTGACATGCCATTAAATTGTTTTTAGTGTCCACAAAGGTATCATTCAGGAGCTGGCAGGGTTAGTAACAGAGTTGTATTTTTGGTGGACAGCAGTAGATCTTGAAACAAAATAGCATATTTTACAAAAAAGTAAAATATGACCAAAGCTGAAAGTCTATAGCGCGAGGTAGTCATTTGCAACTACTTGACAAGCACCCCGAGGATCTGAACAAGGCTTTCCGGATCCACACTGTTGTAGATAGTGGAGGCTGAAATCTGAGCAATCCATCAGGAAGGGGAAGTGAAGGAAGTGAGAGGTAGAGATAAATCTGAATCCTGGGCTCTTTCGAGGATGTTCTGTCCGTTCCATGAATGTACCTCCAACATGTAGCAGAGAGACTGGCTTAATAATTATTGGCTGAAGGAAGGAAAAAGGTAAAAAAAAAGAAGAAGAGGAAGAGAAAAAGAAAGAGGGAGGCAGGAAAGAGAGAAGAGAGAGCGAATGAATTAGCCAACCAAACTATTGGTGGTATATTGATGGTATCTATAGATGCACATGTGGATCTGTGTGTGCATGAAGATGTATTCATTCATTTGTTATTTTTCAATAAATATGTATTGAGTGCCCACTAAGTGTTGGGCACTGTGCCAGAAACTAAAAATATATTCAATGAGACAGAAAAGGACGAAGCTCTCAGATGACTTACATTTGAGTGAGGGATTCAGAGATAAACAAGGATTGAAATAAGCTTACTTCAAGATAGGGCTAAGTATTATAAAGAAAACAAACAAAAAATAAAAACATTGTAACAAGGGAGAGGATAACTAGAAAGAAGCTATGGCTGGGCATAGTGGCGCACGCCTGTAATCCCCCAATGCTTTCGGAAGCCCAGGTGTGAGTATTGCTTGAGGCCAGGAGCTTGAGATGAGCCTAGGCAACGTATTGAGACCCTGTCTCCAAAAAAACTTTTTTTAATAGAAAGAATGGGCTACTTTGGGTAGGATGGTGGCCCTGAAGCTGAAACCTTGATGACAATGAACCAACCATGGAAAGATCAGTGGAAACTGATGTTTGATTGACAGCGACCCACATGTCAGGCATGCACTCAGTTCTTTGCATCCATTATTTGATTTAATCTTTATTGAAAACTGTGAGGCAGAGTATTTATAACAACTTCATCGATGACAATGAAGAAAGTGAGACTCAGAGAGACAAGATGACTTGCTCACGGTCAGAGGGCCAGGAAGAGGCAGAGGCATGATTTGAACCCTGACTTGCTGGATCCAAAGCCTCACAGATGAGCCAGGGTGCCCTGCTGCCTCAAGACCAAGGGAAGGTCTTTATTCCTGTTCATGCTAATGAGGGGAGAAAAATTTGCTCTAAAGTCTCTGTCTTTTGATTTGCAAATGAGTGTTCTTTTTTTAATACCATGTTGTGGCTGTTTTTGGCTGGTCACTTGGCTTTAATCGTAAAACTTGTTGTAATCCAGATAGTAGATTTCATCTTGAGGGTGATTCCTAAATGATACTAAAGAAAATGTACATCTTTCCTATGTGGTCAAAGAACTGAGTCATCTTCCTAAGTTAGATGGTGGTGGGGAAAGGGACAGGGACTTAAAGAAAACAAATTCTTCCACTGAAGAGGCTCAACCCCATATGGGACACATTTTCTCATAACTAAACTCATATGGGCTGAGCCATGTGGACTGTTAGAAAAATAGAGTAATTTTAGTATCAACCAGCTACATCCTGCTCTGTTTCTGCCTTGGTGCCTTGGTTTTATTGTTTGTTTGTTTTCTTGTTCCGTACCTGCTTCACTGGGGCCAGTGAATTTGGTGTTTGTTGTTGTTGTTTCTTGGTTTTTGTTTATATTTTAAGACAGTAGATTGCTATAAAACATTGGTAGTATGATGATAGATAATTGCTTACCAAAGACATGCAACTTAAACCACCAAGTACCATAATTGTTACTGTTACTATGATTATTTGGGGTATCAATTCGCTATATTATTTCTTTATGTCAATACCCAGAGAAATGAGCAGGAGCACTTTTTTTTTTAGATGGAGTCTCGCACTGACGCCCAGGCTGGAGTACAGTGGTGCAATCTCAGCTCACTGCAACCTCCACCTCCCAAGTTCAAGTGATTCTCCTGCCTCAGCCTCCCGAGTAGCTGGGACTACAGGTGCACGCCACCACACCAGGCTAATTTTTGTATTTTTAGTAGAGATTGGGTTTCACCACATTGGCCAGGCTGGTCTTGAACTCCTGACCTCGGGATCCAATCCCCTCGGCCTCCCAAAGTGCTGGGATTACAGGCATAAGCCACCATGCCTGGCTGGGCAGGAGCACTTCCATATGCGCCAGGAGAAAGTCCAAATTCATAACCCCCTCTGTTGAGCACTTTGGTAAGAGATCAAAGGCCCATGAAGTGAACAAAGGCTGTGACCCCGTACTTACATATCTAGCAATCTAGTAGGAGAATCTCTGCACTAAGATATATGTAAAATTATATCCAGTGAAACATTGGTAAAATAGTGAAAAATTAGAAACAACAACAATATCCAATAATAAGGAAATATTTATTTTTGTCAGTAATATAAAAACTTTTATTATTTTAGGGCAATACTTCCCAAATTTCAGTTATTTGCGCACCATTTTCACAATGTGCCAAAGCTCTACTCTTTATTATTTAATTTTTAAATTTTGTGGGTACATGGTAGATATATATATGTATGGGGTACGTGTGATGTTTTGATCTAGGCATACAGGGATTGGTTACTTTTTTAAAAATCGGGCAATGGATCATCACCTAGCATTAAAAATTCATGTTTATAAAATGAAAGGTTTCCCACATATTAAGTAGGAGGAACAAAAGGCAACTTACAAAATAGTGTGTACATTATAATCTGTACCATACTATATCCATTTATAGCTATAATATATCAATAAGTGGATGTAACTATAGATAGATACTGTTGGATAATATTGTTATTACATTGTTATGATACAATTTATCATAGACAGTGCTCTTCTTTACATTTTTCTATTACTTCCAGATTTTCCTTATGAAACATGACATTATCACCAGGAAAATATGCACACACACAATGAATGAAGGTCGGCGCTGACGGTGCAAGTTTGGCTGTCAGTCTACGCAGAGTGGCTCTGCGTGTCTTCTCCCCTCCCGTGCCTTGCTTAACCTTCGGTTGGATGATCCACCCTTTTCTGTGGCCAGCGCTGGCTCCTGGCATCCTTCTGCTTGCCTTTTGGTTTTCAGCACAAATTCCTGATCTGATTCACCAGGTCCTGCTTAATATGTATTACCAACCCTGTGTTGACAATTTCAGAAAAACTCAGTCCTGCTTTTATACTCGTTTTCCTCTCGGAATGGTAGCCGGCAAAAGGTGTTCTTAGAGATGGGGGGTCCTGTGTCTTACTAATTCCCATAAAGGGAAGGGGAGTGGCAGAAGAAGAAAAAAAGTAGGAAAAGAAAATGTTAGTTATGTGTGGTTGATAGTGGCTCAGTGGGTTTACATATTATGATAGTTATCAATTTCTTAGCGCTAGATGCTGCAAATCTAAATCTATGTAAGACTCAAGAAGTGGTTGTGTGTCTTGCATGTGAACTGTATCTCACAGCTAAAATTTAAAAAAAAAAAATAGAAAGAAAAGAAAAGAAAAGAAACAGTCATGGGAGCAAGGGAGAGCAAAAGCCAAAGGTGAATTTTATTTGTTGTTGTTATTTAAAGTAACTGGGTCAGCCAGGTACAGTGGCTCACACCTGTAATCCTAGCACTTTAGGGGGACCAAGGTGTGCAAATCACTTCAGGCCAGGAGTTCAAGACAAGCCTGGCCAATGCAGCGAAACCCCATCTCTACTAAAAATACAAAAAGTTCGCCAGGTGTGGTGGCGTGAGCCTGCAGTTCCAGCTACTCAGGAGGCTGAGGCATGAGAATTGCTAGAGCCCGGAGGGTGGAGGTTGCAGTGAGCTGAGATTGCTCCACTGCACTCCAGCCTGGGTGACAGAGCAAGACTCTATCTCAAAAAATATATATATAAATAAAAGTAAATAAAGTAACAGGGTCGACTGATTTCAGAGGAATGTGTATGTTGAAGGGCAGTGTGGTTAGGAGAGAAGATCTCAGTCGCTGGATTCAGAGTTGCCTGGGTTCAGACCCAGGCCCTGAATTCATCGGCGTTGTTACCTTGAACAGAGACAGTACTATTTGGCAATTAATACGAGCATCAAGCAACCAGACACCCAAGTTCCAATCCCAGCTCAGCAATTTCTAAGTGTGCCATTTTAGGCAAGTCACTTAAGTGTCTGAGCTACACTTCTTTGCATGCAAAATGAGTGAAATGCTATTTCTTTTACAGAATCAGAAATATATTATTAAGCCTCTGACACGTGGATGATACATAAAATGGTGACTAATATCACTTTCAGTGATGATGATTTCATTTTATGTATGTGTCTTCCAAAGAGGAAGAAAAATAAGAACATGAGGAAGAGGGAAAGATAAACCAGATTAGGTTGTTTATGATTTCATCAAATGGAGAACTCCTGAACGTTTTGTTATGTGTTTTGTTTTTTTGTGAAACACAAGAAAGTCACCAGGACATCTGTGTGGGCATGTGTGCTCCCCTCCATATTAGATTACATGTTTTAGGACAATAAATCAGTGAAAGAAAAGTAATAAATAATGCATGCTGACAATGTGATCATGTTTATTAAGAAGCAACAGCCTTGTCATCTTCATTTTCTTCTTCAGTGATTCTCTTCTCTAAGGGTTTTCTCTGCAGGGACTCCCTGCAATCTAGCTGGAGGCCATTCTCTAATTCCTGTTTGCAGAAATACCTGCTTTGCAAAAAAATAAGTTAAAAGCTGAACACCTGGGTCCTCTGATGAGTCTCCCATCAAATGCAGCCCATCATTAGAGATGGCTTCTCAGTTTTGAACATCAGGGAGAAACGAGTGGCCCCACTCCACGCCTCCTGCGTGTTGGTGCTTTCCCACCCTCTGTTCTTGCTCCTGTCTTTCTGCTGTGAGTTTTCTAAGAAGTATCTTTAGGCATCTAGATTTTGAAAAAGAAAAGAAAAAGCTAACTTTTCTTTTCCTAGAAATTTGCAGCTGCTAAAACCAGATGTAGACATTAGTACCTTGTGACATCTGAAGATTTTAATTGGGTTTGCATTTTAATCTGTTACTCTTCACTCATTTGCACTTGAATGACAACCCCCCCCCCCCCCCAAAAAAAAAAAGCCACACTAGCAATCCTAGTCTCTCAGATGCCTGGAGCAGAATTTTGCTCTGTAAAATTGAAGAGTGTTGCATATTGAGAAAAAGAGAGGGAGCGAGCCAGGTTGAGAAAGTGGGAGTGGTGAAGGAGAGTAGAGGGAAAGAGACAGGAAGAGAGAAGAAGGAAGAACTTGCAGGCGGTAGCCAGGAGCACCCTGGCTGGAGTAGAAGGAACCTCACATGCGCCTCACCCTCAGCCTTGTATCACCTCTTTGAAAATGTAATGATCAATCTGACCCAGGCAGTAACTGTTCTGACATGCCCTTTCCTCAAATGTCTTGCTGTCTGTGTCCTAGGTTCTGAGAGAGGGTTCTATCTTTTGAGAACAGAGCTAGCTTAGGATTTCAGTCAAGGGTCAGCTTATATGTCTCTAAATACCCTTGAATCCCCTGCTCCCACTGCAGGTTTCTCATTATTCTTTCTGCCCCTAATTTTTTTTTTTTTTTTGAGATAGAGTCTCACTCTGTCGCCCAGGCTGGAGTGCAGTGGCACCATCTTGGCTCACTGCAACCTCAGCCTCCAGGTTCAAGCAATTCTCCTGCCTCACCCTCCTGACCTGGCTTATTTTTGTATTTTTAGTAGAGACGGGGTTTCCCTATGTTGGCCAGGCTGGTCTCAAACTCCTGACCTCAGTTGATCTGCCTGCCTCAGCCTCCCAGAGTGCTGTGATTACAGGCATAAGCCATGACACCCAACCCTGCCCATAATTTTTTTTGTCCTCAAATAAAACGCTAATCTTAGAAAACCACAAAGGTCCCCCTCTCTTTCTCTCCATTCTCCTTCCTAGTATTATACCACCTCTTCATCCCAAGACCTGCATCATCTTGCTGAAGGTGTGTGTACTGTGACACTTTATCATTGAGTGCCAAGCCTATTGTGCTTAAATTATTCACTAGTCAATTACCTGTGTACAGAATCCATGTTTAATTAGCTTGTCCTGACATAAAATATCAGGATTTTATGTTCCCTCTGGCTTACCTCTGACATTCATTTTTAAGTTAATGTTTTGTCTTCTTGCTTCCTTCATTCCCTCTCTTCCAGCCTTCCTCTCTTATTCTCTTTCTACCGTTTTCTATCTTTCATGATGCATATCTCTTTTCTCTTTCTCATTCTTTTCTCTCCCTGCTAGCATTTGATTAAGTTACAAAAGCAGTAATATCTATGTTTTTAATATTATTCATTGCATTGCTTTCCTGACCTTCTTTTTCCCTCCAGGGTGGGAATGCAGCCCCTGAATTCCTTGACAGGTGGCCACTCTTTGACACGTTAGACTCCAACTTGCTCACCTTCTTCCAACTGGCTTCAGTTCATTCCATTTTGACCACTGCCATGGTTGGCTTCTACATGATCCCCATTTGTGTCTCAACTTGGTCTCCTCAGCCAGGAGCTCTGAGCTGCCTGTTCCTTGCCTTTGATGTACCTCCATTTCCTGTAATTAATCTCAGCTTTCCCACAGCTCAGCAGTACATGACAGACACAAGGATAAAGCACCCAGTTCGAGCCAGCTCCAGTGTCTCTCCACTTGTATCCATTCCTCGTGGTCTGCCACTTTGGTAGGCATCATCTTACCCCAGAGGTAGCACATATGCATGCCATGCAGAAAACACAACACTGACTTCTGTTCAAAGAAAATCAAACCGCCAGAAAGTGAGGTCATGCAAGCAGGCAGCTCGTCATATTCTCAACAGGGAGCTTTGCTGGATAATTCTGCTTAAAAATACATATATTTACATTTTTATTTATATTTAGTTCTATGTATATTCAGTGTTCCAAGAAAAACTAATAAAAATCAACTAAACATCTAGCCATTCCAGTGAATTCTATCGCATTGCCAAATATAGTATTGGGAGCATTGTCCTAACTCTGTTGTCTCCGTGGTATCAAAAGCCAGTATCACTCTGTGTTCTTGATTTTTTCTTATCGACATTCCTGACACTGGCTATGGGGTGTGTTCAGCACCAAAAGGTCTGTTTTGCCTAACCCTTTGACCAATAGAACAAGTAGATTGGAACAATCTGTCCTTGTAAGGGTTCTTTATAAAAATGTTGTCCTTGCATTCTTTGATAGATTTTTTACCATTTTTTCTGAAAAAAAAAAAAAAATAGGCCACGTTTCATGGGCAAGACCTTGATACTATCTGGAGAAACAGATAGCCACAAAAAGTACTTTGAAAAATTAAAGGCATTCTACTCATTCTATTCTCTAAACAGTTAAAGGCACTCTACTTGCCCCATGAGTCTCAATTTCCTCACCTATAAAGTGGGCACAACTCAGCACGCCAGACCAATAGCAACCTCTCTGAGATAACCCATAAAGAAGTGCTCTGAAAACCCCAGAATGTTCTAACAATGAAAACACTGTGCTCCATCTTCATTTTTATCTGGAAAATACAGCAAATTATATTTTCTTTGAAGCTGTCTACAAGAAGTGTTTGGCTGGATTAGCCAGTTAATGTTAGCAAACTGTGTTGAGATATTGAAAGGTTTTGTAAAAAAGAAAACAATATATGTTTTTTTCTGACACTGTAGAATGTTTAGTGTTCATTTAACCTGGAGCATAGCACACCTCAATATAAATTTTCTCATCATTTGACACTTTTTATTGTCTCTGCTTACCATCTGAAAGAAGGAAGCTGGGCATTTGGAAAGGGGGGAGTTTGTGTATCTCAGGATTTTGACTTGTCTGTGTCTTCCGAAGGAGATGCATCCTCTATGTATTACGCAGCAACTTGCTTTGCTCACTTAAAGATATAGCATGGACACTCTTAACAATTCGGCAGCTACATAGCTACACGGACAACTCGGTGTTTTTACGCACTCACATGTTACATAATTTTACATAATTACGATCACATTATATGATATTTGCTGCTTTTATATTTTTGTTGGTCATCTTCTCCCTCTTTATGTACTGACCCTTTCACTGTTGGTCCCACCCCTTTCCCACTACACTCTGCTATCCCACCCCATCCGAAAACCCAAATCAACAACTTGAAGAGGACGTTCACACTTTATGCCATGGGAATATGACCTGTTTGTGACATTTATACTCTTTTTCTCTCCAGGCCATCTCTCCCCTGACAAAGAAACACACACACACACACACACACATACATGCACATGCAGACACACACACACACACACACACACACACAAGGGTTGTGGCACTGCCTTTTTATTTTTTAATCTATGTTTGTGAAAATGGCAAGCATCCTCCAAGAAAGAAGACCTCAAATTTGTGTCTGGTTGCTTTTTGTCTTATTTTTAAAATTATCATATGGTAAAATTGACTTTCTCCTGTGGTATACAGTTTTATGAACTTTCATTCATGTATAGATCTGTGTTATGACAACAACAGTGAGGACCCAGAAGAGCTCCAGCCCTCCAGAAAACTCCCTCCTGCTTCCCTCTCCAGTCACACCCTCCTCCTACCCTACTCCCGGTCAACCTTTGATTTGTTCTCCATCTCTATCATTTTGTCTTTGAATAATGTATATAGATAGAAGCCCGCAGTAATTAACCTTTGGGGACTGGCTTCTTTCATGTAGCATAAGGCCTTTGTGATCTGTACGAGTTGCTGCCTGCACCTGCCAATTACTCCTTTGCATTGCAGAGGAATGTTCTGGTACATGGATGCACTGCCGTTTGTTGATGGGTTCTCCCAAGAGTGGAGATTTCCTATGGTGCTGGTTAAGTATGTTTGTTTATTTTTATTTTATTTTATTTTATTTTGAGACAGGTTCTTGCTCTATCACCCAGGCTGGAGTACAGTACAGTGGTGCAACCATAGCTCACTGCATCCTTGACCTCCTGGGCTCAAGGATCCTCCCACTTCAGCCTCCAGAAGTGAGGCTGGAACTACAGGTGTGCACCACCATGCCCAGCTAATGTTTTATTTTTTTTTTTAGAAATAGGGTCTCCCTATGTTGTCTAGGCTGGTCTCAAACTCCTGGGCTCAAATGATCCTCTGACCTCAGCCTCCCAAAGCATTGGGATTATAGGCGTGAGCCACCACACCCAGACAATGTTTGTCCCATTTCTAGTACTTCAGTTTTAGGTAGTGTATTCGTGTGCTTTCTGTTGCTTATAACAGAATATCTAAAAGTGGTCAATTTACAGAGGAAATAAATGTATTTATTATAGTTACAGAAGCTGAGAAGTCCAAGGTTGAGGGGCTGCATCTGGTGAGGGCCTTCTTGCTGGTGGGGACACTCCACAGAGTCCCAAGGTAGCATAGGGCATCACACTGCGAGAATGCTGAGTGTGTTAAGGTGCCATGCACAAGTCTCTCTTCCTCTTATAAAGCCACTAGTTGCACTCCCATGTTAACCCATTCATTCATTAACCCTTTAATGCATGAATGGATTCATCACCTCTTCAACGCCCTACCTCTCAATACTGCCAGGCAGGGGACAACATTCAAACCATAGCAAGTAGAGAGCGTATATTGGTGCATGCATTTACCAAATTAAAACATGGAGAAAACCAAGGGATCGAAGAGCTAGTTTTTAAGGGAACTTAAAATTAATTTGAGCTTACATGGCAGATGGACTACTGGGAATAATAACTCCTTCCACCATGTATTGGCTACTTGCTGTATGTCAGGCACTGTGCTGAACACTGTATTTCAATATTTTATTACCTCTCTTAAAGCCCACTTCAGTAGACACTCTTAATTCTGTTTTATAGAAGAGGAACCTGTAACATCAAAGTAGTTAGAGGAAAGTATCCAATCTCCCTCCCAAACACTGGAACTTCCCAGCAGTTTGTGCTTCTCTTGGCTTGAGTTAAGAGTTTCAAGTCTCCTTTCACTCAGTAGTTTAGATAAACTTGATATTATAGTTTCCTTTCATTCCTCTAAGTGATGCAAATTGCTTTACCCAAAGAAAGGCATCACATTACACCATTACAGGAAAAAAAAAAATCTACTGAGGAAGAAGGGGAAAAGAGATGTTTGGATTTTTTTTCCCCTTCATTTTTTTTTCTACCTGATTAAAATGACTGTTAGGATCCATTTTCCCCTTCTTTCTTGTTAAGTGAAGATATTCCGATCTTACATACAGAAGCAAAATGAAGAAAAGAGATGATCGGTTATGTGGTTTAATGGACTGATATCGTCTAGATGATTCACAAAGCAGGGAGGGTGGTGTGTCTGCCCTCCTCTGCCTGTCCCTGTGTGGGGATGGCGCTTGGGTTCCGAAAAATTAAAATACATGCAATCAACCAGTTACCTACTTCAATTTCCCACTGTAGTTATCCTGGTTTGCCTTTATCATTGATAGTAACACTTCTGCAGCTAAAAATCTAAGAATTAGATTTACAAAATACCAAGAAAACTGCTAACAGAAATTTTTCTTCTATTAGCTATGTAGCATCCACAGCTGGGCAGACAGATGGATAATATATTCGTGTTTCTTTTTTTTTTTTTTTTCATTCTAAACACTGTGTATCAAGTAAATTGTTTTCCCCAGGAAGGATCTTGCTGGCTCCGTCACCAAGAATTCAGCTCCTGCAGGTTACATAACTGTTCGTTAGGCATTGAAGAGCTCAAGATTCCAGCGTCTGTGAATAACTGATATAAATGGAATCACTTTGTAAATGGCTGTCAGGAACTGCCCCTCCATTAAGGAGCCACGTCTAGCCCATCACAGTTGCCACCATCCCTCTCTCACCCATCAAATCTGCCGCTAAATCCTATTTGGTCTACCTCTGAAGTGGCCCTCAAATGAGTCCCTAACTCTCTTCACCCCCACGGCTGCTGCTTCATCCAGGACTTTGTCACCTTTCAGACACATTCATATCATCGCCCTCTAGCTGATCTCTGTGCACGTAGCCCCTTTAATCCATTCTTCTTATTGGCAACAGGAGCATCTTTGTAAAGCACAGCTCTGACCTGATCATGTAGTTCCAAAAATACTACAGATCCCAGGGCTCCAAACAATATTTCCACAAGTGTAGCGGATAAGATGCTTTGGAGGAACATACAAATGAATACATTTCATTTGAATAGTTGTGGTATTTTTAGAGCTATCTTTAAAAAATAAATCTAATAAAGTGTATTTTTAAGTGAGCTACTTAAAAAAGAAATCCCCAAGTCAGTAGCCAGCCAGGACAAAAATTGTGAAAGTGGTCCACAAATGACTAATGTTTGGAAAACACTGGCAGAGGCAGAAAATCCAAACTCCTTAGCCCAGCATTAACAATACTTCATATATCAGTGGCCGGGCGCAGTGGCTCATGCCTGTAATCCCAGCACTTTGGGAGGCCAAGGCGGGCAGATCATGAGGTCAGGAGATCGCGACCATCCTGGCTAACACGGTGAAACCCCGTCTCTACTAAAAAATACAAAAAAATTAGCTGGGCGTGGTGGTGGGCGCCTGTAGTCCCAGCTACTTGGGAGGCTGAGGCAGGAGAATGGCATGAACCCAGGAGGCTGAGCTTGCAGTGAGCAGAGATCAAGCCGCTGCACTCCAGCCTGGACGACAGAGCAAGACTCTTGTCTCAAAAAAGAAAAAAAAAAAAAAACAATACTTCACATATAGGTTCCTCCAAAATAGCAAATAGTCACCTTAAGGTCTGCCTATTCTCCCTCCACACAAGCTTTTCAACCAGGGCTTTTCTCTCACCCTTAGTCACATCAAACACTCGGCAGTTTTTTCAGCACACTAAGTCCTTTCATATTTGTGCTCTTCCTCCACCCCCCAACCCCTGCCAACATATTGTTCCTTTTATCTATTCTAGATTGTATTTTTCTACCTGATGGACTTCTATATATACTTCAAAACCCAGTTTACATGTGCCAAACTTTGAGAACCCTTCTCTAAGTCCCTCAGGTGGAATTCACCAGGCCTCTGAGCTGCTACACTCTGCTGGTAACATTCAACACCTGATGTTCTGGCTGTTTCAGTAGGTGTTTCCTTCAATCCCCAGCACTAAGGAATCCCACAGGGCTGTGCCCAAGTCTCTGTCTCTATTGACCAGCGGTGGGCATGGTGCACAGAGAAGGGCTCAAACATTTTCTGAACAAATGAGGAAATGAATAGCTGAGTGAATCAAGGCAGATTCAAGGGTGTCTACAGGACAGGGAGGTCTCACACACAACTAATCTGACAAAAGGAATTAATCACAATACACCATCCTCCCTGCTAAGTGGGTCTGAGAAAGTTGTTCTGACAGTGTTTCTCAAGCTACTTAACCACAACTATCTTTTCTTCTTTAAATTACTCTGAAACATTTACCCTTAGCAAATGGTGACACAGCTGCACAGATGCCTTCACATAACACTCACAAGACTTACTATAACTGCTTGCTCTCTGCCTCTCCTCCCCACCAGATTCTCGGTTTCACCAGAGCAGAGACTAAGGCTATTTTGTTCATTGCAGTATCACCTGCTAGTACAGGGTCTGGTTTATAGTAAGTACTTGTTATTTCCTGAATAAATGGCATCTAAATACATATTCCATGAATTTATGTGGCCACCAGACTATCTCGATTTTTCCTTGAAGAAAGAGACTGGGCAAGGTGAGGTGGGAAACCTCCCACAGAAGGCCCCTTCAAAGCAAGCCCTTTCTTTAAAAAGTATTTGCCCTGCGTTTACTCTGCCCTGCTGTGGTACCAGCTGCCAGCCTGGAGTACTTTCCTTCATTCCCTGAATTCCCACTGTCCTCCCAATACAAATCAATCTAATTCTGTGTTACTGGCCAGCATTTTGCTTTTAAGTGGCAGTGATCAAAAGTGGAATCTTTCGTGTCAGATAGAGGGCTAGCAGAGTGGCTGGCACATGGCAAGGCCTCAAAAGTGCTATTATCATTTACAATAATTTATCATGATGTTTACACTCCTAATGATAATAAATGCTATGTGCAAAAAACTTGGTTCTCTTTTTCTGGTCCCTTTTATCATTTTATGTCCAGTCCTGAATCCATTCGACTGTTTATTAGGATTCACACTAAACCATACCTATCAGTGATAGCTGCCCTAAGAAGCTTTTTTGCATGTTTCTCAGCATTTAATCATTTTAGGACTTCGCTACAGAACTTCTCTAATCCCATCCTCTTTATGTTCACTCATGCATGTACTTTTTATCTGGCCGTTTTTTTGCCTCACTGGATCTTAATTTTCTCAGTCCTTCATTAATTCGTTCGACAAATATTTACTGAGCACCTACGCTATGCAAAGGTACTGTTCTAGGCTCTCAGTGCACAGTGTTGAACAAGACAGAACAGCTTTTACCCTCATAAAAAGTTTACTGTAGTGGGGAGAAAGACAAAAAGAAGAAAAAAGGGAATAATATGTACATAAATAAATATGCAATATATATAATATGATATACTAAAATATGTTAATAGAATATAGCATTATATTTAAAAGATAGAGGGGCCAGGCACGGTGGCTCGCGCCTGTAATCCCAGCACTTTGGGAGGCTGAGGCGGGCAGATCACGAGGTCAGGAGATCGGGACCATCCTGGCTAACACGGTGAAACCCTGTCTCTACTAAAAATACAAAAAATTAGCCAGGCGAGGTGGCAGGCGCCTGTAGTCCCAGCTACTCAGGAGGCTGAGGCAGGAGAATGGCATGAACCCGGGAGGCGGAGTTTGCAGTGAGCTGAGATCACGCCACTGCACTCCAGCCTGGGTGACAGAGCAAGACTCCGTCTCAAAAAAAAAAAAAAAAAAAAAAAAAGAGGGACAGTCACGAAGACCTGAACCTCAGTCACAGAGTCAGTGGTTTCTTGGTTTAATTTCTGATTCTGACCCCCATGGCTATATTCCCTGGCCTTGCCAGGTACCCAACCAGATCTGTATTATCTCATGACCCAAACAAGCTTCCCGCTGACCTTTGCACGTTTCCAGTCTTACCACTCCTCAGGCTTCCCAGACCTTCTGCCGTTGGTGGTTCTGATCTGTGCATCACTCTGGGAAGAGGGAGAGCTTTGGGGGCAAAGCATGCCAGGTAGAATCTGTCCAGGGAAGGGGTGAGTTGAGGGACGGTGTGGACAGCAGGTACTCCAGGGTCTTTCCCAAACCCGTATCTTGCCTATCAATCAAAAATGAAGCTTTGTGTGTCTTGCATTTCAAAGGCATGCTTTAGCCACAGAGAACTTTCTGGAGGTTCCTCCTTGCACTGTGGAAACATTATTTAGCACAGCATCTTAAATGAGGTAGGCGGTATGGGAATATTTGTTAAGTGTTTGAGACCATCAGAAGCTGACCACCAAGGAGGTTCTGGGAATTTAACTCCATTGATAGGGATGGTGCAGTGAGCCACGTGGGTACCACTGCTGTCCCTCGGTGGATGGAGGACACCTATAGCTCCTGAGCAGACAGCAAAATGAGCTCCAAGGAGCCACCCCAGGCCAGCAGCCAGCCTCCAGAGTTGTCTGATTCTTCATGGCCCTTTTTCAGACTGGCGAAGGCTGGGAGCCCAGGGCATCATTAGTATCCTTCCATCACTTCCTCATTAGTTCTTAGATAGTGTTTTAATGACAGCTTGAGAGGCTCCGCATCCTGGCCTCCTTCTATTTATGATCCCCACCGTGTTAATGTGCACTTAATGAGAAATTCTTGTCTTGCTTGTAAATCCTGTAGCCGGCATTCAATTTATTGACAGATGTTTGCTTGGATCTCTTTAAAATTACTTCATAAATCTTCCCAGATAAAAGGCCTCAAGTTTGGTTATTAAGACAAGGCCTTGTTGACAGTTTCATATTTAACTGTTTAGAACTCAGCTGTCAGGGCTGTAATGGGGTGTATGGCCAAGGGGCACAGGGCCTGGGTGCTGTTTGTCACCTTTCCTGCACCTATCCGGGCCCTCCCTGGTGGAGTGTGTCTACTGTTTCCTGCAATCCCCTCAGTTAACTTCTGGGTGACCTCGCTGTGCCTTGCACTTATTCATTTAGCATATCAGCTTGTCAGTGTGATGAAGTGTTCCTGCTGATAGGCGCTAAGGGCTGAGTAAGCCACAGTGCCTCCATCACCGGGGAGAAGTGTTGATGGGAGCCCAACGCTGAGGTCGCCCTTCCCACAACAGCCACCAGGCACCAGCTGGAAACCTGTGGGCTTCACCTCCATCTGTGGGCAGGAAGCAAGTGGATGTCAGGGACGGTGGTGGGGGGCTCTGCTTGGAAGTTTTAAGACCACACTCATCTTTTGTGGCCATGGACTTTTCAATACCATCCTAAGTCAAGATTTTTTGTTGTTTGTTGTTGTTTTTGTTGTTGCCCATGACAGAAAACTCACCTCAAAATGACTTAAGGAAAGAGATAAAGGAGAAGAAAGATAGTTAACTGGCTCATGTGATTGAAGAGTACAGGGGAAACGACCTTCAGGCCAGGTGCAAGGGTTAAGGTAATTTTGTTTCACTCTCTTCCTAGGGTCCTCCTTCCTCTGTATTAGCTACACTCTCAGATCCTGTCCTGCCCCCAGCAGCTCCACAGGGCTTCCGGTTCAGACCGGAAGAACAGGAGAACAGAAGGCCACGTGCTTCTCTTCCAAATGCCCAGGAGGAAAAAGGCTAATTAAGTCTCATTGGTCCCACCAGGTCACATGTACAGGCTTTAGCCAATCACTGTGGTCAGAGGTAGGCTATGTTTTGATTGGTTAGGTCTGAGTCACGTGATGAGTTCCAATACAAGCACAGGAAGGAAGATAAGGCCAGAGGATGTTCTCTAGAGAAAAAGTGGGGCTATGTTACCTGAACCAGTCAGCACACATGTTCAGATATTCTGATCAAGTTCAGAACAACAGCCTGCTTTGTCTAATGCTTGCATTTCATTTTGAAAAGTTGTTATACATTGGCAGCCTCTGAGCTGAACTACTGAGGGTGTGGCCTACTCATTTGCAGAGTGCATTCAAAAGATTAAAATTCCAGAAAACCCTGGAGAGGCCAGGCCATTGAGAGGTCCTCTAAACCCACCCACAAGCCGGTAACAGTATTAAGATGAAAAAAAAAAAAAATGCTCTGCTTAATACTATCACAAATCAGCCCATTGCATGTAAGACGATAATGAGCACTTGGGCCAAAAATAGCGTGTTTTTTGCTTACTTGCTGGTGTCCTGTCACATTGCATTGCTTGAACTGTGTCAGATCGCATTGAGTAACTTTGCTTAATCCGGCGCTGACGTGACCCGCTGCTTTGCAACACTTAAGACAAGTGTGTAGGAGCTTTTCTCCTCAGTCCATTTTGTGTGTGTGTGAGTGCAGTTTACCAGATGAGGCATATGTAAATACTATTCGAATTGAAAACACATCTATTTAAGCTAGAATTTATTAAGGGGCCTGTAGGAGTGAAGGCACAAGAAACATTTACTCACAGACCCCGACAGGCTTCTACAGAAGACTCACTCCTTTGCCCCAGAAAATACCACGTTTACTAAATTCTGATATTCACAGTTTCCTATGTGGAAACTTCTGAAAAGTTTAGGGCACACTATGGCTGACAGCCGGAAGGTAAACTTGGCTATGATTTTCTGTTGGGCCAACTCCCCATGCCCCTGAGAAACACATTCTTCACAAAAAATAATTGTAATAGGCCGGGCGCGGTGGCTCACGCCTTTAATCCCAGCACTTTGGGAGGCCGAGGTGGGCGGATCACAAGGTCAGAAGATCGAGACCATCCTGGCTAACACAGTGAAACCCCGTCTCTACTAAAAATACAAAAATTAGCCGGGCATGGTGGCGGGCACCTGTAGTCCCAGCTACTCGGGAGGCTGAGGCAGGAGAATGGCGTGAACACGGGAGGAAGAGCTTGCAGTGAGCCAAGATCGTGCCACTGCACTCCAGCCTGGGCAACAGAGCAAGACTCCGTCTCAAAAAAATAAATAAATAAATAAATAATAATAATAATAATTGTAATAATCTTGACTTAGAGTTGCCTTGTAATGTAGCCTCCCAGTGGGTTCTCCTTGCCCACTGCCTAGACACAGCCGATTTATCAAGACAGGAGAGTGGCAATAGAGAAATAGTTTAATTCACGCAGAGCTGGCTGTATGGGAGCCCGGAGTTTTATTGTTATTCAAACCAGTCTCCCTGAAAACTCAGGGATTGGAGTTTTTAAGGATAATTTGGTGGGTAGGAGGTTGAAAAATGGGGAGTGCTGATTGATAAGTTTGGAAATGAAATCATATGGAGTTGAAACTGTACTCTTGCACTAAGTCAGTTTCTGGGTGGAGGCCACAAGACCAGATGAGCCAGTTTATCCATCTGGGTGGTACCAGCTGATCCACTGAGTGCAGGGTCTGCATAATACCTCAAGCACTGATCTTAGGTTTTACAATAGTGATGTTATCCTGAGGAGCAAATTGGGAAGTTTAGAATCTTGCAGCCTCCAGCCGCATGACTCCTAAACCATAGTTTCTAACCTTGTGGCTAATTTGTTAGTCCTGCAAAGGCAGTCTAGTGCCCAGACAGGAAGGGGATTTGTTTTGGGAAAGGGCTGTTATCGTCTTTATTTCAAAGGTAAGCTATAAACTAAGTTCCTCCCAAAGTTGGTTCAGCCTATGCCCAGGAATGAACAATGACAGCTTGGAGGTTACAAGCAAGATGGAGTCAGTTAGGTCAGATCTGTTTCACTGTAATAATTTTCTCAGTTACAATTTTTGCAAGGAGGGTTTCAGTAGTAATAACAGCAAACGCTTATACAATGTTTGCTATCTGCCAGTTATGGTTTAATCACTGTATATGTTTTAACTCCATGAATCCCTACAACAGCCCTATATTATTAGGTATTATTATTATTCCACTGAGAAAACTGGGGCACAGAGATGGTAAATAACTTGTCTAACAACCCATAATATTCATGGAGTTGAGATTTGAACCCACACAGTCTGACTCCGGAGCTGTGCTCCAAATACTATATATACTATGTTCCTCGTACTATGAGGTTATATGGGTAAACACACTGACTCAAGATTCATGCCACTAAATAGTATTACATGTATTAAAATGTATGAAAGATGAATTAAATATATATATAATAATATATAAAATACAATGCAGATATATATGTAGCCTAAGTATTTTTTAAAACTTTCTCTTCAAAGAATTGAGTCCAGATATAATAATTCACACCAACAATGTTTATTAAAAGAAGATGAGAGAGGAAACAACGGCAAAATTAAATTTTGTTAAAACAATAAAATGAAGCAGGGAGAAATGTAATTCCACAAGAATGTATTCAACTAAAATTGGAGTGAAAATTTGGGCCTGAGGATCCTGAAAGATACAGCACAAGAAAAACAGGTGAAGAGTTATAATGTTCGCCTCATCCCAAGGTTCAAAGCCCATGCCTGTCTCTCAAGACAAGTCCAAGAGAAATTTCTCCCATGGTTCCTCTGATCAGGACATGGTGGGTGGTGAGGAACATCACTTTCTTTTGAAGAAAGAGAGTTGGAGGAGGACCAGGGCCTGATAGAAATCCCATGCATTGGTGTCAAAATGGCAGACCCACTCTCTTTTCCTGCACAAGATAATAGGGCCTCTGTTTTTCTTTCCTTATCTGTACAAATGTGCTGTCTTCATTTGTGTTCCCCGAGAATGACACCTTGTATCAAGAATTTGAGTACACATTCTTTCTTTGGTTGTTGATCCTGGGAAACCCTAATAGCAGAGTGGGGCCATAAGACAGGAAGGGAAGGATGTTAATGAAGGGTGAGTTATCCAGCCTGACAGCCCAGTGGGCAGCAGGAGCTTCCTTGTGCTGGGGAATTCTAGAAGAGAGTGTAGAACACACACCTCAGAGTTATCCCAATGAGGGCTAAGGATGCTGGGGTAGTTTTTAACCAAATCTTCATCTGTCATTGCTTGGAAGCTTCTAGGGGCATTATTCTCCAGCATTTCCAGCTTGCCCTGTATGGGAACAGCCAGACAATTGCCCTTAACCAGAGAAGCACAGGTAATCCCAGAAGAATGCTTGGGAGGGAGAGGTACATGCCTAGGAAATACGCACAAGGCACAGAAGAACTCTAGCATGGATAATTGTGGCCCTTGCCTCCTAGCACAGTTGTAATGACTGAATGGTAATAAATAGAAAGCACTTGGACTGCTGTCTGATTTGAGAAAAAACTTAAGAGTTGGGGAAAATCATGTTGGCTCACAATACTAAAACGTCTAGGAGAAAACCTTGAAGCTTCAGGAAAGGGTGGATCCAGGCACTCAAATATATTGGTCTAGGCAAGAGCATGGTGGGAGGGAAATAGCCTGTGCTGAGGGGTGCAGAGCTTGTGGAATACAGATGAATTTTAGAGTTTGATTTAGTAAAGACCATGTTGTCTTTGTGGTCCATTTCATATCTAGTATATTAAGCAGATTCATTGTCAGATACTCAAAGTGAACTCAAATCATCAGTGAATGCAGTTGTGGGGCAGGGGGCGGATGAGTCAACACAATTTGGCATCATGTAGCTAAAACCACCAGTGGTGTGATGGATGGTTTCATTTCTTCTTGGACTGTTTTGGCATTGTGTAGACGGAGCCTAAATTGGTGCCCGCACCTCACACTAATCATGCCCAGAGAGAGATAACATGGAGCTATTGAGATCCCCAAGCAGCACTTTGGCACACACACTATCTGACAATATCAAGAGATGAAGGAGGCCTTTGAAATGAGCTTTCGCGCGTGAGTAATGACCTTCAGGATGTGGCTCAGGATTGTCTTTTGAAACTGGTATATCTTGATGGATGATTGAAAAGCTGCTGTCTTTGGTATAGTTTTCGTGGTTTTATATTTGAGGATGTGTAATAAATAAATGTGTAATTGCCCTCAACATGATGCAAGACCAGGAGGTGAAGATGACACAGAAAAGTCCTATAACAGCATAAAATTTTATTAGGCTCCCCATTGGTAGGCAAGTCAGTGTTGTGTGAACAAAGAATAGTCTGTCTTAAGGTGACCAAGATAGAAACCAATACAGTGAGGAACAAATTCCACCAGCTGATTTGCAGGGAGGTAGAGGAGCGAGGCGGGCGTGAAGGATAGGTACTCTCATTTTTAAGATCTTTATGAAAGTAGTTTCAGGACCCGTATTAATAACTGCAACAACCACCTGAACCATTGACCTTATAATTCTGAAGATTAACCAGTTAGTATTTATAAAGCATTTGATGTTATTTTTTCAGTTGATGGGAATAGCTACATTTCAGTGGCCTGTAATTCTTAATTCATTGATGTCTTCTTCTTCCATTTTGATGCTAAGGTTGATTTTGTGCCCAATGTATTAATTACATGCTTTTTGTTTTTTATTCTTTGTGATCTCAACTCAGCTTATTACATATTTTTTGTTTCCTCATGTGACTCTCATTATTGGCTTTATACATGGATAAATCTATCTGTCTCTTCTAAATTAACTTTGATCTCTTTTAGTGACAATTGATGGGTGACAACCTTAGATATTATACATGGTGCCTGGAAACTGGGCTCAGCTTTCTTTTCATCCCCTTTTCTTTCAGTAGGTCAAAGAATGTCTTTAATATCTCTGTATAAACTCCATTTTGAAGATTTGTATGTTAACAGTTTTGTGCTATCATCTACAAAAAAGGCATAGACACAAAAGTTTAATTGTAGTCCTACCTTCTTCAATCCAGTCTAGAAACTTAAATGTTCACAAAGATTTAATAATATTGTTTAATGAATACTAATTCAATATTTTTCAAAGCTTTAATAATGTCATGTCATAATATCATTAGAAAAGAAATTTTTGATTGTTGGTTGCCATATCACTGTGGTATTAATGTGATTTGTGTGAGACTAAGATTTCTTTTTGTTTGTTTTAAACCAATATTCAGTTCCATCATATCTATGCATAAGACATGCATAAAATAAGTGGTGGGTCTATTTTGTTTTGTTTTGTTTTGTTTTGAGACAGAGTCTCATTCTGTTGCCCAGTCTGGTGTGCAGTGGTGCCATCTCTGCTCACTGCAACCTCCACCTCCTGGGTTCAAGTGACTCTCCTGCCTCAGCCTCCTGAGTAGTTGGGATTATAGGCATGCACCACCACGCCTGGCTAACTTTTGTATTTTTAGTAGAGCTGGGGTTTCACCATGTTGGTCAGGCTGGTTTGAATTCCTGACCTTGCGATCTGCCCGCCTCAGCCACCTAAAGTGCTGGGATTACAGGCGTGAGCCACCATGCCCGGCCAGTGGGTCTATGTCTTATAACAAGATTTGTGTTGTTGTTACACAGCTTAAAATAGAGGCATTTGCACAAACCTGATAAATACAAATGTGTCTTTTGGAAAGTCTCTAAATTCCTACAGCTAATATTTTCTATATCGTACTATTTAGTGTTTAATTATCTACGAACTTCAATTGATCACATGAATGTTATTTCTCTTTGGGGATTTGATCTCAAATGTCTAGAACAGTGGTTCTCAACTGGGGCAACTTCATTTCTCAGGGCACATTCTGCATTGTCTGGGACACTTTTTATTGAAACAACTAGGGTGGGGAAGCTGTTAGCATCTAGCGTGTAGAGGCGAGAGTTGCTGCTAAGCTTCCCACAGTGCACAGGACACCGCCCACCACACAGAGTGATCCAGCTTCGAACCTCAATAGTGTTGAAGATGAGAAATCCTGCATAGGAAGAATTTTGCTTTCTATTTCTTAATTTCTTGTTCTGGATATAGTACAGGCCTGACACCCTGTAGATGCTCATATTCAATTTGAGAATGTGGCTGAGTTTGCCTATTAAATCAGGACCCCAAGTGGATCTAAGTGCAGTGGTTTTGATTGAAAGAAAAAAAAAGTTTTTGCATTCAATATGTATGGATCATGGGGTGGGGGTTGATACAAAATAGAAAAAATATATAGATAAAGAAAATGAAGACATCTCCCAATCTTTTCTGAGATTGCCATCAACATAAAAGGCAGGTTATTAATCTTCAGGGTACAGTCTTTGTATGGAGGGAATCCCTTGGGGGTTATTGGAAATTTTATTGCTTTTCATTGGACTCAGTGTAAAATGGGGTAATTTAGGCTTAACAAACAAAGCTCGGGTTGACTCACTTTTTTTCAGAGGCTCCAGAAAGAGAATTCTCACAGAGCAGGAATCAACCTTTTCCTCCATAAATCACAGGAGGAGGTGAGAATTTGGCTAATATCCAGAGCACTGCAAAGAAATAAACAATGCAAAGCAATCTGTGGCTTACTTGATGCCAGTTTCTCCGTAGATAAATATTTCTGTGTTTTGATCTTATACATTCTTCCCCCTCAAGCTGAAACTTTTTCTGTCTCTCTTCCAGTCTGTCTGTTAGGCGAGGCCTTGGGAGCAGGATCCTGACAATGTACTGGTCAGCTCTTTTAGGGTTTTTTTTTTTTTTTTAAAGTTGATTTCCTCTGCTGGTGAGCCATACATCACTGACATCCCTGTCTGTGCTGCTTGTCTGTGACAGAATGACAGGTGTCATTTGTCACTGGGGCTTGCGGAAGCTGTGGGAAGAGGGATTGAAATTTTTTTTCTGGAAGGGCTCAGTGTCTGCCAGATCATTAAAAAGGGGGCTTTCCAAAGAAAGCTGTGTGTAATGTGATTGCACTTACTGTCAACGATAGGCTAAAAGAAAGAGAGAACATCAAAAGGGAGTGAGAGAAAGAGGGGGAGGAAAGAGAGGAGGAGTTTCTGCCAGGGGCATTTAAAGTTCTTGAGCTGCCAATGCAAGGATCTGCTTTAGTTCAGTTCTAGTGTGTGCATGCTAAATAAGTCCTTCAGAGATTTCCGCTCAGCTCATGGTGCCAATGAGGAGACCGTAACAGGAAACCTCTTTAATAGCACTTCTTCTCATCACATATTATGTAGGGCATGGAGACAGACTTGGTACTATACAGGGCATGACTTGCAGTCCAATCATTGAAGAGCTGAGGCAGGAAAACCTATTTGAACAAAAGCAGAGGGTCCCAATAAATCACGAGGCAAAACTGAGACCTGCTGGCAGGCTCCTTCTCCAAAGAGACATTTACAGCATCCTGTTTGCATAAGCACGCTCGGAAAATGCCCAAGAATATCTCCTTGCAGCTTCTCTCCTCTTGGCATGAAGTCCGTCACCAAATGGATCTCCAGGGATCAGGGAATAGAGTCTGCTTATCATTTCATTGCAAAGGGGAAGTGTTCCTTATTCTACTCCCTGTGCCATTAAAGTAATAAAAAGAAGTTAACACTTTCATAGTTCTGCCTATGTGCCGGACACTGCGGTAAATGTTTTACTTATACACCTCACTGTAATCTTCATAGCAATCCTATGAGATCGCTATTTCTGTTTTGGGGATGGTGTCATTGAAGCACAGAGAGGTTAAGTAACTTATCCAAGGTTGCACACTTCTTGGCAAAGCTGGGATTCAAATCTGGATAGTTGGGGTCTGGAGTCTATGCTTTTAGCCTCTTATTGGGAGGGTGAATGATGAACACAGTGGGGAGGCCAGATGATTTTGATAACTTCCAGATTGCAAATCTAACCATGCTGATTTAGGAAATTAACAATTTAGTGATGATGCAAACCAGGGATCTGCAAACTACAGCCAGTGAGTCAAATCCCACCTGAAACCTGTTTTTATATAGCTGGCAAACTAGAAAGAATTTTCACATAAATGGTTGAAAAATTTTGTAAAAATCTGTTTTCTCTTTTGTTACATAAGTACCTGCACATATCCTCAATTTAGTCTCTTGTCTTGCAAAGCCTAAAATATTTACTAGCTGGTCCTTCACAGGGAGTGTTGGTGGCTTCTAATCTAAGGTAAAATCAACTACAGGAAAATAAAATAAAATAAAATAAAAGTTTTTTAAAAAAAAGAAGGAAAGAAAGAGAAAGAAGAAAGGAAAAAGGAAGGAAGGAGGAGAGGAAGGAAGGAAAGGAGGAAAAGAAAAAGAAGGAGGGAAGAAAGGAAGGAAGGAGAAGATCTTAAAAAGAGAAGAAAAGGAAGGGACTTCATTTAAAAGCAAATAAGAAAACTAAGATCCTCACCAGTGGAGCTCTGAGGCCAACAGAAACACTGAAATTGGGCTGGCTTAGGTATACTTACGTGGGAAGGCCATCCTTTCAAAATAAGTTTTCCTTGACTGCCTTTCCACAAAGCCTGCTGCTTGGAGAGACAAATTAGCTATTAGGTAATCTAGTTAATTGACAAGTGACTTAACTAATTACCCTAACATGCTTATTAAATGTTACCTTTCCCATTCTCAACACATTGTTAGAGCATCAATGTATTTAAGGCCTTATCATATCACGCTCTCTTGACAGCACATTCCTGTTAAAACAGAAGGTGCATGCAGTATGTTTTTTCTATCACTATTTTTCTCCCTCTGTGGTTAGAGTCATAAGAGATAGAATTGGGAGCTGGGTACATAACAAGCCCATCCCTATTAAGGAACAATGTCCTATTATACTGGTGCCTATTCGCTGAGATGGATCAAGAATGGACTAAGTAAAGAAATAATGCATAATATCAAGCCTCGGCTAATGGGTGTAGCTAAAGCTTAGAGAAAACTTACTTTGACTCTGGACTAGTCTTTCCTAGCTGGGAGGGCTAGTGTCTATATTTATACAAATCTACAAATTCCTCAACCAAAATTCTTTGAGGCAGATGTGTTTTACAGTTCAGAGTTTTCCAGATCTTAGAAAGAGAATATGGTACATATACCATGTAGTAGATAATATCTTCAGGAAGGAAGGTGAGGAATAGCATCTTGTATGTAAAAATATAAATATTTCTGCAATGAAGCATTAGGATTACTAAATGAGATTTTTTTAAGCTTTAAAAAGTTCAATAGATTTTTCTGCTACATGAATCACAGAAAATAAGTTTAAAAAAACTTTTGGTATTCAGAGCTTTTAGGATTTTGGGAATCAAAGATAAGGGATTGTGAACTAGGGTAAATGTTACTATCACCTCATGGCCTTTCTAATAACTACAGCCTTCAAGTTATTTTTAAATTTTATATTGGTCATAATTGATACATATGGATACCATTGGTGATTATTCTTTAGCATAATGTGAGATGAAGCATGATATATATCAAGATACATACAAAATAATATGTATGAATATATTTCATTATAATTAATGCCTTTATAAAATACTAAGCAATACAAGACGGTTGGAAGTAAATACAAAGATTCTCTTCTGTTTAGAACTGAACTCGAGGGCAAGGTTGCTGTAAAATGGGAAGCATCATCTGGTCCAAGGTTGACAAACTCTGATTTCTGCCAGAGCCACGCAGGTACCATGTACTAAAATCCTAAGATATACATTTTTCACATTACAACATCCCTGAAGTTAGGATGCATCCTCCATTCTTCATTGTACAATAGTTTGATTGGCAACATTTTTTTTTCACTTTCTTGACTGTGAAAGTAAAAAAGCATTAAGGAGCTTAGATCCAATCCACTGCAGTCTCAGAGGTGAGCCAGGGAACTCAGGTGACTTAGGAGCTTACACAGTTTCTACACAGGGCTCACTGGGGCTAACCCAAATTCTGACCCTGACCCTCACCCTAACTTTAACCCTGACCTTCACCCTAATCTTGACCCTAACCCTGACTCTCAGCCTAACCCTGACCTTTATCCTGACCCTGAGCTTGACCCTTATTCTAACCCTGACCCTAATCCTGACCCTGATTCTGAATGGCTGAATGGCTGTTGCTCTACTGGTTGTTGCCACACAGAAACACAGACCAGGGGTGGCCAATCAGATCTTTTGAGAGAAGCTAGAAATTCAGCCATGCAGTCTCACAAGATTTAACTGTTGTCATTTATTAACCCTATGTAGGACAACCAAGACAGGTCAGGTATCTAGATTGGATCTGGCCCTCCAACACCTAGAAAGATTTAATGAGTTGATTGACCAATATCACTCTGCTGAAATATGAAATTATGTCTGACACCTATGGTTTTATTTTTTGTCTGATTGGAATGACAGGTGAAATGATAAAAGCATAAGCCCAGAAACTCAGGGAACTACAGCAGAGAGGGAGAGATATTCAAGTAAACATAATTACATTTATAACATGGTGTGATGCTACCAGGGGCTTTGAGGACCCAGAGAAGAATTGCCTACCCCAGTCCTGTGCAGGCAGGAAAGAACACTCAGAGAAAGTGTTCAAAGCTGACAGAGGAATGAGTAGAGGGTGGTGTGGGAGAGAGGTTGATAGGGATATTCCAGGGAAAGGGAGCAGCATGTGCCCAGGTCCAGAATCCATCATGCCTCAGAATGCCTTTTCAAAAATGAAATCACCCATAACACAATCAGGACATCCTATGCAGCCGCATGGAACCAAAATCAGCTGACCTATTAGGAAGTTGATAAGAGAGAAAAGAATATCTGCTGTGACCATAGCCCCTGACACATCCTATAGCTCTGTAGCGAGGCAAGCATAAATGTCCCCAGCCTGGGATTCTATCAGAGCTCAAAGAGCAGGACTGTTCCTGCAGTGTGGCCAAAGCAGGCAGTGGCCTAGAGAGTGCTAGGCAAGAGGTCCCTGTCACCAGGTATTACTTCAAAAGTTGCATGTGCCACCCTGTCCCTCTCCTGCTTGGTCAAGGCTGTAGATGACCACATCAAATTGTATATTGGGATGTTACAGTTCTTGGACTGCAAGCAGGATCAACTGACTTGGTAACTTAAACAAAAAGGAAATTCCTTGCAGGGTTACCAGTAACTCACAGAATGGATGTGAAAGGTGGAGGACTAATCTTAGAAATGGTTCAATGTCAGAACAGACCCTGAGTCTAGAAAGTAGAAACTGCAGACCAGTTTGTTGAGGTCCCACCACTGGACTAAATGAATTGCTCTTCAAATTTCCTCATTTTCTTGTCTTCTATGGTCAAGATGCAAATTTCATGAAAAGAGTGTCCAGTTTGCCCAACTGGAGCCATTAGCTTTTGCTGCATTAAAAAACCATTCCAAAACTCAGCAGCTTAAAACAGGGACCACTTATTTAGTCCGTGGTCCTGCAGGTCAATAATTTTGGCTAGACTCAGCTGATGACTGGCTGGTCTTGCGTGGCCTTAGATAAGATGGTTCAGCTCCTCTCATAAGGTCTCTCATCCTCCAGCAGGCTAACCTAGGCTTGTTCCCATGGTGGTAGCAGAGTTGTAAGAGCAAAAGCCTGTAAGTCCTTGTGATCTAGTCTCAGAACTGTACTGTGCTTACTTCTATTGCATTCCATTGGACAAAGTAAGTCAAAAGGCCAGCCCAACTTAAGCAATGGAAAAATAAATGCTATCTTTTAACAGACAGAGCTTCGCAGTCACATGGCAAAATGTGTGCATACAAACAAGGCCAATTTACCAGCAATCAGTCATACTGGCTAGGGGACTAGAACAGGGGACTTGAAAAAGAGCTTTATCAGGCTACATCTAATGGGGAGTAAGTAGCAACTCCCCCAAAACTTTAGTTTTGTTAGGAAAGGGGAATGACCTAAGTGACCAAAAAAAATTTTTTTAAGAAGTAAATGTTTTTTTAACATTGCTCCTATGTATGATTCATTAGAAATAAGTGTCTTTTCCCATGAACAAAATTTGTTTCAGCAGTAAAATAAAAATAACAAATAATAAAATTAGGTCTCCCAGCTTCTCGTCAACTTCCTGGCATAGCAAGAACTGTGACCTTCCATGCACAACCACTGCGGGTGCCCTCTCTTGCCCAGTTGAAGGATCCAAACAGTGTGGCCCAGAGATTTTTGATTCAAAAATCAATTTCTGAAATATATGATGAAGTTCATCAATACTTTTCTTTCTGGACTACTCCAGCCCTCATTGACCACTCCTGTCTTTGAAATCTGAATGCACTGAAATCTAGAGGTAACTATGAGAGCTGGGCTTGAGTCACACACTTCCCGTATGATTCTGAGTCAGTGAACATCTCTAAAACCTCAAGGTTCTTATCTATAAAGTGAGTATAGAAGTGTAGCTCCCTCCAAATTTTGTGAGCTGTCACTGAGACAATCTATATAAAGCACATAGCATAGTATCTCCCGAATAATCAGCAACCAAAAACTATCCTTTGCTTATGCCATCATCATTATCATTATTGACATGCATTTAATTAGTTCTTCTGCCCCACTAGAAATTATGACATCTAAATATTACCTTCTGTATAAAAGATGCCTGTCACCTCGATGTAAGTTGAAAAAAAAATAGTTAATATGTGTGAGACTTTTGTTTCTTCTAAGACAGGTGTTTGAATATGCATTTTTTTTTTTTTTTTTTTTTTTAGTTTTGTCAGGAACTACATAAAGGTTAATCTCTTTTTCTGGCAAATATTTCCTGAGTGCTTCCATGAGGACTGCGTGGGTAGCTCACCTGTGATTCTGATCCGGAACTGGACCCTCCCTATGAAGTATTATTGTATCAATTGTTTGACCAGGCAGGGAACACCTGACCTACCCCAGTAGGTAATAGGGGAAGAGTTTAATAAAAAGACAATGAAAAGGTAGGAGTGGTGTTTAAGAAACCAAGAAGGGATAGTTCAGTGACCTGAGACTGGTGTCAGAAAGGAACCTTTGGTAGACGAACATAGGACTCATGGTAACCTGGTCAAAAGGAACCCGTGGGATATATATTCCCGCCTTTCCTCCTCCCACCTGCCCATCCCCTTTGGGCAAACTCCAGGGGTAGCCAGAGGACAGAGGATCTCATTGAGGGGATATATCAGGGACAGTCTCCCAGGGCACAGGTCTGGGAAGGAGGGTGCAGAATTAATGTACAGGGCAAGCAGAAGATACCCGGGACAGATCACTGAAGATTGAGGGAAAACTCAATGCACAATATCTTCCCACTTTGGGAAGACCCACTCTGAAAATGACTTCACTTTTTAGGACCTGGGCCCAGGAAAAATTACAAAAGGTTTTAAAACCCCGCTTACTAGGGAATTTTGCACATTTCATTTCAGGAGATGGGTTACCTGGTAGATCTCAATGTTGTGATAGACTCTACATTGGCCTCAAAAGACAATTAAGACATGATCCTGTTTTAAGTTAATGAGAAAACATTCCATCACTGGCTGTCTGGGTCACAAACTTGTAGCCTACAAGACAATACCACCCCTGGATGTTTCTCTAATATTTTTTAAAACTTTAATTAGGTATTGGCTAATTAAATATAAGGAGGTTTTACATATGTCTCTAAATGCCTGTTTCTTTTCAGAAGTTAGAAACCTGACCCCAAGAGTCTCATTTTCTCCTGGGAACAAGGGGCTGCAGCTGAGAGTGTGCAAGCTCTCCAGCTTGCCACAGTCCTCACCATTCTCTGTTGTCTCTAATTAGCCAGACCCACGTATCCTTTACCATTTTTATTGTTCTTGCACTCTAAATTTCATCATGGTAATGTTTCTTTTTACCCATATCTCTATCAGCAATGGGCCAAAAAAGCTAGTTGAAGAGGGTCAGTGAATTTTAAGCAAAATTTAAGAAAACATATGTCTCTGTGGAAGAAAAGAATCTTCCTACACTTATATACACAAAATGATGGTGTCTGCCTGGAAGGATGGCAACTCAGTGGGCCTTCTTTGGTTATCTTATTGGCTTGGGTCACATGGGCACTTGGGTTTGCAGTCCTGAGAACCCTATCCTTTTACATTCAAGTCACACATTCCAGAAGGAGAGCACTTTTGTATGCACCATCTCACTTAAACCTCATAATGACCTTGTGAAACAAGCAGAGCAAAGCTTATCACTCTTTAACCTAAGAAGAAGCTCAAACCAGTTCAGTGATTTTCCCAAGGTTACCCATCCAGCAAATGTCAGGACTAAAACCCAGATCTCATCATGAAGGGCAAACTCCCATGATTCAGAGACGACTGAGGCTTGTGTAGCCCAGAAAGAAAAGAATTGCTCAAGTTTGTCCTACATTTCAGGATGAAAGACCAAATGTCGTGATTTCTACACTGTGCTGAATTAATACTTTTTCTTAATTTTTTTTCTGGCCTACTTCATTTCCCCAATAGGTTATATTCTAAAGGCAGTCAAAGATTATAAGATAACGTTTCTGTAGGTAGGGGGAAATAAGAGCTGTTGAAATGACCTGAGTGTCATCTCTATCTCTGGGGACAGATACCATCTCACGACTTCTATCTGCCTAAGAGAAGTTAAGCAAGAAGGTGCAGAGCTTTATTAAGCAGAGAAACATTAGACCTTTCAGCTGCTTGTGCCATCTAATTACCTGTGACTCCTGGCATCACATGCAAGCTTTATTACTGCATGTGTGAAAACTGCAAGTCCTGCTTTCGTATCTGCCCTTTGAAACTCCTCCAAACATCTACCTCTACTCAATTTTCAGTACAGCTAGAATCTTACCCTCTATGAGCAAAGAAGCTAATTTCTCAATTATGCTTGAAATTTAGTAATTCTAGGAACAATTTTTTTTAGAGCTTAGATCCTTATGGGCGTAAAACACTCTGATTGTGTTTAAGGATTCTACCTTTTATCAGTGTCTCCAGTGGGTTTGAACAGAATTACTTCCTTTGGCAGTTTTCTGGAACTCTCTATAAATTCATTTTACTAATGTTCTGTTGAACAAACCTGTTCTATCCTCCAACATTGAGTTGGTTTTTTTTTTTTTTTTTAGAGACAGGATCTTGCTCTGTTGTCCAGGCTGGAGTGCAGTGGCATGATTGTAGCTCACTGCAGTCTGAAACTCCTGGGCTCAAGCAATCCTCATGCTTTAGCCTTCTGAGTAACTAAGACTACAGGTGCGCACTACCATGCCACGCCCCGAATTGGTATTTTTAAAGAAAGTATTCTCATCATGAAAATTTCTGCTTTGCTATAGGAAGCACTAGATAAAGTTGTTTGGTTAACACCAAGTGAAACTAGTGTTATGTATAGTAATGCATCTCAACATATTTACTCTATTTGATAATGAAACTGATTTACTTCTGCTTTTAGAGAGAGGGAGAGATGAATGGATGGTTCCTTGAGTGTTCTTCATGTATTTATTTATTTATTCAACTCACATACATTAAATACCTACTTTATGTTTCCTAGGCATTTGGGGGTCGCAATAAAGAGTAGTAAAGGTTCCTGACCTCAAGAAGGTTATACTCTAAAGGGAAAGAGTGGTGGGCAGTCACAGCCACAAACCAATGAATTTCAGGTAGTGAACACTGTCATACAGAGAGAAACTGAGAAATTTGAGTGGGGGATTGTGAATTGCTGCTGCCTTGGGTGGATTAGTCAAGGAAGATCTCATTTGAGGAGGCGATATTTGAACAAGATCTGAATGAAGTGAGGAAGGAAGCTGTGGGGCCGTGGAGGGAACAGTGTCCCAGGTGGAAGAAAACAGCCAAGACCCGGAAGTCACCATGGGCTTTAGAGACAGCAAGGAGACCCGGATGTCTGGAGCCGAATGAGGAAGGCAAAAGTGGAAGAGGCCACCAGGGGGCAGACTGTGCAGAACCTATGGGACTTCATAAGGACTTTGGATTTCACTGGAAGAGTAATGGATGAGGCTAGAAGGTTTGGGGCAGGAGAAAAGCATCATCTGACTTACCTGTGAGCAGGTTGACTGCACACCGGTGGATGGACCGTGGTGGGGGTGAGCTGGGAGCAGGCAGGCAGGACAGGGCTGTGGCAGTCGGTAGTGGCTGTGGCTGGGCTGATAGTGGTGGGCTGATAGTGGTGGAGGTTGTGAGAAATGGTTGGATTGTGGGTTAATTTTTGAAGTTTGAGCCTATCAGTGGGAGAACAGGACACTAAGAAGGACAGAGTAAGTGGCGTGTCCTTTAAATGAGATGATCTCAATATCCCCAGAAAGTGGCTCCTGTTTTTACTCTATCAACATCCATTTCCAAGACCCTGCCTCATTGCCTGTCAGAGTGTCGGGCCCTGGAACGCTCCAGCTGTGATAATGTCGTGGCCCTCAAGGACCACCCCCTCCCCAACCATGGAGGGACAAGCTAAATCCCTCCTTCATCACCACCGCCTGTTCCAGGCCACCATGGGTGCACACCCAGACTTCCTGTAGTAGTTTCTCCCATGGCCTCCCTGGCTGGTCTTTGCCTCACCTGCCCACTTTGCACACAAAAGCCACAACAATCTTTCTTTAAACCTTAAAACATTCTTTACATTGACTCTCCCTCTTTTCCTTCATTACATTTATTTTTAAAAGAAATTTTATTTCATAACTATACAGGGAAAATTAGCAGAACTGACGACAGATAGAAAGTAAACATGAAAACAAATACGATAGGTACAAAACAAGGTTGTCGAATTCCAGCTCATTTATTTGACAGCCTCTTACCCTCACAACCATGCTTTGTTATGACCATTATCTCATTTTAATCCTAAGTAAACTGAGTCCCAGAGAGATCAATTGATGTGCCAAAGTTCATAAAGCAAGGCAGGGAATGTACCACCCTAGTTTCCAGAGTTAAATGCCAGGCTGAGCCTGTGTTTTTGTCTTTTCCTCATCCTCTATAGTGGAGTCAGCAAAGTACAGCTCATGGGCCAAGTCCAGCCCAACATCTGTTTTTGGAAATAAAGTTTTATTGGCACACAGCCACTCTTATTTGTTGACGTATTGTCTGTGGCAGCTTCTGTACTATAATGGCAGAATTGAGTAGGTGCTACAGAGACCATGTGACCCTCAAAGCCTGAAATATTTATTATCAGGCCCTTTATAGAAAAAGTTTGCCAACCCATGTTCTAGATAGAAAAAAAAATGAAGTACATCAAAGAGAATAAGTTATAGTTCATGGAACACACATAATGTCTATTCTTCCCATGACTGCAACAAAATGTCAGTTAAAGAGAAATAAATGTTTTTTCAATGAATGATTTAAAAAACAGGAGTTAAAAAAAAAAAACAGGAAAACACTTAAGTGACCAAAGTCAATAAGTTTTCTATTGTTCAAAATAGGAATTGCTCTTATGACTTTATTCTTTCAGTTGATTCTGACAGTAAATTTATTCATTCATTTTTTTCATTCATTTGACAAATATTTATTTAATGTCTATACCATACTAAGCCAGTACCTGTAATAGCAACAGCATGTTCCATGCTGAGCAAATCTGACATTTTTCTTGCCTGAACATTGCTCACCTCTGGTGATAGACACAGTTGTTAGTCAAATAATTATAAAATTTGACTAGTCAGGGAAGTTGGAGGAGGCTTTCCTGAGGACGTTGTGTTTGAGGTAGGAGCTGAATGATGAGCAGGTGAAGAGGAGAGGGAAGTCCATCATCCCAGAAGGGAGGGTCCACATATGAAAAGGCCCAGTGGTAGGAGGGCACATAGTAGGCCCTAGGAAATTCAAAGCAAGATGCCTGTATGTCTGAAGAACAGAATGCAGGAGGGGCACATGGGAGAGAGGAGATTGGGGAGGCAGGTATCTCTGACCATACTGGGCTAAGAATTTCATGTTAAAGAGTTATTCTCCATCCTAAGAAAATGGAAAACATTGAAAGGGCTAAAGGGGGTGGTAGTTTTTTATGGGATGATCTTTCACCTTCATGGGTTCAGGAGTCCACATCAAATCCCTTATGGCTATGCCGAGTCTAATCCCTAGTCGTGCAAAGTATCTCTTCTCTGTGTTCCATAATCATCTGTTGTTCAGTTCAGGCATTTACAGTATTGCTGGAGCCAAGTAAAGCATGCACAAGTGCAGTAATAAGACAGACATTTTCAGGGCCGGGGGCAGTGGCTCATGCCTGTAATTCCAGCACTTTGGGAGGCTGAGGTAGACAGATCACTTGAGACCAGGAGTTCAAGACCAGCCTGACCAACATGACAAAACCCTGTCCCTACTAAAAATACAAAAATTAACTTGGCATGGTGGTGCACACCTAAGGCATGAGAATCTCTTAAACCCGGGAGGTGGAGGTTGCAGTGAGCTGAGATTGTGCCACTGCACTGCAGCCTGGGTGACAGGGCAAGACTCTGTCTCCAAAAAAAAAAAAAAAAAAGACATTTCAGTTTGCCCTTTCTAGATGAACCATGTGGCAAACTACACCTCTGGAAACATTTTTCTTTTGCTCACCATAGGCCCATCTTCTTTGAATGTACATCTTCATCTATATATTCCCTACTCTTAATCTATTTCTTTATAAGGTGCTAATAGGCCAGGTGAAAATTTCCACTAATCTATTAATAAAAGCAGACCAGTGATAGGCTTTAAGAATAAAGTCATGATAAAGTTAGCAAATACAGAGGGGAAAGAAACAGCAAAATGTTTGGGGTTTTTTGTTTGTTTGTTTTCGAGAACATTGCTACTTGGTTCCATTAGACTCCTTTGATTGTACATGACAGAAACCAACTCTGGTTATTTTCAGCAAAAAAAAAAAAAAAAAAAAAAATAGGAGGTAATGCAAGGCTATCTGATGGAGTGGTATTTGACTTGAGAGCTCATTATTGAGGAAAAACCCAGCCAAATGAATGTCTGCGGAATGAGTGTTCTAGGCAGTGCAAAGATCCTGAGGTGAGAGCAAAAGAGGTGTGCCACAGGGTTGGAGGAAAGACCCATGGGTGGGAGGAGGGTGAACATGACGGGGAGCACTCAGACTGATGAGACAGGGCTTTGTAGCTCATGGTAAGGAGTTTTAATTTCATTCTCTGTGATAGAAAGCCTTACATGTGTAGTAGTCCGTTTTCACAGTTCTATAAAAATACTACCTGAGACTGGGTAATTTATAAAGGAAAGAGATGTAATTGACTCACAGTTCTGCATGGCTGGGTAGGCCTCAGGAAACTTACAGTCATGGCAGAAGGCAAAGGAGAATCAAGTAACTTCTTCATAAGGCAGCAGGAAAAGAGAGTACAAGCGAAAGAGGAACTGCCAAACACTTATAAACCCATCAGATGTTGTGAGAACTCAACTCACTATCATGAGAACAGCATGAAGGAATCCGCCCGCATGATACCATCACCTCCCACCAGGTACCTGCCTCAACACGTGGAGATTATAATTCCAGGTGATATTTGGGTGGGGCCACAGAACCAAACCATATCATAGGGTTTTAAGTAAATGAGTGATATTATTTGAGTTAGAGTAGAGAAATATCACACTTCTATAAACAATTACTATATCTCAGGCACTGTATATCCACCTTAGGTCCTTTTCCTTTAATCTTCACCAATGAATGGGTACAATTATTATCACTTCTCAGATTAGTAAAGTGAGGCTTAGGGAGGAAAAGCAACTTGTTTGGAGTCACATAGTGACTATATGGCAAATCTGAACCTCAACCCTTGTCATCTGCCTCCAGTTCCTGGCTCAAAATACTCATTAAAGGCTCATTTTTATTGCCATTGTTTATGATGTTTATTTTTCTAACCCTTCCAAGAGTGTTTTGTGGATTGCATTATTCTTTTCTTCTCAATTTTATAAATAAAAGAGACTCGCCTCAAAATCACAACTGAAGGAAAAAAATAACAAACTTGTAGTTTCCTCTAAAGAACTTCACGGACACCCAGCTCAGAAGAATTTGGCCCGGCCAGGGATGGGGCGGGGAGGGAAGGACTGGCTGCCGCAATGTTTTGGGTTCGGCCATCCCATTTGTGAGAATTAGGAATGTTCTTTGGACAAAAGATCAAACACAAGCTTACTCCTTTCTATGCTGAGACGTTGCCCACTCGCTTCCTCTTTTGTATCTTTCCTGGTAACTCGACTTCAGTTTCTCTGATGGTAAAGAGATGAGATCAGCCACTAGGGGATCGGTCGATGGGATCAGGTTTCAGTCATCAAAAAATTACGTCAAGTGCTAAGCATGAGTTACCTTCCACTGCCAGTGTCAGCCCAGGACGTGACTGCAGGGCCATCAATCCTGCCTTCCTTGTCCTTGTAGATGTTAAAATACAGGGTACTCTGGGAATTCATTAGTGGGGGTGTTGCATGGGAAAGGAGGGGCTATGCTCCAGGAAAAGTGGGTATAGAGGCAGAGATGTAGCTTTCTAATGCTGTTACCTTGCACATTCTAACTATTAACTGCAGAGACATCTGCTGATTGTTTTCTTTACAAAGCGGGGGAGGGGGAGAAAATAAGAAAGTTAATTTCAGAGTTGGAAGCAGGTTTAAAATGACCTTCGTCAGTTATAAATATAACATCTACTTACTTTTAACCAGTTTATTTCCAATTCAATAACTTTTATTGAGTGTTTCCATCATAATAATTGTTTTTAAAAAGTTTACTATTAGAAAGTACTGAAAAGAATGTAGGAAAACAATTTCCTCCATAGTCCTACTATACAGAGGAAGATCCATTCTGTTTCCTGTCTATCGGCCTCTCTGCTCCTCTTTTAAATACTGAACCCAACTTTTTTATTGTTTCAAATGATGTGACTATATTGTACCTATGATTTGTGTGATAGGCGTCACACCCAGGAGGTGTGATGGTCCCCACCTGCTGAGATCCCTGTCCTTGTGTGATTTTATCCTCTTGAAAGTGGATGGACTTACCCTCCTCTAGTAAACAGAATATGGCAAACATATTGGGATGTCACTTCCAAGATTAGGTTATAAAAAGATGGTGGCTTCCATCTTAAGTGCACGCACGCTCTCTGTCTCTTTTTTTTTTTTTTTTTTTTTTTTTTGAGGTTTCAGGGCATCTTTGGTGCCACAGTAGCTCAAGAAGAGCCTTTTATTTTATTTTATTTTATTTTATTTTTTTTTATTATACTCTAAGTTTTAGGGTACATGTGCACATTGTGCAGGTTAGTTACATATGTATACATGTGCCATGCTGGTGCGCTGCACCCACTAATGTGTCATCTAGCATTAGGTATATCTCCCAATGCTGTCTCTTGAATCACTCACGCTGGGGGACAGCCAGTAGCTGTGGTGTGGGCTATCCTGTGGTTTGGTGAGATACTGAAGGCGTCACTAGGCAGTCCACAAGCCTGCCAGAAATCACTTGCCAAAAACTACATGAGTTAACTTAGGAGTGGACTCTTCATTCCCAGTGGCTTGACTGCAACCTGGTGAGAGATTCTGAATCAGATTCACTGAGCTAAGCCCCTTCTAGTTTCCTAAACCACAGAAACTGTGAGATAATAAATGTTTGTTGTTGTTAGTTGCTGGATTTTTGAATAATATGTTACACAGCAATTGATAACTAATATAATTTTTTATTCTGGTTTTCTCCATTAATTATGTCATAAGCATCTTATCAAGTGGTTATATTATATTGTAATAACCATGTTTATGTAACATCATCAAGTAGGAGTATTTATACTTATTTATTGCTTATTTAATCTCTCCTTTATTACAGGACATTTACTTTGTTCTGTTTTTTGTACTATAAACACCACTGTGGTGAACATCTTTTTATGTAGAGCTTCTATTTTTTTTTTAGCTATTATCCTAAAATAGATTGGAATTAGTTTTAGGATTAGGAATCAGCTTGGATTACTGGATCAAAGGGTAAGAATATTTGTATTTCTCTGGATTTTTATTACACAACTTCTCCCCAGTAGGAGAGATTAATCAATACACTACTACCAGAAATGCAGGTCAATGTCTACTTCATCTCACCTTTGCCTTTTATTTTGATTATTGACAATTTGATAGGCAAAATATTTCATAGTTTACAACTATTAAAAGAAAGAGATCATTTTCCTGGTCACCTTTCTTAAAAAAAAAAAAGGAATATACATAGGGGTTGAAATACTGAGATAAGGAACTAAATATTAATTAACTAGAAGAAGTGCTGTCCAATAGAACTTTCTGTGATGATGGAAATACCCTCTATCTGTATGTCTACACTAGTAGCACTAGGCATCTGTGGCTGCTGGGCCCTGTTAGCTAGTGCAACTAAGAAACTAGTTATTTTTTGAATTTTATTTTATTTTAAATGCCCACATGGAGTTAGTGACTACTATATTGAACTGCACTGTTCTGAAGGATTAAATGAAATACTAGCCTTCTATAGAAGAAAGCAGTTGAAGTTTGAGACACTGAAGCTTTCGCCTTCCTAACAATATCCCCTTTTCCCTACGCATTGGCTTTAAATAGGATGTCCCATGGGTCTGACATTTAAATCATAGTAACATTATTTCCATAAGGAATTCTATAAAATAAACATATGTTGCCTACCATAAAAGGACACGCTTAGAGGGACCTAATATCATTGATGTTTGTTTGAGATGCAAGGATCCTTGATTGATGGTTATATGATCACCACTTTCATTTAATCTCTGCTTCTACTTTCCAATATCCCTGCCTAGTGGTCTTGCAAACCATTACACTTGTCACAGAGGCTGGCATGAATGAGTCGATGGATAGATGAGTGGATGGAAGGGTGGATGGATGGATGGATGGATGGATGGATGGGTGGATGGATGGATGAGGATGGATAAAAGTAATAATAACAGCTAACACTCATAGTGTGCCTATTAAGTGTCAAAATTTGGACGCAAGGTTTTACCTGCAACATTTCATTCCCATTCAATCTTTGTAACAGCCCAAAGAGGCAAGTGTCACTAATTTTTCCTGTCTGACAGATGAGGAAACTGAGGAAATAACTAGTAAGTTACACAGGCCATGTTTGAACCAGATTTGTCTGCCTTCAAGCCTTTTCCTAATCAATTATCCAACATCACACCATGAAGCTGTGAAATACAGCACCATGCATTATTTACACCTTGTCACATTGTCGTGGTGGCGATTGAAAATTTTCTCCTGCAGGTAGCTACAGATGCTAGGGAGAAAATGCTCAAAACTGACAGGTACCTCACTTGTCTCTAAAAGTGGCTCTTTCACTTTTTATTGCTGACCAACTTCTAATGTGTCAGTGCTATACTAATGTGGTTAACTGTTTGCCTGGGGCAGAAAAATAAAGCTTCTGACATGCAATTAAAACCTGTCTTGCCCAATTGGGCGACTAATGAGATCAGCAAGAGTGGAAGCTGCCTAGTTAAGGCGTAGTTTGTGTCTCAGATCCATTTCATGGGGCAAGTGAAAGAGTGGCCAAGTGGAGTCGCCTGATGGTGAATTTGAAACATAATTAGGTAGTCCTCCCAGCCACCCTTGACTGCCCATTTGGGTCCACATGCAGACTCACTCACAACGGTGACTGCAAACCCTTGCACAGCCACTTAACACTGAGCTCCTTTCTGATGGGCTCACACAGCATTCCCATCATTCTGTCCTCTGGCCTGGACACTGAAGTTCATCACAAACTTTCTAGTTTCAGATGGTGGCATATGTTTAGTTGTCCCGTTCCCAAATCTGTGAACTCTTTGTTCCTGCAATGACTTATCAGAAACTAATACAAGTTGAAGATTTGTCTAGAATGGGCTGTGACGACAACTGGACATCTCCACCCTTTGAGGATATTGCTGGGAGCTTAGAGTCCTTGTTAGATTTCCCCATCCTTGGTTTTGTTATTAAAAGATTTCTCAGGAGGTATTGGGGCAGTTTCAACATATTCTATTAATCAAGTTAGTTTTGATTTACTTTATTCAACAAATGTTCATTGAAAACCAACTGGGTAAGAAAAATTCTAAGTGTGGTGCACACAGACATTGAATAAGGCGAATTTGGGCTGGGCATGATGGCTTACACCTGTAATCCCAACACTCTGGAAGGCTGAGGTGGGAGGATTTCTTGAGGCCAGGAGTTTGAGACCAACCTGGGTAACACAGCAAGAGCCTGTCTCTACAAAAAAAACTAAACATTTGAAAAATTAAAAATTAGGCCAGGAGTGGTGGCTCATGCATGTAATCCCAGCACTTTGGGAGGCTGAGGTGGGTGGATCACTTGAGGCCAGAAGTTCAAGACCAGCCTGGCCAACATGGTGAAACCCCATCTCTAATAAAAATACAAAAATTAGTCAGGCATGGTGGCACATGCCTGTAGTCCTAGCTACTTGGGAGGCTGAGGTAGGAGGATCACTTGAGCCTGGGAAGTAGAGGTTTCAGTGAGCCAAGATCACACCACTGCACTCCAGCCTGGGCAACAAAGTGAGACTCTGTCTAAAAAATAATAATAATAAAATAAAAAATCAAAACAAAAATAAGGCAAACTCTCTGCCTGCATGCAGCTTACAATCAATGGTTTGAAAAAGACAATAAACAGGTACATAAATATCTGAATAGGATAATCTCAGATGCTGCTAAGTATTATATTAAAAAAACCTGATAATGTAATAGTGAATGACTAAAAATAAAGGTGGGAACAACTATGGAGACAACGGTCAGAGGAAGGTGACATATAGGCTGTGACCAGAAGGCTGAGTAGTCCCAGTCATGACAAAAATCTGGAGGAAGACCTTTCTACACAGAGGAAGCAGCAGGTACAAAGGTCCTGGGGTGAGAATGAGTTGGGTTTGTTCTTTCTGGAAAAGAAAGATGGTGGCTGGAGCTCAATGAATCCAGAATAAAGTGGGAAGATGAATGTAGAGGCCAGCAGAGGCCAAGTCACATATGACTATGCTGTCTGTGGAGGTGAGCTTTTATTCTACATCAAGAAGGATATAGTTTACATCTACTGTAACCAGACACTAAATTGAGCACTTTATATACATTTTCTCTTCTGATCTTCACACCAACCATATAAGGTAGACATTATTTTCACTATATAGGTGAGAAAACTGGTGCTTAGGCATGTTTAATAACTTTCCTAAAATCACAGGTAGGAAGCAGGGAAGTCAGGCTTCAAACCTATGTTTGACCCCATCACTCATTCTCACAGTCACCAAGCTGTGCTGAGATCAGACTTTGTGTCAGGGTGGAGAATGGTAGGGAGTAATGTTTTGTTTGTTTGCTTGCTTGTTTGTGTGTGTGTGTGTGTTTGTGTGTGTGTATGTGTGTGTTTAATAAGGGACTCTAGGTATTCCTCATATCATATCAATTGGATGGCAGTTTAATTCATAATGTCTTAAACATTGCAATCTCAAATTGTTCTTCCTGGAGGCCTGTGTGTTTGAATGAGAGGTGCAAGTGGTGAAGGTGGCAGAGAGGTGAACTTTGCAGCACCTGTCAATGCACGCTCCCACTGGGTGGGGTATTACGTCCCCCGTAGAGTCATGTGAAGTTATGACAAATGTGACATTAGCACCAAATTGGAATAAAGAAGACAAAGTTGAACATGTGAATAACTGTCTTTCAAGGTGTTTCTTTATGCCCAGGTGACAAAAAGTCCCTGGTACATTTCTGTCTGATTTTCTGACAAACTGACTGCCACAATCTGGCAGGGAGTGGCAATAGTCGCCTTGCCAGTCATGGGCAACCTGATTTGTTGGACTGCAGGGTCTGTCTGGCATCAGTTGGTCATTGTTCTTTTTGGCATCATGGGTGTGTGATTATGTCCAGAAGGCAAGCAAACCTCAGTCCCCGAGATCAAGTGCACTCTCAATTTGATTTGTTCAGGGTTTGTCCAATGGCACTGTTGACATTTTTGTCTGGATAGTTGTTTGCTGATGGAGGCTGTCCTGTATATCGTCGGACGTGTAGCCCCTACCCTCAGATACCACTAGCACCTCACCCCAGGCTGTGACAGACAAAAATGACTCCAGACATTGTTCTATGTCCCCTAGGAGCCAACCTCCCCACCTGAGAAATGAAAACCACTGGCTTATTCACATAGTCTAGTTTATGAGAATGGAATGTGTTCTTAGTTAAACTCCAAAAGAGTTAAAATCCACTCAAATATACCAATCCTGAAGCTAGAAATAACATCTATGGCTGGCTATTCAGAGACTTTGCCTTAGAAAACTTATGATGAATACTGGAAAAATTGATTGAATATATATGGATTCCATGACATACTCTGAAAGATGTTTTTGCTTGTCTGTCTCCTTGTATTAGGATAATTAAGGCTAGCTGGTGAAACAAACAGCTAAACATCTCAGTGGCCCAACACAGTAAACATTTATGTTTCACATGTACAAAGTTGATCTCCACGTGGTGACTCAGATGCAACCTTCTTTCCAGGGTAGCTCTGCCATCTGGAGCATGTGGCTTCCAAAACCATTGAAGGTGTGAATGAGTTCTGTAACTGATGCCCATCACTTCTTCCCTCATCCCATTGGCCAGAAACTGGGAAGAGTGGTCTTCCTGTAGCAAGAGAAAGAAGAAATAGGATTTGGCAAACAGGTGGCATCACTTCTGCTATCATCCTAGATATCGGCTTTTCAGTTTATTGAATAATGTTCAAAATCTTCTTGATTTGTAACCTGAATTACAAATAAACAATAGTTATGACAGTACAGTCTTCCCTAAACATGCCAAGCATCAGAATTACAGACTCCTCACGTCCTGCCCATCCATTCCAATTTGAGAGGTCTGAATGAGGTTCAGGAATCTGTAATTTTTACTTGCTCCAGGTAAGTGGGATGGATAGGTATCTAGGACTCACTGGTCTCAGATCCAAGTAGTCTTACATCTTCATTTTTACTGCCCTTCATTAGGTTAAGAAATTGAGAGTTGGTTCTCACCTTTCTGGGCTTTATTTGAAACAAAAACTGTATTGTCAGCTGGGTTCAGCTCTTCCTCCAATCTGGTAAACTCTCCAAGCCATAATTGTACCAGCTTCTGGCCTCTCAACGTCATTGCTCCAGCCGTGTTGAGCTCTAGTCTCCCATGCTTCCTTGACCAATGCTCCACACTGCTCAGTAATCTCTTAGGAAATGCAAATCTGTTGGTTTTAATTCTTTGCCCAAAGTCATCAATGATTTCCCATTGTCCTAGGATCAAGTCCAGATGTTTTATTATCTACCTAAAACCCTTTTCTTCCAGCTCTCTTTTTTAACTACATCGCCAAGGCTAGCATGGTTCCTGGCATATAGTAAGCCCCTCAAAAAAATCTGTTGCATGAATGAGTTTGTAGAATGCACTGAACTGTGCATATATGTAAATTTAAACTTGTCAGAAGAATTAGATGTCATTCCCCCTCCCCTTTTTAAACAGAATCCAGTTTATATCAGTTCTTCACAGTGTCAAGAACTCAAGTCTTGAGAATAGTTGTCTATTTTTATAGAAATTTGCATATCAATTAATAAATTTTGCACATGTGCATGCCCAGGTATGTGCCTATATATACATTGTATATTATACTTATGTAAAGGTATTTATACACAGTTATGTAACCAATGTATGGTATGTATACTTATACATTCATAAGTAAATATATTCAATAAATGTATGTGTGTATAAGTGTGTATATTTACATATATATGCCCATTTTTTCTGATCTGCATACCACCATTGAAGACAAGAATGCTACTTGTCTTCAAGAATGCTACAAGAATAACTACTGTTTGGAAAACAGATGTGAAAACTGAGGCTTGCAGAGGAAAATCAACTCTAGCAGAGCCACATAGCTAGTAATTACAGAGCCAGGTTTTGAATGGAGATCTATTCAGCCCCAAAGTCTAGACTTTGTCTTTCGATTACACTGCTTTTCTAGGGCTATGCTGCTTCTAATTCCATGTTAACATTTATACTGTAAACAGAATCGCTGTTCCTCATAAATAAGCAAATGAAATTGACATCTAGGCTAAGAAGCCGTAGACTGCAGCCTGTATCTACTGTAATGTGATTCTGAAAGAGTTTTGTTCATTTTCTCTTAGGATAGATACAGTTTTGTATTTCCTAGCAAGCGTATGCCAAAATCTGAGTCTGCTTCCTTAGAAGTTTGGCATCTCTTCTCTCTCCTAAGATGAACCAGGGTTTCTGAATCTTGACAACCTTGACGCTATTGAACCAGATACTTTCCTGCTATGATGGTGGTGGCGGGGGCCGGGGAGGCTGTCCTGGGCACTGTACACTGTTGAGCAGCATCCCCGGCCTCCACCCACTGGATGATTGTAGCACCTCTCCCCCAGGTTGTGACAATCAGAGAATGTCTCCAGACGCTGGCAAATGTAACCCCAGTTGTGAACGCTGAAATGTGTGGTATGAAAAAAGGTTTCTAATCATAATGCTGAGCTTAGCGGTACTAAAATAGACCTTTATATAATGAAAGGGCATTGGTTTGTCTTCCTTAAGGTGAGGGATATTGGATGTTAGGACGTCAGAGTGGTGTTTGGGCCCAGCTCTAGCCTTGCCCAAGACACACGTCTCTGGCTCTCCCTCCTCCAGTCCCAAATCCCCACACCTTTGATGGTGCTCCTCTCAAAAGGAAGGAAAGACAATAAAAAATGAAAAGAAAAAAAGTAATTAAAAAAAAAAAACACAAAAAGATATAGTTTCAAAATTACATGTCCTTACAGTCTGTCCAGCTAATAGAATTATGCACCGCAGCTTTAATTTAGACATCGAGTTTCATCTCTTACTTAAATGTATCTGTGTGTTTTAATAGGAACATTCAGCTTTGCTTTTATTAATGCAAAAACATTAAGGCACCAGCCCTCGATCCGAAAGCCTTAAAGGGCTGTTTCCAACAGAACCTGTCATAAAATGTGCTCTCAAGCGTGTCCCCTTTAAGAGACTCCAGAATTAAATGTTCCCGTATGTGAATTTTATTTTGTACAGCACATTTGCTTTATGGCTACAATTAAGTTAGATGTGCCGATAACAATGTCTGTTTTCCATTTTAAATCGCACATTTCAGACAGTGTGCATTGTTTTATTATCTAATCCACATGCTTTTAATTGCAATTATGGTCCCTTATGAGTCCCCTGGGAGGGCATGATTGCAATTAAAAATGTAATTTAAATGTTAATTAATTACATTCATTTTCTAAACTGGGAAAATTTCATTTATTATTTTCATGTGTTGTGCACTTATCCTAAATGCATTACCTTCTAAATGTTTTTTTTTTCCTAAATTAAGTGTTATGTTTATAAAACAGGGTGTTTAATACCCTTTAAAATTTTTGTGAGGGTGTTTGTACAAATTATTACTTTAAATTAATTGATTCTGAGCTATATGCAGGAGCTATATGTTTAATATATAATAAAAATAATTTTGTTGACTTTTCTGAGGCTAAAACATGGTATCAAAATATATGTTTTTCTCATTTATTTTCTGGTTGACTTTGATATGGAAAGTCTACTTCTTATGACTATCATTATTATTGTTTTTTCTTAAACAAAGGAAGAAAGGTATTGTTACTACAAATGATACAGATCATTAATAAGAAAAGGGCTTTCCCCCTAGATGAAAATTGCAACCTCTAAAGAAGAAATTTATAGGTAGAGTAATAAGTCATCCTGCCTCATATGAATAAAGGGGAACAAAAAAAGAACCACAAGGACATGAAGCTTTAAAAATCATTGTAACTTACGAGGAAAAAAAATGATTGTTGTATGCATATCTCAGTTTATCCAGTCAGCCCTGTCATTTTTCTGTCTATCTCACTTTGCCTAGAACAAGAGGGTCATTTTAGATATGAATTATAAAGCAATGTCTATCTACTTTAAACTCTGAACCATATCAATTTTGGTTGGTTTTAGTGAATTAAAGTGTAAGTCCCAAGAGGACAAGGGCAGAATTTGTGTTTTTCCCAATTCAATTCCAAGTATATGCTACATGTGATCAATTAATAAAAAGGCTTTTGAGGATTTTCTTTTTTCCATTTGTTTCCTCTTCAATTGGCCAAATCTTCTTCTAGCTCTTTTATTTTAAAAATGCCTGCTATGTCTGAACTCTAGCTATTGTTTGGGTTTTATTTTTATTTTTATTTTTTAGATTTAAAATATTTAAAAGATGTCTTAGGAAAATTCTAGTCAGTTAACAGTTTAAGCTGCTCTGTGGGTAGAGGAGGAAGAAATAAGAGAGAAAAGAAAAAGTTCCCAGACTTACAACGTTCAACAAATACTTATGGCATCTTTACTCTGGAGTCTAAGCTTGAATCGTTTGTAAAATCGACTCTGTGCCTCCTCTGGGCCAGATTATGTTGCTAAATCCTCACAACCATCCTGTGAGGTGAGTACTATCATTATTTCTGTTTAACAGAGAGGAAACTGAGGCACAGAGCATTCTGGTAACTTGCTAAAGCTTCACGGCTAGAAAGAGGGAAAGCCAGGATCTGTGCCTTGGAAGACTGACTCTGGACTTGATATTCCATTCGGTCCTCTTCACCAGAGCATGGCTAAGAAACACTAGCAAACTTGAGGGAATCACGAGAGTGGACTCCACACAGCAGGTAGAGAGGAATGATAGGAGGTAGGCTCTGAAGACAAGCTCTGTGGGTTTGAATCTACTTTGCATTTGTATAACCTTGGACAAATTACCCTCCCTGCTGTAAGCCTCAATTTCCTGTTCTGTACAGTGGAGGAATGGCAGTACCTGTCTCATAATGGTCTTGAGCTGGTGCATGACACATAATGAACACAGTGCTCCCAGCACAAGGAAATATCAACTGTAGCTGCTACTATTAAATAGAGCTCTGCCTTCAAGAAGCTTACAGTCTAGCTGAGAACAGGAGTAAATGATAGAAGGCCAGGGGGAATAACTTTAACAAAATAAAATAAAGTAGATTAAAATAAAAATCACCAAATTGTCCATCCATAAAGGATTGGCCAAATAAACTATATCCTATCCACCTGCTAAAATGCTAGGTAAGTATTTAAATAATAATAAAGCGGAGGCTGGGCGCTGTGGCTTACACCTGTAATCCCAACACTTTGGGAGGCAGAGGCAGGCGGATCACTAGGTCAGGAGTTCAAGACCAGCCTGGTCAACATGGTGAAACCCCGTCTCTACTAAAGATACAAAAAATTAGCCAGGCATGGTGGTGTGCACCTGTAATCCCAGCTACTCAGGAGGCTGAGGCAGGAGAATCGCTTGAGCCCGGGGGGCAGAGGTTGCAGTGAGCCGACGTAGCGCCACTGCACTCCAGCCTGGGCAACAGGGTGAGACTCCATCTCAAAAGAAAATTAATAATAATAACAATAAAGCAGATCCATATGGATCAAGCTTTTAGGTATATTGTTAAATGAAACAGTCAACAGTCTGAACAGTTGTGTAACTGAAAAGGGGATGGATGGGTGGGTGGGTAGGCAGGTAGGTAGGTAGAAAGTATTTTTGTAAATGCACGATCATGTTCTGGAAAGATATGAGACCATACACAGTGATGATTTGGGGGTTGGGGCTGCCAGGAAGGTGTGTGGAAGGCACCCAGGATCTTGTTTTGTTTTGTTTGTTTAGATTTTATACCTCTGTGTGTAGTGTGTGTGTTTTACAAAGTCCATGTGATACTTTTAATTTTAGATAGAACTTCAAAGTATACACAAACACATACAGACAGACATACACACACATACACATACCCATGAAGGCATGGCCCTGACCACAGGGAAATTCAGGAGGGAGAGGAAGGGGAAATGGAGAGGAAGAGACATCTCAGGATGCTGGAGTGACCAGCATGGCTTTATCTGTGTGTTGTCCTAGCTCTAACGGTTTTAGCATGGGAGAGATGTCAAATGGGCTAGAGTAAGAACAAAGCGTTAGAGCTAGGATAGGGTTGTGCGCCCAGCCAGAAGCTGATAGAGAATTAAGGGGAAAGTTGGCCCCTTGGGTAATATTTAAATCTATGAAGAATAAAATCAAGTAGAAAAAGAAAAAGGAAAACAAGAGATTCCTTGCCTTGAGCTTCAGATCTAAGGAGAAACTTTCACAAACCCCACTAGCAGTTGAGACCTGGGGACTCAACCATAAGTCTTGCTGTTTGTCAAAAGCAACCCTTCATAGGCCATGTCGAATAAGTTCCAGCATTTTTAATTAAATTGGGGCCAGTGGAATGGGTCACAGATGGACTGGGCTCATTTTCAAATCTGCTTCTGCTAACTGTGTGCCTTGTAGGACTCAGCACCCACCTTCTTTATCTGCAGAGCAAGAATGATAATACTGGTGGGTGGATGCCTATCAAGCTCTGAGTTGTCAAGCCTGGCACTCAAGGCTTAGCTATCATGACGCCTGTGTCTCTGGGACATGCTCAGGGTTATTCTCCTTTAGGCTCTGCCTTGGTCACGTGGGTTCCAACAAAGGAAAATGTAAAATGGAATTTGGGGTGATTCAAGTCCACGGAGGGGCAGTCCCAGTGTAATATTTAGACAAATCCAGAGAAATGCAGCACTTTTTAAATTGGGTCCCAAACAAAAATGGCATAGTGGTAGGAAGGAGGCAGCGTGAAGGAGGAAATGGATCAAGAGCAGGAGAAAAATAAAAGAAAAAATGAATAGGAAATTGCAGGACCCCATTTCTGAGGGTCTGAATAAATAATCTTTCTTGGCTCTTCGTTTTTTCATTATTTTACAAATGTCTTTCTCTCGATGAGTTTCTGTTTGCTGGCTTTTAGAATGAGACGTAACGGGGGCAGCAAGAGGATGATTCCTGACTATGTTATAGCTCCCTGGGCTTTTTCTTCTCCTTCTCCTCCTTCTTCTTCTTTCTTTTTTTTTTTTTTTTTTTTTTTTTTTTCAACGGAGTTTTGCTCTTGTTGCCCAGGCTGAAGTGCAATAGCACGATCTCGGCTTGCTGCAACCTCCTCTTCCCAGGTTAAAGCAATTGCCTGCCTCAGCCTCCCGAGTAGCTGGAATTACAGTCGCCCACCACCACGCCTGGCTAATTTTTTGTATTTTTAGTAGAGACTGGGTTTCACCATGTTGGCCAGGCTGGTCTCTAACTCCTGACCTCAGGTGATCCACCTGCCTCGGCCTCCCAAAGTGCTGGATTACAGGTGTGAGCCATTGCACCTGGCCCCCTGGGCGTTTTTTTCTTCTGCCTTGGCCCTTGGTGGTTTTGTCTGATGCTCAATGGCCAGAAGGAAACACACCCTTGTGCTTATATCAACGGCTTTCTTCCAGGAAGCATGGCACTGCTTTCAGAGCATGCACACATTGTTATCTTGTCTGTTCGAGGGAAGTCAGGTCAGTCTTCTCATCTGTCTCCCACAGATAAGCAGCTGAGGCAGAGGGTGGATTGGGGTAGGGCAGATAGTGGCTGCTCCAGGCCATACAGTGAATCAGGAATTAGTGCCAGAATGAGAAGTTCCATCGGCTCCTCTAGATTGCTTGGATTCAGATTGGTGGTACCCCGACCTACAGACTTGGTTAGCATGTCACAAAGACTGACTTCCCCCAACCTTTGTTGCATTCATTCAGCTAAACTTTACTGGGCACATGCCAGCTGCCTGTCCAGGTGTGGGGAATCCTTCAGTGAACAGAACAGAGCCTTATTCTCATGGAGATTATTTGCTAGCAAAGGAGACCCAGAGTAAAAACGTAAATAAATAAACAACGTAATTTCAGATCATTACAAGTGCTGTGAAGAAGATGAGTGTGCACACACCCCTTTAATCCAGATATTTGACACTGACTGGACAGAGTTAAATTCCCTCCTTGCTCTTTCATTCACAAGGTGTTTGACAACAGGTGCTGAACTGCTGGAGTTACTGCTCCTTAGTTCTAAGGTCATCTTCAGGCTTTTCCCTCTCAAATGCCTTTTCCACATTTTCCTCCTATTTTCTCTCCCTCTTTCTTTTACCCGTTTTCCCCTCCTGTCTGTATCTTCTCCCTGATAAGCCTCAAAGAATGCCTCATAGACTGAAATAGTTCTTTGCCCTCATCCTTAAAAGTTGCTGAACACCTGTAGCCAGCAGGTGTCAGAGGGACAGTGCTAGAATCCTTTTGGGAGGAGGTGTCTGCTAGGCTTAGCTCACCTCATTCCCCAGTGCAGGGAGCCAGCGGGTAGGTTTCTCAAAGCCCTCTTAATTGAGGGTTGCTAGGGAGCATTGTTAGAATGAAAAACCAAGGGGACGTGACTGAGGACTCCCAACCTGTGCATGTTTCCTACAGCATTGATTACTGGAGTTGGTGACCGGTACTGGTGCAAAACTCCCTAATTATTTCACAGGGCTTAAGTCAAGAGTAACAGGATATTAGTGATTTAATCAACATTGTTATCTCTAAATTATATTTTTATTTAGAAGTTGTATTTCTTTGTTTCTTTCTTTTTTTTTTTTTTTTAGACGAAGTCTCGCTCTGTCACCAGGCTGGAGTGCAGTGGTGCAATCTCGGCTCACTGCAACCTCCGCCCCCTGAGTTCAAGCGATCCTCCTACCTCAGCCTCCCGAGTAGCTGGGACTACAAGCATGCGTCACCACGCCCAGCTAATTTTTATATTTTTAGTAGAGATGGGGTTTCACTATGTTGGCCAGGAAGGTCTCGAACTCTTGACCTTGTGATCCACCCGCTTCGGCCTCCCAAAGTGCTGGGATTACAGGCACGAGCCATCGCACCCAGCCAGAAGTTGTATTTCTTTATGTATTTATTTTTGTTATTATTGTAGAAATTATATTGTAGAAATTTTTTGTTATTATCATTGTAGAAATGGGAGTCTTAGTATGTTGTCCAGGCTGGCCTCGAACTCCTGGCCTCAAGTGATCCTCCTGCCTCAGCCTCCCAAAGTGCTGAGATTACAGGTGTGAACCACTGCATCCAACCACTGTATGCATCTTTGTAACCTACCTGCCTTACCAGGGGTAAAAGGACACCTAAACCAGCTCCCAGGAAAACCTCTGTCCTTACCCAGCATGGTTTTAGATTCCAATACAGGTTAAAATTGCCGTGGCTCATGTGAAGATGAAGAGTTAGTATAAATTGTTAGTTCAGGATTTAGTGGAGTGCATCTCAAATTTTAATGTGCGTATGAATCTACTGGGGATCTCATTAAAATGTAGATTCTGATTCAGCAGATCTGTGCCGAGATTCTACATTTCCAAGGAGCCTTCACTGGTGCACATACGGCTGGTCCTCAAACCACACTTGAAGAAGCAAGGCTTTAGACTTGCCCTTTAATTCCAGTTCTTTCTTCAGGGCTGCATTAGGTCTTCCATGAATCCTTGGCACCTTTACCTTCGGGGCCCCTCGCATTTAAAAAGATATTAAAAATTATATCCTATGATTACATTAGTATACAGACAAATATGTTAATCTACATTTAAGCAGTTTCTTCTATCTAAAAGTTCATTATTTTTCTTCTGATTTTAAAATAAATAAAAATCTGGTCATGGACCCACACATAATGTTTCTAGGGACAGTTCCTAGGTGCTCTCCCTACAGTGCCCAAGGTAGGACTTGATCCCAATGTTGAGAGGAGTTGCCCCTTACTGACTTCATGCTGAAACTCTCAGAGCCTCTATTTCCTCATCTGTAAAATGGGGATCACAGTATCTCTCGCACTGCTTTGGCTCTTTGCACAGTGCCTGGTGCATTGTAAGCACTCTGGAAATGTTAGCTTTTGTCTCCAAAAGTTACCTGGCTCCCCGTTAGCTGTCACTGTCTCATGACCTATTAAAAGTCAGATCCTACACACATCACTGCTGCTCTCTTAAAGCTGTTTGATATGTCCTACTGGTTGCATGACCTGGATAATTTCCATAAATTAACCTCTTTTACCTTCCATTTCTGCGCTACCCTGCTGTTCCTCTTCTGGAAGGACCCTATCATCTCTTGGACGCAGCAGACAGCGATGCCACACGAACTTCTGCCATGACACTCGGCACCTCCCGCGAGTGCTCAGACACTCATCTGCAGCTTGCTCTCTAAACTCATCATTTCTGTAGAAAGGCAGCACAGCCCCTGATGGATCTGGAATTAACTGTCGATTTTTCTGCCTGTCACTCTGAGAAGAGGAAGGGACCATAGAGCTAATCACATGAGGCATCACCATCACTGTTTTCATGTTCTTTTGTTTATCTTAGCCCCTGACTCCTCTTGATTGTACTTGCCTCAATCCTAAGACTCTGTCCATTGTAAAACATGCTGTAGATTTGGCCAAAGCTTTTTTGGGGAGGAGTGAGTGAGAGGTGGAGAAGGAACCCTCGCATATTAAATGTACACACAAATTGCATCCCAATTTCATGTGGAAATTAAAATAAGGTGATTTCAGAGTGAAGGAAATGCAATCATGTTTTATGGAGTTTGATAAAATCCCATAGTCTCATTAAGGAAATAGTCATCACCAGGATGTGGGCCTCACTTTATAAGAAGATAGAGTAAAATGAAGCTTAATTTTCCTTTGTAATATTTTTGATACTTCCAAATAGTGATAGCATCCAGTCATAGCATCGCCAAATGATAGATGCAGAATTTGCTATAAATTTGGATTTTCAAGCTATATCCTTTTTCATTTTCTTCTATAGGAATTCCTATCACATGTACTCTTTGAAGTAGTAATGTAAGATCTTAAGTTTTCATAAGCACTTTGCATTGCAATTCAGAGCATCCACTCATGCGAAACATAAGCTGTAGTTTTAGTGTGATTTTTTTAAAGGGGAAAGGGGTCAAACCCTTGCCAGTTGGTCAAACTCTTTTCTTTTTAGTTTATCTTCATCACAGTCCAAATCTTTCTCATTGAACGGGAAACATTTTCTGATCTCAACCTTTATTGATACAAATGTTGATTTTTTTTTTTTTAAGGAAAAGAGTATCTCCTTCCTCAAAAGGGATTTCATTTGAGTGTTTCTTTCTCATTTTCTTCGAAGTAATTCTTCCAAATTGACCCACACCACATCGAGTCTTGGTCTCCACTGCCAACCTCAATTATAAAATGGAAACTAGGTGAACAAATTATCAAACCTCTGTATGGGAAATGTGGAAAACATTTAGAAATATTCACCAAGATTTACTTCCAGCCATCATGACTTAATCACAGGTGCTGCATCCGTAATTTTCACCTTACAGAAAGTACATAAGCAGCTTTGCAGATTTCAGTGCTAGGATGCCAAAGGATCCAGAGAAGTCATAGGTGAGACTTCAGGTGGACAAACTACCTGGACAGTTGACAAGGTTTCCGGCTGTTCCAGAAGCTCACGTGCCACCTGAGTAGGCTTACTGAGTGATAGCCCATAATTGACAGGTATTACCTCTTGACTCTGAACATCTGGTCTCCCATTTACTCCCTCCCCTGGTTCTTCTGTGACCCATCGTCATTGTCCAGGCGGCCTTGCCTGTTGAACATATCGCTTGACCAGCACTGCTTCCTGGATATCTGTAGAGCCTTTGGCATACCCACACGTGTATTTTATAAAATTTAAGTTCAAACTAAAGCGTGCTGGGGGCCAGAGAAGATAAATGCCAGCTTTTTTATCGTCAAGGTAACGATAAGAGATTCACTAGAATTTACATAGCACCAAAGTCGATTTACGTGCTTATTTACTCTGTTGTTCTCCTTTAAAAAAGATGGAGTTACCCTAGCAACTGTAAGATCACGTGATGTTCAGAATAACCGTAATGGAAACACCTTCTGAAAGGAAAATACGCATTTCACCAGATGCATATTATAGGCACATAAACTGTCATTTATAGAATGTCGAACCATTTTGGAAATGATTGGAGGAGGTTCATGTGGCATTGAGTACTTTCCCCATTAATTACTTCAGTAGCTTCAGAGATTCTGTGACAAAAGAAAGAGATTGGGAGAAAGGGAGGGCTTTGGATCTTCTCCTGGGCATGTTGATAGAATTGTACACTGTATCTCGATAAGCACAGCAGCAGAAAGAGCACATTACCAAAATCCATCTTTCATTACATTTTTGCATTTGGGTAGAATCTATTACTCTATTCAAACTTTGTTCCAATTCCCAGGATGATGGCATTTTCCCTAGAGGGATGGTTTGCTTTGTCTAAAGCAGAATACTCAAAGGGAACAATCCGAAGTAGAAGAAACCCCCAAGAAATGGCTTGGTCACTCAGCCAATTGGGTTTCATTTCAGTTTTACAAATTAATTTGCTGAAGTCCAGGGTGAGATACAGGTTTATGCAGAGATCACACCAGGGCAGCCCTTCCTGATTTTGGTTCAGTCTTGCATGCTCAGGATAAATAAAGCAACCCTGGAGAACTCTGTAGTTCTAAAACTCATGTAGGAGGGGCCACAACTGCCAACATCCTTCTCCTAACACTGCTGAAATGTATTTGATTAGGAGCACACCATTCGGGTGATAGGTACACTAAAAGCCCAGATGTCACCAAAGCAGAATGTATGTATGTAAGAAATCTGCACTTTTACCCCTAAATATATTTTTTAAATTAAAAAAATTATAAAATAAAATGAAAAGATCACTTGTTAACACAAAGCAAAAAGGGACAAGGAGCTGCCTTACTGAGTCAGACATGTGGCTCCTAGGAATTGGAGCTTTTGTTTTGCAGAATAATATAAATTAGATCCCATGATCTCCTATCCACGATCTCATATCCAGACCGTCTGGATAGGAGGGTCTGCCCTTTAGACTTAGCTAAAACCCCAGCCAATTGCCTTATTTCCTGGTCCCTCCCCTTCATTGAGTGTACCCCACCATTTCTCACCTTTCTTTTTCACATGTTCCTCCTTTCCCCAGCTCTTCGCTGTCTCAGTGTTTTTGCAGTTAAGTTTCTCCTAACTTCACTGTCATCTCCTGGAAGAACTTACCCTGGCCCCGCTAGATAAAGAATCTCTTCTCTACATCCCTTTTTCTCTTTTCCATAGCTCCAGTCACTCTCTGAAATGATATTGTTCATGGGTGTGTTTGTTCCTTATCTGTTTCCCCAACAAGACAATAGACTCCGCAGGGAAAGGACCATGTTGTTCTTTTTTCACAAAGGTACCCCAGCTCCAAGAAGAGTGTCTGGGGTGTAATTGCTGCTGTGTACATATTTACTCCACAAACAACAGACTGGAAGACAGTCTAAATAGATTCTGTTTCTGACAGATCAAAGGAAACAAACAGAAGTTCAGCATCTCTCTTGAAAACAAATACACTGGACAGAAAAAAGAGGTCTGGAAAGATGGACTGAGCCCACAGACACAGAAAAGCATCTAACAAATCAGGGGCTCTGAGGAGTGAGGAGTAGGGGGTCGTTGCTTTTATTTAGAAATTAACAACTGTGGGCCGGACACGGTGGCTCACACCTCTGATCCCAGCACTTTGGGAGGCCGAGGCGGGCAGATCACGAGGTCAGGAGATTGAGACCATCCTGGCTAACACAGTGAAACCCTGTCTCTACCAAAAATACAAAAAATTAGCCGGGCGTGGTGGTGGGCGCCTGTAGTCCCAGCTGCTGGGGAGGCTGAGGCAGGAGAATGGCGTGAACCCGGGAAGCGGAGCTTGCAGTGAGCCAAGATCAAACAGGAGAAAGAGAAATTAACAGCTGTGCCCAGACAGCCAGTGTGGCTGACCAGAAAGACTGAATTTAGCAAAACATGGTTTTAAAAAAATTAAATGAATGAAATAGGTGAAGAAGTGATGGTAGCAACATGTGGGCCTCAATTCTCTGACTTTTTATTTGATGATCTTAGGATATTATGCATCAGTCCATGTTGCCCCATCAAACACCTACTACGTGCCACATATAGTGCCTAGGCCGGCCTGCCTTCCTTTCCTTCCTTCCTTCCTTCCTCCCTTCTTTCTCTCCCTCCCTTCTCTCCCTCCCTCCCTCTCTTCCTTTTCTTTCTTTCTTCCTTCCTTTTCTTTCTTTCTTCTTCTCTTCCTCACTCCCTCCTTCCCTCTTGACTCCCTCCTTCCTTCCTTCTATCATTTTTTCTCTCCTTCTTCCCTCCCTCCTCCGTCCCTGCCTCCCTCCCTCTCTCCCTTCAATATTTAGTAAATCTTCATTATGGCTCCAGCATGGTTTTAGAGCTTCAGTCATTCATTCATTTGTTCATTCATTTAACAAATATGGGCAAAGTACTCTGATCCATGCAAAAGTGGATTATCCAGTCATGAGCCACCTCTGCATAGAGGTAACGAGGTGGGCGGGGTTTGCCCTCATGGCATTTCCAGTCTAAACAGACATTAAACAGTTACAAATGATTGACTAAATGATTATTTAATGGTATTAAGTCAAGTAAAGGGATCAAATTATTTAACACCTGCTAATGATTAATTAAAATGGTATACATTTTGCCAAAGAATCTCTCTAACTTTTGGTAATCTGAACTTCTCTCTTTCCCTTTGATAAACGTGCTCAGAGTAAAAAACAACCAACTACCAGGAGGGTTTTCTGCCAAATTTGTTCCCAGAATGTTTAAAGATGAGTGTCTCTCATCTTTTCCTCTGTAATTCATTCTCTCTCTGTGTGTCTCTCCTCTCTTTGAACAGGGATACAGCCTATGTGTGTTCAATGTTCTAATAACCCCAAATTTAGACACAAACCATTATTTACTGATATTTAATGAAGTCACCTCATGGCGTTTTAATGATTGCTAGATGGAACAAATCTAATGATTGTTAAGATGGAACTTTACAAACCCTTTCAGTCAGGACAAGTGGCCTGTTCTCCCCACTTCTCCTTGAACTTGGTGTACTGAGCAAAAGACATGCAAGCAATGAGGTTGAGACTCATTTTTCAACATTACCCAAAGAACAGTGTGTACTGGATCCCTGGCAGCTGAGAAAGGACCCTTCCCCTGGCTGGGAGACAAAACTTCAATGAAATTAGGGCATTCTCCCAACCCAACCATTCCCACCCTGTGCTGATGTGAAAAAGTTCAAAGGATATTACGGGCAAAGCTCTCAAGATGTGTTTCCCTCGAGAATATTTCAGGTCACCCAATGTGTAAGGGCCCCTTTGAAGTCAAGATTGATTGAAAAAGCACAAGGGTGTGGAGTCTAAGAATTTGGATGTGGCCATCCTCTGCGTCCCTGAGTGAAGATGCTGCTCGGGTCAGTATTCATATTAGCCTGGCCCATTCCCTTTGCCTGCGGTATTTACAGTAACCCACATGCAGAGCAGGTGGAAGCCAAAGCGGGGCATAGCCAGGGATTGTGGCAGGGGCTTGAAAAAGTGTTTTCTTTTAATTGTAGGGGGATGATTCTGTTTGGCAGGATTCAAGGCTCAGCTGTGTGTGAGCAGATCCTTCATACACAACCACACACACACATATACTCAGCTTCCTCTCACATTTCTCATGGAAAACTGATCACACACAGCTCTCAGGAGTTTCCTGGAATGCAGGATAAGACATTCAGCTGATCAGTGACTGACATACTAGGGACCTGATTTCCTGAAATTAAAGCCACTGCCACTGCCTTGTATCTTGAGGCAACACAAAGTATTGTCTTTTTAAGTTTTTATTTTCACAAGGCAGCATCGTTAGAGTAGCCAGGATGGGTCAACCATTCGAAGGAAACAAAGGTGTGAGAGCAAGGCTGCTCTGCAGATTGCATCCACTTCTCTGGATGCTTTTGGGATGTGGGTGGCTCCAGTCTCCCCGTTGGCCTCAGGAGTGTTATCCTGAGAGAAATGAAGGGAGTCCTGCCTGGCAGCACCATTGCCCACAACGCTATCCAGAAGACGTGCAATGCCAAGGCCAACAGTCAGTTCCCTCTCAGTCGCTTCACCTCCTGAATGCATCTCAACTTGTATTTTGCCTTCATCCTGCCATTTTTCTCTCTTTGTGGCCTCTTGTGGGACTGTGGCTTTGCAACACAGCATCATCAAATAAATCATCTTTCCATGCATTCTCTCCTTCCTTCACCCCTTCCCAATCACCAAGGTCAGTTGTCCTTTATGGAATTTGAAATGATTTTTGGATTTGATTCAATCAACAAATATTTGCTAAGCAGCTACCATATGGCATATTCTGTACCATGTTTCTGGGAATGCAGTGGTGAACAAAACCACTGAGATAAATGCATTTGACTGACTTTTTCTGAATTTTAACGCATCTTGGAGTTACTGTGTTTTGGAGGTCAATATTGTTTTTCTGAGCATTTTACTCCTTTTTAAAAATAATCTTTTTTAAAATGACAGAAGCAAAATGTGAATTTTAAGGCATTATAAAATAGGAACAAACATAAATAAGAAAATAAAAACATCCATCACCCAAAGATCACACTACTAACATCAGTGCCTACTTCCAGAACATTCTCTGTGCATATATGTATATTTAAACACAAGACTGTAATAGACATGCTGTTATATAACCTGCTATTTTCAGTCAACAATCTCTATTTTTCATTTTAATAATTTTTATTGTTTTTAATTTTTCTAATTTTATAATTTTTTGAGACAGAATCTCACTCTGTTGCCCAGGCTGGAGTGCAGTGGCACAGTCTTGGCTCACTGCATCCTCTGCCTCCCGAGTTCAAACAATACTCATGCCTCAGCTCCTGAGTTGCTGGGATTACAACCGTGCACCACCATGCCTTGTTAATTTTTATATTTTTAGTATAGATGGGATTTCACCATGTTGGCCATGGCTGCTCTCAAACTCCTGGCCTCAAGTGATCTGCCCGCATTGGCCTCCTAAAGTGCTGGGATTACAGGCTTAAATATTCAGACCATAATCATATTCTTCCAGTTATGCCATAAATATCCTTTTCAGCTGGATTGGTCGGACTGTTCCTAAATTCAGGAACACGTGTTTTATCCAGTTGTTTTGTTTATACATTTTTTAAAATCTTTCATCTTTTTATGACCCAGAATTATAGAAGAGATTGAGCCAATTGTTTTGAAGAATGTCTTTCCTCTGAATTTGTCTGGGAGCTTTTTACTGTCATTTAGCCTGTTTCTCCAACCCCTGTAGAAGTGATGCATAAAACCTCGTGGGTTCAAATTGGACATTTATTTTTCTAGAACACACCCGACATGTAGGCTCTATTGCAATACATCTGAAAACACAAAATCTGTTTGCTCCAAAATTGGTGATAGCCTCTGACTTAAGATGATGGTGGCCAGGCGAGGTGGTTCAAGCCTGTGATTCCAGCACTTTGGGAGGCCGAGGCAGGCAGATCAGATCATGAGGTCAGGAGTTCAAGACCAGCCTGGCCAACATGGTGAAACCTCAGGAGGCTGAGGCAGGAGAATTCCTTGAACTGGGACCCAGGAGGCAGAGGTTGCAGTGAGCTGAGATCACGCCACTGCACTCCAGCTGGGGATACAGAGCAAGACTCCATCTCAAAAAAAGAAAAAAAAGAAAGAAAAGATGATGGCTGCTGCGTTGCTCCATTATACAGGTACAACAGTTTACCCACTTGCTGCTAGAAAGTCATCCCTATGGCTCTATTCTCTTGCTAAATGGATGTTCAGTTGCCCTTCAACCATTTTCTTAATGGTTTGAACACTAATTAATAATCCCTTGCTTGTATCAGTAATTTAATTGAGTTTTTAAATGATACTTTTTCCATATCTATCAGCAGACTACAATCATTTTGTTGGCTCTTAACTTTGATTCTTTCATCATGGCTTTTAGAACTCAGGTGAACATTAGTCCAAGTCGAGGGTTACTGTGAATGGTGCCATCTTGGGACTGGCACTTGGGTGGATTTCTTACTGACATAAAGAGGGCTTTAATCAGCCCTGCTGCAAACGCTTCCAATGTCTCTCCTTTCTCACTATGACTAACATTGATTTGGCTTCTCCCTATCACACGCTCTTATTAACTTGATTCATATTTCCCTTTGATGTAAGCTGGTGGAAGGCTGGGGCCAGCTTGTGTTGTCCAGCTGTTGCTATTTGTGTGCATCTCTCTTTCCATCTCCTTCAGTGGCTCCTTGCAATTGTCCATAGCAGGAATAATTATACCATTACAATCATCAAATGTTTCAATTTAGGACATTCTTTTAGAGCTGGGTATTAAAGATTTACCAGCTCACCAGTGGTTTAAGCCATCGGTGTTCAAACCTGGCTGAAACTCAGAATTGCCTGAAGACTTTTCTACAATACAACTTTCAAAAACCCACTGCAAACGTACTGAATCAGAAACCCTAGGCTTGAAGCTCTGCAAGTCTGTGTCTTTGATAAAATACTGCAAGTAATAGTTTGAGGGTTTGGGGTCAAGCAGTCAGCTCTAGGAAGAAAACTCTATATGTGCTCACATCCATCTCACTTTTTCTGAGTGGTCTCAGGTTGCCATCCTCACCACCTGTATTGTTTTCAGGGCAGCATGTCAAACCGAGGTACCCCCATTATTGAAGAAGGTTTCTTTTCACCTGCCTGCAGGCATTCATCACACCACCTCTCCTCTCTGCCACCCGCCTTTGCTTTGAGTCTTTTATCCCATTTCCAAGTCATTCTCTGTCTGGCATCCACCTAAATACAACCACACGGGGGAGGGAGGCAGCAGCCGTATTAACAATCTCCCCTCATCAATCACTTGGGGGAGAGTTACTTCTTTGCAATCTAAACATGAAAGCTTGTCTCCTCTTGGGGGCAGTGTGTGCGCAGGGACACTAGGGTTTAATATATATATATATATATTTTGGGGCCAGGTCGAAAGAAACCCCTAGGGCATAATCTCCTTAATTACACTTCTGCCATTTTTCATGGAGCCTGGTAGTTCGAGGAGCCCCTTTCTTTGTGTGTATATAGCCAAAATGAGTTTTAAGCTGTGGAGGGAGCAACCTAATCAATTTCCTTGGCCTGGGCCTTTTAGAATCCAATATAGCATAGATACAGGACAGTGATAATGATTTGACACTCGCCGCACGTCTGGGGGCTACACATCGCTGGTGAAAAAATGTCATGCCCAGATGAATACTGTTGGCCTCTGGTTCCAACACAACACCAAGAAAACATTGCAGTATTATGAGAATTCCTGTTCCTTCTGTCGATACGTTCAAGATGGTTCTTACTTCTGAGCAGGTATCGATTGTGTATAGGTTAGGCCCCACCTGTGCCATTTGTCATTTCTGATATAATATCGTGTTATCGTTTAAAGCTGTAATGGGAGAGGTGTCTGTGTTTAAAGCAAACCGGTGTCTCGAGCTTTGATAAATGGCTAGATGGTCTTTGTTTCTGCAGCAGTGAGCAGTTGGCTTGCTATTTGCTTTACCTTTTATCCAAGAATAACTGTGTGAGGAGTTCTGGAAGCGAGCAGTATCATTTTGTCAGATGTGGTCCGTGGCTAGCCGGGTGGTCCCAGCAGAACAGCTGTGGGATTTTAGCACCCGACAGGATGTTAGCAGAGGGCCTGTGTAAATCTGAAACAACTCAAGCTCCACATGGCTGCATTTGGTTGAAAAGTTCTCAGTGCTGTTTTTTTTTAAGGTGAGAGGACAGGAAATGCTGATGGGAAAGAAAAAAAAAAATATGTGCTTGGGATAATAATTTTATTCAGATGGAGCATTTCTGAGAAAAAGTGATCTGAGGGAAAAGGGTGGTGCTATCATGAGGGAAAATGGGAAATCAGTAAAGTGTGGCTGTCTCTAACATATGCATACCTCCCATCTCCAAAAGCGTGGCTCAGGCAGCTCCTGCTACCCTTAAACCACCCGCCTCCTGGTAACATGGCTCACCCTCTCCATATATCATTAGAACCCTCAGAAATGTGGCACGAAGCAAGTCTGGAAGACTTTCTGTTCCTGGAACTGAAGGTATTCGTGGGTTACAATCATGACACTTAATTCATCAGAACAGGCAGTTTGTCAGGACAAATAGCAGTAGTTTTGTGCCCACAGTTCCCTTCTCAAAATTCATGAAAACCAAAATGCTCCCACAATTCCAATGCGACTTTGCATGGCGGCAATGACTATCATTTCTCTCTGCCTTCTTTAAGGGGGAGGGGAGGGCCAGCCATGTATCATTACATAAATGGTACAACATGCCTGTTCCCCCAGCTCTACAGCCGAGGGGACTTTTGGAGAAGCGCCTGACATGAATCTGCTCCTAACTGGGAGTCGATCAAGTTATTTTCAGAAAAGTTCACCAGGTTTTCAATGTTCAGTGTAAAATCTACATTGGACTAGAGATACAAGGCAATGCTAAGCAACCTTGTTTCCTGGAGCCTGCTCTTCACTTTGATTTCTCTAGGACAGAGAAGCTTTTTGGTGATGAGTCCATACTTTCTCAACAGCATCTTTCTAAATTAATGAAATGCACTTGCTAGACAATGGAGAGGGTCTGTAGAATACACAAGGGCTATGAGACAGAATAAATGTCCACAAGCCTTGTTAGGATTTGGTGCTAGTCCATAGAAGAAATAGGTCCAAATAGGTATATAATTAAATATATATGTCTAGCTCCATCTTACACACACATATACATATGAATACATATTAATAAACATTCATACTCTCATAAATTCAGTATACCTATGAACCAGCTGCCTAAGTTATAAGAACGTAAATTGCCTATATATATACGGTTCTTACGTATATAAGAACCTGATTAGCAAGTACTTATATGTATCAATATTTTAAATTATATACCTACTGTATACCAGGCATATATGTACATTAGTGCATTTAATCCTTATAACATGTCTATGAGGAAATATGATTATCCCCATTTTTCAGATGACAGAGATGAGGTTGGAGAGAGCTAACATTCTTTGCTCAAAAGCACACAGCTTAGAAGTAGCAGATTCTTTCCTCATGCCATTTCTAATAGGTCACACAAGGATTTGCATATCATTTATTTATTGTACATGTTTGAAATTATGACAAGGTGTACAAATGTAACGAGAAAAACTTTCCCCTGAAATTCTAAATTCAGAATCTAGCAGAGTTCTAGGGAAAAAGATTTCCATCCTTTTCCATGAGCTTTCCAGAGCAAAGAAACCTACACCTTGGAAGGCCCGTTCTATTAAACCAGAATATGCAAATAGCTGCAAGAAGCAGGTAGATGACATAAGTCAAATGGAAGTCAGACCATAAAGTGGTGCAGACAATGGTGAACTCCAGGGCACACATTTAAACTGAAAGGGAATCTCTGTTCAGCTCTGTGCAAGAAATATGGACTCAGTGGTATCAGATCACCTGATTTTTCTGTTTGCTTGTTTTCAGAGAAAATACTCTGTAGAAACATTAATAATGGTACCTCACATGGTTGTTACAAGAATTAACTACATGATTATTGGTAGAATGCTTGGAACAAATTCATAAAGTGTTTGGAACAATGCCTGGCACATTATAAGCACCATATTCAGACCACATATTAGTATCCTCATCCTCATCATCCTTTTCCACATCAAGAGTGTAAGAGCCACGTGAGCAGAGATGCTGTCTCTCTTCTTCAGCTCTGTATCCCTGGTATGCAATGTAAAGCAACTGCTCAGGAAATATTTATAGAATAAATGAGTGATAGAAAGGAAAGTACAATAAAATGCACTTATCCCTGCTTGATTAATTCTTAAATGTCTGGGCCAGACACAATGGCTCACGCCTACAATCCCAGCACTTTGGGAGGCCAAGGTGGGCAGATTGCTTAAGCTTGGGAGTTCGAGACCAGCCTGAGCAACATGGTGAAACCTCATGTCTACGAAAAATACAAAAATTAGCTGAGCGTGATGGCACATGCTTGTAGTGCCAGCTACTCAGGAGGCTGAGGTGGGAGGATCACCCGAGCCAGGGCAGGTTGAGGTTGCTATGAGCCATGATCATGCCACTGTACTCCAGCCTGGGTGACCAAACAAGACCCTGTCTCAAATATATATATATATATATATATATATATATATATATATATATATATATATATTTTCTTAAATGCCTCTGTTTCTTTTTGTATATCGCTATCTGTGTTTCTGTGTGTTTAGGTCTCTCTTTCTCTTTCTTTCTCTCATTAAATTAAAATAAGGATGAGAATAGATTACCAGGCAAGCTGGCAAAATGGCTAAGTAGGTTGTCCAACCAGTTGTTTCCTTGCGAGCTGGTATCTGAATAATAATGTCCCACTTGAACCACACAGCCCCCATTAATGACTTACACCAAGGGGGTTCAAAGACAGGAAGTGGCAGCAGCAGCAGCAACACCCCTCTAGTGGTTCTAATGATGCAGGGCGAGGGTGCCTCTTGCTCCTGGGCAGAATGGAAAATGGAGTAGAGAGCCCCAATCCGTGTGCAGAGGTGCCGTTTTCAACAAAGAAATCCTGCCATTCCAAACTGTCGAGACCTTTAAAAATAAAAGATGTGCTGTATTTCCAGCACTATTCAGTATTCATGAGGCTTCGCAGCTTGTTGTAAGGCAAGATGAAAACAATACTCAGTAGATTTTCATAAGTGACATGTAACTGCAAGATTGATAGATGATGCAGTTTTAATGTATGTGAAGTTCAAAACCAACATAAAAGCTTCCAGGTAGCTGAACACCGGATTTCAAACCCACATTTCTTCCAGTGATAAGCCCTAGACTTTCCCCAAGTCTCCTGCATCTATAAAACAAAAAGTGGGCATCACCCTACCGAGGGCAGAATTTCTACTGAGCCTCCAAGGACAAAGGCTGGGATGTTTCCATGGGTGTAGCAGGGGGTCCCAGGGTACATTTTTTTTGTGAAATGAATGTGATGAATCATGAATGGTTAAATATCACTATTTGCTTCTGCTAATGAATGCTAAAGAAAAAGAAGGTTGACCTTCCTGATGGTTCAGGGAGCACAGAAAATTAGTTACATTTCTAGTCATTTCCCAAAACGTCCTTGCTGTATATCTCATAGCTTCTTGGCCACTCTGGGTTTGTTATGTATTATCAAAATATACACACGTATACATACACATGTGCATATATATATATGTACAAATCAAACATTATTACGTATTGTATTGTATATGTAATGTATATGACCTATGCAGTTAAATATATTATTCATAACTATGCATTATACAGTGAATATAGGGTTTTATGAGTTTTCATGGTCAGCCTCAATTAAGCAATATTTCTCTACTCCATTCCATGAATATCCATTACATAACATTCATGAAATGTTATAAAAAGTTAAACTACTGGCCAGGTGTGGTGGCTCACGCTTGTAATCTCAGCACTTTGAGAGGCCGAGGCGGGTGGATCACTTGAGGCCAGGAGTTTGAAACCAGCCTGGGCAACATGGTGAAACTCTGTCTCTACTAAAATTACAAACATTAGCTGGGTGTGGTGGCACGTGGCTGTAGTCTCAGCCACTTGGGATGCTGAAGTGGGAGAATCACTTGAACCCAGGAGGCGGAGGCTGCAGTGAGCTGGGATTGCACCACTGCGCTCCAGCCTGGGTGACAGAGCCAGACTCTGTCTCAAAAAAAATTGAGTTAAACTACACATCTTCACTTTGGAACCCTTCTTTCCTTTTGTCTTATCACTTGTTCCCCAGCACTGATTGAATATTAGGACCTGTCAAGTACCGAACAGAAAGTACTGTAAGGAAGTCTGACATAGACACAAAGAGATGACATATGTTAAAGAGAAATATACATACATGTCAGCAGGCATACATACACATGTGATTGTTTCTATATTGATGAGTCTTCCTTTCTTTTCACTTATTCTTTGTCTTTTTTGGAGGAGAGTGCTGAGATTGTCTCTTTTTATTTTGCTTTGGTTCCAGTCTAGTTAACTCAAAATGCATGGGGTTAGAAAAATTAAATTAAATTTTAAAAATCACAATAGCAGTGAACATTTTATAACATTCAGTGCTTAAAGTATGTGCAAAACAATCTTACAAGGAGATAATATTATTAACTTGGTTTTATGAACAGGGAAATGGAGGCTCAGAGTGGTTGATCAACTTGCAGAAAGTCACACAGCTAATAAGCACAAGAGGTTGATTTTTCATTGTACCTGTTAAATAGACATCAGCGAGATGCAAGTGCCAGAGCAACATAATGGACAATTTTGAGATCCACGCTGTTCTAACCCTTCTCTGGCTAAAAAAAAAAAAAAACAAAAAAACAACTTTGCTTGTGCATGTCAGACAAGAAGGCTTCCAAAGGACAAGGACAACCTCCTTTGTGTATTACATTGTCACTTTCTAACACAGGGCCTGGCACAGAGCAAAAGCTTAGTAAATGTAGAGTAAAAAAGAAAGGGAGAAAGTGGTAAGGTGGTGACTCCCTTGTGGGCATTTGGGAGCTGGAAAACCAATGAGATCTTTCCAATTTTAAGGTGAGCACAAAAGGAAGGACAATTTAGTGTCTGGAAAAAAAAAAAAAAAACCCACAACAACTGGTCTATGAATTGGCTGCCCAGAGAAGGGGACAGGGCAGAATGTAAAGACCAGGACAGAAGGGCTCTCCTGGGTGTCTCCTGACAGAAGATGAGAGAAGGAAAATACACAAGGTGAGGTATTTATCTCGAGGTCTCTGGCTTCTCATTGGCAATGCTGGAATCTGAAGAAAACCTGGGTCTTTCTCCTACAACTTGAGCTCACATCTCCTGATTTTCATCATTGGGCAATTTTTCCAAACTTTTCATTGTTTTGGCTGGATCCTGTTGAGAAAGATGATTTTTCTCAGGGCTGGAATACAAGATTCCTCAGGTTGAGATAGGATCTAAGCCAGGGATGCTAAGGTGTCACTGAGTTCAAAGTGGGAATCTTCTATGATCTTTGCCCATGGGCAGAGCGGCTGTGCCAGCAGGTAAACACCACAGTGGGGACATGCGGAACGCTCTTATCCACTCTACTTGTCCATAGGATGGTGTGGAAGACCCCAAAACAGAGTATGGTAACCACCTACCTGTGTCGTCTGTATAGAACCATGAAGAATGTTCCTCCTTTGGGCAAAGGGTTTTAAAAATACTTTCAAAAAAAAAAAAAGAAAAAAGAAAAAAAAAACACCACCTCTGGTTTCCTGTATTCAGAAAAGGATCTCATATCAACTCCTAGAGATTCAGAGAAAAAATAAGAAAATGTTTCCAGTCTTCTGTTTCCTACCCTCTTTGTCTTGTTCCCTTCTCCTGGGCTGACAACTGCTCCAGACACATTGCCGTTCGCAATCCTGTTAAGTCAAGAGCATGTATCCTTAGGGGCTCTGCACCCAGGCAGTGGCTGCTGTCATCAACTCGTTATGCACTGCCTTTGCCCCCCAACACACCCCCTTTTGTAACATTCATCCTATTTGTTCTCTCTTTTGTATGTTGTCTCCCTGTGACACTATAATGTAATTGATGACTGGAACCAGATCTGTCTCGTTCATCACTGTTCCCCAAATCTAACCAAGAAGGTGCCTAGAACACAGCTGATGTTAAATAACTTTTTTCAATGGGTTGAATTCATACAGGCACCCACCCTTTCTTTTCAGTGCTCGTACCACAGGAATGGTCTACAGCCTGGCAGGGGCTCAGTGTATATCTGTTGAATAATAGAAGCAGCACATCAGAGATTGCCACTGCCATCCGCTGTAGGAAAGCAGGTCTCTTCTTGAGCTAAGAGGAAACCCATGTTGAGTTGACAATAAGAGGGAGGAACCTTGAACCTGAGGGAGTTGACAGTAAGAGGGAGGAACCTTGAACCTGAGGAAGAGGAGTCAGTTTCTCTAGCATTCCGCATAAAAGACAAAGTGGACAACGGGGAGGTTCTCATTTCCCTCCTCCTCAGTGCTCAGACTTTGGAACACAAGTTGTATTGCTTGACCTATGTGTGTCTTTTGACCACCTCTGATGATTCATTTATCTGATTTGAGTGCTTTCCTGATGGAAAACACAGTCTGTTGGATGGTAGTTCACTGATTCCCTCTTGATGTCCATCATCTCTAGTGATGGCCTTCCATGAGCACAATGGCAGGATTCTTGACCAGTTCCCCGAACTCTTCTGTTTTGTTTTGTTGATATGTGTCTTCTGTTTTGTTGGGAGCCTGCTGTTGCTTACATAGAATGTCCTCTGCCACTGGTAATGACCTTCATGAAAGAGGCTCAAACCCTGATTTGTAATCTCTAAGAGCAGCCTCCCACGAGGTAGGATCTCCCAGCTGAGGTGAATACCTCTAGTTGGCTTTTTTAAATTAAGGCTCCACATTGTAACTAGTCAACGTACATTATTGGGAGAGTGAATGTCAATGCCACTGCGTTTTCTTTCTCTCCTTTATCTTTGTCAGTGATTCAAAGACATGATTTATGGTTAGTCTCCGACTTTCAGCATCATCCATCAAGTCCTGGTTTCACTACAGGGCTCCACATTGTAAATCATACCGAAGGGTTGTCACTCATTCCCCTTAACCCTTTAGGGGTATGTTTCAGGGTCGCTGTCCAAGAAGGAAACTTTGTAAGATGGCAGTTGAGGGGGCTTGGGCAATTGATAGGGACTCATTAAGTCAGTGGCATTAATTACTTCACCTAATGTGATCATTATTAAGGCCTGGGTAAGGCCTGGGCCAGCTCCACCCAGCCCAGGCAGGAAGAGAAACTCGCTCCCGGTGACTTGAGAAACACACAGATTCCTGAACCAGCTCTATTCTGTTTTGAAATGTCCATTATGGATGTGAAGTGCTGAGTTTCACTTTGGAATCAATCACAGGCTAGTTCTGATTGTGACCTTGCAAAGATTACAGAATGAGTGCAAAGACCCATTAGCAGCTGCTATTTCAGGCTTTGTAAATTAACAGTCCTCTCCTCCTCCCACACTTTTTTTCATGTCTCTATCACTCTGTGACTCTCTGTCCCTTTGTCACCTTCGGGAAGGTGGGGATTGGTGGCAAGGGGTGAGACTGAAACTTGCAGGCAGAGGAGCAGGACTTTTGCAGGGCCAGATCTCCCCTTCTGGCTGATTCCAGTCATGCAGGATTAAGGCTTTGAGACATGGCACACCTGGTAGAAGCAAAATCCAGGCAACTGGCATTGAATGAATGGGCGTGCTCACCTACCAGAAGTCTGCAACTAGTAATTGCGGGTCATTAATGAAAAAATAAATAAATATATATATATACACACACACACATATATATTCTTGGGATCTATTTGTTCAGAGTCTGCATTTGGTTGAAAGCGATTTTGTTCCTGAATTGTGCATAGCTCTGTTTTCCCATGGTAAGCTGATGAAAACAACTATATTGGTGAAAGATATACAGGTAAATAAAGTGAAGGTTTGTAAAATATGAACGTTCATCATCTAAACTGTGTTTTCATAAGAACTCCTCCTCAGATGGTGCTTGAGGGGCTCAGGACTTGGATGTTTTCAAATACAGGTCACAAATGTGCCTGCGGTCTTCATTTTTCCAAAAATTAGCACTTATTTAGTCTTCAAGGATTAAGGCACCTCAGTTTACCAGGACAGTGACCCTGACGGGTCCCCTCTTTACCCAGCATTCTCACTTTCCAGCATACAAAGTGGCTAGTCTTAGGATTTTATCTTTCTTGGAAAGAGCACAAGGATCTTTTCAAACTTTAAATGACCCAGAGCCATGAATCCTCCTAACAGCCTTGGAAGGCAGGTAAACTGTTGCCGAACTAGTATTTCACGGAGCAGCCCTTCTCTCTTCTGCCCTCCCTCCTGCTCAGAAATCAGATTTATATGGTATACACAGTGTCTGCAGACCTAACTGCAGGTGACTTAGAAACGGAGAGCCTGCAGATTAATGTGCCCATTCAGAATGATGTATTCTATTTTTTTGTGCTAAGAGCAGCGTGGATGGCTCGTTGGGAAGGCATAACAAGGGGGCCAGTCTCGGCTTCTGCGTCGCAGCCTATCACAGAAAGGGCTTCTGTCGGGTCTCTGTTGTGAAGTCAGCTACTGACTGCCATTTGAATTCCATCGATACGACGTCTTCTGTTTATGCCACATGGATTTCATTATGCCTCTGATCAAAAGAATTTTCTAGGCGCTGACAATAAGGAAGCAAGTTGTTCAGCTCATGGAACTAATAGACAACTTTGAGAGTCCCTTTCCCTCTCAATGAGCAAGAGGAATTCTCCCTTCTCAATATTGTCTGTCCCTAGAATAATTGTACATTTCTGCAAATCTTGTTCAGGCCAAGAGACAACATCCCGGAGGCATCAAGAATCTGCTGCTAAAAAAAAAAAAAAAAAAAAAAAAAATGTGCTTTCAACAAATTAGAATACGCCACCTAGTGAAGTTCTTAATTAGCATGGCACCTCAGATATAAAGTTAGGAGGCCTGATTGCGGTCAACTCACCCCGACCTCTTACTTGAAGGAACCCGGAATTATAGGAAGGACTCTGGAAAGAAAAAGAAAATGTAATTAAATTAAAATAGTCCTGCTCTTTCTGTCTGAACCTAGCCCATTACTATGATACCTTGTTTCATGATGTCTTGTCGGAAGCATTTAGAATGGTGAATTACCCCCCTTTTAAAAACAGGCAGACAAAAAATATATATACGATCTTATTCACACAACATGTGGGTCAGTGTTTTCTGGTTAGCATCCTGCCTAGAATTCCAGGTATTTCTAAGGTATTCAACTCTGAGTGGTGCAAGTCTTCACAGATCTGTATTTGGTGAGGCATATTTGCCAGATTTGCCATGGTGGCAAATTTAAATAAATTGTCCAGATGCATACACATTAATCCACTGGCTGGAAGCCAGGAATATGCAGTACAGCCTCAGCTTCCCTATGTCCAATTTCCCCTGGGACTTTTCTTTTTACACAGAAAATTTCAAGCTGTGTGTGTCTAAACACAGAAGTTGCCTTCCTCCTTCCTACCTTCTCTCTCCATAATCGGTAATTTTTCCTCCCATCAGCCCCATCCTCGTTTTCATTTTGTCAAATAACAGTGTGACTTTGTCTTTGACATTAAACAGTTGTATATACTTTTAGCAGTTTGTTTACTCCATCTGTATTTCCAATCAGCGAGGAAGGTTTACCAAAGTGGTTCATTACTGATTTATTTATGATGTATTTAGATAGCAAATATGAAACTGTCAGCAGTTGCTGGCTAAACAGTGTTGACAGACATTAATAACATATGGTATAGCAATGGAATTATGATCTTTTAATTTTTAAAAAAATTTTGATTCTCAACGTGCAGTTTTGGGTTTTGCATTTCTTAGGTAGGTGCGTGCAAAGGAGAAGACTTTTAACAAAACTATGTTTTCTTTTTATTTGTAACCTTTGGGGTTTCCTGTTGGTGACATTAACATCTTCTGTGTCTATTTAGCTGTTCAATTTAATGGAAGACAAATCCTCCCAAAGGTTTAATTTACTCTTGCAAACTGAAATCACCGTATTCACACTGTGGGAAATGGCCCTAATTTTCCCAACCTTCAGTTGCCATCAAGCATATAATTTATTTCTCCCCCTTCGATACATTCCCCATTAGAAAACAAAGTTTTTGATATTTAAATGTTACCAAGTTCAAACGGAGGAACCGAGTCTCCCGTTTCTGCAAAATGCTGTTGCAGGCATGGCTGCTTCTACCTGACAGCCACCCATTTATACTGGGCCAGAACAGACAAACATTTGAATTTCTGACCTTTAATTGGCTGTTCCTTTGAGCTTATATGGTTTTTTCCAGCACCAAGGGAGGACATTTTTCAGCTCAACTCAAAGGAAAAACAACAAGCAAACCCAGGTAGCAGTAAAATTCAGCCCATTTGCTTTGAAGTAAGCATGGGCATTTTAGCCAGAAGGTGACCCGACAGGCAATAAAGTTTCTCTTTGGCCAAGAATTCTTCCATGGTTCCGTAAAGATGATCTCGTTTTCCAGACTCCAATTCGTTCCCTTGAATATGTCCAAAGGACATGAAAGTTAACATTAGAAAAAAAAATAGGAGTCTTCTAGGGCAGGAAATATCTGTGATGGGGATCCATTGAGAATTTGGTAAAAGCTAACACCTTCTCACTCAGCATACACATAAGCATTACCTGTAATTTCAGGGTTCTGGCATCCTGGGAAGCCCATCCAGTGTCTCTGGAGCCCAGTTAAGAATCAGCCATCATTCAGGTCATTACGGGATTTTTGTGTGTGAAGTACAAGAACTTGCCTTCATTTTCTAAGGTTAGAGTGGGGAAGAGATGGCTCATGTGCCACATGAACTGAGTACCTCTGGAAGCTCTTTTAGTGTTTTATACACGTTATCACACTGGATCCTCAAAACACCCTAGGAAGTAGGTATAAGACTTAATCCCATTTTGCAGATAGGGAAATTGAGGAGTAATGAAATTGAAATTGAGGTCACATAGCTGATAAGTAAAGGAACCACACGTCAAATCTCAACACTGATTCCTGAGCCAAGTCAAATGGGAAATTTTGCTTAAAATGAAAAATGTAAGTTAATTTATAAGCTTTTACCTTCTTGATTTTTTTTTCACTATTTCAAAACTGCAAAGCATATTGGAAATTATCCCTTTCAAATATCTTACTTTACCTTTGAAATAACTAAACCCAGAGGAACTCCAAGACTTGTCCTGAGTTAAACAATTAGAGGCTGAGCCAGAGCTGGCTTATTCCGACTTGGGATTCAGCTTTGATAATCAATGCCATACCATGTCCTTGGGCATGTTAAGGCTTGAACTTAAACATAATGGTGGCTAGTTTTGAAATATATCTAATATTTTGAGAATATTAATGACACTAGAAAATAAGGATCAGAGAGCCATCTCTGTCCTAATCCTAATCCCTTCACTGCTGAAACTCACAAGAAATAATAAGGTGCCCCGACTAGAGCACACACTTCCTCAGATCACTATTGGAATCCCACCTCTGATGCCCACTGTGTGATGTTAGGCAGGCCCCAGCACCCATCTGAGTGTTGCTGTTTTTCCCATGTAAATGGCTTAAATAAAGCGTTCTATACAAAGCCATCGTTACAGAGCCTGACGTAGAGCCAACATTCATTAAATGTTAGTTTGTAGAATTATATTTATTACAAGTGTGTTTAGAACTAAAATCAAGACATGTGGCTGGGAGCAGTGGCTTGTTCCTGTAATCCCAGCACTTTGGGAGGCCGAGGCGGGTGGATTGCTTGAGGTCAGGAGTGAAACCCTGTCTCTACTGAAAACACAGAAAATCAGCCAGGCGTGGTGGCACACGCCTGTAATCCCAGCTACTCAGGAAGCAGAGGCATGAGAATTGCTTGAGCCTGGGAGGTGGAAGTTGCAGTGAGCCAAGATTGTGCCACTATACTCCAGCCTGGGAGACAGGGTGAGACCCCATCTCAAAAAAAGTAAAATAAAATAAAAAATCAAGACACATGAATATTGTCTATTCAATGTAGACATCTTCTACAGTCCCCAGTCTTCAAAGCCAGAGACAGCGAAACTCCAGTATCACATCCCAACACATCAAGTCTCTGACTTTCCTTATCTCTGACATCTAGGGGCTCATGTGACTAGGTTAGGCCCCCACTGGATAATCTCCCCATTTTACAGTGATCTGATTTGGGAGCTCAGTTACATCTGAAAAACTCCGTCCCAGCAATGCCTAGACTAGTGTTTGTAGAACAACTGGGCAAAGGTGTGTGTAGTGTATATCGGGGGCAGGAAGCGTGTGAGCCAGGAATCATTTTAGAATTCTGCCCACCACAGCCTCAGTCTTCTAATCTGTCAAGTGGGGATGTGCAGTGGTTTCTATGGCACAGGTGCCTGTGAGGAGTAAATGTGTATACATCACGTAGTATAGCATGGGACATAACACACATCCACGCGGTACCTTGCAGCTATGGTTCTTGGAAGGGAAAATAAAACTCAGATGTGGAATAGTTTATCAGATGAGGGTAGTTTAGAGCTCAATCCTGGGAGGAACAACCAATCAATCAATCAGCAAGAACATATTATGGAACACCAAGACGCTTTGCCAGGGATTGGGTGCGATTGCCAGAAGCTGCAATGGATGGCGAGGAAGAGCTGCTTCTTGTGGGCGGGTGGAGGGGGACTTCCTCAGGGTATACACAGTCTCCTTGGGAACTTGCCATCTTGCCTCTCCTCCCTGCCACAGTGGCAATGTTCATGCAGTGTCACATGACCAACCAAGGGGTGGGTTTCCAGGTTGTGTGACAGCGAGTGCAAGGGCCCTGAGGTGAGCCTTCACCTGAAAACCAGGAAACACCAAGGATGCCAGTAAGGCTGAGCACAGTGAACGAAGGAGAGAGGGGAGGAAACTGAGTCAAATCTGGGAGTGATTGGAAACTTGAACTTTGAGTATTTTATGACGTTACGGATAACTGTAATTGTTACTATTTTTTTGGATGTGAGAATGCTTATGTTTCAAATTAGGAGGAGATTGGATATGCATTAAAGACAAGAGTGCTGCCTTCACCACTCCCATGTGGATGAGGATGTTCTGTAAGACTTCTTACAGTCCTTCTTGCTGCGTTTTTGGGGATTTGGGGGATTTTTGTTTGTTTGTTTGTTTGTTTGTTTGTATCCTGTTCTGGTTTTGGCTTCACAGAGCAGAAACTATAGTTGGTACCGACCATGGCCCAGACATCCAAATAAATAGTACTGGTTGTTTCTCAACACAAATGAACAAACAAACAAGGAGAATAGTTCTTTTCTTTTGGAAGTACATACTAAAATATTTATGAATAAGAGGATATGAAGTCAGAGATTTGCTTTAAAATAATTATGGTGGGAACAATGGTTGGAGGTTTAGATGAAGCAAGATTGTCCTGGGTTGACAAATATTAGAATGGGTTGATAGTAAATGAAGATGTATTATTCAATTGGATCTATTTTGGGATATGTTTGAAATTTTCCATTAATTTTTTTTTTTAAGAAAAAAAGAAATTGAGTCAAAAGAAATGGCAAGGATCAGATCATTGCAGGTCTTATAGCTGGGGTAGGGACTTTTTACTTCTAAGAACAATGGGAAATTATCAAAGAGTTCTGAGCAGAGTAAACTCATCTGACTTACATTTGTAAAGGTTATTCATTTTGGATTGCTGATATAACACATTATCACAAACGTAGTGGCATAAGGCAACATAAATTCATTGTCTTTCTTTCTGGAAGCCAGAAGTTGGAAACCAGTTTCACTGGGCTAAAATGGATGTGTCAGTAGGCCCACATTCCTTCGGGAGGCTCCAGAGGAGATTCTTTTTCCAGCTTCTAAAGCTGCCTGCATTCTTCGGCTCAGGGCTCCCTTCCATTTTCAAGCAGGGAATTGCATCACGGTGACCTCTGGTTCTGCTGTCGTATCACCTTCCCTGACTCCGATTCTCCCACCTCCCTCTCATAAAGCCCCTTTGGGTCCTTCTCATTTTGGCTACCTGGAAAATCCAGGATAATCTCTTTATCTCAAGATCCTTAATTTTCTAACATCAGCAAAGTCCCTTTCGTCACATAAACTGACATTCACAGGTTCTGGACATTCGGACGTAGACATCTTTGGATGCCATGATCTCGCCTGTCACAAGGGACAAGGGTGAAGCTGAGGGCTGTGAGGTTTCAAGCCTCAGCACTATGGACATTTTGATCCACACCCTTTTTTGCTGGTGGGGTGGTGGGATGGGGAGCTGCTCTATGCATTGTTAAATGTTTGGCAGCATCCCTGGCCTTGACCCACTAGATGTCAGTAGCACCTCTCCCCCATGCAAGTTGTGACAATCAAAAATATCTCCAGACATTGCCAAATGTGCCCTGGCTGACAACCGCTGGGGTAGCGAAGTAATGGCAGAGAAGGCCAGAAGTGATTGGATCCCAGTTGTATTCCAAAGGCAGTACTGACAGGTGTAAGCCTCTCTCTCTGCCCATCGCTAACCACCACAAGTAACAAGAGAGACTACCTTTGCATATGTGTCGCTCACATGGACAGTATGGAAACAAATGGCAACACACCTTTGTTGTCAGCTTCTATTTAATGTTCTCTCCAAGCATTTCTTTTGCTGCTGGAGGACAAAGGCAGTAGCTGTTACTCCTTTTACCCATGACCTTCCTCGGTGATTGGAGCATTGTAGAGGGTCGATGAGTACCTGCTGGCTTTGGTTTTATAATTATAGTCTCACTACACCTTTGCTTGGCCATTGTGGAAAAAGAACCTAATATCCTGTGTATCACTTTCTCTTCTAAGTGAAATGTGAGACATCGTGTTGGCTAAGTGGTTTGGAATCGTCGCACAGAAAGAATTAACCTTAATATAAAGACTTTGCAACTTGGTACATGATTCTCTGCAGTGTAGCTGTGTTGATACTTACTAGTAATAATTTTATATGCCCCCTTAATCATTGCTAGAATTTAGCGAACACTTACTGCTTGTTGACCACTGAGCTCGGTGCTTTATGTTAATATATATTATCTCCATCTTCCCAGCAACTTTAAGAAATAGAAGCTATTATTAAACCCATTCTACAGATGAAGAACATAAGATTGAGACTTATGCAAATCACCGTAGCATAGGCAGAGGATACATTTCAGAAATGTCTAAATTCTAAATCTTTGCTCTTGAATTCTTTACTGTATTGCCTTCATTCTAGGCTGCCTGGGGTGCCTTGATCCAACGAAGGGAAGTCAGGTTTAGCATTGGAAGCTAGCAAGACTTAACTGTTTTGTTGATGGCTTTAGGCTTTGGGTTTTGATGTATGCTATAACTTGTAATACTTCCAGCCTTGGGGAGGGAGAGGCAGGGGTGCTTTTCTGTTTCAGGAGAGGGATCAGCCACTCCCTCTATTCACTCTGCCTTTCTCTCTTGGCTACCATGGCTATGTACAAAGCCATTAGCGATGAATCATACGTAGGCAGATCAAGGGACACAATATGAGCTGTTTAGTCTTTTCCATCCTTCTCGATATGAATCATTGTCAGATTCAGAGCTGTAGCTCTCCTTATATAACTTTAGCTGCTCCCTCAGATGAATCTATGGGCACAACTCACCTTTAAGCTGAGAGGACAAATGAAGTTCACAGGTGCAAGGCAGAGAACTGGGTCTGAGCAGACTCAAATTTTTTTTTTTTTTTTTTTTTGAGACGGAGTCTCACTCTGTTGCCCAGGCTGGAGTGCAGTGGCACGATCTCGGCTCACTGCAACGTCTGCCTCCTAGGTTCAAACAATTCTCCTGCCTCAGCTTCCTGAGTAGCAGGGATTATAGGCACCCACCACCATACCTGGCTAATTTTTGTATTTTTAGTAGAGATGGGGTTTCACCATATTGGCCAGGCTGATCTCAAACTCCTGACCCCAAGTGATGTGCCCACCTCCACCCAAATTTTAAGTTCTGTTTTGAGGGTTCATTGATTTGGCATGGGGGTCTCAAACTCATAGGTCTACAGGGGCCAGGCTGGTGTGGGAAATGAGAAAGATGGTGATAAATGAGACATGAGAGGCTAAGAAGTGGGTGGGATGGCAGGCAGATTCTCCAGCATCCACACTGCCTCCCCTAGGAGGGCAGACTCATCTCCAGCCAAGGGTGCCAGGTGGAGTGTGGTCTCATCGCCAGACATAGGCTTTACCAAGAGAAACCAGGAAAATAAATTTTTATGCGAAATCTCCTGATTTTTTAGGTCTTGGTAATTCGTTTGTTTTAAAACTGCATGTCCCAAACCAAACCCACCTAAAAACTGAAACTGGGTTATAAACTCTGCCTTGGGAACTTGATCCCAAGCTCTCTAGACCTGCAATGTTCAAGCGGTATGTCCCACATACCACATGGGGCTACTAAGCCCTTCAAATGTGACTGGTCCAAATTAAAATATACTGTAAGTATAAAACACACTGAACTTGAAAGGCTTAGTCCAAAAACCGTAGTGCACAATATCTCCTTCATTTTTATAATATGATACTATTATATCATAATTTTATAATATACTATTATATCATATTATATGATACTATTTATATCATCATATGATGATATGATATACTATATCATCATATGATGATATGATATACTATATCATCATATGATGATATGATACTATATCATCATATGATGATATGATACTATATCATCATATGATGATATGATACTATATCATCATATGATGATATGATACTATATCATCATATGATGATATGATACTATATCATCATATAACATGATGATATGATACTATATCATCATATAACATGATGATATGATACTATATCATCATATAACATGATGATATGATACTATATCATCATATAACATGATGATATGATACTATATCATCATATAACATGATGATATGATACTATTATATCATAATATGATATAATATTTTGGACATACTAGGTTAAATAAGATATAGTTATATAAATCAATTTCACTTATTTCTTTCTCATTCTTTAATGTGACTACTGAAGCATATGAAATTCCATGCATAGCTGACATTCTACTTCTATTGGGCAGCGCTGCTTGAAGCCTTCAGTATCTGATCACTTGCAACAAAAACAGAGACATAATAATAATCACAGACACCATTTACCGGGTTCCTACCATGCATCACTGTATGAAGTTTTTTGTGCTTTCTTTTATTTCATACTCAGAATAACTCTTTGAAGCTATAATCTTACTATGGTCCCCATTTTATAGATGTGAACATTGAGTATTAGAAAGCTAAGTAACTTGTGGCCGGGTGCGGTGGCTCACGCCTGTAATCCCAGCACTTTGGGAGGCCGAGGCGGGCGGATCATGAGGTCAGGAGTTCAAGACTAGCCTGACCAACATGCTGAAACCCTGTCTCTACTAAAAATACAAAAAAAGAAAAAAAAAATTAGCCGGCGCCATGTGTGCACCTGTAGTCCCAGCTACTCAGGAGGCTGAGGCAGGAGAATCACTTGAACCCGGGAGGCAGAGGTTGCAGTGAGCAGAGATCTCGCCACTGCACTCCAGTCTGGGCAACAGAGGGAGACTCCATCTCAAAAAAAAAAAAAAAACCTAAGAAACTTGCTAAGAGTCACACAGTTATCACGTGAGCGATTCAATTCTGGATTTGTCTACAGGTTTTCAGATAATAAAGCCCGAGCAATTAACCACTGTGCTAAGCAAGAAAAACACAGAGAATTTGGACAAATCTGAGGAGAGTTGGTGGCTGGCTTCCAACATGCGCCTAAGCTTAAAATAGCATGCATTTCAGCCCAGAAATTATGGTATCTCTCCAACTTTGAACTTGTGGGCAATGCTTCATTTAAATTCAGAAGACAGAAAATATTTCCAAACAGGTGTACTTTACTCTGTGCAAAATGTACATATTCTTTCTGCATTGAGCTGAAACCAACTATTTGTGACTTGAAACACATTTGATATGCACAAAGGAAGTTCCAAATGTTAAGAAAACTATCCTGGGTCTTTTTAAAACTCGTATAAAAAGATCTACATCTTCCTTCTTTTGTGAATATGCAGCCGCACTGTCCATTTTGCAGGGTTAGGCCTTTACCTACAGGTTTTTCCTAGACATGAGATCCGAGCATATTTACCTGAACCTGATACTTGTCCACAATTTTTATGGAATAGACTCATGGGTGTGTTTGGGAATTGGAGGGTCCCTGGGAATGAATACTCCTCCTGCTCCCTCTCAATGCCTTCATCTGCTTCTAAAAAATATTCAGTAACACTTGTAGAAGGCATGGTGATCAGTGCAGTGTGAGCTTTAGGTTCAGATAATCCTGAGCACTGATCGTGATGCTATAACTTATGAGCTGTGAGCCTGGTGAAGCCATTTACATTCTTTAAGGCTTAGTTCCCTTATCTGAAAAATAAAGACATATGGGCCGGGCACGGTGGCTCACACCTGTAATCCTAGCACTTTGAGAGGCCAAGGCGGGTGGATCACGAGGTCAGGAGTTTGAGACCAGCCTTACCAAAGTGGTGAAACCCCGTCTCTACTAAAAATACAAAAATTAGCCAGGTGTGGTGGCACGAGCCTGTAATCCCAGCTACTCAGGAGGCTGAGGCAGGAGAATCGTTTGAACCTGGGAGTCAGAGGTTGCAGTGAGCCAACATTGCACCGCTGCACTCCAGCCTGACGGCAGAGCCAGACGCCGTCTCAAAAAAATTAAATAAAAAATAATAATAAATAAAGACACACATAGCAGTCACCACATATGATTGCTGTGAGGATTAAAAGAGGTTAGGGTCTAAATGTGCCAGCACAGTCCCTGGCACAAAACAGGCCCCCGAGTACAGTAGCCATTATTACTAAATAATAAACACGATGATGAGGATAATGATTTTTGTTCCTCAGCCCTTGCTTTTACTTTTCTGACTCTAACACTCAGGACTAAACTTGGTCAAAGGGTTAAAACAAATAGAGAAGGGAAAAGATTTCATCTATGAGCCACCAAGGTCATGGGTATTTGGCCGAAACACTTACCTCTTCAAGGCTTTGCATCTGGGTCTTTCATCCCCTTGCTTTTTTGAACACTGTATACCCTCTGTGAATGTAAAAACATTTGAAGAGTATCAAGCACTCCACGGGTAGTGGCAGTTGCAAGAAGTCTGGTCCATTTTTCTACCTTTCACACTGTCAGAGCACGAGACCTTGGGATTTTTATAATCCAAATTGATACTCTCTAGGAAATCTCTTCCACTCCAGCTCCCTGCCCTGGAAAGATTCATTTTCTTGTGGGCATTTCTCCAGCCCTGGTGGGTAACGGTGACTGAGGGTGAATTCCTAACCTTCCCTTGATAAGGTTCAAGTCTTGCTAATTTGAATCTCTCCTATTTTGCTCCCATCCACCTGGTGCTGTTTGATTTATCTGTGCTTGTTTGTGGATTCACTGATCACTTTCTTATTACTCTTCCACCTCCATCCATTTCAGTTTGCGGTGCCTTTCAGGTGATTTCTTATGCCACCCCTTACCACCTGCTCAACCTGACAAATTATCGACTCAAACTGTTGCTCCTGACCTGGCGTGGTCTCTTCCCAGGGATATAAATGATGCAGTTCAGAGGGATAATGATGCCCTAATAAACATACAGTTGTTCCTGTTTCAGCCTGCCCTGTTTGAAATTCAAGCATGCCACAACCACTGGCTGCTGCCCTAGTAAAGGCAGTGAGAAGGAAGAGAGGGAAATTGGAGGGCTGAGGGCTGAGAAATCCACGAGCACCAATAATGAGATCAGAGAAATCACAGAGGGGAGTTGTTGTTTTTTTCAGGGGTGGGGGGCACTTAACATCTTATTTTGCTGTAGTTAAAAATCAGGCAGGAGTGACAGGTTCCCTCTCCAATCAGGTGTGTTCTGAAGCCCTGAAGTTTGGTGGCAAGAAGCAGCAATAAGGCCCCAGAAGCAGGAGGTCAGTAGAGAGGAGATGCCCTCAGCTGCCCATCTTGCCCCTACCCTGGCTCTCACTTGTAGGGACATGGCTGCAGAGGCCTATCTGACCCCAGTTTTGTCCACAGCCACATCTTTAGAGATGAGCACCCTAAATCCCACTTTTATAACTTAGACTCTGAAAACCTTTCCAGATCACAGATTTGGGGCTGCAGCTCTTCTTTTTTATTTTATTTTTTTATTTATTTTAGAGATGGGGTCTTGCCCTCCTGCCCAGGCTGGAGTGCAGTGGCACTGTCATAGCTTACTGCAGCCCTGGGCTCCTGGGCTCAAGCAATCTTCCTATCCTAACTTCCCTAGTATAATAGTTAGGGCTACAGGCATGCACCATCGTGCCCAGATACATTGTTTTACTTTTTTTTTTTTTTTTTTTTTTTGATAAATGAGGTCTTCCTATGTTGTCCAGGCTGGTCTCAAACTCCTGGTTTCAAGCAATCCCCCTGCCTCTGCCTCCCAAAGTGCTGGGATGACAGGCAGGAGCCACCATGTCCAGCCTCCTGTAGTTCTACTAATTGCTATTATTACTCTTCACTGGAGAATCAAGTCAAAAAATCAATAAAACAACATAGATGCAAATATCTTTGACCTTGTTGGCATGACAGTTCTACCACCATTTCCCCTTTAGCTGATGGTAAATCGCATTCGCCCTAAGACCAATTTCTTTGGAGAATGTAAGCCTCTAGCATAAGTAATAAATAAATAAATGCAACCTTAAATCAAGATGAAGACCACCCTAATGTCTTTTCTCTTCACAAACCCACTGGTGGCGCTAGTGAGCAGGGATCACACAGGCTGGCTGTTCCTCACCCTGGACTGTTCCTCCCTTTGGTAGATACAGAAATGGAGAAGACAGGGAGCTCACAGCTACTGTTGCCTGCCCTGTGCCAGGCATCAGCTCTTGTTTCTCATTTAATCCTGGATCAGTTCTTTGTAGTAAGAGGTGTAACCCTGATTTGTGAATGAGGAAGCTGGAAATCAAGCACTCCCCAAGTATTGTAACTTGCATCAAACCCTCCGAGAGCACATTTCCCACCCACATCCTGCTTGACTTGATAATGACTCCCAACACGTACGGATCGCTTACCAGGTGTGAGGCGGTCTGTGTGTCAAAGCAGTGCACTTGGACTTTCTCATTTAAGGTCGCCAACAATCCTGTAGGTTGGAATTGCTGTTCTCCTCATTTTACAGTCGAGAAAATGAGCTCAGAGCAGTTAACTAACTCTTTGAAGGTCATACAGCTAGAAAGTGGTAAATTCTAGAACCTCACCCCCACGCCCTGTAACCACTGTGCAGTGCTACCACAAAGGTGTGTTTGTTTTATTTCCTTATGCCAGAAACACAGTAGGTGGTGCTGCTCAGCAGACAGCTCTGGGCGTCTCTGGGCCCCCTTACTGCTCTGCAGCTGATCCCAGAGAGCCTCTAGGTTTCCAAGTATGCATTGCTTACTCTTTCCTAAGAGCTTTGCCTCTACCAGGACACACCTTTCACTTGTTCCACCTACCCATTTTGACTTGGCATAAAATCAGCTTCTTTGCATGTGAAAAAGACATTTCCAAAACAACCATGACGGCTGTATTTAAAATGCAAATATGCACATTTTTTTTTTCGGAGATGGAGTCTCACTCTGTCACCCAGGCTAGAATGCAGTGGTGCCATCACTGCAATCTCCGTCTCCAAGGTTCAAGTGATTCTCCTGACTCAGCCTCCTGAGTAGCTGGGATTACAGGCATGCGCAACCATGCCTGGCTAATTTTTGTATTTTTAGTAGAGATGGGGTTTCACCATGTTGGTCAGGCTGTCTCGAACTCCTGACCTCAGGTAATCCACCTGCCTCAGCCTCCCAAAGTGCTGGGATTACAGGCATGAGCCACTGTGCGCTGCCAAAATGCACATATAATTTAACACCCAGTTCTCCTCCCAGTACTCTACTGTGCAGTGCAGAGGGACTCATGGGCTGGCCCATTTTATCAGAGCTGTTTGGGGCAATGAAATCATGAAAGGCATTTAAACGCCCATCATTAGAGGTCTAGTTAAATGAATTAGGATATATCAATACTATCTAGCCGTAAAAAAGATACTGACAGGTGGCCCTACCCTGCTGAGGTTTTAAGAGTGCTAATCAGAGAGCCCTCCCATTCTACTTCCAAATCAATCAAAAAGTGAATGCCTGAGTCAGAATGGAATCAGCTGCTTTGCTTGGGGAGAAGCTGGTTTGGAGCCGAGCTGAACTGAAATGGGCCTCCTAACACTTCCCCTTGTGCTTCTGGGAAAGCTTGAAGAACAGTGCATACGTGGAACCTGCAGATGTGAAAACTGAACAATGGCTTTGAACGCATGGACCCTGTTGCACAGCAGGCTCTCACCGGGATGGCACAGAGAAGACGACAGATTCTTCCCTGTTCTTCCAGGAGAGCAGAAGTACCTACTTCCTAGGCAGTGGCAACCACTTGGGGAAAGGAAGAAGATGGCCCCCTCTACAAATGCGTTTCAATTTGGAAACATTGCCTTGATGTAGCGTTAAGTCGGAAAGAAGCAAATTAATAATGAAACGGGAGAGTTCCCAGATCCCCGTCGCAGGACGTGAGACAGGGGTGTGGCTTGCCTGTTGGGTCGTTGCCACTGCTCAAACCCCTGAGGGGTGGGGGAGCACGCAGACAGACAGGTGCAGGAGCCCGAGTGGGTGTGTGTTGCAGTGTGCCGTTTTAGCCCTGCCATCCACGGATGGCTAGAGCGTTAACCAGCTCAATGGACCCTCTGCCTTTTTGCAAGAGCAGAGAGCCAATGTGACAGCTTTCTGTATCCCAAGCTTTTGCCCAGCATCCAAGGGAAAATCGGGCCACATGTGGGCTTGAAGGATGAATGAGGGATTTTATCGAGCGGTGGAGGTGGCTCTCAGTGGGCTGGATGAGGAGTTGGGAGGGGGATGGAGTGGGGAAATGATCTTCCCCTGGAGTTTGGCTGTCCAGTGGCTGAACTCAACTCCAACCGTTTCCACATGAATTCCTGTCAGCATTCAGACGTTCCTTCTCTCTTTCTCTGCCGTGCCATTCCATCGTCCATCTGCTTGTCTCCTTGTCTCCTCATCTGCTTTTGGAGCCTGGGGTTTGGGGTTTATACGACTACAGGATGGGGGATATGGAGGACCAAAAAGCAACACTTTGGGTGTAAGAACAGAAATGCCTGTTCCCACTTAAAGCTTCAGGTCTTCAGGCTTGATGGGGGGGCTCTTTGCTCAGGACCACCCTCTTCTATCCAGTATTTCCCTGTCTCCTGTCCATATCAATAAGACGTATATAATCTCAATTAAAAAGTGTGTGCATATCCGTGTGTGTGTCCACACAAAATCTCTTAACAGAGATTACTTCCAGGCAGCAGGATGACAAAGGGGTTTATGAGATTGGGTTCCTACTTTAAATATTTCTGCAGTGTTTGGAGTTTCTAAAGAAATATTCCTTTAGTAATTAAAGAGAGAGAAAGGAAGAAAAAAAGAGAAAAAACAAATGGATAATTATGTTCTCAGAGAATCCATCTGGACATAATAAAAACAGCAGCAGCAGTTGTATTAGTAGGTAGTATTTATTGAGTGATTTGCTATGTATGCCAGACTCTTCTAAGCACATTACTTGAATTGAGTCATTTAATCCTTGCTGTAACCCTGTGAGGTAGGGATTATTATTATGCTCAATTTACATATGAGGAAACAGGCCCAGAGACTTTAAGTAACTTTCCCAGGTCACTAAACAGTTTCCCAAGATCGGCGTTTAAAATTAAACCTCCGATGAAAGATAAAAGCTCTTTTTGTGTGAAACAAAGCAAAGCAAAACAAGAGGTCCATAGATGCCTCCACTCAGGGTCCCTGGCTCCATTAAGCACTGTAGGCTCAGGAAACTTTCAGAAATGTTTTACTTTATTTTAGAATCAGAGGGATAAAAGGAACATTCACAGTCAAAGAAAATGCTTTACTTTTGTAGGGCCCATCAAAGTGTAATAAATTTTGCCTGAAATAAAAAAAAAAAAGTAAACATTGATGCATTTAAAGTAATATCAAGAATAATTTTTAGGTATGAGCCACACAGTCGCTCCTACCTGCAATCCCAATACTCAGCAGGCTCAGATGGGAGGATCGCTTGAGCCAGGAGATGGAGGCTGCAGTGAGTTACAATTATGCCGCTGCATTCCGGCCTGGGTGACAGAGTGAGACCCTGTGTCTAAAACAATAATAAAGAAGAACTTTTAATATTGAAAATATTTTATCATCGTAGACTCAGAGGGTACCTGTGCAGGTTTGTTGCATAATGATCAGGTTTGGGCTGCCAGTGTACCCGTCACCCCAGAAGTGAACATTGTACCCAATAGGTAACTTTTCAACACTCATCTCCCTCCCACCCTCTCCCTCTTTGGAGTCCCTGGTGTCTGTTATTGTCATAATATTGATAATGTTTAGTATTATAGGAGGGGTCCATGAAGACAAAACTGCTGATGGCCACCCTGTCCTTACCTGCGTTACCCAGCCCACTTAAGTTTCAATCATATCGAAGTGGCATAAATGAGCTCAAAATTGTTCCTAACTCTCAATCGTGTTCAGAAGGGCCTGTTTGCATAAGGACTGGGGGCCCAGACAGCACTGCTTCTCTAATGAAGTTGTCATCTTGGAATCCCTCACATGGAGTCCCTGAGTGACCCAGCACTTGGAGCATAGGAAATGAAAGAACAATGACTTTGCAATAATTTAAAGTGTTACATGAGCAATGACAACATACTTGCGGATATTTGAGCTATTTCTTTAGAGGAAAAAAGAACAGTTTGGAGAAACCTAACTCTTGTCATATGGTTTATTTAATGATGATACTAATTTAGAGTAGGTTCCCGCTAATGAAAAGCTGTAGCAAATTATACTAACGAATCCTTGCTGTAAAATTCTTTCTTGTAATTCTTTACGGGAACACAGGGCAGTTTTCAAATGAAGATGTGATGGACATTCGTTCTTGAGTTTTTAACTGCCCCCAAAAGGGAACTCTGAATTACTGGGACACATCGAGGGGGAGGGATATCGTTTATATAATAATCAGGACTGCTTTCATTCAGAGTACAGAAAGCCCAACTCAAATTAGCATCAAGAGGGACTTCATTGGGTCTTCTAACTGAATAGTGTGAGGATAGATCTCAAGTGTGGCTGGATTCAGAAGTCAACCCACTTTCCTCTGTGCCGGCTTCATTTACAAAAGATTCTCTCCGCATGGAGGTGTGGTCCCCCAGATTGAGAACCAGCAGGAAAGGAAGTACTGCTTTCTCCTGGTGGTTCCCAGGAAATTCTGCAAGTCTTATTTTTCAGAATTGGCTCAGGAACCCATCCCTGGACCACTCCTTGGGGCCAGGGGGATGACGTGCTCCAAAAAAGCTTTGGGGCTTGCGTGGCATGCTCATTAGGTGGTTGGTGTGGGTTGACTTCTCCTGAATCCTGTGGATCAAAAGTAAGGAGGGGGATCCACTTCATAAGACAATTGAAACCAAGGTGTTGTCAATCAAGGGAAACAGCAATGGACACAGGGGAAAGAAAGGAAAATGTCTACTGCAATATGTAATTAATAGTATGGAGGGTTAAGTTTCAGTTTTTGTTGATTTATGGAGTTTTTCAATGTCTTACAAACAATCAAAACACCGAAAAACTTTTAAATAAAATTTCAAATAGCTACAAATCTAGCTACCTTAGGTTTAAGTCACTGGAGATTACTGGTTGAAAGTTTGTTAACAGTTTCTTGTTCATGCCTTGAAAATTTCATGCAAAATTGTACCTTTTGGCTCTCTCTGAAGAAACATGACAATTTGGAGTCTGGATTAGTCCTTGAAAAAAGCTGGTCCCTGAATTCCTTCTGCTGCTGCACCTGGATGCTTCGTTACAACTAGAGCTAATAGGAACCACCCAGCACTCGTCAATGCCTGAACTGGGCTGACTGCATGGCTGATTAAACCCACAGCAAAAAGTGTTTAAAGTTTAATTAATCAGTCAACAAGAAAAATTGAACTCTATACCATGGGTAAAGCGAGGCTGCACACACACACACGAGAGACAGAGAGAGAGAAAGAGAGAGAGAGAGAAATTTGATGGTGAAGTATTTCCTATAGAAACAACCTCTCTTTCTTTGGTGACAACATTATTTGGGACACCATTAAGAATTTAATAAACTAATTGGACTTTTTTTTTTTTTTGCAATTTCATGCCAATGAACACTGATAAACCAACTTCATGGTTGCTCTTCACACTTGAGATTTGAATAGTACCTTTATAAAACAAAGCCATTATGAAATGGCCCTGTCACCGTGACTTCTAAAGGGTAAGACTGTGCCTCCTGACAATAAGTCCAGCCTGACTTTGTAACATCTCTTGGCTCCCTTGTCTGGAAGGATGATTAAAATCAACAACTATTTCCTGAGTGCCTCTTCAATATAGGACATTGTGCTAAGTACAATATAGTAGTAGGTGCTGGCGGGGAGGTCACATACACAGATAAACCATAGGTGTCGGCCTTACATTGCTTCAAATTCAGTGTGAAAACACAAAACTCACACGATAAAGTACAGTGTAAAGTGACATATGGTAAGTAGCCCAAATCAAATGAAATTATTTAAATTGATGTAATTAAATATTTATTGAAATACTTACACCTACATAACAGGCTTAGTTCAAGGTCTTGAGGAAATAACAATGAGCAAAACATACAAGATCCCTGATCTCTTAGAGTTTATGTTACGGGGGTGGCAGGGGGAGAGGGAGCGGATGATGGACGATTGAACAAATAAGTATAAAATATGTCAGATTATTAAATGCTGTGCAAGAAAAATGAAGCCGAGCAAGGGCTTAGTTGGAGGTGGAGGAAAGTGCACTTTCCTAAGACTGGTATGGGAAGGGGCTTTTAAGAAGACAGTGTTGCGAGGGCTCACGCCTGTAACCTCAACACTTTGGGAGGCTGAGGCCGGCAGATCACTTGAACTGGCCAATATCGTGGCCAAGACAAACCTGGCCAATATTGTGAAACCATGTCTCTACTAATAATATAAAAAATAGCCAGGCATGGTGGCACGTGCCTTTAATCTCAGCTACCTGGGAGGATTAGGCAAGAGAATTGCTTGAACCCGGGAGGTGGAGGCCGAGGTGACCAGAGATCATGCCACTGCATTGCACTCCAACCTGGGTGACAGAGCAAGACTGTCTCAAAATGAAAAGAAGAAGAAGACAATGTGAGCAGAGAAAGGAATGAAGCAGAAGGAAGGGAGGGTGTGTAGAGTGTCCAGTGCCTGCCTGTGCTTAGTAAGCACTCAATCAATAAACACTATTATTATTATAATTAATCTAAGAAGGAGCCCGTAAACCTGAGAGGAGAGTGTCATTGCAATGAGCTTGATTGAAGCAAGATTTGTGAAGGATGTGGCATTTAAAAGGTTGAGATAAGAGTTCATGGGGAGATGAGGGAAGGGCCATCTGAGGGAAAAGGAAGGATAAAAAATCCAATGGACACTGAGATCGGGCACACCAGTGGGCGGGACCCATAGGCTAATGTCCTCCTGCAGAAATGCAGTTTGGGTTTGTTTTTGCAGGGAGGTTGTTTGTTTGAGTTTTTTTTAAAGATTATCTCATCAAAACCTGAATTTCAGGCTACTGTGAGAAAAAGTAGAAAATCTAACAGCACTGAGCCCACTTTTCCACGTGGCAAACACTGGTCTAAGTCCTTACAGCCCTGCCACATCATCCCAAGATCACAACACCACTTCCCGGGATTCCAGTATATTGCGGTGGTTTTTAAGAGCAAAATAGCAGCATTTTGAGAGCTGCCTGTCATATGAAAAGCGTTCTCACCACACCCTTCCACTGTCTAACCATGCCACAGTATCTTGTTTCTCTTTTGGTTCTCATTTCCTGGTATATGGGAGAGGTTGAGTGGCTTTTGCCAGACATTTGCTTTCTTTCCAGAGCTCCTTCAGCTATGGTCTACAGTCAGAGTTCCATCATGGAGGCATCCTAGATTTTTTTTTTGCCTTTGGGAGGGGAGAAGTGAGGAAGAGACTATATTAAAAATGTAAGAAAGGCTGGGCACGGTGGCTCACACATGTAATCCCACCACTTTGAGAGGCCAAGGCAGGTGGATCACCTGAGGTCGGGAGTTCGAGACCAGCCTGACCAACATGGAGAGAAACCCCATCTCTACTAAAAATACAAAATTAGCCGGGCATGGTGGCACATGCCTGTAATTCCAGCTACTCAGGAGGCTGAGGCAGGAGCATAGCTTGAACTCAGGAAGCGGAGGTTGTGGTGAGCCGAGGTCGCGCCATTGCACTCCAGCCTGGGCAACAGGAGCAAAACTCCGTCTCAAAAAAAAAAAAAAAAAATTTAAAAAATGGTTTCATAGGGATGGGAAAAGAGGGGTCCCAGGCCTAATTCCCAGTCTTTCTCCTAGGGTTGAGCTCCTGCCCTTTTTCCCCTAAGGCCAAACACCTGTCTCTGATGTCTGATTCCTCTTCTCCCAGAATTCTTCATTTTGGCCAAGACCTTCTTCCCCAGTCAAATTCCCAGAGACTCATATCTGGAGGACAGAAAGGCACGACCTTAGCTCTTCCTCAGAATGAGGAATAGAAAACAGTGGGGGGCCAGCTCACTTTTTAATAAGACACTAGTATTTCAGCATTCTATGAAGTCAACACCCAAGGAATGTCCCTGTCATCTGTTCTCACCTTGCAATTGCTGGTCCTGTTGTCTTCCCCAGCCCTCTCCACACCTCACTTCACCAGCCAAGCCATTGTTGGCTCCTAAGCATTTCAGTTCCTGATGGAGGAGTAAGACAGGTAGTCAGGTAAAGCTGGAGTGAGGACAAATGGGACTGGGGTGGCGGAATCCCTGGCAGAAAGTCAAGGACGTGAACATACAAGGAAAAATAGGCCACAGCCAGAGCACTGAAGGCCACAAATGTGAACCCCTAGCTAGGATATGTCATTTTATGCCAGGCAAAATCAGGACAACAAAGGGTTCTCAAGCATAGGTGCGACCCAACCAACCCTTCACCAGCCAGGAACATTTTCTGGTGTTAATGCCATCTTAGAAAATGCTGTGAAAAGCTCCTTGCACTGAGCTAGTTTCTCATCCCCTGATGTTTACACCTCTCAAAGGTGCATGGAGCCCCACAATGTGTCACTCTCTGATTTGTCACCTGGAGAACACAGCGCAGACATGTTTGGCTGCTTTAATATTTCTCTATAAATCAATCCTCTTTCCCCTTAATCATGTGGGTTGTTCTTCTCTGAACTTGCTCCAATTTGTCTACATCTTGCTGGGACTGAGTTGTCTAAAAGTGAACACACCCTTCAAATGCGGGAACTCTCCCTGCAGCCCCTGGCAGCTCCTGGCGACTCACTTCACCGCCCGGAGAATTCCGTGCAGGGCTCCAGCGGTGAGCAGAGTTGGAAACGGCCCATCCCCAGTTTCCAAAGAGGCCGTGTCTTTCTGTTCCTGAGCGGGCCCGTTTGTTATTTTTAGTGTCTGATTGTCAGGCTGCGGCATTAGAAAGTCTGTGGTCGCATTACATATTCCAGAAAGTCACATTGCTGGTGATGTGCGGCTGTATCGATGGATGAGTAATTGCTCGCTGTCAGGCCCACCCGGTGAAGCTGTGTCCTCCCAAGTTGTGAAAGGGGGATAGTGCGAGAGCCGCACCTGCCGCGGCCCCACCTGTCTGCGCTTGGCCGATGCCAGCACCTGCAGCCTTTCGTACCAGCGCCCTCTGCTGGTCGGACGCCCCACTTCTGGGCGCTCAGGGAGCAGAAGGGGCCTGGCCTCACCCGACAGCCCCCTGGCTCTAGGCAAGTGAGATATTATTATTCCCATTTTAAAGACCAGATAACTGAGCCCCAAAGAAGCGAATATGTGGCTCACAAGCAGAAAGGGATAACAGATGGAAGAACAACAATAATCAGAACAGCAACGCCAGTGAACCGTTGCACATCACTTAATTTGCCAGGGGCTGCAAACCCACAGACAAATAATGGCAGAAAGTGCAGAGAGCCAGGCGCAATATAAGGAGTGGATGGGGACCATGGCAGATCCCTGGTGCTCAGTCTAGAGGAGGCAAAAGCGGTAAAGCTCTGCCACGCAACCACACAGGGCCAGTAACGTCAGAACTTCTCAGAAGGCATCTATCCTTAAGTGTGAAATTTCTCTGATTTTGAAACAATTCATGGGCCAAACAAAATATGGCTAAGGGCTACATTTGATCCACTGCCCCTGCTTGTAACCCCTGGTTTACACAGAGTTATCTGACTTACTATCTCATTTAAGTTTCACATAATCCTGTGATATCATTACTGGTTTTATCCTCACCTTTGCAAACAAAAAAACTAAGGTTGAAGGAAGTTATGCAAATCTAATTTATGTTAGAAAGGAGAGTCAGACCTAGGCTTTCACATCCCAAAGCATAGATTCTCCTCCCTGAACAATACAGACAAGTATTTTACTTTGGGAGAAAGGAGACTGGCTAGCCCAACACCCTCCTTTTTAAGAGTGAGAAAGCCGAGGCTCCTTTGAAGGAGCCGCAAATGGCAGGCTGCACTTTACAAACAGTCTCAAGTCTGGTTCTTTCAAGTCATGATGTTGTCCTTTATTCTGCACTAAATTTGTTTTCTAAAGACTACGCCTATAGGCTGAGGGCCTCTCACCTGTGATTAGAACATTTGCTTTGAGTAGCTTTCAAGGAACAGAGCTGTGTGTGTGCTGCACCAACCACATGGTCTCAGCTGGCACCTATTATAATTCAAATTGAGAGATGGGAAACATTGAGATGCATTAAGCAAGATCAAACTTTACAACAGTTGGCACAGGGGCAAATGAATTCGGCTTGCCGACTTATTTGTTCGGCCCACACAAACCACTAAATAAATAGATAATCGTAATAATAATGTACACAGCATTGCCAAAATTTGTCAATCAGGTGATTTCGCATAAAAATTCAATTTCTCATATTCTTTTGCAAAATCCAAACATCTACCGCATTGGTTCTATATTCGCAGATGACGAGATTAGCTGGAGCTATGTTGTTGCCACCTCTTTCCAGCAGGGCATTCACTCAGCAACTCTCCCCAATACCTACCTCTTTCTATTGTCTCCCTGAGGCCAAACATCACTAGCCATTTATCATTGTGTTTGGGTCTTTCTTTTCATAAAGAAAATGAGTTGTCTCCTATAGTAATGTCTCTCAAAAGTGAGAAAACAGACTGAGAATTCGAGAAAAATAAGAGAGAGCATCTTTCTTTACAGTGATGAAGATATTCTAAAATATTCATATTTATTGAACAATTTAGTGTTACTTTCCTTGTCTCTGGTCAGCACCTGAGTTTTCTACACCATTTTGGAGACTTTCTAATACAGTCTAGTATCTGTTAGTCTAGTAATATGAACTACCTAATACAGACTTAATCAGTGCAGTTTAATGAATCAGCTGATTCAAAACAAGATTGGGCAAAATGAGAACCACAGCTTGCTAAGCCCCCAGCTGCACTGTGGGTAGCCATTTCCAACAAGAAAACAGTTAGGTAAAAGAAGCTTTTACTGTGTCTCCCCCTTGGAGGCCTTTTCTCAGTATTTCCATAGAAAGCCAATTTCTCATTTCTCCATTGGCCCAAGACTTTCAGGTAAACACAGAGTCTATTGAAATGCTGTGAATTCCCCCATAAAAGCTGATGTCCTCATCCATCCATTTCTATGGCCCACCCCTGGCTTTTTAAACACGAGAACAATCTTAAGCAGTTTAGCCAACAACAAGAAATAAAATTTGTGAGGCTTAACATCTCCAAACAAAAAGCAAGTGGCAGTGTTGCTTTTTTCTTCTGCAGTTATAAAAGACTGAAAATGGAATATTCATCCCTGTTTCTGCATCATTTTGTATTAAATTTGTAACTACTGCATAGTTAGCACTATAACTTTCTATTGGTATGATTGAGATAATTATTGTTATTCATCTTTTAATTGATAAAGCTTTGGAGATGTTATGGGCTAGCAATTTGTGACTGTTACCTTTATTTGAAGAGACTAAAATCCCAGAAGTTGAAATTATCTGTTCCTTGGGTCACAAACTCCCTCAAGGACTTCTCCAGACAGGTAATTTGTGTGGGCAAAGTAACCTTATAAAGAGCTCCAGCGATCAAAGAAGTTACCTATACTCAGCCACAGCCAATTATATACATGGAAGAATGCATTCCAGTATTACTAGATCCTCAAATTTTTCAAGAAAAGCCAATAATCTGATTGGTGACACCTTTTGATTTCCCAATGTCAATAACTAATTCCTATTTTGTTTTTAAATATTCTGAGTCAAACTAAATATGTATGTGGATCCACATTTGGTTCAAATTTACCAGTTAGACACCTCTAATATAGTGTTGACTCCTCGATTTTGCAAAAGGAAACTGGAGATCTGTCAAGGGATACTCGAAAAACAGAGACAGAGAGCTAGCATTCACATCCACACCATTGAACAAGCTAAGGTGAAGCCTGACTGTGAGATAAGACAAGAAAACCACTTTCCTCTGAAATGAAGAACAATGAGGGCTCTCAGATTTTTCCTTACCATGACCCTTCATTCTCAGTGGAAACCCCTTCTTAACCTCATTATCAAAATAACGCATTTAGCTAACTTGCCATGAAGGAACAGATTTTAAACTTTCATTTTTCTTGGAGGAAAGTCTTTGGGGTAATTGGAGCAAAAAGCTACTAAGAGTCAGTGAATATTTCAGAATGAAAAAATGAAGAAGGAGCTAAGTCACATACATACACACGTTCATACACACACACTTGTCTAAAGGTGGGGCTTTAAGAGTTTGAGCACTGACTTGGGAAGAATTAGCCTCACATCTATTGAAAGCTCCCTGTTGATGAGAAAATTCCTCTACAGGGTTACTGATTAAGGGCCAGTTTTTTTGTTTGTTTGTGTTTTTTGTTTTTCTCCCATGTCAGGGTTAGCTCATGGGCCAACCTATTTTTATGGACACAATTTTATTGGGACACAGCTGTGCCCCTTTATTGATGCATTGTCTATGGCTGGTATCACGCTAAGACAGCACAGCTGAGTCGTTGTACCAGATGCCGTATGTACCACAAAGCCTCAAATGTCTACTATGTGGTCCTTCACAGAAAAAGCTTGCTGACTGCTCCCGGATGTGAGGGGCCGGTCATGCATCCTGTGGCACCTTGTAGGGTATTTTGTGAATGAAGGACTAAGAAAATGATAATGGGTACCAGGAATCAAAAACTCAAATGATTATAGAAAGAAGAAAAATTAAACACAGCAGGCCATGAGAAAACTGTTGTGAACTGGAGTGCTTGTTCTGCATCTCAAGGTGACAGCATCTGCTAAGCTCAGAGATTGCCATCTGGCAGGAATGTAGACCCAGTATTCCCAAACCTTCTGATTCATGAATGATATGGTTTGGCTGTGTCCCCACCCAATCTCATCTTGAATTTCCCATAATTCCCACGTGTTGTGGGAGGGACCCAGTAGGAGATAACTGAATCATAGGGGTGGTTTCCCCCATTCTGTTCTCGTGGTAGTGAATAAGTCTCATGAGATCTGACGGTTTTATATGGGGAAACCCCTTTTGCTTGGCTCTTATTCTCACCTTGCCAGCCTCCATGTAAGACATCCCTTTGCTCTTCCTTTGTCTTCTGCCATGATTGTGAGGCCCCCCCCGCCATGTAGAACTGTGAGTCCATTAAACCTCCTTCCTTTATAAATTACCCAGTCTCAGGTATGTCTTTATCAGCAGCATGAGAATGAGCTAATACAATGAGCACTCATCAATCTGGATTTTCATGTGAAATCTCAATTTTTTAAGTGTTGGTAACTACATTTAAAAATAAATACTGTGGGTATCTATAGGGGCCACCTATTTTTGTTATCTTCTGGGTCAGCAGGGAATGTCCTTATCTTTCTTGTTTCTGATCAGGCTACAGGAAAATGGATTGCTAGAGAACAGAGGTTTTGTGACGGAGTGGTATAAGAAGAAATCTGATGGCCAAGGGCTTGTTACTGGGTCTGTTTCAAATGCCAGCACCTTCTGTGTCTGCCTTCAGACAACACCAAACACCTAAATCATCTTGGTAAACACAGATAGAAAGAGACAGAAAGGTTAAAAGTATACTCATAATCACTTGCTTTTTTTCCCCTCCTAAACGTGTTTGAGAGCAATATTGTTTCGTAAAAACAAAATGACCCCATTTCTAAAGCAATATTCATGCTAAGCTACTCAGCTGTTAAGTATAACCAGCAGTTTGCATTATGATGAAGCTAAGCCAGAATTTCAATTATTTTCTGGACACATTTAAAATTATAATACTTTACTGGGTTAGTGTTATAGTTCATTCAAATTACTCACAAACTATCATATCAATCTCTTGCAACTGCTAATGCCTTACAGATGCGTGAAGTTAGGCGAAATAAGAAACTGACCAGGGTAATGACTTTCATACTGGCATTGTATTTTAAGGGATACATGTCCCTAAGTATTTGGATGGCTAATGGTCAAAAGCTAGCTCTTACTTCTTATAATATTTAGGCTAAAAGATATAAAAAGAGGATAGAGACCATTCTTTTTCCTATTTCCAGGAAAACATCTGGGTCTGTACAAAAATTCCCAGCAGTCCACTCTACCCCTCCTCCCCACAAATTTTACCTCTTCTGACAAATGACTTTAGAATTCTGTCTCCAAGTACCCAAGGGTGGCATTGCTTTATTTTCTCCCTCTGGGACACTGTTGCCACCAACCCTTGAAATCTTCAACATTCTTGCCTCTCTACAGACACTCAGCTTTCAGTGGTGTACCTCAATGCAGACCAGCAGTGAGAGCAAAATTCATCAAGTGCAGGTCCAGTTAATCGACAAAGATTTATGAATGTCACCACCAGCAGGTGCTTAAAATGTGGATCTTCCTGAAGAAGGCGTGCCACTCTAAGCCTCTCCTAATCAATGGGAGCCTTTCATGCCCTTCGCAAAGTCTGGAATACCATGTGCAAAAATGCGTTCAGGTTAATTTATGACTGCCTCTCCAAAGGTTCTGTCACTTGGCCCTGTGTTCTGAGGGACACGGTGTCACTTAAAAAGCAGGAACCATGGGAACAAGCTGTTTTGGACTTGCTCTGAATGCTAACTGCTAATGCAGTGAAGTTAGCCAAATGCCCAGAATCAGCAAGGGGGCTTGGACAGCTAATATGAGGCTTAGCCACATGCAAGCTTACAGACCCAGGTGGGATCCAATCAAATAAATACATTAGAAGCCTATTTAAAACACTTTTTACTATTCAGATTGTCTTTGCATTGACAAAGAAACTACAGCAAAACAAGAAATGTATCCTTTTTTTAGTGTCTTACCCTTCATATCTAGAGTTGCATTGTCCAGAAAAAAAGCTACTTGGCACCTGTGGCCATTTATATGTCGATTTGAATCAATTAAAATGAAAGAAAATGAAAAATTCCTTTCTTCATTCGAACAAGCCACCTTTTAAGTGTTCAGTATCTACAGGAGGCTGGTGGCTATGGACAGCTTGGGTGTCTAATATGTCTATCATCTAGAAAGTTCTGTTGAGAAGTGCTGACCTAGAGATTTTTTTTTTTGGTCAAAAGCATCTTTGTGGCTATATTATCTGTCTGCTTGTCTATCAGGTTTTATTACCACCTATGGCAGGATTTCCCAAGTATGATATAGGCACCACTCAAGTTAATTTTAACATGAATTTTTTTAACTTCTAAAACGTATATAGTTATTTCAGGGTGAATTTTAAAATATATGACAAGAATTATGCCAAGCTTTTTAAAAAGCCAGACTCAAAAGGTTACTTGCTCAAAAACTGACCCACTCCATTTATTTATTTATTTGAGACGGGGTCTTGCTCTGTCACCCAGGCTGGAATGCAGTGGCATGATCATGGCTCTCTGTAGCCTAGAGCTCCTCGGATCAAGTGATCCTCCCACTTCTGCCTCCCAGATAGCTGGGACTACAGATATGTGCCACCACTTCAGGCTATTTTTTAAAATTTCTTTTTGTAGAGACAGGATCTTGCTATGTTGCCCAGGCTGGTCTCAAACTCCTGAGCCGAAGTGATCCTCCTACCTCGGCCTTCCAAAGTGCCGGGATTACAGACATGAGCCACTGCGCCCAGCCCCACTCCATTTCTATCACATTCTTGTAATGACCAAATTATGGAGATGAGAAAAGGATTGTTACCTAAGGGAAAGAAAGGGGGAGGTAGCTGTGGCCATAAAGAGTAGTACAAGGAGTCCTTGTGATATAACTCATCTGTGGCATTTTGGCTGTGGTGGAGAGCTCATGAATCTACACATGTGAAAAAAATGTTACAGGACTAAACACACACACACACACACACACACACACACACACCCCTAAGTTTAGGTAAAACTGGTGAAACCTGAGTAGGTCAGTGGATCATATCAACATCTACTTCTTGGGGTGATATTGCACTTTGATTATGCAAGATGTTATCATTGAGGGAAAACAGGGGAAGGATATGGAGGATTTCTGTGTATTATTTCTTATAGCTGCGTATGAATCTACAATGATCTCAGAAGAAAAAGTTGAAAAATACATATGAAAGGTACATCAAACCCAAAATGTTTTGAGTATAATGTCTAGGACAAAGCTAAAGAAACAAATGTCATTACAATCTATTATTCAAGGAAAAACATTAGCCAGCAAAGAACAGTAAAGGGGATATGCATGTGAAAATAATGTATGGAGATGTTACATGAGAGACTGTTTGAGCAATAAAGTGTGAAAGGCTCTGACATTGTGATTAGGAAAACAAGTTGGAATGAAACAAAGCTAGGACCCAATGACACTAACTATCTGGGTGGTTTTGGGCAAATTACTAAACTTCTCTGTTCCTCCATTTTCCCATCTACACAATGAGAATAAGAACAGAACTGTTCTCATGATGTTGTTGTGAAGCTATGATGGGAGAATAACTGTGAAATGTTAGTGCATTCTCCAGTTCCTACTAAGAACTTAAGAAATGAGGCTGGGTGCGGTGACTCATGCCTGTAATCCCAGCACTTTGGGAGGCTGAGGCGGATGAATCACCTGAGGTCAGGAGTTCAAGACCAACCTGGACAACATGGTGAAACCCCGTCTCTACTAAAAATACAAAAATTAGCTGGGTGCGGTGGTGGACACCTGTAATCCCAGCTACTCAGGAGGCTGAGGCAGGAGAATTGCTTGAACTTGGGAGGTGGAGGTTGCAGTGAGAGGAGATCATGCCACAGCACTCCAGCCTGGGTGACAGAGCAAGACTCCATCTCAAAAAAAAAAAAAAAAAAAAAGAACTTAATAAATGGTTGTTATCATTGGGTTATGTGTACCCTGTCCCACAAGAACTGGAGATGATTAATTATTCCTGTAATTGCTTAAATCAGAGTCATCAAACTTTTTCTGTAAAAGGCCCAAGAGTAAATATTTTTGTCTTTGCAAGCAGTATGGTTTCTGTTGCAACTGCTCCACTCTGCCCTTGTAGCACAAAAGCAGCCCTAAGTAAATGAATCAGTATGGCGATGTTCCAATAAGATTTTATTAGTGAAAACAGGCAGTGGGTCAGATTTGGCCTGTGGGCCATAGGTGGCCAATCCCAGGCTTAAACCATCTCCTGTTATTGACTTCTTAAGGGAAAGAGACTATTGAAGGCAGACCCACTCTTCTTTCTCTTCCCACTCACCTCCTCCCATACTTACAGACCATTCCATTAGGAAGCCAACCAGAGGTTAAGTCAAAATATGCCTGCTAATTGTGTACTTCTATTGACGAGAGCCCATCATGGGTCCCCTGGGTCTTGTACATAGTAGGCTTTCAATAACTATTGAGTGATTGATTGATTGACCCATTAACGGAGAGAGCTGGATTCTGACGAAGGTTAACGGAGATTGGAAGGCCAGAGCTTCCCAGGTGACTTCGCCCTCAGTGCTGGAAGAAGGGAATGTTCGTATTGATGCAGGCTTCGCATTGATTTAACACTGCAGGGTCTGCAAAGCATTTTATTAGGTATCATGTCATTTAATCATTCAAATCTTCGCAACTCCGCTATGGCAACTATTGGTAGTTTTGTTTTACAGCCGAAGAAACTGGTACTCAGAAAAACCAAGCAGTTTTCCTAAAATCACACCGCTTGTTCATTGGCAGAACTGAGGCTTCAACCCAGTTATCTCAATTCCAAAAGCAAGTCTCTTTCCATGATGTCCGGAGCTCTGCTAAAGAAATTTCTGACAAATGAAAAGTGGCCTGGTTGCTCCTCCAATATTATTACAGCTCTAAATTGTAACAGGGAAAGAGGGAATCGGTTTAAATATACTCAACTTTAAGTTATTTGGAAAATAAGTGAAAAATTCTACTATGGATGTATTTATGTATAATTCCACATTTATCAAAGGTTTTTGTAATGCTATAAAGTTATATAATAAGGAATATATGTGACATAAAGAATAAATATACATGTATATGATAAAGTATGTATACATAGACATTATCATGAAAAGGATGAAAACCATAAGTTTAAAGAAGATGGCTCACAGACTAAATTTAACACACACACACACACACACACACACACACACACACACACATGCACACAAACACAATGCTAACTCAGCTACTAATAAACCCAGTGGCCATGGGAGCTTTGGGGACAGGCCTAGGATTTGGGTCTCAGCCTTGCCGTATTCTGTCAGTAACCTTGGGCAGTGTCCCTTCATCTGTAAAAAAGACACAACAAAAATATTTCCCCTGCACAGTTGTTATAAAGGTAAAATGAAATATTGTATGCAAAGCACCTCTTACCTGCTCTGTGCTCAGTAAATAGCAGCTGTTATTGTCATGAAGTGTGTGGGTCGGTGTGTGTATGTGTGTGTGTGTGTGTATGTGTAACTCTCTCTCTTAATTAGAATAGTCTGTGGCCAGTAACCGTGTCAAATCCTTATTCTCCAAAGGACTTAGCATTGTGAGTTTCACTTAGAAGCTCTTTAATAGATGTGTGTGAAACCAGGGAATGATTTGGAAGTTAGGATACCATATTAACAAGGGTATTATTATTATCCTAATAAAGCTCAGGTGTTCAAATGGTGTATTTAGAACAGGATTTCTAAGGCTCGGCCATATTACCATTTGGGATAATTATTTACCGGGTACCGTCCTGTGTTATCAGTGTTTAGTGGCCTCCTCAGCCTCTACCCACTAGATGCCAGTAGCACCCCCATTCCTACCTCATCCAGTTGGAGACAAAAATGACTCCAGATATTGTGCCCTGGGAGGCAAAATCCCCCCGTTGAGATCTAGATCCAGCGGTGTCTGAAAAGTCCTCCTTATGTGAAATTTCAATAAATAGTAGGGTTGTTGTTCGGGGAACTGAAACTCCAAGGGTTAGAAAAGTCAGGTGAGTTTTTGTGGTCACGGAAGTATCAGTTTAGAAAATGCAATTTGCTTTCATATGCAGAATTTTTTACTTCAACAAAGGACTTTAGGGAAGAAAATGCTGATCTCACACCGGCTTATTGAATAGCATTTTGCAAACTCCAGGCCTATTTCTGTAAACCTTCCAAAAGAGAAAGCCAGCCTCTCGGTGTCCTGAGCCTCACTAGATGATAATATATGTATGAGATCCGGAGAAACCCATGCATTCCTAGGAAATACTTCAAAGTTATTTTTTAACATCAAAACAAACAAGGGTCAGTGGGTCTCCCGTGCAGCCTCTGTCTATTTATAATTATATTTTGTATAAACATATTTGGTGACTGTGGAAAAGACTTCATGGGCACACAATGGCAAGCGTTCTTCAAAACTGTCTTTAATTATTCATTTGGCTGTGCTATATTTTATGTTTCTTTTCATAAATGTTAATCTTTATTATTGCCTTAGTAAGTGGGGAGGAAAACACACACACACACACACACACACACACACACACACAGAGTAATACCTGTTATTAAATGACCTATCAGAGTGACATGGATAAATGTTGGGAGTGATTTAATTGTTTCTTATCTGCAGTTTTATACAGTTTCTATCAAACTGAAGGGTAATTTTTTTTAGTAGCTGCTTATTTTAAATGTACAAAACCCTTGTGTGTAATTCCATTAGCTGCCCTACAGCATTGCAATCTACAGTTTCCCTGAGGCTGTTGTGAAATATTGATGAAATCCTTGCTTTCGTGGCTTGCTCTGATACACTAAACATTTGTCTGATGTTAGTTGAACTTGAATGGATCTGTTCAGAGCTATATCAGTACTGACTTCAAAGGGAGTGAGGCTGTTACAGTATTTTTTCCTCATTTTTCTTTCTTTCGTTCTTCCTTTTTTCTCTCCTTTTTCTTATTTTTAACGAACTGAAGTTTCAAAGTTTTACCACGGTATACTTTATAAAAACAAAGTTTATATCAAATGGGCCCAAGTACGTAGCAAACTGCTGATCTTTATAATTTCAAATGGTGTTTTTTTTTTTTTTTTTTTGATTCTGGTTTGTTGCTGGTATCATTTAAGATATTTTGATACAGAGGTGGATGCTGGCCCCCAAAACACACACACACACACACACACACACACACACACACACACTCACAGAGACAGAATGGGAGAAGGATGTGAAACAGAAACCCTGGTTTTGTGAAGTTAGCCTCAGGACTCTGTGCCTCTGGAAGTCGACCACATAGGACTCTCCCTTTCAACGTTGATGAAAAGGCACCATGAATGAGAAAACTCATCTCCAACTGACTTTTTCCAGCTAAAGTTGTTTGAATGGAACTTCACAACTTTCAGGACTAGAGCTCACAGTTATTCCTGTGTTTTCTGCTCAGGTTGTGAATTATAACTGCTGAGAGTTACTAATTTGTAAAAAGCGATATAACAGTCTTTTAGGAGCTTATAAGCAGTAAAATAGCTTCCAAAGCAGGGTTTCTCAACCTTGGCGCTATTGAGATTCGGGGTCCGGTAATTCTCTGTTTTGGGGCTGTCCTGGGCATTTTGGGAGGCTTAGCAGCACCCCTGGCCTCTGCCCATTGGATGCCAGTGGCACCACCTCCCGAGTTGAGACAACCAAAATTGTCCTCTGCCCATTGGATGCCAGTGGCACCACCTCCCGAGTTGAGACAACCAAAATTGTCCTCTGCCCATTGGATGCCAGTGGCACCACCTCCCGAGTTGAGACAACCAAAATTGTCCTCTGCCCATTGGATGCCAGTGGCACCACCTCCCGAGTTGAGACAACCAAAATTGTCTCCAGACTTTGTCACATGTCCAGTTGGGGGGAAAAATGCCCCCCAACTCCTCCTGGTTGAGAATCCGTGCCCGAAAGACACAGCTTCCCTCCACTGTAATAGAAGGGTCCCTTTATGTCTCAACAGGCGGGATGACCTTGCAAAATTCTCCAGATGAGTGTCTCACACGATCATTCTTCAGATCAGTTTTCTAGAATGATTTTGACCCATACTCGGGAGTCAACACACTCTTTGCACCTTTGCTTTTTAGAGTTCTCTGGAAACAGGAATCAGAACAGGAGCATTTTGTCTTCACTGAAACCTCTAGAAACGGGCTGAAGGGGCTTGACCCTGAGCTGGATGGCATTAGTTTGGGAAGCATCGATTGGCTATGAAAGCTCAGTAAATTGTAATGAATGAGCCCCAAAGTGACTTCCATCAATTTTTTCTTCCAATAGCCCCACCCCCTAGAGGAGCAGCTAACCCAGTACGTCACCTTTGCCCTGGGTCAGTACGTCACCTTTGCCCTGGGTCACTTAGTACAACTTTTCCAACAGATCCTCCAGCAATGCCACCTTGCCATTGGCTTCACGCTCACAGAGAGCAAAAGCAGCCATGTTTTATATCAACAATTGGCCCTCTGTCATAACTGTTTCAAAGACAGGTGATTTACTGTATGCCTATTAAATTGTGTGATCGTATTTAATTAATATCAGCCTTGCCTGCAAAGTTCTAATCGTCATGAGCCTAGAACACCTATGTCTCCTTGCAGTGGTGTCTCTGTTGCCCATCCCAGTACACACGGTAGGGGCTCAGCTTTTCGAACTAAATAGTTCATTAATTAAGGGTTTAGAAGCCTCTTCACCCTCATTCCCCTCAGCTCCCTTCCTCTTTGGGAGCAGCACTCTCTTCTCTGCCTTTCAACCTGGCAATTGGGAGAGAAAAGAAAGAAGTGTGGCTGACAGAATCGAAAGAAAGGAGGGGGAAAGGAGGGAGAGAGGGAGGAGGGAGGGAGGGAGGAAGGAAGGAAGGAAAAAAAGAGGGAGGAAGAGAAAGAAAAGAAAAAAAGAAGAAATGGAAAGAAAAGAGGGAGGAAGAAAGGAAGGAAAAGAGAGAGGGAGGGGAAAAAAAGAGAAAGAAGAAGGAAGAGAAAGAAAAGAGAGGAAGGAAGAAAGAGAAAGAAGAAGGAAGAGAAAGAAAAGAAAGAGGAAGGAAGACAGAAAGAGAGGAAGGGAAAAAAGAGAAGGAAGGAAGGAAAGAAGGAAGGGAGGGAGGGAGGGGAGGGGGAGGAGGAGAGATAGACTGTAGTCTTTCCTGTTCTGTCCTCCCACCTGTTCTAGTATGAACCCTCAAAGAATGGACATTGTTCACTCATTTGCTTTTTTCATATATTTATTTATTGATGATATCTCTCTATACTGTGCTAAAAGTAGACACAGGCAAATCCCACATTCAAAACAACCATAATAGAAATAAATGAACAGAATAGAAAGTTCAGAATTATGATTGGATCATTTCCCCTGAAGTAGATTACATAATTTATTATTTGAGGGATACTGGCTTTATTTCTTCTCCTTTTCCCTCTCTCCTTCCTTCTCCTTTCCCTCAAATAACCATTCACATCAACAAAGCAGCCACCAGGTGGTGGCTGTGTCTATCTGGCACACAGACATCAACTGGAAGGACACTCCCTCTTCTTTGTGGCACAGAGAACACAAATGTCATGCCACATGCACAGAGAAGCCAAGAGAATGGAGTCACGGTGCCCCGTTTTCTGTAAGCAAGAAGGGAGAAACCAATGTTGGCTAAATCAAAAAGAGTCAAATCATTGCCGGGCATGGTGGCTCACGCCTGTAATCCCAGCACTTTGGGAGGCTGAGGCAGGTGGATCATGAGGTCAGGAGTTTGAGACCAGCCTGGTCAACATAGTGAACCCTCGTCTTTACTAAAAATACAAAAAATTAGCTGGGCGTGGTGGTGGCCACTTGTAATCCCAGCTACTCAGGAGGCTGAGGCAGGAGAATCGCTTGAACCTGGGAAGCAGAGGTTGCAGTGAGCCGAGATCACACCACTGCACTCCAGCCCAGGTGAGACTCCATCTCAAAAAAAAAAGAAAAAAGAAAAAATATTTTCAAGTTCCTAAAAACAGCCCTGAAGATTAAAATTAAATTAGCCATAGGGATGCAAAGTAAAAGAGGTTTGAAAAGTCCTCAACTTAATGTCTCCTTCAAGTGTGGAGAGGCTGGACTTTCTGTCTGCTTTGCTTTCTTGAGGGAAGGAGGGTATTTGTCAAAGCAGCAGCAACTTCACTTTGTCTCCACTGTCAGTGTATCTGGAGTTGAAGAAGCTTATTTTCTGCAAATGCCTTCAGCCCTAGACATGTCTGCAGTCTATTTATGTTTGGCTAAAACAAGCGGAATAAACAGTTGAGAGGATATCATTCATATTGTGACGGGAGACAGAATATAGGGCATTCTTGACATCCTGCATATACAAATCATTGAATGTCTTTCTAACTAGCTGCACTTGTAAATCAACCCATGCGCCCCTTCAGAAAGAATCTACTGTAAAGTGACTTGACTTCAACTGGCAATAGATGAATTGGAATATTGAAGAGCTGTTTCTCTTAGGTTATCTACAAAGTCAACATTAGTTCATTGATGTGGCCACACTGAGAAATGGCCCTGGAAGCCACTGAACCCAAGCCATGAAAAGGATTTAAACACTGGGTGGATGTCCAGGAGAGTTGCTGGAGGGGAGAAGAGGTCATCAATGGGTAGTTGTGGTCTCAGCAATGATCTTGACACTGGTCCTTAGTCATTCAACATATATACACATATTTACTGAGCATTTACTACGTGCCTGGAAGTGCCTGGAAGTCTTTTTTTTTGGTCTTTAAGAAATCACCCAACCCACAAGGAAAGGAGACTCACAGATAGCATCTTTCCTCAACCTCTACGGGAACACACACTCACACACTATTTGTTGCTCACCTGTCGCTAAGACATGAAAAGCCTTACACTCTGAAAGCCCTGTTGAATGTTCCTGAGTTTTTAACTCATTTGCAGTGAATCCTTGAGAGTTGGTACTACAGGCCATACAAAACAATATTTTTTTTTCTAGAGGAGGGTCTTGCTCTGTTGCCCAGGCTGGAGTGCAGTGGCACCATCATAGTTCATTGCAGCCTCAAACTCCTGGGCTCAAGCCATCCTCCCACCTTAGCCTCCCAAACAGCTGAGACTACGGGCGCCTGCTACCACACCTGGCTAATTTATTTTTTTATTTTTTTGTAGAGATGGGATCTTGTTTTTTTGCCTAGGCTGGTCTCAAATTCCTGGCCTCAAGCAATCCTCCTGCCTCATCCTCCCAAAGTGTTGGTATTACAGGCATGAGCCACTGCACCTGGCCAAAACAATAATTATTGAGCCCACACTGATACTGAACAATGTCTCTATCTCTTTATAAAACAAACAGAGCATTGGAATTCTCCATCTACAGTCTTCCTCACTGGATCCTCATCTAATTCACACGTTTATTTTTGCATTTAATCATCTAATTTTCCTTGAGCCTACCATCTTGCAGGCTCTGAGGAAACAGAAGGACCCAGACTGATAAGACTGAGCTCCAAGGAGTTTACCATTGGGAGGGAGACAGAATAATAATTGCAACATGGATCACATTTCTGATCGAGGCTGATTTTACTCAAACAAAACATTCCTCTATTAGACATTTCTGCAGAAACTTAGATGTGTTGCAAGGAAACCCAAATCATTAAGTAAGAACGTTACAGTTGTGTTAAATATTGAATTAGCCAGGTCCTCTTCATAATCATAATAATCATCATACACAATGCTGGAAGGATGGCTGGAGCCCAGGAGTTAGAGGCTGCAATTAGTTACTATGGCACCACTGCACTCCAGCCTGGGCAACAGAGCGAGACCCCCCCTCTAGAAAAAAAGAAAATTATTATTGTTCTGTATGGTCTGTTGTATTGAGCACTTTCTCTGTGCCAAGCACCGTGTGAAGCACTTTTACCTTTTTCATCCATTCAACAATTACTGTATTTTATCTAAGCTAAGAGGCCATTCAGCAAGCTGCACTACTTCTAGTTTGCACCACTGAGAAAAAAAAATGCTTATAATTAAGCCATGACACACTGCTCTCCTGCTATCACTTAGAATTTCTATTTTATACTTACTGAAAGACTCTTTTAGACTTCTTTTTAAAAAAGATCTTTATAATGTAACACTCTTGTGTTTATATAAAAAGAAAAAGATAAGCAAAATAAATTGGTTAAGGCATTCCTGAAATAGCTTCCAACTGCCCCCTGGCAGCCATTTTAAGATACCATTGATTGTAAGATTCACCCTAATTCCCAAGATGTTAAAATGTGGAAGGAAGATCTTGGAATCAATGAAATGCTATTTGAAAAGTGAATGCTATGCTGCAGGCTCTGACAAAATGCAGAAGATACTGCAATGCACAAGGCACAAAGTCCCTGCCCTCATGGAGTGTAAATGGCAGAGTCAAGAATTTAACAATTACACAAATAATTGTTTAATTGTAATTTTGATGGGAGCAATCGAGAAAAATCCCATGAGACTATGTAAGAAGAGATCCTGTCTAATAGGGGACAGAAAAGATCTTCTAAGGGTGAGACCTTTACGCTAAAACTGGGAAGTTGAGCAGGAGGCAGAAAAAGAATTAAAAGAAAGAAGAGAACTGTAGCATTTTCTCATAAATGTCCTCAGTGGCCATACAGATTTAGTATTATAATTATCCTTGCTTTACAGATGAGGAAACTGAGACTTGGAGAGTAGAAGTAACTTGCCTAAGAACACATAGCTAGCAAGTGATAGAGCTGGGATTTTCCTCATCTCAAACAATAAATTATCTGCTTGTTCAAATGGGCAGACTCAGTTCTTGCTGCATTAGAGACAGAGGGAGAAGGAGGAAGAACTTGGAGACTCTGTAGTATAAATTCAGACATTATTAAATAGTTTCAGTACTAACAAAAAAAGAAGAGTATATGTCAGACTCCCTATATCCTGGAACCAAGGATTCCAGCCTCATAGGACCAGAGACATGGAAGGGTGCAATAAAATAACATGCTTTGGATTTTCTTCCAAGCAATTAAAAACTTTTTAAATGTCTGGCTTAAGTAACTTTAGGAAGCATATTCAATAGCCCTGATGTGTATCACTTATAGCCCAGGCCCTGCATGGTTGTGGACACAACCCGGCTGAAAGCATGGGCCCAGTAAGTATTTTTCTGATTAAGAAGCATCTCTGCCTTTACTGCAAGTATTTCTGTATTTCTACCCTTAAATTGACTTCTAGATATAGAACCAGATGGGTTTTGAGAAAGGCTATCATACTGAGCAAATGTTGGAAGTCTGGGAAGCAAGACTAGTCCCTGGGACCTATGTTTTATTGGAAAATAGAAGGTAGGTGCAAACCCACAGCCAACCCAGAAAAATTCTGGTGAGTGGGTAAGTTTTGCTCTCCTTTGGGAGTTGAAAATGTCAAAGATTCATGAAATTTTCATTGAGTCATTCAACAAATACTTTTTTGAGAACTTACCAAGCACCATGCACAGGTGCCTCCATACAGCATCAAGCCAAAGAGACAAAGATACCGGTTCTTACAAAGCTTACAAACTAACAAAGAAAGATCACAATTAACAATAGAAATAATAAAGAAGTAAATTCTGTAGTAAGCTACAAGTTGGTAAGTATGAAGGCAAAAGAAAAATAGAACAGAAGAAGGGAATTGGGAGTTCTGAAAGAATGGGGAGACTGGTTGCAACGTTAAATAGGGTGACTGGAGTAAAGTGCCATCAGGAAATGATATTTAGGCAAAGATTTGAAGGAAGTTAGGAAAAGTGCAGAGACAGCAGCCAGCGCAAAGGCCTAAGATGGGAATGTTCCTGGCTTATGGGAAATAGCAAAGAGGTCAGTATGGCTGGAGCAGAAAATCCAGGAAGAGGGAAATAGAAGAAAGCGTTGGAGACCAAGTGGAGAGCTAACATACATAGAAATCTGAGGGCCATGGTGAGAACATTGACTTTTTCTTTGAGTGGGAAGAATGTCCCTTGGGAGGTTTTGAGCAGGGAAGTGACAGGATCTGATGTATCTTTCATTCTGACTGCTAGGAGTGTTAAGCATTGACAGTAAGCCACAAGGATGGGATCAATTCATGGAGGAGTCAAGGTGGCATGAGAGGTGCCCAGTTGAGACCATTGTTCACTTTCAGTCCCCTAGGAGCGCACCTCGTCACTTAATGTCTCATTGCAGAAAGTTGAGGTGGAAGATGCTTGGGTCTTGGGTCTCTGAGCTTGGTTTTGTTGGGCGGGGCGGGGGGGGGGGAATGGGGGAGGGCGTGTTTGTTTGTTTGTTTGTTTTTGAGCCAAAGTCTCACTCTGTCACCCAGGCTGGAGTACAGTGTCATGATCTTGGCTCACTGCAACCTCTGCCTCTTGGGTTCAAGTGATCCTCCCACCTCAGCCTCCCAAGTAGCTGGGATTACAGGCGTGGACCACCATACCCAGCCAATTTTTTTGTATTTTTAGTAGAGACGGGGTTTCACCATGTTGGCCATGCTGGTCTCAAACTCCTGACCTCATGTGATCCACCCACCTCAGCCTCCCAAAGTGCTGGGATTACAGGTGCGAGCCACCACCCCTGGCCAGGACTTGAGTTCATATCCTGCTTCTGCCAGTGTGTACCAGAAAGCCACTTTCATCTCTTCTGCTAGCCCGAAATCCCTCACATAAATGTAAAAATATCTACCTCACAGGATTATTTCCAAAATAAAATGTATATTGCATACTGTACCAGGCACACAGTAGGTACTTGAAGAAATAAAAGGGAAGCTCTCTCTTTATATATCCCCAATAATGAGAGAGATTTTATGAGATGCAAATTCTGTCGCCTGGAAGCTATTTAGATTTACAATCTTTATTTTAAGTTGGTTTGCCTGAGTAATTAATTCAAAGTTAAGATTTTATTGGTGAGGTGCCCAGGATTTTAGCAATTGAGTTAGTTGAACATGAAAGGTCTTTAAGAATGAAAGATAAAATAAAGTCTGTTCCATTGTAGCTCATCTTCCTGTGAAGCAGATTAGTTCACTCCTGATTGGTAAATAGGTTAATGATATGAATATAATGAGAACGTCACATTGATGCACATGTAATTTTTTCCAACACGTTATTGTTTAGCACCACTGAGTAACAGCAGCCAAATGCAAAGTTCACCAACACAGCTGAATCCAGCAAAGAAAGCAGTCAATTCATAAAAGTCAATCCTCTTAGCTCAGGTTAACCATGTAAATCTGCCTCAGAAGCCTGACTGTCACCTCTCCCTGATTTTTAAAAATTTGACCTGCCTGTAACTTCACAATCTCACTACCTCTTTAAACTCCTTTCTATCTAACTACCATCACTTCTTTATTTACAAAGGTTAAGTCTTTTATTTGCTCTGGCATTCCTTTACTTATTATGAATTGAACAAGTGTATCTAACCCAACCAGTAGGTTTATTATGTTTGTTATTGTTTGCTTACTCTCTGGATGCTAAGTTGCTTACTTTCTAAGTGGTCTATCCTAACCTTATTTTTCCCATAAGTGCTATAATTTTAACTGCAAAGCTGTGCAAAATGCAAGATTTGTCTAGGAACACACATTGCATTATAGCAGAAACACACGTGCCTCCACTATACACATTGGTAATGGCAGGGCATCATGGAAAACTGACATGCCACAAGTAAGCTAGTACACAGCTGTGAGAGGGCACTGGGTCTGGGGTCTAATGAACTCACTTCAAAGCTAGATTCAATCAGTTTCTGGGCATGTGACTGTATTAGTTCATTCTCACGCTGCTCTAAAGAACTGCCTGAGACTGGGTTATTTATAAAGGAAAGAGGTTTAATTGACTCACAGTTCTGCATTACTTGAGAAGCCTCAGGAAACTTACAATCATGACGGAAGGCAAAGGAGAAGCAAACATGTCCTTCTTCACATGGCAGCAGGAGAGAGAAGTACAGTATGAAGTGGGGAAAAGCCCCTTATAAAACCATCAGATCTCATGAGAATTCACTCACTATTATAAGAACAGCACAGGGGAACTGCCCCCATAATCTAATCAATTCCTCCCACAAGGTCCCACCCCTAACACGTAGGGCTTACAATTCAAGATGAGGTTTGCATGGGGACACAGAGCCAGACCACATCAGTGATCTCAGGAAAGTTGTTTGACTTCTGGAAGCCTAAGATTCCTCATCTTCAAAAATGAAACTGATAATATCACCTCCACCATGGGAGTGTTGTGAGACTGATCTAAAACAACTCACATGAGATCCTTACTAAGTGATAGCTATTAGGATATTGTAGATATAGAAGTCATTTGGAAGCAAACAGGGTTCTTATGAAGTGCTGTAGAATAGGTTGTCTTCACAGCAGAATAAGGTCAGATGGAGGTCTCAAAATCAATGCCTCTAATTGACTTAAACAGAACAGTTTTTTGTGTGTGTTTGGAGCCCAGCTTAGCTCTCTGAATCACACACAACTGAGTGATGGTAGAAACCTTCAAACCAAAGAAAGGAGAATATTATTCTCTGGTCTTTCACTCCCTACAATTGCACAACTGGTTCAAGCCCAGTTTATTTGTGCAAGATGATATTGACCATACATATATGCCCTGCTCTGTCTCTCTCTTTCTCTGTGTGAGTGTGTGTGTGTGTGTGTGTGTGCGCGTGCATCTGAATTTCTTTCTTCTACATACGAAAAATATAGACAAAAAAAGATAATGCTCCCATGACTGGAAAAAGATGAGATCATTTGTAAGTGGCTTGTTAAAGTGCACATCATTTTCCTGATCAGCGGTAGCGAGGCTGCATCTTTAGGAGCTGATGTGATTTATCATGTTATTATATATTTAGAGACATTTTGAAAATGCTGCTATTTACTCAACCGACTGTGTATATGGACGATTTAAAGCAGATTTTTGACCCAGTAGACTGTACCAGCTCTATCTATCGTCTCAATGAGCATGTGGGGACTCTTAAATATGCAGATTATTGACACAATAGACTACGAGCACTGCAACCGTACTCGAGACGGGTACAGTCAAGTCATTGGGGGATGATATGTTTCCAGAAAGCATTTTTAAGGCAAATCCACATATATAGACTTGCTCTATGAAAAAATATACATCTGGATAGAGGGGACTCTGGCTTTGGAAGGGAATATTTGCTATCTAGAAATAGGGTATTCTTACTAACATGCCTTTGTGTTCTGCCCTTTTGTCTATGAACATCTAAATAATAATACCTACCCTCTACTTAATCCCAAGCAATGTACCAATGGTTTGAGCTTAGTTTACTCAAACATGCCAAGAAACCATTCCGTTTGGGTTAGTATAAATGCATTCTTTGATTCAAAGTATGTATTGAGCACCATCTATCGAACAGTGGGGTCTTTGATTGCAAGCGATAAATATTATCTTTGGCAAACAAGTAAAAACAAGGAATTTGTTGGGAGGAACATAGTGTAGTTCACCAAAAGGGGAGGAACTAGTATGTCTGTGAGGACCAAGGGGGCAGAATCAAAAGACAATCTCTCTATCATAGAATTGTGAAATGGACCTACTCCAGCCCATTTCCACCTTTGAGTCATAGGTTCAGAATTCACATTCCATGGAGCAAGAGTTTGGTTGGCCAAGCTGGTGTTCTGTGCCATAGTAAAGCAAAAACAAAACAAAACACCAAAATGGGAAAGAAGAGAGAAAGTTGTCATATGTTCATTTCACCTCCCTGCTCCTTAAACAAATGATCAGATATTTAAACACACAGACATAAACACACACAATGCACACACAGGATGTCTATATTGTTTTTGCTGGAAAACAGTCCAGATGCACTGGGGTACCATGAAATTAAACTCCCAGAGGGCCAGAATCTCTGTTCTGTTGTCTCCTTTCCAATGTGTCTGTAAGGGAGCAGTTTTATACAGCCTGGACCTTATGATGCTATAAGTCAGTCCCAAGTCAATCTTATATCTAAAAAAAAAAAAAAAAAAAAAAAAAGAGCTACGCTACCTACTTTAACATCAAGGGGGAAGGGAGGGTGATGGGTGATTTCAATTGTTAATTCATCCAAACTGCAAAATTAGAAGTGCAGAGCACTCCCGCCAAGATGGCCAACAGTAGGAAATGGATGGTGGTTAGACGTAAACAGGAAAGAGTTCCCTCAAGACCTGGGCTTGCCACTAGGGATAAAGCAATGAACCAGACAGATAAGTCTCTGTATTTGTTGCATGAAACTGTCCTGTGCATTGTAGGATGTTTAGCAGCATCCTGGGTCTCTACCCACTAGATGCCAGTAGCACCTTGTCTCCCAGTTGTGACAATCAAATGTCTCCAGACATTAACGAATGTCCCCAGGAGCAAAATCACCCCAGATGAGTCATTAAGGGTGTGTTGGACATTACCAAGTGTGTCTCTAATTTAGTGTCCTCTCAGGAAGCTGGGACCCTCTGGGGGTAAACATCATCTCTGTTGTCCTATTTAAGTAGGATTCTGGAGTTCTGGCTATGTGCAAGATCTTATGTAGTCACAGGATACAAAGCAAGCAAGGAGAAAGAAGAACATTTATAGAGTCTTTACTGTATGCTCAAAAACTCCTGGTGCTGGGCATATAAAGATAAACACTCATAGCCCCCTTGTTCTTAAAGAGCTTACCACCTGGGAGGGGAGGTCAAGAATCACAGTTTGATTTGTCCAGCAGTAGAGAAGACCTTGGGGAGGAGATGCCATTTGAAGTGGCCTTGGAATTTGAAATCGCAATGGATAAATAACAATGGATTTGGTGCTTAACTGCGAGCAGCAATCCCAAATTTTACAGTATCAACCAGATCTTCATGAAAAATTAATGGACAGAATAGCAAAAAATTACCTCATATTTTATCAAACAAAAAATTATAATATTTTGCTATCATAATTGTTAGGGACTGAAGAATATATACACCAAGGAACGAAACAATGTGTAACATGAAAAATATCAGGGCACAGCAAGGCTAATTTGTACACATTTATAAAAATGTATCTAATTTGTAAAGTAACGGCTATACAAAACTATAAAATGTGCGCATACAAATTAGATATATTATGAAGCTCTCAGTTGCAAGGAACTATGTTAAGCAGTAAAGGGTATTATTTGTTCATGAAATTTCAAAGTACAAAGACAAAATCTTCAGGTAGAGTTTGATCAAGGTTGAAATTTTCTTGGCTCCGTGATGTCATATATGTTGGCTTGGTTCTCCAGCCACCATTCCTCATACTAGCAAAGCTCCTAAAAGTTTATGAGATTATATGTTCTTATATGAAAATAGGAAAAACAAATGGTAAAAACCCTTACTTTCTTAACCATCAAATCAAACTGAGAATGCCAATCACCAATTGGCTTAGATCCAGCCTGAATAACCTAAATAGGATGCTACGGCAAGGTGATTAGGTTTGATGATTCAGCGCCCACACATAGACCTGGGATGGGACCAACCTCAGCCACACTTATTGGGAAGCAACCATAGTGTCTCCTATGATGTACCCTAGAACACTAGTGATCTCTTCAGCATTGCTCAAGAATTAGCACATTTCATTTTTAAATGCTTATAAGTAACTACCAATGTCCTCTTTGAATCTCCATTTTTAGGTACAACTGCAAATTCCCTTTGTACCTCCTAAGGGTCACTCAAAGGTGTTAGAAGCTGCATATAAGGAGATGCTTTTCCAGGAACTCAGCCCATGCCTAATAATCCTCCTCCAGGTCAGAAAGAAAGATCTGGGTTTTGTTTTTGGTAATTTCTCCAAGAAAAGAAAAACTATCATTTACTCCCAGAAGCAAATAAAACAATAAACTCGACTGTGCATTAAAATAGATAGATAGATGATAGATAGATAGATAGATAGATAGATAGATAGATAGATAGATAGATAGATATGGTTTTTTAGGGGAGTTTGACTTCTATAAGTGTGGTCTGAGAACTGGCTGAAAACTAACATCAGAATAATTAAAAAGCAAGGGAAAATAACCCCCAAAAGGAGAATGAAACAGAGACAAAAAGCCAGAAAGAATATCAAGAACAAGACAATGGCTGTCTTAGGAACCATTTATTGGTGTTCACCACTGGAGAATATTAAATCACCAGATAGTGCTGTCTTCCCCAACTTTCCTGTCCTGGGACAACAGCCAATTTGGTACTATTAGGAGGATGCTGATAAAGTGACCTAAAGCCTCTTCCTATTTACCCATTTTCTCTATAGGTAGGGACAAAGAAAAGATGACAGCTCTTGGAAATATCATTCTTAAACTAGCCCTAACCTAAGTCGAAGGGTCAAAAAACCCTGGAGAGTTTTCCATTAGATTCTCCAAACTGTCCATTCAAAAATATCGAAGACCTATATATTGAAAACCTATGTATCTCCCAGAATTTTGGTCTTTTCCAAGTACTGCTTCATGTAACTATGTGTTGTGGGTTTGGCCCAGCTCAGACTCGCTGTTCCATATAATTTGGCTCATTTAAAAGCTAACCTAGTTAATTAAGAACTGAAATAGGTCAGGATTTATTTGGTGGAGTTACTGGAGTAGTTTAGAAATGCTAATCCCTTTTATCATTAACTTTTTTATTCGTTTGTTTCTTGTAATATAAAAATACTCAATCTGATAAGGGGATTTAAATGAATCCAGAATGAATTGATTGAGAATAATGTTAGGAGCCTGATGAACATTTTTTTCAGCCAAAACTTGAAAAAGTATATACAAAAAATCCTGAGAAATCCAGCTCCATAACATGATTCTTCATGACTAGGTTTTTGTTCTTGTGATGGTAATGAGAGGAGACATACTGAGTGCTGATTTTTACCAGGCATTCTGACTTCTTTCCAGTTATCTCACTTAATTTTCAAAATGATCTTTGAGGCAGGTACTATTATTATCTCCAATTGATAGATGGAGAGACCGAGCCCCACACAAGTTGTTAGTTTGCTCAAGATGATAATGCAGGACATGGCAGAGATGAGATTTGAACCCAGGTGGGCTTGCTGTAGACCTTGTTCTCTTCCATCCTGTAACACCTATGAGGGTGGTACACACACTTTCTCCTCTATTAGGCTGATGCAAAAGTAATTGCTGTTTTTGCCATTAAAAGTAATTACTTTTACTTTTGAACCACTCTCTTTTAATAATAGAGTGTTCTTCTCTGTGCAGACCCTTGCTTCATTGACAACTAGAAAGAGCATGAATGTCACACTTACTTGTCGTCAATTCCCAAAGCTTTAGCTGACTTTGACTTTGCAGCATTTCTAAGCTATTGACATATTGAGGCTGTATAATTCTTTGAGTAAGGACCGTCCTGTGCATTGTAGGATGTTTAGCTGCATCCCTGGCCTCTACCTGCCAGATACCAGCAACACCGCTTCTCTAGGTATAGCAACCAAAAATGTCCTCAAACGTTGTCCCATGTCCCCTGGGGAACAAAAACCACCCCCAGAACTACTAAGAGTATTATGGTGACCCAGCTGACTCCTGGAGTCCCATTTTCTTCTCTAGAAGAAACCAGCTGCCAAAAATAATGATCTAATTAACTCATTCACCCTGAAGTGCAAAGGTGAGATAAGAGATTAGGTTTTTATATTTTTATAGGGGATGAGTTCTTGGTCCACCTCATGTCAGATGAACATAAGCCAAGTTGTAGGGTTTAAGGCAAGAAGAAGCAGAGAGTAAGAGGTGTCACAATTGCGGGCTCCTGAGTTCACATCACACTTGTACCTGATTCATCTACTTCCCATAGGGAGTAACCCACCCTGTGAGTTTAAACCCATGTGCACACTTCAACCATCCAAAGCAATATTCTGTTTAAAAGATACCTTGTTGTTGTTCTCTATGGCTTGAAAGCAAATTGGGACCAGTGAGTAAAATCTAAGTTTTGAACAGAATCTAAGTGTTGGATAGAAAAGCATACTTCACTGATGCAATCATTCATTCACTTATGGGTCCAATCATTCATTTATTTATTCATATATCCAACAAACACTTGAACAAGGTGGGCTGGGTATAGCAATGGGATACAGTGGTAAACAAGATAGATTTGACCTGCCCTCTGGGAGCTTACAGTCTTATCTAGAGGACAATCAAGTACATAGTAAGTACAATTGCAAACTGAAATAAGGTATACAAAAGAAAAATGGGGGACTGAGATAGAAAATAACTTTGGTTGTTGGTAATTTCGGAGGAGTAAGTGGGGGAGGGTACAGTGATCAGAGATGACCCATCCGACGAAAGGCATTGGAGCTGAAACTAAAAGAATTAGACTAAAAGGAAAGACTTAGATATAGGGAAAGGGGGAATCTTTTATACATAGGGAATGGAATTTCAAGGGCCTTAAAGAAGGAAAGAATTTGATGAATTTAGGGAACAAGGAGAAGAATTTTCGCTTTCAAGTCCTAAACAAAATGAACAGTGATAGGGTAGTTCTGAGATGGAAACTGGGCAGGTCATTGCACTCTATGAGTCATCACTGCATGCATGTTCAAGTATATGCTGAGCAGTACCTGACAGAAGTGTTGATGAAGAGATGAAAGCATATCATAAAAGCTTAAACTGAAAGTTCTCCCCAATCCTTTGATTCGATCAAATTGTACCATGATGGAAACACGGCTCAACTCCTAAGTGTGAGGAATGGAAATGGTTCCCATTCAGTGTGGTCCTCATAGCAGGCTAGTAACAATGACTGTGCTGGTGGAGAGTCCAACATGAAGAAGAGGGTTGGAAAGTCAAGCATCTGAGCCATTTAAGGATACCAAGGCCAGGAAGCCCTTTCCTGAATGAGAAATTGGCCCAATGACATGAAAATTCTTTCCACTTCGGGCTTCTGTGATTCTTCTAGAGACAGCAAAGACTTTTCACCAGAAAACTAAAGTCCAGCCTGCTTTCTGATAGTGCCAATGTAGCTTTTCTGAGAGAACAGTGGGTTTCTTGCTTGCTTGCTTGCTTTTTTTTTTTTTCTTTCTTTCTTTCTTCTTAATGGGTAGTGGTCACAGCCATGAACTTAGCAAAAGAAGCAAGTTAAAATTTGTCCATTCTTGGCTAATGCAGTTAGACATTTTTGAGAAAAGGCAATGAGAAGTGGTCATTATCCATTATCTGCATGAAATATTTCAGAGAAAGAAGCAGCATTTGCCAAAAAAAGGAAAAGATGTTTGACTTCAAGCCAGGCAAAAAGGAAACAAGATCACCTTCTAGCTCTGTGGGATGGCTGTGCTAATGATGTTATTTCAAGTAAAATTGGAATATATATCTGAAAAAATACAGATGGTGCAGCAGCTTCATATACTTTCTGAAGGTCATTTTGGACAATGATTCACTGTCCCTTTACTTGGGAAAAAAAAAACCTCTCCAGTCTTGGAAGGAACTATATGTGTGTGAGTGTGTTTATATATCCTTATGCGGAATAAACGTATAGAAAATAAGCATGCATGACTTGCTGAAAATATTTGTTACCACTTGAAAAGTCAACACCTAAAAATCTTAATTTGATAGGAGAGTCTCAGTTCTATTGTGTAGTTTCTTTGTTCCTGTTTCGTTTCACTTTGTTTTCTCCTCTGTTCCTGATTTGTGACTCTCTGGGTGTAAGGATAATGTAAGGATAATGATTTCTAAACTGGAGCTACCAAAAAGCTTATAAAGTGGTCCCCTTCTCACCCTTCTCCATGAATATTTTCTCACTCTGCTTTTTTAAATTGTCACCAAGACACGTCGCAATAATAATATACGCTGGACTGAAATTCCAGGTAGCTGAATATAAAGCATTTTTCTTGGAGACCTTCTGCTTTAAACATTTGTCACCTCTCTCAGTGCAAAGCCCGAGGCCTCTAACAAAGACCTTTTTTCTCAGATGGTGGGTTGCTTTATTTCTTGAGGATTGCAGACATTACCATTATGGCTAATGACCTAATAACTTGCTATTTGATGTTTGTACATCACTTTCTACGGAAGTTCCCGGCACACATACCACTGGCTCCTTGTACAAGTGATTTAATATTAAATAACAAACCCCAAACTGGAGGAAGCTCTTTTCTTATGCATTCTTATGGATGACACATAAACAAAGCTGGTTCTTATCTATTGTGAATACCATCTAAAAGCTGTTGGCTTGGAATAAGATTTAGGGATAACACAGAATGCCAGACTCAACTGATTTCAGCCATCTGTGGGTTCAGGTTGAAGATCAGATGTACAGTGGTTGGAAAGTGCCTAGAACCAGCACTGAGAAGTTGGGAGGTAACCCTGCATTCTTGGTGTTTCACATACTTTATCACATGCTATACTCTAAAGCATCTTAAGAAGCAGATACTATTATTATTCCTATTTTATAGATGAGGAAGCTGTGCCTTTGAAAGTTTTCAGTAATTTTCCCAAGATTGTCTTGTCCTTCCCAAGACATTACACAGTACACCAAGGTCTGCCTGATCCTAAGGCTGAGGGGCCATCTTATCTACCCTGTTAACTGATCAGTTCTTGAATCAGCAATTTATTTCTCTCTTGGTTGGTGTTTTCCAGTATAAACTGGGAGCAACCATCTAAGCCATAGGCATTTAGTCTCTTGGTCTCTGGAGAGGACAGGGGCTGAAAGTCCTCAAAGTTGTATGATCTTTTCACAAAGCTGGTTCCCACATACACTGGTGAACATAGGCATAGAGAAGTAGATTGCTAAATATCTCTCTACTAATTAACTGTTTTGCAATTTACATCCAAACTTCTCAAACTTCCTGGCACATAGGAATCCTCTAGAGACCTTGTTAAATGATTTCTATTCTGTAGGCTTGGGGTGGGGCTGAGAGCCTGCATTTCTAACAAGCTCCCAGGTGATGCCAACACCATTCATCAACCCTACTTGAATAGTATGGGTTTACAATACACTTCCTCTTTTGTCCTGATAGGACCCTTTCAGTCAGTCAGGCTTGGGATAGTCACTCCTATTTGAGGTTGACAGATGAAGAAATAGGTCAAAGAGCTGATAGGAGAGAGAACCAGAAAAGCACACCAGATTCTCTAACCCCTGGTTCCTGCGGTTCAGAGGTTGCAAATGGTTGGGTCTCAGATGTATTTAGTTTTGTCCACACAGTTGGGCCCAAACAAAATACCTGGCAATCCCAAACTCCATGAAAGTCCTTCAGTAGCAGCTGTGCTTTTCTTTCTTTCTTTCTTTCTTTTTTTTTTTTTGTTTGAGACAGAGTCTTGCTATCTTGGACAGGCTGGAATGCAGTGGCGTGATCTCAGCTCTCTGCAACCTCCGCCTCCCATGTTCAAGTGATTCTCCTGCCTCTCAGCCTCCCAAGTAGCTGAGATTACAGGCATGCACCACCACACCCAGCTAATTTTTTGTATTTTTAGTAGAGATGGGTTTTCACCATGTTGGCCAGGCTGGTCTCAAACTCCTGACCTCATGTGATCTGCCCACTTCTGCCTCCCAAAGTGCTGGGATTACAGGCGTGAGCCACTGCACCTGGTGCACTGTGCTTTTGATGTGCCATAAACTTTCCTCTTACTCACAGCCCTCGGTGTCCTCCAGACAAGTGTCCAGTCTAGCTGAGTATACATGATTACTTACCTTCACAACTGAGAACGGATTTTCCTCCACCTGGCCCGCTTCGCCCATTTTCATTACCTGCCTTCCATCAGTAATGTGTGACCTTTTCATGACCTCTCTCTCCAAAACCTCAGCATCCAACTTCTCTCCATAACTCACCTCTCTACTTGCCTTGGCCTTGGAAGACCCACTGTGACGAAAGTCCTAGTGAAACTCCACTAAAGTGTCTTGCATGTGGTAACTGCAGAATAAATATTTCTTGATTAAATGAATAAACAGATGAACCACAAAGGGATGACAGAATATCCACTTCTCCTGACTTAAACTAGCTTAGCCGTTTTTTTGCTGATGACCAAGATGTGGAGAAATTCACAAAATGTGATTAGAAAACGTTTTACAGTCCAAAGAGCTGTAACGATGGCCCAGGAAAGAAGCAACAAGCGTACATTAAGTGTTTAGACGGACCCCACCTGGTATGCAAGCGCGGTACATGTAAAGCATTCCAATTACCCGAACCATCTTCAGGAAATTGAAAAAAATAGAGAGAGATTGTTGTTTTGATGACCACCAGAAACCTCCCCATTTATCTCCGCAGAGTACTCATGGGCTCAGGATGGCCCCCCATCACTGTACCCACGCCATCTCCAGCAGTGCTTTAAACAAAGAATTCTATTTGTTTGGTTCTGACTTTCAGACAGAGGAGGGAGCAAACTCTTCTCTCTCGATCCGTATATATCAGTAACACTTATGTTATATGTGGCATGACAGGGATAAAAATCCACGCACCATAAATGTCACATTTCTTTTTGAACATTTTTCTGTTTAAAAATGTGCATGAACGTAGATCACTTCTCCAGCCAGCAAACACACTGGGCCCTGGCCTGTGGTACCTGGATTCTCTGTAAATGAAGTCTGTGCTCAGGAATGGTGCAAGGATCCCACAGCTCTCTAGACTTCCTCTCTCCTGAAACAAAAAGCAGAGGGATCCCTCCACATGGCCCTCCAAGAGGCCCTCACTCCAGGCCTGGCTACCCTTGAGAATAGCTCAGCTTCCTTGAACACTGAATCCTATATCTCTTTACTCAGCCTGCCAACATGCATGCCAATTAGTGCCAATAATAACATACATACTAACAGACTTTTAGACCACAGTCACCCAAACACTAGAGACTCATGACAGGGAGCTCTCATTCCGAGTCATCATTTTTTGTACCTACTGGGTACACGCTGAGAAATTCTCACGATCTCCTCATTTACGTCTGCCTTGAACCCTGTGGCATCTTCCTGTGACTTTAAACAGTCATTTAGTGCGGTAGATTGGCGAAAACGATCCTGTCACCATCGGATATGTTTTTAAATGAGGTCTTGGTTGAATTCTGGTTTAGTTTTTAAAAATCAGCCTTCTTGAGTTTTAAATTGTTCTTATGTTATGATTCCACTTCTGCTGCCATTTTTAAAACTGTCAGTGTTTTTACTGTAAACACTATTGTGGACTTTCAAGGTGACTACAGAAACGTATACCTAGCAAAAGTCTGATATGTAACTCCATACCACCCATGAATTATTTTGCACAATTTCATTTAAATCATTCTGACTAGAGGTTTGGAAAAAATTGAGGTGGTATAGTTTTAAAAATAATTGTTTTCCTCCTTCTGTTGTTGTTTTTTTGGGACAGGGTCTTGCTGTGTCACCCAGACTGCAGGGCAGTGGCGTGATCACAGCTCACTGCAGCCTCAACCTTCTGGGCTCAAGTGATCCTCCCACCACAGCCACCCAAGTAGCTGGGACCATAGGCATGCACCATTATGCCTGGCTATTTTTTTTTTATTTTTTTTGTAGAAACGGTCTAGCTATGTGGCACAGGCTGGTCTCCAACTCCTGGGCTCAAGTAATCCTCATGCCTCAGTTTCCCACAAGTACTGAGATTACAGGTGTGAGCCACCATGCCCAGCCATTAACTTTTCATATGAAAGAAAATTTCTCTAAGAAGAAAATAAAATATAAGGGTTTATTTCTAATTTTTACCCACATACTATTAGGGTAAAACAAATGCAGCATATAAAATATTCTTCTCCAATAATATTTCTCCTTTTTTAAATGAAGAATTCAGGGGAAGGCTACTCTAATATGTATGTCTGCTAATACATATGTAATGTTGTTTATAGTAGACCAGCTAATGGACTTTATCCATGATAAAATTAGTCCATACTTTCAAAGTTCCCATGTGTGAATCTTTGTTGAATCAAAGTCTGTTCACATTAAGAGCATAGATTCTGATGCTTTGAGGTCTTGTTGCTTATTTGCAGCCTTTATACTTAGGAGTGTAAATCCACAGCTCAAAGAAGTTGGGCAGCAAGGAAGTTGGTAGCTGGGTTGTTCTGAAAAGATGATTTATGGGGATGCTCTGGTATTATTTCATTTCATTTCATTTCATTTTAGACAGAGTTGCACTCTGTCGCCCAGGCTGGAGTGCAGTGGCAGAATCTCAGCTCATTACAACCTCCATCTCCCACTTCAAGTGGTTCTCCTGCCTCAGCCTCCCGAGTAGCTGGGATTACAAGCGTGTGCCACCACACCTGGCTGATTTTCTTTTTTTTTTTAGTCGAAACTGGGTTTCACCATGTTGGCCAGGCTGGTCTTGAACTCCTGACCTCGGGTGATCTGCCTGCCTCAGCCTCCCAAAATGCTGGAATTACAAGTGTGAGCCTCGGCACACAGCCGATACTCTGGTTTTATCATTGAGTGAAGTTGATTAGCATGATTGTAATTCACATCTATCTACATGGGCTGAGGGTGGGCAGATCTTTACCCACCAGAAGTACCAATTTCACTGCTGAGGAATGGAGCCAAAGTTTGCAGCTGGAATAATCCTTTTTACTGTGTAATCTATTCATTCATTAACTCAAATAGTTTGTGGACATCACTCTGTGCCAGGATGTGAACTGAGCACTGGGGAGGAGCATTCTGACTGCATGGGGATAGATATTCTAACCTTACATCCAGTAGAAGAAGACATCAATCAATAAACAAATGGGTTTATTTCAGAGTCTGGTAAGTGCTCCAGGGATTTCAGGCAGTAGGGTGATGTGATGGATAGTTACACAGAGCAGGGGAGACATCAGCAAAGGCCTCACTGAGAAGGGCCCATTGGAGCTGAGACTTGATGGAACCTGCTATGTGATGGTGCAGACAAAGAACTTTTCGGTCAGAAAAATCTGCAAAGGCAGAAAGCCTCAGTCAGGAGAAGGATTGGCGGGGTCAAGGAGGGGCAAGTAGATTATTGTTTCCTAGGCATGAAGAGAAGGCCGTGGGTGATGAGAGAGGGGCAGGGAGGTTGGCCTAGGGCACATCCTGCAGGCTCTTGTAGACCATGCTAAGGGTTGAGATTTTATTGCAAGTGCAACAGAAAGACACTGCAGGAGTTAAAAGAGAGGGCTGTCATGACCTAATCCCTTTTACAAAGAATCTTCTAGCAGTTCACTGAAGAGCAGACTGTGGGAAGTAGAAGCAGGAAGCTCATTGTCCAACCTAGGGGACAAAACGGTGGCCCAGGCTAGAGCAGTGGCCATGGAGTGGGAGAAAAATGGTCTCTTGAGTCAGTAGTTCAGTCAAAGAATGGACCGGATTTGCTCGTGAATCAGCTGTTCCAGGAATGGGGACATCTCATGTGGCCAGAGTCAAGCTGGGGAAATGGATGAAACTGGAAATTGAGGTTGGAAAAGGAAATTTTTGCCACTATGAAGTTTGATCTTCGACCCCCAATCAACAAGGAAGTTCTATAGAGAACAGTTCTTTTGTCCTGTGCTTTGGCATAACTGTGATAGTTTTCTTTCATTAAATAAGTATTCATAAGAGTAAACTTGCCACTCATCCACTTATCCTAAGACTTACACAAGATGCAATCTTATTAAACAAGTCATCAATACAGAGAGAGACACTGATACTCATTATTCACTCAGATCACCCCTGTTCTGGCTGCCTTTCCTCTCTTGCCCCAACTGCTGGTGGCAAACAAAATCACTTAAGTCAAGTGAACAGTTTTAGATGTATAATATTGAAAGGTGTTTTTTTAAAAAAAACTCCTTGGAACCCTCAGCCATTGTTAAAATACACTCACTTTGACAGATGTTTGGCACTTTTTGTATGAGGCTTTTCAATGCCTTACCTTATCCAGTGCATGAGATTTAGTCGGCTCTGCAGAGGAAAACAGACAAAAAGGGTCTCTCAGCACGAGTTACTCTTCTGTAAAGGTTATAGTAAACATGTCAATGCCTAATTAAGCAGAAAATTTTATCTGTATTGTGGGGGAGGCGTTTGCTGTCTCTGACTTTTCTTCTGGGGAATCCATTTAGAAGGACAAAGTAGATTGTGAGGTTGAGCTGGTCCGGAAAGCTCTGCTTCCAAATGTCAGTGGGAAAAAAAAAAAAAAAAGAACACTTCTTTTCTCCTAGTTTGAAAATGACTATACTGGGTGGGCAGATTGTGTGTGTGTGTGTGTGTGTGTGTGTGTATGCACAGGTGCACGCATTAGAGTGCATGTATGTATATTTCATCAATGTACACACAAAATAACATGAATTACTTCCCAACTTCTTGCTAGATGTCAGGCACGGTGCTAGGCACTGAAAATACTGAGATGAATGAAACCCAGAAATGCCCTTAGCCAATTGTGATGACAGAAAGTCCTCATGGCCACCAAATCCCCAGATTTCTTTACTTGCTTCTTTGTTGCTGTGATTACGTTACCCACAGGTGTTGTCACATGTCTTAGTTGGCCTGGAACATCCTGCTGACTACCTGTTGACCCAGCGTATGTTCCAGAGTAATAGCACCCCTTCATTCTCCAAGTGACCCTATTTGATTGATGAAATTTGTCTGATTCTCTGATGTATGTTACTTGGCTCAGTAACAACTTATTTTATCATTTGTTATTTAGTTTATTAATTTTATAACAGAGACTTTCTCTTTGAATGGTATATCTATTTTTTGCAAACATACAAGTTAATCCAGGAAAAAGGAAATGGGATGATACCGACAGGAATAATCTAATTCGGCCATATGGTCATTTTAAACTACAGTTTTCCTGCAAGTTGTGACCGCTTATTAATGGTTTTTTGACTAGATTGAGTAGTTGTTGTTTTTTTCAAACCAATCTTTGAAGCTAGAGACCAGTAACGCCAATTTAATAAAAAATCCACCTGTCAATTTGCTAGGAAGGTAAAACACACCACACCAATAGCAGTAAAATAACTAACACAACCATAAAACTCATGGCTAGACTGAATTTATACATTTCATCTTGTTTTACGGTATTCTGTCACTAAAATCATGGGCTCTTGTCTCCAGTTTTCCCACAGTTTTCCCCTGTGATGTGGTTATCTATTTAGTGACATTTCAATGAAATTCCACTGCTTAACCTTTAGCCTTTGGGTCTCATCAAAGGGTTCTTCTTCATTAGGTTGGCAATACAAAGATAGCAGCATCTCCTGTATTCGGGCATTCTCCCATCAGGCAGACTTGGGTGTCTGTCCTCACTCTGCAACGCTAGCTGTGTGGCCTTGGGTGAATTTCCTTACCTTAAAGCCTCAGTTTCCCCCTCTGTGAAATGAAAGTAATAGTGGCTACTTCATGCAGATATTAGACAAAATGAAAGAATGCATTTGCAGTGTTTAGCTTACTTCCTAGGAGACAGCAATTGCTCAATAAATATTCTTTATCTTCAGCAGCAGCAGCAGCGGCAGCCTTTGGAGTTGCTGATTGTAGCTGCTTTATCCTAGCAAATCCCCTTCTCTTCTAATTCTCCGTGCCTGCCTCACAGGATGGACCTCCAGCGCATGACCACTCCTTTTCCAAGCTTTGTCCTTAGTGACTGGAAATAACAGAGCCTGCTCTAAGGTTTTCCCCACGTCGCTACCTGCCACAGAGAGAGGAGACAGAAGTTCATAAAGAAAATATTGCATTAAGATTGTGCAGGCCTTGCAAACCTAAAACTGGATCTCCTTTTCTTTGGGACTTCTTTGGTTGCATGTTATCTGCATGGTTCTGAAAAGGCCAGGTGAAGAAAATGAGCCCATAGGCATAATGTCACATTCCCCATCTCCATTGATGGATATTTGCCCATTAATTCCCTTTGCACTGGCTCACTCATGTCTTCATTTTCCCTATGTAATTACTGGTCCTAAATCCTTTCAGAGAAGGGAAAGCATGCATCCCCAATAGCATTTTGCATCTACAAATCAAATATATAATTGGCATCTCATGACGGGTACCCACAAATCACAGTGCATTTGAAATTACAGGCACAAGATCGAGAGGGCATTTTCAACCTTGTCTGGAAAGGTCTTCACAAACCTGTTTTAGAATAATAAGATAGTCGCCAAATCTCCCATTCTAGCACCATTTGCGATTATTTTCAAGTCATTATATTTGCTGAGCTTATATAATTTTTCAACTATCAACAGAAGATTTTATTTGCATACCCCATCATCTCTCTTCCTGCTGTGTGATTCCCTACAAATAAAAATGTTATAGCAAAAAGACAGGGGCTATCAAAAAATATAATGGCTGTGTATCCAAATTACTTCTGAGCACTCAAAAATGATTTATTTATATGGTTATATGCCAATATATCCAAGTGTCTTGGTAAACTTTACCATCTAGATGCCAAGAGTCAAGTCTTAGTCTCCCTATGAGCCAACATTCTTCCCTGTAGACACGTGACTTTAATGGGATATGAATTTCAATCCAGATTTCCTAAAAGTCATACACATGAATTTAGCAACTATCCCATCACAGGAATATTAGAAAGATATTCCTTAAACCTGAAAATTATTAACTTGGGATCCTAGGCATTTATAAAGAATTATGACTCCTGCCAATTGAAAAAAAAAAAAAAAAAAACACTAGATGGCACGAAAGACACCATTTGGCTTTTCCTGTGTCCACTGCTCACAGTGCATAAAAATGTAGATTAAATCACCGTTCAGTTCGGCATGGGAAGCACTTAGTCTATGTGAGGAAATTGGAATGGAATATGGAGCCTGTTACTGTCGTTTCATCTCTTCTTCTTCTCTTGCAGGCTACGCCCAGGAGGAACAGCTGAAAGAAGAGGAGGAAATAAAAGAAGAGGAGGAGGAGGAGGACAGCGGTTCAGTAGCTCAACTGCAGGGTGGCAATGACACAGGGACGGACGAGGAGCTAGAAACGGGCCCAGAGCAAAAAGGCTGCTTCAGCTACCAGAACTCTCCAGGAAGTCATTTGTCCAATCAGGATGCCGAGAACGAGTCTCTGCTGAGTGACGCCAGTGATCAGGTGTCGGACATCAAGAGTGTCTGCGGCAGAGATGCCTCAGACAAGAAAGCACACACTCACGTCAGGCTTCCAAACGAAGCACACAATTGCATGGATAAAATGACCGCTGTCTACGCCAACATCCTGTCGGATTCCTACTGGTCAGGCCTGGGCCTTGGCTTCAAGCTGTCCAATAGTGAGAGGAGGAACTGTGACACCCGAAACGGCAGCAACAAGAGTGATTTTGATTGGCACCAAGACGCTCTGTCCAAAAGCCTGCAGCAGAACTTGCCTTCTCGGTCCGTCTCGAAACCCAGCCTGTTCAGCTCGGTGCAGTTGTACCGACAGAGCAGCAAGATGTGCGGGACTGTGTTCACAGGGGCCAGCAGATTCCGATGCCGACAGTGCAGCGCGGCCTATGACACCCTAGTCGAGCTGACTGTGCACATGAATGAAACGGGCCACTATCAAGATGACAACCGCAAAAAGGACAAGCTCAGACCCACGAGCTATTCAAAGCCCAGGAAAAGGGCTTTCCAGGATATGGACAAAGAGGATGCTCAAAAGGTTCTGAAATGTATGTTTTGTGGCGACTCCTTTGATTCCCTCCAAGATTTGAGCGTCCACATGATTAAAACAAAACATTACCAAAAAGTGCCTTTGAAGGAGCCAGTCCCAACCATTTCCTCGAAAATGGTCACCCCGGCTAAGAAACGCGTTTTTGATGTCAATCGGCCGTGTTCCCCCGATTCAACCACAGGATCTTTTGCAGATTCTTTTTCTTCTCAGAAGAACGCCAACTTGCAGTTGTCCTCCAACAACCGCTATGGCTACCAAAATGGAGCCAGCTACACCTGGCAGTTTGAGGCCTGCAAGTCCCAGATCTTAAAGTGCATGGAGTGTGGGAGCTCCCATGACACCTTGCAGCAGCTCACCACCCACATGATGGTCACAGGTCACTTTCTCAAGGTCACCAGCTCTGCCTCCAAGAAAGGGAAGCAGCTGGTATTAGACCCGTTAGCAGTGGAGAAAATGCAGTCGTTGTCTGAGGCCCCAAACAGTGATTCTCTGGCTCCCAAGCCATCCAGTAACTCAGCATCAGATTGTACAGCCTCTACAACTGAGTTAAAGAAAGAGAGTAAAAAAGAAAGGCCAGAGGAAACCAGCAAGGATGAGAAAGTCGTGAAAAGCGAGGACTATGAAGATCCTCTACAAAAACCTTTAGACCCTACAATCAAATATCAATACCTAAGGGAGGAAGACTTGGAAGATGGCTCAAAGGGTGGAGGGGACATTTTGAAATCTTTGGAAAATACTGTCACCACAGCCATCAACAAAGCCCAAAACGGGGCCCCCAGCTGGAGTGCCTACCCCAGCATCCACGCAGCCTACCAGCTGTCTGAGGGCACCAAGCCGCCTTTGCCTATGGGATCCCAGGTACTGCAGATCCGGCCTAATCTCACCAACAAGCTGAGGCCCATTGCACCAAAGTGGAAAGTGATGCCACTGGTTTCTATGCCCACACACCTGGCCCCTTACACTCAAGTCAAGAAAGAGTCAGAAGACAAAGATGAAGCGGTGAAGGAGTGTGGGAAAGAAAGTCCCCACGAAGAGGCCTCATCTTTCAGCCACAGTGAGGGCGATTCTTTCCGCAAAAGTGAAACACCTCCAGAAGCCAAAAAGACCGAGCTGGGTCCCCTGAAGGAGGAGGAGAAGCTGATGAAAGAGGGCAGCGAGAAGGAGAAACCCCAGCCCCTGGAGCCCACATCTGCTCTGAGCAATGGGTGCGCCCTCGCCAACCACGCCCCGGCCCTGCCATGCATCAACCCACTCAGCGCCCTGCAGTCCGTCCTGAACAATCACTTGGGCAAAGCCACGGAGCCCTTGCGCTCACCTTCCTGCTCCAGCCCAAGTTCAAGCACAATTTCCATGTTCCACAAGTCGAATCTCAATGTCATGGACAAGCCGGTCTTGAGTCCTGCCTCCACAAGGTCAGCCAGCGTGTCCAGGCGCTACCTGTTTGAGAACAGCGATCAGCCCATTGACCTGACCAAGTCCAAAAGCAAGAAAGCCGAGTCCTCGCAAGCACAATCTTGTATGTCCCCACCTCAGAAGCACGCTCTGTCTGACATCGCCGACATGGTCAAAGTCCTCCCCAAAGCCACCACCCCAAAGCCAGCCTCCTCCTCCAGGGTCCCCCCCATGAAGCTGGAAATGGATGTCAGGCGCTTTGAGGATGTCTCCAGTGAAGTCTCAACTTTGCATAAAAGAAAAGGCCGGCAGTCCAACTGGAATCCTCAGCATCTTCTGATTCTACAAGCCCAGTTTGCCTCGAGCCTCTTCCAGACATCAGAGGGCAAATACCTGCTGTCTGATCTGGGCCCACAAGAGCGTATGCAAATCTCTAAGTTTACGGGACTCTCAATGACCACTATCAGTCACTGGCTGGCCAACGTCAAGTACCAGCTTAGGAAAACGGGCGGGACAAAATTTCTGAAAAACATGGACAAAGGCCACCCCATCTTTTATTGCAGTGACTGTGCCTCCCAGTTCAGAACCCCTTCTACCTACATCAGTCACTTAGAATCTCACCTGGGTTTCCAAATGAAGGACATGACCCGCTTGTCAGTGGACCAGCAAAGCAAGGTGGAGCAAGAGATCTCCCGGGTATCGTCGGCTCAGAGGTCTCCAGAAACAATAGCTGCCGAAGAGGACACAGACTCTAAATTCAAGTGTAAGTTGTGCTGTCGGACATTTGTGAGCAAACATGCGGTAAAACTCCACCTAAGCAAAACGCACAGCAAGTCACCCGAACACCATTCACAGTTTGTAACAGACGTGGATGAAGAATAGCTCTGCAGGTATGGGTTTGCTCTGAGGCATTGCGATTAGCCTGGTGAGGAGCTTTCTTACAGGGAGATGGGTCTGCTTAGAGGCAGCTAGCATCTCCCAATGCCAAGCAGGATAGTAGCTTGCTGGAGTAGGATTTATTTTAATGAAAGACCAGAACATGAAAACTAAGTCCTAATCATTCTCTTAAGTCCTCTAGTTTAGAGCTGGGAACTAGAATAAAACGGGTTTAGAGAGATAAAGTTCACAGATTACTACTGCTTTTTTTAGGCCTTCATCATCCATAATCCTGAATTACCCAAGGCAAGCTCCAGTGTCCAGCCAAGGCTATCTTTCATTTTAATTATTAGATACTAACTTCTGTCACCATTCCATTTCACCACCCCACCTTTCCATAGCAATGCCAATGACTTATAAAGTGACAAAAAGTTGAGCAATGGAAGAAAGATTGGAGAGTGCTAGAAGTAGTTACTATATAGAGATTCCTTAATCAGCTCATGAATAGCTTAAAGTTGTCTTTATGATTGTTACTTGTAATGAATGCTTTTTTGCAGCTTACTTTTAGTAATTGCCACCTTCCACCTCTTCCCTTTGGTTATTTTCTACATTAAGTGTCCTATGAATGAGCATGTGCCCTTAACAGGTTGGTAGAAAAATATTCTTCTTTGCAGAACATTGAGATGAAAAGAAGCTTATTTTCTTCTTTCATCTTTTGGTTTTCTTGTGGATAGACCAGTATTAGAGCCCACCTTTAACAAAGATAGAGGCAATGTGTGCCCTTGAGGTTTCATTTCACATAAAGAAACAAATGGCTTTCTGTACACTTATGTTAATGTGCATGGAGTCCCATAGCTTGAAGATAATGTGCATCATGTGTCATAGAAGTTCCATGCCTTATATAGTCAACCATGCCCAGACCATTTGTGTCATTTTTAGGAAACAGGGCAGAGACCAAGGTCAAATGCTTTGGCAGATTAGTTTCACCAGCCATTTTCAAATGTTGAGGATAAGCAAGGCTGGGTCTTAACCAATCTCTTTCATTTGCCCATTTGTGTTTTCTCTACTTCTTTTTCTCTCCCTTCCAGCATGATGCCCGCATACACTAAGGGCCCTCCTATGTGTTCAGGTGGTCCTCCACCTTCGGCCATTCCCCAAGATGGGAACCCAACCTGAACTAAACCTTCTGTGCTGACCAATCCAGTTGACGTCATGTTAAGTTACGGATTTGCTCCTAGTTAATTAGCTCTTAATTCACGATCGAATATGAAAAACTAATAACATATAATCGCTCACCACACCCTATTGTCAGAGCATTGGTTTACAAATAGAAGACTTTCAGAACAAGCTAGAAAGGTAGGACACTAGGAGAGTTCCAGGTAGAGAGCGGTATTTACATGGCATGGCTTTGGGCTTGCCTCACATCAGACAGAGGGGTTTACTGGGTGTGAAGATGGCCAAGATGAAATAAAAAGTTAAAATATCTGACCTGGGACTTTCCCCTGAGTGAGGCGATCTACGCTTCTGATGGAGAGGAGTCCTCCTATAACTCTAATTGCTATCTAGACCCAAATGAAGACTATCTTTTTGGTTTGCATGTTTTTATCATGATGATTGAATGTGTTATTGGCAGATTCTTCTCATTCTTTCCAAGCATGATTTGTTCAGCTCACGGAATTGAAAGAAAAGCCAAAATGCATCCATTGAATTCACACCTGAGCTTGGGGTTCAACAGCGTCCTATTTATTTGCTGCATAACATTTTAAATCTTAAATAACTTGCCATTATGTTTTCCTGGTTCTTAAAAAAAAAGAGGGGGGGCATACAGAGAATACTTAGAGAGAAGAAAGATATTTCAAATCCAATAGTGGTGGGTTGAAACCATGGTGAAGAGGACAAATAGGTAATATTTATTTGTACTATAACAAAGACCACTTTTCCACCTGTTAGGTTTGTAATCTTTTTTAGAAAATTAATATAATTGCCAAAACACTCTGATATGTAGATAGGGAGAGGTAAGGAAAAGAAAGCTTGATCCATCGTCAGTCAGAATCTGGAGTGTATGATACCTGTTCTAGGGATTCAAAGGTGAACCAATAATTTGGAAAAACATATACAAAAGGTACTTCCAAATCCATTAAATACATAGATAAGATAGCCATTTTGGCACTTCTCTGCATTTGTACAGGATGAGTATATCTAATTTGGACCTCGAAAGCACCGTATTGGTGTTTTCATTATACAAAACCAAAGCTCCATCCTTACAAGCACCATTAGGCTGTGGTTCTGAGAGGATTGCAGAAAAACAGGTTTGAGTGTTTGGGACTCACTCAAAGCCATGGGCGTGTATGTATGTTTTGTAAACAGAAAAGATGGTGCAGGTACTGGCTGTGTTTGTGTTCATCGTAAAAATACTCCTATCTGCCTGAATGTTTCCCCCATCTGTACAAAGGTCGATTCTTGGTGCTTTGGTCACCTTAGAAAAAAATGCCTCCACCCCCGGGGTCCTCTTTTAGAACAATATTTATGCAATACCTTGCCCATTGCTTAGAATGATGCATGTAAGGTTTCTAAATGGTCATGAAATGACATCACTGTTGTCTGGAACTCTAATCTTAGTTGTAATGCATAGTAGCACAAATTGTGCAAAGTGACATGATATTTTAGAAAGTATGATCAAGATTTCTTGGAAACTATGAGAGCTTTAACCTATCAATGTTTTTTGAAAGACACAACTTTTGATCTGAATTTTCTTTCCTTTACCAGATATATCTTAAATCCTGCAAAATGCTCTGCCAAATATTAAATGCAACTTTTCGTTAAAAATTTCATTAGAAAATATTAAGTGTGCATCTCTATTTTAGGTCATAAGTAATCTAAAACAATTTCAATATGTATTTGTATATAGCTTTAAAAGCCACATGCTCTTGACTAATAGAAATTAAACAGAGAGCAAATCAATGAGTCTGAAATGCATAAAGGCTTGAAATTATAGTCATCACTGTGTAATATAGTGTACAAGCTTAACAGCACACCTAGCCTTGAAATTGTTGGCAGGAAAGTATTCTAGTCCAATGAGCTGCCACTTCTGTTGTGGGCGGCTTGATAAAAACACATATTCAGGGTGAAAAGCGCGTAAGGTTGCCAGACAAAATACAGAACGGATGTCCAGTTAAATGTGTATTTCAGATAAATGACAAATAGGTTTTGAGTATAAGCCTGGCCCAAATATTGCATGGGCCATACTTATATTTTTAAAATATTCATTGTTTATCAGAATTCAAATTTAACTGGGCATCCTGTATTTTTATTAGCTAAATCTGGCAACCCTAACAGCATAGATTATATGGCAGTTGGGAAGAACAAAATAGCCTGGACAAATTAATATCTATTAATGGCATCAACCATTCCTTCCTCCATTAAATAAATATTCCTTCCTTTCATCCTCTTTTCCCTCCTTTGTTCCTTCATTCCTTCCTCTTTCCCTTCTTTCCTTCCTTCCTTTTTTCTTCTTTCCTTCCTTCTTTTCTTCCCTCCCTGCATTCCTTTCATCCTTCAACAAATACTGGTTGTGCTTTTACTATGCACCGGACTCTATTATATTTAACAATGGAAGTATAATACTGAACCAGAAGTTCTACCAATTGTAATAGCAAAACATGCCAAGCCTTGCAGCAAGCACTTTGCAAACATTATTTTGCTTTATTCTCACAAACAGCCGTATGAAGTAGAGGTTGATTCACTCATGATAGGGAAGAGAAAATGGAGGCAGAGAGATTCTGCCTGAATTCCCCAAGGTCCTACAATCTCTGAGCCTCACTCATTCATTATGACATATCTAGAAAGCCATCGTTCCACAGCAAGCACTGTGCTAATTCCCAGGGAGTAAGCCATAACCAGGACAAGAGTCTGCCTTTGAGGCTAGTGGCAGACAAATAGATGAAAAACTCTAGGGGAAATGCTGAAAGGAGCACACAGGAGGTGGCTCTGCCTGGTTCTGGGGGAAGCCGGGATGGGGAACAGTGGTCTCAGAGGCAGTGTTTGGAAAAGAATGCTGGATTTAACCCCCAACTCACTTGCTTTCATGAAGACATGCCCCACTTCTACATCTTTATGATGTGGACATAATATCCTTCTCATAGGAAGGTTGTAAGAATTAAATGTATGTAATTATTTTCCTTAAAGCCCATAGTAGGTTTACAAGAAAGCACATAGTAGGTCTATAAGAAAAGCAAGTTCTAGGTAGAGCCACTACATGCTCTTACCATGCTCTGTAGCCTCACCTGCAGCGTAGAGAACTTGCAGCAACTTCTCAACTCTAACTAATTAATAATCCTGCAAAATCTCAACCTGCTGTTTGATTCAGATAACAATGACAGTGAAACTACCGTTGACTGGCCTCTTTTTATAACTCAGGCATAATTATTCATATTATCCTCATTTTGCAGAGAGGTAAACCAAAGCTCAAAGAGTTTCATGATTTGTCCAAGAAGACAAAACTAAACCTGGAGGTAGGTTTTGAACCCAGGACTGTCCAATGCTCATCAACTTTCTCCTGCTCCTTGGTTTCCTCCTCCTTGCCTGATGGTTTCTAGGTAATACTCATGGCTGGATGTACCTCCAACAGCCCAGAGAGAAAGCTGTAAAATGTGGCCTAAGAGCTGAGAGGAGAAAGGACACTTTCCTGGGCCTTTTGGAGGCTCCAGCTATCAAACATTGCAACTCAGGGGCCCAGGACTGACCCGCAGGGTGAAGCAGAACATCCTTGTTCTCTTTCTTTTAATGCTCTTGTTCAATCAGGCAATTATACATTTGCCATATGGTGTCTAACCAAGAAATGACCCAAATTCCAGTGAAAATACATACACCTAATATTAAAAAAGAACATCCTCATTCTGACCCTCAGGAATTCATTTTAGGGAAAGGAAATGAGAACTGAGGAAACAGGGTCAAGTACAATAATCTAGCATCTCTCAAGCAGCAAGAAACAAATGCATCGTCTTCCTTAACGTTTGCATTTTTTCAAAAATATTTGGCTTAACTCCGTCTATGCATCTCAGCCTCCATTGCACCTTCCCCCCTCATTTGGACTTTTGAATGCTCAATCCTGACGTGTATAATTTGGTGCTTTAATATAGAGTAACATTATTTTTCATTTACTCCAATCTGCCATCAGTATCATCTTTTCATTTAACCAGATGCAATTCTTTTTTCTTTCGCTAAATTGAAAATCCATGAGCGACAGGGAGTGCAATGTTTTAATTAGCTCATATTTTTTATATGGATTTATGTCTTTAAAATACATTTGTGTAATTCTTCAGCTAAATTAAAAACGTCTTTGCGAAAGTGAGGAGGGGAAAATAAAGAGCTAAATTGTGTCATTAGCTTAGGTGGTTGCAGATGAGGAGCAGAATCTGGTGGAGGGACACACAATCGCCAGAGCTGCTCTCTGTGAGGATCTTGAACTTGCCCTTCCTGCAGAGAAGTCTTTCTCCATAAAGATCTCTCAAAAATGGCTTGGGGAGGATTTTTTTTTAAGGCCTCTAGTAAGTAAACAAGCAGTTACCTTCACTGAGCTAATTTGAAACCCAACCTGCCACCAAACAAACAGAGAAAAAGAAGTCATAATGATAAACAGTTTTCCTTGCATTTCTCTTTGTCTTTTTCTTTTTTTAACTATCAAGTTTAAAGCTTTCCACGATGCTTTTTTCTACTTTCTAGGAGACAAGTGACATTCTGTGGTAAATGGGAGAAAAAGCCATGCAGAACTGAAATCTCTCTAACGCATTGACACTAACTTGCCCTCTATTGTTGGAAATGAGCAGGCGTTCATGATTGTTCATCAAACGGCTCCTAATGCAGTTAAAGCATTCAGCTATAATTTCTCCTTGCATTTATAATTACTGTCATAGACTGCACACCTCGGTGAGCAGATTAAAGCTATAAACTATTTAGCCTCGGCTCTAAGACGAGGAACTTGATTTGTCTGGCAGGAGTTATTTGTTAGGGAGCTTGACACTTCACATAAAAATGACTCAACTTGATGAAGAACAATGCAGTTTTAGCAATGTGGGGATTTTAAATCAGTCATGATGCCACGCCCTGCAAGAATCGCAGGGCAGTTTGTTAAATGATATGTAGGCCAGGGAGATAAGGGAATGTGTTAAGGGTACCAAAATAGAAGAGGATTTGGTGTGCAGTTGCTTTCTTTCCCGACTCTCTCCTGGAAGATCAGGAGTTTGTTGAAAATCAGTGCATGTCATGTTCTCCTATTAAATCCAGTGTAAATGTTATGTGAGGCTCACCTGGAGGGAAAAGGGATGCCAGCAGCCACAGGCACATGTCACATTTGGGGGTTTTACAGAACTCTGTGTAGCTGTTGAGAACATTCGCCTCCAGAAGCGAAGTTCTGGAGTATATGGAAAAGCCAGGAGTATATGGAAAATAGTTGTTTGGTTTGGTTTGTTTCCTGGAACATGTTCATGTATTTCTTTGTGTATTTGTTTGTTTACTTGCAGGAGGCATAGAATATATTTAGGCACAGAAGGTGTTTCCATGGGGCTGATTCTATACCTTTTATCTGTGAAAATAAACAAAAAATAGATACTTTCCAACTCAGACATCTTCTGATTGTTGAGACACAGTGATCAAGAGCTTTTTCTCAATGAATTTTGGGCAAGTTTGACTTGCCATGGAATCATCTCCCACCTACCCACACTTCATAGCCATAAATAGACACAAATTTCCCTTAAAACTGGCATTCAGCATCAAGACTGTTGAATGTTTATTTGCCGCAAACAGTGGATACCGGTGCCCAAATATTAGGGATCATGAATACAAGTGCTCCCAGGACTGGGCGATGACCTGGAGGACCCTAGCATGCCGGCAGGGGCCGTCACGGGGAAGCTAGGAGGCCTTGCACAGCACCAGTGGTTTCCAAAGAAGTAGCAAATCCAGATCTTTGTGTGAGCCCCCCAGTGTTCTAGTCGAGAGGGTTTTTTTAATGGATGTGTTTTGGTTTAGTTCGGATTTTAGTTTGTTTTGTTGTTTTTGTTCTGAACACCCTTCAAGCCAAACAAAGTACATCAAAGACCAGATTCAACTCCTAGGCTGCTAGCTCGCAGCCCCTGGATCTGGTGGCAGGTCAGGTGGAGACACTGGACCTGTTTCTTGGTGTTCTTTGTCCCCTCTCCCCCAAGGTAACCCCACTAGGACTTTGGGCTCTAACATGAGTGCCACTTTTCCGCATCTCAGAGGATACTGGGCTGTTCTTTAGGAAACTCTACTTCCTTCTGAAGATTTCGTCAAGTTGCTGCTACTCAGAGGAGGGGGGCAGGCTGGGCTCCCCTGGAGAGGAGCCAATCATTCAGGCTTACCCAGGACTTGGCCGGGAGGGTTCCAGGGATTTGAGAATGAAACCAGAAAATTCCAGGCAAATCAGGTGAGTTGGTCACCCTGCTCTCCTGATATACTCTGGTTTCTTTTCAGATTATATAAATCTTTTGCCTTCTACTAATACATCTCTTGCCTTAGGGCACAATACTCATTGCCGGCGTAGCTTGTGAAATGGTGTGTGTTCTCTAATCCTTATGATATTTAGTCAATGCTGTTACCCAGCACATTTGACCTATGGTATTTGTCTAATCCTCACAGCAAAACTGCAAAGTAAATATTATACCCATTTTAGAGATGAGAAAGCTGAGGCTCAGAGAAGGCATTTCAGGTGCAGGTAGCAGGTAGCAGGTAGCACACAGCAGTAGCACAGCAGCAGGTAGTGGAGCTGAGACTCCAGGCCACAGCCATCAGAATCGGAGCACAGGGCTCCTTATGCAGCACTGGGCCACCAGTGCTCAACTTCAGTGTATATGGAACAGACAATGTTTCAAAGCATGGTGCCTTTAAAGTGCATAGTCTTAATGAGCTGATTTTTGAACATGTGTAACGGTGCCTTGGCTGTATTTGCTACAAAGAGTGGAATCTTCTTGCATGCCAAAAACCCCAGCCCAAAGGATGCATGTCCAGAATGAGCAAGTGTTTCTAAAGTTTTACCAACTTTAGCCCAAATATATGCCTTGCAAGCTACCCAGCACTCATGCCAGTAGGCAAAGGACTATGGCTAAAGGAGATTTTGTTCAATGAAGTTAGCCTTCAAGTTATTGTTCCGTGATATGTGTTGATTTTTTTTTATACAAAGCTTCTCCCTTTATTCACTTGGGTGCTCTACAGGGAGCACTCACTGTAGGTTAGGAGCTGGCATTCCTGTCGGGGAGATGGGCAGACAAAAAGTGTCATAATGATGGAAAACATGGCAGTGTGGAGGGCCAGAGGGCACCATGGCTTACAGGGAACTCAGGGAAGGCCTCATTGGGAGAATCTGTTTATGTTGAGACTGGCCAAGAAGCACTTAGAGAGAGGGGTTCCCAAGAAGCGGTAAGAGTACCTGCTCCTCTCCAACCACCGAAGGCGAGAGCAGGCCTGGTGGATCTGCAGATGTATCAGGGGTCAGGGGAGACACAGCTTGGGGAGCAAGGGGAGAGCATTGAAAATGAAAACTGGAGAAAGAGGCCAGGGCCAGAGCGTTCAGGGGTGGGGGAGATGGGGAGAAATAAGGCCTAGAGAGGTTCAGTGACTTAACCCAGGCCACACAGCTAACAGACTTCACATATCCAAAGAAAGTCCCAGTGAGAACATTCAAATGCATTGAGCCAGACAGGGAAGGCACACTTAGGGGCTTGGAAGATATTAAATTTCACATTTTCAATGCCACAAAGGCTGAGACAAGGGAGAGACTGGCAAGCATGAGAGGGGCTTGAGGGGTGTTGGAGGTGAGCAGGGACAGGCGGGGGTGCAGCAAGTCATGGCAGGGGAGTTAGGAAGGAGGAAAGGAGGTCTGTTGGCTGCCAGGTACAACACAGGGGAAGCTGCTGTTCCTTTCCTCCTCCAGCCCCGCAGCGTTAACCTACTCCGTGGGGGCTCAGCCCACCTCTGTGAGCTGGACTTTCTTTTTCTGTTGTATAATAGGCGCCATGGCAGTAAATGCCACCTCCCTGGCTCCCTCGGGGAAGCCCCACGCCTTGATTATTCCTGAGAATTGGTGACATTCTGTGGCTGCTCCTTGTGGGGGAGGCACAGGTCTGGCCCACCTGATGGTTTTTGTTCACTTCTTGCTGTCACTTTTGAAAGAGAGGAAGGTTTTACATACACATAAGTAATTAATTTTGTTCTTTCTTATTCTGAACGTCCCACACATCAGCAGAAAACCAGAAAGACTTCTTCAGGACAGAGAGGCACAGGAGAGCAATCTAAGAGAAATGTGTTTTCCCTTCCTCCCTCCCTCCTTTCTTCCCTCCCTTCCTTTCTTTCTTTTTACCAATATTTGTCAGACACTTCTTACAGGCACTGAGACTATAACAGGGAAAAATGCGAGCTCCCTGCCCTTGGGAAGCTTAGAGTCTGACCCTCCACTTTAGACTGAGGCTCGAGAGAAGATATTTGGCCACAGCTACACCAGTTTTACCTGCAGTGGGATAAGATCTAAGCAGTTAGACTTACTGGGTTTTATGGGAACACCAAGGAGAAACATCTAACCCAGGATGGGGGTCAAGGGTGGAGGAGGACACAGGGAGTCCGGGAGGGCTTCCTGCATGGGAGCCCTGATTCTGAGACTTGCAAGATGAGCAGAAAGAAGTCAGGAGTAAAGAGATGAAGGAGGGACACAGCATGAAAAGAGAATAACAGAAAAGGAAATCTTCTGGAAACAAGAAGTTCAATTTGAAAGTATTTGTGCGCTCTGCCCCACGCCCAGAAATTGTTTTCTCATTTTCACTAATTTGATGTAAATAACTGTACACTCAAGCTCTGACAATGCTGGGACCCTGTGTTTTCACCCCTCCACTTACAGGATCACTTTCTAGTTCAAGGCAACACAGTTTGTTCTCTCAATGCACCTATGCACTCTCACCTCAAATAAGAAACCAATTACCTTGGCTTTTCTGAAATACCAAAAATAATTCTCATTGTCCCATCATTACTACTAGTAAGAATAATATGGCTATAATAATAGTTAATTGTACCATTCATAAATCCAAAAGTGTTTGTGTGCATGTACTTTTTTCTCAAGCCCTATACAAGGCTCTAGGGATAGAGTGGAATCACAAACAATGACACTTCTTGGCCTTGTGGAGTTCTAGTCTAGCAGGGGAGGCCGATCGACGATTTTTTTTTTTTTTTTTTTTTTTGAGACAGAGCCTCACTCTGTCGCCCAGGCTGGAGTGCAGTGGCACGATCTCGGCTCACTGCAACCTTCACCTCCCAGGTTCAAGCAATTCTCCTGCCTCAGCCTCCTGAGTAGCTGAGCTTACGGGTGCCACCACCACACTCAGCTAATTTTCTGTGTTTTTAGTACAGAAGGTGTTTCACCATGTTGGCCAGGCTGATCTCAAACTCCTGACCTCAGGTGATTTGCCTGCCTCAGCCTCCCAAAGTGCTGGGATTACAGGCATGAGCCACCACGCCCGGCCTCGATGATGATTATATAACCACACAGGTAAACGTTGATGGCACTGGTAAGAGTACCACCTATGAGGCTGCAAGGGCCACAAAGTCTCTAGCAGAGGCTTTGACCTGGCACTGAGATCAGGATAGGCCTCGAGGGAAGATGGGAAGGGCCTCAGAGCTAGTGAGCTGAAACAAGAAGTGTGTCCCAGGCAGAGGGCAGAGCCTGTGTCGAGGCTCCGAGGCCAGTAAGAAGAGGGACAAGTACAGGTGCCTGAAAGAAAGCCAGTGAGCTGGAAGGGAGAGGGAGAGCATGGATGGTGTGAAATGAGGCTCCAGTGATGCAGTTTCTTTTAATATTTCAGCCTCTGCTCAGATCCTTAAAGGCGCTATTCACATCTTTCAATAATCTCACAGGATGGGTGATAGTCATCCATTTTACATAAGAGGAAACTGAGGTTTAGAAATAATGAAAAGCCCCAGCCTCACAGTCCATGGCAGAGAGAGGATGGGAGTCCAGCTTAGACCCTACACATGTGTTCCTTCTACCACATGACTCTTGTAGTCATGTCATCTCCTGTCTGTACCTACAAAGGGCTGTTTAAAGATGCCCAGTGTATGTTAGATGCTTGCAATAGTCAAGGTCAGATACTCACAAACACTTAGTAAATAAAACTAAGTAAGGAATAAATGAGTGCTGACATACTCATCAACACTGATATTTATTGAATGCCTCATATGTGCTAAGCTCAGGCTAAGCACTTTTCACATAGTATCCTTCTTAATTCTTGCAACAACTTTTTGAAATAGGCATTTTTATTACTATTCCCCCTGTGCTGCTGAGAAAACTGGAGCTTTAAGAGCTCTAGTGATTGTCCAAGGTCACGCAGCTGGTGAGGGTTGAAGGTGGGACTCAAACTCCCAGCCAGAGCCTGAATCTTAACCCTCCCTGGACTGCTTCTGGTGAAGCAAAGCAAAGTCCATGGAGGCTCAGTGTGCAAGACAGTTGGCTTGGCCACTTGGGGATGGAGCCTTCGGAGGCCTTTTCAGGAGAAAGTGTGGATTTGAACTGAAGAATTGCATAAAAAAGGCAGGGGGCGGGCATTTGGAAGTCCTTTGGTCAAAAACACCTTTCCATTTTCATGTTGGAGCCTCCAATACATTATATGTTCCATGCAGAATACGAAAGAAGTCTGTGCAAGATACAGACCCAGATTGAATTACTTACTATTCATTTCGTGTCACGTCAACAAAGATGGGAACCAGTTAAGGAATGGGGGTGGATCTTTATAATTGAGAAATTCAGATGTTCTGAACTTTGGGACCTGAGATGATCTACAAATCCAGACATGGGCCGAGACATGGCAATACGAGGGAAGAACTCAAGCAGGAGGAGAAAAGACTGCCTATCCAGGCAATAGCGTGACTTAGAAACAGGATTTGAGTACCACTTCATGGCTAAGCATGTGCGGGATGGAACCGGTCTTCCTGGGCTTACATCTTTGCTTTGCCTCTTCTTTCCCTGTGATGAGTCTTGGGGTAGGCCTCAAAGGCTGAATCTTCAATATAAATACAACAGTGAATGAACAACAAATGGTTATTTTAAAGATCTATCTTGGATGGCTATTTAATTTCACTAAACCCCAGGTTGCTCACCTGTTGACTGGAACAAACAATAGTCCCTTCTTCATGCGGGCATGGTGAGGGTTTTAACCCCGCATTGTCCACAAAGACCACTTAAATTATAGTAGATGCTCAGCAAATCTGAGCTATTATTTTTATCACGACTGTCAGAGGTCAGATCAGGCTTCGGGGTCAGACACACCTGGGTTCAAATCCCAGCAGGGCCACTTACTGTTGGAGCCGGGGCAAGTCAGTTATTCTCCCTGAGGGTCAGTTTTCTCATCCCTAAAATTCCAACTAATAATACTCATCTTTCAGTGATGCCGTGAGGTCTTAAAAATAATATAGGTTCAGATTGATAAAACAGGCTGGCACAAATTGGATGGCAGCAAATGTCCTTGCAGCCCTGTGTCTCCTGCCTTAGTTTGTGTTGAGGATTAGGTCAGATAGTGTACAGGGGTGGGGGCTGTCAGCGTGGATCTGGCACACACAGCAAGTGCCTGAGGAACTGCTTTCCTCTCAATTCCCTTCCCCTCAACCCCCAGCCCTTGATCACCTAAAGAAAAAAACCCTTTCATTTACTTAAGGTTTAAATTAAGATGTGAAATGGATGGTGCCACTTTATTTGAAGGAATAAAGAGAGATTGTAAGTATAGATTTATCTAAAACAGCTCTGGGAGGGGTGGGGGGGATAAAAGATATGCCCCTGAGAAAAAATGGAATGTAGCATTAACCTGCATTTCCTTCCCTCCAACTTTCCCATTCTCTTCCTGCCACCAGCCACCTTGCAAAGCCCCACTTGTTACAACACACATTTGCTGGTGGCTAAGCCATGCTTGGGAAGAACTGCACTGGAGTTTTCAGTGAAGGTGATGATGATGGTGATGATCATGATGATATGATGATGGTGATGAGGAGGAGGAGGAGGAGGATCTGATGATGAGGATATGATGATGATTAAATGTTGTAACACACGAACTTAGAATAGTGCCTGGCACAGTATCCATTATCAGAAAATCCATGTCATTCACATTAGTGGGTGCAGCGCACCAGCATGGCACATGTATACATATGTAACTAACCTGCACAATGTGCACATGTACCCTAAAACTTAGAGTATAATAAAAAAAAAAGAAAAGAAAATCCATGTCATTGATATTGACAGAGAACTAACATTTATTGAGCACTGTTTGAATCACCACATAGGTTAATTATATTATCAGTAACAATGAAGTGAAAGGAACCTCTTCTTTTAATCCTTTTTTATATAAAATAATATATTCTCATATCATCTCTGAGAGGTAGATGGAGACCCTACCTTCATTTACTAATTTACCTTTAAGGAAACTGAGGCATTTTTCAATAAAACTGGGAGCTATGTAGGAATCTGGCCACAGTGAAATGCACCTGTAGAGGGTATGGTGGAGATGCCTTTGGATGTCTGATACTATATCCTTGTGCCCACGCCTGGCTTCTGCTTGTTTTCCCCTCTAATAGATGCACCTGCAGCTCTCTTCTGAGGACATCTCCCAGCTCCTGGAGCTACTCTGCTTGCACACACAGAGCACCCTTGGTGCCTGCAAGTGTGTGCCCCTGGCTGGCCTTGAGTTAATGACTGATGTGGAGTACCAGAGCCCAATTCTTGCCTCCCGAGAGGCCAAGCTCTGAGTCCTAAGCTGCTAGGGCCTTATGTATCCTATCTCAATTAATCTTTCTCCTAAATTCTATAAAGAAGGAACTATGATTGCACCCAGCTTACAGGTGAAGAAACCAGCCCTCAGAGATGTGAAGTGACCAGGAAGGCCACACAGCTAGTAAGTAGCAGAGCTGGAAACTAAGTATAGACAAATGGAGGATTTGCCTGAAGCCAGAATTTTGGCTGAAATGTCAGCACCATTCTGGCATCCCTTGGTGAAATTCTGTGCATAGTACACCAAAGCGTGAGATGCAGACACACCACTTATTTGAAGGAGAGAACAGATGAATGCCTCCCCCCCAAAAAAAGCTTAAATATCCCCAAAATTCAAATCTTTGACCAAGGCAACTTTCTACCACTCGGGGCCTTCAGCAAATTGACACTTCAAATGTGCATGGTTTTATTTGGTATTTTTTTATCGATGGAGAAAAAAATGATGTTTCAGGTTATGCTTTTTTCAATGCTACATTTCTCAATTTCACAGTCAAATAATTCTATTTTTGTTCACCAGAGGATTTTGTCATCTTTAATTGTTTATGACTACCCCCTCCCCCTGTACTTGCGGGAGCCTCCACTTTTCCCCCTGCTGCCTTTCGTTAGACTCTCCCGTGAGCAGTAACCATGGAGATGGGTCCCTATTGGATAGTCTCTGCTCTGGCTTAGAAGTCAAAGAGCCAATCAGGACCTCGTCATCCCAGAAATGTAAGAGGATGAAAAATGCGAGGCCTTTGTAAGTGGAGGGGAGACCTGATATGCAGTCTCCAGAGACAGGGAGTTCCTGATGCCTAGAAATCCTGGGAAGGAAACACACAGCAGCTAAGCTCAGTGGGGAAAAACATGGGTCCTGGAACTGCTGGAGTCTGGCCCCAGGGCTGAGTCTCCTCTTCCTGGCTGAGGGACCTGGGTCAGGGCACACCACTTCTTTGAACCTCAGCTGTCTCTTCTATCAAGCAGCAGCAGGAAGGCTGAGCTCACATACTGTTATAAAGATAAAATTAAATACAACCCACTAAGCACCTGCCTAGCCCTGTATCAGGCATGTAGAAGTCCTCAATTAACAAGAGCTACTCTCATAATAACTAAAAATATAGCAACCCTAGAATTGAGGCTGGGTGAACAGGTCTAACAGCCCTGCCCTCAGAATGTTTGCTGCCCATCACGGAAGGAAGACAATGAAACCACAAGGCTTAGCCTCTGCTCACTGCTAGCACAACAGAAGTACGGAGCCAGTGGGGAAAAGAGGGGTCAAAGAAGTCTAACCAAATGAGAAGAGATCTAGGCTGAGTCTGGAATGATGAAAAGGAGCTAGCCAGGAGGATAAGAGGGAAAAGTGTTGCGGAAAGAAGGAACGGCAAGAGTAAAGTCTTGTTAAGTGAGAGAGAGGGTGTGGTTCATTCCAGAAAATGCATGTGGCTCAGTATGATTGCAGAGAGCCCAGTTTTGGGGAGCAGATGGCAGAGAGAGGAGGCTGAACAGACAGGTGGCTGGTGGATGTGCATACAATGGCTTCTCCTTGGGTGCACAAACTTTGTCTTTTCATGATCATAGAGACAGATATTCAATTGAGGTTTGCTTTATGAAATATTGGAGCATTGTTTCCATGAAATTGACTTTGCAGGGCTGGGAAGTGAGTGGAGAAGTGGATTTTTTTTTTTCTTTTGTGACGGAGTCTTGTTCTGTTGCCAGGCTGGAGTGCAGTGGTGCGATTTCGGCTCACTGCAACCTCCACCTCCCTGGTTCAAGTGATTCTCCAGCCTCAGCCTCCTGAGTAGCTGGGATTACAGGCACGCACCACCACACCTGGCTAATTTTTGTATATTTAGTAGAGATAAGGTTTCACCATGTTAGTCAGGCTGGTCTTGAACTCTTAACTTCATGGTCTGCCTGCCTCGGCCTCCCAAAGTGCTAGGATTACAGGCATGAACCACCGTGCCCGGCCGAGAAGTGGACTTTTAACTGAGCCTCCAGTTGACATTGGATACAAGGTCGACCTCCACCTCGAAGCTCTGGGAGGGCAGGGGCTGCATCTGACTGGCTTCCTGTTGTATTCCTTGGAACCCAGACTCTACAAATATTGGATAAAAGAAAGGAAGGAAGGAGAAGAGAGAGGGAGAAAGGGACATGCTATCTAGGAAGTGATTATACTTCCTTTTGCCATCCTCCATGGGCGAAATGACAATAATACTTACGTCTCTCATCCGTGAGGCAGATCAAATACATAAAAGTACACAAAACATGAAGCACAGTCCCCAGCATCTAACATAAGCCCAGTGCAAATGAATCTTCAGGCTTTGCACAGCCAGAAAAGTATGAGGATGTAAGAAACATTTCCAGCCTGCCGTAGAAAGGACTAACACTCTGCCAGGATGTTTTTGCATCCGGGGTAAGAAATGTCTATGCTAACTCTTGGAGGAACTGCTGTGTGCCAGGCTCTGTTCTGAGTCCTGGGCTACACCAGAGAATAAGAGAAACAGGGGATGCAGGTTGATAATAATACTAAGGGCTAACATCTATTGAGCACATAAATACAAGTAACAATTTCTGAGAATGAGGGGCTACCAAGGAAATATGGGGTAGTGCAAGGGACTGTGACAGGGCCACCTACTTTAAATAGAGGAGATTGAAAAGACAGGAGTCAGGTGGCAACTTGGAAGCAGAACATCCCAGGCAGGAGAAACAGGAGCAGGGCTGATATGTTTGATTCAGAGAAAGGCCGGAGTGTCATGAGCTGGGCATCCAGTGGTGGGACATGAATTGTGGGATGAGCATGGGACAACTCAGGGCTTTGTAGAACATGCTAAGAACTTTGGATTTTTTGAGACCATGCTAACTGGGTGGGGAAATAAAAGAACGTTGGATTTGTTTTTCATTAGGTCCACTGGGAAGCCATTGAAGCAGCTTGAACAGGCATGTGGCATGATCTACTTTCTTTCTTTTTTTGAGACAGAGTTTCACTCTTCTTGCCCAGGCTGGAGTGCAATGGTGCGATCTTGGCTCACTGCAACCTCTGCCTCCTGGGTTCAAGTGATTCTCCTTCCTCAGCGTCCTGAGTAACTGGAATTACAGGCATGTGCCACCACGCCTAATTTTGTATTTTTAGTGGAGACAGGGTTTCACTATGTTGGCCAGACTGCTCTCGAACTCCTGACCTCAGGTGATCCACCTGCCTCGACTTTCCAAAGTGCTGGGATTATAGGAATGAGCCACCACGCCCAGCCTACTTTCATTTTTATAAGATCACTCTGGCTACTGGGTGTGGAATGGACAAGAGGGTCAGGAGTGAAAGCAGGAGGCCAGCAAGGAGGCTGTTGGGAGACCGGGAACAGATGGCCTTGGTTGGAGCCTCAGTGGAGGCGGTGAGCATGGGAAGGAATGCGTGGACCTGGGAGAATTCTGGATCACTCAGGACCATGCTTGCCTAGGGAGGAGAAGGGACTTCAAACAAAGAAGACACGTGTTCATGGGGACAGATTCTCTCAGCTTCACACTGTGGGGCCCCGGGTGGGCTCTAGAGGACCAGGATACAACTGCTCTTCCCGAATCTCCCCTGGACCACCCGGACTCCCAAGCATGCCATCACTGCCCATCTCCCAAGAGGAATCCATTCCGATAAAAGTAAACCACTAGTGGCCGGGCGCAGTGACTCACACCTGTAATCCCAGCACTTTGGGAGGCCAAGGCGGGCAGATCACAAGGTCAGGAGATCGAGACCATCCTGGTGAGACCTCATATCTACTAAAAATACAAAAATTAGCTGGGTGTGGTGGCGCGTGCCTGTAATCCCAGCTACTCAGGAAGCTGAGGCAGGAGAATTGCTTGAACCTGGGAGACGGAGATTGCAGTGAGCCGAGATCGCACCGCTGCGCTCCAGCCTGGCGACAGAGTGAGACTCCATCTCAAAATAAATAAATAAATAAGTAAACCACTATTTTCATGCTTCTCCAGGAATTACGAAGTGTAAAGACAAAAGGTCCCGCTGTGCTCGCCTTCCTATTTTTCAATCCTAATTTCATTCCTCTCTCCATTCTGTAATTCAGCTCCCCCTCCTCTGAGCCTCCACAGTAGGTGGTCCTGACTTCTGTGGGAGATTTACTGGAGAGATGACATGGAGGAACACATTGTCTTTTTCAAAATGATTTAGTGACCTTTTTGGCATCCCCGTGATTACTGAAATCTTGCGTAATTATTCAGTTTGCCAGCAGAGAGTTCTGTTGATCAGGGGAAAGCTGAGGTAGATGTCAGATGACAGTAAATTTGCAATCCATAATTGTAACCACTTGATGCTGGAGCAGACCAGGGAACAAGGACTTGGTCACAAGGCCATGGATGGTTGAACCAATACGAGCACCAAATTATCTCACGCATCACACATGCAGAAACGTTGCCTATCTTTCTTTCCTCGCTAGCGCTCTTTCTCTTTCTTTGCCTCTTTTTCTCTATCTCTATCACTGTCTTCATCCCCTTCCCTAGAGATGGGCACGTTGAATACTCTGCTCTAAGTCTTCTAGGTCCATTTCCACCCAGAGCCAGTGATGCCGTAAATACAGCCACAGGTTTTTCCCCCAAGAATTCCCATAAGCTCTTTCTGGTCTTACTGTTCTGGTCTGTTTGGCCCCTGCTGGAGCTCAAGCATTGATTTTTTTCTGCTTTGCTTGCTTTCTGACAGCACGGCTTATATTGGAAAGGTCTGTGTCAGGAATTAGAGAACATTCCTAACAATGGGGAAAAGTACCCTAATATAAATATACCATTTGTGGACTTGCACTTTGACAAGTGCAAATGAACTGGAAGACACTGGAAAAGCTCTGAAGTCATGGAAACATGTAACAGAGGCATTTACTTAATAACTCATCTCATTCCTTGAGCTCACCTTATCAAGCTTTAACCTCTGAGTCTCTAAGTTCCTAGTTCAAAAATGCAGAGTCTCCTCTGTCCTCATGTTAATTTTTAAATTATATATCATTGTAGAGAGGCCCTTATGTTGAATATTATGAGCCATTTTCATATCTGAAATGGGGAATTATAACTGAACATTAGCAATTGCCTATAAATCTCAGCAAGCAAAGTGGCATCTATAATACATGGCATTAACTGGGGAGAAATGTGGTGCACAAAAAGGGGGATTTAGAGGGGTGGAGGTGATTTTCAAGAGGAAAGGCTGCAGGTCGATGAGCACAAGCCCCCTGTGTGCTGTATAATTCCTAAAATCTTAGTGGACCTGGGTGGAAGTTTGTTGACACTTTTGGAAGCAATGGTTAAAACTGTTCAGCATGTTGCCTGGGCACGCTGGCTCATGCCTATAATTCCAACACTTTGGGAGGCCAAGGTGGATGGATCACCTGAGGTCGGGAGTTCAAGACCAGTCTGACCAACATGGAGAAACCCCATCTCTACTAAAAGTACAAAATTAGCCAGGCGCGGTGGCACATGCCTGTAATCCCAGCTACTCAGGAGACTGAGGCAGGAGAATCGCTTGAACCAGGAAGGTGGAGGTTGTGGTGAGCCGAGATCGCACCATTGCACTGCAGCCTGGGTAACAAGAGCGAAACTCCGTCTCAAAAACAAACAAACAAACAAAACTATTCAGCATGTTAAGTCTACATTGTGTATATCAAAATCTCTTATTTACAATTCACTGCAAACCACATCAAAGTTAAGTAAAATAAGAAATGTACCGTCTCATCCAAGGAGAGAGTTGGATTCATACATGGAGGAATCCTTGGTTCAAAGGATGTATGCCGTCAGAACTTTGTCTTTCTCCACCTTTCCACTCAGATGTTCCTTGTGTTGTCTCATTATTAGGCAAATGGCAAGATTACCTGGACCAGCTCCAGGGTCTAAAGCTAGGATTTAGCTCCAGGCCTGGCTCTTTCATTTTTTTTTTTTTGGAACCACTTTTTTAGGTGGAAACTTCCTTGGAAGTTGAGAAATTTGTCCTAAGGCTTACTAGGAATTGGCAAAAGGGCAATAGGATATGTCATTCCAGGACAGTGTGTCTGCCAGCCAACTGGAATGCGAACAGGGCACTCTGCCTGGGAATATGAGCAGCTGCGTAGATCTATCCACTTTTGCTGGGGATCACCAGTGAGGAACCATGGTCAGGCTGCCTGGGTTTAAATTTAGGGTCCACTACTCACTAGCAGTAAGAGCAAATATTCTAACGCTCTCAGACACAGTTTCTTCATCTATAAGATGGGGATAACTGTTCTACCTCAGGAATTGATAGAGTTAAAAGAAATAATCCAGATAATGCTTTAAGCCAGTGGTTCTCAAACTTGACTGTACATCGCAATCACCTGGAGGTTTGTTAAAACCCAAAGGACTGAGCGCCATCCCCCGAGTGTCAGATTCAATAGGTCCAGGGTGGAGCGAGACCTTGTGAATGTCTAACATGCACCCAGATGATACCAGTGGTGTTGGTCCGGGGACCACACGTTGAGAACCATTGCTTTAAGTACCTGGGCATGTTGTAAGTGCTCCAGATAGTTTGCTTTTAGCAGCTTTCCTCCTGTCTTTGAGCCTGTCTGACACTCTGTCCTTTGTGAGATCTTAGCTTACTGCACAAAATCAAGTCAAACCAACATAGGGGTCCATCAGGATGACCTATTACAGGGGCTAAACAGAGAGCAGGAGCTGAAATAGAGAAGCAAAACAAGGAGAGGCCCAAAATCTAGAAAAGGAGTGGGTAGCCAGGAAGTTTGCTTGAGTCTGCTGAGATCGCTTAAAGAGGTGGACAACCTCAGCTCAGTTGCTTGTACTGTATTAAGAGGAATTTCTCACCTGATGCACATGACCGGCTATCAAGGGAAGAGGTCTTCCTCTTGACTTAGCTTAATACCTTCCTTAATTCTGAATTAATTGGCCCTAAAAGTATTTTGGAAGCAATGGTTAAAACTGTTCAGCATATTAGCTCTATATTGTGTTTATCAAAATCTTTTATTTATAATTCACTGCAAAGCAAATCAAAATTAGTTAAGTAAAACAAGAAATGTGGCTTCTCTGTCTATGAAGTTGCCATCCTATTGTTTCTTTGCTTCTCTACTAAACTTGCTTTCACTTTGCAAAAAAAACCAAAAAACTAAAAAACAGGAAAAAAAAAAACAAGGAATATAACAGCTCATCCAAGGACAGAGTTGGACTCATGCACAGAGCAATCCTTGGTTCAGAGGATGTATGCCATCAAAACTTTGTTTTTCTCCACCTTTCAGCTCAGGTGTTCTATGTGTTATCTCATTCTCAGGCAAATGGCAAACGTGGACCAGCTCCAGGGTTATATCCTATCAGTTTAGATGCACCAGTAGATAGAGGGCCTGTTTCCCAAGGGTACCAAGAAAATATGGACATTTGGTTTAATCAGCCGGGAATAAGGAAAGCACATACCCTTAAAGCAATGCCTGCAACTTGGAGAATTGGATGCTGTCTTTGGCCTGGGTTCAAGTCTCTCCTGTGGAAGCAGTGAGCAGACTCAGCACTGCACAACTTGGGCTGAGATTGGTCCACCCAGAGGAGTTTTGATGTCATTGTTGCTTGGGGAAGAATGACCTCAAATCCAACTAACACGCTCCTCCTGCCAGGACTGATGCAGTAGCCACCTTCAGGTCTTCTCATCTCTACTTACTACCCTGTCCCAGTTTGGCCAGCACAGAACTTCCAGATTAAGTCATAATTCAAAGCTCATATCACAATGAGAAGAGCTACCATTTCACGAGTGTTTATTCTGTCTCAGGTGCTTCAGTTATAGTCCTTCTGATCCTTATATTAGCCTTTCTCATCATTTAAATCTCAGCTTAAACATCGTCTTCTTTAAGGATTCTTGCCTGAAAGCCTATCTAAATCAGTTGTTGTCTGTAAAAGCCCAGATAGATAGCTGGAGCTTGGCCTAAGCCATCTTCTCACTTTCCTGATATTTTCTAATTCTGAAATGGTAGGTAGCCTTACTCTTCTCATGATGTCTCAGCTTAGGATCTATGGACCTTCCTTTTTTCTGTCATCTCTCCTCACACTCTTCATTTATTCCATCACTCATTTTTCTTGATTGGACCTCCATGATGCTTTTCCCATGTCACTTCCACTTCCATTTCCACAGGAGCCATGTCATTTGAAGTATACCCTCCTGTTGCCAGGACTGATGCAGTAGCCACCTTCAGTTCTCATCTCTACTTACTACCCTGCCCTAGTTTTCCCAGTACAGAACTGCCAGACTAAGTCATAATTCACAGCTCATATCACAATAAGCTAACATTTCATGAGTGCTTATTCTGCCTCAGGTACTTTAATTATAGTCCTTCTGATCCTTATATTAATCTTTCTTATCATTTAAATATCAACTTAAACATCATCTTCTTTAAGGACTCTTCCATGAAAGCCTATCTAAATGAGGAGTCATCAATTTCTTTCTACAAAGGGCCAGATAGTAAATATTTTCAGCATTGTGGGCCATGCAGTCTGTGTCACAACTACAGCTGACCCTTGAACAATGAGGGAGTTAGCAGTGCTGATCCTCTGCATAATCAAAAATCCACAGATAACTTTTGACTTCACGAAAACTTAACTACTTATAGCCTATTGTTGACCAGAAGCCTTACCAACAACATAAAGTCAATTAACACATATTTTGTATGTTATATGCGTTATATACAATGTTCTTACAATAAAGTAAGCTAGAGAAAAGAAAACGTTGTCAGGAAAATCATAAGAAAGAGAAAACATATTAACTATTAAGTGAAAGTGGATCATCATAAAGGTCTTCATCCTTGTCATCTTCACATTGAGTAGGCTGAGAAGAAGAAGTAAGTAGAGGGGTTGGTTTGCTTTCTCAGAGGTGGCAGAGGCAGAAGAAAATCCATGTATAAGTGACCCACACAGTTCAAGCTCATGTTGTTCAAGGGACAGCTGTATTCAATCTTCCATTGTAGCATAAAAGCAATGATAGATTATATCCCAGTGAATGGTAGTGACTATGATCCAATACAACTTTATCAAAGGACACTGAAATTTGAATTTCTTGTCATTTTTGTGTGTCATAAAACATCATTCTTCTTCTGATTTTTCAACCATTTAAAAATATAAAAACCACTCTTACTTTGTTGGCCCTATGAAAGCAGATGGCAGGCTGGATCAGGCCCACAGGCAACAGTTCACCAACCCCTGATCCAAAGCAATCCAGCTCTCTCACTTTTCTCTTTCTCGTCACCCTGTTTTATTTCCTTCATAAAATTACAACTATCTGATATCATGTTGTTTATGTATTTTCTCATATCTAGCACTGTGCTAGGCTCCAAGGATACAGCAATGAACAAAATGACATTTTCCTTTCCTTCACAGATCTTACATTCTTGTTGGAGGAAATAGACACAAAATTAAAAAATAAATAAGGCCATTTAGGATCCCATGAAGGGAATAGAGCATTATGGGCCTGGGTAGCAGTGGTGCTAATTTACTTTGGGTGCTCCAGGAAGACTCCTTTGAGGGGCAGCTTCTGACATATGAAGGACTGAGGGAGCCACAAATGAGAAGAAGAGGATTTCAGACAGGGACAGCAAGTGCAAAGGCCCTGAGGCAAGTAGGAGCTGGGCTCGTTGTGGGGAACTGAAAGAAAGCCAGTGTCCCTGGAATGCTGTGAGCTCAAGGTGACAGACTCAATTGTGCAGGCCATGGTAATGAGTTCAGATTACTCTGAATACATTGAGAGGCTTTAAATAGGGAAAGAGCATGACCCAATGGGCATTTTTGAAGATGACTCTGCTCCTGTGTGCAGGAATGGATTGCACACAGGACATGTATGTGTGTGTGAATGTACCTTTCCTTCCTTATCAGGAAGCTCCTTGAAGACCTCAGGCATATGAAGGCCTCAACAAAAACTTTATAAACTTAATGCATCAATTAAAACCATTAACACAGCCACATAACTTTTTCTTAACCTCCTCACTAGCAATCCTTTTTATAGCCTGGTTCCCAAAGCAGGTCAATTTATATCATAAAACTCAAAAATTACAGCTTATAGCATAAAATGACCTCCCATGATATAATGTGGCAAAATAAGCGAATTAATACCAGAGGTAGTAAATGTCTGGGCACTAATGTGACTTGAGTATGAAATATGTTTCCATCGCATTAGGAGTAAGGATCCAAAATGAGAGGGGGATCGGTGACCTGGCACCACCTACATGGAGCTAGCTATGCTAAGTCCTGGTTTAGAAGATCCACTTGGTATGAATGCAACCACTTAGGTATTTTTGATTCTTCTCATCATTTAGTCAACAAGTCGTTTTTTTGTTTGTTTGTTTGTTTGTTTTTTGTTGTTGTTGTTGTTGTGTGTGGGGGTTTTTTTGTGTGTTTTTTTGAGATGGAGTCTAGCTGTCGTCCAGGCTGGAGTACAGTGGCGCGATCTCAGCTCACTGCAACCTCCGCCTCCTGGGTTCAAGCGATTCTCCTGTCTCAACCTCCCGAGTAGCTGGGACTAGAGGTGCGTGCCACGACACCCAGCTAATTTTTTCTATTTTTAGTAAAGATAGGGTTTCCCTGTGTTAACCAGGGTGGTCTCGATCTCCTGACCTCGTGATCCGCCCACTCATCCTCCCAAAATGCTGGGATTACAGGCGTGAGCCACCACGCCCGGCCAGTCAGCAAGTATTCCTAAAAGTAAACTGTATTTAGATACTATGCCAGGCTTGTATCCAGAAATGAGCAAGGCAAAGAAAGCCTCTGGCCTCATGCAGTTTATGTGCTGTTGCTGTCATGGAGCAAACAATTTAATCAAAGAGAATAATTTCAGTGCTGTTAGTTGTAAGAATGCTGAGCCAAAAAATGGGGAAATGGAAGGCTACTTTAGATGGGTGGTCAGAAAAGTCTTTTCTGAGAAACTGACATTTTTGCTGAGACCTAAATAATGAGAAGCAGCCAGGCATCCACTGAGTCAAGGAATGAGGGCTCCAGGCAGAAGGAACAGCACATGCAAAGTTCTTGAGGTCAAAAAAAGCTTGGTGTATTTAAAGCATTATCTAGTACAGAGGTTTGTAAACCTCTTTTGTCAAAAGGCCAGATAGTAAATGTCTGAGGCTTTGTAGGCCATACAGTGTCTACTACAAATCTTCAACTCTGCCATTGTATCACAAAAGCAGCCATAGGTGATATGTAAATGATTAAGCATGGCTGAGTTCCAATAAAACTTTATTTATGAAAATAAGTGGAGGGCCAGATTTGGCCCACAGGCTAGAGTTTACCAGCCTATGGTCTAGTAGGATAGTGTCTCATGTGGGGGTCCTAGAAGCAGATCCTGACATCAGGGTTCCTGGGCTATTAAACCTATTGAATCCCTGGTTTCTCAGGAATGTGCTCCCAGGAAGAACCAGTAAGGGAGTAGGGAAGCAGGACAGGGAAGGAAAGAAAGCCAAGCAAGTCCTAGCCTCTGCCTGATCCCATGGGGAGCCTCAGAGTTCCACCTGTCTGTAAGCAAGGGCTGGGCTACCTTGGCTAATGACTGATTGACTCCACATCAATCAGTCATTGGCTCAAGGATAGCCAGGGGTACACACTTGAAGGCAGCAAGGGCACTCTGTGTGTACTGGCAGAGCAGCTTCAGCGACCAGGGGACATCCCCAGAAGAGAGCTGCAGGTGCACCTATTAGAAAGTAAAACACTCAGAAGCCAGACGTGGGCACAAGGATATAGTATCCAAAATCCAAAGGCATCCCTACTGTGTCCTCTACAGATGCATTTCCCTGTGGCCAGGTTCTTATCTAGCTCTCACTTGCATAGAAAAATGTCTCAGTTTCCCCAAAGTTACCTTTGTGAATAAAGGTAGACTCTCCACCTACCTCTCAGAGCTGATGTTAAAATATATCAAGTTCTTTTGTCCAAAAAAAGGATCAAAAGAAGAGGTGACTTTCACCTGATTGTCACTGATAAAATAATTAATTTACATAGCAATTCAAAATAGTGCAAATATACAGGAATCACGTTTTTGAAAGTGATCAGAGAAGCCTGGCCTCTGGCTTAGCCTTTCATATGCAGATCAGTGAGGGAGAGGGAACTGGCATTGACTGAGTACCTGCTGTGTGCATTGTGTCAAGAGCTTTTCTATCTTTTTTCTGATTTAACCCTTACCACACGCTTTAAGTAGCGATATTACCCCCATTTTATGGATGGGGAAACCGAGGTTCAGGTATAAGCCCCTCAAGGGCAGAACAGGGGCTGTAAAATTTAAAATCCTTAACTCATATTCACCGAATGGACCTCAGAAAGGTCTGTAACATACTGAGGGTGACCATGACTGACAGGTGACAGAGTTAGGATTTAAGGCCGGTTCTGACACTGAAGTCTGTGCATTTTTCTAGTGGCACCTTTCAGACTGGTGATTCGAAGGAATAAATACAAAATGGCTAGCCAGTGGCGTCATGCAGTGCTCTTTGTATAAGGAGGTGGCATTCCTGTGCCAAGCATGTGATTTGTGTCAATTGCTTGCTGTCGTGAGGAGGCCTTGCCGAGACTCCTTCACACATTCTCACTGTGCCACTCCCAGATCAGAACAGACACATGCAGTCCTCTTATCCTGTTCCCTGGACAAATCTTTCCCAAGACGGAACCTGGGACATGCCTAATAATGATCTGACTTGCTGGTTCAATCAACAAATATTTATTCAGCATTTATTATGTACCAGGCACCATCAAAGCCCTGAAGACACAAACTTTTATGACAATCATAATTAACATGGAGTTAGCGCCCTACCAGTGTTATCTCATTATTCCCTTCCCACATCCTCCAAAGTAGGATCATGGGTCCCCATGTTGTAGAAGAAAAAGCTAAGCCTTAAAGAGGTTAAGTAAGTGGCCCATTATCATACAGTTAGGAAGCAGCAGAACAAGAATTCAAATGCAAATTTGCCAAACTTCATTATCACTGCCAGAACTCATGCCCTGTCCTGATTCTTGCAAAAAATCAGGGCTAATAGTTATTGAATGCTTACTATGTCCGAGGCACTCTTTAAAACTCTTTACATACATCATGCCATTTTATCTTTCCTGCCATCACACCAGATAGGTCCCTGTCATCACCCCTATTTTACAGATGAAGTACCTAAAGTCAACAGAAATTAAGCGCCTTGACCATCACCACACAGCTTTCAGCTGGTGGAGCTTGGATTTAAACCCCAGCTCTGCTGGACTTTAGGGCTTGCTGGGAAGCAGAGTTATAATTTTTTAATTACCAAAAAAAGGAAAAAATAAAATAGTAAGAAGAATAAACATATACTGAAAGCTTACTTATGTGCCAAACACTGGGTTTAGTACTTCTTTGTTTTAGCTTATTCAAGCTTCCGTGCTCTGGGAAGTAGGTGATTTTCTTATTCCTATTTTACAGTTGAAGGAATGGAGGTATAGCAAAGTGAGGTCATCCTACCCAGTCACACAAATGTTTTGTGATGAGGGCAAAATTCAATTACAGATTGGTCTGACTCTCCAAGATAAACAGATTAACCCTATTTTTATCCAGGGAAGATTTTCCTGCATGCTTGGTCTGTGACCTGGGTTTATGAAGAATGAATAGAAACCTGTGCTCGCCTGCTCCATCCAATTGACTGCAATATGCAAAAGAGGCTTGAATGTAGAGCTTCGAGGAGTTTGGGGTGAAAGAAGGTGGCAGAAGGAAAGTAAAAACGGGTACAGTAATTCCCAGGGCTCTTTGTCAAGTTCCTGACCAAATGCCCGGCAGGGGCTTTCTTCCTCTTCTTCCACTTCTTCCTTCATTCATAAGAGTTTTACCGCCTCGAACAACGTGAAATGTGTAGCTTGGGCTTGTTGAGAATGGAGTGTGTCTGTTAAGTGTTGCTTCTTGAATGCTGGACCGCCACCTCCATCTTAGTTACGCACGCCCATCTTTTTCAATCTAATGAACTCCAACCATCAGTGCAACTTAAGTTCGGCTGTCTGTTCGTGCATAGTTAATATTAAAAATGTACTAACAGTGTGGCTGAGAAATCAAATTATGCACATAAATATGCTGGCATAGCACAGGCGGCGGCAGAAGCTGAAGTTAGCAACACTGATGCCAGTTCACATTTGCAAATCTCCCGTCAATCTGTCATTAAACATGTTATCAAATGATGATAAGTGTATGCTTCTTGCTTGCATTGGTGAGCCGATTCCCGATGTTGATGCACATTAATGGGATAATACGCATTAACATAGTTGTGCTTGGATGAACACAAAACATTTTTTATCTGTCTCCGTTTGTTTCCCCCTGTGGCCCCGAAGTAAGTGTTTTGTGTTATCAAATTGCCAAAAACACGGGAAAACATATTACTTTTAATTAGCAAATCTTGTTGGGATTTTCCCCCCTACACGCCCGTCCCCCCCACCCCCATTGTGTGATGGCAATAAGAGAGAGAAAGAGAGAGGAGAGAGAAATAGAGAGAGGAAGAGAGAGAGGAACTCTACTGTCTTCTTTCAGTAAAACGATTAATGTCAGCAACTCAGAAGCTGGCAATTATGTTCTGTCTTAATGCACTGGCCTTTCATCTGGGGCCCTTACTCTTGACAGGCCTGATCGTTTCAGTTCAGTGATATGAAAGGCAGCAGAGGAAATGATCGTAGACATCCCGGGTCTGTCACGAGGGCCGGCGCTGCAATTCGGATCCAGCTCCACGTTCTGAAGCTGTTCAGCAGAGTCAGAAGCACAGGAGACAGATGGTGGCCCCAGGCATTGCCCAGACTTTGGGTGTCACTGTGCTGAGTGGGGAAGTTGTAGCTACCACCATTTCCCAAACTTAAGAACTGGGAAAATGTGCAAGCCCCCACAAAGTGAGAAACACGGTATTAAAAAGTTAAATGTCCTTTTGCGTTGATCACAGAGCACCAGCTCAACGCAAGGATAAACGTGAATGCGGGCAGTGATTTCATACAGCAGTGTTTGGATAGGAGTCTCTTCTCCTGAGGATCCAGGAGAGGATTGGATTCATTTTTCACCAAAATGAAAATAAAATTTAGATATTCTTGATTGAAAATTCAGAACTTTATGAAATTTTTTTGCAGATGTTGGGTCAGTACAATATCTGAGAAATGGGGCCAGGTGCGGTGGCTCACGCTTGTATCCCAGCATTCTGGGAGGACAAGGCAGGCAGATCACTTGAGGTCAGGAGTTCAACACCAGCCTGGCCAACATGGTGAAACCCCATCTCTACTAAAAAGACAGAAATTAGCTGGGCATGGTGGTGCCTGCCTATAATTCCAGCTACTTGGGAGGCTGAGGCAGGAGAATTGCTTGAACCCAGGAGGTGGAGGTTGCAGTGAGCCAAGATGGTGCCACTGCATTTCAGCCTGGGGCCGCAGAGCAAGACTCCGTCTCCATCTCAAGAGAAAAAAAAAAGAAAGAAAGAAAGAAAAAGAAATGGTAGTGGTGCCCAGCTTCCTTTGTGAAGTGATGTTCTGAGCCATTAGGGTTATATATGTTTCCACAAAGGATCTGTCAGGACATCTTTGAGATTGGATTGATTCATTCATTCAACACAGATGGATTGAATATCTACTATATGCCAGAATTACTGTAGCATCAGGGAGTAGGACAGAAATGATTCCTACCCTCATGAAGCTTTGGGTATTTGGGGAAGGGAAAACAGAGGTTTTTTTTTAAATTGCTACATAATAATCAATTTATTTTTATTATGAAAAGTGAAGGTAGAGGTATATGGAGTGCAGTTGTTGTAGCATTTACTTCTCGAGCTCAGTGGAAAATGTTTTCTGCCATTAATAATGCCAAAAGGTTATGTGTTTGGCCTTCCTGGATTCTTGTTTACATGTGTTTTAAAATTAACATTGACTTCTTGCCATTTGTGTTTGTTCCTAAGCGGAGTGAGCGGCTTATTAATGATTAGAATTATTGTTGCTATTATGAATGCACTAATTAAAAGAAAATTCTGTCATGAGGCTTTGTGAGGCAACACAAGACTTTACAGTTAGAGACGTCAGGTCTGGAAGTGTGGAGACAAAAGTGTGAAATAAGAAAACAGAGTTCAGGATGAGGAAAAGAGTTCTCAAGATGTCTACAGTCCTTCATTAGAGATTCTTTTTCAGGGCATTTTCCCTAGTAAGGGTATGATGAAAATCCAGTTGTTTTTTGATTGGAGGTGTCACCTTTATTGTTTTTCTTTTTTTTTGGTCTTAGGGCAGAAATAGCCGGCTTCTCTCCAACTTGAATTCTAAGAACATTTTATCTTCTACAGCTTTATTCAAATATGTAAAAACAGGCACAGTAGCTCACACCTGTAATCCCAGCACTTTGGGTGACTAAAGTAGGAACATCAACGGCTTGAGCCCAGGAGTTTGAGACCAGCCTGAACAACACAGTGAGGTCCTTTCTCTACAAAAATAATTTATTTTTACTTAGTCAGGTAGGGTAGTGTGCACCTGTAGTCCCAGCTACTTGGGAGGATCACTTAATCCCAGGAGTTCAAGGCTGCAGTGAGCTATGATTGTACCAATATACTTCAGCATGGGTAACAGAGCAAGACCCTGTCTCAAAAATACACACACACACACACACACACACACACACACACACACACGTAACACTTCTGAATTGATGACCAGATGCCAGACCAAGGATGCCAGACCAGGACACAGTTCCTCCCCGAGGTTCATCATCTAGGGGACAAGGAAGTGAAGCGAATGCACAATCGTAGTGCCTGGACACATTGCTGTGATGGGAAAGATACAGGTGCACAAAAGAGGGGCACCCAGTCTTGTCCTTCGTAGTAGGAACAAATTATTTCTTTATATTGTGAATAAGTATTTATTTAACATACTCAATATACTGAACTTTTTCAAGGAGACAAAAATAGACATAATAATGATACGAGCTTATATTTATTGAAAAATTACATGGCACTTCTCTAATTGTTCATTTGAATTGTCTGTTCTCTAATTGTCTGTTCTCTTGCTGGTCTTTCCCACTCTACCTTGAGCCTCACCAGGGCAGACACTGTGTTTATCAGAACTCATCTCCAGGGTCTGGTCCACAAGGGGTGGGCATTTTCATGTGCATTGACTTACTTTTCAGGAGTTACAGTTTAGATGTTGGAGGTTAAAAGGTGATTGCAATACAAGTGCAGTATAAGTAACATGTGTACCCTAAGATCTGTCATGGGTTCAGAGGAATGAAACTGAACCCACCGCATCCCACAGAGTGAGCAGCTGTTACTTATCTGTTGAGTATCCCCAGAAGAGGAAGTGTTGCTTGACTGTCTAAGAGGTTAGTAAACTTGCATGGAGACTGAGATTGGAAAAAGCTTGGGAAATAATTAGTTACAGTGAGTGCCAGGGTAGTGGTATTTTGGATTTCTTGTCCTTCTAAAATTGTTTTTCTGTGGTTAATATCACCTTGAAAACAAACAAAAATCATGGTAGATGAAAGTAGAAGTCATTTTTTAGGAGTTAATATTTTTCTTATTCAACCTGAATTTCTTGAGTTTTTAAAACTTTTAATGACTCAGCTTTTTTTCCCCTCCAAGAGTATTTCAAAATGGAAAATTTTATATTCTATAAAAATATTTTTCAAATCTCTTCCTGACATTTATTGGAGAAGATTAAAGTCTTTAATCCTCAAGCTAATTTCTATGTGGTCCTCATAAAATTCCACTATAATTCCATTATCGGGAGGCTGGCCATAGAGGAAACTTGAGTCTTCAACCTAATGTAAAAATCTGCCTTTAGACAGATGTGTAGATTTTTCTTAATGTCAAAAACTAGTTACCGGTAGGCCAGGTGCAGTGGCTCACACCTGTAATCCCTCCTGCACTTTGGGAGGCCAAGATGGGCAGATCACTTGAGGTCAGGAGTTCGAGACCAGCCTAGCTAACATGGTAAAACCCTGTCTGGACTAAAAATACAAAAATTAGCCAGGTGTGGTGGCAGATGCCTGTAGTCCCAGCTACTCAGGAGGCTGAGGCAGGAGAATTGCTTGAACCCGGGAGGTGGAGGTTGCAGTGAGCCGAGATCACACCACTGCACACTGCACTCCAGCCTGGGTGACAGAGCAAGACTCCGTTTCAAAAAAAAAAAAAAAAACTAGCTACTGTTCAATAAGTTTTAGGTTTATATTGACATTAAAATTTGTTAATAGAAGTCTAGTTTTCTCACATCTGTGTTTTTTTGCCAAAGTCTTGGAGAATGAATAGTCTTGGCATCCCATCAACAGTGATTGGGAGGACCGCTCATTTATTCATTCAACATATTTTTAGGTGCCTACCATTGCCAGACACTGTAGTAGGTTCTGGAAGCTTAGGACTGAACAGAGACAATATTTCTGCTCTCAAGGAGTTGTCATTCTAGTGGGAAAGACAGATCCTACACAAATGAAAATATAATATGCCTGATGCTAATAAGTGCTAAGAAGAGAAAAAGAAGAGCAATAGAGAGGAAGGCTATTTTATTTATTCATGTTTTAATATTTTATTTTATTTTAATTTAATTCAATGGTTTTGGGGAAACAGGTGGTTTTTGGTAAAACGGATAAGTCATTTAATGGTGATTTCCAAGATTTCAGTGCACCCATCACCTGAGCAAAGTACATGGTACCCAATGTGTAGTCTTTTATCCCTCACCACCCCCCACCCTTTGCCCTGAGTCCCCAAAGTCCATTATATCATTCTTATGCCTTTGAGTCCTCATAACTTAGCTCCCACTTAAAAGTGAAAACATACAATATTTGGTTTTCCATTCCTGAGTTACGTCACTTAGAATAATGGTCTCCAACTCATCCAGATAGCTGCAAATTCCATGATTTCACTCCTTTTTATGGCTGAGTAGTATTCAGTGGTGTATATATACCACATTTTCTTTATCCACTCTTTGGTTGATGGGCATTTAGACTGGCTCCATATTTTTATAACTGCAAATTGTGCTGCTATAAACACGCATGTGCAAGTGTCTTTTACATATAATCACTTCTTTTCCCCTGGGTAGATACCGAATAGTGGGATTGCCTCATTAAATGGTAGTTCTATTTTTAGTTCTTTAAGGAATCTCCACACTGTTTTCCATAGAAGTTGTGCTAGTTTACATTCCCACCAGCAGTGTTAAAGTGTTCCCTTTCTACCGCATCCACACCAACATCTATTTTTTTTTATTTTTTAATTATGGCCATACTTGCAGGAATAAGGTGGAATCTCATTGAGGTTTTATGTTGCATTCCCTTAATAATTAGTGATGCTGAGCATTTTTCCGTATGTTTGTTGGCCATTTGTTTATTTCCTTTTGAGAATTATCTATTCATGTCCTTTGGAGGAAGGCTATTTTAGAGACATGGTTTAGGGAAAGCTTGTCTGAGAAAGGGATGTCTGAGCTGAGACCTGAATGAATCAAAAAAGGAAGACATGCAAATATCTGGGAAGTTGAAATAAATCAGCTTCTAATTCTGATGGCAATTAGCTAAGTCATAAAAAGAATAAAACCATGATCAAACAATCATTGAAAATTGAAATGATTGAAATTTTGCAATGAGTGCAAAAGACTATTAATTATAGCCAGGGGATCAAAAGACAATGAAATCTAAACATTTTCTACATTGCTATTATTTCAATGATAACTTTCATTTCTGTTCCCAGAAATTGCATGAAGAGTTGTAAATGGCCTGAGAATGAGATTTAGTGGTTTTTAATTCAGAGGATTAGTTGTCAATATTTAAAATCAGAGAAATTTACATTAAACTCCATATTTTCAGCTTCTCTTGAAAAACTAGAAAAATTGTCAATGGCGTTCCACCTTCCTATGTGGAGTCAGTTGGAGCTAAGGGATATTTTCCCCTTTCAACAGGACGTGCTCTCTTCAGGTTACCACAATCCCCACCACCTCCTACTACCCTACCCCAAGCCCCCACCCTCGTTTATATTTTCTGCTTGGCCCCTATATGCACTGCAATTTGTGATCACAACTTCAAAGGTTTATAGGGTTAATACTTCACTGTTCATTTTGGTGGATTCATGATCATCCAAACCTTAGCTTACATCTATCACTAATTTAAAAAGTACTCTAAATCAAAAACTAAGTAATTTTTTTTAATTGAGCAAACATTTATACAATGTCTACTATATGAAAGGCAAACTACTAGAAAAAAAAGGATTAGAGTTAAAAGACACAGGTTCTCATCTCCAGGAGTTCACTGTTTATTGGGGAATAAAAGTATCATTCTAACAATGTCCCCCATATTTTTAAACACTTTTAATATAGTCAAAGCACTCTGAGATCTGTTACTTCGTTTGGTCTATCCAGAATTCTAGGTAAGAGGAAACACAACTATTATTGGTTTCATTATGGGTATTACGTGCAAAGACAGGTATAGAGAGGTAAATGTATTTGTCCAAAGTGACAAGGCTGCCAGTATTAAGGCCAAGGCTAGACCTGTAGTCAGTGTCCACTCTCAAAAGTTCTATTTTACCAACTATAATCTCCAAAGTGCTACCTATGTCAAGGGTTGGCAAATCCAGCCTACCACCTGTTTCTGTAAATAAAGTTTTTTTGGAAACAGCCTTGCCATTTGTTTACATATTGTCTATGGCTGCTTTTGTGCTATAATGTCATATTTGAGGGGTTGCAATGGAGACTGTTATGATCTACAGAATCTGAAATATTTACTACCTAGTCCTTTACAGGAAAAATTTGCCGACCCATGGCCTATGCAGTAGCTGCTTAGTGAGGGTAGATGTGAGCGTAGGGGAGAAAGCCATATTCCCATGTCTCCTCAAGAACATGAAAACTGAAGGAAAGGTCACCAATTCACGGTGAGGGGTGCTAGTCAGTTCCAAATACCCTGGTCAAAAATATCAAGAGCAGGCTGGGAGCGGTGGCTCACGCCTGTAATCCCAGCACCTTGGGAGGCCGAGATGGGTGGATTGCTTGAGGTCAGGAGTTCGAGACCAGCCCGGCCAACATGGTGAAACCCAGTCTCTACTAAAAATACACAAAATTAGCTGGATATGGTGGCACACACCTGTATTCGCAGCTACTCAGGAAGCTGAGGCAGGAGAATCTATTGAACCTGGGCGGTGGAGGCTGCAGTGAGCTGAGATCAGGCCACTGCACTCTGGCCTGGACGATAGAGCAAGACTCTGTCTCAAAAAAAAAAAAAAAAAAAGATCAAGAGCAAAATTGTGGGTTCAGTTAGGATTCTCAATTACACATCACAGAATCTACACCAGCTAACAGAAAAAAAGTTTCATCAAATGTTATTATATAGTTCATGGGACCACCCAGAGATCCAGAGAATCAGATTTGAAGGCTACACAGTCAAGAGTTTTGCCAGGACTGTGCTGGTGGGACCACTCTTGCACTGGCTGTGCTGGACGTTTGACTTTCCTATTAGGAGTTCTGAAACAGCTCCCTCTGCAGGGCAGATGGCTTTCACCCAGGTCATGATAAAATCCGCCTGGCACCTGCCTCCTCACAGCACACTCTTCTGAATCAAAGCCCTACGTTGGTACATTTGGTACATCAAGGCAAACCTTAATTTCTGCCTTGAGGAATGTCCTTCCTTCCAGTCAAGTTATTGGGATACTGACACCATGGTACAGATGATATTAGTAATTTCTGAAGGGAAAAAATATAGATATCACAGAAAGATAGTCAGGATAGCATTTAAAAAAAAAAAAAAAGAACAGATAGGGAATTTCGTTAAGGGGAATTCCAAAATTGCCCATGGGAAAAGGACATCTTTGGTTATGGAACATTTAGTGTCTGGCCTATGATGGGGAAGGTCTCACATATAATAATCTTAATAATAATGACTAATTATTGAGGCTTCGGTCCATTCATCTAGGAGGAGAGCATGATTCTGTCCACATGTTTTCTATACCAAAACTGCTGCATGGTGAACTGGTAATCCTGACCCTTACAGGGGTAGAGAGTTAATCTGAGACCATCTGTGCCTTAAACTTCCACACTGGAAATGAGAGGATTTTTGACTGCTTGTCTGGAACATTTCTGAATCCAGTAGCAAAGCAATCCTAGTAGCCTCTCTAGCCTTCCAAGAACTCTTTCTGAAGTTCATTAGAATTTCACCCTCCTGGCCAGTAAATGCACACAAACCACCTATTTTTTTTTTTTTTTTTTGAGACAGGGTCTTGCTCTGCTGCCCAGGCTGAAGTGCAGTGGTGCAATCATAGCTCACTGCAGCCTTGAACTCCCAGGTTCAAACCATCCTCCTGCCTCAGTCTCCCGAGTAGTTGGGACTACACATGTGCACCACCATGGCCAGATTTTTTTTAATATTTTTTTGTAGAGATGGGGTCTCACTATGTTGCCCAGTCTATAAACCACCTTCTGGCTACAATTTCCTTTTCCATGCTGCATGTGTACTAACAGTAACTGCATTACCCAGAATAGAAGCTAACAATCTGTTGAGAGTTTGCTCACTGTCAGGCTCCAGAGCAATGGCTCCTTTAATCCCCCTCAATGGCCCTGTTATCATTTTCCAATTCAGACAGTCAGAGAGTTGAAGTAACTTGACTAAGGTCACAGATCCAGTGAGTAGCAAGGCTCAGATAAAAGTCACATGCATCTAACACTACATGCTTCTTATATGTCCCCTCAGGAATATGGAATAATCAGAGAAGACTCAATCTCATCATTGGTCCATTCACAGTCAATAGTTTAATTAGGTGGGTAGGGAGTTTTGATGATATAAGGGTCGCCATTGAAAACAAGAGCAAGAATTTGAAACCCACCACCATTAGCACAAAGGCCACGCTCTTAAGCACAGATTGTATGAGTTATCTTTTAAAATCTCCGTGGCATTTCTATACTTTTTAGTATAAATTAATACATGAGCCAAGTGCAGTGGCTCACACCTGTAATCCCAGCACTTTGGGAGGCCAAGGTAGGAGGATCACTTAAGCCCAGGAGTTTGAGACCAGCCTGGCCAACATGGCAAAACCCTGTCCCTACTAAAAATACAAAAATTAGCCAGGCCTGGTGGTGCAGGCCTGTAATCCCAGCCACTCGGGAGGCTGAGGCACGAGAATTGCTTGAACACAGGAGGCAGAGATTGCAGTGAGCTGAGATCATGCCACTGCACTCCAGCCTGGGAAAGAGAGTGAGACTCTGTCTCCACCTCAAAAACAAAAACAATTAATACATGAGAATTCCAGGTTATTCTTCAGGCCCCCTCACTCTTCAGGCAACAGAAGGCTGACCAGTCTTGGATGTTGTCCAGAGGGCATGGACACTTTGAGAAGGGGGAAGGCAAACAACAGTGTGGCACCAGACAGACTGGTTATGGATGCTGCTCTGTCAATTACCAGGCATGTACCCAGTGCTGTGCTGGTAAATTTTAACAACTGGCTCTCAAAAAAAAAAAAAAAAAAGAAAAGAAACAGGTCCTGGCCAGGCATGGTGGCTCACACCTGTAATCCCAGCACTTTGGGAAGCCAAGGCTGGCAGATCACGAGGTCAGGAGATGGAGACCATCCTGGACAACATGGTGAAACCCCATCTCTACTAAAAATACAAAAATTAGCTGGGCGCAGTGGTGCATGTCTGTAATCCCAGCTACTCGGGAGGCTGAGGCAGGAGAATTGCTTGAAAAAGGGAGTCGGAGGTTGCAATGGGCCGAGAGATCATGCCACTGCACTCCAGCCTGGCGACAGAGCGAGACTCCATCTCAAAAAAAATAGATAAATAAAATAAAATAACAGGTCCTGATTTGCCGTGTTGACCAATTTCTGTGGTGTAAATACTTCCACAGTGGGAAGAGGCGCACACAGGCAGCTGTCATGAGCTCTTGTGAGCTAGGAGGGGCTGGATCTTGGCAGGTCGCTTAATCGCTCTAGCCTCCAGAGACTGAGCAAAAGGCAGGTACCTCCCTCAAAGGTTGTTAGGCAGATTAATAACAAAACATGGTAAAGCAGTTAGTGCCGAACCTAGCACTGTGGTAGACGTTTGCTAAATGGCTTGATTTACTAGTTGAGATTCCATTAGGTAAAGTCCTAATGTCTTATGCCTCAAATGTTTTAATCTTAAAAATAGTCATAAAATACTTTCCCCACCTCTTGCTCAGGATAATTGGAATGATTGAGTGAGATCATCTGCATCAACTGCTTTGGAAGTCCACAAGCTTATAAAAAAAAAAGAGAGAGAGAGAGACAGAGAGTATTTTATTAAAGTCAAGTCAAACCCAGAGAATAAATTTTTGCTGGGCAAAAATTATACAACTGAGTCATAAGTTTTTAGTTCTTCTGTCATCATTTTTTCCTGAGCTTTCAGGTTCTCCTCAGCTCCTGATACTTAAATAATTCCCATTTAAAAAGCATTTAATTGAGAGGAGCCTGGAAACTCACCAGCTCAGAGAAAAATTCAGTCCATCAAGAGGTTCTGAGAGTCTTTGGGTTTAAGTCTTTCTGATCTTTTACTCCTCAATCCTCTAATCCTTTTTGTGAGGAATCTTTCACAATCCTTGTTTTTAGTTCTTATTTCTCAAGTTTCCCTTTGAAAAGCAGGATTCCCATCACATCTCAAAGGTGAAGGCAGCATAAAGCCTGCTTCCAACAACACTACTGCGGTTACATAAAGACACGAGTCATTTCTGCTGCTGGAGGCTCCAGTGGAGTGTTCCCTTGGATTTGCTCATTTCTTTGCTTGGTCCTCCCTGTGATCTTAGAGGATTGCAGTATTTATGAACATCATCTTGTTACTTTCCATTTAGTACATTTCTGCCTAGTCATTGGTTTTTAATTTTGTCCTCGTACCCTCCATTTACAAACAGAAATGTTTAACTAATGCTTCAACAACCCAGGTTCATGGATTGACACTAATTGCTCACCATACTCATTTCCATTTGCAGGCAAAGCCAGACCTCCTGGTTGCAGGATAGCACAGTTATAAAAAATTTGCGTTCTGTGGTCCAAAACCCTCCTGTTCAAATCTTGGCCTTGCAGCTTTCTAGATGTGAATTCTGGGCAAATTACTTAAACTCTCTGTATGTCCGTTTTTCCTATAAAAACATGGATAATAATAAGACCTATCTCAAGGGGTAGTAAAGAAAGTTAAATGAGTTTATGTATACGTGTGTGTGTGTGTGTGCACGTGTATGACTTAAATAGCTCCTGATAATCACTAAAAACAAAGAAATGTTAGCTATTATCATCATAAAGCGGTGTTTCCCTAATTGTATTCACATGATATTTGTACTTTTTGCCATATCTGCAAACCCCTGTGCTTTTATTTACTTATGATAAATACTTGTATTAAAGAGGAAACTTTAATCACTAGACTAAATGGAAACCAGTATAACTTAACAAAAAAAGGAGCAAATGACAAAAGATACATAAAGTGACCACAAAACAATGTTTTCATATCTGGCCAGATCCTGATGCTTGCCTAAGTCTTGGAGCTGAGCTCTGGTTTCTCTTTGTTGGGACAAGAGGTTAAAAAGTGTTAGTGGGATGTTAAAACCTTGAACTTGAATTTGAACTTGACACTTTGAGATTTTCTTTTTTGGAGCATAGAAGAAAATTTAAAACAGCCATCTTTCACTTTATAGTTCTGTGTTTTTTGTTTTTTGCTTGTATTGCTGCCTCTATGGACCTCCTAAAAGTTTCTCTCATATATCTAATGTTCTGCACCTCATGCTTTAGCTAAGGTGAAGTTGAAGGATTCATTACTATCCAGGTCTGTAATGACTGCAAAAAAAAAAAAAAAAAAAATCCAGGCAGTTTGATGCATATTATTCTTGAAGACTGTTTCTCCTCTCAGCCTTAGTTCTGTTATCTATCCGTCCCATCTCCAAAATTTTTTTTAATGGTGTGCTTCCTTCATAAATTTTTCAGATCTAGGTCTGCGTTTTTGTCTCCTCTGAAGTCCAGAAATTGATGTCTCATTGAGGAATTTGCAATTTGCTCTGGGCTTCACAATGCTGAGCTGCCCACTTCCTGACTTAAGGAAAAGACCAGATGTCAGTGTTTATTAGTGTGATCATGCAGTTTAGTTGCTGTAAGGTTTTATTCTTAAAAGATTGCAATCTATCCTATTGCATGATCACCCAACATTCAATATGCTGGCAATTTCCAATATGTAACCTCCTTCAAATTAGGCTCAGTGTTATCTCCCTCATCCATCAGTACAGCAAGATGGGTGAAAAGTGCTGTCGAAAACAGCTGGTCAGCTGGGCTAGCATTTCCAGGGTTGTTTCATCTCAAGCCCTTTCACTCCCACACACTTTATCTTTTTCTTAAAACACAGTCTCTGGACTATCTTTGTCCTTTATCATAACTTGAGTTTGTTCTGTTCTTCCTTGGTCTGAGGTCAAAGCCATCTTCCTAGAAACTTCTTTATATTTTTGGTCCAAGGCTAAGGTTAGGGTGATACAAACCCAGAAATACATCTCTTATCTTTTCCCTGTTCAAGGCAGTTGACAGTTTTGCATAGTCACTCATATTTTTCATGCAAGCTTTGGAAATTTTCCCCAAGCAAAGAGACTGAGATGAAACCAAGTTTTAGAATTTCTGCAGGTCTAGGGACGCCATCACAAAATGGACTTTGGAGTCTGCTTATGCTGCAGATGGAATGAATGAAGTAGAAAGGGAAATGATCTGCCCAAAGTGAATCCAGGATCTTTGATTTCCAATCCATTTACCCCAGACAACTTCAAGGTAGAGAAAGTCACATGATATTTACATCCCCTCACAGTACCCTGTCCCATGACCCCTGGTGATCTGGCCATGCTGGCAAGTCATATCACCTTATTCCAAGTTATTATAGTCTTGTAATCTCTAACTGCAAAGGATTTTAGTATACCTTAAGAAATAGCAATGGGAACCAGGTCAGGAAATAAGCTCAGTGTCAATGATAAAGGCTGAAATGCAGGGGAAATTGATCCAATGAGAGAAATCTCAGAATCTTTTTTTTTTTTTTTTTTTTGAGACCAGTTCCGGCTTTGTTACTCAGGCTTGAGTGCAGTGATGCAATCAGGCTCACTGCAGCCTTGACCTCCCAGGATCAGGCGATCCTCCTGCCTCAGCCTCCAGAGTAGCTGGGACCACAGGTGTGCACCACCACGCCCAGCTAATGCTTTAATTAGCGTGCCGTCTTACCCAAGGTAGTCTTGAACACTTGGGCTCAAGCTATCCTCCTGCCTTGGTTTCTGCGATTATAGGCATGAGCCTATAAAATGCTGCGATTATAGGCATGAGCCACTGCACCTGGCCATAGAGACTTGATATGACTTATAACCTATCAACCAGTGTATTATCTTGGGCAACCTGGGGGTAGGACACAGTTAGTAGCAGGAACTCTGCAGTCTCACTAACTTGGTTTGAATCTGGGCTCCATCATTTATTAACTCTATGACCTTAAGCAAGACTTAACTTGTCCAAGCCCCACTTTCCTTGTGTATACAATGGAGAAAGTAATAGTAACACTTCTAAGGCTGCTTGAGGATTAAATGTTATAATTAGGCCCATGCCTGACACACTGAAACACTAGATAAATATTGCCTGTAATTATCATGTGACCTATTTGAATATCCCTCAACCCTGGAAGGTTTACTGCAGAATTTAGTGGCCTCTTACAGATATCAAAGAATTGGCTATGAAATTGTACAAAATGTCGAAACTTATTCTCTCCTTTCCAGGTGGGTGAGCAGGGGAGATAATGTATCCATAAAGGAGCTTCTTGGATGGGTGGTGTCTCCAACTTCTTTCGGTCACCTACCTATTATGGGTGATCCTCTTCATGAGGCATGTCCTTCTTGACCCAAAATCTGTAACCCCACCCTTTTTGTTCTAATTAGAAAAACACTCATGCATTCATTTAGATAAATATTCATTGAAAACCCACTATACGCCAGGTACTCTGCTGTACACGGAGACATCAATTGTAACTATGATATGTTCTCCTGGCCCTTACATTCTAGAGGAGAGGGGCAGAGAACAAACACGTAAACAAAAATAAACACAAAATAATTTCTAACGCAGTGTGAAAGGATACAAACCATCGCACTGGGTCTGAGAACAGTGAGAGAATCAGATTGGAGTGTAAGTTGGATGGATGGACTATGTGGACGGGGTCATCAAGGACCCCACTCTGAAGAGGTGAACTTTTTTGCTGACACATGAATAATGAGAAAGAACTGGCTTCAGAGATCTGGGGAAACAGTGTTTCAGGGAAAGGCAAAAGGATGTTTCACATACGAGAAGGAGCTTGGCTTGTTTGGGAAACAGCAAGGGGGATAGTACTGAGGCAGGGAGCGGGAGGTTGGCTTGCTGTGCAGAAGCCAGGGTGCAGGGGATCTTGTCAGCTGTCTCAGAGAGGACCTTGAGAAGTCACTGGAGGCGGGTAAACCCAGGAGTGGCAGCATCGATTTACCCTTTGAGAGAACATACTGGGATGCTACTGAGTGAGGAAAACAATAGCATAGAAGAGTGTGAAATCTAGTCTCCCTCCTTCTTAATCAAGTAAATTGTATATTGCAGTCCTTAAAAGAGATTGGTCACAAATAATTTTCAACACACCTGATAACTGTGCAAAACTTCTTTTTGTCTCATTTTTGAGAAGTGCTCTGGTAAAATATGAAGTGCCTCTGTGAAGGTGTGAGCCTCTGTCCCAAAAGGGCTTGTGGGAGTTGTTTTGGAGCTTATAGATGAGACTCTGCTTTCCAGCTCCTGTGAATTTCACAATCCCAAGAGTCAGTAGTGACATAGTCCCAGGGTAGGTGGAGAAGATTAGAGCCTGGGAATTGTCTTCTTCCTGGGCAAACCCCCAACTTAACAGATGATGTATAGCTAACTAGACCCCATCTGTTCTATAAAAGAGAGGAAGCCGCACCCTGTCTTATAGCAGCACTAGAATGTTTGAACACAGTTTGGAACAGTCCCACCAACAAGGTCAAGAAAGAATTGAGGCAACTAATTGGATAATTCATCAATTAGTTGAAATCCTCTGCCCCAAAGATTTTATGTAAAACAACTTGAACTGCTCTTTTCCCCATTAAATTACAATGACTCCTCAGCTCACCACTGCGTTTTTGTGGATATGATTGTCTTTACAAAAAATATTTTATTATAATATGGGTAAAGACTTTTTCCCTTGTTTTGCCCATTTATAAATGTGTACTTTTAAAACTGTTCTGTCCCAAGTATAACTGCTCTCTTTACTTATTTTGTCATTAACGTCATCTTTTTTGTTTGTTTGTAATTCTAAGTCCGATTATTCTCTGCCCCATGCCTTTCCAATTTTGCTGTCTTATTCTCCCAATTGCTAAATAATTAGTCAATATGGCTTCACCATATGTACAGAGCTCCACAGATAAGCAATTGGCCTTTGACACTACTCAGCCAGTAAGCTCTCAATGCAGAAGTTTGAATTTTGACCACATGTCCCTACTTGCTGGTGAACACCTAAGAATGTAATTAGATGACTACAGTTTGGTTGTTCTTCCTTGGACAATTCATTTTGCAACTTAATTCCCAGGTTCTCAGAGACACCAACTTCTAAACATTATACAGAGCCCATCAGAGGATGACATATTCCCCCACATGATAGCATATTTTTTATCTTTAAAACTTAAAAAGTAAAATAAAATAAAAAAGTAAAACTTCAGCACGTTTTTCCTCTCCAGGGTTTATCTTATTTACTTCCCTCGTGCTGTTCAGCTAATTCCCTGCCAGGGACTTATTGCTGTAACTAAGCCATCACACAGAGGCATGCCAAAGACACTTGTGAACAAAGTGTTTATTTCTCTTAACAGAGCCAGCAATTTTCAGATTTTCTGAAGTGCAGCCCCCAGCAAACCCTCACTACCTGTTTTAGTAACTTCCCACAGACGTTCACATTTTCATAGGTTCTGTGGTATTGTTTCGTAATGATCTTTAGGAGAGAGGGAAAAAAAACTGCAGCAAATGTCAAACCTTAGGATGTATTCAAGAGGCCTTCAAGTCACTGCAGATTCAGGATCTGCAAGATAACTAAAGCACTTACATCTCAATATATGGCTTTTAAGGTCAGAAGTATCATAAAATCACTCAGGACATCTTGTTCTGTTCAAGTTCCTTTTCATTTTCCCGCCCTAATGGTAGTTGCTCAAACTTCTTGAGAAAGGCAATTTCTGATGTTCCCCTGGAAGAGATTTTCTTGACAAAGGATTTGAAGGGTTAGTATTTTCTTTCTCCTTCTTCTCTCTCCTGTTTTAATCTGAAACGTAATATTTATTATCTCCAATAGATAAAATACAACAGTTATTCCCCCTTCCCCCTCCATGTCATCCTTTTCTTTTAAAATGAGTAGTGTCTGCCTATGTCAGGATGATTTTGGTGAGTGAATGGATATAATTTGCCTCAGATCAGCCCAACACATCAGTCAACATCACTAAGTGGTCAAACACTCCAGTTTCAAATATGTTTCTGAGAATCTAACTGCTGAAACCAGGGAGCTTTGACTAAATTTCTTTGGAACTTTGGAGAGGAAGCAGGGAGGAGAAAAGGGGTCGCAATTGGCAATGTGTTTCCTTTTTGCCCAGTGGAAGGTGTTGCATATTTGTTTATATGGATCAAATAGCTTCAAGGGTAGGAGGACTTACAGACAGAGTGATTTCTTTTCTTTTCTTTCTTTCTTTTTTATTTTCTTTTTGAGGCAGAGTCTCCCTCTGTCACCCAGGCTGGAGGCTGGAGTGCAGTGGCAAGATCTCGGCTCACTGCAACCTTCACGTCCCCGGTTCAAGCAATCCTCCCTCCCACCTCAGCCTCCCAAGTAGCAGGTGTGAGCCACTAGGCCCAGCTAATTTTCATATTTTTAGTAGAGACAAGGTTTCACCATGTTGGCCAGGCTGGTCTTGAACTCCTGACCTCAAGTGATCCTCCCACCTCAGCCTCCCAAAGTGCTGGGATAAAAGGCATGAGCCACTGCGCCTAGCCCCCAGAGTGATTTCTAAAAGGGAAAAAGAAATACATGTTAGTAACAAAGTGAGGTAGCAGAAAGAATATGCCACTTTGAAATCAAGGAGACTGAAGTTCAGATTCTGTCTTTCTCAATGACTGTGTGACCTCAGACAGGCCATTTAATCTCTGGGTTTTATTTTCCTCAACTGCAAAATGAAGATTTAAAAATATGTTTATCTACCCTGCTCCTTTGCCAGGGAAATTAAACAGTTGCTAATGGTATTAGGATGTAGTAAACTCTCTGAATGTTGGTGTCTGCCCATCCCCTAAGCCGAACTAAGCCTTTAATATTTATACATTAGAATACCTCAACCAAACGACGTAGGAGCAAGAAGGTAAAAGGAAAAGCATAGAGAACGACAGATACACGTTTGCAAAAAGCAATACTTCTGTTCAGTAGATACCCTCTTCTCCTTTTATTGTTACTTGGTTGCTTGGCAACTTTAACCCGCTCATCCCTAAAAGCACAGTGCCACCTGCAACCCCCAACTTTCAGGTTTTTAAAAAAGGAACCTTCTATTAGGAGAAAATTCACCTTCGTGGCAGCGCCATTTGACGGGAGAAAAGTATATGTTTGAAAAGGCACCCCAGCCAACATGAATACATCTCGCATTTAGCACTCGGAGATGAGAATATCATAATATTTAAATCAGTTTTGAGAACTTTCCTTGAAAAGGAAAAGTGGGGGGAAAATCCACTAGTTGAATACCCAGGGAGGCCGCGGGGAGTGGTTACCATAGCGATTTCGCACTGGCAAGTGGTATTGGGGAGCAGATTGGCATCGCTTAATCCTTTTTATTTGTAATTTATGTATGTTGGCTCATTCTCTGTGCCAGTCCAGATTTTTCTGTTTACCTGCCATTCCGCTTGATATGAGTGAGGAGCGATGATGCCAGGTTGCAGCCATTTCTTCAATTTGTCAACATCGGGGTTCAGAAGGACAGCCGAGAGTACATGGGGGTGTCCTAGCACTCGGTTTTGCCCGATGTTAGCAAAGCGTTGAGGAAAATTTTGTGGGAATTGCTGGGAGTGAGGGAGAAAGCCATGAAATTCTCTATGATAATCCAGAAACGGATTGAGACCCATTTTGGCCTTATAAATCTGGATTTCATCGAACCTTGTTAGTGAATAATTTTTATTCTCTAGTGAATGCAAAAGAAAAGGAGATGGAACACTTTTGGTCTTATCTCATCATCCTGTGGCAAACATGATCCTTGAAAATAAATATTCTGTTGCCTAACCTGCTAAGTAATTGTCTTTCTAACCGTGTGTGGGTGCTGGGTTCCCGGGAGAATGGGTATTAACAGTGTTTCTCGAACCCTCTTCACACTTCCTCAGGATTAGGCCACAGGAAAATGTCAGTTTCACTGACAATTAAATGGAGTAAGTTCCTTATTCTCAAGAAAGGAGGAAGGAGATGAACATTTTCTAGACACCTTCCTTTAGTCTCAGTGAGCCTTGGACTAAGAAAGGCAAGCCTTCAAAATGGGCTTCAGTAGATGTCAACTAATAAATGTTCATTTCCATAAAATTTAAATGAACCCCGTAAAATCTACCTCTTGCTGTGCCAGAGCCCTATCTCATTACTCAAAATAGCAGCAATGTAATCATTGGAAACCACACCCTCCACGGCCAAGGTGGCTGGTAGGAAAGAAAGTCATAGCTAATTTCCACACGCTTGCCCACAAAGGTGGTGAAAATAAGTAGCTAGACCTCTTCCAGTTCTTTCTGCTGTAGGCCATATCTCCTTCCAACCACATGTACCTTATAAATTAATAATTTTCAGATGTAGCGCTGCATTTTGATTAACCAAGAGGCAGAGCAAGGATTTCTTTTTCTCTCAGTACACACAGGCAACAGTCCAAATATCTAAATACTTAAAAACTGCACGTGCTCTTTAAGAAAATTTCAAAACTTTAGACACCCCCCAAGACAGGGACCGATTTACTGCTCTAGATGAGTTCTGCGCCCTCTTTGCATTTTAAGTGACCTTTAAGCAATGATGACGTCTATCTTGTTGAGACTTAATTGCTTAATCAGAGAAACTGTTTTTCAGTTACACAAATATTTCCTTTAAGGCCCATCTTTTAAGTTTAAAAAGCCTTCATTTAAATTTAGACACATTGAGATATTCCATATTTTCATCATCAACAGCACAACTGGAAGGTGGTTTACAGAAACACTGAGATAAGCAGTATTCTTCTATGAACGGTATCACAGACAGCGATTACATGAAGTTTTCAAGTGATTAAAAGGCTTGCAGCCTGTGCAGATATGCTCAAACTCCCACCCATCTTGAAATCCAGTGCCCTCTTGACGTTTCTGTGAGTTCCCAGAAATTGTATTTTTCTTAATAGGGAAGGCAATCTGGGGTTGTGGATAAGAACTTAGATGCTAGAATTCGACTACCTAGTTTCAATTATTGTATGTCTATGGACAAGAGAAGCAGCCTCTCTGTTCTTCAGTTTCCCCATCTGTGAAATGGAGAAAATAATAGGTCTGTCTTATAGGTTCTTGAGTAGATTAAAAATGTTAAACTTTTAAGCACTTTGAACCAGGGCTCACCATGTTGTAAGTACCCAATACACATTTACTGTAATTATTTTTTGTTTCTTCAGAATTCTTTTTTCTCACCTTACCTTTGTAGCAATTCTTTTATCACTTCCCTAGAGTTAACCCAAGGTGGACCCAGCCCTTTCACCTTAATCATTGACCATCCCCAACCTTCACACATCATTCAAACAACAGATTCTTTATTATTATTATTATTATTATACTTTAAGTTTTAGGGTACATGTGCACAATGTGCAGGTAAGTTACATATGTATACATGTGCCATGCTGGTGTGCTGCACCCATTAACTCGTCACTTAGCATTAGGTATATCTCCTAAAGCTAACCCTCCCCCCTCCCCCCACCCCACAACAGTCCCCAGAGTGTGATGTTCCCCTTCCTGTGTCCATGTGTTCTCATTCAAACAACAGATTCTTGTAGTAAACTTTTATTGGAAGGTAGAGGTGAGTACAGCAAACAATCTAATATTTAGTTTTAGAGCTCCCGGTACTTATGGCATATGGCATTGCACCATGACATGCCCTGCTTGTAGCATATCGTACTGTGGGGTAATTCAAAAGTCCAGTCTTGGTCTAGGCTGCCATGATGCTTGTTTCCTTCCTCACCATTCTACCACCCCAAGAAAAAGCAAAACAAACGAACAACAACAACAGCAAAAAAAGCACCTCCTCCTTAATTAGCAGACTTATAAAATTGCCTGCCCCAAACCTAAACTCAGCCCACAACTTATTTCACATAGCAAAGAACTATTAATGAAGTTTTTTGTTTGTTTCCTTGTTTGTTTGTTTGTTTGTTTGAGACACAGTCTAGCTCTGTTGCCAGGCTGGAATGCAGTGGCGCAATCTTGGCTCACTGCAACCTCTGCCTCCCGGGTTCAAGTGATTCTCCTGCCTCAGCCTCCTGAGTAGCTGGGATTACAGGCACGCACCACCACGCCCAGCTAATTTTTGTATTGTTAGTAGAGACGGGGTTTCGCCATGTTAGCCAAAATGGTCTCGATCTCCTGACCTCGTGATCTGCCTGCCTTGGCCTCCCAAAGTGCTGGGATTACAGGCATGAGCCACTACACACGGCCTTAATGAACTTTTTTTTTTTTTTTGAGACGGAGTCTTGCTCTGTCGCCCAGGCTGAAGTGCAGTGGTGCGATCTCGGCCCACTGCAAGCTCCGCCTCCCAGGTTCACGCCATTCTCCTGCCTCAGCCTCCCAAGTAGCTGGGACTGCAGGTGCCCTCCACCACGCCTGACTAATTTTTTTTTGTATTTTTAGTAGAGATGGGGTTTCACCGTGTTAGCCAGGATGATCTCGGTCTCCTGACCTCGTGATCTGCCTGCCTCGGCCTCCCAAAGTGCTGGGATTACAGGCATGAGCCACCGCGCCTGGCCCTTAATGAACTCTTTAAATGCTGAAAACACCTCGTGGATATTATTCTTTTCTGCCCCCATCCATCTAGGTAAGAAACAATGGAATGGATGGAGCTACATTTATTATGCTGTAGCCCGGTAGAAGGCACAGTCAGCTCTGGTTTTGGATAGCCAAGTTTTTTTCTTTCTTTTTTTTTTCTTTTCTGGTACAATGGTCATTCAGCTTACTAGGCAGAGAAGTGCCTGCACTGGGACACGCCAAGCTATATCCCAGACAAGTGAATGACTGGACTTATAAAAAACGCTCCTTATACAAATGTCTGACAATCACAGGGTCTCTTCATTTCCTGCTCCAATGAGTTTGGCTCTGGTTTTAAGTTGGCTACAAGGAGGTGCTTTGATCTCACCTTGAACATGCTTATTTTCAGTGTCTGGCTCTTTCTGGGCACCACGGATGTACAATATAAAAATGTGTTTGGCTGGCCGGGTGCGGTGGCTCACTCCGGTAATCCCAGCACTTTGGGAGGCCTAGGCAGGTGGATCATGAGGTCAGAATTTCGAGACCATCCTGGCCAACATGGTGAAACCCCATCTCTACTAAAAATACAAAAATTAGCCAGGCATGGCGGTGTGCACCTGTAGTCCCAGCTACCTGGGAGGCTGAGGCAGGAGAATTGCTTGAACCCGGGAGGCGGAGGCTGCAGTGAGCTGAGATAGTGCCACTACACTCCGGCCTGGGCAGCAGAGCAAGACTCTGTGAAAAAAAAAAAAAAAATACGTTTGGCTGCAAGTAACAGAGAGCCCAGCCCTCACTGGTCTCAGACCACAGAAACTGGCTTTTCTCACTGAATAAGAGGCATCTGCTCTGGTGGTTCTGCTCACTCATCTTGGGGTCTCCATGGCTCTTTTGGCCTCATCCCTTGTGCTTGCACCACGGTCATACCATCATCCTTTCTCCGTGAGCGTGGCAACCGTGTGCAAGACAAGAGGACTGGGTAGAGCCACCACCCAGCTCATCTGCTCTTCTTGCCAAAAAAGCAAACACTTTCTTGGACCACCCCTCCCTCTTGGCAGGATTCCATTAGCATCTTATTCACCAAAATTGTGTACTCAGCCACACCTAGATGAAAGTGAGGCTGTGAAAAACGTGTATTTTGCTTCTCCAGCCCCTACAGTAGAGGAAGCACAGCAGAGAGAGGTGACAGTGCTGGAGGTGGTGTTTGCTCTAGAATTAGCCACCCAGTAGCTATAGCCACCCAAAAGGAAGGAAAGTCTGAGATGTACAGATTTGAAGGGGTTAGGATTTTGCTGCTGCGTCTCAATGCTTATCAGCTACACAATGCTAAGAGCCTGCATGAAACCTCGCGGAGGAAAAAAAAATAGTTAAATATTTAAATGATTTGCCGACATGGGGAACTTGCCATTGGCAGCAAAGATTTATTAAGCAGGCTGCAAAACAAGATGTCGTTAAACAGTTTGAAGGCACGCCCTCATAATTAAGAAAGGAGAAGTTTTCTAATTTGGGTAATGAAATCTGTGGCTCAGATGAACATTTATTTTATTAATATTTATCGTGTGCCTACTGTGTGCCAGGCACCTCATGAACTAATCCCATTAAACAACAGAAAAGTTTCCCTAATGCCAAATCTACTGGTAATAATAGCTGCCATTAGTTGGACACCGACATGCTACCAAGCAATGTGCTAAGCATTTTACCTAACAGTTTATCCTCACAGGAATTCTAAGAAGTAGGTATAATTGCTGTCAATTTATACATAGAGTGAGGAACCACCCCAAGTTTGTCCGGACTGAGGCATTTCCCAGGACACAGGACTTTAAGTGTTAAGCCAGAGACGTCTCAGGCAAAGTACTGGGAAATGAACAAAGTGAGGCTGAGTGCGGGTAAATGACCAATCCAGGGTCACAGAATCGGCAGGTGACGCTCCTGGAATGCAACGCAATGCCACCTGTTACCTGCTCCTCCCAGGCTGCAACTTGATTCCCAAACCTCCCCTTGAACCCAGAACACTGACCACTTCCCTTCCCTGCCACTTCCATCCCACCATCTGCTCTTCCAAGTACAAAAGAGCTGACCCAAACCCAAAAGAGCTGACCCTCTCTCTGAGCTATAGAGCTGTCAAGAAAAATCCTGGTCCCCATTGGATGGGCTTGGGTGGTCTTTCAGGGGCAACAGCACTGCATCATAGCAGCTGTTTCGACCCTTCACCACAGAGGCCTGCATGCTCCCTCCAGCCCCTTCTCCAGGCCATTAGAACTTAATTGCCTGCAGACTGTTTCTCAGCCCTGGTCGCACATTAGTGTCACCTGGGGAGCTTTTGCAACATACTGAAGCCAGCACCATCCATAGCAGAATCTGTAAGAGTGGGCCTGGATGTAGGGCTTTTTTTCTAACTTTTTAAAAAATTCAGGTTATCTTTTCTGCAGCCAAGTTCATAAATATTAGTAAAGTTCAATGGATTTTACATAGGTTCACACCCATTTAACCACCCGCCAGATCAAAATATGAACTATTTCCAGCCCTTGGGAAATTCCATTATGGCCACGGATATGGTTTTAAACCCCCAGAGGTGATTCTAATGTGATCTGGGCGGCTCTAAACCAGTAGAATGACCCTGGATAGGTCCTTTACCCCAACTCAGACTCAATCAGATTGGAACGCTACTGGTTTAGAGCCCAGATCCTCTGTAGCCAGAGAGGATGCATTTTTCCAAAGATGGCAGTGGCTACAAATTCCTCTCTCACTGGACAGAGAAGGGAGAAAAAAATAATCCTCAGTAGTGCATCCCGCTGTGTTTATTTGCACATATTCTTCTCCCACGACATAGTGAACATCTTGAAGGCAGAAACTGCATCTTTCCGAGAGCCTGACAAAGGGCGTTTGCATAGTAAATATTTATCAAATGGAGAAAAATAAAGAAGAAATAGACATGTGTACTGGGGAGTCATGTTTGGTCTCCAGTTAGGTTCCTCAAGTTTCTCTGAGAAGACAGACAGAGAGCAGCATTCAGTCCTTTTTGCAGTCTCTGCTTTCTTTCTTTGACCTCAAAAGGGCGAGTTCAGGAAAATGTTGATTCTGGGTCTTGTTCTTCTGTAGAGTTCACACGCGGTCTGTGCATAGGTGACACCAGTGACTTGTAGTGTAATCCTGCCGTGTTGAAAGCTGATGTCAACTGCTAAATGGGGGAAAGCAGGGCGTCTCGATGGTGATGTGTATGTATGTACACGTGCAGCCGGAAAATAAGCAAAGGACTCAGGAAATGGATGTTGTACCAGCAAAAGGCCACCGACACTTAGGAATGATCCATGTCGAATGCACGTTGAGCTGCCCTGGGTCACCGGGGGAGGCATTTCTTTTTTAATGTATAAAACTTACAAGTTTGAAAAATACGTATTTAGCCTGGAGGGCAGTTAAAAAGACTTTATTGTGTCAGCATCCCCAGATCATTTATACATTTTTGTGCCCACATATTTTATTCATAATGTCTATTTTATTCTTCTTTATTTTGTCAACTTGGTGTTCGACATTACTGTTTCTCTTAGAAAACAACCCCGTTATCGGAACCAGGCCACATGACTGTGGATAAAGGCGAGAGCATTGTCGGGCAAGGTTAAAAATCAGCACGGTGTTAAGCACCTGGGAGGGCTTCATGGTTTGGGCTTGAGTTTATTGTTATATGGTTCCTGAGGCCTTGCATCGGGGCAGCAGTTGGGGAAGAGGGCTGCGGTTTTAACAATGACAGAGAACTCAGGGGGCAAAAGACTGAAGGCCATTCAGGTTCTTCACATGAAGGGAGGACCAAGGTTTGTTCGCCAACAGGCAAGACAGAGCAGAGTGCTCACATCACACCACCCCCGAAAATGGCAAATAGAGCAAGATACAAATCACTGGCTTCTCAGGAATTATCTGGACAGCCCAAGAGGTCTTGGGAAATGACTGCCATGAGCTGAGGGCTCAAAACCTTATATTTATTCAAAGAACGACTGCCCTGTTGCTGTCAGGTCACACAGATTGTTGGGCTACTTCAAGAAGTGTTTCTTCTGAAATCAGGTTCTGGGCTGAAGATGTGAGAATTTTAGGATATTAGCTCTTGTTTCTGCCCTCCCACCCCACTTCTATACCAAAGCATGCAAAGCCTTTCACTGAATGCAATGAAAAAAGAATTTATCAAAAAGGAAGAGAAGCAAAGAGAAAGGAGAAAGAAAAGAAAGAGAAGAGGAAAAGAAAGGAAGGAAAGGAAGATAAAAGGAAGAAAGAGAAGAAACCACTGTACATTAGACAAGTGTTAATGGGAGAGTTCAGGAGAAGGAGTTTTACAAATAAGAAGAAGACATTTTATTCTCCAGGGCAACAAGCATGATGTGTATTTCCAGTATATGTCATGTACATCTCCCAAATTAGCATGCTACCAATGGAGTGATATCACCATATTAATATTGCTGCTTCTTCAACTGTGTCAGCCTGGCTTTTGCAACACACGTCTGTCAGCCATGAGATGTTGGATCTCAGTGCATCTAACCTTCCTGTCATTCAAAGTCATTTGAAAGTGGAAAGAGTAGGAACCCTTCTGACTTGGAAGGGCATTTGCAGACCTTCCTTTAGTGTGCTCTGTGTAACATGAATCCCAAAACCGAGGAAACAAAAGCAAGGAGGGCTCATGATCAAATGAGTATGGATAATGCTTTTAACTCCATCTCGTTATTGGACATTCCCAGTGGAAGTGAGCAAATGAATAGCTCTGAAAGCCACTGAAATAAAGAAAATTGTTGAGCATCTAACATAGTACCTCCCAACTCTCTCTGACCATGGAATGTTTTTTCTCCACCTGGAATTCTTTTAAACAAGTATTCTAAAGAACATGCTTTGAAATAAAAGCAAGAGCCCAGGAGACAGGAGACCTGACTAAAGACTAAATTGCCTTTGCAGGTCAGCTAGTCCAACGTTTCATTTTAGAGATAAGAAAATGAAGAAACAGAAGTTGTATGGTCAGTGGAGGGTCACAGAGGCAGAATTAGAACCAAATGACCCAGAACAAATGCATTTACCTCTGTGGGCCTCAGTTTCCCTGTCCCTATTGGACTAGATCAGAGGATATCAACTAGTAGGCCTTGAAACAGTCTTAGATGTGTCACCTAATTCTGAATAATGCGTGTATTTGTAGTCTGCTGCTGTGAAACTAATTACCCCAAACTTAATGGCTTTAAACAACATGTTTATTATTTCACAGTTTCTGTGCATAAGGAGTCCAGGCACCAGTTAGGTGAGCCCTCTGCATCAGGATTTCACAAGATTGCAATCCAGGCTTTGGCCAGGGCTGCAGTCTCATCAGAGGTTTGACTGGGGAAAGACCCACTTCCAAGCTCTCACACATCGATGGTAAAATTCATTTCCTTTCAGCTCTAGGATTGAGGGCTCTGGTTTCTTGCTGGCTGTTGACTGATGGCTACCTTCAACTCCTAGAGGCCATCTAGTATTAGACCTCCACCATGTGGGATTCCCCAACATGACCATTTACCTCATCAAAGCCAGCAAGGGAGAAAGAGTCTCTTTCAAGATGGAGGTCACCATCCAGTGCATTATAATTATGAAAGTGACATCCCATAACCTTGCCGTATTCTATTGGTTAAAAGCAAGTTACAAGTCCCACACACACTCAAGGAGAAGGGACTACACAAGAAAAACATGCACATCAAGAAATGGGGATTATAGGACCACTGTAAGAGCCTGGCTGCCAAAATGTGCAAAATTTATTTTTGCTGAAAATGAGTATACCATTACAGAGATATTTGGTGGGGTAGACCATTGTGCTGAGATGATCATCTGATGTGCTGTAAAGCAAGGTATACCTTGCAATAAGCTAAAAGTAAGAATTATAGCACAGAGCAGAATTGCATCTCACAAGGTGTAAACTTCTAAAAGCAGCTCATAAGAGGAAAATTGCCTATAGTCAAAATTACCATTAAAAATCTTTTAAGCCATTCATAAAGTACAGTGCACTTATTTTGTGTATTACTACATTGTACATTACCTTGAACTGTAATTCTTATGCAGCTGAAGTTTAAAAATTATTCAGCCAGACTGAAGGCATGTCTATACCCAGAATCTGGGCATTCAAACCATCCTGCCTCAATATAAACTTCTAACAGTAAAGCAAATATGGATGAAGAATATTAAAGCATCTAGCCTCCAGAGATTATTTCATTCTGTTTTAAAAGTATGCTTCAGAAACCTTATAACATGCTAATAGGTTTGTTTGGTTGGTGAGAGTTAAACAAGATAAAACACATGAAACAAATCAGCCCTCAGCCTGGCACACACAGTGGGCAGTGAATTTTTGCAGACTGTGAACGTGCATCTTGATCAGACACTCAGACACACGTACACTGCCTTTTGAAGAGCTGCAGAAAACAACTTGGCCACATGTGTCCTGCTTGTCCAAGATGGCATTTTCCTCTGTAGTTTCCCAGCAGTTTCCACTCTCATGAGCACTGTGCCCATCTTCATGAGGAGAAGATTCTATAGTCAATGCCTTATTTGAATGAGCAAACAGGACATCTTACCTGTAGTCAGGCATGGTGGCTCACACCTGTAATCCCAACACTTTGGGAGGCGGAGGTGGGATGATCACTTAAACCCAAGAGTTTGAGACCAGCCTTGGAAACATAGGGAGATATTGTCTCTACAAAAAATAAAAGATTAGCTGGGTATGGTGGCACATGCCTGTAGTCCTAGCTACTCATGAGGCTGAGGTGGGAGGATCATTTGAGCCCAGGAAGTTGAGGCTGCAGTGAACTATGATCCTGCCACTGCACTCTAGCCTGGGTGACAGAGGGAGATCCTGGCTCAGAAAAATAAAAATTTTTTTAAAAAAAATCTTACCTGTAATGATGCAACTGCACTCACATGACAAGCCTACAGTAAGGGAAGATGCGGCGGAGTGCAATAAATATGTCTCATAGATATATAAGCACATAAGGACAGGGCAGTAGAGCATCCTACTTAGCAGGGTAGCGCAGTCACCCTGAACTCTTTTACAAATATCAAGAGACGTGGAGACATTGTAACGGAGGCTGCCTGGTAACTAATCGCTAACTTGTTCAGTTTGGGTGAAATCTGCCACCAGCATGTCTGTCTTTTGACGATATGTCACACACACACCAAAAGGGTGCAAAACCCTGAATGGCAGTGATTGTTCCCTTATCTTTCCTTCCCTAAAAAGAATTAGGGTTCTAAGTCTGGTGTCAAAAATTCAAAAGCGACAGGAGCCAGGCAGGTAATGTATATGAGAAGAGGAGACAATAGAGAGGGAAATGGAGTAGGTGAAATGGCACCAGTCGCTCTATCTCTCTAAAAGAATTCAAATTTGGAGATTTTTCCAAGCACCGCGTGGGTGAGACATAACAGGCTTACAGCTGGATTCAGCCAATGAGCACGCTGTTCCGAGTTCTTAATTAAGGGCCTGCAGGTGGCAAGGTCTGTTTATATTGTCCCCAAAATCCTAGATTTTAAAAAAGGAAAATATGATGACCCTGTGTGGAAACAAAATAGTAGATTTTTTGTTGATCTGACCACACTGAATTATTAGAGATTTGGGGTGATACCACATTCATTCTTGAACTTGTAGCCAAACACCTCTGAGCAAGGCTAGGAGGAGATAAGATTTTTATTTTCATTTTCTTTCCATGAAGGACTGTCTCTCAGCAACTCTCACTACTGTTATCCCATCTGGTTGTAAGTGAAATACAGATTTGGAATATCATTTTTATCTGCACATATTTAAAATGTAATGTCCAAATATTATGCTGTTTGAAAAGAGACACCTGTCCAAAAAATTCCCGGGAAGGTTTCAGAGAGTGCACTTAAGCTCAGATTTAGACACAAGTAAAGCTCATTTTTCATTTAGCAGAAACCTTCAGACTAGCCAAGACTTGGAATACATGCTGAACATTTTGCAAATACAGCAATGCCTCATTTATTTGACGTGGACTGTTCCATGTAAATGCATTTTCCACATAACTGAAGCTTATCCCATTGCACATCAAATCATACATTTATTTTAGCCATTTTGCATGGGAATATTTCTGAGAGTGCATTACACACTTCCCTACCTCCTTAAATAGAATATGAGAAACATAATTTAATCTTTGCTATCTGACTCAGGGTCATAGTCATGAATATCAAGTATTGGGCTGCTTTAGGCTGAAATAAAGGGATGCCCTGGGGTCCCTACAGCATAAAAGGAGTTGTTTGACTTCACTTTGCAGGAGCTGAGGTTTCCACACTTTTGAGAGTGTGCCTGCCAGCTCTCCATCTCATCCTTCAGTGCTCTCATTATACCTAAAAGTCCTTTTGTTCCAAACCTCTTTAAATTTGTCTCGTCTATGGAATAGGAAGGTAAAGTGAAGTGCCTTACTTGGCTGACCAGAAACCCTGGGTTATTTTCCCATTTTTAATACATTCTTGTACTTTGTTAACCTGCACAAGCTACTTGACCCTCTTGGCCTCTGTTCCACAATCTAGAAGTGAGAGAATTAAACACATTGTCTAAAATCCACCGAATCTGCTTCCATTTGCATAATTTTATGTGATCTTTGGCTCTGAAATGAACAAACTTGTTAAAATTGTGCTTAAACATAGAGATCGTGGGTCCCAAGTGAGCACTTCAACATCCCTGTTAGAAGCAGAATTCACTGGCTGTGTATTACCTTATTTGTTTATTGGTTCCATTATATTCTACATTGTTGAAGCTGTCAAAGAAGTGACCACTCGATAAATTGAAATACGATGCTGGCCAGGCACGGAGGCACTTTGGGAGGCTGAGGTGGGCAGATCACTTGAGGTCAGGAGTTCAAAACCAGCCCGGCCAACATGGTGAAACCCCATCTCTACTAAAAATACAAAAATCAGTCAGATGTGGTGATGGGTGCCTATAGTCCCAACTACTTGGGAGGCTGAAACAAGAGAATCGCTTGAACCTGGGAGGCGGTGGTTGCAGTGAGCCAAGATCACACCACTGCGCTCCAGCCTGGGCAACAGAGCAAGACTCTGTCTCAAAAAAAAAAAAAAGAAAGAAAGAAATATGATGCAGTTTCAGTTATCTATTGCTGTGTAACTAATCGACCCCAAACCTAGCAGCTTCAAGCAGCAAAGGTTTGTTATTTCTTTGATTTCTTTCATTCTGTGGGTCAGGAATTCAGGCAACATTCTGAAACAGCTTGGTGGGGCATGATCTGGAGAAGCTTCCTTAATTTCATCCACCTGCAAATGGGCTGAACTAGGAGGTCAAAGAAGTCCTCAGCCACATACCTGGTGCTCCATGCTCCTCCACCTGATTGCTCTCCTTCCAATCTCCTTACGAACAGTCTTATTTCATAATGTAGTCCTAGCTTTTTTTTTTTTTTTTTTTGAGACAGAGTCTCACTGTCTCCCAGGCTGAAGTGTAGTGGCATGATCTCAGTTCATTGCCACCTTCCCCTCCCGGGTTCAAGTTATTCTCCTGCCTCAGCCTCTCAAGCAGCAGGGATTACAGGTGCCTGCCACCACGCCTGGCTAATTTTTGTATTTTTAGTAGAAACAGGGTCTCGCCATGTTGGCCAGGCTGGTCTTGAACTCCTGACCTCAAGTGATCAGCCTGCCTCAGCCTCCCAAAGTCCTGGGATTACAGGCGTGAGCCACCACACCCGGCCTAGTTCTAGCTTTTTTGCAACATGAAGGCAGGCTTCCCCAAGGGAAAGCAAAAGCTGCTAAGCCTTTAAAGGATATACAAGAATTGACACAATATTACCTCTGCCATGTTTTATTGGTCAAGTCACAACTCAAGGAGATTCAAAAAAAGGAGATGCAGACCCTACTTCTTGATGGGTGCAGTTCCACGCATGTGTATGAAGAAGAGGAATTAGTAGCTGCCATCTTTGGAAATCGCTACACTCTTAAGACATCTTCACATTATACTTTAGAAGACTAAAGGTTTTCTTTCAACATCAAAACTATTAATTAGTTTTGATGTGTGTGCCTAATCATTTTCTTAAGTAGTGTAGATTTGGTAAATAACACTTTTCCTCTGGGAAAGGAATAAAAAGACAATCCACACTTTTAATTGGATCCTTCTCTTGAAGTGAATTCCAAGTCTGTATTTTCTCTTGTAAACATACAGCAAACTTTCCACGTTTTGATCCTGTACTTCATGAATCAAAGTGAAATCTTGGGAAAGAAAACATTACCTCTTTCTGAACTTTGTGTATAGGCGTGCTTGCCTTTGGTTGTTGTCAAAATTCTTTGAAAGTGTTTGCCCAACAAACCAAATTAAATAACTGCGATATTCTATGTGCTCTCTTGTCAAAGGAAGATAGGTTCCTTTCTCCTTTAGGTTTTTGTGGATTCCCGTTTTTTGTTTGCCCTGTTGTTCATTTGTTCAGTTACTTATGCAGATTGTCTCAGCATATTCTATGTGCCAGGTTTTTAAAACAGGCAGTGAACAAGATAGACATCACGGCGCTCTCATGGAGCTGATGTTCTAGCATGGAAAACAGATAATAAATAAATAACTAATCCATTATAATTGCAACGAATGCTATGAAGGAAAAGCAGAAAGGGTAGAAGCTAGATTTTAGGGGCCTACGTTGGTATGAGAAATACACAGAGGCCTCCTAGAGGACGTGATGTTTCAGCTGAGCTCTGGAGGTGGGTGGGTGTTCCATAGGTGAAAGAACCATGGAAAAAGGAGCCGAGGAGGACATTCCAAGCAGAGGGAAGAACACATAATAAGACCCCTTGGAAGGGAATGGAAGCTAGTGGGTTCAAGGAAGTGATAAAATCCAGTAACAGAAGCCAGGATGAAGATGTGTGTGATATTTAAACTAAAGTAGCCATTTAAAAGTTGTGCAAACTAAGGCATAGTACTCAAACTCTTTGAGTCTTGGGGTAAGGAAGAGAAAGGAAAATGATGTCAACCCTCAGTCATCCCCACTCACAAAGAGGCACAAACGGAAATCTCACTCATCACTTGGTTCATTGTTGTTGAGCTTGTAAATGTATTGATAACTTCTCCTAAGTGCCAGGCATTGTATTACATGCTGGGAGCACAAAGATGAATAATAACAATAGGTTCACAGAAAAGATGAATTGATTGAGAGAAAAAGAACCCTCCAGGAGCCCTCAGCGTAGTAGGGGGTTGGTGTTGGAGGGTGGAGGAATGGAAAAGGCCCTGAAATGCAGGCAGAGAAATGATGAAACAATTCAGGGGCTGTGGTGAGGTTAAATGAATATCTTTACAGCAGCCTCGAAGACTGATCAGGTTACTATACCCTCTCTTCTGTCCACGTGCATTTCAAAATAGTATTTTATGTTTAAAAATGACAAAAAAAAAAAAGGATGTACACTGGAAATAAAAGAACTTTCTAGGTTTTTTGTGAAATATGTAATTTTGGGTAAGTTCATCAAAGCTGAACTCATTTTGTTACTCATTTACTTATTTATGTAGAGATTTTGGGTGAGTCATGCTCTCACTGCAAAGTTAAGTAGTTGCTACAGGACCCGTATCACCCACAAGGCTGACACTATTTACTATCTGGCACTTTGCAGAAAAAGGTTGCCAATCCCTGCTTTTTTGGTGCATTCATCCTTTTCATAAGGAGAAATTGCTCCAGGTAAAAGTCATCACAATAAATGGTTTCTTTTATTTTTTTTTAATAACACCCTGTTTCAATGAGCTGCCTACAATCCCACCATTAATGCTTCAGTGTTTTGGCTTAATGCTGGCTTCAAGTAGTTCTTTTCAAGAAGCAAATACCCCTGAGAGCAGTAGCTCATTATTTAGCTAATAACAGTGTGAGAAAGCAGTGTGGTGTTTAGCAAAAGGCAGTGGTCCAAGGAAAAGGCCACCAATATTCCCAAATGCAACAATGTCTAGTTTTCCAGTCTGATTTCCCAGAGTGAAAGAAGCTCGTGTAGTCCAGGCCACAGGACCAAAAGGCTCCTGCCAGGCTGAACTCCCTAGTCTTGGGCAAAATATGCTGGGGACTTACTTATCCTATTTGCTGGATCCCAAAGAATCAAAGATAAGGATTAGAATGGTTGAGTTCACACAGAGAATTGTTGATTATGTTTTATCCTTTTAAATATGTGTAAGTCATAGAAAGCTCTGCAGTCAAAAATATTGATTGCATTGATCTCTGCCAACCACAGAAGCATGGGGCTCATGTGGGCTGCAGTGGAAAGGCTGTGAAATACTTAAAATAAAGACGTTATCTGATGGAAGATGCTTTCCTCCTCCTCTCCCCCACCCCAGAAGCAAGTTTGAACTGAAAATGCACAAATGCCAGTCAGCAAAAGGAAAAAGTACTTTTGCAGCTCCATTTAAACATCAGCATGCAGGCCTCGAGTCCAGCAGCACGTTCCAGGGCAGCAAGAATACAAATTTCTGCAGCATGCATGGATTTTACAAGAAGAGTGTCGGCGTGAATTGTATTACAAGGCCTGATGAGCAATGTTGGTTTTCTTACAGAGAGCAGCCCCTTTATCATTCAAAGGACATTGCCGATCAAAAACCCTCTTTTTGCACACACAGCCCATGTTCTGGAGCAAAGTATTTACGCATCATTCCCTTACTCGGTTAATCAGCCCTCTGTTCTGCAGGGTGGAGTCCCTACTTTGGGTCAGCCCCTGTGCTGAATGTTGGCAACAATGTCTATGGCCTCAACAAGTCTGTGAGGAAAGATGGACATCAATTTGAAGGTTCTTTGGTGGCAAAAATTTTCATCTTGTTGGTCATTCTAAGAGCACAAGGCCAGACATGTAGTAGGGGTTCAGCCAGTATGTGTTAAACAAATGACTAGATGAACAGGTCGAATGTAATACAAGGAAGAGAAAATAAGCTTGGATCAGAAAAATAAACAACTAACAGCCAGGGAGGCTGGGAAGCCTCCAGAGACCAGGTGAGATTTGATGTGGGCCTTGAAGAATGCCTAAAAGTTCAGGAGGTAGAGAGAGAAAAGGGCATCTTAGAAAGATCCTTCTGGTAGGAGAGGGCAAAGGATGGGTTTTCCCAACCCCTTTCTGGAAACAGGCACTTTATAAATCAATACAGCTAAGGCTCCCCATAAATGCACCCAAACCTTCCAGAATTCCACGCGGAAACACTCCCCAAAGGCATTCAGAATGCACCAGAGCTTCATCCTGCTGCCTTTTGCATGATTTCTCAGGGCCTGGCAATTAAGACAATTGTTTCATCTTGTGTGATGATGTGAAGAGGATCCAAGGAGTGGCAGCATATCACTCCCAAACTAGCTTAGGACAGGGCAAGCAGGTACAGCACAAATGTTGCACAGAATTTTCCAGGTGGAGGGACAGAGGAAGATAGAAAAAGTTGGCATCGTGGGCAGGAACACAATGTAGCTTCCCTGGGAGAAGAAGGGACAGTTGCTAGGCTCAATTCTGCTCAGCCTTTACTGAACCCCACCAGGCTGGGCACCATGCTTGGCAAAGGGCATAAAACAAGGAAGTCAGCAGAGGGGGCAGCTTGGTACAGTTAGTGAGAACATAGGCTTTGGAGGTAAATATTCTGTATCAACCCATTTTCATACTGCTTTGAAGAAATACCCAAGACTGGATAATTTATAAAGAAAAAGAGGTTTAATGGACTCACAGTTCCACATGGCTGGAAAGGCCTCAAAATCATGGAGAAAGGCAAAGGAGGAGCAAAGGCACATCTTACATGGCAGCAGGCAAGAGAGAGTGTGCAGGAAACTGCCCTTTATAAAACCTTCAGATCTCATGAGACTTACTCACTACCATGAGAATAGCACGGGCAAGGCTCTCCCCCATGATTTAATTACCTCTCACCAGGTCCCTCCCATGACATGTGCAAATTATGGGAGCTACAATTCAAGATGAGATTTGGGTGGGGACACGGCCAAACCATATCATATGCATTCACTCATTTCGTTCAGCTAATATTTATTGATCACCTGTTATGCTGTAGGCACTGAGTACAGTTGTAAAAAAGCCAAGTATAAGTGCTGCTCTTGTAGAATTTATGTTCCAGGAGAGAAATGCAATAAATATTAGTGCTTACTACAGGCCAGGCATTATCTCCAGTACTTTGTATATGCATTAAATGTTACTCACAAGAAACCTTTAAGTTACTATGACACTCCCATTTTACAGATGAGGAAACTGAGTTTCAGAGAGTTTAAACAAGAGTTAGAACACAGATACAAGGATTGGCCTTCAGAGTCTGGCCGTTAACCACTAGGTTGTCCCATCACAGGACAGAGAGTGGACAGGGTTTGGGAAAGGGACAGAATGACCCAGGAAGCCCCCTCTGAGCAGTGACATTTGGGCTGTACCCAAATGAGAAAGAGCCAGCCATGGCTAGAGTTTCATGACAAGGCTGAGAGTGGAATGGAGCAAAGCAGAGGGGACGGCTGTCCGGATCTCATGTGGGCTCTGTCACTTACTGCTTCATGCACTTAAGCTATTTAACTTCTCTGAGTCTCAGTTTAGTCATCTAAAAAATGGGGACAAAATCTTTAAGAGAATGAATGCAATGCACTCACCCAAAGCCTAGAGCGGAGCAAGCACTCAACACATGTGGCCATTATTCCTGTTAACAGGACAATTGCTTCTCTGCAGAATGTCACAGCTGAGAGAGAGACTGATTATTACTCTACAGTGTGGCTAGATACCAAATGTTTCTCATTTCCCGGACTCACTGACATTCTGGGTGTGGTGCACTTCTAGCATTTGCTTTCCCTTCTTCATGAGAAAGCCCAATCACCCTTTCTGGGCCATCAACCTAAACCTCAATGGCCAAGCATCTTTCTGAGCCTATGCACTACCATCATCATCACTGCCAACACTGCCATCATCATCATTATCATCGTTACGGTCATTATCTTCATTGTGAACCTCAGCAAAGCACGTACTGTGTGCCAGGCTTTGTCCTGAGTGCTTGACCCTTGTTCTCATTCACTCATCATAGTGGCTTCTAAGGTTGGTGTATTATTTTCCCTGTTTTTTCAAATGAGGAAACTGAGGCATAGGGAGGTTGAGTAACTTGCCCACAGTCACACAGCTAGGAGGTGCATCTGAACTGAGGCAGTCTGGATCTGCTGGTCCTGTCTAGAAACACTATGTTTCCCATCTTCAGGATTTTTGCCTCTGGGCAATATTTTCCTGCCACTATTTGCATCAGTTCTTTTCATTGCCTCAATTCACACTTTTACTTAAATGAACACTTTGTAAAACCACATCCTAGATGAAAATCAGTCATATTTGTCATTAAAAAGGGAGCACTATAACAATGAAAATGCAATAACAAGAAAACTGTAGCATCAAAATCCTTTCTAGAAGTGTTGCTGGTAGAAGGCTCAGAGCCCACGGCCAGCTCTTTCTTTGCAGAAAGGGGAGATAACAAGTGTTAGGGGGTGTTAAAAACACATCAGCACAAAGCTCACCCTTTGACTCAACAGAAAAAATAAAAAAGAATTAAAAAAGGAATTGTCCTACTCAACTACCTGTCTTCCTCCAGCATTCCCTCCCACTTTGGGAGAGACTGAAGTAGAAGGGGTTTGGGGCCTGTGGTCGGGGGACATGTCTGTAACAAGCTGTGTGTGCTTAAGCAAGACCTTGTGCCTCCTCTGAGTGATGAAGACATCGTTCCAGTTTAGGGTCATCATCATCAAGAAGCAATTAGCTGGCCAGTGCCCATGTACGATAAACTTTTCTCTAGACAAATTAGAAACATAAGTCCCAGTAGAAATGAGATTTCCATAAAGTTACTTTTAGTGAATTTAATAGACTCTTTCTTGGTCTGAAATTCACCCAACAACATGCATTCCACAATTTTTGTGGAGCAACCACAATACACCATCACTCTAGGGCGCAACAGGTTTTCAATAATGAAATTGTTCCTTCTTACTTTAGAAAAATGAAAATATCCTCCATTTTTATTACACAATGTTCATAGTAATTCATCTTTCTTCTTTTGTGTGTCCATCTTTAGCAAAATTAAAGTTTGGTCCCTTATATCATTCCTTCATATTTTTTTTCTGGAAATTTCGCTGGTCTGTCTCTTATATCCCCAAATCTGAGAACTCCTGGACTAAGTGGGTCCCTCTGGGCTCAAGTATGTTGGCATCCATTTGTGTGATGCTTTATAGAAATTCCTTGTCAGGTGCGGTGGCTCACGCCTGTAATCCCAGCACTTTGGGCAGCCGAAGCAGGCGGATCACGAGGTCAGGAGTTCAAGACCAGCCTAGCCAACATAGTGAAACCCCATCTCTACTAAAAATACAAAAATTAGCCAGGCATGGTGGCACATGCCTGTAATCCCAGCTACTTGGGAGGCTGAGGCAGGAGAATCACTTGAACCCGGGAGGCGGAGGTTGTGGTGAGCAGAGATCATACCACTGCACTCCAGCCTGGGCAACAGGGCGAGACTCCATCTCAAAAAAAAAAAAAAAAAGAAAGACATTCCTAAGCCAGCAGATGACAAATTGAGTGAAGGGAGGTGGAGACACCAAGCAAATTGAAGTCTGATGCCTCATCTAAAGGAGTGGCTGCTTCTCACCTCTGGGGAATTGTTGTCATGGACAGTGTGGACCCGGTGATGCCTGATCTCATGTGGTCTCAAGAGAAGGCACAAGCCTGATTTTCATGGGGAGTCCCTGTGAGCTGGATCTGGTGGATGTGCCACAAGAGGGCCGCCATCCCCTGCTTTTTTTCATTAACTGGCTTAAGTCATGTCACAGAGACAGGTGGTAAAAGGAGGCAGCAGGGATGTCATGGAGAAAGCTTGGACTTTGGGCCGGTGGATCTCAGCACCTTGCCATTCATAGCTGGGTGACCTTGGGCAGAAAGGACAACCTCTCTGGGACTCTATTTTCCTATCTGTAAATCAGAGATTTTTATTCTACTTCCTCAATTTTATTCGAGATCAGAAATAACATCTAGTGTTACAAGGCAGAGGACAGTGATTTTATTTTGTAAGTAAAAGACTTGAGTCTGAGCCAGGCACCTGTAATCCTAGCACTTTGGGACGCCAAGGCGGGTGGATCACTTGAGGTCAAGAGTTCAAGACCAGCCTGGCCAACAGGGCAAAACCCCATCTCTACCAAAAATAGAAAAATTAGCTAGGCGTGGTGGCAGGCGCCTGTAATCCCAGCTACTCAGGAGGCTGAAGCAGGAGAATTGCTTGAACTCAAGAGGTGGAGGTTGCAATGAGCCAAGATGGCACCACCACATTCCAGCCTGGGCAACAGAGCAAGACCCTGTCTCAAAAAAAAAAAAGAAAAAAAAAACATGACTTTAGTCCCGCTCTTCTGTTCTCATTCCCCATGATCATTTCTGGGTGCCACTGGCTGACCTTTTTCTAGCTTTCTGCCTCCTCTTGAGCCAGTGACAAAGCCCCTGACCAGTGACTATCCAAGGCTTTCCAAGCCCAAGCTGCCACTGGGGAGGGCCCTGATGCAAATGCAGGGAGCTGGGCCTTGTGTTTCTAGGCCTGGCTCCTCTTGAGCCCAGAATTCAGTATAAAGCCATCTTCTTGGCAAGAAGGCAAACACCCACGTAAAACGCTAGCCTACAGGAAATCATGACTGCCTCCTGCCCACCACGGAAGTAAAACATCACCCTGTTCTCTTCCTGGAGCCTCTGTGTTTGGTGCTCATGGAAACCAGTATCTTTGGGGCTGTGAGTGAATAAGCTCAACTCTTAGCAGATTTGCCTCCAGGGTGGGTTGTAGAAGAAGGTAACCAGCCTTCCCAGTTTATCTGGGACTAAGGGACTTACTGAGATGCCAGACTTTTCTGTTTAAAGCCACAAAAGTCCCAAGCAAATGGGACAAGTCGGTCACCCTGCTCCAGATCTTGATATGGAAAAAGCATGTTGGCCTGGGAGAAGATTCTTTCCAGCTCTAAAATGTCAGTGCTGTGAGTCCAGGTGTGTTCTTGGACCCCAAGCCACTCCTTGGGGCTGAGGCACCTATCTGAGCTGCTAAGCCAGTGCCTGAGAGCCAGAGGCTGGCACACATCTGCCAAAACAGACAGTACTCCGGGTGACTCTTATAAAATGACCTTCCTTGGTTCACAAGGTGACATCGATTTGCTATCTTGGCTTGAGTCTCTACCTTCTACCGTGTGAAGTCTGTAGAAAGTGCCCTGGAAATACTTGTTTGATGAATGAATGAATGAATGATGTAGTTAAAGTTTAAAGTTTTAATGGAAAAAGAAATAGGTGAATAAATAAATAAGTGAAAGGATGACTTGGTTTCAGTTCTAAGGATTCTTTCTTCCCATCAAAGCCACCCGTTTTCATTGCCTTGGAGGGCTTTTTTTTTTTTTTTTTTTTTTTTTTTTTTTTGACAGAGTCATGCTCTGTCATCCAGGCTGGAGTGCTGTGGTGCAATCTCTGGTCACTGCAACCTCCGACTCCCAGGTTCAAGCGATTATCTTGCCTCACCCTCCTGAGTAGCTGGGATTACAGGCGCACACCACCACACCCAGCTAATTTTTTTGTCTTTTTAGTAGAGACAGGTTTTCACCATGTTGGCCAGGCTGGTCTCAAACTCCTAACCTTAGGTGATCCACCCGCCCCGGCCTCCCAAAGTGCTGGGATTATAGGCCTGAGCCACCATGCCCGGGCTCCTCGGAGGGCTTTATTACATCCTCTTGATCACATCATTTAAGACCAACTGACTTGGAGTAAATCCTGGGCTACAGGGGCAGACGGGTAGGGCAAGTCCTGGCTCTTGTGGTCCCTCCTGACCTCTCTGGACGCCCTGTTCATCTGTACACAGAGCTGCAGGGGAACTTCCCAGTCTCCTTCACTAACATGCGACGGCCATCCCTCAAACTGGGCTCCTGTCACTCCCTTCCACAGCAAACATTTTCTTTTTAGCTCCGGCGTTTTTGAGAGAATGCCTCCACTCACAGGAATGGTTCCAGTGGCGGGATGCTCGGGTCCTAAGATAGAGATATATGAGTGAGGTTTTTGTGTCTCGGAATCATCAGAGAGCAGGCAGCCATCTCCACTGGGCACAGCACTCATGGTCCAACAGCAGGCGGGTCCAGTGTAGAAGCCCTAGGTAGGATGAGGGAGAAGGAGGCAGTTTCCTTTTCTACTTTTTGTTTTTGGTTTTGTTTTGTTTTGCTTTGTTTTTTGAGACAAGGTGTTACTCTATCACCCAGGCTGGAGTACAGTGATGCAATAGGAGCTCACTGCAGGCTCAAACTCCTGGGCTCAAGCAATCCTCCCAACTCAGCCTCCCCAGTAGCAGGGAGCACAGGTATGCATCACTATGTCTAACTCTTTGGTATTTTTTGCAGAGATGGGGTTTCACCGTGTTGCTTAGGCTGGTCTCGAACTCTTGAGCTCAAGTGATCCACCCACCTCAGCCTCCCAAAGTGCTGGACAGATTCCTTTTCATCCTCAAAGCCTCTGATCACATCACCTCCTCCGTGAAGACCTTGCTGACCTCAGGAAGAGCTAGTAGCTCTTTCTCCTGTAATCCTGTGGCACTTTGCCCATCTGCTATGATTTTGATGCATTACAAAATGTATTGCCCCTACTATTCTCCTCTATTAGATCAAGAGCACCCGGGATCAGGAATTGTGTGCCCAGGCTTCAACCCTGTGTCGGGACAGCCAGTTTTGTGCTCAACAAAATTGGCTAGTTATATTTGTAAGCTAACAAATAGCCAAAGTAATAATAAACAGAGTGACAACAGTCAATGCAGGTCTAGCCACCGCCAAATGCATGAATCTGGCAGAATTCCTGAGGCCTAATTATCAGGGAAAAGACTTGGCAAGTGGCATGGAATAATCCAGAAGCAGTGTTTGGTCTTGGTTAAACTGTCTTACGAACACAGGGACTGTGAAAATGGAGATCCATGTTTTTCCACCAGAAGCATTTTATTTTTCTATGTTTTTCTTGGTTTTTTGATTCTTATGTTGTCATTTCCCTGAGTTGAGATCTCCAGCAGTTCCTGAATTTTCTTGGAGCACTGCTCTGTGCAATTTCACCTGACCTCCTTACATCTCTGAGGGGAGGGCTTGATTTAACTAGGGTATTGATTTAACAGGGACTTTCCCTGAAAATCTAGATCTAAAAAGTCATCATCTTAATCATTAGTAAAGAGGAAGGTGGAGAGGCAGTGATGGGTTGAGAGCCCTGGGGAAGAAGCTGCATGTGTGGACATTGAAGCAGGCCTGGGAGAGCAGCTGGCCGTTGCGTGTGGACACCACTGCCTTCCAGTGAAACACAGGGCAGTTCAGCTCAGGGAGAGTCACTCCTCCCCTGGGCGGGACTTCAGTGATGGGCCAGGAGTGTCCACACCTGGGTTCCTGCCATGAACTGCCTTCTAGAAGCTCTCCTTAAGGTCTACACATCGTATAATGGAGGCAAGTTGCTGCATGAGGGGGAACTGCTTTGTTTGTTGTTTGTTTGTTTGTTTGTTTGTTTTTAACTGTGTGAAGTTTTTGTACCAATGGAAATAGGAGGAAGTAAAGCAAATTAAGGCCCTCCCGGCTACTTTAGTATCTTTTTTTTGTTTTGTTTTGTTTTTTGAGATGGAGTCTCACACTGTCTCCCGGGCTGGAGTGCAGTGGCACGATCTCGGCTCACTGCAAACTCCGCCTCCCAGGTTCAAGCGATTCTCCTGCCCCAGCCTCCCAAGTAGCTGGGATTACAGGCATCTGCCACCACGCCCAGCTAATTTTTTGTATTTTTAGTTGAGACAGGATTTTACCATGTTGGCTAGGCTGGTATCAAACTTCTGACCTCGTGATTCCCCCCTCCTCAGCCTCCCAAAGTGCTGGGACTACAGGCCTGAGCCACCGCGCCCCACCCAACCTTGGTATCTTAAAGCAAGTGTCTTACACCTGCACCACCCCTGCTGCCTCTTTCTCGGCTTTATGCTTTGAGAATGGGAGAGAGGACTGTGCTTGTCACAAGAGAATGCATTGCTAATGGTGGAATTTTAGATATTAGAGGAACAATGACTTTTGTCGGATTTGTCCCCATCCATTCACATCAGCAAATATTCCATGATTGCCTGTGATATGTCTAAGCAAAGGAACTTGGAGTGCTGAGCAAAGGAAGACAAGACAGGGACTTCTATCCTGGTTGAGTTGCACTATTAATAGATAAGACATCTCAGGCCATAGATAGTTAAGATCTCAGTATTTACAAACTTATCACTTGTAATTTAGTCTATTCCTCAGCAACGCCCATGATAGAGGTGCAGTAACTTATCTTTTAGCTGTACATGAATTTGATTTGAGCTGCAATATTAATGGGAAGGGGTGATTCAATTGGTCACTAAGCGCCTCTAGAAAGCCCCCCCGGCAACCACCTCCCAATAAGGCTTTGCCTCCCTCCATGCATCACTGTGTGCGCCATCATGCTGATGATGTGGTATAACTGTTTGGTAGTGGAGATGTGCCATCGTTGGAGGAGGAAATATTATTAGTAAGAGCTGAAATATCTTATTGCAGAAAGGTATTTATAGGAAATGTGTGACTCTTGAAGAAAGTAAGAATTAGGAGAAACCCAGGAGCCTATATCAGCAAACCTCTGTTCACAATTTTAGTAATCTGGGAAAATCTTACACTACCTGCCTTGCAAACTGGCGAAAATTAGCAGGTCTACAATTATGATGATCGGATTCTCCGAGATGAAAATTAGGTCCCGTGATACATAAGTTCAGATGTCCCTGGAAAGATCCAAGGAGGAAATATTTGAAATAGAGCTTGTTCTGGAAAATATTTGAAATTGAGAAGGTTGTGGAAACCGTACATGCAGCACTGTGCATGCAGCAGGATGTGTATAAAGTCTGATGAGGACATAGATGAGAGTGCTTGTGAGCCCACATTCTCAAACCACACCAAGTACACAGCCCCTGATAGCGAGACCAAGCTTGACCATCCACATTTGTTCATTCTGTTGGGTAGAATTTATCAAACCAGAACATACAGGTCACAAGTTGTTCCTTCAATCAAGGAAGATCCCCTCGTCATCTGGACACTAGCTGTGGGATGTCAAAGAGTTCTCAGGCCCCTGAGTAACTAATGACGTACAGCCATTAACTCTATTATTTACTAGAAATGACAGATGCGTGGTGGCGGGTGCCTGTAGTCCCAGCTACTCGGGAGGCTGAGGCAGGAGAATGGCATGAACCCGGGAGGCGTAGATTGCAGTGAGCCAAAATGGCGCCATTGCACTCCAGCTTGGGCGACAGAGCAAGACGTCTCAAAAAAAGAAAAAAGAAATGACAAATGCATTGGTCCAAAACCTACAGTGCTTCCTGGAAGACCTTCCAAGTGATGTAACAAGGGTTATCTTCCAGAGATGCGATATTAGTCCTGTGATTGCCTGTTTACTCATTCATTGATACAATAAATATTGACCGAGTGCTTGCTATGTGACAAGCACTGAGCTAGGGCTGGGAAATCATCAGTGAATAGTCAGAGAAAGTCCTTGTTTGCAAGAGCATAGACTCTAGTTCGAGGAGAGAAAATGAACAAGACCACTTCAGGGTACGATAAGAGCTTTGAAGGCATCAAAACAGGCTAGGGAGCCTGGGTGGAAACTAGTGTAAAGAGGATGACAAGGAAGTCCTGACCAATGTGAGACCTGTGCAGTGAGGAGTCAGCCACACGGAGAGCAGCAAGGGCCAGCAGCCCAAGGCGAGAGTGCACTTTGCATTTGAGGAACAGAAAGGTTTCGTGACTGCAGACTTGTGAATTTGGAAGCAAGTGGGAAGAGGCCAACCAGGGCCTGACCCTTGGTAAAGATATGCAAAGTGAAGCCTTGGGAGTCATTTAAAGCAGGGGGCTGGGATGTGTGCTGGTTATACATTGAGGGACGATAAACCTGACAATGGTGCTCACCCTTAGAGTCCAACACACTCTTCCATCATGACCAGTAGGAGGAAATGTGTGCCGAGATTGCTAAATTTCCAAGATTGCATGTAACTCCCAGCATGCTTCATCTGTGCTGTATTTTATAAAATATCTGCATAAACAGAAATATTTGAAATAGAGCCTATTCTGGAAAATACTGGAAATTGAGAAGGTCGTGGAAATCGTACATGCAGCACTGTGCAAGCAGCAGGATATGTATAAATCCAACTCTGTTTGTAAGTAGTTGGAATCTCAGCATTTACAGACTTATCATTTGTAATTTGGACTCTTTATTCCTGAGCTACTCACATTATAGAGGCATAGTAATTTGTCCTCTCTGCAATGCTGATCAGAAACAGTGATGTGAACCGTCCGGAACATCTGTGCACTAGCCAATAAATGATTGAATATTGATAAGCCATTGATAATTGATTATTCAACATACAGAATCAGTAGCAAAGCATTTTCTTGTCTAATTTGATGAGGAATTAGCATCTTTCTATTCTAATCATAAGAGCATTAAAAATTATATTGTTCCTTTTTCCCAGTGGTTGCCAGGAAGCTCATATACGAAGTGAATGGTTAATCACAGTAGCCATTCTAATTTTTATCATTAAGATATTTGCTTTATCCTCCTTTTTAAGCTTTTTTTATTTATTTCCATTATATATCACCTTAAATCTTTTTGTAGCTAAAGGTGGAATATCAATTTTTTTAATTGCATGTTTAAAGCCATAACCCTGGCCTGCTTGATAGATACTTTAGAAATGTTATATCCACCAGTGGCAGGGTGTGAATAGTTAATTGAATCAGCAATTAAATACATCATTATAGATAATTTCTAGAAAATGTTAAGCTTCAGGACTTTAGCCAAGAATGTATCACCCAGGCAAGTAACATTTCTACTAGAAAATCAGGTTCTACCATAAATTCAAGGTCTGACTATTGCCATCGGAAGGGTTTCAAGCTTAATATAAACCAGGAATGTTTCTCATCACTCGAATGCATTTGCCAAAGAACTTCAACTTCTGTCTCCTTTCCTGTTGAACTTTAAAAACCGGAGAGGCAACTGTCTGTCGAGACTGTTTTGTCTAGAGCAGGGCTGGAGGCAGGAATCCAGCATTATAAGTTTCAATTCTTGGTCCTCAACTCAAAGCTTTGGGAAGCACCTTCATTGTACCCTGTTAATCACAAAATTAACTTAAAACTAAAAGAGTCTGTCTTCTCTTTGCTTCCTACAAAGCAGGATGTATGGGGGCGGTGATTATACACAGACCCCAGGACTGTATTTCTGTGATCTAGCATCGAAAACCATTTATGGCTGAATTTAACTCCGGAAAGCCCTGCTTTCTCTTTTCTTCTGATCCTCCATATCAATATCAGTCTGATGACTCTGGCATTTACTGGCACAGCTGACCGTAAACACACTGCAGCCATTAACCAGAAATCACCCACATGTGGGATTTGGTCATAAACATGGGCCTTGCGTCTAGACTAATTATATGGATAATGGTTGTGGGGGGCGGGGGAGGGCGTAAAAAGAGGAAGAATGCCAAAATCTGGAAGATATTCTAGGTAGTTTTCCGTAACTTTTCTAAAAACAAAGAAATCAGCTAAAAACAGCAAGCACTTTATTTTTTAATAATATAACTAATAGGCATCCACTGGAGGAAAAGAAAGAGAAAGAGAGAGAGAGAGAGACAGGGAGGACAGAGCCAGGCCAATGTTAATTTGTATCACTAACATTTTGGGACACTTTAAGGTTTACTACAAAAATTCTAGATCAGGGTTGATACACTGAAACCCTCAGGCCAAATCCAACCCACTGCCTGTTTTATAAATAAAGTTTTATTGGAACACAGCCATGTCCATTTGTTTACATGTTATCTATGGCTAATTTCACGATACAATGGCAGAGTTACAGAGACCATATGGTATGCAAAGCCTAAAATATTTCTTTATTATCTGCCCCTTTCCAGAATAAGTTTGCCAGCTCCTGATCTAGACTTTTTTGTCTCTACATATTTATCTTTTACATAGTCTTTCAACTTTTTTTTTAACCTTTTGGCTTGAAATAATTATAGATTCATAAGAAGTGCAAGGAAATGTAAGAAGAAGCCCAGTGCACCCTTTCCGAAGCTTCCCCCAGTGCTTGCATAACTATAGGGCAATAACAAAGCCAAAGCTAGTTCAGATTTCACCAGTTCACCTGCCATCATTTGAGGTGATATGTAGGCTTTTTAAACATAAAAGGGGTATGAAATACAATGCCTTTAACGTTAAGAGTGATAATAATGAGAAGCCTTCAATTGACAGACTGAAGAGAAAGAAACGTGAATACGGTTAGTGCAGCCTGAGAATCTCCTAAGAGTCCGATATGATCCAACAGTCCTAAGAAAACCAGAACTATTTCCTCTGTACCAGTAGTCACTCCTAAGTCATAACAGCCAGGACATTTAGGTGGAGATTGTATGTTTTATTTTCTCCTAAACTTATAATCCTCTCTACTTTCCTTCTTCTGCATCCCCATCATCTTGACACTAAAAAAAGAAAAAGAAAGACAGAAAATGTGTGCATGAAATGTGACCAGGGAATCAAAGATGACAGAGCTTTGATAAGGTCCAGAAAGTCTCAGCCCCTCCAAAGCAAGCGATTAAAGAGAAAGGTGACGTTCGGTTTATTCAAATATGTTTATCTGACATCTGTCTGGGTTTCATCTGAAGTGTGTAGGCTCCTTCTGGATCCTTCCCCACAAGAGCCTGGCTTCAGTATCATACACTTTGCGTGGGATGAAGTTCTCAAGCCTCAACAGCTAAGGAAATCTGCCAGGGTGTCTGGCAAACTGTGTAAGAGGGAGAAACACCCCAGCTCTGAATTCAGCCTGCTGTGAATTATATTATAACCAACTGGTTATAATATATGGACAGAGTTACCAGGTGTCTATGCGGGATTTGGATGTACTAATGTTTGCTTGTGTTGAGTGAGGCTGGGCTAATGAGCCTCGGTTACAGGTGTTTGGGAGAAGTATGAATACAGTTGGTAGGGCATAGTGATAAAGCTTTGCTCTGTTTTGTTTTTAACAAAGGCTACTTAAGAAGCTGGAATTATAAAGCATTGTGGTCTGAGAAATTTATAGGGCAGCTTGAACGGAAGGTAGTAACTAACCAGGGAGAAGCCACGGAAAGCTCTGAATCCTCTCCTGGACACCAGAGGGTGTGCCAGAAAAGCAGGCAAAAACCGAGGTGCTTGGTTCTTCTTCCGGGACCTGGTGGGGGCCAGGAGATTTAATGTGAGGGAGCACAGCCGGGCCAGGGGGAACCAAAATCCTGATACCAGGTGGCACCGCCAACCATGCACGACCTCTGAGGGGAGAGGGGAGAGGGCCAACAGGAAAGCCAGGCAGGAGCCAGAAGAATGAGGAGCACAAAAGAGCCAGGCGTAGAGAATGGACAGTAGGTGTCAGACCCTGGTGTGTGTGGGAGAAGTGACCACCATGGCTCAACGGAAGTCAGTCCCTCAGCCAGATGATGAATATTCACTGAATTCCTGCTGCATTAGTCAGAGTCCCCTAAGGAGACAGATGGCAAACTCAGATTAGGAAAAGGGTTATGACAAGCAGAATGTTTTCCTGGGTGGAGTCGGGGCATGTGAGAGAACCACAGGGACAGGGCAGGAACCCCTTCCTGGTGGCGGCAGAGCTCTTGACACCTCTGGGCTTGATGGGCCAAGGGGAATGGATGATGTTTGGAATCTGCAAATAGAAAGTCATTTGGAGAGAAGGGACAGTGACTCTCGGTCAGGGGTTGGAACAAGCTTGAGGGAAGTGTGCAGGGATGGAGCCAGGAGGACAGAGACTCCATCTTCACTGCCCTCCTCTGGGGTCCCATTCACTGAATACATCTGAAGCCAGAGGGCAAGGAGGCCTCCTGTGCAGAAGGCAGGGTGGGGAAGGGCAGATGAACTGGAGCGCACCCCACTGAAGATTCTGGCATGGCTACCACATGCCAGGCACTGTGCTGAGCCTGGGACTCACCCTGCCGAAGCCTGAAGGCAAAACAAATCATCATGACTGAGCTAAAGCCATGAAGAGGCCCCAGTGCTCTGGAATCACCTAACAAAAACAGCTCCTAGCCTAGTCTTGGAGGTCCAGAAAGATGCCTCTAAGGCTTGGGCATTAGCTATGGAAAGAACAAAGAAGAATGTCAAAGGCAAAGGCAACAGCATGTTCAAAGGTCCTGGGGTGCAACACAGCATGTTTCAAGTCAGAGGGGAAAAGGCAAGAAGAATGAAAAAGACGATGGCAGAACACAGGGCCTGATCACACGAGGCCCTGTGGCTTTTTAAGGAATTCACACATGATCCTGTGGGGGATGAGGAGAACCCAAAGTATTTTAAATGCAGAATGGATTTTAAAGGGTTTGTGTGTGTATGTGCACATACATGCAGGCACGCATGTGTTTGGAGTGGTGTGTGAAGCTGAAAGCCAAATGGAATGACGAGGCGAAACTGGAGATGTCTAAGAAGCCCGAGTGTGCTAAGCTAGTTCAGGCTAGATTCAGGAGGAATCAGCTTGTGTACCAACTTTTTCCTTTTCTTGTGTAGTTTGCACTGAGAGATCTTTAGCTGCAAGATGAGAAGGCGCAGAGACCTGATGCCTATTTTCAAATCCTGGCAGATGCATTATAAGAAAGGGGGACTCAATTTGTTTTGTACAGACTGTTCCTTCAAGAACACTGGCATGCAAAACCTACTGCATCTGGTGCCAGCCCAGCCACTACCACCTCTTCTTTTACTCCTTCTGACAGGCCGAGATCCTTCCTTCTTTCAGCTCCTGCATTAACTACACTGGTGTGTGTGATTCTCTCTCCCAGATCTTCCTGGGGCTGCCTCCTTCTCAGAACTCAGATCTCAACTCAGAAGGTATCTCCCTCTTCTATCCCATAAGCTCCATGACATCAAGCATGTCATTTGTCCTGCTCACTCTTATATTACCCTCAGTATCTAGAAAAGAGACACCTATGTTGTGGATTCTCATTATTTTGTTGATTGAACAAATATTTATTTAGAGCTTTGCAAAATCTGATTAAACTACCTAGGAAATACTGAGTTTCCTAAACTTGGAGGTAAAGAAGTAGGGACAAGTTGGTTAGAGAGAGCATTGAGTTATAAAAGAGGCTAGATCGCAGATTGAAAACACAATTAGAGGCCTTTGAAGAACAATCTATTAAGCAGATTTTGAAGTGGAGAGAAGGAGATGTCCTGGTTGAATGGGAGTTGGGAGGCCCAGAGCACTCCTCCAGATCTCTCTGCCAAGCATGGTTTCTTTTTTTTTTTTTTTAGATGGAGTCTCGCTCTGTCACCCAGGCTGGAGTGCAGTGGCACGATCTCAGCTCACTGCAAGCTCCGCCTCCCGGGTTCACGCCATTATCCTGCCTCAGCCTCCCAAGTAGCTGGGACTATAGGCACCCACCACCACGCCTGGCTAATTTTTTTGTATTTTTAGTAGAGACGGGGTTTCACCATGTTAGCCAGGATGGTCTCGATCTCCTGACCTCATGATCCACCCGCCTTGGCCTCCCAAAGTGCTGGGATTACAGGCGTGAGCCACTGCGCCCGGCCTGCCAAGCGTGGTTTCAAACCCTTGAGCTACATAGCTCTTATGTTTCCTTCCTCCTAGGATGCAGCGACTGCATCTCTAGCATGGGCAGGAAGGTGACTCTTGCATCTCCACTTGGTAACAGACAAAAGCCTGCATCTCAAGGGCCAGATCACTGGGAGACAAATCTCTAGGCTGGAGACTTCAAAATGGCAGTCTAGATAATTCAGACCACAGATTGGTGCACATGATATTTGCAATGTTCTGGAATTAGTGGCCAAAGTCTGTTGACTACATGCAGATATTCCCACACATCAGAACATCTGTTCATCCTGGGCCCACATTCTCTCATTCTTCCATGTATTCATTCATTGTGTTGATATAATGGAGAGCAAAGTAGACACCAATGTTGCCCTAAGGAGCTTGTGTTCTAAGGGTAAGACACAGATAAAAAGTAAGTCATGGAATGTATCAGATAGTAAGCCCTGAGAAAAATAAAGAGAGAAAAAAACAACAGCTCGTGGGAGGGGGTTAGGGGAGGTCAAGGGATACAGTGTTTCCCAGGATGGTTGGAGAGGGCCTCACTGTGAAAGGAGTCATCTGAGCTAAGGTCTGAGGAGGTGAAAGTGAAAGCCACACAGACATTGGGGAAGGAGCATTCTAAGTGGGGGAACAGCAAGTGCACAGGCCCTGAGGTGGGAGCATGCCTGGTATGTTCTAAATGGGGGAACCCTAAGGGGGTCTGCATGGCTGAAGCAGGATGGGGGAGGCAGGGCACTGCGGTCAAAGAGAAAATGTGGGGAGTGAAGGGTCCGACCGGCAATTGCACTTCCAGTGTGCGGCCAAGGGGAGAAGCACTGATTTGGGGCCTTGTAGAGATAGTATAAAGAACTTGCCTTCTACTAAGTGAAATGGATTTTGAACAGAGGAGTGACGTGGATTTACTTTTTTTTTTTCTAATTTAAAAAAAATTTTTTTTTGAGGCAGAGTCTCGCTCTGTCGCCCAGGCTGGAGTGCAGTGGCGCACTGCAACCTCCGCCTCCTGGGTTCAAGCGATTCTCTTGCCTCAGCCTCCCGAGTGGCTGGGACTACAGGCATGCACCACCACGCCTGGCTAATTTTTGTATTTTTAGTAGAGACTGGGTTTCACCATATTAGCCAGGCTGGTCTCGAACTCCTGACCTTATGATCCACCAGCCTCGGCCTCTCAAAGGGCTGGGATTACAGGTGTGAGCCACCACGCCCAGCCAGATGTACTATTTTTAAAGAATCCTGTGTTGAGAATAAACTATGAGTAGGCACGAGTATTTGCCCAGAGGCCAGTTAGGAGGCTGTTGCAATAACCCAGGTGAGAGACGACCATGCCTTGGACCAGTGGTTCTCAAAACGGGGTTCTTAAGCAAGCAGCGTCAGCATCGCCTGGACAGTTTTCTTAAAGCAAACTTTTTGGCCTCACCAGAGACCTACTAAACCAGAAACTCTGAGGATGGAGCCAGCAACCTGTGTTCAAATCAAGCCTTGAGTTGGTTCTGATGCACAGTGAGATTTGAGATCCACCACTGCCTTGGACAAAGATGGTCATCATGGAAGTGGTGAAAGGGCTTGGTTCTGTATGTTTTAAAGGTAGACTTGGACAATAGGGAAAGGCTAAATAGACTGGGTCCCTAAAGACAGGATCAGACTTCTCCAGTTTGCCACTGGCCCCACTCAGTCCTTTCTGTTCCTCTCTGGACCCTGTAGGCATTTGTCTTTGCCCTCTGCCCCAGACTCCTGGATGAGAGAGGTAGAAAACTCAATGGTGGGAATCCCACAAACTTCTGTTAGGAAAATTGCCTTGGGTCATTTCCTTTTGCATATCGGAAGAATCATCTCAATCATTCGTTTGCAAGTGTGACAAGGGAAAAGTGAAATGTCTGTACTGAGGCTTTGGGGAAGGGTGAGAAGGGTGTTGAGGAAGGGAAGGAACAAATGAGCTCATGGTTTCCTTTTTCCAATCTGGCTCTCCTTTCCCAGAGGGAATACTCAGGGAACCTGCTGTTACTTCTCACAAGCACTAGAAAAAAATCACTTCCCAACCTCATCTGCCAGGCGGCAAAATCTTAGCTGTGAACTGCAGTTCCAAAATGTGACTCTTATTAAACATCGCTATCACATTAAGCCCAGACAGTGACCTACTCTGTCGCCTGAAAGAATCCGCAATTAACATGGGGAGTCTAATCAGGATATTAACGAGTCTGGTTTTGAATTCCTATAATATTTTCATCAGTTTTTTAAAAAACTCATTTCAACCTGCATTAAGCTTGGCAAGTGGATTCTGTGGGGTGAAAAGCGACAGGATTTGGGAAAGCTTATATTTTCTCATCAGGTAAAATGCAAGCATATGGAAGATTCAGTTTGTTTTAAAAGAAACCTTCATTAAGAAATGAAAGGTTGAGCCTGTGACCACTTTGTTACAGGGTGGCTGAGCTGCAGGAGAGAAGGTGAGGGCATCAGGAAGAGAAAGTACACTGCCAAGAAAGGCTGAGAAATTCTACCACGTCTCCTTTCCAGGACTGGTTATTTCATAGCTTCACGCCCAGGGAAATCACACATGCAAATCGGACACTCCAAAATACACAGCAGATTAAATCAAGTCAATATTTGGTCTGTAGCTAGTATATTTTATTAAACCTAAGAAGCTGCAGATTATAAGATGTGTCATTATTTAGGACCCTTTCCATGAATAAAACAAAAAGAAGAATGCCCTGAATTCATTGTAAGATCTCATTGATTGGAAGATGCATTCTGATTTTAGTGATATTAAGATGTCTGAGGATGGAGCATCCAAGCTGGTGGGTAAGCACAGTGAGGCCAACACACACCCATGTTCTTTCCACCTCTTTCTGCTCCGTCAGCCTTAGCTTCCATGTCTTGTTCTTGTGTCTGTGTTACGATGGTAGATACAACTTCATGCCTCACGTGCACTGTGCAAGAGGAAGGAGAGTGTAATCAGCCAGGACTTTAACAGAGAAGGCACAGGACCAGTTGAAGATATCTTCTCGCTTTCTCTCTATATATATGCATATGTATATAATGTATTATATATATGAATAGATGTGTGCATATACGTATATGTGTGTATACATACACACACTCATACATTCCACACTTGAGTAAATACATACAAGTGCATATGCATATTTATATAATGTATTATATATATGAATAGATGTGTGCATATACCTATATATGTGTATACATACACTCATACATTCCACACTTGAGTAAATACATACAAGTGTGTATACATATATACAGAAAGCAAGAGAGAGAATGAGATTTATACTGTTGTGCAGCATGGCTGGGCAAGGCTGACACCTGCAGGGCTGGCCAGCAAGGTGGAAGCTCACAGATAGGAGCTGAACTTGTCAATCCACAGGCAGAATGTCTTCCTCAGGAAAAGCTCCGTTTGGGCCTTATTCAACGGATTGAATTCTCCCTGCATGCATTGTTGAAGATAATCTCCTTTGCTTAAAGTCAATTTCTTATGGACTTTCATCACATCTAGAAAACACGTTCACAGCAACACCTAGATAATTACTGGTTGAATACTGTGGGACTGTTGCCTTGCCATGTTGACACATAAAACCAACCATCACAAAGGGTGCCATGATTTTTTTAAAAAGTCCCTTCTAACAAGGTTTTGCCTTTTTCATTAGAGAAGGACCCATTCTCTGTATGTTTCATTGGACGGAACTGTCACATGACCACCCCTGGTTACCACAGAGGCTGGAGCTGGAGTATGTTGTTCCTCAGCCACTCTAGGAGGGATATACCCAGGGATGTCAGCTGTGAGTGGATGCTGAGTGAGCCAATCCATAGGATCTTCCATGACCTAGTTACTGAACATCTAATGAGTACAAGAGGCTGAACAACCACGTGTGGCTCAGATTCGATTCTTGTTAATCATTACCAAAGATAATTAAATAACATTGACTCCCAACGTGAAAAACTCATTTCCCTTCCATGCGTGGCAGCTGAAACTGCTTTTTGATGTAGAGTAGGGCTATAAAATGCCTTTTAAAGTGTTTAAGCTAAAATGGAAACCCTGTTAAAGAAAAATATTTAGAAAGTGCCTTGGTACTAATTGTACGCTAGAGCAGACATTGGGAAACTGTCATGTGAGTTGCTTAGTCATGAATCACTGATTGGAATATGGTTCTTCAGTGCTTCCCCTGGCTAAAGCACAGGCTCAAAGCTATGTTGTCCATGTCCCTGGCCAGGCAGCATGAGACGTGTTCATGAGGAAGTTAGAAAACCTCTCTGACCCTCCATCTCCTCACCTGCAGAGCAGGGACACACCATAGTGTGTCCATGAAGTCAAACGTGGTCCTGCAAACTCTTTGCAAGGTGCTGGCCTGTCGCAGGCATTCACCAGCCATGAGGTTATTGTTACTATTCCACCTCATAATTTATCTGAGCAGAGAGAATGTCTTCATAATTCTTTCCACATAAAATTGAAGGGTTTTAGTATAAAAAGAGTGATGGGCTGGGTTGGAGGAGGATTTAACCCTGCCAAACCATCATGCTCTCTATCTAACGTGGGATGGTGAGAACAATGGAAACATCGGTGAAGCCCATTCGCCTCTCCAAGGAGGGTCTCCTATGATGACTGCCTGGGTCCTCCCTACTAGAAAAAGTAACACAATTAGTATTCTCTCTTCCAAAAGGAGTAATTCAGGCACTTTATGATTAAATAACTTGTCCCAGGTCAAACAAGTAGTAACTGCCCACACTAACTTGAAATCGACAAGGTGACTTTGCCTTCTAGGGGACAGTTGACAATGCCTAGAGACATGGTTGATCATGACTTGGAGGGCTGGGGTGGTACTGGCATCTGGCAGATAGACACCAGGGAAGCTGTGGAATGTCCTACAGTGCCTGGGACAGCCCACCCCCTACAAGAAAGGAGCACCCAGCTCCAAATGTTAAGAGTACTCAGCTCTAAATGTCAGGAGTACTCAGCTCCAAATGTCAGGAGTACTCAGCTCCAAATGTCAGGAGTACTCAGCTCCAAATGTCAGGAGTACTGAGGGCGAGAAGTCCTGCTCCAGAGTCCCTGTGAGCCTTTCCTCACAGGTTTTCATGAGGGTCAGATGAGGCCAGCACTGCGTCAGCGTTCTGTAAACCTCAGGCAGGAGCCAGGCATGCATTGCAGTGATGGGAAGCACTGATGAAGCCTTCTTAGCAAAGCACAGACGTGTTGGCCAATGCATACATTTAAGAAAGTGGGTTCCAAATTTTCTCTCTCTGAATCATTGGCAAATAACAACAAATGACAAAGAATTAAGCTCAGCATTGTCACCAAACTAGCCATGTCACACCTGTAACAGTTAAATACCTCAGTCCACAAGCTTGGGTGCAGAAGAAATCTAACATTCTCTTATTTTCTTCACCTGAACTTAATTTATATTTCCAGTCCCTAATCTTAGTGGCAGATACTTCATCTTAGTCAACTCAGGACTCCTTCCTCTTCCAAGAGATACAGCTAATACCAGGCCCTATGCAGGGAGTGGTGGGCACATTCAGGCCAGGGAAAGAGGGTTCATTGGCCAAGGTGGCTGCGGAGGCCTGAGTTGTCCCCAGCCTCAAGCTCTCATAGTATTTTCTGGTGGTCAAGGGCCAGGGCATTACTGGCTGTTCCTGAGCCACTTTGAACCCTGAAAGGCCTCATCATGGCGTATTCTGCCCTCAAACTTGGGAGACAGCTCCGTCCTTCTCACACTGGGGCACGTGGGAGCTCTGTAAGGTGGCCACAGCCAGCTACATGATTTTCAGGGCCCAGTAAAAAATGAGCATTCAGGATCCCCTGTTCAAATATTAATAGGAATTTCAAGATGGCAAAGTGCATGAAGCCAAGCACAGGACGCTATGCAGTTGCACAGGTCAAATGCCCATGAAGCTGGCCCTGGAATGACCTTCAGGCCCATCTGCTGAGATGCTCCTCTCAGCCACTGTGCTGCCAATCCTCCCCTCCTGCACTGGAGCCCAGGAAAGCTGGGGGACTCGCTGCTCTCCTGGGCACTGCTGGAGGAAGGGATGCAGGTTATTGCTACTCCTAAATCCACGCAAAACTTTTAGGATTTGTATCATCTCCCCTTCCTCTGGAACACCAGGCAGCATCTCACTTCCCAGCCCACCTGCAGCTCTCATCTGCCCCCCAAATCCCAATGTGTGTCTGCTCAGGCCCAGCAGGGAACACCTGTGCTTTACTCATGCCTTTTCCTTTGTCTGAGTTGTCTCAAGAATCTTGCTTTTGCAAAAATTGCATCTGTTCAACTCAAATTCCTTTTCTTTGATTTTTGGTGTGATCATCTCTTTCCAGAAGCAATAAATGCCAATGCCTGGTGGGGGGAAGAGCAGCCAATGCAGGAATGCTAGGATAAAACAAGGTGACTTTTCTTTCTTTTTTCTTTTTTTTTTTTTTTTGAGATGGAGTCTCGCTCTGTCACCCAGGCTGGAGTGCAGTGGCACAATCTCGGCTCACTGCAAACTCCGCCTCCCAAGTTCACGTCATTCTCCTGCCTCAGCCTCCGAGTAGCTGGGACTACAGGCGCCCGCCACCATGCCCAGCTAATTTTTTGTATATTTTTTAGTAGAGACGGGGTTTCACCGTGTTAGTCAGGATGGTCTCTAACTCCTGACCTCGTGATCCGCCTGCCTTGGCCTCCCAAAGTGCTGGGATTACAGGCGTGAGCCACTGCACCTGGCTGCTAAAACAAGGTGATTTTTCAAAAAATTATTGCACAATGTGCAATGAGCCCTATATCATCATCCTTTCAAAATATTCTACACAGGTTATTTCCAAAGACAAAGAAACTCAGTGGGGATTGCATGGGAGAAACTGTGTTGCGCACTCCTATGAAGGATCCCCATGTAGCCTTCACAGTTTCACTTAGATTCTGTCTCTTCCAGGACGTCCTCTCTTATTTCACCTAACTTGGGCTAGTTCGTCCTTCTGAAGCTCCTGTAATGTAACAGCTGTGCCTCTAGCCCTCTCTTTCTCTCTTCTTTGTCTTGTAGACATGAGAGACAGCAGTGAGTAATGGGACAATCACCAAGCATGGGAGAGGGACAAAGGTGGGGTAGGCCCTGCATCTGTGTTCGCTTGGACAAGCTGCCTGAGTTCTCCAGACATCAACTCCTCAATCTGAAAAAAATTGAGCGCAATTATTCCTACCTGCTGGCTTGTTGGTGGCTGTGCTTGCCATTGTCATTTTAATTTTTGTTATTACTGTTGTATAAGTTTTAGGTCTGCTATTAGATTTAGGATCCTTCAGGCCAAGACTTTATTGACCTTTGTGTTCCTAGCCCCCTTCTATGCCAGCATAGAGGACAGTCCCTGGCACATAGTAGATGCTCAATAGTATTTGTCGGGGCAGTGAGTAAATTCCCTGCCTCAGTTTGCTTGTCCTTGAGGAGGTAGATACAAAATCAGAACTCACAGCTTCCCTTATCCACCTCCGATCGCCAGCCTTCCAGAGCATTTGCTGAGCTCACCACCAGGGAACGAATACAACAACATTGATTGCGATGCTGAGTTGTGCCAGACTCTGTGCTAAGGTTGGAGTGACCAATAATCCCAGTTTGCCTGAGACTGAGGGATTTCCTGGGACATAAAATTGTCAGTCCTAAAACTGGGATAATCACAGAAGGAGGAACAGGTTGGCCACCCTTGCTAAGGCTTTTCATGCATTATCTCTTTCTGTCTTTTTTCTTTATTTTTTTTTTTAATAGAGATGGGGTCCTTACTATGTTGACCAGGCTAGTCTCGAACTGCTGACCTCAAGCAATCCTCCCATCTCAGCCTCCCAAAGTGCTGGAATTACAGGCTTAAACCGCCATACCCGGCCGAATTATCTCTTATCTATTTTAAATATGCTTCATTTCTTAGAACAGTTTTTTATTTATGTATGTATAGATATATTTGCTTTGTGGGGCAGGGGGGTGCGGGCTGGGGGGACAGAGCTGCTCTGTTGCCCAGGCTGGAGTGCAATGATGTGACCTCAACTCACTGCAACCTCCACCTCCCGGGTTCAAGCGATTCTCCTGTCTCAGCCTCCCAAGTAGCTGGGATTACAGGCGTGTGCCACCACACCCAGCTAATTTTTGTATTTTTAGTAGAGAAGGGGCTTCACCACGTTGACCAGACTGGTCTCGAACTCCTGAGCTCAGTTGATCCACCCACCTCGGCCTCCTAAAGTTCTGGGATTATAGGCGTGAGCAATCATGCCCAGCCAGAACAATTTTAAATATACAGAAAAATTGAGATGCTTGTCCAAAGAGCCCCCACATGCCCCACACCCAGTTTCCCCTATTTGTAACACCTTACGTTAGTACCGTAAATTTGTCACAACAAATGAACCAGCACGGATACGTTATTATGAACCAAAATCCATACTCTATTCAGATTTCCTTAGTGTTTCCCTGCGTCATTTTCCTGCTCCAGGCTCACACTCGGAATACCACAACACATCTACTTTCCATGTCTCCTTGGGCTCTTGTTGGCAGTAATATCTTCTCAGGCTTTTTTTTTTTTTTTTTTTTAATGATGACCTTGACTGTTTTAAGGCGTACTGGTCAGGTATACTGTAGTATCTCATTTAATCCTCATATAAACCTTAAAGAATGAACACTATTGTTCCATTTTACCAATGGGGTTGCTGACGCTTACGTCCGGTATAACCAGTAAAGGGTTGAATGGTAATTTGAGTTTCCACTGGGGGCAATGATTCCTTAATAACATCAATTCATAGTAAGTATTATCTTCAGTGCTTGTTCTGTCTCAAGTACCCTGCAAAGAAGCCCGTCCCTATTGTATTCTTTCATCCTCATAAGCACAGCACTGTAGACACTCACGTATGCCCATTTTACAGATAAGGAAACCAAGGCCAAGAAAGGTTAAGTCTCTGGCTCAAGTCATGAAACTGATGGAAGAATGTAGACCCCAATCCAGGGCCTCTGCAATCTTTATGCTCTGTCTTTCTAGGAAATACTTTCTCCCTATTAAAGATTGACCCGTTTGGAGGAATATTTTCTCCCTTCTGCTGTGGAACATCTACAGCAGGGTTTCTCAGACTTAACTGTACCTACTCATCACCTGAGGATCTTGTTAAAAATGCAGGTTCCGTAGGTCTGGGATGAGGCCTAAGAACCCGTATTTCTTTTCTTTTCTTTTCTTTTCTTTTTTTTTTTTTTTTTTTTTTTTTTTTTGAGACCAAGTCTCACCCCGTCACCCAGGCTGGAGTGCAGTGGCACAATCTCAGCTCACTGCAATCTCCGCCTCCCGGGTTCAAGCGATTCTCCTGCCTCAGCCTCCCAAGTAGCTGGGATTACAGGCGTGTGCCACCAAGCCCAGCTAATTTTTGTATTTTTAGTAGAGATGGGGTTTCACTTTCCTGGCCAGGTTGGTCTTGAACTCCTGACCTCAAATGATCTGCCCATCTCAGCCTCCCAAAGTGCTGGGATTACAGGCGTGAGCCACCGCACCGGGCCAGGACCCGTATTTCTAACAAGACGGCAGGTGCGGCCACACTGGGAGTAGCGAGGCTGGACACTGACTCCTACCTCACATTTTCCTTTCTTTCCGGAACAAACACGGTAACTGCTGTGTGGGCACACAAGGCAGTGGCCAGAATTCTCAGGTCACTTCCTGACTCTCTGGAGCTCCAACTGTCGGCAGATAAAAAGAAATCTAGGCACTGAGAAATCCCAGGCACTAACATTCCGGACGACCAATTGGCAACTCCAACCTCTCCAGCAGGGTTTGTAAAGAAAACGTAATGAGCCCAGGTGAGGCTCATTAGAGCCAGCCTGGAATTCTGCCAGTGCTACCATGAGCTTTATGCCAACCCTTGATTTTCATATCAGTGGCAGTACTGACAAGGAAGCTGGAAGGCAGGCTGGGAGGAAGCTTTGTACCCATGGAGTCCTCTCCCTCCTCCCCATCCAGTAGCTCTCGCCACGAGGTGAGGCAGTTGGCTTCATCAAATCAGAACCAGCTCATGAGTAATTTTCACTGTCTTCCCTTTCTAACAGGCTGGGCCCCAGGTGATCCTAAAAATTAAATGAAGCTCAGAAAATGAGACACTTAGGAGAGCCAGGCATGAATAGCCTATCCCCGGCTCTAGCGGAACTCTTTACTTCCCTTGTCAATTTCCTTGGACTTCCTTTGGGCCTTTGACTAGTGGCAAAGTTTCACTCCAGAATCTCACAGCTCTGGAGTATTTCTGCCAGAGGGTCCCAGTCCCCTGTGTGTTTTCTTGTTCTCAAGCAAAATTTAAAATGGGCAATGGTAGCCAATGCTGTCTTTTCTCCTTGTAAATTGAGATATTTATGCTGATGCAATATTTTCAGAATAGGACTCTAGGCTGCCTCCAAGCTTCCAGGTACTTCCCAGATTCCAGCAAAAAATTCTTACTACCATCACCCTCCTCCTCCTCATCATCATCATCATCATCATCCCCATTATCATCACTGTCATTACTGGGAATTTATTGCATGTTAAGCACCAGGCTTGCATTTTGCTTGTATTTTCTCAATTAATACAAGCATTGAGGAAGGTCATATTGTTATTCCCACATTACCAAGGATAAAACAGGCTTAGGTAAAATAGCTTCCCAAGGCCACCCTACCGCTGAATTGACCATACTGTCTGCTTGGCCACTGAAGTTGAGACCAAAGATGTTTTTCACTATGCACATCCCCCAAAGATTTTTGGATAAAAACTGATTGACTTACAGTTCTGGCCAAAAGTCAAGCTGATCATTGGTTTTTATATGAGAGAGCGAATGACAAAGAGAGAAGAAAAGAAGAGAAAAATCACTGAATTCACAAAATAGTGCCCTAGTGGTTTATAAATGAGGGGAAAAATGGCACCAGTGACACTGTATTTATACTAATCACTAAAAGCAAATGAATTCCAACTGGGTATGTTAAAAATAGATGCATGTTGATATGTATATATTAACCTAATATGAGAAAAAGTAACCCCATTGAGAAAAGTTAGAGATAAAGTTTACAACCTTCACTTTCTCCCCTGCACAATAGAACTTATGCCATGATAAAATCCCACAACTTAGTCATTTGTTTATTTAAAATGCATTTGTTGAGCACCTCCTATGAGCCAAGAAGTAAAGATTGTGTAAAAAAATAAAATACGTGGGTAGATGGACAATTCAACTAGCAAATGCAATGCACTGTGATTGACAAGTTTGAGTGTTTGTGTTAGAATTATTTGTGTGCAAGCAACAGAAGCTGACTCTGGTGAATCCTAGCAAGTTCAGCATCTCATGAGAAAAAAAGAGCATCTAACACAGACAGAAGGGAAGTGGTCAGGGAAGCCTCCTGGAGGAAGTGACATTTCAGTTGAGACTTGAGGAAGAGGCAGAGGAACCTGTGCCAAAGTGTGGATGTGTGTTTTTGTGGATATGGAGCAGGGCAGAGAGGCTGGTTGGCAAGTGTCCTCAGCAGGGGACAGCACAGGTGAGATGACAGGGAACTAGGCACAGAAAATTCTCTCACAAGGCAGTCACTGGAACCACCCCCACCATTGCCTGTTAGACACCTGGAAATAGCTCTTGGTGGTTGGGAGAAATGGGGCTAGGTGGGAAACAACGTCAGGGAATAACACACACAGAGGACTTGTCTGGTCCCCCGTCCCCCAGTGTAGACCGCCATAGGAAAGCTATGTTGTAAGAAATCATAGAGGAAGGAGACAGCACAAATTAAAACTCCTACTATCATAAGCATCTAGCAAGCATTTTATGAAGCTGCCTTGTGAGGAACTACTTCACTCTAGGAAAAACCCTCCTGGTTACCATGACTCAGAGAACGATCTGCAAAATAATTCACCAAATTAGAGTTTGCCGAGTGCACATTTGTAAATCTGATCCCGCCTGCCCGCCCCCCCATTCTGTTGATTATATCTTTCATCCCCAAGAATGAGGCCAAGAGCCTCCTCCCTGCCCCTCCTCCCCTCCCTCTGTAATCCTCACCCCTCATTTCTCTCCCCTCCCCACTTCTCAGCATCCTGCCACCCCTAAGGCGGTGGCGTGATCACGTGCTGATTTCAGGGAGTTCATTAAAAACCACCACCCTCCCCGCTGACCACGAGGCACCGGCAGCAGCCCCTGGGGCCATGGCGCTGGCAAGAGCATGCCGGTCACTCAAGAGGGGCCGACCCACTCCGAGGACAGGGACCCCCTTGCACAAATGAGAAGAGCCAGCAAACAGTTAATGGTTGAATCCTTTGCAGAAAAAGTCAAGGCAGACTTGTGATTCTTGATGTTAATGAAGGTGTCACACATTGTCTAGAGAAAGTTGTGCCTGGCAATCTTCCCTGTTTCGGATGCCTACCCCAGTGACATTTCATCTCACATCCACCTTAATGAAATGCATAATTAACATATTCTAATTGTGCTGAGCGCTGCGATGATTTTGACAGAACTCACTTTCCATGTCTAATTTGATGCTAATTTAATCTGTTCCTCTCCCGCTGACATGACCTTTCTTGATTGAGTTTCACTGAGGAAATTTTTTGATGGATTGATTTATCAGCATTGCAGAGACAACAAAGGCTCAGGGTGCACGACAGAAAATAGGAAGGGAACGGCCCTCGAAGCCAGCACGCTCTGAACTTGCCGGCTGGAATGTCCTCTTTCCAGAGACGGCTTGTCTGACCTACTGATGGAATTTGAGAAATGTGACATCTGTGCGTGGGTTTGATCTCTCCGATAAAGACAGTAAATATCTTATTGTGGTTGTGAAGCTTTGCATGGAAAACTTCTCTAGGGCTATTCGAAGGAAGCTTAGGCTCCTCCTGTTGACCAAAACCCTAAGCGTGTGAGGCCAGGCCACAGGTTGAGGGCCCCGTCTAGGGTAGAGTGTTTGCTCATTAGCTTTAACCAGGAGAAAGCACGAAGAGGTGGAAGTGTCCGTCTCAAATTAAAACAGAGAAACGTCGCAACTGCGTAGGTCATTGAGCATGGATTTCCTACTTTTAGATATTCTGTAGACATCTACAAAAAGGGGAGTTAAACCTAGATCTTATGGAAGCGTCTGTGGAATGTCCTCCAATACCTGCCCCCACAGATACACAGAGTCTCAAAGCTATTAATATAAACATCTCTTTGTCCAGTTCCTGGTCTTTGTAGAAGTAGGTGCTCAGGATACTGATGACAGTCTTGGAGTGTCCCAGTTCTCACAGGATTAAGTGGCTGAGGGCATTAGACTCCCTCATCCTGAAGATACAGGGGTCAAAACCAGAACCATAGCTGAATGGGCTCCTGGGAAAGCAGTCCCTCACCCTACCTTATACAAAAGTGGCTGCTTTTCAACAGCTGTGAAGGCTTGGATTCCAAGGGGCTTGATCAAAATTTCTCAGGTTTGGCACTATTGTCATTTGAGGCTGGATCATTCTTCGTTGGGGTGGGAGGGGTCTCCTGTGCACTGTAAGTTGTTGAGAAGCATCTCTAGCCTCCACCCACTAAAAGCCAGTAGCACTCCCATTCCTGAGTTGTGGTGACTAAATTTGCCTCAGATTTTGCCAGATGTGTCCTGGGGAGGCAAAATCACCACTGGCTGATAACCACTGAGGTAGAGGGCCAAGTGATAATGCCTGTGACCCCCACATGTCTGCATTGCTCAACACCCCCTACTTCCTCTGCCCAGTGTCACCTCCCCAGCTAGACGTTGTCCAATGGAGCAGACAAGTCCTTATCCACCCCCCAACTCCTTATTCAACTTCTCCCTTTTCCAAATCATATATGACTACACTGTATTAAATATTGATTTATTTATTGTCTGTCTCTACTCAATAAACCATAAGCTACATAAGGCTGAGATGTTGTCCATCTTTTTTACTTTTTTTTTTTCCAACTTTTACTTTAAGTTTGAGGGTGCATGTTCAGAATGTGCAAGTTTGTTGCATAGGTAAACATGTGCCATCATTGTTTGCTGTACAGATCAATCCATTGCCTAGGTATTAAGCCCAGAATCCGTTAGCTATTCCTCCTGATGCTCTTTTTTTACTTTAATTATGGTAAAATATACATAACATAAAATTCACCGTTTTAAGTATCATAAAGTATGCAATTCAGTGGCTTTTAGTACATTGACAATGTGTGCACCTATGCCACTATCGAGTTTCAGAATATTTTCATGACCCCGAAAAGAAACTCCCATACCCGTAACGTGGTAACCCTACTCTTTCCCTCCTCCCAGCCCCTGATAACCGCTAATCTGTGTCTACTGATCTGCCTATTCTGTACATTTCACTTAAATGGAATCATACAATAAGTGAACCTTTGTGTCTGGTGGTTCCTCAATAAGATAAACATGAAGTGACCACAGGACCCAGCAATTCCATTCCTAGGCATACATACAAAAAACATGGGAGACAAGTGTTCTAACGAAAACTTTTATATGAGTGTTCCTAGAAGCACTCTTTGCAATAGCCAAAAGGTGTCCATATGCTCATGAATGGATAAACAAAATGTGGTATATCCATACAATGGAATAGCCATAAAAGGGAATGAAGTGTGGATACATGGTGCAACATGGATGAACCTTGCCTGTCTTTTCATCGTTACATCCTCAGTAGTGAAAATACTGCCTGGCATGTAGTAGGTGCTCAGTAAATACAAGTGGAATAAATGAAAGGCATATAAAAGTAAATGAATTGAGGATAGTCAAGAACCATGGATAACTAGTTAGAAGGGCCATTCACATTAACTGTGTTTCTTTTAATTTAGAAAAAAAAAGAAAAGAAAAAAAATAGACCCCCCCAAAAGAAACAAAGAAACAAAAATGAACCTGATATTGAGCCGGAAATTTTGGAGGCGGGGAGGATCGCTGTATGTGAAAAATAGTTGAATCATGGAGGGGAGCTGGTAATGAAAGTGTCATGACAGAATACTAAAACTTCCCTGCTTTCTGTTCTATTTTGTTTTGTTTCAATGTCAAGCTCTACTTCTTCTTCCCAAATGTTTCTTTCAGAAGCAGATACTTAAGCTATCCATAGTAAATAGATATTTTCCTTCAAAGTACTCTCCTGGGAGGATGAAACATTTATTCCAAAGTAGTTGCCCTGACTGCAAAGATTTTTGCAAAATTTCTTCAGGAGCTGCCTTCCGAGCCCCGCAAGGATACCAAGCTAACGAGATTATCATCATTATGATTACACTTCATCATAGATCAAAAGCAGTTTAACTCGGCAAAATGACCTGGCCTGCTTCACTAGTCTTTATTCTAAGGGGCTGCTGGCTTTGTTCAAAGGCTAAAATCTCTCTGCAAAGCCCAGTTGAACAGTGTCCAGGTGTGCCCCCAAGGCAGGGGCAAAGTGGAGCATGGTCTAAGGGGTCAAGCTACTTAGGTCTCAATCCTTGCTCTACCACTAACTGGGAAAGTGTGCCTCAGTTTCCTCATCTGTTAAAACTGCATAGTAATAGTCCTACCTCAAAGAGTTCTCTTGAGGATTAACTTAGTTAATAATACATAAGCCAAGCATTAGAAACAATGCCCACCACATAGCAAAGTCTTTTAGGTATAAGCTCTTCTTATAAGATATGTGTCTGAGCCTTTTCAGTAATTGTGTAGTGGCCAAGTGAGGTGGCCCATGCCTATAATCCTAGCACTTTAAGAGGCTGAGGAAGGCAGATCACTTGAGTCCTGGAGTTCTAGACCAGCCTGGGTGACACGGTGAGACCCCATCTCTACAAACAATATGAAAACTACCTGGGCATGGTGGCATGCACTTGTAGTCCCAGCTACTCTGGAGGCTGAGGCGGGAGGATCACTTGAGTCTGGGAGGTAGAGGTTGCAGTGAGCCAAGATCATGCCACTGCACTCCAGCCTGGGTGACAGAGTGAGACCCCACCTCAAAAAAAAAAAAAAAAGAAGTGTAGCTTCCCCAGGTGAAGTCTGAAAGTGGTACACTTACTATTTTTAAAAATAATTATTAAGAAATCAGGCGTGCAGTTTTAATGCAATCTTCAGTGGTATATTCATTCTTATATTCTTATTACTGTTGTAACAAGTTAGCACAAACAGTGGCTTAAAAGAAAACAAATTCATTATCTTTCAGTTCCAGAAGTCAGAAGTCTATGTCAGCTTCGTAGAGAAAAAATTAAGGTGTCAGCAGAATTGGTTCCTTCTGGAAGTCCCAGGGGATTGTTTTCTTGCCTGTTCAGCTTTTAGAAGCTGCCTGCATTACTTGGCTCAGGGGCCTCTTCCTTGAATTACTCCAACCTCTTCTGCCATCATATCCTACTAATGACTGATCCTCCTCCCTCCCTTGTATAAGGACCCCTGTGATTACATTGGGTCTGCCTGAATAATCTAAACCAAGGTTCCCATCTTGAGATCCTGAATTTAATCACATCTGCAAAGTCCCACTTACTATAGAAAGTCACATATTCACTGGTTCTAGGGACTCGAATGTAGACATCTCAGGGACATTTATTCAGCCTATCACATATGACTTCATTTTAGGTGGAAAGTGGTTCTCAGTGGAGGATATCAATTCCTTTCTATCTCTCAGTGCAACTCTGTTGTGCCATTTTGAGGACAGAAAAACAATGTGGAGTTAGCCACTGGAATCCAAGGTTGGATGGACCTCTAGGACGGTGAAGTCTCCTGTAGTTCTCTTCCTCAGTGGCTTTGTAAGGATTTTGTTATGTTTGACCAGCAACCCCAGGACTGGAGTTATTCAAGGGGTCTAACCCCAAACACATGTCACATGAGAGAATACCAATTTGGCTGTAAGTTTCATTGTGACCTTGTATCCTACTTGATAGGTTTAAGATAGCACAGTCCTCCAGTGCACCTGGCTAAAGTCATTCTTACATAGCCTCCATCAGGTCATGATTTTTGTTCTGTTCTCGTATGTTTTTGCAGCACCAAAAGAAGTCCCCAGCACCTTACAGGATTGATATTGAGAGCTTTTACAGTGTTTAAAGGTAACTGTTTTTCACAAAGATGAAACACTTTTTGTCTGTTTCACCAATATCCCACCTGGAATATCCTGTATTTCTCTGAATATTATAGTAACCTGTGGCTATCTTGAAACTTCCAGGTTTTCCCATATGAAACTAGAAGACAGACTTGGAAGGCAATGTTGCTTAGAGCAATGCTTGCTCACCAAATCTTTTTCATTAGAATAGTTCACTTAGATACTGGGCAGTTTTGATAAACCAGCATTCAGGGAACAAAGCTTTTATGAAGGTTCCAGCCATAATTTTTGGCCTCAGAATATTGCTGGGTGTTTTTTCCTCTGTCAATCTAAAATGAAAATGTAACATTTCAATTGCAATTCGTTAGGAAGAAGCAAAGAAGGGGATATTTGCATTTGATCACCAAATTGGACGAGACTAACTTTCATCCGCATCTGATCTGCCAATATCAGCTTTTTTCTGAAATATAAAATAGTCATTAATTCACTGTTTTCCCTTATTGAGTGAATAGATTTTTTTTTCTGTCACCTGTGTTTTTATCCAAAATCAGCAATAGAATATTTTGCATGGTTAAAAACTGGGGAGGTGGGAATTGACATTTCCTTTGAACTCCAAACAAATGGCAAACTTCAAAAAATGTTTGATGAAATACTGCAGTATTATAACCCAAAGAATCTATGATGGAGAAAAATATGAAGAAAATAAAGAATTTTTTTAACGAATGGATTATGATACTTACCTTCAGTAGGTTAGCTTTAGTGTTTACAAGTATTAATTGATTTTTTGTCAAAAAAAGTTACATAAAAAATTAACTCAATTATCATCAATCCAAAATTTTGAAAGATAAAATGTGGCAGGTGGAATTCTAAAAATGGCCTCTGAGATTCCTGTCCCATGTTTATTCAAACACTAACCTAGGTACAGCTTGTGAAGGGATTTCACAGATGTGACTAAAGTGTCAAGTCAGTTCACTTTAAAATACAGAGATGACCATATCACACGAGTCTCATCCAAACATGAAATCCCTTTAAAATCAAAGCTTCTTCCCCAGGTGGTAGCAAAAACAGACATCTTCCTCAAGGAGGAAAACAGGAAGAGAATCAAGGTCAGAGAGATTTGAGTTCAAATTTTCCACTTATTGGTTTTATGACCTTTTGAAAAGTTTCCTCATACCTTGTGCTTCCTTTCCTAATTTGTACTGCTAGTCACTCCCTAAATTTATGGGAAGGAATTAAGAGACAGAATGTACACAAAATACTTAGTCATGTGTCAGACACATACTATGTGCACCATAAAAGATAACTATTATTACTTTAGAAATTGTTCACTCTATAAGATTATCCTTCACTGACTCTTGCAAACTGTATTCTGATTCTAAAACCATGTGAGTTCACACAAAATGACACTGAAAAGCATAATGCAAGTGTGGAGCATCCCACCATGTGCAAAGTTTGGTTGGGGCCAGCTCTTTACCCCACTGCATTCCGTTTTGGCCCCTCTCCTAAGCTCTTTTTTTTTTTTTTTTTTTTTTTTTTTGCTCTATTTACTGCATATCTGACCAACACCATGAATTTCCAGAACCCCAGTCCTTTATCACCAACATCATTCTCCACAAAATTTAAGTAGGCTGTGCACTATTCTTACAGGGTCCAATGAGGAAATAGTCTTATAAACTAAGTTAGGCTAAATTGTTAATAGCTAATGATGACTTAGCTTCCCATATGCACTTCATCAAAGGGATTTGAAGCCTTACCCCTAAGAAATAAGGTGGGAAGTCTGGGGGCGGTGGCTCACTCTCTCAGCACTTTGGGAGGCCAAGGTGAGCGGGTCACGTGAGGTCAGGACTTCAAGATCAGCCTGGCCAACATGGTGAAACCTTGTCTCTACTGAAAATACAAAAATTAACCAGGCAAGGTGGCACGCCCCTGTAATCCCAGCTACTCAAGAGGCTGAGGCACAGGAATGGCTTGAACTTGGGAGGCGGAGGCTGCAGTGAGCAGAGATCGTGCCACTGCACCCCAGCCTGGGCGACAAAGTGAGGATCTGTCTCAAACAAAAAAAAAAAAAAAAAGAAAGAAATAAGATGAGAATTTTAGGCATCAACTTCGGAGAGGAAAGAAAAATTATTTGGAGGTGCAAATTCCTTTGGTATTAGTAAAAATTGACTCACATGGGCCGTAGTCTCCACCATGTCCAGTAAATGTCATCTTCCTCTGTTGCTAATCCTTCTGCTTATATATATTTGCTTAATTTTTGCCCTGACCACCAGGAAAAGATTTCCCAAGTTCCTTTTTTCTCATGTAAACAATTTGTATTACTTAGAATAAGGATAGTGCATGCTTATTTATAAAGGACTAGAAAACAGGGAAAATGAAAATAGAAAAATTAAAAATCATCTATAGTCTCACCCTTCGTAGAAAATGATAGTCCAGGATATCAGTTAAGGAGGGGTTTAAGGTTGGTAAATCAGGTTGGAAGATGGCCTGGAAGATTTCCCCTGAGGCTGTGACTGCATAGCAAACACCCAGTGATACCTGAGAGTGTGAGCGGGTTGCTGATGGAGATTAAGGGAGGAATGAAGTCTTGGCCCCTAGCTATTCAAGACCATCTGCAACTGCCCATTCTCAATATTTTGTTTGTATTTCTCATATGTGTGTACACATACATGTCATAGAATTATTTAATTTTTGGTAAAAACTGAAGTCATACCTACATAATGTTTTATAAATCGATTCTTCCTAGCCTAAAATTGTGAATGTCATTCCCGTGCCATTAAGCATTTTCTTCTACATTCATTTTTAAAGGCCATACAAGAATATTCCATAGACCAAATACGTATTTTTTCATTGGCCTAGGGTTGTATATTTAGGTTGTTTCCAACTCTGATTCTAATTAACAGCATACAACTGAGCACCTTTGTAACCAAACTTTTACACATATACGTGATTAATTCCTTAAATTCCTATAAGTAAAATTGCTGGGTCAAGGAGTTACATATTTTAAGACTTTTCTGAAATAACTATGTCATTCAGTTTATCTCAGATTTATCATCAGGCAGTTGAAACAAGGGTATTAGAAATCATTTTAGACCAATATGAAAGACGAATGGACATTAAGCATCAGTAGTCTTTAACATGAACTTTTCATAGATACCAAAGAGTAGGGGGATCAACTGTTTCTATTTGCCCAGGACTGAGGGGCTTCCTGGCATGTGGGTCTTTTAGTGCTAAAACCAAGACAATATCAGGCACATTGGGACAGTTGGTCACCCTATCAGAGAAGACCAGGGACTGACTGACCATAATGGAAGGATTCAGTGTAATGCCGTCGTAGGCACCATTGCCAGAACCATGGTCAGAACAAGGTGAAAGTTTAACTACATCATTAGCCCTAACATGGTAGAAGGCAAGTAATGAGTTTCAGAAGCCATGTTCAAGAACTTTGAAGTGTAACGACGTAGAATTATGGGGTAGAGAGCATAGACTAGAGAAAATGCAAGCTTCTAAGAGTCCAATGACAATTTCGGGAAACATGAGGAGACATGGTGCTCTTGTGGTGGCCTGTATTGGAATCTGGTTTGCCCCTCAAGTGAATAGTGTTGATTTGAAAACTTCTAATATTCTTTCTTTTAGGAGATCTTCTTGATAGTTGCAGAAATTCTGACTGGAATAGATTAATGTCTTGCTATTTGGCTTGTATAGTAGCAGCATAAAATTCCACTTCTTCTTAACTGAAGAAAGCATTTAATTTAAGCACAAGAAGATGACTCAAACTGAGCCACTGCAAAGCAGGTGAAGGGCTCAAAACATTATAGTGGTTTCTCAATTTGAGTCATATTTTCATTCTCTTGAATCAAAGGGTCACTTAACAAACATGATTTAATTATATATGTCTTGCCTGATTTTTAGTCACAGAGAAATTCCGAGATGAAAACTCTGGAAAGGTGTCATTAACTCAAGGAAGACAAGGGCAGAGTTAGGCTAGCAACTAGACACTCTGTGTACAGTTTCATATACAAGCAAGACTTTCCTTTAATATTGATAAAGAATTGAGTATCATGTATGCATTCCCTTTTATGATATACAATTAATTGTAAGTTATTTCCCCTTGTATGCAACCATCCACATTTTTCTTCTGACCTTTTCCTCAAGTCTTACAACTACTTTTAATGACTGCATTTTGGAGGTGGTCCCAGGAGAACAGATGTTGCCTTATAATGGTGTTTTTCCATTTTTTTCTTTGATTGGGCAAGGGGGTTGGAAGTATTATTTAGTCATTATATGGATTCCTCTAAAAATTGTTCAATAGAATATGTATTCATTTATTCACTTACTTATTGTTTATTTATTGCCTAGAGTATACCCAACACTGAGGATACAATAATGATCAAGACAGGTCTAATTTCTGTCCCATAGAGCTTAAATTGTAATTAGAAAGAATTTTTTTAAATAAGCAAAAAGGAAAAGAAAAAATAACTACAAATGATAAGTGTTCTGAGGGAAATTAACATTCTAAGAGAACACCTGGGAGACAAGAGCCCTCCTTTGGGCAGTATGGCCAAGAAAGTCCTTTCTACTTGCATGAAATGTTCTCAGTAGCATCGTTCATAAATATCCAAAAAGAGGAAACATCCAAATATCCTTCAGCTAGTGAGTGGACAAATAAAATATGATGTATTCATACCATGGAATGCTAAAGAGCAATTAATAAAAGATGAATTACTTGTTCATACTATTATAATGATAAACTTCAAAAACATTAAGCTAAGTGAAAGAATCCAGACATAAAACATACTTTATGTGATTCCATTTATATGAAATATCCAGAAAAGGCAAATCTATAGAGATATAAAATAAGTAAGTGGTTCCTAAGGACTAGGAGTGGGAATGAAGAGTGACTGCAAATGGGCACTAGTTTTCTTTTTGGGAAGAAAAAAATGTTCTAAATTAGATTGTGGTGAAGGTTGAACAACTGAAATTATACTAAGAACCACTGAATTGTACCTTTTAAACAAATGAATTTTATGACATGCAAATTCTATCTCAATGAAGCTGTTAACAAAACAAAAAGAAGGATGAAAGAATAAGCACAAAGAAGAAAGGATTTCCTAAGGAGGTGACATTTGAACTGACATAGGACTTATGCAAAGAGAGGTCTTGGCTGGGACTGGGAGAGAACACTCCAGGCAGGGAGAGTCTGTGCAAAGATCCTGAGATGAGCGAGCATTTGGCATGCATAACAAACTAGTGGAAGGCAAGGATGGCTTGAGTATGTTGAGCAAAGTTTAGAGGTAGTGAGAAAAGAAATTGGAGAGGCAGATAGCAGCAAATTCACACAGGACATTGCATTGCAGGCCTGATACTGAGGGTGCTTCATGTGCTACGAAGACATTGAGAGATTTTAATTGATGCTATGATGTATACTTGACAACATTCTACCTTAATAAGAATAAAGTCAGCCAATACTGTTGACTTACTATTCTATGAATTTTACACATACTACCCTATGAGGTAGGTACCCTTATTATTATGAGTAAGGAAAGTGAGATACAAAATAATTTACTCAAGAAATCTGAGGGATAATTATGATCTGAACTCAGTTAGTCCAGCACCAGAGCTTGAAATCTTAACCACTGCCCTACCCTTGAAAGTAGGACTAGCTTCATAGGCATACAACCTATGCAGTCACACAGGGCCCCATGCTTAGAAGAGTCCCACACTTGCTTTAACAGCCTGCTGTCACCATCTTGAAATGCTTAAAAAGTTTTTAATAAAGAGACCTCACATTTTCATTTTGCACTGCATCTCACAAATTATGCAGCTAGTACTGCTTGAACAGTCTTTTAGACATTTTACTACCAGAGGAATTATTAATCCATTGAAGATCATAGATAAAAGCTGGCCAGGGAGGAGAGGCAAACCCTTAGAATTAACATCCTATGTCTTATGCATGTCCATTTTGGGACAGAACTCTCAAAAGGATCCATAAGTCCAAAAGGGTTAAGACTCCTTGATTTACCAGCAGCCACCATTCTGATATTTAGGAATAGCTAGATAATGAAGTAGACTTACTATTCAGCTTCCTGTTGTCCTACATCTATTGATAAAGGGTTGCATTGGCAACACTCTTTCCAGAAAACAGGAAAATAATAATAATAATAATAATAAGGATGAATGAAAATAAATGGAAAAGAATAAATTCTAAGCAAAATATTTTCTTTAGTGTGTGTGAATGTGTGTGTGCGCATGTGTGTGTGCATTTTTCTCAAGGGACCTAAAGTTTGTCTTTTTCACTATCATAATAATTTTTTAAATCCCTAAAACACAAAAATCAAAACCAAAGGGACAGTTCTTCTGAATTTATACTAATGAATTTGGTCAAATATATCACTCATTTTCCGCTAGTTTGCATAAATTCCATTTCTCTTGTTTCAGAGGCTGACTTGGGTTATAGGAGAACTTTTAATAATCACTATTACATAGGACAATATTCTGCATGCAATAATTCCACAATAAATTCATGTCACGTGTTAATTTTGACATTATAATTAATGTATCAATAATTTGTTACTATTATTTTCTTATAATCTGGGCTTACTTGTAACCAGAAGAAAACTAAAGTTTAATGGCAAGTTTTCAATTGCATTTAAAATACCCCCAGGCCAGGCTTAGTGGCTCACGCCTGTAATTCTAACACTTTGGGAGGCTGAAGTGGGAGAATCACTTGAGCCCAGGAGTTCAAGACCAGCCTGGGCAACTTAGTGAGACGCTGTCTCTATTTTATTAAAAAAAAAATAAAATTAAATAAAATAACCCCCAATTAATTTCTAAGCTAGTAAAGGCAAATAATAAAAAATGTGAGCTCTTGATACAAAATTTTTTAGAATTTTTTTGTGCTCAAGAAACAATTACGTACTCATGAAAATGTGATTATCCACTTTAAGAATAATAGGGATTAAAATAGGCCTCTGAATTTGATATCGTGAAATGATTAATTGTTCTTCGTCACTGAGGTGCTGCTTTCTTTGTATGCTTCATTGTTCAACCCATGAAGTCCCTAGATCTTTGAGCTACCAGACAAGTGATATTTGTGCCTCCTGGGGCTCTCCCAGTGTGACCCCACAAGGAGACCTTCTGACTCTGTTTATTCTTAGAGTGAGCAACTGCATACAAATAGAAGATGTTATGACACAGGCCACCAGAACCAAATACAGAGACAAGAAGATATTTCTATGAAAACAAAATACTAATTCTACCCTAAACTAAGGCTAGACTTTCCCAAGTGGAAAACTATTCCTGGAAAGAACCAGGGAGAGATGGTATAATTTCATTTTCACATGGACGACCGCAAACTCAAGCTTCTTTAAAAGTGCCATAATGAACCCAGCACACGAACACTCTGGCTCTGAGACAAAAGCAAGGATTTTCTCATTTGCCACCTAACATCCTTGTAATTTCCCAGTTTTAGCCTGTGTCTTTATGGGGGGAAGCAAAAAAAGCAAAACCAGCTTTGTATTGTTTTCATGCAGTTACTGAGCCTGGGTAAACTGGGACAAAATCCTAGCAACTGAGACCAGGCAGAAAAAAAAAAAAAGTTTCTGTGGTTCTTTTTTTTTTTTTTTTTTTTTTTTTTTCCCAAACAGAGTCTCATTCTGTCACCCAGGCTGGAGTGCAGTGGCAGGATCTCGACTCACGGCAACTTCCGCCACTCAGGTTCAAGCAGTTCTCGTGCCTCAGCCTCCCCAGTACCTGGGACTACAGGCGTGCACCACCATGCCTGGCTACTTTTTTTTGTTTTTTTTAGTAGAGATGGGGTTTCACCATGTTGGCCAGGCTGGTCTCGATCTCCTGGCCTCAGTTGATCAACCCACCCCGGCCTCCCAAAGTGCTGGGATTACAGGCGTGAGCCACTGCACCCAGCCGTTCTTCATCTTTTTGAAAAAAAATTTACTTCCAATTATTTGATGGTAAAATCCACCAATTTATGCATAAAATAAAATGGCAAGTTAGATTTATTTGGAGAAATAAATTGTAGAAACCATTCATCCGTTAGGGTTTTTTAAACGGTCTTGTGCCACTTGATGAAGCAAAAATAAAACTTCACTCAGCTGACAGATAATCTAGGTGACAAAATCTTTTGTCTCTCCCTTATGAAGTGACCGCTTTGAATATTTTTCTTATTTTAAAAACCAAAAATCCTTTGAATGCTATTTATTATTTTAGGAATCAAAAACCAAATGTCTATTGTGAACACAAGTCTAAGAAAGAGTAATATGAACCAGTCTTTTTCAAGATGGCCTGCTTTTTCTGCTTGAAAACATTCCCATGTTAACGTTTTTCTTCCTGGTTGCTCTGTTAGCCTTAATCTGTAAGTACTATTTTTTTGGAGGGCCTACTCTAATCCAGTTGTTTTATAGACATTATTTCATCATTCGATCCTACCAACAACTTTATGAATTAGGAGTTACAAATTTGCTTTTGTAGATAAAGAAGCTCAACATCACAGACCTTCATTCATAAAAAGGGTGAAAACTGTCTAGGGTCAGGCAGACTGGGGCCAAACCTGTTCTGGCTCTTTCTTGCTGTGTGATCTTAGCCAAGTTATTTAACCTCTCTGTGCCTCAATTTCTTATCTGTAAAATGAAAGAGAGTAATACATGCCTACAATTCCTTAGCCGTGATTCTCAAATCAAAAAATCTCTGAAAATTAAAGTGTTTTCATAAATAGGACAGCAGGGAACATACTTAAACAAAAATATTACACGTTGTTTATCTGAAACTCACATTTAACTGGGTTTGCTGTATTTTCATTTGCTAAATCTGGCAACACTAGTTTGGCGCCAACATTCATTTGGCATAAAGATTAAACTGTGCTGGCAAGAGGCTATTACAATCTTTATTTGTCCCACGTGGTGAAGATCTGAGCAGCGGGGCCAGCAAATACAACAGCTCTGAGCCATGTGGTTGGTATGTTCGAGGACAGAGAGAAGGCCACTGTGGCTGGAACAGAAAGATGGCTAGACAAAAGAGGGAAAGGAGATCAAGTCAGAAAGGCAGGCAGGAGTCAGACCGTGGAGGGCTTCGAGCCAGGCTAAAGATGGTGAGAGGTAAGCCCAAGATCACACCGATGGTGAGCAACAAAACCAGGATTCAACCCTAAGTCAGTCTTATTAGTGCATTGGTCAGTCTGTCAACAAACATCGTGGGGGAAAGTCATCCTTAAGACATCGTTATAAAGATGTCTTCAGGCTCTGGAACTAATTGAAAGATTATCAACTTGGCAGCCAATCAGCTCCTACATTGACTTTAGTACTAGAAAGAGGTACAACTGAAATGGACTTTTCAGTCCAAGGTGATAACATTGATGCCCATTTCATAGCCCTTGCTGAGTTTCTGTGCAATAGGAAAGCATCTTAATGAAAAAATCAAGATTTCCAAGTGAAGGGGGAAATGATACACTTTGTAAATGTAGTATAAATAAATCTAACATATAAGACAGTGTAATAATGATAATTCAGTATAAGACAGCATATGTCATTTTGTCACCTACCTTGCACACTTATGGTTACACATATCACCTCCTTTTATGTCCTAAGGTGTAATTTACACAGTACTAGAATTGGTGGAACGTGCTCATCTGGTCAGCCTACTTTAAGTACTCTGCCCGTGACTTTTACTTTTGTTAACCGAAGTCAATAAATATTTCGAGCTTCTACTCCATATGAAGCACAGTGCTGGGCATAAGAGACATAGAAGCAGACAAGGTCTACTCTTGAATTCACCAAGTTTGTAGTGACTATATATTTTTTTGTTTCTAGAATGCACAACGAGTGATATTTCATGGTTCCAAGATGGTGTGATTTTTGTCAGGGTTTTAATAATAACATCACAGTTAGACAGTCTTACAATGTGCTAGGCACTGTGCTAAGCGTTTATGGGGATTATCTTACCTAATTCTTAGAAAGCCCAAAAATGTAGCATTATCCCCATTTTTCAGATGGGGAAACCAGAGATTAAGTATCTTATACAAGGTACAGAGCTTGTAAACAATAGACCTGGAGTATCAAACCCAGGCAGTTTGACTTCAAAGTCAGTTCTTTTAATATAAAGTTGTGCTATGACAAACCTTATATTAAAAACTTTTGTGTTCAGGATAATGCCAGAAGCCAAGCTCTCTTCTATTTTAGCTAAGATGAGATGGTTTCTCGCACAGCAGGACTTCCTCAAGCCTCTTCTTTTTCTCCCTCTGGGGGGCTAGTTCGGGCTTTTCTTTTGAACCAGTGAAGCACAGGAAAAATCCACACGTGCTGAATTCTCCACATTGGCTCTGTACCCGCTGCCCGCCCAGCCCCCAGGATTTGCCCCAGCGTGGCTGTGCTCACTGGCCCCATCCTCTCTGTCAACACTGAGGCATCAGTAAATAAAGAACACCCCCCAAAGCTTGTCAGATTCTTCTGCACTGGTGCACACACCCCAGTGATGAGCAAACTCCTCTATCATTTGCCCAGGATCTTTGAATTTAGATGCTGGGTCAAGAAAGAATGACACTTTTGCAGGAAGCTGTTCTTTGGGAGAAATGATATTTTTTAGCTTCTTCCTCAGGCCTGCAACATAATAGGCAGGTATTGTCCTGGTGATAAATGATAGCTCCTCTGGAAGAAATTACAACACTGTGTGTCATAAGCCGAGGCTTCTCCAACATTCCTCTCTGCTGTGGAGTGGGTATAGATCTGGCCACAAAATCAGAAGTACCTGCAAAACAAACTCTTTTTTATAACTCAACTTAAATTTTTTGTTTCAAATTCCCATTGATCTCAATTAATGGCATATTGTGTCTGAGTCACTCTTGAGGCCTTCCTTCCACCCTTTCTTTTGATCAATAGTTTATAAATGGGAATAATATCGCCCTTAGTCAGCTTTCCAGAAATTATTTTGGGGGATCGGTTGTCACAAAGATTGAGAGGTGACACCGACATTTATTTGGTGGTCAGAGGCCAGAGGTGCTAAATGTCCCGTAATGCACAAGACAGTCCCACACCATGAAGAATTGTCTGGCATCCCAACTTTTCAATGTCCAGTAGACATTCATGCAGGTGAAACATTGGTTTCTAACTCTCTGAGCCATGCACACAAAGCATCCTTCACATAGTTGGTTTTCTTTTGTTGTTGTTGTTGTTTGTGTTGTTGTTGTTGTTTTGTGTTTTTTTTTTTTCTGGAGACAGAGTCTCACTCTGTCACCCAGGCTGTCGTGCGATGGCGCCATCTCGGCTCACTGCAACCTCCACCTCCCAGATTCAAGCGATTCCTCTGCCTCAGTCTCCCGAGTAGCTGGGGTTTCACCATGTTTGCCAGGCTGGTCTCGAACTCCCAACCTCAGGTGATCCACCACCCGCCTGGGCCTCCCGAAGTGCTGGCATTACAGGCGTGAGCCACCGTGCCCAGCCTCTTCACACAGTTTGTTGTTTTTTTGTTTTTTTTTTGAGATGGAGTCTCGCTCTGTTGCCCAGGCCGGAGCGCAGTGGCAGGATCTCGGCTCACTGCAAGCTCCGCCTCCCAGGTTCACACCATTCTCCTGCCTCAGCCTCCAGAGTAGCTGGGACTACAGACGCCCGCCACCACGCCTGACTAATTTTTTGTATTTTTGGTAGAGACGGGGTTTCGCTGTGTTAGCCAGGATGGTCTCAATCTCCTGACCTCCTGATCTGCCCACCTCGGCCTCCCAAAGTGCTGGAATTACAGGCCTGAGCCACCGTGCCCGGCCCACACAGTTTTTATATGCTCTGAACTGTATAGAAATGTAAGTACCCTGTAAATTGAGGGAAGACTGTACTTCGTTCTAACTGTACAGAAACTTGTTCAGCATATCAAAAACTCATGTCATGAAGGCAATATTATGAGAGGCATTCGATTCTCTGACACAACACACCAGTCCAGATCTGTATTTGTGCTGTCACATTCAGTGTTTCTATGTATAATGGTAAGAATCTGATTGCTTTACCATATGTTCTAGTATGTCATGCCGAAGTATTTAAATGTTGGAATGTACATTAATTTATTATAAATACTTCCCTTGTATTTGCCCCTTAAAAATTGTGCTTGTAAATAAGGGATTTCAGGTGTGGACAGGAGTATTTAGCAGACTATGTGCATAGCCCACTCATTCCTCTGAACACTCATCTCCACACATCAAAAGGTGTCCTCCGCCAACACCTGCCACCCTCAGGTGCTGCTATTCTTGGCCTCAGGACGTTTTCCTGGCTTTGGGATCACACTCACAGCCATGCAGCATCATAGGATTTAACGAATGCCCCAGAAGCAGCCCTTGACCAATGGTGCACAGTGAGTGGGTGGACAATATGCCTGTCACCCCGTAGGAGGGGTATACCCGAGGCATGTGCTGCACGTCTCCCGGAGGTCCCCAGTGGGAATGAGCCTCTGCTGCCCATGGTGGGCCCTGCCTTGATCTCACATCCTGGATTGGCTTCTGGCCTTTTCCTATCTTGCTATACCATCACCCTAGCTGTGCTTCCTGGGATCATCTTCTGCATCAGCTACTTAAATTGATGACTTTGTCTCAAGGTCAACTTCTTAGAAGCCCAACCTAACGTGGGCCATTACCAAGAATTTGCTTCCAAGAGGGACATTGAGTGTAACAGGGTTCAAAGCCAGTGCTCCAGACACCGTCAAGATTTGGAATTTTGTTCAATGCCAAGGAGCATATCATTGGGATATGGATTACCCCTTTCCATGTGGCCCCTTCAGGACTGAGATCTCCTGATTTTGAACCTAGCTTGAGATAAAGTCAATTCTCCAACATGGAGTCTGTGAATCCATCTCTGGTCTCCAGGGGATGCAGAGGAGATTCATCAAAATAAAGCAGATAAATGAGTGAGTGGAGCTGTCTGGGTGCATGGAAAGTCATGCAGATAGAAACATCTTTTGTGACTGGGCGTGGTGGCTCATGCCTGTAATCCCAACTACTTGGGAGGCTGAGGTGGGAAGATTGCTTGAGCCTGCGAAGTCAAGGTCGCAGTAAGCCAAGATCATACTACTGTGCTCCAGCCTGAGTAACAAGCGAGACCCTGTCTCAACAACAACATCAACAACAAAAATTTGTTTCCCACTGTAAATAGAAACCTGATTCATAGAATCTCATTCTTTTATTTGAGAAAGATTTATGGAGCATCTATTCTATATCACGTACTGGGCATAGAGTGGTGAACAAAACAGACAAAATTATTTTTTCTATCAAGTTGGGAGAGACTGATAATAATAAAAACATATGGATGGTGTTAAATAGTAATAAATACCTTTGAGAAAAAAAGAAACAGGAGAGGGGAAGAAGGAGGACTGGAGATGAGGGTGGTGAGTTTTTAAAAGATAGATCAGGGATAAATGGCAACAGACACTCAGCATTAAGGTCGAGGGTTCGACTCCTTGCAGGGCATGGTTATGCTGGCAAGGTCTGCCTGGGAGGAAGGTGCTTCTGCTCAGCTCAACAAGGACCGCCGTGTGGGAAGACAAAGCCCAGCTGGCAGGTATTCTCATTTTCCAGAGGAAACTTATAGACATACCACCTGCCCGGAGAGCTGCTAGCAACAAGGCAAAGCTCTCCATATTTTTAAGAGTTCAAACTTGCCTTCCCGCTCAGCATGTTCAAACAAGAGTCAGGGAGTCGCGCTGGTGCCCTCTCCTCTCTATCCTGCCCCATGCCTCCCCTGAAGCCATCACTTTCTGCCTGAATGACAGGAAGGGAAGGAGAGGGGAAGAATGTAGAAAGAAAACAAATCACAGATTAGGATTACCCAGCCCCACTTGTCCAGCCAGTTTTCTCTTCTTCTGGATGCAAACTGAATGTTGGAAGCATTGCCTTGCAAAGTCAGTAGTCAACAGGGAAGGTTCAGATTTGTTTCTTCCTTGAAAGCTGCAGAATGGGATGTTGCTAGAGATCCCAGTGGGAAATTTCCCAGATAGAAAAGCCATGTTGGCTTGTGGAGTGCCGGGGCTTGGCATGGGGGCACTGCCTTGGCAGAGCTGTCTTGATGTTTCTGGAAGGCATTGCCAACACCAGCGGAACTTGCAGCAGGAGTTTTATGACCCTTTTTCATCCAAGCCACTATTTGGGCAGATGCCTGATTACTTCTAATGACTCCATTTCTGTGATAATGGCCAAGTCCTCTGTCATCCTGCTGTGGCCTGGAATGGCCCTGGTTTTAGAAACGAGATGCTCCTTGTAACGCGTGGAGGCACTAATGGCTGCTCTCCAGGATCCTGGCCTCCTGTGCCAACAGGCAGAACAGCCAAAAGCAACAATGCAAGTGTGCAGAAACCATTCTTGAGACAGGGGGATCATTGGTCTGCCCATTACTAAAGATGCCCAACTCTACACTAGTCAAGAAAATCTTTGTCCCTTGAAATTTTATGTATTTCTCTAACTTCTGAGGAAGCCAAGATCTGAGAATGAAGGAAACTTTTGTCATGAGGACTGATGGTTGGGCAAAAATGATTGGCCTGTTTTCTGGTGCTAAAACATGCTCCTAAGTGGCCAATTGGCTTCTAGTCATAGGCTCTTGGCATGATGAATGCATGTGTGATGGTGTCTGTAACAGCTATCCCAGCTTGGGGGGGTCGGGGGAGGCTCTAGCTTATTCACTTAGTATGTACCCTTAAAATACACATGCCAGGGTTTCTAAACTGCCATCTCCCTAGGACCCCACTCCACTACTATTTGGGGATGGGGGAGGTCATACTATCTGAAGTTTTGCAAGTGGAGATTTTTTACTTACAGTAAGTGAAATGGAAACTGACCAATACCTTAGGACATGGTTAGATGCCGTTTACGCTAAGAGGTGACCAGCTAGATGCTGGATCCTGACAAAGCAAAGGTGTGGTCCCCCACCTCAGGTGACAGGCAGTGGTCATTGAAGTGAATGCTGAGTTACCAGCTGGCAATGCTTACTCTACCATGTGGCTTCCAGGCTTTCAACAAATGTTCTTCCCTGCTCTTCTCAGCCAAATCCACCCATCTCACTACTTCCAAACCTTGGTCTCTCTTCTGGAAAAGTCTCTCCAGCTCCCAGATGTCAAGGACCTCCTGGGAATCCACTTCCTTCTCCACTGACTCAAATCCCTGCTAGTCTGATGGTCCAGAGATCCTTCTTTTTCCAGAGAGCACTTCCTCCTGTTGCCTCCAGCACAAAAAGCCTTTCACCCTCATTGTTCTTTGATCTTTTATAATCCTCAACCTTGGAGATTGTTTAGGCTCAAAGCCAGAATCAACCAAAATTCAGTTCCCTTTCCTCAAAGGCAGAGAGGGCTTAGCTTTCAAACCTTCCAGTGTCAGAAGAAAAAGAAGGGGGAATACAAACAGCTCAGTCTCTGTGTTGAAATAGTCTGAGTGCCTAGTCACCTGAAAAAGAGAGTTATTTGGATCATTCTCCAGGGCTGTTATTTTGGAGTAAGTCACAACTTACTTGGTCCGGGATTCACTGCCCACTGTGGAGACAAAGTTTCTCAAATTCCTTTATCAGCATCAGGAACCAAGCTATTCAGTCCCACTGTCCACAGTTTTGCTGAGAATTTTTCTGTAGAGTTTATAAGTTATTGTCATTCTGCCTGTCTGTATGTCTGTCCACCTATCGTAAAAGTTAGGTAGTGGGAAAGGTGTTTAGTCTATTTAAGGAAATAATTACTCAAAAACTAGTTTTTGCCTTTTGTGTGTGCCAATACGCAGCTTGATTCCAAACATGATGATACCATTTCGGTGCCTAATTCCATCTGCCTGGGATCTAACACCACCTCTGCCTCTTACTACCTTTGTGGAAAGCGGGTCAACCTCTGCAAGTCTGTTCTCTTCGCCCAACGCAGAGTGCAAGAGGCTTTCCCTTGTAAGGCTGCTGTAGACATTAAATGAGAGAGGCTAGGTCAAGAGCATGGCAAAGAGGAAGGCCCCACTGCGTATTAGACAGGGCTATTGTTATTATTAAGGTGGGACAAATAGACCACACTCTGTTCCATATTTCCCCCCTTTGGCCTCTAATGTTTGCTCCTGCACATTCTTGAAAGTAACAGAACCACATGTCTTTTCAAACAGTAATAATGATAGATATCAGTATTCAGTTCTGACTCTATGCGAGGCAATTTGCATGCATTATTTCATTCAAACCTGGCAACAGTTCCATGAGGTGCCACTTCTATCAGTTCAACTTTGTAAAGGAAAGGCTTGGGCTGTGCGACTTAATCGAGGGCATTGCCGTTTTCAGTGTAGACGCTAGGATCCAAGCCTGGTTCAAACTCCATAGCTGATACTCTTAACTAGCCCTGCATAGTGCCTCATTATTCAAATGCCAAATAATTCAGAATTTTGCTAACTCTGCAAGAACTTTATTCTCAGCCGGGCGTGGTGACTCATGCCTGTAATCCCAGCACTTTGGGAGGCTGAGGTGAGCGGATCACTTGAGGTCCAGAGTTCAAGAGCAGCCTGGTCAACATGGTGAAACCCTGTCTCTACTAAAAAAAAAAAAATACAAAAATTAGCCAGGCATGGTGGCTCGTGCCTGTAATCTCAGCTACTCAGGAGACTGAGGCACAAGAATCTATTGAACCTGGGAGGCGGAGGCTGCAGTGAGCCGAGATCAGGCCACTGCACTCCAGCCTGGGTGATAAAATGAGACTCTGTCTCAAAAAAATAAAATAATAAAATAAATTTTTAAATTTTTTAAAAAACAACTTTACTCTCCTGAGTCCAGATGGGGTTGACTTTACTGATCCTGTGCATTTACTTTGTGTAGCAACCCTAGATAGTAGGTACTGCTGAAAACAAAGTTACAGAAGTTTTTCTTCTCCCATTTTCTTATTCTTTTTTTTCTTTTTGAGTCTCACTCTGTCACCCAGGCTGGAGTGCAGTGGCGCGATCTCGGCTCACTGCAAGCTCCGCCTTCTGGGTTCAAGCCATTCTCCTGCCTCAGCCTCCCGAGGAGCTGGGACTACAGGCGCCTGCCACCACGCCTTGCTAAGTTTTTTGTATTTTTAGTAGAGACGGGGTTTCATCGTGTTAGCCAGGATGGTCTCAATCTCCTGACCTCGTGATCCACCCACCTCGGCCTCCCAAAGTGCTGGGATTACAGGCATGAGCCACCACGCCCAGCCTTCTTATTCTTCTTTTAAATAAGCCCGTAACTAGTAATGAAAACCAAGGATAAATCTATTTATTTGTATTGTTTCAGGAACTTCAGATATTAAAAAGCAATAAAACACTAATCCAATAAAGTAATTTCTGCACACTTGTTTATACGTGACGTAGCGCCGATTTCACAGCTTGGACTCATGAAATTGTTTTCCTCCCGCGCTGGGACAAAGACCCATGACAGCAGCTTGTAGAAGCTGCCACAAGGACTGCCATCTGATGATTCATTTGCTTCTTGGTTTTTCGGGGGCTTGTGTTTTTTTACTTGGAGGTAGGGTTTCTTTCAGGGGAAGTTCAGTAACCGACAGCTACGAGATCTTTACACAGAACGATCACTGCTAAACCAAACCAAAATACCAACGGGGTTTTGGACTCGATGGTAATTTTTTGTTTGTTTGTTTGTTTGGTTTGTTTGGTTTTGATACGGAAGCTCCCCCTGTCACCCAGGCTGGTGTGCAGTGGTGTGACTTCGGCTCATGGCAACCTCTGCCTCCTGGACTCAAGCGATTCTCCTGCCTTCAGAGTAGCTGGGATTACAGGTGCCTGCCACAACCCCCAGCTAATTTTTTTATTTTATTTTTTTAGTAGAGCTGGGGTTTCACCATGTTGGCCAAGCTGGTCTTGAACTCCTGACCTCAAGTGATCCACCCTCCTAGGCCTCCCAAAGTGCTGGGATTACAGGCGTGAGCCTGTGCACCTGGCCCCCATGATAATTTTTATCACATGATGTTATCCAAGGATGACGCCATAAACTGATAGCAATATAGGGTAACATTTACACCTTTCATGAGCAAAATGAGGGGAAATAAAGATGCTCTGGGAGGTTTTCAACAAGTGAAATTTACTCAGTATGAAGTATTGAACTTTATTTGATCCAGATCAATAAAATTTATTGAGCACATTCTGTGTGCCAGGCACTCTTCTAGGCATTGATGAAAACAGAATAGTTGTTCTCAGAGAGTTCTTATTATAGTGGGGATAGACAGACAATAAACAAATAAACATGAACTGGGTTCAGTAGCAACAAGGGCCGTAAGAAGAGCCTGCATGAGGGCATAAAGGATTCAGTAGAGGCCTAGCATCGTGGCTCATGCCTGTAATCCCAGCACTTTGGGAGGCCGAGGTGGGCAGATCACTTGAGTTCAGGAGTTCAAGACCAGCCTGGGCAACATGGCGAAACCCCGTCTCTACAAAATGAAATACAAACATTAACTGGGTGTGGTGGTGCACACCTGTAGTCCCAGCTACTCAGGAGGCTGAGGTGGGAGGATCACCTGATCCCAGGAGGTCATGACTGTAATGAGCCTAGATTGTGCCACTGCACTCCAGCCTTGGTGACAAAGCCAGACCTTGTCTCAAAGAAAAAGAAGAGAGAATGCAGTAGAGTTAGGGAAGTCCATGCCAAGGAGGTGACAATTTAGCAGAGGGTTGCATGAATAGAGGAGGAGGTAAGCCTTGACTATATCTGGGGAAGAATGTTACAGGGAAAGGGAATAGTCATTGAAAGTCCCTGAGGAGGCCGAGCGCTGTGGCTCCCGCCTGTAATCTCAGCACCTCGGGAGGCCAAAGCAGGCGGATCACCTGAGGCCAGGAGTTCAAGACCAGCCGGGCCAGCATGGTGAAACCCCATCTTTACTAAAAATACAAAAAAAAATTAGCTGGGCATGGTGGTGCATGCCTGTAATCTCAGCTACTCGGGAGGCTGAGGCAGAAGAATCACTTGAACCTGGGAGGCAGAGTTTGCAGTGGGCGGAGATGGAACTACTGCACCCCAGCCTGGGTGACAGAGCGAGACTCTGTCTCAAAAAAAAGAAAAAAGTCCCTGAGGAAAAAACGACCTCATGTATTCAAATATGACAAGGAGGCCAGTGTGCAGAGATGAGGGAGAGTAGAAGAAAGGCAATGAGGTTTTCAACGACCTCATGAAAAGCTTGTTAGGGCCAGCATAGTTTTTATTTGTACTCTGAGCTTGTGTGTTTTCCACTACACTGGTGATAGAAACGCCTTTCTTTAATGCAAAGATGGTAAGGCAGTGTTCTTTGTGTTGGAAAGTTATTGTGTCGATTCCTTGAAATTTTTTTTAATCTGATCTGTGAAATCCAGAAGTCTGGGAATGTCAGGAGACGTCTGGTGGCATTCTGTAGGTGGGAGTGTCACGGTGTCGTAGGAAGTTCAGGAATCTGAAGTCTGTGTCCCAGCCATCCTCTGTTCCAGACATGCTGGGTGACAGTAGGCAAGGAATTTCTATTTCTGGGTTTCACTTTTCTAGTCTCTAAAATTCAGAGAGCAGCTTTAAAGAATCCTGAGCCGACGAGGGCATGAAGGACATGGAAAGCCTGAGAGGAAAGCCAAGGAGTCAGGCAGGTGGACTTCCCGGAGGAGGGGACCTGGGGAGCTGCTCTGGGCAGGCTCTTTGTGAAGGGAGAGCAGCCCTGCTCAGTTTCTCCGTGGAAAGTCTCAGGGTTACCATCTCCGCCTCAAATTTTTCAAAAAGAAACAGAAATCATGGTTTTTATGTTAAATCTCTCCGTTCATAAATATTAGCAACCGCTTTAATTAAAAACTAAACAAGGCCAGGCATTGTGGCTCACACCTGTGATCCCAGCACTTTGGAAGACCGAGGCAGACGGATAGATTGAGCCCAGGAGTTTGAGACCAGCCTGGGCAACATAGCAAGACCCCATCTCTACAAAAAAATTTTTAAAAATTAGCCAGGCATGGTGGCATGCATCTGTGGTCCCAGATACTCAGGGGGCTGAGGTGGGAAGATCGGTTGAGGCCAGGAGTTCAAGGCTGCAGTGAGCCGTGATGATGACACTGCACTCCAGCCTGGGCGACAGGGCAAGACCTTATCTCAAAAAACAAAACAAAACCACGTGAGCCCATAAAACACATTTGTGGGTTGGGTTTGGCTGAGGGATGGCACGTTCATTTCCTGGAGCTGCTATAACAAATTACTACAAACTCAGTGGCTTAAAACAGCAGAAATTAATTCTCTCGCAGTTGTGGACGCTGGAGGTTGGAAATCAAGGTGAAGGCAAGGCCACACTCCCTCTGAAGATGCTAGGGATGAGCCCATCCTGGCCTCTTCCAGCTTCTGGTGTTCCTTGGGTTGCGGCCGCATCGCTCCAGCTTCTGCTTCCTTGTTCAAACAGCTTTCTCCATGGGTCTCCGTCCTCTCTTCTTATAGGACTGTCAGTCATTGCTTTTCGGGCCTACCTCATCTTAACTGAATTACACCTGCAAAGACTCCATTTCCAAATAAGGTCCCATTCACAGGTAGGAGGGGTCAGGACTTGAGCCTGTGTTCTTGGGAGGACAGAATTCAAGCCACCATGATGGATATGACCTCTATTATAAATTATTCAGTATAGAGACTCTGGCCTAGGAATCTGGGAACCACCGAATGATTAAAAGCTGCTCTGTAAAGTTTACAAAATCTGTCTCTCCAGGAAGTGAATGATGAATGTGAGAGAGTTCATACGGGTTTCCAAACAGGATTGTCCTGGCTGCAAGACCCAGGTCAAGTCAGACACATTCTAGTCTTCAGAACAGTGTTAGGCGGTGTATTTGTTTCCTGGGATGGCTGTATGAAGGACCACACACTGGGTGACACAGGGCAACAGAAATGTGCTCTCTCACAGTTCTGAAGGACAGAGTCTGCCATCAAAAGTCAGCAGGAGCTGGGGAGGAGGGGGTGGCTCACGCCTATAATCCCAGCACTTTGGGAGGCCGAAGTGGGCGGATCACTTGAGACCAGGAGTTTCAGACCAGCCTGGCCAACATGATGAAACCCCATCTCTACTAAAAATATAAAAGTTAGCGGGGCATGGTGGCACATGCCTGTAGTCCCAGCTACTCCAGAGGCTGAGGTACAAGAATTGCTTGAACCCAGGAGGCGGGTGTTGCAGTGAGCTGGATCATGCCACTGCACTCCAATCTGGACTACAGAGAGAGACTCCGTCTCAAAAAAAAAAAAAAGAAAAAAAAAAGAGTCAGCAGGACATGCTCCCTCAGAAGGCTCTAGAAAAGGAGTCTTCCTGCCTCTAACTTCCCCGTGACTCCCAACAATCCCTGGTGCCCCTCGGCTTGTGGCAGCATCACTCAATATCTGCCTCCTTCTCTGTGTTTCTGTGTCCTCAGTCATTGAATTAGGGCCCACCCTAATTGAGTCTGACCTCATCTTAATTACAAATGGGAAGACCCTATTTCCAAATAAGGTCACATTCTGAGGTTCCAAACGGCCATCAATTTTGAGGTGACTCTCTTCAGTCAGTACTCAGTTCAGGCCGAGTGCAGTGGCTCATGCCGTAATCCTAGCACTTTGGGAAGTCAAGGCAGGCGGACCACTTGAGGTCAGAAGTTTGCGACCAGCCTGGCCAACATGGTGAAACCCCATCTCTACTGAAAAAAGAAAAAATTAGCCAGGCGTAGTGTCACGCACCTGTAGTCCCAGCCACTCGGGAGGCTGAGATAGGAAAATCGCCTGAACCCAAGAAGCAGAGGTTGCAGTGATCGGAGATCACACCACTACACTCCAGCCTGGGTGACAGAGTGAGATCTTGTCTCAAAAAAATAAAGAAGGAAGAAAGGAAGGAAGGAAAGAAGGAAGGAAGGGAGGGAGGAAGGGAAGGAAGGACCCAGTTTATTCACCCAATACCAGTTCTCTTGTCTCCAAGGTCTCTTCCATCTGCCTGTCTCTGTGACTCTAACTTTCCTATCTTTCCTTGAGAGTCTTTGCTGGCCTTTCCATTCAGCCATTTTCTTAAGGAACTTTCATCAACTTCCAAACGCCCCCACCAATCTAAAGCTCAGCTTCAGCTGGAAAATGTCTTAGTGGCAAAATGGTTTAGGGAGGAAAAAAGGCTTTATTTCTTCTGATATTTTTAAACCCGATAGCTCCTCACTTTGAGACTTTAAGCTTCATTGAACCTCTCTGAAAATCTACCTCCTGGAATCATGGGATAGAACATACAGGGGAGGAAAAGCAAACCGCTTTTTCACTTTCTATGTCCCAGGGAATAAAGGACTTCAAGAAAACTGCCCTTACCTTTCCAGCCACATTCCACAATGGCCTTTTCTAACCACAGTTCTTTATGAATCTCCTTTCCATCACATCTCTGATGAGTCTTTCTATTGCTTTGCATGACAAAATACACCAAATCCTAAACTTGTTCTTGTGAGAAAATGGAAAAGTTCACAAGGAAAGAAAATGACCTAAGATGAGTGAGCAATGGTATTCAAAAATAAGGAGATTAGATAATGACGCAATTAGAGTCCATTTCTATGGTTTTCTATAATTCTGAACATTTGCTGACGACTTTGACTGGTTTGGTATTTATTCTTATAGCACATCAATTTAAAATCACCCTCTGTGCTCTAAGAGGAATGATAAATTATGAAGAAAATATGTTCGGAAGAATTTTTTAGTGGGCTATCTGATGCTGACCTGAGATGTTATTATGAGGCCATCCAATCATTCTGGGTTTTTTTAATTCTATCATTTGCATTCCAAGCATTTTAAATATTTAAATGGCCTTTCTTCTTGCTCCTTAATGAGAGTTTGTTTGCATTTAGCACATAATAACTGACTAGAAATGGCTTTCTTCTTCTTGTGTTCTCAATCCAGTGGAAATGGGGAAATCAGTGAGGAAACCAATGTTGTCAACCCAAAGAGAGACGGTGATGACTTAAAGTTGGGTGGAAGTGATGAGAAATAGTTGCATTTGGGATGTATGTTCAAGTTCAAGCCAACAGGATTTTCTGGTGGCTTGGCTGTGAAATCTTACAAAAAGCAATGAGTCAAACATGTTATTACAATTCTGAATGAGGTTTTTATAAAGTCAGAGCTACAGGTCAAAGGCACCAGGTTCCTAGGGCCAGGATCTGAGTGGGCTTCAGATGGGGCCTATGTAGAATTCTTCCTAGACCACTGATTACCATTACAGTAACAACTCCAGGTTGGCTTCCTATTAAAAACAGACCAGATCACCTTGGATTATATGACTGCTTCCCAAAGTGTGATATACATAATACATGTACTAATAGGAAGCTTTTATGTTTTACAAAAACCTATTTATTTTAACTTTTATTTTAGATTCAGGGGTACATGTGCAAATTTGTTGGTTTGTTATATAGGTAAATTGTGAGTCACAGGGGTCTGGTGTACAGATTATTATGTCACCCAGGTAATAAACGTCGTATCCAATAGGTAGTTTTTGCATCCTCACCCTCCTCCCTTCACCCTCCAGTAGGCCTGGTATCTGTTATTCCCTTCTTGGTGTCCATAGGCACTCAATGTCCAGCTCCTACTTATGTATGAGAACACATGGTATTGGTTTTTCTGTTTCTGTGTTACTTCACTTAAGATAATGGCCTCCAGCTCCATCCATATTGCTGCAAAAGACATGATCTCATTCTTTTGTATGGCTGTGTAGTATTTCATGGTATATATATGCCACATTTTCTTCATCTAGTCTACCACTGATAGGCATTTAGGTTGATCCCATGTCTTTACCATTGTGAATAGTGCTCTGATGAACATATGTGTGTATGTGTCTTTATGGTAGAATAATTTATATTCCTTTGGGTATATACCCAGTAATGGCATTGCTGGGTTGAATAATAATTTCATTATGAGCACTTTGAGAAATCTCCAAACTGCTTTCCACAATGACTAATTTACATTCCCACCAGCGGCATGTGAATATTCCCTTTTCTCTGCAAGCTCACCAGAATCTGTTTTTGTTTTGTTTTGTTTTGGTTCTTAAGAGCCATTTGCACTGGTGTGAGATGGTATCTGATTTTGGGTTTGATTTGCGTTTCCCTAATGATGAGTGATGTTGAGCATTTTCTCATATGCTTCTTGGCCACATGTATGTCTTTTTTTGAAAAGTGACTGTTCATATCCTTTGCCCACTTTTTAATGGGGCTGTTTTTTGCTCACCTTTGTCAGATGCATAGTTTGCAAATTTTTTCACCCATGAGGTAGGTTGTCTGTATACTCTGTTGATATGAAAAAAAAAAAAAAAACACTATTTTTAAATAGCCTTATCCCAAGTCATAATCCATGAAACTATAGTTTTTATGGGCATATTTTTAAAATCTATTTTGAGGCATTTATTTCATTGAGAATTACATATACACATGTGTACATACACACACACATGCACAGAAACACACACCAGCCCATCAAACCCAGGAGTGCATGGATTATTGCCTAAGGGTGAGACTAACTTTAAAAAACACTGGTCAATTTTTTAAATCATTAGGAGAATAATAATAAAATTGATTCTAGAATGTGGCAAAAATTGTGAAGGTGGCCTGCAAATGATTGCAGATTGAAAAACACAAAATTATATCAAGTCTTATCTGCATGCATATGAAAATGACAGGAGAATAAAATTCAAATTCAGTTAGTGAAAAATCCTTCTAATACACAGTCTATGTACTTCTACAAATCAAGGCGACAAACCAGCATAAATGAGGAGATGAAATGACAGGATGTGAGGGGTGATATGAGTGGTACTTATTCCCCAAATGAAATAATGACTTACTAAAGGAAAGTTGAGTGAGGAAAAACATTGATAATTGTCCAATAAATCTTTCCATAACCTCCCATTAGTCATCAGAGCATTTCAGTCCCTTTTTTACCTAGGAAGGGAAGTCAGACGTAAAGCACAAGCAAGCAATTGCTGAAGCCACACCAGGGAACCACAGGGCTGCTGCTTTTCCCATCTCGGGGTGCCTATGGGTGTTCTCCTTCCCTGTAGCATCAAGACCATCAGATGGCCTATAAGCCCATTTTAAATTGCCATTTGCCCTTTTTAGAACTACTGGGAAACATTCTTGTGTGCATCAAAATTATTTTTTCTCCTCTGGCCTTGGGACCTCGGTCAAGTTAAGTTAGCTCCTCATTACCAAAAGGATTTGAAAACAGTAGTTCTGGGTACTAACTCCTTTGCCAGTTTGCCTTCATTTCTTTATTTATTATTTCAGCACAGAACTGTGAATCTCATACTCTAACAGGATAGGAAATACTTATCAGATAAATACATAAACATTTGCCAATTCAGTTTGGTGTTACCAAGAAGTACAAAATGTTGTAAGGGTCTATATTAATGAGGAAGCCTTGCCTTAGAAGTCCTGGGAGTCAGGGAAGACCACCCTAAGAAATTGAAGTTTGGGGAGAAGTTAGCCAAGTGAGAAGAGGGAGGAAGAACATTCCAGACAGGGATACCAATTTGCACTAAAGCTCTAAAGCATAACGGACTTGGTGTGCTTGAAGAACAGAAAGAAATTTGTCATGTCATGCATAGGGTGGCCAACTGTCCTGGTTTGCTCTGGACTAAGAAGTTTCCCAGGATGTGGGGCTTTCTGTGCTAAAATCGGGAAAGTGTTGGCAAACTGGAACAGATGGACCATCCTTGTAATAAGCAATAAGTACAGTGATGTTAAACCAAGCTGGAGAGATGAGCAGGGGCCATTTATCTGAATCACCACTTGTTACTGCTAGGATCCTGCCATCTTGTCTGACTTCTTGGGGCCTCAAGATAACAAAGATATTCTCTTCTGCATATCTTCCCAAAACTTAGAGGCTTAAAAAATAATTTATTAGTATCTCTCACAGCCTAGGAGTTGACCTGACTCAGCTAGGATGTCTCATTTAGGGTCTCTTATGCAGTTGCTTGGGCTAGAATCACTTGAAGCCTTTACTTCCAGTTGGATTTCTCCACTCATATCTGGTATCTCACCTAGAATGGCTGAAACAACTGAGAGCTAGCTGGGCATCTCCCCTTCACCTCACTTATGTTGTGCACACTCATGTGCATAGCCACCCTATGCGACTAATCTGGCTTCCTCACAACATGGTGGTCTCAACACAGTCAGACTCCTTACATGGGCCAACTCTCCCTAGAGCAAGCACTCTCAGAGGCCCACAGAAGTTACAAAGTCTCTTATGACCTAGCTTCAGAAGTTACCTCTTTTGCATTCTATGGGTCAAAGTGAATCACAGGCCTAGGCCAAATTCAAAAAGAGTGGAAATAGGCTCCTCTCCATGGGAGGAATAGCAAAAATCGGTGGCCATCTCTCTTCTTCTATAGATGCTGTGGGTCAGTGTGCCTCACAGAATCGTGGTGTACTTCACTGACAGCAAGATATGCTTGGCCTCATGAAAACAAGCGAGGAGTCATTGCAAGTCCAACTCAAACATGTATAGTTTGAACAAGACTTGTGTAAGTCAAGGCCTCATTCTGATACTGCAACATTTTACAGTCCCTTTCAAGAACCTTACACTTGCTCTCTCTACTGCATCAAGGAATACTGCCTGATGGGCTAGAGAAGGACCAAGCCTACCAGTGAGACCGTCACCTCAGTTCAAAGCTATCTGCCTTAAGTACTTTCTTCTTGTGACATGTTGGGGAGTTCTAGATTCCCCTGTGACTTTCTTACAGTCCCCAAGCAAATCAGAGCTCTCTCACTCGGTAGCTTGGAAGCAAGACTACTCCTTGGCTCTCTCTTGTTTATCCAGAATCTATCGACTATCAGATGTCAGCAAACTCATTCTTTAAAGGACTTGATGGTAAATATCTTAGACTTTCAAGGCTTTGCTGTCTCTGTTACAGATACACAACCTGAGGTTTATAAACTTTATAAAAACAGGCCACTGGGCCGGGTATGGTGGCTCACACCTGCAATCCCAACGTTCTTGGAGGCCAAGGAGGGCGGATCACTTTAGCCCAAGATTTCGAGAGACGCCTGAGCAACACGGCAAAACCCCATATCTATAAAAAAAATACAAAAAATTAGCTGGGCATGATGGTGCATGCCTGTAATCCCAGTTACTCGAGAGGCTGAGATGGGAAGATCGCTTGAGCTCAGCAGGTCGAGGCTGCCGTGAGCCATGATCGGGCCACTGCACTCCAGCCTGGGTGACAGAGTGAGACCTTGTCTCAAAAAAACAAAAGGCTACTGGCCAAGTCCCGTGGCCAGAGTTTGCTGGCCCTGGATTAGATGCTTGTCTCAAGGTCTCAGGGATAAGTATTCTCTCTTTCCACTACGGGAAATGTGAAGACAAAATATCCTAAGATGAGAGAAACTTCAGCTTTTACTCGGTGGTTCTGTTCAAAAGATAAAAATAATAGAACCTAGGCCAGGCACGGTGGTTCACGCCTGTAATCCCAGCACTTCGGGAGGCCGAGGCGGGCGATCACCTGAGGTCAGGAGTTCAATACCAGCCTGGCCAACATGGTGAAACCCCATCTCTAATAAAAATACAAAACATAGCCAGGTGTAGTGGTATGCGCCTGTAATCCCAACTACTCGGAAAGCTGATGCAGGGGAATCGCTTGAACCCAGGAGGCAGGGGCTGTTGTGAGCCAAGATTGCGCCACTACACTCCAGCCTGGGCGACAAAGCAAAACTTTGTATCAAAATAATAATAATAATAATAATAATAATAATAATAATAATAGAACCTAATGCAGAGCACAAGCTAAATGACTAGCCAAGGAAAATGTCATTCAAAATCTCCCACACCTTAAACTGGAAGCCAGAAAAAAAAACTCTTCAAATTTGTACTGAATTTGTACTTTAAAGCCCCAACAGGTTTTCCCCCTGTTTCAGTGTGTCTCTGAATATTCATAACAAATTTAAAACCCTGTGTAGTGTTTTTCACATGACAGGAGTTCAATGGCTTCATCTGAAAATTAAATCAGTGTTTTCCAAAATGGGAAACATACATCTCTGGTAATAAATGAAATTTGAGGTAGGATAGCTAATGAATACTTTTTGTTTGAATTGTCTATTTATTGATCACAAAACTTATTGTAATATGTCTTTAAAAAAAAACTGCCACATGGAACCTGTTACCTTACAGATGTTGCTTAGGACAAGGGAAAGAAGATATTTACATTTTTTAAAAGTCAGTTGATGTAAATAAAACCACTAAAGAAAAATAATATGAGAGATGATATGAGGATGTAGAAAAAATTTGTGAGAACAGTAAACAAATTATTCTTTCTCGGGAAACACTGGAATAAATGTTTCCTATCCCATCCTGGCTGTTCAAACACTGGCCTAACCACTTGGTTAGCACAGGTACCATGTGGGATTTTTTTGTTTATTTTTTATTTTATGTTCTTCATCTCTCTCACCTAGCACAGTGCTTGCTACATAAAAGGCCCACAGTAAGCCAGGCATGGTGGCACATGCCTGTAATCCCGGCACTTTGGGAGGCCGAGGTGGGTGAATGGCTTGAGCCCAAGAGTTTGAGACAAGCCTCAGCAACAGGGCGAAACCCCGTCTCTATAAAAAATACAAAAATTAGCCAGCCGTGGTGTCACGCGCCTGTAGTCCTAGCTACTCAGCAGGCTGAGGTGGGAGGATCACCTGAGCCCGGGAGGTAAAAGCTGAAATGAGCCGTGATTGTGCCACTGCATTCCAGCCTGGGTGACAGAGTGAAACCCTGTCTCAAAAAATAAATAAGTAAATAAATAAAGGCTCACAATAAATGTAGAATGAGTGGATAAATTAATTAAGTTGTCACTCAGATTATTAGGTTAATTTGAGTCACGGAAAATAACCTGACACTAACTCAAGGATCTAGTATTTCAGATGTTCTTAAGAACAGTCTGAAGTTTGCAGAGCGGAAGAGATGAGCTTGTTTAAAATCAGTGAATTAGAAGTGGACAGTCTCTTGGGATGTCTTTGCCAAGCGAAGCCCAATGGTGCCATAAATCAGGATGTCTAATTGAAGCAATGTTTTAGGAATTAAACAGCAATTAAATCAAATGGGAAAGTTTCTAAGGGACACCTTTGACACCATGGGGAGAAAAGTCAAAACAACCCCAAGAGTCTATGGGAAAAAAAAATGGCTTTCTTCCAAAGGGCTTGCTGGTTATAATTATCAAACATATCTGTGATTAAAACCCTCTTTCTTCCAAAGACTTTATGATCTTACCATAGATTTCCCTCCTGTAACATCGTGAGCCAAAGCAGAAAAATCACCGAAGCATCACAAATGCAGGAAACCATGGAAAAAAGACTTGGAAAGGAAATGTGTAGCAAAAACTTTCATCCTGCCAAAAACTAGTTTTGTGAAACCGGTTCTCAAAATAGATGGTATAACCTGTATCTGTTTACCCAGCGAAAGTAATTTAAGGCATTTCAGCCTCAATGTCACCAACTTCAAGAGAAGCCTAACTTGAGCTTGAAGGTTGATGGTTGGAGAGTGTGTGTGTGTGTGTGTGTGTGTGCACACGCATGTGTGTTATAAAAGGTTTATTTAAAACTGTGGTAAATTCTTTCATAACAGTGTTTCCAAAAATATGGGACTCCTACCTGCAATAGAGGTGATTTTAGGTAAAATGTGAACAAAAAACAAAGGCTTTCTTATTTTAGCAGTTACAGAGTCTTATATAAAGCAAAATAAAAATATACTCAATACATCCATGATAGTATGAATTATTGCTTAGAATGAGGTGAAGTTTTTAAAGTATGTTAATTTCTCTAAAAAGAATATTAAGGAAATAATTGAACATAGGAGTAACTCTCAAACATGGCAAAATTTGTAAAAGTTGCTTCCCAAATGGCTGAGGATTGTGAAACACTGTTCTATAGCACAGCTAGGACTCTTTCTAACACACAATGCAAAAAGGAGGAGCTTGCATCCTTCATTTAATAAAATCCAACAAAGACAGTAAAAAGAATAATGGGGCAGAAGGTAGGGATGAAGAATTCACTTTTCAAGTTCAGATTATCCCAGCTGATTATCCAAGTGATCACTTTGATGATGAGATTCTGGAAAAATAAACTTCACTGCCAATACTTCACCTTACAAGCAGGTGAACACTCTTCTGCATATTTAGGAAATATTTATTTTGTGAGGGTTCAAGAGAATGGCAATTGTGTACATCTCATTTTTAAAATAATAACTATTATCATTATATTATCGCTAGCATTCATTTCATTAGAGAATCCTCTCTATCCCAAAAAACTAGAAACCACGTATAAGAAAATAGATACTATAGTAATGACTATGCTGGTCTCATCAATTCAGACTGTATTGTGAGTCCATCCTATGCAGAATCCTGCGTTTGTGATTCTAATTCAGGATCCAGCATTTTGTAGCTCTGTGATTTTGTGTGACTCACTCATCCACGAAATCTTGGTTGTAACATCTGTAAAACAGGGATGATGATTCCCACCTCAGATTGATAATTAAATAAGAGAATGTATAAAATATGTACAAAACACCAATCATGAAGTTAGTCCACAGCACATGTTAATTACTGCTAGTTTTCTAGGCCTCTCCACTTTCTTTTCACCCCCATCACTCACTTTAGCAGTTCTACTGTACATCAGGTCTACTGTACATCATCCACAAAGACCTCACATACGAAAGGTAGAAAATGAACCCATTTGCTTGCCAGTAAATGTCTACCACTGCCTCTAATATCATTTGCTGGAATCCAACTTGTATTTGCATCCTGAATCATTCATGCCTTCATTCAACGAAAATAAATGGACTGCCTCCTCATGCCATGCACCATGCTTGCTCCCTGGTAAGGAAACAAGCAATTAAATGCATATGTCAGGTACAATTTTCACACAGCACAAGCTCCAGTGTGTGAAAAATATAACTGGCTTCATTTTTATCCTATAAATTAATTTCTTTCTTGGAGCCCTCATTATATCTAAAGTGAAGAAAATACCTCAGTTACTGCAGGGTCTCTTTGGTAAATTCAGGGATTTCCCACTTGCCTTCACTTGGATTGCTTTTATGACTTAGGTGACTCAGGTAGGGATGAGTCAAGGGAGAAATTGGCGATTTGTCTGGTCCTCAGTGTTCATTTCCTCCCCATGACTTTTGGTGTCTGTGTATGGTCCCTACTGGCAGGTAGTAGGGACTGCTCTTCCTACACTGCATCCACAGAGATGTCCCCATTCCCAAATCCACAGGGTTACCTGCTGTCCCATGTCTCTGTCCCTTTGTGGGCATTGCTTTCTCTGCCAGCTCTTTCTTCTCTGTTGAGCTCTGTACCTTTTTTGGGGACAAGGAAAATGTTGGCTGTTGCAAAAAGCTATTCTAAACCTATGAAAATGGAGACAGGCTGGCTCACACCCTCCTTGCAGGTGGAGCTCTGAGGGCTTCCCAGTGCTGCAAGCATGGGTCTCCTTTGCCCCTCAAACTTACCTGCGGAATCTTTCCATGCCCTCCCTAGGTCTAGCCCCACCTAGGGGTAGGAGGTCAAACTTCAAAGTTCTTTCCAGAGATTTATCCCAGTATCTTACTCTCTTGTGCTCCTAAGAGGCTCTTTTTCCTCCCCAAATCCCGACATTCCTTCCCTGCTGGTGCTGGGGTCAGGGCTAAGTAAGGTTACAGGCTGGCTCAGGAAATGTTCCTCCGAATCTGTTGTGATTTGGCCATGCCCTTGGCCTTTGACTCTCCAAAACCCAAAGTTCCATTCCTCTGCCCTCAGGTTCAGGCTCCTCCGTGACTATCTCCCGTCCAAACAAGGAACGGTCCCAGTGGTTAAAAGAACTGGAGAAGGGGGAAGAAATCAATGAAGCTGTCCCAAGATTATCCCACCATATGAGCCAATGCAACACAGAGTGAAAACAGGGACCCAAAGAGAGCACAGAGCAGCTGCAATGGGAGGTCAGACAAGAAATAGAAGCTTCGGGATAATGACATTCAAATTGCTCTTCACGAGCCCTGGTGGCCTTTCTCAGGCACTCCATGGCTCCCCCCGGGCCACAGTTTCCTGTCTGGATTATATCACTCAGCACTGCAGGAGACCAGGATCATATAGTTCTGAAGATGAATTAATAGTAACTGCTGCACATGTGACTGCAAAACTGCAGACTTTCATGACCAAAGAGACAACCTGGTGTGTGGGGAAGGACAGAGTCCTGTGGCTTGGGTTTGAGACAGGACTTCTCTAGCTCTCAGTTCTATGACCTTGGCCAAGTCACTGCTCCTCTCTGCGTGTTTCCTTATCTGCAAAATGGGATACCGATCCCTCTTTTACAGGGCTTTTGTGAGACTATCTGTGAAACTACTTTCTCACCGGGCACAGTGGCTCACGCCTGTAATCCTAACACTTTGGGAGGCCAGGGCAGGTGGATCACCTGAGGTTCGGAGGTCGAGACCAGCCTGGGCAACATGGTGAAACCCCGTCTCTAATAAAATACAAAAGAAATTAGCCGGGGGTGGCGGTGTGCACCTGTAGTCCCAGCTACTCGGGAGGCTGAGGTAGGAGAATTGCCTGAACCTGGGAGGCAGCGGTTGCAGTGAGCCGAGATTGTGCCACTGCACTCAAGCCTGGGCAACAAAGAGAAACTCTGTCTCAAAAAAAAAAAGAAAAAAAGAAAAAGAAAATGCTTTATCTACCAGAAAGACTACACAAATATTAGGTATCATTTTTATTGGTAGTCTGTCATTAGCCTGAATATATAGCCCTAATCTTGAGATGTACCCTAGAAGTTCTTACAAATACCCTAGAAGTTCCATAGGGGTGGATAAATCCATGACTTTTATTTTGTAACTATTTAATTGTTATTAAGGGCCTGGTGCGGTGGCTCATGCCTGTAATCTCAGCACTTTGGGAGGCTGAGGAGGGTGGATCACTTGAGGCCATGAAATCAAGACCAGCCTGGCCAATATGGTGAAACCCCATCTCTACTAAAAAATAATAAAATTAGCTGGGCATGTTGGCCCATGCTTGTAATCCCAGCTACTCGGGAGGCTGAAGCAGGAGAATCTCTTGAACCCTGGAGGTGGAAGTTGCAGTGAGCTCAGATTGCACCATTGCACTCCAGCCTGGTGACAGAGTGAGACTCCGTCTCCAAAAAATAATAACAATAATAATAATAATTGTTATTACAAAAAAAAGCCCGGTTTCCATTTCCTCATAAACGCTCCATCTATTTAAGCTTGCTAATTATTTCAATCCTGGAAAATTACCAGGATAAATGATTAACTGTTCCCTTAATATGATTTCAGGAAGTAACCAAAAAGCTAGGCTTCCCAAAGTAAGCCAGATCCTACTTTGGCAGTTTAACTTGTTCCCAAACCCTCTTCCGGATGACATGTGAGTTCCACCTGGGGCTCTGCATTTCACCTTTTTGCTATTTTCGAAACCCGAAGACATCAGAATGGTGCCCAGGGAAGGCCCCCAGAGACAAAAATGCAAGACCGGGGCCAAGGGGAGGTGTGAGAGCCGACCAGATTTCCCAGGAGCTGGGAGAGGCAGAGATTTCTTCCAGAAACAGGGAAATTTATGTGGGGAGCACACAGTTGGGAGCCGTGAGCCAGTTCTTGCTTACAAATAGCAGGAAGAAACTAGACGGGGAAGAAAGGAAGACATTCATTACTGAAGGCGAGGGATTTGACTGGGCCTGGAAACTCCAAAACTGCAGCCCCAAATTGCTTCATGAACGAAGCCATTCACTTTTAGCCACACGCAGACCCGTTTATTTAGATCAAATTAAGATCCGAATACAGCAATCTTAATCATTTAATTGTTTGGTGGGGAGAGCATCATATAGTCTGTATCTTCTTTGTTTATGGCTTCACCTTGACGAGCTGTGTCTGTGACTCATGCATTGGGTTTGCCATCCACTGTCCTGACGTCTAGTCCCTGCCTGACCACTTCCCAGCTGTGTGACTTCAGCAAGGGGCTTGACCTCTTTGGGCCTGTGTTCAATTTTATAAAGTGATTGTGAGGCCTGCTTCACAATCACAATTAAAACTTGAAGTTGTAAGTAAAAATGCCCCCTGACCAAAAATGAGATAAAGCAATAATGATCCAGGTGGTACCTGCATTACTTAGTATCCTCAGTGGTTTTTTTAGACATCAATGGAGGATATGTCTAAGTCTACAATTAAATGACATTGTACTTTCTCATTTTAAAACATAAAGGAGTCGGCTGGACGCGGTGGCTCACGCCTGTAATCCCAGCACTTTGGGAGGCCAAGGCGGGTGGGTCACGAGGTCAGGAGATCGAGACCATCCTGGCTAACACGGTGAAACCCCGTCTCTACTAAAAATACAAAAATTAGCCGGGCATAGTGGCGGGTGCCTGTAGTCCCAGCTACTCGGGAGGCTGAGGCAGGAGAATGGCGTGAACCCGGGAGGCGGAGCTTGCAGTGAGCTGAGACCACAACACTGCATTCCAGCCTGGGGACAGGGCAAGACTCCGTCTCAAAAAATAAAAATTAAAAAATGAAAAATCAAAAATAAAACATAAAGGAGTCAACCCAGATCTAGATATATGGGGAAAGCATGCCATGTATAGTAGGAATAATATAAAAACAGGAGGCGGAAAAGAGTTAAGCCTTTCTTAAAAGGGATTTTTTTTTCTCTTTGGAATGTCATATTATTGACTTATGATATTTCAGTTTCTCAGAATTGGAAAATAAAGGAAAACTCAGAAGTGAGTACTGCACAGACACTGGCTAAGTATATATTTGCACCCCCACAGAAAGAAAAAGGCTAATGGAGATACTGGGGCGCCCCAAAGGATCACTCACGCCTCCCTCGGTGTAGGAAACGCAGATCACAGCCATCAGATGGTGAAAGGACAACTCTCCATACTTAGCAGTCATGGGAAGAATGGGAATACCATTCTCGGTCGTGGGGCGTGACAGCCTTCCTCATAATTCTTCCTTAAGAATCTTTATCTTATCCTCTGTCGCCCTGGAGATGTTTTTAAGGTCGCTGTTAGGGCTCCAGTTTTAACCCAGGGTTCCCAAGCCAAGCTCTACCCCGTTAGGCAGTACTTGGTCCACGGGGAGCTTCATTCATTCATTCCATCAATTTGATTTAACTCCTTCTGAGCCAGGGACCAGGGATAACAACGAGGAACAAAGCCCAGGCCCTGCCTAAGGCAAGAAGGAGCCTGGAACTTTCGAGAATCTGAAAAGAAAGCTGGAGAGGCTGGAATCTAGTGAGCAAAGCAGGAGAGTGGCCCAGACAAGCCTGGAGAGAAAAGTAGAGACCAGATCACTCCGGACACAAAGATGATGTCCCACCTGCCACACCGGACGAGGGTGTTAGACCCATAGTCTCAACCGCACCTTCATTTTTAAGACAGCATTCCAATTGGCTATTCCCCCTGCCTCCAAATGAGCCTGGCTCCTCCACTGGAGAAGGCCAGGCCCTGGGTCTCACACAGTATTTAGACAGAACTCACCCCTCACCTCTTAGCGTGGCCTGAGAGCCTCAGCTGCAATGGCAAGGCTCTGTATTTATATAACAAGCCCTGCTCAAGTATTTTTAGGCCTACTGTTTAGAAACACACAGAGGGGGCAAGAAAGAGAATAAATATGGAAATCAAATGTAAAAACTTCTGGCTCTTGCAACCGGCTTCCTGGGGGAATATTCCTCTGTGTTCTTTCCACTTCTTCTACTCAGCGGAATGACTGCTAGTCATTAAGGAAATCTGTGAGGAGCTCACGGTACAGGAATTGTACACCAATGCTCCCATCCTCATTTGCATATCCCATTTTTTGATTGGCAGCTGTACATGAAATGCCATATCAGTTGAAAGTATGTTGTGAGCTGGCACTAATGATCCTATGGCTCCAGGGAAGCCTGCCATATTGTAATTTGGCTATCAGGCATGAAAGAAATAATTCTAAGTGCCAGGAATGCAAGACTGAATAAATGTTTCACTGCTGCAGGTTGTCAAGGGCGACACTTCTGATTTAGTATAAACGAATGCCCCGTTGCCTTTGGGGTACCGGGAGTTTGCATTGTATCTGAGCTGTGTGTATAAAACATTAGTCTAAGAAAATGGCTTCGGTGTAAGATGGGAAACAGAGGCCTGCTCCCAGAAGGCGGCGGAATGTTTACAACTAATCACTGGATGAAAGGATTTTGCTACCTTCTATAATGACAGGCAAACAGGATTTGCTTTTCCTGAGATGGAGAATAATGGTTATGTTAACTCTGCCTCACCTAGCCTTTTTTTTTTTAAATGAAATGCTCTTTTGTAAAGAAAATCACATCTGTTTCCTTTTATATATGAAAGGGATATAAATTCTTTTTCTTTCCCTCCCTCTGTGTGAATAGCCCGTGGTGTACCTTGGAATTAACCCTTTCTGATGTCCTCGGGTTTCAGAGGTCTGGAAACATGACCACCACTTCCTTCTCCCTGGCTCCTGACTTCACACACCTGCCTAGACAGAGAGCGTCTTTAGAAGTGGACAGCGATCGTTTTCACTTGAATTTTCACTAAGATCCCAAAGCCAATTCCCGGCATACCGAGCTCCACGGGATCTCACTTTCCACTAACAAACTTCCCGAGCGTTCACTGTATGCAATGTAGAAAACAGTGGTCTAAAAAGCAGTGCCTCCCTAGAAGAAATGCCACTGGAAGTTTCTTCCTAGCTGTGGCCTCTGTTGACCATCTGGGACCTGGCTTCAGGATCATCTTAAGATCTGTTTTATTTTCCCTTGATTCTATGTGGGGATATTCTTTGAAGATGGTTTCCACCATGTACTTCCTTGCTTGGATGTCACTAAAGTAAAGGCTCGGGTACCTGTTTAGACATGACAGAACAGCAGTCACAGGAAAAGACCATTTTTCCATTTGTTCTCTAGGCAAAGGCCAGCTGGGGTAAATCAAGACTGGGCTGGGGAGCACCTGGACCTCTTTTGCTCTCAAGTCTTGATTTGGGAAGAAACCAACCTGACACTTGGACTCCCCTCTTGAAGTGAAACTTCATTATTGCCTCTCGCCTACAGTTGAAGTGAAACTGCATTGTTGCCTCTCGCCTGCAGTTGAGGTGACTCTCAGGTGGGCTTGGCAAGAATGGGAGTGAAAATGATAACTTAAAAGATAACTAGGCGGGCATGGTGGTTCACGCCTGTAATCCTAGCACTTTGGGAAGCTGAGGTGGGCAGATTGTCTGAGCTCAGGAGTTCGAGACCAGCCTGGGCAACATGGTGAAACCCTATCTCTACTAAAATACAAAAGAAATTAGCCAGGTGTGGCAGCATGCGCCTGTAGTCCCAGCTACTCAGGAGGCTGAGACAGGAGAATTGCTTGAACCTGGGAGGCAGAGGTTGCAGTGAGCCAAGATCATGGCACTGCACTCCAGCCTGGGCAATAGAGCGAGACTCCATCTCTACAAAAAAAAAAAAAAAGGATAACTAAGTGTATGGTCAGATGGTCAGATTTACTCATCCCTATCAAACTGACGCAGGAGATTCCCATCATAGCAATCCCTTCAGCCATTCCACTGTTGTAGATTGTGTCATAGGGTTGTAATACAATACACAGATCCCATAAGAGACAGCATCTTACAATGTTTCTCTTCAGTAGGTGAAGAATTTTTAAATTGTAGGTGGAGGACACTGAAGATACTGTTCATTCAAACTCACATTTCTTGCTCCTTCACTTAAATGACACACAAATTATTGGGTATTCGCTCTGTGGTGGGCTTTGGGGGTATAAAAATAAATGAGGCAGGTCCTCTGCCCTCGAGTAAGTCATAGTTAACAGGAAATGCGCATCAAAACATAAAAGCAACCACATCTACTGTGATGATACAACACTGAAGGTGGGTGAAACCCACAGTCGAGAGCCTGACAGTCACAGTCGCAGGAGAAAATGCCAGTTGAACATACTCACCTCTTTAACTTTCTTCTTCTACTTTTCTTTTTTTTCTTTCTTTTTTTTTTTTTTTCTTGAGATGGAGTCTTGCTCTGTTGCCCAGGCGACCTTGGCTCACTGCAACCTCTGCCTCCCAGGTTCAAGCAATTCTCGTACCTCAGCCTCCCAAGTAGTCGGAATTATAGGCGCCCACCACCACACCTGCCTGGCTAATTTTGTATTTTTAGTAGAGATGGGGTTTTTCACCATGTTAGCCAGGCTGGTCTCAAACTCCTGACCTCAAGTGATCTGCCCGCCTTGGCCTCCCAAAGTGCTGGGATTACAGGCATGAGCCACCACACCCGGCTGCCTCTGCAAGTTTCAAGGGCCAGCTTAAATTTAGGTTTAAATTGTGTACCCACTACATGCCAGGTACAATATTTAGCTACTTTCACTTATATTATGTAGTTTAATTCTCTTCCAGTGGATGATTATTCATTGATATTAAGATTACAGAGGTTCAATATTAAGAGAAAATGAAGTAAACCTTGCAGGCAAGCAGGAACATACTGGAATGTGTGACCTTTTCCTCATCAGTTATGGGAGATTTTCCAAAAGTATGAATGTCTGAAAACCCAAACATCTACAGATAGGGTCCCCTCCTAGTGTTCCTTTCTTCCAGGTAATCCAAAACTTCTCAGAACATCAGCACTCGTAAAAATGACCAAACAGAGTTAACTCTGCAATATCATTCATACCACATTCAAGGGGAATTTCAGAGATTTTCTAAGTGTAACTGGGTTATGTGTAGTTTTCACTTAAGCCCGGACTCGAAGCTCAACTCCTACACGATTGTGTCTCTATTGCTTGTTGAAAGGGTGATATATGTTCAGAGGAAATTGTGTCTAAGTCCACATTAGGCCTGAAAGAGGGATGGTCATGGAAGACTTCATTGAGGTGGTGATTTTCCAGAATGCATGAATTAGGAGAGGAAATTCCAGGCAGAGTGGCCAAGACTAGCAAATGCTAGGAGGAGGTGACAGAGTATGGCTGGCTTTGGGTTGAAAGACTAGAAGAAAAGTAGTGGCAGAGGTGAAGTTACAACAGTAGGCAGGTGGCCATGCTCTGCTGGTTGATGTTATTGTGTTGCCTACCCGCTTGCTTTGAGATCTCCAGACCTGTGGTTTTCAACAGGGAGATGACTTGGCCCCCAGGGGACATTTGGCAATGTCTAGAGACATGTTGGTTGTCACAGTTAAGGAAGGGGTGCTACTGGCATCTAGTGAGTAGAGGCCAGGAAAGCTGCTAAATATCTTACAATGCCTGGGACTATCCCCGACAACAAAGAATTGTCCGGCCTGAAATGTCAATAGCGCTGAGGTTGAAAAAGCCTTTTCGTCTAGACCATGGCCACTTATTTTCATGCTGTTCTGGTGTCATGGAGGCAAATGCAAAGCAAGTTTAAACTTTGTGTGTTGGAATAAGGATGTCTCAGGACAAATATTTATTTGGAATCCCTGTTCCTTTTGAGCCAGGGAATAGGGTGGGGAGGCAGCAGAGAGAGCGACTTTAGGGAGAAATATTAACCTTGCAAATGTGCGCATTTTCAATTCACATCCTAGTGACAGGCTACAACTTGTAATCAGTATAAAATGATTTTCCGGGAGAGTAAATGCTTATTTTCACTGTCTTGATGTTGGCACTGGATTACTTGGTATTAATCCCAGGGTGACAGAGTCACATTTGGAAGCCGTGAGATTTATTTGGATGTCTCGCAGGGCCAGGGGCAGCCTTCATTTTACATCCTTGATCTTGGATAATTTAAATAATAGAGCTGCTTTTCTGTATACACTAGTGGTGTGAAAAGGAAGTTATCCACCTAGGACATATTCCAAGAGCCACAGAAAGCCAGGGAAGGAAGAAGAGAGGATAAGAATGTCTCCATATTTATTGTTATCTCCATGCTTAGCAGCAGCAACTATTATTACAACAAACAATGAACACTTATTAAACACCGACTGTGTGCCTTCTTCCCTGGCACAAGAGAGCAAGAAAGTCTTTGCTATTGTGAGCAGTGCTCCAATAAACATACATGTACATGTGTCTTTATAGTAGAATGATTTGTAATCCTTTGGGATTATAATGGACCCAGTAATGGGATTGCTGGGTCAAATGGTATTTCTGGTTCTAGATCCTTGAGGAATCGCCACACTGTCTTCAACAATCGTTGAACTAATTTACACTCCCACCAACAGTGTGAAAGCATTCCTATTTCTCCACATCCTCTCCAGCATCTGTTGTTTCTTGACTTTTTAATGATCGACATTCTAACTGGCATGAGATAGTATCTCATTGTGGTTTTGATTTGGCCAGCAAAATTTGTTAAGGGACCAGAGAGTAAATATTTTTAGCTTTGCTAGCCATACAGCTTCTTTGGCAACTACTCAGCTCTGATGCAATGTGAAGCAGCCATAGATAATATATAAACAAGGGAGTGGGACTGTGTTCCAATAAATCTTTATTTACAAAAACAGGCAGCTGGGCCAGATTTGTCCTGGAGGTTCTAATTCATCCGCTCCTGATCAACAGCATATACTACACTTTTGTTTTGTTTTGTTTTGTTTTGTTTTGTTTTGTTTTGGTTTGGTTTGAGACAGAGTCTTGCTCTGTCGCCCAGGCTGGAGTGCAGTGGCACGATCTCGGCTCACTGCAAGCTCCGCCTCCTGGGTTCACACCATTCTCCTGCCTCAGCCTCCCGAGTAGCTGGGACTACAGGCACCCGCCACCACATCCAGCTAATTTTTGTATTTTTAATAGAGACGGGGTTTCACCGTGTTAGCCAGGATGGTCTTGATCTCCTGACCTTGTGATACACCTGCCTCAGCCTCCCAAAGTGCTGGGATTACAGGTGTGAGCGACAGCACCAGGCCGTTTTTTTTGTTTGTTTGTTTGTTTTTTGTTTTTGTTTTTTTTTTTTTACAATCACAGCTCACTGCAGCCTCAAACTCTGGGGCTCAAACAATCCTTCCACTTCAGCCTCCTAAAGTGCTGGAATTACAGGCATGAGCCACCATGTCCAGCCCAGTGTACTATTTTAAAGACATTCCTTCTGAATATTTAAGCAATGATATTAAGAATGGCAAAATAGCCGAGCACAGTGGCTCTCGCCTGTAATCCCAACACTTTGGGAGGCTGAGGTGGGTGGATCACCTGAGATCAGGAGTTTGAGAACAGTGTGGCCAACATGGCGAAACCCTGTCTCTACTAAAAATACAAAAATTAGACAGACGTGGTGGTGTGCACCTGTGATCCCAGCTAGTGGGGATATTGAGGCACGAGAATTACTTGAACCTGGGAGGCAGAGGTTGCAGTGAGCCAAGATGGTGCCACTGCACTCCAGCGTGGGTGACAGAGAGACTTTGTCTTAAAAACAAAACAAACAAAAAAAGAATTAGTAATTTTACATCTCTGAATCTAGTCCTAAGAATATCTTTGGCTTTGCACATACAAATTTTTGCACAAATATGTTCACTGTGGTAATACTTAGAATAATAAAGACATGGAGGTAATTTTATTGGTCAATGATAGGGCATCAGAGAAATCTTGCTCTGTGATGGAGCAATGAAATATTGGGCAGTCTTAGAAAGTGATCATTCTAGGCCAGGTGCAGTGGCTAACACCTGTAATCCCAGCACCAAGGCAGGTGGATCATCTGAAGTTGGGAGTTCAAGACCAGCCTGACCAACATGGTGAAACCCCATCTCTACTAAATACAAAAAATTACCTGGGTGTGGTGGTGCATGCCTGTAATCCCAGCTACTTGGGAGGCTAAGGCAGGAGAATCACTTGAACCTGGGAGGCAGAGGTTGCAGTGAGCTGAGATTGTGCCACTGCACTCCAGCCTGGGCAACAGAGCGAGACTCTGTCTCAAAAACAAACAAAAAAAAATGAAAGTGTTCATTCTGAAGGGTTTTCATGGTGTACTTAAGATGTAATATTAAGTCAGGAAAAGTGAGATAGAAATTGTGCCAACAGTTTTGTAGCAATTAAGTATAAATCCACATTGCATGGAAAAAGAGTAGGAGGAAATATACCAAATTGTTAAGGATGGTGAGGCTATGGGGTGACTTTTCTTAAATTTAATTCCAACATGGATTCTTTTTAGCATTGTATTCATTCTTTTTTATTTTTTAAAAAAACTTCATCTATATTTCTTTGGGGTACCTATGCAGGTTTGTTACATGGGTAAATTGTGTGTCTTGGGTTTTGGTGTACAGATAATTTTGTCACCCAGGTAATCAGCATAATAATGCAAAAGTAGTTTTTCTTTTTTTTCTTGAGACAGAGTTTTGCTCTGTCAACCAGGCTGGAGCACAGCGGCATGATCTGGGCTCATTCAACCTCCACCTCCCGATTTCAAGCAATTCCCCTGCCTCAACCTCCCGAGTAGCTGGGATTACCGCATGCACCACCACGCCCAGATAGTTTTTGTATTTTTAGTAGAGAGGTTTCACCATGTTGCCCAGGCTAGTCTTAAACTCCTGGCCTCAAGTGATCCACCCACCTCTGCCTCCCCAGGTGCTGGGATTACAGGCAAGCCACCACACCTGGCCCAATAGGTAGTTTTTCAATCTTCACCCTCCTCCTATCCTCCACCCTCAAATATGCTTCGATGTCTATTGTCTCCTTCTTTGTGTCCATGTGTACTCAATGTTCAGCTCCCACTTATAAGTGAGAACATGCAGTATTTGGTTCCCTTGTTCCTGCATTAATCCGCTTAGTATAATGACCTTCAGCTCTACCCACCAACATAAAATTATTAAAAGAGGGCAAGTGTTGGCATCCAACAGATTTAGCTTTGCAGTTCTCTGGCTAAGCAGGTGACCAGTGCAAGGTGACTTAAGCTGTCTGAGCTTCAGCTCACTTCTTTGTAAAACACATGTAGCATCTGACTTTCCAGATTGATGGGAAGATTAAATGAAGTAATGCACATAAAACAGCCAGCAGAGTGTTTGTAACATAGTAGGTACCAAACACATTGTACCTGTTAATATCATTATTCTGTTTGTTCCAAGCAGTCTGTATCTTAGTTTCGGTGGTGATTACATAAATCTATGCAAGGGACAAAGTTGCATAGAACTACACACGCAAACACACACACACACACACACACACACAAATTGTAAAAACTAAGGTCTGTAGTCTAGTTAACAGTATTGTACCAATGTCGGTATCCCGGCTTTGATATTGTACTCCAGCTATTTAAGATTGACGTCTCCACGGGGAGAAACTGGGAGGTTACATAGGACTCTACTATTTTTACAGCTTCCTGTGAATCTATGATTATTTCAAATGAAAGAGTTTTTAAAGTACAGTAAAACTTTTTTAAAAATTCTAACGACTTCCATAATTTGCATCTCATCTATTCAGGTGAGGTAGGAAAAGTTAGGAATGGTTTGTTATTATTTATAAAAGGAAAAACTGACAGAGTGACTGGTTGCTCTTCTCCAGGTCAATCAGAAAATAAGAAGAAAAAGAAAAGCCATGTCACTGAATGTTCAGGACTTTTTAACGGTTGCTGATCCTGCCTCAAAAGTTGTCCTGTGTTTAATGGGATTTATATTCCCTCAATAAGGAATGTGACCTCTGAGGTTTAAGGATAGACCTGCTATCTCATTCTTTAGATGTATGTAAAAGGTGGTCAATGGACAAGGATGTCAGAACAGAACATAGAATCCCATGAACCGATGTCCCCAGTTGAGGTTTGGAATAAGGCAAAGCAGGAACAAGTGACTGTCTCAAAGAAAACAATAATTACTCAAGTGTTTACATGTGCTTATCAGTTTTATTATTTTTATGTGTACTATTAAAACTGAAAATAAGTTGTCTATAAATTAAGAAAACTGGCTTAAGGTTGCTACAGTTACAACTCTCCTTGCAAAAACTCAAGTCACTAACTCACCAAATATCTGCTAAATATCTGCCATGTGCAGTTACTGTTCTGGATGTTGGAGATGTGATAATGAACTAGACCCATCCAGTCCTGCTCTTCAGGAATGTGGTTTAGGTCAAAAGGCAATTGATTAGAGCCTGCCTTTTCCCACTTGCTTGCCATGTGCTTTTAACAGTTGCCTGGGCCTTAATCTCCTTTTCCTGGCCTTATTTATATAGCAATGACAAACACACATGTTCACTTACCAGCCCCACCTCTTGCATTCAAAGCAAACATCACTAATCAATCTGTCTCAAAAAAAAAAAAAAAAAAACTGTTCTTCAATTGCCTTTACCTATCTGATTCTCTCAAAGCTCCACTCATGAAATCCCACCTGTCCCCCAGAACTCACCAAAAAAAAAAAAAAAAAAAAAAAAAAAGATCCAAAGTCCCCTCCACATGCAGCCTCCACTGGCTCTGTTCCTCTTTGCCACTTCCCACTCACCTCCTTCTTGCCTTCCCATGTCTCTGCTCTTTCTTGGATTTAAACAACAAAGCCTAGAAGCTGCGCTAGTCAAGCCAAGTTCTCTTCAGCATGCGGGGAAGGTAGAGGAGCTTTAAAGTGGAGGAAAGTAGAATTCAGTCATGTGAAATCAAAGGTGAAATGATAAAAAGAATAAGGACAGAGCACAACCCACCAGATCAATGAAATAATGTCTGAGAAAGCACTTCAAAGAGTGTCCAGCACAATAAAAATAGATTGTCCTGGAGAAGCAGTTTCTGGAGTAAGAAAAATGTGACTTTTAGATGGATCTTGAAGAATTAATGGAACCTGGACCTATGGAATTAGAGACGATGAGTAAGCAAAGAAGAAGGAAGTTGAGATGGCAGTACCAGCAGGAGAAAGATTCTGTGCAGGAAAGGGTTGGGTGTGTTCAAGGAGCCTGCATCAGTCTCTAAACTGAGGTTTCCTACGTTTATTTCCTGTCTGGGACATTCTGTGACACATGTCCAAATGGAAAAATCATTCTCCATTGAGCTAGCCAAATATCTTCAATAAATAATGCAAAAATTATTAAGACATTTTCCAGAGGACCACACCATTTCCTGTCTTGACAATGGAGCTGGATTTGACATCAGCTAATTCAAGAGGTTAGAAATAAAAGCTGTGGCCAATTCAAACTTCCCTTCCAAATGTTTTTCAATAATCTGAAATTGGTCCAAGAGACAGGACTTGTAATCAACTTTTTTCAAACCATCTTAACATCTTTCATGAAGTCATGAACATGACCGTGCAGACGTGCCATTGACTAATTATTGTCCTGGATTGTGGGAATAGGAAGGAACATTGAAATAAACGATGACTTCACTGGTCAACCTATGGAATGTTAAAAGAAGAGGGAGCTAAAGGGAAGATGTTCCAATAGCATGCAACATGACCTTGGGGTAATGAGATAGACACACATTGGAAAGTTTTAAGCGTGTTTGTTTGTTTGTTTGTTTGTTTGAGATGGAGTCTCGCTCTGTTGCCCAGGCTGGAGTGCAGTGGCGCGATCTCGGCTCACTGCAGGCTCCTCTTCCCAGGTCCACCGCATTCTCCTGCCTCAGCCTCCCGAGTAGCTGGGAATACAGGCGCCTGCCACCACGCCTGGCTAATTTTTTGTATTTTTTTAGTACAGATGGGGTTTCACCATGTTAGCCAGGATAGTCTCTATCTCCTGACCTCGTGATCCACCCGCCTTGGCCTCCCAGAGTGCTGGGATTACAGGCGTGAGCCACTGTGCCCGGCCATTTTAAGGGTTTTAATGAGAATAATACAAAATATCCAGCTCACATGTACGTATCGTGGTTCTGATGCACCAGCTGCTATTCTAAGCTGTTGACATATACCATGTAGTTTATTCCTGACAATGACCCTGAAAGAGGCAGGCACTTATTCCCATTGTACAGATGAAGAAACTGAAGTGGAGGAAGTTAAGTAACTTGTCCAAGGTCACACCATCAAAAAATGAAACAGTCAGCATACAGGTACTATCTCTCCAAGGAACCTCCAGAGACACCAATCAAAAGAGAATGCATATTCTCCTTGCAATCCCATCAGTTAAAAAAGAGAGAGAGACCAGGTATGGGTGGCTCGTGCCTGTAATCCCAGTATTCTAGGAAGCCGAGGCAGGTGGATCACTTGAGCTCAGGAGTTCAAGACCAGCCTGGGCAACATGGCAAAACCCCATCTCTACAAAAAATACAAAAATCAGCCAGGTATAGTGGCTCATGCCTGTAGTCCCAGCTACTCGGGAAGCTGAGGTGAGCGGATCACTTGAGCCTAGGAAGTTGAAGGCTACAGTGAGCCAAGATGGCGCCACTGCACTCCATCCAGTCTGAGTGACACAGCAATACCCTGAAAAAAAAAAAAAAAACAGAGAGAGAATGCTGAGAAAATCCTGCCCCAAATCTCTAAAAATTACCAAGGCAAACATGTAGAAAGCTGAAACTGGATCCCTTCCTTACACCTTATACAAAAATTAATTCAAGATGGATTAAAGACTTAAATGTTAGACCTAAAACCATAAAAACCCTAGAAGAAAACCTAGGCAATACCATTTAGGACATAGGCACGGGCAAGGACTTCATGTCTAAAACACCAAAAGCAATGGCAACAAAAGCCAAAATTGACAAATGGGATCTAATTAAACTAAAGAGCTTCTGCACAGCAAAAGAAACTATCATCAGAGTGAACAGGCAACCTACAGAATGGGAGAAAATTTCTGCAATCTACCCATCTGACAGAGGGCTAATATCCAGAATCTACAAAGAACTTAAACAAATTTACAAGAAAAAATCAAACAACCCCATCAACAAGTGGGCGAAGGATATGAACAGACACTTCTCAAAAGAAGACATTTATGCAGCCAACAGACACATGAAAAAATGCTCATCATCACTGGCCATCAGAGAAATGCAAATCAAAACCACAATGAGATACCATCTCACACCAGTTAGAATGGTGATCATTAAAATGTCAAGAAACAACAGGTGCTGGAGAGGATGTGGAGAAATAGGAACACTTTTACACTGTTGGTGGGACTGTAAACTAGTTCAACCATTGTGGAAGACAGTGTGGCAATTCCTCAAGGATCTAGAACTAGAAATACCATTTGACCCAGCCATCCCATTACTGGGTATATACCCAAAGGATTATAAATCATGCTGCTATAAAGACATATGCACATGTATGTTTATTGCGGCACTATTCACAATAGCAAAGACTTGGAACCAATCCAAATGTCTACCAATGATAGACTGGATTAAGAAAATTTGGCACATATACACCATGGAATACTACGTAGCCATAAAAAAGGATGAGTTCATGTCCTTTGTAGGGACATGGATGAAGCTGGAAACCATCATTCTGAGCAAACTATCGCAAGGACAGAAAACCAAACACCGCATGTTCTCTCTCGCTCATAGGTGGGAATTGCACAATGAGAACACTTAGACACAGGATGGGGAACATCACACAGAGGGGCCTGTCATGGAGTGGGGGGAGGGGGAAGGGATAGCATTAGGAGATATACCTTATGAAAATGATGAGTTAATGGGTGCAGCACACCAACATGACACATATATACATATGTAACAAACCTGCACGTTGTGCACATGTACCCTAGAACTTAAAGTATAATAAAAAAATGAAGAAAAAAAATTACAAAGGCAATAATGCAACCACCTCAGCACATCCAGGAAGACTGGATGACTTGCCCAAGATTAAGTGAAGTCAAAACCAGTACTTGAACAAGGATTTTCTCACTCCCAGGTATCAAGCAATCCCCTGAGCATTCATTTCTCATCTGGACATGAGAAATGTGCACTGGACATCCAAATACCTGCTTACCAAATCATCGATTATCTGCCAAAGCTCTTCAGCAAGTAATAGCGTTGTAAAAAGTATTTTATAATTAGGAGTATCTGAAGTCAGACCAACTGATTTGAATCAGCATTACCATTTATTAACAGTTCTATCAGGCCAGGCACGGTGGCTCATGCCTGTACTCCCATCATCTTGGGAGGCTGAAGTGGGCAGATTGCTTGAGCCCAGGAGTTCCAGACCAGCTTGGGCAAAATAGCAAGACACCATCTCTACAAAAATTGTTTAAAACATTAGCCAGTGTGATGGTGCATGCCTGTAGTCCCAGCTACTCAGGAGGCTGAGGTGGGAGGATCGCTTGAGCCTGGAAAGTCAAGGCTGCAGTGAGCCATAATTGCACCACTGCACTCCAGCCTGGGTCACAAAGTGAGACCCTGTCTCAAAAACACACAAAAAAGTTTTATCTGTGGATAATTTAGATCCTGCTCAAATTATCAGTTTTTTTCACCAGTAAAATGGGAATAATCATCATAGCTATTTCATGGGATTCCGGAAGATTAAATATTATGCATGCAATGCATACACTGAGCACCATCCCTTACACATAGTAAGTGCTCAATAAATATTCAATAATAATAATAAGGAAATCATAGCCACAACATGTGTTATGCTGTGTTCATTACAATAAGACTGTGAAACCTATTTTGATGAAGCAGGCCATTATAGCTTGAGTAAGAAATAAAATAGGCAAACACCAGAACTTTAACCTAACACCATGACCACTCCCAAAGTTTAGCATATTACTGGAAATCGCTAACGGAGCACTGCCCATTATTCATGATATGAACAGTAAGGAATCATGCATAATGGAACAGAGTCCCTGCTAACAGCAGATTCACACACGATAATTTAAACTTGTTTGTATGGAAATAAAGGACGAGTCTTTGAAGTGAGCCTTAATGAGATTCTGCTTGATCTTTGGTGTATCCTGGGAGAAAGAGTTCAATTTTTCCTCCAGCATCTGACTCATGTTGGTGGCGTGCAGGAAAGAAAGGGCTGACTTAAATTATGAATGGCCTTTCTTGTCTTTGTGATAGCAGGTGAGGAGGGTGGCACTCATCCGGGGGCACTGGGGAGATGCAGGGAGACAATCACAGTTCTCCGAGGTGGCCTCTGCATCTGAAACTTAGAGGAAGGCTTGGTGGGCTGGAGCCTCGGAAGGCATTCGTCATCCAGAAGGATGCTTTACAGACTCTGAAGAAGCAAAATAAGCTGGTGGGCTCTGGCAGGAGACGCAGAGGTACTAGTGTGGCCCCGCACCTTTTCAAATTCTGCTTGTGCATGAAAGGGATTCAGCTCCATCCCAAGCTCATGCTGGAGGAGACCTGGCAAGCAGTCGCCTTGCCAGTCGCTGCTGACCTGGCTGCTGACCAACTCTGAAGAGGGCTCGGTGTTTGCTCAACGTGGCCTGGCTGTCAGAAGGTCCCAGGAAGTGGGTTGTGTTTTGGTTGCCAAATGCAAGAGAGTATGAGTTTTGAGTTTTTGAAATCAGTTCAAGTCATGGGACAGGTCTACCTCATTAAGTGGCCATTAGATTTATGATGAAAAGATGACGACTGTGGAGTGCTGTGTACAGGCTGGCCACTCACTGTAGAGTGCAGAGTATAGACTGGCCACTCACTGTAGAGTCCTGACCACAGGCTGGCCACTCACTGTGGAGTGCTGAGCACAGTTTGGCCACATACTGTAGAGTGCTGAGCACAGGCTGGCCACTCACTGCGGAGTGCTGAGCACAGGCTGGCTACTCACTGTAGAGTACTGAGCACAGCCTGGCTGCACACTGTAGGATGCTGAGCACAGCCTGGCTGCACACTGTAGGGTGCTGAATACAGGCTAGCCACACGTTGTAGAGCCCTCAGTGCCTGCTAGATGTCATTTTATTTTTCTTTTTACCTTTATCACTTTGAGGGCTTTTTCAAGTCTATGGTCTTTCAGGCTCAATTAATTGTAACTAAGCCTCTGAGACAAAGTGCTTGTTGAATGTCTTCCACTGTTCCGACACAGAAACGCAGCATAAGTCGAAGTTGCAATGGACAGCATACGTCGAAACTTCCTCTGTGCCAGACTCCTTGTGGGGACTCTCTTCTCATCGCCTCCTTTAGTCCTCACCACTGCCCTATGAGGAAGAATGTGCTTTTTAACTTCATTTTACAGATGAGAAAACTGAGGCCCATAAGGCGAAGTTACTCTCTCAAGCCAGTAAGCAGTAGGAATTGGGATTTGCACTCAGCACCCATTTGATCCCGGAGTCCGCTTTCTTGATTGTACTCTCTACTGCCTCACCTTCAATGGCTTCCTCTAATGGAAAAGCCTGCCCTCACCCTAATGAATACTCTCAGCTGGGCACAGTTAAGGGATGACCTCTGTGCATCTAATGAGTTCATCTCAATCCCTCCCCAGGGTACAGATGTGTTGTGTAACTTGGGCATCGGGAAGTCCAGGACGGAGCAAAACAGAGGAGGGTGCTCTCCCAGACCTGTATCATCCACCTCCGTTATCTCCCCTCACACAGACTCAAGAATTCAGATCCCACCTATGTTGCCTTGGTATTCTAACAAACATCTCTCATGTTTAAGCTAACATGTCCTAAGCATTATGTTAAGAGGGTTTCATGCATTCAATCATGTAGAACTTTTATTCCCATTTGACCAATGAGGCTCCTGAGGCTCCTGCAAGTTAAGTAACCAGCCCGAGAACACACAGCAGCTGCCTGGTGTGTCAGGACATTCCTGCATCGTTGGTGTGATCGATGCATGCTTACCTCTGTGTGCCTGAGGCGGTGCTCTGTTTGGGGACACTGCAGTGACTGAGACAGATCAGGTGACTGCCCTCAGGGACCTACACTCTGGAGGGGAGACACAGGCTAGGAACAAATATACAAATTAGACAACACAGTCATGTGTCCAGTAGTGACATTTCAATCAACAATAGGCTGCACATAGGACAGTGGTCCCATAAGATTGTAATTCTATATTTTTACTGTACCTTTTCTATGTTTTTAATTATACTTTCTTTTTTATTATTTTGTTTTTTATTTCAATAGGTTTTGGGGGAACAGGTGGTGTTTGGTTACATGGGTAAGTTCTTTAGTGGTGATTTCTGAGATTTTGGTGTACCCATCACCTGAGCAGTGTACACTATACACAATGTGTGGTTCCTTACCCCTCACTCCTTCCAACCCCTCCCCCCCGAGTCCCCAAAGTCCATTATGTTGTTCTTATGCTGTTGTGTCCTCATAGCTTAGCTCCCACTTATAAGTGAGAACATACGATGTGTGGTTTTCCATTCCTGAGTTACTTCACTTAGAATAATGGTCTCCAATTCACAGGTTTCTGTGAATGCCATCATTTCATTCCTTTTTATGGCTGAGTAGTATTCCATGGTATATATACAACACATTTTCTTTTTTTTTTTTTTTTTTTTTTTCTTCAGACAGAGTCTTGCTCTGTTGCCGAGGCTGGAGTGCAGTGGTGTGATCTTGGCTCACTGCAAGTTCCGCCTCCCGGGTTCACGCCATTCTCCTGCCTCAGCCTCCCAAGTAGCTGGGACTACAGGCACCCGCCACCATGCCTGGCTAATTTTTTGTATTTTTTAGTACAGATGGGGTTTCATCGTGTTAACCAGGATGGTCTCGATCTCCTGACCTCGTGATCTGCCCGCCTTGGCCTCTCAAAGTGCCGGGATTACAGGCGTGAGCCACCGTGCCCAGCCATATACCACATTTTCTTTATCCACTTGGTTGATGGACATTTGGGCTGGTCTATATTTTTGCAATTGCGAATTGTGCTGCTATAAACATGAGTGTGCAAGTGTCTTTTTCATATAATGACTTCTTTTCCCCTGTAGTGGGAGTGCTGGATCAAATGGTAGATCTACTTTTAGTTCCTTAATGAATCTCTACACTGTTTTCCATAATGGTTGTACTAGTTTACATTCCCACTGGCAGCATAAGTCTTTTCTATGTTTAGATGTATCTAGATACACAAATACTCACCATGGGTGTTGCAGTTGTGTATGGTACTCAGTACAGGCCCATGTTGTACATACTTGTAGCCTAGGAGCCACAGGATATACCATGCAGCCTAGGTGTGTAGGAGGCTATGCCATCTAGGTTTGTGTAGTATGCTCCCTGATGTTCTCAAAATAATGAAATCACCTAAGGATGCATTTCTCAAAATGTATCCCCATGGTTTAGAGATCATTTCTATGAAAAAAAGCAGCAGAAAGAGGCAAAAGAAGGCACTGAGGGGAAGGATGTGTTAGTTTCAATGGGGTAACCAAAGAGATCAGCCTGAGAAAGTGACATTCGATGCCTGACCTGAATGAGTGGAGGGAGGTGGAGGAAACACATGCCAGGCAGTGGGATGCTTGTGTGCAGAGTCCCCGGGGCACAAACAAGTTGGGGAAACATCAGGAAGGTGCTTCTGCCCCAAGTGGGGTGGAGGAAGTGAGTGAGTCAGAAAGGAGGGTTGCACTCAGCCACATCAAACCGAACTTTGATTCTGCAGCCTGTTCTCCTACCCACCACACTGTTCAGCTCCCAGGGCTGCCTCAAAAACATCAACTCCCAAATTTCAGCTTTTATTTCAGATACACGGGGTACATGTGTAGGATTGTTACCTGGGTATATTGGACCAAGGTAGTGGACGCAGTACCCAACAGGTAGTTTGTCAACCCACGCTCCCTTCCCTCCCGCTCTCCAGTAGTTCCCAGTGTCTGTCATTCCCATGTTACCACCGTACATGCTCAGTGTTTAGCTCCTAGTTATGAGAACATGTAGGATTTGGTTTTCCATTCCTTCATTAATTCGCTTAGGATGATGGCCTCCAGTTCCATCCATGTTGCTGCAATGGACAAGATTTCATTCCTTTTTATGGCTGCATAGTATTCCATGGTGTAAAATAAAAGCTGAAATTTAAAAACAACTACCTCAAATCACTTTTAGATTGAGGCTCCATAAATAAATGAAATTAACCCAGATTACAACAAAAAATCAACTCCTGATGTCCACTTTACCTGAAGTTTCTCTCTTCTGCGGGTTCCCCAAGTCTCTTTCTTTTTAGATTATTACCAAATGTAGATACCCTGGAATCCATTCTCTTTTTAAATAATTTGAATTAAACTAAGATAAATGTCCACCAAGAAGTGAGGAGTAGAGAACTCTGTGTGCAGCATCCACATCTGGTCTGTGTCCTCCTTCATGTTCACGGATGGCTCTGCTGATGGAGGCCACCCTGAGTGTGTGTGCGGTACACATGCCATGAGAAAGGGGTGCCAATGTGGCTGCTCACACACAGAAACGCTTCCATCTCTGAGAGCTGTCGAATGAGAGAATGTGCTGGTGCTTTTATACTGAAGCATATCAATAGTGGATTTGTCAAACTAGCCCCGTATTCAGGTGCGAGTCTTCAGTATTTCCAGCTGAAGGTCTGCGGCTCGTAGGCTCTGGGCATCTTCCCCTCTTCTGGCACAGTTTGGCTTCTTCCTTCTGCTGAATGGATGCATTCTTTACACTTTTGATTACTAACCACAGCCGTGAGCCAAAACGTTATAATTAAATAAAATAAACAGATCCTGGGATGAGTCTTTGAGGAAAAAGCAGTCTTTTAATAATCAAAATCTTCATGCATTTTATTTCATCATTATGCTAAGATGTTGAGAGAAATGGATTTCTAGAATATGACCTGGCCCTGACTTTGTGTCTAGTCAATTACAAGTTCGAGCTAACCACCTCAACATTTCAAGGATGGCCTTTTCTTTTTCTTTTTTTAAAACAGCAGGACTAAAATTTCATTGTATTGAACATAAATGGGAAAACGTGCATTGCAGAGTAAAATTTAAAATGCTTTTATGGAATTTTCATTATAAAACTGCCTGTAATGGAGTTGACCTTATATTCACCTAAGATTTCTCTGGCTCCGAGTTCAGATTTCATGCCAATTAACATGTTAATGACATATATCATTTAAAAAGCCCATCATAACTTTTATCACATCATGTTACATCTATTTCCTTGTAATTAAATCAGAATTACAGGGTGTAATTACTTTTCTTTTCCTGAATACCCATTCCTTTTCAGACATTTAAATTCAAGTGCAAGTACTAAAAGACACTTGAAAGTAACAACCTAATAAAAATATTATCAGTTAATGAAAGCGTTGGGTTTCTCCTACTCTCTGGTTTCTTTTTGACAAATTCCTATCTCCCCATGTACTTTGCATGACATGTAATGATTGGTCGTATCCAGTCAAATGCTTCCTAAGCTCTTTAAATCCTCAGGGCCCTAGTCTCTATTAATATGCAACGTTCTCACACATAAATATAATTACATACAATTATTAGCGGAAAAGGATCAGATAAGGTTTATTAACGAAATATCCTATAATCATCCAAGTCCAAGACTTCCCCTTACATGCTAATTCAATGAAGGGTTAGAGTCTGTAATCACTACACCTGCATTGATCACTGATGGCAGGATCAAAGAAGGGGAACACCTTTGTTTAAAAGACTTAAACAATTATTTTGTAGACAATTCTATTATCTGACTGCTTCTGTTCTTCCACGCACTCTTCGACATCCAATTTAAAACTTAAAGTTGGCCGGGCATGGCAGTTCATCCCTGTAATCTAGCATTTTGGGAGGCCGATGTGGGTGGATCACCTGAGGCCAGAAGTTCGAAACCAGCCTGGCCACCAGGGCGAAAACCTGTCTCTACAAAAATACAAAAATTAGCCAGCTGTGGTTGCGCGTACCTATAGTCTCAGCTACTCAGGAGGCTGGGGCAGGAGAATCACTTGAACCCAGGAGGTGGAGGTTGCAGTGAGCTGAGATTGCACCATGGCACTCCAGCCTGGGCAGCAGAGCAAGACTCTGTCTCAAAAAAAAAAACAAAGTTGCATCATACTTAATTTTGGAAACTTGTTGTAACTTGAAGTAGTATCTAAGAACTGGGAAGTAATCTTACAGGCGTGTGCTGTCCTATGATGATCTATTAGGATTGTGTGGGCAGAACCACCGGGGACTGACATATATTATTTGAGGAAGTCAGCACTTGAAGGTAGGTAGAAAACGAACTCCTTTGCTGTCAGGAAGTTCTGCATACATAGATCAAATCACTCATTCATTTGGCAAATATTTATTGAGTGCTTATAACAGCTAGGTACTTTTTTAGTCCTAGGTACTATTTTAGTCCTGGTCAAGGTCATTGTTGCCAAGGTGCCAACATTCTAGGGAAAGAGAACAGACCATAAACTAGTAAACAGAAGAATAAATAAGATAATTGCAGCTAGTGATGAGAGACAAGAGGAAAAGATAGCAGAACAAGGTGATAAAAAGAAATAGTGGCCAGGTATGGTGGCTTATGCCAGTAATGCCAGCATTTCAGGAGGCCAAGGTGGGTGGATTGCTTGAGCTCAGGAATTCAAGACCAGCCTGGGCAACATGGCGAGACCCTGTCTGTATCAAAGATACAGAAAATTAGCCAGGCGTCATGGTGTGTGCCTGTGGTCCCAGCTACTCTGGAGGCTGAGGTGGGAGGATCACTTGAGCCCAGGGGGCAGAGGTTGCAATGAGCCTATATTGCACCACTGCACTCCAGCCTGGGTGACAGAGCAAGACCCTGTCTCAAAAAAATAAATACTTTTTTTTAAAAAAAAGAAAATAAATAGTGGTGAGGTGGATGATTCTAGACAGGGTAGATGATGAAGGCATCTCTGAGGTATCTAACTTTTGAGCTGAGACCTAAGTAGTGTGAAAGAGCAAGAGAGGATCAGGGGGCACAGAACCACCAACTATCAAGGTTATAAGAGGGAGAGAGCTGATGTTTTGGAAGAAAAAGAGCAGGTGGATGTGTCTAGATCAAAGGGAGCAGGATCACAAAGATGGCGGTAAAAAGATGGCACCATCTATGTAGACTCTCCGGGCTGCCAAAAGCTTACAGATTTTGCTCTAAGAATGACAGAAAGCAGCTAGAAGGTTTTAAGCCAGGAGGTGACATTATTCAAATTACATTTTGAAAAGGATATTCTGGGTGTAGAGGCTGGATTTGGAGAGGCAGGGGTAGAACATCAGACATTTAGGAGGCTGTTGGTGCCATCTGGGTGAGCAAAGGAACCAGCTTAACCTCAGCTTGACCTACCTGTGCCAGGACACAGGTAGAGTCCCTGGTATGGCAGGTGGACAAGCAAGGGCCACTAAACAGGCATGTGGCAGCTTGCAGGAACCCCCAATTCCTCCTGACCATTTCTTGAACAAATATATCATATCTACCATGTGCCAGGCATTGTTTTAAGCTTTGAGAATGTAGAAGTGAGCAAAGCAGGCAACATCTTCTTCTTATGGGTCCCAAATAATGACAGAAGAGCAAGTCAGGCGATGAAAGGTGTATTGGCAAAAACTAAAACATGGCGTGGGGATTGGGAAGAACAGGGAAGGAGGGAGAGACAGGTACTTTAGATTCCAGGCTCAGGGAAGGCCACATGGAAGGCATGATATCTGCATAGTCCTGAATGAGGTGACATCAAAATGCAACCCAAATGTCAACTGGTCCCACGTCTTCCTAATCCCTACATTTTGCCTCTGTTTTCCTTTGATGCCAACCCCAAACTCAGCCCCACTTCAGGGTCTCTCACTAAAGCACCAATGAGCAATGGGGATGTCAGAAAATGTTCACCAGGGAAACACAGCAGTGGGGGTAACATCATGTGTACAGTGACCCCTGACGAAGCCTCTCCCACATTTCTCTAGAAAAATCCTAAAGATTTCTTTTCTCTTCCCCGCTGCATGTGACCTCCAGCTTTCTTCTTGAATTCCTTTCTTCTTGATTTCTCTTGTTTCCACAATATCTAGTCCTGCTTTCTGCTGCAATGCAGAGCAATTCAGCTTGGCCCCCAATCCACCCACCAAGCCCTCCAGCATACTCAGCAAAACAATGCTCTTCTGTGAAAAGGTGACACAGTGGTCATTTTTGCCCCTTAGAGTTTCACCTCCTCATTCCTATCACAAGTGGCTCAATATGGTATTTCTCCTTAAAACACTCAGTGCCCTCACTAAGAGAAATTCTTTTGAATGCAATTATCACCTTGCAAATGGGTTATGGACAGGCATGTGCCTAGAAGTTCCCCACTTATTGAGCCCAGAGATTCATTTCCATGGAATCTCGTGGAAATGAAGAGGATCAGAAGCCACCTAAGTTTGCACAGCTTCTTCCTGTCCATGGTTACCTATGTTTACTCTCTCTCCACATATAAAGTCAGGCTGAGATGAGAAAGTAAGGGAATTCTTGCCATACATCTATGGACTTTGGTTTAAGGCAGGGGTTGGCAAACTACAACCAGTGAAAAGGTCTTATTAGAACACAACCATGGCCTTCACATGCAGGTTGCCCATTTCTGCTTTTTCACTATGGTGCAGAACAAACTCATTATACAGCACAAAAGCAGTGCCATGTGATACACATGGGTGTGACTGCATTCCAATACCACTTTACTTCTGGACACTGAAATCTGGCTTTCATGTAATTCTCACATATCATGAAATACTATTCTTTAATTTTTTCCAACCATTTAAAAATGTAAAAACAATTCTTAGCTTGCAGACTTTACAAAAACAGGCCACAGGATGCATTTGGCCTGTGGGTCACAGTTTGCCACCCTGATTTAAGGGGTTGTTAACAAACATGAGACCCTCTGAGTTACTGAATCAATCTCAGCATCACGAGGTCTCAGCATTCTGGGGAGAAAGCAGAGCTGGTGTCCGGCTGTGTCTGGACTCCCCCTGAATCCGCCAGGTGGCCAGTCTCCAGAATGCCTGTCCTTCCACAGAAATGCTATCCCTTTCCGTTCTCCAAGTTTGGAGTCTGAGCCCTTTGAGGAAGGGTCCTCCTTCTTCATCCTGATGTCCCCAGCGTTCGACACAGAGTCCAGTACCAAGCAGGTACTCAAACCACATTAGTGGAGAAAAGCAACCCAGGAACATATGAAAGACACAGCATCTTTTGTGTGGTTCTCAAGCCAGTCTCTAATATCGTTAATGCATTTGATAAGATAAAATCATTACTTACTAGCAAAATGAATAATTAGCCATTTCTCAAAACCTAGTAGGATAGGCAAGAAGGAGGAAGACAGGGAGCTATGTGTACATAAGAGTGATATGTCTAAGTGACTTCTTGAAATACAGAGCCCATTGTCCCCACTCTGCAGTGGAAATCCATCGATTTCCAAATGAGTTGAGGCCATTTCCTGACAGTTGGGAGGAAAGGGGCCAAACCGTTGGGCTCCTATTCGTCTTCAGCATTTTACAATTAAGAGCTGGCCTTGTTTAAAGCCCAACCTGTCATTACTGTTAATATTGAGATCGGACACTTTGATCCGAATGGAACCTGACTGCCTGATACAACCCAAAGTTAAGCTGCTTCCAAACGTATCTTTCACTCTGTATATCATCCTAGCTGGCTGATGTCTGTTTCAACTGAGCAGTGGGGTGATCTCACGATGGTGCAATGGAGAACTGATGTTGCATGAACTTTTCTGCTGTTGTTTCTTTTCCAACTGACAGCTTAGCCCTGCACCCTAGGCCAGCCTATTCTTCTCGTAGAGACGGTCACTGATTCCCTCTCTTCTGATTAGCCTGGGCAATGATTGGGATAATTTAGGACGTGCACTGTTTGATCATCTGTACACTTACAACAAATAAAACATTTTAATATGAGCAGTCACTGCATGTTTACTGTATCATATTGCTGAGAGCTGAACAAATGCCAAACGCTATAACAGAAGGGGGGATGTGAACTCCAGAATGATGACACTAATAAGGAAATTACAAAAGGCCCAACAAATGGCATTTATGTTAAATCAATAATGCTCTGTTTGTTTTTTTTAATTCTAATCTTTCTTCAGAAAAAAAAAATTATCTTTCTAAACAGTTGGCGATTCCTATTCTTGTTCGTCTTCCTGAACATAATTAAAAACATGTTGTGGCGCCTACTTAAGACATCAACTTTCCCAAGGCTGTCTTGTCCACTGTGTTTTAAACAAAGACACTTGTTTTGGCATTGTGCCCTTAATTAATCATTTGAGGCTTTATTGCTGTACCAAAAAAAAAAAGTGTCTTTGTTTAATGATTCATCACAAGCCCAATTTCTGCAGAACTTAATCAAATACAGAACCAACTTTCTAATCAGCTTGAATATTAAAAAAATTGATGTAGTCCTTGTTTTCAGGATGTTGTTTGATAAAAGAAATATTGGTATGTGACACTCTGTTCATATTGGCTTTCTTTCATGGAATTCTTTCATGAAGATGAGATGAACGCTTTGCTTTTGGAGTCGAGAATGGAAGTCCATTGTTGATTGAGAAAATAGAAACTTTGACAGCCCAGTGAATGTCATTTAGCATCTGGGCCTTGCAGAGCTGGGGACAAAGCCTTGAAAAAGGTCTTCAGAATTCACATCTTTGTTTTCTTTTCTTTTTTTTTTTTTTTTTTTTTTTTTTTTTTGAGACGGAGTCTTGTTCCGTCGCCCAGACTGGAGTGCAGTGGCGCTATCTCGGCTCACTGCAAACTCTGCCTCTTGGGTTCAAGAGATTATTCTGTCTCAGCCTCTTGAGTACCTGGGATTACAGGTGCATGCTACCACACCTGGCTAATTTTTGTATTTTTAGTAGAGACAGGGTTTCACCATGTTGGCCAGGCTGGTCTTGAACTCCTGACCTCAGGTGATCCACCCACCTCGGCCTCCCAAAGTGCTAGGATTACAGGCGTAAGCCACCGTGCCTGGTTTTGTCTGCCATTTTTAATGTTCACTCTGAGAATCAGAGGGCGCATCCCAGGATGAAGGTGACTCTGGGACATGCTGACCGCAGCTACCCTCCCTGACTTACCACTTACATAGATCAGGCCATGGGCTCTCCCCTACTTTCACTCAGCCTTCAAACCACCAGCTCCACCAGCTTCCTCATCAAACTTGCTTTCTCCAGGCACATCCCTGAGCAGAATTCACTTAAAAGTTACTGATGTAAGAAAAAACAGAGCAAATCAAGGCACCTGTAAGTTATGCCAAGGCACCTGTAAGTTATGAAAAAGGTCTCAGTACGATAACAAAATCGGTGGAGGAGGAGGCATAGCATTTGAATTAAATCAACTTACAAAACACATAACTCTCTGGGCTTGGCATACATAACAACCTAAGAAGAAGTTTGGGAATTCTGTTATTATCGTCACATTATTATTATTATTATTATTATTATTATTATTATTATTAGCTGTGTTATATTTATGAAAATGTAAAATCCATGGTATTGATCATAAGCACCTTTTTTTTTTTTTTGGCACGGAGTCTCGCTCTGTCACCCAGGTTGGAGTGCAGTGGAACTATCTAGGCTCACTGCAGCCTCTGCCTCCCAAGTTCCAGTGATTCTCCTGCCTCAGCCTTTTGAGTAGCTGGGATTACAGGCATGCACCAGGACGCCTGGGTAACTTTTGTATTTTAGTAGAGATGGTGTTTCACCATTTTGGCCAGGCTGGTCTAGAACTTTTGACCTCATGTGATCCACCTGCCTTGGCCTCCCAAAATGCTGGGATAACAGGCATGAGCCACCATGCCCGGCCATTGGTACCATTTTTAAAGCACTTTAATATGAGCTGTAATTCAATGTTCCCTGGATCCTGCTCCTTCAAGTCAAATATTAGTGCAAATGCCACTTATGAAACACTTTCCTGTTCATAACTGTGAACCATGTTCAGCATTTTGGGGGTATCTTCTTCTATAAGACGGGAAGTGGGGCCTTCATGTCACAGAAGAGTGAGTGGAGGCTACGTTTGACCTGAAGTTTTTCTACAGCTAGGACCATGGCCTTGGCCTCCCTCAACCTTCCTGACATGATGTGGAGTCCCAGGGGCCTCCAGTCTCAACTCATCCCAGACTTGGCATGAACTTATGTAAAGGGAGAAAACTGTGAGCACTTCCCTAAAATCTAAGGGCAGCCTGCGGACTCTGGGTCTCCAAGTGAGCTCCATGTCTTGGCCTGGGGCAATTAGGAAACAGTGGTTAAGAGCAGAGCTTTAGAATCTGACAGACCTGGCCTCAAATCCCAACTCCTACTGTGAGCCCCTAGGACACTTAACATAAGCTCTCTGAACCTGTTTCCTCACCTTAAAAAAAGTAACTTAAGAGTACCTAAGGCTGAGGATGATGGCTCACATCTGTAATCCCAGCACTTCGAGAGGCTAAATTGGGAGGACTGCTCAAGGCCAGGAGTTTGAGACCAACCTGGGCAACATAGTGAGACCTCGTCTCTATAAAAAACTTAAAAATTGGACAGGTAGGTTGGCACGTGCATGTAATCCCAGCTGCATGGGAGGCTGAGGCAAGAGGATATCTTCAGCCTAGGAAGTCAAGGCTGCAGTGAGCTCTGTTCAAGCTACTGCACTTAAGCCAGGATGACAGAGCAAGACCCTGCCTCAAAAAATAAAATAAAATAAAAAAAAGAGTACCTATCTCATAGATGGAATTAAATTAGCCTATTCAAGCAAGAACATTTAACAAAGAGTCCCACACATAATGAGCATTAAATAAATGTTAAAACATGCATACATGTTGAATAGGCATGTTGCCTGAAGGGTGATCAAAGCATCATTTTCTTTCTTTCTTTCTTTCAATTCTGTTCAGAGGGAATAAACATTCCCCTCCCTTGAATAAGACTTCAGGCAACTCATGACTTTTCTGCTCACTCTTAGCAGGGACGAGCCCATGGTCCCATTAAGACTCAGTTCACAGATCCAATTCAGAGTCAGAAAAGTCAGGTTAACACGTCCGGTCCTGCTCTGGGCTGGAGGCACCCAGTGGGAAATTGGAGAAGGGCTCGATTCTTCTCTATGGCTGCTCCTCTGGTCTCCTCCCCAGCCTGCTGACAATAGCTTCAGGATAGTTAGAAAAGGGAATGGGACAAGAAAGGTCCCAGCCCTGGAGCAAGGCTACTGGTTCCCAGCCTGTGTGCTCCAGGAGAATGATCAAAGCTGACCCATTGTTGGTTTTGTTTTTATTGTGGTAAATTACACATAGGATAAAATTTACGCTTTTAACCATTTTTAAGTGTACAGTTCTGTGGCTTTAAGTGAATACAAACTGTTCCACAACCATCACCACCATCCATCTCCAGGGAAACAAGCTAACTCTTGATTTCTGGGCACTCACGGGTTCTGTGGACGGTTCCCTCTGGGCCGCCACTTATGAAGTTCCCTGCTCCGGGCAGAGGCCTCCGTCTCTCAGGGGGTGCACAGTGACTCTCCACGCTGCTTCCAAATGTCAAGGGTCCACCTTCAGCCCCTGACTAAGGGACAGCCTCATTAAACACGCCTCAGCACCACCACCCACAGGCTCTCTCCCCTGCAGGGCCTGTAACAATCACTCCCCACTCCTTCCCTAAACAAACTGTCAGAGGTCAGCTGATCCAAGCAAGCGGATTCCTCCTGAAACCCATGGGAGCAGCTAGAAGCCTTCTGTTTCTGGAAAGACCTCCGATCCCAGTCCTCAGGTTGGAGCTAGGGACCAGGGCTCTCTGGCTCCCTGGCAGGCCTCGACATCTTCTTAACCCACCCCCGGTATTCCTGTCCCAACAATACTCGGGTTTGTCTTGGCTCAGGTTCCCCCAGAAGCCTCCTCTAAAACAAGGATTCCTGATCCCAGGAACCCCCAATAGGGGAGAGCGGAAGAGGGACAGGGAGGGGAAGAGCAGCTGATCATGCACGATGTCATCGTGGGTAACTGGCCCTTGATCCTTTAGAGTTCTGGGAGCAGATGTAGAACATAGTCCTCAGAGAGAGCTGGGGTGTTTACAAACCAACTCCCGCTGATCGGTGGCTGACCGTGGCAAGGCGCGGAAGTGAGGGGGAAGGAGGCCAGGTGGAGGGATTTCACTTTCAGTCACTTTGCTGCAGATGTCTCCGCCAGTGGGCGCTGGCTGCCAGAGAAAGTCCCCAGACAAAGGATGCAGGTGCTGGACTTAGAAATCCTGCAGTGTGGCCAGGTGCGGTGGTGCACGCCTGAATCCCAGCACTTTGCGGGGCCAGCGGGAGATCACGTGAGCTACTAGCTTTGAATCTTAGTTCTACCACTTGCAAGTTGTGTGATGTCGGGGAAGTCGCTTCACTTCCCTGGCTCAGTTTCCCCATCTGATAAATGGGACTACTGAAGTATCTATTTCATATGGTGGGTAGGAGATGACACGAGTTAATATGGGTAAAGCACTTAGAGAATGTTTGACACATAGCAAGGACTACTCCATTGTGAAGTATTTTCCATCCATTGGAATTGCATAAGCACATTTTAGTTTTCTATGCCAGGAGACCCAGTGCAGCCTTTCAAACTAATGAAGGAAATTCTTCTATGCTGATACAGAGCAATTGCAAGAGTTATTACTTAGTGGAAATACCAAGTGTCTATAGTATTCACCTTTGTGTTAAAAATAATATCTACATTATATCCAAAAAAGTTCTTAAAAATAATATTAATATAGCCAGTAATCCCAGTACTTTGGGAGGCCAAGGCAGGAGGATCACTTGAGTCCAAGAGTTGGAGACCAGCCTGGGCAACATGGCAAAACCCCATCTCTACTAAAACTACAAAATTAGCTGAGCATAGTGGCACATGCCTGTAGTCCCAGCTATTTGGACTTGAGCCTGAGAGGTCAAGGCTGCAGTGAGCCAAGATCATGCCACTGCACTTCAGCCTGGGTGACAGAGCAAGACCTTATCTCAAAAAATAAAAATAGAAATAAAATTTAAAAAATTTAAAAAGAATAATATATACATATACACACACTCATGTTTATGTAGAGAACATTTCTGGAAAGATCAGAAATGAGCCCTCGGGTTACAGGGGTACTTTATATTTTTGTAGTGTTTGACTTTTTACTAAGTTCTTGTACTGTTTTTTCCCAGGAAAACTTTTATTTAAAAGAATAAGCCAGTACTGGCTCAACATAGTGGCTCACACCTGTAATCCCAGCACTTTGGGAGGCCAACGCAGAAGGATTGCTTGAGCCCAGGAGTTTGAGACCAGCCTAGACAATATAGCCAGACCCCATCTCTACCAAAAAATAAAAGGATTAGCCAGGCGTGGTGGCACACACATGTAGTTCCAGCTACTCAAGAGGCTGAGGTAGGAGGATCACTTGAGCCCAGGAGTTCAAGGCTACAGGCATGGATGGCATGACTCTTTTGCCAGCAGCCTGCCAGGAGCTAAGATCATACCACTGCACTTCAGCCTGGGCAATAGAGCAAGACCCTATCTCTTAAAAAAAATTTTATTTAATTAAAAAATGAAAAGAACAAGCCAGGACTATTCTCAGTGGTTTAATAGCACTAGACTTAAACCAAGGGCTCACGCAAGCACATTTCCATGTGAATCTTGCTGATTTTCTTGTTAATAAAGCTGCTGAGCTTGGTGAAGTGACCAGAGTGACCAGGCTCCTGAGTGGGCAGACCTGGGTCTGCCGCCTTCCAGCCACGTGACCTAAGATAAGCCATGTCACTGTCTGCACCTCATTCTTTTTTCAGATGGACAAGAACAGCTTCTTCAGGGTTTTTAGAGGATTGATTGAGATAATGTTTGTAAAATGCTGAGGACAGGGCCTGTCATATATAAATAGGGGTTATTATTATACACGGTGGCTGATTTCTAACTGCGAGCTTTACAAAGGTGGCAGCGAATCAAGATAGTCACTATTGTCATTTATGCAAATTAAGAAGACAACACCTAGAAAAGAAAATATCTTTCCCCTCTCTCTTTCATTTGCCTTTAACATACTCCATTATTGAAAACCCTTAAGGCTTCTGTTGAAAACTTACACAATCAACACATTAAAAATCAGCAAAATGCCAGGTTGGCTATTGTCTAAGATTCATCTTTGTAGTCTAATGAATGTCTTAAGAAATGCCAGTGGGAGAAAAAAATTAAATATGCAATGATAAAATGATCAGTACAGATGATTCCAGAGAAGCAGGCACTGTAGCTCCTATCGCTCTGCTCTCCACTGGGGCCCCAGGCCCCTCATTGCCCCCTACAGTCTCTGCTCCTTCCTCTGCTCCCCACCCCTTCTTCCTCTTCCTCCAGGCACCCCATGCACCCCACACACACAGCCTCCTACTCTACAGGCCTCCCACCTAGCACACTCTTACTATCCTAAAACTATTACAGATAATTTACCTACCTGTACTTGCCTATGCAGCTGCCCCCAAATCTGTATAATATCCTAACCCCATAATATAAATAGTAAACAAAAAGAAAGTTTATTATAGTAAAACGTGATGTATGTGTGTATATACATATTATATGTGTGTATATACATATTATATATGTGTGTGCCTGTGTGTATATATGTGTATGCACACATGCATGCTTGTGTACTATAAATGTATGTGTGTGTGTAGATATACACACACACACACACACACACGCACACACAGGCATGACAGTGTTAGGAGACGTAAGAGGAAGTCTAGATTTAAGAAGGTAATATTTAATGTACTGTTATTTCCCCCTTTTCTTTATATTGACATTTTGAAACAAAAGCTAAATAATGCCTGTGTATAGATGTGTGTATATGTACATCCTGGTGAATCCGGTAACTGTCAGGAGGGTCATGGAGCTAGAAAAGAAGGGTTTCAGTGGGGACTAACGCAGTCAGCTCTGCAATTTAGGAGGGTTGCTCTGGCACCCACGTGAAGGGCAGGTGGGTGGTGGAGACGAGTGGAGGCAGAGAGGCCATGTGAGGCCACTGCCATGCTGGGCAACTACAGCAAGGATTAGAGGGAGATGAGAGAGAAAGGCTCACAGTGGGCAGAACACAGACCCCAGAGGGCGATTTGGGTGTTAGGTACAGGTCTTAGCGGTCATCAGGATGAAGGCGGTGGGAAGTGGAGCAACAGAGATCCAAATATGGAAAGAGCACGTGCTGATACCAGAGGCACTGGAAATAATAGCAATATCCGAAAGTCTGCTCACCCTGCGTCATTCCTTCAGACAGTAGTCGGGCTCTATTCACTTGTTAGTTTTCCCACAGGGCTGTGAGCTTGAGAGCTAGTTCTTCGCCCTTTCTAATCTCTGTAGCCTCTACCAGGAAAAAGGGTATCAGCATGCCAGGACCAGTGGGCTAAATCCTACCCAGCACCTGCTATAAAGTTTCAGGGCACAGTCACACCCATCGTTTACATATTGCTGCCTTAACTCTGCAATGGCTTAGTTGAGTACCTGTTACAGAAACCCTATGGCCTGCAGATCCAAAAATGTTTACCATTTGACCTTTTAAGAAACTGCCAACCCCATGATCTCCCATCATGCTGAGAACATAGTAGATGTCCCACAAATATTTACTTAGTGTGTAAATGCAAATCATAACAACAGGACTTCTTTTCGTCACATAGAGAAATAATCCATTGATTCTGTTTTGACTGGCACACCCCTTGGATTGCATCCCCAAATGTGAACCTCTTTTTTCCCAAGTCATTCATTCTCCCATTTGGTTCAATCCTTTGGAGAATTAATTCTTGAAAAAGGCTGATCTCAGGGGAGCCCCTGAAGACAGAAGACTAAAAGTTTTGGAATAGAAAATGTTTTCTCAACCTTGGCACTACTGACATTGTAGGCAGACTTGTTCTCTTGTGGGAGGCTGTCCTGTGCATTGTAGAATGCTGAGCAGCAGTGCTGGCCTGCACCCTCCCTCCTCCCCTGCATGACTCTCAAAGCTGTCTCCTAGGAGCCAAAGACTCCTTCCAGTAGAAAACCATGACTCTAGAGAGAGAAACTGTAGGTAAGAACTAAGCACCATCTTGCAAACATCCCTGAGGATATCTATATACAGACACAGACACACACAGACACACACACACACACACACACACACACACACACACACCATAGTTTTTTTTTTTTATTTGTTTGTTTTGTTTTGAGAAGGGGTCTCGCTCTGTCACCCAGGCTGGAGTGCAGTGGCACAATCTTGGCTTACTGCAACCTCTGCCTCCCAGGTTCAAGCGATTCTCCTGCCGCAGCCTCCCAGGTAGCTGAGAATACAGGTGCATACCATCACTCCCGGCTAATTTTTGTATTTTTAGTAGAGACAGGGTTTCACTATGTTGGCCAGACTGGTCTCCACCTCCTGACCTCAGGTAATCTGCCGGCCTTGGCCTCCCAATGTGCTGGGATTACAGGCATGAACCACTGCACCCGGCTGTTCACCAGCATCATTTTTTAGAATAACGTGATAGGAATTTGCACAGCCTCCCTTCATAACCTATTCTAATCACTCAACTCAGCCTATCAGAAAATTTCTGATGTCTAACCTAATTCCTGCTTGCTGCATTTGCTTCTCTTTTTTTTCTTATCCTATCTTCAACAAAAACTAAAAAATAGGGATGAGCTGGTATAGATGCTTGCCATAATAATCCTCCTTCTATGGCAGTCTCTTTACAAAGAAATCTGGAGAATACATAATAAAAGTAATCACTCATTCAGCAAACACTGAGGACCTCCTCAGCTGGTCCTGCTTTGAGTGCTAGAGACACAGCAAGGAACAAGAGTGAGCAGGGCTCTGAGCTCACAGAGCTACATTCTAGTAAAAGGAGCAAATCATCAAATAAACAAAACAAGATAATAGCACTTATTAATGAGTGTTTGACGCCATAAGAGTGGCTGTGGCTGAGGTTGGAGGGGACCCTTAGCTAGGATGGTAAGGAAAGGTCTTGCTATGGAGGGAATATTTAAGCAGAGGTCTATATGATTCAAAACAGCCTGCTGAGAGAGTAAAGGGGAGAAATATCTGCTTTCCATGTGTTCCCCATTCCAGGTTTTCCATCTAAAATGGGTGTGGGATCCTACTACTTCCCAAGGTTCCCTTTTTTCTGATGGGAAGGAAAGAAGCCTCTACGTGGTCCTGGATTCTCTGAGCAGCTTCAAAAAACAGCCCTCTTGATTAGCCTGATGCAGCCTGAGGATGTCATAGGCGTATTAGTCTGTTTTCACACTGCCGATAAGGATATACCCGAGGCTGGGCAACTTACAAAAGAAAGAGAGATTTATTGGACTTCCAGTTTCACATGGCTGGTGACACCTCACAATCATGGCAGACAGTGAAAGGCACGTCTCACATGGCGACAGACGAGAAGAGAGCTTGTGCGAGGAAACTCCCCTTCTTATAACCATCAGATCTCGTGAGACCTATTCACTAACACGACAACAGCACAGGAAAGACCTGCCCCCATGATCCAATTACCACCCCCCAGGTCCTTCCCACAACATGTAGGAATTCAAGATGAGATTTAGGTGGGGACACAGAGTCAAACCGTATCAATAGGGATTTCCTAAATGAGAAGAGTCCATGCCAAAAGTTAGAGACTCCCAGGTTCTCAATAAGATCAACCTGAACCTGAAGTACTCTCCTCCCCACTCGCTCCCAGCTCAGTCCAGGCCGCCAAAGGCCTAACACTAAGGCAGGCCACCCAGACAGGTGTGATCATAGCTAGGATGGTGTTTGGGTGGGGGAGACCCTCTGACTAACTCCTCTAAAGCCAAAATGTAAACATCCGGGTTCATCCCTCTCTCTCCTCCAGCCTCCTCCACTCAGCTCCTGTCTGTCTTTCAAAGTTCAAGCCATCCTGTGCAATGAAGCAGCTCTTGTTGGGTGAATTAACAACATGAGGAAAAGCTAGATCCATCGGGAAGTTGGCGCTAATTGTTAGATCTAAGAGGAAAAAAGCAACTGTCTCAGCATTAAGCCGCTTTGTGGACCAGGTTGTTTTGTTCTACTTGTGACTCGGGCTCCCCGTCAAACCGCCTCAGACACATGGCAGGTGTCACTCAGACCCTTCTCACTCACTAGGGTCCTGCAGACATTAGCTCACATCTGGGCTACTTTTACTAACAGCCAGACGTTGGGGAAGCCACTTACACTCTTTGGACTTTCATCTTTTTATCTTCAAAATGGAAGGATCTCCTTTGGAGGGTTGCTATGAGGATGAGAGATAAGGTATGTGTTAATAATAATAATAATGCCATCATGCAGTGAGTTTCTGCTATGGGTTAGACACTGTGCTAAACTCTTTACACAAATATCTCATGCTCACAACAGCCCTAAGTGGAGGGTCCATTATCACTAGCTCCATTTTACAGGTAAGAAAGGTGAGGTATAGACATTAAACACCATGCCTAAGTTTGCCCACTCTATAAAGAGCAAAGCCAATATTTGAACTGAGGTTTATTAGACTCCAGAGCAGGAGGTCTTAACCACAGGCCCCTTCCACAGCGGGCAGTCAATAACAAATAGTCTTCATTGCATTATAGCTATGACCACTGGGAGAATCAGAGTCAACAAGTGGCACTACTCTAACCACCCTCACTCCTGACAAACACGGGACATGTGAGAGATCTGTGGCCACCTTGCTGGGGCAGAAGGGGCAGCTCATTCTGTTAAGGGACACTGATGTCACCTATTGATGTACAGTGTCCCAGGGCCTGCATGACACCACGCTGCCGATCTCCTAATACGTCCTGCTGAGCCAGGCAGCTGACATAATTATGCAAGGACCATCTGTCACTTAGCCCCTCTCTGTCTCTCTGCACCGTATATAAAGCAGGAATTCAGAAATTTAGTCATTCACTGTTCAACTAACCTTCACTAAATGTCCACTAAGTGCCAGGCACTGCTCTATACAGAAGTCTACAGATGGACGTAAATGCTGCACTCCTGGTGTTCACACTGGAAGGAAAGAGTCCAGAAAGTAAAATAGATAATATGTTTAGAACACAGAAAGAATCAAATGCCTATGGTGGCAGGGTGGGAAAACAGGGAAGGCCAGGTACAGGGAGGATGCTCAGTTCAAAACAGAGTGGTCAGGGAAGGCGTCTCAGAGAAGGCGGAAAAGGTGTGTCAGCCGGGCATGCAGATATCTAGGAAAGGACATTCCAGACAGAGGAAAACAGCAAAAGCAATCAATGACCCAGAGGTGAATTTGGATTGTTAGAGAAAAGTTTCACAAATTTCATTCCTGGAACACCAAGCTCATAAGACATTCATTGAAAAAAAGTGGGCCAGGCGCGGTGGCTCACGCCTGTAATCCCAGCACATGAGGCCAAAGCGGGCAGATCACGAGGCCAGGAGATCGAGACCATCCTGGCTAACACGGTGAAACCCCATCTCTACTAAAAATACAAAAAATTAGCCGGGCTTAGTGGCGGGCGCCTGTAGTCCCAGCTACTTGGGACTACTGGGAGTAGTAGTCCTGAGGCAGGAGAGTGGGAGGCTGAGGCAGGAGAATGGCGTGAACCCAGGAGGCAGAGCTTGCAGTGAGCCGAGATTGTGCCACTGCACTCTAGCCTGGGCGACAGAGCAAGACTCTGTCTCAAAAACAAAAAAGAAAAAGTGTGTGGGGTCCAATAAATTTTTGTTAATGCCTCATGCTGTACACCCCACTTTTGGAGTTTGTGTTACCCATTAGCATAAAAAGGGACAGAAGATGGGAAGTCTTGCAGTAAAGTCTTGCTCAGCTCAGGCTCACTCACTCAAACATATTTGACTACACAGACATTTCTTCACATAACACCTGATGGTATCTCACAGAGCTACGTTTCAATGGAAACCAATCTGGGAAACTTTGGCATAAACTCAGGACCCTTTCCCTAATACAGTTTCTTGATTCTCTGTCCCGCATTGGGTCATTCAGCAAACGCTCACTGAGCAGCCTCTTACTAAATGAGAGACACTGAGCTAGATTTGGCTGGAGATGGAGCAGAGAATAAGACTCACTGACTCCATCTAAAAAGTCATGGCCACAGCCACGGTCAGCCCTACCATGTTCAATATCACCGCAGATGGCGAGCCTTTAGGCCATGTCTCCTTCGAGCTATTTGCAGACAAAGTTCCAAAGACATCAGAAAACTTTCATGGTCTGAGCACTGGAGAGAAAGTGCTCCTGCCTTTGCAGAATTATTCCATTATGTACCTGAGTGGTGACTTCACACGACTTAACGGCAGTGGTGGTAAGCCCATCTACAGGGAGAAATTGGATGATGAGAACTTCATTCTGAAACATGCAGGTCCTGGCATCTTGCTGGACTCAACACAAATGGTTCCCAGTTTTTCATCTGCACTGCCAAAATCGAGTGGCTGGATGGCAAGCGTGTGATGTTTGGCAAGGTGCAAGAGGGCATGAATCAATATCACAGAAGCCAGGGAGAGCTTTGGGCCAGGAATGGCAAGACCAGCAAGAAGATTGCCATTGCCGACTGTGGACCACTCTAATGAGTTTATCTTATGTTTTTGGTTTTTTTTTTTTTTTTTTTTTTTTGAGACGGAGCTCTGTCGCCCAGGCTGGAGTGCAGTGGCGCGATCTTGGCTCACTGCAAGCTCCGCCTCCCAGGTTCACGCCATTCTCCTGTCTCAGCCTCCCGAGTAGCTGGGACTACAGGCGCCCGCCACCATGCCCGGCGAATTTTTGTATTTTTAGTAGAGACAGGGTTTCACCATGTTAGCCAGGATGGTCTCGATCTCCTGACCTTGTGATCCACCCGCCTCGGCCTCCCAAAGTGCTGGGATTACAGGCATGAGCCACCGCACCCGGCCTATCTTATGTTTTATCTTAACCAGCAGACCACTGCTTCTGTAGCTCAGGAGAGCACCCCGCCACCCCATTTCTCACAGTACCGTATCATATTGTGCTCTTAATGCAGTTCGTTGGGTTTCGTATTTTCTTTATTCCTGTCTATGGCTAGCTGGACTGCCGAGTTAAGGTTATGATTATGAAATAATAACTAAATAACGAAAAAAAGGTCATATCCACAAAGCAAGCCAATGTCTGCCAGGGAAGATTAAAGTGTGTGCATGCTGACCCTTCCCTTGAATTCAGTGACCCAAACTTTCCAGTGGACAGTTCTTGGAAATGAACGGTTAAGGACCACTCCTACCCCAAACTCCTCCTCTTGTCACTTGTGAGATTTCAGCTGTTGGTCTCACCTGCATTAGGAGGGCACTAAGATGATTCTTATCAGATCCATGTGGTTTTAAGGGAAAGGAGTGGTGGTTGCTATTATAGACGAGACGAAAGGAAAAACTCACAGCAATTTATACGTTCTCAACACCTTCTCAAGAAGAAGAGAGTTGAAAAAAATCTCAGAACCACCCCCCTCAGATGCAATTTCAAACATACACCCACATACAACACCCCAACCTTAATCAGCCTTTGAGTTAGATTAAATTGACTTCCAGCACCACAAACACACCCGCCGGCCAGGCCTCTCATTACCACCTGCACAGGATTGCTTTTCAAAGGCTGGGCTTTTCTCATTACAATCTCGAGTCCAAAAAAATAGGAAGCAATGCTGGGAGGAGGGGAGAGAACAAAACCTTATTTATTCACACATAAAATATACTTATTCTAATCACCCCTGGATACACTGATCTCCTTCAATATACAGTCAGGACTTCACGAGCAACATGATGCAGTGTTAAGAACATAGAATGCAAATAATAATAATATCTATACTTAACAGTAGTAATTTGATTTCCTGGTTTGAGAAGCTGCTATTAAGGGCATTACCTACTTAACTCCTCAATGCGTTCTTAGTCCCCATTTTATAGATGAGAAAACAGAGATCTACAAAGTTGCAGTAATTTGCCCAAAAAATCACAAAGAAAGGCGTCTAGCCAGATGAGAAACCCAACACCTACACTGTCTCCTGGTAAAAGGTATATGATATTTGGGTTGGGCGCCGTGGCTTATGGCTGTAATCCCAGCACTTTGGGAGGCTAAGGCAGGCGGATATCTTGAGGTCAGGAGTTTGAGAACAGCCTGGCCAACATGGCAAAACCCCGTCTCTACTAAAAAATATGAAAATTAGCCATGTATGGTGTTGGCTTTCAGGAAGGCTGAGGCAGGAGAATCACTTGAGCCCAGGAAGCAGAGGTTGTAGTGAGCTGAGATCATGCCACTGCACTCCAGCCTGGGTGACAGAGCAAGGTTCCATCTCAAAAAAAACAAACAAACAAAAAAGGCTATGATATTTGAACCTTGGTGTGCTTGAATTTCAGCCTGAGCACTTCTGAGGCAAGATACCTTGCATGGATCACATATTTTTTCTGAAACTCAACTTCCTTATCTGCTCTCTCTGCAACTCTAGGCAAGAGTGCCCATTTAGCCCAGGGTAGGGCCTCAACAAACTCTATTCCCTTTCCTTCACCCAGAGTTTTCTCTAGACTTTGCCAACTGCTTTGTTTAAGACAATCTCCCAAAGTCAATATGTGCTGGAAACTGTGCTGAGAACTTGCACATGTCACCTCATTCCGCCCATGCAGCGTTACTGAAAAATGCATTGGTTCCCCCTCTGTTTGACTGGCGAGGCAACTGATGCTTCAGGATAGTCAACAACTGGTCCAAAATGACCACACTGTCAAGTAATCAACTCATAGTTTAAACCAATGGTTCTCAAAGCAGGTGAGTTTCGGGGGATATTTGCAAGGTCTGGAGACATGTTTAGTTGTCACGCCCAGGGGGTGGTGCTGTTAGCGCCTACAGACTAGAGTCCAGGGATGCAGCTAAACACCCCGACGACGCGCAGGACAGCCCAGCCCCGCTGCAAGGAATCATCCAGCCCAAATGTCAATAGTGCCAAAGTTGAGAATCCTTTGGTTTAAACCAGATTTATCTGACATCAAAGTCGATGAACTTGCACTGTTTTGCTTCCCTAACTGAGGGTTTCTCAGCAGTACTGACATTTGCAGTCAGATAATTCTGTTATGGCAGCTGTCCTGTAGGATATTTGTAGGTTATGTGTAGGATGTTTGCAGCATCCCTAGTTTCTACCCATTGGATGCCAGTAGCACCTCCTCTCAAATCGTGACAACCAAAAATGTCTCCAGATATTGCCAAATGTTCCCAGCACTCGCTCCTCTTTCCCCTGGGGGGCAAGTCATTCCCGTTTGAGAATCATTTTCCTAATTTAAGGAAATGAGCTATGAAATGAGAATAACAAAACAGCCCTGAAAAATATTAAGAGAATATCCCGGATGACCATTATTTGCATGTGTTTTTAAAAAGTAGATATGTCTGTTTAAGTATACACACATGCACTTACATATGTAGCCATGTATATATATAATGTTTCATACCTGGGCACATATGGCAGGAAGAAATATTGACCAACCTCTTTTTTTTTTAAATTTTTTTAATTTCTGGGGTACATGTGCAAGATGTGCAGGTCTGTTAAATAGATAAACGTGTGCCATGGTGGTTTCCTGCACCTGTCAACCCATCACCTAGGTATTAAGCCCGGCGTGCATTAGCTATTTTTCCTGATGCTCTTCCTCTCCCAGCCAGGCAGGCTCCAGTGTCTGTTGTTCCCCTTCCACCCATATGTCCATGTGCTCTCATTGTTCCACTGCCACTTACAAGTGAGAACAGTGTTTGGTTTTCTGCTTCTGTATTAGTTTGCTGAGGATAATGGCTTCCAGCTCCATCCATGTCCCTGGAAAGGACATGATCTCATTCCTTTTTATAGCTGCATAGTATTCCATGGTGTATATATACCACATTTTCTTTATCCAGTCTATCATTGATGGGCATTTGGGTTGACTCCATGTCTTTGCTATTGTGCATAGTGCTGCAATGAACATATGTGTGCATGTATCTTTATAATAGAATGATTTCTATTCCTTTGGGTATATAACTGGTAATGGGATTTCTGGGTCAAATGGTATTTCTGGTTCTAAATCTTTGAGGAACCACCACACTATCTTCCAAAATGGACCACCCTCTTTCTATCCCTGCATGTGAGTTCTCACTTCTCTCACTTGGGTTCCAGAGACTACATAGCAGAGCAGAAATATAGTGCAGTGTTCCCTTTCTTGTTGTCCATGTTCTGGTTTTGGAACCTCATTATCATTCCAAAATGAATTAGATCTTAATTTGAAACAAAGCTATTCACTCAGAGGGACTTCCAGCCCTCAGACACTGGACAGCAGAAGAGTCCACAAAAGCATGAGAGGGTCCAAGGTCCAGCATCAGAGTCAGGTGCTCATTTCCCTGCAAGGAAGCCCATCCTTCTCCAGTAAACTAAAAATTTACATCTGAAAAATTTGATGCGTCTTCACGGGTGTATATTGAGAATTTCCATGTCTGGGAAAATTGAGGCACAGCCAAGTTCTAGCAAGCTCTCCGTGATGATATAAAACAGAGGTAGGCAAACTTGTTCTCTAAAGAGCCAGATGGTAAACATTTCAGGTCTTGCAGGTGATGCAACCTCCATTGCAACTATTGAGCTCTGCCATTATAGCATGAAAACAGCCACAGACAATATAATAATAGGCCAGGCCATGTTCCAATAAAACTTTATTTGTGAACACTGAAATTTGAATTGCAGGTAGTGTTTATGTCATAAAACGTTCTTTTGTTTTTTTTTTTCTCACCATCTAAAAATATAAACATTATTCTTAACACCTGGGTCATACAGAAACAGGTAGCAGGCTGAATTTGGTCCATCCCTCCCTTACATAGAACATGACAAAAAAGGGAATTCCTGCTGTCTCCAAAAAAACCCATAAATTCCCACTTTTCTATCCTTAAGATGAAAGAAATTACCCTCGATATTGGGAACTCAGTTCAGTTACCACTATAGGAATTAATCTACCAATATCTGAACTTCTGGAATGTTCTGTTTACCTAGCCCAGGATAAACAGGGGAGGACAAACTCCGAGTAACTGAGTGCTGGCTTTTTTTCTTTTCCTGCTATGACTTCATGAAAGGGTTGTTTACGGTAGGAAGTAACCAATGATTTTGATTGCTTCAGGACTTCCTGGTTAAAAAATAAAATGGAGAAGAAGAAAGAGGAAAGTCCTCAAGTTGTAAGCTTTGGAAATACAAAGCCCTCAGGTCCTGTGTAAAATTGAACATGAAAAATAGGCCTCTAATTTCTGTCCTCTCTCCCTAAGCAGTCAACCATTGGAGAAGGTGACTGGGGGAGACCCTTGGCTCAGAACTTCTTGGTGGTTATAAATTCTTTATCAACTATGGCTTATGTTTTTACAGGGAATTTTCTTCTTCCTCTTCTTCTTTTTTTAAGTTACGGTGATCACAATTTTCAGATTTTTGACTACTTATCAAACTTTTTTTCCCTCCCCCTCTTAACAGAGAAGGTCAGTCACTTTTAAGATATAAGAGAATTTGAGAACAGATTAATGACAAAGATAAATGATGATTTTTATTTTAGCGGAAGTTTCAGCGCGTTTTCTGCCCAGCCTGGGTACTGCTAATAAAGTATACTTGACATATAACTGCGTAAGTTCTTTGCTTTAAAGTTCAATGATGGATCAAAAGAGAGAATTCTCTCTTTAGAAAGAAATGTCCTGGAAGGAAAAATAAAAGGAAGGTGGAGGGGAAGCTCATACATCCCTTTTGTCTTTTTCTCTTCTCTTTGTGGCCCAGAGACAGAGCATTGAGTGACTTCTTCAGAAAAGAGATCAGTGAAATTGTCAGTTGATTACTTCTCCTTGATTAGCATTTATAAGAGCCCTGTGATACAGTATTTGCATTCCTATTTAGCCGTGATTTTTGTGGGGCACCAATGATTAAACTTGTCACAGGGCTTGATTGACGGGGTCAGATCTTCACTTTCTACTCTTTTGAAATTAAAAACAAATGTGTCAGCTCCCTTCATGGGCTGGAGCGCCGTGAAGCTCGCCTGCCTTGTCATTGCAGATAGGTCAGGAATGTTTTAATTTTAGGGATGGATTCTGCTTGTCAAGTAGAGTGTGATGGCGTGTGGTTCTGGAGATGAGATGTGAAGGGTGTAGCACAAAGAAGGGGAAGAACAAAGACAAAGACACTCACATTATTAGACAGATTTAATTAGTCTGAATGGATATTATGCTAGATGAAGCAGTGAGCTGTGAAATTAACCCTTGATTACGGATTGGCGGATCCTACTCATAAAGAGAATCAAACCTTTGTGGAGAGACGCGAGGTATGATTTCAGTTTCTCCTACCCTTCCGGGTTGCATGCCAGATCCCCACCCCCACCACCCACCCCTGTCGACTTAAACACCAGAATCTGTAGGGGGAAAAAAACTGTGGAAGTTCATCTTTAACTTGAGCAGGCAGGTATACCTAGAAAAGGAATTCCACCTGGCTTCCTCTCTTCAACTTTAGAGAAAGCAACAAGCCCAGGGTGGTTGGATGTGAAGCTAAGAGGCTCACAAAGACACAGATTTCTGAATCCAAAATAGAGAACAGAAATAGCTAAGTTTGAATAAGAGCCATGTATTTTGAGGGTCTGAAGTGAATAGCTCTATCCACTGCAGTAGAGGGTCACCTCCCGGGAATGTTTGTCCTTCATACAATGTGCCCCCCAACTTACTGCTGCCTTTCCATGGTCTTCTCCAGTGAATCCCAGCTGCATCCTGACTTCCAAGAACTTCAAGCATGTTAAGAAAGGGATGGAAGGCCTAGAGCCCTCACCCAGCATTGATGGTCAACTAAGAAAAGTCTCTCAAACATTAATACTAAGGACTCTAACATGGAGGGGGACATGGGCGAGATGGGTCTGAGATCATGTGGCCTTCCAGAAATCCTTTAACTTATCCAAATTATCTGATTTGGCACACTCTGGACTCTACTGATAAAGGCTTTGTACAAAGCTTGCACCAACTAACATCTCTATTTTTAAGTGACTCAGTCCAAATCATTCTCCAGCACTGATTCCAGGAATGAGAAGTCTCTGTGGGGGCATGATGTGGAGGAGAAGTATCTGTTAGGCTGGCCCAGGTCATGTGGAAAGTCAGCAAATTAGGAAATGCAGAAATGGAGTTAGAGAATTTGCTCCGCAGCTCTTTCACAAACTCAGTCTTCTCGTTGGTGAATGAGATGTGTAGCTCCTTCTTTAACAATTGTGCTGAAATCTTAACTGTGTACTTTAAGTGCCAAGAAAGGCACTGTGTATTATTATTATAGCTCTCTGTAGAAAACATGGCACTAATTCTAAGTCACTTTTCTGGCTCTGTCTCCATCCAGTCTTCCTTATCACAGTTTCCCACTTTGATGTATAAGTGGCTTCAGTTTGGGGAACTCCTGGTTGAGGAATTCCCTGAACAAACAATTTCCAAGTGTGGTCTTGAGACTCTGAATCAATTGTCATGAATTGCAGATAACTTATTCCCAATCATTGTTGAAGGATGAGGGTGGTCAATGAACTCATTGGCATTACACTTTAATTTTCTGAATGGAACAGACAAATGGGAAATTGTAATCCTAACCCTGGCTCCATTTATGAAAATGCAAATTCTCTAACTCCATTTCTGCAATTCCTAATTTGCTGACTTTCCACATGACCTGGGCGGGCCTAACTGATACTCCTCTTCCACATCATGCCCCCACAGAGCCGTCTCATTCCTGGAATCATAAAAATGTCATGCATGTGAATGACAGGCATCGCAGGTCAGGGGAGGGAAACTGTTGAGAATCTCTGCTCTATCAGGAAATGCCAGTTTCCCTTCACTGGCTTGTGCTTTAGGTGACCATACTGTGGAGGTCACATTGCTCCAGGTAGATGGTTGTATCTCAAAGTCCTTTTGCTTTTGTCTCTGGAAAATCAGATGATTCTACAGGTAAACACAGCTATAGTTACTGCTATTCAGAAATGAGTATTGTTTCCTTCCCAAAGATAGGTTTTGTTTCTGAAGAAATTTCTTTCTTAGAACTAAGTGATACAAGAAATAACCCACTGCCTCCGATTTGACTTCACTGAGGTTTAGAGGAGGAAATCTGCCTTTACGGGACTTGATAAGGGAACACAGAGCAACCTCCACCACAGAGAATTATGCAGCCCACAGTGTCAATAGTGCCAAAACAAAAGGGACATTGTGATCCTAACCCCAGCTCCATTTATGAAGATGATAAATTCCTTACCAGAGAAATAGAGAAATCTCTTGATATGGTTTGGCTGTGTCCCCACCCACATCTCACCCTGAATTCCCACGTGTTGTGGGGGGAACCCAGTGGGAGGTAATCGAATCATGGGGGCGGGTCTTTCCCGTGCTGTTCTCGTGATAGTGAATAAGTCTCACGAGACCTGATGGTTTTAAAAACGGGAGTTTCCCTGCACAAGTGCTTTTCTCTTGTCTGCCACCATGTGAGACATGCCTTTCACCTTTTGCCATGATTGTGAGGCCTCCTCAGCCAAGTGGAACTGTTAAGTTCATTAAACCTCTTTCTTTTGTAAATTGCCCAGTCTCAGGTATGTCTTCATTAGTAGCGTGAAAACAGACTAATACACATCTCTTGTCAGGAGAATCAAAAAATTCTATTAGGGGATTCCTGGCACTTGATACCCTTGACCCTGAAGGTACACAGAGTGGTTTAGATGGTACTTGGGTGAGCTTTTCTATGGTTATGTATTTATTTTAAAGCATATTCAATTGTGTGTGTGTGTGTCAGGGTGTCAGGGTTTCTCAGGTCTGGCACTACTGACGTTGTGAGTTGAATAATTCTCTGGGGTGGGCAGTCCCACACATTGCAGGATGTAGCAGTATCCTTGGTCCTCATCTGCTGGATGCCAGGACTCTCACCAGGCCAGGTGGGACAGCTAAAATATCTCCAGATACTTCCAAATGTTCTCTGAGGGACAAAATCACTCCCAATTGAAAAACCCTACTATATATCTATGATTCTATAGACATTATTGGACATTATTGCTTAAGGGGATAAGGCTTCTTTTTTTGAGACAGAGTCTCACTCTGTCACCCAGGCTGGAGTACAGTGGCCCTGTGTTGGCTCACTGCAACCTCTGTCTCCAGGGTTGAAGCGATTCTCCTGCCTCAGCCTCCCGAGAAGCTGGGACTACAGGCTCCCTCCAACACACCCAGCTGATTTTTGTATTTTTAGTAGAGACAGGGTTTCACCACATTGCCCAGGCTGGTCTCAAACTCCTGACCTCAAGTGATCCACCCGCCTTGGCCTCCCAAAGTGCTGGGATTACAGGCATGAGCCACTGCACCCGGCCAAGGATAAAGCTTTTTAAAGTTACAGAAATTAAAGAAAAATATTATATTAAAAAAATAGAGAGAGAATACAGGTGATAGTGCTGTGGCAGAAATCAAGAAATCAGAAATCAAGAAGGTTATATGTGAGAGAAAGAAGTTTATGGGCCATATGCAGTGGCTCACACCTGTAATCCTAGCACTTTGGGAGGCCGAGGTGGGAGGCTCACTTGAGCCCAGGAATTCAAGATTAACCTGGGCAACATAGTGAGACCCCATCTCTTCTAAAAGGAAAAAGAAAAAATAATAAAAGATTTTTTAAATAAAGCGAGAAATTTAGGAAACACTGATTTGATTTAGTTTAGTTTAGTTTAGTTTTGTTTTGTTTTTGTTTTGAGATGGAGTCTTGCTTTGTCGCCCAGGCTGGAGTGCAGTGGCGTGGTCTCGGCTCACTACCTCCTCCTCCCGAGTTCAACTGATTCTCCTGCCTCAGCCTCCCGACTAGCTGGGACTACAGGTATGCGTCTCCACGCCCAGCTAATTTTTGTATTTTTAGTAGAGACAGTGTTTCACCAGGCTGGTCTCGAACTCCTGACCTCAGGTGATCCACCTGCCTCAGCTTCCCAAAGTGCTGGGATTACAGGCATGAGCCACTGTGCCAGGCCTGATTTAGTTTTTAATTCACATTTTACGATGTGGATAACTGAAATCCAGAACATGAGATGGACTTGTCCAAAATCATGAAGCTGTCACTCCCTGTATTAACATCACTAAGACAATGCAGGAAAGGCACTTAGGGCTGGGTGCAGTAGCTCATGCCTGTAATCCCAGCACTTTGGGAGGCCGAGGCAGATCACTTGAGGTCAGGAGTCCTAGACCAGCCTGGCCAGCATGGCGAAACCCCATCTCTACTAAAAATACAAAATTAGCCAGATGTGGTGGCACATGCCTGTAATCCCAGCTACTCAGGAGGCAGAGGCAGGAGGATCACTTGAACCCAGGAGGCAGAGGTTGTGGTGAGCTGAGATCACGCCAGTGCACTCCAGCCTGGGTGATGAGAATGAAACTCTGTCTCAAAAAAAAAAAAAAAGAAGAAGAAGAAGAAAAGAAAGGCACTTAGCACACCACCTGCCACCTAGTAATAATAACAATCCCTACTACATATTGAGCACTTGCTATGGGACAGGTACTGTTTTAGGCTCTTTACCTGTAGCAACTCATTGAATATTTACAACAACCCTGTGAGGTAGGAATTATTATTATTCCCATTTATAAAAAGAGAGAAGAAAATAAGTTAAACAAATCCATGGTGAAGGTGGAAGAGAATAAGCCATTTTGTGGAGCTGGGGATGGGAATGTGTGATTTATTATTTATGCTTTCTTTCATACCTATTTTAAGATATTTCTCTAAGTGTCTACTATGTGCCAAGTAATATGTTGCATGTGGCCCAGAAAATACACATAATAAAAACACGTAAATAACAGTCAATTATTACCATTAGCTGTTATTCCCATGGTTCTGTGTGCTGTTACTGAGTTAGTAAAGGAAGCCTATAGCTGTCACTTCTTGCATATCATTCATGCAAATCTGGAGAATTTGTGGGTTTTTTATTTAAATAGCTTTAGGGGTATACACAGATTTTGGTTACATGGATGAATTATATAGTAGTCAAGTCTGAAATTTTAGTGCATTGGTCACCCGAGTAGTGTACCCAAAATGTAGTTTTTTCCTCACTCCCTTCCAACCCTCCCCACTTCTGAGTCTCCAGTGTTCATTACACCATTCTGCATGCCTTCACTCACCCATAACTTAGCTCTCACTTATAAGTGAGAACATATGGCATTTGGTTTTTCCATTCCTGAGTTACTTTACTTAGAATAATGGCCTCCAGTTCTGTCTAAGTTGCTGCAAAAGACATTATTTCATTCTTTGTATGGCTAAGTAGTATTCCATGCTGTGTAAATACCACATTTTCTTTATCCACTCATCAGTTGATGGGCACTTAGGTTGGTTCCATATCTTTGCAATTGTGAATTATGCTGTGATAAACATACATGTGCAGGTGCCTTTTGATATAACAATTTATTTTCCTATGAGTAGATACCTAGTAGTGGGATTCTTGGATTGAATAGTAGTTCTATTATTAGTTCTTTGAGAAACCTCCATACTATTTTCCATAGTGATTGTACTAATTTACATTTCCATCAGCAGCATATAAGCATTCCCTTTTCACTACATCCATGCCAACATCTATTGTTTTTTGACTTCTTAATAATAGTCATTCTGGCTGGGGTAAGGTGACAAAATGCTCAACATTGCTAATCATCAGGGAAAAGCAAATTAAAACCACAATGAGAATTTTGTTTTTTTCAGTTGGGCTTCTGAAGTTTTGTTACTTAAGAAAATTCTAAGTTAGGAATGCTTTAGGCTGCAAATAAAAGGCAGCTTTACTTATAGTGATTTGAATAAATCAAGATTTTCTTTTCTCACCATCCCAACATCCAGAAGTAGGCAACAATGGCATTGAGTCAATGGATTAGTGATGTTAATCACTAATTGACATCTGGATTAGAAGATGTCTCTGTGAGTCTTTTGATCATTGCCTTACAACTGCAAGATGGCTGCATCATGTCCACATTCAAGGTAGGAAAAGGAGTGAAATAACAGTACTAGCTACCTTTGCCCCTCTTCTCAGAGGAGCAAATCTTTCTTGGAAACCCAGCAGAATTCTACATGAACCTCCTCAGCCAAACTGTGTAATTTTGTCATCCTTAGCTGCAAGATGCTGTGACATATTTAACTGGGCACACTGTCACAGAAAACAAAACTAGGATTTTGTCCGGGCACTGTGGCTTACACCTATAGTCCCAGCATTTTGAGGCACTAAGGAAGGAGGATCACTTGAGCATGGGGGTTCTAGACTGCAGTGAGCTATGATCATGCCACTGCATTCCAAACTTGGGGACAAAGAGAGACCCTGTCTCTACAAAAAGTTTAAAACATACATTAAATGGGTGTCGTAGCATGCACCTGTAGTCCCAGCAACTCAGAAGGCTGAGGCTGGTGGAGGATCGCTTGAGCCTAGGAGTTTAAGGCTGCAGTGAGCTATGTTCATGCCACTGCACTCCAGCTTGGGCAATAAAGCAAGACTCTGTCTATAAAAAGAAGCAGAACAAACCAACACAGACACACAGACACACAGACACACACACACACACACACACACACACACACACACACAGAATTTTATTGGCAAGGAAGAAGAGTGAAATGGATATTCCGTAGGTAACTAATGGTATCTGTCCCAGGGACTAATCCAGTAGCAAGAATGTTCTGTCAGTCCTTTTTACCTTTTCTCCCCAGTCTTTTCTCATCCTGTAACCAGCAATTGACTGGAAATCTGTTTATCTTTCTCAATTGTTAATTGATCATCAAATGTTGACTAGATACAGTATTGGCCAAAAATTTCCTAAATAAAATGGGCTTTATGAAATGCATTTTTTTGAGATGGGATCTCACTCTGTTGCCCAGGCTGGAGTGCAGTGGTGCAATCTTGGCTCACGGCAACCTCCACCTCCCGAGTTCAAGCAATTCTCCTGCCTCAGCCTCCCAAGTAGCTGGGACTACAGGCACATGCCACCATGCTCAGCTAATTTTTTTGGATTGTTGGTAGAGATGAGTTTTCACCATGTTGGCTGGGCTGATCTTGAACTCCTGACCTCAGGTGATTTGCCTACTCGGCCTCCCAAAGTGCTGGGATTACAGGCACGAGCCACCACACCCAGCTGGAATGTATTAATAATGTAATCATAATCATCATTACTGCTACTACCACCACCACAAGAATAACCTGTTGAGTATTTCCCATGAATTCTAAGTGTTTCACATACATTATCTCATGTAATCATCACAATGACCCTCCAGGTATTATCATCATTCAAATTTAAGGTCACCCAGCTTGGAAGAGGTGGATCTAGACCTTGAACCCAAGCCCAAGCCACTGTTTTTGCTTTTAAGGTGCTGACAATACAATAAGGGAGACAAGAGTAACTCATAAGAAGTAGTCTACCAGTACTGCAAGACAAAATAATACTAAGTACTAAACTATGTGGTCCTGGAAATAGGTTTTGGAAGAATCATAAGGAAGATCGTTTTCATGAAGGCCACATGTAGTCAAGAAAGACACTTGAGTTGTCCGTTAGGGGGATATTAGACTTGTTTTCTACGTGTAGTGGTTATCAGGGTCAGTTCTGCTCTCCCAGCTACAACAAACACACAGAACCAAACAGAACTTAGGAAGTCTGGAGAGCCGCAAAGCAAGCAGACACCATTAGACTCTGCGTAGATTTGTTTAGAGTTTGTGGGCATTGTTGAGGTCTCTCAGGGTCTGCTGACAGTCCTGTGACCATCTGCCTGGCAGCAAGGACTTCAGTTGTTTGCAATGCTTTGGCCAAGCCGAGAGCACGCGGATCTGGATGCACAGCTGCTGAGCGTGTGCTGACGGGCCTCAGCTCCTCGAGCGTGTTTGTTCAGACTGGTCTGCCTAAATCCACTCCAAAATTCTTCCGAGCCAGAAAAGGAGAACATGTGCTTTCTTTTCACATAGTATTTCTGAATGCCCATGAATATAAAAGAGAGAAAACAAAACCAAAAAAGTCTAAGATACATGATATTCCCAAACAACAAAAAAGACAGGAAGCTTTCGGAATCAGAAATCTGGCCCTTTCTTAAGGGAATTCCCTGTTGGTTTGGAGACCATGCTGGTTGTTAGAAAATTTAGATAAGGAACAATTTTATTTCTTTGCAGCACAGTTCAACCATTATTTTCTGAGTACCAATTGTGTGCAAGGTCCTGTGTCAGATTCTAGAGCAAGATGCTAATGGATGCAAAGACAAGCAAGACCATCAGGAAACTTTTTGGCAGAAGAAGCAATAAAGACTTCACTGAGACCAGGACAAGAGGGTGATTTGGAGCACTGCTAAGATGACTGTTTCCTTCTTTGTTTTTCCCCCGCCCCGGGTAATGAGCACATATTGCAGAAAGAACTTTACATAAAAGTTGAAAACGTATCTATGTGAAAAAACAAAATAAGGGAAGGCATTATAGCATGGTAACAGGGAACTTTTTTTAAATTAATTTATTTATTTTGAGACAGAGTCTTGCTCTGTCGCCCAGGCTGGAGTGCAGTGGCGCGATCTTGGCTCACTGCAACCTCTGCCTCCCAGGTTCAAGCAATTCTCCTGCCTCAGCCTCCTGAGTAGCTGGGATTACAGGCGCGTGTCACCACGCCTGGCTAATTTTTTGTATTTTTAGTAGAGACGTGGATTCACCATATTGGTCAGGCTGGTGTCGAACTCCTGACCATGTGATCTGCCCACCTCAGCCTTCCAAAGTGCTGGGATTACAGGCATGAGCCACCACACCTGGCTGTAAGAACATTTATTTGGAAAGCAGCTTTATGCAAGCTCAAGGTCAAGCTCTCCCTCTTGCTAAGTGTGTGACTTTTAGTAAGTTATTTATCACCCTGTGTCTCAGTTTCCTCGTGTCTAAGATGGGCATGATAATACCCCAACCTCACAGGACTGAGACAATGCAAGAAAAGCACTGAGCACAGTGCCTTGCACGTAACAAGTGCTCCGTCAATTTTTCTTTTCAATGATAGCAATAATGATAACATATTGTTATGATCATCAGGCGTAGTGCAGTATCTGGAATAGAGTGAGCACTCAGTGATGGTTTCTATGGCTGGGCTGTTTTTTGTGCTTCCACTGTTGAAGTATTTAACACAGTATCTGGCAACACCTGGTGACTCAAAGAGCAAGCTATGATGGTTCCAAAGCTGGGGCTCAGGGTGAAACTCTCTCTATGGGAGATCTCTGGGATTCTCCTGTTCAGGCTTAACGATGAAAGGTAATGTGCCTTCTTTTCTTTTATCTCCAAGAAACTACGCTAGTCAGTTTGATCCTGCCCAAAGTCGCCATAAAGTTAAAATTCACAAAACCAAACCCAGAAGCTCAGAGGCTGCCCAGGGAAGGACACACAGTGCCCTGCGGTGTGTCTGTGTTTCTACATCTGAAGCCGTGGACGACGTACCTAGACAGAAGATGCCACGGATCTGGCCCCAGGGCTTATTTTATTTATTTATTATTATTATTATTATTATTATTTTTTTTTTTTTTTTAGATGGAGCCTTGCTCTGTCATGCAGGCTGGAGTGCAGTGGTGGGATCTTGGCTCACTGCAACCTCCGCCTCCCGGGTTCAAGCACTTCTCCTGCCTCAGCCTCCCCAGTAGCTGGGATTACAGTCATCTTCCACCACGTCCGGCTAATTTTTTTTTTATAGTTTTAGTAGAGACACAGCTTCACCATGTTGGCCAGGCTGGCCTAAAACTCCTGACCTCAAGTGATCCACCTGCCTCGGCCTCCCAAGGTGCTGGGATTACAGGTGTGAGCCATTCCACCCAGCCTCCTTTCCTCCTGTTCACTTACTCTTGGCCCTAGCAATTCTGTGTGATTCCAGGATAAGCCTCATGCTTTTTTTGGAATTCCATCTTCTTGCTCCCATTGTCCTCCTTGTCTCTTTCATATGAATGTTTTCTATATTTCAAAGCCCTGCTCAAACACCACCTCCTCCAGAAAGGCTCCTGGTATCCTCTTTCTTTTCTAACCTAGAAAAGAGTATGCCCTCCTCTGGGCACCTCCAGAATATTCTCTCACGTCTTATATGACATGTGTCAATCTGTACCTTGATTTATAATCACGTGTGTGTTAGGACTATGGATTGCACATGACAGAAAAATCCACTCAGGCCAGGCACAGTAGCTCACGCCTGTAATTCCAGCACTTTGGGAGGCCGAGGCAGATGGATCACTTGAGGTCAGGAGTTCAAGACCAGCCTGGCCAACATGGTGAAACCCTGTGTCTACTAAAAATACAAAAATTAGGCAGGCATGGTGGCAGGTGCCTGTGATCCCAGCTACTCTGGAGGCTGAGCCAGGAGAATTGCTTGAACCCGGGGGACAGAGGTTGCAGTGAGCCAAGATTGCACCACTGCACTGCAGCCTGGGTGTCAGAGCAAGACTCCATCTAAAAGGAAAGAAAAGAAAAGAAAAGAAAAAAGAAAAATCCACTCAAACCAGTTTAAGCACAGAGGGATTTTACTGGCTCCTGGGAAGGTCAAGGGTGCAACAGATTCAGGCAATGCTAGATCCAGTGCTTAAGTGGTGTCACTGGAAATCTGGCCTTCTCCACCCGACATGGTTTGGATCTTTGTCCCCTCCAAATCTCATGTTGAAATGTGATCCCCAATGTTGGAGGTGGGGCCCAGTGGGAGGTGTTTGGGTTATGGGGGCAGATACCTCGTGAATGGCTCAGTGTCCTCCCTGTGGAAATGAGTGAGTTCTTACTCTGTTGGTTCACACCACGGCTGACTGTAAAAAAAGTGTGACACCTCTCCCTCTCTCTCTTGTTCTCTCTCTTGCGTGTGATGTGCCTGCTCCTCCTTCACCTTCTGCAGTGAGTAAAAGCTTCCTGAGGGCTGGCCAGAAGCAGATGCCAGCACTATGCCTCTTGTACAGTCTGCAGAACTGTGAGCCAAAATAAACCTCTTTTCTTTCTAAATTACCCAGTCTCGGGTATCCCCTTATAGCAACGCAAAACAGACTAATACACAGCCTCTCAAATCTCCTGGAAGGATGTACTTGGGTGTACTTTTCTTTCTTTTTTTTTTTTCTTTTTTTTTTTGGAGACAGAGTCTCACTCTGTCACCCAGGCTGGAGTGCAGTGGTGCAGTCTCGGCTCATTGCAACCTCTGCTTCCAGGGTTCAAGCAATTCTTGTGCCTCAACCTCCCAAGTAGCTGGGACTACAGATGCCCGCCACGACACCCCGCTAATTTTTTGTACTTTAGTAGAGATGGGCTTTCACCATGTTGGCCAGGCTGGTCTCCAACTCCTGAGCTCAGGCAATACCCAAGTGCTAGGATTACAGGTGTGAGCCACCAAGCCCAGCCTGCAAGGGCATAATTTTCATGTGGTGGCTCAGAAACCTCCAGCAGCCCCAAGTTGAGCCGTCATAATAAGAAAATTTATTTTTTAGGAAGAAATCTCTCATTGGACTACCTAGGGTCGTGTGCTCATCCCTGGACCAATCACTGTGGCTAGGAGAATAGAACATGCTGATTGGCCAGACTTGGGTCACATGCCCAGCCCTGTAGCTTGGAAGTGGGGTGAGCCCTATGGGATCCCCTGACCTAAAAATGAGAAAGCAGTGGATCCCCAAATAAAAATTAGGGCTGGGCTGGGTGCAGTGGCTCACGCCTGTAATCCTAGCATTTTGGGAGGCCAAGGCAGGTGGATCATCTGAGGTCAGGAGTTCGAGACCAGCCTGACCAACATGATGAAACCCCGTCTCTACAAAAATTACGAAATTAGCCAGACGTGGTGGCACACGCCTGTAATCCCAACTACTAGGGAGACTGAGGCTGCGGAATCGCTTGACCCCAGGAGGCGGAGGTTGCGGTGAGCTGAGATCGCGCCATTGCACTCCAGCCTGGGCAACAAGAGTGAAACTCCATCTCTAAAAAAAAAGAAAAATTAGGGCTGTCGCCTGAAGGAAACAACAATTATTTATGGCAGTTATACAGTTCCTGCCTGTTCATTTCTTGGTAATTCATAGTGCCTAGCATTTTGTTCATCATAAAGTACATGCTCAACAAAATTATCAAATAAATGAATAAACAAAGAGTATGACTTTAAAATGTACCTACTGACTTTGCACATGTCTTCCTCTGACACTCACAGTTATACTGTATTTGGCCAAGCAGAGATCACACATCATTTTGAGTATTTCTCCAGCTCTTTTAGGGAGTATCTTAGGAAACCAGACATCACAAATCCTTCCATCTGGAGTCAGTAATAATGCAGAAGATACTAATGTTTAATAATCCAAAGTGCCTAGCTCACTATTAAAAAAAAAATTTTTAACCTAATAAGAGAGAATTGGCCGTGACCAAGTCCTTGACCTGTCTGTTGGAATCCTCCCTTTCTAGCCATTTCTGGTCATGAAAATTGGGCAGGATTTCTGGCATCCTTTATGCTTCTTTGTTATTAAAAGCAGGATCAGTTAATAAATAATTATGATGCTCAGTTTCTAGGGAACAAGGAGATAAGGACAGGAACACTTGAGTCTCACAAATTACATGCTATAGTATAGATTCTCACCCAGAGTGAAGAATAGCCTAGCTTTTTTTTTCCCTGTGGCATAAATTGTTCTAATTATACGTGCAAGATCCTCTATTCCCAAAGATATGAGTTGGAAGCGCTGTGTCTGTTCTTTTAATTCCAAGAAGACTTTGCAGTTGGGTGTTTCCACCCCCCTTGTTTTCAAACTGAATTGTTTCAGTGGTAGCTTGGTGTGTCAGCTTGTAAGTCTATAAAACAGTTTTATACCAGCTGGAGATTCAACATGCTACATGAATACATAACAGTGCCTAACCAAGAAGGTTTGTAATTCAGTAATTAGCTGTAATTAATGAACACAAAGTGAAGACTCATTTACAGTTTAAATTATCACATTAGCTCCTGTCACCCTCTATGTACACAAAACAGCAGGAATTCAATTATTTTTATTCTTCAAAGCTAATTTAAAATTTAAGGGATGCCATTACATGAAATAATAGGTAGGAAATGTAATCGAAATCACTGGGAACAGTTGGCCGTCCTTAGAATTAAAAAAAAAAAAATGTGATCACTGACGATTTGGAAATGTTTTTTCATCTGTGAACAGATGAAGGATTGAAATCTCTGCTCTTTTCAGTATATTTAATTTAAAAGGAGAAGCGAGTTTGGTGGTTGCGGGATCTTCACGCAGGGAGAATCATGGTGCGTAATTGTAAAAGCAGCTGATAACTGATAATGCTGTTGATAGTAACAAGAGGGCAGCCTGGGAGACACACATTCCATTATCCCTAATGGAGCTGAGCCTTCTGCAATTGCAGGGGGTTCCTGGAATTGTCACCCATTTCTGATGCATCATTTCAGCTTGGGAGACCTTACGTCATTGTCACATTTCTGTCGTCCTTAATTCTTTGTTCGTATCTATGATAAATATTCTTTCATTCATTCATCAAACATTGACAGAGCACCTCCTCAGGCTCAGGCATTGTTCTAAGTTCCAGGACCACAGCAGTGGGGAAGACAGGCCACATTCCTGATCTCGTGGAGCCAACACTCCAGTGGGGAGAAACGGACAATAGCCAGGGGTTCTCAAGTTTGGCTGTGCCGTAGAGTTGGGGAGGAAGCTTTAAAAATACATGTGTATCAATGCCTGGTCCCAACCTCAATTGATTGAATCAAATTATTCTCACTCCTTTCTTTCATTACAACTCTTTAAGTATGCAAACACTTTCTTAGCTCAAGAGCTGCACAAAAACAAGCTGTGAACTACATTTGACCCACTCAAGCCACGTTGGGAAAAAACAAGACCAGCAAGTGCAAAGGCCCTGAGGCAGGTTTGGGCATCAGTATTTTTAGCAGCTTTCTAGGTGACTCACATGGTCAACCAGGGCTGAGAACCATTGTCACAGACTAACAAATACAACAAATACATGTTTATTGGTGATGAGTGCTGCAATAAAAATTAAGCAATTGAGTGTAGAAGGTAACTACAGGCTGCTCTGGATTGGGTGTTCCCCAATTTCTTAGGGAGGTGGCATGGGAGACCTGAGTGGTGAGAAGCCAATCTTGAGAAGATCTGGAAAGTTGTTCTATCTCAGCCATCAGTAAAACTTCTGCTGCTTTACTTCTTCCTTTTTTTTCCATTATAACCCTTATTTATTTGTTTATTTTATTTTATTTTATTTTATTTTATTTTATTTTATTTTATTTTATTTTATTTATTTTGAGATGGAGTCTCACTCTGTTGCCCAGGCTGGAGTGCAGTGGCACGATCTCGGCTCACTGCAAGCTCCACCTCCTGGGTTCCCGCCATTCTCCTGCCTCAGCCTCCCAAGTAGCTGGGACTATAGGCACCCGCCACCAAAACCGGCTAGGTTTTCTTTTTGTTTTGTTTTGTTTTTTGTATTTTTAGTAGAAATGGGGTTTCACTTGTTAGCAAGGATTGTCTCAATCTCCTGACCTCATGATCCGCCCACCTCGGCCTCCCAAAGTGCTGGTATTACAAGCGTGAGCCACCACGCCCAGCCTCGTATTTTATTTTTGAGATGGAGTCTCGCTCTGTCACCCAGGCTGGAGTGTAGTAGTGCGATCTCAGCTCACTGCAACCCCTGCCTCCCAAGTTCAAGCAATTTTTGTGCCTCAGCCTCCGAGTAGCTGGGATTACAGGCATGTGCCACCTTGCCTGGCTAATTTTTGTATTTTCAATAGAGGCAGGGTTTTGCCATGTTGGCCAGGCTAGTCTTGAACTCCTGACCTCAAATGATCCACCCGCCTCAGCCTCCCAAAGTGCTGGTGTTACAGGCGTGAGCCATCACTCCCAGCCTTTTCATTATAACCCTTTAAATGTGCAAACATTCTCTCCACTCGAGGGCTGTGCAGAAACAAATTGCAAGCCGAATTTGACCTATCCAAGCCATATTCTAAAGAAAAGGATCAGCAGGTGCAAAGCTCCTGAGGCAGGCATGAGTTGAGTGTGTTGGGTTGGGCAGAAAGAATGCCTGCGTAGGTGGGGCTTAGCTGGTAAGAAGGAGTAGATGAGGTTAGAGGAATGAGCAGGAATTTAGATTTTATTTTGTATTTGTTGAAAATATAAAGGAAGATTTTAAGCAGGGAATGTATGAGTGTGTGTACGTGTGTGTAAAGGAGACAGTTCTGTACCCATACTCTCCACAGTATGTTTCCCTGCAACCGCCACTAATCTCCTTCCATGCCAGTTCCAGGAAGAAAAGGAAAAGCAAACCCCATGTCAAAAGAATGCTGTGTCTGTTGCTTTGGACTTCTCTTTTCTGCACTTTCCCCCTCCTCTTCCCATATTCATTTTTCTTTTTCCTTTAAATAGGCCACTCGAAGCTGCACTGTCTAATTTTTCATAGGTGATCGACTGCTGAGCGGGGGCTTAGGTAGACAGAGGGAAGGTGCTGATAAGCCAGTGCACGGATTCTATTAGGGAAATGCGGTGGTAATTAATGAATCCTGCCAGTAATCGGGAAGGTGTGAGTCCCCGTAATATCGTAATGATAGTCATCTGTCTGCGAACCCCCCATCACTCTGAGAGATCGCTCATCGCTCTGTGATCTCAGACTCTTAGCCATGCAAATCTCCCTGACAGGACGCTATGTCTCTGTCTCCCTAATTGGGCATTCTAGAGTTGTTTATGGATATTGCCGGCATTTAGGCCTCAGTTGGAGGTTGTTCAAAAAGCGTTAGCAAACTTGCCTTAACAACATTGTCAAATATGTATTCCCCCGTTTCGATATCTGTTTTTAAGCCGGCAGAGGTTTGTGATGAAATTAAGTGATGCATTGTGTGCACTTGAGCTCTGGGCGTGATTGTTATTAAACCGTTTTTGAAGTAAAAACCAATTTGCAGTAATATCTCATCCCGCTTAAGATCAAACTTCAGTTTGTGTGCAGGAACTGGATGCTTTTTTAATAGCATGTCCTCGTTTCTATAGAGAACACTGAGTATGTTAATGCCATCCCAAGACACAACCATTTGCAAAAATTACAGTTTTGCATTGAGACTGGTTTCTAAACATCCATCACCATTTAATTCCAAAGAAGCGTCTTTACTGGAAGCACTTGCCACATTTTCTTGCCAGTATTTTTTTTTCTGCATACAAGTGGTCACCCTCTTGTCTTCCCCCAACTGGTGTGATCAATTGCTTGAAATGCCATGAAATATATATATTTTAAAAGCCTTTATAACTCTGATAAGTGAGCTTAATATTTCTGCCATGATGTTTAAGAGGGATCTTTTAAATATTTAGAAAACATGGGAAGTACCGTTTTAATGTATAATCAACACACTTTAAAATATTCAAATATGAACTGGGACAGTTTAGACTGCATCTTGATCAACTCTAAATAGGAGAAAAATTCAAGAAATTCTGGCCTCCATTTTCTTCCACATGAAGGAAGAAAGAGATGTCCATGCAAAGGGCAACATAGATTTAGAATCCTTTAACCCCGATTCTTCCATCCATGAGCCCTGGGTGGCCTTGATTAAGCTACCTAGCCTCTCCGATCTTCAGGTATCATCTGTCTCACCCATGCTCAAATGTCATTCTAAGGCTTAAAGCAAGTTAATGGCTGTGAATGTACATCATTTCCATGAGGGAAGGGGCTTGGCAGTCACACCCAAGTAGCTCTGCTGGGAGAACTTGAACAAATCACTGAATGCCCTCTGAGCCATAGTTTCTGCATCCGTAAAATGAGCCAGTTATACACACTTTGTAGGGTAGGTCTGAGGAGCAGAGATAATTAGTTGAAAGTACCCATGAAGCTGGAGACCCAGAAGTCTCTCCACCAATGGTGGCTACTGCCTGTTGAAACCCGTGGAGAGCTAGGCCTGGTGTGTTCCAAGGGCATTCGCAGAGTGGATGGGGGAACCAAGGCACCATCAACACTGAAGAGAGGTTTGGAGAGAGGGAACGCGTCCCTGGGAATCGTCTCTCTAGAGTTTAAGTACGGTGGCCAGCCATCATCGTTTTCCCGGGACTGAGGCATTTCCCAGGACAAGGGACTAAAACCAGGATGAGAAGTCACCCTATGTTTGAACAAATCTCCTCTTCAGCCCAAGAAATGGACAGGTCATGGTTCACTGAAGCCCCAGTTTCCCTGAGAACCTTCTCCATCTTCCATTCTGAGCTCTGTTTGCTGATTAGTCGTGGTTCTCTGTCGCACATTCTAGCATATTCTGGAAACTCTCAAGAAACAAAAGTTGCTGCCAGACAATGCTCTCCCTCCACACACGGCTCCATCTCAACTCCACGGACACTAGTGAGAGAGCCACTGGTGGCTACCCCTTTCCCAACTGTGTCTCTATTAGGTGAGTGCCGGGGACAGGGGAGGAGTGGGCACCGAGGGAACAGGCAAGAAAAGGAGAGAGTGAGTCCTCCAGTGCCGGTACTGCAGTGTGCTGGGAATCACCAGGAAGGGATTGAGAGAGGCCCACACATGTGGGAGGGGAGCTAGGGAAATCAATTTGGCAGGAGTTAATCACGAGAGCCCTGTCAGCATTTCAAGGACAGGCTTGTGTTTTCCTGTTCATCCGTAAGTAAACACTGAAAGCCTCCTCAACTGTGCAAACCCGCTGAGTCTTTTCTCCGTGGACATTCTAGCCCGGGAAGTTTCTAGGGTATGTCAAAGTGTCCACAAGCCCTGTAACCTTTGGTGTGTAAATCACAAACCTCCCAGGGTGGTCTGCTTGGACAGCTAGGACTTTCCTACCAAAGTCTTCATTCATCCCAAGTGGCCAACCAGCTGGAGCATCTTTAAATTAAAGGTTTTATTTTGCCACTTGGCCCCCCAGCCCAACCCCTGGCTCCTTTTTCTATTCTAAATCACTGTCCCTTGCTCCTCCAAGCTCTGAATGAATTGCATGTAACGAACATGTCTGCTGGTAGGCCTCTGTCATGAGCATTGAGGCCGATGTGGTTCAGTAACCTGATGCCTCAAACTTGAATAAAACACATGCCAGGGCCTCCCATCCTTGAATGTGAATGTGCTGGCATTTCACATTATTAAAAAAATAAAGGCAGGAGGGATGAGAGGGAGAAACTTGAAGTGTAAGGAACTTTTCTGAATGCAGCAGCTACCAATCCTGGATGCAAACTGCTGTGCAGAATAATTGTCAAATGCTTGCATAAACACATAAATAAGATAAATTTATTTTCATGATTCATATTGGGTGCTCTTTCCTTCCACTTATTTATGCTTTAAACAACAGTTACGGTAAATATAACGATAGAAAAGTGCCTACAGTGGACAGGAAGATGATCAAGAAGTCCTGATATACAGCAATCCACGTTGCTTCTTTACAATCACTAACGAATCTTAACTGGAGCCATGTTCCGTTCCCATGTGAGTGATAAGCAATGATTTATTATGAAGTGTCATGAAACCGGAATGCCATACAGTGAGCCATGAGCTAGTGGAAAATGTTTTCCCTGTTTCCCAACCTCATTACTCAAAGATGCAGTGTCCCTTTACCAAGCCTAATTTAACTGACTTTTTTGAGCACTCTACTCATTGGCAATGGAAAGTGGCCAATTCGAAGATGTCCAGGAAAGCCTGGTACCCAATGCCACAGCACTGGTCCATATGGTGTCTGAGCTGGCCGACAATGCTGGAACTGTGCAAACTGGCCAGTCTCCAGAAGTACAATCCCAAGAATCAGCTCAGCTCTCTGCCAAAGCAGCAAAGACACTAATGCACTCAGGAAATGAAACCCACCAGGGGAGAGGGAACCCAAAGAGCAACTTTGTTAGCTTTGGACCTTGTATTATCTATATGTCATGCCATTGTCCTACTTGGAACACGTGCCTTGATCATGTAAGATGTATCCAAGGGTACAAGGGAGCCAGCTGAGCCTAGAGGAAGACCACAGGCCTCAGAGGCAAGCCAAACCTGGTTTGGTCCCACCTCTTCCACTTACCTCCACAACCGCTGTGGTAGATGCACCAACAACCCCAGTACTTTACCCGCTCTGTATTCATGCCCTTGATCATGTCACTGTGTGGTGTCCTCTCGTTTGGATTCTAGGCTCAGCTATGTGACTTGCTTTCTCCAAGCAGATGTGATGCAGGCAGTGGCTTGAAAAGAGCTTGAACCTCTGCCATTGTTATTACAACATACACAGACTAGCCTGCTGGAGGATGAAAGAGCTATCCCTCCAGTTGTCCCATCCTTGAAACAGGAAGTGAATAGAAGGTCAGCTTTTGGCCAGGCGCGGTGACTTACGCCTGTAATCCCAGCACTTTGGGAGGCCGAGGCGGGCAGATCAAGAGGTCAGGAGATTGAGACCATCCTGGCTAACACGGTGAAACCCCGTCTCTACTAAAAATACAAAAAAAAAAAAAAAAAACTAGCCGGGTGTGGTGGCAGGTACCTGTAGTCCGTCCCAGCTACTCGGGAGGCTGAGGCAGGAGAATGGCGTGAACCCAGGCGGCAGAGCTTGCAGTGAGTCAAGATCGCACCACTGCACTCCAGTCTGGGTGACAGAGCGAGACTCTGTCGCAAAAAAAAAAAAAAAAAGAGAGAGAAGGAAAAACAAGGTCAGCTTTTTCACTCTTCTCTACTTCCTCCTTTTTTACACCTCCTTTTCCTTGGATGGGTGTTGGTGGAAAGAAGGACATGAATTCATAAATTCTCATATTGATGAAATGCTACTGCAATCATCTCTTGCCAGTGGATGCCCCTGGTAAGGCAGGTATCCAGGGACTGACTCTCTAGTGGGGGCACAAATGGGGTCTACAGAAGTCCCAGCTCCTAACATGGGAGATGAGTTCCATTCAGGAAGACTTCTAACTTCTAACCTAAACAGCTGCCCCACTCATGGTTCACCCTTCACTCTCTTGCCCCTAAGAGCCTTCCTCCCCTCTAGGGCTGGACCCCATAAGCAAAAAGACAGCTCTTGACCTAGTGGAAACTTACACATTTTTTTTCTTGCCACAGCATGGAGCATGTAGGAAGCTCAACTGCTTTCCCTTTTTCACTCCATCACCTTCCTCCAATAGCCTTTGCTCCTTCTCAATAGTCACAGAATATAGATCAGAGACTGCTGCATAAGCATAACCCAACAGGAAATTAGATGCCAATCTCCTCTTCTTGCTGGAACTCAATCCCTTCAAGTGTTTTTGTAGGACCACTCACCGGACTTCAGTGTTCCCCCTCCAAGAATTCCTCCACGAATTCCTCCAGTCTTTTCCTAAACAGGCTGGTGCAAGAAGGAGAAACTGATTAGTGGCCTGTTCTTCTGCCACTTAATAAATCCCATGGAAATGTGTCTGATTGCTCTCCCTTCCCTTTTTTACACCTTTTATTTTGAAATACTTTTAGACTTCAAGATAGTTGCAAAAAATCGCAGTTTATGCATACCCTTAACCCAACTTCCCCTAATGTCTTGCCTAAGCATGGTACAATTATCACAAGCAGGAAATTAACACTGGCTCAATACTAGTCACCAAACCACAGATCTTATCTGAATTTTATCCAAACGTCCTTACGCTGTTTCAGGACCTAACTTGGGCTCTTACATTGGATTTAGTTCTTGTGTGTCCTTCCCTTTCCATCTGTGACTGTCCCTCAATCATTCCATGTCTTTTATGAGCTTGACACTTCTGATAAACACTGGTTGGTGATTTTGTGAAATGTCTCCCACTTTGGGTTTATCTGATGTCCTCTCATGATTGGATTGATGCTATGGATGTGTGGCAAGTTTACCAATGATGTGCTCTCTCCTCGGTGCCTCATATTGTTACTGAAACACCAGGGGTTCCATCTGTGTCCTGTTGCTCACTGCAAATTAAAGCCAAATCACCAAGACAGTGAGTATTGCCAGGGAAGAAGAAATTTTTTTTTTTTTTTTTTTGAGACGGAGTCTCACTCTGTTGCCCAGGCTGGAGTGCAGAGGCGTGATCTCGGCTCACGGCAAGCTCTGCCTCCCTGGTTCACGCCATTCTCCTGCCTCAGCCTCCCGAGTAGCTGGGACTACAGGCACCTGCCACCATGCCCCGCTACTTTTTTGTATTTTTAGTAGAGATGGGGTTTCACCGTGTTAGCCAGGATGGTCTCGATCTGACCTCGTGATCCGCCCACCTCGGCCTCCTGGAAGAAGACTTTAATCGGGTGCTGCAGCTGAGGAAAGGGGAGATCAGTCTGAAATCCATCTCCCTGATTGAGTAAAATTAGGGGTTTATATAGCAGAGAAGAAATATAACTATGTGTAGGAAAACAGGAGTTAAGGAGGGTTAAGGAAGAGGAGTTGGTCAACAGGAAGCAGGTAGTCACTTAGGCAATCATGATGAATGAGGTGTCTGGTGTCTCATTGTCCAGATGCAGTGATCTGGTAAGTTTCAGTTCCTGGATACTATCAGGGAGTCCTGAGGGTTGGTTTCCTGAGAAAGGAACTCAGATAAGACAAATGTAACTTTCTCAAGTTTTAAGACTGGGAGGGTCAATTTCTGTGTTTCCTCAAAATAAACCATAAACATCAGTTCTATCAGATAATTGGGCTGGTTTCCATATCAGGAGTTTCTTGATGTTGATTTATCTTATTACTGGTGATGTGAACTTTGATCACGTGGTTAAGGTGGTGTCTGACAGCTTCTGTTAAGTAGGAGGCATACAGCTCCTTTAGTCCTTAACTTTGTGTCATTCCCCAAAATGTCATGAAACAAGAAGGTTTAACTCAGTATCCTGTTACCCTAGCTGTGTGATTTGGGGCATATAATTTGATGTTTCTCTGGACCACATATTTCTCTTCTGGAAAAGGAGACTAAAAATAACCACCTTTCAAGATTGCTGTAAAGATTAGTGATCATCCAGGCAAGATGACAGATGGCCTGGTAAACCCTCAAAAAATGGATACAAAGAACATCTTGAGTAATTTGCACACATTATCACCAACTCTCCCACACACAAAAAAAAGATGTATATAATCATCACCTATTTTTAGAAAAGAAACCTGGAACTTGAGGCTATGTGACTCCTCCAGTCATGTCCCTCCCCTGTATCAGAGTCTCTAATGACTCATCACCCCCCAACACTTTACTGTGGTCCTTCCCAGATCACTCCAGATTACCCTTTTAATATTAGTAACCACTCTTAACCCCTGGAAGGTATGATTAACATGTGGTCCCTGGAGTCAGAGAGCCCTAGGTTCAAACCATACCTGGGATATTTTGTGCCTGTTCTTTAGATTCTCTTCTCCTTTCCAAAGTTTCTAACTCATTGGGTTGTTGTGAGAATTAAATAAGTAAATAAAAGTTTTCAGCATAGTGAATAGCAAGTAGTAAGCACACAATAATTATATATGAAATGGGTGGTAATTACCATTTACTCATTCAACAAATATTTATGAGGCACCCACTATGTGTCAGGCACCGTTGAAGGCTGTCAACAGTGACTGAACAAGGCAAGAAATGTCCGTGTCCTCATTGAGTTTATGTTACAGTGGGTAAGATAGACAAATAAGTAAACAAGTAAGTAATATACTACCACATCTCTTAAGCAATGTGTTGGTTAAATGAACTCACCAACTATTCCCCAAACAAGACTGTATCCTTCTGCCTGGCTGTTCTTTCCACACAGAGGACTACCTGTTCCATCTTCACATATTAAAATCCTACCCCCTTCTTCAAGGCTTAGCTCAGCCTCCATCAGTTAATTAATTATTCATTTATTGATTCTTTAATTAGACTGACTACTATCTTATGGGTCTGCTTCTCCCACCATTAAGAGTGTCCCAATGCTATTATTTATGTACACATTAATCACCACCCCCATGAGCCTCCAGAGCACCATTTACTTCCCTTTGGCAACATTGATCTACTTTTTGTTATGTGCTTTGCATTCTACTTTCTTCACCAGATTTTAAGTTTGTTCTCTAAGGTCAGAGACCACATCTAGCTAATACACTTACTGGGTGGGACCCTCTTAATGGGCCTAGGGCCTGATATGTATAGGTGCTCAAATGTTTATTGATTGAAGAAATACATCAATGAATGAACATATCTTAACCTTCTTGCTGAATTGTGATTCATAGAAGGCACTGGCTATGCCTTACTCATTTAATATTTGTTTAAATGAACTGAGACACAGTAGTATTGAACATATTTGCTCCACTAATTATTTTGCTTGTGCTTTTGGCCTGGTCTCTCTTTTGATGTCCCCATCTCCCCCTCTTTAAAATACATCCTTCCATCCTTAGATAGTTTTTTGCTACATTGCAAGAATTATGTGATGGTAAAAGAAAGAATATGTGTAAAGCATTTTGATTGCTTTGGCAATGAGGTGCTCCAAAAATCTCAGGGATCACTTTTTGTTGCCAGTATATAGTCCCTAACTTTTCTTGAACTCATGCAGGATCCACAAGAATGAGCCATTTGCCTTTATTCTATTATTGTTTATGATTTCATAAGGCATTATCACTAATTTTACTGTGAAGAAGACTCTAAAGACCACTATTTTTTTGAGGCAGGGCCTTGCTCTGTCACCCAAGCTCCAGGATGGAGTGCAGTGGAACAAACATGGCTCACTTCAGAGTCCACCTTCTGTGCTCAAGCAGTCTTCTCGCCTCAGCCTCCTGAGTAGCTGGGATTACAGGCATGTGCCACCATACCTGGCTTTTTGTTTGTTTGTTTTGAGACAAGGTCTCCCCATGTTGCCCAGGCTGGTCTTGAACTCCTGTGCTCAACCAATTCTCCTGCCTTGGCCTCTCAAAGTGCTGGGATTACAGTCATGTAATCCACCACTCCTGGCCCACATTTTTCTTTCTAGTACCTATGCAGGCTGCCAGGAAAAGAAAAACAAAAGGTGCCAAGTAGTGGCTTTAAGGATTTATTTAGTTTCCTCTTTACAGTGTCCACTTTTCTCTACTTAATACTACTTTCCAGTCTCAGAAGCCCAGAGGGAAAAAAAAAAGACCATGAATCTTCCTCTCCCAGATTAAAGTACACACTTTGGAAAACAGATTGGAAAACCTTTCTGAAAAAAGTTGACTGAAACTCCAAACCAACATGCCATATTGTTGATGTTGCTCATGAAAATTGTTAAAAACCTGTTCTAGATAAAGAACAGTCTCAAGTTTTTGTACAGCCTACACATAGTACAAGGGTCCCCTATGATGATTCTTCTGTAGGACGAAATAATGTAATTTTTTCAGTTTCTGGTTTATAACTCTCTCGATCTCAAAGTTGACTGATTAAAACACCTACTCATGCAACAGAGAATAAAGCACTCATATTTTTATAAATTATATGGACCAAACTATTTTGGAAATCTTATCTATTGGAGACACAATATGCTGGACTAAAGCAATAATTATTTTATTCTCAATGTCTGTGCTAACCTCAATGACTTAGAATGCTTTGCTATATTTTGCCTCTATGCCTCAACCACACTGGCTTTCTTTTAGCTCTTGAACAAGCCAAACTGCTTCCTGCCTCAGGACCAGATATTTTGGGACTTCTCTTAAGAATTCTATTTCCTTAATTCTTTATCTGGGTAACTTAGTTTTATCCAACACTTCAGATCCTGCCGTAAAAACTCTTCTTATAGAAGCCTGTCATGACACTGTCTCTCTTCTCCAACATACTCACCAGCACACATGTAGACTAGATTAGAACCTCCTGTTTTTCTTTTTCATACTTTTCTCTATCATGCTTCCCTCCATTATAATATTTTTATTATGTGTGTGAATGTCTGCCCCAAGTCAGTTTCCTCACTAAACTATAAACTCCGTAAAGCTGGGATCCTTCCAATTTTGATCACCACTTAGTACAGTAGGAACACAGTAAAGATTCAATTGGTATTTGTGGAATGAATGAATGAATTGTTTTGCTAGTAAAGTCTGGGGGAACCCAGGTGAGAAGAGCCTAGAAAGCAGGTCGAATCCAAGGCTAGATAGACTTAGTGTTACTCAAGAAAGGGTAGCCTGAAAATAAAGGTTCAAATTATAGTCAAGAATAGTCAAGACATGGGCAAGACAAGAGTGCTGTCATCAAGTGTGAAGAACAAAGGGAAGTCAGTAACCCCAGATGACTAATGAAGGGGACAGGAGCAGCTTCAGCTGCAGTTCATGCAATGGGTCTAGGCAAGTGGCTTAGGGCTGAACTGTGCACAGTGTAAGGGGCTTAGAGGACCTACTTTATGTGGCCCAGGGGCCAGACTTAGAGTTCAAGGGAGAATTTGAGCCCATCTCTTATTAGTTACAGGAATTTAACACCATCTCTTATTACCTACAAGAACTAGAGCAGGCCAAGCGTGGTGGCTCACGCCTGTAGTCCCAGCACTTTGGGAGGCCGAGGCAGGTAAATCACTTGAGGTCAGGAGTTCAAGACCAGCCTGGCCAACGTGGTGAAACCCCATCTGTACTAAAAATACAAAAATTAGCTGGGCATGGTAAAGTGTACCTGTAATCCCAGCTACTCGGGAGGCTGAGGCAGAGAATTGCTTGAACCTGGGAGGTGGAGCCTGCAGTGAGCTAAGATTGAGCCACCGCACTCTAGCCTGGGTGACACAGTGAGACTCTGTCTCAAAAAAAAAAAAAAAAAGGAACTAGAACAAATCAATCACTGTATCTCTCTGAGCCCACTGAGCCCATTGACTTCACATGCAAAATGGGGTTATATATCAACACGTACCCCTACAACAAGATAGCATAGTATAAAACAATATTATGTGTGTGAAGGAGGTACATGTTTCTTCCAAGTTCTACTCAGTTCTTCTAAGAAGCTTCTACTCAGACATGAGTTCTGCCTGTTGTTTGTGTTTTTCTCAAGGAACGTTTAGTGTTGTATTGCTGTTAGATTGCTGCCTTACATATCCTCCATTGACTAGAAGCTTCTTGAAGGGAAGAAGCATGTCTTATTCACCGTAATTTTGTCGAGCTTCTGGTAGCATGCAGGTTGAGTCGGGAGATAAAAATGCCAGGCCTTCAGGGGTTTGATGTATGAATGAGGACCATGAGATTATAAATCAGCTACAAGGCTCCATGTGATCTCTCCATAAGCATCCACTCCTTGGAAGCTGTCTGACTTTATTCGTCTGTATGGCACAAAAGAGACACTTGGTAAATATTGAATGAACTGATGAATGAATGAATGAATTCGCCTTTGGTTAGGCATAGCAATAAAGAAAATGAAATTTAACTTTGTCTTCTAGACTTTGAATGCCTCTGCCAACAACTAAATATCTTCCAGGGAGGGCAGATGGCGGCCTGTACAATGAACAATTTAATCTTTAGAAACTGGAACAACTTTGCCAGCAAACTCCATTTTTCTCTACGAACACATTGTCAATAACATGTGCTCTCAAATATGTGGTGAAATTGATGACTGGGCCCTGATTTATAGAAACAACAACAAATTAAATGTTTACCTTTCTCTTTCCTAGCTTGGGGTCCTTCAGACCAGCCATGAATTTTTTTTTCCTGTGCTCTAATAATAGAGGAGGTTTAATTACAATGCTCCATCGTGTGATTGTGTGTGGAGTGGAAGCAAAGCAAAATGTCCAGGGTATCTTAATTTAAAACCAGGAGGGGAAAAGCCACTTATGTGATAATGAAGATTAACGTAGGGAGCCGCTGGCTCTCCCTTCTCACATAAAAGCAGATATTGGGGGAATCCTTCATACAAACATTTCTGTGACCACTCATTTAGCCTCTTGTAGGAAATCTTCTTGATTTTGGACAAACTCGAAGCTTTAGATTTGCTTGAAAATAGGCCAGGGTAGGAGAGGGATGCCCAGAGAAATGGAATTCTCCAAACAGTAATCAGGCTACATGTTTGGGACTATTCCTGGGAATGACAGACTGGTTTGGAAGAAGTCACCATCCTAGGACCTCTTCTTCTAGAATGGTGGCTCTGAACTCCTACTTGGGTCAAGAGCCTTTTTGAAAATATCATGAGAGCTACAGATTCTCTCTCCAGGAAAATCAAGTCTACCTATAACTTCATATACACACATGCACCAAAATGCTAAATTCTGCTTACAATGTCATCTCTTGTCTTTGCCATAAACTTAAACAACTTGAGTGACAATTGCTACTGAAAATTCCAGGCTTCACCAACCTTTCTGTGATGCTCATCCAAGATTAAGAACTGCTAGACTTAGAGGACCCTTGGTTTCTTTAGGCCACAAAACTGCTTAACTGTCTTAGGCTGTGGACTTCTTTGGCTGTCTGATGAAACCCGTGGAGCCCTTTAAAATGTCTTTAAAGGCCAGGCGTGGTGGCTCACACCTGTAATCCCAGCACTTTGGGAGGCCAAGGCAGGCAGATCACGAGGTCAGGATTTTGAGACCAGCCTGGCCAATATGGTGACACCCCATCTTTACTAAAAATACAAAAATTAGCCGGGCATGGTGGCACGTGCCTGTAGTCCCAGCTACTCGGGAGGCTGAGACAGAAGAATCACTTGAACCCAGGAGGTGGAGGTTGCAGTGAGCTGAGATCGTACCACTGCACTCCAGCCTGGGTGACAGAGTGAAACTTGGTCTCAAAAAAAAAAAAAAAGTCTTTAAAAACTAATGTTAAATGTGTTAATGTGGCTGTCCCTTTCCCATCCTTCAGGTCTTCATTCAGATGTCACTCCCTCAGAGAGGGCTCCCTCTCCCCTTTCTCAAAGTAGCCCCATCAGAACTGAAACCCTCCCAATTGTCCCATAGAATGGATGGTTATGGTTTCTTTTGAGTAAACATAGAAATTGACTCTCCCAGTCAATTTGAGAAAGTTTCATTTGTCTTATCTGAGCTCCTTTCTCTGGAAACCTACCCTCAGGCCTTGCAGACAGTATCAAGGAACTGAAACTTACCAGATCACCACATCTGAACAATGAGACAGAAGACCTCTCACCCATTATGACTGCCTGAGCGACCACCCACTTCATGTTGACCAAATTCTCTTTCTTACCACTCCCTAATTCCTGTTTTCCTTCATGTAGTTATATTTCTTCCCTGCTATATAAAACCCTTATTTCTTGTCAGTTGGAGAGATAGATGAGATTGACCTCCCATCTCCTGAGCTGCAGCACCTGATTAAAGCCTTTTTCTCTGGCAATACTTGTTGTCTCAGTGGTTGGCGTTATGTGTGGCGAGCAGTAGGACCTAGACCAAACCCCTGGCCTTTCAGTAACGATGCCCACACCTGCACCACTCAGTCCCATCACCCTGCTTACGGTCTTCACAGCACTCACCTCATCTGACGTGGTCTTGATGGCTTGCTTGCTTATTGTCTTCTCCTCCCTCTGGAATGCAAACTTACCAGAGGCAGAGGTCCTATCTGTCTTGTTCCTTGGTGTGTCCTCTGTATCAAAGCGGTACCCAGTAATGGGCCTGAAGCAAATGTTTTCCCAATATTTACTGAAGGAATCTATGTTCACTGGTAAGTCAAGAGCAAAAAATACACAAAGTTTTGCTACTTCACCTGGTCTAGTGGTCATCGGGCATTATTATTTCATAAATGTATACTAATAATTTTAGTAGCAGTTGAATATGTTTTTCTTTTTTTATTATTATTATACTTTAAGTTTTAGGGTACATGTGCACATTGTGCAGGTTAGTTACATACGTATACATGTGCCATGCTGGTGTGCTGCACCCACTAACTCGTCATCTAGCATTAGGTATATCTCCCAATGCTATCCCTCCCCCGCCCCACCCCACAACAGTCCCCAGAGTGTGATGTTCCCCTTCCTGTGTCCATGTGATCTCATTGTTCAATTCCCACCTATGAGTGAGAATATGCAGTGTTTGGTTTTTTGTTCTTGCGATAGTTTACTGAGAATGATGGTTTCCAATTTCATCCATGTCCCTACAAAGGACATGAACTCATCATTTTTTACGGCTGCATAGTATTCCATGGTGTATATGTGCCACATTTTCTTAATCCAGTCTATCATTGTTGGACATTTGGGTTGGTTCCAAGTCTTTGCTATTGTGAATAATGCCACAATAAACATATGTGTGCATGTGTCTTTATAGCAGCATGATTTATAGTCCTTTGGGTACATACCCAGTAATGGGATGGCTGGGTCAAATGGTATTTCTAGTTCTAGATCCCTGAGGAATCGCCACACTGACTCCCACAATGGTTGAACTAGTTTACAGTCCCACCAACAGTGTAAAAGTGTTCCTATTTCTCCACATCCTCTCCAGCACCTGTTGTTTCCTGACTTTTTAATGATTGCCATTCTAACTGGTGTGAAATGGTATCTCATTGTGGTTTTGATTTGCATTTCTCTGATGGCCAGTGATGATGAGCATTTTTTCATGTGTTTTTTGGCTGCATAAATGTCTTCTTTTGAGAAGTGTCTGTTCATGTCCTTCGCCCACTTTTTGATGGGGTTGTTTTTTTCTTGTAAATTTGTTTGAGTTCATTGTAGATTCTGGATATTAGCCCTTTGTCAGATGAGTAGGTTGTGAAAATTTTCTCCCATTTTGTAGGTTGCCTGTTCACTCTGATGGTAGTTTCTTTTGCTGTGCAGAAGCTCTTTAGTTTAATTAGATCCCATTTGTAAATTTTGTCTTTTGTTGCCTTTGCTTTTGGTGTTTTAGACATGAAGTCCTTGCCCATGCCTATGTCCTGAATGGTAAAGCCTAGGTTTTCTTCTAGGGTTTTTATGGTTTTAGGTCTAACGTTTAAGTCTTTAATCCATCTTGAATTGATTTTTGTATAAGGTGTAAGGAAGGGATCCAGTTTCAGCTTTCTACATATGGCTAGCCAGTTTTCCCAGCACCATTTATTAAACAGGGAATCCTTTCCCCATTGCTTGTTTTTCTCAGGTTTGTCAAAGATCAGATAGTTGTAGATATGCGGCATTATTTCTGAGGGCTCTGTTCTGTTCCATTGATCTATATCTCTGTTTTGGTACCAGTACCATGCTGTTTTGGTTACTGTAGCCTTGTAGTATAGTTTGAAGTCAGGTAGTGTGATGCCTCCAGCTTTGTTCTTTTGGCTTAGGATTGCCTTGGCGATGCGGGCTCTTTTTTGGTTCCATATGAACTTTAAAGTAGTTTTTTCCAATTCTGTGAAGAAAGGCATTGGTAGCTTGATGGGGATGGCATTGAATCTGTAAATTACCTTGGGCAGTATGGCCATTTTCACGATATTGATTCTTCCTACCCATGAGCATGGAATGTTCTTCCAGTTGTTTGTATCCTCTTTTATTTCTTTGAGCAGCAGTTTGTAGTTCTCCTTGAAGAGGTCCTTCACATCCCTTGTAAGTTGGATTCCTAGGTATTTTATTCTCTTTGAAGCAATTGTGAATGGGAGTTCACTCATGATTTGGCTCTCTGTTTGTCTGTTGTTGGTGTATAGGAATGCTTGTGATTTTTGCACATTGATTTTGTATCCTGAGACTTTGCTGAAGTTGCTTATCAGCTTAAGGAGATTTTGGGCTGAGACAATGGGGTTTTCTAGATATACAATCATGTCATCTGCAAACAGGGACAATTTGACTTCCTCTTTTCCTAATTGAATACCCTTTATTTCCTTCTCCTGCCTAATTGCCCTGGCCAGAACTTCCAACACTATGTTGAATAGGAGTGGTGACAGAGGGCATCCCTGTCTTGTGCCAGTTTTCAAAGGGAATGCTTCCAGTTTTTGCCCATTCAGTATGATATTGGCTGTGGGTTTGTCATAGATAGCTCTTATTATTTTGAAATATGTCCCATCAATACCTAATTTATTGAGAGTTTTTAGCATGAAAGGTTGTTGAATTTTGTCAAAGGCCTTCTCTGCATCTATTGAGATAATCATGTGGTTTTTGTCTTTGGCTCTGTTTATATGCTGGATTACACTTATTGATTTGCCTATATTGAACCAGCCTTGCATCCCAGGGATGAAGCCCACTTGATCATGGTGGATAAGCTTTTTGATGTGCTGCTGGATTCGTTTTGCCAGTATTTTATTGAGGATTTTTGCATCAATGTTCATCAAGGATATTGGTCTAAAATTCTCTTTTTTGGTTGAGTCTCTGCCCGGCTTTGGTATCAGAATGATGCTGGCCTCATAAAATGAGTTAGGGAGGATTCCCTGTTTTTCTATTGATTGGAATAGTTTCAGAAGGAATGGTACCAGTTCCTCCTTGTACCTCTGGTAGAATTCGGCTGTGAATCCATCTGGTCCTGGACTCTTTTTGGTTGGTAAGCTATTGATTATTGCCACAATTTCAGCTCCTGTTATTGGTCTATTCAGAGATTCAACTTCTTCCTGGTTTAGTCTTGGGAGAGTGTATGTGTCGAGGAATTTATCCATTTCTTCTAGATTTTCTAGTTTATTTGTGTAGAGGTGTTTGTAGTATTCTCTGATGGTAGTTTGTATTTCTGTGGGATCAGTGGTGATATCCCCTTTGTCATTTTTTATTACATCTATTTGATTCTTCTCTCTTTTTTTCTTTATTAGTCTTGCTAGCAGTCTATCAATTTTGTTGATCCTTTCAAAAAACCAGCTCCTGGATTCACTAGTTTTTTGAAGGGTTTTTTGTGTCTCTATTATTTCCTTCAGTTCTGCTCTGATTTTAGTTATTTCTTGCCTTCTGCTAGCTTTTGAATGTGTTTGCTCTTGCTTTTCTAGTTCTTTTAATTGTGATGTTAGGGTGTCAATTTTGGATCTTTCCTGCTTTCTCTTGTGAGCATTTAGTGCTATAAATTTCCCTCTACACACTGCTTTGAATGCGTCCCAGAGATTCTGGTATGTTGTGTCTTTGTTCTCGTTGGTTTCAAAGAACATCTTCATTTCTGCCTTCATTTCGTTATGTACCCAGTAGTCATTCAGGAGCAGGTTGTTCAGTTTCCATGTAGTTGAGCGGTTTTGAGTGAGATTCTTAATCCTGAGTTCTAGTTTGATTGCACTGTGGTCTGAGAGATAGTTTGTTACAATTTCTGTTCTTTTACATTTGCTGAGGAGAGCTTTACTTCCAAGTATGTGGTCAATTTTGGAATAGGTGTGGTGCGGTGCTGAAAAAAATATATATTCTGTTGATTTGGGGTGGAGAGTCCTGTAGATGTCTATTAGGTCCGCTTGGTACAGAGCTGAGTTCAATTCCTGGGTGTTGACTTTCTGTCTCATTGATCTGTCTAATGTTGACAGTGGGGTGTTAAAGACTCGCATTATTAACGTGTGGGAGTCTAAGTCTCTTTGTAGGTCACTCAGGACATGCTTTATGAATCTGGGTGCTCCTGTATTGGGTGCATATATATTTAGGATAGTTAGCTCTTCTTGTTCAATTGATCCCTTTACCATTATGTAATGGCCTTCTTTGTCTCTTTTGATCTTTGTTGGTTTAAAGTCTGTTTTATCAGAGACCAGGATTGCAACCCCTGCCTTTTTTTGTTTTCCATTTGCTTGGTAGATCTTCCTCCATCCTTTTATTTTGAGCCTATGTGTGTCTCTGCACTTGAGATGGGTTTCCTGAATACAGCACACTGATGGGTCTTGACTCTTTATCCAATTTGCCAGTCTGTGTCTTTTAATTGGAGCATTTAGTCCATTTACATTTAAAGTTAATACTGTTATGTGTGAATTTTATCCTGTCATTATGATGTTAGCTGGTGATTTTGCTCGTTAGTTGATGCAGTTTCTTCCTAGTCTGGATGGTCTTTACATTTTGGCATGATTTTGCAGCGGCTGGTACCGGTTGTTCTTTTCCATGTTTAGCGCTTCCTTCAGGAGCTCTTTTAGGGCAGGCCTGGTGGTGACAAAATCTCTCAGCATTTGCTTGTCTGTAAAGTATTTTATTTCTCCTTCACTTATGAAGCTTAGTTTGGCTGGATATGAAATTCTGGGTTGAAAATTCTTTTCTTTAAGAATGTTGAATATTGGCCCCCACTCTTTCTGGCTTGTAGGGTTTCTGCCGAGAGATCCACTGTTAGTCTGATGGGCTTCCCTTTGAGGGTAACCCGACCTTTCTCTCTGGCTGCCCTTAACATTTTTTCCTTCATTTCAACTCTGGTGAATCTGACAATTATGTGTCTTGGAGTTGCTCTTCTCAAGGAGTATCTTTGTGGCGTTCTCTGTATTTCCTGAAGCTGAACGTTGGCCTGCCTTGCTAGATTGGGGAAGTTCTCCTGGATAATATCCTGCAGAGTGTTTTCCAACTTGGTTCCATTCTCCCCATCACTTTCAGGTACACCAATCAGACGTAGATTTGGTCTTTTCGCATAGTCCCATATTTCTTGGAGGCTGTGCTCATTTCTTTTTATTCTTTTTTCTCTAAACTTCCCTTCTCGCTTCATTTCATCTTCCATCGCTGATACCCTTTCTTCCAGTTGATCGCATCGGCTCCTGAGGCTTCTGCATTCTTCACGTAGTTCTCCAGCCTTGGTTTTCAGCTCCATCAGCTCCTTTAAGCACTTCTCTGTATTGGTTATTCTAGTTATGCATTCTTCTAAAGTTTTTTCAAAGTTTTCAACTTCTTTGCCTTTGGTTTGAATGTCCTCCCGTAGCTCAGAGTAATTTGATCGTCTGAAGCCTTCTTCTCTCAGCTCATCAAAGTCATTCTCCGTCCAGCTTTGTTCCGTTGCTGGTGAGGAGCTGCGTTCCTTTGGAGGAGGAGAGGCGCTCTGCTTTTTAGAATTTCCAGTTTTTCTGTTCTGTTTTTTCCCCATCTTTGTGGTTTTATCTCCTTTTGGTCTTTGATGATGGTGATGTACAGATGGGTTTTTGGTGTGGATGTCCTTTCTGTTTGTTAGTTTTCCTTCTAACAGACAGGACCCTCAGCCACAGGTCTGTTGGAATACCCTGCCGTGTGAGGTGTCAGTGTGCCCCTGCTGGGGGGTGCCTCCCAGTTAGGCTGCTCGGGGGTCAGGGACCCACTTGAGGAGGCAATCTGCCCGTTCTCAGATCTCCAGCTGCGTACTGGGAGAACCACTGCTCTCTTCAAAGCTGTCAGACAGGGACATTTAAGTCTTCAGAGGTTACTGCTGTCTTTTTGTTTGTCTGTGCCCTGCCCCCAGAGGTGGAGCCTACAGAGGCAGGCAGGCCTCCTTGAGCTGTGGTGGGCTCCACCCAGTTCGAGCTTCCCGGCTGCTTTGTTTACCTAAGCAAGCCTGGGCAATGGCGGGCGCCCCTCCCCCAGCCTCGCTGCCGCCTTGCAGTTTGATCTCAGACTGCTGTGCTAGCAATCAGCGAGACTCCATGGGCGTAGGACCCTCCGAGCCAGGTGCGGGATATAATCTCCTGGTGCGCCGTTTTTTAAGCCCGTCAGAAAAGCGCTGTATTCGGGTGGGAGTGACCCGATTTCCAGGTGCGTCCGTCACCCTTTTCTTTGATTAGGAAAGGGAACTCCCTGACCCCTTGCGCTTCCCAAGTGAGGCAATGCCTCGCCCTGCTTTGGCTGGCGCACGGTGTGCGCACCCACTGACCTGCGCCCACTGTCTGGCACTCCCTAGTGAGATGAACCCAGTACCTCAGATGGAAATGCAGAAATCACCCGTCTTCTGCGTCGCTCAGGCTGGGAGCTGTAGACCGGAGCTGTTCCTATTCGGCCATCTTGGCTCCTCCCCCTCCTGTCACAGTTGAATATGTTTTTCAGATAAAATCTTCTACAGTACCCAATATATAAAACAGATGAATATAAATGAGAGTAAGAAGTTCCAAAAAGACTCTCTCAGACACACACTCCTGCATGCCCTTGTTGGAAATTTCTACATCCCATTCTCTTCTGAGAAGCTCTTTTAAAGTCCTTCTTCTGGTCTAAAATTAACATCTGAGATTGCTCTTCTTCATTAATTACTTCATGGTTACCAGGAAGCTAGTTCTGCTCAGTAAGAGATGTAAGTTATGGAGGTGACAATTTCCAACAAACTCTTTTTGAAACATCTAGGGGATTTTCTTTCCCAAACACATTGGTAAACCTATTCAAAACTGAATTCTAAAAGAGAGCTATGGCCCAGGAGCAGTGGCTCATGCCTGTAATCCCAACACTTTGGGAGGCCAAGGAAGGCGGATCACTTGAGGTCAGGAGTTCGAGACCAGCCTGGCCAACATAAAGAAACCCTGTCTCTACTAAAAATACAAAAAAAAAAGAAAAAAAGAAAAAAAACTAGCAGGGCATGGTGGCGGGCACCTGTAATCTCAGCTGCTTGGGAGGTTGAGGTGGAAGAATCACTTGAACCTGGGAGGCGGAGGTTGCAGTGAGCCAAGACTGTGCCATTGTACTCCAGCCTGGGTGACACTGCAAAACCCTGTCTCAAAAACAAAACAAAACAAAAATTCATTTTCTTATAAGGACACCAGTCAGATTGGATTAGGGCCCATCTTAACAGCCTCATGTTTACTTAATTACTTCTTTAAAGATTCTGTGTCCAGGCAGTCACATTCAGAGGTGCTGGGGCTTAGGGCTTCAATGTAAGAATTCGGTGGGGACACAATTCATACCCACAACACTGGCCTCCACGCTGTTGGTCAATAAAGCTTTTGTTGTTATTCCTTTACCTTCCCTACTGCCACCCTGCCCCAGCCCTGGCTTCAGAAGGAGCAGCTTGTAGCTATGGGAACCTTCTACGCAAGCTTCCCATTAACTTCATTTAGCTTCATTTATGGCTGTGCTTGGGAGGACTGAACATTTTCTAGTAAATGTTATAAGGAAAGCATTTAAAATACATATCATAGCTGCTCAACAGCTGATTTGGGGGTGGAGGAAAGCCTTGAATTACTTTGAGAAAGAAAGCCTGGTTCCATGTTTCTGCAGTGCACAAATAGGATGGCAGAACACATGCTTGGAAGCTTCCACCAGGAGGTCACATGAGCCAGTGGTTAAGGGGCAGGGGTGATGGGAGCAAGTAAAAAGGGATCCAAATCCAGGTTCCACCTCTAATAACCATAGTGACCCCAACTACTTGTGGTCCCATGAGCCAGTTGACCCTTCTGCATAATGGTCATGCTGATCATCCCCATCTCCCTTTTGTTGTGGGGGCCTCTCTGTTCATGTAAAGTGCCTCACACAATGCCTGGTATAAGGTAAGTCCACAATAACTGATAACAGCTATTGTTGTTATCACTGAAATGCAAATAAATCAACAGAGCCCAGGGACTCAAAGGTCTTGTACAACTAGACCACTTTGGCTCTGGATTGTACATAAGATTTGCTGCCTTTATATGCAGTGGTGCACTGCACTTCTAAAATAAATATTTGTGTATGCTTGTGAAGGAACTTAGTCTATCTAGAAATGCAGTTTTAGGATTGGGTGCAGTGGCTGATGCCTGCAATCTTAGCACTTTGGGTAGAGACAGGAGAATCACATGAGCCCATGAGCCTAGGAGTTTGAGACTAGCCTGGCAACATAGGGAGACCCCTGTCTTGAAAGACAGAGAGAGAGAGGAAGGAAGGAAGGAAGGAAGGAAGGAAGGAAGGAAGGAAGGAAGGAAGGAAGGAGGGAGGGAGGGAAGGAAGGAAGGAAGGTTGGCTTAGGGGGTAGGGAGAGGAAAGAAAGAGAGAAGGAAGAGAGGAATGTCGTAGAATTATAGAAGTTATGTGTTCTACCATGTCTCTGAAAGAAGGATTAACTGATTAAATGGTAGAAATAAGTGAATAAATGAATCCTATCTGAGAGCAGTAGTTCTCAATCTTGGTAGTGCATTAGAATCCCCTGAGGAACTTTTAAAAACCCCGGGCCCAAGTCATACCCTGGACTAGTCAAGGCAAAACCTTGGGGAGTAGGGCCCAGGCATCCACAGGTGACTCCTACCTGGAGTGGGGCCAAGTGACAGAATCTGCTTAGAGGCGGGAGCCTCAGCTGGACATCTCTGAGTCACTTATTAGGTGTGAACTTGGTCAAGTTGCTTAACATCTCTGAGCCTTGATTTCCTCCTCTATCTTGAGGATTAAATAAGATATAATTGGTAAAACACAGGCTCCCTATCGACAATGGACCGAAGTGCTGAATAGCAGGTGTTTCCCATTATTACCGCCATCATTGCCATCCAGTGCGTAAGCCTGAGCCTCCATGTCACCACCCGCAAAATGGTAGGGGAGAAAGGATGCCTGAAGACCCTTTACTTTCATTCTGATGATTCTATCAAGGTAGAGCAATGGGCCAAGTCAACAGAAAAGTTCACCTGTCTTCACCAAGTGACAGCCATGGACCAGGAGCCATGGTGGCAACTCTGGAGACTGTTGCACAAACAGTCCCACCTCTGCTCTCCTAGAACCTGAATGCTAGTGGGGAGACATGTCAAACAGTGCTCGTCCAGACCAATATATTATTCATGACAAGAGGGATCTAAGAGAGAGGAAATCTGAGGACCTCATCTGGATCCCAGGAGAAGAAAAGATCTTTCTGACAACGAGCTCTTTAAACCAGGGGATGAATGTGGAGTAGGAACTGTCTAGGTGGAGTTGTGAGAAGGGCCCTTCAGGCAGGGGTAGAACAGGAGCAAAGGCTGTGAGGAGGGAAGGAGCTTGGATTTTTTTTTTCTAAGAGACAAATTCTCTCTCATTGCGCAGGCTAGAGTGCAGTGGTACAACCATGGCTCCCTGCAGCCTCTACCTCCCAGCTCAAGTGATTCTCCTACCTCAGCCTCCCAAGTAGCTGGAACTATAGGTGCACACCACCATGCCCAGCTAACTTTTTTACTTTTTACTTTTTGTAGAGACAGGGTCTTGCTATGTTACCCAGGCTGGTGTCAAACTCCTGGGCTCAAGAGTCCTCCTGCCTCTGCTTCCCAAAGTGCTGGGATTACAGGTGTCAGCCACCACGCCCAGTCAGTATTTTTCTTTCTAAGAGACACAGTCTCACTCTGTGGCCCAGTCTGGAGGGCAACGGTGTGGTTACAGCTCACTGCAGCCTTAAACTCCTGGGCTCAAATGATCCTCCTGCCTCAGCCTTGCAAGTCACTGGGATTACAGGCATGAGCCACCACGCTCAGCTTAGAGGTAGACATATTTGAGGTGCTTTTACTTAAAACATGGATACTTGAACTTTTAAAAGCATCTTTTTTTCTTAGAGCATCCTGGGCAACTTGGGTTCCCCATAACATACTTCAGGAAAGGGCAGGGGAGCCCAGTGAGGCCAGGGTTGAGCTCCAGACAAATCTTGATTTCATTCCAGCTTCACTGGGAAATGGCTGTGTGAATGCAGGGGACAATTTAACCTCCCGAAACTTCATCCATAAGGAGAAAGTAAGAACTCATATTTTGCCACTCATTTGTAAAAATTGGTAATTATTGATAATAATCAAATTGGTAAAGGGAAATAGTTATTACTTTTGTGTGTGTGTGTGTGTGTGAGACAGAGTCTCGCTCTGTCACCCAGGCTGAAGTGCAATGGCGCGATCTTGGCTCACAGCAACCTCTGCCTCCTGGGTTCAAGAGATTCTCCTGTCTCAGCCTCCCGAGAAGCTGGGACTACAGGCACCCACCACCACACCCGACTAATTTTTGTATTTTTAGTAAAGACGAGTTTTCACCATGTTGGTCAGGCTGGTCTTGAACTCCTGACCTCAAGTGAGCCACCTGCCTCGGCCTTCCAAATTGCTAGGATTGTAGGCATGAGACACCGCACCCAGCCAGAAATCTTTATTACTATGAAGCAGCAGGGTACATTGGTGACAGAAACCTGAGTTCAAATCCCAGCTCTGCTACTTCCCAGGCATGTGCTGTTGGTCCTGGTACTTAGATCTCTGACCCTCAGTTTTCTGATCTCTCAAAAAGAAAAAGGAGTTTATAAGAGCTATCTTTAAGGGACTATTATAACAATTAAATAAAACAATAGCAGTCAAGCTTCAGGCAAAAGATGGAAACTCAATAAATGAAAACTACCATTAAAATGAATACAAACTCTTCTTAGGAAGAGGGTTTGGCTGAATTATTTAAGTGTGTGTTCCAATCTACCAACCCTCTTTTCCAGTGTAGACACAACCACAAACATCGCCACCATGAGCTTAGACATATAATCACAGTGGTTAAAAAAAAAAAAAAAAAAGACTGTAATCCCAGCACTTTGGGGGGCCCAAGGCAGGTGAATCACAAGGGTCAGGAGTTCGAGACTAGCCTGGCCAAGATGGTGAAACCCCGTCTCTACTAAAAATACAAAAATTAGCTGGGTGTGATGGCACATGCCTGTAATCCCAGCCACTTGGGTGGCTGAGGCAGGAGAAATCACTTGAACCGGGGAGGCAGAGGTTGCAGTGAGCCGAGATCGTGCTGTTGCACTCTAGACTGGGCGACAGAGCAAGACTCTGCCTCGAAAAATAAAAATAAAAAAAAAAAAAGAAAGAGAAAAAGGAAAAAAAAAAAAGTCTACCTTGTTTATGTCCATACTTGGAGGGCATACCGTTCTTATTAAATGCCAGCAACTCACATTTTAGGCAGCAGTAAAGTCCCCTAGCTGTGTCCATGCAGTGAATCTCGTTGGGCTGTAAGTTAGCTGCAATAAATAACATTGGCTCTGCACTCCACTTAGAGAAGATGGGTTCACTGTGAATCATGTTGTTGGCGGTTTGGACTTTAAGCTGTCCAGGTTGTTTATGGTGGTGTTTGCCAGCATGTAGACCTCTTTCAAACAATTTAAGTGCTCTTTTGGAGTATACGAATGTGGCTCAATAAAAATGGGTACAGGAAAATTGCCTCCTTTCTCTCTTCTATGGCCATACCCCAAAAGCAACCATATATGACAATTGTCAAGTGTTAAGTATAATTGCTCAACATGAAATTATAATTAACACTGAAGCCACCAGGGACATTTTCTCTCTCCATTGTCAGGATGTTGTCCTGATCTGGATGTTGTCCTGATCTTTGTGACCCTTTTAATTTATCTTTTGAAAGGATGGCAACAGCTGGGTAGTTTTTCAATCCTTATCATTTTGCATTATATAGCTTTACTGAGCAATGTGCCTTTGGAAGATTCTAGTTAGTTTCATTGACAGCAATAAATACTGGTTAGAGAACAGGCTTTGAAGTCAGGCAGACCTAAGCCCAAAGGCTGGCTCTCCCACTTGCTAACTATCTGATCTTGATTACATTTCTTAGCCAATCCAAGGCTCTCTCTTCTCATCAACAAATACAGACAATGAAATCTACTGTCAGGTAGTACTGAGGAAGGCAGAGCTTCTAACAAGCACTTAATAAAATGGTAGATATTATGACTGTTTTCTGCTTTCTTCTTCTTAATATCCACATCAAATGTTTTGAAATGCTATTTTCTCCTTTTTTATAAAAAGGGAAAAATTTTCTTAGCTTCCCTTCTGAATTGACAACTGATTTCTTTTCAACATTTGTTTAATGCAGCAACGAAAGAGCTTTTTGACTTCATTTTTTAAATTTCCAGAAGGAAAGAGTGGTCTATTTTCCAAGACCTAATGACTACTTATTTGTAACACATAAGCAGAATTTTATGCATGTATTTTTAATTTATTCTACATCTCATTCCACAGCAGTTTTAAGATACTGTACTATATGCAATGCAGCAAAATTATAAAAGAAATAATAGAAATCATTAAAGATATCTACATTTCGTTAAGCACTTATTGAACGCCAGGCAACATTTGTGAAAAGTACTATATATTATTATCCTGATTTTGCTGATGCGGAAACTGAGATTAAGAAAAGGTAAGTTATGTCCCCCAATATCACACAGCTAGTAAATGGCAGAGCCAAACTATTAACACATATACCAAAGGAAAATGGAAAGAGAATATCAAAAGAAGTTTACAGGTATAGACTGCAGCCTTAGGAGGCTACATAATTACTAAAGTTGGGCCACCAATTTGACTCTGAGCTTCCTGGTAGTGAAAGCAAGAATGCAAACATGATCCATCCCAAGAACCACCTTTCCATGAGGATATGTGTACCAGGCTTTAAAAGCAAGCAACGTCTTCCCTAATACGTAGTGTCTGGAAGAGATTTATGACATAACTTTTGTGACATAGTCAAATGCAACAGAGACGACAGGAGGTTCCCGTGATAGAACCAAATATTTGAAACTAAAAAAAAACATTCTTTCTGTAAAAGAAAAAAAAATAACACCACTCCTTCCTGCAAAAATGTTTTACTTAACACTGGGCTCCATCTCTTTTTTATAATTATTCAATCCAAGCTTTGTCAAAGCATCATACTGAGAAGAGATTCATGTTAAAAAGCTAGTGGAGGGGGGTGGAGTAGATAGCAGAGAATGCCTCTCTGTCTTATCATTTTTATTTAGATTGACATACCTTTGATTATAATTAGGGATAACTGTTCAGCAGTTAAGACTCCATAATCCCATCATTAGTTGTCAGGAGATTTTCACAGGGCAAACTCTCATGCCATTTCTCTCATTTCTGTTTCTTAACTACTTGGGCAGCCTGCAGTTGAAGAGTGTGCTTTATGGAAAAGATTTTCTGCTGCCATTGAAATCTTCTAAGCTGACACACAGTTAAGGACACAAATGAAACCTCCACTCTTGGGAGGCCCCACATCTTCTTGCCTGACATTTTTGTTGTTGTTGTTCTCCAAGATATCGCCCTGTTTCTGCTGGTTGCGTTCAACAGCCATTTTGCACACACTGGTGAAGAGATCTTAAACCATTTCAGAGGTGGCCCATAAAGGAGGCAAAAGGGGACTTGCCGTAAAAATTATTTCCATAGACATGCAAAGTTGATTATATAAGGTAGAGGTCAGTTAAGATTCTCTGGCATCCATTACGAGACAAAAAAAAAAAAAAAAAAAAACTAAAAAAACTCTCCTCCAACTTGAAAGCTGAAGGCAGTGGGTCGTCTGGTTTGTGTCATGAAACATACATCATGCATTTGAGACACATATTACAAATTGTACTTTAAAAGAGGAAGTTCAGAAGTTGGGATTTTCCAGTGTGTCAATTATGACCCGAATGCTATCTATATTTAAATGTTCCAAGCCGACTATCATGATCATGTCCCCTTATTCTTCAAGGGTCTGATGAAGTACCCCTTTGACAAGGAATGAATGGTCTCATCAGTACAGATCCAACTCAACATCAGGAACAATTAGCTTGGCAGTTAAACCTAAAGGCTCTGAAATCGATATTTTATATATATATATATATATATATATATATATATATATATGTACATATTCTAATTGAATGTTAGAATATTCGGTTTCACTTATAATTATTCAGATAGGTCACTTCAAGTCTCTAAACCTAGAGAGGTTTTTTTCTCTGTAATATTGGATACCTTGTTGGATTGTTTTAATAATTAACAGAAATAATGCATATGTGGTGGATCAAAAATGACAATCATGGCCAGATGCAGTGGATCACACCTGTAATCCCCACACTCTGGGAGGCTGAGGTGAGTGGATCACTTGAGGTCAGAAGTTCAAGACCAGCCTGGCCAACATGGTGAAACCCCATCTCTACTAAAAATACAAAAATTAGCTGGACATGGTGGTGCACGCCTGTAGTCCCAGCTACTTGGGAGGCTGAGGCATGAGAATCACTTGAACCCAGGAGGTGGAGGTTGCAGTGAGCCGAGATCACGCCACTGCACTCCAGCCTGGGTGAGTGAGACTCTGTCAAGAAAAGAAAGAAGGAGGGAAGGAAGGAAGGAAGGAAGGAAGGAAGGAAGGAAGGAAGGACCCAAGAAAGATAGATAGAGAGGGAGGAAGGGAGGGAGGAAGGAAGGAAGGAAGGAAGGAAGGAAGGAAGGAAGGAAGGAAGGAAGGACGGACCCAAGAAAGATAGAGAAAGAGAGAGGGAGGAAGGGAGGGAGGAAGGAAGGAAGGACCCAAGAAAGATAGAGAGGGAGGAAGGGAGGGAGGGAGGGAGGAAGGAAGGAAGGAAGGACCCAACAAAGATAGAGAAAGAGAGAGGGAGGAAGGGAGGGAGGGAGGAAGGAAGGAAGGACCCAAGAAAGAAAAAAAAGAGAGAGAGGAAAGGAGGAAGGAAGGAAGGAAGGAAGGCAGGCAGGCAGGCAGGCAGGCAGACACAACCCAGATATTACTGATATATAACTGTTAAAATGTTTTCATTAACTCAACCGTTCTGAGGTTTGATAGAAGAAGAAAAAAAGAGTCCCTCTTGCCATTTGGAAACTCAGCCACTTTGTTCTTTCTGGTTTATTTTGTGACCTCCCTTTCCGACAGCAATTAGTCTCAGTCTCTGTTGTCAACGCTGGGAAAACTACATGGAAGAAAGGAATTAAGGAAAGGCAATACATCAGAAAGTGTTTTAAAATAGTATCCACTCACCCACATGAAGCTGTGTCTGGCATATCAAAAGTAAAGTATTCAATATATTTAAGCAATTACCTGTATTTTATTCACTCTAAGAATTGAAATTTGTCCACTAAAGTTGAAGGGTTTCCTCACACAGAGATTTCTCTTAGGAAAAATTAAATGAAACACTAATAATGAAATTCAGCAATGTAGATAAGCCAATTTGCATTTCCAAATTGTAATTCCATTTGAAAAATATTAACTACAGGTTTCTCCCAGGATTACACCGCTAAGCATCATGTGTCTCCATTGCTCCTTTGCTTCCTTGTCACAGTCTTTTTAAAATAATAACACTTGGCCGGGCGCGGTGGCTCATGCCTGTAATCCCAGTACTTTGGGAGGCCGGGGTGGGCAGATCACTTGAGGCCAGGAGTTCAAGAATCAGCCTGGCCAAAATAGTGAAACCCGCCTCCTAAAAATACAAAAATTAGTCAGGTGTGGTGGTGCGCACCTGTAACCCCAGCCACTCAGAAGGCTAAGACAGAGAATCGCTTGAACCCGGGAGGCAGAGGTTGCAGTGAGCGGAGATTGCGCCACTGCACTCCAGCCTGGATGATAGAGCAAAAATCCATCTCAAAAAAAATAAATAAATAAAACACTAAATATAGGTTTTTCTTTTTTCATTTTCAACCAAACAGCTTTAAGAAGCCCTAAATTAGGAGTCATGTGTCCTGACCTATCACTGAATCACCCTGAGAGCAAGTTACTTAAACTCCCTCTGCTTCAACTTCTTTATCTTTGGGGTACTAATATTTATCCAATATGTTTCAAAAGAGAATGTATATGAATGGTCTTTGAAAAAAATGTAAATTGCTTCAAAATGACAGACAAAATTATTCTTTGAACTTGAAAGCACCAAATAGATGGCAAAGCTTCTGGAGTCCGCTTGTGTTTCCTTGGGCTATTTTTCCAGTCTCTTTCCATGCTCTAAGTTGTTTCTTTCATAGAATTAGAGAAATAGGATTCTAGGTACATCTATTTTTTTTTCTTTTGTATTGTTTTAGTGATAAATACTTTAAAACCCTTCATGGTTTCCATGTTAGAAAAGATAGGCTTCAAATTAGTGTCTTTAGAACTCCATTCATTCAACAAGTATTTATCAAGGACCCACTCTGTGACAGATAGTGGGTTTTATACTTGGGACTGTGCTGTGCTCAAACTCTCACCTTCCTGGAGTTTACACAGGCAGGCACTAAACTCAAAATTATATATGCGATGATGTGCTTATACGCTGCAATAAGTCTTATAAGGACACTGCAAAAGGTTCATGCAAGATGATAACAAAAGAATGTAGTCAAGTCCTATGGGTAAGAAAAGACTTATTTGAGAAAGCACCATCTGAACTGAGACTTCAAGGATGAAAAGGTGCTGGCCAAACAAAGAGTGGGAAGAAGAGCATGCTAAGCAGAGGGAGCAGCACGTGCAAAGACCCTGAGGCCAGTGTTCTTGGTATATATCAAGTGGCAGAGGGACCCAGGTGAAGGCAGAGGGATGGCAAGACCAGATCAAGCAGGACATTAAAACAAGTTTGTCTTTTTTCTAAGTGCCGTAGACACTTTTCTTTTCTTTTTTTTTTTTTTTTTTTTGAGATAGAGTTTCACTCTTGTTGCCCAGGCTGGAGCACAATGGCATGATCTCGGCTCACTACGACCTCCATCTCCCAGTTCAAGCGATTCTCCTGCCTCAGCCTCCCGAGTAGCTGAGATTACAGGCATGTGCCACCACGCCCAGCTAATTTTGTATTTTTAGTAGAGACAGGGTTTCTTCATGTTGGTCAGGCTGGTCTCAAACTCCCGATGTCAGGTGATCTGCCTGCCTAGGCCTCCCAAAGTGCTGGGACTACAGGTGTGAGCCCGCGCCCGGCCAGGCCATTGACAGATTCTAAGCTGGAATGAGGAGTGACCCAACTTAATTTGAGATTTTATAAGCTCACTTTGTTTGCTATATGGAAAGTTATCAGAAGGACACCAAGTGGACTAAAACAGCCCACTGAGCGAATGCCACAGCCATCCAGGGCAGATAGGCGCAGGCCTGAATTGTGTGCACAATTGCAGGTGGCCGTGGAAATACAGTTCGGGAGGATTTCATGACTAGGGTCAGGGTGAGCCATTGGATGCGAGGGAGGAGTGAGGGCACAGTCAAAGACGACCGAACTTTCTGGCTGAAAGTTGAGTCATATGAGTTCCATTTCCTGTGAAGAGGAATACAGAGGGGTACAGAATAAGGATTGGGGGTGCAAGCACCCTGTTTGGGGAAAGGTTTTATTGAAGTAGTTGTGAGATCTTCACAAACAGATGCCAAGATGCCAGCTGGATGTTCAGATCTGGAACTCACAGTCACCAGCACGCAGACGATATTTCAAGTTTCAGAACTGGAAGATGCTGCTTAGAAAGAGCTCCTCAGGGGGGAGGGAGGAGCCAAGATGGCCGAATAGGAACAGCTCCAGTCTACAGCTCCCAGCCTGAGCGACGCAGAAGACGGTGATTTCTGCATTTCCATCTGAGGTACCAGGTTCATCTCACTAGGGAGTGGCAGACAGTGGGCGCAGGTCAGTGGGTGCGCGCACCGTGCGCGAGCCGAAGCAGGGTGAGGCATTGCCTCACTCGGGAAGCGCAAGGGGTCAGGGAGTTCCCTTTCCGAGTCAAAGAAAGGGGTGACGGACGGCACCTGGAAATCGGGTCACTCTCACCCGAATACTGCGCTTTTCCGACGGGCTTAAAAAACGGCGCACCACGAGATTATATCCCGCACCTGGCTGGGAGGGTCCTACGCCCACGGAGTCTCGCTGATTGCTAGCACAGCAGTCTGAGATCAAACTGCAAGATGGCAGTGAGGCTGGGGGAGGGGCGCCCGCCATTGCCCAGGCTTGCTTAGGTAAACAAAGCAGCCGGGAAGCTCCAACTGGGCCCAGCCCACCACAGCTCAAGGAGTCCTGCCTGCCTCTGTAGGCTCCACCTCTGGGGGCAGGGCACAGACAAACAAAAAGACAGCAGTAACCTCTGCAGACTTAAATGTCCCTGTCTGACAGCTTTGAAGAGAGCAGTGGTTCTCCCAGCACGCAGCTGGAGATCTGAGAACGGGCAGACTGCCTCCTCAAGTGGGTCCCTGACCCCTGACCCCCGAGCAGCCTAACTGGCAGGCACCCCCCAGCAGGGGCACACTGACACCTCACACGGCAGGGTATTCCAACAGACCTGTGGCTGAGGGTCCTGTCTGTTAGAAGGAAAACTAACAAACAGAATGGACATCCACACCAAAAACCCATCTGTACATCACCATCATCAAAGACCAAAAGTAGATAAAACCACAAAGATGGGGAAAAAACAGAACAGAAAAACTGGAAACTCTAAAACGCAGAGCGCCTCTCCTCCTCCAAAGGAACGCAGTTCCTCACCAGCAACGGAACAAAGCTGGATGGAGAATGACTTTGACGAGCTGAGAGAAAAAGGCTTCAGACGATCAAATTACTCTGAGCTACGGGAGGACATTCAAACCAAAGGCAAAGAAGTTGAAAACTTTGAAAAAACTTTAGAAGAATGTATAACTAGAATAACCAATACAGAGAAGTGCTTAAAGGAGCTGATGGAGCTGAAAACCAAGGCTGGAGAACTACGTGAAGAAGGCAGAAACCTCAGGAAGCGATGCAATCAACTGGAAGAAAGGGTATCAGCGATGGAAGATGAAATGAATGAAATGAAGCGAGAAGAGAAGTTTAGAGAAAAAAGAATAAAAAGAAATGAGCAAAGCCTCCAAGAAATATGGGACTATGTGAAAAGACCAAATCTACGTCTGATTGGGGTACCTGAAAGCGATGGAGAGAATGGAACCAAGTTGGAAAACACTCTGCAGGATATTATCCAGGAGAACTTCCCCAATCTAGCAAGGCAGGCCAACGTTCAGATTCAGGAAATGCAGAGAACGCCACAAAGATACTCCTCGAGAAGAGCAACTCCAAGACACATAATTGTCAGATTCACCAGAGTTGAAATGAAGGAAAAAATGTTAAGGGCAGCCAGAGAGAAAGGTCGGGTTACCCTCAAAGGGAAGCCCATCAGACTAACAGCGGATCTCTCAGCAGAAACCCTACAAGCCAGAAGAGAGTGGGGGCCAATATTCAACATTCTTAAAGAAAAGAATTTTCAACCCAGAATTTCATATCCAGCCAAACTAAGCTTCATAAGTGAAGGAGAAATAAAATACTTTACAGACAAGCAAATGCTGAGAGATTTTGTCACCACCAGGCCTGCCCTAAAAGAGCTCCTGAAGGAAGCGCTAAACATGGAAAAGAACAACCGGTACCAGCCGCTGCAAAATCATGCCAAAATGTAAAGACCATCCAGACTAGGAAGAAACTGCATCAACTAACGAGCAAAATCACCAGCTAACATCATAATGACAGGATAAAATTCACACATAACAGTATTAACTTTAAATGTAAATGGACTAAATGCTCCAATTAAAAGACACAGACTGGCAAATTGGATAAAGAGTCAAGACCCATCAGTGTGCTGTATTCAGGAAACCCATCTCAAGTGCAGAGACACACATAGGCTCAAAATAAAAGGATGGAGGAAGATCTACCAAGCAAATGGAAAACAAAAAAAGGCAGGGGTTGCAATCCTAGTCTCAGATAAAACAGACTTTAAACCAACAAAGATCAAAAGAGACAAAGAAGGCCATTACATAATGGTAAAGGGATCAATTGAACAAGAAGAGCTAACTATCCTAAATATATATGCACCCAATACAGGAGCACCCAGATTCATAAAGCAAGTTCTGAGTGACCTACAAAGAGACTTAGACTCCCACACATTAATAATGGGAGACTTTAACACCCCACTGTCAACATTAGACAGATCAACGAGACAGAAAGTCAGCAAGGATACCCAGGAATTGAACTCAGCTCTGCACCAAGTGGACCTAATGGACATCTACATAACTCTCCACCCCAAATCAACAGAATATACATTTTTTTCAGCACCACACCACACCTATTCCAAAATTGACCACATACTTGGAAGTAAAGCTCTCCTCAGCAAATGTAAAAGAACAGAAATTATAACAAACTATCTCTCAGACCACAGTGCAATCAAACTAGAACTCAGGATTAAGAATCTCACTCAAAACCGCTCAACTACATGGAAACTGAACAACCTGCTCCTGAATGACTACTGGGTACATAACGAAATGAAGGCAGAAATGAAGATGTTCTTTGAAACCAACGAGAACAAAGACACAACATACCAGAATCTCTGGGACGCATTCAAAGCAGTGTGTAGAGGGAAATTTATAGCACTAAATGCCCACAAGAGAAAGCAGGAAAGATCCAAAATTGACACCCTAACATCACAATTAAAAGAACTAGAAAAGCAAGAGCAAACACATTCAAAAGCTAGTAGAAGGCAAGAAATAACTAAAATCAGAGCAGAACTGAAGGAAATAGAGACACAAAAAACCCTTCAAAAAATTAATGAATCCAGGAGCTGGTTTCTTGAAAGGATCAACAAAATTGATAGACCACTAGCAAGACTAATAAAGAAGAAAAGAGAGAAGAATCAAATAGACGCAATAAAAAATGACAAAGGGGATATCACCACCGATCCCACAGAAATACAAACTACCATCAGAGAATACTACAAACACCTCTATGCAAATAAACTAGAAAATCTAGAAGAAATGGATAAATTCCTCGACACATACACTCTCCCAAGACTAAACCAGGAAGAAGTTGAATCTCTGAATAGACCAATAACAGGATCTGAAATTGTGGCAATAATCAATAGCTTACCAACCAAAAAGAGTCCAGGACCAGATGGATTCACAGCCGAATTCTACCAGAGGTACAAGGAGGAACTGGTACCATTCCTTCTGGAACTATTCCAATCAATAGAAAAAGAGAGAATCCTCCCTAACTCTTTTTATGAGGCCAGCATCATTCTGATACCAAAGCCAGGCAGAGACACAACAAAAAAAGAGAATTTTAGACCAATATCCTTGATGAACATTGATGCAAAAATCCTCAATAAAATACTGGCAAAACGAATCCAGCAGCACATCAAAAAGCTTATCCACCATGATCAAGTGGGCTTCATCCCTGGGATGCAAGGCTGGTTCAATATAGGCAAATCAATAAGTGTAATCCAGCATATAAACAGAGCCAAAGACAAAAACCACATGATTATCTCAATAGATGCAGAGAAGGCCTTTGACAAAATTCAACAACACTTCGTGCTAAAAACTCTCAATAAATTAGGTATTGATGGGACGTATTTCAAAATAATAAGAGCTATCTATGACAAACCCACAGCCAATATCATACTGAATGGGCAAAAACTGGAAGCATTCCCTTTGAAAACTGGCACAAGACAGGGATGCCCTCTGTCACCACTCCTATTCAACATAGTGTTGGAAGTTCTGGCCAGGGCAATTAGGCAGGAGAAGGAAATAAAGGGTATTCAATTAGGAAAAGAGGAAGTCAAATTGTCCCTGTTTGCAGATGACATGATTGTATATCTAGAAAACCCCATTGTCTCACCCCAAAATCTCCTTAAGCTGATAAGCAACTTCAGCAAAGTCTCAGGATACAAAATCAATGTGCAAAAATCACAAGCATTCTTATACACCAACAACAGACAAACAGAGAGCCAAATCATGAGTGAACTCCCATTCACAATTGCTTCAAAGAGAATAAAATACCTAGGAATCCAACTTACAAGGGATGTGAAGGACCTCTTCAAGGAGAACTACAAACCGCTGCTCAAGGAAATAAAAGAGGATACAAACAAATGGAAGAACATTCCATGCTCATGGGTAGGAAGAATCAATATCGTGAAAATGGCCATACTGCCCAAGGTAATTTACAGATTCAATGCCATCCCCATCAAGCTACCAATGCCTTTCTTCACAGAATTGGAAAAAACTACTTTAAAGTTCATATGGAACCAAAAAAGAGCCCGCATCGCCAAGGCAATCCTAAGCCAAAAGAACAAAGCTGGAGGCATCACACTACCTGACTTCAAACTATACTACAAGGCTACAGTAACCAAAACAGCATGGTACTGGTACCAAAACAGAGATATAGATCAATGGAACAGAACAGAGCCCTCAGAAATAATGCCGCATATCTACAACTATCTGATCTTTGACAAACCTGAGAAAAACAAGCAATGGGGAAAGGATTCCCTGTTTAATAAATGGTGCTGGGAAAACTGGCTAGCCATATGTAGAAAGCTGAAACTGGATCCCTTCCTTACACCTTATACAAAAATCAATTCAAGATGGATTAAAGACTTAAACGTTAGACCTAAAACCATAAAAACCCTAGAAGAAAACCTAGGCTTTACCATTCAGGACATAGGCATGGGCAAGGACTTCATGTCTAAAACACCAAAAGCAATGGCAACAAAAGACAAAATTGACAATTGGGATCTAATTAAACTAAAGAGCTTCTGCACAGCAAAAGAAACTACCATCAGAGTGAACAGGCAACCTACAAAATGGGAGAAAATTTTCACAACCTACTCATCTGACAAAGGGCTAATATCCAGAATCTACAATGAACTCAAACAAATTTACAAGAAAAAAACAAACAACCCCATCAAAAAGTGGGCGAAGGACATGAACAGACACTTCTCAAAAGAAGACATTTATGCAGCCAACAGACACCTGAAAAAATGCTCATCATCACTGGCCATCAGAGAAATGCAAATCAAAACCACAATGAGATACTATCTCACACTAGTTAGAATGGCAATCATTAAAAAGTCAGGAAACAACAGGTGCTGGAGAGGATGGGGAGAAATAGGAACACTTTTACACTGTTGGTGGGACTGTAAACTAGTTCAACCATTGTGGAAGTCAGTGTGGCGATTCCTCAGGGATCTAGAACTGGAAATACCATTTGACCCAGCCATCCCATTACTGGGTATATACCCAAAGGACTATAAATCATGCTGCTATAAAGACACATGCACACATATGTTTATTGTGGCATTATTCACAATAGCAAAGACTTGGAACCAACCCAAATGTCCAACAATGATAGACTGGATTAAGAAAATGTGGCACATATACACCATGGAATACTATGCAGCCATGAAAATGGATGAGTTCATGTCCTTTGTAGGGACATGGATGAAATTGGAAGTCATCATTCTCAGTAAACTATCGCAAGAACAAAAAACCAAACACTGCATATTCTCACTCATAGGTGGGAATTGAACAATGAGATCACATGGACACAGGAAGGGGAATATCACACTCTGGGGACTGTTGTAGGGTGGGGGGAGGGGGGAGGGATAGCATTGGGAGATATACCTAATGCTAGATGACGAGTTGGTGGGTGCAGCGCACCAGCATGGCACATGTATACATATGTAACTAACCTACACAATGTGCACATGTACCCTAAAACTTTAATAAAAAATAAATAAAAAATAAAAATAAATAAATAAATTTAGTTATCAGATTAAAAAAAAGAAAGAGCTCGTGGGGAGCAGAGGTCCTCCGCCTTTGCAGACTCACTGTTGACATTTTAGGACAAGCATTTTATAACTTCCTTTTACCATCCTGAAATAAAATTTCTAGATCGGGTGGCCAGCCTACACACAAACCGCAAAAAGAAATCATCTAATAAAAAAGAAAGGGGCCTGGCACAGTGACTTACACCTATAATCCCAGCACTTTAGGAGGCCCAGGTGGGTGGATCACTTCGGATCAGGGATTCCAGACCAGTCTGGTCAACATGGTGAAACCCCATCTCTACTAAAAATACAAAAATTAGCCGGGTGTGGTGGCGCATGCCTGTAATCCCAGCTACTCAGTAGACTGAGGCAGGAGAATCACTTGAACCCAGGAGGCGGAGGTTGCAGTGAGCCAAGATCGCGCCACTGCACTCCAGCCTGGGCAACAGGGCAAGACTCTGTCTCAATTTAAAAAAAAAAAAAAAAAAAGGAGAAAATTGAGACATGAAAATGCACCAGAACAGGGCTTCTCAAACTCGAGCATGTACAAAAATTGCCCAAACATTCTATTAAAATGCAGGTTCCAAATCAGCAGCTTGGGGTGGGCCCTGTATTCTGCATTTCTGACAAGCTCTAGGTGATCCCAGTACTGCTGTTATATGGACCACCCTCAGAGTAACAACATCCTAGAAGATGTAATGAGGCAGTCAGATGTGCGCCATAGGCAGACTCACCGTGAACATGTCAGTGGTAAACGCAGAGCAATATGGGTGGATTGAATGGGGGTCTTGAGGATCATGAACAGTAATACAAAGGTGACTTGATTTTCTAAAATGGCAAATAACTCCCATTAAATTCCAAATAAAGCAAAATACAGGTTCTCTTTGTCAGATAAGCTTTATTTCTGGAAATTACAATGTGTGTTAAACTGTGCAGAAAAGACTTTGTGTTTATATGTAAAACAGAGTTAAGTTCTAGCCTCAGATAATTATAAAAAGGTTTTGAACCAAAGACAATTTTGTCCTCCACGCCCAATGGGCATTTGACAGTGTCTAGACACAACTTCAGTTGTCACAACTCAGGGGTAAAGCAGATGCTGCTGGCATCTAGTGGGTAGAAGCCAGGGATGAGGCTGAATATCTACAATGCATAGACGGGCGGCCCCCACCAAAAGGAAGTATCTATCTGGCTGAAAATATTAACAGGGCCAAGTTAGAGAAAAACTGGCTTGCAGAGATATTTTCAAAAATGGTACAGACTGAGAGTAATGGCTCACACCTATAATCCCAATACTTTGGGAGGACGAGGCGGGAGGATCACTCGAGCCCAGGAGTTGAAGACCAGCATGGACAACATAACCCAGGTTTTTGTTTTTTTTTTTTTTTTGAGATGGAGTTTCACTCTTGTTGCCCAGGCTAGAGTGCAACGATGTGATCTCGACTCACTGCAACCTCCACCTGCTGGGTTCAAATGATTCTCCTGCCCCAGCCTCCTGAGTAGCTGGGATTACAGGCGCCTGCCACCACCACCAGCTAATTTTTGTATTTTTAATAGAGACTGGGTTTCTCCATGTTGGCCAGGCTGGTCTTTAACTCCTGACCTCAGGTGATCCACCTGCCTCAGCCTCCCAAAGTGCTGGGATTACAAGCATGAGCCACCGTGCCCAGCCAACCCAGGTGTTTTTGTAGAGACTCCATCTCTACAAAAAAATTTAAAAATTAGCCTACTGTGGTGGCATGCGCCTGTAGTACCAGCTACTCAGGCAGCTGAATCAGGAGGTTCACTTGAGCCCAGGAGATCAAGGCTGCAGTGAACTATGATCGTGCCACTGCACTCCAGCCTGAATGACAGAGCAAGACCCTACCTTCTAAAAAAAAAAAAAAGAAAAAAATAAAAAATGGGTGCAGGATGATGGACAACAGCACCTTGTGTGAAACTGTCTCACACATTGCAAGGAGCCTCACGTTCCCAGCCCCTAACCACTAAATGCCAGCAGTGCCCCCTTTTAGCAACCATAAGACATGCCCTAAAAATGGGAGTGTCGCATAAGAACAACAGCAGAGAGTGAAGAGAGAAGGGGGTAGGCAGGAGGAAGGCAAGAAGAGTAGGAGCCAGCCAAAATGCTGTGCCAGGGGATGAGAAAGGCTGGCATGGCCAAATTAAAGCATATGTCATTCTACGCATCTGTTGGTGGCTCTGTAATTAATACAAAAATAATTACATCTCTTCGCCTGGCTCTCCCTCACAAACTACTTAATGAACACTGCCAAGAACTTTTTAGATATGTAATTAAATTTTTTATTTATTTCCATTTTATTTTTATAGTAGTAGCTCAATATATTAGAAAAAAAAATGCAGCAGCAAAGCCCAGCCTCAACTACCATTTGAGAGGCAACTAACAGTATCCACTTCCTTTTTTTCTCAATCTGTTCTATGCAATTCATTCTGAACAGCAGGAAATACTAACAACAGTTCTCTTATTCCCCTTCCCTTCATTTTTCAGGTTTAATTATCTGCCAGGATCTCCTCTTTAGGCACAGAGAGAAATGAGGTTTTTACTTTACTTTTCTTTTAATATAAGAAATAATTTGGCTAGGCACGGTGCCTCATGCCTGTAATCCCAACACTTTGGGAGGTCAAGGCAATAGGATTGCTTGAGTTCAGGAGTTCAAGACTAGCCTGGGCAACGTGGCGAAACCCTGTCTCTACAAAAAATACAAAAAAATTAGCCGGATGTCCTGGTGCACACCTGTGGTCCCAGCTTTTCAGGAGGCTGAGGTGGGAGGATCACCTGAGCCCAGGAGGCAGAGGTTGCAGTGAACAAAGATCATGCCACTGTACTCAAGCCACTCTGGGTGACAGAGTGAGACCCTGTCTCAAAAAAAATAGAAAAAAAAAAGAATTTTAAAAAAATAATAGTGTGTTGTCCCAAAGTGGTCCAAGATTTGGATCTTCTCTTTACCCTTCTTCAAGTATAGGAACACTGACCTTTCCAAAAGCCCCCACCACTTCCATCAGTCATGGTGGGATCCAGGAGACTTCTCCAATAGAAATACTCCCATAGCTAAGTTTCATAAAAGACATAGGTATCTGAAATTTAAAAGTAACTATACTCAGATAATGGCCGGGTGCAGTGGCTTACGCCTGTACTCCCAGCACTTCAGGAGGCCGAGGTGGGTGGATCTCCTGAGGTCGGGAGATCGAGACCAGCCTGACCAACATGGAGAAAGCTTCATCTCTACTAAAAATACAAAATTAGCCAGGCATGGTGGCGTATGCCTGTAATCCCAGCTACTCGGGAGGCTGAGGCAGGAGAATTGCTTGAATCCGGGAGGTAGAAGTTGCAGTGAGTCGAGATATCGTGCCATTGCACTGCAGCCTGGGCAACAAGAGCGAAACTCCATCTCATAAAAAAAAAAAAAAAAAAAAAAAAAAGTAACTATACTCAGATATTCTTGGGAAAACGCCTCTAAATCACTAATAATGTCAATGTTCAGCACTTGAAAACAATACCAAATTATTACAAGCCGTATAAGAAGCAGTGGTTGAAGAGACAAGAATGACCACAGGCCCAACATCTTTACATCTCTTAACCCTCTGTTTCCTAGGTTGAAAGTGTAGAAATTATGATCTCCTGAACTGCAGCATTGTGAAGTTGACACAAGGTGAAGCAATGTCACATTGTCACCACAACAGGATCCTTTCATGCTGAGATCCAAAAAAGCCAGATAACCTGAGTCAAGAATCACAGAAAGTCAATAACAAAATCAGGACTGAGGTCTTGAGAACTGGAAAACTTCCTTGGTTTTCACACAGGAATCTGTCATTTGTGCTTATTTCACATTGCATGCCTGTATCAAAACATCTCATGTACACCATAACTATATACACCTACTATGTGCACACAAAAATTAAAAATAGGGCTGCACATGGTGGCTCACGCCTGTAATCCCAGCACTTTGGGAGGCCAAGGCAGGGAGAATGGCTTGAGCCCAGGAGTTCAAGACCAGCCTGGGCAACGTGGCGAAACCCTGTCTCTACAAAAAATACAAAAAAATTAGCCAGGTGTGCTGGTGCACACCTGTGGTCCCAGTTTTTCAGGAGGCTGAGGTGGGAAGATCACCTGAGCCCAGGAGGCAGAGGTTGTAGGGAGCCAAGATCAAGCCACTATACTCAAGCCGGGGCAACAGAGTGAGACTCTGTCTCAAAAAAAACAGAAAAAGAAAAAGAAATAATTTTTAAAAAATAATAATGTGTTTTCCCAAAGTGGTCCAAGATTCAGATCTTCTCTTTACCCTTCTTCAAGTGTAGGAACACTGACCTTACCAAAAGCCCACCAGTTCCATCAGTCATGGTGGGATCCAGGAGACTTCTCCAATAGAAATACTCCCATAGCTAAGTTTTATAAAAGACATAGTTATCTGAAATTTTAAAATAACTATACTCAGATAATGGCCAGGTGCAGTGGCTCACGCCTGTAATCTCAGCACTTTGGGAGGCCAAGGCGGGGAGAATGGCTTGGCCTGGGCAACATGGCAAAACCCTGTCTGTACAAAAAATACAAAAGAATAAACCAGGTGTGCTAATGCACACTTGTCCCAGCTTTTCAGGAGGCTGAGGTGGGAGGATCCCCTGAGCCCAGGAGGCTCTACAAAATACAAAACTTAGCCGGGCATGGTGGCGCACCTGTAGTCCCAGCTACTCAGGAGGCTAACGTGGGAGGATGGATTGAGCCCAGGAGATCGAGGCTGCAGTCAGCTGTGATTGCACCACTGCACTCTAGCGTGGGTGACAGAACAAAACCCTGTCCCCCACCTCCCCCATCCCCAAACAAAACAAAACAAATTTTTAATTAAAAAATTAAAAAACAAAAAGGATCTGTCATGAAGGTATTTTTCAGCAAACAACACTCAGGTATATTTGTGAATCTTAAATAGGGAAGAAAAGAGTTATCAAATAAACCTGGCAAGTACTGAGTTAAGTAAAGACACACTATGTTTGGTTTGATTTTAATTGCAGGACTTCTCAGAGTCTTTAATATGTTAATGTGTGTTGTGAATTTCCAAGACAGGAACTATAATAAAATCATTATTTTCTTTCTCCTTACTTTCATTCCCAGGACAAACTTTGCCCTAAGAGAAACTCAGTTAGAAAAGTCTGGGTGTTGATTTAATGTGGAGCCACTTCAAGGAAGTGATAATAAAACAAAGTTCCATGAAATTGATATCATATTAATATCATGGTCAAAGAGGAGAAAATGACAGCCTGCAGTAGGCCTGGTGTGAAACAGTCCTTCAGCCAGGACTTCACTCTTGTTTCACAGTGTAATGCCATTGCAGTTTCCAAAAGTCCACCAATTTGTGGTCTCCACTTTTCCTTTGACCCATCTCTCTTCTTCCAACCACATGATCACCCTCCTTTAAGCTTCTAGACCTGCCAGAGGATCTCAACCAACTCAAAACAAAGATTGCCAGGGACCCTTTTTCTCTCAAGTGCACATCTAATGTCAAAGGGAAATGGTTCTCTCCACTGATGGTGATCAAGGCATTCACCTGTAATCTAGGTAGGGTGGTGCCTGTCATGAGCTTGGAAGCTTCAGAGTAGGAAGGACTAAATTTAAAGCCATCCTCTGCTTTTTATTAGCTGTGAACCCTAGGACAAGTCACTTACTTTTATCTCTCTCTTTTTTTTTTTTTTTTTTTTTAAGACAGAGTCTCACTCTGTTGCCCAAGCTGGAATGCAGTGGTGCGATCTTGGCTCACTACAACCTCCGCCTCCCAGGTTCAAGCGATTCTCATGCCTCAGCCTCCTGAGTAGCTGGAATTTCAGAGGTGCACCACCATGCCCAGCTAATTTTTGTGTTTTTAGTAGAGACAGAGTTTCGCCATGCTTACTAGGCTGGTCTTGATCTCATAGCCTCATGTGATCCGCCCGCCGTTGCCTCCCAAGGTGCTGGGATTACAGGCGTGCACCACCATGCTCGTCCTTTATCTCTCATTTTTAAAATGAGATTGTTTCAAGAGTTAACAGTAATGTGTATAAAGTGACTGGAATTTGGTAGATACATAATAACTGGTTGCTAGTATTCCAGTCATACTATTCCTTACCAAGGAATAGTTTCAAATGTCTGTTATGATTATCTTGTGCATCATTTCTGTACACATATCAAATGTCATCTGATTTTCAATTTGTCTTTATCCTTCCACTAGAAATTTGGAAGCTTTCCTTTTCTAAAAAGACTAATCATATTTAGGTTCAGTGTTTTTTCTCACTAAAATGAACATTACCACCAAATAACAAGATGTAAACAAGAAACTTCACTCAGATTGGGCTGAAGGAAATTGCATGCTTTCCACACAGTAATCCAGAGCAAAGTTCTTGGAAAGAAAAATCACCCTGTTATTAAGTAGCACTTCTCTACCGAAAACGTTCCTATCTTTTGACAGGAATTCCACACTTAAGAATTTAAGCCTATGAAAATATTCCAGCATACAGAAAAGCTTGAAACGCAAAGATGTTCATCATAGTGTTATGTATTATTGAATAAAAATTGCAAACATTAAATGTCCAATATTACATTATCGTAGTATCATAAACTATTATAATGTATGTGATAGAACTTCTACAGCTGTTTATACTGATGCTTTCCAGTGAAGAAATACCTCCAGACAGGTGCCTCATATAGTCAGCATATATAACTATGTAAACCTAACGAAATGCATGGGAAGGCCAGACACAGTGGCTCACACCTGTAATCCCAGCTCTTTGGGAGGCTGAGGCAGGCGGATCACTTGAGGTCAGGAGTTCAAGACTAGCCTGGCCAACATGGTGAAACCCTGTCTCTACTAAAAATACAAAAATTAGCTGGGCATGGTGATGCATGTCTGTAATCCCAGCTACTCGGGAGGCTGAAGCAGGAGAATTACTTGAACCCAAGAGGCGGAGGTTGTAATGAACCCACATCGTGCCACTGCACTCCAGCTTGGGTGACAGAGCAAGGCTCCAGCACAAAAAAAAAAAGCATGGGAAAAGAAAAGACTAGAAGGAAATACAGCAGAACGTGAATGAGAGCTTTAAGCCTAGTATGACCATAGGTTAATAGGTTGTTTTGTTTTTGTTTTTCCAAAAAGCTTTATAGTGAAAAAAATCATACATTATGTATATGTATTTCTAATTGCAGTAAAATACACACAACATAAAATTTATCATTTTCACTATTAAGTGCACAGTTGAGTGGCTTTGAGTACATTCAGATTGTTGTACAAACATAACAATGTCCATCTACAGAATTTTTCATCTTACAAAAGATGAAACTGAAACTGCTCTGAGTGAACAAGAATTCTTATTGCTTTTCCCACCTCATCCCCAGTCCCTGGCAACCATCATTCCTCTTTCTGTTTCTATGAGTTTGACTACCTCTAGATATGTTATATAGGTATAACCATATAATATATTTCTTTTTGTGACTGGCTTATTTTCACTTAGCATAATATTCTCAGGGTTCATCCATGTTGTAGAACGTGTCAGAATTTCTTCCATTTTTAGGGCTAATATTCCGTCGCATGTACATATCACATTTGCTTATCCACTCATCCGTTGGACACTTGGGTTGCTTCTGAGTTTTGGCTATTGTGAATAGTGTTGCTATGAACACGGGTGTTCAAATATCCTTTCCATACATTATATTAAAAATATTTTTTTTCTTAAAGTTGCAACTTTTTGGCCAGTCTAGGTGGCTCAAGCCTGTAATCTCAGCACCTTGAGAGGCTGAGGTGGGAGGATTGCTTGAGCCCAGGAATCTGAGATAGGCTCTGCAAAATAAAAAATAAACCTAGTCAGGCATGATGGAGTGTGCCTGCGGTTCCAGCCACTCAGGAGGCTGAGGTGGGAGGATCACTTGGGCCTGGCAGGTTGAGGTTGCCGTGAGCCGTGATGATGCCACTGCACAAGTATAGCGACAAAGCGAGACTCTGTCTCAAAAGGAAAAGAATAAGAAAATTGCAACTTTCTTTTTAGATACAGAGGGTACATGTGCAGTTTGTTGCATGGGAATATTGCATGATGGTGAGCTGTGGGGTATGGATCTCATCACCCAGGCAGTGAGCATAGTACCTGATAGGCAGTTTTTCAAACCATTTCCTCCTTCCTCCCTCCCCAGCCCCAGTAGACCCTAGCGTCTGTTGTTCGCATGTTTACATCCATCTGTGCTCAGTGTTTAGCTCCCACTTATGAGTGAGAACATACAGTATTTAAATAGTTTTTTTCTCAAAGTTGACTCCTCCTTTTCATGTTTCACAGTCTGGTTATATAACTAGGACTCTACTCAGAACATTTGGACAAATAAAGTAGTGGAGGTGGGCAAGGTGATCACCCTGGGGAAAAAATCACCTGGGCTACACCTCAGAAAATAATGCATCTTTCTGTTGTTCTGATTCCCATTACAGGACGAATGCCTTAGTTTCCACTTTCCAGCCTGGATCCCCTCACACTGAACCCTTCTTCGTTGCACCATCCTGCTTCTGACATTGAACTCATTGAACTCCTCCTGACACCCTGGCTCTGAGAAGACTGCCAAAAAAAAAAAAAAAAAAAAATCACCCCAGCCATTTCTCTTCATCCTCACTAACAATTTGGTAATGAAGTATTGATTTCCACTTCTCTGCTTATGGGCGGTATTAGATTTTCATTGATAAATTGCAATGGGGCTGTCTCGTCTCCACAGTACCCTTTTCACTGTCACAAGAAAACAAAGTGCCACCGAAGAAAAGTAATGACTGAGAGCATTGATGTACTTATTTTGTCAGTTTGTAACAGGAAAGTGGGGGGGAGTCTAAGTCTTCATAGTCTAATGTCCAAGTGGGTTGCACTAGATGTAGACACTTGGAGGCTTACTTTTCATGGTAATGTCCATTTCCTATTTATAACCCCTCTGGGAACGTTTGTCTAAAGGAAATGTTTCTGTTCAGTGTAACAATTACAGTTGCACCTGGATTGCCCAGTCCTGCCCCTGCACTAGGGGACCATTAATCACTGCAAAGTAGAAGAATTATTAAGTTAAACCAGAGTTTGAGCCAAGAAAACCCCTGAACAATGTTCATCTTCTGTGAAACTTGCTCAAATAGTTAAGCTTAACCATGTTGCTGCCAAAGACTTTTCCTATGCAGTGGTGGGGCACCTTGATCATCATCATTATCTTGATTGGCTGAAAAAAAAATAGTTTTAAGCACACACCACTGTCTATGAGAACTGCAAATTGGGAGAATAGGTGAAATGCAGAATCTGAGAGAACGCGAGAAGATGAGATCATTACAGGGTGGAAAGTTCTGCAGCAGCCTTTTCTGGTAATCCCTTTCTGCAGAACCTGATGTTTATGGGCTCTAAAACGCAGCTTAGCTTTAGAAGCAACAGAAAGCATGAAATAGGGTGTCCATTTTAAATGTGTTCCTGCAACTTTTTTCATTAAAACTTTGAGGGCCCAATTTTAATTTGTGGAATATTCCCGTTAATAATGAGATCTAATTAAGACATCCATTAAAAGCCCGTTAAAGTTAATTTAACGTAAAAATTCCAATAGAACTGTATTAGATTTTCTCCATTAAATTAACGTTATGGATTTTTAACGGATGTCTTAATTATACGTTATTATTAACGGGAATACTGTATTACACAGATTAAAATCAGGTCCTAAGTCAACTTGGAAGAGCTAAGAGCATGTTTTAATATTAAAAGTCTTGCATACCTAGTGCACAGTTTGGAGACGCAAGGATAGATCTGTTTACTCTAGTTGAACATTTTCTATACAATTGAAAGCAACCTATAATAGATAAATCCATCATTGCATTTAAACAATGAATTTCCTTATTCTCAAAGGACAAATACGTCTGGATTATGTGGTAAATTGCTACTCAGCTATGGTGAAATATTTATACTATTCTAGGCACAACACTAGGAACTAGGTGATTCTGAAACAAAAGGAATATTTTCTGTTGTTGCTTTAATTACCAAGGTTATTTTTTTTTAATCTCAACACTGACAAAATGAAACCAAATATCTCTTCCTCACCATTTCTCAAGGAGGCTGCCTGTTGGAATTGTTTTGGAAATTTTGACATGATCCCTAAATTCAACATTGGGATTAAAAAAAAAAAAAAACTTCTTATTTACCTCCTAGGGAAAGTGTTGCCCTTATGCCACATATAATAGCAAATTGCTTTTTTTATGGCATGCATAACCTAGATGGGAAAAAATATGGCGCTTCGGGGAAGGAGGGAAAAAGTAAATGAAGTTCCAGGAATGTCATTCTGAAGTAATGAGGCATGGACAGAAAATATACCCCTCACATCATCGGATTGAGATGGCAGTCGAAATAGCTTCATTGAAGTGTCAGCACTCATCCATCAATCAATCACCCACAAGGAAAAATAGCAACAGTACAACGGGGTGGCTTTTATGGGATTTACTCATGGGCATAGGGAATAGCGGCTCAAATGTAGTTCTGACATGAAAAGCAAGGTGCTGATATTATTTTTTATGATGGGAGGATCATAAAGTGAATTGAGAACAGTGAGGTCTGTCTTTGCTTAACCTATTCAACCAGAAATGAATGGAGCTCGACTGGAAAGGAACAGTCTTCAGATGGGTTAAGATTGAAGGGTGGACTGGACTCTACTGAGCACCGTCCTTCAACAAGGAAATTCTATTAAAGGAAAATCAATGCATTAGTATTGGGGTTCTCGTAGCTGTTAAAAATTGTCTGCTCCAATCCAGGGTTATTAGGCCAAAGTTACATAATTCAGATCTCACTGCAACCATCCAAAAGTGGATTCTCGAGCCCTTGCTCCAATGGGGGGAGGAGATCAATACAATTCCCAATTCCATGGAAATTGTTTCCCTTCTAAGGAAGAAAAAATAAATCATCTGCTTCAACATATAATCGATATGGTTTTGTTAGCGTAATTTCTATGGTGGGTGGGGTGGGAGGTGAGAGAAAAAAATATTGATAAATTTGGTAAGACAGGTGAATTGCCGCCTGGCAACCGTGCATGTCACTGCCGAGGGATGGCTGCTAAGGTTCACCTTAGAAAACAAGATCTGGGCTGGCACTGGGGCATACATCACCACTCAGCATATTCCTAGAGGCCAGGCCTGTCTTCACTCAGCCAGCCCTCTGAGGCTTCTAGAAACTTCTTTCTGGAGGAAAAAAACTAAATAACATAAACTCAGGAGAATGTCTTTACCCACCTTCATACCACTGCTTTCTTTTTGCTGAATAAAACACAGTTCTGATAAGTAAGAACTTTAGAATTGGAAAGGAGGCTGACATGCAAATATAATGCAAATTACCCTCAAGTATCGCCATTCTTCCACCACCTCTTGGTACCAGTGAGAGCGAGAGATTGCCTTTTCTTCCCCATCCCTCCTTCCAGCTAAGACCACCAACCAGCTGCAAATTGAGATGTCCATTTAAAAATTTATATGTCAATATTTAAATGTTACATATTTGGCCCTATTTTGTAGTTCAGCAAATCCTCCAAATACACAGCATGTTACAAGGCACTGGTGGCACAGGGCACAACAGGAAATGATATTTATTTAGCAAATTCATTTAACAAATATTATTGGGCACCTGTTATGTGAGACACTGTCCTAGGCACTGTGGGATAACAACAGCAAACACTTCACACAACAGCCTGGCCTTCCTGTGTTTTACAACAGCTCCTAAAGATAGCTGATATCAAGACATTTGAGGGACACAGTTCATGTAGAATCAAAATATTAGTATTTCAGAATAAGGATTTTTTTTCTGAAAAGCATACAGAGAGGAAACAGCTTAAAAATAGGTCAAGACCTAAAAACAGAATATAATCACGGAATAAACTGGATAACCCAGACAGTCCCCACAGAATTTCTTTCAGGTCACAGATTTCTTAAAACTCACCCCCAAAATGTGCCTGCTTGGTTGTTTGAATCTTGCATAATTAATGTCACAGGCGCAAGCCGCTGAACTTAGTTGAGATGCAGAAAACAAACAAATGCAATGACATATCTGAGAAGCATTTATGTAACTCCGGTTAAGTGGTGAGGAGGGGTGTGTGAAGACAGTGTGCATGCATGAGTGTGTATTCATATATATGTGTATACATATGAATTTCACTGTTATTTTCCAGGGTCTATGGACAATGTGGCAGTAAGAGTCTATGATGTTCTGAAACTTTTCACAGTAAATCCAAAGATTACAGACCTTACAAGGTGCTTGCATTCTGTTGCTTTTCCATCTGTCACTTCTCAGGTTATTTGACTGTGTTCAAACCTTCTTTTCTTTTTCATTGAGTTTCATTTTTTAAGCTTGTTAAATGCTTTTGTTTAAAAAAAAAAAAAAAACCCCAAATGTCATTTTTCACATTATCCTCTCTTCTCTGCAACAAGGATAGTAAGATGTAGATGAATGCAAAAATAATAACAACAATAAGGAAATATATTAAAGCTTTAAAATATGCACATATGTAGTTCTAAAGAGCAATAACGGTAGTATCTATTTCGAACATGCATTAGGCAAAAAAGAAATCAAAACTGAAATTTTCGTGTATTTTTCCCCTTGTAAGATGTTCAAATGCTAACTTCATTTTCTCCTTTCCTCTATGTGGCACTTTCTCAAAATATCTATGAAATACTTTTAGACAAAGATTGAGCTGGAGAAAGAGATACAAATTTCCATCCCCCCAGACAGAGAGACATATTTCCATTGTAGGAAGGCATTAAACATTTTGAAACTTGTGAATCATCTTTAGAATTTCTACTGGGGAATTTTACTTCTTCATCCAAAGTAAAAGCCACTTATCTCCTTTGGTTCCCAGTGACAGATTCAGAGGCATACGCAGATATACAATTTTCAGGCTCTAGTTAATCTTCTTCCAATAGTTACGAACAATGGGCTAACAGGCGTGGGTGTTTCTCCAAAAATTATTCATGCACAAGGCAGCCCAAAGCTTCAGGGAAAACTAGAAATGTGTTATGGATTAGAATAGGACTGTTTTAAAATGCTAGTACCAGGTGGAACGCTATTTCTGCAACAGGACTCTGTCCATTTCCTTTGGAACAATATATTCCAAGTAAAATGGCTCTTCCAAGGAATGACACCTTTACTTGACACCCTTCGGCATACAAATGATTTTACCAATAGCCATGATTATTATTAAGGCCTTTTAAAATACAGGCTGTTTGAAAAAAGACAGATTAAATATTCACAGCCTTTGTATCATGGTTATTTGCTTAAAACAGCTTTTAGAAGTACAAGTAATAACTTTTTGATAAGAAACCCCAGGAGAAACTTTTTGGTAAGAAACCTCAAAAAATTTGAACAAAGGCATTACAAAAAAAAAAAAAAAACTAACCACTCCATTCAACTCTCTCAGAAAATAAATTTCAATGTGTTCAATGAATTGTCTTGAACCTGAAACCTGCATTTAGATATCAGTCCCCTGCCAATAGCTAATATTAACAGAATTTGAACAATCATACAATTATGTCTCAAATGTGAAGACTTTGTACAGTAATATTTTCACTTTCTAAATGACCCATATAACATTCAGGAATTATAGATGTGTATGTATATTTTTTAAGTACAGAAAGTTCAGCCAGTCTTCAGAGAAGTAAAAGTGATGTCTATTGTGCATTGAAGTAAATATTACAAACATTCCAGTTTCGCAATACAATACTTGAGCTTTCGAACACCTCAGACACTAGAATGTGTAATGCGAGTCAAAAAAGCTGACATACAAAACAATTCCCATTTGGCTCAGGGTTCCTAAATGTCACAATATCTTGGGTAAAATATACTTTTTGATTTCCTGATGATGTCCTTCTAATCCCTTCTGACTTTGATTCCTAACAGCCAGGCACTGTTGACATGAATCATTAACTTCCAAACCCCTTTAAAATCAAGAAGCTAGGTGATCATACAGTCATTTCAATGGCCAACCAGTTCTTGCTCTACAGAGCTTTTACACCTTTTTGGGAAACCTGATATCAAACACATTTATGTTATATATTTGCTCCCTTGCATTAATTCTAGATTTTTTTTTAATTTCTTTTAGAAAGGGCAGGGGGGAAGTGGGTCAGAGCAAGGTTCAAGAATCACATTCATCCTTGCTCTAAAGTGTTTACTTGCCAGCAAAGAAAGGCAAACACATTTTTATATTCAGAAAGCAGACCGGTCATTTTCAAAGAAAAATGACTGCAACCATGCCTGTAGAATGTTTCTGTGCAAGCGCACTAATTTTCTATCACCTGCATGCTGTATATAATACATTTGCCTGTATACTAGGAAGAAAAACCAGGCTGTTTTCCCTGAGTACAATGCAGCTTGGATGGCTGGGAGCGTAAGCCTTCCGTGCATTTTTATAGTGTACATATTTGTATATACTAACTATATCGCCATGTATGAACACAGATTTTGTTATATTTGCTTGTTTCTGTTTCCTACCAAACTGGCCCACAATGGGGATTCTTTTGTATAGAAAAAATATGCTTGTAATTTTTTCCTGGTCATTCTCTTTCAATAGCTTATGAAAGAATTAGATCTGAGTTTACAAAGAAACTATAAGAACCAAGTTTGTCTGTCTGCATGAGTCCCGTCCAATTGCTGGATCTAGGGAGGAACCAACTTCCTAATTCAGAGTTTTCCTTTTAAAGGCATGCTTTACCCCCATGGGAAAACTGCACACTCATCCATGTAGAATTATTCTCTTTGTATTTTATCTAATAGTGCCTGAAAATTTTTTTAATGTCTTCTTAGAAGAAGAATTCATAATTGTCAAAATTTGAAACATTAGCTTAATTTTGTTTTTATGACCTCAAGATTCTTCTCCTTATTTATTCGGTTGCTGTTGTAATGGGGCCCCAGGCCATTCCTGACATCGGCGTGTTCTTCTTCTGCATTAAGGATGTTTTTGAAATTACAGAGATTATTGAGCCAACAGGCTGTTTTAATCAAAACCATGTTTCACTTCTTTTTGATGATTATAAATTGTCCTTGCAATGAAAAAAAAAAAAGAACTTTTCTGCTAGGAAGATTATACCACCCTGTGGCCAAACAGATTCATCACAGATAGGCATCTATGCCCATTTCTCTGGGATCTGGAAAATTCTTCCCTTGGCTGACCCCAATTTCTTTTACTCCCCATTATCCTGAATATTAGCTTTCAATGCAGTCACTATTTGACATTTCCAAAGGCTTTGCCGCATTGTCACTGCCCAAAGACAAACAACCACTGGAAATGATGGCTTTCCTGCTTGAAACGAAGGGGGCCAGGTGCAGTGGCTCAAGCCTGTAACCCCTGCACTTTGGAAGGCTGAGGCAGGCGGATCACTTGAGGTCAGGAGTTTCAGACCAACCTGGCCAACATGGCAAAACCTCGTCTCTACTAAAAATACAAAAAACATTAGCAGGGCATGGTGGTGCGTGCCTGTAGTCCCAGCTACTTGGGAGGCTGAGGCAAGAGAATTGCTTGAGCCCGGGAGGCGAAGGTTGCAGTGAGCTGAGATGGTGCCACTGCACTCCAGCCTGGGCAACAGAGCAAGACTGTGTCTCAAAAAAAAAAAAAAGAATGGATTTTCAGAAAAAGTGCTCCCTTTCCTGTCCTGTGGTGCCACCATCCTGTCCTCCTTCGTAATCATGAACAATCTGATCTTGAACTCCCACATAACTTAAATCAGGCAAAAAGAAACATTCACAGCGTCCCCTTGCTGAATAAAAATGACTTTGTTTGGAGGCACTTAAGATGTATGCCTGTGTGTGGTGCCGCAGCATTGAAATTATCTGTAGAAGGGGAATTTTTTTTAAAAATACAATTTTATCACTAGAAATAAATTCCGATGGTGGAAACGAAGAAAACCCTTAAATTATATCACAAAAGCCATTATTTTTTGCATCCAAAGAGTTTTTTTTTTTAAGGAAAATCATTCTACTTTGAGAACTGTAATTAAAGCCCTAAATAACAGACACTACTTTGTTGAGCTATTGTGAAAAAAAAACAACACATTCGCCAAGGTTATATGGAGCCCCTGATTTCCATCAAAAAGGTTTCTATAAGTATATTATTTACATTTTTATACATGATAACTCTTGCCTTTGTGTTGAAAAAAAAAAAGTCTCTTTTTTTTCCCCCACTCAGCAGTTATTGGAAATAGACTGTTCCCATCTGAAACCGTATCGTAATTTGCATCAGGAAACCCAACTGCTGACATTGAGGACCTGGGTGTGTTCAATTATGATTTTGCTGGAGGCTGTCCCTCATTTTAATGCTGCAGCTATTGAACCACCTTCCTGAAACCTAGCTGATACGGAATAGCAGAGACATGCCTCTCAACACCATTAGCTTTGCAAATGGCTTCATTTCAGTCAACGTCGACTTCTGCTTTGGCCAATTGAAAAATGAAAATTAAAGGAGAGAAGAAAAAAAACACAGATGCACTTAAAACATGAAAAGAATTATTTATATGATAAAAATATATTTAGCTTTTCAAAGCACAAGACTGAATAGAAGTGCTCTTTTTATGCTTTCTGGAGATGTTACTGTTAAATGTCTTTCTACATCAGGCTTAATAAATCTGTAATGACATTTGATGGATTGATTTCTGCCTATGTGTGTTTTTTAAAGATGGCAAGAGAGGAAAAAGGCAAGAGAGGGGGGATGAGGGCGGGAAAGAACAGCACCGACCCCCGGGGAGGCTAAGCGAGGACGTTATTGGTAGGCCTCTCTGTGGTTGGGACCCGCTGACCCACTTCCAGAATCTCCCCTCATCTCCATCAGATTTCCTTTTTTTTTTTTTTTTTTTTTTAACAAATGCCAGCACCCCTTGTTTGGTTTCTGGGCTGCCTCTGACTGCTCTTATCTCTGGTCTGCTTATGCCTGAGTAATTTATGATGTAATCTCAACAGAGGCAGTGGGCGGCTGTGTCACAAATTCAAGGAAGCAAGGCAGAGAGCAGCCGTGATTGAGATGGCCCGACCTTCTCCACCTCAAAGCGATGGCCCTGCTTACCACTCAGTTTCCCTGTGTACTCCCCTCCACTTCCTTTAACGTCCTGGGAGAATTGGACCATGTTTCATATACAAGCTGCCCAAGCAGACGCTGATGCCCCACCAAAAATGATTTGTTGTCTGTGCACAGCTAGCTCTCGGCTCCTGTGTCTTGTGGTTGCATGAGCCCCATACTCATTAAATTATGATGGCTACCGTATCACCTGTTAGCTCTACATCATTGCCATGGCTCCATGTCTAGGACATAAAATAGGAGCAGCCAGGCTAGAGAGAGCAAGTCAGCTGAGGAATGAGGGAGGTAGCCATGGCGAAGTATTGGGATAAGCACCTTGGACCCAGTCAAAGAGTTCTTGGTCATCATTTACTTAGTGAACACTGACTGAGCACCTACTATGTGTCAGGTCTGAGGATGACACAGATAAATGAAGGCAGTGATGGTTATGAGAACAGGATTGAGAGCCAAACTGTGTTAAGGTCCAGGTCCTGTCATGTTTTATCTGTGTGATCTAAGGCAAGATCACAGAAAGAAAAGAACACAAAGCTGCCAGGCGTGGTGGCTCACACCTGTAGTTCCAGCACTTTGGGAGGCCGAGGCGGGCAGATCACGAGGTCAGGAGATCGAGACCATCCTGGCTAGCATGGTGAAACTCCGTCTCTACTAAAAATACAAAAAATTAGCTGGGCGTGGTGGTGGGCGCCTGTGGTCCCAGCTACTGAGGAGGCTGAGGCAGGAGGATGGCATGAACCCGGGAGGCGGAGCTTGCAGTGAGCAGAGATAGCGCCACTGCACTCCAGCCTGGATGACAGAGTGAGACTCTGTCTCAAAAAGAAAAGAACACAAAGCAAGGATGATAATGAGGGCTGTGGAAGCTCAGAGGTGGCCCCCAGCCAACCTGAGAAGTCACAGAAGGATGAAGGCAAAACCTGTGCCATCACTGAAGTAATTTCTCAAAGGGGTGTGGAAAAACCACCAGGACACGAGAGTGTGTGCCTTAACTACCCCCTTCTTCCAATCTAGTCCGTCAACAACTCCTGTGGTTTCTAACTTCAAAATACATGAATCTGTTTACTTTAGGTCTCTCCTAGACATCTGGGATGGCCGCCCAACTAATCTCCCATCTGTCATCTTAAGCCCTCTAAACCCAAATCCATGCTCCACATGGTAGCTGAAGTGATGCTTTAATAAAGTAAATCAAATCATGTTATTTTGCTCTTCAAGACCGAGGGTCAGCACACTTTTTGACGGCTCAGATAGTAAATATATTCATCTTTGTAGAACATCTAGTCTCTGACCCAGCAACTCAACTCTGCCATTGTTGTGCAAAAGCAGCTATGAGCAATAATAAGTAAATGAGTGTAGCTATGTTCCAATAAAACTTTACTCCATAAAAACAAGTAGCAGGCCAAATTTGGCCCACAGACCATAGTTTGCCAACCCTGGCTCAAGGTCCTTCAACACCCAGGTTTCCATTTATCTTAGATTGATTTCTCATGGAAACAGGCCCTGAGATGAGGATGCGAGGTCAGGACAAGTAGTTCATATAGGAGGTGAATCCAGGAAACACTAAGAGAGGAATGGGGAGGGAAACAGGAAAGGAAGAATGCCCAAAAAAGAGGCCTTAAGAACAATTATCGCCATGGGCAATGGAGTCCAATTCCACTGGGGAGCTCTGGAAGACAACGTGCAGCATGCCTCAGTAATCCTGCCTGAGGGGTGAGGGAGCTGGGGTATTTATACACCACCTCTGCTCAGTTATTAGTCAAAGGCTACTGCAGGGTAAGGTAGGGGGACATCAATTCCCTAGCACTTCCATCTGCCCAAAGGTTGGAAGAAATAGTCTTCAGTGGCCAGAGAACACCTCAAGGCACAGAGTTCCAGCTGCTTGAAACTGGAAGTAAAGATGAACGACATGCAAAGAAATAGTCTATGCCAAGGAATGGGGGCAGGGCTTCTGCAGCACCCCGTCTCACATAGAGAGAAATCCAAACTCCTCCCCAGGCAGTATTTTTTTTTTTTTTTTTTTTTTGGAAACAGAATCTCGCTCTCTCACCCAGGCTGGAGTGCAGTGGCGCGATCTTGGCTCACTGCAATCTCTGCCTCCCAGGTTCAAGCAATTCTCCTGTCTCAGCCTCTCAAGTAGCTAGGATTACAGGTGCCCACCACCATGCCCGGCTAATTTTTGTATTTTTAGTAGAGACGGGATTTCACCATGTTGGCCAGGCTGGTCTCAAACTCCTGACCTCAGGTGATCCACCTGCCTCGTCCTCCCAAAGTACTGTGATTACAGGCGTGAGCCACCACACCCGGCCCCCCAGGCAGTATTGAACCTTCCTGGTTTGTCCCCTGCCTGCTTTCCTGACCTCATCTCTCCTCTAGACACGCAGCTCTAGCCATGCTGCCCTGCAACAGTTCCTAAACCACACAACACTGTTCCCTCTAGTGACAGTGTGAACCACCTAGCCAGGCTTCTTCCTATTTCCCATGTCTCTGCCTTGGGAATCTCCTCTTCTGAAAGGTGCTCTCTTAGCCCTCATCTACAGTGCCCTGTTACTATACCCCTCAGCCCCGATCACGAGTTTGTTGTCATTTATGTGTGATCAATTTCCTTCACAGGCCACCATGTGAAAACAGAAACCAATGTCTGTTTTTTTCATGTATTCCTATAAGAAGCATAATGCCTGACATACAATACGTGTCCAACAAATAATTGTTAAATAAATGAACGCTGTTCTTCTGAAGGCCTGGGAGGTCTCCAGGCACAGTCTCTAAAATTCTCCCTCCCTCCCCCTGCCCGACCACTGCCAGGAGTCACCGCTTTCATCCTCCCCCTAGTGCAGGGAAGCATTTCTCAAGGATTTTATACAATCACAGAACATGCTATTGAAATATCTGAACTTTCTGGGTAGCCAGGGGCCTCAGTGAGCTCCAACTAGGTTACAGAGCATAGTCTCAGGAAGCCGCAAGGAAAGGAGGACCCCAGGAGCATGAGACCCTGCACCCAGTGCCAGGTCCCCACTGAGAGCCAAAGAGCGTGTGTGTTTGCCCTAAAACCAGTGGACTCAAGGCAGTCCCTTAAAAAGTTCAAGCACAGGCCAAGTGCAGTGGTTCATGCCTGTAATTCCAACACTTTAAGAGGCCAAGGCGGGCAGATCATCTGAAGTCAGGAGTTCGAAACCAGCCTGGCCAACATGGCAAAACCCCATCTCTACTAAAATACAAAAATTAGCCGGGTGTGGTGGCGGGCACCTGTAATCCTAGCTACTCAGGAGGCTGAGGCAGGAGAATTGCTTGAACCTGGGAGGAGGAGGTTGCAGTGAGCTGAGACTGGGCCACTGCACTCCAGCCTGGGCAACAGAGCAAGACTCTGTCTAAACAAAGAAAAAAGTGGGGGTGGGGGGAGCGAGAGCGGTGGCTCACGCCTGTAATCACAGCACTTTGGGAGGCCAAGGCAGGCGGATCATGAGGTCAGGAAATCGAGACCATCCTGGCCAACACGGTGAAACCCCTTCTCTACTAAAAATACAAAAAATTAGCCAGGCGTGGTGGCATATGCCTTTACTTCCAGCTACTCGGGAGGCTGAGGCAGGAGAATCCCTTGAACCCAGGAGGTGGAGATTGCAGTGAGCCGAGATCATGCCACTGCACTCCAGCCTGGGCGACAGAGCAAGACTCTGTCTCAAAAAAAAAAAAAAAAAATAATAATAATAATAATAATAATAATAAAAGGCTGGGCACAGTGGCTGACGCCTGGAATCCCAGCACTTCAGGAGGCCGACGTTGGGGGAACACTTGAGGTCAGGAGTTCAAGACCAGCCTGGCCAACGTGGCAAAACCCCAACTCTACTAAAAATACAAAGATTTGCTGGGTGTGGTCACGTGAGCCTATAATCCCAGCTACTTGGGAGGCTGAGGCACGAGAATCACTTGAATCTGAAAGGCTGAGTTTGCAGTGAACCGAGATTGTGCCACTGCACTCCAGCCTGGGTGACAGAGTAAGACTCTGTCTCAAATAATAATACTAATAATAATAACAAAAAAATAAAATAAAATAGTACTCACACAACTGATAAGCTTACCAGAAACTGAAGTTAAGTATTTGTTTTATGCTATAAATTAAAGCATATTCCAGATGAACTAAAGGATTATATCCAGAAAACAAATCATAAAACAATTAGAATAAAATCTATGTTGATAGCTGATATGAGTCAGGGAAGTCATTCCAACCTTAAAAGTCTTAAGTTCCGGTCTTAAATTATTTCTTCCTTAAATGGTAAGAAAGAAATAAAAAGAAGAAATAATAAAAACTCCAGGAGTCAAAACACACACACACACACACACACAAATACTGTAAATACAGTGAAAAGTCACTGGGGGAAAATTATTTATATTGATACATGATTAATGGTGACAGTTCTAATTAATTATATGAAGAGTGTTTTATATATATGTGTATATATATATATATACACACATATATACACATATATACATATATATGTGTATATATGTATATATGTATGTGTATATATATATGTGTATATATATGTATGTGTATATATATATGTGTATATATATGTATGTGTATATATATGTGTGTATATATATATATGTGTATATATACATATATATATATGAAAAATAAGTAAATATCCAAATAGAAAACTTTTGGCAAAATGTATAAGCCAACATTAAAAAATTGATAAATTAAAATGGTTAATAAACATTTAAGACAAGTGACAATAATAATCAAAGGGATGTAGAATAAGTAAAATAAGAAGAAATCATTTTCACTTATCAAACTGACAAAAATAAAGAAAAATGTTCCCATTGTTGGAGAGGGCTCAAAAAGAGATATACACACACATCGTTGCTGAAAGCAAAAATGGATAGCAACTTTCTGGAAAATAATTAAACAGTATTTATCAATTTCTCTAAAATGTGTATGCCCTTTGATTAATTACTATTCTGGAGAACTTTCCTTGAAAATAATTGAAGATGTGCACTGAGATTTATTTAATAAGAATGTTTGATCATAACATTGGTTATAAGAGTGAAAAACTGGAATAAACCTAAGTGTTCTAAAATAGGCTGATTAAATAAATGATGGTACATCTATGCCTTAGAATAGTACACAGTCATGAATACTTGAGCACTTAAAAATAGTCACAGTATATTTATTAAAAAACAAAATAGAAAAAAATGAAGATAGACAAAGAATATAGACCAATGTTATTGGTGTTGAACTTCTGAATAATGTTTAATTTTATGTTCTTTGGTATGTTTTTACTTTTTCTTAACTTACAAAATATTTCTTTTTTCTTTTTTTTTTTTTTATCATTTTTTTGAGACGGAGTCTCATTGTGTCGCCCAGGCTGGAGTGCAGTGGCACGATCTCAGCTCACTGTAACCTCCTCCTCCCGAGTTCAAGCAATTCTCCTGCCTCAGCCTCCTAAGTAGCTAGGACTACAGGCACCCGCCACCACGCCCGGCTAATTATTTGTATTTTTAGTAGAAACGGGGTTTTGCCACGTTGGCCAGGCTGGTCTCAAACTCCTGGCCTCAGGTGATCCGCCTGCCTTGACCTCCCAAAGTGCTGGGATTACAGGGGTGAGCCACCACACTAGGCCCAAAATATTTCATTATAAGCATATATTACCTGCATAAAAATATATATATATTAGGAGTGTCATGAGCTGAGATGGCACCACTGCACTCTAGCCTGGGCGACAGAGAGACTCCATCTCAAAAAAAAAAAAAAAAAAAAAAAAAAAAAAAAAAAAAAAAAAATATATATATATATATATATATATATATATAATATGTGTGTTTGTATATATGTATACATATATGTAGATATATATATGTGTATATATATGTATATATACCCATACATATATGTATGTATATTTTAAAAAGGCAACAAAAAACACCACAATGAGTAGGAAGCCTCTTCATGTTTCTTTTCTTCTACTTTTTTTTTTTTTTTTTTTTTGAGGCGGAGTCTAGCTCTGTTACCAGGTTGGAGTGCAGTGGTACAATCTCAGCTCACTGCAACCTCCAACTGCCTGGTTCATGCGATTCTCCTGCCTCAGCCTACCAAGTAGCTGGGATTACAGACACACACCACCATGCATGGCTAATTTTCGTATTTTTAATAGAGATGGGTTTCACCATGTTGGCCAGGATGGTCTCGATCTCCTGATCTTATGATCCGCCCTCCTCGGCCTCCCAAAGTGCTGGGATTACAGGGGTGAGCCACTGCGCCCTGCCTCTTCTACATTTTTTGTATTGTTTATTTTTTTATTTATTCATTCATTCATTCATTCATTCGTTTATTTATTTTTGAGACGGAGTCTAGCTCTGTTGCCCAGGCTGGAGTGCAGTGGTGTGACCTCAGCTTACCACAACCTCTGCCTGCCAAGTTCAAGTGATTCTCCTGCCACAGCCTCCTGAGTAGCTGGGATTACAGGCACGCACCCCCATGCTCGGCTAATTTTTGTATTTTTAGTAGAGACGGGATTTCACTATGTTGGGCAGGCTGGTCTTGAACTCCTGACCTCGTGATCTGCCCGCCTTGGCCTCCCATAGTGCTGGGATTACAGGTGGGAGCCACCACGCCTGGCCTCTTTATATTTTTTATACTGAGCTTATGTTTATCTTGGCGTGAGGTGTTTTTTCTAATTTTTCCAGGAACATATCAATATAGTATGACCACAACATGTGAAAGAAACTAAAAAAGTGGTAAAAATGCATTAAAATTAAGTGGCCACTATAGCAGTTTTCTGCCCCAGAGGAGTAGAGAAAAGGTCTCAGGGCACAGCTGAGCAATTGCCCCTAAATTAGCTGAAGTCCCTCTAGGACCTTGTCTTCCAGCACTTATTACAGTTGTAATTTTATCCTGCTTGGCATGATCATCATTAATGAATGCCTACCTTCCTCACTTACACTAAAATTAACAGCTTAGCATTATAATGGTACACACCACATGCCAATCGTTTTTCTAAGCACTCTGCCTATATTATTTCCTTTAATCCAAACAAACAACCCTCTGAGGTGAGTACAGTTTTCTCCTCCATATGACAGATGAGGAAACTGAGGAACAGAGAGGGCAAATAAGTTGTTCAATCTCCACAGGCTAGTAAGTGGCAGAGTTGGGATTCAGCCAGGCCAACTGGCTCCATTGTTTGTGGTCTTGGCCAATTCTCTACCAGGCGTCAGCAGATTGCAACCCATGGGCCAAGCCCAGCCCCCACCATCTGTTTTGTTTTTCAATAAAGTTTTATTGAAACACAGCCATGCTCATTTGATTACTTATCTATGGCTGCTTGCACTTTACAACAGCCAAGTGAAGCATTTGCTACGGAAACTTACATGGATCTCTCCTCGCTCCACACCGCTGCATGGCACCCTCTGGGTTACAGTGATGCCATCATAATACAATTTCATTTTTTGTTCCCCAAGGCCAAAAATATCTACTATCTAGTCGTTTACCAAAAATCTTTGACGAGCCCCATTACTCTGTCACTAGATTTCAGACTCATGAAGACAGGAGCAAAATCCTGCTTGGTCTCCCACTGTTTCACCAGCTCCTGCAACAGAGTCTATCAGCCCTCACACTGCACAGTTGCTTAAAAAAAATAAAATTATGTATACATAGAAAAGAATCAGGCCGGGCATGGTGGCTCATGCCTGTAACCTGAGTACTTTGGGACGCCAAGGCAGGCAGATCACTTGAACCCAGGAGTTTGGGACCAGCCTGGACAACATGATGAAACTCCATCTCTACAGAAAATTTAAAAAATTATCCAAGTGTGGTGGTATGTGCCTGCAGTCACAGCTACTCGGGAGGGTGAGGCAGGAGAATCATCTGAGTCCCAGAGTTCAAGGCTGCAGTGAGCCATGATTGTGCCACTGCACTTCAGTCTGGGCGACAGAGCAAGACCCTGTCTCAAAAAAGGAAGGAAGAGAGGGAGGAAGGGAGGGAGGAAGGAAGGGAGGAAGGGAGGGAGGAAGGGAGGGAGGAAAGAAAGGAGGGAGAAAGGGAGGAAAGGAGGGAGGGAGGAAGGGAGACAGGGAGGAAGGAGGGAGGAAGGAAGGATCAACAGATACGTGGAGGAGCCAAGATGGCCGAATAGGAACAGCTCCGGTCTACAGCTCCCAGCGTGAGCGACACAGAAGACGGGTGATTTCTGCATTTCCATCTGAGGTACCGGGTTCATCTCACTAGGGAGTGCCAGACAGTGGGTGCGGGTCAGTGGGTGTGCGCACCGTGCGTGAGCCGAAGCAGGGCGAGGCATTGCCTCACTTGGGAAGCGCAAGGGGTCAGGGAGTTCCCTTTCTGAGTCAAAGAAAGGGGTGACGGACTCACCTGGAAAATCGGGTCACTCCCACCCGAATATTGCGCTTTTCGGACGGGCTTAAAAAACGGCGCACCACGAGATTATATCCGGCACCTGGCTCGGAGGGTCCTACGCCCACGGAGTCTCGCTGATTGCTAGCACAGCAGTCTGAGATCAAACTGCAAGGCGGCAGTGAGGCTGGCGGAGGGGCGCCCGCCATTGCCCAGGCTTGCTTAGGTAAACAAAGCAGCCGGGAAGCTCCAACTGGGCCCAGCCCACCACAGCTCAAGGAGTCCTGCCTGCCTCTGTAGGCTCCACCTCTGGGGGCAGGGCACAGACAAACAAAAAGACAGCAGTAACCTCTGCAGACTTAAATGTCCCTGTCTGACAGCTTTGAAGAGAGCAGTGGTTCTCCCAGCACGCAGCTGGAGATCTGAGAACGGGCAGACTGCCTCCTCAAGTGGGTCCCTGACCCCTGACCCCCGAGCAGCCTAACTGGGAGGCACCCCCCAGCAGGGGCACACTGACACCTCACACGGCAGGGTATTCCAACAGACCTGCAGCTGAGGGTCCTGTCTGTTAGAAGGAAAACTAACAAACAGAATGGACATCCACACCAAAAACCCATCTGTACATCACCATCATCAAAGACCAAAAGTAGATAAAACCACAAAGATGGGGAAAAAACAGAACAGAAAAACTGGAAACTCTAAAACGCAGAGCGCCTCTCCTCCTCCAAAGGAACGCAGTTCCTCACCAGCAACGGAACAAAGCTGGATGGAGAATGACTTTGATCAGCTGAGAGAAGAAGGCTTCAGACGATCAAATTACTCTGAGCTACGGGAGGACATTCAAACCAAAGGCAAAGAAGTTGAAAACTTTGAAAAAAATTTAGAAGAATGTATAACTAGAATAACCAATACAGAGAAGTGCTTAAAGGAGCTGATGGAGCTGAAAACCAAGGCTCGAGAACTACATGAAGAATGCAGAAGCCTCAGGAGCCGATGCAATCAACTGGAAGAAAGGGTATCAGCGATGGAAGATGAAATAAATGAAATGAAGCGAGAAGGGAAGTTTAGAGAAAAAAGAATAAAAAGAAATGAGCAAAGCCTCCAAGAAATATGGGACTATGTGAAAAGACCAAATCTACGTCTGATTGGTATACCTGAAAGTGATGGGGAGAATGGAACCAAGTTGGAAAACACTCTGCAGGATATTATCCAGGAGAACTTCCCCAATCTAGCAAGGCAGGCCAACGTTCAGATTCAGGAAATACAGAGAATGCCACAAAGATACTCCTCGAGAAGAGCAACTCCAAGACACATAATTGTCAGATTCACCAGAGTTGAAATGAAGGAAAAAATGTTAAGGGCAGCCAGAGAGAAAGGTTGGGTTACCCTCAAAGGGAAACCCATCAGACTAACAGCGGATCTCTCAGCAGAAACCCTACAAGCCAGAAGAGAGTGGGGGCCAATATTCAACATTCTTAAAGAAAAGAATTTTCAACCCAGAATTTCATATCCAGCCAAACTAAGCTTCATAAGTGAAGGAGAAATAAAATACTTTACAGACAAGCAAATGCTGAGAGATTTTGTCACCACCAGGCCTGCCCTAAAAGAGCTCCTGAAGGAAGCGCTAAACATGGAAAGGAACAACCGGTACCAGCCGCTGCAAAATCATGCCAAAATATACAGACCATCGAGACTAGGAAGAAACTGCATCAACTAACGAGCAAAATCACCAGCTAACATCATAATTACAGGATCAAATTCACACACAACAATATTAACCTTAAATGTAAATGGACTAAATGCTCCAATTAAAAGACACAGACTGGCAAATTGGATAAAGAGTCAAGACCCATCAGTGTGCTGTATTCAGGAAACCCATCTCACGTGCAGAGACACACATAGGCTCAAAATAAAGGGATGGAGGAAGATCTACCAAGCAAATGGAAAACAAAAAAAGGCAGGGGTTGCAATCCTAGTCTCAGATAAAACAGACTTTAAACCAACAAAGATCAAAAGAGACAAAGAAGGCCATTACATAATGGTAAAGGGATCAATTCAACAAGAAGAGCTAACTATCCTAAATATATATGCACCCAATACAGGAGCACCCAGATTCATAAAGCAAGTCCTGAGTGACCTACAAAGAGACTTAGACTCCCACACATTAATAATGGGAGACTTTAACACCCCACTGTCAACATTAGACAGATCAACGAGACAGAAAGTCAACAAGGATACCCAGGAATTGAACTCAGCTCTGCACCAAGCGGACCTAATAGACATCTACAGAACCCTCCACCCCAAATCAACAGAATATACATTTTTTTCAGCACCACACCACACCTATTCCAAAATTGACCACATACTTGGAAGTAAAGCTCTCCTCAGCAAATGTAAAAGAACAGAGATTATAACAAACTATCTCTCAGACCACAGTGCAATCAAACTAGAACTCAGGATTAAGAATCTCTCTCAAAACCGCTCAACTACATGGAAACTGAACAACCTGCTCCTGAATGACTACTGGATACATAACGAAATGAAGGCAGAAATAAAGATGTTCTTTGAAACCAATGAGAACAAAGACACAACATACCAGAATCTCTGGGACTCATTCAAAGCAGTGTGTAGAGGGAAATTTATAGCACTAAATGCCCACAAGAGAAAGCAGGAAAGATCCAAAATTGACACCCTAACATCACAATTAAAAGAACTAGAAAAGCAAGAGCAAACACATTCAAAAGCTAGCAGAAGGCAAGAAATAACTAAAATCAGAGCAGAACTGAAGGAAATAGAGACACAAAAAACCCTTCAAAAAATTAATGAATCCAGGAGCTGGTTTTTTGAAAGGATCAACAAAATTGATAGACCGCTAACAAGACTAATAAAGAAAAAAAGAGAGAAGAATCAAATAGACGCAATAAAAAATGATAAAGGGGATATCACCACCGATCCCACAGAAATACAAACTACCATCAGAGAATACTACAAACACCTCTATGCAAATAAACTAGAAAATCTAGAAGAACTGGATAAATTCCTCGACACATACACTCTCCCAAGACTAAACCAGGAAGAAGTTGAATTTCTGAATAGACCAATAACAGGAGCTGAAATTGTGGCAATAATCAATAGTTTACCAACCAAAAAGAGTCCAGGACCAGATGGATTCACAGCCAAATTCTACCAGAGGTACAAGGAGGAACTGGTACCATTCCTTCTGAAACTATTCCAATCAATAGAAAAAGAGGGAATCCTCCCTAACTCATTTTATGAGGCCAGAATCATTCTGATACCAAAGACAGGCAGAGACACAACCAAAAAAGAGAATTTTAGACCAATATCCTTGATGAACATTGATGCAAAAATCCTCAATAAAATTCTGGCAAAACAAATCCAGCAGCACATCAAAAAGTTTATCCACCATGATCAAGTGGGCTTCATCCCTGGGATGCAAGTCTGGTTCAATATATGCAAATCAATAAATGTAATCCAGCATATAAACAGAGCCAAAGACAAAAACCACATGATTATCTCAATAGATGCAGAAAAAGCCTTTGACAAAATTCAACAACCCTTCATGCTAAAAACTCTCAATAAATTAGGTATTGATGGGACGTATTTCAAAATAATAAGAGCTATCTATGACAAACCCACAGCCAATATCATACTGAATGGGCAAAAACTGGAAGCATTCCCTTTGAAAACTGGCACAAGACAGGGATGCCCTCTCTCACCACTCCTATTCAACATAGTGTTGGAAGTTCTGGCCAGGGCAATTAGGCAGGAGAAGGAAATAAAGGGTATTCAATTAGGAAAAGAGGAAGTCAAACTGTCCCTGTTTGCAGATGACATGATTGTATATCTGGAAAACCCCACTGTCTCAGCCCAAAATCTCCTTAAGCTGATAAGCAACTTCAGCAAAGTCTCAGGATACAAAATCAATGTTCAAAAATCACAAGCGTTCTTATACACCAACAACAGACAAACAGAGAGCCAAATCATGAGTGAACTCCCATTCACAATTGCTTCAAAGAGAATAAAATACCTAGGAATCCAACTTACAAGGGATGTTAAAGACCTCTTCAAGGAGAACTACAAACCGCTGCTCAAGGAAATAAAAGAGGATACAAACAAATGGAAGAACATTCCATGCTCATGGGTAGGAGGAATCAATATCGTGAAAATGGCCATACTGCCCAAGGTAATTTACAGATTCAATGTCATCCCCATCAAGCTACCAATGCCTTTCTTCACAGAATTGGAAAAAACTACTTTAAAGTTCATATGGAACCAAAAAAGAGCCCGCATCGCCAAGGCAATCCTAAGCCAAAAGAACAAAGCTGGAGGCATCACACTACCTGACTTCAAACTATACTACAAGGCTACAGTAACCAAAACAGCATGGTACTGGTACCAAAACAGAGATATAGATCAATGGAACAGAACAGAGCCCTCAGAAATAATGCCGCATATCTACAACTATCTGATCTTTGACAAACCTGAGAAAAACAAGCAATGGGGAAAGGATTCCCTGTTTAATAAATGGTGCTGGGAAAACTGGCTAGCCATATGTAGAAAGCTGAAACTGGATCCCTTCCTTACACCTTATACAAAAATCAATTCAAGATGGATTAAAGACTTAAACGTTAGACCTAAAACCATAAAAACCCTAGAAGAAAACCTAGGCATTACCATTCAGGACATAGGCATGAGCAAGGACTTCATGTCCAAAACACCAAAAGCAATGGCAACAAAAGACAAAATTGACAAATGGGATCTAATCAAACTAAAGAGCTTCTGCACAGCAAAAGAAACTACCATCAGAGTGAACAGGCAACCTACAAAATGGGAGAAAATTTTCGCAACCTACTCATCTGACAAAGGGCTCATATCCAGAATCTACAATGAACTCAAATTTACAAGAAAAAAACAAACAACCCCATCAAAAAGTGGGTGAAGGACATGAACAGACACTTCTCAAAAGAAGACATTTATGCAGCCAAAAAACACATGAAAAAATGCTCATCATCACTGGCCATCAGAGAAATGCAAATCAAAACCACAATGAGATACCATCTCACACCAGTTAGAATGGCAATCATTAAAAAGTCAGGAAACAACAGGTGCTGGAGAGGATGTGGAGAAATAGGAACACTTTTACACTGTTGGTGGGACTGTAAACTAGTTCAACCATTGTGGAAGTCAGTGTGGCGATTCCTCAGGGATCTAGAACTAGAAATACCATTTGACCCAGCCATCCCATTACTGGGTATATACCCAAAGGACTATAAATCATGCTGCTATAAAGACACATGCACACGTATGTTGATTACGGCATTATTCACAATAGCAAAGACTTGGAACCAACCCAAATGTCCAACAATGATAGACTGGATTAAGAAAATGTGGCACATATACACCATAGAATACTATGCAGCCATAAAAAATGATGAGTTCATGTCCTTTGTAGGGACATGGATGAAATTGGAAATCATCATTCTCAGTAAACTATCACAAGAACAAAAAACCAAACACCGCATATTCTCACTCATAGGTGGGAATTGAACAATGAGATCACATGGACACAGGAAGGGGAATATCACACTCTGGGGACTGTGGTGGGGTGGGGGGAGCGGGGAGGGATAGCATTGGGAGATATACCTAATGCTAGATGACGAGTTAGTGGGTGCAGCGCACCAGCATGGCACATGTATACATATGTAACTAACCTGCACGACGTGCACATGTACCCTAAAACTTAAAGTATAATAAAAAAAAAAACAGATACATAAATGAGTCTTAGCTAATACCTTCATATGTGCTGTGTAGTGACGCTTGCCTAGTAAGACATCATGCTGAGAAATGGACTGATTCTCACAGCAGCCCGCAGGGTACTAGTCACCCCCCATTTCACAGATGAGAAGATTCGCATTGCTCAGTATCACACACCACTTGACATGTAGACCTGAAATTCAGACTTAACGTTTGTGGTGTGGGAAAGTCCACACTCTTGTGAGCCCCTAGCATGAGTCTTGGGAAATGGTGGGCCCTTTAAAAATGATAGTTTCTTCACTATGTGCAAACTTTAGGGACCTAAGGCCCATGCTATTACCAAGAGGTGTTGCAGGACTTCTAAGAAGACCCGGTGAGGCCTGGAGGCTGCAGGATGAATAATGGAGGACAGGCACTTCCCGGAGAAAGTGAACATGACAAGCAAAGACCTTTGAAATATGAGCTGGTGTCTCACTTCCCCCTCTAGGTCTTCCAGCCCCTCCTTGGTCTGCTTCCCAGGCTCCAGAACTAAGCTCCTCCTGTCTCGAGGGAAACCGAACGGCTTTGGGAAAACACACGATGTTCTCAGAAGTAAGGGCAAGCTTCCTGCGCCCCCAGCCTGTCCTGCCTGCGCTCATCCTGGATTGATTACTTTTATCGTCCCCCTGTGGCCCCAGATATGCTCCAAAGGACTCAGCAGGCCTGAGACTCTGTCTGGTCTGGCTCCTGCCATTCCAGCACATTCTACACTCCAGCCAAACTGGAGTCCTCTGGATCCCAGCACCTGCCACCGTACCTTTGCATGTGCTGGGACCCTGGTCTTCCCACTGTCCCTCACCCTTCAGCTTCCCCTAAGGACTGCCTCTGACTCTCGGCTTAGAAAAAGTCCCCTGCCCTCCAGTCCCACCCTGGACCTCCCTCTTGCAAAGGTCCTGGCAGTTGCAGTCACATGAGCTGTTGCAAAGATCCTGGCAGTTGCAGTCACATGAGCTGTTGCAAAGGTCCTGGCAGTTGCGGTCATGTGAGCTGTCTGCTTGTCTCCCACATGCACTAGGGGCAGGGCTCCAGCAGCCTTCCCCCTCATGCCCCAGCCTGCGTCCCCAGCACCACACCCTGTGGCTAAGACACAGTGGGAGCGCAAAGAAGTCACGTTGGCGTGGTGCACATGACAAAGGCCGGGTGATAGTCTCGCTCCAAGCAGCCTCAGGTATGCTCCTGTGATGGTTAAGTGTCAGCTTGATTGGACTGAAGGATGCAAAGTATTGTTTCTGAGTGTACCTTGGTGTGTCTGGGTGTTGCCAGAAGACATTATCATTTGAGTCAGTGGACTGGGAGAGGAAGACCCACCCCCAGGAAGATGCACCTACAGTGTAGGTGGGCACCATCCAATCAGCTGCCAGTGCAGCTAGAAAAAGCAGGCAGAAGAAGGTGGGATAAGCTGGCTGGCTGAGTCTTCCAGCCTTCATCCTTCTCCTGTGCTGGATTCTTCCTGCCCTTAAACACCAGACTCCAGGTTCTTCAGCCTTTGGACTCTTGGACTTACACCAGTGGTTTGCCAGGGAATCTCAGGCCTTCGGCCACAGACTGAAGGCTGCACTGTCGGCTTCCCTACTTTTGAGGTTTTGGGGCTTGGACTGAGCCACTACTGGCTTCCTTGTCCTCAACTTGCAGACGGCCTATTGTGGGACTTTTACCTTATGATCATGTGAGTCAGTTCTCCTTAATAAACTCCCTTCCATATATACATATATCCAGCCGGGCACGATGGCTCATGTCTGTAATCCCAGCACTTTGGGAGGCCGAGGCAGGCGGATCACTTGAGGTCAGGAGTTCAAGACCAGCCTGACCAACATGGTGAAACCTCGTTTCTGCTAAAAATACAAAAAGCAGCCAGGCCTGGTGGTCTGCACGCCTGTAATTCCAGCTACTCGGGAGGCTAAAACAGGAGAACTGCTTGAACCCAGGAGGTGAAGGTTGCAGTGAGCCAAGATAGCACCACTGCACTCTAGCTTGGGCAACAGAGTGAGACTCTGTCTCAAAAAAAATAAAAACAAAAATAAATAAAAATACAAAAATTAGCCAGGCGTGGTGGCAGGCACCTGTAGTCCCAGTTACTCAGAAGGCGGAGGCAGGAGAATTGCTTGAACCTGGGAGGTGGAGGTTGCAGTGAGCTGAGATTATACCACTACACTCCAGCCTGGGTGACATTCCAGAGTGATACTCCGTCTTAAAAAAACAAAACAAACAAACAAACAAAATATATATATATACATATGTCCTATAAATTCTGTCCCTCTGGAGGGCCCTCACTGCATTATAGAGGAAAACGTGCATCATGCACGGCAGAGATGAAGACACAGAGGCCCAGGTGGGAGAGCTTACAGCTGTGCAGAGCCATGGAGCAAACGGAGACCCGAGCCGAACCTCAGATCCTGAACTGCGCTGTGACAGCACAGGATCCCCTCAGCCACAAGACAGTGCCTCCTTCTACTCTTTTGCTCTCCCATTCATACTCAATATGTGGGTATTAGACTGGGAAAGAAGATCACGTGTGTTAATGTACGATCAGTAACATACCTTATATAATACACATTAATATATTATTGAGCACTGACTCTGCATTAGGTTCTTGGCACAAATAATCTGTTTTAATTCTTTTACAATTTCCTTAAAACACACATGCTCAACAAGGTGATATCCCCCCCAAATGGGCAAAAATTAATTATTGGGGAATGAAAAGCCTTAGCGATTGCCATGGTCTGTGGCCTTCCAAAGGGCCACAGAACATAAACAATATAGTAAGTATCTCTGATATTAAAATGTCATTGGTCATGGGGTCAGGCACGGCAGCTCAAGCCTGTAATCCCAACACTTTGGGAGGCTGAAGGGGGAGGATCACTTGAGGCCAAGAGTTCAAGATCAGCCTGGGCAACAAAGGGAGACCCCTATGTCTAAAAAAAAAAAAAAAAAGAAAGAAAGAAACAATTAAAAGGCATAGAATGTAGGTCTGTTTTAAAAAAAAAAAATTCATGGGGAGGGGACAAGTAGGAACAAAATGTCTTAAAACACTCCTCAAGGGAGCAATTAAAAATAAAAAGGCAATTTTAAAAAAAGGCTCACACCTATAATCCCAGCAATTTGGGAGGCCAAGGTGGGAGGGTTGCTTAAGCCCAGGAGTTCGAGACCAGCCTGGGCAACGTAGGTAGACCCCCCCCAATCTCTACAAAAAAAAAAAAAAAATCTGTTAAATTAGTCGAACACGGTGGCATGTGCCTGTGGTGGGAAGCTACTACTTGGGAGGCTGAGATGGGAGGATCACTTGAGCTCAGGAGGTCAAGGCTTCAGTGAGCCATGATCACACCACTGCTCTCCAGCCTGGGCAACAGAGTGAGACCCTGTCTTGAAAAATATGAATAATTTTTAAAATAAAAGGTTGAGTAACACCATCCTAAAATGTAGGTGTTCTCATGAATTCCGTGGTACAGGCTCAGAGAGGCAAGCTAATTTCCCCAAAGTCACACAGCAAGTAATGTGAATTCTTGTGTAGAGAAAGAATTCAAACCCACATCTATCTAAAGCCAAAAGCCACACCCTAAATGACGTCTGAATCATCTGCAGACATTAAGTCAGCAACAGTAGTAAGAATGTCCTCCAGATCTCGCCCTCAAACCAGCAGGAACGGTGGCTTCTGATAGCTTGGTAGAAATGCAAACTCAGGCCCTGCCCCAGACCTACTGAATGTGAATCCGCAAGGCGCCCTCATGACTGTGCACAGGCCTTTGCTAAGGGAGCTGGGATTCCCACGGCCACAGCTGAGCAACCCTCATCTTCCCTGAACAGCAGAGACAAAGACGCCTACGACTGTTCCCACATCCGAGGTCCCCAGCCCCAATCAGAAACTCCCTTGTCAGACTAATTATACTTATGGGTGTTCCGTGACTTGCTGTATTCCCAGAAAAAGAAAGAAAAATGAAGTTCTCTTTCAGGTTTTCAGGGTAGATAATGTCAAATATTTACAGAGCAAACATCATTCTAGAGGCGCGCCATTCTCTTTCTGCTGATTAGAGCACTGCCAATCACGCCTTGATGAGAGGGCCTGTCAGCCTTCTCAACAGCAACCCCGTCATCTCGACTGAACTGGGCATGCCTGCTGTGCTGGGGAATGCAGGGAGAGGTTCTGAAGGCAGGCCTTTGGAAGGAGGGGGCTCCAGGGTTGCCAAAGACTCACCTCTGTGGAGTAGGACGGGCTTGAAGCTGGCTGTTCAATGAAGATGCTGGAGGAAGACAGAAGAGAGGCCTTTGGTGGCCTCTCTCGTAAACCAGAGCTTCTCAGACTCGAGCTAGCATCAGAACCACCTGCAGGGCATGATACAGTGACTGGCCCTGCTCCCAGGATGCAATAGGTTTAGAATGGGGCCTGATGATTTGCCGGTCTGCAAAGCTCCCAGGTGATGCCACTGCTCTGAGCACCACACTTTGAGAACCAGGTCCGAACCTTTGCTAGTCCAGGTGTGAGCCTCTGAGCAGTACATTCAGTGTTACCCAGGAGCTTGTTAGAATGCAGAATCTTGAGAGGTGATTAATGAGTACAAATATAAAGTTAGAACAAATAATCTTCTCGTGTTCAATAGATCAGTAGGGCGACTATAGTTAGCAATAATCTATTGTACATTTCCATCTAGCTAGAAGAGAATAATTTAAATATTCATAGCATAAAGAAAGAACTTTTTTTTGAGATAGGGTTTACTCTGTCACCCAGGGTGGAGTGCAGTAATGCAATCATAGCTCACTGCAGCCTCAATCCCCTAGGTTCAAGCGATCCCTCCACCTCAGCCTCCTGAATAGCTGAAATGACAAGTGTGTACTACCACACATGGCTAATTTTTTAAATACAGACTGGGTCTCACTATGTGGCCTAGGCTGGTCTCAAGCAATCTTCCCTCACAAAGGGAAGCCTCAACCTCCCAAAGTACTGGGGTTATAGGCGTGAGCCACTGTGACCAGCCAAGAAAAGATAAATATTTAAGGTGATAGATATCCCAATTATACTAATTTGATCTTTACATATTATATAAATGTTAGCAGAATATCACAGGTACCCTGAAAATATTTACATTTATTTTATATCAATAAAATCTTTTAATTAAAAAAAAAGAAATGCAGAATCTTGGAACCTACTCTAGCTACTGAACAGAATCTGCATTTTAACAAGATCTATGAGTAATAACTGTGCACATTAAACTTTGAGAAGGCCTGGTCTGTCCATAATTACACATCAGAATCAGCTGGAGCAGCTGTTAAATGCAGATTCCTGGGCCCCACCCTGGATTTAAATAATCAGAATATTTGAGGAGCAGGACCAGGGAAATAGTATGTTTAAGGAAGTGCGCAGGTGAAGGCTCATAAAGTCAGTGGTATTGGTCTAAAGAGTGGTCTCTAAACTACCAAGGTGATGTGCACACACCTGTAACCCCCAATGGATCTTTATTTAGCGATGCAAAAATAATATATACATCTTATTATATGAATTTATTGTGCATATTATAAAACATATTCAAAAACACAATGCAGCCAGGTGCATTGGCTCACGCCTGTAATCCCAACACCTTGCGAGGCCAAGGCAGGCAGATCACACGAGGCCAGGAGTTCAAGACCAGCCTGGCCAACATGGTGAAACCCCTTCTCTTCTAAAAATACAAAAATGTGCCTAGGTAAGAAAAGGAATGAATTGTAAGCCTTGAATCCTAGCGTTGTAAAGCAAATGTCCACCTGCTCCAAACAGATGGATAAATGGATGGATTTAAATCTCTATGTGACGTGCCCGCCAGTCCTAATCCCATTCCTCTTCACAAGAACTTTTAATATTAAGGTCACGATAGCATCAAGCTTCTATTTAAATTACATTTCTTGGTTTTTGTCTACTTAAAGCAGAGTAAAAGCAGTAGGGGTGTGTGTATGTGTGTGTGTGTGTGTCCTGGTTATCTCACATTTATTTGCTTTCTTAGGTATTCTGACATTAACCCAGGCCTGCTAGGGGACATTAGTAAATATTTGGTCGTAAAGTATCTTCAAAGAACAATTTTCTGAGTTAACCACACCCGATAAAATCCTCTCGCATCACTGAAAGGCTTGTCTGGCTGTCAGGCAGTGAGATCGTTTTATTGAAAAGACTCATGATGTAGTGAACAAAAGCTTAGGAAATAAACTCTAATCCCCAAAGGAACACTCAATACAACTCTACTCACACTAAAATATTCAATTTATGGCCTATATTGAATCCTATGTCTATAATTTACTGCCCTAACTACAAAGGAGTTTTTTTAATACAAACCAATTTCAATATATTTTACTATTTTCCTTGCCTCTGTTAAAGCAGAAATAACAAATTTTGCTGAAAGCTTAGGAGATAAATGCAATAGCAATTTCCAGGGGTGCCTCTTACAATCATCTAGTTTTCATCAGACTTTAACTGAGTGCCTAGGATTGTGTCAGGTGCCCCGGGCATTGCTTTTTTTTTTTTTTTGAGACAGAGTCTCGCTCTGTTGCCCAGCTGTGCAGTGGCACAATCTTGGCTCACTGCAACCTCTGCTTCCTGGGTTCAAGCAATTCTTCTGCCTCAGCCTCCCAAGTAGCTGGGATTACAGGTGTGTGCCACCACACCCGGCTAATTTTTGTATTTTGGTAGAAACGGGGTTTCACCACATTAGCCAGGCTGGTCTCAAACTCCTGGCCTCAATTGATCGGCCCACCTCAGCCTCCCAAAGTGCTAGGATTTCAGGTGTGAGCCACCTTGCCCAGCCCATATTGCTTTTTTTTTTTTTTTTTTTTTTTTTTGAGACATACTCTCGCTCTGTCACCAGGTGGGAGCACAATGGCACGATCTTGGCTCACTGCAACCTCCACCTCTCAGGTTCAAGCGATTCTCCTGCCACAGCCTCCCCAGTAGCTGGGATTACAGGCATGCGCCACCATGCCCAGCTAATTTTTGTATTTTTAGTATAGACAGGGTTTCACCATGTTGGCCAGGTTGGCTCTATTTCTTGACCCCGTGATCTGCCCACCTCAGCCGCCCAAAGTGCTGAGATTACAGGCATGAGCCACCCTGCCCGGCCCCATATTTTTTTAGCTAGCTTCCCAGGTCCTTCTGATATGTACCCAAGCACCATAGCCCTCAGGAAAACAAAAATATGTTTATTCAGTAAACATATATAGGGTACCTGCCATGTGCCAAGAGTCATTCTAGGTGCTGTGGACACAACAGTAAAAAAACTAGACAACAGAGTCCTTCTGTTTAAAGGGCTGTCGTTCTAGAGAAAAGAGAGAAAATAAATAAATCAGTAAAATATACGCTATACAGCAGGGGTCCCCAAACCCCCGGCCACGGACGGGTACTGACCAGGACTGGACTGGACAGCAGGAGGTGAATGGCGAGCGAGTGAGCCAAGCTTCATCTGTGTTTACAGCCGCTCCCCTTCACTCACGTGACTGCCTGAGCTCCGTATCCTGTCAGACCATCAGCAGCATTAGGTTCTCCGAGGAGCCTGAGCCCTGTAGTGAACTGCAAGTGTTGAGGGATCTGCATTGTCCTTATGAGAATCAAATGCCTGACGATCTGTCACTGTCTCCCATCACCCTCAGATGGGACCGTCCAGTTGCAGGAAAACAAGCTCAGGGCTCCCACTGATTCTACATTGTGGTGAGTTGTATAATTACTTCATTATATATTACAATGTCATAATCATAAAAGTGCACAATAAATGGAATGTGCTTGAATCATCCTGGAACCACCACCTCTCCCCGCCACCCCCGGGTCTGTGAAAAAATTGTCTTCCACTCCAACCTGGGTGACAAAGCCATAGGGGAAAAAAAAAAAAAACCTGAAGACGTTAAAAAAACAACAACAAAAAACACACACACAAATAAAATGTCTGCTGTGGGGGCCGTTTTTTTTTTTTTTTTGACAGGGTCTCACCCTGTCACCCAGGCTGGGATGCAGTGGTGCAACCTCAGCTCACTGAAACCTCTGACCCCCGGGCTCAAGCGATTCTCCTGCCTCCGCCTCCCAAAAATAGGTGGGAAACAATAAAAAAGAAAAGAAAAACAAAAAAGAGAGAGAGAAAAATAGGTGGGAAACAAAGAGGAGAAACGCAAAATTCTACATTCAGAATGATCTAGAGTATGTAAAAAGTATGTTCATTTCAAAAGAGCAAAAATAAAAACAAAACAAAACAAAAAACTGGAAGTAAGACAATGACAATGATCCTGGCCTTGGAATGCTGGGACCCTGAGAAATAATAAGACCACTTCTCTCTACATTCAGACTTTTTTCCAAAAATAAAATATATGTATAAAATATGGCTGGGTGCGGTGGCTCATGCCTGTAATGCCAGCACTTTGGGAGGCCAAGGCAGGTGGATCACTAGGTCAGGAGTTCGAGACCAACCTGGCCAACAAGGTGAAACCCCGTCTCTACTAAAAATACAAAAATTAGCCAGGTGTGGTGGCGAGCCCCTGTAATCCCAGCTACTCAGGAGGCTGAGGCAGGAGAATCACTTGAACCCAGGAGGCAGATGTTGCAGTGAGCCGAGATCGTGCCATTGCACTCCAGCCTGGGGGATAAGAGCAAGACTCCATCTCAAAAAAAAAATAAAAAATAAAAAATAAAATAAAAATAAAATAAAAAATATATATATATATATAATGTTTCTGATTGGACTTAGGCTCCAGAAACAACTAAATAGAAAAATATACATTATCTTCCTTCATAAGAAAATTTACAGATGATATTTCTGTGAACATGAGATTAAATCCTATGGCCTATTATTATGACATTTTAAAATTTATGTTCTGCCTCATTTCACAAAAGACTTAAAGCAGAAATTTGGACATATTTTATGGAAATAACTATTTAGCTGAGACTACGCCCCATTGCTGTAATATTCAAGATGAGTTTTTTTTTTAAATTATATATTCAGAGGAAGAAGTCCCAGGCATTCTAAAGAAGAGACATTATTAGATCAGAGGACGGCAAATGTTTTCTGTAAAAGGCCAGAGAGTCCGTGTTTTCGGCTTTGCAGGTTATACGGTCCATTCCACCATTAACTCACTCTGCCCTTGCACCAGGAAAGCAGCCACAGACCACATGCAAACCAACAAGAGTGGCTGTGTTAGCAGAAAACTGTATTTATGGACACTGAATTTTGAATCTTAGGTAATTTTCATGTCATGAACTATTACTCTTAATTTTTTTTTTTGCGACAGTCTTGCTCTGTTGCCCAAGATGAAGTGAAGTGGCATAATCTCAGCTCACTGCTACAGCCTCCACCTCCCAGTTTCAAGCGATTCTCCTGCCTCAGCCTCCCAAGTAGCTGTGACTACAGGTGCCCACCACCACACTCGGCTAATTTTTGTATTTTTTGTAGAGATGGGGTTTCACCATGTTGGCCAGGCTGGTCTCGAACTCCTGAACTCAAGCAATTGGCCTGCCTTGGCCTCCCAAAGTGCTGGGATTACAGGTGTGCACCACCGTGCCCAGCCCCCTACAGACATTTTAAGTAGAGCAATGCCTACTGACCCCTTTAAAATATGTCTGCAGGTTGGTTTGTAAAACTCTTCTCTGTTTGTCCTTAAAAAATGGCCAATAAAGTCCTCAGTACCTTTTAAATGATTGGTCTGAGTGGGTTTTTGTAGTTTAAGATGAAGGAGAGAGAGGCAGAGTTTCGGGGAAGTAGGGAAGAGGAAGAGGCCTCACACATGGAAACCAGAGCTCTGTAGAAAGAAATTGGCCCCAAATTTCTTAATCTCCCAAGGGATTAGCAGAACTATTTGGTAGAGCTTTGGAACGGCATACGACTGGGAAGTGGGGACTTCAAGGCATTTTTTTAAAAGATATCAAAGGGGCAGAGAGCTCTCTGGCTGTCATCCACTCTGTAATTATAATATTGAAAACACTTTCCAAACTATCTCCACCACCACGCCCAACAGAAATAAAGAAAATCCACCTGGCCTATGACCCTAAATTAGAATCCTTCTTCATCAGGGCTTCTGAATGACAAAACTTGGATGTGATGGGTGGGAAGTAGAGAAGAAAAGTGAGAATGATAAATGACTCCAAGAAAATAGAGAAGCTAGTGGAATATGAGATGGGTGAATTCAAGTTTTAGAAAAGATTAAGACCACTAAATATGTAGACGCAGAGCAATTCTGAAGGAGGTTTATTGATTTTCTTTTTTTGAGACAGGGTCTCACTCTGTTGCCCAGACTGGAATCCAGTGGTGCAATCACCGTTCACTGCAACCTTCAACTCCCAGGCTCAAGTGATCCTCCCACCTCAGCCTCTTGAGTAGCTGGGACTACAGGTTTACACACCAGCCTGGCTAATTTTTTTATTTTCTGTAGAGACGGGGTTTGGCCATGTTACCCAGGCTGGTATCAAACTCCTGGGCTCAAGTGATCTACCCATCTTGGCCTCTCAAGATGCTGGCATTATAGGTGTGAGCCTCCGCTCCTGGCCTTACACATGATTTTATGAGTATTTTTTAATGAAATGCTTCAGATTTATAAAACATATTAGAGAGTAATAAAGCAAACACCTCTGTTTCTACCAACCACTTAAAAAAATTTTTTTTGTCTTTATGTAGTCAACAAACCTTGTAGACTGATTTGAGTCTTTAAGCCATAAGCATGCATGGCTGTGATAAGCATAAAAAATGAAACGAGTTATTTAGAAATAAAAACTAATATTTAACAGAGCAGTAGAAGAAATTTTAACAATAAAATTACAGCATCCATATCTTCTGTAGTCAAAACGGACTGTTTTAAGCAGTAGTTTTTCTTCAATGAATAAGTAATTATATCCAGTTTTTTAAAAATAGATCCCTATGAACCTCTCTCTTCCCTCTCCTTCCCCTCTAAGATAACCACTATCCTGAATTTGATGTTTCTCATTCCTACATATATCTTTTTTTTTTTTTTTTTTGAGACGGAGTTTTGCTCTTGTTGCCCGGGCTGGAGTGCAATGGCACAATCTCGGCTCACTCTAACCTCTGCCTCCTGAGTTCAAGTGATTCTCCTGCCTCAGCCTCCCAAGTAGCTGGGATTGCAGGCACCCACCACCACACCTGGCTAATTTTTGTATTTTTAGTAGAGATGGGGTTTCACCATGTGACCAGGCTGGTCATGAACTCTTCACCTCAGGTGATGCGCCTGCCTCAGCCTCCCAAAGTGCTGGGATTACAGATGTGAGCCACCACGCCTGGCCTCTTTTTTTTTTAATTTATTTTATTTTATTTATTTTTTTAAATTATAAAACATTTTACAGTGCTTTTTAAATAAGTCTTTGAAACCTAGCATGTATTTTACATTTACAGCACATCTCGGCTGGGATTTGCTGTGTTTCAAATGCTTATAGCCATGTGTGGCTAGTGACTGCCACTGGGATGGCACCACCGTCTAGACCTTGTTTCTTAAAGCATGGTTCTTGAAACAATAGCATCCAATTACCTAGCACCTTGTTTGAAATCCGGAATCTCAGGCCCCACCCTAGTGCCGCTGAATCTGAACCTGCCTTCTAATGAGATCCCAGGTGATTTGTGTGTACAACAAAGTCTGAAAAGTGGCTATGGAATCTCTTAGAGACCTAAAGATCTAGGACTCTGTGAACAGGTTTCTTGTTCACCCATTCATTCACCAGATATGAGCCCTGTTAATCCCTGACTCTGTGCCAAGCAGCGTCGGGTGCTGAGGATAAACCGGAGAATGACTCATACATGGCACATGCCTTCAAGGAGGTTACCATCTGTTGAAAGTCATGGAAAATGAAAATCTGCCGGGAGCAGTGGCTCACACCTGTAATCCCAGCACTTTGGGAGGACGAGGTGGGTGGATCACTTGAGGTCAGGAGTTGGAGACCAGCCTGGCCAACATGGTAAAACCCCATCTCTACTAAAAATACAAAAATTAGCCATGCCTGGTGGTTCACGCCTGTAACCCAGCTACTTGAGAGGCTGAGGCAGGAGAATGGCCTGAACCCGGGAGGTGGAGGTTGCAGTGAGCCCAGGTCACGCCACTGCAGTCCAGCCTGGGCAACAAAGCGAGACTCTGTCAAAAAAAAAAAGAAAGAAAGAAAGGAAGAAAAGAAAGAAAGGAAAGAAAGGAAGGAAGGAAGGAAGGAGAGAAGGAGGGAAGGAGGGAAGGAGGGAAGGAGGGAAGGAAGGAAGGAAGGAAGGAAGGAAGGAAGGAAGGAAGGAAGGAAGGAAGGAAGGAAGGAAGGAAGGAAAAAGAAAAGGAAAAGAAGAATCCAAACAGAGAATCAAGCAAAAATGAAAATTATGGTATTATGATTAAGAACATGGGATCTGGAGTTAACCAGCTATTCTTGGACAAGTTTCTTCACATCTCCGTTCCTCAGTTTCTTCATCTCTATGTGTGGGATCATCTTTGACGCTGGGCACTGTTGAGTATCTACCTGGCAACCATCATTCTTTTCCTTTGTTTGTTTGTTTGACTCGGAGTAAAATCACCCAGGCTGGAGGGCAGTGGTGTGATCTCAGGTCACTGCAACCTCTGCTTCCTGGGTCCAAGCGATGCTTGTGCCTCAGCCCCCACCAGGTAGCTAGGATTACAGGCGGATACCACCACGCCCAGGTAAATTTTGTATTTTTAGTAGAGATGGGGTTTCACCATGTTAGCCAGGCTGGTCTCCAACTCCTGGCCTCAAGTGATCCTCCAACCTCGGCCTCCCAAAGAGCTGGGATTACAGGGGAGAGTCACCGCGCCTGGCCTCTTTCCTTCTTAATAGCAGACTCTGACTTTGTTCTGGTTCATTCCTCCCCTGTGTGCCCCAGGCAACCCAGAAAGAGCTGAGACTAATCCCAGCTCTTCCTCATGTGGCATTTTCCTGGCCATTGTTCTGAATGGGTCACATGCTTATCCCCGAACCAGTGACTGGCGAGAGGAATATGACGTTCTGATTACCAATCCCTGCATCCCAGGTCCACCCCTGGACTCAGGGTTAGAGTGAATTCCACCAGAAGCCCATGAGCTGGGCTGGGGAAATGACAGCCTGAAGGTCAAAGCACACCTTCCCTTCTATTGCACAGCCTTTTCCTGTCAGAGAGAGACTAAGCCACAAACAGAAATAACCTGTAAAGAAAGTTTTCGGCTGGGCATGGTGGCTCACGCCTATAATCCCAGCACTTTGGGAGGCTGAGGTGGGTGGATCACCTGATGTCAGGAGTTCGAGATGGGCCTGGCCAACATGGTGAAACTCCGTCTCTACTAAAAATACAAAAATTAGCCAGGCGCAGTGGTGGGACCTTTAATCCCAGCTATTCGGGAGGCTGAGGCAGGAGAGTCGTTTGAACCCAGGAGGCAGAGGTTTCAGTGAGCTGAGATGGTGCCATTGCACTCCAGCCTAGGCGACAAGAGCAAAACTCCATCTCAGAAAAAAAAAAAAAAGGAAGCTTTCTTGAGAACATACAATGTGCCAGGCACTACACATGACATCCACTGTTACCAGTGAGCCCATGTCATGCAACGTAAATCATTTTATCGTCAATTAAAAAGATGAAAACTGGGCCGGGCACAGTGGCTTACGCCTGTAATCCCAGCACTTTGGGAGGCCAAGGCAGGCAGATCACTTGAGGTCAGGAGTTCTAGACCAGCCTGGCCAACATGGTGAAACCCCATCCGTACTTAAAAAAACACAAAAATTAGCCGGACATGGTGGTGGGCACCTGTAGTCTCAGCTACTCAGGAGGCTGAGGCAGGAGAATCGCTTGAACCTGGGAAGCAAGGGTTGCAGTGGGCCAAGATTGCACCACTGCCCTCCAGCCTGGATGACAAAGCAAGACTCCATCTCAGAAAGAAAAATTAGAAAAAGATAGACTGGATAAGAAAATGTGGCACATATACACCATGGAATACTATGCAGCCATAAAAAAAGAAAGAGTTCATGTCCTTTGCAGGGACATGGATGAAGCTGGAAACCATCATCCTTGGCAAACTAACACAAGGACAGAAAACCAAACACCGCATGGTCTCACTCATAAGTGGGAGCTGAACAGTGAGAACACATGGACACAGGGAGGGGAACATTACACACCAGGGCCTATCAGGGGGTGGGGGCAAGGGGAGGGAGAGCATTAGGACAAATACCTAATGCATGCAGAGCTTAAAACCTAGAAGACGGATTGATAGGTGCAGCAAACCACCATGGCACATGGATACCTATTAATAAACCTGCATGTTCAGCACATGTATCCTAGAACTTAAAGTAACATAAAAAAATCTAATTGTATTGCACATATCTAATTATCTGACAATTCCACCTCTAGGTACCTACCAAGAGAATTACTCTCACATGTGCACAAGGAGGTAAAGCGAGGCTGTTTACAGCACCACTGCTGGCAAGTGTGGAAAATTGACAACAGGAGGCAGGTGAATTGGTAGAGGAACAGGTGCAGGTACTGCATTACAGATTGTTCACTGGCTGAGTTCAAGGAGGCTATTCCTCAACATGGGATAAGTCTAGAACTACAAGCATGAACTCATTCCCTATACATAATGTTAAAAGTGAAAAATAACCAAGTTACAGGAAAAAAGTGGGAAGAGAATGAAGCTATTTGTATTTTTTAAAACCTTACTTATCTATGCAATGCATGGGAAAACATCATGAAAAATACACATCAATTCATAGCAAGGATTATTTTCGAGGAGGGGACAGGACTGGGCAAGGCAGGGAATTAAAGGATTACTTTTGTTTTTCTATATTATTGGAAAGACTTACAAGACTCTTCACATTTTCTTGGGAAATTTTTGTAGTAGGATGAGATAAGACTCAGTTAAAAGGAAGACCGCCATTTGGTGAGTGATTCAAAATCTTGTTAGTTCAGATTTCCCTGAAAAAAAAATGCACATTTTGCACATTTATTTAAAACTGTGCACTCAGGGGATTCACAGATTCACTGCTAGTTGTCCAAGAGACCCAGTGGCCTCCGGTTTAACACACCTGCAGTGGAGAGAAAGAACATGGTAGATTAACCAAGACCCCGAATTATCTGCTGCGCGGCCCATGGAGAGGTGGGATCTAATTCTTCCTTTGAGTACAGGCCAGCCTTAGTGATTGGCTTGCCAATGGACCACAACAGCAGAGGTGCTCTGGCCCTTCCGAGGCAGGTGTCAGAAGCGTTGCTTGCTGATTCTGCAGGGGACCCCTGGAAACACTCCCTCCGGGGAATCCAGCATCTGTGTGAGGAGTCTGAGGCTTCCGTGACGTCACCATGCTGGAGAGGCCACGTGTAGGAGGCAGTCCCAGCTGAGCCCAGCCTGGCAGGCATCCGAGCTAGGGCCCCCAATAGTGAGTGCAGCCACCTTGTATCTTCCCAGCCAGCTCATCTGCCAGCTGTGGAGCGACTTCCAGCAACACCAGTGAGGAGCAGAAAAAATTTTCCAAATTCCTGACCCACAAAATCAAGAGATACAATAGTTTGTGATAGGTTTATTATATATATAATATGTAATATATGACTTATTATAAATTAATTGTGAGATTCACAGTCTCACAAGGCAGATGTGGAAATAAGTAATTACATTATATTGTGAAATAATAGATGTCATCATTATATAAAACTTATAATTATGTAAGTTGTACATAATTTATAATACATGTAATAGAAAATAGGTTGTAGATTTAAGCACCAAGTTTTAGGGCAGATTGTTAAGTGGCAGTCGCTGAAACAGGGTGGGACTGCACGCTGCACGCCTATGATCAGGGTGAGGGTGGAGACCCTAGGAAAAGTACCGCTCTGCAGACTTTGTGTCTTAGGAGTGTCCTGACATACCGCTGGGAGGATTACCTCATCCATTCCTTCTTTTTCTTTTCTTTTTTTTTTCTTTCCTTTTTTTTTTTTTTTTTTTTTTTTTTTGAGACGGAGTCTTGCTCTGTCGCCCGGGCTGGAGTGCAGTGGCGCGATCTCGGCTCACTGCAAGCTCCGCCTCCCGGGTTCACGCCATTCTCCTGCCTCAGCCTCCCGAGTAGCTGGGACTATGGGCACCCGCCACCACGCCCGGCTAATTTTTTGTATCTTTAGTAGAGACAGGGTTTCACCGTGTTAGCCAGGATGGTCTCAGTCTCATGACCTCGTGATCTGCCCACCTCGACCTCCCAAAGTGCTGGTTTACAGGCGTGAGCCACCCCGCCTGGCCATCCTCATTCCTTCTTTCCTTCCTTTTCTTACTTCCTTTTCTCCCCAGACATTAATTGAGCACCTGCTAAATAAGAATAAAGTATAAGTCAGTCTCTGGGGAAACACAAATTGGTTAGATACGGTCCCTGTTCTCAAAGAGTCACAATCTTACATGGGCAGACATGGAAATAAATAATTACAACCTATTGAGAAATAGTAGATTTAATCGTAACAGAAGTCTTTTTATAATTATAATAAAATATTAGCATTAACTGGCTTTATGTAATGAACATATTTTATCCTCACAACAATCATACTACGTGGGTCCTATAATTATTTCCATTGATCAGATAAAGAAACTGAGGCACATATAAGTTAAGAGGTGCATCCAGGATGTGAGTAGTGGCTCGTGCCTGTAATCCCAACATGTTGGGAGACTGAGGTTGTAGGATCGCTTGAGCCCAGGAGTTCGAGATCAGCCTAGGCAACTGAGACCCCATCTCTACAAAAAATCAAAAAACTAGCCGGTTGTGGTGGCGCACACCTGTGGTCCCAGCTACTTGGGAGGCTGAGGTAGGAGGATTTCATGAGCCCAGGAGGTTGAGGCTGCTGCAGTGAGCCTGGGTGACGGAGTGAGATCCTATCTCAAAAAAAAAAAAAAAAATCACAAAGCCACATTTGATGGAAAAATCAAAATCAAAAGTTCAGTTTCAGGAGTGTTAATTTGTTGATGTATATTAGAAATTCATTGGTGCATTCCAGTGGCCCATCGTAAATGAGGCTAAACTTTTAAAGGAGGAGATTTCATTCTCTAAAAAAATAACCTGCTCAGATTCATAGAGACACAAAGTAGCATGATGGGTGCCAGGGGGTGGGAGGGGGAGGTGGGGAGACCACATTTAATAGGGACAGAGTTTCAGTTTGGGACGGTGAACAAGTTCTGCAGATGGATGCTGCTGACGGTTGCACAGCAATGTGAGTGTATCTAATGCCGGAGAACTGCACGCTTTAAAATGAGTAAAATGGTAAAGTTTATGTTACTCATATTCTGCCACACACACAAAAGTAGCCTGAATTTTTGTACTCTCTTGACAAGTTGGAAGACCTGGCAAGGCTGTGACGCTCCACGCTGCACGGTGGCTGCTCCTCACCTGGGCTGGGTCCCCAGCACACATCAGCCACTCTCCTGCCCTCTCCTGCATTGCTTAATGACCCATTGACACCCAGGCTCATGGCTCCACAGAGGTCCCAGCCGGCTGCCCGGAGAACATTCTTCTTTCTGGATGATGCCCCTGGCTTCCTGCAGCACCAAGGCCCAGAAAGGGTTAGCGTAGAAGAGTCAGGCTCTGAGGCAGTGCAGGACGGCAGGGCTGGGCCTTCTGCTTCTAGCCTGTCTCTAATTATGATGATTGTTGCTGCCCAATGATGAGCCAACTCTCCTGCCAGCATTAAACAGTCATTTATCAAATCCTGAAACTCCTTCTTCAACGGAAAAGCGTGGCCTCAGCCCTGCACTCGGGCACACCGAAGCCACTCAAATCACCCCTTGTCAGTGTTTGAGGCCAGGGTTCCTGGCCTGCTCGGACCCCCTGACATGCACAAGGAAGAGTGAAAGCAAGGCTGGGGGTCACCATGGGAGACACATCTGCTGTCACCAGTGTGTGTGTGCACGTGTGTGCCTGTATTAAAGATGCTTAGAGTTCAGACATAGCAGCTTTTGCGTGTGGGTGAGACCCTGTGTCCATCCCAGGAACAGCTCTGGCAGCCCTGAGTCTCAGTCCACAGACTGAGGGAGGAGGGAGGGAAAACAAAGTAGCTTTGTTTCCTTTTTTGTTTTTTTTTGTCAGACGGAGTTTTGCTCTGTTGCCAAGCTGGAGTGCAGTGGTGCCATCTCGGCTCACTGCAGCCTCTCCCTCCCAGGTTCAAGCAATTCTCCTGCCTCAGCCTCCCAAATAGCTGGGACTACAGGCGTGTGCCACCACACCAAGCTAATTTTTGTATTTTTAGTAGAGATGGGGTTTCACGATGTTGGCCAGGATGGTCTTGATCTCTTGACCTTATGATCTACCTGCCTCAGAGTGCTGGGATTACAGGCATGACCCACCGCATCTAGCCCCCCCCTTTTTTTTTTGAGACGGAGTCTCACTCTGTTGCCCAGGCTGGAGTGCAGTGGTGCCATCTTAGCTCACTGCAACCTCCACCTCCCAGGTTCAAGTGATTCTCCTGCCTCAGCCTCTCGAGTAGCTAGGATTACAGGCACATGCTACCATGCTCAATAAATTTTTGTATTTTTGGTAGAGACAGGATTTCACCATGTTGCCCAGGCTGGTCTTGAACTCCTGGCCTCAAGTGATCCACCCTCCTCAGCCTCCCAAAGTGCTGGGATTACAGGCGTAAGCCTCTGCACCCAGCCTCTTTTTAATTAATTAATTTATTCATTTTTCTTTATCCAATCAGTGTCATACATTGAACTTTTTAATTTTTTTAAAAGTCCCCCTACATTATTTTCCTAGGGCTGCTGGAATAAATTACCACAAACTGGGTGACTTTATTTATTTGTTTGTTTGAGACAGGGTCTCTCTTCATCACCCAGGCTGGAGTGCAGTGTTGTGATCACAGCTCAGTGCAACCTCCACCTCCCAGGCTCAAGCCATCCTCCCACCTCAGCCTCCTGAGTAGCTGGGACCACAGGCACGAGCCACCACACCCAGCTAATTTTTGTATATGTTGGATATATACGGGGACTGCTTACGTTGCCCAGGCTGGTCTCAAACTCCCGAGCTCAAGCGATCCTCCCGCCTCGGCCTCCCAAAGTTCTAGGATTACAGGCATGAGCCACTGCACCTGGCCTAAACTGAGTGACTTTAAACAACAGGCATTTATTACCTCACAGTTTTGGAGGCCTCAAGTCCAAAATCAAGTTGTTAGCAGAGCTGTGCTCCCTCTAGCACGCCCTTCCTGGCCTCCTCCAGCTTCTGGTGGTTCCTGGTGATCCGTGGCTGTGGCTGCCCCACTCCAATCTCTGCCTCCATCTTCATGTGCATGGGTTTCTTCCCGTGTCTCTGTATGTCTTCTCCTTTTCTATCTCATTGGCCTTAGGGCCCACTCTCATCCAGGATAACCTCATCTCCAGATTCTGACCTTAATCACATGTACAAAGCCTCTCCTTCCAAATAAGGTCATATTCTGAGGTTTCAGATGGACAAATTGTTTTTGGGGGAGACATAATTCAACTCACCACATCCTATTACCTCAGCCTTTGGTCCTCCAGGCCACTGTGCCCATGGAATATGTCATCTCAGTCCTTCCAGGGTTTGTAGCACAGTCCTGCAACCTTCAGCATGGAAGTGGGGTGAGGGTGGGAGAATCTGGTCCTCAGCTATCAGTCCACCCAGAAAAACACCACGGCGGCCCTTGTCCTTGTCTACATAGCCCCTCTAGAGTTTCCATGCAACAAAGAACCATTGTTGGCTGGGCGTGGTGGCTCATGACTGTAATCTCAGCACTTTGGGAAGCCGAGGCGGGCAGATCACTTGAGGTAGGGAGTTCAAGACTGGCCTGGCCTGGCCAACATGGTGAAATCCCATCTCTACTAAAAATACAAAAATTAGCCAGGCGTGGTGGCACACAGCTGTAATTTCGGTTACTCAGGAGGCTGAGGCAGGAGAATAGCTTGAGCCCAGGAGGCAGAGGTTGCAGTGAGCTAAGATCATACCACTGCACTCCAGCCTAGGCAACAGAGAGAGACTCTGAAAAAAAACAAAAAACAAAAAAAAAAAAACGTTGTTATGGGACTATAGCATTGCACAACTTCAGAGGGCACCATTTCCCAGTGGCCGTGACATGCACAACTGCAGAGTCAGATGCAGCAGCCCCTGTAGGCAAGAATCTTTCAGGACTGCCTCCGAGGACAGGTGACTTAAGTTTAAATCCCCACTTGGGCACTTCCTAGCTGTGCAATTTAGGGTAACATACTTAACCTCTCTCTGTAGAGTATCCTTATCTTAAAAAAAGGGATAGGCCCTGAGGAGGTGAGAAAAACAATTACAATATTGAAGACAAGGATAATAGTAATAGTGACTTCATAGGATTATTGTAAGGGTGGAATGAATTGGTGTCTTCGTGGCACACAGCAAATGCTCTAAGTGTGTGTGTCTATTGTGATTGTTATGATCTGAGCTGCACACACCAGAGCACATGGATTGGAATTTTACAACAGAGTTTTTTTGTCCCACCTGCATTTTTTAAATTTTAATGTAATGTATTTATAAAGAGAGATTTACATAATAATCCAAATTTCTAACCTCTCTAAAAAAAAAAAAAAAAAAAAAAACCTGAAAACTTGGTGATATGGTTTGGCTGTGTCCCCACCCATATCAAATTGTATCCTCCCATAATTCCCCTGTGTTGTGGGAGGGACCCAGTGGGAGATAATTGAATCATGGGGCAGTTTCCCCATACTGTTCTCTTGGTAGTGAGTAAATCTCAAGAGGTCTGATGATTTTATAAGGGGTTTCCTCTTTCACTTGGCTCTCATTCTCCTCTTTTGTCTGCCACCATGTGAGACGTGCCTGTTACCTTCCGCCATGATTGTGAGGCCTCCCCAGTCACATGGAGCTATGAGTTCATTAAACCTCTTCTGCAAATTGCCCAGTCTCTGGTATGTCTATCAGCAGCATGAAAATGGACTAATACAGAGGGCAATATTGCATTTGCATTGCCATATGGCTGTCATCAGTGACAGCTAAGTAGCCATAACTCCCATGAAATGGGTTGAAGTCTCCTCATACCCCTCCCAATTCTGTATGCACACACACACACACACACACACACACACACACACACACACACACACACACCCCTGAGCCCCCCTCTGGCCTGCAGTTACCTGAATAAGCCCTGGTGAGGCTGGAATTTGCCATCTCTGCTCTCCTCCAATCCTTTCATTTTCACAGCAAGGAAACTGACACCCAGAGAGGTTGTGTGACCCACCCCAAGTCACACAGCAAGTTGCAACGAAACTGAGACTGAGCTCAGGCCTCTTGGCTCCCAGCTTCTTTGTCATCACTAAGATATTTCTAAATGTAGGATGACCCTGCTTGATGTTTCAAGATGATAGAAATAAAAAAGTTGAAGGCTGGGCAGGGGGCTCACACCTGTAATCCCAGCACTTTGGGAGGCTGAGGGGGGTGGATCACTTGAGGTCAGGAGTTCCAGACCAGCCTGGCCAACATGGTGAAACCTTGTCTCTACTAAAAATATAAAAATTAGCCAGGCGTGGTGGCGCACACCTGTAGCCCCAGCTACTCAGGAGACTGAGGTGGGAGAATCGCTTGAACCTGGGAGATGGAGATTGCAGTGGCAGACATCATGCCATTGCACTCCAGCCTGGGCGAGGGAGTGAGACTCCATCTCAAAAAAAAAAAAAGTTGGATATCCCTCTTCTTATTTTACAAATAATGCTAAGTATTCTGTCTTGGCATAAAGAGGAAACCTTAGAGAGCTACCTCCCAGACCAGAGTTTCTCAAGTCGGAATGAATTTGCCCTCCTGGTGTCTGAAGACACGTTTGGTTGTCACTATTTGGGGGGTGCTACTGGCATCTGGAAGGCAAAAGCCACAGATGCCACTGAACACCCTACAATGCACAGGACAGCCCCCACAACAGAGAACTATCCAGCCCAAAACATCAATAGTGTCAAGATTGAGAAACCCCGCCAAGATCCTTGCTTCTCAAAGTGTGGTCCCTGGGTCAGCAGCGCCAGCAACACCTGGAAGCTTGTGAGAAATGGGAAATCTTGGGCCCACCCAGACCTAGACAATCAGAAACAATTTTAATAACATCCCAGGTGATTCACTGGCACATTAGATTGCAAGAAGCATGCTTTATATATACTCATTGGCACATCAGGTTGCAAGAACCAGTGTTTCTCAACCTTGACTGTAAAATAGCATTTCCTGGGAGGGAGAGGGGGTGGTGGCTGAAAATCCTAATGCCCAGGGCACCCTTTGGAGCAATTACATTAGACTCTCTGGGAGTGGAAACCAAATATCCCTTTTTTTTTTTTTTTTTGAGATGGAGTCTCGCTCTGTCGCCCAGGCTGGAGTGCAGTGGCACGATCTCACCTCACTGCAACCTCTGCCACCAGGGTTCCAGCTATTCTCCTGCCTTAGCCTCCTGAGTAGCTGGGATTACAGGCAGCATGCACCTGTAGTCCCAGCTACTCAGGAGGCTGAGGTGGGAGGATTGTTTGAGCCCAGCAGTTTGAGACTAGCCTGGGCAACATAGTGATATCCCTGTCTCAAAAATACACATTAAAAAAAAAACTTTAACTGCATAAAATGGATATTATCACGAGCAAAATCAATTACATGTATACAAAGGTATTAATGTATTTATAAAAACAAATCTGAGGTATCATACCCTATGTGCTTCTTTATTAATGCATTTAATAACAAAATTCAGAGCAGGGTTTAATAACCACGATAATTCCAAAGTCATGACAAGGTGAGTAATATTTCCAGATATCCACGGCTGCTGGAATGCTATGGGAAAAGATCCGTGGCTTCAAATGGTGGCAAAGTGGCAGGTACTTGTGCCACTGCATGGTGTGTTGCCAACTTTCACAATCAAGGAAATGCTAAGTTAGAGTTAGAACTTAGAGAAAGTAACTGTTTGTAGACTTTCCCATGCAAGGTCACAGACCTCCTGAATTCTATCCCTGAAATCCCTGGCTCTGGTAAAGGGAGACAGACAAGCTGATGATAATACAGTGTGATTAAGGGCTAAGATTAGGGGAAGTAATACAAAAAGGGGAACTGCAGTTCCCCTTTTTAAATATGTCTGCAGGCTGGGTATGGTGGCTCATGCCTGTAATCCCAGCATTTTGGGAGGCCGAGGCAGGCAGATCACGAGTTCAGGAGATGGAGACCATCCTGGTTAACACAGTGAAACCCTGTCTCTACTAGAAATATAACAAATTAGCTGGGCATGGTGGCACACACCTGTAGTCTCAGCTACTCGTGAGGCTGAGGCAGGAGAATCAACGTGAACCCAGGTGGCGGAAGTTGCAGTGAGCCAAGATCACACCACTCCACTCCAGCATGGGTGACAGAGTGAGTCTCTGTCTCAAAAAAAAAAAAAAAATCTGCAAATTTTTAGCCAGACGCAGTGGTTCAAACCTGTAATCCCAGCACTTTGGGAGGCCAAGGAGGGAGAATTGCTTCACCCCAGGAGTTTGAGACCAGCCTGGGCAAGATAGCAAGACCCTGTCTCTGCAAAAAAATTTTTAAAAATTAGCCAGGTATGGTGGCACGCATCTGTGGTCTCAGCTACTTGGCAGGCTGAAGCACGAGGATCACTTGAGCCTGGGAGGTCACGGCTGCAGTGAGCTGTGATCACGCCACTGCACTCCAGGCAGGACAACAGAGTGAGACTCTATCTCAAAAATAAATAAATAAAATTGCAAAATTGCAAATTTTCTGCAAATTTTTGATGCTCCTCTCAAGAGGCAGAATGTAAGTCCTCACTAACCCACCTCCCCTGAATGTGCAAGACTTAGTGCTCATTTCTTTTTTTTCTTCTTCCTTCCTTCCTCCCTCCCTCTCTCTTTCTCTCTCTCCTTTTCTTTCTTTTCTTTCTTTCTTTTTCTCTTTCTCTCTCTCTCTTTCTCCTTCCTTCCTTCCCTTCCTCCCTCCTTCCCTCCTTCCTTCCTTCCTTTCCTTTCCTTCTTTCTTTCTGACAGAGTCTCACTGTGTCACCAAGGCTAGAGTAGAGTGGCGTGATCTTGGCTCACTACAACCTCCACATCCCAGGTTCAAGCAATTCTCCTTCCTTAGCCTCCCAAGTAGATGGGATTACAGGTGTGTGCAACCATGCCCAGCTAATTTTTGTATTTTTAGTAGAGACGGGGTTTTGCCATGGTTGGCCAGGCTGGTCTCAAACTCCTGACCTCAAGCAATCCACCCACCTTGGCCTCCCAAAGTGCTGGGATTATATGTGTGAGCCACCACGCCCGGCATGGCTCATTTGTCATAACTAGAATACAGCAGAAGTGACATTGCATGACTTCCAAGGCCAGGCCATAAAAGACAATCCGGACATCAAGTGTCAGAAACATGAAAGGGAAGTCTTCGAAATGACTCCAACCTGGGTCATCGTCTAACTAGGGCTGCAAGAACCACCCCGCTGAGCCCTGCCAGCCCCCGAATCATGAGATACAGTAACAACAAACTATTATTATTGTTTTATGTCAAACCCAGACTAGAGAGTGGGAAAAAAATGTTCCTAGAAGAGCTGGTGTTGAGCTAAGACTGAAGAATGAGTATGAGGTGGCCAAGCCAGGGCAAGAAGAATACCTTATGCAATTCATGTCAATTCAAGAGGACAATTTTTGTAGCCAGCTGCCCTAGATTTCACAGAATGCCCACATTGCAGACCTCCATGAACCCCAAAACACTTGAGAGATGCAAATATTTCGGTGTCCAATTTAAATTTCCCACACTGCTTCTTGGACTCAACTGCTATATAGATTTCTTTTGTCTGATCTTGTGCACCAATTTTGGGTTTGGAAATATGGTCATGCCCCAAATCACGGAAACAATCTTCCCTTCTACGTCTGAAGAATCCTAGGCTTCAGTGATCATGAAAGACATCGCCATCATCTCCTCCTTTTACTACATAATCAAGCATGAAATAAAAGACCTGTTAAAAAAAATAAATAAATATGGGGGGTCACCATATCCCCATTGTGTGATCTGAAGGATCCCCAGTGGGTCCCTACTTTCACCCATCAACATTCGCCAACCTCCAATTTTCTCATCCTCTCTGTTGTCTGATATTCTACTATCAACAATGCGTTTCTTAGAAGAAACTCTGCCCCTTTCCAAATCACATTTTTCTCTTTTAAATGCAAGTCCCCTGGGGAAAGAAAGAAATGACTGTGACATTTAGTGCTAACGGTGTAGTATAAATTTGGGTATATAATTTCTTTTCTACTGGAGAGAAGAGATTAAGAAACTTGACAGGATCCTTTGTAAGAAAGGGAATGAGATGAGAGGTACAAGTCTGGTGTTTTGGGTGGCTCCACATTTTTTCTCCTCTTCTCTTGATAACAGCATCCTGATTTCCTTTGGGAAACCACTACTCATTCTCAGTGAGTCTAGTTTGGCTGTGGCTGACTGCTCCATCCAGCTGCAAAGATGAGCAATCTGACCTGACCAATCAGAGTGCAGCATCTCCCTGGGTACAATGAGAGGTTCAGTGATTAGCACCTGACCCAAGCTAAGTCAATAAGAATCTTACCTGGGACTTTCAGAAGAACCACTGAGAAAGAAGTCAAAAAGGATTATTTTCTTTTTTTTTTTTTTTTTTTTTTGAGACAGAGTCTCTCTATGTCGCCCAGGCTGGAGTGCAATGGCACGATCTCGGCTCACTGCAACCTCTGCCTCCCGGCTTCAAGCGATTCTGCTGCCTCAGCCTCCCAAGTGACGGGGATTACAGGTGTGAGCCACTACGCCCAGCTAATTTTTGTATTTTTAGGAGAGACAGGGTTTTGCCATATTGGCCAGGTTGGTCTTGAACTCCTGACCTCAAGTTATCTATTTGCCTCAGCCTCTCAAAGTGCTGGGATTACAGGCGTGAGCCACTGCACCCGGCCAAATTATCTTATTTTCTGTCCAACTTCGCCCTCCAGCAAACTAGGAGTCATCAATTCATAATCAGGCACTGGTCAGATGAAAATGCTTTAGACACACAGGTAAACATGAGTTAGTGTCCAGTTAGTATAGACCAGGGATCTGAAAATTATAACCTTCCAGTCAAATCCGATGCCCCCACCCCCATGTTTTTGTGAATAAAGTTATGTATTTAGGTGCAATGGCTGATTTTGCACACAAGTAGCAAAGTTGAGTAGCTGCAACAGAGACCAGCAGGCCCACAAAGCCAAATATATCAACTATCAGTCCCTTTACCAAATAAGTTTGCCAACCCCTGGTGTCAAGCCGTGGAGAATGTGTGTCTGGAGATGTAGAATCTGGGACTCAGAAGGCTCTTGTTAGGTTAGAAACTTTCGTCCTGGCAATGTTACTTATAATGAGCATTCACCCTTCTTCCGTCCTTCTCTGCAGGGTTAGGTGTGTTTGATTGCATTTTCTGCCTGATTTGATTGCAGCCAACTCTTTGGCAGCATTGTCACTCTGAGGCTACAGAGGGGACTTTTCAGTTAAACTTTTAAAGTCTGCAGCCTATTACAAATCACAGTACTGCTAAACTGAGACAAAGAATGAGAAAGACCTCTTATCCCTCTTTAAACAACCTGGATCCACGGGCTTCAGCAGCTGCGGTCATCTGGCACCAGCCCATCAGACAAGTTGCAAGAAAGGAAGATAAGAAATATGAGCTGGGTGCTCAGTGGCTCACACCTGTAATCCCACACTTTGGGAGGCTGAGGCAGGAGGATCTCTTGAACCTACAAGTTTGAGACCAGGCTGGGCAACATAGCGAAAACCCTGACTCTACAAAAAAATAGAAAAAATTAGCAGGGCATGCTGGTACATGCCTGTAGTCCCAGCTACTTGGGAGGCTGAGGTGGGAGGATTGCTTGAGCCCGGGAGGTTAAGGCTGCAGTGAGCTGTGATCACACCACTGCATTCCAGCCTGGGCAACAGAGTGAGACCTTGTCAAACAAAAAAAAAAGAAGAAGAAGAAAAAAAAAGAAACAAAAAAAAAAAAGAAAAAAAAAATATGAGTTAGGTAAAGCAATGCACTTTTCCAGAAACTCCCAGAAAGGACATAATTAACCCAGGGAGAAGGAATACCTAATTTAAAATTAGAAAAACGTAGGCCGAACATGGTGGCTCGTGCCTGTAATCTCGACACTTTGGGAGGCTGAGGGGGGTGGATCACTTGAGGTCAGGAGTTCAAGACCAGCCTGGCCAACATGGTGAAACCCCGTTTCTACTAAAAATACAAAAATTAGCCAGGTATGGTGGCACGTGCCTATAGTCCCAGCTACTCAGGAGGCTGAGGCAGGAGAATTGCTTGAACCCAGGAGACGGAGGTTTGCAATGAGCTAAGATCGCACCACTGCACTCCAGCCTGGGCAACAGAGTGAGACTTCGTTTCAAAAAAAAAAATGAGAAGAATGATTTGGAAAAGCAAGAGGCAACTTCTAAGCCTTTTCCCCCTTGATGAATAACAAAAATTGTTTAAACAATAGTGATTCACCTTTATCGAATATTTACTATGTGCCAGATTTCTCTCAACTGGAATAAATTAACTCATGAAATATTCCTAACAATGTGAGGTTGATACTCTCATTGTCGTCATCTTACAGCTGAGAAGATTGAGGCTCAGAGAGGTTAAGTTACACAACCAAGGCAACACAGCCAGGAAGAGGCAATGTCAAGATTTGAACCCAGGCTCCTGAGCAACCACACTACACTAGAGTGAAGGTTCTACTACAGTTGGGTCAAGGTAGAGAGTGCTATGTATTATACTTGCTTATAAGCCTTTTTTTTTTTTTTCTGAGACAGAGTCTCACTCTGTCACCCAGGCTGGAGTGCAGTGGCACAATCTCGGCCCACTGCAACCTCCACCTCCCGGGTTCAAGCGATCGTCCTGCCTCAGCCTCCCAAGTAGCTGGGATTAAAGGCGCCTGCCACCAAGCCTGGCTAATTTCTGTATTTTTAGTAGAGACAGGGTTTCACCATATTGGCCAAGCTGGTCTCGAACTCCTGACCTCGTGATCCACCTGCCTCAGCCTCCCAAAGTGCTGGGATTACAGGTGTGAGCCACCGCGCCTGGCCCGCTTATAACTCATTTTTAAAACCTCTCTCTTACATTTCTTCTTCACTTTTTCAACAACCTAATATTGAGGACCTACCAGCCTAGACTTAGGCCCTAGGGCCACAAAGATGAGTGAAAATCAATACTATTCAAAAGCCTAAATTTCTATCCAAATTATTGGTTTAACTCAAAGTTTTGATTTCTGGGCGGGGTGTGGTGGCTCACGCCTGTAATCCTAGCACTTTGGGAGGTTGGAGGTGGGCGGATCACTTGAGGCCAGGAGTTCGAAACCAGCCTGGCCAACATGGCAAAACTCCGTCTCTACTAAAAATACAAAAAAATTAGCTGGGCATGGTGACACGCACCTGTAATCCCAGCTACTCAGGAGGCCGAGGCAGGAGAATCACTTGAACTTAGGAGGCAGAGGTTGCAGTGACCTGAGATTGCACCACTGCACTCCAGCCTGTGCGACAGAGCGAGACTCTGTCTCAAAAAAAAAAAAAGTTTTGATTTCTGCTGGCAACTCCTCTTTGGGATGCTTTAAGCTGTTATCCCATGTTAGAGCCTCTGTATAAATCAATGTTTCGCTAGGGACGTTAGCCATCCTCCAAAGATTCATGTACTCTCTTTACAACATAGAGCTGTTTCAAAGTCTTCTTTGTGAAAAAGAAAAATCAACCCTCTTCAGCAGGATGAATGTGACGGCCCAGACTAGATGTGCTGAGCTACCTCAGTTAGTAGCCTGGTGACCTCTGGGAAGGTTTCGGTGCACATGCTGATGGGCCTGGAAGCCTTTGGTTCTGAAGGATGGAGGGATGGAGGCAGCTCTGGCATTTTGTGGGTGGTACTGTTCATATGTGTGCTCGTGTGTGTGTGTGTCTGTTTAGTGTGTTTGCTTTGGGCAGAAGGGTACCCCAAGGAAGTGATTTGGAAGGGAGGAAGGCAAGAAGAAGGTATTACAGCTGTCACCCTTGGAACTGGTTTTAAAAGAGGTGATAATGGAAGAAGCTGATTCACAAGAAACTTCTAGGAGACTCTAAGCCCAAGCGATGTTGCTTGGGTAGAGCTGGCCAGAAAGTGAGGCACTCATTTTGGGCACAAAAATTCAAGGGGTAGTTCCAAAACTTCAGTAATCATGGTAAATATTTTAATGCAATTTTTTTTTTTTTTTTGAGACAGGGTCTCATTCTGTCACCCAGTGTCACCCAGGCTGGAGTACAGTGGCGCGATCTCCACACACTGCAACCTCTACCTCCTGGGCTCAAGTCATTCTTCCACCTCAGCCTCCTGAGTAGCTGAGATCACACACCTAGCTAATTTTTGTATTTTTTGAAAGGACAGGCTTTCGCCATGTTGTCCAGGCTGGTCTCAAATTCCTGAGCTCAAGCAATCTGCCTGCCTTGAACTCCCCAAGCACTGAGATTACAGGCATGCAATATTTTTTTAAAAATCAAAATTAATGCCAAAAATTCCATGACGAACAAAATACCAAAACTTAAAGGACAGGACTGGGGGGCCCTGGGGACAACATGTAGCGATGAGCTGGGGAGAGAAAGCTTCTAGCAGCTTCTGCAAGGAAACTACATGTCTCCGGCCCCTCAGGAGAGGGGCCCTTGGGGGCTTTCAGAGGCAGAGCCTGCCGCAGACACTGAGTACTTCAGAGGTGCATTGCAACAAGGCAGGGTGAGACACCGTGATGGGGAGTGCATGTCAGCTCTGCTTCTGAGTCTGGATGAAAATCCGGCCACAGACTCCTCCAGAGAGTTGTGGAGGAAGGGAGGTCTTTAACCCTCCAATTATGGGCTGGGAGCCACGATAACTTGAACATCAGGGAGAAAGTACTCATGGCTAGTGAAGCACACATGTGTTTATTTATTTTTACAACAAAGACGGATGCCCCTCCTAGGTGCCAAGTATGCTTAGCCACAGGGGACACAGAGCACCAGGAGGCAGGAAACCAGTCAACCCATGGTCAAGGAATCACAAATTATGAGGTGGCCTCAGTGAAGGAGAGCAGAAAGGGTCTATGTCAAGATCACAGGCTTGATCCCAAGGAGCTACCTGAGCTGAGGTTAATATCTGCCTCTGCCTCTCCATTTCCCACTCTTTTCCCAGTGCTTTTTTTGAGACACTGTCTTGTTTTGTCACCCAGGCTGGAGTGCAGTGGTGCAATCTCAGCTCACTGCAACCTCCACCTCCTAGGTTCAAGCAATTCTTCTGCCTCAGCCTCCTGAGTAGCTGGGATTACAGGCATGCACCACGATACCCAGCTAATTTTTGTATTTTTAGTAGAGATGGGGTTTCACCATGTCGGCCAGGCTGGTCTCGAACTCCTGACCTCAAGTGATCTGCCCACCTTGGCCTCCCAAAGTGCTGAGATTACAAGCGTGAGCCACCAAGCCCGGCCTCCAGTGCCTCTTTACTCCCTTTTTGTCTTGCCTTCCGTCTTCTCTTTTCTTTCCTTTTCCTATGCCATTGGAACCTCCCAGCCTCAGTCCTCTGGTAGAATTTGAGGCTGAGCAAGTTCATTACAAAAATATTTCTGAGCTAGGCATGGCGGCACATACCTGTAGCCCCAACTACTCCAGAGGCTGAGGCAGGAAGTTACTTGAGCCCAGGAGTTCTAGCTATAATGAGCAATGATAGAGCCTGTGAATAGCAGCCATTTTACTCCAGGCTAGCCAACACAGAAAGACTCCTTCTATAACACTTTTTAAAAATATTTCTGAGCCGGGCACAGTGGCTCACGCCTGTAATCCTAGCACTTTGGGAGACTGAGACAGGTGGACTGCCTGAGCTCAGGACTTCAAGACCAGCCTGGGCAACATGGTGAAACCCTGTCTCTACTAAAATACAAAAAATTAGCTAGGCACAGTGGTGTGTGCTTGTAATCCCAGCTGCTTGGGAGGATGAGACAGGAGAATCTCTTGAACCTGGGAGGCGGAAGTTGCAGTGACCCAAGATCATGCCACTGCACTCCAGCCTGGTCGACAGAGCAAGACTCCATCTCAAAATAAATAAATAAATAAATAAAAATAAAAATATTTCTGGCCCAGGCACAGTGTCTCATGCCTCTAATCCCATCACTTTGGGAGGAAGACACGGGCAGATTGCTTGAGCCCAGAAGTTTGAGACCAGCCTGGATAACATATCGAAACCCCATCCCTACAAAAACTATAGAAATTAGCTGGCTGTGGTGTTGCATGCCTGTTGTCCCAGCTACTCCGAAGGCTGAGGTGGAAGGATCGCTTGAGCCGGGAGGTCGAGGCTGCAGTTAGCCGTGAGCATGCCGCTACACTCCAGCCTGGGTGATGGAGCAAGACGCTGTCTCAGAAAAATATGTACATATTTCTTTTATTTTTTTCTGAGACAGAGTCTCTGTCGCCCAGGCTAGAGTACAGTGGCCCGATCTCAGATCACTGCAAGCTCCACCTCTCAGGTTCACACCATTCTCCTTCCTCAGCCTCCTGAATAGCTGGGACTACAGGCGCCTGCCACCATGCTGAGCTAATTTTTTGTATTTTTAGTAGAGACGGGGTTTCACCATGTTAGCTAGGATGGTCTCGATCTCCTGACCTCAGGTGATCTTCCCACCTCCGCCTCCCAAAGTGCTGGGATTACAAGCGTGAGCCACCGCACCTGGCCCATATTTCTGATATAAAAATAGGTGGGGGCTGGGCACGGTGGCTCACGCCTGTAATCCCAGAACTTTGGGAGGCCAAGGCAGGCAGATCACCTAAGGTCAGGAGTTCCAGACCAGCCTGGCCAACACAGTGAAACCCCATCTCTACTAAAAATACAAAAAATTAGCCAGGAGTGGTGGCAAGCGCCTGTAATCCCAGCTACTTGGGAGGCTGAGGCAGGAGAGTTGCTTGAATCTGGGAGTCGAAGCAAAGACCTGGGAGGTGAGCAGAGACCGCGCCACTGCACTCAAACCTGGACAAGAGCAAACCTCTGTCTAAAAAAAAAAAATAGGTGGGAAACAAGAAAAAAGAAAAAAACAAAAAAAGAGAAAAAAACAGGTGGGAAACAAAGAGAAAAAACTCAAAATTCTATATTCAGAATGATCTAGAGTATGTAAAAATATGTTCATTTAAAAAGGCAAAAATAAAACAAAAAAAACTGGAAGGAAGGCAATGACAATGATCCTGGCCTTGGAATGCTGGGACCTGAGAAATAAGCCCACCTCTCTACATTCAGATGTTTTTCCAAAAAAAATATAAAATTTTTAAAAATGGACCAGGCGCAGTGGCTCACGCATGTAATCCCAGCACTTGGGCAGATCACTTGAGATCAGGAGTTGGAGACCAGCCTGGCCGACATGGTGAAACCCCGTCACTACTAAAGACACAAAAATTAGCCAGGCATGGTGGTGCGTGCCTGTAATCCCAGCTACTCAGGAGGCTGAGGCAGGAGAATTGCTTGAACCCGGGAGGCAGAGGTTGCAGTGAGCCGAGATCGTGCCACTGCACTCCAGCCTGGGCGACAGAGCAATACTCCGTCTCAAAAAAAAAAAAAAGTTTCTAATTAGACCTAGGCTAGACTTAGACTCCAGAAATAACTAAATAGAAAAATATACGTTATCTTCCCTCATAAGAAAATTTACAGATGATATTTCTGTGAACATGAGATTAAATCCTATGGCCTTTCATTATGACATTTTAAAATTTATGTTCTGCCTCATTTCACAAAAGACTTAAAGCAGAAATTTGGACATATTTTATGGAAATAACTATTTAGCTGAGACTATGCTCCATTGCTGTAATATTCAAAATGGGGTTTTTTAAAATTATATATTCAGAGGAAGAAGTCCCGGGCATTATAAAGAAGAGACATTAAATCAGAGGACGGCAAATGTTTTCTGTAAAAGGCCAGAGAGTCCGTGTTTTCAGCTTTGCAGATTATACAGTCCATTCCACCATTAACTCACTCTGCCCTTGCAGCAGGAAAGCAGCCACAGACCACACGCAAACCAACAAGAGTGGCTGTGTTAGCAGAAAACCTTATTTATGGACTCTGAAATTTGAATTTTAGGTAATGTTCACACGTCATGAAATATTACTCTTCTTTTACTTTTTTTTTTTTTTTTTTGAGACAGAGCCTTGCTCTGTTGCCCAAGATGAAGTGAAGTGGCGTAATCTCGGCTCACTGCTGCAGCCTCCACCTGCCAGGTTCAAGTGATTCTGCTGCCTCGGCCTCCCGAGTAGCTGGGATTACAGGCACGTGCCACCACACCCAGCTAATTTTTGTATTTTTAGTAGAGATGGGATTTCACCATGTTGGCCAGGCTGGTCTTGAACTCCTGGCCTCAGGTGATCCACCCACCTTGGCCTCCCAAAGTGCTGGGATTACAGGCATGAGCCACCACACTCGGCCTCTTTTACTATTTTTTAACTATTTAAAAACGTAAAAGCTATTCTTAGCTCCCTGGCCATACTAAAACTGAGAGCAGGCAAGATTTGGTCCACAGGCAGTAATTTCTGGAAACCTGTTCGAGAGCAACGTTTTCCAGTGTTTCCTGAGACAAAACCCTTCCTGGAGATGGTAATTGATGTCTTTCAAAAATAGAGATACGAGACAGGCGTGGTGGTTCACGCCTGTAATCCCAGCGCTTTGGGAGGCCAAAGTGGGCAGATCACCTAAAGTCAGGAGTTCGAGACCAGCCTGGCCAACATGGTGAAACCCCAACTCTACTAAAAATACAAAAAATTAGCCAGGCGTGGTGGCGGGTGCCTATAATCCCAGCTACTTGGGAGGCTGAGGAAGAGAATTGCTTAACCCCAGAGGTGGAGGTTGTAGTGAGCCGAGATCGTGCCATGGTACTCCAGCCTGGGCAACAGGAGCGAAACTGCATCTCAAAATAATAATAATAATAATAATATATATATTATATATATATGTCGGACTCTCAGTCAAGTAAAGTTGCATCAATACTAAGTTTAATGAGTATTTTTTCTAGAGAATTCTGAGTCTCTGTTGTGCTAAGGTACATGGTAAATCCCCAAGAGATGCACCTATTATCCAGTGGTGAATCTTATTATTCATTATAAACATCTTATTAATAATAATCATATAATTAATGTTACTACATGGTGACCTTCTGCCAGAAACCATGCTGAGCATTTTGTAGGGATTAACACATTTGCTGGGCACAGTTATTCATGCCTGTAATCCCAGCACTTTGTGAGGCTGAGGCGGGAATATCGCTTGAGCCCAGGAGTTCAAGACCAGCCTGGTAATATAGTGAAACCCCATCTCTATGAAAAACAATAGAAAAAATTAGCAGGGCATGGTGGTGCATGCTCGTAGCCCCAGCTACTCGGGAGGCTGAGGTAGGAGGGTTGCTTGAGCCTGGGAAGTCGAGAATACAGTGAGCTGTGATCGTGCCACTGCGCTCCTGCCTGGGCAACAGAGCAAGACCCTGTCTCAAAAAAACACAAAACATGGATTCTTCACTAGAGTTAAGAATCTGTGAGATAAGAATCATTGTTAATAACTTATTCTACAACATTAATGTGCCAAAGAACACAGTTTTGGAAATGCAACTCTAGACCCTAGAACAGGGTTTCTCTACCTCAGCACTATTGATATTCCAAAGCTTCTTTGTTACCAGCACTGTCCTGTGCATTGTAGGATGTTTAGCAGCATTCCTGGTCTCTACCCAAAATGCTAGGACTACCCTCCCATCCCAATTGTGACTACCCAGGATGTCTCCAGATATTGCCATATGTCCCATGGGAGGCAAAATCACTCCCACTCAAGAACCACTGCTGGAGGCTGCTCCAAAGGTAGTGAGTTATCTCAATTCATTGTTCACAGTCCGTTACAGATAGAACTCCTGGTTCTACTCTTTCCCCTTCTTACTACTGCACTCGACTAGCCTTAACCAATAAATTAAAACATATATATAATATTTTTATATACTATGTTATAACATATAATGTGTACACGAAATTATATGTAGGTCAGGGTGTGGTGGCTCACGCCTGTAATCCCAGCACCTTGGGAGGCTGAGGTGGGGGGATCACGAGGTCAAGAGATCGAGACCATCCTGGCCAACATGGTGAAACCCCGCCTCTACTAAAAATACAAAAATTAGCTAGGCGTGGTGGCACACACCTGTAGTCCCAGCTACTTGGGAGGCTGAGGCAGGAGAATCACTTGAACCTGGGAGGCGGAGGTTGCAGTGAGCCGAGATCACGCCACTGCACTCCAGCCTGGCAACAGAGCAAGACTCTGTCTCAAAAATATATATGTATGTGTGTGTGTGTGGGTGTGTGTGTGTATGTATGTACATATAATATATACAATTATATTTATAACATTATATATAACATATATATGACATATATGTTATATATAACATAATATATAATATTATATATATAATTATATATTTTTTTAAAAACCACTGCTATACAGTCTGTAGCAATGTGTGCAGATTTTTTAGTGGAAACTGTATCAGAATGATCTTTTAACTGGATTTGAACAAACTTAGTCCTGGGACACTATCTTAAAAACAGTTGGTAGTCGTGGCTTATGGTGTAATCAACAAAACAAGTATTGCTATCTCTGATAAATCATCATGTGCGCTCCTTGTAACACTTTCTGGATATTCTAAAATATTCTAGCCTTTGACCCAATAATTCCACTTCTGAAAAATCTAACCATGAGGAAATCGGAAATGTGAACAAAGGTAAATGCACAAAAATATCAACATAGTGTTTCTATAAATAACGAACACTCCAAAGAAACCAAGACTCAGCTTAGGGTATTGGTGTCAAAATGTATGTTTCATTCATCAGTGGAAGGCATTACATTGTTCAAAACTTATGACTACAAAGAATATTAATAACTGGGGGAATGTTTTCTCTTATACCATTAAGTAAATGAAAGAGGACCCAATTTTGATGATAAAGTTTAATCTTGGCCAGGCGCAGTGGCTCACTCCTGTAATCCCAGCACTTTGGGAGGTCGAGGCATGTGGATCACCTGAGGCCAGGAGTTCAAGACCCGTCTGGCCAAAATGGCGAAACCTCGTCTCTGCTAAAAATACAAAAGTTAGCCAGGCGTGGTGGCAGGCGCCTGTAATCCCAGCTACTTGGGAGGCTGAAGCGCAAGAATTGCTTGAACCCGGGAGGCAGAGGTTGCACTGAGCCCAGATCGTGCCCCTGCACTCCAGCCTGGGCAACAGAGCAAAACTGTCTCAAAAAAAGAAAAAAAAATGTTCAATCTCAAAACAAAATGTTAATGTATAAAAAGAACAGTGCTCAAATGTTAATACTTCAAAACTGTGAGGTTAGGCTGGGCCTGGTGGCTCACGCCTGTAATCCCAGCACTTTGGGAGGCTGAGGTGGGTGGATCACTTGCGGTCAGGAGTTTGAGACCAGCCTGACTAATATGGTGAAACCCCATCTCTACTAAAATTACAAAAATTAGCCAGGCATGTTGTCATGTGCCTATAGTCCCAGATACTCGGGAGGCTGAGGCAGAATAGCTTGAACCCAGGAGGTGGAGGTTGCAGTGAGCTAAGATCGTGCCACTGTACTCCAGCCTGGTGACAGAGCAAAATTCTGTCTCAAAAAAAAAAAAAAAAACTGGGAAATTATGAGTATTTTCTTTTTCTATGACCAACTAGGGGTAGTTCTTAATTTGCCAAGAAACCTTTCTCTTTTCTAAAGCAACTGAAGAAACCAGAGAAGAGTAAAGCTCATTCGTTGTTGCTACTGTTTGGATGCACTCCTTAGCACTATGTCCTCACTAGCTGTGTACAGGTGCAAGGTCTGGTGTCCTCATCTATAAAATGGGGATGATAAAGGTTCCTATCTCAAATGTAGTTGTAACATTTAAATGAGACAATGCATGAAAAATGCATGGCCCATTGGACATGCTCCGTAACTGCGAACTATTTCCCGGTCTGTGGAAATGTACAATGTGTTCGGGGAAATTCAGATGAGTTATTCTTTCTTTGTTATCTTGATTTCCTTAAGAATTTTTCTCAAACCAAAAGAATTAACACCTTTAAAACAATGCCTTCCAACACTGATCTTTATGCAAGTCTCAATGAAGTTTTCACTGATTTGTTTTTCATGAGGGTTTTTTTTTTTTTTCAATTTAAAGGACAGTCCTTCAGTCTTCAATTATGTTTTTCCAACTGTCTTGGTTTCTCTTTTGTGAAATGATAGTGAGAGTAAATGCCAGTTGGATTTTTTGAATACCCTTTCTTACCTGGCAAAATCAAAACTTGGTATCCTTACAACGGCATCAGTTTTTTTCAACATTACTGGTTAATGAATTCCAAAACTCTGGGAGCTCTGGCTGTCCACCCAAATTAAAGGTTTTCCTGGACGCTTACTTTCATCTGCCGCTGTTGTTGTTGTTGTTGTTGTTGTGTTGTTTTGTTGTTGAGACACGTTCTCAGTTTGCTACCCAGGCTAGAGTGCAGTGGCCCCATCACAGCTCACTGCAGCCTCAACCTCCCAGACGCCAGCAATCCTCCCACCTCAGCTTCCCAAGTAGCTGGGACCACAGATGCATGCCACTGCATCTGGCTAATTTTTCATTTTTTGTAGAGATAGGGTCTTGCTCTGTCGCCCAGACTGGTCTCAAACTCCTTGTTTCAAGCAATCCTCCTGCCTTGGCCTGCCAAAGTGTTGGGATTGTATGCGTTAGCCACCAAGCCTGGCTTCATCTGCTTTTCAAGTAAGCATGTCATGCAATTGCCTACCCTACCAAAAAAAAAAAAAAAACAGTTCTTTGGAGGCTAAGCAGTGCCCTTTCCTTTGGGTCATCATCTGTGTGTGACAACATAAGTACCGGGGGAATCAACTTAAGATCTTATGGGGCAGCTCCAGATGCAATTGTCCTGTAGACAGGAATGTATGCAGGGAGCCCTTGCTTTCCAGCTTAACAGGTCAGAATCCTCACTGTGACAGTATGAGCCAATGGCTGGTCTGGTTTACATTTGTTTACCCGGAGTTCTACAGTTGCTGATTAATTTCCTAAGGTTGGCCTAGAAATCCAGTAGCTGGTTTATTTTAGTTTCTCTTGCAGCCTTTGTTTCCAAGTTGCAACCAATTGCTATTCTTAGCTAATACTTCCCTCGTGTGGACAGAAGCTGCAATACCAGTGCCTGGGAGAAAAACCTTTTCCTCTGATCCATTTGAAGTCCTCTCTCTAACGGGCTGCCTTTAATAAAACTAAAAGCTGTCTCTACCTGCGTCTGGGTTCTGAGTGCTGTAGAGAGAGAAGGTAACCCAACTGAGTAGAGACTGCTCTAGGTTGTGAGTGCAAATCGAGGCTTCACTGCTGGGATGACGCCCCCTCAGGCCTCAGTTTCCTAATAAATAGAACAGGCCAGGCACGGTGGCTCATGCCTGGAATCCCAACACTTTGGGAGGCCGAGGCGGCAGATCACGAGGTCAGGAGATCGAGACCATCCTGGCTAACACAGTGAAACCCCATCTGTACTAAAAATACAAAAAATTAGCTGGGCGTGGTGGCGGGCACCTGTAGTCCCAGCTACTCGGGAGGCTGAGGAAGGAGGATGGCGTGAACCCAGGAGGCAGAGCTTGCAGTGAGCGGAGATCGTGCCACTGCACTCCAGCCTGGGCGACACAGTGAGACTCTGTCTCAAATAAATTAATTAATTAATTAATTAATTAATAAAATAAAATAGAACAGTAGCCTTCACACACTAGGTATAAGATAGAAAAGTTAAAAGGAAAATACAGCATATTCTCCTAGGCATAAATTAAAATTCAATAAACATTCACTATAACTCAGTTCTTGTAGAAATTTAATTATATGCCCAGAATTTATGTCACATATATAACAAAGTTTCAAACGTATTCAAATGTTACAGTTAATAAGATACAAAGCCATTCACTAGACCAATAAATGTCTTGGTAGTCTTTGTTATTAAGGGTTGCCTCAACTAATATCATCCATTCATTTATTCAAAATATATTTATTCAGGCCGGACATGGTGGCTCATGCCTGGAATCCCAGCACTTTAGAAAGCCAAGGCAGAAGGATCACTTGAGCCCAGGAATTTAAAACCAGCCTGAACAACATGGCATTACCCTATCTATACCAAAAAATACAAAAATTAGCCAGGCATGGTGGTACATGCCTGTAGTCTCAGCTACTCGGGATGCTGAGGTGGAAGGATCACTTGAGCCCAGAGGGTGGAGGCTGCAGTGAGCCGAGGCTGCACCATTGCACTCCACACTGGGCAACAGAATGAGACCCTGTCTCAGAAACGAAACAAAAAACAAAACAAAACAAAACAAAAAACCCAAAATATATTTATTTAGATGTATTCACTGAAGACTTAGCCAGGCATGATGGCTCACACTTGTTATCCAGCACCTTGGGAGGCCGAAGAGGAGGATTACTTGAGGCCAGGAGTTTGACACCAGCCTGAGCAACATAATGAGACTTTGTTCCTACAAAGAAATTCAAAAATTAGCTGGGTATGGTGGCACGTGCCTATAATCCCAGCTACTCAGAGGGCTGAGATAGGAGGATCCCTTGAGTCTGGAAGTTTGAGGTTTCAGTGAGCTACGATTGGGACACTACACTCCAGCCTGTGCAACAGAGCAAGACCATCTTTAAAAAAAAACAAACAAACAAAGCAAGTACTATTATTTAGACTAAAAGTCTAGGAAAGAGTATCACACTAATATGGGGTCTTAATATTGCAAAGTAAAAGAAAAAAGGAGCAGGGTGACCCACGTGAGCAAGCAGTTCCACTCCTAGTTATACACTCAAAGAACTTAAAAAGGACATTCAGACAAAAACTTGTCCAGCAATGTTCACAGCAGCATTACTCACAATAGCCAAAAGATGAAGACCATCCAATGTCCGTACTGATGAATGGATAAACAAAATGTGGCCTGCATTAGGCTGTTCTTACATTACTATAAAGAAATACCTGGCCAGGCGCGGTGGCTCACGCCTGTAATCCCAACACTCTGGGAGGCCAAGGTGGGCGGATCACGAGGTCAGGAGTCCGAGACCAGCCTGACCAACACAGTGAAACCCCGTCTCTACTAAAAATACAAAAATTAGCCAGGCATGGTGGCGGGCGCCTGTAATCCCAGCTACTTAGGAAGCTGAAGCAGAAGAATCGTGTGAACCTGGGAGGCGGAGGTTGCAGTGAGCCGAGATGGTGCCACTGAACTCCAGCCTGGGGACAGAGTGAGACTCCGTCTCAGAAAAAAAAAAAGAAAGAAAGAAATACCTGAGACTGAGACTGGGTAATTTATAAAGAAGAGAGGTTTATTGACTCACGGTTCTGCAGGCTGTACAGGAAGCATAGCAGCTTCTACTTCCAGGGAGGCCTCAGGAAACCTACAACCATGGTAGAAAGCAAAGCGGGAGAGAAGCGTCTCAAATGGCGGGAGCAGGAGCAAGAGTTGGGTGGGGGTGCTACACACTCTTAAACAACTATATCTCATGAGAACTCACTATCATGAGAACAACACAAGAAGATGGTGCTAAACCATTCATGAGGATCCACCCCCATGATCCTGTCACCTCCCACCAGGCCCCACCTCCAACACGGAGGATTACAAGTGAACATGATATTTGGGTGGGGACACAGATCCAAACCATATGTTGGTCTATCCACATCACGGAATATTATTCAGCTATAAAAAGGCATGAAACACTGATCCATGCTCCACCATGAGTAAGCCTCAAAAACATTATGCTAAGTCCCAGCTGGGCTCAGTGGCTCACGTCTGTAATCCCAACTTTGGGAGGCCTAGGTGGGAGGATCACTTGACCCCAGGAGTTCCCGACCAGCCTGAGCAACATAGTAAGACCTTCTTGTCTCCTCAAAAAATAAAAATAAAAAAAATTACCCGAGTATTGTGCTGAACACCTGGGGCCCCAGCTACTCAGGAGGCTGAGGCAGGCAGGAGGATCACCTGAGCCCAGGAGGTCGGAGCTGCAGTGAGCTGCGATTGCGCCACTGCCCTCCAGCCTGGGTGACAGAGCAAGACCCTGTCTCGAAAAAAAAAAAAAAAGTTACACTAAGGGCAAGAAACCAGACACAAAAACCACATAATTCCAGTCATATGGAATGCCCAGAATAGGTAAATCCATACAGACAGAAGCTAGATTAGTGGTTGCCAGAGGCTAGGGGAGGGAAGGATGGCGGGTGGTGGCCTAACTGGGCTTCCTTTTGAGACAATGGAAATATTTTGAAACTTGATAATAGAGGTGGTGGTTGCACAACGTTGTCAGTGTACTAACAGCTATTGAATTGTACACTTTAATATAGTTTTTCTTTTTGAATTTTTTTCTTCTTTTTACATATATTTTGTTTATTGGCCTCCAGCTTTGCATAATGTGGTATATTTTATGTTTTGTAAATTTTACCTCAATATAAATAAACATATACATTTTCAAAACATTTTTAAATGTGTGTGATGTTCTGATGAAGAAAACTCAGGCCCTCGAGCCCAGCAGTCTGTTTCCAGTCCCAACTCAGCCATGTGCCAGCTTTTGTGTGTGTGTGTGTGTGTGTGTGTGTGTGTGTGTGTGTGTCATGGAGTTTCTCTCTTATCGCCCAGGCTGGAGTGCAATGCAGCAATCTTGGCTCACTGCAACCTCCGTCTCCCGGGTTCAAGCAATTCTCCTGCCTCAGCCTCCCGAGCAGCTGGGATTACAGGCATGCACCACCACACCTGGCTAATTTTGTATTTTTAGTAGAAACCTCAGGTGATCTGCTCACCTCGGCCTCCCAAAGTGCTAGGATTACAGGCATGAGCCACTGCGCCCAGCCCATGCGCCAGCTTTATAACCTTGAACATGTTCCTTAACCACTCAAAGGCTCAGTTTCCTCACCTGAAAAAGGAAGGATATGTAGTTCCTTTTCTTTTGGTTTTGTTTAGTTTTGTTTGAGACAGGGATCTCATGCCGTTGGCCAGGCTGGAATGCAGTGGTGCGATCACAGCTCACTGCAACCTTGAACTCCTGGGCTCAAGCAATCCTCCCACCTCAGCCTCCAGAGTAGCTGAGACTACAGGCACATGCCACCAGACCTGGTTAATTTTTAAACTTTTTGTAGAGATGAGGTCTCACTACGTTTTCCAGGCTGGTCTCAAACTCCTGGGCTCAAGCAGTTCTCCCGCTTCGGCCTCCCAAAGCTCTGGGATTACATATAGTTCCTTTCCATGAGTTTGTTGTGAAGATTAAACAACACATTTATCACAATTAAGATAGCATCAGGATCAGAGTGAGGGTTTTGTAGCAAAGTTTTTGTTTGGTTTTGTTTTGTTATTTGGAATCAATGGAGCAAAAGCAAACACACACACACACACACACACACACACACACAAACACACACAGAGCCTTTGAAGTGAGACACGCGTTTGAATTTTGGCTCTGCCACCTACAACCTGGACCACATTGGGTAAAGCTGTTTAGACTCTCGAATCCTCAGTTTCCCAGCTCCTTAAGTACAGGATCTCATCTGACCTTCCTCATTAATACTGAATGACTTCAATTTAAGCAACGCCTGCATATATGACTGCTCACTAAAATATTATCTGTTGAGGCTGGCGTGGTGGCTCACTCCTGTAATCCCAGCACTTTGAGAGGCCCAGGCAGGCGGATCACTTGAGGCCAGGAGTTCAAGACCAGCCTGGCCAACATGGTGAAACTCCGTCTCTACTAAAAATACAAAAATTACCCAGGCATGGTGGTGCACACTTGTAATCCCAGCTACTCAGGAGGCTGAGGCAGGAGAATTGCTTGAACCCGGGAGGCAGAGGTTGTAGTGAGCTGAGATTGCGCCACTGCACTCCAGCCTAGGCGACAGAGCGAGACTCCATCTCAAAATTAAAAAAAAAAAAAATCATTGAAATGATAAAATAGAATCTTAACTTTTCCAGTTATTTTACAGGTTATGATAATCAAACATGTGACAACATTAAGCACCCTGGTAGAGGCAAGATTTGCCAGGCGGCTCTCACATACCCCTGCCTCCCACAATACTACCCCCGCCTCCCATGATATGATGAGATGACAAGGCACTTTACCTCTGCATTATACTCCACAAAACCCGTAATCCCAGACAATCATGAGAAAACATCAGACAAACCCAGATCAGCAGACATTCTACAAAACACCGAGTCCTTCCCAACACTGTCCACGGAATGAAAAACAAGGAAAATCTAAGAAATGGTCACAGACGAGAGAAGACTACAAGAGGCATGATGACTGAATGCAAGGTAGGATCCTGGGACAGAAAAAAAATCCCACCACTAATGGGAAAACTAGGGAATTCTAAATAAAGTAACATACCAGTGTTAATTTCTTAGTGTTGACAGATGCATTGTGCTTATGTAAGATGGTAGCACTAGGGCCAGCTGGGTGCAGGGTTGGAACTTGGGTTCGAATTCAGGAACTCTCTGCAATCTCTTTACAACTGTTCTGTGAATATAAAATTATTCCAGGCTGGGCGAGGTGGCTCAAGCCTGTAATCCCAGCACTTTGGGAGGCCAAGGGCAGGAGGATCACTTAAGGTCAGGGATTCGACACAAGCCCAGCCAACATGGTGAAACCCTGTCTCTACTAAAAGTGCAAAACTTAGCCAGGTGTGGTGGCGCCTGTAGTCCCATCTACTTGGGAGGCTGAGGCATGAGAATGGCTTGAACCTGGGAGGCGGAGGTTGCAGTGAGCCAAGATCACACCACTGCACTCCAGCCTGGGTGACAGAGCAAGACTAAAACTTAAAAAAAAAAAAATCCCAAAATAAAAAAGTTTTTTTAAAAAAGTGTGTGTATAGGCTGTGTGCAGTGGCTCACGCCTATAATCCCAGCACTTTGGGAGGCTGAGGCAGGAGGATCACAAGGTCAGGAGTTCAATACCAGCCTGGCCAACATGGTGAAACCCCGTCTCTACTAAAAATACAAAAATTAGCCAGGCATGGTGGCGGGTGCCTGTAATCCCAGCTACTTGGGAAGCTGAGACAGGAGAATTGCTTGAACCCGGGAGGCAGAGGTTGCAGTGAGCCGAGATTGTGCCACTGCACTCCAGCCTAGGCGACAGACTCCATCTCGGGGTGATGGGGGCAGTGGAGGGGGGGGAGTGGGTAGTGTGTGTGTAAAAACATTTTGTGAGCTATAAAATGTAGCCGAGGTGACCTTCCTGTGGCTTCCTGGTCCTCTAATGACCTCTGGCCTGTTGCCACCTCTGCAGCCTGCCAGTCCGATTTGCCTAAAACTAATTCACTGAATAATCAAATATCAAATGATCATTTCACTGACTTTTCCAATTGTGTTTTTAACAGCTTTTTTAAAAGCAAGAATATTTTAACAGCTTTAACAGAAAAGTACAATTTTGATTGCTGATTATGAAATGCAATTGTCTGAATAGTAGCTAACCGAAGCTGATATGCTGTCTGAGAAGCTGCTGGAAGAATCCTGAACATGCTAGAAAGTTGGCAAAATTGAAATCAATACAAACTAAAACGTTCCCTTATGAAGTGTTACTTTTTCCAATCAAAATTCCAACTTTTTTTATTTTTTTCAGACGTAGTTTCGCTCTTGTTGCCCAGGCTGGAGTGCAATGGCCCAGTCTCAGCTCACTGCAACCTCCACCTCCGAGGTTGAAGCGATTCTCCTGCCTCAGCCTCCTGAGTAGCTGGGATTACAGGCACCCGCCACCATGCCTGGCTAATTTTTGTATTTTTAGTAGAGACGGGGTTTTAGCATGTTGGTCAGCCTGGTCTCGAACTCCTCACCTCAGGCAATCCGCCTGCCTCGAACACCCAAAGTGCTGGGATTACAGGCATGAGCCACTGCGCCCAGCCTCCAACATTCTTTATACAGTAGGGTAGGTTTAGCTATTCATGTTCTTCAAAAGCTCTTTTTTTTTTTTTTTTTTTTTTTTGACAGAGTCTTGCTTTGTCGCCAGGCTGGAGTACAGTGGCGTGATCTCGTCTCACTGCAACCTCCGCCTCCCGGTTTCAAGTGATTCTCCTGCCTCCACCTCCTGAGTAGCTGGGACTACAGGCACCTGCCACTATACCCAGCTAATTTTTGTATTTTTAGTAGAGACAGGGTTTCACCATGTTGGCCACGATGGTCTCGATCTCTTGACCTCGTGATCTGCCCGCCTTAGCCTCCCAAAGTGCTGGGATTACAGGCGTGAGCCACCACACCCAGCCTTCAAATGTTTTTGAATAACGTGTTCTATTTTATTTATTAGGCAAATTTTAGTTCATTTTTGTCAATTTCACCAATGGCCTATCAGCCTTGTTTTTGTTTTTCTAAAAATGAATATTTTAATTAAGTTTAATTTACATAATTTTATTTACTACGCTATTTCTCCAGCTCCTACGATGTACTGGGCAGAATGTCATGTGCTTGGCAGAGAGTTATGAACTATGAACCAAACCGAAGTCATCCTTGACCTCCAGGAGTTTGTGGTGTGCCAAGGGCTGAGGGCAAATAAACTGATGCTCACAGCCCTGCAAGTAACAGGAAAGTGGGAGTGCTTCGGGATCAGGCAGGAGAGGAGGCCCTACATGTGGGGGCAGCCACAGCTAAGAAAGAACAGCCAGCTGAGATCTGAAAAATGAATAGAAGTTTTTTTTGTTGTTTTTTTTTTTTTTGAGATGGAGTCTCATTTTGTCGGGCATCACTTGAGGTCAGGAGTCTGAAACCAGCCTGGCCAACATGGTGAAACCCCATCTCTACTAAAAATACAAAAATTAGCCAGGCGTGGTGGCACATGCCTGTGATCTCAGCTGCTCGGGAAGCTGAGACAGGAGAATCTCTTGAACCCGGGAGGCGGAGGTTGCAGTGAGCCAAGATCACGCCACTGCACTCCAGCCTGGGTGACAGAATGAAACTCAGTCTCAAAAAAAAAAAAAGAAAACTCAAAGCCCATCATTGTTTGAACCCACAAGATGCAAGTCTAATTTCAACAAGGAGGGGACCAGGCCACCCTGAAATAAGATTTTTAGAGCCTTTCTAATGTGGAATTCACATTATTGCAAATTTGGTACATACTGTGGAACTCTAACAAGCCTCTAATTCACAACTTCAGATTTGCACAATTCAGATTTGCAGAAAATAAGACCTCACTGTGTCAGCTAAAGTCCAAACAGACCAAATGCTACTTCTCAAGGTCTTTCAGCTTCTCAACTCCAGGTGTCTTTTGTATCGTAGATGAAAGGAGGCCATTGGGCTGGTTACGACTTATGACTACTTGCTTTATATTAAGGATCAGCAAAAATCAGTAAGAGTCACTAGAGGGTTTCACTCTTTTTTTTTTTTTTGAGACAGAGGTTCACTCTTGTTGCCCAGGCTGGAGTGCAATGGCATGATCTCAGCTCACTGTAGCCTCTGCCTCCCGGGTTTAAGAAATTCTCCTGCCTCAGCCTCCAGAGTGGCTGGGATTACAGGCGCCCACCACCACACTCGGCTAATTTTTGTATTTTTAGTAGAGACGGGTTTTCACCATGTTGGTCAGGCTGGTCTCAAACTCCTGACCTCAGGTTATCTGCCCACCTCGGTCTCCCAAAGTGCTGGGATTCCAGGTATGAGCCCCCGCGCCCAGCCAGGGTTTCACTTTTCAACGTGTGCTGCACTCACCTGATCACCTTCAACTCTAACTGATAGTATCAAGGACAAATCAATAAAAGTTCAACCAAAAGGTTGTCTGGCCATTGATTTTTAATGTTGCATGTTCACTTCCGGTCAATGAAATGGTAGATCTTGTCATTCTGCGACTTTGCACTCTTCATTGTCTTTTTTTTTTTTTTTTAAACAGGGTCTCACTCTGCTGTCCAAGCTGGAGTGTGGTGGTGCCATCATGACTCACTGCAGCCTTGGCCTCCCAGGCTCAAGCGATCCTCCTGCCTCGGCCTCCAGAGTCTCTGGGACTACAGGCATGTGCCAGCACCCCTGGCTAACTTTTTTGGTATTTTTTGTAGACACAGGGTCTCACTATGTTGCTTAGGCTGCTCTCAAACTTGTGGGCTCAAGCAATCCTCCCACTTCAGCCTCCCAAAGTGCTGAGATTACAGGCATGAGCCATCATGCCTGGCCTCTTCAGTGTCTTTTTATTGACCACAAGATAATGCCCACATTTTCTTAACCAGCTCACCACCACCTCCTCAGCCTCTTCGTACCCTTTCCTGGCAGAAAACTCCTTACTCAAGGGCATCCCCCTCCTGATGATCCCCGAAATGTGCCTTGTTGCCTTTAACCTCCTCCCAAGAGGGAAGTTCAGAGGCAACAGCCGGTGCAAACCCTCCCAGATCCTTGTGCAAGCCTCAGATTAGACAGCTCTTCTTCTAGGAAGCCCTCCCAACCCTCCTCCTGGGGGTCGGGGGCACTGACAGATGAAGCCTTCCAGAAATGGCAATCAAGTTCAATGAGGTGGGAGGAGCAGCTCCGGTCAACCCCGTCGGTGTCTCCGCATGAATATTCAGCCTCATTTGGAATTAACATCAATGATGCAATGGCCCTCGGGTCAGACACCATGAAGGAAAACACAGCTGTGCTAAGTCCAGTCACTTAAACCCTCTGCTAAACCTCCCCACAGCTTCCCATCACACCTAGAGCAAAAGCTAAAAATTGGGCTGGGTATGGTGGCTTACGCCTATAATCTCAGCATTTTGGCAGGCCAAGGTGGGCAGATCACCTGAAGTCAGTAGTTCAAGACCACCTGGCCAACATGGTGAAACCTCATTTCTACTAAAAATTACAAAAATTAGCTGAGCATGGTGGCACATGCTTGTAGTCCCAGCTACTTGGGAGGCTGAGGTGAGAGAATCTCTTGAACCCGGGAGTTAGAGGTTGCAGTGAGCTGAGATCGCGCCATTGCACTCCAGCCTAGGCGACAAGAGAAACATTCCGTCTCAAAAATAAAATAAAATAGGCCGGGTGTAGTGGCTCACGCCTGCAATCCCAGCACTTTGGGAGGCCGAGGCGGGTGGGTCATGAGGTCAGGAGTTCAAGAACAGCCTGGCCAAGATGGTGAAACCACGTCTCTACTAAAAATACAAAAAACTTAGCTGGGCATGGTGGTGGGCGCCTGTAATCCCAGCCACTCGGGAGGCTGAGGCAGAGAATTGCTTGAACCCGGGAGGTGGAGGCTGCAGTGAGCCGAGACAGCACCACCGCACTCCAGCCTGGGCGACGGAGCAAGATTCATCTCAAAAAATAAAAATAAAAAATAAAATAAAATAAAATAAAATAAAATAAAATAAAAATTGGGCTGGGTGTGGTGGCTCACGCTTGTAATCTAAACACTTTGGGAGGCCAAGGTGGGCAAATCACCAGATGTCAGTTCGAGACCACCTGGTCAACATGGCAAAACCCCATTTCTACTAAAAATTACAAAAATTAGCTGGGCCTGGTGGTGCATGCCTATAGTCCCAGCTTCTTGGGAGGCTGAGACCAGAGAATCACTTGAACCCGGGCGGCAGGGTAGGCAGCAGAGGTTGCAGTGAGCTGAGATCACGCCACTGTACTCCAGCCTGGGTGACAGAGCAACACTCTGTCTCAAAAAAAAAAAACAAAAAACAAAAAAAGGAGGTGTATTGTGAGTCATAACCTCAATTTGTTCATACTTTACTCTGCTATTTTTTCCTTTTTTAAAATTGAAGTATAATACAGCCAGGATTGGTGGCTCATGCCTATAATCCCAGTACTGTGGGAGGCTGAGGCAGGAGGATTGCTTGAGGCTAGAAGTTCAAGACCAGCCTGGTCAACAGATCATCTCTACCAAAGAAAAGTTTTTAAAAGATTTTTAAAAATTAGTCAAGCATGGTGGTGCATTCCTGTAGTCTAAGCTACTCAGGAGGCTGAGGCAGGAGGATCACTTGACCTCAGGAGTTGGAGGCTACAGTGAGCTATGATCACACCACTGCACCCCAGCATCCCAGTGACAGAGTGAGACCCTCTCTGTAAAACAAACAAAAAAACTGAAGTGTATATATATATATATATATATATATATATACACACACACACATATATATACACACACATACATATATGTGTGTATATATATATACACACACATATATATGTATATATACATATATATACACACAAAAAGTGCCCAAATCATAAGTGTAGACTTCAATTTATTTTCACAACATAAACCAGCACCCAGACCATGGAACGAAAGGTCTAGAATCCCAAGCGTGTCTGTACCTGCTTGCTGTTTGCCCACCACCAGCAGCAGCGCACACGCCATCCTGACTTCCAGCAGCATAGGCTAGTGCTACCCATTTTTGTCATTTGCATGAGTGGAGTCATACGGAACACAGTCTTTTGTGTCTGGCGTCTTTTGCTCTGCATTATGTTTGCGAAGTTTCTCCATGTTGCTCTATGATTGTAGATCATCCGTTCTTGTCACTGTATACTGACCACTGCAAGGAGATGCCACAGCTTACTCATCCATTCCATTCTTGGCAGGCTTTTGCACCTTTGCTATTTTACTTTGTTTGTTTGTTTGTTTTTTAGAGATGAGGTCTCGCTATGTTGCCCAAGCTGTTCTTGAATTCCTGGGCTCAAGCGATCCTCCCACCTTGGCTTCCCAAAGTGCTGGGTTTACAGGCAAGAGCCACCGTGGCCAGTTTATGCTATTTTAAAGTACCAAACTATTGGTATTATTGTTCATGTACTACCATTATTTCTCTACTTAAGAAAATCTGTAACCAGAATAATTGATATCACATGGCACACCCAAGGAGGTATTTGTGGCATTAAAGTTGCATCTGGGCTGGGCACAGTTGCTCATGCCTGTAATCCCAGCATTTGGGAGGTCAAGGTGGGCGGCTCACTTGAGGCCAGGAGTTCGAGACCAGCCTGGCCATCATGGCGAAACCCCATCTCTACTAAAAATACAAAAATTAGCCAGGTGTGGTGGCACACACCTGTAGTCCCAGCTACTCGGGAGGCTGAGGCATGAGAATCAATTGAACTTGGGAGGCAGAGGTTGCAGTGAGCTGAGATTGTGCCACCGCACTCCAGCCTGGAAGACAAAGTGAGACTCTGTCTCAAAACAAAACGAAACAAAAAACAAAACAAATAAAGTTGCATCTGAATAGAAGTTCAAGAAGCCTTGTGATCTCTGTCATCCTGAGTTTCATTCCCATTTGGGGCGAATGGTGAGTTGGATCATTTTCCTTGCTAGTCGTCTTTAGGTCCCACAAACCACACTAAGCCTGGTCCATTTCCAGAAGTTTTTTTGTTTTGTTTTGTTTTTTTGAGACGAAGTTTCTCTCTTGTTGCCCAGCCTGGAATGCAATGGCACAATCTCAGCTCACCACAACCTCCGCCTCCTGGGTTCAAGTGACTCTCCTGCCTCAGCCTCCCGAGTAGCTGGGATTACAGGCATGTGCCACCACACCCAGCTAATTTTGTATGTTTAGTAGAGATGGGGTTTCTCCATGCTGGTCAGGCTGATCTCGAACTCCTGACCTCAGGTGATCCGCCTGCCTCGGCCTCCCAAAGTGCTGGGATTACAGACATGAGCCACTGCATCCGGCCCAGAAGTTCTTGATGGATCCATCTGCAAATGAGGGATAGAGGGAAGAGAAGTGGGGAGAGAAGAAGGCAGGAGGAAGGGGTGAGAGAACCAGGAGAGGGGAGCGCGGCTCCAGGCTCAACCCCACCCCGCCTGGAGCTTGAGCAACTCCTTCCCTTCCTTCAGGACTGGCTTTCTCCCTTTTCCCTCCAGGGCCAAATCCTGTCTCTTAGGACTTGACTCCTCCTTCCCAGGGTCATTTACTTTCCCCTGGGCTTTCTTGCCTTACATCCTCCCTAGAAAATACAAGCCCTGCCCCTGGAGCTCTCAGAGCCCAGCACCTGGGGCAAAGTGGAGAACACAATGGCAGTGAGAGTTCCTTTTTTTCTTCTTCTTTTAATTAAATTGGGTTTTTGGGGCCAGGAGTGGTGGCTCACACCTGTAATCCCAGCACTTTGGGAGGCTGAGGCGGGCAGATCACTTAAAGTCAGGAGTTGGAGACCAGCCTGGCCAAGACGATGAAACCCTGTCTCTACTAAAAATACAAAAATTAGCCAGGCGTGGTGGTGCATGCCTATAATACCAGCTACTCAGGAGGCTGAGGCAGGAGAATCGATTGAACCCTGGGAGGCAGAGGTTGCAGTGAGCCGAGGTCATTCCACTGCACTCCAGCCTGGGTGACAGAGCAGAGCAAGACTGTCAAAAACAAGGAAGGAAGGAAGAAGGGAGGGGAAGGAAAGAAGGAAGGAAAGAAAGAAAGGGAGGGAGGGAGGAAGGAAGGAAGAAAGAAAGAAAAAAAAACTGGGCCTTTGGCATCACTGGAAATAAATATCCATATAACAGCGGTGTCATTTTGCTCTGCTGTTACAATCACTAAGCACAAGGACTACACTAGGTAATGAACATACAAGCTAGCTCAAGGAACTTTAAATTTTTTTGAATTATAAAAAATTTAAAGTTTATTAAAAGCGTTACTAATAGAGTTTCATCTTTTCTGCCGCATTTGAAATAACACAAATGTTCCCCACAGCATTTGAAATAACACAAATGTTCCATCTTTGAAAAGTTGCTCAACTATCAAAGTTGAATTTCAAAGCTGGTAGAACAAGGAACTGGCAAACTTTGTTAACACCCGTGCCACCTGGAGGTGACACTTTATGGCACTAAGTAAAATGCCCCATCATTGGTCAGTTAGTTCCATTGAGAAAAATAGCCTTGAATAGTTCAGATATTCAGTTATTGATGGTCTTCAAGAACGCACTTCTCCCCTACAATTTGGCAGAAGTGTGTTGTGCTCATTGCCTTCTTCATAACTAGAGACTGGTTTGGTTCCCAATGCAACCAAATCCTCGTTATTGCTTCAGCTAAATTCACACACATAACCATTTTGCAAAACTCACCCAGCCTGGGCAACATAGCAAGACCCTACCTCTACAAAAAAAAAAAAAAAAAAAAAAACGCACAGAAATTAGGCCGGGTGAAGTGGCTCACAGTTGTAATCCCAGCACTTTGGGAGGCCAAGGCAACAGATCACTTGAGGTCAGGAGTTCGAGACCAGCCTAGCCAACATGGCAAAACCCTTTCTCTACTAAAAATATAAAAATCAGTTGGGTGTGGTGGCATGTACCTGTAATCCCAGCTACTCGGGAAGCTGAGGTGAACCAGGGAGGCAGAGGTTGCAATCAGCCAAGATCACACCACTGCACTCTGCACCTAGGTGACAGAGTGAATTCTGTCTCAAAAAAAAAAAAAAAAAAAGATTAGCCAGGCATGGTGGCAAGCACCTGTAGTTCCAGCTGCTGGACAGGCAGAGGTGGGAGAATCCCTTAAACCCAGGTCAAGCCATGATCGCACCACTGTACTCCAGCCTGGGAGACAGAGTGAGACTCTGTCTCAAAAAAAAAAACAAGTTATTATTATTTTTCCATTGAGTTGGTCTTGTTCTGCTGCCCAGACTGGATAGAGTGCAGTGGTACAATCATAGCTCACTGCAGCCTCAACCTCCTGGGCTCAAGTGATCCTCCCACCTCAACCTCCTGAGTAGCTGGGACTACAGGTTTGCAACACCATGCCCAGCTAATTTTGTTATTTTATTTTATTTTATGTATAGACAGAGGTCTCACTCTGTTGCCCAGGCTGGTCTCGAGCTCCTGGCCTCAAGCAATCCTCCCATCTCGGCCTTCCAAAGTGCTGGGACTACAGGCATGCACCACCATGGCCGGCTAATTTTTGTATTTTTTGTAGAGATGAGGTCTCTCCATGTTCCCCAGGCTGGTCTCAAACTCCTGGGCTCAAGCGATCCACCCTCCGCGGCCTGCAGAAGTGCCGGGATTACAGGCAAGAGCCACCATCCCTGACTAAAAGATTTTCTTTTCTTTTTTTTTTTTTTTTGAGAAGGAGTCTCACTCTTTCGCTGAGGCTGGCTTGCAATGGCACGACCTCAGCTCACTACAACCTCTGCCTTCTGAGTTCAAGCGATTCTCCTGCCTCAGCCTCCCAAGTAGCTGGGATTACAGGTGAGTACCACACCTCGCTAATTTTTGTATTTTTAGTAGAGACGGGGTTTCACCATGTTGGCCAGGCTGGTCTCCCGACCTCAGATGATCTGCCCACCTTGGCCTCCCAAAGAGCTGGAATTACAGGGGTGAGCCACTGCGCCCGGCCAAATTTTCTTTATATTAACATGTAGTGGGATTATTGTTGTTCTTGAATTTGTAAATTATTTAATAGTTTTCCATATCTATTAAGGTAAATATCAATAGCTGTAACCTATTCTTTTTTTTTTTTTTTTTTTTTTTTTTGAGACGGAGTCTCGCTCTGTCGCCCAGGCTGGAGTGCAGTGGTGCGATGTCAGCTCACTGCAAGCTCCGTCTCCCAGGTTCATGCCATTCTCCTGCCTCAGCCTCCCGAGTAGCTGGGACTACAGGCACCAGCCACCACGCCCGGCTAATTTTCTGGTATTTTTAGTAGAGACGGGGTTTCACCGCGTTAGCCAGGATGGTCTCAATCTCCTGACCTCGTGATCCACCCGCCTCGGCCTCCCAAAGTGCTGGGATTACAGGCGTGAACCACCGTGCCCGGCCAAGATTCTTTATAAAGCATTAATTACATGGCCACCTCCTTTCATCCTCTAGGACCTGTTAGGTCCTGTCCTGACCACCCAGCTCTCGTGGGTTCTCCTAATTATTCTCAGTCTCCTGCTGATTTCCTCCCCAGCCACTACAGCAGGGCCATAACTGGTCTGTTGACCTTTTCTCCCCTCCCCTCCCCTCCCCTCCCCTCCCCTCCCCTCCCTTCCCCTCCCTTCCCTTCCCTTCCCCTCCCCTTCCCCAGCCCTTTTCTTTCCGAGACACAGTCTTGCTGTGTCACCCAGGCTGGAGTGCAGTGGCACGATCTTGGCTCACTGCAACCTCCTCCCACCAGGTTCAAGCAATTCTTGTGTCTCAGCCTTCCAAGTAGCTGGGATTACAGGCGCACACCACAAAACCCGGCAAATTCTTGTAGTTTTAGTAGAGACGGGGTTTTGCCATGTTGGCCAGGCTGGTTTGGAACTTCTGACCTCAAGTGATCCACCAGCCTGGGGCTCCCAAAGTGCTAGACTTACAGGCATGAGCCACCGCGCCCAGCCATGATGACCTATTTTCAATGTCTTCCACCACCAGCAACCCCACAAAGACAGCCCCAAGAGGGTAGGAAATGCTACCTGGTTCATGAGACACATGTCCCTGGCACCCAGCCAGTACTAGCCCTAAGCGCCTGGCACTTAGTGAAAGCTCAATAAAGATATACTGAAGAAATAAAAGCAGGTAGAGAAAAGACCACCAACTTCAACCTCTCCAAAGTAGATTTCTTCGAGTCATTTGATGTTCAGCAGAAAACCGTGTTCTTTTAAAAAAAAATTTTTTTTCAGCGTTTTTTTCGTGTGTGTGTGTGTGTGTGTGTGTGTGTGTGTGTGTGTGTGCTGTTTCATTCTCCAGGAAAACAATGAAACAGTGCTAAAATCAGCCTGTGCTAGTGTGGACTGTAAACTCCTTTTTAAATAAGAAAGGGAGATATAAATAGACCTGCAAATATGCCTGTATTTTCAAAAAGAATTAATGAAAAGATAAATCAAAAATTAATTTTTAGGCTGGGCGCAGTGGCTCACACCTGTAATCCTAGCACTTTGGGAGGCTGAGACAGATGGATCACCTAAGCTCAGGAATTCAAGACCAGCCTGACCAATATGGTGAAACCCCATCTCTACTAAAAATACAAAAATTAGCCGGGCTTGGTGGCATGCGCCTGCAGTCCCAGCTACTCGGAAGGCTGAGGCAGAGAATTGCTTGAACCCGGGAGGTGGAGGTTGCAGTAAGCCAAGATCGTGCCACTGCACTCCAGCCCGGGCTACAGAGCGAGACTCATTCTTAGAAAAAAATAATAATTTTTAAAAATGGTTACTTTAGGCTGGGCGCGGTGGCTCACGCCTGTAATCCCAGCACTTTGGGAGGCCAAGGCAGGTGGATCATGAGGTCAGGAGATCTAGACCATCCTGGCTAATACAGTGAAATCCCATCTCTACTAAAAATACAAAAAAAATTAGCCGGATGTGGTGGCAGGCACCTGTAGTTCCACCTACTCAGGAGGCTGAGGCAGGAGAATGGTGTGAACCCGGAAGGTAGAGCTTGCAGTGTGCTGAGATGGCGCAACTGCACTCCAGCCTGGGAGACTGAGCGAGACTCCAACTCAAAAGAGAAATCTGAAAGGTTCATTGGGCAGTGATAAGAGCAATAACATTGGCATTGTTTCTGTTATATACAGTAGGTTAAAGCCAGGAACCCAGCTTTTCAGAAAATCAAAAACAAAATCAAAGAAAACTCTAAAACGTGAGTTGGAAATAGCAGTATAATTCACTGAGGTTTCCTTTTTGATAATATTTATTTCCTTTCCCTACATTAAAAAGGCCAGGAGCACAACCACCCAGGTAGGACTAAATGCCCCTTGCGCCCAAACTGCCCTAATTACCGCTTCCCATAAAAGGAACCCAGGATCCTTGGATAAATGACGGTTCCCAGGTGTGGGTCAGTACAGGTGGGATTTGGATCATCTCCGGTTTTGTTTTGGGGTTTGTTTTTAGAGACTGAGTCTCGCTCTGTCGCTCAGGCCGGAGTACAGTGGTGCGATCTCGGCTCACTCCAACCTCTGCCTCCCGAGTTCAAGCAACTGTCCTGCCTCAGCCTCCCTAGTAGCTGGGATTACAGGCACCTGCCACCACACCTGGTTAATTTTTGTATTTTAGTAGAGACGGGGTTTCACAGTTAATTTTTGTATTTTACTAGAGATGGGGTTTTACCATGTTGGCCAGGCTGTTCTGGAACACCTGACCTCAGGTGATCCGCCCGCCTCAGCCTCCCAAAGTGCTGGGATTACAGACGTGAGCCACCATGCCCAGCCAGAACATGTTTTAACAAAAAGTTAAGAAGCCTTCAGACTTTTGTCCTGCAAACACTGGGCCAACTTGGAACTCCCACTGACCAAAAACAAGAGACTTGAGGCATCAAAATGACGACCACATGCTCTCAACACATCAAGTGTATAAGACTTGTGAGCTCATACCAAAAATGTAAAAGCTTATTCCTGGGTCACCTCTGGAGAATGCTGGCACCAACTCATCCTCAAAGCTGGTAATCAAGAGGAATAAAAAACAAACAAAACGAGCATTTCTCCTTTTTTTGGTTGAAACTGTGTTTCAGGGTAACCAAATAATCATAAGGAAGCTCTTCTTAATAGAATTTCAATTAACAGATGTGGAATTTTAAGAAGTCTTTAAAAGTGACTTTTGCAACATCAATGGCAGCTAAAATCCTAAGGAAGAAGGTTGGTGGGCTGGGCATGGTAGGTCACGTCTGTAATCCCAGCACTTTGGGGGGCCGAGGCAGGCGGATCACTTGAGGTCAGGAGTTCAAGACCAGCCTGACCAACATGGTGAAACCCTGTCTCTACTAAAAATACCAAAATTAGCGAGGCATGGTGGCACACGCCTGTAATCCCAGATACTTGGGAAGCTGCGGCAGGAGAATCTCTTGAATCCAGGAGGCGGAGGTTGCAGCGAGGCGAGATTGCGCCAGTGCAGTCCAGCCTGGGCGACAGAGCAAGACCCTATCTCAAAAAAAAAAAAAAATAGAAAAAAGAAAAAGAGTGTGGGGTTTTCTTGTTTTTGTTTTTGAGATGGAGTCTCGCTCTGTTGCCCAGGCTGGAGTGCACTGGCGCAATCTCAGCTCACTGCAACCTTTGCCTCCCGGGTTCAAGTGATTTCTCATGCCTTAGCCTCTTGAGTAGCTGGGGCCACAGGTGTGCACCACCACACTCAGCTAATTTTTGTATTTTTAGTAAAGACGGGGTTTCGCCATGTTGGCCAGGCTGGTCTCAAACTCTTGGTTTCAAGTGATCCACCCGCCTTGGCCTTCCAAAGGGCTGGGATTACAGGCGTGAGCCACGTGCTGGCCTTAAAATTGTGTTTATAAGCCAGGCATGATGGCTCGATACTCGGGAGGCCGAGAGCTGGAGGATCAGTTGAGCCCAGGGGTTCAAGGCTGCAGTGAGCTGTGATTGCACCACTGCACTCCAGCCTGAGTGACAGAGCAGGAGCACATCTCAAAAAAAAAAAAAAGAAAGAAAACTAAAAAGTTAAATAAAACAAAATCAGAAACCAGAAACACAATAAACACTAAAACTCAAGATTGCAAAACACCAAATCTATATTTACACTTCCACATATAATAACATAACTTTAAGCTGAAATATATCATAAATAAAACAAGTAATGTCTACTGTTCGACAACTTAAGTATCAACAATTAAAATAAATCAAACTGGAATGAAATAAATACATAAACAAAAATCCAACGAATTGTACCTCTATTATATGTACTGTTGTCTCAAAGAAAAAAAAATATAAAACCAGTAGTATACCAATAGTTAATACTGATGGACACAAAAACATATTTTGAAGTACAAAGGGCTGTAGGAAAATAATTGGTATTTTTATACATTCAGAAATGTGGTTAAAAAGAGAAATCTGAAAGCCCAAAAAATTCCAGCATAATACAAATCGACTTGTTTTCAAATAGATTTGGTGATTCTTTTTTTTAAATACAGGTTTAAATTCCAGCCCTCTATTATCACATACCCCCTTTAAGATTTATGGTTCTAGTCACAGCAAGCTCTCTGTAACACTCATTGGATTAGGCAAAGATTGAGTCAATCATCTTGCAAATGTGTTAATCTTCAAAAATAGGCTATAAAAGTGCAAAACTATGAAAACAAAATCTAGATTATGTACATATGGCTCAGCTTGTGAACAGGAAAAAAGGTCAATAGTGTACACTTTCCTGATACAAAGCACTTCATTGCAATGCCAACAGACTGATCTCAAATGAGTTCTCCCTTGTAACACAGGAGCTAAGACTTCTATCAAGGAGGACATCTTACGTTGCATAATTTAAAAAAAAAAAATTTTTTCTAGGATTACCCTTGCTCTATGGAGAACAGCGAGGCCAGAAAAATGAACAGTGCAAATTTATTTTTGAAACAGTTTCTTAATAAAATATTTTGTGGTCACTAAGCCCATGTACTAATAAACTCAGCCATGGACAGCATATTAAAGAACAAAAGTTTAAAATATCTAGGAAGCCAGCTGGTGGCCATCTTCTCTAAAACCCAAATTGCATGTGCACTGAGAAAAATGTTACTGCTTCAAAACAACCAAAAATGGGAAAATAACTGAGGTCTAGAAACAGATTTTCTCTTTCTAGACTCCCAGCGGGCTCGGCCAGCAGTTCCTTATTCAAAATCAATGTGTCTATAATCAACTCTAGTATGTCCACAGTTCACCCAAATGCCAGATACATTAAGACTACCAAATACAAACCTAAAATGTTCCCCCCAAAATTTCCCTTAAAACTGTTCCCCAATACCTGCAATTCACAGATATAATTTAGCATTTTTGTTTTTATATACTAATTTAGGCAAAACCCCCCCGCCACTGAATCGTCCAACAAAAATGATTAATTTGACAGAAACAAATTTAAATAACTGCACATACAGTTTATGTTTATACAACGTGTGGCTGCTCTACAGAGAAAATGCTTGTCTGTAGACACACTCTCTTAAAAATCCTACAAGCCATCCCAACGCCCTCAGTCAAGGATCCTGGAGGTTCCAGGACAATCTGGAGAGGCGAGGAAGAAGGTGCCTTCCCCATCTGAGATGCTCAAAGTTGCGATAAAATGCTGCCAGCTTCCGAATGGCTGACCTCGATATCTGCAGCACATATCATAGAGGGTCAATACTTCCATTAACAATTTTAAGACAACAATAGATTTGGGTGGATTCAACATAATACAAAATCATTGACAGTTTAAAAAAAAAAAAACATACATTTTAAATGAAAGAGCACAATAGCAGAAACTGCTCCAAGTGATGAGCTGCATTAGAGAAAAGGAATACACACAGTATTTGAACAAGCAGGTTTACAACTTAGATATTTACAGATTTTTACCTGAGGTGCAAGCATTATATACTTTTCCCCCATCCCGCCCCACCCAACCCAAATGATTTCTTTTCAGCAGCGCTCAAGTATGCAAAAATTCCACTTCTTATTTGGTCAATTCTAAGAAAAATATTATTCAGGGACAAAATAGAGATTTCCAGTCCCCATGTATGTAAGTTCCAACTGTTCCAACTAGTTTGTATTGCTATTTGGTACAAAAGTTAACAGAACAACTTTACACAACTGTAGTGTTCCTTGCAGATTCCTCATATGTTTTATGTACAGTACAATCACAGCTTATTTCAGTAGCTTTCACCATTCGCTTCTCAAAGGATGAAGTAAAATTTAATTTCATGGGGAGTAAGCACTGACATCCACCAAGACCTAAGGAAAACAACATTTTTTAAATGATTAAGATCAAAACTGAATACAGTTTAGAAAATTCTTTCTTTAAAAAAGCGTAATACATAGAACCAAACTGACCTAGAAATGCAATGGGTTCTATTTGTTGTTGTTGTTTTTGAGACAGTCTCACTCTGTCGCCCAGGCTGGAGTGCAGCGGCACGATCTTGGCTCACTGCAACCTCTACCTCCCAGGTTCAAGCGATTCTCCTGCCTCAGCCTTCCAAGTAGCTGGGACTACAGGCATGCACCACCACGCCCGGCTAATTTTTTTGTATTTTTAGTAGAGAAGGGTTTCACCATGTTGGCCAGGCTGGTCTTGAACTCCTGACTTCAAGTGATCTGCCCGCCTTGGCCTCCCAAAGTGCTGCGATTACAGGCATGAGCCACTGCGCCTGGCCCTGGGTTCTATTTAAGTTCAACTTTTGCTATGAAAGTATTAGGAGAATGACTAACTAGATAATGCTGCGAACTTTGGAGCTACTTTTAGTAATTTAACTGAGATGACTTAACCAAGAATCAGAATTCAGTAAAAGGCAGTTGCCATGCACAAGAAAATCCCAGCTACTCAGGAGGCTGTGGTGGGAGGACTGCTTGAGCCCAGGAGTTTGAGGCTGCAGTGAGCCAAGATCGTGCCACTGCACTCCAGACCCTGTCTCAGACAAACAAAACCAATATGTGAGCTGGTCCAGAGGATGAGAAAGAAGAGGCTGGAAAGCAAAGACAGAGCAGGCAGGATGTTCTCCAGATGAAGGAAACACAAGCAGAGAAGCTCAGAGCTCCCAGAGAGACACCAGCTCCAGATACAGGAGCATGGCTGTTTGCTACTACTGATCAGTTGTAATGGATGCTTCGAGTAACCTGTTACTAAAATCTGCTCCTCATAATTCATAAATTATTTTTATGTTTTAATATAGAGTGGACTGGATCTTATTCCTGTGATGACAAAGCTTTACTCCCTCATGTTCTTCATCTATTATCCTAAGCAGGAGAAAAGACTGCAGAACCACACAAGGCTCACGCTGCCCAGGGAGAACGTCATCTCAGTTCCCATATGAGTCCCGATGAAAATATGACAGAGAAATTCTGTCCTGGACCACGAGCATCTTTTCATCTTCGTATCCTAGCAGCCAGCAGGCACTTGGTGAAGAGGCTGCTCAACGAATATACAGTGACGGTTTTACGGGACAAGAGTTACCTGAGGAACAACTAAATCTGCCCGTGAGCCCCAAGCTTTCCATTTAATCTTATTGTTGAATGAGTCATAGTATAACCTGTACACAGACATCACACCTTCTGCCCAAACTAATTAACTAAATATAAACTAACAAAACCAACATGCATAATTCTGATACTACTACTTGAGCCTTACGGGACGGCGGTGCACTACAGTGAGACCTTTAACATGTGAACCACATGCTCACATACTTGCTCCTGTCCCAGTTCCCCTCCTTGGCAGATAAGTACTTATCTTGGCAGATAAGTACTTGCCAAGTCTTTGAACAAGTTCTTAAACTAGAACGTTGGGCATAGAGCCTGGATCTTTGCAGACCTAGGACAAAAACCAGGCTCCTGCCTCTCACAGGCAGAGCGGGGCTTTGAGCAAACTGCATAATCCATGCCTCGGTCTCATCTGAAAAGCATGCACAGTACCTCCTAATGCTGGGTCACAAACTTTTTCTGTAAAGGGCCAGACGGTAAATAGTTTCAGCTTTGCAGGCCACGTGGTCTGTCACAACTGCCCGACATTGCTGCTGCAGCAAGGAGGTAGCCACAGACAATATGTAACAGATGGGCATGATCATGTTCCAATAAAACTTTATTGATGATGATGCATGAAAAGCTAGTTTGCTCATCCCTTACCTAAGCCCTCTGCTGCAACAGAATTAAATGAGATCCTGATAATAAAACACTTCATTCAATGCCTAGCACAAAGTAAATGCTCAGTAAATTCCAGTCACTATGACTGTTTTCCTATTATCTTCAGTAATATCCAAAGATCCTGAGGACTCTAATTTTAAAACACCTAAAAAATCAAAATCCAACTTAAAAGCAATTTTGTTACATTATATTAGACAACTTAATGGTTTATTTCCGATCAAGTAAAATCAATCCCCGCCCCCGCCCCCCCTTTTTTTTAGACTGAGTCTCGCTCTGTCACCCAGGCTAGACCTGCAGTGGCACAATCTGCTCACTGCAACCTCCGCCTCCTGGGTTGTTCAAGTGATTTTCCTGCTTCAGCCTCCTAAGTAGCTGGGACTACAGGCACCCGCCACCACGCCCAGCTAAATTTGTGTATTTTTAGTACAGACAGGGGTTTCACCATGTTGGCCAAGCTGGTCTCAAATGCTCGATCTCAGGTGATCCGCCCGCCCTGACCTCCCAAATGGCCACCGCACTCAGCCAATCCAGTGTTTTTAATTGAAACATATGCTCACCTTTTTTCCCCCTAATTAGTGAATCAAGTTTTTTTGTCATTTGGTCGATAATGTGCATTCCCAATAAAATTCTCATAGTTTCTCTTTTGTGCCATGCTGTTAGATAAGTGTTGATATGACACAGGCCTTTTTCCTGATTGAAAAAAAAAACATATTTAGAGTTAAGGTCAAACAATTAGGTAAGATGTGTATAGGTTTTTAGAAGTCAATTTTCAAAATTTCTGACACTGATAATGTAATCAACGCCTAAGTCACACAGTCGCATGCAAGTGTTTTCAGTTACAGCTGAATTGTTTTTATGACACTTGTTAGCACAGAATTTGGTTGATGTCACTAACATTAAAATTGTCTGGGCTGTCACTAGAAAGAATTAAAAAGCCGGAAAAAAATGACATCACAAAATACTTGAAACGTATATGCATCATGAACCAAACTATGTAAAAGTGTTGTTTTTTGCTTTTTTTAAAATCATTTAAAAGGGGATTTGCCAGCATAGGCAACATGGTGAGACCTCTTCTCTACTAAAAATAAAAAATTAGCTGGGTATGGTGACATGCACCTTTAGTCCCAGCTACTCGGGAGGCTGAGACGGAAGGATGGAAGGATTGCTTGAGTCCCGGAGGTCGAGGCTGCAGTGAGCCGTGATTGCCCCCACTGCACTCCAGCCTGGGCAACAGAGTGTGACCCTGTCTCACAGAGGAGGGGAAAAAAAAAAGAGGATCTGACTTGCAACACACAGAGCCTTTTCCCCCTTTAAGTAAAGACAAAGTTTTGATTCATGTCCATTTTAAGCACCATGGGGGGGGAAATGAAGATTTTTAACCAAAAGGCAGTAAAAATTACTATTTCATCACAATTTTTATAAAATCTACTGGAGTGTCTGAAAGCAATTGTTTTTTAATTTGCTATCTCTACTGAACCAATCAGCATCAAGCAATTCTTGACAGAGTGTTGTCACCACACAGAATCCTCAGTTTGAAACTAACACAAACTGAAATGTGCAAAACTGAATCTGTTTCTTTGGGGAGCACAAACCAGTAGAGCTTCTATGTGATAAAGGAAGATGCTGCAGTTTGACCGAGTTTGCCAAGGAGAAGATGTCCCTGGGACACTGAGCTACTTTTTTACACATACAGGTATGTGCCAGACACCTGTACGAAGTGACACCACCAGGACACATTTCTATGGGGAAAACCCCAGTCATCTATGAGGTTAACAATCTACCTATGGGGGAAATAAGGTTGGTTTTAAATTAATACAGTTGTCCCTCAGTATCCAGAGGGCACTGGCTCCAGGACCACCCGCCCCCACCACCCCAGCCAACAGATACCAAAATCCATGGATGCTCAGGTCCCTAATATAAAACAGTGTCGTATCTGCAGTATTCATAGTATCTGTAGTACTATTTTTTTTTTTTTTTGAGATGGAGTCTCGCTCTGTCGCCCAGGCTGGAGTGCAATGGCACAATCTCAGCTCACCGCAACCTCCACCTCCCAAGGTTCAAGTGATTCTCTTGCCTCAGCCTCTGGAGTAGCTGGGATTACAGGCATGCGCTACCACACCCAGCTAATTTTGTATTTTTAGCAGAGACGAGGTTTCTCCATTGTTGGTCAGGCTGTTTCCCAAAGTCCTGGGATTACAGGCGTGAGCCACCGCAACTGGCCTTGTAGTACTATTAATTTGCAGTATTGTAGCGTAACCTATTCACATCCTCCCATATACTTTACTTACTTATTATTTATTTATTTATTTGAGACAGAGTCTCACTCTTTAGCCCAGGCTGGAGTGCAACAGTGCAATCTAGACTTACTCACTGCAATCTGCGCATCCCCGGTTCAAGCGATTCTCATGCCTAAGCCTCCCAAACAGTTCGGATTACAGGTGCAAACCAACACACCCAGCCAATTTTTGTATTTTTAGTAGAGACGGGGTTTCACCATGTTGACCAGTCTGGTCTCCAACTCCTGGCCTCAATCGAGCTGCCCGCTTCAGCCTCCCAAAGTACTGGGATTACAGATGTGAGCCACCACATCCAGCACCTCCCATATACTTTAAATCATCTCTACACTGCTGGGCATGGTGGCTCATGCTTGTAATCCCAGCGCTTTGTGAGGCCAAGACAGGAGGATCACCTAAGGTCAGGAGTTCGAGACCAGCCTGACCAACATGGCGAAATGCCGTCTCTACTAAAAATACAAAAATTAGGCTGGCGTGGCGGTGGGTGCCTGCATCCAAACTACTCGGGAGGCTGAGGTAGGAGAACTGCTTGGACCTGGGAGGCAGAGATTGCAGTGAGCTGAGATCACACCATTGCACTCCAGCCTGGGCAACAGAGCAAGACTCCATCTCAAAAAAAAAAAAAATCATCTCTTCGTTATTTATAATACCTAATATGAAGTAAATGCTATGTAAATAGTTGTTATACTGTATTATCTAGGGAATTACGACAAGGAAAAGAAAACTGCAGATGTTCAGTACAGATGCGACCATCCATTTTTCCCCCAAATATTTTAGTCCCGCAGTTGGTTGAATCCACTGAGGCAGAACCCAAGGATATGGAGGGCTGACAACATTTAACAGCAAAACGGTTCACAAGACTCTTTAATCGGAAGTTCTTTTGCTTTCTGCTCTTGCCAGGTCAAGGGTCCACGTGTGGTCCTTACTGGGCGCCCCCTATTCTGCCCCGTGTGGGAAGCATGTGACTTGATGCTGTACATGTAAAACATGGTTTCTGCTCTTAAGAAGTTTACAGGCCAGCAGGGAATGGTAAAATGCGTGAGGAAGAACCCCTAGGCTGGGCGCGGTGGCTCACACCTGTAATCCCAGTACTTTGGGAGGCCGAGGCCAGTGCATCACCTGAGGTCAGGAGTTCAAGACCAGCCTGGCCAACATGCTGAAACCCTGTCTCTACTAAAAATACAAGAATTAGCCGGGCGTGGTGGCACGTGCCTATTACCCCAGCTACTCAGGAGGCTGAGGCTGGAGAATTGCTTGAACCCAGGAGAAGGAGGTTTCAGTGAGCCGAGATCGTGCCACTGCACTCAGGCTGGGCAACAAGAGCAAAACTCCGTCTCAAAAAAAAAAAAAAAAAGAAAGAAAGAAAAAAAAAACCCCCGCAACTCCAGGTGGATTGGCACTGACTACTGAGCACACCATACATGTGCAAAGGAAGAAAAAGGGCTGTGATGAAGTGAGGCAAGCTGGGGCCTCAACTGGCTGCATCTGGAATTTCAACAGCAAGACAAGAATGGACTAGACAGACCAGTGTTCTCACCCACTGTTTCCATGATCACTCTCACAACAGAAAAATAAAATTGACAAGAAAAATTACTCAAGAATAAGGCTGGGTATGGTGGCTCGCGCCTGTAATGCTGGCATTCTGGGAGGCCGAGGCAGGAGGATCACTTGAGGCCAGGGGTTTCAGACCAGCCCGGGCAACAAAGCAAATCCCTGTCTCTACAAAAAAATAAATTTAAGTTAGCCAAGCGTGGTGGAGTGCATCTGTAGTCTAAGATACTTGGGAGGTCAACGCAGGAGGATCACCTCAGGCCAGGAGTTCAAGACCAGCCTGGGCAACTCCATCTCTACAAAAAAAATTTAAAAATCAGCTGTGCATGGTAGCAGCACATATAGTCTCAGCTACCTGGGAAGCTGAGGCAGAAGGATCTCTTGAACTCAGGAATTCAAGACTACAGTAAGCTATGATTACACCGCTGCACTCCAATCTAGATGACGGAGCAAGACCCTTTCTCTAAAAATAAAGTAAGACTAAACAAATCAAAAGAATAAAATACACAGGGTTAAGAGTTAAACCCACAGAGTTAAGTAAGCCTTGGAGGACCACAAACCACTGCCGTATCTAAGAATGCTTCTCTCTGTGACCCCCAAGAACTTCTGGCTGCCTACCCCCCACCCTTGGGAGTGGTACCATCTCCACTGAGAATGCCTGGATTAGCTATTAATCACTGTAGGCAGCCATTTAAACACGACGCCCCTCATGCAATACCTTCTAACGTCGAGCTGGATGCTGGACTACCAGCAGGCACACAAGTGTAAAGTGGCCCGGAGCCACCATAGGGCTTCTGAACAGTCAGCACATTTGGAGAATCGACCTCGCTGGAGCTCAGGAACCTTGGTTTGGGAGGCAGCGCCTGCGACGGATACACACAGTCCTGCGGTAACAGTGATGTGATGCCTCTGACCATATGGTACTTGGGAAGGTCATAGCCTCTTCTGTAATTGGCCCCGGGCTGGTCAACGTCAAGGGCAACCACGCTGGACTTCAGTCTTTTTGGAAGGGGCTCACCAAATTCTGCTGCAGTATTGCTGGCACTCCGATTACAGAAATAGTCTCTTCCCGGAGGTGCCCACGGGCTGTCGTTCTTGGCGGGGTAGTCGATGGAACCATTGATGTTACTGCTGCCGAGGGTGGGCTGAGAAGGAGCTACTGGAAGAGGTTTCAATTTTGTCTCGGGTCTTTTTGTCTTATCCGGTGCAGGGGAAACACTGGTTTTAGGAAACATCTCAGATTGCTGTTGCCTGGTGGCGGCCCCTTGGACCCCCACATTCTGCTGTGGTCTGTGGGACTTCAGGTTACTTGGGGCTAAAGTGCTAGAGTCTATCCCTGAAGTCAGAGGGGCCTTGCCTGGCCCAGGAGGGCTCTGCTTCCCCTTCGCAGATGGCAGGGATTTGGACTGCGCCGGGAAAGCAGACTTGGGCTTGGGTTTACAGAAACTAGAGAGGGGAGGCACATCTTTTCCCAGCAACGCTGGCGGGCATCCGGTACGTCGACTTCTAAGCAAGGACTTGTTTCGACAGTTTTTATGAACGTCAGGATTGTATTTATGCTCCAGTCTCTGGTGCATCATTAAAACTTCTGGATAAAATGTCTTGAAGGTACAAAATGGACAGGTGATACTTGGAATCAAACTTTTACTCAAAGAAATTGCCGGGCAATTGTGAAGAGCCCCCACGGATAAATTTAAAGGTTTTTCGTGACAATCCACACTTGGCCTGTATCTGCAGTCAGCTGCGGTCTCCGTTTGCTTCTCTTTGGGGCTAACTTCAAGGTTATGGGTGGTACTGCCATCCGGAGGAGGAGTAACATCCGCCTTGGTTCTACAGATGAGGTTATTTGCCTGAGTTTCAACTGCTGATCTCTTTTTTAACAGGTCCAGGTAAGCAGGGGTAGGGTTTTTATTCACTTTATCAGCACTGTCATCAGCTGCATTTTTATGGAAATCCTGAGTATCTTTGTGTGCTGGTGAGAGGACAGCGCTGCCCAGAACATTCTGAAAAACAGAAGGCATCTCCTTAAGCTGCTTTGCAGGTGGACTGCCTGTAACATCTTTGGCACCATCAAAAAATCTTTTCAAATTTTTGGTTTGCGCACTGTCAGCGGTTAATAGTGCATCTTCAGTGTCCTGATTTTTACCATCGTTCTTGACTTCAGCAGCAACATCGGTTTGTTTTTCCTTGTGATGTCTCTCCAAGTGATACCTCAGAGATGTCTTCTGGGCTGCAGCATATTCACAAAATTCACATTTGTATGGTTTTTCACCTAAGGCAAGAAATGGCACTTTATTATAGAAGTGTATGAAAAGCACTGAAATAGATCAAATATCTATTTATTAAGAAAACAGGCTTCTTTCCTCCTTTTGCTTTCTCGATCTACTATCACATAGGATTTCTCATCAGTTCTTTATCATCCTTACTGTAATGAATATTTGAAATTATGAATGCCTATCTTCAATAGAAAAATTAACAGCAACACTTCTAACTTATTTAATCTTCCTAACAGCCCTAGGGAAATATGTATTATTCTACTTTTACAGCAAAGAAAACTAAAAGCACAAAAAGGTTAAATAACTTGCCCAAGGGTGCACAGATAGTAAGTGGAAGAGATGAAATTTCAAATCTACGCAGCCTCCTACATCATGATGTCATAGCTCCTTTCACAATCTCAAGACTACTAAATAGATTCTCATTTCATTCTCAATCATAAAGACATAAGATGCAGCATTTTAAAATACTGTAGCTTTTAATAAGATAAGAGTCAGGACATAGCAGTCATAAACTAAACAAATGAACTTTGTCCGGGCGCGGTGGCTCACGCCTGTAATCCCAGCACTATGGGAGGCCAACACTATGGGAGGCCAAGGTGAGCGGATCACTTGAGGTCAGGAGTTCGAAACCAGCCTGGCCAGCATGGTGAAACCCCATCTCTACTAAAAATACAGAAATTAGCCGGGTGTGGTGGCAGGTACCTGTAATCCCAACTACTGGGGAGGCTGAGGCAGGAGTATTGCTTGAACCAGGGAGGTGGAGGCTGCAGTGAGCCGAAATTGCACCACTGCACTCCAGCCGAGGTGACAGAGCAAGACTCCGTCTCAAAAAACAAAAAAGAAAGAAAAGAAATGAACTGCAAATAAGAACAATGGCTCAAGTTACAATGGCACTAAAAGAATAAAAATAACCACTGCAATCAACATGCTACATATTTATCCTTAAGCTAGTCCAAGGATCTGGCAGAGTATCTGAACAACAACAACAAAAAAATTAGATAACTACATAATTTAACTAATGCATGGTTAAAAAAATAAAAGTTCTTTACCTGTATGCGTTCTGAGATGAATATTGAGGTAATAATTTGAACGGAAAAACTTTCCACAATAACTACACTCTCTTGAAGATGTAAGATGTTTTATTTTTCCTCCATCATCATTTTTATCTTAAAGGAAAAACAAAAATATTTATATAAGAAGGTAGCTGAAGTACCTGAATAAGGCATGCTGACTTAAATATTCTTGACATAAACATTTTTGGAAAGCATGAAAAAATTCTTTTATATAACATCGGGTTAGAACAAAACGGCTAGACACACACCAAATGCTGTTGGAGGTTGTTTGAAGTTTTAGAGTGTTATAACATGATTTTGTTTTGTTTTTTTCTGGGTACAGCAGAGTACACTATTAAACATTCAGTTCTTCGTTTGCCTTAATCACAAGAAAGATCATTTCATAGACTGAATTGCCCGGGCAGCTTCCGGTTCTCAGTGTCTCTGAGCAGGCAGGATCTGGCAAACTGAAGGTGGACATACATACTGGCGGGAAAAATTATCTTCTTCAGAATAATTTAGAAAAATGAGCCAATTACAAACCGTCAACTTCCCAACCACCAGGGGAAAAATAAGCCGTTTAAGGTTAGGATTAAACAACTGACCACTAGAGGGCAGCAAGCACAACTTAATCTTCAACAGAAAAGAAAGTCTGGCATTGGGCAAGCACCTAGGAAAGTCTGTCAAAATTTAGCAAAGTTTTGGAAAGCAGGCTGTATTGTCCACAAACACTCATGTGGGCGAAAGAGATCTGACAAATGAAAACCTGTCCCCAAATGACAGTGTTTGGCTTTAGTTTCTGCAGGACAATAGGACAATGTGTCTCACGTGCATCAGGAGAAGTTAGAGTCCACTGGAAGGAGGACAGAACTTCAAACACACACCAGCCCTCCAAAAGACAATCAGAGGTGCTGCCGTTAAAATACCACCCCCAAAACACATGAATGTTTAAGTTTTAAATAAATGTCCCCTCACTGTAGATCATATCACTATCCACCTGTAAGACAGACACCCTTGATGATCTATATAGTGTCTAAAGAAAGAAAAAAAAATTTACTTGATCTTCTTAAGTCTTAAAAAAGCCAGGATGATAGTACAATATGATAAATCTAGACTACTAAGATAATATAAGTTTAGGAAAATCAATTCCCCAAATACAGAATGGCCAGCTTTTTTTTCTTACAATCATACCCAAACTAGCTGGGTTTATAACTGGGCGTTGTTGCAATTTCCGACTCCCAACTATGTGTCAGGATTTATGGTATGTTGCGTCATATCCAAAAAGCTATGAAATGCCTTTTCTTTAGAACAAAGGACATGACATTTCCACATCTACCTGGTTCCTGCTCTTTCAAGCATCACCTCTGACTTTACAGTTATATTTTTTAAAGGACTGTGATCTTTTTACAAATAGGCTGTTGAAATTGTCCTTGGGAGGTGGAAGACAGGGGTCAATGAACCATTTTGCAAACAGGGAAATAGTAGCAAAGAAAGGTTAAGCAACTCATAATTGGTCACAAAACAACGCAGTGGTAGAACCAGAACTCAACGCCAAGCTGGGGTGCTCCCACCCACAGCCAGGCATTCTGTCCTGCCTGATGATCTAGCCCATGTTTTCCACACCACCTACCGGTAACTGGCCTTTTCATTTCTTTCAGGGAACTGGGGCATCTCACAGGGCCCCTGCAACAGTACCGGCACTAGCAGAAACCACTTAGCTAACTGGAGTCTGTGTTTAAAGCCTCTTTTTATGATGCCATTAAGACATTAGATTTGTAGTATGCTAAGTGCTGGGTTTCCTGTGTCCCAGGAAACTCAAAAACATTCTAAAGATTTGATATACAGACTACAGTTCTCACGTCAATCACATGATCAGAAAAGGAACTGGCACTGGCTGAAGAGCAGGTGAAGGAAGAGTCCAATCAATCGTGTGGGCAAATTCATCGTGGGTCTCATACACCCAGTTTTCCGAAGAATTCAAGCACACAATCAAGTGACACTGAGAGGAGGAGGCACTTGTTTTAACCGAGGACCACTTTGACAGATGCTTCCCTAAGACCGATTCATGTTCCCATCATTCGCTTGTCAATTACGGCCTGCCCATCAGGGTCTTTTCAACTGTTTTAAGCAGCAAGATCCTCTATTCAAACAAAATACTAAACTCTGATAGGAGAAGCTCTGGCTACAGTGAGGATGGGCGCAACTCCAAACACAGGTGGAATCCTTTGCCCTAGATAACGCCCACCAGGGCTCAGGAATATTATGTGAGCATGCCTTCAGTGATCACCTTCTCTTTCTATAAATGCCACTAGTACACTGAAAATTCTGCTGAGCAAATGAGCCTTCTTAAAAATGTCTTCAGTGTGCTCACATTCCTTGTATTTTATGACAAATCATTTGGGTTCCTGAGGTACCTATAAATGGATACTAGCTTGCCAGACAGAAAGGACAAGGTTTTGGACAGCACCAAACGGCTGCCCAAATAATATTCCTGGCTCTAGTTGATCATCACTCCCAGTACCTTTTATGGCCACTAGAAATTCACTACAGAAAAAGATCAGGAACGCCAGAAAAACTTAAGTGAAGGCTAGGGTCTCTCAATGCTCAAACTATTGACATTTGGGACCAGATAATTCTTTGATGATGGGGCTGTCCTGTGCACTGTACCATGCTGAGCAGTGTCCCTGGCCTCTGCCCACTGGATGCCAGCAGGCACACCCACACACACAGTATGACAACCAAAATGCCTCCAGACATTGCCAGATACTGATTGGGAACAAAATCGCCCCAGTTAAGAAGCAGTGCATTTGGGCTGGATGCACAAGTTATTTTTTTTTTAAAGTGTGTTTTGTGAGCAAAACGATACACGTTTAAAAAATATATATATATTTTCAGAACAAGGAGACCTCTTAACTCAACCCTGTTATTACAGAAATGAGAAAATTAAGGCCCTGAGAGGTTAAATGACTTACACAGAGTGATACCAAAAAGAGCCTGGACTTGACTCTGGCTCTCCAAACCCCATTCCTGGCCAGCGTTGTCTGGAGATGGGAATAGAGAGGGGGAGACGGGGAGACAGACAGACACAGGCGGAACAGCACGGGACGGAGACAGGGCAGCTTACCCAGATGGATTCCTTCGGGAAGCCCATCCTCAGATCCGTCTTCAGAACCACCTTCCCCTCGATCCACGGCTCCATTTTCATCCAGAGGGGCGGCGAGGTCAGGAGAACACGTCCCCGGCTGCCTCCCGTCCACAGACATGGTGGGCGACTCCGCGCCGGCCCTCCGGTCCTTCTTGTGGACCCTGGAGTGCAAGACCAGCTGGTGGTAGGTTCTGAAAGCTTTGCCGCACTCGGAGCAGTGAGTGGGCTTCTCCTTGCTACTGGGTAACTTGGGATCCGCGTCCACGGAGGGCGCTTCGCCGTGGGAGTGTTTGCACTTCTCTTTCTCTTGCGAGAGGCCTGCACAACTGCCCTTATTTGTTTCTCCAAGCTCCTTCTCGGAACTCGAATCGTCGTTGTCGGTGCTCCCTTCTTGCCCCGATTCCTTCACTTCTTGGCAAATGGCAACTTTTCCTTTGGTAGCCAGCTGCCAAGCCTGGAAGGTGGTGAACGGATCGAGCTGAGGGATGCATCTGACAGGCTTCTTCCCCGTTTCAGGGTGAGATTTTGGTCTCAAGTTGAACAACTGCAGGAAGTCCTCCCTCGAGGACGGCATTCCTCCTTGTGGAGAGTCTGTCTGCGCGCTGCTGGTACCGAAAGCAGTTTTTTTGGTGTGCACCTTGCGGTGCTCAATTAGACTTTCTTTATTTGGAAATAGGAAGCCACAAACCATGCAGATTTTGTAAGGAGAGGAGATGCTCTCGGCCGCGTGCACCTGGACGACCTCGTTGATCGTTGCTGGACTACTCTCCAAGCCTTGCTGCAGTTTGCTTCTGGCCCCCGATTTGCCATTATGTGTCCGCATGTGATTTTTAAGAAACCAAGGCTCCTTGAATCTTCTTCCGCACATGTTACACCCGTAAGTGAAAGAATCTTTGTGTGTTCTCATGTGGATCTCAACATCAAAAGCGACTCTAAATGTCTGCCCACATACCTCACAGCTAAATTCATTTTCCTTGCAATTCTTTTCCTTGGGAGGTTCTGTTCGCACTTGACTTTTATCAAGCGGACTGAGATACTCTGCTTCAACCCGAAGAACTGCTGGTTCACAGAGGGTAGGCCGGTGTTGCATTAAGACATGTTTATTAAGGTCTTCTGAATGTGTGAAGGTCTGGCTGCAGAACATGCAATCCAAGGGCATATACCCCTCGATTTGGATGACATTTTTTTCTTGTGTAGCTCGGAATGGAACAACAGCGGTCCCTTTCATTGACAAGGCATCCTCCATCTCCATCGGACTGCCAAGAGAGCTGCCAATCACTTCTGGCCCATCCATGTACATTAAGAGGGATTGAGTTGGCATGTTTCCTGTCACTTTCGATTGCATATAATCTCAAAGTTCCGTTGGGCAATTTCTGGAGTTGGAATAAGGCCACTTGTAAGACTTGTCACTCACCCCTCTAACAGCCCTGGGTTCCAAAAACCAGAGCAAATATTTATTATAAAAGTTCAAAAGAAAGTGTATAGTCCTCTAACTTCTTCGAACTTTTAGGAAGCTCAGTGATGGTGTCACTGGTTCTTTCCACAAACAAGGCATACAGGGTTCCCAATGCCTCGATTCAAATATGAATCAGCACAAAGCATTAGTTCTCTTTGTCTCCATTGAATGAGTGTTTCAATTGAGCAAGAAGTCAATCCCAGCAACCTGGAGACAAGGGATTTCCAAACCCTAGAGGAAAAAAAACAGAAACGGTTAGCTACACTCAGAGCGAAGAGAAGGCTGGTGTGGGTGAGTCATACGGTCTTTTCCACGCAGCAGAGAAGGTACCTAATTCAATTGCTTCACTTTTAACTAATATATAGGGCATCCTGTTAAACGTGCTTGTTAATTAAATCATTGGCATTTTATCCAGTCAGTACACTTATTAAATCAGAATTTCATCCAGTTAAAATCCAGTTTAAATCAGTGCTTTACCGACTTAAATCTAAAATGTCAAGTTTTAGGTCAGAAATTGTTAAATTCAGCTGAATACATTTTAAATGCCACTAAAATGCACATGTGGATGCCATCAACAGCCTCCCTAAATCTAAAGACTATAAGAACTGTGAAAATTAAGATGAAAAAATTAAAACACTTTAGTAAACTATTTTAAATCCAGTGTATACAAAACAATTTAAAATTTGTTTCATATACAAACAAATCTGCATCCAAGAAATCTAAGTGCCCAAACACCCCCTTAGAGATTTTGCACATACAGAGGTCAACAAAATGAGCACAGAAATACAGAAACTTTTCCTAAAATCCCCATTCAAGAAATACTTAACACCTCAGAATGGTCACTCATCTTGGCCAGGGGAACCCTGATATATTTTGGTTCACTGGATATTCGAAACCTCAATCCACTGTTCAAATCCCAGCTTGCTTTCAACGACTTTCTGCCTTCAACAAGCACTGGGTGGGGCTTCCTAGTCCAAACAACAAATAGGGAAAGACATACACAAAGCTCCTTTGTGAATGTATAGATTTAAAATAAAATCCTCAACAGGGCTGTTTCAACATGGCTTAGTCTTTCATCAGAAAATGGGCCCTCTCATTTTTTTAATCTACCTTTCACATCATGCACTGGCCAGGTGGAAAATTACTTTATTTAGCTCTGCTGCTTCTGGTTTAGAAGCTAATTTTCACTCCTGGAGAAGAATTAACTTCTAAAGCCAATACCCTCTGCCTTTATGGCAAACATTGGATAGGCATTGTTTTTAAATAGTCCCAACTACTTAAAACTTAAGTCAGTTAATTCCACCCAAGAAAACCAAAAGGCATGCAAACTACTCCCAGCAAAGTAACCTTAAAAAACAAAAGCATACTTTACTTTCCTCCCTCTCTCTACTTCCTTAAAGAGCAAGGAAGGCCTGCAGGCTCAGAGAAGCCAAGGAAACATCTCCTCCTTTACACTCCGAAATAGAAATTCTCATACTCCTTGTTATCTTTAGTTTTGAATAAACTAGATCTTTAACATTAAGCTTTTCTAAATAAGACTGCAGATCAAGGATTAGGGTAAAGGAAAGAATGTCCTGAAGTCTTTTCTTTGTTGCTATCACAATGGAGGATCAACACATGGGCTGGTGACCAGCTTGGTGTGATATAATAGAACACTCCAGAGACCCGAGTTCTAGTCACAACCTTCAAGTTGTCACTGCCACATACCACATCTTTCTATTATCTATTTAACGCAGTTGGTTAAACTATAGGATGGCCTTTACAGTTCCAATATTCTGTGGTTCTGGGGATAGAGCTACACATTGAAAAGAATATTCAATTACTCTGCTAATCAGAATGTGAAGTGACTTAGGTTTCTATACATAGAAGCTTAAGTTTCATTTGCTTATTCAACAAGTATTTACTGAATGCTAGCGTCCCAGGCAAGGTTTTAACTGAATAACAGCACATACCCTAGAAAAACAGTTATCAAATTCTGACAACGCTGTTTTCCCTGGCCAAGAACAAAGACTCATTTATTTGAGGTCCTTCCTACTTTTAGATGCTAAAATACGCTTATTTTTTAAAAAATCAAATAGTGGCAATAGGCAATAGTGGAGTTTTTTGGTTTTTTTTTTAATGTCCTTATTTAGCAAAATCAAAGTTCAGTGAGAATTTGAAAAAAAAAAAAAAAAAAAAAAACTAAGTTAGTCCCTATGTCAGCTCTCAACATTATTACTGTATTTTAGAAACTTGACTAATACGTGAAACTGTAATTTTGGGGAACTCCACTTCTCTACTGACATCCTTTAGAAAAAGAGACACCAGCTCTACAGTCTCGGGATTAGAAATATGATGTGAGGACGGGTATAGTGGCTCACACCTATACTCCCAATGCTTTGGGAAGCCGAAGTGGGTGGATCACATGAGGCCAGGAGTTGGAGACCAGCCTGGCCAACATGGTGAAACCCCTTATCTGCTAAAAATACAAAAATTAGCTGGGCATGGTAATACACACCTGTAATCCCAGCTATTTGGGAATCACTTGAACCCAGGAGGTGGAGGTTGCAGTGAGCCAAGATCGCACCACTGGTCCAGCCTGGGCAACAGAGCAAGTCTCCCCTCTCCGCCCAAAAAAATAAGAAATATGATGGAGTGTTATTTCCCACTCAGGGAAACAGCATAACTTAGTTACTGAAAATATTTATTAATAGAAAGATGTTTTGGTTCCAATTCTCAATTATCTGGGTTAAAGAAGTTACCATCACTCTCCACACAAGACCTTGTAGGATTATTTCACTGCGGTGAAGGACAATGAAGGAGGTTCAGTGGGAAACGATCTTAGGACAGAGGAAGCTTCCACTTTGCCTGGGAGGGTGAACAGCCTGGGAGACCTGGAGATGAGGGCAGGCATTCTAGGCCAAGGGGTCTTCTTGTGTGGTCAGATGGGGAAGGAAACCCTCCTGGCAAAACAGCAGAATTCTTTCTCCAGGAAAGCTTCTGAGACTGACTCTAATAGTCAATTGTGACCAACTGTCCTAGGCTCCCAGGGCCACAGCAATCCTTAGGCACCCCAAATGTGCCATCCCTGACTACCCAGCACACCCTACCCCCCCAAAGTATTGTGACAGCTCAAGGATGACTTCCTCTGAAAACCTCTGTCCAGATCTAAAACCATCCTGTTTGTTTGCTTGTAACTGTCTTTTTCTAAAAGTAACACCTCAGGATGGAGACTGTTGCCTTGTCCACTGCTGCCCCCAATGCCTGGAACAAGGTGCCTGACACAGGATTAGGCACTCGACACATAGCTGGTGAATAAATGTCACGGAATTAGCACACGTGTAGAATCAGTACACACGTTTGGCCACAGTCACTAACCGTAACTGATCAGAAATTAAAATTAACTTGCATGTTCATCAAAACTTCTACATGGCTATCAGCGACTGCCATCTAATTGCCATTCTGCAACTTCAAGAGTACAATTTCAAGAGCGTAATAAAAAAAATCGTATTTAATCACACCATAAAGTTGATCAGCACAAGCAAAAAAAAAACTGCACTATTTGGATTTATACTCACTCTCCTTATGACCCTCCAAAACAAAAATGCTGGGCATCCTAGGGCTATCTCTGACAGCAAATGCCTTCAGCTCTTGACTTAGAAACTGCTAACACACTAGACAAAACACTTCCTTAAACTCTAAGACAATGAATAATACTTTAAACCAGGTTTACATCCCTTAAAACCAATTTGCTCATCAGTAATCGTTAAAGTGGTTGTAACAATAAAGACGTTAATAACAGAATACAGCAAAATAGAAATTCTAATCTACTAACAGCAAATCACCGTTCCAATTGAATGGGGTGTGTGCACAAACACAAGCCTTCCCAGAAGCCTCCAGCTCTCCACACTCCTGCACACAGAAGGCAGCAGTAAACCGATGGCACTGCTGATAAAGTAAATTGTCTTTCTTGACAAAGAACTGGAGGAGAAAAGCAGGATATTATAATCCAACACTATAATCTAAATGCTTCTAGCTTGCAAGAAAGTGAGCGTTATGAACACGCTAAGCTTACTGAAAAGTACTTCACAAAAATGTTTTCCAATGTTTAAAAACATTTTAAAATCTTTACTCAGGTAAACGACAGAACTTAACTCATATACCCCCTAACACCTAAGGCAAGTGGGCTATTGAGTATAGCCATATTTTGAAAGAAACTTCTATTGGGATTATTTCAGTAGATACTTTTAAAATTTACCAGAGCGTAATCTTTGAAATCCAGTAGGAACCATATTGCTAGAAAAGGCTGGAATAGAAGTGTGATGTTCTTTAGGTCACTAATTACACACTGATTTGTGACTAAAGCTACCATGAATTCTACCACTACCTGTAGATCTTGAAATCAGCAAATAGGACACATTCTACACTGCTTAATAAAAAGCACAGTAATCTGTGCTTAAGTACAACTAACTAGGTACAACAGCCACTTTGCTGACAATTACTGTAACTTGGGAATATTTTTCTTTACATCCTGATGTACTCAAACTGTTAACTTTTAGAAACAGCACAGCCTCTGTTTCTTCTGATTAACAGGTTATCTTACATTGTTGATATGGAATATGCATCTACCATAATACAGCTTTGAATAAGGTATTCAAAGTCCTCAAAAACACAGAAAAATTATATTTATACACAATTTGTCATACTGCTAACAAAGCTACTTTTTCCCAAGTTACTGAGGTGTCCAAATAAGGAGTTATTAAAAAATTCAACTTAAATTGCTATTCTCTGGCCAATGCATTTGTACCCTGAAAACTACAAAATTATCTCCAAGACCTGGCTAGAAGTTTACATTTTCTCTGAAAGTTTTTCCTCTGTCTTTTACGCACAGTATTTTTTCTTAATCTGACAAGTGGAGAAAACTCTGCATAGCCATCTACTAACAATCAAAAAGCTACAGGTTTTTTTATTTTTTATTTTTAATGCTCTAAATTCTTCAACACTGTTTCAAGGAAATTACTAGGGGTCACACCCATGAGGCTAAATGGTCAACCCAACTTTCCTAATTTAGCTGTGGAAAGATGCTTCCAAGTTAAGCGAAAGAAAAAGATTGGAATATTCAAAGTTTAAGGTTACAACCTAAACTCTTCAACTTGGGAAGCTTGTAAAGGAAATAATTTCATTTTGCTGAAATTGTTCATAAATTACCAATTTTAAATAGGATTAGAGACCAAAGTACTATAAAAATATAATCATATAGCATATTTGAGTGTCATTAACTAGAAACTGCCTGAATTCATCTTAAATCAGTTAAGGTCAGTTAAGGGATCTTAGTAAGAACTTAAAGTATAACATACTAGTTTTAGTTTCAATATTAACAGATACTGTCATCTGCAAAGTGGTTTTTAAAAACATCCTGATCTGAAAAAAAGTTATAATATAAGGAAAGTGAATTTTTAAAAACTTTAATTAAGCAAGATTAAGCATTGCTATCCGTTTCTCCTATTACTACTACTTAACCAGTACAACCTTAAATATCTGTAAAAATTTGACAGGCCTAACTGCACCAAAAAAAAAAGATTTCAGCAAATTAATTAACTGTTAATAAACTGTTCTATCTTTACCTGCACTAACTCTCTGTAATGAAAACACTGAACGTGTGTATACACACATCTATCTATATATATATATATATATATATATATATATACACACACACACACAACTATGCCCACTACTAGACCACTACACCATACCACTTCTTCCAATGAGCGCTCTCAATTAAACACAATTCAAGTAACCTAGTTAAATACAAGCTTAGGCAATGCCTTTTAAGGCATAAGATCGTTCTTCTGCAAGATTTAAATATTCCCCTCCCCATCCTATCTTTTGCTGACTACATACTAAAGTTGTATATCTGGCTCTTTCCAGTCACCTGTTTGCTTTCAAAATCAAGGGGAAAAGTCTCCTTTCAATTAGTAATACAATCATTGTTCAGTAGATTTATAAACTGAAGAAAAACTCTATATTGATTACAAAAGAAACAAAAACACTTCAGTATAACTGAGATGCTTTGTTATCCTTATTTGATAGAGGTAGAAGTAAAAGTAACTATTACTCCTAACGCTGATTCAAGAAATGTCTAGAGTCTACATTTCCAGTCCACTTAACTACATTTTAAATTCCAAAGGTTTCCAGACACACCAGAAAATAATGGAACACCAATACAGAAACACTACACGAGTCTGTTAAAAACCTAGCTTCTGAGTCTGGGGGAGCTTTTCTATAGGAAGTACAGTCATGTGGAGGTCAGAAACAAGTTTTGTAAAGCTTAATAAGAACAAAGGCTAAGTAAGGAATCCAACTAACTCTCTCATACAACTTCTTCAGCTGTCTTTTCAGGTTTAGTAATTTTATTTCTCAACTTTATCATAAAATTACCAAACTGTCCCCAAATTTCCAGTAACTCAATTATGCTGATACCCTGGACAGGAAGTAATGGAGATGTTCAGAACAGTCAGTCAACAAATGTTCAAATGGAAAGCATTCCAACGTTAAATATAAAAGGGTAATATGTGGCGGCAGCTGGCTAGCGGGGGCTTCCCCCCTATTTATCTGGAAGATAGATGTGTACAAGAATTGAGCATGTCATCGTGAGCTGCAGATTTTAGGAAAGAATGGTCCCTGTTCTTCCACTTCCTTAAAGTCAGATTTCTATCTCTCCTCGTGGTCTAAATTCAAAAACCTTTGCCCCAGATACCACTGCAAATTTGTCTGTTATTACTGGTTGGGGAAAAATAACCCAGTTCACCTTACTCCAAAAACATGAGCATTTCAGAAAAGTTTTTATACTGCCTCTAAAATGAGGCCATTAAGTGATATTCAATAATCAGGCTTCCTTCACCCGAATTTAAGAAATTTCCTGCCGTCTTTGTGTAATACATTTTTTTTTTCTTCCATGTGCGTTTAAATTTTAACACCCCTCCCCCCCGCAGAATCTGGAGAAGAGGTGTGCGGATCAAGACCCCCCCGCCCGCCATTGTCTCAAGTTTAATTTACATGCTGTAACCAAACCCTTCCCTCTTTAGAATATTTAACAAGATTGAGATTCCTTTAATTCCATGTTGGTAGCTGTTCTGTAAATACCTTTCAGGTTTTTATTTTTTAACATCCCAGTAATCTAAAAACTATTCTGTTTTTAGATTTCAATTGTAGTAACTGGATTTAAAATCTTATTACATTTATTTTATTAGTGGAATACTCAGTTTATGCAACTGTCTCATGTTTTTCATTCCTACTTTCTAATTCTAAGGCTTGAAAACAGCCATTGCTCAGTCCTTCAGCTTCACCTTCCCAATTCATTCATTAAACATTCCGCTCAGGGATTAAACTGAAATGGGAAATTAGGAAGGAACGATTTAAAACAAATCATACCCAGCAACCTCAAAATCTATAACATACAGGCCATATGGGCATACAGGAGATGGGACAATTTGAATTTTTTTTTTAAGCAAATGGAAACAAAGCTTCATATAAAACATAAAAAGGGTCCAATCATTTACTTTCAAATAGAGTCAGCTAAAAGTAGCTCCTTTTTTAAAGTGGCATCTTTCAGGCAGTCAAGAGTCATTAAAACTACTCCAAAGTTCTTATCAACCAATATCATGTTTGTGACAACTGTGAGAAAAGAATGTAATTTTATAAAGTGGGAAAACAGCACATCTTTTGGGACCCCTGAGGCTCTAATCAGGCATCTCAGAATTAAGAGTGCTCCAGGGTTGGGAAATGGCTACCCTGCTGTGGCAAAAACATGCCATTTCATAATAAATGTTGTTAAGAGAGAAAAAAGTGATTAGCATGTATCTGCAATGAGGAGATAGAAGGACTTAGTCATTGCCAGGCCATTATATTCCTTAATTATTTCATCAGTTTATAAGTGACTTGATGATTAAGTCTTATTTTCAGATTTCCTCCAAAACAAGTCCACTGGAAGGGGATTAGGGGCTCCTACTCCTCCCTGAAGTTTTCCTGCCAAAAATGGAGGCTCACAAAGAAAAATGCAAATCTACCCCCACCTTAAAAAAGTAAAGGCAGTCAAAGTCAAAACCTTCACTGCTCCTCCTTCCTCCCCTACTACCTGGAAAAAAATTTTGACCTGTTAACCAAAATAGATTCCTCAGGGTAAAGGGGAGAAAAGTTTTCTACAAATTTTTTCTAAGTGGTGTATTAGTTCCTTTTTTTGAGTAAGAAGTGAAAGGGAATAGGAACCCAACACAACTGCTAAACTTCGATCTCACAAGTTACTAAAAAACAGCAAAGGTCAAACTGCAAAGCGTTAGAAAAGTGTTGTGAAGACAAAAGGATTAAAAGAGTGGGACACTAAAGAAAAAAGTGTGTGTCCTTCACCAATAAAAGTCATATCTTGTCCTCTACTTCCTCCTTCTGTAGGCAAATAAAGACAATTCTAAAGGACTAGCTTTCCTCATCACGCCAAATCATTAAAATTCCAAACAAACAGATTATTAATCCTATTCTAACAATTAAAATAAATGATGAATCTGCCTTGGAACTACTGACAACTGTATTTTAAATAACTTACTGCCTCTTGAATTTAAATATAACCGATTAAAAATGGCAGCAACATCAGGGTTAAGAAACAAAACGAAACACTATTAGTCTCCAGAACCCTGAACAAAACAATATCTAAAATAAATATGACTTCCCAGAAGGAAAAAAGTTATCTACCATTAAGGACACACCTTAAAAGTTCTTAGCACACATTAAGTAAGCACAAACTAGTGGCTTGCCTGTTATATTTTCAGACAAAAAGCAATGAGGTTATTCCTCTGCACTTGTCACTGCAGACACATCAAGGCTTTTAGAAACTACATCTATTACTCGTTGTCTAAGTATCATAAAACTTAGCATTTTAAGTCTTGTTTGATATCAATCAAGAAAGAACATCCACTTCAGGGGAAAGAAGTACAGTAAAATAAGAACATTGTAAATCTCCTTCTTGACATATACAAAAGAGAAGGTAAAAGGCCTCCTAAGACCCCTACCTAGTGGCCAGGCCTGGACGGCAGCTGTTGCTACCTCGCCTTTTCTTTTGTTGAGCTTAATCTCATGTCAAGTCATTCAACCAACTCAAAAGCAATGAAGACATAATTGAATCAACCTGAACTAAATCAGACCTAGGCTTCTTAAAACATACAGCTTAATGCTTCCAAACGATCTAGAAAACTGAAAAACCTAGCTACGCTGTAGGACACACAGTGGCCAATAATACAGGACCCCCAAACTGGCCAGTGGACCACTGCAACCGCCATTTACTTTCTCCGTGTTTAGGAATGTTCAACGCTCCAAGCCCCATAGACTGATTCAGGAAGATAAACTGAGGCTCAAGGAATTTCGAGGTAGAACAATACACCAAAGCCTTAAACCTGAAATGACTACCCTTTTCTGGGGGGTGGGGGGAAAGAAAAAGAAAAAAAAGTTTCTGGGGCTCTCAGGGCGGCCCAGATGCCAGGGTCCCAGAAGTGGCCTTTTCTAGCTCCTGTAACTAAACCTGGCGGAAAACTCCCTGCCTGCTCACCCCACCCCCACCCGCCCAAGAAAGCGCCTTCCCGTCTTCGGTGGCCCTACCCAGAATCCCAAAATGTGGGTTCCAACCCGGGCCCTGAACATCTTCTCAAACTCCCGGGACCCAGGTTCCGGCGCGCGCCCCGCGTGCCGGGTCTTGCCCCTCGGGCGGGACCGCCCAGGCAGCCCCAAATCCAGCCTCCCGGGCCCCCAGCAGCGCCCTCCGCCTCTCCACCATCCCGTCCGGCTCGCAGTCGGGGCCAAATCGAGAGACAAGAGGGCTGTGCCTGAAACTGAGCGGTTTCACCACTCGGCACCTCCTGGCAGAAACTTCCCTTAAAAAAAAAAAAAAAGAAAAGAAAAAAAAAAGCAGCAGCACTTTTGGGCTAGCATTTCAATCCTTCCTGCCCTTTAGAGTTCCCAGTTCTGCTTCCAGCTGGCTTTGGGTGTTCCACTAGAATTGAGTTGTAAAGATATTCTTTAAGTGTTTATAGAACATTAAGACTTAAAAAAATCTTTAAAATTAGAGGAGGGAAAAAAAAAGCCACCTTATCGCACACATCCAGGAAACGCAGCCCCGTGCATCCCTGTTCAGGGATGAGCAGGCGCCCCAAGACTCCCGGGGACAGATTTTTGGGCACCCGAGGGAGTCACGGGGCGCGCGTCGGGGTCCGCGGCGAGGCCCAGCCCCTCCCGCGGTCCCTTAGAGGCGCCCTCCGCCCGGCCCGAGTGGACCGTCCCGGCCATTGTTTACGGGGGGATGCCCGTCCGGACGCATTGTTTTGGCCGCTTCCAACTTGCCCCGGCCCTTCCCCGGGCATCGCGGGGGGACCCTACGCCGACGTTCCCCCTCCGCCCGCGCCCCAAGGGCCAACTGGGCAAATTGGGAGACCCGCCCCGCGGGGCGACCCAACTTTTCGGAACAGCCCCCCACCGCCCACCCCCGCAGACCCCCGCTCCCGGCGGAGATTCAGGGAACCCCGCACCCCAAGCCCCTCTGAATCGTGCGGCGTGAGTGTGACGGCCAAGAGCGGATGCAGCCCGGGATCGCCCGCACCTTCCCGCGGGCGGAAGCGCAGGAGCCGGCTGGGGAGGGGGCGCCCTAGAGGAGCGGATAGAAAGCTGAGACGGGGAACTGAGGTCATCCTGGGGGGGGACAAGACAACGAGAGCCGGGCGCCTCGGGGGCGGCGCGGGAGCCTCCGCAGGACCGGGCGGGCGCCCCGGCTGGCGCGGGCGGGGGGCGCGCCCCCTTTACCTGCGGCTCCGGCTCCTCGGCCATTTCCTCGCGCGGCGGCGGCCGGGACTGAGCTGACACCACTCGGGCCGGCCGGGTTTGAATGAGGAGGAGCGGGCGCGGAGGGGAGGGGGCGGGGAGGGCGGAGGGAGGGAGGGAGGCGTCGCGGAGTTTCTCTCAGCCTTTTGTGCGGACACCTCCCGGATTCCGCGCCCGCACCCGGCCCCCCAAAAGACACGGGGAGCCGCGGGCGAGGGGTGCAGCCATCCGCCGAGGAGCCTAGTGCCTTCGCGCCTCCAAGACCCCCCCCCAACAAAAAAGGAGCGTCCCCCACCCCCACCCCCGCCCGGAGAATATAGGGGCCGGGCTCACCTCGGGCGCGGGGCTAAGGTGAGCGGGGCGGGGGTGCGCACGGGGGCAAAGGCGCGGGCGCCCCCTACTCGTCCGCGCGGGGACAGTGCAGGCGCGGGGGGTCCCTAGAGCCGCCGGGGCGCGGCGCGTCCGGCGCTGGGGGACTGTTGGGTCAGAAAGTGTTCAGGGAGCAGCTGTTGCGCCCTCCCTCGGCCCCGCCGCTCGGAGACGCCCCGCCCCCTGCCTTCACCGGCCGCCCCGCCCCCTGCCTTCACCGGCCGCCCGGCCACGCCCCACACCGCCCCGGCCCCGCCCCAGCGCCCACGTGACTAGCATAGGCGCGCCCCTGCTCCGCCCCCCGCCGCCGACTCCGCCTCCGGGACGGGAGCGAGCGGCGAGCGCGCGCACTCCCAGTTCTCGCTCGGCGACTCCCGCGCACGCGCGCGCCGTGCCACCCTCCCCGCGCCCCCCGCCCCGCACCCCTCCTCCCGCCATCCGGCTTAACGTGGCGGGCGCGCGCCGCGGCGGTAGCCGTGACAGGTACCCGGGGAGGCCGGAGGGAGGGGGCCGCGAGGGTGTGCGCAGGCGCAGATCCGGCCCTGTCCCCGCCGCCCCCTCCTCTGCAAGGTGTGCGCGGGCGAGGGGAGGGGCCCGCGGCCCGAACCCCTGGGTCACCCCGAATTACAAACAAAAACCTTAACGCCGTTGCTCGCGGGTTAGAAGGCAGCTGTGCGCGAAAAACACCAAAGATTTTCTTCAAGCTTGAGGAAGGTCGAGAAGATAAACAGTTTTTAAATGAGTATCTTCAGAAAGCTATTTAATTGTTGTGATTTTTTTTTTTCTGAAAGGGCTGGGCTTGCGCTATTCTAACTTGAGATTTCTAAACTTAGCCTAGGTTCCAAGAATCTACTTGGTTTTGATAGAAATCCATTTGGAGGAAACCGGGGACAAAAAAAGGGACAAAAAAAAAAAAAAAAAAACCGCTACCCTTTCCCCTCCTCCCTACGCACAACTCATTTAAAGCGTTTCCCAAATGTTTTCTTTCCTTACTGAAAAAAAGGACAAAAAAAAGATCCTGATTCCTAAGGCCTGTGATATTTCCCCATTTTAAATAAGCTTCGAGGAACCATAGACATAACAAGCACATCCACAATTTTTCTACCCCAAAATGCAAACTAATGCAAATGTGAAATGGATCTATGCAAGTCGCTACTAACAAAATAGCCAAATATTTGTGTTTTTACCGGCCTTCAGCATATCCAAAATGAAAAAACTTTAAAACACATCAAGAAAAGCATTTAAAATATCTATTTCCTAAATCAAAAGAAAGAACGCACTACAGAAACGATCCGGAGCTGGTGAGCAATGCAATCTTAATAAATAGGAAAAGGAATTTGAGAAGACAGCTCAGCAAAGGGGAAGAATTTGCCAAGTGTCATGTTTTGCTGTCATTTTATATATAACTACTAACCCCACATATGGTCTGGTTAGTCTTTTTTAAAAAGGAAGCGAATCAATTACTCACAATTAATTAGCAGTGCCAGTAGATTCTTAGGCCAGCACTAAAAAACTAAATTGGGTGAATTTTTTTTCACTCAAGTCCACTGATATTGATCACTTTTAGTATTAGGATTCCTTTTCTGACAAAGGATGAATACCTATCTTTAAAATATATTTTTTAAACTTATTGTCACATTCTAAAACACAGTCCAAAAACACTTCATAAACAAGAAACTTCATTTAACTTTATGAAAACAAATGACTATGAGCCTTGCTACACAACAAAGAAACTATGACCAAGTGGAACCAGGTTGAGCCTGAAGTGTAACCTCATTCTACATGTTAATGGATAACCTTTGAACTCCGAGACCTTGAATGCTGTAAACACAATAGCACTGATAGTTAAAAATTCTAGTGTCAAAATCGAGCAAAAAGAAAAGTCCAAACTTTTCAGGGGGAATAGGGAAACAATCAAATATTTTGACAAATAATCGTTTCAGTAAGAACAAGGAGATTCCTGGCTCTCAGACCTTGTTGCTACTGAATTATTTTCTGAGCAAAAACGGTTGTGCTTGTTTTCCCCCTGTGCCCTCCAAAGCTACCACTTTGTTCACATTATAGCATCATGATTTGTTACTGTTTCGCCGCCTCTCTCAAAAAAAAAAAAGAGAGCGCCTTATTATGTTGTAGCTTTTAAAACTGAAAGATGATTATAATTCACTGATCTGTCTGCTAAGAGTTTTATTTATATGTGATCCTCCTTATGTTTGAGCAAAGAATTACAAAGAACCTTGTCCTGGAGTCGTGCCAACGAAACTGGGAAATCGTTGCAAAATTCTGCCAGTGACTGACTGCTGGGTTGCAAATACATACTGTGTTTTCAGAAGGACATAGAGGGATCTGAATTCGCCTGGGAGGGCTTTTCCCTAAGACACATTCTTCCCTTAGAATGTGAGACTCATACTTCCCATTTATTTGGAAAGCATGTATAGTTCAAACAATTAAAATATGGAAACTCCAAAAGTAACAGGAGAACACTGGAAGCATTTGGTTTTGTAATAAAAGCTAGGAACTCATACTGCACAAAGTGAAAATTGAAAATCGAACGTTGGTCTTCCTATGCTTAGCTCCACCCACAAGAAATCCAGCTTCGCCATCACTCCCTGCGTAGGCCATCTCTAAAGGAGTCAGGTGCTACTAGATGCCAGCAAAAAAACAAAGAATGGAACCAAAAGAGAAGCTCTGCACATGGTACTTGGAGAAGGGGCAGAAAATCCCCACTTCACCTTCTTTCAATGCAGCAAACATCAGCTACACCTCATTTTTCACAATCATCCAAACAGGCCCTCCTTAAGACATATTTCCTAGTATGCGCTTATAAAATCACACCATTATCTCTAATTTAATCCTAGTGATATAAGGCCTCTTCGTTTAGCCAACATCTGATTTTCTATCCAGATCCTGCCAGTCACAGCATGCTCAGATCTAGTAACATAACAAAAAAAAAAAAAGAAAAAAAAAAAAAAAACTTCTGATTTGCTGTATTTAACACTTACTGGAATCCTCTTTTGAGACTCAGCCTTAATTAGAAGAACAGAATGAGGTAGGATCTTCTTATTTCACAAGACGTTATTTTACTGTGGAACTATTATAGAAAAACTATTTGGAAACTGTGTGTAAATCCCTGGAGCTGAAACAGAGCCAACATAGATACGGGACGTAAAAGAATTCAGTGTTCAGAGCAGGAAAACCTGAAAAACTGCAGTGAGGAGTTAGCAGGAAAAGAACATGAAAAAGTTAGGCAAACCTGCCAGCATCTGCAAACTACAAAGGACATTTGAGAAGGAAACAGGGACAGCCCTTTGAACAAGACTAAATGCACTCAAGTAAGTAGGAATAACAAACAGCTCGAAGGAGCACCACATTGCTCTTTTCTATTAAGTTTCTTGATCCCATGCAAGTCACTCTTCTGTAAAGTATCACAATAATATACTATTAAAAAAATATATTTATATATATGTATATATATATATAGCAGAACTTACCTTTCAGAAGAGAAGGCAGGGTCTGGAACCTGATAACTCTGTAGGACTTCACTCTACCTGGCTCCAAACAATACTGGAAGAGATGTGATTGCGGGTTTTTATAAGCACAGCAAAAAGGGAGGGGTCAAGAATAAGACTTAATTTAAATAAAGGTTTCAGTACCCTCCCAACTTGATTGGATTAGTCAATCTTGATAAGGTTGACAGCATTTTTTAACTGGATTTGTCCTATTCGATGAGTGCCCTCCCCCACTGCAAACACAACTCATGACTCCTCTAATATTCTGGATAGTTTTCTGAAATTACCTTCACTCAAAATGTTAATGTAAAAACTCCCTTAAAAATTGCACACAAAACACAACACTGGGAACGCCTCTTTAAAGTTTTCTGCCTTCATTAGATATTCCAAACAGGAAGTTTTGGAATGAGGGACGGAGGGGAAGAAGAGGGTGACTAACATTAATTGAAATTCAATCATCATTATAATCTCAAGCCAGAATCTTAAAATCTAATCAGGATATTTCATCTCCATCTACTCCACCCTACACAGACCTTGCATCCATCAGCAAACCTTCATATGTCTCAATTGTGTCCATTTATCTTTATCTCTAACAAAAGCCTACACCAGGTACCACTGGCAGGTGCCATGCACGTGAACGCGGAGTCTGCTGTTGGAAATGTGTTGGGAAGGGAGAGTTCCCGGTAAGAATTATGTATTTAGGAGCTTTCCAAATACTGATGGCATGTTGAGCCATCAGACTGGATAAAATCACACGAAAGAGGTGCTAGTATTGGGCCCTTGGGTGGTTCAGCGCCTGGAAGTCAAGGAGAAGAGAAAGAGAGCAAAGGGGACTGAGAGGGAGCAGGCAGTGAGGTCTGAGGGACCGCAGGAGAGCATGGGGACCCAAATGCAAGGGAAGAAAGGGTGTCAGCTCCATCACGTGTTCTCCTCCAGACAGAGACAGTACTGTATATGCAGGTTTCTCCAAACTTCTTCCTTTCTAGGTTTCCCTTAATGCTTTCTCTACCTATAATCCAAGACTTTTACCCAAAAAGACTTTTACCACGGATATCAGATAAATTCACCACCCCTTAATGGCTTCCTATTGCCTTGAGGGAAAAAAAACTCCACAGCTTCCCCCACCAGCTCTGCAGATCTGGTCCCTGCCTAACTCCAGCCTCAAGTCCTGGCAAGCCCTTCACTGAGGCATCTGAACTCCAGCCTTCTCTCTGACCTAGAGCCTTCAGCCCTGGGGTTCCCCTTGCCTAGCACCTCCTTTCTCATTCTCTTCAAGAACTTGGCTTCTGTTCTGAGAGTGGTTTAAAACCCCTAGTTCCCTGGGAGGGGGAGGAGGGGGGAGGCTCTGACATAGTGTCCTGGTCATGAACATCTTCTCTCCAATAACTTGGGCTCAGATACTCAGATTCTACCTCTGGAGAGCTGCATAACCCTAGAATATTATTTAATCTCTCTCAGGTTTCAGTTTCCTTATCTATAAAAGGGGAATGATGAAGATGATGAAGACGACAATTATAATAATTGTTTGTGTTACTTATATAAGTAATAGTCACATTTCTTCAAGACTCTGGAGAATGAAATGAGACACACTACAAAGCTTGTGAGCCTAGAGTTTTGGGGGCCCTGGCACTGTTCTAGGCATGGGAGATAGAACATTAAGCAAAACAAACGAATTCCTTGTCCCATTGGGGCTTATCTTCTTGAGGGAAGCAGACAACACACTGGTAGTTATATTTACAACCTACTGGGACTGGGTCATAGGAGAGGGGAAAAGCCTGCTGTTATAGATTGAGGCTCCCTGAGGAGCAGAGACCTCCCAGGAAGTCAGGTGGCAAATCATACCGGGATGGGGAGGAGTGTTCCATTCATTCAGAGGGAACAGAAGGTGAGAAGGACCAAAGAGGAAGAGAGCCAAGCTTGGAGAAAGAATTGGAAGGCAGCCAGTGTGTCTGGGGGCCATGGAATGAAGACAGGATAGGGACAGAGGAGCAAGAAATCAAGGCAGGCCCGTGTGAAGACCGGGGATTTGACTCTCGTTGCAGCAGGATATCAGTGATCAGTTCTCTGTTCCCTAGTATTTGCCAAATCTGCAACACTTGATAGAGCTCTTTCCTGCCTTGCAGTTGGGTCCCCATGCTATCCTGATCTCCGTCAGTCCTCGCTGGCTGCTCCCTCCCAGTCCCCTTGGCTCCTTCTTTAGACTCTCTTCTTTGACTTCCAGGTGCTGACATGCCCAGGGCCCAATGCTAGCAACACTTTCTTATTCATGTGATTTTATCCAGTCCGAAGCTTCAGCATGCCATCAATATTTGGAAAGCTCCTAAATGTCCATATTTCCCACCTGGAACTCTCCCCTCAACTCCCAAAACACATTTCCAACTGCTGATTTTGTCTCTACATGAGAGGTCCCTGTGTTTACAGGGCAGAAATGTAGACCGTCCCATTCTAAGCGGCCACAATTGACCTTTTCAAAAGTCGTCGTCTGGTTATGTCATGGCCCTCATGCGTCTTAGAATAAAAACAAATTCCCGATAACACAGCCCTCATGCATCTTAGAATAAAAACAAAGTTCCCGGCTGGGCGAGATGGCTTGTGAGATGGCTCATGTCTGTAATTCATAATTCCAGCATTTTGAGAGTGAGAGTTGGGAGGACTGATTGAGTCCAGGTGTTTGAGACCAGCCCGGGCAACATAGCGAGACCCCATGTCTACAAAAAAATAAAAAATTAGCCGTTGTGTGCCTATACTCCCAGCTACTCAGGAGGATGAGGTGGGAGGATCACTTGAGCCAGGGAGGTTGAGGCTGCAATAAGCCGAGATTGTGCCACTGTACTCAGCCTGGGCAACAGAGTAAGATCCTGTCTCAGAAAACAACAACTAAACAAAAAAAAAACAACAACAACAAAACAAAACAAAAGTCCTGAGAACATGGCTGTCAAGATCTGGTGGGCCATGCTAAGACTCTGGGATTTATTCCAAGAGCACTGGGAAGCCACTAAAGGAAATGGAAATAAAACCAAAAGAACCATTGAACGTCAAGTAACTGTTTCTTTCCCAAGAGATGTTAATGTCTCCCAAAAGACCCCATCCTGGTTTAACAAAGAGGATATGACAAACTGTAAGAAGTTGGAGTCCTGCTGGGTGTGGTGGCTCACGCCTGTAATCCCAGCACTTTGGGAGGCCGAGGTGGGTGGATCACGAGGTCAGCAGTTCGAGACCAGCCTGACCAACATGGTGAAACCCTGTCTCTACTAAAAACACAAAGGGAGGCAGAGGTTGCAGTGAGCTGAAATTGCGCCACTGCACTCCAGCCTGGGTGACAGAGTGACACCCTGTCTCAAAAAAAAAAAAAGAGAGAGAAAAGAGAAAACTAAGGCTCAGGATCATTCAGTAACCTGCCTGAGGTCACACAGCTAACAATTTGTTTCCCTACTTTCCCGACTACAATGAAGCCAATGCACTAGTTGAACCCAAGGTCAGACTCCCCCTTTATCACCAACCTAAATTTCCTCAATTCTAAAAATTGGCACTGATGCATATTTCTTGACCCCCTATTTCCAGGATGTTTACCAGTCAGTCATGTGTGGCTCTGGGGCAAGGTTGAAACGTCCGCACCCACTGTCCTCCCTTCCCCACATTCTGGAACAGCAATACAGTGTTTCACTTGGTTGCCTGAGGGCTAGTTTCCTCCCACCTGTGTCACTCCCTTGAGTTCTTGGTATACCTGTATTCAGGACCCTCTTTTTCACCAGACTGTAACAGACTGTAAATCTTTTTTGTTTGTTTTTTTTTTTTTTTTTTTTTGAGACGGAGTTTCGCTCTTATTGCCCAGGCTGGAGTGCAATGATGCAACCTCGGCTCACTGCAGCCTCCACCTCCCGGGTTCAAGCAATTCTCCTGCCTCAGCCTCCTGAGTAGCTGGGATTACAGGCGCCCGCCAACATGCCCTGCTAATTTTTTGTATTTTTAGTAGAAACAGGGTTTCACCATGTTGGCCGGGCTGGTCTCAAACTCCTAACCTCAGGTGATCCGCCCGCCTTGGCCTCCCAAAATGCTGGGATTATAGGCGTGAGCCACCACGCCCAGCTGAAATCTCTTTTGAAAGGGAAACCGGGCACGGTGGCTCATGCCTATAATCCCAGCACTTTGGGAGGCCAAGGCGCTAACCTAAACCCAAGAGTTCAAGACCAGCCTGGGCAATATGGCGAAACCCTGTCTCTATGAAAAATATAAAAATTAGCTGGGCATAGGGCTGGGCACGGTGGCTCACGCCTGTAATCCCAGCACTTTGGAGGCCGAGGCAGGTGGATCAGGAGGTCAGGAGTTCGAGACCATCCTGGCTAACATGGTGAAACCTTGTCTCTACTAAAAATACAAAAAAAATTAGCCAGGCGTGGTGGCGGGCACCTGTAGTCCCAGCTACTCAGGAGGTTGAGGCAGGAGAATGGCATGAACCAGGGAGCGGAGGCTGCAGTGAGCCGAGATTGCACCACTGCACTCCAGCCTGGGGGACGGAGCGAGACTGTCTCAAAAAAAAAAAAAAAAATTAGCTGGGCATGGTGGTTGGCACCCATGGTTCCATCTACTCAGGAGGCTGAGATGGAAGGATCTCTTGATCCCAGGGAGGTCAAGGCTGCAGTGAGCCGAGATGGCATCACCATACTCCAGCCTGGGCCACACACCCTGTCTCAAAATAAAAAGAAAGTGGGGAAGAAAATGTAATACAAATTAATATACCAACAGCAATTAGTGAGTACTTTTTCCATGGAGCTGGGAGAGAGAATGTTTGTAAAATTAAAATGTTCTACGCTAGAAATCAACTTTCCTTCTATGCCTTCTTTATTTCACCCCTTATAGCTAGTTAATAAATCTCACAAATCCTATCCTTCTAATCTCTCTGAAATGTATGTACCCTTTCCTTTCTATTCTCACCACCCATGTTTCTTTGTTTCCTTCTAGCCTGTGTAATAATCTCATAATCGCATCTCCTGTACCTGCCTTCTTTCTAGTCCAGAATACTTTTTCCTAAATTCCGCTAATAACCATCCTGCTACTGCTTTGTGTGAAATTCTCCAAAAAAAATTTTACTTTTCCAAAATAAGTCAAGCTCCCTCTCTTAGGATGCAAAACCACACCATGGTCCCAGCCAATCTTTCAGCCTGATTCACTCAGTATATATTTATTGACCTCTCCTTCCTCCCAAGCACTTGGCTAGATAGTAATTAAAGAGTGAGGCACAAAACAAATTGGATTCCTCCCCTCATGGAGCTTATATTTTAACAGGAAACATAGACATTGAATAAATTAAAACAAAAAAAGACAAGAATATAATTACAGTATCTATCCTAGAGAAATACACTCATGCAGAAAGCATACACAAGGATGCAGCACTGTTTCCAGTAGTGAAAAGCTAGAAACAACCTACATGTTCACCAAAAGAAAATGGCCACAAAAACTATACCATATCCAAATTATCCAAATTTTAAAATATAGACAACAGGCCGGGCGCGGTGGCTCACACCTGTAATCCCAGCACTTTGGGAAGCCGAGGTGGGCGGATCACGAGGTCAGGAGTTCAAGACCAGCCTGGCCAACATGGTGAAACCCCGTCTCCTCTAAAAATACAAAAAAATCAGCTGGGCACAGTGGCAGGCGCCTGTAATCCCAGCTACTGAGGAGACTGAGGCAGAAGAATCGCTTGAACCCGGGAGGCAGAGGTTGCAGTGAGCCAAGATCGCGCCACTGCACTCTAGCCTGGGTGACAGAGCAAGACTCCATCTCAGAAAAAAAAAAAATAGAATATAGACAACAGGCCGGGTGCAGTGGCTCATGCCTGTAATCCCAGCACTTTGGGAGGCAGAGGTGGTCTGATCACCTCAGGTCAGGCGTTCGAGACCAGCCTGGCCAACATGGCGAAACCCCATCTCTACTAAAAATACAAAAATTAGCCGGGCGTAGTGGCGTGCGCCTGTAATCCCAGCTACTTGGGAGGCTGAGGCAGGAGAATCACTTGAACCCAGCAGGCAGAGGTTGCAGTGAGCCGAGATCATGCCACTGGGCAACAGAGCGAGACTCCCTCTCAGAAAAAATACACACTGTGAATAAAATGTTTACTAGTTCCATATCCTGCTTTTGGATAAACATTTGATACACCATTCTATACTTACTCCTCTCTTTGCTCTATTCTGACTGCCTGCACCCCTCTCCGCCACCCAATCCCCCAACATATATGCCATATATATAAACATCAACCTGTAACCACCCTAATCAGCCCCAAGGTCACTCGAAATGCCACCTCCTTCAGTTACTCTCTCCTTTGTTCAATGCCTCCTTTATGACACTGTCTGCGTTATGCCTAGCCCTGGGTATGTTATTTCTCTTACTACCTGAATAGGGGGGAGGCTCTTCCAAGGGAAGACCAGTTTCCTCCATGTTGTGGAACGGTCAACACACAGGAGGTGCTCCAATATTTAGCTGTTCCGCTGTTCTGTGCTCCTTGGATTTTTTTTTTTTTTTTTGAGACAATGTCTCACTCTGTCACCCAGGCTGGAGTGCAGTGGCGCGATCTCAGCTCACTGCAACCTCTGGGGTTCAAGCGATTCTCCTGCCTGAGCCTCTTGAGTAGCTGGAATTACAGGCGTGCACCACCACACCTGGCTGATTTTTGAATTTTTAGTAGAGAGGCAGTTTCACCATGTTGGTCTCCAACTCCTGACCTCAAGTGATCTGCCCGCCTCCCAAAGTGCTGAGATTGATTACAGGTGTGAGCCACTGCTCCTGGCCTCCCTGGATTCTTTTTTTTTTTTTTTTTGAGAAGGTGTTTCCCTCTTGTTGCCCAGGCTGGAGTGCAATGGCGCAATCTCAGCTCACTGCGACGTCTGCCTCCCCAGTTCAAGCGATTCTCCTGCCTCAGCCTCACTAGTAGCTAGGATTACAGGCGCCTGCCACCACACCCAGCTGATTTTTTGTATTTTTAGTAGAGACGGGGTTTCACTATGTTGGCCAGGCTGGGCTCGAACTCCTAACCTCAGGCGATGCACCCGCCTCAGCCTCCCAAAGTGCTAGGATTACAGGCATGACACACCTCGCCCGGCTCCTGGATTCTTTAATACACTCGTTTTTTTCCTATCTCACGTGACATGTACATATTAAGCACCCACTATGTACCAGGCATTGTTCTAGGTGCTGGAGATGCCGCAGGGAACCAAACAGATCAAAATGCCTATCCTCATGGAGTTAACATTTGATATTATAGTGTGTTAGATATTAAAATAAGTACTATGGAGAGAAATACAAGGGGCAAAGGGGCTACAGAGTGGAGGGGTGGTGAGGGAAATGTTAAATAGATTGGCCCTGAAAGGCTTCATCATAGACACATCTAAATAAAGATCTGAAGGGGGTGACAGTGGGAGCCACAAGGAGTTCTAGGGGAAGAGCATTCCAGGTTCAGGGACAGGCAAGCGAAGTCCTTGAAGCAAAGTGCACCCAGTGTTTCAAAGAACAGCAAGGAGGCCAGCATGGCATTGTGGCTGGCGTGGCGACAAGCCCGGAAATTAGGATGGGGATGGTGCATCTTGATTGCACGGATCTTTCTGGCCATGGTAAAGATTTTGAATTTCATTCTGAATGGGCCTGAGAGCTCTGAATAATCTGAGCAAAATGGCCGGGCTCGGTTAGTAAGTGGCGTATTCAACGGGTTCACACCATCAGGAGCGCTCCTAAAATAGTAACACAGGGTCTCTCTCCTTTGCTGAAATCACTCAGATATTTAAATGTATCTCTATTTCAGGTTACTTCTACAACCATAACAGTAATAATAATAATAGTAAGAAGAGGACTGAGTGCAGTGGCTGGCTCACGCTTGTAATCCCAGCACCTTGGGAGGCCAAGGCCGGCGGATTGCTTGAGTCCAGGAGTTCGAGACCAGCCTGGACAACATGGCGAAACCCTGTCTCTACAAAATACAAAAATTATTACAAAATTAGCCAGGAGTGGTGGCAGGCACCTGTAATCCCAGCTACTCAAGAGTCTGAGGCAGGAGATCACTTGAACCCAGGAGGCAGAGGTTGCAGTGAGCCAAGATCATGCCATTGCACTCCAGCCTGGGCAAAAAGAGTGAAACTGTCTTAAATAAAATAAAATAAAAATGTGCCGGGCTTGGTGGCACGCGCCTATAATCCCAGCTACTCAGGAGGCTGAGACGGGAAGATAATTTGAGCCCAAGAGGTCGAGGCTGCAGTGAGCAGTGTTCATGCCGCTGCACTCCAGCCTGGCCGACAGTCTCAAAAAATAAAATAAATAAATAAAATAAGAAAAACAGGGAGGAGAACAGGAGGGATAAGAAGGGGAAAAACAGGCCGGCCTCGGTGGGAAGCCAGCACTTTGGGAGGCAGAGGCAGGAGGATCACGTGAGGTCAGGAATTCCAGACTAGCCTGGCCAACATGGTGAAACCCTGTCTCTACTAAAAGTACAAAAATTAGCCGGGCATGGTGGTACATGTCTGTAATCCCAGCTACTTGGGAGACTAAGGCAGGAGAATCGCTTGAACCCCGGAGGCGGAAGTTGCAGTAAGCAGAGATGGAGCCACTGCACTCCAGCCTGGGCAACAGAGACTCTGCCTCAAAATAATAATAATAATAAAAGGGGAAAAACAAAATGATTTACTGCACCCCCACTACGTGCCACTCTCAGCTCCAAAGCTGATTTATATTATGGTGTTACTTAGTTCTCCTGATAACCTTCATGCTTAAATCCATTTGCAGATGAGGAAACTGGGGCCTGAGGTTAACTTTCTGACTTAATTCTCTTACTTGAAGATCTACAACTAGAAGAAAGTGGGATTCTAGCCCAGATCCAATGCCAAAAGCCATGCTGACTCATACCATTCTTTTCTGTCCTAAGTGGTTGACCTTGGCCTTAGGAAAACAGAATAATAATAAGGATCACTGATTGGGCATTGACTCTGGGTCAAGCACACCATCCTCCATTTTGAGATCCCCCAGCAGAGTTGGAATCCAAGTCTCCCAGAGTACAAAGTGGCACCCTAGGAGCAGTGACCACCCCCCCCCACAGCAGGTCAGGGCTGAGCTCTTGAAAATGGCTCTCTGGGTTCAAACCAAAACTCGATTCCCCAGCTGTGCCGCTTTGGGGCTTCCTTTGAACTCTCTTTGACTCCATTTTCCCCATTTTACAGATGGGGATAATAGAACTCCCTAACGGCCGGGCGCAGTGGCTCCAGTTTGTAATCCCAGCACTTTGGGAGGCCGAGGTGGGCAGGTCGCTTGAGCTCAGGAGTTCAAGGCCAATCTGGGCAGCATAGCGAGACCCCTCTTCACTGTCTCTACAAAAAATACAAAAATGAGCCAGGCATGGTGGCTGAAGCCTGTAATCCTAGCACTTTGGGAGCCTGAGGCAGGAGGATTGCTTGAGTCCAGGAGTTCAAGACCAGCCCTGGCAACATAGCGAGACCCCTATCTCAATTTATTTAAAAAAAATAAATAAATAAAAAATAAAAATTAATAGGCTGGGCACGGTGGCTCACGCCTGTAATCCCAGCACTTTGGGAGTCTGAGGCGGGCGGATCACGAGGTCAGGAGATTGAGACCATCCTGGCTAACACAGTGAAACCCTGCCTGTACTAAAAATACAAAAAGTTAGCCGGGTGCGGTGGCACGCACCTGTAGTCCCAGCTACTCAGGAGGCTGAGGCAGGAGAATCGCCTGAACCCGGGAGGCGGAGGTTGCAGTGAGCTGAGATCGCGCCACTGAACTCCAGCCTGGGCAACAGAGCGAGACTCTGTCTCAAAAAAAAAAAAAAAAAAATATATATATATATATATATATGCCAGGCACGGTGGCTCACGCCTGTAATCCCAGCACTTTGGGAGACCAACGTGGGCGGATCACATGAGGTCAGGATTTCGAGCCCAGCCTGGCCAACATGGTGAAACCCTGTCTCTACTAAAAATACAAAAATTATTTTTTTGTATTTGAGACTTCATGTCAAAAAATAAAATTAAATTAAAAAATAGCCGGGTGCAGTGGCTCACGCCTGTAATCCCAGCACTTTGGGAGGCTGAGGCAGACGGGGCGGATCACCTGAGGTCAGGAGAAACCCCCTCTCTACTAAAAATACAAAAAATTACCCAGGTGCTGCGGCGTGTGCCTGTAATCCCAGCTACTCGGGAGGCTGAGGTAGGAGAATCGCTTGAACCCGGGAAGTGGAGGCTGCAGTGAGCCGAGATGGCGCCACTGCACTGCAGCCTGGGCTACAGAGCAAGACTCCGTCCGTCTCAATAAATAATTAATTAATTAATTAAAATATAAAAATAAAATTTAAAAAATAGTACTCGCTGACAAGTGAATTTGGGAGGAATAAGCAAGACCTCACTCGTGGTAACGGGCGCGGGGTGGGGGAAGTCGGGGGGTGGCACACAGCGCTCAGTTAAGTCACGCCATTATGATCACGACCACCGCCCGCGGCCGCAGAACCTGCCCGCTCTGCACACCAGGGCGGACACCCACAGACGCGTCCTTCACCCGCGCAGGGACCTGCCAGGGGCGCTTATACCGGAGGGTGTTCAGAGCAGGAAAGGAAGAGATCAAATCTGAACCCGGATCCGTCTCCTACAGAACCTGAGTCGCTCAATCATCAGCTAGATCGCCCCGTGTAGACAAAGCAAGTGGAATTATTTGAAGAGTATACCTTGAGCTGGGCAATCCTCATAGAAGGTCGGGGACGACCTGCCCTTCAGTGTTCCTGGAGCATCTTCTCCAAAGTGGAGGTCGAGCCAGGCCTAGGAGGAAAGAGAGGGCAACTGCGGACGACCCCACCGCAGAAGAGGTGAAACCGACGGGCTCCAGGTAGGTGTGTCCTCCCCAACCACACCCTCCCACAGGGCCCGGAGACTGGGGAAGGCCGGAGATGAGATTAGGGTCAGAGCCACACCCCTGACCCGCGTACAGGACAAACTGAAGCCACGCGTCTACACTGGCGCTCCGAACTGCGTTGGCCCAAAGCTTCTTCACCGCTTCCAGCGGAGGGCTTAAAGCGGTCCCCCCAGCCCTCACACAGCGGGTTTTCTCAGAACCCAGTCTCCAGAGACCGCCTGGATTCAAATCCTGCCGCCGCCCTCAGCCGCTGGGAGAGCCGGGCCTTGGCCTCACCTTCTTCCCAGCCTCACCTGCAGAATGGGCGTGTCCCGAGGGTTAAATGCCCTCATCACCATGAAGCCTTAAAACGGTGCCTGGCACATGGCGATACGCAATAAACGTCCGCCAAAATGACGTTAGCCAGGATTCGCCCCGGAAGGCTTCCTGTTCTCATACAGCCCTTCAATGAGGGCTAATCCCTTTGGCTCCTTTAACAACTTTTTTTTTAATGTGGTTAGCACATTTTGTTGACTTTTTTTTTTTTACAAAGACCAAGTCAGCATGTCCTCTTAAAAATATCTTAAGAGATTATGTTTTGTTCCTACTTGCTTTGAGGAATGACTTCGTCCTGGTTGAGTGGGGTGAAAACAGTGAAATGCGAACAAGGATAATAAGACCATCTTTCCTGTACTGTTTCTTAAAAAAGGAGGGGAGTGAGGAATTAAAAATTCAGATGCTGGATTTTAAAGACTGTCATGCTAAGTATTTTCTTATCAACTTCCTTTTTTTTTTTTTGTCCTCATATAAACATAACAGTAGTTGAGTTTTTCCTTTCTTCTTGACTCAAAAAAAAAACTGACACATAAACTTCTCCAAACCAATACAGCTGAACTTTCTACAAAGATTTGTAACTGATATATTCCTTAAAGAAAATAAGAATGCTCTGAACAGAAATAAACAGTTTCTGCAGCAGTTTTATTTGAAGCCCACAAATAAAAACAGCATGTCCCCAAGGAAACAAAATAGAATTGGGAGTCGCAGCTAAAATGGCTCTGCCCTAATCCTCTCTTACCCAGTACTATGGGGTTTGTTTACAGGAAACCCTTGCCACGAGAAGTTTTCTGCTAGTTTTCAACCGTATTTTGGCATCATCAACTCAGGCATATGGAAACAAATTAAATATTCAGCTTAAAAAAAAATTACAAAGTAAAGGAAGAGAACGCTGACCTGTTCCTTTCTACCTTCTTCAGGATGGGTAGAGGCATGAAGAAATGCAGGCTCCCCTCCCCCTCCGGGCCACGCTTCCCGGCTGGGTGGAAACTATCTCATTACCACATTTTCAACAAGTAGACCAGTTTCCTCCTTTAATCAAAGTTACTTTGTGGTTGTTTGGCAGTCTGCGCATGCCATGTTTTTATAGCTATAGAAAATGCGTATTTATTTATTTTGAGATGACTATGACCATATGACAAACCTAAGTCAGCCTCTTATAGCCAATGATTTATAAGAGCTCTGAAAAGCCCGGCCTTTAAACATTTTAATAGAGGCTCTCTCATCCTTTGTAAGTGGAAGTGTAAATTGGTACAGTCCTTTTGTAAACAACTCAATGAGACAAGTCAAGGGCCTTACAAATGTTCATACATTTGGATGCAGCAATAACACTCCTGGAATCAATCCTAAGGAAACAGCCCTAATGTAGGAAAAGGTGTTAGGAACAAAGATCTTCGTGGTAACAAGATTTACTACGAGGGGGAGAGCAATACACGTTCACTCTCCATGCATGTGTGGAGGGACACAAATAAAGGAGTGGTTAGTCATCCAAGTTATGTATCCCCACACGATTACATACAGCCATTTTAGAATTAGAAAGCTTTGAAAAATAGGCCATTGGGAAATATTTATAATAGCAAATGAAAAAACCGAGATGCAAAGTTGTATTTTTAATGAACTCTAATTTTTTCTATTAGTAACGAAAAAAGGATGTAATATACATAAAAATATTTAAATTGATTTTATCAGAAAAATTTTAGTACAGACTGAATATTATATGAAAACAAAAAAATTTTATTTCATTAGCTGTAATAATGGCACGGATTATTACAGAATATGCATTATATATATATTTAAAGATGTATACTGAAGGATATAGAAGAATGACATGACATAGGAGAATTTATAATACTTTAGTAAATAAAAAAACAAGAGAATTGAACCAAAGGTGGTTAACATCTTGAAACTAGAACTTGCCCAGGCACCGTGGTTCACGCCTGTAATCCCAGCACTTTGGGAGGCCGAGGCAGGTAGATCATGAGGCCAGGAGATCAAGACCATCCTGGCTAACACGGTGAAACCCCGTCTCTACTAAAAATACAAAAAATTAGCCGGGCGTGGTGGTGGGTGCCTGTAGTCCCAGCTATTTAGGAGGCTGAGGCAGGAGAATGGTGTGAACCCGGGAGGCAGAGATTGCAGTGAGCTGAGATCGTGCCACTGCACTCCAGCCTGGGCGACAGAGCGAGACTCCATCTCAAAAAAAAAAAAAAGAAAAAGAAAAAGAAACTAGAACTGGGCATCAGATATGGGGGTTACTCATTACACTATTTTTATTATTCTCTCTACTTTCGCATACATTTCAAAATTTTTATTAAAATTGTTTCTTTTTTTCTTTTTTTACCCTTAATCCTATGATGGGTTATATTTAAAAATTTTTTTAATGTTTGTTTTTCAATAATGGCATATGTATGACCCTTTTTCTACTTTCTATTTTTCTCTAATTATTTTTCATAATCTACTTATATTACCTTTGAAATAAATTAACATTTATTTTACCAAAAAGTAATTTAAAATAAGAATAGTAAACAGTTCCACAGAAAAGTTTTTCTTGCCATGTAATTCTAGTGAATCCTCAGAATGCTATGATAAGCCTGTGTACCTTAAAATGTGAGCTTCTAAATGGTCCAAATCTTTTGGGACGGCACCGTGCCATCTGAGACTGCTGTAAATATGATCAGCTGATAAAAGGCCAGCTGCAACTAACCATTTTAAAGATTAGGAACCATTTAAAAACACACACACACACACACACACCACCTCTGGCCTCTTAAGTGTTAAGTGGCAAGATACTCTGGTTTATTTCTAAAGTTTCATGCAATAATCACGTAAGCACCGAGCAGGACAGAATTCTACATACCGCCAAGCTGACTCAGAAAGAAGGGTTCCACATTCCTTAATTAGCAGCATGAGAAAAGCACCACTTCCTGCGGTGGAGTTCCCATTTCATCCAGCCACTCCACTGGCTCGGTACATCCTCAAGTCCACGAAAAAGATTTTCATAAAGTCTGGAGACACAGTGTTGTTTAATTTATTTCATTTTACTTTGTTTTGTTTTATCCTACTTTATTCTATTATACTCTATCCTATTATATGTATTCTAATTTTTACAAATTGAAGATGTTTGTAATGACGTAGATTCTTTGTTTCTAGACTTTATGGATGCCTGTATATACTGAAATCACAGTTGGAGGCAGAGTAGGTGAACACTTGACCAACTTGAAAATACAGCTTCTACTTTGGGAGGCCAAGGTGGGAGGATCACTTGAGCCCAGGAGTTTGAGACCAGCCTGAACAACATAGTGAGACCCCCCCATCTCTATTTTTAATCTTTCTTTTTTTTTTTTTTTTTAAGACAGAATCTCACTCTGTCACCCAGGCTACAGTGCAGTGGCATGATCTCGGCTCACTGCAGTCTCCCTGTCCCGGGTTCAAGCAATTCTCATGTCTCAGCCTCCCGAGTAGCTGGGACTACAGGCATGCACCACCATGCTCGGCTAATTTTTGTATTTTTAGTAGAGATGAGGTTTCACCATGTTAGCCAGGCTGTTCTCAAACTCCTGACCTCAAGTGATCTGCCCACGTAAAACTCCCAAATTGCTGGGATTACAGGCGTGAGCCACACACACACCCGCAGCCCCCACCACCACCAGTCGTCTCTATTTTTTAAACGAAAGAAAATACAGCTTTCTTGATTATTAACAGTCAAAAGATTCAAAGTCCTAGACCAGAAGTTTCTTTTTTAGTACCTATGACTTAAGTTTATGATTTGGATTAAAGTTCTCTGGCAGAACACCCACAGGATGCCAAAGCCTGAGGAAGATTTCCGAACAAGATTACACGGTTTTCCAATGGGATACATTTGATCACGTGTGAAAACATGGTGGCAGCACTACTGCAACCTTAAATGAAAGGGCAAATTCTCAGGAAACACATTCTGCTTGTAAATATTGGATGTAACCATTCTAACAGTTATTTACTTTTAACTTGAGAAATTTTAAAGAAATGTAGCCGGGCGCGGTGGCTCATGCCTGTAATCTCAGCACTTTGGGAGGCCGAGGCGGGTGGATCGCCTGAGGTAAGGAGTTCGAGACCAGCCTGGCCAACATGGTGAAACCCCATCTCTACTAAAAATGAAAAATTAGCCGGTCATGGTGGCAGGCGCCTGTATGTAATTCCAGCTACTCGGCAGGCTGAGGCAGGAGACTCGCTTGAACCCAGGAGGTGGAGGTTGCAGTGAGCCGAGATGGCGCCATTGCACTTCAGCCTGGGTGACAGAGCAAGACTCAAAAAAAAAAAAAAAAAATTTCTAGACTTTTTTCCTTTTTCCCTTTCTAAGCTTTTAAAGATTTTATGTCTGTCTTAGTTTTCAAGTTATACAGCAAAACACTGTAGATCCATTACAGAAACACTAAAATTTTAGGGTATAAGAATTCAAAGCTTCTATTATCTGGAACACAAGGGCACCCCTCATTGCCAGTGTATTCTGTTGTGTTCTGTTTGCATAGAATCCAGCCTAAATGCTGCCCACCTGGAGTGAGTTGCTAGATGGACTGAAATAATCCTAGCAAACTTGTAATGGTTTGGGCACAACCACTGCTCCTTTGCCATCTAGCTGGTACTGCTGCTGTTACCAGGTCTGTTAGATAGCGACCGATGAGGCCTCCTGGCCTTGTTGATATTTCTTTGCCTATCAGTGGATCGTTAGTTGGAGTATTTCCTTAGTCACAGACCGGCCTTTTATTGGGATGTTCTCAGTAGGAACTACATTTGCAGATAACAGATGGTTATTTAAATAAGAATGTGAAAAATATATATACTCTTTCTCTTCTGGGGCCTAAGATGGTTTTTTGCTGATTCTTAAACCTGTAGCTGTTTTTATGAGTGGATATCTGATTTTTTAAAAATCTCTCATGACATGTAAATGTTTAAGTTGTTTGAAAACATTTACATTTTCTGACCAGCCAGCAACACTTACAATCTTCCATAGTTCCTAAGATTAAGAAAACAGGAGAAAGCTAGAGAGATTTGGCAAAGTATGTAATAACCTAGCAAGGAAATTCTTGAGCAAGAGTATATGGGTTTGAATTTATTGGAACATTTGAAAGCAATTAAATTTTTTTTCCTCCAAACTTATTTTTGTCCTTTTTAAAGCACACACAGGCAAACAACTGAAAAAGATCATTGCAAGTAAAATGAATCATTAAGCTGATCAAGCCTAGAAACCACCACCAGAAGTATTTATAGCATTATTAGGGTGGAGTATCTATAATCCATTCTCAGACTTATTATAAGTCTCAAGATCCACCCTTTGAAAAGCTAATCCTATCCTCAATCTTCAAATTTAATTAGTATTTATTGATCTCATATGGAACGTCCAGCACAGTGTTAAAAAGGACCATCTTCATCAAAAAAAAAGAAAAATAAAAAAACAAAAAAATGGAAAAAAATAAAGAAATTAAAGAAAAAGCAAATGAAACAAAAGGTACCATCTTCCAAATGTGAGAATAGGTGCTCAAATGATATCTATGGTTCAACTATACATGTGTGTTGAACAAATGTAAATAGCATATAGTAGAAGCCACCGTAAATGAATCAGAATGATTCAGGCTAACTTTACAGTAAACTAGAAGAACACTGCTGTTAGATCTGTGTATCTGCCATATTTCAAATACAAGAGTCCTCACATTTTACAAGGTCACTTAGGAAAGATTAGAGGACACACTCTAATATGCAATGTATAATTCTTTTTTTTTTTTTTTTTTTGAGACGGAGTCTCACTCTGTCACCCAGGCTGGAGTGCAGTGGCACAATCTCGGCTCACTGCAACCTCCGCCTCCTGGGTTTAAGCAATTCTTTGCCTCAGCCTCCTGAGTAGCTGGGATTACAGGCGCCCACCACCACATCCAGATAATTTTTGTATTTTTAGTAGAGATGGGGTTTCACCATCTTGGCCAGGATGATCTTAAACTCCTGACCTTGTGATCCACCCGCCTGGGCCTCCCAAAGTGCTGGGGTTACAGGCATAAGCCACCATGCCTGGCCAATTCTTTTGTTTTTGTTGTTCTGGTCATGCAATGTATAATTCTTTTTTGGTTGTTTGTTTGTTTGTTTTGAGAAGGAGTCTTTGCTCTGTCACCCAGGCTGGAGTGCAGTGGTGCGATCTCAGCTCACTGCAAGTTTCGCTCCTGGGTTCAGGCCATTCTCCTGCCTCAGCCTCCTGAGTAACTGGGACTATAGGCGCCCGCCACCATGTCCAGCTAATTTTTTTGTATTTTTTAGTAGAGACGGGGGTTTCACCATGTTAGCCAGGATGGTCTCAATCTCCTGACCTCGTGATCCACCTGCCTCGGCCTCCCAAACTGCTGGGATTACAGGGGTGAGCCACCATACCTGGCCTTTTTTTTTTTTTTTTTTTTTTTTGAGACGGAGTCTCACTGTATTGGCCAGGCTGGAGTGCAATGGCATGATCTCAACTCCCTGCAACCTCTGCCTCCTGGAGTCAAGCAATTCTCCTGCCTCAGCCTATGAAGTAGCTGGGATTACAGGCACCCGCCACCACGCCCAGATAATTTTTGTATTTTTAGTAGAGATAGGGTTTCACTATGTTGTTGGCCAGTCTGGTCTCAAACTCTTGACCTCAGGTGATCTACCTGCCTCGGCCTCCCAAAGTGCTGGGATTACAGGTGTGAGCCACTGTGCCCGGCCGCAATGTATAATTCTTAAAGAATACTTTTTTATTTTTATGATTAGAAAGCCTTACTTGGCTGGGCATGGTGGCTCACATCTGTAATCCCAGCACTTTGGAAGGCTGAGGCAGGAGGATTGCTCGAGGCCAGGATTTGGAGGCTGCAATGAGCCACGACTGTGCCACTGCACTCCAGCTCGGGCAGGAGAGCAACACCCTGTCACGAAAAAAAAAAAAAATTAATCCCTACATATTATAGAAAATTTCAAAATTGCACCCATAAACCCAACACATAACATGCAGAAATAACCACTGTTCCAATTTTGCTGCCTTCCTGCAGCTTTAAAAAAAAATGGCCATTTTCCAAAACATTATCTGGGCGTGGTGGCATGTGCCTATAGTCCCAGCTACCTGGGAGACTGAGTTGGGAGGATCACCTGAGACCGAGAGTTAGAGGCTGCAGTGAGCCATGATCATGCCGCTGCACTCCAGCCTGGGCAACAGAGCAAGACTCTGTCTCTAATGATTGATAATAATAATAATAATGTAAAGCTTTTTATTTTTCCTTTTTTTGAGACAGGGTCTTGCTTTGCACTGTCCCCCAGGGTGGAGTACAATGTCAGGATCATGGCTGAGACTAAAAGCTCATGCCACCACGCCCAGCTAATCTTGGCTTTTTTTTTTTTTTTTGATAGAGTCTCGCTCTGTCGCCCAGGTTGGAGTGCAGTGGCGAAATCTCGGCTCACTGCAACCTCCACCTCCCAGGTTCAAGCAATTGTCCTGTCTCAGCCTCCCGAGTAGCTGGGAATACTGGCACACGCCATCAAGTCCAGCTAAATTTTGTATTTTTAATAGAGATGGGGTTTTGCCATATTGGTCAGGCTGGTCTCGAACTCCTGACCTCAGGTGATTCACCTGCCTCAGCCTGCAAAGTGCTGAGATTACAGGCTTGAGCCACCACACCCGGCCATCTTTGCATTTTTATACAAATAAAAATAAGTAAATACGGGCTGGGCATGGTGGCTCATGCCTGTGATCCCAGCACTTTGGTAGGCCAAGGCGGGTAGATCACTTGAGGTCAGGAGTTCAAGACCAGCCTGGCCAAATCATGAAACCCAGTCTCTACTAAAAATACCAAAAGAAATTAGCCGAATGCGGTGGCTGGTGCCTGTAATTCCAGCTGCTCAGGAGGCTGAGGCAGGAGAATCACTTGAACCTGGGAGGCAGAGGTTGCAGTAAGCTGAGATCACACCAATGCACTCCAGCCTGGGTGACAAGAGCGAAACTCTGTCTCATAAATAAATAATTAAATAATCTTTACCCTGGTCCTAGGGATGACCCTGCAAAGGGAAGGGGACTCGAGAGTCAGGGGAACCACAGTGGGTGGGAGAGAGACTGACTTTTCTCTGTGTACCTTTTGATATCAGAATTATGTTTTAACTTCATAAAAGATACATATGTCGATTTTTTTTTTTTTTTGAGACAGAGTCTAGTTCTGCCGCCCAGGCTGGATTGCAGCGGCGCGATCTCCGCTCACTGCAAGCTCCTCCTCCCAGGTTAACGCCATTCTCCTGCCTCAGCCTCCCGCGTAGCTGGGACTACAGGTGCCCACCACCATGCCCAGCTAATTTTTTGTACTTTTTTAGTAGGGATGGGGTTTCACCGTGTTAGCCAGGATAGTCTCGATCTGCTGACCTCGTGGTCCGCCTGCCTCAGCCTCCCAAAGTGCTGGGATTACAGGTATGAGCCACCGTGCCCGGCTCTTCTCTTGTTTTTTATTTTAGAATCAATTTTTCTGGGGTTAGGGCAGGGATGGGGTGAAGGGCACAGTAACTAATCATAGGACACCTCTATTTTGCCCTTGAGTAGATTTTCAGAAAAGCCTTGACAACACCCCCAGAACTAGATGGCCTAACCAAATAAAATGGCAACACCTAAAGATACTTATAAAATAAATCTTTAGGCCCGGCACGGTGGCTCACGCCTCTAATCCCAGCACTTTGGGAGGCTGAGGAGGGCAGATCATGAGGTCAGGAGATCGAGACCAACCTGGCTAACACGGGGAAACCCCGTCTTTACTAAAAATACAAAAAATTAGCCCGCATGGTGGCAGATGCCTGTAGTCCAGCTACTTAGGAGGCTGAGGCAGGAGAATTGCTTGAACCCGGGAGGCGGAGGTCACAGTGAGCTGAGATCACGCTACTGCACTCCAGTCTGGGCAACAAAGTGAGACTCCGTCCCAAAAAAATAAAATAAAAATAAATAAATAAATCTTTACACTATTTGTGGTTTATATTCTAGGGCTTTTTCACTCATTCCCTAGGCATGTGGGACCTCGAAGATGCCGAATCAGCTAAACGGGAGGTGGCTTGAGTAGGATTTGCTGCCAGCTAAAGCGTGAGATGCTATTGCATGTGCAAGGCAAGGCTTTCTTCAGCGGCATCATCTTCCAAAATAGCCCAGGTATATCTCACCAGAATTAAACCGGGCTGCAGGTGGCCTTTCCTCATACTTGACCAATGACGTGATTAATTTAGATCTGTTCGGAAGTATTTATTTAAATCCATTCTCTCCCTGAGTAGGTGTGAACTTTCCTCTTCCTACTATTTCTTTGAAATATTTCCACCTTACATGAATGAGCCATTGCACTGGAGCAAGTTTTCTTCCAGAACATAAAATAGATCATATGTATTCACACAAATGTAAAAACGATGTGCAATTTGAGCTTTCCCTCAAAGAAAATAACAGTGATTCTGGTTTTAATTCCTGGTATTAAATGTTGCAAGATTGGTAATTTGATATCCAGTGTGAGAATCTAACATGGGGTGCCTCTCTTCTTTGTCTATCTCTATTCTATTTCTTTTTCTTTTTTCTTTCTTTTTTTTTTTTTTTGAGATGGAATCTTGCCCTTGTTGCCCAGGCTGGAGTGCAATGGTGCAATCTCGGCTCACTACCACCTCTGCCTCCCAGATTCAAACGGTTCTCCTGCCTCAACCTCCTGAGTAGCTGGGATTACAGGCGCCCGCCACCACGCCCCGCTAATTTTTGTATTTTTAGTAAAGACAAGGTTTTGCCATGTTGGCCAGGTTGGTCTCAAACTCCTGACCTCAAGTGATCCACCTGTCTCAGCCTCCCAAAGTGCTGGGATTACAGGCGTTGAGCCACTGCGCCTGGCCCTCTATTCTGTTTCAATCCAACTATATGTCTGGTTTGAGGAAATAGCCAGGGACCCACGCTGTGATTAGCCCAACAACCCAAGCAGGGCTGACTCCTGAAGCCAGAGTAGTAACAATCAGTTCTGGCCTGGCTGGTCACGGTGGCTCACGCCTGTAGTCCCAGCACTTTGGGCGACTGAGGAGGTGGGGGGGGGGGGCAGATCACTTGAGGTCAGGAGTTCGAGACCAGCCAGGCCAACATGGCAAAACCCCATCTCTACTAAAGACACACAAGAAATTGGCAGGGTGTTGTGCTACACGCCTGTAATCCCAGCTACTCAGGAGGTTGAGGCAGAAGAATCGCTTGAATCCAGGAGGCAGAGGTTGCAGTGAGCCGAGATCTGGCCACTGCACTCCAGCGTGGGTGACAGAGTGAGACTCCATCTCAAAATAAATAAATAAATAAATAAATAGGCAGGGCATGGTGGCTCATGCCTATACTCCCAGCACTTTGGGAGGCCAAGGCAGGCGGATCACGAGGTCAGGAGATCGAGACCATCCTGGCTAACGCGGTGAAACCCGGTCTATACTAAAAATAATAAGATTAGCTGGGCATAGTGGCAGGCGCCTGTAGTCCCAGCTACTCGGGAGGCTGAGACAGGAAAATGGCGTGAACCCGGGAGGCGGAACTTGCAGTGAGCCGAGATCGCACCACTGCACTCCAGCCTGGGTGACAGAGCCACACTCCGTCTCAAAAAATAAATAAATAAATAAATAATCAGTCCTGACCTAATACAACAGACATGAATGGCAAAAAGTTTGATTGTGCAATTTTCTCCATAAGAGGACCTGAGGCAGGTCGTATGCTTGCTGTCTAGAAAATAATTTCAATGTATTTTGGATTCATCCATACTAAGCAGTTTTTGCTTTGTTAACTGTTTCACCTTATGAGATTTTTATTTTGAGAACAACGTGTGGTGAACGTTGGGATGTTTTTTTCTTCCTCCTCTTTTTTTTCCCTTCTGCTTTAAAAATAAGATAAGCTTGCATGCAAATAGAGTTCAGGGTGACCACAGTAACATTCTCAGCTTTATTTACTGAATTACGGAGTCTCCCTTCACTTGATTAAGTTCCATTTGCATATCTTTAACATGAGAAACACTTTATTCCACTTTATTCCATTAATGAGTCATTTGAGACATCTTCAGAGTTTATAGCAATGCTGAAAGAATGGATGTCTTCTGTATGAAAACTTAGGGGTTGTTTTATGTGCAGAGAAAGAGAGAGACAAATAGAGGTTTTTTAAAAAAAAAAATTCTAAAACTGAAATGTGCTCAAATGAATTAAAGATATTTGAAATATATTTATGTATGTATTTCTAGCTAAAGAAATATATAGTATAACATTCTCATTCTATGAAGAAATAGGCTATTTCCTTTTGTGCTACATATAATTAGTTTTCTTTTTTTTTTTTTTTTTTTTTGAGATGGAGTCTTGCTCTGTCACCCAGGCTGCAGTGCAGTGGTGCGATGTCGGCTCACTGCAAGCTCCGCCTCCCAGGTTCACGCCATTCTCCTGCCTCAGCCTCCCGAGTAGCTGGGACTACAGGTGCTCACCACCTCGCCTGGCTAATTTTTTGTATTTTTAGTAGAGACGGGGTTTCACCGTGTTAGCCAGGATGGTCTTGATCTCCTGACCTCGTGATCCGCCCGCCTCGGCCTCCCAAAGTCCTGGGATTACAGGCGTGAGCCACCGTGCCCGGCCATATAATTAGTTTTCGAAGAAGAATAATAACTCTATATGTTTACTATTTTTATTTTTTTAATTTAATTTTTTTTTATTTGAGACGGAGTCTTGCTCAGTTGCCCAGACTGGAGTGCAGTGGCACAATCTCGGCTCACCACAACCTCCACCTCCTGGGTTCTAGCGATTCTCCTGCTTCAGCCTCCTGAGTAGCTGGGATTACAGGCGTGCACCACCACACCCAGCTAATTCTTGTATTTTTAGTAGAGATGGGGTTTCACCATGTTGGCCAGACTGGTCTCGAACTGCTGACCTTGTGATCCACCTGCCTTGGCCTCTCAAAGTGCTGGGATTACAGGCGTGAGCCACCGCACTCGGCCTATTTTATTATTTTTTATTTTATTTTTGGAGAGCAATGGCACAATTTCGGCTCACTGAAATCTCGACCTCCCGAATTCAGGCGATTCCCTTGCCTCCCGGAGTAGCTGGGACTACAAGCGCCCACCACCACGCTCGGCTAATTTTTGTATTTTTATTAGAGACAGGGTTTCACCATGAGGGCCAGGCTGGTCTTGAACTCCTGACCTCAAGTGATCTGCCAGTCTCGGCCTCCCAAAGTGCTGGGAATACAGGCTGTGAGCCACTGCGCCTGGCCTGAATTTTTATTTTTTTTTTTTGAGATGGAGTCTTGCTCTGTCGCCCTGGCTGGAGTTCAGTGGCAGGATCCCAGCTCACTGCAACCTCCGCCTCCTGGGTTCAAGCAATTCTCCTGCCTCAGTCTCCTGAGTAGCTGGGATTACAGGCATGCGCCACCACACCCAGCTAATTTTTTGTATTTTTGGTAGAGACGGGTTTCACCATGTTGGCCAGGCTGGTCTCGAACTCCTGACTTCAAGTGATCTGCCTGCCTCAGCCTCTCAAAGTGCTGGGATTATAGGCATGAGCCGCTGTGCCTGGCTGAATATTTTTACATAGGAAAACAAAAGAGAGAGAAAAAGAAAGACAATCTCAATGCTTTTCTCAGAAAGAACAGGAAGCCTCAAGGAGGAAGTAGGTGACAGTTTATTTTTCAACAAGCACACGTTATCAAGTGAATGAAATTCCTCTGGAAGCTATAAAATTGAAGATTGGAGGATGGCAGTGTTCAGATAGCATGAAAGGTTGCTCACTATTTAGGAATTTTTTTCAAAGCTAAGTTATTAATGAAAGCCAATTATTTGCACTTTTCCAGAAGGAAACACTGAGTCATTCATGAAATGATCTAAGATTTTGAAACTTGCTTACACCATTTTTTTCCCCTCCTCCTTTCTTACCTGTGCCAAAAACAGAAAAGCCAACTACTCACTGGGGCCTAAATCCAGGGAGCCTGCACCAAATTAGCTCAAGACTGGAGTAATTTAACAGACTCGTGATGCCCCGAAGGCTTAGGTCCTACCAGGATGGTAAACTCTGAAGTGCCTCCATTGCCCCCGCAGGGTGCAGAGCACAGGGGCCTGGTCCCCACCTCTGGAGGGCCTGTGATTAACTGGTTCTGGCTCAGTAATTATTTAGCCATATCCCTGGACTGCCTCCAAGTTTCAAGTCGAACAGCAAAAGGGCGTGGGCCCGCAGATAGGCAGAACCGTGCTCCTAGGAGGCATTACTTATTTACAGCCAGATCCCTACGGAATTTGGCCAGAGATGGGATACAGATGAGAATGTGTTTGGCTAGGAAATACTGACTTCTTGATGCATTTATGGAAAGTTTGTGAGCTTAGGCCAGTAAACCATGTCAAAAACACAGTCAACAAATGTTTGTTTCAGGAATAAACTGTGAGTGAGGTGGTTTTAACCTAGGGACAGCTTCATTCTGTTTCTTTCCTGGTGAGACTATTTCTAGGTACTTTTTAAAAAACGTACGTTGAGGCAAATTCACTAAGAGTCAAACCACTGAAGTTTCTGGTTAGGCCATCAGTGGAAGCTGCTTATTTCATCTTCACAAACAACTGTAAGTCCATGTAGATAAATAATGTAGACAAGGAAACAATGTTTTGATCCAAACAATACAGAAAAGCTTGGAATTGTGCCTCCTTAACGTAACACCTTATGTTTGCATTGTTCTGTTAAAAGGATTTTACAGATACATTATCTTAAAATGACACTGCAAGGTACAGAGGGGAAGTTGAATGTCCCATTTCACAGATTAGACAACGGTGGCTCAGAGAGACCATGACCTTCCGAAGGTCACAAAATTAGTACATTGCAAAGTCCATGCTTAAATCCAGGGCCCCTGGCAAGAGTGCTGAGCTTGCCCCTTACAAACCGGATCTGAATGTTCCCTTCTGTATACCAGGACTCTGTGAGCTTATGTCCTTTGGTTTTGCATTAAACCTGAGCTTTTAGCTCCTAGAATTCACAAGGAATATTCAAGTCTATTTCCACTCCCTACCTTGAAGCTCCTGGTCTGTTTTCACAACAGGGGATGTGCCTGTTTGAGAAGGAAGTGGTCTAGAGTCTGGTATTAGTGTAAAATGGCTTCCTCTTTTTCTCCTTGAATTTATTCTGGTAGTATTTTATCCCAATACTCCTCCCCCGCAGCAAAAAAATCCCAAATTCTGCAACACAATTGAGGAACTTAAAAAAAAAAGAAAAGAAAAACCTTTCTCATCCACTAAGATGTTACTAATGATCACCAGTGATTTTTAATTCCCTTTGTATATGTGTGTATTTTTCAGCTTTTTTTTTAAACAATGATATAGGGTGGGGTTTTCTAACATTTAGGGAAAAAATTATTTTTAAAAAATCTCATTATTTTTGTGTAATTCACATGGTGTAATTCACACAATGGGTGGTTATTACTAACACCAGTAGGAAAAAATATCACAGGAGCTTCATGACAAATCCTTAGGCAGGGTTTAGGTCTCACTAATTTAGAATATGCCTGGTAAGCACTGGTTAAAAATTGATGATCCCGGGAAGTCTTTCTCAAACGATTTTTGTAAAATACCTAGGAGACCTTGAACTGTCTGTTACGGAGGTTTCCAATCCTGAGGAGAAGGACGGAGGGTGGCGTTCACGAGGGATACTGCCTATTACTCAGCTTAAAGTCCCCTTGGCTCTGCCCTCCTCCTCCTCCTCGTGCTGCGAGCTGGGAGGAGTCAGCGTTTTCTCTCCCTAACTGGCATTTTCACTAGGCAGAATACTTGTCTTTTGTGAACGTTTTCATTTTCAAGACATATAAAAGAAAACTTTGTTCTTTAGTAAGTGATTTTCTCCCCCGACAGGGAGAGGGTTACAAATCCCTCCCTCTCCAGCGGAGTTTTCTTATCTCTTATTTACAGAGCAGTAGCCATTTTGGGGAGGGGGAAAAGTTGTCAGCAACTCACGTCCTAATAATGGCAGATATTTTTCTTAAGCCCTCACCATGTCCCAAGCACTCTCCCAAGAGTTTTACATGTATTAACTCAGTTAATCCTTCCTAGAGCCTTATGGTATACGTGCTATTAGGATCCCGATTTTACAGAGGAAGAGACTGAGGAACAGAAATGTAAACTAACCTGCCAAGATCACACAGAGGCTGGGATTAGCTCTCTGACCTCTGTCCCAGAGGCAGAATTTTTTTCTAATCTCACGAGTATAGGTGAAAGTCAGAGTCTCATTACAGATTGAGACTGAACAGAAAGTTGGAATCCATTGAAAAAGAGGTGTGTGACATTGATCAAGGCCAGCACTTTTATTTTTGCCCATTTATACTTCCTTAAAAATCTATGAGCCAACTCTGTTGTTACAACACAAACATGCAGTGGTTCCCTAGCCAGGTCAGGTCAGCTAGAAAATACAACATACGCTCTTGAACAACTAGATTTATTTCAACCCAATTTTCAATGTTTATATAATTCAATTGTAAAATGTTAAAACTTGGAGGATTTTATTCACCAGCTGAAGGACTCATAGTTACTATCTTTAAAAACAGCAGTGAATAAGCAAACTATAAACTAACAAAAAAACCAAGCACAACAAAACAAACAGCAAATTAGGTTTAATCATAATGCTTGGGAGAATATGTATTTGGCTTAATTATATTTTCTTCTTTTTTTTTTTTTTTTTGAGATGGAGTTTCGCTCTTGTTGCCCAGGCTGGAGTGCAATGGCACGATCTCAGCTCACTGCAATCTCCGCCTCCTGGATTCAAGCGATTCTCCTGTCTCAGCCTCATAAGTAGCTGGGATTGGCCGGGTGCAGTGGCTCACACCTGTAATCCCAGCACTTTGGGAGGCCGAGGCAGGTGGATCACGAGGTCAGGAGTTCAAAACCAGGCTGGCCAAGAAGGTGAAACCCCGTCTCTACTAAAAATACAAAAAATTAGCCGAGTGCAGTGGCAGGCACCTGTAATCCCAGTACTCGGGAGGCTGAGGCAGGAGAATCGCTTGAACTCGGAGGGCGGAGGTTGCAGTGAGCTGAGCTCGCGCCACTGCACTCCAGCCTGGCGACAGTGTGAGACTCCATCTCAAATTAAAAAAAAAAAAAGAAAAGTAGCTGGGATTACAGGTGCCCGCCACCATGCCCGGCTAATTTTTGCATTTTTAGTAGACACAGGGTTTCATCATATTGGTCAGGCTGGTCTCAAACTCCTGACCTCAGGTGATCCACCTGCCTCCGCCTCTCAAAGTGCTGGGATTTCAGGCGTGAGCCACCGCGCCCGGCCAATTATATTTTCTAGTTACTCAGCTATCTACAAATAAAGGTTTTGTTTCATCTTTACATATTTTAAATATGTCTTACTATATATTTATATGTATACATAAATATTTCTTGTACTCTTTTAATATGTAAGGAATAGTTTTCCATCTTTAAACATGTTTAATATGGTAAACATCCTTTTTTATGAAACAAGATTGAATATCAATAAACTAAACCACAAGTAGAAAAAACTATCATTTTTCATGGAGAATTCACAGTTCTTTAATGCTCTCATTCTGAATCTGAATAATCATTCATGATGAAATAGAAAGCACAAATAAGTTTTACCCACATGGACTCTTCATAACATTCCCTGGAGGCTTCCTTTTTCAGACCAAATCTTTAATATCAGTTCTGTCCTTATGATTTATCTCTTCCTCCTTCAAAAGAGAAAGTAAAAAAAAAATAAAAATTAAAGGCTTTTTTTTTTTTTTGAGACGGAGTCTCACTTTATCGCCCAGGCTGGAGTGCAGTGGGGCAATCTTGGCTCACTTCAACCTCCACCCCCTGGGTTCAAGTGATTCTCCTGCCTCAGCCTCCCGAATAGCTGGGATTACAGGCACCTGCCACCGTGCCCGGCTAATTTTTTTATTTTTAGTAGAGACAGGGTTGCACCATCTTGGCCAGGCTGGTCTTGAACTCCTGACCTCGTAATCCACCCACCTTGGCCTCCCAAAATGCTAGGATTACAGGCATGAGCCACCGCGCCTGGCCTAAAGTCTCAGTTTTTATACATACACACACACATATTTTTTAATGTGGCACACACTATATAGAATATTGCAGTGCAATTTTAATGAGAAAGAAAAATGATCTTTGAGACACAACTGAAATTGAAGTACACAGAACTTATATTGTTCATTAAAACTTGTCTTTATTATACAGTTTCTAAACACTGAAGGACACAGGCAAAAGCTATGACCAGTATAAATTTAATTAAGCTTTCCATTCTGTGTATGATGAAAAGAACCGAAGTCTGTCATTTTAAAGTGAACTCCATGTAAATCCCAAGAGAAAAGTGTAAATGATTTTATTGTATGAAAAAGTTCAGTGAACTTTGAAATTCTTATTGAGCATAATAGACTTATACTGATCAAACCAGGCCAGGTGAAGTGACTCACACCTGTAATCCCAGCACTTTGGGAGGCCAAGGTGTGAGGATCACTTGAGCCCAGGAGTTTGAGACCAGCCTGGGCAACAAAATGGCACCCCATCTCTATTAAAAAAAAAAAAATTAAAAATTAGCTGAATGTGGTGGTGCACACTTGTGGTCCCAGCTACACAGGAGGCTAAGGGCAGGAGGCTTGCTTCAGCCAAAGACGTCAAGGCTGCAGTGAGCTATGATCGCACCACTGCACTCCAGACTGGGCAAAAGAGTGAGCCCCTGTGTCTAAATAAATAAATAAATAAATAAGAAAAAGCCAAACCCCATGATGCAAAAGATTTTGCCAATCCCCCTGCACCAAGAAGTGGTGTTCCCTCACCACAAACAGAAGATGTTTCATTCAGGGAATCCTTCACTAAAGGAAGACATAGTAAGCCAATGCAGCCAAAAAAATCATCTATGCAAAGTCCATGGCTGTCTTCTATCTTTAGCATTACAGATCTCAGAATCAAATAGATAGAGGCTGAGTGGGGTGGTTTATATCTGTAATCCCAGCATTCTGGGAGGCCAAGGTGGGAGGATCATTTGAGGCCAGGAGTTGAAGACCAGCCTGGGCAAAATAGCAAGACCCCATCTCTATTACACTTATTATTATTTTTTTTTGTCATTTTTTTTTTTAATTTTTGTGGAGAACGGGGCCTCAGTATATTGCCCAGGCAAGTCTCGATCTCCTGGGCTAAAGCTATCCTCCTGCCTCTGCCTCCCTGAGAGCTGGGATTACAGGCATGAGCCATTGTGCCCAGCCTTGAGGGGAGTTACAGTTCTTTTTTTGGTCTTTTTTTTTTTTTATCTCTATTAAAAATAAATAAGGCTGGGCGCAGTGGCTCACGCCTGTAATCCTAGCAGTCTGGGAGGCCGAGGTGGGTGGATCACCTGAGGTCAGGAATTCAAGACCAACATGGTGAAATCCCGTCTCTACTAAAAATACAAAAAATTCCCCAGGCGTGGTGGCACATGCCTGTAGTCCTAGCTACTTGGGAGGCTGAGCAGGAGAATTGCTTGAACCTGGGAGGCGGAGGTTGCAGTGAGTCGAGATCGCGCTATTGCACTGCAGTCTGGGCAACAAGAGCGAAACTCTGTCTCAAAAATAAATACATAAATAAAAATAAATAAAAAACAAATAGATATAGAAAGAGGTTTATGACATGACTGATCTGTAATCTGAGAAAAATCCTATCAGTGTGCAATACATGAAAATCTTACCCTGGGCCGGGCGCTGTGGCTCATGCCTGTAATCCCAGCACTTTGGGAGGCCGAGGTGGGTGGATCATGAGGTCAAGAGATTGAGACCATCCTGGCTAACACGGTGAAACCCCGTCTCTACTAAAAATACAAAAAAATTAGCCGGGCGTAGTGGCGGCACCTGTGGTCTCAGCTAACTCAGGAGGCTGAGGCAGGAGAATGGCGTGAACCCGGGAGGCAGAGCTTGCAGTGAGCTGAGATCGCACCACTGCCCTCCAGCCTGGGCAACAGAGCTAGAGAGAGAGACTCTGTCTCAAAAAAGAAAAGAAAAGAAAAGAAAACTTGCGTAGTGTTTGCAAGTCAGCTTCTCCTTGGCACAGGAAATAGAATACCCGAGGCCCATGATAATTTTAGGGGCCCACAAAAATATTTTTATTTTAATTTATTTTAAGGACAGAAGAGAACATGAATAATATTCATATATATAGTAATATAAAGCATTCATATATAATATATAGTAATGAATCCAGCCTGAATTATATTTCCTCTTCAGGCCAATGTAGTCATAAAATATAATTTTTCATATCCTTTTATGGAGGAAGGGGTCCACAAAGGCAAATATATCTCAGGCCCTTAAGAGTCATGATTGGGCTGTGTATGCTATGGAAACCTGTAAGGAGCTTGGAGGTGGAGGGAGTTTGGATGAGGCTTCTAGGTAGGAGGGACCCATTGAGTGGAGACCTGAAGGGAGAATAGAAATCAACTACGCTAAAGGCAGGGCAGAGGCCAGGCATAATGGTTCACGCCTATAATCCCAATACTTTCAGAGTCCAAGGCAGGTGGATTACTTGAGATCAGGAGTTCGAGACTAGCATGGACAACATGGCGAAACCCCATCTCCACTAAAAATTAGGCAGGCATGGTGGCATGTGCCTGAAATCCCAGCTACGTGGGAGGCTGAGGCAGGAGAATCGCTTGAACCAGGGAGGCGGAGGCTGCAGTGAGCCAAGATCGTACCACAGCACTCCAGCCTGGGCAACAGAGCGAGACTCCATCTCAAAAAAAGATAATATTAATAATAAATAAATAAAAAATAAAGGCACGACAGGGAGGAATGAACACTGAGAAGGTAGAACAAGGAAGAGTTTTCTTTTTTTTTTTTCTTTTGAGACAGAGTCCTACTCTGTCATCCAGGCTGGAGTGTAGTGGCGCAATCTCGGCTCACTGCAACCTCCGACTCCCAGGTTCAAGCGATTCTCCTGCCTCAGCCTCCCGAGCAGCTGGGATTACAGGTGCACCACCATGCCTGGCTAATTTTTTTGTATTTTTAGTAGAGACGGGATTTCTCCATGTTGGTCAGGCTGGTCTCCAACTCCTGACCTCAGGTGATCCACCCGCCTCGGCCTCCCAAAGTACTGGGATTACAGGCGTGAGCCACCTCACCCGGCCAGGAAGAGTTTTCTAAGTAGAGGGAACAGGATGTGCAAAGCCCCTGGGGTAGGAAGAAACAGGAACATTTGAAGAACTAAAAGAAGAAAGTAACACTGGTTAGAGAAACTGCAGCCAGGGGAAGAATAGTGTGAAAAGAAACAGAAGCCAGTCAATGCTGGGCTTATAGACAATGGGAAAATATGTTCTGTTTTTTTCTCTCCTTTGCCTGATCTCTAGTTTGCTTACAAAAGGAAATAAAGATTTCCTTTTATTGGTTTGCAAATTGTACATGAGTATCTACTTTATCTTTTTTTTTTTTTTTTTTTTTTTTTTGAGACAGAGTTTCGCTCTTATTGCCCAGGCTGGAGTGCAATGGTGCGATCTCGGCTCACCGCAACCTCCGCCTCCTGGGTTCAAGTGATTCTCCTGCCTCAGGCTCCCAAGTAACTGGGATTACAGGCATGCACCACCACGCCCGGCTAATTTTGTATTTTTAGTAGAGACGGAGTTTCTCCATGTTGGTCAGGCTGTTCTCGAACTCCCAGCCTCAGGTGATCCACCCACCTCAGCCTCGCAAAGTTCTGGGATTACAGGCGTGAGCCACCTCGCCAGGCTAGTTATTATCTTTTTCTTTCTTTCTTTTTTTTGAGAAAAGATCTCACTGTGTTGCCCAAGGTGGACTACAGTGGCATGAACATGGCACACTGCAGCCTTGACCTCCTAGGCTCAAGCGATCCTCCTGCCTCAGCCTCCCAAACTGCTAGGATTACAGGCATGAACCACCACACCTGGCCAGTTATTATCTTTTTAGTGCTAATAACCATCTAGGTTTTGGTTGTTTGTTAGGATTTGGAGATATCTCTGAAAAAAGAAGGAAGAAAGCATTCATGTTTCTTCATATAGAATGAACCAATTTATAAAAAAAAGAAATGAACCAACTTCTTTGTCTTTCAGAAGTTTTCTTAGATACTGAGATTTGATAGTGAGGCAGGATAATCCAGTTGTCATCATGACTATTATAATTTGAAATGTTCCCAAAAGCTTTATGTCTGACTGTAAACATATTCATGAAGATTTTAGTTTCACAATACTTACTCTTTACCATTATAGAACAAAGGTAATGTATTTTGGTAACTGCGAGGTAAAAGGAGAATTAAAACTGTAAATACAGGCCTCCGTCAGTATTTATGGGGGATTAAGTTCTAGGCCCTCCCATAGATACCAAAATTCACAGACGCTCAAGTTCCTTGTATAAAATGGTGTAGCATTTACATATAACCTAAACATATTCTCCAGTATACTTTGTCATGTCATCTCTAGAGTCCTGTTTTTTTTTTTTTTTTTTTTTTGAGATGGAGTCTCGCTCTGTTGCCTAGGCTGGAGTGCAATGGCGCGATCTCAGCTCACTGCAACCTCCGCCTCCAGGGTTCAAGCAATTCTCCTGCCTCAGCCTCCTGAGTAGCTGGGATTACAGGTGCGTGCCACCACGCCTGGCTAATTTTTGTATTTTTAGTAGAGACGGGGTTTCACCATGTTGGTCAGGCTGGTTTCAAACTCCTGACTTCGTGATCTGCCTGCCTCAGCCTCCCAAAGTGCTAGGATTACAGGCGTGAGCCGCGGCACCGGCCTCTTTTTTTTTTTTTTTTTTTTTTTTTTTTGAGACGGAGTCTCGCTCTGTTTCTCAGGCTGGAATGCAGTGGCGAGATCTCAGCTAACGACAACCTCTGACTCCCGGGTTCAAGCAATTTTCCTGCCTCAACCTCCCGAGTAGTTGGGACTACAGGCACATGCCACCATGCCCAACTAATTTTTGTATTTTTAGTGGAGACGGGGTTTCACTATGTTGGCCAGGCTGGTCTTGAACTCCTGACCTCGTGATCTGCCCGCCTGGGCCTCCCAAAGTGCTGGGATTACAGGCATGAACCACCTCGCCTGGACCCAACTTATTTATTCTGTATTCCTTTTTTTTGAGACGGAGTCTTGCTCTGTCGCCCAGGCTGGAGTGCAGTGGTGCGATCTCGGCTCACTGCAAGCTCCGCCTCCCGGGTTCACGCCATTCTCCTGCCTCAGCCTCCCGAGTAGCTGGGACTACAGGCACCTGCCACCATGCCCAGCTAATTTTTTGTATTTTTAGTAGAGACGGGGTTTCACCGTGTTAGCCAAGGTGGTCTTGATTTCCTGACCTCGTGATCCGCCCACCTTGGCCTCCCAAAGTGCTGGGATTACAGACGTGAGCCACCGCGCCTGGCCCCAACTTATTTATTCTTAATATCCACTAGGCCAAATACAGTGGCTCATGCCTATAATCCCAGCAAATTGGGAGACCAAAGTGAGAGCCTGGCTTGAGCCCAGGAGTTTGAGGCTGTAGTGGGCTATGATCGTGCCACTGCATTCCAGCCTGGACAACAGAGCAAGAACCTGTCTTTATTTATTTATTTATTTATTTATTTATTTATTTATTTATTGAGACAGAGTCTTGCTCTGTCACCAGACTGGAGTGCAGTGGCGCCAACTGCAACCTCTGCCTCCCAGGTTCAAGCAATTCTCCTGCTTCAGCCTCCTGAATAGCTGGGATTACAGGTGCCCGCCACCACGCCTGGTTAATTTTTGTATTTTTTAGTAGAGATGAGGTTTCACCATGTTGGCCAGGCTGGTCGTGAACTCCTGACCTCCGGTGATCCACCTGCCTCGGTCTCCCAAAGTGCTGGGATTATAGGCGTGAGCCACCGCGCTCAGCCAGGACTACTTTTTAAAATAATAAAGGCTGGGCACGGGCACAGTGGCTCACCCCTGTTATCCCAACACCTTGGGAGGCTGAGCCTGGAGGCTCACTTGAGCCCAGTGGGTTCCAGACAAGCCTTGAAAACATAATGAGACCCTGTTATTTTTTACAAATCGTAAAGATTTGTAAAATCCTTGTAACATTGTGCCATCGCACCCCACCTTGGCCACAGAGCAAGACGTTGTCTCAAAAAGTAATAATTCGTTAAGATCTTAGACAAGGTCTATACATTGTGCTTGGTTGTTATTCTGCATCTATCATATATGAAGCCTGAAGCCTGATGCTGGTGCAGGGTGTGTACCTAAGAAAAGCACCTTCCTCTCCCCGCCTTGCCCCTTGGCGACGAGGCTCAAGGCTCCAGGCTGAAGAATCAAGTTGATCATCACAACAGCAGTAGCCTCCTAAGCACTCTCTGCAGCTCCACTCTAACTTCCCCTCCGGGCTCTTCTCTTCAGAGGTGCCATTCACGCCACTGATCTTTGTTGAGCTCCTACTGTATGCCAGATACGTCAGGACACATTACTGCAAACAGAAACCTTGGTCTTCATGGAGGTGACAGCTTAGGGGTTTAGGAGGGGAGATTTTAAAAAATGATAAACAAGATAGTAAGTTAAATATAGAAAAGACAGATGATGATAAGCTGTTAAGAAAGAAGGATAGGGCCGGGTGCAATGGCTCATGCCTATAATTCCAATGCTTTGGTAGGGCAAGCTGGGTGAATCGCTTGAGGCCAGGAGCTAAAGGCTAGCCTGGACAACACAGCAAGACTCCGTCTCTACAAAGAAAACAAATTTGAACAACATTTTTAAAAATTAGCTGAGCGGCCAGGCACAGTGGCTCAAGCCTGTAATCCCAGCACTTTGGGAGGCCGAGGTGGGAGGATCACCTGAGGTCAGGAGTTCCAGACCAGCCTGACCAACATGGAGAAACCCCATCTCTACTAAAAGTAGAAAAATTAGCTGGGCGTGGTGGCGCATGCCTGTAATCCCAGCTACTCCGGAGGCTGAGGCAGGAGAATTGCCTGAACCCAGGAAATGAAGGTTGCGGTGAGCCAAGATCATGCCATTGCACTCCAGCGTGGGCACCAAGAGCAAAACTCCATCTCAAAATAAATAAACAAAAATAAAAATAAAAATTAGCTGGGCAGGCCGGGAGCAGTGGCTCAAACCTGTAATCTCAGCACTTTGGGAGGCCAAGGTGGCAGATCACCTGAGGTCAGGAGTTTGAGACCAGCCTGGCCAACATGGTGAAACCCTGTCTCTTCTAAAAATACAAAAATTAGCCAGGTGTGGTGGGCATGCCTGTAATCCCAGCTACTCAGGAGGCTGAGGCAGGAGAGTTGCTTGAACCCGGAAGGGAGACGTTGCAGCGAGCCGAGGTTGCATCATTGCACTCCAGCCTGGGCGACAAGAGCGAGACTTTGTCTCAAAAAAAAAAAAAAATTAGCTGAGCATGGTGGTGCCCACCTGTATTCCCAGCTACTTGGGAGGCTGAGGCAGAGGGAATCCCTTGAACCTAGGTGTTCAAGGCAGCAGTGGGCTAGGATTGTGCCACTGCATTCCAGCCTGGGTGACGAGAGAGAGAGAGAGAGAGAAGAAACAGCGAGCCAGGCACGGTGGCTCACGCCTGTAATCCCAGCACTTTGGGAGGCCGAGGCGGGCGGATCACGAGGTCAGGAGATCGAGACCATCCTGGCTAACGTGGTGAAACCCCGTCTCTACTAAAAATACAAAAAATTAGCCGGGCGTGGTGGTGAGCACCTGTAGTCCCAGCTACTCGGGAGGCTGAGGCAGGAGAATGGCGTGAACCCGGGAGGCGGAGCTTGCAGTGAGCCGAGATCGCGCCACTGCACTCCAGCCTGGGCGACATAGCAAGACTCTGTCTCAAAAAAAAAAAAAAAAAAACACAACATGTGGCCTGACTCTACCATCTTGGACAGCACAAATGTAGATTTCTATCATCACAGGAAGTTCGGTTGGACAGCATTGCTCTGTAGGATTCATCTGACTCTGGTTTTCCTAGATAGATAGATAGATAGATAGTTAGATAGATAGATAGATAGACAGATTTTTTTTTTTTTTTTTGAGATGGAGTCTTGCTCTGATGCCTAGGCTGCGGTGCAGGGGTGGAATCTCAGCTCACTGCAACCTCCTTATCCCAGGTTCAAGCGATTCTCCTACCTCAGCCTCCCTAGTAGCTGGGATTACAGATGCCCGCCACCACTCCCTACTAATTTTTGTATTTTTAGTAGAGACGGGGTTTCACCATGTTGGCCAGGCTGGTCTCAAACTCCCGACCTCAAGTGATCCACCCGCCTCGGCCTTCCAAAGTGCTGGGCTTACAGGCATGAGCCGCCGCACCAGGTCATGTTTTTATTTATTTTTTGTTAGATACTGGGTCGTGCTATATTGCCAGAGCTGGTCTCAAACTCCTGGGCTCAAATGACCCTCCCGCCTCAGCCTCCCAAAATGCTATTTTTCCTTTTTACGTGTTAAAGAAACCTGGACACATGTCTGTAAAAGTTCCCCACGTTTTAAACTCTGGTGATTTCCAACTCCCTGGTGTTATTGAACCTGTTTCTCCATTCTCTGTACTTCCTGTAAACCAGGAGTTAGACCTGGAGGCCTGATTAGATGCAGGGTTGATTCTTGGGAGCAGTTGAAGATGACAGGCAACCTGATTCTCGGTATTGTGTTAGAAAGCACACAGAGTGAGTGGAATCTAGAAGGATGTACACCAGCACGTTATCGGTAGTTATTTTGGGGAAGTAGAGTGACCTTATTTTTGCTGATCTAAATTTTATTTCTTTTTTTCACAGTGAGCATGCCTTTCTCCTGAAAAATAAAAAATAGTTGGTGTTTACTGCAATCGTATGGCAAATACTGTGTTGAGAGATTAATTTACATGAACTCATAGAACCCTCAGGGCAAGTTTATGAGGTATTTACCATCTATGCTCTGCAGTATTTATTTATTTATTTATTTATTTATTTATTTATTTATTTGAGATGGAGTCTCACTCTGTTTTCCAGGTGGAGTGCAGTGGTGCAATCTCGGCTCACTGCAACCTCTGCCTCCCAGGTTGAAGTGATTCTCCTACCTCAGCCACCCGAGTAGCTGGGATTGCAGGCATGTGCCACCATGCCTGGCTAATTTTTGTGTTTTTGGTAGAGATGGGAGTTTCACCATGTTGGCCAGACTGGTCTCGAACTCCTGACCTAAGGTGATCCACCTTCCTCAGCCTCCCAAAGTGCTGGGATTACAGGCGTGAGCCACCGTGCCTGGCTGCAGTAAACATTCAGAAATATGAAGTAACTTGCCCGAGTTCATATGGTCGGTCTTGGGTAGAGGTGGATTTTATCTGTCAGCTGTCTGACTCTGAAGGGATTCTGATTCTGGAAAGTGTGGCATGCAACCTGAGAGACTTAATTTCTTTCTGGAAGATTCCCTTAAGTTATTCTGATGCAGACCCAGGCCTGAGAACCACAGCCTCTCTGCCCACCACATGATGTCACCATCCATAAAACATCTGCTCTCCAGCCTAAATTTGCTCTCAGCTGAAAAGTATTCTGTGCCCATCACATGTGAAGCCTGAAGCACGATGCTGGCGCAGTGGACCCAACAAGAGCACCTTCCTCTCCCCGCCTTGCCCCTTGGAGACGAGGCTCAAGGCTCCAGGCTGAAGAATCAAGTTGATCATCACAACAGCAGTAGCCTCCTAAGCACTCTCTGCAGCTCCACCCCAACTTCCCCTCCAGGCTCTTCTCTTCACAGTGCCATTCATGCCACTGATCTTTGTTGAGTTCCCACTATATGCCAGATACGTCAGGACACATTACTGCAAACAGACAGAAACCTTGGTCTTCATGGAGGTAACAGCTTAGGGGTTTGGGAGGGGTCAGTAAAAAAAAGATAAACAAGACAGTAAGTTAAATATAGAGAAAGGCAAATGATGATAAGCTGTTAAGAAAGAAGGATAGGGCCGGGTGCAGTGGCTCCTGCCTGTAATTCCAATGCTTTGGTAGGGCAAACTGGGAGAATCGCTTGAGGCCTGGAGCTCAAGAGCAGCCTGGACAACATAGCAAGACTCCATTTCTTAAAAAAAAAATTTTTTTTTTTGAGACAGAGTTTCGCTTTTGTTGCCCAGGCTGGAGTGCAATGGTATGATCTGGACTCACTGCAACCTCTGCCTCCCCAGTTCAAGCGATTCTCCTGTCTCAGCCTCCCTAGTAGCTGGTATTACAGGTGCATGCCACTATACCCGGCTAATTTTTGTATTTTTAGTAGAGACGGGGTTTCATCATATTGATCAGGCTGGTCTCGAACTCCTGACCTCAGGTGATCCACCGCCTTGGCCTTCCAAATTGCTGGGATTACAGGCCTGAGCCACTGAGCTCGGCCACAAAAAAAAAGAAAAAAAAATTAACAAATTAGCCAGACATGTTGGCGCCCAGTTGTACTCTCAGCTACTTCAGGGGCAGGCTAAGGCAGGAGAATCCCTTGAGCCCAGGAGTTCGAGGCAGCAGTGAGCTAGGAATGTGCCACTGCACTCCAGCCTGGATGACAGAGTGAGACAGAGAGAGGAAAGAAGAAGGAAGGAAGGAAGGAAGGAAGGAAGGAAGGAAGGAAGGAAGGAAGGAAGGAAGGAAAGAAGGAAGGAAGAGAAAGAAAGAGAGAAAGAAAGAAAAGAAAGGAAAGGCCGGCCACAGAAAGAAAAGAGAAAGAAGAGAAGAGTAAAGAAAAGAAATGAAATGAAAAGGAAGAAAAGAAAAGGCGAGGTACAGTGCCTCATACCTGCAATTTAAGCACTTTGGTAGGCTGAGACAGGAAGATTGCTTGAGGCTAGGAGTTTGAGACCAGCCTGGGCAATGTACCAAGACCTTGTCTCTACAAAAATTTTTAAAAAGTTATCCAGGCTTGATGGCACATGCCTGTGGTCCCAGCCACTCGGGAGGCTGAGGTGGAAGGATCACCTGAGCCCAGGAGGTTGAGTCTGCAGTGAGCCATGATCATGCTATTGCCCTCTAGCTTGGGCAACAGAGCAAGACCCTGTCTCAAAAACAAAAAAAAAAAAGAAGAAGAAGAGGAAGAAGAAGAAGAAAAAGAGGAAGAAGAAGAAGAAAAAGAGGAAGAAGAAGAAGGAGGAGGAGGAAAGGAAGGAAAGGAAGGAAAGGAAAGGAAAGGAAAGGAAAGGAAAGGAAAGGAAAGGGAAAAGGGATAGGTTGAATAGGGATTGTGTGTGTGTTTGTAATTTTTGAGAGCATGGCCAGGGAAGTACTCCCTAAGGCAGGGGGTCAACTAATTACGGACTGAGGCCAAATCCAGCCTATTGCCTGTTTATGTACAATGGCAAGCTAAGAATTGTCTTACATTTTTAAATAGTTGAAAAAAGTCAAAGGAAGAATGTTTTCTGACACCTGAAAGTAACTTATGTGACATTCTATCTCAGTGCCCACAGTGAAGTTTCTTTTTTTTTTTTTTTTCTTTTTTTTTACCCTGAGTCCCGATCTGTTGCCCAGACTGGAGTTCAATGGCATGATCTCGGCTCACTGCAACCTCTGCCTCCTGGGCTCAAGCAATTCTCCTGCCTCAGCCTCCCGGGTAGCTGGGATTACAGGGGTGTGCCACCACGCCCGGCTAATTTTTATTTTTAGTAGAGATGGGGTTTCACCATGTTGGCCAGGCTGGTCTTGAACTCCTGACCTCAGGTAATCCACCTGCCTCAGCCTCCCAAAGTGCCGGGATTACAGGCGTGAGCTACCGTGCCCGGTATCAATGAAGTTTTATTGGAACACAGCTATGCTCATTGGTTTACTTACTGTCTGTGGTTGCTTTTGCCTGACAAAGGCAGAGTTGAGTATCTGCCACAGAGACCCTGTGGCCCACAGAACCTAAAATATCCACCCTCTGGTTTGTTTGTTTGTTTGTTTGTTTGTTTGAGAGGGAGTTTCGCTCCTGTTGCCCAGGCTGGAGCGCAATGGTGCGATCTTGGCTCACTGCAACCTCTACCTCTCAAGTTCAAGCGATTCTCCTGCCTCGGCCTCCTGAGTAGCTGGGATTACAGGCATGTGCCACCAGGCCTGGCTAATTTTTTGTATTTTTAGTAGAGAAGAGGTTTCACCGTGTTAGCCAGGATGGTCTTGATCTCCCGACCTCAGGTGATCCGCCCTCCTTGGCCTCCCAAAGTGCTGGGATTATAGGCATGAGCCACCACGCCCAGCCTACTCTCTGGTTTTTAACCATTCGCTGACTCCTGCCCTAAGATGTCATTTGAAGAGACACCTGAGGCAGGTGAGGGAGCCAGTCATGCATTTATCTGGGGGAATATTCTAGCAGATGTCACAGCAAATGCAAAGACCCTGAAATAGGATGTCTGCTGTGTTCTTGGCAAGGCATGAAACTCACTATGACTGGAGCAGAGTGGATGAGGTCAGAAAGCAAGGATGGACCAGATCACGCACAGTCTTTGCTCCTAGCCTGAGGCAGATGGGAGCCATGGCAGGTGTGTGTGTGTGTGTGTGTGTGTGTGTGTGTGTGTGTGTGTGTGTGAGAGAGAGAGATAGGGTTTTGCTCTGTCATCCAGGCTGGAGCACAGTGGTGCAATCATAGCTTACTGCAGCCTCAACCTCCTGGCCTCAAGTGATCCTCCCACCTCATTCTCCCAAGTAGCTGGGACTACAGACATGAGCCACCATGCCTGGCTAATTTTAAAATTTCTTGTAGAGATAGTGTCTGACTACGTTGCCCAGGCTGGTCTTAAACTCCTGTCCTCAGGTGATCCTCTCACCTTGGCTTCCCAAGGTGCCGGGATTATAGCTGTGAGCCACTGCACCCACCCGCCATGGCAGTTTTGAGGCAAGCGGTGATGTGGTCTGGCTTATTTTAACAGGATCTCTCTATTTTAAGAATAGACTGGCTGGGCACGGTGGTTCACATCTGTAATCCCAGCACTTTGGGAGGCCAATGCGGGTAGATCACCTGAGGTCGAGATCAGCCTGGCCAAAATGGCAAAACCCCGTCTCTACTAAAAATACAAAACTTAGCCAGGTGTAGTGGTGTTTGCCTGTAATCCCAGCTACTTGGGAGGCTGAGGCAGGAGAATACCTCAAATCCGGGAGGCAGAGATTGCAGTGAGCCGAGATCACGCCACTCCACTCCAGCCTGGGCAACAAAGTGAGACTCCATCTCAAAAAAAATAAAAAGAATAGAGTGAAAGATAGAGTGAAAGGGAGGGCAAGAATGGAAACAGTGAAACTAGCAATGAAGGCATTCTAATAATCTGGATGACAAATGATGAGGGGTTGAGCCAGGGAGCTGACAGAGGAGCTGGAATTTATCTAGTGGGATTCTACATCCATGTTGAAGGTACAATAGACAGGATTTGCTCTAGACTAGATACATGAGGGAGCAGTCAGGGATGACTCCGAGGTTTCTGGCCTAAGCCAATAAATGCTGGACTCTCCTTTACCAGAACTGAGAAGACTGTGGGAGGAAGACAAGGTACTCAGTTTGTGTTATAGTAAGTTTAAGATGCCTTTTGGATGTTCCAGTGGAATTGTCAAGTAAGTAGCTGGATATGGAAAGCAAGAGCTGGGAAAGGTCTAAGTTTGAGATACATATGTGGGTGTCAGCATCGTAGGGCCATAGCACTGGACGACATCACTGAGACAAGGGATGCAGATGGGAAAGAGAAAATGTAACTCATACCATGCTTATTGCTTACCCCATCCCACAGATGACCTCTCCAGTGGGCTTTCATCTTTTTGCATAATAAAATCTAAAGTTCTTACCATGTCAATGTTTCCAGAGCACTAGTCTTACCAATTTTCTCCTGGCCTATCAGCTATTAATATCATTGCACTATCCTTTCCTTTCTTCTGGCCGAGCCAGCTCATTCAGCCCTGGGGTCTTTGTCTGCAGTCTCCTCTGCCTGGAATACTCATAGACTTTTGCATGGCTTGCTGGTTAACTTTATTCATAGCTTGGTCCAAATATGAGCACTGCAGGGACCTTCCCCAACTCCTTTAACCAAACAGCTCCCCATTCATCTTGTGTCCATGACCCTGTTTTATTTTCTTTCTACCTATAAATTTGTATGTTTAGTGTTTGTCTTCTTTGGTGAAACTGTAAGCTTCCACTAGGGCACGGAAATTGTCTTACCGTTGAGCAAAGCCTGACATCATAGAAACTCAAATATGTGTTAAATTTAATGAGTAAATAAGGGAGGTACAATAATTTTCTGCTATTTACATTCTGCATTTTCTACCCAAAAGCCTAGCAATGTACCCCATAAACACTCAGTTTAGGAGAAGGCTTTGGGCTCAGTCACAGGCTTCAACACTAGACATGCAGGCAGTAACAGAGGGGACTTGGGAACCAGAGAGTGCACCTTCCAGACAAGGAGGGCAAGATAAAACATTCCTGAGTTTGGGCAGTTTTATATGACGATCAGGATAGACAACTATAAAATAAAGTGAGATGAGACGGGAGGAACAGGCAATGGTTAGACAGTCCCTTTCCAGTTCCTTGTCTGCCCTATCTTTGCAGGTGAAGGGGCTTCTCTTGGGTGTTTGGCAAGGCAAGTTTTGGTCTGATTCTGCATGGGTGAAGATACGAACACCAGGATGGAAGACTTTACAGGGATATCCAAGTTGCAGCCAAACAAAGTCTCACTCTGTCGCCCAGGCTGGAGTGCAATGGCATGATCTCAGCTCATTGCAACCTCTGCCTCCTGGGTTCAAGCGATTCTCCTGCCTCAGTCTCCTGAGTAGCTGGGATTACAGGCACCCTCCACCACGCCCGGCTAATTTTTTGTATTTTTAGTAGAGACAGTGTTTCACCGTGTTAGCCAGGATGGTCTCGATCTCCTGACCTCCTGATCTGCCCGCCTTGGCCTCCCAAAGTGCTGGGATTACAGGCGTGAGCCACCGCGCCCGGCCTTCTTTATTTTTTTGAGACAGAGTCTTGCTCTGTTGCCCAGGCTAAAGTGCAGTGAGTCCAATCTTGGCTCACTGCAACCTCCGCCTCCTTGGTTAAAGGGATTCTCCCGCCTCAGCCTCCTGAGTAGCTGGGACTATAGGCGTGCACCACCACAACCTGATAATTTTTGTATTTTTAGTAGAGATGGGGTTTCCCTATGTTGACCAGGCTGGTATCGACCTCCTGGCCTCAGATGATCCACCCGCCTCGGTCTCCCAGAGTGCTGGGATTACAGGCGTGAGCCACTATGCTTGGCCACAAAATGACTTTCTGTAGGTCTCTGCCAACAAAGAGAATCAACTTTCATCTATTCCTAAAATAAAAGCACCTTGGAGAAGGAAAAACGAGAAAAAATGAGCAGTTATGGGCTGGGTGCATTGGTTCACGCCTGTAATCCCAGCACTTTGGGAGGCCGAAGAAGGTGGATCACAAGGTCAGGAGCTTAAGACCAGCCTGACCAATATGGTGAAACCCTGTCTCTACTAAAAATATTTAAAAATTAGCCAGGTGTGGTAGTGTGTGCCTGTAATCCCAGTTACTCGGGAGACAGGCAGGAGAATCGCTTGACCCCAGGAGGCGGAGGTTGCAGCGAGCCGAGATCGAGCCACTGCACTCCAGCCTGGGCGACAGAGCAAGACTCTGTCTCAAAAAAAAAAAAGAGCAGTTATGTTGAAAGGACAGAACTTGGAAGGGCAGCTTGTTGAAATATAAAAGGAGGGTATTTTAGGGCAGTGAAACTATTCTGTATGATACTGTAATGGTAGATACATGTCACTATGCATTTGTCAAAACTCATAGTCCTGTACAACACAAAGAGTGAACTGTAATGTAAACTATAAACGTTAATTAGTAATAATGTATTACTATTCGTTCATCAAGTGTATCAAATGGACCACATCAATGCAGGATGTTACTAATAGGGGGAATTGTACAGATGGAAGGAGGGAGTTGGAGAAGAGGGCATATGAGAACTTGTCACACCGTCTGGTCAATTTTCTGTAAACTAAAACTCCTCTAAAAAAATAAAGTCTGGGTCGGGCGTGGTGGCTCATGCCTGTAATCCTAGCACTTTGGGAGGCTGAGGCGGGCAGATTACCTGAGGTCAGGAGTTCGAGACCAGACTGGCCAAAATGGTGAAACCCCGTCTCTACTAAAAATACAAAAAAATTAGCTAGGCCTAGTGGCACACGTCTGTAGTCCCAGCTACTCAGGAGGCTGAGGTATGATAATTGCTTGAACCCAGGAGGCAGAGGTTGCAGTGAGCCGAGATCATGCCATTGCACTCCAGCCTGGGTGACAAAAGCAAAACGCCCTCTCAAAAATAAATAAATAAATAAAGTCTGTTAATTTAAAAATAAATAAATGCTTAAAAGGCACTCTGTCTAATGAGTACAAAAATTGGAAGGAAAATGACCCTTCACTTCACTGTTGCATGAACAGGAAATGGAAATGTTTTTGGGCATATGTATCTCTTGGGAGAGTGAGGTGGAAAACAATACCAGCCACCATTCTTTAATTTGGATTGATCCACTGTTCTTGATTTTGAATAGCAGGTGGCTTTGCTGTGGTGTTATTGTTGTTGCTCTTTTTTTGTTTGTTTGTTTGAGACAGAGTCTTGCTCTGTCGCCTAGGCTGGAGCATAGTGGCGCGATCTCGACTCACTACAACCTCCGCCTCCCGGGTTCAAGCGATTCTCCTACTGGGATTACAAGCACATGACACCATGCCCGGTTAATTTTTGTACTTTTAGTAGAGACAGGATTTCACCATGTTGGTCAGGCTGGTCTCGAACTCCTGACCTCGTGAACCACCCACCTTGGCCTCCCAAAGTGCTGGGATTATAGGCGTGAGTCACTGTGCCCGAACGTTGCTCTTTAATGTTAGTATTTTGTTATCCCAAAGAAAGCTCTCAGACCACGGAGACTCTTAAAAGACAATATCAAATGTTTCAACAACTGACAAACCTCAGACTTCCTGTATTTCTGTAAGTTGCAGTTTTCCCTTCCTTCTTCTTCTAATTTGTTAATATCTCTGGGGCCACAGGCTCTCTCTCTCTCACACAGGTCTCTAACTAGATCAGTGGATCAAAGGTGAGGCTTTGCTAAGTAATCAGGGTAATTTCACCGGTGTAGCAAGCTATTAAAAACAGACCTGCAGGGTTTTTCAAGGACAACCAAGGTATTGATTTGGCAACCAAAAACTCCTGTAGTGCAAGCAATAATACACCAGGGCCAGTGTTTCCAACACCGTCACAACTCCTCCCCCTCCCTGTCCCTAGTGACATTACAAAAGGCACAGCTAAGGCCGATACTCCAGCTCCTATGCCCCTGCTCCTGTCTTCAAAAGGAACGTCACTGTTATAAATTAGACAAGGGAAGAAAAACCTCATTTCTTTGATGATTTTTTTAAAGAGCTTTGTTTTCCCACGCATAATTGTTCTTCCTATTCATTATGCCTTTATGTAGACTTTGCTTTTTCCTTTAAAGAATACACTTCTTATGTAATTTGTTTTGCATTTCTGGAATGAGGAACTTTTCTGCTCATATTGTTGTTAAAATCTAGACAACACGCCCGTGTGATAGATCACCCTGAGCCTTGGAAGGAAATGATTCACCACAATACTGTAACTGAAAGTCGTCTAACACCAGGGCTGGAAGGCAGGCTATGAACCGCTGCATTACCTGCGTGCAGCAGCAATGGGAGGCAGCCAGAGGTTCCCTCGGCCTGCCTAGCTCACTTCAGCTTTGTTCCTGTTCTGTTTCCTCCGTCCGAGTAGCAGGATGCTGGAAATTCATCCTCCATTTTTAAGTTTTAAAAGAAACCCAAAAATTGTGATTTTTTTTTTTTTTTTGACACCGAGTTTTGCTCTTGTCACCCAGGCTGAAGTGCAATGGCACGATCTTGGCTCACTGCAACTTCTGCCTCCCAGGTTCAAGGGATTCTCCTGCCTTAGCCTCCTGAGTAGCTGGGATTCCAGGTGCCCAGCATATGCCCAGCTAATTTTTGTATTTTTAGTAGACTCAGTGTTTCACCATCTTGGTCAGGCTGGTCTTGAACTCCTGACCTCAGGTGATCTGCCCATCTCAGCCTCCCAAAATGTTGGGATTACAGGGGTGAGCCACTGCACCCAGCTGGGATTTTTAATAAGCCACATCTGCCCAAATGGGCCTTTCCAGGCTACTGTCTTATAATTTTGCACTTAAATTTGTATTTAAACCACACATTAATGCACTGTATGGAAAAAGTGAACACCAAACATACCTATTACTAATAAAAAGATTTCAAACAATAAAGCCAAAAGAGCAGAGAAACTAAAAATAAAAAATATGTATTTTATTTTCCTCTGCATGTTTTTGGTGAAGGCAGATCATAGATTACGCCCATGTCAGAAACAATGCAATTTTATAATTCTTATGAAAAATGGGCCAGGCGCAATGGCTCATACCTGTAATCCCAGCACCTTTGAGAGGCCTAAGTGGGTGGATCACCTGAGGTAGGGAGTTGGAGACCAGCCTGACCAACATGGAGAAACCCCGTCTCTACTAAAAATACAAAATTAGCTGGGCATGGTGGTGCATGCCCGTAATCCCAGCTACTAGGGAGGCCGAGGCAGGAGAATTGCTTGAACCCAGGAGGCAGAGGTTGCAGTGAGCCGAGATCGCTGGTTGTGGTGGTGTGCACCTGTAGTCCCAACTAGTCTGGAGGCTGTGGTGGAAGAATCTCTTGAGCCTGGGAGGTTGACGCTGCAGTGAGCCAAGATTGTCACCGAACTCCAGCCTGGGCAACAAAGCAAGACCTTGTCTCCAGAAAAACAAAAACAACAACAAAAAAAACTAATTAATATTTCAGTAAAATTTAGGTATAAATTTGGCAAGAATATAGTTCTTCACTTTTTTTCACTATGCTGCTCTTTTCTAAAATCAATTGATGAAATTTAAAAATTCGAGTGAATGTGTGTATGAAAACTGAATTAATCTGATATTTTCTTATATAAATTTGATTTCCATGATTACAGCTGAAATTGAGTTTAAGCTAACACAAATATTCAGGTGGTTTCCCTCCCTCCCTCTGTCCCTCCCTCTTTCTCTTTCTTTCTCCCTTTCTTTCTTTCTTCTTTCTTTCGACAGGATCTCTCTCTGTCGCCCAGGCTGGGTGTGGTGGCGGGTGCCTGTAATCCCAGCTGCTGGGGAGGCTGAGGCATGAGAATCACTTGAGCCTGGGAGGCAGAGGTTGCAGTGAGCCGACATCAGGCCACAGCACTCCAGCCTGGGCAACAGAATGAGACTATGTCTCAAAAGAATAAATAAAATGAAATGAAATGATGATAATAATAATAATAATAGTGCTAGTCTTAAGAGTGGGCTGTGCGGCTGGGCGCAGTGTAACCCCAGCATTTTGGGAGGCTGAGATGGGTAGATCACCTGAGGCCAAGAATTCAAGACCAGCCTGGCCAACATGATGAAACCCGTCTCTACTAAAAATACAAAAATTATCCAGGCATGGTGGCGCGCACCTGTAATCCCAGCTACTTAGAGACTGAGGCAGGAGAATCACTTGAACCCAGGAGGCAAAGGTTGCTGTGAGCCAAAGATCATGCCACTGCACTTCAGCCTGGGCGACAGAGCAAGACTCTGTCTCAAAAAAAAAAAGAGTGGGCTGTGACAGATGGATGACAATCCATTGAAAGCAGGTCTCAGCCATCTAGGTCAATCTGGGCAGCTGCTTATTTCTGTAAATAAAGTTTTATTGGAACACAGTTGAGCCTACTCATTTACATATTGGCAATGGCCTCTGTTCTACTTCCGGTTAAGACAAAGCCTCTAGCGCTCAAAGCCTAAAACAGGTATTAGCTGATGCTTTGCAGAATGTTTACTGACCCCTAATCTAAAGTATTTAGTACAGTTACTCGCATCTGGAAGATACCTGCTATTTATATGTTAAGTAAACTCAAAGGCAAAGATCAGCTTCTGTTTATCATTCTTCCTTTCCCTGGGTTCAGCAAAGGCCTTGCACATGTAGTGTGTGCTTTGTGAAATATGAAGTTAACATAATTCATGACAATAAAATATAATTGTCATGATATAGCATTCAGAGAAAGTTGATAAGTAATAAAACTTTGGGCACAGTTTCAATTTAAAATAATCCCAATCTACTTTTTCAGTATTCCGTAATTTCAGTTAGAGTGCAAATAATTATGTAATATTGGAATGCCATTCAACTGGCTTGTATTTATGTGAAGAGAAGTTGGTCAATGTGAAAGGAAACCAACATTACCATCTTTTTTTTTTGAAGCTGTAATGATCATAAAATGTAAATGCATTCTGCAAACTTCAAATAATGTGTTTTAATGGCCTAAACCCCTGGTAAAGTTAGCTTTTAGAGCAGACACAAAATAAAATTGGGTCCTGAATACTGGTTGGTGCATCATGGGGTAGAGGCAGAGGAAGAAAGAGGGGAGAGGCCAGGCGCAGTGGCTCACGCCTATAATCCCAGCACTTTGGGAGGCTGAGGCAGGCAGATCACTTGAGGTCAGGAGTTTCGAGGCCAGCCTGGCCAAAATGGTGAAACCCTGTCTCTACAGGAAAAAAAAAAATTTAGCTGGGCATGATGGCAAGTGCCTGTAATCCCAGATACGCGGGAGACTGAGGCAGGAGAATCGCTTGAACCTGGGAGGCAGAGGTTGCAGTGAGCTGAGATGGGACCACCGCACTCCAGCCTGGGTGACAGAGCGAGACGCCATCTCAAAAAAAAAATAAAAGAAAAAAAAAGAAGAAAGAGGGCAGAAAAAGAATGGAGCGAGATATCATTAGCTCACCACTCCAGCTGAAAATCAGTTCAAAGTAGAGCTCTGTGCCATACCAGTCCCCAGCGTGGGCACTTCTAATTACAGTCAATGAGCATTTTGTTTGTAAGGGAGAATTTTTTTTTTTTTTTTTAATAGGGACAGGGTCTCACTCTCTCGCCCAGGCTGGAGTGCAGCAGCATGATCATAGCTCTGCAGCCTTGAACTCCTGGGCTCAGTTGATCCTCCTGCCTTAGATTCCTGAGTAGCTGGGACTACTGGGACTACAGGTGCAGGTGTGAGCCACCACTCCTGGCCTTGGGGAGAATGTTAACTTCTAAGTAGAACTTAACCAGAGGCAACACTCAAGAATTCCCAAGAGCAGCAGGCATAGTGGCTCCCCCATGCCAGCATTTTGGGAGGCTGAGGCCAAGGATCCCTTCAGCCCAGGAGTTCCAGATGAGCCTGGGCAACGTAAGGAGACCTCATCTCTCTCTCTCTCTCTCTCTCTCTCCCTCTCTTTTTTTTTTTTTTTTTTTTTTGAGACAGGGTCTCACTCTGTTGCCCAGGTTTGGAGTACAGTGGCACGGTCTCGGCTCACTGCAGCCTCAACCTCTTGGGTTCATTGCCTCAGCCTCCCGAGTAGCTGGGATTACAGGTGTGCACCACCATGACCAGCTAATTTTTGTATTTTTAGTAGAGACAGGCTTTCACCAGCTTGGCCAAGCTGGTCTGGAACTCCTGACCTCAAGTGACCCGTCTGCCTTGGTCTCCCAAAGTGCTGGGATTACAGGTATGAGCCACTGCGCCTGGCCATGGATTTATTATTATTATTTTTTACTTTTTTATACAAAGACAGTAACCCCAAGAGGACAGAAACCTGCTCACAGCTGTATTTGGCACCTAATATGACATCTCGGAGGTATTCGAGGCTAATTTGTTGAAAAGTATGAAAGCAGGTTCTGTTTTTTTGGCTCTGTTGCCCAGGCTGGAGTGCAGTGGCGTAATCTTGGCTCACTGGAACCTCTGTCTCCCAGGCTCAAGTGATCCTCCCACTTCAACCACCCCAGTAGCTGGGACTATAGGCATGTGCCACCACAACTGGCTAATTTTTTATTTTTTGGTAGAGATGGGGGTCTTGCTGTGTAGTCCAAGCTGGTCTCAAATTCCTGGGTTCAAGTGATCCGCCCATCTCAGCCACCCAGAGTGCTGGGATTATAGTTATGAGCAACCGTGCCCTGTTAGCGGGTTATGTTCTAACCCCTGACAATGAACATTTTCCCTGCTCTCCTGGAGTGTATGTTTTAGTCAAGAAAGGCTGAAAGCGATCAAGAGAGCAAACAAGTTCATTATTAATAATCGTGATAATTGCTCTGAAGGAAACGGGGCCTAAGGTCAGAAAACCAGAATCATAATTTTTGTTCTTGACCCAGGGCCAGGCACAATATTTCGACGATGCCAAAAACTCAGTGATTTACATAAATTATACATATATATACGATTTTTTTCTTTTTCTTCTGTCACCCAGGCTGGAGTTGCAGTGGTGCGATCATAGCTCACTGCAGCCTAGAACTCCAGGGCTCAAGTGATCCTCCCACTTCAGCCTCCTGAGTAGCTAAGACCACAGGGGTGCACCACCACACCTGGCTAATTATTAATTAATTAATTATTTCAATGTTTTATTTAAAAAATTATTTATATAGAGATGGGGTCTCACTGTGTTGCCCAGACTGGTCTCAACCTCCAGGGTTGAAGCCATCCTCCCACCTCAGCCTCCCAAAGCGCTGATATTACAAGCATAAGCCACTGCACTGGGCCTATATAAATAATACTTTAGGCTGGGCACAGTGGCTCACGCCTGTAAGCCCAGCACTTTGGGAGGCCGAGGCGGGCGGATCACCTGAGGTCGGGAGTTTGAGACCAGCCTGACCAACATGAGGAAACCCCATTTCTGCTAAAAATACAAAATTAGCCGGGCATGGTGGTGCATGCCTGTAATCCCAGCTACTCGGGAGGCTGAGGCAGAAGAATCACTTGAACCCAGGAGGCAGAGGTTGCGGTGAGCTGAGATCGTGCCATTGCACTCCAGCCTGGGCAACAAGACCAAAACTCCATGTCAAAAAAAAAAAAAAAATTAGCTGGGCATGGTGGCATGCCCCTGTAGTCCCAGCTACTCGGGAGACTGAGGCAGGAAAATCGCTTGAACCTGGGAGGCGAAGGTTGTGGTGAGCCGAGATTGAGCCACTGCATTCCAGCCTGGGCAACACAGCAAGACTCTGACTCAAAAAAAAATAATAGGCCAGGCATGGTGGCTCACACCTGTAGTCCCCGCATTTTGGGAGGCCGAGGTGGGCGGATCTCTTGAGGTCAGGAGTTTGAGACCACCCTGGCCCTCATAGTGAAACCCCGTTTCTACTAAAAATGGAAAAATTAGCCAGGCGTGGTGGTACACGCTTGTAGTCCCAGCTACTCAAGAGGCGGAGGCAGGAGAATTGCTTGAACCTGGGAGGCAGAGGTTGCAGTGAGCCAAGATCACTTCACTGCACTCCAGCCTGGGTGACACAGCAAGACTTCATCTCAAAAAGAAAAATAAAAAAAATCAAAATAGGCCGGGCAACATGGCTCACGCCTGTAATCCCAACACTTTGAGAGGCTGAGGCGGGCAGATCACAAGGTCAGGAGTTCGAGACCAGCCTAACCAACATGGTGAAACTCCGGATCTACTAAAAATACAAAAAAAAATGACAGGCATGGTGGTGCGTGCCTGTAATCCCAGCTACTCAAGAGGCTGAGGCAGGAGAATCACTTGAACCCAGGAGATGGAGGTTGCAGTGAGCCGAGATTGCATCACTGCACTCCAGCCTGGGCAATAGAGTGAGACTGTGTCTCAAAAAAAAAAAAAAATCAAAATAAATGCAAACAGCCCATGATGAACAAAATATCAAACTTTTATATAATGACAGAACTGATATTAGGGTAAGGATGGCAAGGTGAGCCCTGCAATAGTTTCTCTGCTCCCGTTGCTTAATCTGCAAAATGGGATAAAATGGGATTGTATCTACCTTTTTTTGTTTTTGAGACGGAGTCTCCCTCTGTTGCCCAGGTTGGAGTGCAGTGGCAAGATCTTGGCTCACTGCAACCTCCGCCTACCGGGTTCAAGCGATTCTCCTGCCTTAGCCTCCTGAGTAGCTGGAATTACAGGCGCCTGTCACCACGCCCGGCTAATATTTTTGTATTTTTAGTAGAGACAGGGTTTCACAATGTTGGTCAGGCTTGTCTCGAACTCCTGACCTCAGATAATCCACCCGCCTGGGCCTTCCAAGGTGTGGGATTACAGGCATGAGCCACCGTGCCTGGCCTAGTATCTGCCTGTTTTTGTTTTTGTTTTTTTTTTTCTTTTTGAGACAGAGTCTTGCTCTGTCGCCCAGGCTGGAGAGCAGTGGCGTGATCTTGGCTCACTGCAACCTCAGCCTCCCAGGTTCAAGCAATTCTCCGGCCTCAGCCTCCCGAATAGCTGGGACTCCAGGCACGTGCCACCATGCCTGGCTAATTTTTTGTGTTTTTAGTAGAGACCGTGTTTCATCATGTTAGCCAGGATGGTTTCAATCTCCTGACCTCGTGATCTGCCTGCCTTGGCCTCCCAGAGTGCTGGGATTACAGGCATGAGCCACTGCGCCCAGCTTAGTATCTGCCTTTTAAGGCTTTATGAGGATTTGTCCAGAACTTCACACAGGAAGAGCTCAATACATGCTTATTACTCTTTTATTATTTTCATCAATATTATTAATCCTACGGTTGTGTACCACAGAACAAATATTTAAGCAATAACATCAAAATTTCAGAAAACTAAATGGGCTAGTTACTGTATTTTGTCGAACCTAAAACGTCACCATTTGTGAGATTTTCCATTATTTTATTTACTTATTTATTTATTCTGTAGAGTTGGGGTCTCTGTCACTATATTGGCCAGGCTGGTCTCGAGCTCCTGGGCTCAAGCGATCCTCCTATCTTGACCCTTCAAAGTGCTGGGATTACAGGCATAAACCACTGCATCTGGGCATGTTCCATTATTTTACGGACTATTAAATAAATGTTTTCAAATAATAGCAAGATGCCATTGACTGCAAAATACATATTGATTTTAGTTATATTAAAATGTAAAAACTAAAGTGCACTTTAGAATTGATAAAATATAATATTTGGGCCGGGTGCAGTGGCTCATGCCTGTAATCCCAGCACTTTGGGAGGCCAAGGTGGGCGGATCACTTGAGGTCAGGAGTTGGAGACGAGCCTGGCCAACACCCCGTCTCTACTAAAAATACAAAAATCAGCTGGACATGGCGGCTGAGCGCTTGTAATCCCAGCTAATTGGGAGGCTGAGGCAGAAGAATAGCTTCAACCCGGGAGGCGGAGGTTGCAGTCAGCTGAGATCCCACCAGGGCACTCCAGCATGGGCGACACAGTGAGACTCCGTCTCAAAAAAAAAAAAAAGAATATTCTGAGAATAAGTCTACATATTGGGTGCAGCATGCACTGGGGTGACGGGTGCACTAAAATCACAGAAGTCACCACTAAAGAGTTTATGTAACCCCAAAACCACCTGTACCCCAAAAGTTATTGAAATAAAAGTTTAAAAAATTAAGCTATTATAGGCCGGGCACGATGGCTCATGCCTGTAATCCCAGCACTTTGGGAGGCCAACGCGGGCAGATCACCTGAGGTCGGGAGTTTGAGACCAGCCTGACCAACATGGAGAAACCCCATCTCCACTAAAAAAATACAAAATTAGCCGGGGGTGGTGGCACATGCGTATAATCCCGGCTACTCCGGAGGCTGAGGCAGGAGAATCACGTGAACACGGGAGGCGGAGGTTGCGGTGAGCCAAGATCGCACCATTGCACTCCAGCCTGGGCAATAAGAGCAAAACTCCATTGCAAAAGAAAAAATTTTTTTAAAAAAATTAAGCTATTATCATTACATATGTTTATTATACTCTTTGCACATAAAAGTTTATACATTTTCGGCCGGGCGCGGTGGCTCACACCTGTAATCCCAGCACTTTGGGAGGCCGAGGTGGGCGGATCACAAGGTCAAGAGATCAAGACCATCCTGGCCAACATGATGAAACCCCGTCTCTATTAAAAGTACAAAAATTAGCTGGGCATAGTGGCACACGCCTGTAATCCCAGCTACTAGGGAGGCTGAGGCAGGAGAATCGCTTGAACCCGCGAGGCAGAGGTTGCAGTGAGCCGGGATTGTGCCACTGCACTCCAGCCTGGCGACAGGGCGGGACTCCATCTCAAAAAAAAAAAAAAAAAAGTTTATACATTTTCTAACTTTTATTGTACATTTCATTTTATCAACATAAAATTAACCTTTGGTTACTAAAAAAAATATATTGATAGATGGCAAGCATGCTTCCAAACGGATTGGACTTGTTGTAGTCAATTGATGTTTATGATTTAAAAAAAAAAAAGAAAACAAAACCTGTTCATTTAAACAATCATTATTATTTCCAGGTATTTTATGAGGAAGGGGCTTACACAGACATTTCTGTAACTAATAAATTATTTTTCTGCTTCTTTAGAGTTAATTATTCACAGTTACTTTGCGTAGTTACATGAGTTAGCTCTTCCCAACATTAGTAGTATTTGTTTTGTTTTGTTTTGTTTTTGGAAAATTTTCATCTAAATCACCGTGGGATATAATCACCATTCCACATGTTGCTTTGTTCAGTTGTACAGTACCTACCTTAGCCTCTGTAAAATTTGGTAAATATCACTGCTTTCTGGTTAAGTTCTGTGGAAGAAGGCAGAAAAAAAAATTACACCTCCCATGTCCCTTGTTGAATTAAGAGTACACAGACTTCTCTTTCCCCTTTTTTAAAATAAGTATCGTGGCAGTTGAAAACAGGTGCTAATTCAGTTCATTCACGATATGAGAAAGATCAATGTACATTTGAAACTCTCTTCAGAGCAGAAAATTGTTAAGAGTTGCGCAAAACAGAAAGCAGGTCCTTTTCTAAATATAGCAACGTCATATGACCCCACTGGTCTTTGTACTCAGAGAATTAAGGTATTAGACACATTGCTCCACGGATGCAGCATATAATTACTCTGGGGAAGAGGGACTATGACCAACGAGCACAGATATTAATATAAATATTGGGCTTGTGTCTGTCCTTTTTGATCTAAGGAAATAGACTTTTGAATGTTGCTGGGACATCCCCACATGACAGCTTGTCAACTGTGTAAACTTTCCCACTGCACACAGAAAACAGTTCTTCCATCTCTTTGGTTTTATTTTTATACCCCTTTTCACAGCAGTCAATGTTTAAACACTTTTCAAACAGTAGACTTTTTTTTGTCTATTTCCTTCTTTAACTGTGAGGTCTCAAACTGATGCTAATTCAGTTTTGTTGGTTATCATGATCATTTATGATACTAGATAGTTCTCAATTTAGGTCCCCTGTAATTAATCTCTGTGAACGTGGTGTTTTGTTTGTTTTGTTTGGTAACAACTCTTTACAGGGTAATTTGGACATGTATCCTTAAAGCTTTTAGTGCTTTTTAATTTTTTTAGTCTTTATTTTTAAAGACCATTTCAAGTTTACTGTGTATCTGGGAGAAATTAAAGATTAAATTGGGAGTGCAATGTTCAAGAGCTATCACTGCATTTAAATGTGTTTATCTGCAAGCTAAAATTCTTAACACCACCATTCTATTTTGCAGGAGGTAAGTCTTTCCAGCCAAGCAAGGGTTTGCAAAGCCGAGGTTAGTCAGTAAGGGCCGATACATATTAAAATTGAGAAAAGGCCTGTCCAAGCTTGGGGAAAAGCAGCTGTTCTCACACTGCTATCAGCATTTATCAAGGGGGAAATTTTTGTGTTAGCCCTCTGGGCCCACGGGAGGGAAGGAGTAGAAGGAAGTAACTATGATAGTTGCATATTTGAAGGAAGCAGAGGCCTCAGCTGGTTGCTAAAAAATCAATTTAAAAAATAAATGATGGAGCTCAGGCATACGGCAAGTTGTGGACTGAGAATTTGGTTTCAGGATTAGGGTGTTTCTACTTGGAAATTTACCATCCAGTTCCCTGGACCTGTCTTGGGGCATTTTTGTTGTTGTTGTTGTTGTTGTTTTGTTTTGATTTTTTTTGAGACAGGGTCTCACTGTCTCCCAGGCTGGAGTGCAGTGGCGCGATCTTGGCTCACTGCAACCTCTACCTCCCTGGTTCAAGTGATTCTCGTACCTCAGCCGCCCAAGTAGCTGGGATTACAAGTATGGGCCAGCACATCCGGCTAACGTTTGTATTTTTAGTAGAGATGGGGTTTCACCATGTTGGCCAGATTGGTCTCAAACTCCTGACCTCAGGTGATCAGCCTGCCTCCACCTCCTAAACTGCTGGGATTATAGGCGTGAGCCACCGCCCCGACTTTGGATTGAGGATACTCATTGATTAGTTTCAGATGTCCCTTATGAAATCAATTTCTTCATAAACCTTTTACTCCATATTGTCTTTTACAAAAAAGAGTACATTTCTGTACTATTATATACTTAAAATTATTTGTTAAACTATGTATTTTTGACAAATAAATCCAAAGACTCCAAATTTTAAAAAATAACCCCTCTTTTCAAAACAGCCTTCCCAAAGTTAAATTAAAAGTTGAGTTGGGGCTGGGCACAATGGCTCGCGCCTGTAATCCTAGCACTTTGGGAGGCCAAGGACAGCGGATCACGAGGTCAGGAGTTCAAGACCAGCCTGGCCAATATGGTGAAACCCCGTCTCTACTAAAAATACAAAAATTAGCTGGGCATGGCGGCGTGTGCCTGTAGTCCCAGCTACTTGGGAGGCTGAGGCAGAAGAATCACTTGAACCTGGGAGGCGGAGGTTGCAGTGAGCCAAGATCGTGCCACTGCACCACTCTAGCCTGGGCAACCAGAGTGAAACTCCATCTCAAAAAAAAAAAAAAAAAGTTGAGTTGGTCTCTATGACCTTTGCTTGTCTTTAAAAACAAAAAAATTAAACAAACTGCTTTTCTGGAATGTCCCTTGCAAAACGATAAATTATAACTTTATCAACTTCCCTAGAGGCCTTCAAAACAAAAGGAAAAAGTTAAATTAAGTTCAATCACTCTATTAGTTCATTCTAAAAGGTAACATTCCCCGAAATATATTTTTGTTCAGAGTACAACATTTAGAGAGCCGCGGGGTGGGATGAGGTGGTTCAGGCCTGTAATCCCAGCACTTTGGGAGGCTGAGGCCAGCGGATCACCTAAGGTCAGGAGTTCGAGACCAGCCTGGCCAACATGAAGAAACCCTGTCCCTACTAAAAATACAAAAATTAGCCGGGTGTGGTAGCATGCACCTGTAATCCCAGCTACTTGGGAGGCTGAAGCAGGAAAATTGCTTGAACCCAGGAGGCAGAGGTTGCAGTGAGCCGAGATTGTGTCACTGCACTCCAGCCTGGGCGACCGAGGCTCCATCTCAAAATAACTAATTAAGTAATAAAAAAACCCTCAAAATAAATATATAAGTAATAAAGAACCGCGAACGCAGCTTTCCTTTTTGAATGCTGAGTGAGGATCCCTGGCCAGAGGGAAACTTGGGCAGATACCAGTCACGATTCACCAGGAGCGCTCCGGATTCAGGGTTTTACTTCCTTAATTACAGAACCGAAACTGGCTAAGTGTTGACTGATCAAGAGTTAAGAGTTTCGAAGTTAAGGAAGCAGTAAACTCATTTCCAAGAGTTGTCTTCCCAAACTACTCCTTCTCCTAATACGTGTAGGATTTTCCTAGTCTAAGACAGAGGTCTCTCTCTCTCTGTCTCTTGCTCTCTTTCTTTCCCTTTAATAACCCCAAGTATTTGATAGTTCATTAATATGAAAGAGAGTTTTGTAGTTTCCTTAATAAAATGTTGAGCACCTCCAGAAGGGAGAGAATTTCCCCCAATAACATTATCTATGGACATTTTCTGCCTTTTTGTGAAACCTCCCTGAAGCTTAGCCCTGCCTTCATTTCTGATTAATCACTTGGGCTCACAAGATAATTCAGGAATCACACTCCACCAGCAGTGAACTATCTTTAGGAGATGAATTGATTAAAACTCACTGTTTGATGACTTGGGTTTGATACGGTTCAGCATTTTTCGAATACAATTAGAGATATTTAAATCTTTCCAATAAAAGGAGAAGGTGGATTTTTTAAAAATCCACCATATGTCTCTAAATCATTTTCATTTTATCTAAAGAATGGGGAATTTAACATCTCCAGAAATATCTGGCTTCCTTTTTTTTTTTTTTTTAATGTAGTCAGTAGGTCAAAAAAAAAAAAACCCACATGTAATAGGAAGTGAACATATTATACACGTTTTAAAAATTTGTTCATATATATATCATTTAAACCTGAGTCCTCTAAACTTTGTTCCTATAGAATTTTCACTGTATATTTTCACACATATATATTTTTATATGTTTATCCATACGTAAATACTTACACACAGTGAGGTTATTGAGAAAGTAGTCTTGGAATCCAGATACTAAAACCACAACACTTTAGAATTGGAAACCATACAATTTTGTTTATTCCAGCTCTATCATTATAGAAAGGGATACTTGGGCTGAGAGAAGTTATTTAGCTTGCTTGAAGATCTTTGTATTCTGGTCTTGAATTTGCCACATAATAAATATTGCACTTAACCTTGAGGGTTTCTGTCTCCTCATCTGTAAAATAGGTCCACTGGAAGACGATTTTTAATTTAGTTGAATGTATCTGATTTTGCAAACACGGGGGTTTTGGAGCATGCAAAAGAGGATGATGTTCAGGAGTCCAAATGACTAGTCAGCCCAACCTTTTTAGCCAATGGATTCATTTATTTTGGCCCTGGACAGGTATTAGCTGTCCTTTAAAAGATTGGCTTCTGGCAGTTTGGGTTTCCCCCACACGTTTGCTTCTGTGTATTTTTATCAGCCCTCGACTCAGAAGAATCCAATTAGAGTCAATTCCTTTAGTGCAAGTGGCAGCAAATACTAGACTATCCAGAATTGTCAGAATCTTGTTTCCTGCTTTACCCAGCCGTCTTGTCTCCATTTTACATAGTTTTCAGCTTTGCTGGAGGAATAGGCCTGCTGTACTTTTTGGAATTTCCTCAGCCACTCATCATTTCAGGCTGAACATTAATGATTTATCCAGCAAAGGTTATTAAAATTGACTATAGTCTCTGAAGAAAGGATAGTTTGTCAAACCCACATCTTAAGACTCATTGGATATATTTTGCATGAATTGTGATTAATGCAAGGTAATTTCAGAGGATGGCTTTTGCTAATTAATAAATCAATCACATTGACTCATCTTGGTAGACTGAACTTTAAAAGTTCATTACTGACTTGCTCAAAACCAGAATCCCACACATACATAGTTTAGTGGTTTAAGGCAATTCTTAAGAAAGCAAACAGATTGAGCAATACTTTAATTCAGAAACAAATTGCTTAATCTGTGTCCTCTAAAAATAACGTGCCTGAGAAAGAAAAACTATAAAATACAGGCAATACACTAACATATTCCTGCTTCTTGATTGATTTCACATATACAACAAAGCTCACATCATTATAAAAGATTTGGAAAGGTCATATGGAAACATCACACTACCAATAGAAGGATTTCTGAAGTAGTTGAAAGCACCAACTTTACCTAAAACAACAAAACAAAACAAAAAATGTAACCAAGTTGTTATAAATTGTCCGCTCTAAAGTTCTAGAGATCTTATGGAATAAATGCAGGCTATTATTATTATTATTTTTTGCTTCTGCCCAAAGCGAAGTTTAGTTATTTAAAAAGCCACTGGAATTGTGCTTTCAAGAAAGCAAAAATGGCTTGTGTTTTTCATATTACTTTGAAAGGGACAGACATGCCCTTCAACAGAAAGCAATAAGCTGCCATTCAAAGAATGGAGTTTCCCTGCAGCTAATGGCAGTGGGATCTGAATCAGATAATACACATATGTAGAATCTTTAGGACCAAACCACAAAAAAAAAAAAAAAAAAAAAATCAAAGCAAAGCAAAAAGCAAAACAAAACAAAACAAAAAAAGAAGAAGTGTAATTCAAGTCCTGTATAAATTAAACCTACAGTAATTTTCTCAAAGTGTATTTTCTGTTTTAGGTTACTAGAGTATTTTAAAACTTTCTCCATGAACAAATAGGAATGTCCATATACAAAAAAAAGTGGAACCTGGATTCCAGCCAGGAGGGGTCTGCAACCACGTAGAACAATTGGAGACTTAACAATCTGTAATATTCGTGTTATATTCTATAATATTCACTGAAATAGACCTCAATGACTTTGAGCTCAGGACTCCATGAATTTCTTCCACATGTGCTTCCTCTGGATGATGGGGGAGGCAGGGGAAAGGGAGAGCAAACAGCTGCTTGAGATGGGAGGGGGCAGAGAGGTGAGGAGGAGAGGAGCTTAGGAGGACTGAGATCCTCATTACCTACCCTCAATAGCTGTGGCACAATAATTCTTTTCTTTTGGAATGCAAATATGGTATTTATAGCCAATCAGGTCTTTTGAGTGGATTAACATTTAGTCCTTTTGATATGGGAAGAAAGAAGGGGGAAGGAGAAGGAAGAAAGAAGAAAAGAAATTTAAAAAAATTAAAAGTAGGGAGAAATAGATTAATCCTGACACTAATATAATGATCTGGATAGCTAAACTACATCGATGTTTCTGGGGTGCCAGGTATAGGCTAACACTTTCTTTTTATACTTATCCCCTAAATCTCCAATTAAGTAAACCTTACCCTAGCTGACACTCCCTCAGTTTCTTCAAATCTTTTAGTCATCTTTCTTGAGGGCATTTAATGTTTTTCCTACTTTAAATTCACGCTCTTGCTAAAGACCATCTATGTAAGATAGGTGCACTATTCATGGCACAATTATGCGGTTCCCAGTTAAAATGTGATAAGGGAAGTTATAGCTGGATTCTCCTATGATGTAATGTAGTCTTTGAATGACACTTTAAACAGTCACAGCTTTTCTCCATTGGGATCCCCATTCTGCCCCTCAAAGCTGTGTGATCTTGGGTACCTCTTCACACTTCAGTTTTGCCATCTGTAAAATGGGTATAGCAATGGTATCAAACCTTAAGCGGCATTACGGAGGCCAAATATGCTAATGTGTATGTTTGGTGTAGAGTAAGCCCCAAATAAAGACTAGCCATTGTTTTCGTGGCCATTTTTTGTCTGTTGAGAAACTGTTAATGCAGCAACTTTCTCCGGGTTAGAGTTGGATTAACTAACAAGCTTCTGAGGAAAATATTAAAATTTCCCGTGATTTTCCACAGTGGCTATTTAATATATATTACATCAAGCAAGCAGGTAAAGAAAAGCAATACTTTCAGGTGTAAATACAGCACCTGGATTGGGTTGATTTTGGTAATTCGGTTTTTTTCCTTAGACAAAGCTAGGTTTTCAAGCCAAACAGTACACAGCTGTAGAAAACAGTCACTTAAAATTTCAAAAGGTTGCTCTGTATGTGTAATTACTATTATTATTATTATTTCAGACAGAGTCTTGCTCTGTCGCCCAGACTGGAGTGCAGTGGTGTGATCTCGACTCACTGCAACGCTCAAGGGATTCCCATGCCTCAGCCTCCTGAGTAGCTCGGTGTAAAATTACAGGCATGTGCCACCACGCCCGGCTAATTTTTGTATTTTTAATAGAGATGGGGTTTCGCCATGTTGGCTAGGCTGTTCTGGAACTCCTAACCTCAAGTGATCCGCCCACTTCGGCCTCCCAAGGTCCTGAGATGACAGGTGTGAGCCACCTTGCCCGGCCCCGTATGTGTAATTATGTATCTACTTTTATTCTTGATGTTGTTTATAAGTACATTCCCTCTTGTTTTTCTTACTCATTCTTACCAATGGACTTAAACTTAATTTTATTGGACTTTACAAAGAATGAGTGATTTTTTTTTTTTTTTTTGAGACGGAGACCCCGTCGCCCAGACTGGGGTACAGTGGCGCAATCTCGGCTCACTGCAAGCTCCGCCTCCCGGGTTCACGCCATTCTCCTGCCTCAGCTTGCCGAGTAGCTGGGACTACAGGCGCCCCGCCCGGCTAATTTTTTGTATTTTTAGTTTAGACGGGGTTTGTTTCACCCTGTTAGCCAGGATGGTCTCCATCTCCTGACCTCATAATCGGCCCGCCTTGGCCTCCCAAAGTGCTGGGATTACAGGCGTGAGCCACCGCGCCCAGCCGAATCAGTGATTTTACTGATCAAAAAGTATTGGTTGTTTTTTATTTATGTGACAACTTCCGCTCTTAAGTTTATGAATTCCTTTGTATATTAGATTATGGAAGTGTCTTTAAGAAATAAATACAATTTTAAAATATCTATCTACAGGTAATATCCACATCTCTATGTCTATCGATAGAGAATAACATTTAGGGAAACGGAGAGGGGAGAGGGAGCTAGAATGGAAAGGGCACCTCACAGATGATTTCTCCCCTAACAAATTTTTGTTTTGTTTTGTTTTGCTTTGAGATTTTACTTTTTTGCAAGAAGAATCTATTTAGGTATTAGTTGAATTTTTCATCGGTCAGGTCCAAAGAACAAGGGGGGGTGGGGAGGGGACGGCGGGAGAGTGTGGCAGGGTGTGGGCGGGGCAGGAAGAAATGGGGGCCCACCCTGAAGGCTTTCTTAGGTCCTTTTCTCAGCCATTTTCCTCCTTCCCCAACCGGAGAATTGCCCCGCGTGTGCAAGGAGCGGCGTGCCTCCACGCAGCAGCAACAACAACAGCCGCGCGAGTGGCCGCAGCGTCCACGCCGCCCGCGAGTGGCCGCAGCGTCCACGCCGCCAGCGCAAAGTCGGTGCGCACAGCCTGGCGCGAGTTCGAAGCTGGAGAGGGCTGTAAAATAGATTGGGGGGCGGGGGAGACCACGTGATTTTCTGGAACGCTGGCTCGCCTCTTTATTTTGATTCTCGAGTAAACTTACAATCCCCAAAATGCGTTGAGGGCATCGGAAAGAGTAAAGTCACGTTCCGCTGGAAAGGATCACTTCTTAAGTTCACATGAACCTATTCTTTGATCCTCCTTCATTGCTGCTTAAGATTTACTTCTCTTTCAAATCAAATAATGTGTTTCTTTCTCATTCTGAGAAAAGCTTTCAAGATGTGATTTCCCTTTTGAAACACTTTGAAGTCTTTCCCCAGCACATCCTTTCTTAAAGGGATTTGGTAAGAGGAGATAGGCCTGGAGGCCAGGGCATTTTAAAGTCACTTTCCAAATACCCTGTGTTCCCTTAAAGAGTCTTGAATTGAAACATCCCAGCTGCTGGAAGACGTTTCCAAATGTGACTCTGTGGCTGCAACACCCTAATGTCTTCTCTCCTAGGACCCTGGTGGGTCATAAAGACAGACAGAGCAGAAAGGAAGCCTTTAGTTTTTTAAGTAAAGCCACTTCCATGGGCTTCCTAAAACAACAAGGATTCTCACATTTAGTTAGTCCTCTCTGTTAGGACATCAAGGGAGAAACAGCTGAAATCCAGGGCTGAACATTTCCTGGCGCGGCTAGATTTGAAGCTTCCAGTATGTGGAGTATCACCTTCATTCCCTCTGGGGGCGTCTATATGGTTTGTGCCAGGTGGGAGCACCTGCCCCGTGGTGGCCAAAAATACTGACAGCAATTCAAGCTTCTCACTTCCGAATGAGATGTTTGTACACGAAGTGACCTTTAATTGTGTCTTAGAAACTCATGTCAGATCAACATGTGGTTTCACTTATTCAGGAGAGGTTATTACATTTCAAGCTGTTTTGTGTTAGTTTTTAGCATTTAAATGAAGTATTTTCTCTTTCATATATTTGATGTGGCTCAAAGAAGCTTGCTTCTTTTTCTTTTTTTTCCTTCATAGATTTTATTGTTTGATTAGATCTTTTTGTCAAGTCAGATCAAAGATGGCTTTTCCTTTCTTTAGGAGAGAGATCTTTTATGAAAACAAATCAATAGAACAGATTTCACAGTAAAGAGGCATTTTGTTTAAAAGATTTTGAAAAGAGGAAAAAGATTACAATGAGGGTAGAAGAGAGATGTTTTTATTTTTGTATTCTATTTGTCTGTCAAAGAGTTAGATGAAAGCAAATACTTTGGCATTCTCAACTTCAGATTTACTGTGGGGAGGCTTTGCAGACTCAGCTAGATAGACACATCCTTATAGAAGAATTCACTTTACCTTTTAGCATCTGGGAATATCCGAGAGCTGGTGGCTCCTCCCTACCTATCCCTGCTCCCTCCTAAGATGATGTAGATGCTGGATTCTTGGCTTTTTGGCATCTTTTTCAGATGAACTCCTTCACATGCTTCAAGAGAAAATGCAGGAGTTTCTAGATAGCATTCATGTTTTTGTAGCAACTTTTAGTTCCCTCTATCCAGGGGCTACCACAGTATATTGAAATGATGTGTTTACTTGGTGGCTATGCTGCTCTTTAGGGGCAGGAAAGGGCTGGTTCACCTTGTCCCTCTCCCTGCTTGTCGGAGCTCAACAAATATTTGTCAATCTGAACTGAACAAAGGCAGAAATGTGGTCAGTATTCCCTGTGCTATTTCTTTTTTTTCTTTTCTTTTTCTTTTTTTTTTTTTTTTGGGATGGAGTTTCGCTCTTGTTGCCCAGGCTGGAGTGCAATGGCACGATCTCTGCTCACCGCAACCTCCACCTCCTGGGTTCAAGCAATTCTCCTGCCTCAGCCTCCCGAGTAGCTGGGATTACAGGCACGCACCACTGTGCCCAGCTAATTTTGTATTTTTAGTAGAGACAGGGTTTTTCTCCATGTTGGTCAGGCTGGTCTCGAACTCCCGATCTCAGGTGATCCTCCCGCCTCAGCCTCCCAATGTGCTGGGATTACAGGCATGAGCCACCGCACCCAGCTCCTTGTGCTATTAAAAAAAGATAATTAAGATTATATTGGGAGTATTTGGCAGTCACCAGGTAAATAACATCTGTAAAACATCATAGATGGAATATATGGATGCCTCTAGACAGCACTTATTATCTCACTCAATATGTGTTTTTCTTATCTGTCTCTTTTTTTAAAATTTTTTTTTTTTTTAATTTTTTGTAGAGACAGTGGTTTCACTGTGTTGCCCAAGCTGGCCTCGAACTCCTGGGTTTAAGCAATCCTCCCACCTTGGCCTCCCAAAGTACTGGACTTACAGGTGTGAGCCACTGCACCCAGCCAGTACCTGTCTCTTCAGCCTAAAATGTCTGCTCCATCAGGGCAGGATTTTGTGGTAAACATTTAGAACAATGCCTGAGACATAGCAATAGCTCAGAAGTTATTTGAAGCAATCTACACATTTCCTCTTTCCCATTTCCGGGCATGATGAAGGGGTAAATTAAGAACAGTCATCCAAATAATTCAAGTAAAAGACAATCTTGAGGCCGGGTGAGGTGGCTCAGGCCTGTAATCCCAGCACTTTGGGAGGCTCAGGTGGGTGGATCACTTGAGGTCAGGAGTTTAAAACCAGCTTGGCCATCATAGTGAAACCCTGTCTCTACTAAAAATACAAAAAATTATCTGGGCATGGTGGTGTGCGCCTGTAATCCCTGCTACTCGGGAGGCTGAGGCAGGAGAATCGCTTGAACCCAGGAGGCAGAAGTTGCCGTGAGCCAAGATCGTGCCACCGCACTCCAGCCTGGGTGACGGATCGAGATTCTATCTCAAAAAAGAGACAATCTTAAGTGATTTGCCAATCCAGAAACCTCAGTTGTGTGGTTGCTACAATTCTCCAGTTGCCTTGGCTGTGAGTGAGGACTTAGGCATCCAGAGAGTACATCATGTATATAATAGTTGATGCCTCTCCAGTGCCCCAAACAGTATTATCAATATATCTTTTGTTTTGTTTTGTTTTGTTTTTGAGACAGAGTCTTGCTCTGTTGCCCAGGCGGAGTGCAGTGGCATGATCTTGGCTCACTGCAACCTCCTGCTCCCAGGTTCAAGTGATTCTCCTGTCTCAGCCTCCCAAGTAGCTGGGATTACAGGTGTGCACCACCACACTCAGTTCAATTTTCTATTTTTGTAGAGACAGGGTTTCTACAAAACCTGTCTGGCCATGTTGGCCAGGCTGGTCTGGAACTACTGACCTCAAGTGATTTGCCTGCCTTGGCCTCCCAAAGTACTGGGATTACAGGTGTGAGCCACTGCCCCCCGCCTCCAAACAATATATTCTTTATTCATTCAAATAATCAGGCAATTCCATGAAAACAATCAAGAAAATGCATTGGGCCGGGTGTGGTGGCTCATGCCTGTAATCCTGCACTTTGGGAGGCCAAGGCAGGAGGATCACTAGGTCAAGAGCTTGAGACCATCCTGGCCAACATGGTGAAACCCAGTCTCTACTAAAAATACAAAAATTAGCTGGGTGTGGTGGTGCGCGCGCCTGTAGTCCCAGCTACTCAGGAGGCTGAGTGAGGCAGGAGAATCGCTTGAACCCAGGAGGCGGAGGTTGCAGTGAGCTGGGATCCCACCACTGTACTCCAGCCTGGTGCCGGAACGAGACTCCGTCTCAAAAAAAAAAAAAAAAAAAAAAGCATTGATTTTTGTATCAAAGTATCCTGAAGAATTGCTGAAACAAAAATTTTAAAGTATGTCTTTTTCTCTCCATTTCTCCTAACACGCTTCAAAGGGTGGATGCTTAATAGAACTTTCTTGACTTGACCCCAGCCAAGGAAATTTAAAAAGTCAAAGCACTTGGTGTGTAGGATATAAGCTCCTTAGTGCCTGAAACCCAGTGAAGTCCTGCTCTCTGCTGTAGCTTACACACCTGGCAGAATGCCTGGCATACAGTGGGTGTTAATGAATGAATCGTGTCTGTCTCAGCTACTGTTTTATAGATTGAACTTTAGGTACCACTTCAAATCTTGAAAAGTTCTGGGAGAAATTTCCCCTGCATTTACAATGTAGTGGTTGAATGGCTAACCATTTAATTTGAACATTTAGGCGGCCACCTTGTATGCGCAATTAAGTTTCCAACCACAGTTTTGCTTGTTAATTACATATGGCCTCTGTAATTAACAACATGTGTGAAATACACCAGGCTTTTGGTAATAGAAGAAGCAACAAGGAAATATATATGTATATTTCAGAGAAATGAGCATTGAAGGAATACTGGGAGTCAAAAACAAAAAAATCAAAGCAATTAGATAGTGTTTTCCCCTTGTTTACAGCCAAGGGCCTCTGATAGCAGGTGTAGGCTCTGGTAAAAAAAAGAAAAAAGATTTTTTTTTCTCAGGCCAATGCAGTCTGGCCAGCCTAATTTATTTACTCAGTGCATTGGTTAGCTTTTTTCAATTTTTCAAAATTTTTTTTCTTTTTTTTTGTTTGAGACAGAGTCTCACTCTGTTACCAGGGCTGGAGTGCAGTGGCAGAATCTCGGCTCACTGCAACCTCTGCCTCCCTAGTTCAAACGATTCTCCTGCCTCAGTCTCCTGAGTAGCTGGGACTACAGGCGCTCACCACCACGCCACCACCACGCCTGGCTAATTTTTGTATTTTTAGTAGAGACGGGGTTTCACCATGTTGGCCAGGATAGTCTCCGTCTCTTGACCTCGTGATCTGCCTGCCTCGGCCTCCCAAAGTGCTGGGATTACAGGCATGAGCTAACGTGCCCGGCTCTTTTTTTTCTTTTTCTTTTCTTTTATTTTAAAGCAACAGGATCTTGCTCTGTCCCTCAGCCTGGAGTGCATTGGGCGGATCATAGCTCACTGTAGCCTCCAACTCTTGGGATTAGGGATTCTCCTGCCTCATCCTCCAAATTAGCTAGGAATACAGGCATATTTCATCAGGCCTGGCTTTTTTATTTTTTCGTAGAGACAGGGTCTTGCTATGTTGCCCAGGCTGGTCTTAACTCCTGGGCTCAAATGATCCTCCCACCTCAGCATCCCAAACTGCTGGATCACAGGCATGAGCCACCATGTCTGGCTGTATTGGTTAGCTTTTGCTGTTTAACAAATCACCCGAAAAGTTAATAGCTTAAAGCAACAACCATTTTTTATAGGCCATATTCTTCTTCCTTTTTTTTTTTTTTTTTTTTGAGACGGAGTCTCGCTCTGTCGCCCAGGCTGGAGTGCAGTGGCGGGATCTCGGCTCACTGCAAGCTCCGCCTCCCGGGTTCACGCCATTCTCCTGCCTCAGCCTCCCAAGTAGCTGGGACTACAGGCGCCCGCCACCACGCCCGGCTAATTTTTTGTATTTTTAGTAGAGACGGGGTTTCACCGTTTTAGCCGGGATGGTCTCGATTTCCTGACCTCGTGATCCGCCCGCCTCGGCCTCCCAAAGTGCTGGGATTACAGGCGTGAGCCACCGCGCCCGGCCTCTTCCTTTTTTTTTTGAGACAGGGTCTCACTCTGTTGCCCAGGCCAGAGTGGAGTGGTACGATCATGGCTCACTGCATCTTTGCCCTCCTGGGCCTAAGCCCCCCACCTTGGTCTCCCAAGTAGCTGGGACCACAGGCATGTGCCACCATGCCAAGCTAATCTTTTTTATCTTTGTAGAGATGGAGTCTCACTATGTTGTTCGGGCTGGTCTTGAACTCCTGAGCTCAAGTAATCCTCCCATCTTGGCCTCCCAAAATGCTGCAATTACGGGCATGAGCCACTGCACCTGGCATATTCTAGATTTAGCCAGATGAGCTGATCTCTACTGGGCTCTCTCATGTATCTGTGGTCAGCAAGTCTAGGATTGCCTTGCTCCCGCATCCACGGATTGTCACAGATACAGATACTCAAGGGGTCCTTAGCTGGGACAGGTTGTCTCTGTTCTATGTGGTCACCCATCTTCTGCCTGGGTGATACAGGGTCTTGCTGTGTTGCCTGAGCTGGAGTGCAGTGGTGCCATCGTGGCTCACGGTAGCCTCAACCTCCCAGGCTCAGGAAAATCCTCCTGCCTTAGCCTTCTAAGTAGTTGGGACCACAGGCATGCAACTACCACATCCGCTACTTTTTTATTTGTAGAGATGAGAGTCTCACTGTGTTGCCCAGGATGGTCTCAACTACTGGCCTCAAGTGATCCCGCCTTGACCTCCCAAAGTGCTGGGATTACAGCAGGTGTGAGCCACCATGCCTTCCATATATATTTTTTGAAGATTTCTAATGTGACCAGAAGTACCTGGAATTGGATGCTCCTGATAGTTGTACTTTACTCACATTTCAAATTTAGCAATAGAGATTATAAAGAATTTTTATGTATACACACTTGTGCACACATACCCTACAGTCTCGGGAATGTAGATTAGACCCTTTTTTTTTTTTGGAGATGGAGTTTCACTCTTATTCCCCAGGCTGGAGTGCAATGGTGCGATCTTGGCTTACCTCAACCTCCACTTCCTGGGTTCAAGCAATTCTCCTGCCTCAGCCTCCTGAGTAGCTGGGATTACAGGCATGTGCCACCACGCCCAATTAATTTTTGTATTTTTAGTAGAGATGGGGTTTCTCCATGTTGGTCAGGCTGGTCTCCAACTCCCGACCTCTGGTGATCCACCCGCCTCGGCCTTCCCAAAGTGCTGGGATTACAGGCGTGAGCCACCGCACCCAGCAGACTCTTGAAGTCTGTAGGGAAGAGAGGTGTCTCAGCTAACTTGAGGTATTAAGGGAATGGCATATGGCAATAATAATAACAATAACCATTATACCAATAGCTGGGTCAGGATTGCTGCCCAAGTGATCTCATGCAAATCCATTAGCCTTCCTGAGCCTTGGTTTTCACATCTTATTTTCCTGTAGGACGTTAGAGAACTACTTGAACACTGTTTGCACAAGCACACTTTAAACTTTAGTGTATTACACATACATTAGCAATTATTATGCCCAGAAAGCACTGGCTTTTTTTTGTAGCTGAACAATGTAAATCTATTTTCAGACCCAATAAAAAAGGATACATTAAAATTATTTTCTTCTATGGCTGGGCGCGGTGGCTCACGCCTGTAATCCCAGCACTTTGGGAGGCTGAGGCGGGCGGATCACCAGGTCAGGAGTTCAAGACCAGCCTGGCCAACACAGTGAAACCCCGTCTCTACTGAAAATACAAAAAATTAGCCGGGCGTAGTGGTGAGCGCCTGCACTCCCAGCTATTCAGGAAGCTGAGGCGTGGTGGCCGGCGCGTGTAATCCCAGCTACTTGGGAGGCTGAGGCAGGAGAATCGCTTGAACCCGGGATGCAGAGGTTGAGGTGAGCCGAGATTGTGCCACTGCACACCAGCCCCTGTGACAATGTGAAACTCCGTCTCAAAAAAAAAAAAAAAAATTACTTTCTTCTGCAGTAGGGATTGTCCAGGCAGAACAGCAACAACAACAAAAGAAAACAAAATAATAAGTTTATGATTGAAAATCAAATGCCTTACCCAATTTTAAATTCCAACTTTTATTTATTTTTATTTATTTATTTAATTTTATTTTATTTTTTGAGATAGAGTTCACTCTTATCGCCAAGGCTGGAGTGCAATGCAATGGTACAATCTCGGCTCACTGCAACCTCTGCCTCCCGGGTTCAAGCGATTCTCCTGCCTCAGCCTCCCAAGTAGCTGGGATTACAGGAATGTGCCACCATGCCTGGCTAATTTTTGTATTTTTAGTAGAGACGGGGTTTCACTACGTTGGTCAGGCTGGTCTCAAACTCCTGATCTCAGGTTGATCCACCTGCCTTGGCCTCCCAATTTCCAGCCTTTTAAAATTCACATTACTTTGATGATGATCACTGTGTTTGAGTAAGGATTGTGGGATCCTTGCCTTTGTGGGCTGAATATTGTATTCACAACATTGGGCACAAAACTGAATACGGTGCCTGGCTTCTAATAGGTGCTTAAGATGTCGTTTTTTGGCCACGTGCAGTGGTGGCTCACGCCTCTAATCCCAGCATTTTGGGAGGCTTGGGTGGACAGATCACTTGAGGTCAAGAGTTCGAGACCAGCCTGGCCAACATGGTGAAAACCCGCCTCTGCTAAAAATACAAAAATTAGCTGGGCGTGGTGGTGTGTGCCTGTAATCCCAGCTACTCGGGAGGCTGAGGCAGGAGGATCGCCTAAACCCAGAAGGCAGAGTTTGCAGTGAGCTGAGATCATGCCACTGCACTCCAGCCTGGGGGACAGAGTGAGACCCTGTCTCAAAAAAAAAGAAAGAAAGATGTAGGGTTTTTTTTTTTAGTTTTTTTTTTTGTTTGTTTTGTTTTTTTTTAGTTTTCTTAAGGGGGCTTTCTGGCAAAAACCAGAAAGCCTGCTAGACAAATTGTAAAAGAGTTGTAACACTAAGATGTAGTTGTTGAACAATAAAATAAATGAATGAATAAATGAACGAACTTCTGCTGTGGGATGTTCTTTTTTTTTTTTTTTCTGTTGAGATGGAGTCTCCCTCTGTCGCCCAGGCTAGAGTGCAGTGGTGCGATCTCGGCTTACTGCAACCTCTGCCTCTCAGGTTCAAGCGATTCTCCTGCCTCAGCCTCCCAAGTAGCTGGGATTACAGGCGTGTGCCACCATGCTCGGCTAATTTTTGTGTATTTAGTAGAGACGGGATTTCACCATGTTGGCCACGCTGGTCTCAAACTCCTGACCTCAGGTGATCCGCCTGCCTCGGCTTCCCAAAGTGCTGAGATTACAGGCATGTGCCACCGTGCCCAGCCTTTGCTGTGGGATGTTCTAAGTGAATGCATAAACTTTATGTTAGAGAAAGCCCCGCCCACATTTATAGGGTTTATTTCCCTATTGCAGGTTGTTATAAACTTGTGCTCAGGAGTCCTTCATCTGAAGACTGAAGTCCAGTCTAGTGCTGAGAACCACTCCCTTACCGAGAGCGAGCGCTTAGCACAACATAGCCATAATAATAGCTGCCTAATAACCTTTTCCTTTCTGCCTGGCTCAGAGCTACCTTCATTAAAAGCTTTTCTGGGGGTTTCTCTTTGTTCCAAGACCCCCTTCCTTGTCTCTGTGTGGGGGAGCTGTTCTCTTCTTTCTTCCTTCTTTCTTGGTTGTTAAACTTTTCGCTCCTTAAAACCAAAAAAAAAAAAAAAATGTTTTCCTGGCTTAGAGTTTGAGCTCTTGGGTCAGAGGATTTGGGTTTTAATCCCTGTCCTACTGTTCACTCTTGTGTGACTTTGTGCAACTTTCTTTTTCTTTTTGGCTTGCTTTTGTTGTTTTGTTTTCTTTTGAGACAGGGTCTTGCTCTGTTGCCCAGGCTGGAGTGCAGTGGTGCCAGCTGAGCTCGCTGTAACCTCTGCCTCTGGGTTTCAAGTGATCCTCCCACCTCAGCCTCTCAAGTATCTGGGATCACAGGATCGTGCCAATACGCACGGCTTTCTTTTTCTTTTTTCTTTTTTTTTTGAGACAGTCTCACTCTCGCCCAGGCTGGAGTGCAATGGCACAATCTCAGCTCACCGCAACCTCTGCCTCCCGGGTTCAAGCAATTCTCCTGCCTCAGCCTCCTGAGTAGCTGGGATTATAGGCATGTGCCACCACGTCCGACTAATTTTGTATTTTTAGTAGAGACGGGGTTTCTCCATGTTGGTCAGGCTGATCTTGAACTCCTGACCTCAGGTGATCTGCCCGCCTCAGCCTCCCAAAGTACTGGGATATAGGTGTGAGCTACCGCGCCCCGCCCTGCTTTCATTTTTTCATCTGTAAAATAAGAAAGGTAAGCCAGGCATTGTGGCTCATGCTTGTAATTCCAGCATTTTAGGAAGCCAAGATGGGAGGATCGCTTGAGCCCAGGAGTTCAGGATCAGCCTGGGCAACATAAGGAGACTCCATCTCCACAAAAATAAAAACATTAGCCAGGTGTGATGGCACACGCCTGTGGTCCCAGCTACTTGGGAGGGTGAGGTGGGAGGACTGCTTAAGCCTGGGAGGTCGGGGCTGCAGGGAGCCATTATTATGCCACTCTGCTCTCGCCTGGGCGACAGAGCAAGACCCTGTCTATAAATAAATAAATAAATAAATAAAGGAGCTAGCTGGGCGTGGTAGTGTGCGCCTGTCATCCCAGCTACTCAAGAGGTTTAGGTGGGAGGATTACTTGAGCCTGGGAGTTCAAGTCCAGCCTGGACAACGTGGTGAGACCTCATCTCTTAAAAATTAAAAATCAACAACTACAAAAAAGAGGGAGGTAGTAGGACCTATTTCATGGAATTATTATAACTATAAGAATAGTTATGTTTGGCCAGATGTGGTGGCTCATGCCTGTAATCCTAGCACTTTGGGAGGCCGAGGTGCACAGATCACAAGGTCAGGAGTTCGAGAGCAGCCTGGCCAATATGGTGAAACCCCATCTCTACTAAAAATACAAAAATTAGCTGGGCATGGTGGCGGGCGCCTGTCATCCCAGCTACTCAGGAGGCTGAGGCAGGAGAATTGCTTGAACCCGGGAGACGGAGGTTGTAGTGAGCTGAGATCATGCCACTGTACTCCAGCCTGGGCAACAGTGAGACTCTATCTCAAAAAAACAAAAAAAAAAAAAAAAAAAAGAAAGAAAAAGAAAAAAGAAAAGAAAATCTTATGTTTGGATAATATTTACTGAGTGCAGTCGGGCATGGTGGCTCACGCCTGTAATCCCAGCACTTTGGGAGGCTGAGGCGGGTGGATCACCTGAGGTCGGGAGTTTGAGACCATCCTGACCGATATGGAGAAACCCTGTCTCTACTAAAAACACAAAATTAGCCGGGCATGGTGTCACACGCCTGTAATCTCAGCTACTCGGGAGGCTGAGGCAGAAGCGCTTGAACCCAGGAGGCGGAGGTTGTGGTGAGCCAAGATCGTGCCATTGCACTCCAGCCTGGGCAACAAGAGTGAACTCCGTCTCAAAAAAAAAAAAAAATTTACTGAGTGCTTGTTATGGACTCTGAATGTGTCTCCTCAAAATTCATATGTTAAAATCTAGTCCCCAATATGGTGGTGTTTGGAGGTGGGGCTTTTGGAAGGTAATAGGTTATGAGGGATGATCTCTCATGAAAGGGATCAGTGTCCCCTTAGAAGAAGAGGCCACAGAGTTAGCTAATCCTCTTTCCACCATGTAAGACTACAGGGAGAAGTCAGCTGTGTACAACTGGTAAGACGGCCATCACCAGGGCCCAACCATACTGGTGCCCTGATCTTGGGAATTCCAGCTGTCAGAACTGAGAACTACATGTTATCTAAGCCACCCAATCTATGGTAATTTGTTATATGAGCCTGAACTAAGACAGTGCTTATTACATGTCAGACATTTTCTCATTCCTAATCATCACCGTAGAATCCATCAAGGTAGGTAAATTAAGTCATAAAAATATACCCCACCCAATGCAATAAAGCTCTTTGCATGACTATATATACCTTTAAAAACATTTTCTTTCTTTCTTTCTTTTTTTTTTTGAGATGGAGTCTCACTCTGTCACCCAGGCTGGAGTACAGTGGCACCATGTTGGCTCACTGCAACATTTGTCTCCTGGGTTCAAGTAATTATCCTGCCTCGGCCTCCCGAGTAGCTGGAATTACAGGCGCCCACCACTACGCTTGGCTAATTTTTGTATTTTTAGTAGAGACAGGGTTTCACCATGTTGGCCAAGCTGGTCTCCAACTCCTGACCTCAGGTGATCCGCCTGCTTTGGCCTCCCAAAGTGCTGGGATTACAGGCATGAGCCACTACACCCGGCCTCATCTTTTATGAATTGTCCCTTACAGAAACATCTTTGCAAACCACTTGTTTAGGAGATAGTAGAATAAAGTAATGGAAAAAATAGCTGTGGATTGTTAGGAAACAGTAGAATATTTTAAAAATAGGATAATAAAATATAGGTCTTTTTTTTTTTTTTTTTTTGAGACGGAGTCACAAGCTGGAGTGCAGTGGTGCGATCTCGGCTCACTGCAACCTCCGCCTCCAGGGTTCATGCCATTCTCCTGCCTCAGCCTCCCGAGTAGCTGGGACTACAGGCGCCCACCAGCACGCCCGGCTAATTTTTTTGTGTTTTTAGTAGAGACGGGGTTTCACCGTGTTAGCCAGGATGGTCTCGATCTCCTGACCTTGTGATCCGCCCGTCTCAGGCTCCCAAAGTGCTGGGATTACAGGAGTGAGCCACCTCGCCCGGCCAATATAGGTCTTTTTTTTAATTAAAAAAAAAAAAAAAAAAAACAAGGATGACTCACATTTTATCCTCTTGAAGAACTCAGTTGTTCTTTGAGGAGTGACTAGTTCCATGGTCAATAAATTCAGGAAATATAATCTCCCCTTGAAACTCTACAACACGTGTTCATATGTAAAATGCACTAAGAAGTTCTGTAGGAAAGAAAACAGTTTGATTTTCTCTAACCCAGCGTGTCCTATGCTGATTTAACCACAGAAATTTTTGTTGTAGTGTATTCTACGCCTTTTTAACATTGTGGAATATAGTCTGGAAAACTCTAACAGATTGCTGTGTCTACAAGAAACCCAAGCAAGCATGGTACACTCATCGGAATCAGAACGTAACTTCACATGAGGTGTTGGTTAGAATCCAAGAGGCAAGGCAGGCAAGTGACCAGCTCATTCATTTTTCTTTTTCTGTTTTTTTTTTTGAGACAGAATCTCACACTGTTGCCCAGCCTGGAGTGCAATGGCTTGATCTCGGCTCACTGCAACCTCTGCCTCTGGAGTTCAAGCAATTCTCTTGCCTCAGCCTCCTGAGTAGCTGGGATTACAGGCATGCGCTGCCATGCCCAGCTGATTTTTGTATTTTTAGTAGAGACATGATTTCACCGTGTTGGTCAGGCTGGTCTCGAAATCTCGATCTCAGGTGATCCGCCAGCCTCAGCCTCCCAAAGTGCTGGGATTACAGGTGAGAGCCACCATGCCCGGAAATATTATTTAATTGAGAAAGTTATTTATTCAGTTTTTCTATTTACACTTTCTTGGTTTTTTTCTCATGCCCACTCTGCACTCAAGTTTTCTCTCTGTATTATTTATTTATGCTTTATTATTAAAATTTATAAATAGAGGTGGGGGTCTTGCTACATTGACCAGGCTGATCTCAAATCCCTGGCCTTAAGTAATCCTCCCACCTCAGTCCCTTTCAAAGTGTTGGGATTACAGGCATGAGCCACCACTCGAGGCCAAGTTGCTTCTCTGCTTCATATGTTCCCAACTCTTCTGAAAAGAGATTTTGCTATTGTCTAAACCACTTGTGTTCAGCTTTAAAGAGAAGTACAAAGAGACTTGAAGTCATCTGAGAGTCTACCACATAGAAAAGAGCATCCTTAACTCTTGGTGAACATCGTTTTAGGCTTCTCTTACACAGTAATTTTACATAAATACAATTAAACTACAAATTCTGTGCAATATGTCATAGACTTTTTTTTTTTTTCCGAGACGGAGTCTCGCTCTGTTGCCCAGGCTGGAGTGCAGTGGTGCAATCCCAGCTCACTGCAACCTCTGCCTCCCGGGTTCAAGCGATTCTTCTGCCTCAGCTTCCTGAGGAGCTGGGACTACAGGCGCCTGCCACCACGCCCAGCTAATTTTTGTATATTCAGTAGAGATGGGGTTTCACCATATTGGCCAGTCTGGTTACAAACTCCTGACTTCGTGATCCGCCCACCTCGGCCTCCCAAAATGCTGGGATTACAGGCGTGAGCCACTGAGCCTGGCCGGTCATAGACTTTTTTCTGCAATAATAAACATAAATTAACATTATCTTTGTTAATGGATGGGCCATAGTTTATGCAACCCTTTGACAGCTTTTTGGTTTGTTTGTTTTTTTGTTTTTTGAGACGGCGTCTCACCTTTTTGCCCAAGCTGGAGTGCAGTGGCACGATTTTGGCTCGTTGCAACCTCAGCCTCCTGGGTTCAAGTGAGAGTAGCTGGGATTACAGGCAACTGCCACTGCGCCCGGCTAATTTTTGTATTTTTAGTAGAGACAGGGTTTCGCCATGTTGGCCAGGCTGGCCTCAAACTCCTGACCTCAGGTGATCCGGCCCACCTCGGCCTCCCAAAGTGTTGGGATTACAGGCGTGAGCCCCCGCCCCCAGCCTTTTTTATGTTTTATGTATATTTTTTGAGACCGAGTCTTACTCTGTCACCCAGGCTGGAGTGCAGTGGCGTGATTTCAGCTCACTGCAACCTCCGCCTCCCGGATTCGAGAGGTTCTCCTGCCTCAGCCTCCTGAGCAGCTGGGAATACAGGCATGCACCACCCCCCCAGCCAATTTTTGTATTCTTGGTAGATGCGGGGTTTCTCCATGTTGGTCAGGCTGGTCTTGAACTCCTGACCTCAGGTGATCCACCCACCTAGGCCTACCAAAATGTTGGGATTACAGGTGTGAACCACCGCGCCCAGCCCCCTTTGACAGCTTTTGAGGGACATTTAGTTTCTTTGCAATTTATAATTATTCTTAATTGAGCCTTGTGCAAACACCCTAGTGTGTCCAGACTTTAACATTTGAGAGATGTGGCCGGGCGCAGTGGCTCACGCCTGTAATCCCAGCACTTTGGGAGGCCGAGGCCAGCGGATCACGAGGTCAGGAGATCAAGACTGTCCTGGCTAACACGGTGAAACCCCGTCTTTACTAAAAATACAAAAAATTAGCCAGGCATGGTGGCGGGCGCCTGTAGTCCCAGCTACTCAGGAGGCTGAGGCAGGAGAATGGCGTGAACCCGGGAGGCGGAGCTTGCAGTCAGCCGCGATAGCGTCACTGCACTCCAGCCTGGGCAACAGAGCGAGACTCCGTCTCAAAAACAAAACAAAACAAAACAAGAAAACCTTTTGAGAGATGCTCTCCTTTTTTTTTTTTTTAATGCCTTTTCTCACTTTGTGGTCCAGGCGGGGGTGCAGTGGCGCCATCTCTGCTTGATTTCTGCTTGATGTAACCTCCGCCTCTCAGGCTCAAGTGATTCTTGTGCCTCAGCCTCCCAGGTAGCTGGGATTACAGGCGTGTGTCACCATGCCTGGCTAATTTTTGTATTTTTAGTAAAGACGGGGTTTCACCCGGTTGGCCAGGCTGGTCTTGAACTCCTGACCTCAGGTTGACCAGCCTGCTTCAGCTTCCTAAAATGCTGGGATTACAGGCGTGAGTCATTGCACTCGGCCTCTCCTTAAGGTAAATCCCTAAAGGTAATATATATCTGCATCAAAGCGAACCTCTGTTATTTTTTGTTTTATATTGCCTAACTGCCTTTTGGAAAGGTTATACCAAATTACCCTTATTCTGAATGTGCAAGAAACTTTTATTTTTATTTTAAAATTTTATTTATTTATTTATTTTGAGATAGAGTCTCGCTTTGTCACCCAGGCTGGAGTGCAGTGGCGCAATCTCGGCTCACTGCAACCTCTGCCTCCCAGGTTCAAGTGATTCTCCTGCCTCAGCCTCCTGAGTAGCTGTGATTACAGGTGCCCGCCACCACGCCCGGCTAATTTTTTTGTATTTTTAATAGAGACAGGGTTCCACCATATTGGCCAGGCTGGTCTCGAGCTCCTGACCTTGTCATCCACCCGCCTCTGCCTCCCAAAGTGCTGAGATTACAGGCATGAGCCACCGCGCCTGGTGTTAACTTTTATTTTTTTTGAGACAGGATCTTACTCTGTCACTCAGGCTAGAGTGCAGTGATACCATCATGGCTCACTGCAACCTCTGCCTCCCAGGCTCAAGCATTCCTCCCACTTCAGCCTCCCAAGTAGCTGGGACTACAGGTGCACACCACCACGCCCAGTTAATTTTTGTATTTTTTGTAGAGATGCGTTTCCTCATTTTACCCAGTCTTGTCTAGAACTCCTGGGCTTGAGTGATCTGCTCTCTTCAGCCTCCCAAAGTGCTGGGATTATAGGTGTGAGCCACTGTGCCCAGCCTGATACCTGTACTTTTACTTTCTTTCTTTTTTTTTTTTTTGAGATGGAGTCTCGCTCTGTAGCCCACGTTGGAGTGCAGTGGCGCAATCTTGGCTCACTGCAACCTCCGCCTCCCGGGTTCATGCCATTCTCTTGCCTCAGCCTCCAGAGTACCTGAGATTACAGTCACACGCCACCACACCTGGCTAATTTTTGTATTTTTAGTGGAGACGGGGGTTTCGCCATGTTGGCCAGGCTGGCCTTGAACTCCTGACCTCAGGTGATCTGCACATCTTGGCCTCCCAAAGTGCTGGGATTACAGGCATAAGCCACAGTGCCCGGTCCATATCTGCAATTTTTAACCATTTATGAGATCACTTCACTATCTTGAGATCTCCACTTTAATGTATTCAAGGAAAAATGCTTAGTTGTATTGTGAAATGGATCACTTTAGAGAAAAGAAAAATGCCTACAATACAGTGAGCTGGTCAATTTTCCAATGCCAAAAGATAAACGTGAATATCCCTTTCAGGGAATTAGCCAATGTTTCAAGCAGCATGAAGGCAAAATTTGAGTTGAACATTGTAATACAAATAGCTCTTGGGAAATTCTTATGAGTACCTTTAAATAGATGTAAATCTATTAAATCAAAGATTTAATTACTTAGTATATAATAAGCAACCCACTATTAATAATATAAGAGGTAATACTGCCTTTCAAATTTTTCCCTTTCAAATTCTTGGAATTATTAACTATGTATGCCCCAAATAATGGGTTTCTGATGGTGTATTTCCCCCTGGAAAAGAGCATTCTATGCAATGCCCAGTTCCCAGTACATAGTAGACATTCAATTAAAAAAAAAAAAGTTGAGGCCGGGTGTGGTGGTTCACACCTGTAATCCTGCCGCTTTGGGAGGCTGAGGTGGATGGATCACATGAGACCAGGAGTTCAAGACTGGCCTGTCCAACATGGCGAAAACCCGTCTCTACTAAAATTACAAAAAGTAGCCGGGTGCAGTGGCGCACGCCTGTAATCCCAGCTACCTCAGGAGGCTTAAGCACGATAATTGCTTGAATCTAGGAGGCAGAGGTTACAGTGAATTAAGATCCTGGCACTGAACTCCACTGCACTCCAGCCTGGGAGACAGAGGGAGACTCTGTTTCAAAAAAAAAAAAAAAAAAAAAAGTTGAATGAATAAATGGCATATTACAAAGTTAAAAAGTAAAGCGTCTGTCTTATCAGTCAGTTTATCTAATCAGCCAGTTGTTCAGAAGCTATTAATAGGTAACTGATGGTGTAAGTCCAGTGTGTTTTAAATAATCCTTTTCTGGACTTTTATGTTCTTCCTAAGGAGAGATAGGAAACTGGTGGACAAGTGTTGGGTTTGCTACAGTCATGTTTTCTTTGGCTCAGATGGTATTCAAACATTTTGAAATAGTCACCAACATTTCTAAAGCTTCTACATAAAAATTGGGATTTCTGGCTTTCCTTAACAAAATGTGAGCTCTGGCCACACCAGGTCCAAACTCCAAGCCGCAAGGCCATAGAAGGGCTGTGGGCAAGGGACACCTGCCCCCTCCCCCTTTGATTGCCGCGGCCCCCGCCTGGTGGCCGGCCTCTCTTTTGCCACCTGCCTGGCCCCGGGAAGGCATTTTGACTTTGCCACAGCCTGTTTCTCTTTTTAAGTTTGGTGTGTGTACATTGAAGATCTTATATTATTGCCTCAATTCAAAAAAATGTTCTTGCTCTCTCTCTCCCAAATTTTCAAGACCTCACTGCTCCTGAACCTTCTGTGATGGCCTGGGCTTTGTTCTTTGTCGTCACCAGAGAGAGTAGCAGGAACAACTCTCTAGAGAGACCCATCTCTCAGCCGACTCCACTGTAGGTTGGTGGCAATCAAAGACATCGGAATACTTTCTCCTGTGTGTGCGGGGTGGGGGAAGGGAAGGTTGAGAGAAAGGAAGAAGCATAAAGATTAGGAGGGCTGTTGCTCAACCTTCCTGTTCTGGGCCAATCGTGCCTGTCAGACCAGCTACAGAAAGACATGCACTTGTAGTATGTTTTTTTGGGGGAAAAAGTATCTTGATTCTACTCTGCTTTGAGAAAAAAAAAATACTGTTAACTCTCTTTCTCTGTATAATTAGACATCAAAATACAGAGAAATGTTCTTAGCACTTTGCTATCAGAAAAGCAGACATTTTCGACTTTGTAGATTCCATACAAGATAAACGCCTTGACCCTTGCTCCCCATCCCCAAATAAAATGCCAAACTTCAATTACCAGTTCGTAAGTAGTCTGCATCGCTTTATTTTTCCTTCTGACAGTAGGTGTTTGGTGTCAATGTACATTTTCTTACCACAATGATTTCCTTCCCTAAACTATTAATTTTGTTTTTATGAATAATACAGTATGCCCCAGTTATTATTTAGTTTGATTGTATGCTAGCCTCATGCTCTGCATTTTAATTTAAGTGTAACTGCGCAGGAAAAAAATGCAAATCTCTTCTATTCAAATTCAAAAGAAAATAAATGGATTTTTTATGGCCTAAAGGATCTATTCATTACCAAATCATTTATCTTTTCAGGAAGAACAGTTTATGTATCCAATATGCTCTCGTGCTGTCTTTATTTTCTTTATTTTTTTTCTCTTTTGATAAATATGCTCACTCTTTCAAGTCTCTCTTGAATCTCTGCCGATAGGGGCAGCTTATAGCAGCAAGAACAAGAATATAATTAATAGCATTAAACAGAAAGCAAAGGTTGCAGAGAAAGCTTGAACATATTGGATATTTTAAAAATAATAATAAACAAACCTAAAATTGGATTGTGTCAAATGAATTTTTATTTTAACAATTGTAACATTAAGAAAAAGAGATACACAGTTGGCCCTACCAAAACAAAATGACAAAGGGGTGGGAGGAGAAGTCCGTGTTTTCAACAGACTAGCTTTTTTGGGGTCTTGTTGCAAATAGCCTGAAGAGGTAGAAGCATTACTGATTTTGCTTCTAACATGATCGGCTCTTGGAAGTTTGGCATTTTGAATTCTGGGCTATATTTTTTTTATTTTTATTTATATCTTGATTAAATAAGCCAGTTTAGAGGTCACTGCATCTGGGAGGGTGTCGTAATACACAAACAGCTGTGATACACAAAGCAGTTTTCAGTAAGTATCTTTCATGTAGCAGCTGGAATGGCTTTCTCCTGAATGAGAAAGGCCCCTAAGTGAGAATAGTGGCAAGTGTGAGTTTATGTATGTCATTTTTTTAAAAAGACATTTGTCTTTTTCTAGAGTACTGTACTTTAAAAATCATATAATTGTGTTAAAGTTACCCAGAATGTTGACTTTTCCCTATTCATGTTTATGTATCAAATTGGATTTCAGGGCAAATTCAATGGGTTTCTTTGTTCTTTCTAGATTAAGTCCAGATAAATAATCTGGTTTCGTTGTGGCTGCATTGTTTAAATCATGCTAATTATAGTGCTTACAATACAATGGCAGAGGGGGCAATTTAAATGTTCATTTGAAGAAGAAAAAAATCTGATGCTGAGCTCAAAAATGTACAGTCACTCTAACCGCTCCCTGAGGGCCATTTTAAGACTGGTTTTCAAAGACTTGTTTACCTTGAAATTCTTACACACCAGGCATGCTTCTATCCTCACGACCTAGGTACGGGAATGTTAGTGGTCTCTAAGCTGACTTGGAGTCTCATGTAGATAGAGTTCTGATTTCAGAACAGGCTGCTGGCTGCTTCCATGCCCCTCAGAAGGAGCAGGGAGTCCTCCCCGGCCACAGACTTGTAGCCCTTTTTGACTGAAGGCTTCCAAAATGAAAGGAAGGGGTTGGCTTTTGAAGAGGTGAAAGAGAGATCCTTTGAGGGAAGGACTGAATGAATGAGCAGCCTCAGGCCAGGGCGAGATAATCAAGAGACTATCTGACCTCTAATTCCTTCAGAGACAAAAATAAATCAGTGCTCAAGGAGGCGCTTTTATTAATCACTGCATGTTTCCTGTCAGAAGAAATGATGGGATTAGGGTGGGAAGAGAATACACGGGACATATAAGCAAATGTTTACCTAGGCTACTTCTTTCTGGATCCTTGGGATTGGTTCTTAACTTGTTTTTTCTTGAGACAGTCTTGCTCTGTCACCCAGGCTGGAGTGCAGAGACATGATCTCAGCTCACTGCAACCTCCGCCTCCCAGGTTAAAGGGATTCTCCTGCCTCAGCCTCCCAAGTAGCTGGGATTATAGGCGCCCGCCACCACGCCTGGCTAATTTTTGTATTTTTAGTAGAGACAGGGTTTCACCATCTTGGCCAGGCTGGTCTCGAACACATGACCTCAAGTGATCCGCTCACTTTGACCTCCCGAAGTGCTAGGATTACAGGAGTGAGGCACTGGCCTGGCTCTTAACTTCAATTGTTCTCTATTTTATGATTTATGATTTATTTGGGAAATTCCTGAGGTGGGGGCAAAGGGACACGTCTAGGTCTTGGCACCGAGAACTGAAACAAATAGCACATTAGACTATATTTAGCAGATGATAATACAGACACTGAAAAACAGATTACGGATGATAAAAAAGAAAGAAATAGTGCCGTCCTGGCTTGAAAGCGATGGAATACTGAATGTGAGGCGTGGATTGTTTAGGGAATGAGTGTGGAATTTCTCTCCATAAATCACCCATTGCTCAGGGGCTAGATGACTATAGGAGGTGGGGACACAAATATATCACCTCTTGAGGAAGGAAAGAGAAGAGACTAGATGAGAATCACAACGCCAATGCCAAGGTTGGTGTTGTGTCGAAAACAGTAATACGGACAATAGATTTTGCAGAAAAAAAGAATCGGGAGCCGGTGTGGTGGCTCACGCCTGTAATCCCAGCACTTTGGGAGGCCAAGGTGGGCAGATCACCTGAGGTCAGGAGTTGGAGACCAGCCTGACCAACATGGTGAAACCCCATCTCTACTACAAATACAAAAATTAGCCGGGCTTGGTGGCAGGCCCCTGTAATCCCAGCTACTCAGGAGGGTGAGACAAGAGAATCGTTTGAGCCCGTGAGGGGGAGGTTGCAGTGAGCCGAGATCGTGCCACTGCACTCCAGCCTGGGTGACAGAGCCAGATTCTGTCTCAAAAAATAATAATAATAATTGGGAAAAAAATAAATAATTGGGAGTGGACTTTTGCTTTGCCCCCATTTCCAGGAATTGTGCATGACTCAAAGTTACTGCTTTGAGTAGCCCAACTACAGTTGTTGGGCTGATCTGCTCACTCTTTAAGACCCTGGACAAATTCATCAAGCTTTTGCTTTGCACCCCTGTTCCCTCAGCTATAAAATGGGTTTAATAAGAATTCATTCCGGCCGGGTGTGATGGCTCACAGCTGTTATCCCAGCATTTTGGGAGGCCGAGGCGGGTGGATCAACTGAGGTCGGGAGTTTGAGACCAGCCTAACCAACATGGAAAAACCCCGTCTCTACTAAAAATACAAAATTAGCCGGGCGTGGTGGCACATGCCTGTAATCTTAGCTACTCTGAAGGCTGAGGCAGGAGAATCGTTTGAACCTGGGATGCGGAGGTTGCGGTGAGTGGATATTGCGCCATTGCACTGCAGCCCGGGCAACAAGAGCGAAACTCCGTCTCAAAAACAACAAAAAAAAAGAATTCATTCCATTTGGTTGTTGCAAAGATAACAGGCGATAATGTACATAGAACGTTTAGCTACACCTGGCTAAAGCTAGGTCTTAGATAACAAGAATGAGACTGGGCATAGTATCTCATGCCTATAATCCCAGTGCTTTGGGAGGCCAAGGCAGGAAGATTGTTAGAGACCAGGAGTTCAAGGCCAGCCTGGGCAACATAGTGAGACCCTGTCTCTACAAAAAAATAAAAATAAAAAAAAGATAATGAAAACACACCAAATTTGTAGAAATACCAGAAAATCTTATTTTAGTTATTCCTTTTTGGCTTCTTTTTGTTTTGTTTTGTGTGCAGTGGCACAATCATTGCTTAACTGCAGCTGCGACCTCCTGGGCTCAGCCTCACAAGTAGGTGGGACCACAGGTGCGTGACATGCCTGGCTAATTTTTTTTTTTTTTTCTGAGACAGAGTCTCGCTCTATTGCCCAGTCTGGAGTGCAGTGATGCAATCTTGGCTCACTGCAGCCTCTGCTTCCCAGGTTCAAGTGATTCTCTTGCTTCAGCCTCCTGAATAGCTGGGATCACCGGTGCACACCACCACGCCTGGCTAATTTTTGTATTTTTAGTAGAGACTGGGCTTTGGCATGTTGGCCAGGCTGGTCTTGAACTCCTAACCTCAAGCAATTTGCCTGCCTCAGCCTCCCAAAGTGCTGGGATTATAGGCATGAGCCATTGTGCCCAGCCGAAAAGAGTTACTTTTATAAAAAAACTATTGCAGGCTGGGCAATATAGTGAGACCCCATCTCTATAAAAACTAAAGAAAATTAGCTGAACATGGTGGCATGTACCTGTCGTCCCAGCTACTTCAGCCTGGGTGACAGAGTAAGGTTCTGTCCCCAAAAATATATATACTGTTGTTTGCTTCTTTATATACTTGTATGATAAAGGCCATACCATATAATTTAAGAGCTGCAAAGTTTTCTTTACTGTTCTTTTACAGATTGGCTTGAAGTTGTACAAAATTAAACACAAGAAATACATGTGGCCAGGCACAGTGGCTCATGCCTGTAATCCCAGCACTTTAGGAGGCTGGGGTGGGCAAATTGATTGAGCTCGGGAGTTCGACACCAGCCTGGGCAACATGGTAAAACCCCGTCTCTACTAAAAATACAAAAATTAGTCTGGGTGCGGTGGCTTACGGTTGTAATCCCAGCACTTTGGGAGGCTGAGGTGGGCAGATCACGTGGTTAGGAGTTTGAGACCAGTCTGACTAACATGGTGAAACCCCGTCTCTACTAAAAATACAAAAATTAGCTGGGCATGGTGGCGTGCACCTGTAATCCCAGCTATTTGGGAGACTGAGGCAGGAGAATCGCTTGAACCTGGGAGGTAGAGGTTGCAGTAAGCCGAGATTGTGCCACTGCACTGCAGCCTGGGTGACAGAGCAAGACTCTATCTCAAAAAAAAAAAAAAAAGCAGGAAAAAAACAAACAAAAAACAATGAAAATTAGCAGGGCCTGGTGGTGCACACCTGTAATTCCAGCTACTTGGGAGGCTGAGGCATGAGAATCCCTTGAACCTGGGAGGTGGAGGTTGTAGTGAGTCAAGATGGAGCCACTGCATTCCAGCCTGGATGACAGAGCAAGACTCCGTCTCAAAAAATTAAAAAAAAAAAAAAGAGATCTAACAGAAGTTGAGACTCACAGTATACCTAGCACGCTTCTCAGTGATTAGCTTATTTAATCCCCAGAACAGCTTAGTGAAGGAGGCATTATTTATTATTCCCATTTCACAGATGAGAAAACAGAGGCTTAACAATATGAAGTGACCATGTAAATTCCCATGGCAGTGACAGTGGAGCTGGGATTTGAATGTTAGCAGCCTTGATGCTTAACTCGATTTTTCTTTCTTCTGTTTTCTTACCACAGTACTAAGGAGGGACTTAATGCCATTTGTTCCCTACCCACTTGGCATTCATTCCTACCTGCCTTTGCTAACTGGCATTACTGATTGTCCACTAGATGCAACACCTATGCTAAACAATGGGGAACACAAAGATCTTAGGGATTTTTTTTTTTTTTTGAGACGGAGTCTCGCTCTGTTGCCCAGGCTGGTGTGCAGTTGCGTGATCTCGGCTCACTGCAAGCTCCGTCTCCTGGGTTCAGGCCATTCTCCTGCCTCAGCCTCCCGAGTAGCTGGGACTACAGTCGCCCACCACCACGCCCAGCTAATTTTTTGTATTTTTAGTAGAGACGGGGTTTTACCGTGTTGGCCAGGATGGTCTCGATCTCCTGTCCTCGTGATCTGCCTGCCTTGGCCTCCCAAAGTGCTGGGATTACAGGCATGAGCCACCGTGCCCGGCTGATCTTAGGGATTAACTGATTGATTGATTGACTGATTTATCTTTTTTCAACCCTGGCCTACAGAAGATCTTTGGAATTCACATAAGGTTTTTCTTGGGCCGGGCATGGTGGCTCACGCCTGTAATCCCAGCACTTTGAGAGGCCAAGGTGGGTGGATCACCTGAGGTCAGGAGTTCAAGACCAGCCTGGCCAACATGGTGAAGCCCTGTGTCTACTAAAAATACAAAAATTAGCGGGGTGTGGTGGTGGGCGCCTGTAATCCCAGCTACTTGGGAGGCTGAGGCAGAAGAGGTGGAGGTTGCAGTGAGCCAAGATCACACCACTGCACTCCAACCTGGGTGACAGAGAGAGACCCTGACTCAAAAATAAATAAATAAATAAATATATACGATTTTTTTTTTTTTGGAGGCAGGGCCTTGCTGGATCACCCAGGCTAGAGTGCAGGCACAATCTCGGCTCATTGCAACCCCCGCTTCCCAGGCTCAAGACATCTCCCACCTCAGCCTCCTGAGTAGCTGGGACTACAGGCACGTGCCACCACACCTGGCTAATTTTTTGTATTTTTGGTAGAGACGGGGGTCTCACTATGGTATCCAGGCTGGTCTCAAACTCCTGAGCTCAAGTGATCATCCCGCCTCAGCCTCCCCAAGTGCTGGAATTACAGGCGTGAGTCCCCTCCCTCGGTCGATTTTAGGAATGTAAAGGCTGGTAGAGCACTTCCAACTCCCTGTGTTTGGATTCACGGATTCTTCATGGAGCATTTCCCCAGGAAAAGACACACAAACAGATTAGGTGCACAATTACAGGGGTTTCATTAATATTCTCCAAGTTTATTTATGGATTCCCTAGACTTCCAAGATAAGGGCACTTGGTTTTACAGCATAATCCCCATATTTTATCACCCATAGGTTCACAGGATTGGGTGACTTGTTCAGGAGACTTAGTGAAGTGTTGTTCGTTTAATGTCTACGCTAAGTGAGTAAATGTATGGTCCTCAGTATTCTCAACCCTAAGTTACGGAATTGCTAGACACAGGGCCAGCTTCATGGGTGTATGTCTTGGGCAGCAGTTGCTTAGGGCTCTGTGCTCGGAAGCAGCCCGTCTCGAATGTCTGGGCTCAAGCAGTCTTCCCTCCTCAGCCTCCCAAAGTGCTGGGACTGCGCGCATGCACTACTGCACCCTGCCACTTTGAAATTTTTAATAACTTTTTGAACAAGAAGCCATGTGTTTTCATTTTGCACTGGACCTTACAAATTATGTAGCTGGCCCTTATTAGACATTGTGACACCTAAGAGAGACCACCCCCTGGGAGGACTGAACACTTGAAAAAATAATATTTATTGAGCAGGTATTAATTCATTTAACCTTCACAATGACCCGGTGTGGCAGGTTCTAATTTTACCCACATTTTACAGATGAGGAAAGCATTCTGTAAATGCAGTCAATTCTTGAAATGTCTAGTGTTGCTTAGTAATTAGAGGGCCTTACTTATGACCAAGAAGTTTACAATTTTGCCTATTTGCATACATTCTCCATCTATTTTAAACAAACAAGAGCCAAAAAACAAAACAAAACAAGCAACAACAACAACAAAACAAGAAAAAGTTGAGCCCCAGCTGTGCAGATTTCTTTCTGAAAACACTGGGTTATTATATTGAGTATTTTAGTACTAATTTAGAAAGTATTTTGATCTTGATTCGTCTACTGATCATGTCAGAATCCAACTCTGAATAATACTGAACGTGATTAGAGTCCCCAGAACTGAGCCAGACTGGGTCTGCAGAAAGTTCTTACAGCTACCAAAGATGGCTTGATATGTGTCTGGTGGGGGTAGGGAGGAGAGTGTGGCCTGTGGTTCCTCACAGCGGGGAGCAAGTGGCCTGTGGGTGGAAGAAACTGTCACTTCACCTGCAGCTGGGGGCACCCATCTTATTCATTACAAGGTCTGAGGAAGCTGGTTTACCAGGTCAGAATTCAGAAACGTGGATTTCACCTTTACCAGCTACTCAGCCCTAAGGCAGTTCACAATCTGAGTAACCATGGGCTGCTGAATTGTGATTGTTTAAAAACAGGCCGGGCTCAGTGGCTCATGCCTGTAATCCCAGCACTTTGGGAGGCTGAGGTGGGTGGATCACGAGGTCAGGAGATCGAGATCATCTGGGTAACATAGTGAAACCCTGTCTCTACTGAAAAAAAAAAAATACAAAAATTGGCTGGGTGTGGTGGTGCGTGCCTGTAATCCCAAGCTACTCGGGAGGCTGAGGCAGGAGAATCGCATGAACCCAGGAGGCAGAGGTTGCAGTGAGCTGAGATTGTGTTACTGCACTCCAGCCTGGCAACAAAGCTAGACTCCGTCTCAAAAAATATAAATAAATAAATAAAAATAATATGGCCCAGCCTGGGCACCGTGGCTCACGCCTGTATTCCTAGCACTTTGGGAGGCCAAGGTGGGTGGATAGCCTGAGGTCAGGAGTTTGAGACCAGCCTGGTTGGTGAAACCTCGTCTATATTAAAAAAATACAAAAAATTAGCTGGGCATGGTGGCGGGCGCCTGTAATCCCAGCTACTCGGGAGGCTGAGGCAGGAGAATCGCTTGAATCCAGGAGGTGGAGGTTGCAGTGAGCCGAGATTGTGCCACTGTACTCCAACCTGGGCAACAAGAGCAAAACTCTGTCTCAAAAAATATATAATAATAATAATAATAATAATATGGCTGGGTGTGGTGGCTCACGCCTGTAATCCCAGCACTTTGGGAGGCTGAGGCGGGTGGATCACCTGAGGTCAGGAGTTTGAGACCAGCCTCCAACATGGTGAAACTCCATCTCTACTAAAAACACAAAAAAATTAGCCAGGCGTAGTGGTGCACGCCTGTAATCCCAGCTACTCAGGAGGCTGAGAAAGGAGAATCACTTAAACCCAGAAGGCGGAGGTTGCAGTGAGCTGAGATCGTGCCATTGCACTGCAGCCTGGGCGAGGAGCGAAACTCTATCTCAAAAAAAATAAATAAATAAAATAAAAATAATATGGATTGCTAACTCAAAAGAGAACTGAAAGTTTTTTCTCTTCGCACTAAATAAAACCTCCCAAACTGTGGGGCCTTTAGATGCTAAAAGAAATGCTAGATTTTCTAATTAGTCTTCTCTAATAAAATACTTTTACAGTTTTCTGTGCCAACTGGTATATTATTCCCATAATTATTTGATTAAAAAGGAATGAAGTTCTTTGAAAACCATATTATGGTAATATTAGAACTGAAATTATACTTGTCATTTCATACTATTGCCTATGGAGTTTTTGATCTTTCTCATTATGCCGATTTGTGAGATTTCTTTTTCTTTCTGTGGGAAAACCCTGTGGACTTCTCTTCTTCCCTCCCGCCCTTCTTTCCTTCCTCCCTTCCTTCTTTCCTTCCAAAAGAAATGAACTGGTTTATTATTTTGTAGGATATGCATTATTTCCTATATAATTTTGGGACAAGCTGGTTTCCTTTCATGAGTAATTTATTAATACACTGTATTTAAAAAATCTAAATATAGGGGTGTGGGGATGGGAAAAAAAGAAAAAACTAAATATTATAATTGAGCCTGATTGCATGATATGTATTCATGTATTTCAGCCTAAACATGAAAATAAATACCCAAGTTTCTTTTTAAACACCCAGTATTTAAAAGTGCTAGGCTCTGCAACAGGCGCTGTAAATATTGAGCTGATGAAAACCAGTTTAAACAATTATTGCTTTATTTTAAACATTTATTGAGGTTCTATGCTAAGAACCTCTAGATTCTCTGAATTTTTTTTCTACTTTAAAAAATAGAGACGGGATCTCACTACGTTGCCCAGGCTGGTCTTGAACTCCTGGGCTCAGTGATTCTCCCACCTTGGCCTCCCAGAGTGCTAGGATTAAAGGCATGGGCCACCATACCCAGCCTAGATTGTCTCATTTAATCCAGAGAAACATGCAAGGAGATGATATTATTATCCATGTATTACTCATGAGAAACACCCAGAGAGATTAAGTAACTTGTCCAAGGACACACAGCTATTGAATGGTGGTGCTGATTATAAAACTAGATCTGTCTGATTGCAAATCAAGATCACTTATAACTGTTGGGTGTGGTGGCTCACACATATAATCCCAGCACTTTGGGAGGCTGAGGTGGGAAAATTGGCTTGAAGCCAAGAGTACCAAACCAGCCTGGTCAACATATCAAGACTGTTTCTACAGGCCGGGCGCGGTGGCTCACGCCTGTAATCCCAGCACTTTGGGAGGCTGAGGCGGGCGGATCACGAGGTCAGGAGATCATCAAGACCATCCTAGCTAACACGGTGAAACCCCGTCTCTACTAAAAATACAAAAAATTAGCCGGGCGTGGTGGCGGGCGCCTGTAGTCCCAGCTACTCGGGAGCGTGAGGCAGGAGAATGGCGTGAACCTGGGAGGCGGAGCTTGCAGTGAGCCAAGATCGCGCCACTGCACTCCAGCCTGGGCGACAGAGCAAGACTCCGTCTCAAAAAAAAAAAAAAAAGAAAAAAAGACTGTCTCTACAAAAATAGAAAAACAGAAAAATTAACTGTGCATCATGGTGTGCACCTGTATTCCCAGCTATTGGGGAGGCAGAGGCTAGAGGATTGCTTGAGCCCAGAAGTTTGAGGCTGTAGTGAGCTGTGGTGACATCACTGCACTCCAGCCTGAGCGACAGAGAGAAGGAAAAAAAACCAAAAAACCAAGCACTTACAACTTACTTTCATTCTAGGAGTCCTATTTAGTTGAATTGAGAAGAAAACCAAGAGGGTTAAGGCATTCACAGGGCTTAGTGCCTTATTTGTCTTATGTGACTCACATCTGTTCCCGTCTCTCAAATAAAACTAAAAGTGTGACACCTTTTGATTTGATTCAGTTTATTTTGGTTTCCAAATAAAACAAGACTCACTTGCTTCTTTTTGTTGTTGTTGTTTTTGTTGTTTTGAGACCGAGTCTTGCTCTGTCACCCAGGCTGTAGTGCAGTGGTGCGATCTTGACTCACTGCAACCTTCGCCTTCTGGGTTCAAGCAATTCTCCTGCGTCAGTCAGCCTCCTGAGCAGCTAGGACTACAGGTGCGTACCACCACGCCCAGCTGATTTTTGTATTTTTAGTAGAGACAGGGTTTCACCATATTGGTCAGGCTGGTCTCAAACTCCTGACCTCGTGATCCACCTGCCTCGGCCTCCCAAAGTGCTGGGATTATAGGTGTGAGCCACCACGCCTGGCAGTTTGTTTTTTTTTTTAGGTGGAGTTTTGCTCTTGTTGCTCAGGCTGGAGTGCAATGGCACGATCTTGGCACACCGCAACTTCTGCCTCCTGGGTTCAAGTAAGTCTCCTGCCTCAGCCTCCCGAGTAGCTGTGCCACCACATCCAGCTAATTTTTTTTTTTTTTTTTTTTTGAGACAGAGTCTCGTTCTGTCACCAGGCTGGAGTGCAGTGGCACCATCTCGGCTCATTGCAACCTCTGTGTCCCAGGATCAAGTGATTCTCCTGCCTCAGCCTCCCGAGTAGCTGGAACTACAGGCACGAACCACCACGCCCAGCTAATTTTTGTATTTTTAGTAGAGACAGGGTTTCACCATGTTGGCCAGGATGGTCTCGATCTCTTGAGCTTGTGATCCGCCCGCCTTAGCCTCCCAAAGTGCTGGGATTATAGGCGTGAGCCACTGCGCCAGGCCAAATTTTGTATTTTTAATAGAGACGGGGTTTCTCCATGTTAGTCAGGCTGGTCTTGAACTCCTGACCTCAGGTGATCCACCCTCCTCGGCCTCCCAAAGTGCTGGGATTACAGGCATAAGCCACCACACCTGGCTTTTATTATTATTATTATTTTGAGATGGAGTCTTGCTCTGTCGCCCAGGCTGGAATGCAGTGGCATGATCTTGGCTCATTGCAACCTCCGCCTCCCAGATTCAAGTGATTCTCGTGCCTCAGCCTCCCAAGTAGCCGGGACTACAGGTACGTACCATCACGCCCAGCTAATTTTTGTATTTTTAGTACAGATAGGGTTTCACCATGTTGGTCGGGCTGGTCTCAAACTCCTGAGCTCAAGTGATCCACCTACCTTGGCCTCCCAAAGTGCTGGGATTACAGGCGTGAGCCAATATGCCCAGCTTTGCTTCTAAGCATTTAAACTCTGGAGCTAGACTGTGTGTGTTTGAATCTCAACTCTGCCCCTAACAAATCATGTGGATGTGTACAGGTTGTTTCACTTTCCTGAGACTCAGTTTCCCAGTCCAGAAAATCGGGATAATGATAGTGGCCCACTTAAAAATGTTATGGGGATCAAATGAGATCTAGGTAAAACACAGGCAGAAACTGGGGTCTGCCTTATTAAGCTTAATAGCTTTGCCTGATGATTAAATTTTCTTTTTTTCTTATTTATTTTTTTGGTGATGATTGAATTTTTTTTTTAAGTTGACAAATTTAACCATTAGGAAAAACATTTTTTTCAAAAAGGCCCTATATGGGCGCAGTGGCTCACCCCTGTATCCCAGCACTTTGGGAAGCTGAGAAGGGCGGATCATGAGGTCAGGAGATTGAGATCATCCTGGCTAATACGGTGAAAACCTGTCTCTACTAAAAAAATACAAAAAATTAGCCGGGCATGGTGGCACACACCTGTAGTCCCAGCTTCTTGGGAGTCTGAGACAGGAGAATCACTTGAACCCGGGAGGTGGAGTTTGCAGTGAACTGAGATCACACCACTGCACTCCAGCCTGGGTGACAGAGCGAGACCATCTCAAAAAGAAAAAAAAAAAAGGCCCTAGATTTCTGGCTTCTAAAACTTCATACTTTTTGAAATTGAAAAAAGAGCTGGACTTTAAAGAATGAATTGGAGGAAAAAAAAAATTCAAGGTGAATAGATGGGGAAAAAGTGAGCCAGCATGAGGAAAACATGCAGATGTCTTTAGGTAAGATCAAGTAGCGCCAGGCGTGGTCGCTCACGCCTATAATTCCAGTGCCTTGGGAGGCTGAGGCAGGAGGATCACTTGAGCCCAGGAGTCTGAGACCAGCTTGGTCAACATAGTGAGACTTCATCTCTACAAAAAAGAAAAAAAAAATTAGCTGGACATGATGGCAGGAGGATCACTTGAGCCCAGGAATTCAAGCCATGATTGTACTGCTGCACTCCAGCCTGGGTGACAGAGCGAGACCCTGTCTCAAAAAGAAAAAAACACAAAACACCAGTTTACTCAGGCAGCAGATAGATTGTATCTATCAGGGAGATAGATTGTATAAGCACAGGAGTGGAAGCCAAGGGTCCAGTGTGGAAGCTCCTGCAATTATCAACTGTAGGAGGTTAGATTGGAGGGGTGTCCGTAGGGAAGATGAAGCGGGTGAACAGTTTTGAGAGATTCTTGGGCAGCAAAATTGGCAGGACAGGTTGATGGTTTAGACAAGCAAGGCGAGGAGGAAGGAGGTATCACGGCTGACTCATAGTGTTTTTAACCAGGGAAGCAGGAAAAACTGGAAGAAGAGACGCTATTAAATTATGTAGGTAAGAGGTCCTGAAGATGCTGAGTCAATGACAGTAGGACTGGCAGGAGGACTCCAGGGCACTGCAGGGATATAATCAATAGGGTTTGGCAGCTGATCGGCCATTGGGAGAAGGCTTTATGGGACAGGGAAGGATCTAGAAGGACTTCAGCCCCAAGCAGGGGTTGCTGTTTTTGTCTTGAATATGTAGAGTGGGATTATGAAGCTGTGTCACATGAAATACCCTCAAATCTGTCCATTTATACATACATGAGCTGGTCTGTGAATGGTTGGAGGGAAGCAGCTCAAAAAGGGAAGAGTAGAGTTTTTCAGCCTCAACAAGGTATGATCATTAGAGTTAAAGGGAAAAAAGACTTTGTTAATGAACCCATCAGAGACACTTTGGAACCTACTGCAGCCATAGAAACTGACCTGGAGGCCGGGCGCGGTGGCTCACGCCTGTAATCCCAGTACTTTGGGAGGCTGAGATGGGTGGATCACCTGAGATCAGGAGTTCGAGACCAGCCTGGCCAACATGGTGAAACCCCATCTGTACTAAAAAATACAAAAATTAGCTGAGAGTGGTGGCAGGTGCCTGTAATCCCAGCCACTCGGAAGGCTGAGGCAGGAGAATCGCTTGAACCCAGGAGATGAAGGTTGCAGTGAGCCGAGATCACGCCACTGCACTCTTGCCTGGGCGACAGAGCAAGACTGTCTCAAAAACAAACAAAAAAACAAAGGCCCTTACCGTAGCCTCTGACTCTCTCATTATATTATTACCATTGGAGCACTTTTCATCCCTTTCAGGATTAACCTGTCTTAGCTGTATGTGTTACCTGGTTTATACCTGTGTCTCTCCTGCTCGAGTGTCACCTCTGTCAGGGCCATGTCCCCCCGCCCAGCCACCCGCCTCGTTCAATCCCATTTGCTGCTGTATGTCCAGCTGTGATGGCACTGCCTGACACTTAGTAGGTGCTTGAAACATGTTTTTTGAAGTGGATTGGCTTAAGCCACCCTGAATGCTAAACGCTAGTATTTGGGTGCACCATAGTGACCGTTCTCCTAGGGAAAGCTTTTCACACATTCAAATCTGTTGCTACAGGCAGCGTTCGTGCACACACAAACAGATCCAAGTAAGCGGTGGCTGCAACCCAGTCCTGAGTCAATGGGTTTGGCAGGACAGCAATTAGCCACACATTCTGAGGAAGTGGAGCATCAATCATCCAACTCCTTTTAAGGCATGAGTTAGCTGTATACTTTTGAAATTAGCTTTATGGAGGCATAAGAATGATATCATGGACTTTGGGGACTCAGGGGAAAGAGTGGGAGGGGGTTGAGGGATAAAAGACTACCCACTGGTTGTAGTGTACACGGCTCAAGGGATGTGGCCACCAAAATCTCAGAAATCACCACTAAAGAATTTTCTATGCAACAAAACACCACCCGTTCCCCAAAAACTAGTTAAAAAAATAAAAGATTGTTGGGATTAACAGAAAAAAATAAGATAAAATTATCGTTATTGAAATATAATTCTCATGCCGTATGACCCACTAATTTAAAGTGTACAAACGCAATGATTTTTAGCATGTTCAGAGTCGTGCGACCATCACTGCTATCTCACTCCGAACATTTTCCTCACCCCAAAAGGAAACCCCTTATTCATTAACACTCTCCTCCCATTTCCCCTCCAACCCTAGGAAACCACGAATCTACTTTCTGTTTCTTTCAATTTGCCTATTCTGCACATTGTGTATAAGTGAAATTATGCAGTTTGTGGCCCTTTGTGTCGGTCTTCATTCACTAAACATAATGTTTTCTTTTGTTGTTGTTTTGAGACAGAGTTTCGCTCTTGTTGCCCAGGCTGGAGTGCAATGGGGTGATCTCCGTTCACTGCAACCTCCGCCTCCTGGGTTCAAGCAATTCTCCTACCTCAGCCTCCCAGGTAGCTGGGATTACAGGCACCCGCCACCACATACGGCTAATTTTTTGTATTTAGTAGAGACTGGGTTTCACTGTGTTGGTCAAGCTGGTCTCGAACTCCTGACCTCAGGTGATCCACCTGCCTCGGCCTCCCAAAGTGCTAAGATTATTGGTGTGAGCCACCGCGCCTGGCCACGTAATGGTTTCAAAGTTCATCCATGTTGTAGCATGTATGAGTACTTTATTCCTTTTTATTGCTAAATAATTTTCCATTTTACATATTGATTCTTCTGTTGATGGACATTTGGGTTTTTTCCATTTCTTGGCTACTATGAATATATATATATATATATATATATTTTTTTTTTTTTTTTTTTTTTTTTTTTTTTGAGATGGAGTCTCACTCTGTTGCCCAGGCTGGAGTGCAGTGGCATGATCGTGGCTCACTGCAACCTCTACTGCCCAGGTTCAAGTGATTCTCCTGCCTCAGCCTCCCGAGTAGCTGGGATTACAGGCACCTGCCAGTGCGCTTGGCTAATTTTTGTAGTTTTTAGTAGAGATGGGGTTTCACCATCTTGGCAAACTCTTGACCTCGTGATCCACCTGCCTCAGCCTCCCAGTGTGCTGGGATTACAGGCGTGAGCCACCGTGCCCGGCCAAATTTGTTTTTTTTTGTTGTTTTTTTGTTTTTTTTGTTTTTGAGACGGAGTCTTGCACTGTTGCCCAGGCTGGAGTGCAGTGGCGCGATCTCTGCTTACTGCAAGCTCTGCCTCCTGGGTTCAGGCCATTCTCCTGCCTCAGCCTCCTGAGTAGCCAGGACTACAGGTATGCACCACCATGCCTGGCTAATTTTGTATTTTTGGTGGGACTGGGTTTTGCCATGTTGGCCAGGATGGTCTCCAACTATCGACCTCAGGTGATCCACCCACCTTGGCCTCCCAAAGTGCTGGGATTACAGGCACGAGCCACCGCGCCCAGCACTGTGCTAATATGTTTTAAACAACTTTCTAATACTTGCAGACCTTTCTTTGGAACCAAGAGAGCTGGTCTCTCCTTCATCAGGGCCTTCGGCAGGCAATGCTACCTGGCTAGAAGTTAGCTTTTTTTTTTTTTCTTTGGCATATTTTTCAGCGGTTACCTTCTGTTTATGGAAAATGATATTGATTTTTCATTTACAGAGGTGATACAGTTTCTTTTTTTGGCCTTGATTCATCACCTCTTAACAGTTTCATTTTACAAAACTAATTTAAAGTAGAAGCTGTCGGCCGGGCACGATGGCTCACGCCTGTAATCCCAGCACTTTGGGAGGCCGAGACAGGCGGATCACGAGGTCAGGAGATCGAGACCATCCTGGCTAACACGGTGAAACCCCGTATCTGCTAAAAATTCAAAAAAAAAAGTTAGCCGGGCATGCTCGTGAGCGCCTGTAGTCCCAGCTACTCGGGAGGCTGAGGCAGGAGAATGGCGTGAACCCGGGAGGCGGAGCTTGCAGTGAGCCGAGATCCTGCCACTGCACTCCAGCCTGGGCGACAGAGCGAGACTCTGGCTCAAAAAAAAAAAAAAAAAAAAAAAAGTCGAAGCTGTCTATTAAAAATAAATGATAGTAATAATCTAACGTGGTTCATGAGGAAATTTAAAAACAATAAGGCACCTGTAATTCCAGCACTTTAGGAGGCCGTGGAGGGTGGATCACTTGAGGTTAGGCGCTCAAGACCAGTCTGGCCAACATGGTGAAGCCCCATCTCAACTAAAAATACTAAAATTAGCAAGGTGTGGTGATGCACATCTGTAATCCCAGCTACTCAGGAGACTGAGGCAGAAGAATCACTTGAACCTGGATGTCAGATATTGCAGTGAGCTGAGCTCATACCACTGCACTCCAGCCTGGGCGACAGAGTGAGTGAGATTCCATCTCAAAAACAAAGAAACAAACAAACAAAACACACACAAAAAAAAAACCACACAAAAAAATAAGGCTCTTAGCAAAATAATAGCTAAGTGTTTTTATTTTATTTTATTTTAAAATTGTACCAAAACCATAGATGAAACTAAGTGTTTTTTTATATCTTCATTAAGTGACAATCAGTTTGTTTGTTTTGGTTTTTTTTTTTTTTAATTATTTAGGGATGGGAGTCTTCCCTTGTTGTCCAGACTGGTTTCAAACTCCTGGCCTCAAATGATCCTCACACCTCAGCCTCCCAAAGTGCTGAGATTACAGGCGTGGGCCACCACTCCCAGGCACCAATCACAGTTCTAAGAATTTTACATAGATCAACTTTGTTGAGTCCTCACCATTCTCATCCCACAGATGAGGAAACTGAGTCGCAGAGAGGCTAAATGCATTGTTCAGGGTCACATAGCTGGTTGTGAAGGTGGTGTGTGAATGGCAGGTTTGGAAAGGCCAGGTGTAGGGGCTACATTGTGGAATGCCCCCGGCTCATGATGACTACTTAACTTCCCTCTCCCCTCCTCTTTGCATGCAGTGGGCCCCCAGCTTCTGGCTTGTACTAAACACTCTGCTCTCCCAACTGTTATGGAATGAAACGGGAGCAAGACTTGATGCATACTGGGTAAATCTAACCCTGCCCTGAAAATTTGGAATAATTACTGAAGAAGATGTCATCTGCACAGTAGCACTGAAGTAAATCCAATTACTCAGGGGAGCCCTGGACGCCGTCATTTTCCTCAGATGCAGTCAATCTGCAGGAGAGAGAAGAACGAATACATGCAGAGAGAGGCAAAGTGGAGAGATGGGGTCTTCCTGAGCCCCAGTGTTTCCACTTCTTAGACCTGGTCCTTTCTCATCCACGTCAGGCTGCACCCCTCAACTTGTCTTTTGGTAACTGCCCCCATTCAACCTAAGCTAGCTGGGGTTGGTTTTTGCTTTACTTAATAAAAACATTTCTTTCTTTCTTTCTTTTTTTTTTTTTTTTTGAGACCGAGTCTCGCTCTGTCGCCCAGACTGGAGTGCAGTGGCACGATCTCGGCTCACTGCAACCTCCGCCTCCTGGGTTCAGGCCATTCTCCTGCCTCAGCCTCCCGAGTAGCTGGGACTACAGGCGCCTGCAACCACGCACGGCTAATTTTTTGTATTTTTAGTAGAGACGGGGTTTCACCATGTTGGTCAGGATGGTCTCGATCTCATGACCTTGTGATCTGCCCGCCTCGGCCTCCCAAAGTGCTGGGATTACAGGCGTGAGCCACCGCGCCCACCTAAAACATTTCAAAATAAGATACGCAAGCTCTATGTGGAAGCGAAAGGGGGAAGCAGGGAATTCAAGATCTACAAAAGGAGTTTTAGGAAGTGAAATGGGTATTCTCAAGAGTGGGTTGGCTGGGTGCAGTGGCTCATGCCTGTAATCTCAGCACTTTGGGAGGCCGAGGCTTGGGAATCGCTTGAGCCCAGGAGTTCGAGACCAGCCTGGGCAACTTAGCAAGACCTTATCTCTACAAATAATAAAAAAAATTAGCTGGGCGTGGTGGTGCACGCCTGTGGTCCCAACTACTTGGGGGGGCTGAGGTGGGAGGATTGCTTGAGCCCAGGAGGTTGAGGCTGCAGTGAGCTGAGATCGCACCACTGCCTTTCAGCCTGGGCGACAGAGCAAGATCTTGTCTTAGACAAAAAAAAAAAAAAGGAGGCCGGGTGCGGTGGCTTACGCCTGTAATCCCAGCACTTTGGGAGGCCCAGGCGGGCGGATCACTTGAGGTCGGGAGTTTGAGACCAGCCTGACAAACATGGAGAAACCTGTCTCTACTAAAAATACAAAAAGTTAGCCGGGTGTGGTGGCAGGCACCTGTAATCCCAGCTACTTGGGAGGCTGAGGCAGGAGAATCGCTTGAAACCAGGAGGCGGAGGTTGCAGTGAGCTGAGATCGTGCCATTGCACTCCAGCCTGGGTGACAAGACCAAAACTCCGTCTCAAAAGAAAGAAAAAAGAAAAGAAAAGAAAGAAAAAAGAAAGAGAGAGAGAGAGGGAGGAAAGGAAAGGAAAATAAAGGAAAAGAGGGGAGGGAAGGAAAGGAAAGGGAGAGGAGGGAGGGAAGGAGGGAAAGAAGGAAGGGAGGGAAAGAAAGAAAGGAAAGAAATAGGCCGGGCACGGTGGATCACACCTGTAGTCCCAGCACTTTGGGAGGCCAAGGCGGCGGATCACAAGGTCAGGAGTTCAAGACCAGCCTGGCCAGCATGGTGAAACCCCCGTCTCTACTAAAAATACAAAAAATTAGCCGGGCATGGTGGTGTGTGCCTGTAATCTCAGCTACTCGGGAGGCTGAGGCAAGAGAATTGCTTGAACCCAGGAGGCAGAGGTTGCAGTAAGCCGAGATCAGCCACTGCACTCCAGCCTTAGGGATAGAGCGAGACTCCATCTCAAAAAAAAAAAAAAAAGGGAAAGAAGTTAGGAAGTTGATACTATTTCAGACTGTAGAGTCTGGTTATTTTCCCAGGTCAGGCTGGCTGAGCAGAGTGAACTTGTCTCTCCAGGGGTCCCACTTTAGCATCATTTCACATGTACTAGGGCTTGCGGCGTGGGCTATCTAGAGCCAAATAGAGATCTAGAGCCAAAGAGAGTGCATTTTCTGTCAAACTCATAAGAAAGAGGAATGGTCAGCATCTGAAAGTTCCTTTTTTTTTTTTTTTTGAGACGGAGTCTCGCTCTGTGGCCCAGGCTTCAGAGCAGTGGCGAGATCTCAGCTCACTGTAACCTCTACCTCCTGGGTTCAAGCAATTCTCCTGCCTCAGCCTCCTGAGTAGCTGGGATTACAGGCGCGTGCCACTACGCCCGGCTAATCTTTGTATTTTTAGTAACAACAGGGTTTCACCATGTTGGTCAGTTTGGTCTGGAACTCCTGACCTTGTGATTTGCCTGCCTTAGCCTCCCAAAGGGTTGGAATTACAGGCATGAGCCACCGCGCCCGGCAAGAGTTCTTATACCTCAAGCCCACCATAGTTAAGAACTCAGGCTCTGGAATCTAAGATGTCCAGGTTCAAGTCCCAGCCCTGCTACCCCTTGCTAACTGTCACCACTTAGACAGTTGATTTAACCTCTTTGAGCTCTAACTTCCTCATCTGTAAAATGACCAAATCCATTTCTTTTTGTTTTCTATTTTACTAATTTTTACATTTCGGTGTATTCATCCCTTCTATTCTTTCCTATATTTCATTATGATTCTCCTTTTTTTGTTTGTTTTGTTTTGTTTTGTGATGGAGTTTCGCTCTTGTTGTCCAGGCTGGAGTGCAATGGCACGATCTCAGCTCACTGCAACCTCTGCCTCCTGGGTTCAAGCAATTCTCCTGCCTCAGCCTCCCAAGTAGCTGGGATTACAGGCACCCGCCACCACGCCCGGCTAATTTTTTGTATTTGTAGTAGAGACGGGGTTTCACCATGTTGGTCAGGCTGGTTTCTTTCTTTCCTTTTTTTCTTTCTTTCATCTTTTATTCTCTGTTAGCCAAGGCTGGAGTACAGTGGCACAATCATAGCTTACTGCAGCCTCAAATTCCTGGGCTCAAGAGATCCTCTCACCTCAGCCTGTCAAGTATCTAGCTCACGTTTTATTTATTCATTTATTTATTTTAGAGATGGGGTCTCACTATGTTGCCCTGGTTGGTCTCCAACTCCTGGACTTAAGGGGTTCTCCTGGCTCACTCTTTTCAGTTGCTGAAATTACAGGTGTGAGCCACCGTGCCCAGGGAGCATTTCCACACATAAAGGAACAATCTGGGACTGTCAGTTAACCTCCTGAACTAATAGGGTGACCACGTGGTTCCAGTTGGTCTGGGACTTTCCTGGTTTTAGCACTAAAATTCTCATGTTCTGGGAAAACCCTCAGTTCTGAGCAAACTGGAATGGTTGGCCACCTTACCAGGTTGTCCTTAATGCTTGGAAATTCCAGAACATTCTGATGATAGAATGATCCAGTGATGCCCAAATGCAGAGTAAGAAAGAAGGACATCCACATACCTGAAGCACCAATTGCAAATGAGGATACCTCATCCTGCTTCAGACTGACAAAAAATTTACTGGGATGTGGCCCAAGAATGTGTATTTCTCCCAGGGGATTTTTATGTGTACTCAAGTTTAGGAGAACCAAAGTTCTCAAATTGTAGATGGCAGCCCAAGACAGAGGTCCTGATAACAGCCACTGTAGTCAGGTGTAGGAGAGAAGAGAGGAGAGGAAAAACCCTGGGCGTTGGAGCTGAGCTGGCACCTGACTTCCCATTTATTTCTGGGTAATAAATGACCTCCTGAAGGCTCAGTTTTTTAATGTATTAAATGGGGATAATTAAAGGCTATAATATGTGTAAAGCCCCTGACATCCAGTAAGTGTCTGATAAATTTTAGTTCCCCTTCCTTAGACTTTGATGCAGAATTGCAAGAACTGGCCATAAAAAGCAATTCTGCACATGGAAAAACTACTTTTCAGAATATTTCCTCATTAGGACCTCAGTTTCAAAACCTCCCAGGAAGTATCTTTTAGACATTAACATCTGAAAAATACAATAAAGAGTTGCTCTGTTTCTTTCCAGATGGCTTCTCTTTATGGCTTGGCTGTTGGGAAGTTCAAAGTCAAATACTGAAAATCTAATCATTTAAAAGCCACTCTTTTTTTTTTTTTTTTTTGAGACAGAGTCTTGCTCTGTCACCCAGGCTGGAGTGCAGTGGCGCAATCTCGGCTCACTGCAACCACTGCCTCCCGAGTTCAAGCAAGTCTTGTGCCTCAGTTTCCCAAGTAGTTGGGACTACAGGCGTGCACCACCATGCCTGGCTAATTTTTGTATTTTTAGTAGAGACAGGGTTTTGCCATATTGGCCAGGTTGGTCTTAAACTCCTAGGCTCAAGCGATCCTCCTGCCTCGGCCTCCCAAAGTGCTGGGAATACAGGCACGAGCCACTGTCCTCAGCTGAAGTGTTTTATTGCATACATATTATTGATTTCTTTCTTTCTTTCTTTTTTGTGATGGAGTCTCGCTCTGTTGTCCAGGCTGGAGTGCAGTGGCGCGATTTCTGCTCACTGCAAGCTCTGCCTCCCGGGTTCACGCCATTCTCCTGCCTCAGCCTCCTGAGTAGCTGAGACTACAGGCGCCCGCCACCACACCTGGCTAATTTTTTGTACTTTTAGTAGAGACGGGGTTTCACCATGTTAGTCAGGATGGTCTCGATCTCCTGAGCTTGTGATCCACCCGCCTTGGCCTCCCAAAGTGCTGGGATTACAGGCGTGAGCCACCACGCCCAGCCCTATTATTGATTTCTTTCAACGTTTTATTTTGTAATCACTATAGTTTCACAGGAAGTTGTAAAGACTGCAGAGAAGTCTCATGTATCCTCCATCTAGTTTCCCCCAGTGGTTACATCTTATAAACGGTAGTACGGTGCCAACACCAGGAAATTGGCAGTCCTACAATGAGTGCGTGTAGAGTTCTATATCATTTTGTCACATGTGTAGATTCATGTAACCACCACCACAATCAAGATACAGAGCTGTGCCATTACCACAGAGATCTTCCCCAACTTATCCACTTCTAGTTAGCCACACTCTCTCTCCTCTTCACCATCGCAACCCCTGGCAGCCACTTACCTATTCTTTGTCTTTATAATTTTTTGTCATTTTTGAGAATGTTATATAAATGGAAGCCTACAGTGTATGACCTTTTGAGATTGGCTTTTTACTTTTTATTTGTTTACTTTTAAGACAGGGTCTGGCTCTGTCACCCAGGCTGGGGTACAGTGGCATGCTCTTGGCTCACCGCAACCTTTGCTTCCAGGGCTCAAGCGATCCTCCCACCACCTCAGCCTCCCGAGTAGCTAGGACCACAGGCTCAAGTCACCACTAATTTTTTTGTATTTTTTGTAGAGACGGGGTCTTGTCGTGTTGCCCATGGCTGGTCTTCAACTCCTGAGCTCAAAGCGATCCGCCCACGTCCGCCTCCCAAAGTGTTGGGATTATAGGCATGAGCCACTGCGCCCAGCCGGGTGGCTTTTTTCTCTTCAATATGCCCTTGAGGTCCATCCAAATTGCGGCATGCGTCCACAGTTCATTCCTTCCCATTGCCAGGAGTTTTCCTCATATTATATTATAAGCAATAATATATTATTTTCATTTAAATCACTCTAAAGTAAGTAAAAAATGGAGCTATAAAGACAATGTTTTACTGAAAAAGCTACTCATGGCTTTATGCTGCTCAGGTACTGACTTGTCTGATCCTTAAAACAGGCCTGCGGCCGGGCACAGTGGCTCACGCCTGTAACCCAGCACTTTGGCAGGCCGAGGTGGGCGGATCACCTGCTGTCAGGAGTTTGAGACTAGCCTGCCCAACATGGCGAAACCCCGTCTCTACTAAAAATACAAAAAAATTAGCCAGGCGTGGTGGCATGAACCTATAATCCCAGCTACTCGGGAGGGTGAAGCAGGAGAGTCGCTTGAACCCAGGAGGCGGAGGTTGCAGTGAGCCGAGATCACACCACTGCACTCCAGCCTGGGGACAAGAGCGAAACTCCGTCTAAAGAAAAAAAAAAAAAAAAAGGCCGGGCGCGGTGGCTCACGCCTGTAACCCAGCACTTTGGCAGGCCGAGGCGGACGGACCACCACGAGGTCAGGAGATCGAAACCATCCTGGCTAACACGGTGAAACCCCGTCTCTACTAAAATAATACAAAAAAATTAGCCGGGCGTGGTGGCGGGCGCCTGTAAGTCCCAGCTACTCAGGAGGCCGAGGCAGGAGAATGGCGTGAACCTGGGAGGCGGAGCTTGCAGTGAGCCGAGATCGCGCCACTGCGCTCCAGTCTGGGCGACACAGCAAGTCTCCGTCTCAAACAAAACAAAACAAAACAAAACAAAAAAACCCCAGCAAGTCTTCGAATAGAATAGCAGACATTGCAGAACCATGGCGAGTGGAAACAAGATGAAATATGTCAACCTTTAGGGTATTACCTGTGTTCTTAAATAAAATAGGGCAGATTCAGTGTTTATAAATAGTGGGGGGGTGAGGGGGCGGGTGTGGTGGCTCATGCTTGTATCCCAGCATTTGGGAGGCTGAGGCTGGCGGATCACTTGATGCTAGGAGTTTGAGACCAGCCAGGCAACATGGTGAAACCCCATCTCTACTAAAAATACAAATATTAGCCAGGCGTGGTGGCGCATGCCTGTAGCCCCAGTTACTCGAGAGGCTGAGGCAGGAGAATCATTTGAACCCAGAAAATGGTGGCTGCAGTGAGCTGAAATCGTACCACTGCACTCTAGTCTGGGCGACAGAGCAAGACTCCATACATTTTTGTAGTTTCTTATGTATTTATTTATTTGAGACGGGGTGTTGCTCCGTCGCCCAGGGTGCAGTGCAATGGTACAGTCATGGTTCACTGCAGCCTCCGTCTCCCAAGCTCAAGTGATCTGCCCGCCTCACCCTCCTGAGTAACTGAGAACTCAGGTGTACAGCATCAAACCAGGCTATTATTATTATTATTATTATTATTATTATTATTATTATTATTGAGCCAGAGTCTCTCTCTGTCGACCAGGCTAGAGTGCAGTTGTGTGATCTTGGTTCACTGCAACCTTTGCCTCCCGGGTTCAAGCAACTCTCCTGCCTTAGCCTCCCAAGTAGCTGGGATTGCAGGCACATGCCAACACGCCCGGCTAATTTTTTGTATTTTTAGTAGAAACAGGGTTTCATCATGTTAGCCAGGCTGGTCTCGAACTCCTGACCTCAGATGATCCGCCTGCCTCGGCCTCCCAAAGTGCTGGGATTACAGGCATGAGTCACTGCGCCCGGCCCACTAAGCATGATCTTAAGCCTTAATGTTGTAGCACATATCAGAAGTTTACTTTTTAAATTTTTTATTATTTATTTATTTATTTATTGAGACGGAGTCTTTTGCTTTTGTCACCCAGGCTGGAGTGCAATGGCACAATCTTGGCTCACTGCAACCTCCACCTCCCAGGTTCAAGCCATTCTCCTGCCTCAGCCTCCCAAGTAGCTGGGATTATAGGCGGGTGCCACCAGGCCCAGCTAATTTTTTTTGTATTTTTAGTAGAGATGGGGTTTCACCATGTTGGTCAGGCCGGTGTTGAACTCCTGACCTCTAGTGATCCACCTGCCTCGGCCTCCCAAAGTGCTGGGATTACAGGCGTGAGCTGGCCTATTTATTTTTTTGAGATGGAGTCTTGCTCTGTCGCCCAGGCTGGAGTGCAGTGGCACAATCTCGGCTCACTGCAACTTCCGCCTCCCGGGTTCAAGCAATTCTCCGGCCTCAGCATCCTGAGTAGCTGGTACGACAGGTGCGTGCCACCACATCCAGCTAATTTTTGTATTTTTAGTAGAGACGGGGGTCTACCATGTTGGCCAGGCTGGTCTCCAACTCCTGACTTCAAGTGACCCGCCCGCGTTGGCCTCCCAAAATGATGGGATTACAGCTGTAAGCTATAGCGCCCGGGGTGTTTTTTATTTCATTTTATTTGTTTTATTTTATTTTTTGTAGAGATGAAGTCTTGTTATGTTGCTGAGGCTGATCTTAAACTTCTGGTCTCATGTGATCCTCCTGCCTCAGCCTCCCAAAGTGCTGGGATTACAGGCATAAGCCCCTGCATCCAGCCTGTTCATTTCTTTTCTTTCTTATTTTATTTTATTATTATTTTTTTTTGAGACGGAGTCTCGCTCTGTCGCCCAGGCTGGAGTGCAGTGGCCCAATCTTGGCTCACTGCAAGCTCCGCCTCCCGGGTTCACGCCATTCTCCTGCCTCAGCCTCTGGAGTAGCTGGGACTACAGGCGCCCGCCACCGCACCCGGCTAATTTTTGTATTTTTAGTAGAGACAGGGTTTCACCGTGTTGGCCAGGATGGTCTCGATCTCCTGAGCTTGTGATCCGCCTGCCTCTGCCTCCCAAAGTGCTGGGATTACAGGTGTGAGCCACCCCGCCTGGCCTGTTCATTTCTTTTAAAAACTGGATATGGCCAGGCGCGGTGGCTCATGCCTGTAATCCCAGCACTTTGGGAGGCCGAGGAGGACAGATCACGAGGTCAGGAGACGGAGACCATCCTGGCCAACATGGTGAAACCCCGTCTCTACTAAAAATACAAAAATCAGCCGGGCGTGGTGGCGTGTGCCTGTAATCCCAGCTACTCGGGAGGCTGAGGCAGGAGAATGGCTTGAACCAGGGAGTCGGAGGATGCAGTGAGCCGAGATTGCCCTGCTGTACTCCAGCCTGGCAACAGAGCGAGACTCCGTGTCAAACAAAAACAAAAACAAAACAAAAACTGGATACTATTCCACTGCATGGACGTACAACATCTTGTTTATCCGTTCATCCCTTGATGGAATTTGGGTTGCTTCCATATTTTAGGTATTGCGTGTAGTGTTGCTATGAACATGGCTGCACAAATATCTGTTTGCTTTCCTGTTTTCAATTTTTTTTTTTTTTTTTACCTAGGAGTGGGATTGTTGGATCATATGATAATGCTATGCTTAACTTTTTGAGGCACTGCCAGAATTCCAAAAAGGAGAAGAAGGAAGCAAATAAAAAGAAACCATAACAAACCTCACATTCTGGCTTAGAATAGATATGTGCACCAATTATATTTTTCCCCTCTCCTACCAAGCCTTCCATCTGTAATTCTGCTAGTTAATATTCAGAGAGAGAGACTTAGGAAAATATAGTTTGGAGTTTTCTTTGAAGGCAAGTCTTCCCTTTAGAAGTCCTGATAAAATAAAATTTCTCTATAACTTTTTGTATTTTTATTTTATTTAATTAATTTATTTATTTTTGAGACGGAGTTTCACTCTTGTTGCCCAGGCTGGTGTGCAGTGGTGCAATCTCAGCTCACCGCAACCTCCGCCTCCCAGGTTCAAGCATTTCTCCTGCCTCAGCCTCCGGAGTAACTGGGATTACAGGCATGCGCCACCATACTTGGCTAATTTTTTGTATTTTTAGTAGAGACAGGGTTTCTCCATGTTGGTCAGGCTGGTCTCGAACTCCCGACCACAGGTGATTCACCCGCCTCGGCCTCCCAAAGTGCTGGAATTACAGGCGTGAGCCACTGCGCCCGGCCTTTGATTTTCTTCTTATTATTATTTTGAGACAAAGTCTCGCTCTGTTGCCCAGGTTGGAGTGTAGTGTCATGATCCCAGCTCACTGCAACCTCCTCCTTCTGGGTTCAAGCGATTCTCCTGCCTCAGCCACCCGAGTAGCTGGGATTACAGGCGCCCGCCACCACACCCAGCTAATTTTTGTATTTTTAGTAGAGACAGGGTTTCACCATGTTGGCCAGGCTGGTCTTGAACTCCTGACCTCAAGTGATCCACCCACCTTGGCCTCCCAAAGTGCTTGGATTATAAGCGTGAGCCACCATGCCTGGCCAAACTTTCGTATTTTTAAATCATGCTTGACACTGAAGCCAAAATAAGTTCCTTTTCTGGGTGTATTTTTATTGTAATGTCCAAGGATACACATGAATAACTGCACATAATTGTAGGCTAGACCAATATTAGGCAAGCTGCATTCATACATCTCTTTCCTCAAGGCTGTGTTTGCTTGAATTTTCAAATTCTTGGTCACAATGAGTAAGTCAATTTTCCTCATGCGACTTCACCTTACAAGCAGGTAAGTTCTTAACTATATGCAACATTTGATTTCACCACATGTATGACTTTTCTAAGATTGTAACTCAGGCACCAAGGCATCATCAATTGAGGATAAAATTCTTTTGGAAACTCAAAATATTTCAGGAATCTTAAATATTCTACTTACAGATGGGATAAAATGTGTTCTCTGTCCATGGAACCAGAACATGTGGTGAGCACAATTCCCTGAAAAATAAAAATAAAAAACCCACCCTGTCTCTACATTCTGTGCATTTTGCTGTCTGTATGTTCTTGAATTGAAAGATCCTCTCTACCAGTTCTGAGAAGCAATTTGTTATTTTCCTCTAAACCCCTCGGTTGTGGCGAGACTTTCCTCCCAGCTGAATCGGTCTGCTGCAAGAATGTACTTGCGTGATACTTAATCCCTTAGTGGGAGCCCAGATAGAGTTTCTTGCCAGAACTAGAGATTGCCCCTTTTACAAATTCCCCTTTCTAAGCAAGCTATGATAACCCACATTTGGGGCCTGCAACATCCTTTCAGTGCATTTTTAAACAAGAGAAAAGGGCTCCATCTTGTATCATAAATTACAGTAACATCCTTTCTAACCACAGAGGTGCAGTTCACATGAGCAGAAACAGTCTATTTCAGGATCTCATGGGTAAGCTGTATACCCATGAACAACTGTATAAAGTAACTGTTTATAACTCCTAGACCAGTGGCACTCTGGTTAACTGGTTCTAGTGGGTGGAGGCAGAGGAGTCTTGGTTGTGTTTGTCAGTTTCCACGGTGTAAATATTCCCACCATGTCTAATTTTAGACTGCAGTCTGTGAGGATAGAGTTGAAAAGACATGTGCAAAATCAGCTTTCCAGAGCCAGTACAAAGAGTTCTGATGCACCACATTCTCAAACCTTCCTTTGACTTGAGACCCAGAACCGAAATCTCTTGAAACAGCAGCATCCTATTCTTTCTTGGACAAAGTTAACAAAAATGAGGTTTTGTTACAACCATGATATCTTGTCTCCATCACAAAACCCCAGAGGCCTTGCTAATTCTTTCCAAGTAACAGAATTTACCTAAATTGTGCCAAAGTTAATATTAAACCTCAATCACTGTTCTGACCCAGGGCATAAACATCCTGAGAAATCAAATGCTTTTTTGTATTAAATACATGTGTACGCACACACACAAGCTCACACACACATGCGCACACATACACACACAAACACAAGCACACACATATATACAAGCACACACACACACAAACACATACACACAAGCACACACATATATACAAGCGCACACATACACATGCACACAGGCTCAAACACACACATGCACATACACGTACACATGCATTCACACATTTACATACACATATACACAGGCACACAATACACACCTGCACACATACACACACATATACACACACAAAGCATCTCATTAGTGACTCCCTGCTGTGAAAGGAATTTTATTTAAAAATAATTGTCACATGTACTTTAGGACTTGTAATTATTTTAACAAAATGTTCTTGTCATGTTGATGACATTCTAATGACATGTTATTGGTATTTTTGTTCTCCAAATGCGAATGTTTCCCAGGAAACTGACCAGTGGGAAGGAAGGTGGGTGGGGAAGTGAAAGTGTGTCAGAAACTGCAAGTTAGAGTTCTGCTTAACTCAGTTTAAGTTCTAGGGTGACTAACATTTTCTAGGGAGGAAGAGCGTTCTGGTTTCTTAGGAGTAACTGCAAACCCCTTCTCTGGGATCCTCTGAGCTTCCTCTGCATCCTGAGCAAATGCTTGTGACACAGAGTTGGTGCTTTTGATTTCTTTATCTGATTATCCTATTAGATCAGGCTCTTCATCAAGTAGCTGGCTTCTTTATCTCTTTAACACTCTCCAGTGTCCAGAAAAGTACCTGAATTTGTGTGTGGAACAAGTGACATGACTTATTTTCAAAATGAAAATGATACCATTGAGATTTCAAGATTCAAATGAGCTCATATTTTTTATGAATTCATCCTATGCAATTCAGCCCCTTTTAAGGTCTCTACCGTGGCAGCCAACTCTGTTGAAAGTAGCATGGGAGAGAGTGGTTTTTGCAGATGGCTCAAGCAAATGACAAGGGGGTGATGTGTGGGTTAAAGGCAGCAGGTTAATAGTGTGGGCAGAGAGAGGAATGTGGAACGGAATCACAGCTTTGTTGTGGCACTGAATCGCTGTGAGCATTGGTTTGCTCAGCTGTAAACTAGGCTCACATCTAAAGCCTAAAGACGTTGTAAAGATTAAATGAGATAATACGCATGGAAGGCTTAACAGGCTGACTGGTCCAGGGTCATTTTCACTCAACAAATGTAGTTCCTGTCCCTGCCTTCCTCCCTCCACCAACTACCTCTTTTTTTTCAGTTAAGTGTGTTTTTAAAAATTGTGGTAAAATATACGAGACAAAAATCTACCAGTCTGACCATCCTCCCCTCCCCTCCCCTCCCCTCCCCTCCCCTGTCTTCTTTTCTTTCTTTTTTTTAACAGGGTTTCACTTTGTTGCCCAGGCTAAAGTGCAGTGGCATAGTGACAGCTCACTGCAGCTTTGACCTCCCCAGGCTCAAGCCATCCTCCCATCCTAGCCTCCAGAGTAGCTGGCACTACAGGCATGTACCACCATGCCCAGCTAATTTTTCTATTTTTTTTTTTTTTTTGTAGAGATGGGGTCTTGCTATGTTGCTCAGGCTGATCTCTCAAACTCCTGGGCTCAAGCAATCCTCCCACCTCAGCCTCCCAAAATGTTGGGATTACAGGCATGAGCTACCATGCATGGCCTCATTGTAACCATTTTTCAAGGCATGGTTCAGTGACAGTAAGTACATTCACCTCATTGTGCACCCACCACCACCATCCATCTCCAGAACTTTTTCATTATTCCAAACTGAAATGCCATCCCTGTTAAACACTAACTCCCCGGCCAGGCATGGTGGCTCAGGCCTGTAATCCCAGCACTTTGGGAGGCCGAGGTGGATGGATCACAAGGTCAGGAGTTTGAGACCAGCCTGGCCAATGTGGTGAAACCCCGTCTCTACAAAAAATACACAAATTAGCCAGGCGTGGTGGCGTGCACCTATAGTCCCAGCTACTTGGGAGGCTGAGGCAGGAGAATTGCTTGGACCCAGTAGGCGGAGGTTGCAGTGAGCTGAGATCGCGCCACTGCACTCCAGCCTGGCTGACAGAGCAAGACTCTGTCTCAAGAAAAACAAAACAAAACAAAAAAAACACACTAACTCCCATCCGCCCCTTTCCCACCTCCTGGCAACCTCCACTCTACTTTCCGTCTCTATACATTTCACTATTCTAGGTATCTCATATAAGTGGAACCATACAATATTCATATTTGTCCTTTTGTGTCTCGCCTCATGCACTTAGCATAATGTCCTCAAAATTCATCCATGTTGAGGCATATATCAGTATTCCCCTTTTTTTTTTTTTTTTTGAGACCGGCTCTCACTCTGTTGCCCAGGCTGGAGTGCAGTGACACAATCACAGATCACTGCAGCCTCGACCTCCCGAGCTCAGGGCTCAGGCAATCCTCCCACCTCAGCCTCCCAAGTAGCTGGGACCACAGATGCACACTGCTACATCTGGCTAATATTTCCTATTATTTTTGTAGAAGGGGATCTCCCTGTGTTGCCCAGGCTGGTCTTGAACTCCTGAGCGCGAGTGATCCTTCTTGGCCTCCCAAAGTGATGGGATTATAGGCGTGCCACCACACCCAGCCCAGAATTCTATTTTTTAAGGTGGAATAATATTCCATTGCATGTATATATTACATTGTGTTAATCTGTTCATCTGATGATGTACATTTGAGTTATTTCCACATTTTCACTATTGTGAATAATGCTGTGGTGAGTCCTGGTGTACCAATATCTGTTTGAGCCACCTCCTTTTTCAAAAGTGTGTTTGACAGTCTTGGACTCCATTCTTTTTTTTTTTTTGAGATGGAGTCTCGCCCTGTCGCCCAGGCTGGAGTGCAGTGGCGTGATCTCGGCTCACTGCAACCTCTGCCTCCCGGGTTCATGCCATTCTCCTGCCTCAATCTCCTGAGTAGCTGGGACTACAGGCGCCTGCCACCACGCCCGGCTAACTTTTTATATTTTTAGCAGAGATGGGGTTTCACCGTGTTAGCCAGGATGGTCTCGATCTCCTGACCTTGTGATCCGCCTGCCTCGGCCTCCCAAAGTGCTGGGATTACAGGCGCGAGCCACTGCACCCGGCCTTGGACTCCATTCTTACCTAAGACATTGATGGTATGTGTTCCAGAACAGCCTCCAATCTCCCTCCTTAGGATTCCTTGAGTCCAGGAGTTCGAGACCAACCTGACCAACATAGCGAGACCCTGTTTCTACAAAAAATAAAAAATTAGCCAGGCCAGGCACGGTGGCTCACGCCTGTAATCCCAGCACTTTGGGAGGCCGAGGTGGGTGGATCACCCAAGGTCAGGAGTTCGAGATCAGCCTGGCCAACATGGTGAAACCCCATCTCTACTAAAAATACAAAAATTAGCCAGGTGTGGTGGCATGCGCCTGTAATCTCAGATACTCAGCAGGCTGAGGCAGGAGAATTGCTCGAACCCTGGAGGTGGAGGCTGCAGTGAGCCGAGATTGTGCCACTGCACTCCAGCCTGTATGACAGAGTGCGACTTCTTCTCAAAAAAACAAAAATAAATAAAATACATAAAATGAGCCGGGCATGGTGATGCATGCATATAGTCCCAGCTACTCGGGAGGACTGAGGTGAGAGGAGGATTGCTTGAGCTCAGGAGGTCGAGGCTGCAGTGAGCTATGATTATGCCACTATAATCCAGCCTGGGTGACAGAATGAAATCCTGTCTCCAAAAAAAAAAAGAAAAGAAAAATCCAGAAAACCCCAACCCACCCTTTTCCAAGAGGGCTTCCCTGTTTCCCTTACCTAAAATGGCCCCCCTCTGTTATTCTCTAGCCCTTGATTCAGCTTCAGTTTTCTCATGAGAATTACCAGCATCTTATGGTAACGGATTGCAACGGGGTAGACCCCATCTAAATAACAGAAAATATTAGCCTGGTGTAGCAGTGTGTGCCTGTGGTCCCAGCTACTTGGGAGGCTGAGGTGGGAGGACTACCTGAGCCCTGAGCCCAGGAGGTCGAGGCTGCAGTGACCTCTGATTGTGTCACTACATTCCAGCCTGGGCAACAGAGCAAATTATAAATATTGATTTGTTTATTAACTGTCTCCATGGACTACTCTGTCAGATCAAGGAGGAAGGGCAGGAACTTAGCTGTAGCTGTATTCCAGTGACTAAAACAGTGCCTGGTATACAGTAGGTGCTCAACAAAAACATATTTAATGACTGTGCAGCATCTGGTTGCCTTACCTCTGCTTGTCTGCTACCCACTCAACCTGAACCACTGCTGGGGACACACACAGCCTAGTGCAGAAACATGTCTCTAGGTCTGGGAAGGAACTCATAAGCAGCCCTTTACCAGAGTCTGCTGACAAACACCAGTGTGAGGGCGTCTGCAGCCAGTGTGGCGAGCCACATCCTCGAGTTGTTTGGGATTCTGGAACAATCCAGGTGGTGAATGCTGATTCTGGCCTTGCCCTTCCCGGGGCTTGGTCTGACACATGACCCTGATCCCTAAGGTTCAGGGTGAGCTCTGGCTCACACGTGCCAACAGAGGTGAGTAAGGCTCGGAGAGGACAGTGCATGACACACGACAACCATGTTTTAAAACAAACCAGTTTCACTCACTTGCTCCTCATTGTTTTATGTAAAAACATTGCCTCATGGCGTCCACTGGTTCCACAGCCCGCCTGCTTCATTCCTGATACATGCGTTTGAAGAACTTGAAGTTTTCCTCCCTCCTTCCCTTCCTTCCTTCTTCCCTCCCTACTTCCCTCCCTCCTTCCTTCCCTCCCTTCCTTCCTTCCTTCCCTCCCTCCCTCTCTCCCTGTTTTCAGGAGCATCACAATGACCCTCAACTGAGTGTTATGTCCAAACAGGCTGCAGCTGGCCAAGCTGCCTCCTTCAGGCATTTAGCAAAACAGAAAGCCCCGGGAGCAGGCTGGAAATGGAAAGCGGGCCCCAGGGTACTTTACTTAACCCTTCAGGCACTTTGAGGTTAAAAGCGCCAACATGAATGCCCTTCGCCAACTCAAAATTGTATCATTTGGCAGCATTCCCACTAGTTCGTGCAGGTAAGAAATGAATGGTCTGCTTGCTTGGCAGCGAGCTGCGTGAACTTGGGCAGGTCACTTAACTCCTGTGAGCCCTGGTGTCTTCATTTTTAAAACAAAGCAGCTGAATCACTAACAACCACAACAAACTGACAAAGTATCTTGAGCGTGGATGTAACATCCATCAGCTTGAATTCCACTGAACTCACTCTGGAAAGGGGTTTTGCGGGAGAACTCAGGTGTCCTGTGGTGTCTCAGTTTTCCTCTGATGTCCTCAGATTGGTGATTGCAAAATCCACCAGAGTTGCTGGAAACCAGGCGTCTGTGACGCGGAGGTGAGGAAAGAAGAGGGCAGGTTACCGTAAAGCAGTGGCCGATTCCAAGGCTGGTCAACATGCTGAAACCCCGTCTCTACTAAAATACAAAAATTAGCCAGGCGTGGAGGCCTGGTTTGGCAGTGTCTGGAGACATGTTGGTTTTCCCAATGTGGGGAGGATCACCATGGGTCATCTAGCGGGTGAAGGTGCTGAGATGCTGCACAATAGACAACGCACAAAGCAATCCCCACAAAGAATTACCCAGCTCCAAATGTGCACGTGCTTGAGAGACTCTGCCTTTCTGGGGGCTGGGGTGAGCCAGGCTGCGAATGCTCCCTTTCTCTCACTAGCCGGCACCCACGATGGGACTTTAGCTTAGGGACCAGATCCTGGGCCAGGATTTTGATTTTTATTTTATTTATTTATTTATTTTTGAGATGGAGTTTCGCTCTTGTTGCTCAGGCTGGAGTGCAATGGCGCAGTCTCGGCTCGCTGCAACCTCCGCCTCAGGGGTTCAAGCAATTCTCCTGCCTCAGCCTCCGGAGTAGCCACCACCATGCCTGGGGCAGGATTCTGCACCAATTCTTCCCCAAACCCAGGTCCCCTCCTTCCTGCAGCCCCTTCCCCTCCCAGGGAGCCTGCCTGTCAACCCCAGTGAGTCCCTCGGGTCTAGTTGTGTTTGCTGGACTTCATTCATGCACTCAACAAACACTGAGCACCCCTCTGCACCTGATCCTGCCATCGGCAGCAGGGGACAATGATGACCATGACAGGGGACCATTGCCCTTGCTTGCTATAACCTTCCCCAAATGGGATAAAGAGGAATCCCCCGCACCAGGTGGACCAGGGCTGTGGGTGGACAAGGGCTCCTGCGCAGAACCATCAAATTCTTCCTTTCAACCCCAGCCCAAGGTGGGTCCTGGTGCTTCCCATAGTACCAAGTGTGCCTGGCAGAGGTGGAGAAAACTCCCAGGGGTCGGGGAGACACTGGGACCCCTGAAACGCCCCTCCCCTCTGCCTTGTGCGGAGTGGTCCCCAGTCACCTGGCTTGTACTAAAGACCCAGCACCTCCAACTACTGTGGAATGCGACAGGTCAGGTGAGAATGACGAAAGCTGAGCAGCGGAGCTGGGGGAGGGGATTGCACCACAGACCCCTCAACTCCCACACCCGCCCTCGGCCTTTCTTCCGCACAAGCTCCTCTTGTCCGCTGTGCTCTTCTCCTCGCCCTCCTTCTCTTCTTCCACAGGTGTCCCAGAGGCGCTGGCTCCACTTCCCTCCTTCACGTTTTTCCCTCTTAACTCTCTTCCCTGGTCTCTATCTCCAGAGATCTGAATTTCCTTATTTTCTTTCTTTTTTTTTTCTGGGACAGTCTCTGTCGCCCAGATTGGAGTGTAGTGGCGCAATCTGCAACCATCGCCTCCCCGGTTCAAGCGATTCTCCTGCCTCAGCCTCCTGAGTAGCACGGATTACGGGCACGCGTCTCCACACCCAGCTAATTTTTGTATTTTAGTAGAGACGGGGTTTCACCATGTTGGCCCGGCTGGTCTTGAACTTCTGACTTGAGGTGATCCACCCGCCTCGGCCTCCCAAAGTCCGAGGCGGGTGGATCACCTGAGCCACATCGCCTGGCCTCTGAATTTCTTTCTTGCCTTAGGCAGAGCAGCTTAGAGGCCAGTTTCTCTAGGGGTCGCCTGAAGCCATCTTTGCTTCCCACTCTGCAGACCTCCCAGCTGCCCAGGCTGCCTGTTCTTCCTTCAAAATCTATTTCCTATTGGTTTCCTCCTCCCATTACCCTGATCCCACCTGGTGCTGGCAAAAACTTCCTTGGCCAACTTCCAGCACCAGCCTAAGGATGCCATGGTCCTCTTCCTGGAAGCCCAGCCATTCATTCTGCAGCAGTGCATTCTAAGGGTGCTGGCTCTGGAGGCAGACGAACTAAACAGCGTCCCGACTGCACCGTTGCCTAGCTGTGTGACCTGGGACAAGTGACTTAACTTCACTGTGCCTCAGTTTCTTCATCTGTAAAATGGGTACCATGATCATCCCTGCCTCTTAGGGTTGTTTTGAAGGTTAAACAAATGAGTGAATATATAAAATGCTCAGAACAGTGTCTGGCACATAAGAAGTGCTTGATAATGTTGACAATTCCTTTTATTATTATTTTTGTAATCTTCAAGATTAAGAGTCTACTTCTTGTTGGTCGGGTGTGCTGGCTCATGCTCATAATCCCAGCACTTTGGGAGGCCGAGGCGGGAGGATCACTTGAGGCCAGGAGTTTGAGACCAGCCTGGCCAACATGGGGAAACCCCGTCTCTACTAAAAATACAAAAATTAGCGGGGGCGTGGTGGCGTGCACCTGCAATCCCAGCTACTCAGGAGGCTGAGGCAGAGAATCACTTGAACCCAGGAGGCAGAGGTTGCAGTGAGCCGAGATCATGCCACTGTACTCCAGCCTGGGTGACAGAGTGAGACTCCATCTCAAAAAAAAAAAAAAAAAAAGAGTTTACTTGTTTCCTTTCCCATAAAGTATTAAACGCTCCATTGCTGCTACCGAAGCTCTCTACGCATGTCTGCTTCTCCTCACCTATGCAAATCTAGATCTATCATAGGTAGGTCTATCATACAGATCTTCCTCTCATCTAATCCTGAGCTCCTGCTAGACAAGGAGTATGTGGAAGGTTTTCAGGAAACACAGCCCCTTCTCTTGAGGGAGTTTATGGTGTGAAACAAAATTCAGGAAAACTGATCACCCAGGTAGATCCCAGTCTGGCCCCAAGACATTTTGTTTGGCCTTCATGGCCAAGGTCGGCTCCAGGATATGCAACCTGGGCAGCTGCACAGGGCCCTGATCTCAGAAGGCCCCATGCTTGGTTTAATGCTTCAATACTGATGTCTTAAAACCCTTCACAAATTTGAACCAGGGGCACCAGAGTTTCCATTTACGGTGGGCCCTACACGTAATAAAGCTCTTCATAAGTCTGGCTTGCACCATTAATTATTCTTTTTTTTTTTTTTTTTTTGAGATGGAGTCTCACTCTATCGCCCAAGCTGGAGTGCAGTGGTGCGATGTCAGCTCACTGCAACCTCTGCTGCCTGGGTTCAAGCGATTCTCCTGCCTCAGCCTCCCGAGTAGCTGGGATTACAGGCACCTGCCACCATGCCCAGCTAAGTTTTGTATTTTTTAGTAGAGATGGGGTTTCACCATGTTGGCCAGGCTGGTCTTGAATTCCTGACCTCGTGATCCACCTGCCTCAGCCTCCCAAAGTGCTGGGATTACAGGCGTGAGCCACCGCGACTGGCCTAATTATTCTTTTTTAAAAATTATTTAATTACACTTAAAAAGTAGGATGCTGGGGATGATGGCTCATGCCTGTAATCCCAGCACTTTGGGAGACCGAGTCGGGTGGATTACTTGAGGTCAGGAGTTCGAGACCATCCTGGCCAACATGACGAAACCCCATCTCTACTAAAAATAAAAAAAATTAGCCAGGCGTGGTGGTGTGTGCCTGTAATCCTAGCTACTAGGGAGGCTGAGGCACGAGAATAGTTTGAACGCAGGAAGGGAAGGCTGCAGTGAGCTGAGATCGCGCCACTGAACTCCAGTCTGGATAACAGAGCAAGACTCTGACTCAAAAAAAAAAAAAAGGGAAAAAATCAAAGTATTTTCTTTCCCTCTGAGTCTTCCTGTTGGCTGAGAATGGCGCCAGTGATAAAACAGTAGTTTGTCTCTGACTTAAGGAGGCAAGGAGATGTGAAGACTCAGCGCAGTGTGGTGTCTTGGGTGGGATTCTGGAATAGGAAGAGGACATTAATTGAAAAGCTGGTGAAATTGGAATAAAGTCTGAAGCTGAGTGAATAGTATTTCATCAATGTAAATTTCTTAGTTTTAGTAAATGACTTAGGATTACGTAAGATGTTAATAATTAGGGAAGTTGGGTGAATGGCCCGTGGGAACGCTGTAGGTCTGTAAAAATCAAATTATTTCAGACTAAAACTACCAAAGGAACTACAAAGAAGATAGAAGAGTTTACGATGTTTCCCATTCTTCCTCAATGCTTTAATATTATAATAATTAATAATACATACAATAATAATCATACATTTTATTTTGGGAGGTATTATTTAAACTTTTTTTTTTTTTTGAGACTCACTCTGTTGCCCAGGCTGGAGAGTAGTGGTGCGATCTTGGCTCACTGCAACCTCCGCCTCCCGGGTTCAAGTGATTCTCCTGCCTCAGCGTCCCGAGTAGCTGGGACTACAGGCATGTGCCACCACACCCAGCTAATGTTTTGTATTTTTAGTAGAGACAGGGTTTCACCGTGTTAGCCAGGATGGTCTTGATTTCCTGACTTTGTGATCCGCTTGCCTTGGCCTCTCAAAGTGCTGGGATTACAGGCGTGAGCCACTGTGCCTGGCTATTTAAACTTTTATATATATATACATATATATATATATATATATATATATATATATATATATATGTATATATATGTATGTGTATAGATAACCATATATATAAGTTTTTTTAATGAATACATGCCATGATACCAAATTCATAGGTACAAAGGATTTTGAGTCTCCCTTCTGTTTTCAAGTCCCTTCCTGTTTTGAGTCTTCCCTCCTGTTTTCAAGTCCCTTCCCTGTGGAAAACTTATTATTTCAAGTTTCTCATATATATTTCCCGAGTTATTTTATGAATCTGGAAGCAACCTCTGTGGTATGTATTGTGTACATTTTCTTTTCTTTTCTTTTCTTTCTTTTTTTGAGATAGAGTCTTCCTCTGTCGCCAGGCTAGATGCAGTGGCACGATCTCGGCTCACTGTAACCTCTGCCTCCTGGGTTCAAGTGATCCTCCTGCCTCAGCCTCCCAAGTAGCTGAGAATACAGGCATGAGCCACCATGCCCGGCTAATTTTTGTATTTTTAGTAGAGATGGGGTTTCACCATGTTGGCCAGGCTGGTCTCGAACTCCTGGCCTCATGTCATGTTATCCTCTCACCTCGGCCTCCCGAAATGCTGGGATTACAGGCACGAGCCTCCATGCCCGGCTGTTGTTATTTCACAGTGATTTTGGCGTCACTGCGTACCTGCCAGCACCTCCTCACTCTTTGCCGTAACTGCTGCATAGTATTCCTTTTAATGAATTAATTTCTGTCACCGGTCTCCTATGAATGAGTATTTAAATAATTTCTGCTCCTGTGCTCTTACAATCAGTGCTGCAACAAATAAACTTGTACGGTATTTCATGTGTGTGGGAGTACTCCTGAGGGAATAAATATCTAGGAGTTACACACACATTTTGGAGAAAATAATGAAAAGCAAATCTCCACTGAATTTTCCCATTCAAGGCTTGAGAGGTGATAAAACACATTCTCGGAGGCCAGTGTCTTGTTTTGGAAACACCACGTTCAAGGAGGCACCCGTCTGCAGCCCCACAGAGGCATGAGGGCCTGCTTCAGATCACTAATCTGGCATTAATACCCTCCTGAAAGGGGGGCGGAGGACAATAGCACCCAGAGAGTTTACACACTTGAGAAATGACTGGAAAGTAATTGGAGCTGGTAGCCATCTGCCTGGCTCTTTCTTTAGAGAGCCAGCACGTCTATCCACTGCAGGCACCAGAAGAGCCTCATGTGGGCTTCAGTCTCCGTCAGAGCTCACCCATCATTCTGGGGGCCCGAGCAGGAGCTGGTTTTCCCTGAAGCTCTCACATTCATCTCCAGGCTGAACTGGCTTTGAAGAAAGATGCCACCTTACCCATCTCCTCTGTCTGCCAATGAGAAAAGAGGACTTTTTTTTTTCTGGCCTTTCAGCATTTCACAATATTCTTCAAAATCGTTTCTTCTTTTCTTGGTAAACAATGATCGCTACTTGTGAAATCCAGTTTTTCATTTCACTTGGAAAGAAAGACTATTTCATTAGCTCATGAGCTTTTTTTTTTTGAGACAGGGTCTCACTCTGTTGCCCAGGCTGCAGTGCATTGGCGTGATCACAGCTCATTGCAGCCTCAACCTCCCAGGCTCAAGTGATCCTCCCACTTCAGCCTCCCTAGTAGCTGGGACTATAGGCACACACCACAACACTTGGCTCATTTTTTATTTTTTGTGGAAATGGGGTCTCACTATGTCGCCCAGGCTGGTCGCCAATTCCTGGATGCAAGCGATCCTCCTGCCTTGGCCTCCGAAAGCTCTGGGATTATAGGCATGAGCCACCATGCCCAACCTTATGAGCTTTTTCTATCTGTCCCAGCTAGGGGTAATTGTCTGAGCTGCTCACAAACCTGCAAAGCTCAGAGTGGGGACTGCTCTTGAAAGCTATGATGATGATTAATAATAATAATAAAATTATACTAGCTACCATTTGTTGAGAAATTATTGTTTTACAGGTTGCTATGGACTGAATCGTGTCCCCTCCCAATTCATATGTTGAAGCCCTAACCTCAAATGTGACTGTATTTGGAGTGAGAAAGTAATTACGGTTAAATATAGTCATAAGAGTGGAGCCTTTATCTGATGGGATTAGTGTCCTTATAAGAAGAGACACCAGGCCTGGTGAGGTGGCTCACGCCTCTAATCCCAGCACTTTAGGAGGCTGAGGCGGGTGGATCACCTGAGGTCAGGAGTTCGAGATCAGCCTGACCAACATGGGGAAACCCCATCTCTACTAAAAATACAAAATTAGCCAGGCGTGGTGGCACAAACCTGTAATCCCAGCTATTCGGGAGGCTGAAGCAGGAGAATCGCTTCAACCTGGGAGGTGGAGGTTGCAGTGAGCTGAGATTGGGCCATTGCACTCTAGCCTGGGTGACAACAGTGAAACTCCATCTAAAGAAAAATCCCAAAACCTCAAATTTGTCAAGAAACACAATTTTGGAGCTGGCAGGTTGCGTGAACTATAAACTGTATATAATATAGCCATATGACAATGCCAGCAAGTTGATAAACAGAAATTTTTTGAACTATGAAAGTTATTTGGTTGCAAATCCTTTGCAAAAAATGTGTCTGCTCTGTATAGAGTATTGAATGAAAGTATAGCATGTAGATTTTTACAAGCCTACAGGTACATAAATACTTTTGATTTTTCTCAATCTGTAGAGATTTGCTATAAGATAGTCTTTGGGCTAGGCGCGGTGGCTCACGCCTGTAATCCCAACACTTTGGGAGGCTGAGGCAAGCAGATCTCCTGAGGTCGGGAGTTCGAGAACAGCCTGACTAACATGGAGAAACCCTGCCTCTACTAAAAATACAAAATTAGCTGGGTGTGGTGGCGCTTGTCTGTAATCCAGCTACTTGGGAGGCTGAGGCAGGAGAATCGCTTGAACCCAGGAGGCAGATACTGCGGTGAGCCGAGATGGCGCCATTGCCCTCCAGCCTGGGCAATAAGAGCGAAACTCCATCTCAAAAAAAAAAAAAAAAAAAAGATATTCTTCGGCTGGGCATGGTGGCTCATGCCTGTAATCCCCGCGCTTTGGGAGGCTGAGGTGGGCAGATCACAAGGTCAAGAGATTGAGACCACTCTGGCCAACATGGTGAAACCCTGTCTCTACTAAAAATATAAAAATTAGCTAGGCATGGTGGTGCACACCTGTAGTCCCAGCTACTTGGGAGGCTGAGGCAGGAGAATCACTTGAACCCAGGAGGCGGAGGTTGCAGTGAGGCGATATTGCACCACTGCACTCCAGCCTGGTGACAGAGTGAGATTCAAAAAAAAAAAAAAAAGATATTCTTCAATCAACACTCTGTATACTTCTGTATAATTCTTCACAGAAATTATTCCTCAGATAACCTGCACTTACCATCAAACTTGTAATTATCCCCACACATACAAAGTTGCCTTTGAATGTGATGTTTCTATAGAGTACAAAGCTGAATTATTTTATTTTATTTATTTATTTTGAGATGGAGTTTCGCTCTTGTTGCCCAGGCTGGAGTGCAATAGTGTGATCTCGGCTCATCAAAACCTCTTCCTCCCAGGTTCAAGTGATTCTCCTGCCTCAGCCTCCCGAGTAGCTGGGATTACAGGCATGCGCCACCACGCCCGGCTAATTTTGTATTTTTAGTAGAGACAGGGTTTCTCCATGTTGATGAGGCTGGTCTCAAACTCCCAACCTCAGGTGATCTGCCTGCCTCGGCCTCCCAAAGTGCTGGGATTACAGGAGTGAGCCACCACACCTGGCCAAAGCTGAATAATTTTAGATTGTTCCTGTGTGTGAGTCTTCTGGAATGTCTCTGGGCATCTGGAGTCAAAAAGTGTGTTTATTCTTTAGTGAAAATGATTGCCATTGTTGTGAGAGATATTGAAAAATGACATCAAATTGCTCAGACCTTGCAGCAAATCACAGTGGAAACGCCTATTAAATCTCATATGCTCTTTGAATGGTCTTTGTTAATTGGAGCCACAGCACGAATGACAAAGAGACACTAAAATTATGACGGAGGATTGCTTCCTGTCTTACCTACTATATTTGGGTCTATTCTCATTTCAGTGAATGAGTCACAGTGAGGTACAATTTGTTTTTCCAAAGACAAAAAGAAATAGAATAAAAGAGGAGTTGGCAACATTTTTTGGTAAATGGTGAGATATTAACTATTAAAAAAAAACATATTTTAGGCTTTGGAGGCCAGATGGCCTCTGTAGTAACTTTTTTTTTTTTTCTTTTTGAGACAGGGTGTTGCTCTGACGCTCAGGCTGGAGTGCAATGGTGTGATCTTGGCTCACTGTAACCTCCGCCTACCGGGTTCAAATGATTCTTGTGCCTCAGCCCATAGCTGGGATTACAGTCCTGCACCACCACACCTGACTAATTTTTGTATTTTTAGTAGAGACGGGATTTCGCCATGTTGGCCAGGCTGGTCTTGAACTCCTGGCTTCATGTGATCCTCTTGCCTCTGCCTTCTAAAGTACTGAGATTACAGGCGTGAGCCACTGCGCCCACCTGGCCTCTCTGTAGCAACTACTAAACTCTGCCTTGCCCTGTGAAAGCAGCCATACACAATATGTAAATGAATGAGCATGGCTGTTTTCCAATAAAACTTTATTTCTCAAAACAGGCAGTAGGCTTAGTTTGCCAACCCCTGGAATAAGGCATAAATATTTAAAGATATAGATATGAATTGGCTGGGCACAGTGGCTCATGCCTGTAATCCTGGCACTTTAGGAGGCCAAGGTGGGCAGATCACCTGAGGTCAGAGTTCCAGACCAGCCTGGTCAACATGGTGAAACCCTGTCTCTACTAAAAATATAAACATTAGCTGGGCATGGTGGTACGCACCTGTAATCCCATTTACTCAGGAGGTTGAGGCAGGAGAATTGCTTGAACCAGGAGTTGGAAGTTGCAGTGAGCTGAAATCATGCCACTGTACTCCAGCCTGGGCGACAGTGATACTCTGTCTCAAAAAAAAAAAAAAAAAAAAAGATATGAAGTGATAGACATAAACAGATAACTTGAAGTGTGGCAGAGAATGTTACCTGCCAACCCACCATCCCTATTCTTTGTGAACAGAGCCACCATACTGTTGGGGTCAGCAATGTCCTCAGTTAAATATATCTATATCCTAGTCTCACTTGCCAATAGGGGTGACTTCTGAAGTGAAAGCAGATACAGATGAGACATGTGGGAATGCTCTGTAAAAAGGCCTTATCTTCCTTTTTTTTTTTTTTTTTTTTTTGAGACAGGGTCTCACTGTATCGCCCAGGCTGGAGTGTAGTGATGGTGCAATATCAATTGGCTCACTGCAACCTCCACCTCCCAGGCTCAAGTGATTCTCATGCCTCAGCCTCCTCAGTAGCTGAGATAACAGTTGTGTGCCACCACACCCAGCTAATTTTTTATATTTTTAGTAGAGACGGGGTTTCACCATTTTGGCCAGGCTGGTCTTGAACTCCTGGCCTCAAGCTGATCTGCCCGCCTCAGCCTCCCAAACTGCTGGGATTACAGGTGTGAGACACCATGCCCGGCCTAGGCTTTATCTCTTGGGCAGGTGCCATTTTGCCTTCTACTTTTCTTTTTTTTATCTGCCTGGAATATGGGAATGATTGGTGGAGCTTAAGTGGCAATTTTGTGACTAAGAGGGCAAGTCCGAGAAAATATTGGAAATCTCATCCTTTGCATCCTCGAACCAATGAATCAAACCAGCAGGAGCTGACCTCTGGACTTCTTGTTATATGAAGGAAACAACCTTTCTATGCTTAAGCCACTGTTTCATTTGGATCTGTATTTACTGCTGAATCAAAATTCCAATACTTTTAATAGAAATAACAAACATATAGTCCAGCTTACAAGTAGTAGAAGTAATAGTAATTTAAGGCTATGTGAACAATAGAGAGGTAGTATTTCGGATTGAAGACTTCAAATCCATCAGTTGGATCTGGGTGTCAAATCCTGCCCTCACCACTAACTTGGTGGTGTTTTGTTTTGTTTTGTTTTGTTTTGTTTTGTTTTGTTTTGTTTGAGATAGGATCTCACACTCTGTTGTCAGTGCTGGAGTGCAGTGGTATGATCTCGGTTTACTGCAACCTCCACATCCTGGGCTCAAGTGATCCTCCCACCTCAGTCTCCTGAGTAGCTGGGACTGGTGGCACACACCATCACGCCCTGCTGATTTTTATATCTTTTATAGAGATGGGTTTTTGTCATGTTGCTCAGGTGGGTTTTGAACTCCTGGGCTCAAGCAATCTGCCCACCTTGGCCTCCCAAAGTGTTGGGATTACAGGCGTGAGCCACCGCGCCCCCCACCCCCACCACTTACTCTCTCTATTCCTCAGTTTCCTCCCTGGAAAAATAGAGATCATAATATTATATGATTTATGGTATTGTTGAAAGACTTAATTATGATAATGCATACATAAAGTACTTGGCACATAAGAAGTGCTCAAAAAAAGAGAATATTATTGTTGCTGCTACTATTATCATTTTGTTGACCAGAGATGAATGACTATTCACTTCTCTGAAACAAGGGTGCAGGTGAAAACAGCGATGACATTTCTTCCCCACTCCTCACTCTTCAGGCCTCTCCATCATCTAGAACAATACGTGGAAATCCACTCACGACCTCCGTGTTTTTAATAAGTATGACGTGTCGGGCTGAGTGCTTGGTTCCGGGAGTTCTGGGTGATGGAGACAGTTCCTGTATTCAGTGTTATCAGGGCAGAGTGAGCAGAGGTAGCCTGGAGGACAATCAAGAATAAAAAAGTGTTGGGTGGAGAACAGAAATATGAATGGGGTACAATGGGGAGAAACCAAGAAGAGGTTCAGTTCTATTATTGGGTGGGAAAGCGGTCTAAAAATATTTTATAGAGGAACTGGTATCTAAAATTTGAGTATTGAAGAAGGTGGTGTTGGCTATTATCTACTATTACTAGGAAGAATTTTTTTTTGAGACAGAGTCTCACTCTGTCACCCAGGCTGGAGGTCAGTGGCATTATCTCGGCTCACTGCAACCTCTGCTCCCGGACTCAAACCATCCCACCCCAGCCTTTCCAGTAGCTGGGACTACAGACACGCACCACCACGCCTGGCAAATTTATGTATTTTTTTGGAGACAGGGTTTTGTCATGTTTGGCCAGGTTGGTCTCGAGCTCCTAGACTCAAGGGATCTGCCCACCTCAGTCTCCCAAAGTGCTGGAATTACAGCTGTGAGCCGATGTGCCTGGCCAGGAAGAATTTAAAATCAGTGATGGCATGTAAATATTTTTCTTGTTCTTTTTTTTTTTTTTTTTGAGATAGAGTTTTTGCTCTTCATACCCAGGCTGGAGTGCAATGGCACAATCTTGGCCCACTTCAACCTCTGTCTCCTGGGTTCAAGCGATTCTAAAATATTTGAGGTGCCCGCCACCATGCCTGGCTAATTTTTTGTATTTAGTAGAGACAGAGGTTCACCATGTTGGCCAGGCTGGTCTCGAACTCCTGACCTCAGGTTATCCAACTGCCTCAGCCTCCCAAAGTGCTGGGATTACAAGCATGAGCCACTGTGCCGGCCATATTTTTTTTTTTCTTTCTTTTCTTTTCTATTTTATTTTATTTTATTTTATTTTGAGACAGAGCCTCACTCTGTTGCCCAGGCTGGAGTGCAGTGGCAGATCTCGGCTCACTGCAAGCTTCGCCTCCCGGGTTCAAGTGATTCTCCTGCCTCAGCCTCCCGAGTAGCTGGGATTACAGGCGCCCACAACCACGCCCGGTGTATTTTTATTAGAGACGAGGTTTCACCATATTGGCCAGGCTGGTCTCGAACTCCTCCTGATCTCAAGTGATCCGCCCGCCTTACCCTCCCAAAGTGCTGGGATTACAGGCATGAGCCACCGCGCCCGGCCCGGCCATATTTTTCATCTCCTCTTCCGGATCTCCTCTCCGACCCTGCCCTCCGGCCTCCGTGGTGGCCTTCCCTGGACGGTATTCACACGTTCCCCTACTCTATAGTTTCCAGTTGGGTTTAGCCAACGGGAGACACCTGGAGGAGATGGAGGGAGGAGAAAGGGAGGTTGGAGCATGTATTTCCCTGGCGCCCTCTCTGCTAGGTTGCCCCAGGTTGGCTGCATCTCTCTCCTGAAGGTCACAGTCCTGGTCAGGTCGCTTTCTCTACAGCTGTGTTCTTCAGATTCTGGGAACCACACCTACCTTTGCCTTTCTGGCCTGGGGGCAAGAATGGCTCTCTGCTGCTGCGATTAGCCTCAGGGCGTTCACTACTTCTTGCTCCTCTCTCTCTCTCTCTTTTTTTTTTTTTGAGACAGAGTTTCGCTCTTGTTGCCCAGGCTGGAGTGCAATGGCGCAATCTCGGCTCACCACAACCTCCGCCTCCTGGGTTCAAGCGATTCCCCTGCCTCAGCCTCCGGAGTACCTGGGATTACAAGCATGTGCCACCACGCCAGGCTAATTTTGCATTTTTGGTAGAGACGGGGTTTCTCCATGTTCGTCAGGCTGGTCTCGAAGTCCCAACCTCAGGTGATCCGCCCACCTTGGCCTCCCAAAGTGCTGGGATTGCAGGCGTGAGCCACCGCGCCCTGCCTAATGCTAACTCTATTTTAAGGGGGCATCTGTTTCCTGCTGGGATCCTCACTGGCAAACTCAAATGCCCACCAGGGCAGGATACGGGTAAAGTGGTCGAAGTGTAATGCAATAGGGAGGGGTGGTGACTGGTGAACTGGAGAGCCCTGAAATGGGCACCTGCTACTATAGGCTCCAGCTGCTGGTGCCCTTTGAGAGTATGATTCTAGCATTAATTTTTCCTTTTTTTTTTTTTGAGATGGAGTCTCGCTCTGTCACCCTGGCTAGAGTGCAGTGGTGTGATCTCGGCTCACTGCAACCTCCGCCTCTTGGGTTCAAGTGAGTCTCCTCTACCATTAACTTTTCTAATTAAAAAAATTTTTAAACTTTTTCTAATTTTTTCTATGTAAGCTGAAAGTATACATTTTATTAGAAGAACTTTCCACATTTATAAAAACATTCTCTGGGCCAAAGAGCATGTGCTTGAATTTGACCTGTGGCTGACACTGCTATAAGGGCAACAGCCCTGGTAGTCAGAGAATGAGTTAAACTATGATAATATTAAGTATTGTCACCTTGTGCAGACACAGCATGCATTATTTCATTTAATCGTTAGGACAATATCAACTTGAGGGAGGTTATATTGCTATTATATAGATGAGATCCCTATTATATAGTTAAGAAAACTTTTTTTTTTTTTGAGATGGAGTTTCCCTCTGTTGCCCAGGCTGGAATACAGTGGTGCAATCTCGGCTCACTGCAACCTTTGCCTCCTGGGTTCAAGTGATTCTCCTGCCTCAGCCTCCCGAGTAGCTGGAATTCCAGGCACCCCCCTGCCACACCCAGGTAATTTTTGACTGGGTTTCACCATGTTGGCCAGGCTGGTCTCGAACTCCTGACCTCAAGTGATCCCCCGCCTTGGCCTCCCAAAGTGCTGGGATTACAGGTGTGCGCCACCACGCAAGGTGAGAAAACTCTTTAAACAGTTTCAAGGAGGTTAAATGCTTCAACTAAGGTTGCCTCTGGATAAGAATCCCCAGTAGGATTCTGGAGCCTGGGAACTTCAGCTGAGACTCTCTGCTACCTTCTTGGCTGAGTTCTTGAGTGGGGCACTGGGCTTCGGACTGTGATCATCTCCCTGCCTGCTGCACAGACAAAATCAATCCACTCAGACCATGGCACGACAATAAAGAAAGAGTTTAATTAATCCAAGTCCAGCTATGCCATGCGGGAGATGGAGTTACTACTCAAATCAGTCTCCCTGAAGGCTTGGAGCTTAGGGTTTTTCTGGACAATTTGATGGGCAGGGGGCTAGGGAATAACTGCTGCTGATTCGTTGGGGAAGCAATCATAGGGGTGTGCAGAACTTGCTGTTGGGTGGAGCCATAGGACCAGTTGAGCCATGAGTCACGAGTCCTCTTGGGTTCAATCTGAACAAAAATCTAAAAAAAAAAAAAAAAAAAAAAAACACTGGGTGCGGTGGCTTATGCCTGTAATCCCAACACTTTGGGAGGCTGAAGCAGGTGGATCAGTTGAGGTCAGGAGTTGGAGACCAGCCTGGCCAACATGATGAATCCTTGTCTCTACTAAAAACACAAAAATTAGCCAGGCGTGGTGGTGGGTGCCTGTAATCCCAGCTACTTGGGATGCTGAGGCACGAGAATTGCTTGACCCTGGGAGGCGGAGGTTGCAGTGAGTTGAGATTGCGCCATTGCACTCCAGCCTGGGGGACAGAGACTCTGTCTCACAAAACAAAACAAAACAAAACAAAACAAAACAAAACAAAACAAAACAAGTGCAGTTTTGTTGCATGGATATATTGCATAATGGTGAAGTCTGGACTTGTGGTGTAGCCATAACCTGAATAATGTACATTAAACTTATTAATTTTTTTAATAATTTTTTTTAGAGACAGGGTCTTGCCATGTTGCCCAGGCTGGTCTCCAACTCCTAGGATCAAGTGATCCTCCCACCTCAGCCTCCCAAGGTGCTGGAATTACAGGCGCGAGCACCATGCCTGAACACATTAAACTCATTAAATAATTTATCATCTCTCATCGCCCCCACTCCCCTCACCCATCTGAGCCCCCAGTCTATTATGCCACACTCTGTGTCCATATTTATTTATTTATTTAGAGGCAGAATCTAGTTATGTTGCCCAGGCTGGACTCAGACTCTTGGACTCAAGCCATCCTCCTGCCTCAGCCTCCTGAGTAGCTGGGACTACAGACGTGAGCCACCTCACGCAGCATAAGAAAACCCCAATTTTGTTTCAAGTGAGAAAATATTCAGACCCAAAGAATTAGGATTGGTCTAAGTATGAGGTGACAAGCATGGAGAAGAAAAGTCAACCTGTGAACAAGGGTAGAGCAGAGAAGGAGATCAGGTCTATACCACATGGTTCCTTCAGTCTTCTTGCCGTGTGAGGTAATGAAAGGTGTTTCTTGCTTAAGCTATTGTTAGTCGGATAAGCAGTGAATTCCTGCTGCAAGGATTCCTAACTGCAACATATGCAATGGAGTTATATTAGATAAGGAGAAAAAAAATAATAGGAGAAGACAGAGGGCAGATAGAAGAAAGTAATTAAAACCAGCAGTCAGGCATTTTGGAATTCAGACCTCATTATTTTCATTTTCCAGATGAGAAAACTAAGGTTCCAGAGAAATGAACATAACTTGTTCAACATCTTAAAACTAGTCACCAGCAGACCTGGAATTCAAACCCAGATCTATTGGATACCAAAGACTGGTTTGAACAACTATATGTAATGCTTTGTATTGGGGTGTGTGTGTGTGTGTGTGTGTATGTGTGTGTAAGGGAGAGAGTGAGAGCTAGAGAGAGAGAGAGAGGGAGAACTAATGGTCACTGTTTGCTATGTGTCTGGTTATGTGCTTTACACTTTTGGCATATTGCTTTTCATTCTTAAATACAGCTTCAAATTTAGTTGTCATCTTCCTCATAATTTTATAAGAAAACGGAAATTCAAAAAGTTGAGTGACTTTAATAATTGAATATTGCCCAAAAGAAAAAAGGAAATTCTCTATGCCACCTGAGGTAGATCTAAAGAATTTTTCCCATCTCTATGTGCAGTGTATCTTTGTAGACCCTCCCATGAAGAAGTGGGGTCACTTTTTTTTTTTTTTTGAGACAGTGTCTCGCTCTGTCACCCAGGTTGGAGTGCAGTGGCACGATCTCGGCTCACTGCAAGCTCTGCCTCCCAGGTTCATGCCATTCTCCTGCCTCAGCCTCCTGAGTAGCTGGGACTACAGGCACCCACCACCACGCCCAGCTAATTTTTTGTATTTTTAGTAGAGACGGGGTTTCTCCATGTTGGCCAGGCTGGTCTTGAACTCCCGACCTCAGGTGATCTGCCCGCCTCAGCCTCCCAAAGTGCTGGGATTACAGCCATGAGCCACTGCGCCCAGCCAGAGTCACTTTTTTACCCTTTGAATCTGGGCTGAGCCATGTGATTTGTTTTGGCCAATATGTCATTAGCAAATGTTGGGGGAAACAGAGGCTTCCAAAGTACTTGTAAGCAGTACTTTGCTCTTTGGGAATTTTTACTGTCAAAGTAAGCTCTGCCGGGCGTGGTGGCTCACGCCTGTAATCCCAGCACTTTGGGAGGCCGAGGTGGGTGGATCACTCGAGGTCAGGAGTTCAAGACCGGCCTGGCCAACATGGTGAAACCCCATCTCTACCAAAAATACAAAAATTAGCTGGGCATGGTGGCAGGTGCCTGTAATCCCAACTACTTGGGAGAATGAGGCAGGAGAATCCCTTGAGCCCAGGAAGCGGAGGTTGCAGTGAGCTGAGATTGCATCACTGCACTCCAGCATAAGTGACAAAGTGAGACCCTGTCTCAAAAAAAAAGTACTTGTACCTTGGGGTTTGCCTTCTTACTTCTCCTGGGAACCCTATAACTTCATGTGAAGGAGCTAGCCTGTTGGATGATGACGTCCAGACATGTGACCCAGTTGCTCTTGTTACCCAGGTGATGGCCCCCAACCTCCACACATAGACAGGAAGCCGTCTTAGGATCATCTAGCCACCAGCTGACCACAGACACCTGGGAATACCCAGCAGTGATCATATGAGCTGGCCCAGAAAGGAAGAACCTCTCAGCCCACCTATAAAGTCACGAGCTAAACAAATGGTTGTTTTTAGCCACTAAATGTTGGAGTGGTTTGTTATGTGGCATAACTAATGGATACACTGACTTTCACTATATCAGACAAATATTGCAAATAATTGAGTGAAATGGATAGATATTGAGAATGTTTAATGTAAAGGTTTAAGTTAAATCTATCTTTTATGCAAAATACATGCCCATGTTCTGTTCCCTTTTTCTTTTTCTTTTTTTTTTTTTTGAGATAGAGTCTCGGTCTGCCAGGCTGGAGTGCGGTGGTGCGATCTCGGCTCACTGCAACCTCTGCCTCCCGGGCTCAAGCGATTTTCCTGCCTCAGCCTCCCAAGTAGCTGGGACTACAGGCACATGCCACCATGCCCGGCTAATTTTTGTATTTTTAGTAGACACAGGGTTTCACCATGTTGGTCAGGCTGGTCTCGAACTCCTGACCTCGTGATCCACCCGCCTCAGCCTCCCAAAGTGCTGGGATTATAGGCGTGAGCCACCACACCCGGCCAAACATAACTCTTCTTATAGTTATAATGATTCCGTGAAATAGGTCCTACTACCTCCCTCTTTTTTGTTGTAGTTGATTTTTAATTTTTAAGAGATGAGGTCTCACCATGTTGCCCAGGCTGGACTTGAACTCCCAGGCTCAAGCAATCCTCCCACCTAAACCTCAGGTGATCTGCCTGCCTCGGCCTCCCAAAATGCTGGGATTGCAGGCGTGAGCTACCTCGCCCAGCCTGTTCCCTTTTTCATTAGTGATAAGATCCTTGGCCATTAAAAGTTGTCAGTGAAGAAATATAGTGTCCCAGTGACGAGGAGTATGAAAAATACATTCTATTTTCACATCTTAAATGTCATTAAGATGTTGAAAGTGTTAAATATCAAATTCAAACTCAACTAGGTTTGACCAGCTTGTCCCAGTTTGTCTGGGATTTTTACATTTTAGTACTGAAAGTCCTGTGTCCAAGGAAACCCCTCAGTCCAGGAAAAACTGGGACAGTTGCTCACTGCTATGTTTTGTTTTGTTTTGTTTAAATCAGCCTACATCATGCTTTGATCTGCTGCAGTTTGAACACATTCCCTTTAAAATTTATATGTAGGAGGCCGGGCGCAGTGGCTCATGCCTGTAATCCCAGCACTTTGGGAGGCCAAGGTGGGTGGATCATGAGGTCAGGAGTTTTAGACCAGCGTGGCCAAGATAGTGAAACCCCGTCTCTATTAAAAATACAAAAATTAGCCAGGCATGGTGGCAGGCGCCTTTAACCCCAGCTACTTGGGAGGCTGAGGCAGGAGAATCGCTTGAACCCAGGAGATGAATGTTGCAGTGAGCCGAGATCACGCCACTGCACTCTAGCCTGGGCGACAGAGCGAGACTCCATCTAAAAAAAAATATGTGTGTGTGTGTGTGTGTGTGTGCGCGTATATATGTATATATGTGTGTATATATGTATATATATGTATATATGTGTGTTCATATATGTGTGTGTGTGTATATATATATAATATGTAGGAACTTAATCCCTAAATGATAGTATTAAGAGCTGGGGCCCTTGGGAGGTGATTAGGCCGTGAGGACTCTGCCCTTGTGGATGGAATTAGTGCCCTTATAGAAGGGCTTGAGGAGGAGAGTTTTTCTCTCCTACTCTTCTGCCATGTGAGGACCCTGTGTTCATTCCATTTAGGGGACGCAACAGCAATGCTCCATTTTGGAAGCACAGGAAGTCCTTACTAGACAATCAGTCTGCTGGTGCCTTGATCTTGGACATCCCAGCCTCCAGAACTGTGAAAAATACATTTCAATTATTTATAAATTACCTGGTCTGTGGCATTTTATCGTAGAGCAGGAATGGACTGACAAAGGCACCTGAAGCTCAACTTTAGTGTTAGTTCCAGCAGGGAGGAATCTTGCAAATTCTTATTGATATATGACAATAGATATTTAGAAGCTAAGAAGCTGAGTATTTTCTCACACGTTTAGGTGTAAGTTACAAATTAGTCCTGCTTTTGATACACAGCTACTTCATGAGTTTGCCCTAACTGCTCCCAGATAAGTCATATTCCTTTGAGAAGTCCCAATTGGCAAAAGTTCTTTTTTTTAAATGCCTCTTGTAAAAATTATCAATTTTTTAAAAAATGCCTCTTGTAAAAACCATCGACACAATTTCTTTTTTTTTTTTTCAGACGGAGTTTCACGCTTGTCACCCAGACTGGAGTGTAGTGGTGTGATCTCGACTCACTGCAACCTCCCCCTTCCGGGTTCAAGCAATTCTCCTGCTTCAGCCTCCTGAGTAGCTGGGTTTACAGGCACCTGCCACCATGCCCAGCTAAGTTTTGTATTTTTAGTAGAGACGGGGTTTCACCATGTTGGCCAGGTTGGTCTTGAACTTTTGATCTAGGTGATCCACCCACCTTGCCCTCCCAAAGTGCTGGGATTACAGGTATGAGCCACCCCTCCTGGCCAAGATTCTTGAATGTGTGATTAGTATTTATGGAAACTGACCCTGTATATAATAATCTTCTGCCTTCCTTACCTGCAAGTCATGAATTATATTTATGAACTGAATGTAAGAAAAATCTATGTGTCATTTATTCATTCACTCATTCATTCATCTCTCTATCCAACAATATTATTAAGTGCCCAGTAGATGCTATGTACTGTGCTAAGAGATGAAGATAAATAAAATGGTGAGCAAAAATGGACACTGTTGACCGGGCTCCTTGGCTCACACCTATAATCCCAGCATTTTGGGAGGCCGAGGCAGGCGGATTGCCTGAGGTCAGGAGTTTGAGACCAGTCTGACCAACATGGAGAAACCCCGCCCTACTTGGTCATCAATCCTTGACATTCCTTGCAGCTAGTTCACTCCAATGTCTTCTTCTGTTGTCACATGGCTTTCTCCCTGTGGATCTGTGTCTTCTTATAAGGGCACCAGTCCCATTGGATTAGGAACCCATCCTATAGTATTGGTACACTCTACTGAAAATACAAAAGTTAGCCTCGCGTGGTGGCACATGCCTGTAATCCCAGCTACTTGGGAGGCTGAGGCAAGAGAATCGCTTGAACCTGGAAGGCGGAGGTTGCGGTGAGCCGAGATTGCGCCATTGCACTCCAGCCTGGGCAACAAGAGTGAAACTCCATCTCAAAAAAAAAAAAAAAATAGACACTGTTCTTGCCTTCCAGGAATTTTTAGTGTTGTGGAGTAGAAGACAGTCATCCAACAAGCAGATAAATGCAAAGCTACACCCATGACAAGACTAGCAAACAAGAAGTGGTGTTATAAAATTTTGTGGAATTAAAGGAATTTGACTTTGTTGGGGGGCAGAGTCATTTAAGAAAGGCGTCCCCTTCGGACAAGGGAGCCAAGATCTAGAGGTGAAATGAGAATAGAGGTTGGAGTGAGGAAGGGGAAAATATTCCAAGCAGGGGGAAATGTAAAACATTTGAGCAAAATCCTGTGGCAAGAGGCAACCTGGACCATTTGAAACAGGGCTGTGCGCATAGAATCAAAAAATAGGGCAAAGGGTGACAGAAGAGAAAGCCAGAGTGGGAGACATGGGCCTAGCTGAAGAGCATCTCAAAGCCTGTCATGAGTTGGAATGTGTCCCTCCAAAAAGATGAAGTAGAGCCCTATCTGCCAGTATTTCTGAGTAGGACCTTATTTGGAAACAGGGTCATTGCACATGTAATTAGTGAAGATGCGGTCATACCGTAGAGTGGGTTCCTAATCCAATGGGACTGGTGTTCTTATATGAAGACACAGATCACCAGGAGCGGTGGCTCACGCCTATAATCCCAGCACTTTGGGAGGCCGAGGCGGCAGATCACGAGGTCAGGAGATTGAGACCATCCTGGCTAACACGATGAAACCCCATTTCTACTAAAAATACAAAAAATTAGCCAGGCGTGGTGGCGGGCGCCTGTAATCCCATCTGCTCGGGAGGCTGAGGCAGGAGAATGGCGTGAACCTGGGAGGCGGAGCTTGCAGTGAGCCGACATCACGCCACTGCACTCCAGCCTGGGGGACAGATTGAGACTCCGCTTCAAAAAAAAAAAGAAGACACAGATCCACAGGGAGAAGGCCATGTAACAACAGAGGAATACATTAGAGTGAACCAGCTGCGAAGAATGTCAAGGATCGATTGCCAAGTAGGTCGAGGCAAGGAAAGAGTCTCCCCTCCAGAAGAAGGTGGCTCTCCCGACACCTTGATTCTGGACTTCTAGCCCCCAGAACTGTTAGGAAATAAATTTCTGTTGTTTTAAGTCACCCAGTTTGTTGTACTTGGCTATGACATCTGTAGGAAATTAACACAAAGGCCACAGTAGGATTTTGGTCTTTGTCCCAAGAGCAGCAAGGAAGCATGGCAAGAATTTAAACAAGGAAGGGAGAGCGGAGGATGTTGGTCTGGCTAAGGTGGGGATATGGAAGGGAAGGAAACAAGAGTGTGTGCAAGGCAGACCAGTTAAGAGGCTTGGGCGAGGGGGACTGCTTAGGAGGCTGCAGGGAGATGAGTTAGCAGTTGATGTGGTTGTCCGGGAGAGAGATGACAGAAGCTTGGAATAGGTGTTAAGGGTAAAGATGAAGCTGAATGAAAGGATTTTGGATCCCTATGGTGAGTGAGATACAGAGCCATGTCAACAATGACTTCAAGGCTTTGGGCTCACTCAACTGGATGGATGGGGGCGCCAATCACTGAGCAAGTGATCCTCAGGGAAGATCAGACTCCACTTAGCACAAGGTCTCTCAGCCAGCAGAATGAGTTTCAATGTTCTTAAAGCAAACACACCCCAAAGAAAATTTCCTTTTGAATTGTAATAAATACACTCTGCAATGCCTTCTGTTTTTACAGAATAATATTTCTGGGAGACCGGTACACATAAGCACTTGGAAGTTGATCTCTTTCTTATTAATAATTGCCTGATAATTCATTGTGTGGATATAAGATAATTTAACCAATCTATTTATGTATTTAGCTTGTTTCCAGATTTTAAATTATTTCATTGCAAGTTTTTAAAAATTTTCTAGCTTCATCCATTAAAAGAAATACTTTTACATTGTTAACTACTATATACACATACGACACACAAATACACACACACACAGCAAAAAGTTTCACAAAATAGTACTTATCCTACCTATATGTCATTCTATTCTATTCTATTCTAATTCCATTCCAACTAAAAGTAATAGCCATGACCCACTAAATTGATCTTACCACCTACTGACAGGTCACAACCTGCAGTTTGAAAAACACTTTCAATGCATATTTATTCAATGAAAAGGGACAAGTAGGCCAGGCGCAGTGGCTCATGCCTGTAATCCCAGCACTTTAGAAGGCCAAGGTGGGAGGATCACTTGAGGTCAGGAGTTTGAGACCAGCCTGGCTAACGTGGTGAAACGTCATCTCTACTAAAAATACAAAAATTAGCCGGGCGTGGTGGCAGGTACCTGTAATCCCAGTTACTCGGGAGGCAGAGGCAGGAGAATCACTTGAACCCGGGAGGTGGAGGTTGCAGTGAACTGAGATTGTGCCACTGCACTCCAGCCTGGGCAACAAGAGCAATACTTCGCCTCAAAAAAAAAAAAAAAAAAAAAAAAGGAAAAGTACTTATTTATACTCCAATACTGTTCTGAACATTTTGTAAGTAATAACTTAATAATCCTTACAATGACAGTGTGCCAGTGGGCTAAGAATTATTATCTCTCCGTTTTCCAGATGATGAAACTGAGACACAGAGAGGTAGACAAGTTACCCAAGGTCACATGCTAGTATGTCGGAGAGCTGTGCTTAAACCCCGGCGGTCTGGCTGCAGTTTATGCTCTTAATCATCAGCCTATGGTATTTCCTTTAGCCTTAGGAATTGATGTGAGACTAACCAGGTATTTAGCAATGCACAGCTCTAAATAGCCTCTCCAGTATTTCAAACCACGGCAGGGCAGGTTCCTTTACAAGATAGTCAAACAGGACATAAGTGTATTACTCTGCTATTTATATACCTCCATGGCTCTAGAAGGCAAACAAAGACTCCTGAAATTTAATAATCTCCTCCAGAAACTTAGCTTCAGCAACACACACACACATTCTCTCTCTCTGTGTCTCTCTCTCTCTCTCTCTCTGTCTCTCTCCAAAAGCCCCAAACCTTCAAGCTCCCAAATAATCAATGATGACCACTCTCAGTGCTGGACTGAACGATAATATTACAGTCACTTCTTATTCAGAGGTAGTGCTCAACTTCCCCATTATTTATTGATTTTCCCCCAAAGTTATCAAGTTCTAAAGCCTAATTATTGGTGTAATAGCTGAGATGTTAAGAGAATTGTAAGCCCCTTTAGCTAATGCATGGCATATGTTGAAGGGATTCAGCTAATTCACATATCTGTCTGCACTATTAATAGAGAAGGTTACATGCCAATTATCCAGGCTTCAATCAGCCTGTTTGGATACAATAGAGGCAGTGTTCACACACTTGATGTGCCACATTCCTTCCCGACATCAGAAGCAGCTGGTCCAGATAAAGACCGCTGGGGTTTTGATATTTAGGAATCACGTCCACGGAAGAGCTGGAGTTGAGACTTGATTGCTTCATGGACAAATTCCCTGCAGGTATCTTTAACCTGGACTCTTTTGAAAAATGCCTAGTAGGTTTGCAGTTCACTGGGCTTTACACTTTTCCTGCTCAGACTTGTTGGGTGGGTGGGTGGGTGGAGGTGCTGAGGAAGAGGAGAAAGACAAAGGAGCAAATAGCTCCAAGGACAAAGCAGGGAATAATAGGAACGGGCAAATGGATTCCAATAAAATAAAGAACCCGCACACATTCTTGTGCCCAGTTTTAGAACCAAACAGGCTAAGACATTTTCCTCCTAAGAGCTCAACTTCGTGTGTTGAAAAATAGGTGGATGGATAAATATCTCTGTATATTTCACCTGCATTCTTTTCTTTTTATTTTTTTCCCCTTTCATTTCTTTTTTTCCTCTGATTCAGAAGCTGGACTGGAAGTGTTGTAATATCATCAGAAAATGCTGCTTCCGGTGGTATTTTTAACCAGGAACAGAAGCTGAAGTGTCTGAAACCACCGGAGAAAGCCCCTGCTCTCCTGAGAGCTGTTCTCTAATTTTGCTGGCAGAGAGCATTGGATCAGTGATCAGAAAGTTAAAATGGCAGATGTTGGGGCTTCTAGGGGGAGGGGAGGCAGATACCTGATACTCTCCGGCATTTGTTTTTTTATCCTTCCCCTTACCTTCCTTTCTCGGATCACAATATCCTTCCCCTTACCTTCCTTTCTCAGATCACAAAACAGAGCTGGCGTCCACTTTTCTAAGGTCACACAGCCAAATGCTGGCACAACAGTAAACAAACAAACAAACAAAAAACAACCATCCCCAGGACCTGCCTCTCAGGCTGCATCCTGACCCTCCTGACATTTCTCAAATACAGCAGCAGACCTCAATACTTTTTACAAAAATCACCAAAAGCTAATCAACAACAGGCAGATAGCCCATGTCAGCCGTTGTTTCATGTGCTATTTCAGCTCCGTGTGTATTTTTTCACCCTCCCAGATGAAAATACAGTAATTAACTCCATACAGAGGGGGGATGGAGGGAGGAAACTCCCTTTTTTTTTTCCCTTCCCCTAGACTTGAAAAGAAATTCTGGCAGATAATTTGGCTGAACATGAAAAGGGAGAGGCTGCTTACAGCCGCCCAGATAAAGTGCTAGGTTGGTGAGGCTTTGCGGGCTAAGTTGGTTATTTCACGCCATGAAAAGCAGACATTTATCTGTTCCCATGGAGATGTGATTTCTACTAGTCAATCAGGCACTGGGGAGGTCAGACAATAGCCAGTGGTTCCCTTTTTCATCTCAAGAGACAGTCCATTCCTGTTCTATTGTAACATTTCACCTACATTTAAAGGAATCTAAATGATCTCTCCGAAATACCTGCAGACGCAGCCATTATATTTTCAAGTGATCAAAATTAGCAGACATTCCAGCTGCCTCAGAGGTAGACGGGGCGTGCCCCCCACCCCCCAGTTTCAGATCATAGGTTGTTCCAGCACCATCCTTATTTGGATAATTTTGGCTTCCACACTTGATCCTTCCCTCCTGAATAAAATAATAAGGTCATAAATTACATGTTAAAATTTGGGGAGTGGGCAGAGGACTTCAAACAGAACATCGCGGGAGCAAGAGAACGCTGCCCAGAAGAGAGCAAAGCCCAGAACTACTGCAAGTTTGATAAACTGTAAACTTTGTTCCCGGTCACAGGACTGGGAACCGCCTGAAAACTGCACATGCAGAAATGATTAGGGCTGTTATTTGATCTTCAGTGTTTGCTATCAATCCCAGAAAGCAGATCATGTCTATTTGCCAAATATGTTTATTTCAGTAGGTGAATTGCAGTGTAAGCACCTAGAAACTAGGATTCACATAAGGACTTTGAAAATGATCTCCGAAGTGTCTCTTTTTCCCGCATCATTTTCACACATGCCTAAGGCAGAAGAAAACGTAACGGGGGTGGGGGGCCTTCTTCGAGCTAATTGAGAAGCAAGAGGCTATTTCCATGGGATCCCATTTGAAAACGCTGTCTGAGAGGCTTTTCCAACTCTCAGAGCATATTTGAGACGCAGACTGTCAAATGTGACTTACACAGAAGGCCGTTCACAGGATGGCAGCGTAACAGAAAACAGCAGACAGGCAAGGCCATTAAGTAACTTCATGCTTGTTAATGGGAGTCACTCAAGTGCAGCTCAACTGCGCAAGGCAGGAAAGTAAACACAAATACGACTCCTGGTTTGCCACAAGCCCGGCCTCTGTAGTGAGAGAGCTGTGACTGCGTTTCCAGCTCCTTGAAGGCAGAGAGACTCCTGCCTTTCGGGGCGGGCGGGCTGGAACAAAGACACCAACGGGGCCACCTCGGAAAGTCTTTTTGAGCAGTTTCAGCAAATAGCATTTAAGGGAAGGGAAAAAAACTCCAATGTACTCAATAAGGTACAGTATAATATCCCATTATTGAGGAGCCAAAAAGCAGGGATTTACCGCAAACGTTTTTGGGAGCTCGATTTCTCTGGAAAGACAGGGCACGCATTTCTCATGTATCGTGGGCCAGTATTTGACCATTTCCTGTGACCATTTCTTTACATAATTTTCTCAGTTTAGTTTTTAAAAATTAAAATAGAAGTCATACCTAATCTCTTTAAAACGTTCAAACAGTATAAAATTAAGGTAAAGGAGTTGAAGTTCCTCATTCCTTTTGCTCACTCCCACGCAGCTCATGATCTCACCAGAGATAGCTAATAACTACTTTTTAACAGTGTGAAACATATTTTCCAGACGTTTTCCATAAAATGCACATATACAAATACACATGCTTTGTTTTAAATACACCACTGGTATCATATTTATAGACACTGTTATACAACTTGCTTTTTTCACTTTGAGTATCGATCATGGACAATTTCCAATGTAGGTATTTTTCTAGTGAGCTATAAATTTTGGGGAACCATGTCATACATGCTCCTGGGGAAAATTCAAATTATAGGGCTTGTGGGGAAGGGTGGGTCTCCCTCCTCCCCCGCAGACAATGACTATTAGCAGTTTGTAGTGTCTCATGCCAGAAATAGTCCACGCATAGATCAGCATATATGCATATCGAACGCTCACACCTTTCTTTGTCTTTACACAAGTATCTTTCAGCTTGCATTTTCCACTTAAATCTCTTGGACAGCACTCTGTGTTAGAAAAACTTGATGTTTTAAGTGGTGGCATAGTATTTCTTTAAATGGTATTCCTTAATGTATTTCACTTGCCCTTTTTCACAGACTTTTTGGTGGCTTTCAGTGTTTGCTTCTACAAACAGTGCTACAATAAGTAGTCTGGTGTGTACCCAGTGATTCTCTGCTCAAACACACTCACTCCTTTCTGAAAGCGACTCCTATTACACCACACCTGTCCTAAAGTTGCTGTAATCCAAAGAAAAATGGATCGAATTAACTTTTTTTTTAAAACGAGGGTTTTAAGCAGAACATTATTAACCCATTAAAAATCTGTGATAATAAACTCGTGCCCTTTCCTGTGGTTTTTAGTCTCTCCTTCAGCTTGAGAGTAAGAGATTCATGAAAATGAAAAGAAAAAGTCTATCCCATCCTCACCTCCTCATCCCCTATCAGCCATGTCAAGATCACTACATAGCATCCCATGCCTGCTTATTACAAATGCATACTTCACACTGAGTAATTCCTTTCCATCTACTCCTTTCATCTTGGGCTCAGAGAAAGATCGCAGCTCACGCTTACAACTTAGGTGCAGACTTCTGCTCTTTTTTTGTGTGCAGGAGTAAAGCCACTGGGGATTTAGAACAAAGTGTGTCCTTGGAAAGAAGTGGGTAGAATTTTGTGTGTGCAGTAGGTGGGGGAGGGAACCCCCTCCCGAGGGAGGAGTTCGATTTCATTATACAGTTGGAAACCCGGTGAAATCATGTATACGACTGGATCTTTTCGCTCAGCGAGTGAGGTCTTTTTGTTCTTTGTCTTGCAGTGTGTACAGCAAATTTCTGTTGTGCCTGGGAAGAAGGAAATTTGAGTTAAAGAGGAGGCCCGCTCCATATGCCTTGTCACAAGTACACTCACTGAAACATTAATTCACGAAGAGATTGCAACAAGACCAAAACGAAAGAGGAACAGGGCCTGACAATGTTCAGAGAAGGAAAACCGAAGAAGTAACCATCCCCAAGTTAAAAATGACGTGGGGATGAAAAAATAGGTTGCCTGTTGTATTTGTCATTGAAATGCACAATCTTGTTTACTGTTTATCTTGAGACTCTGGGAGCTCTCCTGCTGCTTAGGAAAAAAGAGGCAAAGGTTTAGGAAGAAATGCTAGTCATAAGAAAGAGAGGCATTAGAAACCCTAGAGAGAATGGGAGGTGTAAATAGTATGTGGGCATTTGGCAATCACCACAAAGAAATGGGAGACAAAGGCAAGTGTCTGATGCCAGAAATCCTAAAAACTTGAGTGGAAAACCCAGACACAATAAAAATGTCCAAAAGAAAAAAAAGGCAAAATCCCATGAGATCTTTTTTTTTCTCTGTGATGTTACCTAATGGAGAAAATAAAGGTGGGTTTTGCCACAGTGATCATGGTGCCGTATCCTAAAGGAAGTAGCTTCATGATAAGCCTTCAGAGGCTCTCTCCAGGCCAGCCCCAGCCTTAGGACAAAATGGGACAATCTTGGGGGACAATTTCTTTCTCCAAAAAGGGGATGAGATTGGGCAGAAGAAACACTTGCAGGGCAGAGTTATTATCTCTCTCCCCGAAGAGTTTAATCAATTGTGGTCATTTACAGATCTCTGTCGTTGTCCTTTTCTCTCTCCCTCTTTCTTTTTCTTTCTTTCTTTCTTTCTTTCTTTCTTTCTTTCTTTCTTTCTTTCTTTTTCTTTCTTCTTTCTTTCTTTTTCTTTCTCTCTCTTTCTTTTTTTCTTTTCTTCTTTCTTTCTGATGACTTTGCCTTGAAAGGAATTGCTTAGGAAAGAGGGAAAAGGCATTTTTAGTCAAAAGCTAAGCTAAGATCAAATTAAATCGGGCAATGGAAACCTCCTCTGGAGGCTGTGCAGTAGAGTGTGACACCTCCTAATTTCATGACTTGGGCAGATTGCTTCATTTTCCTACTGTAAAAAAAAGGAAAACGATAATAACAGGTAATGTTTATTGAACTCCTACATGGAATAAGTATTTTATACACAGATCCATTTCACCCTCTGAATCTAATGAGGTAGTATAATTATTATCTCCGTTTTATAGATGAGTGGAGGCTCAGATCACCCAGCTAGAAAATGGAGATAGAATATAATTCTAGATCAGGGGTTAGCAATGACCGCCTGAGGGCCAAATTCTGCTCAGTATGTGTTTTTGTAAATAAAGTTTTATTGGAACCTAGACTTATTTGCTTATATATGGCCTGTGGCTGTTTTTCAGCTGTAATAGCAGACACTGTATGACCCATGAAACCCAAAAATTTACTCTTTACAAAAACCTTTACAGATTTTTGATCTAGATTATCCTAGCCCGTGCTCTTAATCTCACATATGTCCTGCTCCAAAAATACCTTTTTTTTTTTTTTTTTTGAGGTGATGTCTCCCTCTGTAGCCCAGGCCGGAGTGCAGTGGTGTGATCTTAGCTCACTGCATCTCCACCTCCCAGGTTCAAGCCATTCTTGTGCCTCAGCCTCCCAAGTAGCTGGGACTACAGGCCTGTACCACCACGCCCGGCTAATTTTTGTCTTTTTGGTAGAGATGGGGTTTCTCCATGTTGGCCAGGCTGGTCTCGAACTCCTGACCTCAAGTGATCCACCAGCCGCGGCCTCCCACAGTGCTGGGATTACAGGTGTGAGCCACCACGCCTGGCTAGAAAAATGCCTCATTTTAAAAATGTGATGCTGACCAGGAAAAACAAAACTAAAATGTCAAAAGTAATAATAGTTATTAGATAACTGAATCTATTAGGGGTCCAGGAAAATTAAAAACAAAACAAAGTTTTTAAAATTTGTGTTCCCCCTTTCTCCTTTTTTTCCGCCAAAACTTGAAAATGTTTATATCCTGAATTTACAACAAAGGAAAAACCTTTTCTGCCTCATCAGCTTTATTGAAACTACATATAAATGCTTATCTAAAAACCAAAAGTATATGCTAGGGAAATTTCCAAAATAATGAAAAAAATGGTTTTCCAGAAGACAAACATTATTTTTCATATATATTATTTTATTTATTTATTTATTCCGATAAGCATTTTGCACTTATTTATTTATTTATTGACACAGGGTCTCACTCTGTTGCCCAGGCTGGAGTGCAGTGGCAAAATCATGGCTCACTACAGCCTCGACCTCCTGGGCTTAAGTGATCCTCCTGCCTCAGCCTCTGGAGTAGCTGGGACTACAGACATGCACATCACCCCACCTCACATATATGTTATTGGCAAAATTGCAAGTAGAATACATTGTTAAAGTAAGAAGCTTCCATGTTTGAATGTGATATTTACAGATAGGTAAACTGGGGATTGGCTCTTGGAAATTGATTCGTGTTGCCATGTGAGCTAAATTGCTGTTTTCAGTGTTCTAATATGGCTTAATTTTTCATGGGTTTCCAGGATCGATGAATGTAGCCACATAACATATCCAGGTTTTAAAAATGTTAGTGAACAAGATTAATAATAGTATCTTCTGTCTGGGCACACTGGCTCACGCCTGTAATCCTAGCACTTTGGCGGCTGAGATGGGAGGATTTCTTGAGGCCAGGAGTTCGAGACCAGCCTGGTCAATAGAGTGAGACTCCTTCTCTATTTATAAAAAGAAAATTTAAGGCCGGGCATGGTGGCTCACACCTATTATCCCAGCACTTTGGGAGGCCGGGGCAGGCAGATCACTTGAGGTCAGGAGTTTGAGACCAGCCTGGCCAACATGGCAAAACCTGTCTCTACTAAAATATAAAAATTAGCTGGGCATGGGGTGGCACATGCCTGTGATCCCAGCTACTTGGGAGGTTGAGGCGGGAGAATCGCTTGAACCCAGGTGGTGGAGGTTGCAGTGAGCCAAGATCGTGCCATTGCACTCCAGCCTGGGCGACAAGAGTGAGACTCTGTCTCGAAAATAAAAAATAAAATATAAAATATAAAAATAAAAATAAATAATATCTTCTGTGTTTCCAAAATTCCAGGCCCCTTGCTCTGAGTTCTGAATATTCTATGCCAAGCCTTCCTGATAACTCTATAAGGCAGATGTCATTTTCATTTTCTAGATAAGAACGAGGCCCAGGTACACCAGGTGCCTCATCTAATACATGGCTGAATGACCTCAAATCCCATACTTTTTTTTTCCTCTAAGAGGAGGCCTGTGTTCGATTGTTCGTCTTTTCATTCAGGCAAATTCTTACCTACTTCAGAGCATACCAGGTGCCAGGCACTGCCCTGTGTTCTGGGAATCCGGGAGTGAACAAGACAGATAGTAACTCAGTTGTAGTCAATGAACAGGATATTTTCAGGTGAAGAGGAGGAATGCTAGGAAGGAAACGACACGGGATAGAAGAGACAGAAAGTGATCAAAGTTGGGTGCAGCAATAGGGGCCGCAGAGGCTAAGGAAGAGGCTTGAATGATGAACGCAAGCCACGAGGTGAAGATCTAGACCCCTGAAGAGAGTTCCAGGCAGAGGAAACAGCAAAGCCTCCCTCCCTCCCTCCCTCCCTCCCTTCCCTCCCTCCCTCTCTCCCTCCCTCTCTCTCTCCCTCCCCCTTCCCGCCTGCCTGCCTGCCTTTCTTCCTTCCTTTTTTTGAGACAGGATCTCTCTCTGTCACCCAGGTGGGAATACAGTGGCGCGATCATGGCTCACTGCATCCTCAATCTCCCAGGCTCAGGTGATCCTCCCACCTCAGCCTCCCAAGTAGCTGGGACTACAGGCACGTGCCACCATTCCCCACTACTTTTTGTATTTTTTTGTAGAGATGAGTTTTTGCCATGTTGCCCATGCTGGAGCCACATTTCTTGAAGTGGGAGACATCGTGGTATGTTGAGAAAATATGTTGATTCTTTATGACTTTTCCCAATTCAGGAGTCACTTAACCCTTGTCCAAGCTTGAGGGTCTTAGGTGCTGCTTTCTTTTTTTATTTTTAAACTTTCTATTATTGTTATTTTTGAGACAGTCTTGCTCTGTCGCCCAGGCTGGAGTGCAGTGGCGCGATCTCAGCTCACGGCAAACTCTACCTCCCGGGTTCAAGTGATTCTCAGCTTCCCTGAGTACCTGGGACTACAGGCATGCGTTAGGTGCTGCTTTCTAAGTGCCAAGGTTACCTGAGGGTTTGTCCTCAGGTCTATGAAATGTGGCTCTGATTTCCTAACATCTTTCTTTCTCTTTCCCTTTGTCAGACAGGGGAGCAAGGTGTTCCTCATTCATTTGTGATTGGAAACAGTAAGTTACCAGTCACTGAGTACATGCTGTGTATTGTGCTAACTGCTTAGTTGTATTACCTTATTTAATCTGCAAACAACCCAATGGAATATTGTGGAATAGTAGTCTTAAAACAGAAGCATGCCCCCTCTATCTTCCTTTCTCCGCCATCGTGGTGTGCGCTTGACTCTGCTTCTTGCCATGTCTTCTCACAAGACTTTCAGGATTAAGCGATTCCTGCCAAGAAACAAAAGCAGGCTGGGCGCAGTGGCTCACGCCTGTAATCCCAACACTTTGGGAGACTGAGGTGGGTGGATCATGGGGTCAGGAGTTCAAGACCAGCCTGGCCAATATGGTGAAACCCTGTCTCTACTAAAAATACAAAAATTAGCTGGGCATGGTGGTGCATGCCTGTAATCCCAGCTACTTGGAGGCTAAGGCAGGATAGTTGCTTGAACCGGGACCCGGGAGGTGGAGGTTGCAGTGAGTCGAGATTGCGCCACTGCACTCCAGCCTGGGCTACAGAGCAAGACTCCGTCTCAAAAAAAAAAAAAAGGAACAAAAGCGAAATCGTTCCAATCCCCAGTGGATTCAGATGAAAACTGGTAATAAAATCAGGTACAGGTCAGGCATGGTGGCTCACGTCTGTAATCTGAGGTCAGGAGTTCAAGACCAGCCTGGCCAACATGGTGAACCCTCATCTCTACTAAAAATACAAAAAAATGGCCAGGCATGATGGCTCACACCTGTAATCCCAGCACTTTGGGAGACCAAGTCGGGTGGATCACAAGGTCAAGAGATTGAGACCATCCTGGCCAACATGGTGAAACCCCATCTCTACTAAAAATACAAAAATTAGCCGGGTGTGGTGGCACGTGCCTGTAATCTCAGCTACTCAGGAGGCTGAGGCAGGAGAATAGCTTGAACCCGGGAGGCGGAGGTTGTGGTAAGCCGGGATTACGCCACTGCACTCCAGCCTGGCAACAGAGTGAGACTCCATCTCAAAAACAAACAAACAAACAAACAAACAAACAAAAAAATTAGCCAGGTATGGTGGCATGCTCCTGTAATCCCAGCTACTCGGGAGGCTGAGGCAGGAGAATCACTTGAACCCAGAGGGTGGATGTTGCAGTGAGCCGAGATCGCGCCATTGCACTCTGGCCTGGGCTACAAGAGTGAGACTCTGCTTCAAAAAAAAAAAAATCAGGTACAACTCTGAAAGGTGACATTGGAGAAGAACCTTATAGACATTGGGTCTATAAGGAATTGCACACGAGATAGCATATATTTATGCTGTATCAAGGTCATGATGATCTTACCATATCAAGCTGAAAATGTCACCACTATTTGAACCATCGGACATGTTTTATTGGGAATGTATTTTTTCTGTTTGTATGCTCTGAGCTAGCAGGCTGGGTTCAGTAATAAATATGTGAGAAATTTTGTTTGAAAAAAACAAAAAACAGGAGCATGCTGTACTGATTTAAGAGGATTAATTTCTAGAATCTACATGTTCATGCTTATATTTACTTATTCCGATTCCATGTGGGTCTGGGTGGGACACGAGGATCTGCATTTTTAACTAGCTTTTGGGGGATGCCAATGCTTCTGTTTTATAGAACACACTTTGATTAGCATCATTCTATACCAGAAGTTGACAAACTTTCTCTATAAAGGGCCAAATAGTTAATATTTTCAGTTTTGTAGGCCCTGAAATCTTTGTTACAAGTACTCAATTCTGCTATTGCAGCAGGCAGAAACATGTAAATGGATGGATGTGGCTGTGTTCTAATAAAACTTTATGTATTTTTTATTTTTTGTTGAGACGGAGTCTCGCTCTGTGGCCCAGGCTGCAGTGCAGTGGCGCAATCACAGCTCACTGCAAGCTCCGCCTCCCAGGTTGACTCCATTCTCCTGCCTCAGCCTCCCGAGTAGCTGGGACTACAGGCGCCCGCCAGCATGTCTGGCTAATTTTTTTGTATTTTTAGTACAGACGGGGTTTCATCTTGTTAGCCAGGATGGTCTCGATCTCCTAACCTCGTGATCCGCCCGACTTGGCCTCCCAAAGTGCTGGAATTACAGGCGTGAGCCACCGCACCCGGCCAAAAACTTTATTTATAAAAACAGATGGTGGGCCAGATTCCTTGCAGTTGCAGTTTGCTGACTCTTGGCTTAGACCAATCATGGTTCATCTCCTGGACTCATCTCCTCTGAATATATTGCTGACTAAAGGCTGAACCAGTAGGGATTCTCCTAGTCAAGGAAGACATAGGTGAGGATTCCTGAGAAGCATGTCAATTCCTGTGATCTAAGCCATTGGCATGGAGCAATTCTTAGGTTATTTTTGGTGGAGGTAAGTGTTAGTGATTCCCCCACAACCTAGCTACAGTTTATCATAAAATCAAATCTTGGCTGGGCGCGGTGGCTCACGCCTGTAATCCTAGCACTTTGGGAGGCCGAGGTGGGTGGATCACGAGGTCAGCATTTCGAGACCAGCCTGGCCAACATAGTGAAACCTCTTCTCCACTAAAATTACAAAAATTAGCCAGGCTTGGTGGCGGGCACCTGTAATCCCAGCTACTTGGGAGGCTGAGACAGGAGAATGGCTTGAACCCAGGAGGCGGAGGTTGCAGTGAGCCGAGACCACACCATTGCACTCCAGCCTGGGTGACAGAGTAAGATTCCGTCTCAAAAACTCAATCAATCATTCAATCAAATGTCAGTCCAAATTCTGCTACTCTTTTTGTTTTTTTCTTTTTTTTTTTTTGAAACAAGAGTTTCGCTCTTGTTACCCAGGCTGGAGTGCAATGGAGTGATCTTGGCTCACTGCAATCTCCCCCTACCAGGTTCAAGAGATTCTCCTGCCTCAGCCTCCCAAGTAGCTGGGATTACAGGCACCCACCACCACGCCTGGCTAATTTTTGTACTTTTAGTAGAGATGGGGTTTCACCATATTGGCCAGGCTGGTCTCGAACTCCAGACCTCAGATGATACACCTACCTCGGCCTCCCAAAGTGCTGGGATTACAGGAGTGAGCCACTGCGCCCGGCCCAAATTCTACTACTCTTATAGCCAAATATTTATTAGCAAAGCAGGCACAAAACAGTTCATACAACCTGTTCTGAAAGGTTGTTGACAAAGTCCCAGCATTTTGTTCTTTTTTTCCTTTATTATTATCTTTATTATTAAATTTAATTTAGTTTTTGGCTGGAATCAAATGACTGGTATATTATTATTTTCAATTGACACATAATAGTGATACATATTCATGGGGTACAGCGTGACATTTCACTACATGTATACAATGTGTAATAATCAAATCGGGATAATCAGCATAGCCATCACCTCTAACATTCATAATTTCCTCGTGTTGTGAACATTCAGAATCCACTCTTGTAGCTATTTGAAAATATAAAATAAATTGTTGTTAATGATAGTCATCCTATGTACCCTATACAGCCTAGCACTCCGTTCTTATAGGTGCTCTGGTCACACCCTGCAGGAAGGGTGTATTCAAAGCAGGCATAACAACATTCCAAAAGCTGGGCCCTGTGCTCTCTGGCCTGTATGAGGCAATCAGAAATTCTCTTAAACCAGTGACTGGAACAGAATCAGTTAGTGAATGAGGCAGGGAAGGGTATAGGTGAAGGGTAAAGGGTTGCATCCTGTATCACATTCTAGTCAATCTACTTGTCCTGAGTACCTTAATTCCACCAATGAAAATCCATTTGTAATATCGTCATGCAAATTAACTAGTCACTAGTTTCACCAATAGAAACCCTATTCCTGAACTGCAGGAAGCACTCGCAATACCTGTGGCCGGAGTGTGGACCTTTCTAACATTGTGCTTGCGAACCATCCTGAACAACATATTCTTCATTGCTGATTAGCTGACCCCTCTTATTATACAGCCAAGCTTAGACTCACTGTATGGATAGTTTAGCTCGCTGATTAATTACACTGAAGTATGTTCAAGTAAAGTACAGATCTGGTAACCAACTATGTCTACTACAGGGCTTGTGGCAAGGATAGGGATGATGTGGTTAAAATCCTGGCAGACAGTGGGCACTTATTTAAAAAAAAAGAGAGGAATAAAGAGTGCTATGACTGCTGTTCAGAGAACTTGTCAGAAGTAAAGTAATACCAGTCTGCGTGTGTGTGTGCGTGTGTGTGTGCATGTGTGTCTGTGTGTGTGCGCATCTGTGTGTGTGAGTGTGTGTGTGTGTGTGTGTGTGTGCTCTCAGCCATATGGCTTCCTGTGCTTTCTGTGCTTTTCTGATTTTACAAGGTAGAGGTACAGACAAGAAAAAGGAGGCACTGATTGGATAAGAGCTGGGTTCAAATCTAGTTTGTTGCTCACTAGCTGTGTAAGTTTGTCAGTTGCTAGGTAAGTTGTTAAAACTTTACAAGCAGTGGTGTAGCACAGCTCAAAGTAGAAAATAGTGCTGTTGGTTTTCCCCTCTGCAGTTGTCAAGAAGGGGCCTCATATGCAACATGGGGATAATGATGGTGATGATTAAGTAAGAAGGCGTGTGAGACAGAGTCTACTGCCTGCACACAGCAAGCTCTTGGTAAATGTTGTCTGCCATTATCCTCATCCCGATTTCGCAGATCAAGGCTTACAGAGCTTAAGTGATGCTCTCAAAGACAGAGGCAGAGCCTGGGAAAATAACAGCTACACAACAGTGCCACCCACACCAAAATAATATATTCCAGGGGTATGGTGAATCTTTTACCTAAGGCTTTTCTAGAAATTAAGGACACCTATCAGTGATTTGAGTCTTACATTTAAATGACAACGTTGAAAAAGTATTTAAACAGGGTCTTTGGCCAGTGTAGGCTGCATTAGATTTAAAAAAAAAAACAGTTATCCAAGTTCTTGCTTTTCTGTGTCCAGAAAGTTCTGAGATTAGGGGTCTTTATCAACTGTAGGGGGCACTTATCCTTGGTCTCCCATCTGAACCTGCTTGTTAAACTTGGGGAGTTTCTCCCCTGTTATTCTTGGTAGGAAGCAGTATTGGTTTTTCACCACAGAAACTGAAAATGTCAAAAATTGATTTCCAGTCCTCCTGAGGGATTTAGGGTCACCCAAATCCTGTATGATATCATCTTACTCAATTACATCTGCAAAAATCCTATGTCCAAGAAGGTACCATTCTGAGGTTCTGGGCAGACATGAATTTTGGGAGTAGCAGGGAGACTCTATTCGGCTCTCTACGCCTACTAATAATCTTTATTTATTTTTATTTTTTTGAGATAGAGTCTTGCGCTGTCACCCAGGCTGGAGTACAGTAGTGCGATCTCAGCTCACTATAGCCTCCACCTCCCGGTTTCAAACAATTCTCCTGCCTCAGCCTCTCGAGTAGCTGGGATTATAGGCAGCCGTCACCACACCTGGCTAATTTTTATATTTTTAGTAGAGACAGGGTTTCGCCATGTTTAATGTGAGAAATATTTCATGCCTGTAATCCCAGCACGGCCTATATTTCTCACATTTAATGCGACCTTTGTATGTTTCTTTCCTTTTTTTTTTCCTTTGAGATGGAGTCTTGCTCTTGTCACCCAGGCTCGAGTGCAATGGCACGATCTCAGCTCACTGCAACCTCTGCCTCCCTGATTCAAGCGATTCTCCTGCCTCAGCCTCCCAAGTAGCTGGGATTATAGGCGCCCACCACCACGCCCAGCTAATTTTTGTATTTTTAATAGAGATGGGGCTTCACCATGTTGGCCAGGCTGGTCTCGAACTCCTGATCTTGTGATCTGCCCGCCTTGGCCTCCCAAAGTGCTGGGATTACAGGCGTGAGCCAGTGCGCCTGGCCAGATCTTTGTATGTTTCTTTGTGGATATATTGATGTATCAGATGGTACAGGGAGTGCTGCCCCGACCCCGCTGGAGGTGCAATGTAATATCAGATATAGGCACCGCATTACATTTCTAAAATATAAAAAGTGTAGAATTCCAAAGTGTATTGGGCTATAAGGGTTTGGATAATAAATTTGGATGTATATTTTACGTCATTTTAAAGCTGAGGAATAGAGACACTAAATACCAGCGCCGGTGAGTGACAGTGCCTGGACTGGAATCCAGGGATCGGAGTTCTGAGTTGAGTCTCTAACCACTAGGCTCTCTTAAGAGAGGTAGACTGATGCTTATTAACTGCATGAACGAAGGAGTAAAGGAGGCTGACTGGGCCTTGTTCCAATTCCTGGGCTGTTTTGCCTGCTGCTAGGGAGATTCCTATCTTTCTCTGGCAGAACATCTTTCTAAGCCCCGTGCTGCAGCTGTAAGTGTGCGTGCGAAACATGCATGGACACACACCACACACACACAGACTCACACCTTGGAGAGGAGCTGCATGCTGTTATATTTCCTGGAGCTTTGTGGCTGCCTGTTGTTTCAGCGATCTCATCTTTATGAATGAGGCGACAGAACCCACTAGTAACCAGGCGAGGGAGTGAAAACAGATGCTTTTCCAGCCAGGCAGGGCTGTGCTGAGCAGTTTGTCACTGGTTAAACCTCTGTCTCCATCAAGACACACTCCCTGTAAAAAATGATTACCGTTCTCTCTCTCTGACTTTAGGAACTGCTCCGGTCCTGAAAACTCAAAGTCACAGCTAACAGGAAAAGGATAATTTGTCTGTTGGATACTTAGACCAGAATAAGGCAATGGGGTACAGTGATGCTATTTCTGAAAGTGTGAAGGCCTAATTTCCTCCAGCCAAGAGAGGAAGTGAGCCTGCTTTGCGTGCTTGAAAGCTTCCTTGAGAGGAGGTGAGGTTGCCTCTAGAAGGCAGTGGAAAATCAACGTGGTTTTAAGTGAGCAAAAGTCTTCAAAAAAGCCTCAGGAATAAGATAGGCTATAGGTTTGGCCAAGGACAGACCATCAAGCAATATTGTTGATTGAAACACAGTTGTAGAAAGGTGAATACTGTATGATTTCCTCTACGTTTAAAAAAAGGACATGTATCTGCACGTGTGTGTGTGTGTTTAGATGTGTAAAAATATTTAAAAAAGGACGAGAAGAATACTCTCTTACCATTAACACAGGAAGTAAATAAAAAATGGGGTGGGGGTGGGGAAAGCCATGTCAGAGGGAGAGAAGGGTGAGTTTCTATTTTCAGTCATATATACTACAGTGTTTTTCCTTTACTTCTGTAATCTAAAATAAAAATAAATAAAGTCAACTGGCAAAAGCAAACACCCAAGCAAACAACTACATAATAAACAGAAAGCCCTTTAATTTCTAAGAATCAGGAGGCTTCAGAACATGAAAGAACTTCCTGGTTCGAGGCATTCCTCGTGAAATCATGTTTGGAAGCCAATCTGGAATTCTACCCCGCCCGGAACGAGGTAGACTCCATAAAGCAGTATTGAAATTTCCCTGTTGAACAAAAAATAAATGTTTGATGCTTTCTCTCGACCTCTGTTTAAAGTTATTAACTCTTCTTTTATTTAACTTTTATTAAAGTTATTAACTCTTCTTTCAGCTTACTGCTGTGGTGGTGTGTGTGTGTGTGTGTGTGTGTATGTGTGTATGTGTATTTAAAGCATAGGAAACATCCAAATGACTAATGTTGTTTACATTCTATTCTTTAAAATACACATCATACTAGATGAAAGCATAAAACAATATCTTTAAATATTAAAGAAAAACAATCCTGTTTAAAAACCAGCCTCTTCCAGAGCCTAAGAGAGATACACTAGGCCCTTGAGGATGCTTGAGACTGTGCGCAAAAAAATTGGGGTCTTTGGTTACTCTATTGTAAAACAATCAGGTTGCATTCTGGCTTTTAGATTGTTTTAAGTGAAGTTTCACTACTTGCTTGTTACTTTTGTTTAACTTATTCCTTATAAATTGGGTTAAGTAGAAAATAGGAAGAGAAAGAGGAGCCCAAGGAAGGTGGTGATGGTAGGTAAAGCTGGGAACAGGCACCCCCCTTCTGCCTCATCTCCACTTGCAGGGACACCAGTAATTCAACAAATGGTGGCTGCCGGCAACACCTCCGGTTGAGAAGCTTTCCTGGTTATGAACCTGAAACAGGCTTTTCTTAGGAGAAGAGCATACTTAATTACTGGAATCTCAATCACATGCGCTGAAAGAATAAATGACCAGCATGGGCAGATTTTGATTAAGACTTGTCAAGGGGGAAATGATTTTCTTAAGTTTGGGATTTTTAACTTTATAAGATAGTCTTCTTGTTGGCAAAATTCGTCAGTGTCTCTGGGGCTTTCAGGCTACAGGATTGTGTTAGAAACAGTCTGTGTGCCATCACCTTTTAGAATATGTCCATATTAAATGAGGCTCAAACAAAAAACATTTTGTTTCTATATATCAAATAAAATAAAGAAAAGGTCCTTTGAAAGCTTGATCGAAACGTTAGGTTTTGTTACTGTCCTTTTCAAAGCACTATTATCATATTATTTCTTATTCGATTCTCTTAGCAACCCGGGAGGTTGTCAGAGTAAACAATCTTCGTGTTATAGATGCGGGAGAAAATGCATAAAAGGCTAACTCATGCATGTAAACAATTGGTCAGAGAGTTTAGGATTCCTAGTCTGTTTTACTCAACCTTTCAGTGAGGGCGAGTATAGTTCCTAGCAGGTTGTATTCAAGCATCTCCTCCAGGATTCATCTTGTACTAAAAGTTATGGAAAAAATCTCGATAAGCTCAATAAAATATCCAGAGAGGAGGCTTACTTAAGCACAATGCACCCCAAATCCTTACTTAAGACTTTTGGGAAGGGATTCATTTTGCCTTTGTCATCAGGTACGTGCCAGAAGCATTTGTAAGTCTTGCCAGGAACTTGACTATTTTTGCTTTGTTTATTACCTGAGCTGGTTGTGCAGCTGTTGGTCTTAGAGAACCGTACTAGATCCCTGCGAGTGGGTGGCAATGTGATTCTGCAGACACAGATAATAATTCTAGACAATCGTAGGCTCCGTTTATTCCAGGGATGTGCCCTTCATTTACAGAAAGAAGCCTGAATCAGAGAATGGAAAACAACTATGACACAGCACAGCAGGAAACAAAAGAACGGGATTGGTTCTTATTCCCCCCACCCCCGCCCCACCCTGCTTAACTTTTAGACTACGTTGTCTTAAATGTAGACTTTGATCTAAATGTTGAGTCCCTTTTCATTACAACAGTAATTCAAAAGGCAGAATCTAGATATGCCTTTTGATGATCTGTTGGTCTTTGCTTAAGGGAAAACAAATAAAAGTAACCTGGGCCAAATGCAAAACATGCAAATTAGGAATTCTGTCTCTCTCTCTCTCTCTCTCTCTCTCTCTCTCTGTGTGTGTGTGTGTGTGTGTGTGTGTGTGTGTCTGTGTGTAGCAAATAATGGGTTTCTAGCATGTGCAAAAGTGATGTAAAAATAACAACAATAATAATAATCACAGCTCACATATATGTCAGGCACTATTTTAGGTGCTTTACATTGCTTTACAAGTATTAATTCATTTAGTGCTCACATCAGCCCTATGAGGTAGATGCTGTTATTATCCTCACCTTATAGTTGGGAAAACTGAGGCATAGAGGGGTGAAGAAACTTATTGAAGTCTGGTAAGGAAGAAAAACTCAGTCGCCATCCTTGCCTTGGTGATACATGCAAACATACCCTTAGGCATGGATTCATTCCATTTTAAGCTGGCTGCCACCAACACAAACCCATTTGAGAACTCTGTGCTAATTAGAAAAAGAGGATCTCCCTCCACAGCCCAGGGCAGGAGCTGCCTTTTTGGGTTGATGGCGTTGAAGGGGATCTTCAAGAGCTCTGCGTGGCAAGCGGAGGCAGGGCTAAAATGCAATGGACTCCTTTCTGTTGGCTGGGAGCCCTGGTGTGGGGCCATACTTCCTGTTTGTGGTGATGCTGTGGCTCCCACACACACTAGTTGTGAGACTTTGGGGAGGATCCTCAATGTCTTTGAGTCTCTGTGTCTCCATCTAAAAAACTGGCATGATGCTGCTGAGCTCACACAAAGGCTTGTGATGAGGATTAAAGGTTGAATTGTATATGAAGTACTTGGTACACAGGAAGCACCAAGAAGGCAAAATTAAGCATGTGATAGAACCAGGCCAGAGTTTTTGGACTGGGTCATAAACTCCTTCATGGGAGTTTATTGGGGGGCAGAGTAGCCATTGGAGACTCATTAAAAAATACCATGGACTACATATCCCAGAAAAGGCACCGGGGTTTTTTTAGCAATGGATTATGTCTTCACTCAGTTTTTAGCATGGAAAGATGCTGGTGCTTGAATAAACTGTACCATTAAGCTATGTCCTTAATAAACTATCTTTCTCGAATTATGGTCTTGAGAGCCACGTATTGAAATAAACAGAGTGGATACCACTAAACTGGGGAATTGCTTTCAGAATGCCTCACTTGAGTCTAAATGGGCTTACAGATATTCTATGTGACGTTAATATGCCAGTGGGAAGTCACATGCCCCACATGTGCAATGAAGAATTGCCATTTAAAGTTGTGTGACTGTGGACACATTTCTTTTCTTTTCTTTTTTTTTTTTGAGACAGAGTCTCACTCTGTCGCCCAGGCTGGAATGCAGTGGTGTGATCTTGGCTCACTACAACCTCCGCCTCCTGGGTTCAAGTGATTCTCCTGCCTCAGTCTCCCAAGTAGCTGGAATTACAGGTGCACGCCACCACGCCCGGCTATTTTGTATTTTTAGTAGAGATGAGGTTTCTCCATGTTGGCCAGGCTGGTCTCGAACTCCTGACCTCAAGACATCCACCCACCTCGGCCTCCCAAAGTGCTGGAATTACAGGCGTGAGCCACTGCACTCAGCCACATTTCTTTTTTTGAGACCAGGGTCTTGCTCTGTCACCCAGGCTGGAGTGCAGTGGCACAATCATGGCTCACTACAGCCTCAACCTCCTGTGCTCAAATCATCCTCCCACCTTAGCCTCCCAAGCAGCTGGGACCACAGGCATATGCCACCACACCCGAATAATTTTTATATTTTTTTGTAGAGACAGGGTTTTACCATGTTGCCCAGGCTGGTCTCAAACTGGGCTCAAGGGATCTGCCCGTCTTTGCCTCCCAAAGTGTTGAGATTACAGGCGTGAGCCACCATTCCTGGCCTGGACACATTTCTTAGCTATGCTCTGCATTAGCTTTCTCATCTGTAAAATGGGATAATAACAGTTTCTCCTTCGTGGGCTTGTGAGGCTTACATAAGAAAGATCCATGTGAAATGTGTGGCACCATTAATGGCAAATAATAAGTGCTCAAAAAATGCCAGCTAGCTTAGTTAATTGATTATTATTATTAAATGGTATATAAACCTAAAGGCAATATTGTCATTTTCAGATTCTCTTAAATTCCTAAGTTTAACCCCACAGGAAACTATACTCAGTAGACACACAGTAATTTGTTGGCCTGTGTTGTTTCTCCTGCCTTCTTTGAGGATGCAGTATTTTTTCTTCTACCACTAGATGAGTGTAAAGTTTTGTTGCAGACTTGTACATCAGTGTCTGTCACTAGGAAGAAGCTCCAGGGCAGAAGATCAGTTGGCATCTTTAATTGCTTAAATTACTGGGACTGAAGCTCTTGGACGCCCAAAAGCCAAGGAGGAATTTTCCTGCTTGTCTTAGCATTTGGCTTGGCTTTGCTTTTTCCGCGTGCATCAAAGGCCAAGATCTAGTTTGAATGTGGAAAGTTGATGACAGTCAATAAAAGGATTTCTCTCCCCCGCTGCTTATTTGGTGAGTTAAATGCTTAGGTGATGCATCTCCAGTATATACCTTTCTATATGGTGAATGAGTTTTCCCCCTGAGTCCTGGAGAGCTGGCTGGATTAGCAAAGGTCACTTTCAGCTTTGCTGAGGTAGAACACCCACGCCCCTCTATGTAGCACATACTCCTGGGTGCCTCCCTGCGGGTTAGATTGCCTTGGCTGCCTGTAGCAAAAACTACCAAATGGTGGGTTATTAAATAGGATTTTATTTATTTTTTCCTTGTAATATGTAGTCTTAGCTTGCAGGGCTATTGGGGCATTTTAAGGAAGTTATCAAGGACCCAAACTCCTCCCTTCCAGCTTCACTATCCTTTGTGTATTGCTCTCCACCTAATGGTTTTGTTTTTTTTAAAAAAATGTGATTATCAGCCGGGCATGGTGGCTCACGCCTGTAATCCTAGCACTTTGGGAGGCCGAGGTGGGCAGATCACAAGGTCAGGAGTTCAAGACCAGCCTGGCCAACATGGTGAAACCCCGTCTGTACTAAAAATACAAAAAAAATTAGCCAGGCATGGTGGCGGGCACCTATAATTCCAGCAATTCAGGAGGCTGAGATGGAGAATTGCTTGAACCTGGGAGGCAGAGATTGCAGTGAGCTGAGATGGCACCATTGCACTCCAGCGTGGGCAACAGAGCGAGACTGTCTCAAAAAATAAAATAAAATAAAATAAAATATTAAAAAAATAAGATTATCTTTAACTTCTTTTTTTTTTGACAGAGTCTTGCTCTGTCGCCCAGGCTAGAGTGCAGTGGCGCAATCTTGGCTTACTGCAACCTCCACCTCCCAGGTTCAAGCAATTCTCCTGCCTTGGCCTCCTGAGTAGCTGGGATTACAGGCATGCATCAGCACGCTCAGCTAATTTTTCTATTTTTAGTAGAGACGGGGTTTTACCACGTTGGCCAGGCTGGTCTCAAACTCCTGACCTCAGGTCATCTGCCCGCCTCGGCTTCCCAAAGTGCTGGGATCACAGGTGTGAGCCACCGCGCCCGGCCTTAAGTTTGTTTTCAAAGTGCGTTTCAAACTTAAATAAACCCAGGCTCAGCAATGAAAGGATTCAGGTTATTACATTCTGATTGTCCAGGGAGCAGGCAGTGCGGCTGGCTCCCCGGGAGAATGCTGGATCGTTCATTCAGCGAGTGCGCATGCCTAGAAGACGATCTGCCAGCTGCACAGACACGCTGCCACTTGCTGTGCGTTCATCTCCGTCAGCGCATAGAGACCGGGAGCCACCTCCTGACTGAGGCACCAGACTCTCTCCGACCTTTCAAGATGACCTGCTAAAATACCATCTTGAGGATTTTCTACTGAGATTCCATAGAACCTTTCTATTTCAGTTCCCCCAGGCTCTACTGGGAGTATTATGATCATCCTTGATGAAAGGAAGGGCAGCATTTTAATTCCTTCCTTCCTTCAACAAAACATGATTGGGCACCTACTGCATGCCAGGAACTGTGCTCCACAGTGCCTGTCTCAGGGCAATCCCTTTCTAGTAGGGGAGCTCATCAAATACTAATACGTAGAAAAATTAACTGATTTGTAAACCAATGCAGGATAGAATAGAATAGTTGATGTATTTATTTAATTACAGTTAACAAAATAATAGTATTTATTAATACATGGCAACTCTTATGTAGTACTTATTACATGCTGGGTGGTGTCCTCAGCAGTTAATATATTAATTCATTTTATGCTTTCCTATTTTGCAAATGAGGGAACTAGGAAACCAAAAGGTTAAGAGCATATATATATATACTTTTTTTTTTAGACGAAGTCTCACTCTGTCACTCAGGCTGGAGTACAGTGGTGTGACCTCAGCTCACTGCAACCTCCGCCTCCAAGGTTCAAGTGATTCTCCTGCCTCAACCTCCTGAGTAGCTGGGATTACAGGTGCCTGCCACCATTCCTGGCTAATTTTTGTATTTTTAGTAGAGATGGGGTTTCACCATCTTGGCCAGGCTGGTCTTGAACTCCTGACCTCAAGTGATCTGCCTGCCTCGGCCTCCAGAAGTACTGGGATTACAGGCATGAGCCACCATGCCTGGCCAGGTTAAGTATATTTTAAAAGTCCCACAGCTGGTGAAGTGCCCGGTGAATATGAAGGTCAGCCATTCGGATTTGAGAGTCCCCCTGGTAACCACACAGCACTTCTGTGCATGCTCTTTACCGATCTCCCATAAAAGGTGGACGAGACAATGCAGAGAACTGACAGATTCCACAAAGGAACAAAAGGTGGGTAGTGATGTGGATCGGGACTGCTGGACTGGTAGGGACCACTTTATTGGGGCTGCCTGAGCAGAGACCCTAAGGATGAGAAGCGACCAGCAATCTGGGAAATGGCCCTTTCCACAGAGAGAACAGCAAATGCAGGAACCCCAGGCAGGGAAGAGCCTGGCACATTTCAGGGACAGAGAGAAGACTGCGTGACCAGGGCAAGCTGTGCCATGGAGACCGAGGGTCAGAAACGTAGGAGGGATATCCAATATGACTTCAATTCAAATTCCATTCAAAAAAGAAAATTCCTCACCATCTGCTCAGGGTTTTGCAGGGGGCTTGAAGTGGCTGGCATTTGTCATAGAGCTCAAGAATATGTAGAAATCGTTTGTTTTGTTTTGTTTTGTTTTTTGAGATGGAGTCTCATTCTGTCGCCCAGGCTGGAGCGCAATGGTGCAATCTCGGCTCACTGCAAGCTCCGCCTCCCGGGGTCACGCCATTCTCCTGCCTCAGCCTCCCGAGTAGCTGGGACTGCAGTCGCCCGCCACCACGCCCGGCTAATTTTTTTGTGTTTTTAGTAGAGACGAGGTTTCACCATGTTGGCCAGGATGGCCTTGATCTCTTGACTTTGTAATTCACCCGTCTCGGCCTCCCAAAGTGCTGGGATTACAGGCGTGAGCCACTGCAACTGGCCGGTTTTTTTTTTTTTTTTTTTTTTGAGACGGAGTCTCGCTGTCGCACAGGCTGGAGGGCAGTGGCGCGATCTCGGCTCACGGCAGGTTCCGCCCCCCGGGGTTCACGCCTTTCTCCTGCCTCAGCCTCCCGAGTAGCTGGGACTACAGGCGCTCGCCACCTCGCCCGGCTAATTTTTTGTATTTTTAATAGAAACGGGGTTTCACCGTGTTAGCCAGGATGGTCTCGATCTCCTACCTCGTGATCCACCCGCCTCGGCCTCCCAAAATGCTGGGATTACAGGCATGAGCCACCGCTCCCGGCCAACTGGCCATTTTTTGTTGTTGTTGTATTTCAGCAGAGTCACAGTTTTTTTTTTTTTTTTTTTTTTTAGTAGAGACAGGGTCTCACCATGTTGCCCAGGGTGGTCTCGAACTCCTGAACTCAGGCAATCTGCCCTCCTCAGCCTCCCAAAGTGCTAGGATTACAGGAGTGAGCCACCGTGCCCGGCCAAGAATATGTAGAAATCTTGAACATCATTCCGTGTCATTTGAAAGCCTTTAAGCATTTCAGAATCTTTGCTTCCTTAGTAAGTGTCCAAACATAATTGAGTATCTCTGTAATGATTGGTGGTCTGACCAGAGCAACAGCTCTGGGTCCAATGACGCAGGTTGAGTTCCGTGAACTTGCAGCAGTTTGAGCTGCACTTATGTGAACCTCAAGACTTCCCCAAAGTGGAGTTTCTTTGGTTGTGGTTTAAAAATAAATTTTAAATATTAGGTTATTTTCTTGTGATTTACATTATTTCTAAAAATGGGGCACAAGGCCAAAAATAAGAAAGAGAAGAAGGTAGGCTTTGTATAACCTGTTTCCAGTGAATCGAGATTTCACTGTCATTTGTATTTGCCTCCACAGAGGAGACTCTTGGAGGAACCATGGATTTGGCAGGTAAATAAAAGGGTCGAGTTGAGGGAAAATATTCATAGCCCAGTCAAATATTTTGCAACAAAAATGAATGCAATGGCACCACTTGGAATTGATACATTCGCTTCATAGTCTGAGCAGAACAATCGTAGCACATTGGCAAACCTGATAGTTAAGGCATATTGGACTCCAATTGCTCACTGTTAGGGGCAAGGGAAGCCCATTTGATTGCTTTTTTTTTTTTTTTTTTTTTAGGTGGAGTCTCACTCTGTTGCCCAGGCTGGAGTGCAGTGGCGTGATCTTGGCTCACTGCAACCTCTGCCGCCTGGGTTCAAGCAATTCTCCTGCCTCAGCCTCCCGAGTAGCTGGGATTACAGGCTCCTGCCACTGTGCCCAGCTAATTTTTGTATTTTTAGTAGAGACGGGGTTTCACCATCTTGGCCAGGCTGGTTTTGAACTCCTGACCTTGTGATCCACCTGCCTCGTCCTCCCAAAGTGCTAGGATTACAGGCGTGAGCCACTGTGCCGGGCCTTGATTGCTTTTTAAAGGCAAACACTCAGAGCTTTTCACAGAATATTAATGAAGAGGAGAAATGAAGAGTTCAGGCACCCTGGGTTAGAATCCCCAAATTCCTAATTCCTTGAAGTGTGATATTAATGTCCCTGAGCCTCAACTTCCTCATCTGTAAAATGTGCATAAAAACAGTACCTACTGGCTGGGCATGGTGGCTCACGGCTGTAATCCCAGTACTTTGGGAGGTCGAGGCGGGTGGATCATCTGAGGTCAGGAGTTCAAGACTAGCCTGGCCAAGATGGTGAAACCCCGTCTCTACTAAAAATACAAAAATTAGCTGGGCATAGTAGCAGGCGCCTGTAATCCTACTCAGGAGGCTGAGGCAGAGAATCACTTGAACCTGGGAGTCAGAAGTTTGCAGTGAGCTGAGATCATGCCACTGCACTCCAGCCTGGATGACAGAGTGAGACTGTCTCAAAAAAAAAAAAAAAAAAAAAAAAAAGTACCTACTTTGCAGGGCTGTCTTGAGGATAATGATTACATTGATGTAAAGAAGTTAGTTCAGGGCCTGGTGTGAGTAAAGCCTCAGTTAACACTTCTATTTGCTTCTGTTCCCATCATATCCTTCCCAGCCCTTAGTCTGTGACCCCAGTGCTACTATACTATGGCACATCATTGGGTGGCCTCAGAAGGCAGTAGGATGAATATCACTAGGCCCATAGTGTGGCAGAGAAGGAAGACATCACACTGTGCCCTTACAGAGAAGTTGCTTCTTTTTTGTTTTTGAGATGCAGTCTTGCTCTGTTGCCCAGGCTAGAGTGTAGTAGCGCGATCTTGGCTCACTGCAACCTCCGCCTCCCGGGTTCAAGCAATTCTCCTGCCTCAGCCTCTGGAGTAGCTGGGATCCACCACGCCCAGCTAATTTTTGTATTTTTAGTAGAGACAGGGTTTCACCATATTGGCCAGGCTGGTCTCGAACTCCTGACTTTGTGATCTGCCTACCTCGGCCTCCCAAAGTGCTGGGATTACAGGCGTGAGCCACCGCACCCGGCCGAGAACCTTCTCCTTACAAGGAGCTTTTGCTCTATGGCAGGGTTTCTATTATATTCAAATTCTGGGAGAGGCCATCCTTTGTTGAGGGGCCATCCTGTGCACTGTAGGATGTTAAACAGCTTCTCTGGCCTCTGCTCATTACATACTAGTAACACGTACCCCATGTTCCAGGAGGCGACAGAAAAACATGCCTTTGACCTTTGCCCAGTGTTTCTCTCAAGGCAAACTCACCCCTGGGTGAGAATCTCTGGTTTATAGACATGTGCCTGAATGGGAAAATGGGTCAAATGTTAGTGCCCACCTTTGTCCTTTTTTTTTTTTTTTCCCTGACAGGGTCTCACTCTGTTGTCCAGGGTGGAGTGCAGTGGTGCAATCATAACTCCCTGCAGTCTCGAACTCCTGGCCTCAAGTGATCCCCCCTCCTCAGCCTCCTGAGTAGCCGGGACTACATGCACCACCAAGCGTGTCTAATTTTATTTTATTTTTTTGAGACGGAGTCTTGCTCTGTTGCCAGGCTAGAGTGCAGTGGCGTGATCTCGGCTCACCGCAACCTCCGCCTCCTGGGTTCAAGCAATTCCCCTGCCTCAGCCTTCCGAGTAGCAAGGACTACAGGCATGTAGTCCAGGCACGCTAATTTTTTGTATTTTAGTAGAGAGGGGGTTTCATCATGTTGGCCAGGATGGTCTTGATCTCCTGACCTTGTGATCTGCCCGCTTTGGCCTCCCAAAGTGCTGGGATTACAGGTGTGAGACACCGCACCCTGCCCCATGCGTGGCTAATTTTAAAGAATTTTTTGAAGAGACGGGATCTTGCTCTGGCTGGCCTCTAATTCCTGATCTCAAGTGAGTCTCCCGTCTTGGCCTCCCAAAGTGCTGAGATTACAGGGGTGAGCCACCATGCCCTGCCTCAAACTCTTCAAAAATATATGCTTGGTCAACCTTTGAGATTCTTTTAGAGTGTTCAGGATTGGAGAAGAGATATGCATCTTTACTGATGGGAAAACTTTATTTGTTTATTTATTTATTTATTTATTTTTGAGACAGAGTCTCACTCTGTCTGCCCTGGCTGGAGTGCAGTGGCGCGATCTCGGCTCATTGCAACCTCCTCCTCCAGGGTTCAAGTGATTCTCTTGCCTCAGCCTACCGAGTAGTTGGGACTACAGGAGTGTGTCACCACGCCCAGCTAATTTTAGTAGAGACAGGGTTTCACCATGATGGCCAGGCTGGTCTTGAACTCCTGACCTCAAATGATCCTCCCGCCTTGGCCTCCCAAAGTGCTGGGATTACAGGCATGAGCCACTGTGCCTGGCTATTTTTTTTTGAATATTGAACTTGATTCTCATAAAGTATTGCTACCTTCATGATGCTGTAGGAGCTGGCTCTTTCTTGAGGGTAAGCCACAATCTCATCCACCACAGGTTAGCTACATTGGCTGCTTTCTGATTCTCAAACACAAGCCCTTGTCTACCTCAAGACCTTGGCACTTACTGTCCCTGTGTCTGGAATGTCACCTCTGCAGACTACCTGTTACTGCCTGACCTCCTTGAATTTCTGTACCTACATGATTTTTTCAGGAAGGACCTCCTCTACCCCCTCTCCACCCCTAGTTATTCTCTTTTTCACGATCTGGTTTTATTCTTCATAGCACTCACCCAAACCCAATTTATTGTTATTTTTTAGATTGTATATTGCCTACCTGCCCCTAAAAACATAACCTTCTTGTCAAACATGTTCATCTGTGTATCCGCAGTGCCCTAGCCCAATATCTTGCCTACAATCGGTGCCAAATAAGTAGTCTCTGAATTTGCTGTTGACTTGGTGAATTTATAAACAGGTAATCAACATTTGGTTGCAGTCATCTTTGATTTGTAGGCAACTGAATTTTATTTCCAATTGCCAAAAGTTGTCTTTATTTGGGATGACAGCACCAAAACCTTTGCTGTCTTGTGCACCATGAATATGAAGCCGAGATGTCAGGTGATACCAGATAAAGAATACGTCATGGCAGCTCTTTAAACATGTAAACATATTAAACATTCAGGGCATCAGCCCCTGGCTCGTGGAGAATTCCATCCTTTAGCACATGACAAGTTGGGGTTTACAGTCAAAGTCCACTTAGCAAATGTTTGTTCTACAACGTGCTTTCCTTTTGTTTCCTGTAAGTATGGCTTCATGCCCTGCCAGGATCTGAGGTCATAGAAACACGAGGAGACGATTAACATATCAATGGAGGGGTCTCTTTGGAATCCAGAATTTGGAATGATATTTGCATCTTGAGCTCAGAAGCCGTGCAGGCGAGCCTGCTTATTGATTGCCTTTAATTTCCCCTTAAAACAGTGTCTTTTTCTGAAGAAAAGATTAATAGAGGAGGGCTCAGTTTGTCGCGTGATTTATGCTCAAGTCCTGCCTCCTTTGCATTCAGAAGCGCATTGCAAGCTCGTCCCCACCCCTGAGATGTTTGGATTCAGTTTCTCAAGAAAAATAGCTGCTGGTCACCAAAGCTTACAGCTTAATTGAATTTGTCTTTGTCCACTTAATCTTCATGCTTACAAAAAGTGGGGGTGGGAGGATTTATACAGAAGAGATGTACCTAAAATATACACGCGATCATTAGGAGGGTGGGCTGAAGAAAGAGATATAAAATGAAAATGAGGGTGCCACTTAGTCTATGCTGCACTTCTCTTTGCTTAAGGCATTGATAAATACACTAGTATCTCCCCAGTATAAACATGAGAACCTAAGAAGTAAATTGTATTGTACCAACTCTGAGCTGTTCCATCATTTTTGTTTTGGCTAAAAATTTGTTTTTTTTCTTTGAGGGAAGAAAAAGACACAAAAGGAAAGTGAAGATTTCTGTGTTACATAAAGTTTGGGACCTCTTTCTATAAATAAATAGCTGGCTATATTCTGTGTCACTAATAATCATAACACTAATAGTAGCAATCAATTTATCAAGCACTTTTTTTTTTAGCCATTGCACTAAATGCTTTATAATTTTTTTTTTTTTTTTTTTGAGACGGAGTCTTGCTCTGTCGTCCAGGCTGGAGTGCAGTAGCGGGATCTCGGCTCACTGCGAGCTCTGCCTCTCGGGTTCATGCTGTTCTCCTGCCTCAGCCTCCCGAGTAGCTGGGACTACAGGCGCCCTCCACCACGCCCAGCTAATTTTTTATACGGGGTTTCACTGTGTTAGCCAGGATGGTCTCAATCTCTTGACCTCGTGATCCGCCCGCCTCGGCCTCCCAAAGTGCTGGGATTACAGGCGTGAGCCACCGCGCCCGGACTTTTTTTTTTTGAGACAGAGTTTTCGCTCTTGTCACCCAGGCTAGAGTGCAATGGCACGATCTCGGTTCACTGCAACCTCCACCTCCTGGGTTCAAGCAATTCTCCTGCCTCAGCCTCCCAAGTAGCTGGGATTACAGGCACCCACCACCATGCCTGGCTAATTTTTGTATTTTTAGTAGAGATGAGGTTTCACCACGTTGGCCAAGCTGGTCTCAAACTCCTGACCTCAGGTGATCTGCCTGCCTCGGCTTCCCAAAGTGCTGGGATTACAGGCTTGAGCCACTGCACCCGGCCAGGGCTTTATAATCTTTATCTTATTTAAACTTGACTCCAACTTTTTTTTTTTTTTTTTGAGACCGAGTCTCGCTCAGTCGCCCAGGCTGGAATGCAGTGGTGGGATGTCAGCTCACTACAACCTCCGCCTCCTGGGTTCAAGCAATTCCTTGCCTCGGCCTCCCGAGTAGCTGAGATTACAGGCGCCCACCACCACACCCAGTTAATTTTTGTATTTTTTTTTTTTTTTTTTTTTTAGTAGAGACAGGGTCTCACCATGTTGGCCAGGCTGGTCTCAAACTCCTGACTTCAGATGATCCTCCCACCTCAGCCTCCCAAAGTGCTGGAATTACAGGCATGAACCAGCATGCCTGGCTTTTTTTTTTTTTTTTCTTGAGAGACAGGGTCTCATTCTGTTGCCCAGGCTGGAGTGCAGTGGTGCAATCTTGGCTAACTGCACCCTCCACTTCCCAGCTCAAGTGATTCTCCTGCATCAGCCTCCCGAGCAGCTGGGATTACAGGTTCTCACCACCATACCCAGCTAATTTTTGTATTTTTAGCAGAGACAGGTTTCACCATGTTGGCCAGGCTGGTCTCGAACTCTGATCTCAAGTGATCTGCCCGTCTTGGCCTCCCAAAGTGCTGGGATTACAGGTGTGAGCCACCATGCCCGGTTGACTCCAGAATTCTGAAAGAGGCCCTATTATGTTATTCCCATACACACAAGGCTTAGAGAAGTAAAGGAAGCTGCCGAAGTTTGTCCCGTGGCAGACCCAGATTTTGAAGCTGGGCGTATTAGACTTGAAAATCGAAGACTGCAGTCCTACCAAGAGAAGGACGTTCATTTGGATTTGCTTCTGTCTACATTTATTTCTCCAGCATGGTGGATGGAGGAGGCATGAACTTCCCAGTTACTCAGCCTTGAGCTTCTTGTCTTAAGTCTGCCTCCAAGACTTAACCAGCGGGCCGTATCATCTACCATGGCCAAGTAAGATTACTGCAGACTGTGCTCTTCAAATCTGTAGCCTTTTGTTATTCTACACGGTCACTTTTAGTCTGACTTAAGATGCTTGAGTGACACAAGGAGCAGAGAGGGAAGCTAGGTCGGTAAGAATCTAAGTGTGACCCCGATGCACCATAAGATCCCCCCTCGTGCCAACCAACAAGATTAACATCCAAGGTACTAATAAATGGAACGGCACCCCCCAAGGTGTAACTCCTTGAGAAGTTAACAATTATATTTTTATCCTAAGTAAACCCAATGATGCTGGGCGAGGTGGCTCATGCCTGTAATCCCAGCACTTTGGGAGGCTGAGGCGGGCAGATCACGAGGTCAGGAGTTCGAGACCAGCCTGGCCAACATAGTGAAACCTCGTCTCTACTAAAAATACAACAAATTAGCCGGGCGTGGTGGTGGGCACCTGTAATCCCAGCTACTCAGGAGGCTGAGGCAGGAGAGTTGCTTGAACCCGGGAGGTGGAGGTTGCAGTCAGCCGAGATTGCGCCATTGCACTCCAGCCCAGGCGAGAGTGTGAGACTCCATCTCAAAAAAATAAATGAATAAATAAATAAATAAAATAAAATAAACCCAATGGTGCTGAAGGTTGGAAGCTGAGTGTGTGGGAAGTAACCATTTGAGTGTTTCCGAGTTTCTTTCTTTGATGGCGGACATAGCGATGGACTGAATGTTTGTTTTCCCTCCAAATTCATCTGTTGAAATCTTAATCCCTAATGTGTTGGTATTTGAAGGTGGGGATCTTTGGGAGGTGGTGAGGTCATGAGAGTGGAGCCCTCATGCGTGGGATTAGTGCCCTTATAAAGGCAATCCCAGGGAACTTTCCCTTTCTGCCACGTTGGCAGTCTGCAGCCTGGAAGCCGGCTGTCACCAGAGCCTGATGGTAGTACCCAGAGGTCAGTGGGAGTCAGAGATCAGGATACCAGATGCTGACATTCTGTTCTCTGACTTCCAGCTTCTAGAACTGGGAGAAATCAATGTCTGTTGCTCTAAGCTACCCAGTCTATGGTATTTTGTTACGGTAGCCCAAAGGGACTAAGACAGACATGTAGAATGATTTTGGCCTAGTGATCAAAATTGTGCTAGGATTAAGTTTCTGGAAGAAAGAAATTTTGAAAGAAAAAAGTGAAAGTGCTTGCTTTCTAGTTTGGAACCATGATTTCGGATTCCCTGGTCCTATGGCTCTTTGCACTTCCCCTACACCTTTCCAATGATTGCTTCATTTACTCAAACCAAAACCAAAACCAAAACCAAAACAAGCCCCAAGTCCCCCAAACCTGTTAAAAGATACCAGTGGAGCATTGGCTATGTGCAAACTCTGTGACAGACACCGGGAATGAGACACCAAGGCAGATAAAAGTCTTACAATCTAATCAAATGGAAGCACACACCAAAGAAATACTTTCACAACTAATCATTTAATTACCATGCTTTCCCCACAAAACATTTTATTACTATAATTGATATTTTTCTTACCATTTTTGGCAACATTAATCAAATAATAAATTTCATCTGGAAGAACAAGCCAGCAAAATAGACAAGGAAATTCACAAAGGTAATAACAAAATAGTAATCTTGACATATTCAATATATTTGTAAGCAAAGCAAAGTGACATTGCCTTAAAATATAGAGAGGTATCAACAGAAAAACAGAGAAAACTCCTGAAAGAGTTCAACTCATTATATAAATTTTAATTTGGTTGCAGTTAATCACCATTTTCAATTTGCTGTGAAGAGAAATATACATGGGATGCAATGAGACTATGTCTGAGTTGCATCCAAACTTCTAACCTACCCCGTCTACTTGTGATTTCTTTTCCATTTGCCTCACTGTAGTGTATTGGCTAAACATGTAGACAGGTAGATCTGACTACAGGGTTTCATATCTGGTTTTGGCCCTTCGTGGATGTGTAACCTTAGCTAAGTTACTGAACCTACCTGAGCCCTAGGTCCCTCAGCTGTCGAGTGAAAATAATAGAAGTACCTACTCCTAGGCTTATCATGAAAATCAGATGAGATGATCTGAGTGAAAGCACTTAGCCTTGGAATGGAGCACACAGCAGGTGCTCAATTAAGGCTAGTTGTTATTATTAGTCTCTGAAAGTGATCTCTACATTGTTCTCTCCCCCATGCCGGGAGGCACTGAATTAACTTACTCAAGATGCGACAAGGAACATAGTTTGGAGACTGACTTAGCACTGACCTGCCCCTGTCAGAGCCTGGACATTGTTCAATAGCTGTGCATTTTGGGGCAAGCCACACACCCCCCTGGGAGACCCCATTGCCCTCATCTACAAAAGGAAGATGATAAATCCCTTTGACAATTAGAGTTAATAAGTAGAAAACACTTAGCTCAGGAAATGTCCGCTGCTGTTATTATTTTTTTTTAAATTTGTATTTTTTTGTAATTTTATCGGAGCCTCTTTTCATTATACAGCTGCTGTTATTATTACATTAATATTATTTTTAGGCTCTGTAAAAAACATAATAATGCCTTACTATGTCTTTTAATCCCACAGGTTTAGTGGTGTTTATGCCTCAATTTGAAAGTGGAATTTCAAAGTCCACTGAAAGTCTTTCTCTGAAGAGTGAATTGTCTTTATCCCTTAGCGTCTCTCCTGAAAGCTCTTATTTGGTGAGTAAATTTACAAGACGGGTGCTAGATAAGGGATTCATGTGGAGTTTGTCCTTAAAACACTTCTTTAATCTCTGCAGTTGCTGTGGAATTTGTGTCATTTTTGCTTGGGTGATCAGATTACATTTCATAAACAATATCCCCTATGTTTAAAAATCTTTAAACAGCCACTTGGAAGTAGCTTGACGTGGACTACAGTTAATGCCTTGTTTAATGTGGCTCCTCCGTGGTAGACAGGGCTGACAATCAACTGCATATGCCCGCATCAGACTCCTAAGTAGATTTCTATATTTTACAGAATTTTTTTCTTATTTGAACTAGTTTTTTGGTTTTCTAATATCTCATATAGGATAATTTTGGTACAACGATGGTTCTTGTAAGCTTCCAAAAATTGGAATCATTTTTATTGCTCTTTTGCCCTTGTTAAATCTTGGTTTTCTTCATCCAGAACTTTCTTTTGAGACAGGGTCTCACTCTGCTGCCCACGCTAGAGTGCAGTGCTGCAGTCTCGGCTCACTGCAGCCTCAACCTCCCAGTCTCAAGCCATCCTCCCACCTCAACCTCCTGAGTAGTTGGGACTACAGATGTGTGCCACCAAACCAGGATTCTAGAGAGATACACACACACACACACACACACACACACACACACACACATATATACATATATATACACACACACATATATATACACACATATATATATACACACACACATATATACACACACACATATATATATATATACACACACACACACACATATTCTTTTGAGACAGAGTCTTTCTCTGTTGCTCAGGCTGAAGTGCAGTGGTGCAATCTCGGCTTGCTGCAACTTCCATCCCCCAGGTTCAAGCAATTCTCCTGCCTCAGCCTCCCAAGTAGCCGGGATTACAGGCGTGCACCACCATGCCCGGCTAATTTTTCTGTTTTTAATAGAGACAAGGTTTCACCATGTTGGCCAGTCTGGTCTCAAACTCCTGACCTCAAGTGATCCACCCGCCTGGGCCTCTCAAAGTGATGGGATTACAGGTGTGAGCCATCGTGTCCGGCTGTATTTTTTAAAATAGAGATGAGGTTTCACCATGTTGGTCAGGCTGGTCTCAAACTCTTCGGCTCAAGTGGTCTGCCCGCCTTGGCCTCCCAAAGTGCTGGGTTTACAGGTTTGAGCCACTGTGCCCAGCCAGAACTTTCAAACATCAAAATTGCCAGCTCACTCTGACCCTTCCCCACCTTAATCACCCTGGGAATGACTGGGGAGAACTGGATATTTTATTTTCTTAACATGGTAAAACCCCATCTCTACTAAAAATACAAAAATTAGCTGGGCATGGTAGCGCACGTGCATCTGCCTCTGTTCACTGCAACTTGGTCTGGCCTCAGGGTTTTTTGCCCTTGCTTTTCCCTGGGCCTCTACAGTTCTGCCCCCAGAGCTTTGCCTGGCTCTTTTTTTTTTTTTTTTTTTTTTTTTTTTGAGACAGAATCTTGCTCTGTTGCCAGGCTGGAGTGCAGTGGCGGGATCTCAGCTCACTGCAACCTCTGTCTCCTGGGTTCAAGTGATTCTCATGCCTCAACCTCCCGAGTAGCTGGGACTACAGGTTCGCACCACCACACCCATCTAATTTTTGTATTTTTAGTAGAGATGGGGTTTCACCATGTTGGCCAGGATGGTGTTAATCTCCTGACCTCGTGATCTACCTGCCTCGACCTCCCAAAGTGTTGGGATTACAGGTATGAGCCACCGCGCCTGGCCTGCCTGGCTCTTTTCTAACTGTTCCTGTTCAGCAAAAATGTCACTTCCTCCAGGAGCCTTCCCTGATGTCCCCTGCCCTGCTTCAGTGGCTTCGCAGCACTGAGCAGTATCTGGAATTGTCTTTTCTATTTAATTCTAGCATTGTTTTTCCCCTCCCCTTCTAGAACAGGGTAGAATAGGAGCTGTCACTCTCAACACTATTGACAGTTGGGACCAGGTAACTTTTTGTTCCAGGGGCCGTTCTGTGCCTGACAGGGTCTGTATGTAGTGTGTCCCCGGCCTTCACTCACTGGATGCCACCAGCAGCTTCTCCTTGCCCCCCGCCAGCTGGACAATAAAAAATGTCTCCAGATATTACCAAATGTCTTCTGGGGCAAGGGGGCAAAATTGCACTGATCTAGAATTTAAGGTCTTTTTTTTTTAAGAGACGGAGTCTCGCTCTGTTGCCCAGGCTGGAGTGCAGTGGCACAATCTCGGCTCACTGCAACCTCTGCCTCCTGGGTTGAAGTGATTCTTCTGCCTCAGCCTCCTGAGTAACTGGGATTACAGGCACGCACCACCACGTCTGGGTAATTTTTGGAATTTTTAATAGAGACAGGATTTCACCATGTTGGCCAGGCTGGTCTCGAACTCCTGACCTCAGGTGATCCACCCGCCTCAGCCTCCCAAAGTGCTGGAATTACAGGTGTGAGCTACTGTGCTCGGCAATATCTGTCTAATTTTAGCTCCTGTTTTCTTAACCACTCTGCCATAGCACTTCTGTTAAAGCTATTCGGCAACAAATAAATCTTTTTTAGCATTAAAAATACAAAAAATCATGCTAAAAGATGCCCAGGGCTTCTGTTATTATGACCTATGCTTCCTTCTTGTGTCTTTAAAAACATTCAATTGTTACTGTTTATATTTTCTCTATTTTAAAATTTTAAACCATCCCCGCACAGCTTGCCTGGAAACTGTTGACACTGAAACATATAGGTTAAATTCATACAAGCTGGCCTATTATAGTCTTCCTGCAAAGTGCACAGTGAATTGCAAATGTTTGCATTTCCCATTAACAAGAAAATTAGTGTCTCTAGAAACAGTAGTCTTCTCTGGACCAGCATTAAATGCCTGTTTTGTTCTTTTCAAGTTGCTCGAGTTCATAATGGGGCTTTGGTCCTCATATCTTTTTTTTTTTTTTTTTTTGATACGGAGTCCTGCTCTGTTGCCCAGGCTGGAGTGTGCAATGGCGTGATCTCAGCACACTGCAGCCTCCGCCTCCAGGCTTCAAGTGATTCTCCTGCCTTAGCCTCCCGAGTAGCTGGGACTGCAGGCGACTGCCACCACGCCCGGCTAATTTTTTTGTATTTTTAGTAGAGACGGGGTTTTGCCATGTTGGCCAGGCTGGTCTCTAACTCCTGACCTCAGGTGATCTGCCCGCCTCAGCCTCCCAAAGTCCTGGGATGACAGGCGTGAGCCTCAGCGCTCAGCCTGGTCCTGGTATCTTTCACTTACTCTTCACAATTGTGTGTGACTTCTTTTCTGGTTGCAGGATTGGTTACAACCTCCTCCATTAAGCCTGAATTAATCTTTACTCTCTGATTCCTGGACCATATCCTTGAATGCTTGCATCCTAACATCCAGTAAGACACCTCCGTACTGCCTTTTTCATCCTGGCAAATCACAAACTGATACTTCCAGCACTTTGGGAACAAACTTCTGCTACAGGACACAAATGCATGGCTGCTAGGAAGCTCTTGGTGCCTGAAAACATATGCCAGGACTCAGAGCACAGGTGTGTGTGTGCGTGTGCATGTGTTGGATTGTTATAAATTTATTAATTTATTTTGGGGAGTTTTTGGAAAAGGTAGCAAAACAGCCTCACAGGGAATCACTACTGTTCAGGGAAGTATTAAATAGAAAATGATTGGGCTGGGCGCGGTGGCTCACGCCTGTTATCCCAGCACTCTGGGAGGCCACGGCGGGTGCGAGATCAGGAGTTTGAGACCAGCCTGGCTAACATGGTAAAACCCCTTCTCTACCCAAACTACAAAAATTAGCCAGGCATGGTGTCACACGCCTGTAATCCCAGCTACCCGGGAGGCTGAGGCATGAGAATCACTTGAACTTGGGAGGCGGAGGCTGCAGTGAGCTGAGATTGTACCACTGCCCTTCAGACTGGGTGACAGAGTGAGACTCTGTCTGAAAAAACAACCAAACAAACAAACAAACAAAAAAACGAAAAAAAAAAGAGAATGAGTGAATCTTTATGTATTTTAAAAGGTGTTGGCCAGGTGCAGTGGCTCATGCCTATAATCCCAGCACTTTGGGAGGCCAAGGCGAGCGGATCATGAGGTCAAGAGATCGCGACCATCCTGGCCAACATGGTGAAACCCCATCTCTACTAAAAATACAAAAACTAACTGGACCTGGTGGCGTGCACCTGTTGTCTCAGCTACTCAGGAGGCTGAGGCAGGAGAATTGCTTGAACCTGGGAGGTAGAGGTTGCAGTGAGCCGAGATCACACCATTGTACTCCAGCCTGGCAATAGTGGGAGACTCCGTCTCAAAAAAAAAAAAAAAAAAAGGGAAAGGTGTCAGTCTTGCTGGCTCTGATTCGGATTTCCATTTAGCCTCACAGTTCTTCAGTGAGATCCAAAGTCGGGAGGCATGCTGGTGTAGGGCAGAGGTCAGCCCACAGGTCAATCCAGGTTGCTGCCTAGTTTTGTAACTTAAAGATCATGTTTGAGCTGCATATTTGAGTAGGATTTTGCTATGCAGATGGGGAAGCAAGAACATTCTAAGATGGCCTAGCAAACTCCAGTCTGGGGGCCAAACCTGTCACACTGCCTGTTTTTATAAATAAGATTTTTAATTTGAACACAGCTACACTCATTTATATATTGTCTCTGATTGCTTTTACTCTACAATGGCAGAGACTGGATGGGCTCCAATGACTAAAATATTTACTGTCTGATCCTTTACAGAAAAAAAAAAAAATCCACCCGTGGTGTAAGGCTTAAACATTTAGGCTATGAATCAACAGCCTGTGTTCAAATTCCAGCTCCACCAACTGACTTCTGTGTAACCTTGGTTACACACTTATAAAATGGAAATATGAATTCCTCTGGGTTGATGTGAGAAGTAAATTCAGTAATCCTAGTAAGTGCTTACTCAGTGACAGTTATTATGATTCATCCAAATTAAAGAAGATTTTCAGAGGCTTCCCATAGTCTTAATGCCCTAGATTATAATCATACTAGATGTTCTCTGTCCTTATAAAAATTAAACATCTAAAATATTTGAGGAATTTGGGCAGCCACCTTTCCTGTTCCAGGAATGAAAGGTTCATAAAATACTGGCAGTACATTTTCAGTTATTTGATGTTGATTAATAGAGTCATGGAAACCTAGAAGGTCTCCAGGGGTGTGCCCTGGGACCCTGTCTTTGATCTATCCTGGATATCATTTTGATTCAGGACTAAAGAATTAAGGTTTTCAGATGCAATTTCTAGGAGACAAAATATTGGTATTACAGGATCAAGATTCACAATGGTCTCCATAGCTTCAAATGAAGGATTGGAAGAAATAAGAGAGCATTTACCAGGGATTGATGTGGATTCTGGCATCAATTATTCACTTCTGGGAATGGGGAGACTTGGCCAGACAGCAGTTCCTGGGAAGTAGTTCTGGGGCTTCTCGTTGGCCACAAGTTCAATTTGAGCCAGATGCATACAGCTGCCGACAAGCAAAGAATCTTAGGCTGCATTAATGGAGTCAGGATATGCCTTGTGGGCTCCAAGGACAATAAAGAAAGAAAACAATTTGAATGAGCTAGGCAACCCATGTTTGCAGAATGGAGGTTCGTTATGGAAACAAAGTACAATTTTTAATGAGGATCCTGCCAAAGTTTCATAGGTTGAGGGGGCGGTAGGGGAAGAGGCGAGTTGATGAGTGATCTGGGAACTATGTCATAATGAGGAATGGCTGAAGGATTTAGGGAGTTTCCCAGGAAAAGAGATGACCACAAGGGAAGAAAGCTTTGGGAAACCACTGAAGGTCTTCCGTGTGGAAGAAGGTGCCTTATTATCTCTATTGCTTTTTGGCAAAACTTGGAGAAAATAAATGTGAGGTACTTATCTTTTGCGATATCAGCTCGGCTCAGTGTTTCTTGTATCCCTGCCCTGAGTCCACTGTCTCAGCTAAGGGGAGTCCCTGGAAGCCATATTTGTTCTTCATAACCCTGTTGATAGCTGATCCAACAAGAGATGAATGCCTGCTGGAAACCAAAACAATCGAGTTCTCTACCCCAGGGAACATGGAAGTTGCCTTGAGGACTGTCAGTCGGCCTCTTTGAATAGTTGGATCTGTAAGGTATAAATCTGAGCACAAAGGTAGACATTTTCCACCATGACAATGCACCGACAGAGAAAGTCAATCTACAGTGAAAAGAATGAGGCCAAGATGCAGAGAAGCAGGAATGGAAAAGCAGAAGGCCAGGCCGGGCATGGTGGCTCACACCTGTAATCCCAGCACTTTGGGAGGTTGAGGCGGGCAGATCACCTGAGGTCAGGAGTTTGAGACCAGCCTGGCCAACAGGTTGAAACACCGTCTCTATTAAAAATACAAAAATTAGCCGGATGTGGTGGCGCATGCCTGTAATTCCAGCTACTTGGGAGGCTGAGGCAGGAGAATCGCTTGAATCCGGGAGGCGGAGGTTGCAGTGAGCTGAGATTGCACATTGCACTCCAGCCTGGGTGACAGAGCAAGACTCCATCTCAAAGGAAAAAAAAAAAAAGAAGAAAAACAGAAGGTCTTGCTGGTTGGATTATTTTATTTTGTTCATTTACTTATTTTGTTGTAGATATAGGAACTTTCTATGTTGCTAACGCTGATCTTGAATCCCTGGCCTCCTGCCTCAGCCTCCCAAAACACTGGGATTACAGGCATTCAGCCACCATGCCCAGCCTGGTCAGGTTCTTTTTAGCTTCCCATCTCCTGGTTTCAGTCCTTCCTAAGGCCTAATCACCTTCCTGGACTTGGGCTTCATGAGATATCTTTTTGTTCTTGTTATAAATTCTCCCTTTTTACTTCTGCTAGTTCAACTAGGTTTCTTCATGTACAACCAAAAGTGTCGTAGCTATATCAGAGCACAGTAGAGAGTAGCTCAGTAGATGGAAGACACGGTGAATCTGTTCAGCCGCTTGAGAGAGTTACTTCAAGAAGTTAAGGCTATGGCCGGGCGAGGTGGCTCACGCCTGTAATCCCAGCACTTTGGGAGGCCGAGGCAGGCAAATCACAAGGTCAGGAGTTCGAGATCAGCCTGGCCTATATAGTGAAACCCTGTCTCTACTAAAAATACAAAAATTAGCCAGAAGTGGTGGCAGGCTGAGGCAGGAGAATTGCTTGAACCCGGGAGGCAGAGGTTGCAATGAGCCGAGATGGAGCCACCACTGCACTCCAGCCTGGGTGACAGAGCGAGACTCTGTCTCAGAAAAAAAAACAAAAAACAAAAGAGAAGTAAGGCTATTTCCTGGGAGCACACAGGTGGAAGTGAAATAACCCTAGATAACTGGGAGGCATAATGAAAGCTTGGGCTTGAACTTCAGAAAAACTTGGGATTAATTTTAAGCACCACCACCACTTTCTAGCTGGGACCTTGGACAGTGGTCTTAACTTTTACTGAGCCTTTTTCTTGTGCAAGATGGGGAGAATACGGCATACCTCATAGAATGGTTGAGGATGAAATAAGCTACTCTATTAGTTTCCTATTGCTACTGTAAGAGATTGCCACAAACTTAGTGGCTTAAAACAAATTCAGAGGCCGCCACGGTGGCTCATGCCTGTAATTTCCACACTCTGGGAGGCTGAGGTGGCCAGATTGCTTGAGCCCAGGAGTTCAAGACCAGCCTGGGCAACATGGAAATACCCCGTCTCTAGTTTTTGTATTTTTTTTAATACAAAAAGTTAGCCAGGTGTGCTGGTGCACACCTGTGGTCCCATCTACTTGGGAGCCTGAGGTGGGAGGATCTCTTGAGCCTGGGAAGCAGAGGTTGCAGTAAGCTGAGACTGGTACCACCGCACTCCAGCCTGGATGACAGAGCGAGACTCTGTCTCAAACAAAACAAAAGGAAACAAAACAAAAATTTAGGCCAGGTGCGGTGGCTCACTCCTGTAAATCTCAGCACTTTGGGAGGCTGAGACAGAAGGATCCTAGTCCAGGAGTTTGAGACCAGCCTGGGCAACACAGCCAGACTCCATCTCTACAAAAACGAAAGTTAAAATAATTAGCCAGGGATGGTGGTGCACACCTGTATTCCCAGCTACTCCGGAGGCTGAGGTGGGAGGATTGCTTAAGCCTAGGAGTTAAAGGCTGCAATGAACTATGATCATCACTGCACTCCAGCCTGGGTGACACAGTGAACAGTGAGACTTTGTCTCAAAAAAAATTTTTTTTAAAATTCTTAATTAGGAGGTTATTATTTATTTATTTATTTATCTGAGACTGAGTCTCACTCTCTTACTCACGGTGGAGTACAGTGGTGTGATCTCAGCTCACTGCAACCTCCGCCTCCCAGGTTCAAGTGATTCTTGCGCTTCAGTCTCCTGAGTAGCTGGGATTACAGGCGTTTGCCACCATGTCCAGCTAAGTTTTGTATTTTTAGTAGAGATGGGATTTCACCCTGTTGGCCAGGCTGGTTTTGAACTCCTGACCTCAGGTGGTCCACCCTCCTCGGCTTCCCAAAGTGTTGGGATTACAGGCGTGAGCCACTGAGCCCGGCCATTATTTTAATAGGATTCTTTCTGGTGAATGGTGAGATTTCCATGAAGGATCTTAAAGGACAAAGACTCAGTCGATCTTGGTTTCCACACCTCACTTCATCATTTAACTGTGTGATGGTGGGTAAGGTTAATGCACCTTTCTGAAGCTATATCCTCATCTGTAAAGCGTGTGTTCATAGTTTTTCTGGTAGGGTTTCTATGACAATATGATTGCAGGCGGAAGCACTTTCTATAGCACCATACAAATATTACTTACAATTCCTAGATAATTCACCAAAAGATTAATCAGCAGGTGAACAGCACAGAGACTGTGACCCTCTTGTGGACAAAAAGGTGAGATTAGATGCAAAGTTTCCACCTCAGCTCACAATCGTTCTTCTACCCCTGCCCTGAGTCCACTGAGTCCACAGCTAAAGGGAGTCCCTGGAAGCCATATTTGTTCTTCATAACCCAGTTGATAGCTGATCCAACAAGAGATGAATGCCTGCTGGAAACTAGAACAATCGAGTTCTTTCCCCCAGGGAACATGGAAGTTGCCTTGAGGACTGTCAGTCGGCCACAGCAAAGGCAAAGTTTCCAGATAAAACGAGGCACCTGCCAGGTCTCTAGGCTGGAGCGAAGCCATCATTGCACAACTTCAAATGTCCCAGAACAAAGATAGACATTGGCTGGCTGGGAAGCAGCTGTCGTTCTGCCTCGGGGTGACAGGCGTCATTTTCTTGAGTTGCTAGCTCATGGTAAAGGTCTGCTTTCTATAGTGGAGACCTAGATGTGCAAGTCCCAGCAAGCCTGGGGCTTGGGGGATCCGGGTGCTAGCTGTGGTTTGATCACCCATCATCGATGGCCTTAGGACTTTTTTTTTTTTTTGAGATGGAGACTTACTGTCACCAAAGCTGGAGTGTAGTGGCGTGATCTCGGCTCACTGTAACCTCCACCTCCCGGGTTCAAGCAATCCTCCTGCCTCAGCCTCCCTAGTGGCTGGGATTACAGGCACTCAACACCATGCCCTGCTAGGTTTTTTATTTTTAGCAGAGACGGGGTTTCGCCATGTTGGCCAGGCTGTTCTCAAACTCCTGGCCTCAAGTGATATGCCCACCTTGGCCTCCCAAAGTGCTGGGATTACAGGAATGAGCCACCACGCCCAGCCGGGACTTTTTCCTTTTCTGGAATCAGTTTTCCCACCTGGCAAAGGGGCAAATTGGATGAGATCATGTAATCTATGGTTTATGTAGTTATTTTAATAAATAGACCAAAAAGAGAGAAGGGAATTCCTTGCCAACATGTAGAGTTTTTCGTATTTTCTTAAGTGGTCCTGGAGGTATCTGAACACCACAGTAAAATGTAAATGAAACTGTTTTATAATATTCATGTTCTAAAAGTTAAAATTTCAGGCCAGACACCGTGGCTTATGCCTGTAATCCCAGCACTTTGGGAAGCCGAGGCAGGTGATCATCTGAGGTCGGGAGTTCGAGACCAGCCTGACCAACATGGAGGAACCCCGTCTCTACTAAAAATACAAAAAAATTAGCCGGGCGTGGTGGCGCATGCCTGTAATCCCAGCTACTTGGGACGCTGAGGCAGGAGAATAGCTTGAACCCAGGAGGCGGAGGTTGCAGTGAGCCAAGATCGTGCCATTACACTCCTGCCTGGGGGACAAGAGCAAAACTCTGTCTCAAAAAAAAAAAAAAAAGTTAAAATTTCGACAGGTGAAAATGGTTTCCCTCTGTCTTTTTGGTTGTGATCTCTTAGTTTTCATCTCCACAGACAAGCAGTTACAGGAAATCTTGCACAGGACAGCTGCCCGTAGCAAAAAATTATCTGGTGCAAAATGTCAGCAGTGCTAAGGTTGAGAAACCTTGCTTTACACATATATTAGCAAATATAAGTGCGCATGCACACACAGAGGCACACACACCCTTTCATACACAAATGGGGGCTACACTGCACATATTTCTACATCTCGTCTTTTTTACCTAACCATGGAGATAGTTGTGTATCTGCACAGATAGACTCTTTCGAGCTGCAGAATACTGTATTCTCCTGTACAGATAGATCACTTATTTACTCAGTCCCCTATTGATAGACATTCAGATTGCTGCCAGCTTCTACAAATAATATTGCTATAATTATTCTTGTTCATAGCTTTGTGTGCAAATGCCCATATGCTATTGTATCTGTCTGATAATTCCTCTAAACAGAATAATCAGGTCAAAGAGTATGCAGCTTTAAAATGTTGACAGACCTCACAGAAGTCCTCCAAAGATGACTGATTTATGTTCTTACCAACTATGTAGTGCTATGCCTTGCTGACACCTTTATTAACAAAATAGAGCCTTCTGTCTTTAAGTTGACTTAGCTTCAACTAATTATGTATTTGAAACCAACTGTAATTTCCAACCATTCGTTTTTCAACAAACATTTATCCTTTGTGTCAGGAACTGGGATGAGAGGAATGAGGGGATACCCTCAAAATATCCTCATTAGACTAGAGGTACAGAGACAGGCTAACACATAGTTTGTACCACAGTGTGACAAAGGCTATGAATTAGGTAACATAACATAAAGGATATTTCCTGTAGCTTTTAGTTTTCATGGAGGCCCAGGGTGTGTCCAATCTTCTAATTTTCTTTTTCTTTCTTTCTTTTTTCTCTTGAGACAGTTTTGCTCGTGTTGCCCAGGCTGCAGTACAATGGCGCGATCTTGGCTCACTGCAACCTCCGCCTCCCGGGTTCAAGCGATTCTCCTGCCTCAGCCTCCTGAGTAGCTGAGATTACAGGCATGCACCACCACGCCCGGCTAATTTTTTTGTATTTGTATTAGAGATGGGGTTTCACCATGTTGATCGGCTGGTCTTGAACTACCGACCTCAGGTGATCTGCCCACCTCGGTCTCCCAGAGTGCTGGGATTACAGGCATGAGCCACCACGCCCGGCCTTTTTCTTTCTTTCATTCTTTTTTTTTTTTGAGACAGAGTCTCGCTCTGTTGCCCAGGCTGGAGTGCAGTGGTGTGATCTCAGCTCACTGCAACCTCAACCTCTTGGACTCAAGCGATCCTCCCACCTCAGCCTCTCAAGTAGCTGGGGCTACAGACGCACCACCACGCCCAGCTAATTTTGTTTATTTTTTGTACAGGCTAGGTCCTACTATGTTGCCCAGGCTGGTCTTGAACTCCTGGACTCAAGCAATCCTCCTGCCTCGGCCTCCCAAAGTGCCGGGATTATAGGCATGAGCCACCGCACCCAGCCTTAATTTTTCAAGAAAAGCCTGGAAACTAGGTTTTTATATCACAGCTTTTTATTTTGAAATATTGGCAAAAAATTTAAATATTATTTCAGTTGGCATAATGTCCTCAAGGTTCATCCATGTTGTAGCATTTTATTTTATTTATCTTTTGAGACTGAGTCTCACTCTGTCACCCAGGCTGGAGTGCAGCGGCACAATCTGCAACATCTGCCTCCCAGCTTCCAGTGATTCTCCTTCCTCAGCCTCCTGAGGAGCTGGGATTACAGGTGCATGCCACCATGCCCGGCTAATTTTTGTATTTTTAGTAGAGATGGGGTTTCACCAGATTGGCCAGGCTGGTCTCGAACTTCTGACCTCAAGTGATCCGCCTCCCTCGGCCTCCCAAAGTGTTGGGATAACAGGCGTGAGCCACCATGCTGGTCATGTTGTAGCATTTTAATGTTGAATAATGTTTCATTATATATATGTACTGCGTTTTTGTTAATTCATTAATCTAATGATGGATATTTGGGTTGTTTCTACCTTTTGACTATTGGGAATGATGTGGATATAAATACTGATGTACAAATATCTGAGTCCCAGTTTTCAATTCTTTTAGATATATATATCTAGGAGTGGGATTGCTGAATTATGTTCTAATTCTGTATTTACCTTTAAGATTTTTTAACTTTAAACATTTTAATCTGTATTTAATGGAAAAACATAAGAAAGGAAAAATATCCCAGAGGAAAAATATGCAAATAAATTCTACCTCTGGTTGATATACAGTTATTAATAACAAAACTAGTGTGAGTTTAGAGAGAATGTTTAGCAAACACTGATAAATGAAAAGAAAAAAAATTACCAAAAACCCTGTATCTGCAAAACAACCACTGTTAATAGTGATCTTTATTTTCAGAGAATACAAATATAGATCAAGATTAATAGTGAAAATAAGGCCAGCATTTAGAACAGTATATGTAAAATCATTATTTAAAAACAAACAAGGCTGGGTACGGTGGCTCACACCTGTAATCCCAGCACTTTGGGAGACCGAGGCGGGCAGATCACCTGAAGTCAGGAGTTCAAGACCAGCCTGGCCAACATGGTGAAACCCCGACTCTACTAAAAATACAAAAAAAATTAGCGAGGCATGGTGGTGGCAGGTGCTTGTAATCCCACCTACTCAGGAGGCTGAGGAAGGAGAATTGCTTGAACCTGGGAAGTGCAGGTTGCAGGGAGCCGAGATCGTGCCATTGCACTCCAGCCTGGTCAACAAGAGCGAAACTCCGTCTCAAACAAACAAACAAACAAACAAACAAACTAGGCCAGGCACGGTGGCTCACGCCTGTAATCCCAGCACTTTGGGAGGCCGAGGTGGGAGAATCGCTTGAGGCCAGGAGTTCAAGACCAGCCTGGCCAACATGGTAAAACCCTGTCACTACCAAAAATACAAAAATTAGCCAGGCACGGTGGTGCGCACCTGTAGTCCCAGCTATTTGGGAGGCTGAGGCAGAAGAATTGCTTGAGGCTGGGAGGCAGAGGTTGTAGCAAGCTGAGATCATGCCATTGCACTCTAGTGTGGGAGACAGAGTGAGACCCTGTCTCAAAACAAAAAACAAACAACCCCCGCCCCGAAAAAAAACCCCAAAACAAAACAAAAAAAACAAACAAAGCCAAGATCTCTCTGAGGTTGTGCCAAGCCCACTGTGCTTTTTCTCATTTATCTTGGCTTCTGAAAGAAAGGAATGCTATTATGACCACTTTACAGTGGGAAAGGTTGTGTCGTAGGGCTTCTACATCATGTGTCAGAGCTGGGATTTGAACCCAGGCCATCCCAGTGCCCATGTTTACCTGTAGGCACAGCAGCCTCACAGATGTCACATCACACACAGTGTTTGCGAAATTTATCTCAACTTTTGTTGTGATGAAAAATTTCCGACAAATACTTTTCTGCAAGATAATTTTTTAACCACTGCACACTATTCCAGGGATGGGTGTATCAATCCCATACATCTCTATTGATTATGTCTCCATGATTTCATGTTTATACTATTACATCAATGAGGTGAATAGCATTGTCTATATATATTTGCACGCATTCTTATTTTTTTTAGGATAAATTCCCAGAAGTGGAATTGCCCAATAAAACAAAAAAGACTTCAAGCCATTTGATATACACTGCCAAGCTGGCTCTCAGAAAATTGTGCTAATTTACATTTCTAACATCAGTATATAAGAGTGCTTTCTTCTATATGTTACCAACACTGGTTATTAACAATGGAAATTCTTTTGCAAATCTTATAGTTCAAAATATTATATATTACCTTATTATTCATGATATTTTCTGGTAAAATTAAAATGCTAACCATACCAAGAGTAGGCAAGAATGTAGAGGGACTTGGCCAGGCACAATGGATCACACCTGTAATACTAGCACTTTGGGAGGCCAAGGTGGGTGGATCATTTGTTGGGAGTTCAAGACCAGCCTGGCTGACATGGTGAAACCCCATCTCTACTAAAAATTTAAAAATTAGCTTGGCATGGTTGTGTGCTCCTGTAATCCCAGCTACTCGAGAGGCTGAGGCTGGAGAATCGCTTGAAACTGGGAGGTGGAGGAGGTTGCAGTGAGCCGTGATTGCACCACTGTACTCTAGCCTGGGTGACAGACTGAGACTCTATCTCAAAAAAAAAAGCTGCCATGGGGGCTCATGCCTGTAATCCCAGCACTTTGGGAGGCCGAGGTGGGTGGATCACCTGGGGTCGGGAGTTTGAGACCAACCTGACCAACATGGAGAAACCCTGTCTCTACTAAAAATACAAAATTAGCTGGGCATGGTGGCGCATGCCTGTAATCCCAGCTACTCAGGAGGCTGAGGCAGGAGAATCACTTGAACCTGGGAGGCGTAGGTTGTGGTGAGCTGAGATGGTGCCGTTGCACTCCAGCCTGGGCAACAAGAATGAAACTTCATCTCAGAAAAGAAAAGAAAGAAAGAAAAAGAATGTGGAGGGACTGGAACTCTCATATACCACTGGTAGGAAAGAAAGATGTTGCAACCATTCTGGAAAATAGTTTGACAGTTTCTTTAAAAGTTCAATGTCCATCTACCCTATGATCTAGCCATTTCATGCCTTGGTATTTATCCAAGAGAAAAGGAAATAGATGTCCATACAAAGAGTTGTACACAAATGTTTATAGTGGTTTTAATTGTAATAACTTCAAACTGAAAATAAACCATATGTCCGTCAACAACTTAATAGATAAACAAATTGTGGTACATCCATACAATGGAATAGCACTCAGCAATAAAAGTAAATGAACTATTGATACATGCAATGACATTAGTGATTCTCAAAATTATTATGCTGAGTGAAAGATGCCAGACAACAAAGAGTACATGCCATTTGATTCCATTTGTATAAACACTAAGAAGTATACACTAATCTCCATTTAGTGACACTAACCTATAATGACACTAATCTATAGTAAAGCAGACCAGTGGTTGCCTGGTAATCGGCGGGAGGAACAAAATAAAGTAATTACAAAGAAATCTTTTGGACTAATGGATATGGTTACTATATTGATTTGTGGTGATGATTTCATGGTCATATACATAGAACAGAACAAAACAAATTGTACCTTTTCAATATGTGTAGTTATTGTATGTTAATTACATGTCAATAAAGATGCTTTTAAAAATCCCCCCAGGTAGGCCAGGTGCAGTGGCTCATGCCTATAAGTCCAGCACTTTGGGAGGACAAGGTGGGAGGATTGCTTGAGCTCAGGAGTTTGAGACCAGCTTGGGCAACATGGCAAAACTCTGTCTCTACCCAAAATACAAAAATTAGCTTGGCATGGTGGTGCATGCCTGTGGTCCCAGCTACTTGGGAGACTGAGATGGGAGGATTGCGGGAGACTGGGAAGTTGAGGCTGCAGTGCGCCATGATGATGCTACTGCACTGTAGCTTGGGTGAGAGAATGAGACCCTGTCTCAAAAAAAAAAAAAAAAAAAAAATTCCTCTCAGGACGGTTGGCCCTACGTACGTGCGGATTCTGTATCCATGGATTAACTCAACTCAACTGAAAATATTTGAAAAAAAAAAAAAAAAGATGATTGCCGGGCGCAGTGGCTCACGCCTTTAATCCCAGCACTTTGGGAGGCTGAGGTGGGCGGATCACCTGAGGTCAGGAGTTCGAGACCAGCCTGACCAACATGGAGAAACCCCGCCTCTACTAAAAATACAAAAAAATTAGCCGGGCTTGGTGGCACATGCCTGTAATCCCAGCTACTCAGGAGGCTGAGGCAGGAGAATCACTTGAACCCGGGAGGCGAAGGTTGTGTTGAGCAGAGATTGCGCTATTGCATTCCAGCCTGGGCAACAAGCGTGAAACTCTGTTTAAAAAAAAAAAAAATGCATCTGCAGTGAACATGTACTGACTTTCTTTCTTGTCGTTTCCTGAATAATACTGTACAACAACTATTTATATAGGCTTAGGTGTTATAAGTAATCTACAGGTAACTTAATGTGTACAGGAGGATGTACATAAGCTGTATGCAAATATACCTTTTTCTTTTGTTTTTTGAGACAGGGTGTGTTTCTGTTGCCCAGGCTGGAGTGCAGTGGCAAGATCTTGACTCACTGCAATCTCCACCTACTGGGCTTAAGCCATCTTCCCACCTCAGCCTCCCAAGTAGCAGGGACTACAGGGGGACGCCATCATGCTGAGCTAATATTTGTACTTTTTGTAGAGATGAGGTTTCGCCATGTTGTCTAGACTATGCTGGAACTCCTGAGCTGAAGTGATCCGCCTACCTTGGCCTGCCAAATACACCTTTTTCTGTCAGGAACTTGAGCATCTGTGGATTTTGGTATCCGTGGGAGGTCCTGGAACCAATCCCCCAGGGATATGGAGGGACAACTGTATTACAATATTCTCATTGTTTTACTTATTGTTGTTGTTTACTAAGCAGGGGCACTGAATATGGTCAGGCAGGCTGCCAGTTTCACAGTTCTCTATTTGGAGTGTCTGTTTCCAAATAGACACCCCCCCCGAAGCTGTGAAATGGGGCAGCTTCGCCAATAAGCTGAACATCATGGCATCTATTGATCAGCCTTTTATATTTCTTTTTACGGGTATTGCCTTTATTTTGAGGATTTTCCATCTGTAAGTTCTCTTTATATAGGCTATTAGGCGTCTGTCATACATGTTGCAAAGATGTTTTCCAGCTTTGCAATTTGGAGTTGACTTTTGACACCGATGAACCAGTGACAATTACTTCTGATCCGATAACTTATTTGTTGGCAAAGCATGGTCCTGTGAATTCCTTTCTTGGCACCTAGGATCATTGCTTCAGCATCTGTTCTTTTAGAAAACAGGTTTGTCCAGCAACTTGTATTTGTCATCTTCCTTGTGATTTGTTTGATCAAGTACATTGTCTGTTAAGTTGAGTTGCTGCTGGCTTTCAGGTCAAACGCATTAGGCTTTAATAGGCATTCTGAAGTGCTTACCAAACCCAGCTCTGTAGTAAAGGAACTGTTAAGAGTCCTTCTTTTCTCTTTTCCTTCTCCTACTTTTATTTCAGTTTGTTGAATTCCTCCCATAATCTGCCTCTGGGTTAAAGGCTTTACGTTATCTTTTCACATCTAATTCTCATAACCTTGTGATCCTAGGTGTGGTTAGTTCCGTTTTTTATTTAAGGAAACTAACTTGTGGAGAAGTAAAAAAAAAAAAATTCTACCCAGAATCACATGGGTAGCAGGTGAGGAAAGTGACTTTTGAACTTACATTGGTCAGACTCCAAAAGTCAAGCTCTTAACCTTCACCCTACTACCTCTAACTTACCCTGGCTTTCAATGAGTTGCTTGTGTGTTTCTTCGTCTTTTAACCCTGATAAAGAGATTTGGTGCACAATAGGACCTGAGATCTATTGGGTTGAGAAAGAGAAAGAATATTCTATGTGGGGTGGGCTGAGGAGGTGTTTCCAAAATGTTTCCACTTCAGTTTCATACACAAACATACAATGGATGAAAAAGCAGGAAGGCAATAAGCTCACTTTGTTACACACTCCTCCGCAGTCAGGTTGTACATAATGCCGCTACGAGCAGCTTCTCAACCTCAGCACTGTTGACATTTTGGGTGGATAATTCTTTGTTTTGTGTTGCTGTCGTGTGCCTTGGATATTTAGCAGTATCCCTGGCCTCTACCCACTAGATGCCAGTAGCACCTCCACCCCTGCTGTGACAATGGAAAATGTTTCCAGACATTGCCAAACGTCCTCTGGGAGGAAGAATCGCCCCTGGTAAACACTCAATGGCCTATGATTAATAAAGGCTTAACAATGCCTTTCACAGCTCCAAAGAAATATCCATAGATTACAAGGCTAATAAAGATACACTGGGTCATGTATTTCTCTCCTTCTCTCTCTCTCTCTTTTTTTTTTCCCGCTAGCAGAATTTCCTAGTGGAAGCTGAATGTTTGATTAGCACACTTAGAAACCGTAGAAATGTTTATTTAAATATATGGCTAACACAAAGAAAACATTTTTATCATTATTTTCTCATTACAGATAATTTTTTTTTTTGAGGTGGAGTTTCGCTCTTGTTGCCCAGGCAGGAGTGCAATGGCATGATCTCAGCTCACCACAACCTCCGCCTCCCGGGTTCAAGTGATTCTCCTGCCTCAGCCTCTCGAGTAGCTGGGATTACAGGCATGTGCCACCACACCCGGTTAATTTTGTATTTTTAGTAGAGGCGGGGTTTCTTCATGTTGATCAGACTGGTCTCGAACTCCTGACCTCTGGTGATCCGCCAGCCTTGGCCTCCCAAAGTGCTGGGATTATAGGTGTGAGCCACTGTGCCCGACCATTACAGATAACTTTTATTGAACTCATACTGTTTGCCAGTCCCAATGCTAAATCCCTTACTATGTCATTTATCTCATTTATGACTCACAGGTTTTAAAAATAGACATGAATGTTATGCCCATTTTACTGATGAGGAAATTGAGATTTACAAACATTAAATAACTTCTTTTAAGATCACTGGAAAGATTAATGCAGCTGAAAACTTAACCCAAGTTTGTTTTACACTGGGGTTTATTTACACTACTGACTTCCAAAATTAATATTCATCCACAGTAGGACAATTAAACACAATCATTAAAAACAAAATGAAGACTATAAAATCAGTGCTATCTTACCACTCAGCAATAATCTGTATTGACATTTTGCTATGAATTCATTCAGTCTTCATTCTCTGCATTTAAAAACATATATGCTTTAGAAAAAACGAAACATGTTTAATATCCTATGTTTTTTCTTTATATTTGGGACTACTTTTCCATCATGATGTTAAACATTCTTTACTAAGTACCATTTAAAAGGGCTATATAAAAATTAAAAAAATTAACCAGACATGGTGGCATGTACCTGTAGTCCCAGCTACTTGGGAGGATGAAGTGGGAGGTTTCTTTGAGCCAAGGAGTTAGAGACCAGCCTGGACAACATAGTGAGACCCCCACCTCTAAAAAAATAAAAATATTTAGCCAGGGGTAGTGGCGTGTGCCTGTTGTCCCAACTACTTGGGAGGCTGAGGCAGGAGGGTTGCTTGAGCCCAAGAGTTTGAGGCTGTAGTAAGCTATGATCGTGCCACTGCACTCCAGCATGGGTGACATAATGAGACCCTGTCGCAAAATGAATGAATGAATGAATGAATAAATGAAAGAGCTATTTCATATTCTACCAGGGAACATTTAAACAGTCTCCCATTGCCAGACATTCTGGTTGTATTTTTTTCCTCTCTCCCTCTCTCCTTCTCCCACCCTCTCTCTTTCTTTCTTTTTCATGTTATTTACACAAGATAAATTCCTAGCAGTGAAATACTGGAGTAAAAGTAATCCTATGTATTTTGAAGAGTGCCGATGTCATCAAAAAGTGATATATTTTTAAGGCTCATGATGCATGCTGTCAAATGCACCCCCCCAAAGGTTGTACTGATTTACATTTTACCTGCATTGGATGGATGGATATACTTTTTTCCTCCAAAAAACAAAGGGCTTCTAACTAATTAAAAACAAAAAAACATGGCCAGGCATGGTGGCTCACGCCTGCAATCCCAGCACTTTGGGAGGCTGAGGTGGGCGGATTACCTGAGGTCGGGAGTTCGAGACCAGCCTGGTCAACACTGCAAAACCCTGTCTCTACTAAAAATACAAAAATTAGCCGGGTGTGGTGGCACATGCCTGTAGTCTCAGCTACTTGGGAGGCTGAGGCAGGAGAATCGGTTGAACCCGGGGGGCAGAGGTTGCAGTGAGCCAAGATCACACCACTGCACTTCAGCCTGGGCGACAGAGCGAGACTCCATCTCAAAAACAGACAAAAAAATACACACACATATGCATATTCACACACACACACACACACACACACACACACACACACGCTTGTAGATATCACAGAGAAAGTCATATTGCCTTTTATTTGCATTTCTTTGCTAGTAATAGTTCTTTATGAAACATGAGAAATTTATGCACTTAACAAGAAGTAGTGGGGGAGTAGTAGTTAAAGATAGACTCTGCAATATGAGGAATAGTGAGACCCATTTCACAGATGAAAAAGTGTGTAGACCTAAAATGTTAATGTGTATATTTAATTATACAACATAACTGCAAATCAATGTAAGAGAATAGGTTTAAACTCCTTACAAACATACTTCTTATATATCTCATAAATCTGAACCCTAAGATGAAAGCAAATTGACAAATTAATACAAACAAAACTATGAGGACTTGGAAACCCAAATTAGCAGCAATAATTTCATATGTGGATGAAACAACTGCACAGAAGTGCAATCTCTGTAAGCAGTGTGGATGCCTTGTCATGGCACTTTCTGAGTCTGCAATGACTCAGCCCATCCTCCACTTTTCTCCTGAATCACGAAAAACAAAGCATTCCTGCTGGCACAAATGCATCCTTTACATGCCCATCCTGCCTCTTTCTTCTTCCCATTCACTCCACAAGTAAAGTAATATAACTTGGGGTCATTTATTGTAAACCCAAGTACACAATTAAGTGGGATGTTTAGTTAGCATACGGAAATATTATGTTTAGATCATTTGCGAAAGAGAATGGAAATGTAAACTACTTTCTTATAGGAAACTAAAACCCACTTAGCTAAATGTTGAAAGCATAGGCCAAGGATGAGACAGACTGAGCAAGTCAGAGCCACAGTGTTCTTATCTGTGAAATGGAGGAAATAATAGTTACCCCATAGGTTGTAGTAGATTGAGTCAGAATAATGCAGGTAGGCTGCTTATGACATGCAAACTATTATTAAAACATGTTTTCCATTCGTCATTTGGTTTCTTAGAGACAACCCAGATTTTCGTCTTCTTTTTTTTTTTAGACAGAATCTCGCTCTGTTGCCCAGGCTGGAGCACAGTGGCGCAATCTTGGCTTACTGCAACCTCTGCCTCCTGGGTCTAAACCATTCTTGTGCCTCAGCCTCCCGAGTAGCTGGAATTACAGGCACGACCTACCATGCCTGGTTAATTTTTTTGTATTTTTAGTAGAGATGGCATTTCGCCATGTGGGCCAGTCTGGTCTCGAACTCCTGAGCTCAAGTGATCCGCCTGCCTCGGCCTTCCAAAGTGTTGGAATTACAGGGATGAGCCACCATGCTGGTATCTCTTTTTGGTGGTATCTCTTTTTCCCTCCCTGTATCCATACCCTTTGCACATACTACCTTTGTGATCTCTTCCATGAAGAAATGAGATCTATTTCCCACACCTTGAATAGCAGCTGGATTTTTGTCTTGCTTTGGCCAACGGAATCCTGTTGTATTTAAGGAGAAATGTTTCATTCCAAAACAAGACCACAGATTATTTTAAAAGTCCCCAAAGCAGGAGATCTGTGTTCCATGATCCCCCCCCGCCCCTGCATTTGCTCCACTCAGCCAAGGTCTAGCTGGAGTGTTTTTACACCAAGATTTCTGTTCGTTTTCATTGATACAATTCAGTTGCACAGAGCGCTTCTTAATCTCTCTGCTCAAATAATTGGATGTGTTTCGAGTGATTTTCTAAGTGAGAGAATCAGTGGTTTCTATGCAGCATAAACACCGGGAACCTGATTCACAACTTTCTTAGTGGAGTCTGACATCTACAGAAGCCTCCCTGCGGATCTTGACTCTCCTTCCTGGCATCTGACTCCAGGAAGGTGGCGTCTGAACCACCTCCTGCCAACAAAATCCTGGGAAAATAAAGCTGGACCCATTCAAGGCGAAATTCCCCATAGCCACAGCAAGCTGGAATGAATTTACATGCACATTTAGTTGATATTTCCTGCTTGTCTCTTGAACATGTAAATGGATGCTACTCCTTTCTGTAGAAGCAGGGTCAGGTAAGGACACAATTAATGCTTACAGGTTTCCCTGAGGGCTCCCAGGCCCCCAATCTCCCAATCTCACACTTCCCTAATACCGTGACTCATGGAGTCTCATGCTCACAGTGAAACCCTGAAACCCCTGCCAGTTCCTTCAAATCTTTTTAATCTTTTTTTTTTTTTTTTTTTTTGAGACGGAGTCTCGCACTGTCAACCTGGCTGGAGTACAATGGCACAATCTTGGCTCACTGTACCCTCTGCCTCCTGGATTCAAGCGATTCTCCTGCCTCAGCATCCCGAGTAGCTGGGATTATAGGCGCCCACCACCATGTCCGGCTAATTTTTTGTATTTTTTAGTAGAGACAGGGTTTTACTATGTTGGCCAGGCTGGTCTCGAACTCCTGACCTCATGATCCACCTGCCTTGGCCTCCCAAAGTGCTGGGATTATAGGCATGAGCCATGGCACCTGGCCTCCTCCAAATCTTTCTAAGAAAGCATTTTGAAGCCCAACTTCATTTTCATTATTATTATTAATTGGGGTCCAATTTTGCATACAATACGTTGCAAAGGTTTGTATTTATTTATTTATTTATTTATTTATTTTTATTTCTTTATTTGAGATGGAGTTTTGCTCTTGTTGCCCAAGCTGGAATGCAGTGGCATGATCTCGGCTCACTGCAACCCATGCCTCCCGGGTTCAAGTGATTCTCCGGCCTCAGCCTCTCAAGTAGGTGTGATTACAGGTGCACGCCACCACTCTCGGCTAATTTTTTGTATTTTTAGTAGAAACAGGGTTTCACCATGTTAGCCAGGCTGGTCTCGAACTCCTGACCTCAGGTGATCCGCCTGCCTTGGGCTCCCAAAGTGCTGAGATTACAGGTGTGAGCTACCACGCCTGGCCAAATTGCAAAGATTTTAAATGTAGTTTTATGTCTTCCAACAAAGCTCTATACCCTTGTAACCACTGCTCCAATTGATATAAGAACTCTTTTATCACTGTACATTCCCTTATGTCTTTTTCCAGTAACAATCCGTCCTCTCCCGAGATTTTGATTTCTAACACCGTAGCTCAGTCTGGCCAGTTTTCAAACTTCACATAAATGGAACCAGACAAAATGATCACTTTTGTGTCTGGCTTCTTTTTATTGAAATGTTTTTGAGATGCGTCTGCATTGTTATTTATGTCCTTAGTTCATTTTAAAATTACTTCTGAGCCATGGTCCATTGTGTAGCTATACAGCGCTTTAACAATTCACCCGTTGATGGACACTTTATTTATTTTTTCCAGTTTTTGACTATTATGAATAAAGCTGCAATGAACATTTCTGTATGCATGTATATATTTCTTTTTGGAAATGTGTGTTTATTTCTCTTGGGTAAATACTTAGAAATGGAATTGCTAGGTCAGGGGGTAAAAGTATGGTTAATGTATGTATAAGAAACTGTCAAACTGTTCTCCAAAGTGGAGAACTTACTTGATTTTGAGACTTGTGATTACATTATGTGCTGCATTTCCTGCCCTTTATTAACACAATAGTTTTTTTTTTCTTCTTTGTCTGGGTAAAAGAGATTGTAAAAAGTGGCTGTATCTTTTTCCTCCCTGTATCTATACCCTTTGCACATATTTTTTTGTGATCCCTTCTATGAAGAAGTGGGATCTATTTCCCACTCCTTGAATAGCAGCTGGATTTTTGACTTGCTTTGGCCAACAGAATGCAGTAGAAATAGCAGTGTACCGGCACCAAGCTCCAGCCTCAGGAGACCTCATGAGAGTCTGTTTATATTTTGGAACACTGCTACTGCCATAGGACAAGCCTGGCCTGGCTAGATGGATGGGAGACCACGTGGAGAAGGGCCCAGCTGTCTCAGCTAAAGCCATCATAGACCAACATACAGCCAGCCTACTTCCTAACACATGAGAGAGCCCTGTCTGGATTAGCAGAAACACCTACTCAACACAAAGCTGATTACAGAAGCACGAGTGACCTCAACTTGGAAGAGAAGAACCCCTTGGCAGAACCCATAAACTCATAAACAATAGCAAATGCTTATTGTTTTAAGTTGTGGAGTTTTGGGATTATATGTTATGCAGCCATATGTGACTGATACAGGCTAGATCTTCACCTCTTCCCCTACCATTTACTATTTGTGTAAACATAGTCAATGTAGTTAATATCTCTGAACTTAAAGACGTCTCATCTGTATGATAGGATCATGATACTTGCTTTAAAAAACAATTTGGAGGCCAGGCACGGTGGCTTACATCTGTAGTCCCAACACTCTGGGAAGCCGAGGTGGGCAGATCATGAGATCAGGGGTTCAAGACCAGCTTGGCCAACATGGTGAAACCCCGTCTCTATTAAAGATACAAAAAATTAGTCAGGTGTGGTGGTGCACACCTGTAATCCGAGCTACTTGGGAGGCTGAGGCAGGAGAATCACTTGAACCTAGGAGGCAGAGGTAGCAGCGAACTGAGATCGCACCACAGCACTCCAGCCTGGGTGACAGGGCAAGACTCTGTCTCAGAAAAAAAAAAAAATAGCTTGGAGGATTAGATGAAAAACTGAAAGAACATGAACAGAGCTGATAATAAGGCTCAATACATTCTTTCTCTAGTAATAATAATGATAAAACCACCACCTCTTCTTTTTACCTTAACACATTTTCTTACAGTAAAATCTTCTATGACTTTGGGACTAGAAAGGCCTGGACATGCTCAAGACTTGTCCTTCCAGTTTGGAGTATGAGTGCATTTTCCTTCGCCAGATATTTCATCATCACATGGTCTAGTTATTTATTTTCATTGATTGAGAAGAACCTGTGATAAATGCACAGTTGTAAAATATCAAGTGCTTTTGCCGTGGATTTGTAGTTTATGAAATTACAATAGCCTTGCCAGTGCCTTTAAAAGCTAGTGCCACATGAAAACCAAGATGCATTCATTTGGTTTACAGATACTGTTTTGTGTGTATAACAAGTCACAGGATCCTTTCCTATGATTTCCTAGCTTCTCAAACCCGTCGTCTTTCACCACTGCAGGGGACTATGGCCAACGGGCTAGAAACTATTGATTAAGGCCAATAGAAGACTATGAGACGCGGCCCTTCATGGACCAAACTTTCCTTAAGCTTGCTTAATTATGGCCCTTGTCATGCCTCGAAGTTCACCTACTACCACCGTTTCGCTTGTTCATTTTGTTCTTGTTTATAAGACAGAGTCTTGCTCTCTTGCCCAGGCTGGAGTGCAATGGCAGGATCTCAGCTCACTGCAACCTCCGCCTCCCGGGTTCAAGCAAATCTCCTGTTTCAGCCTCCCGAGTAGCTGGGATTACAGGCACCCGCCCCTCACACCTGGCTAATTTTTGTATTTTTAGTAGGGATGGGATTTCTCCATGTTGGCCAAGCTGGTCTCAAACTCTTGGCCTCAAATGATCCACTCACCTCGACCTCCCAAAGTGCTGGGATTATAGGAGTGAGCCACTGCGCCGTGCCTTGTTCCTTTTGTTCTATCCACGCTGGCCTTCTGGCTGTTCTTCAACCAAGCAAAACGAGGTTTTTTGCTACTTCCTCTGCCTGGGAAGCTTGCTCCTGGCTCTTCACATAGCCAGCTCGTTTTTCCCTTCAGATTTGTGCCCAAAGATCACCACAGCCGCTGAACATGGAGGTGGGAGGAGATGAGCAATAAGACCATTCCTTACATGGTGTTTCCATGACACAGGAGAATCACTGCAGGAGCACAGATGATAGCAGCAAAGTGTGGGAAAATCATTAGGAAGGGATGAGTTTCCACTCTTTGTTTCCTTTGTTATTTCTATTTTTAAATTTAATTTAAATTTTTTCATTTTTAATTTTTGTGGGTACATAGTAGGTGTATATGTTTATAGGGTACATGAGATGTTTGGAGACAGGCATGCAATGTGAAATAAGCACATCATGGAGAATGGGGTATCTATCTTCTCACGCATTTATCCTTTGAGTTAGAAACAATCCAATTACAATCTTTGAGTTATTTTAAAATGTACAATTAAGTTATTTTTGACTATAGTCACCCAGTTGTGCTATCCAATAGCAAGTCTTATTCATTCTGTTTTTTCTTTTTCTTTGAGACAGAGTCTTGCTCTGTCACCAGGCTGGAATGCAGTAGCAAGATCATGGCTCACTACAACCTGGAACTCTTGGGCTCAAAAGATCCTCTCCCCTAAGCCTCCTGTGAGGCTAAGACTACAGGTGTGCACCACTGTGTCTGGATAATTTTTTAAAAAATTTTTAATTTGTAGAGACAGGTCTTGCTACATCGCCCAGGCCGGTTTCAAACTCCTGGCCTCAAGCAATCCTCCCGCCTCAGCCTCCCAGAGTGCTGGGATTACAGGCATGAGCCATTTTGCTTGCCTTTTAAATTTTTTTTTTTTTTTTTGAGACGGAGTCTCACTCTGTCACCCAGGTTGGAGTGCAGTGGCGCGATCTCGGCTCACTGCAAGGTCTGCCTCCCGGGTTCACGCCATTCTCCTGCCTCAGCATCCTGAGTAGCTGGGACTACAGTCGCCCGCCACAACGCCCGGCTAATTTTTTGTATTTTTAGTAGAGACGGGGTTTCACCATGTTAGCCAGGATGGTCTCAATCTCCTGACATCGTGATCTGCCTGCCTCAGCCTCCCAAAGTGCTGGGATTACAGGTGTGAGCCACCGTGCCCGGCCTAAATTTTTTGTGTGTGTGTGTGTGATAAAATGTACAAAGCATGACATTTACCATTTTAACTAGTGTGTAATTCAGTGGCATTAAGTATAGTCACAATGTTGCATCAACATCACCACTGCTTTCAGAAATTTTCTTTTAAATCATCCCAAACACCAACTCGTTAAAAACTAACTGCCTGTTCCCTTTTCCCTCCTTCCAGCCCCTAGGAATTTCTCTTCTATTTTCTGTCTTTATGAATTGGCCTATTTTAGATTATTGTAAGACTTCACTTAAATAGATCCACCTCATATAAACGGAGTAGTACAGTATTTGTCCTTCTGTGTCTAGATTATGTCACTTGGAATATCCTTTGGTTTTATTTTTAATTTTATTTTTTTATTTATTTTTGAGATGGAGTTTTGCTCTTGTTGCCCAGGCTGGAGTGCAATGGTGTGATCTCAGCTCACTGCAACTTCTGCCTCCCGGGTTCAAGCGATTCTCCTGCCTCAGCCTCCCGAGTAGCTGGGATTACAGACTTCTACCACCATGCCCGGCTAATTTTTTGTATTTTTTAGTAGAGACAGGGGTTTTACCATGTTGGCCAGGCTGGTCTCGAACTCCTGACCTCAAGTGATCCACCCCACTCAGTCTCCCAAAGTGCTGGGATTACAGGCGTGAGCCACCGCGCCCCGCATCCTTTGGTTTTAATATCATTTATTTAAATTTAAGTTTGGGCCGGGTGCAGTGGCTCATGCCTATACTCCCAACAATTTAGGAGGCTGAGGCGGGAGGACTGCTTGACTCCCGGAGTTTGAGACCAGCCCTGGCAATCTAGTGAAACCTCATTTCTTCAAATAATACAAAAAATTAGCCAGGTGTGGTGGCATGCGCCTGTAGTCCCAGCTACTTGGGAGACTGAGGTGGGAGAATCAGGAGGCAGTGAGCCATGGTCGCGCCATTGCGCACCAGCCTGGGTGGCAGAGTGAAGCCCTGTCCTCTCTCTTTTTATATACATATACATAAAATAAAATAAATTTTAGTTTGTAGAATTTAATTTTTTTAAAGATTGTGTTTAACAACCAGCTTGTGAAATTCCTGAAAACTTAACAACCAGCTCTTAAGTGCTGGGGTGAGCCCAGGGTCCAGCAATCTTGGAGCCAGAACTCCAGCTGAGGACTCTCAACTCCACAGTCCTCCTCTGTATCACTGATCCCACAGGCCTTCCTGACTCAATTGATCACCTCATCAGTGACCTTATCACAAACTGTGGCAGAACCCAGGCATCCTAACCATCCTCCCCACTTTGGAAACGTGGCTGAAGGGTGTAGTGGCCTGCCCCTGTAGTCCCGGCTACTCAGGAGGGTGAAGTGGGAGGATTGCTTGAGCCCAGGGGGTCAAGGCTGCAGTGAGCCGAGATTGCACCATTGCACTCCACCCTGGATGACAAAGCAAGACCTATCTCAAGCAAACAAAAAACAATAACAAAAAACGTGGCTGAAAAATTGGAAACATTGGTGGTGCTTTTGTAGCAAGTCCAACTCTTATTAACTCATTTTAGGTCAAATACACACACAAATACAGTGAGATGGGATCTCACTGTATCCCTCAGATTGGAGTGCAGTGGTGCAATCTGGGGTCACTGCAACCTCTGCCTCCTGGGTTCAAGCAATCCTCCCACCTCAGCCTCCCGAGCAGCTGGCACTACAGGTGTGTTCCATCACACCCAGCCAATTTTTGTATTTTTAGTAGAGATGGGGTTTCACCATGTTGGCCAGGCTGGTCTCGAACTCCTGACCTCAGCTTGCCTTGGCCTCCCAAAGTGCTGCGATTACAGGCGTGAGCCCCCATGCCTAGGTTCCTTGATACAGTTTAGATAGTTCTCCCCTCCAAGTCTCATGTTGTAATCTCATCCCCAGTGTTGGAGGTGGGGCCTAGCAGGAGGCATTGGGGCCATGGGGGTGGACCCCCAATGAGTGTGTTGGTGCCATCCTTGCTATAGTGAGTGTGTTCTCACTCTGTTAGTTCCCTTGACAGCTGGTTGCTTAAAAGAGCCTGGCACCTCTTCCTATCTCTCTTGCTTTCTCTTGTGTCATGTGACCTCTGCACCCACCAGCTCCCCTTTCCCTTCCGCCATGAGTGGAAGCAACCTGAGGTCCTCACCAGATGTAAATACTGGTGCCATGCTTCTTGTACAGCCTGCAGAACCCTAGGTCAATAAGCTTCTTTTCTTTTTTTGAGACAGGGTATCACTCTGTCACTGAGGCTGGAGTGAAGTGGCATGATCATGGCTCACTGCACCCTTGGCCTCCTGGGCTCAAGCAATCCTCCTGTCTCGGCCTTCCGAGCAGCTGAAATCACAGGCATGCACCACCACGCCTGGCTAATTTTTAAATTTTTTACAGAGATAGGGTCTCGCTCTGCTACCCAGGCTGGTCTCAAAGCCCTGGGTTCAAGTGGTCCTCCCACCTTGGCCTCCCAACTCTTCCCTTTGTAAATTATCCATCCTGTGGTGTTCCTTTACAGCAACACAAAAAGATTTAGACACTCCTACTCTATTTTCTCTCTGATGGTCCGGGATATACTTGTTTTGTTTTTAACAGCATTTTTGGATATATAATTCACATATCATTTCATTCATCTATTTAAACCGTACAATCCAATGGTTTTTAGTACATTCGCAGAATTGTAAAACCACCACCACCATTGACCTTAGAACATTTTCATCACTTCAAGAAAGCCCAAACCCTTCCGTTATTACCCTCTTCCTTCATGTCCTCCCATCCCTGAACAAGCACTAACCTACTTTCTGTCTCTAATGATTGACCCATTCTGGGCATTTCATATAAATGGAATTATAAAATATATGGTCTCTGTGACTGGCTTCTTTCGCTTACTGTAATGTTCAAGGTTCATCCATATTACAGCATGTGTCAGAACCTCATTTCTTTTTATGGATAAGCAATTGTATGCATATGCTACATTTTGTTTATCCATTCATCCTGTAATGGACATTTGGGTTGTTTCCACCTTCTGTCTATTGTGAATATTGCTGCTATAAACAGTCATGTGCAAGTCTGTGTGTGAACATGTGTTTTCATTTCTCTTGGGTAAAATACCTAGGAGTGGAATTGCTGGGTGATATGGTAACTCTATATTTAACCAAACAGGGAACTGCCAGAATGTTCTCCAAAGTGGCCATACCATTTTACATGACCACAAGTGGTGCAGGAGGAGTCCAATTGCTCTACATCTTCAACAACCAGAGTGCACGCATTTGCCTATCTATCACCTACACCTGGGAATATAAGTGGCCTGAAGGCTGGAGGTGCTCACCTCTGTACACGTCTCCCACCTTGGAACATAGTGGACCATGCATAGCAGATGAATGAGTAACATCCCTCTTCTTCTAGAAACTAGCATAGCACTCGGCAGAAGAAGGGCTTGCAGGCTGGGCACAGTGGCTCATGCCTGTAATCCCAGCACTTTGGGAGGCCAAGGCAGACGGATCATGAGGTCAGGAGATTGCGACCATCCTGGCCAACATAGTGAAACCCCATCTCTACTAAAAATACAAAAATTAGCTGGGCGTGGTAGTGCGTGCCTGTAATCCCAGCTACTCAGGAGGCTGAGGCAGGAGAATTGCTTGAACCTGGGAGGCAGAGCTTGCAGTGAGCCAAGATCGCACCACTGCACTCCAGCCTGGCGACACAGTGAGACTCCGTCTCAAAAAAAGAAAAAAAAACAAAGGAAGGACTTGGAAATCGTTGAAACTTGCAAAGTCTGGTGGTTGTGGAGTCCGTTTGGCATGCATCCAATGTGCATTTAATTTTAGGCTGAATTTAAAATCGTTTGTTCTCCTCCCTCCCCCAACACACACACACACACTCCACACACACAATGAAATCTCGCTCTCTCATTTAATTTTCACAACTGCAAACAAATCTATGAACTCACATCAAGGTCATGGAGCCAAACCCTATGGCAAGCAAGGTGGCTTAGGTGTGCTCCACAGTCTGTCAAGGAACGCTGGGATGTGGCAGTTGTATTAAAGACAGGGTTAAGAATGTCACACCTGCAGGCACAGAGAGATTTTTTTGTGCTCATTTCTTTGGTTGAACTCAGAGGATCTGCAAATCAGGGCAGTTGGTCAAGTGATCTGGAATCAAGTCCAGACTCTATTGTTTACCATTTGTGAGGCTCTGGACAGGTTATTTTTTCTTTCTGGGCCTTACTCTTCTCATGCATCAATGGGAATAACAATGTTTACCCCCAGAGCGTTATTATTAAGTATGATAATATTTTTATTTTTATTTTGAGACAGGTTCTCACTCTGTCGCCCAGGCTGGAGTGTAGTGGCAGTGGTGTGATTATGGCTCATTGAGCCTCAACCTGCTGGACTCAAGTGATTCTCCTCAGCCTCCTGCGTAGGTGGGACTACACGTGTGTACCTCCACACCTGGCTGAAGTTTTTAAATTTTTGGTAGACATGGGGATCTTACTGTGTTGCCCAGGCTGATCTCAATCTCCTGAGCTCAGCGATCCTTCTGCCTCAGCCTCCCAAAGTCCTGGGGTTACAAGTGTGAGCCACCAAGCCTGGGCTATTAATATATAAGTATAAGGATTAAGTGAACTGATATATAATCACCCCTTCAGTAACTCCCCTCCCACTTAAAATAAAATCCAAGAAACCAGGATGTCTGGTCATTCTAACTCTAGATTACTTTGGACTTCAAAGCTCCTATGCAATAATGATGCCTGAAACCTAGAAGAAAAGGACCAGAATTCCAGAGGGTCCAAACTTACTTTCTGAATTCTGCCAAGGAGAAACAATATCCTATACACAGCTTGGCAGCTAAGGGAGAAGGCAGCCATGGTCCTTATCAACAGTGACCATCTATAGGATCATCTAAATTGGGACGCTCGTATGGATACAACAGATACTATTAATAATCACACGGGGACCGCAAGCATTAACCAGGACAGTCCTGGGCAAATTGGGCTGCAGGCTCACCCCAGTGTATCTATTTGCAGAATCTGGAGGGCGGGCCTCCTCAGCAAGCCTCTGGCGCATGTTTGAACTGCTCTTAAGCTGTTAAGCACTAAGCGCTGTCATCAAAGTGTTTTTCTGATAAGAAGCTCGAAGTCCACTGAGAAGAATCCAGTTGAGATAAATGGGCTCTCTACTCTGTGTCCATGTTACGGTTTTCAAGGTTCAATAGTTACCTGCCTAGGGTCTCCTCTGTAAGTCACCAATAACCCAGTTTGATTGTATTAAAAGCGCTGGAGTTTCTTAGGTCAAAAAGAACTGGCATAACTGATGTAGAAATAGCAGTTATTATTTTCCCAGCAGCTCTTCCACTCCAGGCACTGTTCTGAGTCATTTCAGCATCGTGATCTTTCTTGGAGGTGGTCGTTGTTAGACCCATTTTACGAGCGAGGACACTCAGGCTCAGAGTAAATAAGGAACTTGTCCGAGGTCACACAGCCTATAAGGGGCAGGCCTAAGAATCTGAATCTGGGGAGGTCTGACAGCAGGTCCTGGGCTCTTTATCTGTGTGGCCTCTTTCTTGTGTGGCGGTCTTTGATCTGCATCTCCTGGAGCCCTTGGGTTAATTGATCTGTCCATAGGAATCCTTAACCAGGTGTCCACGGACTCCCAAGCAGTCCTGGGATAGAATTTATGATACATTGATTAACAAACAGACAAACAAACAAAAACACATATATACTCTAATCTGCATTTTCTCATTTTTCCCCTTTCTTTCTTTTTTTTTTTTTTGTTTGAGACAGAGTCTCGCTCTGTCGTCCATGCTGGAGTGTAGTGGCGCGATCCTGACTCACTGCAACCTCTGCCTGCCAGGCTCAAGCGATTCTTGTACCTCAGCCTCCTGAGTAGCTGGGACTACAGGCGTGTGCTGCCACGCCCAGCTGATTTTTGTATTTTAAGTAGAGACAGGGTTATGCCATGTTGGCCAGGCTCGTTTCGAACTCCTGACCTCGTGATCTGCCCACCTTGGCCTCCCAAAGTGCTGGGATTACGGTCGTGAGCCACCACGCCCGGCCTATTTTCCACCTTTTGAATATAGGCAAACCACAGCAGAATTAGCAGTCCTTGAGACTTTGTTGCCAGTGGAAACCAGATATTTTCATCTTACACCAGAGTTACAAATAATAGGAAGTATCCTCTATAGTTATTGCTATCTCAAAATTACAGTTGTTAGAATCTGCACTGCATCTTGTCACTTAATGTGTTAATAAAAATGCACACATATTACCATATTATACATTTGTTTTAACATTTTTAGGGGAACTGCATTTTAATGTAATTGGATTTCTTTGCAAGCCTGTGCATTTTTTTGTCCTGAGAACGGGATCACAGGCTTCCTCAGACAACCAACAGGGTCCACGGTACAAAAAGATGGAACTACTGCAAAGAGTTGACGAATGGGCCAGTTAGTAAACAAATCATTCACTCTTTATGTGCAAAATTTTATCTAATTTCTCCATAACATCACCAAAACTTGCACATGTAAGTAGAGAAAGCCTTAATGGAAATTTCTCATTCATTTATTTCTTTTCTTTCTTTTTTTTTTTTTGAGACGGAGTCTCTGTTGCCCAGGATGGGGTGCAGTGGTGCGATCTCAGCTCACGGTAACCTCCACCTCCTGGACTCAAGCGATTCTCCTGCCTCAGCCTCCCGAGTAGCTAGGACCATAGGCACATGCCACCGTGTGTGGCTAATTTTTATATTTTTAGTAGAGACAGGGTTTTGCCACGTTGGCCAGGCTGGTCTCGAACTCCTGACCTCAGGTGAGCCACCCTCCTTGGCCTCCCAAAGTGCTGGGATTACAGGTGTGAGCCACCATGCCCAGCCCATTTATTTCTTAAATGGATGTTAATTGGGCACCTCCTGGGTACCAGGCCCTGTGAATGGCATGGGAGATACAGGAGGGGACAGGACAAACATAGATGAAAGCCCCAGCTTTCGTGGAGCTGACATGATAAGCGGTCAAAGCAACAATCAAACAATAATCGTACATAGAATTAGCTAACCCAAGTGTGACGAGCTGTGGCAGAATGCACTGAGAATTCTTTAACCAAGTACTGCTTGGCCAAGATCTGAAAGATGATCAAGTGCCAACAGGCAGAGAGTTTAGGCAGAGCAGCCCAGGCTCAGCACCAAGGAGCTGAAGCCAGTTCTCTTAGGCCAACCAGAGCCAACTGTTAAATTTTCAGGAATTTTGTGACCTGATTGTTAAACATAGCCATTATTAAAATGGTTATATAAACTTACAATTAAATAAATTATATTGAAAATAAATATCTCTAGCATGGCTCTAGAGATCTTAACAGGTGGATACTGCTGTATTCTTTTTTTTGAGACGGAGCCTCGCTGTCCCCCAGGCTGGAGTGCGGTGGCGCGATCTCGGCTCACTGCAAGCTCCACCTCCCAGGTTCACACCATTCTCCTGCCTCAGCCTCCTGAGTAGCTGGGACTACAGGCACCCGCCACCAAGCCCGGCTAATTTTTTGTTTTTTAGTAGAGACGGGGTTTCACCGTGTTAGCCAGGATGGTCTTGATCTCCTGATCTCGTGATCCACCCGTCTCGACCTCTCAAGAGACTGCTGTATTCTTATACCGTGCAAGGATAATGGAACCCTCCCTCCCTCCCTCCCTCCCTTCATTCCTTCCTTCCTTCCTTTTTTTTTTTTTTTTTCTGAGGCGGGGTCTTACTCTGTTGCCCAGGCTGGAGTGCAGTGGCTCAATCTTAGCTCACTGCAGCCTTGAACTCCTGGAATCAAGCAATTCTCTCATGTCAGTCTCCTGGGTAGTTGGAACTACAGGCGCATGTCACCATGTCCAGTTAATTTTTAAACTTTTGTAGAGATGTGATCTCACTGTATTGCCAGGGCTGGTCTCAAACTCCTGGCCTCAAACAATCCTCCTGCATTGGCTTCCCAAATTACTGGTATTACAGGTGTGAGCCACCACACCCAATCTCCCATACATTCTATCCAATTGTATCTTGAACACCACTCATTTCAGCAGTGAACATTATTTCTAGTATCCTTTCCAGCAAACCCTCTGGTGCAGGGTCCTATAATATCTGAAAGACTTAAGCAACTGTCACTGCCTGGTGGGTTCCTGATTACCATACTTTAAATACTGACTAATTCACTCTGGGTTGCAAATTCAAGTTCATTAATACACATTTCCTCCTGCTTCACATTATTTACTCTGGAGACTTTTTTTTTTTTTTTTTTTTTGAGACAGAGTCTCACCCTGTCACCCAGGCTGAAGTGGAGTGGTGGGATCATGGCTCACGGCAGTCTTGAACTCCAGGGCTCAAGTGATCCTCCACCTGAGCCTCCCAAGAACCGGGACTACAGGTGCATGCCACCTATGCCAGGCTAATTTTTATTTATTTATTTTTTTGAGGCGGAGTCTCGCTTTGTTGCCCAGGCTGGAGTGTAGTGGCATAATCTCGGCTCACTGCAACCTCTGCCTCCTGGGTTCAAGTGATTCTCTTGCCTCAGCCTCCTGAGTAGATGGGATTACAGGTGTGTGCCACCACACCTGGCTAATTTTTGTATTTTTAGTTGAGACGGGGTTTCACCATGTTGGTCAGGCTGGTCTCGAACTCCTGACCTTGTGATCTGCCCACCTCGGACTCCCAAAGTGCTGGGATTACAGTCGTGAGCCACCATGCCTGGCCTTATCAGGCTAATTTTTAAAGTTGTTTTTGGAGAGACAAAGTCTCCCTATGTTTCCCAGGCTGGTCTTGAACTTCTGGGCTCAAGTGATTTGCCTGCCTCAGCCTCCCAAAGTGCTGGAATTATAGGCATGAGCCACTGCTCCTGGTCATGTTATTTACTCTGAAGTACTCTTATAGTAAACAACAACACATATGAGATCATAATGTCTAACATCACCAGTTTATCCCGAATTTTGTTGCATTTCACTATTTCTTCTGTTCAGCATCAAATGTAGAAGGTGGGTTGTGTTTTGGGTTCCTATCATTCAAAATTTCTGTACCGTTAAACCCTACAATTACACATAGTGGAATGAGACGTTGTCACCATGAGAGGTAAAAAGGAGACAGGACCCCACTGAGGAAACCAGGGATTCATGCCTCTGACCTCCAGCTCACCCCAGGATACACACTCAGTGATGAAATAATCCTAACCCTAAATTGCATGAATTACATTGTTCTCCCTCCCTGTCCCTTTCCTCTGATCCATCTCTTTTGCAAAACTCATGCAATCTGAGTGTGTTTCATGGTAAAATTGTAATGTATACAGTTTTCCCATTTGTGTTTTTATTTGCAAACTGACAGCCGCTTAACCCTGGCACTCGTGGAAAATATTGCCTTGGAAAACGACCTCACCTGACTATGGCATCCATGAGGAGCAGTGAATGATACTGATAGGGGTTAAGACTTGCTTGCCCCTCTGCTTTTGCACAAGTGGTGCCTCTGCCTGGAATACCTTGACCTGCCTCCTGAGCTGTGTATCCAAATCTCAGTTCTGGCATCCCTCCCTCTGTGATGCCATCCTGGGGATCTCCAGCAGAGTCATCATGGCCTTCTTTGTCCCTGCCCCTTACATCTGCTGTGATACTTTTCCTGGAGGTCAAAACACAAATACGTAGAATGCTCAATTTCCACAGAAGGCTAAGAAATGAACCAAGTGGGTTGGGGGTGAAGAACCGGGAACCAAGGCACCAGAGTGAACTGGGAAGCCTGTGCTGGGTCCAAGGGTGCAGCTGCTGCTCAGGCCTGGCCTGGTTTCTATGAGGAATGTGGGCTCAGGGTAGCCAGAGCTCCTGATTTTTCAAGAGAACTGGAAATCTGAACTTTCTTTTTTTGACATATGTCTATCTTTAAAGGCAGTTGTTCCAGATTTTAAAATGACTCCATTCAGAGTTGATAAATCACACACATTCACAGAATAAATCCACTCCACGGGCCACCAGTGACAGCCCATGCTCTAGGCAAAACTCTCCGGAGTCTGAGGCTCTGTCCTTTCTTTCTCAAATTCCCAGTGCCTGGGGCACGGAACCTGGCATGAAGAGGCACTTAGGAAATGTTTGTTGAGTGAATAGATGAGGCAATGAATCATCAGGATATTAAAATTCTTTCCACTCTGCATGAGCCATACATATAGTGTAATTTGTATATTTATATATGCTTTCCTTCGGGCCCATGAACAAAGCCAGGTACTTGCCAAAGTGCAAAAAAAGTTTGATATTTGTATAACAATAATAAACCCAGGGCTGGGCGCAGTGGCTCACACTTGTAATCCCAGCACTTTGGGAGGCTGAGGCAGGCAGATTGCCTGAGCTCAGGAGTTCGAGACAAGTCTGGGCAACATAGTGAAATCCTGTATCTACAAAAATTAAAAAAAAATTAGCCAGGTGTGCATGCCTGTAGTCCCAGCTACTTGGAAGGCTGAAGTGGGAGGATGGCTTGAGCCCAGAAGGTGAAGGTTGCAGTGAGCCGAGATTGCACCACTGCACTCCAGCCTGGGTGAAAGAGTAAAACCCTGTCTCGAAAATAAATAAATAAATAAATAACATTAAATTAAATTAAATTAAAATAGGACAGGCATGGTGGCTCACACCTGTAATCCCAGCACTTTAGGAGGCCGAGGTAGGCAGATAGCTTGAGCCCAGGAGTTCGAGACCAGCCCAGGTAACATGGTGAAACTTTGTCTCTACAAAAAAATAAAAAAATAAGATAAATAAAAAAAAATCAGCTGGACATGGTGGTGCATGCCTGCAATCCCAGCTACTCAAGAGGCTGTGGCAGGAGGGTCACTTGAGCTCAGAAGGTTGAGGCTTCTGTAAGCTGTGACTATGTCACTGCATTCCAGGCTGCGTGACAGAGTGAGACCCTGTCTCAGAAAAAAACAAACAAAAAGCCAGTAAAAATAAAAATAAAAAGAATAAACCCAGCAGCAAGGCATCTGTCATCCTCTCATACTGGTCATTATAATTTTTGGTTAATTCATAAAACTGCTCCACAAGGTAGGTCATATTATCAGCTCCATTTTACAGAAGAGGAAAAATCGGTAAAGCTCAGATCAATTCACCTGCCCAAGACCACAGAGTTGGCAAGTTTCCTGTTATCCTCAGGTTAAAAGCCAAAGTCTGTAAAATGGCGCTACAGGATCCCCCTTCACTCCCCATAGCCCATCTGACCTCATCTCTCCCTCTCCTTCATTCAACACCTGTCTCCCTGACTTCCTCAGACATCCCACATGTGCCCTGGCCTCTGGGCTTTGTCACTGACCCTCTGCGGGGGATGCTGTCGCCTAAGACCTTTGCATGGCTTCCTCTTACCTCCTTCCAGTCTTTGTTCAAATGTCACCTTTTCACTGAGTACTATACCTGACTCCCCTGCCCACTTAGGATCACAGCTCCCATCGCCTTCTGTTTCCCTCCCTTGTTTCCTTTATTTTTCTCCATAGTTTTTTTTTTAATCACCTTCTAACATACTATGTAATGTAATTATTCATTTTCTGCCTTCAACACTGTCAGGTTAAACTCCATGAGGGCAATATATATATATATATATATATATATATATATATATATATATATATATATATATATATATTTTTTTTTTTTTTTCTATTTTCTTCCCTGCTATATCTCTAGTTCTAGAATTGTGCCTGGCACAATACGAATTCTTAATTAGAAGGATAGTAATATGTATGCAGTCTTTTTTTTTTTTTTTTTTTTGAGACAGAGTCTCGCTCTGTCGCCCAGGCCGGAGTGCAGTGGCGCGATCTCAACTCACTGCAAGCTCCGCCTTCCGGGTTCGCGCCATTCTCCTGCCTCAGCCTCCTGAGTAGCTGGGACTACAGGCTCCCACCACCGCGCCCGGCTAATTTTTTTTTTGCATTTTTAGTAGAGACGGGGTTTCACCGTGTTAACCAGGATGGTCTCGATCTCCTGACCTCGTGATCCGCCCACCTCGGCCTCCCAAAGTGCTGGGATTACAGGCGTGAGCCACCGCGCCCGGCCTGTATGCAGTCTTAGAGTGGCCTGTCTGGGCTGAAATCCTGGCTGTGCCACTGGCTTTGTGACCTGGGAGAGTTTATTAACCTCAGTAAGCCTCAGTCTACTCGTCTGTCAAATGAGGCTACTATACTGCATTTCAACCAATCTAAGAAGCCACTGAAATACATTATTTTAGTGAACCACTAAGAAAAAAGTCACGAATTATAAAAGCCCATCAGATCTAAGACTCCTATAGGCTTTAGAAATATTTTAAGTAGGGGTGCCAGATAAAATACAGGATGACCAGTTAAATTTGAATTTCAGATTTTAAAAAATGAGTAATATTTTAGGATAAGTATATTCTATTTAAAATGTACTACTGGGAGGTGTATCTATACTAAAAAGTTATTCATCATTCATCTTAATTTCAAATGCAATCAGAGTCCTGTATTTTATTTGCTAACTCTGGCAAACCTAGTTAAAAGACAAAAAAAATGTATGTTCTAGACCCAGTGAAATGGTAGTGTATGTCGCATTAAGAGATGTAGGTTGAATGAATGAATGTAAGAAAAGTCTGGGCCGGGCGCGGTGGCTCATGTCTGTAATCCCAGCACTTTGGGAGGCCGAGGTGGGCGGATCACCTGAGGTCGGGAGTTCCAGGCCAGCCTGGCCAACATGGCGAAAAACCATCTCTACTAAAAATAGAAAAATTAGCTGGGTGTAGTGGCGCGTGCCTGTAATCCCAGCTACTTGGGAGGCTGAAGTAGAAGAATTGCTTGAACCCGGGAGGCAGAGGGTGCGGTGAGCCGAGATTGCACCACTGTACTCCAGCCTGGGAGACAGAGCGAGACTCCATCTCAAAAATAAATAAATAAATAAATAAATAGCCTGGCACATAGTAGGTGCTCAGTAAATGTTAGATGTTATTATAAAATAGCTAGGACCAGGCACATAGTAGGTTCAGTGCCTGGCACAGAGTGGGTACTCAGTAAATGTTAGATTACTATAAAATAGCCAGGACCAGGTCCATAATTCAACAGGCTAATATCTACTGGCCTGTAGCTCCTTGAAAGTGCTCCCTTTGATCCCCAAGGCTTGCCGAAGAGCTTCTTACACTGAAAGAACCCAGTAATACTTATTCAATGACTAGAGGCTCCTTTTTTGCTCAATGAATGGAGAAACCCCCTTTTATAAAAATTCAGTGACGGCAGAGCCCCCACTTTGTTTTTTACCCCTTTTCTACACTGATTCATTCATGGTTGCAGTCCTTTGAATGCACAGTGGGGCCACTTTGCTGGGAATAGTCTCTGAAGTCTGGAGAGAGAATCCTTTTAGATAAAGCCCCCACAATTAGCTCCTCTCCTCATCTGCCTCCTCCACCTCCTCCAGAGGCTGCTGCCTTCTAGGTTCTACCTTTGAGAGCTCAGGTGCCTGCTGCCAATTACATTTCCACCCTACTTGTGAAACTACTGTGTAATTAGCCTAATTACAGGATTGCAGGCAATGGCAGCAGGCTGCCTGGGAAGGGGTATTAACCCTGCATTTCCCATGCACGTTGCAAGCACTCAGTGTCTCAGGACTGGGGAGGTAGGCTGCAGGCCATCCACCCAGGTTCTGGGTGGCCACTCTTGCCAAGTTGTTCCTTCTTAATGGCCAGAATATTCGACAGTCTTTTCAGAGTCTGTCCACTACAAAGCAACAACAGCAACGTAGTAATACTAGCAGCACATACTCAGGGCCAAACATTTTCAACAGGACAGAAGTAAAAAGTGAGACATAAAAGTTGTCTGAACCTGCACACGTACTCCCTGATTCTAAAGTAAAAGTTGAAAAAAGAAAAAAAAACTGTCTGAACATTCATCACCTGCATTCCAGCTCCACACCCCAGAAGTAACAATATCTAAAATAACAATACCTATCAAATGTAGACAGAAATGTTCTACACACAAGCAAGCTATATGTATAGATGTAGTCTTTGTTCTGCTAATGTTTAGTCTCTCTAAATAATAAAAAATAAGTCAAAAACTAAGTACAATGTGTTTTATATAGATATAGTCACCCATAAATGTCTGTTCAATTTACTTCGCACAATGAGATTATACAATACATATGCTTTTGTGACTTGCCCTTTGTTGCTAAATAATATATCCTATCTGTCTTTAATGCCTACATATTAGTGCTAACTCATTCTTTTTTATAAGGCTGTGTAATATTCAACAGGAAGAACGTGTCATAATTTATTTAACTAGTCTTCCATTATGAAGCATTTAGATTGCAAACAGATTTATGCCATAAAAAGAATACATAATCCCAGCACTTTGGGAGGCTGAGGTTAGTGGATTGCTTGAGCCCAGGAGTTTGAAACCAGCCTGGGCAACATGGTGAAACCCTGTCTCTACAAAAATACACATACAAAAAAAAAATTAGTTGGGCATGGTGGGGTGCGCCTATAGTCTTAGCTACTAGGGAGGCTGAGGTGGAAGGAGCTTAGAAGATCAAGGTTGCAGTAAGCTCAGATCGTGCCACTGCACTTCAGTCTGGGAAACAGAGTGAGACCCTGTCTCAAAAAAAAAAAAAAAAAAAAAGTGCATGAAGCCACACAAATAAGTTCCTGGTGCTTGTGAAGGAGATGAGGGTGGGAGGCAGCTTCCAAATAGTTAGGTGTGGTCCAAGAAGCAGGGGTAGAGAGATCCACTATAAAGCTGCGTGTTAACCCTTTAGTTAGTTGCTGGATCCTAGGAAGCCCTAGATGATTCCAGGGAGAGGCATTGAAGGGCAGCTCTTGACCAACCAGTATGGAAACCGTCCTATATTTTAACTACCAGTGTGGTCTTCCTGGTCACAGCTCTTGATGTTGGCTATATTTGCTATATTTGAGTATATTCACAGGTTTCCAACCCTAGAATTCTTGGGTCAAATGGTATAAACTCTTTTAGTCTTAATGAGTCTGTTATCAAACTTTCTCTTGGAGTCTTTTTTTTCATAAAAATAAAACAGTAATAGTAATAGATGGCATTTATGAGAGCAAAGCAACATACTAAAGGCTTTTTATACTTGATGTCCTGCAATTTTCCCAAGAGGGCTATGCCACAGGCACTTTTATCCCCCTCATTTTACAGATGGGGAATCTGAGACTCAGAGGCTAATGACCTGCCAAGTTTCACACAGCAAATCAGAGGAGGTGCTGCGATTCCAATTCATTTCCATAAGGCCCTGAAACCACCATCCTACTGGCTTTCTAAATCTTATTGAGCTGGGACGGTGGCTCATGCCTATAATCCCAGCACTTTGGGAGGCTGAGGAGCCTGGATCACCTGAGGGCAGGAGTTTGAGACCAGCCTGGCCAACATGGCGAAACTCCGTCTCTATTAAAAACACAAAAAATTAGCTGGGCGTGGTGGCAGGTGCCTGTAATCCCAGGTTAACAGGAGGCTGAGGCAGGAAAATTGCTTGAACCCGGGAGGCAGAGGTTGCAGTGAGCCAAGATCACACCATTGTACTCCAGCCTGGGTGACAGAGAGAGACTCTGTCTCAAAAAAAAAAAAAAAAATCTTATTGGAACGTGAAGATCAGGAAGGAGGCCCACAGTCTTTCCACTGCAGGGTCCATGAGCACACCTGCTTACATGTGCAAAGACACACTTAGATGGAGATGGAGAGAAGAAGCTAGGATGAAAACTAAAGATGGCAAAAAGAGAAATTAATATCAGGTCACTGTCAACAGAAATTTGTGTCACAGTGAATGGCACTTCTAACAATTGGCTACACAACCTAGGCCTTTTCAGGCCTCAGATTTCTCATCAGTAAAATGGGAATGATTATCCAATCCAGTAGAACTGTTGAGCAGAATTGAGTTAATCCATATGAAATGCCTGAGGCCTGGTAGGACAATTCACAGTTACTGTTAAGGTATCTGCAATGAGAAGAACATCTTAAACTCTTGACAGCATAGTTCTATAATATATAACCAAGGAGGAGGATTGCCCTTTAAAGGTCTGTCATTCCCCTCAACAATCCAGCAACAGTCCTGCTCCAACCACATTAAAACTAGTCCAAAAAATTTCCCCAATCCTGTGAATAATTATTTACCATTAGAAAAATCAGAGATCCTGACTGGGCGCGATGGCTCATGCCTGTAATCCCAGCACTTTGGGAGGCCGAGGCGGGTGGATCATGAAGTCAGGAATTCAAGACCAGCCTGGCCAAGATGGTGAAACCCCGTCTCTACTAAAAATACAAAAAATTAGCAGGGTGTGGTGGCACGCACCTGTAATCCCAGCTACTCGGGAGGCTAAGGCAGAAAATTGCTTGAACCCAGGAGGCGGAGGTTGCAGAGAGCTGAGATCATGCCACTGCACTCCAGCCTGGGAGGCAGAGTAAGATCTGTCTCAAAAAAAAAAAAAAAAATCAGAGGTTGAGAGCAGTGGCTCACAACTGTAAACCCAGCACTTTGGGAGGCTGAGGTGGGCAGATCACTTGAGGCCAGAAGTTCGAGACTAGCCTGGCCAACACGGGGAAATCTCCATCGCTACCAAAAAATACAAAATATTAGCCAGGCATGGTGGCGCACACCTGTAGTCCCAGCTATTTGGGATGCTGAGGCAGGAGAATAGCTTGATCCCAGGAAGCAGAGGTTGCAGTGAGCCGAGATCATGCCACTGCACTCCAGCCTGGGTGACAGAGTGAGACTCTGTCTCAAAAAAAAAAAGAAAAAGAAAAAGAAAAACAAATCAGAAACATATGGTTAAATTAAAAAAGACAAAGATGAAAATTAACTGTAATGCAATCTACGGTACTGTTAACATTTTGACATTTATGTTGATATACATTTGTATTTATATACTTTTAAAAGTCCCAAATGTTCTGTCTTATTGCACATTCTGCTGGGGGGCTGTTTTTTCTCTCCTTCCAGGCCATTCTCCACTGTCTGACCATCTCATGCCTTGGAATCCGGCTTTTGGGTTTTGGGCAGCTCCCACAGCCCTCACTCTCTTTAACTGAAACACAAGGTCCACACGTTTTGAAAGGTTTTCTTTTTTTTTTTTTTTGAGATGGAGTCTCGCTCTGTTGCCCAGGCTGGAGTGCAGTGGCGAGATCTCTGCTCACTGCAAGCTCCGCCCCCTGGGTTCATGCCATTCTCCTGCCTCAGCCTCCCGAGTACCTGGGACTACAGGCACGCACTACCACGCCTGGCTAATGTTTTTGTATTTTTAGTAGAGACGGGGTTTCACAGTGTTCGCCAGGATGGTCTCGATCTCCTGACCTCGTGATCCACCCGCCTCAGCCTCCCAAAGTGCTGGGATTACGGGCGTGAGCCACCGCGCCAGGCCTAAAGGTTTTCCTTTCTGGCCTTCTTCTCTCACCATTTTCTCTCTGCTTGTCAGGTCTTTGAACAGCCTAACCTGCTTTCCTTGCTGAATCCTGGTAGGTACCGTGGGAATCTAGCTTCTTTACTCTGGGGGTCCTGGGGCCCCCCTTTCTGGGCAGCTGTCTCTGTACCCCCATCCCCTGTCATCACCTGATCACACTTCATTGTACTGATTGGATAACACCTGCTATGGATTGAATGTGTCCCCCAAAGTTCGTATGTTGGAAACTTAATCCCCGGTGCAACAGCATTGAGAGGCAGGGCCTAAACAAGAAGATTAGGTCAAATGAGGGCTCTGCCCTCATGAACGGATTAATGGTGTAATTGTGGGAGTGGGTTAGTTATCAAATGAGTTTGGCCGCTCTTGCTGGCTCATACTTTTTTGCCTTTTTGGCTTCCACTATGAGATGACACAGCAAGAGGGCTCTTGCCAGAGCCTTAAATCTTGGCTCCAGAGCCAAGAGCCAAACAAATTTCTTTTCTTTATCAATTACCTCCTCTGTTGTATTTGTTATAGCAACACAAAACGAACTAAGACATAATCTGTCAGTCTCCACCACTGGTCTGTGAACTACATGAAGGCAGCTGGCCATGTTATGATGAGCCAAAATATATCCTCAATGTCTAGCATAAGTGCGTGGCATGATGTGCTCAATACGCACTCACTGAATTAATGAGCAAATCTGTGTGATTTTTACTTACTATAGAACCTGAGCATGGGACGTATGTGTCTTTACATTCCATGAGACAGGTTAGGGTGGGAGAGTAAAGGATTGACCTGGGAACATGCTTCTTCACTGGGATACCTTAGAACCTAGATCATGGGCTTTGCTGTCTCTCAAGAATCATGCAAATGACAAACATCACTGTGACTCCCAGTATTGTGGGTGCTGGCTGGAGTTCATTCCAGCAAAGAGCTAGAGAAACAGGAATAATATTACTCATTACTATTGTGCTTAGACTTTCTATACGATACCCAGATTCTACAAGTATTGCACCCAGTTGCTGGTGCACAGAAACCAGAGTTTCAACCACATTGCTTTGCACAGACATTTCTTCTGCAGTTCTCATTACCACTTTTACTTAAAAGGCATGCAGGCTGGGTGTGGTGGCTCATGCCTGTAATCCTAGCATTTTGGGAGGCTGAGGCAGGTGGATCACGAGGTCAGGAGATCGAGACCATCCTGGCTAACACGGTGAAACCCCGTCTCTTCCAAAAAAAAAAAATACAAAAAAATTACCCGGGCTTGGTGGCGGGCGCCTGTAGTCCCAAGTACTCGGGAGGCTGAGGCAGGAGAATGGCGTGAACACGGGAGGCGGAGCTTGCAGTGAACCGAGATCGAGCCACTGCACTCCAGCCTGGGCAACAGAGCAAGACTCTGTCTAAAAACAAAACAAAACAAAAAAAGACTTGCAAACAGATGTCTTGTTTAGTTTTGCAAATATTTGATGTGCAGTGGGATACTGAAATTAACATCAATAGAGTCAATAGGCAGAGAACATTAAGAAAGTGTTTGTAGATGTGCAGGAAGGTTTACGCATGCATGCATGCGATTTCATGGGTGAGAAAAAGCAGAGCCATCTGAAGTGGTTGAGAATGTGTTTTCCTCCACAAAAGAGGTGTGATCTGAGAGAACAAAATAGAAACCCCTATATTGACTAAGATGAACGCAAAGATTAAGGAAACAAAGTTACCTATGAGTGGAGGGCTCAGGGCCTGGCTGGCATGGCACGTTTCTAAAATCCTATGGCTGCAAGAAAAACCACAACTGCTAAAGTTCCTAACAATAGGCATTACCAGATCTCTCCTAACTTTGATTTATAACCCAGATGACTACAGCTCTGATTGAACAAAGACCTCAACAAAATTCTTTTCTGATAAGTTGCTGCAGATTTTTAACCAGTTTCAGTCAGCTTGTAGAGGCTGTGCACAAACTGTCATGTCCTTTAGTTTACCTTTTGATGTAAAGAACCAAATTCCACCCGATTTTAGTGCTAAAACATAGGATGTGTGTTACATACATTTGATGGCTGATTGCTGTAGCTAGGACTTCCAGTACTATGTTGAGTAACAGTGGTGAAAGTGGACATCCTGGTCATGATCCAGATCTTAGAGGAAAGGCTTTCCATTTTTCCCCACTCCGTATAATACTAACTGTGGGTCTGTCATATATGGCTTTTATTATGTTGACTTATGTTCCTTCTATCCCCCTTTTTTTTGAGGCTTTTTTTTTTTTAATCATGAAGGGTTGTTGAATTTTGTCAAATACTTTTTCAGCATCAATTAAAATGATCATATAATTTTTGTCCTTCATTCTGTTGATGTGATTTGTCACATTGATTTGTGTATGTTGAGCCATCTTGCATTCCAGGGATAAATTCCACTTGGTCATGATGAATTATCTTTTTAATATTTTGTTGAATTTGGTTCACTAGTATTTTGTTGAGAATTTTGGCATCAATATTCATCAGAGATAGTGACCTGTAGTTTCCTTTTTTCTGGTATGTCTTTGGTTTTGGTTTCAGGGTAATACTGGCCTCATAGAATGAGATTGGAAGGATTCCTTCCTTTTTTATTTTTTGGAATAGCTTGAGTAGGATTGGCATTAGTTCTTTAACTGTTTTGTCAAATTCAGCAGTAAAGCCATTGGGTCCTGGGCTTTTCTTTACTGGGAGTAAATTTTTTATTATTTTTTATTATGACTTTGATCTCATTGCTTGTTATTGGTCTGTTCAGGTTTTGGTTTTGCTCGTAGTTCAATCTTGGTAGGTTGTATGTGTCTAGGAATTTGTCCATTTCTTCTACATTTTTCAACTTATTGGCACATAGTTGCTCACAGTAGCCACTAATGATCCTTTGAATTTCGGCAGCATCAGTTGTAATGTTGCTTTTTGCGTCTAATTTTGCTTATTTGGATCTTCTCTTTTTCTTAATCTGGCTAGAGGTTTGTCAATTTTGTTAGCTTTTCAAAGAGTCAATTTTTTTATGTCATTCATCTTTTGTATTGTTTTCAACACTTCAATTTTATTTATTTCTGCTCTGATCTTTATTATTTCTTTTTTTCTACTAATTTTGGGTTTGATTGCTCTTGCTTTTCTAGTTCTTTAAGATGCATCATTAGGTTTTTTGTTTGTTGTTTGTTTTTGAGATGGAGTCTCGCTCTGTCGCCTAGGCTGAAGTGCAGTGGTACGATCTTGGCTCACTGCAACCTTCACCTCCCAGGTTCAAGCAATTCTCCTGACTTAGCCTCTTGAGTAGCTGAGATTACAGGCTCCTGCCACAACGCCCGGCTAATTTTTGTATTTTTAGTAGAGACAGAATTTCACCATGTTGGCCAGGCTGCTCTCTAACTCCTGACCTCAAGTGATCTGCCCGCCTAGGCCTCCCAAAGTGCTAGGATTACAGGTATAAGCCACCATGCCCAGCCTCATTAGGTTATTTGAAGTTTTTCTTCTTTTTCTGATGTAGGCACTTATAAAAGTCCCTCTTAGTACTGCTTTTGCTGTATCCCATAGGTTTTGGTATGTTGTGTTTTCATTATCATTTGGTTCAAGAAATATTTCAATTTCCTTCTTCATTTCTTCATTGACCCATTGGTCATTCAGGAGCTTATTGTTTAATTTCCATGTATTTGTATAGTTTCCCAAACTCCTCTTGTTATTGGTTTCTAGTTTTATACCATTGTGGTCAGAGAAGACGACTGATATTATTTCAATGTTTTTTGGATGTTTTAAGACTTGTTTTGTGATCTAACATATGGTTTATCCTTGAGGATAATCTATGCGCTGAGGAAAAGAATGTGTATTCTGCAGCTGTTGAATAAACTGTTCTGTAAATATCTATTAGGTCCATTTGGACTACAGTGCAGATAAAGTCTGTAAGATCTGTACAATGCTGAGAATAGAGTGCCGAAGTCTCCAGCTATTATCGTATTGGGGCTTAGCTCTCTCTTTAGCTCTAATAATATTTGTTTTATGTATTTGGGTGTTCCAGTGTTAAGTACATATATATTTACAATTGTTATATCTTCTTGCTGGGATTGATCCCTTTATCATTATACAGTGACTTTCTTTGTCTCTTCTTATACTTTTTCACTTGAAATCTATTTTGTCTGATATAAGTATAGCTACTCCTATACTTTTTTTGGTTTCAATTGGCATGCAATATCTTTCTCCACCTCTTTATTTTTATTCTGGGTGTGTCTTTTTATTTATTTATTTGTTTTTAATTTTTTTGAGATGAAGTCTCGCTCTGTTGCCCAGGCTGGAGTGCAGTGGTGTGATCTCGGCTCACTGCAACCTCAGCCTCCTGGGTTCAACCGATTCTCCTTCCTCAGCCTCCTGAGTAGCTAGGATTACAGGCGCCGCCACCATGCCTGGCAAAGTTTTTGTATTTTTAGTAGAGACAAGGTTTCACCAATTTGGCCAGGCTGGTCTCGAACTCCTGACCTCAGGAGATCTGCCTGCCTCTGCCTCCCAAAGTGCTGGGATTATAGGCCTGAGCCACCACGCCCAGCTCTATGTGTGTCTTTGGAGGTTAAGTGTGTCTCTTATAGGTAACAGATCATTAGGTAGCAGATCATTAGGTCTTTTTTTTTTTTTTTTTTTTTTTAGTTGATAGGTAAGAACTTACTCCTGGCATTTTGTTCTTTGTTTTCTGGTTGTTCTGTGGTTTTTCTTTTTCTTTCATGCTTGTCTTTTTTTTTTTTTAATGAAGGTGATTTTCTTTGGTGATATGATTTAGTGTCTTGCTTTTTATTTTTTGTGTATTCATTGTATGTTTTTTGGTTTGAACTTATCATGAGGCTTGCTAATACTATCTTATAACCCATTATTTTAAGCTGAAAACAATTTATCACTGTTTGCATAAACAAACAAAAAGAGAACTAATAAAGACTCCACACCTTAACTTTTTCCACTTTTCTTTTTAACTTTTTGTTGTTTCCATTTATCTTATTGTAGAGTCTGTGTCTTGAAAAGTTGTTGTACTTATTATTTTTGATTGGTTCATTGTTTAGCCTTCCTACTTGGCATAAGAGTAGTTTACATACCACAATTACAGTGTTATAATATTCTGTGTTTTTTGTGTACTTACCAGTGAGTTTTGTACCTTCAGATGCTTTCTCATTGCGCATTAACACCCTTTTCTTTCTGATGGAAGTACTCCCATTAGCATTTCTTGTAGGGAAGGTCTGGTGTTGAGGAAATCCTTCAGCTTTTATTTGTCTGGGAAAGTCTTTATTTCTCCTTCATGTTTGAAGGATATTTTTCCTGGATATACTATTCTAGAGTAAAAGGTTTTTCCTTCAGCACTTTAATATATCATGCCACTGTCTCCTGGCCTGTAAGGTTTCCACTAAAAAGTCTGCTGCCAAAGGTATTGGAACTCAATTGTATATTTGCTTCTTTTCTTGTGCTGCTTTTTAACATTTCTTACTTATCCTTGACATTTGGGAGTTTAATGATTAAATGCCTTGAGGTAGTTTTCTTTGGGTTAAGTTGGCTTGGTGGTCTATAACCTTCTTGTGGCAGGATATTGATATCTTTCTCTAGGTTTGATAAGCTCTCTGTTATTATCCCTTTGAATAAACTTTTTACCCCTATCTCTTTCTCTACCTCCTCTTTAAGGCCAATAACTCAGACTTGTCCTTTTGAGGCTATTTTCTAGATCTTGTAGTCATGCTTTGTTGTTTTTTATTCTTTTTTTTTTGGCTCCTCTGATGTGTATTTTCAAATAGCCTGCCTTCAAGATCACTAATTCTTTCTTCTCTTAATCAATTCTGCTGTTAAAAGACTCTGATGCATTCTTCAGTATGTCAGTTGCATTCTTCAGATCCAGAATTCCTGCATGATCCTTTCTAATTATTTCAATTATCTTTGTTAAATTTACCTAATAGAATTTTGAATTCTTTCTCTTTTTTGTTTTTGTTTTTGAGACAGTGTCTCACTCTGTTGTCCAGGCTAAAGTGCAGTGGTGCAATTATGGCTCACTGTAGCCTTGACCTCCCAGGCTCAAGCGATCCTTCCACCTCAGCCTCCTAAGCAGCTGGGACTAGAGTTGTAAACCACCACGCCTGCCTAATTTTTAAATGTTTTATAGAGACAGAGTTTCCCTATTTTGCCCAGGCTGGTCTCAAAGCCCTGGGCTCAAGCGATCCTCCTGCCTTGGCCTCCCAAAGTGCTGGGATTACAGGCATGAGCCACTATGCCTGGCATCCTTCCCTTTCTTATCTTGAATTTCTTTGAGTTTCCTCAAAACAGCTATTTTGAATTCTCTGTCTGAAAGGTCACATATCTCTGTTTCTTCAGGATTGGTCCTGGGTGCGTTATTTAGTTCATTTGGTGAGGCCATGTTTGTCTGGATGGTATTGATGCTTATAGATGTTCTTAGGTGTCTGGGCATTGAAGAGTTAGATATTTATTGTAGTCTTTACAGACTGGGCTTGTTTGTGCTTGTCCTTGGGAAGGCTTTCTAGATATTCAAAAGGACTTGGGTCTTGTGATATAGGTTGTGTCTGCTTTAGGGGGCCCAAAGCTCAGTAATTCTGTGGTTCTTGCAGATTTGTAGAGGTATCGCCTTGATGGTCTTAGACAAGATTCAGTAGAATTCTCTGGATTACCAGGCAGAGATTCTAATTCTCTTCTCTTACCTTTTCCCAAACAAATGGAAACTTTCTGTCTGTTTTGAGCCACCTGGAGCTGTGCATAGGCTGATACAAGCATCCCTGTGGCCACCACCGCTAGGACTGCACTGGGCCAGGCCTGAAGCCAGCATAGCACTGGGTCTTGCCCAAGACCTGCTGTAAAAAGTCCCTGGCTAAGGCTTATGTTCACTCAAGGCCCTGGGGCTCGATAATCAGCAGATGGCAAAGCCAGCCAGGCTTTTATCCTTCCCTTCAGTGTGGCAAGTAGCCCCAGGCCCCGGGCATGTCCACAGGTGCTGTTCGGGAGCCAGGGACTAGAGTTGAAAACCTTAGAAGTCTACCTGTTGTTCTATCGTACTGCAGCTGAGCTGGCACTTCACCACAAGATGCAGTCCTTCCCACTTTTCCCTCTCCTTTCCAAAGGCAGAGGAGCCTTACCACATGGCCGCCAACTCCACGGACCCACAGGGAGTACTGCCAGATTGGCATTGTGTTCCCTTAGGGCCCAAGGGCTCTTGGGTCAGCTTGTGGTAAATGCTGCCTGGCCAGGGACTCTCCCTTCAGGGCAGTGGGCTCCCCTCTCCTCTCACCCAGGTCAGGTACAGAAATGTTGTCCAAGAGCCAAGACCTGGAATCAGGAATCCCAAGAGCCCACTTGGTGACCTATGCCACTGTTGCTGAGCTGGTACCTGATTTTTGGTTCTTATGAAGCTGTTTTTTAAATTTTGTGCAGATAGTTGTTAAATTGGTGTCCTTGTGCGGGGATGATGAGTGTAGCATTCTATTCCTCCATCTTGCTCCACTCCAGGTCTCCCTAGAGATTATTTAAAGTATACAGGAGGATGTATGTAAGTTATATGCGAACACCATACCATTTTATATCAGATAATTGAGCATCCATGGATTTTGGTATCCTTGGAGGATTCCTGGAAGCAATCTCCATGGATACCAAGGGATGACTGTATATGAGATCATATTATAACAACCATTTGGCCAAGTGCAGTGCCTCATGCCTGTAATCCCAGCACTTGGGGAGGCTGAGGCAGGTGGATCACCTGAGATTGGTAGTTCAAGACCAGCCTGGCCAACATGGTGAAACCCCATCTCTACTAAAAATACAAAAAATTAGCCGGACGTGGTGGCAGGCACCTGTAATCCCAGCTACTTGGAAGGCTGAGGCAGGAGAATTGCTCAAACCTGGGAGGCAGAGGTCGCAGTGAGCCGTGGTCATGCCATTGCACTCCAGCTTGGGTGACAAGAGCAAAACTCTGTCTAAAAAAAAAGAAACCACTTTCTCTGTGTTTTAGTCAAAGACATTATGAGCACCTTTCATTAAATATTCTTTCTTTCTTTTTTTTTTTTTTTTGAGACACAGTTTTGCTCTTTTTGCTCAGGCTGGAGTGCAATGGCACGATCTTGGCTCACTGCAACCTCTGCCTCCTGGGTTCAAGTGATTCTCCTGCCTCAGCTTCCCAAGTAGCTGGGATTACAGGTGCCTGCCACCACGTCCGGCTAATTTTTTGTATTTTTAGTAGAGATGGGGTTTCACCATATTGGCCAGGATGGTCTCGATCTCTTGACCTCATGATCCACCCGCCTTGGCCTCCCAAAGTGCTGGGATTACAGGCATGAGCCACTGCACCCAGCCTCATTAAATATTCTTTACTCCAGTTCTTAGAGCTATCTAGTATTCTGTTTTATGGTGGGCTACAATATGTTATTCCTTCATCGTAAATTATTTAGGCAGTTTTCAATTTTTCACTATTTATTACAGTTCAATTTGGTGTTTAAACACATCTGTTTACCAGATGAAATAGTACTTGGGAAAAAGCTTTATGAAAATTTACATTATTACTTTCTTGTTATTTCCATTGTTGTTGGCTTATTTGACTATGTTACTCGTTTTGCCCTGGCCCAATGGAAAGTGCTTTGAGGGTGAAGACAGTTCCTTAATTCCTGCTTTGAGGTGTGCCATCCCCAGCACAGCATTGAACATAAGACAGATATTTCATGGGAGCGATCAGATGGGATGGTCAGTGATGCCTGGTCAATTGCAACAGACTCGTACTCTTTTGAAAACATTGATCACAGTGTATGTCCTTTTGTTGAGATGAAGTCTCACTCTTGTCGCCCAGGCTGGAGTGTAATGGCACGATCTCGGCTCACTGCAACCTCTAACTCCTGGGTTCAAGCAATTCTTGTGCCCCAGCCTCCCGAGTAGCTGGAATTACAGGCATGTGCCACCACACCTGGCTAATTTTTGTATTTTTAGTAGAGATGGGGTTTCACCATGTTGGCCAGGCTGGTCTCAAACTCCTGATCTCAGGCGATCCGCCCACCTTGGCCTCCCAAAGTGCTGAGATTACAGGTGTGAACCACCGCGCCCAGCCCTAGTCTATGTTCCTTTTAAATTAAAAGTATTTAGGAAAACATTTTATATATTTTAACTTTTTTTTTTTTTTTTTTGAGACAGAGTCTCCCTCTGTCACCCAGGCTGGAGTGTAGTAGTGCCATCTTGGCTCACTGCAACCTCCACCTCCCAGTTCAAGCGATTCTCCTGCCTCAGCCTCCCAAGTACCTGGGACTACAGGTGTGCACCACCACACCCGGCTAATTTTTTTGGTATTTTTAGTAGAATCTGGATTTCACCACGTTGGTCAGGCTGGTCTTAAACTCCTGACCTCAAATGATCCACCTGCCTCAGCCTCCCAAAGTGCTGGGATCACAGGTGTGGGCCACTGCGCCCGGCCTATTTTAACTTTTAACTGTGCATCATACTCATTCAGAAATGTGTACATATCATAAATATACAACCCAATAAATTATCACACTGAGCATGTGTGGGTAATTGGCAGCTAGATCAAAACAATATTTCAGCACCCCAGAAAATCCCCTTTGTAGTCCACACTTAAGTTCTTGGTTTTGTTTGATTTTGTTTTGTTTTTGTGGTCATTGCAGGTGCTTTGGATTTTAGTTGCGTTGTTCATTTTCTTAATTTTTCAGATTCAGCCTTAGCAAATGGAATCTTGCTTATAGCAAGATTGTCAGTTACTGGTAAAAGGAGCTCTGGGGCCCAGCGCGGTGGCTCATGCCTATAATCCCAGCACTTTGGGAGGCAAAGGTAAATCACTTGAACCCCTACTCTACAAAAAATTAAAAGAAATTGGCTGGGCATGGTGGTGCGCACCTGTAGTCCCAGCAGCTACTTGGGAGGCTGAGGTGGGAGGATGACTCAAGCTAGGAGGTCGAGGCTGCAGTGAGCCATGATTGCACCACTGAACTCTAGTCTGGGGGACAGAGCAAGACCCTGTTCCCCCACAAAAAGACAGTCAGGTAGGCACTGGAGGGAACAGCATCCCCCAAAGTGGCTCCAAGCAAGGGCAAAAGCTCTGAAGTCAGAGCCAGGCTTTGGGCCACATTGAGGGAATGCGAATGAGACCAAGTGGCTGGAGCCCAAAGGGCCATGGGGAGGAGGCTGGAAATGAGACGGAATAGATGCTTCAGGCGGGCAGGTGAAGAGACAGATCTTGGAGGCACTCAGGTTGTAGGAACGTTTATATTTACTCTGAGGGAAATAGGGAGCCATGGGAGGGATGGGAGCACAGGAGTTATATGACCTGGCTTAGATCATTAAAAAGATCATCCTGGCCGCTACTAAGGTATTTACTGGGGGTAAGAATGGAATCAGGAAAACTAGTTTGGAGCCTGTTACAACAATCTGAATGGGAAAAGATGGTCCTTTTTCTGATATTTATTGTTGTTTAACAAACTACTTCAAAACTTCTGGCTTAAAACATCAATGGTTTATTATTTTTCATGATTCTGGAGGCTTCTGGCAATTCTGTGCTTCGCGAGTATTGGCTCAGTCATATTGTCTCCCTTCTTTGCTTGCCTGGTAATTTTTATTTTTTTATATTTATTTATTTATTTATTTATTTAGAGGCCGAGTCTTGCTCTGTCGCCCAGGCTGGAGTGCAGTGGCTCGATCTCTGCTCACTGCAAGCTCCGCCTCCCAGGTTAACGCCATTCTCCTGCCTCAGTCTCCCGAGTAGCTGGGACTACAGGTGCCCGCCACCACGCCCAGCTAATTTTTTTTGTATTTTTAGTCGAGGTGAGATTTCACCATGTTAGCCAGGATGGTCTCAATCTCCTGACTTTGTGATCCACCCGCCTCGGCCTCCCAAAGTACTGGGATTATCGGCGTGAGCCACCGCGCCAGGCCAATTGTCTTGTAATTTTTAAAGAACTGTTTGCCAGCCAGGTACGGTGGCTCATGCCTATAATCCCAGCACTTTGGGAGGCTGAGGCAGGAGGATGGCTTGAGGCTAGGAGTTTGAGAACAGCCTGGACAACATAGCTAGATCCTGTGTCTATTAAAAAATTATAATTTTTAATAAAAAATTGTTTGCCAGGAATGTATTTTACTTTGTTGGGTGCAGGATATTATGTTTCTGTGAATTATCTCAAGTTCTGTTCTGGGATGCAGTTAAGTTCCTTGGAAATAGTTTGATCCTTTTAGGGTGTAAGATGTGTTAAGTGGGATCAGAGCAGTGTTTAGTCCAGAGCTAATTATTCTCCACTACTGAGGCAAGATGCTTCTGAGGGCTCTGCCCAGTGCCTTGTGAATTGTGAGATTGTCCAGGCTGCCTGCGTGAGCTCCAATACTAGTTCCTCTAATCCAATGCTCTAATTCAAGAAAATATGACAGAGTTCATTGTTGTGAAGCAGAGTTGCCCAGGAAGCCCACAGAATCATGAGAAATAATAAAAATTTGTTAAATAATAAATAACTGAAAAAAAAAAAAGAGCTGGATCCAGGTCTTTGCACAACCTCAGGTAGGTGTTGCTAGTGTGTGCCAATCAGAGCTCAGCTGAAGACCTCTGGTGGGCCCTTTGCCGATCTCTGGAGCTCTCTCTCTGCAGTATTTTGCTCTCTGGTATGCTGTCCACCTGAATTCCCTCACTGCCTCAGTCTCCCCTGCCTCTCAGCTTCATCTCAACTCAGAGAGAGCCTGTCCTGACCCTCCTGGACATGTTGAGTTTAATGTGCCTCTTACCATACTAGTGAAGATTCCTTGAAATGCCGTCTGGAAGAGGTCCCTTATAAACAAACTCCTGGATTTCATAACTCAGAAAGGGGAAACCAAACATCGTATGTCTTCAGTTATAAGTGAGAGCTAAGCTATGAGGATGCAAAGGCATAAGAATGATGTGATGGACATTGGGGACTCCGGGGGAAGGGTGGGAGGGGGTGAGGGGTGAAAGACACATTGGGTACAGTGTAGACTGCTCGGGTGATGGGTGCACCAAAATCTCAGACATTACCACTAAATAACTTATACATGTAACCAAATACCACCTGTGCCCCCAAAACTATTGAAAAAAAAACAACAACAACAAAAAAGTCCTGGACTTCAATTGTCCAAGGTGAGTCAAAGACTCAGGCAAATCTCCTACGGAATGTCAGGTTGTCTATCAATTGATTGCCTTGTCATTTGGGATCTGATATTGGGATCAAATTGGCATCTGTAACTCCTCAAGTTATTTCAAGTACTGGGTCTTTGATTTGGTCTATGAGCCACAAAACCTTGTCTGTCTCCTTCCTGTTTAGCTAAAACAAACAAATAAGTAGTGATTCTGATAATCCCTTATTTAAAAAGTACACGTAACATGTAAGAGATTTTACTTGTGACCTATGAGCCGCATTATTATTTGTTATTAGTAGTAGCCGAAATGCTGACATTGATGAATGATAGGCTTTTCAAAATATTAGTTAGATGTAGTTAGTGTGTTCTTATAATAATAACACTCACTCATCAGCTTCAGTGTTAGCCAGGACTCTTGCTTGAAAATCATGGAAGTCAACTGAGAGTAATTTAAGAAAAACTTCTACAACAAATCCCCCTACAGAAATGAAATTTAGAGGCCCATTTAGCTCAAAAGCCTAAGACGTAGGGCCTGATTCAGTCTTCAGATCTCTCTCCTTCCCTGTCGATTCTGTTTCCTTCTCCCTATCTTCATTTTCAGCCTGGTGGGACCAGATTTACGTCAGCCTTAAAGTTTTGATCTCTAAATAAATAAATAAAAGAATAATTTCTCTGATATCTCTGGCAAAGTCCTGGGGCAGGGGGAATCTCAGGTGCCTAGGCTTAGGTCTCATGCCCCTCCTTGCTGTGGGGTCAGAAGAGGGTAAGCCCACAGGGTCATGTGACTTCAGCAGGCTTCCCACGGAGTGGGCTTTTTCATCCCTGGCAACATTGATACTCTGGGCTGGATGATTGTCTGTTGTGAGGCTGCCCTGTGCATTATAGGATGTTTAGCAACCTCCCTGGTCTCTACCCACTAAGATACCAGTAGTACCTCTCTCCTTTCCCCATAGTTGTGGTAACGAAAAATGTCTCTAGATGTTGCCAAATGTCTTCTGGTGGGCAAAATTGCCCCCATTAAGAAGCACTTCTATGAAGCAGGAGTACTTTCCTTTGGGTAGAGATGCTGGGCAAGACAGGGCAGGATGGCTAATGCCTAGAGTCCCAACACTTTGGGAGGCTGAGGCAGGAAGATCTCTTGAGTTCAAGAGTTGGAGACCAGCCTGGGGCAACATAGTGAGACCTTGTGCCTACTAAAAATAAAAAAAAAAAAATAGCCAGGTGTGGTGGTGCATGCCTGTAGATGAGCTACTTGGAAGGCTGAGGCAGGAGGATTGCTTGAGCCCAAGAGATAGAGCCTGTAGTGTGCTGTGATTATACCACTGCACTCCAGCCTGGGCAACAGAGTGAGACCCTGTCTCAAGAAAAAAAGAAAAGAAAAGAAAAAAAGAGAAACCGGGTAGGAAGACAGGCCCACCACCCAAGTCAATGTGTTTTCTGAGCAAAGCAGAAGGAGATGGATCTACAGATGCGATCTGTACTATGAACAATTTCAGTGGCTGCAACGTTGTGCAGTGCTTTAATTTCTCACAAAATAATTTTGGGAGAGGGTTCATAAAAACTGGGAAATACCTGTGAAAATGTGAGATTAATGTAAGTATCGTAGCAGAACCAGAATAAATGAAAGCTCTCTAGTGTCATGATGAAAACTATTAACTATTACTATTAACTATTAACTAAGACTGTGTCTGATTCATTGCTTGTAACACAATCCTTGAAACTGGGTGATTTATAAGAAACAAAATTTACTCCTTACAGTTCTAGAAGCTGGTTGAGGAGAGTCATCTGGTGAGAGGCTTCTTGCTGATGGGGCCTCTGCAGAGCCGCAAGGCTGCACAGGGCATCACATGATCACATGGCACAAAGGCTGAGCATTCTAGCTCAGGTCTCTCTTCCTCTTCTTATAAAGACACCAGTTCCACTCCCATAACAACCCATTAGCCCATTAATCCATGAAAGAATTAATTCATTCATGAGGACAGAGCCCTTGTGACCTAATCACCTCTTAAAGGTCCAACCCCTCAATACTGCCACATCGGCAATTAAGTTTCAACAAGAGTTTTGGAGGTGACGAACACTCAAACCATAGCAGACTGAAATACCAAGTTTTATTTTGGCTCAATATTGTACTAGGTACATGATCATTCTTAAATTATTTAATCTTTGAAATCATTGGTTTCCTCCAGTATAAAAGATGATAAATGATATCAGGCAACCAATTGCTGATGTATGTGAAACTGTGAAGTACTAGGCAAATGGAATATTATTTAAACATACTCTTCAATTAGTTGAATATGAAAGCTACTTTGGTGACTTCTGATTTTTTAGAATCAGAAAATTTCCTCCCTTCCTTTCTTCTTCCCTCCCTCTTCCCTCCCTCCCTCCTTCCCTCTGTCCCTCCCTCCCTCCTTCTTTCTTCCTCCCCATCCTCCTCCCTCTTTGTCTCTTCTTAATTTTTTCTTTCATCTTCTTTTTGGCTTGTTGGTTAATGTAGAGATATAAGTGTTGTAACAAATAAGTTACTATTATTTTCTAGTATGTTCCAAGAAGCAAAAAAAAAAATATTGCTTGCCTGATTTATTACCAGTTTATTCTGTTCCTGCTGTTAAAAAATTAGGGAAAAAAAAGGGAAAGGAAAGAAAAACATTTCCAGTTCGTTGAGCTAACTGGTGGGTGAGAGGCTGAGAAATGATACCATCCTTGCGAAGGCAGATATTATGTCCCAAGAGCACACGATGTGTATGTTCTCAACCTTCTGGCTCTGTTCCACCTTGGTAATAATCCAACCAGTTAATTCCGTGGGACTTAAGCTTCTGGTCTTTGTCTGAACAAATCAGAAATTGCCAGAAAATGTTAGAACAAATTGTAGATCCCAGTTGTAGTGAAGGGTAGAATATATCCCAGAAACAAAACAAATGACTTAATCCATTGTCAGATGTGGGGGCTCTATGATTCATCCCTTAAAAGAGAATTATGGTAGGGCTTACTTCCCAAGTGAAAGAAAGACAATGTGCTCTTCCATCTAATCCGATTGTAGGAAAATTTCGGAATGTCACCTTTTAGAGTAAACATTGCTTGACTCTTAGATTAGGTCTGTAATTTATGGTGCAGGATCTCCTTTAGAGTTTTCAGTAAAGAATGCTGTATTTGTTCCTTTTCTGTTTGCAAAAATAGGCGTTTGGGTGTGACATCCCTTAGGGTGATCATTATCAGTGGATCATTTTACATATTCTTGTGCCAATTCTAAAATAAGCACATATATTTCTCAACCAGTTGAGTATCTCCTAAATGATGCTTTCTTCTCAGTGGGAAGCTTTGGATACTTATGAAAAAAAAAATCAGAGTTCTTTAAGTTGGAGAGTCCACGCTGATATTCATCACAATTTGCATTTGAATAGTACAAACTACAGGAAACCATGGTTGGGGGGGGAGGTGAAATTTTTATTATGTGCTTGGCGAGGAGTCTCTGAGTGTTTATAGTTTGGGAACGGATACTAGCAGAAGGCTTTCTGTTGTTGTTAGGGACGGCTCACATTCCCTTCCCACCCACTCACTGCCATCTACAGCTCAGCTTTGGAGTCAGAATAGCACTTTTCCTACGTTTAGTAGGACTAAGAAAGATTTTTTTTTCTCCCCTTGGCATATTCCTGCAGCTGGATATTAGGGAAGCAAGGAAGCTGTTGAATAGCTTTCTAGCTAACCACATTCATAGTATTCTTTCTCATCTTCCTTCAGAGTTTCTGTTTAGTTTTGTTCTGTTCTAAGGACCTATTTCCTCTCTAATGAAATTTTCGTAGGACCCTGTTGTTTGAATGTTTGTTTCTGGACCCTTTGAGGTTTCTTTACTGGCATTGTTATTTTGATTGGAGAGCCAATTTGCTATCTGTGAACTTTTGCAGATGCGTGAATCGTGAGTGAGATAGAGAGGTGACATATATTTGAGTGTGTGGTATGGGGGAGAGAAAGAGTCACTTTTTGTGCTCTTCCGGGCACGTCTTCAAACACACCATGCTGTCCCCCACACAGTGAGTAGAATTATCCCAACTGTTTTTAAGTTTTAAAGTGCTAACAAACAGAAAAAACAATGAAAATAATTTTCTCTTCAAGGATCTCTGAGAACTCTGGCCACACCTCATTCTTAAAAGCATAATATGTGAGTGACTAGGACAGAATTCTTTCCCTGGATTCCCTTAGAGAATGTCTCACGAAATAACGTCTCATGGCAATGAATCATCGGCTCAGGATCCGACCAGTAAGCCACTGGCCACATTTCTATTTTTAAGAGTCACTAGGAAAAGTTGGAAATAATTTTAGAAAATAAAGAAAATACTCTTTGGCCTTTCTTTCATTTTCTTTTCATTTGGGGAGTAAGTGGAGAATGGGGGAAGAGATCTCATGTCTTTGATTCATGTAAAGCCAAGTTCTGGAAATATAGCAAACGCAGGAGAACTCTTTCTTAAGTGGTAGGAACAGTCCTAATTCCCACAGTTTAGGTTATCTGGTCTATTTCAAGGTTTTGGTGCGTGAGGTTTGGTGTCAACAGCATGATATGATCTGTGGTATACTTAGGGTTCCCAAATATGAATGTAGAAGCATTGAAATAATTTATTTTATTGGATTTGAATTCACTAAATATAGCCCTTGAGTCATGTATAAAATCTCATTGTTCTAATATGAAACAAATGCTGAGTTTATTGTCAAGCCTAATTAACATGTCATGAACATGGGGCACCTGTAAATGATAGAATCTGAGTTAACAACAGCTCTCTGACTGTGTGCACGGGCTGTTTGGAGGGCTTCTTCATGCTCAAAGTTCAACGGCATTTAGAGTTTCAACAGTTCACTGCTTCAATTTTTGTTTACTTTCGTTTCCCCTGGGCAGAACTCTCTAATCTGGGTTTAACTTTTTATACTATACTTGTGAGAGGTGCTCAAATTACCCTACTCCAATAATAGCATACTCTTCATATGGGAAATTTGAAAAGTGCCTCTGCCCACTCTATACAGAATTTCCTGTGCTGTACATTTATCCTGCTGAGACAGGAAACACAATTATTGTTTGGAATTAAGCTAGACCCTTGAGGAACATGAAGTTCTGCTTATGGTTTCCCCACCCCCCTCCATCATCAGACATGGGTGTTGTTTTATCAGAAATAAATAAAAACGGATAATGTAGCTACAAATAGCTACAGGGAAGGAAAAATCTATTTGTAAGATTTTTATTACTTGTGCCTAAATAAGATGGTTCTCTGAACATTTGCTGACTGTTTACAAGAGAAAAATAATTATTCCTGGCTTGTAAGCCTGTCAGGCCATCACAGAAGAAGGTACAAACTATTTCCACATTTTTTAACCCCCTCAGTTTCTCTATGATTATTCGTTGACTATTTTAGCTGGTGACACAATGAAAAAACAGAGTCTAAGCAATTTCTCTAGGAATCAAGATTTATCTGCATTTTTTTTTTTTTTTTTTTTTTGGCCAGAGTGGCGTGATCTTGGCTCACTGCAACCTCCGCCTCCCAGGTTCAAGCGATTCTCGTGCCTCAGCCTCCCAAGTAGCTGGGATTACAGGCATGTGCCACCATGTTCAGCTAGTTTTTGTATTTTCAGTAGAGACGGGGTTTTGCCATATTGGCCAGGCTGGTCTTGAACTCATGATCTCAGGTGATCTGCCCACCTTGGCCTCCCGAAATGCTGGGATTACCGGCATGAGCCACCATGCCCGACCTTGCATCTTTGGATAATCAAATATTACCTCTTCAGAAAAGACTTCCATGGAAGCCCCTTATGAAATACTGCCAGAGCCCTCACCTCCCATATGGCTCCATTTTCTTGTCCTGTTCACTTTCTTCAAAGCATTCATCACTATGAAGTATTATATTAATATATGTATTATTTACTAGCTTATACACCTCTAGGACAGTGCTACCCAACAGAAATATAATGCAAGCCACACAGGAAATTTAAAATTTTCTAGGAGTCATATTAAGAAAGTAAAAAGAGGTCAGGCGTGGTGGCTCACTCCTGTCATCCCAGAACTTTGGGAGGCCAAGGCAGGCAGAGAGCTTGAGCTCAGGAGTTCGAGACCAGCCTGGGGAACATGATGAAACTCCATCTCTACTAAAAATACAAAAATTATACTAGCTGGGCATGATGGTACACACCTGTAGTCCCAGCTACTCAGGAGGCTTATGTGGGAGGATCGCTTGATCTCAGGGAGGTCAAGGCTGCAGTGAGCCGTGATCATACCACTGCACTCCGGCCTGGATGACAGAGTGAGACCTCATTTCAAAAAAAAAAAAGAAGGTAAAAAGAAAATGAATACTATTATATTTATTATAATAGTAGTGTTTCATTAAACCCAGTATGTCCATAATATTATCATTTTAACATGTAATCAACATAAAATAATTGTTAATGAGATATTTTTTATTCATTTTTTGAACTAAGTCTTTGAAATCCAGTGTGTGTTTTACTCTCACAGCATATCTCAGTCCCGACCAGCCCCATTCAAGTGCTCAGTGGCCACTTGAGGCCTGTGGCTACCATATCAGCCTGCGTGGCTCATCTATAAACTCCAGGTGGTCAGCAACTTTGTTTTGTTCCCTAGAGCATTGACGCACACACACTAAAGACATAGTAAATAGTCAATGAAGTAGCAAATGAATGTTAAAATTATAAAGACCACAACTGTTTAGCCAAAGGTCTGTGTATTCAATGCCTTCCAGCATGTTGCAATGACTGTAGTTTTTCTCTTTTTCCTAATGTTTCCTTCTTGCCCACCAATCTAAGAATATCAAAATGCAAAGAATGTCACTATGATCATTTGTTTTGTCATTGAACTAGTTTTTCTGGGAAAAGCCAGATACCATATCCCGTGGTGACTCTCTGCCCACACACCCCTCTGAATGGATTCATTAAAGTTCCATTCTTGCATATTTTTTCCTCTTGGCTCTATGTTCCATCCCTTTAATCAATTCTTGAGCTGCTTAATTAGCAATGATTCAAAACATTTTTTAAAAGATCACGCATCCGTTGATATTTTGCCAGCACCTCCTTCCTTTCATCAAGGCCAATAAACAAAAATGCATTTGGCGCCTTCTTTGTGCCAGATACCATTGCAGTAGGAACTGCAGATATACTTTAGCGTAGCGAAGACCCCAGTCCTCTCCCTCAGTCCAGTGGGGAGAAAGTCAGTCATTACGATGAGGATGAGGAGAGTCTGGTGGTACAGACACGAGCTCTGGTGATGGACAATGGAGGTTCAAATCCTGGTGCTGCCACTTGCAGCTATATGGGCTTGAGCCTGTCACAATATATCTCTAGCCCTTAGTTTTTCCATCTGTAAAATGGGGATAATAATAGTATGTACAGGTATTAGTCAATTTTTACACCGCTATAATGAAATAACAGAGACTAGGTAATGTGTAAAGAAAAAGAAGTTTAACGGACTCACAATCATGGTGGAAGGCAAAGGAAGGCAAAGGCACGTATTACATGGTGGCAGGCAAGAGAATGTGTGCAGGGGAACTGCCCTTTATAAAACCATCAGATCTTGTAAGACTTATTCACTATCATGAGAACAGCATGAGAAAAACCCACCCCATGATTTAATTACCTCCCACCGGGTCCCTCCCACGACACATGGGGATTATAGGAGCTACAATTCAAGATGAGATTTGGGTGGGGACACAGCCAAACCATGTCAGTACCTCATAGTGTTGTGAGGATTAAATTATACATATGTGTTCTGTGGTGAGCAGGTCTACGCAAACCTACCCCAAAAGTCCTAAGAAGCTAAAAGACCAAAGAAAGTGGCTGACACAACGATTTTCTTGGAAAATAACATTTCATAGGGACTTACAAACAGAAAACATGTTTGTGTCTTGGGTGGTGGTGAGACAAGATGGTGGATCCTTGTGTCATTATCCCCCTGACCCAGAACTTCTATGTTATAGGGAAAGGTGACTACAAAGGGATGTTTAGGGCAATTGAAGTGCAATAACATCTAGATTGTTTGACCTCAGGGCAGAATTTACAGTAACTACCTGCTCTTACACAGGAACAATAGACAATCTGGAAATCTTGGAGGCCTTCTGGGGAACTAGGGTTAATCAGAAGTCAACATGTCGGGTTAGCTTCCAAGATGGCGCTGCTTTAGCCTCCACAATACGTGTCTTTGTTACTGATTGTCTTTATTACACATTATAACCCCTGTTAAGGGGTAGCCTTGGCTCATTGCTAGCAGTGGTTAAGAGACATACATATCTAATACATAAAAGTAATGACAAAAACCACAATTACTTTTCCACCAACCTAATGTTAATATTAAAACATGGCCCTTTAGAGCAATTCACAAGGCACACTAGCCCTGACACTGATGGGTCAGGTGACATTTCTTAGGGGAAGCACCTTCTCAACTGAAAGCCGGTGGCGAGTCCAAGTTGGCTGGATAAAACGTTTAAGCGGGAGGGAAGAGTGTGTGCAAAGACCCGGGATGAGGAACTATTCTGGCAGTTTAAGGAACTGGAATAAGTCAAGCCTGGCTGAGACACAAGCTCCAAAGCCTCTGGGAACCAGGTAGAATATATTAGGGTGAATCATATAATACTCAACAATTTTCAGACTATAAGAACAGCGATTACCTACGGTTTAGCCTAAGAGGATGGCTAAAGTGTGCTGTGTGTTAAAAACAAAAATGTAAACCACAACAACAGCAAGTTCCTTGATAAATTGTGGGGCAGGAAACATTGGGTCTCAATGAGCAGCCGTGGCCACTTGGGCTGGCGGAACATGTGGAGTGGAGCACCTGTGCAAAGGGTGGCCCCAGTGCATTGCCACCACAGACGCCCTGTGTGACTAAATACTCAGCTATGTGCATTTTTAAAGGGAAGTCCAAAAATAACACTTTATAGGTTGTCTTTTGATTTTAAAATGTTAGTGTGCTCTCTCTCTCTCTCTCTTTCTCTCTCTCTCCCTTTCTCTTTTGGCTAGGGGAGCAGAGTAGGGACCAGAGTATTTGCAGGCTGAATGTGGCCCCTAAACTACTTGAAGCCAATCTTTGGCTCAGAGTTTAGACTAAGGTGGGCAGGAATGAGGCACCTTCTGATTTTTTTAATTTTTAATTTTTAGGAGCACCTCGTTGAATGATTTTTTTACTTTTTCTTGCTCTGCTTGAAATCTTTTCCTTTTATTTTTTGAGACAGAGTCTTCCTTTGTTGCCCAGGCTGGAGTGCAGTGGCAGGATCTCAGCTCACTGCAATCTCTGCCTCCCGGGTTCAAGCAATTCTTCTGCCTCAGCCTCCGAAGAGCTGGGATTACAGGCATGTGCCACTATGCCTGGCTAGTTGTTTTTTTTTTATATATATATTTTTAGTAGAGACAGGGTTTCGCCATGTTGGCCAGGCTAGTCTCGAACTCTTGACATCAGGTGATACACCTGCCTTGGCCTCCCAAAATGTTGGGATTACAGGTGCAAGCCACCTTGCCTGGCCAGAAAATCTTTTCCTTCTAAAGCCCTCCAGTGGCTACTGCGGCACTTAGAATCAAGTTCAAATTCTTTGCCATGGTTTATAAGACTTCCCCCAGCCCTGACCTGATATACCCTGTAGCCTCTCAACTGTTGAGAGGAACCTCTTCTACTGTTCCTCCGTAACAGTGCTCTAACTGCACTTAACTTTAAAACAATTTTTTTTTTTGAGACGGAGTCTCACTCTGTCACCAGGCTGGAGTGCAGTGGCGCGATCTCGGCTAACTGCCACCTCTGCCTCCTGGGTTCAAGTGTGCCTCCCAGGTTCATTCAATTCTCCTGCCTCAGCCTCCTGAGTAACTGGGACTACAGGCGTGTGCTACCACGCCCAGCTAATTTTTGTATTTTTAGTAGAGACGGGGTTTCACCCTGTTGGCCAGGATGGTCTCGATCTCTTGACCTCGTGATCCGCCTGCCTCGGCCTCCCAAAGTGCTGGGATTATAGGCGTGAGCCACCGCGCCTGGCCTAAAACAATTTTTAAAACTCACCAAGTTTTTTTGCCCCAGGACCTTTGCACTGGCTGTTCTGTCTGTTTGATATGCGTCTCTCTTAGGTGATCACAAGGCTGGCATCTCCTCATTCAGAGTTCAGGTCCAATGTTATCTCCTTGGGGAGGCTGTGTCAAGGATCACCAAGTCACTCTCAGACTTGAGGACTTGCCAGGAGAACTCACAGGACTGAGCATCTAGTAGTGCGCATGACTCACGTGTATTGCAATAAAAGGACGCCAAGCCAAATCAGCGAAGGGAAAAGGCACTCGGGGTGATGTCTAGGGGAGACCGGGTGCAAGCTTCCAAGAACCCTCTTGCAGAGGAGTCACACAGGACGTGCGTACTTCCCCAGCGACAGTGGTGGCAACAGGTGTCACATGTTATCTACCAAGGAAGCTTATTAGAGACCCAGTGCCCAGGGTTTTACTGGGGGCTGGTGAAATGCATACCCAAATCCAGATTCCCAGAAGGAAAGCAGATATTCTGCATAGACTGTGTCGTCTGTACAAACAGTTTAGGCACAGTGAGCCATTCTTTCTTTTTCTGTTGGTTTGTATCTTTTTATTTCATAAATTGTTTTTACAACTCCCTATGGTTATGACCACCTAATGCCAAAGTAAAAATTTTGAATTGCCAGATTTTTATGAACTGTCAGAACAGTATGTAAAACTATACTTTAAAATAAAACTATAAAATAAAAAAATTAAAAATATTAAAAAAATTAAAAATAACTATAAAAGGTTGAGGGTCACCAATCATTCTAAAGAATAGAGACAAAAGGAGAAGCATATTGTTGTTTATTTAATATAATCATAAAAGTTCTGTAACACTGTCATTCAGGTAGAATTTGTGTCATTAGGCCAGGCGCGGTGGCTTACACCTGTAATCCCAGCACTTTGGGAGGCCGAGGAGGGCGGATTACAAGGTCAGGAGATCGAGACCATCCTGGCTAACACAGTGAAACCCTGTCTGTACTAAAAATACAAAAGAAATTAGGCGGGCACTGTGGCTGGTGCCTGTAGTCCCAGCTACTCAGGAGGCTGAGGCAGGGGAATGGCGTGTTCCCGGAAGGTGGAGCTTGCAGTGAGCCGAGATCATGCCACTGCACTCCAACCTGGGCAACAGAGCAAGACTCTGTCTCAAAAAAAAAAAAAAAAAAAAGAAATTGTGTCATTAATTATTAATGTCCCTATCTATTATCTAGGATTGACACTTTGAGGAAATTGACTGTTTTTGTAGATCCACTTCAGATAAGAGCTCATAGCGATAGATCTAGTGGCTTAGCTGCTTTAAGATTATCTCATGAAATGTTGCAATAAAAAATTATTTTTCGGCCTGTCGTGGTGCCTGTAATCCTAACATTTTGGGAGGCCGAGGTGGGAGGATCACTTGGGGTCGGGAGTTTGAGACCATCCTGGCCAACATGGTAAGACCCCGTCTCTACTAAAAATACAAAAATCAGCTGGGCATGGTGGCGGGCGCCTGTAGTCCCAGCTGTGCAACGCGGGAGGCTGAGACAGGAGAATAGTTTGAACCCGGGAGGTTGCGGTGAGCCGAGATAACGCCATTGCACTCCAACCTGGGCGACAGAGCAAAACTCTGCCTCAAAAAGAAAAAAAAATTACTATATATTTTGTCAAGTCACTCTTAATAGTTAATGGTGGGAATCCTCCTGAGATCCAAGCTTTCAGACAGTGGTCAAGGGCCCATAGCAAGTAGACGTTTCTGAGGAGGGCAGTCTCACACTGCTATTTAAACTCTTTCCTGCGCAGAGGGCTTCCCTGAGCACACCCCCAAAGTTACTCTCCCCTCAGTCAGTTTCTGATCTATAATTCGGTTTTCTTTTCTTCTTGGTCCTTACTACAGTCTAACATAATCCCATTTATTTCTTTGCTTACTGGTGGGCTGCCTGTCAGGTAAAGATGTGGACTTCTTGTGAGAGGAAACCACACCTGACGATTTGCTGTTTGAACCCTAGTGTCTATAACATTGCCTGGCTCAGGTAATCAGCGACCATTTATTAAATGAATTAACAAATGATTCACCTGTCCATTGCTCAAGGATAATGCTTGCTCCCTGATGGGACAAGAATGACTTCCTTTTACTTGTCCTAAGTGCTCCTCTTTCAGGCTTTGCACTTTGGCCTGTGGGTGCCCTGCTCAAGGTGTTGGCTGACTTGCTCAGCTGAGAGGCAGCTCTCCTGGGTGGGAACAGTCTAGTTTATCCTCTCCCTGGCCAGGCGGACTGACTCTTCTTTTCTTTTCTCTTTTCTTTTTTCTTTTCTTTTCTTTTCTTTTCTCTTTTCTCTTCTCTTTCCTTTTCTTCTCCCTCCCTCCCTCCCTGCTTGCTTGCTTTCCCTTCCTTCCCTCCCTCCCTCCTTCCTTCCTTCCCTCCCTCCTTCCTTCCTTCCCTCCCTCCCTCCTTCCTTCCTTCCCTCCCTCCTTCCTTCCTTCCCTCCCTCCCTCCTTCCTTTCTTTTTCCTTTCTTTCTTCTTTCTTGGTTTTCCTTCTTTCTCCGTCTTTTTTGGTTTTCTTTCTCTTCTTTAATTTTTAATTTTTATACATTTAGGCAGTCCAAGTGCAGTACTTGATTATATAGTGTTATGGTTGAGTCTGGGCTTTTAGTACAACTATCATGCAAATAGTGTGTGTTGTACCCACAGACCGCATCTTTCCGGACTGAAATGTTTTGTTTGTTTCTTTTTTTTTCTTTCTTTCTTTCTTTTGAGACTCTGACTCCCTAGTTCAAGCGATTCACCTGCCTCAGCCTCTCGAGTAGCTGGGATTACAGGCGCCCACCACCACACCCGGCTAATTTTTGTATTTTTAGTAGAGACAGGGTTTCACCATGTTGGCCAGGATGGTCTTGATCTTCTGACCTCGTGATCTGCCCGCCTAGACCTCCCAAAGTGCTGAGATTACGGGCATGAGCCACCGTGCCCGGCTCAATTTGTTTCTTTTTAAATTTAATTTTAAATTTAAATTTTATTGATTTATTTATTTGTTTTTGAGACAGTCTCTCCGTCACCCAGGCTGGAGTGCAGTGGTGCGATCTCGGCTCTCTGCAGCCTCCTCCTCCCAGGTTCAAGTAATTCTCCTGTTAGTCCCATTTTATGGATGAGGAAACAGGTTTCCTGAAGGCATTTGCTTTGGGTTAGAACATAAAGCCAGCGAGTAGGGGAACTGGAATTCAAATTGAAGTCCGTTTGACTTAAGAGGCTCCACCTTTGACAATTAACATGCTGTCTACACAACACACACACACACACACACACACACACACGCGCGCGTACATTTTATAAGCGCTGAAGTTGTAAAAGGGTAACCTTTGATCCTTACACTACCTTATACTTCACAGCAAACTTTTCCAGAGAGTTTCATCTCAACTTCCAAGGAACTTTTCCCAGCACTTTGGGAGGCTGAAGCCGGTGGATCACCTGAGATCAGGAGTTCGAGACCAGCCTGGCTAACATGGTGAAACTCCATCTCCACTAAAAAAAAATACAAAAATTAGCCAGGCATGGTGGTGGGCACCTGTAATCCCAGCTACTTGGGGGGCCGAGGCAGGAGAATCACTTGAACCCGGGAGGCAAAAGTTGCAGTGAGCTGAGATCATGTCACTGCACTCCAGCCTGGGCAACAGATGGAGACTGCGCCTTAAAAAAAAAAGGGGGGGGCCGGGCGCGGTGGCTCATGCCTGTAATATCAGCACTTTGGGAGGCTGAGGTGGGCAGATCACCTGAGATTGGGAGTTCGAGACCAGCCTGACCAAAATGAAGAAACCCCGTCTCTACTAAAAATACAAAAATTAGCCAGGCGTGGTGGCGCATGCCTGTAATCCCAGCTACTCGGGAGGCTGAGGCAGGAGAATCACTTGAACCCGGGAGGCTGAGGCAGGAGAATCACTTGAACCCAGGAGGCAGAAGTTGCAGTGAGCCGAGATTGCGCCATTGCACTCCAGCCTGGGCAACAAGAGCAAAACCCCATCTCAAAAATAAATAAATAAAAACAAAACTTCCTTTTTTTTCTTTTTTCCCTTTTTCTTTCCTTCCTGCTTTCCTCCTCTTTCATCCTTCATTCACTTTTTCTTCAGAAACGCAGCCAGGCACTGTGCTAGTCACTGGGGAGACAGGTGCGAACAAGACACACACCTGTAGTTTGCCTCTTTGCAATCTGGCTTTAAGGTGCTGCAGGCATTGAAGCCACCAGGTTCGTAAATGGCAAGCCACAAGAATTTTGCAAAAGGTCCCAGAAAGTGAGGAAGCCACTGAGGTCATGACTGCAGGGCACTCCCACTGTGCGAACAAAAAGTGAGGCCACAGCTGCTAGGTGCCACCACAGGAGGAAGCAAAAATATCATCTCCTTCCTGCCAAGAGGCCTGAGAGGACGCAGCTGCCTGCACCTCGGCATGTCCAGCCTGCATCCTGCTCCTCACCCTGGCTAGGATGGTGCCTCCCCAGCTATGCAGTCAGTGGGCTGTGTGGGAGCCATTGTCCCCACGTCCACCTCCCAGAAACCTCACTGCTAGGATTGGCCCTGCCTTTCACCCAGGTGTGGCCACCAACTACTTGACCTTTAGACATAAAGTTTTTTCTTTTAACTTTTGGTGGCTGCTTCACAAACATTTTCTTTTTATCTCCCTCTTCTTCTTCTTTTCTCCCTCTTCTCAAAAGAGGCAGCCTCTGGAAAACAAAAGAAAAAGACAGAAAGAGGGGGATTTAAGGACTATCGAACCCTCCCCTCCTGCTAAATGTTTAGGTTTTCATAGTCCTTATTAACCCTATCCATGGTTCCATTAATGAAACATCCCTCAATTCCCAATAATAACAGCTAACTTTAGGCCAGGCGCTGTGGCTCACGCCTGTAATCCCAGAACTTTGGGAGGCCAAAGTGGGTGGATCACCTAAAGTCAGGAGTTCGAGACCAGCCTGGCCAACATAGTGAAACCCTGTCTCTATTGAAAATACAAAAAAATGAGCTGGGCATGGTGGTGCATGCCTGTATTTCCAGCTACTTGAGAGGCTGAGGTGGGAGAATCACTTGAACCCAGGAGGTGGAGGTTGCAGTGAGCCAAGATGGTGCCATTGCATTCCAGCCTAGGTGACACAGTGAGACTTCACCTAAAAAAATACTACTACTACAATGACTACTACTAGTACTACTACTTGTAATAGCTAACTTTAACCAAAGACCTTATGTGAGCCTGCACTAGCTCACAGAATCCTTCCAATACTATGCAATGTAGGGACTGTGATTATCTCCAATTATAGATGAGAAGCTGAGCCTTGGAGGGAGGACTGCCATCTGTCTAGCATTAATGGTTAAATAGCTGGAAAATGGTGAAGCCAGGCAGGTCAGACTCCAGATATATATGTGCATTTATTGCAAACTCAACTTTCATTTTCCTTTACCCATGTATAGAACCCATCACAGAGGAAATGGATTTCATGTGAGTCACATGCATATTTTTTCTATAACATTTTGGAATACTTAAGCACCATCAATTAAAAAGTCACATATCTCTCTGGGTTCTTTGGTGATACTTACTGAGTGGAAGTAGACATTATGTTCTCTGTCCATAACTGATCAGCTCAAAATCTTTGTTAATTATTGTGCCCTGAGTTAACTTACTCATTATTTCTTTTTGAAAGATGGTAGGCTTGAAAATATGTCTAAGGAAAAATCATATTTGTGTGGATATATTTTTTTAGCCCTCTATGTAGATTCTTACTGCACTGGGGCATAGTCTCACAGGGTTAAATTATTCAAGCCACAGACAAAAACTTGTACCCAAATGTTTAGAGCAACATTGTTCATAATAGTTAAAAGGTAGAAACAATAAAAATGTCCATTAGCTGATTAATGGAGAAACAAAATGTGATCTATTCACACAATGAAATATTATTGTCATAAAAAGAAATGTATTAATACATGCTACAACATGAATGAACCTTGAAAAAATGTTAAGTGAAAGAAACCAATCACAAAACACCAAACACTATATGATTCCATTCATATGAAAGTCCGGAATAGCCTGCAGGCTGAGGTGGCTCATGCCTGTAATCCCAGCACTTTGGGAGGCCAAGGTAGGAGGATTGCTTGAGGCCAGGAGTTTGAGACCAGCCTGGGCAACATAGCAAGACTCTGTGTCTCTACCAAAAAATTAAAAAAATTTAAAACATAATAAAGATAAATAAAATTTTTTAAAAGCTGGGTGAGGTGGCTCATGCCTGTAATCCCAGCACTTTGGGAGGCCAAGGTAGGAGGATTGCTTGAGGCCAGGAGTTTGAGACCAGCCTGGGCAACATAGCAAGACTCTGTGTCTCTGCCAAAAAATTAAAAAAATTTAAAACATAATAAAGATAAATAAAATTTTTTAAAAGCTGGGTGTGGTGGCTTATGCCTGTAATCCCAGCACTTTGGGAGGCCAAGGAGTTGAGGCAAGGAATTCGAGACCAGCCTGGGCAACATAGTAAGACCCTGCCTCTACTAAAAATAAAAATAAAATTACCTGGGCATCGGGGTGCACACCTATAGTCCCAACTACTTGGAAGGCTGAGGTAGGAGGATTGCTTGAGCCCAGGAATTCAAGGCTGCAGTAAGTTATGATCATGCTACTGCACCCCAGGCTGGGTGACAGAGAGAGACCCTATCTCAAAAATAAATAAAATAATAAAATAAAACGAGTCCAGAATTGGGCAATCTATAGAACAGAAAGTAGGTTGCTTAGGGCTGGCAGGGCAGGAGGAGTGGGTACCGGGGGATTAGGGGATAGTAGGTAAAGTTTATAGGGTTTTTTGTGAGGTGATAACAATGTTCTAAAAGTGATTGTGTTCGTGGTTGCCCATATCTATGAATACACCAAACACAATTGAATTATGCACTTTAAAAGGGTGACTTTCATAATATGTGAATATATTCCAATGAAACTGTTTAAAATATCATTAATCTGGCCACATAAAGCTTATAATTCAAGCTTTATGTACAGGCATCCCTTGTTTTCACTATGCTTCACTATATTGCCCTTCTCAGGTACTATGTTTGTTACAAATTGAAGGTTTGTGGCAACCCTGTGACCAGCAAGTCTATCAGCACCATTTTCCCAACCACAAAGTGAGTATGACGTGCTCACTTTGTGTCTCTGTGTCACATTTTGGTAATGCTCACAATACTCACACTTTGCCATTGTTATTATATCTACTATGGTGATCTCTGATCAGTGATCTTTCAGTTACTATTGTACTTATTTTGAGGTACCATGAACCATACCCATATAAGATGGCAAACTTAATTGATAAATATTGTGAGTGTTCTGACTGCTCCACTGACTGGCTCATCTCTCTCTCTCTCTCTTTCTTTCTTTCTTTCCTTCATCTCTCACTTTCTTTCTAGGCTTCCCTAGACCCTAAGACACAACAATACTGAAATTAGGCCAGTTACTAACCCTGTGATGGCCTCTAAGTGTTGAAATGAAAGGAAGAGTTGCATGTCTCTCACTCTAAATCAAAAGTTAGAAATGATTAGGGCATGTCAAAAGCCAAGAAAAGCCAAAAGCTAGGCCTCTTGTGCCAACTAACCAGCCTGTGCATGCACAGGAAAAGTTCTTGAAGGAAATTGAAAGTACCACCCCTGTGAACACATAAGTGATAAGAAAGTGAAACAACTTTATTGCTGAGATGGAGAAAATTTTAGTGGTCTGGATAGAAAATTAAATCAGCTATAATATTTCCTTAAGCTAAAACCTAATCCAAAGCAAGGCTCTAACTCTCTTCAATTCTGTGGAAGGTAGAGAGGTGAAGAAGTTGCAGAAGAAACGTTGGAAGCTAGCAGAGGTTGGCTCATGAAGTTTAAGGAAAGAAGCCATCTCCATAAGATAGAAGTGCAAGGCTGGGCGCAGTGGCTCATGCTTGTAATCCCAGCACTTTGGGAGGCTGAGGCAGGTGGATCACGAGGTCAGGAGTTCGAGACCAGCCTTGCCAAAATAGTGAAACCCTGTCTCTACTAAAAATACAAAAATTAGCTAGGCATGGTGGCGAGCACCTGTAATCCCAGCTACTCAGGAGGCTGGGGCAGGAGAATCACTTGAACCTGGGAGGCGAAGGTTGCAATGAGCCAAAATCACACCACTGCACTCCAGCCTGGGTAACAGAGCTAGATTCCATCTCAAAAAAAAAAAAAAAAAAGATAAAAGTGCAGGTGAAGCAGCAGGTGCTGATGAAGAATCTGCAGCAAGTTCTCCAGAAGCTCTAGCTAAGATCACTGATGGAGGTGGCCACACTAAGCAATAGATTTTCAGTGTAGACGAAACAAACTTCAATTGGAAGAGGATAGCATCTAGGACTTTCACAGCTAGAGAGAAGTCAATGCCTGGCTTCAAAGCTTCAAAGACTGATTCTTTTGTTAGGGGCTAATGTAGCTGGTAACTATAAGTTGAAGCCAGTGCTCATTTGTCATTCTGAAAATCCTATGGCCCCTAAAAAGATGATGCTAAATCTACTCTGCCCATGCTCTATAGGTGGAACGACAAAGCCTGGTTGACAGCACATCTGTTTACAGCTTGGTTTACTGAAAATTTTAAGCCCACTGTTGAAACCTACTCCTCAGGGGAAAAAAATTCAAAATATTACTTCCCATTGACAATGTACCTGGTCACTCCAGAGCTCTGATGGAGATGTTCAAGGAGGTGAATGTTGCTTTCATGCCTGTTGACACAACGTCCATTCTGCAGCTCTTGGATCAAGGAGGAATTTTGACTTTCAAGTGTTATTATTTAAGAAATACATTTCTAAGTCTATAGCTGCTATAGATAGTGATTCCTCTGATAGATCTGGGCAAAGTAAATTGAAAACCTTCTGGAAAGAATTCATGATTTTAGATGCCATTACAAACATTCTTGCTTCATGGGAGGAGGTCAAAATATCAACATTAACGGGTTTGGAAGAAGTTGATTTCAGCCTTTATAGGTGACTTTGAGGGGTTTAAAGACTTCAGTGAAGGAAGTAACTGCTGACGTGATGGAAACGGCAAGAGAACTGTAATGATTAATGGAAGTGGAGCCTGCACATCTGACTGAATTTTCGCAATCTCATGATAAAACTTGAACACATAAGGACTCGTTCCTTATGGATGAGCAAAGAAAGTGGTTTCTTAAGGCCAGATGTGGTGGCTAACACCTGTAATCCCAGCACTTTGAGACGCTGAGGTGGTTGGATCACTGGAGGCCAGGAGTTCGAGACCAGCCTGGCCAACATGGCGAAACCCCATCTCTACTAAAAATACAAAAATTGTCGGGTATAGTGGTGCACAACTGTAATCCCAGCTACTCAGGAGGCTGAGGCAGGAGAGTGGCTTGAACCCAGGGTCAGAGGTAGCAGTGAGCTGGGGTGGCACCATTGCACTCCAGCCTGGGCGACAGAGCAAGACTCTGCCACAAAAAAAAAAAAAAAAAAAAGAAAGTATTTTATTGAGATGGAATCTACTCCTGGTGAAGATGTGAACATTGTTGAAATGACAACAAAGGATTCAGAGTATGACATAAACTTCGTTGATAAAGCAGTGGCAGGGTTTGAGAGGACTGACTCTAATTTTTAAAAAAGTTCAACTGTGGGTAAAATGCTATCAAACAGCATCTCATGCTACAGAGAAATCTTTTGTGAAAGGAGGAGTCAGTTGAAGCAGCAAACTTCGTAGCCTTATTTTAAGAAATTGGCACAGCCACCTCAACCTTCAGCGACCACCACCCTGATCAGTCAGCAGCCACTGAGGCAAGATCCTCTGTCAGCAAGAAGATTACAACTGTCTGAAGTCTCAGATGATCATTAGCTTTTTTGCCAGTAAAATATTTTTACATTAAGGTCTATAAATATTTTTAGACATAATGCTATTGCACATTCAATAGACTACAGAATAGTGCAAACATAAATTTTATATGCACTGGGAAAAAAATGTGTGACTCACTTTATTGTCATATTTGCTTTATTGTGGGGGCCTGGAACAGAATCTGCAATATCTCTGAGATATGTCTGTGGTTTTTTTTTTTTTTTTTTTTGAGAAGGAGTTTCGCTCTGTTGCTGAGGCTGGAGTGCAGTGGCATGATCTTGGCTCACTGCAACTTCTGCCTCCCAGGTTCAAGTGATTCTTCCGCTTCAGCCTCCTGAGTAACTGGGAATACAGGTGAGTGCCATCCCACCCAGCTAATTTTTATATTTTTAGTAGAGGTGGGGTTTTGTCATGTTGGCCAGGCTGGTCTCAAACTCCTGGCCTTAAGTGATCTTCCCGCCTCCGGCCTCCCAAAGTGCTGGGGATACGGGCAGTATGGAGTCTTTTCAGATTGGCTACTTTCACTCAGTGATGTGCACTTATCTTTCCTCCATGTCGTTTCATGGCTTGATAGCAATTTTTTTTTTAAGTGCTGAATAATATTCTATTGTCTGGATGTATTACATTTGTTTATCCATTCATCTACCAAAGGACATCTTGGTAGCTTCCATGTTTTGGCAATTATAAATAAAGCTGCTATAAACATTCATGTGCAGATTTTTGTATAGACATAAATTTTCAACTCTTTGGGTAAATACCAAGGAGTACAATTGCTGGATCATATGGTAAGATTATGTTTAGCTTTGTAAGAAGCTGCCAAACTGTCTTCCAAAGTGCCTGGACCATTTTGCATTTCCACCAACAATGAATGACAGTTCTTATTGCTGTACATCCTCACTGGCATTTGGTAGTGTTGTTGTTCTGAGTCTTGGCCGTTCTAATAAGTGTGTCATGGTATTTCATTGTCATGGTATTTCATGGTATTTCATGTGTATACTTGGCATTGCCCAGATGACATAAGATGTGCAGCATCTTTTCATGGTTTATCTATGATCTGTGTGTCTTCTTTGGTGAAATGTCTGTTAAGGTCTTTGGCCCATTTTAAAATTTCATTGTTTGTCTTCTTATTGAGTTTTAGGAGTTCTTTGTATATTTTAGATAATAGTTCTTTATCAGTTGTGTCTTTTGCAAATATTTTCTCTCAGTCTGTGGCTTATCTTCTCATTCTCTTGTTGTCTTTCATGCAGCCTCTGGAGTTTTTAACTTTCTGACTTGTCCACACATGAGCTTCCAGTCATGAATCAATTACACTTCAGGTGTAAAAAAATAATCTTTTTTTTTTTTTTTTGACATGGAGTTTTGCTCTTATTGCCCAGGCTGGAGTGCAATGGCGCGATCTTGGCTCCCTGCAACCTCTGCCTCCCGGGTTCAAGCGATTCTCCTGCCTCAGCCTCCTGAGTAGCTGGGATTACAGGCATGCGCCACGACGCCTGGCTAATTTTGTATTTTTAGTAGAGACGGGATTTCTCCATGTTGGTCAGGCTGGTGGCGAACTCCCAGGTGTGCCTACCCTGGCACCGGTTCCCACGGAGCTTTCTGCCCTGGTAAATTGTGATTCCGGATATTCGTCTGCTGGTCTCTCCAGGTTGGGGAGTAATGGTTTGCCCCATGACCTCTCTTGCCATAAGAATCTAAAAGAACTGTTTGGTTTTTAGTTTGGTTAGCCTTCTCCTTGTTGTTAGGATGAAGTGCTGACTCCCAAGCTTCGTGCTTGCTGGACTGGAAATTGGAAGTCTGCCTGCCAGTTTTAAGAACCTAAAAAGTGATGAACTGAAAATGTCAGGTAAAGGGATTTCTTTTCTTTTCTTTTCTTTTTTGTCATTTGGTTGGATTCTAAATATAAAATTTAGGCTTCTGGTAGAAGTTCTAAAGATGCCTGAAAGAGGATAGTTTTGACTGATATGTTTGTTGGCCACGCGTGGGAAAATGGTGTTAGTGAAAAGCACATGAATCCTGGTGCCAGCAGAAAGTGGGCATGAATTCTTCTTCCGTCAATACCCAGCTTTGTGCCCCCAGGCAAGTCACTTCACTTCTCTGAGCTTCCTTTTTTTAATCTTGGAACTAGGTATTGAGCCAGTAACCGGAAGTTGTGGTGAGGGTTAGAGGAAATTTGTATATAGAGCATTACAGAAGGCATATTCCCCGTTAGTGCATACATGATAAAAAAGAAACATCACAGAACATTATAGAAGTAAAATATTTTCTTTCCTTAAGTATGGAAAGAAACTGATGGAGTGTTTACTTAATTCTACAAGGATAAAAGAAACTATTCAAGGTTAACACAATGCAGACTGAACTGAAGAGCGTTATGTGGAAAGCAAATTTGAATAACGGAGAAAACACAACTCATTCTCACAGCTGTTGAAAGTCTCTGGGCACATTGGGTAAAGGCTAAGAGGTTAAGCTTTCCCCCTTGGAGCCTTGTGGTCATTGGGAAGATTCTCCTTTGAGGGAATCATTCTGTAACATAGTAATTGGGTAGTAAGAGAGAATTGTCTTGCTAAGAGCAGTAAAGTAAGTGGCCGAGTAGCAAATCTTCATCAGTTATCAGGTGCATCTCTTAAAAAGGCCTATGTAATACTCAGCAACAGGATCACGCTATTGTGTTTGGGAGAATAAACTTATTTCAAGCACAAAGATTCCTCCTTCCTCTTTTAAAATCTCTACTTTCTGTGCTCCTCCCCACTTTGAGGGAAGTGATACACTAAAATTAAGTGATGGCTTATTATCATGGTTAACCAGTCTGTCTTGAATTTGCAGCCTGAGCTGACCAGCGCTTATCCTCATGTGACCTTGGGTGAATTAATGGACATCTCTGAACCTCCATTTTCTCCTGTGTAAAATAGCAGCTGCAGCAAAAATGAAATATCAATAATCTCTGAAAAGAATTTAGCTCAGTGTTTGGTGAAGATTGCCTCTCCTGAAGTCTAGAAAAGGGCTGGTTTGGTATGTATTCAAAATCTAAATGTTCTTTTGAAACAGCAACTGAGAAACACTGTATTGAAATTAAAGTGGCAGTTTAGAAGAAGTTTAAAAAGCTGAGAAAGTATGGATTTTGCGATGATCAGGGGTAATCTCGCCACCTGCAAGAGAAAACAAACATCCTGCTATGTTTTTTGCTTTGCTGTAATCACTTCGACATCTAGCCCGTAAGTGAACAAAGATGGGAAAAGATTGGCAAGGATCAAAATAGAATTGGAGAAGAGTTTCAAGAAGAGGTCAATGGAGGGGGACAGCTTATCAGTTCTGGATGGAACCTGGTCATGAACACATATGGAGAAGACTGACAGGTGAATGCACAAGCAGCTCTTGCAGTTGTTCAGGCTCACATGAAGCCCTGGACAATGCTGTGCTGCTGTGGCTGCACCTGCTACCAGCCTTGACACTGCATGTTCTCTATAGAAATGCTACTGCTCTTGAAGGGGTAAAACTGGTTCTTGGGAAGACATGAGAAAATCTCACTTTAGAAAATATTAATATAGGCCGGGCACGGTGGCTCATGCCTGTAATCCCAGCACTTTGGGAGGCCGAGGCGGGCAGATCACTTGAGGTCAGGAGTTCTAGACCAGCCTGGCCAACATGGTGAAACCCCATCTCTACCAAAAATACATGTATAAAAAATTAGCCGGGTATGGTGGTGCATGCCTATAATCCCAGCTACTCGGGAGGCTGAGGCAGGAGAATCACTTGAACCCAGGAAGCGAAAGTTGCAGTGAGCTGAGATCACGCCACTGCACTCCAGCCTGGGTGACAAGACTCCATCTCAAAAAAAAAAAAAAAAATCTATCTATCTATCTATCTATCTATCTATCTATCTATCTATCTATCTGCCAGGTACAGTGGCTCACGCCTGTAATCCCAGCACTTTGGGAGGCCGAGGCAGGTGGATCACCTGAGGTCAGCAGTTCAAGACCAGCCTGGCCAACATGGTGAAACCCCGACTCTACTAAAAATACAAAAAAATTAGCCAGGCGTGGTGGTGGGCACCTGTAATCCCAGCTACTCGGGAGGCTGAGGCAGGAGAATTGCTTGAACCCAGGAGGCGGAGGTTGCAGTGAGCCGAGATCGCACCATTGCACTTGAGTCTGGGTGACAAGAGCAAAACTCCGTCTCAAAAAAAAAAAAATAATATACGTAATACACAATATATGTACCATACAAAAACAGATAACAGTATACATGTGGTATTGAAGTATCATGGGGGACAATTGAAAAAAAAAGTCTAAAAGGCTCTCCGGAGGATTACAGGTGAAAACAGCTCTGAGAAGCACTAACTCACACCACTAGAACGGGGCAGACGGAACATGGCAGAAGGGCAGGGGCCCGATACAGGACCTCAAGGAAGAAAGGAACTTGGGAGGACAGGGAGGTGGCGGTGGGCCTTGGGAATAGGGATTTTGTGAGTTTGGCAAGTGGGAGATTCCCCTTGAGGTAGCAACGCAACCCTCTTGCTTCTTCCTCCTCTCAGTTTGGAAGGCTGTGCCACGTGGCAAGAAGAGAATAAACATCTTGGGAATTCTGGCTGTGCTGTACATTTGCTGTGTGGCCTTCGGCAAGCTACTGACTTCTCTGAACTCAGGATCTACAAACTGAGGATAAGCAACAGGAGAATCTCTGTGAAGTACTTTAAAAACAGGAGATGTTTGGTAAATGTGCAGTCACGTTCATGACTCTTCAAATTTCTTTTGAAATTTCTGAAAATGCCTGGTGCGGTGGCTCATGCCTGTAACCCCAGCACTTTGGGAGGCTGAGGCGGGTAGATCATGAGGTCAGGAGTTCAAGACCAGCACGGCCAAGATGGTGAAACCCCGTCTCTACTAAAAATACAAAAAAATTAGCTGGGCGTGGTGGTGCGTGCCTGTAATCCCAGCTACTCAGGAGGCTGAGGCAGAGAATTGCTTGAACCTGGGAGGCAGAGGTTGCTGTGAGCCCAGATCGCACCACTGCACTCCAGCCTGGGCGACAGAGTGAAATCCGTCTCAAAAAATAAAAAAAATTAAAAAAAAGAAATTTCTGAAAATACGTATATGGGGGATTAATTGCACATGTGGTGTTGTACATCCATTATTCTATTTAATCCTTACACCAGCCCTATGAAGTGTCTATGATTAGTGTTATTGCCCTTTTACTAATAATAAACTCAAGCTCTGGAGGGTTAAGTGTAAGTGGTTCAAGCTCATATAGTGCCAGAGAGTAAAGATGTAAATTCCCCCACCCCATCAGCAGAGAGCCCCGTGCTCGTTACCACCATATTATTCGTGAACATTTCACATCAGCTGGGACTTTTTGCCCAGGAAATTACACATCTGTGCACAATTTTGCATACCATTGCAGAAGACTGAGTCTATCCCAAACTCCTTGTTCTAAAGTAGAAGTTTCAACAAGGGACTGTAACTTCCTCCTGAAACACAGTTTGGGAATTGGTAGAGGTGCTTTGGATGAACACATCAGTGTAGTACTAACATGTGCTGGCATACACAGCAGGGATGATGGGTTGGATGTATTTTTTGAAATGTATTTTTAAATTTACATACAGTAAAATTCACTCTTTTTGGCGTACAGCACAATAAGTTTTGACACAGTATAGTAATTTGTTTGTTTTTTGAGAGACGGAGTCTTGCTCTGTTGCCCAGACTGGAGTGCAGTGGCACGATTGCAGTTTACTCCAACCTCTGCCTCCCAGGTTCAAGCAATTCTCGCGTCTCAGCCTCCCGAGTAGCTGGGACTATAGGTGCGTGCCACCACGTCTGGCTAATTTTTGTATTTTTAGTAGAGACAAGGTTTCACCTTGTTGGCCAGGCTGGTCTCGAACTCCTGACCTCAAGTTATCCTCTTGCCTTGGCCTCCCAAAGTGCTGGGATTACAGATGTGAGCCATAGCACCCGGCCTAAATCTTTTCCCCGTTAAAAAAATGGGTAATTTCTTTTTCTTTTCTTTTTCTTTTTTTTGAAACGGAGTTTTGCTCTTGTTGCCCAGGCTGGAGTGCAATGGCACAATCTCGGCTCACTGCAACCTCCGTCTCCTGGATTCAAGCGATTCTCCTGCCTCAGCCTCCCAAGTACCTGGGATTACAGGCATGCGCCACCACACCTGGCTAATTTTGTATTTTTAGCAGAGATGGGATTTCACCATGTTGACCAGGCTGGTCTTGAACACCTGACCTCAGGTGATGCGCCCGTCTTGGCCTCCCAAAGTGGTGGGATTACAGGTGTGTGCCACCGTGCCTGGCCGGTTTATTTTCTTATTTTTGAATTTTGAGAGTTTAAAAACCATATTATCAAAAACCTTTGTCGAATATATGATTTGCAAATTTTTTTTCTAGTCTGTAGCTTGTCTTTTCATTCTCTTAACAGTGTTTTTTCAGAGTGAATTTTGATAAAGTCTATTTTATCAAAACTTTCCTCTATGTATTGTGGTTTTGCTGTTGTAGCTAATGTTTTCAAACACCATAAGCCAACCAAAATACAACTAGGGGTCATATTTGCCCTGTGGGTAATCCATATTTAGGTAGGATTTTTAGGCTAGAAGGAACTTTAGGAGACATGGAAGACAGAAACATGTGCCTCTTGTATTTCCTGCAGCAGGGACTGTAATTGACCGAGGGCCCTGCGATGCTGTGATCTGAAAGCTATTATCATATTTGTGCCAAGGTTACATTTCCCGTGGGCTGCTCCTTGCCCACGACTGCATGCGACAGGGATACTAAGGCAGGCTTGTTCCTGGGGGACATGAGACTCCTCTGATACATAACTTTGGCTTTTTCAAAACTTTCTCAGAACTGCACCACCCTCTCAGACTTTCCCTACCAACCCGTCCTTTTTCCCCTTCTTCCTCTGCGGGGGTTAGGGCAGCATTGTGGGAAATCTCCTTCCCCTTCTCCCTCCAGCTGTTTCTTCCAGGAAATGTGAGGCATGCTTTTTCCACTTTGCAGTCTGATAGTCTGCACCTCAAAGGAACCAAACGAATGCAGAGGATCCCCTGCCACAGGAATCACTGTCTCCAATGCCATGCCTGGCAGGTAATGTACATGAGTAAACAGGGTCAGGTGAGGACTGAGGTGAACTGAAAATTCCATGCCCTATTTTATGAGGACAGCTTCTACCTAGTTCTAACAGGCTGTTATCAAGATGAAATGTGAGCCCACAGTTGAATGCCACTAGATATTTAAAGAGAAAAGCTACAAAATTTTTACAATTTCTTTTTTTTTTTTGAGATGGAATCTCGCTCTGTCGCCAGGCTGGAGTGCCGTGGTGCAATCTCGGCTCACTGCAATCTCTGCCTCCTGGGTTCAAGCGATTCTCCTGCCTCAGCCTCCCGAGTAGCTGGGACTACAGGCGCACACCACCACACCCAGCTAATTTTTTGTATTTTTAGTAGAGATGAGGTTTCGCCATGTTGGCCAGGCTGGTCTCGAACTCCTGGCCGCAAGTGATCCGTCCACCTCGGCCTCCCAAAGTACTGGGATTACAGATGTAAGCCACCACGCCCGGCAATTTTTACAATTTCTAATTCAACCCTGTCATTTGTCAGAAGGAGACAGCAAGACAGAGAAAGGAAGTGCTTTTCCTAAGATCATCTGAATAGAAGGTGCAAAGTGTGGCTGGAATCCAGAGATGCCACCTCCTGATCCAGCTCTTTCCTTTCTTCCTCTCTATTCATTATTGATTGACTATCTGGGTTTGTATTTGCTGTGTCACAAGTTATCTAAACATTTAGCATCTTATAATAAGACATATTTATTGTCTCATAGTTTCTGTTTGTCAGAATCAGCCCTTGCTTCAGGGTCTCAGACAAATCGGCATTCAAGATGTCAGCCTATGCTGGGATTTCATGTAAAGACTCTACATGGGAAGAAGCTGTGTCCAGGCTCAGGCGGTTATTGGGAGGATTCAGTTCCCTGAGGGCTGTTAGATTGAGGACCTGAGATCTTTTCTCACTATTGGTCAGAGGCCACCCTCCATTCCTTGCCACCTGGGGCATTCCAGATGGCAACTTACTTCATCGAAGTGTGCAAGCTGAGAAGGCCACAGAGAGAGTCTGCTAGCAAGACGAAAGTCACAATCTTTTGCAACCCAATCGTGGAAATGACATCCCATCCCCTTTGCTCTATTCTATTTGTTAGGAAGTCACTAGGTCCAGCCCACACTCAAGGGCCTACACTACAGGGACATGGGGATAGGGTGGGGACCATGGGGCTGGGCTAGAATTCTGCCTACCACAAGGCCTTTTTTTTGAAAATGGAAAATTCTCAGTTGTGCTTGATCTTTCTCTTCTAAACCAGGAAACCACTTTTCATGGGAGAGGTCAGGGATCTATTAAGACAGAAACAAGAGGGGAGGGGAGGGGAGGGGAGGGGAAGGGAGGAGGGAGGGAGGGGAAGGGAGGAGGGAGGGAGGGAGGGAGGAAGGAAGGAAGGAAGGAAGGAAGGAAGGAAGGAAGGAAGGAAGGAAGGAAGGAAGGAAGGAAAGAAAGAAAGAAAATTGGAAAGGCTCCTCCTCTCCCTCTCCCTCTCCCCACGGTCTCCCTCTCCCCACGGTCTCCCTCTCCCTCTCTTTCCACGGTCTCCCCCTCCCTCTCTTTCCACGGTCTCCCCCTGATGCCGAGCCAAAGCTGGACTGTACTGCTGCCATCTCGGCTCACTGCAACCTCCCTGCCTGATTCTCCTGCCTCAGCCTGCCGAGTGCCTGCGATTGCAGGCGCGCGCCGCCACGACTGCCTGGTTTTCGTATTTTTTTGGTGGAGACGGGGTTTCGCTGTGTTGGCCGGGCTGGTCTCCAGCTCCTAACCGCGAGTGATCCGCCAGCCTCGGCCTCCCGAGGTGCCGGGATGGCAGACGGAGTCGCGTTCACTCAGTGCTCAATGGTGCCCAGGCTGGAGTGCAGTGGCGTGATCTCGGCTACAACCTCCACCTCCCAGCCGCCTGCCTTGGCCCCGCAAAGTGCGGAGATTGCAGCCTCTGCCCGGCGGCCACCCCGTCTGGGAAGTGAGGAGCGTCTCTGCCTGGCCGCCCATCGTCTGGGATGTGAGGAGCCTCTGCCTGGCTGCCCAGTCTGGAAAGTGAGGAGCGTCTCTGCCCGGCCGCCATCCCATCTAGGAAGTGAGGAGTGTCTCTGCCAGGCCGCCCATCGTCTGAGATGTGGGGAGCGCCTCTGCCCTGCCGCCCCGTCTGGGATGTGAGGAGCGTCTCTGCCCGGCCGCCTCGTCTGAGAAGTGAGGAGACCCTCCGCCCGGCAGCCACTCCGTCTGGGAAGTGAGGAGCCCCTCCGCCCGGCAGCCACTCCGTCTGGGAAGTGAGGAGCGTCTCCACCCGGCAGCCACCCCGTCTGGGAGGGAGGTGGGGGTCAGCCCCCCGCCCGGCCAGCCGCCCTGTCCGGGAGGTGAGGGGCGCCTCTGCCCGGCCGCCCCTACTGGGAAGTGAGGAGCCCCTCTGCCCGGCCACCACCCCATCTGGGAGGTGTACTCAACAGCTCATTGAGAACGGGCCATGATGACAATGGTGGTTTTGTGGAATAGAAAGGGGGGAAAGGTGGGGAAAAGATTGAGAAATCGGATGGTTGCCATGTCTGTGTAGAAAGAGGTAGACATGGGAGACTTTTCATTTTGTTCTGTACTAAGAAAAATTCTTCTGCCTTGGGATTCTGTTGATCTGTGACCTTACCCCCAACCCTGTGCTCTCTGAAACATGTGCTGTGTCCACTCAGGGTTGAATGGATTAAGGGTGGTGCAAGATGTGCTTTGTTAAACAGATGCTTGAAGGCAGCATGCTCGTTAAGAGTCATCACCACTCCCTAATCTCAAGTACCCAGGGACACAAACACTGCGGAAGGCCGCAGGGTCCTCTGCCTAGGAAAACCAGAGACCTTTGGTCACTTAACTGCTGACCTTCCCTCCACTATTGTCCTGTGACCCTGCCAAATCCCCCTCTGCGAGAAACACCCAAGAATGATCAATAAAAAAAAAAAAGAGAAAGAAAAAAAAAAAGACAGAAACAAGTGCTGGTATAACTGCAGAAAGAGATAGAGAAGAGAGATCAGTGAGAGCAAGAAGGAAAAAAAATTGCAGCGGATAGTGTGAGGGGAGCAAAAGGAAGCTCCAAGCCAGGACAGCAAAACCCTCTGTTCTCCTTTTCAGATGATTTCACTGTGCTCTCTTTTCTTTCTTTTTTTCTTTCTTTTTTTTTAGATGGAGTCTCACTCTGTCACCCAGGCTGGAGTGCAGTGGCATGATCTCAGCTCACTGCAACCTCTGTCTCCCAGGTTCAAGCGATTCTTCTGCCTCAGCCTTCCGAGTACCTGGGATTACAGGCGTGAGCCACCATGCCTGGCTAATTTTTGTATTTTTTAGTAGAGACAGGGTTTTGCCATGTTGGCCATGCTGGTTTCGAACTCCCGATCTCAGGTGATCTGCCCGCCTTGCCCTTCCAAAGTGCTGGGATTACAGGCGTGAGCCACTGCGCCCGGCCTGTTCTCTTTTCATTTTGTACTTGCCACAGGTGTGAAAAACTGACAGATTGTTCTTAGCAAAGTTCAGACATGGCTTTTGCAGAGATTATTTGCTCTTTTGATGATTACGTATTTCTTCTTCCACTACTGATAGTGTATGTAGTTGTCAAGGGAGAATACCCAGATCAAAACAAAGGAAACTGATTCCTTTGCACATAGGGAGGAAGTTGTAACTGCCCAATGGGTTCTCCTTCCTCATTGCCTAGACAGACCTGATTTATCAAAACGGGAATTTCAATACAGAAAGAGTTTAATTCATGCAGAGCTGGCTGTACAGGAGGCCAGAGTTTTGTTGTTACTCAAATCAGTCTCCCCGAAAACTCAGGGATCGGGGTTTTTACGGATAATTTGGTGGGTAGGAGGTTGAAAGACGGGGAGTGCTGATTGGTCAGGCCGGAGATGAAATCCTAGGGAGTCGAGGGGGTCCTCTTGTACTGAGTCAGTTTCTAGGTAGGAGCCATAGGACCAAATGAGCCAGTCTATCCAGGGCTGTGCTAGCGGATTCACTGAGTACAGGGTCTGAAAATATCTCAAGCACTGATCTTCGCTTTTACAATAGCAGTGTTATCCCCAGAAGCAATTTGGGGAGGTTCAGAACCTCGCAGCCTCCAGCTGCACAGCTTCTAAACCATAATTTTTAATTTTGTAGCTAATTTGTTAGTCCTGCAAAGGCAGTGTAGTCCCAGTCAGGAAGAGGGTTTTTGTTACAGTCTTTCTTTCAAAGTGAAACTATCAACTAAGTTCCTCCCAAAGTTAGTTTGGTATCCACCCAGGAATGAACAAGGACAGCTTGGAGGTTAAAAGCAAGATGGAGTCAGTTAGATCAGATCTTGTTCACTGATACAGTTTTCTCCATTGTAATTTTTGCAAAGGTGGTTTCAAAGTGTGGAAAAATATTAAATGAATAACTGTTAATATTTTTAAAGGGCTGGACAGCCTTGTCCCATTGAATGCTCAGAACAACCCTGTGAGATTGATATTAGTATTGCCCCCATTTTACAGAGGAAGAAATTGAGGCTCAGGGCGATTATGAAACTTGCCTAACTGAGGTCACAGCCAGATGGTGCTGGAGCAGGAATTGCTTCATATTTGTTTTACTCCAATAACCATCACCAGAGCATTACCCAAACTTCATTCACTCATGTATAAACTGTCATAGTTGTTGTCATATCTAATATCGCTTATCCTACTGTCACATATTTGTATCATATATGGGAACATTTTACCACTCTCTCCCTATAACATGCAGTGGTCCAGGCTCTGAACTGCTGAACTGAACTGAGTTCAATTCTGATTCTACCACAAGCTGGACCATCTGGGCAAGCTACTTAACCTCTCTGTGAGCTGCAGTTTTCCCATCTCTAAAATGGAGCACATGGCTCAGTTTGCCGGCTAGTAGAGAGACTAAGTAATATGATAGAAATAAATTACCAGGTACATTGTAGGTGCTCCATAAATACTTTGTTGGAAGGACCCTCAAAAAGTAGAATTTCTATTTAATTAGCTCTTCTAAATGACATATCCATAGTTAACATATTTCCAACACCATCATCAATATTAATGAATTTCTTAGCTTCCCAGGACTTCCCAGAAATGTCCAATTAAGTACTTGTTAAAAATGGAATGAAAATTTAATATCCCATAGTTTGAGGCAATATCAAAAAGCCTTGTTAGTCTATTTGGATCATATCAAGGAAACTAGATAAATATATTTGCTTATATTTGCTATAGTTTTGTGTGTGTGTGTTTGCTTACTTGTGGAAACCATAATGACCAATATTATACCATGGCTGAGAGTGTAGATTTGGAGGTTTTAATTTCTGATCCCTCAGTTCATTGACTTTGTGACACTGATTATCTAATAGTTCTCTGTCTCAATTTCATTAGATAAGTTGGGAAGGCTTTCAGCTGTAAGTAGTAACCACCATAACAAAAAGCCAACAGAGGCTGAAACAAAGAGGTTACAATTTTTCCTCACTTTAAAGGATGCAGAGGTAGCAATGTGCTTCTGTAGCTCAAGAATGTCAGTGCTTTGTGGTTCACCTAGTCTTTCCTTATGGTCACAGGATGCCTAACCCAGTTCACTTTTATGGCAGGGAAAAGAGAAACAAGTAGAACCACTGACATCTAATCATTTGCAAGACAACAAACCCCTGCCCAGAAACTTTCCAGCCGTCTCTTCTGTTCGGGCTTCACTGGCCTGAATTGTGCCATAAGGCCAAGTTGCAAGGGAGCCTGGGAGGGGCTCCAGAGTGGAAGTGGCCGAGGAACAGGGAGCTGTCGTGAGGATGAACTGAGATAATGCTTATAAAGGGCTTGGCACTGTGCCGGACTGTAACAAGCACTTCATACTTACAATGATTGGCATTTTCATAATCGGGCTGTTTGAACTGGAACAGGGAAACTCAGCCCTGATTCCAGTGTTCTGCAGGGAGTGAGTGTTAGACGCAGGGCAAAAACCTGATTTTCTGCCATACTGGATGACAATATTATAACATGACTGAGAGCATAGATTTGGGGGTTTTAATTTCTGATCACTTAATTCACTGACTTTGTGACATTGATTATCTAATAGTTCTCTAATAGCTCCCCTCCATGAGGGGCGGGTTTATGTCTTTCTTGTCAATTAGCCCAGCTCAGTGCCTAAAAGTAGATAAACATATGGTGCTGCTGAATAAATATTTGATAAATGAATACATACGTAAAGATAATTTGATACATTTATTTTTTTTAATTTTTTTATTTCCATAGGTTTTTTTTGGGTAACAGGTGGTGTTTGGTTACATGAGTAAGTTCTCGAGTGGTGATTTGTGAGATTTTGGTGCACCCATCACCAGAGCAGTATACACAGAACCCAGTTTGTATTCTTTTATCCCTCACCCGCTTCCCACCCTCGCTCCCTGAGTCTCCAAAGTCCATTGTGTCATTCTTATGCCTTTGCATCCTCATAGCTTAGCTCCCACTTATGAGTGAGAACATACAATGTTTGGTTTTCCATTCCTGACTTACTTCACTTAGAATAATAGTCTCCAATCTCATCCAGGTTGCTGCAAATGCCATTAATTCATTTCTTTTTATGGCTGAGTAGTATTCTATCATATATATGAGATATATATTGATATACATGATATATAGATATATATGATACATATGATATATATTGATATATGATATATAGATATATATGATACATGGATATATGATATATATTGATATGTATACCACGTATATATGTGTGTGTATATATGTATACATGCCACAGTTTCTTTATCCACTCATTAATTAATGGGCATTTGGGTTGGTTCCACAGTTTTGCAGTTGCGAATTGAGCTGCTATAAACGTGTGTGCATGTATCTTTTTTGTATAATGACTTCTTTTCCTTTTTTTTCTTTGAGACAGAGTCTTGCTCTGTTGCCCAGGCTGGAGTGCAGTGGCTCAATCTCAGCTCACTGCAACCTCCGCCCCAGGTTCAAGCGATTCTCCTGTCTCAGCCTCCCAAGTAGCTGGGATTACAGGTGTCCTATCACCATGCCCGGCTAATTTTGGTATCATGACTTCTTTTCCTCTGGGTAGATACCCAGTAGTGGGATTGCTGGGTCAAGTGGTAGGATAATTTGGTGCATTTCTTAAAGTTTTTACTGTTCACCATTCTCAAAAGCCATTTATTCGTTGTCTATTTAATAAACTTCAGAATATAAGAATCATAAAACTGGAACTTTTGTAAGTATATTAATTATCTCTTGCTGTGTAACAAATTTTCCCTAAACGTACTCGCTTAAAATATGGACATTTAAAAACTTTTTTTTTCTATTTATTAAAATAAAATATTGTCTCAAGGGCCAGCTAGAAAAATAATGGACATTTCTTAGCTCACGGTTTCTGAGGTCAGCAATCCTACAGCAGTTTGGATGGATGGTTCTGGCTCAGGGCCTCTTGTGAATAGTCAAGATGCAGTCAAGATGTTGTTCTGGGCTGTAGGCACCTAAAAGCTTGACTGGAGTTGGATAACATGCTTCTGAGCAGGCTCACGCACGTGGCTGTTGGCTGGAGGCCTCTGTTCCTCACTATGCAGACCTTCCCATAGGGAAGCTTGAGTTCTCATGTCGCAGCAGCTGGGTTCCTAAGAGGAACAGCAAGGAGGAAACTCCAGTGCCTTTTATGATTAGTCTTGGATGTCACCCAGTGTCGCCCCCACAACCTTCTGTTCCTTAGAAACAAGTCTCTGGACTCCGCCTACACTCAAGGGGAAGGGAAATAACCTCTGCCTTTTGGAGACAGGAGTGCCAGAGAATTTGTGGACCTATTTTAAAACCACCTCCAACTGTTTCGTTCAATGATTTCTAGCATCTAAATATGCTTGGCTCATATAGTCAGTGCTTTAATGGAAGTGGTTCCTGTTTATAGGTCTTCAACCTTATACAATTGGGGGCTTCCCAAAAGAAAAAGAACACAAAATTAGTTAGGAAAGTTAACGTTTATTTAGAATAAAAGAAGAAAGTACAACAAATTGTAAAAATTTTAAAGCTGAAAAAAATTACTAATATCATAAAATCCTCCCAAAATAGCATCTTTTAAAAATTAACCAACTGCTTGACTTTTTTTTGAAACACAGTCTTGCTCTGTAGCCCAGGCTGGAGTGCAGTGTCTCGATCTCGGCTCAGTGTAAACTCCGCCTCCCGGGTTCAAGTGATTCTCCTGCCTCAGCCTCCCGAGTAGCTGGGATTACAGGCACCTGCTATGATACTTTTGTCCTGTATGTTTTAGCTACAAACTCTTTAATTATCTTTTAACAATACTGGGTTATTATTTTATAGAGAGTGACTATGAGAAGGAGGATTTAGTCTTTCCTCCATCATGACTGATCAGAATTTTTAATATAATTTAATTTAATTTTAGAGACAGGGTCTCACTCTGTCGCCCAGGCTGGAATGCCATGGAGTGATCATATGCTAACTGCATTGTCAAACTCCTGGGCTCGGGTGATCCTCCTGCCTCAGCCTCTAGAGTAGCTGGGACCACAAGTATTAGCCACCACACTTGACTAATTCAATTTTTTTTTTTTGGTAGAGACGAGATCTTGTTATATTGCGCGTGCTGGTCCTGAACTCCTGGCCTCAAGTGATCCTCCCAAAGTGTTGGGATTGCAGGTGTGAGCCACTGTGCCTGACACGATTGATCAACAAAAATTTTTTTTAATTACTATTGTCAGTTTTGAAAAGTTTCTTTTGGCTTCACCACTTATTACTGGTCAGGTATTGTAAAATTTTAGGATTATTGTGTTAAATTTGAGAAAACATATATCACATTTCTTTCTTACATGACCTCCAAGATTTCAGGGCAATTCGAGTTTTCTTGCGCAGCAATTAATCTTAATGCTCTTTGAAGGATGACACTCATTAACCAGTCTTGTTGTCCCCATCCTCTGTGTAAAGATGGAGCATGTGCTTTATGTTATCTTTGTCGATGCCAATACATCATGTCAAGTCAACAAGAACTTTACTTCATTTTTCTGGGTGATTCTATCATTTACTCCTCTTTAATAATAGGATGATTGGATAACCCAATCGCTTATTCATTACTTTTACTCAAAATTCCGTCTTGTTCTTAATGGTGTGACCTGTGTTCTGTTTCAACAGAGAACTCACTGAGAGTTAAAGGTCAAGGTGCATCAAACATTATGAGAGGCGGCTGGGCACAGGGGCTCACACCTATAATCCCAGCACTTTGGGAAGCTGAGGCAGAGAGATCAGCTGAGGCCAGAAGTTGGAGACCAGCCTGGCCAACATGGTGAAACCCCATCTCTACTAAAAATACAAAAAGTAGCTGGATGTGGTGGCACACACTTATAACCCCAGCTATTTGAGAGGCCGAGGCTGAGAGTTGCTCAAACCCGGCAGAAGGAGGTTGCAGTGAGCTGAGATCATGCCACTGCACTCCAGCATGGGGGACAAAGTGAGACTTTGTCTCAAAAAAAAAAAAAAATTCATGAAAGGCCACCGGATTTGTTGGAAATGCACTAACCGTGACCATCCTGTGTGTTCTCACACACATGCTTGCTGTTTGTGGAACTGCAACACTGAAAGGTACATTTCAGTGTCTGCATATACTGTTTTACTGGAACACAGCTATGCTTATTCTACATGGATGCTTTTGTGTCACGCTGTCTGAGTTCAGTAATTGCATTAGAGGCTACGTGGCCTACAAAACCTAAAGGATTTGCTATTTGGCTCTTTACAAAAAATTTGCTGACCAGCTACCCTCCTATGGCAATAAGTAAAAGATATACTCACCCCTTCGGCCTCACTGAAGCAATGACCATTTTTCAGTCCTGAGTACATACCAACCTGTAGACTGCCTCAAGACTTACCTCCCTGCTATTCCTTCTGCCTGGAACATTCTTCTCTTTCCTAGCTAGTTTTCCTTCTGATCCCATTCATTCTTCAGACAATATCACCTAATAAGAAAAGACTTCTCTGAACGCCTATCTACAACAGGTCCTCCCTGTTCTTCTTTTTTTTTTTTTTTGAGACAGAATCTGTCACCCAGGTTGTAGTGCAGTGGTGTGATCTTGGCTCACTGCAACCTCTTCCTCCCAGGTTCCAGTGATTCTCCTGCCTCAGCCTCCCAAGTAGCTGGGATTACAGGCACTCGCTGCCATGCCCCGGATAATTTCTGTATTTTTATTTTTATTTTTTTTACTTATTTATTTATTTATTTTTTATTGATCATTCTTGGGTGTTTCTCGCAGAGGGGGATTTGGCAGGGTCATAGGACAATAGTGGAGGGAAGGTCAGCAGATAAACAAGTGAACAAAGGTCTCTGGTTTTCCTAGGCAGAGGACCCTGCGGCCTTCCGCAGTGTTTGTGTCCCTGGGTACTTGAGAGATGGGGTTTCACCATGTTGACCAGGCTGGTCTCAAACTCCTGACCTCAAGTGATTTGCTGGACTTGGCCTCCCAAAGTGCTGGGATTACATGTGTGAGCCACTGCGCCTGAACCTTCCTGTTACTCTTCACCATAGTTTCCTGCTCTTTTCCATGATGGTCCTGCCCATGGTTTCTAATGATTGATTGATCTTCTTGTTTAAAGTTGTTGTCCTCTTTACTCTGTAAACTCCCTGTCAATAGAAACTACATGTCTTATCACGATAGGTAAAAAACATGTACTCCGATGTCAGATGGCCTGGATTTGAATCCCGGCTCTGTTACTTATAAGTCATGGAAGCTCGAGTAAGTCATTTCCCCTCTCAGCTTCTCAGTTTTCTCATCTGAGAATGGGCGCAGTCATAGTAACGATTGCATTAAGTTCTGAAGGTTAAATGAGTTGATGCAGATAAACCACTAAGAACAATGCCTGGCTCATCATAAGCGTTAGAGAAGAGTTAGTTATTAATACTCAAAACTGTATCTTCAAGGTCCAGCACAAAAGAGCTGAATGAGTATCCCTTTAACAAGTGAAACTTTTTTTTTCTGAATGAAGCAGTAGTGGAATGAAGGTTTTATCTAGATGAAAAAATAAGTATCTCATATCTCTCTTGCTCTTTAATCATATGCTGCTGTACTGAAACACTATGGGCGTCTAATTTCATTTATCACATGAAAGGCAATGATTCACCTTGACTTACAAAACAAAGTCGAATCAGTAATGCAAGAGTTTGAATTATTTTTTAAAATTAATCCCCCCTCCCCCCAAGACTCCCCCAGGATCTGTATTAGTATGCCATGGCCAGAGTAAAACCTATAAATATTATGAGGCCTACATTACTCAGCTGTTGCCACAATAATGCAAAAAATCACTCCAAGACTCAGTGGCTTAAAATGGTAATTATTTATTCTCACATAAACATTTGCAAATTAGCTGGGGTTTAGATGACCTGGGGTGGTCCGGGCTGGGCTTCAAGTTATGGGCTGAGTCCAAGTTTGCTCCAGGTGTCTTCCATCTTCCTTGGACGCAGGCATGTGTATGCATCTCAAGGCAATGTTGGAAGTGCAGGAGAGCCAGGCCCACTGTGCAAATCCACAGTGACCTTGATGGCATCATGCTTGCTAACATCTTACTGGCCAATAGTCACATGGCCAAGTCCAACATCCCTAAGTCAGGGAAGGGTATTCCTCCAAAGTGTGGAGGAGTAAAAATTTTCTGAACACAAATCCGAACTATCCCAAGACCTGTACCCAAATAAAAATGAAAACAAAACTCAACTAAAACTTAAAACTGTGTCTTCCAAGGGACAAAAAAATCTGTATGTTGAAACTTAAATTAACTTTCCTGAATTTTCTTGTTGCATCATTTGGCCAGTAAGGCAGGAGCACGGTGTTCTCTCTGCTTTTCTGGTCCTTGAAGCATGTGCTTCGTCTGCATAATGGACCAATCAGAGCTGTTTATGTTTCTGTCCTAGCACCGCCCCCATGCAGCAGATATTTGATAAAGTTGGTGGAAGGCAATTGTTGAATTCTATAAATATATGGCAATTGCATCAATGCATGCTATATTTGTTTTACAGAAATTTAAGGTCGCTGTAGGTATTGTGCGTTTCTACATCAAAGCTTCAAAAATAGTTCCGGGGTGTGGAGGTGCACATAGCTTCTACTAGCAATACACACACTCTGGAGCACTCCCGGGAAGTCGTGGCCTCTGGGTTTTCTGTTTGTTTTTCTGTCTCCTTTGCAATGTAAATGAAATCACTTTCTCAGCCTGATCATTGCTCGAGGGAAATGCATGCCTGGAAAATAATCAACAGAGAGGAGAATGTAGACAAGTAAGTAAACAGTTTAATGAATATAAAATAAAACGTGAATTAAAGCTGGCTTTCAGAACCTACCATTATCCTTTCATCCACTGTTTATTCAATAATTACACAGTCAATTACAACTTGCATAAAGGATTTTATATACCTATTAGTCTATAAATATCTACAGTATATGCGTATTTATAGATAAAGAGGGAGGAGAGGATCGTGACTGAGGAAAAGCGTTCTGACAGAAATAACTGCAAATATTGCAAGGTTGAGCTTCTACCAATGCTAGTTTTTCCTGACCCAGGAGAACTCACATAGTGTTATGAATTTTAATATCACAGCAATTTTTTATCGAGAACCTAACAGGAGCCGCACATTGGATTAACCGAGAAATCTCTCTGTATCTATACTCATATTATTTCTAACCCATGTGACACAGCCACCAGATATCCCATTTTACAGAGGAGAACACTGAGACTCAGGAAGCAGTTCGAGCCTGTGTTTGAACTCTATTATGTTTCACGAGAGAATAGGCCTGTGATGAAGTTTGGCTACCCACCTGTGTACAGAGAGGGCCGATGGAAGACAAACAATGCAGGCATATTGATATCCATGTGGCTGTCGCATTTTTTGTGTGCCAGGATTAATGTAATAGAACACTCAGCATGGAAAGCCACCCCGGGGCTGCTCCTGTATATATTTTGTTACATATTCCCTTCTGTTTCCCTTCAGTCATTTAACATAGAGCTTCTTTCACTGGAGGACGAGAATAGGCGTGGTGAGTATGTCTCCTGGATTAGCAGGTGCCTCTGGTTTGAAAATGTTCATTCTCAGAACCATCGGTGAAACCCAGAGATGAAATCTTACAAGCTAATGATAAAGCTTCAAGTAGCCACCACCATGGGAAGGACTTAATTATGTGATGTTTAAAGCAGTGTCTGTAGATTACACAGATATGGTGTCTCCTTTCTGTCTGGCACATGCCTTACAAGGCACCTTTATTGAATCATGACTGTTAGCTTTCCTTGGCTGTGTATTAGGGCCCTGGAAGCTTCTATTCAGGTTTAGCTATTATCCACGCAAAGATCGTTATTGCTCTCTTGTTTGTATTTTAGCCTGGAGATTTGTCAAGGAAAGAAAAAACAATTAGGTAACTGTGTAATGACAAAAGAGCAATTTGGTTTGAAAAGTCTCAGAAAACAGCTATTTTTTTTTTTTAACTTCTAGGGCATTTCTGCTTTTTTGAAAACAAAATATGTTTAGGAGAATCTTTGTTTTTACAGATACAAAATAAAGCAAGAGGGTTTCTGCCTTTCTAGTTAAAGAGCAATCTTTAAAAGTCATCCAAGAAAAGTTGGCTCTGTTTTCTGAATTGCTATTTGGGAGAACAAAAGAAGCAAGGGAAAGTTTGACTTGACTTCCTCTACAATTTGTTTATATCATCGGAGCAGAAAGAATCTCAGGGCTCAGCTCTCCACTTCCTGAATGAGGAGAGAGAGAGAGAAAAAAAAATGCCCGTGTGTCAAATTCATTGAGATGTGCAAAGTGATCAGCAAAAATCCTGATGGACTGGAGCCCAAATGGCAAAGGAAGGATATTCTTCAATTCAGCTGCTATCTGGCAAGAGAGCTGCAAAGTCCTGATGGCGAGTGTCACCAAATACCTCCTCCTCTCCTCCCCAGCCACAGAAAGGACAGGCAAGGAGGGTGCAGCCTCTCCTGGCCTGTTGCTATGGAGTCGGGCTAATCCAAGACAATGTTTCAGTCGGTCCAATCCAAAGACAGCAGTGGTAGCAATGGAATAGCATTGAAATTATAAATATTTACTTGAAAATAATGCTCAAGCCAGACTTAACTGAAATGATAAGGTCCTGTTTACTTCTCTTGGTAGTAGCCAGCTGAAACAACCAAACCAGTTAAGCAACATTTTTTTTTTTTTTTTTTTGGTCAGGTATGTACTGAATCACTGGCAGCAAACTTGTGGGATTTTAGGAGAGAGCTTTTCTCTCTCTCTCTCTCTCTCTCTCAATTCTGGGCAGAATGCTTATTTTTGTTTCGTTTTGTTTGTTTTAAGGAAAACAACAACAGAACTTGAGGCTGGCTGAGTTTATTAGATTACTGATTATCACTGTTAGTTTCCCGCTGCTTGTATTTGTTGGGGGTGGTAAGGGAGATGAGGACAAGAATTCAGATGAAAAACACCCAGGCTTTTCTCTTCATGAAATCCCCCCTGTGAGGTTTTCCAGCTTGCCTTCCCATAACTTGATTCTGATGAGGTCTGCCATAGCTAACCTATTAAAGAGAACATTGAAATTGGTGGGTGAAAAGGGTTAAAAATACAGCTTAGCAGTGAATATATTCGGGTTTAGCACCCTTACTGGAGGCTGTGATTTCACTGGCCTTGGAATACCAGAGGGAATTGCAAAACATGTAGATAGAATGAAGAGATAGAGTGCAGATAGAGTGGGGACAGAACAGAGTGGTAAAGAGAACCAGGCTAAGGGTGGCTACTTCCCTCTGAAGGGTGGGTCATTCTTGCTAAAGTGGGTTTCTTGGTGAATTACAGTGGCAGCTCAGAGCTGGGTAAGAGGAGAAAATGCCATCCAATAAGGCTGGAGGCAGTTTGAAAGATGAATAATATAACATGCAGTGATTTCAAACTTCACGCTTTCTTATTGAAAGTTTTTCTTCCAGTTTGGAAGGCAAGTTTCAATCGATTCTCTTGTCTAATCCCTGCTTCCTGCCAGGCTGAGCTGTTGCTGTTTTCAAGAAGAAACCTGGGCCTTGATTTGAATGCTTCAAACACTCAGTGCTCAATTAGCCCTCTTTTGAATCCTCTCTGACGGTTGGTTAAATATGGGTCGAAAGTGCTTTTTTAAAGTGGAACTGATCTTGGGTTGAGGTAACTTAATCTTCCGGGTGTTAAGACGCTGAAAAATAATGTTTTAACGGAACAATTACTAGAAGACATGGAAATTGCATTAGGCTCGTCTGTCCAGTTCTATTTTATAGACATGAACATTTCAAAGTACAAAAGGCTATTCTATAAAAAGGACACTTGGCTATTCTTTATAAAGGTTCCCCTTGTACTTTTATAGAATGTTTACAAGGTTAATAAGTATGCTTTTTTTTTTATCACTGTATATTTTAAATGGCCCAACGACTGCTCCCACGTTGATTTGAGAATCATTGAAACTGCCTGAATGGAGCAGGGGTATCCTTTGTTTCCCATTGATTTGGAAACAAAAGACTCAGGGGGGAAAGAAAAGTTTAGTTTGCTTCTGAATGCCATATGCAGATGAACGTTCTGCTGATAAAATACACCAAGGATCTGAAAACTTTTTCAAGTCTTAGAACAGGAAGGTTACTCTTGCAGTCACACTGCATGTTTGAACCTGCCTTCCATTTTTCATTTCTCCCATTGTGCCCTGGGCTACCATGGGATTACTTATGTCACACACCCAAGTCTTCGGAAAAAAATAAACAGCAGTCAATAGAAGAGAACCACCATCAAACGAGGCAAAAGTTGTCTGCTGTTTCTTACTTAGGAAATACCCCATGGACATCATCAGTAAATAAGGTCCCCCACTTTCCCCCTCATCATTTTTCCCAATTTCTCTATATCCAAGATTCCCATCCTTGGCGCTAATATTTACGACTAGAACATTCTTTATTGTTGGTGGCTGTCCCGGGCAGTGTAGGGTGCTCACCAGTATCTGGTGACAGTAGCTGTTCCCTCTACAGTCATGAAAATAAAAAATGTGAAAATTGAGAGCTGGGCACAGTGGGTTCACCTGTAGCCCCAGCTACTCAGATGGCTGAGGCAGGAGGTTCCTTTAAGCCCAGGAGTTCTAGTCAAGCCTGGGTAATGTAGGAAGACATTGCCTCTAAAATACATATATACACATATATATTTTATATACAATATATTATATATTTTATATACAATATATTATATATTTTATATACAATATATTATATATTTTATATACAATATATTATATATTTTATATACAATATATTATATATTTTATATACAATATATTATATATTTTATATACAATATATTATATATTTTATATACAATATATTATATATTTTATATACAATATATTATATATTTTATATACAATATATTATATATTTTATATACAATATATTATATATTTTATATACAATATACTACATATGATATATTATATATAATTTATTATTTATATATAATATATATTATAGAATATATATTATGTAATATATATAATCATAATATATAATATATATAATAATATATTATATATATTATATATCATATATAACGCATATAATATATATTATATAATGCATATAATATATATTATATAAAACATAATATATATAATACATACAACATATAATATATTGTATATATAATACATACAATATATAATGTATTATATATAATATATTTTATATAATATATTATATATTATATATTTTATATAATATATTATATATAATATATTTTATATATAATATATATTTTATATATAAAACTAAAATAAATGTTATATATAATGTATAAATTTATATACAAATATAATTATACATAAATATAAATATCTAGAATATAGCATATATGGTATAGATCATATATATCATACTATATTATAATATATATTATAATATATAGTATTATAGTATGATATATACTATATTTTATATTATATACTATATACTATATGATATGCATCATATATTATATGATATATAGTACATACTATATATGTATCATATATTATATGATATATAATATATATAATATATAACATGTAGGATATACACTATATAATTTTATATATAATATAGTATACATATTATATATAAGTATGCAGCCTAAGCAATATGGCAAAACTCCGTCTCTACAAAAAAATTAGCTGGGGGTGGTGGTATGTGCCTGTGGTCTCAGTTACTCAGGAGTCTGAGGCGGGAGGATCAGCTGAACCTGGGGAGGTCGAGGCTGCAGTGAGCCACGACTGCACTTCAGCCTGGGCAACTGAGTGAGAACTTGTCTCAAAAAAAAAAAAAAAAAAAAAAAGTAAAGTGTCAACGTTGCCAATGTTTCCAAGAAGGGGAGGTGGGGGGTTGGCTTCTGGTTGGGAAATACTACTTGAGAACCATCTGCCCACAGACTCCTGCTTGAGAAAAGAAGAGGTTAGTTAAATGCTCAGCCAGTTATAATGAAAACAACTGGTTACAAAATCGTACTTTTAGTCAGAATTCATAGAGTAGAACTTAAAATAGACAAAAGGAAAGGGAAATAATGCATCAAGGGACCCAGAGATCACAGAATAGCCAGCCCTTCATTTTCAGGTGAGGGCCTCTGTGGGAAGGTGCGTTCCAAGCCACACAGTTGGAAGTTGAGCGAACTGAACCAAGGCTGGGCTTTTGTGTTTGCTGTTTAAACAGTGTGTGGTTTTACTCACCTACCATAGTGCTCCTCCTACTGGTGGGCACCTTAGAGTAGGCTGAAAACAACGTGTCTCACTGTCCTTTTTTGTTTGTCTCTGAGTATTTTTCCTTATGATCTTGAAGTAACATTTACTTAATTTGCAATGAATGAAAACAGGCATGTACAGCAATCGTTTAAAAAGTATATTTTATGAGGTTTTGTAAGGATAATAGATTAAAAATTATTGTAGTGACTGTAAATAAATATGGCTATAAAAAGTTAAATTCTTTTTGGCATATAAGATACATCTTTGCTCCTTTAGTAGGTGTAGTTTACATCAACTATTTTGTTATATATCTAAAAAAGAGAAGCCATGCCCAGAACCAAGTATTCCAAGTCCTATAATCATAAAGGTAATACTAGTAATGAGTGTTTCATGTTTACTTTTTAAAAAATAAGTTTTGAATTATGAGCTGTCCTGAGCAATAGCACAGGTGGACAGAATAGCATCACAAACAGTCCTGAGCTCAGCACTCTGCTTGACTGGTTTTGAGCTCTCCTGTTTCAGGGTCTTTTCAGGTCCTTCTGGCCAGGAACCGTCTTTCCTTTGCAGGGCTCACACCTTCCTTCCTTCATGCAAGCCTCTGCTGAGATGTTATCTCTTCGGACAGGTCTCCTGACTGCTCTATTTGTAGTGAATGCAACTCCTAAATGTATTCTGTATCATAAACAAAAAGCACCCTCCATCTCCCCTGGTCACTCTTCATAGCACTTATTATATATTTGTTTGACTTATTTATTGTCTAGCTTATCCAACTAGAATCCAGGCTGTGACTCGCTGAGGGCTTTGTTTTGTCTACCAATACCCAGAAGGATGCCTGTTATACTGCAGGCACTGAGTAAATATCTATTGAATAAAAGTATTATTGCCTGGGCAAACTTTGTAGGCAAGAGCAGGCTAGTAACAGTTTGGTGTAGGTTGATGAATTCTTACACTCTGGTAAATGACCTTTGTCTTTTTAAGTATAATAATATTATGTTTAATGTTTAAATGGCTTAACACGACAAATTATATTTCCAAGAGTTAATCATTTATCCATCTTAAATAACAGGTCTTGTTTTCAGTAGAGAAAAGTTTAAGAAGAAATATAAAAAATGGCCTTTCAGCCTACTGATCAGAGAAGCCCTAGTGACACTTAAACAAGCAAACAAACAAATAAAAACACGAGTTTAGGCTGCGGCTGCTCATGCCTGTAATCCCAGCACTTTGGGAGGCTGAGGCAGGCAGATCACCAGCCTGGCCAACATGGTGAAACTCCGTCTCTACTAAAAATACAAAAATTTGCCAGACGTGGTGGCACATGCCTGTAATCCCAGCTATTCCGGAGGCTGAGGCAGGAGAATTGATTGAACCTGGGAGGCGGAGGTTGCAGTGAGCCAAGACTGGGTCACCGCACTCCAGCCTGGGTGATTGAGCGAGACTCTGTCTCAAAAAAAAAAAAAAAGTTTAGAGTTAGAAACTTAAAATTTTATGGAAAGGTACAGAATAAAAAGTGGCAGATGTTCCCCTGTGTACTTTCTTGTTCCTTTCATAAAAATAAAACTCCTGTAACTAATTTCTCATGGATTGTTCCAGAAAAAATTTTCTATGCCTATAGGCATAACTTTATCAACAAAATACACATTCTCTTAAATTGCTTTAAAGATACACACACATGCACGTGCACTTCCCAGAAGTTTCTGTAACAACCCTTGCACAATTTATACTTAGATATTTATTTGCACAACCATATTGTGAATATCACCTCCACCTGTCTGCCTGTCCCCTGTTCCCTCCCTAGTGCCTGGCACGCAGCAGGTAATGACCTATTCATTGAGTGAATAACTAAACTAGTACATCCTCGTTTAACAGAAGGCACTATGCTTTTATTAATGCACCCTGACAAACAGAATTCTTATACCACTAGTTAAGTTCTTCAAGATTCATACTCAATGAATATTGATGGTTTTTTTAAAAATTGATTTTGTTCTAGGTGCTTTCACATGAATGGGATCCTCAGGCTAATCTCCTGAAGTGGTTATTTTAATTCCTGTTCTTCAGATGAGAAAATGGAGACTCACAGAGTTAAAGCCAAATTATATAATAAGAGCTTAATTCTAGGAAAAGGTTCTAGGCCTTTGTGCCCTACTTATATTTCTAAGTCTCTTCCTTTCTGCTAGTTTCAAAAGTAAGAATGCTATGAATGTTTAAGCTTAGCTCTGAATACCAAATATTTCTGTACAGTCTGTCATGCTACAAAGGTTCATTTCAAATCTAATTAGCCCAGCAGATAAAACAAGGAGCTGGAGACTCTAAATAAACCACTAACAAACAAAAAACACCTCTAACACAAAAGAAATCTCTTGATGGTGTAAAAACTAAGCAATGTGGCTTCTAAGAACGTGGCTTCTGAACAGCTCAGAATCAAAACACAGGAAGTAAGCTGTTAATGGCACAATGAAATGAATAAAAACTATTTTGGGGGTGAACCAGAATTTGCTCTGCTATTTACTGGTTCGTGTTCAAAGTGGGGAGAGGGGCCTTGGGGTCAAGAGTTTCCCCAGTGGCCCTATTTCCAAGAAGAAATAGCCAATACACAACTCTGTAAAAAAATTAAAAAACATGGAATTGCACACTTAAAATGGATGAATATTATGATATGTAAATCATGTCTCAATCAAGCTGTTAGAAAGAAAGAAAGAAGAAAGAAAAAGCAAGCAAGCAAGCGAGCCAAATTTAATGCGGTTTTACTTTGCCAGCTGTCAGCTGGTACAGATTTTGGTCGTGTGTGGTGTGTGTGTGTGTGTGTGTGTGTGTGTGTTTAAAAAATGTGGTCTGTGATCCAGAGCATACCAGGATGTGGGAGACTCACAGGTTACTGTTTAATATTATATAGAAAACGTGTGCAGAGCCAAGGAGGGGAAAACAGTTCTGTAATTAAAAGACAGGACTAGGGCTTCCTGAGATGTAAAAATAGATGAAAAAGGTGAATCTTTTGTTCTGTGGGTGTTGCCACAACGTCACCTACTAGGGTGAAACTGCAGTGTGTACCACTCGCCTCCCACTTATAGCTGGTCCGTTGATTCCGTTGACTCGGAATAGCAGCCTTGTTCCATCTGCTGGAGTCAGAGGTTTATGGAGGCAGAAAGTGTGTGGAATTATTTCCAAAAAAAATAATCACAGGAACGGGGAGAGGGAGGGAGGAAGAGAGAGAGAAAAAGAGAGAGAGAGAGAGAGAGACAGAGAGAAAGGAGAAATGAATTTTCAGAATAGAATGAGGTTGGCTGTGTTTGCATTAAAACATTTAAATGAACACTGCAAAAGCTATAAACTGATGCTTCCTTAAGAAGAGCTGTTGGGATTGGACCAGAAAAAAGAACCTCAAAAGGGAAGGGATGGGCAGGAGGGAACTTGCTACTGAGAGGAGTAGGGTTTGCAGGTTTGCAGTTATACCTGTTGCTGTGGTTTGATGCCCCTGTGACTGCGAGGCAAGAAAAAGTAGGTGGAACGTGAGGCTCTCTGCCAGCCAAGGGGCCAGGGGAGACCCCACACACACTCTGCATCAGTGCCTCACCACAGGAAGGAGGATAAGGACAAACAAGCACCCCCTCCATGCCAAACAACAAAACAAAACCTTCTTATTCAATGTAAAAGGAAAAAAAACCCAAAAAAACAGGTAAGGTATTTCCCACTCTCCCACTTTTTTTTTTTTTTAAGAGCGAGAGTTTCACTCTTGCCCAGGTTAGAGTGCATTGGTGCAATCCTAGCTCATTGCAGCCTCAACTTCCTGGGCTCAACCAATTCTCCCACTTTAGCCTCCCAAGTAACTGGAACTACAGGAATGGACCAGGGTGGCCGGCTAATTTTTAAAATTTTTTTGTAGAGACAGTTTCATTAAGTTGCCCAGGCTGGTCTCACACTCCTGGCCTCAAAGGCTCCTCCCACAGCGCTGGGATTACTGGCATGAGCCACAGTGCCCAGCCAACTGAGGTAATTTTTTTTTTTTTTTTGAGACAGGGTCTCGCTCTGTCACCTAGGCTGGAGTGCAGTGGTGCAATCTCAGTTCATTGCAATCTCTGCCTCCTCAGTTCAAGCGATTCTCCTGTCTCAGCCTCCCAAGTAACTGGGATTACAGGCACACACCACCATGCCCGGCTAATTTTTGTATTTTTATAAGAGATGGGGTTTCACCATGTTGACCAGGATGGTCTCGATCTCCTCACCTCGTGATCCACCCGCCTCAGCCTCCCAAAGTGCTGGGATCACAGGCGTGAGCCACCACACCCGGCCTCAACTGAGGTAATTTTTTGAGAAATTCTGGGCAAATGCCCTCACTTACCACTGATCATAGGTTTAAAAACGCCAATAAAACTTGTTTATTGCTTAAGACTAGGGCAGTAGTTACCCTGCTGGGGAAGTGATAGAAGGGGGTGCAGAGGTGTCCCTTTGTGAAAACCCATCAAGCTGGATATTCCTGATTTTTCCACTACTGTGTATCTAGGAAATATTTGACTTTTTTTCTTTTACAATTTTTACAAATATTGTTTATTTTAATGAAGCTGGTGTAGACAATGTCCATTTAAAACCCGATATCCCAGGCCAAAAAGTACAAATAAAAAAGAGCAGTATTCTGTTGTATTCATTTCTGCATGTATACCTTTATTGATAATGAAAATCAGAACTTTTCTGGGATCTTCTGACAAGATTAAGAAAAAAAAAATCTTCAAATGTCTTTTCTTCAGGGAAGCCATCTTTGGAGTTAGTCGTTACTCTCAACCTTATCTGTCACCTTGACTTAACCTGATGCTCCTTTTCTTTTGGTCCAGACCCTCAAATCTTAAAAATAGCTTCAAGTTGTTAAGGAGAGGTCATTTTTCCACAGCTCAGTTCTCTAAAAAACTTCCATCTCCCACCAAAAGTCATAGTCCAGGAGTGAAACAATCACATGGTTGAAAATCAGGGCCAACTGGAAAGTCATTATGAATACTTGCATTGGTCAATCTTATCATCTGAAAATGTACAGTCCTGAAAAAGGTGGCCTCTCTGTGCACACATAATTTTTATAAAAGGAGAGGGCAATATGAAGAGGCCTGAGCCTTGATCACCAGAAATCAGCATAATGAAAACAAACAATAATGAATAATGAACACTAGAATTCAAATTACCAGATGTTTTAAAGAGATGGAGTGCCTGTTTTCAATTCCGTTTTAAATACCATGCTACAAAAGAACTATTTAAAAAAATAAAAAAGGATTGAGGGAAAAGGAAAAAAAAAAAGAATGTCTAAACTGTTGAATGACCTCCGATTTGTTCCTGATAAACCTCAATCACATCTTCTTCCTCCATTCCCAGTTCTTCTGGAGTATGATTATCAGCAATTCTCTGACCTTCAAAGAGAAACCTGAGGGAATTCACTGGAACGCCCTGTCTCTGACAGTACGATTTCTTGAGTTTCTTGAGAGGTGTTGTCATTTTCACTTTGAAATGAATCTCACTGCTATCCTGTCCAATAACCCTGAGTTTAATATCTTCATCTTTTATCTTATCCCCCAAATGCTCAGTTGAAGGTTTTGCCTCCAGGTCAGACATGGTGATGGGGCATTCACCTGCAGGTCTCCGAACAGCAGCAGTCTCGGGGTAGGCAGAACCTCGCTCTGGCGTTTACAATGCCATCTCCCTTCGTCACAGCACGACACCATGGCGGCAGTCACTTCCGCTATGCCTCACGACACTTCTGCTACGCCTTGCATCACTTACGGTGCACCTTGCATCACTTCCGCTAGGCGCAGAGAGGAGGGAGGGAGAAGAGCTAACTTTTTTTTTTTTAAGTACCGATATGTATTCCCTGTTCCTGCTTCCTCATCAATTTCAAACTTAACATGACCCAAAGAGAACTTGGGTTCTCTGTTCTCAGGGGCTGCCAGCCATCTTTTCCCAGCCTCACTCCAACAACTTCAGCACATCCTTGATTCTTCTTTCTCTAATCTCCTCACCCAGTCTGGATAGCCTGTTGTCTCTCCCTCTAGAACAGGTCTCAAATCTCCTGGCTTTACCCCATCTTCATCGAGCTGGCCGAGTCCATGTAGTATTTTGGCTGGACAACTGCCACACACTCCCAGTTGGTTTACCCCCTGCTTCACTTGTCTCCCTCTCCAGCGAATCCATTCTCCATTTCCATTTGATTTTATTTTATTATTTTATTCTATTTCATTATTATTTTTTGAGACAGAATCTCGCTCTGACACCCAGGCTGGAGTGCAGTGGCACGATCTCGGCTCACCACAACCTCCGCCTCCCGGGTTCAAGCAATTCTCCTGCCTCAGCCTCCTGAGTAGCTGGGATTATAGGCATGTGCCATGATGCCAGGCTTTTTGTATTTTTTAGTAGAGACGAGTTTTCACCATGTTGGCCAGGCTGGTCTCAAACTCTTGACCTCAAGTGATCCGCCCGCCTCAGCCTCCCAAAGTGCTGGGATTACAGGCATGAGCCACCGCTCCCGGCCCCCATTTCCATTTTATAAGAATGGAAATCAGATAACGACATTCTCCTTCTGTAAAACCTCCCCATGGCTTCCCTTCACATTGAAAGAACCACCCAGGCTAGGGAGAAGCCTTCTGGTGTCACACAAGAAAAGCCATGGCCACCTCCCCTCATCCCTTCCCTCCTCCCTCTTGGTCATTGTGTTCTGGTCTCCTTCTGTCCCTCCAACATGCGTAGCTCATTCCTTCCTCGGCGACTTTGCCTTGCTGTCCTCTGTCCCAGGTCTCGGCCCTAATGTCTCCTCGCCACAAAGGCTGTCCCTGGTCACCTGTGTGGTTGCCACTCACCGTCTCATCACCTTCGAAACCCCTGTCACTGCTGGACATGTGATCTTACCTCTTTGTTTTGTTGTTTATTGGATGTTTCCCTCATTAGGATATAAGTGCCCAGAGGGGCAAGAACTGTCTACCTTACACTACCCTACACTACTTCGGGTGTATAAAAACAATTTGAATGGTCACATGCTTAAAACCCGATTCCTGAACTTCCCATTCCCACCGTCAGCGCCTCCCTCCTGTCCTGATCCTCCCCTGGTCTTCCCCTCTCAGCGCACGGCAACTCTATTCCTTCAGCGGCTCAGACCCAGATATTGGAGGAGTCCGGGGTGCCCCTTTTCCCCTCACATTCCACACTCATCCTGTCCGCACCTTCAGTTGCCTTTACCTTGAGAGAGCCTGAGACCACCTCTGTGTCCTGCTTCCGCCCTGGTCTGGGCAGCCACAGGGGTTCCTGGAGCTTCCTGCAGTCGCTGCACTTACTGTCTCTACATCCCCCTGTGCCCTCCTTCAATCTAGTCTCTGGAGTGAGGTTATTTGAAAATCATTTCCAATGCCACATCTCTTTCCAGAGTTCTCCAAAGACGGCCAGCTCAGAGTGAAATCTAAAGCCATTTAGTCACATCAGCCCAAATGCCCCTCTCTGACCGGCTCGCCCACCTACCATCCTTTTCCTTGCTTATTCCACTCTGGGGACACTATCTAAGGGCACGCCTCTGAGGCCCTGTGAGTCTGCTGCTCTCTTTCTGGAAGGACCTCTCCCAGATGCTACTCAGTGCTCCCTTCCTTGTGGAGGTCTCTGCTCAGTGAGGTCCTCTCCAGCGTCTCCCTTTAAAATTGTCCCCTCGGGACAGGAGCTGTGGCTCCTGCCTGCAATTCCAGGGCTTTGGGAGGCCAAGGTGGAAGGATCACTTGAGCCCAGGAGTTCAAGACCAGGCTGGGCAAAATGGTGAAACCCTGTCTCCACAAAAAAATACAACACTTAGCCAGGCATGATGGTGCAGACTTGTGGTCCCAGCTACTCCGGTGGCTGAGGTGGGAGGATTGTTTGAACCCAGGAGTTGGAGGCTGCAGTGAGTTTTGATAGTGTCACTGCATTCCGGCCTGGGTGACAGAGTAAGACCCTGTTCTTTTGTTTTGTTTTTAAATGCCCCCTTATACACATGGTCCTCCCCTATCTATCTCCCTATTTTTTCTCCAGAGCACTTCTGACTCCTCAGACGTGTGTCGTTTTTATTATTTGTTGATGCTCTTCTCCCACTACAATGTAAGTTCCACGTGGGAGTGGATTTCTGTCTTTTTGTCACTGTGGTATCCTCATAGTTCAAATTGGTGCCCAGCAGGTATTAAACACTCATAGATATTTGCTAATTGAATGAACTAGTGATGATGTTCACTGTTGAACAGCATACGGTACAAATCTAAGTCCTCATCCAGTGAGCGAATTAATGATAATTAAAAGAAATTTACCAAACTTCAAACTCACTCAATCAACAAAGATATATAGAGTTTCTATTGTAAGTCTGGAACTGATCTACCCTGATCTACAGTGTTGAATGAAATAGACGAGATCTCTGACCACCTGAAATTAGCAGTGTACTTGGGGAAAATCCACTGATCAAAGAATCATAGAAACGTTTCATCACAAACTTGGTACTGCTGGCAAGGAAAAGTCAAGAACTCTCGGAGTGTAGTTCCATTTGAGAACTAGGAGGGCTTCTGTGAGGAGGTGACATCTGAGCTGAGATGAGAAGGTTGAGATGGTGAAGGGAAGAGGTACAGGGGTGGAGAATGGGGAGAAAATTTCAGGCAGAAGAAACTTCAGAGGCAAAGTCCCCAGTCCCTGGGTAATGGTTAATCATTTACATCTTACTGCTTCCAATATTCTGGTTTCTGATGATTACTATGATTTAACTTCATTTTTTAGCTACCAGTAAAATATTGGTGATAATTTGCATTCTTTACCTCCATATTGGAGGGATGGGAAATGCCTCCAAACCCAGGATTCTAATTAAATTTGGGAGACCACAGAGTTTATGCAGCGTGTGGTTGGATTTTTACATCATCCTTGTTTGTTTTCTTCTCTTTCCAGTCCTTCGACACTGGCTAGTCATTAAAATTTAGAGCTCACCCTAGGTTAAGTGGACAATTTCCTGGAAAACAGCTGGTTGAGCTCCCCCCTGTGCATCGCTGAAATAAACATCCCCTTTGGAAAAAGGCTTCCTTTAATACCTTCCTGCTTAGCATCTTTTTGCAGTCTATATTCCTGTTTTGCATGACTTCTCAGAAAAAATCTAGAATGATAAGTAAAATAATAGGCAAGGTTTATTAAGCACGTCATTGCTTCACACTACCGTCCTGGGAGCTAGGCACTATTATTATCCTGTATTCACAGATGAGGACCCGAGGCTTGGGAAGCTAATGTGTTTCACACCAGTCAATAATGAGCAGAGGCAGGTTTAACACCCAGGACCATGTGACTCAACAACTTGTGCTCTTAACCATTGAGCCACAAGGCCTCCCTGGCCCTAAACGTGAAGGTCTCCTGTCAGTTTCAATTTCCCCAGCTGTTACATGAAGGCATTGCAATTGCACCCAGCATTCTACAGTAGCTGTGCAGAGGGTGGGATTGGTGTTTTCTCTTGTAGAGGGAACCAACTCTATCTTAACCTAAAACTTGGCTGGGCGCTGGGGCTCACGACTGTAATCCCAGCACTTTAGGAGGTGGAGGAGGGTGGATCACCTGAGGTCAGGAGTTTGAGACCAGCCTGACCAACATGGTGAAACCCCATCTCTACTAAAAATACCAAAATTAGCTGGGTGTGGTGGTGCGCGCCTGTAGTCCCAGCTACTCAGGAGGCTGAGGCACAAGAATCGCTTGAACCCAGGAGGCGGAGGTTGCAGTGAGCTGAGATCGCGCCACTGCACTCCAGCCTGGGTGACAGGGCGAGACTCCGTCTCAAAACAGAACAAAACAAAACAAATCTTGTGCTAAAAAAGTTTAATACATGGATGTTGAGTAACTCACAGGTGGAGAAAGGAGTCCTAAGAAACAAAGAAATACAGAGGCAGAGAGGAAGAAGAGAGGAGGAGTAGGGGGGTGGGGAGAGAGAGAGAGAGACAGACAGACAGACAGACAGACATGAGCTAAGGCCTAGCTCCCAGGATGGTTGTGTGAAGCAACAACAAGCTTAATAAACCTTGGCTGTTGTTTTGTTTATTATTCTTCTAGATGTTTTTGTCAAAAGTCCCACATTTCTAGGGAACAGAAATGCTTCTTGAGAACTTTCTGCTGGAAGGGGTGAGCTGCAATTCTGTTTTCTACTCCATGTCACTCTGGTAAAGATTCTCCATCCCTGCAATTAGAGTTTGATGATTTGCCTTGGCCATGGACTCATTCCTTGGCTGAGGGAGAACAGGCTGTCTTCATTAACACTCTGCTGAGATGGCTGACAATGGTTTGTGAGGGTAGATAATCCGCTCAAGTCGCTGTGTAACCCAAAGAACCCGAAATGAATGCTGGGCTTTTCAAACCCAGCCATTACTCTTCCTTCCTCGTGGTCACCTCCTGTAGAAAGGCTGGAAGTGAAACCTAATTCAGTCTCGATTCTGTCTTTTGCTCCCACTTTTGAGAGCTCATCTTTATTCAGAAGGTGCCTGGTACGGTACCAGGCACGTAGTAGGTGCTTAGCCAGCCAATGGTGGGGCAAATAAATGAATAGAAAAGAAAAACACATCCTCACTGTTTAACAATTGCTCCCTTCACCGAAGCTGCCTAAAAGAAGACTTCCTTCTGCTGGGCTTTTTGAGGAGGTCCAACGAATAGCCCTTTCTTCCCTGCCTGGCTTCTTAAGCAGCTGAGCCATAAGATAGAAGAATAAGCCAAAATGTGGGCCTGGCACGGTGGCTGACGCCTGTAATCCCAGCACTTTGGGAGGCCGAGGCAGGTGGATCACCTGAGGTCAGGAGCTCAAGACCAGCCTGACCAACCAGGTCTCTACCACAAATACAAAAATTAGCTGGGGCATGGTGGCGTGTGCCTGTAATCCCAGCTACTTGGGAGGGTGAGACAGGAGAACTGCTTGAACCCAGGAGACGGAGGTTGCAGCGAGCCAAGATCGCACCACTGCACTCCAGCCTGGGTGACACAGAAAGACTCGCCATCACAAAAAAAAAAAAAAAAAAAAAGCCTGGGTGTGGTGGTTCACGCCTTTAATTCCAGCACTTTGGGAGGCCGAGGTGGGTGGATCACGAGGTCAGGAGATCAAGGCCATCCTGGCTAACACGGTGAAACCCCGTGTTTACTAAAAAAAATACAAAAAAATTTAGCTAGGCGTGGTGGCGGGTGCCTGCAGTCCCAGCTACTCAGAAGCAGGAGAATGGCGTGAAACTGGGAGGCGGAGCTTGCGGTGAGCCGAGATCGTGCCACTGCACTCCAGCCTGGCAGACAGAGTGAGACTCTATCTCAGAAAAAAAAAAAAAAAAAAAAGTCAAAATATCACCTTTATTGCTGAAAAGTCTATAAATATGTGTGGGCCACAGGGCTTGCCAGCACTGACCAGAATTAGGCAACCCCTCCAACTCCAACAGGAACAGAGAACACAAGATCCATGGGCAACTCCCTCCTACCCAAATATACAAGGAGCAGGTGGCAGCTCAGCCGCTTTCTTCTTCCCCAATCTACCAGCCAGATCAATCACTCCTCTTGCAGCATGGAGTGGGGAAGGGGCAGAGACAGGCCAGGAGTTTTAGGAGCTGGGCTTTCTTCTGGGGGAAGATGCCTTTCCTCCCAGCCTCCTGACTAGGCCCCTGTGGGCCTAGGGATGTGCAGAAGGGGTGTTGGCCCCAAGCTGATAAGAATCTACTCTGCAAGTCCTGTTCATTCTCTGTGTGGCTATCTACTGATTACTTTTTCACAGCCTGTGACTAAAAAAATTTCCGTTACCTGAGACATGATATTAAAACGCCTGGTTTTGAAAAGTAGGGTTTGTCAAATGACTGTGAAAGTTCTCTTGCAACAGAAAAGTAAAAATCCCTCAGAAAAGCAAGATCTAATAATTCAAAAAGCAAGATATAATAATAATAATTATTATCATTGACTGGGTGACATCCAAAAGTCAGTTTATCCAATGCCAGGAACTGAAATGTCTGGCCCGCCAGGAGAACAGTGGCTGAGCTCCATGATGCTCCTGAGTTTGAACTTTTGCTCTGCACCTTGTCAGCTGTGTAAACTGAGGCTTGTTACATATGTGTGTGTGTGTGTATATATATATATATAATTACAATTTTTCATGTTCGTAGGTCTATGGTAGGTGTATATACTTATGGTGTGCATTAGATGTTTTGATATAGGCATGCAATGTGTAATAATCACATTATGAAAAATGGAGTATCCATCTCCTCAAGCATTTGTCCTTTGTGTTACAAACAATCCAGTTATACTTTTTTAGTTATTTTGAAATGTACAGTTTAACTATTATTGACTATAGTCACCCTGTTGTGTTATCATATACTAGGTCTTATCCATTCTTTCTAACTTTCTTTGTTCTTTGTACACATTAGCCATCCCCACCTTCCCCCACCCTACCACACCACCCCATCCCCTCTCCCCTGCCACCCAACCCCACACTTCCAGCTTCTGGAAACCATCCTTCTCTTATCTCCATGAGTTCAACTATTTTGATTATTAGATCTCACAAATAAGTGAGAATGTGTGATTTTCGTCTTCCTGTGTCTGGCTTATTTCAGTTAATATGATGACCTCCAATTCCATCCACATCGTTGCAAATAACAGGATCTCATTCTTTTTTATGGCTGAATAGTACTCCATTGAGTATATGTACCAAATTTTCTTGATCCATTCATCTGCTGATGGACACTTAGGTTGCTTCCAAATCTTGGCTATTGTGAACACTGCTGCAACAAACATAGGAGTGCAGATACCTCTTTGATGTTCTGATGTGCATTCTTTTGGACATATACCCAGCAGTGGGATTGCTGGGTCATATGGTAGCTCTATTTTTAGTTTTTTGAGGAACCTCCAAACTGTTCTCCATAATGGTTGTACTAAGGTGCATTTCCACCAACAGTGTATGCGGGATCCCGTTTCTCTACATCCTTGCCGGAATTTGTTATTGCCTGTCTTTTGAATATAAGCCATTTTAACTGGGTTGAGTTGAGATCTCATTGCAGTTTTGATTTTCATTTCTCTGATGATCAGTGATGTTAAGCACCTTTTCATATGCCTATTTGCTATTTGTATGTCTTCTTTTAAGGAATATCTAGTCAAACCTTTTGTCCATTTTGAGTGGGTTATTATATCTTTATATTTTTTATTTTTTTTAGACAGGGTCTTACTCTGTCACAGAGGCTGGAGTGTGGTGACTCAATCATGGCTCACTGCAGCCTCAACCTCCTGGGCTCAGGCGATCTTCCCACCTCCCAAGTAGCTGAGACCACAAGCACAAGCACATGCCACCATGCCCAGCTAATTTTTTCTTGAGATGGGGTTTCACCATGTTTCCCAGGCTGGTCTTGAACTCCTGACCTCAAGTGATTCACCTGCCTCAGCCTCCCAAAGTGCTGAGATCAAAGGCGTGAGCCACCTCACCAGGCCAGATTTTTTTCCTACAGAGTTATTTAAGTTTCTTTTATTTTCTGATTATTAATCCCTTGTCAGATGGGTAGTTTGCAAATATTTTCTCCCATTCTGTGGGCTGTCTCTTCACTATGTTGATTGTTTCCTTTGCTGTGCAAAAGTCTTGTAACTTGATATGATACCATTTGTCAAAGCTTGTTACTTAATCCATCTGGACCTTATTTACACAACTATAAAATAGGGATGGTAATAGCATCCATTCCTTAGGCTTTTTAGTGGCGATTAATTGAAGATATATATGCATTTCAAACACACACACACACACTAGTGCCTGGCATATAGTAAGTTCCTAATAAATGTGGTTGATACTGTTATATGATTTGTATTATTGGTGATGATAGTTGGGGTCCTTGGGTCACCATGAAATATAAGTTATTCACTCTTATTATCCCCGTTGTCTATTTGCTAATGTGCAACAGAAGTGCACTGGGATGCCGGGTGTGGTGGCTCATGCCTATAATCCCAGCACTTTGGGAGGCCGAGGCGGGCAGATCACTTGAGGTCAGGAGTTTGAGACCAGCCTCGCCATCATGGTGAAACCCCTTCTCTACAAAAAATAATAAAAAAAGAAAAATTACCCAGGCATGGTGGCACATGCTTGTAACCCCAGCTACTTGGGAGGCTAGGGCGCGAGAGTCACTTGAACCTGGGAAGCAATTGTGCCAAGATTGCACCACTGCACTCCAGCCTGGGTGAGAGCGAGACTCTATCTCAAAAAAAAAAGTGCCCTGGGAGAGCAGTCTGGGAGTCCAAGTTCAAATCCAATCTCTGGTGTTTTCTACTATGTGATAATTGGCAAGGTCACTAAGCTTCTTTGAGCCTCAGTTTCCTTGCCAGTTATGAGTGACAAAGAATCAGAGGAAAGATCAATTTGACCTTGGAACAGGAACTTTGTGCTCCCTGGAGCATTCTTTCCTTCCGGCTTTTCTTTAGTTAATACCTGTTCAGCTGGCTGCTGCCTCTGTAGGGGAGCCCTCCACAACCTCCTAGACAGAGTCAACTCCCCTGCTCTTATCCCATTGTGTCTATTCACTTGCTCCACAAATTTTAATGAGCAACTACCTTCCAGACACTGCTCTAAGGTCAGAGTGATGAACAAGCAAAACGTGGCCTTGGGCTTTCTAAATTGGGAAGAAAAAGTCAAGGGACTCTCCTACAATATCGTGTTCTCCAAGGTGACCTTCTCTCCCCAGGTGGGCTTGTTCTAGGTTGTGGACATGATCCACATGCTCCAGACCTAGGAACACACACACACACACACACACACACACACACACACATTCACTTACCTTCTCCCTAGACTAGAAACCTTGTAAACCTACATATCGGTTTCTAGCTGAGAATACATTGAATTTCCCCAAAAATGTTCTCCCAGCCTCAGGACTCCTCTGCACCCCAGACTGAGATTATTCAGAGGCGTTACTTAGCCTCTTCTGAGAGCTCCTTTCTGAACATTATGGTGTTAGAGGAGCACCAAGGCTCTGACTCAATCTACTAAGAGGTGGGGTTCACTGAGGGGCTCCACCACAGGCAAACAAGTGCAGGAAACAGCATAAAACCAAACCAACCAGAAGTAGATAGGTCATTTCCTTTCTCACTCCTGTCTGGGATGCCTTTGGCAAGCTTCACTGGGAAAGGAGGAGCCAGAGAGCTGAGCTATTAACACACCTGAGTGTCCTCACTCTGCCACTTAGTACCAGCGTGGCCTCAGGCGAGGAGCTAACTCATTTTAGGCCTTGGTTGCTTCATCTGTAAAATGGGATGATGGTGTTGACTTCATAAGATCAACATGCGTGCTAATGGTGATAACACACGACAAGTGTTCACTATTATGCTTGCAGCATAACTGCTGAATAAATATGAGCTACTATTACTATTAGGATGCATGCCATTCTTCTTACATAAGAGAAAGACAAAAGTGGTTTGATGAAAATACGTAACGAATAAAATACACGGAATATATGATTCTTCTCTCCCCCCCACCACGCTCCCCCACCCACATGGCTGACTCATGTCACTTTTGAGATCACGGTGGAAATGTCATCTCCTGAGAGAAGGCTGTCCTTTGAGGCAGTTATTCCCAACCTTGGCTGCACACTGAAACACCTGGGGAGCTTTTCCAAATAATGGTGCTGGTTCAACCCCCAGAGGTGCTGCCTGGATGTGGACTTTTTTTTTTTTGAGATGGAGTCTTGCTCTGTTGCCAGGCTGGAGTGCAGTGGCACAATCTCAGCTCACTGCAACCTCTGCCTCCCGGTTTCAAGCGATTCTCCTGCCTCAGCCTCCCAAGTAGCTGGGATTACAGGCATGCGCCACCTCGCCCCGTTAATTTTTGTATTTTTAGTAGAGACGGGGTTTCAGCATGTTGGCCAGGATGGTCTTGATCTCTTGACCTCGTGATCCGCTTGCCTCAGCCTCCGAAAGTGCTGGGATTACAGGCGTGAGCCACCGCGTCCAGCAAGGATTTGGAGATTTTTAAGTGCTCCCAGGGAGCTCTAGCGTTTAGCCCAGCTGGAGAGTCACTACTGCTTTTAGAGGCAGTGTAGCGTGGTAACTGAAAGCACAGCCCTGGAGCCAGACTTCTCAGGTTCGAATCCTGATTCTATGGCTCACTAGCTATATAACTTTGGGCAAGTTATCAAAACTCTTAAGGCCTCAGTTTCTTCATATGTAAAATGGGTATAACGATCATAACAGACCTATCTCACAGTGTTGTGAAGACTAAATGAATTAATATATGGCATAGACTTAGTGTTGGAAAGACACGGAGTGTTCACCAAAAATAAAATTTGAAGGCCCTCCCTGCCTTCCCACCATCTGGATGGACCCCCTTCCTCAGCCAGTGCACTCCAAATTTAACCTGAAAGGCTGGTTCAGGCCATGACAGGAAAGAGGGGGAGGTTGGACATGCCTCATTATGCCCTCCTCCCTTTTGTAATTCAAGAAAGCCAATGAGCATTTAACATCAACATAGACCTTAAGTCTGATAAGAAACATTTACAATCTATTCTCTCTGAAGCCTGCTACCTGGAGGCTTCATTTGCATGAGAAAACTTTGGCCTCTGCAACCGCTGATTGTAGCCCAGATATTCCTTTCTATGGATAATAACTTTTTCAACCAATTGCCAACCAGAAAATTCTATTTTTAAAAATTTTTATTTATTTATTTGTTTGTTTATTTATTTATTTATTTTTCAGACAGAGTCTCACTCTTGTCACCCAGGCTGGAGTGCTGTGGCACGATCTTGGCTCACTTCAACCTCCGCCTCCCAGGTTCAAGCGATTCTCCTGCCTCAGCCTCCTGAGTAGCTGGGATTACAGGCGCCTGCCATCATATCCGGCTAATTTTTGGACTTCTAGTAGAGACGGGATTTCACCATGGTGGCCAGGCTGGTTTCGAACTCCTGACCTCAGGTGTTCCGCCCACCTCGGCCTCCCAAAGTGCTGGGATTACAGGCGTGAGCCATCGCGCCCGGCCGCCAGTCAGAAAATTTAAAAATCTACCTATCAAGATATCAAAATCTACCTTTCCAGCACTAAGTCTGTGTCATATATTAATTCATTTAGTCTTCATAACACTAAGAGATAGGTTTGTTATTATCATAGGTAGAACCTGGAACCACCTTCCCCTCACCCCGCTTAAAGTTGTCCCATTTTTCTGGACTGAACCAATGTATATCTTACATGTATTTGATGTCTTATATCCCCTAGAATATAAAAGCCGAGCTGTGCCCTGTCCACCTTGGGCATATGTTCTCGTGGTCTCTCAAGGGTGCTGTCATGGGTCATGGTCACTCACATTTGGCTCAGAATAAATCTCTTAAAAAATTTCACAGAGTTTGACTCTTGTTGTTGACAATAGCGAGGTCTTTAGTTTTAATTCCTTTTTTATTTTAATTTTAAATACATTTTTATTGTGGTAGAATATACATAACATAAAATTTACCATTGTAGCCATTAATAAGTGCACAACTCGGCGGGGCGCGGTGGCTCACGCCTATAATCCCAGCACTTTGGGAGGCCGAGGCGGGCAGATCACAAGGTCAGGAGATCGAGACCACGGTGAAACCCCGTCTCTACTAAAAATACAAAAAAATTAGCCGGGCACAGTGGCGGCGCCTGTAGTCCCAGCTACTAGGGAGGCTGAGGCAGGAGAATGGCGTGAACCCGGGAAGCGGAGCTTGCACTGAGCCGAGATCGCGCCACTGCACTCCAGCCTTGGCGACAAAGCGAGACTCCGTCTCAAAAAAAAAAAAAAAAAAAAAGTGCACAACTCAATGGGATTCAATGCATTTCCAATGTTGGATGACCAACACCACCATCCATTGCCAACACTTTTTCATCATCCCAAACAGAAACTCTGTACTCCTTAAATAACAACCCCCCATTCTCCCCAGCAGTCCCCGAGCCTCTATTGTACTTTCTGTCTCTGTAAATTTGTCTGTTCTATGTACCTCATAAAAATGGAATCATAGAATATTTTTCTCTTGGGTTTGGTTTATTTCACTTGGCATAATGTTTTCAGGTTTCATCTATGTCATAGCATGGATCAGAATTCCACGCTTCTTATGGCTGAGTAATATTCCATTGTATGCACGTACCTGTTTATGCATTTATCTGTTGATGGAATGTGGCTGTTTCTACCCTTTGGCTATTGCAAATATGTGCTATGAGCATTGCTGTAAAAAAGTATCTGTTTGGTTGGGCGCTGTGGCTCACGCCTGTAAACCCAGCACTTTGTGGGGCTGAAGTGGGCGGATTACCTGAGGTCGGGAGCTCCAGACCAGCCTGACCAACATGGTGAAGCCCTGTGTCTACTAAAAATACAAAAATTAGCCAGGTATAATGGCGGGCACCTGTAATCCCAGCTACTCGGGAGGTTGAGGCAGGAGAATCGCTTGAACCAGGGAGGCGGAGGTTGCAGTGAGCTGAGATCCCACCACTGCACTCCAGCCTGGGTAACAGAGCGAGACTCTGTCTCAAAGAAAAAAAAAAAAGTATCTGTTTGATACCTTTAATTATTTGGGTTTATACCTACAAGTGGAATTGCTGGGTCATGTGGTATTCTCTTTAATTTTTTTGTTTTCCTCAGTGGCTGCATCATTTTACATTTGCTCCAGCAATAGACAAAGGTTCCAATTTCTCTACATCCTCACCAACACTCATTATTTTTGGTATCTCATTGTGGTTTAGTTATAATTCCTTTTGATCTCATCCAAAGCAGATTACCCACTACCTGTCATCCTCTCACCCACAGAACGCAACTCTTTGCTTCCATGCTGGTATCACAGCGTGGCCTCGTGTTTGTTGAACGTTTGCCTTGCTGAGCAGCCCAGGAGTTGGCAAACTGTGGCCTGGGGCTGCAGGTGAAACCTGGTGGCTGCTTGTTTTTGTATAGTCCACAACCTAAAGATGGTTTTTATATTTTTAACTGGTTAAAAAAAAAAAAAAGAAAAAGAATATTTTGTGAAATATAAAAACTATATAAAATTCAAATTTCATTGTTTATGAATACTCTTATTGGAACACAGCCATGCTTACATATTTAGGTACTGCCCATGGCTGCTTTTGCCTTAGAAGGCAGAATAGAGTAGTGGCAACAGGGGCTGTATGGCCTGTAGAGCCTAAAATATTCACCATGTGGCCCTTTAGAGAAAAGGTTTGCTGAACCCTGCACTGGACCCTGAACTCAGGGACAGTGATCCTGCCGTCTCCAGGGTGCCTGGCCATTGGTAGGAAATTAACAAATAGTCATCGTATTGGTTCATTCTCTCATACTAACTCCAGACACAAAAATAAATTTGAGTTAGATCAGAGAACTAAATATAAACTTAGAGTATTCTAGAAGAAAACATAGAATAATATTGTCGTAGGCTTGGGTTAGGCAATGATTTCTTAGGACACAAAAAGCACTAACCATCAAATAAAATAAATAAATTGGTCAACATTAAATTTTTAAGCTTTGTTCATCCAAAGATACTACAGACCAATCTGGAACCTGCCACATGTACCAAAATCCATGTATACTCAAGTTCCCCAGTCGGTTCTGTGGAATCTGAGTATATGAAAAGTCAGCCCTCTGTTTTGCAACCTGAAAATACTGTATTTTCGATTTGCAGTTGGTTAAAAAAAATCTACGTATAAGTGGAACCACACAGTTCAAACCTGTGTTGTTCAAGGGTCAACTGTATTAGGAGAATAAGTAGACAAGCCACAGATTGGGGGAAAATTTTGCATATGTGATAACTTGTATCCAAAGTATATAAAGAACTACAAATAATAATACAAAGATAAACACAACTTTTAAAAATGAGCAAAAGACATCGAAGTGCAATTTAAAACCACAATGAGATACAATTTCATGCATATTAGAAGAGCGAAAAAACAAAAACAAAAAAGGAAACAAATGTTGGTGAAGATGAAGAGTAACCAGAAGGCTGGTTCATTGCTAAAGGGTGTACAACTGTCTGGCAGTTTCTTATAGACTCTACTCTTACGTATTACCCAAGAGAAATGAAAACCTGTGTCTACACAAAGACTTATTCATGAATATGCGTAGCAGCTTTATTCATAATAGCCACAAACCGGAAACAACCCAAATGGCATTAATAGCAAAATAGATTTTTTAAAAATTATTTTATTTTATTTTTTCGAGACAGAGTCTTGCTCTCTTGCCCAAGCTGGAGTGCGGTGGCATGCTCTTGGCTTACTGCAACCTCTGCCTCACAGGTTCAAGCAATTCTCCTGCCTCAGCCTCCTGAGTAGCTGGGACTACAGGCGCCTGCCACCCCGACTGACTAATTTTTGTATTTTTAGTAGAGACAGGGCTTTGCCATGTTGGCCAAGCTGGTCTCAAACTCCTGACCTCAGGTGATTCACCCGCCTCGGCCTCCCAAAATGCTGGGATTATAGGCATGAGCCACCGCATCCAGCTGCAAAATAGATTTTTTAAAAATGAGGTCTATCTATACAGTGAAATATGATTATTCAGTAAGAAAATGGAACAGACAGTCCATGCAACAACATGAATGAATCTCAAAATCACGTAGAGTGGAAGAAGACAGACATGAAGGAGCACAGTCTGAATTATTCCATTTCTATGAAATTACAGGAAAGATTAATCTATAGCAACCAAAAGCAGGTTAGTCATTGCCTCTGGGGGGTGGGGCATGGGGCTTGGCATTGCTTAACAAACAGCCCATGGTGCTTTCTGGGCTAAAGGACACATTCCCTTACTTGTTTTGGGTGGATGTTAATTACAGGGGGGTATATCATTCTCAAAACTCAGAACTGAACACTTAAGATCTGTGCTTTTATTGTATGTACATTATGCTTCCTTTTAGATAATGGGAGAGGAACAGCTGCCCTTGAAAGGTGACAAAATATTCCTTCATAGATGGACAGTGTCCAAGTGTCAGCCCCCATTCTGGCCTTGGTGAGCCCAGTTGGATTGTGAAGGAAACGGAGAAAGCATGGTGCCCTGATGTCTGTCCACTGCGAATGGCGTTTCCTGTTTTAACCAGACTTCTCTTGTGAAGGAAAAAATAGCCATCACTCCATGAGCCCTTCAATTGCCAGTCTAGAAGGCCATTTCCTGGCCTTGCGAAAAAACGACAGCACCCTCTGCCCAGCCTAGAACATCTTCTACCTGCTGGGCCCTGCTGGTGGCTGGGGCCCATCTGAATGCAATCACTTGTTTGTCCCTGGCCAGGGAGAACATCCTTCCAGCAGCCTTGCCTGGATCTGCTGAGTGAGCACCCAGGCTCCCAACACTGCAGGGGAGGGGGAGAAGCAGAAGCAGTGATTGTCTCTACTTTTATTTTTAGATGATCAGTGAGACAAAGCTGCCTGCATGAGGCAAGTTGTCAAGACCTCTGACTTCCTTATGGATCTGAAGCCAGCTTCTCAGTCTTCTCTCATTGTATCAGTTTCCTATGGCTTAAGGATAACAAATGTCCTTAAGCACTAAGTGGCTTAAAACAACACAAATGCATTAGCTTACAGTTCCAGAGGTCAGAAGTCCAACACAAGTCTCATGCAGCTAAAATCAAGGTTTTGCCAGTTCCTTCTGGATGTACAAGAGGAGAATCTGTTTCCTTGCCTTTTCCAGCCTTAGAGGCTGCCCACATTCCTTGGCTCATGGCCTCTTCTCCACTGAAAGCCAGCAGCGTTGGCTCTCTCTGTGCCTTTCTTCTAGAGTCACATTTCTTTCTGACTACTTGACTGTCTTCTTCTTCCACTTTTAAGGACCTATGAGATTACACTGGGCCACTTGGATAATCCAAGCTGAACTCCTTATTTTAAGGTTAGCTGATGAGTCAAGCTAATTCTGTTTACAATCTTAATTCCCTCTTGCCATGCAAGGGAACACAGTCATAGGTTTTGGGAATTAGGATGTGGATATTTTTAGAGAGCCATTGTTCTGCTGATTGCACTCCCTGATGTTCAAGTCCAACTTTAACTCATAAGCTCCTTACTCTCTTAAAATGGCCCTAGGTTGATAGTTTGGTTCCAAGACTTATAAGGTGTGTGGATAATGGTAACAGCAACAGCAATAATTACAGCAACCATACACCAAGAACATGCTATGAAGCAGGCACAGGAGACACATGATATCATCTGATCCCTGTAGGACCTGATGGAGTAGGCATCATCATCCCTATTATAGATGGGGAAACCGAGGCCTGGGCAGTATAAATAATGAGCCCAAGGTTACTCGGCTTTTAGATGGCAGATTCAAGATTGGAACTATAGCTTGCCTGACTTTAACGACTTCCGTCCTGACAGCAAATGACTAAATAGCAAACCTCTACCCTGTCTCCAAGTCAAGCTTCCTCTGAGCAGAGATTTTAGATGAGGAATAGAGATGATGTCTGTCCAATGCTTAGTGCAAAAGAGAACCCAAGACATGGAAGTTTAGTTAGGTAGCTTAAAAACAATATTATTGGCCTGGCGCAGTGGCTCATGCCTGTAATCCCAGCACTTTGGCAGGCTGAGGTGGGCAGATCACCTAAGGTCAGTAGTTCAAGACCAGCCTGGCCAACATGGTGAAATCTCATCTCTACTAAAAATACAAAAATTAGCTGGGTATGGTGGTGGGTACCTGTAATCCCAGCTACTTGGGAGGCTGAGGCAGGAGAATCACTTGAACCCAGGAGGCAGAGGTTGCAGTGAGCTGTGATTGTGCCACTGCACTCCAGCCTGGGTGACAGGGCAAGACTCTGTCTCAAAAAAATAAAAAATAAAAATAATATTGTTGCCTCTATCTCCCCTTTCCCTTTCCCCTTCTCTTTCCCTCCCCTCCCCTCCCCTCCCCTCCCCTCCCTTCCCCTCCCTTCTCCTCCCCCTCCCTTCCCCTCCCTTCTCCTCCCCCTCCCTTCCCCTCCCCTCTCCCTTCCCCTCCCCTCCCCTCCTCTCCCTGGCATCTTTTAAAGTGGGTGACAATGGGGTAAGGGTTTAGATCTAGGCTCTAAGTTTAGGCTACCCAGGTTCAACTTCTAATATTGTCACATTAGCTGCTTCCACTTGGGTCCACCTCACCCCTGTAAGCCTCAAGTTCCTCCTCATTTGTAAAAATCGTAGTGTGATACTATCTGCCTTGCCAAGTGCTGGGTGGATTAGAAACAATCATGCATGCATAGCACACGGTAAACGATCACTATTAAGCCACTCCCACATGTCCATTATTGAAGCAGGTGGTGTGAACAAGAGAGGCATGTATGGTCTTTGTTCACAAGCATCTCTCCCTCTCTCCCTCAGCCTTTCTTTCTCTGTCTTTTACACACACACACACACACACACACACACACACACACACACCAGTTAATGACATCAAGGGGGAAGTTAGGAAAGATGAAAAATTGGAGACCAAGACGGTCATAACATGGTTCTAATTTGTGGTTAAGAAATTCATGAAGGAATAGGTCAATGTGTACCCAGAGAAAGGAAAGATTCACTTATGAAGAACGTGGGAGTGAATCACAAGACTGTCACTGTCTGCAACCCTTGAAGGGGCCCCTTGACCATCTTGCTGGGCGATTTGAATCACCAGATGTGGTCTACCACAGTGTCTCTCATGCCGCTGCTCACATATGAACTTCATGATTTTTGCCATATCTCTTGCTGCCTTGTTTAGTGTTGACTTAAGATTTTTCTTTCATTATTTGGATATTGACTACACTGACATAAAAAGGAAACTTTATGTCACTATGGTAAATGGGAGGCTGATTTTCTTGCCACAGATAGAAACTGTGAAAAAAATACATACCGTTTTTTTTTTTAAAGAATGCTTTTTTTAAACTTTTTTTTTAGGTTCAGGGGTACACGTGCGGGTTTGTTATATAGGTAAATTGTGTGTCATGGGGTTTTGGTGTACAGATTATTTTGCCACCCAGGTAATAAGTATAGTACGAATAGGTAGTTTTTCCATCCTCTCCCCACCCCACCCTCCACCCTTAAGTATATATGTGTTCATGAAAATACACAACTATTAAAAGTAATACAGCCAGGTGCAGTGGCTCATGCCCGTAACCCCAGCACTTTGGGAGGCCGAGGCGAGCGGATCACCTGAAGTCAGGAGTTTGAGATCAGCCTGGCCAACATGGTGAAACCTCGTCTCTACTAAAAATACCAAAATTAGCCGGGCGTGGTGGCGTGCGTCTGTAATCCCAGCTACTCGGGAGGCTGAAGCAGAAGAATTGCTTGAACCCACGAGGCAGAGGTTGCAGTGAGCCAAGATCGCATCACTGCACTCCAGCCTGGGCAACAGAGCGAGACTCCACCACAAAAAAAAAAAAAAGAAAAAAAAGTAATACATAATGTTGCCGATAGCTCTCTGAATACCCTTCTGTATCCCACCAGTGTTTGGTATAACATACTTCAGGGTGCACCACTCTTGCAGAAAAAGCTGAAAATTCTGTATCTTTAGTTATTTGATTTTTTTTTTGTTTTAGAAATGGGGTCTGGCTCTGTCACCCAGGCTGGAGTGCAATGGTGCCATCATGGCGCACTGCTGCCTGAATGTCCTGCACTCAAGCTATCTTCCTGCCTCAATCTCCCTAGTAGCTGGGACTACAAGGCGTGAGCCAACACGCTGGCTGGATTTCTGCATCTTTAGGTTCTTAATCCTTAACCTTTTTGCTTCTCAGTTTCTCATCATTAGAATGGGGCTGTTTCACTGTGCACAGTGTCTCACACCTGTAATCTCAGCACTTTGGGAAGCCAAGGCGGGAGAATCTCTTGAGGCCAGGAGTTTGAGATCAGCCTGGGCAACAAATCAAGATCTCCATCTCTACAAAAAATTTAGCCAGGCATGGTGGTGTGTGCCTGTAGTCTTAGCTATTGAGGAGGCTGAGGCAGGAAGATCACTTGAGCCCAGGAAGTTGAGACTGCAGTGAGCTGTGACCACACCACTGCACTCCAGCCTCGGCAACAGAGCAAGACCCTGTCTCAAAAAAAAAAAAAAAAAAAAGAGTGAGGATGTTTATAAAAAGAGTCATTATTATTGAGAAATGACTGAGCTGAGCATTTTGCACCCATTCGTTAATATAGCCTTCATAAAGTTTCCATAATGATGTGGTATTATTGAGGTGGTATCTATGAGGCCACCGAGGCACAAAGAGGTAGTTTTGTTCTGTCACACAGCTTGTCACTGCAAGGAGTGCGAACCCAAGACCATCTGAACATGAAGCCTTGACATCCTGCAGTCCTGCCTCTCTGTGCTAGCCACTTCATGGGGGCTGAGAGCAGCCGAATTAACTAACGATGAAGAAGATGCACTGGGGATAAAGAGGAGAGGCTACTTACTGGTGCTTGCCGTGGGCCAGAGACTCCTGGAAGTACTTTTTCTGTATCAACTCATCTCATCCTCATCATAGACGTATAATGGAAGTCTTAGTATTATTCCCATTTTACAAATAAGGATGTTGAGGTACAGAACCTTTAATTAACTTGCATCCAGTAAGTGCTGAACCTGAATTGGAACCTAAGGGGTCTGGTTCCAGAGCCTGTCCCCCAACCTGATAAAGGCATCACACAGATGGTACAACTGTTTATATCATCACCGGTGACAGTTTCAACTCTGCAACTGAAGACTTATCTGTCTGCCTCAGGCTCTTATTTAGCCCCTGCCTGGCCCTACCTTGCTTGATTTCTTTTTTATTATAAGATGGAATTCAGATGACGTGAGCCTTCTAAGGAATTAACTTTGTGGCAGGAAGGTGCTCATTCGTTCATTCACCTAACCAACATAATTGGTGTCTAGCTATGCAAGACACTGCACTGTGTGTCAACAAAACAGGAAAGCGGTTGTGTGTGATGGTTCAGATGGGAGACACAACAACCACACAGACCCAAGATCCACACCCCACATCCATATTCGTTAGCTTGCAGGAGTTCTGGTCTGAACTTCTCCAAGCATCTGTTTCCTCATTCTTATTCCTATAAAATAAGATGACTAAACTTGTCCATAATTTATTTTTTTCCTATAATTTTTTTTTTTTTTTTTGAGATGGAGTCTTGCTCTGTCACCCAGGCTGGAGTGCAGTGGCGTGATCTCGGCTCACTGCAACCTCCACCTCCAGGGTTCAAACAATTCTCCTGCCTCAGCCTCCCAAGTAGCTTGGATTACAGGCAGACACCACCATGCCAAGCTAATTTTATTATTTTTGTAGAAACGGGGTTTCACCATGTTGACCAGGCTGGTCTTGAACTCCTAACCTCAAGTAATTTGCCCATCTTGGCCTCCCAAAGTGCTGGTATTATAGGCGTGAGCCACCGCGCCTGGCCTTTTTCCATAATTTACTTTTTGAAGAGAATGTTCTAGGTGGATGTTTACTGTATACATACCTTCTTAATTGATTGTCTTCTGTTGAGTAGGAGAGTATCGTTATAATTTTCACCTTCCTATCCCCCTGATTATAAAAATAATACAGGCCCACAATCCTGTATCCCCGACCCAGGGGCCAGATGCATTTTGTAAGCCAAATTTTTTGCGCTTTTAGATGCATTTTGTTTACACTAAATGTCAAATAATACATGAATACCTCTTCAGAGAAATGTATGGATAGTCACACCACCTGAGAACATTAAAGACTTCATGGAAACTCAGAAGAATCCATATTTTGCTGGCGAATGAACTGTGTGGATTTTGGAATTATAGGTAAGGGATTATTAATGGGACCTGCATATGCTTGTGGTGGCAAATTTGGAAAAATACAGTGAAGTATTAAAAAGAAAGTAATCACATTAAAAAGAAATAACAATTGGAATTTTCATGTATGTTTTCTAATTCGTTGAATTATTCAACAATATCATTGATCCTCTATTAGATGTTCTAGGGCAGTGGTTTTCAAAGGTGAAATTTTGTCCCCCGAGGGGATTTAGCAATATCTGGAGACATTTTGGTTGTCACATCTAGAGCCAGCTGCTAGTAGGTAGAGTTGGCATTTAGTAGGTAGAGTTGGCATTTAGTAGGTAGAGTTGAGGATGCTGTTAAACATCCTACAATGCATAGAACAGCCTTCACGACAGAGAATTATCCAGCCCCAAATGTCAATAGTGCCATGATTAAGAAGATTAAGAAATCTCGGCTAGACTTTAGACATACAGTAATGAATAAAACAATTAAAAGTTAATATATTTACTATATATTTATAACATATATATGATGTATGCACACACAGAAAAATATAAGGGTTTTAAAATGTGGTATTATTCCATATATAGTTTTTTTTTTTTACTTAACATTGCTTCATGAATGTTTTACGATATCAAAAACTCTTCAAACACATCATTTTTATGCCTATAGAATATTGCTTCAGAAAGAAATGAAATTATTTTTAGCCATTTCTTTACATAAAAATTGATTTTGCTTTCTTTATTTAAAATAATGCCATGATGAACATCCTTATATTTACATTGTTTTATGACATCTCTGATTATTTCATTGGGTTCTCAGGCTGACAGCTCATTCTAGAGTAGGGTTATTGAGTCAAAGGGTACAAACTTTAAAACATCCTTAGTGTATGTGATAAAATTGCTTTGCAGAAAGGTTGTTCCAAGTTTTACTTGGTGCAGGAGTTTACATTAAAAATCAGAGACTTAGGGTACCAAATAAACATAGCTAGGGCTGGGCGTTGGTGGCTCACACCTGTAATCCCAGCACTTTGGGAGGCCAAGGTGGGTGGATCACGAGGTCAAGATATCAAGACCATCCTGGCCAACGTGGTGAAACCCCGTCTGTAGTAAAAATACAAAAATTAGCCAGGCGTGGTGGCGTGTGCCTGTAGTCCCAGCTACTTGGGAGGCTGAGGCAGGAGAATTGCTTGAACCTGGGAGGTGGAGGTTGCAATGAGCTGAGATCTCGCCACTGCACTCCAGCCTGGTGACAGAGTGAGACTCCGCCTCAACAACAACAACAAAAAACCCCAAAAACCCCCCAAAATAAAAAACAAAAACAGAGCTAGTTCAAGCTATGAATAACACATCCAGAACATTCTGGTGACAGGAAGAAGCCTTCAGAAACAGAATAGCCTGTTGGCTATTCTCAGCTGGCCATTTGGTCCTGGATGGACTCAGTCAGGCTCATGATACTCATTGTATTGTAATCACCCCAGCATGCAAACAGATTGGACAACAGTTCAAAGACTGGGCAACAGAACACAATTAAGAAGTGATTAACTTACGGGAAAAGATGAAAAGAGCTCAAGTATGAAAGCCATGTGGCAGAAAACCCTGGGAGGAGGTGATCACCATTTCCAAGCATTGAAATTCCATAAATAAAAGGCTAGAAGAGGAACTTCTCGGGGGATGATTTAAAAGGTAATGGCATATCTTTGAACAATGAGGATTCCAGGCTGAAATCTCAAGAGGAAGCTTCCTTGTTGTGGTTCTCGACAGGAATAATCCGTTGAGGAAATGATAGAATTCCTTTTAACGTGTCGGTAGGTGAAACAGCAAGAGGAACACAGGCCAATCAGATAATGTGAATTTGTCCTCCAGCAAGTGCTGCACCGGAGCTTAGTGAATGAGTAAGGTTCTCCCAGACTCAGGGCAAAGGGAGCACAGGCTCCACTATAGGCAGCAGTTGATGGAGAACCTCGATTTGGACGGAAGAAAATTCCTGGTTTCTCTTTTTCTGAGGCTGAAGAAGAACAGAAGCTCATCAAATAGAGGAGGGCTGGCTACTCCTGTAGCCATAAAAAGGGAGACGTAGATATTTTCAGCTTTGCAGACCCTCCAGGCTCTGTGTCAACCGCTCACCTCTGCCTTCGTAGACTAAATGCAGTCATAGACATGGGTAAATAATGTGTGTGGCTGTGTTTTAATAAAACTTTATTTGCAGAAACAGGCAGTGCCTAGGGAGCATGGTTTGCTGACGGCTGATCTCAAGAAGCGGGAAAGACGCCCTGTAAAAGAGCGAGGAAATTTAAAGAGAATGGGTTCAAGTACCATCTCTACACTTAACGGCTAGTTAATTAACCTTTGTGAACACTTGGGGTTTTTTTTTGTCCATGAAAAGGGTTAATTGCAGTGCCTCCCTCATGGGTTTGTTCTCAGAATCAAATGGAACAATGTCTGAATAATGCTTATCATAGGCCTGGGTGCACAGAGGTACTAAAATAAGAGAAAGAGTAAAAAGAATGCACATTTTATTATAGTTCTTACCCTATTCTATTGGGTTTATGTAACTGTTTCCTTCACTAGTATGAGCTCCTGAAGTTCAAAAATCCCACTTAGTTAACACACGTCTCCAGTACCCATCATGGTGGCACATGGTGGGTGGTGTTTTGGGTTTGAAAGCAGCACTGGGGATGGGGGTTGGGGGCAGTGGTTTAGTGAGGGAAGGCTCCCATGGGAGTGGGAACCAAGGAAGCAGGACACGGTGGGAGAAGGAGCGAAGCAGAGGTTTTTGTGAACTGGAGTCTAGCTTCAGCCTGATGCCTTGGGGATATACATTGCGTGTATCGGGAGCAGATACTGCACCCCAGCATTAGCTCATGTTGAAGCAAAGGCGCTGGCCTTTCATGGCCTGGAACAGTCAGTTACTGGCTGTAGGCTGGCCTCATTAAGAGTGAGGAGATAATCTCCCAGGTGAATTGGCTTCTGTGCTGCTGAATGAGAGCAGCTGGGAGCTGTTAGCTCTGCCAATGGGGTGGGGGGATGGGTGAGGGGGGCATGACAGCTTCTCTGCAGTGCCCAATTATTGCTTGTTCCATAAAAGCCTATGTGTTCTGTGGTTATGCTCTAAATCACCCGTGAAACACAGCTGGTTTATAGGAAACGGGAGAAGGGCAGAGCCAGGGTGACTAAGTCATCACCTGTCACTCCAAAGATAAATTGTTTAGCTGAGAGGCTGAGCCCAGAGATGGTGAGGAACCTGACTCAAGGATGGTGATGTTCTCTCTTTGCAGGGACAGGAAGTGGCTTCTTTTTTCAGTGGCCTGTGGGCGTTTCCTTTGCCTGGAGGAGTGTGTGGTACCATCCAGACTGAGGGTTGCTGAAATCCCTCACCGGGCTTGACACAAGTGCCAATAATGCCACAGTAACATCTGCCTGGGTTCTGGCATCTGGCGAGAGTGGGATTGAATCCCAGCTCTGCCACTTTAGCCATGTGACCTTGAACCAATGACTTAGCAATATAAGCCTTATTTTCCATGTCTGTAAAATGGGAATAGCAATACTTCCCAATTCTTAGGGCTTTTGTGAGGCTTAGAGTTAATGCTTATAAAATGGCTGGCACTTAATTAAACTCCAATTTCAATACACGGTAATTTTATTTACTTTCTTTGTTATGATGGTGTATTTGTTATGTATTTATAGAAATGGTATTGTTCAGTTAATGTTTCCCAGTTGTCATTTGCATATTACTTTGGATTTTTGCCATATCTGTTGCCACCTGTACTATTATTTATTTAGCATACATTAGTTGACTCTTGAAAATAAAACTTAAATAGTTTTAATAGGACCAGGGCAATAAGGGGTTTGGATGGGCTAGTGCTTGGCCTATGATAAGTATGCTATGAATGGGAGCTACTATTATCATCAACACTGACATTAAATGACTCTTAGTTTTGTATCCTATCTGGGAATTTGCATTGACTCATTTCATTTCTTCCTTTTAGAATCAAGTTGCTTGCATTCTCTCCATTGGATGAGGTCACGTCTTTACTCCTGCCTGAGCTAATTGATGTATTCTTAAAGTGGCTTGCTTGGCTAAGAATTTCATGCATAGTATCAGGGGATTTTTTCTTTCCTCTGTTAAATAACTTGGGCTCTGACAGATTACAAGGAAGTTATTACTCAGAGCTAAGTGCTCAAAACTGATTGTAGGGAGCAGTGGAAATTCCCCTTCCTTGCCTAAAATAACTGGAACTGGAACATGACAATATGAGCTTTGTCCAGGCTTGAAACAATATCCTTTCCAAGTGAATTTTGTACGGAAATACTTACCAATATATAGTGGTAGTTCTCACTGACAGGCTAGAAAAAGGTTAGTCATTCCCCGTATTCCATAGCTAAAAGGGCCATTGTTAGGGACAATAAGCCCCCGAGGAGTGAAATTTAAGCATGTGGACATAGTAATATTGGACTTACCTGACTTCTCCCTGCCCCTTATCCCATTTGATTCCTTCACTATCAAAAGAATCTAATTCCGGAAATAGACATGCTCTCCATTTGTTTGATTATTTTTATTGCAAGTATGTTTGTGACAACCTTCCCCTGAACACCCCCGAGCAGGTCCTGAGGAAACGGGAGAAGGAAATGCTCAGGTCCTTATAGTAGATGCGAGTTCAGAGTAGCTGACTCAGATGAATGTCCGTGAGTTCAAATTCCACAGCAGTTTTTAATCCCATGTCTTGAGCTGTTTCAGAAGGTTGATAATTAGCAAGGGCATGTGTCCAGCCCTCGCAGACTCAGGATGTAAAGATCTGGAGATTTTGTTGGAGTGAGTATTCCATTGCTGAACTGTTATGCTCATTATTACAGATTAAAAAAATAAACTGGGCAAGATCTTGTGAAGTGCTTCACTCTGTTTTTTTTTTGTTGTTGTTTTTGTTAATAAAAATTTCTTATTAAAAAAAATTTAAGGCTAAGTGGAAAAGGGGGGCAGGAATAAAAGTGGGAATCCGTCAATGAGCTTTTTTTGTTATTATAAGCTCCAAGAAATTTTGTTAGTGCTGGTCATATTAGCTAGTGTTAAGATTTTCTCAAGGCCTGAAATCTACTGCATGCAATTTATTAAGCTGCAGCACCCGTGCCAGGAAACATTCCCCTCTAAAGGAAGAAGGAGGCGGAGTGTAAGGGTTATTTTGATTTACCTTTCCTGGCTGAGGTCTCTGAAATCACTCTCAACACAACAGGCTTCCTCTTTTGGGGAGGGTCTCCCTCTCCCACCAACCTTGCAGGTTCAGGAGGGAGGCCCTGGGGGGCAGGAATTTGCTCCACCCACTAAGTGAGGCCAGATGATTCTGGCATTTAGTGGAGTGGCAGGTGGGACTTCAGAGCTCACTAAAGTCTTTCCTTGCTTTTCCCTCTTCCGTGTCTCTCATCAATGCAGAGGAGTCACATCTTTAGGCTCCTAGAATGGATATGACTCCAACTCTGCCATCCCAAGCTTGGCAGGGGTAATAGTAGGAATGAGAGGGAAATACCAATATTAGTGGGGCCTGCCAATTCACACACGTGCAGGTCGCAGGGGAAGCTTGAGCTGGGAGGGCGTGTGATGCCGGCTCTTCCCTTAAGAAGGGGGCGTCCCCCTGCTCCTGAGCGAGTAAGCACAGTTTACAAAGGCATATATATTTTTTCTTATACTGTACTATGGTACCTTGAATGCAAGTCTACTATTGCATCTATCACAGTATTCAAAGAAATAGTCATCTCTATACTCCACAGTACCCCTTATGTGGATGCCTAAAGAGACTTGAAAAGAATCCTTATGGCAGCATGGCTGGTCATGGTGATCACCTGGATATGCACAAAATGGCCAACAAGGAGAATGGGTTCTGGGTTGGGTATGTGTTCCAAGTATAGCCAGAGAGATTCTTGCCTGGGACTTTCGTGAGAGCTATTGGGAAAAAGGGGTGTGTGTGTGTGTGTGTGTGTGTGTGTGTATGTGTGTGTGTGTGTGTGTGTGTGTGTTTCTTTTGGTTTCTTTTGGAGCCACCAGTTGTGGGGACCATCTAGGCCTGAAGCTACAGATGATTGCTTTGCCATTCACATGGAGACAGCCTACTTGAAAGTAATGGCAATATAGAGGAAAGCAGAGCCAAGAAATAGAGAATGACACATTCTTGATAACGCTTCTCGCCGCCTGGATCCAGCATGCCTGAAGTCAGCAGTAAACTTGGATGCTTCAGTTACAAGTGCTAAGTTCCCTTTCATTCTTTTTTTTTTTTTTTTGAGTTGGAGTCTCGCTCTGTTGCCCAGGCTGGAGTGCAGTGGCATGATCTCGGCTCACTGCAAGCTCCGCCTCTCAGGTTCACGCCATTCTCCTGCCTCAGCCTCCCGAGTAGCTGGGACTACAGGCGTCTGCCACCTCGCCGGGCTAATTTTTTGTATTTTTAGTAGAGATGGGGTTTCACCATGTTAGCCAGGAAGGTCTCGATCTCCTGACCTCATGATCCGCCTGCCTCAGCCTCCCAAAGTGTTTAGATTGCAGGCGTGAGCCACCGCACCCGGCCTCCTTTCATTCTTAAACAAGATGAGTTATGTCATTGTCATGTGCAACAAAAGCAGTCTTGGCTATTTCATCTTCCTCCTATTGATCTGAACTCTAAATGTATAGGTAAATACTTATTTGGTTAGAGACCAAGCTTTGCAAGAGAGAAAAGTCACTATTCCAAGGACCAAGCGCTTAGGCTCATTTGTGCTCCAGGTTGGACTTTTATTTTGAGAAATTGGCCTGCTTTAATCACAGATAATTTGTCTAAGCTATTCCAATTGCGATTGAATAGTCATTTATGCCATAAGTTGGAATCAGCCAGTGCCTTCAAATGTTGATATCTGTGATGAGTGCAAACAACTTTTTTTTTTTTTTTAACAATCAGTTTTCATAACAGGGGTGCACACTCAGCCCCTGAGTCACCCGTTGGCTAACAGTTCTCTCTCCCATTTGTGATGGCCATTCACCCATCTGAATTTTTGATAAATATACACTCCCAAATATCTGTCCTTAATGAGCCTCTATGTTATGCTCTGGCATGTGGGATATTGCCCCATAATCCTGTGGCCCCAGTATAGACAGGTACCCATTTCCTGTGGCTGCCCACTGAGAGAGTGGTGATTTCCCCATCAGAGGCATCAGCCTTTGACTTGTTTTTCTTGTAGATATGATGCTTCATGCCAAGTCATCCACCAAACACCATGCAACGAGGGACAGGGCTGAGTTGTCTAGAGATGCAAAAAGAAAATTTTGTAAGCTGGTTGCATAACCATCGCTCCTTGTTAGCACTAGTACCTAAGAGGACTGTCTTCCTCTTTCAGCTTTCCAGAGATCTGTGTGCCCTCAGGAAGCAAGTGCAATAGGGATCTATCTCCAAGAATATGGACACTAAACAGGTACAGGGCCCAGGACCACACAGAAGCCGGGAGAGACACAGGCGTGTCCACTCAATGAGGCATCTGGCATTTCAAGACATAAAGATGAAGAGATGCCAAAATAGGGGTTACCCAAATTTATGAAATATATTTTTTTCTTTTTTTTTTTGTTTTTCAGAGACAGGGTCTCATTCTATCACCCAAGCTGGAGTGCAGTGGTTCCATCATGGCTCGCTGCAGCCTTGACCTCCTGGGCTCAAGTGAGCTTCCCACCTCAGCCTCTTGAGTAGCTGGGAACTACAGGCATGTGCCACCATGCTTGGCTAATTTTTGTTTTTTAAATTTTTTGTAGAGACAGGGTCTCATTATGTTGCCCAGACCGGTCTTGAACTCCTGGTCTCAAGCGGTACTCCAGGTTTGGCCTCCCAAAGTGCTAGGATTATAGGCATAAGTCACCACTGGTCTCCTTGGAATATTTTTCAGTGTTATATTGAACAAAATAAAAGTTTGAATACACACACACACAAATTACTGTTCATTGCAATGGCATTGTGCTGTATACAAGGCTGTAGAAGTTATTAACCATATTGTCTTAGAATGAACTTGAGGTAACATGATCTGTGGATGGGTACATAAGTATAAAATTGCCCTATTACGAATGCATCCCTGTGAATTCATGCAATCTTTTTGGAGATGACATTGGAAAGTCAATATGAGGCCAAGGCCAAATGTCCCCTGGCTCCTCACAGCCAACCCTACTAGAAGGCATTAAGTTAATACAAAATTAAGATTTTTTTTTTTTTTGAGATGGAATCTCACTCTGTCACCCAGGCTGGAGTGCAGTGGCATGATCTCGGCTCACTGCAACCTGTGCCTCCGGGTTCAAGCGATTCTCCTGCCTCAGCCTCCTGAGTAGCTGGGACTACAGGCACACGCTGCTGTGCCTGGCTAATTTTTGTATTTTTAGTAGAGACGGGGTTTCACCATGTTGGTCAGGCTGGTCTCAAACTCCTGACCTTGTGATCCACCTGCCTTGACCTCCCAAAGTGCTGGGATTACAGGCATGAGCCACCATGCCCGGCCAAAAAATTAAGATTTAAAAACATGATTAGGTTGTGTCTTGTGCTTCCTGCCTCCATAGGCCTGGAAGAGAAGGGCAGTGTGGCGTAATGGAACTAACACTAACTTGATGGGGACCCAAAGGAATGCAATGCTTGCTCTTGTGGCTTTGCCCCAGCTAGCCATGAGAGCGTGGGGGAAATCACTTACCGTCTTTGGATTTCCCCATCTATAAAGATGTTAAGTGTTGGACGATGGGCTTGCAAGTTTCTTCTAAAACTTGGTGATCACATCTGTTCCATGTGGACGGTCTAGGTACTAGGGATACAGTGGTGTGAAAAATCACCCTACGCAGATCGTTCCTGCCTACAGGGAATGAGGTAGGGGGATGAAGACAGAGAGGTGAGAGGATAAGGGGGTGGAGTTTATGGGTATGTTGATAACAAGCAAAAATATGAACTCTACAATGTTAGAGGGAGCAAACGCAATGAAGAGCAATGAGCAAGGGAAGGAGCTAGAGAGTGGTCAGGGAAAGCCTGTCTGGCCATCAGTGCTTCCCAACTGATTGGCTATTTTTTTAGAAAGACATTAATAAAGGATGTGCCATAGAGCGGGTGGAGGACTCAGTGGGCAGAAGAGCCACTGAAGAATCTACTAGATACAGAAAATGATGGTCATAGGTAATGGTGGTCGTTCATTATTTTTGCATACCGATATCCAATTGTTCAAGTGTCACTTGTTGAAAAGACTACCATTTTCCTACGGAGGAAATAATCCAAGTTTTAAAAAGTTCCACTTAGTGGTCATTTCTATGAACAAAATGAATAGTGCTGGATAACAGATGAGACTTACATGATTCAAAGGCAGTTACGTGAAGCCCTGGGGAAGAGCTTTCCAGGAGAGGCAACGGCAGGTGCACAAGCCCCGAGGTAAGAAAGGGAAATGTCAAGACCAGAAGGCAGGCTGATACGGAGGAATCTTCCAGAAGAAGTCCAAAGGATGAACTGAGACTGGACTTGAGGCAGGACCTTGTGAGCCCAGGTAAAGATTTAAATTCTACTCTAAGGAGCAATGGATACCATGGGTTTTGTGTTACATAATCAATTCTACCATATAGCTGCTTCGATGTAACTTACTGGCAAGAGTGAGTGCTTGGCCTGTATTTCAGAAATTTCTAGAGTCCTGAGAAACCACTGGGGGTGTGGCTGTGCCATCTGGCAACTTCCTGAGAGCCCCCTAATCTGGGAGAATTTATGAAGATGCTCAGGGATAGATGTACTTCACATTTCGGCTGTTGAACGGCCCTGTATGCAAATAGGAATTGTATTAGAATGAAGAATGAGTTTTGATATATGGGGTGCATGCGTGTTTACAATTCTTAATCTTGATGAGTCATGAAGAGTATTTCCACATTTCAATAAGTGAACATTCTGGTTATTGTTTACAGTATTTCTCTGTCCACAGCTTTTGAAACACCTTTTATTTGAAAATAAATTCAGGCTGGGCACGGTGGCTCACGCCTGTAATCCCAGCACTTTAGGAGGCTGAGATGGGTGAGTCACTTGAGGTCAGGAGTTTGAGACCTGGCCAACATGGAGAAACTCTGTCTCTACTTAAAAAAATTGAAAAATTAGCTGGGCATGGTGGCGCATGCCTATAATCCCAGCTACCTGGGAGGCTGAAGCATGAGAATCGCTTGAACCCAGGAGGTGGAGATTGCAGTGAGCTGAGGTCACACCACTGCACTCCAGCCTGGGTGACAGAGCGAGACTCTGTCTCAAAAAAAAAAAAAAAAAAGTTCAAAGTTACAAATATAGAAGTAGTATAAAAATACCTATATTGCCTTTATTTATCTACTGATATCTTAATATCCATCTGCATGATTGTTTATGCAGTCCTGTTAACTGGAACATTCTCACAGCTTTTTTTGTCTGTTATGATATTAGCATTTTCAAAGAATACAGCTTCCTCCTGTTTGATAGAATGTTCTCCATTTTCTGTTTGTCTGATGTGTCTTGATTCGGTGTAGGCTATGCATTCTTTGCTGGACTGTGGGGCAAAGAGGATGTTGTATCCTCCTCAGGATATCACATCTGGAGGCAGGTGGTGTCTATCTGTTCGTCACTGGTGGCATTAAATACCTCCAACGTTGAATCCAATGTTTGTGGATGAGACAAGGTGGGGGAGGGGAGGAAGAAAGTTGAAAACACAAGATGCCATGACTCAACATTAGTTAAGTTCTTGAGTCATCTGTGTTGCTAAATTAACCACCAATGCAAAGCACATGTAGGCACGCACACAAGCACACACGCACATGTTACAACACACACACACACACACACACACACACACACACACACAGCTCAGTTCTATGTTGCATTTTTAAAGCTATCACTGGCCGGGCACGGTGGCTCACGCCTGTAATCCCAGCACTTTGGGAGGCCGAAGTGGGCGGATCACCTGAGGTCAGGAGTTTGAGATCAGCCTGGCCAATATGGTGAAACCCTGTCTCTACTAAAAATACAAAATTGCCAGATGCGGTGGTGCACGCCTGTAATCCCAGCTATTCGGGAAGCTGAGGCTGGAGAATAGCTTGAACCTGGGAGGTGGAGGTTGCAGTGAGCCGAGATCGGGCCACTGCACTCCAGACCAGGCAACAGAGCGAGACTCGGTCTCATTAAAAAAAAAAAAAAAAAGCTATCACCAAAGTCCCGTTTTAGCATTGAGGACATTGGAAGAAATAATTTCGGGAGATTTTCAAATTCTGCATTAAGACTTCACATATAATTAGTACTTCCTAATAATTCCTTGGGTCTTACAGGATTTGGTGCTATGGCTAAGAGGTCTGTGGGCACCAGCCAAGCAAATGCATTAGCTTAGAGCAGTCGTTTTTAGCCCTGGCAGTTCATTAAATTCTCTTGGGTGGATTTAACACCCAGTGCTGTGCAGACCTCACCCCAGATCAACTGAATCAGAACTGAACGTGGGCCACAGATGGGAGAGTTTAGAAGCTCTGCAAGAACTTCTGATGTCCTGCCGAGGTACAGAACCATCAGCTGAAAAGTGTGATTCTGAAGCTTCAGTGATCCCCAAATATTCCTTGCCCTCTGGTCAGGTGCTCCCTTTAATAGCTAACATAGATTGAGTACTTACATGTGTACCAGGCCACATGTTGTGGGCATCCATAGATTTTTGTATTCACACATTTATTTCCCTTCTTTGTGTAAAATCTCCCTAATTTTCCTTTGGCTAACTACCACACCCACTTTCAGCTCGTGGTTTTTAGGGTGCTGACTGTGCACTCTGACTTCAAGGATGAACATTGATTCCCAGCTTGGCAAACTGATTGGTTCATAAATGATCTAAGTGGTCAAGTGAGACTTGAGCCCAGGACTTTCACTGAAATTATTGGGCAAGAGGCTGGACGTAGCAGCTCACACCTGGGATCCCAGCACTTTGGGAGGCAAAGGCGGGCAGATCACTTGAGTTCGAGACCAGCCTAGGCAACATAACAAAACCGTTTCCCTGCAAAAAAAAAAAAAACCAAAAAACAAAAAACAAAACACAAAAATTGGCCAGGCGCAGTGGCTCACTCCTGTAATCCCAGCACTTTGGGAGGCTGAGGTGGGCGGATCTCCTGAGGTCAGGAGTTTGAGACCAGCCTGGCCAACATGGCGAAACCCCGTCTCTACTAAAAATAGAAAAATTAGCTGGGCCTAGTGGTGGGCGCCTGTAATCCCAGCTACTTGGAAGGCTGAGACAGGAGAATCGCTTGAACCCGGGAGGCGGAGATTGCATTGAACCGAGATCATGCCACTGCACTCCAGCCTGGGCGACAGAGCGAGACTCTGCCTCAAAAACAAACAAACAAAAAACCACAAAAAATATGCTGGGCATGGTGGCGTGCACCTGTAGTTCCAGCTACTTGGTTGGCTGAGGATTGTTGGAGCTCAGGAGGTCTAGGTTGCAGTAAGCCGTGATCATGCCACTGCACTCCAGCCTGAGCAAGAGAAAAAAAAAGAAAGAAAGAAAGAAAGAAAGAAAAAAATAAATTATTGGCCAACAGATGTTTTTATCTTCTCTTGGACTTAACATGGAGAAAAGGGAACCATGAAGTAATCAGAGTTTACTACAGAGAGGGGCCAAGCCAAGAATGAAACCAACATAGAAGAAAGCAGAAAGAAAGAAAAAAAAGAACAGGGTGGATACGGTTTGAGCCCCCTGGATTTAGCCACGCCTGAAGCTATCAACTCCTGGATCATTAAGTTATATGAGTCAATAAATTCCTATTTTGCTTAAGTCAGTTTGAGTTGAGGTTTCTGCTATTGCAACTGAAAGGCTCCTGGTTAAAACACATTTAAAACTTTTAAAAATTTTACAGAAGTCCAGGAAGTAGTTATTGTTAGTATCCTTGTTTTATAGATGCTTTATAGACACTGAGGCTTAGGGAGTTAACAGCTTCAGATGATTCCTGTGTATACTTAAATATGAGAATCACTGATAAAGGTACTTGATCTAGCTGCTTCTTAAGGGTGATAACACTTTTTTTCTCTTCTTTCCTTTTCTTTCTTTCTTTTTTTTTTGAGATGGAGTCTTGCTCCGTCGCCCAGGCTGGAATGCAGTGGTGTGATCTTGGCTCACTGCAACCTCCGCCTCCTAGGTTCAAGTGATCCTCCTGCCTCAGCCACCTGAGTAGTTGGGATTACAGGTTACTCAGGTGGCTGCCACCATGCCCAGCTGATTTTTGTATTTTTAGTAGATGCAGGGTTTTGCCATGTTGACCAGGATGGTCTCGAACTCCTGACCTCAAGTTATCTGCCCAGCTTGGCCTCCCAAAGTGCTGGGATTACAGGCGTGAGCCACTATGCCCTGCCTCTCTTCTTTCTTCTTTTCTTTTCTTTCTTTTTTTTTTTTTTGAGACGGAGTCTCGCTCTTGTCACCCAGGCTGGAGTGCAGTGGTACGATCTCAGCTCACTGCAACCTCCACCTCCTGGGTTCAAGCAATTCTCCTGCCTCAGCCTCCTGAGCAGCTGGTATTACAGGCGCCCGCCACCATGCCTGGCTAATTTTTGATGTTTTGGTAGAGATGGGGTTTCACCATGTTGGCCAGGCCTGTCTTGAACTCCTCACCTCAAGTGATCCACCCACCTTGGCCTCCCAAAGTGCTGGGGTTACAGGCGTGCGCCACCATGCCCGGCCTCTTTTTGCTTTTAAAAATAAGTCTGGAGTCTAACATAGTCTAAGCAAAGAAGGTTTAAAATCCCCACCCAGACCTAACTGACTAGGGCCATGGAGCATGGGGTGAAATCATGAGGTGCTTGGGTTGGAACCGTGTGGATTGCAGCGTGGCTGCAGTGGTGCCTGCCACTTCCTAGGTGTGTGGCCATGAGCACACTGTGAAGACCCTCTGCCACAGGGCTTCCAGGAGCACCGCCTGCAGCGGGCTTCCCACACCTTCACTGAGATGAACCATCGAAAGCCCTGCCTTGGCACTCAAACCTCCAATTTCAAGATTGGGAAAGACAAGTGTATTTCTGCATGTTGAATTTTCTTTCTTTTTGTTTCCTCTTTTGGTGGCTTTATGAGGAAGATGGAGGTGGCAATTGCCAAGTGGAGAATAAGAAGAAGTGGAAAAAAATGAAAATAAGAAAGATAATAGGTGGAAGAGAGTCAGGCAGAGTGAAGGAATCAAAGAGCGGCACAGGACCCTGAGATCCGCCTAGCATCCATTAACAAGTATTCACGGAGCACCGATGTGTCAGGAACTGTCCTCCGCCCTGGGACCATGCTGGGACATGGACCGAGAATAGTCACATGTCTGTGGAGCTAGTGAGGGAGAGAGATGCCAAATAATTATGGAAAAGGTATATCTGCCAAGTAGAGGTAAGTGCCGGGGAGAAAAATAAAACAGGGAGAGTAATGGATGCGTGGGGGATGGGAGGGCACAGCCTTGTAAGGGGTGGGGAGTGAGCCACCAGAAAGGAGGGTATATTAGTCCGTTTTCACGCTGCTGATAAAAACATACCCGAGACTGGGAAGCAAAAAAGGTTTAATTGGACTTACAGTTCCACGTGGCTGGGGAGGCCTCAGAATCATGGCAGGGGGCAAAAGGCACTTCCTACATGGTGGCGGCAAGAGAAAAATGACGAGGAAGCAAAAGCAGAGACCCCTGATAAAAGTATCAGATCTCATGAGACTTATTCACTATCACAAGAATAGCAAGGGAAAGACCGGCTCTCATGATTCAATTACCTCCCCCTGGGTCCCCCCACAACACATGGGAATTCTGGAAGATACAATTCAAGTTGAGATTTGGTGGGGACACAGCCAAATCGTATCAGAGGGAAAAGCCACAAGGTGGGAACATGCTTGGCCAGAAGCTATTGTGGCTGGGGTGAAGAAAACAAGGACGGAGAGGAGTGACAGAGGCCATCAGGCCAGGGCGTGAGTGAGGATCCCAGAAAGATAGAGATATGTCAGCGGGTACAAGTCTGGGGGCACTGGAGCGATGCAGGCCTTCACAAATTCCGAAGTGGTAGTGGCCCTTGCAGGTGGCCTTTGTAGGGAGGGCCTTCAACTCCAGCACACATCCCTGCCCTGGGCTAGCCATCCTTGCTTCAGCTTTGACCAGGGTCCATATCAGCAAGATCATTGTGACCCTGTTAAAGAATCCAGGTTTTGTTGGAAGGATCATGGGGAGTCCCAAGCAGCATGAGACAATGCGCTTTACATTTTAAAAATGACACTGATGCTTCTCGGAGAACAGATTGCAGGGATGAGGGCAAGTGGGCAGCAGAGAATGTGACCAGTCATCTGGATTTACCAGAGATGGAGGGGTTTCCTGGGACATGGGACTTCCAGGGACAAAACCAGGCACTGGAATGAGCTGATGACCAGAAAGCAGAGAGACCAGAGAGGAGGCTATAGTAGTCTTTGACCAAGAGGTGTGAGTAGCTTAGATTAGGGTAAGAGCAGGGCTGTGATGACAAGCGGTTGGATTTGAGAGGTATTTTGAAGGAGTGGTAAGAGGAGCTATTGCTTTAAGAAGCAGGCAAGGCAAATCTCAGCTCCAGGTGGCAGGAAAGCCTTTCAGAAGGAGAGCTCTCACCCTGGGCCTGCAGGCCAGTTGGCTGTGGGACATCAAGTCATTCATCTCCCCAGGTTCCAGCTCTTTCCTCGGTTGGGGAGGGTGTGGGGGTAATGATGCCAACCTCGCAGTGTTGCCACAGGATTCAGTCACACATCCTGGGATGCCCCTTTGCAGCAGGTGCTGGCTGATATTATTTCTTAGGAGCCTGCACAAAAATTTAAGAAGGCATTTAGGAAGTTGGTGGAGCAGGAGATATGGATGTTTATAAAATGAGAGCTGTCTCTCCTTTGGCCAGTGCTGGATCCTCTCTGCTGTTTGTATCTACATGTGAGAGGGAGGTTTGGGGATCTTATGTGCAAGACTGCTTTCTGTGCTCTCTGTCTCTTATCTCCTGTCCCCAGCTGAGGTAGGAGCCGTCACTCCATCATCCTTGCCCCCGTCGAATGGTGCTTGTCTTCTGCCCCAGCCCTTGCCCTCCTGGCCTGCTGTGTAGTTAGTTCCTGGCATGGAATGGAATCTAAGAATGAAAGACAGGTCGAGCCCTTACAGTTTGCAAGGCCATCTGAGAGGTCTTCGTGTACCTTGATGATGACGGGGTCCTCTCCACAGCCCCAAGTGAAGTTCAAAGGAAAAAGATAATAACGCGGCCGGGCGCAGTGGCTCATGCCCGTAATCCCAGCACTTTGGGAGGCCGAGGCGGGCGGATCACAAGGTCAGGAGATCAAGACCATCCTGGCTAACATGGTGAAACCCCGTCTCTACTAAAAATACAAAAATTAGCCAGTCGTGGTGGTGGGCGCCTGTAGTCCCAGCTACTTGAGAGGCTGAGGCAGGAGGATGGCATGAACCTGGGAGACAGAGCTTGCAGTGAGCTGAGATCGCGCCACTGCACACCAGCCTGGGCGACAGAGCGAGACTCTGTCTCAAAAAAAAAAAAAAATATATATACACACACACACACACACACACACACACATATTCATATATATACGTATATATGTATACATGTATATACGTATATATGTATATATACATATATGTATATATATCCATGTGTGTGTATATATATCCATGTGTATATATGTATACGTATATATACACGTATATATGTACGTATACATGTATATATATACACATATACAGATACATGTATATATACATATATATAAAATAAAGCATAAGATATAATTATATTTTTGGAAATGACACATAACTCTATGTATTATGATGGTTTTCTTTTGAGGTTTCCTCTTTGGTTCTTGAGGAGTCAAATCCCTTCTTTGCTATGCCGTAGTTGCATGTTGAGAGGTCCTGTGCCAGGTGCTCAGGTGCCTGTCATTTCATCAGCTACACACCCTGGAAGCAGGCCTGACTCAATGGTCCCTGCTTTCCCCATGAAGCAGCAGTGACTCAGAGAGATGACACATTTGCCCACGGTCATTCAGTTTCTCAGCTAAATGAAGCTTCATTTAGCTTCATTTCTCCTTCTCTTAATCTCCAGGTATCTATTTATCTATCCATCCATCCATCCATCTTCCTATCCATCTATTCTCTATTGATGTATGTATATATATATATGTATTATGTATCTATGTGTCTATTACCTGTTTATGTTTCTATTACTTATCTATATCTACCCATTTATATGTATGTATGTATCTATCTACCATCTATCTATCCATCCTCTACCTATTTTCCATCTATCTATCATCTATGTATGTATTATGTACCTATGTGTCTGTCATCTATGTATCTATTACCTATCTATCTTTTTAAAAATTTATTTAATAGAGACGGGGTCCCGTTATGTTGCCCAGGCTGGTCTTGAACTCTGGACTCAAGTGATCCTCCTGCCTCGGCCCCCCAAAGTGCTGGGATTACAGGCATGAGCCACCATGCCTGGCTGTACCTATCTATCTTTATCTACTCATCTATATATATTGTATGTATCTATCATCTATCTATCTATCTATCTATCTATCTATCTATCTATCTATCTATCATCTATCAATCATCTATGTGTCTTATCTATCATCTATCTTATCTATGTATCTCTATGACCTGTCTATCTATGTATCTATCTGTTATCTCTCTGGTTATCTGGTCTCCAGTGCCCACCTCCTCCTCCCAGTCTTTTCTCTCACCCTGACTCTGAACTTCTCCAGGCCTGGTGTTATGTTTTCTGTAGCGTGACCTTATAACTAACCATCCCATCGAAGACGCTTGGGGGAGTGAAAGGAGGGGCTATTAATACTTCTGCAAAAACTGGCGCTGCCCTGAGCACACTGGGATGCCTGGTGGTGGTGGTGGTTAGGTGTAGATTTCTCCCCATTCCTTAGTGCCTCACAAGGGTGCTGTAAAACGTTTGTCGAGTGTGTTTTATCAACAGTCTCAGAAGGGGTGGTAAAAAAAAATACTCGTTTGTTTCATACAGAGAGAAATTGCATTACAAAGTGATGACTTACAAAATCACCGAAAGGAAATCAATGGTGAGGTGGAGCCAAACCTCTGCTGTAGAATTTCTGGATTCAGATAACACAGAGCTCTCTCCATCAAGCATTTGTGTGCAGAAGCTAAGCTCCAGGCCCAGGGAGAGAGCTTGAAGCAAAGACATAATAAAACAGTAACAGCTGCTACCGAAGCTGTGTCATGCAACTTTGCTTAGCCCTTTACTGTATGGTCTCATTTATTCCTTAAGGAAGGTGAGATTATAATAGAAAAGGAAAATGAATGTGCCGCAGTCACACAAATCACTCACTACTACACTGCCACCAGAGCCCAACAGAGTAGCCACAATTGTTTTCTTCCTAAAAGGTGCAATGGAGTAATACTGCACAATTTCCATTTAGATGTCCCTTCAACACGTTTCCTGGGAATCTTAGAGCAGTTAACACCCATTTAGAAAGGAGCTTTTTCATTTCGTAAATATGTTCAGTGCACCAAAACAGGCAAACAAGATAACCCGAACTCTTAACTTGCCTCAGCACCTCACCCCTTAAGATACATAGAAACAAATCAGAAATTATGCTCAATAAGGAATTTGCAAGGCTGAGGAGGGGGAGCTGGAGTCAAATCAGCTGGGTCTTCCGCCCCCTTCAGTAGGAGGGGGAAGATTACTGCAGAGAATGTAACAAGGAGAATAAGAGAGAGGGAGGGAGGGGGAAGAGAGAGAGAGAGGGAGGGGGGTGGAGAAAGAGAGAGACAGAGAAGGAAAGGAAGAAAGAAAAAGAGAGAGAATAACTGTTGGTAACGGACAGCCCAAGAAAATTGTAGAAAAGTCCATCTCTGGTACCTACCTGGTGCCACCTTCCCCCCACCCCCGCGTTGTTTATTTATTTATTTATTTTTTCTAGCCACCACCATTTTGTTGCCTGGCAGAGGTGTGAGATGCAAGGCTGTTTACAAAGCCCCCAGCAAGAGCAATCCCATCATCAGGAGGTTTGCTTCCCCCCCGGGCCAGCCCTCTCGCTCTCCATGCCCGTCTTGGCTGCATGCGTTGTACCTAACACATTTAACCCGCGTTTCTTAAGAGTTCTGCAAAATGGTGTCTGCTGGTGTTTGCAAGGGAAGCTCCCGCTGGGCGTCCCGAGCTGGGTGGGAGCTGAGTGTGCGGTTCCCTAACGAGCTGGCGGCCGGCCTGAGCGGCTCTGATCTCCAATTCTGACGGCTTGTCCTTCAGGTGACCTATATTATCTGGCACCTCAGTTGCTGCTCACAAAGAAAAAGTATCACTGGAAGAAAGAAAAAAAAAATCCCAAGTGATTGTGTACATGCTCTTTATTGAGAATATTAAACTCAGACGCCCTCTGCTGGGCAAGACGGGAAGGGGAGGCTGGGAGTAGGGGAGGGTGGCCGGGAGGGCTCAGGAGAAGCCGGGGACGGCCTCCTTCCTGTGAGATCTGTGGGCATGATTCAGGGCAAAGGGCGCCCATCAGAGCTGCTTTAGGCAAAGGGAAATACAAAACAAAAGTGAAACCGCTGACAAGGAAATCATTTAATTGGGGAGAAATGACAACTTCTTCACTTGGATTTTTTTTTTTCCTGTTCCTAAAATTGTTGCTTTTGATAGGTGAGAGGGAATGGGGTGGGGGAGACTGCTGGACACTGCCAACTTATTCATCAAGACAAAGGGTTTGGGTTTCAGGGAAGTCCTAGCAAAGAGTGTGGCTCAGCGGGTAGAAGGGTAGCTGAAATACCAGGACATTTTTGAGAGTGAAACAGAGTGCTATGGATGATGATGCGGACACAGCAGGTATAGTCCAGAGTGTCCCAGGCAAATCTGACTACCTAGTCCAGCACTGCACAGAGAGCTTTCTAGGATGATATGAATGTTTTGCATCTGTCCTGTCCTATCTATCTATCTATTTATTTATTTATTTTTGAGACAGAGCCTTTCTCTGTTGCCCAGGCTGGAGTGCAGTGGCACGATCTCGGCTCACGGCAACCTCCAACTCTTAAGTTCAAGCGATTCTCGTACCCCAACCTCCCGAGTAGCTGGGATTACAGGCACCCGCCACCATGGCTGGCTAATTTTTGTATTTTTAGTAGAGACAGGGTTTCGCCGTGTTGGCCAGGATGGTCTCAAACTCCTGACCTCAGGTGATCCACCTGCCTCAGCCTCCCAAAGTGCCGGGATTACAGGCGCGAGCCACTGCGCCCGGACTGTCCTGTCCTATATGGTAACCACCACCCACATGTGGCTACTGGGCTCTTGAAATGCAGCTACGCAACTGTGAGGGGATGAATTCTTAACTTCATTTAATTTTTGTTATTCTGAATTTACATTTAAATAGTCACGTATGTCTAGTGGCTATCAGACGGTAGAGCTCTGGTCTTACTATTCACAGGAACACACCGTGACCCCCATTGACAGCAGCTAAGACCCCAGGAACAGGCTTGTTGCGAGAGGCCCTCCAAACAATTTATTGAATGAATAAAAACTCAGTAATCAAAAGTCACAGAGATAGAAATTCACAACACTTCTTGGAGACTTATAGGAGCTTCCAGAAACACAACTTCTCCCAGGGAGAGTCAAGAGAGCAGTGTCATTTCCTATAAAATGTCCAAGGCCAATCCCAGGTCCCGGTGTCAGCCCTTGCGTGTGGCACTGGCACCAGCAGCCAGAAAGGTTACTTGTGACTTGTTTTCAGTGCTTTCCTGGGAGTGTCCTGAAAGCTGGCAGTGTTTCTGCCTCGTCAGAAGAGGCCTCATTCATTTGGGGTTGTACCAGCAACTTAAAAAGTTTTTTTTTTTCTTCCCTCTTCCAGTGTTAATAGATTTTGAAAGAGGCATTTTTGTTTCTAATTACAAATTCCTGGGTGATGTCATTAAGCCCTCAAACACCCGGTGAGGGCGGCACTGAATGGGGAAAGACAATATGCTAACAAGTTATCTGAGGGTGTCAGAAAGAAATGATGAAAAACAGTACAGTTGGGGGAAATGTTTTCCAGCCTGCTTTCTGGTTTTAGCGACTGCATGGGAAGAGATAAGACACACATGGCTTTTATAAGGAGCCATCGGGATCTCTAGGGGACATGAGGCAGGAGAAAAGAATTGGGCTGAAAGCATCCAATCATCACATATTCACGGAGAAAGAGATTACAATATAGCAGAGGAAGCTCTTCCAGGGCTCCTACAGGGACCTTTGGGACAAAGATTCAGTGGGCTTTGGGACAGCTTGACTTCAACTAGATGGTATTTGAATAATCTGCTGGAGAGAAAACAGATATAGCACACACTGTCACATTTAGCGTTGAAACTCTCGGTTTGACTATGAGTAATGTTCAGCCATGCCCAAGGGTCAGGCCTACACTCACTCAGAAACAAGTGGGGAATTGAAGCAATTATTCAGATAATCCATAGACATAGCTACTGGCCAGTGCTGCACCCCTGATTTAGCCCAGAAACAGTAATGCTATTATAAGCTGTTGGTGATTTGTGGAGCAATCTTGAATTTATTAAGGAAAGGAGATTATAGAAAAATCCAGAATGCCAATGGGATGCATTCAGGTTGAGTCATGCAGAGTAAGGTGGGAAATGGAGGGCCTCCCACCCCTGCAAGGAACATCTTGCTTTAGGCCAAAATGGAAATAAAACTTTGGGTTGAAATTTTGCAGATGGTTTGTTTCTCCATATCACTGTTTTTACATGTGTAGTTGATAAATTTCATGTTGGATTGTATGTGGATCAAAAGGCAGAAAATGGTAAAATGGCATATTAAGAATTTTGAGATAATATGAATAAAATATTATTTACAGCTGTTTCTTAATTAGTACCTTCCCATGATTTTGAGTGGACTAGCCAGTGGGAAAAATGTGTTCATTTTCTTCAGTTGTTCAAAACTACTTTGAACAGAATATAGTTTACCTGCCTATAATGGAAAACCCAGATACCAGCAGCTTAGGCAAGATTTATGTTTCTCATTTACTGCATAATCTAGAGGTAGATAGCTAGAGGCAGAGGTATAATCCAGAGGTACCTACCTAGAGCTGGGTAGCTGCCTACCTCTACTCTACCCCGTCTCTACTAAAAATACAAAAATTAGCCAGGCATGTGCCTGTAATCTCAGCTACTCTGGAGTCTGAGGTGGGAGAATCGCTTGAACCCCTGGAGGCGGAGGTTGCAGTGAGCCGAGATCGCGCCACTGCACTCCAGCCTGGGCGACAGAGCGAGACTCCGTCTCAAAAAAAAAAAAAAAGAAAAAAAAAGAAAAAAGAAAGAAAGAAAGAAGGGCGACTCAATTAGACCCAATTGGGGTAAGCATCACGTAGACTTTACCATTTCAAAGAATCTTTAAAACACGGAAAGTAGTAGTTGATGTGGTGTGGATTTTAAGGCCAGATTTTTTGACCCTTCTTTGATCGTCACCTAGTCTTCCAGGTAGCAGATGGTCACATCGTCTTCCAGGGAGAAGGGCAGGAGGAATCACTGATGTCTGCACTCCTACGTGCAACCCCACCTCCACCTTTAAGGAGCTTTTGGGGAAGCCTCAATCAATGATTCTGACATCTCATTGGCCAGAGGTCTGTTAAATGGCCACCCCTAGTTGCAAAGGAGGCTGGGAAATGTAGTTTTAATCCCCCGCGACCCCTCCCCTTCGCCCTCACACACCAAGTTGAAATCACGTTATTAATACTAAGAAGGGAGACTCAGCTGGGCGCCGTGGCTCACTCCTGTAATCCCAGCATTTTGGGAGGCCGAGGCAGGCGGGTCACCTGAGGTCAGGAGTTCAAGACCAGCCTGGCCAACATGGTGAAACCCCATCTCTACTATAACTACAAAAATTAGCTGGGCATGTGCCTGTAATCTCAGCTACTCAGGAGGCTGAGGGAGGGGAAGAATCGCTTGAACCCGGGAGGCGGAGGTTGCAGTGAGCCAAGACCACACCACTGCACTCCAGTCTGGGCAACAGAGTGAGACTCTGTCTCTAAATAAATAAATAAAGAAGGGAGACCCAATTAGGGGTAAGCGTCATAAGTCTAAAGTAAAGTAGACTTTACCATTTCAAAGAATCTTTAAAGCATGGAAATTTGTATCTAGTTTTACAAAAATCATCCTAACTCAGTAGTTTATAGGAGCAACTTTTATTTGTAACTACCATGGAGCAAAATAATCATTATGTATAATAATTATATATGTCGAGGAGACAGTTAAGGGGTGTGTGTGTGTGTGCTCTAAGAATGTAAACCTCATTCTTACTGGCTGAGCTTAACTGCACTGCTCCTTGGGATTTTAAATAAATTAGCTGTGTCTTTGTCCGTCAGCAACTCAGTCTCCCTCTATTAGCATCTGTGCTGAGTAGTGCACTCCTGAGAACTAAATGAAGAGCTTCAGTAGTAGTTTCGTAAACCTGAAATGCAGTGTCTAGAGCAAGTTCAACTTCATTAGCGATTTGAAGAGAGATTTATCGAGCCAAAGGGAAGACCTCTCTGAACGGAGTTTGTCTGCCTTGATTTAAGTAACGAAAACAACCATGGCATTTGAGTGGTGGTTAGGTTCAGGTCTGAAACAATTTCTTTGTGAGTCAACTGTTATTAGCGGTGGAAGAAAGGATGGGGATGAAGGGAAGGGCCGGGAGTAGAGACTATGGCGGGGCATAGGGGCTGATCACACAGGGTCTTGCGGGCACATTAACAGACTGAATTTTGGCCTTTGGTTCGGTGGTTGGAAACTCTTTTAGGGCCAGGCAGTAACATCCGTGCATGAGGCTGGCCAGGGTACAGAAATAGAGAAAGGAGAAAAACTGCAGGGCTGTAAAGCATGTGACTCCCCAAAGCAATGGTCACTACCTGGCTCTAGAGGACTGATTCCATGGGAGACTAAAGACCTACCGCTACAAGCCAGTTAGATTTTTTTTTTTTTTTTTTTTTTTTTGAGACGGAGTCTCGATCTTGTCACTCAGGCTGGAGTGCAGTGGCGCAATCTTATATCACTGCAACCTCTGCCGCCCAGGTTCAAGCGATTCTCCTGCCTCAGCCTCCTGAGTAGCTGGGATTACAGGTGCCTGCCACCATGCCTGGCTAATTTTTGTATTTTTAGTAGAGGCAGGGTTTCACCATATTGGCCAGGCTGGTCTCGAACTCCTGACCTTGTGATCCGCCCGCCTCAGCCTCCCAAAGTACTGGGATTACAGGTGTGAGCCATCGCGGCTAGGGCAAGTTAGATTTATCAGGAAAAGCCCAGTATCTAAATACTTGTATGAAATCTGACGTCATAATGTTGGATCAAATTTTATAATGGGTCAAGTGCTGAACAAAGGTGGCCACAGTTAGCAACTGTTTGATGGGCAACATGGCGTTAGCAAGGCACTCTGAGCAGGGAAGACACGGATGCTTTCCCTTTCTCCTCCTCCTCTCTGCCTCCACCTCTTCCTTCTCCCCTCCCTGCCTCCTCTGACATGAGGTTCTCTCCAGCGGCCGTGGCAAGGATGCTTTTGAATGGAGTGGAGGGTAGCACAAGGCAGGTAGGGTAGGCATTGCCTAATGGCAGGAAAGCCAGTTAGGATGTTCTGGTCACAGTCAGGATTTGATTTGTTGAGAGTTGGAATTAAGGCAATGACAGGACAGAACGATGGGCTGAATTCTGGAATGATTTCTCAGTCACTCACGGGAGTGGTGTCTGACTGGATAAGGCACAGGTGGGTGTTAGGAAAGGGAGAATTTGAGGAAGAGAGTGATTTTGTTTGAGGTCGAAGTCACCATCTGGGATCTTGGCAGCTGAACCTACTCCACAGGGGTGTTTTGTTGAACACAAGGGATTAAAATTTCTTTTGAATTGATTTTCATTTCTTAAGAAAATGCGAGCACTTATATTTAAAGCTAGATTTCCACCTCCTTTTGGAGAAAAAGAAATCTGAGAGTATTAGGCATAGATTCCAATAAAGCAACAACAGCTGGAGCTGGGGGGTGGGGTCGGGGCTTGGGTATTGGGGGAGGTACACGGATTCCCTAGTATTTCTTTGCCCCACCTGCCTTCGGTAAGTATTTGAGTCTGTGACCCCTGAGGGAACCGGTTGTGCAAGTCATAGGAATATACGAGATCATTCAGGCACAACAAGGAGAATTCCAGGCAACAATCACATTTCAGGACAGATAGAAAAGGAGAAGATTGCAAAAGGGATTTAGAAGCTTGGGCTGGGAGAGCGGGCAAGCAACAGGAAGGCAAAGTGGAATAAAAGATAGAAGTGGGGAACCTGCTGTACGAGGCTACTGAAGAGCCGAGTAGCATGGGGTTGAAATGGGTTGTTGATGTAAATGTGCCGCGTTGTGGTGGTGGTGGAGAGGTTGTCGGAGCCTATTAATGTTAAAAGGAAAAGTGCGCACTCAATCAGCCTGCAGGTGCAATTCTTTACCTGCCCTAGAGAAATGAAATTCTCATGGGTGCACAGGGAGAAGTGGTAAAGGGTGCCCTTTGTTGTATTATTATTTGTTTCAGTGAAGAACTAGAAACAACCTAAACGTGCATCAGGAGTTCAAGACCAGCCCGGCCAAGAGACCAGCCTCGCCAACATGGTGAAACCCCATCTCTACTAAACATACAAAAATTAGCCGGGCGTGGTGGCGGGCACCTGTAATCCCAGCTACTCAGGAGGCTGAGGCAGGAGAATTGCTTGGACCCCAGAGGCAGAGGTTGCAGTGAACCGAGATCGTGCCACTGCACTCCAGACTGGGTGACAGAGCAAGACTCCATCTCAAAAAACAAACAAACAAAACCAAAAAGAAACGCCCCCTCACACAAAAAAGTGGAGTTATAGGAAAATATAGCGTTATAGATGGCCTGTGCTGCGGCTTCCTCTCCCTCTCCTCCTCCCTCCTCTTCCCCCTCTCATTTCCACCCCCACTTCTTTAGAAACAGGATCTGAAGAAAACGCATCACATATACAACACTAGATACCCTTGATGTTCCTGAGATTGGGAATAAGTGGTTAAAAGTGAATTTAGGCCAGGGGCAGTGGCTCATGCCTGTAATCTCAGCACTTTGGGAGGCCGAGGTAGGAGGATCACTTGACGTCAGGAGTTTGAGACCAGCCTGACCAATATGGTAAAACCCCATCTCTACTAAAAATACAAAAATTAGCCAGGCATGGTGGCACATGCCTGTAGTCCCAGCTACTTGGGAGGCCAAGACAGGAGAATCACTTGAACCCGGGAGGTGGAGGTTGCAGTGAGCCAAGATTGTGCCACTGCACTCCAGTCTGGGCGACAGAGCGTGACTCCATCTCAGAAAAAATAAAAAAATAAAAAAAAAATGAATTTAATGTTTACCTTTATCTTTAAATTGTTGATTATCATTTTAACTAAGAAAGTGCTGTTGTGTATCACTTGTGCAATTAGAAATTAAAGCATAGCACAATGGATTTCGTGTTTTGCAAGGGCTGTTTCAGCAGTTATGGGAGTGGAAAATAGATTACAACATTCTGAGAAGTAAATGGGAGGTAAAGAGGCAGAAATTGAAATTAAGGGGAAGTGAAACATAGGGCTACAGGATGGGGGAAGACAGTCAAGGGAAACTTCTGTGTTGGTTTGCTTTTAACTGGAGTGACCCAAAAGCTCACTAAAAGGGCATGTTGGCTTCTCCTCAGAGGGCGTTGCTGCTACGGTACAGCAATGGAATTTGTTTCTGAGCTGAGATCACTCCCGTAATTTACATCCCAACTCTTCTGATACAGAAAAGCCTAGAAGGAAGTTGGTGTGAAATAAAAATAGTTTGATTGGTAGAATCAAATTATAATCTCTGTATAAAGGCTAAACATTTGCATGGGGGAAATGTTGCTTGAAATAGGATACAAAGGAATGTCCACCAATAGAGAAATTATTAAATGTTATAATAACCTGTAGGGTAGACTATTAGGTAGTTATTAAAAATCATGTTTTTCAAGTTTTAGAAAAATTTTAAAACATGGGAAAATGCTGGTAATACAATGTTTAATTTTAAAAGTGCATGCTATGAAACTTTATGCAGTTGAGTGCTTACAAAATAGTATTTCTGCATAAAGAAAAAAAGAAGGAAAAGTGGTTAAAATGTTAACAGTGGTTCTCTCTGGGTGATGAGGAAATTGGTGATTTTATTTTTCATGCATTTCTGTTGACACAACAATTTTCCGTCAAAAACATCATTGCTTTTATAATTCCCCAAAGGAACTGTTTTTAAAACTGTAGTTTGAAAATCATTTAGGAGGGAAGACAGCCAAGGAAGGGTTCCTGTTTGACAAGCAATCAGGCAAGCAGGCCGTAAGCAGCCTGGGCTTGGATTTTGGAGTTTTTTTTCTCCCACCTTTTCCCCAGATATCAAATGTCAGGCCTCCACACCATTAAAAGGACCTAGAACCATCAACTTCTCCAAGACTGGGTAACAAAAGTCAACTCTTTCCTGCTCCTAACTCAAGGGGGTGTTGTGTGTTCTTAACTTTATAAGAGAAACACAGAACTCTAGGGAGCTATAGACACAAGCTAGCAACAAAGATGTGGCCCCTGTCTCCTCAGGCTGACCTGAACAAGTTGTGTGATTCGCTGAGAGAAGGACTCTGCCCGCCTCCCTCATACTGACCCCGCTGCTTTCCCCAACATGGCAGGAGGCGATGCAGCCTCGTGATTAAGTCTGCAAACTGGGAATCACACACTCCCATTTGGAATCTTTGCTTTTTTGCTTAACAGCTCTGTGGCTTCTGGCAAATTCTGTAACTTCTTTACACCTCAGTTTTCTCATGTGTAGAAAGGAGATGAAGAACCCCACCTCACTGGGTTCCTCTGAAGATTAAATGGAATAACTCCATAGAGGAGAACATGCAACAGTTACTGAATCAATGATTTCATTCTCAGGTTCTCTAATTTTATTTTCTTTTCATCCTGCCTTATGGCCATAATTCAGGTGATAAAATAAGAAAGGACATGGCTGGCTGTGGTGGCTCTTGCCTGTAATCCCAGAACTTTAGGAGGCCAAGATGAGAAGATTCCTTGAGGCCAGGAGTTCAAGACCAGCCTGAGCAACATAGCTCAAAACATTCTCTACAAAAAAATGAAAAGATTGCTGGGCATGGTGGCATGTGCCTGTAGTCTCAATTACTTAGCAGTCTGAGGCAGAAGGATCTCTTGAGCTCAGGAGTTTGAGGCTGCAGTGAGCCATGACTACGCCACTGCACACCAGCCTGGGTGACAGACCAAGGCCCTGTCTCTTAAAATAAATAAATAAATAAATAATAAAAAAAAGGATAAAGAAAAGAGAGTTTGAGGAGAAAGATTCTCTCTCTCTCTCTTTTTTTTTTTTTTTGAGATGGAGTCTCTCTCTGTTGCCCAGGCTGGAGTGGCAGTGGCATGACCTCAGCCCACCTCAACCTCTGCCTCCCGGGTTCAAGCAATTCTGCCTCAGCCTCCCGAGTAGCTGGGATTACAGGTGCCTGCCACCACGCCTGGCTAATTTTTGTATTTTTAGTAGACAGAGCGTTTCGCCATGTTGGCCAGGCTGGTCTTGAACTTCTGACCTCAGGTGATCCACTCGCCTCGGCCTCCCAAAGTGCTGGGATTACAGGCGTGAGCCACCATGCCCAACCCACTGTGGCTTTCTAAAGCCAGACTTAGAGTTAACCAGATCTGCTGAGATCTTTCCTTACTTACACCTACTAAAGGTGAATTTATTGTTCTTTTGTTAATGAATACATCAAAATACTCGTATCTTTTATTAATCTCAGATAAAAGATCACTAGAGTATTGGAGGAATCGTTTCTAATACAACTTTTTCAGAAGAGGGGAAAGCAGCTTTTCAAAATGAAAATGAGGTCACTATTTCGTTCACGTGACTGTCATCTTGTGAAGTTCATTTTATTACAACCTGATCTTATAAAAAGAATCTCATTTTGGTTTAACTTTTTTAGGCTACCTAACAGATAACTTAAAAGTTTAGCTGAGAGTATTTATTTCCAAATTCCACAGTTGTCTTAAGAAATTTTAGAAAAAAAGGCAAAACACTGTGTACAAAACAGTTCAATGTGGTGTTATCTAAAATAGTGTGGTTTGTAGTAATTCCACGTATAATAGTACAGCAAAAGAAAAATGACTTATTCAAGGCTTGTTACACTGACACCATGAGATATCTTGTAGCCATAAAATTGTAATCGTGTTGTTTATGAGGAAAAAGAAACCAAAGCGAAATATATCTGATATAATTTTACATACACAAAGCATAAAACAAAATAGTTTGCACTGAACTGGGGAGTCAGCCAGCGAGCATTTAATTGAGTGCCTACTATATGCCAGCTACTTTCATAAGTATGAAATGGTCAATGTAAAAAATATTTGCAAGGACTGTGTAAAATTAAGATTGTGCCGGGGAATGGGATTATCATGGTTGTTTTTCCGTTCTCTCCTCTAACGTTTAAAAATACGTTGTGGTTTCATAATAAAGAAAAATACATGTCTGAAACAGCGTCATAATAAACGTTGCAGATGCTGATTTTGTGCTAACTTGATGCCAGGCACTGCTCTGAGCAGTGTGTGTCTGTATCTGATTTACTTCCATGATGATGGTATTATCACCATAGAACAACGCCATTATTACCATAATAGCACCACGCCCATTTTATAGTGAAGAAACTGAGACAGGATGTTCTAGCTCAGTGTCTTAGCTTGAACAAGCTCTCCCACTTAGCTCAGTGGGAATCCATGTTCTTAACCAAGACTTCCAGCATATCACACAGGGGTCTGCAATACAGTTATGCATGTGGCAGCTCCTATAGTATTTTCTCGACATTTGGCCTTTGGAGTGGCTCCCTCCCATTATACTGGGGTGTTCTGTGTTTTTCTGATTTATCACTCCCCTAAATCTTTACTCATAGGCAATACTCAATCAGGCATTGAATAAATCAATCAATTCCCCTCTCATAAAAGAGGCCAGGGATAATGTTGTTCACTTTCTTTTCTTTTAGAAGTGTCTGTCAGCTCCCTGAGATTTTCATAGAATTTTTTTTTCCTACATGCCCCACCACTGCCAGTTTCAACAGACAAGGCTAACTCAGTTCACTAGACAAGCAAACACTTCAACTGAGAAGGCAGTGATAAACACAGGAAGTTATTTCACCCTGGGAATATTCCGGAAACCAACTTTGAATAATTGCTTCATGTTCAGTTGGACACAAGTTCACTCCCAGGTTGACTCACGTATGTAAATGCTCCTGACTACCATCTGACTGCATCACACACACACCCCTACCTTTCCAAAATGCTAACTACACAGCATGAATCAGCCGCTCCTGATTCAGAGCCCCGAGTCCTTCATCATCAACCTGGGCTCCTGCCTTTGTCTCCTACCCTCATCCAGTCCAACAGCAAACCCCACCCGCCCCATCTTCTAAATAAATCCAGAATCTGATCACTCCTCACCATCCTGCAGCAGCACCTCAGTCAAATTCCAGTCATCACTGAGCTGCGTGACAGCAACAGCCTCCAAACTCCTCTCCCCGTTTCTTCCATTGGAAGGCTTGGAGCTGATCTGACTTAAATTTTAAAAGACTCATTCTGGCCGCTGTGTGGAGGGTGCACTGGAAGCTCACCTCTTTCTCTGGACCAATTTCTATCTGCTTTTTCCCTTCACATCTAAAATAGGTGCTCCCCGGGGATTTGGCTCCTGATCTTATACATACATGTATATATATATATGGGGCGTGTGTATATATATACACACACACACACACGCACACACACATATTTGAAATGGAGTCTCACTCTGTCACCTAGGCTGGAGTGCAGTGGCGTAATCTCGGTTCACTGTAACCTCTGCCTCCCGGGTTCAAGTGATTCTCCTGCCTCAGCCTCCCGAGTAGCTAGGACTATAGGCAGGCACCACCACGCCTGGCTAATTTTTGTATTTTTAGTAGAGATGGGGTTTTGCCATGTTGGCCAGGCTGGTCTTGAATACCTGGGATTACAGGAGTGAGCCACTGTGCCCGGCCGCTGATCCAATATTTTACAAAGTTTGTGAAGAGGATGACTAATTCGTGGAATCACAGGTTTTAATAAGTTCAGGGGCACTGGGCTCAGCAACTTGCAACTGGTTATTTACTGCAGGGATTCTCAGAACCTTTAGTATCCTCACGTGTCCTGGGGATCCTCAAGAGAAAGACAACAGTGGGTGTTTTCAAACCATGATGTTGTCTCAGATTCCTCCAGGGCTTGCTCCCTTTGTCCTTCAGGTTCATGCTCCATGTCACCTCCTCAGAGAAGCTGTCGCTGGCTATCCATAACATCCCGTCCTCTTTCCCTGACTTAGTATTTTGGGATGTGTGGCATTTATCAACATTAATAAAACGATATCTCTTTTTTCCTATTTATTACTATTATTTTTGCTTATGTAACCTCTTGAATTATCTTTGCTGATTAGTTTCTGCTACTTAGAGTCAGTAACCCAGAATCTATTAATATAACCTTCAGGAGTGTGCATGACGAAGTTATATTCTGTCCTGCTTAGTCTTCAGTGGTCACACGTTTTTTGTTTTTTGTTAGACAAAACAAAACAAAAACCCAAAAACGTGTGACCACTGAAGGTCAAACGTGTGACCCTGCTCTGTTGCCCAGGCTGGAGTGCAGTGATGCCATCTCAGCTCCCTGCAACCTCCGCCTCCCAGTCTCAAGCAATCCTCCCATCTCAGCCTCCTGAGTAGCTGGGACTAAGGGCACACACCACTACACCCAGCTAATTTTTTTGTATCTTTTTTTTTTTTTGAAGGAGTTTTTGGTCTTGTTGCCCAGGCTGGAAGCAATGGCGGGATCTCGGCTCACTGCAACTTTTGCCTCCCGGTTTCAAGCAATTCTCCTGCCTCAACCTCCTGAGTAGCTGGGATTACAGGCATGCACCACCAAGCCTGGCTAGTTTTGTTTTTTGTTTTTTGTTTTTTTTTTGAGACGGAGTCTCCCTCTTTCGCCCAGGCCAGACTGCAGTGGCGCGATCTCGGCTCACTGCAAGCTCCGCCTCCTGGGTTCACGCCATTCTCCTGCCTCAGCCTCCAGAGTAGCTGGGACTGCAGGCGCCCGGCTAATTTTTTGTATTTTTAGTAGAGACAGGGTTTCACCATGTTAGCCAGGACGGACTCGATCTCCTGACCTCGTGATCTGCCCGCCTCGGCCTCCCAAAGTGCTGGGATTACAGGTGTGAGCCACCGTGCTCTGCCTAGTTTTGTATTTTTAATAGAGACGGGGTTTCTCCATGTTGGTCAGGCTGGTCTCGAACTCCCAACCTCAGGTTATCCGCCCGCCTCAGCCTTTCAAAGTAGTGGGATTACAGGCGTGAGCCACCGCACCTGGCCTTTTTTTTTTGTATCTTTAGTAGAGATGGGGTTTTGCCATGTTGCCCAGGCTGGTTTCAAACTCCTGAGCTCAAGCAATCTGCCTGCCTTGGTCTCCCAAAGGATGGGATTACAGGCATGAGCCGCCCGTGCCCGGCCTTTGTTTTTCCTATTTATTATCTGACTTTCCCCGCTAGACTGTAAGATCCAGGAGAGCAAGAGCTTTGTCAGCCTCGCTCTCTGTGCAGCTAGACTGTAAGATCCAGGAGAGCAAGAACTTTGTCAGCCTCGCTCTCTGTGCATCTTCAGTTTCTACAACAGCACGTAACATGCAGTAGGTGCTCTCATTAAATCTTGTTGAATGGACACAGGTGTATTGATTTTCTATCATTATGTAGCAAATCACTGCAGAGTTAGTCACTTAAAACAATACCCATTTACTGTCTAACAGTTTGAGACTCTGGGTATAAGTTAGATGGGTCCTTCGCTTTGAGTCTCACTCGGCTGAAATCAACATGTTGGTCAGGGTTGTCATCTCATTTGAGGCCTGGGTCCTCTTCTGAGCCCACTAGTTTTTGACAGAATTCAGTTCCTGGGCAGTTGTAGGACTGAGGGACTCAGCTCCTGGAGCTCCTAGTTGGCCGCTGTGTTGTTCTCTCCACAGCATGGCAGTTTGTCTTGTGTCCCATACAAAGCCATGGGACAACGTCTGCTGCTGCTTCCCTAGTTCCTTTTAAGGGATCACCTGATTAAACCAGGCCTACCCAGGATAAACTTCCTCTTGATCAAATCAGAGTCAACTGACTGGGGACCTTAGATACAACATTCTTTTACCTTTGTCATGTAACTTAATCATAGTAGTGAAAGCTCATCAATTCAAAGGTCCAGCCAATGTTCCAGGTAAGGGGATTATGGATGCCATGTACACCAGGTCAAGGAGGGGACAATCTTGGGGACCACTTTAGAATTCTGCCTAGCACAATGTGAAGCTTTATATCCCTTAGAATACCTTATAGGATTGGTGGTCCTCTGGGAAATGCTTTGAGAAAGGTGCTTTCTCTTCCCCAATTCATCAACCTCATTTCTTAAACTAGAGAGCATATCTGCAGACAGCTCTGGGGGCTGAGCAGGTAAGAAGAGTTCTGTGGGGATTGTGTAAAAGTGAGACTAAGCCCCAGCAAAGGGGAAGGGTCATTTGGTGTCCTATATTTTGTCCGTGATCCCCCAACTTCCAATATTTCAAGAGAACATGGAAATCTGAATTTGCATATGCATTTTTCTGGTGTTTAAATCTTGGAAACAAATTCAAGTTTTAGCAGAATGCGTTGCCCTTTCCCGAAGAAACATGACTGTAGGCTGTACTGGGGAGGTTGCGTTGAAAATTGTTGCTGAAATGATCACTGTCTTTTGAAGGCTACTGCACCCATATCTTTGACTGGAAACTCTTCTCTGAAGTGTCATTTACATTTCTACTTGCTTGCATGGTGGAAATGTTTCTTGAGCTCAGAACAGAAAGTCCACTAACAGTTTCATCATATTTTTACTCCCTCCTCATAGTCACACGTCCTTCCTGGTGGGGTTAAGGGTTTTCACATACACCTGTTCAACCAACCTCAGACCTCAGTGATGTTTATGACTTGTTCTGTCTCTGTCACTTTCCTAACATCCAACTATCATGGGGTGAAAAAAATCGCTCTTAGAAAAGCTGCTTGAAGCCCTCTCTCTCCTGGCAGGAGGGCAGGAGGATGTATTTATGGAGAAAGTTTGCTTTTTCCTTGGAAAATCATGCTAATAGAACTTGAATTACAGAATTTAAAGCCTGTCAGGGAGGAAAGTGACAAATTAACCTACTTGGAAGAGAAATGGAAAAGCAGGTCTTATGAATGATCAGATTCTGTCACTTCCCTGCCCAAAATGCTCTAGCATCTTCCTATCAAGTTCAGGCTAAAATCCAGGTCTTACCATCATGGTTACAAGGTCTTTCTGGTTTCTGACAGCCTGTCCAACATTATCCAAGGGCACACGAGCTCTTTTCAATGTGTCAAATGTGCATTCACCTTAGGGCTTGTACAGTACCTCTTCCTTTTGTCTGGAATGCTTTTCTTCCTCATATTTGCATGATTCACTCCCCAGTCTATGAAACTCTGTGGTCAAATGTCATCTTAAAAGAGCCTTTCCCTGATCAACCCAACTAAATTCACATGCCCTTTTCTCGGTATTACTCCACTTTTTCATTTACTAATAGCATATTCCAGTTTTTGACATCTTATCACTAGTTGTTTGTTTATTGCCTGTTTCCTGTACCAAAATATAAGCTCCTTGAAGGGAAGAACTTTGTTTTGTTCACTTCTTTATTCTAAGAAATTAGAACAGTGCCTTATCCACAGCATAGATTCTCAGTAAATATTTATTCAATGAATGAACGAATGCAAGGATGGATGAACAAATGAATGGTAGGTCTGTTAATCTATCAATAAGAGGTGTTGCATCTCTGCAAAGAGATGTTTTGTTGTACATTTATTTTCTTTTCATAACTGTCTTTATTATCTCCTTGTTTCTAATTTTTCTAGGTTTGATTGCTTTTATTTTTCTAATTTTCTAAAGTGTGTGCTTAGGTCATTGATTTTCTTCCTCTCTTGTTAGCTAATATGTGTATTTAAAGATAAACATTTCCCTATAAGCACAGCTTTAGCTGAATCCTACATTTTGATATGTCAAATAAATATTTTCTAATTTCTACTGTGATTTCTCTTAAATCATGAGCTATTTGGATTGCTTTGCCTCATTTTCAATTATTTAGACATTTTCTTATCCTTAGTTATTGGTTTCTAGCTAATTCCACTGTAGTCAGAGAACATATTGTGTGTTTTTAGCATTTGAAGTTTGTTGAGACCTACTCCATAGTCCAGCATGTGACAACTTTTGTTAAATGTTCCGTGTGCACTTAGAAAAAGAAGAGGTAGTGTGCAGTTATTGGTTGGTTTGTTCTACAAATGTCAGTTAGGCTGAGTGTGTAAATAGTGCTGGTCAAAATTTCTCCATTCTTACTGACTTAAATTATCTTTTTGTTTATCAGTTGCTGATAGAAATAGGTTAAAGCCTACTTCTATAATTGTGGATTTATTTCTCCTTTTAGATCTGGCAGTTTCTGCTTTATGTATATTGAAACTATTCTAGCAGGTACTGTAGATTTAGAATTGCTTTTTCTTGTAGGATTGACCCTTTTTGTTATTATAAGATAATCCTCTTTACCTTTTATATTGTTTCTTTTCTTAAAGTGTATTTCATCTGATACTAGAATAGCTACACTAGCTTTCTTTTGATTAGTATGTTCATGAAATATCTGTTTCTATCTTTATTTTCATCTTTTCTGTGTGCTTATATTAGGTCTTATCTCTTGTAAGAAGATTATATTTGGGTTTTTTTTTAATTTAGCATAAAATCTGTCTTTTAGTTGGAATATTTAGTCTATTTACACTTAAAGTAATTATTAGTATAGTACTATCACAATATTAATATATTACTATTTTAATTAGTTTCAACTTTTACCAGTTCCCCCTTTTCTCCCTTCTGACCTTTTAAATTAATGAGGTCTTTTTTCAATCATTGTGCTTCTCCTATTAGCTTGTTTTTTCTATATTTTTTATTACCTTATAGATTACAATGATAATTCCTGACTTATCAGAGTCTAATAAAATTAGTACATTTGCTAGCTCTCAGGCAATAAAATAATTTGGAACATGTTTAGTACCGTTTTTTTCTTGACTACCTTTTGTGTTATTGCTACCATGTATTTGAACTCTACATATATTTTATTTTATTTTATGTTTTATTTCTTTTTGAGATGGAGGCTTGCTCTGTCGCCCAGGCTGGAGTGCAGTGGCACAATCTTGGCTTGCTGCAACCTCTGCCTCCCGGGTTCAAGTGATTCTCCTGCCTCAGCCTCCCGAGCAGCTGGGATTACAGGCATGCACCACCATGCCTGCCTAATTTTTGTATTTTTAGTAGAAATGGGGTTTCACCATGTTGGCCAGGCTGGTCTCAAACTCCTGACCTGAAGTGATCCACCCACTTTGGCCTCCCAAAGTGCTGGAATTACAGGTGTGAGCCACCACACTTGGCCTTCTATATATTTTTTAAATCCCAGAAGACATTATTATGATCTTTTAATAGAGTTGGTATTCGTTTAGATTTACCGACACATTTGTCCTTCTGTTGCTTTTAATTCTTTCCTATGTTTTTATTCTTCCATCTGAGATCATTTTATTTTTTTCTTAAAGAGTATCTTTTAGTATTTCTTTTAGTAAGGACCTGCTGGTAATATAGAATTTAGTTTTTGTTTATCTGAAAACATAGCAATCTTCAATTTTGATAGCTATTTCTTACTGGGTGTAGAACTATAGGTTGGCAGGGTTTTTTTTAAACCCCTTTTGTTTTTCTTTCTTCTTTTCTTTCTTTTTCTTTTCCATCTTATCTTTTTTTTTTTTTTTTAAGGAGTTTGTCCTCAGACTTTGATTAGTTCTGCTGAATCAGCTGTCAGTCTTATTGTTGCTTTCAATTGAAGTGGAGCACTGCATCTCTCTTTTAGGATGCCTTCGAGGTATTTGTCTAGCTTTCATGTTTGTACTCAGTAGGTAAGATGGTCTGCAACTATGTAGCCATTTTTCCCAAGAGAAATTTCACATATTAAATGGCTTTGGTTTTCCACAGATGATGTTAGAGATAGCAAGTGGAGGTAGAGGGAATGAAGGGAGATCAAATCAAGAGAGGTTAAGATAGAGGAAGTAGCTTTACCTAAGGTGAGTAGACCCTAGACAACTGGCAGAACGCTGGGCCAAAGGAAAGATATAGGGGGCAGGATGGCATTTTCTGCAGATAAATGACCCCAGAAATTCAGACACTGTGATATCCAATATTCACTTTATATCTCTCTTTATTGTGTTGTATTTCCCTTAAGTAAGTGAGGTTCAGAGAGGATAATCAGCTTGTCCAACATCAAACAGCCGGTCAGAGTGACAGGCTGACATTCAAACTCATGCCAGTAGACTCTAGATCCCACACCTTTCGCTGCTGAACTATATTAAAGATCAGAGGCTTTTAAAGTTTTCTTATTACAAATCATAATAAGAAATACATTTTGAGTCTATACACATACATTAGTAATCAAAACAAACCTTCCACTAATGGATGTTAACCATATTACCCGTGATGCACCATGAGCTTTCTGTTGTATTCTATTCTATTCCATTCTGTTCCATTCCATTTCATTTGCTGGATCAACATAAGTGGGTTGGGCCCTGGCTTCAAATAAAAACCACTGCTAAAGACAGGAACTTACCTTAAAGGTTAAAAAAAGTACATAACTCCGATTAGCCAAGAAAAACTCAGAAAGTGAGAAGGAAGGGCAAAAAAAAAAAAAAAAAAGTCACTTCTTTTTGTCTTTCAGGAATTTTAATAATAAAACAGCTTTGGATCACCTATTTTAGATTCTTCTAGTAGACAGCCCCCAGTAGATTCCTTAACTTTTCAAATGGCATTGAAAAAGCGAGGAAGTTATTTCACCTCTTTGGGAGGCTGTCTCAGTCCTCTCTATCCATTGGAGGGCAGGGCAGCCACTCAATAAGTGTCTGTTGCATGAGTCAAGTAAAGGATCAGACCGGGGTGTCTCAGAGCCTTCCCTGCTCTTCTATTCTCTGTTAAGCCACTGAATGAAGAAGGCTGCCACATTTTCCTCTGGGTCAATATCAACAGCAAAACAATATCCCAGAACGGTCATTTCTGGGACAATAAATAGTTTTCCAGAGCTGCTATCTTAGGCCTCTCTGCCACTAAGGGATTAAAGAGAAATGCACACCCCTCCAGAATTTCCTGTCCTGTCTTGCGGTTAACTTAAAACATTTTCAACTCCCGCCTCCCCCTTTCTCACCATCTCTCTTCATGGTTAAAGAGGTTATAAATTTGCAAAGGAAATGATTAAGCAAATCCAGAAAATTTGGCCATGGGACCTGATTTTTCAAGGCCTTAGTTTTTGAAAGCTGAAGAAATCTGTCCACTGAAGGATTTGCACATGAGTTTTTTAGTCTTAGGGCTGGGGCATAATTTCCTGTTTTTGTATTCTCAAAACTGTTAAGCTACTTGTGAACAACTGGCCAGCAAAGATAGGGAGGGGGCAGGGGATGCGGAGAGAGGGTTGTGAGCCCAGAGGGGAGGAGAAAGGCTGTTTCTCCTCAGTTCTCACAGAACCTCTATGAAAATAGAAAGATTTATTTATTTATTTACTTTAAAGACTGTGAAGTAGAGACAAGGGGTAGATTCTAGACATTGAAGTTGGAGGTGTGAGTGGTAAAGAGGAGAAGAAACATGTTTTAGCAGGAACTTGAATAAGCTGATTGAAACTCAAAGAACAGTCTGTTTCCATAAGCATGAACATTTCTTAGACACTCATTTTGTGCTTTGCATGGAATACATCGTTAAATCCCCACAGCAACTCAGTGAGGTGGATTCTACTAGTGTCTCCACTTTATGGATGTGAAAGTGAAGCTGGAAGAAGTTAAGGAACCTGCTCAAAGCCACGTGGCTAGCAAGTAGCACCACTGGGATTGCAACCAAGGCTGTTTGGACCCAGAGCCTGTGTTCATAGCTACTGCTCTCTTCTGAAGATAAAGGAGGAGACAAGGATGTCAGCATGACCATAGCATACATGTTCATTTATTTAGAGCCAGGGAAGGGGGTGGGACACTAATCAAGGTTGCCCCTTCCCTTCACTTCCCTTCCCTTCCCTTCCCTTCCCTTCCCTCCCCTCCCTTCTCCTCCCCTCCCCTCCCCTTCCCTTCCCTTTTTTCTCCTCTTAAAGCCACCAACTGTGCTAGGTATTTGTATGTTTACTCTCAGATCATTTTTCCAAGCTTCTCTTCAAACTGCATTTCCCAGGTTCCATTACCAACTGGCTTCTGGTTAAGTTCAGCCAGTGGGCGGCACTGACACGTATTTTTCCTGCCTCCTCCCTCCAGTCAACAAAAAGGTACTGCTTGCAGAAGCCTCCATTGGGTTCCAGCTACCCTCAAGCAGCCTCACCCCCATCCACATGGGGTTCTATTTCCCACAGGGTGCCGGGTTCCCTAGCTCCAGAAGCATCACCTCTTCCCTTTGGCTGTGTGTCTCTAGTGGTGGTTCTTTTTGTAGCCTATTTCTATTTCTTTCTTTCTTTTTTTTTTTAAATTATACTTTAAGTTTTAGGGTACATGTGCACAATGTGCAGGTTAGTTACATAGGTATACATGTGCCATGTTCTATTTCTAATCTCCGGGTGGGCCTCACGGCCCCATGGTTGTCTTTTCAACTCTTCCAGTACCTTTAAAACTAGCACCCATATTAATGTCCTTCTATTCAGCTCCTTGTCATGGGATAGAGGTTCCCGAGAAAACCCTAAGACACAGATCACAGATTTTTCTTTTTTTTTTTTGGAACAAAGTCTCGCTCTTGTCCCCCAGGCTGGAGTGCGATGGTGTGATCTCGGTTCATGGCAACCTCTGCCTCCCGGGTTCAAGGGATTCTCCTGCCTCAGCCCCCCGAGTAGCTGGGATTACAGGCGTCTGCCACCACACCCGGCTAATTTTTGTATTTTTAGTAGAGATGGGATTCTCCTTCCTCAGCCCCCCGAGTAGCTGGGATTACAGGCGTCTGCCACCACACCCGGCTAATTTTTGTATTTTTAGTAGAGATGGGGTTTTACCATGTTGGCCAGGCTGGTCTAGAACTCCTGACCTCAGGTGATCCACCCGTCTTGGCCTCCCAAAGTGCTGGGATTACAGGCGTGAGCCACCGCGCCTGGCCGACACAGAGGTTTTTAACCTAAGACACAGACCCTGAGACAAAAACTTAGGTGCAAGTAGTTTATTTGGGAAGTGATCCCAGGAAGCACAAAAGGTGGGGTGGGGGGGCGTGCTCATGAGTATGTTACTGCTGTGGGTGACGGGTGGCTCGGTCTTGCTGAGGACCCTTGAGAGAACACAAAGACGACCCCTCAACATTGTCCCACTGAGAGATGGGGCAGCTGAGGTGTTTACCTTTCCTCTCCCATCTTTCACTGATTGAGAATTGTCCTTCGGGGCATAAAATTTCAGGTATTTTCAAAATGCCATGCAGGTGGGCTAAACAAGCTCCTACAGCCCCTGGAGAAAGCCACCGAGAGGAAAAGCAAAGAACGAGGAGTTTTGGGGTGGGAAGCTGTCAGTGCTGCAGGTAAACTCGGGTAGTCTGAAGACGATGGGGCAGGGCAGCCACAGCACCTACTGCCATGGCGACTTGGCCACCGTTATAAGTAGATGCAACTGTACAACCAAGGATAGCCAAGGGTGGACCTGAGCCCCCTCTCCAGAAATTCTGCCTTACTTTAGAATGGGGTGAACAGCAGGGAAAATGAACATTTTTCTTTGCTTTTTCTCCTCCCTCCTTTCTTTTTTCTAGATAAGCCAGCCAGCCAACTGCTTATGAGGATAAGGAGAAACTGGGGCAAAGTTTAAGGATGTCGCAAAGTCTGGGTGGCCTTCAGTCCATGAAAGAGAACACATCTGTTCTATCTCAGGCTGAGGTCATCTGCATCCTCATCAATAAGCTGACTGAGCACTCATTACCTGCCAGACACGGTGCCTACATGCTCTAAATGCACGGTCTCGTTTATTCTCAGCAACTTTCCGAGGTAAGTGCTGTTAGCATTCCCATTCCACAGAGGAACAAACTAAGGCTCTGAGAAGAAGTAATTTGCTCAAGACCTCACAGCCTGGGATCATGGGTATGAATCATCTGGGTGAATGATGAGGCCAAATCCCAAGTCCATGTTTATGACACTTAGAAATAACCATTTAAATGTCCTTTGAAGGGTCAAAACCATTTAGAGGTTTTATCTCTTTCTTACAATCTTCAAAGAAGTTTAACACCTTATAATAAATATCTCACAGATAACTCAGGTCACTTAGTGAATATTAGTTGAATTGCTTTTGTATTAGATCCTACCTGCAGCCAAAATATAAATCTATGTTACCCTCCAGCTCAAATATCTTCCATGGCTCCCCATTGCCGTCAAGAGACAATTTAAACTCGTTACTATGGACTTTTTACTCCAAGTCCTTGAGATCCATCTGTGCCACCTCCCCAGCTTCCATCCTCTTATCCGTTCTCCTCACAGTCTCACTTCAGCCATGCTAAGCTACCTGCCATTCTCTCTGTGGACCCTGGGCTCTTGCACTTGCTGTTCTTCTGGGAGCCCTTTTGTCCAACGCTTATTCATTCTGTGTGAGTTAACTCAACTGTCACCTCCCCAAAGTGGCCAACCTCCACCCACTGTGGTCTTGCGCCAGTGCCTTCCCCTGAGTCCCATGACACCCTGCATTTGCTTCTCTTACATTGTATTATTATTATCTTTTTGCCTGCCTGTCTCTCCCACAGACATGAAAGCAAGCTTTTATGTACTTAGGTTGGATTTCAACCTTGGCTCTGCCATGTGTGTTCTTGGGCAAAGTTGTTTTTTTCTCTGTGAGCCTTAGTTTCCTCAGCTGCCAAATAAGCAGTGAACAAAGTTAAGTCATGTGACACACAATACCTGGCATATAGTGAGGTTCAATGTTAGCTTTTTTTATCTAAGCATCTTCAGGGCCAGTCTTTGGACCAAACATGCTGTTGATGCTCAGTGAAGTGGTAGCTCTACCTGGACCAGTGGTTTTCAAATTTTCTCCTTCATTGGAACCTCCTGAGAGGCTGCTAAAACACAGGTTACTGGGTCCCACCCCAAGAGTTTTTGATTCTGCGGGTATGGAGTGGGGCTTGAGAGTTTGCATTCCTAACATGTTCTCAGGTGGTGCTGAGGCTGCTGGTCCTGGGACTGTACTTTTAGAACCACTGGGCTGGTTACCTGGGAAGGGTAGATGTCTGGTTAGGGTGATCAGACATTCAGAGCTAAAACAAATTCACACTAGAGGATAAGGCAATCCACAATGGGTGTGGCCACAGGATATTTGTTTAGCAATTTATCCATTCAACCAATATTTGTTGAGTATCTACCATGTCCAGGCATTGTGCTAGACACTGACAATAGAACAATGAATGAGCAAGACAAGAAGGTTCAGATCTTGATAAGTTCACATTCTAGTGGCACTGCTTTGGAAGGTGGGGGCCGTCATTACACAAATCCCATGGGTGTGAATTGAAGGGACACAGTTAGTTTGGGGAATGGTTAGCCTTAAAGCCACTGATACCAATAATGGCTTTACTGTCTACTGTATCATTGTATTGCCTTCTCAACATGATTTCACCAAAATGATTCATTGAAACTGATTATGGTATTCCCATAATCCCCTTGCCTGGAACTGCATCCATCATTCAGCACAGTTTTAGGATGAAGTCAACCCATGGAACATGGCAGAATGGAGTGTCAGAGAACCAGAGCCAGGCTATGAGACTTAACACCAGTTATATGAAACGATACATTTCCTCATTATCGTTGTTAGCTGGAAGAGAGTCTCAGAGAATCAAAGCCAAAGATGTTATACAACACCTATTATATGAAATGATAAATACCCTTATTGTTACGATTATCTGCCAATTCAAGTAGGGGTTTTCTGTTACTTGGTGCTAAAAGTTCCCCATGATAGAATAGCTTGCCTTTCCTAAGTGCTTACAATGTGCCAGCCACTGCACTAAATGTTTGGTATGCACCATCTCACTGCATGCTGGCAGCAACTCCACGAGTAGGCTCTATTATTAGCCCATTGTTGAGGGAGGACACTCAGAGTTTAAATCACTTGCTCTTTAGTTGGGAGTGGAGAAGATGAGAGGTAAGGCTGCTTTGTGGAGCAGGATGGGCCAGTAAGGATTACTTAAATGCATTGCAATGACACCAACTGAAACGTTTTGCAATCACACAATCTTCCTTGAGCTTCTTCCAAGATAGAGCAGATAAGGATGGAAACACAAACCAACCAACCTTATCTTCATTTGGAGGACTGAGAATCATAGAAGGCAACTGACTTGCCCAGTTCAGCTTTCTCGTTCTAGTTCTCCTAATTAAACTTGACTGCTTTCTAGAAGTTAATCAACAAATACACTCTCAGGCTGCTTTGGCCCAGTTTCCCGGTTAGGCAATCAGGGAAAAAGGGCTAGGCATTGTAAAACCCCAGGTCCTGCAGCTCCCCCACGTGGCTGCATTTTGACAAAAGCAAGCTTCTGAGAGAGTAGATCACGTAAGGAACCAGCCCTTCCATGGCTGTCATTAGCAGAAGTGCAGCTGGGGGCCATTTTGTCAAGAAGTGCTTATTTGGAAAAACAAAACAAAACAAAAAATGAAAAAAAAAAAAAAAATCTATACAGGTGCATGCCAGTCCCCCGGTAATGAAATGTAACAAAGGAAGCACTTAAGTTCAGTGAGGGAAATACAGCTTTAAATTACAGATTGTACCCAGAGCACTTTATAAACGGTAATGTGTGATAATGTATTATCCTTACTTCTGTGAAATTGTGGACTGCAACTTCTGCCGGGGCCAGTTAAAGGGCCAGGAGATGGAGAGGGTTGCGTGAATGCCATTCAAGAAAAGGGCAACAGAGGCTAAGGGGTTAAACTCCCCAGAAAACCAATTTATGCAAAGGGCTGGATCCTGACCGGCATTCTGCACTAAAGATCTGAATTACAAATTTAGAGAATTTGCTGCTCGGTAAGTAATTTCTTTTCTTCCTAATGGAGACTATAATTTCCAGTGGGCCGGTGCCACTTAATTTGCACTGATAGAGTGAACAAAATCTTGACCACGGAGAAGCCTAATTCTACTCACCGTGCAAAATTGCCCTTTAAAAAGGCTTAAAGAGGGACATTCAAAGGATGGTTAAAACCAACCCCTATAATCTTACATTGCTGCAAAGCACATTCCCTAGTTTCCCCTGTGTTTGTATCTTGGGTTAGTTAATAATTGGAATTAGTTCTTTTTCCTTCCCTGTAAGGTAGGTAGTGTAGCTGATTTTATTTTTTTAAGGTATAAGATCTACTTGGGATTATCTGACATAAGAAATAACATTGTCAGATTCAGATTGGAGAAATCTGCACCCTTCCAGGCACTCTGAGAAGGGAAAGGACACAGATTCTTGGTTTCTTGAAATCTAATTCTTTAAGACACTTAGAATCTAATTTAATGAGACCCCAGTGCTTCTGGACTGTTTGCAAACAGACAAGAACAATCTAGTGTGTGTGAAGTGGGAGGAGGGAGGGGAGAGAGTGTGTGTTTAAACCCCTGATAATTTATCTAAAAAGCAAGGGGATACATACAACAAAGACCAGGAATTTCACTTTCTTTCTCTTTTCCTTCCCATTTTGGTTTCTATTTTGTTATGTGCCTCCTTCTCCAAGACAACGAATGCAGGAAGGACCTCACTGGCTGCTGGGAACAACTGCCCTTTTGAATGAATTCTTTTATGGTTACCAGTCAAAAAGTCACCGTCAGCTGGAACTGGAAGGGAGGTGTGTGTGTGTGTGTGTGTGTGCGCGTGTGTGTGTGTACGCGCAGTGGCAGCCATTTCAGCTCAATAGCTCCATTCCTGGAAAGGCCACTTCTTCTTGACATGGGAGAAGACACACTTCCCTGTGTACCTAAAAATAAATAATAAGTAAATAAATAATAATAATAAGAAAGTCATTTTTGCTCCCTCCCCCAGGTCTTAATTCTTCTTTCTCTTTTAATCATGTTTTTCTGTGTGCCACCTTTGCTTTGCTTATTTCCCCCACTGCTTGTTCTGTCTGATGGCATTTCTGGGAATCTGTGTCCTAAAGGCTTTCTTGGGTTTATTGGTGAGTTTCAGCTCTTTTTCACTCTAGTTCTGCATAAGGGGTGGGCATTAGTATTTATTGTAAATGCATTGGAAATGGGATCTCAACAACAATAACACACACACACACACACAAACACAAAAATGGAGTATTAACTTGTTTCTTAAGCCATAACTGAATTTAGAGTTCTCCCAGTAAGTCATGCGCTTTACTTCTCTCTGGCATTTCTTGCTTTTTTAAAAAAAAGCAATTTCATTAAAAGACTATTCTCTTTTTTGGCCCAGGAGCATAGGAAACCAGTTATAAAAACTGTTGGCATGCTTTGCAGAGAGATTCTCAGCAAAGAGGCTTTTTTTTTGTTTTATTTTGTTTTGTTTTGTTTGAGTGGGGGCTTGGGAGGGCTCCATCTGCCTTAGTAACTGGCTAAGTAACTGGCCTGGGCTACTCAGTCTGTTTCTCTTCCTCCTGCCTAGGGGCATTTCTTATCTGGGCAAAAAGCCCCTGTACCCAGCGAGGTGAAACTTGCAAATGATACTGTCACCTTCCTCAATGGACTGCAGCTCAGGAGCTCACCAAAGGTTGCAGCAGACAACCCCCACGGTGTTTGGAGACAAAGGAATAGCAGCTGCCTGGTTTCCTTGAATCACCCCGTGCTCTGACGATGGCAGTGATGGGCCTCCCACCAATGGCTTCCCCAAGTGCTGTTTTCCTGCTTCATGCCAAGTTAAGCATTCTGATACTAAGCGGCACGAGATAGTTCTCAACTGGGTGAGGCACAGGTGTGAGTAATCTCGAGGTATGGTCAGGAGGTTTGAAAAAACTAACCCAGCTGCAAGGAAAAGACCTCTGGTCTTTATTGGAAACACGAATTTGACCTGTCCAAGCTGGGAGCTAATAGGCCCCAGCAGCTCAGGATCCCCTCCTCACTTACGCTTGGGTTTTGAGTGATACCATATTTTTCTGAACACATTTTCCAAATGCCTATTTGCCAAAGCCGTGGTGTAATTTGCCTAAGCAGCAAACTTGTCCTTAGAGTCGAGGTCCATCCACATCAGGAGAGTATATTCAATGTTTATCTCCGATCAATGTGTGATGAATTGCATATGAGATAGATTTGTGTGAGCCAATGTGTGTGTGTGGATCTGTGTTAGTTACATGTGTTTATTTGCATGTATGTAAATATGACTGTGTGAGTGCATGGATCTATTCCTGCATGATATATATTTATATATATGAATATGTGCATATATATGCAAATATGGGTATAAATATGTATCTGAACATATAGGTGTGTATCTGTAGTGGACACTGTCAATGCACTCATCCTCCAGTTACTTAGGCATCCCAGCTTCTCAGCTCAATGGGGGCCGCTTGCCCATCCCCCCACCTCCCAGGGCAGCCCAGAATTCACCTACCAGGGTTCAAAGGCTGGCTCCCTTGACTCAAGGTCAAACTATCTGGGTGGTGCAATTCATGCTCCAGTTGAAACCAACCCTTGCCCAACTCTTTTCTTGCCCTCTTCTTTTTCTCTTACTCCCTTTCCCTCGGAGCCCACTCTCAGTATATCCTATGCGTCCAAATCCCCATCTCAGGCTCTGCTCCAAGCAACCTGGCCTAAGACAGCACTATTCTATACATGCATGTGTGTGTACATGCAAACATACAACTGCACACATTTGTGTGTGTGTGTGCCCATATACAAGGAAATCCGGGAAGATCTGGGAGAGAATGATCTTCCAAAGAAGATAATGGAGAAAGAGTATGGATTTTATAATGTAGAAGTTAGAGTCATCTCAGATATAGAGTGGGACTGCTTTGAAGTTGAAAATTAAAAGATACTTTAGAAGTAAATGTATTTTTTATTAAATCAGAAAAAGAAAGATACAGTTTACATGACTGTCAGTCAATCATATGCTACTTTGAATTACATTTTAATAGACTCAGGGTCCTATTTACTCCTTTGTACAGGTATTAAAAACAACTCAGGTATTTGAGAAGTCTTCTGTAAATTTTTATTAACTGAGGTTATGGGGAGGGTTTTATCAGAGCACATCCTGAGAACATTAGGAATGACAGACACACTTGAGATAAGTGTCAGACGGAACAGATGAAGCGAGCCCCTCAGCCATCTGAGAAACATTAATAATGTAAGATAGCAGAGACCAAATCTTTGTTAGGGATACAGTATTACAGGATAAAAATGGGGACCTTGCCGCCCCCTTGTGTTGCAAAATAACCGTGCAACTTCCTTTATTTTTTATTTATTTTTTTTTTTTAAGTTGTAATCTTTGCCGTTGTCACTGAGCCTCAAAAGCAATTGTTTTCCCAAATCATTTTAAGCCCTCCCCAGTCAATCTTTTCCCTCTCATCAATAACTTACAAGGACCCTATTTGAAAAACAACGCTTATTCATTCCTTTTTCTATACCCCACACATTCCGTTCTAGGAAATTGGCAACCACCCAACACAGCCCGGGTTCTCCCTCCTTGAGATGTGAATTTAAACAAATGGATTTTCGTCTCCCTTCTTCAAGCTTAGAGGATAAGCACGCATTTACTACAACGCTTAATTCCTTCTAGCAGCATTTCTCTTCTATAACTTACTTGCCACTGCCTTTTTTTTTTTTTGATAGAATCTTGCTCTGTCGCCCAGGGTGGAGTGCAATGGTGCAACTTCGGCTCACTGCAACCTCCACCTCCTGGGTACAAGCGGTTCTCGTGCGTTGGGCTCCCGAGTAGCTGGGACTACAGGTGTGTGCCACCATGCCTGGCTAATTTTTGTATTTTTAGTAGAGACGGGGTTTCATGATGTTGGCCAGGCTAGTCTTGAACTCCTGACCTCAGGTGATCCACCTGCCTCGGCCTCCCAAAGTGCTGAGATTACAGGCGAGAGCCACCACGCCCGGCCACCACTGCCATTTTCATCACTTAACCCGAACACATTCCTCTATTCCCTCCCTTTCCTGCTTGGTGATCATCGACTCTTCTGACCCAACTAGGTGACCTGCTAAACCATCTTTACTGTTATTTGCCAGAAAAGACTGGACCAGAGACGTAAATAATACACCTCAATATACAACAGCTCGGGCTTAATTTCTAGGCAGAATTTCATTTGCTGGCCATCAGAAGAATATATACATGGAGCGTGTTTGGGGAGGAGATGGAGTAAGGAGAACACATCTTGGTGGCAGGAGAACCTGGTGGGAACCGTGCTGATTTGTTTACTTGGATTTGCCAACTGGTCCGATGGATACTGGGTCTGTTTGCACTTGAGCATCCAACATCCGCTTTGGTCCCTGGAGAAAAACAGAAAGACGTGGCAGCCTATTGAAGCTCTGTAATGTCAACAGCAACAATGGCCATTTATGTAGCACTTACTCTGTGCTAGGTGTTGGGCTAAATTAATATATCTCATTCCTCAGTGCTGGGTAAGAGAATGGTCTCCAGTCAGATGCCCGGGTTCGATACCCAGTTACATGACTTTCTAGCTTTGTGAAATCTTGGACAAATTACTTATCATCTCTTTGCGCTTTGGTTTCTTTATCTTTAAAATGGAAATGACAAACTTATCTCAGAGGGTTGTTCCCAAGATAAAGTGAGTTCATGCTTATAATGTACTTAGTACCTAGGGGGTACTAATTCTACCTCACTTTAGCTCCCTCCCCAGTTACCATCTAGGTTCACCACCCTGTTTTATTTTCTTCTTTTTTTTTTATTATACTTTTAAGTTCTAGGGTACATGTGAGCAATGTGCAGGTTTGTTACATATGTATACATGTGCCATGTTGGTGTGCTGCACCCATTAACTCGTCATGTAACATTAGATATATCTCCTAATGCTATCCTTCCCCCAACCCCCCATCCCAAACCCTATTTTATTCTCTCTCAGAACATACCACTCTCTGAAATGATCTTATTATCTAATTTATTTGTCTAACATCTGTCTTCTACACCAGATTGGAAGCTGCAAGGATTCTGCGTGTCTCAGTGCCTTGCAGGTTCCTAGCACATGGTACCTAGCCTTAACATTGACTGAATGTGGGTGAAGGAATGTTGTCAGGCAGATACAATTATTTTATTTTATTTTTTTGAGACAAAGTCTTACTCTGTTGCCTAGGCTGAAGTACAGTGGTGGGACTATGTTCACTGTAGCCTTGAAGTCCTGGGCTCAAATGATCCCCCCACGTCAGCCTCCCCAGTAGCTTGGACTACAGGTGCACACCACCAAACTCAGCTAATTTTAAAATTTTTTTTGTAGAGACGGGGTCTCAATTTGTTGTCCAGGATGGTCTTGAACTGCTGGGCTCATGTGATCCTTCTACCTTGGCCTCCCAAAGTGATGGAGTTACAGGTGTAAGCCACTATGCCTAGCCTGAGTACTATTATTATTATTATTACTTTACCGTTTCTGTCAAGTATAACTTATAAGTAGTAAAGTTAACCTTTTCTGTATTTGGTTCTATGAGGTTAGACCAACACAAATAGCCCCCTAAAACCACCATCCAAATCAACATGTCACATGGTTCTGTCCCCCCTCAGATCTTTCTTGTGCCTTTTGTGGTCAACCGCTCCCCACCGCAGACCCTGGCAAGCACCGATCTGTTTTCATCCCTAGAGTTCTGCCTTTGCCAGGATGTCATATCATGGGATCCTAGAGTATACACAGCCCTTCAGACTAACTTCTTTCATGTAGCATAGTGGATGTGCGATTCATCCACCTTGCTGCATGGATCAATTGTGGGCCTCCTTTTATACTATAAGACAGTATAGGGTAGTACAGTATAAGATTTATATATTGTATACAGTATATATATATATATACACACACACATAGAGAGAGTATAGTATAGAGTAGTATAATAACGTATTGTAGCATAGTATATATAGATAGTATAGTGTAGTATAAGGTAATATAGGATAGTATAATATAGGGTAGTGTATATTTTATAGTATATATAGTATACATATATAGTATAGTCAAGTATGGTAACTATAGCACAGTATAGTTTAGTCCACTGTATAGTATAGTAAATAAAGTATAGCAAAGCATAATGTACAATATAGTATGATATATACAGAACACTATAGTATATAGTATAGGAAAGGGAAGTATAATGTACTATCACAAAGTATGTATGGTCTAGTATATGTACATAGTGTCATATGGTTTAATGCAGTAGAATATACATGATATCGTATAATATGTAATATAGTATATAGAGTGTATTATAGCATAATAAATAGAGTGTAGTTTAGTATACATGATGTATATAGGGCACATATATAGTATATGTATATAGTACATAGACTGTGTAGTGCCCTGTATAATCTAGCATAGTATAGTATATTGTATTTACTACATAGTGTAGTGTAATTTCATGTAATTTACCAAGGAATCAGATTGCTGGTCTTTGAACGCCAGACCTGCCACTTCCTAGCTGGGTGACTTTGGTCAAATTGCTTAACCCTCTACTTAAGCCTTAATTTTACCGTTGATAAAATGGGAATTCACAGGGTAGTTTTGAAGATTAAGTGTTAGTATATGCAATGTACTTTGAACAATCTTTGTCACACAGTAAGTGTGATAAAAGAGTTATGATTATTTTTAGTGGTGGTAGTTGAATTCACTACTTCATTCAACAACATATATTGAGGACCTACTGCAGACAATACATTGTGTTATTAATAGTTTTGGGGCATCAAGAGATGACCAGGACACCGTGAAATACCAAAAGCTTGGGCTCAGGAGTCAGCTGTGGGTTTGGGGATGCTCCATCCCTTTCTGGTTGCATGACCTCTGGCCGGTCCCTCACCGCTGAGAGCCTGCTGCCTCATCTGTGTGAGGTCTTAGACTGCCATCCCACCCGGTCCTCACTGCAGCCCACGAGGTTGACGCCACTGTCGCTCTCAGGCTACAGAGGAGGCTGCTGAAGCCCAGCGAGCCCAAGCCACTTCAGTCAAATTCCTGCCAGTAAGTGGGGTGCCGGCTTCTGTCCCCGATCTCTGAACCCTGAGCTGGGTAAAGGCCATTCCCCAACCCCTCCATTTACCGTGCATTGTAATCGCTTGTTGCTGTGATTAGAGCACAAACTCCCCATGGCACAGCGGTGCCCGACTCATCTCTGCACCTTTACAACCCAGGGCAGGGGCTAACTAAATAATACTCACAAAATAGCCTTTCCTGACTAGTTAAACCTCACAAGCATTGCTCTAAGGGCATTGTACACTACTGCCCTTCATCTTCATGCTAACCCTGTGACGTCAGCACCATTCACTTCATTGATCTGGTATCTGAAACTCAGCAAGATGACAGGTCCAAGCTCACTCAGCCACTAGATGAGAGCTAGGTTCAAGTCCAGGAACAAGCTTCTTGCAAGTGTCTAGAGCCTGGTCTCAGGCTGGCCACGGGTGGCAGCCATCCATCCTGCCTCTGTTTGCCCAGCGTGCCTTGCCGTGGATCCTGGTTCACCCAGGCTCCACCCTGCCCAGTCAACTCACCTCTATTAAAGCTTACTTCCCCGAGGTTTCCATCCTTTAGGTTCCATGAGCTTGATCTTGGGGCTTGATGGACTAAACAGCAAACTCAGATGGCCAAGTGGCTGCCACGGGCCTGAACTTTGCAATAGATGAACTTGTACAAGCATTTTCTTCATTTATTAAAAAAAAATTAGATGCTGGCATTTAAAAATTAGGTATTTGCTCTTAAAAATTCTCCACCTTTGTTATTTTCTCTTGACTAAATGGACAGGTCCTGCCACAATGGGTCTGCAGTCCCCCAAGGTAACATGTGGCTGGTGCTGAGGAGGGGCACCCCCTTTAGGTGGGCACCTGCCCTTCAGGTAGCCACAGACCACACCTGACTCACTGGCCTCATACATACACATGCCCTTCTGGCCTCACTGGGACTCCACCTTGGAGGCCAGAGACATAAATGCAACCCCTTTCCTGCCTTATATACCAGGACTACACGTCACAGTTCACAAGGCCAAACCAGACCCATTCTCTTACCTGTTCTCTCTCCAGCCCAGTGAGGTGGACAGTGATTATTATTCACCCTATTTTACAGATGCAGAAACTGAGGCTCCAAGATGACCTAGGACTAGGTCATGCGGTAACGGCCTGGCCACTTTGACTTGGAATCTGGCCCTCAGCTCACCTGTTGTCCCCGGCTCTCTTCTGTTCACTGCCCGCTCTTTCCAACCCTCGGTCTCAGGCTCCTTGCAGTGACTGCGCTGATTGTCACAAGCCTCGGTTCAGCCCACACCAGTGTGGACAGATGTCTTCCCTTTTCAAGCCTCCATTTGTTCACCTGCTAAACCTGCCTGCAGATTGCGCTGCACACAATCTAGCACTTCAGGGGCTCATGAAAATGGGAAAGGGGAAGGCTGGGAAAGGGCCATCAAAGAAGTGGTGCTTAGGGGAAGGGAGAAACCCAGTCTTCCATCAATCAGAATAGTTTCACTTTTATCATATGTGTCTGTGTGTGCGTATATGCATATATCCGCACACACACACACACACACCCAGGTTTTGTGACATTTTCTTTTGTAAACAAAAAAGTCCCTTTGCTCAAAAAGAAAGGAAAATGTTTTCAAACAGTTGGACTTTGTGAATGCCAAGGGCTTCCTTCCAGTTCTTTTCAGATTTTTGAAAACCAAGTGGGTTGCTCTCAGTTAGAACTCAAGTAGCATGATGGAGAAGGAGGAAAAAAGGACCTGACTAACGAGGACGTCACTGTGAGACAAAGATCATGCAGGGATCGGCCTGCGGTGTGTCTCATTTCCTGTGGGTAACAGGCACCACAATAGTTCTGTGGGTGGTGACAGGCTCGGCTGCCAGCATTCCCCTCCCAGGAAGGCGGTCAGGCAACCCTGGGGAATGTGTCCAGCTTGAAAGTCTTCGAGGCTTGGTCTTTGGAAAGCGGCAGGGAAGCCCCCCTCCGTCCTCCATCATTGCTGGAGGCCTTGTGACACTGGGACGATGCAGGACTTGGGGTCTAGGGGGCCTGAGCTGAATGCTGCCTCTGTCTCTGACAACCTGTGGAATGTTCAGCAAAAGACACAGCTTCTTGGAGGCCTGGCTTATGTGTCTGGGAGGTGTGGCAGAAGCAGTCCCAGCCTGAAGGGATGCTGCCATCCTAAAGAGATGAGGTCTGTAAAGGAGTGTGGTCCCAGAGGAGGGACTCGGTGTCTAGAACTGTAATTAGTGTCTCAAACCTGTCCACTTCTTGTCACTTCTTCAGGAATCACCAGGCCAATCTCCATCAGCTCTCCCAAGAAATATGACCTGTATTAACTAGCTCCTAATGACCTTCAACAGCCATTCTCCACCACAGCAGCAAAATAAAATCTTCGAATGTTATCAACAGGGGCCAAGACTTCTTACTTAATATCTGTGAGTAGCTTCCCTGCTCAGATAGGATTATGTCTGCATTCCTTGCACAGCCCGTACAGCCTGCATGAGGAGGTCCCCGCCCACGGCTCCAATCTTACTTCCATCATTCTCCCCCTACCCTACCTCTCCACCCTCAGCAACCACGGCCTTGTTTCTCTTCCTGAAATGTACTAAGCTCACTAAGCTCATTCCCACCCCCGTGCCTTTGCCAGGGCTGTCCCCTCCTCCTGGAAGAAAGAGCCTTGCTCTCTTCCTGTCTGGCACCTTTAACCTTTCCTGTCTCATCTCAGATGTATCTCCTCAGAGACAATTTTGGGATCCACCGATTAAAAGTAGCACACCCCGCCCCCAGACACACTCAGGCAAAAGTAGCACACACCCCCCCATCCATACTCAGGCAAACTCTATCGCGGGACCTTGTTTATTTCCCTCAGTGATCTCCCAGACCTACAATTTTGTTGGCAAATTTTGTCTTTAATTTTGTAATTTTAACGTTGTAGTTTTAATAATTTTAACCTTGTTTTTAAACTTATCTACTAATACTTTTTAGCTGCATGCTTCCCCTTCGAATATGAACCCCTGATGTCAGGGACCCTGTCCCCTTTGTTTGCTGAATATACCTCCAGCGCCTAGTTCAAGGCTTGGCACATGTTTCTGCAAAGGGCCAGTTGGCAAAAATTTTAAGCCTTATGAGCCATGCAGTCTAGTCAACTAGTCAACCCAACCAGTCAACCCTAGTCATGCAACTAGTCAACCCTCATGTTTTTGTGTGAAAGCAGCTAGACAACATGTAAATGAATGAACATGGCAATGTTCCAATAAAAATTTATTTATAGAAACAAGGGTTGCATTTTTAATACCCCTGGTCTAGCTCACTGCCAGGATTCTAAATATTCTACAAATATTTGTTAAGTGAATGACCAGATTATTAGAAATCATCTGAACTTTTCCATACCATCTTTCTTTTTCAGCCTTCGTACCTATTGTAGAGGCTGGCTTCTATTAAAATAATTAGAAGCCACAGTGTAAATCATTCCCTGGGTGGTGTTCATTTTAAATGAATGAATAAATCATGGGTTAAAAACGTGTAAACTAAGACCAGGCATGGTGGCTCATGCCTGTAATCCCAGCACTTTGGGAGGCTGAGGCGGGCGGATCACTCGAGCTCGGGAGTTCGAGACCAGCTTGAGCAACATGGAGAAACCCGTCTCTACTAAAAATACAAAATTAGCCAGGCGTGGTGGCGCATGCCTGTAATCCCAGCTACTCGGGAGACTGAAGCAAGAGAATCGCTTGAACCCGGGATGCGGAGGTTGCGGTGAGCCGAGATTGCACCATTGCACTCCAGCCTGGGCAACAAGAGCGAAACTCCATCTCAAAAAAACAAAAGAAGTAAACTACAAGAAATCCAAATACTTTCCCCAACATCTTTCCTGGTCCTTTAGGAACTTGCTACTCAAAGTGTGATCCCTGGATCAGCAGCTTTTGTAGCATCAATCAGGAGCTTTGTGGCATCCCAAGTTGGACCCCAAAACTACTCAATCAGAATGTGTGTTAATAGATCCCTGGGTGATTCGTGTGCACAGTACATTTTGAGAAGACTTGCGTTGGCAAATCCAATACAGCCTCACCCACTTGGGTGAAGTCCTTCTCTCAGGGCTACAAACTGGCATTCTTGCTTTACATCAACATCTGCCTTCCTCACATCAATGAAACCACTGCAAGGACTACATGATTAGTTTGAAGACTGCACTACACCCAGAAAGAAGAAGCTAATAAGGAACTATTACATCTTGTGGGATAGGAGAGAGAAGCTATGAGTGTGAATGTGCTTTAGATGGAATGCTTAATAAATATTTTTGGAAGAAAAATGAAAGAAGGAAGAAGGGAAAAAAGGAAGGAAGGAAGGGAAGAAATTTCAGTGGTTTCCATATGTAAATCAAATGATTAGTGGATACCCACTTTCAGTGTCTCCATTCTCAAAGTGGGTATTTTTTAAACATGCAAGTAGAAATTGTTAAGTGTGGTTAAAGTTGAGTACAATGTTTTATCGAAGGGTAACAATTTCAAGTAATGTATTCCAACTTTATATATCATATTTTGGTATCTATTATTTTAATCTCATCCATTCATTCCTTTGTCTATCAAGCACCTGCTGTTTATGCAGTCCTATTTCAAGTCCTTGAGATACAGCCTTGAACCTGAAAGGTGGTGCCCTGCCCTCATGGAGCTGGGAGTCCAGTGGTGAAGAGGGGCTTCCATTTTGTAGAGGAGAGTAAAATAAGCACATCTAAAACACCTCCCCACCAGTCTGCCTAAAATTGCAAGCAGTAAAAAAATTTCCTCTGCATCTAGCAGCCATTGATTCTATAGTCCATGGAGTAACACAATTGTGCATTTATACCCCTGTTAAATTAAATAAGCAGGAGGCCTTTAGCCTGAGGCAGTCTCCTTACTCCCAGTGTCTATGTAACAAACTGCAACCACATTTAGTAAGTAAACAAACCAAAACCTACCTTATGAGTATCCTTTTTTTTGTAACAAATAGCCATGTTGCAGCCAATCACAAATAGCTGAGCTTCAGCCAATCACAGGCAACCAATTGATCAGACCATTCCCAAATAAGGCAGACAACTCATCACATCGTGACCAAATAAGGCAAACACCTCATTGTACCCAATCAGATAAGTTTTCTACTTTGCTTCCATGTTTGGCCTATAAAATCTTACTGCTCATGCCACTGGGCAGTGCTCTCTGAACCTCTTTGGGTTTTGAGTGCTGCCCAATTCATGAACTGTTCTTTGCTCACAACATAAAGTGTGTTTAAATTTGATTTGTCTAATTTTTTTAACACGTCAAATTGGTATAATATAATGTAAATAAAATCAGCCAATAATGCATTCATTCATTCATTCATTCAACAAATATTACCCAGAGCATCTGCTACGCACAAGACACTGAACAAAACTGATGATGATGTTGATGGTGATGATGACGATTACTTCTACATGCTGATTGCTCCCTAGGTCTCAGGCACTGTGCTAGGTGACTAGATGCAGTATCTCACCTGTTTCATGAACTCTATGAGTTAGGCATCATTATGTATGAACAGATAAAAAATCTGGTTCAGAGAGGCAATAATTTGCTCAAGGTCTCAGCTTGTAAAATGGAGAAGGATTGAACCTGCTGGAAGTCACATAGCAGTTCAAAAACCCTGAGTGATAGACCCGGGATCCCAGTGTGAAGAGCCACATGTAGAATTTGAAAAACTGACTGGGGCAGATGGTGTTGGGGAAGGAGAGAGCCCAGAAAGAAGAGGCAAAAAAAATCCACCTACCAGGCCTTTAAAGAAGCCCCCAAGGGACTGCTGCCGCTTCTCAGGTCTCTTTTGGAGCTTGTCCCCATTCTGCAGTGAGTTCGTGTCCACCGTGGCCTGCTCTGTGCACTGGGCTGGTTCTTTGGCTTCCTGCTTGTTGCTCTTCTGCTTGTTCATCTCGGCTGCTGACTTCTTGTCCTTCGAGGAGCCCTCTTTACCCTTCTGTGGTGCTCCTGTTGGTTCAGGCTCTGGCGGTGTGATAGTCTTTTCTGTGGAGTCTGATGTCTACAGCAATTTCAAACAAAGTACATTTTTAGTGGCTGCAGGACAACTCTCAATAGCAAGGGAATAAATATGTTAAAACAGAGATGTTCAAATGTTGGGTGGTATCTACATTTTCATGAATCCTAGGTGAAATGAATATAAAAAAAGGTAAAATGTGCACTTATGAAGTCATGGTGGGGACATTTATTTAGTTATCTAATAATTCATTAATACATTTTATGCTATCCCAGAAAGCACTCTTTATCCCTTATTCTGGAACCAGAACTTGGCTTTTCCTTGGGGAAACACCCTTCTTCCTCATCTACTCCGTGTGGTCCAGGCAAACTATTTCCACCTCCAGACAAGAGCATGTGACTTAGGCCTGACTAATCAGAGCATTGTATATGATTGGCCAGCTGTGATTGGCTCAGCATAGCCAAATGCAGATAACACTGGAGCTAATCTCAGAGCTTTGCTGAAATGAGAGAGAGGCTGGTTCCCTTTCTGTTAGATCTGAAGCTGTGAAAATGTAAGACTGGAGCTTCCAGAACCACCAATATTTCTAGGGAAAATCTCCCCGAAAAGGAAGCCAACACAGAGAAAATCACAGCTGAGAAATGGAGAGAGAGAGAGAGAGAGAGAGAGAGAGAGAGAGAGAGAGGGACCAGGCATTGATGGTATCATGCGTGCCTCCTAGATCTAGCTGTTCCTGGAGCCCTTTTATGCTTAAGCCAGCTTTGAAGGGGCTACTCCCACTTGCAACCACATGCGAGTGTTTTCCTGGGGATGCCCATTCTTTTCTTCATAATTACATCTACCCTAATTTTTGGTGTGAAATTGTCCTTTTGCTTCATGAAATGGTGGTAAAAGAGATGATTGTTTTATTAGTTTGGAATGTATATCGTTTTTTGTCAAACTGAAAGGTTTACAATCCCACATGCTTCCAATAATTTGATGAGATGAGGCTGTAAAATCCAAAAATCTAGTAAATGCAGGCTGGGGTAAGAATAACCATGTGGATATCTTATTTCTCCAGCTGCAAAAGCAACAAAGGTCCAAAAAAATATTTCTCCAGTATAAGAAAAGCACCAGTTCAAGCAAGGCTGGCTTTGATGTTGGGGAGAAAATTTAGAGCAGGGGAGACTGAATGTTACATGCCCTGTCCAAAGGGCAACAGTTGCTCTGATCCAGCCAAGAGATACCACGTAGGCTTGCAGCCCCAGTGTGGTCAGAGCTTCTGTTGTTTCAAGACAACCTTGAAATTAAATTTTAAAAAATGCAAAATGTCAACTTTTAAATATTGACTTCAAAAGTTTTAAAGCCCTGATTGTGGCAACTGGCAAACACACTTGACCCACCGGATACATGTGTATAAGCATGATTCATGAAGTTATGTACTGTACCCAGGTAAAAAGTTCTACAACAAGGTAGCAGCTTTGATGGAGAAGGCATCAACTGTAGGAGAACTTTCTTTTCACACCAGTGAATCATGCACGCCCCTTAGAAGTAAGCGGGAAGACAAACAGCAGAGACTCCCCGGTCCAGAAGGCCTCCACCGGTGCTCTTCAGAGGGCAGAAGTCCTTGGAGAAAGAAGCAACAGGCATCCAGTGTACCTTGAGAAGCTCTTCTGTAATATATGTCTTGAACACTTCTGGCAGACCCCAACTGTCAGAGTTGCAGCAAATGCTAAGATATGGATGTCCAAGTACAATAGATATCCCAGAGCAGATACTCTCCTTAGAATGAAACAGAAACTCTCACCACAATGCTCTTCAGAAAGGCCAGAAACCAGAGATCCCAGTTCAAATGCCTTGTTAACTGTTTTTGTTGTGTAGAAGATTTTAAGATGCAGTGAGTGGCTAAGAACTCAGTGTCTGGAGTCAGAAGGACCTGGTTTGTTTCTAATTCCACCATAACCTTGCTGTGTGACCAAGGATAAACTGACCTCCTAGTTTCCTCATCTCTATGGGAGCAATAAAAGAAATGACACCTTATGGTGCTGTGAGAATTAAATTAGCTAAAAATGGAAAGGACACACCAGTGTTCTCAAGTCTGAATCCAAGGCTCCGGAAAATAAAATTCCCAATTGGATTCTGAAAACACTCCTAGGTGGGATGTTTCTAGCTTATTTGGATTTGTATGGATGTCATTCCAATTTTAGAATCACCAAGATTATTGGCATAATTCCTTCACTGTAAAATTCCAGACAAAATATACCATCATATTTAAGCTTGTCTTAAAAGCTTAAATATGAAGAGTATAGTAAAAAGCAATATATTTCCTGTTTAAAAATGTAGGATAAACCAATTATTATGGAAATAAAAATACAAAAACATATTTACAGTCATTACCGTCCATTTGTGAGTGTGATATGGGCAACATTATAAGATGGAAATTCCCTATCAGCAGCATAATAGTAATAGTAACATATAGACACTGTTAACAATAGAGTTGTGCCCCCACCCCAACGCATATGTTGAATCCTTAACTCCCAATGTGATTATATTTGGAATAGGAAGTAATTAAGGTTAAACAAAGGCATAGGGTGGGGCCCTGCCCCAATAGGATTAGTGTCCTTATAAGAAGAGACATTGGCAAGCTTATTCTCTTTCTCTCTCTGCCGTGTAAGGACACACAAGCAAGAAGGTGGCCATTTACAAACCAGGAAGAGAGTCCTCACCAGGAACCAAACCCTGCTGATTTGGTTACTCCTTAATCCTATCCTTTCCAGCCACAAGAACTGCAAGAAAATAAATTTCTGCTTTTAAAGCAACCACCTATGGCATTTTGTTATGGCAGCCCGTGCTGACTAATACAGTAGCTAACATGTATTGAGCCCTCTATACCAGAAATGTTCTAAGTGTTTTACATGTATTGATTCATCTAAGTATGACAACCCCATAAGGAAGTACTTTTCATAGCTCCTTTATATAGATGAGGAAACTGAGGTGCTGACAGATTTGGCAATTTGCCTAAGTCACACAGCAAAAAAAAAAAAAAGTGGCTGAGCCAGGATTTGAACCAGACAGTTTGAGTCTACCACTCATTCTTGTAGCCACTTCTCTATATTGTCAAAACTACTAGAAGAATATTTGATGCCATTTTTTGTGGAGGTGTATTTTTAAATTAAAAAAAGAGTGCAGCTGCATGATCCTATTTAAAAAAAGGAACACATGTAGTTATAAATATGTCATAGCTATGTTTCTTTAGAATAAAGAAAATAATGAAAGCAAACTGTGTGACCCCCCGACTCCATGTCTTTATTCTGTTCAAGACATAGATTCTAGTACTTGCCAAACACCATGCAAGGTGATAGAGAAATAGAAGAAGGAGACTTCTTGCTCCACAGACATTCCAGACAGACATGAGAAGAAACAGGGGAGATAAATGAATTATTACAATTTGTGATGACGCTATGAAATAAAAGAACAATATGTAGTTATGAGAGGCAGATATGGAAGGTCTTTTTGAAGAGGTGACATTTATGGCAAAAAGTGAAGGGTGAGAAGAGATTTTTAATGCAGAAAAGAGGGAAGCACATGTGTGAAAGTTTTTTGATAGGATAAAGCTGAGGAACTCTAGCTTGTTCATGCTTGTGTCTGCAGACCCCAACATAGTTCTTGGCATATAGTAGGTGCTTAATCCTGAGATATTAAATGAGTTGGCTGTGGCTGAGAATTTTATTGAAAAGTATACTGTGAAGAAGTGAGAATACACCACTAATCCCACCACCAAACTGAGTTCGAGGTCACTTACTTGGCAGCTGGAGTCTTTCCCATTTATTTCTTCTGAGTGGGTGATCCCTCCATCCCCTTTCACTGACTAAAATAACAAACAGACAATGGCCTTCAGCCACAAGTACAGTGACGTGGAGAATGCAAGAAAGTTCTGAAATGGATGATCTCAGTCATTTATCATTGAGGTTTGGGGTCAAGACAAATGGAAGGCCAACTGGAAACATGTTACTCATTGGATATAGAGATTTCCATGCAATTTCTAACCAGATCTAATTAAATTCAAGTGTTGGCCTCCAAAAATAACAACAAAAGTACTAAATCCTGGAATTAGGCAATTCTGAGATAAATGATGACGGTTCCAATTAATGTTGGAAGCAGGAGATAGTTGAACATATTAAATGAAGACTGAATGAACAATTGACCCATGAGTAGCCTTCCACTGGGAATATTTAGGCTGTGGGTGTTTTATTGTTTTTTTTTTTTTCTCTCCTTGATAGAGATATGAGTTTTGTTTAATATTTCATTTTCCACCCTTTAGCACCCCCTATAGCCAGCAACACCAGTGACAGGGATAAAAGGGGTTGGACTTGACTCCTTAAACTCCACACTCTAAGCTAATGGTTCTAGAAGTATGATTCCAGGACCAGCAGCTTCAGCATCACCTGGGAACTTGCTAGAAAGGCAAATTCTGGAGACCCAGGCTGGATCTAATCAATCAGAAGCTTTCAGAGGCAGAGGCTCAATGATCTGCATTTTAATAAGCTCTCCAGGTGGTGCTGAGGATTGTCTGAGTTTGAGTACCACCGCTCTCAGCAAGTTGGCCATATACAGGTTCAGACTCATGCTGGGGTCTGTGGTTTTAACGGTGCATTTAGTAATGTCCTATGCTTAGTGCCTGATACCTAAGAAACCTGGTGATAAAATGTTCGGTTCTTATCAACAACATTGACTCAGGTCTAATTCCCACACGTTTGATCACTGCTTAATGTCTCCTCTTCCCAGCTAAGGGAGGAGTATAGAGAGCAGGGTTTCAGCCATATGGGGCAAAGAGGAAGACTCCAGATTCCACTGTTATTTATGGCCATGGCTGTTCTCTTAGCAGACCGTAAGAATCCACAACACATGCACTAAGAACAGCCAGAAACATTGAAAGCACTCAAATACTTTTTGACTGATTAATATTATGTATCTTTGTTGTCTGAGCTACGGTGTTCACATTAGAGATAATACAAATTATTATTTATGAAGGATAATTTTTAGTGGAGTGCTTACTAAGTGCTGGGCATTGTGCTAAATGAGATAATAACTTGCATTATTTCATTTATTCATTATGTCAGAACCTTAAGATAGTGGAATTACTTTATTTTTCAGACAAGGAAATGGAAGCTCAAAGATACTAGCATCACCATGGAACTAGCAGGTTTGAGTGCCAGTGTTGGACAGCAGGCAATGACTCCATATTCCACACTCTAAACCACCTCCCCATACTGCCCCTAGAAGGCAAGAGGCACCACTCAATCAATAAACGTTTATTGAGCATTCACTGTATGAAGTTGCTGAATGTTAGATTAAACAAAATGATAAAAGCTTGGATAAGATGGAGGATGACCAAACTCAAATGTGGATGTTTATGGGATGTCCCCTCATCAGGAGTCAACTGTGCTCTTCTTTATTTTTGATATTATTATTGTTTTTAAGAGACAGGGTCCCATTCTGTCACTCAGGCTGGAGTACAGCGGCACAATCATCATTAACAGCAGCTTCAACCTCCATGGTCAAGCAATCCTCCTGCCTCAGCCTCCCAGATAGATAGGACTACAGGTGTACACCACCATGTCCAGCTATTTTTTTTTTTTTTTGAGAGAGAGTCTCACTCTCTTGCCCAAGCTGGAGTGCAGTGGCATGATCTTGGCTCACTGCAGCTTCTGCCTCCCAGGTTCAAGAAATTCTCCTGCTTCAGCCTCCCAAGTAGTTGGGACTACAGGCGCCTGCCAACACGCCCTGCTAATTTTTGTATTTTTAGTAGAGACAGGGTTTCACCATGTTGGCCAGGCTGGTCTCAAACTCCTGACCTCAAATGATCCACCCGCCTCGGCCTCCCAAAGTGTTAGGATTACAGGCGTGAGCCACTGTGCTTGGCCCAGCTATTTTTTAAAAAATTTTTTTGCAGAGACAGAGTCTCACTATGTTGCCCAGGTTGGTCTCGAGCTCCTGGGCTCAAGTGATCCTCCAGCCTTGGCCTCCCAAAGCACTGGGATTACAGAAGGGTTGTGCTCTTTTTAATATACTGCTTAGTGTGAAAGAGGTGGTGTCTGGAAGTTCCGTGTACTGAGGAACATCATTGGTGCAGGTTTCACTAAGATTGACAAACAAAGATCAGACTGTCCTCTCCATAAAATTTAGATCTGTCTACATGGAAAGTGGGTTTTTCCTTCCTCCGTGCCTTGTGCATTGTTCTACAAAGGCCAGTCTTGCTTGAGAAGGTTTAGAAAAAGAAATGAACTGTTGGCTATTTCTTCCCTCCTCATAACCAGCTCTGTCAGCCTTCCCATCACACCCAAAGCTTTGGACACGTAAGGATTTCATTCAGCCTCCAAATTCGGGCTGTGTCGTAAGAGCCCTTCCTACTCAAGCCCATTCCCAAGTGGCCTTTACACTGTGGCTTTGGATCATATCTGTCAACCTTTGGGAATGTTGAGCAGCAAAAAACAAACAAATGCACAAAATGGCTTTTTAGGCAAAAACCGAATGGACATGAAGAGTCACGCATGAGCACTCCACCACCTTCTAGAGAATAAAGTTCTCTCACTTGCCCCCTAGGAGACAGGAATTCTAAACTTCCCGTTAGTTGTTTCAATTTGGCATTCATTAGGGACTCTGTCAATTTAAGGTTTCAATTTGCTTTCTTTCCCCCCATTTCTTTGAGAGCCCTTGGAGAAGAATTGGGATTGAATCAGAAGGCTGTGTTGACAGCAGCTGATCTCAGCTGACATCATGAATCATGAAAACAGACCTCCAGGCTGTCAGGGAGATTACTGCAACAAAGTTCAACTTCTTAAAAAAAAAAAAAAAAAAAAAAAAAAAGAGAGAGAGAGTATCTCAAACTTTTCAGTGATTTTTCTTTATTGCTTATTTTGAGGCATGTAAAGCTGTATGTATGCAAAGGTGACTGAAGTTTGGGTTTACACTTAGAATCTTATTAAATCCATCTGAAGTCACTTCTGTAGCAGCAGTTATTATTAATAACAACTGTTTCCTTCCTTCCTTCCTTCCTTCTTTCCTTCCTTCCTTCCTCTCGTCCTCTCTCTCTCCCTCACTTCCCTCCTTTTCTTCTACCCTTCTTTCTTTTTTCTTTGCAGAGACAAATCAGAATAATTCATGTTGAACTCTGTATTCAAAGGAACCATAAACATAGAAACTTATTTTTTCCAGCTGTCAAAAATAGCAAAGTTACTGTTTAAAGAGACTAAAATTCTTCCAGAGACTATTTAATACTTTGAAGAACAGTTTAAAGACTATGAAGTAATTTCAGAGATTTTCCAGTGTGATATTGAGCAACTTTCTTCATGGAGTTAATTTTTATTCATGACAGTCAAAGGTGAAGTATCTCAGGGCATTCAGCCTGCAGTGTTGAGATGGAATCTACTTGTGGCATTCACGCCTTGTATATTAATGAAATCATTTTTTATTTCTTTCATCTTGTCATGCATTCCTATAGCTTGATACTCTGAGGAATGTTTGAACCATCTCCAATGTATATCACTTAGCTATTCAAAAATCTAGCAAAAGTGTTTGGTGGTCAGTTCACATTTCTTTGAAGGGAATGTTAATGTATTTTGATGGCAATATAATTCAAACACAATTGACATTTAAAAGAAAAAGAATTGGGCTGAAAATTTAATATATGGTGACTATATCTGCAATATTGTTTATCAGACCAGTCTCATGAAAACAAATCCAAGAATGGGATCTACTGAAAATTTCTAGGATCAACAAAGGTAATGGATCTGAGCTTAGTATTTTACCACAATGCTCACTTGAAATGGAATTGGACTAGTCAGGCAAAATTCCCCAGCCAAGGTAAATTTTGTTTTAGTGACAAATATATTTAGAAAACCTATGTGCAAGCTTTAAGTAAGCCATATATTAATTTTCTTCTCCTTTCCCTTATTGTCATTTTAGGTAAGTGCAACAGCTCAATGCATCAAAATGGTACTTCCATAGAACACATTACTAAAGAAATCACAACAATGGAGCATGTGGTTGTTCTACCTTCGTATCCTTTCTGAGAATACCAGCTGCAGAAGCACAGGAAGCAGCAATTACACATGAGTCAAAGGGTGAGCTTTAGAACAACAAAATGACAACAAAACAACAAACTGAGTTGGAATTCTGGCTCTCCCGCTTACCAGCTCCCGGACCGTGGAAAAATCCCATAAATACTCACTAGTCTCTGTGTCCTTATGTCCATCATGGGGCAGAGAGAGCACTTGTTTCCTAGAGTTCTCTATTAATAAATGAGATACTGCGTGCAAAGTGCCTAGCAGACAATAAATAAACGGTAGCTCTCATTGTTGTTACTGCCGATAACTGAAAAGTGCTGAACGACTACAGAGACCCTCTTAGGGTAGAAAGGAATGCAAGTCATTGGTAGGGACAGGAATTGACCAAATTAATGCTTCCTTCAGAAATCTTTCCTTAAAGAGCAAATCAGTATTAACATTTTAATGCTCAGAGAAGAATTTCATATGGAAGACTTTCGGTTTTCTGTTTTGTAACTACCGTCACAGACCACCCTCTTTCCACCTCCAATAGTACATTTCAACAGATTTTGTTAGACTTACTAGATTGAATGTAATTAATTTAAAAAACCCTCTGATTTCATGGCTGCCTCCTCATTTGGACTTTTAATTTACCCATTATTAAAGCTCACAGTATTTCTCTAAGCCTGAGAACATTATTCCAACAAAGATTTTCTTACAAATCTAATGGTCCAAAGAAAGATATGAGGAGGAGTAAATGAAATAAGGTAGGTGAAAATAGTTTGGAGGAGGAAAGCATTTTCAAGTGTAAGGTGTTATTAATATTGACGAAGTATAAAACTGTATCTAGATCTACCACCTTTCTGGTTTCATTTGCCTACCTGCTTTGTGGACACATGAATGCAGTATTCTACCCACTCACTTTATAAAAATACACCAGCACTTCAAATATTCAATTTCTTGACATACAGCTGAATTAATATGTATAAGAATCTTTTCCTATTTAGGGCATGACAGATGTCTTAGATATTCCTCGCAATTGTTTAAAATCCTGCAGGAGCCCGCAGGATTTCTGTGAAGTGCTACATCTCTATGTGTTGAATGCACTGTTAGGACTTACATGATTCTGTTTTCCTTTCCCTAAAATATAGTTATTTTAAAAATGATACTTTTCCTATTTTTATTTATTTATTTAAGACGGAGTCTCGCTCTGTCGCCCAGGCTGGAGTGCAGTGGCGCGATCTCAGCTCACTGCAAGCTCTGCCTCCCGGATTCACGCCATTCTCCTGCCTCAGCCTCCTGAGTAGCTGGGACTACAGGCGCCCGCCACCATGCCCGGCTAGTTTTTTGTATTTTTAGTAGAGACAGGGTTTCACCGTGTTAGCCAGGATGGTCTCGATCTCCTGACCTCGTAATCCACCCGCCTCGGCCTCCCAAAGTGCTGGGATTACAGGCGTGAGCCACCGCGCCTGGCCTCTATTTTTATTTTTATGAGCAGTAAATTTCTAGAGAGAAAAAGATCTCTAGCTGGATGCAGTGGCTCATGCCTATAATCCCAGCACTTTGGGAGTCCGAGGCGGGTGGATCACCTGAGATCAGGAGTTTGAGACCAGCCTGGCCAATATGGTGAAACCCTGTCTCTTCTAAAAACACAAAATTAGCCAGGTGTGTTGGCATACGCTTGTAATCCCAGCTACTCGGGAGGCTGAGACAGGAGACTCACTTGAACTCGGGAGGCAGAGGTTGCAGCGGGCAGAGATTGTGCCATTGCACTCCAGCCTGGGGGACAAAGCGAGACTGTCTCAAAAAGAAAAAAAAAAGAAAAAGGAGGGAAATGCAAAGGATAGAAAGCAGAAAATCAATGATTTGGTGAATCAAAGCATAGGTTTTGCAGCTGAGTTCTCTCTTCCATTAAATCAATTATTTAAACAAATCGATATTTTGCTAACAATATCCAAAATTTGTCTGAAACGTTTATTTATTTGGCTCAACATCCCCAACCGCTCAAAAAACCCTTAGCGATGGGCCAGATGTTGTCTCTATTTTCAAGCTGTTAGGGCAGGTTTTTTCTTTCCTGCATAAATCCGAAGACTTTGAATCAGTTTGGAAGCTATGAACATGTTACTAAAAAGTATTTCCTAAGAATGATTGCTAGAGCCAACTTCCAGAAATCTACCCAATGGGGACATTAACACATGTGCATAGAAGTAAGTGTGTGAGGATCTTCATACAGGCTTGCGAAGCAGCTGAAATAACGTGGGTGAGACACTTGGTGTGTGCTCACTGAATATGAGGATAGAGTTAAAACTAAATGTCTGTTTTATTCTCCGCCGGGGGAGACTGCACCTGTTTACGCTCACTGTTGTATCCCTTGTGCCTGGAACATAGTGGACACTCAATAATTATTTGTTGAAAAAGTGAATGCATGAAATGCAAAAAGTTGAAAACATACCACATGTCCATCCATTGAGCAATGGTTAACCTGAGTATGATAAATCCAGACAATATGATTCAAATAAGTTGTTCTAAAGAATCAGGCGGTTCTCTATCAGGGATTGCAAACTCAAATACCCACAGGGAAAGGGCCGGTAACATAAATGAGTGAGCTAGACTGGGTGTGGCAATAGGGAGTGGTAGGGACTTTAGTAAGCTGGAAAACTCTTCATTTGTTTATTTGAATTAATCACAGTATAAATATAGTGTTGTAATGAAGGCAAAACAGAAAAAAAGACGATAATTAGAATACCTGGAATTTTAAAGTAAATTCCAACAATCAGGATTTAAATTTTGCAAAGATAATGTTCGTGTTCCCAGGCCTTTTCGTGGGCAACTGGTAATAAGAACAATGGACAGCATGGAATCCAATTCTAAGAATCCATTGGGGATTGCTGGGGAAAAGTGTGTCCTCACCTACCTTCATCCCTATCCTATAGCGAATTGATTCCAAAGGACGCTTTTCTTTTCAATTTGTTTCCCTCAGAATTTAGACTTACCCATTTTCTACTGCCAAAAACTTTTCCCAAACAGCATCTAACAGATAGCTCTGGGGGATAAATTTAAGTAATATGAGACCTCATTAGAATTTAAGAATTTGTTTTAGATGGATGCTGTGAGTGGTTTAGAGGTTTTTTTTTTTTTCATGCTTTCTTTGGAGTTTCTTGTACTTTTCCCTGTTTTAAATGAAGGAGCTTCATGTTGGTTATTTGGAAGAGACCATCATTCTATTTACTGTTTTTTTTTTCTGTACCTCTCAATTCCATCCAGAAATGGAAAAGCTGATCACTCTCAATATTATGATGAGATATTTGGGGATCCCATTTGTAAGTTAGATGAGTTGCCGGAAACAGGCCAAATGTTCTTTTCTTTCCTGGCATCATGTAAAAATTGGTTTTAAAAAAAATCTCAAGTCTTAATCTCCATTTTCACTGCCAAATTGCAGATCAAATGGCCAATGAGATAGATGGGGTTTTGGCCATATGGGCCGCCCACAACTGATTCTACACTTTTTACTCCATGAGAATATAACAGGAAAAGAAAATGATTCCTGTCAACAATTTCTAACATAATTATTTCTAATATGCCTCAGTTCCCATTGGCAAGGGTTTTGTTTTGTTTTGTTTTGTGGGCTAGATAGAATTCCTTAACAGGTTGAGCCTGTGAAATTAGAGAGTTGCTTTCTCAAAGGATTAAACTCCAAATACTCCTGAAAATAAAGTCACACTATAATGAAATTCTTGTTTTTCATTAAAAGAGAATTAAACTAATGACCTTTTACATGCATTTTTGTTTTTTGTTCTCCAACTGATTTAGGTTTTGTTGCATTATATTATTTAAGCTCCTGGCTGTTTAGTCATTTAATGTGCATTGCTTTTTATAAACAGTAAATATATCTATCACATTCTTTCTATTCTACACAAATTAAAAGCATGGCTAATTCATCAACTAAGTTATATATTTCACTATTGGAATATTATGTTGTCATTTCCTTATTTAATTTATCTATAAGCTAGTTTTGTCCAAATTTGTGTCACTCACGTCACCTTCAGAATTTTTGCCATATCTTTATATAACTTGGACTATTTGATACATAATCCTTAAAATGCCTGATATTCTTTATGTAAACAAATGTAATTCAAAGAAAACCTCATATCATTACCATAATAAGAAAAGCAGTATCATTGACCACCAAGAGAAGGAAACTTTAAAAATAAATAATAGTAAGCAATAATAGTAACTTCCAGTTAGATGCTGTTGTATGCCAAAATTTGGACGCAACCACAATTAAAAGGCCGAAAAAAAGAAATAGATGTTGGCGTGGAGGTGGTGAAAACGGAACACTTTTACACTGTAGGTGGGAATGTGAACTAGTACAACCACTATAGAAAACAGTGTGGAGATTCCTTAAAAAACTAAAAGTAGATCCACTATTCGATCCAGCAATCCCACTACTGGGTATCTACCCAAAGGAAAATAAGTCATTATCTGAAAAAGACACCTGCACACACAGGTTTATTGCAGCACAATTCACAATTGCAAAGATATGGAACCAACCTAAGTGCCCATCAACCAATGAGTGGATAAAGAAAATGTGGCTTATGTACACCATGGAATACTACTCAGCCAGAAAAAGGAATGAAATAATGTCTTTTGCAGCAACTTGGATAGAGCTGGAGGCCATTATTCTAAGTGAAGTAACTCAGGAATGGAAAACCAAATACTGTATGTTCTCACTCATAATTGGGGGCTAAGCTACGAGGATGCAAAAGCATAAAAAATGATATAATGGACTTTGGGGACTCAGGGGAGAAGGTTGGGAGAAGGGTGAGGGATAAAAGACTGCATACTGGCTGTAGTGCACACTGCTCGGGTGACAGGTGCACTAAAGTCTCAGAAATCACACTAAAGAACTAATCCATGTAATCTCAAATCACTTGTATGCTCACAACTATTGAAATAAAAAAAATTCCAACCCAAGGGCACCTCTTTTTTTGTTAAAAAGTGTTAGCAGGCATTAAAGAAGGGTTAAAGAATATTAGCAATAAACTGAGACTTTCTGTATGATTGAATCAGAAGGAAGAAAGGGAATTTTCTCACTATGCAATCCATATTCCATTCACATTCCATACACACCAGCTACAATTATGTCTCCTACTACCTGTGGCATGAGCCCATTGTTCCCAGAAGCCGCTCTAGGTATCTTAGGTTTCCTATACTGGAAGTAAGGGGCTTACCATTTGTCTGAGAAACGCCATCAGAGAGGTTCTTGGTTTGCTTTCTTCTCTTTTGAGTTTCGCTTCTGTGGGTTCAGGTGCAGCATCTCCTTCGTTGAGGTCCACTGTTTGTAAGGCTGATTCTACTTCCTTGGACTTTATAATCTCTACTGGTGACTCACACACCACCTGGATTATTTTGCCAGGTAATAAGAAAATGAAAAACAAAACATTCCCCCAAAACATGTTTTACAAAGTGGGGTCCTTGTTGCCCCCCTGTCCACATAGTAGCTACAGTTTTGAATCTATGACCATTTCTACACAGGCACATCTTGGAGAAGTAATGCTTATGTTGTACAACGCACCAATTTCCAAGCTCAACTGCCACATTGACATGGAAGTGGCAAAATCCCTTCCCCAAGGGGAAGAACAGATAAGAGGTCCTTTTTGGGGACTGTCATTCAGAGCATGCTCAATACCCAATCAAATCTAGTAAGCCCACCTCTTTAATCTGCCACGTAGGTGAATTACATTTGGCCTGTCTAGAAACCAGGAATAATCATTTTCTTAAGAGTCCAACGTTAGAGACGGTAACCATGACAGCTTCCAGTTCTCTTTCCAGTTCCCCTGCAACTATAAAGAAACTGTCCTCTTTGTAGAAAGGAGAGTGTAAAAACCACTGAATTTAATTGACTTCCTCATTAAGCGATATCTAATTTTTCCCTAGAACAGTCATTTGCCATTTCACTTAATTGAAGTTTATGCTTTCAGAAGAAAAATGAACTTGGCAAGAAACTGATGGCTAAGTTGTTCGCGGCCCTGGCCACTGTACCTAGTGAGCTCGATTTCCTCTGCCTCTGAGTGTCTGTGGCGGCTTGGATGGAAGGGCCCATCTACCACACTCTGCTCTCAACTTGTGTTCTTTTGCAGTGCCTCACTCCATTTGTACAGGGCCCCAGTCACATCTGGGACAGTTTCTGCATTTGTGTTGTTCCCTGCCACAGGACAGAGTGAATTGGCCAGGAGAGGTTTTTTAATTTCCTTTGTTTCCTCAGGCAGGGGCTGGCAAAATACTACCAAATCCAGCTCAGTAACTGTTTCTGTGTGGCTCCTGGGCTAAGGATAGTCTTTACCTTTTAATTTTATTTATTTATTTAAGAAATGAGGTCGTGCTACGTTGCCCATGCTGGCTTTCAACTCCTGGGCTCGAGTGATCCTCCTACCTTGGCCTGCCACGTAGCTGAGACTATCAGCACACGCGACCACGCCTGATGGATTTTACGCATTTAAAGCGTTGGAAGAAATATTTTAAAAGATAAAATGTATGGGATGGAGACCACAAATGGCCTATGAAGCCTGAAATATTTACTATCTGGCCCTTTAAACCACATGGCTTTCATCTGCTGCCTCCCTGGAAAGTACCATAGAGTCAAAGGCATCTTCCCACTTGTCTTTGCTGGGCCAGACCCCTAGCTTCTTGGAGCCTTGTTCTTGGTGTCAGGGGGTAGGGGAAGGGGACTTAGTTATTTCCAAAAATATCGTCTGCTGAGAAACTATTTTCTTTCCCATCATACAGAACATACCATTGGTTTGCAAAATGACCCGAATTTTCCAAATCGAGAAGAACCCTTAGTCTCTGTATTGCCATTTGATTCAGGGAGTTGCCCATCAGTAAATCAGCATGCAGAACACCCCAACATTTGGCAACTAAATCACATTTCTTAAGCTAAATTAAATTTCTTAAGCTACTGACACAATTTCTAGTATTTTCTTTTTTGTAAACAAAAACGGAAGTTGGGGGGTTACAAACTCAAAAGTCCTCAGGAGGCAAGGCAGAGAATATCAGCATGGATTGACCAGACCTAAGACCAAAAGTAGTGACAGGGATGATGACAAAGTAAAGTCAAGCTGTCCCATCTAAAGATGTTAAATGATTAAAAATGCTGGATTGGCCAAACAAAACCTATTTGTGAGGAAGGGTCTGCTGCTGGGCTGTTGGCTTTGGACCCCAATCTATCTTTAGGAAACGAGGTGGAGACTGGAGCCATATCAGAGACTGAGAATGGCAATAGAGCATGGACATGGATTTCCACATTTTGAACTGATTTAATTCAATCGCATTTCCGAAAAGTAAGTGTGAGCCACAAGAGCCCTTCAGGTGAGGCTGAAATATAGGCAATCTAACTCGTGGTCATAGAGGACAAGCTCCAGAACAACTTGCTGGGCTCTAAATCACATCTATATCCCTCATCTAAGCTCAGTGCCCAACATCTCTGTGCTTTTCGTGTTCTCTGTTCTCGGTGGGAATTGCATACACATCAGAAAGTTGTCTGCATATTAAATCAGGCAATACATGTCAAGTTCTTAGCACCATGCACTCAATTAATGCTAGTGGTTGTTATTTGTGTTAATGTTAGAGCTATTTAGTCCATGAGCATGAATTATCTGGATTAGGCACCATGCACATATCCAATATTTAGAGATGATTATATTAATAGCTACTTCTTGCTATGCCTGGTATTGTACCGGGTGTTTAATATTTTTTTATAAATAGCATCAAGATAGTTCGACAGCTTAGGAAATATAACATTATCCCTATTCTATAGATAAAGAGTGAACAATTGAATGATTTGGCCAGAGTCTTACCACAGATAAATAGGCATTACAATAAGGATGGCATTTTCTGCGGCAACTCAATGTATCTAATAGTGGCTTAACCAATGAAAACATGGAACAAGAAGTTCTGGGGTTGGTTGAGTGGCTCCACAATATCTCTAACAACTTTGGCTCTTTGTTCTTGGCTCCACTATTCTTGGCATGCTAGATTTTCATCATTTTATTTGTTACCTCATGGTTAAAAAATAGCTGCCACAATTCCAGATATCACATCCTCAATCCAATGTTCTGAGAAGGAAGGTCACAGCCAAAGACTTGCACCAAATAAACATCTGTATTTTGATCCCCTACCTCAGGGTACCTAAATTTCATGGGTCAGAGCTAGGCCACTTACCCCCAGGCTACTTACTAGTGAAGAAAATGAGATTACTAACTTAGACTAATCATGATCAAATACTTTGGGGGTATAAAGTTGGCAACTTTGCCTAAAACTAAGGGTAGAAGAGTGGAGAAATAGAAAATAGCTCTTAAGTAGATAAGGAATAGAGTTTGCGTTCAGAAGTATTCTGTCTTTGAGGCAGTGAGTTCTTTCTTCGTGTGCAAAGACCTGGAGGAAAAATTACTCATAAATAAAATGATCAGATTGTATGGCAATAACTCTGTAAATCAATTCTATTTGGATGCCAGTGGTTCCCTTGCTGAGCCTTTCCAAATGTTGAGAGGTATCAACCCATAAATCCTAGGCCACAAGTCCATTCTCCAGAACACAACTATTGCAGTAGGTAAAAAAATATAGTACTTCTGGAGACTTCCACTACCTTTGAAGTCAGGCCAAGAAGCTGGCTTTTAGTAGCCAAGGAAAATCCACTGACATCCAGTGTGGAAATCCAGAACAATCTTGGCTAAATAAGGATCTGATTTGCATATACAGACATAGGAATTCAATTTTTATTTGGATAATTTTCCAAATTTCTCCTAGGCCAGGGCTTTGGAAAAAGTTGTTTCCTATTTAGAACATATGACCGCATCTGCACATTTTAATTTTGGATATCATGAATGGACATAATTAAAGTCAGATGTGCGCTACATTTTAGAATTAAATCCCCCCTGCTTGATTTCTGTAGAGGATATGGTAGACATTGCATGAAGATGGCAGGTACATCTAACATTGACAATATACATTTCAGTGAAGAGTTTCCCTTTTTGCCTCAAATTTTATACCACACTTATTCTTGAAATTTGGTTATACAGTTTTTACTAGAGCTGTGGCTTTTGGAAATTGATTTATGGCAAATAGATTTCGTCCATTTAAACTTCATGCACAACGTCATATTAACATTAAAGGTTTTTATTTTAGAATATTTTAAAGATTATTTTGATAGGACTTTTAATGTGATTGATTACAAAGACCTCCCACAGATTTTTTTTTTTCTACTCAGTAACTATTCTCTCTCATCTGCTTACACACTCTAATTTTGCTTTGGGAGAGCAATCTTTCCCATCTTCAAGACTATGTAATTTGGATTAAGCCAATTAAAAAGGTCTAAACCAATCAACATGGTCAAGCTCCTTGACTGTGGTTGGTTTAGAAATGACAGCATGCGGCAAATTGTATTATTTCTCCAATTATTTACCCTACCTTCCTGTAAATGAATTACACACCTGTGCCCATTGATGTGTGACTTGCTTTAGTAATGGAACATGGGTAGAAATGACATATACCATGCCTGAGCAGAAGCTTTAGGATCCGTTGCATGATTCACCCATGCCACTATTTTCTCTCTGCAACAAGAACTGCATGTCCTTATTGAAGGGACTGCTGCTTCTCTACTGACCTCAGCAGGAAGAGGCCACATGGGTTAGCCAAAGCCAACTGATAGCTGGCTTGTAGCATGAGTGAGAAAAGAAAAAATAAAACAAACTTCTTTGCTATTGAGAAGCACTGTAATTTGGGACCTGGTTGTCACTGCAACACAACCTGGCAAAAGCTGACGAATACAGCATGTGAATGCATTTCAGTCAGTGAAACAGAACAAACTCCAGGACATGCAGGGTTGCTACTTGACAAATAGCTCATTTACTTTGGACTGAGTGATGTGATGTTGGAAAGCTGAGCATGTAGCCAGGCCAAGAAGGCTGAACCCAAGGAGAGCCCTGAATTAAATTTTATTTGAAAGCAATTTAACTTTCTAGTAATGAGAGCCAGTAAAGGCCACTTTCTTTCTAATCCAGGTTGAATTGGGTTTTCTTTCACTTGCAACTGAGAGATTACTTATTAAGAGAGATAAACAACAGAAGTACCTGTTTCCATGGTCTTACAGGTTATTGGAAGGAAAGAAATTTTTTTCATTAGAACATTAACTCAATTAACCAATGGGCAAAATATTTTTTTTATTACAACTGAAAGATTCTATCATTTCAAGAGTTAAAAAAAGATTTATTTCTGATAGGACCAGAAGCACATTCTAGGAAAAGCACTAAACTTCCACAGGCTTCAAAATCCTTATTTTTCTTTCTGTGAGAAACTTTGAGAAATGTTGACATCACTCTGTTTTTTAGTTTTTTTTAAATACAAGTGGGCCTTGCATCCGTTGATAGATTAGTTCTGGAAAGTTGTAGGTAGAGAAATTTTAAAGAATAAACTCAACCACATTTTAGCCAGAAGTCGTTATTTAAAGCACTCTTGTAATATGGTTAATCATATCTAATTGTCCTGTTGTGAAGGTGTAGAGCACTATACATTGTTTTGACTAATGCCTTCTCTCTTATTTAAGAGAGGAGGAAATTAAAGCTAACTCTGTTTTACACATTCCTTCAATCCACATGGACACTGAGTCAGCTGTGAGCTGTATCATTTCACTAGGAAAGAAAATCACCGATTACTGGGACATGCTCACTCACTATGTTGTCTCTTATTTGCTAATTTGCTAACAATTACTGCAGAAGGTGGCAAACTTTTCCTGCAAAGTCCCTGCCAATCAGTGTTTCTGTTGAAACTACTCAACTCTGTTGCCTAGCAACAAAGCAGCCATAGATGATATGTAAAGGAATTAGCATGGCTGTGTTCTAATAAAACTTTATTTCTGGACACTGAATTTGAATTTTGAATTCACATCATAAAATATTCTTTTTAAATTTTTTTTCAACCATTCAAGAATGTAAAAATCATTTTTAGCTTGTGGGCTGTATTTGGCCCATGAGCTACAGTTTGCTGATCCCTAAAATTATTGAGTTCCTCCTACATTTCAGGCACTGAAGTAAGCACGTTATAGACATGATCTCCAATTTTCACAAGAACCCGAAAGTGTAGGTGATATTATTATCGCCATTTAACAGATGAGTAAACTGAGGCTCAAGAGGTGTGGCCTGAAGATGATGGGATCAACGTCACAACCATCAGTCTCATTCCCTCCAAGTGATAGGCTGTCAGAAGATGAAATACTGATGCTGGGAGTGGTGGCTCACGCCTGTAATCCCAGCACTTTGAGAGGCCAAGGTGGGCGGATCACTTGAGGTCAGGAGTTTGAGACCAGCCTGGCCAAGATGGTGAAACCCTGTGTCTACTAAAAATACAAAAATTAGCCAGGCATGGTGGCGCATGCCTGTAATCCCAGCTACTTGGGAGGCTGAGGCAGGAGAATCACTTGAACCTGGGTGGGTGGAGGTTGCAGTGAGCCGAGATTGCGCCACTGCACTCCAGCCTGGGTGAAAAGAGCAAAACTCTGTCTCAAGAAAACAAACAAACACACAAACAGAAAAAAAGAAGATGAAATATTGAGCCTTAAAAATCAAAATGTTGCTTGCAGTGTTAAGTCATTTAAGGCAATTTTTATAATGCTTCTTTATTTTATTTAACAAATATTTTACCTTATTTTATGTCCCTATCATCAGTTTTTGTGTTATCGTTTGGTGTCGATAATTTAACTTTTAATTCCTGTTTATATTTCTATTTAAAATTTCACAGTAGAAAATAGAATATCTCCTGTTTGCCTGTTAGAGATCAACTCTGCATTTTAGCATCTGAGCTGCGGGAAACACAGGGTTCCTTAAACAAGCAACTACACACAAACATCCAAAAAGTTTTTCTTTAGAAAACTCAGAACCTCAAAGCTAACAGATGCTACAGATTTTACGGGCAGCTTTTAAACTTAAAGTTCGTAGAAAGAAGTCTTGTGGAGTCCTCCTTGTAGGTTGCGGGAATAGAAACTTTGACTTTCTATAAAATAGTAATTCATGAGAACTTTCTGGAATGATGAGAGACCTGAGCTTTGCTGGGCTAAGATTGGCTCAAGAAAGAAAAGAAGGAAGGAAGGAAGGAGGAAGGAAGGAAGGGCAGTAAAACCAACAAACAGATTTTGAGAGGTGAAGCCAGCTGGATGTCCTGGGTCGAGTGGAGACTTGGAGAACTTTTCTGTCTAGCTAGAGAATTGTAAATGTACCAATCAGCACTCTGTAAAAATGCACCAATCAGTGCTCTGTGTCTAGCTAAAGGATTGTAAATGCACCAGTCAGCACTTTGTGTCTAGCTTAAGGATGTAAATGCACCAATCAGCACTCTGTAAAAACACACCAATCAGTGCTCTGTGTCTAGCAAAAGGATTGTAAATGCACCAATCAGCACTCTGTAAAATGGACCAATCAGCACTCTGTAAAATGGACCAATTAGCAGGATGTGGGCGGGGTCAAATAACGGAGTAAAAGCTGGCCACCCCAGCCAGCAGCCACAACCCGCTTGGGTCCCCTTCCACGCTGTGGAAGCTTTGTTCTTTCCCTCTTCACAATAAATCTTGCTGCTGCTCACTCTTTGGGTCTGTGCCACCTTTAAGAGCTGTAACACTCACTGCGAAGGTCTGTGGCTTCTTTCTTGAAGTCAGCGAGACCAAGAACCCACCGGAAGGAACCAACTCCGGACACAATTTCAAGATTTTTCTTCCAATAAGAATCATAACACAGCCATTCTAATTTTTATTCCACATCACAGACAACATTTCAGAAACGTGTTTGGATGTTTAACATCTGTTCAGTTCCCATAACTAAATAAAAATAAAAACACACGCCCTATTTATGGCAAGTAAATAAGGGACACCCAGAACAAGTTTTGCTTTGGCAACATGATAATGTTCGGTTTCTATCTCAAGGAGCTGTGAATTCACTTATCCCTACTTATAAAAATTTCCCAAAGACTGCGCACTTCTTTCAAGGCAGAGAGCTGTTGTTTTGGGTCTGAAACTCACGAGGTCAATTTATTAATCTCCCTGGAAGCTACGTTTTTGTGATGTTTTATATAGCACCATCCCTTTCGGGGATGAATGAACTGTCTTGAAAATTTTGACAATTCCTCTAGAAGATTAAAAGCCAGGAAAACTGTGAGGCTCAACGTCTCTATCTCAGAGGTAGACCCGTCAAGTCAGCGCTCTAACCTGAGACCGACATTCTCAGCGTCTGTTGCTGCAAGATGTTCTCATGCCTGATGCAACTCCCTGCCCTGGGTACCGCCCAAAGTTAGTAAGAAGCTGGATCACCATGGAAATAAGAGTGAACGAGCAGTCAAGGTGGAATGAAGCAGAAGGCGGAGCATCATTATCCCTCAAGGAAGCGCAAAGCTGTTCTTACGTGTAGTAGACTCTTTCAGCCCCTACTGATAACAATTATAAAAATTTGTGCCCTGATTTTGCATTTATTTTGCACTGATTCAATGAGAGTTACAAAAATTCATCCAATGTTATCCTCCATGCGTCCCTAATCACATACGGGATAAGAGAGTCTACAACAAACGAATCACACTGGCAGCATGCAAGAACACAGGACCCCAGAGCTGAAAATGCCCAATTGTACAACATGGCGGAAGATGAGAATGGAATGATTCTGCCGTGGTGTGTGTAACTTACATTCTCCTCCGCACCTGTGGGGACTGAGTCCTCTTTAACTGACTAAAGGAAGATAAAAACAAAAGTGAGAGTTAAAAGGTTACAGAAAACAAAATTGTTACATAAAAGCAAAGGGTTAGTTGGGCTCACAGTCTTGGGGTGCGTTCGGGGACACTGAATTGCCTAGGTACACCTCCTTCTAAAAAGAAAGGAGACTTACAAAAATGAAAACGGTATATATATATATATATAGTTATGTATTTTAAAATGCAACAAAGAGAAAATTAAAACACAGATGCAGCCAGGATACAAATGGAGCAAGCAGAAGCGTTGTCACAGAAAATGCTAACTGCTGTAGGTAAGCAATGTACTTGCCTTTATATTTTTTAGTAGTTGATGAAAAGAGAGAAATGCAATTAATCATTCAATACAGAGTCACTGTTAGGTAAAACAAAGAAGCTACTCAGGAAAATTCTGGTAATAAGTGCAGAGAAACTCGTTCAATTGTCCTTTTGAGCAAGCAGGCTTTATAATACAATAGGCAGGGTCCAAGCCCTACCCTGACCATAGCACAGGGGCCAGCAGCAGGGGCCGCTGCTTTCGTCAGCCCTCAGTCTAGGCCAAGTTCATTAGGTCAAAGTTCAATTTGACTAAAACATGTCTGTGGAAGGCTAGAGAGCTGCAGTCCTACATATCCACATTCAAACACCGTTTTACTCCCAGGAGTAATTCTGGCATATACAGTCCTGCCCCAAGTGGGATAGGAGTTATCCCGATTCTGTCAAAGGTCAAAGCCACAATCATTCTATCAGTTAGCCAACTTTGGAGTTCATTTTTGCATCTTTCTTTTGGTGGTTCTTAAACTTCTGGATGGATGGTGGTGGATGTTACAGACCACTTTGAGACTCATTTGATAGATCTGGACTCTCCTCCCAGAGAAATGCACATAAACAATATACTTTGCAAATAATTTCAGGATTCATAGACCTTCTATGTCTCTCCTCTTGGATTACAAGTTAAGAACTCTGTCTATATCCATTTTGTTACTAAGTCCTATTTTTTTTTTTCCTTTAAGGCATCCAGGGGAGGGGAAGACAGGAAGTGATATTTACAAATGTATCTTCTGCACTAGGCATCTTGCGTTATATATCATCTCACTTAAAGCACCCCAAAATGGTAAGTATTGTGATCCTAACTTACAGAGTAAGAAATAGAAGTTCAGAGAGGTGAAGCCACTTGTTCCAGTTAAACAGCTAGAAAGTGGTGGAAATGGTTTTAATACATTTATTTTACATCTAAAAGCCAAATTTTCCCCTGCTATGATGACTTCAAGGGTCAGAAACACATTTTTTCGGCAATCGTGTGAATTCCTTTCTTCACATACAGAATTATTCTCTCTAGATGAGATCTTCAGATTGCATAATTTATTTCTAGTTATCTTCTTCCCACAGTGAAGTTTCTCTGGGCACAAAAATGTTCCTAAAAGAGATTGCTGAATTTCTGAAAGCTTCTGATTATCAGGAAATTGTAATGTGTTCAGAAGAAATTAGCAGTAGTGTTACTGTATTAATCCGTTTTACACTGCTATAAAGATATACCTGAGACTGGGTAATTTATAAAGGAAAGAGGCATAATGGACTCACAGTTCCACATGGCTGGGGAGGACTCAGGAAACTTACAATCATGGTGGAAGGGGAAACAGGCACATCTTACATGGTGGCAGGCAAGAGAGAGCGAAGGGAGAAGAGCCCCTTATAAAGCCATCAGATCTTGTGAAAACTCACTTGCTATCAAGAGGACAGCATGGGGGAAACTTCCCCCATGATCCAATCACCTCCTATCAGGTCCCTCCTTTGACACCTGGGGATTATGGGGATTACAATTTGAGATGAGATTTGGGTGGGGACACAGCCAAACCATATCAGATACTTTCTTGAAACTGCACCCCTTTTTCTCTGAGATTAGTCAGACACTGGTTAATACCATGAACACGTAATGAACCAAATGGTATCTTTAAAGCCAGACCTCCTCAAGGCCGGCCCACAAAAGTTTCAGGAATCATTATACTGTTTATATTAGACTGAGAAAACCCTTCCATTATTTAAGAACAGCACTTCTAGGTTTACATACCCTTTTTCCTGTCCCAGTTTATTGCAACAAGACTAGTTTTTATCTTTGATTGCCTGTGTCTAGAAAGTTTCTGGTTGTTCATTGCTCACTATATTTCAGAAGCAACTGGGAACTTGGAGTAGATTCCATCACCAATGTAGATGATGGTGAGGAATAGAAGGGGCTGCTTCTGAACAGATTTTTTAAATCTTCATTATGGTTTCAGACCTCCACATCTTTCTGATGTTTTAAGTCTGGCATTATAAATATTGTCTTTTTCAAAAGGAATTGCTATTTTATATTTTTAAAGTCAGACTACTTAGCAAAGCACTCATTTTGGGAAATAATCCAGTTGAGCATCTCTCAAACTTCAATGATTTTCATACCATGTTCTAATTCTTTTTTTAATTTATTTATTTATTATTATTATACTTTAAGTTTTAGGGTACATGTGCACAATGTGCAGGTTAGTTACATATGTATACATGTGCCATGCTGGTGCGCTGCACCCACTAACTCGTCATCTAGCATTAGGTATATCTCCCAATGATATCCCTCCCCCCTCCCCCCACCCCACAACAGTCCCCAGAGTGTGATGTTCCCCTTCCTGTGTCCATGTGTTCTCATTGTTCAATTCCCACCTATGAGTGAGAATATGCAGTGTTTGGTTTTTTGTGGAATACTATGCAGCCATAAAAAATGATGAGTTCACATCCTTTATAGGGACATGGATGAAATTGGAAATCATCATTCTCAGTCAACTATCGCAAGAACAAAAAACCATGTTCTAATTCTTGACCTGTCCATGTACCACCTCTATTCAGTTGATGTTTTTCTTTAAACTGACTCTCTTTTTACTTAAATATATTTTTACTTAATATTTTTTTCTTAAATATATTTTAAAAGAAATGCCTTATCATTACAGCAAATGTCATATCAACATCTTTGCTGTAAATAGTAGTACGTATTAAAAAGTACAATAGATAAAAAACATGCAGTAAGTTCTAATTGTTTTTAAGTCTTTCTTTAAAAAAGAGATCAGCAGGTGTTTGTACAGTAATAAATGCCTGTGAATATCAAGAAGAGACTTCTTATAGAATGAAAACAGGAGATAAATGCACTATGTAAAGGATTAAATGCTTCTCAGATTGTGTCCAAGAGTCACTCTAAATAATTTTGAACTATTCTTGTACATTTGCACACTGGCCTGCAAGTGTAGCCTTCTGTTAGTGGTTGTTGAAATATCCAGTTAAAATAAGAATTCAAAAATGGATAATAAGAGGGCAGGTTCTGATCCCCCTTTAGTGTTTGACACATGTAAAAGAAAATCTGCTCAGAACCCAAGTCTAGAGTACCATACACTGTGGAATCAGGTACAAATTCAGTGTTTCAGCTATGCAATCTTGAGCAAATTAATCACACTTCTCTGCACCTCAGTTCACTTACCCAAAGGCTGACTGTTAGACTATCTACTGCTCATAGCGTTGTTTTAAGGAAAAAATAAAATAAGGCCTGTGTAGGGAAAATCATGGCTGAAGCACAGCTGTGACTCACTGAAGCCTGGTGGCTGGAGTCAAACCCACATGGTTCCTCTTGGTACTTACATGAAGACCCTCATTTACATGGGAGTTGGAGATCCTGGAAGGTATGTTTATGGGGGAGGGGTAGGAACAACTCAAACCATGTCTGGAATTAGGGTACAGTGGTCTATAGGCTTTTCTACAAGCCAGAATGTATTGAAGTAGAGCAAAAATAAAGGTTTCAAGAAATGGACCCTAGCAAGAGAATTTACCAGGAGCAATAAGAACTCCAGAATCAGCAACCTCCAGGGCTTGTGGGAAATAGTGGTTCTGGGTAGGGTGCTGGTGGCTGGTAGAACAACTCATTCCAGCTCAGCTACTCTCGAACTGGCTGTCTACTGGGGAGAAAAAGGGCTGTATGGATGCCTACAGTGGGTCTTGCCAAATGGGGCCACTCTGGGGTCCAAGCAGCTGCAGCGGGATTCTCCTTCCAGAGCTAAGCACAACATGGAAGGAAAAGGTTTTCTGCCTGCTGCCTTGCAAGAGACAGGTGAACTCTCGTGGGCTTGGGAGTCCCAACAGCAGTGATGAGTGGGATAAATTGGCACGGATCATCTCCTTGGTGGCTGTGGTGGTGGCAGTGGTGTGGCTTGGGGGTGACCACCCAGTAGGGACATATGGCAGCCCAGGCTGATTCATGATCACCTATCTTGGATTCCTAGAACTATCTGGATGGGATTTGTGTGGGCATGGATTCATGTATGTTCAGCATTCTATGAAAATTGCTGATATTTATTTTGTTTATGTAAAGCACTTAGCACAGTACCTGCACATGGTATATTTTCAATTAGCAACAGCAATTTTTATAAATGTTGGGAAGAAATGACACTGGCTAGATCTACTAGACCTATTTAGAATTTTTCTTGAGTAATTCTATGTTGCTTTTGAAATGTTCTTAAGTCTGCTTGGGCCAGATGTATGTTTGCTACGGAACCCCTTATAAACAGACATTTTTAACACTGCTAACTAATAGGTTATATTAGGTTCCAAAGTTGGAATGGTGTAGGGGACAATGTGGGTCTCAGTTAAAATCTTGATGACCCAAGTACCATAACATAGTGTTATGTTGACCTTTGAAAACCAAAAATTCTAGGTCATACTAACTTCAGCCCATTGTGCCGTTATTTTGAGATTCATATTGTTTATATTTTGGACTGCACTAGTGAACCCACCCAGCTTGTAAACTTGATAAATGTTCTTTTAACTTGGTCGTTGTCCAAGTTAACTGATAAAAATTTTGAATAAACAGGGCTGAGGCCAGATTCCAGAGGGCTTCCCGAAGACAGCTCCTTGCAATATGTTTTGTTCCTTAATAAATATTCTTTGTCGGCTTGCATTCCTCCAGCTTCTTAGCATGCATTAGATGCAATTGCACAGAGCTGAAAAAAATAGTAATGCTAATAGAGATAATAGTGATGACAACCCACATTATAGGGCCACTCTTAGGCTATTATTGTCAGGCAGTGGGTTAAGTGCTTTATGTTGTATTCCAAGCTAGTATTCAAATGGAAACCAATCTTCTTTAATTTCTAGGTCTCTATTGGAACATCTAATAAACTGTTGCTTTTACTCAAACATCACATCTGCCTTTGGGGCTTGAGGTGTGTCTCTACTCTCCTTGAAAGCTGACTGATGTATTATAGCGTCCTCTTTGAGCATCTTTGAGCCAAGCCTGGATCTCACATTTAACTTGTATTTGTATTAGGCATGGTTTCCATGCTCATACATAAAGACAAATGAAGGCAACTTCTCCCTTCTTTCTGTATGTTCTCTATATAACAGGAAGCCTGGAGCTAGGGAGCCAGGAATATCATTTTTCAATTCATTATTTTCTACTGCCAATGAGTATGTTGTGGTGGATGATCCACAGTTGAGGTCCAGCCTCATTAACAGTGACAATAAAAAATCTAGTTTAAAATCTACGGGATCCTGTTTGGACATTTATATTGCTAAGAATGGGGAGCTAAACAGCAGATAACCTATCCATAGAAACTAGAATAACAGAGTTTCCTCTCCTTTAAAGAGCAAATTCAATTCTTAAGGTTTCTTTAAAAGACTTTCATATGGTAACACTTAAGCCAGCATTTGCCCTGTTCCTAGTGAGTCTTCTAAAAGCATCATTTTGATCATGTGACAGCTCTTCTGAGTCCATTAACTTCACAGTAGCCCTAAGACATTTTCTATTAAGCCCAGATTGGTCAGCCCATCTTTCAAGTGCTTCCATAATTGCCCAGACATATGCCCAGACTTTCTTAACCAGAATCCCCATGGGAAGGTGTTAAAATCTGTATTTGAAACAAATCACCCAAATGATTCAGATACGTTTTTTAAGTTCTTAAGTCTATTTTGACGTACACTGATTGCTCCCTTTTCTAAACAACCGTAGCATTTGTTACCTGTACTCCACAGAGTAATACTAAATTGCAAATTTCGTTGTTTCAGAATCGGGTTATAATTCACTGAATATCAGTCATTTGGCGTTCTTTTTTTTTTTTTTTTTACTCGATCCTCCCAATAAACACGAAAGATAGATGTCATTGGCCAATTTTATAACTGAAGAAACTGAGGCTCAAGAGTTTAAGTGCTCCACTAAAATTTAAACAGTCAGTAACTGTCAGAACTGAGATTTGATAATGTCTCTGTGGCTTCAGAGTGCACATTATTTTCCCACTCCACTCTTTGTCTCCCCCAAAGGAAAGCAGAAAAGGGATATTTTGAAGATATTCCAAATATATCAATTATTAATTACAAATACATGTGCGTGCGTGTGTGTGTGTGTGTGTGTGTATCATGTTCCTCCAAATGGATTTCAAATCTTTTGATGCTAGCAAATGAATTTTATACTTGTTTTGTACTTAGGTGGTGTTAACACCAGAAGCCACACGTGGGTGTTTAGTCATGACCACTGATTGTTCATACTTGAAGAAATGATGACATCATTCACTGAGCACATACTATATATTAGGTGCTTTATATGTACAATTATTGGTTTCTTATAACAACACTGTGAGAAAAACACAGTCCTTATTTTACAGATTAGAAAGGAGGGTCTTTGAGTGGTCAACCAATTTGTCCAGGGATACACAGCTCAACCTTTCTGATTCTGTTGTGTAAGCCTTGCCATACACAAGAATTATCAAGACTGTGTATCCCAATCCTCTTATTCAACAAATGAGGAAAAGAAACTCAAATAGTGTAAATAACTTATGTAAGGTCACAGAGCAAGTGAGAATCCAATTTACTCAGAACAATAAATGGCATATTTACTCCAGTTAACTGCATTTTAAACACGTTTTTGGAAAGTACAACATAATTTGAAATTGGTTTCCTTAAAGGTATTTTTTTATTTTATAATAATAACTACTCTAGCAATAAAGACTATAAATCAAAACAACTTATACTTTCATATCCATAGCCTGTTCTGGGAAAAATTCATTTCTGCTGTCTGTAACTACAGGCTTATAAACTTTAAAATCAATATGTTTGAAAGCTTTTCAACTAAAAATGAGAGAAGAAAGAGAGGTTAGGTTAGTTATCAGTGAAAATATAAGAAAATGTAAGAATTTCCTAGAATTTCCCTTTGCATTTTTCAAAACTCTTCAAAAATTTACAAGGGTGATTTTATAATCATAGTCTTTGTAATTTAACGAAAAGAAAACAAAGGTCCTCATTTTGCTTTCTGCTAGAATATAAGCTTTCTTACAAGAATATAAGCTAGGAAAGGGCAGACATTTGTTTACTGCTACTTTTTCAATGCCTAGTATTTAGCACAAACTATATAGCACAAAACAACTTAGCACAAATAAAGTACTTAGCACAAATAAAGTAATTACAATATTGTTGAATAAGTAAAACTTTGACGAAGAGCCTTTTCTTCTGATTGGGTGCAAGAAGGAGAGACACAGGGGATTTGGTTTTTGATTTCTTTTAACTTCATATTTTTAATGATATACTAAATAAAGCTAAATAGTGGCTCAAAAGACAGTGAGACTGAAATAAATGAAATTCTATCATTAGGGAGATGAATGTCAAGTTGTCCTGACATTGTTTTTCAAAGGAATAGCTTGAACTTCAAAGAAGAACCACTGTATCTCTTGTAGATTCCAAACATTAAATAAGCACTTGAGGCAATAGTTTAGCAGCTTTCTCAAACTGGACAGTATAGAAAGATAAAGACGTCGGCCTGGTTAGTTCTTCAGCCCTCCTGAGCACGGAGGAAATAGATGAGAGGTAACACTGTTCAGTGGGCACTTTTGTACTAGGTCCAGTGTTGGAGGTTTTACCATCATTATTTCACTTAATCCTTACTTCATTTGTATTCATTTGTATGACATAGGTACTATTATCATTTGCATCTTACAAGTGAGGAAACGAAAGCTCATAGAGACAAACTGAGACTCAAAGTCAGAGCTGTCTGATTTCAAACTTTTAGCTTTTACATCAGTGTTTCTCAAACTTTAGCCACTGGCACACCACCTATGTGGTTTTTACCATATTGTATCATCTGTAGCAGCCATGGAAGTGTGCTGCTCAGATTCCTGCAAGAAAGACAGCCCCACCTGTCATGCCTTCAGCTTCTGCTCCTCTCCCTGGGGGCTCCTACCAATGACTGGGCACGACAGGAGTACTGGGCCATTCATTCCGGTCCAGTGTGGGCCTCTGGAACAGGCAATCTGTACTCTATGATTCTCCATTGGCTTGGTCAGGACTTTCTTAGCACCACCTTCAGTTTGAGGCTTTCTCCACCCACTTCTCCTTCCTTCTCTCTCTTTCTTGCTAGATGGTCAGAACTCTCTGTAGTCTGAAGGCTCTCTGTACCTAGCTCTGCCACTCCTACTTCTCCTTCACAGATGTCTTCCTCCAATAAATCTCTTGCACGTCAATTCTGTCTTGGTGTCTGCTTCTTGGAGGACCCAAATTTACCATTATTTATCTACTATCAGAACCATTATTTATGTAATACTGTCTTTTTATTAGATTCCTTTTTAAACAAAATATGCTTATTTAACCTTGAGCAAAACATACGTTAATCTCAAATTTAATGTGCTAACTCTATTTTTCCTAAGACACCTTGAATATGCATATGAATACATGGTAATTATTTAACTAAAATTATTCAGATATGGGCCACTTAAGTCTTCTCTCTTGTCTCCAATATACACATATACCTCACTTGGAAATTGTTTCTTCTATTATATTGCTGGTAAAAGATATTTTAAGATAAGTAATGGTGGGTGATGAAGAAAAAGGATTACAACAGAATGTGTCAGCTGACATCATCCAAAGTTTTTATGAAATAGTGAAGACTGTGTTCTGGGAAGAACCTGGAAGGAAGGTTTCTGTATGACAGGAAGCAAACAGGCAAGGGGCCCCGCATCCAGCTGGATTCTGGACGACGGAGTAAAGCTGACACCACAGTGGCATCTGCATTCATCATCTGCTTTGCATGGTGTGCCAAGTGCGATAGATGTTTTGATGAAATTCTGAAGTTAGATTTTTCCAGCTCTATGAATTCCACCCACACCCTCATCTCCAACTTCTTGCTCATCTTTTGGCCAAATTTAAAACAGACAAAAGCTCTGCACATGTGTAGCAGCTGGGGCTTGCTCAGCAATGATAATTAAGGAATAGATCTAGAATAACTCAGCCCCACTCTCCCTGTCCTTGCACCACTCAGACCTCAGATGGGAACAAAATCAGACAGTGGTTTGACTTTTCCTGTCATAGAGCACAGTGTTTGCCTACCCTGGTGGTGAACTGATGGACACCCTAGGTTTCTAAAAGGATAGTGGAGACCTAGTGGCTGATAATGAATGATTCTGTCTGGCTGGGGAGGAGTGAAGACAGACAGCCCCTAGGTAGTTCATCTTGCCAGAGTAAGAGTGCTCAAAGAGACCAGGAAGAAGTCAGGGTTTTAAACCATTTCAGAAGGAAAATGAAATCATGAAATACCACAACCCTCTGTCATGAAATGAAGTCACTCAAAGAATGAAAAATTCTACTTGTTCATTTCCTTTTCTTCCCCACGAAACACATGTTTATAACATGACAGGCGTTTCATTTTTCCTAGGAACACATTAGAAGGCTTCTACTCAATGGGAAGCCGAGTCATTTTGAAGAAGAAGAAACACCTTCCATACATTGTTGAGTACAACAGTTAGCCCAATAGAAATAAGTTCTGGAGTCATCCCCGCCCGGACGACTCTCTAACGCTTGAAAATCAGACTTACCTTTTTCCAAAACAGTTTGCCCAGAGGCAGAGAGGTGGGTCCTGATTTCTCCTTGGTGCCTTCCTTCGCAGGTTCAGGGGTTGTCACGGACTGTGTGTGCCCCGATGGGTTGCATCCTTTGGAATTCTTGCCAGCCCCTTGGGTCTCCTGGGATGTAAAGTTGGCTTTGTCTGACTTAAGGTCAGCTGAAGTGGTGGGTGACTTTTCAGCACCCTAAAGAGTTAAAAAAAATGGAGGGAAAACATTCAAAATGGTCTCAAAATTTTAAAAATGGAAGATCTCTTTTTAATAAACATGGGCTGAGGTTATACATAATGTTAATTTTCTTCTTTATATTTTTCTGTATTTTAAAAATTTTTACTGTGAATGTGGACTTGTGTTAAAATCTCAGAAAAAGTTAAGATATTTTTCTTTCAAAAAATAAACATAGAAGCATTATTAATTATGTTTATGTAAGTAACTCATTAGGAATCAAGGTGGTGGTAAGAGACCCTTTGCTGTTAGAATATGGAGTTCTTATTTAGGCCACTGGTCTCCAAATGGTTTCAATCAAGTTCCCATCAGTAAAAACATTTTGAATTTCCACCTTCAATACATGCATACTTATTTATGTATATATTATAAACATGCATCATCTTACTGATCAAAATTAGAAATTAAAGGAGAGTTAAATTAAATATAGAACTTCTGAAATTTTTCTCCATACTCCACTTTGGGGATGACTGAGTTAGACTATAAAGTTAGTAAAAGGCAACTAGGCTGGAACTTGGTGAAGGGATTTTGAATTGGAAGAGTGTCCACAAACCCTATTTCTTCACTTTTAGGTGCAGCCCTACACTCCACAATTAAAACTTCTTGAAATGTTATCCATTCGGTCTTTATTTCCTCTCTTCCTCTCTCTTCCTTCCCTTCTTCCCTTCCTCCGCCTCCTTCCCTCTGTCTTTTTCTCTCTCCCTCTGTCCGTATCTCCTTTCTCTCTTTCTGTCTCTCTCTCTGAGCAGCTGCACTGAAGTCCAATTCCAGGACATCTGATTTCTTCAGCAAGGGGGTGTTAATTTCTATGCTCTGCCACCCACTGAGTCATGAGATAAAGGAAGAGTTGGGAGAATTATAGTCAGAATTTATCTTGACATGAGTGAATATTGGTACTCATAATTTTAACATCAGGTTCATCTGACCTAACCTCTTAATCCTAAACATCTTCATTTTATGATTTTTTTTGCTCTGGATACTTATGACTCAATCCCTTTAAATTCCCAGGGATGTAATATCCTTGAATAAATTTTCTGACTAAAAGAAAAAATATATTGCAATAAAAATGGGGTATGGGCCGGGTGTGGTGGCCCAACACTTGTAATCCCAGCATTTTGGGAGGCCGACGTGGGAAGATTTCTTGAGGTCGGGAGTTCAAGACCAGCCTGGGCAACATGGTGAAACCCTATCTCTACAAATAATAAAAAATTAGCTGGGCATGGTGGCTTGCACCTGTGGTCCCAGCTACTTGGAGGCTGAGGCAGGAGGATTGCTTGAGTCCAGGAGGCTGCAGTGAGCCATGATCGTGCCACTGTACTCCAGCCTAGGCAACAGAACAAGACACCATCTCAAAAAAAATATAGAATATGGACAAATTCAGAAAGTTTGACAGTATTTTTTGATCCTGGAAAGAGTCTTAAAGCCCATCTGATCCAATGCATGAATTTTCATGGATGGGGAAACTGAGGCCAATGATCTGCCCAACGCTGAACAAGGGCACAACCTGGCCTCAAGTCTGAACTTCTGGCTCCTTTCTAGAGCTCTTCCCAGGCAGCATATTGCTTCTCCAAAGGATGTTTGCAAATAACATGAATTTTACTATTTGATGCAAGACACAACATCTTCTTTGCTGAAATTTTTAATACTAAGAAGGAGTCATCCATTGAGCAGATTCTAAGTTCAAGTTAAGATAAAGAACTGACGTCTGGAAATGAATTTTGTGATAGTTGATACTGGAATAGCTCCAGTTCCATTTAAAAGTATACAAAATGGCAAAATGTTGGAATTTACAATAACCTTTGCATTTTATAGACAGTGAAGTCAAAATGGCTGAGCTCATAAGATTCTGCATTACAAACGTCCCAAACGCTCTTGAGTACCTGGTGCTATTTTAGCTCTAAACGGTAATTAAATTAAAGGGGACTGGTTAAAGGGTAAGTACCCCTCCTCCTAACACACACATGCTAAGTAGCTTGTTTTCTTTTTCAGAAAATAAGAGAAAGTATTATTCAATAATTCATTTAAAATCCACTTTGAGTGTCCTCTATGAGCCATGATATGTACTAAGTGCTGGGGTTACATGTCCTCAAGGAGAGGATGACAGTAAATAATTCCACAAATAAATGTAAAATTTCAACTGTAATAAGTGCTACTGAGTGGGGAGGCGATTTGAGGCTATTCCTCTCAATCCCATAAAAAGCTAAATCAAGGAGTTTGATCCACTCATGAAAATCAGGGAAGACTTCACTGAGAAAAGGATGGTTGTGCTTTGATCTGAAGGGTGACTGAAAATTAACCAGAGAAGGGAAGAAGAGAGTTTTCCACGCACAGGGAACAACTGCCCTAAGGTCCTTCGGCAAGTATCGGAGCAAAGAGTGGCCAAGCGTGGCTACTTCAACAACAACCTCTCCTTCTGCTTTCCTGGGAGAATCTCCATTTGCCCAGTGGTCCATTTTAGACCAAGAATCCAGGGGTTGGGGCTGACCTCATCCCCATCTCTAAGAAAGGGCTCTGGTTGCTTTAAGCCAATCATCAATCTGCCGAAGTCATTAGAAGGGCGGCTCCATGGCCCCACGCTATTTTGGTGTAACTTCTGTGGCTTGGCTTTGTACCTTTTCTAAATGCTGTGTTATTTTTCTGGCTCAAGGGTTCCCTTTGATGTGCATTTAGCCCACTTACTCAGAGTCACATAGAGGTTACAAAAAACAAGGTCCCCAGGTCCTGGAGTGCCAGAATTTACCTGGGACAGCTCCAGTTTACCTAATGCATTACATACTTGGCCGTTTTCACCGCTCAGCCACCACCCTTTCTCTCTCTGCTTAGTCTCCCTGGACCACTGTTGCATCTTGAAGACATAATTTCCAACTTTAAACTTTTATTTGATGACAAGAATAAAAGGTAACAGTGACAGACACTGTTTTAAGCACCTGAATGTCCTGACAAAAGTCCTATGACGAACGATTATTTTTTGTATTTTAAAATTGATGAATCATAGTTTTACATATTTTCGGGGGGTCCATGTGATATTTTGATGCCTGTATACAAAGTGCAATGATTAAACCAGGGTAACTGGAATTTCCATCACCTCAAACTCTTATCCTTTCTTTGTGTTGGAAGCTTACAATTTTTCTCTTCTAGCTGTTTTGAAATATCCAATAAATTACTGTTAGCTGTAATTTCCCAATGGTACTATCAAATGCTACAACTTACAGGAAGACACTAATTTTTATGCCAATTTCACAGACAGGGAAATTTAGTTGCTTGGTGGCTAAGTAACTTGCCCACAGTTACACTAATGAGGGGGCAGAGCTGACAGCTGAATCCAGGGAGTCTGATCCCCAAACCCAAGCATTAATAGTGACTCCATACTACACTGTTTCCAATGAATCAAGGTTTCCTGCTCCCTGGGCTATTCCACCCATCAGTGAGGGAAATCTATACCACCGTTCTCAACAAGGGCAATATACAACAAAAAATAATATTGCATTTGTTCTTGGGAGAAGGGTTATGCCAAATTAGATATTAACATGGTCTGTGTCTCCCCTAAAGAATTACAGTGCATTAACAGGTATAAAGAATATTTGTTACATTAAAATTTCGTGGAGGGAAGGGTGATTAGGGCAAAAAATAGTCTAAAAAAGTATCATGGTGAGGGCTGATACTGAGATAAAGATTGGGAAACACATCTATACTGATCAGTTTCATAGGGAAGTGACCAATTTTTTTTTCTCTTTGCATTGGGAGGATATCCAGAAACCCTTCAAAAACATTACAAGGGCATGACCCTACTACAGTTATAGTAACTATATAATTCTAATTTATTTGTGTAGTTGTTTGTTGAATATGTATCTCTTTTGCTAGAGTCTTGGTCATCATCATATCCTAAGACCAAGAAAGTCTTGGTCATGATTACGTCCCCAATTCCCATCAGGCCTAGCTTCTGGCACAAAATAGACAATCAGTCATTCAATTAATAATTACAGTCTATGACAGGGACCAGAGACAGACACCCACACAAGATCCTGTCATGCCATATTTCCAGCCACCCACCCCTGCTCACTGGGTTGTAGAATACCAGTCAGAACACCATTAGTCTTTTCATTCCTGCCCACCACTCTCCTGCCTTCCCAAAGAAGTCCCCCAGATGGAGTTCTGCCAGCATCAACCAACTGGATATTCTTTGTTTGCGTTACAGAGGAGACTACAAAAATTTTAATTGTGTTTTCAGAGGCAATCTCATGAATAGGGTTGCCAGATTTAGCACATGAGAATAAGAATATGAGATATTCCATTAAATATTAATTTAAGATCAGCAAAGAATAATTTTCTAGCATAAGCATGTCCCAAATATTGCATGGGACATACTTATATTTAAATTAAAAAGTTATTTCTTGTTTATCAAAAATTTGAATTTAACTGAGTCCTGTATATTTTACCTGGTGGCCCTGCCCATGAAATTCTAGTGGATTCAATTTGGAGATTGTATGTCAAATGACCTTACCTTCTTAATAAATTTTCGTCTTGTTTTCACATTGGGTGTGGGAGAGAGGAGATGTTAGTAAGATGTAAACACTACACCAAGAACCAAAAACAATGAATGAATGGTAGAGCTTATAAATCATGCATGCTGCTTGCTAATACTTCAGCTGCCTTACAGAAAGGGTGGGCACTGGGGAAACCTGAGGAGAGAGGGGAGCATTTTGGGGCATGGCAAAGGCATTCTAAAGGAATGCTCTGTTTTGTGTCTAAAGTTGTCACCAAACAGTGGTGGCCACATGAAAAAGTTTGATTCTGAGACATCACATGCCATTAGGCCGAGAAAAATGGTTCCAATTCAGCAAAAGCTGACACTAAATGTATTTCACTTACTGATTTCAGACTTCCCTACTTTTTGAACTGAGAAAATTCTTTTTATAAGAAGGATCATAGAGATGTAGAGAAATAAAGCCCCAGAATTAACCAGAATTGGTAACTTTTTTTTTAATAGCAAAATAGTTTTATCCTTCAATTTGCTTGAATTTCTCGTTTTCTTTTCCAGGTGACAAACCCATGGGGAAATGGAGAGTATCACACCTCCTAAAATCATGATAATGTCACTGAGAGAATCTGGCTGGTTATTTAAAGGCCCTACTTTCCTATCTTTAGAGACAACAGAAATAATCAAAAGAGAAAAAGAAATGAACTATCTCAGGTGCAGAGGTAAAAGCCAATGAGCTCTAACAAACTGCTGCGTAAATAAGAATTCAGAACATTTGGGAGGTGTCCCTTACTTTGATTTACACTTACATAAAAAAATACACTGAATGCCACTCAAGGCAAAACCCTGAAGTCCTTGTGTCTGTGTTACAGAATTCCAGAAGGCTGTTCCCGCGGCCTCTTCCCACTCTTCCAGAATCCTGTCTTTTCCCCATCTACCTCAGTGACAAGATGGGAGGCCAACAGTTTTTGGGAAGCCCTAGGAATGATAACATTGAACTTGGGTGGTCCCTTTATTGGTGGCAAGAGATACTGCAGACGTAAAATTTTGTAGTGCATGAAGTGAATGTCATAATGAAAGGCAGATCTGGGGAAACATCATACACTTCTTAAACTTTCAAGGCCCCTTACTTACAAAAGCTCCAAGTGGGAGTTAAACTAGATTCTTTCCTATGAGATCTATGACGCGTTTCACCAGCAGTTACTAAGTTATTTCCCAGCAGTTACTAAGTTATGTGATGTTGGAGCACATTTTAATCTTCCCTCCCCCGTTGCAATATTTATCATTCCCCATTCTTTTCTCTTCACAGAACAAAATTATCCTGTATGGAAATTGAAAGGTGGCTTCATAACATAGTCTGCTTACGCAAATACAGATTCAGCTGTGAGAACTTTCTATGGAGTGCTTATTTGCATATACAATCCCGGGACTGTGACATCCAGGTAGGGAAGTTTTTTTAATACAGGCTTTTGACTTGGTGGAAAATGGCTGATATTTTAAACAAATTTTCAAGCATGCTAACCCAATTCAGGGATCCTTTAAACTGATGGTTTCAGACAAACACTGGCGTCTTCTTAGACATTGGAAGCATAATATTTCCCAAACTGACTTCAGTGTTGTCCTAACTTCCCAAGGACATGGAGCTGAAACATGCTCTGCCTTCATTCATTGCTTTTTTCCGCCTGGACTTTTATTTGGGTTCAGTGTAAGCTTAGTTAATATTGGAAATAGATGAAACAGACCACAGAAAGATAACATTATTACTTGAGGTTAGAAGAGTATTTCCCAAAATGTAGGAAGCATACCATTGGTGGATCAGAGAAGATTATAGATTGTGCAGAAATATGATATTACATAGTATTCAAATAGTGAAACCACTTCTCCTTTTCCAACTCTCATTTAATCCTTCTACTAACATTCTGGAGAAAGTCTCAGTCTGGTGATGGTACATCTTTAACATTTTTCTACCATTGGCCAATTAATCACCTTTTAATAAAGCTAGAAAGAGCATCAGATTCAGAGCTTAATACAAATGAGGTAGCTAGAATGTAATGTCTTTTTAATTAGCCAAATTAATGCTTACCTTCCTCTTAGGAAAAATTATTCTGATTTTCTATATATGATATAAAGTTTCTTTTAAAGATACAATTTAAATAGAAAATAGGTCAATTTCAATGTAAAAATATCAAATAATAGTACATCTAACAAAAATGGTGAAGGTGGTACACAAGTTATTGACATTTGGGAAATACTGGGTTAGAAGAATAGTTCCAGAACCCTGGTCCGCACTAGGAAGACACCTGTTTGAAATGTTTATGACTATGGGGACTTAAAAATCACTGAAGTTTAATTCATATCATCTTTAATTCTCTTTTAATGATCCCCACCACCCAAGGCTCTGTTTTTACTGGAGAGGAGCTGGGTGGGCTCAGGATGGCACATGTCTTGTGAAGACCAGAGTTCTTGTTTTTCCTCCTACTTTAATAAGATACAGACCTTATGCCTAAAGAATTTTCTAAAGGCGAGTCCTAGCCTGGGGCTATCCAGGTGCTTTTTCTTGGTGCCTCTAGCCTGGATCTCGGATGTCTTCTGACCAGCTTGTCCATCACAGACACTTTCTGCTTTCGATGCCTTTGGGGCAACAGCAGTCACAACCTCAGAACTTTGTTTTTGAACAAAATTCTTTTTGTTTTCTGTTGTTTTAAAGTGCATTAATACGCTGTGACAATTAACTGTTGGTACACCATCCCCTCTTCTAACCACAAAACACCCTGTAAATGTTTATCTTTTTTAAACTTCCATATTCACAATTTTAGATATACAGTGATTTTCAACAGTGACCTATTTAAATGACCCAGATGAACACACCTCAAAGCAAGACAGAACAAAACAAAACTCTGTATCTCCATTTGCTGAAGACAAATAACAGGAGAAGATAATGCAGTCTCTACTTGATAGTTGTAGATATCTAAATGCTATTGCTACATGGTAAAGTAAAAAATACCTGCAGACAAAATATTTCTTTTTCATCCTGGAGTCAAAGCAAAGACTGCTGCTGAATGTCTTTTAGTCTCAAATCGATCTCCTTTGATTCACTATTAGAAACTTTATGGAAGCAATATCACCTGCAAAAATTTCAATTCACTTCTAGATGGGTAGACCCCCGCCAGGCAGAGAAAATGTGTAGTGTGAACCAATCCACTGAGGCAAAGTAGAGGGAGATCGAAACCGAAATAGCCTGGCTACAACCACTCAAGATTGTTGGCTCAAGTTACAAATGTCAGGGACTTTCGTGTAGGGAAGGTAGTGGGCTGAAAACAATACAGACTTCAAAAGCATGAATCCAAGAACTTCAGTAGAAAAGATATCAAAATTGCAAGGTATGAGAACCAGGTTTGTAGAAAACACATCTGTTTGTGGGTGTCATGGACAACCTACATTCACAAAACCCGCTTTTGAGACCCAGCTCCACTAATGTGACCCCACAGCTTCCTGGGCAGGACGGTGAGATTTTATCAGCTGGGTACGTTCAGTTTTGACCACATTCTGGGTCAGGGAGGAGTCTTGGTCCATGACCAGCTAAAGAGAATGAGTGCATCAGGTCACTTGGGAAGCCACACACACATTCCCATACTCCACTGTTTAGAGCCTTTTACGCTATGTGGCTTCAAACAACGCAAGACATAGAACCAAAAGAAATACGTTTTGCCCCAACCATTCATTGAACTTGACCCTATGACCTCGGAGCAAATGAATAACTTTATAGGAAAATGCATGTAGATGCTTCAGATACATATTTTTTTCCAATGGAAGAAGAAAATTCTCGAGGAAACCAAGAAATACAATACAAATGTAGTCATGTCATTCAACCAATCTTGGCTGTGATCATTGAAATAGGGATCGCTACATTTAATCAGAGCTCTACAGTTTGCAAAACAATGCCACACCTTCATTCAACCTTGGGGTCCAGGACAAAGAATTTTTTTGTCCCAATTTTATAGACATGAAGACTTGGGTTCAGACAGATTAAGATTGTACCACTATCAAGTAGCAGAACTGGAGCTGAAATGCAGGTCTTTTGAGACAAAATCTAGGATCCTCTTTTCACAGCCAGCTCCTTCACATGTGGGTAGCAGATGTAGGGGGCAAACCAAGCCATGTATCTGATCCCACTGTTTTTCAAAGCACTTTCCGATATCAGAAGAAGGACCCAAGACACTTATCTGTCACCAAGTTAAACTTCCTTCATGGTTCCCGTGAAACTTAAACCGTGTATTCCACTAGAGGTAACGAGCCTTGTCCAGTGTAAAGGGAGAACATCTCTAGGAAGATGGTATTTCAAACCAAGTTTATTTTGAGGAGAGTGGGCTGAATTCTTGGATGACAGTGAAGAACCTAGGCTCTCTAGCGTGTCCTAACGCCTCTGCATGGCCATCCGTTTGGCAGGTGCCCCAGGGAAACTATTCTATTTCACCAAACCACTGCCTTTGCAGTAAAGATTTATTTAGTTTTCAAATTACATTGAAAAATAACATATTTTTTAGAAAACAAAAATATAGCAGCTTTCTTCTACTTTATTTTTTTAGAGTCCACGTCCTACTGAAAAGCTTTCTTCTACTTTACATGGACTGTTTTTTACTATATTCCCTGGGTCCCTCTACGCACAACTAAAAAGACTAAGATGATGATATAATTATTAGTATTCTGTTCTTATGCTATATAAGAAATTGGTATTGTGATATTATTTAGCCAGAGTTGGCACGTCTTTCAAGCTTTCCAGTAAAATTTTAATTTAACTACTGTTAATGTAAATAAAATATTTTAATGACAACCTAACAGCACTATTAAATTGCTAATTATATATAGATATGATACACACACACACACACACACACACACACATATATGTATTCAAAAAACAAGCAGGCAGACACAAATCCAAATCCAATTCTATGCGCAAACCCAAATATATACATACACACTTCCAACTACCTACCGTGTCTTCTGGGTCCTTTTTTGTTTCAGCTTTGTTAGGTGAAACCTTAAAAGTTTGAGAAAGCCAAATATTAGAAATCATTGCTCTTTAGAGTGATTTTTATTTCATAGATAAATAACTCTTTAGGGTGGTCCAGTTCACCATACAGGTCAAGAATAAAATGAGAAGTATTTTTAGTTCAATAGAAATCTCAGGACCGCCGGGTAATACAAAAGTTAACAAAATTAATATCTTATAATGAGATACATCTGATCTTATACATTTACCAAGAGTTTGACCACATTCAAAATTGTCTCCTGGAAGACCACAGACTTCCAATAAATTTTACCATTACTCCAAACACATGTGCAACCCTCTGGTGTTTGTGGCACATTCTGTTGACATTTATTGTTTTTTCTTTTGAGGTTAGTCTTGATATTTGAAAATAGCCCAAACACATTTGGGACAGTCTGCTTCACTATGCATTCATTCATTCAGGTTTTTTTTTTTTTGAATGATTTCTACAGTATTTTATTTGCCACTTGAGTGGCAAAACTGCTTTGAGATGTCCACAACACAGGGAGATATTTTTCAATTATTTTTATGATCAATGAACATAAGACATTCAATTGCAATAGAATTCCATTACAACACAGCCCATGTTACATGATTTGGGCATCCACTGCTTATACCATGGTTCCGAGCTTCAGGGGCTCTCTTGCTAAAAGTCTGATATAACACAACTTTCTTATGAAGCATATCTTGTCCCTGTTCTCTCCCATGCTCCAACAGCACCATGATAATTCATTTAGTACAATAACATTCAAATGTGCATTATTCTTAGAATTAACAAAACTTTTGAGCAATAGAGTGGAGGGGAAAAGAGGAGAAAACTGCTTACCAGAGTTTTAAAGAAACTCATGATGGAATTATTATTCTCTGCTATAGCTGCTGCCTGGGAATCGTCCTTTGCAGTCTCCAGTCCTTCTGGGTCCCCAGGGACAGAGCAATCCGCAGTTCCAAGTTCTTGTCCTTCTTTTTCCTTGCCGTCAACTATGTCCTAGGGGCAAAACAGTTGTCACAGTTGCCACTTGCTGAATGTGAACTCTCAAAGTCATACTTTTGCTTCACACCCCTTTCTCTCTTACCCCCTAATTCCAGCCATACTTCTTCTGCCCACAGGCGTGCAGAACAATCATGAGATTATAAGAGTCACTCTTCCTTCCCTCCCCCTCTTTCTAACATATTCAGCATTTGCTGTTGGTTGGAGGGACATTGTTTGGAGCCAAAGGGTAACAAACACAGCAGTGCACGTTGCATTTCAAACAAAAACCCTTTTCTTCCAATTCTGCAAAGAAGTTGTGTAAGGTATCGATATTTTCCATCTTTATAGTCTCCTTATCTATGATGTGTACATTATCCCCAGAGATGGCGTTTCCCACAATTTCCACAGAGTTGGATTATATCAACTAAAAAAAAAAAAAAAAAAAAAGAAAAAGAAAAAGAAAAAGTACTGGTGTTTAAAAATAACTATTTTGCTTTTGAGATATGAGGTTCATCTGTGCAAGGGGTGTGATAGGGGAACTGATTTTCTCCCCGACCTCCTCAGGAGGGTAGGATGCGTTCTGAATCTGCCTTCCTTTCACCATCTCACCTCTCACGACCCCAGGACAGGAAGCTACTGCCTCTCCACCTTCTGACTGCAACAGCCCTGGCCTTGTCTCTGGTTGGGCTCTTGACCCTCACAATACATTCTTTACTCAACAGATCCCATCTTCCCACTCCTTACCACCCTCCAGTAGCTTCTGACAGCTCTTGGAGTCAAGCCCAAACTCTGATGCAGGATCTCCAACGTCTAACATGGTCTGCCCCTGCCTAAATCTCCATCCTCTCTGTACCACGTGCTCCTTCATTCCATTTTCTGGCCCACTTTCTTTGAGTTTTTCAAACATACCACAGGTTATTTCCAAACTTCTGGCTCTCTGTTTGAAACATTCTGCTCCTCTGTCTGCCCGTAGGTAATTTCCATCCATCCTTAAGGTCATAAGTGTCATCTCTTTGGAGAGATTGTCCCTAAACATTCATCTAAGGCTGTCCTCCCACCACTGTCGTCTCCACCAGAGTCCCTTGCCCTTTTAAAAATCTTTGCTGTGTCAGCAGTTCTGTTTACTTCTCAGTCTTTGTGCTTTTCCTCATACTCCCATTAGACTACAAACTCGACAAAGACAGGGATAATATCTACTTCACTCAGTGCTTTTCTCAAGTACCAAGGACAGCGAGGCCCACAGAAGGCATTCAATAAATATGTATCATTTATGAAAATTTTACAAACATAGAATAGTGCTATCTGTACCAGCATAAATTCTCATGTGACAAAGTAGTACAGAAACTTCCCATTGCAACACAGCTAAACCTGCCTCATTCTTTACGACTCAGGTGACATTTATTCCATTGCTTGGTTATAACATTGTTTATTGTCTAATATCCTTATTGATGGACATTCACAGTGTGTATAGTTGTACATCTAGAGTATTATAAGCAGTAGTAAAGTGATCATCTCACACTTTTATTTTTAAATACTCATGTATCTATATTTTCTTTGGGTAAATTATCAAAAATGAAATTTTTGGGTCAAGAGGTATGCAAATTATATAAACTTGATGAATATTCTTGCAAAAAATGAGAAGGTTTCAACAGAGAGGTCCTGCAGGTACATCGGTGCATCTGAGAAGCTGTTTGGTGCACCGGAGGTTGTGACAAGTGAGACCTAAAACGTATCCGGGCTGGGCAGGTTGGTGCATGTGGTTGTGGCCTGGCAGTGGGGAGCTTGGTCTGGAGGTGGGTGGAGTGAGGGAGGCGGACTCGACTCTCACCTGCTGGTTGAGCATCGTCTTCACTCTTCGCCCTCCCTTTCATCCCCGTGTAGTCCTTCCTTTCATCCCAGGGCTGTGGGTTCCGCCTTCTCCACACCATCTCCCTGCCCCCATGCTGCCAGTTCCCTTACTTAGAGGAGAATGAAAGGAGACACTTCTGTTTCCTCAAAAGCGATTTCTAACAATTCGCAGTGTGTGAGGTGGCAGAAGCCCACAGAAGACTTGGTATTTCTATTTTGACCCCTTCTCTCAGTAGTGGAGAGTGGGATATGGTGGCACTGCATTTAGACTCCTGGATTTTATACTTTCTCCTCTGGGGTTGGCAGTGTCTGGACAAGCAGTATAAATTGATATGGGTTGACTATCCCAACCACTGAGATACAATTCAACTCATTTTAATGGACGATTGTATTGGGCCATTTTTTGCGTTGTTATAAAGACATACCTGATTCTGGGTAATTTATAAAGAAAAGAGGTTTCATTGGCTCACAGTTCTGCAGCCTTTACAGGAAGCATGGGACTGGCATCTGCTTGGCTTCTGGGAGGCCTCAGGAAGCTTACAATCATGGCGGAAGGAGAAGTGGGAGCAGGCACAGCACATGGTCAGAGCAGGAGCAAGAGAGAAAGAGTGGAGGGGGTGGTGGGACAAACTTGCAAATGACCATATCATGTGTGAACATAGAGCAAGAGCTCAGTTACCACCAAGGAGATGGCCCAAGCCATTCATGATGGATCCACCCCTGTGATCTTTCACCAGGCCAAACCTCCAGCATAGGGGATTACAATTCAACATGAGATTTAGGTAAGGACAGATGTGCAAATTACGTCAACTACTTATTAAGCATTACATGTACACCAGTGCTTTCTCTTTCCTAAGCTAGTATAATTTGAACAAGGTCGCTTAATCTTAATATATTATTATTTATTATAGAATAATATACAATGCCAATACGTCAAATATTTTACATTTACAGCATGCAAACCACTATACAAATAAATGCATTAAACATATGTCACTTAATCTTTACAACAATCTTCTGAGACAAATATTACAATTAACAGTTTCAAACAATGAAATGAGGCTCAGAGAGTTTAGGTTACTTGTCTAAGGTCACACAGCTTGAGAGAGGCCAATATGGGGATTATAAGTCAGGCCTGTCAGAACTGAACATCTTAAAATTCTATAGATTATTTGGCTATGAGTGTCAACTTTGCTAAACTTATATAGTGTGTGCAGTAAAATGTAACATCATATAAATTAAATCCAGGTGGTGGAAAACCAAGATCCTCATAGGGAGTGTATATAAATATAGACTACATCCATAAATTCCACCAGTAAAAACCCTTCATAACTTAACTCTCCCAAAAAGTACTGCACTTATAACTTGTTTAAACCATGTCATCCTTACGTCTTAAACAATGCTTGTTTATGCTTGTATAGCTTTACAGTTACGAGGTGCCTTCACAAATCTATCTTATCTAATCTTTGCCAAGATTGTGCAAGGCAAATTACAGATGAGAAAACTGAGGCCCAAAGAGGTTTAAACATCATGTCCAAGGCCACAGTTGGCAAGCGTAAGCATTAATTTGTTTTTGCCTAAGTAGCATTCCTCACTCCTTGTGACAACAGGACCCTCCTGCTCATTCCTGGAGAAGTGCCCCTCTTCCATTCCATTCTCATTGCTTTCCTGCCCGTTTTTTTTTGTTTTATTTTCCCCCTGGGTCACTCTTTTGTAACCCCAGTGACCTGCTTGCTCTTCTTTGAACATGTCAAGTAGGCTGTTGCCTCAGGACCTTTGCATCTGGGCTGAGCTTCTGCCTGCCAGGAGCATGTGACCTTACTTCTTTCAAGTCTTTTTCAATTGTCACTTTTTTCTTTTTTTTTGAGACAGAGTCTCACTCTGTCACCCAGGCTGGAGTGCAGTGGCATGATCTTGACTCACTGCAACCTCTGTCTCCCTGGCTCAAGCCATTTTCCTGCCTCAGCCTCCCAAGTAGCTGGGATTACAGTGTGTGCCACCATGCCTGTCTAATTTTTGTATTTTCAGTAGAGATGGGGTTTCACCGTGTTGGCCAGGCTGGTCTTGAACTCCTGACCTCAGGTAATCCCCTCACCTCGGCCTCCCAAAGTGCTAGGATTACAGGCATGAGCCACTGCGCCTGAGCCAATGGCCACGTTTTCATCGAGGTCTTTCTTTACCACTCTACTTTAAGTTGCTATAATATATCCCGGCATATCTGATGCTGCTAATTGCTTTATTTTTCTCCTAGTAGATTTCACTTCTAATATATTACTGGCTCCTCTTCCCCCTAAGGACATCTGGTAATGTCTGGAGACATTTTTTTGATTGTCACGAGTAGCGGGTTAGTGATTTACCACTGGTATCTGGAGGATAGATGCCAGGCATGCTGCTAAAATTCCTGCAATGCCCAGGACAAAGAGTTATCTGGCTCTCAGTGGCAAGACTGAGAATTATATTAAAACTCTCACTTGTCATTTTGTGTTTTGTTCCTCTCCCTTCACTGGAATAGAAACCAATGAAGGTTCTTTTTCTCCCTTATGTTTCCCCAGCACCCAGACTTGTGCACATGGTACAATCTCAAAAATTACTAGTGAATGAATGAACAAATGATTTAATCCAAGTGAGAGTATCAGTCATCAATTTTTAGCCATTATGATTTCAAATATTTTTTCTTCTCTCCTTTTCTCTCCTTTCATGGACTCCAATTACCTGCCTACTAGCCTACTTGAAGTTATCCTGTAGCTCATTAATGTTCCTTTCTTCCTTCTTTTTGAAAAAGCCCTCTTCCTTTTCACCCACTGCCCTGTGGTTCCTTTTGGATAGTTTCTATTGCTGTGTATTTAAATTCACAATTTTTTTTTCTGCATTGTCTAATCTGTTGTTAATGTCATCCAGTGTATTTTTTACCTCACACACTGTAGTTTTTATCTCTAGAAATTTGATTTGGATTTTAAAAATATATCTTCTATGTCTCTACTTAACTTTCCAAACATATGAGACACATTTATGCTAATCCTTTTTATTTTTTTGCCAATTCTAACACCTGTGTCAGTTCTGGGTAGGTTTTGGTTGATTTCTCTTCACATCATGAGTTACATTTTCCTGCTTCTTTGCTTCCCTGGTAATTTTTGTTTGCATGTCAGACATTGTGAATCTTACCTGTTTGGGTGGCTGGATATTTTTTGTTCCTATAAATATTTTTGAACTTTGTTTTTGGAGGTAGTTAAGATACTTAAAATCAGTTTGATCCTTTTAGTTCTGGCTTTTAAGATTTGTTCGTGAAACTGACTTTGCAAAAATTATGAGTGAAAAAATTATGACTGTGAAAGAGATCTGACCTAACCAACACCATCTTGCCTTTAACTTCCAAGCTGCCCTTGTTCATTCCTGGGGGTAGGCCACACTAACTTCGGGAGGAATTTAGTTATAGTTTAACTTTGAAACAAAGATAATAACAGTCCCTTCCCCAAACAAGCCCCCTTTATTCTTGGGGACCAGTCCACCTTTGTAAAACTAGCAAATTAGACACAACATTAGAAATTATGGCTCAGGAGTCATACAGCCAGAGGCCACAAGATTCTTCACCTCCCCAGTTGTTCTTATGGATAACATTACTGCTGTAAAACCTAATATTGGTGTTTGAGATATTTTTCAGACCCTGCATTCTGGTCTGGCTCATCTGGACTTGCGGCCCCCACCCAAGAACTGACTCAGTACAAGAGGACATCTCTGATGTCCTATGATTCTGCCCCCAATCAACTAATCAGCATTCTCCACGCCTTAGCAATCTGCCCACCAAACTGACCTTAAAAAACTCTAGCCTCTGAATTTTGGGGGGAAGCTGATTTGAGTAATAAAAAAGTTCTAATCTCACATTTAATTGGCTCTATGTGTAGTAAACTCTTTCTCTATTGCCATTCCCCTGTCTTGATAAATTGGCTCTGTCTGGGCAGCGGGCAAAAATAACCCATTGGCAGTTACATTAGGTAGGACCAAAATCGTGTCTAGTCTAGGAAGCTAATATTTTCTCGCTAATGAGGAAAGACCCTGTGACTACTCTACCCAGTGCCTTATTAATAATGAGGTTTTCTAGTCTGGCTGGTGAGAGAAGGCACTCTCTCTGGCCCTGTGTAAATGCCTTTCTGGTGGTTGGTTTTTTTTTTTTCCCCCTTCAGTCTTTGCTAGTTTCCTCATATGAACATATTGGTCAGCTCTCTGCCTCATACTATGTGAGGACCTTTGACAGACCCTTGGAGTTTGCTCTCTGTGTATCTCTCTCTCTCCTCTGATGCTTTGTCTATGAACTCTGGCCACCTTGGGCTCAGGGAGCCTGCTGGGCTCTGCCTCAGTTCCTCCCCCCTAGGCTATGGGCTGGAAACCCTCTCAAGGCAGTAGGTAGGAGCAGACACAGGGATTATCTCTTATGTCCCGTCTCTCAGAGAACACCTATCCTTGTTGCCTGATATCTTAAAACAGTCTTAAAAATTGTTGTTTGGTTTTTTTGTCCAAGTTTTCATCTGTTTTAGGCAAGAGGGCAAAGCCAGTTCCTGTAACTCTCCCTTAGCTGAAAGCTTCTACTCTGTTAATAGTAGAGAGTGTTGACTTCCTGTAGCTGGCTACAGGTGAGTTCGTTTTTGGTGATGCATGAATCTTGAGCTACATTATCATGTGAACAGCAATGAGGATCAAATCAGGTCTGAAAAGAAGTGAGCTCCCTAAATTTGAAATTAATAAGTGTATTTGAAATATGAACTTTGTCACCAAAATTAATAATAAATCTTGTTCTAGGGGTGTAGCAGATCTTTTTATATTAATTAGTGATAATGATTATGAACATTATTTATAAATGAATAAATGAAGGGAAGAATGAATGTCAATGATCAATCTCTCTTTCTTTCCCATAGACTGATATTCAATTGAGTAATTTTGCAAACAAGAATTGAAGCTCATTATCTCTTACTGCTATTTGTTTTCCTAATTCCCCTCTCATCAGTACCCATCATACTGAATCATAATTGATTAATTGCCAGTATCACCTGCTCAACTGGGCATTTGAGGACAGGCACTGCGTGTGTCTCATTCACAACAAGATCAAGTGGTTGATAAAAGTTCCAGTGCCTGACAAAGACTCCATATTCACCTCCCAGCTCCACTCACAGGTTGAGGAACCCCAGCTGGGGTCTTAGCCTCTCTGAGACAAGGTCGTCTCATGGAACACAAGATTAATAATAAACCTTGCCTGGTATAATTCGTTGTGAGTTTCCATAAGAAATAATGCATGTAAATTCCTTAGCATAATGCCTAGTATAGAAGTGTCCAATAAATGTTAGCCAAACAGACAAAAAAAAAAAAAAAAAAAAGCAATGAAAATGCCATACAATTTGCAAAGTTCCTGACACAGAGTAGATTCAGGAGAAACATTTGTTAAAGGATGAAAGGATATGGAGTAAATTCTTTTTTCTATGCCTTTGTACACTGTGCTCTCCAGCTTCTGTCTTCCCTTTTGAAATCTATTCTTCACGATTGGAATCAAGTCTCCCTCTCCCACCGACGTTTTTCTGGGTCAGGCCACCCATGGACTCTGTCCCCTTCTCTGAATTTCTATACCACAGTTCTCAGCACTCAGTTGGTACTTAGATTATGCACTTAGACCAGCCTAACACCAAAGGCCAGGTTGGAATAGTTTGCATTAAAAATGGGGCTTTTGTGAAATGGCTGCAAAAATACAAAAAGCACATTTTGGTGAGTATTTTAAAAGTAACAATAATACACATATTCTACAAGGGTTTCAATCAGCCCCAGGACTCTTTCTAAATGGAAGCATATTTCTTGTGAAATGCCTCATGAGCAGCTGAAGCTTCATAAAACTAAAAGCAAATAAAAGCCATGGTCTTAATAGTCTTGTTAGGTTTTCTGGTTAATTCTGGGAGAAAAGTGTTTTGCTTTGGAAGAGATGTACTTTTTAAAAACAGGTTCTAATATGAGTTGAACTTTTAAAAACTAACTCTGAGGTATAACTGGGATCCAAGCGGTTAAGCTGGTTGATTAGAAGGATGGCTGCAAATTCTATTTATAGCAGATGAGTGTTGATATACGTATGAGGAAGGCGATTTTATTTTAGGTGGTATGTCCGCGCACACACACAGTTATTCTTTTAATGTGTATTGTGGACTGAAAGTTTGTGTCTCCCCAAAATTCATGTGTTCAAATCCTAACTTCTGATGTGATGGTATTAGGAGGTGGGGCCTTGGGGAGATGACTAGGTCATGGGGTGGAGCCCCCATGAATAGGATTAGTGCTCTTATAAAAGAGACCCCAGCGAGCGTTCTAGTCCTCTTTCCATCATTCCAGGGTGCAATGAGAAGCTGGCCATCTGCAACCCAGAAGAGGGTCCTCACAAGAACCCAACCATGCTGGCATCTTGATTTCAGACTTATAGCCTCCAAAACTGTGAGATATCAATTTCTGTTGTTTATAAGCCATCCAGTCTATGGTACTTTGATAGCAGCCTGAACTAAGACAATGTGCACTAGAAAAATATGTCCAGCATCAACCTTTTCATATTATGGATATTTTTGTGTAGGTGAAGTTCAATATAAAGTAAACTTTAAATAAAGCTATTACATGAATAACTGAACAGGTGTCTTGAAGATGAGTCATTATGAAAGTGGCACAAGACATAAATCTAGACTGAGAAATTCCCCACAGGCCTAAGTAAGGTGTTGCCCAGGAGCACCATTCATGAATTCATCCTCACTCAGTAACTATGTGGGGGTAGTTACATTACATACAAGCTGTGCAGAGGCCACACAGCATTAGCATGGGCTCTGAAGTTATGCTTTCACTGTGTATTGTGGACTTAAAGTTTGTGTCTCCCCAAATCCTAACCCTCAATGTGACTACATACAAGCTGTGCAGAGGCCAGCTGCCCAGGTCCAATCCCTGCTCTGCCATCTACACCTCTGCAGTACTGCACTTTCCCTAACTCTAGGTTGCAATTTGCTCATTTGTAAAAGTGGGGTGATGAGTAGCACCTGCCTTTTAGGGTTGTTGAGGGAGTAAATGGGATAATCCATATAAAGGACTTAGGAGAATGTGCAGTACAGAGGAAGCATTCAGTAATGGTTAGCTATTATTATTGTGTTTAATTTAATTACTGAGCACTGTGGTAAGCTGTGAGATTTACAAAAATGAATCTGACACTGTCTTCTCTCCTAGATGCTTGGAGCCTTATGGTGGATAAAGGTCAGTAGATAGGGACAAGTACTCTGATAAAAAGACAAGTGAGGCTAAGCACAGTGGCTCACATCTGTAATCCCAGCAATTTGGGAGGTCAATGCAGGAGAATTGCTTGAACACAGGAGTTCAAGACCAGCCTGGGCAATATAGTGAGACCTTGTCTCTATGAAACAAAGCAAAAACAAAACAAAACAAAACAAAACAAAACAGAAATTAGCCAGGCATGGTGGCATGCACCTGTGGTCCTAGCTACTTGGGAGGCTGAGGCAGGAGAATTGCTTGAGCCAGGGAGGTCAAGGCTGCAGTGAGCTATGATTGTGCCATTGCACTCCAGCCTGGGTGACAGAGCAAGACCCTGTCTCAAGATAAAAAGAAAAAAAAGACAAGTTAATTTCATCAGCCCAGTGGGTCTCAGCATAACTGGATTTTAGAATCACCTGGGCAGCTTTTTAAACAAATGCCAATACCCAGATTCCACCCCGACCAATTACATTAGTCTTTTTGGAGGCGAGGCTCAGATGTCAATATTTTTAGACCTCCCCAGGTGATTCCAGTGTGCACCAAGGTCAAGAGTGACTGAACTAGAAGGGAGAGGGAGACTTGAAGATGAAGCAGCATTTCCCCAAGGCCATGGAGCATAGGTTGCAAGTAGACTCGCAGAAACAGGGAGGAATGCGGGATGGTGATGGAGAAATTTCTGTCAAGTGGACATGGAGGAAGGCATGTGAGAAATGCAGAAAAAGATGAGGTGGGGATGGGTTTGGGGAGGGTTTAGGGGGCAGGTTATTCAGTTCAGCAGAGGTATGGGGGTTATGAAAAGCAAGATGGTTATAACAATAATTTGGAGTCAGACTGAGGAAGTGTTGACTGACATTTAAGGAGTAGGTGCCATGGAAGGTGTTTGGGCTCAGGCAGCCTCACTCTACCTTACCAGGATGGTGGGCACAGGGCAAAGGGGCTAAACAGCAGCAGAAGCAGCAGAGGGTTCCATCACATAATTTTGAAGTGGAGAAGTCCCCACCTATTCCCTGAAGAGAAACATCATGTGGATGCCCACAACGGAGAAGATATGGAGAGTCAGAGAGAACAATCTGCAAGGCAAAAAGCCTAGAGCCCTTTCCCCTTAACCCCTCCTCCCTAAACTCACATGCACTAGGGGAGGACGAGAAGAGGAAAAAAAGCAAGTCCCCCTTCTTCCAGACTGCAAGGACCTCAGGCCATGGTCAAGGCAGAGCTTGGTTCTAGCAGGAATTGGGATGAATGTTATAATGAATGTGTGATTAAAGTTTTAAAGTTGGATTGGGCTGGGCATGGTGGCTCACGCCTGTAATCCTAGCACTTTGGGAGACCGAGGCAGGCAGATCACCCGAGGTCAGGTGTTCAAGACCAGCCTGGCCAACATGGTGAAACCCCGCCTCTATTAAAAATACAAAAATTAGCTAGGCGTGGTGGTGCATGCCTGTAATCCCAGCTACGGTGGAGGCTGAGGCAGGAGAATTGTTTGAACCCAGGAGGTGGAGGTTGCAGTGAGCCAAGATCGCACCACTGCACTCCAGCCTGGGCGACAGAGTGAGACTCCATCTCAAAAAAAAAAAAAAAAAAGTTGGATTGAACAGGACTTTTGAATCACAGCAAGTCTGGGGACTTGCCTACGGTGTCATGAAAGATTAGGAGAGAAATTTTTGATCAAATATCTACTGTGTGCTTCCCACTGATGGAGGCAGTGAGAGTACAGCTCACAGTCCTTGGGGAGCTGAAATTCTCACAAGGGAAAAAACCGAAGTGGACAAAAACACAGATAAACTAATACATCTCACAGATGACTCAGGTGGTGAGGGCTGCTAAGGAGAAAAGAAAAGGCAAGGCCACGGAGGGTGAGGTGATGGGCTGCTGGCTACTTAGACAGTAGGCAAGGTTCTCTGAAGTTGGCGTGGAGGCAAGGAGGTAGCTCTTCTGATCCCCAGCCTGGGTCCACTGCTCTGAGCTACTCCGGTCTGACAGCCCACGTGCTCCCCAGTGCTCATCACAGAAAATAAAAGGGGCTATGTCTAGGTTGCCCGCAGCTCCTGTCCTGATTGGGTTTCCTAAAGGGCTGCAAGGCAATGATTCTTTTTTGTGGTTCCAGGGCTAGACATACAGGGGATATCTATTGAACTTTCTCAAAACAAAATGGAATACAGTGATGTCAGCTGAAGGGACTAGGAATTACTAAAATATCAAGTGGACCCTATGGATCTAGGTGGCCATCAGGATCTGCCATGATGGACGCCCTCTGAATGAGGAAGAAAGCTGTGAGTACTTCCGTAACCTGGAGAAAGAACCCTACTGGAGCAGACACAGTTCAAAAGAACTCCAGGAACACAGGAGCCCGCTGCCTTTCTGCATTGCCCCATGACATCTTCTCTAGCCTCTCTGCTTCCCTGATTTCCCAACTGCAGTAATGTCTCCTGCCTTGGACAGACAGTAGCTATGGAGGAGCAAGATCTGCCGGCCCAGGGCAAGGAGTAGGTTTGCCTGTGGCTCTTCCTGAGTGAGAGTTTTATGGCCTTTCCAGGTGAAATTCTCAGCTTGAACTTAAGCCCTTACTTTGAAATATTTTTTTTTTCTTCTTAGATTGACATTAAAAAATAACATAAGACTTCTGCTTCTGGGAAGATGGGGCACACACACTTTCTCCTGTTCCTCTCACCAAGGACAATGAAGAACCCTGGACATTATAGAGAAAACATACATAAAAGGATTCTGAAAGGTGGAGAAGAGAAGGCAGACCAGCTGAGGACCCGAGGAAAAACACGATGGTGAATTCCTTGGGTTTTCTTTTTGCCTCAAGTACCCCAGACTTGGAGTTGAAGAAATTAGCAACCTGGAAACACCTATAGGCTCTGACATACTCACAAATCCTTTCCGAAAGCCTACTCTCTCTGACTAAAGGACCAGGAAAGGGCAATCTGGCAAGACAGAAAACTTTTAGACAATGACCATACTACTCCAGCCAAATACCACAGGACATTCTGTGGTCTCACCATCTCCCATGCCAGAGAAAGCCAAGTGGGGAGCCTAGACTTCCACTTTCACAAGACCGTAATAGGTTATCCCAATACCCCTGCAAGATGGCATCTGTGGGGCTAAGTAGGGAGCTGGGATTCTCATCCTCACCGGTTGGTAATAAGCCCTCCCCACCATGGTGTCCGCGGGGACCACATGGGGAGCCTGGACTTCCAACCCCACCCAGGAGCAATGAGATGCTCCTCCCTCTCCCCACTGGGGTGGTGTGAGAAGAGACCCAGTGGAGTTAGCGTCAGCCAGTGGTAATGAGACCTCCACTGTGGTATCAGTGAAGGTCATGTGAGCAGAAAACTCCCGCCTCCACCCAGTAGTAATAAGGAGTATACCCCCGCCCCCCAACAATGGAGGCTGGTGAGAAACCTGGATGTTTGCCTCCACCTGACAGTAATGAGGTAGCAGCCCCAGTACTGCTGGAATGGTGTCCGGGACAGCCAGCTAAAATAGAAAGTTTAAGCAAGATGCAGTCTCATAATATGAAAATGGTCAGATTTCAATTGAAGATAACTTGTCATACCATACCAAGAACTAAGAAGGCCTCAAACATAATAAAACAAGGCAATCAACAGATGTCAACCTGGAAATGAGATGACAGAGATGCTAGAATTATCTAACAAAGATTTTTTTTTTTTTTTGAGACGGAGTCTTGCTCTGTCACCCAGGCTGGAGTGTAATGGCACAATGGCACAATCTTGGCTCACTGCAGCCTCTGCCTACCGGGTTCAAGCAATTCTCCTGCCTCAGCCTCCTGAGCAACTGGTATTACAGGTGTGCACCACCACGCCCAGCTAATTTTTGCATTTTTAGTAGAGATGGGTTTCACCATGTTGGCCAGGCTGGTCTCAAATTCCTAAACTCAAGTGATCTGCCCGCCTTGGCCTCCCAAAGTTCTGGGATTACAGGCGTGAGCCACTGTGCCCGGCCTCTGACAAAGATTTTAAAGTAGTCACAATAAAATGCTTCAATTAACAATTGTAACAGTGCTTGAAACAAATGAAAAAATAGAAAGCCCCAGCAAAGAAATAGAAGATATAAAAATAACTAAAATGGAAATTTTAGAATTGAAAGGTATAATAATGAAAACAAAAAGCCCAGTGAGTGAAATCAACAGCATAATGGGAGAGACAGAGAGAAGCAGCAGCAAAAACCTCTATTAGTAGAGACAACAGATGACAACAAAAAAGAGAGAGCAAGAGAGTCAAGGTACAGATTACCAGTATCAGGTACAAAACTGGATAGGAGAATGCCATAACCAATGCTACCTACATAAATTTGATAACGGGCAAAATGGAACATTTGCTCAAAAAACACAAACTATTATAACTGACCCAATATAATATAAATGATTTAAATATCCATATAACTATTAAGAAAATTGAATTCATAATTTAAAAACTTCCAGGAAAGAAGTCTTCAGGCCCAGAAGACTTCACTGGAGAATTCTATGAAATGTTTAAAGAAGAATTACACCAATTCTACATGAAATCTCCTAGAAAACAGAAGAGGGAATGCTTACTAATTTATTTTATAAAGATAGTTACCAAAAACTTGGTACCAGAAACAGATAAAGATGGCACCAAAGAAATGAAAAATACCCTACTGATCAATATGCCTCATGAGTATAGATGCAAACATTCTTTACAAAATATTAGCAGGTAGATTTCAGCAATATGTCAAAAGAAGTATACATCATAACCAAATGGGATTTACTATAGGTTTGCAAGCTTGATTAATATTTGAAAGTCAATTGATGTTATCCACAATAGTGACAGACTAAAGAAGAAAAATCACATGATCACAACAGTGAATGCAGAAAAAGTATTCAACAAAATTCAATCCTCCATTCATGATAAATCTCTAAGGAAGACAGTAACAGAGGGTGCTTCCTCAACTTGATAAAGACGATCTACAAAATAAAAATTGAGAACTAACATTATCCTTAATTCTGAAAGACTGAATGCATTTCTCCTAAGATTAGGAGCAAGGCAAGGATGTCAGCTCTCATTATTTGTATTCTACATAGTAGTGGAAGTTCTAGGAAGTATATTAAGGCAAGAAAATAAATATAGGGAATACACATTGAAAAGGAAGAAATAAAACTGTCCCCAGAGAAGATGGCAAAATTAGACAATTTCATTATTTTCAAAATTAGAAAATCCCAAGGAATCAACAGAATAACACCTAGAATTAATAATTGAGTTCAGCAAGGCTGAAGAATACAAGATAAACATGTAAAAATGATCTAGATTTCTATATACTAGGAATGAACCCATGGGCACTGAAATTAAAAATACAATACCATAATAATCATACGAAAATGAAATACTAAGGTTTACATCTCACAAAACATGTGCAAAACTTGTATGCTGAAAGCTATATAATGCTAATGAAAGAAATCATAGGAGACCTAAATAAATGGAGAGACACACAATGTTCATGGATTGGAAGACTCACATAGTAAAGATGTCAATCTGCCCCAAATTGATATACAGGTTTAATGCAATTCCTGTCAAAATTCCAGCACTTGTAGCAAGACATTTTGTAGAGATAGATGAGGTTATTCTAACATTTATATGGAAAGACAAAGGATTTAGAATAATTTTTTAAAATATAAATTGATGAATCAGTCTATCTGATCACAAGCCTTGTTATATAGCTACAGTAAGCAAGGCTGTATGGTATTGGTGGAGACATAGACATATAGAACCAATGGAATAGAGAAGCCAGAAAAGACCCACACAAGTATGCCCAGACGACTTTTGACAAAGGTGTAAAAGCAATTCTACAGAATAAAGATAGTCTTTTCAACAAATTGTGCTAGAGCAATTTGACATCTATAGAGGAAAAGAAAGAACCTCAATTTAAGTCTCACATCTTATATAAAAATTATCTCAAAAGAGATCGTGGACTTAAACATAAAACCTCAAATATAAAACTTTTAGGAAAAAAATAAGAGAAAATTTCTGAGACCTATGGTTAAAAAAATCCATAAAAGACCAAAGACCAAAAGCAAAATCCATAAAAAGAAAACATAATAAATTGGAATTCATCAAAACTAAAAAATTTTGCCCTGTAAAAGATCCTGTTAAAAAGATGAAAAGAGAAACTAGAGAGTGGGAGAAAATATTTGCAAACCACGTATCTGACGAGAGACTAGTATTTAGAATACATTTAAAAGAAAAAAATTCTTAAAACTCAACATTAAAAACAAACAAAACAATCCAATTAGAAAATGGGCAAAAGACGTGAGGGGGCATTTCATTGCAGAGGATATGCAGATGGCAAATAAGCACATAAAGATGTTCAATCTCATTAACCATTAGAAAAGTGCAAATTAAAACCATAACGAGACATCACTATGCACCCATCAAAGTGGTTAAAGCAAAAAATAGTGACTATTAAATGCTGGGAAGGATGCAAGAAACTCGATTACTCACTTTACAATGTAATCACTTTACATTGCTGGTAGAAATGTAAAGGGATACAGGCAGAATAGAAAACAGTTAGACAGTTTCTTAAATAATTAAACATGCAGGCAGGGCGTGGTGGCAAGTGTCTGTAATCCCAGCTACTCTGGGGGCTGAGACGGGAAGATCACTTGACCCTGGGTGGCTGAGCCAAGATGGCACCACTGCACTTGCCTGGGCAACAGAGCAAGATCCAATCTCAAAAACTTAAAATAAATAAATAAATAAAACATGCAACTATAGTGATTGCACTCCTGGTCATTTCTCCTAGAGAAATGAAGAATTATATTCACACAAAAACCTATGCATTAATGTTTATAGCAAAGTTATTTACAATAGCCTCAAAGTTGGAACAACCAAACATCAAACTGGTACTTCCACAGCATGGGATACTACTTGGCAGTCGAAAAGGACCAATATCTACCAAGACACTCAGTGATTCGGATTAATTTCCAGAGATTTATGCTGAAGGGGAAAAAAGCCTATGTAAAAAAGGGTACCCACTGTATGATACTATTTAGATAGCATTCTTGAAATAATAAAGCTATAGCAATGGAGAACAGACTAGTGGTTGCAGGAGGTAAGAAAAGGATGGGGGTGAGAGGGAAGTGGATGCACCTGAACAGTCAGTATGCAGTATCCTTGTGGGGATAAAAATGTTCTCTATTTGATTGTATCATTGTCAATATCCTGGTTGTGATATTGCACTACAGGTCTGAAGATGTTACCGTTGAGTGACGCTGGATAAAGGGATAACTGTTGTATTTCTTACAGCTGCATGTGAATCTACAATAATTTCAAAGTTAAAAAGTAAAAAAAAAAAAAAAAAGCTTGATAGGATAATTCTGGAAGAGCAACAATGAAGAACCACTTAAAAAGTTGAACTTTTGGGATCTGCAGTTAAATAAATTCGCATGTGGTTTTAACATGTGAAATTAACCCATAACAATGTGTGATGGAATATTTTGCAGCCATGAATTATTTAAGGAGTGTGTAATGACAAAATAAGTGTCCATGATAACCGTAAAAATGATCAGCCTTTATGTGTCAGGCCCAGTGCTAAGCTTGTTAAAAAGATCCCGTTTAATTCTTACAACGATCCCATGAAGCATGCACTGTTTGTAATTCCAATTATACAGATGAAGAAATTAATGCACAGAAAGAATAAATAACTTGCCTAAGGTCATAAAGTAGAGTTGGGATTTGATCCCAGGCCCAGCTGATTTCAGAGGCCAAAGGTTTTTCAGTGCTGTGCTGCACTGATTCTATCTCCTTTCCTTCAGATGTTTACTCAAATATTATCTTCTCAGCAAGTCCTTTCCTATTTTAAGTTCCTGCCACTTTATTCCTTTTCTCTGCTGTATATTTTTCTACTTTGTAACCATCAGCCATACAACATATGTTACCATCAACCATACAACATATGTTAGCATCAGGCATACATGCATACGTTGTATGGCTGATGATAACAAGGTGGTAAAATTCCAAAGACATATAGGAATTTAGTATATGATAAAGATGATACCTAAAATCTATGGAAGTGAAGAACTTTTAAATAAAAGATGTAGGAAAAACAGAGCAGCCATCTGGAAAAAAATTAACTTGGTGTCACAACTCAACCCTCTACCAGGATAAAATCCAAATAGATTAAAAATAATACAAGGAAACATGGAAAACAGCTTTTCATTTTGGATTGAGAAGGCTTTTGTGTGTATGACTAGAAATCCAGAAGTCATGAAAAGGAAGATTGAAAAGTAAAAAAATCCAAATGTTTACAAAAACATTCATTGGCCAAGCTTGTGTGAAGAAGGCAATCATGCATTGCTGTTACAAGTATAAACTAATTCAATCCTGATGGAGGGCAGAGTGGCATTGTGTACCAAAACTGTAAAAAGGATATATTCTTTTACCCTGTATTTCCATCTCTAAGAGTTGATGTAGAGGATAAACCTAAACTCACACGTGTGAAATAACAAATGTACAAGGTTATTCATTGCAGTGAGGTTAATAGCGAAAGTCTGGAAGCCAGCCAATGGGCATTAAATGGGGTCCTGGTTAAATAACTCATGGTACAACCATTCAACAGAATACTCTGCAGGCATTACAAGTGAGGAAGCTCCCTACAGATACAGAAAGTATTGTTAACTGAAAACAAGCGTGGAATAGAACAGAGTGCATATTATGTTACCGTTTGTGTAAAAAAGAAAGAAAAAGAATTTATGTTTTATTTCTTATATATGCTCAAAGGAACCCTAGAAAGATACATTAAAAATACAAACAGCAATTATCTACTGGGTGGCATTTTATAATTTTTTGTTTTGAACAGAGTGAATATGTTACGTATTAAAATTAAGACTAAAGCAAAATATGCATGATTAACTAAAAAAATTTAAAAACATCAAGAGGGCCAAGCTAAGCACAGTTGTGATGAGAGTCCAGCCTTCAGGCCACCAGTGTGTGGCCTGTGCTTTAAACATGTTATTTGTAGGTGCTGCTGCTATTCTCATCAGGCCTCCGAATCATTCTCAGCAAACAACATTATACGGAAACAGAAACATTCTCCAGAAAATACCTGGAAACTGTTTTTAAGCAAACAGGCGTCCGTGGTGTTAGCTTGTTTTTCACCTCTGTGTGAGAAGTTTATATATATTTTCTTTTTTGTTGGCTTCAAAGAGCAAACAGATAGGAACACTGCTAAAGTGATTACAATTTGTCATGTTGAAAAATAATGCCGCCTTATCATAATTTGATTGTCTGTAATAAGGCCCATATGGAACTTCTGGCACTTTCTTTCAACTATTGTCAGCTGGACTTCAGACTCCTTTAAGCAGATCTACATTGTTAAAGTGAAAATATAAGATAAGGCTTAAAAAGCCTTGTCTGGAATGATCTGTGATGCCTCTACTCCATCTAGATTTCCTCATTGTGTAGCACTGATTTTACTCTTAGTCTTAACACCACGAATCAGTACTGAAAGTACAGGTGAACACAAGAAAATTTGTGTGAAAAATGTTGAATGGTACAGAAACTCATGACTCCACTCCTTTCCATCTGTCAGAAATTTGAGCCCCATGCTGCCTGGGATAAAAGGGAAGGCTCTGCTTCCTCTCCCCAGAGAATATCACGCGAGCACAGAGGGTTCGATTTGCTGGACAACAATAGTCTCTGGACAATCACGAAGTCTTCATTTTTCTTCTTCTGAAAACACTGTCACCTGCGTGTAGCCATTGTCAGATTCAGGAAGAAAAATAGGGTTTGGTTAATTTTTGAAGATAGAATTTGTCCCCCAATTTGCCTAGAAAGGAAAGCAAATTAATATGCAAGCAGGAAGGAATGTGAAGACCAATACTAAAAATATTTTGCAGAATCTCAGAATTTCCTAAGCAGACTATGATTTTTTTTTTTTTTGAGATGTTGCCCAGGCTGGAGTGCAATGGTGCAATCTCGTCTCACTGCAACCTCCGCCTCCCAGGTTCAAGTGATTCTCCTGCCTCAGCCTCCGAGTAACTGGGATTACAGGCATGTGCCACCATGCCCGGCTAATTTTTGTATTTTCAGTAGAGATGGGGTTTCACCATGTTGGCCAGGCTGATCTCAAACTCCTGACCTCAGGTGATCCACCCCCCTTGGCCTCCCAAAGTGTTGGGATTACAGGCATGAGCCACCATGCCCAAACTCTTTTTTTTTTTAAGTTTGTTTTACTACAGTGCTCAAAGCCACTGAAGGAAGGTCAATAAATATATATTAATGTAGGTAATTCTGTACTTTTATTTTTTCCACTACTCCTACCCAATTCACATCAACTGATAAAAATTCAATGAGTAGTTTTTTTTTTATAATGCATTCACATCTTTCAAGCCCATGGCAAAAACAGGGAAAGAACACAGACAGCACAACCATAGGAAATCCAATTATGAAAGGGCTTCAAATCTGCCCACTTAGGACAACATTTCTCTTTGTGATCTCCTGCTGGAGATGATTACACATTAGCTATAAGTATATTTAAAAAGTTGTTATTCTTTCTGAACAATGAATTGTCACATAAGCTCTGGGTGGCATAGTTTGGAAATTATTGTTAGAGGAAAATAACCTCTTGTTGAACTGTTGCTAGCAGCCTGTGGCAATTTCTAATTAACACAGCTCAGGAATCCTCAGCCTCTTAATGCAGTCTAGAGGAGGAATCGAGAAATTACCTAGATGGTGGCATTTTTTTACTTTTAGTTAGATTGGTGGTTCACTACAGTGCTCCTTTTATAAAAAAGAGAAAATACAGATAACAAAGAATAAAACGAAATGCATCGATTATTCTATTACTGAAAGTCAACTGCTGTCAACAATTTGCAATTTTTTATTCCACGCTGCTCTTTGGGTGGGATGACAGAGCTATGGCACAGGAAGGCAGAGATCATTTTTACCCAGAGGAGATTCTTCTGCATGCTATTTTGAAATCTGCTTTTCTCATTTAACATTATACTATCACTTTCTTCACCTGACCAATTCTATTTTTATGTCACCCTCGTTTACGGTGTCTAGTGTAAGGGTGTGCCACAATCAATATGAAAGACCTATTGGATCATTTCAGCTTTTTTTCTTACAGACAATACTGGAAATTTTTTAAAGCCCCATGCATAAAATATTGATCATGTTCTCAATACATTATTTTTAAACATTTTTTATTGATGCATAATAGATGTACATAATTTTGGGGTACGTGTGATAATTTAATACATTCATGTAATTTGTAAAGATCAAATTCGTGTACTTGGGATATTCATCACTTCAAATATTTGTCTTCTCTTCATGCTAAAAACATTCGACTTATTCTATTCTAGCTAGTTTGAAATGTACAGTAAACTATAGTCACCCTCCTGACCTATCAATCAATAAATTCTTAAATGCAGATTTGCTCATTCAGAAAGCATGTGTGTTTGAAGACTTTAAAATTGCATACTGCCAAAGCGCCACGGTGGAAACAAGCTTCTTAGTGGTCCAGGTAGTTGATTAAGAAATTATCTAAGACTTCAGAGGGAAATAAAATAACATGAAAATATAAAACCAAGAAATCTAGATTTCCATTGTCCTCTGGCATCTTTTCTGAGATGGAAATTGAGTCTGGATAACACAGATATAAAAATGTTCCACTTAGCCATTTTTCTTCCTCTTTTGGGGAAGAGAGAGGCAATGTTAATTTCAGCTGCTTATACTAATTGAACCAAGCCGGGTTGGACCAATTATCCAGTGTGATACTCTCTACTGTAAATCACAACATCACTACCTGTTTTACTACCCTGTGGACATAACCTCAGGATACTTAAGGCTCATCTCACACGGGGGTAGCAGAAGTCTAGCCCAGGGCCTTAGCATGGTACATCATCATTAATCCATAGTTATTAACTGATGTGGAGATGTTACATTTGTAAGATTAAATAAAGCATTGTCTGTTGTTCACATAGGGGGAGGGGGGAAAGAAATCTATCTAAGAAAGCAACGCACACTTGCTTCCCATATAAAGCTAGTGTACATTTTCTCTTTTCTCCCTCAGCAACTCCTCTGCTTGAGGGGTAAGTGAATTTGTCAACTTGAGTTCCAATGGCAAGTAAAATGTGGGTAGAGAATTAAGCAATAAAATGTTCTTCTCTTGTTTCCCTTTTGGCAGCAGGCTTTGCTTTGGGGATAGTCCTAAGGACACATGAGTTGGCACACTCTTAAGTATAGTTCCCTTATGTGTGATTTTTTTTCTTTTCTTTTTTTTTTTTTTGAGGTGGAGTCTCGCTCTGTTGCCCAGGCTGGAGTGCAGTGGTGCGATCTCGGCTCACTGCAATCTCCATCTCCCAGGTTCAAGCGATTCTCATGCCTCAGCTTCCTGAGTAGCTGAGATTATAGGCGTGCACCACCATGCTTGGCTAATTTTTGTATTTTTAGTGGAGATGGAGTTTCACCATGTTGGCCAGGCTGGTCTTGAACTCCTGGTCTCAAGTGATCCTCCTGCCTCAGCCTCCCAAACTGCTGAAATTATAGGTGTGAGCCACCACGCCCGGCCAATATGTGTGATTTAAAATGGAAAAATACTGCTGCAGGCAGAGTGAGTGAAGAGTGATTCCCAGGGTAAGCCACACTGGGCAAAAGGGATTTGTGGAAGATTCTTCTGTTCCATGATTAGTTCCTAACAAGCACAACCTTCCAGACTGGTGACAGCATTTCACATTTACTAAAGGAAAAATACCCAATGTTACGGAAAACAAACAAACAAAAACAAAAAACAAACAAAAACCACACCAGAAAACCTGCCTTTAAATACAAAAAACTAATAATCCACAGCCTAGAACACATTCGTCATCTATTTAACAAACACTTCCCCAAAGCGAGAAAACAGTTTTGAATGCTGCCAGAATTAGGTTGCAGACTTTCTAAGAATTGTTTGGCCCGTGCAAAGAAAGAAAGAAAAAGTCACATGCTATTCACTGACTGTTTAAACACTTCTCTGTTTCTGTTCCTCACCCAGTTGTGATTTTCACTCTCCTGTCTACTTTCTATCTCAAAACTCTGTTTATTTCACTCAGAGCTCTTTCTAAACTCTGGAAGTGTTTGCTTGTTAATTCTCTTTCTTTTTTAAATTGTTGGTCTCTCCACTAGAAGGAAAGCTCCCATGAAGTACACTGTTCTACCTGCTGGGGAATCTAAAATCATTCCTGGCACAAAGGAAATACTCATATTTGTTGCATGAATAAATGAAAGTATCCACTTACTTTTTTTTTTTTTTTTTCGAGACAGAGTCTCGCTCTGTCATTCTCCTGCCTCAGCCTCCCGAGTGGCTGGGACTACAGGCGCCCGCCACCACGCCTGGCTAATTTTTTGTATTTTTAGTAGAGACGGGGTTTCATTGTGTTAGCCAGGATGGTCTCGATCTCCTGACCTCGTGATCCACTTGCCTCGGCCTCCCAAAGTGCTGGGATTACAGGCGTGAGCCACCGCGCCCAGCCTCCCACCCCTTTTATATATTGCTTAACACTGGCTGCCTGATTGACTCTCAGGCTGGAATGACAGATGGTCATCTAAGTAGCTTCAAATTCTGATAAGTGCTATGAAGGATGAAGGAAGTAAAGTGGTCCATGATGGGTGTATTTACTTGATTCTCAACTGTACCCAAGAAAAATACCAATGCAAGTGTTATGACGAAGGACAACCTACATGGCTGCGCTGCTGGGAATCATTTGGTGAACTGGAGAGTGGGTGCCCCATCTTAAGGGACAGTCACAACTCACATTCTGTCTGGAAATATAGGGCAAAACTACCCATTATGGGGAAGTCTGAAATATAGAATTGTATTGACATATTATTGCTTTAAAATATCATCAACTTTGTTAATTCAAAAATATAATTAATTAATTAAAATATTATTTAAAACACTATGTAGGCCAAGTAAGATGCATCTCTGGCTAGAGGCCTTCTACAGATGGCTAGTTTTCAACTTCTGGTTTATGTTTTTTATTTTATTTTACTTCTTCAAACCCACAGCCAACATCATACAACTTCTGGTCTAAATGCCTAGCTCAACGTTCTCTAGAAGAACCATTCCTTGGAAAATTGAGCTACCTTGTTAGAGGCCCAACAGCTACATGGATGATTAAGTTTGAGAAACACTTGGTTAAACAAAGTGAAACAGGCGTGCTTGCTGCAGGACTTCTCAGAGCCTTTAGTAGGTGGATGTCCATTGTGAATCTTCAGTAGAGACTATAAAGCAAATAGATTTTCTGAAACTATTCCATAGCAGAGCCCTATTTCTAGGCCCATCTTATTGGACTAACGTTCCACAGACCAACTTGGAAAGTACTATCACGCTGGTTAACATTAGGTGTCAACTTGATTGGATTGAAGGATGCCTAGATGGCTGGTAAAGTATTGTTTCTGGGTGTGTCTATGAGGGTGTTGCCAGAGGAGATTAACATTTGAGTCAGCGGACTGGGAGAAGAAGACCCACCCTCAATGTGGGTGGGCACCTTCCAATCGGCTGGCAGCATGGCTAGAACAAAGCAGGTGGAAGAAGGTGGGATAAGCTGGGTTGCTGAGTCTTCCAGCCTTCATCTTTGTCCTGTGCTGGATGCTTCCTGCTCTTGGACGTTAGACTCCAGGTACTTTGGCCTTTGGACTCCTGGACTTACACCAGTGGTTTGCCAGGGGCTCTCAGGCCTTTGGCCACAGACTGACGGCTGCACTGTCGGCCTCCACACTTTTGAGGCTTTTGAACTTCTGCCACTACTGGCTTCCTACCTCCTCAGCTTGCAGACGGCCTATAGTGTGATTTCACCTTGTGATAATGTGAGGCAATTCTCCTTAATAAACTCCCTTTCACATATACGTCTATCCTATTAGTTCTGTCCCTTTGGAGAACCCTGACTAATACAACTAACTTTAGAATTTTTTAAAGATATAAGATGTTTCAAAAGTTTTAAAGTGTTTCATCTCTTTGAACCTATAGGCACAGTGGTTAAGTGTGTGGGCATCGGTGACCAATTTCCACCCTGCCACTTTCTAGCACTATGATTTGCACAAGTTACTTTACCTCTCCGTGACTTAGTAAACTTGATAAGTTATAGCCGTTACAACTTCTGAGGGGGCGAGTCAGATGGGACAATACCAGAGGGAATGATAACTCAAAATTTATTTTACAAATTAATTGCAAAAAACAATTTACTAGATATTTCAATGGATTAACGCCATGACATGTTAAAGACCAAATTTAAAATACCAAGTAGATAGTACAAATGTAGACTTGTACTATGATTCTAAAGTTTAAGTGAAATCGTATACACCACATATTTTGCAATGACTTTCTATTTCAACTTGTGTTAGGCAGAGCAGATAATGACGTTGCAATAATACATCCTAACAGTCTGAAAAGTTGAACCATGACGTGTACCACCCTTATTCTTGTCAGGTTCATTTAACAAACATTATTGGATGCCAACATGTGCCAGCCATTGTGCTAGGCATTGGGAATACTCAGTTGCATAAAAAATGGTCACGTCTCTTAAGATAACTGTCTCAATGTGTCGAAGTGGTCAGATAACAGAACAGCGTTCTCCAAATTTCAGACTGTGATCATTAGCAGATTTAAAAATAAGGTAGTGGGTCAAAACCAGCAGTAAACAAATCAAACAGAATAGAAAAGAATACAAAATCCCTGCAGGTGTTACATGCTGCAAGAATAGTATTACTTCATGAATTCTTTGTTTCATGTATGCGCATGTATATCAGCTCAAGTAAAATCTAGTTCTTACTATGGGGTCACAGTTAAATTAGAAAACTAATGTAATGGATACACTCAGATGAATTACCATAGGTGGATACTGTAGCAGCTTCTACTTGCTCCATTCACTTAATGATTTCCAGACAATGTTAGGTAGAGAAGATAAATCTGGTTTCTATCTGTGGCATGTCCTCTTTGCTGGAAGAGCCTTCTTTCTACTGAAGAAACTGAAAATGCTGGCTGATAGCTATTTGCACCTTGACACAGACACGTGACTCAATTTCACCAAAGGGCTCTGAGGATAAATTTTAGGAAACTCCTTTCTTATTTATAGGACATTATGACACATACATCGGAAATATTACACGTCCAATTCCAGGTCACTGCAATAGAGTCAATATCACAATAGAGTCACACACATTTTTCGGTTTCCCAGTGCACATAAAAGTTCTCCACTGTCCTGGAGTCTATTAAGTGTGCAATAGCATTACGTCTAAAAAAAAAGTACATACTTTAATTTAAAAATACCTTGTCTCATGGTGTATATGTACCACATTTTCTTTACCCAGTCTATTGTTGATGGGCATTTGGGTTGATTCCATGTCTTTGCTATTGTGAATAGTGCTGCAATGGAATACTATGTGTCCATAAAAAGGAACAAGATCATGTCCTTTGCAGGGATATGGATGGAGCTGGAAGCCATTATCTTTGGCAAACTAACGCAGGAACAGAGAACCAAACACCGCATGTTCTCACTTATAAGTGGGAGATGAACAATGAGAACAGATGGACACAGGAAGGGGAACAACACACACTGGGGCCTGTCGGGGGTTGGGGGAGGGAGAGCATCAGGAAAAATAGCTAATGCATGCTGGGCTTAATACCTAGGTGATGGGATGATAGGTGCAGCAAACCACCATGGCACACATTTATTTTAAGTTCTGGGGTACACGTGCACGTCACCCGGGCTCCTGCACATCCTGCATTTGTACCCCAGAACTTAAAATAAAAATTACAACAAAAACTTTATCTCTAAAAAATGCTGACACAAAGACACAAAGTGAACACAGGCCATTGGAAAAATGGTGCTGACAGACTTGCTTGATGCAGGATTGTCACAAACCTTTAATGTGTAAAAATGCAGCATCTGTGAAGCACAATAAAGAGAGGTACTCCTGCATACTTGGAATCATGTTAAAACCACAAGGGACTAAGCCTAGGGACTAAGCAACAATGGAGGACACCAGTAGAGAAAGACTGAGGCGGGCTTGTGGGGGCTGTGAAGATGTTGAACCAACCTGAACTCCCCTACCTCTAGGGTTCTTTTTACATGCAAGAAATAGTACATCCTCCTTGTTAAGTGAACCACTATTAATTGATTGTTGTGTGTGTGTGTGTGTGTGTTTCCTGCAGCCAAAGTAAAAATGATATATTACCAACCCCTAAATGATACACTATTCAAACTCCATCACTCTGAAAAGCCATTTGATCTATTTCATAATTACTCATTTCTAAGTTTCTAACAATTTAGAAAATATACAGTTTTATTTAGCATGACTACTACTGATGGCCTATATTATCTTCTAACTTTACAAAAACCCCTAGGGCAGGTAGTAGCTTCCTTTTGTGGATGAAAACACAGGTTTTTAAATGATTGAGTATAACAGGCTTAGGTGACAGATGGATCTCGATTCCACTTCTGCCACTAATTAGCTTTGCGACCTTAACGCAGGTAACTTAAGTTCTCCCCAAGTTCTCTCCTCTGTTCAATGGCAATAGAAATACCTACCTTGTTGGGTTTTTTTAACAATAAAAACAGATAATGTATGCAAAATGCTTACTGCACAGCCTAGAAATAATGAATTATTTTAAAATGGGGCTATTATTGTCATTTAACTCAACCACACAGCTATTTAGTGGTAGAGTCTGGACTCATACCTAGGTCACCCAGGCTCCTAACACTTCCACATCACCTCTGCCACTGCAAACATCTCATATTAAGCGTTTCTTACTGCTAAATGCATCAAAATCCCAGTGGTATAGCTGAGGACCTTGTTTACTCCAAAACTTGCATAATGTAAGATGGATTTTCCCTTTGCACTGACAAAGTCTTTTGGGTGGCTAGTTCTCTTTACCAGTTGAAAAGGCATGGCCTTGTGGACATAAGGCAGAAACAACACAAAATAAAAAACAGTTAATAATTCACTTGGCCTTCTAATGTTGAAATTCGGTAATTCTTTTTATTTGTTTTTATTTTTCACTTGGGATTTTGGGTATTTACAACTTTGCATATGCTAACATCTTTGAATTTCATTGCCTCAAGTTGTAACTTCATTGAACAAGTTTCAAATAATTGGCAAAAATAGAAACGTTGACTATTTAAGACTATGGGCTTTGGAGATGGACAATTTTGGCTGTGCCACCTTTTAGCTGTGTGTCAGGAGTGATATGCTTTCTCTGAACTGTTGACTTCTTCATCTGTAAAATGGTGAAAATACAGGAATTCCCTGGTAAGATTTGATGGCTCAATGAGCTGATTTCTACAAAATGATTTAATCACAGAATTTGACTTAAAATGCGAGAGGGATTCATGCTGTCCGAAATCATCCAAGAGTGGAGATATCTGGTTAGCTTCATGGAGAACCTGGCACTGAATATCAAGTCAATTTTTGATAAACAGAGAGAGAAAGGGACATAGGCAGAGAAAATACCAGGAGACAGATGGCGTTTGCACAGGTCAGGTGTTGGCCATATTGACTGGAGAAATTTAAGGGAAGGGTGGAAAATGCAGTTGGAAAATAGGCAGAGGAAACATTGTGGAAACCCTTAAATGTCAGACAAAGAAACTGAGGCTTATGGGCATGGACACTAACATTTCTATTGTTTCAAAAATAATTTTACAACTTTTATACCTTTCTCACCCAAGTTAGGACTTGTGCCTTTGGTTATACAACTCTTAAATTAGAGTCAACTGTGCTATCTCTGTGAGTTTGGGTTGAGGACTATGGAAGGGAAAGGCAAAAAATAAAAGTAAAATGTGAAGTAGAAGACAGGGAGAAAACCCATAATACTGGTAATAGCTAATTTCTCTTTTTCTTCTTTCAAAATGCAATTTGTGCTAAGTACTTTATATGGCCTATCTCATTTAACTTCTAAAAGTGTGAACAATGTGAGAATGTGCTAGATACTATTATTATCCCCATTTTACAGATGAGGAAACTGAGGCTCAGGAGGTGAAGTAGCTTGCCCAAGATCACACAGCCAGTAGGTGACAGAGGTAGAGAGGAAACCTAGGCTACTTGACTATGATGCTTATGTTTAATTCACTACTAAATACCATGTAGGAAAGGACTCTGGAGACCTTAGTTCTTTAATTCCAATTCTACCACTAAACAGTAGAGACAGGATGAACTTGTCATTCACTGAGATGGAAAACCCCGTGAATTAAACTGGTGGGCATTTTGTTTTTGTCATTGTTAGGCGATGAATGAAGAGTTCCATTCTGGACACATTAGGGTTGAGATACTCAGTGAGCAGCCAAATGGGGATGTAGAAATTCAAGTAGACATGTGGAAGAGGAGGCAGCTGAGACTCACGTCTGGACTTCAGGGATGGATCCCGGCTAGAGATGTAAATTTGGAACTTGTCAACCCATAGCAGTATTTAAACCTTTGGGACTGAGGGAAACCTTCAAGGAAATAAGCGTAGTTAGAGATAGCCAAGAAGTGAACCCTGGGGAAGTCCAACATTTAGAGGGTGAGATCCAGCAAAGGAGATGATGGAAGAGTACCAGGGAGGTGGAAGGATGTTGTTTCAAACAGCAAGGTGTGGCCCACTCAGTCACTGTGTCGGATTCAACTTGCAGGTCAGACCTACTAGGACAAAGATAGAGACCTATAGGATTTGGCAGCCAGGGTGATGGTAGGGAATTTGAAACATCATGGTGGCTGTGACAAGAGCCTGAATGGAGTGTGTTCAAGAGAGAAAAGAAGAGAAGTGAAAACACAGAATATTGTTCTTATTATTAGTAGCCTGAGCCAATCTGAGGACCGATGCACTTATCACAATGTCTCTTAAAATACTATGTCTCTTACTAGATTATACACTCCTTGACAGACGAGAAACATGATTTATTTTTCAAATGCCTTGCACAAGGTTAGTGCGAAAGTAACGATTGCAGGATTTAATTACACTTTTAAAAGAAAAAAGACATTCTTCATCTTATGAAACTCTGCATGGCAACACTTTATGCGCCCCACACCCCCACTCAACACAAACACAACTCTGGAAGTACTGTGTTGATAACAGAAATGTGGTGGGTTTTATTTTTAACCAATAAAGGTCAAGTTTGCATTATGTGATTTTGTGTGTGTGTGTGTTGAATCTTTTAAATGCATATCTTACAGCTCTGGTTCAGTTGTTGTGGGGAGAGGAAAAAAACCTCATCCCTGCCAACACATTGGTTTGTATGAATCACAGCTCAGTGAAACCTTTCAGGCATATAATTTATCTTTTCTTTGGCCTATGTAGTAAACGCTTCATTTGTTCATGAATTCTTGCCTTGTTTTAATTATGCTTTGCCCTGAATGTAGTTTTATAAGGCACAAAAATAAGATTGTCGTTCTGAAAACACAGAAGATTTGTATGTTTCCCCCAGGATGAAATGGTGGCATCTTTCTCCCAATTCACAGCTCTGTGGGCTTGTGGCTGGAATTCCAATCCAGCAGGGAGCAAGCCATAAAAATGGGGGGAAGGGCTGCTGGAGGGAGGCAGTAGATGCGGCTGAGCCCAAGGCATAATTCACCCTAAGAATTCTGAATCAATACACTGACATCCAGCCATGTACAATGTGGTACTCCCACCAAGAAAGCCACTGATTGAGAAGTTTTATTCATGTTACTTTCTGAGGGTTGGATTGTCCCATTACATTTATAGAACAATTGCTTTTTTCCCCCTAAATACAGAACTATGCAGCCGGGAGTCAGAAAAGAAACCTTGACAATCAGAAGGCTGTTTTGTTGTTGTTGTTAAAAACCTTTGCAGGCATATGCATCTGAATATCCATAAGTTCACAGGCTGAGGGAGAAATGGCTATTTCATAACTTTTCTGTGTTTCTCATGTACATAGTACAAAGTGGGCACTCAGTATTTCAAATTTCAATATCACTGAAAAAAATGGAAATTTGTCATGTAACAAAATCAGATGCAGACTTCACTGGTGAATCTGAGGGAGTGAATTCACTTATTCAGAAAGGAAGACAGTTACAATTCTTGGGTCTTCTGAGAGATCATTATAACTTGAAAATATTACACAAGGGCTTTGCTATATTAGATACCTGCCATGTTCCTAACACAAGCTCCCATTTTCTGACTCAAATCTCATTTTGGAACACATTCCACTCAAATTGAGGTTCTACCCCTAAGAGTTCTTTTTCAATAAAGAAAGCTGAGTTAATAAATCACAACTCCAAAACTTTTCCTCACTTTTCTTAGACTAGAAATAGATTGAGTGTGTCGAGGTTTTATGGCTGAGTACATTGGAGGGCTGGCTATTCTATGCTGAACTGGTTTACTTGATTAAGATGGGGATTTGGATGAGTCACCGGACACCTGTCCAAAGATGAGTAAAACACATTCCTTCATTGTCTTCCCATAAATAACTCAATCTTCTCCTAACTGAGCCAATGGATAGGCTTTGGATGCCCAAGCAAAACAAACACATGACTGTTAAAAAATCACAACCTCAAAATGGCCTTAGAAGCCTATGACCAATAATGAGAATGGTTTCTCCACTCAGGCGCAAGTAGTAAACAGTTTCTCCCATATGCAGGAATATTGACGACTAGTTTACCGCCTCTGGGCACGTAACTTTCAGGTCCTGGTTCATGCATTTGCTGGAATGTTCCCTGGGCCATGGAGCCCAGTTCTCCTGGCATCTGGCATCTCCCCCACACTCTGCTCCCCCAGCACAGCACTTGGCATCTTGCATTGCAATTGCAGGTTTATTTATTCACTTCTCTCACTGGACAGCAAACTCCACCAGGGCCGAGACTCTGTGTCTCGCCCTTCACTGTGGTCCCTGTGCCTCACCTGTTCCTAGTACAGTGTCACACTCAGTAAAGAGCAGATGCCTGGTGCATTTGGAGACTTATTTTAAATTATACGGAAAGTTATTCAACCGGCTTCTTGAACTGGTGAATTTTGGAAAGTGGGTGTTTGAAGGGAAAATGTTTAAACTCTGAAAGAAATGTTGGAAATAAGCTCTTTGAATCAAAATGTATAGAAAACACAAGAATGCTGACAGTAAGAGCCTAAAACACATGATGACTATTATCTTTTCCCAATTTTAACTCTCCAGAGTGTTCAGCGGTGCCCAGCCTTCATAATGTAATTCTTCGTAGCACCCTGGATGCATTAAAACCATAGATTAACGTGATACTTATTTTCATTAAGGAAAATAATTTACGTACAGTGCTCAGAGTAGAGCCTGGCACATTGAACATTTTCAATAAATGACAGCAAGTGTAATTATTAGCACTTCGGAAGTGCAAAGTTGCATTGTATTAAGACAAATATATTTGGAGCTCATCCAATTTTTTCCTGGCTCTGAAGTCTGCTAGTGGCACTTAACTTTATTCCCAAGTTTTGAAAAATATTGTTATTTAAAAAGTCTGTTAACCAAGGAAATGCATGCCCTAAACCTATAATGTATCAAGTTTTACTTCCTTCTTCTTTTAAGGAGTTCTTTTCCTGCCTTGAATACAAACAGGCTCTCTCAAGGTTAAAAGCAAATGCTCTTTTTAGTGTCAAAAAGAGCTTGCCTTTCTTCGCTCAGGAAAAAAAGCAACTGATTCCAGGATACCTTCTTTGAAAACCAACACAAAAAAACCCCCCAAAAAACAAAAAAAAAACCCAAAACCCCTAGTTTTTACAAAGGTTTATTACTCCTACTTGTTGGAAAAGAATTACTACATAAAAGAGTCTGCCCAGAGCTGTAAAATCTCCTTATTCAAACACACACCTTAGAGCAAAAGATGGTTAAATATCAATTCAGGCTATTAACAGTAAGGGACGAAATGTGTTCCAACAAAACTCTGCATGTCAACAAACTACAGAGACTAGGTAACATCTTTTAGGAATCATTTTTATTCCACTAATGCCTTTTCCTCCAGAATCCACTGATCGTAAACGCAACCTGTCTACTTCCGCCTTTGAAAAATGGATGGACAAATTCATCTGCATGTAACTCACCTCCTCTTTTCTTTTACATAAAACAGATGCCACAGCTGTTATTGTTCTTCACACAGAAGTTTCTACCCAGAGAAACATCAGGATGACACTCTGCTGCAATGTGCTATTTGTTCTAGAGGGGTCAACAGCTTGCCACCTTGCCTAGGCCCAGGGTGACTGCATATGTGCAGTGGTCTTATCCCATTAGCGCCCCCGAGCATGCATTCAGAACCAAGTGGATACACCTTGGCACACTTACCTTCCCTGCAGGGACATCATCGGACTGCCCTGATAAGCCAGGAACCTCATCCACCTTGTCTTGATGCTCTGCCCTCTTGGCTTCCTGTTGGCTGTCACCTGGCACCTTTTCCTGTCCCTTGTCCAGCTTGAAGAATTTGTCAAAAAAGCTGGAGTCCTTGGGCTTGGAGGGAGCTTCTCCTCCTGCTCCCCCTGTCTCAGGTGGGAGAAGCGTGGGATCCCTGGCGGCAGAGAGGACCTTGTCTTGGGCCGGGGCGTGCCCTGGGGTTTTATCTGTGTCCTGCCCCGGTCCAGCTGCCACCGGAAGTGTCCAGCTCTCACTTGGGTCTTTGTTCGCTGGAGCTTTATTGGAGCTGACATCAAGCTTCACTGATCCAAGGGATGAATCTGCGGCTTGGTCTCCGGTACGTCCTGGTACAGGCCGAGAGAGCATCAAGAAAAAACGAGATTTAGCAGCTGGTGCCTCGGGTTTGGCCTCTTTCCCAAGATTCTTTCCGTTGGCATCCGCAACAGCACTTATCTCCGTTGTCTCGGGGGAAGAAGTGGCCACATTATCCGTCTTGACACTTATTCCCAAGTCGACTGTAAACACAAACATAAACAGTGGTTATTCAGCCAAGCCGGGAAATTCAGGCACTAATAATGGACTCCAGACATTTTTTATACAAAAGCCATACTGCATACTGGAACTGTGTTGTTCTCTGGTCATTCTGAAAGGCAGAAGTTAGCTCTCTACATCTCCTTGGACCCTGCTTTTCTTGGGAGAGGAGAAGGCAAGGTTGGTGAGGAGGGAAAGCTACTTAATGGAAAGTCACTAGCTGCCAGGTGTGGAATGAGTGATATTCAATGTTAATTAATCTTCTTTTATCTGTGTAAGAACTCCGTGAGCAGCATATTGTCATGATGTCAACTGGGAGGCAGTACAGCAGTTAGGAGCTTGGGTTCTGGAGCTAGAACAAGGTTTCTCAACCTCAGCACTACTCACATTTGAAGCCAGATTATTCTTTGTTAGGGAGGCTCATCCCGTGCCTCATAGGCTGATTAGCAGCATCCTGGCCTCTGCCCACTAGACGCCGGTCACATTTCCCAGTCATGGCAACCAAAAATATCTCTAGGCATTGCTAAATGTCCCCTGGAGGACAAAATCTCTTACGTTTGAGAGGCACTGAGCTGAAATGTCTTTTTGAATCCAGATTATCTAATTTTCTGTGCCTCAACTTTCTGGTAAAAGGAGACAGATAATAAATCTCGTAATTTTGTTAGGAAGATTACATGAGTTAATAGTTTTAAAGCAAGTACAATAGCACCTGGAATATATTAAGTGCTTAATAAATATCACAAACATTAGTTATCATTATTCATGAGTGAGAAAACTGACAGTCAGAGAGGTCAGTACACCCTCCCCTGGCTGCCCAGTAAGCTAGTAAGCAGCAGAGTCTGGCTTCAGGCAGAAATCTGACTTCTAAGTTCATGCGCTCTCTGTCTTACCAGGGACTTGTATTAGCATAGACTGTTAAGAATATGGGAAGATTTTTAAAATACAGTACTCAGAAAATTTCTCTTTGAAAGGCTGGAAGAGCAGATATCCACACAAGAAGGCAAATTAGACCTCAGGCCAGTGTGGAATTAAAGGTGTAGGGTTATCTGGTCAAGACTGTGTGTGTGGATACAGGCTCCAACCCCTCCAGGCAAGGGCACTGTTTCCAACATCCACCCTTTCTCCTTTGACCTCTACCTTGACCTAAATTAACTATAAAAGGTCCTTCTTTTCTAGGACCCTACTATAAATCAGTGAAATATTCAGGAAAAAAAGAACACCAAGAATGTTGGGATCCCAGTTAAAGATCAAGATTCTCTACTGATAAGCTGTGTGATATGGAGTAAATCACTAAAGATCTTTGAATCTCTTCATTTGTAAAATGGGAATATTGGTAGTCCTACTGCAGGGTTGTTGTAATGCTTAAAGAAGAAAAGTCATGCAAAGGATCTGGCACAACGCCTTTTCCATAATAAGTGCTTAGTAATTGACAGATACTGTGATAACTTTTCAGGTTTCTCTCATGCCTTTGACAACATTGCATTTTGCTTGCTCTATCTGTAGTCAGACACTTCTTAATATCTGTTTGCAGGAAGACAGAAAAATAAAGGGAAGAATTGAGATTTCTTTGATCTATTCATACTGCTCATTAATATGTAGTGAGAAATACATACACACACACATACACACACATGCATCCATTAGCAATTGTTTTTGCCCAACTCTAGTGTCTCGCAGTGTCTAGACTAAACAACAAACAAAAAAGGGGGGAGAGTGAGCTGGATTAAGCATTGAGGCACAGTGAAGAAATGGTCTGGGGCAAGCCCAGGGATGAATGTTAGGGGTTTCTCATAAACCTGAACCTGAAGAAAATCACCCTGCCAGCATATTGATCTTCTAGCTCTTCTTAACCTTTTTTTCTGTGATTCAGGAATTCATAATGATAGAAAATATTATACTAAAGAAGAAAAAAAGAGGGAGAATAAGTAAGTGATAGATGGATGCATCAGGGTGTAAAGTTAGCAAGTAAGGCTGTTGAAGTGTCAGAGTGAATATAAATGAATTGTGGGAATGGTCCATGCCAGGAGAAGAGGGTATGGTTGACAAAAAGGGAAATGCTAAGATTCAAAACAGGGAAGGGCTTTTCAAAATGCCAAGAGCACCAACTTATATCTTTCAGTTTAATTCCTCTCTTCCTTACCCACTGGCTGGAAAGCAAAGGAGCTAGTGGTAAGTAAGAGTGTTATAGCCAGAGAAAAAGTCTTCAAAAAACACAAAGTACTTTCCATGGACAACCTTTTTTATTTTAAAGTGCCAATATGTTGCTTTGAAAAAGAATAAATTCCTTACATCCAGGTATCTGGACTAGACTTCAGTGCATTTAGTGATTATAGCAAATCCAAACAGTAGCTTTTGATATCAGAGAATGGGTAAAGTGTTTTTGACAATTTCTAAGAACTTAGAGTTCTTCGGTGATACGTTCCATGCAACTGAAGCTCTGCTCTCCAAATTTAGGTGGGTACATACCCAAGTCCATCACCTGGGGCTTCTATTTCCTTTGCTCAGATGCTCACCTCCTAGGTGGGCACCTGACATAAGATAGACTAATAAAAATAAGTCCTGTAACTTTTGATACTCCTATTAAAAAAGAGTTGCAAACCAATAGGAGGTACACTTGAGAATCAGCACAAATGAAAGTAGAACCTGGAAATCCAGGAAGCAGATACCCAATCATGTCATTTAAACATTTAGATCCAGCTGTGCCTGAAGCTGAACTTTAGCATTACATAAGCCAATAAATCACTCTTCCCCAACTTACGCCAGTTGAAATTGAATACATACTCAGTGACTTTGAGAGAATTCCAGGGAATTGGTCAGTCCCTGTTTCACTTGTAAATACACAGCAATCAAGCCTACCAAATCTATGATTGATTGGGGTGTCTGAAAGAGATGGAGGGAATGGAATCAACCTGAAAAACATATTTCAGGAGTTCATCCCTGAAAACTTCCCCAACCTAGCTAGAGGGGCCAACATTCAAATTCAGGAAATGCAGAGAACCCCAGTAAGATACTCCACAAAAAGATCTTCCCCAAGACATCATCATCAGATTCTCCAAAGTTGAAATGTAAGAAAAAATGCTAAAGGCAACTAGAGTGAAAGGCCCGGTCACCTAAAAAGGGAAGCACAGACTTACAGTGGACCTCTCACTGGTAACCCTACAAGCCAGAAGAGATTGAGGACCAATATTCAACATTCTTAAACAAAAAGAATTCCAACCCAGAATTTTATATCTGACTAAACTAAGCTTCATAAGCAAAAGAGAAATAAGATCATTTTCAGACAAGCAAATGCTAAGGGAATTTGTGACCATTAGACCTTCCTTGCAACAGTTCCTAAAGGAAGCACTAAATATGGAAAGACCATTACCAGACACTACAAAACACACTGAAGTACACAGACCAGTGACATTGTAAAGCAACTACATAACAAGTCTGCAAAATAACCAGCCAACATCATGATGACGGTATCAAATCGACACATAGCAACACTAACCTTAAATGTAAATGGACTAAATGATCCCATTAAAAGACATAAAGTGGCAGGCTGGATAAAGAACCAAGAACCATTGGTATACTGTCTTCAAGAGACCCATCTCCTATGCAGTGACACACATAGGTTCAAGATAAAGGGATGGGGAAAAATCTACCAAGCAAATAGAAAACAGAATAAAACAGGGGTTGCAATCCTAGTTGCCGTCAAAACAGACTTTAAACCAACAAAGGTTAAAAGAAAAAAATATGGGCATTGCATAAGGATAAAGTGTTAAATTAAACAAGAAGATCTAACTATCCTAAGTATATATGCACCAAACACAGGAACACCCAGATTCATAAAGCAAGTTTATGGAGACCTTCAAACAGACTTAGACTCCCACACAATAGTAGTGGGAGACTTTAATACCCCATGACAATATTAGACAGATCATTGAGACAGGAAATTAACAAAGATATTCAAGATCTAACTCAGCACTAAATCAAATGGCCCTGATAGATATCTACAGGACTGTCCTACTTGAAACCATACAATTACATGGTAATTGAATGACCTGCTCCTGAATGACTTTTGGGTAAATAATAAAATTAAGGCAGAAATCAAGAAGTTTTTTGAACTAATGAGAACAAAGATACAACATACCAGAATCTTTGGGACACAGCTAAGGCAGTGTTAAGAGGGAAATTTATAGCACTAAATCCCACATCAAAAAGTTAGAAAGAGCTCACGTTAACAATCTAACCTCACAACTACAGGAACTAGAGAACTGAGAGCAGAAAAACCTGAAAGCTAGCAGAAGACAAGAAATAACCAAAATTAGAGCTGAACTGAAGGAGATTGAGACATGAAAAACCATTCAAAAGATCAGTGAATTCAGGAGCTGTTTTTTTTTTGAACAAATTAATAAAATAGACCATTAGCTAGAGTAATAAACAAGAAAATAGAAAAGATTCAAATAAACACAATCAGAAACGACAAGGGGGATATTACCACTGACCCCACAGAAGTACAAACAACCATCAGAGAATATTATGAACATCTCTATGCACATAAACTAGAAAATCTAGAAGAAGTGGATAAACTTCTGGACATATACACCCTTCTAAGACTGTACCAGGAAGAAATTGAATCCCTGAACAGACCAATAATGAGCCCTAAAATTGAGGAAGTAATACATAGACTACCAACCATAAAAAAACCCAGTACTAGATGGATTCACAGGTAAGTTCTACCAGTTGTACAAAGAAGAGCTGGTACAGTTCCTACTGAAATTATTCCAAAAAGTTGAGTAGGAGGGAGTCCTTCCTAACTCATTTGATGAGGCCAGCATCATCCTGATATCAAAACCTGGCAGATATACAACAAGAAAAGCTTCAGGCCAATATCCTTGATGAACTTCAATGCAAAAATCCTCAATAAAATACTGGCAAACTGAATCCAGCAGCACACCAAAAAGCTTATCCACCATGATCAAGTAGAATGCAAGTTGGTTCAACATATACAAATCAATAAATGTGACTCATCACATAAACAGAACTAAAGACAAAAACTACATGATTATCTCAACAGATGCAGAAAAGGCTTTCAATAAAATTAGACATCCATTTATGTTAAAAACTCTCAATAAACTAGGTATTGAAGGAACATACCTCAAAATAATAAGAGCCATGTATGACAAACCCACAGCTAAGATCATACTGAATGGGCAAAAGCTGGAAGCATTTTCTTTGAAGACTGGCATAAGACAAGGATGATCTCTCTCACCACTCCTATTCAACATAGTATTGGAAGTCTTGGCCAGGGCAATCGGGCAAGAGAAATAAATAAAGCGCATCCAAATAGGAAGAGAGGAAGTCAAACTATCCTTGTTTGCAGATTACATGACATTATATCTAGAAAACCCCATAGTCTCAGCCCCAAAGCTTCTTAAGCTGATAAACAACTTCAGCAAAGTCTCAGGATACAAAATAAATGTGCAAAAATTACTGGCATTTCCATGCACCAACAACAGTCAAGCCAGGAGCCAAACCAGGAATGCACTCCCACTCACAATCGCCACAAAAAGAGTAAAATACCTAGGAAAACAGCTAATTAGGGAGGTGAAAGATCTCTACAAGGAGAATAATGAACCAGCGCTCAAAGAAATTAGAGATGACACAAACAAATGGAAAAACATTCCATGTTCATTGATAGGAAGAATCAATATCATTAAAATGGCCATATTGCCCAGAGCAATTTATAGATTCAATGCTATACCTATTAAACTACTGTTGAGATTCTTCACAGAACCAGAGAAAACTATTTTAAAATTCATATAGAACCCAGAAAAGAGCCTGAATTGCTAAGGCAATCCTAAGCAAAAAGCATAAAGCTGAAGGCATCATGCTACCTGACTTCAAACTATACTACAAGGCTACAGTAACCAAAACAGCATACTACTGGTACAAAAACAGACACATAGACCAATGGAACAGAATAGAGAACCCGGAAATAAGACCACACACCTACAACTATCTAATCTTTGACAAACCTGACAAAAACATGCAATGGGGAAAAGATTTCCTATTCAATAAAAAGTGCTGGGATAACCGGCTAGCTGTACACAGAAGATTAAAGCTGGACCCCTTCCTTACAACATATACAAAAATCGGCCGGGCTTGGTGGCTCACGCTTGTAATCCCAGCACTTTGGAAGGCCGAGGAGGGCGGATCATGAGGTCAGGAGATCGAGAACACGGTGAAACCCCGTCTCTACTAAAAATACAAAAAATTAGCCGGGTGTGGTGGCAGGCGCCTGTAGTCCCAGCTACTTGGAGAGGCTGAGGCAGGAGAATGGTGTGAACCCGGGAGACAGAGCTTGCACTGAGCCGAGACCACATCACTGCACTCCAGCCTGGGCGACAGAGTGAGACTCCGTCTCAAAAAAAAAAAAAAAAAAAAGAAGACATACAGGTAGTCAACAAGCATATGAAAAAAAGCTCAATATTACTAATCATCAGAGAAATGCAAATCAAAAACCACAATGAGATACCATCTAATACCAGTCAGAATGATATTATTAAAAAGTCAAAAAATAAGATGCTGGTGAGGTAGTGGAGAGAAAGGAATGCTTATACACTGTTGGTGGGAGTGTAAATTAGTTCAACCATTGTGGAAGACAGTGTGGCAATTCCTCAAAGACCTAAAGATAGAAATACCATTCCACCCAGCAATTCCATTACTGGGTACATACCCGAAAAATAGAAATCATTCTTTTATAAAGATACATGCATGTGTATGTTCATTGCAGCACTATTCACAATAGCAAAAACATGGAATCAACCTAAATACCCACCAATGATAGCCTGGATAAAGAAAATGTGGTACATATACACCATGGAATACTATGCAGCCATAAAAAGAACGAGATCATGTCCTTTGCAGGAACATGAATGGAGCTGAAGGCCATTATCCTTAGCAAAGTATTGCCGAAAAAGAAAATCAAATACTACATGTTCTCACTTATAAATGGGAGCTAAATGATGAGAACACATGGCCACACAGGGGGAACAACACACACTGGGGCCTATTGGAGGGTGGAAGGTGGGAGGAGGGAGAGGATCAGGAAAAATAATTAATAGATATTATTTCATCACCCAGGTATTAATAATACCTATTTCATCACCCAGGCTTGATACCTGGGTGACAACAAACCCCCATGACACAAATTTACCTATATAACAAACCTGCCCGTGTACCCCTGAACTTAAAATAAAAGTTAAAAAAATGCAAAAAGATGACATACCAAAGAGATGTTACTTTTCATTTTTAAAAAAGTCAAAGAATTTAAGGAAAATTAAAAAGAAATCAAGAATGACAGTAGCAGCTCCAAAATATTTAGAAGGTAGAGTTGAAAATTTTGATTTTCTTAGTGCAGAAAAATATTTTGTGCTGCATGTTTTTTTAAAGAAAGTCATTTTATCTGTATATGTGATTAAAACCTTATTTCCAGTGCCATCTTCGTGTAATTGTTAAGAACTTGGATTGTGGATCACAGGAACCTGGCTTTGACTCTTAACTGCTCACTCTTTAAATGGATAACCCGGGTAAGTTATTTCCTGTCTCTGTGCCTCAGTTTTCTTACAAATTGGCATGAAAATAACAGTGCCTCCTTCAGAGGGTAATTCTGAGGATTAAATGAAATATTGCCCATACAGTGCTTACCACAGGCTGGTAGATGATTGGTATTCGGTAAACAGTAGTTATTTTTGTTATACTAATATGTTATTAATATAATTACCATTTTGTATTTTTAAATGTAAGCCATAAGGAAAGGAATTATTCCAATAGTTTAATTTACAAACTTGAGTTTTCTAGAAAGACTTTTAAAAACAGTAGTGATATAAATCAATTTATCTTAAGAAACATAAGTATCTGGGCCAGGCAAGTTTCAGAAATGTTTATCATTTTCAAAGTACCAAATATTCTCGTCAAAACAAGCTGCTTCATCAGAGTTCTAATTATATATTTAAACATACATGCACACACACACGTTTGTATTACAATATTCAAAACTTCTGAGGAAGAATTATCTTTTTTTTTTCATGTGCCAAAGCTAAAACTTTCACTTGCTACAGCTGTGTATTAGTCTATTTCCATACTGCTATAAAGAGCTGCCCAAGACTGGGTGATTTATAAAGGAAAGAGGTTTAATTGACTCACAGTTCAGCATGGCAGGGAAGGCCTCAGGAAACTTACAATCATGGTGGAAGTCAAAGGGGGAGCAAGGACCTTTCTTCACAAGGCAGCAGAAAGAAGTGCCAAATGAACAGGGAAGAGCTCCTTATGAAACCATCAGGTCTTGTGAGAACTCACTTACTTTTATGAGAACAGCATGGAGGAAACTGTCCCCATGATCCAATCACCTCCACCTGGTCTCTCCCTTGACACGTGGGGATTATGGGGATTAAATTCCAGATGAGATTTGGGTGGGGACAAAAAGCCTAACGACATCAAGCTGTAAAAACAATAGCTAACATTCATTGACTGTTTCCCAGCATTAGGATAAATGTGTGTAACAAGAGGCATTTTATTTATGTATGACATTTGTTTATTTATTATTTATTTATTTGGATAAATGTCTATAACAAGAAACATTTTATTTAAGTATAACAGCAAATCTACAAGTTAGGTACTATCATCACTCCCATTTTACAGGTCGTGAAACTGAGGCTCTGAAAAGTCAAGTCAGTTTTCTAATGTTGTCCAGCTAATGACTGGTAGATTTAGTATTTGAACCCACATTTGCCTGATTCCAAAGTTCAAACTCCCAACAACATGTGGTAACCAAAGCAGGAACAGAAGAGAAAGAAGAAATAGAAGGGAGGGAAGATGAACAAAGTAGACAAAGTTTAGTTAATAGAATTAGTGGATACCCAAGAAAAAACTATGTACAAGAGGGGGAAAAAAACCCTGTTTTCTCACATCTGGGAAACATTGATATCTATATATTTTTGGTTTTAAATAAAAATTAGGTTATGTCATTCATTTGCATAAAACCATCCAAAGAAGGGCCTCACAAAATTAAAACAAAATCCAAACTCTCTACTATGGGCCACACCCTCCAGAACTTCAGCTCGTACTATGTTTTTCCTCACACCTCTCAACATACCAACATGTTTCCACCTGCAGCCCTCACCACTAGTTATTCTTTCAATCTGGAAATATTTTCGCTAAGATCTTCCTATGGTTACCTTCTTATCATTCAAGACTTAGGTTATGTCAGGCCTTCCCTGACTCCTCCATCTGAAGTAACCCCTCCTGCTTACTCCTGTTTATTCTCTAGACTCCACAGAGGATTCATCACTCTCTGAAATGATCCCATTAATTTCTTCTTCACTTGTTTCCTCTCCACGACCTGTAAGCCCCAAGTGGACCCGGACTTGGTCTGCTCTGCTTACAGCTGGATTCCAGTTCCCATAGTGCTAGACACTAGGATTAAGCCAGGAAACATGGGTGAAGCAGCAAGCACAGAGCTTGGGGCACAGCCTAGCAAACACTCCACAAAGGACCATGATTGTAACTGTAGTAGGGCACACCAATGAACAGGTTGGGAAACTGAGTCTCTGAGAAGAGACTAATGTTGTGCTGGATGAAATTTCTTTTTCTGACAATACATTATCCAAATCCTCCAAGCTTTCAGTTTAAAGGGGAAAGCAGGAACTATCATTATAATTTTATTTACAAAGTGTCCATGTATGAACATTATTCACCGCCGAATCATCTCTTCCTATGCAAGCAACACCGTCCTATGCATCAATATCCTGATCTGTCAGGATTCAGGATAAAGTGGACATATACACACTAATTGCAAAGGGAAATTGTACATCTTGCAAAAGATGCAGGGGTTTATAGAGTCTTGTAACATTGGTGAGCTGCTCAGATCACACACATGACCGTGGTTGGACAAGGATCTGGCAAAGTTAACACAGATCACCGAAGAAGGAAAAGTGGACAACACAACACAGTAAGTTCTTCAAAAGAGTTATATTAGAATATCAAAAGATTATGTTAGGCCTTTGGGAAAACTCAAAACTTTATGAAGACCTCAAAAAATTATGCAAAAATGACCCTTCAATGGTCATGCTGCAAGAGTCAAATGACACTTCAAACAACTGCGGCTTTCTATGTTGTGCAAATGCATTTGTTGTTTTAAAGGTCGTAAAGTCAGGGTACACGTGGCAGATACTTATGACTTGGAGGAAGACGTTAGATTAGATTTGAAACTTTCACTGAATGATCGCATTTCATGCTTTTCATCTGTACATTAAAAAGCCAGAATGTCTTTGCCAAGAAATTCTAGCATAAATAAAAGAAAAGGATGGGATTTTGGAACATCATGGTAGAATTCTTGACTATCAGCTTTATACAACATGTCTGGACATTTAGTGATGGAAATGCTGGATTCCAAAGGAATGTAGGCAAAGGTACTACTACCCCCATGCTCTTCAGAAAACATCCTCTAAAAGCAACAGTGATGATCAGATACTGTGGGGCAAGACTGACAGTGACACTCAAGATTTCCACTCTTCTCTTTAATCATATATTTCCTGTCATTCATGTGCTACAAAACTCTGGAATATGCAAAGCTCATTCAAATGCAAAACCAGCCTTTGCTCCAACATGAGCATATATTTTCATTTAAAGACAAATCAGATGTTTCATTTGATTTTTTTTATAAATCTGATAATAATGTACATTTAACCCGTGTTTACAACCAAAATAATTAATCTCTCTGAACCCTTTGTTTTTCCTGTCTCTATCCTCCACCCTCATTGCCAGATAAATAACATCTGCAACCTGATGTGGCATATTGAACTTTGTTTATACTCACACAAACACGTATAAGCATCCCAGATACACATATACAGGGACTGTATCTGTCCTTGTTGTTTTTATAGAAATTGGATCACATTAGACATATTTTCTGATGACTTTTGTACATTATAGTTGGTCTTCACAGTCAATAGCTCCAAAGCTATCTTATCTTCTAAAATAGCTGCATAATATTCCTCAGTATGGATATACCAAAAGATATTTAAACCATTGCCTAATCAATGAATATCCTGGTAGTTTCCACATTGTTTTTTCCATTTCCACTATAGTGGAATAAACTTTCGTGTTCAAAAATCCTAAACTGGTGCTATATTTCTATAGAATAGAGGCACAGATGTAGAAGTGTTACCCTCAAATCAATATGCATTTAGTTTTGAAAAACAGACACTGCCATATTATTTTCTTAAAAAGGCTCTACAGATTCACATTTCCAGCAGCAATGAGTGTCTCAAGCACCTTTTAAGTGGTAAGCAGCTTACCAGGGGAGGTGGCCTATTATTCTATCAGTGGCTTCAGTTGTTAGGACACCACGGGTCAGCTGTGGAGATACGGTTGTGGGGCAGGTTGAGTTCAGGACACATAGAAGATTGCCAAAGGGTGACTATTATTACTTTGAGACTCTGGAAAAATTAGCCAGGAAACAGAGACAAGAGGCTCAGGGTGCAGCAAAGCAGCCAAATCAGGATGATAGTGTTTTCTTTGGAGCAGATATACTAATGGCCAAGGAACTCATAAAAAGATGCCTAATGTCATCTCATTAGGGAAGTGCAGTCAAAGCCACAGCATGATACGTCTTCACACCCACGAGGATGGCCATAATCAGAGAGACAATAACCAGTGGTAGGGAAGATGTGAAAAAATCGGAATGCTCATGCATTGCTGGTAGGAATGTGACATGGTGCAGCTGCTTTGGAAAGCAGTTTAACAGTTCCTGGAAAAGTTAAACATGGAGTTACCCTAAGACCCAGCAATTCCATTCCTAGGTAAGCAAGAAAATGAAAACATATGGCCACACAAAAACTTGTACACAAATGTCCATAGCAGCATTTTCATAATAGCTGAAAAGTGGAAACAACCCAAATATCCATCAATTGGAAAAAGGAAATCTAGCATTTGCATATAATAGAGTATTAATCAGCCATAAGAAGAAACAAAGCACCGATCCATGTTATATCATGCTTTATACTTGGAAGCATGGTACTAAGTGAAAGACGCCAGACACAAAAAGCAAAATATTGTATGATTCCATTTATATAAAGTGTCTAGAATAGGCAAATCCATAGAGGCAGAAAACAGATTAGTGGTTGCCAGTGGCTGGGAATAGGGAAAAAACTCAGCGCTAAAGGGTAGGGAGTTTTGTTTTGGAGTAATGACGATGTTCTGGAATTAGACGTGGAACGATTGCACACATGGTGCAAATATCCTTAAAATCACGGAATTGTCACTCTAAAAGGTGAATTTTATGGTAGGTGAATTGTACCTCAATTTGTAAAAAGAAGAATTAGATAAATAAACAGCAACACAGCACCAAGGGGTGGGGGTAGGAAACAGACAACAAATAGGAGTGAAGAGTTCACAGGAAAAGACATGCAGCCAGCTTTTAAGCAGAAGAAAAGATGTTTGGCCTCATAAATAGTAAAATAAAAGCACAATAAAATTATGACACTTGGCTTTCCCTTGCCAAATTGGTTAAAAAGGAGACAATTGATGACCCCAGTGGAAAGCGTATAAAAAAAGAGCAGCTGTGGCTGGGTACGGTGGCTTAACGCCTGTAATCCTAGCACTTTGGGAGGCCGAGGTGGGCAAATCATGAGGTAAGGAGTTCAAGACCAGCCTGGCCAACATGGTGAAACACTGTCTCTGCTAAAAAACAAAACAAAACAAAACACCAAAAAATAGCTGGGCGTAGTGGCGGGCGCCTGTAATCTCAGCTACTTGGGAGGCGGTGGCAGGAGAATCATTTGAACCTGGGAGGCAGAGGTTGCAGTGAGCCGAGATTGTGCCACTGCACTCTAACCTGGGCAACAGAGTTCAGAGTGAGACTCTGTCTCCCCCAAAAAAAAAAAAAAAAAAAAAAGAACAGCCATATAGATCGTCGGTGGGAGTGTAATTTGGCCACTTCTTTGGAAAATAGCTCAGTAATATCTATTAATACTTAAAATTTCACAAACACTGTAAGTCTAACTTCCACTTCTAAAATGTTATCCTAGAAATAAAATTGCATAGGGGTACAAAGGCTTACGTATGGAACTATTTGCTGGACTACTGTAGTTGTGGCAAAAAACTGGAAATGACCTAAACGCTTATTAGTAGAAACCTGGTTAAATAAATTATCATATGTCCTTGAGGACACAGGGACACAAAGAGGGGAATGACAGGCACTGAGCCTACTTGAGGGTGGGAGGAGGAAGTCGATCAGAAAAAATAACTAGTGGGTACTAGGCTTAGTACCCGGGTGAAAAAATAATCTGTACAACAAACCCCCATGACATGAGTTTACCTTATAACAAACCTGCACATGTAATCTGAACCTAGATAAAAGTTTAAAAAAATAAATAATCATATGTCCCTACAATGAAATATTCCACAGGCATTAAAATTCCCCAAGGAATTTTAGTAAGGAAAGAAAAAGCTGTGCCCAACAGCACGTACAGTATGTTTCCATTTGTTTTTAAAAAATGGTGTCGGGAGGTTGAGGAGACAACTTATAAATAGACATGCCTGGGATACCTCTGGATATAAGAAACTGTAAAGTATTTACTTCTAAGGAAGGAAATTTGGGATGGGGCTTGGGGAGCCATCAGAGTTAGGGTGGGGATTTTTTCTCTGCCTTATCTTATTATGTATATCGCTCAGAATGTTTGCTATGTGTATGCACCTACCCCATCCATTAAGAAATGAAGAAATAATGAAAAGAAAAAATGAAAGTAGGGAACTAGAAATGAGAGGTGGGATTCAAAGTGGACTGAACACTTGACCTATTTCCCAATTTGCCTAGGGCTGGCCCAGCAGCGAGGCAGGTTCTAACCAATGAGCATCAGCTTTGAATGGAGGGGCTGATAGGCCAGGTGGGCCCTGCTTGCTGAGAGTGTCATGGCCTTAGGGACATCTCCATGTTGCAGAGTCTGAGCCTCTGCTTGGCAAATTCAGAAAATCCAGCTTTTCTTTTTATATCACCTGGAGCTGATGTAACTCTCAGAAGGCATTTTTAAGAGGACTCATGAATTAACCACATAGCCAACTTACTGGCTTAAGACTACGTGACAGAAAGCTGCAAAGGGGGCCAGCCACTGGTAACATCCCACCACTGTCCCTCTCTGTGGAAAACACAGATGGGATGCACATTGTGACGGGCAGGATGCCTGGAGAGCCCACAAATCTGCAAGCACAGCTGAAATTGGTTACAGGATTTCAATGTTTCATTGCTTGAAGCTATGATAACTTGATGATGATGATGATGATGATGATGATGATGACGATGATTTTTTTTATAGCCATCTTTTTAGAGGGATTTGAGGTAGGGAAAAAAATAAACCTCACACTATCGGAGGTTGCCAACTATGAGGTCTGCTGATGGTTTGGCCAACACAGTGTTTATATTTTTTTGAATTGGGAAATTTCATTTAAAAGTCCTAAAATCAGGCTGTTATTGAAATATCTTATTATTGGCTCAGGGTTTCCCAGGGCAGCCATCCTTGAAGCTGTGTGGAGCCCTATAAACAAGGACGCTTTCCAGTTCCCTGCAAACTCCATTTCATTCAGAGCCTTGAGCCAGTTCTTACATGGTCCTCAGACTTGAGCTAGTGCAAGAATACCCGGGAGGGGTTGTGGGAACAGATAGCTGGGCCCCACCCCCAGGGAAGGGGGTGTTTCTGACTCAGGAGGTCTGGGCTCCGGCTACAGAAACTGCACATCTAACCGGTACCCAGGTGATGTGATGCTGCTGGCCCAGGGACAACTCTGCGAGTCACTGCTATTGGGCACTGCTATTGCACCCACACAAGGAGGCAGGCTCTGCTTACATTTTTCAGTTCTTGTTCCCAGAAACATTTGCTCTTTGGGGTATGCTTTGCATATAATGGATCCTACCCACTAATACAGTATGCTGCTTTTATTGATAAACTTCCAGAAACTTGAAGCGCACCTTACCATTTCTTTGATCTCGCTGATTATTTTTATTTTTGTTAAATGAAAATTGTTGGTAAGTTCTTTTTGGTGTGGTAAAAGGATATGAAAAGCTGATTTTAAAAAAATGTCCACTCTAGGATTAGAATTGTAGGTGTGTTTATTCTATTTCAAGATCTGGTTAAAATGCACCTTGAGGAAAAGAATTGAGTGCAGCTGTTGTTATTTCTCAATGCTGTTTCTCTTTTCATGTTTTTTTCATGTTGTCTCTTGGTCTGTCCTATCTCTCTTGGTCTATCCTCCAAGACAGAGATGAGTGATCTTGAAACCCTGCCCATGTTTTTATCTTTGGAGCCCAACTGTGCTGCCTTGTTTTCTTCTCCATCCAAAGAGGCAAAGAGAAAGTTGCATATTACTCAACAGCAGTTGCATGACAGTTAAAATCAGACTGTATGAGTCATGGAACAGTAAGTTGTGTCCAGAGTATCTGTCATGGTAAGTACAAAAAAGTCCTTAAAAATTTAAAACAGAAATGCCAATGTTTTATTTTTGAAAAATGTGAAGAAGAAATTTTCCGGCCGGGCGCGGTGGCTCATGCCTATAATCCCAGCACTTTGGGAGGCCAAGGTGGGCAGATCACCTGAGGTCAGGAGTTTGAGACCAGCCTGGCCAACACAGTGCAACCCCATCTCTACTAAAAATACAAAAATTAGCCAGATGCGGTGGCACGCGCCTGTAATCTCAGCTACTAGGGAGGCTGAGGCATGACAATCGCTTGAACCCAGGAGGCGGAGGTTGCAGTGAGCTGAGATCATACCACTGCACTCCAGCTTGGGCAGCGGAAGGAGACTCTGTCTCAAAAAAAAAAAGAAAAAAAGAAATTTTCTAAGTGTATTCCAAATAACTTTTAATATTGGATAAACATTACGAGTTTAAAAATACTTATGCCAGAGGAGTGCTGTGACTCGTGCCTCTAATCCCAGCAATGTGGGAGGCCAAGGAGGGACAGTCACTTGAGCCCAGGAGTTTGAGACCAGCCTGGATAACAAAGGGAGACCTCATCTTTACAAAAAAACTAAAAAATTAGCCAGGTGTGGTGGTGTGTGCCTGTGATCCCAGCTACACAGGAGGCTGAGGCAAGAGGATTCCTTGAGCCCTGGAGGTCAAGGCTGCAGTGAGTGATGATCATGCCATTGCACTCCAGCTGGGTGACAGAGCAAGACCTCATCTCAAAAAAAAAAAAAAAACAAAACAAAACAAAAAACTTACGCCCAGGTAAAAATTGTCAGAGAAAAATAAGAAAAAAACTGAATGCCCAAAATTAGCATAATGGCTGAATGAATTATAGTATGTCTATACCTTGAAGTACATTGTAGCTTTAAAAAAAATGAATTAAAGTTATACCAGTTGAATTTGGAGTTGAGATGGGGAAGATTATTACAATTAAAAAAAAACAAACACTATTAATGGATGTGCTGGGAAATGTCTGTATGGGGCTAGTTAAAGTAAATTAAAATAAAGACCAGACCTGAAGAATCCCTGAGCGGACAAAGCCTGTTAGACCACATAAATGAGCTAAACCTTGCTTGATTTGCAGACATAAGCAAAACAACTCGAACTGTTTCTTGTAAATGCCTATGCTAAAGAAAAACAGAACTTGAGCTCAACCAATCAGAAACAGTCAACAAACTTAAAATTATATAACTGGGTACCTTCCAATGAGATGATCAAATAAGGCAACTGTGTAATTGTAACACATCAAACACATTTTATATTATGCCTCTGCATTTTCCCTTAATTCTGGCATGTAATGCTTTGTCATCAAAACACTAATTCCCTTTTGGTTTTCTTTTCTCAAATTAATGAATTGCCTCTATTCAGATACACTCTTTGAAATTTTATTGTGTCTCAGATTTGTCTTTTACAAAGTATAGAACAAAGAGAAAAATATGAAAGAAGAAATATTAGGTTGTTAGCTTGGGTGTCCTTGGAGGGGGTAGGGAAGATGTGAGATGAGGAAGAAGCCAATAAGAAAAAGAAAAAGACAGGTTTCACCAAAACAACAATAACAGAAAATATGATTGCATTTATTCATATATGTTAATTGGTATGTATGTAAGTATATATGCATGTAAAAATAAAATACAAAGAATTAAAATGCATACTAATAGTTATTTCAGTTATCTATGGCTGTGTAACAAGCATCCCCAAAATGATTGACTTAACCACCATTTTATTAGGTCATGATTCCATGCATTAAGAATTCAGGGCCGGGTGCGGTGGCTCATGCCTGTAATCCCAGCACTTTGGGAGGCCAAGGTGGGTGGATCACGAGGTCAGGAGTTTGAGACCAGCCTGCCCAACATAGTGGAACCCCGTCTGTACTAAAAATACAGAAGATTAGCTGGGTGTGGTGGCGGGCACCTGTAATCCCAGCTACTTGGGAGGCTGAGGCAGGAGAATCACTTGAAGCTGGAAGGCAGAGGTTGCAGTGAGCCAAGATCATGCCACTGCACTCCAGCCTGGTGGACAGCGCGAGACTCCATCTCAAAAAAAAAAAAAAAAAAAAGAATTCAGGCAGATGCCAGGTGCAGTGGCTCATACCTGTAATTCTAGCACTTTGGGAGGCTGAGATGGGCAGATCACCTGAAGTCAAGGAGTTCCAGACCAGCCTGGCCAACATGGTGAAAACCAGTCTGTACTAAAAATACAAAAATTAGCCAGACATGGTGGCACGTGCCTGTAATCCCAGCTATACAAGAGGCTGAGGCAGGAGAATCACTTGATCTGGGACGTGGAGGTTGCAGCAAGCCAAGATCGTGCCACTGCACTCCAGCCTGGGTGACAGAGTGAGACTCTGTCTCAAAAAAAAAAAAAAAGAATTCAGGCAGAGAGAGGATAGGATCAGCTTATTTCTGCTCTATGATGTCTGGAGCCACAGCTGGGGTGCCTTGAAAGGATGAAGATGGCTGGGACGGCTCACACAGGGACATATGTCTGGAGCTTTAGTTCTGGCTATGGGCTGGTTCCTATGGTCCTTCCTCATACGGCATCTATTAGCTGAAATGCCCATGATGTCTTCTTTAATCACAGGTCTGGTTCCTGGACTGGGATGGCTGGAATATTTGGGAACTGGCTGGGTACCTCTCTCTTGCCTCATGGCTTCTTCATGTGACTAGCTTGGGCTCTCTCACAGCATGGCAATCTCAGGGTAGAACTTCTGATATTGTGTCTAGCCTTTCTCAGAGCTAGTGTTGCAAGAGACAAGGCAGAAGCTCCGAGTCTTCTTAAAAGGCTTCTTGAAAGTCCTGTGTCATCCCTTCTACTACATACTGTTGGTTATATAGGACCAGCCCAGAGGGGACTACACAGGGGTGTGAATACCAGGAAGCATGGGTTATTGCGTGGTGGGTTGTATGTGTGCATCTTTGGAGACTATCAACCACAATAATGCAATAGGGAAGATAATTTTATCTAACAGGAATTCTCCACTAGACTTTTTGGTGAGAAAAAGCACTGAGTTTGAGAAGGATGAGATTTCCCCAGGGCTCTTGCTCACTCCCAAGGAAGACAGAGGCACAAGGAGCTGTTGGGCCATCTGGGAGAGCCAGTGTTCAGAACTCTCTGTTATTACTTTAGACTCAGTGGTGATACAGTGCAATGGAGGGAAAGAAGAAAGGAGAGTGCCTGTGAGTGTTACCAGTGGAGAGTTGTCCAGGTTCTTGGTGTTTTGAACAAAAAAATTGGACAAAATGCACAAAGCAATGAAAGCACAGATTTATAGAAATGAAAGTACACTCCACAGAGTGGGAGCAGGTTTGAGCAAGTGGCTCAAGAGTGCTGGTTACAGAAATTTCTGGGGTTTAAATACCCTCTAGTGGTTTCCCATTGGTTACTTGGTGTATGCCCTATGTAAATGAAGAGGATGAAGGGAAGTTACAAAGTTATTTACTTGGTGTACACCCTATGCAAATGAAGAGGATATTTCCTGCCATAGCTGAAGTGCAGTTACATCCATAGTTGAGCATAGAAAGTTGTGGGTTTTCTGCTTGATTTAGTTCTAGGAAGTCCTTAGCTTCCCCGCCTCCAGACCCTATTCCCCTACCTCATGAGGATGGGGTGTCTCACAGAGTTTCAAGGTGGAGAGTTGAGGATAGGGAGCCTCTTGAGTGAGAGACATATAGCAATGTGAGGAGAGAGAAAAGTGGTGTTTAGGATGTGAGTTAGATCTCCTTAATGTCTTTTGAAAGGCCAGAGTGAGGATATGAACTACTTTCCTTTGCTCAATTCTAATAATTCTTTGGAATCACCTCTGGCAGACACTGTTTGTGGCCTGCCCAATAGCCAATCGTCTCCAGCCCCAACCATGTATTATTATTATTCACTTGCATCTCAAAGAGATGCTTGATTCCCAGTATCCCATGCAGCTGGTATGGGCCATGTGATGTAGCTCTGGCCAATAAGAGGATGCCTACATGGTGGCAGAGGCTTCAGGGAAGGATCCTCCTTCCTCGCATAATACAAGGAGAAAAAAAAATGGTGGCAAAGTTTGGCCTTTCCTCTCCTGCTTTTGGATCCCATGATGTAGAGATGTGATGTTTGGTTCTGTGACAGCCATCTTGTGAGCAGGAGTGACACAATTGGCTCATGTACTTGGTGTTTTGATGAGGCTGTCAGACTGCTGTACCAAATTTAGAACTGCCACCTCCAGACTTCTTGCTCAAATTAAAAGTGCTATTTACTTATCCAGGGTTGCATTCCTTGAAGCTGAGTGCAGCAGAGTCTGGGAACTTGCCCTTCGGCCTTATTATTTTATTCCTCTGCTACCACTGGCTTAATATGCCACTGTTCATTGATCAACCATTTCTAAGTCTTTAGTGTATCTCAGGCCTTGTGCTGAGCTCTGGGACCCTCATAACAAGAAAGGATGGCAAGCGTCCTGCTCTCAGGGACTTTTACTTGAGTTTGGAAACAGATAAAAAATAAGATCAATTGGAGGGAAATAGTGGACACTAGGAGAACACATGTATTTGCTCCCTTCCAGACAAGTGCTGTTGCCTATATTTTTTACTACATCAGGGAGCTATGCTTTTTGGCATCAGGTCTCCCATTCCACTTTGACTAGGCATTGATATTGGCAAATGCTTCTCTTCTCACTCATTATGTTATTGGCAGGAGCACTTTTCTCAAGTTAGAATTTTCAATCCAATAAAATGATTCCACTTACATCTTTTTTTTAAGAAAAGCAAAATTAGTCTATTCTTTTTAGGAACAATGACTAGGAGCAAAAAAGGAAAATACTAATTTTAGAAACCTTTTATCCAGGTCAAACATTCCTTCTGTTTCTGGAAAATGACGTGTCCTGGCAGGGAAGGCATGTCTTAGTCTCTGCCATACGTTAGCAGTGAGGCCTGAGAACTAATGTCATAAATTTGCTAGAAAGGAATCAAAGAAGGCCAAAAATCAGGCATTTTTATTTCTCCAAAGATCTATGAAGTTTTAGGCATAAATAATATGCAGGTGGGAAAATCTGGTCAGGTGATATGTCAGGGAAAGCCAATGGTAAAGAATAAGTATGAAAATAGCCTCTACTTTTTTTTTTTTTTTAAATAGAGATGGGGTCTCTATGTTGCCCAGGCTGAACTCAAACTCCTGGACTCAAGCAATCCTCCCACCTCAGCCTCCCAGAGTGCTGGGATTTTAGGCGTGAGCCACTGCACCCATCCCAATAGCCTCTACTTTTAGTTTTGCCCGGACTCCTTTATTTCAGCACTTTTATCTTGTGCCAGCTGCTGTTTTTAGAGCTCCCCTACAAAGTTCATACTATTATTCCAGTTTTACAGATGAGACTCAGAATAAACTTCCTTGCCAAGGTTGTACAGCTAGTGAGTGGCAGAGCCAAAACCTATGCTTGGGTCTGTTAGAGTCCAATGCTTGAGAGGATATGGTTCCATTTCCGATTGCTGTAATGAATTATCCCAAATGCCCCAGCACAAATATATTACAGTTCTGAAGCCTGTAGGTCAAAAATGGGTCAGCTTCTAGAAGCTGTAGGGGAGAATCTATTTCCTTCTTTTCTCTGGTATCCAGAGGTCACCTACATTCCTTGGCTTGTGGCTCCATTCTCCAGCTTCCAGTCCAGCAGTGTAGCATCTTTAAGCCTCTCTCTCTTTGTGACATCTGCTCCCATAATCACACCTTTTCCTACTCCAACCCTTCTGCCTCCCTCTCATGAAGACCCTTGTGATCACACTGGGTCCACCTGGATAATCCAGGATAATATCATCATCTCACATTCCTTAGTCACATCTGCCAAGTCCTTTTGCCATGTAAGGTCACATACTCATAGGTGCTGAAGATTAGATGTGAGCATTTGATGGGAGGAAGGGCACCGTGCCTTGTGCTGGACTCTTAGCTATAATACTCTGTGGTCTCATACATGAAGAAATTGCATAAGTAAGTTGCACTCCCTAGTGTATGCACTCTCAGTGGGGATGGTATTAATCCCAAGAGGGCGAAAATGGTTCTATGGGAGAGGATGAACAAAACTCATTCTTTTTACGTATAGAGCACAGATACAGTACATACACAGATACACGTCAGTGATATTACAATTTCATGAATGGGATGCGCTTAGCTCTTAATGCATTACCTCGTCTAGTCCTGGATGTCACCTGCGAGGCCAACGTGTCATCTCACTTGCCCACCTGCCTTCTTTGCCCTGGCCGTCCACGCTCTGCCTCCCCTTGCGTCCCTCCCCAACACCTCAGCTCTGCTTGAGTGAGAAGATGACTCTGGGGTCCCCCTTGAGAACATATGTGCCTTTTAAAACTATGTTTTTGTTATTGAAGAACAAATGTTAACTAAATCACATCAGCATTAGCTGCACTCTCACAGAGCTTGGTTTTATGCTAATACTGGCCATCTATCTCTTTAGGTGGGTCTTTTGCAAAGAAACAAACTAGAAAACAACTATATTCTCAAGGTGGTAAAAAGCCTTTTTAGGTATTTCCTTCCCAGAATCTCTAGGCTTAGGCTTTCTCTTCTCTTTTTAGCTTTTGAGTGAAAAAGGTAAGGAGCAGCCGTCATTCTCCTTTCTTATTGGTGGGAAAGTGATTGTTGCATATTAATAGGGGTTGTGGCACCTCCGTGGTAATGTTTCACTAAATGGAACAGCATATTCTCTTTCTAGGATGATTAATTTTGTGTGGCCTGACAGTGGTGTGTGGGACTAAATGTTCTGTCCTTTCTAACTGCCTGATCTCTGAGCCATGGGAGATTGAGTTTCTCCTTCACAATCCACCAAAGTTTGCATGTGAACAAAACAGGGGATCTCTGTACGCAACAGGAGGGTGATGTGCTCAACTGTGAAGTGTGGTCCTACTTGAAGTTGTCTGATTCAATGAGATGCAATAAATTAACATACCACATGTATTGGGGGGAGGTGAAGAGGTACCAGATGACAGTCTCCTGAGGTCTCCCTCTCTTGGGCAGTATATGGGAGGAATGGGCTGACAAAATAGCTAAGAGATGTCATCTCTTCACAAAACACCTCCCCATCACATTACTTTCTTTTGTGCAGACTCCTCCTGCCCCCAGTGATGAATCCAGAGGAAGCAAAAGAACTGGTTGAGCAGAAGACACCCTTCTAACATAGCAAATGATCTTTCCCCCCATTCTTTATTGAATTTATTTTTTTTCTTTAGTTGATGTGAGCTGCTTTTGACTATGCTGGTTTTTTTTTTGTTTGTTGTTGTTGTTGTTGTTGTTGTTGTTGAGATGAGGTCTCTGTCTGTCTCCTAGGCTGGAGTGCCGTGGCACGATCTTGGCTCACTGCAACCTCTGCCTCCCTGGGTTCAAGAGATTCTCCTTCCTCAACCTCCAGAGTAGCTGGGATTACAGACGTGTGTCACCACGCCCAGCTAATTTTTGTATTTTTAGTAGAGACGGGGTTTCACCACGTTGGCCAGGCTGGTCTCAAACTCCCAACCTCAGGTGATCCACCTGTCTCGGCCTCCAAAAGTGCTGGGATTACACGCGTGAGCCACTGCACCCAGCCAACTATGCTGATTTTTAAAAAACTTCATTGTACCTTAACAGCATTTACAAAAATCAGATTTATCTGATTGAAGTATAATTCACATACAATAAAATCCACCAACTTTAATAGCACAATTCAGTGCATTTTGACAAAATATGCAGTCATGTAGCCTCCACCATGATGAAGGTATAAAGCTTCTCCATCATTGCAAAGTTTCTCGATGCCCCTCTGCAGTGAGTGTCTCAACCAGCCCCAGCCCCTAGCAACCACTGATCTACTTTCTGTCACTACATTTGTGCCCTTTCTAGAATTTTATATAAGTGGAATCATGTAGTATGTTGCCTTTTGTGTCTGGCTTCTTTTTCGTAGTATAATAATGTTGAGATTCATCCATGCTGTTGCATTGATCAGTAGTTCCTTCTTATTTATTGCTAAGGAGTATACCATCTGCTATAGCCTGAATGTGTCCCCCAAAATTCATATGTTGAAACTTAGTTACCATGTGATCATATTAAGAGGTGAGGCCTTAAGGAGGTGATTGAGTTTAGAGGGCAAAGACCACATAAATGGAATTATAGACTTTATAAACGGACTTGAGGGAACTAGTTAGTCCCTTTCCTGCCCTTCTGTCGTGTCTGCCATCTGAGGACACAGCATTCCTCCCCTCTGGTGGGCACAGCAAGGCGCCATCTTGGAAGTAGAGAACAGGGCCCTCACCAGACACTGAACCTGCTGGTGCTTTGATCCTGGACTTCCCAGCCTCTAGAACTAAGAGAAAAAAATTTCTACTTTTTATAAATTACCAGATCTATGGCATTTTGTTATAGCAGTACAAACAGATTACGAGACCATTGTACGGATATACCCTAATTGGATTATCCGTTCTTCTAATGATAGATATTTTGCTCTAATAATTCTCAAGATATTTTTGGGTTCAAATAAAACAACTATTTGAAAAGGATGGAGACAAATTGAGGATACTAATTTAAACAATTGCATTTTGGCAGAACAAGCACATAAGCCTCTCACCCAAAGTTTGCAAGCAAATGTGTTTGTCTTAGTGGCATTGCAGGTAAATCACATGGTATGTTGTTTTAACATCATTAGCAACCTACTCCAAAACGGGACACTCAAATAACATCTAAAATTGGTGAGTTAAGCTAGAAATATAACATAAGCAAAAACTGAGACATTTTGATTTTTTAATATATTGTTACTTAAGATGAATAATAATACCAAACTTTTGAGAAAGATCTCCAATCCACATGGATTGTATTACTTAATGTTTGTTTGATATCAAATTCCCATGGTGGTTTGCTCTTACTAAGAAAAAGCACTCTACACGATACATTTCTTTCTAGGAGGATACAGAATGTAATTTCATGTTTTAGTTTAAAAGAGGTATTTTCCCTGATTGATATCTCTCACATTGTATCGAAAGACAAATAAAAGACTTACAAGGCATAAGGGATGTAGGAAAGACTAGTTTTAACTTTTGATCTTAAAGTTCCAAAAGATATGTTAGGCAGAAATAATACAGTTAACTTCAAATAGCAATGGCAGTCTTTATGTCAATTGACATTAAATCCAAGACAGAATAACTTTCCTTATGTGTTTACCACATGCCAGACACTGTTCTGAGAGTTTTAGGAGTATCAACTTATTTAAACCGTACAATAACTTAGAAGCTTTGGTCCTATCATTATTATAATTCCCATTTTACAGATGACAGAACAAAGAAGCTCAGAAACCTGCCCAAGCTCACATATTGGAGCCATGATTCAATGTAGCATTCCAGCCTCTTTGGCTGTTTGCTTAGCCATGGTACCATTGCTGCTTCTAAATAAGCCTTCATAGGAAATATTATTGGATGCCAATGGTATTAGTCTGTTCTCAGGCTACTAATAAAGACATACCTGAGACTGGGTAATTTATAAAGGAAAGAGGTTTAATGGACTTACAGCTCCACATGGCTGGGGAGACCTCACAATCATGGCAGATGACGAAGGAAGAGCAAAGGGATGTCTTACATGGCAGCAGGCAAGAGAGCATATGCAGTGGAACTCCCTTTTATAAAACCATCAAATCTCGTGAGACTTATTCACTATCATGAGAACAGCATGGGAAAAACATGCCCCTATGATTCAATTACCTCCTACTGGGTCCCTCCCATGACACGTGGGGATTATGGGAGCTACAGTTCAAGATGAGATTTGGGTGGGGACAGAGCCAAACCGTATCACCAATGAATTGTTTTAATTGTAATTTTTGTAAGTAGGAAAAGTATAGATAAAAAGAAACCAAACAGTCAACTAGATTTCTATTTACATATTTTTCCAATGACTTTTCTATACCTCTATACATATATGTATACACCAATAGAGATCAATAGAAATGTGCATCAAAAGACATGGTCAAATAATTCTCTCTGAAGGACAAGAAAGGGTCACCCAGAATTTCACTTTTATACCCCTTAAAACTGCACTGAAAATTATAACTTAGCTAATAACCTTAGGAAAACTGCATGAGGACAACAATAAGCTTAAAAGGGGTAATCACTCTAAAGCAAGTTTCACAGGTTGAAGATGTCAATGAATAACAGGCAAAATTGCTACCTCGGGATTAACTGGGACTCTTTACAAACTCTCCAGCAGTAGCTGAGGATGTTGACAGCAAGACTGCCAGGTGTGAGGGCGAGGTACAAATAACCCATGACTCAGAAATGTGTGTTTCTTTTCCCTCGTCATGTGCAGGTGTTCACACGGCAACTGCTGTCTCAGACTGTTGTCCTACGTTTCAAGAGAAACCTATTTCCCTCCTTTTGGGAACATCTTTGTAATATACATACATATATATGAAATATGCATATATATATGTATATCTCAAATATGTGCATACATGTATGTGAGACATACACATATATGAGATATACCTATGCATATGTGTATCTCATATATGTTAACACACATGCATAATATATAAAAAACATAAATATATTACAGGTGAGAGAGGAAAGAAAAGAGAAAGTGAGATGGAGGATGGAGAGAAGGATAGAGAAGAGGCTTTCTCAATCCCAACAATTTTTCCCTATTCATTCCTTGCCCTTGCACTCCATATTAAACATAAGAAGATAATTGAAAACAAACAACCCGATTAAAAATTGGGACAAAATGAGAATGTAAACTGGCGTAGTCATTATGGGAAATAGTATGGAAGTTCCTAAGAAAGTTAAAAAATAAAACTACTATATTAGTCTGTTTTTCACACTGCTGATAAAGACATATCTGAGACTAGGAAGAAAAAGAGGTTGAATTGGACTTACAGATCCATATGGCTGGGGAGGCCTCAGAATCATGGCGGGAGGTGAAAGGTACTTCTTACATGGTGGTGGCAAGAGAAAATGAGGATGATGCAAAAGTGGAAACCTCCGATAAAACCATCAGATCTCATGAGACTTATTCACTACCATGAAAACAGTATGGGGGAAACTGCCCCCATGATTAAAATTATCTCCCACTGGGTCCCTCCCACAACACATGGGAATTATGGGAGTACAATTAAAAATGAGATTTGGGTGGGGACACAGAGCAAAACCATATCAACTACCATATGATTCAGCAATCCACTTCTGGGTATATCTAAAAAAGTGAAAGAAGGGTCTCAAAGTGGTAGCTGTAGCCCCAGGTTCATTGCAGCATTATTCACAATAGCCAAGATATGGGAATGACCTATGTGTCCATCAGTGGATGAATGGAAAAAGGAAATATATATATGGACACACACATATACATATACATGTGTGTAAATACACACACACAACAGAATAGTTATTCAATCATACAAAAGAAGGAAATATTGGCATTTGAAACAACATGGATGAACCTGGAGGACTTTAGGATAAGTGAAATAAGCTAGACACAGAAAGACAAATACTATATGATCTCACTTTTATGTGGAATCTAAAAAAGTTGAATTCATAGAAGCAGAGAGTAAAATGGTGATTATCAGGGGCTAAGGTCCAGGGAAAATTTTGGTCAAAAGGTACATACTTTCACTCATAAGATGAATAAGTTGCATGGTAAATATAAGTTAATAATACTGTTTTGCTTACTTGAAATTTGCTAAGAGTAGATTGTAAGGGTCCTCACCACACCCTACAACAAAAACAAAAAAGTAGCTATGTATGGTGGTGGATGTGTTGAATATATATATACACATACACACACACACACACACCATGGAATACTACTCAACCATAAAAATAACAAAATAATGTCTTTTGCAGCAACGTGGATGGAACTGGAGGCCATTATCCTAAGTGAAGCAACTTAAGGACAGAAACCAAATACTGCATGTTCTCACTTGAAAGTGGGAGCTAAGCCATGTGTATACCGGGGCGTAGGGTAGCATAATGGATATTGGAGACTCCAAAGAAGGGAGGGTGGGAGTGGAATGAGGGTGAAAGTTACTTATTGGGTACAATGTATACTACTCAGGTGACAGGTACATTAAAAGCCCAGACTTTGCCACTATATAATCACATCCATGTAACCAAAAACCACTTGTACCCTAAAGCTATGATTTTTTTTTAAAAGAACCTTCTACAGAGCCCCCAATAGTTCAGGTTCTCAGTCCCCAACTTTAGGGTATTCTGAATAGCAGCTACGGGATGAGACTAGGGCATGGAATTTTTAATACATTCCCTAGGAAATTCTAAAAGCTTTGGAACCAATGCTGTAATATACCTCCTTCATTACTCAGGAAAGGAAACTGAAGCCCAGAATCTTACATGTGAAAGAAAACAACCATAACCATAATATGATAATGATAGGAGCACTTATTATCAGTCAGGCACTGTAATATGTGCTTTCATTATATCAGATGCTTATGCTATAAGTACTGTCATTATTCCCACTGTACAGATGAGGAGCCAGAGGTTCAGAGAGGTTATGTAACTTGCTCAAGGTCACACAGCTAGTACGTGGCAAAGCTAGCAATCTGATTGCAGAATTCTTACCCTCAACTACTGGGCTATACTACCTCTTCTTACATAATTTATATGTATCCGTCACATAGTAGAGCCTGACCACCCTGGAAGCATTGAATATACAGTCTTATACTCCAGGATAAAGTCAAATAGGTAAGTATATGCCTCAGTTTTAACACTGCCCTCATGTGGACACAATTCTGTTGTCTTTTATAATTTATCAGCTTCTGAGGAATTCCTAAGTGCTGATAATGGCAGAGGCTGTGCACATTTGGGGAAAAGGAATATATGAAATATCGCTGGAGACTATGTTAAATGTTTAATAAACAACCTCCTTTAATCCTGATAGCAATTCTGTGAGGTAGGTACTTTTATCCCCATTTTACAGATGAGAAAACTGAGGCTGAGAAAAGCAGATGCCTTGTTCCAGGTCACACAGCCAGTAATCTGCAGGGCAGAGATTGCAACCTAGGTCTGCCAAGCTTCATGTTTTCACTCTATTGCTTTTATCTTATCTGCTGTAACTCCTCAGTCTCCTCCAGCTGTCACACACACTCAGAAGAGATCTGTTGTTATGGCTGAATCATATTGCCCCCAAAGATGCTGAAGTCCTAACCCCCTGTGAATGTGACCTTATTTGGAAACAGGATCTTTGCAGATGATCAAGTTAAGATGAGGTTATTAGGGTGGGCCCTAATCCAACATGACTGCTTCCATATGATGAAGGGGAAATTTAGACATGCATAGAGGGAAGATGACATGAAGATGCAGGGAGGAGATGGCCATATCTACAAGCCAATGAGAGGGGCGTGGAACACGTTCTCCCTGATGACCCGCAGAAGGAACCAATTCTGCTGACAACTTTATTTTGAACTTTTGGCCTTCAGCACTGTGAGACAATACATTTCTGTTGCTTAAGCCACCAGGGCATGGTAGCCCAAGGAACAAACGCAAGTATTTTCAAACTGAGCCTGCGGCTTCGACCCTTTCATTTTTTTTTTTTTTTCACCGTAAACAGCATCTGCAGACCCCCCTTCCCCACGAGAGGGTAGATGCCCTTCCCAGAGTAGCACTGACCTTCCTCTAAGTGCTGAACTGTGTGGGTCGACACCACCACTGGAACCCCGTTCAGAGCAGACGCGTTGTCCTGAAACAGAGCACGTGGCATTGTGAGACAAATCTTCGGGGGAAAATCAGAAGAACTCAAGGAAGAACCTCTAAGATACAAGGGTGTCTCACAAAAAATTAAACTTAACTTAAAGGCTGTGTTTCTAGAAACTCCCCAGTTTTCTATCATGCCTTGGAGAACCAAAATAACTCACTCCAAGAGTGGACTCCAGTTATTATGAGAGCACACCATGGTGCCTCAGCTCAGGGGACCCCACACTCACAGGAAGCTCTGACCCGTCGCACGGAGGGGACCCCAGGCTCAAATGGGCATTTGTCAAGTCAGGGCTGGAGCACGAATTTAATATGCTGATTCTGACACCTTTTAGGTTATCCTCGCTCCACTGTCTTGCACACACAGACACAATCAATCAGCAGCCAGGACTTCAGTCAACACACTTGTCAAATACAGGAAGTTCTTTTTTTTTTTTTTTTTTTTCTGCTGATGCCCCTGTAATGGTTACTACACTACCTGGTAAGTCTCTGCTTCTGGTTCATTCTCTTGGTCTTCAACTCTTTGGGGAACACTCATTTGGTTACCCATTGCTCCTATAATGGAGAGAAAGAGAGGAAGAGAGAAAGAAATCAAAACCAAACGAAGCTACATGTGCTACTAAGGTGCAGAGGCCTGACAAGCCGCCCATGGCTGTATTATCATCAGCTGAGATCAGAACAAATTGCTTGTATTAGTCCGTTCTCACACTGCTATGAAGAAATACCCGAGACTGGGTAATTTATAAAGAAAAGAGGTTGAATTGACTCATGGTTCCGCATGGCTGGGGAGACCGCAGGAAACTTACAATCGTGGCAGAAGACACCTCTCCACAGGACACCAGAAGAATGAGTGCGAGCTGGGGAAATGCCAGATGCTTATAAAACCATCAGATCTCGCGAGACTCACTCAGTATCACGAGAACAGCGTGGAGGAACCCGCCCCCATGATCCAATTACCTCCACCTGGTCCCATCCTTGACGTGGGGATTATGAGGATTACAATTCAAGGTAAGATTTTACGTAGAGACACAACCAAACTATATCATTGCTTATATTTATTTTGGGAAATAGAAAGGAGATTTTGGACTCATGTATTCAACAGAATTAAAGTTAAATGCAGTCATAATTTTCAGTTGCATTTCATTGCTAGGGGAAAATATTTATCATCATGAAAAGTGTATTCAGTGTAGATAGCATTTTTTTCTCTTTTAGTTAAAGTCACAGCTATTAGGATTTTAGAATGAGGGTAATTGAAATAATAATATTTTTTTCTGATTCTCAAACTAAATTAATTCCCCTATTAAAACCTTTTACACTACGGCCTTTTTTTTTTCATAGCATTTAGCAGGGCTTGTAATTATATACTTACTTGGGTATATATTCATGCTTTCACTGATTTAGCACATATGGTCATGTGTCACTTAAGGGCGAGAAAATGTTCTGAGAAATGCATCATTAGATGATTTCATGGTTGTATGAACATCATAGATAGTATAGCCTACTACACTCCTAGGCTGTATGGTATAACCTATCGTTCCTAGGCCACTAACTTGCACAGCACGCAACCACATTGAACACTCTGGGAAATTGTGACACACTGGGAAGTATTTGTGTACCTAAACATATCGAAACAGAAAAAGTCCAGTAAATACATAGTATTATAATGTCATGTGACCACTAAGTATATGTGGTCCATCATTGACTAAGGTATCATTATGCAGTGTATGACTGTGTCTATTGAGCACAGCTCTGCACCTGTTGCTGGGCTGGGCACTAGGGTTACAGCTGTAAATTAAACAGGCAAGGCCCTCTGACTTCATGGAGCTGAAGTATGGTGCACAGGGAGAGAGTTAACATAGGAACAATAAATCCACAAACGAGGTTGTTTCTGATAGTTCAAGGCAGCATGGCACAGTGGTTATGACCACAGACTCTAGAGCAAGACTGCCTGGGCATGAATCCTCTCTCTGCCCCTTGTAGCTGTGTGTCCTTGGGAGAGTTAATTAGCCTCTCTGTGCCTCATAAGACTGCTATAAGGACCCAATGAGTTAATGCTTGTGACGTGGTTAGAACAATGTCTAGCTCATGTTAAGCAAAACATATCTGCTTATTAAACAAAAATGCATAGGGTTCTAAGTTATGAATAAAAGTAATTTTTTTTTGAGACGGAGTCTCTCTCTGTTGCCCAGGATGGAGTGCAGTGGTGCAATCTCGGCTCACTGCAACCTCCGCCTTCTGGGTTTAAGCAATTCTCCTGCCTCAGCCTCCTGAGTAGCTGGGATAACAGGTGCGTGGCACAACACCAGACTATTTTTTTTTTTTTTTGTATTTTTAGTAGAGATGGGTTTTCACCATGTTGGCCAGACTGGTCTCGAGTGCCTGGCCTCATGTGATCCACCCGCCTTGGCCTCCCAAAGTGTTGGGATTACAGGCATGAGCCACTGCGCCTGGTCGAATAAAAGTAATTAATAACATTACGTGAGATGGGATCATATGGGAGATGGCAGGTTGTGGCACTGCTGGGTAGGATGGTTCTGAAATGACTGTTAATGTGGTTATTGTCCCATAGGTGAAGGGCAAAGTTGAATATTTAATTTATGTCTCCCTTCCACAAGAAATTGTAAGCACCCTGACGTCAAAGGCAGTGTCTACCTTCACCCAATTTTGTATCTCCTAATCTTAGCAGTGTGTTTGCATTTACTGGGAGCTTAATTATTGTTAGTCAATGGAGGGAATAACGATTGATAGCATCTCTCACATATGAGGCACAGACCTAGGTACATGACCACATCATCACCAAACCTCTGAAGAGCTTCGTTATAATAATGTATGATATATAATAATAATGATGATAATAGCAAATCATTACTTAGCATGTTCTCAATTCCAAGCTCTAATTTTGGAGTGCTTCACCTGTATTGTCTCATGTAGTCCTATAGCACTCCTGTGAGATAGAGGTATCATGATTTCATTCTTCATATGAGGTAGCCGAAACTCGAGGGGGTTAAATCATTTTCCAAAGGTCACCCAGTTAATGAGCAAGATTCAAACACAGTCTGGCTGTGCTCCTAACCACCGGAATGTTCTGCATATTACTAGCTTCCCTTAAAAAGGAGGAATGGAACCTCCAAGACCCACCAAGGGCAAACATCCAGTGAGGAATTGACTCCTAGTATATCTGATCCCTACACAAGGACTCTTGCAGCCACTCCAAAGGCCTGCTGTCTTGCCACCTAAAGTTCTTTTGCACATGTAATTCCAATGTAGCCCATCTCCAAAGACCTAGCTTCTGGCTTATCTGCTCTAGTGGCTCTCGGAATAAAAATTAGGACTTTTGATTTCTGGCTGAAAGGAGTCAATGAGTCACCAGGGATTCTTGTGGATCTCTCGCCATTGGTGTGAGTTTTTATTCCCTGGTAGTAGACGCATTGAGCAATTAGATATTGAGGAGGCCAAAAAAAGGGTCATGGATCTCACCATGTGTTCTCTTGCAGGAATTTAATACATAACCAAATCTGGGGATTTTGTATGTCTTCTGATCATACCACATAATAAAGCTGAGCACTGTTAAAACATGTAGGACACTTGTTGTTTTGTGCTATTTTCTATTTATAAAATCCGTGACTCACACACTTGCATCAGATCATCGCTTCTGTCTGTTAATGGGACATTATGAATAATATAATATTGAATCCTCAAGACCAGGGTTGGCAAAGAACAGCGGTGGCTGGATTCAGCTCACTGCCTGTTTTAGTAGGCCAGTGAGCTAAAAATGAGTTTTAAATTTATAAATGGTTGGAAAAAAATTAGAAGAATCATAGAATGTGACACATGAAAATTATATGAAAGTCAAATTTTGGCATCCATAAATAAAGTTTTGCTGGAAGATAGTCATGCCCTTTTATTTATATATTGTCTATGATGGCTTTCATGCTATAATGGCAGAACTGAGTAGTTGCAACAGACACCTATGGCCTGCAAAGCCTAAGATATTTACTATCTGGCTCTTTACAGAAAGTTTACCAGGATTTGAGCCTACTGTGTATAAAAACAATGACAACAACTCTAAAAAATCATAGAAATGATAGAGTAATAACAATAACAACATTTGGTGAGTGCTTACCATCTGTTGAGAAACTTCTAGGAGCTTTATTTGCAGTAAAACTAATTTGCTCTTTGCAGCAATTCAACAAGACAGAGGTATTATTATTTCAATTTTGCTGGTGTGGAAACTGAGGCACGCAGGTTAAATGTCTCAGTCAAGGATACGCGCAAACACATACGTTCATATATACACATGCAAGAATATATACACACAAAGTATCTCTATCTAAATTCAGCTTTTAACAAGTTTTAAAATTATTTTAACAGTAGGATTACAAGCTTTATTTTAAAGCTCTTACTATTTAATGTAAATTCAATCCTAACAAAGCTACTTTGAATCAACACTTGAGGTTATGAAAAACCTTGGTGCTGGAAGACGCATGGTGTACAGAAGTAGGAGAGAAGATTTTTCTTCCCACAGAGTTGGGGTTACATTATTCTGATCATTGCACACCCTAAGTAGCCTCTCGGCCACTTCAAGGTGAAGGGCCCTGAAAGAAGGAAAATCTAATGGCGTGTCTTTTTCAGTGATAACCTGGATTCAGATATTGTCACTCTCCACCAGCAGATATAATGCATGTGTCGTGAAATTGCTCCTGCCTGTCCATCAACCTTTTAAAGAACAGGATTCATCTGGGTGGGACAAAAGCAAAAGGTTACTGCCATCTATTGGCTGATGTCAATATTAGCAGAAATGAATTCAGCCTACAGGACTAGGTCCAAACAACTGGGAAGGCTGAAAGAAGCATTTTGATGTTTTGCAATGAAGCCTTCTGTTCACAGTTGGCAAGAAGATGGCAACTCCTTCAGTGCCCCAAAGGTCCTGGAACTCGTAATAATGATAACCATATATGACTTGTATGGAGAGCTTGCCGTATGCCAGCCCAGTGCTGAAGCTCTATGTAGACATCAGTGTAGCACATAGGATAGGAATGTGGGCTCTGGAGTTTGGAATCCCTGAGCATCACTGAGCCTCGCTGGGCCTCAGTTTCCTCATCTGTAAAAATGGGGATAATTATAGCCTCCATCTCAAGGGGCTGGTATGGAGTCAAACCAGTGAATATAAGCAAAGTGCCCTGAACAGGGCCTGGCACATAAAGAGGACTGCACAAGAGTTAGCATGAGTAGGACTCTCACGGGTATGATCCTTGCTCTTTGAAGCCAGTTTCTCCCACAGGTGCCCGGTAGTGAGACTCTACCGAGGAATCCAGCAACATTTCTGATTCCTGTGATCCTCTCACCGAAAAGTCAATTTGGGGCCCTGGAATTTGTATTTTTAGCAAATGCCCCAGTGATTCTCATGATCAGACACCTATAGAAAATAGTGTGATGGTGACCATCTTCAAGCTTTTTCCAGGAGTGAGGATGCTCTAGGACACAGGACTCTTATGTTAAAATTGGAAAACCCTGGGCAAACCAGAATGACTTGGGTGGAGACTTTTTTTTAAATCCCCGTTTAATAGATGGGAAAACTGAGGCTCAAGGCAGTTCAGACAGTAATTCTTGTCTGTAATAGTTTTCTCCCATTTCTCAAAAAGGAGAAAAATAAATCAGATAGAGTTTTTCATGATAAACGTACAATTGAAAGAGCTAACTTTCATTTTTGAAAAAGAAAAAGTTTGAATGGGGTGTTAAAATGCCCTTTCTTTCATGAACTGATTATATGAGTGTTTTGTCTTTATGACCTTATTTTACATTAAACATACGAAGCTATGGTGGGTGGAGGGGTGTTGTTTTTGAAATTAGACTTGTGTTTGAGGGTTTGGCACTTTGCCACTGGGGGTTGATTGTGGAGGTTCAGATGAGAAAGCCCCTTCACTTCCCCGCCTCCTGCCTGTGTTATGGGGGCCCATGCCCAGACTGGGCTGCATGTGAGAACCTCCCACAGAGTTCTGAGATCCCCATGCCCAGGCCCCTGCCAAACTGATGACAGCAGATTCTCTGGGGTGGGGCTGGGCATCGGGGTACTTTCAAGATCTCTAGGTGATTTCCATGGCTGAGAGCCCCTGTTTTGGATATTTCTGGGGTGAGTGAGTGAGTGTCTCCTGGGGTCAGAACTCTCCTGGCTGCTGCCTACCCTGACCTAGACAACCAAACCCACGGATTCTCAGACGGAGGAATAGCTCAGGCTTCGGAGTCCACAGACCACCATCACCCAGGCACCTGAATACACTCACAACCCTTCTAGGGGCACTGCTTTGCTGACGCACTGTTTCGTGAGCTTGCAAATCAAGAGAACTGTCCTGGGCCTCCAGCTTCCCTTCCCCCAGAACTGGCGGGCAGGGCAGGCTTTCCAGCTGGTTATTCAGAAGCAAGCCCAGATGCCCCACCGGAGGTGGGTGGAGGCTGCCCTCCGCAGTCTCGCTCTCCTGCATCTCTGGGGTTCCCCTCTCTCCTCTTGAGAACAAGAGATCTGGAGTGAGACAGGCATCCGTAAAATCCCACGATCGTGAGGCTTTGGGCAAAGCACTTGACCCTTCTGAAAGTATCTTTCTTGTGGAAAATGACAGTATTCATAATGGTGGCAATAATAAACACATTTAGAGTGTTTTCTCTGTGCTGAGCAGTTCTGATTTGCATATATTTGCCTCTCTTGGTCCTCCCAACAACTCTCTGAGTTAGGTACTTTTATTTTCCCAGTTGTCTTATGAGAAGCCGGAGCACAGAGAGGTTGAGTGGCATGTCCTGATACATCGTGGTACCGTGCGAAGGGGTAAATGTGATGGGAAAGTGCCTGGCAGGGCGAGCACCTAGTAGCTATTAGTGATATAGATGTCCCAAACTCAACTCATGATGGTTCGACTGACAATATTTCAACTTTATGATGAGTATCTATCTATCATCTATCTATCTATCTATCTATCTATCTATCTATCTATCTATCTATCTATCATCTACTTTATCTATCTATCTCACACACACTATATATATAACATATTTACAATGTTTAGGGTATTTTATTTTGGTACCAATTTTCCAGGACTATATATCTATATTTCATATTTTGGATATCTTGTCCTATTCCTCGATGACTTACATTGCTTTGCTAAACGTTTTCTCCTTGGAAATATGCTGTTCTTTGTTTCTCCCTCACAATAAGTGGAGCACAGCGTTTCTGGAGTCAGGAGCGATTTTGGCCCCGAAGGGGCATTTGGAAATGCCTGCATGCAGTTTTGATAGTCACGGTTCAGCTTTGGGGGGCGTGCACTGGTATCCGGTGGGTAGAGGCTGGGGACGCTGCTACATACCCTGCAATGCCAAGGACCGCCCCCTTCCCCCAGCGAAGAATTGTCTGCTTTGCTGAGGGTCGCTAGTGCTGATATTGAGGGGCCCTGCTCTAGTGCCTGGACTTGGGGATGTTCTCCTCGTGTTTGTAGCCAGGTGTCACCTAGGGATCTGCATTTCTGAAAAGCACGTGAGTAAATTCGTCTGTGGTGGTGAAATAGCGCAAGCCCTCTGCCTGGGCTCCCCTCTGGCTCACCCTGGCCATATGCATAAGCCCTGGCTCCGTGTCTGAGAAGTGAGGGGTGGAGGGAAGGACCATAATAGATTCCTTGCGTGGAGCTCCTGTGAAGATTAGAAGGGTGTGGCCCATGTGTTGTATAACTGGGTGGCTGGTGCACAGCAGCTGAGGAATAGAGATAAGCTGTTAGTATAAGCAGTAAATAAAATGGACCATACATTAGCAGTAGTAATACCTAATATTTTTGTAGCGCCTACCTTATGCCAGCCATTGCTCTGAATGCTTCTCTGTGTTAACTCACAGCTTCCTTATCAGAACCCGATGAGGCAGGTATTTTTTTTCTTTTTTTTTTTTTGAGGCGAAGTCTGGCTCTGTCGCCCAGGCTGGAGTGCAGTGGCGCCATTTCGGCTCACTGCAAGCTCCGTCTCCCGGGTTCACACCATTCTCCTGCCTCAGTCTCCCGAGTAGCTGGGACTACAGGCGCCTGCCACCACGCCCGGCTAATTTTTTGTATTTTTGGTAGAGACGGGGTTTCCCCGTGTTAGCCAGGATGGTCTCGATCTCCTGACCTCGTGATCCGCCCGCCTTGGCCTCCCAAAGTGCTGGGATTACAGGCGTGAGCCACCGGGCCCGGCCGAGGCAGGTATTTTTATTGTCCCCATTTTACAGATGCAGAACCTGAGCCCAGGGAACTTAAACTCCTCACTTAAGATCATGCTATGGATTGAAATGTGTCCTTCCAAAATTCGTGTTGGATTCGTGTTGAAGCCCTAACGTGCAATATGACTGCATTTGGAAATGTGGCCTCTAAGGAATCAAGGCTAAATGAAATCAGAAGGGTGGACCTTGATCTGATAGAATTAGTGTCATTATAAAAAGAGACACCAAAGAGCTCTCTCTGTCTCTCTCTCAACCGTGTGAGGACACAGCAAGAAGGCAGCTGTTGGCTAGCCAGAAAGAGTGGTCTCACCAGAAATGCATCGGCCAGAACCTTGATCTTGGACTTCCAGCCTCCAGAACTATGAGAAAACAAAAATGACTGTTGTTTAAGCCACCTAGTCTGTGGTGTTTTGGTTACCACAGCCCAAGCTGACTAATACAGATCATCTTCTAGTAAGTGGGAGAATGAGGACTTAACCCTCGCAAACTCAAGTCCAGAGTTTAGACTTTTAACTTTTCTATTTTCATACTTTCTACTGTCTCTTCTGCTGTATAAGTGATGTTATAGTTTTATGAAATATTTATATGTAATATAATAGAACATGGAATAGAAAATATTTCCTGCATATTCATTCTTGCAATGAGAAAATTATAACTAGGCAAGGAATATATATGGTACAATCTAAAGTGAGGATTAGGCCGGGCGCTGTGGCTCATGCCTGTAATCCCAGCAGTTTGGGAGGCTGAGGTGGGTGGATCACTTGAGGTCAGGTGTTTGAGACCATCCTGGCCAACATGGCGCAACCCTGTCTCTACTAAAAATACAAAAATTAGCCAGATGTGGAGGCACAATGCCTGTAATCCCAGCTACTTGGGAGGCTGAGGCAGGAGAATCGCTTGAACCCAGGAAGCGGAGGTTGCAGTGAGCCGAGATCACACCGCTGCACTCCAGCCTGAGCGACAGAATGAAACTCTCTCAATAAGTAAATAAATAAATCAAATAAAGTGAGGATTGAACAATTGAAGGGTCACTGATAATCACTGTAAGGATTTAGCGCCAGGGCTTGGCAGTACTCAGGTGAGTAAACGTTAGTTATTGCTAATATTATTCATTTATCTTATTATTGTTATAATTGAGTTAGTTCTGTGTTCTGATCCATGAGTGAATTGGCCTCCTGGAAGCTGCCCTCAAATCCCTCCTCTTTTACACAGTGATTGATGGTCCATGTCGCCTCCTTGTAGTTACAGATTAATAATAGGCCCTCCTCCTGGAAACAGGCCAAACGCCAAACCCCATGCAAGCTGGCCTGGAGAAAGCACTTCTGAAACTTCATCACCAGCAGGCAGCTAGACGACTGTTGAATGGGAGGGGGGGTGGTTTTGAAGGGTGGAATGGTGACAGAATTAGTCACCAAGTAAACAAGCAACACCTTCGATCAATGCAATGGAATGTAGGTAACCCAGGGGCCCTCCTCACTGCTCAGCTGAGGGTGACGCCAACATGGCCAGGCTGGCACACCCAGCAGAACCAGCCCTCTGCCCCCAACATCAGTAAAGACCTTGCAGGAGGAAAGAACAACCCCGCTTTGCCTGCCCCACAGTCCTGCAGCTCCATGTGTGTGCCCGCACAGTGCTAGGAACACGGCAGCTATTATCAGGAGTGCCAGGTACAGTGCTACAGGTTGCCTCCTGTACAAGGGGACACAGGGAACTGAAATCCAGTCCTCACTGAACTGCCCAAGCCCTGATTCCTGGTATGGGACTTTGTGGGTCCAGGGGCAGGGGTGCCTTGATCAAAATCACCTTGGATGTTTTAGGGCTGCTTGGTGATTGATGTTTTGCTTTCGGAGTACTTAATTATGTTTGCACAAACGGATGGTAATCCTAAAAATCTTAGAGCTCGCTCTCATAGTCTTATTATTGCACCAAACATTGTTAAGTGCATGATAATCGCAGGTAATTTTAATTGGAGGCTTACTATGTGCCAGGCAGCACCAGGGTGAGCATAGCAGGACACAAAATATAGGAAGGCAACCATCTCTGGTGCAGAATCGGCAGCAGAGAGTGAGCGCCTCCCTGCATTTTATCCCCCAGGTGCTCACTGGCTTCACCCTTGCCCTGACCCTGGTGCCAGGCACTTCACACACATTGTCTCCTTTTCCCTTGCAGAGTCCCATTATTCCCTGATTGCACAGATAAAGAAACCAAGGCTGAGCAATGCCATCCCCTCATCTCACGAACGTCACCTCCATGAGGGTAGGCACCTTACTAGTCCTACTTGCCCAAGAGTAGCAGTCAGAAAGCTACGGGGAGGCACACCTGGGGTTTGAACCTGGGTCCACGTGACTCAGGCACTCAAATCCTGAACTGCTTCAGGGCAGGGCACTTGGCTTGAAGAGAAGCTGCAGACACAGAGACAATCAAGTCACATCTAATACTCCAGCAGGACAGATGAGCCTGCAAGGTGCAAAGGTACCCCCGCCCCCAACCCAAAGCCTTTTTCAATTCCTCTCCCTCCACATCTCTTGTCATGGTAAAGCAGGCAGAATCCATGGGCTTTAACGGGCCCATTGCTTTTCCCAAAGCTCATGCCTTTTTCCTAAAAACAAAACCCTTCTGGGTTCCAGAACTCTTTGGAAAAAAAGAATCTTCTGTGATTTGGGACATTGGTTTGTTCCCCCACCCTCACTTAAATGAGAAACTACTTTAGCATGCCCCGCCCCGTCTGTTGTCTTTATTTAGGAGGAAGCACCCTCTACATACCCTGAGTATATACACCCAGGGCCTGAAGCTGCTGTGATCAGCTCAGGATCCCCAGGAGGCTGAGGCGGATCAGGCCCTGGACTCCGGGGGAACAATGTAAGGGACACCAAAAAGCTCAGCCATGGAGATGAATAGTATTTTAACATGAAATTTGTGAAAATCAAAATTACCGCTGTTCCTGATCTTATCTTTCTGTAACATGTTCATAGTTTGTTCATCACGGGTGTCTTGCCATTAATTCTGACTTTTAAAAATGTTGTGTTAACATACCGTTTATCTCCATGACTGAGTTTTTTGGCATCCCTTACATTTCGTGCCCAAGGTGAGAGTCTCACTGGCTGCACCCTCATCCCAGGCCCGACTGGACTCCAGTTCCACAGCATCCTTTCCATGAGACCTGGAACCAGATGCAGCTCCCTCTTCACCCAGCTTCATGTTCCTAGTTGTAAAATGGAGACGATGGTAACAGCGAAAACAAGAACCACAGCTAAGAGTTACTAAGTGCACAGGTATTTACGGGCAGTAGAGTCCTCTCAGCCCTTTGATCTCAGTACTGTTATTAGGTTCACTTTACAGATGAGGAAACTGAGGCCCAGAGGGCTGAGGGAACCTGCTCCAGGGCACCCAGCCAGCCCAGGGTGGAGCTGGGGCTGGCATCTGGCGGTGTGGCTGCAGCGCACCCGCATTCTAATCGCAATGACTCTTCCAGGCAGGAAACTGGTTCAGAGGGAGATGTAAACAGCAGGGGTCCTGAAGCCAGGATTTGAATCAGCAGCTGCCTCATAGGGTGGTCTTGAGCGTTAAATAAGATTCACAAAAGGCACTCCACAAGTCCTTTTTCTTGTCCTCCCACTTCTTTAGGCAATGCCTGAGGTGAAGGCTCAGATTCCACTCGGCTATGGGGCATTCTTGCCCTGACGGATCCCCAAATCACACAGCCTATCCCTCCATCCAGTGACTTCTCCCCATGTCCTGTGCTTGAAATGACCCTCAATAGTTCCACCAAATAGGAGTTATTTATGTGGCTATGCGCCTAACACTGACCACATTGTCATTTGCTCCTTGTAAAACTAAAAACTTTGAGATGAGTGCTATCTTTGGGTCCATTTCACAGATAGTGGAACTGAGGCTTACACATATCCAAGGCCACACAGTGAACAGAAGGCAGAGCTGGGATCAAACTTGACCCTGTCTGACCCCTGGCCTCTATATGACACCGTCTACCACAAACAGCAAACCCTCCAGCCATGCCTAAAGGATCTGAAAGCAGTTACCTGCTGAGCCCCTGTGGGAGTATCTTCAGTCCCCTCGTGTCACCCGGAGCTGCTCCTGCACAGGGTCCTGGGTCTCCAGTGCGTGCTGCCCAGTGCCTGGCTGTCGGTGGAGCCTGGCTCCCTGCACTTTGCTTCCTTGTGCAGAGCCTGCTGGCTGAATACACAGAGCAGGGCAAACACAAGCCTGGGTGGAGTCCTCCCTTCTCCCCGGACCATCCTGCAGAAACAGGTTCTCTTCCTGATGTGGGGCTGCCCTCCCAACTCCAATAAAAACTGAGCACCTGACTCCTCTCGCATTAATGCCTCCCTGGCACCCCAAGTATTCTACCCAGTGCCCCTCACCTACTGAGGCTGCCGGGTTGACCTGGGGAAGCAGTTTCCTTCCCCAGTAACCGTAGGTCATGGTCAGAGCAGGGAAAACACGTTCTGTGAGATTTTGTAGTTCTGTCTGCTGACTTCAGAACACCACCTCCACCACCACCTAACCACCTAATTGGAAGGAAATAGCTTCTCATCCACTCAACTACCCCTAGTCATGTAAACCTTATTCCCAAAGGGGTTTGGACACCAGAAATCAGGTAACCTGAGGGTGGTTTATTGCTCTGGAGACATACCATGATGTTGGAAAGGGCATTCTTTTTCTTTGCAGGCCAGAAATTCGACAGGCTATGCAATTTATTTAATTCAAGCAAGGATGTTGTTTAAAGTGTCTTACAAGGACATATACAATAGATTATGAGAGCATGAAATAACATGTAACAAAAGAAGATTGAAGAACAAAATTTGGAACATCAAATGAGAACAGGATCAAAAATAAATGCTCTTGTTGATTTACAGACTTGCTATGAAGGGTTTGCAGATATGGCTTTGAGCTTCCTAACAGCCAATGCAAGAAAGGAAACTTGATAAGTTACACTACTTAGTGCTCTGGAGAAGACATTCAAGAGAATTGCGACCAATAATTATTGTGGTTTTATTCAACAGTATACTCAGCTTAACCCCTATCATGAATACTTGTCAAGCACCAGGCTATATATATAAGCCAGAGTTTAAAGAGGTGAGTAAAAGATGCTGGGTCTCTACCCTTCTTGCACTCAGTGTCATTGGACATAGAATCCTGTAAATATAAACATAGAATTACAGGGTGTGATTCTCATTATAAAAGAAAAGCCAAGGCAGCTAAGGGAGAGAAATAGAGAGAGCTGGGGAAGGCCTCTTTCAGAAATCAACATTTAAGAAAAAAAATACTATTTAAATAAATGCTGAATACACAACCAGGCACACCGTAATTAGGGTTGTAAAGTCGATTCCAGCTCAGCACTGTACATGTCAATCTGGAATGTAGTAAACCCAATTATTAAGCAGCTGCCATGCACACGCTCTGTGCTGACCCAAGCCTGGAGGCTCAGGAGCTTGAGCTCTGGCCCTGGGTTGAGACAGACAAGGGCTCGGATCTTGATTCTTACTGATCGGCTGTGGAATTATGAGCAAGCTACTGTACTTCCCTAAGTCTCTGTCAGCCCCCTCAGCTGTGTGCTCCTTTGTGTTTATTTTGCATCTATTCTTGTATCCCCAACTCCTGGCACCCTGCAAAACGAGGATGGGGATCCCTCTATGATAGAGTAGGTACTCTGCAACTCCTGGCTGATTGGACTTGTTCATTCTTTTTTTTTTTTTTTTTAAGACGGAGTCTTGCTTTGTCATCCAGACTGGAGTGCAGTGGTGTTATCTCGGCTCACTGCAACCTCTGCCTCCCAGGTTCAAGCAATTCTGTTGCCTCAGCCTCCTAAGTAGCTGGGACTACAGGTGTGCACCACCATGCCTGGCTAATTTTTGTATTTTTAGTAGAGGTGGGGTTTCTCCATGTTGGCCAGGCTGGTCTGGAACTCCTGACCTCAAGTGATCCACCCGCCTCAGTCTCCCAAAGTGCTGGGATTATAGGCGTGAGCTAACACTCCCCATTGTCTTGCTCTCTTTTAAATTATACATGGCAGTAACTGCCATTTGGATGGCATTAGTCTTTGCAAAGCCTTTTGTGTTTATCCGTCCATTTCATTTATGTCCACAGTGAAATTAAGATCTTTTGCTCCCATTTTACAGAAGAAAAACATAAGGTTTAGGGATATGAGTGATTTAGGAGATTAAGAAAAATCATTCAGGTGGGGGCACTCAGCAGTGTGTCTGGCAAAACGTAGACCATCACCAAGCATCAGCTGGTGTAGTCAAGGGTGTTGATGAAGGATCTGGCAAACTGTAGACCATCACCAAGGATCAGCTGGTGTAGTCAGGAGTGGTGATGAAGGGTCTGGCAAACTGTAGACCATCACCAAAGATCAGCTGGTGTAGTCAGGAGTGGTGATGAAGGATCTGGCAAACTGTAGATCATCACCAAGGATCAGCTGGTGTAGTCAGGAGTGGTGATGAAGGGTCTGGCAAACTGTAGACCATCATCAAGCATCAGCTGGTGTAGTCAGGAGTGGTGATGAAGGATCTGGCAAACTGTAGATCATCACCAAGGATCAGCTGGTGTAGTCAGGAGTGGTGATGAAGGGTCTGGCAAACTGTAGACCATCACCAAGCATCAGCTGGTGTAGTCAGGAGTGGTGATGAAGGATCTGGCAAACTGTAGATCATTACCAAGGATCAGCTGGTGTAGTCAGGAGTGGTGATGAAGGGTCTGGCAAACTGTAGACCATCACCAAGCATCAGCTGGTGTAGTCAGGAGTGGTGATGAAGGGTCTGGCAAACTGTAGACCATCACCAAGCATCAGCTGGTGTAGTCAGGAGTGGTGATGAAGGGTCTGGCAAACTGTAGACCATCACCAAGCATCAGCTGGTGTAGTCAGGAGTGGTGATGAGGCAGGACCGGCTACATAATCTGCTGAACCCAGTGCAAAACAAAAACGATGAGCCCTTTGTTCTAAAAGCAGGGAAAAGTACCGTTAAAGGTATGAAACATAAAGCTGTTTTCTCTCCTTCCTGGTCTCTTTCTCTACCTGTCATGTATTTTACTTATTATTTGAAGTCATTCTAAGGGAAGAAAAAATAAAAATGTAAGTGATCAGCGTGAGTTTTGCCATCCGTCTTTAGATCAAGCCATGCTGGTTTGAAATGCAATGAACTCGAGGGCAGAATCACCAAAATCATACGACTTGTATTTTGTAGTTAGTTACGGGGCCCCCGTAGTCTGTTCTCACTAAAACAGTGTAAACGCTGCATAGAAGTCATCATTCAACTGTTTTTACTCTACCTCTGGATACTCACCCATTCTACTAATGCTCTCTATCTTCAGTTTATTGATGAATAAGGAAAAATCAAAAGAAAAAGAAACTCTAAGCTGCCCTATATTTCTGTCTTGCTATGTTATCATTTTCAGCACAAGTGGTTGGCCCTTACAGGGAGGTAACCTGGGTAAGAAAGGCTAGGATAGGATTCTTTTGTTGTTTGTGTTTCTTAGAATGTGCTGCCTTTTTTCTGTATTGAAGATAATTTCTGATTTGCGTGGAAAGCCTGGACTCTTGGGGTGTCAGTGCCTCCACATACTCAATTGCAGCTGTAACTCACATGTGTTTTACTTGCTTTGAGGCTTACTGAATAGTCATGAACTCACTGGCATTCTCTGCTCATGGGCATCATGGATGTTATATGTGAATAGGTGGCAATGAACAGTAGACTTGCATATTGCTTGTATCTCATGACTATGCTTCATTGTCTCATCAGATTTTACTTACTCAACCCAAGTTCAAAGATAACACTACAACTGACCCTTGAACCACAAGGGTTTGAACTGCATGAGTCCACTTAGACATGGATTTTTTCCCTTCTTCTGCCACCCCTGAGACAACAGGACCAACCCCTCTTCTTCCTCCTCTTCCTCAGCCTATGCAATGTGAAGATGACAAGGAAGAAAACCTTTATGATGATCCATGTCTACTTAATGAATAGTAAATATATTTTCTCTTCCTTATGATGTTTCTTAGAATGCGTTGTCTTTTTAATGTTCTTAATACCATTTTCTTTTCTCTAGCTTACTTTATTGTAAGAATGCAATATACAAATGTAATACATATAACATAGAAAACGTGTTAATACATAAAACATAGAAAACATGTTTATGTTATTAGTAAGGATTCTGGTCAACAGTAGCTTATGAGTAGTTAAGTTTCTGCAAAGTCAGAAGTTATACTTGTATTTTCAACTGCACAGGATTGATGCCCCTAATCCCCGTGATGTTCAAGGGTCAGCTGTGTTAAGATTTTCAATATGGCAACTGTAGAGCAATAAACCAAGCTCAGGGCCCTGGGTGGAGGTAGCAACAAGTCTTCAAAAGTGCAAACTTCTTGGTGGAAGAATTTACTTCCCGGTGTCGACAAAGCAGGGAGTTCACTAAGAGTAAAGTTTCTCCTTGCTACACAGACTTCAGGTGGTGCTCACCATCATGCTCCCAACTTGGTTTGCCTCTTAATCTTCTCTCTTTACGATCTCCACCCCTCTTCAAATATTGACAAGCACATGTGGCTGTCATCTCCTGTTATCAAACTGCTTTCCTGAAAATCTGGATAGAGCTGGTTTTTGAATCAAAAAGAGTCATTGGAAAACTGAAATTGGAAATCTCCCCAGGACCCTCTTTCAGACCTGCCCCTGCCTCTCTGCAAATATTCCGTCCTCCACCCAGGCTTCTCGCTCATGCTAAGCCATGTTGGCTGTGTTTTTGATCACTGAACCAGCGGAAGGCATGACCCAGCCATTATAGTGTGGTCATGCACCCAGGGCCTGTCAGTGACAGCTGGTCTCCTGCCAGTCAGGATGCCCACCCTGCTCCAGCTGAGACAGGAAATCTGACATGCACCTTTGTCTTTCTGTATGCCACCCATCACTTGGCATTTTTCAGATCACTTTCTTGTGCTTTATCTGATATGCTCCTTACTATAATCCTATGACATAAGAAGTATCTATTTGCCTGAGGAGGAAACAGTTTCAATGAAGACCAATGTCTTATGCTAAATTAAGCCATGGGCTAACACTGGGGGCAGATCTCTCAAGACTAAACTCAGGGTCAGTCTTGGTTAGGAACCCAGGGTCTGGCATCACTCAGCCTGAGACAGAATTTTGGTTTCACAGTTGATTCACTGTGTGACCTTGAGGAGGTTGTTTGCCCTTTCTGTGCTTTCGTTTTATGACCTAAAAATGGTTCTATTGGCAGCACCCAAGTTATAGAGTTGGTGTGGGAATTAAATGAGATAATTCACAGAAAATGCTTAGCACAGTGCCTGGCACCCAGTATGCTTAATAAAATGACACAGTCACTAAGGATAGGGTTGGGATTTAAACACATAGCATCTGACCTCAGGACCTGCACTCTTAACAACTAAATTTACACATGCATATGTAATATATATGCACACACATGCATAAACATATCAACATAATTAAAGGAAAATAAAAAATAGTAACAAAACTCACAAATAATCTAGAAACCCCATGCAAACTGCATTGAATGTGGATTACTTGACCATGCATCTCTGTTTCAAATCTCTGATTCTTTAGGTCATATTTTAAAACTTACACAACATTTTGAGAACTACGTTGGATGCTTTCTCATGGAGAATGCATCCAGTGTAGTGCATGGAGAGAGTCTAATCCTCCTAATCTAGTTGAAGTGTGAGAATATCATGCAATAAACAGAACACAGTTTTGTATTCACCTCTATCCCTGTCCCTGGAGATAGGATGGGGGTTTACTGCTGTCATCGGCAAAGACCATACCTGCCATTTCCCCTGATTCAAACCATGTTCTCCATCATGATATGCTGTTTACTGACCTCTGTGAGGGGGCCAGTGATGAGCACAGTGGTTAAGAGAAGGCCTTGGAATTACACCCCAGTTTGAACTCTGGCTCATACTTCTGTGCTGTGCAAAATCAAGCATGTGCAAAATCAAGTTGTGCAAAATCTTCTTACTCTAAAATAGAAACAATAACATCTCTCCTGAGGATTGTTTTGAAGATAAAATGGCATGAGGAATGAAAACACCAAGCCCAGATGCTGACAAACACTAAGGGCTCAACCAGAAATACCGGTTATTACTGTAATTGGCTATCATTGAGTCTACAGAGATGTGTACAACCATGATGCAGCCATATATTCAGAGAGATTAATTTTCGTCACCACTATTGGGCACCCCTCTTTTTTTTTTTGAGACGGAGTCTTGCTCTGTCACCAAGCTGGAGTGCAGCGGTGCAATCTTGGCTCACTGTAACCTTTACCTCCCGGGTTCAAGCGATTCTCCTGCCTCAGCCTCCCGAGTAGCTGGGACTATAGGTGTGCACCACCACGCCCAGCTAATTTTTGTATTTTTAGTAGAGATGGGGTTTCACCATGTTGGCCAGAATGGTCTTGATCTCTTGACCTCGGGGCACCCTTCTTTTATTGCGAAAATTGTGTCTTATTTATATTTGTAACCTAAGTGCCTACCTGAATGCCAGCCCAACGTCAATGTTGCCTCAATGGCTCATGGCATGTTGAATACAATATGGTACCTGCCATATCAGTCTTAGGTTTAGATCTCAGCTCTGCTTCAGCTATGCCATGTGAATGTGGGCAAATTCCTTAAGCTCCCTGGAACTGTTTTCTCACTGCCAAATAGGGATGGGACGTTTAATGTATGGGAAATGTCTAGCACACAGCCTGGTACATAACTTGTGATGTACAGCAGCAGAAGGTAACTGCTGTTTTTCATCATTATTAGTATTATTGGAGTATAAAAAAAGTAATATAGAAAGGAAGAAGCCAAGGGTGGTGGTTGAGGCAGAGCAAGGTCTCCCCACCTCTGCACTACTGCCATGTGGGGCTGGATCTTCGGTGCTGTAGGGGCTGTCCTGTGCATCGTAGGGTGTTTGGAGCATTCCTGGTCTCTACCCATAGGTGCCAGGAGCATGTCTCCAGTTGCCATGAGAAAAGATGTCTCTGGACATTGCCAAATGACTCCTAGGGGGCAAAAGCTTTCCCGTTGAGAACCACTGGGGTAGAAGGATGGGTGAAAGTTTGGTAGCCACTTTGCAGGGGGTGCACTTCCTCTGGAAAGCTGAAAATTGGCAAGGATAGGAGGCTTGGAGTATGGATGATAGAAATTCCAGAGAGAGAAAAGAGGCAGGGAAATACATCATACGCTCTGGGATCAGCAGGTGCCCAGTAGTTGGAATATAGGATATTATTGCAATACTTAGTATTATTTTTATTGAGAATAAGGCTATGAATGTGGCCAGGGAAAGAGCTTGGGTATCATGCTAGGGGTCTGGGCTTTATCCTGAAGGGTCACCAAATATACTGACACTGTGAGGAATTTGGGGTAGTGTTGCTTGATAAAATAATGAAATTATGACACAGCTATAGCACGGATGAACCCTGAAGACACTATGCTAAGTGAAATGAATCAGACACAAAAAGAAAAATATTGTATAATTCCACTTATATGAGAAGACTTAAATTCATAGAGAAAGAAAATAGAATGTTGGTTGTCAGGGGCTGACAGAAGGGGAATGGGAACTTACTGTTTAACGGGTACAGAGTTTAGTTTGGGAAGATGAAAAAGTTCTGGAAATGGATAATAGTGATAGTTGCACAGTATTTAGAATGTGCCTAATACCACTAAGACGTATATTTAAAATGGTTAAAAAGATAAATTTTATGTTCCTTATATTCTATCACAATAAAAAATACAAGTCCAGTTAAATTTGAATTCCAGATTCAACAATAAATAATTTTTTTACTCTAAGTATGTCTCAAATACTGCATAAGCATAGCATAAGTATGTTTCATGTACAATATTGGACATACTTATACAAAAACAATTATTCATTATTGTTGAAATTCAAATATACTTGAAATTCAAATTTAACTGGGTGTGCTGTACTTGTATTTGGTAAATTTGCCATCCCTAAGTTGGGGGCATTGCTGAGGGTGGACTAGAGGGAAGGGAATGGTGGCAGGCAAGCCACAGAGGATGCATTTAGCCACAAGTAGCAGGAAACGTGATGGACAGCAGCTTAGACCAAAAGAGCATTTCCGGTTTAATTAACAGGAAATCCACAGGAAGGTGCTTCCGGGGCTGGTGCAGCCGCTCAACAGTGTCTTTGAAACTCAGGTTCTTTCTGATTTTCTCCTCTGCCAGACTCAGGTATTCATCTCATCAAAGCAAGAAGACCACCTCAGCTCTAGAACCACAGTCTCCCCCTAACTTCAGCTGCACGGAGCAGGGATAGACACAAAAGACCTTTCCTTCCCAGATATTGTTGAAAAAAAAAAAAAAAGAAAAGAAAGAAAGAAAAGAAAAAATAGAAACTTTTTTTTTCCTTCTGGGAGAAAAAGCTTTTGAGAAGGCCTCAGACAGAGTAATCGACTTCTCTTCATGCCTCACTTGTCAGAACTGGATCTCACCACTCCCATTCGCAAACCAGTCCCTGCAAAGGGTAGTAGGATTGCTGTAATTGGCTTAGGTCAGGAGTCAACAAACTTTTTCTGGAAAGATCCAGATAGCAAATATTTTAGGCTTTGTGGGCCAAATGGTCTCTGTTTCACACTACAATTCTGCCATTGTAGTGTGAAAGCAGTCAAAGGCAAAGTTTAAATGGATGTGGCTGTGTTTCAATAAAACTTTATTTAAAAAAATACAGGTGGTGACATAACAACTAAACTCTAAGAGTCTGGACAGAAGCCAGACAAAGAAAGCTGTGGAAAGAACATTGAACTTGGAGTCAGCCCCGCTCACCTGGTCTGAACTCTTGGCTTTGCCTTGTGTCCTCAAGTAACCTACTTCTCTCTGAACCTCAGATTCTTCAGCTGCAAAATGGGGATAATAATATTCACCTACTAAGGTTCTTGTGGGGGAAGTAGGCAATGGAAGTGAGTGTAAGGAGGGAAGAGTAGAAGGAGTCCAACAATAATCTGAGTTTTCTGAGCTCAAGAATGTCAATACAGGCAGGGCACAGTGGCTGACGCCTGTAATCCCAACCGAGGCGGGCAGATCACCTGAGGTCAAGAGTTCAAGACCAGCCTGGCCAACATGATGAAACCCTGTCTCTACTAAAAATACAAAAATTAGCCAGGAGTGGTGGCACACGCCTGTAATCCCAGCTACTCAGGAGGCTGAGGCAGGAGAATTGCTTGAACCCGGGAGGCGGAGGTTTCAGTGAGCCTAGATCGCGCCACTGCACTCCAGCCTGTGCGACAGAGCGAGACTCCATCTAAAAAAAAACCAAAAAACAAAAAAAATAAAAATAAAAAAAAAAGAAGTTCAGTGATAGGTTTCAGATTCCACACTGCAACCAACTTTGAGCAACTATCACTTGCCAGGTTTTGGTGGTGGTGTAGAAACTACCTGCAATTACCCAAAAAGGCTGTTCAAATACTTCTCCCTTTTCCAGCTACAGACCTGCAAGAGGCTGGAGTTGCTTTGTGTGCTTCAACCAAAACAACATATGGCAACAGACTGAATGCAGAAGCAGATACAAGAATCCAGCTGTCTTCTATTAAGGCAGACAGTAAAGAGACTTGCAAAAATGTAAAACTACCATTATTTTTGCCCTGTTGTGTTTTGGAACAAAACAAATAGTTTCGTTGAAAAATTTTTAGAAAAAAATCATTTTTCATAAAAATGTTATTTATGTTAAAATGGAAGGGATTTATTTCTTTGAGATGAAATTATATAAATTTTTAAAATTCTTAGTTTTAATTTTTAATGTGGTAAATAGGTATCGCTCAATCCACATAAAAATTCTTTGAGATCTTACATAATTTTTAACAGTGCAAAGTGTTCTGAGAACCAGACTTTGAAAACTGCTTTTTATTTTTTCATTACAAATTTATTATAAAACACACAGAGGATAAAATTTAAAATAATAATCTATAATCCTGTCACTAAGAAATATCCTCTTTTGGTATTTCTTTCCTTCCGTATCAATATCATACCTATATTACTCATTGTGAAATACTGTTTCGAAAGCCGGAATTTTTTTTTTCCATCATAGATGTCACAAATAAATTTAAAATAGGGGTTGAGGGGTTTAAGTACCTGAGATGAATTAACTCCCTGGCCATATTGGGTATTTAAGTGTTTGACACCTTCTGCTATTATAAACATGACAGATTTCCTAGACTTCTCCCTTAGAAGCATTTTCCAGATGTTAAAGTATTGGATCAAACGGTAGTCACATTTTAGAGGCATTTGATACATGTCGCCAAATTCCTGTTCAACTGGATGGTCTTCCGTGAGGCCAGGCTGGGTCTCCATAACTCAGAATTACATTTGGCACTTCCATGGATGGGTGAATGGATGGATGAATGGATGAACAAACGTGTGAAAGGGATGGTTTCTTTGTACCCACGTTAAAATTGGGTGTTAACAGTTAAATTATTTTGTATTTGCTTAATTTTAAAAAGGTGTCTCATTAGGATTGCTGTTGTAATTTTCATTTCCTTCATGACTGTGACATTAAAAGTGTTGTCTCATGTTGACTGAACATTTGTCTTTATCTCTTGTCAAATGCCAAAGCCATTGATTCTTGACACCCAGTTCCTTTCATCTTCTAGCACTCAGCCTCCTTGCAGATCAGTTTTCCCCATTCCACCAAGTCAGAGATAAAAGGAAGGGGCTGGGGGCAAGAGCTTTGTGATGAGTCTTCTGTGATGTTGCTAGAGGGAAGTGTGTTTTTTCCAAGTGAGGATTAATTGCCAACTTTTCTTTTTTTTTTTTTTTAAGACAGGGTCTCACTCTGTCACCCAGGCTGGAGTTCAGTGGCAACATCATGGCTCACTGCAGTCTGGACCTCCTGAGCTCAAGCCATCCTCCCACTCCAACCTTCCAGGTAGCTGGGACTGCAGGTGCACGCCACTACACCTGGATTTTTTTTTTTTTTTTCATTTTTTGTAGAGATGGCATCCCCCTATGTTGCCCAGGCTGGTCTCGAACTCCTGGGCTCTAGTGATTCTCCCACCTATGCCTCCCAAAGTGCTGGGATTACAGGCATGAGCCACCATACCTGGCCAATTGCCAACGTTTAATAATCAGGAAACTTTATATAAAAATTTAAAGATCTAGTCTCTCATTTGTCAATTAAAAGGTTTGGCAATATTGTCACATCACAGTCGCCTGGGTCTAGGCGTTGGCAGCCTTTTCAAAGGGACACTTGTTTCTTAGTTTATGTTGGTTTCCGTCACTCCCTCCCCGCTGGCCCCACATCCATTGCCTATTTATCCTCACCCTCGTGCTGCCATTTTTCTTGGAGCAAATTTATAAGAACCATGAACTATTTCTACCAAAATATGAAAAAAGAACACTATAAGAGATCCCATGTCTTCATAAGAATGCAAAAGCATCCTTGTAAATGAAAAGTTACATATATTTCACAGAAGTTTGATGTATTTAATATAACATAATTATAATATTTAATATAAACGTAGTTGCATATGCTTAAAATACAAAGTATGTCTGTGTTGAAAACAAGTATAATTTTTTCATCCAATACATACTATGCTCTTAGCTGGAGAGTTTATGCCCTGATATTTATCACATAGCATAGGAAGACCCCCATCTCTACAAATATTGAAAAAAAAATTTAGCCAGGCATGGTGCTGCGTGCCTATGGTTCCAGCTACTCGGGAGGCTGAGGCTGGGGGTTTGCATGAACCCAGGAGCTCGAGGCTGCAGTGAGCCATGATTGCACCATTGCACTCCAGCCTAGGCAACAAAGCAAGACTCTGTTTAAAAAATATATATAGATGATTAATTCCCACTTTGAACAAACATACTTCCTGAGTCTTCCTGACCCCTGCAGACACTTGAGTTTGTGAGCCCTGACCTGGCTGCTAAGCGGTGTCCGTTGGTTTTCCTGTTGCGCCCGGGGTAGAAGTTTGAAGCTGAGCTTCAAGTGTTTGTCTTTCCCTTGGGAGAAGGAGATTTTCTAGCTCACCTCACATAGTGTGTAGACATCTGGGTTATCCTCGCTTCTCTAGAGAACTATAGCTGAGAAAATGAGAAGCCATCTCTGAGGAGTAATAACACACAGTGCTCTGAGAGGTTGAAACAGAAACTGAGGAAAAAAAACCAAGTTTTTCAAAGGTGGATTTAAACATGATCAGTTTTGCCATATCTGTGTTTTCTCTCTCCTACTGCAGGGCTTCCCAAACTTTAGTTATACACTGAAGCTTTTTTTCTCATTCCTCATGCCATATAAACGAAAACATATTTTCTTTAAATTGACTCACGATTTCATTTGAAGTATCTAAAATAGACACTGACTATGACTACCATAAGTGGAAAATTAGTATTATGTCCCCCAAATAAAATGTAACATTAAAAAATAAACCTGTAACAACTGTAAAGAAAGGTCTTACGTTCTAGCTAGATTCTGTTGCCTGCCTAAGATCCACACCCAAGGCCAGCTCACTCTGTTAAAAATATGTTAAAGGAATTCTAGCATCGCCGGGCGCGGTGGCTCATGCCTGTAATCCCAGCGCTTTGGGAGGCCGAGGCAGGCAGATCATGAGGTCAGGAGTTCGAGACCAGCCTGGCCAACATGGTGAAACCCCATGTCTACTAAAGATACAAAAAATTAGCCGGGCGTGGTAGCACACGCCTGTAATTCCAGCTACTTGGGAGACTGAGGCAGGAGAATCAGTTGAATCCGGGAGGTGGAGGTTGCGGTGAGCTGAGATCGCACCATTGCGCTCCAGCTTGGGGGATAGGGGCAAGACTCCATCTCAAAAAAAAAAAAAAAAAAAAAAAAAAAACAACACCAGAAAGAAATTCTGGCATCAAACTAAGGCTTTCTCTTTGATACATCCAGAAGCATTAGTTGATAATTGAAAGAAAATGGCAAAGGGAATAACTACCTCACCTTCTCAGTTGGTGACTGAATAGTATTTTAAGTTCACTTTATGCCCAGTGCAAACTTTTGTATCACCACTGGTAAGCATTTCATAACTTGTGAAACACTATCTGACTGTTATTCATTTATTAATTGAAAAGAAAATATTTTTATTACTACTTGTGTTACTCCACCAACCAGCTACTATACCAGCCTCTCACTGATTGAACAATTACCACACCATGCTATTTTTCTTGTTCCCTGACACAAGTTTTTGAACCATTCTTGTATACTATTTTTCAATAATTCCTAGTTCCCCTTTTACAGATGATGAAAATAAGACTTAGTGAAGTTAAGAAACTTAGCCAAGCTTCACACCCAGTAAATATAGAGTTGAAATTCAAATGAAGTTTGGACATTACTTCTAAGAGCTTGAGGTTATCTATCCTTCAGATCAACCACCAAAGTTGATTTGATTTCACCCCTCAAGCCCCAAGGCTCCCACAACTTAAGAAACAAATGATTCTCCTGTCAGAGAACAAGGATAAAAAACTCCAGAGAAGTGCTATTTTTTCCTTAGCAACAAGGGGAGATATGGTTCCAGATTCAGAATCAATCACAAATGTGATTTACATGGAACTGAATTTTTATCCAGAGGAAACATATTTACTTAGTAAATAGACCATCTTGAAGGAGGGCAAGAGTCCAGAAATAAAACAACTTTCATTCTGAGTAAGGGAAAATGTGGTGTGGGCCTTCTTCTCCAGTGATAGATGTACAGAATTTTATGGACCAATTATAGCTGAAGAAGATTAGGTTTCTTTGAATTCCACAAGATGAAAGGTCCTGTCACTCCTTTATCAGCTGCCTTCTAGAAGTTTCCAGCCATTTACCTATCTATCCCTTAAACCATCCACTCAGCCATTCATTCACTTACCTACCAACCCATTCATTCAGGTATGCAACTAACCATTCACCCAACAACTCACTAATCCATCCTTCCACTCTCCTTCCATCCCTTTCTCCATGTATCCACTCCTCTCTCCATCCATCTGATCATCATCCATCCATCCATCCATCCATTCAATGATCTACCCATCCATCTATCCATTCATCCATCCATCCATTCATCCAATCATCCATCCATCCACCCTACATCCATTCATCCATCCATTCATGCATCCAATTATCCATTCAATCATCCATCCATCTATCCTACCATCCATCCAATTATCCATCCATCCATCCATCCATCCATTCTTTTTGTTCTCCAAACATTTATTAAGCACACACCATGTGCCAGGCCCTGCATTAAGTACTAAGATTATAAAAGGATACAAAGATAAAAAGAGTACAATTTCTATCTGGGCTACAGACTAACAGGGAGAGAGGTATGTATAAAGTGAAAAGAATGTGCAAATAGCAGGAAATAAAGGGGGCATATGAGGCCAAGAATGAGACGTGCTCTCTCAGCCTGAGGTGGGGAGTAAGGCTTTCTGAAAGAAGCATCTTATAAATTGAGAGTTGAATAAAAAGGTGGCATTGGTCAGATGAAAGCCAGAGGTCTGGCAGGGAGAGGAAAGTTGATTTCAACACAGCCAGCCACATGTGCAAAGGCCGAGCATCCATAGCGTTTCTAATGGTACAGTGCTGGAATATATAAGCTCTACATTTTGGGTTCTTAAGGGATTGTCTCATTCCTGATTGAGCTTCCTGAATTCAGATCCTTGCTTGGGCTCTCCCTACCTAAAGACTTGGATTTTCATTTGTGTTTGCATTCAGATGTTGACTGAATCTTGGTCAATATTGTCCCAGATTGTTTGGTACCAGGCCTAAATGCCACAGTATTACTCAGAGCAATTAACCTTTAGTCGTCAACCCAACATATTCACCATACCCCTGTTGAACAAGAGACTGGGCTTTTCTCCAGCTCATTTCTCCTGGCCCAGGCTGCCTACTGGCAGACTTGTAATGCAGAATTATTTTGCCTGCAGCAAATATTATGGAAGCTTTCTTGGAGGTCTGAGGTTAAACCAGTGCAGAGTTTGCTTTTTGCGTCTTCTTGGCATCCTCAATGGGGACATCATATGCCCCAGCCTTTTTCTGGTGAGGCTAAACATTGGAAACCAATATCTGTTTCCTTCACATTTTTACATAGGATACAACTTCATAGCATGTTGGCACTCATCATTTGGAATAGTAATTCGGTGGGCAATTCAAACCTGTCACTCTCAAAATGTTGTAGTGCCTGACACTGGATTTGTTTGTAAACTTAAGAAAAAGTGTGTTGGAATTGGAAGGGCTGTGTGACTTTGGGCAAGTTACTTAGAGTCTCTGGGCCTCAGTTTTCTCCACCTGTAATAGTAGGCACAATAATATACCTACCTCATGGAATTTTTACACAAGTTAATATTTGAAGTGTTCAGAACAGTTCCTAGAATACAGCAAGCATAGAAGTGTTTGTTAAATAGAATTAAAAAATAGGAAAGAGGTGTAGAGTAGTGAAATCCATTTATGCCTAGTGTTCCATGATTGGAACACTAAGCATGTGGGAGTTATCTATATCCTACTGCTCAAGGTCATTGCCAAGGTCTGATTTTTCAATTCAAAAAATTGCAACTTCAGGCATAAATGGGTTAAAAGCAAAGGTGCAGGAGCCAGGTAGATTTAGGTTCTGATGTGAACTCTGCCATCTTCTCACTGTGTAGCCTTGGGAAAGCTAATTAACCTCTCTGACAGTCCAGTTGCTGTGAAAATGAGGCTATGACAGTTCCTCCCTCTTAGGATGGTGTGGGGTTTAAATGAGATAATGCACAGCACGCGCTTGGCAAGGTGCTGTCATAAAATATATGGTGGTTGTTTGCTTCTATGTCATTATTATTCAACTTAAGGTCTGAGTTGGCCAGAATGAGGAATTATGAAATCACATTTGCAAGAGGAAAGTGAAGCCCTGTCCCTGGGAATCCCAGCCGTCTGCCCTTCTCCTGCATGTCCTCCAGCATCCACTCAGGGATAGGAATCTCTGCAGGTGGGAGAAGGGGCCTCGGTTACTTCTGACAACGGTCCTGGGCCACAGGTCCTATTGTCCTTACTTTATAAACGTGGGCCCTGAATGTTTGGTGACCTGCCTAAGGTGACCCAAGCACTACGTGACAAAGACAGCATTTGAGCCCCTGTCCCCTGCCCCACTCTTGGCATGCACACGCAGCCCTGGAATCAGACAGGCCTGGGTTTGAATCCTGGCTTTGATACTTCCTGCCTGTGAGACTGACAGTGAGTCACTTCATTCCCTTCAGCTCCAAATTCTTCGTCTGTCGAGATGACTAGCAATGGCTGCTCTCAGGGCTTTGGAGAAGATCGTGTAAGGCAGAACATAAGAAGCGTTCAGCGTCATGCCTGGCCCACAGTGAGTGCTTCATCGATGCCTGGCACATAAACTTACTGTAATGTATACTGCTCTTATTACTCAGCACATTCTCAACGCTACTCTAGATTTCCAAAAGAGGAGAGATTTTTGAAAGCCGGGACCTCCAGCTTCCTCACCCTAGAATGATACATTTATGACTGCCAATTTCCTGGGAATCGTATTTTTTTTTTCTTGTCTGGGTTACAGTGTGTAAACGTTCATAAAAGGACACTGCCCTGTTTGAAAGCCAAGAACAGCTGTTCGGAGAGCATGTGTTGTAGGGAACTTCTCAAACAATCGCACACCCTGGCCACCAAGTTTGTTTTCTGAAGGGTGGCTTTGGATCCTTGACAATATCTATTACTAAAAAGAAAGTGTTTCAGGCACTGGGTCCTTCCCCATCAGTTTCTACTTCTATGACTGTGGAATTATAAGTCAGTGGATGAAATCCATGAGAGCCATCCAGTGGTGTATCAGCAAGGGTCAAAATGACACAGATGACACACTCGAATATGAGGATAATTCAAGGGACATTCACTGCCTGACAGATTAATTACCAACCTTCGAGTGGGGCGTAGCAGGACAGGATAACCTGGAAACCCAGGGGTAGCAACAGTGGACCCCAAAGACAGAGCATGGGATAAAGCTATATCCACTTTTTTTTTTTTTTTTTTGAGACGAAGTCTTTGTCTGTCGCCAGGCTAGAGTGCAGTGGCGCGATCTCAGCTCATTGAACCTCTTCCCAGGTTCAAGCCATTCTTCTGCCTCAGCCTCCTGAGTAACACAGGTGTGCGCCACCACACCCGGCTAATGTATTTTTAGTAGAGATGGGGTTTCACCATGTTGGCCAGGATGGTCTCGATCTCTTGACCTCATGATCCACCCTCCTCGGCATCCCAAAGTGTTGGGATTACAGGCGTGAGCCACTGCACCTGGCCCAGTATCTGCTTTAAGAACAGAACAGGGATTTTCTGTCTAAGGATGCTGCCAATCTGAGGTTACCTCACTCTCCTCCCTTCCTATAATTTCCTACCTGGGATCCTCAGCAGCCAAGCCCAACCAGAAGCCCAAGGATAGAACACTACATCAATTGTGTGTTGCCATCATCCATACATGTTGGCCTTGGGAAACAGAGAGCAGAGATGGGTGGGAAGTGAACCAGGAGGGGCACACAGAAGCAATGCGGCAGGGGAGGTGAGGGCAATGAGCTGCGTGGATTCAGAGGCACTGGAGAAGCTAGTCCCATTAAGATCAATCAGACTGATCAACTGTTGAGCTAGCAATTCAAAGTACCAACTAAAGTTGGGCAAATTTTCTACAATAGCAAGCGTGTCATGCTGCATTGCGATCTAAAAAACACTATATCTTTTGTGAGGCAATATATCGTAAAGCCCAGATAGCAGAATGATTGGCCGAAGTAAAATAGATCATATTATTCACCTCTACTTTACAGTTTTACTGGATCGACTTTTCCTCCACTCCATCCCGAGGATGCTCACAGCCCTGACAGTCAATGGGAATTGGCTATTCCCTGGTCTGGGTACTCTTTTTATCGACGTGTTGATTTTTAGGCCTAGTAACTCAGTTGTGTTTGCTCCCATGCCTGCTTATGCCTGCAGTACCTGTTAATGGCAATTGAAATAATTAATACCTAATTCAGTAAACTGTAAGGATAAAAATAAAGAGAGTTGTTACTTCTGTGAAAATTCAGTTACATTCTGTGGGGAAATAAAATCAGCAAAGGCCAACCATTATAAAAGAATTGCAGTCAAAGTATGTGTGAGCCAGGCAATTGTTAAATGATGGGGGAATCATAAGAATCTAGAAGGATTCTATTTATAATTTATGGTTGGTAGTCCCAGGTCATTCCCTTGCTCCCAATTCAAGCCCGTAGCCAGGCTTTTAACATTCTTCCCTTGGGGGATTTTTCAAGGGTGACAGATGCTTCTGCTCTGTGGTCAATTGCTAAAATGGAGAAGAGGAATCCAAGCCTTGCTCATCTTCTGGAATTTTCCACATCTCTTTCCTTTCATCCAAAGACTTTGCTTGTGCTTCTTTCCCTCTTGTGCTCCAGGGACACCTTGGAAACTTCCTTCATTGATCTTTTAATATTACCAAGAATGGGACATGCCCTTTTCATCTGACCATTTCTGCTTTATACCTGAGGTATACTGAAGATTCCCTGAGGTAACTGAGAAGGCTTTGAGTATGAATGTCCCTCCTCTCTGCTCATGTGGAATTTTTCTCACTTGCCATGTTACCTTTGGACAATTTCGTTCTATGCCTGCCTCTTCTCTAGACAGTAAGCCCCTGAGGATGGGGAACATCTCTCATGCATCTTGGTCCCTTCAATGTCCTGGAATTGCTCTGGAATATTCTAAGCAGTCAGTGAATGCTTGTAAAATCATCTGAAAAGTTTTTGAAAATTATTGCTGGAGACACCAAAGGACCCAAAGATTTTGCATTTATAAGTAATAACACGTTATCCAAGCTCTTTAGACCCGAAGGATGTCTGGATGGGGCTATGGCGAACACACCTGATAGCAATAACTTAAGCATACCTTTAGAATGACCCTGTATGGCAGATGAACCTCGATGTGTGTTCCGAGATAGGGGATATGGAAGTGGCCAGCCTAGAGAGTCATTCCCTGTCTATGAAGAACACCTGAGCCCCGGGGCCATCCACTGGAACATGGACCACAAAGGGGATTGAGGCCCTGAGTGTTGGGTTGAATGACTGCCAGGTGGAGGTTGTTAGGGGGAGGGTGCTACATGAAAGTGCTATATAAACTCCTTGTCTTTTGCAAGCTATTGCGGTTCTTCTGCTCAGCTCACCGCCACTGGGCCACGTGGTTCTCATGTCCAGTCCGCTGCCACTGAACTCTCTCCCCAGTACGTAAGTCCCCAGTAAAACCCCATGTCTTGATTGCTGGCTCTGGGTCTCTTCTTCAGCCTCTTGAACCTGGAGCCAACCTATTGGAGTCAATAGGGGTTTGGTGTAACAGAGGACTAAGCTTGTTGAAGATCAGATTTGAAAAAGCAAATAATCAAAAGTAGAAAAGAGCAGGACACTGCTAGGTCATGCATGATGGCCTCAATAAGTTTGTTCCATTTTTTCCTTCTAATGACTTATTTCTTTTCTTTGCCTGAAAGATTTATGTATCTGTAGGGAATACTTTTGGGTGCAAGTAGCAGAATGCCCAACAAACAGTAGTTTAAACTGTAAGTTCACTTATTTATTTCTTAAGAAGTCCACAGCTCAGCAGCCCAAAGGTGATACAGTGGCTTAATAATGTCATCAAGGAAAGAACATCTTCCTGTCTTTCCACTGAATTATCTTCAGAGCACTGGCTTTTTGTCCTGGGCTCATAATCTTGCAGTTGTCACTAATTTAAATGTCACATCCCAACATGGCAGCATCCAGAACAGGAAGGGAAAGGGTCCTCTTCCTTGTATGGCTCTCTCTGATGTAGGGAGGAAAACGTCTCTAAGAAACTCTAAGAGTTGTCCTTTCCTCATTGGCCACACCTGAGCCAATTGGGTGACTTGCCCACGTGCAGACAAATCACTGGCACATTTTAACCTGTTGCCACAAACTACAAATTGGCTTGAAGCAAGTGTGGCTTATCCCCTTAGGGATGGATCCATCATTGTCTGGAAGAATAAACAGGGTCTATTTGTAAAGAAATGGGGAACCAACAGTGTCTTCTGCAATGTATTTGTTACCATGGCAAACACATGTATTGAGATACATGCCTTTAATGTGGGAGTTTTTAAGCCATGAGAGATATCTCAGGAAGTTCATCAAGCTATCTGTGTTCACCATTTGTCCTTCCCTGAGGAGTAGCTTTTTTTGTCTCAAGATCAAAGATAGAGGTTTCCAAACATTTAAAAGACAACGTTCAGGTTTTTCTTGGGAGATAGAGGTGCACAGAATGTCAGGGAGGGAAACGGGCTGGTGACTGAGAAAGGGGAAGTGATTCCAACCTGGTAGACAAATGGCAATGCCTAGTACCAAGAAAAGGACAACACTTCTTTTGGGGGATTGCTGTTTTCTGTGGGTACCAGATACCAGCACCACCTTTGCCTTCAGTCTTCCTGGTGGGGGGCAGCTGTGGGATGGTAGTGGCATCAGGCTTCTGAGTGCAGAGGTTCTGGGAGCAGCAATGTGAGTCTCTGACTCTCAGCCTACGGTCAGGGGAAAGGTCATCTGTGAAGAGCATCTCTGAGCTGACTTGAAGCATCAGAGTTCAGCAGATGGTGCAAGCGCCAGTCAGGAGCAGGCAAAAGGGGCAGAAACAGCCACTGTAACCTTATAGTGACTCCCCGGGGACTCTGAAACTTCAGTTTTCTTATTTGTAAAAATAGGGACTGTGGTTGGGCATGGTGGCTCACACCTGTAATCCTAGCACTTTGGGAGGCTAAGGGGGGTGGATCCCTTGAGTCCAGAAGCTCAAGACCAACGTGGGCAACATGGCGAAACTGTCTCTACCAAAAAATACAAAAATTAGCTGGGCGTGGTGGTATGCACCTGTTGTCTCAGCTACTCAGGAGGCTGACGTGGGAGGATCCTTTGAGCCCAGGAGGCAGGGGTTGTGGTGAGCTGCTGTACTGCAGGCTGGGCACAGAGTGAGACCCTGTCTCAAGAAAACAAAAACAGAAACCAACCAACAAAAATCGGGGTCAAAACTGTATCTATCTCAGAGATACGATTAACAATATAATATGGTGAAAGTGCTTAGCACAGTGCCTAGCAATAATAAACCTACTAAATAATAGCTGTTATAATATTATTATTTTCTGATATTGTATGATTATAGAAAAAGCAGAGACTCCACAACCAAGATGAAAATGGAAATTCTCAGAAATTGAGTTGGTTAAGTCTTGGAGCTAAATTCATTTGATAAAGAAAAAAGAAGAGATGTGATGCCATTTGAATCTCAATATTGGGGAGCAAATTCCTATCTACTATATTAAGGAACTAATTGAAGGTCCAAGTCCCTTTGAGAATCATGTTCTCTTTGGAGTGCAGCCTTTTCAATTCTACTGCTAATGGTAACATAGCTGAGGCAGTCACACTGTTATCCAGATGTTTCTGTCACCTGTATGCTGAATTAGACATATTATGGTACAGACTGTCTGTCTACCATCTAATTCTGTCATCTTTGTCTGTATGTATCTAACTATTGCTATCTATCTGTGTCTATCTATCTACCTATCTCTGTCTATCTCTCTGTCTGTCTGACTGTCTATTTATCTGACCTATTTAGTTCTTCATCTGTGACATGCACCATAACATTGTCTCATTTAATCCTCACAACAACTCTTCAGGCTAGAACAGAGGCTTTCAAACTTCTTGGAAAAGTTACAACTAAGACAATCACTTTTCCTGAGAACTCTGTTTATAGAAACACACACACATCTGAAAAAGTTGCCTATACTTACTCCATGTGACACATTCTATTCAATTCTATGCTACTGTATTCTATTCTGGTCCATTTAAAACATAATTTATTGTGGGTCACAATGTGGCTTTTATGAATCATTATTCAACTGAGTTCTTGTTATTCTCCATTTATAGAAGAGAAAGAGTTGGGGGAGGTTACAGACAGATGGGAAGAAGCCCAGCTCATCAGAGTAAGAGTTGGAATTGAACCAATGGCTTCTCTGATGTCCGAGCACTGACCATGATGCCCTGCTGCCTCTCACGGTGCTCCTCTGAGGATGGGTGCTTCACACCCAGCTAGTTCCCTGATTATTTTACGACGGCCATTCAAGCCCACCCACCTGCCTCTAGCTCAGTGGTTCTGAATTCTGGCTGCATGTTGGAGTCCTTGGAGCCACTGTCCTGAGGATGAAAATTGCATAGACCTGGACTGGGGCCTGCGCAGGAGTACTTTGTATTATTTTATTCCAACCTATTTCTATCTTTAGATCTAAAGTGAGTCTCGGCCAGGCGCAGTGGCTCACGCCTGTAATCCCAGCACTTTGGGAGGCTGAGGTGGACAGATCACTTGAGGTCAGGAGTTCAAGACCAGTCTAACCAACATGGTGAAACCCAATATCTACTGAAAAAAAAAATACAAAAGTTAGCCAGGCGTAGTGACAGGCACCTGTAATCCTAGCTACTCGGGAGGCTGAGGCAGGAGAATTGCTTAAACCCGGGAGGTGGAGGATGCAGTGAGCCGAGATCATGCCATTGCACTCCAGTCTGGGCGACAGAGCGAGACTCCATCTCAATAAATAAATAAATAAATAAAAATAAAGTGAGTCTCAACCTGTTGAACTATTCTAAAAAATCCATTCTGCCAATCTGTGCCTTTAATTTATTTACACTTAAAGTAATTACTGATAAGGAAGAACTTACTTCAACCATTTAGCTGTTTGTTTTCTGTATATCTTGTATGCTTTTTGTTCCTCAATTCCTACAATACTGCCATTTTTGTATTTAGTTGATTTTTTTTGTAGTGTATCATTTTGATTTTTTTTTTTTTTTTGGTATATGTTTCGTTATTTTCTTAGTGGTTATCTTGGGGATTGCAATTAACTTCTTGTACTTATCAAACCCTGGTGAACAATACCAACTTAATTTCAATAGTATAAAAACAGTCTGCCCCTAGACATCTCTATTCACTCCCCCTCCATATTGTTATCGTCACAGATTATATCTTTGTACATGTGTGCCCATTAACAATGACGTATAATTATTGTTTCATGAACCTAACTTTTAAATCATATAGAAACAAAAAAGGAGTTACAAAAGAACAGTAGGTACTTTGCATTTTTTAAAGTCTACCCATCTCATTTCAGTGTGCACCCAGGGTTAAGAATCCCCGCAGGGAAGAGCCTAATCAGGCGCTTACTTCTTCCTGTTTTAGTGGGGGCTGAGATTGCAAAGCAAACTAGCTAATTTGCTGGGACATTTATAACCAGGGAAGATTAAATAATATGTACAAGCAGAAACACAAGGCATATTATTAAAGCAAGCATGTGTGCAAAACACAGTGTCCTTTCAATTGCAGCATTGTTTGCCTCTTCCGCAGCTGGCTCCCAAGTATGTAATACCGCTGCAGAACTGGCTGTGGGGAGGAAAAAATGAAGTGCACTTCTCTGATTTTGTCTGGTGCCATCCACTTTCACTCAACCTTCCCTCAAGGAGAGAAGAACAATACTCCCATTGAGTCGCCTTTGTAGCTTGAATCTGAATCTGCTTTAATAATTCCTGTTTTTCTGTTTGTGTATAATTATTTCAACTCCCTGGGTCACTAAGTCCTCCCTGAAATCGGAGGGCTGCCTTATTTTCATATCTATGGTATAGAAAGCCCAAAGAATACAGTCAAATTGAATTTCCTCCCCCTGCATAAATGGAAGAGTTCATGAATTCTGTTTTCTCCACATGAACAATCTATTCTTGGGAAAAGAGAATTGCCCTTTACGAATGATGAAGGAGGCCATCGTCAATTGGGTGGAGTCCATTTTCTTCTTAGGAAGCAGCATGAAGAATTCATGGCTTGTTTGTTTCCTGATATGGGAAAAATTCACGTGCATAACAGCATAAATCCCACCCACATATTTAGGTAATAAATTAGGATGAAAATCTCCTACGATAATTAGATTTGAAAATGCCACGTTCCTGTAGAGCTATGCAAATACCTTAGGGAGTGGACTATGATGATGTTCCAATAAGCCTCAGTGTGTCTAGCTGTGAAATGGGCAACAAAGTCCCATCTTCTGAAGAAAGGCTGACATTGTCAAAGAAAATCATGAAGTGCCACATTTATGACTAGCTTTGAGATTCATGGTCTTTCATTTGAAAAAGATACAACGTAATGCTTCATAGGAGTTATCCTAATAGCTCGCTGCAATAGCAGGCGCTGATGGGATTCTTGCCTGCTGTACCGCGTCTTGGCAAATACTGATGTGGGATTATTTTGTTCGATCCCAATAATAAGCGTATCAGATAGGAAGTGATATTAACCCCACTTTTCAGACAGCAAAGCAGGGGTTCAATGAGGTTAACCCATTTATGCCTGAGGTTGCAATTTTTTAACTTTGAAAAATCAGACTTTGAGAAGCAGGATATAACTAACTCCCACATGCTTAGCGTTCCAATAATGGAACACTAGGCATAAATTTAATAAGCTCAGTTATACCATCTGAAAAGTGGGGTTAATATAACTTCCTCACTTCATATAACCTGCAGACATCATTGCCAGGATAGGAAGACAGGTCGCAGGGCAACTGAAGACCTGGTCACTTTTCCCCAGAGTTAGGGAGATGTAACTTGTGGAGAGCTGGATGCTTTTAGGCATTACACAAATGAATTCCATGTATTTATTTATTTATTTATTTTTGATTAAAAATTTTTTTTTAAAATTCTACTTTAAGTTCTAGGGTACATGTGCACAACGTGCAGGTTTGTTACATATGTATACACGTGCCATGTTGTTGTGCTGCACCCATTAACTCATCATTTACATTGGGTATATCTCCTAATTCTTTCCCTCCCCTCTCCCCCCACCCCACGACAGGCCCCGGTGTGTGATGAATTCCATGTATTTAAATGAATAAATCAAGCAACAAATGTATCAAGTAATGTCACACACTTCATTGGACAAATATTATTACTTTAGGGCAAGAACTAATAAAAACAAAATGAATAGGTTACAGAAAAAATATTGAGTAAATAATAATCCAGGTAGTACATGTCAGAAATCTTAATAGCTTATTCAAATGACTAGAACATATTTTTTAAATGGTGGAATAGAAAATGTGAAGGCCGGGCATGGTGGCTCACCCCTGTAATCCCAGCACTTTGGGAGGCCGAGGCAGGTGGATCACCTGATGTCAGAAGTTCAAGACCAGCCTGGCCAACATGGTGAAACCCCGTCTCTACTAAAAATACAGAAAATTAGCCACTCATGGTGATGGGCAGCTGTAATCCCAGCTACTCAGGAGGCTGAGGCAGGAGAATTGCTTGAACCCAGGAAGTGGAGGTTGCAGTGAGCCGAGATTGTGCCACTGCACTCCAACCCGGGCAACAAGAGTGAAACCCTGTCTTAAAAACAAAAAAAAGAAAGAAAGAAAATGTGAAGGACCCTTTATATTTTTTTAATGAGTGGACTCATTATTTCCAGAGTCATAGCCCCCAAATATTATCAGAACCTCTAATTGTCCAGGGGCAGGGGCACATTCCCAGTTCTCCTTTTGCCACAGGGCACAGCCCAATGCTGGAGCCCTGCAAACCCTTAGGAAACTTTGCTGAAAGTGTGCTGTGTCCAAAGGAGCCTAGGCGACTTTGCTGATCTGTCACCAACTTGCTGTGTGGCTTTGGGCAAGTCACTTCACCTCTCTGTGCCCCAGATTTTTTCTGTATAAAATAAATGTGTGAACAAGTTTGTATCTAAAGTATATTCCAATGCTATGTTTCTGGTTGGAATGAGCTAATTAATTAAAAAATTACTAAGTGGATATTACCTCTAGCTATTTTGGGGGGAAGTACCCTAGCCTGGGGATTTAGAGTGGGACTCTGGGTGCAGAATAACTGGTTTGAATCTTGTCTCCACCACTTTTTTCTTTCTTTTTCTTTTCTTTCTTTCTTTTTTTTTTTTTTGGAGATGGAGTCCCGCTGTGTCGCCTAGACTGGAGTGCAGTGGCGCGATCTTGGCTCACTGCAACCTCCGACTCCTGGGATCAAGCAATTCTCTTGCCTCAGCCTCCCGAGTAGCTAGGATTACAGCACCCACCACCATGCCCAGGTAATTTTTTTTGTATTTTTAGTAGACATGGGGTTTCACCATGTTGGCCAGGCTGGCCTCGAACTCCTGACCTCGTGATCTGCCCGCTTCGTCCTCCCAAAGTGCTGGGATTACAGGCATGAGCCACCACGCCTGGTCACCACCACTTCTCTCTGTGTGGCTTTAAGCAAGTTACTTAAATTCCCTGCACTTCAGTTTTCCGTAGAGTTCATGTACATCAGTTGTCAAAGGGCAGATGTCTGGCACATTGGAAATATTACCGAATGTTAGTTATCCGTGAATCGGGGGACTGATTTTATAACCACCCAAATCATATTTATTTCCTAGAGGAATGAAGATGAAAATAGTGGTGGTTAGTGTCTAGCATCGCACTATGTTTGCCAAGATTAATTTGCAATGAGCCGTTTTCAAACAGGATGTTCAGCCACTATATGTACTTCTTGAAGTAACCAGCAGGTGGTGAAGTTGGATTATATTTTAGATGGTCAGGGCCTGGTGTACCTCTTGCCTGGGGTTTTGTGAGAGAAAAAAAATAGCTTTCTTTTTTATCAGCACCCCAAACCATTAACATCTGGAATCAATAGAGGCTGTATCTGTCACTTAATGCTATAGAAATTGCAAGAAAAAAGTCCTGCTGGTTAGTATACCAGTTCTCAAAATGTCAGCATCATTTGTGTCACCTGGGGGTACTTGTCAGGAATGCAGTCTCTCTGGTCCCACCCCACAGGATGGAACTGGAAACTAAGGATGAGCCCAGTCATCTGTGTCTTCAAGAACTCTCCAGTGATTCTGGTGCACTTGTGTTATAGAACCGCTGTGCTAGAGGTCTTAGTATTTGCTGTGAATGTGAGTAGGTAAAGAGAGGGTATTTGGTGAGTGTCACTACCTCAGTGCAGGCCAGGGACCAGTGGTTCCACATCAATGTGGGGGAGTGTTAGAATGCATGGTCTCTGGCCACACCCCAAACAAGCTGGATTGAAAGTCGCATTTTCATCAGCTCCTGGAGATTCTCCTGGAGATTCTCCTGTATGATCTCTTTCTCTTTTTCTTTCCTTCTCTTCCTTTCTCATTCTCCTCTCTCTTCCCCTTTGCCATCTCCACTGCTCCCTTTCTCAGTGACAATTGGGCATACCCCTCGCAGTGCCGGCTGCTCAGGTGGGAAAGTGGAGAAGACTCTTCTATTTCCCAGCCTGAGAAAATTTGCTTACCTGTAATCCCAGCACTTTGGGAGGCTGAGGCGGGCAGATAATTTCAGCCCAGGAGTTTGAGATCAGGCTGGGCAACATGGCGTAACTTCGTCTCTACAAAAAGTACAGAAATTGACCCAGCATAGAGTCGTGCACCTGTAGTCCCAGCTATTGAGGAGGATGAGCTGGGAGGATCATTTGAGCCTGGAAGGCAGAGGTTGCAGTGAGTGGAGATCGTGCCACTGCACTCCAGCCTGGGACAGAGTGAGACCCTGTCTCAAAAAAAAAAAAAAAAAAAAAAGAAAGAAAGAAAACTTACTTGAAGCCTACTGGAGACAGACAGCTAAACATACAGTGTGGGACACCTGTGCTGCCACCTGAGTGCCAAGAGCAGGGAAGGACCCTTTGGGTTGGGAGCTTCGCACAGAGGGTGGCCTTGAGCAGCACCTAGAAATCCAGTTGAGATCTTCACTTTCTCCACATCCTCCTCTCCCCCTGTCGTCTGTTGTTCTTTTTCTACTTACCTGCCTTCTGGCTCTTTTCACCTGTGGATAATTTATTCCCACAACTCAGTCTCACCAGGATGACTTAAAGTCTAAAGTACACGTCAGTGGTTCTCAAAGTGCAGTCCCTTTCCAGCAACATCATCACTTTGGAACTTGTTAGAAAGACAGATTCTCAGGCTCACTCCAGACCTTGTTAAAGGAAACTTTAACAAGGCTTCCAGAAGATTCTAACACACATGACAGCTAGAGAACTGTGGCTTTAGATGGTGGCAGAAATTGTTCATTGCCTACTCAAGCCACGGGTTCAAATTCTTCTTGGTAACAGACCCAGATAGGGGTCCAAGTTTCAGGTGAGTAACAAACACTGTTCTCAGAAACAGTAAGCTCTTTCCCTTGCCCCAGGGGAATGAAATACGATTCGTCTACACTGCGATTCTACTTCGCAATGACATGTAGTGGCAAATTGGGGACCCAAGAAGCAACTGATGGCACAGTCTTAATAAGGTAATTTAACGGGCATTTCCTGAAAATAGGCTATTTATAGGAATGTGAATGTGTAGTAACGCAAGGAAGAGTGAAGTAACCACAGAAAACAGCCTGAGTTGCCTTCCCTGTGAGAAGGATCCCTTCAACTCTAGACCTAAGGGAGCAAGAAAGGAGAATTTAGGAGAGAGTCAAGTTGGGGAGTCCTTGACAGGAGCAATGACCTTATCTCAAAGTCCTCATCCAGCCTGAGGTCAAGCCAGGGGGGATGTCAGGGGACTCCTTCCCCTCTCCCCATCATTGTCTTCTCTCCCTGAGACCTTGAACTGGCACCCCCCATTGGCTGAGACCATCCGGGTATACAGGAACCCTAAAATCTTTACAGGTAGGCTTTACCAGTCTACATAGGGTATTAAAGAGCAGAATATGAGTTTGGGGAGCAAAAGGAAGACATCCTGTTCATTGGTCTAGGGGTGAGCAGGTGGCCCAATCTGGCCAATGAGACATATGGGAAAGTCTGCTGGACGCTTCTGGAAACATTTTCTTTCCTGACTGTCGTAGAAAGAAGGCTCTCCTTTCTACTTGCTTGGGATGCTTTTGAGAGGTTGCACTTCTTGGACTTTGAAGCCACCTTTGGCCACAAGGGGAATGCAAAGAGAACTACTGTCAAGAACCTGGATACCCACAGAGCTATTAAAAGGCCTTGGAACCCCCAGCTCCAGCCTTCTTGTTAAGCAAACAATGGATGTCTCTATAGTTTAAGCTTCTGAGGGTTGTGTGTTCTGTAATGGGAAAATCTGTGGAGTTATTGCTAGGAATGGTAATGGTGAAATCATTAAAACACAGACCCCAATTCAGAGTCAAATTCAGCTGTGTTGATGCCCTTGGATCTGATTAAAAGAGCTTCCTTCTTATTTGAGTAGGGGAAGTGGATTCTGGAAGACAATAGAATATGGACATGGAAAGGCATCCCTGAGTGCCTGAGGAGGGGGCTTCTGGGGGAAGAGCCTGGCAGTGATGCCTGGAGAGTCAGGGTCACACCCCTGGCCCAGGCAGAGGGCACTGCTCAAAACACCTTGTACCTCCCCAGGCAAGGTCCTTGTAACCCATGACCTCAGAGCATTGAGTACTTTAGCTCAGCTTCATCTGTGATAGAGAGGAGACAGCTCAGCCTGTCTCCTGTGAGGGGAAGATTTCTGTGTGTCTGAAGGAAAAGTTCTCTGCACTCGCCCAATGCACAGCACTTCACAGCTGCCCTCACCCCAGCATCGCAATCCTCTCAACTCCTGCCCTGTATCAGCCTCTCCCCTCCCCAAACAGACAGGCAGCCAGGAGTAAGGCCATGGTGGTTGACTCAAGCATCTCTCTTCCCAGGCTGAAGTTCCACAGGTCTTGCTCTACCAGCTACAGTCCTGTGACACTTAGCAATGGGGTATGTTCTGAGAAATGTGTTGTTAGGTGATGTCATCATTGTGGGAGCATCATAGAGTGTACACACACACCTTCATGGCATAGCCTACTACACATCTAGGCTAGATGGCTTGGTCTGTTGCTTCTAAGATACAAAATCTGTACAGCATGTTACTGTACCGAACACCTCAGGCAACCGTAACACAATGGTAAGTGTTTGTGTATCTAAACATAGAAAAGGTACAATACAAATATGGTGTAAAAGATTAAAAAAAAAAGATACACCTGTGTAGGGCACTGTATTAGTCCGTTTTCACACTGCTGATAAAGCCATACCCAAGACTGGGTAATTTACAGAAGAAAGAGGCTTAATGGACTTACAGTTCCACATGGCTGGGGAGGCCTCACAATCATGGCAAAAGGCAAGGAGGAGCAAGTCACATCTTACATGGATGGTGGCAGGCAAAGAGAGAGAGCTTATGCAGGGAAACTCCTGTTTTTAAAAACCATCAGATCTCGTGGGTCTTATCACTATCACGAGAACAGCATGGGAAAGACCCGCTCCCATGATTGAATTACCTCCCACCAGTTTCTTCCCACCACATGTGGGAATTGTGGGAGTTACAATTCAAGATGAGATTTGGATGGGGACACAGCCAAACCATATCAAGCCCTTATCACAAATAGAGACTGCAGGACTGGAAGTTGCTGTGGGTGAGTCAGTGAATGAAGAGTGAGTGAATGTGAAGGCCTAGGACAGGACTGTGCACAGGACTGTGGAATTTACAAACACTGTGCACTTAGGCTACACTAAATTTATAACAACATATTTTCTTCCTTCAATAATAAATTAACTGCTTACTGTAACATTTTTACTTTATAATTTTTTTAGTTTTTTAAACTTTTTGACTTTTTGTGATAACACTTAAAACACAAACACATTGTATAGCTGTATGAAATATATTTTCTTTACATATTTATTCTACAAGCTTTTTTCTATTAAATTTTTCTTTTTATACTTTTTAAGACATTTTGTTAAAAAACGAAGACACACACATTAGCCTAGGCCTACACAGGGTCAGGACCATCAATATCGCACTGTCTTCTACTTTCACATCTGTTCCCACTGGAAGTCTTCAGGGGCAATACTATGCGTGGAGCTGTCATCTCCCATGATAACAATGCCGTCCTCTGGATACCTCCTGAAGGATCTGCCTGAGGCTGTTTTCCAGTTTTTTTTTTTTTTTAAATTTATAGCTAGAAGGAGTGCACTCTAAAATAATGATAAAAATTATAGTATGGTAAACACAAGGCAATAAGAATATTTTGATTCCATTATAATCTTATGGGACTGCAGTCATAGATGTGGTCTGTCCTTGGAAATGGTATGTGGCACATGACTGTGCTTCGTCTGCCTCTATCCTCTCAATCCCAAGCGCCTATTTCTCTAATAGTCAGAGGCACTGACAGAAAGTCAACACACGCATTCTGACTGAGCTGCACAGTACTGACCCTGTTAGTGGCTCTGAAAGTCAAAAACGCTTTAGCCTTCCATCACTAATCTCATTCCTCTTTTGTTTGTTTGTTTGTTTCTTTATTTATTTATTTCCTGAGATGGAGTCTTGCTCTGTCCCCCAGGCTGGAGTGCAGTGGTGCAATCTCGGCTCACTGCAACCTCTGCCTCCTGGATTCAAGCGATTTTCATATCTCAGCCTCCCAGATAGCTGGGACTACAGGCATGCATCACCATGCCCAGCTAATTTTTATATTTTTAGTAGAAATGGGGTTTCACCATGTTGACCAGGCTGGTCTCGAACTCCTGACCTAAAGTGATCTTCTCACCTCGTTTTCCCAAAGTGCTTGGATTACAGGCATGAGCCACTGAACCTGGCATCATTCCTCTTTTAAAGCTTATTCAAACCAATTACTTTCATTGAACTTGCCAAGAATTAAATGGAGAGGAAGAGGTTTCATGTTAATCAGGACTCCTCTTTCCCAGCTTCTTGAGTCATTTTGCTTGAGAACAAATATGATCAAAGTGCAGAGTGAAGGAAAGGCATACGTAGAGGAAAGGGGGCTTTTGTATGCCAAGCCCTGTTCCCACACCTCATATCATTTAATCCCCAAACCATACCAATCACCCCATTGTACAGGGGAGATACTGAGGCTTACAGGACGTAGCCTAATCCCCTGCAGGAAAGAAGGTGTGGATCTGGAACTGAACGGGGTGGTCTGGGAAGACCACCTCGATGAGGTGACATTTGTCTGGAGGTCACGATGAACTGAGAAAACAAATGATATGAATATTTAGAGGAAGAATCTTCCAGGAGAAGGCAGTGAAGAGTGCAAAGATCTGAGAGTGAGCAGGCTTGGTAAGTTCCAGAAAGAGCAAGATGACTAGTGGAGTGGGGTGAGAAAAAAAAAATGCAGTGGGTGAGGTCAGCAGGGTGGAAGGGGTGGGGCAGATAAGGTAAGGTCTTGCTCGATTGTCCCCTGCAGTCACACATATGGGACTCACCCCATTCCCTCTGCTTGCTGGTCCCTGTCCACCCCACATGGTAGCATTTCCCATGCTGAGTCAAAGTGGTCTCTTCACATCTGTATTTCCCCCTTGACTGAATTCCCTGCATCCAGCTTTGTATTCTGGCTCCCAATGGAGTCTTACCTACAGGCAGGTCCCTTTGCTTGAGCCGGGGGGCAAATGAAGTTTCTTGCACAAAATCAGATTATGCTGGAATGCAGACACATCTACAAAACTGTGCTTCGTAAAACTGCATCATCTTTTTCAAGAATGGTCAGTACCTTCCTGGCTGCTCTCTGCTTGTGAAAAACTGAGTATTTTCTATTCCTCTTTGAAATTCACATGGAACATACCAGCATATAAAAGGCCCTGGGAATTGTGGAATCAACAGACTTTATTTTGTTGAACCTACCTTTGATTTAAAAAAAAGTTTGTTGAGCATTAGAATTTTCAAAAGACATATGGCTTTCTAGCAGAACTAGTTTTCCAGGGAAAGCAATTTGGAAAACACTCAGTTGAGTGGAGCAGCAGCAATGGGAATCAAGAAATAGATTTCGTGAGACGTGTTCATTCTTTACAAGGCCTAGGCCTTTTAATATTGCCAGTGAAGGGTAGGAATGGATGAACTTTTTCAGAATGAATTGATTAATTCATTAATCATTAATGAATTAATTCATTTAATTAATTCATTAATGAATTGATTAAATGTGTATTCTTAAAAATATAGGGAATTTGGTTAGGGAACCACAGCTCTTGCGTTAGATGTAAATTGCTGTGTAACAAATTACAACAAACATGGCAGCTTTAAAACAATACACATTTATAATCCCACAGTTTTTGTGGGTCAGGACTCTGGGTATGGGTTAACTGGGTTTTCTGCTCAAGATCTCCAGGCTGAAATCCAGGTGTGGGCTGGACTGCACTCTGATCCGAGTTTCAGTGTCCCTTCCAGTTCACTGGTTGTTGGCGCAATTCATTTCCTTGCAGCGGTAGAACTGAGAATCCCTTTTCTGCTCACCGTCCTCCAGGGACAGCTTTCCACCCCTAGGGGGCGCCCACAGTTCCTTGCCATGTGGCTTTCCTAGACCATTCACAATGTGACGTTTACTTTCTCTTTTTTAATCTTTTTTATTATTATTTTTAATTGACGCAATAATCGTATATATTTATAGGTTAGAGCTTGATATTTTGATGAATGTATACAATATAGAAGATCAAATCAGGATAATTAGCATATCCATCATCTCAAATAGTTATCATTTCTCTGTGCTGGGAACATTCAGAGTCCACTCTTCCAGTGATTTGAAAATATACAGTAAATTGTTAATGATAGTCACCCTATAGTGCTGCAGAACACTAGACCTTGTTCCTCCTATCTAGCTGTTTACCCACCTTGGTTTTCCCTCCTGCCCCTACTCTACCCACCATTCCCTGCCTCTGGTAACCATTATTGTCCTCTGCTTTTATGAGGTCATTTTTTTTAGCTTCCATATATGAATGAAAGCATAGAGCATTCATGCTCATGAAAGATGAGATTTATCTTTCTGTGCTAGACTCCCAAAGAAACAGGATCAGCACCTGACAACCGCTGAGCTTTCTTTTGACCTTTGGATAGTAGTTGACAGTTTGTTTTCCTTCTGCAGGTTCATTGCTAGGATTTCCCCATAATGCATGTGTTCCAGTGGGGAATGTGGCACATCCCAGGCAAGGTCACTGAGGATTTTTGAGCAATCATTTTCTCCAGGTCACTGTGGTCACCGGGGCATAGAAGGTGAAATGCTCCAGTCTGTAACTGGTCTAGATTGGTAGTGATGGAAAAACATTCTTATTGTCAGTGCCCAGCCACTGGGCGGTGGGGGGGGAATGCCAGCTGGCAGGGGCACTGAGAACAAAACCAAATGGATAGTACGATGAAGCAAGGATCACCAGGTGCATAAAAGGAGAAACAACTACCATTTATCGAAGGCCAGTAATGTGCCAAGCATTGTGCCGAGTGCTCTTTTTGCAGATGAGAAAACTGAGTCTTGGAGGTTTTATAGCTCATCCAACGTCACACAGCTAGGACACGGTACCAGGGTACAAATATAGACTAACACAAAACTCAAGTTGGAACACAATGGTTGCACATTAAATCATTATGTAATGCAAAGAGCTGGCCTAGAAGATGGTAATAAAATGGCTTACATAGTCCCTGTCGTGCTGGAAAAGTGGTATTTATAAGCAAGAGCTAAGCTTGCCTTTAAATTTGTCAAGCTTTGGAATTGAGTTACTGTTTCTGGACATGTGTCACACCTATACATTGAGATGATATTCTCTTTGCCTGGCAAAATAACGAATAAGCAATTGTAAAGTCTTTTGATTTTTGTAGGGAACTATCATAAGCCTTCCTGATCCTCCCTAATCAGCAGGCTAAGTCAGTTTGCTGCCATACATAGAAGGAGCAGGTTTTGGAAGAGACAGTTGCCAGCTCTGCCGGTTTTTATGTTAGTGTTCAGTTAGCTCACCTATAAAATATGGATAATATCCGCCAGATTGTAAGACTCGAATGAATGATTTAAGTTCAGTGCTTAGTAGGTATTCATGGCTATAATATCCTCACTGGTGTAGCAGAGAAGAGGAAAAAGCAATTTATTCTAACCGTGGATGCTGAGCTGTGTATGAAATGTGACTTGATTTTTTTGGGCAGTGGAGCAGTGGGGGTGGGTAGCTGCTATCTTCCAGAAAGGGAAATGTGTGGGATGATGAAGAAAGTACTAAACTCTGTACCCAAGAACTCTGTTCACCATCTTCCCACTGGCCTCTGGGCCTCAGTCTTCTAATGTGTTAAAATGAGGCTTTTTTAGATAAGGTGAAGTCTGCAGGGTATTTGTTCCAAAGGATGGGTGTAGGGGGTTAATAATTAAAGCATGCTGTGATCCAATTAGGGAAACAATTGCAAAGCAAATTAAACAGATTATTGTTATTATCCTTAGACTTCTCAGAACCTTTAATGTGCCAATGTGTGTGCTAGCTCTCCTAGAAGGGGCGTGGTAGAGAGTTTCCCAAACTAATTTGAAAGATGCATTAGAAACATTTTATTTCCATCATCCCCAAAGCTCCTCTTGACCTGAAATTCTATGATTCTAATATCTACGTCATGTAGAATGGCTGGTTCTTTAGAGGACAGTAACAACATTTTTCTAGTTTTGACTTAGGATTTTGGATAAGGCAAATTCTACTTCCTGTTACCTCTGGAGACATACGCAGTCATTCAGTTATCTCTCTTGCCTTTGAACTGGGTATACATATTCAGTTGGATTATTTATCTCTGGATTTGAAAGGATTGCATTTAATTTTGAATCAAGGGGAAAGTGATCGTGGTGTTCTGAGTCACTAGTGAAGCCAGTTACAAGCCAGCCTCAAAGCAAGCACAGTCTTGCACTGATTAGGAAACGTTGAGAGAAGATGGCAGCCAGAAATATTTGAAGCTTTAACACCAAACAGTTGTGACAGCAAAGGTCTCCAATTTTTGCTTTTCATCTTAATATTATCTTTATTTATAATATTTTTAAATGATGGAACTACTAAACTGAAAAATAGTGAAAGCTACTAATTATTAAAGTGCTTACCATGTGCTGTTGCTATTCTAACTGCTCTTCTTGCATTATAGCCTCAGTTTCATCCCTGAGAGACAGGTCCTATTTTCTCCATTAGCCAGGCAAGGAAACGGGCAGACAAAGCAGATTTTCTGAAGTTACACAGCTTAGAGGAGAGTGGTCCAAATCCCGTCTTCATCAGTTCCTGGCCATGTGGCTCTGGCCAACTGGCTTATTTGCTTTAAGGTTTGTTAGCTCTTCTACTAAACTGGAATAATAATGAATAATAATAACAATGATAATAGTTTCTAAATGACGAGGTCGTTGTGAGGATTAAACAAGCTATTATATTTATGGAATGCAGTGTTGCCTGCACAGTCAATACTCAAAATCTGCTAGCTATTATTTTAAAATTATGGTTATTATTACTATATTGACATGTATGTTAGGAAGCTGTTATTCTATCTCAGAGATAATGCTTTTAATATAAAATATAAATATAATTGTGTGTATATGGGATAGGTATAAATCTTAAGCTATTAATTCACTGTTATGCCTTTTTAAAGTGTGTAGATTATGTAGTCATAAGTTAATACCTATAGCTTTCATTCTTTTTCCAATGAAATAAAGCTGTTCATTAAGAGCGTCATGTGAACCAAAAATTTGGAATAAAATCATATTGAATTGTACCAGAGTAGGAACTCTCATAGAGTACTGGTGGGCATTTGAAGTTGCAAAAACCATGGAGAGGGAATAATTTGGCAAGATCTAGTAAGGAGGAGGCTGTGCATGCCTGTGACCTAGTAATTAATATCCTGGAGGGACTCACACATGTATACAAGGAGACTTGGGCAGGAATGTTGGTGGCAGAAGGATTTGAGATAGTAAAAAATGGAAACCAACTGAAGGTTCAGCAACTAGATAAAACAAATGAATTAGAGCTCTAAGTACTGGCAAGGTAATATCATAAAAGTAAAATATTGAATTAAAAGGAAATTACAGGAAAATATATGCAGAATAAAATCTGCAAACAGTATCATAAAACTGATCATGAACATATTCATATATTGCAAAAATATCATACAAGCTTGAAATAGTGAATACCAAATTCTTGAATTCAGAATGGCTGTTGTTTCTGGATAAGGAGGAACAAAGATGGGTTTGCTGAAAAGAAGGCAGTGCAATTCAACTGCATCTGGGATGTGATTTTTATGAACGTGTTGGGGCATGAATGACCAATGCCAAGATTTGACAAAGCTGGATGGTGGCTGCTTTTTTGTATGCTTGAAATGTTTCATAATTGTAAAAAAATCCCATTTTATTACTTGTTTTGCCTTCTCTCCTCTTTTTGTCTTCATCTGTTTCATAGTTTCAACAGACTTAGCACCTTATGTCTAGGTGTACGTTTTGAGGGGACAGCAATTTTTTGTGCTACAAACTTTCTGTAAGAGGTCTTGGACTTAGGGATTCCAGTTCTCAGTGTTAGACCTTGTTTTCTGCTGGGTTCAGATGAGAGGTCATACAGTGCAAGCTGGGGCCCAAGTTGAGTTAATTATTTAATAAGGCTTCCACTTAGTCTGTGTAAACTCCACGAGCTCTCCTGATGGCCAACTCATTCACACTCCTTGGCCCACAGAGGGTTCAGAAGGGCCAGGAGGTGAGACAGTTGGTGAGAACAAACGGCATCCTTCCCTGCTGTTTATCAGTGTTTCTGCTGCTTGCTCAAGTAATCAACAGCATAGGTAGGGCTTAAAGAGGAAATCCGGTGCCTGCAGAATTATGACTGACCTATTGAGGAAAGGTTCAGAGAGGCTGGGGAGTTTGTGACCTTCCGGTTAAAGTGTGACTTCAACCAAGGCAGACCAGGAGGGTGGGTGAGGCATCCAGTTCATAGATGAGATCAGTGTCAACGGGTACAAATCCAGCAGGGTGACTCCATGCGTGTGTGTGTATATGTGAATAACACAAAGCATGTCATGAAATAGATGCATTAAATCTGAAGTATGTAATGTTGTATATAATGTCTTAAAAGTTCCCAATTCAGCACACCATGAAATGTCTAACCATGACAATTAAACAATGAAATGGCTCGACAGGAAGGGCTTTTGCATTCCTTACAGAACTTACATTCCAAAAAAGCCAGGTGGAGACATAAAACAATCCTTCCTCATAGATGGTTTGTGTTGTGTTGGTTTATTTTATTTTATTCTATTTTATTTTGATAAGAACATGTAATATGAGATCTACCCTCTTAACAGACTTGTAAGTGTACAGTAGAATGTTGTTATCTATGGCACAATGTTGTACATGGGTCTCTAGGACTTACTTATCTTGCATAACTGAAATTTTATATTTGTTGATTAGCAACTCCCATTTCCTCCTCCTTCCAAACCCTGTTAACCTACATTTTATTCTTCATTTTTATGAGTTTGACTGTTTAGCTAGCTCTTATAAGTGGAAACATGCAGTGTTTGTCCTTCTGTGACTGGCTTGTTTCACTTGATGTAATGTTTTCAAGGTTTATTCATGTTATCACATATTTCAGGATTTCCTTCTTTTTAAAGGCTGAATTATATTCCGTTGTATGTGTGTGCATGTCTATGGAATATAATTATACATGTACACACATACAATGGAATATATATATATATATATATGTATATATATCACATTTACTTTATCCATTTACCCTTTGATGGATATTTAGGTTGTTTCCACATCTTGGCAATTGTGAATAACATTGCTATGAACACAGTAGTGCACATACCTCTTCAAGATCCTGAATTGAATTCTTTTGGATAAATACTCATAAGTGGGATTGCTGGATCTTATTATGAAGCAAAATTAGACAAGTGGGACTACATCAAACTAAAAATCTTCTGCACATCAAAGGAAACAATAATAGAGTGAAAGGCAACCTACAGAATGGGAGAAAATATTTGCAAATTACATATCCAATAAGAGTTAATTTCCAAATATATAACTTCTACAACTTAATACCAAAAAAGAATTACCTGATTAAGAGACGAGCTAATACTTTAATAAATATTTCTCCAAAGAAGACATACAAATAGCCAACAGGTATGTGGAAAGATATTCATCACTAATCATCAGGGAAATTCAAATAAAAGCCATGAGGTATCCACCTCACACCTGTTAGGATAGCCTTTATAAAAGAAAAAAAAAACCACTTGTGTGCTGTTGGTGGGAATGCAAAATGGTGTGCAGCTTCTATGAAAAATAGTATGGAAGTTTCTGGAAAAAGTAAAACTGGAATTACCATATGGTCCAGTCATCCACTTCTGGGTTTATTTGTTTTAAACACATGCATGTGTTCACACACACACACACACACACACACACACACACACACACACAGCCTTTTTCCTTTTTAGCTTATTTATTTTGTTTCATATGAGGAATTGAGAAAGCACCATGGGGTACTGGAGCCATGGTGGTGATAGCTTTCTAGAATTATCTGAGACTAACTGTGTGGTCAGAGGCATTTCTCATCTTTGTTCTTGGGCCAGTTGGTCTGACGAGGTGAGAAGCTGGATGGGGAGCCCCCTCTTCAGGGAATTCTATTTCCCACTTCAAGAGTGAACCGTAGTCATCAGCCCATGGGCTTTGGTGTCTGAGAGATGTGAGTTCAATTTGGGCTCTTTCCAGTTCTACAACTTGATGCAAGTTACTCCTCTGAGCAATAATATTCCCAGCTTAATTAATAAATTAATTAATAAATGCTCAATAAAAATTATCATTACTGTTATTATTTTATTAATTTCATTTGTAAAGCAAGTCTTCTATGTAACCTTCCAGTGAAATCAGGAAAGACCCTACTGTCATAATTTAAAACAAGTTTTGTAAAACTTAATTTTCATTCCTTTATCATTGGTAACATTCACATGGTTCAAAAGTTACTAAGGCTATCTTCCCCAGGGCCTTCCATGGAGGCCTTCACTGTGTTATGCCTTTTTAAAGTGTGTAGATTAGGAATATGCAAACAAACAAGCACATACATGTACCAGGTAGTTACTTACTAAGTAGACTATGTGAGCACTTTGCTTTTTTTGGTCACTTAATGTTTCTGGGAGATATTTCCTTTTTGTTACATAAGAGGTGAAGTCATTCTTTTGTATGACTGTGTTGTTTGACAAATGGATTCTTTTGATTTTTTGACTTTTCTTTCAGTCTTCTTTTGCAGTGGAATACCTAGGAGTTGTGTTGTATTTCTTCATTTTACTCATTTATTTTTCTTGTCTGTGCCTCTTGCACTAGCTGAGCCTTGATTCCATCATGATCGAGGGATTCCACCAAATTCACTATTTGAGAAGCCCTGTGGTGTGATGCATATCAGGGTATATGCCCCAGGAAGGTGAGTTTCATAATCAACGTTGCTGATTACAATCAATGTTTCATAATTAATCTACTCAGGAAATAATTTCTGAGCATCTATTATATGCCAAACACTGTTCTCTAGGCTCCAGGGACACAGAAGAAAAGATGATATGGCCCCTGACCCCGTGGAGTTTATGGTGGAGCAAGGGAGCTATAAAGTCATGTAGTAACTACAAAAAAAGCCTGGCAGATGTCGTGGTGGGTAAATAGAGGAGGCCTTAAGCATATAGGGCAGTGGTTATCAAACCTCAGTGTGTCTTAGTATTCCTTGGAAAGCTTGTTAAAATTCAGATGACTGGGCTGCACTCCCCAGAGATTTAGATAAAGTGTGTTTATGCTGGGGCCCAGAAGCTACATTTTTACTAAGCACCACAAGGGATTCTGGTGCAGGCTGTTCTGTAGACCTCATTCTGAGAAGTACTGGACTAAAGGTTAGTAAAGAAAGGTGGGCCGGGTGCGGTGGCTCACGCTTGTAATCCCAGCACTTTGGGATGCTGAGGTGGGCAGATCACCTGAGGTCAGGAGTTCAAGATCAGCCTGGCCAACATGGTCAAACCCCGTCTCTACAGGGTCTACAGAGGACAGCCCCTCCTCTCTGAGGCTGTGCTTTGCTGTGCTTGTGAAGGTTTGTGCCTCCTCTGGCCCCGAGTCTCATTCACACCCACCTGTCTATTCCTGTTGGTAGGTGAGCCCTGGCTCTAGCTTGGGACTCAGGCCCCATGCATCTCATTTTAAAACAAATGCTCTTTGTATTTTGTAAAAATACAAAAATTAGCTCAACATGGTGGCGGGTGCCTGTAATCCCAGCTACTCAGGAGGCTGAGGCAGGAGAATAGCTTGAACCCAGGAGGCAGAGGTTGCAGTGAGCTGAGATTGAGCCATTGTACTCCAGCCTGGGCAACAGAGTGAGACTCCGTCTCAAATAAAATAAAATAGAATAAAGGTGTATTAGTCAGTTTTCACACTGCTATAAAGATACTACCTGAGACTGGATAATTTGTAAAGGAAAGAGGTTTAACTGACTCACAGTTCCGCATGGCCAAGGAGGCCTCAGGAAACTTACAGCCGTGGTGTAAGGGGAAGCAGGCACATTTTACATGGTGGCAGGCAAGAGAGAATGTGAAGGAGGGGCTGTCCAACACATAAAACCATCAGATTCATGAGAACTCACTCACTATTATGAGAAAAGCATGGGGGAAACTATCCCCATGATCCAATCTCCTCCCACAAGGTCCCTCCATCAACACATGGGGATTACAGGGATTACAGTTTGAGATGAGATTTGAGTGGGGACCCAGAGCCAAAGCATATCAGAAGCCTTCCTGGAGAAGGTGAGGGCTAAGCTGAGATCTAAGAAATGAACATGAATTTGCCATGTAAAGAAGGTAGCAAAAGATCTTCTAGTCCATTACTTCTCGAAGTGTGGCCCACAGACTGGTGTCTGTCTGCAGACTGTTTATCGTCAGTCCCCATCAAGATAGGCACAGAAATTCAGTGTTTAAACTTTATGTGGCAATTTGACATTGTAACGACACCCCAGCATGTGATTAGTGGATTCATCAGTGGACTCATCTATACTGTCTGAGCTTGGTGTAGACCTGCTTGGGTGATGTTAAATTCATGAGGGCATCACATGTGACACAAACTGCACCCTTGTCCTGTATCAAGATCACATGTATGTACAGGATGGATTGGAAGTTAAGTCCAGCAAAAAGTCCCAGTGCTGGTTCTGCCCCAAAGACGGGTTTGGGGAATATTGTTCTAGACAGAGGTACAAGAGGACAGCTGCTTTGGAGGAACTGGAAGAGGTTTAGTGTGATATGGGGGCCTAGGGTATGAGAATGCAAGTAGTAGGCTGTAACCTGGAACAGAAAGTAAGGCGGGCAGGTTGCCACCTGATTGAGAAATTTAGACCTTGTGCAAGTGGCTATGGAAATCCACTGAGGGAACTTAATTGATGTTTTTAGGCACGAGGCCCTTGTGTTTAGAAATTCATTATAACCCTCCTGTGTAGTTGGGTTTCCCTGTTACCTGCAGTCTATTTTCAAAGCCAGGTAAGAGTTGAGGAAGTAGCAAGATTATGAATTCCCCTAAGGGTTTACTGTTTATCCAGTGGTTTGCTTGATTCCTCCATGGGCTTCTCCCATGACGGCCCCTCCTCTCTGAGGTGGTGCTTGTGAGGGTTTGTACCTCCTCTGGCTACAAACCCTCATTCACACCCACCTGTCTATTCCTGTTGGTAGATAAGCCCTGGCTCTAGCTTGGGACTCAGGCCTCATGCATCTCCTTTTAAAACAAATGCTCTTAGTGTTTTCCACATACCATAATGCTTTGAAAAAAAAATTCAATATTTTATTTAAAAAATTTCAAACTATAGGAAAGTTAGTAGAATAACAATATAAATACGTTTTTACTTTTCATCTAGATCCTTCAAATTGTTATCATTTGGCACATTGGTTTCTCTCCTTATAACAGATACTGTATATTATGTAATATATGTAATATATAATGATATAATATATGCACACTTTTTTCTGCTAAATCATTTGGGAATAAATGGCAGATATTATGCCCATTTACTCCTAAAAACTTCAGCATGTATCTTCTAAGGGCAAGGGTATTCTCTTACATAAGCACATGCACTGATCACGTTAAAAACATTTAACATTGCTACAATGCTATCATCAGTAGAGTCCATATTCTGATTTGCTCAATTGCTCCCAAAATGCTATCTTAAGCAGTTAATTATCTGACCTAGGATCCAGGGTCACATATGGTATTAGTTCTCTTCAGTCTTCTTTATTCTAGAATAGTGTCTTAGCCCTCCTTTGTTTTTTCTGATACTGACAATTTTGAACAGTACAGGCCAGTCATTCTGTAGGATGACCCCCAGTTTGTGTTTGTTTTCTGGTTCTTTCCTCCTGATTAGATTCAGGTTAAATAGTTTGACAGAAAAACTGTAGGAATAGTATTGTGTTCTTGGTGAATCATATTCCAGGGTGTACAGTGCCAGTTTGTCCCTTTATTGGCAATATGCATTTTGGCTGCTTGGTTAGGTGGGGCTTTGCAACTTTCAAGATGCAAGTCCCTGGAATAAGTTTATTGCCATGATTGTTTCCTTGGGTACAAGGGTTGCCTTAGAGTATGTCTTTCTCTGGGAAGGCCCTTCTTTACTCCTTTCTAAGAGGGCGGGTCTCTGCCAGCTCTGCCTTAGGACACATGATCAATCGGTCAGGTGACTTCTCCCATCTCCAAGAGCCTGTGTTCTAGTGAGGAGAGACAGGCAGTAAACATGTAAATGTAAATGATCAGAATAAATGAGTCAATTCCAGATTATGATAAGTGCTGTGAAGGAAATAAAACAAAGGAATGGGACAGGGTTAGGTAGGGGAAAGTTGCCATCCATAAAACCAAGTTCCTGCCCTCCTGGGGTACCCATTGCAATGGGGGACATCAAGGATAACAAACATATATATAGCAAGTCAGGTAGTGCTGAGTGCTGAGTGCCCTGAGGAGGAATGAAGTCTGTAAGGAGAGAGGAATATCCTGAAGGATTCTACAGAGGGGGCAGAGAAAACGTCGTTCAGGAAGTGACAGTTGAGTGGAGAAAGAAATAAAGCAAGGACAAGCCCTGTGAGACTCTTGGGGGAGAGTGGGGCAGGCAGAGGCACCTGGTGGGCACAGAGTTGGAGGCAGCAGCTCTTAGTGCAGTGAAGGAAAAGAAAGAGGCTGGGCTGGTTTGGGAAGTGGGCTAGAGTGAGGAATGGGCTGGAGTAGGGAGTGGGCTAGAGTGAGGAGTGGGCTGGAATAGGGAGTGGGCTGGAGTGAGGAGTGGGCAGGAGTGGGTAGTGGGCTGGAGTGAGGAGTGGGCAGGAGTGGGGAGTGGGCTGGAGTGAGGAGTGGGCAGGAGTGGGGAGTGGGCTGGAGTGGGGAGTGGGGAGTGGGCTGGAGTTGGGAGTGGGGAGTGGGCTGGAGTGGGGAGTGGAGAGTGAGTTGGAGTGGGGAACCAAGGTGGGGCCAGGGCCAGACCCTGGAGGCTTTTCAGACCTTTTTCAATGGTAACGACATTGGCTTTTATATTCATATAGAGTTTGGGAAACCGTTGGGGTGTTGAGAGCAGGGAGAGGCATCATCCACGTTTTAAAAGTATCAGCTAGGCCACTTTGTAGAGAAATTGATGAGGTGGGAAGGATTGGGTCCAAGGTCAAAGTCAGGCATCTAATTCCATTTCAAATCCTAAGTTTCGGGATGTATGGGAAAAAGAGACACGGGAGAGGGAGAGAAGTGGCCTCTTGAGATCCAGAACACCAGACCAGGGAGAGGCCAGCAGGCTCTGTCTCAGATAAGGGGCAATTTCTGTGGTCAGCCAAAGCCGCATTTGAATCTCAAAGCAGAAAACCCAGTATCTGGAAGAAAAACGAAGGGGGCTCCATGGGAACCGTGACCTTGTTCTGTTCACCTGTGCCTCCCCAATGCCCACTAAGGGATGCTCAACAAATAAATAGATGGATGGATGGCTGAATGAATGATGCAACACATTAGCTTCTATTATTATTAATGTTCAAGTATGGAAACCCATCTCCTGAGGGTGAATTTGCACCATGTCAATTTAGCTAAAGTGGGACTACGTTTCCCGGAGTTTGCTTTCTTCTCTATCCCCTGCTGGGAGTTGCCTGCAAGAGAAATGTGCACGTGACTTAGAAGAGGGAAGTGAGGAGCCGGCAGTTTGAAGCATCTGGGGGTCAGCATGGAACCAACATGTTCGCAGCTGCCGCAAGCTGTGGCAGGTCAGCAGGCTCATCTTCTTGGCGCTGGGCAGTGGCTCCGTTCCTGGCTCCTGAAGCCCCTGTTGACCAACTCCTTCTGGTCTTCAAATCCTGGTCCAGGCAGATGTGTAACTGCATGGTGAGGAGGCTCCACCGCTCATGCAGGTCACATGCGTGGTTGAGATCAGAGACCACGAGAAAAGTCACAGCTGCAGTGTATCACGAAGGTTTCATGCTGTTCTTTAGCCTTCCTACTTCATGCCCATCTTCTCGACAGCCGGTTCTGCTGACTTCAGCTGACTTCAGGAGCGGCTCCCACAGTCATACAAAACCTAATCTCATAAAATACCCCTTCAAACTCACTCATCCTGGTCCTGCTTCCCTGACCAAATCCTGAGGATGAGACTGGATTTAAGTATTTCTCAACCTTGGAGCTTCTTGGGCTTTGCTATTGCAAATGTTAAGTAAGAATATTAATTTTAAAGGCATGTTTATCAAAATAACTGATCAACTCAGCTATTTTAATACCAGCGATTCTCACCTAAACATACGGAATTGTTTTCAAATGGGTGAATATGTTTCTCTTCAAGTTTTATAGATGTTTGGTAAGAAAGCAAGTTTTTCTTTTTTAAATTGTTTGCCTAAGAGGGATATAAGGAAATGTCTGTGTTCGATTTTGCAATATGTGTGCGAAATGACTTTGCAGTGAGTCGTGGAGGTGATGAAGTTCAGCTGGCAATCATTGGCAGACCCCGCCGCCCCCCCGCCACCCCCACTACACACACACACACACACACACACACACACACACACACACACACAGTTCCCCTGCTTGGGAGCTGTGACCTTTAACTGAGTTCCTGAGATTAAAGTTTAGTCCTAGTTTGAGGCTAGACCTAAAAGATTTTAATTTTTCAGATATATGGGGGAAAGAGACCTGAAAGAAGGAGAGAGAGGCTGGGCTCAGTGGCTCTTGCCTGTAATCCCAGCACTTTGGGAGGCCAAGGTGGAAGGATTGCTTGAGCCCAGGGGTTCGAGACCAGCCCGGCCAACATGGTGAAACCCTGTCTCTACTAAAAACACAAAAATTAGCCATGTGTGGTGGCACATGCCTGTAATCCCAGCTACTCGGGAGGCTGAGGCAGGAGAATCACTTGAACTGGGGAGGGAGAGGTTGTAGGGAGCCAAGATGACACCACTACACTCAACCTGGGCGACAGAGCAAGACTCTGTCTCTAAAATAAAATAAAATAAAAGGAGAGAAGTGGCTGCTTGAGATCCTGACCATTGGAACAGGGCGGGGAGGCCCCTGGGTTTTGTAACAGCTAAGGCACAAGCTCTGTGACCAGCCAAAGCTGGATTTGAATCTCAATCATGCTGTGTAACCAGAAGCAATTGATGCTGCATCTTCAAGTCTTGATGTCCTGGTTTAGAATGTGGGTGATAATCATTTCTCCATGTTTGCAAAGGTCAAATAGGACTGTATACCAAGGACTCGGCACAGCATCTGGTGCCCAGTGCAGCAGACAAGGGATGCCTGACTTTGACCTTGCTAGGTGACCTGTTAAATAATTTTTCTGTGCCTCAGTTTCCTCATCTGTAAAATGGGGCCTACTAATAGTATCCACTTGATAACATTTTCATGAACATGAAATGAATAAATGGTGTGGTTAGGATGGCAAACACTAGATTCAAATCCTGGCTCCAACACTTAATTGCTGTGTGACCTGGAGAAAATTACTTAACATTTCTGAATCTCAGTTTCTGACCTACATAAAATGAGTCTGGTAATAACAGTTACCATAGGGCTGTTGTAGGAGTTAAACGCCAGCATGTATGCAAAGCAGTTAGCAGAGCCTAGTGCATAGAAAGTGCACGTTGTGCACATGTACCCTAGAAGTTAAAGTATAATAAAAAAAAGAAAGTGCTCAGTAAATACTGTTTATTAGTATTGCTGTCCTTATCATGATAATTAACCAGATTCAAAGATCTGAGCGAAGGGCATTGCAGGCCTAATTGTCTTTAACTCATACAACCATTCTTCTGGGTAAGGATGACACCATTCCCATTTTATGGAGAAGCCACTGGAAGGTTGATAGTAGGTGTCATGTTCATCTCTCTGACTGGGGAGCTGAGCTCCTAACCACTTCACCTTACTGCCTCTAGGTTATTTTTTTGTTTCCTTTTCTTTTTTTCTTTTTTTTTTTGACAGAGTCTAGCTCTGTCTCCCAGGCTGGAGTGCAGTGGTGTGATCTCGGCTCACTGCAACCTCTGCCTCCTGGGTTCAAGCCATTCTCCTGCCTCAGCCTCCTGAGTAGCTGGGATTACAGGTTGCACCATCACACCAGGCTAATTTTTATATAGGTTATTTTTTCTAAGAGTACCTCCTGAGGATTGAATGAATGGAGCAGCCCACTTCCTCTGGGATCACTGTTTCTCTCACTCCAGGGTTTGATACACACAGGGCAGCCTGGGGTTTGAGTGCCTGCATTGCTATTGGGTGTCATCTTTTAGGACACATTTGAAAGCCACCCCCTGACACATGGGTAACTATGTGAGGTGATTAGTGTGTGAATTAGGTTGATTGTGGTAATCATTCTCAACATATACATATGTTAAAACAGCACACCTTCAATATTCCTATTTGTCAATCACACCACAGTATAGCTGGAAAAGAAAGCAAAGAAGGAATAGGGTGATCTCTTTGTGTTGCAAGTGATGGTGGGGGGAATGGTGGGTGGGTGGCGGGGGGGACTCTGACTGATCTTCCCGATCCCCTCAGTTTCGTTACTCTGTTGACAGTGGGAATTCTGAGGGGCTTCTCAAGGGAAAAACATAAAACCTGACCTTTGTGTAATTCTAAAGCAAGACCTTAATGAAAACTTGCTTTTAATAATGAAGAATGACAGTATCAAAAGTCAGGAAGCTTCTCCATAGACGTTGCAACTAAAATATATATCAGTGAAGATGCTTGTTGCTAATAGGCGGGAACACAAAACAAAATCTAATGTACAGAATGAATTTCCTCTTTGGACTCCTGGCGAGTGAAAGGTAAGTAGATGCTAGAGGCATTGAGCTCTGTCGATTGCTTAGGCCGCATATTTCAGGACTGACATGTATTAGCTCAGTGCTTCTCCACAAGGACAATTCTACCCCCAATCCCAGCAAAAGATGTGTGTCAATGTTTGGAGACCTTTTTGGTGTCACACTGAGAAATACTACTGTCATCTAGTAGATAGGGGTCGGGGAGGCTGATAAACATTCTACAATGCATAGGACAGCCTCCCACAACAATAGCGAAAATCTGATCCATAATATTATAGTGCCAAGGTTGAAAAGCCCTGAGTTAGAAAGATGTTAGGCAGTTGTCATCAAATATTAACAGCTAAAGAAAAGTTTTTTGTGTTTGGACATGTGTCTTAGCTAGGGTTGCCATAACAAGACACTACCCATTGGGTGGCTTAAACAATAGGCATTTATTTTTATCATCGCTCTGGAAACTGGAAATGTGAGACCAGGTACCAGCATGGTTGGGAGAGGGATAACTTCCTGGCTGGCAGATGACTGTCTTCTTGCTATGTGGCAGGGAGAGAGAGAGCAAGCGAGCAAAAGGGAACATGATGTCTTTTCTTACCAAGGCACTAATGTCATGAGGGCCTCACCCTAACAATTTCATCTAACCCTAATTAACTCCTAACAGCCACATCTTTAAATACCACCATATTGAGGGTTGGGACTTCAACATATAAATTGTGGGGGAGGTGCTAACACAATCATTCATTCCATACAAATGTAACTAATAAGGTTAAACATGTATGTAGCATTTACTCTTCTAAGCGCTTTACATGTATATGAACTGATCTAATCCTTGAACAAGTCTAAAAGGAGACAATGACTTTATCCTCATTTTACAGATGAGGAGATTAAGTAACTTGTCCAAGGTCACTTTGGTTGGGGATGCAGAGCCTGGTTTCCAACCCAGGCAGTCTGGCTCTAGGGCCTGTGTTCTTAAACTTGATGTGAAGAGTAATTGACATACTCCATCCGTTGAAACTTCCTCCAGTTAAAACAAATAAGAAATTATATGTAATGACTGCATTGGCGTAAAGAAAAATACAGGTTGGATTCATTATGACGTATTCATTATCATTATTATATTTCTTTTTCCTTCTGATTTTAAAATAAATTGAAATAAAAACATTTTTGTGGTCCTGGGTCCTGACACTATTCCTAATGGAGAAGTCAGCCTTGGTGGCAGTGGGTGCTGTCAGGAACATGATGGATTGAAGAAAGTCAGGTGTGAAAATGATGGGAGTTTCAGCAGCCTGGGAAGCTGCGCCCCTGCTCTGGGGACAGCAGTTGTTCAGCTCCAGCCCACTGCTAAGAAGTGGAGGGAGGTCAGAGAATGAGGGCTTAGTATTGACAAACTGGCAAATGTTCCAATTTTAGAGAAGAAGCCAAGAATCCAAATACAAGTGTTCTTTTGAGTCAATTCAGTTTCTACAAACACTATTATGAAAGAAAGAAAGAAGAAAGAAAGAAAGAGAGAGAGGAGAGGAGAGGGAGAGAGAGGGAGGGAGGGAAGGAAGGAAAGAGGAAGGAAGGAAGGAAAGAAGGAAGGAAGGAAAAAAAGTAACAAAAAGGGAGGAAGGCAGGGAGAAGAAGGACAAAGCATCACATTTGGTAAAGGAAATGGGCTTTGGGGTCAGATATGCCTTGGCTGGTCTACTTGCTAGGCATGTACCTTGGGCAACAGATTTCGTTTCTCTAAATCTCATTTTATCATCTGTAAAATGGGAATAATACTAGAATGCACGTTTACCACCAGGATGTGGGTACTGAATGCGAATTAGATTTGCATCTCATTGTTAAAGTGCGGTGGCATTTCAAACCCAAACGGGAACTTGCAGATCAGATTCCAGTGCTTTCTGGAGCTAGAAAAATGGTATATATGGGCAAACGAGCCAGGTGGGGCCTGTGGCAGACTGGAGAGCTCAGACCCATCTCAAGGGGAAGCTGCTTGGCCAATTCTTGCCATCTGGGGATGTGGCCCATGTCAGACACATCTCCCATTTTAAACAGTAGTTAGGAATCTGGATTGTTTGTGAAATGTCTCATTTATGTTTTTAATCTTAGTAATAGATTCCAATTTTTGAAACTACAAACTGGGGCTGAATGATACATGCCTGTAAACTGGACAAGGCCCAGGTGGTCACCAGTTCATGGCCTGCTCTGAACAGAAGGCGAGTGTCTAGACAGTGTCTTCCTGTCTTATAGGTGCCCTGGTGGCATCTGTAGACATATCTGTAGTCCAACAGGGCTAAGTTCTTACAGATCAGGTTAGAATATTAATTTAGTGATATAGCTCATATAAGAAAATAAGAATTTTTTAATCAGTTGGGTCCTGGACATCGTGACTGGCAATGTCAGTCTGGAAACCGAAGATGTCACCAGGAAGAAAGGACAAAGATGTGTGAGGGATGGAGCAGGGAATAGACTGATTTTTTTTTTTTATGGAAAAGAATAAAAGAGGATGAAATAGAAGAACAAAAGATTCAGACATGCAAATCATAGTATTCTAGAGAAATTTCTAGGCCCAGAAATCATGAGGAAAATAATGTTAGTTTCTTTTTCCACCCTTTCCAATGAGATTTTTCATGAGGGTAGGAAAGTACTTCTCTTATAGAATTTTACAGCTGAATAGAACTAAAGAGACCTTTAGTTTTCAAGTTAAAACATTTTTTTTTAAAGTAAATAAAATAAGAACTGCAGTGAAGAAATGACTGGTCCATAGCCATGGCACATATGAAAATTCCAAATGTGTATGAGGTAAAGCTAGGGCTTTGCATGAGTGAGATAGACCAGGTGGGAGGTTCTACGGAATGGTGGAAACAGGCAAACAAGCCAAGGGTCTGGCCCGTCCAAGGGGGCTTTGTTACTCAGCTGTAGCCAGCTGTGCTAAGCAGAAAGTGGGCCCACCATAGACAGATCTAACTTTTTTTTTTTTTTTTTGGGATGGAGTCTCACTCTGATGCCCATGCTGGAGTACACTGGTGTGATCTTGGCTCACTGCACTCTCCATCTACCAGGTTCAAACAATTCTTCTGCCTCAGCCTCCCAAGTAGCTGAGAATACAGGTGCGCACCACCACGCCCAGCTAATTTTTGTATTTTTAGTAGAGACGGGGTTTCACCATGTTGGCCAGGCTGGTCTCAAACTCCGGACCTTAGGTGATCCACCCACCTGGGCCTCCCTAAGTGCTGGGATTACAGGCATGAGCCACTGCGCCCGACTGGCAACAGGTCTAACTTTTGAAGGCAAGAGAAAAATATCAACTTTGAGAATGCACTCCCTCAATTTTTAAAAGTTGTCAACAAATTCAAAAGTTTAAAACACATCATGCAAGCCAAAAAAGCCCATGTGAGGTCCACATTTGGCTGGGAACCTGCCAGTCTGTGACTTGCATTAAAGAATCTTCCAGCATCCCACACATTTTCTGACAAGGTAGTTCTCACCTCACTTCCTGTCAATGTTTACCTAAGTAAGGAATGCTTAGTGTGATCATTTTCTTAACTCTTTATCCTGAAGAAGGACCTTCAGTAAAGACAATATTTTAATATTTTACTTCGGTTTCCTATATTTTACTTTGGTTGCCTCCATTATTCACCAATTTGTGCTTGTTCAGCCAGAAATTCAGGAACCACAGGAAAGCTGTTGACTAAAGAAAACCTTAAACTTTCATCCCAGTTCTGTTCACTGTTTTTTATTAAAGAGTTTTCTTTTTATAGTAAACTAAAGAGAGGATGTTCAGAGTCCAGGTTCATGAGCTGCAGGGCTTTTTTTTTTTTTTTTTTTTTTTTTGCTCAGCAGAACCCCAAAAATAGAATTGCAAAAATACAATTTGGTAAATCTTTAATGCCCAAATACTACTCCTTCCCCTAACTAAGTCAGCCACTGGAACCATTTCTGCCTCTGCACATGACACTGACCAGGAGGCTAAGCCCATTATTTATGCACGGCTGATTTTATTTCTCAATTCATTTTGAGCATCTTTAATGCAAAACAACAAGAAAAACAGCAGCAAAACACCCAGCCTGATTATAAGCCTTTTCTCCTGACTTTTAATGCAAACTTGAAGAATGAGCCAGAGATGACTCATAAACTCATGAACTTCAGTTTCTGGTGAAGACCATCATTTAAGACAAAGTCAGTTCCCCAGACTGTGGGTTTCCCTATTTAGTGAACAAACATGTTTACTTTAAAATGCTAATCAAAAAAGTCCTTGAACAGACATTGTCTTCCCCAAAATTACTAAAATAGTTACCATGTTTCAAATTATTTAGAATAGGAAACTAAATTATAATAAAATAATTGAGGATAGAAATCTAACTGATTTTTCACCTATTAAAATTTGGGTCACAAATTATACACACACATATACACACACACGCACCTACACACACATGCATACACATCTCCAAAACACAAGATAGTAAGCACGGGAAAATTTGCCAAATGTCCTAGTGGATTGATCAACAAACAGCCCAGGTAATTCTGCATTTCTTCTTGGTCGAAGTCACTTTTTCTTCCCAACTTCTCACTCAGACTAGGTACAACTAAAATGTAGATAAGTAAGTCACTTTATCTGTGTTTTATTTAAGCAGTACGGTGGTTAGGTGCATGAATGCTACAGCCAGCATGCCTGGTTCGGATTCCTGGTTATGCCACTGTTATTGGTAGCTTAATGTGGAGTTGGTAAGACGGGGATGTGGAAATAGCAGTGTCAATTCGTAACTTGCTTAGGAGGATTAAATGAATGTATAGAACATTGCCTGGCCCTGTGTACAAATTCAAGACTTTGAGCTCAGTTAGTCTGGAGAGCTAGCAGATTCTTAACCTTTGAATCCCCAGCTAAAAACCCTGTCCTGACGAACGTTCATGCACATTTTGACGGCCTTTCAGAGATGCTCAGGCCTTCTCTGCCTCCCTTACTCCCCAGGCTAAGGTCCTCTACTCTAGAAAACACCTAAAGGAACCTGGGGATGTGAGTTACATATGAAAACCACTTTAGTCCTCCTAAGGACACCATACATATTTTCTGAGCCATGGCAAAATCAATAGGTAAACAGGTATTGTTAGAGGGAACTAGGCCTGGTTCCTTTTTCAATGGGGTTTGAAAGTTGTATTTTGTTTATTAGGAAGGAAAGAAGTGGACCTTTCCAGTGGGTGATTCATCATCTGGTTCCTTCAGGGGAAGAGAGGGAGTGACTAGAGAGGATTGATGTCCAGCCTGGGGCCTGCTTTGCTCAACAGGGACCTCATGAAGGCAGGCTTCTTCCTCCTGACATTTCCAGCACTCCTCACGGGCACTCTGGAGAGGGATCTCTGAATCATCGCTGTGTCTAGACACATCAAAGGGCAAGCTGCCTGTTTCTCAGGCTCACCAAACCCAGTCAGGAGCACTAACGTGGCAGGTCTCCCTCTGAATCACTCAGACCAGAGGGAGGGCGCTGAGAGGTGAGCAGGTTCACCCGGCTGTATTCGCTCTTGGGCGAGGGCAACATTCCTCCCTGGGGAATGCAAAGTCATGTTGCCTCTTGCCAAAGCCAGTCAGGTAAGGAGACACTGTTGATTTTGTCTCTGCTTCCTGGTGCCAGAGCAGACCAAGCAGGGCTTTGAAGATGTTGATTAGACGTAAGCCTTGACGAGGAATGTGACTGTCATTCAACAGTGTAGGCACTCAGTAAATACCCGGGGCATGAATTCAAGGGAACGCTACCTTGCAAAATGGGCCACTCACTTCAGACAAGTAATTGAAAGAAACATTTAAAAATTCCAAGAGCAGGAAAGATAAAATAATTGCTTTGGGTTGCTCTTCGGAAGCCTAATGCAACATACAGTTAAGTTTTAGACTTCCTGACTATTCTTCACAAATTTCTTTTCTTCAAACTCATGTTGTTCTTATATCTGAATGTTCTACTGCATACTCTAATAGATTTGATTTCAACCACATCCCACACAAAATCATATTTACACACACACACACACATACATATACACATATGTATATGTATGCAGTTGATTATGGACATAGTTTTCTGCTTTGCAGATACTTTATTAAACATCTATTATATGTGATATTGATATTTCCTTTTCACATGTTAGAAATATTTTGTTTTCCGGTCTCAACCATTTTTTTTTTTTGAAACGGAGTCTTGCTCTGTCACCCAGGCTGGAGTGCAGTGGCACGATCTCGGCTCACTGCAGCCTCTGTCTCCCGGGTTGAAGCGATTCTCCTGCCTCAGTCTCCCAAGTAGCTAGTATTACAGGTGCCCGCTTGGCTAATTTTTTTATTTTATTTTTATTAGAGATGGAGTTTCATCGTGTTGGCCAGGCTGGTTTTGAACTCCTGACCTCAAGTGATCCGCCCACCTCGGCCTCCCAAAGTGCTAGGATTACAGGCGTGAGCCACCCCGCCAGGCCAGGTCTTAACCATTTTTGTAGGCCCTGTGAAATTCTGATCCTGAATTAAATAGCCCTAAGATTGTAGAAATGAATAACCTTTAATGGAGTGTATGCTTTTTATGGCCTCATCAATAAATGAATTTATTCCTGACGTTCTTCTAAGGCTAATCACTCCAAAGGATTTCAGAGTTTATCTACTTGAGGTTATTTACTTGATACATTGAGGTGGTTCCATCCTGTAACTGGTTAAGTGGATAGTGTACTGTTTGGGGCTGTTGAAGGGAGGAATGTAGCTTTCATTTTCTAAGCACCGCAAGAGAAATGGAGAGGAGGTCCTGTGTGTGCCCTGAGATCCCGAAAGGGGAATTATGAACTGCGAGGAGCATGTGCTTCAAATCGTTTGCAAATTTGGGCCAATGAGATGCTCTTTAAAATGTCATCCTCAAAAGAGGGCATCCCATTCATGGGTCTCTGTATGAGCAGCCCTAAAAAGCAAAGAGCCAGCATGGTAGCTCCTGCCTGTAATCCCAGCACTTGACGAGGCTGAGGTGGGAGGATCGCTTGAGCCCAGGAGTTCAAGGCCAGCATGGGCAACATAGTGAGACCCCATCTCTACACAAAACTTAAAAATTAGCAGGGCATGGTGGAGTGCACCTGTAGTCCCAGCTACCTTAGGAGGCTGAGGCAGGAGGCTCCCTTGAGCCCAGGAGGTCGAGGCTGCAGTGAGCTGTGATTGTGCCGCTGCACTCCAGCCTGGGCAACACAGCAAGACCTTGTCTCAAAGAAAAAGAGCAGACTTTCATTTCTAATTGGAACAAAAGCCCCTCTAAAGGCGCTGACAGCTCCTTGTAGGACTCCTGGTTGGGTGATGTTGGAAGACCAGCATTCTCCTGAGGCAGGAACTGTGTCTGCTTTTCTGTCCATATTACACTCCCCACAATAAGCACAGTGCACGGCACATAGTAGGTGCTCAATAAATCCTTTTATTTACCACTTGTCTGGAGTAAAGCATTATAATGTAGTCATTACACGTGTGGCTTCGGAGCCTGACTGCTGGGGTCTGAGCCCCAGCTCTGCCACTTACCTACTGTGTATCTTTGGGTAGGTTACTTCTGCCTCTGTCTTGGTTTCCTCATCTGTAAAAGGGGGATAATGAAAGTACCTACTTCAGTGGATGATTACACTTCCTTCACATGCATTTACGAGTTTTCTGAACATATAATCCTGTTGAGATCCATGTGGACTTGATGATTCTAATTATTTGTCATGCATTACACTCTTCATGCTTTTGGAGTTAGAATGTATATATATATTTATAATAATTTTATTTTCTTCTTAATAAATAGTGCGGACATTTGGATCAAGGAAAAGGAGTGTGTGTGTGTGTGTGTGTGTGTGTATAATTTTTAAAAATTGCTGGTAAGATGTGTCAAGCTAAGATTTAACAATCTGTGATCTGCACATCTTTAGTTTGAGGAAACAAGTCACGTTTTATTTCATTTTAATTTTAATTTAATTTAATTTAATTTTATTATTATTATTTTTTTGAGATGGAGTTTTGCTGTTGTTGCCCAGGCTGGAGTGCAGTGGCACCATCTCGGCTCACCACAACCTCCGCCTCTTGGGTTCAAGCAATTATCCTGCCTCAGCCTCCCAAGTAGCTGGCATTACAGGCACGCGCTACCACACCTGACTGCTTTCGTATTTTTAGTAGAGACGGGGTTTCTCCATGTTGGTCAGGCTGTCTCGAACTCCCGACCTCAGGTGATTCGCCCACCTTGGCCTCCCAAAGTGTTGGGATTACAGGTGTGAGCCACCGCGCCTGACCCACATTTTATTTTTTAAAATGTGAAACCGTATCTTGGTCATGTCTTTAGCAGCATGGAATTTTGGAAAGATGATGACATTTGAGGAAAGGAGGTGAAGGAAGAGACTTGAGTTTAAACTGGCACCTTCTAATTTCTCTGCCCCCAAAAAGGTATTGATATATGTGTTTTAATTGTTGCCAATATGTGTCTGAAGGTTGAAGAACACTCAGAGAAAAAAATGAAAAAAACACATGTGTTTAAAGTGGTCCATAACTAAAAAAAAAAAAAAAAAAAAAAAGGTGGTCCATAACTGAAAGCAGCCTGGAAATGGTCATGGAGGTCATGGAGGTAGTGCTCTGGGGTGCATTTCACTAAGGGCTACATCATCCCTTGAGGTTTGCAAAGCTGGTAGCTAAGGAGGATGAGGTAATGCAGGGATGTTCATCTGGCACATTTCATCTCAAGAGCTGATCATCTTTAGGTCGGGAATGAATTCCTCACCCCATATAGAATATTACAGAGTTGGCTCAGGTGGACAGAGAGGAGAGGGCAAAGAAATTTTGATGTTCTCAAGGCCAGGAATGTTGCCCTTATATGGGTTTCCTTGGAGGAGTCGGCTGTGTGTGCAGCTTGTTCCTTACTTGAGGTGTATCAAGACGTTCACCACAATATTCAGTAATTAATTATCCCAATCCACATTTAGGAAACAGCAGAGGACACTGTGACATTATCTAACAATCTCTCAGGTCACTGCAGATGAAACTAGCTTTGGGACATAGGCCTCAAAGATTCCTGTGTGTAGCAGTAGCTCATTAGCCCTTTTCAAGAGAAATATTATTACTGTCAAATCAGAAGCTTTTGAAGCCTTTTGGTGCTATTCTGTCTAACACATAAAAGTCTTCTACCCAGGGAGGCATAGTATTTGGTTTGTACAGAACTGTTTCTCAAAGTAGTTACTTCATTTGCCTTCAAATTTCTCCTCTATTTTCACCACCACTTAACTGTTGGCCAATTGGATTTTTTTTAAGTTTCTTTTTTTTTTTTTAGTTTCTTTTTTTTTTTTTTAAATTGTCTTCCTTAAAATTACCAGCATGGAAAAATAAACTATTCCCAAATGCGTGATGCTGTGAATCTGAGAGTTCAAATGCAGCATTAGTGGAGGTTGTGGTTGATGGGCAAGTAGCTCATATGTCTTGGGATAAAATGCTCCTAAGAAGGAATTTTGGCCCCATTCACAGGAGGACACTTTTTTCCTCATTTTGGCTTTTTTTTTTTTTTTCCCCCGGCCTGGACACAAAGTCCCTAGTAATTTTATCACAACTCATTTTGGGAATGGTGATTCCTGGGCCATAATTGATTTCAGGAGTTGGTAACTGGGCTGCAAATCAAACACGTGGGAGAAAATATCTTACCAGTATTGTCGAAGCCCTTTGGTTTATGTGCTTTGGTAATAAAATCCTCAGCAGGGGAGTTCAACACCATCTTTTGGTTTCTGTTTCTAGGTTTCTTCTTTCTTGCTTGAGGAATGGGTTAGTATGTGGGTTTGTGCAGGAGATTCAGAGAGAGGGCCTAAGATTCCGCTTAGGCTTCATGGGGTTCACATCTTTCGATTTGGGGCCTATTTGATGGCTTTGCTTTATTTTAAAGTGTTTTTTGTTTCATAAAACTTATTTCTTTCTTCTTAGAGGTCATTTGTAGAGATTGCATTAAGGCTTACAGTTTTGTTGTCTGGTAGAATGCTTTGTCTTCTTTTTAAAAAAGGAACTGGCCTGCTAGCTTGGCATTAGTGTGTAATGATGACATCATTTATTTGTCTCTATAGGAAATAGGCATTCATTCCTTTTTTTTTTTTTTTCCCAGAGGGGAATGAGTTCATGTTGAGAGTATATGATAGGATGTATTCTCCCTGGTTATCATAAGCGGACGCATTTTTTCATTTACTTGGAAGATCTTTCTGAAACATAACCTGTGCAAAGGACTAGGGTTATGGGAGAAATTATAACAGACAAGGCTGCTGTTCTACAGAAGCCCTTCGTCTAGTGGTAGTGGGGGCACAGATGAGCACACAGGAAAATGCAGAAAGATAAATGCTAAAGAAGGAGGCCTTACCCAACCTTGGGTCTCAGGGAGACCTCAGGGAGGGAGTGACAGCTAAGGGGAGATCGGAGGGGTGAGTAGGAGCGGGACAGGTAAAGACGGGGTGGGAGAGTTAGGAATTTCTGATAGGAGAGAACACCCCACAGAGAAGGAATTGCAAGTTCCAAGTCCAGGAAAGAGAACTTTAATTACATTTTTCAAAGTACTTATACATATGTTATGTTTATTTATTTTGTAACCTTGAGTTATACAACTCAGAGTCTCAGTTTTCTTATCTGAAAGATGGGATAACTATCCCCATCTCCAGGGGAGACCGTCAGGAAAATCCGAGATAACTGACAGAGCGTTCCTCGTTAGCTCACAGCTGTTTACGAGTGTCTGGCACACAGTCTATGCTTCATAAAAGAAACTGCCTTTACTGTTGTTCTTACATTCTTCTTCTCTATCTTAATGTTTCCCTTTGCCTAATTTGTCCTACCTATTTTTAAATTATTTAATTTTGCTTGAAGTATTTCTCTCTCTATCTTTTTTTTAATTGTAGTAAGAACATTTAACCTCAGATCTATTATTTTAACATTTTTTTAAACTTTTATTTTAGGTTCGGGGTACATACGCAGGTTTGCTATATAGGTAAATTCACCTTATGGGGGGTTAATTTCACAGATTATTTAGTCACCCAGGTATTAAGCTTAGTACCCATTAGTGATTTTTCCTGATCCTCTCTCTCCTCCCACTCTTCACCCTCAGGTAGGCCCCAGTGTCGGTTGTTCCCTTCTTTGTATCCATGAGTTCTCATCATTTAGTTCCCATTTATAAGTGGGAAACATGCGGTATTTGGTATTCTGTTCCTGTGTTAGTTTGCTAAGGATAATAGCCTCCAGCTCCACCCATGTTCCTGCAAAAGACATGATCTTGCTCTTTTTCATGGCTGCATAGTATTCCATGGTGTATACGTACCACATTTTCTTTACCCAGTCTAGATTTTAACAGATTTTTAAGTGTACAATACATTATTATCTATGGATACTATGTTGAACAGTGGCAGCTCTCTGGAACTCATCTTGCATAACTGAAACTTTATTCCTGCTCAATAGTAGCTCCCTGTTTTCCTCTCCCTGTAGTCTCTGGCAACCCCCCTTTTACTATCTGATCCTTAGAAGTCCTCCTCACACACCGTATAGGGGCAGGATATAGTTTCCTACCCCTTCTTAAGACAATCACAGGCAAGAGCACTGTCACTTACATGACCGGTTAAGAGTAAGTAGTGTATACCCTGTACACATTGTGACAGCAGAAGGCGGGGAGATTGAAAGAATTCAGTAACACAGGGGTTCTGCCAGCACAGAACAGTGTCCACTATGATCTTTTTTAACCCAAATGCAGCATTATGCGGAGTTTCTCTTTATTTTAAAGTGAAAACTGTGATGTGACTAGTCACACCTGACTTCAGCGCACCATCTAATGAGAGCCTCTGTGTCAGAATGAATTGAGCTATAATAACTACTAAATTGACTCATAAGGACTTACACCAAAAGGAGATCTATCATCCTACAGAATTAGAAATGCAGAGGGAGGATGGCCCTGAGGATGGTTAATTTAGCAGAAACCAACATCACTAAAGATTCAGGAAAGTTCCATCCTCTTTTTCCATTTTGATATCATTGAAGCCGGGAGTTCACTTTGTGTCTTCGTTTTAAAAACCAGGAGAACCCCAGAGCCCTAAGAACACCTTCCCTCACAATTCACTGACCAGACTCAAATCATATGCCTCCTACTGAATGAAGAGGAATAAAATTATCAGGGATGGCCAAGGCTTTAAGCAAGACACGAACTCTAAGGATGCCGATGGTCTGTACCTACTATGAGAACCTGATATCTGAAGTTAGGATTCCACTGGTAAGAAGAAAAAGGGATTGGGCAATGGCTAGTGGGATACACTTATCATATCTACCTGATACACATTTTCTTTATATTTATTTGTGCAAAAAGAAAAACAAATTCTCTCCCCTTTCTGCTTAGACCAGGGAGGTCCAAGGTATTTGGAAAGAGGAGAGGTTATGCCAAGTAAAAACAAGCCCACAAACCTCCCTAGGAGAGACACACGCATACCTTCCACATCCGGATCAGGGTGCTGATGATGATGGTGATGGTGAGTGGAAAATCTCAAGTTCCCCACATCTGCCAAAGTTGGAGCAGCTGCTACTAGGAGGGCACCAGATGGTAGGTCCTTGCTTCCTGTACTGCTCAGAGTCCCAGCAGAAAACAGAATTCCATTCAGATGTTTGACCAGAGACTTTTTTCTTTCCTTTTGAAATTATACTTTCAGTTCTGGGATGCATGTGCAGAACATGCAAGTTTGTTACATAGGTATACACGTGCCATGGTGGTTTGCTGCACTCATCAACCCGTCATCTACATTAGGTATTTCTCCTAATGCTATCCCTCCCCTAACCCCCCAACCCCCGGACAGGCCCCGGTGTGTGATGTTCCCCTCCCTGTGTCCACGTGTTCTCACTGTTCAACCCCCACTTATGAGTGAGAATATGAGGTGTTTGGTTTTCTGTTCCTGTTTTCATTTGCTGAGAATGATGGTTTCTAGTTTCATCCATGTCCCTGCAAAGGACATGAACTCATCCTTTTTTATGGCTGCATAGTATTCCGTGAAGTATATGTGACACATTTCCTTTGTCCAGTCTATCATTGATGGGCATTTGGGTTGTTTCCAAGTCTTTCCTATTGTGAATAGTGCTGCAATGAACATACATGTGCATATGTCTTTATACTAGAAGGATTTATAATCCTTTGGGTACATACCCAGTAATGGGATTGCTGGGTCAAATGGTATTTCTGGTTCTAGATCCTTGAGGAGAACCAGAGATTTTTTTTAGTTACTATTTCTAAAGGCATGGGTAGGTTAAGAAAACTAGCAAGGGAGGATGAGACACCCAAGACTAACCACCGTGCGAAGTCATAAGGAAAGCTTAGCCTGAAGGGCCAAGAAGATGAAATAATTTTTGCAGATGCTAAGTGAAACTGAGGCAGTGAAGGAGGGGCCTTTGGGAGGAGCTGTAGCCTAGAGGAAGGAAGCCAGTGCCAGACACGTGGCCAGAGAGGCCATAGAGGCAGGGCTCTGATCTCTCTCACTTCTCAGCCTCTGATATCCAGCTGGTGCCTGCTTCCATTGGCTGAGCCCAAATGTAGGCACTGGCAAAGGAGCTGGAGCCCAGTGATGCCCATGTGGAAGGCAGCCTCTCGGGGCTAGAGGAGGGCAGAGACGGATCTAGTTGGGAGGACAAACAGATGGATGGGCTGATGTGATCCCAGACACGCTCCTCCAACTAGGGCATTCTTTCTCAAGAGCCTCGATTCCAGGCAGAGCCACATGGCGTCTCAGAGTCAGTGAATCCACCCGCAGTCAGCAAAGGAGCGCCTTTGGCTTTGTTTTGCTTCTGCATGGCTTGTCTTTTATTCTTCTGCTCAGCACTTCTCCTTCTCCTCATTTTCCTCTCTCCTGCTTTTCTCTTCTTTGTCTTCTGTCTTCTTCTTTGTCTTCTGCTCAGTATCTCTCTGATTCTTGAAGCCTTTCTCAGCCTAATAAGGGCCCTAAACTTCCACTGGAATCATGGAGAGCTCTTTTCTGTCCTTTTTTATTTTTTAGTGAATAAGAGTCAGATTCAGGTAGGACAGGTTTAATTTTGAAACTTGAAAAATTGCTCAGGACTTCCTCTTCAGGATATGAGCATTGGTCTTAAATATCAAAAGAAAACAAGATTTTTGGTAGGGTTCTTTTAGATAAATGCTTACTACTTACAACATATAGGAAGAGGAAAAAAAAAACAAAAAAGTGATAAACATTATAAATAGTGTATTTCTTCACTTCCTTTAACCATCATTTGCATATTTGTGCCCAGTGTCCAATACTAAGTGTTGCTTTCACCACTCAAGTGACTCTTGGGACCTGTCCTGAGAGCTGTGGTTTCAGGCTGGATGCAATGAAGTCTTTCCAATTGTTATACAATTGACTGTGAGCTACTTAAATCTGCCACTTATTAAGAATGACTGGTTATGAATCATCCCAGTTCCCAAATATGATGATGAATTTGTGATTACTCTGCAACAGTTTTCAAAACAAGATCTCATACCTTTCATCAGGAAGAGGGAAAATGGTTTCATTTTCAACACAGGAATTTGTTTCCCTGGTTGAGACATAAAACATGTGTCTTAATGGTTCTGCAATGTGCTGGGATTTACTCTGAAAGGATAGTGATTCACGAAGAGATGGAGTCGGGTTTCACATCCTTTGAAGTCTAGGGTTGCCCAATTGCAGTCATGGAGCAACATGCAGCTGAGAATAAGAGCCAACTGTTCCTGAGTTTGTCTTTAACGGTTAAACATGCCTCATGTGGTGTGTCAAAAGCTTATAAATTCATAATTGGGGCAAGGCTGCTGTGGGTTTAGTTGCCAATAATGTGTTGATGTTGGGTTCAGAGTGCCCAATTAGGATGGAACATAAAGCAATGCATGGCAACGAATGAATATGAGATCACTCATGTTTCAGTGGAATTTTCTTTGAAGATCCACAAAACTGGAGAAATGGCTGCCCGGATAACGCTGACATCACCATGTGGCCATATTCAGAGGGCTGAAGAAGTCCTGACAAACTAAAGTGGGGTGCTTCTGAAGTTCCCTAAATAGGATTGGATAAAGTGTAGGGATAGAGAGATGGTCACATGCAGGATTCCTTCCCACCTCCTTCCTGTCATATCAGAATACTTGTTACTGTGGCTGAAGTGACATTTCCATCCAGAAGCCAGGATCTGGTTTAGCTGTGCTTGTCTTCCTTCCCGGAGCTGAGTCATGAATGGCAGTTTGGGATCCTCCAAAGTGAAAGGTGTCTTTTGTTCAGCCACTCGAGGCTGCTCTCTCACTGTGCTCAGTTACAGTTTAACTGGCATTTCCTTGTCAGTACTCTGTGCTGTTGTGTAAAGCAGATTCAAGCTATTCTATTTGCTTCTTCTTATTTGTCCACTCACACAGTCACTATTTATGATGATCCTTCTATGATGAAGGCACTATTTGAGATGCCTGAAAACACAAAAGTGAGCAAGATAAACGAGGTCCTTTTTCTATTCTATTCTTGTTGAGGAGCTAGATAAGTAGGCAAATGGACAAACTAATAAAATAATTTTAGACAGTGCTATGGGATATGAAGGGGCTAAGAAGGGATGATGGTGTAACATAATTTGTGAGAGTTGCGCGATGGCCACATTAGATGAGGTGGTTCTCTCTGAATATGTGAATTTTATCCTGAGATCTAAAGAATAAGAAAGAGTCAGCAATGGAATGATCTAGAGGAAGAGTGTTCTGGGTAAAGGACTCACAATTGGAAGAGTCCTCAGGCAGGGAAGAGTGTTCTGGGTAAAGGACTCACAATTGGAAGAAGTCCTCAGGCAGGGAAGAGCTTGGTTTATTAAAGAAACAACAAGAACATCAACAGAATCTGTGTGGCTCTGCTCCATGAGAAAGAGGGTGGGGGATAGGGGACTATGTCAGAAAGCAATGGGAGCTGGTTATGCGGGCCATGGTGAGAAGTTGGGATCTTGTTCAATCATAATCCACCCAACTGTGTTTTCACTCCCTATACTTCCACTCTTCCCTCCCTATACTTTCTCTCTTCCCTCCTTATCCATCTCCTTATCCATGGTTTATCACTAAAATCACTCCCTTGAAAATATCCTGTCCTTTGGTATGAGTTATCTATTGCTGTGTAACAAATTAAACAAAAAATTTAGCAGTTTAAAATAAGAAGAATTTGTTATCTCACACAGCATTTGTAGATCAAGAAACCAGGCTGGCTTAGTTGGGTGATTCTGCCTGTAGGTATCTCATGAGTATAGTTATCTAAAGATCATACTGGGGCTGGGGGGGTTCACTTCCAGGTTGACTCACTCACATGCCTGGAGAGTTAGCCCTGGTTTTTGGCAGGGAGCCTTAGTTCCTTGTCATGTGGGTCTTTCCATAGGACTTGTTGAGTGTCCTCATGGTATGGTGGCTGACTTTGCCCAGAGACAGTGAGCCAAGAAAAGGGAAGGTGAAAGTCACTATGTCTTTTAGGATCTAGTTTTGAAAGTCATATATCATTGTCTTCATAATATCTAAGTAGTCCTAAAGGCTATCCATACTCAGTGTGGGAGAGGAGAAAATCACACAAGGGCATGAATACCAGAAGACAAGGACCATGGCAGGTCATCTCGGAGGCTTGCTAACACACCCTATCACCCTCCTTTGTTCAAATCTTGCAAAACCTCAGCCCTGAGAAATCTAAAGCATGGCGCTAACATCTAACCCATTGAAAAGCATACCAACATGCTGAGTGAACTCATTTTAAGTTCATGACCACAGACATCAAATGAAACCTTAGTGCTGTCTGACTATCCTTCTACATGCCTCTAGGCAATTTATTCTTTTCCTAGGGTGACTTTCCCATATCTTCATCTCTTTTATACCTGGTCTCATTCTTGGCCAAAGTAAAATAGAAGCTATCAGAAGAACAATTCTACATACTTCCACCAACAAATTACCAACCCAGCTATACCCATATACTCTACCTTCTCACCTGTCACTACAGATGGTCAGCTTTTGCTTCTATGTATGTGTTTTAATGTATTAGTCCATTTTCACACTGCTGATAAAGACATACCTGAGACTGGGAAGAGAAAGAGGTTCAATGGACCCAGCAGTTCCACATGGCTGGGGAGGCCTCACAATCATGGCGGAAGGCAATGAGGAGCAAGTCACATCTTATGTGGATGGCAGCAGGCAAAGAGAGAGAGCTTGTGCGGGGAAACTCCCGTTTTTAAAACCATCAGATCTCATGAGACTTATTCACTATTGCAGGAATAGCACGAGAAAGACCTGCCCCCATAATTCAATTACTTCCCACTGGTTTCCTCCCACAACATGGAGGAATTGTGGGAGTTATAATTCAAGGTGAGATTTGGGTGGGGACATAGTCAAATCATATCAATTACTTTCATGGGGCTGCCATAACTAAATACTGCAAACTGGATGGCTTAGATCAACATAAATGTACTGTTTCCCAGTTCTGGAGGGTACAAGTCTAAAATCAAGGTGTCAGTAGGGCTATACTCCCTCTAAACACGCTAGGGCAGGATCTGTTCAGGTCTTTTTTCTGTTTTTTGGTGGCTTAGGCATTAACTGTCTTGCAAATGGCCATCTTCTCCCTGTGCTCATCCCATAGTCTTCCCTGTATGTGCGTCTGTCCTGGTATCCAGATTTCTCCTTTTATAAGGACTCTGATCGTATTGGATTAGGACTTACCCCAGTGACCTCCTTTTAACTTGATTACATCTGTAAAGTCTGTATTTCCAGATAAGGTCACATTCTGTGGGACTGGAGGTTAAGACCTCAACATTTTTTGTAAGGGGGAAGGTAGATGGGGGACACAATTCAACCCAAAAGCTTAGACTAATTTCCCATTTGTATGCTGAATCCCATTCCTTTCCACCAGCCAAATGGATCTTTCGGCAATTGTACCTGTTTCCCCCTGCATTATCTATTTTTCCCTTTCTATTGATCATTCCCATCATATAGAAGCAGGATCTAATAACCCCCATCATAAAAGCTAACCAACCAATCAAAGAAACAAAAAACTTGCTGATCCCACTTATCTTATTTACAGAACTCAAAAGAATTGTCTTTACTCTATGGCTCTACTCCTTCCCCTTTGCTTTCTCTGAAGCTCACTTCAATAAGGCTTTAACCTACCATGCCATCAACATCTCTTTGGTTATGGCCAAAAGCACTCTATATATTATCAAATTCAATGGGCAGCTCTCAAGTCTTGTCTTACTTGACCTGTCAACTGTGTCATTTGACACAGTAGGCCACTCCTTCCTTTTTGAACCCATTTCTTCACTTAATTTGAGGACAGCACTCTCTTTTGCTTCATCTCCCATCTCACTGGCCATTGCTTCTCAGGGTTTAGTCTTTGAAACTCGTCTCTAGATGCTCCATGCCTTGAGTGATGTCACCCAGCCTTGCGGCTGTATACCATCCATATCTACATACACTAACAATTCCTGACCTCTTTCTTTAATGCCAGGCTTGTATATTATGTTAATCCTTCCTCTCTACTCAAATGCCTGATAGACTTCTCAATATTTTATGCCCTAAACTGACCTCATGATGATCCTTCGTGCATATCCTAGTTCTTTTCTTGTCTTCCCTGTCTCAGAAAATGGCAAATTCATGATCCTAGTTGCTTAAGCTAAACCCTTGGCATCATCCTTAATTATCTGTCTCTTTTTCTCATGTCTCACATACAAGTATCAATGAATCCTCTTTGCTCTACTTCCCCAATACATCCCAAATTCAGGCATCTATCACCATCTTCATCATTGTCAATCTGGAGCAAGCCTTGATTCACCTTCGCCTGGACTATTATAATCATCCCCCAGTTAGTTTCCCTATCTCTATTCTTGCCCACCTCTAGTCCATTCCGGACCCAGCAACCAGAACATGTAACTCAAAATCCACCAATAGCTTCCCTTCTTGATAAGCATAAAATGCCAGCTCATTTCGTTGGCCTTCAAAGCTCCCCATGAGTGCATTCTTGGCCACCTCTGACAGAATCCTGTACCACTTATTCCTGTATTCCCTCCACTCCAGTCACGCGAGCATCCTGGTTCCTTTTTTACCCTGCCAACTGTGCTTTCTGCCTCATGGCCTTTGCATTCACTGTTCCTTTAATGAGGAATGCCCTTCTTTTAGGTATCCACATGGTTTGCTCCCTCATTTCATCCAGGTTTCTGCCCAAATGTCTCCTTGTCAGAGAGGACTTTCCTGCCCACTCTAGCTAAAATAGCAATCCCTGTCCACCAATATTCTCCATTTCCTTACCCACTTTCTATTTCTTCATAACGCTTATCACGGCTAGGAACATTTTATATTTATTTGTTTTTTTCCCTTACCTCTTTAAAGTATAAACTTCAAGAGAGCCACGACTTTGTTTACTGATGAACACTTCCTTAGCTCCTAGCATGGTATACAGCACATAGTAAGTGTTGAGCAAATATTTCTTTGTCAGTTAATGTGTTAACTCCCTGTTTCTCTCTCCTTCTTTCTCTTCCATTTTCATTCTCTTCCTTCCTATCCATTTTTACTTTTTCTCTTTCTTTTTCTTCACATTCCACTTCCATCTTCATTTTTGCTTCATTTTCAGTTTAATATCAGAAAAACAGATTGATTCAAAGACTTTCAAAAGGAGAAAATTCAATGTAATCCTTAAAATTGTTATGAAAATTGTTATAAAAATCAAAGCAGAACCACCCATAATTTGGTGGTTAATTTTCAAAATAAAAAGCAGCTGAAATTTTAGGGCTAATTGCAAAAATGAATAACTAGATTAATCCATCCCTGCATTGTTTTAACCTGAGTTTCTAAGACACTGACTTTTCAAATAAGCTAATATAAAAGAGGGGCTCCAAAAATTTACCCATACCTATGACAGAAAGTAGCTTGCCTTTCTGTGTATTATTTATGCTACATGGATTAAAAATTTTATAATAAACTTCTTAGTAAAGAAAGAAAATATCTCATTTTTCCTCTACACTTTTGACTTCTTCTTCTTTTTTTTTTTTTTAAAAAAAATTCCCATCTGCTTTAATGTTTTTCTTTGGTTAATATTTTGGGATTTGTTCAACAAACTTACTTCTTAATAATGCTTGATTAAGCCTTGTTTGCAAAATCAAATATCTACAGATGTGGGCAAGAAACACAATCAAGTAGGCTCAGGGTAAAAAAAAATGTCTACAGTTTAGGGGCCTGTGACAAACTGGAGACACATGCTTTGTGTAAAGGGAATACTATGAAAGTCAAAACAAATATGGGTGCAGTACAAATTTAGCTGGTAGTTTTTTGACCTCTGACTTAGGTGACTATTATAATAATCTGGTAGCTGCTAGTCCTTATATTCCTAGTAGCTAACTGTGGGAGGAAGTGCATGGTATCGAAGTTACAAAACAAATATTAGAGTAGGGAAAATCAAACTTCTATGAAAAATAAGTCAGCAAGTGAATACGTAAAATTGAGTGGGTATGTATGTGTATGTGTGTGTGCATCTTCAAAATAATAGTCAATTATTATGCAGTGATGTACTGTGGCTCTCTGGAAACATAAGAACCACATACAAAATATAATGGGATGAATCACAAAGTCGGTTGCAGGTAGACATATGCTTGGGTACAATTATTTTTAGGGTATTTTCTGCAAATAATGGAAGTTAAAAGGAGAAATCTAATCAAAACCAGAATCAGCTTCCAGACAGCCAACCCATCTCAGATGTGAGAACTTTTTGTTAGCTGGTTATACCATGCCTTCCACTCCGTGGTGAGATGATGAAGATGCCCCTGGGTGAACTGCACCCTGGTTTTCTTCCGTTTCGTATACTTCGTTCTTGCTTTGTGCATACCTGAAATCCATGCAGACTGGAACGCACTGTGCACAGTTGTGTGGTGACTGACGCCTGACCGCTTCATCATGTGTCTTAGTTCATCTGGGCTGCTGTAACAAAACGCCTTAGATTAGGTCATTTGTATATAACCAAGATTTATTGCTTATAGCTTAGGAGTCTGGGGAGTCCAAGATCAAGGCACCAACAAATCCAGTGTCCGCTGAGAGCTTGTTCCCTGCTTCAAAGATGCCCTCACATAGTGACGGGGGCAAGGGAGCCCCCTTGGGCTTCCTTCCATAAGGGCACTAATCCCATTCATGAGGGGTTATGACTCATGACTGAATCACTTCCCAAAAGTCCCATCTATTAACACTGTCACATTGGGTATTAGGCTCCAACATATGAATTTTGGGGGAAACCAACATTGAGACCACAGCGCCATGGAGCTGTGCTAAGTGAGAGAGCGGTTCCTGTATGCGGGGGTTTTCGTTAATGCAGTACCATTTAAAGTGAGGATTGCTTGTATCAGTAAATCAAGACAGCTTGTTTTTCCATACCTTTGAACTCAAACTTACCTAATGTTTGCTACTTTGATGTTTGTTTGTTTGTTTTCAGATACTCATTTAGGGACATAAATCATCATAGTTGTAAGCCCGTGCTCCAGGGTCAAAAAGAATATTGGGTTCAAAGACCAGGTCTGCCTCTTATTGCCTCTGTGACCTGTGAGACGTTTCTTAACCTCTCTAAGCCTCTGTCTCCTCATCTCAAAAATGGAGATAATCATACCTCACAGCTTTGATTAATGTGAAGATTAAAGTGAGATGCTGCTTATAAAAAACTTAGCCATAATAGGTAGCATAACAATTCTCAGTATATATTATCAATGACTCCCTTTGCTATTACTCCTTTTATTAGTAATACAGAGCACAGCTACTCCTTGAAGTGTTTCATAAAGTTTGGTGACACTCTTAACACTCCTGAGAGGTCAAGCATACAATTGGCTTAGGTTGGAGGAACAGTGAACTTGGTGGTCTTGTTGAGCCCTGGTCATGCATAACTAGGATGCCAGATGCTTCGACCTGTAATAAAAAATTCCCCTTGAGCTTGGTAGAATTTGGCAGGCTCACCGTTCATCCTTACATGAGCCGTGTGAGTCAAGCACTGGGCCAGCTCGGCAGAGGCATCGAAGTTCAATCACAGCGCAAAATCTAATCAATTCTCACAGTCAATGAATGAACTGATGATTCAGGTATTTATAGCAAAAGGTGTGAAGAGATTATTTGGAACATGGTGGAGGGTAAGAAACAGGTATAAATCTATTCCAGAATTTCATTTCTTGTGAGTCTTCTAGGAAATGAGATGAATGAACTTTTAAAGAACATTCATTATTCAGCTGAGATTTTTGAGCATCTACTATGTGCCGGGCATTAGGCTAGCTTCTAGCAAAGGAGCTGAGAACAAGACTATGTGAGCACCAGCTCTCACAGTGTTCAAAATTTATGTCAACATCTATGCTGAGTGTGTAGCCCTTATTACTCAGCTTGGCACTTTACCTTTCTCTAAGTTGTCAGAAACTACTAGAAATTTGAACGGTTTCCATCAATGTATTCAAATGAATTGCTTTAGTGGTGGGCAGAGGAAAGATCCTGTTTTTTCCTCCCCTAACACGCACATCCCATTAATCAACAGATTCCTTGTTATTTAATAATAAATAAAAATACATTAACTTGTTGAGGCAAACATGTTTCCCAAAGCCATTATTAAAACTGAATTACCAACAACATGGTTTGAACAGTAATATCATGACCACAAGTCATTTTTCTCAGTTGACTTTCTGACTGGTGATACAAAATCCATGGGAACTGTCTGAATTGCGAGGCAAATATTTTAGTAATGAGTCGATCCCCAAAACAATTTCAACACTGGAATGGAAATTTATACATTCCTTAAGCTTTGCTTCAAAGACAGGTAAAATTCCTTCTGAATTGGGTAAATGGAATGCATTCTATAAACTGTACCCTTTTGTTACAATGAACCCAATTGCTCCCGTCGTTCATAATCTGGCCCAGCAAGCCAATTCTTTGTTCCATTGCTAATCCATAGTGCAGATTTTAATCTCCAACAATTAGTAACCCATTCCTACATATCTTGGAAAGTTCATGACTGTCAGGGTAGGCAATTTTTACGTTGTGTATATAGGTCTCCAAAGAGACAATACATGTTTGTGGAATGAATACATGCTTTTAAAATTCCCATTTCAATAAGTGGAGTTTGCAGGATACTTTAACATAGCCCAGCTGAGAAAAATTTTAGTGAAAGAGGAATCTAGAATAGTAGTTTCCAACTGAGGGTGATATCATCCCCCAGGGGACATCTGACAATGTTTGGTGTCATCTTCGGTAGTCACATCTGAAAGAGGGTGCTATTGGAATCTAGTAGGTAGAGGCCAGGGATGCTGTGAAATATTCTACAGTGCACAGGACAGCTTTCCTACGATGAAAAATTATCTGGCCCTAAATGCCACTAGTGCTGAGGTTAAGACACCCTGATCTGGAGGGAATGCTTCTCTTTCTTTCATCTCTCTCACTGGGGAAGTCAGCTGTGTTGTGAGTAAGCTCCAGCAGCCCTATGGAGAGGTCCATGTGGTGAGGAACTAAGGCTCCCTGAACAGCAGTCAGCAACTTGTCTGTCACCTAAGTGAGGCATCTTGCAAGGGCATTTTCCAGCCTCGGTTGAGCTTTCAGATGAAAGCGGCTCACGCAGACACCTAGATGGCAACCTCATGAGAGATTCCCAGCCAGAACTAGCCAGCTAAGCCACACCCAAATTCCTGGCCCTCAGAAGTTGTAGACCAGTGGTCCCCAACCTTTTTGGCACCAGGGACTCGTTTCATAGAAGACAATTTTTCCACAAATGGTGGGGTGGTGGGGGATGGTTTTAGAATGAAACTGTTCACTTCAGATCATCAGGCATTAGTTAGGTTCTCATGAGGAGCAACAACCGAGATCCCTCACATGTGGAGTTCACAATAGGGTCCACACTCCCATGAGAATCTAATGCTGCCCCGATCTGACAGGAGGCGGCACTCAGGTGGTGATGCTCGCTTGCCTGCAGCTCATCTCCTGCCATGTGGCCGGTTCCTTACAGGCCACAGACTGGTACTGGTCTGTGCCCTGGGGGTTGGTGACCCCTGTTGTATGTGATACATTCTTCTAAGTCATAAAGTCGTTAGTAATTTCTTACGTAGCAGCAGAAAACTAATATAAGTACCTTACGTTGTATCTACACCGAATGGCTTCATTTTATTTTCCTGTATTCCGGTGAGTACAAGAAGAATGGTGAAGGATATGCTTTTTGATTTTGTGGAGAAATGAAGACTTGCAGAATAAAGCATCTTGCTTAGTTAATAGAGTCACAAGCCATTTGATGGAGTACCTGTTGAGAGTATAGCCTAAGGAAGCCTTGACTTTGAAGCCCAAATCTGCCACTTTCTAGCCAAGTAACATCTCTAAGCATTGATTTTTAAAATATGGGAACAACAGGAGCACCTGTTTGATACGGTTGCTATGGAAATTACAAGAGATAACAATGTAATGTGCTTAGCACAATGAGTGGCTGATGGTAAACGCTCTACAAATGTTCATTGAAGAAATAGTTGTTATGATTACATGAGTGAGTGAGTTTTTTTTTTTTCAACTCAAATCACTCTGTTTTTCTGTTTCACATCTTTGCCATTTAAAGGTTTGGGAATGAGTCTCAAAGCCCATGATTTGTGATCTTCTGGCATTTTGCTGAGGTTGGGATTAGAATTATTTAAGTTGCAAGGTGGCGTTTGGTGGAACTCAGCGATCTCCCAGCTGCCTGTGCAGCTGTCTCACCAGAGCCAGTGAGGCACTCATTCTGGGGGCAAAATTTAGCAGAGTGCCAAAAATCTCAGTACTGTTAGGGTAAATATTTTTATATAATATTTTAAAAATCCAATTGGCAAATGATGGCTAACCACCTGTTTTTGTAAATGAAGTTTTATTGGCAGTTCACTACTCACAGCTGTGAATTCAATAATTCACATCACGCTTTTTAAGATGATTATTTTCTTAAATTTATTTTTCGTTTATATTTACAGTGAAATTTTTGCCCTTAAGCAATATTCATGTGTGCAAGCAATTGTGAGGTTAATGGCACTTATCCCCTGGAATGGGTCTGTATGAATTTGGAAGCTGTGGCAACATGTTGCAGACAGCTTATCATGAACAGTTGTGGCTGGAACTGATAATGTCTTCTCTCATTGCCAGGCTCTTGATCCTTCCTAATTCATATGATTTGCATCCATAATTTTGGAACTAAAAATATGTCTTTTAAACAAGTAATATATAAAGAGAAATGTTCCAAATCCTATTTATATTTTAATTTATTATTTTTTATTTCCATAGGTTTTTGGGGAACAGGTGGTATTTGGTTACATGAGTAAGTTCTTTAATGGTGATTTTGGTGTACCCATCACCCAAGCCCTACTTTTAATTCTAAGGTGATAGAGATCCAGGATTAAAAAGAAGGATAAACAAAAAGAAAATAGAAGTAAAAAAAAATAGAAATCAAAGCATCAACTAATGATATGGAAAAAGAAAAGCCAAACCTTTGTTCTTTGAAAAAACTAAAAACAGGCTTTTGTTGAGATACAGACAGCAAAAAAAAAATCCTAAGAATAAAGCAAAAACTTCTACAATTATAGATGTTTTAAAAAATCGTAAGTGAATACAGTTAGCAACTATGTGCCAATAGGTTTATAAGTCTAAGTGAGATTGAGAATTTTCTAGAAAAAAATGTAAATTACTTACACTGACACAGAAAGTAGAAGAAAATCTAAATAAACCAGTAACCATGAAGGAACTGAAGTGGTGGCAAACATCTGCAGGCCTGTGCCAGCGCTGGCTCCATCGGTGGGGACCTGAGCTGGGTAGTCACATGGCGGCCCCATGCTTAGAAGTACCTTGCTCAGGGTTTAATTCTTTGCTGGCTTTGGGTTTAATTCTTTGCTGCTACTATCTTAAAATTCTTTTTCTCTTTCTTTCTTTTTTTTTTTTTTAGACAAGGTCTCACTCTTCCCACAGGCTAGAGTCCGGTGACATGATCACAGCTCACTGTAGCCTCAAACTCCTGGGCTCAAGTGTCACAGCTCACTGTAGCCTCAAACTCCTGGGCTCAAGTGATCCTCCTACCTCAGTCTCCCTAGTAGTTGCGACCACAGGTGTGCACCACCACACTTGGCTAATTTTTTTTTTGAAGTTTTTGTAGAGATGAAGTCTTGCCATGTTGCCCAGGGTGGTCTGGAATTCCTGGGCTAAGGTGATCCTCCAGCCTCAGCCTCCCAAAGTGCTGAGATTACAAGTGTGAGCCACCACACCTGGCCTTAAAATTATTAGTTTGTTATATTACCATATATAAATTATAATATATGTTACATTATCAACTGTTAATTATATTATGAAAATATAGTAACATATTATTAACTAATATATTAATATATATTATAGAATTAATTATAGTATATATTAATAAGAAGCCCTCCTTTTAATTTTGTGCTTGGCCCTGCAAATTATGTAGCCAGACCTGTACATACTGGTATACTTTTATAGGTGAGTTTTTCAACTAATTTTACAGTACTGATAATCTAAAAACTTTTGAAAATAGGAAAAGAAGGCAAATTACCCAGTTCAGTTTAGAAGATCATTGTAACAATTCCAAGATCTCTTGATGAAAGTCATTCAGAAATTTGGAGATAAAATGTTATTTCATTGGACCTGCCAAAATATGAATAACTGCCATAATCATTTATTACCTAAGAAGTTTGATATTGACCCTTACAGTTGAGAATTGTTGTGTCTTCAAACGAAGTTGTTTTCTAATTTTTTGTTTTTTCTGTTTCCAGCAAAAAGTATGCTAGAATAGCTTATCCTAAATTCATTCTAGGTTAGTTGATAAGTTAACTATTTTAAGCTCTTCCGGCATTTCTACACTCTTAAAGTCTTAATATGAATTTTTTTCCAGGTCACTCGCTAGTGAACCTTGGAAAGATTTGGCAAATTGACTTAATGTTTGTCCAAAGTCAGACTCAGCTTATTTTTCCGGAAGCTCTAAGTTAAAAAAAAAAAAAAGATGGAATTAGTGTTGGAAATCTTATTAAGAATACAGTGGAAGCATACTTGTTTTGTTCTTTTGTTCTGTTTCTATATTTCTGATCCAGCTACGTTGTTTCTCTATAAGGCGGGCAGATCATTTGAGGTCAGGAGTTGGAGACCAGCCTGGGTAACATAGCGAAACCCCATCTCTATTAAAAATACAAAAATTAGCTGGGTGTGGTGGCAAGCACCTGTAATCCCAGCTACTTGGGAGGCTGAGGCAGGAGAATCTCTTGTACCCGGGAGGCGGAGGTTGCAGTGAGCCAAGATCGTGCCACTGCACTCCAGCCTGGCTAATAGAGCCAGACTCTGTCTCAAAAAAAAAAAAAAAAAAAAAAGGGGGCTGCCCTCTGTTTCTTGCCACGAGGGCCTCCCCAACACAATTGCCTGCTTCATCAAAACAGATGACTATTACAATCCTTTCTCACGTAATCACCAAGTGACATCTCATCACCTTCGACATATTCTATTGGTTAGAATCAAGCCACAGGCTCCGCCACACTTAAAGGGAGGAATTTACACAAAGCTTTGTTTGCCTCATAAAATATCATTCACGTATTATTTTACTTAGGGATCATCTTTTAAAACTTGAACAAATTGATTTACAAGTAAATTTTGTAGTAGCACCAGAACTTTAGAAATAACTGGTATTAGCAGAAGATAATTGCAAACATACATATTACCAGCAATAAAAATTACTTGTCTGTGTACCTTGAAAATTCATCCTGTGTATAACTTGTGATTATACATAAGCATCCTTAATAAAATGCTGAAAAAAATCAATGTAATACACTTAATATAATGCCAATCACACAGTCAGCCCTTAATCAATGTAAGTTATTCTTATTACAGATCTATTAGGTTGGTGCAAAAGCGATTGTGGTTTTTGCCATTACTTTTGCACCATCCTACTACAAGTTTGGTCTCCAGAATATATTGTATATCGGATGAAACACAGGCTGAACATCCCTTTTCCGGCACCCTTGGCCTATTGATCATGATCTTCTTTCCTGGCATGCTTGGACTCAACTTCAGAATGTTTCTTGATACTGTGTTTCAGGCAACTGCCACCAATCAATTGGTGTTGGCACAATCCAGAGGACCGCTACCGGTCTCCAGTAGATTTCACCTGGTGTAGAGAGATCTGGGCCAATCATAACAGAAAAAAAGCATTAACAATACATAAAATGAAGGGGGAAAATTGATCTATTAAAAAGAAAACAAATGCAGATGAAAAAGCAAAGCATTTCTTTTTCAAGTATGTCATCAACTCTCAACTTCATATTTATTTTGTCTTCCTGATCTCTTTTCTCCCACAATATGGGACATCCTCATCACTTTACCTTTCTGCTCAATGTGTGCAAAATATATTGCACACCCAGTTTTATGAAAGCACAACAGATTCGGGAGGAGAAAGTTTCCTCTGTGCAAATCTTCTAATCAATTCTAAAGCATTGGTACTTGGGAGTTGATGCTACTTGAGAAGCTCAGGTGCAAGGCATCCTGATGACTAAGGGTTCTGCAAATATTTTATTGCTGATAAAGGAGGTTCTAGAGGACAAAACAATCATGGAGAAGCATAAGTGATATTAATCACTTATTAGGTCAACTTCCAACCCAGGAGATTAGGAAAAGCTCAACAAATTAGGCCAAATCATAAAATGGCACCTTGGCTTTCAACCAACAGCTTTCTCCTGAATACTTGCTGATAGATTCATTGACTGACCCATTTAGGTTCTTTGAGCACCAAGAAGTGCAGGGAAATGAGCAAGAACTATGAAGTCAGACAGACTGGGGTTTCAGTCCGAGCCTGCTTGCTGCATTTCCCTGAGCAAGATACTTAACTTCTCTAAGCCTAATTGAAAAATGAGAAGATTCCCAGAGATTTGGCAAGGCCATGGGAGAAATTGTTGGGACAGGTTATAGAAAAGGACTAAAATACTCAAAATAGATTAGTGGCCCTAATCAGATATTTGTGCATTTCAGCTTTTTAGAGAAATGCAATGAGATGCCCTAAAAACCAAAGGAAAAAAATTCATAGATTTCTAGAACGTGCAAAATAGACGTTGAAAATGAGGCGTGCCAGGTGCTATCAAGAGTAGAGGCTGAGTCAGGACTCAATGTTGGGGACCGAAGCTCAGGCCCTGCCCCAGAAAGGATTAGCTCCAGCTGATGGCTTTGTGGGCTCAGGGGCCACACAGACCAGGACCTCTGTTTTTTCACAGAAGCCAGAAATATGAGATGGTGCATCTCATCCCACAACTGTTAAATGTTAGTAAATCTTTAAATACCTGCTATTTACTGAGAATTCATCATGTACCAGACAGCTTCTAAGAGTTTTAGTGCATTGTTTCCATTGATTCTCTCAACAACTGTATGAAATATGTTTTGATCATTATTTCTGTTTCATAAATGAGAAAACTCAAGCACAGAGAGGTCAGAATCACTTCCCCAATGCCACACAGCAGAGGAGCTGGGATTTAAACCCAATCTATCTGCTTCCAGCACTCAGTTCTTTTTTTTTTCTTGAGACAGAGTTTTACTCTTGTTGCCAGGCTGGAGTGCAATGGAGGGATCTTGGCTCACTGCAACCTCTGACTCCTGGGTTCAAGCAATTCTCCTGCCTCAGCCTCCCGAGTAGCTGGGATTACAGGCACACACCACCATGTCCAGCTAATTTTTTTGTATTTTTAGTAGAGACAGGGTTTCACCATGTTGGCCAGGCTGGTCCCGAACTCTCGACCTCAGGTGATCCACCTGCTTTGGCCTCCCAAATTGCTGGGATTTCAGGCATGAGCCACTGTGCCCGGCCTGCACCCAGTTCTTAACCACCTCGATACACTGCCTATTTTTCTTTTCTTTTCTTTTTTTTTTTGAGATGGAGGCCTATTTTTCTTTTAAATTATTTTGACATAATTTCAGAAAAGTTACATGAACAGTACAAAGAATTCCCATATACCATTCACCCAGATTCTTCAAGCATTTGCATTTTACTACTTTGGTTTTGTCCTTCTTTTTCTCTCTTTCTACATACACAGACACACAGACACACACACACACACACACACACACACACACACACACACACGTCTTAACTCTGAATGCTGAGCTTGCCTAGAAGCAGTAACATCCCAGTAGCAACAAGCACCAGGAGCCAAAATCTCGATTTCTAAATGTTCTTTTCTACTGAAACAAATTAGGACTTCTTGAAGAAACAGATGATTCCACGGTGGGGCAGGTAAAGTACAAGATCAGCCTGGAATATTTTATTGTTCCAGAAAGCAGGAAGTGCTCAAAAATGGTAACAACATGTCAAAACAAACAAACAAACAAAAAACCAGCAACAATGCACAGGAACCTATTTAAAGAGGCTCCCATTAATCAAATCTGGGGCAATCTGAATATCAAAATGAATAATGACAGTGTAAAAATTATAACCCATTCAAAAACATAAGAATCTGCAAGCTCGCACTGACATAAATAGACATAAATTATAAATAATTAATTCTTCCTGACAGCACGACTGTAATCTCAGCACTTTGGGAGGCCGATGTGGGCAGATCACAAGGTCGAGAGATCGAGACCATCCTGGCCAACATGGTGAAACTCCCTACATAGCTCACCACAATAGCAAGTTTATATGCATTTCTGTGATTATTTGATTGACATTTCCTCCCCTTGTTCTTCCCCATCCTCCGTAGTAGGATACAGATGGCGTAAGAGCAGGGACATGTTTATTTTGGTTTGCCCCTGTACCCATGATGCTTGGCTTACAGATCTTCATAGGCACTCATTAAATATTTCCTTTTACCTGGTTGTCCTAGTTGTAATGTTTACAACCACCATTTATGGTAACCAATAAAGCTAGGCAAATTTCCCAGGACTCGTGCCAAGTTGTAAATCCTCCTCTCCAAGGTCTTCTAGATTACCAGGTCATACAGTGCCTGTCACAGGGTAGATGCTTAGTGACTCAGGGCAATTGTGATTGTCATCAGTAACACACGCTGCTCAGTGCTCGTAGCTTATTATGACACCTTTCTGGTCCCTATTCTGTCTCCCTCAAGGCTGACTCCATATTTTAGCTTTAACAAAATTTCCAGGGATATTTGTGGGAAACCAGTACACAATAATATATATGGAATTCAGTCCAGTTGGCTTTTGTGATGTCCAAATAATTTTTTTGAGAGAGAGGAAGGGAAAAATAAAAAGAGAGAAAGGAAAAAAAAATGAAGGAGGAAATGGAGAGATCAAAGGAATTCCTCAACGTTTGTAGCAGGGATTCTACAGACCAGGTACTGCTCCCCCGGAGAGTAGGAATTATTTATGGGGAAATTACTTACACAGGGGATGGAGTGAGGTTGCATTATATGCACACTTAACCCAGGCACATCCAACCATCCATGCTTGGAGTGGAAAGATGACTATGGAAGGATGTAGCCCAGGTGATTCCAACACCCTCACTCAATGAGAACAGCAAGATGAGAAACGAGATCCACCTCTTGCCTTATTTCTCATGCACATCTCAAAATGTGAGCTCCTGATGCCCTTGGTGTGGTTCTAGCATCTGAGGAAGTGCATTTTTCATGTGACATGGCCCCTAGACATAAGCCAACTACTTTAGGTTGTTTTCACCCACTAGAGCAGAAAGCTTTTCCAACACCGGAAGGAATCCTCTGTGGATTAAAACCCATTTATGCCTAGTGTTCCATTAGTGGAACGCTAAGCTTCTGGGAGTTATTGAAATCCCACTGCTTAAGGTCATCGCTAAGGTCTGATTTTTCACAAAAAAATTTGCAACCTCTGGCATAAATGGGTTAATGAGGGATGAAACTATGTGTTTACGGTATACTTTACAGATAATTGAAGGGATGTAAAGTTTACCGTAACTCTAAGAAATTTTTACTCTGGTTGACTTTCAAACCTAAATCCCCAGTGCGCTTTCTCGCTAATGAAACACCTGTGAGTTCCATACCCCTTAAACTTCATGCTGATATAGCAGGAAAAATCCTAGATTTTATTTTATTTTTTGATATTGAATTTCACTTTTTTGCCCAGGCTGAAGTGAAGTGGCATGATCTCGGCTCTCTGTAACCTCCGCCCCCCAGGTTCAAGCAATTCTCCTGCCTCAGCCTCCCAAGTAGCTGGGATTATAAGCACCTGCCACCATGCCCAGCTAATTTTTAGTACAGATGGGGTTTTGCCATGTTGGCCAGGCTGGTCTCGAACCCCTGACCTCAGGTGATCCATCGGCCTCGGCCTCCCAAAGTGCTGGAATTACAGGCATGAGCCACCGTGCCCAGCCAAAAAACCCCTAGATTTTAAAGTTGTTAACTTCACCAGGTTTTAATTCTAGAGGAGTCATTTCCCAACTGTGTGACATGGGGAGTTTACTTAACCTCTCTGAGCCTTAGCTATTCAATGGACGTTAACATATGCGATGCACAAGTGTTCTCATGAAGATCAGAAAATTTGAAATGTACGTAGCTCGGTGCTGAGCATAGAGCAGGGATGGTGTCCAAATTCTTATTTCCTCAATCAGAGAGGCAAAAGTCAAACAACTCCCTTTACAGGGGCAGAACCTGTCAAAAGAAATGTGCTGGGCCCAAATGGGAAAAATGAGACAATTACACCATCTGAAAATACAAACACGATCAGTTTTACCTACTTGTGGAGCAGAACCTAAGAGACTTATGGGAAATTAATTTTTTTTTAAGTGAAAGCAAGTTTATTAGGAAAGTAAAGGAATAAAGAATAGCTACTCCACAGGAAGAACAGTAGCATGGGCTGCTTGATTGAGTAGACTTGTAGTTATTTCTTGATGATATGCTAAACAAGGGGTGGGCTATTCATGAGTTTTCCAGGAAACAGGTGGGCAATTCCCGGAACTGAGGGTTCCTCCCCCTTTTAGACCATATAGGGGAACTTCCTGATGTTGCCATGGCATTTGTAAACTGTCCTGGCGCTGGTGGGAGTGCCTTTTAGCATGTTAATACAGGAAATTAATTTACTTTTCTGTTTAGAGTCTTCTTGGGACTGATGGAGAATCACCAGGACAATTACAAAATACAGTGGACTCCATCAACCCAATGGTCTAATCATGGGAGGTTTTACCCTAAATACTGGAAACTACAAATCCACAGATTAAATTTGATACATTTGGTTTGGTTCAAATCTAGTTGCCAAATAGTGATTTTTCTAATCCCATCAATTTTGTATACTTTTATTTAATTAATTTATTTTTTGAGACAGAGTCCTGCTCTGTCGCCAGGCTGGAGTGCAGTGGCATGATCTCGGCTCACTGCAACCTCCGCCTCCTGGGTTCAAGCAATTCTCCTGCCTCAGGAGAATCTGCCTTTCTCCTCCCAAGTAGCTGGGACTACAGGCGCGTGCCACCACGCCCAGCTAATTTTTTGTATTTTTAGTAGAGATGAGCAGTACATGACGTGCATCCCACAGGTCCGGGAACCAATCTATCTTTGTTGGAATCCTGGCTTCCCTACATACTAACTGTGATTCTAAGGAGATTACTGAGCACCTCTGTGCCTCAGTTTCCCCAGGTGTGAAATGGGAAGAATGATCACATCTACTTACAGGGCAGTGACAAGGATTTGTGAATTCATATGTAGCAAGTGCACAGAGGAGAGACTGGGGCAGCAAGATCAGTCAATAAATATTATTATCATCATGACCACATTGGCCATGTCAGTGTCGGCTCCAGGCAACCTGCTCAGGGAGGTGAGGGGCAGCAGACGTGGCCCTTGCTCCACCCTGTGCTCCTCACACCCATTTGCCGGTCTTTGTGCCCTTCGCCCAGGTTTTTCATGCTTTGCTCCTCATGGCTGGCACCTGCAGCCTTCTTCAAAGACTACCTTCTGGCTACTATAGCCATTTTGCCTGGACATGTAAAGTCTAGAAGTATCTTAGAGTTTATACCCCAAGGTGCAGCCTGAACTGAAGGAGTGTGGAAGCCCTGCTCCCTGGGCACAAGGAGAACAAACTGAGCTGCAATGTACACTCCAGAGCTCCCAGAGATCAGGCTGAGGCTGGAACTTCACTCAAAACCACACGCTTGTTTGGCTTCTTTCCCTTCCTCATCCTGCTGTCCCCACAGTCGCACAGGTCTCCTTGGGAATCACAACCCTAATGAATCCCGGTGCTGGGGACAGCCCCTGTGGGATCTAAGTCATCAAGGAAGATTTCCTTCAGGAAATGAAAGCTGGGTGGACGTAGATGGTGCGTAGGAGAAGAACAGGCAGAGAAAGAGCATGCCGGGAGGGAGACGGTGGGAAGAACCCTCTTGCTAGCATTTAAGGAACAGCAGAAACTGGCAGAAGCCACTGTGGCCTGGTTCCAGAGGCCTCTGGGGGTGGATGATGTGGGCTGAGGCCTGGGGGATCAGTGGGACCTCAGTTGATAGGGCCTGGAAGTGTGGATTGCAGAATCGGATCTTTACGTAAGAGCAATGGGAAGCCCCAGAGGCAGGATGAGGCATGATCAGGTTTGGGTTTGAAAAGACCAGTAAGGCAAGTGTGCAAAGAACAGAGGGGAAGGAAGCAAGAGAGGACTGAGATCAGCTGGGAGCTCCTGCAGAGACTAGAGATATTAGTGGTCCAGGCAAGAGATTGTCAGTATTGCTCCCAGCCACGGAAAATTTGGCTGTTGTAGGTCTTTCATTGTGAAATGTAAACTTATTCTTGGGAATTAAGTATTCAAACAGTGAATGTGGTAGGCAGGGGCTGAAATGGTTCGTAACCTCTACCTGACTGCCAAGTGCCAGCCTCCCTTTCATGTCATGAAAGATACAAGAGAGAACAGGCTCCCAGGCCGTTCTACCCCCCTTTCAATCACACAACCAGTGTGTGACTGATTGTGTGATTGGAAAGGGGGTAGAGATAGAAGTAACTGGACTTGGGAAATATTTAAGCAGCAACAAAATGGAAAGTTATTTTGCAATTACAAGAATAAACTTTCAGTAAAACTGCTATTAAAGTCTAGATTTATCTAAGGGTAAATTTTGTGATATAGGGCTTGTAGGCCATATGAGAAAATTTTCTACCAGTAAAATAAAGTTTGAATTTGTTTTTATTTTGTTGTAACAAAGGCAATAAAGAGGGGAAGTCTCTCAAATATTTAAAAACTTTTATTTTTACTTTCAGAGAATTTGAAGGTATACAGATGAAATCTGACAAGACGTGAATTTATAATTCTAAAAATAATTTCACAGCAGAGAGAAAGCATATACCTAGATATGTACATATTTATTACAATATAAAGACATAAATGTATATTTCTGAAATATTCTAAAAATATAATGTAGGAAGAAATATTTATCAAATACACAGAATTATATACAGTATGCATTTAGGAAAAGCAGTAGTAAAAATATGCACAAATAAACCATCTGTAAACACAATTTTTAAGTCTTATAAGTATTGCATGCATTTCTGTGCATTTTACATTTATGAAATCATATTTTTCCTAGGAGTTCAAATCACAAAACAAATGTTATATAACAGATCTCTAACTTTTGCATGCTTTACACTTGTCCCATTTAATAGACAGAAAAATTATGGCATGGGAAATCATTTTATAATATTAAAGTCACACTGAATGTTTTTAAGCTGTGACTAAACTTTGAAACATTGCCCTGCACCACAGATCCTAAATCAAGTACTGCAAATATTAAAAAAATGACTGAGGCAAATTACCATTAGAACCCACACACACATACACGGACACACACACACAGACACACACACACATGCATGTCTGTGCTTCATATGCACATACACAATTTAAAAATTATTGCTTCATCTTTACCCTAATGCCATAAAGGAATCACATTTAAAAAATAAACAATTTTAAGGTCCTCTAACAAAATAATGCCCCAGTGAATCACTAGTCTTATAAGTTGTTTGACTTCGTTAAAGTCCTTTTAAAAATAGAGGTGTTCTCTAGTTTCCCAATAATGTTTTTATTTCAATGCAGGAAGAACGCAATTTCATGGGAGGCCTGATAACTTTAACCATCATTTAGCTTGGCTTACATTATTAAGCAGGGACATTTTCCTAAGTAGTACATTAAGCAGAGCTACAGTAAATGGATTGTCAGTATTACTCCCAGCCCCAGAAAATTTAGCTGTTGTAGGTCATTCATTGTGAAATGTAAACTTATTCTTGGGAATTAAAGATTCAAACAGTGAATGTGGTAGGCAGGGCCTGAAACGGTTTGTAACCTCTACCTGACTGACAAGTGCCAGCCTCCCTTTCATGTCATGGAAGATGCAAGACAGAACAGGCTCCCAGGCCATTCTAAGCACCTGAAGATGGTGCTGACACAGGTGAAGTGTAAACCAGCAGTGAACCCTGTAGAATGCCTTGGATCCCAGCACTCAGTCCGCTTCCCTGAGTTGGATATGATGTTAGCAAATACCACCATCTAGAAAGACAGTACAGCTTCTGGAACAATTTTGCAGAAGAAAAAGTATCAACACCTGGGCCTAAATATTCTTTATAAGCTGTTGTATGGTGTGGTGTTTGAAGTTTGCTTTCCGGTAACGTAGAAGCCATAAGCACCATTCTTGCAGAAAAGTTGAAATGGCTGTTTTGGTCTTGGTAAAAAAAAAAAAAAAAAAAAAAAAAAAAAAAAAAAAAAAAAAAAGGTATACCCTAATTGTATATCAAAGAAGTGTATTTAAACAAGACAAATTATTAGCCAAAGAAAAAATGCTAAAACTTAAAAGGTGTGGCTTACTGTGATAAACATGCATGCTCTTTGCTGAAGGCTGGGGTGTCACAATGCAGCTAGAATACTTTCCTTACCCTACTTGATTCAGTTCTGTTGGTTGGGATGCTCAGAATTTGACAAATTTCATAATAGCATCAGACACTTGGTGGAGGAATAATAATGTATTCATTTGGGCCTTGTTCAGAAATTTCATCTGTAATTGCATGTTTCTCTAAATAATCTACCAATAAGCAAATGCTCCTTAACTTGCCATTGGCAAACAGCATTTTTTTCTAGGAAAATCCTAGAAGGTGCTGCTAAAAGAACACAATGATAGAATCCGGGTTTAAACACCGACATGTCAGCCTATAAAGCCATATGTTACAAATGTCTTATTTCCACCACCAGGGGTGGTGGCTCACACTTGCAATCCCAGCACTTTGGGAGGCCGAGGCGGGTGGATCACGAGGTCAGGAGTTCAAGACCAGTCTGGCCAACATAATGAAACCCCATCTCTACTAAAAATACAAAAAATTAGCTGGGTGTGGTGGTGTGCACCTGCCTGTAATCCCAGCTACTCGGGAGGCTGAGGCAGAAGAATCGCATGAACCCAGGAGGCGGAGGTTGCAGTGAGCTGAGATTGCACCATTGCACTCCAGCCCAGGTGACAGTGTGAGACACTGTCTCAAAAAAAAAAAAAAAAAAAAAAATTAGGGCCTTCTTAGGCTAACTTTTGATCACTTCAATAGTTTTGAATTCATTGTAATGTCTATTAGGAGAACATAACTAGACTTACTAACTCTTAATTTCATTAAGGAAATTATTACTCAGGACGAGGCCAACATATGCTATTTGGCTTATGTTATTTAAAGGAAATAACTCAGTAGTATTGAAATAAATAGCACCTGGTTGGTATATGGACATGGCAAAAGTTGTGGAGGGAACATGAGAACTCCTCTATTGTCAGAAAAAGTATTGAATGGCATACTGCAGAAAAAATATTCTATTGTGTTCAATACAGGCTGATAAATATATACATTTATATTACATGTGGTTGCATAACACAAACCTAGACCCTAGGGCTAAATACAGTCCACCGCTTGTTTTTTATAAAATTTATCAGAACACAGCCTTTGTAGGCAGAATAACAGATCTCCTAAAATGTGAATGCCCTAATCCCTGGAACACGTGAATATACTACCTTATATGAAAAAAAGGGCTTTCCAGATGAAATTAAATTTATGAACTTGGAGATGGGAGACATGATCCTGGATAATATCTTGTCAGACAGAAGCAATGTAAGAAGAAAGAGAGATTCAAAGTGTGAGAGGGACTCAACCAACCATTGTTACTGGCTTTCAGTTGGGGAAGGTTTCATGAGCCAAGGAATATGGGAAATCTCTCAAAGTTGAGGATCGCCTTCAGCTGACAGCAGCAAAAAAATAAAGACTTCAGTCCTGTAACCATGAAGAACTAAATTCTGCCAACAACCAAACTAGCAAGAGAATAGATCCTCCTCTAGAACCTCCAGAAAGAGCCCCGACAACACGATAATTTTAGCCTGGAAGAGCCTCATCAGACTTCTGACCTATAGAACTGTAAGATAATAGATGTGTGTCGTGTAACTCACTAAGTTTTAGTAATTTGCGGTGGCAGCAATAGAAAGCTAGGACATCAGCTCACTCATTAGTTTACAAATTGCCTGTGGCTGCTTTCATGTTCCAAGGTAGTATTAAGAGGATGTGACAAAGACTGTATGGTCCATAAAACCTAAAATATTTGCCAACTGGCCCTTTACGGAAAAAGTTTGCCAACCCTTACTATTCACATGCAAAAACCATGAACAGCTGCTAGCATTTACTGAACACTTAATTGATGCCAGGCTCAGGAATAACTACTTGGTATTCATATTAAATTTTTGTGATACACTCTCTTTGGGTCATCATTTTACAAATGAAAAAAAAAAAGGAAGTAGAGAGTTTAGGGAACTGCTCAAGGTCACCCAGCAAGTTAGAGGTGAGCTGGGATTCAAACCCCAGTCTGGCTGACTTCCCAGCATAGCTCATCCCTCGTCATTCTCACTACCTTGCAGAGGATAATGAACCGCCTAGATGCTCACCTGAGGCGTATTATCGCTGGCAAAACGCGATGGGGAGTTCCCGGCTGGGCACCAGGGTGCCTGAGTGTAGCATCTCAACAGGCTCATTGTCTGTGGCCTGGATGTCGTATTTGCGGACAATCTGTAATGCACACGCACACAAAAACAGAATTACCCCTCTCTTCTTCTGCCTTGTGAAACAGCACAGAACATAATTGCAGAAACCGGTAAAGGTTTTACCCAACAAAGAGCCAAATGCAGTTGAAGCTCTGCTAATCGGCGACCAATGCACATTCTTTTTCCAACGCCAAATGGAAGATGCGCAAAAGGATTAATTTTTTCCTTCTCCTGAAGCCAACGTTCAGGTCTAAACTGACTTGAATCTTCAAAATTGTCTTCACTGGATCCCAACACCTGGGTATTTAGCATGAGCACTGTCTAAACACATGCAGAGACACATAGTATTTAAAATAACCAGAAGAGACCTTTGAATGGCAAAATTGACACAAGTTGTCACCTTACAAATCAAAAGCCAAATCCACAAATTTATAATAATGATGGTTGCCAACATGCGCTGAGTGCTTAAAATGTGCCAGGTAATAAATAGGTAAAGGGCTTTAGAATTGTGCACCATACTCACAACCACCCTGCGCAGCAGATTCTGTTATTAAACCCCTTTTACAGACGAAGTTGAGGCTCACAGAGATTATGTAACTCACTCAAGACAACACAGATAAAAGATGAAACTGAATGCAGGTCTCTGTCTCCATAGCCGTGAATTCTAATTCTATACTATGCAACATGTCAACTATTCTCTACCATCTCTGCATTCCCAAAATGAATATTTTCCAGTACAAAGTCTAGGGAGATCTGGTGAATATTTGCAAAGTGTATCTTCCAAGGTTTTGTAAGGTATAGAATATACAAATTCTACTTACTCCTTTGGGTAAAGCATATTCACCCAGAACTGTTGCCTTGTCAAGAGTCCGAGTTGTAAATGGTACACTCGGCGTAAGCCTGAAAAGATAAAATCAAAGATGTAAAGGTGAGCACAGTCTAAGTTCTCTCTGAAGTGTCAATGGGAATGCAGATTGGATTAAATAAATGCTGCCCAAGTGCATACTCAAAGAGGCAGCATGATCACAGATCTTCCTAAAGAAGTTGTTTTTTTCTTCTCAATAATTGTATCTCTTGTTCCTCTCATCTTCTTGAGTTAGTTAAAACCCCAGTGCAAGGCTGTTTAGTAAACTGTTAACGTTGGTTTTCCCCCTTCATTCCAGACTAAAATGTGTATGTTTCCGTGCTAGCCCTTGAAGCGTGATGTTTGTTCTATGTTTCTCCAATCTACTCTTCACAAAGTTGACAGTATCCTTCTAATCCTAAAATGTTGTGAGTTTTGTTTTCCCAAAAGGATGTAAAAAGAATTTCCAAAAAATGTTTTATACCAGAGGCTCAAAAGCAAAGCTTTCTCTGTGTCCTATTATATAATAATATAGCTCTTTTGTGAGCCTCCATCTCATAACCTTCAATCATGCCCCTATCTTAATTAGTGCTTACAGCGTTCATTAGAGTAGCAAGATTATTGAATTAAAGGGGAGGGCACTGGCTTTCCAAGATTTAATAGAATTTGCCCAAATGATTTAGGAAATGAGTGCCAGAAAAGAAATATGGCTCCAAAGATTTTTTTGCAGTGTGATAATTGTTTCTAATTAGCTAGGGGAAGCCGCCCATGAGTAGGGGACCACTTGTTTTGTGTTTACGAGAACAGTGTTCTAACACATTTATATTGGCTCAGAGATAGGCTCTTACCTCATAGATTCTTTCAGACAGGCTTTTAAATACGGCATATTCCTCAAATCTTCTGCCCGTGGCACCTGATTCTCAGGTAATACACTTTGAATTTCCTTAAGAAGCTTTTGTTGCACTTGGGGATTACGGGATAAATTGTAGAGAATCCACATTAGACTGTTTGCTGTCTGCAAGCCAAATGGACATAAACTTGAGTTTTTGTAAATAACTGCATTAAACCACTATTAGCTGAAAAAAAGGTGATGCCCACCACCTTATTCTGCAAATGTATCAGTGAAGCTCTTTCACGCGTCCTTATAGCTACGCCTTTAGACAAATCCAATATATAAAAAAGCAGACTTATTTCATAAAACATATCAATTAAGGATATATTTTAAATTATTTACTGAGGGAATCAAAGTATAATCCTTTAATCAGCTGCTTTAGAACATTTAAATACAGTTTTTTTTTTTTTTTGAGATGGAGTCTCACTCTGTCACCCAGACTGGAGTGCAGTGGCACTATCTCGGCTCACTGCAACCTCCACCTCCTGGGTTCAAGCGATTCTCCTGCCTCAGCCTCCTGAGTAGCTGGGACTACAGGCATCCACCACCATGCCTGGCTAATTTTTGTATTTTTAGTAGAGATGGGGTTTCACCATGTTGGCTAGGCTGGTCTTAGACTCTTGACCTCAGGTGATCTGCCTGCCTCCAAAAGTGCTGGGATTACAGGCATGAGCCAACTGTGCCTGACCTAAAATACAGTTTGACGCAATAATTGTTCGAACACAAATGAGTACATGTAAAATTGGTGAAATGAGAATATTAGTGGGTTAAATCAATGCCAATTTTCAGATTGTGACAACGTTTTCTCGTTAGACAGGACATTACTATTAGTGGAAAACTGGGTAACGGATGCAAGGGATCCCTTTCTATTTTTTCTTAGAACTGAATGTGAATCTACAATGATCTCAAAATAAACATTTAATTAAAAGTTGCTTGATATAAAAAACATTCATATAAAAATGGAGTAAACAGAGAGGGATGGTGATCCTCAGGGTGTTGCTAATGAGAGGCTTTAAGAGAATGTTATAGTGGAAATGGACAATAAATGGCATTTCTGAAATTTAAAAGTTCCTTTGGCCACACCCTAAAAAGTCACCACAAAAATAAACAGGCACTACCTACACTGAGGGTTACAACCACATGTAAACAGCCCTCATACGAGGGTGCCAACACCAAAAATAAGAAATTCAAACATTGAGCTGAGTACTCCAGCTACAGTTTCTGACAAAGGCCCACACCCTTTTAAGTGGCATCTTTTATTTCCTCTGCACAGGCAATGACTAGAGAAAAAATATTGGTGGAAACAGCCAATGTAGCTTTAAGCTACATAATATTCACCACTAGTAGTCATATGTATTTATTTTTTAGGCCGTACTTTGCTAATTTAAGCCAAATATTTCCTGAAAATGATCATTGTGTCCACCTCCGCAGACATGAAGACGCTGTTGCTAAGTGCCATGTGCCACTCACACAAATGAGCACCAAGTGCAAGACCATTCAGAGATGATGGTTATTTTATTATTTTTGGAAGAAGATGCCTCCAAGGCAGTCTTCTTCATGTCAGAGGACTGGCAGCCTCGGCTGCAAATAAACTGTAGATGCCATTATTATAAGAGTCTAATTTACAAAACAGGAAGAGGGTGTAGCCATCAAATTAGATACACTTTCAAATGGTTCTGATTTTCCAAATGTGACTTTCAGAATAGCCAGGACCAAAAAAGAAACAGATTTAACCATATCAGTGAGTCCCTCACCGCAAGTACCAAATAGAGTTTCCAAAGGGCAGATGACTGTAGCTTTTACCAAAGCCACGTAAGGCAGTCTGAGCCTGTAGGGAAAACTGCAGGGGCTAAGCTGCAGCAGCTGATTTGAGGGGAAGTGGCCTGGAAAACCTCAGGGGCACAAACTATCCTTGATTGACCTCCATGGAACAGACCAAGCTCATTGACTGGCCTGCTGTACCCACTCTCTTGGCTAAGTCTATTCTCCATCCACCAGCCAGAGCCCACTTTTAAAAACATAAATGATCAGGTGATTCCCTTGCTTAAAATGCTGCAAGAGCTTCCCATCACAGGTGCAATCAAATCTAATGCCTTACCCAGGCTGGGCTCACAAGGCTCTGGCTAACATGGCCCATCCAATTCTCCAGTCTCAGCTCTGACCACATTTACTAGTTCTGTAGCTCCATCCCTCTTTCTGCCCCAGGGCCTTTGCATGGGCCGTTTCCTCTACCTGCAGCGCTCTTCCACGAGGTCTTTCTGTGGCTGGCTCTTCTCATTATTCCAGAGTCAGCTCCAGTACTGCTTTCTCAGAGAGGGCTTCCCTTTAATCATCTCCATCTCTCTATATTACACCATCCTGATGGCGTCCTCCACAATCCACACCACTATCTAAAGTGACCACATTTGTTTGTTTACATGGCTACTGTCTGTCTTCCCCACTTGCATACAAGTTCCATGAGAGTGGGAACCCTTGTCTCTGGTTCATGGTGGTCTCTCAAGAACCTGGAACAGTCCCAGGCATACAGTAGGCACTCAATAGTTCCTGAATTCCTTCATTTATTCAACAAGTATCTATCAGCCGCTACTAGATGCCAAGTACTGTTCTATGTCCTGGAAACACAGCAGTGGACAACTCTAAGCCATTGCCCTCAGAGAGGTCACGTTCCAGTTGAAAAAATAAAAGAATAATGGGTGACACTGTACTTTGATCACTGGAAGGAGCCACCCAGGGTAAGCAGTTCAACAGGAAAGTGAGCGAGGATGGATTCCCACTTTCAACCGCCTTGTGGAGCAGGAGGAGAAATGAGAACCTCGCTATCTCCTGATAGAGAAAACCCTACCTTTACTTCAGGCAAGAAACAGCACAGAAGGGGAAGCACATGGAAAATAAACAACTGCTTTACATTTTGCTTAGAGACTTTAAGGTGCATGAAATGTTGGACTTAGGAGGAGGTTAGCGTGCGCCACTCCCATCACAGCTCGAACTAGTATCCAAGTCAATTAAACCTACCTGAATGCCTATGGCAGGATTTGTTTGGGGTTGGTCTCACTTAGTATCTGCTATCTCCTAGGGAGTATCGGCCACATCAGAGACAGAATTTTGGTCTTTACAATGAGCTGTTTTGCTTCAGTTAAAATCCACTTGTCCCAGACTCTTTGGGACTTTGTTTACAATTCTAAGCAGATAAAAATATTATTGGCTTGAAAGAGAGTATGCCTTTTTTTTTTTTTTTTTTTTTTTTTTTTTTTTTTACAGTAAGTAACAGCCACAGTTAGGCACTTTGGGGTAACATGTGCAACTGAACAAAATACTTCCAATTTTGAAAAATCTGGATTCTGTATCTTGCCAGGGCAGAGAACTTTACTGCTCCTGAACTCCCGTAGCAGTTTGCATGGACATCATGGCACTCATCACATCCTACTCTGGCTTTTTGTCACTGGGGCACATGAAGTCTCCTCCTACCCAGAGTTTAAGCACAGAAGCCCGTGCATGGAGGCACCGTGGCGTCTGGTATGAGGCCGTGCGCTGAGGCACCGTGGCATAGATGCTGTGCGCGGAGGCACCGTGGCATCTAGTATGAGACTTTTCATTTTTGTGGAGTTGATGCTAGTGAATCCCAGTGAAATGAATGAGATGAATTACTATTTAAAATCTGTCATCTAAAAATGGTACAGACCGTTCATTTAGCAAACTCAAATCCAGCCCACCCTTACCGTTTCCACCGCAGCCAGCTGGAGCTCTGTGACAGCAGCATACAATTCTTTCTTTGAAAGCCGATTCTGGTGATAAATGTCACAAAGGAAATCTGCACTAGGCTGCTGAGAATACTTCTCTAACCGGTTGTCGATACAAGCTTTGACTATTAGAGCAGAGAAGAAAGAGAGGAAGTCAGCTGAAAATTGGGATGAGGAAAATCACAGAAGAAAACCTCAGTCCAAACTCCTTCTTGCAATATCTAAATAGTCTTTTCAGGAACACTGACAATTTGCTACACACACTAATTATATTATTGCCTTCTTGTCAAGTCGGCAAGGATTTTTCAATACCGACATGAGCAAGGCTTCTCAAACTTTAATGTGGATAGGAGTCACCTAGGCATCTTCTCAAAATGCAGAATCTGAATCAGGGCTTGGGTAGGCCTGGAACTCTGCATTCCTAATAAGCTTCTAGGTGATGCTGATGCCACTGGGCTGCAGGTCATAGTTTTGAGTAGTAAGAGTTTAGATCTTGGGAGAAAAAAGTGTAAAAGAAGGTAGGATTTGGGTTCACTTTCAGAATCCAACTTGGACCCAGATATTACTAAGCACACATACCCCACATACATACGCACAAGTAGAGTGTCCATCCATGTTGACAATAATGGTAAAAATTTCTAATATTTATAACATAAAATCTAGGCGTGTACCTCCCTCACTATTAAGCAAACAACCACCAGGCTCATTATATGGTAATAATCATGCTGATCACATATGGCACAGCAGTTAGAGTTCGAGTCCTGGAAGCTCCTTGTCTGGCTTCAAACCTTGGCTTTGCCATCACCTAGCATGCAATCTTGGGAACGTTGGCTAACTTCTATGTGTCTCAGGTACCCCTCTCAGGGCTAATAAAAGGACCTACCTTATAGGTGTGTTGTGAGGATTAACTAAATGTGTAAGTGAACAATGCCTAGCATCAAATATTCCCCTTCGTCATGTGGCAGAAATAGATCTAGTCCACGGAGATACTGTGATATGCCAGGTTTTTATGTTAACTGTAATCTGTAGTAGACCCAGAAACAGTTACATTGAGGTAGGTTCTCTTATTATTATTATTAATTATTAGTCCATTTTAGAGACAAGGCAACTGAGGATGAAAAGGTGATTGCACATTTGGCCAAGCCACCACAACCAGTGACAGAGCTGAACTTGAACTCAGGAGTCCCTGACTCTATAAATTTTACTTTTTTATTTTGAGATGGAGTCTCACTCTGCCTCCCAAGATGGAGTGCAGTGGCTCAGTCTTGGCTCACTGCAACCTCCGCCTCCCAGGTTCAAGCAATTCTCCTGCCTCAGCCTCCTGAGTAGCTGGGATTACAGGTGCCCACCACCACGCCCAGCTAATTTTTGTATTTGTAGTAGAGACTGGGTTTCACCGTGTTGACCGGGCTGATCTCAAACTCCTGGCCTCAAGTGATCTGCTCGCCTGGGCCACCCAAAGTGCTGGGATTACAGGGGTGAGCCACTGCACCTGGCCAGATTTTACTTTTAACCACTCTTAATTCCCAAAGAAGACTACAGAAAGCTTGTTACTTAGAATTTGTGTATGCTGGGGCAATCCCCAAAACACCTGTGTTTGCAAAACCTAAATGTGGTGATGAGGCTCAGGAGATCACTCCAGACCTCCTCTCTGAAGCTCCAGACACGGGGGTGCTGGGCTGGTTCTGGCTGGTTGTGAAGGGCGGCCCTTTACCTGATTTGAAAATGGTGTCCCAGGCCAGAGTGTGGTCCTGCCAGACCTTGGTGTTGAGGCTCTTGTGCAGCTCGACTGGAGTGACCATCATCCTCCCAAACGTGCTCATCATCTGAGAGAAATGCAAATGCCTTTTTATTCTGAATTCTCCTTCTCTCAAAGACAATGTTCGTTCTGGAAGAGGAACATTCTAAACCGCAGCACCCTGCACTTTTTAAAAGGCTGGAATTACAAGGACACCCCCGGCTCTCTCTGCACCGGTCCTGGGAGCAATGCCCGTACCCCACCTCCACCTCCTTTCAATATTGAAGGTAATGTGGGGGATGATTTTCCACTGGATGTGTTTGATAAAAATTGTAATCTTATGACCTAATTGTAAAAAAAAAAAAAAAAAGAGGAAAAACGATAACTTTCATATTCACTTCAATTTCTAATAATTTCCAAACTTCAGTGATTTCCAAACCAATTTCACAGCGTTTATCCTATCTACACGCCACCCAAACTATTCAAAAAGATAAAATCTGAAAAATTTTGGGCTCTTTTTAAAAAGTATTTTTAATCAACTGATCTTTAATTAAAATAGCTATTTTAACCTTGCCTAAACAAAGAAATAATGGATTTAATGTGCTTCTTTATGTTACGTGCATATATCCAGGGGTCCCCAACCCCCAGGCCGTGAACCAGTACTGGTCAGTGGCCTGTTAGGAACGGGGCCGCGCAGCAGGAGGTGATCAGCGGGCCAGCAGGTGTTACCACCTGAGCTCTGCCTCCTCTCAGATCAATGGCTGCATTAGATTCTTACAGGAGTGTGAACCCTATTGTGAATTGCCTATGCGAGGAATCTATGTTCCACACTCCTTATGAGAATCTAATGCCTGATGATCTGTCACTGTCTCCCATCACCCCCAGATGGGACTTTCGTGTTGCACGAAAACAAGCTCAGGGCTCCCACTGATTCTACATTATGGTGAGTATATAATAATAACAGAAATAAAGTGCACAGTAAACGTAATGCACTTAAATGATCCTCCCTCCCCTGCCCCACCACCCTGCCCTGTCCATGGAAAAATTGTCTTCCACGAAACTGGTCCCTGGTGCCAAAAAGGTTGGAGACAGCCGCATATATGCACATAAATATACTAAAATATATAATGCACATTAAAATGAACACTTAACTATTGAAATAAAATATGTGTGTATGCCATTTTTTGGGAATCACTGTGAAGTTCTGTAAAAATCGATCTGTAAAACATCAATCAAGAAAACTGCTTTCTTAAAGAGGCTGCTTACTGTTTTGATGGCCATGATGAAGTTCACAGCTTCATCCCCTGCATTCTTCTGGAGAAGCCCAAATCTCTTCTCATACAACACGAGGCAGATACCTGTCATTTAAAATAATCATCACTTTACACAAACAGCAATGCTGGAGTTGGAGTCTATGTTTAGCTGGTTATTAAAGACTCAATTCTATGCCTCTTAAAAGTGTGGGATTTTCTGAGAAAAGGCAACAGTCCAAGAATATTGAGGAAAAGCAGAGTCTGAGAGAAAGGGGACACCATCACTTTCTTTTTCTAGAAATTATCTCCAGGTCCAATGACTCATCACCTCAGAGTGTCATGATCAGAGATCCACTGTCCTGATCAAGTCACACAGGAGATCCAGGGGCCCTAGCAAAGGTGCTGCAGGGTCGGGTCTGCACTCTGCCTCTAACCCAGCTGTGTTTTTAGAGTCACTTATTGGATTCTATCTCCTGACATAATGAATTGGAAGCCATTCACCAGAGGAAGAGAAGGGAAGGGAATAATTATGTTCTAAACACCCATTACACGCCAGGTACTGGGCTAGCACTTCATATAGGGTTTTTTTTCCTTCCATTTCATCATTTTATTTAGAAGGAACCTTTTTACAAATAAAATTCTCAACTCTTCATTTCAAAACTTTTTACCTAGAGAAAAGTTGAAGGAATGGTAAAATGAATACCTGAATCCCCCGAACTCATCAACATCTTGCTGCCATTTCTTTCTCTTTGTGTGTATGTATGCATACAAGTGTATACGTGGTTGTGTGTGCTGAAGCATCTGAAAATAATTTTGAGCTCTCAGGTCACTTCACCGTTAAATACTTTAGCAGTAATGTCCTAAGAATAAAGCATTCTCCAACATAACCACAATGTCATTAACATCCCTAAGAACCTTAGCGACCATTCCATAAAAAATCTACTGTGTCCCATTTTAAAATGTTCCCCATTGTCCTAAAAATTATCTCTTGTAACCTTTTTTTTTTAAAAAAAGGACACAGGGCCGAGCGTGGTGGTTCACACCTGTAATCCCAACACTTCAGGAGGCTCGGGCAGGCAGACTGCTTGAGCCCAGGAGTTCGAGAATAGCCTGGGCAACATGGCAAAACGCTGTCTCTACAAAAAAATAAAAATAAAAAAATTATTCAGGCATGGCTACATGTGCCTGTAGTTCCAGCTACTCTGGAGGCTGAGGTGGGAAGATCTCTTGGGCCCAGGAGGCCGAGGTTGCAGTGGGCCGAGATCATACCACTGGCCACTGCACCCTAGCCTGAGTGACACAGTCTGGAAAAAAAAAATTATACAGGATTACTGCAACCAACTTTTTAGTGGTGGATAATTGGCTCTTGACTTATAAAGTAGGAGACTAGCATTAAAAAGGTAAACAAATGGCCTAAAATCATAAACCTGAGGAGTGAGAGTCAATTAGCTTAGTCAGCACCCACCCACAGCTTTTCCAACTACCTCCATGTTTTCCAAACTCTACTTATTTCTTCCCAGCCTTTCAAGGTTTCCCCGTATTTGTGTTCCACAGTGGTTGGCAGGTACACCACTGGGAATATGTGAGATAGCTCTGGATGGTACATGAACTTTAAAAATAATTAGTTACTCTGCTGGGCACAATGGCTCATGCTTGTAATCCCAGCACTCTCAGAGGTGGAGGTGGGAGCATCATCTGAGGTCAGGAGTTTGAGACCAACCGGTGGCAAAACCCCATCTCTACTTAAAAAACACAAAAGTTAGTCAGGCGTGGTATCGCACGCCTGCAATACCAGCACTTTGGGAGGCTGAGGTAAGTGGATCACCTGAGGTCAGCAGTTCGAGACCAGCCTGGGCAACATGGTGAAACCCCATCTGTACTAAAAAACACAAAAATCAGCCAGGCATGGTGGTGTGCACCTGTAGTCCCAGCTGCTCAGGATGCTGAGGCAGGAGAATCGCTTGAACCCAGGAGGTGGAGGTTGCAGTGAGCCGAGATCACGCCGCTGCACTCCAGCCTGGGGCAGAGTGAGAGTCTGTCTCAAATAAGTAATTAAAAAAAGTTACTTATATTTATCTATTTATGGCAATATTTCTGACCTTGAATTTATGGAAGTGTTATAGGTTTTCCTTCTATCCCTCCCATCAGCAGCCACAGTGATCCTCCCAGTAAATCTGCCCATATATCACACTGCTGCTGAATACATTCCCGCAGCTCCCGGTTACTTACAGGCTAAAATTCAAACTCCCGCTCATACAGCCCTCCATGAGCTGGCTGCTGGCCCTCTGCCAGCCTCTGTTACAGGATATGCTTGTCATTCCGCACTTCTTCTGCAGGGACACTCTCCTTCCTCCCTTTTCACCTGGTGAACTCCTACTCAACCATCAGGACTTAGCTGAGGGGCACCATCTCTGTGAAGCGACCCCTGGCCATGTCCGGCTTAGGTGGCCCTCTCAGATTCTCCCACAGCCCTGAATGTCCTCAGCCAGGCGCTGTCCCACCTGATCACAGCTGCCTGCTCTCCTCTTGCACCCCCATGGGCAGTGAGCTCTGCCCTTTATTTCCAGAGTAATCTTTGAAGAAAGCGGTCATGTCCTCCCTCCCTTACTTGCCCCATCTGAGTCAGATGAGAGGTAAAGTCTTGCCAGGACCTATGAGCTGTGCCCTGTTGGACACCTGCCTTCTTTTTGACCTCATCTCCTTTCACAGGCTCCCCTTCCTCCCAGCTTGTTCATCGTGATCCACTCACACCAGCAGCTTGAAGTTCCTCAAACTCGGCGCTCATGCTTCCACCTCCTGGCATTTGCACTTTCTTCTCTGCTGCCTGGAACAATCCTCCACAGGTACCCTCATGATTTGCTCCTTCCCTTCCTTTAGGACTTACCTCAAATGTCTTCTTACTAAAAAAGACTTGCCCCTCTTTCATTCTTTCATGTTATTTCTTTCTCTCTCTCTCTTTTCTTCTTTATTTCTTTTCTTTTTTCTTTCCTTTCTCTTTTTCTTTTCCTTCCCTCCTTCCTTCCTTCCTTCTCTCCCTCCTTCCTTCCTTCCCTCCCTCCCTTCTGCCTTCCCTCCCTCCCTCCCTCCCTCCTTCCTTCCTTCCCTCCCTCCCTCCCTTCTTCCTTCCTTCCTTCCTTCCTTCCTTCCTTCCTTCCTTCCTTCCTTTCTCTGTCTCTCTCTCTTTCTTGAGACGGGGTCTCACACTGTCACCCAGACTGCAATGCAGTGGTACAATCACGGCTCACTTTAGCTTCAGCGTCCCGGGGTCAAGCAATCCTCCCACCTCAGCCTCCCAAGTAGATGGGACTACAGGCATGTGCCACCAACCCTGACTAATTTTTGTATTTTTTGTAGAGACAAGGTTTTGCTGTGTTGCCCAAGCTGTTCTCAGATTCCTGGGCTGGCCTCAAGCGATCTGCCCACCTCAGCCTCCCAAAGTCCTGGGATTATAGGCATGTGCCACCATGCCTGCCTTTCATGTTCTTTCTTAACTCCCTTTCTCTTTTCCTTTACTCCTTGGAAGAGTATATTTTAAAATGTGTTTACTTGTTGACTGTCACCTTGTCTAGCATATAAGCTCCCCAAGGGTACAGGGGTTATGCGTTTCATTCATTGTCATATCCCTAGTACCTAGCACAGTGCCAGACACACAGCAAGTATTCAACAAATGTTTGTTGTATGACTCATTAACAATCCATAGTTCAAGGCATAACTTAAGCACCTAAAAGAAGCATTAAAAGGGCTGCTCTGGCCTTTCCCTAGGCAGCAATAATGCCTGTTTACAAAAGAGTTGTCAAAAGAGCCATGTTTTATCCGCAAAATCACCTGCAAAATCAGTGAGCAAGTCTGTGACGACAACTTACTTTCAAACGACCATTTGTTCAGTTCGCTGTACAAGTCTTCAACGTGGCCTCTTTCATCACAGAGCTCATCTATTCTGCCCATAAAATCGGCCAAGACCTTCAAAGAAAACAACCGCAAAAGACACATTTTAAAGCCGTTGAAGGAAAACAAAACTTTAAAGCTCACTGAGCTAACTTCAGGTCTTGCTACATCGCATATTCACTGGCCATAATGTTATTCATCCTGAAGTCACACTAATTATATATTCTCCCTGGGAACCCACCTTATCCCCTAATGACCTCGTCCTGGGTTATTTCCTGAGCTTTTCCTGAAGCCACCCTGAAGCTTAAGTTTCAGCTTTTGATCTAAAAATAATTCTGGCAATTTAAGAAAAGGAAAACATTTTTTTTTTCTAATCAGAATGGGGGAATAAAACCACAAAGGAATCAGCTAACTGTCCCTGTTGGCCCAGCATCTCAAGGATTGTGTTGCAGCAGCTATCCTGAGGTGTGCCCTTCCACATCTGGGCAAGCAAACGTCTCTTTATTGGTTGGTGGTTATGTTAAGCATGTTGAACTTGGAACCAGAAGATCTACCAATTCTGGACACAGCTCCTTCCCTAAGTAGTCTATGACCTTGGGATAGTCACATAAGACCTTTGGATGCCAGTTTCATAAACCAGAGTTTTCAATAACTAATGCCTCACATTTAATGAGGTCCATATGGTACCAAACACTGTACGAAGTGTATTGGTTGATCCTCTGACAACCAAGTAGTAGTAGGTACCGTCTCTACTCATTTCCCATGTAGTAGATGAGAAAGCTGAGGCTTAAAGAGGCCAAGTCACTCACTTATGCACACAGAGCTGATAAGTTGCCATCCTGGACCCTGCCGTGAGCTGGTGTGGCCATACAGCCCACATGTGTGGATTTAGTTTGCAAGTTTAATTTGCCCGCATAGCGCATTTAAAAGTTCTTTGAATTTGTTACCATTAAAAAAAACAAGAGGTTTCATATGAACATATGGATTTACCACTACTAGTTTAAAAATGTAAATAATAATTATGAGACTTGGTGACATGAGGTCTGCATTCTGACATGGCATTCGTTTGCTGGAACTGGGGCTGCTGTCCCTCCTGGGAGGGGCATGCACTATCACGTTTCCTGAAATTTTTACTGGGTCTGCCTTATTATTTTATATTAGTCATGTGAGCCCTGGAAGCTTCTGAGTTTGCAATCCTTCACCTATATGATCCCATCTGGGGACGCATCCAGTTCAAAATAAACATCCAAAGTGAACAGAAGTAAAAAGAGATTACTTTATGCTTAAAACTCCCTTTGACTCCGTGCTGGCTAAGGGATAATGTCCAAATACCTTAGTATAATACAAAAATATTGTTAAGACCTATCCAGTATCATTTCAGAGAAAGCCTCACATCAGCTACACTAAATGACCGATTCTCTGAACACACCACGTCATTTCATGCCTCCCTGTTTTCAGAAGGCTACTCTGTCTGCCTTAATGCCTTCCCCCACTTTCTCTGCTTTCAGACTCCTCCTGCAAAACCCAGCTCAAATATCACTACTTAAGAACTTTACAATGTTATCTCATTTAATTCTCACAGCAAACCCGTGGGGTGGGAACTGTTACTCCCATTTTGTAGATGGGGAAACTGAGGCTTAGGGAAGGTAAGTGGTATATAGCCAGGTCTCATAGCCAGGGAGTGGAAAGCTGGGGTTCAAATCCAGGGCTGTAGAATACCAAAGTCCACACTCTCCATTGCTCCCTCATTGTGATATGACTTTAAAAGAGGGTGGAGGAGGGAGAAATAAGGGTTTGGTGGGGAGGAGGCTGTAGGAAGGAATGGAGAGAAAGAGAAGACCCCCACTTTGAATCACCCGAATTGCATTCTTTTTTCCTTTGTTCTTTGTAGCTGTGACTTGAAGCTCCACCAATATCCCTATGTCCCCACGAGCCCCAGGAAAGCTGGCCCCAGCCTGCAGACCTCATTGATTTTGTTGTCCAGCTTCATCACTTCCCCTGGTTTCATTAGTTTCTTTTGAAAGGCACTCCGGACCCGCTGCCAGTCTTCCCCTTCCCTGTGAGAGAAGCAGGAATACATTTAGAGCACACTGAAAAGAAAAGAAGGAGATGCAGAAATACTCCAGCTGCAACTTCAGGAACCATAAAATCAAACAAACACTGAGAATCATGCCAAGAAATAGCCAGAGAATATTAGCATCAGAATATTTGGGATAAAATAGTGATCATCTTTTGACAATAGTTTGACAATAGGATGAAAAAGCACCTTTCCTCCTAGTCAAAGATTGCACCAAAAAGTTGAAGTCCAGATAATTTGGGTTCAGGGATTTTGAGGTGTCCTTGCAGGGAGTGGGGCTGGGAGGCCTGGGGACAATTCCTAGCGGTAAAAGGGGGCATGTGAACACCCCATCACCAGCAACTCAGATCTGTTTGAGGGAAGAATCTTGTCTTCTTTCAACTCATTGGTGTGGGCTTCATATTTACAAAATATCTCAGATTTAGAATTTTGCCATCGCCTCCAAATAATAACATACAGTCAGAGAGTCACTGGAGTAATAAAAAGCCTTTTGCGATCGTGCACTTGTAGGCACCTGCCCCATAGCAGACCATACAGCCTGTGAAGCACCGTGAATTAATAGGGTTTTTAATTCCAGTCATTATATCCTGGAAAATATAACGATTAGGCATTACAGTTTGGGGGTAAATAAAGGTGCTAACTTGTTAAATGCTAACAACTAAAAAGCAGAAGAATCACATCCCATAGTAGCATTTGTCGACCTAAAACACAACTTTGATATCCCTCCTTATTCCACCTTTACAAGTAGAAATAAGGCATGTCCCCCAATCCTCTGCAGAAAATGTCACTGTAAAAAGCCAAAGAGGCTAACTCCTCGCTTTTGAGCTTACAAGGTGTTTCAGGGAGTTTTAAGGGATAATTTTGTTTGTATAAGATGTTTGCCTGGTACGCTGACTTCAGAACCTCATCCTGCCCAAGAGTCTGAACACCACAGTTGGTACAACCCTGTTTTGGCGTTTCTTTGATGGGAGGGTGTGGCCCTGCCCTGTTGCCAGAGAGAACGCAGGTGCTGGGTGCACAGCACGGCTTTTCCGTGGACCGACTCTAATCTGTACAAGAGCTCAGGGTTGCGATGGCACGGGAGAGGGGCTTTGGTATCCGCCCTACGTAAGAAGCTTCCAACCCCAGGGAACTCTAACTCCGCCTCTTCACAATTTCCAGGCGCCGTCAGGCTCATCAGGTCTGGCCGCATGCCCAGGTCCCTCGGATTGGACTCACAGGATCAGCAGCCCGTAGCCTTCTTTGCGGTAGTCGCGATAGGCCTTCCACGGTTTGATCTCCAGCCGCTGCGGGTACGCGCTCTCGGTGCGGTACAGCGCTTCCAGCAGGCATGGCGAGCCCAGGTGCACCGACTCAAAGGAACCCAACTTCATGCGGAAAATCTTGCCATACTTCTTGTGGTACTCCACCTGCAGCCGGCCGGGCACAGCGCGGTGTCAGCGCGCATCCTCCGCCGTGCCCGAAGCGCTTTCCCTCCTCCCGCCTCCTTCCTCCTAGGGGACCGGGGACCCTCCCTGCCCAGACGCCGAAGCGCACCATGCGCCCGAGGCGCGCATGTCGGGGAGGGTTTGGAGCGCCACTGGGAGGGCGGAAGAGGGAGGAGAGAGTCAGGGGCGCGAAAAGGGGTTTACCAGGGTGTCGTGCTGTTTCTTGAGACCCCCTTTCCAGAGAATCTGCAGCAGGCTGCCCAGCAGTGGCCAGCTGGTGGGGCCCGGCAGGGCGGCCGCGTTCTGAGTCTCGCCACCAGCTGTCAGCGGGCAGACTGGCACCTCTCGCGGCTGAGGGGACGTGTACGCCGTAGATGTCACCAGTCTCGGGGGCTGCCTCGGACTGCGCAGCTGCTGCAGGAAGGCGGCAAGCGAGCGGCTCTTGCTGATGGGGGAGCTCATGGCAGCGGGGGACACCGGAGCGCGGGAAGGCAGGAGGATGGGGTGGGGCGAGGTTGGTACGAGGTGCTAGTGGGAGTCGGGGCTTAACGATTCTGGGAAAAGGAAGCAAAGAGGGCCAGCTGGTGTGATGGAGCGGGGTGAGGCGGGACAGGCAGCAGAAAGGACCTCGGCGAGGATGCTCGACGCTGCACCACGCGACAGCCTCAGAGCATTGGTGCCTCCTTGCACTGGCCGCAGGGGCTGGAAGAGGGTGGCCGGTGTCTGGGGACCTCTTGAAAAGGGAAAGCTGGGAGTCCTCCTGTTGGTCCGCAAGGCTGACCTCTAGGGTCTGGCTGGAGCCACGGGGAGGTGTCAAGGAGGGTAGATGAGATGCTGCTGGCGCTGCGTTTCCTCCTGTCCCTCTCCATGTTCCTATGCCCAGGGACCATGCATTTATGGAGACAGAGCATGCCCTGGGTGGCCAATGAGCACGCAGAGGAGGGCGGAGTGGCCCCCGGCTGGCCAGACTCCGAGGGACGCGGGACCCAGGGGAGGGGGGGTGGAAGGAGGATGGAGTCAGCGAGGTGAGCGAGGGCGTCCGGGCCTGGGGTGACCGGGGCTATGTTCGCTGGGCGCGGGAGGTGGGGTGGGGGCGGCAGACTCCACCCCGGAGATAACCCCCAGGAAGTCATGCGAAGCCCGGAGTTCACCGGGTGTGCTTCGAACGCGCCTCCCCGCCCTCCCCCGGCGGGCAGGAGCCGGCAGCGGCGGCCGTGGTTGCCGCCCGGCGCTTGCACAATCGCGATGCCGGGCGGGCGAGGTCCCCGAGTGCGGGCCCAGAAAAGCTGCCGGCGTCTGCCAGGGCCCCGGGGAGCCCGGGCGCCTCCCGGGGAGCCAGATACCCCCAGCCTGGACTGAAGTGATTTTTTTTTTTTTTTTGCCTTTTTTTTTTTGGAGGAAGTTTGGCTTTCTGCGCCTCCCAGGGTGGGGAGGATTTGAGTCTTACTGAAATGCACCAGAAGAGGAGACTTTCTTAACTTGAGCAAGAAGGGGAGTTTGTAGAATTTCCTTCCTGCTGTTTCATGTTTGGTTGTTTTGCAGATTAAATGAATTAATGCACGTAAAGCGGCAACAACGAAGCCTTGTCTATAGTCAACAGTCAATAAAAGTTAGTTGCTGTTGTTACTTCTTTAGGAAGTTAGGAAATGCGCCTTGAGAGCGTGGCTTGCACCAACGATGCTTGAATTCAGGCTGGGCCACCTCCCCTATGTCCACTGCCCGCCTCTGTTCTTCTACACCGACTACCTTGTGCAAAGGAGGGGCACACAGAGCTTGAAACCACCGCCCCCAGTACTCCCCCTCTCCCCCAAGGTGCGTCCTAGGCAGGTCCAGTGACAAACATACACAATTTCTAGAGTTACCGCGGCTGGCAAGAGTAGAACTCGCTTTGCTAATTCAGGAACGGAAGTTGGAGATTTTTGTTGATTGTTTTAAAGTGGCTCGAATCCTTTCAACCTGATCCAATACAAAACTACCACCAGCCAGGGAGGAGGGGAGGGACATTCTGTTTCCTCGCCCTGCTTTTCAATTACGTGTCTCAGTCATTTTTGCCCCAAGTGTTGGCAAATCCTTCCCTGGTAAATTCTTTTGTAAGCCTCTAGTTTGTTTCTTAAAAATCTTTTGCAGTCCAACTTAAGCTTTAACACCATCATTTCTGATTTGTCTGGAGGGGCTAATGACTGTTTATGTTAATAAAAATAATAGCTATTGATATATACTAAACTTTATGAATCTTGTACATATTTATATATACATTGTATGGTATATATGTTACAGCATACACTATAGATTATGTTATATGCAATACACACTAAATATACATAATATAGTATAGATTGCATACAGTATGTAGATTCCATATGTTATATAATATTCTCATGAAAGCTTTCTAGGGCTTATGATAAGTCAGGCACTGAGCTAGACATTTTACATCATTTTTTCCGTTTAGTTCTCATCTCAGCCCAATGTCAATAAAATGAAATAAAATAAAAAACAAAAAAAAATCAAAGACAAACAAAAAAACCCTTGACTCTTACAGAGCTAAGTAATTTGCCCAATGTCACAGACGTTACCATTGGCTCAGGTGGGATTCAGACCCAATATTTTCTGATTCTAGGCTGGGCCCTAAATAGTACACCCATATACATCATGCTATGTTATGTCACTTTTTCTTAAACCAGAGTGTCTCAGAATATTGGAAGTATTTCTTAAATGAGAATTATCACCAAGAGGAAAGTGGGGGGGATCAGAATGCCTACCATGTCAGTATGTGTGGGGCAGTGTGAGGCAAACGTTTTATGTGCTGACGGTGGTGAAAAAGAATAGCTCTGGCTGAGTGTAGTGGCTCACGCCTGTAATCCCAGCACTTTGGGAGGCCGAGGTGGGCGGATCACCTGAGGTTGGGAGTTCGAGACCAGCCTGGCCAACATGGTGAAAGCCCATCTCTACCAAAAATACAAAAATTAGCCGGGTGTGGTGGTGCATGCCTGTAATCCCAGCTACTCAGGAGGCTGAGGCAGGAGAATCGCTTGAACTCGGGAGGCGGAGGTTACAGTGAGCCGAGATCGCCCCACTGCACTCCAGCCTGGGCGACAGAGTAAGACTCTGTCAAAAAAAAAAAAAAAAAAATAGCTCTAAACAGAAGGTCTATGTTTTTCACTACTGAGTACCTTGATTCTGGTGAGGTGCTTGGACACAGTGAATGGTCTATTGTTATTTCAACTATTGAGTAATTTTCCCAATTATTCTTTCTTTTCCTTCTCTTTTGGCAGATATGCACAAGGAGAAGAGGAAATAATTTCAGACTTGCTAGGTTTTTCTAAGAGTTTCATGCTATATAGCTTTATATACTCTAAATAGATATTTAAATATATGGGCAATCATTAGTTACATGATAGCTAAAAAGAAAATTCCTGTTTCAGGGATATTGGTTTCTCATGTTCAGTGGAGAAAATCCCCAGTAATTTTTAGACCGGATTGCAGAGGAAAGCAAGACTAGTTCTTTGAAACTTCATTGACCCCAATACATACCTGTCCTTGAGAAGTATGATTAAATTCAAAATGACTATTTTTGATCCCGCTTCCAGGAATTCACTATTCCTCATCTGTCCTCATCCTTCACTCACTACTTAGCCTCTATGAGTCATCCGGATAGGGATCTTGTCAGGAATTACTAATGAGAGATCTTGAAATGCCTCATAAATGCCTGCCATCATTACTGAGACAGGCTCAGGCCCTCTGTTTTGCTCTGGGAAATCTTACCAAGTCCTGGAATGGATAATTAGACTTCAGCCCTCATACCAAGGGACCACCCATGACAACATGTGTGTGTGAGTTCACACACCTGTGTACACATGTATAATGAGGGTGGGGTGGAGGAGCCTGTAGGAGTTCAAGGGCTGGTTTCTCTGCACTGGAAAATACAAAACACTTTCAAGTATATGCAATAGTAATATAGTTTTGTGCTTAAAACTGCTTAGGCCTGGCATGATGGCTCACGCCTGTAATTCCAGCAATTTGGAAGGGTGAGGCAGGCAGATCACTTGAGGTCAGGAGTTCAAGACCAGCCTGGCCAACATGGTGAAACCCTATCTCTACTAAAAAATACAAAAATTAGCCAGATGTTGTGGCAGATGCCTGTAATCCCAGCTACACGGGAGGCTAAGGCAGGAGGATTGCTTGAACCCGGGAGGTGAAGGTTGCAGTGAGCTGAGATCATGCCACTGCACTCCATCCTGGGCGACAGAGCAAGACTCCATCTCAAAAAAACAAACACAACAAACTTTGCCTAAACTGGGGCGTGAGTACTAGATCCACTTTCCGTTGCGGAAACCTGGAGGACTTACTTGCCGCATTTGTTAAATGGACAGTGTTGGTTCCAACCTCACGGTAAAGTTCAAGCTTCATGGAAACAGGAGTAGTAACAATAGCCAATTTCACGGGGCTCCTGTGAGAACACTGCAAATAAAATTCCTACCACAGTAAAGTGCCCAGCAAATATGACCTTGTAGCATTACTGTATTGCATGCCTTGGTTTTTTCAAAGTCCATAGAAGGGAGGCAATTTAGATGTCTCTGACTCAAGAAACTGTATACTTGAATAAAGCCAAAGGAAGATTAGCAATGAAATGCTGGTGAATTCAAATCCCAGCTCAGCCACTGAGCAGCTAGAAAAACCAGGGACAATTTACTTGTCTCTCTCTCAGCCTTAGTTTCCTCTTCTCAAAAGTGGCGATCAGGACGGGTGCAGTGGCTCACACCTGTAATCCCAGCACTTTGGGAGGCCAAGGCAGGCGGATCACCTGAGGTCAGAGTTCGAGACCAACCTGGCCAACATGGCAAACTCCTGTCTCTACTAAAAATACAAAAATTAGCTGGGCATGGTGGTGGGTGCCTGTAATTCCAGCTGCTTGGTAGGCTGAAGCAGGAGAATCACTTGAACCTGGGAGGTCGAGGTTGCAGTGAGCCGAGATAGCGCCACTGCACTCTAGTCTGGGCGACAGAGTGAGACTCCATCTCAAAAAAAAAAAAAAAATGGTGATCATGGTAGTAGTTCCCACTCCATAGGGTTTTTCTGAGGATGACAAAGCACTGAAAGTCCCTAGCACATGTGCTCACTGTTAATGTCATTAAGAACTACAGGAACTGGGCTGTCAAATAATTAAGGTCATAATCTTTATTACATGTGTCTTGGAGTTCTTTGCCCAATTAGACAAACCTTCTTGAAATTATAGGCATTGTTTTTTTGTCTTTGTTTTTGTTTCTCCTAAAGCAGATGACACAGTGCTGTTTATGTTGGCCAGCACCCAATAAGCAAATAATGGGAAATTGATTATTGATTATTTCCTCATTCCCAAGTGAAAAGGAGAAAGGTTAGTATCAATGTATTCTTTGTTTTCTGAGGAAATCGTTGGGAATCCTGGAGGGCTTTATGTGTGGGTCATATAGAAAATAGTTCTGTATGACAAAAACGATAGTTTTGGTCTCAAAAGCTTGGGCTGAAACCATGGCTCCACCACTCATTAGCTGTGTGATCTTGGGCAAGTTATTTAACTTCTCTGAGTCTAGTTTCCTTAATGGTAAAATTGGAGTTTACTATACCTGTGTCTCAGGAAGGTCAAGATAAATACTAAAAATATTAGACAAAACACGATTGTCTTCACTAAAATCTGTTTGGCCTCTGTACTTGCTTGATAATTTCTGAGTAGAATTCAGTCATGTTGGTAAATTAAAGTTATATCACAGGTATGGAAAAATGGACCTTAAGTGCTTTAAAATGCAGTTCCGGGTGGGGCGGGGTGGGGGGAACTTTTCAACAGATTTATCACTGAAAGAGCTGCTTTATTGCAAAGGAGATGAGAAATACAGTATGCACACTCAATCATTCCACCATTACTACAAATTATAACTTATTAAGGAACTACTATGTGTGTGGCAGACATTGTATTGTCTCCACCCACACAATAGCGCTGTAAGGTAGGTTTTGTTATTTTCCATTTTATAATGACAAAACCTCACTTTCTTACAGAGTTTAAGCCAGACCTGGGTTGAATCTGCCCTGTTACATATTACCATTGTTTCCTTGTCCTCATCTATAAAATAGAAATCATAACAGTGTCTCTCACATATTATTATAGTATTATAATTATAATAATATTATATAGTTACTGCCCTGTAACTTAAAGTCTAGCTTGCTTCAAGATGCCAGCTTCCTGAGGACAGGAAGACTGTCTGTCTTACCCTCTGCTGTATTCCTAGCACCTATAGCTATGCCCAGATCAGTTTAGGTATACCCAAGAAATGTTTGTCAAATAATACTATTGCAAAAATAACAGCGATTAAGTGCCTTACTTGTTGTAACTGTACTTGTTCAATTGAGTCTATCTTTCTGTTAAACTTAGCTCCTGGTAAAAAGGTGTGTCTAGTTGCAAATCTTATATATAAAGAAACATTTTCTTTTGTTTTTTTCCTATTTTCAAAATATCTAGTAAAATAGAGATCTGTGTGAGACAGATGTGCACTCTTTAACAGGTTATCTCCACATGAAAACAGAGAATTTATTAAATGAATTAATATGTGTAAAATATTTGGGAAGATATAGATGTAGTATAACTACTGATTTAAGAGTCAAGTGAAGCCAGCTAATGAAAAAATCCATTGATTTTTTTAAATGTTCCAATGGTGCCATACATGTTTCATAATTCAGTTTTAAAATTACATCATCACATAGATACCTATTTTATCCTTTCTTGCATGATATGACTTGGCTAATACCATCAGAGTGAAAATTGGGGAAATTCCATGACAGGATTATTATTGTTGATTAATTTGGACCCAAAGTATAGTTTGCTCTGCTCCTATATGTCAAAATCCTGCCTCCACATACCATCTTATTGGTGTTGACTTGGACAGCATTCTGCAGCATGATTGAGCTTAGGATGCATTTTTGCCAGAGCTTTAATATGAACCAACAAGCATACACCTTGATAGGAAATTGGCACCTAAAGGCACCTGGTGGAAAGTACCTCTGTGGTTAGATGAGTAAACTCCAGCAGTGAATAGGGATATCCGGTTTTTTGTTTATGAACATAAAGTGGCAAACAAAACAATTACAAGCCAAGAAAAGTCTGGAAGTGTCCTTTCATCTTTGAGAAAAAAAAAATCAGTTAGCAGAGTACTTACGCAGTCTTTGTGCAGTAGCAATTGCCAAACACCCCTCACAATCCAGATTTTATTACTTGATTTTTCACCAACAGAGAACAGCGATGTAACCTCCTTCTGATTTTTGTGCCATATGAAACAGTGGTGTTTACAGTATTGAGGAGGAAGTTTCTCAGAGTTCAGTCCTATTGCAGCTTGCATGGAATAATTTGGGATCTTACTTGTTTATGTGAATATTCACAGATTCCTTTAGAATAATGGGACTTTCCATTGAAAAAAATGTAATGTGAATTTCCAGTGATTTATTGATTTGTTTTATACTCTGTCCAGTTAGAATTCTTTGGAAGTGGAATCAGTCCAGAGACGGTTATTGAGCATCTACTATGTGCCAGGCACCATTCCTAGCACTAGGGATACAGTGATGGGCAAAGCAGACCAGGCACCTAGCTTTTTGGAGCTCAAATTCTACTGGGGAAGACAGATCACACACATGTAAACAAAGAAATAGTATAATTTCAGATAGGCATAAAACTAACATTTGAGCTCAGACTTAAATTGCGGGAAATGGTCAGCTTCACTAACGCCTGGAGGAAAAGAGGCAGGGGGCCTCTCTCAGCATCTTGAGCTCAAGGTGTAAAGAGAACCACGAAGAGAATAGCACACAGGATGCTGATCAGATGCATAAATATATTTAATATTTATTCTAAAGACAAAGAGGTCATATTCCCTACTCCCATCTCTAAATCTAATTATCAAATGGCTCCTGGTTGGCATGCTTTCATATTGCAGAGGTGTTTTATTTTTTCAAGATCATTTTGTTTAGTGGCACAGGTGTGAAAGTTAAGAGTCTAAATAGACATGAAGCTCTTAAAATAAGAAATAAACTGAATAACGTCATTAGGATTACCTTCTTTATTTCCACCAGTTCACAGGTGCAACAAGGTTCTATGGGCTAAGCATAAGAAGAATGTAAATGTTGGTCAATTTCTCAAACACTGCAGATTACATTTAGAAGTTATTTGAAGGCCATTTGATCAGCCAAACACAGCACAGACACCCTTGAGCACCTGCAAGGTTAGAAGCACATGGCTAGCCTCTGTTCTTGTCCCTGAGGAATCTACTTGCTCTCAAATCATGTGTTTAAAATGAAACAGAGCTGGAGTCTGTGTGATGAACTTCCTTGGGTTTTACCTGCCCAGCAACCAAGATCTTGTCTTCTGATTGCTGAGTGGTTCACATAGGCTAATCTCACCCTACAAGGCAAAGCCCATGATTTAGGACCAATCCACACATTCCTTCCTCTTGGCTAAAGTTGAGTGCATCCACCTGGGATGAACTCATGTTCCAGGTTAGTCAGATCAGAGTGAATGTGGAGACTTTTGCTGGAGCAACTAGGAAACAGAAGACTCTTTCCCCTGGGAAGGTTACTTGAGGCCCTTGATTTGCTGGGGCCACCAAGTAGAGAAGGCTGGCCTCACGGCAAAGCCAGCACAAAGGAGAGCAAAACTAAAAGAGGAGATGGAGGACAGGGAAGAGAAGGGAATGTCAGATCCTCATGCCATCGTTCAGGGCCATTCATCCATCTCTGGATTTCCTGTACATGAGCCAACAAATTCCTCATGTTGCTTATTCCACTTTGATCTGAGTTTCTCCTCTTGCGATTTGAAGAATACTGACTGATATAGTCATTCTAACCTATATATTGCTATTTGGATTTTATTTATTTTTAATGATAAGAAACATCATCCGGGACTAGGAAAGGGTATAATCTTTCTGGCCTCAAGCAATTTAATGGAGCATAATTATGCATGGACCTAGCTAGAGATCCCAGTCCTGAAATCAACAGTATTTTATTTCTTTATTTTTGTTCATTTTACATAGATGTTCTATCCAGTATGCTTTTCAAAAATATATTTAATTGTTGGTTTGGAGGCATAATGTGGTGGCTACACACGTGGGCTCCAGATTAGGTTGCCACCTTCATTTTTTCACTTTTCAGCTGTGTGAGCCTCTCTGAAGATTCTTTTTTAAATTGGGGGAAGCAATATTTACCTCGTAGCGTTATTGTAAGGATTAAGTAGGATAATATAAGTCAGTTACTTAGCACAGTGCTGGCAGAGGGTAGGCTCTTATTTAAATTAGCTCTTATTATTATTCAATTGATAATATATGGCCCATCTGATGTCACGTGCTTTAATCTGGTATTATTTGTGTTTATCACATATGCTTCCTTCACAAATCAACCACAAGCTATCTGTTACTTTGTCTTTCCCTTTAGGTATCTCTATTGGAGATGAACGCATGTTCAATACACGTGGCCTGCCTGAGTCATTAGCAAAGTGTCCAACAACTCTGAGGTACTGAAAAATGAAATGACTAGTTAATGTAGATTGAGAGTCCACATGCCAGTCACATCTCGTCTCACTTAAATCTCCCACCAAACTTCTAAAAAAGATGCAGCCGAGATCATGAAACTCAGGAGGACACCAAGTCACACAGCACTCAGTTGTGATTTGAACCCCCGGGGATCCCTGACTCCTGAGCCATCACCCTTGTTCACATTGAGACTGCCTGTATCCCTGCCTTTCCACAAAGAATATTCATAACTTGTAGGGCTTAAAATGCGCGCCCATGACTTGGATATGAAAAAGAATAACTATTTTCTATGACTGGCTTCATCTGGCTGTGTAACCCCTATTCCTGTTGTGCCACCCTTGGGTAAATACCTTGGAGTAGAATAGCTGGCTCCTCTTGTGGTTGGGTGTTTAGCTGTTTAAGAAACTCTTGAGCTGTTTCCCAATGTGATTGTACCTTTTCACATTCCTACCAGCAGCATAGGAAAGTTCTGATCCCTCTACATCCTCCCCAACACTCCTTGTGATCTTCTAAATTTTAGCCATTCTATTAGGTGCAGAGTTCTATTTATTGAGTCAGTTTTTATGTTGTGATTTTTCAGGAAATCTGTCCATTTTTTTCTAAGACATTGAATCATTGACATATAATTGCTTATCATATGTCTTTATTATCTTTTTAATGTCTGTTAAAGCTGTAATTATATCCCCTCTGTTATTCCTGATATTGTTTTTGTTTGTATGTGTTTCTCTTTTCTTTTTTTCTTTCATTAGTCTTACCTTGGGTTTATCTATTATAGTCATCTTTTCAAAGATCCGACTTTATGAAATTTCTCTTTGTTTACTATTTCATAGATTTTTGCTATGATATTTATTACTTCACTTGTTCATTCTGTTTTGCTCTTAAGCTCCCAATATCTGGACACTGTTATGGATATCTTATCTTGTATGGTTATTGATTTCCAATTTAATTCCAGTGTAACTGGAGAACATACTCTTAAAGCTTTTAATCTTTTAAAATATATTGAGACTTATTTTTTCGATCCAGCACTTAGTTTATCTGGGGGAATATGCCACTGAGCACTGAAAATGAAAATGTATTTTGCAGTTGTTGAGTGTAGTGTTCTACAATTATCAACTGGGTTGTTTTCCATTTATTCCTTCTGTTGTTGTTGGTACTACTGCTGTTAGAATATTGCTCTATTCTTGCCTTTTTGGAGGGGGTTAATCAAATCTTTAAGCATTCCATTTTATTTATTTGATTGTCTTCTTTGCTATAACTCTTATTTGTTTATTTTTGGTTGTCTAGGGCAAATAATTTGCATTCAGAATGTATCAAAGTCCATTTAGAGTCAAAAGATGTCATGGCCTTCAACAGTACAATTCTAGTTATGCATCCCATTTTTTTGTGTGTTCTTGTTATTATATCCTTTACTTCTACTTACGTTATAGATTCCAGCTTACAATGCTGTGAATTTTGCTTTAGTCCTTTTAAGAAAATTACAGGAATTACAGGAAGCATAACTTTTTATGTTTAGCCATTTATTGAACCTTTCTGGTGCTGCTCCCTCCCACTGAAGATCCACTTGATCTTTCTTTCAGCCAGAAGAACATCTGTTAGCCTTTCTGGGACTCTCGTCTGCTTTTTCACTTAATCCAGCAGTTTGGGAACAGCATCAGGCCTCTTGTTTTGTTTCCAGTTGCATCCTCTTAACAGCACGCTCTAAGGGTGCTTTATCCAATATTGTAAAAGGAAACTAAAGCAAGATTTGTTTTGAGGATTGCTTGGTGCCCCTTTAAAAAAATTAGACACCAACCCAGGAAAAGAGTTGGAAAAAAGTACCCCAAAATTTTCCCATTTACCTAGGCTGTCTTTAAGACCAATATCAGTCACCAGCAATTACCTTTTGTTCCCAGACAGGAAAATTGAATGACTGCATCAACGCTAAAAAGCTTGGATTGAATCAGACACTTTCCTCAGAAGTGAAAAATGCCTGACCACAAGCCCTAGTTAATTTAAGGCCACTTAGATGGCGACTCCAGGAGAATTCCAACTCAGTGCCCCAAGATTTCTCAGGGACTTGGATTTCTCCCTAACCTACTGGAAAAGAATTTGTCATCAGCAAAGCTCTTCCGTAGAGAAACTTGAGATAAAATGGGTCTTTCAACAGGGCTGTGATTGTGTGAAGGGATATAAACTGGCAAGAATTGTGCTCCTCATTCTTGATGGAAGGTTAACATGATTAGGATCTCCAGAAGTCTCATATAGCAAGATTAAATTCTATTTTGCATACTGAAGTCTCAGATACTCAAATTTCCACTAGCATGTTAGATTCTCAGTGTGCTCCCTTTATGTGGGAAATCTGTAACAACCACAAGGCACACTCAATCCTTCCTCAGGCATAGGCACACCCAGACCCACCCACATGCGCACACACCCATACGTCCACACGTGCACCCAGGCACCCGTGCTGCATGCCCTCACATGCACAGCCCCACATGCAAGCACACCTCCATGCAACTTTCCTCACCAACACGAACATGCACCCACATTACACACCCATATCTATTCCCCCACATGCACCTCTTCCCACAGACACATCTTCCACACATGCATGCCCCCCGCACTTGTGATTTAATGGCACATATGATTCAGAATGTCTGTGAAGCCATTTCCAACCTGTTTTTGTAATAACCTGTGCTTCTCAGTCCAAAAGATAGTGGAACGTATGTTTCCAGGAAAATATGAAACAGGAATTTCTCAATCTCCTAGCAGCATCCCCACCCTGCTGTACTAATATTAGTCCATGTTGCCAATAGCAGCAGCCCATGTCAGACTGGCTGCCTCTCCTCCCCACCTAATCCCCACTTTTCTTGTTTGTAATTGAAGAACAACCGACTGTATCTCATGCTCGGGCTGACCAATGAGTAAGCAAAAGTGTTATGCGGGGAGACAGCCTTCTAATTCTGCAGACATTATTAAAATAATCCAACACAGGTACCCGTGCAATCAATTTTCAGTTTCTAGGATGAGAGATATGTCACCTTGCCTTCAAAAGGCCAAACCTGGCTCGCTTCATTGGCTCCCTTCTCAATGTCTGATACAGGACCCAAAAAGGTCTATGCATCCTGTGGCAAGAAGGTGGCATCCTCACAATCTGGGACCTGACTCTGGTGAAAAGTGTTGTTTAGGGAACAGATGCTTGATCTTTTTACTTTCGCTGCTCGCCACCCTTTAAGAGGAAAATCTTCCCCAAATCTCTCTTCAAATCAAATGCCGGATGTCAATGGTTCTAAACTAAAGCTGAGCCCCTAGAATCACCTGGGCAGTGTTTTGTTTTATTAATGCTGATTTCTAGCCCCTACCTGAGACCTACTCCATGAGACTGTCTGGAGTCTCTATGAGCCAGAATTTGGTTAAAGTTACCTGGGAAATCGAGGGGAAGCCAGGTTTGGGAATCACTGGCCAATATGGTGATGCCTGTCTAGAGCCTGGACTTCACAACCCAGTGATGTCAACCACACTTATTCCACCCATCGTGCCTCGAGATGTGGGTCCACGTGCAGGGGGGGCCTCTGTGCATGGTGGTCAGAGAGCTCGCCATCCCTCTTTGTGTGCTCTTACCCAGCTCTCCAGGCAGTCAAGGGCTAAAGGGAGAGGTAGGTGGGAGCTCCCTTGAGCAGAGGGGCCTTTGTAGGGTGATGGAGGCTCAAGAGGGAATTTCCTGCCCTGTTCTGGAGCTTGGGCCCCCAGTCCTGCCTGAAGTCCCAGGGTCCACAGTGGCACAGATAGAGACAGCTTTCCGGACCTTGGAGAAGAATCTCAGTAATAACCGGGGGCAGGGCGGGGTGCTAATTACCAAAGGACACTCACTCCCTACAGAGTTCTCCTCCCGAACACAACTTGATGGAAGGTAAACACCCACACAGGACATTTAAATAATGCCCAAGCCGGAATGCGTTGATAACCAGTGGCGTGGACATTCGGCAGCTTTCCATTTCCAGAACATACTCGACTGTGGAGAAAAGACGATGGTAGCTACCTGAGGGCCTTAGCATTTGAGCCCTGGTAGGTGAGGGAATCTGTCAGAGTGAATAATAAACTCAGTACTCCCAAAGACCACAGCCTCCCTTAATGGTGTACTCCATAAACCCTCCTGATTTTTTTGCAAGAATTCCACTTGCTCTCTAGTTCTGCTACTTACATTTTCCATAGGTAGTGGTTAAGACCAGAATGAGAGAAACCTGCTTTTAAGGTATGAGACTGGGCAAGTGAGCCCATCTTTCTTAGACACAATTTTGGCTTCTGTGAAATGGCTGTACTTACTTCATAGAATTGCTTCAGGAATTAAATAAGATCATGAATATAAAGCATGAATATACAGCATCAATAAATATTGGCACATAAATATCAGTAAATTACTAATGGTAAATTACTAAAAATTAAATTAACTGAAGCCAGAGAAAAGGGAATTCCTTAGTTTCATAAGAAATGTTTATGGTAGATGTTTTGAGAAGGTTAATTTGTGGTGGAAATTTTGGCCAGGTGGCATTTTTATATGTATAATTTTATACCATAATTATATGTATATGTCTTTAGAACCCTCCATCATGAGAGAAGAAGAGAAGATTACTTTTGTGTGTGTGTGTGTGTGTGTGTGTGTGTGTGACAGAGTCTCACTCTGTTGCCGAGGCTGGAGTGCAGTGGTGCAATCTCGGCTCACTGCAGCCTCTGCCTCCCGGGTTCAAGTGATTCTCGTGCCTCAGCCTCCCGAGTAGCTGGGATTACAGGCGTGCGCCACAAAGCCTAGCTAATTTTTATATTTTTAGTAGAGACAGGGTTTCACTATGTTGGCCAGGCTGTTCTTGAACTCCTTGCCTCATGCAGTCCTCCCGCCTCGGCTTCCCAAAGTGCTGGGATTACAGGCGTGAGCCACCGCGCCCAGCCTAAAAGATTACTGAAGGGAATATTTATATAATATCTTGAAAAGCATGCACCTAGAAGCAACTTCCAAGGGTCACAGCCACCTGGTTAGCTTTAGAGAAAAAAGTGCCTAAGGTGTTACATTTTCAAGGATGTTTGAAGAATGTGAGTGGAATTTTCTATGCAGTTTCACAGGGAGAGCAATTATTTGGGTGTCCTTCAGAATTCAACACTACATCTCTCTCAGTCCATCCTAATTTAAGGCACTTTCCCTGCTGCATAACTTCATTCATGTTAGTTCTGCTTCTAGTGGAAATGGGGAATTCATATATAATAGTATTTCTAATGTTTAGGTTTAATTTTTTAAAGTTGTGAATTTCCAAGCTCTCACCATCTCCTTAGATCTTCACAAGTCATGACATATATACCAGGTTGACCACCATTTTACAAATAAGAAAATTCTGAGAGCAGAGAATTTAAATCCTGTCTTTATTCAGCTCTTACCATAATCCCCCATTTTCCATCTTGAGTATAGTGTCTTTCCATACCTTTGTTGATTATTGAGTTTTCCTTACATTTAGATGACAAATACGACTCCAAAATACACATTTATCTTGAGTCCTTCGCTGACCAACATTTGAACCTACAGTATTTAGAGAAATCCTAAAACAGACATTTGCACTAATTCCAGAAGCTGAAGGGGCTCAAAACTCCGGGCTCTCAGCTCTCCAGTGGCTAGAGATCATGTGACTAACCTCAGCCAATCCCATGCTCTGTCTGGAGGTGTTCAGTGTGCAAAGAAACATTGCAGACTTCAGATACATTTGGTGGCAGCAGCCACAGAATTCAGCGTCCAATGCCAGCAGTCTGTTATTGCTTGTAATAGTGTCCATGAATATGAATCAAACCAGACTTTCCCTTTGGTATAATTTTGGCCACAGTTTGGCTGCCTAATTTCCCTAGATGCCTGCTTATTTATTCAGGCCTGGTTGTCCAGCCTTCTTATCAATTCTACGGACTCCCCAATATCCATCAACAAATTCCATTGCTGCATAACCACGAAAGACATCTGTTCTTCATAAACAAGAAATGCGGCCATCGCAACCACATGATAAATAAAAGAGGCGGTATTCTTCCCAGATGTTTCAGGGCATCTTCTCTTAAACCTTCAGAGGGTCCTGAGCTGCTCATTTCCGGGACTTGCTGAGCCCTGACAGTAAACAGACTTTTAACAAAGACTCGCTAAATGTTCAGATTTTTTTTTTTTAAATTAATAAGAGAATGGTCCATTTTCTTTTCAAATCTTAACACAGAGCTGGCAGGATGTCCCCCATAGAGTTCAGAGTCAGAAGTTGTTTTTGATGCGCCGACATTCCGTTTGTGATAGTCTTGCCTCTATCCGGCACTTCTTAGGCCTCATCTCCTTGGCCTGGTTTGTGCAGTGGTTAAAAGGGGTTGATTTAATCCAGACCACCTGAGTTTAAATCTAACTTTCCAGCTTTCTGGCTACACAACCTTGGGCAAATTGCTCAGTATCTCTGTGTCTGTTTCTTCATCTATAAAATATATAGATTTTGATAATACCTACATCCTAAGGCTATGAAAATGGTTAAATGAGTTAATTCATATAAAGCATGTAGAACAGTGCCTGGCTGGTAGTAAATACACTGTAAATGTCGTCTATTAACATATTATCCTCACCTCTGATGCATACTTGCTCACTTACCTTTTCTTTTCTCAAAACCACCTCTCATAAAATAATCTGAAATTCCTTATTGATCTCATTCAAAATCTGTTTCTCTCACAGGCGTATCCTCAAATGAAGCCTTGTCTCTGTGAAATTCCTGGTAAGAGAAGTTGAGGCATCAATAGTGGATCAGGAGGTATTTTTAGGGGAAGAGGAGTCTCAGTATTCATGGAACTCAATGAGACCTCCACCTACACAAGGCCAAGGCTGCATATGGATGTAGAGAAATAAAACTCAGATGTTGAAAAGTATCTGAAGAGATGATAGCAAAGGGAAATTATCTTTTATCTTTCAGATAAATCGTCATTTTATGGAATGCCACAGGAAGAAGTTTTCTTTACAAGTTCTGAAGACTTGTGATGAATGAGTCCATAGTTTCACCTTTGAAAATGTCCCTGGGAGTGTCAACCCCATCACTTTTACTTATATTACACTCATAATCAGTTCATCTCGCCAAGAAAAATAATATTATCCTCATGCCCAAACTTGTGACTTGATTTGAAAACCAGTAAATCAGAAATAAAACTTCCCATGTGTTTTTTTCCTACATGAATCCAAGTGACTCAGATATTGTGTTATTCAATAAGACTATTACCATGACTCAGGTAAAAGGGCCGTTTATATTTTCTGAAGTCTCAAGTCTAGGGTCCAAAATAAAACTAGCATCTTTTATAGAATAATTTTTCTCTAAAATGAAATGTGTATGTCACCTGGTTGTCAAAATCCTTATTTAAATCTTTAAGGAGAAAAGCAATGGTTTGGAGAGTGGACTTAAGCAATTGAATCTTGGATTCAAATCATAGCTCCAGATTGTATCAGCCTCTATAACTAAGAGCAGGTGGCATTACCTTTCCCAGTCTTGGCTTTCTTATTGGTGAAAGAAAAAAAAGAGAATATTACCAGTCTTGAAATGTTGTTGCGTGTATTCCTACTTAGCAGGGTGCCTGGCACATATATGCAGGTAATATAAGGCTCTGCTTCGCTTCTGGCCAAAACTTCCTGGCACAGGAGGACATGGTTCTCAGATGTGAGAACATGTTCTGTCTTCTGCAGGAAACCAGAAGGGGTTCTCCCTTCTTTGATTGCAGGAGGAAAGAATTCTAATGGAATCCATATGTTCTTTGGCCCCATTTAAAACTCCACACTCTGGAAAAGTAGATGGTGTCCTGGAGTGAATCCCAAAGTCAGGCCCACTGGAAAGGGTCACTGGGCTTTCTCCTGCTTCAGTGGCCTGGGATTTTAAAAGTTGGAAAAGTTTATCCATACAACTTTATTGGAAATGATTGTTTTTTATTCTATTCTTGCCCTTTTATGGTATAAAGTCTTTGCTTTTATGTTGTTAATTTTAGATTTAGGCTTCTTTGATTTCATTCACTTCCTTAACAAAGTAAAAAGTTGGCAACTCTTTGAAGTTGCTGCAACCATATTCCCAACTACAGCATCCTTCTATGAGCCTCTGCTCTCTTAATGGGTATAGCCCAAGGGCTAGAAATAGACCAATTCTTGGCCAGGCGCGGTGGCTCACGCCTGTAATCCCAGCATTTTGGGAGGCCAAGGTGGGTAGATCACGAGGTCAGGCGTTGGACACCAGCCTGACCAACATAGTGAAACCCCGTCTCTACTAAAAATACAAAAATTAGCTGGGCGTGGTGGCACATGCCTGTAATCCCAGCTACCTGGGAGGCTGAGGCAGGAGAATTGCTTCAACCTGGAAGGTGGAGGTTGCAGTGAGCTGAGACTGCGCCACTGCACTCCAGCTCCGGCAACAGTGCGAGACTCTGTCTCAGAAAAAAAAAAATAGACCAATTCTTTTTCTCTAATCAGGTAAAATGAACAAGGATATTTTATTTTAATTTTTTAAAGACAAAGTCTTGCTCTGTTGCCCAGGCTGCAGTGCAGTGGCATGATCATAGCTCACTGCAGCCTCGAACACCTGAGTTCAAGCAATTCTCCTGCCTCAGCCAACGGAGTAGCTGGGACTATAGGGGCGTGCCACCATGCTTGCTAATTTTAAAAATATATGTATTTTTGGTAGAGATGGTGTTTCCCTATGTTGCCGATGTTGGTCTTGAACTCTTGGCCTAAGCAATCCCTCCCACCTTGGCCTCCCAAAGCGCTGAGATTCCAGACGTGAGCCACCATGTTTGGCCCCAGGAAATTTATAACTAGGACAATAAATGAAGGCACAAGAGACCAATCCCAGTTGTTCTATCCTCTACTATTCTGTCAACCAACTTTCAAGAAACTAACATTCGTGACATTTATAAGATGGTGGCCTCTGCTGCATGCCAATCTTGTGAAGTACACACAGGGGCATGCCAGGTATAAGACAGTAATTACAGTCTCCAACACAGAACTTCCCGGAATGGAATCACGGCTCAAAGAATCCCACAAGGAAAGACAAGCAAGTGAGCGTGAAAAGCCAGATGTGAAAGGCAGCAGAAATGCTTCACGTGAAGTAAGTAACTTATGGAAGCTCTAGAAAAGCAGGAAGGGATTAAACATGCATTGATTACGATATGCTAAATGGGCTGGGCGTGGTGGCTCACGCCTGTAATCCCAGCACTTTGGGAGGCCAAGGCGGGCAGGTCACGAGGTCAGGAGATCGAGACCATCCTGGCTAACACAGTGAAACCCCATCTCTACTGAAAATACAAAAAATCAGCCTTTTACTCCTAAGCACTGATTTGGGATTTGAGAAAAATTTTACAAAAAATCAGACTTTTACTCCTAAGCACTGATTTGGGATTTGAGAAAAATCCAGCTCATCCGTCTGATCTGGCCTCTTGATCTCAGAAGCTAGGGGAGACCATTTTTGCTCCACACATAACTAAAGCCAATAGAGGAAGGTGGTTTGCAGAGGTAAAGAGGATTGAAGCAGTTGAGCAGACAGCACAGAGGAGAAATGAGGCAAAGGTCTGATGTCCTAATGGTTTCCATCTGCAATCTCTTCCAAAGGCACTTTCTGATCAAGTAGCAATTTGGACTTTTTTTAGTTGTAAGCAACAGAAACTGGCCCGGCTATCCTCATCCATAAAGATTGTATTGCATTCAAAGGCTTGCAAAAGTGTGGCTAGATGATCAAGCTTGGGGTGTGGGGAGGATTCCAAAACGGAAACCCACCACTGATGCATGGCCAGAACCCCCCACCAGAGGATCCTGCTGTGAAGAATTAAGAGCCGTGGATCCATCGACGCCAGGTCATCTACCCACCCTCTGGCTGCTGGCAGTGGGAAGAGCGAGTTGGTGCCCTTCCACTTCTGTAGTTGATACTGGGGTCCTGATTGCTACCGGGGTGCTCTGGTTATATATCACACTCCAGACTTGGTGGTGTGAAACAATAACAGTCTTTTATTATTATCATACCTCATCATGCTGGGAGATGACTCTCATCTCCTCACTGAGGTTTCCTGTGCAGTTGCAGAGAGTTGGTGACCGGGGCTAGATTCACCTTAAGTCTTCCTCACTCAAGTCTGGCAGTTGATACTGGCTGAGAGCTGGGGTCTCAGCAGGGACCATTGATTGGAACACTGCTGGGTGCCTGGACTTCCTTGCAGCACAAAAGGTGGGCACCAAGGGTTAATGCCCCCAGAGAGAACAAGGTAAAACTAGATTACCTCTTCTAGCCCAACCTTGGAAGTCATATGGCAACTTCTGCTTCTGCTGCACTTTTTTGGTTAGAGGGGACTCACCAGATAAGTCCATATTCAAAGGAAGGGAAGTAGGCTTTTGATGGGAGGATATCAAAGAATTTGCAGAAATGTTTTAAAAGTACAATTGCCTCAACACGAAGGAATCTACTTGATTTCCTAAAACTAGAATCCTGGTTGCTAAAGGTTCCATAAGACACCCCATATATTGCTTAGCAAATCACCATTCATTGTTTAAAGTAGTTCAAATTAGTTTCAATTTCTTGCAGGCAAAGACACCCAACGGAAGCATTGGATTCCAAGACATTGAATTCCTTGAAAGGAGAGATTTAAAAGTACCTAGAATACAACCTTCCATATGACATTTATTAAAATTGGACAACTATACTTTGAGAAAATGATTGATATGAATTACAGTGTGATTGACCTATGGTCTCAGATCCAAACCGTAAACCCTACACATTCCCACGGCTAATCGTTTTAGGAATAGACCAATCCCCAGATAGTAAGTGAAGACTCAATGGATTTTGGAAGTCAGTTTGGCACAAAGACCCTGGAACAGCTTCCGGGGCTAGAGGTGGAGTTTCCTGTTGCTGAGGTGGAAGATCACGAGACAATCAAGAAACATGCCTCTTCCATGGCTTGAGGTCAAGTCTAAGCTTGCTCAGTATCTGTTACTCTCTGATTGAACTTCCCTTTAATTCTCCCATCAGCCAAGCTTTGTCTCTGAGGTCTTATAGGAAGTTTTTGGCAAAGTGGCAGAGGTGGTGAAGGACATCATGAAAAACCTGGAGCCAATGAAGCAGAAAGACTTATTCTGGAATACATGGTGTGGCATCCTAGAAAACTCTAGATATGACAGGTAAAAACCTGTGGAGGGAAGAGCGCGTTAACATTCAACATTGAAGTAAGTTAACCTCAACGAATGGTTGTTTGGTTGACAAAAAATAGACCCAAACAGAGTGATATTCAGCCAGTATCATTCAAATACCTGTGGGTTATCTGAACAACATTCTTGCTTTCAATTTCTTAATGCTCAAATTGCTTAGACATTTTTTCTTTCCCAAACAGGTGGGTAAATCTAACTTTTTTGGTGTCTCTCTTGGACATCCCAGTTAATGCTGATAGTTAAATTTATACTAGACAATCCCATAGGAAGCTGCCCCTCAGAGATCCGCCTGCTTCCTGGAGACACTTCTGACATTCTTCAAAATTGCCAGATAACATTTGAATAGCTCTGCGTTAGAATAGCCAATAACCCCTGCATTAGAATAGCCAATGTAATCACTGATTCTTCAGCTGCACTCCAGAGCCTTAGGGAATAAGTTGCATGAAAAATTTTATGTGTATATAATATATAATTATATATATATCATCTACATATATTTATATAATATATAATTATTATTTTATCTACATATATTTATATAATATAAATATATAAACATTAGTTTATATAGTTATAGAGAACAGAGGGCATAGCATGGGTGAGTGCCCCCAGAGAGAATAAGGATGGAACAAATATATAATAAATATCTATATTTATATATATAAACAAATGGAACAAATATATATAAATATTATATGTGTATATGTATATATAATAAATATATATTTTAGATATTTATGTATACATTACATATATAAATATATATATACATATAGTGAATCAAACTCGCTATAGCGAGTGCTCATGCTGTGAAAGATATCTGGGAAAGAGACTGATGGAGGGAACCGTATACACCCCAGGCTAGACTCTAAGCTTTTTGAGTGTGGGTGTCATATCTGTTTTGTTTGCCAGTGTATGCCCAGAACCTAGCACAGTAAGTGACACCTAGATGACAGGACGGACTTTGCAGGCATGCAGCCCGTGTGGTCACACAGGGTCCTGCACTCAGAAGATCCCTGCACATGACTCAGTGCTCTACTGTTGCCATCCTGAAATTGTTAATAGTGTTTGAACAAGAGGCCTTGGGTTTTCGTTCTGCACTGGGCCTCACAGTCTGTGGTTGCTCCTGATGACATTCAATAACTATGTGTTGCATGAATGAGTCAGAGGCCAAGGCCAGGATTATGTTCCTACCCTACCCTTAAACTCTGGGTCAAGGTGAGAGTGTTCCTTTACCGGAATCGAAGGTTCGTCTCTCTTGCTCTCATTTGCTGTTTTCAGGCTGATTTTTCCAGCAATGAGTAACAGCAGGGGCCATCCGTTTACTTCAAGGGAAAACTCTCCTCCCCATGTGCAGCTGGTCTGACCCGGTTCTGCAGCAGGACAATTTGCCAAGACTTTGATGCAGAAAATTCCCTTAAGGGGACTTATTTGGTCGTAAGTATCGTGTGTGAAAGACATCAATATTTAAGTCCTGGTTGGGCTTCATCAGATTCAACCCTGTTCTTGTCCAGTTTTATCAAAATGTATAAAGTCTAATCTTAGGGAACAAATGTGCAGTGATGCTAATGAATTTTAATAGCATTGGACGTCTTTGATGCCTTGTCTTATGTCCTCCTGACCTATCTTGTTGCTCTGGCATTAAGTTGACAAACAGCTGTGGCCAGGTGAACCTGACCTCAGTAGTACCTCATGTCCTGGGGCTTTTCTACTGGCCACAGGCAGCACCTGCAGCCATCTAGCGCAAGACCAAACCTGAAAGTGCAGGAGAGGTAACACCTACCGGGGCAACCCTTGGCTGAATGGGGCTGGGTGGATAAATGCTGTCTCTGTAGTGAGGACAGTTCTGAGGGACAGGTGCTGGAGACCAGAGGGTTTGCAGGAGGAGCAAGCTCCAGCGGCCCACAGGGTCATCAGCCCAGTGGCAGCCCTTGGAACAGCTTCCTATCTTCACCTTTTTCACGTTTCCTCCAGCTTCCCCAGATCCCTTCCCACCATGAACTCCCTGCAGCAAGCCCTCGTCTCAGGCTCTGTCCAGACGTTAATGTAGCCGTGACGCATCAGTGAGCACTCTTTTGATTTTAAGTGACAGATAACTAAACCAAACTTTCCTAAGCAAATGAATTCAATGACTCAAGTCATTGAAAAGTTCAAGGGGACAGCTAGCTGAGCTCTCAGTGTGACTAGGGGAATGCTTTCTATCAGGCCCTGTTTTATCTCTCCCTGTTCCTCAGTTTCACTTCTGTGTTGGTTCCGTTTTTAAATGAGTTCGCTCCTGATATGGCAAGATACCAGCCACTATGCCAGAACTGCCATTTCTACAGCTTCACAGCAAATAGGAAGAGAGGGCTTCTGGCTCCCATTGGAATCAGAAGTTGAGGCTCTGATTGGCCTCAGTTTGGTTCTGTGCTTATTCCTGAACAGTCATGTGACCATGAGTTGCTGAATGGCTGACGGCTGTTCTCAGGCTCCACCACTAAGGTGGTATGACAGTCCACCCAGATCACATGGACTGATAGGGAGGAAGGGGAGGGTCCTCACATTGAAATCAGGGCTATTGCCAGAAGAGCACGAAATGGGTGTCGGGAGGCAAGCACCACATGTTCAGGAGAACTAATTCTTCTTGGGCAGCCAATCAAATGTGGAGTCTGATAAATACAATTTTGCTTCCCATTCCCCATCAGCAAAGAGATTATTACAAAATAAAGTCTGTAATGATGAGTTACAGTTGGATATAAACCTATTAAAATAATGCATTATATAGATTAATTCCCTATGTATGCATTATTCAAGTGCTTTTAATACAGTTCCCCCCCTTTGGGGAGTGGGATCTTAAAATAAAAAGGAGAAAAGTTTTCATTGCTATGTTGTCCTATATATCTTGTCAAATTATGCAAAAAATACATGTAGACTTGTTTCACAAACATAACTAGATAGCATAATTACTTGGGTGGTACTAAAATTTGTTTGAACAAAGTTAGTTCTAAAGGAAGTGAGGCAGGATTCTTTTTGAGAAGTATAATATTTAATTTTTATGGGTATGGGAAAATACAGTGTAGATGAGAATAACTACGATTTGTATCCTTATTTTATCAGATAACAGTTATATAAGGTATAGAAACTTAGAGGCATTACCCAATTGTCCTGAGCCTCCTTTCACCACCTACAAAATGAAAATTATACCTATAGTTTGAACTGAATTAATTTGCAAAATTAATTTAAGAACCCAAAGTATATATTAAATGCTTAAGAGAAATACAGCCTCTTTTTAAGGCCATTGACAATTTAGGGACTGCCCCTCCTCCTCATGTCTTCGCAGACAGCTTTTCCGGAGCTTAGCAAGTGGTAGCTCGCAAAGTACTGAAATCTTCTCCTAGGATCCATGTCCTACACTGCTACAAGAATCACTGATTACATTGGCAATTCAACATTTATTAGGTCAAATGGAATCCATCGTAGCCAGGACCTCAGCTCTCCTTCAGTATGCTCAGATAACACCTGACCGAATATGGGAAGAGGCTCATTGTGTAAACACAAACGTGGAAGTGCCTTTTATTAAAACAAGATTTTACCTGTAGAAAGATTTGAGCATTCAATTTGCCTCGAGGTAGCATCTTTACCTGGAAATGAAATCTCATTCTGTTATTGGAGCCAATGTGTTTATGTCACCATTGGATGCAGGAACAACTTAAAAAATAATAGTATACATATGTTATGATTAACTCTAAACTTTTGTTTACTTTAAGGATAAGCTAAAAAAACTCACTATTGTCAAAAATAGCTTCTGTAATTTGTTCTTTTCACAAGAAGTAAAATTCTTGTGTTATTTTTTATTCTCTGTACCTTGCGAATAACTCATAACTTAGGAGTTCCCAAGTTATGTTCATTCCTCCATTGCAATCTCTGTCCCACCCTTCCCTTTCTTTCCATTTCCGTTGCAATGTAATGTAAGGTTAAGAGCATGGAATGCAAGAGGTGCCAGTTTCAACTCTAGCTCTACTGTTTCTAGCTCTGTGTCCTCGAGCACATTATGTCCCGTACTCTTGCCTCAGTTATACCATCTGTGTGTAATAATGATAATACTACCTCCTTTATAGGGTTGGTTAACTAATGGTCTGTTTTATAAAGGTCTAAAAACATTGTATACGTTGAAGGGCTTTTAAAAATGCTGTACTTTTAGCCAGGTAAAAATTCGGTTAAGAATTCAAACTAGCAAAAGATGATTCTACTTTGGCCCAAAGGCAGTGGTTTCCTGGGTTTGTGTCATCTTGCTTTGCAGCGTGTAGACAATTCTTCAGGAGTTGCAGAGAGAAAAATAACATGCCAGATTTTGGGGTCACAGTGCCATCTGCTGAAGAAAGGAGTGTTGCTCGAACAATGAGTCCACATGATCACAATTTGCGTAAGTACTAGGCCTAGCCAAAAAACAAAACAAAACAAAACAAAAAGAATGCAATAAGTTATGGACTCTTGTACATTGTAGTGGAGTGAATTCCTCAACAGCTTACGCTGTATTATATATTACTGTATTAATCTCTAAATACATTATCACTTATTTATTCATGCATTGATTTATTCATTAGTTAACATTTGTTAAGCACCTACTTTCCTGTTGGTGCCGCAACAACAGAGATGAAGAAAACAGGCATGATCTGTTTCCTTTGGTGCTCTCAGTTTAACAGGGACACAGAATTCAAAAGGGAATATACCAGGGAGGCGTAGAAAGCTGCTTTAGGGGGCAGCGGATGCTGCTCTTGTCTGGGAGATGGGTGCGTTTGAGGAAAGCTTGTGTCTTAGTCAGTCTATGCTGCTACAACTAAAGTCCTGAGTCTAGGTAATTTATAAACAATAGAGATTTATTCCTGACAGTTCTGGAGGCTGGAAAATCCAAGATCAAGGCACCTGTAGGTTTAATGGCTGGTGAGAGGTCCAGTCTCTCCTTCTAAGATGCCAACTTGTTGCTGTGTCCTCTGCAGGGCAGAATGCTATGTCCTTACATGGTAGAAGAACAGAAGAGAATGAACCTTGATATGGTTTGGCTGTGTCCTCACCCAAAATCTCATCTTGAATTGTAATCCCCATAATCTCCATGTGTCAAGGGAAAGACCAGGTGGAGATAATTGAATCAAGGGGGCGGTTTCGCCTACTCTGTTTTCGTGATAGTGAGTGAGTTCTCACGAGGTCTGATGGTTTTGTGTTTGGTAGTTCTTCCTGCATTTATTCTTGATCTTGCCGCCCTGTTAAGAAGGTGCCTTGCTTTCCCTTCACCTCCCGCCATGATTGTAAGGTTCCTGAGGCCTCCCCAGCCATGTGGAACTGCGAGTCAATTAAACCTCTTTCCTTTCTAAATTACCCAGTGTTGGGCAGTTCTTTATAGCAGTGGGAGAATGGACCAACACAAACTCGTTCCCTCAAGCCCTTCTATAAGAGACCCAATCCCATTCTTGAGGGCTCTGTCCTCAGACTTAAAGACCCCCGCCTCATTGTAAAACCACATTGGCCATTAAATTTCAACTACGAACTCTGGAGGACACATTCAAATCATAGCAGCTTCCTTGATGGGAGTAACATAGACGCTGAGTCTTAAGGATAGGCAGACGGTAGAATGCAGCTGGCTGAACAATAGGAGAAAGGCATCATAGGCAGCAGGAAAAGCAAGTGCAAAGGCCCTGAGGCAGGAGGGAGCGTGTAGCATTCACAGAATGGAGGCCCAAGAGGGTGAAGCACAGTGAGTGAGGGGAAAGATGGTCCAAAACAAGGTCAGGGAGGGAGGCTAGGCCCTGGTAAGAAATTTAAGTGCAATGGGAAAACAATGAAACATTTCAAACAGCGTTATGGAAAAACCATTTGCAAAATTGTTTAGCTAAATACAAACTGACAGTACTTAACATTACCCAGCACAGTAAGATTCAAAAGAAGTGCAAAATATTCGGAAGGTGGATTTGAATGATTTAAGTCTGGGGAACACTGTCATGTTCCTCGGGTGCCCTCTGCAGGCGCCAAACCAAATTGCTGCGTGATCCTGGGGATTTGCTCCTTCTTGCCTCTCACTCCTCATGGCCAGCATGGAAGAGGAATCTGATCAAGGTTTCCTTTTTAAATCTTAGAACCAGGAGCCTGGAGCAGGTGTTGCAGGTTTTGGAGGGCACCCAGGTGCGTACTGCCAGGAAATGATGTGATAACCTCATTCTCGCTTTGTGACAAAATCTAAATTAAACTGGGACATGTCTGGACAATTTTGTAGCTTACATACCAATTCAAACAGGTTTTTTTTTTCTCTTCATTTTCCAGTCAATATACTGACCATTTCTGTCCTTATATCTTCCTCACGGAGTGTTCCTGATGGTAGTCACACAGTCTTTTATTATAATTTTATGAGTTCTTGTTGGAGCGATTAATAGCATTTATACTAATAAAACTTTCTAACATACTGTATAATTTACTTATATGTTTTGGTTATGATCTTTTTCCTATCAATAGAATGTAAGCTACATGAGGACAAAGAGTTTTGTCTGTTTTTTCAGTGTTATGCCCTCAATGCTGAGCACCTGCCCTTCTTGGTCCAAGCAACATCCCACTGATTCCACAGTCCTCAGGGACCACTCCAGCAAGATTCAAGCTCTTTCTCCCCTGGACTCGCCCCAGGGTTGCAGCTTCTGGTGCTGTGACTTTGGTCATATGTTTGCCAACCATAAGCTTCATGATGCCAAGCACCTTGTCTGCTTTATTTTTCTGCTTGCAATAGCACCTAGCATGGTAGAAATTTCAAACAAACACACGCATAAATGCTCTCATTTAGGTATGTTAAAACAGAAGGCTGGGAGTTACAAGTTCATATACCTGGAGGGCCTCACAGGTGAGCACATGGATGGGCAGGTGCCCTACATGTACCTGTGTGCGCTCTGTGAGTGGGGGGGTCTGCCAGGCCCAGGAGAGAGCCTGCTGGCCGAATGTGCCAGGCCAAAGCAGCACCAGCAGCTGCCCATCAGGCAGAAACACAGGTGCAATGTCACCAGGATGCTGATTGTACCAGCTCAAGCAAAACTAAAAATCTCAAATATTGGTTCCACTAAAGAAAAATACCATATGGGTCAAAGAAAACATAGCCTGGATCCAGTCAGTGGGAGGCCAGTTTTCAACCTGGCATAAGGGAAAGTCTTTCCAAATGGTCATTGTTGATTCTCCTCCCTGACCTGCAGGATCCACATGCTTCCACTTGTACCCCATGCTTCTCCCCGGAGAGCCAGGGACAGTCCCCAGCTGGAGAAAGGACCAGAAACAAAGGTCGGAAATGCTCCACATCAGGAAATGAGAAGATGCTCAGCAGACTTGAAAGTCCCTGTACCATGCGGACTTGCAGAACGAGTTTTTCTGCTAGGAGAGAGATTAGCTCAAAGGATAGCAAGGTCTGGGGAGAGGAGAGGGACAAGAATGATGAGAAATAGAATGAGAAGGAAAACCTCTAAAGCAAGGGGAAGATAGGGGCATCAGAGGGAGCTGAGTCAGCACCAAGACTGCCAGGAGCCGCCACTGTCCTCTGTCCAGATTCAATGACACTGCCCTGTGCCCGCAGACTCTCTGCCCAGTGCCTTTTCTCTCTGCTTTTGTATGGTCTGTGTGGGGAACTAATGCATGGAGAAGCGTGCACCATCTCATGATAATGATGGAGCAGCCAAAGCCTCATAGAGCATCCGATTGGAGCCATGGCTTCTTTGAGCCCAGCCAAAGGGATCCAGCCCCTACCTCCATATCACCTGTTAGAGGAGACAGTGCCCCCTAGCCCTTCTGTCTCTGGAGCCCCTGTCTCCTGGTGCAATTTCTCAGCTCAGTGACTAGCTAACCAGGCACTTGGACATTAAGGAAGCATGGTGATGAATAAGTGGGCCCTGCATGAGGCAGGCTTCTCAGGGTTTCTTGGCAGCACATGTATTAGCATTTGGACCAATCTGATTTTATTTTATTATTGTTATTTACATTTATGTATTTATTTTTAATGTTGTGGGTACACAGTAGGCATAAATATTTATGGGGTACCTGAGATATTTTGATATGGGCATACAATGTGTAATAATCACATCAGGGGCCGGGTACCGTGGCTCACACCTGTAATCCCAGCACTTTGGGAGGCCAAGGCAGATGGATCAGCTGAGGTTGGAGTTTGAGACCAGCCTGACCAACATGGCAAAACCCCGCCTCTACTAAAAATACAAAATTCACTGGGTGTGGTGGCGCAAGCCTGTAATCTCAACTACTCGGGAGGCTGAGGCAGGAGAATCCCTTGAACCCGGGAGGTGGAGGTTGTGGTGAGCCAAGATCACGCCATTGCACTCCAGCCTGAGCAACAAGAGCAAAACTCTGTCTCAAAAAAAAAAAAAAAAATCACATCAGGGTAAATAGTGCATCCATCACCTCAGGCATTTATCCTTTGTGTTACAAACAACTCGGTTACACTCTTTTAGTTATTTTAAAATGTACAATAAATTATTGTTGACTGTAGTCACCCTGTTGTGCTATCAAATATTAGATCTCATTCATTCTAGATGACTAATTTTTATACCCATTAACCATTCCCACTTCCCCGTCCCCTAGTACCCTTTTCAGCCTCTGGTAACCATCCTACTCTCCATTTCCATGGGTTCAGTTGTTTTAAGGCTTTTAGCTCCCACAAATCAGTGAGAACACGCAACATCTGTCTTTTTGTGCCTAGCTTATTTCACCTAACATAATGTCTTCCAGTTTTATCCATGTTATAGCAAATGACAGGCTCTCATTCTTTCTTTTTTTTATGGCTGAATAGTACTCCGTTGTGTATAGGTGCCACATTTTCTTTTGTATTTTCATTTTACTTTAAGTTCTGGGATACATGTGCAGAACGTGCAGGTTTGTTACATAGGTATATGTGCCATGGTGGTTTGCTGCACCCATCAACCTTCATCTAGGTTTTAAGCCCTGCATGCATTAGGTATTTGTTCTAATGCTATCCCTCCCCTTGCCCCCTACCCCTGACAGGCCCTGGTGTGTGATGTTCCCCTCTCTGTGTCCATGTGTTCTCATTGTTCAACTCCCACTTACGAGTGAGAATGTGTGGCATTTTGTTTTCTGTTCCTGTGTTACTTTGCTGAGAATTATGGCTTCCAGTTTAATCCATGTCCCTGCAAAGGACATGATCTCATTCTTTTTTATGGCTGCATAGTATTTCATGGTGTGTATGTGCCACATTTTCTTTATCCAGTCTATCATTGATGGGCATTTGGGTTGGTTCCAAGTCTTTGCTATTGTAAATTGTGCTGCAATAAACATATCTGTGCATGTGTCTTTATAGTAGAATGATTTATAATCCTTTGAGTATATACCCAGTAATGGGATTGCTGGGTCAAATGGTATTTCTGGTTCTAGATCCTTCAGGAATCACCACACTTTCTTCCATAATGGTTGAACTAATTTACACTCCCACCAACTCTTTATCCATTCGTCTGTTGATGGACACTTAGGTTGTTTCTGAATCTTGGCTATTGTGAATAGCGCTGCAATAAACATGGGAATGCAGACATCTCTTCGATATACTGATTTCCTTATTGGGGGTTATATACCTAGCAGTGCAATTGCTGGATTATGTGGTAGCTCTATTTTTAGTTTTTTGAGGAAGCTCTCTACTGTTCTTTGCAGTGGTTGTACTAATTTACATTCCCACCAACAGCGTATGAGGGTTCCCTTTTCTCCACATCCTCTCTGGCATTTGTTATTGTCTGTCTTTTGGAAAAAGCAATTTTTAGCTGGGATGAGCTGATATCTCATTGGAGTTTGGATTTGCATTTCTCTGATGTTCAGTGATGTCGAGCACCTTTTCATATCTCCATTTGCCATTTGTATGCCTGCTTTAGAAGAATGTCTATTCAGATCTTTTGCCCATTTTTAAACTGGACTATTAGTTTTTTTCCTATTGAGTTGTTTGTGCTCCTCATATACTCTGGCTGTTAATCCCTTTTTTCTTGCCTTATTTCTTAATTAAATATTAAACTAAATATTTAGTTTGCAAATATTTTCTCTCATTCTGTGGTTTGTCCAATGTAATTTTAAAGTCCTAAAAGAATTTAATTCACTGACTCTTCAGTATGTTATAACCTGAACTTCTTGGCTGATTTTATGGGCCTCAGTGTTAGACAGCACCTAAGGATGTGTCATGTTAAAGCCTCTTGGTTTAACCTGTCTTTGTTCTCACCTGCCATTGGCCACCTGCTCCACCCCAGCAGCTCCCACAGTGACCAGCTCCACACCGGCCATGGTGTGCAGACTTGCAGGGCTGCCTCTCCGTCCAGTTGGCTCGTGCTTACAGCCTCACACCTTGTTCCTCCACCTGGGGGCTTCCCTGTGGAAGGCTGAGGTGAGAAAAATTATGGGAGCCTCAATGAGCAACCTGGAAGTGTCTGGGAGTGAGGTCCCCGTGGGGCCAGCCTTTGAATGGGAGGCAGGAACTGGCAAATAAGAGTTCTCCCCAGCTGAACTCTCCTGTGTTCTGGTTAACACAGCCTCTTACAGGACAGTCCCCAGAGAGGGAGCAACCAGTCGTGCTTGATACCAAGCAAAGGTCGGCTTGGTGAGGCCTCCTGGTATGGGCTCTGCTGCCTTCCCTGACCTGCTTCATTCCGCTTTTTCCTCGCTCTGGCTGCCCTGGGATTGTACTCCTTAATGAAGAAGCAGTATCTAGGCCTTTGCCTTGGGGTCTGCTTTAAAGATTCCGGCTGGGATGGCTTCTAACCATTGTCATTCTTCTCCCCCAGGATGCTTTCCAATTTCTACACATCTGAAATGGATGCTACAGTCTCAAAAGGCAGCACTAATCATGGCCATGGGGGTAGTTAGCAGTAATACCAAGCCAGGGGAGTTCTTGAAGAGGAGATTTGAAAGATCATAACTTGGGCAGTGGAATTTCAGACGCAACTGGGCTGAACTGAGAAAGTAATCATAGCTAACATTTCCTGAGAGCTTACAATGCATTTTATTTGCACGTATTATCTCTTCTACTCTTTGCAACAAGCCTATTAGAGACACATTATTATTTTTGCCATGAAAGTAACTTGTCTAACATCAAAATTAGAAAGTGGTGCAGGTATGATTTGAACGCAGGCAGTCTGGCTCCAGTAAGCCCTTTATTGAGTCTTAAACACTTTACTCATGCAAGTCAGGTGACAGGAGCTGCAATGTCCACTATGAGCTGCCCACTCGGGGACACATCTGACTTTATACATGACTTGTGGTGATGGGTAAAGCCTGGTGCTTAGGAGAGTGGTCTCTGGAGCCAGGTTCACCAAGAGTTCGAACCCAGGCTCTGGTACTTCCTGGCTGCTGGAGCCTTGGCCAAGTAGCTTTGTCCTCCTGAAACTCTATTTCCTCTCCTGTAAAATGATCGATAACAATATTGTGTGGTATGGTGAGGATTAAAACATTTAGCAAGGTGCAGGCCACATAGTATGTACCCTGTCAGTTTTGTATGTTACTGTTACTATTGCATTAGTCCGTTTTCACATTGCTGATAAAGACATACCCAAGACTGGGTAATTTATAAAGAAAAAGAGATTTGATGGACTCACAGTTCCACGTGGCTGGGGAGGCCTCACCATCATGGTGGAAGGCAAAAGGCGCATCTTACGTGGTGGCCGACAGGAGAGAATGAGACGAGAGAAAGGGGAAACCCCTTATAAAACCATCGGATCTCATGAGACTTATTCACTACCATGAGAACAGAATAGAGGAAACCGCCCCCATGATTCAATTATCTCCCACCAGGTCCCTCCCACAACACATGGAAATTATGGGAGCTACCATTCAAGAGGAGATTTGGGTGGGAACACAGCCAAACCATATGAACTCTCATTATTATTATACTTCAGCAAAAGGCAAAGGTTAACGTAGGTGAGAGTTTAGGTCCCTTCTGGTCCTAAGATCTATGCACCTGAGGATTGAAGTGCTTCTCTCTCTCAAAGCCCCTATGCTACTTTCGGTCCCCACCATACAATTACATTTCCTCAAAATTCCTGCTCCGCTGTTCCTCAGCTTTCAACTCAGCCATTTCTCAATAAAGCTTTGAAAAAGTCAGAATTCTTTCTCTCTTTCTCTCTCTCCCTCCCCCAGTTTGGCCTCACCAAGTTCTAAAACATGCCCAGATCTGGCCCCTGCCTTGCACCCCAGCCTCGCTCCATGCTGCTCTGTCCTTTCTACCATGTCTCACCAGGCTCTTTCCCTCTCAGCCCTCCACCCCTGGGGTCCACTTTCGTCTCCTCTCCCCATGCTGAGGCCTCCCATTTTCTCTTAGCTTAGAGGCCAGCTCCAGAGCTGGCCCCCACCCCTCCCCTCTGTGCTCTGCCTCAGCACCTCATTTATCTCCTTCATGCACTTGGTACCATTTGTGACAATTTTGCCCTTTATTTCTGTCTCCCTCTCCACCATTTGTTTCTTGCAGTGCTTTTACATTGAGCTCTGGAATAAACAGATATCACTGATGGAGCATCTCCTATGTGCCAGACCCGGTGCTAAGATTTAACCCTGGAAAAACATCTTTATTCAACAAATACTTTTTTGAGCACATATGAGCTACACACTGGAAAGTCCCAATACTAAGGGCCTGGAGAGCCCAGAATAGGCAGGAGAACAGGCGATGCCCGTGGCGGGCTAGGTGGTTCGGTGGGGAGGGCACAGGGTGCTATAAGGTCTCATTCCCCTCATTTAACCAAAGAGGAAATTGGGACTTTGAGAAAGGAGGAGGCTTGTCAGGGGCAGTTCTCAAGCTGTGGCCCATGAACCTCGGGGGTCCCTGAGACCTTTTCAGGGATCCATGAGGGCCTCCCTTTCCCAACTACATGATTTGTATGAGGCTGGGGTTTTTCATACCTACAACTAGGCAACTAAACAGTGTATTTGGAGAGACTGAATGCAGAAGTAGACATGAGAATGTAACCTTCCATTAAGCCTGATATTAAAGAGATCAGTGAAAATGTAAAATGATGACAATCTTCTCAATTTATTTTTGTCTTAGAAAATATAGTTATTTTTAAAGTGTGATTTTTATTACCATGGAATGGAGTTTTATATTATTTTAAATGAATTAATAAATACATTTTAAAAATTCTGCTTTAATTTCTAATACAGCAAATATCGATAAATAACCCACATAAACAAAAGTTCTTTGGAGTCCTCAGTAATTTCCAGGAGTATAAAGAGGTCCTAAGGCAAAAAAAAAAAAAAAAATTACTAATTGGGAGACACAAGTGTCAGAATATACAGTAATTGTTCAGTAATATTGCTGTAAATTAATTAATAGGATTGCCTAGTCACAACAGCAAAGGCATGGAATCAACCCAGATGCCCATCAGTGGTGGATAGGATAAAGAAAATGTGGTCCATATACACCATGGAATACTATGCAGCCATAAAAAAGAACAAAATCATGTCCTTTGCAGCAACATGGATGCAGCTGGACATCATTATCCTAAGTGAATTAACACAGAAACAGAAAACCAACCACTCATGTTCCCACTTATGAGTGACAGCTAAACACTGGGTACTCGTGGACATAAAGGTGGGAACAATAAATGCTACGGATTCCAAAAACGGGGAAGGAGGCAGGGGAAAGGGGTTGAAAAATTACCTGTGGGGTACTATGTTCACTACTTGGGCAACGGGATCATTAGAAACCCAAACCTTAGCACCATGCAGTATATCCATGTAATAAACCGGCACACATACCCCCCGAATTTAAATTAAAAAAAAATTACATTAAAAGATAGGAGTACCTCCTTTACACCACCTGAATTATCATGGCACATAAATCTCACACCCTATTTGCCAAGGCCATTCGTTCCTAGCTGTTTTACAGGTAGGTTAGCTTTCTCAATGCAAGTCTGTGGGACGGATGGAGAAAAATTCCCCGAGCCCTTTGATCCTGCCCCAGCTGGGCCCCGCCGCGCTGAGCCTTGGGCGCGCCCCCTGCTGCCCGCGGCCGGAGCCGTTCGCCACACCCCCGTGTTTATGTCGGTCCACGGGGGTTGCCTGTCCCTTTAATTGGCATGTACCAAGTCCTTCCAGGTCACATTTCCTCCCTACGTCCCAGCCGTTTGGACTCACTGGCCAAAAGTCCAAGAGGACGGAATGTGGAGACAGTGTTGTATTTTTGCGGGGAGTTCTAGGCCGACCGGGAGCGAGAGAACGCTCGGGGGCGAAGCGCGCCATTGCGGCCCTCCCCGCCGCCTGCGGTAGTCCAGTCCCAAGATGGCGGCCACCATGAAGAAGGCGGTGAGTGGGGAGCTCGGGGCTCTGGATGCTCGGGCGGCGCCGGATCTCGGCCGCTGGGGCCCGGGCGCGGGATGCTGGGGGTGCGCAGCTCCGAAGCCCGGCGTGGGACCCGAGGCCGAGGCCGAGGCCCTGAGAGCGGTCCCGCGGCAAGGCCTGCTCGCGCCTGGCGCCCTGAGCGTTTTCCTAGGCACCTGGCCAGCCGAGGCGGGGCGCCGGGGCTGGGGCCGGGAGCCTCGAAGGACGCAGGTCCGCCTCCCGCGATGCCGAGGGTGCCCCCGGGGAGTCTGAGGAACCTGCAGCCCCGGCCTCGCCCCTGAGGTGTGGGAAGCCGAAGGTCCCGTTGAGTGTGGTTGGCCTTGACTCGGGCGTTGCACCGGCATGATCGCATTAGCCTCACTGGTTATGGGTAGCTGCTGCTGGGAGCGTGGTTACGGGTGAGGAAACTGAGGCCCAGAGATGGGGAGTCACCTGCCCGAGGTTACGCAGCTCATAACGGGGACAGCAGGTTCCTGCATCCCCAGATTAGCAGGCCCCAGAGACCCTGTGTCCAACCTGGAGCTGCCCATTTCCACGCTTGATGCCCCTGAGTCCTTCAGGCTAAAACCAGTATTTATTGAGAATGGAAGATGTGCCGGGCCCAGCAGCCGGCCGTTTATCTGTTATCCTCCCCGCAACTCAGCAAGTGCAATGGGTTCCTCTCCACTTTGCAGGTAGAGAAACTTAGACACAGAGCAGTTAGAGGCCCTAAAGTGACTCAGCTAGTAAGAAGCAGAGCTGGAGTTCAAACTCAGGTTTGTTTTTGTTTTTCTCAAAGCACGCCTGTGTAACCACTAAGCCGGCTAAACTTCCATGTGGGGTTTTTAATCCCGTGAGCCTTCCCAGATGTGTAAAGATAGTCAGATAGAAGAAAAAGAAAATTGGAGAGGGGGAAGGAGATAACGGCTGATAATTTGGGGAGCTTTACAGTGTGCTAGGTACAGCTGTAAGTTGTTTTGCGTGTATTGTTTATTTTATGTTCTTTGAGGGAGATACTGTTTTTATCCTTATTTAACAATGAGAAAACAGGCGCGGAGGCAAAGCTAGCATTTAAACACAGGCATTCTGACTCCGGAGTCTGTGTTTTAAACTGCTATAGGGGGTCTTTGATGAGAATCTCTTGGCTGGAGGGATTTGCGTTCATTCCACTTTTAAGACCACATTAGAACTTCTTTGCTTTGCCCCTATCCAGTACCACATAGTCTATGCCATCTGTGCCTGGTGTAGGGTGACCCATTGCCCCCTTTTATATGAAATTGAGGGACTGCCAAAAATGGGAAAGCCCCAGCCAACTCAGGATGTGTTGCTCACCCTACTATTCTGCCATCCAAAAATTCTTACTGTGTCCCAGAGTAGGGTCTAGGGCCATGGTGATTCAAAAAAGTATGAAACTTTGTGAGATTCACTTCACCTCTAGTTTGTTAAATTGGGCCCTCTGGTGTTAGGTATGGCCTTTAATTCCTTGGAAGATACTAGTTGTGGTTCACTCCGTTTTATAGGTATGGAAACTGAAGTGCAGAGAGGTGAAGTAAATGGTAGAAGAGGAAATGGCAGAAGAATGATTTGAACCTTGGATTTTGATTGCAAAATTTCTAATTACCAACTTTTTTTTTCCTTTCATTGATTCAGTAAATTTTCGGGGGCACGTAATATGGCGTAGTCTCAGTTTTAAGTGGAGACAACTGTGGTGACCAGTGAGAAAGCTCTTCTCCCCTTAATCTCATAGCCCCAAAGAACGTATGTTCCAGGGCAGAGCAGGCATTACTCAGATAGTCAGACAGAAAACTAGTTTCTCTGATGAGAACTGTGAAGGAAAAGTGCTTATGAAATGAGGGCCAAAATGAGGTCTGTTTTGAGATCAGAGAAGACTTTCCTGGGAAAGTGCCATTTAAGTTGAGATCTGTGAGATTATGTAAGGAAAGGAAGGGAGAGTTGGATAGGGAGCGAAGCATTCTAGAGAGGAGTATCTGCAGAGACTCTGAGTGCATTTAATACAAGGAAGGCCCGATGGCAGATAATCAGGGGAAGAGAGTTTGAGCCATGATGGGAAAAGAACTTATAGAGGGGTAGGTGGTGGCCAAAATATAAAGGAGCTTCTTTAACTTTGGAGGCTTTAAGAGTCACATGATAGATGCAGTGTCCTCCTGTAGATGTTTCCAGTGTTAGGAACAATTCCCGATAGATTAGCTTGCATGTACACTTTTCCCCTTTGCCCTCACTAGGAGAAAACATATGTGTATGCCAGTGAGTGAGAGTGAAACAGAGAGAGATAGCCCTTTGAGTTTAATTAAAAGCAAATCGTACAATCTGGAGTACTTTACGTTTGTAACACATCGTATCTCTCAACTGGTCATGACTTTGCTGGGGAGAGTGTTTAGATGAGATGATTCAGTCCTCTCCTCTCTAGAGTTCTGCCTTCTAAGATCCAGTTCTTGACCATAAGGAGATCTGCACTTTGATTTCTGTTCATTATCCTATATACAAATGTCCTTTCCTCAGAGAGGCTACCTTTGACCTTTATCTAAAGAAGCCTCCTTCACTCCCCAGGCCCCCAAAACTTTCTACTCCTAAGCTGTTTTATTTTCATCATCACGTTTGTCACCATTGAACATTATCTTGTTCATCTTGTTTTTTGCTCTCTTCCTCCACCAGGATGTATGCTTGCCATTTGTATTCATGAAAGTGGGATAGTGGCTCTCTTGTCACAGTGCATGGCGTATAGGAAACAGTAATTGTTAAATAAACTACTGCATGGATGAAAGTTGAATACAAAAATTAGCTGGGCATGATGGCGTTTGCCTATAATCCCAGCTACTCGGGAGGCTGAGGCACGAGAATCGCTTGAACCTGGGAGGCAGAGGTCGCAGTGAGCCAAGATCACACCACTGCACTCCAGCCTGGCGATAGAGCAAGACTCGTCTCAAAAACAAAAAAACAAACAAAGAAGGTTGAATACAAATACAAAGCAAAAGTTTACATCATACAGACTTGGTAGATATGTTTTTAAAAGTAAAAATAAAAGACTGAAATTGGCCAGAATTTATTTCTAGGGACCCAGCTGTCAGTGCAGACTCCGTGTAATACCTAGACTTGGTGTGAGGCATGACTGAGTATGGTTCAGTTTCCTCCTCTAATCCCGTAAGATATTAGTTCTCAAGAAAAGAGCCCAGGGAATTTTAATTTTTACTTTGGATCCCGAGCAGGCATATTTCTCTTTGGCCTAGCAGAATTTCTTTCTAGATCTGGATCTGTTCTTTGTAATGATTTTTGATAAACAATATTCAGGATGTAAAATGCTTAGCTATCATTTGACTGACTCCATCATCAGGCTTTCTCCTACATGTTCATTTTATCAACCCTATAAGGTAGGAACTAGCCTCTCCATTTTACAGATGAGAAACCTGAGGTGGTTCCAAAGAATTGGGTAATTTGCCCAAGGTTCCTGTTTGCTTGGATTGGATTGCAGCCTGACTCTTCCCACCACTCTGTGTGCTGCCTCAGATACTATAGGATATGAGTTCTTCCTAGAGTTCTTCTGACTTTGAGAGTAGCTACAGCTGGTTTCCCTGAAGGCAGGAGTTCCTAACCTTTTGGGGTTGTGGATCCCTTTGAGAATCTGGTGAAAGCTATGAAGACCTTCCAGAAGGATGCACATACTATACATGCCATTTTGCATACAGTCTCTGGGTATATCGACCTGTCAATGTCCATTGACCACCCCCACCCCCCAGTTAAGAATTACCCACTTCTGGCTGGGCGTGGTGGCTCAAGCCTGTAATCCCAGCACTTTGGGAGGCCGAGGCTGGTGGATCACCTGAGGTTAGGAGTTCAAGACCAGCCTGGCCAACATGGTGAAACCCCTTCTCTACTAAAAATACGAAAATTAGCCGGACATGGTGGCATGTGCATGTAATCTCAGCTACTTGGGAGGCTGAGGCAGGAGAATGGCTTGAACCCGGGAAGTGGAGGTTGCAGTGAGCCAAGATCATGCTACTGCACTTCAGCCTGGGCGACAGAGTGAGACTCTGTCTCACCAAAAAAAAAAAAAAATTACCCACTTCTTGCCAAAATGCAGCTTCAAGAAATGTAGGAATGTTCTAGGACAGTGAGACTAAAACAGAAGCCTCTGTTAGCCATCAAAGGCACTGACATCTTACTGTCTGCTGTAAATGGCACTCCACTGGGCGGCATGCAGTATATTTGACTCACACATCAACTTTAGCCCTTAACCCCAGTGGGAAAACCACTGTAAAGATCTGGATACCAGGGGCCACATGTGTGCTGATGCCTGTGGTTTGGTGGGGCTACAACAGGAAATTCCTGCTTTGGAAAGACAGAAAGCAGATAGCCAAATTCTCTCTACCACATTTTGGAAACTATGTGTTTGAGTCTGATCAAGCATGATTTAGATTCAAATTCAGAAACCATGTATTAGCCTTAGTTATGTGCCAGGCAGTCCTGCACTGGATCCGTTCATGTGAATGGCTCTGTTGAGCCCTCACCAAGACAAATACATCTATAAATGCCTGTTGGGGGTTCAATATTTAAACAAAATGGCATATACTCTTCAGGCAAACAGGAACTCTTCAGAATTCTCTGCTGTCTATTTGCGTAGGGAATTGACAGTTCTCACTTAGGCAAAATGACTTGTGTGCCAAGATATAGACTTTGGTTTCTTGAGCGTAGCTCAGTGTTCCCCAACTTCCATATTCATCAAAATTATGCATACGGTTGAACACTCAAAGCTAGACATAGTGTGATGTAAAGGATTTTTTCAGGCTATCTTCTGGGTTGTTGAGGTGGGGCATAATGCATGTGAAATTGTTTCTTGGAATGAGAGCCTAACAAAGGGGAGGACTGTGTTATATTCCGACCACTGAGCTCTGTATTGCTTGACACTGCCTTTCAACCTCTGAGAAATAAAAGTTCACATACCTTAAGTCGATGGTCATGAGAGACCAGGTCAGGGATGGAGTGTGAATGTTGTGAGCTCATTACTGTTACTGCAAAAGAGCCAAAAGTAGTGTTTCAGTATGAACTATTTTTATACACACACAAATATCTTTTCTTCTTTAAACTAGAATCAGGTGCTCTGGTTTTCATTTTATAAATGGAAGGGAAACCCTAAGGAGAGTCTGGTTTTATGTTTTAGCTTTATTTTTTAAAAATATATGGTACCTCCTTGAGAATCTGATGAAAGCAGACATCCTGCTGCCTCTTCCAGATGTGCCTAAGCCTGTGTACACACTCACACACACACGTGCACACTCACAGAGACGCACGTTCACATTCAGTTACCGAGAACTCATGGACCTGTCTGACCTCTGAAGCCAGTCTGCCTGGGTTGAAATCAAGTTCCACCACCTACTGGCTCTGTGGCTTTGGCCATATTATATAAAGTGTACCTCAGTTTCTCAATCTGTAAAATAGTGCTGGTGATCCTCCCTAATAAGATGGATTGCAGGATTAGCAGAGATAATAAAGTACTTAGGAAGTTTTGGCACATAGTAAATTCAATCAGTGTTAGCTATTTTTTTATTATTTCATTGGTACTTTATGTTATCCAAGTACTCTTTATTTGCAAATTTGTAAATTTAATCACATTAAATATTAATTTTTAAATACTAAACATTCAATTTTCATCATTTTTTAGTAAAGTAGACCTTATTAAGACATTTAAACAGGTCCTACATTATAAACATAATTTTTGCTGTGAATGGAATAGAGCCACTGAAATGTACAGTGACCCTTTAGCCAGTAAGCTCATGCAAGTTTTAGCTCTAAGAAAAAAAAAACACTACTCTGAGACATTTACCAATATATTTGACCATGTAACTTTTTGTTTCCTGGGTCATCTTAATGAAAGAATGCTCCAACTTGAGAAATTCTGCTCTGTGCCAAAAGTTGGCTTTTTTTCTTTCCTTTTAAAAGGACTTATTAATTGTTCTTTATGTTTGCAATATGTTTATAGCTTAGGAATTATTTTATGGAGTATCAGAAAAGGTTATAGATTTACAAACAAACCTTAAGCTTGTGGAGCAAAAAATAAGGCATTTGTTATGTTCTGTACTTCTTGTGATTCTTGACTATATGAGTGCAAATGGCTTATTGAGTTATTGTTGAGAAATATAAAAAGCTAACTGATAACTTCTCCGTTAAAATTTTACAAAAACTTAAACACTTCTTTCAGGCTGCAGAAGATGTCAATGTTACTTTCGAAGATCAACAAAAGATAAACAAATTTGCACGGAATACAAGTAGAATCACAGAGCTGAAGGAAGAAATAGAAGTAAAAAAGGTATTGAAAATAATTATTAGAAGAATAAAATTTTTTTATACTATAGCTACTAAAACTGAACTCAGTTAACAAGTGAATATATATTTCTCTGGGCTGTTTGTTGCAGATGAATGACGCGATCCACTCTAGTTAAGCAGAAAGTCATTTTTTTTTTAAGGGATATGCGATAACTTACAGAGTTGTTGAGGAGCTTGAGTCTAGACCGAGGTTCCAGGAACAAGTCTCGGAGAACTTGGCTGGCGGTGGAACAGCTGTTGCCTCCACTGATCCCAGAGTCAGCTGTCTTCCCAATGAGGAAGCCACCCTTGCAGACTTAGGAACACCAAGCTGCTGCTGCCAGTGCCACCTACCCCAGTAAATCTGGGGCCTGTGTCCAGCCGTCCCCCTTGAGTTGAAATCCAGCTCAAATGCATTTGATTGGTGGAATTGAAGTTATTATCACTTATGCATGCTGGCAGAACTTTCATTACCCGCATGATTTACTTACACCCTATCAGCAAGCAAGGCTGAGAAATGTAGGCTGGTTTTTTTGGTTTTGTTTTTGTAGGAAGGCAGAATTCACAAAGTCAAAAATTGTTAAAATAGAAGAAATTTTGAGTGACCATGTGCCTGCTGTCCACCACAGGGCGCTTATTGTCCAGAGGACAAAGCTTTAGGTAGCTCTAAGTGCTTGCTTGTGAAATGTCTTCTAAAAAGTTACAAATTAAGGTCTTATTCTAATGTGGTAATAATACCTTTGTGAGAGGGTCCCTCAGAGAGTTGCTGTCCCCAAATTACAATTGGCCTTTAGCTTCTATCAGAGAACTTTGAGTACATTTTCTTTGCCATTTTGCATTTATAGAAACAACTCCAAAACCTAGAAGATGCTTGTGATGACATCATGCTTGCAGATGATGATTGCTTAATGATACCTTATCAAATTGGTGATGTCTTCATTAGCCATTCTCAAGAAGAAACGCAAGAAATGTTAGAAGAAGCAAAGGTATGTTAAAGGTTAATTCTGAAATTAGAATTTATATCACTATAAAGAACATGTAATTATAGATGTAGGGAAATAGTAGATGCTAGCTATAGCTAATATTTACTGCCTTGTTATGTCCCAGGCATGCTCCGAATGCTTTGCCAGCAGGATTTTGTTGAATCATAACGATGACCTGTTATCCCAATTTAGGGACAAAGAATAGAGGCTTAGAGAGGTTATGGGATTTATTCAAAGTGACACATAGACAGTGGTCTTCTGACTCCAGAACCTTGCTCAAAACTAAAAGTATTTAGAAGGTATAGCATATATTGAAGCAGAAAAGAAAAATCCCCTGTAATTCTGCTATGCAGAGGTAACCATTCATAGTGAACATTTTCCTGTATTTCTTTTATGTTCTCTCTGCCTCTCTCCGTGTAGTTTGCTTCCCAGTTGGGACAATTAATGTTCCAGGAGGAGCATTTTTGCTGGTTTCATTGAATGTTTGTTTGTCCAGCAGATACTCATTGGAAGCCTGCTCTGAGCCTGGCACACAGGCCTTTAAAAACATCGTTTTTGAAGACTGTTTAATATCATGTTGATGGTTATCAATTGGGGTCACGGGTCTTATTGTTAGCATTAATTTGTTTCCAATATTTTGCTGTACTAATGTTACTGTGAGCATTCTTCTACATAAATCTTTGTTCACATTTAGAAAATTGTTTTGAGGAAATAATTAGAGAAATATAATTACTGGGTCAGTCAGCATATGAGTTCTCTGATAATATCTGAGACATTTGATACATGGTATGAAATTTTCAGTTCACATGCCTTCTTACTATTTGGGAGGGACAGCCACGTTGTTTGTCTATGAGAAGCAGATGGCAATTAAACCTTTCCTAATGCTTTTGCTAATTAACCTGATTGCTTAAAATGATAGTCTCTCTTCAAATGTCATAAAAAGCAAAACTTCGTATGAATGAAACCCACATTTAGTAAGTCTTCAGAAGAACTATCACTCCTGGGTCTTTCCATGCATAAATCTTATATGTCTCCCTTATGTTTAAATCTTTTCTTCTTGGTCAAATTTTGTGATTTTTGTTCTTTTTATTTGTTTAACCATTTAAAAAACATTTTTATTGGAAGTATTCCCAGATAGCTTATGGTTTTTGTGGCTATTGTGAATCCCCTGCCCCATACACAGATAGCTACTGAACTTTTATTTTATTTTATTTATTTATTTATTTATTTATTTTTTGAGATGGAGTCTTGCCCTGTCGCCCAGGCTGGAGTGCAATGGCGCAATCTCGGCTCACTGCAACGTCTGCCTCCTGGGTTCAAACAATTCTCCTGCCTCAGCCTCCCGAGTAGCTGGGATTACAGGCGCCCACCACCACGCCCAGCTAATTTTTGTACTTTTGGTAGAGACAGGGTTTCACCATGTTGGGCAGACTGGTCTCGAACTCCTGACCTCGTGCTCGTGATCCACCCGCCTCAGCCTCCCAAAGTGCTGGGATTACAGGCGTGAGCCACCACACCCGGCTGAACCTTTCTTTTTTTACTCATTCTAGAATTCTAGAATGAATGGAGTGCTTACTCTGTATCAGGTTCTGCCATGTACTAGGGATAATTGGGGACAACAAAACCTGCCTGGCCCCTGCCTGCATGGAGCATATAGTCTAGATGGAAAGAAAAAAAAGTAAACAAAACTGATAATGAGTAGAAAGTGATATGAGGATAGAGGTGGCTTTAAGAACACAGGAAGAGGAATCTACACTAGTCTGGACATCAAGGGTCAGGGAAGGGCTCCCAGGGAAAGTGATGGGATAACAGCTGAGGAATAAGTGGCTATTAGCCAGAAAGGGGCGGCGGGGGGCGGGGGGTTCTAGTCGTGAGAAGCAACATGTGTGAACGGCCATAGGATGACGGTGGTGCAAACATAGACCTGCAAGAAGATGTATTTGCTGGAGATTGGGAGCACCTGAAATTGTGGCCACATCTTGGAGAACTCCAGTCAGTTGAGTTGAAGAAATTGTACTTTGTCTTAGCAGGGGTCAGCAAACTTTCTGTGAAGGGCCAGAAGTAAATACGTTAGGTTTTGTGGGCTGCACAGCCTCTGCCATAATTACTATGAAAGCAAGATGAGTGAATCTGCGTGGCTGTCTTCCAATAAAACTTGACAAAAACAAGCTTCAGGCTAGATTGGGCCTGTGGGCTATAGTTTGCCCACTCCCGTCCCAGAGCAAAGAGGAGCCTTCAGAGATTTTTGGAAAAGAGAGAGATGATTGGACTTGCGATATTAAAATGACTTTCTAGTGTCTTATTTTACTTATTAACCAGGTTTTCTCGGTATAGAAATTTAGAATTTATCCCTTTCTAGTAGCCATATGTCTTATTTTTGTTTCTTGTTTTGTAACAGTGATTCTCAAACTTAGCATGCGTGAGAATCACAGTCACCACAGGGCTTGTTAAAAATCCAGGTTGCTGGGCCCGACCCAAAGACGATCTTTCAGGTGGGCTGAGGTAGGGCCCCAGAATGTGTATTTCTAACAAGTTCCCAGGTGATTTTGTCCCTGACACTGGTCTCGGGGCCACCGTTTGAGAACCATTGGCTAGATTTCTAAAACGGCAACACTGTCAGTATTAGATATTCTTTGGTTTCTAATGTTAGTGGGTATTTGGTTTGTGTGATTTCATATTTTTTTGTCATGTTTAGGAAAAAAAATTGTTTTGATCCTAGCCAGGAAGGAACTTAATGGCTTTTTTTTTTTTTTTTAAAACAAAGAGTATATGTTAAAATTTATTTAATCTATTAATGAGGGAAGCATTAACATTACAAAACTGGTTTTAGAATTGAAGAGGCTAAGTATCTATAGATAGGTAGGTAGAAAGAATTGTCCTTTGGAATTGTATTTTCTTTTTTTTAATTATAAATTGACAATTTATAATTGTATAAATTTATGGTGTAAAACGGGATGTTATAATTTATTAATACAATATGGAATAATTAAATCAAGATAGTTAACATGTCTATCACCTCAAATACTTAGAAAATATCTGAGTTTTCACTGGGCAAAGCTGCTCTTTCTTACAAATGAGGCACTTTTTACCACTCTTTTCCAAAGTTTAGCTCCAGAGGCCTCAAAGTTAGTGAAAATTTCTGCCAGATTTGGATCATAAGTTGTTCTTCTTAATTATTGGTGGTTGGTGGTGTGAGTTTCTATCATTTCCTGTAGTCTCATAGTTATTTTTGTTGTTGGAAAAAGCTGGGTTAGAAGCCAGCAGGCCCAGGATAAACTATTTATAGAAGTCTTTGTATTTGGTTCTTTGTTAGGAAATAATTTAGACAGTAATTTTTTACTATTTTTTAGATCAGCAGAAACTGAGAAAACAAACTTGATTTATTCTGTGATAAGCAGATATGGACCATGAATTAAAAATGCCCACATTCAGACATTTAGATCTAATTATCAGTGTTACTTAGCTGCCTGTCCAAGTTTAGAAGGTTCTTGACCTAAAATTCTTCCCAAATATTATTTCAGACACAGATGCTCAGAAATCATCCTATTGAATAGAATTAATTTAAAATATTTTTTTTCCAGAAAAATTTGCAAGAAGAAATTGACGCCTTAGAATCCAGAGTGGAATCAATTCAGCGAGTGTTAGCAGATTTGAAAGTTCAGTTGTATGCAAAATTCGGGAGCAACATAAACCTTGAAGCTGATGAAAGTTAAACATTTTATAATACTTTTTTTATTTGTTTAATAAACTTGAATATTGTTTAAAATGATAATTTTCCTTCTTCAAATGACATGGAAAGCAAAACTTTCTTTTTTAAAAATTTTCATTTATTTAATGGAAACTTGCCCATTTTCACATGTCTGCTTATTTATTTTATATTTTTAAAAGAAGACAGTATTCACCTATGTATTTTGCATAACGATTATATCAAGTCTAGGGGCTTCATGTCATGTTATTAAAATCAGTTAAGCAATCTTTTATGTTTCTATATTATTTAGAATATTTGTTGTTGCAATTTTCACATAAGAAAATTTAACAGTTGTGTCATGTTGTTTCTGTCTGATTTTAATTGCTGTCTAATGACGGGGAAAGCACGATGAAAAGATGTACAATCCTGCATCCTTGCTTATTTCACAACTAAAGCTTTGTCATAGACTTCAAAATATATATGTATATATTTTATTTAAATATATGTTACATATTATATTTAAACATACATATTTAACATTTTTTACATATCTATCAATATCAGAGATTTGGGTAAAAGAATGGGTAATGTTTAAACATGTGGAGGCATGTGGAGCTTTATACAAACAGGGCAGAACCACAGAAGAACGTTTTAGAAACCAAGAGATGTGCAGAAAGAAATGTTTAGTGTTTTTTCGTTTTAAATTTTAGATTTTATTTTAGTGCTTTGTAATTAATTGGGGTTTATATTGATAAAGATGTGGAAGTTAAACAGCTATGTATGTAAAAGTAAGGCTTATTTCTTAAATAAAGGATGCATTTCTTCCCACTCCCCCACAAAAGACAAACATTTTGGGATTTGGGAGACCTAAATGTATTAACTTTCCAGCAGATGGCACTGATGTGCCAAATGTGAATGGAAGGATCCTAACACAACAATGAGATTGTTAGGATTAAATATACATAATTTTAGAGGAAATATTTTTAATTTTTAAGGCTAAACTGCATATGTATTTTTTGGTTCAGTGTTTATAAACATGAATTCAGGCTTAAAGATAGATGATTATATAATTTCTAAAATTCTTAATACTATAAAGGCAGTTTTTTCTTTTCTTTTTTTTTTTTGAGATGGCATCTCACTCTGTTGTCTAGGCTGGAGTGCAGTGGTGCGATCTCGGCTCACCGCAACCTCCACTTCCTGGGTTCAAGCGATTCTGCCACCTTAGCTTCCAGAGTAGCTGGGATTACAGGGACTTGTCACCACTCCCAAATAATTGTATTTTTAGTAGAGACATGGTTTCACCATGTTGGCCAGGATGGTCTCCATCTCTTGATCTTGTGATCTGCCCGCCTCGGCTTCCCAAAGTGCTGGGATTACAGGCGAGCCATTGTGCCCGGCCAAAGGCAAATTTTTAAATTGCTGCAAAAATCTTCCCAAATAGTGATATTCCAGTTCTGGAAAATGACTCTTACCAAAAAAATGCAAGGATATTTTTTTCTTGCATCCATTTGGTTAATGTTCAGTTAGAGGATTGAGGCTGGGGAGGTAGTCAATCAAGTTGCAGCAGGAAATAAGATCAGAATAATTTGAGGAAACTCTCACCAAAGTTAACAATGGTGCCGGGTGACCACTAGGGTCCTTTTGGACCCTCAAAGGCCAGGGGAGAGAGCAACTGCCCACTTCACTCCCTGACCAGGGAAAGTTGCTTTTCATCTGGGGAGGAACACAGCCAGCCTGTGTCATACCTGCAGTGGTAGAGCCAGGGGACTAGACATCCTGACCTCATTCTCCCTCCAAAATCCACCTGTGTCCCACCATTGGCCAAACCCAACCAGAATCCGGAGGTGGTCCATAGAAGTCAGTCGCCTGCAGGGCCTGGGAGGGGTGGGGAATGGATAGGTCTGGGGATCCCCCAGTGGAAGATCTAGCATAGGAGGGCGACTAAAGTTTAGCCCTTTAGAAATGTTAACAACGAACACTCGCCTGACATGGGCCAAGAGACTGAACTATGTAATTCACTGGGACTTCAAATTTTGTCCTGCATATTATCAAGAAAACCTAATACAAAAACCCAAATATCTAACATCAGTGGGATGGAAGCGTGTGATGTTGCTAACTTCATTTTCTTAACTTACCTGTGACATTTTAGAACATTACAAATATTTGATTCCCATTTTAAGTTCATTTCTAAAGCCTTTGCTTATTTTTGTGAATAGTAACTTCCCTGGGCTAGCTGAAGACTGGGGAACAGCACGCGGTGCATCTGAAGGGAAAGGAAGAAATGTCAGCTTCAGCCAGTAGTTGCGACAGAGGGAAGTTTTGATCTGGATTTGTCACTAACTTCTTTTTTTTTTTTAAGCAGGAATCTTGATTTGCATGTGCAATCACTCTTTTTAGACTGGGCCACTATTTGTTTTTTAAAGCAGTGCAGGCTACACAACAGATAATTGCACAACAGATCTGGCCCTGAGACTGCCAGGTTGCAAAGTCAGGTGCATAATATGATACGTCATGTGCAGGCTTTTCACAGGAAGTGGTAGTAGAAGTCTTCTGAGCAGCTATGCTTTGCTGCTGACTGTAATGTTTCATTATCTCTCACATCCATTAATTTCTTTCCATCTCCACAACTACTGTGATCCTTGTCCAAGCCTTGTGAGCTCTAGTCAAAAGCATGGCTAAGTAAGGGAGCAAGGGGATGGAAAAGCCATTTGAGGTAGGGTTTCGACAGGGGGTCTCTAAAGGGTTTTGAATAGAAAGGAGCAGTACTTTTTAATAATTTGGCAGTTGTTAGGTGGGCTTTACTGTAGAAAGATGGAGGTAGAAATACTGGATGTTATTGTACCTTTTCTGGTGAGCCGAATCAGTTGGCTGAAGAAAAGATACACCAGGACTTAGAGAAGGGGTGAAATGAACAAATTTTGTCAATGATTGGAGAAACGAAGGTGAAGCTAGAAGGAGAAACCCAAAGAGAAGTTGGTTTTGAGCACAGGCCAGTACAGCTTGCAACAGGTTTTCTTTGGCTTCTATAGTTTAACAAAGAAAAAAAAAACCCTGAATTTGTTGCCACAATCAAATCCAGAGATCTCACATAAAAATGCACGGTTTGGCAACATTGAAACCATATTTCTAAAAGGCAGTCTTCAGCTGCTCATGCGTTAGACAAAGCAGGCTGTCTCCAGTTCACCCCAGTCCCCACCTAGCCCACTACCCTCATTTATATTACCTGCGTGGTGCCTGTCTGTATTTGCTTTGTAATCTCTGGATGCCTGCTGGTAGTGTAAGCAGAGGCAGGAAAGAAAGAAGTGTCTGGTTTGCAGGAAGCAGGGCAGAGGAGGGGGAGGGTGAGAGAAGGGCACGAGCTTGGCATCAGCACTTGGACTTCCCAGGGCATCAGCCACGTGGAGACATGTAATTGGCAACCGGAAAAGTGTGTTGAAGTTTAGGATATGCGGGACTAGGGAGGTATATTTGAGAACCCTTTTCATCCTACAGAAGGGCTTAACATTTAACGCACATAAAAATCACCCGGGGATTTTGTGACACTGCAGACTCTGGCTCCGTGTGGGCTCGGGCTGAGATGCTGCCTTTCTAACAAGCTCCCAGGTGACGCTGCTGCTGCTGAGCCCTGGTGCCATGCATTGGACAGCTAAGGTAGCTTGCCACGAAGAAGAGGACGTGGGGAAAATGCAGGTGGGAGGAAAAAGAAACAGCAAAGGAGACAGAAGCTGCAACGGTAATGGGAGATCCGCAAGAGTGTGGAATCCCAGAAGCCATGATGAGAATGCTGAAAGGAGGAGGGAGTGTGATCAACAGCAAATAGTACAGTGGCGAAGCCAATAAGAGCCGAGAAGATGGAGCTCTATTTGATGACTAAGAAGGCCCTTATTTCCTTCAAAAGAGTTAACCCACCCCTACTCCTTACACACAAACTGGAGCTCCAAACACCCTAGACCCCCTGACCCGAGGCCCCCACACCTGAGCCCCATACCCTTGAACCCCACACACACCTGAGCCCCACACACACCTGAGCCCCACACACACCTGAGCCCCACACACACCTGAGCCCCCCACACACCTAAGCCTCACACAAAGCTGAGTTCCCATAACCCTGAGCCCCGAAACCTAAGTTTCCCCACCCCTAAGACCCCCACATTTGAGCCCCACACACCCGAGTCCTACATATAACTGAGTCCCCATACACCTGAGGCCCCCAGACTGGAGCCCCCATATACTCAAGCCCTCCCACACACGAACTCCCCACAGAGCTGAGTCTCCATGTACCTGATCTCCCCACACCTGAGCTCCCATATACCTGAACCCTACACACACCTGAGACCCCCATACCTCAGCCCCTCCCACATCTGAGCCCACACACACCTGAGTTCCACACACACCTGAGGAATCAGCTCCCTCCCGTCAGGCACCAGTGATTCTCGGGGGTGATAATTGTGTGGTTTGAAAAAGCCTGAACACATTAGGTGCTGAGGATCAAAAATACATGAACAATTCTCTAGTTCAGCGTTTCTCCAGGTGTGAACATGGAACCAACATCACCTGGGAACTTGTTAGAAATGCCAAGTTTTTCACAGGACTAAACCCTGAAAAAAAATTCCCCCACTGGGCAATGATATTGAGCAACATAATGGTCATTGCCTTCAAAGATGACTTCATAGCAACTCTGCAGACAGGGCCCAGGGTTTTAACAAGCACTCCAGGTGATTCTGACTCAGCGAAAGAGCTGGTGGGGTTCAAATCATTCCATCTTTCTGGGATTGGAGGGCGTGGGGGTGGTGTTGGGGGAAGAGACTGGAGCACCAACTGAGAATTCTTAATGCAGATTATAGTGCTGGAGAGGGTAACAAAAGAGGGCAGCATCAAAGAGATTGACCCATCCAGTTTAGGGATCGAGGGTAGCTAGAAGCATTCCGGTTGCTGGTAGTAAACAGATTATAAAAGATTAAGCAGTAGGTGGTGTGAGACTTGGAGGCAGCAAGTGAAAAGTATTTTTACAAGAAAGTTAACAGTGGTGGGAAAGAGGCAGAGCATCACTTAATGTCACTGTGGTGCAGATGGAAAGGCTTTTTTTTTTTTTTTGGACTAGGGAACACATGAATACACACAGTAGATGAGAAGGAGCCAGGAAAGAAGATGATGGAAAAGTCAACGGACAAGAGGTAATAGTTGGAGCACATCTGTGAAAGAAAGGGGTGCTGTAGTGCTTATACAAACGGTAGACTGGGAAAACACAGAATTAGGTGTATATGTTACAAAAACTCCTAAGGAATAAATGGTAGAGAAAAAAATTTAGAATAGTGATGAACTGTAGGAGGAAGATATAGTTGGGGTAGGCAAAAACAGGAGGAGGCTTCAATAATCTTTATGTTCTATTTCTTAAGTTGGGTCATGGGTCCATAGTTATTGGTAGTCAATATGTTTATTATTAATTATTTTATGTACATGAAATTCTTCACAATAACAAGTTTTTTTATAAAGTTCTGTTGTGGCACAAACAAACTAGGAAAAATGTGCATTACTGTGGCATTGTTATTGATATTTCTGTATTGCATTCAACTACTTTTTTGTCATTTGACATAAAATGGATCATGGTGACTCTCCAGTTTTGTTTTGTTTTTTTCTTATAGAGACAGAGTCTTGCTCTGTCACCCAGGCTGGAGTGCAGAGGCATGATGTTGGCTCAGTGCCAACCTCCGCCGCCCGGGTTCAAGTGATTCTGTTGCCTCAGCCTCCCGAATAGCTGGGACTACGGGCCCATGCCACCATGTCCTGCTAACTTTTTTGTATTTTTAGTAGAGATGGGGTCTCGCCATGTTGGCCAGGCTGGTCTCAAACTCCTGACCTCAGGTGATCTGCCCACTTCGGCCTCCGAAAGTGCTGGGATTACAGGTGTGAGCCACGGCGCCCAGCTGACTCTCCAGTTTTAAAAGTAGAAAATCAGCAACAACCAAAAAGTTAAAAGTTGGCTTACAGATTTGGTATAGAAAATTGTTTGTGCAACAGTCATTAGCATCCGTTTGTATGTAGAAATTTCTGGTAACTAAGTTCTTTGATCCTCCATTCTGGTATCTAGGAATAACTCTAGTGATGGCGACGTTAACAATTAGCTTTGAGTGCTTATTGTAGGCTGTCAGTCTTCTGAATTTTTTTTATATATTCCTTCCTCACAAGAGCCCTTTAAAGTAGATTCTTTACCATCCCTCATTGTGCAGAAGTAGAGGAAGGTTTAGAGACGTTAACCTGCCCCAAGTTTTGCAGCTTACTTAGCAAATGGGTGGTTAATGAATGCACAAGTTGTACTTTTGAAATTTATTTTGTTAGATGATTTTATTTGTGTTCTGTTACTTATCCAAAGGAATTTCAGATCGGTTCTCATATAGACATATAAAAGTATATGTGTGTATATATAAAAATGTAAATATAGCATTAATAGATTAGGAAAAAAGAAAGGGAGAATAAGTTGGTCACAGAGTCCACCTTTCAGATTGATGTACTCTGAACCTCTATGTAGCTAAGACAGAGAAGGAAAAATGATGAGTAATACCACATTGGAAAGGGTGTTATATATGAATATCTCAGGAGACAAAACATCTTTCAGAGGTCTAAACCTTAAAAAAAATTTTCCCTCATTAGGCATTGACTTTGAGCAATGTATCAGATGCTAACTTTAACAAAGACTTCAAAGCAAAGGCAAGAGCAAAATTCATATGGCCAATTCTTGTAGCAATTAAACAGTTAACCTAAATCCAAGGGAAATAATTTAGAAAGAGGCCGATAATACGCAGCCAACATCCACAGATGTACCCTGAGCTAGGCATTAGATATCTTATGTACCCTGAGCTAGGCATTAGGTAAGTATTCACATACATTAATCATTACAAGGTACAAACTAGTATTATCATCATGTCCATTTACAGATGAGGAAACAGAAGCCCAGACCAAAGTTCCAAGGCCCCTAAGTGAGGAGCCAGAACTCAAACCCAAACAGTGGGGCTTCCAATCTGTCCTCCCAACCATTCTATTGCAATATTGAAGAATCTTCTTACAATCTTCCCAGATCCAAGGACAGTCCATAGGTCACTTCAAACTCAGAATTTCTCTTCAAATAGGAATTAGAGAGCAGAATAATGATGGCCTTTGTCTATGAATTAAATTAAAAGACCTTCTTCCTAGGAACCCATTTTAATTCAGTCCTATAAGATAGCAAAGGTATCAGATTATACCCACAGAACACCTGGAATTCTGAACTTGACCACTGTGCACAATAATATTGGGGGCCAGGCTTGGTGAGCCACCATACACCATATGGAGTATGGAGGCTAGGGGTGGGTAGATCACTTGAGTTTAGGAGCTCAAGACCAGCCTGGGCAACATGGTGAAGACTTATCTGTACAAAAAACACAAAAATTAGCTGGATGTGTGGTACATGCCTGTGGTCCCAGCTACTAGGAAGACTGAGGCAGGAGGACTGATTGAGCCCAGGAGGTCGAAGCTGCAGTGAGCCACGATCATGCCATTGCACTCAGCCTGGGTGACAGAGCAAGACCCTGTTTCAAAAAATAAAAATTATAAAAGGAAAGGAAAGGAAGAAAGAAAAGTATTGGGGAGGGATAGGTTCTATTGGGAAGGGACAATGAACACCACAGCCATAAATTCTGATTAATTTTGTAATAATACCTCTGACATTCACAATCTTATTGTAACTTGGAGTAACGCTGGAATTATTGGTAGAGTTCGATAAAACCTATAGTAACACAGATGAGCAAGTGTACTAGAAAACTGAATTAAACTTTTCTCAGGGTGTGATACTGATGGAAAATAATTGACCTGAAGAGGACTTGCAGTTAATTAATAATCTATTAATAATTGTTTTAAATCATTTGACTCAAACTTATAAAGTCCAAATTATAGTAGCTGATAGTGGCATAAGAACTGCTACACTCATGCAAAAATATGAAACTTATGTCCAAGAATCTTGGTCTGCTTCACCTCTCCCATCCTTGTCGCTACCACCTTGGGCTAAGAGGCAGTGAGTGTTTATTTGGACTATTGCTGGTGTCTTCTGATGGGTCTCCCAGCCTCCATTCTTACTCACACACGTCCCCTTCAATCCATTTTTGTAGCCAGATAATCTTTCTCAGACTGCAAATCTAATTATGTTACTCTTTCTTTGATAACCACCTCCTCCCCCCTCCCCCCAAAAAAATTAATGTTCTCCCCCTTGGTGAGAGTAGTGAAAATGAAAACACCTGACACAGCCTGCTTGGTCTGAACCCTATCTACTTTTCCACTTCCCCTTTGCTCTCCACACCAACCACACCAGCCTTATGCCAGTTCCCCAGGTTTATTATGCACCCTTTGGTCATAGAACCTGCATCCTTACCAGGTCAAAGCCCCAGATATACTTTCATAGTTCCACATGCTTCTCCTTTGTTGCAAGAACAGCTATTACATTTATATTGATCATTGCAAATTATTGACTTGTCTTCCTCATTAGACTGAAATCAGGAACCATGATAATGCTTTGCTTATTCCCATCTTCCCAGCCCCTGCCTACCATGAAATCAAGCACACGACAGTGCTCAATCTACACTGGAATCCAACAGTTCTGCTTGATATGGTTTGGCTTTGTGTCCCCACCCAAATCTCATGTTGAATCGTAATTCCGAACGTTGGGGGAGGGATAGGGTAGAAGGTGATTGGATCATGGGGGCAGATTTCCCTCTTGCTGTTCTTGTGATAGTGAGTTCTCGTGAAATCTGATGGTTTCAAAGTGTGTTGCACTTCCCCCTTTGCTGTCTGTCTCTCCTAGTCACCCATGGTAAGATGTGCTTACTTCCTCTTCGCCTTCTGCCATGATTGTAAGTTTCCTGAGGCCTCCAGGTCATGCTTCCTGTTAAGCCTGCAGAACTGTGAGTCAATTAAACCTCTTTTCTTCATAAATGACTGAGTCTCAGGTAGTCCTTTATAGCAGTGTGAGAATAGACTAATATACTGCTCCTAGATGTGTACCTAATAGACATGAAAACTTGTGTCCATCAAAATACGTATTAAAGAATGCTCATGCAATAGTCCTGGTTTACCCTAGGGGGATAATGTGCCCAGGCCATGCTTGAAACCATGGATGGTACTCTATATATATACCATTTTTTCATATATATATATATCTCCATACCTATGATAAAGCTTAATTTACAAATTAACACAGTAAGAGATTAATAAAATAGAACAATTATAAAAACATACTGCAATAAAATTTATGTGAATCTGATCTCTTTGTCTAAAATAATATTTTATTGTGCTGTACTACGGGTAACTGAAATCTCACAATGTGAAACTGCAGATAAGTGGGGACTTACTTGGGTAGTTTTATTCTGAACAGCCAGAACCTGGAAACAATAATATTATCAACAGGAGAATGGACACATACATTGTGGTCTAGTCATACAATGGAATACAACACAGCAGTGAAAAAGAACATCTCATTATGACTGCAAAAAAAAAAAAAAAGCCTGAATCTTACAGACATATTGTTGAGTAAAAAAGCCAGACACAAAATAGTACATTCTGTATTATTCCACTTATATGAAGTTTAGAAACAGTGGAGGGTAGGGAAAGGTCACCGCTTAGTGAAGGCTAATAGTAACAACTATTTATATGGAACATTTACAAAATCACCAGCACTGTGCAGAGAATTTGACATGATCCTAACTAAGTCACCTCCCCAGAGCTTACCCTGGATTTTTTTATTATCCCCATTTTTTAGATTAAGAACTAAGGCTGTGAGCAGGGAAATACCTTGCCCAAGGCTACATTGCTGGTAAGTGCAACTCTGCACAATCTCACGGTATCCTGACAATTACTGTTAGTCATTTCTTACAGTGCTGCACAAGACACGTCTGTCATTGTTTTGCCAGAGGACTGTGTGAGATAAGATGCTGAGCATTCCCCCACAAGGCCTAAGACATAGTAATGACTCAATAAATATCATCTATTATGATCAGTCCCATGAAAATAAAAATAGAGGCTCCACGAGGTGGCTCAAGGCCATATAGCTAAGTGGCATTGCATTTGTGCAGTTTTGATTGTGAGTTCTATTGTTCAAATTGATTCTAAGTGACTTACATAGTTACTCTAAATGCAGCACCACGCTATGATTTTCATGGGTGTTGAGTATTTTTGCCTGCCTGAGCCCCTTCTTTCATAAGCCAAATATTAAAAAGCATATTTTATGACTGCCTTGGGACAGGCAAATGTAACCCAGGCTGGATTATATTCACCCTACTTTCTGATTTTAAAAGAAACTAAACATTTTCATAGGCCCTTAAGGTGCCATGGGCCCTAGGCATTCTGCCTCCTGTGCCTAACAGGGAAGTAGGCCCTGCCTCAATGCAGATGAGATTGTCACGTGCTGGGTGAGGATGGTGGGTTTCTTCTGGGGAGTGGAAGAGGCTGTGGTTGAAAAAGACAACTGAAGATGAATTCTTTGTTGATGAGATTATATTTGTCTTGTTCTTTTTTAAAAAATAGCCATACATAAATGATTTAGCCAAAGGCATGAAATGTCATTTGGGTTCAAGTGATTGTGAAGCGTTTTTGATTTAACAAAAAATCATAAAATGATCCAGAAAAAATAGGAGACTGCAATTCATAGAAATGCTATTTTGTGCGATTTTATCTGATTTGGAATGGGGTTGAGGAGAAGTAATTGATGAAATGTTATGAAATGCTAGAATTTAAATAGGCCTGATGTAAATAATGAAGCATGCTTTCAGGCTTTCAAAATACACAATTCTAGTCTCAGTTTAAAAAGTGGTCAGTTGGAGCCAATCTAAACATATATAGAGACTGATAGCAGCAACCATGGCATAGAATACATGTTTCCTTCAAAGTTTTAAATTACCTGTTTGCCTAGAGTCTGAACCCTGCTAGAAGGCCTTTGAAAAAGCATTGAAGGGGGAGAAAAATCCCTCAAACAACTTACATAGTATTTGTCCATGGGATTTGAATGGCTCTTAGCTAGTAACTGGTGTTTGCAATCTTTTATGGAGGTCTTTAAAAGCAAACAAACACATAAGAACAGGGGACTGAAGTAGTATACTGAACACATTCTGAATGTTATGGAGGACACAACAGGATACTTACACATCTTCATTTTGTGCACTTAACCATGACTGCGTGCTGCACAAGACAATGGGTAAGTGTAACATATGAGTTAATTTTGGCATTATGGCTGCTATTAATGCAAAACCAGGACAACACAAAGACAATATCACACCTTTCCATTCTGTCAAGAATGGTGGGTGCAAGTGCTCTCAGGACCCAGTAATAGAAGAGCAGATGAATGTAAAACCAACAGGAAAGCCATCATCAGTGCAAAGAAAATGGGTGCAGAGATAATTTTTTTTTTTTTTTTGAGATGGAGTCTCACTCTGTCACCCAGCTGGAGTGCAGTGGCGTGATCTTGGCTGACTGCAGCCTCCGACTCCCTGGTTCAAGTGATTCTCCTGCCTCAACCTCCTGAGTAGCTGGGATTACAGGTGTGTGCCATCATGCCCAGCTAATTTTTGTATTTTTAGTAGAGATGGAATTTCACCGTGTTGGCCAGAATGGTTTTGATCTCCTGACCTCGTGATCCAGCCTGCCTCGGCCTCCCAAAGTGCTGGGATTATAGGTGTGAGCCACCGTTCCCAGCCCAAATGAGATAATCTTACTCTGACCCCAGGTGTGTTCAGACCAGAAGAGCTACGGCTGGATCTCACCCAGATGTCTCTGATGACTGTGGGGCTCACATCAGTGAATGAGGCAGGGTGGGCTGGTCACAGCTATCTTGCTTAGAGGGAGCAGAACTCTCTAGGTGACCACAGTTTTATACCCACCCTGATTGTCTCAACAATGAAGTCGCTGTGGCTTTTATGGAAGAGCAATTTCTAGGTTGTCTTTCATTTTATGTTGATATCATGGTTTTTAGAGTACTTGGCAGTGGGGGAGACGGTGATGACAGGCAAAGATGTGTCGTACAAGAGGAGGAAACAGCCCTGTGGCTTCAGCCAGCTGTTGCCATGGTGGAATGTGGGCAAGACTGGCCAAGCTTTCTGACTGTCCAAGAAAAGCCAGTAATCTGAAATTCTTTTGTGTGAAATCTCCCAATTTCTAAATGTTGCTGAATCATTCAAAGATTTAAAAGACATTAAGAAGAACATGACAATGAGGAAAAAATGACAAACATCAGCAAACCCCAGTTCCCAGACTGCCAATTCATAACCCAGTTCACAGACCACCAACTCACAGGGGAATCTGAGCCTTTGTAGAAACCAGTGAGGGTTGAACAAAGCCCTTTAATAAATAGTAAAAAGGAAAATCTCATCTTTCCTTTGGAATTTTAACCAAACAACACTATTTAACAATGTGTTCTCTATCTTCAACCTATAGGAAGAAACCCTTTCCTTAACCTACACAAAAAGTAAATAAATCTACGGCAAGGATTTTTTTTTTTTTTTTTTTTTACAACATCAATGAATGGTTTAAATGTGATTTTTTTAGTTTATGTCTTTCCCAGTTGCTATCATGGGTTAAAAGAGATTGCAGAATATTGCACAAAAGGAAAGAAATATGAAGTTGCTTCAAAAGATGAAAAAACAGTAATGGGCAGATTTAAAAAAAAATTGTCAAGAAAATATCCAAACAAACTTAAATGTCACCAGAGAGTTTGCCAATAAGTCCATAAAGCAAAAAGATTATTAACCTCAAGACAGAGCTACTGTTGGGATCACAGGAAAACCATCAGCTGTGCACCATTTTTATTGACACTTCAGGGTAAACTAATAAAACTCCCCATTTCAATTAAATTTTGGAAACTCATGTTCCCTTTTTCTTAAATGCTGTAAACCAGCTTATAACCACACAGCCCCTTTTTTCTAAAATCTCCTCTTGGCTGAGGACGTGGAGCCAATGGCACATTCTAGCATTTTTCTTACTATGGCTTTCCTGGACACAGGCGGCTATAAGACGTGATGTTAATGAAAGGGGGAATTGTAACTATATGGTTTTCATTTTTGCAGGTGAGCTTGTTGAGCCATTTTGAAATCAAGTGCTCCTTTAGGGTGTGCTTAGTGTTCCTTTTCAGGGGTTCCTGGAATCATGTCCGAGCTGAAACAGATCTTGGGGAATTTTATTACAGATTTTACAGACTGGAGAATTGAGGCCCAGAATGTCTAACCCTGCCAGAGCCAAAGAGCAAGAAGGAGTCAACTTCAATTCCATGTCTTTGGTAGGCATCCTTCTAAATTGACTCCCACTTACCCCTGCCTCCTGGTATTCATGGCTCTGTGTAGTCTTCTTCCTTTGAACGTGGGCTGGACCTAGTGACATGCTTCTGATGAATGGAACACAGCAGAAGTGATGGATGTCACTTCTGTGTAAGTCACAAAAGACTGTGGCTGCCATCATGCTTGCCTTCGCTTTTTCTGACACACATACTCTCTCTCTCTCTCTGGCTCTTCTCACATGCTTGCTCTAATAAAGCCAGCTGGAGAGGCCCATGGGACAAGGAACTGAGGGAGGCCATCCACCATTGCAATGAAGGAACAGAGGCCCTCAGCCCAGTCACCCTGGAGGGACTGAATTCCAACAACAACTATGAGTGAGCCCAGAATTGGAGCCTTCAGATGAGACCACAACCCTGGCTAACACCTTGATTGCAGCTTTGTGAGAGATCCTAAGCCAGAGGCCCCCAGCTAAGTGATACATGGATTTCTGACCCACAGAAACTGTAAGTTACTCTATTTCCATAGTTTGGGGAAATTTGATACACAGCAATAGATAGCTACCACGATGTCCAGGGCTCTTGACTCTAAGGCCGGCATTCTTTGTTTCATTGGCTGCCTTTATATTCTTTGTAGATATCTGCATCCTATTAGTGATCACTGGCAGAACAATGTACTAGTTAATGTCCAGGATATAAAGATAAGAGTGGCAGAGTCCTTAGTATCACTGCATTTTGCTTTAGGACTAGAACTATATTTTATTTTTATTTATATATATATATATATATATATATATATATTTATTTAAGTTCTAGGGTACACATGCACAACGTGCAGGTTTGTTACATATGTATACATGTGCCATGTTGGTGTGCTGCACCCATTAACTCGTCATTTACATTAGGTATATCTCCTAATGCTATCCCTCCCCTCTCCCCCCACCCCACAACAGGCCCCGGTGTGTGATGTTCCCCTTCCTGTGTCCAAGTGTTCTCATTGTTCAGTTCCCACCTATGAGTGAGAACATGCGGTGTTTGGTTTCTTGTCCTTGTGATAGTTTGCTGAGAATGATGGCTTCCAGCTTCATCCATGTCCCTACAAAGGACATGAACTCATCATTTTTTATGGCTGCATAGTATTCCATGGTGTATATGTGCCATATTTTCTTTATCCAGTGTATCATTGATGGGCATTTGGGTTGGTTCCAAGTCTTTGATATTGTGAACAGTGTTGCAATAAACATACATGTGAATGTGTCTTTATAGTATAATGATTTATAATCCTTTGGGTATACACCCAGTAATGGGATTCCTGGGTCAAATGGTATTTCTAGTTCTAGATCCCTGAGGAATCACCACACTGTCTTCCACAATGGTTGAACTAGTTTACAGTCCCACCAACAGTGTAAAAGTGTTCCTATTTCTCCCCATCCTCTCCAGCACCTGTTGTTTCCTGACTTTTTAATGATTGCCATTCTAACTGGTGTGAGATGATATCTCATTGTGGTTTGGATTTGCATTTCTCTGATGGCCAGTGATGATGAGCATTTTCTCAGGTGTCTGTTGGCTGCATAAATGCCTTCTCTTGAGAAGTGTCTGTTCATATCCTTTGCCCACTTGTTGATGGGGTTGTTTGTTTTTTTCTTGTAAATTTGTTTGAGTTCTTTGTAGATTCTGGATATTAGCCCTTTGTCAGATGAGTAGATTGCAAAAATTTTCTCCATTCTGTAGGTTGCCTGTTCACTCTGATGGTAGCTTCTTTTGCTGTGCAGAAGCTCTTTAGTTTAATTAGATCCCATTTGTCAATTTTGGCTTTTGTTGCCCTTGCTTTTGGTGTTTTAGACATGAAGTCCTTGCCCATGCCTATGTCCTGAATGGTATTGCCTAGGTTTTCTTCTAGGGTTTTTATGGCTTTAGGTCTAACATTTAAGTCTTTAATCCATCTTGAATTAATTTTTGTATAAGGTGTAAGGAAGGGATCCAGTTTCAGCTTTGTACATATGGCTAGAACTAAATTTTAAACTGGCCATCTTAATGGGATACAACAGGGCTTCCAAATAAGACTAGTTTCCTTATTGGGAAAATGAATATGACAATGCCTGTATCATTGTTCTATTGTAAGAAATAAGAAATGCTTACACACACACAATGCTCTCTGTGTGCTGAGCTCTACACAAAGCACTTTATTAATATTAACTCATTTAATTCTCATAATTTTATGATGAAGACAGTAGCATCACCCTTCATTTTACAGACAGGGAAATTGAGGCATATAGATTTTTTAAAAGATTACACTGGTGAAAGGGGCAGAAAAAAGATTCACACCTGAGGCGATCGTTGAGTTCTAGAGTCTGTGTTTTAACAATTTTACTTTCTTGCTTTTAGAACAATGAAGAACAATGGAACAACATATATAATATCTTAGCACAGTACTCAATACATATTAAGTGCTCAATATGTGGCTGCTATTATTATTATTAAAGATACACTTCCATTGTGGCATTGGCTGGCAATGGCAGATCCTGCATATAACAAAGATTTTATGAGGTTTTGATGAAAGCTGACCTGAAGCACTCAAATTCTTTAGGATATCTGTCAAGTGAAAATGCCAGCATTTAAAAATGCTTGGATCTAAAGATATCAGGATACTTTCTATTGAATGTGATCTAAAGCAAACAAACAGCTAGCCAAAAATTTCTCCTCTGTCTTGCTTAGGCTAAGAAGCAAATGTATTGTCACGCATAACTGAACATTCAGAGGCAGGATTGGCTTCAGGCAGGCTGGATTCAGGCTCATACAATGTCATCTGGATTTATTCCTCCTGCCATCTGCTATGCTAGCTTCATCCTAAGACTACATTCAATAGTGCCCAGCATCTCCAATCCACGCCCTTCTGTCATCATGGAGAGATGATTCAGTAGCTCCATCTTTATATGTTTCCAAGTTTGGGCCACATGAAAGAATGAAAACCTTGTAGAGCTTAAAAAATTAAAGATTCATTCTGATTGGACTGGCTTAGTCACATGCCCATTTCTGATTCATATCAGAGAGATATGGTGGTTTGAGACCAGGTCATGTGCTCTTCTCTCGGAGGTGTAAGTGGAGTCACATCCTGACCCATGAACTAGAGCAGAATGGGCTACTATCCGAGAAAGTGGGAACTGATGTCAGGGGCTCACTGCAAAATGTTGAAGCCTTAACATATCTACATGTTTGATGTCTAGTTCTTTATAGAGAGTAAATATATGAGTCTTCCATCATTTTGATTCTTGCTTTTGTCTTGTGTACTCTTTTGATCATTATTTTTCATAGTCTGCTTTCTTATATAACTCAACATTTACAATAAGGTATCCTAGCAAGCACTTTTTAAAAACATATATAACTGCAAAAAAAGAATGGACCACTTTTCTGGGACTGTGCCTATTGAAGAAATGTGGGCTTTATTATTATCTCTTAGTTTTTTGTGTAACCTTTTAAAGTGCTTTATAGCTCTCTCTCCTCCTATATTTATCTTTCATTTGAAACAAGTGAAAAACGGGATCAATTCTTGGCATCAGAAGGAAATGAATACCTAGCAAAACTGCATCACTTTGGAAACCAGTGCAATGAATAACTACCCTTAAGCTTTCAACAACACAATTTATAGTTGAATTCTTTATACGGCTGACATGTCTTGGACGTCACACAAGGGATTCAGTTACATCTTGTATTAGTTATCTATGGCTGTGTAACAAATCACCCCAAAATTTAGCAGCTAGAAACAACACACATTTATTGTCTCACAATTTCCGTAGGTGAAGAATCTGGGAGCAGCTCAGCTGGATAGCTCTGGCTCAGAGTCTCTCACAAGACTGTACTCAAGGTGTCAGACGGGGCAGAGTCATCTCAAGGCTCAGCTGCGGGAAGGTCTGCTTCGCAGCTCACATATGTGGCCATTGTCAGATCTCAGAAGCTCTGCTTCCAAGCTTACTCACATGGGGCTCTCCACTGGTCTGTTTCACGACGTGGCACGTGGCTTCCCCTAGAGCAAGCAATGCATGAGAGAGTGAAAGAGAGCACCCAACAGGGAAGCACAAGTTTTCTGTAACTTCATTTTGAAAATGACATCCCATCACTTCTGCCATGTTCTCTTCCTAGAAGCAAGCTGATAAGTCCAGCCCACAGTCACGCGGAGGGGATTACCCAAAGGAAGGAATACCAGGAGACTAGAAGGCAGGACATTGAGGACCACCTTGAGAGCCTGCCCACTACACCTCTATACTCAGAGGACTGTGTTACAGGACAGTTTAATCTCTAGGCAAACACAGAACCAATAAGACTATAAAGCAAATAGTTTTACAAGATCCCAGTGTGGTCTGTATAGGCATTTATTTTTCAAAATTTGATTGATTTTTTTTCTCTTTAGCTGACAACATTGATTTTATTTGAGGGAGAAAAAAACCCACCAACTTAATTATTGATTTCATTTGAAAAGACTTTTTAACATTTGGAGACTTCTGGATATACTTTGAGAGTAAAAAAAAGAAACAGAACTGAAGATTCACCTACTAAAGAAATGGCTCTTGGCCGGGTGTGGTGGCTCACGCCTGTAATCCCAGCACTTTGGGAGGCTGAGGTGGGTGGATCACCTGAGGTTGGGAGTTCGAGACCAGTCTGACCAACATGGAGAAACCCCATCTCTACTAAAAATATAAAATTAGCCAAATGTGTTAGCTGGCGCCTGTAATCCCAGCTACTCAGGAGGCTGAGGCAGGAGAATCACTTGAACCCGGGAGATGGAGGTTGCAGTGAGCTGAGATCACGCCATTGCACTCCAGCTTGGACAACAAGAGCGAAACTCTGGCTAAAAGAAGAAATGGCTCTTAATTTTACAAGGTCTGCTTTACAGCTTTGTACGTATAAAGCATATTGACACATTGAAAGGAAACAATTGGGAAATAGTGAATTAAGAAAGGCTGTGTGGCTAAAGAAAAGATCACGTTTAATTTGATAGAAAATGGACTTATAGAGATGAAAAATGCTGTAGAAATGGACCGAGACAAGGCAACCCAACCATTTTTCACTTTTACATGTGAGTATGGTTTTGATTCTATTCAAACTCTGGCTTTTCTAGAAAAAAAAAAAAGAGTAACTGGCTAGAAAGTTATTCATTTCCCTTTATGCTTGGGAATGAAATAAAATGTGTTCCTCTTTTTGAAGTTGTGCGTGCTTTCCTTTCCGTCGAGGTTACTTATGAGGCACATGGAAATAAGGGAATCAATTTCTTCCTCTTCTTGTGCTACAAACCTTTATAAAGGTTGCTATAAATGTCATAACTGCCTTGTTTCCTGAAAAGTAATTTCCCTGTCATTCCGATCTGTTCCTTTGAGATACCATATTATTGGTCTATGATGATTTCTTTAAAGTGCGTCAAAGTATGTGGTTTAGTGTATTTTTCTTATTTCACTGCCTTACAGTGAATTTCTCACTCACTTCAAGGCTTGCTCCTAAGTCACCAATTATTCATAAAGGATTGCTTGATTTTATCCTCCTAATGAAATGAATTAAGGTTGAAGAAAAGCCCTTAACAGAGCATAAAATGCCAAAAAGACCTTAGGAAATTATAAGTCCTTCCAGCTAAAATGTGAATTTAACTACAAGAAGAGGAAGAAGCAGGAGAAAGAACATGCTTAGAAATGGTGGCATGATGAGTCCTATAGAGGTGGACAGAGGGGAAAGGAAGAGTCATAGTTCAGCATTTATGGCTTCCGTATTGTCAATATCCATCAGATGCATTAAAAACAATCCTAGAAACGAACAGAAAGGCCAGGAATGCAACAGCAATCACAGTGATGGTCCTAAAGCATCTAAACCTCCTCTGACCGCACAGTGTCTCTGATACCATGAAGAGTAGAAGGACAGATGAGCATGAGGGTAAATATACATATGGAAAATGTTTGTTTTTACTTGTACACCAAGAAATCACTGGCTCAAGCTCACAAAATGCAATCATATTTTATTACATTTTCCAGTTATTCAAGACTCAACTATACCAGAAAACATCTTAAAAAACACTTTTAAACAGGATGTGAATGCTTTGTATTACACAGCTTAATGTAATTGATTTAGAGTCCATGAGGAAAACCAATTTTCCTTTTTTTTTTGTGAGACATATTGATTTAAGGGAAAAAGCAGTAATTGATTGTATCTTTGGAGATCAAAGGTGAGTTGATGAGAGAGGAAACTGGAAAGGAGAGAGAAAAAGACATAGATAGAAAGAGATAAAATGAGGTCTGAATATAAACATCTATTTCTGAGATTTAACTTATTATCACTAAGTTTTCATTTTCCCCAAATATTTCTCTTCAAGGAACAGAAATCATTCGGATTCAGATCTGTGTGCATGCAAAGAATCTGTATGTGTGCTCTTTGGCTGAGCCCATTTGTAAAATAAACAAGAAACATAGAGCTGTTAAGAAATAAGATGAGCCAGGACTTACAGGCACAGATGTACCCTCATCTTTTGGATATTTATACTGAGTTTTCTTAAGCACTCAAAACTTTGGAAGGATTTTAAGATGCTTCATAGAGTCATTTGTCTAATTGGATATCTAGGAGAGCAATATCTAGGAAGAATGCACTCATTTCAGAAAACGAAAAGTTATTTGTAATTATAATAGCGGGCTTTTCTGCCTCTTTTTGGAACTGGTAGTGAGCATGCTGGCTCAGTTCCTCACCCTATGCCTCCTTTTCTTGCTTTTAAATCTTCTCCATTATCTCCTTTATTATCTGCTATTTATTTTACTGAAGGTAATCACTGCTTTATTAATCACTGCTTGAGTAACCACAGTGGGACTTGAAATGAGCTTGTTTGGATTGTAAAAGTCACAAATGCTGGTGGACCTCTTGAAATTTCCCTTTTTCCCTTCACTTTTATGAGAACTTCCACGTGTAGAAATGTCATGGGCGACCAGAGGTGGTTTAGTGTTTCTGAAGCTTGGAGAAAGGGAATTTGAAGATACTTTTCAGGTAGCATACACGTGGTGTGTCACGGTAAACCATAAGAAATTCTCATTGCTTACATGAAAGAGACTTGGTTTGCTTCAAGAGCAAAACAATAAAAATGGTTTTTGAAACAAAAGTAATTTAGGCATCCAGTTTGTTTTTCGGAAATAAAAACTCAAATGTGAATTCATTTTGAAGCTGGTAATTACATTTTGTTTCTAATGTAGTTGTAAGAAAGACTTATAAAAACTGGATTTCAAATAGCTTTTGCAAAATAACCTTTGCGTTTAGTTAAATAATCAGGGCCAGGCGTGGTGGCTCACGCCTGTAATCCCAGCACTTTGGGAGACTGAGGCGGGTGGATCACCTGAGGTCAGGAGTTCGAGACTAGATGGAGAAACCCCATCTCTACTAAAAATACAAAATTAGCCGGGCGTGGTGGTGCATGCCTGTAATCCCAGCTACTCAGAAGGCTGAGGCAGGAGAATTGCTTGAACCTGGGAGGCAGAGGTTGCAGTGAGCAAGATCACGCCATTGCACTCCAGCCTGGGCAACAAGAGCGAAACTCCGTCTCAAAAAAAAAAAAAAAAAAATCAGAAGGGAATTTCAATTTTCCTTGAAATACTACTAGATCTTAGAAAGTAGGGGCGTTATCACCGCAAAAACATGCCAAATTGTAAGGACCATCGATGCTAAGAAGAGACTGCATCAACTAACGAGCAAAATAACCAGCTAACATCATAATGACAGGATCAAGTTCACACATAACAATATTAATCTTAACTGTAAATGTGCTAAATGCTCCAATTAAAAGACACAGACTGGCAAATTGGATAAAGAGTCAAGACCCATCAGTGTGCTGTATTCAGGAAACCCATCTCATGTGCAGAGACACACATAGGCTCAAAATAAAGGGATGGAGGAAGATCTACCAAGCAAATGGAAAACAAAAAAAGGCAGGGGTTGCAGTACTAGTCTCTGATAAAACAGACGTTAAACCAACAAAGATCAAAAGAGACAAAGAAGGCCATTGGATAATGGTAAAGGGATCAATTCAACAAGAAGAACTAACTATCTTAAATATATATGCACCCAATATGGGAGCACCCAGATTCATAAAGCAAGTCCTTAGAGAACTACAAAGCGACTTAGACTCCCACACAATAATAATGGGAGACTTTAACACCCCACTGTCAACATTAGACAGATCAACGAGACAGAAAGTTAACAAGGATATCCAGGAATTGAACTCAGCTCTGCACCAAGCAGACCTAATAGACATCTACAGAACTCTCCACCCCAAATCAACAGAATACACATTCTTCTCAGCACCACACTGCACTTACTCCAAAATTGACCACATAGTTGGAAGTAAAGCACTCCTCAGCAAATGTGAAAGAACAGAAATTATAACAAACTATCTCTGAGACCACAGTGCAATCAAACTAGAACTCAGGATTAAGAAACTCACTCAAAACTGCTCCACTACATGGAAACTGAACAACCTGCTCCTGAGTGACTACTGGGTAAATAACAAAATGAAGGCAGAAATAAAGATGTTCTTTGAAACCAACGAGAACAAAGACACAACATACCAGAATCTCTGGGACACATTTAAAGCAGTGTGTAGAAGGAAATTTATAGCACTAAATGCCCACAAGAGAAAGCAGGAAAGATCTAAAATTGACACCCTAACATCACAATTAAAAGAACTAGAGAAGCAAGAGCAAACACATTGAAAAGCTAGCGGAAGGCAACATATAACTAAGATCAGAGCAGAACTGAAGGAAATAGAGGCACAAAAAGCCCTTCAAAAAATCAATGAATCCAGGAGGTGGTTTTTTGAAAAGATCAACAAAATTGATAGACCGCTAGCAAGACTAATAAAGAGGAAAAGAGAGAAGAATCAAATAGATGCAATAAAAGATGGTAAGGGGGATATCACCACCGATCCCACAGAAATACAAACTACCATCAGAGAATACTACAAACACCTCTTCGCAAATAAGCTAGAGAATCTAGAAGAAATGGATAAATGCCTCGACACATACACTCTCCCAAGACTAAACCAGGAAGAAGTTGAATCTCTGAATAGACCAATAACAGGCTCTGAAATTGAGGCAATAATTAATAGCTTACCAACCAAAAAAAAAGTCCAGGACCAGATGGATTCACAGCTGAATTCTACCAGAAGTACAAGGAGGAACTGGTACCATTCCTTCTGAAACTATTCCAATCAATAGAAAAGAGGGAATCCTCCCTAACTCATTTTATAAGGCCAGCATCATCCTGATACTAAAGCCTGGCAGAGACACAACAAAAAAAGAGAATTTTAGACCAATATCCCTGATGAACATCGATGCAAAAATCCTCAATAAAATACTGGCAAACCGAATCCAGCAGCACATCAAAAAGCTTATCCACCATGATCAAGTGGGCTTCATCCCTGGGATGCAAGGCTGGTTCAACATATGCAAATCAATAAATGTCATCCAGCATATGAACAGAAGCAACGACAAAAAACACATGATTATCTCAATAGATGCAGAAAAGACCTTTGACAAAATTCAACAACCCTTCATGCTAAAAACTCTCAATAAATTAGGTATTGATGGGACATATCTCAAAATAATAAGAGCTATTTATGACAAACCCACAGCCAATGTCATACTGAATGGGCGAAAACTGGAAGTATTCCCTTTGAAAACTGACACAAGACAGGGATGCCTTCTCTCGCCACTCCTATTCAACATAGTGTTGGAAGTTCTGGCCAGGGCAATCAGGCATAAGAAAGAAATAAAGGGTATTCAATTAGGAAAAGAGGAAGTCAAATTGTCCCTGTTTGCAGAGACATGATTGTATGTCTAGAAAACCCCATTGTCTCAGCCCAAAATCTCCTTAAGCTGATAAGCAACTTCAGCAAAGCCTCAGGATACAGAATCAATGTGCAAAAATCACAAGCATTCTTATACACCAATAACAGACAAACAGAGAGCCAAATCATGAGTGAACTCCCATTCACAATTGCTTCAAAGAGAATAAAATACCTAGGAATCCAACTTACAAGGGATGTGAAGGACCTCTTCAAGGAGAACTACAAACCACTGCTCACCGAAATAAAAGAGGATACAAACAAATGGAAGGATATTCCATGCTCATGGATAGGAAGAATCAATATCCTGAAAGTGGCCATATGCCCAAAGTAATTTATAGATTCAATGCCATCCCCATCAAGCTACCAATGACTTTCTTCACAGAATTGGAAAAAACTAAAGTTCATATGGAACCAAAAAAGAGCCTGCATTGCCAAGTCAAAAGAACAAAGCTGGAGGCATCATGCTACCCGACTTCAAACTATACTACAAGGCTACAGTAACCAAAACAGCATGGTACTGGTACCAAAACAGAGATATAGGCCAATGGAACAGAACAGAGCCCTCAGAAATAATACCACACATCGACAACTATCTGATCTTTGACAAACCAGACAAAAACAAGATATTGGGAAAGGATTCCCTATTTAACAAATGGTGCTGGGAAAACTGGCTAGCCATATGTAGAAAGCTGAAACTGGATCCCTTCCTTATTCCTTATACAAAAATTAATTCAAGATGGATTAAAGACTTAAATGTTAGACCTAAAACCATAAAAACCCTAGAAGAAAACCTAGGCAATACCATTCAGGACATAGGCATGGGTAAGGACTTCATGTCCAAAACACCAAAAGCAAGGGCAACAAAAACCAAAATTGACAAATGGGATCTAATTAAACTAAAGCGCTTCTGCACAGCACAAGAAACTACCATCAGAGTGAACAGGCAACCTACAGAATGGGAGGGAATTTTTGCAATCTACTCATCTGACAAAGGGCTAACATACAGAATCTACAAAGAACACAAACAAATTTACAAGAAAACAACAACCCCATCAAAAAGCGGGCAAAGGGTATGAACAGACATTCTCAAAAGAAGACATTTATGCAGCCAACAGACACCTGAAAAAATGCTCATCATCACTGGCCATCAGAGAAATGCAAATCCAAACCACAATGAGATACCATCTCACACCAGTTAGAATGGCAATCATTGAAAAGTCAGGAAACAACAGGTGCTGGAGAGGATGGGGAGAAATAGGAACGCGTTTACACTGTTGGTGGGACTGTAAACCATTGTGGAAGACAGTGTGGTGATTCCTCAGGGATCTAGAACTAGAAATACCATTTGACCCAGCCATCCCATTACTGGGTATATGCCCAAACGATTATAAATCATGCTGCTATAAAGACACATGCACTCGTATGTTTATTGCGGCACCATTCACAATAGCAAGGACCTGGAACCAACCCAAATGTCCAACAATGATAGACTGGATTAAGAAAATGTGGCACATATACACCATGGAATACTATGCAGCCATAAAAAATGATGAGTTCATGTCCTTTGTAGGGACATGGATGAAGCTGGAAACCATCATTCTCAGCAAACTATCGCAAGGACAAAAAACCAAACATCTCATGTTCTCACTCATAGGTGGGAATTGAACAATGAGAACACATGGATACAGGAAGGGGGACATCACACACCGGGGCCTGTTGTGGGGTGGGGGGAGAGGGGAGGGATAGCATTAGGAGATATACCTAATGTAAATGACAAGTTAATGGGTGCAGCACACCAACATGGCACATGTATACATACGTAACAACCTGCATGTTGTGCACATGTACCCTAAAACTTAAAGTATAATAATAAAAAGAAAAAGAAAGTAGGGGCATTATGAATCTACACAGGTGATAATATTTCATAGACACACACACACACAGAACATCATGTAAAAACTGGTGAAATCTGAATAAAGCCAATATTTGAGTTAATACTATAATACCAGTGTCAATTTCCTGGTTTGACACTGTACTCCATTTATGTAAAATACGTCATTATATGGGGAAGCTGACTGAAGGGTACACACACGGTAACTCTCTGATTTTCTGCAACTTCTTGAGAATTCAAATTTGAGAAAAATGAAGATCAGGAACGTAAGAAGAAACTGAAGTTATTTAGAGCTATGTCTTGATGCTTCTTTTCTCATTTCTTTCATACACACTTCGCCTAGGAGCTTTAAATACCATATAGATGCTGACACACCCAATTTATATCTCCTGGGTGTATCTCTCTTCTGAGTTCCAAGGTCATACCTAATTGCCTGTTTGACATCTTCTCTTAGTACTATCACAGGCATCTCAAAAGTTTTAAATCCAAGAGTGAGTTTTTAAAAAATTTCAGTAGTTTTGGGGAGTACAAGTGATTTTTGGTTACATGGATAAGTTTTAGTGGTGTTTCTAAGATTTTAATGTACTCGTCACTGTACCCAATATGTTGCCTGTTATCCCTCACCCCCACAACTCTCCCCCACAACAGGTCCCCAAAGTCCATTATATCATTCTTATGCCTTTGTGTCCTCATAGCTTAGCTACCACTTATGAGAAAATACAATGTTTGATTTTCCATTGCTGAGTTACTTCACTTAGAATAATGACCTCCAGCATCATCCAAGTTGCATTCCTTTTTATGGCTGAGTAGTATTCCATGGTGTATATATACCACATCTTCTTTACCCACTCATTGGTTGATGGGCATTTAGGTTGGTTCCATATTTTTGCAATTGCAAATTGTGCTGCAATAAACGTGAATGTGCATATGTCTTTTTAATATCATGACTTATTTTTCTTTGGGTAGGTACCCAGTAGTGGGATTACTGGATCTAATGGTAGTTCTACTTTTAGTTTTTCAAGGATTCCTGTGAGTGAGTTTTTGAGCAAGTTCCCTAACCCCAGATTTCAGCTGCACGTTGTACTTATTCAGGTTAAGCCTGGAAATGATCCCATCTCTAACCAGCCTCTGCTCCCAACATCCAGTCTACCACCAAACCCAGGCAATTTTACCCTCAAAGAACCGTTGGAAACTCCTAATGTATTTTTCTTACAGTTTTCATTATGGAAAATAGTAAGCATTTACAGAATAAAGATAATACCATAATGAATCCCTGTGTAGCTATCACCCAGCCTCCAAAATATTATATTCAACTCATGTCCAGTTTTATTTTCTCTCCTCTCCATTTCCTCCACTTCAGTGTATTTTGAAGCCTATCTCAAGTATCATATTATTTCTGCTGTAAATATTTCAACATACTTTTCTAAAAAATACAATATTCCTTACTTGAAAATTATAATTTCTTAATATTATCAAATATCTAGTCATAGTGCACATTTGTATGATTAGCTTATGATTTTTACAGTATGTTTTTTCAAATCAAACAGTTTCATACATAGCAATTGGTGGATATGTTTCTTATCCTTTTTAATCATCTCATTTTTTTCTTATTTGTTTATTGAATAAACTAGGTCATCTATCTGTTAGAATTTCCAGCCCTCTGCATCTTTATGATTTCATCTGTGTGGCTGACGTAGAGATGTACCACCCAGATCCCACTTCAGGAAGGTCTTGTTGCACAGTTGCTGGGAATGTGAGCAGCAGACAGATTCCCTCTTCCAGCTTTCAGTTCCTTCATTATCTTACTTAGTCATACGGAGCTTCTTTGTTTTCTTTTTTCTTCTTTTTTTGAGACGGAGTATCACTCTGTTGCCCAGGCTGGAGTGCAGTGGTGTGATCTCAGCTCACTGCAAGCTCTGCCTTCCCAGGTTCAAGCGATTCTCCTGCCTCAGCCTCCTGAGTAGCTGGGATTACAGGTGGCACCACCATGCCCAGCTAATTTTTGTATTTTTAGTAGAGACAGGGTTTCACAGTGTTGGCCGGGCTGGTCTCAAAATCCTGACCTCAGGTGATCCACCCACCTCGGCCTCCCAAAGTGCTGGGATTACAGACTTGAGCCACCACTCCTGGCCAGAGCTTCTTTGTTTTCTAGCATATCAAGGTAATTCAGGATAGTCTTGTACATTTCTGCCTTAATCCTAGAATTATCTATTTTCTTTTAAGGATTTCTAACTCCTTATAATAGGAAATTATCTTTAGGGATCATAATCTGGACACAAGGAGTGTTCTTTATTTTCTACGCTGAAAACAGTGATCAGAGCCGGGAAATTTAAAAATAGGACTACAAGATTATCACTTAAACTTATGGAGGCTGAGATGTGTTAAGTTCTGCTGTCTGCAAGTTGGAGACCCAGGAAAGCCAGTGGTATGGTTTGAAGGCCTGAGAGCCAGTGAACTGATGGTATAGACTCTAGTCTGGGTCTGAAGGCCTCAGAACCAAGAGTGCTGAAGGCAGGAGAAGATCAATGTTCCAGCTCAAGCAGGCAGGCAGAGAGCAAATTCAAGCTTCCTCCACCTTTTGTTCTATTCAGAGCCTGAATGGATTGGATCATGCCCACCCATGTTAGAGGGGGCATCTGCCTTACTTAGTCCACCATCTAAATGCTAATCTCTTCTGGAAACACCCTCACAGAGATCACAAGAAATAATGTTTAACCAGCTATCTGGGTAACCTGTGGCCTAGTCAAGTTGACACATAAAATTAAGCATCACAGTATGGTCTTTAAATCAGCAATGGCTTCACCTGGGAGCTTGTTAGAAACTCAGATTTTCAGACCCACCTTCAGACCTATTGAATCAGAATTTGAATTTCAATAAGTTTGAGAAGCACTGCTTTAATTTAACCCATTTTATTCTTTCTCACACACGTGTAGAATTTTTCATCCGTATTCATTCTTTGACACCTTTTCTCCTTCTGTCATGATAGCAAACATTGATTGTGCCAACAGATCAATGTGCAATTGTGCCAATTTGCACAGACACTGCGTAGAGTGCTTTTGAAATTATTTAATACTCAAAGACCCTTTAAAGAAGATCTGATTATTATCTCCATTTTTCAGGAGAAGGAACAGAGGCTTAGGATAGTCAAGTAACCTGCCCAAGTTACACAGCAGTGGTAAATCCAGGACTGAAAAATAGCTGGTCCGATTCATACATTGTGTTTAACTACTTTGCCATATTAACTCCCTGGGATCTTTCTAATCCTTCAATATTTCCATAAAATTCTGTCTTCTTCAGCCCCTTTGCTGAACTCTTGCAGTTATTCCATTGCTTCTCAGAAGTTGATAAATTATCCTGTCTTCATTAATGAGTCAATTGTTCTTTCTCTAATACCCCACACTTGATCATTAAGGAATGCTATGTCTGACCTTCAAAATATTCCTCGAGTGTGAGCACTGCTCATTGTTTAGTCCACTGCCACCCAGTTAAAGCACCATTGTCTCTTGCCTGGAACATAACATACTCCTCTAATTGCCTCCCGTTCTTGCTTGTCTACAGTGTGTCAAGAACAGCCATGGTGGTCTCCTGTTCAAAATCTTTCAATGGCTTCTAACTGCGCTTCTAGTGAAATCCAAACTAATTACCAAGGCTTATAAGGCTCTGTATTACAGGTCAGAAAACAATGGACTAAGGGCCCAATATGGCCTGCCACTGATTTGAAAAATAAAGCTTTACTGTAACCCAGCCATATCCATTTGTTTACATATGATTTGTGGCTGGCTTTTCCTTTACTATGGTGGCATTGAGTAGTTGTGACTGAGACTGTGGGGCCCACAAAGCCTAAAATATTTCCTATCTAACCCTTTACAGAGAAAATTTATTAATCCACATTTTAGATGGTCTGGCCCTGCCTACCTTTCGGACTTCATCTCCTAGCTCTCTCCCTTGTGTGCCCTCTGCCCTGGCCACAAAGCCTCCTTGCTCTTCCTTGAACATGCCAAGCTTGCTTCTGCCACAGGATTTCAACACAAAATATTTACTTTGCCTAGAATGTTTTTATCTCTAAGATCCACATATCTCCCTCCCTAGCTTCATCCAAGTTCTGCTCAAATGTCACTTCAGCATGGCCTTCCCTGACCACCCTCCCTAACATCCCCCCACCCCTATTCCATCACCTTCCACTCCTTGCCCTGCTTTATTCTTCACGGCTTTTATCACCATCCTGCATCCATCTGTTTGTCTGTTTGTTAATTTATTGTCTCTCTTCTTCCACTAAAACCTAAGCTCCATGGAATCAAGGATCTTAATTGTTTGGTTCTCTCTTGTATCTCTAGCAGTCTTAGACCACATAGGTGCTTAGTTTATTTGTTAAACAAACTAACTTCCTAACTAGCTATTATGTGTGGCAGGTGCTGTGCTAGATACTAGGTATACAGAGGTGAACTCTTGTTTATGGCTCTCCAGGGCCCACATGGGACCTGGACGTGGTTCTGGAAAGTGATCATCTTGAGCTTCGTGTGGCAATTCCTCAAAGACCTAGAACCAGAAATACCATTTGGCCTAGCAATCCCATTACTGTGTACATACCCAAAGGAATATAAATCATTCTGTTATAAAGCTACATGCACACGTATGTTCATTGCAGCACTATTCACAATAGCAAAGACTCGGAATCAACTCAAATGCTCATCAATGATAGACTGGATAAAGAAAATGTGGTACATATACACCATGGAATACTATGCAGCCATGAAAAGGAACAAGATCATGTCCTTTTTGGGGACTTGGATGGAGCTGGAAGCCATTATCCTCAGCAAACTAATGCAGGAACAGAAACCAAACACTGCATGTTCTTATAAGTGGGAGCTGAACAATGAGAACACATGGACACAGGGAGGGGAACAACACACACTGGGGCCTGTTGGGTTCGGGGCGTGAGCAGGGGGAGGGTAAGCATCAGGATAAATAGCTAATGCATGCGGGGCTTAATACCTAAGTGATGGGTTCATAGGTGCAGCAAAGCACCATGGCACACGTTTACCTGTGTAACAAACCTGCACATCCTGCACATGTATCCCGGAACTTAAGAAAAAAAGAGATACTGCAAAAGTCATCAGGAGCCAGCACACCTGCCAGGTGAAACCAGGTGTTCTAAGGCAGGGCATCTATATTTTTGGATTTCAGAGAATTAGGTTTTTTTCTCTGCATTTTCTTCTTACTACTGGAGAATGACATAAGGCTGCCAACTTAATTATTTTGTCATATTGGATATTTCAAGTAATAAATCTGCTGTCTGCAAAAAGACACCTTCAAGATAGGTGAAAACATTTAAATATGAACTGGATATTAGATAATGCAATGGAATTATTAATACTTAGTGTGACAATGGAAATATGATTATATCTGAAAATGTCAGTTTTGCTTAGAGATGTATATTGGAGTACACAGGGATGAAATGGCATGAAGCGTGGGATTGGCTTTCAAATAACTGGGCACAGCAATGAAGTGTGGAAGGTAGTAGTGTTACCCCATTTTACAGAAAAGGAGAGGGAATCTTTTTTTTTTTTTTTTTTTAATTTTATTTTTATTTTTTTATTTTTTTATTTTTTATTTTTTTTTTTTATTGATCATTCTTGGGTGTTTCTCGCAGAGGGGGATTTGGCAGGGTCATAGGACAATAGTGGAGGGAAGGTCAGCAGATAAACAAGTGAACAAAGGTCTCTGGTTTTCCTAGGCAGAGGACCCTGCGGCCTTCCGCAGTGTTTGTGTCCCTGGGTACTTGAGATTAGGGAGTGGTGATGACTCTTAACGAGCATGCTGCCTTCAAGCATCTGTTTAACAAAGCACATCTTGCACCGCCCTTAATCCATTTAACCCTGAGTGGACACAGCACATGTTTCAGAGAGCACAGGGTTGGGGATAAGGTCACAGATCAACAGGATCCCAAGGCAGAAGAATTTTTCTTAGTACAGAACAAAATGAAAAGTCTCCCATGTCTACTTCTATCCACACAGACCCGGCAACCATCTGATTTCTCAATTTTTTCCCCACCCTTCCCGCCTTTCTATTCCACAAAACCGCCATTGTCATCATGGCCCATCCCCAATGAGCCGCTGGGCACACCTCCCAGACGGGGTCGTGGCCGGGCAGAGGGGCTCCTCACTTCCCAGTAGGGGCGGCCGGGCAGAAGCGCCCCTCACCTCCCGGATGGGGCGGCTGGCCGGGCGGGGGGCTGACCCCCCGACCATCCTCCCGGACGGGGCGGCTGGCCAGGCAGAGGGGCTCCTCACTTCCCAGTAGGGGCGGCCGGGCAGAGGCGCCCCTCACCTCCCGGACGGGGCGGCCAGCCGGGCGGGGGGCTGACCCCCCCACCTCCCTCCCGGACAGGGCGGCTGGCCGGGCAGAGGGGCTCCTCACTTCCCAGTAGGGGCGGCCGGGCAGAGGCGCCCCTCACCTCCCGGACGGGGCGGCTGGCCAGGCGGGGGGCTGATCCCCCCACCTCCCTCCCGGACGGGGCGGCTGGTCGGGCGGGGGGCTGACCCCCCCCACCTCCCTCCCGGACAGGGCGGCTAGCCGGGCGGGGGGCTGACCCCCCCACCTCCCTCCCGGATGGGGCGGCTGGCCAGGCGGGGGGCTGACCCCCCACCTCGAGAGGGAATCTTTTGATGAACTTGCCACTCATCAAGATTACACAACTAGTAAGAGGTGGAGCTAAGAGTTGAACTCAGACAATATGAACCTAAAAACCAGTGTTACTAAATGAGTCACTCCAATGAAGAACTTTAACTGGAAATTTGGTGTCCTACGGAGAGGCCGTAGCATGCAAAGATGCCAGCTGTCCTCATTGATACTTCTACCTACCCTTCCATCTGTGCTCCTGCCTCCATTCCCACCCTCAGATAAGGAAACTCAGGACCTCTAGACATGTCAAGAACATACTTGAGTTGAGAGACAGCTCTCCATATAGACAGCTCTCCATATAGACACCAAAGTTTGTAGCCAGATTTTTTTTTTTCATTTTTTTAATCTTTCATCTCCATGGTGTTCAATGAACCCGGAACATAAACAGACAGATGGTCTGAGTGGGCGGGCATTTTCACTTAATGCTAACACAGTTGCCATCAATCCCACCTCTTAAACTAATACCACCTCCCTCTTAAATTAATGACGTCACAGGTATGCAGCTCCCTGCAGACCTTGGCAATCACATGGGAATCTTTTTGGCACTTCTGAGAGATAAGATCTATGGAAAAAAGTCTCAGAATCTGCAAATCTTTTCCAGAGAAACCTTATCCTGTTAAGAACTCTTGGACTGATAGTCTCTTGATAACTGACAGTGAAATAACACTAATAATAACAACTAAAATGTACCGTGCATTTATTAGTATCAGGTACCATGCTGAGTACAAGGATTTTCACTCCATTCTCATCACCACTCTGCTTAGTGAGTACCTTGTGGCTGTTTTGGAGGTGGGAAAACTTATAACCAGCTAACGTTTTTACTTATGAATTCTCTTACCTCAAATATTTACGAAGCATCTTCCATACTTAAGGCACATTATGTACAACTTATTACAGACTTTCAAGGAGCTTTTAGCCTTAAAAATGGGAGAAATTAACAGCAACAATAACACTTACGGAGTTTTTACCATGTGTCAGATGCTGCGCCTTTCGATCTTTGGTTGTTTAATGATTTCAACAGTCTCTGATATGGATTCTCTTTTCTGCCCCATATTTTAGAAACAGGGAAACTGGAGCATAGATAGGTTAAGTGACATGCCTCAAGTCACACATGTACTAAACGGTTAGAGCTCAGATTTGAACCCCAGAAGCCTGTCTGTTGACCTGCATGCCTAGCCACCATGCCATACTGGTCTTCCTTATTTAAAATGTACACATCCCCCCACCCATCCCCCCACCAACACACACTAAAAATAACCAGTAATGTGAAATCAGCTTAGAATAAATTCTATTCACTTTTTTTTTTTTTTTTTTTTTTGAGATGGAGTCTCCCTCTGTCACCCAGGCTGGAGTGCAGTGGCGCGATCTCGGCTCACTGCAAGCTCCGCCTCCCGGGTTCACGCCATTCTCCTGCCTCAGCCTCCCGAGTAGCTGGGACTACAGGCGCCCGCCACCGCACCAGGCTAATTTTTTGTATTTTTAGTAGAGACGGGGTTTCACCGTGTTAGCCAGGATGGTCTCGATCTCCTGACCTCGTGATCCGCCCACCTTGGCCTCCCTATTTACTTTTTTCTACATTCAATGAGAGCGTCAACATCTCTAGGCAAGAAGTCTCATTCATATTTCTGTCCCCAGGACCCCAGACCAGTGACTCAGTGGGTAGTGGTGTTGATTTTGTACCCCAGGGAACATTTGGTAATGTCTGCAGACCTTTCTAGTTGCCACAACGTGGGGCGGGGTGTGCTACTGGCTTCTAGTGGGTAATAACAAGGATGCTGCTACCCCTGCAGAACACACAAGAGAGTCCCTGACATCAGAGAATTCCCCAGCCCCAAATCGGTGATGCCAAGGCTGAGACCCTGCCTGAGTATAATGACTAACAAAGTTAAGTGTTCAATATATAGTTTTTTGGGTAAATTTCAAGTCGTATACCAACAACCTCCACCAAACGACAATCCCTAAAAGATAACGTTTGCTTATCTTTCAAAACCCAGCTCAAGCAGCACCACCTCCTAGAAGCCTTTCTGACACCATCAGACAGCATTTTTTTTTTCTTTTTAAAAATCCTAGTAAAATATTGGCTTATTTTACTTTCTCTTCACCCTTTTCCTAGTCAGCTCTGCTCAGGGAATGCAAATGTCAGCCTAAGGATGACACTATTAGGCCAAAAGTATGTTTCTTCAAAAGCAATGTGAAACATTTCAAAGTTAAAAAAAAAAAAAAAAAAGGAAAAACCTGTGAATTTTCCATGGCTTTGTAGCTGGGATTTAAATCCTAAGTTTCCAGTCACAAGCAATTATCCAGCTTTTAATGAAATGCAAGCCTTCTATCTAGTTGCTAAATCTCCTGAGATGGTTTCTGGTTTCTTCAGTTCTCAGTAGAAATTCTTTTTTTTTTTTATAGACAGGTTTATTGAGGTACAATTTACATACAGTAAAATTCACTCTTGTTAAGTGGATAGTTCTATTTGTTTTGACAAATGTACAGTGGTGTAAACATCACAAAAACAAACTAAGCACACACAAAGTGTTAATAGTAAATGTTTTACATTTTACCACATTTATTTATTTGTTTGTTTGTTTATTTATTTGAGACGGAGTCTTGCTGTATCACCCAGGCTGGAGTGCGATGGTGCAATCTCGGCCCACTGCAACCTCCACCTCCCAGGTTCAAGTGATTCTCCTGCCTCAGCCTCCCGAGTAGCTGGGATTACAGGTTCATACCACCAGGCCCGGCTAATTTTTGTTTTTTTAGTAGAGACGATGTTTCACCATGTTGGCCAGCCTGGTCTCAAACTCCTGACCTCAAGCGATCTGTTTGCCCCGGCCTCTCAAAGTGCTGAGATTACAGGCGTGAGCCACTGTGCCTGGCCTAATTTTTATTTTTATTTTTTTTTTTCAAGAAGCCTGTCTTGCTTTTGTAAGTATTTTCTATCTGGTCTATCAAGACATAATTTACATATAATAAAATTTACCCTTTGCAGTTCTGAGAGTTTTGATAAGTGTATACAATCATATAATCACTACCACCTTCATGATGAAGAACATTTCTATCACCTCTAAACATTTTCTCATACCCAGGTGCAGTTAAGCCCCTTCCCTCTTCACACGAGGGGAAGAGGCAAGGGCCCTGAGAACACCTGAGAGCACCTGACGGGTGGGTTTCTGAGCTGGTACTTTTGCTTTTTCCAGAATGTTATAGAAATGGAATCATATAACGGTGTGTGGTATTTCATGCCTAACTTCTTTTGCTTCACGTAATGCCTCTGAGTTTCATCTATGTTGTTGGAGGTATCCATAGTTTGTTCTTTTTATTGCTTTTTATTCCATTGTATGGATGTAGCACAGCTTCTTTAATTCATGAGTCGATAGGTATTTGGTTTGCTTCCAGTTTTTGGAGATGATGGAGATTATGAATAAATCTGCTCTAAGTATTTGCATACATGGTTTCATTGGGACATAAATTTTTGTTTTTCCTGGATAATAGGAGTGAGATTGTTGGGTCTATGGTAAGTACATCTTTAACTTTTATAAGAAGCTACCAAACTGTTTTCCAAAGTGCTTGTGCTGTTTCACCATCCCATTAGCAATGGATGACAGTCCCAGCCACTTCACCTCTCTGCCACCACTTAAAATTGTCAGTGGTGGCCAGACATAGTGACTCATGCTGGTAATCTCAGCACTTTGGGAGGCTGAGACGGGAGGATCACTTGAGTCCAGGAGTTCAAGACCAGCCTGGACAGTACAGTGAGACCTTGTCTGTACAAAAAAAAAAAAAAAAAATTAGCCGGGCATGGTGGTGCATGCCTATAGTCTCAGCTACTCAGGAGGCTGAGGTGAGAGGATCATTTGAGCCTGGGAGGAGGACACTGCCATGAGCCAAGACTGTACCACTGCACTCCAGCCTGAGCAACAGAGCAAGACCTTATCTCAAAAAAAAAAAAAAAATTGCCATTTTCATTTCCCTGATGACTAATGATGTCAAGCATTTTTAATGTGCTTATTTGCCATCCATATATCTTCAGTGGTTATGCGCTTATTGAAATCTTTTGCTCACGTTTTAATTTGGCTGTTTTCTGTGAGTTTTGAGAGTTCTCGATATATTTTAGATACAAGCCCATTATTAGATTTGTAATTTGCAAATATTTTCTCCTAGCTGTGGCTTGTCTTTTCATTCTCTTAACATTCTTTCAAAGAGCAGAAGCCTATAATTTTGATGAAGTCCAAGTTATCAATTTTTTCTTTTATAATTTGTACTTTTTGTGTTTTACATAAGAAATAATTGTCTAGTACCAGGTCATAAAGATTTTTTTTCTCCTAAGTTCCCTTTTAGCAGTTTTGTTTTTTTTTAGATTTTACATTTAGAGCTATGATTCATGTTGAGTTTTGTGCATAGTTTGAGGTATAAGTCAAGGTCTCTTATTTTTGTATATGATGACCGACTGTTCCAACAGAATTTGTTAAAAAGACAATTGTAAGTTGCAGGGCCCGCTCAAACCGAGTAACCATTGCTTAAGTTGTTTTGGATAGCACAGGGCCAAAATTGCAAGTCATATAGCCCAGACATGCCAATGAAAAACAGCTTTAACCTCTTAGTATCACCAGCCAGGCAGGCTGGCTGCATTGGCAGCACCTGGGACTAGTTAGGAACGTCATAGAGCTTGACCCACCTCCAGATCAGGGAGACAAATTTCAGCGTTGCCTCTACCTCCTTGCCAGTCAACTTGCAGTGAAGCTTTTTCTTGTCTCAAAAGCTGGTGCCATAATAGGGGCTTCTCTGCACGCCAGGTATGAATTGACTGCTCAATAACATAATCATTATTCATTAAATTACCTTTGCACCATTATCAAAAGTTAACTGACAATATGTATGCAGATTTATTTTTATTCTGTATTCTGTTTATGGCAGCTTTGTATCTACTTTCTTGAGCAAACACATGTACCAAACACAGTTAACAGCACTTTACAAATAATAACTCATTTAGTACTCATTACAACCCTCATGGCATCTGCTTCTAATGGTTCTATTTTCTTGGCAAGGAACCTGAGGCACGGAGAGGCTAAGTAGATTTCCTAGGGTCACACAGCCTGTAATTGATGGCACTTAGCTTCTATTTTCTTCTCTCATTGTAAATCATCCTTTAGTATAATTGTGGATTTGGTTGTCTGAATTTTTCACTAGTTGGTAAGCTGTTTGAGGGTAGAGATTGCGTCTTTAAGCTTTGTGGCCTAAGCACTTAGCTAATGCCAGCCTTGGAGAACATGCTCCATGAAGGTGTATAAATGAACGAATGAATGAATGGGCAAATGCACAAAGTATGGACGAAATGAGTGCTCTGAAGGTTGTGCTCTTTGGAACCTCTGCCACTGGCATCATTTCCCAAGTGAAAAAAAAAATGGCTGCCAACAACGCAGACAAAAAGCTAAGTGAAAATGAATACAGGATCTGTCTCTAATAAAAACAGAAAAAGAATTATGCTTAGAAATATTCATCACTGGTGCACGATGATCCAGATTTCAACAGATCAACCTTGATATGCTGATAAGAGACTATTTGTGGAAAGACTGAACCTTGGAGGCCACACTGCAGGGCTCCACCGGAGATATGACAATTGCCAACATCTGTATGGGAATTAAGGGATGGAGACATGAGGTTAATTGCCAGGGCTTTAAGAGGCAGGAGAGGAGGAGGTGGAAGAATTATAAGAATCATGGTGCTGTTAGTGGGAACAGCCAAGGCTCTGGAGTTGGCAAAGAAGATTAAGCTGCGGGTGACAGGCAGGTGGAGGGAAACCCAGCACATCCCACTGGCTCAAGGTGACCTTTCTTTCTTTTCTTTTCCTTTTATGATTAAAGGACAATCATGCTTGTGGTTACAACTGTCAACAGAAAAGGAGGGTAGAAATTAAAAAGTCTCCAAACTTCCTTGGTTCCCCTGAGAGAGTTCATAAGATTGACTTTGATTCCAGACATTTTTCTGGATACATACAGTGATCTATCATAAATATCTAACTAGCAGGCAAATTTTTGTGTTTCCCTCACCTCAGGGAGTCCTCTTACTTCCAAGTCTTTCCAAAGTTTCTCATATTCCAGAAAACATATTTTCTAATTTTATTTTTATTTTTTGCACAACGAACAGCTCTTTGTTGCTTACTTTAGCTGCAGATTAGAATCATCTGAAGATTTTTGTTTTATTTATAAATGATGACTGCAGAAGCCTCAGTCCCAGAGAATCTGATAGCTTTGTTTTTGGGTATGGCCTAGATATTGGCGTGTTCCCCACATGATTCTACTATGCAGCCAGATGGAAGTACAACTGATTCTCAAGTCAAGTTGCACCAGAATTACTTTATTTCCCTTAACTATGGTTATTAGCCAAGCCCCTGATTAGAGAGTCTGATTCAGTCCTTTTGGAATGGGGTCAGGGCAGTGGTATTTTTTTTTCTCTGTTCCCCAGGTGCAGCTATGGTTGACTCACTGCTGCCTGAAGCTTTTGCAATCCATGCTAATGGGAGATGTGTTGGAGGGGAACCTTATGCAATGTGTAGAAAAGGAGGCAAAGACGTTGAACCCAGACCTGGTCATTCTCAGCAGGAGTTCACAATTGCAATTTGTGGATGCTGTAAGCATCTCTGTGATGGTCAGGAGTATCTACCTGCAAGATAAAGGAAAAAGAATTTTACTAATGTTACATGATTGGCTACTTGATGCAGGATCTTACCTGGAGGAACATCATTCATTTAAATAAAAATGAAAACAATCTGCTGTGAATCACTGTGTTCAATCAGTGCTTCTCAAACATGAATGTGCACAGGAATCATCAGGGGATCTTGTAACGATGCAGGTTTTGATTTGGTGGATCTGGGTTGGGGCCTGAGATGCTGCCTTTCTAATAAGCTCCTGGGGAATTGTCTCGGGATGACAATTTGAGTGGCAGGGTATCAGTTCACTCAAAATGTGGTTCTGATGTGAGAAGCTTGAATATAGTTATTTTATGCAGTAAGAGAGTGAATCATATTTCAAATTGACTTTATTCTCTATGTATGATTTTAAATGGATGTATAGCTAACATAAGAAATGAACATAGTGAACCATTCAATTGTACAGTTTATATATACCATTTGGCCCAAATGCTTTTTTACTTACTTTTAAAATCTTTTCATTAAGAATAAAGTTTTGCTTTGAGGGTGGGATGGTTGGTAATTTTGTATTCTGGCACATATACAATCCTTTAGGGATTAGCGTTCATAAACATAGATAGTTCTCTGAAAGCATTGAACAGGTGGTAGAATGAAGTAGGAAGCCGGTGACTGAGAAAAATCTAGGCTGGTTAGCAGATGCCTTCGCTTGGAAAATAGGGATAATATTCATACCTACCTCATAAAGTTGCTGTAGAAATAAAATGGGGGGATACATATGCAAAGCATATAGCATAGTGTCTGCTCCATAAAAGGGACTCCATAAGCTATGCCAGTTTTATCACTATGTTACCAGTCCTTCAGGAGGTTATGGGATGCTTAGAAGTGTATTTGGACCCTTTCAAAACAAAATAGATGAGTACATGTTTTTCTTCATTAACACCTACGCATTTATAATTTTATGTAAATTCATGCATACTAACATGTCATGCATGCCTTTCTTTAGTTTAGTCTTTTTATTTTACTTTGTTGCTTGGGTCCTCCATCCTCACATATCAGCGGCCCGCCTATGTTAACCTGGGTTCATATCTAGTATGTACTTTTAACATTTATTATTATTTTATTATTTTTTCTAGTGTATATTTTTAAAACAAAAAACCCTACACAAATATGCAAAGTATAAAATTTGCCAAGTTTTTACATGTATATACACCTATGAATGAATCACCAAAATCAAGAAAATGGAATTATTTTTCACTCCCCAAAGTTTCCTCATGCACCTTTGTAACGCCTCCCTATCATCCCTTCTCACCCTCTTACAGGTCCCAGGAAACACTGATCTGCTTTCTGTCACCAAAGAGCATTTTGCATTTTCCAGGATTTTATAAAATTTTATAAAATGACTCATAGTATGTAATGATTTTTGCCAGGCTTATTTCATTTAGCATAATTATGTTGAAAGCTATTCATGTCATGATCATGGATTTAGATAGACCTTTCTTCTTTACATATATAGGCATTTAATACTATAAATTTTCCTCTAAATATTGGTTTAGCAAAATCCCACAAATGCATTTTGTTGTGTTTTCATTTTCATTCAGTTCAAAATATTACTTTCCATTTTGATTTTTTTTCCTTTGGTGTTATTAAATTTTCAAATATTTGTGAATTTTCCAGAAATCATTTTGATTTCTAATTTAATTCCATTATGATCAGAAAAGAATGTTTTGTATGAATGAAACCCTTTTAAATTTGTTGAGCCTTGTTTTGTAGCTCAGAATATGTCTACCATGGTAAGTTTTCAATGTGTACTCTGTTGTTGTTGGATGCAGTGTTTTAAAAAAAACATCAGTTAGATCAAGTTGGTTGATTGTCTTCAAATCTTCTGTATTCTCACTGATTTTCTATATACTTGTTCTAGCAATCATTGAGAAGGATATTGATATCTTTGACTAATTGTAGATTTCAATTTTCTGATAATTTTTATCAGTTATTACTTCATGTATTTTGAAGCTCTGATATTGGGTATACAAATATTTAGAATTGTTATGTCCTTTAGATGAACTGGCCCTTTTATCATAATGAAATGATCTTCTTTATTCTTAGTAGTATTCTTTACTCTGATTTAGCTATTTCAACTTTCTTTTCACTTGTGTTAGCATGGTATGTTTTTTTCTATCCTTTTTAATGTATTTGTGTCATTATGTTTAAAGTACATTTCTTGTAGGGGGCATATATTTGAGTGTTGACTTTTAAATCTAATGTAACAATCTGCTTTTTAATTGGACTATTTAGACTGATTGCATTTAATGTGATTATTGATGTGATTAAGTTAAATCTATTATCTTGCTATTTGCTTTCCATTGTACCATCTATTCCTTGTTCCCTTTTGCTTTTTCCCTGCCTTCTTTTGGATTAATTGTATATTTTATATACTTTCACTTGTCTTCTTTATTGTTTCATTGACCATGATATTTTTTGTTATTTTAGTGGTCATTTTAGAGTTTACAATTCACATTTTTCACTTATCACAGTGTACTTTCAGGTGATGAAGTATACTTTACATGTAGTGTGAGATCTTTACAATAGTCTACTTCTATTTCTCCCCACCTGACTTTTATGATATTGTTATCATGCATGTAATGTATACATATATTATAAAAACTAGAGATATATACACAAACACACACATATAGTGTGTAGAGCTATATATGCTTATAAATAATGTTTATAAAATATAATGAAATATATAAATATAAAATATTGCATTATTTTTGTTTAAATTATAAATATTTTATGCTTAGTAATTTTTATTTTATTGCATGCCAGATATTGTGCAATATCTCTTTTTGGGTAGTGAATATTTTTGTTTTCAACAAAAATTCTCAAGCTTTGTTCTAGGACACAGTTATTTATACTAGTTACCCTTTATCTGCAGTTTTGCCTTTTATGGTTTCAGTTATCTACAGTACAGTACAGTGATCTCTTTGTATCTGTGGGGGATTGGATCCAGGACCCCCAAAAGATAACAAAACCCATGGATGCTCAAGTCTCCCATATAACTTGGCCTAGTATTTGCATATAACTTATGTACATCTTCCTTTATACCTTATCTCTAGATTACTTATAATACATAGTATAATGTAAATGCAATGTAAAGGTTGTTATATGATATTGTTTTTCCATTTGTATTTTTTATTGTTGCTTTTCATTTTTTTAAATTTATTTTTTGCATATTTTAAATTTGCAGTTCACTGAATCTGTGTATATGGAACCTGTAGCTACAGAGGTCTGACTGTACAAGAAATTTTGAGAGAAGGGGAGAGAGAGTGTATTCACATAACTTTTATTACAGTGTATTGTTCTATTTTATTATTAGTTATTGTTGTTAAGCTCTTACTGTACCTAATTTATAAATTAAATTTTATCACTGGCATATATTTATAGAAAAAAATTCTATATAGAGTTTTATACCATCCCCAGTTTCAGGCATCCACTGGGGGTCTTAGAACATATTCTTTGCAGGTGGGAGAATTCCTGTCCTGGAAAGCAGTAGGATTCCTGCAGATTTCGCTTTTCAGATCTGTTAGCCTGGAGAAGTTATCCGTTTTGGGCTCATTCTTTCCCATTTCTGAGACAAGACCCTCTGTGCACTCTATCGCACGCCCCATGAATCATGAGGTTTCCCATTTTTTTCTGGTGGCAATAGAGACTATTCCCCAGCCCCGCATGAGTGCTGAGAACAGTAATCTTTAATGTTCTTAGATGATTTTCTCTTTGGCCTCAGGTAGTTTCCTAACATGTGTGAACTGATTTTTTTTTTTAATAAATGAATATTTGAGGGAAACCCTCAGCAGGTCTTCCAAGTTCTTTTTCTGTGCATCTTTCTCTTCTGAGAAAGCTACTGTGTCCTCTGAGCTTTAGCCACCTTGGTCTCCCCAAGTATCCTTAACTCAGGGAGTCTGCCTGGCTCCCGTAGGCGCCTCAGGTACCAGGGCCTGGCCAGTCTCTCAAGGCAGTTAGCTAGAACTATAGTGTGCCTCACCTTGCTTGTTTTCCATCTCTCAGGACCATTGTCTTTTGTTGTCTTATATCCATTATCTTGAAAAGTATTGTTTCATATATTATGTCCTACATTATTATTTTTTTGGTTGTTTTGGGCAGGAATGTAAATTTAGTTCCTGGTACTCTATCTTGATTGGAAGTAGAATTACAGTTCCTTCATGCTCATGTCTACATCCTCGTATAACTACATACATTCATGTATACACACATGCACACATATATAAATGAACATTTAATTATCTCATTCTACTAAAATGGAATTGTATACACATATTGCATCTTAATTTTCTTACCCATAGATGCCTTGAACCCTGTCCTCCACATCAATGGGTATAATTATAATTCAATCACTTTAATGTCCATATAATATTTTGTAATATGGATGTGACATAATTTTAAAAAACCATCTACTTATGGACACTTCCTTTGTTTCTAATATTTGACACTTTTAACAATGTAGTAATGCCTCTCTCCTTCTCTCTCTCTCTCTCTATATATATATATTTAAACCATAGCATCTTAATTCAACCTAAACCAGAAATAAGATTGGTAAACAACTATTTTGACATGAAGATACTGTTTTTATTTTTTTAAACAAAATTTTTTAGATCATAATTGTAGTGATCATGATGATGATAAGCATGTATAGAACCTATGTCCAAGTGCTTTGCATGTATTAACTAATCTAATGCTAACCAACACCTTTGAAATTCTATAAGGTATTATCACTATTTTACAAAAAAGAAACTGAGTCAGTAAAAGGTTAAACCAACTGCCCAAAGTCAGACAGCCAGTAAGTAGGGGAGGTGGGTTTTGAAGCCAATCTAGCTGCAGACTTTGAAGCATAGTAGCATTTTCATGTTGTTGTCTGAACTGTAAGTTGTTTGATTTTACTTAATAATATACCTTGGACATGTTTTCATATTAGCACTTACAGATTATCTCATTCTATCTTTTAGCTGTATTTGAATATACCAGAATTTATTTCCCTAGTCTTTTATTGTTGGACATTAAATTGTTTACAGTGTTCTGCTTTTATACACAATTTTGCAATCAACATCCCTGAATATATATATGTTAGTTTATCCTTGGGAATTTGTGTATCTGATGAATAAATTTCTAGCAATAGTTTATTCATCAAAGAGTATGTGCCTGTATATTTTTAGCAGGTGCTCACCGCCTTCTCACTCACACAGATGAAATCTATTAAGTTTATAAATGTAAACTTTCAATAACAGTGTGACTATGGGACAGTGATATTTAAGGGATATTTTAAAGGGTGGTGTAGACATGATTCACATGTTATTTCACAATGACATGTCATTGTTTTCCTTCTTCTTTTCAGCTTCTTCTCTTTCATATTTCAGTATGAAATAGAAAATCCAACAACCCTGTTTCCATTGAAAATTGCCAAATAAATCATCAGATCTTTCTTTTTAGAGGCGTTGCCTTCACTATCTGGATGTAATAATTATAACAACTGGGAACCTGATTCGGGCTGTTGGCTTCTCCCGACATGTTCAGTCATAATGGGGAAACTAAGAACATTTTCTATTTCCTTCCAGCATACAGCAGTATTAAGAATCCTAGGAAACTGACAACTTCCCACTTCTATAGCATCTGAAATACAACCCAAAAGAAACTGAGCTCAGATGTGGCCTCAGGGTTGGACATTTGAAATGGCAATGCATGGGTCTTGGCTCACAGCTCTCAGAATCCCAGCTTTGTATGTGTTTCCCTTGGACAATGTATGTGCTTAGTAGATGAGGAGGAAACCGCATGCTTCTCTCCAGCTCGGCGGAGAAAAATATTTCTTCTCTTTTTCCTTCTAATGATTTCATTAGTCATATTGTTTACATTTTACTGAAAAAAATTATATCCCCCCTTTAAAATACTTGAGCATTGGGCAGTTCATGTAAATAATAAATCTGCCTAAGTTTACAAATTCTTGACTAGAAATAATAAACCTGGGCGATAATAGTAACCATAGAATTGAACAGCTTTTCCCAGAGGGGCACTCAGTGGGGAAATTTGGTAATTATAGTTAGCAAATGGCCCTTTGGCAACAGAATGTCTTTTTTAAAAGCTCAACAAAAATAATTCTGGGGAAAATAAAAAGGCATAATCTGTGAAATGCTGAATGTAAACTATACCGCATGACCTAATTAAGAGGACTGCTATGGAGGATTTTTCCAAAATACTCAATAAAATGAGCCTTATTATGGCAGTTTGGGGGAAAGTAAGCCTATTTGTTTCGGAGGTGCAAATGCCAGATAATATAATATTAAAAGAAGATAGATTCAAAAGCAAAAGAGATTACTGTGAAGAGCAGATAAATGAAGTGTAAGCACATTTAGTGTTAAAGACAATTTTTTTTTCACTGCTACAATATCTGGTACTGCAGACACATGGAAATTTAAAGGTTTTTCCCCCACAGTGGAAACGTTATGCTTAGATTGCATGTTGCTCATCTAATATCCTTGATATGAGCTTTAATAATATTGAAAGACTTGCTATTCAGCTGCCTAACAGTTCTAAAGTGGATATCTGGCCTAGCCACCAGATTGAAGAATGTGAAAGAGCTTATTCAGCCACGTTAATGAACAAAGTCAATGACTACTCCGTTACTTCCTGTCAGTTCACTCATCCCTCCATCCCTCCTCCTGTCTACGTTTTCATTAAAATGTTGATTGAATATTCCCTACGTCTCTGGCACTGCTCAAAGTGCTGGAGCTACAGCAGGGAACAAAATAAACAAGGTTCTGTTCATATGGAACTTACATTTTAGTGGATGTTGGGTTGGAGAAATATGACAAATAAAGATAAATAAGAACATAATTTATCAGGTAAGAGTAGATGATAATTAGGAAGATAAAGCCTGTGAAAGAAATAAAGCATGATGGAGGGGTGTGTGTGTATGTGTGCGCGCGCATGCATGTGTGCTACTTTAACAGGAGCAAGAACAAAGTTAAGGAATAAAGAAAAAACCTTAAGGCTATCTTGGAGGAAGATCACTGGAGATGGTGCACAGGCCCTGAGGTGGGAATGGCTTGGGATATCCAAGAGTAACAAGGAGGCCAGCTGGACTGATGCATAGTTTTCAAGGAGTAGAGCCATAGGAATTATGAGCAGAGACATGTCTACAAGCATGATTATGTACTTGGGGCCTTACAGGCAATGGTTGGGCAGCCAATAGAGAGTTTTGAGTATTTTAGTGGCTTGATCTGATTTATGTTTTAAAATACATTTGGCCATCCATATCTGTGCATTCCACACCCATGGATTCTGCCAAGAGAGGACTGAAAAATATTCCAGGAAAAAAATTCCACAAGTTCCAAAAAGTGAAACTTGAACTTGTCACAAGGGTAAAGTATTGTGCAGGTCTTGTGTTAGGTATTATAAGTAATTTAAAGGATATGGGAGGATGTGTGTAGGTTATATGCAAATGCTATGCCATTTTATATAAGGGACTTGAGCATCTTGGGATTTTGGTATATGCCAGGATGTGGGGATTGGAACCAATCTCTCATCAATAATGAGGAACAACTATACTCCCTCTGGCACTTATTGGAGTGACGGTGATATTCTATACCTTGATTGCCATGGTAGTTACACAACTGTGTGTGTTTGTCAAAACTTATAGAAATGTACACCTGGAAGGGTAAATTTTACTGGAGATAAATTATAGCTCAATAAGCCTGAATTTTAAAACGTTCTTTATATCTGCTGTGTAGATGATACAGGGGCCAGAATGAATAAAGACAGACTAATTAGGAGGCTATAGCAAAAAATCAGGCGAAATACAATGATAGTTTTAACTAGGTTGGTAGCAGAGATTTTGGTGAGAAATATCACGGTTTAGGGTAATTTTAAAAAATACAACCACTGAAACTTAGTGATAAGTATAAATTCTTCTCTTACTTCCCACTCGTCCAAATCTCAGCAAATGCTGCCACCACAAACCAGTTAACTCAAGCCGTAATCCAACGAACATCTTTGATTAATGCATCAGTCAATTCTGTAGGCTCTTCTTCCAAAACATGGCTTGAATTCTTCCATTTTTATTTATGCTAACCATACCTTGATAGCATCTCTATCTTTGGAAGATGGGATAGCAAATCCCATCATTTCTTGCTAAAACAATTGCAGTATCTTAGTATCTTGTCTTTGAATTTATTCTCCTAATCCATTGAAATATATTCTCAGTATGGAAGTTCAAAGTAATCATTTTGAAACTTTTATGTAACAAATCTTTATTGAGTACCTACTATTTGCTTGGGTAATTTAGAACCTGGAGGGAATAAAACAGACCAAAATCTATTGAACATGAGCCTGTTTAAGTGGGTTTATGAATTAAAATGCCAGGTTAACCCTTATAAAATGAGCAAGTGGCTTAGATATATTCCTGCAAACAGGCCGGGCGTGGTGGCTCACCCCTGTAATCCCAGCACTTTGGGAGGTCAAGACGGGTGAATCACTTGAGGTCAGGAGTTTGAGACCAGCCTGGCCAACATGGTGAAACCCTGCCTCTACCAAAAATACAAAAATTAGCCAGGCATGGTCGTGTGCACCTGTAGTCCAGCTACATGGGAGGCTGAGCCAGGAGAATCACTTGAACCCAGGAGGCGGAGGTTGTAGTGAGCCGAGATTGCACCACTGCACTACAGCCTGGGTGACAGAATGAGACCCTGTTTAAAAAAAAAAAAATTCCTCCAAACAAACTATGGATTGAAGAAAACACCAATGAAAGCACAGAAGTATTTCATCAAAAATTATCCATAACTGGTCAGAGAGACCAAAAGTTAAGTTTCATTAAGTGTGATCAGTAATGCCCTTTTTATGTTTGGAACTGTTTCACACATTACAGACATTAAAACAGGAAGTGAAATAAATAACTCAGACTGAGACCTTGGAATAGCTTTATCATAAAATATGAAACCACAAGCTTCAAAAAAAATGAAAGCATATTTATTCGAACTTTGCTTTTACCAAAAATGATTTATCTTCCATCTCATCTTTTTATAATTTATTTGTGAGTATTTTATAAAATATAGAATGTTAGTATAATAAAACATACAATTTATAAATTAAAAAACAGCCTTGAATTGGGGATGGACATTTGAAATTTTCTTATTAATGGAATGTACAATCAAAAATGTTTGTAGACTACAAATTTAAATACTTGGTATTACACAAATGTAATATCACTTTTCAAAGTGTTTATTTTTTAAAAATAAAACATCTTTTTTTAATCCCTTTGAATTTTTACATTTAGAAACCATCCATTGCCTCTACCAGAGAGCTGGGACGATGTGGTTTGCATGTTGAGATCAAGAATCCAGGAGAACCAGCCAAGGTGTCTGCAGAATCTACCAGCTCTAAATTGTTGGAAATGCTGGTGGAATTGAAATCCCCTTAGTGAGATGCAGCAACTTTCATCTGAGACATATGCTGTAATTAGCAGTTTCTTAATTACCGAGTGCTTGAAGTATGTCATACTGGGAAGGGGTGGCGGGAAAATGCTGCTGCGCTTGAAGACACAAGGTGACCACGTTCTCTCAACCAGCTTGAGACCCCAGGTTCACTCTTACTGCAGCACAAACACACTGTGGCCAAGAGAAGACCATTCAAAGGTACCCCACTGCTTCCTATTTAGAGGGGGAAAAAGGACGTCATATATCCCTGCTCATGATGGCATAATTTGGTGTTAAAGTCAGTTGTGATGGCAAAGTAAAGTTTTGGTTTGTTTGGTGAGAAAACTGAGTTCACCCTCTTGCCACCCTCTTATCTGTTTGAGCCAGAAACGATCCCATCTACCAAGTGCTGTCTGAGAGCCAGGGTCCATGCCCAACAATTTTCATGCATCGATACCTTTCATCTCATGAAGCGGGCACTACTCTGATATGCCTTTGCTAGGTAAGGAAGCTGAAATTCAAGGAGATTTTGTTCCTTGTTAGTGACAACATCAAGGCAAAGTGGCTCTAGAGCCTGCCTGCTTAGTCACAACTGTGCCTTGTCACTCTACTGCTTTGAACCAGGCAGCTATTGTGCCGGTGGCATATATACAAGGAGGCTGAGGGACAGAGCAAATATTCAGGACAAGAGTGAGTCATGCTGAGGGATTGTGGCAAGAAGAAGGCTGGCTGTGGGTAGGGGAGGGCCTTGGGCCTGGGGAGAACAGAAATTCTATTGAATTTCTAACTAAGTGCTGGGCAGAGTAGCTCTTCTTCCTTACCTCCTTATGAAATCATCAGTCAAATACACTCATTTCTTGTTAAAGCATTGCGAGTTGCATCCCTTTGCAGAGATGTGTTTAACTCTTGAGCCACGCTTCCAATTGGGCTTGGGGCAGAAAAGGAAAGTCCCCAGATGCTGTCCTGTTATACCTGCTTGGCTTGTTTTAGAACAAGAGTCTTTCAAGTCCTGGGACTAATTTATTGGCTTCGGTTACAGGGGAGCTGCAGCTTAGGCTGCCTGGCTTTTGTAGGACCACAAAGAGGAATCTCTGAGATGCTTTGTTTCTTCTAGAATAAGATCCAGTACTAAAGGGGAAACGTGCTTCTGTAACTTGGTCAAGGTTTACAAAGAGAAACACCCTGTCCCTCTCTGCATGAATTTCCATTGGCCTTCTATGGAATTTATGGCTTTTGTAGGAAGGGCAAAATCTGGCAGTGGGAGGAAATTCATTAGTGGTATCACTCTTATGGTTAGGATTCCATGACCTTGAGGCACATAAATCTGGAAAATGGCCTCAGTGGGCATCCAGTGCCCTGATAAATAGACACAACACTGTGAGCCAAGATTTGTAGTCTATGGAATCTCCTTTTCTATATGAGGAGATGTGCATCCTGCATCTCAGGCACTTATATTATCCAGAGCTGCAGAAACAAGGTTATCAGTTTATTGGTTCACTTACACACCTTCCTTGCTTCCTTTCAGCTTCCTCACCCAGCCTTGCAATCTCAGCTACTAATGTCATCCAAGCTAATTTTCAGAGCCGGGTTGGCAGAGTTGGCATGTAATGGATGGACATTTTGATCTTGGCCAGCACGTTTCTAAGTAGGAAGTAGTGTCCATCCATTAGGGGTGTCAAGAGTTTCATCTCTCAAAAACAGCCCTTTTTGTGGTAATGGATAGCTGCTCTGACAGCTTCAGAGGACTGAATTAGGATGTGTGTTCTGCAGATATCAGGAAAAGAAACAGGAATAAAACACAATTATACTCAAACCTATAACTTTTGCCCGCCTTGAATACATTTAGTTGCTCACCCCCAAGGCTGGAGGATACCTAATAAAGAGACATTTTCTGGTTAACTGACAATGTTTTCCTTTTTTTTCTTTTTTCTTGTCTTTTCCAGCAGAAGTCTCTTGTTTCTGCCAAGAACTCTGAAAAGTTAAAAATATTTATCCTGCTTGCAAGCTAACAACTTAGCCTGCTGTAGTTTCTTAGATGCAGGCAGAAAACATGCAACTCCTGGGTCAGAGACAAAAGGCTTGTATTACTCAAGGCACAGCAGGCAGCATGATCATTGTGTTTGCTGCAGGTGCCCTCTCTCCAAGTTCCCTGGGAGTGATGGGAAGCAGCCTGGGTAGATGCTGCAGCCTCAGGAGGTTTGGAGCACAGCTGAGTTTAAGAAATCCCAAACTTGTAAAGAGGGCAGTCTAACCTTTGCCTAGAGAGAGACATTATCTTATAGTGGTCAGGAAACAAACCTGCCCTCTGCCCCAAGGGAGCTACTATCTCTATCTTCCAAGGCCTTTCACTATACAAACATCCGAAAAATCGTCTGAAACAAAAGCTACTACAGAATGTGCAGAAATGTAGGAAACTCATAGAGAAGTACCTCCTGGTAATTGCAGGAAAGAATTTGGCAAAACTGGTTCACTGATACTACATTACTTACATTTTAAATATGAAATACTGGCAGTTATTTTCAACTAAAGGCAAATATAAAAACACTGTCATTGGCTCAAATAATAGCAAACAAAGAGTAGCATGGGATTTTGCCTAAAGAGTACAATCTGGAATAATATATTGTCATTATATTTAACATCCCTTCAATTAAAATACCAATTAAAATATGATTTATTTCAAGTAAATGTCCTACTTATTTTTAATTACACTATGCTTTGTTAGTCACTGTATTTATGTTGGAAACAAGATCATTAAAGAATTATTTGTCTTATACATTGTTAAATAAGGCAAAGCCCCAACTCACAATTTTCTCTAATTTGAGAAGAAGTGGGAGAAAAGAAAACAATGGGATATTTTATCGTCTGGAAAGTGGAGGTTCATCTAAGATATGGCTATTTGCATTGCTCCCATTTTTGTGAACTGCTGCTTCATTTTTACAAAAGAAAAAGAAACATTTTATGAAGAGATTAACAAAAGGCACCACTTCACTCTCTTACCACTTAAGATTCATCTCCATGCCTTTTCCTGTATTGGATATTGTAATTATGTGATTCTTTCAAGCTGATCAGCATAGCATGCAAGAAGTGCCAGTTCTCTCAAATATCTCTAGAACTATATTCATAACCATGATTCTTTTCTTGTTTTTTAAATTCTTTTTTTAATGGCTATAAATTAATCTCAGTAATAATTGTTATTTGAGGGTTCCATCGCATGTATTGACGTAGTCACATTTCCAAAATCTTTTAATACAAATTTCCGAAATGTACATAACTTACTAAATCCTGGGCTTATTTTACCACCATGCTGTCTCCTTTTTCAAGGATAAATGCATAGTTCCATGTGCTCCTTTGAAGCACTGACCAAGGAGTTTTCTTCCTGTCCTGAAATCATCAACAAATATTCTTCCAGCAGTTTTTCTCCCCTTGATATTTTATTTCTCTCTGTGGAGATTTTAAAGAAAAGAGGGATAAAAAAATCTTTGGAAGGGTATGTTGAGATTTTCTCTTCAATTATATTTAAGTTGGGATGTTTGATGCCAATACGACAGCTAAAATGGCAACTGACAGTAATATTTGTTAGGGCTAAATCTACTCTGAATCACCATAATATATAAAACTACAGGACCTCAAGAAGAGCAAACCACCAAGATGCTGGGCAAAAATCCCCAACACTTGTGATAGTTTGCTGAGCATGATGGTTTCCAGTTTCATCCATGTCCCTACAAAGGACATGAACTCATCATTTTTTATGGCTGCATAGTATTCCATGGTGTATATGTGCCACATTTTCTTAATCCAGTCTATCATTGTTGGACATTTGGGTTGGTTCCAAGTCTTTGCTGCTGTGAATAGTGCTGCAACACATGGACACAGGAAGGGGAACATCACACACTGGGGACTGTTGTGGGGTCAGGGGAGGGGGAGGGATAGCATTAGGAGATATACCTAATGCTAAATGACGAGTTAATGGGTGCAGCCCACCAACATGGCACATGTATGCATATGTAACAAACCTGCACGTTGTGCACATGTACCGTAAAACTTAAAGTATAATAATAATAAAATTAAAAAAAAAGTCCCCAACACTGGGCTTCTGGTCTCCCTAACATTTATCATTCAAGTTAACAACTTGGAGGCTCCCCTTCTCATGCCCTCAGTTTTGCTTCCACATATTTTTTATTCATTGAGCAATGTAATTGAGAATTCCAAGCTATGATGAGCGAATCACCAACCATATAAACTCAAGATTGAATTACTAAAATGATCATCACCATCATTAGGCTCCTATTGCATAGAAAAATGATAGGCACATACTTTTAACTATTTTTCAATAGTTCTAATTATTTTCTTGAGATAGTTCTTTTTATAAAAAAGAAAAGATGGAGATTGTGGATTCAGTTGCTTCAGGACTTTAAAAAACCTATTACCTTGTTTTTCTAAAAAAAGGTGTCACTTTTTGCTTTTTTCATCCCACAGTGATTGTGCAGAGAACTCTAAAATGCCACTAGCAAGGGTAGTAGGAATTAGACAAGCTGCTCCCCCATGGTAATTGTCAAATCATCTTACTTATACTAAAGTAATGATATGTCCATGTCTACTCATCCAGTCTCGCTGCCTAGGTGGACAACCATCCAGGAAGAAATAGACCCAGAACATAACAACCCTCTCTCACAACTTGGAGGCCTGGTGAGTGATGGCAGCTGATACAGCCATGCATCAGCCTAGCACATCTTGCCACATAAGCTGGATGTGAAAACAACAGCATCAGAAAAGACAGTCCAGCTCTTGTGAGTCATTTTCCTGATTGATCTAATTTACCTTGAAGGTTAATGTATTCTAAACTAATTCAGAGATTAATAACCACTTAAAGATATATGAAAGACATTTCGCTCTCTGTGAGCAGTGTGTCATAACCTCATTTATTGCCTCTTCAATGACTTTGGGAATTATTTGATGAGATTTAAAGGGAAATTTGATTGTAGGATATGGAGAGTGACAGGTGCAATACATACAGGGCTTTGGAAATTATTCTTGTTAATAATAAAAACAAGCATGTAATTTGATTTTCCATAATGTGATCTTCAAAAGCAAATATTTATTTTCAAGCTGGAAATCATTTTTATCTATTGAATGAGATAATTGAATATGCTATTTTGCTAAAAAGGAAAGATTGCTTTTAACATAAAAAGTGACACACATGTTTTTATTACACTCCATATATTTAATCACAATGAACGGCCAATTGCTGAGGGAGCCTTATGTGTGGATATCTTAAATAGAGGTTCATAAAGAATGTTTCTGCTACTTGTTTTCAATCAACTGAAATGTATTCATTAGTAGAATGTGGTTAAACTCATTTGAGCATGCTTAAAGATGGGGTATCCAACCCAACAAATGGGAAAATCATCCCAACAAACCTCTTTCTCTTCCCCTTCTAGTGTTTTCCTCTCAAATTTTTATTTACTTTATTTTTTTTGATCTACTTTTCTATTTAACTCTACCTCCAATTTCCAAGTTCAAAGTGATCACTGATAGGTAGTAAATGTGATTGCACTAGCAGGAAAAGAAGTGTTATGATTTATAGGTATTGGAGTGATATGGAGTAAAAATGTGGTATTTCTCTCACCTCCGCTTTGAGCTATGATCATAGTTATTTGAAGAGAACAGTTGAATTTAGGCTTTTGAACAAATAATCACGATCATGATTTTTACCCTCACCTCTACCTCACTATATAGGAGGAATTTACTAAGCACCTTCTCTGCCTTATCTTCCTTGTTATGTATATCACTCCCATGAGAAAGGTGACCTTATTATTCCCAATATGCAGAATGGGGAGCTGATTTTCTTCCTATTTACCTGCAATTTTGCCTGAAGTCCAAGAAGTGCTATGTACCCTCATTTTTTTCCCCTCAATTCAAACAAGTGAGTTGTTCGAGAATCATTGATCGTATGGGTATCTCTATAAGAAGAAGTCTACTGTATGTCCTGGGAGGATACTGCTTAGGCTGTAAAACTTTTGATTTTGTGCCTCTACTTATCTAAAGAGGGTAGTGAAGAGATTGGAAAAAAACTCATGGGCTGAGACTGGGGGTGGCCTGCAATTCCAGTGCATGATGCAACAAAGATGTGGGAGTTTCTCACATGTCCTTAAGAAGTAAGGAAGCCAGCTGTGCACTTTTCCACTGATATCTTCCTGTGAGGGCTGCCGACTAGAAAAAGAATCTGTGGGAAGTGGTAGGTGGCATAAGTGTTGTGAAAAGACCCCACAGACCTTTGCAAAGCACCCAGACCTGAGAGCCATTCAAATGCTGCCACACAGAGGGCGTTGACAGCCAGTGAAGAGTAGTAAGAGAAGCAGCCACCACAGAGCGGAGCATGGAGACTGTCTATCCAGCAAGGAGACATTTCCCTCTTAATCCTTGTCCTACATCCCAACAACCCAACAACCCAACAACAGAAACGTTCCAGCCAAGGAGGTGCATAAGAAGCTATTCATGCCCTTCTCACCACTGCAAGCACCTTTGCCCACATGTCTGGCAAGCACTAGGGTAGGTGAACTAGGTAGGTGAGACGGCAGTGAGCTATGATTGTATCATTGCAATCATTGTACGACCTGGGTGATGAAGCGAGACACCATCTTTGGAAAAAAAATTTTTTTGAATTTATGAAAAACTATTACGGGATTTGGAAAGAGGGTTTCAACCACTCAGAAGAAAATAGTTTATTTATACCCCTCAAGGAGTTGACTCCACTATAAATATAAAATACTATATAAATTTAAAGATTATTTACCTCTCAACTAAAATGTTTATTGGGTATAAAAAAGTGCCAGGTTGCATACTGTCTCTTTGATACAATATACAAAAGAACATGTATTCAATATATTCAAATTATGAAACATAGCAATAAAATGAACAACTTTGACCTCACCACCCAACTTAAGAAATATGCTAATTTTATTTTTTTTGAGACGGAGTCTCGTTCTGTTGCCCAGGCGGGAGTGCAGTGGCTCTATCTCGGCTCACTGCAAGCTCCGCCTCCCAGCTTCACGCCATTTTCCTGCCTCAGCCTCCCGAGTAGCTGGGACTACAGGTGCCCGCCACCACGCCCAGCTAATTTTTTTTGTATTTTTAGTAGAGACGGGGTTTCACCGTGTTAGCCAGGATGGTCTCGATCCCCTGACCTCGTGATCCTCCTGTCTCGGCCTCCCAAAGTGCTGGGATTACAGGTGTGAGCCACCGCGCCCGGCTGAAATATGGTATTTTTAAAAAAAAATTTATTTTAAGTTCTGGGGTACATGTGCAGGATGTGCAGGTTTGTTGCATAGGTAAACATGTGCCATGGTGGTTTGCTGCACCCATCAACCCATCACCTAGGTATTGAGCCCAGCATGCATTAGCTATTTTTCCTAATGCTCTCCCTTCCCCCACCCCACCCCCTGACAGGCCCCAGTGTGTGTTATTCACCCACCCATGTCCATGTGTTCTCACTGTTTGGCTCCCACTTACAAGTGAGAACGTGGTGTTTGGTTTTCTGTTCCTGCCTTAGTTTGCTGAGGATAATGGCTTCTGCCTCCATCTATGTCCCTGCAAAGGACATGATCTCATTCCTTTTTATGGCTGCATAGTGTTCCATGGTGTATATGGACCACATTTCCTTTACCCAGTTGATTGCTGATGAGCATTTAGGTTGATTTCATGTCTTTGCTATTGTGAATAGTGCTGTAATGAACATACGCATGCACGTATCTTTATAATAGAATGATTTATATTTCTTTGGGTATATACCCACTAATGGGATTGCTGGGTCAAATGGTATTTCTGATTCTAGATCTTTGAGGAGCGAATAGGCAACCTACAGAATGGGAGAAAATTTTTGCAATCTATCCATCTGACAAAGGTCTAATATCCAGAATCTACAAGGAAATTAAACAAATTTAGAAGAAAAATGAAGCCCATTAAAAAGTAGGCAAAGGACACGAACAGATACTTCTCAAAAGAAGACATTCATGCAGCCAACAAACATATGAAGAAAAGCTCAATATTACTGGTCATTAGAGCAATGCAAATCAAAACCACAATGAGATACCATCTCATGCCAGTGAGAATGGTGACTACTAAAAAGTCAAGAAACAACTGATGCTGGTGAGGTTGTGGAGAAACAGGAACACTTTTTCATTGTTGGTGGGAATGTAAGTTAGTTCAACACTGTTTAATATGTATTCTTAATGATACAATTATTAAGTTTCTGTGTGCCTCTCTTTGACCTCACTTTCTTTGCCTAATTAATTTATAATTATTTCCCATTATCTGGAGTACTGTGCATGTCCCCTACCATCTAGCTCATTGGCTAGCACAGTGCAGGTACACAAACGTTTGATGAATATCCTTATGAGGGATGCAGATAACAATGATGAAGACCATGACAATAATTGCCTTTATGGAGCATATTCCATGGGCCAGGCTCTGTCTTTTTCTCTGTTTATAATCAACACAAATATTCTGCAAGGTATTTTATAATATTGCTATGTTACAGCTGAAGACACCAAAGCAATCACAAGCATAGTCGTTTGCTAAAGCCACACACAGTCACTAAATGGCCAGACCAGAATTGAAGCCAACTCTTTCAAGTGACAGAGCTTTTTCTCTTTTCGTTGTGCTAACTTAACTCAGTCTCTTACTTCTCAGTGTCTGTTACAGGATCAGGCCTGGAGTTTGTTATATAATTGATACCTGGAGATGCCTCGGTGGTCTATGGATTGGCACAATTGTGGCATTGCCTTCCCATGAATTCAAGGCTATTGCTGTCTTTGAACTGATATAAACTGTATTTTTAATTGGTAACTAGTAAAAAAGGATTTGAAGGAAAAGTTCCTTCAGGAAGTTAAACCTGGTTATTTATCTGCCACTTTTGTTGTATAACCATGGAATGTACAATGGCAGTTATGCTAAGTAAGTGATTTATCTCCACAAGTTATTGATTTTCTCATGAGTCAAGAAGGGTGGAACTGAGCGGAGCTATGAGTGATTTATGGAGAGGTATCAATAAAGGATACCAATAAGAAGGTGTCTCCATAGTCAGGCCCATTTTATGTTTCCTTTTTGCCACATTGAACCCAAATAAATGTCCTAAATCTATCACCTGATGTGGGTACCATGCCCCAGCCAACTGTTTAGAAGCGTAGGTTTAATCATCAACAAGAAAAATTTATCTTGATAAGATCCTTTAAATTGTACTTGTCACCAGAAAAGTGTTCTTTAAAAATGCTACAAGGTTTCATATCTCTTCTTTCACAATGAATTATGAGCTCAATTTCTTTTAAGCTTGAACCTTTTTAATTGGAAATTCTTGTTGCAGGATTTTTAACATTGGCAGGGTATTCTAATATCTTGCTTCATCTCCTTGAATCTTTGTTGGTTATCTGTGTGTGTGTGTGTGTGTGTGTGTGTGTGTACCTATATATGATTATGTTGATTGTGTATGTATCTATCTGTCTATAACTAAACAAATAAGAGTGTTAACTGTGAGAATTTTGTTTTTGTAACAATAATTAGTTTGCTAAATGGCTTAGTTGGGGCGAATGACTTAAGGAAAAAGAAGTCCCATCCCATGGAAACTAGATGCAGTTCATTTATTTGAGGGAGATATTTTAGTATGGGTTGGGAGTCCCAGCCCTGACATTTATTAGTCATGTAACCTCAGACAAAACTTGTCAGCCCTGTCTGTTTTCCTAACTATAAAATGCAAAGATGGTTCCTCCTAGAGAGCTTCTACATCACATTGACTAGCGCCAATACAAGGCTTAGTACAGTGTTTAGCCGATAGTGACTACTCAGTCATCAAGGCACATAGTGACTACACACCAACAAGACTTGCTGCTCTTGTTTTGTGTCCCTAGGCCACACCCCGATGTAGAAGTCAGCATTCTCGAAAACCTTAGTTCACCAGGTAAGCCCAGCTTTACATCATGAATTAACTAGTAAAAAGGATATTATGAAAGAGACCACAAAAATTCTCCTGTGGAACAAATGTCTCTGGACAAGAGCTAGTAAATAACAGGCCTACCAACCACATGACTGAGTTTGGAGCAGTTTTTCTGGTCCCATTTGAGCCTTGAAGTAATTGCAGTTCCCTATGACAGCTTGACCACAACTTGGTGAGAGACCCTGAGCTAGAACTACCCAGTTAGGCTGCTCTTGAATTCCTAACCCTCAGAAACGATCAGGAGTAATATGTGCTTGTTTTAAGCTGCTGAGTTTTGGGGTAATTTGTTTTGTGACAAGATACCTTATTGTCCATTACAAACTGCACCCTATCTTTGCTCTTGACATTCCCAGCCCTTTTATACTGCTTGCTTTTTTGGGGGCGGGGCAGGTCTGGCTCTGTTGTACAGGCTGGAGTGCAGTGGCACAATCTCAGCTCACTGCAACTTCCACTTCCCGGGCTCAAGACATCCTCCCACCTTAGCCTCCCAAGTAGTTGGGACTACAGGTGTGCCCCCACTACACTCGGCCAATTTTTTTGTATTGTTTTGTAGAGATGGGGTTTCACCATGTTGCCCAGGCTGGTCTTGAACTCCTGGGCTAAAGTGATCCACCTGCCTTGGCCTCTCAAAGTGCTGGGATTACATGTATGAGCCACCGAGCCCAGCCGCTTACTTTCTTAATATCCTCCTCCCTCCCTTCCTTCCTTCCTTTTCCCCCTTTCTTTCTCTCTCTCTTTCTTGTTCTGTAGCAGTTGGCACTTTCTAACTTTTTAAATTCACTTATTATATTTATTGTCTACATCCTCCTAAAATACACGTTTTATAAAAGTAAAGGTTTTGGCCCATGATGTTAACTGTTGTATCTTCAGTACCTGTCAAATAGGGATTTGATAATTGTTTGTTGAATGAACAAATGAATAAACATAAGCTCAGATAAATGAAACTGTCTTGGTTTAATTGTCGTTTAGAGGAAATTTTTATATTTAGTATATTTGACTGTTTTTGTCCCAGCTCAGGTCTACTCTAGACTTGGGGCCTTTAAAAAGATTAAGTTCGGAGAGCTAAGAGATAAGATTCCTGCAGTTTGAGGGTCTTTTTTTTTTTTTTTTTAAACCTCATTAAAACCTTGATTCTTTTTTCTATGCAGTTATAAACCTTAGTAAATTTGCCTGCTGGGAAAAGACAGATGAAACAAATGGCCTTCTACTTAAATGGCTTTTACCTGAATTTAATTTCATCTATGTATAGCCTCAGTATAAAGTTGCTTTAGAATTCTCTTGATAAGAAGCAATGCAGAAAAAATGTGATCATCATAGTGGGGGGTGTCGGGGGGGTAGAACTCAGATAGCTTTGGCCTTCCTTTTTTTTTTTTTCTTGTTTGGGTCCAAGTTTTCATCTTCTCTGCATTTCCAAACAGATGCTGAATTCTCGTTTGTCCCTAATGGACACATCAAGTGTACTCTAGTCGCTGTGTCTGCTTTGCTGTGAGTAGTTTGCAATTCCTATGATTAAATATGCAATTAAGATTTAAATACAATAAAGCACATGAAATTTTGCAATTAGGATGAGGCTGCACTGCTCATGACAGATTTAAATGTCAGCGCCTCCAGTTGGAATTGAAAGTGAGATTTTGCTCTCTCCATTTGAATTTGGAAAACCCTCCATTACACATTACTAACCAGAATCAGTTGAGACTGGGAGTTGGTATACTGAAAGTGGTTCCTTTCAGGCTTATAATGCATTGATCCTAAATAATTTTTGGAGAGATGTGTAGGCTGCCAGTGTACAAATGATGCAGTGCAAGTGATATTATTTTAGTTTGATAATCAACGTGTCATAGCTTCTCTCCCCGCTTGGTACGTTGCATTGTAAATCCGATACTCACAGGCAAAGTCCCTGTGATCCACTATACTGCCTTGAGTTGCGGCAACGTTATTATGAAAAATACATTCATTTGTCTATATGGAAGGGATTTAAAGGTTGCTGCATTCATTTTTTACCGCAGTCTAAGTACTTAATCTTATGGACATTGCTCAACAAGAAAATGATCTCTTCCTCTCTACCCCCATTAGCAACATTCTTTCAGTCTCAAGAAATATAAATATTGGGGCATATTAATGAAAATGACATCTACTGCTGATATATTAAAACTCAAATGTGTGATTAAGTATTCTGTTAATTAACTCTTTTTGTCAGAATAATTGTAAATGCGTTCTCATACTTCAGAGCAATTTGAACTGCCAGGAGAAGGTTAGTAGACTGCCCTGAGATAGTTGGAAATCAGACATCATTAGTTTAATTAAATTCCATTAACATAACAAAAACAGTTTCTTCGATTTTTTTTTTAAAGGATCCTAATAGAGAGACCGTCATAGTTACAGCAGCAGCCAGGAGATACTAAAGTTGCTGTTTTTTAACCCACAACTTCTATCGCTTCTTCAGAGTATTTGCCGGCTCTATCATCACCCATTGATGCAACAGATATTTATTAAGCCTTTGCAAGGTTTTAGGCATTGCTGTAAGTTCTAGGGATAGAACAGTATCTTAGTCCATTCAGGCTATTACAACAAAACAGCATACATTGGGTGGCTTATAAGCAACAGAAATGTATTTCTCATCATTCTGGAGGCTGAGACATCTACATCAAGGTGCTAAGCAAATCTGGTTTCTGGTGAGGACCCATTTCCTTGTTCACAGATGGTGTCTTCCATGTGTCCTCTCATGGTGGAAGGAGAAAAAGCTCAGGCCTTTGAAAAATAAGGATACTAATTCCATTCCTAAGGGATCTACCCTCATGACCTAATCATCTCCCAATGACCTCACTCCTAATATCATCACATTGGGAGTTAACATTTTACAACATGAATTTGGCAGGGGCGGCGGGGGGTAATGACATAAATATTTAGACCATAGCAAGCAGTGAGTAGAATATTCAAGGTCACTCCTCACAGAGTGCTATTGGTGTTGGGGGCCAGACTATAAAATAAACAGACAAATATGGATGGTGATCAATGTTATGAAGGAAGCTGGGTGCGGTGGCTCACGCCTGTAATCCCAGCACTTTGGGAGGCTGATGCAGGCAGATCACCTGAGGTCGGGAGTTCAAGACTAGCCCGGCCAATGTGGTGAAACCCTGTCTCTACTAAAAATACAAAAACTAGCCAGGCATGGTGGCGCAAGCCTGTAATTCCAGCTACTTGGGAGGCTGAGGTAGGAGAATCACTTGAACCCAGGTGACTGTAAGCTGAGATCGCACCACTGCAATGCAGCCTGGGTGACGGAGCAAGTCTCTGCCTCAAAAAAAAAAAAAAGTTATGAAGGAAAAAAATTAGGCGATGCGATCAAGAAGTTATGGGAGGTATATGGCTAAACCTGCAATTGAGTGATCAATACTGACTCTGAGAGGTGACATTTGTACGGGATCCCAATGACAGAGCTGAATAGAGAGATTGGCAGGTGAAGGATTAGCTGGGGAAAAGGCCCTGAGTTGGGGACAGGATTAAGGTTTAAGGAAGAGAAAGATTAGGCCGAAGACTGAAGTCCATTGAACAGGGGCAGGTATTGGAAGATGAGGGTGGCCAGGGAGCAGGAGTCAGGCCATGTAGACTATGGTGAAGAGTTTATTTTTAGGGCAATGGGAAGCTATTATGAAGGAGAGGGATATAATTTGATCTATATTATTTAAATTGACTTTGGTGCTACTGTTTGGGGAATGGATGTAGAAGACCAAAAGGCAAAGTGGGAAAACCATTTAGGAAGCTAATGCATTATCACAATAATAAATGATGCAGGCACCAAATTTGGAAATGGCTGTCTGCAAGCTGAGCATAATCATCACACCAGATGTACCTCATGATGGCTTGAGACCTCCCCACAACTCGACCCCTATTCCCTTTTCCAGCTTTATTTCCCACTACTTCTTACTACTGTAGTCAGTGTAGTCCACCTGTCCACTGTATGCACTTCTATCTCACACCTGTGTTCAGGCTATTGGGCCTGCCTGAAATATCTCATCTACGCATTATCTAGGTCGGGGTCATTCCCACACTTCAGATTGGAATTTGGTACTGCTATCTCTATAAAGTCCTGAAGGAACAGGTTAACTTCTGAACCTCAGGTTTGAATCTGGATCAATCAAACTGCAAACCCCTTCAACAAAAGCCCTGGGATTTTTGTTAAAATTGTAGATTTCTACAGCTTACTCAATATTTGCCAACTTAGGTGTCTGGGTGGGGATTAGGAATCTGTAAATTAAGTATCCTGGGTGATGTAGGTATCCACTTAGGCTCGAAAACAACTGATGTCATGTTTCCTGTCCGTTGTTTTTCAGTATTAATTGCATCTGTGATTAAAGTATTTGCGTGGGAGAAGTACATTCTTTGTGTTTAGACTGATCTGGATTTGTATCTCTGCTTTGTACGTTGCAGGTAGCAGTTGTATGCTGTCAGACAAGCTAGTGTCTCTGAGTAGGGATTATGATACCATTCCCCAGTATTGTTAAGATGAAATGAGATGGTGTGTCTGAAGTAACTTGCATAATGCCTGGCACTGAATTTTTGTCCTTGTAACAACAACGACAACAACAACAAAATTAGCATTTATTATGCAAGTGCTGGGAATATTCTAGGCATTTTTTGTTTGTTTGTGTTTTTGAGATGGACTTTCGCTCTTGTCTCCCAGGCTGGAGTGCAATGGCATGATCTCAGCTCACTGCAACCTCCGCCTCCCAGGTTCAAGTGATTCTCCTGCCTCGGCCTCCCGAGTAGCTGGGATTACAGGTACCTGCCACCATGCCCGGCTATTTTTGTATTTTTAGTAGAGACGATGTTTCACCATGTTGGCCAGGCTGGTCTTGAATTCCTGACCTCAGGTGATCCACCTGCCTCGGCCTCCCAAAGTGTGGGGATTACAAGCGTGAGCCACCGCACCTGGCCTAGGCAACATTTTACTTGCTTTTTATGAAGAAACTCATTTAGTTTTCACATGAGGTCAACTCTATTGCTATCTCCTTTTTATACTTAAGGAAACAGAGGCATACAGAAGGCAAATAACTAGCCCAAAAGCACAAAGCCAGTCAACAACTGCAAGTAACCACAGTAGCTGTAAATAACTGTAAGTAATTGTAAGTAACAATAAATAACAACCCATGTTCTTGGCTTGTCATGCTACCCCACCTCCCACTATGGCAGCAAAGCAGCTGGGGCAGGGGCTTCACAACTGGGAGCTTTCAATTACTTGCTATGGCATTTCATCAAGATGGGTGTGTTATGATACCATGTAACTCTAGCTATAACTCATGAATCATTGTCTTCCTCTCCCTCCTTATCATACCCTTGAGGTTCTATCTTCCGATGTTTTCATCTTCCAAAGAACTTACATGGAATCTTTATACCAAAAGGGGTCAACAAATATTTGTTGAACAAAACGATATGAATGTACCTAAGACAGAGCACAGTCCCAGAGATGGAAAGACTCCCAATAAATATGTCTTGAATAAGTGAGTGAAATTCATCCTCTTTACCTCTGTTTACTCTGGATTTTCCTTGGAGTTATTTCATCTCTGACCTTGGTATCCTCATCTATACAATCAATGAGCTGGGGCTTGCATTGAACCCACCACCTCTTCCTTTACCGTCAACACATACACATACACACTCACACAACACACATACACACAGTAACGTGATCTATTCTGTCTCCAAATTTTCCACTTACTAAACTCAAGCATGTAAATACCAGCACCCAGCACGTGTTTTGGAGAGTAGCAGGTTGTATGACAGTTGATTTTTTTAGGAAGACACCAAGATAGCTTTAATTCTCTCTCTCACACTGAATATATCTTCCAAGAAGAATTCATTTATGCTGCTGTGAAGTTCTGAAGTCCTGCCTAAAATATATCGCCTCTAGCAGATGGCGGCTGCTGCCTCTCTATAAAGAGAAATGGAATGCCGCTGACGTACAGATGTATTTAATGGGAAATAATAGGCCTGAGATTTCCAACAGCTTGCATGTCTCCTTTGGTTATAAATGACAGAAAGCTATCACAAATAAGCTTGGGCAAAAAGAAGCATTTATTACAAGGATTCTGAGATATCCCACACAATCTCAGGAGAGGGATGTGGCTAGGCCTCAGGGATAACTGGATTCAGAAAATCATACACCATAACCATTATTGTCTTCTTTTTTCCTGCTCCTCTCTGTAAATCTGGCCCATTCACTTGTGTCTTCTGTTGGTCTCCCCTTTGTTGGCATCCCTGGGCCTTTTCTGTGTGGTCTCTGGGAGCTCTCCCCAAATTTACAGCTTCTTTTCTGAAATGTGTGTCCAGCTTCTCTTTCTCAGTCTAGTTCTCAGTTTCCCAAAGAAGGTGCCTTATTGTTCCAGTCTGAATCAGGAGCCCACCCTGGACCAATGGGCCAGAAGGTGGGCTGTGGTGACACTGCTGTTCCTCGTACAATCATACAGATGGTTTCAAGAAAAAATAGCTTCAGAAAGAGGCGAGAGCAGCTTGCAGAAGGAAGCCAGGGCTGAAGTATAACCCTGGACAAATACAACAGTTATGTGTTTACTGAAATCTACCAAGATCTCATTTCTATTGCCATAAGGGTCTGAAGTCATAGCTAAAATGATTGCTTCTGGCAGATAAGTGCTGTTGTCTTATCCATAAAGAGAAATAAAATGCTGCTGAGCTATAGAGCATTCAGTATGAAAGGTTAGGACTGAGGTTTCAGATGGCTAGGATGCCAAGAATCCTTCTTCAGCCTTCAGAGAGTCCTTGTTTCATGCAATACAGAGCCATCTTGAACAGAAATTTCCAGGATATAACAAAAATACAGAGTACTGATTATTTATCTAACACATCTTAGTTGTTTTATTATTTAACCTTTTCAAAACCCTGCTGGAGTATGTTTCACTATGGTTTCCATTATACAGATGAGGAAACTGAGGCTTAGAGAGGTGAAGCTGCTCAGAGCAGGGAGCAGAGGGAGATAGGACTCAAACCTCACATCCCAGAACTTTCTGGCTGGTGTCCTGTGTGATGGGGATGCCTTTTGCGATGGCTGGGGAAGCTTTGGGATGTCTGGGGGCCCTACACTGACTCCAGCCACGGCAGCCTTGGGGAGAATTCAGAATCCCCCTCATTAACCCCGGTGGGCCTCACGAAGATGATCACCGTCTGTGTGTGCCGTGATAGAAAGATGTTTGAGAAGCACTGCTGTACTTCTGATAAGACTTCACATAATTTCTCTTAATGTCAAGCTAATTTCATTACAACAAAAAGAATTTTCAGGTGCTAGAGTTTAAATATTTAAATATGTAAATATGTGTTGTATTTTTATATTGATCATAGTTGTACATATTTTTGAGGTACATGTGATATTTTGATTCATGTATACAATGTGTAATGATTAAATCAGAGGAATTGGGATATTCATCATCTTACAGATTTATCTTTTTTTTTTTGTATTGGAACAAATTCATTTTTGTTTGTTTGTTTGTTTTGGGACAGGGTCACCGTTTGTCACCCAGGCTGGAGTGCATATCTTACTATAGCCTTGACCTCCTGGGCTCAGGTGATCCTCCTGCCTCAGCCTCCCAAGTAGCTGGGACTACAGGTGTGTGCCACTATACCTGGATAATTTTTTTATTTTTTGTTGAGACAGGGTCTTGCTATGTTGCCCAGGCTGGTCTTGAACTCCTGGGCTCGAGCAATCCTCCCACCTCAGCTTCCTAAAATGCTGGGATTATAGGCGTGAACCACTGCACCCAGTCTATGTTGGGAAGGAATATTATAACTTGTCTCCTCTAGCTATTTTGAAATATACAATAAATTATTAACTATAATATAATACAGTATGATGTAATAATATATAGTATTGTATCAATACTATATATGATTAACTGTAATTTTCCTACTGTATCATCAAATACACAAACTTATTCCATCTGACTGTACTTTTGTACCCATTAACAAGTATGTAAATATTTAAATGTAGTTTTAAATATTTAAATTTGGAACCACATTTACACGCTGCTGTCACATCATCACAATTAGTTATCATTTCTAAAGGCTTTCCTATGTGCCAGCCACTGAGCAAAGTGCCAACAACTACATTTGCTTTTCCATTCTTGCCTTCTACTCATCCATAACCCATTGCGCTCTAACCTTCACCTTCCCCCTGTCCCTGAGACTGCTCTTTCAGGAGCAAGCCTAACACAGTAGAAAGCACCTGGGCTTTGGCATAACATCCACGTAGGGTGAAGGACAGATTCCCCTGTTTTCTAAGAAAAGTAAATGGCTGCTGGGCAGGCACAGAACAACATTTACTCTAGAGACAGTGATGAGGATAGCTCAGAGGACAACCAAAAGGATAAAAAAGAAGTTAGGCTCTTGGAGAGAATGAGTAGGTCAGGGAGAAAAGTTCCAAATAAAAGTTACAACCAACATGAGAAAATACACCTCCAGGAATGATGGTCAGAAGTTCCATAAAATGGTAGAACTCACAAGTGAGGAAGTGGAAATAATGACTCAGGAAACATGTTTACGACCATCAAAGAAATAAAGGAGTGAATCACTTTCTTGAAATGAGAAGAGGAGTGGCAGGCATTGGTCCACTGCCCACCCACCCCTTTTCCTTTTTCATTGCGAATACAGCTCCATTTATTTTCTCTATGCCTAGTATTGGGGAATTCATTAAGCCTTGGAAATCCTGTTCCCTTTTGTCTGTGGTTGGTTGAGATGTCATGTAACACAAGCCTGGGCATGAAAGGTAAGGGGCTTTTGAAAAAAGGAGAAGTTCCTGAAATAAGAAAAAAGAAATGTGAGAAGAGTTGAATCGTTGTCCTCTTCTGTACTCCACTTTGAACTTGGTCACAGGAGTTTTTGAAGCCTAGAGTTGAGGAAGCATCTTTTGTGTATAAAGAAACAAATGTAAGGCTGAAAATCCAAAATGCTAAAGATGGCAGAGGAAAGAAGGGAGAGATTCTGGGAGCTTGAAGATATTTTTGGTTCACCTTCTCTCACAAACAAAGACTACAACTACCTAGCTACAAACTTGTTGTTGTTTGAATAGATGATAGATGGAGAGGAGGAATGGAAAGCTGGATGTCTTTGCTTACTTAGGAAACGGTTGGGTATTTGCTGTTTGGCAAAAGAATTGCAACTAAAACAAGTGGGTTATTAAGAAGAGTCAGATATTTTAAAGATGAAAAATACCAAAAAAAGAAAAATAAAGCCATTGAAACAAAAATAAAAATGTGTAATGTAAAATTCAAATGTGGTTAAAAAGCACAATGTGGAATTATATTAGTGCCTTATAAATAACTTTCAAATAAAATAATTATGAATAGTTTGGCACATATGTCTTTTTCTTCTTTTCTATCTATCATTATTGACTTTTAATTTCTTATAAGCATTGTTACATACTATTCATAATGTTTTGCAGATTCCTTTTTCAATTGTCTTTGTATAAACTGTCAATCTTGCTTAATCTTTTTAACGACTATGTGATATTCTATAGCACAGAGCAAGTTAATACATCCTTCAGGGATGGCAACTGGCAGTAGCTGAACTGAAAACTAAAAATGTCAAATATTTGCATCCCTAGCAATTATCCTATAAAATATCCCCCAAATAATGCAAAAATGTATGTAGCCTAGAATATTTATTGTGGCTTTGTGTGTACTAAAACAACAACAATAGAAACAGATGATAAATCCCAAATATGACTCTATTTTAGTTCTTGATCACATCTTTTGATTCTGTGTTAGCATTTTCCAGAATGCAACATGCAAGGGCCTACTTTCTGTCGTAATATTCTCCAGAATGCAATAGATACCAATAGTAAATTATTAATATTGCCTACTTTTAAACTTTTTTTTTAACAAGCATTCTGCTCTGGTGGCTGCTGAATATTGTTGTCACTTCAGTGACTAATTGCTTTCACCAAAAGAGTGATGTGGAGTACAGAATCACCTACACATCACTGTTTTTGTATTCTGTGGTTATTAATGGACTAATGGACTATAAGGTTTTAATGAATAGAACATAAATGCAGAGACAGGAAAATATATTAGTTTTTTTTCCCAAGAGTGATATGCCTTAATTACACTTAACTCCTCAGGTTATTAGCTACATAACTACCGGTGGAAGAACTTATAATCACTCTCGCGTGAAACTAATGAATATGCTTTTACACATTGAATATCATTTTATCATTTACTTTAGACACAAAAAAAGACTGGCTTTTCTGTGAACATGATGATAATATCATGTCATTTATTCAAATATTAGAGAACCTGTCACATTTGTTCCATAAATACTTATTGTGTGTTTATTATGTGCCAGGCACTATTCTAGGTTGCTGGGGTTACAGCAGTGAACAGAAAAATCCGTTTTGGGATAGGGAACTGTTCCTACTCTCATAGGAAGTAAATGAAATTTCTATGTGGATTGCCCTAGTTGAAACTTAGGGGGAAAATTTTGATGTATGTCATTAAGGTGGACATGACTAGATGGCTTATACTTTGATTGAAACAAGCCTTCTTTTACAAATAATTGATAACAATCAGTTGCAAAATCAAAATTCACAATGGTTATTTGACTACTGAATTTGAAATTTAGAAACATTTCTATAGTAATAAGCTAGTATTTTAAACTTCAGATGGAGAATTTGTAGTGGGATAATATGAAAATTTATTTAAAATATACTTGTTATCCATTATCTTTTGCTGCATAAACAAACCTGCCCAAAATCTTTTGGCTTAAAACATCATTTTTTCCAACTCACTCTTCAGTGGGCTAGCAAACTAGGGCTGGGCTTAGCTGGAATGGTTCTTCTCTGTTCCACACAGTGTTGGCTTGACTCTTTCAGGCATTTGCATTCCGTTAGCAGGTCACCTGGGTCTGCGTGCTCTCACGTGACCTCATTCACGTCTGGCAGTTGGCTGGGGCTTCTCCATTCTCATCTATATTGTCTCTACTAGAGTTTCTCTTGCACGTGTTCACACAGCAATAACATTGGAAAGCTGAGACCAGAACCTGTGGGGCTTCTCGGGGGCCTAGGCTCGAAGTTAGATTGTCATATCCTCTCCGTTCAAGAGAATGGAGAATAGATGCCACATTTCTCTCTCTCTCTTTCTTTTTTTCTTTAGGCTTCAAATGAGTCCTTTAATTTGTATATCAAAGTCATTTTTTCGTGTAGTATATGAATGTTTAATAATTACACTCTAATTTACTTGCCTTGTTTACTGATAGGCGTTTCCACATTTGCATTTCTGACATAACTTCTTAAAAAATTTTACTTCAATAGGTTTTTAGGGAGCAGGTGGTGTTTGGTTACATGAATAAATTCTTTAATGGTGATTTCTGAGATGTCGGTGCACACATCACTCGACAGTGTGTACTTTACCCCAATGTGTAGTCTTTTATCCCTCACCACCTCCCACCCTTTCCCCCAAGTCCCCACAGTTCATTTTATCATTCTTATGCCTTTGCATCTTCATAGCTTAGCTCCCACTTAGGAGTGAGAACCTGTAATGTTTGGTTTTCCATTCCTGAGTTGCTTCACTTAGAATAATGGTCTCCAGCTCCATCCAGGTTGCTGCAAATGCCATTATTTCATTTCTTTTTATGACTGAGTAGTATTCCATGGTGTGTGTGTGTGTATGTGTGTGTATGTATATATATATATATATATATAAAATCTATATCTCACATTTTCTTTATCTACTCATAGATAGCTGGGCATTTGGGCTGGTTCCGTATTTTTGCAGAAAAATAGACTGCATATCTCAATGAAAGAACTGCAAAGAAATGTGTGGTGTTTTATAATCTGCCACATTGTATCTTATTCTGTTGTATAATATAAATTGGTAGAAACTAAATATAAAAATAGCACCTAACTTTTATGATATTTTGGTGGTAATTTGGTATGGTTAGATTTGTTTGAAAGCCAAATTAGAGTTCTACTTAGATGTCCCCATCATGGAACAGGGAATAAATTCTCCATTCTCTTCACAGCCAGTTAAGCGCAACTTATCATTTCTAATAAACTATACTCTTACTTCCCAGATGAGTTCTGCTAGTCTGTTCTTGTCAGAAAGACACATGAGCAGCAGCTTACCAGGTGGCTAGGTTAATTTTTAATTGTCATGTTTATTCCTGTGAAAAATAGATTTGCCTGATGAGCTGAGAAAAATGAAGGAGATGCAAAAATGGTGGGTTGAATTCTCACAGTGTCCAATTTACTGTCTTGGAAGATACACAATTGCTGTGTTGACGAGGGTTTGGGAAACAGATATCCTGGTGGTGGGAATATAAGTTGGCAGGTCCATTCTGAAGGGCACTTTGTAGATTTCTACGACATCCAGTCATATAACATTTTAAAAGTAGGCCTCACCTGTTCCTTCTTATTGGGCATACTTAGGGATCATTTCCCCAAATGTGTTCCAAACGGCGCTAGTTCTAGTAGAAGTAAATGGGTGGCTCCAATCAAATGTTTTCTTGGGCAAACTAGTCTGGGAAATACATCATATTTCCCATGCAAAGAGAACTATTTTCTGTGGGGCCTTGGGGAAGGGGGAAGGGAGTGCTGCTTCTAATAGCTCAGATTGCTCATATCTTCAGGATGGACCAAGGAAACAAAGGCATTTTAAGGTACATTATTGTACTGTGGTCCCTCAACCCCAGAGATCTCTTGCCCAAATGGTAATGCAGCTGATTGTCCGTTGGGGCAATATCAAGCTCTGAACTTCAGTGGTATACTGTGCCAAGTTGTTTTCATTTAAAGATGTTAAAAAGAAAAACTGAAAGGCACAAGTTAAACCAGGGAGTTTTGTCCAGAGCAAAATGTGTCACTAAGAATTGTCAATTGGAAGTTTGCTGCTATCAATATTTGGGCCAAAAATATTTATGAAATTGCCAATCACACGCAGTTTCTCCATCGCCAAAACTATACTTCCTCTTTACTCCAATCTGGGGCAGAGAGTTATAGCCCAGAGTGTTGGTCAGTCAGTCTCTGAATTAACACAACAACATTAACTAGTACCTGTTGAGACCTCACGTTGCATTAACTATGTGCTAGAAATACAGTGTTAGAAATGAAGGATGTTTCCACCATAACTGAGCTCTTCCCTCCAAATATTCACTCCCTTGTTTTTACTTTTCTTATTTAGAGAGACAGTATATAGCAACATGATCAATAGTATAAAGAAAATTGTGAAAAACTCTGAAATTCAGTGGGTGTCCTGACTATCCAACTGGGCTAGCTTTGCCTTTGTTTGCCACGGTCTCGTCAATTTTACAACTCTGTAAGAAAGCTGATAGAAATGCAAATAATTCCTGTCCATAGAACAGCAAATTGAGTTTGGAAAAATGGAATTGATTATTGCTGTGTGGATATTGACTGCTTTTGCTAGTTCTGCAATCGTTTGTAAATTCATTTCTGCTTTCCTTATCTGACTATAAAGATTCTTTTTGAACCATGTCAAAACTAGTCGTTCTCTCATTAGGTAATACGTTACATAATTTTTTGACATTTTATCTTTTATTTGTGTGTCATGATTATGTCCTCTTATAAAAGTTATCCTTGAATACTAGCGTGTACTCTTAAGTCTAGTTGCCTGAGTTCAAAGTCAATTGTCTGGCTCTGCCACTTACTTGAAGGGACTTACTTACTTTGCTCCAGTTTACCTAAATCTGAGCCTTTGTTGACAGGCTTATTTTGTAGAATGAGAATAATTGTAGTATTGTCAGAGGCATTTGAACCAGAGCTACTCCATCTTGAATAGGGGCTGCGTAAAATAAGGCTAAGACCTACTGGGGCTGTATTCCCAGGAGGTTAGGCGTTTTAGTCACAGGGTGAGGTAGGAGGTTGGCACAAGATACAGGTCATAAAGACGCTGCTGATAAAACAGGATGTGGTAAAGAGGCAGGCCAAAACCCACCAAAACCAAGATGGCGATGAAAGTGACCTCTGGTCGTCCTCACTGCTCATTATATGCTAATTATAATGCATTAGGATGCTAAAAGGCCCTCCCACCAGCGCCATGACAGTTTACAAATGCCATGGCAATGTCCAGGAATTACCCTATATGGTCAAAAAAGAAAAGGAACTCTCAGTTCTGGGGGAAATCCATACCCCTTTCCTGGAAAACTTACGAATAATCCACCCCTTGTTTAGCATATAACCAAGAAATAACTACAAGTACACTCAGTCAAGCAGCCTATGTAGCCATTCTTTATTCCTTGACTTTCTTAATAAACTTGCTTTCACTTTACTCTATGGATTTACCCTGAATTCTTTCTTGCTTGAGGTCCAAGAACCTTCTCTTGGGGGCCTGGATTGGAACCCCTTTCTGGTAACAGTATCTAACTAGTTGAGTTGTTGTGTGGATTAAATGATATACTATGTGTTAAGTACCAGTATCTAGTTAAGCCCTGAAAAATAGGTGCTACCATTATTAATTATCAATATTTATGGAGCAGCAGCTGTTTGACATCAGGGAGGGAACAAAATATACATGGCCTCTGGATTCATGGAACCTGCAGCCTGGTGACTACTCTGAGAAGCTAGTCACTTGCAAAGCAATTTGAAACACCACTGCAAGAAAAAGCACAGTCATGCCTCTCCATTGCATGAGTTGCTTTCTTGTAAAGAAGTGCTTAGTGCGAGCATTACATTTAGACTTTTACTGTCTTCCCTATACATTTATTTCCAAGTTAATACCCAATGATGAGCTACTTGAATTAAATTCTTGTAAGTTTTAATCTCATTCTACCTAATGTGTTTGATAATAGGGTGGCTCTTTCTAAAAACCAAGATTAACTATGTCCCCTTGGGAAAACGTAATTAAGCTGTGAAAGACACAGGCCAGAGGCACTCCAAAGCCTTGCTGTTCAGAATGTGGCACAGGCTCAGCAGCAGCAGCAACAGCAGCAGCAGCAGCAGCAGGGAGCTTGTTAAAATGCAGGTGCTGTCTCAGGCTTCCTGGATCAGAATCTGCATTTTAATATGATCTCCAGGTGATTTGGATGCGCATAAAAGTTTTTAAAGTATTTCTCTGGAAATTCTGACTCCCTCTCCCCACCTAACCCACAGATATATCTCTAGCTGGATGAGTTGCGTGTTTTAAGCATGAACCAGCCTCACCACTCAGTACTGTGAATTTATAAGTATTAGTTCTATTGCAATCTCCTTGAGAGGTAGGTCTCCTTTTCATTAATTTACCCTTAGCAATTAGTATTGTAGCACATAGCACATTGTAAACCCTCTCTAAATACTGGTTGACTGGCTGAATGGATCTGAATTTCCCAACATCATTAGCTCTATACAATTTAGCATCGAGCTGGATTTTTCCAATGAGGCAAACACGTTCTCATGAAGCTCTTCAAAGACACACAAGGAGAAGGTTCTAACACATGGGCCTGATGAATTATGTGTTTTTGATGACTCATTAAAGGAAGAGGGAGAGGTGAAACCAAGGGTTACTCTATTCCAGGAGGCAGCGTTGTGTAATGATAAACACACACATTTTGATGCCTCCAAAGTCTAGGCTCAAATCCTGGTTCTGTTCCCTACCAGCTTTATAGTATTGTGCCAAATTTCTCTGAGCCTCAGTTTCCTCATCTCTCAAGTGGGAAATATAATAAGCTTATGCCTTAGCTTGGATTTCCCTGAAAGCAAATTCTGAGATAGGGATTTGGGTGAAGATAGTTTATGGGGGCAGGGAGGGATGGAGGATCCTTGGTATTGAGAATGAAGTAGTGGGAAGAGTAAACAAAGGACTAAGAAAAGTCATAAGCATTTTGATCAAGAACCTGCTGAGAAACATAGGGAATGCCTCCCAGAATGGTTCATTAGAAGGATGGGAGGTAGGTCCCCCATTGGTTGAGGGGTGTCCTCAACAGTAGTAATTCCTTCGCAATGGCTTGTCCCAGGTGAGCCTGTTCTCAGGAGGCAGAAGCAGAAACTGGGGTGCTTGAGGTGCACCTGAGACTGAACAAAGCTGGCCTCTGCAGCTGCAGATGAACTCAGAGGTCACAGCACCATCAATGTCTGTTACAGCTTTCCAAGAGGATCCAGTGAAATCACATTTGCAAAGCCAGGTATCACAAGTGCTCGAAAAATGCTAGGAGTGTCACCCACTCAGTGCTGCTTTGGGGAGCTTCAGTTTCACTCCTCACTTTCGAGAAGTGCAAACAATTCTGTTGACACTTTCCCATCCTTGCATTCTCTCTCCTTCCTCTTCTTCTCACTCTGTATGCCCTCAAATAAGAATAAATCTTGTCTGGATGGCAATAAGAAGCAAATCTAATCAGATTTGGGAGATGTGGTCAAAGCTCAGAGAATAAACGGTTATACAGATCCTTTCCCGTTCCGTTTCTGTTTCCAGCCTGCCATTTTTACCTCACTGCAAAGAGAAAATGGAATTGATGGAGATATAGGAAAAATATGTATGTATGTGTGTATAGATACAAACCAATATATCTATATATATTTACATTGGTACCCAGTAAGAGTGAAAACTCTAAATGGTTGTTGTCAGGGACAATGTGTGTTTTCCCAGATTTTGTTCTGTGAATTGAAACCGACTTTGCTATTATAAATGCATCACTATAATTGCCCTGATTTAGCCTGGCAGTTATGACTCCTGCTCAGAGCCAAATGTCTCCCAGCCAAGACCCAGTGAGCTTGCCAAATTGTTTCACCTCTTTTATTGTCAGAACTCATCGCCCCTCCTCACACTGTTGTGCTTTTCTATAATATTTTAGGTATATTAATCATAAATCCTGGAATTGTTTATCTACAAAAAATTGAAGTCAGGGAGTCATGGAATAGTCATTTATCATGGGCTTTGGCTCAGTGACTTGAAACTAAAAGTAGAAGAAAAACAAAAGCACTGATTGTGTAGAGGTGGCCAAATGCCTGGAGGTTAAGTGAAATGAAATTAAAGAAAAAAGAAGTCCTCTCTGATCCTTAGCAGAAATTATTCACTTTCTGAAAGAAGCTTTTTCTCTATTGAGACTTCTATTTGGAAATGTATATTATAGATTTTTTTTTGCCTGTTAATCTGCTAAATGTTCATTTAACAATAGAAAATGTTTGATAATAAAACCATTGCTTTTTCTGATAGAGGTACTTCAATTATGAGGATTTTATAAACGTGTTCTAAGTATTCAATGCTTAATAGTGGGGTTGCTATACTATTGGGTGAGATATCAACCTGGTGTGCTGGCAGACTTACTTCTACACAGAAAGAGACTTTTTGAGAATGAAGCCAATACAAGCAAAACAGAGCCTAGATGTTGATGACACCTGATGGTCCTGGATACAACCATGCCTGAAGCTGGTTTTCCTGCTGCATGAGCTAATATTCCAGCTTTTACTTAACCCATTTTTAGCCAAATTTCTATAACTTGCCCTTAAAAGTCCTAATTAATACATTTGTCCAGCATGTCACCTGCTTTTATCATTTTTAAGACAAAAGTTATCTAACTCAGCCTGAAATGTAAAATCTCAAAGAAAAGTGCGTTGAATATGTGCTGCTGAAATGTGTGCTTCCATCATTAAAAAAATCCACCTGACATTTCAATTTAAATAATGGACTTACAGCTTTCATTAATATTTAAAATAGCCTTGTATGTTTTGCAAGATTAAAAGTGATACAAGCAGAATCAGGGTTATTATTTAACAGGACAGGTGACTTTGTTTATTTAATATTATAATAAATGTTATTAAATATTGAGATAAGAACATTTAACATGAGATCTATCCACTTAGGGAATTTTTAAGTTTACAATACACCATTGTTGGCTATGGGACAGTGTTGTAGATTATATCTCTAGAACTGTCCCATCTTAATTAACTGAAATTTGTGCCCAACTTTCCCACTTCCCTCTTCTCCAAGTCCCTCATTCCAGTCTTTGACTCTGTGAATTTGTAGTTGTAAAACACACTAAAAAGTTATCACAGGCATTTTAATGTTCTGGAGGCTTGACCAACATCTGCTGCATGTCTAGGTATTTCTGAAGTCATCTCTAAAAAGGTAAAACTTGGAAATAATCCTATTTCAGTAGAGTAATTGACATCTTGCAGATATTATAATAGAGCAGAGAAGTGGGATCAAGTTATCAAAATGTACTTGGCATATTTTATTGATCGTTTTTTTCCTGGTTTAAAAACTGAGAAAAGGAAGCCCAGGTGTTTGTAAACAACATTTCATGTGACCCATCTCCATATATACCACCTTCTGGTAGCTTCCACACATTTGATCTACTCATGCCTTTTCCATACCCCACCAAGGTCATTTAGTAAAGAGAAGGAGAGATTTGGAGTGTGCAATCACAAGTGTGGATAGTGAGAAGTGATTAATAGAAGTAGGTAGGCAAAATGCATCTTCTGTAAAAGGGATGTGGAGCTGTTGTAGAGTTGTTCTCTAGTTTACACCTTAACAAATAGCAGTTTAGAGATTGCTTGTGGGGGTTGTTAGTGTGTTAGGTTATAGGATTAGCTATGTTGTTGTGGCGATTTGCTTAATTAATGGCAACAACTGGATGTTGAAATTGGGTGGTAGTTTGAATGTTTGGTAGCACATGATTCTATCGTGGAGAGTGTTTATGCTTTTAAATGATGATGTTTTAAAAAGGCAAAATCCTGACCTTCATGCAAATACAAAATGAAGATGTGTCAAAGATTTTCTTTCATTTATTAATTGATAAGGGAATCAATAAGATGTTACAACTGGTGCAAAGGAGAATCCAAAGAACAGACAAATATATAGCTCATCAAATGCTGAAATGAATTTCTTTAGTAAATACAAAACTAGTCAATATCCACTGGACAATAATCAATGGCATGCCACCAAATATAGTTGGCATTCCTGTGGACAAGAGTCATTTCCATTCCTCTTAGTTTTTAGCTCAAAGACAATGAAACATGGAGATAACCTTGATGTATGAGCTGGACAAGGAATCTACTAATCTTAATTTTGTTCCTAATGGAAAATCTTTCACATGTCTTCATAATGTCTCAGCACAAGATGCTTCTTTTATGGGAAATTTTGTCTTGCTATCATGTTTAGAATAAAATCCCAACTCCTTAGCATGACCACAGAAACTTTACAATGCGAGTCTTTCCTATCTTCCTGATCTTATATCTAACATCTTCCCACTTCTTTCCCTGCCACTTCCTACTCACTTTTTTCCCCTTTGCCTTGAATGTCAGAAACCTCCCAGAGTTGAGCACCTGGTGTATTAGTCCGTTCTCACACTGCTATAAGGACATACCTGAGACTCAGTAACTTATAAAGGAAAGAGGTTTAATTGACTCACAGTTCAGCATGGCTGGAGAGGCCTCAGGAAACTTACAATCATGGTGGAAGGGGAAGCAAACATGTCTTTCTTCACAGGGAAGCAGGAAGGAGAAGAATGAGAGACAACTGAAGGGGGAAGCTCCTTATAAAATCCTCAGATCTCGTGAAATCTTACTGGCCTCTCAAGAATAGCATGGGGAAAACCACCCCCATGATTCAATTAGCTCCCACCAGGTCCCTCCCATGACACATGAGGATTATGGGAACTACAATTCAAGATGAGATTTTGGTGGGGACCCAGCCAAACTATATCATCTGGGTATGCTGTCTTCTTCAACTAGAAAACTCTGGCTCTGTATTTACAGGTTTCAGTTCAAATCCCACCTTCTGAGCGACATTTTTCTGACCATCCAATCAAAAGTATTTATCTGTGTCAATCTCCCTCATACTACCCTTCTTGATCCTCTTCATAGCACTTATTATTCCAAGCAACCTTGTATAATTTTACGGATTACATTTTATATATTGTCCACCCCTTCCCCTACTGTAAGCTCAATGAGGACAGTGAATTTGTCTTATTCACTGCTGTATCCCTGGTTCCTAGGACAGTGTCTAGCACATGGAAGCTACTGTATAATTATTTATATGTTTAAAACTATATTTATTCTTTGGAAATTTATTTGTGCAGTACTGTCTTAGTTATGATAACTTTAGACAACCCTACCTATTGCAGATGTAACCCCCAATCCCCAAGTCTCTGTGGCTTTAATGCAACAAAAGCTCATTTCTTGTTTAGGTAAGAGTCCAGGAAAGGTGTCCTGGTTGGATGGCTTTTGTCTAAAGTCCTGGATTCATGGATCCAACTTCCTTACATCCTGCTCTCACACCATTTGCAATACCTGGCTTCCAAGGTTGCTTGGTTCATCTGGAATGAGTCAAAGAAGGGAAGATATATGGGAAGGTTTATGGGCAGACTGGGAAGTGGTATACATCACTTCCTTCATATTCCATTGTCTGGAATTCAGTTATGTAGCCATGCCTATCTACAAAAAAGAGAGAGAGAACTCTGCTCCAGCCCTGCACCCAGAAAGTAAAGAAAATGTGCTGGGCATTGTGCTGGAAACAGGGACTTAGCTGTGAGCAAATGAATATTTTCAAAATTAGAGCTTTTATGAGTATAGGATAAGTTGTTCCGGACAGAAATGCTTATCAAAAAAAAATTTAAGATTTTAAATATTTTGTTGTAAAAAATCAGAGAATATATGAAACAAGGGATTACAAGTTAATATTTGGAAATAATATTTTCGGGCCAAGCCTAAACAAAGGATTTGAAAAGAAGAAAGTATAGCAGAGGGAATTTGAAAGCAGAAATATGTTAGATAAAGCAGCTTTTGGCTCTAAAAGCCAAAATCAAATATTATGTTTTCCAAAAGAGATTTCAGGTATAAAGTTGAACTTTGTCACCTGAAATAACTGAATTATATTCTCTTTCCTGTTTGTAGACACTCAACCCTATAATGATAGTTGAATCTAATAAAATGCAAATACTCATTTTAACTGGAGTCGACTGATTTTATAGACACAATTGTTACTAGATTTTCCTATGAGAATGATGACATAATTGAATTGCTCCTTTTAATCCTTTTTCTTAATATCTGTTTAGATGGAAATAAGAATTTTGCCAATAGGAACATATTAACTGGATTAATTTCCAGTTCTGTGGGACATTTTTTTCCTCTATAAGAAAAAACATCTCTCCACTCAGTATAGATCCACTATGACAAATTAGTATTGTCCTTTGTTCACAGCTCACAGTAAGAGAAATGTAAGCAGGTATTAGCCACCCCCTGCTCTTCCAATAGAGGGTAATTTTAATGTCTTGCAATTTGAAGACTTAAAAAAGAAATCACACCAAGGTAAATCATTCCTTTCAAAATCCAGTAATAGAATTTGTCATGAAGGTCAAAATTATCTAGGAAAGAGAGAGCTAATTCATGTGTGTAAAGCAAAAGTGGGCTGTAGGTTAATACTTAGGTTTAGTGAAATGTTGACTTTTGGCTTCTATGTTTTTATAGGTTATTAAATAAATCAGCCTAGAAAATGATTTGCTTTACTCACACTGTGCTTATGAAGCAACACAGCAACCAAGCCAAGCCTAACTTTTCAGTATCAATCTCATCTATAGACTTTGGTTTGGCTGTCTTAATATGTTTGAGAAACAATCCTCTTAAAGATTGTAATTACAACCTGTTGGGATTGTAGCTATTTTGTAGTTAGCAATAAGAAATTTGCCTACATCAAATAGGGAGTGATGGCATGTGCCCTCTCTTCTAAGACACTTACAGTGTATTAGTTATCTATTGCTACCTAACAAATTACTCCAGAACAGTGGCTGAAAACAACAAACAGTTATTATGTCACATGGTTTCTTAAGTCAAAAATTCCAGAGCAGCTTAGATGGGTGTCTCTGGCTGAGGTCTGCCTTGAAGGCCCAGTCCAGACATCACTGGGGCTGCAGTCGTTTGAAGGCACGATGGGGGCTGGAGGATTCACCTCCAAGAAGGGTCATGGTGCAGGTTGTTGCCAGGAGGCCTCAGCTCCTCACCATGAGAACTTTTCCATGGGCTGCTTAGGTATCCTCATGTTATTACATGTGGCTTTCCCCAGTGTGAGTGATCCAAGAGGGCAAAATGGTACCCGCAACTTCACTTATGACAAGCTTCGGAAGTCACACTCTGTCTTTTTACAATATCCTAGTCAGCCCTATTCAATGTGAGAGGTTTTGACATATGAGAAGATGGGGATTGTTGAGACCATCTTGGAGGCTGGCTACCACAATAAATTTATTGTGAAATAAATTAGAAGGCATATCACAATTTTGAGGGTCTTTAAGTTGGTAAATGACAAATAAATAAATACGTGCAACTTAGCAGAAATATGGTATTTTGCTATTTAAGAGCAAACTGGTAATCATGAGATAAACTTTTGATGGACCTTGAAATGCACTAACTCATAGGCTTAATAGCAACAATTCTTTGTTCTATGTAATTAACACACTGGCTCAAAAAACAAGTATCTATTTCTGGCAGGGAGAATAAAGCAGAAAACAATCACACTATAGTTTTCTCTGGAATGTATCAGCAAATATGTACCCTTCTGTACACTTAGCTGGTGAACATCCAAGAAGCTATTTGACTTTCTCAAGAGATGGTAGATTCCTGCTAGAGTCTAGTTCTCAACGATATTTGTTAGTATATTATCTTAAAAGCCTCCTACATTTAACTTTTGAAACCCGTTTTATGAAGCATTTAAATGTGAAGTTTGTTGAATTATCTGCAAGTAATACGGTTATTTTATACATGGAACCAGTAGGCGTGAATATGAGAAAAAGATGGGATTACTCATGGACCATTGATTTTTTCATTTGCTATTGTAGTAAATCCTCTAGTTTACCTTGTATTAGATCAATTAAACCTAGAGTCATAAGACTTTGTTTCAAACTAACTGTGAACTTGGACCAATCAATCAGTCACTAAGCCTATGAGTTAGTGCATTTCAAGGTCAATCAAAAGTTTATCTCATGATTACCAGTTTGCTCTTAAATAGTAAAATACCATATTTCTGCTAAGTTGCACGTATTTATTTATTTGTCATTTACCAACTTAAAAACCTCTCCAAGTCTAAATTTCCTCTTATATAATGTTCATTCATTTATGTGCCTATCACAGGTATTTGTGTCTTATACTATTCTAGAAGTTGGAAATGCAGTGATGAACAAGAGAGAGAGTTCCTTCTCACATGCCCTTACATTTTAGTGGGGGGCACAAAATAATCACATAGCTATACGACAAGGCAGTTGATATGTGCTAGGAGGAAACATTATCAGGGTTGTGGAGGGTGCAATTTCAGATAAGAAGTTAGGGAAGGCTGCTCTGTTGAGAACAGACCTCTGAAGGAAAGAAGGCACAGGGTCATACAGAAACCCGGAGGCAGGGTTTAAGGCAATACATTGGAAAGTGTCTGATGTGTTTTAGGAACAGAAGGACCACCAGGTGGTTCAAACCCAAAGAGTTATGAGAAGGGAAGTGTGAAGTTTGTCGAGATGATGAGAGCTGTCTGTGTTTCACCATAAGGATTCTGGAATTTATCTGACAGACCGAGGAAGCCACTGTAGGATTTTGAGCAGAGAAGTGACATCATCTGACTTAGGTTTTAAAGGTATCAATGTGGCTGCTGGGTGAAAAATGAATAATAAGGAATCAAATAGGGATGAATTGTCATTGAATGGAGCAACACTTGCATTAGCCGAGGTGAAAGGCAAAAGCGATTGTGTGGGTATTGCCAGTGGGCAGAGTTGGGGAGAAATGGTTGCAGTCTAGATGCCTTTCAAAGGTACTATCTCTTTGTCTTCTAGATTTATGAAGACCATTAAATAAGATAACATATGTAAGAACACTTTGTGTGTGTCCTATCCTGTTAAGAAAAGCCATCTCATATGCATTTTTATTTAGCTGCTGACTTAACTTCTTTATAATGCTCATTTTTCCCTTAACAACATTTTTGAAAACTATTCATGTGTATTAGTCTTATTAAAATGAATGTTCAAACCAGGTTGACAAGCAGGTAATGTAGACTTTCCCACCCCTCCCCTGTTTACCCAAGAGATTTGGTAGTTACCTTAAAGGCAGAATGTTATAAGTACTGAGATATCTGCAGTTTTTTCTTCTTCTTTGGGCATAAAAATTATTAAATGAGGAAGAAGGTTGCATTTTATAAGTGATTTGTTGGACAATTTAGGGTGGTTGTTTTGTGTGTTGTTGTCTAACATTATCTAAAATAAATATAAACCATCCATGTAAATTTAGATTTTGTAGCAGGCACATCATAAAACATAAAAAAAATGTAAAATCAATTTTTATATCTATTGTATTTAACCCAGTGTATTAGTCAGCATTCCCATAGAGACAGAACTGATAGGATATGTATATACAGTCATCCCTCAGTATCTGTGGGGGACTGGTTCTAGGATGTCCTCTCAGATACCAAAATTTGCAGACATACAAGTTCCTTATACAAAATGGTATAGTAATTGCATATAACCTATGCACACACTCCCATGTATTTTAAATCATCTCTAGAGTCCTCATAATACCTAATACAATTTAAATGCTATGTAAATAGTTGTTATACTGTGTTTTAAATTTGCATTATTTTTATTGTTGTATTGGGGGGGTTTAATTTCTTTCAAATATTGTGGTTTTGTGGTTGGTCAAATCAGAGGATGTGGAACCTGCAGGGACAGAGGGCCTACTGAATGTGTATGTATAGACATAGATATAGACATATACATAGACACAGACATGTAGCTATAGACAGACATAGATATAGATATATAGACATAGACACAGACACATACAGATATAGACATAGACACAGACACAAATCCAGACATACAGACATAGACACAGATATAGATACAGACATAGATATAGCTGTAGACGTAGACATAGACACAGACACAGACATAGATATAGACAGACATGGATATACACGTAGACATGTAGATATAGACTCAGACACAGACGCAGATGTGTGTATCTAGACATAGACACAGACATATATAGACATAGATATAGATATATGAGAGGGAATTTATTAGGGGAGTTGGCTTACAGGATTATGGAAGCTGAGAAGGCTCATGATAGTCCGTCTACATTCTGGAGCCCCTGGGATGCTGGGAGCATGGCTTAGCTCAAGTCCAAAAGCCTCTGAACCAGGGAAACCAATGACATAATCCTCAGTCTGAAACTGAATGCTTCAGGACCCAGGGAGGTGCTGGCACAAATCCTTGGGTACCCAGGACAGAGGGCCTGGAGTACTGATGGCCAGGAGCAGGAGGAAGAAAGAGTCCCAGCTCTGAAGGGGAGATAGAAAAGAAATCCTTTCCTTTCCTTTTTTATTCTATCTTGGCCCCCAGCCCATGGTATGGTGCCCACCCGCACTGAGGGAGATCTTCCCCACGCAGTCCATTGACTCAGGCACCAGTTTCCTCTGGAAACTCCCTCACAGGCACACCCAGACATAGTGCTCTACCAGCTCTCTAGGTATTCCTTCATTCAGTCAAGCTGACACCTAAAATTAACCATCACATGCAATATATTCAAGGTATTATAATTTCAATATGCAATCAATATAAAAAGTCATTGTTGAGATAGTTCACATATTTTTGGTACTAAGCCTTTTGAGTCTAGTTTGTATTTCACACTTATAGCACATCTGCCTGCCTTATCTCCAACCCCAACAAGTGGTCCTAAGCATGCAAACATTCTTTGCCCTTGCTCATCTAGGAGGAGCTCATTCCCTGTGGAGGTTTTACTTCTAGATTTCTTTGTGTCCACATTTCTTTGGGCTTTAAATAAAAGTAAGAGTTTTTTCCCCCCCTCTTTGTTTTTTCAATGATTTCTTACTGATTGGTATAAAAGTCTTCCCTGTCCTTCTCTGTTTGTTCTTGATTTCAGCTTATTTGTCTGAAAGTAATAGAAATTCCTTCAAATTAGCTTAGGAAAAAATAAGTGAAATTGTTGTAAAAACACACAAGTGTCCCAGACTTTCAGGGAAATGGTAAGCGATGCCTCCAGGAGAACAAGAACCAGGAACAAAAAAGCCATCAGGAAGCAGAGAGGAAGAGCCTTTTTTTTTTCTTTTTCTTTTTTTTTTTTTTTGAGACGGAGTGTCACTCTTGTTGCCCAGGCTGGAGTGTAGTGGTGATCTTGGCTCACTGCAACCTCCGCCTCCTGGGTTCAAGTGATTCTCCTGCCTCAGCCTCCTGAGTAGCTAGGATTACAAGTGCCCACCACCATGCCCAGCTAATTTTTGTATTTTTAGTAGAGACGGGGTTTCACCATGTTGGCCAGGCTGGCCTCGAACTCCTGAACTCAGGTGATCCACCCGCCTCAGCCTCTGAAAGTGCTGGGATTACAGGCATGAGCCACTGCGCCCAGCAAGGAAGGTCTTTTTCATTATTCTCGCTCTGGGGCTCAGGTGTCTGGTAGTTACACATTTGTGCTTCACTTTTTTTCTTCTCTTTTCAGTTTTCTCTGCTTCGTTTTACATAAAGAAAATTGGCCACCCTTGCCATGGCACAATATTGTTTCCCAGCTCTTTTCCCTTCAGCTGACCAACATGTCAGTGTCCTATTCCACACTCCTAGGAAGGAGAAACTGCTTAGCACAACTTTCATGAGGGGTCCACTCTTAGTCCAATCAGCTCTTGCCAAGGGCCAGGGTCTTTCCATATAAACATGGCTGTGGTGACTCACTCCTGTGCTTAGACAGCTCTTAGAGAGAGGGGATCTGACATCTTCTCTCCAGATATTCTAATAGGTGATTTAAAAATAGAACCCTCTAACTCACTTTGCTCCAATCTCACTCATACTCACCAAAAAGAGCCTTAGTGTAAAGTATTATTTGGACATTATTATTGGAGGCCATATTGGTATATATTTATGAAATGTCTGACATCAATTAGCATACATATTAAATGTCAATCTTATTCTCAAAAACTAATTTAGAACTGTCTAACCATCTTTTTTTTTTCCAGAAACTAATTTGGAAGTGTCTAACCAGCTATTGTAACTGAGAGCCCCATTTTCCTAAAAGTTATCTTTACCTTTTCTGTTTTTCCTTGTGTGTTCACCTCTTACTTCGCTCTTTAAGAATGCAATTGTAACTGTTACCTTCTCTCCACCAGGCAGTTCCTGCACGGCAAGCTTATCTAACTATATGTTTGCTTAGAAATTCTAAGGACCAAATGTTGGACCAAACCGTGCACCCTCAGGGATTCTCTCCTACCATGAGATTGACAATGGTCAATTTATAGCCCAGCTTTACCCAAGATGGTGCCAGACAGACCATCTAAGGGGTAAGACATTGAAGCAAGTTATGGGGACTCCACACCTCCTCATTCTCTCTCCTGCCTGCCACTCATGCCAAGTGCCCCCATCCACCTTTTTTTGAGACAGGGTCTCACTCTGTCACCCAGGAGTGCAGTGGTGCGATCATGGCTCACTGCAGTCTGGAACTCTTGGACTCGAGTGATCCTCCCACCTCAGCCTCCTGAGTAGCTGGGACTACAAGCATGCCACCACACTGGGCTAATTTTTTGTATTTGTTGTAGACATGGTTTTTTTTTTTTTTTGCCATGTTGCCTAGGCTGGTCTTGAATTCCTGGGCTCAAGCAATCCACCCACCTCCACCTTCCAAAGTGCTGGGATTACAGGCATGAGCCACCATACCCAACACCAAGTGTCCCTTTTAAAGCCCCTGCTTTCTGCCCCAAAAGCTGAAGTGTTTCCCTTAGAGGCAGGAGCCTGTACTGTTTCCCCTCAGCTAAGCTCTGGAGTAAAGCTTGTTTAATTTCTACCAAACCTTCCTCTTGTTAACTGGACTTGGCAAGCAGCAAGAGGCCAGACCTGCATTTGGTTATACTATCTTCTCCAATAGCAAATTAGCAGATTACAAATCTCATTGAATAATCAGAAAGTAATTCTCATTTATTGCCTAAACACAAGTAGCAGTAGTCTTCTCCTGTGCACACTCATTGAAGTTTTTTTTTTACTGATTAATGTAAAAAAATTTAAGATCTATATTCAATTATAATTATGGACATCTTACTAGGGTCCTGAGGGCAGATAACAAAGTACATATGAATGGCAAAATGAGTGTAGAGTGAGCGAATGATATTCCTTCATAGTCTTGATTTGAGTTTTAAGTTTGGGGGGGGTCCATTGAATAATTTATTGATAAAGAAGTTTGCCTATATGTGGCTCTCACTGTTAGCCAATCCAATGGCACTATACATATGGATGAGATACTAGGTCTTGTCTTCTCAATGATATCAACATAAATTACTCACCTGTTTATCTTCTCTCAAAATATTTAGACAATATTGATTCTATCAGGGCAGTAACTAGCTTAATGTCTCCCTAATAAACTTCCATTTAAGAAGGAAGAGATTTATGCCTACCAATGTTAGCAGCAAAATAATGTGTCCATTCAGGCAGGTCCTTCTGGGGTTGGGAGGTTTTCTTTTGGAATCTGGAATGCCCCATAAATCAACACAAGGCCTTAAGTACTGAGGTCATTACAGAATTATTGGTAAAACATAGTGTTCGAATATAATGAAACACAGGCCACATACGTGTCCATAAACATGAAGCCCCATAGTTCAGCAGTTACAAGCCCAGAATGCAATGTATTCGATGACAATTTTCAAGATGAAGAGTTGTAGAGCTCAACCACGTACTAAATATATCGAAGATTTAGAATTGATCTATAGTCCACCGAGGCCCTCTGATTACTTACTGATGTCAGCATCACTCATGAATTATGTGTCTGTGTGTTCCTCATGAATATAAATTCCAATCTCTCTGGCGTAGTTATATGGAGTTAGATCATTTGTGTGATGACATTTCCCATGTGCTGAGGGGGAAAGGGAGACATTTTATAGTGTTTAAAAAACATGAACAGTTTTCTGGCACGAAGAAAATCATCAAGAGCCCAGAAAAACACAACGTGTCTCCCATCTCCTGCTAACATACAATAGTCAACTTAAACCCTAACAATAATTGTATTTCAGATCATATTTGCCCTCTCTGCTTCTCACCTTCTGCATCATTTCTTGTTAAATTCAGAAAAAAATGTAGTTGTCTTAATCAAAAATTGTTTTCTGGCAGTCTTTAGTTGGAGGGCTCTAGCTTTCATGGAGATCATTTGGGCTCAAAAATGAATTAGTTACTTTCTCTTTTCTAGTTGTTTTTTTTAAAAGTGGAATTAGTAAGCATCTGTATCAGTGAGGATTTTCCAGAGAAATAGAATCAGTACGGGGAGATAACAAATGATGGATGATAGATAGATAGATAGATAGATAGATAGATAGATAGATAGATATTCATTGAATCCAAGGAATTCATTTATATAATTAAGAAGGTTGGTGTCCTTCTTAATTCGTCTGTTTTCACACTGCTGATAAAGACATACCTGAGACTGCGTAGTTTATAAAGAAAAAGAGGCTTAATGGACTTACAGTTCCACATGGCTGGGGAGGCCTCACAATAATGGTGGAAGGCGAAAGGCACGCCTTACCTGGTGGCAGACAAGACAGAATGAGAACCAAGTGAAAGGGGGAAACCCTTTATGAAAACATTAGATCTCATGAGACTTATTCACTACCAAGAGGGCAGTATGGGGGAAACTGCCCACATGATTCAATTATCTCCCACTGGGTCCCTCCCACAATATGCGGGAATTATGGGAGCTACAATTCAAGATGAGATTTGGGTGGGGACACAGCGAAACTATATCAGTGGGCAAGTCTGAAATCTGTAGGATAAGACAGAACACGGGGAACTAGGGCAGGATCTGATGTCTTGAGTCCTGTGTCTTGAGGCAGAATTTCTTCTTCTGCAGGGAAACCTCAGTTTTGATCCAGAGGTCTTTCAACTGATTTAGATGAAATCCTCTTGGATTATCAAAGACAATGTCCTTTAAAGTGAAGTCAACTGATTGGAGATGTTAACTCCTTCAAGTACCTTCACAGGAACACTTAGATTAGTGTTTCTAATGATAGCCTAGCTGGGTTGACATTATAAAACTAACCATTGAAGTATCCTTTGGTTGTAAATTGTAGCACAGCTAATCAAACTAACTTCCTAATATTGGCTAAGGCCGACTGAGGGTTACTTATATGCAGGCCCTGTTCTGACACTTTATATGTGTCATCTCATCCCAAGATCTCACTGCTAGTCATGCCAGAGGGTGAGATTTGAAGTCAACCAGTCTGACTCCCAAGGTTGAACACTGAACTGCTATACTATTTTGACTCCAAGTATCTCAAAAGAAAATTTATTCGATTGTATATTTGCATTGTCAATGGGGTGGCTCTAGTTTCAGGTATGGCCAGATCCAGAGCTCAGAGGATATGATTAAGACTTTTGTTTCTCTATTTGCTTTGTTTTCATTCTCAGGAAGGTCATCTTTTTAGTGACAGCTCCAGGTTTATGTTTTCTGAGCTCCAAAACTCCGGAGGAAGGAGAGATAAGAGAACTTCCCTTTCTCGGTAGTTCAGAGAGAATTCCTCAGATTGCCTCTGAGATGCTTGCTTGGGTCATCCACTCATTCCTCAATGAATGACCAAGGTCAGGAGAATGGGATGCGCTGGTAGACCAGGCGTGGGTCGTAGGTCTACTTCTGAGGTGAGCAGTGGTGTACTGTCCCTGCCTGCAGCACCCAGGGTGAGAGTGGGAAAGCTGGATTGTGGTTGAAAATCAGGGTGTCAACATCAGAAGAGGAAATAGATGCTGAGCAGGCAAGAAAGACAGACATCCCCAGTAATTTTTGCCACTGCAGATTAAGAACATCTTCTATAGGATCAACTCCAAATTTCTTACCAGGACTCAAGGAATCCTTCTCAATTCTGTCTCCAGCCTTATTTTCTGCTCTTTTTTTAGTTTGCTGCCATCAGACTGATTTCCCCCTCGTTGCTTCCTGCCATGCCACATCATCCTGCATCCCTCCCTCTTCACAGGCCATTTCCCTGCCGTGACTGCTTTTCCTGGACACACCACTTCGTTTTGCAAACACTGACTCGCATTTTACCATTTTACGAAAGCCTTTATCATGCTGCCATGAATTCATTGATTTGTTCCTTTATTCATTCCTTCATTAACACTTATTACATTCAGTGTAATGCAAAAATGTTGAGGATGTGGTGGGAAACTGGGCAGACCTGGCCCCTCTCCTCATGGGGTCGTCTCCTTTCATGACACTTGATCATGAGCCTAACAAGGTTAGGGTCTGTGCCTGATACACCTTTGTATCTCTGGAACTTAAAGAGTAGCCCCAAAGAAGATGTAAAGGCAAGTGGGGTCTGGAGTCATACCGACCAGGTTAGCAGTCTAGTTCTGCTGTGTGAACTTGGGTGAATTGTTGAATCTTCCTGCACCTCAATGTCCTCTTCTCTAAAATGGGAATAAAAATTTCTACCTTGTTAGATGGTTTTGAATATTCAATAAGATAATGTATATAAAGTGAGCATCATTGCATTTAGCATACGATAAGCATTCAATCAAATAGTAAACAGCTATTATTATAATAAATACTCAATATATGCTTGAATGAATACCTGGTTAAATCAACCATGTGATTGTAATGGCGTCACTTTTCTTGAGGTGGGGAGAAAACAGCTTTCATGGCACTGCCTTCTTTCAAAAGTGAAAGCCCTGGATTTAAACACGAACATAAGAAACTTGAAATGTTATAATGACACTTCAATGTGAAGACATTGACTCATCCCCATAAAACAGCTTCTTCAAAGAAAGGTGATTACAACTTAGGTGTGCTTGGTGGAAATTCTCACTATGCTTCACAACCGAGATTCTTTCCTTGCAGTGTTTTCCGTATTTAATGGAGTTGGGATTCGCGATTCCCTTTGAGAATAGGTAACAAAGCAAAGTTTTATATTTTCTCCCTCAAGCAATGTAATGATTAATGGAATGTATAACTGCCTTCTCATATTATCAACCCATTTACCCAAGGACTCAGTACAGTCCTTTTCATATTATTTTCTATTAAATGATGCATGCCACCCAACATCTGGAGACTTGGCTTCAAATCTGGGCTGAAGCTACAAATAAAAGTGGATTTAATTGTCTCTATTTAGTAGATTAGCAAATTCATAATCGGGCCAGTGCTGTTTCTGGGGGAATTTGGAATGGTGAAGGCTGAGGTACTCTCACTTAAGGCCAGAGTTTGTGAACTGAGTTGGGGAAAGTTAAAAAGAGACTTCTGTTTTTGCATGTGCACACGGAGACAAATGCAGAGACAGACACTGCAGCTGTTTGTCATAGCTAAAAAAGCAAAACGACCTAATTTTCCATCGACAGGGGAAATGAGAAGTAAACTTGTTTATTCATGCAATGGATTATGTTTCAGCAGATCTACGTAAATTGTACATTTATAACTAGGATAAAATGCAACAACATAATGTTGAGCAAAAGACCCCATTTGTCTACATTTTTAAAGAACCGGAAATTATATTATACATTGCTTAAGATTATATGTACACACTCTCACACACACACACACACATATATATCTCAAAGTCTAGAAATACGTGTAATAGTCATCTCAGTAAAGGAGGAAGAAAAACATATGAGAAGTAATACTTAAGTCGTATTTGTAATTTATTATTTTATTTAAAAAGAAAAGATCCAGGCCGGGCACGGCGACTCACGCTTGTAATCCAGCACTTTGGGAGGCCGAGGCGGGCAGATCACTTGAGGTCAGGAGTTCAAGACCAGCCTGGCTAACATGGTGAAACCCCGTCTCTACAAAAATTAGCCGGGCGTGGTGGCGGGCGCCTGTAGTCCCAGCTACTCAGGTGGCTTGAGGCGGAAGAATCGCTTGAACCCGGGAGGCGGAGGTTGCGGTGAGCCGAGATCACAGCCATTGCCCTCCAGCCTGGGTGATAGAGCGAGACTCTGTCTCAAAGTAAATAAATAAAGATCCAAAGAAAATATAAAATATTAAATTTTGATGGTATGTATATGGTTGCAAAAGTATTTTCTGAATGATTCAAATTTTTTAAATAATTAGAACCAATAAAAAGAATAAAAACTTGCAAGAGAATTTTGTGAATGTCAGAAGACTAACACATATTATTGTTTCAGAACTTCTGGAAGGTAGAAAATTCACTCCCAACTTGATAATAATGACAGTTATAAAATGAAAGAATCTTCTATAAATTACTGAATTTTACATGTGCCATAGAAATAATTTCTGGCCCAACAGAGATTAGAAATCAGGGATAATAATAAAGAAAAACAGCTGGCACTTCTAAAATAGCTCATCTCTCCTATTTTTCAGTAGAAGGCCCTTTCTGCTAGTAGAAGTCCTTACATTTCACACTTCTGTTGGACACCTTCATCTTTTCCACCCCTGCTTCAATCCCTGCCTGGCAAATGCATTTCTCTTTTCTTTTCTTTTTTTTTCTTTCTTTCTGACTGAGTTTCGCTCTTGTTGCCCAGGCTGGGGTGCAATGGCACGATCATGGCTCACTGCAACCTCCGCCTCCCAGGTTCAAGCGATTCTCCTGCCTCAACCTCCTGAGTAGCTGGGATTACAGGCACCCGCCACCACGTCCAGCTAGTTTTTTTGTATTTTTAGTAGAGATGGGATTTCACTATGTTGGCCAGGCTGGTCTCGAACTCCTGACCTCAGGTGATCCACCTGCCTCGGCCTCCCAAAGTGCTGGGATTACAGGTGTGAGCCACTGCACCTAGTTGGCAAATGAATTTCTAAGTCAAGATATTTCATCAGAATAGTTTGTACCTCTGGAGTATTTCTTTCCTAGGGTTGCAGTAAGAAAGCATGACAGACTGGGTAGTGTAATCAACAGATTAATTTTCTCACAATTCTGGAGGCTGAAAGTCTGAGATCATTGTGTCTCCTTGGTTGTCAGGGTTGCTTTCTTCTGAGGCTTCTCTTCTTGGCTTTTGGATAGCTGTCTTTCCTCTGTGTTGTCACATGACCTCCCTTCTATTTGCCTCAATATCCTTATCTCCTCTTCTTATAAGGATACCAGTCCTATTGGATTAGGATTCATTCTGACAGCCTCATTTTAACGTAATGAACTCTTTAAAGACCTTATCTCCAAATACAATTACATTCTGTGGTACTATGGGTTAGAGCTTTAACGTGGTAATTTTGAAGGAACACAGTTTACTCTATAACACCAAGATTTCTAGATTAGTTTTCTCTTTATTTTCATTCTACCATCCCACCTCAAGTCATTTTATCTCCACTTCTTATTTTTCTTTTTTTCCATCAAGTTTGTTTGGCTGTTCAGTTGGTTTTCTTAGAAGATTGCTTTGATTATGTAGTGATTCAGGACTTGGGTTTGAAGTTACTTCTCACTTTTAATATTATTTATATATATATGACTTTGGGGATATTATTATGCCTTTCTATGCCCAGTTTTCTCATCTGTAAAATGGAGTAATAATAGTTCCTGCATATTATGTTAGTACCTGTACCACTGATGGTTCATAAAGTGATTTTTAGGTGGAGTGTCCAAGTTTAATTTTTAAAAAACCTTCTACTGATGACAAAGGATGCTTACTTTCTCTTCATAGCAGTAATTCAAAATTTTCTTTATAAATAAAATACGAGTTATTTAAAGTAACTCTGACCTTCAATCTTTTATTATCATGAGAATAATTTCTGAAATAGTATTGTCCTTATTGCAAATGAATATATGTTTATTGTTTTAAAAATTAGGAAATGCAGAAAAGCAAAGAGAGGAAATAAAACTTATTTGTAATTTCACCGTCACAAAATAATCAAGTTTAACATTTTAGAGTGTGTATTTCTGGCTTAGTTCATTTTGTGTTGTTAGAATACCATAAACTGGGTAACTTCTAAAGAACAGAAATTTATTTCTCACAGTTCTGGTGGCTGGGAAGTCTAAGATCAAGGCACCAGCATCTGGCAGGGGCCTTCTAACTGCCCCCTCACATTCAGGAGGCAGAAGGGCAAGGGAGAGTGAGTGCTGGGTTCTCACATGGCAGAAGAACAGAGAAGAGTGAGTCAGTCTCACAAGCCCTTTTAGTGGTGGCATTAATCCATTCGGGAAGACAGAGACCTCATGACCCAAACACCTCCCACTAGGCTCCACCTCCAAGCGCTGTTACAATGGGGATTAAGTTTCTAACACATGAATTTCTGGGGGACACATTCAGACCACAGCACCTTCTAATTATTCTGTCTCTCTCTCTACCTATCATCTTTTACAAGTCTTTCCAATAGTAGCATTGATATGGTTTGGCTCTGTGTCCCAACCCAAATCTCATCTTGAATTATAATCCCCACATGTCGAGGGAGTGACCTGGTGGGATGTGATTGGATCATAGGGTGGTTTCCCTCATGCTATTCTTGTGATAGTGAGGGAGTTCTCACGAGATCTGATGGTGTTAAAAGTGGCAGTTTCCCCAGCGCTCTGTCTCTCCTGTCACCTTACGAAGAAGGTACTTTCTTCTCTTTCTGCCATGATTGTAAGTTTCCTGAGGCCACCTAGACACGTAGAACTGTGAGTCAGTTAAACCTCTTTCCTTTATAAATTACCAAGTCTCAGGTATTTCCTTATAGGAGTATGAAAATGACTAATACAAGCATTAATCCATTATGCTGGACAGTTAGATAAATAGATTGCACCCCTAAAATTCATGTCTATCAGGAACCTCAGACTATGGCCTTACTTAGAATCTTTGTAGATGTAGTTCATCAAGACGAGGTCCTATTTGATTAGGGTCAGGCCTAATCTGATGATTGATGTGCTTCTGAGAGGAGGAGAGGACACACAGAAAGAAACACAGCATGAAGGACACCGTGTGAAAGTGGAAGCAGAGATTGGAGTGGTGCATCTATCACACGAGGATCGCTAAGAACTGCTGGCACCCACTAGAAGCTAGGACACAGGTACACAACAGATTCTCCCTCAGAGCCTCCAGAAGCAGCCACATCTGCCATTGCACTGACTTCATCTCTAAGCTCCGGAGCTTTGGGAGAATACATTTCTGTTGTTTGAAGCTACCCAGTTTGTGGTAATTTTTTATAGCCTCTTTAGGAGGCTATCTATGATATAGATTTTAAAAATGAAAATGGGATTAGATCGTATAAGCCATATTCTTTTGTAGCTTATTTCTTTTACTGAAGCTACTTTAATCTCTTCTGTCATTTAATACTCTTCTGCAATATAGTTTTTAATGTCATAATATTTCCTTTTATGAGAGTACATTAGTTTATCAGTCTCCTTTTATGATTTTAGACTTTGTCATAAAGTTGTTCTTAGAAAAATGACTTGAATGTTAGATTCTCATAAGAATTAAATATGGAGGGACCTTGGCTGTCTTGGTCCCTGCTATATTTATTAAATAGTGCTGGACATGTAGGAAAATTGTCCATCTTATTAGACCTATTGTGTAAAGTAAAATTGAAAGGACATGTGCATTTTTGCAGCTTTGAGAATGTATTGCCAAACTATATATCAGATAATTTTTCAAGTGTGAAACTAAGGGAATAATTTTTATTTTTGTTTGCAAATGCATACAATATGACTATAGCAATTAGATTTGTTTAATCCCAAAGCTCTCATTCCTTTATGAGTCTGGAAGTAGTTTGATATGCAAACCTCCTGATTTAGTTATTTTAGACCACCCATTTCGCCTTCAATTATTTTGATTTTGTATCTTCTTCTCTGGGACAATCATGCCTCATATCATCCAATTAGCTCAAATTCAGAATGTGGGCACAGGAGGCAGAAATTACTCAACAACTTGATGCTTGTTTAGATTTGAGTCATACTTATATTTTAAAAGTAATAATTATAGATTATGATTCAATGAATAATTCTGTATGTTATCAGAAATATTAGTAAGAGAAGCATGAAAATGTGTAATCATAAGGATGACTTCATTGCCAACTATTGAAAGCTATTTTCAATGATTTGTTTTTCCCCAAAGAGCAGATGGCTTAATTTCCTCAACCATCTTCTGGGGAAAAAAACATATATTTAAATAATAAGAAACAGAAAATTCAGTTCATCCTTGTAACATAACAACAAGAAGGTCTTAGCAGTGCTTATATTTCTTTTTACTAAATTATCAGATTAAAGAGAATAAAACCTAATCAGCAAAACCGAAGCCTGGCAAGTTATGAAAATTGAAGAAAATAAGGGAAGACAAAAGGAAAAAAAAAGAGATAAAGGGAGAAAGAAGAGAAGTAAGGAGGGAGAGAAGGAAGGAAAGAAGAAAGGAAGGACGGAAGGCAGTGTAAATAGCAACTCCCCTTTCTAAGAAAAATATTTTAAATTAAACTCAAGCGCACTGCTGCTTCCTGTCTCTTAGCAGTCAAGTACTGTTAGGAGACATTCTGCATTAGAAGGGTATAACTTTGATCAAGATTTTACCAAATAAATTAATTGAGTTTTAAACAAATGCCATCTTTTGAAATACTGCAATCATCAATGACATTGAAAAGGAGACTGAAATCGAACCTTATCTGGTTCCTGTTTTGTGACAGGTGCTATGTTCACTGTTGTGTTTGGTCTTCACAACAACCTGGTGAGCTAGATGCTTATGTCTGTTTTTAGCATGTGGAAGATTAATTCAGGGTTTGAAAGTATTTTGTTTAAGGTCAAGTAAAATGTGGAAACAGCGTTAAAAGCAAGTTACCCCTGACTCCACATCTCCTGCTACTTCTGCTCTTCTAGGAGGGTCGTCCTGGAACAGAGACTTAAACGTATGCCAAGGGAGCATGAGCAAGGAGGGCGAGCAGGCTACCGTGGATGGGTGCAGCTGGAGAGGGTGCAGTGAAAGAGCGTAGTAGGAGATCAACTCAGTGAACCAGCCAAGGTAGGATCACCTAAACCCACGTAGGCAATGGGGGGACTTTGTTCCATTCTAGTAACACAGAAAGCCATTGCTGGAGTTTCAGCAGAGAAATGATACGATCTGTCTTAGGTTTAAAATACCTGTTGTTCAGAGAATGGGTTGTAGAAGTTTAAGAGTCGAAACGGGAAGGCCTTTTGGAAATGTATTACAATAATCCAGGATCCAAGCAAGGCATGATGGTGCTTTAGACCAAGACAATAACGATACACATGAAAGCTATGGATAGATTCTGAACATGTCTTGAAAGTGCAGCCAAGATAATTTCTTTGTAGGTTGACTCTGGGGTGCGAGAGAATGCGAGAATGAAGAATGTAATATAAGAAATAAGAAAGACAGCCAGATTATGACTCTGGTTCATTGTTATTTTATATACAGAACAATTCCTTTGCCCCTAAAAATCTCAGGCTGTCAGAAGACAGTTGTGACAGAAGAAGTGTTGGAACTCAGCTTCAGGGCTACATGAAGGATTTGTTTTATTTTACCTGCAGTTTTTTTTTGCTTTTTAAATATATTTTTTGATATCAGACTCCTAGTATATGAAGGGTTTAATGTTAGACATGTCCTAAGGAGCAGACGGAGGGCAAGCCAATCTTCTAGCTTGTTTATGACTTCAGCACCAAAGAACAATTTGTTACCATTTATTTCTATTGCCAAGACCTGAGAAGGTTGGGCAGGTGCTATAGAAATCGTATTTTTCATCAATGCATTATTCTTTATGATCATATATCTATATGCTATTCTTTCGCTTGTGACAGATGTTGTGAATGTGTGTCTGTGTGTTGCGGGAGGGGAGTGTGAGGATTGTATGGATGAGGAGGAGGTCTTTTTAGAATAAGAACCATTTGTTTATGATCAAGTTTGAAGTACAGTGTTATTATATTTCCTAAGGCTCTCATTTAAATTTGAAGGTGGAGAAAACTCAATTTTGCTATTATAATTGGTGAATATTTTTCCAGACTAAAATTCAACATCTTTTTTGAAACTATCCTCTTTTGGAAGACCCTTTAACCCAGTAAAATCATTTCCTCTAGGCAAAGAATGTGGATGGAGAAGAGCCAGCGGGTTGGTTCCATAGCACCCTTTAGTAGATAGAAGAAATTATTTCTTAAATTTCCTTGTATCCAAAGTAAATTATAGAACAAAATCTTGAAATGCGTTCTGATTTGGAGGACTCAGATTGATCCTGAAAGCTTCAGTAGTTATTTTGGAGAAAGAAGAGGTACAGCATTTCTAAAGCAAGGAAGAGGAGTGGATGCAGGCAAATAATTTCTCCAAGTCAGAGAGAGGTGGCAAGAAAATTAGGGTAATTTTAAAAGGAGGAGCTTAGAGAGTAAGGAATCTGTTCAGAAGGGAAAATGAGGCCTTATTACCTGGGTGCATGGATCCAAGTGGGTGAATATAGCAAAGGATCATATTGGTTATCATGTAGAGCTGAGTCATACCCTGGAGGTTATTGAAGGAAGATCTCATGCCTGCTCTCATGGAACACTAATTCTGGTGGGTCTTCACTTTTTCACCTGCAAACGCTTTGCTCATTGACTACTTACTGGGAGGGCAAAAGTTTCTGCTTCGATACTTTGGTTGGTCTGATTTGATTCCCTCATGTGGATATCTCAGGATACCCAATACCCATCAGCAAAGAATTCAGAGATGGATCTCTGCAAACCTAGGGAGATAGTGATGGTAAGGCCGCCACCCCAAGACTGGCTGTGTGGCGGGACAAACGTGAAATTGAACCAGCTTGGGACCATCCTGGAGCTATGACGGTCGTTAATCACTGCCTTGCTCATTCTTTTTTGTGACGTGACTAAGGAACAATTCTCTCTCAAGCACAAATTGGCCAGGAAATAAGAGAAAATGTCCACATAGAATGGACATTCCTGAGATTTGCAGCCACTAGAAAACTGAACCACAAGAGACTGGTAGAGTCACCAGGTTATGGAGCTTATGATATGGTGAAATAGTCATGCTTAGCTTAACAACAGGGATTCACTCTGAGAAATGCACTGTTAGGCGGTTTTAACATTGTGGGAACATCATAGAGTGCACTTACAGCAGCCTAGATGGCATAGACTATACACACCTAGGCTTTATGGTGTAGCCTATTGCCCCTAAGTTACAAACCTGCATAGTACGTTATTGTACTGCATATTGTAGGCAATTGTAAGACAATGGTAAGTATTTGTGTATCTAAACATAGAAAAAGTACAGTAAAAATGTGGCATAAATGATAAAAAAAAATGGTATACCTGCACAAGGCACTCATGAGTGGTGCTTGCAGGGCTGGAAGTTGCTCTGGTGAGTCAGTGGGTGAGTGGTGAATAAATGCGAAGGCCTAGGACATTACTAGGCACAACTATAGACTTTATAAACTCTGTACACTTAGGCTACACTAATGTGCAAAAAAATGAACCTTAGCTTACTGTAAAATTTTTACTGTATAAACTTTTTAAATTTGTAAATTTTTGACTTTTGTAATAACACTTAGCTTAAAACACTAGCATATTGTACAGCTGTACAAAAATATTTCTTTTTTATATCCTTATTTTATAAGCTTTTTTCTACTTTTAAAATTATATTTTTTTATTTTTAAACTTTTCTGTTAAAACCTAAGACACAAACACACACATTAGACTAGGACGACACAGGGTCAAGATCATCAACATTACTGTCTTTAGCTTCCACATCTTGTCCCACTAGAAGGTCTTCAGGGGCAATAACTTGCATAGAGCTGTCATCTCCTAGGATAACAGTGTCTTCTTCTAGAATACCTCCTGAAGAACACATTTTACAGGTAACTTTGTAAAAATAAGTAGAATGAATATACTCTACTTATATAGGATTGAAAGAAGAGAAACACATTAGATGAGCACACATTCATCTTGGCTTTGTTTCTGGGAGCACGTTCTTAATAATGGACCATGGACTGTTCCAAACAGTGGACAGTAGTTCTATTGAGTTGAAGAGGCAGAGAATGGAATTTGATATAGAGGTAGCTGTAGTATTTGGACTAGAGTAGTAGCAAGTTAGAAGCTGGGGAATATGTAGGGAAGGAAAGGGGTAACTTAGATATCAGAGCCAGTCCTGTGAAGTTAGAGATTGGGGTGCTCGTGCAGCTAGATTGGAAGCACTTTGCTGATCACTTCATGTACTCAGTTGAGATCCCCAAAGGCCACAGGTTAGAAGCAAGGGATATATCCTATGGTAAAGGAAAAATTCAAGTTATACCTCTTCTAGCAAGGCATAAAATCAAACCTGATAGGATCCAGAACTGGTGATTTAACTGCCTACCAGAATCAACACCTTTTTTTTTTTTTTTAACAGAATGACTATGTAAACCAGACTCCCTACAAAATGTACCATTTCATAATGACCAGCATATAATCCAAAACTTCTAAACATGTAAAAATGTCACCTAAAATCTAGAGCAAGGATCAGCAAACAATGGCCTGATAGCCAAGTGATCTGCCACCTGTTTTAGTGCTACAGTCTTATTGGAACACAGATCATTTGTTTACAATTAAATTTGTAACAATTTAATTAAGGTTAGAGCTTAATTAATTGGCTATTGCCAATAAAACTTTGGCCATTTTTCATCTATGGCTATTTTTGTGCTACAGTGGCAGAGTTGAGTAGTTGTGACAGAACCTGTAATCCCACAAAACTGAAAATATTTACTATCTAACCCTCTACAAAAAAAGTTTATCAACATTAAAAGTGGGCAATTGAAATATACTCCAAGATGGTCCAGATTTTGGAATTTGTAGACAAAGATTTCAAAGAAACTATTTTTAATGTATTCAATTTTTTTAAATAAGGATAAACATAATGAGTGAATATATGAGAAAACTTAGTACAGAAAATAAAGTATACCAATGGATATTCTAGAAATTGAAAGTAAAATAATTATAATATCTAAAATGAAAAAGTCACTGAATAAACATAACTAGAGATGAGGTGCTACAGAAGGAGTTTAAATAAACTTGAATTTGATTAAATAGAAATTACCCAAGCTGAAGAACAGAGAAAAAAATTAAACGACTCAGTGTCTTTTAAGGTGGTCCCAAATGGTTTTTAATAAGTAAAATTGAAGTCCTATAGGGACAGGAGAGAGAGAAGGGGACAGAAAATTATTTGAAGATATTCAAATTTTGAACATTTTAAAATTATGTTGAAAACAGCAGCCCATTGATTCAAGACTTTCAGTAAATACCAAACAAGATAAGTATAAAACACATACACACCCCTAAGCACCTCATAGTAAAACTGAGAAAAATGTAAAGTCAAAGGTAAAGAAAGAAAATCCTAACAGTCACAGAAAAAGGCAATTCATACATCAGAGAACATGCTACAAATGATGACTGACTTTTCATCAGAAACAATAACTAGAGGACTTTTTTAAGTTCTGAGAGAGACAGAGACTATACATACAATACTCTAGTCCACAAAGCATTTTTTAAAGATGGTGGTAAAATAAAAATACTTCTAGATTTTAAAATGGACATGCATCGCAAGAAATGTCAAAGAAAGTTCTTCTGGCCAAAGGGAAATGATATCTCTGGGAATGAATAAAAATATCTACAAATGATATATGGATAAATACAAAAATCTAACTTTTTTTCAAAATTTCATTTATTTCTACTATTTAAATTAAAATATAGCTTAAAAATATGAAGAAGTGAAATATGAGACAATAATTGCATAAATAATTGAGGTGGCAAATGAAATTATACCAGTATATTATGTTTCTTACATTTTGCATGAAGTGACACAATGTTAATGATAGTTTATGATAAATGAAAAATACATATTGTTATACTTAAGGAAGCCACTAAAAATATATCAATCAGGGAGAGCTCAAAAGCAAATAGAGGAAATAAAATAGCATGCTAAAATAAATGAGTGAACACATGGGTAACAAATATTCAGTTAACCCAGATGAAAACAGGGAAAAGAAAACAGAGGTACAAAGAGTAGACGAAACAGGTAGAAAACAAATAGCAAAACTGTGGACTTATCACAACCATATCAATAATTACATCAAATGTAAATGCTAAAGGGTCTATTTGAAAGGCCTTTTCACGATAGATTAAAACCAAATAAAAGGAAAAACCAACTATTTGCTTTCCACAAAAATACACTTTAAAAGAATATTAGAAGGCAGAAAGCAGTTAATAAAAGTAACCCTGGAATAATTTTGGATAAGTATTAAGAGCTTTTATCACTCAGGATTCTTAGTTGCAAGCAAGAGAAGTCGTCACTTTTTGGTTTAAATGGAAAGGAATGTACTAAAAGATGCTGGGTAGTTCACAGATACCCTGAGAGAGCCAAAGAAGTAGGTTTGGAGTTTGTGCAGCCAGGCATAATGCCCCAAAGTAGTCCTTAGATGATACAACTATCATGGCTGCTTGGACATGGATACCATAGGTTGTACTACCAGTGCCACCAGCTGTGGCCCTGGGATGCTTCTAAAACCATTAACTGCTGCCTCCTGGAGAATGGATATAGCTACTACTCTCTAGTACCACTTGCCTTCCTTTTGTTACTAACACCTTCCTTGTACTACTATTTTAATTCAAAGTCTGGAGTGCGTGTCTCTGAATGACAGAGCTCAGAATATGCATTCTAGCATGTCTTAGCTGCTACAGATTCTGGGAAAGTATTTGACATTTTCAGTATCTATAATGAGAAGAAAGCTCTGACTCATAAAGTAGGCAATATTTTCCCAACAGGGAAATGGAAGCTAAAAATATACGACGAATTCCACTAGAGATTAAAGCTTTGAGTCAGATACTCGACAACTTTACTATGTATGTTGTCTTGGTAGGATGAGTTTTTTTTTTTTATGTTTTTCTAAGCATTGGGTTTCTATAAAATTGTAAGTTTCACATTGAGTCTGTTATGATTAAATGAGATGACAATTAAACATTTATTACAGAATCTTGCACAGAATAGATAGTTACATGTTATTATTACATATAATCTAGTAGTATAATTGTTACTGAAGGAGATATCTTATCAGCAGGAAATGGAGGGCTGGTTTATTAGAAGAATTATTAATTTGGTTTTGACCTCATTGAGCTTAGGATATTAAAATATATAAAAGTTAAAATAGATCACAAAAAGATGCTGGTTATAGCAGTCAGGGTCTCCAGATATTCAGTATTAGAGATATTAATTCTTCACTTTGTGGTAGTAGGTAAATATATGGGAGGCGCTTCTGTGAAATTAAACCATGTACATTTTCCTTTTGCCTGAAAGGACCAAATCAACAGCTAAAGAGCCCCTTTACTTCCTGATTAAGATTTAGATCAAATCATAAAAAGAGAATGAAGATTATACATATTTTATGTCCTGGCCTCTATAGTAGTGATTAATAATTTTTCATGCCCCGGAGACAAAGTGGAACTACTGTTTTATAGGCATGTGCAGAAAGGAAATAAAGTACCCACAGCTGTAATAGACCATGTTGTTGGTCAGAGGTTCTTTAGGAGAGCCTTTTGTTAGAGAATGGTTTTTGATTAAATCTTAGATTTATTTAGAATTGTTTTCTCAGATATTTTGTGATTGTTTTTCTCATAGAAATAATGCTACATTGAATGGTAATTGAATTTTGGGTACAAATAAGCCACTTATTCATGTGTGATGTTGTGCATTTGTAAATAGTCTGCGTTTAGGAAGGATTTTTAAGGTACTGGTAGGTGGTTATTTTTAAAATACTCCCTAAGTTAGGAAACTCTCTACAAGATTGTAACTGCAAGCTGCTCATAGAAATTTATTTCATGCCAAAATTCTGCTGATGGTGTTGATTTCAAACACAGAAGACAGAAATAATAAACTTGAATGGATAAGAGCTGTCTCTTTGAACTTGAGCTACAGGAAGCCACTGGCATCATGATCTTTTTAAAGAGTGGCTCTGGGAATTATTTCAGAAGGGCTTTTTCATGACCACCTTGACTTCCAACCTTTCACTATACGTGCCTCATTTGTACTGTTCCTCCTGGATTCCTCAGCAACTTCTAATGGGCCTCTTTTGGTCTTGTTTCTACCCACTTCAATCCATCCTCTTCCCTTCAGCCAAGGGGGAAAAAAATCTAACACCCTAATCTGACCGTGTCACTCACTGCTTATACCTAAACAGTAATCCCTTCCTGCATAGTGATGTCACCAAAGTGTGGAAAATATGCAGAATTTCTTTAAGGGGACACAGTATTAATCATCATCAGTTCACATGATGAGAACACTATTTCTTTTGTGATATTTTCCTCAGGATCTTATCAGAGAAATTGAAAATCTTAGTTTTGTGCTAATACAATGTTCAACCTCCCTATGAGTTATTTGTGTCCCCTTTTAACTAAATGGGAGCAATACCCATGTTCAGAGTCATTATCAAATAACAGTTTTTAGCTAGAATTTAATAGCATTATTTTTGTTTAATAACATCCCCCAAAACAGCCATGACCTTTGCTCTTGACCAGTTGGCTTGTGTTTTAGCTGGAGCACTTCCACCTCTTGGTAGCTATTGCTTTGATTGTGCTTCGTCTTTAGGATTGTACTGGTTGGCCGGGGGTGGTGGCTCACGCCTGTAATCCCAGAACGTTGGGAGGCCGAGGTGGGAGGACTGCTTGAGCCCAGGAGTTCAAGACCAGCCTGGGCAACATAGCAAGACCCCATCTCAAAAGAAAAAAAAAGGATTGTACTGGTAATGCTATGTTTCATCTCCTGTTGTGATTATTCAAAGAAATGCCTCAGAATCTTAATCCCACTTGTTTAAAATGTGCATTGAAAGCCCTGTTCTTGTCTGCAGCTGATCTGGGTACAATGATTTTGGCACACATTGAGTGCCAAAATCAATTAAAGTTTGCTCAGCTTTAATTTTTCCATCAGAATTGTGCAAGCTGAGCCAGTTGAGATGTCTGTGGTGTTGGCTATTGTCTGTGCCATTAATCATTGGTCCTCTTCAATTAGGGCATGTACGAGAGGAATTTTTTCCTTACAAATTGAGGTGGATGGTCTACTGCTACGGGCTTTGACTTCCACCTTGTCTTGTTCCTTCTTAAAACAAGTTATCCCTTCCCAAACTGCTGATTTCACGGGGGCATTGTCCCCATGAACTTTTCAAAAAGCATCAATGAGTTCACCATCTTTCACTCAAGCTTCATTATCAATAAGATGGTTCCTCTTGCTTTAATTTTAGCAGATTTCATTTTTCTCTGATAGGGGCTCTTTTAAAATGGATGTCTTACCATTCTTAGTGCCTCAAACTAGATTCTGTTTAGGTATGTTCTAACAAGTTAGTACAAATTTAATTTGGTGCAAAAACATTTTGAAATCCATGTGTATTCCTTCACAATATACATTTTCATGGCCTTTTTGAAGGCCCTTGATTTACCTTGATTTATGACAGGTTATGCTGACTTTCCATTTGGGGAATAATATAATTTTTAAAATTTATGTATAAAATGTAATAATTTACAAAGAGATATCGAGTAGGCAATGTTACAGAGAGTTAACGATATGGCAAAAGTTGTAAAGGAAATAAACTGTGAAATTTAATACTGCATGAATATAGCAAGAGGTTGCAAAGATAGCCTTCACATCACTGACATTTAGAAAAAACTGAGCTATGTGGAAATGTCCAAGCTACTTTAAATTTAGCTCTTGGCTGTAGCCCAACATTATTGTGGCACAGCTCCTCATCACTGCCTTCTGCCTGGCTAACATAATCCCATTTCCCCCCTGTATCCATTAGCCATGCCCTTTAGGGGAAACCTGGTGAATCTTGACTGGCCCAAACCAATTGTGATATGATCCTTCTCTTTCTGGGTGTCTGGTTCAGGCAGTAGTATGTAACCCAATTCTATACAGAGGGACACAAGGGCTCATGTACTTGGATGGTTTTTGTCAACTTAGGGGAGTTTTCCTAATTTCCCCTGGATATAGCTATGAAGGAAAGAAATGCCTGAAACTCCAACAGTCATCTTGAGACTCAGGAATCTAAAGCCAGAGCACAACCCCAATCACCTGAAGATGCTAGGACAGAAAGATGGTAAGAAATAGTGTGCAAAGACAGTTGGGACACCAAAGTATCCAGTCATGCAGCTGCCCTATCTCCAGATTTCTTGTTCAATGAAATAAATTCCTTATTGTCTAATCCCGCCATGTAGTTAGATTTTGTTTTTTTTTGACTTGCAGCTGAATGTGTCTCACATGATTCACGAATCTCTTGACTCTTCTTGCCTCATGACTTCCCCTCCGGAAGAGCATCTACCTTTCAGTCCTCCAGCCCTTTAGGATATTTTTGGCTTCTGAGTTTTTTCTCAAGTGGCTTCCTCTGCCGGGAATGCCATCTTCCTTCCTCTCGTTGCACATGGCTTGATCTTTAAAAACTCAACTCAGAAGCCACCTCAGAAGCCTTTCATGATAGAACTTAGTGAGTACCGAGTGCTCAGAGTCTTTACTGTGAGCAGTCAGTATTCACTAAGCTCTAGCACTGGCTCACTTTACTCTGAGCACTCAGTACTCACCATTGCCTTCTTATACAGGCTGTGATTTTCTAATGGTGTTCCTGTTTTTCTCTGTACACTCTGCTACTTAAGTATAGGAATAATCTATTTAACTTGGTATCCCAAGATTCTCATTACGTCTTTGGGCAGGAAAGATTATTTGAAATATTTATCCAAAACAGTTCTCCCACAGAGCAGTAGAGTGGGTAGCCACTGAAAGCTAGTTATTTGAAACTGGGGTTCCAAACCTGATTCTGTTTAGCAAAGCAACACAAGCATCAGTTTCCTTAGCTGGAAAACTGATAGAACCATAGTATTTACCTCCTATGTATTTAAATGATATAATGATGCACGTAAATTACCCATTTCATGATAAATTTGGTCATTATTCACAACTCACGAGCTTTCCCCATGAGTTTAGCTGTGTGCCCAGAGACGTGATAAACAAGTCTACACTTAAAAAAAATCTGCTATTCATGCCTGTCTCTAGTTCTTGGTGTAAGAATGAGAATCTCCAGCCCATTGACATTGTATTTTAGAACCTTACACTTAACTCAGTGCATGCCTCTTGTATTTGAGAACTATGCTTCATCTGGTATCTAGGCCACAAATGCACATTGTTTAAAGCAAAAAACAAATGTTCGTGATGCTTGATGCATAATTTAACCTTTTCATCATTTGATGTGAAGTCTAAATTAATCTAAAAGGATGATATTCATATGAGAAAAAATGTTTGACCTTTAATGATACTTTCATTTCTTGACATTCTTTATTCATCCTGGAACCTGTTGCTAATTTTAAGTGACTCCCTTTCATGTATGTTCAAGTGTGGTTTTGAAGTATAATTTGAAAAAGCAAGAAGCAGAGAAAAAGTGGAGGGAGAGTGGGCAGAGGGAGGTAGGAAGGGAGGAAAGGAGAAGTGGTGAAAGATAAAACCTAAATCTTCATCAATAAGTGAAAGGCTGTTTGAATAAGTTGTAAGACATCCCTATATGAAATATTATGCAAGTATTTAACAAAATGGTTTAGATCTTTATAGATTCACCTGAAAGTATTCTGTGACATATTAAATAAGAAATGCAGGTTACAGATTAGTATGTACAGGATGTGCATGTAAGCTATATACATTCTCGTTTGTATGAGCCAAAAAAAAATGTGTGGAAGGAGAGACACAAAACTGTGTTGTAATATTGGCTTTCTTAAGGAGGAAGGAGACAGAAAGGTTTAACATTTCCTCCATATCTATACCATTTGACTTTCTGTAATAAGCATGTATTTAAAAAAAAATCTTTATTGAGGTATAATTCACCATAAAATCTAGCCACTAATGTGTACAATTCAATAATTTTTACTAAATCTACCAAGTTGTGAAACCATCACCATAATTTATTTCTAGGACATTTTATCACTTCAGTAAAAAGCCTCGTACCTCATTACAATTAATGCCAATTCCCACCCTCAGCCTCAAGCAACCACTAATTTACTTTCTGACTCTACAGATTTACCTTTTCCAGACATTTCTTAGAGGTGAAATCCTATGATATGTGGTCTTTTGTGTGTGGCTTCCTTCACTTACCTTAATGTTTTTCAGGTTCATCCACGTTGTAGCTTGTATCAGTACCACATTCCCTTTTATGGTTGAAGCATGTTCTATTGTATGGATATAGCACAGTTGGCTTATCCATTCACCAATTAATGGATGTTTGGATAGGCTTGCCAGATTAAATACAAAAATTAAATGCCCCATTTGATTTGTTTAATTTGGCCCAAATAATTTGGAACATACTTACACTAAAAAAAGATTCATTTTTTTCTGAAATTTAAATGTAATCAAACATCTCATGTTTTTATTCACTAGATTTGGCAAATTTGAGGTATCCGCTTTTTGACTATTATGAATAACGCTGCTGTGAACATTTGCATGCTAGTGTCTGTATAGATGAGCATGCATTTTTGTAAATTGAAAAATAAGCTTAAACGTTTGAAACTTTTATAAATAATATGCTTAAAAGTTTTTTTAAGATTGGCTGGGCACAGTGGTATAATTTCAACCCTTGTGAGGCCGAGGCAGAAGGAAGGATCACTTGACGTAGAGTTCAAGGCCAGCTCTGGCAACATAGCGAGACCCCCATGTCTACAAAAAAAATTTTTTTAAATTATATGGGTACGATGGTGTGTGCCTGTAATCCCAGCTACTCAGGAGGAAGATTTCTTAAGTGCTGATTGTGCCTCTGCACTCCAGCCTGGGTGACAGAGTGAGACCTCGCCTCAAAAAAAAAAAAAAAAATAGAAATAAAAAATAAATAAATAAATTTAAATTAAACCTCTTTTTTTTTTTGAGTGGATGCCAATAGTACCAGAAGTTTACAAGTCAGTAAACTAGCTTAAGATAATGTTAATGAATCTGTTAGAGAAAATCACATAAATATTAGCTTCTGCTTTAATTATATGCCAACATTTCCTATTATGGCAGTTCTATGCTGTCTTGCATTGTTTTATTACTTGCCGGATCGCCTATGGTTATTTAAGAGGATCATAAAACTTGGACACCAGGCATGCTTGACATCTAAATAATCTAAGTCCAGCTCATTAAAAGCTGAGATCAATAGCTTGGTGAATACTTTACCACAGATTTCTTGCCATTTAGTTCAGGAAAATGTTAGATTTTCAGAGAATGTGATTTTCCCTTCTTGCTGTTAATATGTTTGAATGAAGTTAAACAGAGCCAGCAGATCCCCACCCCATGCTTTTGACCTCAGTCTTCTCTGGGCCTAAAACACTATTGCCCTGACAGTTGCATGGTTTAACTTTTATTTCATTCAGGTCTCTGTTCAAATATCCCCTCATCAGAGCAGCCTTTCATAACCACCCTTCATAGCTAGGGCTGACCCATTTAGTAAATAAAATATAATATGGCTAGTTAATTTTGGATTTCAGATAAAGAGCACATAATTTTTTAGTAAAAGTATGTCCCATGCAATATTTGGGACACACTTATACCGAACAATTATTCGTTGTTTATATGATATTCAGATTTAACTGGGTGTCCTTAATTTTATCGAGCTTCCCTATTGATAATGCCTAGAGCAACCAGACACCATATCATATAATCATCTGCATATTTATTGTATTGGTGGTCTCATCCTGAGAGAGCATGGCCGTATTAGTTTTGTAGGGCTGCCACAACAAATTGCCACAAACTTGATGACTGAAAAGGGCAGACATTTTGTCACAGTCTGAAGGCCAGAAATCTGAAATCGAGGTGTCAGCAGAGCCTTGTTCTGTCCAAAGACTCTAGAGGAGAATCCTTCCTGCCTCCTGCAGCTTCTGGTGGCTCCTGGCATTATTGGATTCTGGCAACAGCCCACCAGTATCTGCTTGAGTCTTCACATGGCCTTTTCCCCTGTATCTCTGCGTGTCTTTCATCTTTCTACTGCTTATAAAGACAACTGCTATTGTATTTAGGGCCTACTCTAATCCAGAATGATCTCATCTTGAGATCTTTCATGTTGTTATATCTATAAAGACCCTTTCTCCAAATAAGGTCGTATTTACAGGTTTTGGGTGGATATGTTTTTTGAGGGAGCAGTATTCAACCCACTGCAGTAGCACATAGGAGTTTGATGAATACGTGTTGAATGAATGAGTTGGAAAGTCAATGGAGGGGGGCATTTTGGGGTTCATTTCTATTCCACAACATCCACTGGGAATCTATTGTATACTGATGTTAGAAGGATGCTGGGGATACATTTCTGTTTTAAGGTTTCTGAGGGATACCTAGGTGGACATGTTCAAAAGATAGCTACGAAATTGAATTTAAAACTATATCATGGGCATCTACAGCATATAGGTGACAGGTGAGGCATCTGAACCTCTGCACAGAGAGATGGGAGAAAGTTCTAGTAAGTGGGGCTGAGATGGCATTCCAGCAAGCAGTAACCACACAGTAGTAAACAGAGAAGGAGAGACAATGAGCAGAGATAAATTCATGCCCTCATATTCCTTTTTTTTTTTTTTTTTTTGAGATACGTTCTTGCTTTTTTGCCCAGGCTTGAGTGCAATGGCACAGTCATAGCTCACTGCAGCCTCAACTCCTGGACTCAAGCAATTCTCCAGCCTCAGCCTCACAAGTAGCTGGGACTACACAGGCATACACCCCTACACTGAGCTAATTTTTTTTTTTAATTTTTTTGGTGAAGCAGTGGGTCTCACTATGTTGACCAGGCTGGTCTTGAACTCCTGGCGTCAAGCAATCCTCCCACCTCAGCCTCCCAAAGTGCTGGGATTGTAGGTGTGAGCCACTGTGCCAGCCTCACGTTTTTTACTCCAATGCCATGAGCCCATAGTCTCTGTTGTTGACAGACAGAGAACAGCTCAACAGCCAGGAGCCCCGAGCACAGAAGCCAAGAGAGAGGGTTTATCAAGAAGTTTTACTTCCTGCTTTGGAAAAATTCTTTTGACGCCTGTTCAGGCTTGAGAAACCCATAATCAAATTTTCTTGCTGCTTCTTATAAACTGGAAACCAAACAGACATTTCAGGAGCCTAATTACTATAAGAAGACTGTTTCTGAAATCACTGCAAAGTTTTACCAACACAGCCATAGTGCTAGGGGGAAACACAGCATGAAATGATGTTAGAAAGATATTTCTATAATTTTTGACAAACATTTCCAAATGAATATGAATATCATCCTTTCCAAATTAACCACTATGAAAGGCTCATATTTCCGAGGCTGTTACCAGGGACTCAGGGCCTGGGCAGTAGCACAAGGCCCCATTCTCAGAGGGCCCCATATTGAATGCTATATTCTCACTATTTTCCAATTATCAATACCTTTTAAAGAAAGAACTCCATATTGTTATTTTGTACTGGGCCTCACAAATTCTATAGTTGTTCTTATGTCAGTGTTGAGCTTTTTCAAAATTATTTGGTATTTCTCTTAGGGTATTTTCTTTGGGCAAGGGAATGAGTTTTGTTGAATTGTTAGTATAAAAAATATAAATGTTGGAATTCGTGGGATTTTACTTCAATGCCATGAGCCCATAGTCTCAAACCTCAGCATTGCTGCCTACTAGCTGTCTCTGTATTTCAGCCTAAGTTTCCTCATCTATGAAATGTGACTGATAATGTCTATCTCATGGGGTTGTGGTGAAGATTGAATGTATGTGTGGAAATGTGTAAAGCCCCGTGTCCTTCGGTGCCTGACATAGTCGGAGTTCCTACATACGTGTTGTCCTTAGATATCTGTTAAGACAGGTCGACCAAATAAAGCCTCCAGTGACATGAACAGCCAACCTTTATTCAGCAAGCATTTGCTGCACGCCTTTATTCAGCAAGCATTTGCTGCACGCCAGTTGAATAAGCAGGTAAGTCCCTGAACGTAGGGAGCTTTCCTTACAGTGACAGGGAAAAGACTATAAAACAAGCATGCAAATATATAAACAACAGGATTCCAGGAAATAATAAATGAGAGGGAGGAAAAAGAAACAGCTTAGAAAGGTAGCGTGGGCCTGGGGTAGGGCTCAGGGGGAGCACCTTTGGATATGAGGTTAGGGAGGACCTCTTTAAGGAGATAATTTTGAAGCAAAGACCTTGTAGGGTGATGGAAAGAACCAATATATATTATGGAGGGAAGATTTTTCCAGGCCTAGGGAACCAGTGTGAAGGTGTTGACGTAGAAACCAGTTCGGAAAACTTGAGCATCTCTTTTTCATAATCTTAGCCAGAAAAACTGCAGCAAAACTTGCTCATGCATATAGGGGGTTGACTTAATAAATGTCATCTATGGTCCCTTGCAATGTACCATGAACTATGCTGAGGGAAGAGATACAAAAATGAACCCATCATGGTCACATCCAGAGGAGCTGAAATATAATGGAGGAGACAAATGTATATAAATAATTCTGTAAACAAATAAAGGATGGGGCCGGGCGCGGTGGCTCAAGACTGTAATCCCAGCACTTTGGGAGGCCAAGGCAGGTGGATCACGAGGTTAGGAGATTGAGACTATCCTGGCTAACACGGTGAAACCCCGTCTCTACTAAAAATACAAAAAATTAGCCGGGCGTGGTGGTGGTCACCTGTAGTCCCAGCTACTCGGGAGGCTGAAGCAGGAGAATGCTGCGAACCCGGGAGGCGGAGCTTGCAGTGAGCCGAGATCGCGCCACTGCACTCCAGCCTGGGAGACAGAGTGAGACTCCGTCTCAAACAAACAAACAAACAAACAAACAAAAACAAAAACAAAAAAAGGGATCTGGGGAGCATGAAATAAAGTATTTACTAATGTCAAAACTTCAAATATGAATGTGATTTTTATGGGGTGAAAAGGTAGCTTTAAAGTTCTTTCCTAGGGTGAGATTGGTGAGATTAACTTTCTCAAGGGTTTGGGGTAAACAAAATGGCTGGAGAAAAACCCTTTGAGAATCCTGTCCTCTCAGCATGGTCAAGTGTAATTTAGGAGTGAGGCGAAGGAGACAAAAGATTAATGCATTCCAAAAGTATACATGCAAGTTTGTATAAGTCAGAAATCAGTGGAAGTCGCTCTGTTTCTTTTTTTTTTTTTTTTTTTTTTTGAGACGGAGTCTCGCTCTGTCGCCCAGGCTGGAGCGTAGTGGCGCGATCTCGGCTCACTGCAAGCTCCGCCTCCCGGGTTCACGCCATTCTCCTGCCTCAGCCTCCCAAGTAGCTGGGACTACAGGCGCCCGCCACTACGCCCGGCTAATTTTTTGTATTTTTAGTAGAGACGGGGTTTCACCGTTTTAGCCGGGATGGTCTCGATCTCCTGACCTCGTGATCCGCCCGCCTCGGCCTCCCAAAGTGCTGGGATTACAGGCGTTGTTTCTTAAGATAAAGATGAGGTTGGCTCCAGCTCGTCACATGCCCGTTCTGCATTCTGCAGAAAGTTCCTGTGCTCTCTGCAATAATTCTGTAAAGGAGTTGTCTCCTGTTCCATGTCCACATTTGCACTCAGCTTCTTTCCACAGATGTTGCCAGAGGGCCTGTTATATTGAGAACCTACATCAGCCAGCATTCTCCAAAGAAAGAGAAGCAATAGGACCAGTAGGATATATTTCTACCACAACCGGTTTTTAGTAGGATGTTTCCCAAATCCTGGTTTTAATTATTTTTGTGTCTATTTATCCCATCTATTCCTCTATCTCTGTATCTCTATCTATGTTTCTATCATCTATCTCCGTATTTGTAGATTTATGCATGTATCCATCTATAATTTGTCATTCATCATTTATAATAGAATACCTAGCATTGTTTTCGTGGAATTCAGAAAAGCATATAGTTGTAAAAAGCTGGATATTTGCATTACTGATTTCTATAATTTACATAATAAATTACAACTACAAATATATTTATTTATAAATATACAATATACATTATACATTGATTTATCTTCTTTATTTTTTTATGTTTAGTAATCTTATGGCTTTAGATTTTTTTATTAAAAACTTTTGAACAATCCCCAATATTAAATTTTGCATTTTCTTCCTTTTGATGAAACAAAGTTGATAAACAAAATGAAAATGCCATTACTTATTGAACCACAAGATAGAAATCTCCACTCCCACAAGATTCTGGAATTGAAGATTTAGTTCAGAGATTGTTTGCTCCAATACATTTTTTCTGGAGATGTTATATGTTAATTTTTTAAACTGCAGCTGCGAAACATTTACTGCTCTAAGAAATTAACAGGCTGTTTACTTTTAAAATAAGGTGTGACCCCAGTAGTCAGTAAGATTAACAAATGAGTTTGCAGTTATCTTCTCAGAAAATTAACCAGAGTGACAGCATTAACACACAGAACCTTACCATTCACAGAGTCGAGACTCATTTTCAATTTCAGAAAACTCATCATTTCCTTGGCCACCACATTTTTTTCCTCTTAAAGTAGCATTTGCCAAACACAACATTATCTGTATTTATACTTAGGTTAACTGGTAAAGTCTAGTCATCTTGTCTAATGAAACTTGTTTAAGGGGAAATTAAATTATTGAATTGCAGGTCCCGCATCTCACTCTGATACTGATTGGCATAGTAAGATCGATGTGTAGCAAAAATGTCTTCATCAATTCCTGTATTGACTTTATTATTGTATTATATAGTACAAGTTTCTGGTTAATATGTTTTTATAATTTGGGATAACAGGATTTGATTGTTAGGTATAATCAGATATATAATGGCTATATCCAACTGAATTTAATGGAGAGATACCATATTTGTAAATGTGAAAACTCAATAATGTTAGGCTGCTCATTCTTCCCCAAATAATCTATTCATTGACATTTTAGTTGGAATGATATTGAACAAGATTTTTTCAGTGAACCTAAAACATGTATTATAGAATTCATTTGGAAGAACAAGAAAGGTCCAAAACAACTTTGACAAGGAGAAGAATTTACTTTACCTGTTATCAATACTTGTGACAAGATATAGTAATTAAGTAGTTAAGTCAAACAGCTTAATGGTTAAACTTTCCAAAATAGTTCTTGCATCCTATTTATGTCTTGGGTGCTGTAAGGAATACAAAGACATATTAGGACTCAAGGGCATGGATAGAGCAGAAAATATTTTGAAGTGGTGGACATTGAAGCACCTGTTATATTCTCCCTTATAAATGACATTAGTTCCTGGATGAATAGGACTAACCTAAGCTTATCAAGCTGAAGAGTGATGTTGATACCAATTAGATTTTCTGTGAGCTGGAAGGGGTAGAGAAAGACCCTATTTCCTCCATTAGCTATAATTCTTAATTTTGAACAAATAAAGGTGTCCTAGGAAAAATCCTTAGACTAGCACTCCTCTTATCACCATCAATAGAAAATGAGCCTTATTTGGCATTTTAGGATTTTTTTCTCTCCCCTAAAAGGGAGCCCCACCCCAGAAGTACTCCAGGAGTTAAACACCCAGCTGTGTTCTTTCCTTCTCTGAGATCAGCAATGGCCCTAACAGGTCTAGCATTTGAATTTAGCTGACAATTGCAGTGATGATGTGTTGAGCAGAATGCAATCCAGCTTGTTCCTGTGCAGTTTTATAGGCTCTGCAAGTTTTAAAACTTAGAAAAAATGTTTTGTCAGTAAAAGAAGCTGGCACACAGGGAACAGTTGATTGTATAATAAGGCATCATTTCCCATGGTCTAATAACTATAACCTGTTTTAACTATTACACATTATAATATCAATAAAGCTCTGGTCATTTATTATCTATTTAAAAAATCTTCTTTCAGTAAAGATGTTCTGAAAAGGTCAGAGCTGCTGTCAGACCCCAGTGATAAAGAACAGGATGGTGCTTTGTAAAATGGCAGTTCTTGCAGTGTTAAGGACTGTAAACTTTTTAAATTGAATTGTAAAAGTTTATAACTAATAAAGAAACCCTTTTAGGTGATTTTAATGTTATTTGGTCGTTTAAAATATCCCACAGATGGAAACAGATAGTAAGGTCATGAAATGGGTGAGTATTCAGCATCATAAAATGCAAACACATTTTCTCCATGTTAGAGATATAGCAATGTAGTCCCGATAATGCTGTAGGTCATTATCTAGTTTCTACTAAGATCAGTTACATCACATGCCAATATAAACAGAGGAGGGGCTGAGGCTTCTGTTTTTAGAAAGGGACTTAGAACAGCCAACAGATCTTCTTTGGGTAAAATAAATAAATGTTTCTCATTTTCTCCTTCAAATGACCTTGAGCAGTTCATCTCTTGGGATGGCTAAGGTATAGTTCACCTTAAATAGGAATGAAAATTTATTATTACCAAAAGGTAATTTTATAAAAGGATCACATTCCAGGAAGAAAACCATTAGACTGAAAATACCTTGAGGGAAGCTACTCTTGGTCTTTCATTTCAGAGGCAGGCATTTTTTCTAGACACTTAGGATCTATCAATGGAACAAAATAGGAAAAAAATCCATTTTCTTATAGAAATTACATTGAAGTAAGATAAATCAGGCAAAAAAAGCTATATGTAAGTAACTTACTATATTAGTGCATATAAAATTGTATGTTCAAAAATGAAGAATGTCAAAAGGAAAAGAAAATAAAGCAGGTTAAAAGTGATCAAGAATGCTGAGGTGAAGAGTGTGGTCCCCTAGAAATAATCCCTATTATTTTAATGTGTAGCCTACTGATCTTTCTTTTCTTTTTTTACGATGCATACATATACATATATTTTAAACAACAAAAGTCTTGATGAATACATGGCATTGTTACTTTCTTTTATTCGATCAGCTGACCGTTTTTTGAAAATGTAAATAAATGAACATAATAGTTATGGAGATCCTTATTGAGAAGAGGGTATTTGGGAAATGACTTGATGGGAGTGAGTAATGGACATGTATATCTGGATGAAGACAGTTCCAGAGAGAAGAAAGGGCTAGTGCAAGGACACCGAGGTGAGCATGTGCTGGCATATTTGAGGAGTGGGAGAGGCCACTGTGTCTGCAGAGGCCTGAGCAAGTGAGAAGGAAAAGGGGAGGAGAGCAGAGAGGGAATGACTGGGTGGTATTGGGTTATTTAGGACAATAAAAGCCACTGTCAGGACCTTGGATTTCACTGTGAGTGAAATGGGATGACTTGGAGGGTTTTAAGTAGACAAATGACATAACGTGACTTATGACTTAAAAAGAACCTTCTAGAAACTGATTGAAAATACATCATTAGCAGACAAGGGCTGATGCAGAAAGACCAGTTAGGAAACAATCCTGGAGAAATGAGGGCATTCAGACCAGCGCTGAGTGTTGGAGATGGTGAGAAGTGGTCAGACTCAAGATACGTTTGACCATAGAACCAGCGAGATCTTCTGTAGATTATATACAGATTGTAAGAAAAAGGAATCAGGGATGCCTCCCAGGTTTTTGGCCAACTGAAGGGATGAAGCTGCCATTTCCTGAAATGGGAAGTCTGTAGGAGGAGGTAGTTTGGTTTCCATTTTGGACAAATTGAATTCGAGATGCCTATATGTCATCCAAGTGGAGACGCCAAGTAGGCAGTTGAATAATTGGATGAGTCTAGAATTTGGGAGAGAAGTCTGGACTAGAGACATGAAATTGGGAGTTATTAATATATATGATATTTAAAGCTAAATATCATATGATCTATGGTATTTAAAGCTAAGAGACTGGATGAGATCACTAAAGGCATGAGTATAGATAGAAAAAGGAAGAGGTCTCTGGATTGACTGTGACTAGTTTTGACTAGCTCGATAAAATTTAGCTGAGTCAATGAACAAGATGAATGAGTCATAATAGCAATCAGTGCACTCCTCCACAAAATGATAGTGCAGATAAAAAGCACTAAATGTGTAATTCATGGAAGTAACAACATGGAGTGATTCCTAATTTGAAATGTGAATTCTTCTAGGTCCAGGATGGAAGTGGGACCCGATAAAGGTCAATGTGAATGCAGAAAGTAATTAAGACTGTGCCATATTTGTTTACTCATTCATTTAACAGATAATTTTAAAATGCCTGCTTGGTGCCAGTCACTAATCTTTTAATACTGAACATTTAATATTCCCCCCCAACATTAGTTCCTTATTTGTGAGCATCTCGATTTCCATTCAGACATTACTTCTCCAGTTGTGTGCAATCCTTAAACCAGAAGCTGGGAAGTCTTGGCTACAGTAATCAGACAAAAGAAAGAAATAAAAGGCATTCGAATAGGAAAAGAAAAAGTCAAACTATCCCTCTTCACCAATGATATGATTCTATACCTAGAAAACCCTGAAGACTCTGCCAAAAGTCTCATAGAACAGATAAATGAATTCAGTAGTTTCAGCATACAAAATCAATGCACAAAAATGCACAATGTTATTATCCATAGCATTTCTATAGATAATAACATTCAAGCTGAGAGCCAAACCAAGAAGACAATCCCATTTACAACAGTCAAAAAATAAAATAAAATAAAATAAAATAAAATAAAATAAAATAAAATACCTAGAAATACATCTAAACCAAGAAGGTGAAAGACCTCTACAAGGAGAACTACAGAACACTGCTGAAAGAAATCATAGATGACACAGATAGATGAAAAAACATTCCATGCTTATAGGTTGGAAGAATTTATATTGTTAAAATGGCCATACTATCCAAGGCAATCCTATTTAATTTAATGCTATTCCTATCAAACTAGCAACATTATTTAATGCTATTCCTAATGCTATTCCAATACTATCCAAGGCAATCCTATTTAATTTAATGCTATTCCTATCAAACTAGCAACATTATTTAATGCTATTCCTATCAAACTAGCAATATTATTTTTCACAGACATTAGAAAATTATTTAGAATTTATTCTAAAATTCATATAGAACCAGAAAGGAGCCCAAATACCCAAAGCAATCCTAAGCAAAAACAACAACACACCAGAGGCATCGGATTACCTGACATCAAACTATACTATAAGTCTACAGTAACCAAAACAGTATGGTACTGGTACAAAAACATAGATCAATGGAACAGAATAGAGAACTCAGAAATAAAGCCACACACCTACAGCCATCTGATCTTTGACAAATGAAAAAAATAAGCAACAAGGAAAGGACTTCCTATTCAAAAATTGTGCTAGCACAGCTGGCTAGCCATATGCAGAAGAACAAAACTGGACTCCTACATTTTACCATATACAAAAATTAACTCAAGATGGATTAAAATTTAAATGTAAAACTTCAAATTATAAGAATCCTGGAAGGAAACCTAGGAAACACCATTCTGGACATCAACCTTAGGAAAGAACTTATGACTGTCCTCAAAAGTTAATTGCAACAAGAACAAAAATTGACAAGTGGGATCTAATTAAATTAAAGAGCTTCTGTACAGCAAAACAAGCTATCAACAGAGTAAACAGACAACCTCCAGAATAGGAGAAAGTATTAACAAATTATGCATCCAACAAAGGTCTAATATCCAGAATCAATAAGGAACTTAAACAATTAAACAAGCACAAAACAAACAACCCCATTAAAAAGTGGGCAGAAGACATGAACAGTCACTTCTCAAAAGAAGACACACAAGTGGTCAATTAAAGTATGAAACAATGTTCCACATCACTAATAATCAGAAACATGCAAATCAAAACCACAATGAGACACCATCTCACAACAGTCAGAATGTCAATTATTAAAAGTCAAAAAACAGCAGATGCTGATTTGGCTGCAAAGCAAAGGGAAGGGAATGCATACACTGTTGATAGGAATGTAAATTAGTTCAGCCACTGTGGAGAGCAGTTTGGAGATTTCTCAAAGAACTTAGAACTACCATTTGACCCGGCAACCCCATTACTGGGTGTATATCCAAAAGAAAGTAAATTGTTCTACTGAAAAGACACATGCACTTATATGTTCATTGCAGCACTATTCACGATAGCAAAGACATGGAATCAACCTAGTTGCCGATTAACGGTGGATTGAATAAAGAAACTGTGGTATATATGCTATCTGTGGAATACTATGCAGGCATAAAAAGAAATGAAGTAATGTTCTTTGCAGTAATACGGATGCAGCTGGAGGCCATTATCCTAAGCAAACTAAAGCAGGAATTGAAAACCAAATACTCCATTTTTCTCACTTATAAGTGGGAGCTTACCAGTGGTTACCCATGGAGGTAAATGTGGCAACAATAGACACAATAAGGGAGGAGTTTCAACAATAGGCAACAGTGAGGGGGAGGGTGGCGAGCAAGGGTTGAGAAACTATGCTCACTACCTGAGTGATGAGGACATTTGTATCCCAAACCTCAGTGTCACAAAATATACCCATATAAGAAATCTGCGTATGTACCCCCTGAATCTAAAATAAAAGTTGAAATTATAAATTTTAAAAAAAAGCAAACAAACAGATGTCAGTGTCCAGAAGCCAAGTACCACACTGGCAGAAGACCAGGCGCGTGGCCTAAACTTGGCCAAGTGGACTCTTCATACCAGAAGTTTGGCTTTTCAGCAAGGAAAGAGACGTGACTAGTGAATGGGTCAAAAGACATATAATTTGTGTCACAAATGTGAGCCACAAATATAATTTTAAATTTCTAATAACTACTATAAGATAAAAGAAATACATTTAACTAATTTAAATTATATACTTTACTTAACCCAATGTATCCAAAATATCATTTCAACATGTAATCATTATAAAAACGATTTACGAGATAGTATATGTATAACATAATAGCATACATACACACATGCATACATACTTGTATTAATATTTTTCAGACTAGCCATATTTCAATGCCCAATTACTGCATGTGGCTGGTGGTTACTGTCTTAGAGAGTGTAGAGTTAGAGTTCATTCATTTCAGCAGCTGCTCCCTGAACAAACACCATCTTCTACAGGATTATCCAGGAAGTCCTCCTTTTTATCCTTTTGGAGCTGCCTTAGTTCTTGCAAAGTCCTATCCACGTTGTCCAGTGTCCTGAGAGGAGTGAGTGAGTGAGATTCCAGTAGGTTCTAACATGTTTTGAATAGGTTGATTAGGGTAACTTTGTGTTGCTTGCAATAAAAAAAAACCTAACTGCCTTACTCCTTTTCCAGTGGAAAAGAGAGGGAATGTGCCCTGGATCAAGACCTTTTCCCAGGCATAACATCAAGGTTGAAGTCAAGGAGTAGACCAAGCATTCTTTAAAAAGAAAAACATGGACCTACCTATATTTAGATGAGAAATATCACAGCAATATAGCTTTAAATGGAAAGCACAGAGTTTCATAAAATGAGTATACTGTGATTTTATTTGTATACTTTTTTCAAAAGCACACATTTATTTATATTTGTGGACACATACCTACAATTTTGAAATGGAAAGAAATGAACAACAATGACCTTTAGAGCAGTGGTCCCCAACCTTTTTGGCACCAGGGACTGGATTCATGGAAGACAATTTTTCCAATGGAGTTGGGGCTGGGAGATTTGATTCTTGTAAGGAGCAACCTAGATTCCTTGCAAGCACAGTTCGTGATAGGGTTCCTGCTCCTATGAGAATCTGATGCACCGCTGGCCTGACAGGAAGTGGAACTCAGGCGGTGGTGCTCGCAAGCCTGCTACTCATTTCCTGCTCTGCAGCTCGGTTCCTAACAGGCCATGCACTGGTCGCACCAGTACCAGCCTGCGGCCTGGGAGTTGGAGACCCCTGCTTTAGAGATCATGAATAGGCAATGGGAAAAGGCAGGTGTTATGGGCTGAATTGTGCCCCCACCTCAAATTTACATGTTAAAGTCCCAACCCCCCAACATCTCAGAATATGATGTTTGGAGATGGGGCCTTTGTGTAAGTCATTAAGCAGTAGGTTCTAATCCAGTATGATTGGCGTCCTGATAGAAGAGGAAATTGAGATACGGACATATGCACAGGAAGACGATGTGAAGACACAGGGAGAAGATAGCCATCTTCAAGCCAAGAAAACAGGCCTAAAACAAATCCTTCCCCATGGCACTCAGGACAAACCAACTCTGCCAACACCTTGATCTCAGACATTTGGCCTCCAGAACCATGAGAAAACAAATGTCTAAGCTATGCAGGCTGTGAGATTTTATATGGCAGCACAGTCAACTAATACTAGGGGGTAGCTAACAAGGTAGACTTTTACTTGTTATTTAAAGTCTTTGGTTCTGATATTTTAACAATGTGTACTTCTATTTAAAATCAGGAAATTGAGGCCAGGTACGGTGGCTCATGCCTGTCATCCCAACACTTTGGGAGGCTGAGGCAAAAGGATAGCTTGAGGCCAGGAGTTTGAGACCAGTCTGAGCAACAAAGCGAAACTCAATCTCTACCAAAAAAAAAAAAAAAAAAAAAGAGGGAAAACACTAGCATGGCACAGTGGCTTATACCTGTAGTCTAACTATTTGGGAGGCTGAGGTGGGAGGATGTCTTGAGGCCAGGAGTTCCAGGCTGCAGTGAGCTATGATGATGCCAGCACTCCAGCCTGGGCGACAGACCAATACTCTGTGTCTAAAAAGGAAAAAGAAAGTCAAATTAAAGCATTAAAAAAGAGAATTCAAAGTCCTTTCTCACCTCCATTTGGCCTGCTCCTTCCTTCCTTCTTTCTTCCATACTCCCTTGAAATTTTGCCCCACAGGACGTCATGGATATTTCCAAAAGGAGGGTGCTTCCTAAGTGCTTGCCTCTGAGTGGCATTTGAGGTAGAACTTATGACATAATTCTTCTTGGTCCAATGTAAATATTAACATACTTCCCTACCCTACATGTCTAATTATGGTTAGCCTATGATTTTGTTGGAATCAGACTATGGACTTATCTTTGTTTACTTTTAGTATTTGTTTTTATCCTGTTCATTATTATACTTCTCTGAAGTTCCAGATCTGAAACTGTTTAAATTATGGGTCTTTGGTGGCAAGCAAGAGAAAGTGTATCTTGCTCTCTTAAGCAGAAAAATAATTCATTCAAGGGAAATAAGGGACCTAAAAGGATCCAAGTGAAAGCCATAGACTGAGGTTTGGAAAAACACAAGGAGCAAAGAAAGCTCACGGGGAGAGGGGGAGTTACAGCCAGAACTGAGGGGCTGTTACTTTAGGATGTCAGCGATGAAGTTAATCAGCCTATGATCTTTTTTGTTTCTGTGTCATTTCCTTCAAGATTCCACACTCAAAGGAAACAGCGTTCAATAAGCTTATCTTGGGTCATGGCCAGATCCCTTAACCAGGGAAAGGAAGGACACTGTTATTTCTACCATATTCTATCCAGCAGGGAAAGTACGCTCATTGCAGAGCTGACTCAGTGTACTTTTACCAGAAAAAGGAAAATCCTAACTAGCAAAGATTACACAAGATTCCTCTTAGATAATATTTGGTTTGCTTATTCCACACTGTAAATTTTCTGACCAGTGGTAGTGTTCTCTAGGAAGCGCTTCATATATTGCAATCTCCCCAAGAACAGGGCTGGATTTATCATTTTCTTGAGTGACATATAAGACAATAAGTGATTAATAGATGCCTAGAGTTATAATTCAAAATAGGTTTCATTATGTTTTGCCCTGATAACTTTCTTTATACTTATTGTGTGGTTTTCTTCTCTAGGTTGCTATAAATTTGGTCTCCTTGTTCAAGGTAGTTGTCACTGTGTTGACCAGGCCTTGCTTCTTAACTCAGGTAATTGAAAAATCTATCCAACATCCTCATCAGCAGAAAAAAAATGTAGACTGAGAGAGTATCTTCCTTTTGTCTGTGTGATTACAGACTTAAGGAAAATTTGCGTTAATTAATCTCTTTATAATGCACATTATAAAACAAATTTCCTAAAGTGTGGAATTATTTAAGTTACATAGAGTTATGACTCAGGCATTGGATTTTATTAACACCAATGGCATATTACATTGATTTGGTGTATAGTCATGAAGTTACTATTTATTTTTACCTAATTAAAATGTTAAAGTGGAGGGGTCTGGATTTTAATCATATTCCTCAAAAGCTACTTTGATACTGGATAAAATGTCAGCTCTCGAAATCCACAAACCTCATTATCCTCATTGTAAAAATCAGATATTCCAGATGTTAAATATATATCAGATGAGAAAGGATGTGGGTAAACCTGGTGTCAGAGAAAATGTGGTAAGCATTCCCTTTCATTCCTGCCTCCTCATTTAATGCCTATGCCAGGCAGAAGAAAAAGCAGCAATACAGAAAAAACACATTATTTAAACTGAGGTCTGAGTTCAAATGTGGATTTTACCATATCCTAGCTGAATGCAAGCAAATTACTAAAATTCTCAGAACTTTAGTTTTTTCATCTATAAAACATGGCTAAAAATGTCTATTTCTTACTGTTATCATTAGGATCAAACGAAATACTTGATATATCCATAGTGAGTACTCAATAAATGGAATCTATTATAATTTGACAACTAACATATTTATATGAGTCTTACTCATTTCTATGCATGAAAGAAAATACACGTTTGAGACAGATTAATAATTACTTGTTTGATTAATCTGTCTAGATCTATTTTTTCAAATGAATATGAAAGTTGTGATTGATAACTGGAGCAAATCATATAATCCATCATTTCCTAAAACATTTCTAGGGCACACCCATGCTGTCAGATGTAACAAAATGGGTTATCAGAAAAACATTTGCGTTCATACGGGATTAGACAAATCTTGATTGACCAATGTCAAACTACTGTCTTGACTGCAGGACTTTTCAGAGCCTTTAACATACAAGCATACATTGTGACTTTCCAGAAGCAAATAGAGTAAGCAGAATTTTTTAACTTATTTGACCAATGAGTACATTATCGTGGGGGTAGGGTTATTCAGACAACATTATGAAGAAGTGATGACATCGCTGTTTTTCACAATCTACTTGCAAAATGGCACAAGAAATGATCACAGCAGACAATCAAACTTGCCCAGAGCAGCCATTGTGAATTTAATCTAATTGCTCTTGAAAGCTGGATTTGTTTCTCTGAATTGAGTTGCAGCCTTTGAGGAAGAAACAAATTGCCTCCCCACTGCTCACACTTCTGCTCCATCTGTAAATGTTAGGAAATAGCATAAAAAGAAATTCAAATTCCTGTAGCAGTAAATATGCAAACACACATTTTCTGCAGATATAGCGAGGGCATCATTTTCCCCCTTTTACCACCCCAGAGTCCCTGAACAGGTTTGAATCTGTTGACAAAGCTTTTTAAAACCATCTAGCTGACCTTTATTTTTTATTTTTATTTTTATTTTTATTTTTATTTTTATTTGTTTTGTATGCTAGCAATCTGTTAACCACATTTCCAGGGAACTTGCATAGAGAGCTCCTTCTCTCTCTCTCTCTCTCTCTCTGTCTCTCTCTCTCCCGCTTTCTATCCTACTCCCTTCCTCCTTCCCTGCCTTCTTCGCTCTCCTTTCTCTCTCTTCCTTTTTTTCTATTTCTTATTCGTTGGCAGTCTTGCCACTGGATGTGCAAATTAAAACTCATTTAATCATCTGCATGCCAAGCACAAGGACTCAGTCAATCACGTTCTATGCCATTGGCTAGGTAATTACTTGAAATTTGCTATCTATTGTTTCATCCTTTGTTCCCAGCCTACTATTGACGTCAGAGGAGTTTTGCCTGTGAAAGAATGAGGTCTTATTTTTGTGTGTGTGTATAAAATATTCTAGTTTGCTCCAGACTTCTGTGCCCAAGTGGGTCTCTGGCAAAGAATGTTCTGTACATCCATCAACATTTAGAAGTGCAGTGATGGTTGCATGCAAAGTGGAAGTTGGAAATTGAGCAGAAAGAAAAAACCTTGTGGAGCGTAGTCAAACCGGTTACTCAAAGCTTGTGTTTTAAGATTTTCTTCAGCCTCTTGCACACTCATACCAAACGATAATATCCACATTTGCAGATTGAGAAACCAACATCGAACTACTATCTTAATTGCAGGACTTTTCAGAGCCTTTAAAGAGAGATATAGTTATGTCTTTGTCCTTATGGGAATAACCGGACCTTTGCCAAACTGAGAAAAGTTCAGGCACAAGGTAGACAATGTAGTGGATAGTGAGTCAGATTCTGTACCAGGAAGATTTTGTATGGTGTGAGTTCCTCTCTGCACTGCCCACCTTGGTACTTCCAGCATCTAGGATAACTGTTGCCACACAATTAAGTATTTGTTAACTACTTGTTTAAGGAATAAGTAGGTGTTTTTCAAAGAGGCTGCTTCAACCATGAACACTTATTTATCTTTGGAGTCACATGTCATGGCTAAGTTATGCCCTAAGTACCATATAACTTAGTAGTTAATACTGTAGTTAATACTTAGTAGCTAATACTCTAACCTTGAGGTTAGAAAGCCTTGAGGGTTAAGCTCTGCCTTTGCCCTTTACCACTGGTGAGGCTTTGTGCAATTAACTGAGTCTATTTAAGCCTCCCTCTCCTTATCTCTACTTTGGCTCCGTTGTAGAGATGGGGAGACAATGATCTTCACTCCACAACAGGTTAGTTCATGTCCTTTGTAGGGACATGGATGAAGCTGGAAACCGTCATTCTCAGCAAACTATCGCAAGGACAAAAAACCAAACACCACATGTTCTCACTCATAGGTGGGAATTAAACAATGAGAACACATGGACACAGGAAGGGGAACATCACACACCGGGGCCTGTTGTGGGGTCGGGGGAGGGGGGAGTGATAGCATTTGGAGATATACCTAATGCTAAATGACGAGTTACTGGGTGCAGCACACCAACATGGCACATGTATACATATGTAACAAACCTGCACATTGTGCACATGTACCCTAAAACTTAAAGTATAATAAAAAAAATTCAGTTCAATCCTGATAATTTCTTTATCAAAATAATTTCCATGTGAATCACAGCTTTATATGTAATAGAATAAAATATTTAACAAACCACAAAAAAAATTGATTAAGACAAGGTACATAAAACACCTTTGCATAGTACTTGGCATATAATAAACTTTCAGTAAATATTATGATTAAAGACTGTGCATCAATTGGTTCAATGGATAACTCTCAAGTAGAGTAGTACATGATAGGATGTTAATAGTACAAATTCTATATAAACATTTATATATGCAGATACTGGGTCCAAAATAAAAGTGTGGCACTACAATTACGTTGTCATTGTCCCCCACCAAGAATACATAGAAACATCAGGGCAGAGTTGATACCAAATCTCATAGAAAGCCTTAAAAATAATTATTTCAAAATGTTGCCCTTGATCAATGGTTCTCAACTGCAAGCAAGTTTGCCCCCTGGGGGGACATTCATTAATGTCTGAAGACATTTTTGGTTGTCACCACTGGGGTGGGGGCTGTGCCTGTGGCTTCCAGTGGGTAGAGGCCAGAGATGCTGCTAAACAACCTGCAATGCACAGGACAGCCTCCTGCAACAGGGAATGATCAATTGTGTCAGAATTGAGAAAAACCTTGCTCGGGATTTTTTAATTTTAAAAATATGTAACTTATTTCAGATTCTATCAGAGCCAATACATATGAAGATACATTATTTATGAATTATTTTCAGTGTTTAAAAGGGGATTAAGGCAAGTGGCTCTTTTTGGTTGAGAACTGGGTTCATTTCAGGGAGCCTGGAATATGATACTTTTCTTGGAATGCATTTGCCAGGCTGAAGGATCAGGGCAGAGAATTGCAGTCTGATGAAAATGCTGCAAGCAAATATCCTGCTTAGAAATGTTTTTGATGAGTCATTTCCAAAAACTCAAATACACTGACTAGTGACTAAGAGTCTAATTAACCCAGACGCCACTAAAAATAGGAAAGATCCATTGCACTTACGCGAGGTTTTCTGTTAAATCAACAACCCTGTGAGGTAGGCAGAAGCAATTTAAAGTCTAGAGAATACTAATACTAATAATGAGGGCTATTAATTATTAAGCATGGACACTGTGCAAAATAATGGCAGTAGAACAAGAGGAGGAGGAACTTAGGGTATGGAGTGCACGCCTAGCCCTGTCACCTACTAGCTGCATGAGTCTTGGAGGTTTATTTTGCTTTTCTGCATCTTAAGTCTTAATCTGTGAAAGAGGAATAGTTACAGTGTCAGTTTCACGGGATTGTTGTGAAAATTAAAAAAAAAAGCTTCCAAAGCACTCAGCACAGTGACCAATGCATATGCTTCTAATAAATGTAAGTTAATAATGAGAAGAATTCTCACAAAAACCGTACAAGGAAAGTATTCATAGTTAAAGATGAGACCATTTAGAGATGAACAAACTGTGTCAAAAAGTCCTTCAGTAAGTTGCCTAAGTTCCCTCAAGTGGTGAGTAGCCAAATCAGGTTGAACACAGAACTCACTTGGCAAGCCTTGTGCCTAGAAGAGTTTCTGGCATGTATCAGAACAACAACTATCTGTTGCAGAGGCAAAGGAAAAACCCTCATAGGTTCTGTGGCTGGGACCCTAGAAATTAAACATTAAAAGACACGTTAACAGGAAAAAGGATTTATTTCATATGCATATGAAGGGCCTCATAGAAATTAAAACCCAAAGAAGTAGGCAGACCTGGAGGTGTATATACCAGTTTAACAAAAGGGCCAAAAAAATTGTGGAGAAATGACAAGACAAAGAAAATAAATTTGAGTTTCTAGTGGTGATAAATTGTGGAAAGGTAAACATATGAGGAAAATAATGGAAGACTGGGTTATTTTAGGAAGGTTTGTTATGCAGACTCCCCTGGAGGCTGATAGTCTAGAGTTTCCTCTGGTGATTAAACACTTGCTGTGCCCTTTCTGGTAGGAGAAAGAGGAAGTGGCAACATTTTCACAAAGGGAAATCTATGCCCTGATTTTAGGCCAATGGGGGAGGGTAGAGTGCTTGTTTCTTGCATCTGTTGTTTCTCAATTGCTTTCTGCTTGAAATAGTCCTTACGCCAATGTGGCATATTTTGGGGTGACATATTCTAACCCCTTCACTACTGAATGAAGAAAAATCTCCTAATATTATATCTTCAGTAATCCACATTTTCAGCTGATTTTGCCCTGTTTATTGCACTTCCATTCTTGCTGGCTTCACATTTATTTTGTTTCTGGTCATGGAGTCAACTTTGGGTGCTCAAGTTTCCAGTGGGTGCATTAAAATACTCAAATAGCATAAATTGCACATATAACTTTGAAAAATTGCCCACAGAAAAATAGCAAAACGTGTTCATCTTTTCACCAAGAGCTAACTCTTGCAGAAGACAGGTAATCATTAGAAACCCTTCTACCCTAATCGCGTTGCCTGTATGTAATTATTGTAGTTTCCTCTGAGTATTCACTGAAAGGTGCCTTGAGAGAGAAAAAAATGTATAGGCTGCCTAGCAAAGTTAGGAAAAGCATGTAGAATGTATATATGGTGTGTGTGTGTGCATGTGCGTGCTTTGGTCACAGATATGAAGCAAGTTTCATCATGTAATTACAATGACAAATACAATGGCATTTGAATCAATTGACATCAGAATTGTAGGAATGGCTTGGAGTTGAGCTCCTCCTAATTATATTTAATTGCATAGTCTTGGATTTGACACTGAGTCTGGCTTGAAATGGATGCTTCGATGGGTTGAGTGTTTTTTCGCAGCTTGACAGGGTTGAGATGTAAACAGGAGCTGATAAACATGGCACTTACCACACCCATGAAGACTTTCTATTGGAATTTCTGTGAATGATTAATAGTCAAAAATTACAGCTCCACTGAGCTGTGACAGCATTGGATTCAGGATATGGAGACCTTTGTTTCCGTTATTGCTTACACATTTTAGAATCATTTGATTTTATTCTGGTTTATTTTTTGGCTCACTCCTCTGCTGATGAGTAAATTGAGGGAAATAAACACCAGAATGAGTCTGGCTGTTAAATGTGTCAATGTCTTAGCCATGGCAAGAATTCTACTGCATTCTCTGATGCAGTTGCCTGAGGCTGAGTACAGCTTGGGCCCCTTACCAACAACTGTTCTTCTATCGCCAGACTGGAGTGCAGTGGCGTGATCTCGGCTCACTGCAACCTCCGCCTCCTAGGTTCAAGCAATTCTCCTGCCTCAGCCTTCCAAGTAGCTGGGACTCCAGGTGCGTGCCACCACGCCCAGCAAGTTTTTTGTATTTTTAGTAGAAACAGGGTTTTACCATGTTGGCCAGGATGGTCTCGATCTCTTGACCTCGTGATCCGCCCGCCTTGGCCTCCCAAAGTGCTGGGATTATAGGCGTGAGCCACCACGCCCGGCCAACAACTGTTCTTTAAATGTTCTACTATCAAGAATGTTTTTCATATTTAATTTTTAAAATATTTCTGATATCTCTGATATTGGTCCTTAATATTCTATAAACATTTAACTATCTACCTTTTGAACTAATAATTCCTTTTATAATCTATTCTACACATTTTGCCCAAATATTGTAGGATAAATGTTAAGGATGTACATTTCACCATTATTTGTAACTCATTTATTCATCTACACATATTTTTTGAGTGCTTATATATTCAAGGCCTTGAGGAATTAGCTATAAGTGAACATTTAAATTTGTTTTTCTTTCTCTCATGAGGCTTATATTCTTGTTGAGAAAGATAGACAATAAACAGGATAAAGAATTAAAATAGGCCAGGTGTGGTGACTCATGCCTGTAATCCCAACACTTTGGGAGGCTGAGGCGGGAGGATTGCTTGAGCCCAGGAGTTCAAGACCAGCCCAGACAACATAGTGGGACCCTATCTCTACAAAAAAATTTAAAAATTAGCTGGGCATGACGGTGCATGCCTGTGGTCCCAGCAACTCAGGAGGCTTCAGTGGGAGGATTGCTTGAATCCAGAAGGTCAAGGCTGCCCTGAGCAGTGTTCATGCCATTGCCCTCCATCCTGGGTGACAGAGTGAGACCTTGTCTCAAAAGAAAGAAAGTTAAAATAGGTAATATTAAATTGTTAGAAGGCAATGAATATTTTCAGAGAGTATATAGCAAATTTAAATATAGTTGTCAGGAAAGGCCTTCTTGGAAATTGACCTTTGAGTAAAGACCAGAAGGAGGTAAGAGAGGGAGTTGTGGATATCTGAGAAGCGTGTGATCTAGGAAGAGTTAACAGTAAGGTCAAAGACCCTGAGGTAGGATAGTTCCTGGCAAGTTGAAGAAAAAGCAGGAAGGCCTGTGTGGCTGGAACACAGTAAACTAGGGAAAATCAAGGAATCAGGTGAGGTCAGAGAAGTGCCAAGTATCTGGGAGGGACCAGAGAGTACAGGGGTTGTTGGCCATTGAGATGACCTTGACTTTTATTTGGAATAAGATGGGAAAGAATAGGAAGGTTCTGAGCGGAGCAGTGATGTGACCTGACTTATGTTTTAGTCAGGTCATTCTGGTGGCTGAGTGGGGAATGGACAGTAGGGAAACAAAATCCTGAACTGGCTGACCAGTGAGGAGGCCATTAGGGACATCCAGCAGGAACATATGGCAGGTTGGGCAGGGATAGTGCAGTTGGAGGAGGAGAGTCGTGCTCAGATCTGGATATATCTGCAGGTTAGAGACAACAAGTTTATGTTTATGAACTACCTAAATGTCTATCAAGAGGATAATGGTTTTTTTTTTTTTTAAATGATGGCATTTCCATTTGTGATGGTTAATTTTATTTGTCAACCTGACTGGGCTAAGGGATGCCTAGATAGCTGGTAAAACATTATTTCTGGCATGTTCTTGAGGGTGTTTCTGGAAAAGATTAAGATTTGAATCCATAGACTGAGTAATGAGGACCGCCTTCTCCAATTTGGGCTGGCATCATCTAATCTGTTGAGGGCCTGCTTAGAACAAAATAACAAATTTACGCTGTCTGTTTGAGCTGAGACATCCATCTCCTGCCCTAAGACACCAGCGCTCCTGATTCTTGGGCCTGGGTCTTACACCATTAGTTCCCCTGGTTCTTGGGCCTTTCGTCTGAGATTGAATGACAGCACTGGCTTCCCTGACTCTCCAGCTTTCGGACAGCAGGTTGCTGGGACTTCCTGGCCTCCATAATTACATGACCAATTCCCATACCCCCATTCCATAAAATAATGAGATAGAGCTATAAAAATATTTCTAAGTTGTATAGTTGTATGAAAACATCAAGAAAAATAGCAATGGGATAGTAAAGTGTCTGCATTATTAAAACGCATGTGTATACAGTCAGCTCTCCACCTCCACAGGGTTAGTATCTGTGGATTCAACCAAATGGGGATAAAAAATATTCAAAAAATAAAAAAAGATACTAACAATAATATGACAATACAAAAATAATATAAATAAAAACCAATATGATATAATAATTATTTAGCTAGCATTTATGTCATATTTGGTATTATAAGTAATCTACAGATGATTTAAAATATACCAAAAGATATGTGTAGGTTATATGCAAATACTATACCATTTTGTACCAGGGACTTGACCATCTGGGGATTTTGGTATCTGAGGGTGTCCTGGAACCAATTCCCTGTGGATACCAAGGGATTGCCATATACACAAGTATTCTATTTTCATTTTTTAAAAAATCAGAGCACCCCAAAATTTAATGGCTTCTTCTGAGAAGGGTAATTGCAGATGGCATGCAAAAGGGAAGTTTGAAGTTATACATTATTTTGCTGTTTCTTTCCCAATAACGTATTAGTGGATTTTCATTGTTTTAAGAAGGGGAAAATATTCACTCTTCTAAAACTTATAAAGACACTTTTGTAACAACTTTAACAAATTCCATACTCCATAGATGAGTCATGTCTTTTTAGAAGGGTCATTATCAAAGTTTGGTTCAAAATATCGTTTGCTTTTGCCAGTTATAAATGTTTGAGAGAATGTGAACTTTCGTCTCTATATTCAATCTAGAATTTTCTTAGTATGATCCCTCTGTGGCCACTGAGCACAAAATGGTGGTGTTGCTAGGCAGTGAGAGCCTCCTGCTTCAGGGAAGTGGGTTCTAATAACTCTTCAACTAACTGGTAGTCAGAACTGAAGTGGATGATGAAACACTTTCAGGAACTTGGCACCACTCTCAAATTCAGAAATTGCTCTTTTAATATATGTTGGAGGTTGCGTGAAACAAAACTGAAGTTTTTCCAGTGTATTTCAGTTTTCCAGTCTTCCAAGGATTTGTGGAGTTCTCGGTGGCAGAATTACTAACAATGGATTCACAAATGTGACTAAAAATAGATGGCATGATTGAAGGCTTAATTTCATCTAATCTGATGCAATCTTATGTAAAGTTATGTCCACATCAAGAAGACAGCCATTTCAGGTAGATCATGGGTCAGGAGATCGAGACCATCCTGGCCAACATGGTGAAACCCCGTCTCGGCAAAAAAAAAAAAAAAAAAAAAAAAAAAAATACAAAAAATTATCCAGGCATGGTGGTGGGTGCCTGTAGTCCCAGCTACTCAGGAGGCTGAGGCAGGAGAATTGCGTGAACCTGTGAGGAGGGGCTTGCAGTGAGCTGAGATTGCGCCACTGCACTCCAGCCTGGGTGACAGAGCGAGACTGTCTCAAAAAAAAAAAAAAAAAAAAAAAAGACAGCCATCTGATAGTAGAGTTTCACAATTTCTGACAAATCTCTAATGTCCAGTTGCAAATCTGGACTTTATATCTGACTTTTTCTAAACGTAAATTTGATAAAAATAGCTAAAATCCTACTATATGTAATTTTTAAACAGCCAAAAATAATGCATAGAATGCAAGTTGTCATATTTTTCAGGAGTAGCCACAGTTTCTATATAATTATTTGCTGACTTTGATTCCACTGTGACACAATCATTTTTAAAAATATATGAAATCAGACATTCTAGAGTCTGTCATGAAATGCTACCAAAGTTTTCTTTTGCTTAAGGGCACTGGTGACAGGGCATCGTAACACAATGACACATGGATTTCTTTGAGTTTGGAAGTGTGCCACCATCAAAGATAGGGCCACCCATGGATTCACTACATCAGATCAGAGGAAATTGAATTATAAAGGACGATGTTCTCAAATTTCACCTTCCAATGACATGTGACAGCTCAAAACAGTCATAGTGTTCAGTAAAGTTCTTTTTTCATTTTTCTTTTTTTTTTTTGTCATAGATTTTATAGATTGGAACATCAAACAACATGGGTTAGTTTCAAGAAGACATAAGCTACACTGGTGTTCCCCAAAGTGTCTGGTAGCAGGAAATAGTCTAGATTGCTGGTTCTCAGCCCACCATCATTTTGACCACCCAGGGAAAATGTGACAATGCCTGGAGATGTTTTTGACTGTCACAACTGAGAGGTGGGATTGCTGCTGGTATTTAGTGGGTAGAGGCCAGGGTGCTGTTAAACACCCTCCAATGCACAGGACAGTAGCCCCACCTCCCTGACAAAGAGAGTTCTTTCCCCAAATGTCAGTGATGCTAAGCTTGGGAAACCTTAATCCAGAGTAAACTAAGGCAGCTTCTGAATCCTTTGACCCTTACTTTACCACAAAAACCTGAGATGCCAACAGTGATACCTACTCACACAGCTAACTACATTAAATAAAATGATTTATAGTCGGTTAATCAGCTTGAGGTACTGCAACAAAATACTGTAAAATACTGTAGATTGGATGGATTAAGCAATAGAAATTTATTTTCTCACAATCTTGGAGGCTGGAAGTCCAGGATCAGGGTGTTAGCATGGTGAATTTCTAGTGAGGACTCTTCCCGGATTGCTTCTTTCTGCGTGTCTCTCTCTCCTCTCTCTCTCTCTTTTTTTTTTTTTGTTTGAGATGGAGTCTCAGTCTGTCACCCAGACTGGAGTGCAGTGGTGCGATCTCAGCTCACTGCAACCTCTGCCTCCCAGGTTCAAGCAATTCTCCTGCCTCAGCCTCCCGAGTAGCTGGGACTACAGGCACGAGCCACCACGCCCAGTTAATTTTTTGTATTTTTAGTACAGATGGGGTTTCGCCATGTTGGCCAGGCTGGTCTTAAACTCCTGACCTCAGGTGATCCTCCCGCCTCAGCCTCCCAAAGTGCTGGGATAACAGGTGTGAGCCACCGTGCCCAGCCCTGGTGTTTCTTCTTGTATGAGCACTGACATCAACAGGGCCCCACCCTCATGGCCTCATTTAACCCTAAGTATCTTCCAAAGGTCCCGTCTCCAAATACTGTCATGTTGGGGGTTCAAGGCTGCAACATGGGAATTGGTGGGGGAGACACAAACATTTGATCAATTACATATGGGAAATTTACATGAGTCCTGATTATTGTTATTGTAGGTCTCATAATTGTTAATATTTGATAACCACACAGGAGCCTAATGAGAAGAACTCTTCACAGTAAATAAAAAAGTATTCCAAGCTCTGTTGTAGGTGACAGACTTCTACAATCTACAACTCATCAAGTTGTGTATGTCCACATGTGTATATGTTGGCCAATAGCAGAAAGCAATGTTTTGCTGTCTAATTTTTTTTTTTTTTTTTTTTTTTTGAGACAGGGTCTCTCTCTGTCACCCAGTCTGGAGTGCAGTGTGCAGTGGTGGGATCATAGCTTACTGCAGGCTCGACCTCCTGGGCTCAGGTGATCCTCAGCATCCTGGGTAGCTGAAACTACAGGCATACACCACCACACCTGGTTAGTTTTTGTTTTTGTTTTTGTCTGAGATAGGTCTTGCTGTGTTGCCCAGGTTGGTCTCACACTCCTGGGCTCAAGCCATCTGCCTGCCTCGGCCTCTCAAAGTCCTGGGATTACGGGTGTGAGCCATTGCAACCAGCTATTTTGGTCTCTTAATTGTGAAACAAATAAGAGAGCTTCTCTCTGTTATTGAAGTGAAGTAGTTACAACTCTGTCCTGACACAGTAATTTAAGAACTTTGTGGCTGGAGAGATTTTCTGAAATTTATATCAACTTGAAACTGACATTTTCCTTTTCCTCGTCTAGGTGCTAACCTATGGCCTTGCATGGGTCTTCTGAGATAGAAACGTTTTTGGTAATTGTTGACTCTTTGTAAAATTAGTAATCCAGTAAATAGGTCTTGGGTATCCATGTTAGTAAAGTCTCTATTTTCCATGAGGAGTGGGGAATACAACATTGAATTGCAGTACCTGCTCACAGGCAGGTTTACATATAAATATGTTTCATGACAAAATATTTTAAGTTCTATGGCAGGTACCAAGAATAATCTATGAGGGTTTGGAAGAGGGTGACTTTCCCAGTGGTAGGAGAGAATAATATATTTGCGAACCATGGTAAGGAGCATAAAAGAATCCCAATCCAAGAGCATCCTGATTTGGGAGTAAGGAGCCCTAAGAACACGTGGTCACCTGAATTTTAGAGTCTTTATGGACTGGTAACTATTATATACTTTTGATTCCTCCACTTGTTAGATGGAAATGTCTATTGCAGTTACCTTGTTCTTGCCTGTCAGAAGTGTGGCTATTTTCCAAGAATTAAGCAGTATTTATAGCTCTTGGAGGAGGAATGGCATCATGTAGGCTGCATTTTTTAGAGGTTCCTCCGATTTCTCTGGGGAAAATGCATCGTAGGCAGGTAAGAATGAAAATATTGAAAATTAGAAGGATATTTCCATAATCCAGGTGAGAAGTGATGATGGTTTAAAGTTAGAAGACAGCAGTAGAGATGGAGAGAAGCAAATGGATTTCAAATATATATTTACAGATGGTGAGGGTGGGTTGTTTGAGGTGGATGGTAAAAAGAAAGGAACCAAGAATGACCCTTAACTGCAAGGCTTGAGATGGTATGTGAATGGAAATTTCATTTAATAAGACGGTAGAGTCTGAGAAGGAAACCACTTTGTACACATGATGTGAGATGAAGGTAAAGGCTGGAAACAAACTGTGGATCACACATACTAAGTGTGTCTACTAAGATAATGGCTGGATATGAAATAAGCAATTGGCTATCTAATTGCATCTTGAGTTCAGTGGAGTGACTTGGCAGGAGGTAAATATTTAAGAGTCAGGTAGGTTATTTTTAGGCATATGGACTGGATGAGACCTTTCTAGCTAGAAAATTGAAGAGGGTAGACCAATTCTTGGAGCACTGCCATGTTGGAAGGTCAAGTAGAGGAAGAAAATAGAAGTAAAGGAAGGAGAATGTCTTGGGAAGGATGGAGCAGGCTCATCCCAGTGTGTCATCTGTTGCTATTGAAGGACAGAGAAGGTCCAGCAGTTTTAGCACCAAGGAAATCATCAATAAATGAGACAACACAATTTCTGTGGAGTCTTAGGAAGGGTGGGAGCCCAGATTGGCATCATTTGAAGAGGAAAACATGACATGAGGAAAATTTTAGAAATTAATACTCTTCTGGCCGGGCGCAGTGGCTCACACCTGTAATCCCAGCACTTTAGGAAGCCGAGGTGGGCGGATCATAAGGTCAGGAGATTGAGACCATCCTGGCCAACATGGTGAAACCCTTTCTGTACTAAAATACAAAAAATTAGCTGGGCATGGTGGTGCGCATGCCTGTATTCCCAGCTACTCTGGAAACTGAGGCAGGGGAATCGCTTGACCCTGGGAGGCAGAGGTTGCAGTGAGCCAAGATCGCGCCACTGCACTCCATCCTGGGCAATAGAGCGAGACTCCATCTCAAAAAAAAAAAAAAAAATTAATATTCTTCTTCGGCTATGCATCAGTTCCCTAGACTTTCTTATGTCAGTTTTAATCATTTACATAAGATTTAAGATAATCATTCTTATGTCAATTGGCAGTTATGGATTTGAGATGCTGTTAGTCAAACAATTAAATAAGAACAAACAATCAACTTTTAAAATTTTGTTCAGCTGATTGCATGTATACAACAAACACACTGGTAAATATCTTCCATTTGTTCATTTATCCTTTAGTTTTTTTCAACAACTCAATACAGAATATATACTAAAGACACATAATTTCTTTACCCTCATGGAACTCACATTCTACTGAGAAAGACAAAAAATTAAGTAAATAAACAAATAATGCTGTACATGGTACAAAATGTTCAGAGAAAACAAACGTGATTCAGACACAGAGAACAATGAGAAAACTGATATTAAATGGGCCGGTGGCAGGAGGGCTTTCTGAGTAGGGGATTTTTTAAGCTGAGGCTTGAATGATGCAAAGATCCACCATGTGGGGTACTGGGATGCAGCAGTGCAGAAAGTCTGGCAAGATGCCCCGAGAGGGAAAGAACTGGGCATGTTTGAACAAATGAGTATCTACTGGTATGTAGCGTACAAGGGGGTGTATAATTGGTTTGGCGAGGTTGACAGGGCCCAGATTATGCAGGGACTTCTAGACTCATTTTGAAAATCCTTCCAAAATTGTCTCGACGGCTATTTTTAAAATTTTCTATTTCTTTGAGTAACATAGGAATCAGAAGTATTTCTTGGTGCAGCATTTCTAGAGAGCACTTTGACAATTTGTATAAAAAAAGCTTAAGTACATGTACTGTAGAGCAATGACTTCATTTCTAGGAATTTATGCTAGGGAAATAATTTTCCACATGCACAAATGTGTATACATAGAATATTTGCTTATATTTCCAAACTCCTCAAATTCTATGCTTCAAATATTAATAGGTGGTTTGTACATGTCTCAATAGAGCTGATTTTGCTTTAAGAAAAAGATGCCTAATTAGGAAAAATAGCTCATGCATGCTGGGCTTAATACCTAGGTGATGGGTTGATGGGTGCAGCAAACCACCATGACACATGTTTACCTATGTAACAAACCTGCACATCCTGCACATGTACCCTGGAACTTAAAATATTAAAATAAATTAAAAATAAATATTAGAAAAGGATGCCTAATATAGAAAAATTTTAAAAATAGCCTAATGCATATCCATATGAGATTAGTTAATATATTCCAAACCACCCATATACTTTATACAACCATAACAATTACTATTTTATTTTTATTGACAGGAAAATATTCATGATATTTAGTATTAAGTAAAGATAAGTCAAAAAACCAGTAAATGTAATTTCATTTTTATTTAAATTATATTTAAATTAGAAAGATAAACATAGGCCTATAGATGGACATGTAAAAATAGAACATTATTCCTGAGTGGTGGGATTATGGATAGTATTTATTCATTTCTTTCTATTTTCCTTTGTTATCTGAATATTTTTATGAGCATAAATTACTTAGTTATTACAAATATGCTAAATTAAATTCATGTTTAAACAAAATAAACATTGGCAGCAACAGAAAGGCTGATGCATGAATCAAAGACTGGAACTTAAGGACATTGTTGGAGAGCAAGAATACAGCCCCCACCTCATTTCAGAAGAAATGAATGTTCAAATTAACATCAGCTGTGATGACCAACTGTTTTGGAAAGCAGGCCAGATGGTGTTCATCTTTGCTCTCTGGTGTGTTTTAAGAGGATATTATTGGACTTCTCAGAGACTACTCAGTAGCAACAATTACAAAACATCCCTGTAGCTAGGTCATTCCAATTATCTTCTAGCAAACATGCAAGATACTTTGAAGATTTTTCACTAGCCCACAATTTGTCTTTGCAATTTGTCCAGAAGAGTTCATATTTACATCCATTAATTTTACTTGAGTGGCATGCTTTCAATTTTGCAAAGACATCCTTTCACATTTGAGTAGCTGATCATGCAGGGGACAGAGCATAGTTAACCTGCCATTTGAACAGGTTAGCCTGGTGATCACATATGTCCACAGGCAATTTAGCTACATGGCCGATGACACAATTAAGACGGATTAGTAAAGAAAACTGGGTTGCAAGGCAAGTAGCATTTCTAAAGTTTCCTAAGAGACCGGTGCAAAGAGGAAAATCACATGTTCATGATGTTAACTGGCCAAATTTGATTAATCATTTTTAGCATTAAAGCAAAAAAGAAAAGTCCATGGTAAATACCTCAGCCCAACATCTATTACCTCCCCCCACCGTTTTTTTGTAAGTTTAAAAACAAACCCAATCCAATGAAAATTAGGAGTCCTTTGCCCAATGCTTCATCTTCCATACACAAATCATTCTTATTATGGATTTTTCGTGCTACAGATTTTCTAAACATTGGAGTCTTAGAGATGCTAAGTGACTAAAATTAGACATGGTTTTTGACTGATAATTTAACAAGTATGCTTTAAGAATGTATTAAAGTGGTCTTCAAATTATTTGAGTTTAATGCCTGCTTTCCGAATCCTGGAATTTGGGGTAGCATATACAAAAGGATTAAAAGTAAAATTCCAGTGCGTCTGTATAGGAAGTTTCAGGAAATGTTTAAAAGAGTGCAGATATTACGATACAGTGGATTTACATCTTAGAGTCCTGAAGTGTGTGCCTAAGGTAAAAATCATGTGTCCCACGGTCCAGGTGCTCTCTTTTCTAGCATCCCACTAATCTACTTGAGGAGCAGGGCCCAGGGCTGTCTCTCAGGGGCTCCCTGAAGTCACCTTTCTTCTTGATTCCCTTCTGATTGTCTCTCTTCCACTGCTTAAAGAAGTGTTTTGTACTGATGGGAGGGGAAGCTGCGCTTTTATTCGTCATCTGCTTCCCCAAGTTGTGGTTCATACTCAGAGCGAGAAGAGAGTCTTTTCTCTTCCCTCAAGAACTAGGTTTTTGAAATTCAAAAGCCAGGAAAAGAAGCCCATTTTCTCTGCCTTCTGCTATGACAGCTCCTCAGTGGAGTACACACAGCATCCTAACAAAGACTCAGGAGAGCCAGGGAGGTGCGGGAGCAAAGTAGTGCAGTTTTATTTACACTTACGTTTATATAAAACAGGAAGGTAACTGGCCTTTGCCGATAATTATTACACAAGTCAACATGGTGTTTTCCCCCAGTTCTGAGCCTAGGAGATCATTCATCTGGCACCCTGTGCAAGGTGAAGTAAAGAAGAGATGAAATTGCTTGGTGCAGAGTGGTCCCTAGCCACATCTGGGCTCTTTGATTCACTGCTGCCCAACGCAACGCATTGCAGATTACATTTGCACTGTGAAGTGGATGTGTGGACAATGCAACCTCATTTTAATTAGACATACCCTCATAAAATTACAGAAGACTTAATAAGATTCCTGAAAAGAAAATGCAGATTGAAAATAGCAATGATAACGTAAGCCCAGGCACACAGCAAACCAGCACCAGCACAGTGCAGCTCCTAGTCCTACTGTCAACTATTCCTCACCCATGTTTCAAGGTTAAAAGAAATCGGGCAGAACATTCGGCCTGAAATTCAGATTTGGGGGCATGTGGGGAAGCTTAGAATGTCCATGCAAGGTAAAGGCGATATTTTAACAGTGAAAAGCAACATGCTCTTCAAAAGAAACATGTTTTGTTGAGAGGAGCCTTTAAAAATGGATGTGTGGGTGAGTAGATGGAGGGAACCGATCTATATCCTTAAAAATAAAAAATAGAAACAGAATTTCTTTTTTTTTTAACTTTTGTTTTAAGTTCAGGGGTACATGGCAGGTTTGTTACATCGGTAAACACGTCATGAGGGTTTGTTGTACAGATTATTTAATCACCTATTAATCATCACTTTTTTTTTTTTTTTTTTGAGACGGAATCTGGCTCTGTCTCCCAGGCTGGAGTGCAGTGGCGCGATCTCGGCTCACCGCAAGCTCCGCCTCACGGGTTCACGCCATTCTCCTGCCTCAGCCTCCCTAGTAGCTGGGACTACAGGTGCCCGCCACCACACCCGGCTAATTTTTTTTGTATTTTTAGTAGAGACGGGGTTTCACCGTGTTAGCCAGGATGGTCTCGATCTCCTGACCTTGTGATCTGCCCGCCTCGGCCTCCCAAAGTGCTGGGATTACAGGTGTGAGCCACCGTGTCTGGCCTCATCACCATTAAGCCTACTACCCATTATTTATTTTTCCTGATCCTTTCCCTACTTCCACCCTCCAAAAGGCCCCAGTGTTTATTGTTCCCCTGTATGTGTCCATGTGTTCTCATACACTCTTGGTAGGAGTGCAAATTCGTTCAGCCATTGTGGAAGACAGTGTGGTGATTCCCCAAAGACTTAAAGACAGAAATACCATTCAACCCAGCAATCCCATTACTGGATATATACCCAAGGGAAACAGAATTTCTATCTCACGAAAAAAATCTTTCTGAAGAAGAGTTTTAGTAGGTTTATGTACCCTTTTGTTTAAAAACCAAAAGGCATTTGTCATTTAATTTACAAAACAATGAACTGACATTGAGGAAGATGCAAATTTACCAGTTTTGAACGATGCTGCACAATTGGCAGTTGGGTCTGAAAATAAATATCAACATTTAGGATACATGTCCACTGATGTCCCTCTTCTATTTGGGTCCATGTTATCTTTTTAAGATGTCTTTGTAACTCTTGACTGCCATAAAAAGCCAACGTTTAACTTAGACCTTTAAAATCACGGTTCAGCTTGCATTTTAAAAAACATTAAGGCATATTCAATCATGTTGTTCCCCATAAAATACTAACAATATGTTAGTTGGAAAAGAATGTTTTATCATGAATATATAAAATAAAATTATAACTAAGATATTTGTTACTTCACTCTTTATCAAATCATTTTAAAAGTCCTATTTTAAATTTAGTCAAACATGTGCATAGTACAATATAACAGTGTTATATATATAAAATAAATGATTATACATGTATTGAAACGTGCACAAAATGTTTTAACTGAGAGGAGTGCATTTTTTTTTGGGGCGGGGTGCTGTGGTTATGGGCCTGGTGACCAGTGACAGTAATTAAATTTGTAAATTAAGTTTGTAAATCAAATTGCATAGTAACATCCCCCCTCGTGGTATTCATTATCTTTTAGAAATTATCTCATCTTCCTAATTTGCTTGTAAATAACTCATCATCAGGGATTATTATTTTTTTATCGTAGTAGGTAATCAAGAAATCATTTATTCATCATATAACAAGAAATGATAGATGCATAGGCCTTAATGCAGTGACCTCTTTTTAGGATAACTCTATGAGACAGTATAAAATATTAATGAAAATTTAATGAAGTTCTAAGCAAAAAGTAGGTAATAGCAATAATAGAATCCACTTGCTTACCAATAAATTAAGTTTTTATTTTCACTTTTGAATTTTTTATTTAAAAACGAAGTTCTGAAATGCTTCCATGTGTTTCTTCCAATCAAAGTAAATGATCTTTTAAAAACTTACACTATTTTTACAAATTTCTTTCAAGTTATCTCTAACCAAATAACATTCAAAGGGTTTTATTTTTAATGAGTGGAACCGTGAATTGGAAAACAAATATGCAAGAACCTATTAACTGGCCAGTAAATTAGAATAAAAAGAGAGAAATTTTCTACTACTAAAAGAAAGCTTTAATTTACATGCAAATGTGTAGAAGGAAAAAACGTGCTGGAATTTACTTTTAATGGATAGCAGAGCTAGAAAAGAGACAAGAGGTACAAACTGATGGTGTCTCAAATCTACTGCCAGATAGACCTGCAAAGAAATGGGCCAATGTCCTTAGGATGAACTATTTTAATGACAGTCTTGCCACATGAGAAAAATTATTGATTCATCCAATTAACATTAGTATGTAAATTATTCATTAGAGCAACTATCAGAATAAAATTAGGATTTCTAGGCTCATAAGTTGTCCATGCTTCTGCCTTCTATAGTGTGAGAGATGCTGTATTTTGGAAGAATAGCAACTACTTTAGTGAAAGATGATTACAAATGGCATAGGAAAATAAGGCATTAAGTGTTATTATAAATTTGCTCTTAGTAAATAAGCATGTTTAATTATTTTTGCATTAGTAGGGGGCTAGGCCTATTGACTATCTACTTGCAATTTTAAGTTTTCTTAGTGTGATGGTAATAAGCTGGTAGTTTTGATAGTTATTAATTAAAATCTTTTTTAAAAATTTCATACATGGAACTCTGTACTCCCCCTCTTTCCCTTGAAAGCTCAAGATCTGGCATTATGGCAACCAAATGATGTCATATGAATGAAATCAAAATATTTTTCATCTCTGTTCTTCCTTAGTTTGGCATCACCCTTCCTCTTTATCCATTCACCACAGATTTGCTGCCAGTTTCATAAGGAGTACTTTGGCAGGCAGTATTTATGAAACCCTGCAAGAGCTACGGGATAGCTAACCAGGAATAACTTCCACCGCAGAGGTCTTGCTCCAAAGCAAGTTCAGCTCTCATAGTATGGAAAGTGGTAGCATCAAACTGTTTTCCAAACTGATTGTCTCAAGCTAGTAAACCAACTTGCTTTGGGGGAAAAGAAAAAACAAAAACAAAAACAGTTGTTTGGGCAAAGGAAGCTTAACAATTTTATACGGACACACACACACACACACACACACACACACACACCCCTTACATGTATACATATATATATAGAAGTATATATAAGTATACATATGTATATGTATATATGCATGCACTATACATACAACATATACACACATTGCATATATGTATATGTATGTATACATGTATAAGTATATATACATATATACACACATACACTTTACATGTATACATAATGTATACAAAATTTATATATATAACGTATACTTACATGTGCATGTACTATACATGCAATATATATACATGTGTATTGCATATATACATATATATTGCATCGATGCACACACACACACACACACACACATATATATGCATTTTGTATGCATTCAGTTTTTTGTCCAGCAGCCAACCCATGTTATTCTACTTAAAACTGTGAGAATCAAGGCATTTCATCTATGTGAGAATCAAATCCAAAGACACTGCCATGGCCTATAAGGCCAGAAAAGAGGTTTTTCTCCTTATCTGTCAAATCCAGTGTTCCACTCCAGGTTTTACTTGCCCTACTTCAGCCACAGTGGCCTTTTTGCTTTTCCTTGAACTTAACTATGTGTGTTTCTGTCTTGGGATTTGCACTATCTGGTTCCTCTGCCTGGAATGCTTCCCTCCTGATCTTCCCATGACTGGAGGGCTTGTTAGAGCAGAGTCTGCTGGGCTCCCCCACCAGAGTTCCAGACTCAGCAGATCTGGGGTGAGGCCTGACAATCAGCATTTCTAACAAATTCCTGAGTGATGCCAATGTGGCTGATATGGAGATCATTCTTTGAGAACCAGTGCTCTTGCATGTTATCCTATTTTAATTCTCTGCAGGACACTTATCACTATGTGATATTTTTTCTTCTTCATTTAAGAATTTACTATCTGTCATTTCCACTAGAATATAGATTCAATGACAGCAAGAAACCAGTTTCTTTTGTTCATTACTATATTCCCTATGCCTAGAATGATGCCTAGCACACAACAGGCACTCAATAAGTATTTCTTGACTCATTTCATTTGCAAAACATTTGCATACGCATTCTATTCCAGGTGCTGGGTGAGAAGCCAGGTGGACTAAGATTAATAAGGACGATCCTTCTCTGTGGGGTTCATAACCTGTTAAGGAAGACCATACTCTACTCCACATACACATACTCTCTAATGCAATGTGATAATCAGTATAACAAATCCACCGTCACCTCACGGTGCAATATATTCTGATTAAAGGATGGTTTTCCAGCATTTGGATGGAAATGAATGAGTTTATGGAAGTATGTCCTGGACTGGTAGTTTCATAACCTTTTAAAATTGCATGTGCCTTTGGACGGAAACATGGTGTTGATAACTGGGAAATGCTAAGGAGTCACTTGAATGGCAGTCTCTCAACAGAGCTCATTAGGAATTTGCTGTTTTACAGAAAGTCAGGCTAATGGCGGGTAGGAGGGGCTGGGATAAATTTTAAGAAAAGATAAACAGGGGCTTCTGGGGCACTGACTGTGTGGTTGCATAGGGGTTCACTTTATAACAAATGAACTATATGTAAGTACATGTTTGATGCACTTTTCTCAATGTATATTTTATAATAAAAGAGTGTAAAATATCCTGCCTTTGTGAGTTTTAAATTGTATAATTATGATATTAAATTAAACATATACTTTTGCAAGCAGAAGAATTTGCTATTTTATAATGACTTTATGAAAACATAGGTGAATTTTTTTTCTCACTTACATTTATGAACCCCAGGAGAAATAGGCTCCTGAACGCTTTCTTGTTAGCAACAGAACTTTCCAAATTATTATTATTTTTTTAAGAAGGAATTTGGAATTGTAATATGTGACCAAGGAAAAGGGAGATTTTTAGACACAATAACATTAAAATATCTTGTTAATTGTCATCAATTTCAAGGGAGAAATATAACTATTGAGTCAAATCTATCTTACACTATTTTTAAAAAAGTTGTAAACCAAAAATAAAATTCTAAGTCTCCCCAGTCATCTAAATGGGCCCCTCCTCTCAGCCAGGGCACTCCAAAGTTAACCTGAAAAACTGGCTCAGGCCATGATAGGAAGGAAGGGTCAGGCAGGCCTTACGATACCCTCCTCCCTTTTGAAATTCAGAAAAAGCAGACCAGCATTTAATATTGACATAGACCTTAAGTCTGATAAGAAACATTATGGTCTATTCTCTCTGAAGCCTGTTACCTGGAGGTTTCATCTGCATGATAAAACTTTGGTCTCCACAACCCCTTATCGTAACCCAGATATTCCTTTTTATTGATAATTGCTCTTTCAACCAATTGCCAATCGGAAGATTTTTAAATCTACTGAAAACCTGGAGGCCCTCCCTGCTTCAAATTGCCCCACCTTTCTGGACCAATCCAATGTATAGCTTACATGTATTTGATTGATGTCTCATGTCTCCCTAAAATGTATAAAACTAGGCTGAGCCCTGACCACCTTGAGGACATGTTCTCAGGGTCTCCTGAGGGCTGTATCACAAGCCATGGTCACTCATATTTGGCTCAGAATAAATCTCTTCAAATATTTTGCAGAGTTGAACTCTTTTCATTTACAAAGTTCAACTTGTGATTGAAACAGCTATCTGGCTCAATTGAATAGCACAGATTTCCTCATGTTAGAGATTACCAACCAACCTTCTTTCAGCCTTTGAGCAAGCATTTTACTTGCTTCTCAGGAAAGGATGACAGATCATTTTGTAAACAAGCCAGAAGGAGTCTGATTCTCTAGCCCCCAGATTAAGACTCCATTTATTATTAATTTTCATAAGAATAAACAAGTTGTAATGTTTTGAGTACATCACAGGTAAATAAAACCAAACCATATTACAAAATAAATCAGTGGAAAGATGACTTTGTATTTCACAGCAATTAGCTGGATGATTGGTTTTTGTTTTGCCTTGAGTTTTACACTGGAAAATCAAATTTGAAAATTATGTTGAGAATAATGTGAAGCATTTGCTACTTTTATTACCAATTGCTTTTTGAAAGCTGTACTTATACATAAAATTATTTGAGTTTCAATGTTACGAACAAAATTCTTGACATGGAAAGTTTCATCCAAAATTCTAAGCTGAGGAAGAGATTCATTAGTTGATGATTACCTTATGATTTGGGTCTGTCGTAATGAGAAAGCGTCATCAAAAAAATATTTGTTGAGCAATTGTTTTTCAAGACCTTTGGTGTTTACAAAGCGTAAAAGATGCATATGCTTATGAAAGATGGTTCATTGGAGATCAATTGAGGTACTCATATATTCAAAGCCTCTGTGTTTTGAAAATTCTAATTGCCAGCACCAAATTAAAGTCATTGACGTTTTTAAAAATGTTCCTACGTTTTATTATTGCAGTGTTCTGCACATTAAGTTATAAATATTTATATACCTAAGTGGAATTATGTCTCACGGTGGCTCCATAAGGCAGCTATATAGAAGAGAAGAATGTTTTCAGGGGAAGAGAAATAACAACAACAAAAACTCCACTAGCATGAAGTTCTTCTGAATAAGTCCTTTAAATTCTGGTTTTTGCTTTGTAACATTTTCTTTTCACAATTCCATGAAACCCCCAGAAGAGTAAAATGGACAAAGTAATTTTAAGGAAGCAGTGAAATCAAAGTTTCCAACCACCACGGTTTTGCTCAGTAATAAATTGTGTAGAGTGTTATGAAGATCTAATTCGAAAACCAACTTTTCAGAAACATGAAAAGAACAGTTACGCTTTCTGTGTAATTTCTGGGGCTAGACTTTCCACTCCTGCAATGATTGTTTCTTCTGAATGCAGGATGTTAATGACCTGACTTGACTCATTCCTTTAATTAAGTACCTCTGAAAATTGCCATATTTCCACTTCAGTTTGGGCTTTATTGATCTATTTGGGGGAAATCTAGGTGATATATTTCTAGACGTGAGGGAAGGCATGGAATTCATCCATCAGAAGGCTGCTGGTCCAATTCATCCAAAGACGAGTTCATTGAGAGGTTTTCACCCCCTCTGAGACTTGTAATAATAATAACAATAACGATGGCTGCTACTGTTGATACTGGATATGCAGTTATTGATACAGGACATGTAGTCCCTGGCACATATGTTATTTCATTCAATCTCTGCCATATCCTATGAGATTGGTTAATCACATAGTGCTGCTACTCCCCTTTTAGGCATGTGTAAATTCATGCTCAGAGTTTTTTTGAGCAAAAAATACTTGTTCAAGTTTCCATATATGACAAATGCTGATACTTGCATTTAAACCGCCTTTTTAACTTCGAACTTGGGCTCTACATACTACATAACCTGTGCCTTGTATTGCATGATAAAACAGGGATTTCAATGTATTCAGGAGATCTTGGTTTGGTGATTTTGAGTGATCTTTGAACAATTTATGCAATATGTCTCCAACTTTTAGAAAATTTAGGGACCATTTATAGAAAAGATGTAGATCCCCTTGTGTTAGTTTAAATTGCTTTTATTATGTTATTTAATAAACATGACAGTTATCTTATTTTTATTTCTCATATACAACTATAAAAGCACAAGAAATTTACAAGTTAATGTCAAATAAAACCATAAAACCAATAAAGCTAAAGTTGAAAACATTAACATGATATAATACATGATGTTATTTTGCTGAATTCCAAATTCTGCTCACAAGTGAATGGAATAACAGCTAGAAGCAAAGCTTTTTCTGAGTTTAGCGTGGCTGTAGTAGCTCATGCCAGGTCATGACTCTATTTTCCCACCACTTTGTTTTTTCTATCTGAACTGCTCATTTCCTTAGCGTACTATGATATTTTATAGCACCTATTAGTGTGACTGGATCATTTACACATTATGCCCACTTCTTTCCCTAAAATATTAAGGTAACATTACTTGATCTCAACTCAGTCAGTACCATACTATGGTACTGAAAATGAGTAATAGTGCTTACATGCATAATAACTGTTACAGACATTACTACCACTACATCTTCAGTTCTTGGCCCCATTCTGAAACATACAGGAAGATCACAGGTTTCCCACCTGCATGAAGCTAGCTGTATCGTTGGACACATTTTGGCAAATGAAATGTGAATGGAAGAAACAAGAAACAGTGTGCAGTACCCAATGTGCATAATGGGAAAATGTCTAGATACTTCCATACAAAGGAAGCAGCCTCTATCACTGACCCAACCCTTCACCCTCCAGTGAGCAATAAACCTTGGCTTTGTTAACCACTGAGATTTGCAAGTTATTTGTTGTAGCAGAATAACTTAATCTAATCTGACTAATGCAGAAATCATCCACACAATCCAACATATCCTTATGTTAATTTGGAAGTGGTATTATTATTTAAAAACACGAAATTAAAAGGTCACGTGCGCACAGTTGCAGCATCCCAACACATTCTTGAGGCTTCCAAATAGTCCACAATCTGCAATTCATGAACCATTAATCTATATATAGTATTGATCCTTCTCTTGTAAATGACATTTTCTCATATCATGTGGATGTAGTTGCCTTTTTATTTAAAATTCTCTGAGCAGTTATGCTCAGTCCCAGAAAATTGCTGGCTGATCCTAAATTGATGGCGTCAATGAAAATCCAATTTCCTGGCTCCCTGCATCAGCCTACTGCATCTAGAAAATCCTTCTGTCTCTAGAACTTCAGGAAAACGTAAAGAAATAGATAACTAACAGGCACTGAAGGCCAGTTGTATTCCATGCTTGAGTTAAATGTTTGTGGCCAGCCCATTAGTTTGGCAGATCCAGAATGTATTTGAAACCCTCTCCTCCCACCCTTTAGAGGCTGGAAAAGCTAAGAACGCATATTCACAGCTTCTTCTAAAGCGAGCAGTGACCCTGTGATGCATTCTGGACCATAATATCTAATTCAAAGTTATTGGGGTAGGTTCCAAAGCAGCTTTTACTCTTTTACTAACAAAAGAGATAGATTAATCTGGCTGTTATTCACTTCATCTTGCTGTGAACAAGCAGCTATATTTCGACTCTGAGGGAAAAGTCAAGAGACTTTCCCAATGTGGAGCCACTAAAACAATACCAGCAATTATCTACTTCTAGATTTTTTGTTACCTGAGAACAATAAAATTCTATTTAGGTTTTCTGTTCCTCATAGCTAAGTACAATCCCAACGGACGTTTTCAAGAATTTCTTCACCAAAACCTCACATGATGCACAGATGGCAGTAGTAAGATTAAAGTCATTTTAGAGGGCAGGAAATGCAAACCAGATAGGTAAGTTGATTTTCCTGCATACTGCACTTGTCACATTCTGTAGTTTATAGTTTAAACTCCATGAAGATAGGGTCTTGTTCGTTATAGTCTCCAGTTTATCATCATATTTGGTGATATAGCTAGAATGTGGTCAGAAAACATTTGTTGAATGAATTAATAAAGATTATACTGTAGCCATCAGCGTTAAGGAAGAATCGCAGTTCAGTACGATTCTACACTCTTAACTCCACCTTGCCAATATGGATACCTGGCCCCCTATTTGAGGCCACTTCTAAATCCCTTTTGCAGAAAGGGAAGTTGTTGCATAGACATAGACCATGGGATTACCACTTTGGGGGAAAAAACTACCTTAAGAAAATCAGCTCTACAAATGCTCTCTCAAAATTGCAAAAGCCGTTACCAAACACTAAGATGTTCTAATTAGCAAATTCCTCCTCGCATCATGCAAACACCCAAAGGTAAAAGAAGAGCCAGAAATGTTTGGAAAATTTTCCTAGGGGAAGTGGTTGGAGAGGAAGAGGAATCTCAGTCCTCTAATTAAAAGAACGAACTTGAGCTAAAAAGCCATGTGGGACTGTTGTCGTGGTAACATGATCCAAGCAAGAAAGTTTCCTAGAGTTGCTATTCAGAAAAAAACCTCTTGGTCTAGGAAGCGTTGCTTGTGATGCAAGATGCCAGGTTTTCAGGCCTAGACTTGGAAGATTTTGAAGCATTTATACCATGTCATTCACACTAATTCCAAGACACGGGGCAGATTGCTTATAATGTTATGCAAATAGCCAGTAGAGGGGAGAAAAACCCCACAAGATCATTTTCAAGCACCATTTGTTAACGTTATTAATATCCTTAAAAAGAAAATAATTGGAAATATACATTCTAATAGGCTTATCTTCTCTAATTTCTTTTGAGTAGTTAAGATAACATTAGATTTAAGAAAATATGTCAAAAATAATTTCATTAGAATTCATTCAAGATTTTCGGTAATATATATCGAATATCAATATAAACTATCAGTTAGCTATTGCTGTCTAATGACTCCCCACTTCCAAACTCAAATAGATAAGCATATATTACTATGAATCTATGGGCAGCTGCATGGTTCTACTGATCTCTGTGGGATTGGATGGATCTCGGTTAAGCTTACTTCTTCTTCAACCGCAGATCAAGTGGATGGTTCTGCTTGATCAGGTGGGCTCTTTCGGATGATTAGGGGTTTGTTGGTTGCAGGTTGGTCCAAAACGGCCTTGGCCAGAACAACTGGGCTCTCTTCCATGTGATTTGTTATCCATGACAACCGTCCCACATGGCTCTTTCGCTCAACAGTCTATTCCAGGCTTGCATACATAATCGAGGCAGGGCTCCTAGAAAGAGCAGGAGTGAATAGGGCCTCTTGAGTTCTTGTCTCAGAACTCACATACCATAACTTCTGCTGCATTCTATTGGCCGAAATAAGTCATAAGTTTATATTCCATTGCTTATATATGCCACATTTTCATTATTCATTTATCCATTGTTGGACACTTAGATTTATTCTATATTTTGTCTGTTATGAATAGTGCTGCAATAAACATGGAGGTGTAGGTATCTCTTTGATAGGCTGATATACTTTTCTTACCTATAAGACCTAGTAGTGGGATTGTTGGATTGCATATTAGTTTTATTTTTAGTTCTTTGAGAAATTTCTGTACTGTTTTCCATAATGGCCGTAGTAATTTACATTCCCACCAATAGTGTATAAGAATTCCCCTTTCTCCACATCCTCATCAGCATTTGTTATTTTTTGTCTTTTAAATAATATCCATTGTACCTGGGGTGAGATGATATTTCATTGTGGTTTTGATTTGCATTCCCCTGATGACTAGTGGTGTTGAGCTTTTTCTTCTTTTCATGTATTTATTGGCCATTTTATGTCTTCTTTTGAGAAATGTCTATTCAGAATTCTAGCCCACTTTTTTTTTTTTTTCTTTTTGAGACAGAGTTTCACTCTTGTTGCCCAGGCTGGAGGCTGGAGTACAATGGCACTATCTCGGCTCACTGCAACCTCCACCTCCTGGGTTCAAGCGATTCTCCTGCCTCAGTCTCCCTAGTAGCTGGGATTACAGGCATGCACCACCATGCCCAGCTAATTTTGTATTTTTAGTAGAGATGGGGTTTCTCCTTGTTGGTCAGGCTGGTCTTGAACTCCCAGCCTCAGGTGATCCACCTGCCTTTGCCTCCGAAAGTGCTGGGATTACAGGCGTGAGCCACCGTGCCTGGCCCTAGCCCACTTTTTAATGGGGTTATTCATTATCTTGCTGTTGAGTTGTTTGAGCCCCTTGTGTATTCTGGATATTAGTTTCTTATCAAATAAATATTTTGTAGGTATGTCCTCCCATTCTATGGGTTGTATCTTCAATGTGTTGATTGTTTCCTTCATTGTGCAGAAGATTTTTAGTTTAACATAGTTCCATTTGTCTATTTTTGTTTTCGTTGTCTGTGCTTTTGATGTTTTAGCCATAAAATATTTGCCAAGACCAATGTCTTAAAGTGTTTTCCCTATGTTTTCTTCTAGTAGTTTTATAGTTCTGGGTCTTACATTTAAGTCTTTAATCCATTTTTAGTTAATTTTTCTATGTGGTAAGAGATAGGGGTTGTTTCATTCTTCTGCACATGGCTATCCAGTTTTCCCAGCACCACTTATTTAAGAGAATGTCACTTCTCAAATGTATGTTCTTGTTGCCTTTGTCAAAAATCAGTTGGCTATAAATATGTGGATTTATTTCTGGTTTCTCTATTCTGTTTCATTGGTCTGTGTGTCTGTTTTCATACCTATACCATGCAGTTTTCCTTTCTATAGCACTGTAGTATATTTTGAAGTCAGATAGTGTGATGCATACAGCTTTGTTCTTTTTGCTCAGGATTGCTTTGGCTATTTTGGCCAACTGATTTCACAGGGATATTATCTATACTTTTCTTTTTGTTGTTGTTGTGTCCTAGACTGATTTGATTTTCAGGGCAATATTGACCTAAAAGAATGAGTTAGGAACAATCCCCTCATCTTAAATTCTTTGAAATAATTCTAGAGAAATAAGTGTTAGTTCTTCTCTATTGAGTTTGGTAGAATTCAGCAGTAAACCATTTGGTCCAGGCCCTTTCTTTGTTGGGAGACTTTATTACTGACTCAATCTTGTTACTTGTTATTGGTTTGTTCTAGTTTTCTATTTCTTCCTAGTTCAGTTTTAGTAGGCTGTATGTGTCCAGGAATTTATCCAGTTTTATGTTTTCCAATTTGTTAGCATATATTCATAATAGTCTCTAATGATTCTTTATATTTCTTTGGTATCAGTTGTAATGTATTCTTTTTCATTTATGATTTTATTTATTTGGGTCTTCTCTGTTTTTTCTTGGTTATCCTAGCTAGTAGTTTATCATTGTTCTTTATCTTTGCAAAAAAAAAAAAAAAACAACATTTTTTTTTCCATTGGTCCTTTGTATTTCTTTTGTTTAGTCTCTATTTTGTTTAGCTTTGCTCTGATCTTTATTATTTATTTCCTTCTATTAACTTTGGGTTTGGTTTTTTCTTGCTTTTCTAGTTCTTTCAGATGTATCACTAGGCTGTTTATTTGAAATATTTCTACTTTTTTAATGTCCATATTTGTTGCTACAAACATCTCTCTTAGCACTGTTTTTACTGTATCCCAAAGGTTTTGGTATATTGTGTTTCTATTTTCATTTGTTTCAAAAAATTTTTTAATTTTCTTCTTAATTTCTTCATTGACCCAATGGTCATTCTGGAAGGTGCTGCTTAATTTTCATATATTTGTACTGTTTCCAAAGTTCCCCTTTATTGATCTCTAGCTTTATTCCATTGTGGTCTGAGAAGACACTTGATATGATTTCGAGTTTTAAAAATTTGTTGTACAAGTTTTGTTGCCTAACATATGATTTATCCTGAAGAATGTTCTATGTGCTGATGAGAAGAGTGTGTATTCTGCAGCTGATAGATAAAATGCTCTTTAAATGTCTGTTAGTTTCATTTGACCCATCAGACAGATTATGTCTGATGTTTCATTTTAAATTTGGTCTTCTCTCTCTTTAGCTCTGATAACATTTGCTTTAAAGTTCTGGGTACTCCAGTTAAGTGCATATTTATTTACAGTGGTTATATCCTGTTGCTGAATTGATATGTTTATCACTACATAATGATCTTCTTTGTCTCTTTTTACTTTTTATTTTTTTACTTGGAAATTATGCCCTCTGATATAAGTGTAGCTGCTCCTGCATGCTTTGAATTTTCATTTAAATGAAATATACTTTTTTCATCTTTTTACTTTCTGTGTATGTGTCTATAGGTGAAGTGAGTTCTTGCAGGCAGCATATAGTTGGGTCTTGGTTTTTTGTTGTTGTTGTTTTCTATGAAGCCAGTTTATAACTTTTAGTTGAGGAATTTAAACTGTTTACATTCAAGTTCGTTATTGATGAGGACTTACTCCTGACATTTTGTTAATTGTTTTCTGATTGTTTTTATATCCTTTGTTCCTTTCTTCCTCTTTTATTATTTATGTTTATGATTTGGAGATTTTTGTAGTGAAACATTTAATTCCTTTCTCTTTCTTATTTTTGTATCTGCTCTACAAGTAAATTTTATATTTTCATGATGGTAGATATTGTCTTTTTCTCCCATGTGGAGGACTTACTTAGCATTTCTTGTAGGGCTAGTCTAGCAGTTTTTGCTTGTCTGGGAATGACTTTATATCTTTTTCATTTTTGAAGGATGGCTTTGTTGGGAATGGTATTTTTTAGCTGACAGGTTTTTTGTTTGTTTGTTTGTTTAGCATTTTGGACATATCATCCCATTCTCTCCTGGTCTGTAAGAGTTCTGTCAAGAAATCCTGTTAGTCTGATGGGAATCCCCTGATTCATGGCTTGATACTTTTTCCGTTTTTGGAAGTCTCTCTTTGTCTTTGACTTTTGACAGTTTAAGTATAATGTGCCCTGAAGAAGACCTTTTGGGGTTGACTCTTTTTGGAAATTTTTTAGCTTTCTGTGTCTGGATGGCTATATTGCTTGCAATATTTGAGAAGTTTTAAAATACTATTTCATTATATAGGTTTTCTATGTCTTTGCTCATCTTTTATCTTCCTGGAACACCAATAATTAGAATATTTGGTCACTTTGTTGTGCCCTATATGTCACATAGGTTTCATTCTTTTTTTTTCTTTTCCACTCTATTTCTTTTTTATTCTTTTTTGCTTGACTAGGTTGTTTCAAAATACCTGTCTTCAAGTTCAGAAATTTTTTCTTCTGCTTTATTTACTCTATTGTTGAAGCTCTTGACGGTACTTCTATTTCATTAATTGAATTTCTCAGGTGCAGGATTTCTATTTGGTCCTTTTTTATGGTATATAATTCTTTGTTGAATTTCTTATTCAGATTGTAAATTGTTTTCTTGATTTCTTTGTATTATTCATCTATGTTCTTTTATATCTTTCTGAGTTCCCTTAATATCATTATTTTGAATACTTCTTCGGGTATTTCATACATTTCCTTTTTAAATGATCTATTATCAGAGAATTATTGTGATTTCTTGAAGGTGTCATTTTTTTTTTCTTTTTCATGTTCCTTGTGTCTTTACGTTGATATCTGACATCTGGTATAACAGTTACTTCTTCCAGTTCTATGAGTTGGCTTTCGTAGGGATGAACATTTTTCTATAGATGGACCTACAGTGTTGAATAGGTGGGGTGCTTTGTCTTTAATGCTGGGTAGGCACAGTAGTATAGTCTCATCATGATTTCTTTGGCTGTAATTAACATCAGTGGTGTCTGTGAGTTCCCCAGTGACAGACTGCAATTGTTAGTGGAGTCTGTGGTGAGGCTTTGCTGTCTGTGTGAGGACACCAGGCAAGCTGGTCCTCAGGCACCAGTGGTGCCAGTGGTAGACAGATGGGCCTATCCTCAGGCCCCCAGGTGGTATGTGGATGGTGCTTGTGATGGGTGAGGTAAATTGATTTCTAGGTCCCCACACAATGTACACAGGCTCCTGCAGCAGGTAAGATTAACCTGTCCTCGGGTCCCTAAATGGTACATGTGGATACTGGTGGTGGCAGGCAGGTTGAGCCAATCCCTTGGCCCCAGGTGACATGTAAAAATGTTTTAAAAATTTAGTCCAGTCTTATACACTGTGCCTTTATTTGGAGTACTCAGGCAATTTATATTTAATGTGATCATTGACATAATGGGGTCAAAATCTAACATGTTGGTGTTTACTATTTGTCTCATCTTTTTTATTTTTATTTTTATTTATTTATTTTTATTTTATTATTATTATTATACTTTAAGTTTTAGGGTACATGTGCACAATGTGCAGGTTAGTTACATATGTATACATGTGCCATGCTGGTGTGCTGCACCCATTAACTCGTCATTTAGCATTAGGTATATCTCCTAATGCTATCCCTCCCCCCTCCCCCCACCCCACAACAGTCCCCGGAGTGTGATGTTCCCCTTCCTGTGTCCATGTGTTCCCATTGTTCAATTCCCATCTACGAGTGAGAACATGCAGTGTTTAGTTTTTTGTCCTTGCGATAATTTACTGAGAATGATGATTTCCAATTTCATCCATGTCCCTACAAAGGACATGAACTCATCATTTTTTATGGCTGCATAGTATTCCATGGTGTATATGTGCCACATTTTCTTAATCCAGTCTATCATTGTTGGACATTTGGGTTGGTTCCAAGTCTTTGCTATTGTGAATAGTGCTGCAATAAACATACGTGTGCATGTGTCTTTATAGCAGCATGATTTATAGTCCTTTGGGTATATACCCAGTAATGGGATGGCGGGTCAAATGGTATTTCTAGTTCTAGATCCCTGAGGAATGGCCACACTGACTTCCACAATGGTTGAACTAGTTTACAGTTCAACCAACAGTGTAAAAGTGTTCCTATTTCTCCCCATCCTCTCCAGCACCAGTTGTTTCCTGACTTTTTAATGATTGCCATTCTAACTGGTGTGAGATGGTATCTAATTGTGGTTTTGATTTGCATTTCTCTGATGGCCAGTGATGATGAGCATTTTTTCATGTGTCTTTTGGCTGCATAAATGTCTTCTTTTGAGAAGTGTCTGTTCATATCCTTTGCCCACTTTTTGATGGGGTTGTTTGTTTTTTTCTTGTAAATTTGTTTGAGTTCATTGTAGATTCTGGATATTAGCCCTTTGTCAGATGAGTAGGTTGCGAAAATTTTCTCCCATTTTGCAGGTTGCCTGTTCACTCTGATGGTAGTTTCTTTTGCTGTGCAGAAGCTCTTTAGTTTAATTAGATCCCATTTGTCAATTTTGGCTTTTGTTGCCATTGCTTTTGGTGTTTTAGACATGAAGTCCTTGCCCATGCCTATGTCCTGAATGGTAATGCCTAGGTTTTCTTCTAGGGTTTTTATGGTTTTAGGTCTAACATTTAATTTAAGTCTTTAATCCATCCTGAAAAAATTTTTGTATAAGGTGTAAGGAAGGGATCCAGTTTCAGCTTTCCACATATGGCTAGCCAGTTTTCCCAGCACCATTTATTAAATAGGGAATCCTTTCCCCATTGCTTGTTTTTCTCAGGTTTGTCAAAGATCAGATAGTTGTAGATATGTGGTGTTATTTCTGAGGACTCTGTTCTGTTCCATTGCTCTATATCTCTGTTTTGGTACCAGTACCATGCTGTTTTGGTTACTGTAGCCTTGTAGTATAGTTTGAAGTCAGGTAGCGTGATGCCTCCAGCTTTGTTCTTTTGGCTTAGGATTGACTTGGCGATGCGGGCTCTTTTTTGGTTCCATATGAACTTTAAAGTAGTTTTTTCTGATTCTGTGAAGAAAGTCATTGGTAGCTTGATGGGGATGGCATTGAATCTATAAATTACCTTGGGCAGTATGGCCATTTTCATGATATTGATTCTTCCTACCCATGAGCATGGAATGTTCTTCCATTTGTTTGTATCCTCTTTTATTTGTCTCATCTTTTCTTTGTCTTTTTTTTTTTTTTTTTTTTTTCCTCATTCTGTATTTTTTAGTGAATCCAATTTATCTCCACTTTGGGCTTACTAGCTAATTCTCTTTGTTTTATGTTTTTAGTGTTTGCCCTTAAATTTAAATTTGCATCTTTAACTTTTTACATTCCAACACCAAATAACACTATACCACTTCTGGCATTATACTATTTTCATATAACAGTATAGTTCCATTTTTCCTTTCTATGTTTTGTGTTATTGTTGTCCTATATTTTACTTCTATATTTTATGTATTTTTAAACATTATATATCTTTATTTGTAATATTAGGTTGGTGCAAAAGTAATTGTGGTTTTGGCCATTAAAAATTATAGGCAGAACTGCAATTACTTTTGCACCAACCTAACATAAATATATATTCATATTACATATAAAGATAAATATGTAAATTTTTATAAATGTAAATATATTACATATAAACATAAGTATATATTCATGTTACATATATTACATATAAATATGTAATATGTTTACATATTTTTATAAATATTACATATATTATTATATATCTTTATAAACATTACAATACTGTTATTTTTGCTTTAAACAGTTTATTATCTTTTATGTAGACTAGAATAAGAAAAAGTTTTGTATTTGCCAAGTAAATATATAGCATTTTCATCATTTGTCATTCTTTTCTGCAAGGTCAAGTTTTCATCTACTACCATTTTCTTCTATCATTACCCTTAAATATTTCTTTTCTATTTTTTGGGACAGAGTCTTGCTCAGTTGTCCAGGCTGGAGTGCAGTGGCACGATCTTGATTCACTGCAACCTCCATCTCCCTGGCTCAAGCCATTCTCTTGCCTCAGCCTCCTGAGTAGCTGGGATTACAGGTGCATGCCACCACACCTGGCTAATTTTTGTATTTTTAGTAGAGACAGGGTTTCACCACGTTGGCCAGGCTGGTCTTGAACTCTTGACCTCAGGTGATCAGCCTGCCTCAGCCTACCAAAGTGCTGAGATTACAGGCTTGAGCCACCGTGCCCGACCTTAAATATTTCTTATAGTACAGGCTGTGGGCAAAGAATTTTCTTAGCTTTTATTTATCTGAGAAAGTCTCTCTTTTATTCTATTTTAAGGGATTCTTTTTTTTGTTGTTGAATGTATAATTCCTAGTTGGCAAGGGTTTTTGTTGTTTGTTTGTTTCCTGAAGTACTTTAAAGTTATTTCTTGTCTTCTGGCCTGGAAAATATCTGGTAAAATATCTGTGGTAATTCTTATCTTTTCTGCTATATAAATAATGTATCTTTTCCCCGTCTGCCTTCTTATGATAATCTCTTTATCATTGTTTTAAAACATTTGATTATCATATGTCTTTGCTTTTCCTTGTGTTTATCTTTATTGGTGTTTTCTGAGGTTCTTGAGCTTGTCACCGTATAATTTTTTTTTTTTTTTTTGAGATGGAGTCTCACTCTGTCTCCCAGGGTGGAATGCAGTGGTGCGAGCTCAGCTCACTGCAACCTCTGCCTCCTGGGTTCAAGTGATTCTCCTGCTTCAGCTTCCCAAATAGCTGGGATTACAGGTGCCTGCCACCATGCCTGGCTAAATTTTTGTATTTTTAGTAGAGATGGGGTTTCACCATGTTGGCCAGGCTGCTCTCCAACTCCTGACCTCAAGTGATCTGCCCGCCTCAGCCTCCCAAAGTGCTGGGATTACAGGTGTGGGCCACTGTGCCCGGCCCATATTGACTGATTTTTCTTCTGATTATGAGTCACATTTTTCTGCTTGTTGGCATGCCTACTAATATTTGATTAGATTCAGACAATTATGACATTGTGACTTTTATCTTGTTAAACCCTTGGATTCTGTTGTCTTCTTTTATGGATTGTTAAGCTTTGTAATGGCAGGCAGTTAAGAAAATGACAGATCAGTTTAATATATTCAAGTCTTTTTTTAAAAGCTCCAACAGCATGGATGTAGGGCAAGTTTAGCTATATCACTAAGGTATGAGTCTCCTGGGGTCTCTATTTCAAGTAATGAGCAATGACTGTCCATTCTGACTGATAGGCATTTGAATGAGCCCCAATCTTAGTCAGCTTTTAGCATCATTCATCTTATAATTCCTTGTCATTTTTTGTTCAGCTGTGCAGAGTTTTTCTCTACACTTGCACAGCTCATTATTCAGCAAAGCCTAATTAAACCCCTATGAAGATATCTGGAGTTCTTTTTTTCCATAGCTCCCCTTTTTATGGAACTCTACCAATATCTTTCAGCAGCCTTAGCCCCTCTGAACTCCAATCTCTATCTTCTCAAAGCACTGAGATCATCATGCTCTTCTTTGCATTCTCCCTTCTTGAATTTCAGTCCGGAAAGTGCCTATAAGGATAAGATTCAGACAATGACAGAGCTCACTTTGTTTGTATGTCTTTTCACAGGAATCACAGTCCTTCAGTGCTTGTTTTTTTGTGTCAAAAGCAGTTGTTTTATGGATTTGGTTCAGTTTTGTAGTGTAGAGAGCAATTTCAGTGACATTTACTCCACTGTGACCAGAGTTAGATGCTATTTTGAGCCATAAATTTTACCTAATACACTTTCTACACTAAAATCTCCTGGAAATATATATATATATAAAATTTTGTTTATTTATTTATTTTTGGTTTTTTTTTTTCCCGAGACGGAGTCTTGCTCTGTCACTCAGGTCGAAGTGCAGTGGCGTGATCTCGGCTCACTGTAACCTCCGCCTCCCGGGTTCAAACAATTCTGCTTCAGCCTCCTGAGTAGCTGGGATTACAGGCACCCGCCACCACACCCAGCTAATTTTTGTATTTTTAGTGGAGACAGGGTTTCACCATGTTGGCCAGGCTGGTCTCAAAGTCCTGACCTCATGATCCACCCGACTGGACCTCCCAAAGTGCTGGGATTACAGGCATGAGCCACCATGCCTGGCCTTCTCCTGGAATATTTTAACCATACTACTCCTTATCACTTTTTTCCAGGTAGCTAGCCAGATTACAGTTTTTTTAAAAAAAGCATGCTTACCTCAATATTTTATTAAGCATATTAAATAGCTAAAACATTATTACAAAAAGAAACATAATCAAAATCTAACTCTCAGAAAAGTCATTATATTCTGTTATCTTTTTATAAGATTACTCTTACAGGTCGATTGGCAGAGATGACTGAGATGTAATTCTTTTCAGTAAATATCCTGGATCAGAATCATATAATCACTCATGTCTGCATCACTGAGAAACCCTTAAAATGCACAATATTTTTGAAAGCCAAAGTCCACAATGGTAGAAACAATTATGTAACTGAATTTTGTTACTATTGTTATTATTTTTTATTATCTTTCAATAAGAAAACTGGTTTACCTTAGAATTTATTTTCTTCTGTATTTTCTTGCATTTAGATTAGAAATATTACAAGTTGGGTATTTCTTCTATTGCATACATGTCTGCCAATTCATTCTTTGTCATGGCACCTGCTGTGGGGATTATGCATTTGAGACATTTAGTAATAGTGAAATGATGGTTGTTCTTGGGTCTTAACTCCTCTAAAAGCACCACAGAATTTTTTTTTAAAGAAATTAGAAGCACAGGAAGGGTGACAAAACAGTGTCTACTTTTTCTAAACTTCATCTTTGTATTATCTTTAATATAAGTCCTTATTAATAAAGTTCTTCTTGGAAACAAGCAAATATTTAGATAAACTGATTTTTCTTTTTTACTCATAGTGGATTGAAAAATAATGTTCATGACTCCAGGCTCAATTTTTATGAGCATTTTTCAATTCTTGATTCAATAGAAGGGAATCAGAAATCATATACCACATCGGGGCATGAACAAAATGTTACATCACTAAATTGCCAAGAACCAGCCCCATGTTCATCATGAAACATTACATACCCGCCCCCCACACACACGTGCGCACATACACACACACATGCATGCAAACACACATATTACCTGTACTCTAAGGCATAAACCTGAGCCCTAACCTTAGTCTGGTAATATTTCCTCATTCTAAAGAAGATATCTTGGTATCTTGGTCCCTATGGACAAACAAAGCAAGTGACACTTGTGGTAGCAATTTCAGATTAATGGCCTACTCAAGCGTGAAGATTGAAAAAAAATGATAGCCAGTTAGAAGTATTAATCATTTCTTGACAGCTTGCCCTAATAGCACCATTTTTATAGTTCTGTGGTAAATTCTGTTTTCAGACCGAAATCATTCAGTTATATATCATCTATGTTTGTAACAGCTCTCCCAGTTTTTGTACAAAATAAAGAATCAAGAAGGTGCTCGGGAGAGAGGAGGTGGCTGGGCAATGCATTTTCAATGAATCAGGTGCTTCCATGTTAGCTTTGATTTTTAGTTAAATGCACACACAATGATATTAAAAACATGACCAAAGAGCATTGCCTTTGAAGTCAGACATTCAAAAAAAAGCACATGCAAAGTAAGAGATAAGTTCTCTTTGTCAATGATAACTATGTCTCAGTGCTACGAAATAAAAATATAAATGGGATTTTTTGCCCTGAGCTCTTATCTGATCTATTGATATGTTTCTTGATAGCCCATGTTTATTTTGAACACTCTTATAATGGGTCAAAATCATGAGGGCTCATTGTCCGTTAGTGGAAATTGTAAATACACATTTGGAATCACAAATGATAATTCCTGCAAGCAGCCTTAATTAAAAAGATGTGTAAAAAGATGTGTGCCAAGCCTGTTAAAGATCTCGTTAGCCCTTGACCCCCTTAACCTACTCTCAACAAAAATGGCAGAGCTCCTCTGCTCAAACCTAAGTCAGATTGTGCCACTCTTTCACACAAAGCCTTCCAATTCCTTTCCATCCTACTCGGGGCAAAAGCCAAAGCCTTCTTGAAATCTATGAGGTCCTATGATAGGGTCTGGCAAACTAACAGCCCACGGTCCAAATCTAGCCCATTCTTTCTTTTTGTACAGCTGCTAAACTAAGAAATGTTTTCTTAGCCTGTGCGTAGTGGCTCACACCTATAATCTCAGCACTTTGGGAGGCCAAGAGAGGTAGGAGGATCACCTGATCTCAGGAGTTCAAGACCAGCCTGGGCAAAACAGTGAGACCCTGTCTCAATAAAAAAATAAAAATATATAATAAATAAGTAGATAAAAAAGAAATGTATACTTAATATATATTTTTAAATGGTTGAAAAAACTCAAAAGAACAATAATATTTGTGGCATGTGAAAATGACATGAAATTTAAATTCCTATAAATAAAGTTTTATTGAAAGACAGCCAGGCCCATTCATTTATGCATTTTCTGTGGCTGCTTGTGTGCTACAATGGTAGAGGTGGGTCTTGGTAGTAACGACTGCATGATTCAGAAAGCCAAAATATTTACTATCTGATCCATTATAGAAATAAATGTGCCATCTGCTTCCCTCTGTCTGCCATGGCCCCTGTTGGCTCTCATTCTTCCATTCACCCCTGCAGCCAAATGCTTCCACCTCACCCTCCTCATTGCTGTTCTTTGAACCTGGTGCTGTTCTCTCTGCTCAGACCCTTTGCTTTACTTCTCCCTTGGCTTAAATTTTGCTTTTTGTTTTCGTTATTTTTTGCAGATGTCTGAATGGTTTTCTTTTTCATTCACTTCATGTCTTTATCCAGATCTTTCCTTCTCACTAAGACCTTCTGAGCCATTCTATTTAAAAGTGCCAACCTCCTCCTTCCCACCTCTTTCCCTTTCTGTGGTTAATTTGTCTCCAAAACTTCTCTTTCTCTCACATTCTCAAATTTTTACTTAATTATTTTGCTTATTGTTTGTCTTCACAATCTAGAATGTTAAATTCTATGAGGTCAGGAATTTTTTGTCTTCCTTTTTTTTTCACCTTTTTTTTTTACTGCTAACTTCTTAGGACTAAACCAGTTTCTGGCCCACAGTAGATGCTCAATAAATATTTGTTGTATCAGTGCCTGAATATACATTGAAAACACATGCCTATTTTGTGATGGTGTCATCTATGTACTATATATAGAGAGAGATCTTTGGGTAGGGAGTTTTTTTTTTTTTTTTTTTTTTTTTTAATAGAAGACAAAGTCTTTGGTATTAAATTTGTCTTCACCGTGGTTTTTCTAGATTCTTCCTTTTGAGTGCTTTCCATTCTGCTAACAGGATGAGTACAACCTTCAATTTCCTATTGGTAAAACCATTTCTGTCTGAGGCCAGATCAAACCTGGTGTAGTCAGAGTTTACTGACAAAAGCACCTGAAATTTCTCTTGATTCTGTTCATGGAATTGGCCCTGAATGAGGCTCCTCTTTCTCTTGCCTCATAATCCTGAGTTCAGTTCCTTAAATCGTGTTCACTCCTGTAGCAATAATTGTAAAAATTCACCTTGATTGAATGCTTTCCTTGCCAGGTACTCTACACAGTCACAGATTTATTTACTCCTGAGGGAAGCAGTTGAGTACGAGCAGGTTTTTTTTTTTTTGGAAGAGATCTCAGGTTACACTGCATGAAAGTGGAGAAGTGAGACCTGCAAGGCAGGAAAGCATATAAAGTGTGCAATAAAGGGCAAGTTACCACTGTGGGCAACCAGGGCTCAATCTGCTGGGACCCTCTGGGTGACTATCAGAGCACAACCCGTGTTTGTCTCCCAAGAGATGAGGAAACAGGGGTATTGTTTGAAAGTTATTCCTGGGAAATGACTTTCCAGTCTTGATCCTTCTGATCAGCCTAATGATCAGGCTAAGAACGTGTACTGGCCAGAGACCTCTATCAGGCAGAGAGAAGAAAATCAGCTGTAGCTGTGTACTGTGGATAATCACCTTCAGTTTCTGTGCAGTAGCCCAGGTGATATGGTAGGGCATTGGCAACATCTGCTCAGGCACTTTCCATCATTATCTTCCTTAATTTTCCCAATGACTACATGAGATCAGTCATTACTGCCTCCATTTTACAGACACCCAAACTGAGATTCCGAGAAATATAAGGTGGGCAAGAGTGAAAGAGCCACAATTCCATTTTGAGACTGTCTGATTCCTAATCCTGTGCTTGTGGCCACTGGGCATCCCAACTCTTCCAAAGCCATGTTGCTAAGTGGTCCCCTTCTTAACCACAAAATCCTGCTAATTATTTTTTTGGATCCACTGTCAGCACAGCCATACAAATGTATACTTTCTCTCTTTCAGCCTTTCCATGATCCACCAAACAGCTCCAGCATCCACCCCTACAATAAGTAACATCTGAGGACCTTTCTTCTTCCATTTCCTCCTCAAAATGTCTTTTTTTTTTCTTCTAGTTTCTGCAAGGCTTTTCTCCTCCTTTGCTCTAGGTCTTTGTTCAGATATTGTCTTCTCATTAGGACTTCCCAAACCTTTCTATTTAAAAGCCACACCCTCCTTCCTCACCCTTTTTGCCTAGACTTTAGGCCAGAGGTGGCTTGGAATGAAGCATGGGCTTTGGAATTAGATTCATCTAGCATTGAATGTTGCAGCCAGAGTGTTCTTTTAAAAATGCAAATCTGATCACACCAGCCTCTTCTCCCTCTTCTCCTTTGAAGCACTTACATTACTTTCTGTTGCTCTTAGAACAAAGACCACATTTCTTAACACAACCTCAGGGCCCTGCACGTGCTGCCCACCTCACTAATGTCAAACTACACCCCTTGCTGCTAACCCCCTGACTAACAAAGTAAGTAATATTTCTGTAATTGTTTTGAGTCCTTCAAATGCTGTATGCTCCCTTCTACCACAGGGCCTTTGCACATACTCTTCTTTCTGTCTGAAATACCCTTGTCCTTTCTGATGTTTCAATGATCATCTCAACATCACTTCCTGAAGGAAGTCTTCTCTGATATCACTATATCCTCCATTCCTGTTCTGGGTCAGGTTTGATTTTTTTACAAAATGTGCTCTTTTTCTTCATGACGTTTCTTTCACTTCAATGCCACACTTTTATTTTTATTTTTGTTTATTTATTTTTTATTTTTCGAGATGGAGTCTCGCTGTGTTGCTCAGGCTGGAGTGCAGTGGCGTGACATTGGCTCACTGCAACCTCCACCTCCCGGGGTCAACAGATTCTCCTGCCTCAGCCTCCCGAGTAGCTGGGACTACAGACGCATTCCACCAAGCCAAGCTAGTTTTTGTATTTTTAGTAGAGACGGGGTTTAACCATGTTGACCAGGCTGGTCTCAATCTCTTGACCTCGTGATCTGCCCACGTCGGCCTCCCAAAGTGCTGGGATTACAGGCTTGAGCCACCGCGCCTGGCCAATGCCATACTTTTATTAATGTAATTATGTGATTGTTATATCTCTTCTTCTTCAACGACAAGCTATGATCATCACCACTATCATCATTATCATTTCTACTTCTCCTTCCTAGCAGATGCCTGGTCTGACACCCATTTCTCAGTCTCTCAGTAGTACCAACAGTGCCCTAACCATGAGCACATCTGAAGATTTTTCACCAATGTTGAAGTCAGCTCAAGGATGTTCATACCCAGCCCATGTAAGATGTGTAGAAAAGTTTCTGTTTTGTTTTGCAGTGAGATATTTCCTCCCTTAGCAGAGCTGAACTGACTTGTTTGATCATGGCTTCAGCAGCACCCATCAATAATTAAGTGAAATATCTCACACACTTGCACCTTTAGATTTTCTTTTTAATGCCGAGAGCGGGAAAGTACTTAAAACAGTCAAATAAACGTCACTTGTCCTTCAAAGCTGAATTTCAAAAGGACTTTGCACGAGCATCTCTACAAGATCTCCAGGAAGAAGAATATGCCTGGGGAGGTGTGGTGATTGGATCCACCTCCCCATATTGTGTATAAAACATTTAACTTCTTACAGAACAAAATACCGGTTGAAAAAGAAATGCAGTTTTCCTTGTGGAACATGAAACAGTGTTACAGGGTGGGTAATTTTTTCATCAAGGCTTTCCCTGACTTTATTACAATAACAGGTGTATTCATCAAGATAACCTATGTTAGGCTTCGGTAACAAATACCATACATCCCCCCAAACACATCCCAAATCTCAGTAACCGAACACAATAAAAGTATGTGTTACTCATGTTAAGATCAAATGTCAGTCAGGCAGCCCTCTTGCATCTGGATCTTGGGGTCTCCAAGCTTCCTGACGCAGAGAAAGAAAGACAGGGAGGAAGCACACTGGCTCTGAGCTACATTGGTCTGAAAGCTGACCACATCGCTTCTACTTTTGCCTTAACCTAAGTCCAAGGATCATGTCTTAGGTTTTAACAGGATCCCATACCCTGCTGTGGAGGACAAGGACAGGAGGTGGGAGACTAGCAAGAAGCTACTGCAATCATTTAGGCAGAGATGTTGGTGGTAGAAGCCTTGATCTACTACATTGTTCCAGAGTTTTCCTTGATTATCCTTGATCCTTGATTGTTCCAGATCCCCTTGTTTTCTCTTATCACGGACACCATGCTGGCTTGTATCTGAGATAATACCGATTGTCCTTCTCCTTTGGCCTCACTCCCAGCCTCTTCCTCTCACTCAACAACCGACATGTCACTTGGGCTGTGTATTTATTCTTACTAAGTGCCTAGTTTGACCATCTCCTGAAGAGGTTTTTACTCTGTACCTGCAGCGTAGACTGTAAGTCCATCTCTTATGTTGAATTTCAGTGTCATAGATACTCTTCGTTATGAATGTGCACTGTGCATGTAAACAATGGAATGTGTTACATTTAACACGTAAGCCAATTATAATTTGCAGAATCGTGTATTTACATATCACGTCTGAAGTCAAGCTGTTACCATCTTTTTTTATGGCTCAAAATAATCTGATATGAAATCAGCCCTCCCATATGTTCCTGGTAATCAAACTTTCTTGAAATAGTACGGCAATTTGGCCTCGATCATTAAGAACTCCTGCTGGGCCTGCTGGGTGCCGAGACTAAGAAATGCTTCTTGTTGATCTGTACAAGTCTTGCTCCCAAAGCAGAAAGCATTGCCTTTTAGCTCCACACCCCATTGACTGTCCAGCTTTTGTTTGTGTTGAGAGCCAAATCCATAGTTACAATAAGTGATTAAATACACCCTGGAGATGCCAGTCATGGGTCAACTCTTTCAAGAGGGCGCATCGGGGAAGGCAGCTACAAAATAATACAGAGCAGCATCAGCCTGAGCAGGAGACCAGGATTCTCATTCTTGCTGTGCTGGTAAATGACCCTGTGACTTACCCCTTTTGCTCCTTTATTTCCTCATCTTAGTATATGGAGATTAATTTGGAAAATTCGAAAGCCTCTTTCAGCACTAAAATTCTGTTATTATATACTCTTTACAAAACATATTGGGAGGTTAGCTAACTCTTCTGAATGTATCCTAAAATCAATAGATAAAGTGACTTTCGATGGAATGTTATGTATCCACTAAAAGAGGTATTTTAAGAGAATAATTAATTAATTACATGAATTATATGAAAGAATTTCAACATGTTTTTAGAAACAAAAATATATGTGGATAGGAAAAAAGTGACAAAAAATTAGCAGTCTTATTTTATTCCTATATTTTTCTGTATTTTTCAAACTTTGTAAAATCTGTCAAAAATCCTTTTATTCCTTCTGATTGCCTCTCAGATTTGAATCTTGGTCAAATGTTCAAACCTTGATCTTGCTTAATGGATCACAACCCATTCAGACCCCAGGCCCTCCCTACCTTTTTGTAATAAATATTTGTAAAGTCCTCTTATTTTTCATGAAATGAAATTCATAAATAATACAATGTAACTATATACATAAGATAGACATAATCCTGTAACTGTAATAAAGGAAATTAGAAATAATGTAAATTATAATAACATACTATATATCTTGAAATATGAATACTTAGCTGCATTAGAAGTCCTGTGAAATCTCTTGCCGCCCACATCCATAGATGGGAGCATGGTGGACTTGGCAGCTTCCAGCACAGGCTGATCCAGGCACGATGGATGGCAATTTAAATACCGCTGTGATCCACATGGTTGTCAGTGACAGGATTGTGCTAAAGAGGAAAAGTTGATAAAGTTCCAACGAGATAGAGTCCAGGTTTCTTTTGAGTTACACAGTAGTTTCATATTTGAGAAAGTCATCAAATATTAGAATCCTCAAAGACACCTTATGTTCCTATGTCAATGGACTTAGGTTCTAATCTCAATTAATCGTAAACAGGTGTGTCATCTGTGAATGGCATTTGAATGTTAGGCCAAAGGTGAGACAATTCTTTTTTGGGCAAGACTGTTTTATGCATTGCAAGACACTTGCATCTCAGTTGCCCCCTCTTGTCTCCACTAAACGCTTATAGAACCCTCATTACTATGATAAGGAAGAAATACCCCATGTATTTCCAAACTCTTCTTCAAGGAAGCAAAGAAGAATCTTCTTGACCAACACCTGTCGTGAAGCTCTGTTCCAGTTCAATTCTGCCTTTGTAGCCTCGACTTTTGCCCTTGACCATGAATCCCCTAAATCCATTTATTTCCTGAGTACAGTATACCACCTCAGTCTGTGTACTGTGGCATATGTGGGTTTGTCTATCTGGGGTGTCCTACCTCCTTAGCTTCCTGCCACAATGTCATCATAATTCATTAAGATGCCTTTGACATCCAAGACACGCCATTGTTTTATGTGCTTCTGGGAAAGAAAAAAAAATCCTGTCAAGAAACCTACAGTATGTTACTGAATGTAAGATGCACCCCAATTTCTGAGATATAAATTGTGAAAAACAACACGCATTTAGAATTAGTAAAATCTTTCAAGTCAGGCAGCCTTAGAGAAGCTGCGTGCTTCAGTGTATAAGAATCCTTACTCAGCACCAGTGACCTAGTTAAATACTGGCTCCACCTCTTGGAGCAGTGGTGCTTCACTTTTCTTAGCTCTTAAAATGGGAATAGCAATTCGGTTTTTGGAGAATTCTACAACTTGATTCATGTACAACATCAAGCTCATGTCTGGCACATAGTTAATCCCCCAATGATGATTATTAGTTATTATTTTTAATGATGGGAAATTGCAATGTCATCTCTATTGTGAATCTGTCTTGGATTCTCTCTATCGGAAGTACCTCCTCCTTTCTGTGAGCAGCCCCAGTAGTCACATACAACCTCTCAGTTTTTTGGTTTCCTTACATGGCTTTGGGGCTTAGAGACCAAGGGAAGCATCAACCGTTTCAGAAACTTAATGTCTGACAAAGACGGTGGTGCTCAGTAGGGCTTCAATCAGCCTTTAAAGACATCATAAAGCTGGGAGAAAATCTAGACCTCAGGTTTTCAAAGTCCCCACCCTCCTTTTTCTTAACAGCAGAATAACCTTCAGAAGAAATATTCAGCAGAAACCTGTTGAGTGGAAACATTAAAGAGGAACTGTTTTGGTTGAAGGTCTTGGGAACCTCAACACTCACTCTAAGGGACCCTGTTGAGTCTCCTAAAAACTTAGTGCTTGGCCGGGCACGGTGGCTCACGCCTGTAATCCCAGCACTTTGGGAGGCTGAGGTGGGTGGATCAGCTGAGGTCGGGAGTTCGAGACCAGCCTGACCAACATGGAGAAACCCTGCCTCTATTAAAAATACAAAAATTAGCTAGGCGTGGTGGCACATGTCTGTCATCTCAGCTACTCAGGAGGCTGAGGCAGGAGAATCGCTTGAACCCAGGAAGTGGAGGTTGCGGCGAGCCAAGATTGTGCTATTACACTCCAGCCTGGGCAACAAGAACAAAACTCCATCTCAAAAAAACAAAAAACAAAAAAACCCAAAAAAACCAAAAAACAAAAAAACAAACAAAAACAAAACCTTAGTACTTAGTAGTTTTACTAAGGAGACTCAACAGGGTCCTCTAGAGATCTTCAGGAACATTTCGGGGGTGGAAATGTCATCTGGGTACATGCACATACATGCGTGCACGTGCACACACACACACACACACACACACACACACACACACACACACACACACGATCCTGAAAGGAGAAATAACTTGCTTAACTCTAGAAATCGTGGCTCTCATTTACTCAGCACTGATTCTCTTCCAGGCATTGTGCAAACACTTCCCAGGCATGATCTGTTTTAATCCTTTGGAAATCCTATGAGGTAGGCATAGCAGATTCCCAATTCACAAAGGACACAACTGCCAATTAGCTCATACAGCTGATGGGGCAGTGTTGGGCTATTATCCTAGGGTCTCTGATCCTGAAGCCCCAAATCTCAACCAACGTTACATCTTTGTTTCATTAAGTCAGTGTCGGAACCCAGTCTGTAACCAGCTGGCTAGTCTTTCAAGTTTGTGGGTCTTCTCCATCATATCCCTACTAAGAAGGTTTATTCAATGATCTTTCACATCCTGGGATTTATGTACATTTGCTCATTTTTTAGCAGCTTCTTGTACTCCACAAAGCACTGTTTGGAGAAAAGGGAGATTTGCTGCCTATAATTTCAGCTCCACATAGCAAGCCTGGTTGGGAAGAGAGAGGGAGAGGAAATAAGATTCTATTAATGCATCATGCCCACCTCCATACTGGGATAAATTTCTGAAAAAAAGTGAAATAGCACTCTGGTAAACCAAGCGTCATTACAGTAGACATGTGGCTCCCCCAGATAAACAACCTAGCTCTGATTTCTCTCCAAGGAGCAGTATAATAGTGTAGTTTTACATTTGATGGCTTGAAGTCAGGAAACCAAATGCTGGATTTTTGTTGGATCTTTGCGAATTCAGTCCCTTTATTTTGTTCTCTCCCTAGTGATGCGTAGTCTTAGAAACAGAGAAAAGATGATGGAAATTGTAACCAACAGTTTAGTAAATATCCAAGTCATTTTCCTTCTTATTTTCTTTGAAAAGATGGCATTGCAAATTTGCCAATTCATTTGTTTTCCAAGGCAGTGAAAGCAGGACTATCTGTTAAGAAATGCACGGAGCTGCCAAAACCCGCTGAGCAGCGCCCAACATCTGGAATTCAAACTGCTGGAAATGTAGGGAGTAAGAAAGCTATTCGCCTGCTGTTCACTGCAGATAAAGTAATGCTCATTAAGGCTTAGAGTGATGTCCAGGGAGTCAGTTCACCTGTTAGAACGCCTATCATCTCATAGAAGCCTTGCCTCATGTTCCTGAAATCTCATAAAGGAGCACCAGATGCTGTCGAAAATGGTGGGAATGTTTTCCTCTGTATATACTTTCTCAATTAAAGGCACTTTTATTTAAACACACAGCCATTTGATACACAGCAAATGTTTGCTTACCCAGAACTCAACCAAACACAATGTTTCATTAGTTCTTCCGTTCATGTCCATGATGAGCCTGTTATCTTATAATATCTTGAAGTTTCCTTTGAATCATCAATGAAAGATTAAATTCCGTTGGGTGTGTTTTCAGTGTTTTGCACTTGCATTTGAATTATTTTGTACATTTTGACAACATAAGTCCAGGATGGCAAACGATATCTCCCAGCATACTTTCAGCCCTGCCATTTCCCCTGCTTCTGCTCAGGTGCACACTGCGGCCATTCTTAATTGATCAGGGAACTCCTTCCTCCAGATCTCAGTCCTGGCCTTTCACCCGACAACTACTAAAGGTTGGGTGATGCTGATACTAAAATATGGAATAACACTTATTTGCCATTACAAAACAGATAAGTTTTTGTAAAAAGAAGATTCAGTTAACAGCTAGATAAATAGGATTCTGTTGAACTTATGAAAAGCTATTGAGTGAAATGCATTTTTATATGCTGTTGATGTCTTAGGTATTATCTTCAGAGTGTATGAAGCTGACTCACAACTAAGCAGACTGTTGGTGAACTTAGGCAATGTTAGTAGCATATATTAACAATCCATGTATTTTAAAGCATTAATATGTGAGTAAATAAATAACTCATAACTTATATGCAATTATACAAATGATAATTACTTCATACTTTATAATTTGTATATATAAATTAGCAAGAAACTATCCCATAATTAACAGCAACAGCCAACACATAGAAAGGATATATTATAGTTATGCAACCCCATGTGTTATTTTTAATAGAAAACTATACAGATTATAAAATACACACAGCTGAAATGTACAATTCAGTGTATATATTTATATAATCCTCAAACCTTTCAACTTATGAAGATATAGATTATTTCCATTAGCCCCCAAAATTGTGCCTATTCCCACTCAATCACTGCCCTCCCACTTTTATTTGATAAGAGTAACCATTATTTGACTTCTACCACCATCAATGAATTTTGCCTATTCTAGGACTTTCTGTCAGTGGAGTCACACAATTTGTACTCTTTAGTGTCTGTCTTTTTTTTCACTCACCAAAAGTTTTCTGTTTTATTTTCAGATTAAAACATGTGATTGCATGTAACAGTAGTTTGTTCCTTTTTCACTGCTGATTAGTATTCCATTATATGAATTGGTGTATCTGTTTTTCTACTGATGGACATTTGGGTTGTTTCCAGTTAAGCTTTATTACAAGTAAGTCATCTCTGTAAACATTGATGTGCAAGACTTTTTGCAAATACCTGTTTCCACTTCTACTGGGTAAATATATAGTAGTGGAATTACTGTCTCATGTGGTAGAGGCATATGTAAGTTTATGAGAAATTTGCAGATCATTTTCCAAAATGGTTTAACTACTTTCTCTTTCTCAACACCAATATAATAGGTCCAGATGCTTCACATCCTTGCCAATATGTGATGCTGTCCATCTTTTTAGTTTTAGCCACCATAGCGTGTGTGCAGTGGTATCTTACTGTGCTTCTGTTATGTGTTTCTCTGATGACTATTGATAATGAGCAATTTTTCACACATTTATTGGCCATTTGTATACTTTTCTTTCAAGATATATTGAAGTATTTCCTCAATTTTTAGTTGGAGTGATTGTCCTTTTATTGACTTGTACGAATATAGCTGGACACTGGATACAAGCCTACTGTTATACGTAAGCTTTACAATTATTTTCTTTCAGTCTGGGCCTAAACTATTTATTTTCTTTATAATAGTTTTTAGTGAGCAGAAGTCTTTCATTTTGGTGAAGCCTAACATAATTTTTATATCCTTAGAAATTTTTGCATACTCCAGGTTGCTTTCAGTGTTCTAACTAAGAAATCGTTGCCTACCACCTGGTTCCAAATAATGTTTTAATGGTTTTTTTCTAGAAGGTTGATAGCTTTAGTTTTCACATTATCTGCTTGTTCCTATCACCATTACATTTCTTTTCTTGGTATATTGCTTTGACGTCTTAATGAAAATTATGTATGGAGTCTATTTCTGAGTTTCTATTCTGTTTTAATAATCTGTCTATTCTTATGCAAATACCATACTTAATCTAACTTTAATACAGAAGTGTTGATCTTTTAATTTTATTCTTTTCAAAACTATTTTGGTTTTCTAATCAGATTGTCAGGTTTTACCAAAAAAATTCTGCTGAGATTTTGACTGGGATTGCATTGAATTCATAGATACATTTTGAAGATGTTCATTTAACTAGATTGCTTATTTCTATCCATGAACATGGTATGCTTCTCCCTTATTCAGATGGCCTTTAATTTCTCTCAGCATTGTTTGGTATGCAACTCTGTGTATCTGCCATTAAATTTATCCATTGGAATTTTGTGGTTTTTTTTTTTTTAAACTTTTATGTTCAGGGTATATGTTCAGGTTTGTTACATAGGTAAATTGTGTGTTGTGGGGGATTGCTGTAGTAGGAATTATTTTGTTACCCAGGTAATAAGCATAGTATCTAATAGTTTTACGGACCTCACCCCTCTCCCAACCTCCAACTTCAAGTATTTTTTAATGTTATTGTAAATGTTATTGTCACTCTAAATTTGATTTTCCAATTCTGCTTTGCTACAATAAGGAGATATAATTTTTGTAGATTGGCATAGTATCTTGTGACCTTGCCTAATTTACTTGTTCTAATTATTGTTTTTAAACTCATTAAGATTTTTTTGCATATATGAAATTGTCATTTGCAAATAAAGATGTATTACTTTCTTCATAAACTTTTAAATAAGTAGGGAGAAAATTTTTCTCCCCACTTATTGCACTGGTCAGGATCTTTAGTACAATGTTGAATCGAAGTGAAAAGAATAGACATCCTTGATTTGTTGCTTATTTATGAGCCAACATTCAGTTTTTCACCATTAAAAATACTGTTTGCCGTGAGTTTCTTATAGATGCCTTTTGATTGCAAAAACTTCCTTCTATTTCTAGTTTCCTGAGAATTTTTTCATGAATGAGTTTTGAATTTTGTCAAATATGTTTCTGAATCTATGAATATAATTTTCTTTATTGTATTAATGTGGTAAATTGCATCAGATTTTGAAATCTTGTATTCCTGAAATAAACTCCATTTGGTCATGATGTATTATTCTTTTTTACATTGCTGAATCTGATTTTGCCATGCTTTATTAAAATGTTCTCCATCTATTTTCACATGGAGTGCTGGCTGAGTTTTCATTTTATATAATGTCCTTATGTGGTTTTGTTTTCAAGGATATGATGGTCTGATAAAATCAGCTGGGGCATATTCTTTCTTCTCTGTTTTCTGAAAGTGTTTGTGTTAAATCGGTATTATTTCTTTTTTAAATGTTAAGAATTCACCAGTGAAGTCATTTGATCTAGGAGTTTCCTTTTGGGGAAAGTTTTCATTATCAACTCAGTTTCTTAACAGATATAGGGCTATTCAGATTTTTCTGTTTATTTTCACATCCATTTTACTAAATTATATCATTCAAGTAATTTCGATAATTCATGTAAGTTGTTATATTCATTGGTATAAAGTTGATTATAATATTTTCTTATTAGCCTAGAGATGTCTGTAGGTTTTATCATAATGTACCCCCTTCATTCTTAATTTTGGAACTTTCCTCTTTTTTATTAAAACTGTTCTTGTGGTTTGCTTATTCTTGCTATTGCTTCCCATTTTCCATTTCATCGATTTCAATGCTTACATATTAGTTCCTTCTTTCTACTTATTTCCATTCTAATTTGCTCTTTTTATAACTTAGTTGGAAAATTCAATTATAATTTAAAATTTTTGTCTTTTGTAATATTAATATTTACATCTTTAATTTTTTTCTCAAAGAACTATAGTAGATGTATTCCAAAAATTTTGGTATGTTTTCATTCTGAGTTCAGAATAGCTTCTCATTTTTCTTGTGATTTTTTTTCCATAACTCATAGGTTATTTTGAAGTTTGTCATTCAATTTATAAATATTTATTTTTTTCAGATACATTTTGTTATTGACCTTCAGTTTAATTCTGTTATGACTAGAGAACATACTCTATATATTTTCAGTCTTTGGATATGTATTAAGACTGTTTTATGTCTCAATCTATAGAATATCTTAATGTTTTATGTGCATTTAAAAGAATGTCTATTCTGCAGTTGTTCATTTGAGTGTCCTATAATTACTAGCTAGGTTATGTCCCTTGATAGAATTGTTCAAGACTTGCTGATTTTCTGAATATTCCTTTTATCTATTACTGAGAAATGAATATTCAGACCTACAACTCTGTGAATTTATGTCTATTTCAATTAGTTTTTGCTTTGTATAATTTGAAGCTCTGTTATTAAGTGTGTATGTATTATGATTGCTGCATCTTCATTATGAATGGACACATATCACAAAATATTTCCTTCTTTTTCTGTGGTGGTAATCTTTAACATGAAGTCTACTTTGTCTAATATTATTATAGTAACTACTTTAGCATTCTTAGGATTAGTGCTTGCACTGTATTTTATTTTTAAACCTTTTCGTTTATCTGGTGTCTATATTTAAAATGTGTCTCTTATAAAGAACATATAGTTGTCTCGCTTTTTGAAAATCTAATCTAACAATCTTTGCCTTTTATGTGGTGTGCTTACTTCATTACATTCATTTAATGTAATTATTGATACTGTTAGTTTTATATCTACCAACCTGCTTCATCTTCTATTTTTATCAACTTTCTTTTGTTCCCTTTTCTTCCATTTTTACCTGCTTTTGGATTGAACACATACTTTTTAAATTGTATTTGATTTTATCTTTTCTATTGGCTTTTTGACTGTACTTTTAAATTTTATTTTTAAAAGGATTACTCTAGGAATTATAATAATTATACTAAACTTACTACGGTCTACTCTGAATTAATGTTGTGCCACATCAAATATAATAAAATAACCTTATAGCAGTATACTCCCATTTATCTGCTTCACGTTTTTTGCGCTATTGTTAACATATATTTTATACAATGTTCCATGCATCTTACCTGGTGCTTATGATTAGAAGTGATACCTACTACCTACTCATGGACAGTCCCTGAAGTCTCTCCATGTTATCAGAGACAATAAAAAATATTTTTTATACAAAAAAATTATTGAACATTATATTTTAGGAACTGTGTTAAGTTCTGGAGATTCAAAGATATGTATGGTATTGTCCCCGATCTCAAGCTCACTCTCTAGAGGGAGAGAAAAAAACATGAACAAATAACTATGCTCCATTGTATTGTGTGTCATGAAAGGCCTAGCCACAACAGGGCACGATGAGAGAGGACTGGCACTTCTTTTAGATACTCTGGTTATCTAAAAGATGCCCAGCGTGAACAGCACTTCTAGATGGTACATGTGGAGAGATGGAATCAGGATGGTCATGATAAAAGAAAGTATTCATTGAGAAAAATAGCTTCAATGAGCTTATAAAATGCCTTCCATGCTTTCCATTGAGACTTTACCCAGTGAGCGCTGGGGAAGCCACTGGATATATAGAATCAGGCAAATGACTTGTCAGAACTTTTTAAGAAAGAATAATCTGGGTTGGGTGTGGTGGCTCATGCCTGTAATCCCAGCACTTTGGGAGGCCAAGGTGGGTGGATCACTTGAGCTTAGGAGTTCGAGAACAGCCTGGGCAATGTAGCGAAACCCCATCTCTACCAAAAATACAAAAAATTTGCTGGGCGTGGTGGCATGAGCCTGTGATCCCAGCTACTCAGGGGCTGAGGTGTGAAGATGGCTTGGGCCCCGGGGGGGTGGAGGCTGCAGTGAGCCATAATCGTGCCACTGCACTCCAGCCAGGGCAACAGAGTGAGCACCTGTCTCAGAAAAAAAAAAAAAGATAAAAGAATAGAAAAAAGAAAGAATAGTAATAAAAATACTATTTGTTTCAGAACTTTTGAGAAACAGTTTGTTGCAAACTTAACAATAACATTGACACTGTCAGGATAACATCTCAAAGAACATGGTACCCTTGCTTCAGAAGAATAGCATCATTTTAATGCAGTATTCCACAGATGTCTGTCCTTCCCATAGAATTAATGTTTTGATAATTTTATTCAGCAAAGCTATATTTATTGTTTTGTTTTACTTATCTAATAGTGAGCTAAAACGTCAGAAATAAAATATCATAAATTCTTATTTCCATTTTACAAATGCAGAATTTGAGATGCAGAGAAATAATGTCACCAAAATAATCTTTCAGATCAGAATTTATCAATTTTATTTCTATCTAGCATTTAAAAAAACATGAATTACTATCAAATTCCGTAAACTTAGGCTTCACATAATGATTATCATTTTTTAGGATATTCACATTTATGATAAGACAAGGAAAAAGAAACAGTTTATAAATATTAGAAAGTATCAAACAAAATTATAATTTTTTTCAGAGTCCTTGTTTTTCTTTCTAAAATGCAAGTGAGAAAAAAACTGAACTGATAATAAGTAAGTTCTTTAAAATGGCCAGTAAAATAAATTTCCAAAAATCAATAGCTTTTCTATGTGCTAAAAATTGTTAGAAAATATAATGCAATATAAAGTCCTATTCACAGTAATAACAAAAAAAGTGAAAAAAGTTATACCTAGGAATACATTTATGAAAGATGCTGGGCCAAATTTTTTTAAAAACCAAAACTTGTCAGAGGAATATAAAACAGAAATAAAGGAGAATCATGATGATTGAATAAATGCAAATTAAAATGAGATAATAATTATCTGAAAGAGATAACCCACCTGCTCCTATCCATTAAAACTTGAGCTGCAATTTGTTTAGTATATCAGTGGCCATTCACTTAGCAAAGTCCTCAAGTACTGAGCTATAACCTTAGCAAGTTTGTTAATAGTCATGATGGAGGAAAAGATCAGAAGTAGCATTAGAAGGGACATTACTTATATAATATGTTAACCTTTTTTGTAAGTCTCTCTAAAATGGATAACTTCCTTAATGCATCAAGACTTTTTGTATGTCAAGCAATTTTTCCATGGACACACAAGAAAAAAAAATTGAAAAACTGCAACTTTGATCTATGACAATGTTTTTTATATATTGTTTTATGCTCACAAATAAGAAATATCACTATCACACTCAGCAGCTGTGTTTGTTGTTGTTGTTGCCTCTGTGTTGCTATAGAATGAGTCAGCCTCATTACCATGTCTGTTCATTAAGGTTTTTTCCTAATTGCACTCTTGGACTAAGCTTCCATAATCGAGAAAGTGAGCATGTTATCTACTCACACAGCAGCCCTGAATGAGGAGGCAGCCTTGCCATTTATTGTGTTTTTGAACAGAAGTGAGTGATATTTTTAAACCTAAAGTGAGAAAATGGCAACTGTAGCTATGACTCAAACAATAGGCACCTGCAGCTGTTACAAGTTTTGCTAGTCTAAGAAAGACAAAAGATGGTTTCTTTGTTTTTAATCATTCTTGACATTTTATTTCACAAAGTCCTGACTGTCCTAAACTGTCTACTGAAGCTTGGATGCCTAATTGTACTCTACAGTGCAAATTAGGGATGCGGCCAACAACTTCTTTTAAAGAGCTGATAGCAACAGGAGGCAGCCAAATGCCTAGGCAGATGGGGCGGGTATCTGATGAAGCCCCACCTCCAAACCCAAGACAGTTTAAAGCCCAAAAGCCAAGCTGCAAATTAATCTGAGTCTGGATTGAGAACTTGTCTCCTATTTGGCATGCTTTCCTCTGATTGATCCCTACCCTTCATTTATTTTACATATACCTACCCTTTCCTAATTGATTTTCTACACTGTCATGCCCACCTTTGAGTGGTGTCTTCCTTTTAAACTTTTTTGCATATTCACAAACCAATCAGCATGCATTCCTCATCCTGTGCCTATAAAGACCCTAGACTCAGTCAGTAGGAGAGGAGATGACCTGACTTCAGGGAAGAGACAACCTGACTTTGGGGAAGACAACCTGCCCTTCCTGTCCCCTCTCCAGCTCTTCTGTCTGCTGAGAATCGTTTTCATCACTCAGTAAAATTATCCACCTTCACCACCCTTCAACTGTCCATGTGACCTCATTCTTCTTCGATGTCAGACAAGAGCTCAGGATCCACCAAGTGTGGGTACCCAGAAAAGGCGGTCACACTGGCCCTTGCCCTTGCTGGTGGAGGGCAGCTGCCCCACATGATGAGGAAAGGGACCAACTGAGCTGCTGAGGTCATTTCTGTTTTGTTCTGGTAATTGCTATATGGGAAATAGGGAAGAGCTGCTCTCAACTGAAATACTCTGATGATTGCATCCAAATACAAGTTAAGCATCCCTAATTCCCAAATCCAAAATGCTCCAAAATTCAAAACTTTCTGAGCACTGACATGAAATAGTAACACCTTTGCTTTCAGATGGTCCAATGAACACAAACTTTGTTTCATGCACAACATTATTTAAAATATTGTATAAATTTAGCTTCATGCTATGTGTTTAAGGTGTATATAAAAAATAAATTTCATGTTTAGACTTGGGTTCTATTCCTAAGATATCTGATTATGTATATGCAAGTATTTAAAAATCTGAAAAAGTTCGAAATCCAAAACACTTCTAGGCCCAAGCATTTTGAATGAGGGATACTCAACTCATCATCTCTTTCAGTCAGTAGACCTGTGTTACAACTATTGTGAAATAGCCATAGTCCCTTCCCTTGAAAGAGGTACAGCCTGGGGTGAGTTTGTAACCCAGGGTACCCGGGTTTTGGGGTACACACTGTGAAAAAGTAACCACCTGTAACTGTTGCACCTTGAGTTCTTGTTTCAAAAAATTTCCAGAAAGAAGTTCAACTGGCCGGACGCAGTGGCTCACGCCTGTAATCCCAGCACTTTGGGAGGCTGAGGCGGGCGGATCATGAGGTCAGGAGATCAAGACCATCCTGGCTAATGCGGTGAAACCCCATCTCTACTAAAAATACAAAAAATTAGCCGGGCGTGGTGGCGGGCGCCTGTAGTCCCAGCTACTCCAGAGGCTGAGGCAGGAGAATGGAGTGAATCTGGGAGGCGGAGCTTACAGTGAGCCGAGATCATGCCACTGCACTCCAGCCTGGGTGACAGAGCGAGACTCTGTCTCAAAAACGAAAACAAAAACAAACAAACAACAACAACAAAAAAAAAAAAAACGCAAAAGAAGTTCAACCCTGGTGGGGTGGGGATGGGGGAGAATGGTTGGATCCCAAGATGCCTGAGTTGGAAATGAACTTTGGTGAACTCTCCTCTTACCATATGAAAATCTGCACCCAGAGAGTAGCTTATTCACTATTTTCTATAAATGCCATTGATGTAGAAACGTGCCATTTATACAGAAAATTCACTATTTTCTATAAATGCCATTTATGTAGAAACATTCACTATTTTCTATAAATGATATTTATGTAGAAACAAGGAATATGCAACACATAAATGCCATTTATGTAGAAACATGGTCGGGCACTGTGTCTGGGCTGCCTTTACTCCACCTCTACATGCATTGACTCAGCTAACCAGCCTGATAACAGTCCTGTTTTCACTGTTGTTCAGGGAGAGACACTGCTTTGGAAACGATCCCCAGCGTTCCCCTTACTTGTTGCAAGTAATAAAATCCCTGTGTCAAATCCTCCTTGGTTGCGACCATTGGATGGTCACCATCCAAACAATGGAACCTACCCATTGTGTGGATAACAAATTTAAGATTGGCTTTCCTGACTTGTCTAGTTCTTTTGAAACCTGACTTTTACCACCCTCAGAATTTTGTGCTGCATATGTGTAATGACATTGGCCAACATTTCCTACTGGGAAGTAGCCAAAATCCAGTGACATGCTCCACTTATTTCTGTTTGCAAATCTACTTATTTTCTTTAGCCATCTTTATAGGATGTTTCAACAGGTAGCTAAAGAAATTGACTTGTAAATACATATGTAAGTAAGAGGACAAATCAGTTATACGTGAGAACACGTGTACATGCTATGTAAAGGGAGAAGTGCAGACAGAGAAAAAGCAATCATTTATAAATCAGGGCTGATGTATTTGACAGAAATCAAATTTTGCAGCTACTAAAATGTCATTAAACCCATAAGGGGATAAATTATGTAGCTGAGAGTTAGGTAAACCTTTCAAGCAAAGGATCAGTTAGCAAATATTTTAGGGTTTGCAGCCACACATTTCCTGTCTCAACAACTCTATTTTGCTGTTATAGCACAAAAGCAGTCATAGACAATATGTCAATGAAGGAACTCAGCAGTGCTACAATAAAACTTTATTTACAAAAGCAGGTGCGAGGCCAGATTTGGCCCACTGGCCGTACTTTGTTGATCCCTGATCTATTTGATTTCCTATAAAGCAGAAGATGCTTTGTTTTATCCTACAACCTACAAGCTGCATGCCTTTGATATCTTTTTAGTCTTTAAATTTGATCAGTACCCTGTGCCATTTTTGTGTCTTTTAATATCTTCCTTTAAACTACTCAGCCAGTTGTGCTATTTTGAAACTGCCAAGTTTGTTTTTCCTGGGCATGCAATCCTTCCATATTTCCAAGAACTGCCAACATCACTAAGAACTGTTTAATTAAGGCATCAATAATAAAACAGTTCCTAAATCTCATTTGGAAAAATGTAGCAGTTGCATTCAGGCAACTTAGCTGGGGCAGCAAATATTAGAAAGATCAAAATCTTAATTGCAGCAATGAAAATGATACTATTTATTTAGCACTCATTATGTGATTGGTTCACTGCTAACACTTTGTACCTTAAAAGAGATGGCTCTTATTACCGTACGCCCCATTATAAATTTGAGAAATTGAGTCTCTGAGGTTTCAGGTGATGTACATAGTGTCCAACTCTATTAGAAGCCAAAGCTCATCCTCTTAAAGACCACGTTGGTTGTGGAGGTGGTTTTAGGTGCTGGTGAACAAGCAAAATAACAACTCTAAACCTCATCTTTCTTTCTTTCTTTCTTTCTTTCTTTCTTTCTTTCTTTCTTTCTTTCTTTCTTTCTTTCTTTTTTTTGAGACGGAGTCTTGCTCTGTTGCTCAGGCTGGAGTGCAGTGGCATGATCTTGGCTCATTGCAACCTCTGCCTCCTGGGTTCAAGTGATTCTCTTGCCTCAACCTTCCTGAGTAGCTGGAATTATGGGCATGCACCACCACATGTGACTAGTTTTTATATTTTTAGTAGGGATGGGCTTTCACCTTGTTTGCCAGGCTGGTCTCGAACTCCTGACCTCAAGTGATCCGCCTGTCTCAGCCTCCCATAAACCTCACTTTCTAAATGGGTAGGTAAAGGATTGATCTTGTTAATCTTTAACATCCCTTCAAATATCCTTGCTTGAAATCATATTGAGTCATCCCAAAATATAGGTCTTGAGCATGTTCGAGGCACTGCTAAATTCTGGTGACACAGATATTTTTATATTTGCTTTCTAGAAAAAAGAAATTGTATTTCTCATAGATCATGGGATATACTTTACTAATCTGAAGAAAAGAACAATTGCTACAAGGACAAAGGTATTCTTTTTAAAACATATGATGGGCCACAAAGTTTCAATATAGCACAATTCATGTATGTAAATTATTATATGTCATAGTAATGTGGCTAATTAAAACAAGTGTCTTAAAATTTTGGTGGGGGATTTCACTTGAAAGAAAAAGCTATGGAAGCACTGAAAAAATATATACTTTTAAAAAACAATTTAAATCTGAGAACTAAAAACAAAATCCTAGTTAATGCCCAAAATGGGTGTGTCTGGAGAGGTTAGCAAGCAGGAAAAAATAAGATTAGTTATTTGTGCTTGAGTCAGTCTGTGTAGGAATTTTACGGTTGAAAGCAATAGAAACAAGATATGGCAAACATAAGCCCCAGAAAATTTATTAGGACTGTGGGTCCACAGAGTTGAAGGACTCACAGAATTAAAGGAAAAGTGGCATACCAGGCTTGGGAAGGTCTCAGGTCCAAGGATGCAGGAAGCTTAGCAACCACTTTTCATCTGGAATGACATGGTTCAAATACCAGCATCATTTTCTTCTCTCTGTTTATCAGTGGCTAAAATTAAAATCCTGTGAGGGAGTGCCCAGTGGTGGAGGTTTATGTGCAAGTAGGTCTATCCCATGCCAACAAGAGAAGGTATTTTTTTCATACTGGCATCCTTAGGGAAAGGCAACTCAAGATTATCCTAGTACCAAGACTGAATACAAATGGGACAAATGGATTCCCAAAAGGAAACTGGAGAATAGGAAGGCACAGACAAAAAATAAAGTGCCCCCTACTAAGAATGTGACCTAAAACAATTAATTCAAACATGAGTGTATGCCCAGTTCTTGAATTTATCTAGACAAATACCAGAGTTTATTGTCAAATGATCACCGTCATATTCTATGTGGCCAAATCTGATATTAGAGAATTAGATTTTAGGTTTCCAAATTCCTAAAATGCAAATTGGATTCCTAATTTTCCTATCCCAAACAGTGCTGAGATATAATTACATACTATTAAACATCTGTTAAATTAAAATGAAATGGTGAGGGAGACAAGGAATATGCAGTCTTTGAGTATTGCTGTTATGGAGGGGTGAAATTAATTTTCATTATACGAACAGAGGCTGTCTATACCACCATTCCAGGAAAACTAGTAATTGGGTTGAACGTAATGTGGAATCAAGTATTTTTATTCTATCCACTATGTGTGCCTCTGTAATTAAACTCTGGAAGTTCAGTGAGTTTAGTGGCATTCAAATGAGATAATATCTGGTGATGAATTAAGAACTTCCTATTGTGAGATCACATGGACACAGGAAGGGGAACATCACACTCTGGGGACTGTTGTGGGGTGGGGGGAGGGGGAGGGATAGCATTGGAAGATATACCTAATGCTAGATGACGAGTTAGTGGGTGCAGCGCACCAGCATGGCACATGTATACATATGTAACTAACCTGCACAATGTGGACATGTATCCTAAAACTTAAAGTATAATAATAAAAAAAAAAGAACTTCCTTCACTGTTCCTGCCTTAAGGTGGAAATCTTCCATTCATTTGACATCTTAGGACTGCCTACTATTATTTGTCAGTGGTGAGGTTAACCTTGGGGGTATTATAGGAATGAAAAAAGTTATGGTTTCAATACTAGAGAAGAATTTATTCTAGTTGAGAAAACAGACAAATCTGGTAATGTAATGACGGAAGCATAAACTAAGCAGTAGGAAGTGCTTTGGAAGCATAGAATAGGCTCTTTATTTGACTTAAGATTCTAACACAGAGTTCCCGGAGGATGAAGCATCATCCTCCCTCCCAGAAACATAGCACAGCGGTTTTCTTAGTGTTACCCTGACCAGCAGCATTACCCTCACCTGAGAACTTGGTTTCAATGTGGTCTCAGGTCCCTCCCCAGACCTACTGAATCAGAAACTTTGGGGATGAGGCCAAACACGCTGTGTTCCGATAAGTCCTCCTGGTGAGTAGTTCTGACCTACTTCAAGTTTAAGAGCCCCTGATCCATCAAAATGACTAAGAAATATGGACTCTTCTATCAGATCAGCACTTCTCAATTCTGGGCACAGGTGATAATCTTCTGATGAAATTTTAAAGTTCTTGACACCAAGACTAAATCAAGTAAATCAACTCTCAAGGGTTGAGGCATGGGCCTCTCTACACATGTATGGACATAGATATGTTTAATTCTCCAAGTGATCTGAATACTAGACCAAAGTTTGCTAAATTCAGCCTTCAATTACTGAATGTCTTTCAAGTGACAGAGGAGTAGTCTGAAAACATGGAGATGTCAACAAGGAAAAGAAAGAGAAACAAACAAAAAAAAAGTTTTTGAATATTACATGCCAGACACTGAACAAGGGGCTAAGGATACAAAGAAAGAATAAAGGGAAATAATGGAGGACAGAAAAAGGTAATTGGGGGGCGGCAAGAGACACAGAATTACTGAACTGTGTTCTAGACACTCTGCAAACATGACCTCATTCAGTTACAACCTTTCAAGAAGGATGCTATGAGTCTATATTAAATATGAGAAAACTGATACAGGTTGAGCATTTATTATTCAAAATGTTTGGGACCAGAAGTGTTTCGGATTTTATATTTTTTGAGATTTTGAAATATTTGCATATACGTAATGAGATATCTTAGGGAAGAGACCCAAGTCTACCTCCAAATTCACTTATGTTTTATACATGCCTTACACATAAAGCCTAAAAATAATTTTATATTATTTTAAATAATTGTATGCATAAAACAAAGTTTTCATACATTGCACCATCAGAAAGCAAGGTGTCCCTGTCTCAGCCACCCATGTGGACAATTTGTGGTTGTTCAGCATTTCCATCACTCCTGACTGAACTTATATGCTACTGATATGCATTTATTTTCTCACACTTACAGTAAGTTCTTAACGGTTGATATGGTTTGGCTTTGTGTCCCCACCCAAATCTCACCTTGAATTGTAAACCCCATAATCCTCACGTGTCATGAGAGGGACCTGGTGGGAGGTAGTTGAATCATGGGGACAGTTTCCCCCAACTCTGTGCTTGTGATAGTGAGTGAGTTCTCACAAGAACCGATGGTTTTATAAGCATCTGGCATTTCCCCTGCTGGCACTCATTCTCTCTCCTGCTGCCCTGTGAAGAGGTGCCTTCTGACTTGATTGTAAATTTCCTGAGGCCTCCCCAGCTATGCAGAACCGTGAGTCAAATAAACCTCTTTTCTTTATAAATTATCCAGTCTCGGGATATTTCTTCATAGAAGCGTGAGAATGAACAATGGTAAAAAATATGACATAGCAGTAATACAGTGAAAATATAACGTGTTAGGGGTGACCAAGCAGCACAGCAGCCTCAGCAGAAACCGGGATCAGCTGTTAAACAACAGCAACAACAGGCAATGGCAGACTGAACAAATTGGGTTTTGTGCCCTGTATTTTGACAGCAACCCATCACGTGAGGTCAGGGTTAGAATTTTCCACTGGTGGTTTGCAGGACTTTTTGAGCAGGAGTGCTCAAAAAGTTTTGGATTTTGGAGTATTTTGGTTTTCAGATTTTTGGATTAGAAATGCTTGACAACCTGTATTCAGAAATAATAAGTAATTTCTGAAGGCCATGCGACTAGTAAGTAGCAGAGTCAAGAGCCGAACCCAAGGTTTTCTACTTCCTAGTTGCTGGGACCTTTCTTTGCTTATTGACAGGTAGCGTAGCCCAGTGGGCAGCCATGTGGGCTCAGCCAGATACCCCCAGTTACAAATCCTGGTGCTTTCACTTATGAACTCTATGACCATCAGCAAATTAAATAGCCTGTTTCTTTCTCACTTTCCTTCTCTGTAAAATGGAGACACTACTAGCACACATGTTGTTACAGTGTTAGAGGAGATGATGGGTACATTTAGAGTTGTCTGGGCCATAGTTAAGTACTGACGCATTTGCTAACATAACAGACATCATAAAAGAATTGCTGAACTGTTACAACAGATGTCTCTTATCAAAAGAAAACTCAGTGAAATAAGAGATATAAAAATAGCCAAATAAACTGACCACAATATGATTATATTACCAAAAATTAAAAGACTTCAGGTGAAGTAACACAGATATTTAAATCAAGATTTAAAGTAGATGTCTTGTGCCAGTAATCTCACTTTTGTGAATCTTTTTAACAGAAATGAGAAAATCCTTAAGTGGAAATACAATTACAAATGTTTCCTTGTACCTTTGGAGGTATAAAGAAAAGAAGAGGGAGGAAGAGGAGGACGAAGAGGAGAAGAAATAAATCACTGGGGAAAAAACACAAAAAATAACTTTAATGTCTACTAATTATGGGATCATTGAATTAACCATAGCATATCTGTAATATACAATAGTATGCAACTATCTACAAAGTTAGTTTTCAGCCAGGCACAGTGGCTCACACCAGTATTCCTAGCACTTTAGGAGGCTGTGTGGGGAGGATCACTTGAACTCAGGAGTTCGAGACCAGCCTGAGCAACATAGAGAGACACCCCCCTCCACAATCTCTACAAAAAATAAAAAATTATATGGGCATAGTGGTATGTGCCTCTCATCCTGGCTACTTGGGAGGCAGAGGTAGAAGGATCATTTGAGCCTAGGAGGTTGAGGTTTCAGTGAGGAGTGATTATGCCACTGCACTTCAGCCTAGGCAACAGAGTGAGACCTTGTCCCCCGATAAAATAAAAAAATGAATAAAACGAAATTTAAAAATAATAGGTAAGTTTTCTCCAAACACGCTTAGAAGGATGTCCATGATATTACTACAGCAAAAAAAAAAAAAAAAAAAAAGCTACTTTAATTTCACTTTATATAGTATGATTCCATTGAGAAAATGTAAAAAGTCAACACAGGTTTGTATACGTTTGCACAAGCACAGAAAAAGGTAGGAGAAGTTTCCATATCAATTTGATCACATTAGTGCTTGAGTGTTTTGAATTAGAAAAGAGGAGATTAGTTCTGCTAACTTTTTATTCATTGTTTTTTTTTTTTGTTAAGTAAATGAAGAAATAGTGTGTAAGACAGGGCCAACATTTTTACATATTTAGCTATATCTTTTATATGTCTAACTATATCCCTCCCATTATGAGAAGAGGCTCTGGAGAGCTGCGGTTTGACACATTCATCTGTTAACCTCCAGGTGCTAGCACAGATAGGGGTACGTGGATAATGAGAAACTGTGTGTGTTGTGTTGCTCTGCACTGTTAAGAAATTTCTGAGTGAAGCGTTGACATGCAGCATGAAGGGAGAGGGATTACTTGGCAATTACCACCCACAACGAATAGGTATGCCTTCATTTTCTACTTCAGGGTCTTTAAGATGCAACGGTGAAGGAAAAAACTCAATATAGTCTTGATAATTTAGATTTTGTGTGCGAATGTCCTGGGACAAACTAATCCACCTTTTTGTGCAGTGAGGTCCTTATTTGCAAAACATGATGATTTGGGTCAGGTTTGCCAATCAGCACTTTCTTTTCTCCAGCCAGGGAAATTATAGAGATAAATTAGATAAAACATGAATGTTCTTGGATTCTGTAGAAATATATGACATGCAAATTACACAGGTTGCAAATAATGTGCTGTGATTGAATAAATCAAGTGTTATTCCACCGACATCAGAGTTCAGGAACTTCCAACTGTGTATTTCCTCGAGTCTTTCTACTGTGAAAACATTTTGTGATGCATATCCTTTGGCAAAAATATGCTTGCAGTCGCAATCATGGTCACCTAACGATTTGATCAATAATCAACTAGTGTGAAGATGATGTGAGTAACTTATTACAGGGCAATGAAGCATGCTTAGAATTTATTGCCTTATGTCCCCGCAAATGTGAAATACGGGCAAGCTCATTCTGTAACACCTTGAAATCATTTCAGAGGTAATAGATTAGTCAGCTTCACTTAGCAAGCAAGCTGTGTTGATCATTTGTCATTTGTAGGTGGACTTTTTCTTCCCTTTTCCTCATTGTCTCAAGAATGAGGGTGATTTAAGGAGAGTCTGGCTTCTGGATGCATTTTCACCCTCACAGACCTTGTCCAAAAACTGGGATCTAGAAGACTTTGTGCAAAGCAATCAGATTTCATTTGCTACAGATGGTATTTTGGCCATCCTGGCAAAAGGCTGGCTTTCCTATCTGAGTGCTAAATCGATATTCCAATCTGGTCTTTTGGGAAAATTGGCTTGAACCTGCAGAAGAAATTCAACCAAAAAAAAAAAAAAAAAGGAAAAGGAAAAGAAAAGAAAATAGATTTGAATGTGAGCTGATTCCATTGAAACTTACTGCTTCTAGACTTACATTTTTCTTTTGAATGTCCACGAAGTAGGTCAAACACAAGGAAAATAGACAATGTCTAGTTAGACGTCTCTTAAGAACTAGATCTTTCTAAAAAGACTAAGTCTCAATGGATTTTCCTGAAAAATGCTGTTGCTGTTGGATGAACACCATGAGAATCCTTTCTTCAAGCAGTAAATGTGAGAATTGCTGGCCTCTTCCCGAATTCCAAAAGTTGGGCCAGTGATACTGACACAACCGTGTTATACATGTGTCAGTATGCTGGCAGTTTCAAAAGACAAAAACCCAACTTAAACTGTCTTCTGTCAGAAATAATTTATTGGCTAATGTAACAGAAAAGTTCAGGATAATCTTCAGGTATGGCTAAATCCAGGTGCTTAGACTCTGTAATTAGAGAGCCACCTGTATCTCTTGTCCTTGCTTTCTTCTATTTTGGCTTTAGTCAGCCTTTTTATTCATTGCAGCAAAATGTCCTCCAGCACTTCTAGACATCCATCCTGTTAGAAATAGTAACACACTATAAAGTGAATTTCTTTTTTGTAATGATTTCAGCCAAATCTTTATGTTGTGACTTATTGGTTATGCTTATGTACATTCCTGAACCAAAAGTGGTATCCAGGTGGAAAAAAATGCTCTGATCATTCATGCCTTAGTCAGATGACTACCCTTGGAGCTACCCTAAAATAAATTGATTCAATCTCACATAAACCAAATGGACTAGATTACGGAGCATTTCTTTCCAAAGGACAAAACATGGACTTTACTATAAACAGAGAACAGGTGATATGCAGCAAAAATCAACCAACCAACCAACAAAATACATTTGTCCATTGGGGATGGAGATGGGAAGGCTACTGGCATCAAAATTTATTCACATCCATCAACGTTTTCTTTGGCGAGGTCTCTAGGGGAATAATCAAACTGTGACCATTGTATCAAGCCTTAGGAAAAAATATTTTAAGCCACTTTAACTTCCCTTACCCTCTCCCATTCAAAGCCTTACTTTAGAAGATGTTCACAAAAGTCAACTTAATATAACTTACATTGAAAATTGTTACCAGTTCCTTGCATTTTATTCTTGATGAAAAAATTGAAAGGTACCAGTGATCCCGACATTCTAAAAGAAAAAAAGAACTTCCAGGATTCATATACAGCATATGAAACTGGAAAGGATTGTTTAATGAGAGCTTGAGTATAAGAGTGCTTACATTTTTAAACACCAAATTGAGAAGAGGAGTAATGGTTATATTAAATTTTAATGTTAGGGAAATGGGCTCTGTCAGGAGGTATATGGCTGGATAGGTTATAAAGTAATGTGAGTGCATTCAGACTTTGAATTTTTCCTAAATGCCATAGAAACCATTTTACATTAGTCACGTCTAACTTAAGAGAGAGAGAGCTTCAGTTCCTGGAGGAAAACTGCAGCTAGAAGTCTTGCCTTTTTATCCCCTATATGGACTCTTCATTATTCAGTGAACCTCAGAAACAAAAGGGCTTATTTTAAAGCCAAAAGATTTGTGTCCATGTCACAGTGCTGGAATTTTAATTCTTTCTCTTGGAAGATGAATACAAAGTAGGAGAGGTTCAAGAAGGATGAAAAGACCAAATGAGTATCAAAGAAGAAGTTGACCCTAAAATGTAATACCATGGCTCATCGTCTAATTAAATAAGGATCCAAATATAGGCTTATTAACAATGAGGACCTTTCTGTATGAGGCATTTTGCTTTGAAACACGTCTCCTTCAAAGCAGGGAAAATTTTTAAATGGCCCCTATAATCTATGTTCTTCAGTTTATTTATTGGTCTTAAAAGGGACCTATATAAAAATGGACTTTTCTGTGTTTTCATAGCACTTTGTCCATACTCCCATCAGAGAAACTCATTCATTCATTCAGTCTCTCACTCACTTGCTCATTTAAGAAGTATTCATTGAACAACTATGTGCCAGGCACTGGGTTTTCATCAGGGCACAAGACAGAGCCAGTGCTCTTCAGAAGCTGGCAACTGGGAAATAAGATTTAAAAAATAGTAAACAAGCAAACACACAACATAATACACACCATTATTAAGATACTTTAATTTCCCTTACCCTCTCGCATTGAATGCCTCACTTTAGAATAGGTTCACATCACTCAAATCAATATAACTTCCATTGAAAATTATTACAAGGTCCTTGCATTTTATTCTTAATGACAAAATGGAAAGGTACCAGTGATCCAATTGCTTCCATGCTATTTTAAGAAAGGAGAAGGGAGTGGGTACCTGTTATAGATTTAAAGAGACATAATCAAATGCAAATTGTGAACCTTGATTTGATCCAGGTTTTAACAAATCAACTGAAAAGGATGACTTGGGAACAGTTGGGAACATTTGAATATGACTAGGTATTGAATGAGATTAAGAAAACGTGTGTGTGTGTGTGTGTGTTATGAAGGAAATCTTAGGTTTTTTTTTAACATTTATTTATTTATTTAAATTGACAAAAATTGTGTATATTCATCATGTATACCATGTTGTTTTGAAATATCTACACAGTGTGGAATGGCTAAATCAAGCTAATTAATATATGTATTGCCTCACATATTTTATCTCTTTTTTTATGGTGAGAACACTTAAAATGTACTGTTTTAGCAATTTTCAAGAATAGAATACATTGTTATTAACCAAAGTCACCATGTTGTACATTAGATCTCCTACATTTATTCATCTTATTTAATTGAAATTTGGTGTTCTTTCGCCATTATCTCACCAAACACTCCTTCCTTAACCTCGGTCCTAGCAACCCCTATTCTACTCTCTTCTTCTGTAAGTTCTTTTTTAGATTCCACATATAAATGAGGTCATGTGGTATTTGTCTTTCTGTGCCTAATTTATTTATAATGGTAAAAGACAATGCTTTTCCCTAAAATCTTTAAAAGAACAAGGTGTTTCACTCTCACCACTTCTACCCCACATTGCACTGGATGTTCTAGGGCAATTAGGCAAGAAAATGAAATGAAAGATATCTATATGAGAAAGGAAGTAAACCGACCTCTATTCATAGATGGCATGATCTTGTAGAGCTATCATCCTAAGGAATCCATCAAGAAGCTATTAGAACTAATAAATACTTCCGTCAAGGTTTCAGAGTGGTCCATTATATTTCTATATATTAAAAACCCAAAGGGAAAATGAACAAAACAATTCCATTTACAATAGCATCAAAAAATATAAAATACTTAGAAATAAATTTAACAAAAGAAGTACAAAAGTTATTCTCTGAAAACTATGAATATTGTTAAAAAAATTAAAGAAGATCTAAATAAATGGAAAGTCCTATTCAGAACAAGACAGGGCACAGGCAATGTTTCATGCAACAAAGCTTTATTGGGTAAATTTGTGCCAAATACTCTTCTAAGACCCGGTAATTTTTTTTTTAATGATAAGACCTAGTTACTGTCCTCAAATTTTTTAAGAATTTTAACATATATTTTAATTTTCGTAGTGGTTAACAGGTCTAGAACTTACTAGCTGTTTGACCTTGGGAAGTTAGTTAACATCTTTGTGCCTTTTTCTCTGTCTATGTGTGTATGTGTGTATGTGTGTACTAGCTTATTTTGGAAAGTTTTAAACACACATCAAAGTGCAGAGAGTAATAAATTCCCCATGTATCTGTCAACCAGATTCAGTAATTATCAACTCATGGTCAAATGTGGTTTTTGTTTAAAGGACGTCCCTTTCCCCTTTATGCCTCAACTATTGGGTTATTTTGAAGTTAATTCTGGATTTCATACTATTTTCATCTGTCAGCCCTTCCTTGGGTACCTCTAAAATTTATCATAACCATAGCACCATCATCACACACAAAAAATAATAATTCTTTAATTTTATAAACTAGCCAGTGTTCCAATTTTCTCGATCACATCATACACATTGTCTTTCAAATCAGGATCCAAACAAGGTCCACACATCACATTTGATTGATATGTCTCTTAAATCTCTCTTAATGTGCAAGTTCATATCCCTCTCTCCAACCCTCACTCTTGCAATTTATTTGTTGGGACAACTAGATTGTTCTGTAAAATCGCCATCCTGAATTTGGTTGATTGCACCCTGTATCATTTAATACATCACTCTGTCCTTTGATTTTTTTGAAAATCGAGTCAAGTCCTCTTCCCACTCCAAGGATGCTACCTAGGCCATAGGTGGTGCTATGTGTATCCTGCCAGGAGGCCCAGAATGTCTGGTGCTCTGCTTCTTCCAGGCCATGGCTGATGAGTGGGTTTAAGTATTGTCAGCCCAATCCATCTATTAGTAAGTGTTCCTCATTAGCTTTTCACCTCATGACTTTTGCAGCCCTCGATCTACTATTTTAGTAGGAGTTGGAAGGTGGTAACTCCTACATGCGTTACCTGCCTGGAACCCTTCTGTGCTGAAAACCTCCCCTGAGCTATTGTATGGTTACCTTGAGATACAGTCCACACCTGGATAGCAGGACAAATGCATGTTTGTTTCCGTCTTTATTCACTGGAATTCCAAAAAGTTGACAAATTAGGTTTCTTTGGTTTGTTGGTTTGGTCTTAGCATTATTTTTTAGTAATAAAATAGTTCTCCTCCTTTTCCGTGGTTTCACTTTCCAAGTTTCAGTTACCCATATTAAGCCTTGATCTGAAAATATGATCTGGAAATGAAAATTTCCAGATATAAACCATTCATAAGTTTTAAATTGCACACCGTTCTGAGGAGTGCAGTGAAAGGAGGAGTTCTGGGTCTGGGGCAGTGAAAATGTAGGATAAATTAGAAGCATCCTGTAGGGTAGGAAACCCAGAAAGCTGTGAGACTCCTGAAATTATGTCAAAAAGACTCAGGACCCAACATGAAGGAGCTTCCCATGAGGAGTGTGATGAAATCTCATTCTGTTTCGGCTCCATCCTGGGCAGTTGTGAATTATCCCTTTTTCCAGCATCTTCACACTGTCCCCCGACCCTTTGAGTAACTGAGAAGCCCTCTTGGTCATCAGATGAAAACAACAGCATATATAGTCTTCAGAAAAGGGAGGACTACTGTATTATGAGTGTATTTTTTAACACATTTGTTTTTCAATCTTCTTTTTGTTTTGTTTTGTTTTGAGACTCAGTTCTTTTTATCTTTGGCCAAGGGGAGCTCCTTCATGTTGGCTCCTGAGTCTTTTTGACATAATTTCAGGAGTCTCACAGCTTTCTGGATTTCCTACCCTACAGGATGCTTCTAATTCATCCTACATTTTCACTGCCCCAGACCCAGGATCCCCCATTTCTCCCAAGAGCCCTGGTTCTTCTCAGAGGAAAATGACATTCAAAGAGCACAGTCTAGGTGCTGGAGTTACCTAGTAATACAGAGCTGGTCTTTGCTTATTGGTGTTTTCATTGGGCAGAGACAGGAAATATGCTTGCTTCCTAAGAAAAAAATGCGTAATGGGTTTCTACTGCTATTAGCAAATTAAATTTATGGTTTCAAGGTTATTACTTGATTCTTTGATTTAACATGTAGTTTTACTTTTATGCTAGAAAAATTGGTTCCTAATGATATTAACATAATTACCTTTTTGTTTTAATTCTTCAGCTTTGTTGAGGTGTGATTGACAAAAATTGCATACATTTAGGGTGTACAACTTGATATTTTGATATACATTTATATTTTGAAATGATTACTAAAATCAAGCTAATTAACACAACCATCATCTCAAATAGTTACCTATTTTGTGTGTGTGTGTGTGCGCGTGTCTGTGTGTGCGTGAAGGCACATGAAATCTACTTTCAGCATATATGAAGTGTATGTCATTATTAACTATAGTCACCATGTTATGTATTAGGTGTCCAGTACTTATTCTTTAATTTTAATCATGTTTACGTATCCAGGTGCATATGATTAATCATATATGTGCATGCATGTGAATGTGTGTCAGAATGATACCACTATAATCATTTGTATATATGTATGATTAATCACATAGACATATATGTGTGAGAGAGAAAAAAATACCAGTTATTACTAAAATAATTTTGCCCTTATAATGTAACCTATTAAGGATATACAATCAAATTACCATGTTTTAAAGTCACTTAAAATATTTTTTCTCTGAGTGGTTGAGATACCAATCAATACCCATTAGGCTGACTTGTTTTATTTCACTTTTTATTTTAGGGATTGCTTTTTTTAAGTATTTGTTTCATTTTTGTTTTAAAACTGTGAAACTTAAATCAAGACATACTCAGGGAAGTTTAGCTTACATCTCTGCCTCTTGACCCGTTTCTTCCTTTACCCTATGGATAACCTATTATTTTTCATGTTCTAATTTGTCCTTTCATTGATTATAAGATAAACAAATGTGTATATGCATTTGTATAATGCCCATTCCTTAGATAATATGTGGATACTATATACTGTTCTATACCTTGCTTTTTCACTTAAAAATATATTCAGGAAATCACTCCATGGAAGAGTATTAAGATATTCCCCTCTTTTAAGCATTTGCATAGTCCTACATGGTGTGCACATTCCACTGCTTATTAAATTGGTTGTCTACCAGTGGACGTATGGGTTGTTCCCAATCTTCTGCTGTTTTAGATAGGACTTCAATGAATAGCCTTGTACATATGGCTTTTTAAAAAATATTTTTAGAGCTATATTTTTTGGATAGATTCCCAAAAGAGGGAGCAGAGCACTAGATCAAAGGGTAGCTGCATAGATAATTGTGTCCTACCTTGCTACATTCCACATACCATTTTGTTTTCTAACCAGCAACGTTTAAACATGCTTCTCTCCCCACAGCAAAACCAAGAGATGATTTTTGTCACCCTAATAGGCAGGCAATAATATCTCCTTTACCACAAAATGGCAGATTGTCAGAGCAACTCAAGCAAGTCAGATGTTACCTACCACTAGACTACACTAATGATTCAAAAACTAAAGCAAGTAGCAACAAAGACACAGCATGCTTCTCTATAGGGACCCCAACCCATCAGATGCAGCTTCCAGAAAAATAGTTCTCTTTCTCACATTGGAACATGTTTTGATGTCAAAGTAAGACAAATACTAACAATACGTGTGATATACATCAGCTCAGAGGAAGCTTTAAACACTTTGGTGCTTCTTTGTTTTTATTCTCTTGTTAGTCATGCAGAGAGACAGTCTATGCAACCCAGCTTCCATTCTGCCACTAGCTCTGCTCTATATGTTAATAAATTCTGGGCCATTTATGACAAACATGGTAGACAAACCTGGTGTATCTTGGTAAAAGCTTTAGAAAGTTTAAAAGGAGATCTGTTTAAGGTTAATCCTCCCAGAGTGAGAGGCAGGGAGTCACAGATCTGCTATTGATTCTCTCCTTTCCAAGTGATTTTTAACTAGCGTCTTATTTATGAGTCCAGTTTGAGCACCTTATATTATGTTAAAGTATATTTGTATTTTTACTGTGAACCATCTGTTCATATCCATTGCTTGTTTTTCTCATAGAATTGTTGAACTTTTTTTTAGAGTCTTTTTCTGTCTTAAGGGTATATAAATTGCACATATTTTTTTCCTGTTTTGTAATTTACATTTTTAGTTTGCTTATAGTGCAAAAGTTTATTTTTAAGTAACTAAATTCAGAGTCCTTTCCTTTTTTGCATGCGGACTTTGAATTATTATTAGGAAACCTTTATCATAATTTATAGAGAGATTCATCAATGTTTCCTTATATTAATATTTGTATTGTTTCATTTTTTTCATTACATGTAAATCTTTGACCATTTGGAAATCATCATTGCACACAGTTTGAGAATTATATCTAACTTTATATTTTTCCATAGAGTAATCCAATTATTTGAACATCACTTATGAAAACATCCCTTTTTACCCAATTGAGTTAAAATACTGATTTTTTTGTGTGTACTAAATTTGTTTATCCAATTGGATTAATTTCTGGATTTCTCTTCTGATTCATTGTTCTCTATATCCACCCATGCACCAATATCACATTGTTTTATTGGAAAGGCTTTATATATGTTTTAATATCTGGTAGGACTGGCTATTTCCCATTCCACCATTATTCTTTTTTTTTAAGGGTTTTCCTGATGGTTTTTGCTTCTTTGATTGGCCAAATAAGCTTTATAATAAACTTGTCTAGCTCCAAAAAATGTTTTTGTATTTTTACTGGAATGATTGTTGAATTTATAAATCGAGTTACAGAGAATTGACATTTTTATAATACCATTTCTTCAAATGACACTGTCTCTTTTTTTTTGTTCAAGTTAATTTTCGTGTCCTTCAGGAGTATTTTATAGTTTTCTTAATAGTTCTTGAACGTTTCTTGTTAAGTTTACTTCTATGTTATTCACTCATTTATCTTTATTTTTCTTCTCTCTCATTATATCTTCTACAGTTTATCAACTTATATACAGTAAGTCCTCACTTAGTATCATCAGTAGGTTCTTGGAAACTTCAACCGAAACAACATATAATGAAACCAATTTGATCATAGGCTGGTTGATATAAATGGTGACTAAGTTCCTACAGCAAATTTCTGGTCACAAAAACATAACCAAACTTCAAAATAAAGATCAAAACATTTCTAATATTAAGCACTGAAACAAATGTGAGCTATACATACATTTAAGAAAGATTAATAAAAACAAGTAAGACAATTATTTATTCAATGATTCCAGTTCAGGGTCTCAGTTGGCTGGAGCCTGTCCCCAAAGCTCAGGGCACCAGGTGGGACCCAACCTGCCCAGGACACCATCCCATCACAGAACGCACTTACATACACCCAACACCCACTCATACTGGGACCATAGTCAGGCCAATTCACCTAATGAGCACAGCTGTGAGACGTGGGAGGAAACTTGAGTAGCCAAAGAAAACCCTCGCAGACACAGGGAGAATGTGCCAACTCCATACAGACAGTGGCCCCAGCTGGGAACTGATTATTTTTTCTCATCAACATAGCGAAACAGCACTAAAGGAAGCAACAACATTATTCAAAGACCTGCTGTACATGTAAAAGCTATTGGTTTTAGTATGTTGATTTTATACCTGCTACTTTAATATACTATTTTATTGTCTGTAGAAATTTTCCACTGTTGTGTTTAGGTTTTCCAGATATATAAATATGTCATCTAACATAAAGATGGCAATGATGGAAACTGGGGACTAACGGTTGAAAAACGAATGAACAGATACCACCCTCAGTACCTGGGTGATAGGATTAATTGTACCCCTAACCTCAGAGTAATACAATATGCCCAGGTAACAAACCTGCACATGTACCCCAGAATCTAAAATAAAAGTTAAAATTCTAAATAAATAAAAACTAAAATTAAAAAATTAAGAAATGAAAAATTTAAAGTATTTTCACCTCTGGAAAAAAAACACATCATTTGAAAATAGGCATAGTTTTGCCTCCTTTTTTCTAATTCTTACACTTCTAATTACTTTTTCTTATTGTGCCAGTTTCTTAAACTGCAAAATGAAAGCAATAATTTTATCTATTTTATAATTTTGCTGTGTGTATTAAGGATATAAAATATGTGAAATGCTTACAGCAATGCCTGGAATGTAATAAGCCCCTAATCAATATTGCATAATTATTTCAACATATACGCATATGTATATGTTCATATATATATATGAATTCTTGTGTTTGATAAAATAAGCCCTCTAGAGTTAAGCAGTTTTTTCTAATGTCAAGCATTTGCATACCTGCAATTTGGAACTCTGTACATTAAAATCACTTTCTGAAGAGATTAGTCTTTGCAAAACTTTGGTCATTTATGTGTCATCTTCCCAAGTTTTGCCATATCCATGTATCATATTATTTCTATTCTTACTTATTTAATGCTTTTCTTTAAATGGAAACGTCCTCTTTTTTCCTTTCGTATGTAAATATATATGTGAATATATTATATATAAATTAATACAAATATAATATGTCACTGGCTTAAAAGGAGAAACAATATTTTTCAGATACATATGAAAACAAAGGCATTAGTTTTTTGTAAAAAAGTTCAACACCTGAAGTCACTTCACATCCAAAATGTTGGGAAACTAGTGAATTTATACTTTAAGCATCAGTCTTTTTTTCACCATGTTAGATAGTTGACAAGCTTAATTTTAAAATCCTCTTGAGTGGATTTTATAATCAGTTAATGACAATTAGAATATAAACTCTACAAAGGTGAGATCTTTGGTTTTATTTTTTGTTGTTGAAACAGGGTTATATTCATCAGGTTTCTCTAGACGGACAGAACTAATAGGACATATATATATATATATATATATATATATATATATATATATATCCGAACTTATTAGGTAGTATTAGCTTACATGATCACAGGGTCCCACAATAGGCCATCTGCAAGCTAAGGATCAAGGAGAGCCAGTCCGAGTCCCAAAGCTGAAGAACCTGGAGTCTGATGCTCAAGGGCAGGAAGCATCCAGCACAGGAGAAAGATGTAGGCTGGAAGGCTAAGCCACTCTAGCCTTTTTAGGTTTTTCTGCCCTCTTTATATCCTGGCCGCACTGGCAGCTGATTAGATGGTGCCCATCCAGATTAAGGAGGGGTCTGCCTTTCCCAAGCCACTGACTCAAATGTTAATATCCTTTGACAACACCCTCACAGACATATCCAGGAACAATACTTGGCATCCTTCAATCCAATCAGGTTGACATTCTGTATGAACCATCACAAGGGTCTTGCTGTGTTGCCTAGGCTGGTCTTGAACTTTTGGGCTCAAGCAATCCCCTTGCCTTGGCCTCCCTAGTAGCTGGGATTATAGGTGCATGGCACCAACCCAAAGGTAGGATCTTTGGTCTTATTCACTGCTCAATAAATATTTGTGGAATTAATTAATTGATTCAGTTATTTACTCTCTTCACTTTCTTTGTGCCATGCTTTGTGGGTGAAATGGGAATTGTGATAACATGTTTCACTATGATGGTTATGGTTATTGGGCATTCCGTAGAGGAAATGGAAGAACTGGGAAACTTTGGGTCACTTCTAGGAAATTCATAAAGAAATAAAGAATCCCATTGTTCGTGGCTACTTGTGTTTTTAAGAGCTTTTCCTCAGGATATTTGGCTTTGATACTGAAGCACGTCCTCATTCACATTTTTTTCCCTTGCTTCTGGAAGTTTCCCTGTAGGTTAATTTGAGCCAGGAGGTTTTAAATTTTTGCAGAGGGCAGTGCTGATGCTATCACAATATAATTGGAAATTTTAAAATGTGGGGTAAAATCCAGCTAGGGTATATTTGGCTTTGGTTGGATCTGCAACTTACATAACCAGCAATAACTTGGTCCCAAATGCTGAATGTTGCCTATAATTAGAAAGACCCACTTTTATAATTGAGGGTTAAAATTATTGTAACCAGTGTTTAATGGGATTACTTAAGGTATTCTTATAATCAAGATTGTGTAGGCATCCTGTTTATGTCTTTTGAAGTAAGATTCACAAAAATTGTCCCTTTAAGAAAATAAGGCCACTTTATAAAGCATGTTTCTCTTATGTTCTACTTTGCTAAATGACATAGTTTGTAAGTTTTCAAAGAGCCATCTGCATTCTATAATTAGAGCAGTATATTTTTCTTCCAAACATTTGACAAATTAAGGATCCCAAGGTCTCAAACATTCACAGCATGTGCATAATGCTAGAAGCTTCTATATATATCACTTCAAGATTAGGATAGGCCATTAGTAGGAAAAACAAGATTAAAAGAAAAAAAAGAACTAGACTTGGAGCAATACTTGAGTTTAAAGTCATGGCTCAGCCATTCACCAGCTTGGGAAATTCTCTGAACTTCAGTGGGCTTTAGTTTCTCTGCAAAATTGGAAGAGTAGAACAGGGAAGATAAGAAAGGGTCTGAAAGGGAGAGTAGCTCAGTTCAACAAATATTTTCCCGAGTATCTTTCATGTGTCAGGTTCTTCCTAAGTTTAGATGAGAGAAAAATAGAATAGACTCCTTACCTTTAGGAAGTATATAGTCTATTTTGCAAGACAAGAAAATGAAGGTAATTATAGCATAGAGAGGGAGAGAGTGTCAAAATGTAAAATAAGTGTGGATGAGAGGCCATAGGATAAGTAGATAACCATTTCTTCATTTATTTATACAATGGATATTGATTGGCACCCTTTCTGTGCCAGAGACTGATGACACTGGAGATCCACCATTGAATAAAACAAAAAAATGCTTCTGCTTTCATGGATAAGTGCCATTTCATACATGCCGTGGGTTGGCTGGGGGCACAAGGACTATGAAAAAGAATAAAGTGGGGATAAAAAAGCAGAGAAGGAGGTGAGGGTAGAAAGAGGAGATGTCTATGATAAGAGGATGCTTAAGCCAAGGCTTTCAGGAGGTAAGAGAGTGAGCCATCTGTCAGAAGTGTGTTCCAGCAGATGAAAGTGTGACCTTCAAGCTCTGAGGTTGGAGTGTACTTGGAGAATAACAATAAATGAGAATGGAGCATAAATATTTTAGGGCCTCACCGGCCGTGGTAAGGATTTCAGATTTTACTCTGTGGGTAATGGGGGCCGTCCGGTTTTTTAGACAAAGAGTGACATGACTCTGGCTTCTGTGTGAGGCAAGGTTATTAAGGAAAGAAGGTGAGACAATTGGACAGATACCAGATGCTATGACTCCTAAAGGAAAGGGTACTTTTACATCTGGATGTGGTGTAATGGCTGGAGAGAGGCTAGGACAGTGCTGAGCCATGGCTTGGCCTGTGGAAACTGGGGTGTGGAAGAAAGTATCACTCTCCTTCAATGGTCTACAGAAATACAAAGACTCCAGTTGATACCAATAAATAGAACAGATGATAAGGAGGTAGATTGAGGAAGTAGGGGGATGCATGGTAGTGATTTAACTGGTTTTCCAAGGAGCGCAAGGTTTTGGAAGAGGGGAAGAAGAAGGAGGTAGAGAAACATAAAACAGTACTTGGATAAAAAGTGTTCACAGGAGGATAGCCGGCCTGAGGAGCTTCCATTTTCTGTAGCAAAAATACGTAGCTGGGATAGAAGAGCCAATGATGATAAATTGAGATTCAAGTTCCAGTGCAGCTATGAAGTCTGTGAAGGCAATTTTTCAATAAATGCTAATTTAAAACTACGTATTTAGAATTTTTCCTACCACACGCAAATCCTTTACCATGATAATTTCATGCTTCAGAAACATATTATCTAAAATAATTAAAGATTTGGGCAAAGATTTAATTATAAATGTATGTAATGCAGCATCATTAATAACAACTTAATTTTTTAGAGTCAATGAGTCTAGCAGCATGCATTGTTAAATGTATAATAGTATATCCTCACAATATATATTAGCTCACAATATATACAATATTGATTATGTACAATGATATATAATAAAATGGAACATATCTATGGTACATTATTAATCAAACAATGCAAGTTAAAAACAAGTTTCTTATTTTCCATTAACATATGAGGATCTTCACATGTCATATCTGAGATTTCTTTATCAGGAATCTGTGGTTGAGGAGAAAGTAAAAGTGATATAATAATTTTATATAGTATAAACACAACAATGAATAAACTACTTCAAAAAGTAATCCTTGCTTAAATATTGCTCCCTCCTCAAAACCAGTGCCCATCGCAATAATGTCCTAGTTGTGATACAAAGTTGACTTTTGGATGTTCTAAATATGAGGGGACTTCAAAAAGTTTATGGAAAAATTGAATTAAAATATAAAAATAAAAAATACAAACGTTAATTTTCAACATAGCCTCCATCAAGTTCAAGACAATTTTGTAAGCAATGATACCAGCCATTTAGTCCATCCCTAAAGAACTGAGGGTCTTGGGAATTTAACCATATCAATGCAATCTTTTTTACATTATTAACTGAAGAAAAGTGGGTACCATTTACAGGTTTTATAAAGATTAGGCAACAGGTAAAAGTCAGAAGAGCCAAATCAGAACTCTAAGTTGGCAGAGCATGGTGGTTCATGCCTGTAATCCCAGCACTTTGGGAAGCTAAGGCAGGAGAATTGCTCAAGCCGAGGAGTTTGAGACCAGCCTGGACACCACAGTGAAGTCTTATCTCTGCCAATAATTAAAAAATTAGCTGAGCATGGTGGCATGTGCCTATAGTTCCAGCTACTTGGGAGGTTGAGGTGGGAGGATTGCTTGAGGCCAAGTAGTTGAGGCTTCAGTGAGCTGTGATCACACCACTGGACTCTAGCTTGGTGACAGAGTGAGACCCTATCTCAAAAAAAGAAAAAAAAGAAAAAAAAAAGAACTCTTAGATGGATGCCTGTTGATTCCCCATTGAAAGTCTTTAAAAATTGCCTTTTTAAAATAAGGGGAATGAACAGGACCATTAGTTTGATGGGGAAGGACCGTCTGGTGAAGATTTCTTGGGTATTTTTTTTTGCTAAAATTTTGGCTTTCTCAAAACACTCTCATAATAAGCAGATGTTATCATTATTTTTCCCTCCAGAAAGTCAACAAGCAAAATGCCTTGAGCATCCCCTATAAAACTGTTGCCATGATCTTTGCTCTTGACTGGTCCACTTTTGCTTTCACTGGACCACTTCCACCTCTTCGTAGCCATTGCTTTGATTGTGCTTTGTCTTCAGGATTGTACTTTTAAAGTCATGTTTCACTTCCTGTTACAATTCTTTCAAAAAATGCTTCAAGATCTTGATCCCACTTGTTTAAAATTTTCATTGAAATCTCTACTCTTGCTGCAACTAATCTGGGTGCAACGGTTTTGGTACCTATTGAGAGGAAAGTCTGCTCAACTTTAATTTTTTAGTTAGAATTTTGTAAGCTGAACTTATTGAGATGTCTATGGTGTTGGCTGTTGTTTGTGCTGTTAGTCGTCAGTCCTCTTCAATTAGGGCACAAATGAGGTGAATGTTTTTCTTGCAAATTGATGTGGATTGCCTGTCACTGCAGGCTCCATTTTCCATATTGTCTTGTCCTTTCTTAAAACAACTTGTCCATTTGTAAACTGCTGATTTCTTTAGGGGATTGTCCTCATAAACTTTGCATGAAGCATCAGTGATTTCACCATTCTTCCACAGAAGCTTTATGATCAATGTTTGTTCTTGCTTCAATTTTAGCAGAATTCATGTTTCTCTGATGGGGCTCTTTTTCAAACTGATGTCTTACCATTCTTAGTGCCTCCAAATAGATCCCGTTCAGACATTTGATAACAAATTAGTACAATTTTATTTTGGTGCAAAAAAAAATTGAAATTCATACATAGCTTTTTCATAATACATATTTTTCATGACCTTTTTGAAGACCCCTTGTATCTGAAAGGGATCACAAAAAGGACCATATGTGTTCACTGGTTATTGTAAACCACAAAAAGGGCCCTAATATTCACCAATTTCAATCCCAGAATGTGGTTCTCCATATGTTGTCTTTCTTGATGCATTTGGTGTCTTCATATACACACTAATAAAGGTTCTCTCTTGACCTGGTTCATCTATGGGTTTTCTTATTGTTCCAGTACCAGGGAAAGGCAGACAAGTCTTGACGAGTCTTTAAGTGAGGGCAGAGCAAGATGGATAAAAATCTACCAATTTAGATTGGTAGATTGTGATGAAGGTTCAGATCTTCATCATCCTCTTCGCTCTTTCCTTCCTCATCCCGTCAGAGAGGTAGTATAATATGGGAATTAAGAGCCAGACTCTGGAGTCAGACTTCAATTTCTAACTAAGCAAATATCCTCGGGTTATTACTTATTCTCTTCACTCATCTATAAAATGGAGTAAAACATTTTATTTGTTTCACAGGATGGATGTGAGTCTTCAATGAGGTGGTATGTGTAAAGTGCTTACAAGAGGGATGGGCATATATTAGGCTCCAATTTTATGTTAGCTACCATCTCCACCACACCTGAAACCAACACCACATCTTCATCATCACACCTGCCACCATGAGCATCATCATTCCCACCACCATTATGATCGCCATCCAATCAATGGTGCTGAGTGACAATGTCCACTTTCAAAATCAACCCTTCTAAATAATTTTCACTGTTAGATTTATTTTTAAAATTATATTTAAGCTCACCAGGTGGGCCACAATATCTAATAATTTAGTAGTAACTTCCATATCATACTACCTTTACTATTAAATGTTTAGCATTCAATAGCCATCATTATTAAACAGCTAAAATGATAATATTGATATTTGACTTGCTCCATTATTCCATTTCCATGTTTTAGATAAAAGCCCTGAATTTAAGTGTTCGATTTTTCAAAGTATTTGAGAATAAATCTATAGTGTTACAGGAATTTAAAGTAATAAATTATACCATATAAAATGCTTATCTTCCATTTCTGATCCAAACAATCTTGTATGTCTGTCTTCAGTATTAAAGGAAATTGAGGCTTATTATACCTTATTAGGGCAGAAGTGGCCTGCTCAATAATTCTTCAACTCTACTTTTTTACTAAGACAAGCCATGGTTTTGATGAGGACAACAACATATCCACTAAAAGTGTATGTTTCCCATCATCTCTTGAAGATAGGTCTTGCCATATGGCAAGGTCAGGCCCAGTGAGCTACGAATGGAAGTCTCTGGCTAGAACTTCCTAAGAAACACCTAAAGAACTTAACTTTCAGTACTCTTTTGTCCATTCTCCTTTTTCCTTGCTAGAATGTAGATGTAATGGCTGGAACAGCAGCAGCCATATAGTTATCATGATGCAAGCTTGAGAACAAAGCCATACATTAGAAACAGTAAAAACTGAAAAATAGGAGACTGAGATGTAAGAATAATCTGCATTATCTAGACTATCTACCTTCAGGCCTTCCGTTAAATAAAAGAGAAATAAGCCCGTAGTTTTTGGAACCAAAAAGAGCCCACATGGCCAAAGCAAGACTAAGCAAAAAGAACAAATCTGGAGGTGTCACATTACCTGACTTCAAACTATAATATAAAGCTACAGTCACCAAACCAGCATGGCACTGGTATAAAAATAGGCACATGGACCAATGTGACAGAACAGAGAAACAGAGAACCCAGAAATAAAGACAAATACTCACAGCCAACTGATGTTTGACAAAGCAAACAATAACATAAAGTGGAGAAAGGACACACTATTCAACAATGGTGCTGAGATAATTGACAAGCCACATGCAGAAGAATGAAACTGGATTCACATCTCTCACCTCATACAAAAATCAACTCAAGATGGATCAAAGACTTAAATCTAAGACCCTTTTAGACATTGGCTTAGGCAAAGACTTCATGGCCAACAACCCAAAACCAAATGCAACAAAAACAAAGGAAATAGATGGGACTTAATTTAACTAAAATGCTTCTGCATAGCAAAAGAAATAATCAGCAGAGTAAACGGACAACTCACAAAGTGGGAGAAAATATTAGCAAACTATGCATCCAACAAAGGACTCATGTTCAGAATCTACAAGGAACTCAAAGAAATCAGCAAGTAAAAAGCCAAATAATCCCATCAAAAAGTGGGCTAAGGATATGAAAAGACAGTTATCAAAAGAAGACATACAAATGGCCAAAAACATATGAAAAAATGCTAAATATCACTAATTATCATGGAAATGCAAATCAAAACCACAATGAAATACCACTTTACTCTTGCAAGAATGGCCATAGTTTCAAATTTTTAAAAAATAGATGAATAGAGGTTGGCATGGATTTGGGGAAAAGGGAACACTTTTACACTGCTGGTGGAAATGTAAACTAGTACAACCACTATGGAAAACAGTATGGGGATTTCTTTCTTTCTTTCTTTCTTTTTTTTGAGATGGAGTTTTGCTCTTGTTGCCCAGGCTGGAGTGCAATGGCATGATCTCGGCTCACCACAATCTCTGCTTTCCGGGTTCAAGCGATTCTTCTGCCTCAGCCTCCCTAGTAGCTGGGATTACAGGTATGCACCACCACGCCTGGCTAATTTTGTATTTTTCGTAGAGATGGGGTTTCTCCATGTTGGTCAGGCTAGTCTCGAACTCCCGACCTAAGGTGATCTGCCTGCCTTGGCCTCCCAAAGTACTGGGATTACAGGCATGAGCCACCGCACCCAGTCAGAGATTTCTTAAAGAACTAAAAGTAGATCTATCATTTGATCCAGCAATCCCACTACTGGGTATCTACCCAGAGGAAAAGAAGTCATTATATGAAAAAGACACTTGCACATACATGTTTATAGCAGCACAATTTGCAATTGCAAAAATATAGAACCAGCCCAAATGCCCATCAATCAATGAGTGGATAAAGAAAATATGATGTGATTATATATATATATACACACACACACACACACACACACACACACACACACACTCATACACACACACTCCATAGAATACCACTCAGCCATAAACAGGAACAAAAAAAGGGCATTTGCAGCTATCTGGATGGAGTTGGAGACCATTATTTTAAGTGAGGTAACTCAGGGATGGAAAACCAAACGTTGCATGTTCTCACTTATAAGTGTGAGCTAAGCTATGAGGACGCAAAGGCATAAGAATGATGCAATGGACTTTGGGGACTTGGGGGGAAGGGTGGGAGAGGGTGAGGGATAAAAGACTACACACTGGGTACAGGTGTACTGTTCAGGTGGTGGGTGCACCAAAATCTCAGAAATCACCTCTAAAGAACTTATTCATGTAACCAAACACCACCTGTTCCCCCAAAACCTATTGAAATAAAAAAAAAAAAAGAAAAAGAAACGCCTATTTTTAACCTGCGTAGTTCTTCTTGCCTCTCTTATTCTTTTCAATATGATACACTTACTAAAATAGACTATTCGAATTTGCCTTCATTTCTATATGATAGGTTAATGCTAACATATTGCTTTTTCATAATAAAAATATTTTTCTTATTCTTATAACCAATACATTAATACATTTGTGTTAAGAAACATACACTCTTGGCCAATAACTGTGATAGACATTGTGAAGAATGCAATGATTCTTTCAGATTTTGTATGAACTGGTAATAAGCTGCTTATAGACTGAACATTTACAAACCAGCGTGTAGTTTCATTACATTAATACATTAGCATCCAAAGCCTGGTTATTGCAGAAAAGTTGTAATAGGAAATATCTAGCCAGATTTCCCCTAGGATATTAAAACAATATATTTTGGGCACTGAATATTTGGTAAGAATCAAGACTAAAAACTGCATCTTGCAGGGTGTCATGACTTTTTAAACCCCCTCCCCTACACATAAAGCTATTTTCCAATGACAAGGAAAGTGCATTTTAGATGATAGTCCTAAAACTAGGCATTTCCTGTGAAATACATTACTATACATAGGAAATGTCATTTTGAGCCATAAATGCCTGTGAAAAGCCCATATTCTGAAAAAAACTATTTGTATTTAGGTCAACAACGTGTTTATTTCCCTAGATGTTTTTTGGGCTTTCTGAGTCTATCAGAGTGTTCTGCAATCCACAGAGCCTGAGTCCTTGTGGGCACAGATGTCAGAGGCATGTGTATGATTAAAAACAATCCCATCTCCAGGGAATTTTTGGCTAAATTCACAAGGGTCATGTTTTAAGGTGTAAGAATTCCCTCAATACGGTATATATGTAGTTTAAACATTGCAAAAAATGTTAAGGTATAATATTGTTCATAAACCACTGGATTTCTACAAATAAACATGGATCTGGGAAAGACCTGGGGATTATCAGTTTTTGTAGCAAAGTCCTGCCTTGAGACATTTAATGTTCATAAACTGTTGCTTCTTTTAATGAGTATAAACATTTGCTTCTTTAATATCCTCATGGTATAAGCATAACTCATTCATTCATTCATTTATTCATTTAGCAATATAGCTTTTCCAGGCACCCTTCTTAGTGCAAAAGTTACAGCAATTAACAAGAAAAAGAACTCACATCCTAATTGGAAGGAGAAAAACAAAAATAAAAATTTCTAAGTAAACACAACGTAATAATTTTGGGTAATTCCATAAAAAAACAAAGATATAAAATAAATGGTAGGGACAAATCTTGATAGAGCAATACGATGAAGTCTTTTCAAAGGAATGCATCTTATCATAGACCGGAATGATGAACAGTAGTGAATTATGCAAGGATCCACAGAGAGGGCCTTCTTTATAGCAGTAATAGTAGGAGCAAGGCCAGGCACAATGGCTCACACCTGTAATCCCAGCACTTTGGGAGGCCAAAGCGAGCAGATCACTTGAGGTCAGGAGTTCAAGACCAGCCTGGCCAACATGGCAAAACCTCCTCTCTACTAAAAATACAAAAAAAAAAAAAATTAGCTGGGCATGGTGGTGCACACCTGTATTCCCAGCTGCTCAGGAGGCTGAGGCAGGAGAATCGTTTGAACCCAGGAGATGGAGGTTGCAGTGAGCTGAGATCATACCACTACACTCCAGCCTGGGTGATGGAGTGAGACTCTGTCTCAAAAAAAAAAAAATTGTAGGTGCCCAGAGGCAAGGATGAATTTGGGCTGTTCATGGAGCAGAATAAAAATGGGGAGATTTTTGGATCAGGCTGAAAAGATACACAGGGAAAACATGTAGGGTTTCAAAGGCCACAGTTAGGAGTTGTCATGTACTTCTATTCTGTTGGAGGGATTAGGGGCGAGAAGACACAATCTAATTTCTAAAATGTTATTCTGGCTGCTGTGTGAAAAATGAATCAATATAGGGCAAGAGGGAACCAGGGAGACTGGTCAGGTGACTGTGGCCATCAGATAGGAAAGAGATGCAGTGGTTTAGACCTAAGGGAAGCCATAGAGATTGCTTACAATTCATTTAGATGTTGCACTCGTGCATGAAGAATATTAAAACTCACAATGATATTTTGAAAAGGTACTATTATTATTCCCATGTTTCAGATGAGGAAATTAGAGCTGAGAGATATTTAAAAAGTTTCACATGGTCGTCTAGTTGGTAAGTGGCAGATCCTACACTAACTCAGTGAACCTTCAAAGAATATGCTCTTAAGTGGCCCATTACAATGACTTCAAGGAAACAGATGCTGTAGATTTTCACAGAAGGGATGTTGGGAGTGAAGACCACAGGCTCAGGGTACGAAAGCATCTGACTCTCATCTAAGGAGGAAATTTTGCTCCACAGGCCTGTCAAGACTATAAAGGGTCTGAGGTTTTATCCTACTTGTAGACAAAGTCTGATACAGCTGGCAGAAGACATGATGCTTTTGGGTCAGAAACAAAAGACTGTATTATGCATGGTAAATATCATGAGCCTCATGTTTGTGTTGGCTCCTACTGCCCTCCAAGTCTCATGGTTGGGAGGACCAGGGTTGTCTGCATAGAGGGGACCAAGCAGGTTTGCATTGCAACTGAGAAATATTGAGCTTGAGGAATTCACTGCTGTTACAATAGTGAGCAGTAAGTAAGCCTACTTGTTGTCTAGGAGGAAAGATTACCTCATCCCTCCAAGTTTCTGACTGCAAACAGAAACCTCAAAAGCTACCTGGGTCAAGAACAGTCAGGGCCTTGCATTCTTGGCATGGCCGGCAGGAAGGTGCAGGAGTGTTCAGAGCCCGTGGCCACTGCTCCTTCCCGCTCAGACTTTCAGCTCACCTCAGAGGGAAAAGAGCCATCTTCGGAAGAGCCACTTCCTCGGGATCGATACCAGAAATTGCAGCAAATTTAATCTCACACGGTTTTAGAAAAGGGCAGGAAACGACAGGAAATCAGAGTACAGTTGACCCTTGGACAACAGGGGGGTAAGGAGTGCTGACCCCCCGTGCAGCTACAAATCCAGGTATAACTTTGATTCCCTGAAAGCTTAACTATTGATAGCCTACTGTTGACTGGAAGCCTTACTAATAACATACACAGTCCATAAACATGTATTTTGTATGTTATATGGATGATATACTGTATTCTTACAATAAAGCTAACTGGAGAAAAAAGTTATTAAGAAAATTATAAAGAAAATAAATTGACGATTCATCACAGGGAAGTGAATCATCATAAAGATCTTCATCCTCATCATCTTCATGCTGAGTAGGCTGAGTAGGAGGAGGAAGAAAAGGGGTTGGTTTTGCTGTCTCAAGGGTGCCAGAGGCAGAAGAAATTTCACGAATAAGTAGACCTGCACTGTTCAAGCTGTGTTGTTCAAGGGTCAACTCTACTGGTATAACAGTATGAATTCTAGCTGGGTGTGGTGGCTCATGCCTGTAATCCCAGCACTTTGGGAGGCCAAGGTGGGCAGATCAAAAGGTCAGGAGTTCGAGACCAGCCTGGCCAATATGGTGAAACCATGTCTCTACCAAAAATACAAAAATTAGCCAGGTGTGGTGGCGCACGCCTGTAGTCCCAGCTACTCAGGAGGCTGAGGCAGAAGAATCACTTGAACCTGGGAGGCAGAGGTTGCAGTGAGCCGAGATTACGCCACTGCACTCCAACCTGAGTGACAGTGCAAGACTCCGTCTCAAAAAAAAAAAAAGAGCATGAATTATTTTGGCTACCAGTAAGCATATTCACTTGCTGGGCTCTTAAAAGGAGTGTTTTACTTTCTCACATAAAACAGAGTTCTAGAGAAAGGTGATTTGCTGGTGATGGTTCAGTAGTTCAACCTTAGGCTCCAGGTCAGCTTCTTGTAATTCTCTAAACCCTCCACTCACAGTTACAAGATAGTCCTGACACTTCTTAGCACGGTATCTTTAACCAAAACATTTGAAAGCAAGGAGGAGTGGTGCAGAGTATTTCTTTTCCAACTCTATCCTCTTATCTGGTGGGAAACTCATTATCCCAGCGCCCCCGCAGAGATTTTTGCTTTTATTTCTCTTCTGTCACACCTGGGTCACATGATCACCCTTAGATTGGGGTCTGCTTCTCTCTTTCCTGAGGAATCTCTGCCAGACAGTTGAATAAAATTGAGGCTCTATGTCTTAGTCCTTACAGGCTGTTGTAACGATATACCATAAACTGGGTGGCTATAAACAACAAACTTTTATTTCTCACAGATCTGGAGACTAACAAGTCTTAGATCAAGGCACTGGCTGATGTAGCGTCTGATGAAGGCCCGTTTCCTGGTTCATAGGCACAATCTTCTCACTGTGTCTTCACTTCATGGAAGGAGCCAGGGAGTCTCTGGGGCCCCTTATATAAAGACATTCATCTAACTCACGAGGTTCCCACCGTCATGACCTACTTACCTCCTAAAGGCCGCATCTCCTTCTACCATCCCATTAGTGATTCGGTTTCAACATAGGAATTTTGAATATGAATATATGAATATGTGACTATGAATACATGAACAAACAGCCAGACCATAGCATAATGTGATGTAGGAAAAAAGTTGCTGGCTTTTGGGTTGGCCTCCTTCTACCCTAGTTTCTCTCTGGTGTTTAGACAAGGGCATTGAGGAAGCAGGATGACCCGGCTTGCCATCATCACTAAAGCAAGTGGTGGCTTCCTAGGTTGTTATCCAGGGATAACAATGAAAAGGATTCTGTCGTTTACAACAGCCTGGTTGAAGATGGATACAGAGCCTGCCAATTAATTTGGCAAACAGCTCTACTTCAGTGAACTTTAAATAAAGAGCACAAAAGAGGACAAGTGGGAATGATTCTGCAATCTGACTCAAGCCTGGTGTGTTCCTGAGTCACTGAACAGAGCAGGGAGTAGGTTCTCGTGGCATATGCTGTCAATGGGCAGAAAGTAGAAGGTAGTGGAGCGAAAGCTGTTTGCGTGCCTGGAACCTGTCACAAAAATCCCAAACAAGCAAAATGAATGCTGCGTTTCCCAGTGGGTGACACAGCCCAGTATTCAGCACAGTCTGTTTGCTTGCAGGTTTAGTCAGCATTATTTTCTTCCTTTTAATAATATTCACCATATTGACAGTAATTTGCAGATTTTTAAGTTCTGCATATGTTCCTACTGAAATAATCCTCCTATTTTGCTTTCCTGAGACCTTGTTGAAAAAAAAAAAGAGAAGGAAAAAAAGAAAATTGTACATTAATCAGAAAACATCCTTGGAAAATTCTCCAGGCTTTTGCACATAAGGTCTTTCCCCTACGGAAATGACAATGACAACATTAAAAAATTTATTGTTATGAATGGGAATTATAATCATGGGATATTTTTTATTGAGAATTATTGTACACTATTAGGTTTGTAATGTATTTTTTAAAGGCTTTAAAAAAACTTCTTGGTGTTTTTACTTACCAAACACAGCACACTTATCACATAATCTATTATTGTCATTTATTAAAAGTCCTAAGTGTACCTAGAACTATGAATGTGTTTTTATGTGGACAGCTGTGTGTGTGTGTGTGTGTGTGTGTGTGTGTGTGCTTATTTGTATGTAGTAAATCTTAAAGGGACATCAAGGATGGATCCATATAGGCAACTGGTTCAAATATTGGCCCAAATTACAATATACTTAAACTAGAGAATTATTGTAGATCCAGTAGGTTCTGGTGGTTGAGAGTATGGCTCTAGGTTCTAGTCAGAGTCTGAGATTCCCATTCTTACCCTGGTGTTTGACCTCAGAAAGTTCCTTAATATCTCTGAGCCTTAGTTTCATCATCTACTGATTGACTTAGTAACAGCAAAAACAATATAGCAGTAATAGCAGTAATAATGATGAGCTGACACTAATGATACTATTATCTAATCGTTCCTGAGAAGAAAGATTTTAAGCACTTCTCATGGTTTCATTCATTTGCATTTTTTCCAGCTTTATTGAGATATCATTGACAAATAATAATTACATACATATTGTACATATGGCTTTAAATGATGTATTTAAGTTATACAAATTGATATTTTGATTTATTCATACTCTGTAAAATGATGACCACAACCAAGCTAACTAACATATTCATCACTCCACATAGTCACCATTTTCTTTCTTTTTTCTTCATTTTTTTTTTTTTTTTGGTGGCAAGAACACTTAAGATCTACCCTCAGCAAATTTCAGTTATACAACAGGATCACTATACAATACAGTCACCAGTTAACAACAATCACCATGCTGTACCTTAGGTCTCCAGAATTCAGTCATTTTGCCTAACTGAAACTTTGTATCCCTTGACTAACATCGCTCTATTTTCCCTTCTTCCCTCCTCCCCCAACAACTACCATTCTTCTCTCTGCTTCTATGAGTTTGACTTTTTTAGATTCCACAAATAAGTGAAATCATGCAGTCTTTCTGTATTTGTCTTTCTGTATTTGGTTTATTTCACTTAACTTTAACATCCTTTAGGTTCATCCATGTTGTTGCAAATGGTGATATTTCCTTTTTAAATATTATTAATAATACTAGGGGTTTGTTAGGATAAAATGTAATGTGATGTGTCTAGTACGATACTTCATTTATTGTGACTATTTTAAAATATGTAATAGCCAAACTAATATGAATTGAATGAATGAATTGGGCAAGCAAGTCAAAATGAGACAGACCAATTATGCGTCTAGATCCAGCCAAAGAGCTCCAGTCTGTATGGTTATTTAATTTTAAAAGCAATGCCAAGGCCTTCTGGGCATCAAAGTACATCCTACCCTGCTAGAATTCACAAAAACATGTGATAGGAAAGGATCTCTTGTCTAGATTCTTTTAAAGTAGACACTGAAAGATTCCCACATGTTTGAATGTAGATGTGGCTATTTCTAGCTAGAACCGCAAGAGTTTAATTAAATATTTGCACAACAGATTTTTTAAAAGAACGTTTTGGAAGGAGGGTTGCACCACCTGCTGCAGTTCCACGTCGGCTCATCGCCCAGTTGGCGTTTTCTTTTTCCGTGTCTGGCACACAGTAGCTGAGGACACCCGGCCCTCCCCACGGGAAAGGTTCAGATGGGCTTTTTGTGCCTCCTGGTTTCAGCTGAGTTGCTAAGCCCTTCCCTGTTGACTTTTTAATAATGAACACAGAAAACTGGCTACCATTCATTCATTCATTCATTCTCCAAAGAATACCCAGAGAGATCTTTGAAGAAAGTAAGTCAAATCTCTCTCTCTCTTTTTTTATTTTATTTTTTTAATGTTTAAAAGATTTGGCAGTTTCTCATGGTACCCAGAAGAAAAGTCCAGCCCCTTACCCCACCAGGGTCCCCTGGCTCGCCTGGCTCTGTCACACGTCACACTCTCCGTGTTGTTGCTTCAGCTGCCCCTGACTTACTGCCTTTCGCTGAAGCGGTCAAACTCACTCAGCCCCAGGCCTTGACTCCAGCAACATGTTTTTCTGCACCCCTTCCACAAGTTACTCAGCTCAGATATTTCTCCCCGGGGGAGGCTGCTATACCCACCCTACTGAACGTTACTCTCCCCAGTGCCTAGAACAGTGCCAGACATGTGAGTGGTGCTGGCTGTTAATTAACTTAAATTGCATGTGTTGCGCTTCTACTATGTGCAAACTGTTCTCTTTTTAAAAAAGACATTTAGGGCCAAACACAGTGGCTCACACGTATAATACCAGCATATTGGGAGGCTGAGGCAGGAAGATTGCTTGAGCCCAGGAGTTAGAGACCAGCCTGGGCAACAGAGCAAGACCCTGTCTCTACTAAACACTAAAAAAAAAAAAAAAAAAAAAAATTAGATGGGCCTAGTAGTGCACGCCTCTAGTTCCAATTACTCAGGGGGCTAAGGTGGGAGGATTACTTGAGCTCAGGGGTTCAAGGTTGCAGTGAGCTGTGATCTTGCCACCACACTCCTGCCTGCAACAGAGTGAGATACTTAACAACAACAACCAAAAAAAGTAGGCATAGAATTAGAAATGAGCATTCATGAGATTTTAAGTGACCCCTTAGAAGAAAAAAAGGGGCAGTCTCTCTAAACCTATCCTGGTTCCAGGGGTTACCCTGACCCTCCTGACTCCCCAAAAAGAAGAAGAGAATAATAGCAATGGCTAATATTTTGATCCATATGTTTGTCTTTAAATGGCTACAGTAGCCAGGCAGGTGGAAATCAACCTGATTTTAAAGAAAGGAGAAAAGGTGGGGCTTGTAGCCAAATTCAAGGGTCATGCCTCATCTAAAATAATTGAAATTCATTTTTTCTTAAAAAGGTAGCTTTTGCCACTGATTTGGCTGGCTGGTTTCTGATTCTTGAAACAGTGTTTACTCTGCCAAGTGCTCTCCTATGCACGTGACATATACTCTTTCACTGAACATCAGTTCACAGCCTCTCTCTGAAGGAGAGACTGTTGTTGACATCATTTCCATACATGGCACTTGAGGTTTATAAAGCAGGGCAAATTTCTTCTGCAAAGGGCCACATAATAAATATTTTAGGCTTTGTGGGCTATAGAGTCTGTGTCGCAGCTACTTAACTCTGCCTTTGTACCTTAAAAGCAGCCTCGGACATTATGGAAACAATATAACTCTGTCTACAAAAACAAGCAGCAGGTTGGATTTAGCCTGCTATCGTTTGCCAACCCCTCTTATGGGTCATAGGTAATTTGCTTGCATTTAAATAGCTGTTAAGGCCGGTCGCGGTGTCTCATGCCTGTAATCCCAGCACTTTGGGAGGCCAAGGCGGGCAGATCACGAGGTCAGGAGATCGAGACCATCCTGGCCAACATGATGAAACCCCATCTCTATCAAAAATACAAAAAATGAGCTGGGCGTGGTGGCACGTGCCTGTAGTCCCAGCTGCTTGGGAGGCTGAGGCAGGAAAATTGCTTGAACCCAGGAGGTGGAGGTTGCAGTGAGCCAAGATCGCACCACTGCACTCCAGCCTGGGTGACAGAGCAAGATTCCGTCTCTAAATAAATAAATAAATAAATAAATAAAAATAGCTGTTAAGTGGCAATTGGAGTTTGGACAAAGGTGGTCCTGCTTCCCGATTACCAGATTACCATCTTGTACTCCTGTCTCTCCTTCTGCTGGTCCATCCAGTAGGTCAGGGGCACTATAATTGGTAATAGCTGTAATAAATATTTATTGCATGCTTGCTATACACCAGGCATTTTCTATGGGACCTACCAAACATCTATCCATCTAGCTGCCTATCAACATCATCTATCTATATTCAATAATTTATCCTTACAATGTTGAAGGCAGATGCCACACCCGATATCTGAAACAAAAGGCTAAATTTATTGCTTGCTAAGCAAGGGAGAACTGTTCTGGTAAGGCTTAGTCTCTCTCTGAGCAAGCAGAAAAGGCTGCACTTTGCAGGGTTTGGGGCTCATCTTTTTAAGGGTTTGGGGATATGTGGAGTTGAAGGATTGGTGGGCTTTTTGAAGCACATGGTTGAGGAGCTGCTGTCAGAAGAGCAGGTTTGGGTGAGTTTTCTTTAGATAGTTTTGATGCAGGGCAGGTGAGCCCCAGAGGCGAGCTTAGCCCATGGGGGTTATTGGCTTTGCCTATGAAAGAATTGTAGGGTAAGCCGGAAGTAGAAGAAAACAGCTTTACTGAAGAGGCAGTGTTACAGCTCCAGCAGCGTTCCAGCTCTGTGACTGCTTCTGCAGAGCAGGGCTACCCCGTAGGCAGAGAGTAGCAGCTCAGGACAGTTCTGCTGTCATATTCATACCTACTTTTATTTATTTATTTATTTTTATTATTTATTTATTTATTTTTGAGATGGAGTTTCACTCTTGTTGCCCAGGCTGGAGTGCAATGGCGCAATCTTGGCTCACTGCAACCTCCACCGCCCAGGTTCAAGCAATTCTCCTGCTTCAGCTTCCTGAGTAGCTGGGATTACAGGCATGCGCCACCACGCCCAGCTAATTTTTGTATTATTATTAGTAGAGACGGGGTTTCACTATATCGGCCAGGCTGGTTTCAAACCCCTGACCTCAGGTGATCCACCTGCCTCGGCCTCCCAAAGGGCTGGGATTACAGGCAACAGCCACCATGCCAGGCCATACCTACTTTTAATTGCATGCAGATTAAGGGGTGGTTTATGTAGAAGTTTCTAGGGAAGGGGTAGTAACTTTTGGATCATTGGGTCATTGCCATGAAAAGGGGCAGCAGCTTCTGAATGTTGCCATGGCAATGATAAATCAACTTGGCACACTGGTGGGTGTGTCTGATTGGAAAGTTGCTTCTGCCATGGCCCTGTTTTAGATAGTCCTCAATCTGGTTCTGTGTCTGGGTCCCACCTCTGGAGTTGTGTCCTGTGTCCTTCCTCAGTTTGGGATGGAGTTGCAAATCATTTCTGGTGATTACTTCTGCCTGGGATGGAGTAGGACCAAAGTACAATCAGTAATTTGTTTCTCTTGAACTAGATTCTAAGAACTGTTGATGCTTATGACAATTCTATAAGGTAGGAACTCTTATTATTCCCATTTCATGTACGAGAAACCTGAGGCACATGGAGGTTGCGTGGATTGTCCAGGTTCTTAAGGCTGTTAAGGGGTCAAACCAGGATTTTTAAACTGAAAGTTTGGCTCCAGACTCCAGACTCTTAGCCAGGATTCTCTTCTGTCTCCCATGGCTAGTGTTTGCTTTCTGTGAATGTCACAAGTTGATCACTTACAGGCATTAAATTAATTCCTAGTTTGCATCTGTAGATTTTATTCGTGTTAGTCCATCATTTGTTCTCATCTCCATTCCATCTTGTAGGTAACAAATGACCACTTAAAGAACATCTACAAGGCCAAATTCCTAGATTTGAAATGCAGTGCCATTTAAGGTAATTGTTCCTAATATTTTTAGCTTCTAACCAAAAAGTCAGGCTTGCTTTTGCTGAAAGGTTAATAAGCAGAAATCTCTACTTCACAGAACATCAGGACAGATGAATGACTAGATGAACGATAATGCAAAATTATAGCCTAGTTTAACCCTACTGGGTTTGTTCTTGACTCTTAGATCAACCTTGCAAAAGGTTAAATGGGAAATTAAGGGAATAGAGAAGTCTATCTCTCTACAAATTTATGTTCCACCTCCTGCAGCTCACAGCACTAAACAGTCATGGCTTATAATTATAGCAGAAAGAGGAGAATTATAACTAGAGAGTGATAATTGTCTCCTACTCAAACACAGACAGGCTCAGAGAACAGAAGACTTGGACTCAGACTTATTTTCCCCAATAACTAGATATAAAATCATCAGATATAAAATCCTGCAAAATGGGCTGAATCTATCCCTATGTATTAGTTTCCTAGGACTGCCTTAACAATGTACCACAAACTGGGTGACTTAAAACAATAACATTTTTTTGTCTCATGGTTCTGGAGCCCAGAAGTCTGAAATCAAGGTGCAACGTTCTGACCGAAGCCTCAACGGGAGAATCCTTCCTTGCCTCTTCTAGCTTCTGGTATTTGCTAGCAATCCTTGCATTCCTTGGCTCGCAGATCCATAGCTTCAATCTCCGCCTCTGTTGTCACATGACCTTATCCCTGTGTGTCTCTTTCTCTGTGTCTCTTCTTTTCTTATAAAGCCACCATTTATATTGGATTAAAGGCCCACCCTACCTACTATGACCTCACCTTAACTAATTACATTTACAGTGATGTTATTTCTAAATGAGGTCACATCCTGAATTGTTGGAGGTAGGACATTAGCCTAGACTTTATTTCTAAATAAGGTCACATTCTGATGTGCTGGGGGTAGGATTTTAACCTCTCTTTTCAGAAGACATGATTCAACCCATAACACAAGGATTCCATATTTTTATTTGTTTTAGGATGATAAAATTGCCTTCTTCATTGGGGTACTAAGGGAAAGTATTGAGATTTAAGTGCTTTGAGGAAAAAGTGCTATGTAATTATTTAACATATCACTGCCAGATTAATCCAAAAGATGAGTACCAATTCACGAGACAGTCTTTATGAAGCCTAGAATTCTTTAATGCTGACTCCACCATCTTCCTTTATATAGGAGATAAGCTTCCAAAGATGCATTTTTGCCAAAATAGTAAGTAACTTCAAAGTAAGTGAGATATACACAAAAGGATCATAATTTCTGACCTAGATGTGATTCTGCAGCAAGTTTCACAAATTGCTTTCTTTATTTATAGGCTGGACACTTAAGAGAAAACCTGTTTCTCCCCAGAGATGCAAAGGAGTGTTTCTTTTGATTGTTCTGGAAGAAAAGGAAGGTTTCATCAACACAGACTATCTATATATTTTTTTTCACCAAACTTATAGAAAAGAATGACAATTCAGACCACAATTTAATGGAGGATGCAGGAAGTACACTCAGGCCTCTTAAAAGTAAGGTTTGCATGCTGAAAAAAATTCCCATAATCTTGCTTTGGATTTTGTTGCTCATTGACTCATCTATTCAACAAATATGGGGCACACTAAATGTCAGACACAGACATCAGAAATGCTAGGATATATAAGAAGTGGTCCATGCCACAGGTGAGTGGGGAGTATATGTTAATGAGACAGCCATGCTATGATAATTTCCACTGAAGAGGTGATGCAAAAATGCTGTGGTTACAACTCATGCCATTGACAAAAATAAGGAAAAGGTTTTCTTCAGGCAGAAACAAAATCAGGGAAAGTGACTATGTGTATTAGCCTGTTCTCATGCTGCTAATAATGACATACCCAGTACTGGGTAATGTATAAAAGAAAGAGGTTTAATTGACTCACGGTTCCACATGGCTCGGGAGGCCTCACAATCATCGCAGAAGGTGAAGGAAGAGCAAAGGAATGTCTCGAATGGTGGCAGGCAAAGAGAGAATGAGAATCAAGCAAAAGGAGGTTCCTTTTATAAAACCATCAGATCTCCTGAGACTTACTTACTACGATGAGAACAGTATGGGGGGAAACTGCCCCTATGATCCAGTTACCTCCCACCGGGTCCCTCCCACAACATGTGGGAATTAGGGGAGCTACAATTCAAGATGAAATTTGCTTGGGGACACAGCCAAACCATATCACTCTGAAAAGGCCAAGGAGTATAGATTCCATGTTATTTTTCTCTGTGTAGCTGGAGTGTAGAGTTGAGACGTGTGAGGAAAGTGGGTCAGTGAGAGACGAGGACAGAGAAGCAGGCTGGGCCATGTGTAGATATTTTCTTTATGTCCTGCAAAGAAGTTTGACTCTACTGTTGTAGAGTAAAACTTTTTTTCATTTCATTAATGCTATTTGCTTTTCTTCTTATTATTTATTTATTTATTTTTGAGACAGGGTCTCACTCTGGTGCCCGGACTGGAGTGCAGTGGCGTGATCACAGCTCACTGCAGCCTCCACCTCCCAGGCTCAAGCAGTCCTCTCTCTTCAGCCTCCCGAGTAGCTAGGACTACAGGTGCATATCACCATGCTCAGCTAATTATTTTATTGTATTTTTTTTTGTAGAGGTACGGTCTCTCTATGTCTCCCAGGTTGGTCTTGAATTCCCGGCCTCAAGCAATTCTCATGCAGTGGCCTCCCAAAGTGCTGGGATTGCAGGTGTGAACCACTGCACCTGGCCTATTTTTTTCTTATTTTAAATTAATCTGAGCTTTTTATACAAAATGTAAAGTGTGGAAAAGTAGCAATATAAAAATTGGAATAATCTTTAATTTCAATATCTGCAGATAAATTTTTTTGTGTTTAGTATATAACCTTCAGTCTTTTTTACAGTTAAATAAATATAATGTATTTATTTCATTTTCAGTTTACTTGTTACCATGTTTAAATTTCTGTACTTCTATCTATCTATATATCTAGAGAATTTTGTCTCCATTTTAAAAAGAAGATTAACTCTTCTTTTTAAAGAAGACAGGTTCTAGAGTTGTGGGTAATATCAAGATAGCTTTTGCCAAATAGTTTTGAACTCTGACCATTCTTGGCTATAGAATTGATTCAGTCTTGATGTATTGCAACATATGATTTGATTCAGAGAAACAAATATATATTTCCTTTTTTATGAGGGGGAATTTTAAGTGGCAAATGAAACAGAAAATGTCTTGGGTAGATGAAGAAAAACAGCAGGGTGGAAGCATTGCATTGATTTTCTGAAAATAAGCATCTCGCATTATTTAAACTTACAGCCTGACCATGTTAAAGATATGACACCTTAAGCCTAAAAATGCTGTAAACTGCATTCTTACAAGGCACATAAGCTTTGCTGGCAATATTGCAAGAATGTCAGATAATCTGCTTGAACAATTCTTAGATCAAAATAATATCATATTATACATCAGACATTTTATATCTCCTTGAAATTTAAGATGATGATAATATCATTGGAAAGAATCAAAATAGACCCAATGGGCGTTAGGTAAAAGAACTGTGCACATGAATGTGGGATTGTACATTGCCTCTCAGGCTTTGTCTAACTCTAAGATGGTTTAAAATTTTTTGACATGAAAAATCAGTAGTTTGTTTCAATTTCAACAATATTTAATGATATCCACAAATAGCACTAATTAAGAGAATTCAAAATAGTAAATCAAAGTGCGTTTTTTGCCTTGTCTTAAACTAGAGATTGTATACTACTTTTAATTTTCTTGTTTTCTTAAACAAACATAGAGACAAGGATCTTGCTATGTTGCCCAGGTTAATCTCAAACTCCTGGCCTCAATTGATCTTCCTGCCTCAGCTTCTCAAAGTGCTGGTGTTACAGGTATAAGCCACCATGCCTGACCATAGACTATATTTTAAAATTCACACATTGCCACAAACTAATAACTTTTATCTATGGTGACTTTCATATCTTCAAAGATAAAGAAAAATTACTTAAGTGTCTAGAGGGAAAAAATCAAATTATCTGTAAAGAAATAAAATTCAGCGCCTTCTGGGACTTCTAGGAGTGGGGGACTTAAGACAGGCCTTCCCATTGGTAAAAGATCATTTTTAGGAAGAGATAAAACCACAGCTTTTATATAGATGTAAAAATGAACATGTGTTAAATATTTTACTTTACTCAAATAAGGATCCAGGCTGATGTTATAACTGGCTCGAAGGGAAAGTCAAAACAACACAATTTATCTGGAGTAAAGGAATATCAAGATGAATTGCCAACAATGACACAAACTGTTTTCTCCCAGGGTGGGAGGGGAGACAATTTGGACCTCCACCAGATAAGACATACTTTGCATATCTACTGGTTACCTGCAATTTATAGAGTTGTAAGATAGCTCAAAGTAAAGGAATAGAGCTAGACTCTGATAACCCAAAAGGGTATGTTACAGATCATGCATAGTCTTCCATGGAAACCCAATTTTTTCATTTCACAATGCCCTCCCCCTCCTCCTGGTTATGGTGTCTTATCTTTCCTGTTATACCAGCCGTCTGCAATACTAACTTCCAGAATTAGATGAAATGATGCCTACATATTTAGGAGAAAAAAAAAGAGAATAAAGCAAGTCTATAAGCCCAAACAAATTGCTATTACTCTTCAAAAGACAGGTACTTTCCCACGACAATAACATGTTCTATGAACCTGAGATCTTTAGCTGTTTGGCCCACTACTAGTGACAGATTCTCTTTATTGTTGTCTGATACAATTATTACAGCCCTCTTTAAAATGGAAAAGTATACAAAATAATGAATACAGAATTCAGCACAGAACAAATTTTTATGTAGAGTGAGAAAATAAATCATTTAATAAATCATAAATCATAAAAAATCATAACTCCCAAGTTACAATTTATTTTAAAGTTGATAACCACATGTTACAAAGTCTAGAAACATGGCATATTATTCTTTTTTTGGTAAATTATGACCCAAGCCTCTGCAGTACCTTTCCCCTACTTTTTTATGGGCATACCTTTTAATCATTTCTTCATGTGACAATTATTTTATAAGATTTTCTAGAGGGAGAATCGAAAGCAAACTCCGTCTTTCTTCTACTATGATTGGTGATCTGTATTTTGAGGGCAGTTTTGTGCGCTGTTCTGTCTGGATCCATGAGACTTCATCAGGACAAGATGTGTCAAATAAGCTGAGATGAGATTTAATATGGTGGCACTCATACTTTGAGGATGGTACACTATAAATTCAAGGATTCTGAAATTCCGTTTCTCATAATTCTCAACAAAAGAGAAATGAAAATGTGTGGTGCATTTATTGTCACTTATGCTATCTTGTCGATTCCTAATAATAGAGATCTTTGTGTCAGGGTTTTCCATACACTAGCGTCTGACTGTGAACATTCAAATGTCATTTCTCCTCCATGTCCCCTGTACTTTTGGGGTCAGGATCACATCTCTTTTGGATATAATTTCTGTCCTCTCACTCAGGTTGGTCACTTGATTTGATTTTGCTTTCTTCTCCCACTTCTTGAAGCATATTACACTGTCCCTTGTTAACTCAGACTTAAGAGTTTAATGGAATTTTAAATATATAAATGTAATTTCTGCCCAAGGCAAAAGACTTGGCATATTCATGTCATGATGCCAGGATAGTCATCCTAGTAGGCACTGAGAATCTCTCAATAGGCAATTTCTATACCAGAACAGTTAGCAAAAAAGTGAACACATCAATAACTATGAATCACCTAAATATATCCCACTAAAACCAAAAATAATGTATCCTAAATTTATCTCTCTCTTAGCCAGATCCAAACCAAATCTATGATTACTCTACCACCATCTGATGAAAAAGGAAGGGTAACAAACAGGCAGTTTGTGGGGAGGGAGACAGCTATCCTATGTAATTGTAGTTACAATGTGTGTCTGTGTGAAGATATTGCTAGTAACCCTCCCTCATTTCCTGCCCTATTCCCAGTGTCTTGCCCTTTACATGAACTAGGCACTTAATAAATCTGTGTTTAAGGACTAAATACATTATTGATAAAAGAAGGATATATTCATGCGAGGTTTTTGTTGCACTCAAGAATGGCTAGGACATACAGAAAATACTTTTCAGAAGGTTTTTAAAAACTAGTATTCAATTTATTAAAATTATAAATGTAAAAGTAAAACTAGCTCTTTTTTAACCTTTCAGTGTAGTTCACAAATTTATTCCATTTGTATATTCAGTAGATTTTAACAGTCACTTTCAAGGGAGCTTTGACAATATTTGGTTCCTTTTACAAGCTGAAACACCAATAACATTTTCAACAGCTGTTATAAATTTAATGTATTTGCTCTCTTTAATGATTTTAAAAGCCTGGCTTAATAAAAACAGCTTTCTGAATATTTACCAAGTCTTTTTCATTGACCAATGTTTAAAGTTATAAAAATATGTGTTCTTTTTAACTTGGAGATTTTTTAAAAATTATGCTTTAAGTTCTGGGATACATGAGCAGAACATGCAGATTTGTTACATGGGTATACACGTGCCATGGTGGTTTGCTACACCCATCAACCTGTCACCTACGTTAGGTATTTCTCCTAATGCTATCCCTCCCCTATCCCCCAAACCCCTGACAGGCCCCAGTGTGTGATGTTCCCCTCCCTGTGTCCATGTGTTCTCATTGTTCAACTCCCACTTATGAGTGAGAATATGCAGTGTTTGGTTTTCTGTTCCTGTGTTACTTTGCTGAGTATGATGGTTTCCAACTTCATCCATGTCCCTGCAGAGGACACGAACTCATCCTTTTTTATGGCTGCATAGTATTCCATGGTGTGTATGTGCCACATTTTCTTTATCCAGTGTATCATTGATAGGCATCTGGGTTGGTTCCTTTGATATTGTGAACAGTGCTGCAATAAACATACATATGCATGTATCTTTATAGTATAATGATTTATAATCCTTTGGGTATACACCCAGTAATGGGATTGCTGGGTCAAATGGTATTTCTGGTTCTAGATCTTTGAGGAATTGCCACACTGTCTTCCACAATGGTTGAACTAATTTACACCCCCACCAACAATGTAAAAATGTTCCTGTTTCTCCATATCCTCTCCAGCATCTGTTGTTTCCTAAAGCAATGGCAACGAAAGCCAAAATTGACAAATGGGATCTAATTAAACTAAAAGGCTTCTGCACAGCAAAAGAAACTACCATCAGAGTGAACAGGCAACCTACAGAATGGGAGAAAATTTTTACACTCTACCCATCTGACAAAGGGCTAATATCCAGAATCTACAAATAACTTAAACAAATTTACAAGAAAAAAAAAAAACCCCATCAAAAAGTGGGTGAAGGATATGAACAGACACTTCTCAAAAGAAGATGTTTATGAAGGCAATAAACATACGAAGAAAAGCTCATCATCACTAGTCATTAGAAAAATGCAAATCAAAACCGCAATGCAATACCATCTCACGCTAGTTAGAATGACGATCATTAAAAATATAGGAATTTTTAAATTTCTTAAAATATTTCAAATGCATACAGTATGCCCACATTTACTATTTACAGAAAAATAGTATTACTATGGTTTTGTTAGTCATAATTTTTATGCTTAATTTTAAAATGCAAGAGATGTGTTGCCATTTAAGGAAAGTAGTTACCATTCCAATTAACTGAATTTATTCATGACCAGAGGTTTCATCCAGAACAGCAAAAGATTTCCTGGACTTTTACTGGCTATCCTGCTGACACTCACTGAGCACTGTTTTATAGTTTTCTTTTCCCGTTTCCATAACTTCAGAATGTAGCCAATTACTTTATTTTCTCAAATTCAAGTTATACACGTTCACTAATTCTTAAGTCTATTCACTAGGCTCTATCTCTCTGTAACTCTTCTAGTTTTTCAAGAAAGTTGGTCACTTTATTTGATTTTGCTTTTTTCCCCCCAACCTCTTGAAGCATATTACATTGTCCTTTGCTAACTCAGACTTAAGAATTTGATGGAATTTTGAAGACATAAATATAATTTCTTCCCAAGGATAAAACTTTTCAGTTTTACGATATTACTTTTTAACATAATATTCTCAAATCTATACAACTGATGGAGATGTTTATAATGATATTTGGTTAAATTTGGTATACCTCACATGGCCTTTGTCTGATTTGCATTAAAACTCATGAGGTCATTCTCCTGGCAGAAAAATAAAGGTATGTTTCCTGAAGAAAAAGTAGACACCCTCCTGCTGTTCATAAGAAAGCATCAAAGTAAATAATTGCAAGGCCAGGCATGGTGGCTTACACCTGTAATCAATCCCAGCACTTTGGGAGACCAAGGTGGGCGGATAGCTTGAGCCCAGGAATTCAAGACCAGGCTGGCCAACATGGCGAAACCCCATCTCTACTAAAAACAAAAATTAGCAGGGCGTGGTGGCATGCGCCTGTGGTCCCAGTCACTCAGGAGGCTGAGGCTGAGACATGAGAATCGCTTGAACCCAGGGAATGGAGGTTGTACTCCAGCGTGGGTGACAGAGTGAGACTCTGTTGAAAAAAAAAAAAAAAGAATTTCAGAGAAGGAAAATGGCAGTATTGAAAAACTAGAAGTGCTCAGGAGAGATATAAGATATAATTTAATAGTAGGATTTAATTAAATGTTATAATAATAGTGAACAAAAAAGAATTTTGGGTTTCAAAATTTGAGAACAAAAAGAAAATACAGGGAAAAAATGAATAATAGATTTATGGACTGAAAATCTCAAATTGAGCCTGGCACAGTGGTTCACACCTGTAATCCCAGCACTTTGGGAGGCAGAGGCGGGTGAATCACTTGAGGTCAGGAGTTCGAGACCAGCCTGGCCAACATGGCGAAACTCCATATCTGCTAAGGTACAAAAATCAGCTTGGCATGGTGGTGCGCGCCTGCAGTCCCAGCTACTCGGGAGGCTGAGGCAAGAGAATCCCTTGAACCAGGGAGGCAGACATTGCAATAAGCAGAGATTGCACCACTGCATTCCCGTCTGGGTAACAGAGTGAGACTCTGTCTCAAAAAAAAGAAATAATAATAATAAAAAGAAAATATCAGATTATAGCAATAGATACTAGAAGAGGTAGGCATAAAACGAAGTATGCTTAATTTTCCATCATATATGTTTATATACTTACAAAACCAAATACAAATGTCAAAAATAATTATTGAGAAAGCAGGTGTGATATAAAAGCATCATCATCTTTATCATTATAATTCCATATCATATCAGTGAAATCTAGAAAAGAGGTAGGATCAAGGTTAAAGAAAAGTTGCTTGATTTTTCATCTTCTGTAAGAACGTGAGACTTGAAAAAATTTTGACATAAACATGAAGAATAGATTAAAACATTGTCATAACATTATAGAATGAAGTGCCTGGAAAATATAAATAGGCTGAAGGAGAGGAAGTAAACTTTTCATCTACTCTTTTGGGTTCAGTCGCTAGGACCTGCAAAATAAACTAACAAAAGACAGATTAACAAGAGGGGAAAAAAACAGTTTATTTATGCATGCAATGCACACACGCAAACAAATTCAGAGACAAGTAACTCAAAGAGGCAGTTAAAATTTCAGAAGTAAATACTGTCTTAATAGATAAAGGGGAGGGAGAGAAAGGCACTTATGGAAAAACAAATGACATTTTGGATTTTCAGGAGAATGAACAGGAAATAAGAACGTTTTTAAAAATACTTGTTTACACAGGAATGAGTGGACTTATCTACTTCAGGGCCATGAAACTCCCGTGGAGAAAGGATTTGGGATAGGTTTTGTGCAGGTTTTCCCTCCTGGGACTAGATCTACTCTAAAAAGAATTCATGGCAGCCTTGCTTCCCAGAAGTTGCTGCTTTGATTTACATGAGAGAAGAAGCTCCTAGGTGGCTTTTCCTTTTTCTGCATTTGTTGAATCTCAAATATCTTCAGCCTTATTTAATCTTTATACTGTCTCTGGGATCCAAGTGTGTCCCTGTCAAAGTGTTAACTGCTAACTCCCTAAGGAGATCATCAAAATAACCTATAGCTCAAGAAGAGTCAAGTTTATTGTTGACTGCAGTATGAGAAGACAGTCTCAGTAGCATCTGTAAAGAGGAAACTTAAATGTGGGATATATCTAAATGATATCTAGAAAGTGGGATACCTGTGGGGTCTCAGTGGTCTGATTTAAGGTAAGTCTTGCTATGCGGGTGCCTGACTGGAATTTAGGAGTCTGTGATATAACAGTGGAGAACTGATGGATGTGGAGAGGCAATTTTGAGGTGAATCTTCAAAAAACGGACAATCAATCATTGGATGAAACCCCTTGAGCAATCCCTGGTTTAATAGCGAGATGGGGCACTTGTTCCTTGTTCTGAAGAGAACAAGGTGAAGTCTATTGTTCAGATAATGGATTTTCAGGAAGTTCTTGAAATAAACAATAAAGTTATGTGCAACTTCATTTTTTCTGGGCAAGAATTTCCTGCCTAGAATTATAATGCATAATAATGTCACGTTAACATGAACAGTAAGTTGTACGGATGTAGATGGTACCAGTAGTCAGCAACATTTTTTTTAACATCAGCATTATTAAAAATTAAAAAGGAAAACATGCCTTTAATAGAAAAAAGGAGAAAGATGAAACATAAAATGAGCATAAAAGTAGAAAGAAAAAATTGGGAGGGCAACAGAAAGACCAAATACACCAATACCTGTTAAAAATAAAAATGGATTAAACTATCCAGTGAAAAGATACATACAATTATACACTAATTGAAGGAGAACATACTATAAAAATGATACCTAGGGATTGAAAATAAAGGATAGATTTGCCAGGTTATCAGAAAAACATTAAGAGGAAAAATTAATTTTAAAAAGCAGAATTCAAAGCAAAAATTATTAACGTTGCAAAGGAAGTTCGTTTTATTTTGGTGTTACACCGCTGAGTAGAAATATAGAGCCATGTATCTTTATGCATGAAATTAAAAAATTATCAAAATACATAAATCAAAAAGTGTTGGAGTGGGAGCATGTGGGAGGAAGAGGAATTAAGGATGAGTATGGGCTGAGTGCAGTGGCTCACGCCTATATTCCTAGCACTTTGGGAGGCCAAGGTGGGTGGATTGCATGAGCCCAGGAGTTCAAGACCAGCTGGACAACCCCATCTCTATTAAAACACCATCTCTATTAAAAATTTAAAAAAATTATCTGGGCATAGTGGTGCACACCTGTAGTTCCAGCTACTCAGGAGGCTGAGGAGCGAGGATCACCGGAGTCTGGGAGGTCAAGGCTTCAGTGACCTGTGATTGGACCACTGCACTCTAGCCTGGGTGATAGAACGAGACCCTGTCTCAAAAAAAAAAAAAAATGTTTGGGTCTAAAGCACTAAGAGATGTCAATTATTGAGTGAATGACTTAAGAGGTGGGTAGAGAATGGCTGAGTAAATTTGGGGAGAAAAGGGAACAGTAAGTTTGGAGGAGGCTTAGAAGGTATCAGAAGACGGCCTCCCAAATCAAATGTGAGAAAACAAAGTTAAAAAGGATGTCATTCTGAACATCATTGAGAGTTGTTTGGTTCAAGGAGAGAAAGCATGTGCAAGAATTCAGGATCCTGACAAATACACTGGTATTTAGACCCAGACAGCAAACAGCTACAGATTTCCAGTAGAGGCGCAAAAGCGTATTACCTTTCCCCATCTACTGTGAGCTTCACGGCTGACACTCCTATAGCCAAAGACACACTAACAAGAGAAAAGCATAACAAATTTATTTAATGTAAGTTTACATGATATGAGAGCCTTCAGAAATGAAGATCCAAAGAAACAAAGGAAACTATTTTGAGGAAGAGAGTGGAAGTTTTGGAGAAGTGTGTTTGGATCAAAGTGGGTGGAATCTAATGGTAATAAACTCAGGGAACTTAGCAAGCCGTGAATTTTTTTTGTTCTTGTTGTTGAGATGGAGTCTCGTTCTGTTGCCAGGCTGCAGTGCAGTTGTGTGATCTTGGCTCACTGCAACCTCCGCCTCCCGGGTTCAAGTTATTCTCCTGCCTCAGCCTCCCAAGTAGCTGAACTACGGCGCACACCACCACGCCAGACTAATTTTTGTATTTTTTGTAGAGACGGGGTTTCCTCATGTTGGCCAGACTTGTCTCGAACTCCTGACCTTGTGATCCACCTGCCTCAGCCTCCCAAAGTGCTGGGATTACAGGTGTGAGCCACCACACCCGGGAGCAAGCCCTGATTGTTGAGATTCCTCTTGGCCTAGGTCTGTGCCATTCCTTCTCTCCTGGTATAGGGCAGGACCCCCCTGGAGTAAGAACCTTCTGTTCTACTTTCAGAAGAAGTAGGTCAGAGGATTCTTTTTACGACCTTGGGGGAGAAAAGTGGGAGAAAGTCAGAGTGACCTTCCTGCTTTTGTAGGTTTCTCAGTTTCCTTCAGCTTAAAATACACAGTATGCCAAGGTGCCATATTTTGGGATATCCTGTTCTGAGCCCCAGCACAAGGATCAGAGAAATGCAAATTCCAATCAGACTGCAAGTTGAGTGGGTGGTGCAGACTTCTGAAATGCAACAGAAGAATGAGGACGTTGAATGTAAATTGAATCCAGGGACATGATGCGAGCAACCTGGAAGAGCATCTCTTTGGCTCCTCTGTGGGGTCCGTGACATGGAAACTCTAACATGGGGTTCAGTGACGCTGGGAAAGTTGCTGATAAGAATCAACCAGCACCCTGGGCCTTAGGAACCTCCAGCCTGAGAAGCAGACCACCTGTCAAGCTAATGTGAATAATAGTAATCATTGTTTTGTTTTAGTAATTAGTGATGACGGGAACTTCTGAAGCAAAAGACCTCATGCCTTGCATGAACTGAGCTGGTACTTACAGGGTATGCTTTGTGGAATCCAGGAAGATTTAGAATTATAGATGTAGGGTATAGATAGGCAAAGTAGAGTCAAAACTATAGAATTAACATTTTGTTACATATTTAGGCTTTTAAAATCAAAGAATTTAGTCCATTTCAGTGAAAGTTTTTTAACTCCACATACATACACATATACGTACACATACACAAAAGGGTATGTGAAGAATTGATTTAGGCTTCTGACTAAATTGGAATGTTACTAAGCATTGAGATATTTAAGAAATATTTAGGCTCACATATTTACCCATTTTTAAATACATAAAAATTATTTGTATTAGGGAAGATTCTATACGCTAAGGTAGACAGTTGAAGTACTTAAGAAGGAAATTGAATATATTCCCTTTATAAATACAGCTTAAAATGTTTTAAGGTATTGAATTAAGTTTGGAAATGAAAGCAATCATCCTTCCAAGACTCCCTAGAAGTGACAGGCAGATTTTGCAGAACCAATAAATGCTATACTATTGTTTTTTAGCAGTTGAAGTTAAAAGGAACAACCAATTAAAACAAAAAACTTTATTTTGAAATGCAGATTTGCAGAAAGTTGCAAAGATAGTACAGAAAGGTTCCCTCTATCTTTCACTCAAGTTGCCCTCATTTTTTCTTTTGTCACAAGGTTTGTAAATTTGTAAATTCCGTAAGTTGAATATTACCAAAAATAAATGAAAGGAAGCAGAGCTCTGGATATTATTTTTTCCTGTAAACACACAAACACACACGTGCATACGTACGTGAGAATTCATACTCAATCCCTCTGAGGACAATAAAAAACCTCATTAACAGTCATTTATATTGGAACATCTGGGCTGAGTTTGAGAGGGCGGAGGGGCATGTAGACAGAGCTGTGGAAGAATCAGCAGAGCTCGCTGGTCCAGGATGTACACTCCACAAGGTCTCATGTAGTGAGACCTTCCTTCTCCCTTCCTTCTCCACGCAAGGGCTTGAGACGTTAACCTCTCTGTGCCACGCATTCTCCTTGGTGACCGTAAACAATAATGGTGGTGCCCGCCTGCCACCGGGACTGCTGGAAGGATTTGATGAGCAAGTGCATGGCAAACTCCTGGATCATGCTCAGCACACAGTATGTACTCAGCATACGTGGGCTGCTATTACCATAAATAGGGTTGTGGAACCTGAGAGAGAGGTGACAAAGATTCACTCTTTGACCAAACTCTAGCCAGGGTCCTCTTGTTACGGTAGGTAGTTAGGCAGACATGAGCAGGGCAGGAGAGGCCCCCCGACCCTCAACCCCAACCAGGAATGTCAGGCGCCCATCAGGTGGTAGTCAGGCAGTTGTTAAGCCGTCTCTCTAAACTAATAATTTCTGGCCGAGAGTGGTGGCTCATGCTTGTAAACCCAGCACTTCGGGAGGCCGAGACGGGCGGATCACGAGGTCAGGAGATCGAGACCATCCTGGCTAACACGGTGAAACCCCGTCTCTACTAAAAATACAAAAAATTAGCCAGGCGTGGTGGCGGGCACCTGTAGTCCCAGCTACTTATGAGGCTGAGACAGGAGAATGGCGTGAACCCGGGAGGCGGAGCTTGCAGTGAGCCGAGATCGCGCCACTGCACTCTAGCCTGGGCGAAAGAGCGAGAGTCTGTCCCAAAATAAAGAAAGAAATAAATAAATACATAATTTCTTGCAGCCAGAGCCCGGGAAAGGCAATCTCCCAGGAGACAGAAAAACTTGAAACTGGTGATTAGCTTCCTGATAAAATCTCAGGAGTAGCGTGCAGGCTCAAGCATGCACGCTAAGTGGGATAATGGTAGAGTCTAACTGGTCTATAACCTTATAGGAACACCCACCTGGTAAGGGAAAAATGCCTCAAGTGAGCACGTGCACAATGTCAGTAAACACACTGTGCACGTGGCCCCTCCCCAGTACTGGCAGCCCCTGCGCATGCGCTTGCGGACAGCCTACCCCAAGGGGAGAAGTAACTCAAGACCCCAGAAGTACGCCAATATATAAAACCTCACGTTAAAGGTCAAACAGTGCACTTGACTCGCTCAAGTCACCCGCCTGGCCCTCTTCCAAGTATACTTTACTTCCTTTCATACCTGCCCCGAAAATTTTAATAAACTTTCACTCCTGCTCTAAAACTTGCCTCAGTCTCTCATTCTCCCTATGCCTCTTGGTTGAATTTCTTCTTCTGAGGAGGCAAGAATTGAGGTTGCTGCAGACCTGCAGGATTTGCCACCACTAACACTCTGAGCCCTCTTCTCTACCAGGCCTCAACCTTGGCCTATAAAAATTGCCGACTCTCAGCACAAACCATCTCATCCACCCTTCTCCCCAACTAAAAGACTTAAACCAACACTAACATCCTTTCTAACAGCTCAAGGTTGCACCCAAACCATGACCGGAGCCCTTCCTAAAGTGCCTGCCTAGGAAAGCTCCAAGCTACCAGAAAAATGTACTGTCTGTCCTACCTAACACCTGATATAGGCACCTGACCTTTCTTCCTTATAGTAGTTACTTAAAGGACTTCCAACTGTGAATCCTTTCTCCATCCCTTTGAGATGTATGTGTATCTCCTTAAATTTAGGAGTGCTTTTCTCAAAGACCTGAAAGCCATTCCTTTGAAAAATGTAATCATCAGGTTGGATAGGGCCTCTGCCTCCCAGGCTCTGTGGGAGGACAGAATCCTAATTTCCTCAATTGGCAGCTAACAGACTCAGCTGGCCAAATTGCATTTACATTCAACTCTCTGTCATTTTCACTTCCCTGACCCTACTGTAGCCACCCCCACCTCCCCTTTCTACTCTTCATTCTCCCTTTAAAATGTCCAGTCACCTCCGCACAAATCAAAGTTGAGTTCAGTCCACATTGGACCCTCTTTCTGATTGCAATCATATGTTATTTATTAAAATCTGTCCTTACCGCTTTAGTCTCCAGCTTTGTTTATCTTTGACAGAAATCACAGTTCAGAAATGTATTTGGGAAGCCGATGCCTCTACAAGGCAGTGGAATCCTAGAGAATGTGTGTAGAGTGAGAAAATCTAAGAGCACTTTCACCAAACCCCAAAGCACACCAGCATTTAAGGTATAGAAAAAGGAATAGAGCCTGCATACACAAGCAAACAAAAAATGAGCAGGAGAAGGCTTGAATGAAGGAGGAAAAATGATATTGAAGGAAATCAAAATACTTTACCCTAAAATATATATATTTTGAGATGCCTGTTCAGGGGGCCAGCAAACAGAAGCAACCTGCACAGCTGTCTTCTGTGGGGAGATTTGCATCTGTAGAGAATGTGCATTGAGGCAGCCAACCCTTCCCTTGTCCTGATCTAGAGAAGATTAACTGAGAGTCTAACACCTTGAAAGAAGAAACATTTACCATCTATTCTGATGGCTGCTACCTGTTTGGTTTCATTTACACAACAAGACAACCTTTGCTAGCCAAGCCTCTTCTTCTTTGCCTCCCATGACCTGTCTTGCCACTATAAATGGTTTACCAGCTAATATGGTTTGGCTGTGTCCCCACCCAAATCTCATCTTAATTTCCATAATTCCCATGTGTTGTGGGAGGGACCTGGTGGGAGATAATTGATATATGGGGATGGTTTCCCCCATACTGTTCTCATGGTAGTGAATAAGTCTCATGAGAGCTGATGGTTTTATAAGGGGAAACCCCTTTTGCTTGGTTCTCATTGTCTCTTGTCTACTGTGATGTAAGATGTGCCTTTTGCCTTCTGCCATGAACATGAGGCCTCCCCAGCCACATGGAGCTGTGAGCCCATTAAACCTCTTTGTCTTTATAAATTACCCAGTCTTCGGTATGTCTTTATCAGCAGGGTGAAAACAGACTAATATACCAGCATAACCTGTTTTTCGCCATGCTCTGAGCCCCCATTCTTTCTGTAATCTCAGGATGGTTTATAAGTTTCTGAACTCCATAGGCAAGTTGGGGTATTCACTCTGTGGTTCTCTCCCATGTGCACGTTAATAAATATGTATGCCTTTTCACCTATTAATCTGCCTTTTGTGGGCTGATTTTTCAGCAAACCTTCAGAGGGTAAAGGGGAAGTTTTCTCTTAGCTCCTACAATAGTGTGAAAAGAAAAACTTCAGCCAAATTAAATGTAAAGGAGTTTAATGGAGTAATGAATGATTCGCAAATTGGGCAGCCCCCAGAATCACAGCAGATTCAGAGAGACTCCAGTGCAGCCACATGTTGGAAGAAGATTTACAGACAACAGCAAAAAAGGAAGTGGCAAACAGAAATTGGAAGTGAGGCACAGAAACAACTGGGTTGGTTACACCTTATTTATTTATTTATTTATTTATTTGAACACAGGTTGAACACTTCGCAGTGTATGCGTAGCTGAAGCATGGCTGCTGGGATTGGTCAACACTCAGCTATTGTTACAGGTGCATACTCCTCAATTAGGTTTTCAATCTTGTCTACCTATTAAGTTAGGTTGCAGTTCATCCACAAGGACTCAAATATAGAAGTACAGAGTCCTTCTTAGGCCACATTTAGTTTGCTTTAACAATAGAAAGCTATGGTCACAAAGGAAGTGGGGATAAAACCGAATGTCCCCAAACAGATCTGTGTGTGGACACTTGATCTATGACCAATGAGACATTGTAGATAAACATGGAAAGGTGGCTGCTACAACTGGTTTCCGCATGGAAATAAATGAAATTGGATTCCATTCTTCCATGGCACCTCTCTTTCCTAATAAAACAATAATTCCCAATGAATTAAAGACTTGTGTAGGAAGGAAAAACTTTAAATTATGGAAGAATACAGGATAATATTTTTATAACATTAGGATACTGAAGAATATATTAAACAAGGCTCAAAAATGACTATGAAAGAAATGATTGGTAAGTTTGATTTCGATAAAAATTAAACCCTGTTCATTAAAATACATCATTAAAAAAAAGAGAAAAGATTTTTGTAACACTATTTTTTTTTTTTTTTGAGACAGAGTCTCACTCTGTTACCCAGGCTGGAGTGCAGTGGCATGATCTCTGCTCACTGCAACCTCCACCTCCTGGGTTCAAGTGATTCTCCTGCCCCACCCTCCCAAGTGGCTGGGACTACAGGCGCTGACCACCATGCTCTGCTAATTTTTGTATTTTTAGTAGAGATGGGGTTTCACCATGTTGCCCATGAGCTCCTGGACTCAAGGGATCCACCCACTTCCGCCTCCCAAAGTCCTGGGATTACAGGTGTAAGCCACCATGGCTGGCTGATTTTTGTAACACTTACAAGTGATAAAAAATTTTATAGTGAATTTTACCTATAGTATATATCAATGAAGTATTTCTATAAATAACAAAAAATAAATAAATAGAAAAACTGGCAAAAGACATGAACAGTATCCCACAGAATATAAAACGTATTTAGAAAGTATATAAATGACAATGCTCAACCCCTATGGTCACAGAGAAATGAATATTAAAATCTCATGTTGCTCTCCAGGGGAGAAGAACATCTGGCTAGCAGGATTGCAAAGGTCCAGTTTGGCCTGTGAGGAAAGAGCAGGAAAGTCGGTGTGCTACATCTAGAAAGCCATGGAGAAGAAGGGAGAATATGATCACAGATATAGTTAAGGGTCCCGATCATTAATTTTGATGTCTTATAATTCAGTCCTGGATTTAAGAGGTCATAAAGATTGATAATAATAAAAAAATAAGAAATTTGAGCATATAGTGGTCAAACTAATTTTTAGAGAGGGAAATGAGAGGAAAGTATAAGATGTTTGAAACAACAAATATTTAATTTAAGTTAATTCAGGCAACTTTTATTAAACATCTGCTAAGGGCCAGGCCCTCTGTCAGGGACTGAAAACTCAATGATAAAGAACGAAACACTCATTGCCATAGAAGCAGCCACATGCCAGTGAGATACAAAAGCAAGTAATTATCAGTATCATATTCAATGCTCATAACAAAAGCAATGATTATTTGCAGACTTATCATGCTCAAGGCCCAGCTCTTGGTGCCTTAAGCACATTTTTACTAATCTCTACATCAATCTTACATGACTAACAATATTTGTTCACCTTTTACAGATGAGAAAGTAGTAATTTGTTTAGAGCAGGATTTCCCAACCCCAGCACTATTGACATTTGGTGCCAGATAATTCTTTGCTACGGCTGCCCTGCACATTACTGGATGTTTAGTAGCATATCTGGTGTTGAATCAAATTTAGCCTCAAGCTGCCTCCTTATGTATTTTAAGTTCCACCTAAAGGTTTTTCTGTACATCGTGAACTATAACAAATGCAGATATAAATAGACCGTAACCTACACTTGTGCCAGTCACTGAGTTTTGGCCAATCAATTGTAGCCAACTGTTCGAACCATGTTCAAATAAGGCAAAAATGCCAACCTGTAACCCATCCACTTGTTTCTGGATTGGCTACCTCACTTCCATTTTCTGCCCATCACTTTCCTTTTTCTGTCCATAAATCTTCCGTCACGTTGCTACACTGGAGTCTCTGAGAAAACTGTAGCTCAGGAGACTGCCCAATTAATGAATCTTCATAGCTCCATTAAACTTTAATCAGGTTGAAGTTTTTCTTTTATCACTGGCCTCTATCCACTAGAGGCCAGTAGCTCCTCTCCCTCCATAGTAATGACAACCACAGTATCTCCCGACCACTGTCTCCTGAGTGGCAAAATTGCCCCCAGTAGAACCGCTGATTCAGAGACACAGGAAATGGTGGCGCAGGAATTCCAACAAAATGTTTGACTCCCAAAACCGTAGCTGCTGGTTGTTTTTGCTTATCTGTTTGGATTGATTTCTTCATCTAGTATACAATGCCTTTATGGAAATAGGTCCATCTTGAACACTAACACTGGCATTTAACTATGTAAGTGTAAGGCAATGCAGTGAGGAAGAATCTTTATTCACAAGTGGCTTATGCTGGAGGAAGATAGAAGTGAGACGATAGCCAGGCATGGGCTCACGCCTGTAATCCCAGCACTTTGGGAGGCCGAGGCAGGCAGATCACCTGAGGTCAGGAGTTCGAGACCAGCCTGGCCAACATGGTGAAACCCCGTCTCTACTAAAACTACAAAAATTAGCCAGGTGTGGTTGTGAGCACCTGTAATTCCAGCTTCTCAGGAGGCTGAGGCAGGCGAATTGCTTGAACCCGGGAGGTGGAGGTTGCAGTGAGCCAAGATCATGCCACTGCATTCCAGCCGGGATGACAAGAGTGAAACTCCATCTCAAAAAAAAAAAAAAAAAAGTGAGATGATAATGATATAGATATTATTTTAGGTTTCTGTTATTCATTCAACATCTCAGGGCACATAGAATATCAAATAATAGACTGCAAGAACTGTCTGTGTTGCTTTAATTCCATTCATTGATTCATCCATCCATCCATCCACCCATCAATCCATCCATTCAGCAATGCCAGGGGTTGTCCTAGGAACTGAGGCTCTTTGATGTACAAGTTGGAAAGGTCCCTGCTCACACTTGGTCTGATGGGGAGGTGGAGAACAGACAGGAGATATGTTAATGTATTATTAAACAAGATAATTTCAATTCGTGATAAGTGCTTTGAAAAAAATACAAGTTTTGTGAAGGTGAGTGACTTGGTTGGAGGGAGGGTGCTAATTTGGGTTCAGAGGTCAAGAAATGCTTCTCAGAGATGATGCAAGCTGAGACCTAAATGCAAAGAAGGAGGCAGCCATGTGAAAACCTGCAGGAAGAGCATGCAAAAGAGGGGAACAAGCACATGTTAAGATGCTGAAGAGGGAGTGAGTTTGGTGTATTTCAGGAATGGAAAGGAAGGTAATACCAGGGGCAAGAGGGAGGATATGACATCAGGAAGGTGGAAGGTGGATAAGGACCCAGGCATTTGTGCCCTTGTAGGTCATGAGATGAGTGTGGATTTTATTCTGTGTGCCAATGGAATATGATCTTGTTGGGGCCACTCCAAAAGGAAGGCCAAACGTTACCTTTCACACCACCAAAATACTAATGCAATGTCCTACATGTTCTTGTTTCTATCAGTCATAGTTATATGTTTACAGTTATTTACATAGACTGATGTGAGAGTTAAAATGTGAAGCTTACAGGGGAAATCAAAGAAATATTTAAAATATATTAGTTTAGTTTTTATTCTCCCTGTAGAGTTTCTGCAAAATAGACTTTTTATTGCACTAGTGTCTTAGAAGGTCTATTGAGTATTTGATTTCATTTAGAAAAGCCCACGAGCACCTGTATTTTTAAGAATTCTGATACTGTCAATGACTGTCAGTGGTTTTAGATATTTTTTAGAAAGATATTATTGCAGTGATGATCTTATTCCATATTTTAGACATAACAATGTAAGACCTATTGCTTGTAATAGGGATAAAATGGAAGTAATTTAAACGTCTATCAATGGAGAAAGCAGAAATAAAACATGTTATTGTCATATAATGAAGTATGATTCAGCAGTTTAATGAACTAGATCTCCCTGTATTCAACCAGTGCAGGTCTCTACAGAATGAGGAGGGGGGAAAAGGTAGGTTGTAGTCAAATAGGTATAGAAATATATGATTTTTTAAATACATAAATAATTCACCATATATATTTTTATTTGTATGTTGGATTGAAAAGATACGCATGAAGTCATCATCATGGTTTCTACTTGAGAAGGAAGGAAATGGACTGGGGAGAAATATGGGGTAATTTTAACTTTATTTGTAACATTTTATTTAAATCAAAAATCGGAAATAAATATGACAAAACATTGATATTTGTTAATTCTGAGGTCTTCTTTTTATGTTTTTTTGAGACAGAGTCTCACTCTGTTGCCCAAGCTGGGTGCAGTTGCGTGATCATAGCTCATTGCAGACTCGACTTCCCAGGTTCAAGCAGTTCTCTCATCTCAGCCTCTAAGGTAGCTAGGACAACAGCTACCTTCCAAAATCAGAAAACTGTAATAACATCATGCGTTAAACACAACGATTGAGTGCAGACTTTTTTGTGAAACATTCTGTAGTTCAGTGTGGTCTGTGTCTTCATGGAGAGATTGTGGTTTAGGAATGTCTGACTGAAACTGCCTTTGCAAAAAGTGTAACAGTGAGAAAATTCTAACAGTGAAAGAGATCTGACCTTGCTTCCAATCTCCAAGCTACCCTCGTTTATTCCTGAGCGTAAGCCAAACCAGCTTTGGGAGGAGCCTAATCTATAGTTTAACTTTGAAACAAAGATGATAACCGCCCTTCTCCCAAAAAAACCCCTTCTTGCCTTGGGACCAGACTGTCTTTAAGACTGCACATTGTGCACATGTACCCTAAAACTTAAAGTATAATAATAATAAAAATAAAAATAAAAAAGAAAAGAATACGATGAAAAAAAAAAGACTAACACATTAGTCACAAGATTAGAAATTATGGTTTAGGAGTCATGCAGCTACAGGTCACAAGATTTCAAACCTTCTCCATTTCTCCTAGGGATAACATCACTGTTGTAAAACTGAAAATTGGTACTTGGGATATTTTTTTCAGACCCTGCATTATGATGTACCAGCTGGCACCACCCAGACTGGTAATCTGGCTCAACCAGTTCTGTGATCCCACCCAGGTACAGAAGACAGCAAGAAGAACCTACTTCCCCTGAAATTTCATCTCCAACCCAACAATCAGCACTCTCCACTCCCTAGCACCCTACCCAGCAAATTATCCTGAAAAAAATCCCAGTCTCCAAATTTTCAGGGGGACTGCTTTGAGTAATAAAACTCCAGTCTCCCATTCAGCTGGCTCTGCCTGAATTACACTATTTTTCTATTGCAATTCCCCTGTCTTGATAAATTGGTTGTATCTGGGCAGTAGCAAGGATAACTCATTGAGCAGTTACATGATAAGCATATAAAAATGTGCCTTATATCCTTAAGCATCAGAGAAATAAATATTAAAACCAGGATGAAGTATATTTTACTGCTATTAGAATGGATAAAATTTTAAATGACTGAAAATACCAAATGCTAGTAAGGATATGAGTAAATGGACCTCTTGTAATTGCTGACCACTTTGAAAAGCTATTTGACAGTTTCAGGCAAGTTAAACATAAACCTTATGACCCAGCGATTCTTTCCCTAGGAATTTACTCAAGAGAAATGAAAAAACATTTATACAAAGACTTGCATAAAAATGTTCACAGTAGTTTTATTCTCAATGGCTAAAAACTGGAAACAATCAAATGCAATCATTGGGAGAGTGTATAAACAATTATGGTGTCTGCATACAATGGAACACTATATAACAGTCAGAAGGAATTAGATAATTGATATACATAATAACATAGATGATTCTCAAAAACATTATGCTGATAAAAAGAAGCAAAGAAAAAAAAAGAGTAACTACTGTTCATTAATACTGTGTTTCATTGATTTCAGTTCTATGAAGTTCTAGGATGAACAATTGGTAGCAGTAGAAATTAAAACAGCAGTTTGCTCCTGGGGTGAGAGGCAGATGACTAGAAATGGGCATGGGGAAAATGTTTGAGTTCATGGAAAGGTTCTAGATATTGATTGAGGTGTTGGCTACATAGCTTTATGCTTGTCACAACTTGTCCATTGCAGATGTAATTGTTTTATATTTTATTGTATGTAAATTTTGTTTAAAAAATTAGAAAATAAAAACCAAGGAAGAAAGATTATGGCATGAAGAAAACATTAAACAAGGGGTTTTATCTTGCCTTTTGACCCCAAATTCCATACCCTAGAATTTATTCTAGAACAGAAAAAAAGACCCATGCACAAAATGATATTTATTGACTCACTAAATATTTATTGAGCACCTTATATGCCAGGAACTTAGGGCCTAGGGGCATAATGGTAAGCTAAAAACACAACAAAAAGCAATAAACAAACAAACAGTAAGAAACATGATGTAGAGTTTAATGAGAAAGAAAGTCATTCATTATAAAGTCACCTAAATCAATACAGAATCACACCTGTGTTAGGGGCTGCAAAGAAGTGCATAATGATATGGCAGCATTGAGTTGAAAATGTTGATCTTGTCAGGAGGTTGGAAAGATCATCCATAAAGAAAAGATAATAGGGCTGGGATGTGAAAGGCAAATAGGGGTTTGAGGAGGAAGAGTGGAAAGAGTTTGGATGCATAGAGAGTAGCATATTAAAATGTCCTGGCACCAGTTTGGGTCTTCTGAGAAGGAAAAGCCAAGATGAGACTCAACATGTGAGGGACCTATTTGGAGAAAACACCTGTGAAGGCAGGGGACGTATTAATTGGGATTCCCCAGAGAAACAAAACCAATAGGATATATATTTACATGTTTATATTTACAGTAAGGAATTGGCTCATATGTTTAAAGACAATGACAGGTCCCAAGCTCTGCAGTTGGCAAGCTGGAGACCCAGGAGAGCTGACAGTGTAGCTCCAGCAGGTTTGCAAACCAGGAAGAGTCTGAAGGCAGGAAAAAACAAACAGAAAACGAACAAACAAAAACAATGTCCCAGCTCAGCAGGCAGGCAGAAGTTCCCTCTCACTCAGCCTTTTTGTTCCATTCAGGCCTTCCACTAACTGGATGAGGCCCACCCATATTAAGGAAGGCAATCAACACTATTCAAGTGTTAATCTCATTCAGAGACACCATCACTGATATGGTTTGGCTGTGTTCCCACCCAAATCTCAACTTGAATTGTATCTCCCAGAATTCCCACGTATTGTGGGAGGGACCCAGGGGGAGGTAATTGAATCACGGGGGCTGGTCATTCCCATGCTATTCTTGTGATAGTGAATAAGTCTCATGAGATCTGATGGGTTTATCAGGGGTTTCCGCTCTTTTGCCTCTTCCCCATTTTTCTCTTGCCGCTGCCATGTAAGAAGTGTCTTTCACCTCCTGCCATGATTCTGAGGCCTCTTCAGCCATGTGGAACTGTAAAGTCCAATTAAACCTTTTTTTGTTCCCAGTTTTGGGTATGTCTTTATCAGCAGTGTGAAAACGAACTAATGCAATCACAGACACACTCAAAATGATGTTCAAGCAAATATCTGGGCACCTTGAGGCCCAGTCAAGTTGACACATAAAATTAATCATTGCAGGGAGCAAGTAGGAGTAGACTGGGGAAGGCTTTAGACCAAGACACTGATCTGATCTGTGAAGGGAGAGAGGGAAGGAAGGAATGGGTAGGAAGAGCTTCAGACCTCAACAGAGAGCCAAGAAATTCTCAGGCCAAAGGAAATCCCTGAGTCAAAGTTGTTCGTTAGACAGGGTCTGAATTGAGCAGAAATTGGTGATTTTGGTAATCCTGCCGTACTCTATCTTAGGCTGAGAGCAGCCTAGTCAAAGTGTTGACTGACGTGAACAAGCACAGTGGACCCAAAGATGTGGCAGCTGGAGGATGTTACCAAAGATTCTCCTAAAGGAAACTACATGGCTATCACAGTCTTATTGTGATAAAGGGCAATGTTGACTATGAAGAATTATGGAAAGGTCACATGGAGAAAGGAAAGAGCAGAGCTGAGAAGAGAGAGATGTCCTAGAAGGACCAGGGAGAAGTCTTGTGTTTCATGCTATGAATATACATCTGAGGCAATGATATGTTTTAAACAGTGTTGGGAAGTAATTAGGGTTATTGTTTGAAAAGATCACTGGCAGAACCATGGAGAATGAACTGAAGATACGTCATATTAGTAAAGAGAAAGTAAATTGTTCTTCCAGCCAAGAGATGGTAGTATCACGGTCTAGGGAAGTAGAAATATGTAGAATTGGAAGTGTCTAAAGAGTATTTGAGGAATAAAAGTAAACAAGAGTTGATGATAGATTTTGTGATGATTGAAAAATAGGCAAGTATATGAGATGCTCCTAGGTTTTCTGGATTGTAGAGGTGGATAGAAGCTAGTAGCAGTTATGAATTTAGATGAGGCTGGCATCATTGGCTAGCTACCTAAAAATCATCCTTGATGTCAGTAAGATGTCATGAAGAAAATGCAATTTTTCTTAATGTTCGCAATGTCATTAATCTTTTTTTTCATTGTAGAGGCTAAACACAGCAAAATAGTTATTTCTCCATCTTCTGTTGTAGTCACGAGGCTACAAAGTATGTAAGGGGTATGTGTTAGAGGGCTTCTGGGGACATGTGTATTTTCAGCTAAAAGAAGAGATGCAAACTCTAAAATGACAAAACAAATATTTACTGCTGATAAACCAACTAAGGAAATAAAAATGAATAATAAAAAATTAAAGTAATGTTTAAAAAGGAAGACAAAGGGAAAGTGAGAAAGAGGAATAGATGGAACAAGTAGAACACAAATAGCAAGATTTGTTCTTGCTATTTGTTTAACTATAAATTAAACATATCAATAATTACATTAAATTATAGTGGTCTAAGTATCTCAAAAGAAATAGTCAAGATAGCATAAAAATGGAAGCCCCAACTATATGATACCTACAAAAATCAACCACAAAACCATTTTAAATGAAAAGATACAAATACATGAAAAACATATGAACAAGGATATACAGGCCAACCCTAGATAAAGGAAGATGAGGTGACTATGTTAATATTCAACAAAGATTTCAGAGCACAGACTATTAGCAGAAATAGTAATAAAGAAGACATACAATTCTAAATGTTTATGCACCTCATAACAGCATTTCAAAACGCATGAAGCAAAAAATAACAAGAAGAAATAGACAATTGCACACTTAGAATCAGCAAGTCCAACAGGCCTCTATCAGTAATTGACAGAACAAGTAGATAGAAAATCATCAACTTGACCTAACTGATATTTATAGAACCCTGCCCCCAATTACAGTAGAATATACATTTCTTTCAAACCCATACAGAATACTTACCAGAGTGATCATATTCTGGATCATAAGAAAGTCTCAATAAGGAACTCAAATATACAAAATATCTTCTTTGACAATGATGAAATTAAATGAATCAATAACAGAAAGGTATGTGGAAAATCCTCAAACCAAATAATACACTTTTAGTAACTTACAGGTCAAAGAAGAATTCAAAATAAAAAACAGAAAATATTTTGAACTTCATATATGGAAATACAATATATTAAAATTTGTTGGATACCACTAAAGCAGTAATTAGTGGAAATTTTTTAGCACTATGTGGCAGTATTAGCAGAGAAGAAAAGTCTCCAATGACCTCAGCTTCTATGCTAAGAAGCTACAAAAAGAGAGCAAATCATACAAAAAGCAAGCAGAAGAAAGGAAAAAAAAAAATCAGAGTGAAAATCACCAAAATAGGAAAAAGAAAACCAATAGAGTAAATCTATGAAACCAAAAGATGGTTCTTGGGGAATATGAAATTGATAAACCTCTAGGCAGGTAGCACATGGAAAAAAGAGAGAAGAACCAAATTACCAGTGTCAATGAGATGGCCGCCATCATTCTACATATATAAAAGGATAATAAGATAGTATTTAGAACAATTTATGCCAATACATTAGTTCTAAACACAATTTGAAGATGTGCCTCCATTTTATGCACTAGTAGGAAAAAAACCCACTAACTTAACGTTTTCATATCAATGAGCAATTACACTTTTTGAACAAGCTTCATTGAGGTATAATTGACATACACCAATCTGCACATACATAAAGTGTATTTTTTATTTTGAGTTCTTCTTTGACCCATAAGTTACTAAAAGTATATTATTTGGCTTGAGGATTTTCCACATATCTTTCTGCTACTGATTCATTTAATTTCATCATTGAGATGTCACGGGTGCATCTCGAAATAATGGACAAGTGCCTTGAAAGACAGCAACTACCATATGATTCAGTCATTCCACACTGAGGTATTTGCCCATGAGAAGAGAAAGCTTGCATCTGTACAAACACTAGTACATGAATGCTCACAGCAGCTTTATTTACAATAGCCTAAAATTGGAAACAACCTAAAAGGTCATTAGTAGGCAAAAGGATGAACAAATTGTGGTATATTTGTAAAACAGAATACTACCCAACAACAACAAAAATGAGCTATTTGGTACACTTACAATATGGATGCATCTCAAAATAATGCTGATTGAAAGGAGACAGATAAAACAGAATATGTAAGTATAATTCTGTTTCTATAGCAATCTAAAATATGCAAAAATGATTTATAGTGACAGAAAGCAGATTGGTGGTTGCTTAGGGACTGGAATCTGGTGAGATGGAGAAAGAGACTAAAAAGGGGCATGAGAAAACTTTGGAAAGTGAGGGATATGTTCATTATCTTGATTATGGTGGTGATTTCACAGGTATATATATATATGGGCCAAAACTTATAAAATTTTACACTTTATGTATGTGCGGATTGTTGTATGTCAATTATATCTCAGTGAAGTTTGTTCAAAAAGTATAATTGCTCATTGATATGAAAAAGTAAGTTAGTAGTATTTTTTTTCTTACTAGTGCATAAAATGGAGGTGCATCTTAAAATTGATGGCATCTTAGATTTTATAAAAGGCGGCAATAAATGCCTTTGATCTGAGATTCTGGTGCCTGAGCTTTATGCTATTTTCCAGCTAAAAACATACTAAGTGATATAATTGGCAATACTGGATGGGGAATCAGGTTGGGAGGATCGTGAATTTGTTTTTAGGCCTGTTAAGATCAGGGCATTTTGGTTAGGGCTGCTGTTGCCCCTCAGTAGCTTCCTAACTGGTCACTACATCTTCTTCTTAGGTTCTCTCACATCCATTCCCCACGCAGCAGTATTTCTTCCTTTGCAATAGACTCCCAAACATGGCTGCATTGCATAAAGCCCACATTTTGCCACCTCTCTGAAGATGAGGTCATGTGACTAAGTTCTGGCCAATGAGATAAGAGTGGAATTCACATGTTTAGCTAATTATAGTCACCACTCTAAGAAAGGAGTCCCTAAAATTGCAAATGGGTCTGTCGCATTACATTTTAAATGTGTCTGGCTTTTTACCAGCCTATAATTCATCGACACAGAAACTAAGTTTTCAAAATAAAAACATTCCAGACACAATTACATGGTATTTTATAAGTGAAGTTAAAATGCTTATTCTGGAGATGGCAATGTTGCTGAATGCTAATCCCCAAACTGAAGCAGTCTTCTTCTGTCTTTGGACAAGCCATTTAGTCTTTCTGCATCAGGTCCCTGAGCTGTGAAATGTGGATAATATTACAGGGCTTGAGGGTGCTGTGAGGATTAATTAACATTGGCAGAGCACTTTGAACATAAGACTTTGCCCTCTTCACACATTTTATCCAGGGACCTCAACAGACTGTACCAATAAGGGTGGTCCCATTTATCTCTGTTTTCCAGATCAGGTTATGAAGCAGGGAGAAATTAATGGCTTGCCCAAAGTCATTCGGTGAACCAGGAGAACAGCCCTGAGGAGTCCTCTGGAATATTGACTTCTAATCTTCCTGCAACAACCATTAGATGCATGCTTCGTTTTGAAAAAGGGTCTTAGAAATACCAAATACCCGTGTTATCTAGTTACTTCTCTCTGGTCTTTTTCTTGTGTGTTAGCCTAGATTTTTTTTTGGATCCATTTTGCAGTGACCTGCAGAGAGGAGGGCTCTTCTCACCAGAAAAGAAACTCAGAAAATATCTGGGAGAGTTTAATGATCAGAAGAGTCTTTATGGTTATCCCCATCAAGTTCACTGGAGGCATATGTTTGTTTTTGTGTCCTTAGTCATAAAACTTAAGATGTGAGACCCACTTGTGCAGAAAGAAACAGTCATTCTGGTTCTTAACAATTTCATTTGGAACTTATTTTTAAAAAATCACACAGGAGAAAATGAAAATCTCCACTACTTCTACCAATAATTAATAACTGCTGCTAATATTTGATGTAGAGATATTCAGATTTTTTGGTCATAAAAAGCACATTATTTAAAAATGGGACCATACTGTATAGATAATTTATAACGTAGGGATCTTGCTATTCTCCCAGTTCCAGCCACCCTGACCTTGCTCTACCATACGCTATTCCATTGTTTATGGCATCCCAACACCCTCTCTACCTTTGCCTAGACAACAGCACCTCTTCCTTCTCAGCTCAGCTCCCTAACTGCTCCATCCCTCACCTTCCAAAGGGGTCAGGTCCTGTCTTCTTGTTCTGCCCTTGCATAATATCCTGTAATTTTCCTTCGTGCATAATTTTACACTTAACAGACTATTCTTATAATATCTCTCACTCCCAGTGGACAGCCAGCTCCATGAGGGCGGAGAGTCTGGTCTCCTTCTCTCTACTCTATTGACACCTAGGTACTTAGCATGCCTGGCTCAAATTGTAGCTCAAATAATATCTGCTGAGTGAACAAATAAGTGAAATTTTTCCCACTCATTTTAGTGGCCATGATTTGGATTTGTAACAGAATGGTAAATGTGACTCTTCCTGTTGATTTCATTTTAGTAGAAGCCTTAAAGGCCCAGGGGGCAAAAACATTTAGAAAACACTCTAAAGCAAGGTGCTGGACCATCTGTGCAGAAATTGCCAAAAATAGTAGTTCAAAACTGTTTTGTCTGCATAAGTTGATCCTGCACCTCCAGCCTAAATAAGACATTGTGGGTAAAGAGATTAAAGAGGAAGATTTCTTGGCAGAGAGCTGGTCTTCTCTTTCCCACAGGGACAGACAGGGGAGCTTGCCCTTTACCTTAAAGGAATGGAGCCGCTTTCAAGAGAATCACTCAGAAGGCCAGATGTGCATCTCCTCATGTGCTGAGGACACAGGGACAAGTGCCAGACCCATCCGCTAGGAGTCTAAATGTGGAGGCTGTGGGTTGGCTAGTTGCCCTGACTATGGCAGAGCAAAGAGCCTTAGAATAGAGCTGACAGTCCATGTACAATGGCAACAATGAGTGAGATTTTCCTCTGGCTGGTTAAACATACAGAGGGAACAACTAGAGGTTATCATAGAATAGATGCCACCAAGAGGACCACCCAGAAGTGCAAACGGAACTCAGCATCCATCTGGGGCACTGGGATCTTGGAGGTGGAGGAGGTAAAAGAGTAGCCAGACTGACAAAAGAATTGCAGATGGGGCCGGACACGGTGGCTCACGCCTGTAATCCCAGCACTTTGGGAGGCTGAGGCGGGCAGATCACCTGAGGTCGGGAGTTCAAGACCAGCCTGACCAACATGGAGAAACCCTGTCTCTATTAAAAATACAAAATTAGCTTGGCATGGTGGCGCATGCCTGTAATACCAGCTATTTGGGAGGCTGAACCAGGAGAATTGCTTGAATCTGGGAGGCGGAGGTTGTGGTGAGCCCAGAGTGCACCATTGCACTCCAGCCTGGGCGACAAGAGCAAAACTCTGTCTCAAAAAGAAAAAAAAAAAAAAAAAAAAGAATTGCAGATGGACCTTCTCTAATGGATTCACAAAATCTCCATGACAGAAAGAGCAAAATTTTTATTCATTCACCTGCTACCTATAGGGCATCAACTCCAAGGCAAAACTGAGAACAAACAAAACTTTCCCATTTGTTTATCATGAACAACATTGCAGTGGACATTCTTAGAACTAAATATTTGTGCCTTTGGAAACATGTCTGGAAATGGTATTGTTGAAGACCAAGGATAGGCAATTATTAAAGTTTTTAGTTTTTTAAAAATAAATATTACTTTTGCTCCAAAACGGGTATATCAATGGATATAAATTCACATTCTCATCAGCAGTTTTATTTGTCTTTTTGTAAAGATATTCAGGTAATGACTTTTAGATGTAGGTTTTTATATGATCTCACCATTTCCAGTCCAATCCCTTCTAATTCATTTCTATTCATCAGACAGGCTAATATTTTTAAAAATATAAATCAGATGCCACTTCCTGATTTCATTCTTTTAAATAAAATGCAATCTCCTTGCTGTGGCCTGCAAGGACCAGAACTGCGTTGCCCCTTCCTCCCTGGTTCTAGGACTACATTTCCCAGCACTCCCTCCCTCCCTGAGCTTAAGCCATGCTGTCCTTCCCACAGCCCCTTGAACTCGCCAAGCTTTTTCCTGCAAGCTGGCCTGAACCCTTCAAGCACCCTTCTCTCTAGCTGGAATGCACTTCCCCTGACATTTTCCATAGCTTCTTCTTATCTTTCCTCTCTTAACTTATATATCACCTCCTCAGAGAAGTCTTCCCTGGCCCTCTCTTATCTGAAGTAGAATTCTTTCTTACTCCTTACATAGCACACTGCTGACTCCTTTTCACCACCATGTATAGCTATTTACATTGTTTATTTTCTTGTTTATTTTTTCTCTCTCCTACCGAGACATAAGCTCCATGGGGACTGGAACCTTTTTTATCCGTTTGTGTGTGTGTGTGTGTGTGTGTGTGTGCATGTTTGCGTGTGCCAAAGTTTATTGTGGACAATCTTTGCTCATAGCAGATGCTCAATAAGTATTTGTTGAATGCAGAAAGGAAGGAATGAAGCAATGAGGAACTGAAGCAGAACTGTTCCCAAGCTCTCCTACCTGATTTGATGTCATCTTCCAAGTCATTCTTCTTTAGCTGGCTAAGGACTGGTAGAGGGGAGAGCTGGCTGTAGAACAAACAACCTCCCTTGTTAGTGATAGCCAAGTCATTTTCATGAGCACCGTCTCACCTTTCCAGAGGAAAGGCTGCATATGTTTCTGTGACACTCCCACTGAAAGCAGCAGGCAGCAGGGCCAAAGCTCAAGTTATTTTTGGTAAGGGTATTGGAGAAGTGCCATTCCAGCTTCAGCTTTGGTGCTTTGTGGTACTTGATGAAAACACAGCCTCCTTTGGTGAAGCTTGGGAGCCCATTACCTGCTCTAGAGAAGTGTAGAAGCCTCTGGATTTTTGTACATAATTTCTTGCCCTCAATAGCTAAAGAAGAATAATGACAATGATAAGGATGATAATGGGCTGAATGAAATTCAGAGAGCGGGGCAAAAGTTGTCCATATGTTTAAGCTGGAGTGGATTTCTGTTTTGAATGTGGTAGACAATGACTCTTGGATTAATTTCTGGCTCTGCAATGCTATGGTTAGAAGGTTCTATTTGAATGCATTATAAGTTTTGTATCCTATCAACAAGATGACCACATAAGAAAAGAGTACCACTATGTGTATTGTCTTTTAAACTCACGTTCATTTCATTTTAATTAACACTTTTTTTTTTTTTTGAGACAGAGTCTCGCTCTGTCGCCCAGGCTGGAGTGCAGTGGCGCTATCTCGGCTCACTGCAAGCTCTGCCTCCCAGGTTCACGCCATTTTCCTCCTCAGCCTCCTGAATAGCTGGGACTACAGGCGCCCAGCACCACGCCCGCTAATTTTTTGCATTTTTAGTAGAGATGGGATTTCACCGTGTTAGCCAGGATGGTGTCGATCTCCTAGTGATCGCCCGCCTAGGCCTCCCAAAGCGCTGGGATTACAGGCGTGAGCCACCGCGCCGGCCTAGTGCAAGACTTAAGGAAGCACTCACTCTCAGGGTCATGCCAATGAAGGCTCAGCACTCACGAAGCCCTGACAGCAAGTGCCTCCTTAAATTTTATGCCCTAGGTGCCTCACCCCCACTACCCTAGTCCCAGCCCTGGGGAGTGTGCTCTCTACAAGCCAAATAAGATAGGCTCCAATAAATAAAACAGAACGTAAAATGGCTCATGCCACTTGAAAGTCCAAGAGGTAGTTCTAGCTTCAGGCATGGTTCTATCTCTAGATCTGTCTCTGGTTCTTCTTTCTTCACTTTATTCTCAGCCAGTCTCTCATTTTGGAGGCAAGATGGTCAGGGCTAGCTGAAAGCTGTTAGGAGTAGGGCCCTCATGTTTTCATCTGTTTACTGTAGGGAAGACTTTGATTGGCTCTTCTAGGTCACATGCTCATCCCTGTGCCAATGCCAGGTGAGGCACGCAGAATGCCCAGCCTTGATCAGCTGTCCAGCCTGTGGTGAGAGTGACTGGGGCTGCACTCAGCACTCACGCCACGAGAATCACTCATTGTTGGGACTGGTGTAGCAATTCCCAAACAACAGAGGTGGATCAGTTGGCTGCGGTTGCTTTTACTTCTGTTGGTCCATAGCGTTATGGAAATGCCACAGAAAATTTTGGAATTTTCTCAAGTCATCTGAGCCTTACACATGTATCTGTACCCAATTTAGTTGCGATTCTTTGGGCTTCAAGTCACAGTATGGTGCCTTAGGCTGGACTCCTTTAGTGGTAAGTGACAGAATATCTTAGTTTGGGCTGGTTTAAGCGAAAATGGGAATTTTTTAGCTTGTGCAATTAAATAGTCTAGGAGTGGCACTGGTGAGGTAGAGCGTGCTAATGGACCTGCCCATTATGGATTCATTTTGTTCTTTCAGTAACAGACCATGCCCAGATGAAAACTTCATTCTCCATTTTCCTGTGGAGCCAGCTGTGGCCATGTGACAAAACACTGGTCCACGCGATGCAAGAAAAAGAGATGTTTGACACATCTGGATCATATTTTTATTAGAAGGTTATTTTCCCTCCATGTTTTCTTCCCACTTCCTGGGAAATGAGAGGGTGTTGCTTTGTTTTCATGCTACTAATAAAGACATACCTGAGACTGGATAATTTATAAAGGAAAGAGGTTTAATAGACTCACAGTTCCACATGTCTGGGGAGGCCTCACAGTCATGGCAGAAGACAAAGGAGAAACTAAGTTATGTCTTACATGGCAGCAGGCAAGAGAGCTTGTGTAGGGGAACTCCTGCCTTTACAAAACCATCAGATCTCATGAAACTTACTTGCTACCACAAGAATAGAATGGGGGAAACCACTGCCACGATTCAATTATCTCCACCTTGCCCCACCCTTGACACGTGGGGATTATTATAATTCAAGGTGAGATTTGGGTAGGGACACAGAAAAACTGTATCAGACAATGACTAGACTCAAGGATGAAAAACCGTGTCCTGAGGTGCCAGAGTTGAACCACAAGCTTGGATCCCTGGGCATCCTTATAGGACTAAGTGTCCTACTTGCCCAGGATAAACTGTTACATGAAAAATAAATAAACTTTTATGCATCTTAAATCATTATATTTTGGGGTCTAATTGTTACAAAATCTTCAAATCTACTTAAATAACTTCCTGGGGTGCTGGAAGAGGGGTTCAAATCAGATCGTCGGGATCTGGTTTGCTTCTCTTTATGTCTTGGTTCTGCTCCTTTAGCGTGGCCTTCACTCTTCGATAAGCCCTCCCCTGGGGTTTCACCATTTGTGCCAGCAGCTCCTGGGCCTCTTCCATCCAGATTCCATTTCAGCTGGAGTGTGAGTCTTCCTCCCAGTATTCAGTAAAAGTAACCCAATTCATTATTAATTGGCCAGCTTAGGTCATGTGCCCATATCTGAACCAATCACCAACCACTAGTTGTCCAAAGAAAGGCCATGGACAGGGCTGCACACGTGAGCTGGAAACAGGGGTGAGTACACTCAGTGAAAATGGTGACTACTATGGGAAGAACAAACTCTGGATGCTGAGGAAACAAACAGAAATGCATACTACAAATAAGAAGCTCTAAATATTCAAAAATTGAGTTCAAAACACGGAACGAAATAGTATTTTTTCTTGTCAGACATTTCCAGTAAAACTAAATCATGTGTGATAGTATATTTGTTCGGCAGCATATGGTTAGGCAAGTTGTGCACTGTAGAACTCTATAAGCACCCCTTACATTGCCTACCTCTGTGAATGGTTCTTTTCCATTTCTTTTTCTTTTTTTAATGTTTTTTTTTTTTTTTTTTTTTTTTGAGACAGAGTTTCGATCTTGTTGCCCAGGCTGAAGTGCAATGGTGCAATCTTGGCTCACCTCCACCTCCCAGGTTCAAGTGATTCTCCTGCTTCAGCCTTCCAGGTAGCTGGGATTACAGGCACGCACCACCACACATAGCTAATTTTGTATTTTTGGTAGAAACGGGGTTTCTCCATGTTGGTCAGGCTGGTCTCGAACTCCCAACCTCAGGTGATCCACCCACCTCGGCCTCCCAAAAAATTACAGGGATTACAGGCGTAAGCCACTGTGCCCAGTCTCTTTGCTCTTGCTGCCAGGGCTTGTATTGCACAATTTGGACAAGTGTAAATGTCCTATGAATAGTATATCACAGTCTGTACGTTTTGCATGTATGTCAATTGGATTTCACCAAACAAAACCATATATTGGATTCAGTCTTGCAATTTAAAAAAGAAATCATTTGTTCCTTCACGTCTAGTTTGATATTTTCTGGTTTGATTCTAGTTTCCTCAGCTCCAGTTAAATTATCTATGGATGTTGATTATAGTCAGCATTAACTATCAAGGGATGGATTTCTCGCCTTCAGTTTTTGTCAGTAATTATTTCCGTTATTGTGGGCCCTTCATTTCAAGCTCCTTATGCCTTAATTTCTTCATTTTTTGTTTCTATAATACTGTGGACTTGGTCTATAAATGATGTGTTAGATAAATGCCTTCCATGAACACCTCTATTTTACAGCAACCATGGGCAGCATTTTTTTTTTTAAGTTCCAATCCTTCAAAAGGAGCTCTCCAAATGATTTTACCATTTCATCTCTTTTGGTGAGAGATTTAAAATTAAAACATCATTTTCCATAGAATGGCAACATGAAGACAGATGGTTTACTATGTAGCAAAAATAGTTCTCCCTGCCAGAATATCTCCTTTTTGATTGTCCCCATTTAGTCTCGGTTCTCCTATGACACATTCTTGGAGGTTTCTGTTCTTTAACTGAAACTCATCAAGCCAAGGTGACTAAAAGCTAATGTTCCCAGTGAGAATGGGAAGATTCATATCGTCTTAGAGTTGAAAGACCTGTGGATGTCATCAGGTCAAACAATCCACTACTAACTGAATCCTCTTCTCAATGGCTCTGAGCAGTGATCTCTAGCTTTAGCTTTGTCGCTTCCCAGTGAGTAAGAATTTTTGTCTAATTTCTGATGATTATCTTTGCCTTTGTGAATAGTGCAAATGATTAGAAAGATCTTCCTTGGAAATCAACTAGTAACCTCTCTTTCTGTGAGATCCTCTCTTCAGAAGAGGAATAGGAGAATGTTTAGGAGCAGAGCTGGGCACTACACACACCTCCCTTCAATCCTAGCTCTGATAGTGGCCAGCTGTGAGACCTTAGCAAGTCTGTAAAATGTGGATGCTGGTGCCTAATTCATTATTCCCTTAACAAGATTAGCACAATGCCCAGCACACTGGTGCTCAATGTGTGTTAGCAATTATCAATCAAGTATGCTTTAGGGAGGTAATGCAGTCAGGGGCAGGTGAGTGTGAAATTCAGTCCCCTTCTTCATCTTATTGTATAGGCAGTATCTCATAATGGCAATGAGAGCTCTATTGCCAGGCTAAGGAGGCTTAATTAAATATGGGCCTGGTGTATACATTAACAGGGCACCTACCTCAAAAAGTGCAGGGGAGTTTGAATGAGTCAATCCATGCAAAAGGCTTGGAGAGTGCCTGGCACCTAGGTGGCCATCTTGATAACCACAAGGATTTACTGAGCACTTGCTCTGGGGTCAGGCTTTGGGGACAGACAGTGATGAGGCCAAGTCTCAGCCCCCTGGGAAACACATTCCGGCGGGAAAGAGGCTGAAACAGGGAAACTGTGGCAAATGATACCAGCGAGGGCTAGGTCCCTGACACAAGGAAACCCAAGGAAGCATTTGGCTTAAGCGGTGACAATATCCCTCTCCTCAGATGCCAAGGTCAAGGCGAGCCGCGGCAACACCATCTCCCCAGACACACACGCAAAATCGGCCCTTCTCGGGGAAAGGGCAGGGGCTGAAGGGGGAGGCGGGGTGGGCGGCGGCTGGAAAAAAGTGAAATTTCCTCTCCTCCTAAAATAAGTCATTGGAGCGAGGAGAGCGAGCGCTATCTCAGTAGGCTGTGGGCGAGGTGCGGGGGTGGCGGGGGCACGCTCCGGGTCCGCCAGGAGGGGAGGGATCGGAAGGGGAAGCGGGGAGGGAAAGGTGGGTGGGAGGCGCGGGGAGCGTTCCAGGGCGGCTGCTCACGGGTGGCCGCAGCCCAGTGCTGGGACTCGCGCGGCTCCTCCTCTTAGCCCCCCACCCCTTCCTCCTCTTTCCTCCTCCTCCTTCCTCCTCCTCCTCCTCCTTCTTCTCCTCCTTCTCGGCCGGGAGGAGGCAGGGCTGGATCCCTCAGCCGCCGCCGCTCCTCCTCCTGGCAGGCCGGCCGCGGAGTCAGCTGACGCCGGCGCTCCAGCCTCGCCTCCCCGCGCCGCGCTCTGCGCTCCCCGAAAGTGGCTGCAAGCCGGCCGCCCACTGTCAGGGTTGGGGGGACAGAGAAAGTGATGTGCGCCTTCTAAAGCCTCGCCCAGCGCCGCCGAAGCAGCTTCACCTCTCCAACTTTCTCCCACCGACTGCTTGTCTTGACCCTGCCCTCCACCCTCCCCAGAGCCACTTCGGGTGCGCGCTCTTGGGTAAAGGGGGGGTCACCGGCTGTCTGGGATGGCTTCCAATTTTAATGACATAGTGAAGCAAGGGTACGTGAGGATCCGGAGCAGACGCCTCGGGGTGAGTATCGATCCTCTCCGTGTTGCTGTTCGCCGGTTCGATTGTCTCTCTCTTGAGCCAGCATCCCTGGAGGGTGGACGGAGAGTCCCCGGCCGCGCGCCGGAGAATTGCGCGGTGGCTTTCTCAGCCGAAACCCGCGTCTCCGGGGCTGTCACTGTAAGGCCAGCGTCTAGGTATGTAATGGATCTATCTTTATCTCTTGGATGACTTGGCTTTCTGATGGTGGCCGCGTGTTGGGCTTCAGTAGCCCCTGGAGCCCATCTACTCGAAATAAATATTTCTCGGTAGCCATGGAAGTTGGAGCTGAGAAGCCCGGGCGGGGGTGCCTGCCGGATGCCCCCGGTTCCCCTCTTTTCCCACTCGCCGCCAACTTAACTTTTCCGGGGGATGGATCGGCTGGTTGAGAAAGAGGACACGCATACTCGGTGTGAACGAGGTCACGAACCCTCTGACCCCAGGGAGAGATTTCTGCCAAGCGTAAGGTGTCTTTGGATCCCCCCACCTCTGTCCCAGGTGTCGTGTCAAAGGCGGTGCGGGCTGGCCTCTGGTCGGGGCCAACTTGGGTAGATACTTGAATCTGGATTTTCCGTGGTTCGAAGCCGGGGTGGTGGATTTCTGTTGCTGGAATACACCCTGGAGGTCCACGGAAGGGTTATTTACGTGGAACCTGATACCTGGCATAGCGCAAGTGCTCCCTACATATGTCCTGAAAGGAAGAATGAATGAATCTTAGGGCACTTGGGACAGATGTTGACACAGGCTAGCTCCTTCCTTAAAACTCCCTCTCTTTCGCCCCTTTCTCTCTTGGCTCTTCGCTGGAGGAGGCTTCAAAAGAGAACCTACCCTTCCTCTCCTTGGGACTGAATGATGGTGGAAGAATTCTTGAGGGAGAGGGAAGATACTGGAACGATTTTTTTATTTCCTAAAAATTTCAAACTAGGTCCCTCATTTCTCTTTGCCTCCTATCAAGTGTTGTCGCTGTTTTAGTTGATCCTGTGCGTTTGGACATAAGGGGTGAAAAGTGGGGGTGGAGAGGTGGCGGGGGCGGGGGGAGAAAATATCCTTTGGTGTAATGCCTGAAATAAGTATAATGTCAGTAATCGTGTGGAATGCCGCCATTGATAATGAGTGGTAAATTGAATAGCTTTCTTTAGAAATATGTGTCATTTGGCATCTTTCTCTTACTTGGTCTTTGGACTGTTTTAATGTGCCAGATACTTTTACTGAAAACTGAAAAGAAATTTCACAGTAGTAAACTCAGCTAGGGAGGGAAGCCCTGTGGGGAGGAACATCCGCAATTATTATAAAACTCTTGCCTAATTCGTTTTGGTCTTTTTCTTTTCTTTTTCTCCCCTGCTGGTGACCATGTTTTAGCGATTATGTCCTGTGTTATTGTGAATATATACATATGTAATTAGGGAGAAATGTAACAGAATTCACCATTTCCATCAGCTCTGCCAAAGTTTCCTTGGTTTTCTTTTCTGCTATGCAAATATTCTCATCTTCAAGAGCACCCATTGTTGGGGGTACTTTACTGAGTGACTCCCATGTAAGGGGCAAACAATAATGGGAACTTTCTATTTTTGGTATGCTTATAGGCTGGCCAAGTGTTACAATTTTAAGGGGAGTTAAGTTAAAAAAAAAAAAAACCCAGCATTCTAATTTAGCTTTACTCCATCATGTCAATGGAAGGAATTGGTATGAGACATCCATTCTGTGTTAGGGAGCATTCCAATGGGAAGAGGACATGCATTATTAATGCACAAAATATGAATTATTCATAAGGATCAGAGTTTATGCCAAATTGTGACACATGGTAATTTATTTGAAAAACTGGTTACCATCACTTTCTTGTTTGTGGTAACTGAGATTATTTTTTCTAGATTATTACAATTGACACAACATAGCCCTATGTGTGTGCCAACATTTATGGACAGATATTTGAAGCAGAAGGAACAGAAATATTTAGTTTGTATTTGTTTTATGTTTTACAGCATTTTGGATGCTAATGAGCAGTATACTTTCTCAAGATTTATTCTTTTTGTCTGTGTTCACGTTCAGACTTCAGAATATCTATTGAATTATGGTTATTGCTCATGGAGAGAAAAGGTCAAAAATATGATCAAGTAAATCTGGTCTTATTTGTTAGCATTGGTTTTCTCACCAGTTAATTTTTAAAATATTCTTATGGTATGATTTACAAAAGAGGCTGATTACATAGTTGCCAGAACACAGTGCAAACCAAAGTTTTAATGGAGGCTGCAAATATTGGTGAAGGATGCTGTACGGAATTGGCATGGGGACCCTATGTCCACAGTAAGGAATGTTAGCGGTATTAATCTAGGCTACATATAGTCTAGAACAGCATGCGACATGTATCTTCTAGGAATATGTGCCAGTCTCAAAGAGAGGTAGGGCATTTATTTTGTCTAGCACAGAGTAGACACTTGGTAAGTTCATGTTGAAATATGTGCTGAACTATATAGTGCATGGATGGTCTTGCCATTTATAACCTTTAGGAACTAATACAACAGCATTTATTAATGGAATCCAGACCATGTTTGGGACGGTTTATAATTAAATACAAAAACATTTCATGGTAAGCAGCTGTTCCTGGTGCCAAGGAATAAATGCTTCTTCAGATTTGGAGAAAGAGGAGAAGGGAACGCATTCTGCTTCTATTGCTTGTTGACCTTTGACCTTTCTTGGCCTCAGTTTCCTAGTCTGTACAATGAACACTATTTAATGTTCTTGGGAGCATTAAAGAAGATATTTGTGAAAATGCAATGAAAGTCTAGAACATTGATTCTGCTTGTATCATTTTCTTTAATCAAAGATGAGTTAGGATTGGTAGACGGATATAGGAATTATCTATTTCCTTCTCTTTCTATGTAGAAGTGTACAAAGGCATAAATGTTTATGCAGCTCCAGATTTTTTCAATGGATGAAACTTTTACAAATTATATACATATATGTGTATGTGTGTGTATTTTTATACATAGGAATAAATATATACATACAACCTATGTACATATTGTATAATATATAATATACGTATATTTATATATGTGATTTTTTAACAGGACAGGAAACATTCTAAAAACATTCCCATTCAAATGGGTCACAGATAAGTGGTCACCTTCATTTGAAATCCTAAAGAGTTTAAATGATTAAGCAATCAAATATGTATAGATTTATTCTCTTCTTTAGACATCAAAAAGCTTAATGAAATATAATTCATTTAACTCAAAAGTTTCAGTATCTTCACATCTGTATTCCCCAGCTTAATCCCCATTGTTTCCTGGAGGTCTCCAGCTGTGCCCTGGGTACTGAATTTGTTCAGGAATGTCGACGTTACTATTTGAGGGGCTGGGGGAAGGAGGGGAGCAGCTGTCCATAATTATTTGAGTAATCGATTAAATGCACTAAAAATTTCTTTTTAGGGGAGAGGCAAATCAGGCAATTTGTACAACATTAACCTGCTGAATGTGTGACTTAGATAGCATCATATAACAATTCTCACTTCGTTTCTTTCCTTGCAATGGAGATGATTTTCCAATCAATCATTGTCATGGCTTGCCCACAGTGCAAGTTTCAGAACGGAAACTCGGGTTTATTTATCTACGCACAATCCCTCAGTTACTTGCCTTTAAGTGACATTTCTGTGCTCTTGTCTACCAAGGACTTAGCAGCTTGGACCTCTTTTCTGACCTCCACTCATGTAAATTCTCCTGTCTATCCCACATCTCCACTTGGATGACTCACAGACCTGCTGCTCCTAGAGTCCTCTCCATCTTAGCCACTAGAGGTCCCAGCATTTTGGTTGCGAAGGTAAAAATCACAAGCGAACCTTGGTGTCATTTCACTCTTCTCCCCTCATCTCCCACCCCTACAGGCAATCCATCAGGAGATCTTGTGGGCTGTATCTTTGAAATATATCTAGAATCCGGCTGTCACCTCACGCTATCCACTGCTACGACCCTGGTCCGAACCCTCCTCATCTCCTCCCTGTAACATTGCAACAGTCTTCTCATTTGACTTCCTGCCTACACTCTTGCTCCCGCTAGTGCCTTCTCAATACAGTAAAGTGTTCCTTTGGAAATGTAAGAAAGGTCATGTCACCTGGCTGCTGAAGCTGTCAGAGGCGTGTGAACCAGAGCAACTCCATCTTGAATAGGAGCTGGGTAAAACAAGACTGAAACCTACTGGGCTACATTCCCAGACAGTTAAGGCATTCTAAGTCACAGGATGAGATAGGAGGTCGGCACAAGATACAGGTCATAAAGACCTTGCTGATAAAACAGTTTACAGTAAAGAAGCCAGCCAAAACCCACCAAAACCAAGATGGCCATGAGAGTGACCTCTGGTTTTCCTCACTGCTACGTGGCGCTACCCCCACCAGTGCTATGACAGTTTACAGATGCCATGGCAACGTCAGGAAGTTACCCTTGGTCTGAAAAGGGGAGGCATGAATAATCCATCCCTTGTTTAGCATATCATCAAGAAATAACCATAAAAATGGGCAACCAGCAGCCCTCGGGGCTGCTCCGTCTATGGAGTAGCCATTCTTTATGCCTTTACTTTCCTAATAAACTTGCTTTCACTTTACAGACTTGCCCTGAATTCTTTGCTGTGAGAGATCCAAGAACCCTCTCTTGGGGTCTGGATGAGAACCCCTGTCTGGTAACAAAACCATTGGTGACTTTCCATATACTGCAGAGAAGTCTTACAATGGGCCATGAGGCCCTATGCTGCCCCAGAACCCTCTCGTTCACTGTTTTCTCTGCTTGGAATATGCTGTTTCCCCAGTTACCTCCTCCTGGCTTGCTCTCTCACCTCCTTCAGCCTTTTCTCAGCTCCTACCCTCTCAATGAGGCCTTTAAGGCCTCCATCTATCTATCTATCTATCTATCAATCATCTATCATCTATCTATCTATCATCTATCTATCATCTATCATCTATCTATCTATCATCTATCATCTATCTATCATCTATCATCTATCTATCTATCATCTATCTATCATCTATCTATCATCTGTCTATCATCTATCTATCATCTATCTATCTATCATCTACCATCTATCTATCTATCATCTATCTATCTATCATGTATCTATCATCTATCTATCTATCTATCTATCTATCTATCTATCTATCTATCTATCTATATTTTTTTGGCGGAGTCTTGCTCTTTTTTCCAGGCTGGAGTGTAGTGGCGTGATCTCAGCTCACTGCAGCCTCTGCCTCCTGGGTTCAAGCAATTCTCCTGTCTCAGCCTCCTAAGTAGCTGGGATTACAGGCATGCACCACCATACCCAGCTAATTTTTATATTTTTAATAGAGACAGGGTTTCACCATGTTGGCCAGGCTGGTGTCGAACTCCTGACCTTGAGATCCACAAGCCTCGGCCTCCTAAAAGTGCTGGGATTACAGGCGTGAGCCACCGTGCCCGGCCTCAGACCACTCTATTTTATTTCTTCTCCCTCTCCTTTCCTTCTTTCCCTGCCCCTTTTTCTCCCTAGACTTATTACCCTCTCCTTCATTTATCTTTGTATTGCCTATGTACTGCCAAGGACATGTGAAGCTACATGAGGGCTGGGACTTGTTTCTCTCTTCTTTAATCATAGCTGTCCCCCAGTGCCTAGTGCAGGGCCCAGCACAGAGTGGGCATTTGATGAAGATTTGTGGAATAAATTAATGACCCCATCACTGTGTTGTGGCTTAAGAGCATAGGCTCTGACATGTGACTGCGTTAAAATCCCAACTCACTGGCTGGTTATGTGACTTCTGGTGAGTTATTTAATATTTATAAGCCTCCATCTTCTGTAAAAATATGGAGACTCTTACTACTCACCTAATAGATGATGATCATAAAGAGCTTAACACAGTGCTTGACACAGTAAAAACCCAATTAATGTTTATTAGGGCTCTCACTCCTACTTCCAGTGTGGTTAGAGACAATGACACTTAACTGGTTATTATTTCACTGTTTCTACTGCAATTGTTCATATCCTCAAAGAACTTGTTTTTTAGTTAGGAAAACAAACTTAGTACAAGTACCAAATGTTGCTTGGCATTGATGGTTGATACAGAAGGAATTTATAAGATTTCGCCTTTATAAGATTTTTTATGATTCTACACAAATGGTAGAGATATAAAATAAGGAGAAATGCCTCTTCATGTAACTCCAATTCGAGTGAATTCACTGGACTAGGAGGTATTTTTGTTAACTTGGGGACTGTTTTCTTTTGTGGTAGAGAAGAAATTTTAAAAATTGGTCAGCTCACGGCCAGGTTTTAAAAATAAACATTTTCTAATTCTTTCATTTTATAGTTTCACCTGACCTGGTATGCCACAAACGCTTTCATGTTTCATTTGAGGATTTTAGATTTAGATGTTCAGGAATCCATGCATTTTTTATGGTACCATGACAAAGTCATAATCGTAGTATGAAAATTATACAGATAGAATAAACTCATATACTCCTTTTTTTTCCTTTTGAGATGGAGTCTCGCTCTGCTGCCTAGGCTGGAGTGTCCTGGTGTGATCTCGGCTCACTTGCAGCCTCCATCTCCTGGGTTCAATCAATTCTCCTGCCTCAGCCTCTTGAGTAGCTGGGACTACAGGCACATGTCACCACAGTTGGCTAATTTTGGTATTTTTAGTAGAGACAGGGTTTCACCATGTTGGCCAGGCTGGCCTTGTATGCCTGACTTCTGGTGATCCACCCGTTTCAGCCTCCCAAAGTGCTGGGATTACAGGCGTGAGCCACCGTGCCCGGCCTCATCATATGCTATTGTTATTTAAGTATATGTATGCACATGCACATATATGCACATATGAACTCATGCAACTATTCAGTAAGATATGTGAAGTTTAGTTACTCTTTAAGAACAAGAGGCTTTGGGATAACTTTACCAGTAGGGAAATTTATGGCCAGATAGACTGCATATATATACATGCATCAGCTGGGACGACTCAGTTATTTTGGCTTCATTTGAATCAGCTTCATTGACATGGTTTCCATGTCAGAAGGGCTTTCCAGCTGGTATTTCAGTCGTCTTCATCTGATTGTCCATGTGGATGAGACGATTAATTGTGCATAAAGTCAGCCTTTACATCATCATCCCCAAAACTGATTTAAGCAGAGTGGCCAATTTAGTGACTTTGTATATAGACATAAACCAAATTAGTGATATGATTGTCCCCACATCTGCCAATGTATTTTTGAAATCATATTTATTAGAAGACTAGAAATATTTATTTTTAAAGCAGCTTTGTAATTTTTGTGGGGAATCGTTTGGTATTTTAAGAACTTAGTTTTCATTGGAATATATTTTCTTCCATTTGTTTTATCATTCCTCAAATATTTCTTGAGTACCTATTAGTGTTAACCACCTTAAATAAGGCAGATACAATCACCATCCTCAAGGAGTTGACAATTTAATTTTTGATTTGTATTATTAACAAGAGATTAATGTATTCACTATAGTTAAAGAGGAATTAATCTGAGTAACAGGTCAAATATTGAAGTGAAAAGATGCCTGAGGATATTTTTCTATTCTATTTTTGTGAAATGAGGAAGGGCAAATTTGATTTTTCTCTTACTCTAGGAATTTGATCCTAGTAGGGTGGAAATTAAACCTTTGGAGATTCTAAGCCTTGAAGAGATTATGGTGCGACCCCCCCGTTCCTGTGAAATTCAAAATAAAATTGTGAGTTTAGAAATGCCACATGATATATGTGAATGTTTAAATTAAAATAGCTTCTTTCTAGAATGCAGATGGCTACATTTTGGATAAGTATTTGGAAGCTGATTTTTGCAGAGCAGTTGTGGGGGCTGCCTTTATTTCACTAGTGTTCTCACCCTCTGTTTATGCCCTGGATCCCAGAGAACAAAATTGTTAACTGGTTGTCTTGTGTTCTTAAGCCGAGTTGTTAACTAGGCTCCAGTGAGAGGATGCAGGTGACTTTTCTGAGACAATGCTTTGCAGCTTGTATGAGATTCTTAGAGAAGTCTGGTCCTCCCTGCCCCAGCCTCTCCCACTTTCCACCTGCTATGCCTTCTTAAAGATTAAGATCAGGTTGGGTGTGGTGGCTCACGTCTGTAATCCCAGCACTTTGGGAGGCCGAGGCGGGTGGATCACCCGAGGTCAGGAGTTCTAGACCAGCCTGGCCAACATGGTGAAACCCTGTCTCTACTAAAAATACAAAAATTAGCTGGGCATGGTGGCAGGTGCCTGTAATCCCAGCTACTCAGGGGGCCGAGGCAGGAGAATCCCTTGAACCCAGGAGGTGGAGGTTGCATTGAGCCGAGATTGCGCCACTGCACTCCAGCCTGGGGAAAAAGAGCAAGACTTCATCTCAAAAAAAAAAAAGTTAAGATCAATATTTCATTATTTTAATTGAAGTTTTATTTTTAGATAATTGTTATGTTCATATGTAGTTGTAAGAAATAATATGGAGAGATATTCCATGCCCTTTAACCACTTTCCCCCCAATGGTAACATCTTTCAAATTTGTAGGACAATATAACAACCAATATATTGACAATGATACAATTAAGATATAGAACATTTCATCCCCTGGAGGATCCTTCACAGTCTTCTTATATAGCTGCCCCTCCTGCCCCTGTCCTCCATATCCCTAATCCCCTGACAACCACTAATCTGTTTTCCTTTTGTCATTTTGTCATTTCAAGAATATTATGTAAATGGAGTCCAGGCTTGGTGGCTTGTTCCTGTCATCCCAGGACTTTGGGAGGCCAAGGCAGAAGGGCCACTTGAGCCCAGAAGTTTGAGACTAGTCTCAGGCAACATAGTGAGACTGTCTCTACAAAAAATAAAAATAGAAAATTAGCCAGGTGTGGTGGTACACGCCTGTAGTGCTGGTTATTTGAGAGGTTGAAGTGGGATGATCACTTGACCCTGGGAGGTTGAGGCTGCAGTGAACTCTGATCATACTACTATACTTCAGCCTGAACGACAGAGCAAGATGAGACTCTGTCTCAGAATTTTTTAAAAAGAATATTATGTAGGCTGGGCATGATGGCTCACGCCTGTAATCCCAGCACTTTGGGAGGCCGAGGCGGGCAGATCACAAGGTCGGGAGTTGGTGACCAGCCTGATCAACATGGTGAAACACTGTCTCTACTAAAAATACAAAAATTAGTCGGGCATGGTGGAGAGCTACTCAGGAGGCTGAGGCAGGAGAATCACTTGAACCCGGATGGCGGAGGTTGCAGTGAGCGGCGGAGGTTGCAGTGAGCGGCGGAGGTTGCAGTGAGCTGAGATCGTGCCATTGCACTCCAGCCTGGGTGACAAGAGTAAGACTCCGTCTCAAAAAAAAAAAAAAAAAGAATGTAATGTAAAAGAACCATACAGTATGTAATGTTTGGGGATTGGCTTTTTTAAAACTCAATATAATCCCCTGAGATTCGTTCAGGTTGTTGTGTGTATAAGTTTGTTCTTTTTTCTTGCTGAGTAGTGTACCATGGTGTGTATGTACAATAGGTACCGTAGTTTGTTTAGACACTCACCTGTCGAAGGACATGGGTTGTTTCTGGTTTTTGGCTATCATGAATGAAGCTGATATACTCATATAAGCATTTGTGTAGAGGTTTTCACGTGAACATACGTTTTCGTGCCTCTAGGCAAATGTCCAGGAGTGCAATTGCTGGGTTGTAGAGTAGTTGTGTCTAGTTTTTAAAGAAACTGCTGAACCGTTTTCTCACAGTTGTACCATTTTACATTCACATTAGCAATGTGTGAGTGAATCGGTTTTTCTGCATCTTTGCCAGCATTTGGTGTCATCACTGTGTTTTATCTTAGCCATTCTTCTAGATGTGTCGTGGTATCTTATTGTGGTTTTAATTTGCATTTTTGTAAAGGGTAGCAATGTTGAGCATCTTTTCATGTTCCTGTTTGCCGTCCATGTCAGTAAAATGCCTGGATTGCTTATTTTTTAACGGTTGAGTTTTGAAAGTTCTTCATATATTCTAGATATCAATCCCTTTTAGATAAGTGGTTTGCAAGTATCTTCTTTCAGTCTTGTCTTGTCAGCCTAATATCCTGAAGATGTTTCAATTTTTTTTGTAAGTTTTATAGTTTTATCTTTTATATTTAAGTCCATCACCCATTTTGAGTAATTTTTGTATAAGGTGTGCATTTCAGGTCAAGGTTATGCCTATGGATGTACAGTTACTCCAGCACTTTTTTGAAAAGGTTGTCTTTTCTTCATTGAGCATTTTCATGTCTTCGCCTGGGTCCTCTATTCTGTTCCATTGTTCTATATGCCTTATATATGTACAGTGATATGTCTATATATGTCTATATATGTCTGTATTTGTATATATAGACATATATGTCTATATATGTCTGTATTTGTAACTATACAATAAGTCTTGAAATAGGGCACACTGATCCCTCTCAGTTTATTCTTTTTCAAAATTGTTTTAGCTATTCTAGTTCCTTTACCTTTTAATATAAATTTTAAAATAATGTCTATAACTACTAGAAATCTTTCTGGGATACTTTCTCATTTTACACACACACACATGCACACACACACACACACGATTTAATTGGTGCATTAGTTTATTTTTGTGGTGGAAATAGCAGAAGTTTGAGACTCACACTTTAGTTTGGGTCTCAGCTTGGCCGCTTATTGGCTCTGTAGCCTTAGGGAAAATTGCTTACTCTTTCTGATCTTTACCTTACTTATATATGAAAAATGAGGATAATATACGAAAGATGAATATACCAGGCTCTTAATCCTGTGCCTGACTCATAGTAGAAACTCAGTGAGTCATACTATTGATTTTTATTTTTTATTGGTAAGAGGTTGAAATGATATTTTTAGTTTATTGTCTGTGAGAACCATGGCCTTGGTGGAAATTAATTCACTCATATTCCAGCGGAAGAGTCATGTTTTTGATAATAAAAAAAAAGGTTGCATTCTATCTTCCTCTTGCTGTTGTCTTCTATGATATATTTTTGTAATATTGGGTTTATTTAGGAGCCTCCAGTGAAATCCTATCTTAGAACATAAAGACTTGAATATATTAGCCAAAATGGCAGAACTTTGATTATAAGACTGGCCACAGTATTTTTGCCTATTAACTCTAACAGCTTTGTCCAAATGTGAGATTTATATATCTGGAGAGATAATTTTAGGGTAGTAAACAGCATTCAATCATAAAATGAGAAAAAGTATTATTTATTGTCCAACATAACTCAAAGAGTTGGTGACTACTAGGTCTTTTCCTAGAGAGGACCATCCTGACTTAGGTGCAGAGTGTTCAGCTCACAGCGTCATGTTTCATTGCACTGATTAACTTTATATTATGTTAAATTTGACATTTTCTCTCAAGTGATACTGGTTTCCAATTTCAGATAAGAATGTGTGCTTCCTCTTTAAATAAAGCTTATTTATTTAAAAAAGCAAAGTAACTTAATTAATGTTAACTTACAGTGCAGGTATTATATGACCATGCAGTGACAAAAATTTTGGAGGTAGGTGGTGGTACACAGACGCAGTGCAAATCCAAAGGGTGCAGGACTGAAGTGTGGGAAACTGCAGACCAGTGTACTTATTTTTTAAAATAGGTTTTCTAAAATTTCTTTACTTATAGCCGCCAAATGTCATCATTTTATATAAATAACTTAAAAATTAGGTGCTTAGGGAAAAAACTCCCATGTACCCAATACCATCCTCTTACAAGACTTTCCTCTGATATCACCATGTATATGTCACTTCTCACCCCCCAAAAACTGTACAACCTTATTTTGGTTTTGCCCAAGCCCTTATTTTTTCTTCCCTTCATTCGGATGTACAATGGATACTGCTGTGATTAACAGAAAGAGAAACTAGCAAGTCTCGTCAATGGACTAACTCTTTTATTTAATACAAGTTTCCATGTTTAGAAGAGCAATTCAACTCTTAGAATTCATTTTATTATCTTAACACCATACATTCATTCAATAAAAGAAATTTATTTTCCAAACTTTTAAGAAATCATACTTCTTTGAATCCCCTAGCAAAATTGACTCTTTATACTAATTTCTCAGTTTCCAGGTTTCTGTCTACCAAAGTGCAGATATGTTGGCTAATCTGTGTAAGAGCCACTTTTTGAGTCTGGGTTCCATTCCACCAACAGTGGCCTCAAATCTGGAAGTTATCACGAACGTAGTCTAGTCTTCAGCATCCATTAATTCAGTGTGGTGTAAAGTGAGATTGGATAGCAACCCTTCCCAGAGAGTTTGTCCTCTTGGAGAAGTCTTCACTGGTTTGAATCCATCTTCTCCATTAACTGGTTGCTCTTAACGTCTGATTTTCTCCTGGCTGGCTGTCTCTTGGCATCCATATTCCTTCCTCAGAATGACTTGCCTTGACTACAACATTTAAGTTGACTCCTCACATCCTTCTAGAACATCACGTAATTTAAATCCATGTATAGAACTTAACAATTTTTCTTTATTTTGTGCCATTTATTTCTCTTCTCTTTCTGTTTCTCTGTTTCTATATACATTTTTTTCTTGTTTGTTTTTCTTCTGTAAGAGAGGGAATGAACAAGATAGCCAAGTCCCTGGCCTCATAGAACTTACTCTAAGAGACATAAGTTTTATCTTACATATATTATTTGCTTATGTATTTTTCCTTCCCTCCTTCCTTCTTTCCTTCCTTCCCTCCCTCCCTTCCATATATTATTTGCTTATGTGCTTTTCCTCCCTCCCTCCCTCTTTCCCTACCCCTCCCCTCCCTCCCCTCGTCCCTCCCTCCCTTCCTACCTTCCTTCCTTCCTTCCTTTTATTATTAAATATGTGCATGAAGTAGGTGTTATTTTATGCCCATTTTACAAATTATTTACATCTGACAGTAAGTTCTCTGAGGCCAGGGACTTTGGCTATCTTGTTCACTGCTGTATCCCCAGGTCGTAGTCCTTAGTAAATTCTCAATATTTGTTGATTGAATGGATGAATGGTTTTACTTCCTGTCAGAAGAATGGAATGGTGTATTCAGATGTAAGAAGACAAATAGAAAACTGTGCCTATATCCCATCTCATTTTGCAGTAGATTCTCTTCTGAACAGTAGAACATTTTAGAATTTCTCATAGTTGTTTATATATAATCTGCAAATTCATCATCAGGAAATACAGCAGTTAATATCAAAGGTTTGGATTTACTCCATTAAAATTAAATTTTATTTGAATTCTTTTGGAGTAGGTAATATGTACCCTTGGTACAAAATTCGAGGATACAAAGTTTATACACCAAAGAGTAGAGTTTCCTTTCATCTCCATTTCCTAGAATCATCTCGTTCCCTTTTTCAGAAGCAACCACTGTGAATAGTCTCTTCCAGAATAGTCTATATATAAGTAGTTTTGTGTGTGTGTGGGCTTGTGTGCATGTGTGTGTCTGTATGTGCGTTTGCATGCAATTTATACTTATATAGTCTTCTGAGCCATGGATTTCTTATTTAGTGATATATCATAGTTTTGAATAATTCGATAGGATTCCCCTGTATGGATATATCTTATATATTTTATTTGATTATTTATTTATTCTTCTTTCCTTCCTTCCTTTTTTTTGTTAAATATGTGCATAAAGTAGGTGTTATTTTATGCCCATTTTACAAATTATGAAACTGAGATACTAAGAGGTTCAGTTTTTGGCCAGCTCACACAGCCTTATGTGTAAGAACCTGGGTTCGAATCCAACGTCTATCTCTTTCATGGAACATTGGGGTAAATCCATTTTTTTTCCTCTGTTACAAACAGTGCTATAGACCACCCCTCATCATACCCATTGGAGAGCCTGAAGGTGAATAAATTCTTAGAAGTGGGACTTATTGTTCCAAGGGTATTCACATGTAGAATTTCATGAAAGTTGCTTTGGAGGATGTTCTCCAGCAGTGGACAAGAAAGCCCATTTCCTCTCATTTTGTCACATTAGGCCTGAGAGCCTTTTCAACGTTTTGCTAGTCTACGAGGTGAGAAATGGACTCATTTGTGTATAGATTTCCCTAACTTGTGGCTGAGTTTCAAGGCATTTTATAATTAGAATCTTTTCAGTTGTGCAGGCTTTTTTCTTTTAAGAGTAATATTTACTCAACTCAAAAAGTAGTTATTTAGTGAGCATTTACAAACATATAAATCATAATTTACTGTCTTAAAACACACCTTCCTGGGAAATGGCTCAATGGAAATCTTTTACCTAAAAGATAGGATAAATTATATGTTAACTGTTACTGTATTTTTTCTCTAAAAATTAAATTATGAATTTGCACTTTTGATAAATATTATGTTGAATGAAATGATACATATATACATATACATACGTATATACATACATATATTTTAAATTTAATCAGATAAATACATATTCATTAATACAGCTCAGTCTATATTCTTGGTCAATCTTATAAAATGCTTCAAGTGTGTCTAGCCATGTGGCAGGAGTGGGAGGGTAGGGGATGATGTGAATCTTTGTACTGAGTGCTAGATATAATTTCTGAATGTTGCATTTATGTTGTTCCTGGGTATCTGGTATCTTGAGCCTCTTTTTTCCTTTCTCTCTTATTTTTATTTTTTGAGACGGAGTCTTGCTGTGTCACCAGGCTGGAGTGCAGTGGCACGATATTGGCTCATGGCAACCTCCGCCTCCCGTGTTCAAGCAATTCTCCTGCCTCAGCCTCCCGAGTAAGTAGCTGGGACTACAGGCGCATGCCACCACGCCCAGCTAATTTTTGTATTTTTAGTAGAGATGGGGTTTCACCATGTTGGCCAAGATGGTCTCGATCTCTTGACCTTGTGATCCGCCCACCACGGCCTCCCAAAGTGCTGGGATTACAGGCGTGAGCCACCGCGCCCAGCCTCTTTTCCTTTCTCTCTAAGCTCTGGCTATAGCATCTACTTTTCACTCTTCAAATGGTGAACTCTTTTCCGTCCATGTCTTTGCCATCTCACGCTTCCCTTTGTCAGTAACGTTCTTCCATGGCAGGCTCTGACTTCATTGTCAGGTCAAAAGTCCCCTGCCCAGGGAACTGTTTGACCATCCAATCTTAGGTGGTCTCCTTCAGGTATTCTCTGTCTCACTCCTTTTTAATTGCATGCAGAATCATGCCTCACAACTGTAATGATTTCTTAAATTATTCATTTCTTTGTTGCTTGTTTCTTCTAGTAACCACAAGCACTGAGCGGGTCTTTTTCTGTTTTGTTCATGGCTGAATTCTTAGTGGCTAGAATAGTATCTGAGCACACAGTAGGTGCTCAATAAATATTTAAGTGAATAATTGAAAACCTGAAATAACATCTTGCATGTTAAATTATGAAAGAGGCAAGTCACCCTAGCATAGAATACATACTCATATTCATATATGTCAAGAAATTCCAAAAGGTTTGTGGAATTCTATTGTGTGATTCTTGATTCTTGTAGCCTTTTTGCAGTATCGCAGCTGCAGTCCCCAGGACAGGCCAAACTGGTAGAAGAGAAACCTGGCCAGGGTGAGAAGGGCCCAATTTTCACCCCTGTCCTACTGCCGGCCATCTGCTATGAGCAGACCATGTCACTGAACTGCTTACACCTCGGCTTCCGCTGCGGAAGATGGAGACGGAAATGCCTGCCCTCCTTCCCCCACCAGCTGTTCACCTCTGCACAGGAAGGGTGACTGTGGTTGTGAAGAGCATCTCAAGTACCCGAAACATTCTATTCAGTCCCAAGTGGGTCTCCGCAGCATCCCACCATTGGCTTCCTGAGTGGAAAATAGCTGAGAAAACTTGGGATTTTTCTCCAAAATTACCATGACTTGTATCAGATCCCAAACAACTGAATGTATTCTTTACTTTGGATTCCAAGAGTGATCTCATATTAGAAAAAGCAGAGTTTAATTTCTGGCAAAGAATGGCAAAAAATGAAAGAAAGAGAGAAAAAGAGAGAGAAAGTGAAAGAAAGAGAAAAAGAAAGAAAGACAAAGGGAGGGAAAGAAAGAAAATGGACCCACTCTATCTACAACAAAGGATATCATATGTATATATGACATATATATCATATATATAAATTCATATGTCATATATATAAATTCTTTTAATTTAACCAGTATTTTATATTACATATACATGGTAGAGAAAGAAAACAATGCAAAAAAGGATAGAATGAAGAGAAAAATTTTCTCCAACCCCAGACTGGTCTCACTTCCTGGGGTTAGTCATTCTTAGCAGATTCTTGTATATTAGTACAGAGACGTTTATTAGAGGCAAGCATAAAAGTGCGTGTACTTGTGTGTATATATATAATTTGTTTTACACACATGGGTTCATATTATACAATCCTATTATATACTTTGTCCCTTTTAACGTATGTTGAAACACTTTTCAAAAATTTTTATGAATGGTCAATATTCATTTTTTTCTATGTCACAATTTCTTTAATGTAGTCCACTAACAATGGACATTTTTAGGTAGTTTCCAGGTTTTGCTATATAAACAATGAGGTAGTGACATCCTTGGGTATACACTCACGCATACATGATACTGTATTTCTAAGATAAGTCCTAAAAAAAAGAGTTACTCTTACACAGTTGTGTACATTTACACTTTTGAGGAATAAAACAAATTTTCTTCAAAGAGGTTGTACCAGGTACACTCTGGTAAAGAGTGCTTGTAAGAGTGTGGCTTTGTGTGTGTGTGTGTGTGTGTGTGTGTGTGTGTGTGTTTTAGGATCAGAGGTAACAGAGAGAACAACTTTTTAAAGGATGTTCTTGGCCAGGTGCGGTGGCTCACGCCTGTAATCCCAACACTTTGGGAGGCCAAGGGGGGTGGATCACTTGAGGTCAGGAGTTCAAGATCAGCCTGGCTAACATAGTGAAACCCTGTCTCTACTAAAAATAAAAAAAGTTAGCCAGGAGTGGTGGCGGGCGCCTGTAATCCCAGTTACTCGAAAGGCTGAGGCAGGAGAATTGCTTGGCCCCAGGAGGCGGAGGTTGCAGTGAGCTGAGACTGAGCCACTGCACTCCAGCCTGGGCAACAGAGTGAGACTCTGTCCCCCTCCAAAAAAAAAAAAAAAAAAAAAAGGGATGTGTTTGTCCCTCTGCTCCTTGGCTCAATCCCCCACTCCCCAAATCTGTTCCCTTTATGGCAAATTGATTACCTAAAAATTGAATCTAATTCTATCCTACCTTTCTTACAACTTTCCTGTGCCTTCCCCTTGCACATGAATATCTCTGAAATGTACTCAGGACACTGTGTGACCCAGAGCCTGCTGCGTTCACTCGCTGTGTCACACCATACTACCCAAAATCAGTGCATGAGCCCAACACACCACCTTTAGTTCCTCCAGTAGGCACGCGCTTTCCTTTGTCACCATCCTTATATGTGCTCTTCCTATTGACTAGCAAGTTCTTCCCCTTACTCTTAGTTTCTCTAATTACTGCTCATCTTGAAAATCCAGGAAATCTTTTTCTGACATATCCCAGTCTAAATGGTAGGGGTAGCCACATGCTACATGTGGACATGTAAATTTAATTAAAATTAAATATAAACTTAAAAACCCAATCCTTAGTCACACTAGCCACATTTTAAGTGATAAATAGCCACGTACATAGTCATCAGTGGCTACCATATTGGACAACACAGATATTTTTCTAGGCTGAATGCGGTGGCTCAGTCCTGTAATCCCAGCACTTTGGGAGGCTGAGGTGGGAGGATTGCTTGAGGCCAGGAGATTGAGACAAACCTGGGCAACATAACGAGACCCTCGTCTCTACAAAAATTAAAAAAACTTTGTTGGGTGTGGTGGCTGGCACCTGTACTCCTAACTACTCAGGAGGCTGAGGTGGGAGGATCATTTAGGCCCAGGAGTTGGAGGCTGCAGTGAGCCATGATCATGCCACTGCACTCCAGCCTGGGTGACAGACTGAGACCAAGTCTCAAAATAAAAATTAAAAATTAAATATTTCTATAATTGTAGAGAATTCTATTGGACAGTGCTTCCCTATATTACTTCTTCATAATACTCATGGCTATTTAAAAATACTTGTTTTGAGAGTGTTGTTTTGATGATTTTAGCCTCACTAGCCTGTGAGCTTCACAAGGGCACAGCTTGTCTCACTTCTTGCTTTTTCCCTTATATTAAATGTTCAATAACTATCTGTTGAATGAATGATGAGTGAATGAATTAAAGAATTCCTCTCAGCTCTTCGCTTTATTGTTGTACTCTTAATGTTCAGTGGACCTTCTGGGAAGGAGCTGGATGTTCTACACTTTTACCGATTTCCTTCAAAACTGCAGTTGGATACCTTAGCAAGACTCATTCATCTGGGGATATTTAGCCTTTCCTATTGGGTTTGACATTTCAGAATCCATTGCTTAACTGTGGGAAGATTGACTATGATTGAGCTAGACCTGTGTGGTGAGCATGGTTTTAATAGTTTGCTTCCCAGATCTCCATCCCTGTCTTAATGACTGAAGCATTCCTTCTACCAGCTGCTTGGAGTGTGACTCAGTGACAGCTTGCAGCTGAGCTGGTACTTAGTTGGGTGTGGTGGCTGGCACCTTTAGGCAAGGTAGCTTGGCCCATGGTTCTCCCTTGATTTTACCCAATGTTCTCAAAACTAAAATAGCTCGTTAGTTTAATTTTCATAAAATGGAAATTTGATAGATCATATTTTATTTATTATGTTGTTAAAATGCCCCACTCTCCTCAGTAGATTCATACACTGAAAAAACTCTTTGAAGCCCTTGCTGAGAGTACATCACAGCTGACCTGTGCCCGCCCTTGACTCCCTCCAAGGTGCTGATCCTGAGAGCCCTCCGCAGTGAACACCCTGCATGCAGATCTCCTTCTTGGAACCTGTTCCTGGAAAACCCAGTCTCCAGCAACCTGATATGTAACTGCAAATCTGCAACTCTAGACCAACCTTCTAAAGAGGGATTTAAGACCTTTTTCAAGAATCTGGCTTGATTTTTTGGCCCATGGTTCTCCCTTTATTTTACTCAATGTTCTCAAAACTAAAATGGCTCTTTAATTTGATTTTCGTAAAATGGAAATTTGGTAGATCATATTTTATTTACTATGTTGTTAAAATGCCCCAATCTCCTCAGTAGATTCATACACTGAAAAAAAAATAAAAAAGAAAATACCTTAACTGGTTCATTACATTGAATTTGCACTGGGTAAAGGGTTAGTACCAACTGTGTTTTTCTCTGGGAGGAAGAAGCTCCAAACAGTAGGCAAGATTTCTGTGCCTTAAAGAAATGTTACTTTAGCTTTTCTTGCTTCAATGGCCTAATAGCAGCTCTTCCTGAGTACCTGTTTATATCACCATAAAAAGGGAATGCTGGTTATAGCTCGTTGTAGCCAGAGGGAAGAGAGATGCTTTTGTCTGTGGGATTGATTCCACTTTAATCCTGAACAGGGTATTTGGCCATCAAGTAGCCTACTGACTGAGGGGAGAAAATTTTATTTTAATTTTTTCTCATAACTGTCAATTTCATTGGGCAGCTATACATTTCTGGGGAATATTTGTATAATAGATGGAATTATAGAAGTTACGCTCACAAGCAGATATTTTGAGATTGATTAAAGATTTAGAAAGAAGTGGCTGGGCGCAGTGGCTCACGCCTGTAATCCCAGCACTTTGGGAGGCCAAGGTGGGCTGATCACCTGAGGTCAGGAGTTCAAGACCAGCCTGGCCAACGTAGTGAAACCCCATCTCTACAATAATTAGCCGGGTATGATGGTGGGTGCCTGTAATTCCAGCTACTTGGGAGGCTGAGGTGGAAGAATGGCTTGAACCCGGGAGTCGGAGGTTGCAGTGAGCCGAGATCATGCCATTGCATTTCAGCCTGGGCAACAGAGTGAGACGCCATCTCAAAGAAAAAAAAAATTAGAAAGAAGTACATTTCCCAGGCTTCTGGGGTACCTCTAAGTGAGACTGACAATTTTACACATAGGACTGCAAAAGTTCTTTATCATACAGAAGTAAATTTCTGAAGTTAAATTCATTTTAGAGAGACAGGCACAGGATCAAGCGTGTGTGAAGGAGATTGGACGTTTTATTGGCATTAAATTTTGAAGCTTAGTTTTCAGACACAGATGAAGTTGAATATTATAAAGATGAAGAAAAGACCTTTTGTTAGACTAATTGCTCTAATATTAACTCAAGAATGGGTCAACTTTCTGCAAGTTAAGGTCATGCATTCTAGGGAATTCGATCTTGATTTTAAATAGGTGTCATGAATACAAAGTTAGAAATACCAGTTTCTCCTTTTATCTTACAAAGGTGTAGGCTGAGAAAGGCACTGGCATATTAGCTGGAGAAAGACTAACAGGAAGAATATAAGGGTTATTAAAAATGTTTCCTACTATTCTCTGATCTAGAGAGGCATGCAAGTGAAGATCATATTAAATTTAAGGGAGAGCATATTGGATGAATAACATCAGTTCAAGTTTTGAAATCCTTGAGAAGAAAAAAAGAGCTGAGCACGGTGGCTCATGCCTGTAATCCCAGCACTTTGGGAGGCCAAGGCGGGTGGATCAGGAGGTCAGGAGATCGAGACCATCCTGGCCAACACGGTGAAACCCCGTCTCTACTAAAAATACAAAAATTAGCTGGGCGTGGTGGCAGGCGCCTGTAGTCCCAGCTACTTGGGAGGCTGAGGCAGGAGAATGGCATGAACACGGGAGGTGGAGCTTGCAGTGAGCCGAGATCGCACCACTGCACTCCAGGCTGGGCGACAGAGCAAGACTCCGTCTCAAAAAAAAAAAAAAAAAAAAAGAAAAAAATGAACCAGCATAAATCGACATTTAGAGTACAGAGAGATTCGATATTAACTTCTCCAATTCTGTACTTTACAGATGGGGAAACTGAGGGCAAGTGAGATTTCATGATTTCTCTAAGATTCTGGCCTCTTAGTAACCACATTTTTAAGCTGTAAAACATATAACCTGGTGGCTCAGAGCATAAACCTCTGTGGGAGGCGGTGGACAGACAGATCTTTCTATACCATGGCTACATTGTGATTCTGGACACGTTACTTAACCTCTCCTAATTTCTGTTTCCTCAGTTAAACAATATCAATAATTATGGCTCCTGAATCACAGGGATGTCTTGAACATTAAATAAAATAGTTGCTGTAGAGCCTTTTCATAACCCATTAGCTACTTTGAAAAGCAGATTCTGAAGTTGCGGACCATGGCTGGTTGTTCACCTGGATTCCTGAGCCCTGGAACATAATGGGTCCTTAATGAATCAATGAATGAATATTACAAACCCGAATGTAGAGACACTGCTTCATGCATTATGCAGGCTAAAATTGTCATCCATTTAAAATGCCAATTTAAACAGTCTTACATTTGAACAACATGCAGCTACTTTACTTTTGGAATATCTAGTTCTGAACTCTTGTAATTGAAGTGTAAACTTGTGTAACATAAGCATAGGTAACATCTTCTAAATGGAGGAGTGGAAGGTTAAAAGGTGGCATAATCTATTATAAGATTAAAAACATCATCCACTAATGAGTTTGAGGTTTTCATGTTTTGCTCTATTCTATGTTACTCCATTTGCTATATCTTGTAGAAAATTGTCCTGACATATTGTGGAGTAGGAGGAAAAAAGTGAGTGTCAGAAAAAAAGGAATTCTGGCACAAATGTGTCCACATATATATTTCTGCATGCTTGTAGGAAAATGAAGAAAGGAAAGACTTCTAATAGTAACTATGATAAAGGAACTGTGTTTTCCTTGAAGTGGGTGGAAGTGAGTTGAGTGGTCATTTGCTTTTGTATTTTTGTGCTTTTGTATTTATTTATCTGCTTATCTAGTAATCTATATTATTTATTCATTTATACAGTGTACATTCTTACCTTTTGTAATACAATGAAAACAATATTATGACCCTAATTGACCAGAGACAAGGAACAGTGGTTGGAAGGTGATTTCTTTTAGTGAATCTATTTAAGTTAAAATATTTTGAAAATCCCTTCTCTATGTCGTAAGGGTACATACTCAGATATTGTATTGTGTTGTCTTAAAAGACATCATCCAGTAACATCACTAAATTTTTCTCTTATGTATCTTTTGGGACCTTGGAGAGCAACAGATCATGTTCATCCATATGTAAATTAATCCATTTGTCACTTTCACTGTATATTTTGTGTTGCAGGAGAATTAGTGAGGCGGTGTTACTTTCTGCACCTTAGCATAATTATTGTGTCATTGTCAGAGACAGTGTAAATCTTGACATTTACAATGGAATATATTTTCCTTTAGTGACCATTACTAATGTTGTTTTAATTAAAAGCACTGATAGCTCAGGGTTTTCAGCAACATCTCTCCCATTGTCATAAATTAGAGGATTAAATTGTCTTATTTCATATCCTACTATGTTTACCAAGGGAACAATAGCAATTCTAGTTTGTCAAAGGAGAGAAAGATGGGATTTGGATTAATCTGCTCATATATTTAAGAATTGCAGCTTGGGTCAGTGAGAGACTGTGGTCAGATTGAGCAATTGGGAAGAGGAAGTTGGGTCATGTTTTCAGAGTAAATCAAGCTGATTTGGAAATAAAATGTACCTTGATAATTTGTTTACTTTTAATTTTTGTCACACTGCAAGTGTTGGTGTTTGCTGTTACGTAGCAAAATTACATTCAATATTTAAGGGCCACGATCCTGGTGAACTGTATAAAGAGTATGTTTTGTTTAGGACAATAATAGAAAGTGGGGAAGGAGAAAATCATGTTCTATTGAGCTTATTTTATTCACAAGCTAGTATTTTTGCAGATTTTCACTCTTTAGCCAAAAAAGACTTTTTTTCTCCCCTGTGGAAGAATAAAGCCATCTAACTGTCATTTAAGGGCAGTCACTTGTAATGCAAATATAGAAATATGGAAATATTGACAGATATGAGCTATATGCATCAGCATTCTGAGTTTGAAATTAATAATAATGGGACACTGACTAATAGCTGGTTCTGTACAGCACTATATGCTTGTACAGGGTAAACAGTTACTACCGGTGACCCCAATTTCATGGATGAAGAAGTTGGGGATCAGAGCACTGTCAAAGCTTGTCCTAGGCCACATGGTCAAGAGAGATGAACCTAGAATTTGAACTTGGGAATGTTTAATTAATTCTTAATTTAACTCTTGGGATAAGGTTTAAACATTGCTGTTACTCCCTTGGGAGAGAGAGGAGGATTCTTACATGCCATGCTAGATTTTCTGTATTCATCCTTTTTAATTCTCTTTTCACTAATCCTTTAAGGCATGTGTTATTAACTTCATTTAAGTTTTCAGGAAACTCAGGCTCCAAGAATTTGGAAGTTGTCCAGAGTTACAGACAGGGTAAAGGATTGGATAGAGTTTGAATTTGTATTTGTGGTACCGGTGTCCATGCTAGTTCTGTTACCTATACCTACCCTGATACAGACAGACCTAGAAGTCTCATCAGAATGCTGGATGGATGAGGAAGTGTGGGTGAATCAGGCATCACCCACAAAGACTGCGTCTGTGAATGTTCTGCTAATATGGCAGTTATTGTACTGCTATGCAGCCAATAATAGTGGAATTATTACTGAGTGGGAGGCTCTGTGTTTCACTTATGTTGTCTCTATGGCCAATTTAAAAACATCTCTGTGTACATTAGTAAGGTTAAGACACAGATTAATCAATCACATTTACACAAACAAGATGCTCACATCCACCGTTTATGGTTAATCACATTACTTGACCAAGTAGCAATACAGCATAATGGTTAAATCTGGGATTCAATGGAATCTCAGTCTATTCTGACGTGTTGTCACTGAACTCATTTTACAGGTAAAGAAGTTTGGGCTTGGAGGGATGCACAATTCACTGAAGATTGCTCACCTCGGAACAGGAGGAGCGAGGGGCTCAGATCCATGCCTTCTCTGCTTAATCTCTGCTATATTGATGCATAGTCCTGTAGCCAATCCTTGTAATTTTAATATTAGTAACAGGGCTAGGTGAATACCCCAGGTTACCACTTGAAGATTGTCTCTTTTAGATATGTTCTCAAACTGCTTTATTTACCTGATCCTCTGCAAATGAGGAGAAACTTCAAGAAGTTGCTAAATGAAAAAGTTAAAAAGTGGATTTTAAGGAAACTAAAGTGAATGCCATACAACTGACTTGAAAAAACAAAGGAAGAAGATGCAGCAGGGGTTTGAGCACTCTTTGTGGGTTTATTTCTTTAGGAAAAAAGACTAAAGCTAAATTCCATAGTTAGAATCTTTAGAAGAATCTTAATAACCAAGATCATCACCAATATAATAAACTAAATTTGAACACTGGACACGAAAAAAATAGGGAAGGCCACATAGATGTCAATAAACATTTTTCTTCTTTTTATTGTCATTGTTTTGCTGAATTTTATAATATTTTCCTTTTAATAACCTAATATGAACCTACTGCCCCAATACAAAATTATCATTTTGGTATATTTCTTCCTATTTTTTTCTCCTAAACATTGAAAGTTTCACATGGTTACAAGGATCACATATTTACAATGTCATACCCAGTGTATTTTTTTTTTTTTTTTTTTTTGAGATGGAGTTTCACTCTTGTTGCCCGGGCTGGAGTATAGTGGCACGATCTCGGCTCACCACAACCTCTACCTCCCGGATTCAAGCGATTCTCCTGCCTCAGCCTCCTGAGTAGCTGGGATTACGGGCATGTGCCACCATGCCCGGCTAATTTTGTATTTTTAGTAGTAATGGGGTTTCTCCATGTTGGTCAGGCTGGTCTCGAACTCCCAACCTCAGGTGATTCGCCTGTCTCAGCCTCCCAAAGTGCTGGGATTACAGGCGTGAGCCAACCGCACCCGGCCGTGTATATTTTTAAATGTATTTTGTTATGTTGTAAATACTTCCCCAAATCATCATTTTAACTTTAAAACTGTGAGTTTGAAGTCTATGATGACTAGGTACGTAGTTTACTTGATAGTAAAAACATTTAAGTTGTTTTTAACTAAAAGTGACACTCAGGCTTGTAACTTTGACCATGTTTTAGATTGTTTCCTTGGAATGGATGTGATAATGAAGTTAGAGAGTTTGAATATTTTTATGGCTCTTAATACATATTACAAATTAACTTCCCTATGGGCTACGATTTACATTACAGCCAGTTTTTAAGGCTAGAAATCTGGCAGTGGGGCTGGGCGCGGTGGCTCACGCCTGTAATCCCAGCACTTTGGGAGGCCAAGGCGGGTGGATCAGGAGGTCAGGAGATCGAGACTATCCTGGCTAACACGATGAAACCCCATCTCTACTAAAAATACAAAAAATTAGCTGGGCGTGGTGGTGGGCGCCTGTAGACCCAGCTACTCAGGAGGTTGAGGCAGGAGAATGGCATGAACCCGGGAGGCGGAGCTTGCAGTGAGCCGAGATTGCGGCACTGCACTCTAGCCTGGGTGACAGAGCGAGACTCACTCTCAAAAAAAAAAAAAAAAAAAAAAAAAAGAAGAAAAGGAAAAAGAAAAAATAAATCTGGCAGTGGGCCACAGAGGTAGCTGATGTTCTATTTGTTTTGCAGTCATCCATGCACTGGTTATAGGATGTGGCTCAGAATCCCAAACTAAGTAATAAAACAAAGTCATATGTAGAGTCCAATGTGTATATTTCGACCCTTAGCATGAAGATACATACAGTGTTTTGTGACTTCCATAATTTAGAGTCTCTGTAAATTCTTTAACTCATTTAGGTATTTCATTGTAACCAAAGAAAACTTAAATATGACTTAGCAATGGTGAGCTGTGCTGTGTTCAGCACATTAATAAATGCCACCAAATGATTTCAATGAACATTTTTAGTTCATTTGTTCTGAAACTAGAAAGAAGACACTTAATATTGGTTTCTGACTTTTGAGCAAATTTTATTTCCTCGGTTAATACTCTGAATGTAATTTACTTGCTATGCTTGCTAACAATGGAAAGCATTGAATTTGGTTTTGTGGCTTATGCTCTTTATCAATTATATGCCATTGATAAAGTTGTCTACCTCCACTGCAATACTGGGAAGGTTAATAAAGAGAGAGCGTGCTCATTTGAGTCAGTTCTGTACTGACAGAACGTGCATCTCTGGCTATTTGTGGTATGTATATGGCCTATCAGAAACTACAATAATAATTGAGACCAATTTAATAACCATTATACCAGTGACCTAGTCATTCTTGTAGTTTGGTATATTTAATGCATTTACATTCATTTGTGGATCCATGTAGACCACACATTCATTCATCTATTCAACGACTTTTCATTGAGTATCTTCTATGTATAAGGTAATTCTTTGTACCAGGAGATAACTGGTGAATCAGAGTAAACCAGAAAATAGATGAATGGTTAGTATCGTTGCTCTGCTATGCACTCATTTAATGAGTCATTTTAGGATTACTATAGCAACACTATTAAAAATTTTACAGTCATTCACATGGCTCGAAATTCAAGAATTAAAAGTTCAAAAGGGTATACAGGAAAGATTCTCTCACCCGTCTACCCAGAGCCACCAATTCTCCTCAAGAGGGCAATCAATTTTATAGTTTCTTCTCTTTCAGCCATATTTCAAGCATATATCAGCATATACATATATAGGTATATTTGTATATATGTCATGTGTGTGTACACCGCATTTTTTCCCCACAAAAATAGTATATATGCGCTATCCATTATTCTCTAACTACCTTGTGTCACTTAATAAATTTCAAAAAGCTCTTTTAATTATTACTTAAAGATTGGCCACATTTCTTTTTTATTCCTGTCAGCATGGTATTTCATTGTGTTAGATATTCTATTAATTTTGAATTCTTGTTGATTATATTTTATCATTATTATAAATAGTACTACAATGCATATCTTTACATAAGTTGCTTTCACTTAGATTTTTTTCCTTAATAACTAGAATTGCAAATTAAAGTGGAGCAAGTTTCTATGGCTATTGAAAAATATTCTTCAAGTTATAATCTGGAAATATTGATCTACAGTATGCACAGAATACTATGTTTTGTGTAAGAAGTGGGGGTAAGACTGTATATTTGTATTTGTATATATGTGCTTGTGTTTGCACAAGGAAATAATGCATTTAGTTGTAAGTCAGTGACTGGGTCTGGTGCAGGGGTAGGAAATAGAGGTGGAAAGCAGGCTAATTAATATATACCTCTGAAATAATTTTGAATTTTGATCCATGTGAATGTATTACTTTTTCAAAAAATTAATATTAACTATAAAATTAAAAATCAAAGTATATTTCTTTATTATTCTGCCATTTTCAATATATGAGTACACATGGATTTTTTTAAAAAATAATTTTATAGACTGGGGTATTGGAAAAGTAGTATAATCAGGTGGAATGCAGGAAGTCACAAAGTGGACCTGGCCTTGGAACGTGTTCATTGGTTGGATCTAATTCATAGTTTTGTTGCTTTTATTCTTGATTTTTTTTAAAAAAATGGAAAAGTAATGAAGTGTTTCCCAAATGTCATTTATTCATCCTCTTCACAGTCTTTGTCATATGTGTGAATAGTTTTCACTGTTATTCACTTACTACTTCACTAAAATAATTTATTTTTCTTTTTTTTGGATTTTTATAGCAGTGCCATTAACAAAAAGCCAATATTATTTTCCATGAGTAGAAGCTGCATAAATTGGAGCTCCTTCAGAGAAGAAGAACCACAGGAAGATATTTAATTAGAGGTTTGGTTTGGGGATTTTGGGGATTATTTCTTTTGCACTTGTAGGAACCTGGTTTGCAGGGTCTAGGTGCTCCTAGTGCTGAAACCTGACATCAGAAGTGAAGATGGACATAAAATGAGGTGATTGAAGACAAACTGCAGCCTATGAAGATGGGCTAGAAGCATCTGATTTTCAAAGCCCCCAATCCACCAACTTCAAAGATGGGGTCATCTTGTAAGGAGAAGAGCTAAGCAGGTGCTTGGCCGAGGTTTCTGAGGAGCTGAAGGAGGATCTGGAAGCAGTTAAAGTAGTTGCAGCCCAGCTGTTGTCCATGCCACCCTGGTGAACCAGCACATCAGAGACAGTGCGCATGAGTGAGAGTAGTGTGCACTGCCCTGAGCTTCCAGCGGGGAAGCTCACCTTCACCTTCCCACATCCTACAATATGGCTAACTTTGTCCACCTTCCAGATCTGGCTACCCTCAATATGGCTACCCTAACCTTCCCACATCCTACAATAAGGCTACCTTTGTCCACCTTCTAGATCTCGCGGTCCACCCTAATTCTGACCTGTGCAAGGAAAGCAATTCTTTGAAAAATAGTTCTAGTTTAACTGAGCTGATATAATACAAATCCACTGCAAAAGATAACTAAAAATAAATACAATGAAAATGAAGCAATATTAGACACATTGTTCAATGAAGGCACTGAGCCTGAGGCTTTCTCTTGTTGAAAAGCAAGATCTGGAAGTTTTAGGGGGGGTTTAAAATTATTGTTACCCACTGAATGGAACTTCTCCTTGACTCACTCAGAAGGACTGACATGAAAAATGAGTATCTTTCTCAACGTGAGGTTCTGTGCCATTTGTTGCCTCTCCCAATACAGTTTCTTCTTCTCTCTCAGTTGAAGGAGGATACAGGGGTGATTGGAGATGGTGTCATGCTATCCTTGGCCTTATCTGCATTTCTGCTTCTTAAACGAATGAAATGATGAACTAGATGATCATATGGTAGACAGAAGGGAAAAGAGTGATTTTATTTATCTGTAGACAGAGCTCTTTGAAGACCTGTCATGGGCACACATCAAAGACAAATGTTGTGTGCATCAAAGGCTTGTTGGCTTTTGAGGTGGTAGGTGAGAAAAAAGCATAGTTTGGCTCATATCTGTGAAAGGTGTTTTGGCCATCTCAGTACCCATTGGAGAATTTTGTGTAGCTAAAGAGACCTCATGACTTTGAGTTTCTGGCAGACCTACTAACTGTGGATGGAAGCACCAGGGGCTGGCTTCTCACTGAGATGCTTCTATTCATATCTGTCCCGGTGGCATTCCCCAAGTGGTGTCTCCTGGATCCCCTCCATCCTTGAATCTGTGCCTCATCCCACACCCCACTGCTCAGGTTTGAATTGGTTCTGCAGTTTACCAGTGGTTTGACCTTGGGGAAGTCACTTCAAGTCCCTGCAATGTAGGGATATTATAGGCTCCAAATCACTGGGTAGTTGTGAGGATTAAATCAGGGGTTGGTAAATTATGATCCAAAGGCCAAAATGCCCCTCTCTCCTGCTTGTTTTTGCAAATAAACTTTCACGGGAACACAGCCATACCCATTAGTTTACATGTAATCTGTGGCTGTTTGCACACCTCGCAGCAGCAAGTTGAGCAGTTGTGGCAGAGACCCTGTGGCTCACAAAGCCTAAGGTATTTACTGAAAAAGTTAGCTGACCCCTGGATTAAACAAGTGAATACCTATAAATTCAATTCCCAAATGTTTATGGGCTGCTATATTGAGGTATTGAGCCTATAAGAGTGAAGAAACACAGACAAAAGTCCCTGCCCTCATGGAGCTTACAGTTCAAGGAGGGAAACAGATAATAAAGCAAAAAGAAAACCCCCAAAATGTAAAATATATGTAAAGTGATTTAGTGGTATGGAGGGGGAAATGCAGGAAATAAAGAGAAAGAGAGAGAAAGAGAGAGTATAGGGGGTGGGAGATGCAATTTTAATTAGGGTCATTAGGGAACCTTCACTGAAAGAGTAACATGACATCAGAGCCATGTGGACACATGAAGAAGAGGGTTCCAGGCAGAAGGAACAGCCAGCATAAAAGGACAAGAGCCTTGAGGTGAGAGTGTGTGTCTGAGTGTTCAGAGACCAACAGGGAGGCCAGTGTACTCAAAGCCCGCTGGGTGGTGGAGAGGAGAGACCTGAAGATGCTTTCAGTGAGCTGGGACTTCCTTGGCCACAGACAGGATGTTGCATTTTGTTCTTCATGGGAAGGAAGGCACTACTGGCTTGTGAGCTGGGGATAGTGTGCTTTGGATTGCATTTTAAAAACATCACTCTGGCTGCAGATGGCGGCCATGAGTGGCAGCTTGAACTGGGGTTAGAGCTGTAGAGGTGGTGAGAAGCAGCCCAGCTCTGCCTATATTATAAAAACAGAGAGTTGAGAATTCCCTGACAGATTTGGAGTGCATCAGGAAAGAAAGAGAGAAGTCAGGAAGACTTTGATACTTTGACTTGGTCAACTGCAGGAATGGGATTACCATTAACTGCAATGTGGAAGAAACAGAGATAGGGCAAGTTTTGGGGTCAAGGTTAAGAGTCAGAATCAAAGATGTTAATTTTGAGCTGCCCCTTAGACATCGGGGTGGGATTGTTTAGAACAATGTCTGCCATGTAGTAAATTTTCAATACATGTTGGCTGTACCATGATTGGCATTATTACTGAAGGCTTACTCAATACATGCCATTTTATTTCTTTAAATTTTATTTTAATGTATTTTATTGAGACAGGGTCTTTCTCTGTCACCCAGGCTGGAGTTCAGTGGCACTATCATGGCTCACCGCAGCCTCCACCTCCTGGGTTCTAGCGATCTCCCACGTCAGCCTCCCAGGTAGCTGGGACTACAGGTAGGTGCCACCACGCCTGGCTAATTTTTACAAACTTCTTGTAGAGGCGGAGTCTCTCCGGTTGCCCAGGCTGGTCTTGAACTCCTGGGCTCAAGTGATCCTCCCTCCTTGGCCTCTCAAAGTGCTGGGATTAGAGGTATCAGCCACTGCTCCTGGCTTGATAAATATTTTTGAATACCTGCTATGTGGCAGCACTGTAGAAACAATGACTGAGTTCTGGTTTCTGTCTTCATGGGGAGATAGAGAAACACCTGGCGATCATACGCGAGGTCACTGCTCTGAAGCAGTGCAGCTTTCGGGGAATCACAGACTCTGCCTGGGTCCTAAACATGATTTCTTTGAAGTTAGCCATTTACAGTTTATTTAATCTATCTATATCCTTGTCCTCATCTATAAAATAGGAACATCAACTTTATTTGGATAATGCATCTAAGTGCTCAGTAAACACCAGCTGTTAGTATAACATAAAGGATTCTATAAAATCAGTCATTTGTTTCACAAATATTTTTTGAGTACTTATTACCACGTTACAGGAGTTTGGAAAGTACTTGGGATACAGTATGAACAAGAACACCCTGCCTTTAAGGAGATCAAGGGGGACTGAGTGGGGATAAATAAATGAAAATGATAGGTCGAGGTAATAACTACATAGAAAATAAAAATATATATGTTCTACAGCAGCACTGTCCAATGGAGACATAATTAGAGGCCACATGTGAGCCACATGTACAATTTAACATTTCCTAGAAGCCACATTAAAAAATAAAGTGAAATAGGTGAAATTAACTTTAATGCTATATTTTATTTAATCAAATATATCCAAGACATTATCATCTTAACCCATAAAAATATAAAAATTATTAATCAAACATTCTACATTATCTTTTCTACTAAGGCATCAAAAATCCGGTATTTTACGCCCTGTGGCACAATTCTTTTCAGCCTAGCCACATTTCAAGTGCTTGAAAGCTACATGTTGCTGATGGTGGTTGTCACATTGCACAGTGCAGGTGTTGAATGATGAGGTGTCTGCTTTAGACTGAATGGTCAGGGGAAGATGAGATCTTATGACAGGAAGGACCCAGCCATGAGAAATTTGAAGGAAGCCCTCATGGGTACAAGATAGAACTAGGCAAAGAACCTAGGGCAGGAATGGGCTTCTTATGATAATTAAAAGCAGATCAACAAAGCCACTGGGGCCACACCCTAGAGAAGAAAAAGGATAGTCATATCACAATGGAGAATTATTTGGGGCCAGTTCTGGTAGGAGTTTAAAGAGTTCATGATGAGGAGAGTGGATGCATTCTAAGTGTATTGAGAACCCGTGGAGGATTTAAGAAGGGAAGTGATATGATTAAGCTATCACTGACTGCTATGCAGAGAGTAGAATGTTAACAGCAAGCATGTAAGCACAAAGCCATGAGAAATACATCCAGTCTAGCTTTAGAAGCTCGAAGATGGCTTGGAGGAAATGTGTCCTAAAGAGGACTTACCCATGCCAAAGTTGGGTTTAGACGGGGTTTTCAGAGTCAGGGGGTGTTTTAGACCCATAGACTTCAAACTTTTCTGATTATACAATGCATGCAATTAAAAGTAGAACTCCCAGTATTTGTATAGGTGTTTATTTCCTATACATGTGCACTGCTATCAAACCATGTATTGCAGTGTTATTATTTTACTACAATTTTTCTTATTTATCCCACCTCCCCACCACACATAAATAAAAGTTTCATTATTTTTTTCTTTTATCCCACTGCATTTTACTTTGGAAATGACTGTTCCAGGCAGACAGAATTGCACAGGCAAAGGGCTGGGGATATAATGATGCTTGTCACACATACGAGATGGCAGGAGCTTATATCTGGAGGGTGGAAATAAGGAAGTGGGTAAGGTGATGGTGAGGGAGTGTTGAGAACTGTGCAGGGGCTACCTCATGAGGAGCTTGCAGGCTTTGGGAATGTTTTAATTTTTATATTTATTTATTTATTTATTTTGACACAGAGTTTCGCTCTTTGTTGCCCAGGCTGGAGTGCAATGGCGCGATCTTGGCTCACTGCAACCAGTGCCTACTGGGTTCAAGTGATTCTCCTGTCTCAGCCTCCCAAGTAGCTGGGATTACAGGCATGTGCCATCACACCTGGCTGATTTTGTATTTTTAGTAGAGACGGGGTTTCTCCATGTTGGCCAGGCTGGTCTTGAACTCCTGACCTCAGGTGATCTGCACCCCTTGGCCTCCCAGAGTGTTGGGATTACAGGTGTGAGCCACTGTGCCCAGCTATTTATTTATTTTTTTAGACAGAGTCTCGCTGTCTCACCCAGGCTTAAGTGCAGTGACACGATCTCGGCTCACTGCAACCTCCGTCTCCCTGGTTCATGCGATTCTCCTGTTTCAGCCTCCCAAGTAGCTGGGATTACAGGCACACGCCACCCCACCCAGCTAGTTTTTGTATTTTGGTAGAGACAGGGTTTTGCCATGTTGGCCAGGCCGGTCTTGAACTCCCGACCTCAAGTGATCCACTTGCCTTGGCCTCCCAAAGTGCTGGGATTACAGGTGTGAGCCACCGCACCCGGCCTAATTTTTAATTTTAATTTTAATTTTTATGTTTTGAGCTGGAGTCTTGTGCTGTCACCCAGCAAGGGTACAGTAGTGCAGTCATGGCTCACTGTAGCCTTAAACTGCTGGGCTCCAGCGATTTTCCCATCTCAGCCTCCCCAGTAGATGGGACTACAGTCGTGCACCACTGCACCTGGTTAATTTTACAATTTTTTTGTAGAGACAGGGGTCTTGCTTTTTTGGCCCAGGTTGGTCTTGAACACCTTGCCTCAAGCAATCCTCTCACCTCCGCCTCCCAAAATGCTGGGATTATAGATCTAAGCCACTATGCCCAGTTGGGAAAGATTTTAATATATTTTCATATATGATGGGAGGCCATTGCTGGGTTTTAAGCAAGAGATGGTGTCTAGTATTTTGGTAAGCATTTTACATTCATTTTCTCATCTTATTTATCTTTAACATCTGCAAAGCAGGAACAAATGAAAGGGTTTCAAGCAAGATAGTGATGAGAGCATTTATTATTGAGTAGAATTTTCTCCTTTCTCTCCTCTCCACTTCTCTAATTAAATTCTGTAAGTTAAAACTCATGCTGGTAAAGACCAAGCTTTAATCACAGAGAGAAATTTCATTCTAGGACAGACTGCTTGCCTGCTCACACTGACCCCTGCCTCCACCTGTCCCGAAAACTAATGCTGCCTGGGAGCTAGTCGACTAAAAACCACCCAGTTACACTGCGATCTGGAAATGTCCATTGGAGGCTTTCAGACGGCAGTACATATGCTTTTAAAAATACTGGGGTGGGGGGATGGGGGGAGGGAGAGCATTAGGGAAAATAGCTCATACATGCTGGGCTTACTACCTAGGTGATGGGTTGATGGGTGTAGCAAACCACCATGGCACACGCTTACCTATGTAACAAACCTGCACATCCTGCACATGTACCGCAGAACTAAAAATAAGAATTAAAAAAATACCGACTTACATTTTTTTGTTTGCATTCTTTATTCATATGGGAAATCTGCTGCTATAATAAACAAAGCTATTCATTTTTCTTACTGTAGGTTCTCCTTTCTCCCTTCCTTGGTTAAGCAAACTCACCCTAGAAGGGGCTGTTTATCCACAAATCCTCAGTAATTAAGAGTCACACTTGACACTTAATTTTAAAATATATGTACACTAAATAGCATAACATTTTAAAAACAGCTGATTTTAATCTTTGTACTTGTACAGTTTTTAGCTTTTTATTAGATTTAAAGAGAGAAGAAAACCATTTTATGTTAAATTTTTAGTCACTGTTAAGAGAGGTGTTTTATTGCCAATCTCTTTAAACCACAGCCAGGCATGTATACTCAGAAAATTACTTTACATAATAATGACTAACTGGAAAAACTGATAATATTATTGAAACATTGAGAGAAATGTTGTGGGGGGTTTTAAAATAAATTCAACATAGGATCCCATGGCCTAGTTTTGGAAAGAACAACTCTCCTTCCCGCTCTACTGGAATGCAGTTGGCCCAGCCCCCGCTGCCTTGCTTGAGTTCCCTTACATTGCCCTGGGTTGTGTTGGCTTGGAAGGCTGCCTGGCCTTGTGTGCTTGCTGGGCTGAAATTACTCTCCCTGCTCGGCTATTGGGAGCACACCCCATCTACAAATTTGTCCACTTGATTTCACTCCTGCGCCTCTGGAGTTGAAAGAGTAGCTCATTAAAATGGGAATGAGCCAGAGGGCTCCGCAGGGCTGGTTTGATCAACACTGTCCGTGGTGCTCAGCAGGACAACACAGAGTAGCATTTGCATCTGAGGACAGTCAAACCCACATCACCAGGCTTCAACCACAACTGCAGTAATAGCTACCATTTATTATTTTCTACGGGCTCAATGCTGAGCTAAACACTTTCATGTGCTTTTATTAAGCTTTACCTTGACTTCATGAGCTAGGTAGCATCACTTTGGAGAATGAGGGTGCTTTAAGTCACACACTTCCACTTCCAGGGTATCAATGCTGCATTGACCACTTCCTAGCTTTGTGACTTTGGGCAAGTGGACTAACTCCTGGATGCTCACATTTACCCATCTTTAAAATGGGGATATACTACATAGAGCTGTTGTATCAAGCAGGATACCATAGTGCCTGATACATAGTAGGTGCTCAATAAAAGTTATTGACATTGCTTTGCTAATAGGTACTTAGGTTTAGGAAGGTGAAGTCACCTGCTTAACTTCCTCATGCTCATAAAACAGATATTTTCTCTGGCCTTACCAAAAGATGAACCAAAGAAAGTAAAGTAGAAAAGGTGGTAGATAGCTGATAATTTTTTAAAATGTGTTTCTAGTATGCTAGTTTGTTATACATAGTTTCTTGGAGAATTTAAAAGCCGTTGGCTTAATGTTCATTCACTGTCAACTAACACTAGGTAAACATTCATAGCTGCAATTTATATTGGTGATGGTGCAAATGGCAGAAAATTCGATCCAAACTAAGCAAAGAGGAAGGTATTGGCTTATCAGATTCAAAGGCCCAGGGATGCACCTGACTTGAGGAATGGCTCATTGCTGGAGTCAGTGACATTGATGGGACCTGATTCTCTCTTGGCTTTTCTTTCCTTCATTCTCATACAGTCTCTTCTTGGGGTTGCAAGATGACTGCAGCAGTTTTAAAACTCATATCCTTTCAGATTCTTTCCCAATGAGGGAGAGAATGTACTTCTTTTTCCTAACTTTTGAAGAAGCATTTTTAAGCCTGGCCTTCATTGGCCAAAATTAGGTCCCATGTCCACCATTGAATGAATCTTGTGGCTTAGATGATGGGGTAGGAGGATTGGGTCAGGCCATTCAGTTTGCTCTCTGTTGAACCTGTGGCTGTGTCTACCTTATACACACCAACAGAGCAGAGGTGGCTTCACCAAGGAAATGTGGAGTGCTGTTTACCTGTGTGAAAGAACAGATGCCCCATGACACAAGCAGTAGAAATCCACTAGACTACTGAATACATAATGAGTAGACTCACCTATGAATGTGGAGACATCTGCTTCCTTTCTTTTCCTATTTCCTGAAAGTTTTCTTTCTGCAAAATATACCTATTCAGAGAATAAAGAAAAAATAAAGAATTATCCTTCTCAAGGGAAAAGAGCCATCCATAATGCAGTCTTTTAGATTTTCTGCTGGTCCCATAAATATTGCAATACATTGTTTATACTCAGACCATCATGTCATTTATGATGATTAGCAGGAACTCAAAAGGCATTGACTGACCTGGACAGTTACAATTTGTTAAAAATATGCATTGTGATTTTTTTCTCATATTGGGGGTCAACTTAAGAAGTTGACTTTGTCATTTATACACAGTTTATTTATCCATGGTAACAGCAGCCTACAGTGGGCCTAATTATAGGCCCACTAATTATTTGCCTTTGGGACAGTGAGGGTGATAAAACATGGGTTTTGATAAGAAAGTTTGGCATTTTTAGTAGTATTCTTTTATGTTAAAATGTTGTACTTTGCTTTACTCTTATGAAAACACTTTTTGTTAAAAAAAGAAATTTGCTATGAAGGATAAACTCCATTTCAATGGTGTATATTAGTCTTCGGCCTCAGTCACTACATAGCTGCTGTAATGTGGTTCTGGGGAAGCCCATCACCAGAGCACGTGGCAGCTGGGAGTGGAAGAAGGGTGCAAAGAGTAAAGGAAGCAGAGAGGAGCAAGAGCAAACATTTGTGGGGGCCTAAGCATGTTTCAGAAATGTTGCGTCAACTCTTATTTCCTCATAACAAACTCATGATGTAGGTTTGTTTTGTAGACACTGCTGGGCATCTCACTGATGGCTTTTTCCCCCTTATACACCAGCAGATCCTCGGGTTGTTTGGGGTCATGTGATACCCAGCTAAAATAACTACATTTCCCAGCTCCTCAGCTCATGCTCAGTCATCTGATAGGGCTTCTGGTGAAGCCCTTTAATAAGGGGCAGAATATGTTGGCAACTTGTCTTTTGCCTCTTCCTAGAGTGTACCCAGGGATGCTCCTGGAGATTGAGCAGTCATCTTGGAACTATGGGCTAATAAGACATAGTAATTAGTTTTCTGTTACATTCAGCTGAATGCAATTCCTAATTAGAAAAACATTGTTCATAGTAGTTAATTGAGCTTTTTAGTGAGAATTAAGCAGTCACTTTTTATATTCAGCCTGGGACCCAGCTTCACCAGTTTTTCCAATTTTTAAAAACAAAATTGGAAATCAGCTTTTACGTAAAATTTTGTCTTAAAATATTGGTTTGTTTTGTTTGCTTGTTTGCTTTAAATACTCTGAGCAAAAAAAAAAAAAAAAAAAAAAAAAACCCAACATCCATTTGTAGGCCACCATTTTGCCACCACTGGTCATTTATTGCTTTCATTTATTCACTTAACAAACCATGGAGATGTTGAAAGTAATTCAGAAGTGTGTCACTAAAGGACTAGAGAATAAGACTGTCAAAGGAAGATTTTTAAAACGTGAGATTATTAAAGTTGAAGAAGAGTGGGCTGTGCATTGGCTAATTAATAGTTTTCAAATATATGAAGGGATTTTAGACAGCTGATGTTGACTATCCTTTGTCTTCTGCAGAATAGGGTAAAAAAGAAAACACAATTATTTTTCAGGAGAAGAATTTTGAATAAATGAATAAATACGAGAACAGTTTTCTAGGTGCTGAGAATTATTAAATTTTAGCAGAGGAAGGGGCTGTGGGCCTTTATTTTGTAAAGTTTTTTTGAATTAGGACAGATTATCAGAGAGAAATTTGTGTGGTTTTGGTGACCTTGGAATTACCTCCCATCTGGAATTTTGAGATTCAGATTACTTATTCTGAAGGGATTCAATAGCTGCACCCTACTTTTTGTACTCATTGTGCACTGCAGGATGCAATTCAAGGGAATAGCTGGGAAGTCCGAAGTGGTTTTGGATTCTGATTTCTTGACAAAGTCGTTGGTACCTCCTAAGCCATCACTGCTCCAGTTAAGGGACATGTGGCTCTGAATACAGGGCTCCTTTTGGAGTCTCCCCTGGGATGTCACATCTTCTGGTTTGACAGATGCCAACTTGACATTTTTCTCCTCTTTCATTATTCTGAATAATTCTGCAAAGCCCTCATCCTCCCAGCACTATATGTACTAAGCGTGAGAATTTGCCTTTTCCACTTGTCAAAATATGTTAAGAGTTTGTAGGAGTCCAAGGTCATGCTTCAGTTTTCAGACAGAAGAGGAATTCCAAGAATTCCAGAAATGGCAGGAGATCTCTTTTCTTGCTAACTTTGGTTCAGGTGTGCTTTAAAAATTCAACATTTAATGGGCTGTTAAATATTCCTTCCTCTTGCTGAGGAACTTCAAGTTATTTTAATATATATTGAGGGTTGCCTAGTAACTACAGCTTTACTAGCTTACTGAGAGAAGTTTTACTCTTTTTTTTTTTTTTTTTTTTTGGCTACAGAAAGGCAATCAGGGGAGAGCAATTGGAGATGGCTTCATGGAGAAAAGGAGGAGGAATATGGTGTCTCTTTGGGACTTGAGGTCATGTAAAACTGATGTTAGAAGAAACATGTAGGTCCCTGTCTGAGGCAATTAGAAGCAAGTTCAAGGAAATCATCTTCCACTTAATCTTTGCTTATGCTGAATAGTTTGAGTGAATGATGTCACAGGGAGTTGAATTACCAAAATGCTCACCTGCCTTCCCCCATTTCTCCCTCCCTTCCTCCTTCCATCCTTCTTTCCGTCCCTCCCTTCTTCTCTTCTTCCTTCCTTCATTTCTTTCTTTTTCTTTTTTTAAAGAAAATAAATAATCTTACTGTTCTAAGGACCTAACTTCAGGCTCTGAGATATGTATTAGTTATAATTTTTTTTTTAAGGTGAAATTTCACTCTTGTTGCCCAGGCTGGAGTGCAATGGTGCGATCTTGACTCACTGTAATCTCCGCCTCCCAGGTTCAAGCAATTCTCCTGCCTTAGCCTCCCGAGTAGCTGGGATTACAGGCGCCCGCCACCACACCCAGCTAAATTTTCCTATTTTTAGTAGATACGGGGGTTTCACTATGTTGGCCAGGCTGGTCTTGAATTCCTGACCTCAGGCCATCCAACCCGCCTCGGCCTCCCAAAGTGCTGGATTACAGGCATGAGCCACCGTGCCCGGCCAGTTATGACTGATTTTATAACTGAATTATTTCTCTTCTTAATTCTGCTTCTTATAACCTAGTGGGAAACAACCAATGAACAAGATGAAAATCTAATTGAAACCACCATTTATTTTCCTGAGTCAGTCCAGGTTTGTAACTAATTTGTAGATTATCTCAATGTTGAACTTTGCTGAGTTTTGTGAGGACATGGAGATTTTATAAGCCAAGGACGTAGATATCTCTGGGAGGACATTTTCTTGTCTACCACAGTACATCTTGTTGCTATTCATTACTAAATCCTTACTTTGAGATCTTAAAACAGGGAACATCCTACCAATGTCAGTTCAGATGCAAATTTGTTTGAGCTTGTGTTCTCTCTTGATTAATACATTTCAGAGAGTTAATTTGTTTACCAAGAAGAAAATCATTTTTTTGTATTGGTTACCAATGAAAAGTGGCATAGTCCAACTAAAGAGAGTACGCAAAGATGGGTTTTGTACCTCCTGGGGAGATGCTAGCTACCCAGAAACGTAGACTAATAATAAATAAGATTACTGGCCATCAGCCGGTTTTGCCAGGTGATGGCATGAATGTTCAACGTATGCTTTTATGCAATTCTGTGATGCTGCAGTAATTGGGGAAGGCATTAGCTGACAGCAGTCCCTGATTCGATCCATCTCTTTCTGGCTCTGGTTACTTCTGACTCATAAAGTGGACAGGGAAAGCAAAAGGAGAAATGTGTATAATAGTAAAATGTTCACTTGCAGTGTGTCGTGTACCCTTAGGCTAAAGATAGACAAGCATCTCAGAATCTGGGTCCCATATTCTCATTTCCCCGTATATAATTCCTCAAGTGGGCAGAAGTGTATCTGGTTATATAATCCAGTTATAGTGGGAAGAGAAACTATGTTTAAATATGCATAGGGAGAAATCATTGTCAGCTACAGATACATATTTAATTACAGTAAGAAAAAAATATGAATTTGAAAATGATGTGGGGGTTGTTTTATTCAAATTGGGGTTCTAATTCAGTCTAAAAAAAACTGAGCAGTGTTGTTGAAATGATTGCCTCTTAGCAGATAGTATGTGTATATGTATTCTGTAGCTCTGCCTGACTTAAAGAGGCTTTTACAACAGATGGAAAGGCATAGTGAGAGAAGAAAATAATTTAAATTTAACCCTTTGTAAATACTCTAGCTTTAAGGGCATTTTGCCTTCCTTGGGTTGTGGGTAGAGTATGCTATCATATCTGAACTGTGTGTTCCCCTTATAACATCCTGTGCTAAGTGCTCATGCTCCCCAAAATTCAGGTCCCTCTAAATGATGGTGATGGGAATCCAACTCTGACAGTTTGACCCCAGATGTGTGCTTTACACTGACCCAAGATATAGCCTAGCAATATACGATGTAAAAATTAACATTAACTCATTGACTCAACTACTAAATAGGTACTAAAAGTCAAGCTTTTTGCTAGACCTGAGAATATAGAAGTTGAATTTAGCTCTTGCCCTCAAAGAATTTACAGTCTAGGGGGTAGACCTGCTCCTAAACTAGCAATTAAGTCTTTAATATCTATGCATTTATTCTGCAACACTGAATTTAAAACAGGTTTTTCTCAGAAGCAATTTTGTTTCTACAAACTGTCTCCTGGGCTCAGAGTCCCTCGTGTTACCGAGTTCCTTGAAAGCCATGCTTATTGCTTTTAAATGCAACATATCTCGGGTTGATGTTTTTGTTCTATAGTAATCCTTTCATTCCCTTTTTTATTTGAGAGTTTGAAAATAATGTTGTGTGCAAAATCCCTAAGGAATTAGCAGAGCTGATTTGATTCAAATATAACTTCCCACCCTGTGTGCAGTGTCATGCCCCTGAGTTTCATATACATGAGTTCTAACCCCTTCTTGTCTCTTGCCAAGATTTATCAGCAATTGGTTAACCTATTTGGGTTAGCTTAGCTTCATTTTCTTCATCTGAATAATCGGCATAGGTATGGATTCTCACAAGAATCAGATGCTATTTTACAGAAGTTTTATAACAAGCTTAAATTTTGAAATAAAACTAAAGCATCATGATGTAGGCAACATGGGATAAAATTGTAGCCTAACCACTGTGTATGCTGGAGTCACGCAATTTGAATTATACAGTCTTTGAGGTTTCATATGTTTTAGTTTAAAGGCTGACTTTGCCATTTGTAAGCTGGGTGGCTTTGGGTGATTTGTTTAATATTTCTCTGTTAGTTTCCTTATTAGTAAAATAAAATAATAATGTTTTCTTTTATAGGCTTTATAATAACGATGAAGGTGCTGGTGGAGATGATAAAGTGATGATGATAGTGTTGGTGGTGATGATAGTGTCTCTGCAGTGGCTGGAATATTTATGCACCCCCCGCTCCAAATTTAAATGTGGAAATCCTAACCCCCAAGGATTTGGTATTAGGAGATGGGGCCTTTGGGAGGTGATGAAGTCATGAATCACAAATAGGAGTAGTGCTTTTACAAAACAGACCCCCAGGTAGTCATTTATCTTTTCATCATGTGAGAACACAGCTAAAAGATTGCTGTCTATGGACCATGAAATGGGCCCTCACCAGATGCTGAACTTGCCAGTGCCTTGATCTTGGACTTCTCAGCCTCCAGAGATGAGCAATAAATTTCTGTTGTTTATAAGCCATCCAGTTTATGATGTTTTGTTATAGAGGCCCAAATGGACTCAGCCTTACAGTTATTAAGCCCTTCCTTCTTGCCAGTACTGTGCTGAGTACTCTACATGCATCACCTCATAGCATTCTCAGTTGCCCCCTCTGGTAGCTACTATCATAATCCCTATTTTCTTTTTTCTTTTTTATTATACTTTAAGTTTTAGGGTACATGTGCACAACATGCAAGTTTGTTACATATATATACATGTGCCATGTTGGTGTGCTGCACCCATTAACTCGTCATTTAACATTAGGTATATCTCCTAACGTTATCCCTCCCCCTTCCCCCCACCCCACAACAGGACCCAGTGTGTGATGTTCCCCTTCCTGTGTCCATGTGTTCTCATTGTTCAATTCCCACCTATGAGTGAGAACATGTGGTGTTTGGTTTTTTGTCCTTGTGATAGTTTGCTGAGAATGATGGTTTCCAGCTTCATCCATGTCCCTACAAGGGACATGAACTCATCCTTTTTTATGGCTGCATAGTATTCCATGGTGTATATGTGCCACATTTTCTTAATCCAGTCTATCATTGTTGGACATTTGGGTTGGTTCCAAGTCTTTGCTATTGTGAATAGTGCCGCAATAAACATACATGTGCATGTGTCTTTATAGCAGCATGCTTTATAATCCTTTGGGTATATACCCAATAATGGGATGGCTGAGTCAAATGGTATTTCTAGTTCTAGATCCCTGAGGAATCGCCACACTGACTTCCACAATGGTTGAACTAGTTTACAGAACCACCAACAAACTACCATCAGAGTGAAGAGGCAACCTACAAAATGGGAGAAAATTTTTGCAATCTACTCATGTAATGAAGGGCTAATATCCAGAATCTACAATGAACTCAAACAAATTTACAAGAAAAAACAAACAACTCCATCAACAAGTGGGCGAAGGTTATGAACAGACACTTCTGAAAGGAAGGCATTTATGCAGCCAAAAGACACATGAAAAAATGCTCATCATCACTGGCCGTCAGAGAGATGCAAATCAAAACCACAATGAGATACCATCTCACACCAGTTAGAATGGCGATCATTAAAAAGTCAGGAAACAACAGGTGCTGGAGAGGATGTGAAGAAATAGGAGCACTTTTACATAATCCCTATTTTCAATGAGAAGTTGAGGCTTGTGGAGTTGCTTAACATGTCCAGGATCACCTAATGCTCCAACATAAGTTTGATTAACTTTAATACTTTTAATATATATTGTGTCTCAGTTAATGTTTTATTGTGCTCTAGTAGTTTAAACTGCGTTATCTTGTATCAAGAATTCAGGTGTAATAAAGATTAAAAGGGACATGATGTATGTTTAATATTTAGCATCTGTTCCATAGTAAATGCTAAATAACTATTAGATATTTAATTGGTATTAGATCTATTTCTTTTTTAACTTATAAATTATAATAGTTATTGATTCTATTATTGCCTTTAAAATTTAAAACCATTCTGAAATGATGAAATGGTTTATTCTCCTCTATAAGGATGCAAAAGTTACTATTGCCCATATCACTGAAGATGAGGGAATGCCAAGATTTTTAAAATTTCTACAGAATAGCAAAAATAGTTTCATCATTTAGGTCAAAGTTTCAAGTTTGAGTAAGGCTTATATTCATTTTTTTCAAATAACTAGCTTGTATTTTTAAACAAATATCACTAAAGTCTATAATATCATTATCTTATGATTCAGTAAAGAAAGAGAAATAAGCTGTTTAAATATGATGCCATACAAATTCATTCAAAAGAGAATGATGCATTCAATAACTATGTTTGTGAATTTGGCTCTATGCTATGAGATACCCAATTTGTCTTATTTTATCCTTGAATTCATACTTCTTTAAGCTTCAAGGAGATGTGATGCATTAGAAATTGTAGATTATCTGTGGCAAATTTGACTCCAGGCTTTTAGTAACACCTCATTTCAAATTCTCAAAAGAGAATCCTGTTGTCTTAATGTTTTGGTCTTCGACATCCAAGTGTGTTTTAACCTCTATGGTGCACATACCTGCCCACCACTGCTCCTTGACCTGCAGCTTCACTGAACATTTGAACTCTTGTTGCAATGCTTATGTTATTGGGCCCCTCCACATCCTTGCCACAGTTGATTGAACCAAAGGCAACTCAGTAGAACACTCCTAATCCTGCCCCCTAAACCCTCCCCGTAAGTCCTTGTCATCTCAGTAAACGACATCTCCAATCTTCCACTTGCTTAGGTTATCAACCTTAAGTCACTCTTGAGTTCTCTCTTTTTCTCACATTTTATTAGCAAATTCTAAGCCCCTTATCAAATTCCATTAGCTCTGTGTTCAAAACACATCTGGATATAGTGATTGATACCCCTGTTGTTTCCACTCTAGGTCAAGATTTCATATATAATCACCTGGGCTATTGCAATCACCTTCTAACTTGTTTCCTTTTCTACCCCTGCCCATTTTTGATTGAGGTGATTTTTGAGACTGTAAGATCATACCACTCCTCTGCTCAAAATTCTGCAAGTCTTGGCCAGGTAAGGTGGCTCATACCCATAATCCCAGCACTTTGGGAGGTGAAGGCAGGAGGATTTTTTGAGCTCAGGAGTTTAAGACCACTCTGGGCAACACAGCAAGATCTCATCTCTACTAAAAATAATAATAAAAAATTATCTGGGTGTGGTGGTGTGTGCTTATAGTCCTAGCTACTTGGAAAGACTGAAGCAGGAGGACTTGCTTGAGCCCAGGAGGTTGAGTCAGCAGTGAGCTATGATCATGCCACTGCACTCCAGTCTAAGCAACAAAGCAAAACCCTGTCTCAAAACAAACCAACAAAAAACAACAAAAAAACCTACATGTCTTATATTTTACGTATAATAAAATACAGAGTCCTTCATGGCCTCTGAAGTTTCCCATGATTGTGTGTCTGCATCCTTCTGTGATGTGGTCTTCTATCACCCTTCCCTTTACTCTGTAAGCTGACTTGCTTTTTCTTAATTATGGTAGACACACTTGCCCCAGGGTCTTTGCACTTACCCTCTCCTAAGAATGATCTTTCCCTGCTTGTGGCTCGGCTTGCTCCCTTACATCACCTGGCCTTCTGGTTGAATGGTGCCTGCTTGAGGGACCTGTGAGCAACCTTCGAGGCAGCACCTCTCTCCCTCATGGCACTTACCATCTGTTATCTGGTATCATGTCACTTTTCACCAGCTGTGGTATCCTTTTTTTAATGACATGACTTCTGACATCACATTTGCTGTTCTCTTTTTCCATACCAATTCTCCAATAATAATTAGTGCTCAGCAAGTTAATTCAATGCTGGTACTAACTCCTGGAGCTTGTAGAGATCCCGCTGGTTAAAGGCTCAATCCCACAAGACTGTCCCTACTTCAGACGCCAACCACAAGGGGGTCCCAGCCTACCCACACCTGTTTAGCAGACTAGAAATTTATAGGTTCCCATTCTCAGGTTTCATAATTCACTAGAACAACTCACAGAACTCAAGAAAACACTTTACTTATATTTACTGGATTATTATAAAGGATTCGACTCAGGAACAGGCATAAAAGAAATGTATATGGTATGGGGTGTGATGTGAGGAGCTTCTGTGTCCTCTTGAGGGATGCCATCCTCCCAGGATCTCAGTGTGTTCACCAGTCTGGAAGCTCCCCAGATCTTGTCATCTAGGTGCTTTTATGAAGATTTCATTACTTAGGCATGATTAATTGAATCATTGGACATTGGTGATTAGCTCTATCTTTAGCTCCTCTCCAGCTGGGGTTGGGACTGAAAGTTCCAACTCTCCAATCACAACGTTGGTTCTTCTGCCCAGTTGAGAGTCACCTCATTATCATAAACTCAAGACTGGTTGAAAGGGGCTAGTTTTGAATCACAAGAGACACTCCTAAAATTCCAGTCACTTTTGTCACTCAGGACATTCCAGGGGTTTGGGAGTCTCTGTGCTGGAACCAGGGACAAAGATGAAATACATGTTTCTTGTTATATCACACCAGCCAAACTGCTTCATATTGTTCTTGGGTGTTGTCTGTCCCCACTTGCAAGAACTTAGCTCTACAGAAACAAGTCACTTTTGCCAGTTTTATTACTGGTCTCATTTAGCACCCCAAGCAGTGCCTAATACACCACAGACCAGGGGTGTCTGATCTTTTGTCTTCCCTGGGCCACATTGGAAGAATTGTCTTGGGCCACACCTAAAACACACCAACACTAACGATAGCTGATGAGCTTTAAAAAAAAGCACATAAAGATCTCATAATGTTTTAAGAAAGTTTACGAATTTGTGTTGGGCGGCATTTAAAGCCATCCTGGGCTGCATGTAGACCATGGGTCGCAGGTTAGACAAGCTTGCCATAGACACTCAATCAGTACTTACTGAATGAATTACTTACGTGAATTAAATTGGACATTAATTAATGCAATACTTCATGGAGGAAGACCATAGGTAGAGGCAGACATGAGTGAAAACACGCTCCATGAGGGTCGGAGACAGAGAAGGAGAGAAAACAAAGTTGTTTTCTTTTTCTTTTTCTTTCTTTCTTTTTTTTTTTTTTTGAGACAGAGCCTCGCTCTGTTGTCCAGGCTGGAGTGCAGTGGTGTGATCTTGGCTCACTGCAACCTCTGTCTCCCGGGTTCAAGCAACTCTCCTGCCTCAGCTTCGTAAGTAGCTGGGATTACAGGCGTCCACTACCTGGCTTATTTTTGTATTTTTAGTAGAGACAGGGTTTCACCATGTCGGCCAGGCTGGTCTTGAAATCCTGACCTCAAGTGATCCACTTACCTCGGCCTCCCAAAGTGCTGGGATTACAGGTGTGAGCCACCGCGCCTGGCCCAAAGTTGTTTTCTGAAGAGCTTTCTGGTTGGATTTTTACTTTTTCATGATACTTTGTTTTACTTCTTTTTCTTGGAAAATTCTCTGAGCTTTGCCTCTGTCCTGAAAACAAATTCTCCTTTTCTTAAGTAAGGTTGAGTGGGTTTTCCATTTGTTGTAAGCCAAAATACCTTGGCAAATGTAATCCTTCTAAGCCTATTAGAGTAAAAAAAGTATGTCTGGTACATAATAGGTGCTCAAAAATATTTGCTGAATGAATGAATGATAGCTACAAAGAGAAAGGCTTGTATTTCCTATTGGCTTCAGGGAGAAAGTTCTAACACATTTGATTCCTGGCCATTGTAGTGCCAAAGTCAGAAATGCATTAAGCTTTCTGAAAGGAACCATCAAACTTGGCCTCTTTGAGGGCACTTAACTTCAAAGCTCCAATAGAAATATTACAACTATTAATTAAATAACTTTATTTTTTGGGCTGGGCATGGTGGCTCAAGCCTGTAATCCCAGCACTTTGGGAGGCCAAGGTGGGTAGATTGCCTGAGGTCAGGAGTTCGAGACCAGCCTGACCAACATGGTGAACCCCATCTCTACTAAAAATACAAAAATTAGCTGGGCATGGTGGCCCATGCCTGTTATCCCAGCTACTCTGGAGGCTGAGGCAGGAGAATTGCTTCAACCTGAGAAGCAGAGGTTGCAGTGAGCCAAGATCATGCCACTGCACTCAAGCCTGTGTGACAGTGAGACTCTGTCTCAAAAAATTCAATCAACCAAATCAAATAAATAAATAACTGCCTTTTTTTGTTGTTGCTTTGAGATGGAGTTTTGTTCTTGTCGCCCAGGCTGGTCTGCAATGGCGCAATCTCGGCTCACTGCAACCTCCATCTCCTGGGTTCAAGCAATTCTCCTGCCTCAGCCTCCCAAGTAGCTGGGATTACAGGTGTGCACCACCACATTTGTCTAAATGTATTTTTAGTAGAGTTGGGGTTTCACCATGTTGGTCAGGCTGGTCTCAAACTTCTGACCTCAGGTAATCCACATGCCTTGGCCTCCCGAAGTGCTGGGATTACAGACATGAGCCACCGCGCCCAGCCAAAGAAATGTATTTAAGGTCAGCATCAGGGACTGAATTTTTTCTGCCTGCAGAATTGAAAACTGTGGATGCTGTTCTGTGAATCTCCTTCATAGCAGGCTTGAAAAGTTGTTCTGGGACTAAACGTTTGTTAAATGGGGGTTAACAATGGTTCACTCTGTTCACCTCTCACCCTACTCCATGCATCTCCCAGTTCTAGCCCAACGTTTATGCCCTCCCACTGTGAGATGATGGAAGGCTGAGGGGAGAAAAGTAGTGTGGTGGAGGAGGGGAGAAAGATTGTGCTGGGGAAGTCTGGGATTGGAGAAACAGAAGGGTGTTAATGCGAAAGAAGGATGAAGTGAGGGGCAGCTTAGCTTCAGGTAAAGATCCAACTCGGGATGTTTCTCACTTTGCCCCTTTGTTCTCAGAATCAGCGTGGTTCACTTGACAACATAAACAGATATATGCTGTTAAATGGCCCATTAGAATGCAATGAACATGAGCAGGACTTACCCTTTGAAACTGAACAGTTCCTGGAAACTCCTAACTCTGCTTTTCTGACCACAGGCTCCTCTCGAATTATCTGATTTTAGGAAAATCTATTAGCTGTGACTAACACTGAAACAGCCTATTGTATGCCTCAGGACCTGCCTTCTCTCCTGGAACCATACTGTGGGGTAGCTATGAAGATGTTGGTTGTATTTCCTTCATTATTCAATAGGAAAAACTGAGACCAAGAGGAGTTAGAGAATGTGTTTGCCCAAAGTCACACAGTAGAAGGACAGCTGGCTTTCAAACTCAGCTTTCTCTGACTATTAAAGCCAACTTAGAACATACAGCATTTCTTGAAGTTTTAATATTCTTCCTCTCCTAATTTGTTTTTTCTTTCTTGGTAACTAATTTTCACTAAGACAGTTTGCATGCTCTTGAGCTTATAGCTGAAACTGATCTATGCCAGTCTTTCTTTAATTAAAAATCAGGCCTTAAAAGGGGGATGGAAAAGGTTGAGTTTTTGTCACTTTTTGCAGCTTGTATGTTATAGTGCTTGGCTGTGATTTGTTTTCAGCCAGAGGACAGCCCTTTGGAGAAGAACATTATTTGAGGGTGTTCCCAAGCGGGTGATGGTCACTGTCCAGTGGGAGAGCAGGCGGAAGTTCTTACCCTGCTCACATGTTAAATAATCCAAGTGGCATTGCTCTGAGCACTTGTGTTATTTATAGTGGGTCTAATTATGAGTGTCCTTGCCCTGAAAGGAAGTTGTCTTCCCCAAGGGTGGGTGACAGACTAACAAACTATTGAGCTCTAGCAGGAGAACGTGGAGTCCTGTCCTCTTAGTTGGTTGAAAATCATTAAATTACCCACCTGATTAACTAGCGGGTACAGAGGAATATTACAATATTACAGGGACAAATGGGAATATACTAATTGGGTCAAGATGAATTCCCTTTTGGACTTGAACATTAAAATTCTTATTTTATTTTCAAATATGCATCCTTTGAACGTATTTATGCAGGGAATATGCACTGTCAGAGAAAACATCCATTGAAGTACCCTAAAGAGCAAGTAACATATGGTGCTTTTGTTAGTTTTTATTACTGCACTTTATTTCTGAATAGCTGATAATAATTGTGAGACACTTAAGGCTACAGGTAAGAAAGAATATGGAAAAATCTAGATGCAGATCTGGTCTTGAGATGTTAAAGCCTGTTACTCAACCTGTTGGAAGTTTCTTCCTCTACAATGGAGACAAGAATAATATTAGCTGGGAGAGTTAAATAGGCTACATTGATGCAGAAGTCCAGATTTTAGGCTTTTACTAAATATTGATCATTATTCTCCATTTGAAAGTAAACCATGTTTTACTGCCAATTTTTACGATGAAAAAATTTTTGTGGTTTTGCAAAGGTAATTTAGGCAATCCTTTGATCTCCGCTGAAATGATAGAGGGATTTGTTAGAAGTTGTATTCAGGCCTTCTAATGCTTCCCATTTGCTGATTCAATGTATTTGGAAGATTTGCCTACAGATTCGGGGCCAAACATTGAGACACAAATAGACTTTTTGTTTTAAATTTGTGCACTTGAGTGTGATATTTTTTCATGCCAGCTTCCAGTGACAGGCTGCATAGTTTATTTTCTGTGGCAACCACTTTCCCTCACTAAGTTTTACTCTTTAAGTCTAGCTGCCTCTCCCATTAAGGTTCACCCTTCTCTGATCTCTGGCCCAGAAGCCTGCGTGAAAGTAAACCAAGATTTTTCTTTTTTTTTTTTTTTAACTATTTCCTGCATTCCTCTCTTTTAGGTTTGATGAGGTCAGATTTCAGAATTGCCAAGCTGTTTCTTCCTTCCTCTATTCATAATGTTGGATAAAGACAGGCTGTTTAAAGAGCACTTTCAGTCTGAGGGGTGTCTTTTCTGTGCATTGTGAAGGGTGAGGCCCCAAAGCTGGGACGACGACGGCATGGCGCCAGGATCCATGGAGTTTTAGCTAGTGAATATTCAGGAAAGAAATGTATTTGTGTCCTTTGATCCAGAGCTGGCTACCCAGGGTGCTGGCTGGCAAGTGAAAGGAAACATGGAAGCTGACAAGTCTGATGTTAAAGAACATTAGGAGTTGTGATTGTCTTCTTAGGACCCAAACTGAACTTTCTTGCTGCAGACTCTTGGTTTGCTTATGAACCAAGTGAGTACTTGGCAGAAACCAAGTATATGGGATTTTTAAAAACCCCAAAATTTAAGAACACAAAGAAGATGTCCAATTTCTAGAAGTTCCCTAGAGCCATGTAATTAAACTGTGTGTTTTTTTCAGAAATACCTGGAACACCTCCATTTTCCAATAATAGGTATCTCTTTATATACATGGCTGTGTCTGAACTCCCGGAGAAAAGAGTAGGGCTGTCTGTTTTCGAAAAGCAGTCTTTTTTTCCCTTTCTGAATACCAGAGAAAGAAAAGTGCAATTTCTTATTCAGAGGTGGAGATGCTTTAAGATCAATTGCTTAACTAGAAGGAGGTAATATCTATGAAACAATGAGGTTATAGTTATTATAGTCCATGTTACATATTGAGGTACAATTTTCCTGGTTTATTGTTGTTGTTTAATTTTACTGGGAAGTGGTTCAAAATAGTTGAGGTTTCTGTAGAGGTCTGATAAGGATACTGAGATAATTGTAGTTTTAGAGGAAAGAACAATTCACGAAAGTTATTTCCTTAATATTTCTGTCTAAAATTAAAAGCTTGAGCAACTTGCCTGAAAACATGGATTTTGAATGATATATGGGGTCTGTTTGACCCATATAATTGCAATTCTAATTCCAATGGCAAATTTCAGGATCTTTCGTTCAGAATTCACCTTCTGTTTGAGAATGGCCATTTTAAAAGTTTTTTTTAAATTCAATTTTTTTCCTCTACAATTAATAGCTATTTTATGGTTTGACTAATGGAGATACATTTCAAGCGTACATTCATGTGCTTAGGATTTTATGAAGCTTCCTTACACTTGCAATTCCCTGGCTGTTACCAGGAAACAGCCCTCAGCTCGCTGCTTTCACAGAACCATATATTGTTATGGCATCCACAGCTAAATTCAAATCGAAGAGCAAACCTCTCAGGTTTGTGTGCTATTAGGTGATACATGCTTCAGTTCCCACTATGAGGGAGGTCAACCCCAGAGAGCTTTTTGTTATTTCCCCAAAATGGAAGCTGGGAAACAAAGTTGCTTCCTTAAGAATAAAGTAAAACTTACTTCCCTGGGAAGGTGGAAGTGAGTAGAAATGGATTTGAGAAAGAAAGAACATTTTAAACAAGAATTCAACAAAGTGGCAAAGGAATACAGGGAACCAGTTTGTGTCCACCAGTAAGATTTAAGGTTGGTGTATCCTTGCAGTGGAAAGCTGTGTATGCATTAGAAAAAAATAGTTAGGGCTATGGATATTAAGTGGAAAGTTGCCTTTGATTTGCTTTCTACAGGAAGAGTAAAGGAGAACACTGTGGAACATAATACATAGTTGATGCGATCCTCTTAATTTTTAAAAATACACACATATACTGGGCGTGGTGGCTCATGCCCGTAATCCCAGCATTTTGGGAGGCTGAGATGGGTGGATCACCTGAGGTCAGGTATTTGAGACCAGCCTGACCAACATGGTGAAACCCTGTCTCTACCAAAAATACAAAAAGTTAGTTGGGCGTGATGGTAGGCGCCTGTAATCCCAGCTACTCAGGAGGCTGAGGCAGGAGAATCACTTGAACCTGTGGGGCGAGGTTGCAGTGAGCTGAGATCGTACCATTGCATCCAGCCTGGGCAACAAGAATGAAACTCCGTCTCAAAACAAAACAAACCAAACAAAAACTCATACATGTATAGATAAATAGGAAGATAGAATTATATCTCTATGGGAATTAGCTTTGGCTGCAGATACCCTCAAACTCAGAATAATAGTAGCTTATTAAGGTCGTTTAGTTTTCTTTCATGGGAAAGAAGTTAAAGTTAGTATCGTAGTTCCATGGTCAACAGGAAACCTGGTATCTTTCATGTGTCTGCTCCACCATTCTTGTATACGGCTTCCCACCTAGAGGTTACCTCATGGTCCAAGATGGCTGTTGAAGCTCCACGCATCATGTATCTTCATGACCAGAAAAAGGAGGGATGGAAGAAGAGTAAACTAATTTTGTCCCTTCTCATTTTAAAAAAGCCTTCTTGGAAAGCTCACACAAAACTTCTTATATCTCCTTGGCCAATATTTGGTCACTTGGCTTTACCTGGAAGAATAGAAAATACAGTCCCTCAGCTGGCACATTGCCGAGGGTTTTGTACTGCCAAATAAAAAGAGAATGACTGCTGGGAGGCAGCTTTTTGGAACTGCTGCAAGTGGCTTCCTTTGGTCACTAGAAGTGGAGATGAAGAGCGGGAACCCTTCCATTTTCTTCTTTATATACTTTTGTACTGTTGTATTTTAAAATAATGAGTTAAAAAAAAAGCAGAGGGATGCATATTTTAAAGAAGAAATGAAAACCTAAGTGGAGTTGTGGTAAGTCATCAGTCCAAGATTAGCGACATGATAGAAAAGATGATTCTCTATCTTGCTTGGACCTACTCTTTGATGTTAAAGCATCTTTGCATCTTTGAATGGATCACCTCCTGCATGACTGTTCTCTGGGTCCTGAGCAGGGAGAGACAACCAGGTGCATACACAATTTGGATTTCATGGTCTTTTTATCTCTACTAAAACTATTTGCAGAGATACAGTTCTAATGACAAATGCTAATTATTGGCTGTCACTTAGCCTTCTAATGATTAAATGCAAAGGCATTAGGGTGTTAAGGAAGATAGACATAATTATAATAATAAGACTAAAATATATGGAATGCTTTCTTGAAGTAGTATATTCCATTGAACAATAATTGCTCTTCAATTGCAGTTTTAATATTCTAAACCTCAACTTCTCACCTTGAAATACTACTACTAATAATAGTTCCTTTATAAATCATGGAATTGTTATAAGAGTTAAAGAAGATAATGCTGATTAGGTGACAGGCTGTCCCTTAATAAATGCTCAATAAATGCAAGATGAGGATGATTTTATTGTTGGCATAGCATGTGCCAGGCATTCTGTAATTATTTTGAATTTTACCCCCAACAACAAGTTTATAAGGGTGACTTTAAAAAAAAAAACAGCATTATTGGGATATAATTCATATACCATAAGATTCATCCTTTTAAAGTGTATAATTCAGTATTTTTAGCATATTTACACTGTTGTGTAACCATCATCACAATGTAAATTTAGAACGTTTTCATCATTCCATAGAGAATTCCCGTACCCATTAACAGTAGTCACTTCTCATTTTCCCTTCCATCAATTTCTGAAAACCACAAATCCACTTTCTGTTTTCATGCATTGGCTTCTTTTGGAAATGTTGTATAAGTGAAATCCTACAATACATGGTCTTTTGTGTCTGGCTTCTTTCACTTAGTACATTGTTTTTGAAGTTTCATCTATGTTGTAGCATGCATTAGTACTGCATTCCTTTTTAAGGCTAAATGATATTCCATTGTGTGGATAGACCACATTTTGTTTATCTATTCATCCATTTATACATTTGGGTTTGTTAAATTAAGTTTAGCCTACAACTGTCTCTTTTTATATATTTTAAGTTTAGCCTAAAGGTTTTTTGTCAACTGTAGTTTACTCTTGTGTCAATTACTGAATTTTGGCTAATCAAAGATGACCAACTGTTTAAATCATGCACAAGTGCCATGGTGTGACCAATTTGGCTATTTCTGTATCTCACTTTTGTTTCTTTGTCCTTTATTTGGTGTGTGTCTATAAATCCTTTTTTACTATGTGGCTATGCTAAAGTCTCTGTAAGCCTATTCTGGCTTGAGAGTCTGCCCTATTACTCATTATTTATTTGACATATTTTGAGATGGCTGTTCAGGGGGCCAGCAGACAGAAGCAACCTGCAAAGCTGTTTTCTATGGGCGAGATTTGCATCTGTAGAGAGTCTACATTGAGGCAGCCAACCCTACCCTTGTCTTGATCTACGGAAGATTAACTGAGAGTCTGACACCTTTAAAGAAGAAACATTTACTATCTCTTCTCTCTGAGGGCTGCTACCTGTTTGATTTCATTTACACAAGACCACCTTTGCTAACCAAGCCTCCTCTTCTCTACTTCCCATGACCTGTCTTGCCAGTCTAACCTGGTTTATCAGCCTAGCCTAATTTGGGCCATCCTGAGCCCTCATTCTTTCTGTAACCTCAAGATGGTTTATAAGCTTCTGCACCCCATCGGGTAGTTGGGGTATTCACTCTGTGGTTCTCTCCCATGTGCACGTTAATAAATTTGTATGCCTTTTCCCCTATTAATCTGTCTTTTTTGAGTTGATTTTTTAAGACAGCCTTTAGAGGGTGAAGGGAAGCTTCCTTTCACCCCTGCAATACCCTGTACACCCATTATTTCCCAAATGTAAGAATATATATGACCCACATAAGAATATAAGAATAAAGGGGTAAGCTAAGTTCCTGTGAGCGGAATTGCAGGATCAGAAGATGTGTATATTATGAGGAACACTCTTGTCAAGTTGCCCTTCCATGGAGACTGTCTGAACCACACTCCTATGTGTTATGAAGAGCTTGAGGCAATATTTCTGTCTGGACCAATTATAAAGAATAGTTGTGACTTTCCTCAGTAATTGGTTTGTTTTTGTCTTATGGAGAATGTTATTCACAACTTACCAAGCTTGGATTATGTTGCTTGCTTAGAGCCTTTGTGGTCCATCATGAATGTCTGTGAAACTATATTCTGAACGTTTGTTAGTGTCACTCCACTTTCATATATTATGTGGTATTGGAAAAGCCTTTCACTGGAGCTTAAAATTCTCACTCAGGTGAATCTTGAGTCAATTTCAATTTTAGTCATAGAACCCCAGAGCTCCAAAAGACTAAAGCGTCAAGAACCTAGTTTATAGCCAGGGAAGTCTTTCAATTTTGAGTGAGTTTGGGTAAAATTCACTATAGATAGAACACCTAAGGATAAATTGATATTATAGAGGAAATAAATCACCAGCTTCTCTCATTTTATAACAAATCAGAGTAAGAATGCCATTCCAGGGCTTTGCAATATTCAGCAACCTCCTACAAGCTTCTTTTTGTCTTTGGATACAAGGAAGATAGAAGTTGAGTCTCTTGCCTCCACGTATTACTATTGGAGACAAAGTCTTGGGGAAGTCAGGTTCCAATTAGTTTCTAGGGGAAAGGCTCTCACTTTCTTCATATCCTTTGAAAAAGCAATCCAGTAAAACTTTACAAAGTTTCCAAGAAAGCGCAAAGAAAGATTTATGTGAATGCCACTGGCTCTACTGATGTTATGTATTCTTTAAGTTGGGGATTCATTTATTTCTTCATTTTACTTGGAAACTGTTTTGTTTTGTGCTCACCATGACCCAATTACTATAATTTGAGCAGTGCATAAAGCAGGCTCTGCCCCTCATAGAATTTACAGTCTAAAGAGAGATAATTATACAAACAATTACTTTAAGTGTAGTTTGTTTATGATGGAGAAAGGTCATGTGTTCTGAGTGTGGATGAGAGGGGCCTCTCATGTAATTGATTTATGCAGCAAGCATTTGTTGAATACCTACAGTATGGTGATCCCTGTGCTAGAGCTGGGGATACAGTAATGAAGGCTATAGACAAATACCCTCCACCTCTGGAAGTTGGAGTCTAGTAAGAGCATCTCTCATTTATTAAACACTTATATTCCAGGCCTTGTTCTAAGGTGATTTAAATGTAGTAACTCATTTGACCCTCTCGACAACCCAGTGTGGTAGATAGGATTACAATTATCTCATGAAGGACAGAGAGGTTAAACAACCTGCCCAAGGCCACACTGCATGTACATTTTGGAATTAACCTGCTCGTGGGCAGGTGGGCTCCTGAGGTTGTGTTCTTGACTTTAATTGTATATGCTTCTCCCTATTCTGTGTTTATAGAGAAGAAGGCATTAGGAGAGGTTTCCTAGAACAAGTAACATGATACATAAAAGATAAGTAGCCAAGTGGAAGGGTGTGGAATGGGAAGATTGTTCCACATAGATGCATTGCGCCCAGGTGCAAGAAAGAAGGTGGGGAAGGTGGCAATAGTTTCAGGAAAGAAAGGAGCCTGGTGTGTGGGAGGCTGGAGGTGGGTATATCTTCACAGCTTGGCACAAGTCTTGTAGGTTGCCTGCAGACTCAAGACTTTATGTGCCGGGACTGCTGCTGTTCTCAGCCTCTGTTTTGTTTCTTTTCATACTGAGTGATCTTCACCGTGTCACTTTTGCTCTTGTTTTCTATGTCTGCCTGCTGGCAGTGACTTTGCTAGCCAGGATCAAGTTTGGGCAAGATACCAGGAGGCTCAGAGACCTGCGATCTGAGTGGCATTTCCTCAGGCCTTGTCCTGACCTCCTGGCCCAGAGCTAATTGTGCTACCTAAGTTTGAAAATGCTTTAAAATTTCAAGTATATCCTCCTGGGACAACTGGTATGTCTTGGCTTGATAAACAAGTTGATATCTATGTCTACCTGATCCTAAGGCATTTGCCACTCTAATTTGTCATCTTGTTGGTTTCCAACGTGACAAGTACTTTGGTTGTACATTGCCTCATCCAGTAGACCAAATTCTGATTAATTATTCCTTTTAAATCTGGGATAATGGCTTTAATTTTGAGAATCCTCTTCTTTGCCTAATGCCTTCCTTTTCTCAACTTCAACACCATTGACATTTTTGTTGCAGAAAATTCTTTGGTGGGGGCTGTTTTGTGCGTTGTAGGATATTTGCCTGCATCCCTGGTCCCTACCCATGAGATGCCATTAGAAACCCCTCTCAGTTGTGATGACCAAAAGCTTCTCCAGACATTGTCAAATGTCCACTGGGGGACACCATCACTCCTAGTTGAGAGCTATTGCTGTAAGCATAAAGGAATAGTATTCTTCACCTATAGTCCTGTGTCATTGCTATATGGATTGTGTTTATGAACTGGATGATGTATTATAAGAGGCCATTTCACAGCATTTCAATAATTTGAAATTTAAACATTTTTTTCTAACCTATTGTAGTTAAATTAATACAAATAATAAAATAATAAAACATCCAATTAACAAAAGAATGCATAATAATAAAATAATAGCTAACCTTATTAAGCACTAAGTATTGGGTACCTTATACACATAGCTGTAAGTTCTGCACTACCATTATCATCATTAACAGATGGAAAAACTGAAGCTCAAAAGGGTAAGTTATTTACTCAAAGCAGAATGACAGTATTTTTTTTACTTTAATTCTATCTCAAGCTTCTCATATTTAGAGCTTAAGCTGAACCTCTCTTAATATTAAATTTGTGATATAATAAACAATATTTTTATTTCTGATTTTGTTTATTATTTGCTTGATGCCAGAAGATAAATTACTGCTTTTTCTAGGAGGACAATTATATTTTTGATTAATATTGTAATTTTAGAGAAAGTGGATTCCCAAAATGCTGATCATTTTTTTCAGCTAGCAGTATTTATAGACAGCAACCATACTATAACTTATTTGATAATTATCTAATTTTTGACTATTTTTCTAGTGGATTATTAAAGTATTACTTTATTGTCAGGAGTAAATTCCTGAAGAATGAATTCAAAAAGAAAATAGCCAGTATGGCTGGACTACCCATTATAAAACATGGATGGTGGTAAAGATTCGTTTTTGATCAAACCTTGGGAATTTGAGCTCAGGGTGCAAAGCAGGGCTTAGGAGAGAGATGAAATTGATTTCAAATCTTTTTTGCTTCTTTTTTTGAGACAGGGTCTCACTCTATTGCCCAGGCGGGAGTGCAGTGGTGCAATCATGGCTCACTGCAGCCTTGATCCCTCTGGGCTCAGGTGATCCTCCCACTTCAGCCTCCAGAGTAGCTGAGACTACAGGCGCACGCCACCATGCCCAGATAATTTTTGTGTTTTATTGTAGAGATGGGGTTTTGCCCTGTTGTCCAGGCTGGTCTTGAATTCCTGGGCCCAAGTGATCTGCCTGCCTCAGCCTCCCAAGTCCTGAGATTACTGGCATGTGCCACTGCCACATTTCAAATGTGACTCCATAATGTATTAGCTGTGTTACCTTGATCACATTGCTTAAGTGTCTGAGTCCTAGTTGTTTAATTTGTATAAACTGGACATTAACAGGTCTTAGCTCACACAGTTTGGGTGACATTTAAGTGAAAGCATACACGTGAAATACTTAGTTGAATACCTGTCAACTAAGCAGTGAAGATCTGTGAGGAGGAGGATGATGATATATTACAAATAGTGTGCTGACAGTGCTTAATATCTCTCATCCTTAAAACAAACAACAAAAACACCTTGCAGATGCTGTCCCTTTCATATCTCTTCACAACAAGAATTGATTTTGAAAGCATGTTTCTTTCTTTCTTTCTTTCTTTCTTTCTTTTTTTGAGATGGAGTCTCACTCTGTCGCACAGGCTGGAGTGCAGTGGCACGATCTCGGCTCACTCCAACCTCCACCTTCCAGGTTCAAGCAATTCTGCCTCAGCCTCCCGAGTAGCTGGGATTACAGGCATGTGCCACCACGCCTGGCTAGTTTTTGTATTTTTAGTAGAGACAGGGTTTCACCATCTTGGCCAGGCTGGTCTTGAACTCCTGACCTCATGATCCACCCGCCTCAGGCTTGCAAAGTGCTGGGATTAAGGTGTGAGCCACCACACCCAGCCGAAAACATGTTTCTTTCCTGGAAGTTATCTGTGAAAATCTGCAACTGTCTCCTCTATGGCCACCCAGGTTTCCTTCCCTTAAATTCTTGGCTTAAATTTTTTTACCACATGACAATTATTCTTCCCCTTCTGCCCTTTTCTGGCAACATCTGTTCCTTGTGGGTTTTTTTTTTAAAGAGTGCTTTCTCAACCATGGAATTCATTTCTCTTCCCTTCTTTGAGACTGACATTCTAATTTTCTATACTGAGCCTTCTCACAAAATGTCTTTTACTGAATGTTGCTTCAATAATGTGGAGGTTGAGAGACTGAACCTTGCTGAAATGTTTCCTTGTGAAATTATTACAGTGATTCAATTTCAGAACAGACATTTTTTAATGCAAAATCCCTAATTTGGGATTTTTTTTTTTGCCACAGTAGAGTGATATATCTCCAGTTTTGCTACAGCTTGTTTTTAACAAATATATTCTATATTTGTTTTATCTATATGGAAATTTATTCATCTTGAGGTTCTGTGGTTTTAGAACAAAACTCACTGATGTTTGAAAACATTGATGTGACAAATGGCCAGCAGAGCCCTTCTCCATGGTATAAAAAGTAGCACTTGGTACAATGAACTTTTTAAGGAAAAATGTGTGGAGCAATTGTTTAAAAGAATGTTTCTCTTAAAACAATGTCTCTCAGTATGATTTGAATATTTGTACTCTACATATTCTGGACTTTTTAAAAAAAATAATAAACCTCTTATATAAATATGTTAAGGCATGTTTGGAAATGTCAGGCCTATTCTGAGGCTTTTGATCCAAGGGCCTCATTTATGAAATTCTGGGAATTTCATGAGTTCTCAGTATGACTTTTGCCCACTCATTTTTTTGCTCATTTGTTTATTCACTCAGCCATTCAAAAATAAAGAAATGAGAACATAATACTCTTCCAGGCCTTGAGGATTCAAAGTGATTCAGATAAAATATAGTGTGTTTTTATATTCTAAAGACCAAGGCAAAAACTAAAAATGCAGACAAATCAGTAAGCAAAATAATTTAAGGTATTGACTTGAGGTCAATTTGTGGAGGCCTAGGGGGTGCTTTAGATTTGGGAGATGGGAATGTGTCTCTGAGATGGTGACATCATGGTAGACTGTGAGTGCATCAGTGGCCTTAGTCACTGCCATAATCTTTGCTTTGTGACTTTATTGTCTCCATCAACTCTGACTCTGGGTTTAACCATGTGAGATAAAATATTAGCAAACTTGACACAGCAATGGCTTATAAAAGTATTTACAGGCTTCCACTTTTGGGAACAGTGAGTAGGTGTGCCTTTTCTTACTCCTCTCGCTGAGACTATAAAGCTGGGACATTGCATGTAAATCAAACCTAAGAAGACTCTGAAAGGTGGAGAGAAGAAGTTAGCCAGACTAACTTTTGCCTCATAGATCCCACACATGGAGGTAAAGAAGCCAACAACCCAGAAACCCCAATAGGCACACACAAAAAAAAGTCCCAGCAAAAGCCTGCTCTCCCTGGCCAGAGGACCAGGAAGTGTGGCAGCCTAGCAAGGCAAGAAACTTTTAGATAAGAGCTGCTCTATACCATTCAAACACTAAAGAAGAGACTGTGGCCCCACCCTCTCCAATGAAGGCCAAGTGGGGGACCTAGTCTTCCACCCTCATGAGACTGTAATGAGTTATCCCAATACTTCACCAAGATGATGTCTGTGAAGGCCGAGTCAGGAGCTCAGACTCTCATCCACACCCATCAGTAACAAGTCCTCCACACCATGGTGTCTGCGGAGACCACATGGGAAGCCTGGACTTCTAATTCTGCTCAGTAGGAATGAGGTGCTCCTTCCTTCCCCACTAGGGTGGTGTCAGAGGAGACCTAATGGAATCAGCATTGCCCAGTGGTAATGAGGCCACTCCTACTGCAGAACCAGTGGAGGCCGCATGAGCAGACAGAATCCCTACCACCCCAACCCAGCAATAATGCGGGGGCCTGTCAAGTATCATTATCAATAATGAGGGGCCCCGTCAAGTATCAAGTATGATTTTCTGGGGATTCTGGATTTCTACCAGCAGCAACAAGAAGGCATACTTTCCTACCCCTTCTCCTGTTGTAGCAACATTAGAGGCATCCTGTTGAAAGAGATTTATTTAAGATCTAGAACCTCATAACATAATGTGCTAAATACTTAGGTTTCAATAAAAAGTACTTATTATACCAAATCAGGAAGCTCTCAAACAATGAATGCCAACACAGAGGTGATAGAATTATCTGACAAAGATATGAAAAGAGCTGTGATAAAAATGCCCCAAGGAGCAATTACAAACTTGCTTGAAGCATGAGGAAAAAAATTGAAAATGTTCTCAAGAGAAATGAGATAGAAAGAAGGCCCAAATGGAAATTTTAGAACTGAAAAATACAATAATTGAAATTGGATGGGCTCAACATCAGAATAGAGAGAACACAGGCAAAATAGACCGATAGTAATCATCCAGTTGGAATAACAGAGAAAAAATAGACTGGAAAAATAATCACAAGAGTTTCAGGGACCTTGTGGCATTGTAACTAAAGATCTAACATTCATGTCAACAGGGCCCAGAAGGAGAGGAGAGAGACATGGGACTGAAAAGTGTGGAAGTCCTCATCTACCATTGCTGACAGAATCTTGGAAACTGTGACTTTAAGTGAAATGATGTACAAGTTCTTTTTTTTTTTTTTTTTTTTTTTTTGAGACAGAGTCTCACTCTGTCACCCAGGCTGGAGTGCAGTGGCACAATCTCAGCTTACTGCAACCTCTGCATCCTGGGTTCAAGCAATTCTCCTGCCTCAGCCTCCTGAATAGCTGGGATTACAGGCACACACCACCAAACCCAGCTAATTTTTGTATTTTTAGTAGAGACGGGGTTTCACCATGTTGGTCAGGCTGGTCTTGAACTCCTGACCTCATCCTCCTCCCGACTCGGCCTCCCAAAGTGTTGGGATTACAGGAGTGAGCCACTGCACTTGGCCACAACAAGAAGTTCTTGAGTAATGTCGTTTCATTATTATGGTGAGAAAAAAATTGGTTTTATTATGCACTTTTTTTTTTTTTGCTTTAAGTCACAGTTTCCAAGAACCTATTGATATTAAGGGAGGACCTAATAAACTCAATGAAATAATGGCTGAAAAGATTTGGCAGAAGGAAGTTTACTCATCCAGTGCTAAGAGAAAAGAACTGTCAACCCAGAATCTTATACCTAGCAAAAATGTCCTTCAGGAATGAAGGGGAAATCAAGACACTGTCAGATGAAAGAAAATAAAGAGAATTTGTCACCAGCAGATCTACCTTAAAAAATAGTTGATTAAGATTTCTAAACAGAAAGGAAACAATACAAGAAGGAACCTTGGGACATCAGGAGGAAAGAAGGAACTCAGTGAGCAAAAATATGGGTAAACACAATACGTTTTCCTTCCCCTCTCAAGTTTTCTAAATTAGGTTTGATGTTTGAAGCAAAATTATAACATTGTCTTCTATGTTTCTAACTGGATATAGAAAAAATATTTAGGACAATGATAAATAGGAGAAGTAAAATTATGTGAAGGGTGGTAAAGTTTATCCCAGAGAAATAATGACTTATGGTCACACAAAAATCTGTGTACGAATGTTTTTAGCAGCTTTATTCATAACAGTCAGAAGCTGAAGAACCTAGATGTCCTTCAGTGACCAAATGGGTAAACAAACTGTGTTACATTAGTACAATGGAATATCATCACCTGGGTGAATCTGTAGAGAATTATGCTAAATGAAAAAAGCCAAATCGAAAAGGTTACATACTGTATGATTACACACATATAACATCGTTGAAATGCCAAAATTATATCAAAGGAGAACAGGGCCGGGCACCGTGGCTTACACCTGCAATCCCAGCACTTTGGGAGGCCAAGGCGGGCAGATCACAAGGTCAGGAGTTCAAGACCAGCCTACCAGCCTGGCTAATAGGGTGAAACGCTGTCTCTACTAAAAAATACAAAAATTAGCCAGGTGTGGCAGCCTGCGCCTGTAGTCCCAGCTACTTGGGAGGCTGAGGCAGAAGAATTGCTTAAACCCGGGAGGCAGAGGTGAGATCGCACCCCTGCACTCCAGCCTGGGCAACAGAGCGAGGCTCCATCTCCAAAAAAAAAAAAAAAAAAAAAAAAAAAAAAGTGGAGAACAGATTAGTGGTTCCAGGGCTTAAGGCAGGCAAGGAAGTAGTTGTGGTAATGAAAGGGCAAGTGAGGGATCCTCATGATGGAAATTTTTCTGAATCCTGCCTGTATCAATGTCTGTATCCTGACTGTATTATACTATAGTTTTGGGGCATGTTTCCCTTAGAAGAAACTGAGAAAGAGTAGCTACAATCTCTCTGTAGTATTTGCTGCAACTGCCTGTGACTCAACTATTATCTCCAAATAAAAAGATTAGTTGAAAAATGAAAAGCATTTTCAATGTCTGTTTGCTGTCATGGGCTCCCGCTTGCTCCAGAAGAATAAGCCCCAGATAGGCTATTGGAGAATCAGACGCCATGAGCCACAGAGCTAAGTCATTCCAGGCAACCTTAAGACAACCCAGGACTTGACTGCTCATGTGTGAATGAACCCAGCCATGATTAATGAAGCCGGGTCAGATCAGCCAAACTGCCCAATCAACAGTTATATTCATGGGAAGCGATAAATTGTTGTTTAAGCAGCTAAGCTTTGGAATGATTGGTTATGCAACAATAACTAACTGATAGAGAAATTCCACCTAAGACGTGAAGGAGGAAAAGGAGTCAACCACGTGAAGTGCAGCGGAGGAAATATTCTCTTATCTCTTGTCAGAGAAGAATATAACACTTTGGAGGCTGGCCTATTATGAGTGAAGTAGGAAGTGGTGGGATATGAGGCCTAATGAGTAAGCAGGGGTCAGTTATATAGGGTAGGCTAAGCAACTGGAACTTAGTCTTGGTGACTACTCAGAACACCTCTCTAAGTCCCTTTGGAAGCCCCAGGGAGATCATTGCTTTTTTTTTTCAACTCTACAAAAATACCTATTGGGTGCATACCACAAAATGAGTGCTCTGCATAGATAGTCTATCACCATTATGACCACAGACCTGGTGTTGTGCGAGGGCCTGGAGTGCCTTGTTATTTGTCCCTACGTAATAGAAAGTAAAGTTTCTGGACTTTGCTTTCTGTACTGCTCTTTCCTCATTGCTTGGGACAGTGTCTGTCTTGTAATTGGTGCTCAGTAGATATCTGCAGAATAAATGAGTAAATGAAGGAAACAAAATGTGTTGCCCTTGTTTGCATGCAAATCACCACCTAGCTGGATGGTATGAACTGCTAACCACTATGGAGTGTTTGCTATATACCAAGCAATATGCTAAGTATGTTATTTATTTATTTGTTTATTGAGACAGGGTTTCTGTTGCCCAGGCTGGAGTGCAGTGCATGAGCATGACTCACTGCAGCCTCAACCTCCTGGGATCAATTGATCCTTCCCCACCTCAGCCTCCCAAGTAGCTGGGACCACAGGGGTGCACCACCACACCTGGATAATTTTTTTATTTTTCTATTTTCTTGGAGATGAGTTATCACCATGTTACCCAGTCTGGTCTTGAACTCCTGGCCTCCTGCAATTCTTCCACAGTGGCCTCCCAAAATGCTGGAATTACAGATGTGAGCCACCGTGCCTGGCCCTAAGTACTTTACATGCACTGACATATTCAATCTCACACAGCCCTATAGGGAAGATAATATTATTGTGTTTATAGAGTGCAATAAAATCTTGTATATATAGTCTCATATACACAATGTATACAGAACTACTTCTTCATTATGCTATTAAATATAATTTTTATACAGGCTTAGATATTTAATAGGTGTGACAAGCTCAATATCCCCATCCCCAAACTTCACACCTCCCTACTGAACTTCGTCCTTTTCCAGGCTTTCTCAGCTAATGAAAACTCCATTCTCCCACTTGCGTGAGCTAAACATTTTGGAATCATCCTAGACTTTTGTCTTAACCTTACCCTTACATTCAATCCCATCAGTAAATCATGTTGATTATAATTTCACAATATGTCCAGATTCTTAGCACTTTCCACTTCTCCTCCACTTTCATCGTGGTCCAAGTCAGTATCACCCCCTGCAATGTTTGTTGTGACCCCCTCTAACTGGTTCCCCGACCTGCGCCTTTCCTGCCCTACGGTACCTGAAGTTGGATTATATCACTTCCATTCAATGCTTCGTCTCACTTCCCATCTCAGTCAGAGAAAAAACCAACATCTTTACTCAATTATTTATTTTTATTTTTTACTTTTTTTGAGGCAGAGTCTAGTTCTGTTGCCCAGGCTGGAGTGCAGTGGTGCAATCTCCGTTCACTGCAACCTCTGCCTCCCAGGTTCAAGTGATTCTCCTGCCTCAGCCTCCCGAGTAGCTGGGATTACAGGCTTGCACCACCATGCCCGGCTAATTTTTGCATTTTTAGTAGAGATGGGGGATTCACCACATTGGCCAGGCTGGTCTAGAACTCCTGACCTCAAGTGATCCACCTGCCTGGGCCTCCTAAAGTGCTAGGATTACAGGTGTGAACCACCGTGCCCGGCCAAGCCAACAACTTTAGTGAAACCCATAAGGTCTGACCGTGCTGACCCACGCTCACCACCACTGCCAGCCCTGAACTCTTCTCCTATCTTCAAGCTTCTTTATTCTCCCTTTAACATGCTGGACATGTGTCTGACTCAAGGCCATTTATTTCTTCCACCTAGAGCCCACCTCCCTCACATATCCACTCTGTTGATTGCCTTGTCTCTTTCAAGTCGTTGCTCAGATGATACCTTCTTCATGAGAACTTCCCTGATCATCCCTCACCCTATTTAAAATCACAATACCCACCACTAGCAATTCCTATCACTGTCCTTGGTTTATTTCCCTTCGTGGTGCATCACACCATGAGACATATTATAAGATACACACACACACACACACACACACACACACACACACACACGCATGTAAGCATATATATCTTATTGATTGTATGAAAGCACAACAAAGACAGCAGATTTTCTCCCTTTTGTTCATAGCCATAGCCCCTGTACCTAAATAATGCCTGGCACATGGTAGGCACCTGATAAATATTTGTTGAATGAATTAAAGAATGATATCAGCTCTCAAATTTTTGTTTAAATAGAATGCTCACCCAGTATTTTAGATTTTCTGGCATTTCTTTAGTGTCTTTACTTTTTTCTATAAAACTAGTTAGAAATCGAAGCTAGACAAATAAATATAACAAATTATGGCTTCTTTCTGCAGTGCTTCTGCTTTGGAGAAGAGAAAGGCATTGGAGACAGAGAAGGAAAAGCATATATAACTTTCTGTTTTAGCGCTTGCTTGGTTGACACTGGTCAACTTTGTACTGACAAAGGAAGGGTTCCCTGTGTGTGGCAAGAATGCTCTGAGCTGTTCATGGCAGATATTGATTCCATCAGAATGTTTTCAAAATAATATATTCATTTTTATTATACGAAAAACACATACTACAGGACATATATTTATGAAAGAAGAATGTAAAATGAAGAAAACTGCAAAATAGGTTACAACATAGGGAGGTGCCAGTTCTTGAGGGTTCTGGAATGTCTTATTAAGACGTTGATTTTTATTGATTTTTGCCCTAAAGGCATCAGGCAGCCACAGAAACACTTTAGGTAAAGGAGCAATGTGTTCAGATTACTGTTGCCAAAATCACCCCAGATGCTAGGTAGAAAATGGATTGCAATGTAGCAAGAATAAAACAGGGAGCCCTCTGAAACTCAGAAGATGGTAGCTTAGAGTAGAGTAGCATAGAGTTGGTAGCTTAGAGTAGAGTAGCATAGAGTAAGTAGCTTAGAGTAGAGTAGAGTCCCTTGCAGAGAAATATAAATATTCCTGGTTTAACTAGAGGGTAAAAATACACAGAATTTGGTGACTGATGAATTGTGTTAAAAGATAATTTTCAAAACAGGTAAAATTATGACTCTTATACAAATGTAGAATGAAGATGTGTTGAAGTTTCTACTTAACTCATTAATTAAATGAAGGAACAACGTTGAATATTATAACTAGTTCAAAGGGTAATTCAAAGAACTCATACATTTATATATCCCGAATGATGAAATGAATATTCAAAAGGAGGCAAATCTAGCTTCGTGGACAGTGGGGGGTGGGGTGGGTGGGATTCAGTTGAACCTCTACTAGACAGGACATAATTTGCATCTTTATAGACTAGAATAATTTTGCATTGTTTTCACTTACCTACAACTTACAGAGAAGTAGAATAGCTCCCACAGAATCAAAAGCAGGTAATTCTCAAAAGGTACTTGCTACAGAAAGCCCAATTTTCCATTGAAGTGCAGATTATTCCCTAGAATTGCTGTGTGTGTGTGTGTGTGTGTGTGTGTGTATGTGTGTGTGTGTGAGAGAGAGAAAGAAAGAGAGAGAGGAGAGAGAGGAGGGGAAGGGAGAGGATTACGTATAGCTCAAATCTTGTATGAGCAACTGCAACCTCCGCCTAATTTACAGAATGAGTGTATATGTATATAAACTAGAAGAGAAACAGATTAAAAAGCAGGGGCAACCTCCTTTATGTACTTAATAACTGACAAATAGCATTTTCTATGGTATACATATTATTTTACAATATCATTTCTAATGATGGAAACCTCTAGTTTACACATTTGCCATGATTAATTAAACCAGTCCTCTGAAACATTTAGAGTATTTCCAGTTTTTCTCCAGAGAGCCCTATTCCCATACCTGTGCATATTTCCTTAATTATTTCCTCAAAGGGAAGTTCCTGGAAGCAGTATTTCTGGGTCAAAGTGTAGATATAATTCTGCCTCTAGAAAGGCCGTGCTAATTTACTTCACCACCAGGAAAGGGTTGGCTTAGCTAATTTATTCCCTGTGGATGCTTTTTAAGGATTTTTAATCTTCTTTATACATATTTTACTTCATGATTAACTAACCCATTTTTGCTGGTATTTTTCTTTACAGTAAATTTAAAATATATCTTGATATCCACTGTTCAATTTTCTCCAAATTGGCTTTTCTTTCCTTACAAATGAAGGGTATATATGAATCTTAGGCATAGAATCATGTTGTTTACTCATTAAAAAGATTTTTTTTCCTTCATAAAATACATGATTCTGACCCAGCTCATTATTTTGGTAAGTGGAATTGGTAGCAGCCTGTATATTATGACTGGGGGAGGCCCTAGAAATCACTTTTTGTAGTCTTCAAGCACCAACTGTGAAATCCTGTCATGACACAGTCATTCATAGGATGGAAAATTCTGACTTTCTTGGCCTCAGAGATCATCCAGGCCAATGCCCTTGTGACTGCTCAATGGGTTCATTTTAATCACTCCCCAGGTACAGCCAATTTGTCAAGACAGAGGAATTGCAGTAGGGAAATAGTTTAATTCACCCAGAGCTGGCTGAACAGGAGACCGGAGCCTCTGTGGACATTTGGAAGCTAGGGTTTTTCAAGGATAGTTTGATGGGCAAGGGAATGGGTGCTGCTGATTGGTTGTGGATGCAGTCACAGGAGTGTGGAAAACAGTCCTGTGTACTGAGTCCACTCCTGGGTGGGGGCCACAGGATCAGTTGAGTCAAGAGTCATAGGTCTGGGTGGGGCTATTGGTGGTCAACAATGCAAAAGCCTGAGAAGACAACTCAAAAGGCCAATCTTAGGTTCTACAGTACTGGTGTTATCTGCAGGAGTAATTGAAGAAGCAGCAAATCTTGTGACTTCCAGAATCATGGCTGGTAATTCTTTATGCCTACATCTTAGCAGAATAGCTCCTCTCATCCTCCTAACCTGGTGGTCTTTCATAAGTTTTACAAAGGCCATTTAGTTCTGAAGAAAAGTGATTATCATTTAACCTATAAACTAAATTTCTCCCAACGTTAGCTTGGCCCAAGCCCAAGAATGACTAAGGGCAGTTTTGAGATTAAAGGCAAGATGAGGGCTGATTAGATCAAATCCCTTTCATTGTCTTAATTTTCTCACTGTCATAATTTTTGCAAAGATGGTTTCACTCTTATATTGCAGAAGGAGAAATTTGCAGACAATGGCAGATAGGATGGAGGGGCATTACCTGTGGGGCAAACTCCTATCTCCTGGTTCTCCTTGGTTAACATCTCCACCCTTGACTTCCAGATTATATCAACCCACACCATTTTCTGTGGCTATTGAAAAGCCTGAAAGTGACAGAGGAGACTGAGACTCTAAGGGGATAGTGTCAGCCAAATTGGAGGGTTGGGCACTCATGGAGAAGTGACTGGTCAGCCCCAGATAGTGGACTGTCCAGGCCAGCAGGGAGTCATTTAGCCTGAACACTAGTTTACCACCACCATGGCAGAGGAAGAGCAAAAGGCTGAGAGTTAGAGAAGCAATGAAATCCAAGAAGAGTTGAGAAGTTGTATGAGATAACATCTAATTCTAATGTAGTTAGAAAAATACTTAGCTTGGCTTCCTGCACTTCTGTCAAAGACACTGACTATGCTATCACTGAAGGAGAGATAATATGGAGTTCTTTTCAAAGCAAATACTTCTTGCAGATTGCTAGGATACATGGAGTCCTGGATTAGTGTCTTAAGAACCCAGTTTCAGAAAAACTCCCTTCAAAACTATCACTGTGGGTGAACACTTAGTGCCAGTGAGTGAACTTAAAATCACAAACGCAAATGTCACACTGAAATAGATTATCTATAAAGTAGTCGTCCAGATGAAACAGCATATGGCTACAACTAAGTGTCTCTTTTTAGATTATGATAAGCATGAAAATAAACTTCTTACAGATGGATCGACCATCAGCCTGAGTTTATGCATCCCTAAGAGTCCAACTTTGCTGAAAAAATTCCTGGAGTAGTGGTTAAGAGCTTATTTTCCAGATTCAGGCAAACAAAAGTTAGAATCCTGGCATATTTCTCCTAGCTTTTGACCTTGAGTAAGATGCTCAACCTCACTAAAAACAAAATTTGCTCATCTGTGAAATAGGAATAATAATAGAATCTGCCAAACAGGAATGTTGGGATGACTAATTGAAATAATGCATATAAAAGGCTCAGCATTCCACAGTGCGCAGAAAAAGAGTTCAGCCAATGCTAGGCATTAATATTAACATCCTGCTTGAGAAAAATATTTGATTTGCTTTGGAAAGTAAGTGCCAATAGGAGTAGCACATGAGAACTGAGGCTAATTCAGTCAGCACTGTGAGGATATATATCTTTTTTTTTATTATTATACTTTAAGTACTAGGGTACATGTGCACAACGTGCAGATTTGTTACATATGTATACATGTGCCATGTTGGTGTGCTGCACCCATTAACTCGTCATTTACATTAGGTATATCTCCTAATGCTATCCCTCCCCCCTCCCCTGACCCCACAGCAGGCCCCAGTGTGTGATGTTCCCCACCTTGTGTCCAAGTGTTCTCATTGATATATATCTTTAGAGTTTGGAGAGAATGCTCTGAGAAGAGAAAGTCAATGTGATTACAGAAAGGGAATGCTGGCAAAATGGAAAACAATTTTCACCTACTTAGTTAAATTGTACCTTAACTTCATAGAATAACTATAGAAACCTAACTGCAGCCCAGTGCAAGAGATGGGGATGCTAATGGATCTGCATGAGAAAGTGCTCTTCAGGATGGCATCCACCTTAATTGTAGAACAGTGATTCCCCAATGGTGGACAGGGAGACCAGACATTTGGTGGAGGGGGTTGAAAAAGCCTCAAGTCAACATTTTAATAGAGTTTTATTGGAGTAGAATCTTGGCTTATGGGGAGATGTGGAATGTATAGGGATTCCACAGAAGGCATAATTACTTCCATTTCTCCCTGGAGAGACTTGTCAAACAGATTTCTATGAGATCTGAGCTTAAAGAGTTGAGAAATACTACCGTAGACCAGAGGTTGGCAAACTATGGTCCACAGGCCAAATCTGGCCCACTGCTTGGCTTTGTAAATAAAGTTTTATTGGAAGGTATCCACACTCATTCATTTACATATATTCTGTGGCTGCTTTCATGCTATATTTGCTGAGTTGAGTAGTTGCAATAGCGACCTGGGGGCTCTCAAAGATTAAAACATTTACTCTTTGGCTCATTACAGAAAGTTTGCCAACTCCTGTGGTAGATTATAAAGGCCTAAACAGCCCCAGGCAGTGTACTATTTCCTTTCAACAGGAATTTTGTGACCAAAATTTGCTATTTTCTTCATAACAGTCCTTGAATCCTTTAGAAGTATAATTGTTACTCTTTAAGACATTGTGAAGGCTTACTATTATAGTAAAATTAGGAATTCTAAGCAAATTCTTAATTGTTTCAGCTGCTTCTTAGAACTGGAAATTTTGGTGAACTTACCAGAATATTCTTTGCTAGGAAAAGAAGCCAATAAAAAATGTTAGAGATTTTAAACCAGGGCTAAGCAATTATTAAGGGTATCAAATTTTAAAGGAAGAAAAGACAAAGGAAAAACAGAAGAAATTATTCATGGATTGGTGACAATTTAAGGCTGAAAATTAGGTATAATAAAATCACCACCACCAACAACAAAGTACATGCTGAATGAGATTTTCATGTAACTACTAAATCTGCTGTCTTTCCACCCAGCTTATTAGAACTGTGTGATGTGCTTATCTGCTTAAGCTTTGACAGTGGCCTGTGGGGATTGACTTGTTCAAATCAGGGGCTTTGAAGATATTCACAAAGACACATATTTTTCAAATATACAATTTCAGATCAGCATGCATTCAGCTGTGGCAGTGGTCCTCATTTTGCCCCCCAGAGGATGTTTGACAATGTCTAGAGACAATTTTGGTTTTCAGTGGAGGTGGGAGAATCTGCTACTGGCATTTAGCAGGTGGAGGCCAGAGGTGCTACTAAACATCCTACCATGCACAGGATAACCCCCCACTAGAAAGAATTTTCTGGCCCAAAATGTCAACTGTGGTAAAATTGAGAAACATGATGTATAGGAGGTGAGCTATTTCAACATGGAAGTTATACTATCATTGAATTCTCATACAGTGTATTTACATTAGGATTACCTATCTTTTATTTATTTATTTATTTATTTATTTATTTATTGACACTCTGTCATGAGGCTGGAGTACAGTGGCACAATCTTGACTCACTGCAGCCTCCACTTCCCTGGGCTCAGATGATTGTCCTACCTCCGCTTCCCAAGCAGCTGGGACTACAGGCATGCACTACCACACCTAATTTTTGTATTTTTTTTTTTATAGAGATAGGATTTCACCATGTTGCCCAGGCTGGTCTTGAACTCCTGGACTCAAGCAACTCACCCACCTGGGCCTCCCAATGTGCTGGAATTACAGGCATGAGCCACTGCACCCAGCCAGGATTAACTACTATTTATAGCCAGTGAAACTATTATAGTTCGAATAAAAGATTTCTCTTTTAAATAAAAATGTTAGTTTAAAAAGTCAATTTAAAGAAAAATGTTAACTAAACAATACTATAGATGACAAGTAGATTTGTTACATAAAATATAAAGACAGTTGAATGAATTAATTTTTAAAAACTGCCCTAAACTCTTAAGCGAATGGGATTATTTTCAAACTGTCATTCTTTGAAACAATGCCAGTGTTAACCCAAGTAGTTCCCACATGCTATCATATTTAGTAAGTCTTCCTGTTTTATTTTTGCTAAACAATACTGAGATATTTAGGATAAGCTTTTAGTCCTCTGGATATTGGTGGCTCTTCTCGTGTTCTTAGGACAGTGTGCTGGCAGTTGAAATTGGGAGTTTAGTTTAACGGATTACATTTCTCCTTCACTTTCTCTCTCAAACTCAAGATGGCAGCTCATGCCGCTCTGTTTCAAAGGCCACCATGTGCCACCTTTTGCAAGCCACCCATCTCAGATGCCCGCATCGGGAAGCACTTTTAGAAGTCTTTGTCGGCAGCCCCAAGAGGGAGACACAGCGTCGTCTGAAAGTACTTTATAAATATTTATGGGATTGACTTGCAAATTACAGATAAAATACCTGAAAACATGGTAAAGAGCAAATTTGTCTGGTCCCAACTGAAGAGGTTTTGACTCAGTAGACCTCGGCTAGTCTCTAGGAATCTGCATATTTAACAATTATCCTGAGTGATGCTGGACCAAACAGTGAGAATCACTGAGGTATGATATATGACAATAAAGGAAAGATCTTGATTGCACACATTGCTCTCAACTTTGGTACTGTCTGCTTTTGTACCATGTGTTTGTATGTTATAGTTTGACATCACAGACTGCCTGTTCATAAACCAAATTTGAGTTTTCCTTATCTTCTAATGAACCAATGTATTTTCATTTGTCCTTACTACTTAATAAATCAAAAGAAAAATAAGAAATGAGAAAAAAGTCCCCTAGACTTAATACCGATGGGTCAAAAATGGAAATCATTAGGCATGCTGAAATTGAAGAACCTTTAACTTGCATTCAGCAGCTTTTGGACATAAGCCAGGCAAAAACTGTGAAGAAAATGAACACATTTTAAAAAATGTTAGAAATGCTGTCATTGAAGTTTGGGTCTGAAAACTGAGGGATAGTTAGGAAATGTAAAATATCTTTCTTGGTGAAGATATTTTTTCTTGCAGTGGGCATGATTTTTGCATACCTTTAGCATGTTCAGTTTCTGAACACATTCTTGGGGCATGTACAAAAGCAAGAGGTTGCCAATAGTAGAATGACAGCAAGAAACTTATTTTTCACATCCTTTATTTGAAGAAGCAGAGTGACGTTCATTCCCACTGTAATTACAGTTCTCAGGTGGTGGAAATATTTCAAGGGAGCCAATCGTCTCATCTGTTATTCAGACATAAGCAAGATGTTGATAGGACTCTCCTTGACAACCATAGTACTGAGAATGTTCATTTTCATGGCTGAATCTCCACCTGAAAAGGATTTTGTGCTTGAACTCTTACCAATGGCTCTTGTAACTTGCCTTCTTAAAGTTACTCACTCTGGTCGTTAATTAGACTGTGATTGGATGGCAAAAAAAAAAAAAAAAAGGACTGGAGAAGAATGTAGATGACATATGTTAGATTAGGCTGTAATTTTAAGATCTTGCTTTAATATCTGTACATCTTACTGTCTTTTTAAAAATTTAATTAAACATTCTATTTCAAGATAATTGTAAATTCACATTCAATTGTAAGAAATATTACAAAAAGATCCTATACCCTCTACTCAGTTTCTCTGGTAGTAAAGTCTTCCAAAACTACAGTATGATATCGTAACAAAGATATTGACATTGATATTGATGTAGTCAAGCTACAGAACAGTTCCATTGCCACAAGGATCCCTGATGTTAACCTGTTACAGCCAAATCCACATCCCTGGGCTCCCTCTCTCCTCCACCACCACATTCCTAACTTCAGACCATCGTTAATCTGTTTTCCGTTTCTATAATTTTGTGACATCAAGAATGCTATACAAATGCAATCATGTAGTATGTAACATTTTAGATTTGGCTGTTTTTTTCACTCAGTATAATTCTTACAGAGATTTATCCAAGTTGTTGCAGATATTAATAGTCAATTTCTTTTTATTGCTAGTAGTATTCCATTGTATGGAGGATGTACCACAGTTCGTTTAATCATTCACCCACAGAAGGATTTCCACATTATGAGGCTTCCAGGTTTCGGCTATTTTGAATAAAGCTATAAATATTCATATACAGATTTTTTTTTTATGTGGGGATAAAAGTTTTCATTTCTGTGTCATAAATTCCTAAGAATGAAACTTCTGGTTGTATGATGCTGGTTTCATTTTTTAAGAAACTACCACTGTTTTTCAGAGTGGCTGTACCATGTTGCATTCCCACCAACTATGTATGAGTCATCCAATTTTTCCACATCCTTGTCTGCATTTGGTGGTGGTGGTATTATTATTATTTCAGCCAATCTGATAGGTGTGTATTGGTAGCCATTGTGGTTTTAATTTGCCCTTCCCTCAGAGGCAGTGATATTGAACATGTTTTCATGTGCTTCTTGAACATCTGCGCACCCTCTCCGGTGAGATGTCTGTTCATGACTTTTGCCCATTTTGTCATTAGATTATTTGTTTGTTTTACTGTTGTGATTTGAGGGTTCTTTGCCTATTCTAGATACCAGTTCTTTGTCAGATATGTGGTTTACACATCTTTTCTTCCAGTCTCTCACTTGTCTTTTCATCCTCTTCACAGAGTTTTTCACATAACGGAAGTTTTCATTTTGATGAGGTCCAGTTTTTCAAATTTTCCCTCTGTGGATTATGCCTTTGATAACAGGTCTAAGAACTCTCTCCAGACTGTGATCTCATGCATTTTCTTTTTATCGTTTTATTTGATATTTAAGTTTTATCATTTTATTTAATATTTAGGTCTATTTTAAGCTATTTTTATATAAGGTGAGTGTTTTAATGTTTAAGTCGACGATTTTTCCACCCCCCTCCATGGATGTCCAATTGCCTCAGTACTGTACACTGAAAAGTTTGCTTTTCTTCCACTGAATTGCTTTTCCACCTTTGTATCTGTGTTTTTATATTGCTTGATGGATTTAATAACTGTGCAGGATGAAAACCAATAGAATTGACTAATTATACTAATACCTCTGGGTATTTAAAAAATAACAGAATCCTCTTTCATTTAATTTACAGGTTTTTTGTTTTGTTTTGTTTTTTTGGTAGTCTCTCTCTGCTGCCCAGGCTGGAGTTCAGTGACATGTTCTCGGCTTACTGCAGCCTCTACCTCCTGGGTTGAAGCAATTCATGTGCCTCAGCCTCCAGAGTAGCTGGGACTACAGGCATGTGCCACCACTCCCAGCTAATTTTTATATTTTTAGTAGAGATGGGGTTTTGTCATATTGGCCAGACTGGTCTCAAACTCCTGGCCTCAAATGATTCATCCATCTTGGCCTCCCAAAGTGCTGGGATTACAGGCATGAGCCACCTTGCCCAGCCATACAGTATTAACTTTTATTAAACAAAACAAAAACTAACAAACAAAACCCAAAATCTATTCTCACGATCCAGAGAAAACGTTGTTAACATTTTTTTTTGTCTTTTTCCAATGCATTTTTAGTATAGTGGAGATCATGACCTAAATGAAAATTTATATTCTGCTTCACCCCTCCCCACAATAACATATTATGAACACTTTTCTATGTCCTTGGAAATTCCTTCTGAAACTTGTTTCAAATGAACCAACTATGTTATCCTGCAGACAGATAATATATGTATTATAGATGTAGTATAATTTACTATATAAATATTATGTACACTATCTATATTACTATTTTTTATAAAATAATTACCTATGTTATCTTACAGATGTATAACATTTATTATAGATATATTCTATATGTATCGTAATATGTACTACATGTTTACTATATGTGTACCATTTACTTTATATAGCTACTAATGTTGCTCTATAGATAAGTAGATATATTACATTATATATTGTAGAAGTATTATAATTTACTTTGTCACTCCTTATTGTTGAAATTTGAGTAATCCCTGACTTTTTTATTGTAAATAATGCTGCTAACATTTTATTGTACATTCGGTGGGATCAGACACATATCTTAGCTTCTTTATTTAGAACTAAACTTCGGAGTAGAGTGGATTTCGTTTTTTCACCCTGAACAAAGCAGTTAATTTATGTTCAAGTTTCTGAGACAGAAGAGAAAAATGGAATATATAAACATTGCAGACAAGTAGTAGTTAACTTGAATTCCTCACCCATCTGCCAGGTACTGATAGAATTATAAGAGGTTTTTAAATTGACTATGTTTTGAAGGACCAAATATTTTATGTAGACTTTGTTTTGTTTCTTCTTATTAGCTCAGAGGTTCTTAAACTTTGTAGTACATAAAATTTATTTATAGGTCAAATATACAAAACCACATATATATGGTAATTGGAGGTAATTTAAGGATCGAGGATAATCATGACTGAAGAGCAGCCACCCGTCTGCACTTGAATATGGAATTCATTTTGTTTTGGGTTTTTTCCTAAGGATAGATTTCTATTCTTTTTCTTTTTGAGACGGAGTCTCGCTCTGTCGCCCAGGCTGGAGTGCAGTGGCGCCATCTCGGCTCACTGCAAGCTCCGCCTCCCGGGTTCACGCCATTCTCCTGCCTCAGCCTCCCAAGTAGCTGGGACGGCAGGTGCCCGCCACCATGCCCGGCTAACTTTTTGTATGTTTAGTACAGACGGGGTTTCACCATGTTAGCCAGGATGGTCTCGATCTCCTGACCTTGTGATCCGCCGGCCTCGGCCTCCCAAAGTGCTGGGATTACAGGCGTGAGCCACCGCGCCCGGCCTGATTTCTATTCTTTTTAGGTTATTTATTGTCAAGCGACCTTTAAAGATGACCAGTCGAGTATAATAGTGCCACTCAGACATTTGCCATCAGTAACTATTATTATTAAATTATACTCATTTGCTGGGCGCGGTGGCTCACGTCTGTAAGCCCAGCACTTTGGGAGGCCGAGGCGGGTGGATCATGAGGTGAGGAGTTTGAGTCCAGCCTGACCAACATGGTGAAACCCGGTCTCTACTAAAAAAATACAAAAATTAGCTGGGCCTAGTTGTGCTTGCCTGTAATTCCAGCTACTCAGGAGTCTGAGGCAGGAGAATCGCTTGAACCCAGGAGGCGGAGGTTGCAGTGAGCGGAGATCGCACCACCTCACTCCAGCCTGGGTGACAGAGCAAGACTCTGTCTCAAAAAAAAAAAAAAAAAAAATTATACTTAGTAATTTTTAGGTTTAAAAATGTCTCATTTTATTTTGCTTTTGGAGAATATTGTTTTTCATATGCTCATTAGCTCTTTGCATTTTCTCTCTCTGGCATTATTAATATTTTAATGTGCTAGTGTACCTTTTACTAGTTATTTTCTTCAGGATAGTTTTGGTTGCTAGAATCAGACCCCCATTCAAGCTAGCTTAATTAAAAGTTGCAGTGATGTTGATGGTGATGGGTTCCTGGGGATATAGATGATTTCCAAGAAACCCAGAGGAAAGGCTAGATCTCAGTATTAGGAATTGAAAGATTGTGAAGAACTAAAATGTCTCTTTTACCTAGAGTAGAAATGATCTAGTTCCCTGTAGCAGGTTCCACAGCTTAACTCTCCTGCAAGTGATTCAACATGGCCAACAACTTCTGTTTAAACCTACCAGCATTGACCTTTCAATTTGGTCTGCACCTCTGGTAGTAATCTTCAAGTCTCTGGGTTGAATATCCTAAGCAAGAATCTGGTTGGTGTTAATCAGCCAATTATTAGCTAGTTAGTTTAGTGTCTGGTCCAACTCTTCACCATCCATTATGAGGAATATCACGACAACCATGAGCTGCCAGATTCTAGGATGGGCAATGAGATCTTCAGCATAGACCAAGCCCATGGTTTTCAGATTTAATTGCACTTGAAATTCTAGCATGTTCCTTGAATGCCTATTTTATTTGTACATTTGGGATTTTTATCTCTGGGACTTTTTTCTGAAATATACCTAGTGATATTGCTATCAAAGCATGAAGAAATTTATCTTCAAATACTTATTTTCTTTTGATTCCAGTAATTGTCTGAATGACACATAATATGCCCGTTGTGGAAACAATTTTGATTTTTAAAACTTTATTTTCACAAAGCAACATCACATTTCTGGCTTGCAAATATTTCACAGGTGAAAACATCAAAAAGAAAACATTTAAATGCAAATGTCAGTCAGGGGAGATGCTGAGCTCAGTCTTTGTATTTCCTTCCAGATTTATCAGCGATGCTGGTTAGTATTCAAGAAAGCTTCAAGCAAAGGTCCAAAAAGACTGGAGAAATTTTCTGATGAACGTGCTGCATATTTCAGGTGTTATCATAAGGTAAGACTCAATTGCTGTAGCTTTCCAGTAATCTATTTACAGGGAGGCAACTGGAATTACTGACTGAAAACTTGCCTGAATTATTTAACAAAGGTACAAGCAATATCTTTTCCAAGGACAAAACACCCCTAAAATAACATCTGCTTGCTAATTGTTTCAAGTAATTGACTAATGTAAAGTCACTTTTCTGGTTTCCTGCTATTTGCTGTAGCTGTTCTTGCTGTTTTCCAGTCTCTGCTATGGGACTTATCATGTTGTTGTACTCCCTACACTGAAGCCCCGAGAGGATGAGGACTGGATCTCATTGTGTCTCAGACACTGCCTGATGCAGAAAGACACTCATTCAATGCTTGGGGAATGTGGGGAGAGAAGGGAGGGGAAGAAGCAGAAAACAGGTAACAGTGGACGAAGAGGAAGTTCTACCGATTTATTGTTTTCTTTAAGTTTGATGACTAAATTTTCTTAGTAGTAGTGAGATTTTCTCAATAAAAATAGTCATTGTGTGTTACAACTCATTAAGGTAAGTACAAGATTTACTTACCACGTGGATTCACAAATTAGCTAAATATTTCCCTCTACATGGCAGTATATTTCCGTGGTCCTTGTTAACACGCAGCCTATGTATTTTCTTTTTTCATGAAAACGTGTGAAAGCACATGGTTAACACTCCTCCGAGGCTCTGGTTATTTTCATATGGAGAAAATACTACTCTTTTGTCTATGAAGGAACTATGCTTATTTTTATGATAGAACATTTTAATTTTGGCTTTCCATCTTGAAGATTCTTTAAGCCTCATTTGGTGAGAATTTACTGGGGCCAGGCTTCTTTGCCATTTAAAATTTTATGCGAAACCAGTTGATCTATTAGAACAGAAACTTGGCTAGGTGGGGGAAGTGAACAGCTTTTCCTTTTGTGCAAATTCTCCAAAAGTAGTGACTTTTCGACACCTTATAAAGGGTCTATGATGACACTTTGGTTTATATGATGATGAAAACAATGGGGAAGCTGCATTTCTTCTCAAATTAGAGAAATAAGGACTACGTTATACTTTATAGGCACACCTGTATGTACATAAGGGAAGAATAAGCACAAAACAAGCTTTTGAGACAGGTAGAGAAGGGAGTCAAGGGTGGCGTCTTCCATGCATTTCATTTCCCTGTCACCCCATGAAGCAGTTCCACATTCCAAGGCTTCTCCCACTCCCAGCCTTTCTTCTCTCCAATGGAGAACCCACTTATACCTTTTTGAGTCCAGATTTCCTCTATCATTTATCTGTCATATGCCAAATATGAAATGACACTGTTCAAATATATATATTTTTTGTTCTCAGGGAGGAGTTGTTGAATTGAAAATGTATTATTTAGGCACAGTGATCCATGAAGCCAGTGATAGCATAACTCTGAACTCTGCAAATAATCTTGAGCCAAACTCTCCACTTTTATAACACTCTAAACTATTTGTATCCAGTCATTTTGAACCAGATGTATTATGGCCCAGTTATCCCTCATGTATCCAGTATTTTCCCTTATAACAAGATGGCGAGCAATGCTATAAGGATGACTTGCTTTATTTTTGCTAGAACAGCCTTTTCTTAAAAGAGAATCAAAATACCCAGGAAGATGTTTGGCTTATCATCTAGACACAGACAGAGCTTTAGGTGGCCAGAAAGTATAGTTACACATCAGGTCTTCTCTTGAGAACCTTAGCCGGTCTGTAACTTTGCAATTCACCCTGAGGCTCTGTACTGTCTGGTCATTGTGTGTGGCCTTTTGGTCCTTTTTTGTCTTGGTAGAGTTCCAAATATGTCTGGTTCTTCACAATCCAAACATCTAATTCTTCACAATTCCATATGCCAACCTTTCTGAATGTAGAAAAAATAAGAAATAGGCTATGTTACAGATAGACCTATACATACCTAAGAGAAGAAAGAAGATAAATGAGGAATACATTATAGGAACTCCTCAAATCCCATCCATCGGCAAATGGTGTTGGCTGTATGCTCAAAATGTATGGAGACTCTGAACACAGCTCACAGTCTCTACTGCTACTACTGGGGTCCTAGGCAGTGGGCTGCCAAATTCTTGGGCTTCTAGAGTCTGTTCGAAACACTTATATCACATCACGATATTCTTTGCTGCAACACCCTCAGCCAAGGTCTGATAATGGTCTATGCCAGTGGTCCCCAACCTTTTTGGCACCGGGACAGGTATCAGGGAAGACAATTTTTCCACAGACGGGGTTGGGGGCAGGATTGGTTTCGGGATGAAACTGTTCCACTTCAAATGATTAGGCATTAGATTCTCATAAGGAGCAGGCAACCTAGATCCCTAGCATGCACAGTTCACAATAGATTTTACACTTCTATGAGAATCAGGAGGTGGAGCTCAGGCAGGAATGCTTGCTCACCTTCTGCGGTGTAGCCGGGTTCCTAATAGGCTATAGACCAGTACTGGTCCAGTACCCATCTGCTGCCCAGGGATGAGGGTCCCTGGTCAATGCGATCACGCGATTTGATTTCTTGCTGCCCTTTTAACCTCATCTCTGAGTTTCCTTAATCCCACCTTCCTCTTCTCCAGGTGCCCTGGGCTCCTCTCTTTCCTTGGAAGATGCCAAGCACCTCCTGCCCTTTATACCTGCTCTTCCCTTTTCCTGGAATGCTCTCCCCCAGGTACCCACAGAGCTCGCTCCCTTACTTTGTTCAGTGCGTTGCTCAAATTGCTCCTCTAAGAGAGGCCATTTCTTGACTCCCTTGTTGGAAATAGAACCCACCTACTCACTGCCTTCCACATCCCTCTTATTGCTCTTCTCAGGAGGCACCAGAACATAACACACTTGCTTGGTTGTTTCCTATTGTCTTCCCCTCTTCCCCGCATAAAATACGGTCTACAAAGACAGGGATTTTTTGGGGATGGGAGACATGATTCACTATTAGTTACCAGAATCTAACACATAGTGAACACTTTTAAAAGTATTGGCTGAAAAGCAAGAAATGTTATCAGTAGAGGAAATGGAATACATACAGATGTCTATGTGTCATACTTTTATTTAGTTTACCAGAAGAAATCTGTACTTGAGGCATCTGAAACCAGAAAAAGAAACTTTGATTTGGAGAAAATAGGGTGGGCAGTGATGGAAGCAGAAAAAGCCAGGATTTGGATGTTTTAGGAGGACAGAAAAATATAAAACCAAAGTGGATGAAAAAGCTCTTGCTTGAATGTGAAATGAATAAAGGGAAGTTGAGGACAAACTTGCTCTATTTCAGACTTCTACCTGCTGGCTTTGGAATTTAATATGTAAATCTTTGGGGAAATTGGTAAGCCACATTCTCTTTCACCTATAATAATCATTAACCAAAGTTCAAAGCATTAGAATGGAAGAATTATCTACATTTAGCCTCCAAGCCCTTGATGAATTCCTGTAGCTGATTCATCCTCTACTCTTTTAGATCTGATACATTTAGTATTAATCTCTCGGGGCACATAAAAAGCTGGAGTAATTCTGAGATATGCATTTTTCATCTAAATGCTGTGTAATTTATGAATCTTGATAATAAAATACTGGGGTTATAAGTAGCACACCGTGACCAAATTTTAGAGTTTATTCTAACATAAATAAAGCCGTTTCCAAAAGAAATGAGGAAATGTACATCATGCTATTTGATCAATACGGAGGTGGTGTGGTGGATGCAGACATATCCCTCCCATAGGAAATCTTAGCCTTTATAAGAGCACAGTACTTCTCCCATTTTATTTTTAAAGATATTATTAAGAAAAAAATGCCAGTTTTGCATATCTGACTCTTTTTAGAAGTTTCAACACAAGAAAAAGATTGTAGAATTTTAAAATTTGGTACCCCCTCACTGAAAATGTAGCTCGAAGTACACTCCTGCAAAAATTGGAAAATAAACATATGAATAATGCACATATAGAACAATTTATTTTTTATTTCTTACTTCCTCCACGAAGCACCCCTCAAGCACCCATAGCTGTCAGAGATGGCTGCAAATTTGATTAACTGTAATTCCCACAATAGTAAGACTCCAGTGACTTTAAATATAGTTTCTGACCTTGTTAAACACTAGTTCCATGTTTTCCTTCAGGAAATAATGTTGCTTATACTAATTAGAAGGGGATGAAAGTTTCTGTGCATAGTTTTACTTTTTCAAGATGAGTAACACTTGAGAGGAAATAGAGTGGAAGGAAGACCATTGACCGCTTTTGAGACCAAGGCAAATGGTATGGTGAGAAGTATGCCGGTCCTGGATTTAGGTAGCCTGAGTTCTAATCCCAGCTTTGCCACCGTATATGTCTGACAAGTCATCCTCTTTCTGTGTAAAGGTGGCCTCCAAGGCAAGTCACACATTTGCTTCCTCATCATCACATGTGGCTGAGTCTGCAGGGATTCGGTTCACCTTGGACCAGAAGGACAAGTCCAGCAAATCCTGTGTTTAATGTTTCCCAAAATGTGAACGAAAGAGTGTGTCAAAAGAGCCTTTCATGATTAAATGTTGTGTGGTCAAAGAAATTGGCAACTGCAACGTTTATGGCCCCATCTTTGAGATTCATAACCCACTGCAGCCCCTCATGGGCTCTGAAAAGTCCTACAGTTAAGAAATTGGAGGGACTTTGAGTCAGCATTTCCAAAACAGCTGGGCCATGGAACTATTTGTTTTAATCGTGTGTTCCATGGAACAAATAAATTTAATTCTAGGGAACACAGTCTGGGATTTGCTGCTTTCATGTGTTAACTTATTGTTGTTTCAACAGTAAACAACTAGGGATGATCGTTTCTACTTTATCTAAATCAGGGTTAATGTGTGTATTAAATGAACGTGAATGTATTTGAAAAGGGAACAACTCTCTAACTGTAGAGATTAATTGCCATTATTATTTTTATTCTCCCAAACACCTTTGGTCTTATTTGTTCTGTCATTCTACCCTTTATAGTGACTAGGTCATTTGTATCTCCTAAGCTCAATGTCAGACCTTGTTCTTCGTTTCTGCAAAAATAGGATTCTAGCTTCCGCACAATGAGCTAATGTCCTAAAATTTATTTCTCTGGAATTTCATCCAACTTATCTGTGTGTGTGTGTGATAACCTTTTCTGTACTAATGATTCATTCTTTTTTTACACAGTTTCTTCCTCATCTAAAACATTTCCTCTTCCGATACAGCTGTCTATAATATGTCTTTTCAAAATCATAAAATGTCACAGCCCCCTCTTTCAATACTCAGATATTTACTTTGGAGTCATCCCCTCCTCATGTAAGAAACTACCCACCATGCCATATTCTAGAAGTTTCCTAAGCTTATGCCAAAGAGGACATGACTCTTCACATCTCCATAAATTAAATGATGGATTATTACTCTGATGTTTTTCCCAGGTGATAAATAATTCCATATCCACATTTCTAAGGCTTAGGTAAATTAGATAAAAGAGGTTGACTGTAGTACAAAACACCCTATTTTTCCAATTTAAGTACTTTTTTCTAGTCAAGGAAGTATGAGTCAGTACCAGAGTGCCAAAGACTCCTGAAACACGTTCAAAACTGACTGAACTCTTTCCTACCCAAGCTTGGTTTCTTTCTTTCCTTTTTTCAGATGGAGTTTTGCTCTTGTTGCCCAGGCTGGAGCGCAATGGCACGATCTCGGCTCACTGCAACCTCTGTCTCCTGGGTCCAAGTGATTCTTCTGCTTCAGCCTCCCAAGTAGCTGGGATCACAGGCATCCACCACCATGCCCAGCTAATTTTTTGTATTTTTAGTAGAGACGGGGTTTCACCAGGTTGGCCAGGCTGGTCTCGAACTCCTGACCTCAAGTGATCCACCCACCTTGGCCTCCCAAAGTGCTGGGATTACAGGTGTGAGCCACCATGCCCGGCCTGAGCTTGGTTTCTTTATGGGCTTCTGTGGCTCATTGTACAGCATCAGGATCCATTCTGTTATTCAAGGCAGAAGCCAGGGAGTTGTCTTTGACTTACTCTCTTCCATATTCCCTCTCAAATCAATCCATCACCAGGTTTGCATGCAGCACTCCCGCTGTATAGACCCCTTTTCTTTCGTGGTCCATGTGGCAAACATTTATCAATCCCTCAAAGTCTCTGCTCTGTCTTCACCTCCCCAAGAGTCTTCTCGACTTTCCCTGAGGTGGTTCATCTGCTGGGCCCCCTCTGCCTGGATGCACTGGTCACAATGAAAGCAGGGCTTTATTTTCATGGTGGTGGCAGGTTCTGTCCATTTGGGGCTGATCCCTTCTTCTTTGGTAATGGATGTCTGATTTCTAGTTGGAGACAAGGCAACCCATAGTAAAGACCCCTGTGCAGAGAGATATGTTCCTGCAACTGATTCCTGGCCTCAGGGGAATAAGCACAGAAGACACATACCCTTCTTCGTCTCTTGTTCTTTCCTACTGATTCGAAAATGGGCGTCAGCCATCTTGGCCCATGATACTGGAAAGCTCATGGATTGAGGGTAGCCCAGCAACAGGTGAAGCCTGGAACTGGGTGCTCAGGGCTGGTCTGTTCTCCCTCACACTGTAGAACCCCAGGGCAACCCAAGACTACTTACCTCTGGATTTGTTTTATATGAGAGGAATAAACTTCTTTCTTGTTTAAGCCTTTATTTATTTATTTTTAAGACAGAGTTTTGCTCTTGTTGCCCAGGCTGGAGTGCAATGGTGCGATCTCGGCTCACCGCAACCTCCACCTCCCAGGTTCAAGCGATTCTCCTGCCTCAGCCTTCCCAAGTAGCTGGGATTATAGGCATGCGCCACCAAGTCCGGCTAATTTTGTATTTTTAGTAGAGATGGGGGTTTCTCCTTGTGGGTCAGTCTGGTCTCGAACTCCCGACCTCAGGTGATCCGCCCACCTCGGCCTTCCAAAGTGCTGGGATTACAGGCGCGAGCCACTGCGCCTGGCCACGTTTAAGCCTTTATAATGCTGGATTTTCTCTTGTGTGCACCAGAGTCCTAGCTATTAGAGATGTAGTAAAATTTCCTCATCATCCAATGCACTCTGGGTAGGGAATTCTGTTATTCACAGCCAGGAGTATCCTGACATGGTCACTGTCCGTTGGATTTGAATTTCTTGAAGATAGAAACCATGCTTTATTCATCTTTGTATCTATCTTTCCAACATAGTGTCTCATGCAAAGTAGGTACTTTGGATTCTACAGGCCCTTACGGTTCCCAGGAAATGATTCTTGGCCTACTTATACTAGTATTGCATAGTAGAAATGTTAGGGAACCCTGGTGTATTGAGAATTAAAAGGGCCATGTGACTCACATGCCAAATTCTCTGTCATCTGAGCACATGCATGGTTTTGTCTTATGGAGAAGACCTTCTAATAACAGAGATAATGACATCATATTTTAAATTTTATTTATTATTATTATTATTTGAGACAGTGTCTTGCTTTGCCATCCAGGCTAGAGTGCAGTGGTGCTATCTTGGCTCATTGCAACCTCTGCCTCCTGGGCTTAAGCAGTCCTCCCACCTCAGCCTCCTGAGTTGCTGGAACTACAGGCGTGCGCCACCATGCCCAGCTGATTTTTTATTATTTGTAGAGACAGGGTCTTGCTACATTGTCCATGCTGGTCTCGAACTCGTGGGCTCAAGTGATTCTCCCTCCTTGGCCTCCCAAAGTGCTGGGATTACAGGCACGAGCCACTGTGCCAGGCCTCATTTGTACGCATATTTACATTAAAAAAATCAATCTAAAACATACAGAAGGTTAAAAAAAAAATCAAATGGTATTGAAGCGCTTATCATGAAAAGTAGCAGTGCCTACTTTATTCCCACCCTTCTGTTGTGGGTTGAATTGTGACCTCCCAAAAATATATGCCTAAGGTGTAACTGCTGGTACCTGTGGATGTGACTTTATTTGGAACTAGGATCTTTGTAATGTATTCAAGTTGCTGTGGGATTATCGGATTAGAGTGGACCCCAGTCCCATAGCTGGTACCCTTATAAGAAGAGACACAGACCCACAGGGAGAAAGCCATGTGAAGACAGGCAGACACTGGAGTGATACAATTAAAAGCCAAAGGTGTCAAGGACTGCGGCAGCCACCAGACCGTAGGATAGATGCATGGAACAGACTCTCCCTCACAGCCTCCAGTAGGAACCAACCCTGCCAGCACCTTGATTTTGGGCTCTGGCCTCCAGAACTGTGACAGCATACATTTCTGTTGTGCAAGACACCTAGTACTTTGTTACTGCAACCCTACTCTAGGAAACGAATTCACCTCCCGAGGCTTAATCACCATTGTCATTCCCTGGTGTTCATTTTCCTGGTGGTTGCCTCTGTAACTCTCAATGATGTGTTTATAACTTTGTTTCTTGTTTTATTAACTTCCAACATTACCAACAGATTCCTCCCCTTTAGAAAGTTAATGGTTTGGCTCATTTATGTAATCTCATCAACTCTTTCTTCTTCCTTACAAATTGTGACAATTACATTACTTTCAATAAATATTCTACTGTATGTGGAACATTCAATAACATGGTTAAACCTCTGTGCCCTTCCCCATAAATGTTCTGATACTGAGACTGATTCTTATATCAGTCTCAGTTGTTAACGATCTTATTGCCTGTCCCCTTTGCTTTTCTCTTCTCTATTTGTCAGGTTTTTTTTTTTTTTTTTTTTTTACTTTCATGTTATTCAATACCAGATTCTTGTCTTACAGCAATGTGGGCTCGCTCTTGTCACACGTTCCATTGTTTCGAGAGAAACTGGAAGCAAAGATCTTTTAGTTGAACACTTTCAATATTTAACTGTAATTTTAAAATATAAGAAAGTATAAATTGAATATCTCTCCGGGTGATTGGCCTGAAAGCTGCCTTTAAAATTTTTTTTAAATCTCTTATTTACCCCTTGAACTAATGCTAGAAAGAGAAAGCAATGGTATTCCCAGGAGGCAACATGTGGCACTATACTTAGTAGGTCTACTATTTTAATATGTGTAAATTACAAATAAAACTATCATCATACTTTATTGCGTTGGACCTAGACTCCTATTTTCTTTCAGTTATTTATAGTTTATATAGATACATTCATTGTGATGAAAACATTACAAATACTTCAGCTATAATAAGACTTCTATGGCTGGGCACGGTGGCTCACGCCTGTAATCCCAGCACTTTGGGAGGCTGAGGTGAGCGGATCATGAGGTCAGGAGATCAAGACAATCCTGGCTAACACGGTGAAACCCCGTCTCTACTAAAAAAAATACAAAAAACAAAATTAGCTGGGCATGGTGGTGGGTGCCTGTGGTCCCAGCTACTCGGGAGGCTGAGGCAGGAGAATGGCATGAACCTGGGACGCGGAGCTTGCAGTGAGCCAAGATTGCACCACTGCATTCCAGCCTCGGCGACAAAGCAAGACTCCGTCAAAAAAAAGATTTTTATTAGAGATACACATATGCTTCCCAAAATATTATTTTGGTCAACACCATTGAAACCATCAAGGACAAATTTGTGTCTATGCCTCCTCTGTAAGAGTACCCTAATTGTGATTGGAAAGCTGAATGTTTTATATGCCAGAATGACAGGTTTCAAAGAAAACACAAAGAACAAAATCAGAGAGAGAGAAAAAAAATACATATACCATGTAGTATGACCATGGTTGAAACAAGGTCAAAGGTGATGTCAATCCCATGTTGTAACATCTACGGGGGCAGGAGTCACAAACGTTGGATCAGATATCACCTGTGAGTTGCAAGTACAAGGTAGTTTCAAAGCTGTGCCTCTGCAATATTTCTTTTCTTCTTTTTGAGGATTCCCGTCACCCTTAGAATTATATCAAAGCTCATTGCCAATACCCTGGTCTCCTAAGCCCTGTATGATTCTGCTCCAGCACATTTCTCCGACTTGCCATGCCACTTGTCACTTTGCTACAATGACCTCCCTTCATTTGTCCTGTCTCAAAGCCTTTGCAGTTTCTGTTCCTTTGTTCTATTGAGCTCTCCCCCATTTTTTTTCTCTTCCTTCAGGGATTAGCTCAATTTCACTGCCTGAAAAGGGCCTTATTTGAATACTCCATGCTTCTCAGAATCACATTTCTTTAGTACTGTACTCTCACTTTATGTGTGGGGGATACATTCCAAGACCCCCAGTGGATGGCTGCAACTGTGTATACCTCTCAACCCTATATATTCTATGTTTTTTCCTATCCATACATACCTATGATAAAGTTTAATTCATAAATTAGGCACAATAAGAGATTGACAATAACTAATAATAAAATAGAACAATTATAACAATATACTGTAATAAAAGTTATATGAATGTGGCCTCTCTCTCTCAAAATATCTATTGTACTATACTCACCTATTTTCAGACCACAGCTGACTGTGGGTAACCTGAAGCCTCTGAAACAGAAACTATGGACAAGAAAAACTACCATATATTAAGTAGATAGCCTTTCTCACTGTTGAAATTATGTTGGCCAGGTGCAGTGGCTCACGCCTGTGATCTCAGTATTTTGGGAGGCTGAGGTGGGAGGATCACTTGAGCCCAGGAGTTTGAGAGCAGCCTGAGCAGCATAGTCTCAACATAGTCTCTCTAACATTGTCTCTTAAGAAAACATAATCTACATGTATATTTGTTTACTGCTAGTATACCTTAAGCTCCAAGAAACTTATTGTGTGCATGTTGTCACCTGTAGGTTCTTGTATCCATCACCACATTAAGATACTGAACATGGTCGGGCGCAGTGGCTCAGGCCTGTAATCCCGGCACTTTGGGAGGCCGAGGCAGGCGGATCACGAGGTCAGGAGATCATCCTGGCCAACAGGGTGAAACCATGTCTCTACTAAAAAATACAAAAAAATTAGCCGGGCGTGGTGGTGTGTGCCTGTAGTCCCAGCTACTCAGAAGGCTGAGGCAGGAGAATCACTTGAACCCGGGAGGCAGAGGCTGCAGTGAGTGGAGATCACGTCACTGCACTCCAGCCTGGTGACAGAGCGAGATTCCGTCTCAAAAAAAAAAAAAAAACCCTGAACATTTCCATCAGCAAGAGGACTTTTTGTGTTGCCCTTTCATAATCACATCCTCCAGTCCTCCCACCCCACCACCCCAGCAGGCACTAATTTGTTTCCCATTTCTACAGTTTTTTTTTTCTTTTCAAGAATGTTTAATCGTTTGGGATTGGCCTTCTTCACGCAACATAACTCCCTTGGGACTTATCCAAGTTGCTGTGCATAGCAATAGTCCATTCCCTTTTACTGCTAAGTAGTAATCCATAGTATACATTCCCAGAGTTTGCATACATTCATCCACTGACGAACATCTGGGTCGTTTTTAGTTTCTCATCATTACAAATAAAATTGGTATGAATATTCAAGTTCATGTTGAATGAACATAAGTTGTCCCCCCTCCTCTCCATTTCTGGGATAAATTCTGAAGAAAGTAATTGCTGGGTCATATGGTAGTTGCACGTTTAGTTTTGTAAAAAGCTGTCCAACTGTGTTCCAGAGGGACTCTACCATTTTACAGTCCCATGAGCAGTATATGAGTAATCCAGTTTCTCTGCATTCTCACCAGCATTTGGCATTTGGTGGTGTCACTATTTTTATTTTAGTCATTCTTTTCTTTTTGAGACAGGATCTTGCTCTGTCACCCAGGCTGGAGTGCAGTGGTATGATTAGGGTTCACTGCGGCCTTGAAGGCCTGGCCTCAAGAGATCCTCTCACTTCAGCCTACCAAGTAGCTAGGACTACAGGCATGCACCACCATGCTTGGCTAATTTTTTAATGCTTTGTAGAGATGAGGTCTCACTGTGTTGCCCAGGCTGGACTTGAACTCCTGGCCTCAAGGGATCCTCCCTCCTCAGCCTCCCGAAGCACTGGGATTTATTTTAGTCATTCTAATAGTGACATTTCACTGTGGTTTTAATTTGCATTCCCTGGTGGCTAATGATGTTGAACATGCTTCTGTATATCTTCTATGAAATGTCTCTTTATGTATTTGACCTATTTTCTATTTTTTTTTTACTATTGAGTATTGGGAGTGTGTGCGTTTGTGTGTGTGCGTGTATGTGTGTATATATATGTGTCAGATTGTGCTGGAAAATATGTTCTCCCAGTGCATAGATTTTTCTTTCACCCTCTTAACAGGATCTTTTCCAGAAGAAAAGTATTAATTTTGATGAGACCCAATTTCTGAATTTTTACCTTTATTGTTCATGCTTTTGGTGTAAAGTCTAAGAACTCCTTGCCTGAAGTTCAATCCTAAAGATTTTCTTGTTTTTTTCTTAAGAAAAAAGGTATAGTTTTAAGTTTTACATTTAAATATGATTCATTTTGAGTTTAATTTTTGTATTAGGAGTGAAATGTGGATTGAATTTAATTCTTTTCCCTGTGATTGTCCAATTATTCCACTATCATTTGTTGAAAAAAATTATTCTTTCCTTATTGAATTGATTTTTTTACCTTTGTCAAAAATTATTTGGGCATATTTATGTGAGTCTGTTCCTAGATTCTCTATTCTTTTCCATTGATCTGTATATCTGTTTCTCTGCCAATATCATACTCTCTTGATTACTGTAGCTATATAGTAATCTTTAATATTGGGTAGAGTGATTCATTTCACTTTATTCTCTTTTTCAAAGTTATTTTAGCTAATCTAGTGGCTGTGCCTTTCCATAAAACTTAAAAATAAGCCTGTCTATATCTACAGAAAATCCTTGTTGGGATTTTGAGAGTTATGTTAAGCCTATAGAGCAAATTGTGGGAGAACCGATATCTTTTCTATGTTAAGTCCATTCATGAACATGGTATGATTCTCCATTTGTTAGAGGCTTTTTAAAATTTATTTCATCAGCATTTTCTAATGTTCAGCCTTCAAATCCTATGTGTTTTATTACATTTATACCTGATTATTTCATTTAATTTGTATTAAATTTTAAGGTTTTTAAAATTGAGTATCTAATTTGTATAAGCCAGTCATTTTTGGCCTATGATATGACAAAACAATCATCTAGTTTTCTCTCCTACCCCACAATTATTTAACTAATCTTAGAAATGATTAATTGTCTTTGCATTTTGGGAAGAGCATCAGGTTTTTAACAGTTTATAAAAGTTTAATTTGTTTAGTCTGTCATTGGACTATTTGTTTTTTGTTAGCTTAGTTATATTCTGAAGAAACACACAATACACATAATGACATAAGAAAAACAAGACAAAACCAAACTTTACTTATGAAGTGAATTGATTGTAGATGTTTTTCCTCCATTCATGTGTTTCTTACATGAATTTCTTAATAGCGTATACCTCTAAGATACAATCTATCCAGTTTCACATTTGTATGCATATGTGCATAAACACTTAAACATAATCCAAGTACACATATAATCTCTTTGTACATGATGCCAAAAGGAAAGGGTGGGTTTTCTCAAGTTGGTGAAAAGTTTGTCAGATAGTTTTTCCGTTTGGGAGAAATCACAGGCTATTATTAGCCAAGGCAGTCAATGCCCAAAAAATTCTATTGACAAAAGATGGAAATCTACTAATCGGTTTACATTTTTTTGCAGATTTATTTTTTCTCTTTACACTTCTTATTTTTTAAGTTATTAAAAAAAGCATGTTTTTTGTAACAAATATAAATGTTTCTGGCTGGGCGCAGTGGCTCACGCCTGTAATCCCAGCACTTTTGGAGGCTGAGGCTGGTGGATCACGAGGTAAGGAGATCGAGACCATCCTGGCTAACATGATGAAACCCCGTCTCTGCTAAAAATACAAAAAATTAGCCGGGTGTGGTGGCGGGCGCCTGTAGTCCCAGCTACTCGGGAGGCTGAGGCAGGAGAATGGCCCGTGAACCCGGGAGGCGGAGCTTACAGTGAGCCGAGTTCACGCCACTGCACTCCAGCCTGGGCGACAGAGCAAGACTCTATCTCAAAATAAATAAATAAATAAATAAACGTTTCTGAAATGTATGGACTAAAACGCAAAAAAAAAAAAAAAAAAAAAATTCTGATGTTGGACCCTAGTCCCTGCCGTCAGAAAAAAATGCTAATAGTTTAATGTGCATTTTTCAAACTCTTTACTCTGTCTGCACACACAGAAACATATTCTCACACACATATAAATTAGTTTTAGAGGTAAAATGGAGTAATTCATTACATATTATACATATTATATTTAAGCAGTTCATAAATTCAGGCTTCCGTAGGACACATTTGGTGAGCCTGTGGTTCTTGCGTAAATTATAGTGGCAGTTCCTTTCATATTCAAAATATTGTGGTTAATGAGATAAATTATATGATCACACGAATTGCCCTAGTCCCCTTTTCCTCATGTTTTGACTATAATTCTAAGTCAGTAATTAATGGCTCTACCTCCTTAATTTAACAGCTCTAGCGTACTGTTTAATATCAATACACCATAATCTGTTTAAGCATACCCAAATTGGTGGACAAAAATGTTTCCAGTTTTTGCTAATACCAATTCTATTACAGTAAAGAATGTGTGCATCTATTTTTATGTGCTCAGACTAATGTTTGTGGACGAAACAGTCTTAGAAGTGAGGTATCAGGTAATAGCCTGCACCTTTAAGTTTTTTTCTGGTTACTGCCAGGATGTCTCTAAGAAGGTTATATAAAATCATACACCCACTGACAGCTTATGAAAGTCCCCCTCATGTCAGATTCCATTCTCTCTGTAAATTTCAGATGCAAACTTCTCAACTTAAGCATTTTTAAAAGAATGCACGGTGCACAAATGGATTATTTTAGTTATTTCACATGGACAAATAAAGAGCCACTCTTCAAGGAGACGTCCACATTTATAACTCAGACAGGCGCTAGTCCCTATTTTAAGTGACCTAGGGCATGTAGATATTTTTGGAAGGAATGAAACCATGTATATGGGGACTGGAATATAACTGTCTAGACTGGTTCTTTCTTAAGAAAATTTTAATAAAAGTGTTTGCTTAAACTGCTATGTTCAAGGGTCCTGGGAGGAGCTTGGATGAAATGTCTTGTGGATAAAATTTTTGATGAAAACTGAGCATGTTTCTCTTTGCTCGCTTCTCCCTGCTCACTGGCACTGTATATTTAAGCCATTGGTATTTTTTTAGAAAAGATAATATGAAAAGGTTAAAAGTTTTGTAACACATTATACAACATCTTTTGGAAATTTCTAATAGAAATGCTTATTAGAGTATTTTAGAGTACTCTGCCATTTAAACATAATCGTATAAAAATAATTGTTATAATTTAATTGGGTTATTTACTAACACTTCAGAAACATTGTGGACTCAGAAATGGATGGTTTTCATGTTAGTTTTATTTTTGAAGACAACGTACAAAAGTTAAAGGGGCTTGTGCCTCTTTATTTTCGGTAGGATAATGGTAGGATAATTAAATTGTTTTTTAAGAATGAAACAATTTGAAGCTTCTGCAGAGCTTTGCAATTTGCATATACAAAGTGAATTGCTCACTTAATTCATTCAGTCCCACAAGGGAAAAAATAATTAGGATACAACCTACAAAGCAAGGCGGAAAATTACCTTTTATGTAGCAGTCTTGTTTTTACTTGGTAAACATAAATAAATCATCATCTGTAAATTACCATCAGCAAAAGAAAGGGAAAAATTGGAAATCTGATCCTTTTTTTTTTAAATGGCTTTTGACTTTGCAGCATGTCAGAAACATAGTTGATATCCCCACAAAATGCAGATTAATTGCATAATTCTGACAGGAATATGCCAGTTCCTGAAGGGAATGTGCCTTTAAAAATCCCATTGTAGTAATCTTTTTGAAACAGCAGAAGAAATTTCAACAGTTTCCCGTCTAGTTACAAAATAATCCATTTGGAAAATTGAATTGTGTAATTTGCAATGGTTTTCCAAGTTGTTAATGCAAAACTATATCGGTAGCAAATTAAACATTTAAAGTATGACCACTTTGTTAATTGTTGGCTGTTAAACATTTATTTCAATGAATACTATCATTTATGATGAATAAGACATCTGGAGTATGGCTTTAAACAGAAAAATTAATTTGGCAGTCCATTTTTGGAAATTCTTAATTGGATGGCATAAAGATTTATCTGTAATTTAGGAGAGTGTTGAGTATTTCTTTCTTTTGTTGGAATCACAGTACTTTGTGTATTTGATACTCAGAAAGCTAGAAACCAAGAACTGCATAGTAATTAACTATTTCTTAAATATCTCCCTGCTTTTTTATTCCTCTTTATTCTTACCTAGGTGAAAGTCCTAATTGCTTTTTGCTGTTTTGTCTGCCTCGCTCTCAGGACCTCCTCTCCTGCCCTCAGGTCCCATTCCCATCCTTCTCATGGTTAAAGGTCAACATGTGTGGCCAAGCCAGCTGGACAAGGCTCAAATCCAGGAGGTGCCATTCTGAGAGATTCCATTTGAGTGGTGCTTCTTATAGTTGTATGAGGCAGCTGCCTTGTTCATTGTCCACTTTTACTATATATAACATCAGCACTGTTGACATTTTGGTTGTGAGAGGCTGTCCTGTGCGTTGTAGGACCTTTGGCAGCATCCTTGGCCTTGACCAACCAGATGCCAGTACATCTTCTCAATTCTGACAGCCAAAAATATCTTCAGACATTGCCAAGTATCTCTGGGGAAGGGGGGTGGGCAAAATCTTCCCCAGACTGAGGACCACTGGCCTGTGGAATCATCTTTCTAGAGCATAAATATGACTGTTCCATTTGCCTGCTTAAGCCTTTTAATTTGCACTCTTCAGATCTTATGATTCACCCTAAACTCCTGAGTGCAGCGTACCAGCCCCTTTAGGATCTAGCTCTGGTCCGTCTGCTCCAGCCTCATGCTCATCAGTTTCCTGTTGCCAACTTCCTCCCATCACTCTTCCCTACGTTTTCATCATACCAAACTCTGTTGTCTTATGATTGCACACGTGTAGTTTCTTTTGCCTGGAAGCTCATCTTTGTTTTCTTTGCCTCATAAACCCGTGCTCATCCTTCGAGACCCATGTTAGGACTAACGAGGCCTAACTCAGAAATGATGGCCTCTCTGACCTTTTTCTCTATATTCATTTGGTGGTTTAGTAAAGAGTTGTTCAATTTTCTGTGTTTGAATTACTGTCTCAGTTATTCACCGTCTGTATGAACAAATTAACCTCTTTATGTTGCAACATTCTTTTTTTTTTTTTTGAGACGGAGTCTCGCTCTGTTGCCCAGGCTGGAGTGCAGTGGCGCGATCTTGGCTCACTGCAAGCTCTGCCTCCCAGGTTCATGCCATTCTCCTGCCTCAGCCTCCCGTGTAGCTGGGACTACAGGTACTCGCCACCACGCCCGGCTAATTTTTTGTATTTCTTTAGTAGAGACAGGGTTTCACCATGTTAGCCAGGATGGTCTCGATCTCCTGACCTCGTGATCAGCCCACCTCGGCCTCTCAAAGTGCTGGGATTACAGGCGTGAGCCACCGCATCCGGCCGCAACATTCTTATATGTACAATGGGAATACAATAGTGCCAGCCAGTTAGATTGGAAAAAAAATTAAATGACATGATTGATATGAGGTGTTCAGAACGTAATACCTAGCATATAATTAAGAAAAAAATTAATGTCAGCCACTGCCGCTATTATTGTTATTATGCTATCATAATATCTTTTTTTTAAGGTTCTACAAATGGCCCACAAGCAACGCAGGCAGCCCCCTTTTTTTTGTAGGTCTTGGGACCTTTGGGAACCATATAGATCAGATTATTAGATCTTTCCCTTTGTATGCTTCTGTTGCACTTGTGCAGACTTGGTCTAAATAATCATTCTCTGGAGTTCGCCTGCCTCTGCCACTAGTTGGGAATGGTCCAACCATGGATGTGTTAATGACATCACTGTGCCTCTCAGCCTTCTTGCTTTTACAGTGTGGATGATGCCAATATTCACCTCTGGAAGTAGAACTTTAACAAGCACCTACTGAGGGTCTACCCTGTATAAAGCATGGTTTTTGGCAATGTGGATTTGGTGGCAAACACAGCAGACGAAATCCTGACCCTACTGCAGTGGGGAATAGAGGGAGGCAGAAAGGAATATATATAAGCAAAATATGTAGAGTATTGGTGTTACTGATAAATGCCAAAGAGAAAATTAAAGCAGGAATAGAGGATAGGAAGTATGGAAGGAGAGGGTTGCAGTTTTAAGCAGAATAATCAGGAATGGTCTCATTGAGAGGGTAATATGCAAGTCACTGATGGTAGGGTGAGAGTGAGCCAATGGCGTAGCTAGAGGAAGTGTTTCCAGGCAAAAGAAGAGCAAGTGCAAAGCCCGGAGCAGGGAGAATGCTTGTTGGGAGTGACAGAAAAAGACCACATAAATGAAATGGATTTCAGTTGGGCTTTAAAGATAAAATAAAGCTGGGCTTTTAAGATAATAAAGTTAGGCGAGGCGCGGTGGCTCATGCCTGTAATCCCAGCACTTTGGGAGGCCGAGGCAGGCAGATCATGAGGTCAAGAGATCAAGACCATCCTGGCTAATATGGTGAAACCCCATCTCTACTAAAAATACAAAAAATTAGCTGGGTGTGGTGGCACATGCGTGTATTCCCAGCTACTTGGGAGGCTGAGGCAGGAGAATCGCTTGAATCTGGGAGGCAGAGGTTGCGGTGAGCCAAGATTGCACCACTGTACTCCAGCCTGGGTTATAGAGGGAGACTCCATCTCAAAAAAAAAAAAAAAAAAAAAAAGGATAATAACGTTGGTTGTGCGTTGACTTCATTTCAGTAGAGTGTCTTCCACGTAATGACCTCTAGCATCACAATAAGGCCATGTTTGCAGAGAGGTATATAGGAGCTTCCTGAAAGTTCCAAAGAGCTGCCCACTAGATAAGCAGAACTTCAGTGTGCAGCTTTAATTCTTCCAACTATGCAAACAGAGCCATTTCTTTTAGAGGAACTCAGAGCGTGTGGGAAGAACACATGCAGTTGGAATATATCCTGAGAAGAGAGAATCAAAGTTTGTTCAGACTGATTTTTCAGGCAGTGCCATCCAACATAATCACATGCTGGAGCCAAAAAGCACATCACTGACAAAGTAGCCTTCTGTCATTTCCTGCATTGCTCCAGGAAAGGCGAGCCGGACCGCCTTCCCCATCTGCTGCAAGTCTCTGTTGAAGGAAGGACGCTGTGCTGCCTGGGGAGGTTTTGAAGGCCCAGCTAATGATGGAATGCAAATGCCGCCAAAAGGCCTGAGAAGCAGAGCATCACCCATATCCCTTCTCAATAGGACTAGATAGACACCTGTATCCACCTCTGCTTGGTTTTCTTCATATCCTTAATAAGTACAGTTTGAACTTGTGGTTGTGATAACAGCCAGCTGGCTATTTCTGCTGAGATACCCATGAAGAGACTGACGATGATGTGACATTTTAATGCCACTGTTCCTTTCTTGAGGAAGCTACCTGAGTGTGTATAGCAGCTCACCTATTGACACATCTGAGTTAAAAGCTGAGGATGAGGATGTCTGTGTGTACAAGGACTATGTGGTGGGCACTGATGTGAGCTAAACAGGCAGAGTAAATTCTAAAGAGTTGAACTTGCTCATATGACTAAATTCAGTAGTTACACATTTTTGAAATTAAATTGAATAGCAATAGTGACTCTAGTAATAATCTGGATCTCTGCAGATTATATTAGTGAAAAGCATTGTGGAGTAGAAACAGGAAAAATGTCCTCAGTCAATGTTTATCTTGAACCTGGCAATCATAGACATGTGGGCTTAGGAGGACAAATTGGGGGATTAAAAAAATAGTATTTTGATGCAGAGGAAAGCCTTAGATGAATGCTAAGACTGTTTGCTGAAATGGTTGGGAAACAGTATAGTCAGGTGATGCCAAAACATCACCTGGCTCTAATGACAATTAGGAAAATTGCTATTTTACTATAAACAGAAATGGCAGCTACCTCCAAGTGATCAAGCTGAGCCTCATTCATGGAGGGATTTTCTGGCATTCTTTGCCTTATGAAGCGATGCCATGTGAAGTCCTCAACATCACTTATAAAGCATTCTTAACAAAAATGTTTATCTGAATCTCATCAAACTTTTAAATGTAACTTCCATTTTAGAAGAAGCACAGGGAATAGAAAAATTAAGGGCACTGTGGAAAAACAGACAGATCTAGAACACGGAACATTCTGCAAGAAAACTAACACGATCTTTTCAACAGGCAGGAATCATTTACAAAATATGGACTTTTCTAAATTAAAGAGACTCAGAGTTACAAAGAAACTCAAGGCATGAATCCTCATGGGATTCTGGATTGGAGTGATGGTGGACAGGCATGGGCACACACACCTTTAGAAAACATTTTGGGGACTTTCAGGGAACTTTGGATATGGGATGGAAGTTAAGTATATGAGGAACTATTGCCTATTTTCTTAGTTGTGTAAATGGCTTTGAAGTGATGTGAGACAACCCTGTTATTTTATTTCATTTTTGAGACAGAGTCTCGCTCTGTCACCCAGGCTGGAGTGCAGTGGTGCCATCTCAGCTCACTGCAACCTCCACTTCCCAGGTTCAAGTGATTATCCTGCCTCAGCCTCCTGAGTAGCTGGGACAACAGGCACCCGCCACCATGCCTAGCTAATTTTTGTATTTTTAGTAGAGGTGGGGTTTCACCATGTTGGCCAGGCTGGTCTCAGACTCCTGACCTCAAATGATCCACCCACCTTGGCCTCCCAAGGTGCTGGGATTACAGGCCAACTGTGTTATTTGTAAGAAATATTTGCTGGAGTTGTACAGATAAACTATATAATTTACTTTCAAATCATTTAACCAAAAGCAAGTGTGTGCACGTGTGTGAACATGCACATGCATGTGAACACTCATTACATTTATATATAAAGAGAGGATAAATCCAAAAATAAAAGTAGCGAATCTTAATAATTGTTCATCCTAAGTAGAGGATACATTAGTGTTTGTTGCATCATTCTTTTAGTTTTTCCATATTTGAAAATCTTAAAAATAAAATTTTGGAAAAGAAAATCATGAACACAGAGTTCCTGGAGAAACGATCAGAGGCAGAAAACAAAGAATACCTTTTAAAAAAATGAAGCATGAAAAGAATTAGAAAGAATAAAAGAGGACTGAAAATATTCCCAAAATGTCAGTCATAATAATTAGTTTAAATTGATTTAACATCTATATCAAAAGACGATGCCTTAGATTGGATAAAAGTATAATAATCCAACTTCGTATTTCTTAAAATCAGTTATATGTTTCTATAAGAGATACATATAAGATGAAAGCAAATAAAAATTTAAAATAAATTTTAAATAAATAAAATGGTCATTCACATAGAAGACTACTGCTCAGAAGCCAAAACTTCTTATATCTTCAACTGCAAAGATGAATCTCACAGACATGATATTGGACGAATGAATCCAGACACACACACAAAAATATGATATTCTATTTATATAAAAAGTTTTTAAAAGAAGGAATAATCAATGGTGATAGAGGTCAGAATGGTAGTTTTATATGTGGGCCATAATGACCAGGAAGGGGTGGAATTGACTGAAATTCTTTTTATATGTTCCTCTATATGGTTACCACACAGTTGTGTAACGAGTGAAGATTCACTGAACTGCGGTCTTGAGATTTCTGTTCTTTACTATATGTGCTTTGCCACAGGACCTGGCATGCCGATTCCTATGCTGTGTGTCTTAAATTTCATTTGAGTGGCAGCCTGCGTGGGCTTTAAACCATGGTGCCATATGTACCCACATAAAACCAAGTGGTTTTGAGAAGCTGAGTTTTCTTTCACATCTTAAAGTCCAAGTAGGAAAGATGAGTTTAGTTCAGGCTGCCTTCTTTTGAATTGACAAGTACTTTATTTTTACTTAGAAATTAAGATTTGCATTCGTTTTTTCGCATTTCCAAGTGGTGTACTTTTAAAGATGCAGTTTATGATTTTCAGAAATATTCTTTAACATATTTGTCTCTAAGACCATTTGCATCTTTAATTTTATTCATTTGCTCATTTACTGAGCCTGTCAGGGATTCATTCATATGTTATTATTTGATTTTTAAGGAACACTTGCTGTGGAGAGTAGTATTAGGAAAAACATACTTGTTTTAGAAGCTGGAAGTTCTAGATTTGAGTATGGCTCCATCCCCTCCTTTCTATGAAATTATAATTAAGTTACTTCTTTGATTTTCACTTTATTGATCCTTGTAATGGGTTTAATAATAGTTTACCAAGGATGTTATATCATCCAGAGAATTTAGTATCACTTTAAAATCATTCAGTATTCTGTGTTTGATTAAAGTGAATAGGCTTCTTTCTTGAGAAGTAGATTTATAATTGTTACTATTGGGAAGAGGATTCGAGTGGAATTCATTTCTTTATTTCCTTATACTAGCTCCGCATCCATATAATGGGTCAGTGTGTTAGATTTCCTTTGAAAATTAAAAAGAAAAAATGATTCAACTGCTAAAATAAAACTGATAGCCAATGTTCTAGTACAGTTTCCTGATTATTAGGAATTTGGCTAGGAAATCTGGTCTTCATACAAGAAGCAATATTGTTACACAATGGGATTTGAGAGAAAACTCTATGAAAATCCTTGGCCAAAAGGAAATCAAACAGAGGGTGTATTAGCCAATGTCTGCTGTGGCAATAATTCCAAAATCTTAACAGTTTACAGCAACACATCTTTATCTCTCACTCTTGTTACATGAGGGGTCTGGATTGATTGGCTGTGAGTGTACTGAATGCATCTCAACTCAGCTGAGGTTCACCTGTGTTCAGAAATCCAGGAAGGAGGGCAATGTTGTTCTCATGGTGGAGAGTTGAAGCTCAAGGAGGGAGGGACTGACCTAATTACATGCACTTAAAGCACATTAACTCACACTGTATTGGCCAAAGCAAGTTGCATGGCCAAGTCCAAAGTCATAGGAAACAGTTGCAAGGGCTGAGAGGGAATGAATGATTCTTGATAGATAACTCAATCTAGGACAAAAAATGAAGGTTGCTGTGAGCTGCAGAATGTGCCTTTGGTTTGATTTACATATCCCCAAATCCTAGGGAGAGAATCATTTTTGCCAAACTTTATCTTTACTGAATCTTTTCCAACCTCCAGGATCACAAGTATACTTCATGCATTAAAAACCTTCCCAAAGTTCATTATCTTTTACCACTATGTGCTGTGAATTCTGAGGTAGCCTATGATAATTTCTGTAAGAAATTACTTCAGGATGTCAAAAATCAGATTAAATATAGAATTAAGCTGGGATTTTGAAATTTAATACCCATTTTTTTGAGAAAATCAAGTATTTCAAAGGTCCTAATACTGACATTTTTAGTAAGCCGTATAGACACTTCCGGTCTTCTTTGATAGCTACAAATTTTAGCTCCATTTCAAGAGAAAGAACTCTGGAACCTAAGCCTAAATATATCCTGAAAAAAGAAAAGAAAGTTGAGGAATTGAGAAGAGTCAAATGATTAATTTGAAGGAGTAACCAGGCAGGTAACAGCCCAGAAAATACACAGAAGTTATTTTGATTTTCTAACTTGGCCTGCTGTTGTTTTGGCAGAAAGATCGTGTGCAAGGATATCTAAAAATAAATAACTCTATTTACATACCATTTTTAATAATAAAATTTGACTTCTCTTCTTTTCTGTTATCAAAACTCTTTCTGTTAGTAATGAAAATTTATAATTGCATCTCCTTTAGAAAATTTATAATTGTGTCTCCTGTTTCGTTGCAACAGCTATTTTGTCCTTTAAATCATAATTCTCAGACATATTTCAGGTTTCAGTCATGGAGCTTGAAATGCTTTATTTTCTTTGTTGCTTGCGGAATACAATCATGAAATGGGCAAAAAAGCACAAGGAAAACAAATGGCCCTATTGAGATGAGTGGTCTTTAAGATATCAAATGGGAATCAGATCATCACCCAGTTTCTGTTAAAATCTATTGTCATTCCTCTGCTAAGCAAATGAGACTTGTTCTGGGTGATTATATGACATTATTGTTTGTATGCTGTACTGTTGACTCAGTAGGAAATTATATGAAGAAAAGTCAATTTCATAGCAGTAGTATTAGATTAACAGTATCTTTCCTGACTTTTAGGCATTTGTCATTTATTTATTATTTTTTGCCATAATCAGTATCATCTTTACTCTTACGAATATTTTGTTTTAAATCAGGTTGGTTTTTGTTTAAATAAATTTACAATAAGAGAAAACTTTTCTTATTACCATATTACCATTAATACAAGAACAGTATCACTTGCCATGAATAGAAATTAACTTAATAAAAAAATACAATGGATAGAAAATAATATTTTAAAATTCTGAGTATCTTTTGCTGCCTAAAAGTTGTGTGTGTGCTTGTGTGTGTGTGTGTGTTGGCAGGGGGTGAGGCACAGTGGTTAAAGAACACATAACATAAGACTTACCCACTTAACAAACTCTTAAGTGTACAGTGCAGTATTGTTAATTACATGTACATTGTTTTATAGCAGATCTCTAGGGCTTTTTTAAATCACGTGTGACTAGAATTCTATATTCGTTAAACAGCAACCTCCCATTCCCCTCTCCCTGCAGTCCCTGGAAACCACCATCCTATTTTCTGTTTCTATGAGTTCAGCTACTTTAGATAACCTCATATAAGTGGTAACCATGCAGTATTTGTCCTTTCGTGATTGTCTTCACATAGCATAATGTTTTCAAGGTTCATCCGTGTTGGAGCATATGACAGAATTTCCTTCTTTTTTAGGGTGGGATAATAGTATATGGTATATGTATACATTTTCTTTTTTTATATATATATACTTTAAGTTCTGGGGTACATGTGCAGAATGTGCAGTTTTGTTACATAGTATACACGTGGTGTGGTGGTTGGCTGCACCCATCAACCTGTCACCTACCTTAGGTATTTCTCCTAATGCTATCCCTCCCCTAGCCCTCCATCCCCCGACAGGCCCTGGTGTGTGATGTTCCCCTCCCTGTGTCCATGTGTTAGCCTTGTTCACCTCCCACTTAGGAGTGAGAACATGCGGTGTTTGGTTTTCTTTCTTGTGACAGTTTGCTGAGAATAATGGTTTCCAGCTTCATCCATGTCCCTTCAAAAGACATGAACTCATCCTTTTTTATGGCTGCATAATATTGCATGGTGTATATGTTCCACACACAACTTTACAAGAAAAAAACAAGCAACCCCATCAAAAAGTGGGCAAAGAATATGAAGAGACACCACATTTTCTTTATCCATTTATCTGTCAATGGATAATTAGGTTATTTCCCTGTTTTGACTATTGTAAATAATGCTGCCATAAACATGGAAGTGAAAAGATCTCTTCAAGACCTTGTTTTCAATTTTTTTGAATAAATACTCAGAAGTAGGATTACTGAATCATATAGTAGTTCTGTTTCTAATTTTTTGAGGAACCTCCACACTCTTTCCCTAAGTGGCTGCACCTTTTTACATTCCCATCGAGAGCACACAAAGTTTCCAATGTCTCCACATCCTTGCTAACACTTGTTATCTTTTAGGTCTGTGGGGTTGTTTTTTTCTGATAATAGCCATCCTAAGAGATAGGAGGATGTGGTTATGGTTTTCATTTGCCTTTTTCTGATGATTAGTGATGTTGAGAATCTTCTGATATATCCATTGGTCAGTGTATGTCTTCTGTGGAGAAATGTCTATCTTTGAATAGACATTTGCCCATTTTAAAATTGGCTTATTTATTTTTACTTTTATTATTTTTGCTATTGAGTTATACGAATTTCTTATATATTTTGGCTATTAACCCTTTATCAAGGATATGGTTTGCAGATATTTTTCTCATGCTATAGGTTGCCTTTTCACTCTGTTGATTGTTTCTTTTCTATGTATAAACTTTTTAGTTTGATGTAGTCCTACTTGTCTATTTTTGCTTTCATTGCCTGTGTTTTTGGTCTCATATCCAAGAAATCACTGTCAAGACCACTGTCATAAAGCCTTTTCCCTCTGTTTTATTCTAGGAGTTTTATAGTTTCAGGTCTTACATTTAAGTCTCTAATCCATTTTGAATTGATTTTTTGTTTATGGTGAAGTAAGGGTACAATTTCATTATTTTTCATATGGATATACAGATTTTGTAGCATCATTTGTTGAAAAGCCTATCATTTTCCTGTTGTATAAACTTGGCACCCTTGTGAAAGACCATTTTATTGTATAAGCATCAATTTATTTCCAGGTTCTCTTTCTGTTCCATGTGTCTGTATGTTTGCCTATGTGCCAGTACCATATTATTTAGATTATTGTAGCTTTGTAGTATATTTTGAAGCAACTCTGGCTTTGTTCTTTTATGTTGATTGTTTTGACTATATAAGGTTCTTTGTGTTTTCATATGAATTTTAGCTTTGCTTTTCCTATTTCTGAAAAAAAAAAAAGCTCCTGGGATTTTGATAGAGATTACATTGAATCTGTAGATCATTTTAGATTGTATGTTAAGTCTTTTTTTTAACAATGTTAATTTTAACAATGTTAAGTCTTTCAATCTATGAAAACAGGATGCCTTTCAATTTATCTGTGTCTTTTAAAATGAATTTCTTCAGTGTTTTCTAGTTTTCAGTGTACAAATATTTCATCCACTTGGTTATATTTATTCCTAAATATTTTGGGTTTTTTGATGCAATAGTAAGTGAGATAATTTTCTTAATTTTCTTTTGGGATTGTTTATTGTTAGTGTATAGAAATACAACTGATTTTTTATGTTGATTTTGTATCGTGCCATTTTACTGAATTTGTTTATTTGTTCTAACTTTTTTTGTGTGTAGATAGAATCTTTAGGGTTTTCTACATATAAAATTATGTCATCAACAAATGGAGATAATTTTACTTCTTCTCTTCAGATATTGATGCCTTTTACTTCTCTTTCTTGTCTAATTGCTCTAGCTAGGAATTCTATTACCTTGTTGAATAAATGTGGTGATAGTTGGCACCTTTTGACTTGCTCCTGATCTTAGGAAAAAAAAATGTTTTCATTTTTCACCATTGAGTATATGGTCTTCATCATGTTGAAGTAATTTTTTTCTACTCCCATTTTGTTGAGTGTTTTTATCATGAAATGTATTGAAATTTGTCAAATGCCTTTTCTGCATCTGTTGAGGTGATGATATACTTTTCATCCTTTCTTCTGTTAATGTGGTGTATCCATCTTGCTATGTAGAACCCTTGTATCTGAGAGATAAACCCCACTAGATCATGATATATTATCCATTTAATATGCTGCTGAATTCAGTTTGCTAGTATTTTATTGAGAAATTTGCATGTATATTCATCAGTGATATTGGCCAGTATTTTTCTTTTCTTGTAGTGTCTATATCTGGCTTTGGTATCACAGTAATGTTGGTCTCACAGAATGAATTTGGAAGCGTTCCTTCCTCTTCAGTTTTTTTGAAGAGGTTGAGAAGAATTTGCATTAATTCTTCTTTAAATGTTTTGTGGAATACACCAACATTTCTTCCAACAAAGAAATACACAAAAAGCCATCTGATCATGTGTATTTCTTTGTTGGAAGATTTATGATTAATTATTGAATCCCTTAATAGTTACAGGTTTGTTCCAAGTTTCTATTTCTTCATGATTCAGTCTACGTAGGTTGTATGTTTCCAGAAATTTATCTACCTCTTCTAGGTTATCCAAGCTGTTGACTTTTTCTTGGTGTATCATCATTCATGGTAGTCTCATAATCCTTTTCATTTCTGTGGCATCAGAAGTAGTATCTCCTTTCATTTCTGATTAGACTCCACTTATTTTCCTTAACCTAGCTATTTGTCAGTTTCATTGATCTTTCAAAAACCAATTCTTGGTTTCACTGGTTTTTCCTAGTGCTTTTCTATTCTCCATTTCATTTAGTTCTAATCTAATTTTTATTATTTCCTTTCTTCTTATTATTTTGGGCATAGTTTGCTCTGTTTCTAGTTCCTTGGGGTGTAAATTTAGGTTGTTTACTTGAGGTATCTCTTCTTTTTTAATGTAGGAATTTACCATTATAATCTTCTTTTTTAGTATTGCTTTTGCTACCTCACACAAATTTCGGTATGCTGTGTATTTGTTTTCATTCAGCTCAGGGTATTTTCCAAATTCCCTTTTGATTCCTTCTTTGATCTATTGGTTGTTTAAGATTGTGCTGTTTAATTTCCACATACTGTGATTTTTTTTCAGTTTTCCTTCTGTTATTGTTTTTTAGTTTTATTCCGTGGTGGTTGGGAAAGATACTTAATTCTGTTATTATTTTTTAGTTTTATTCTATTGTGGTAAGGAAAGATACTTCAATTTGTCAAGACTTGTTTTGTTACCTAACACATGATCTATCCTATGTGCACTTAATAAGAAAGTGTATTCTGCTGCTATTGACTGTATTTGTCCGTTAAGTTTAATTGGTCTTCAGTGTTGTTCAAGCACTCTGTTTTCTTTCTTATATAATCTTTGGATGTCCTATCCATTATTGAAAGTGGGGTATTGAAATCTCCTACTATTATTGTGTTGCTTTCTCTTTCTCTCTTCAATTCTATCAATCAATGTTTACTTCATATATTTGGTTGCTCTGGTATGGGATACATATATATTATAATTGCTATATCTTACTAGTTAATTCATCTTTTTTTCATTATAGTGTCCTTCTTTGTCTCTCATGATAGTTTTTGACTTAAAGCCTATTTAATCTGATATAAGTATTGCCACCCCTACTCTTCTTTTGACTGCTGTTTCTATGGGTTATCTTTTTCCATTTTTTCACTCTCAGCCTATGTGTGTCCTTAAATCTAAAGTGAGTCTCTTGTAGACAGCATATCGTTGGACCTGGTTTTTAATTTATCTTTTGATAGGGCAGTTTAAGCTATCTCCATTTAAAGTAATTACTGCACCAGGCATAGTGGCTCATACCTGTAATCCTAGCACTTTGGGAGGCTGAGGCGAGTGGATCACTTGAGGTCCCAACATGGCAAAACCTTGTCTCTACTAAAAATACAAAAAAAAAAAAAAATTAGTCGAGCACGGTGGTGCACACCTATAGTCTCAGCTGCTCAGAAGGCTGAGGCAGGAGAATTGCTTGAACCCAGGAGGCAGAGGTTAGCTGAGATCACACCACTGTGCACAAGCCTGGGTGACAGAGTGAGCCTCTGTTTAAAAAATAATAATAAATAAATAATAAAAATAAATAAATATTGATAGGAAATGATTACTTTTATCATTTTATTGTTTTCTGTATTTCTTGTAGCTCTTTTGTCCTTATCTTTTTCTCTTGCTGTCGTATTTGTGATTTAAAAAATTCTTTAGGGTCATATTTTGATTCCTTCCTCATTTTCTTTTGTGTGTCTCTTATAGGTATTTCTTTTCTGGTTGCTGTGGGGCTTATATAACACATTTTATAGTTATGATCATCTATTTTAAGATGATAACAACTTGACTTCAATCACATACAAAAGCTGAACTATTCCACCAGACTCCTTTATGTTATCATTGTAACAAATTTCATCTTTTTATTATGTATCCATTAACATAATTTTATAGTTTTTATACTTTTATCTTTTTACTTCTATATCAAAATTAAAAGCTGTTTATACAATATTCGTAACATTACATGTAATGTAATGTTATAGTACTATAATATGTATTTGTGTGTTTGTATATATGTATATATACTATAATATATATTTGTATGTGTGTGTATATATATATAGTACTATAATATGTACTCGTGTGTGTGTGTATATATATATACACTATAATATGTGTGTGTGTATATATATCTAGATATACACACACACACACACACACACACCTTTTCCAGTAAATTATATATTTTCATTTGCTTTCATGTTACTATCTGGTGTCCTTTCATTTCAACTTGAAGAACTTCCTTTAGCATTTCTTATAAGGCAGATTTCTTTGTAAGAGGACTATTATGTCTTGCCTTGGTTTTCTCATTTGCAAAATAGAATGATAGTGGAAATAAATACATCTTTGAAAAGTTTTATGTGACTTGTAAATATCTCTGCAAAATTTAGTTATCATAAGTATTACTTTACTTTATTACTAAATTACTAAATTATTACTATACTTTAGCATGTGTATTGAGGAAGTTTCCATTATCACATTATGAATTAGTGTAGATTGCAAGGCTTGTGTGTGTTGTGTATGTGTGTGTGTTGTGTGTGTGTGTGCACATGCCCACTAGGTGTAGTTCTGAGGTAGAGACAGAGACCGTTGCTTTAAAATTTGATTGTCCTTTGACCCATAAAATTATGACCCTGGCTGCTCTGGGAATGGTCATTTGCTTCTCCTGAGCGGGGGTGTTCAGTTGCTGATTTCCTAAACCAATTTCCTAAATGGGTAATTGTGTTCTGACTCATACAATTCCCCCTACATTTCCTGACTATTTCAGGTGACTATCTCTTCCTCTTTGCCCTTAATGGATAGGTAATGAAGTCACATGTTTCAAAGTCATTGCTGTGTTTCAGGCTGGGGTGGACTACTCTTACATAATGTCTCACTAGAGAGTCAGAATAAAGTTGGCACACGTGCTCTACCTCCACCTCAATTTTTAACCATGTTGAAAAGAAAGAAGTCTTAAAATGAGAGGTGGCTTTCAGGGGCTAAAGAGCCTCTGGTTGAAAGTGTTTAGTTAGTCATTAGTGTTTCAGATGCATTAAAAGCACAGGCTTTAGGGTTAGTTTGCTTCATTTTTTAAGCTGTGAACTTGGTTGTATGACTTTAACCTTTCGCAGTCTAGTTTCCTCATCTGTGAAAAAGGTGATAATAGTAATATTTATTTCACAGAGCTTTTATGAAGATCAAATGAGATAGTCTCTATAAAAATGCTGGCCGGGTGCAGTGGCTCACGCCTATAATCCCAGCACTTTGGGAGGCTGAGGCGGGCAGATCACCTGAGGTCAGGAGTTTGAGACCAGCCTGGCCAAAATGGTGAAACCCTGTCTCTACTAAAAATACAAAAAAATTAGCTGAGTGTGGTGGTGGGCGCCTGTAATTCCAGCTACTCGGGAGGCTGAAGCAGGAGAATCGCTTGAACCTGGGAGGTGGAGGTTGCAGTGAGCTGAGATCAGCGTGGGCAACAGAGAAAGACTCCATCTCAAACAACAACAATAAACTAGGCACGTTATGTGGCATATGTGTGGGGACCAATGCATGTTGGCATCAGTATGATTGTTTTCATTGATTCAGCCCTTCAGTAAGTCATTGCTGGCAACTCAAGTCTAGCTGGGTGCTGCAGAGAGACAACAAATAATACAGTAGAGCTTCATGCAGCATTTATGAGAATAGAGAGAAGAGAAATGTTAGTTGACACTAAGGCCAGGGCACATTTCCTAGAGGAAGTGGACCTTGGGGGAAAAGTGAAATTTCCCTGGAGAAAAGAAGCAGGAAAGAGAGGCATTTGCCTTCTAGAAGCACCATACAAGTAAATTTATGGGTGAGTTGGGTCTTTCATTCATATAGTCCACTTATAATTATTGAGTTCTCAATATGTGAGGGGTTCTGTGTTTGACTCAGGGAGCACAATGATGAGCAGAGCAAAAACAAAACAAAACAAAAACTATTCCTGCCCTATGTAACTCTCACTTTTCAGGCAAGATGGGTGTGAAACCAATAACAAATAGGAAAGGTATAGGACATCATTGGATGGTGTAGCCTTGAGACTGACTAGGTGTTAGGATGGGAGGTGTCCAGTGGGGCCTCTGTGGGTAACTGAGATTTAAACTGAGACCCATGTGGGAATGGGAGTGAGGTAAGGAGAGATAGAGAAGGCCCTGTGCCAGGAGAACCACAGTGTCTTCTGGGAACTGAACAAAGTCCACGGTGGCTGAGACATAGAGCACATGGGAAAGGTATAGAGAGGACAGTGGTGAGATAGCGTGGGCAAGACCACAGGGGGTCTTGGTGGTCATTCTAAGGATGCAGGCTTTTGTCCCACGTGCAATGGGAAGTCACTGAAGTGTTCTGTTTATGCACAGTAATATTTCAAGACTTATGTTTTGAAAAAAAAATCTGCTATGTGCAGCATGCATTAATGGGGATTAAAATGGAAGTGGAAAGATCAATAAGTAGTTGTGACAAGATGATAGTGGCTTGAATTGGGGTAGTGGCAAAAAATAAAAATAAACAAACACATCAACAGTTGTATCTGGTGAGTCCTGAGGCACTTGGTGTAGTTGGAGAATAAGATACATGGTGCTGAGTCACTGACGTGATCGGTTTGGGCACTTTTTGAGGAGAAGTGGTGTGACATTTCATGCTAAGAAATTTGCATTTATACTATGAAAAGGGCTGATGGAGATTAAGAAGCAGAGAAATGAAATAATCAGATTAGTGTTGTGCATGGAGGATATTTATTTCACTTCCCACCTACTGCTTGAGCTAAGCATTTATTGAATTTAGAGTAACAGACGAGAGAAACGGAACAACATCATTGCAGGCAAAGATTGATGGAAAGTGGATTCTTTTGTATAACAGCACAAAAGAGATATATGAAAGGGAGGTTAAACTTGTCAGTGTGAAAAGCTATTGATCTTGTAAATACTTACCCTGAAGCCACCTAAGGCTTCGCTCAGGCATGACCCAAATATTCCAAACCTCCAATGCAGCTGAGGATGCGGATGTAACTGGATGAGAGATGACCACTGTGGAAATATAATGAGCCAAGACACTTTGTGGGAAGGGAGGGGTTTACAAAAGTGTTAAAGGAGCCAAGGAATTATGGGAGAGAGGGAGGAGAGAGAGAACGTCTAGTGGGGATGGCTTTCCTCCCTGCTAGGAAGAAGGCGCCACTGGGTAGTGTTCTCAGAGCCTAAAACAGAGGCCCTGTAACCACTGAGGAGCTAGGAGTAAGTTAGAGACAGTGGGAAAATATTTGGAAAACCAAATTCATTATGTACTTTCTATGATTTGGACCTCAAGTCAGGGGTCGTTTCTGAGACTCTTGACGCTGTATCTCTGACTGGTAAAGAGTGAAATAATCTAGTTATGAATTGGACCACTCTTCCTTCCCTTCCCTTCCTTGGGTTGATGTATTTAAGACACTTACATGGGGAATACTCTGAAGGGATGGAATATTTGGAGGCTTTTGCAGCCAGCTGAGAAAGAAGGCTGTCCACAGAGACCGAAACAGACATAAGAACTATTGGTCAAGTGGAGTCTTTGGGAGGATTTGAAAAACTAAAGAAAAAAGAAAAACCAAAATGTTCTACCTCTGTGAAGTTTTAAGCTTGTTCCACTTAATACGTTTCAGAAAATTTAATAAGGAAAGATAATTTGTTAACCATCCTTGCGGTGTGTTACAGATAATACTAAACTCACTTAAATACATCTTAGCTTTCAGATGTAGATACTTTTTCAACAGGTTGTGCTCAGCTGTGCTGTGCCATACTGATTTCCGGGCCTCACCTTTGGTGTTGTATACTGGAGACATTCATTCAGGGAGTGTGTCAAACTTCTAATTGTTCATTTTCAGGTTACAGAACTCAATAATGTGAAGAACGTAGCTCGATTGCCAAAAAGCACCAAGAAACATGCCATAGGGATTTATTTCAATGACGATACCTCCAAGACTTTTGCTTGCGAATCAGGTTTGTCTCAGGCAGGGCTGGGGGGCTTTTGCTTTTAGATTCTGAATGGATGCTGGGCACACAGTTTAATCTTTTTGACATTTCCACAGATCTTGAGGCTGATGAGTGGTGCAAAGTACTCCAGATGGAGTGTGTAGGAACACGGATCAATGACATCAGCCTTGGAGAGCCTGACTTACTGGCCACTGGGGTTGAGAGAGAACAGAGTGGTATGTAAAGAAAATTCTCTCCTCTCTCTTTCAAAACTGCTTCTGTCTCCATATGATAAAACATAAGACATCTTCATTATGTAAAGTTTTTGGGGTATAAAAATGTATAAAGAAATAAGTAATCTTTTATCTAATCCACAACCTGTGTTAACATTTCAGTGTATTTTTTTCTTATTCTTTTTCCAATTCATAACATGAATGTATCTACATTAATAATATCAGTTAGAAATTTTGGGGAACCTGCTATGTGCCAGTTTGGTGGAAGATGCTTAACTCATCTCAGATTATTTATTGTACTTTTCATAGCAGCCCTATGGTGTAGGTATAATTACTTCCTACGTTTTGCAGATGAGGAAACTAAAATTTAGAGGACGTAAAGACTTTCCTTCAATTCTGTTAGCTCACTAGTGTTTGATTCTAGACGATACCGTTGGACCTATATTACAGTTTACAGATTTTAAAATGTCATGGGCATTTTTTGGTCATGCCTTTTTCACTTAAAATGTTATCAACAACTTTCCAATGTTTTCAATATAATTCAAACTTTATGACTATTTCACCAAATTTAAACCCATCTAAAATCTGTAATTAAAAAAATACATATTTTATTGAAACACTTGAGCCAACTCTGAGCTCAGCAGTCAATCTGGGAATCAATAATTTAAAATAATAATGACTAAAATATTCATGAACACTTCAGCAAAAATCAGTGTTGATTTACAGAACAAACCTGGATGTGAGGAATCATTCCTTTGTCTCCTAACAGCTGAGCCTGGGGACGGGGTAGATCAGATCACAGAGTTCTGCTGTAGGCTGACTTGATCTATGAGGGCATGTCACCATGGAAAGGTCTGTGGGTCATCTGGTTTGATTACGGACATGGCAGAGATGGAATTGTACTGACTTTTTCTGTAGGTGCACACTCCAATGTTAGTAAAAAAAATGCTGTCCCTCCCAATTGGAACTATGTCTTCATGACACATTTACAATCTGTGACTCTTTGGATGCACCATATCTGCCATAACCCATCTCCATGGAAATGTTATTGACCGAGACCTAGAAGCCCTGGGTAATTCAGAGGAGCCTCTTTGTAGATTGGAAAATTGAGCTACAGAGAGGTTAAGTCATTGACGGGGTTACACAACCAATCCCCAGGCTCCTCCTTCTCTGGTTCACTAAATCAGGACACCCCAGGCAGAGAGGATACCTAGGAGCCAAGCATAAAGAAAACCTGGCAGGTTTTGATTATGATTCATTTTTTCACCTAGAGTGCTCAGATCAGCACTTTTCACAAATTTGTATTTGGGGAAGCAGTATCCTGACAGCACCACAATCTGAATTTAAAAATTGGCGGTGCGTAGGAGATACCTTTCCCACAGCAGCTTTCTGTGCCTCAGTTTCCTCTTCTGTTAAATGGAAATAATAGCTCTGGTCTACAAGTATCAGGGATTATTATAAATTCAACTGTGTCCTCTCAGGCCCTTTCCAATGTTAATTAGTATGACTTCAAATGATTGTAATTAAAATGGTCACTCCACCATTATTGCTATTACTCTTTTTAAATTTTTATTATTATTTTTTCCCTATCTCTCCCCTATTGTTATTCTTGAGTGAGGTAGGACTCAGAGAACTTCTAAGCAAATAGATTGATAATGATCTCTCTTACTTTTTACTTAATATAGACAGTCTTTCTTACTTGGAACTTTCAAGGGGGGGGAATATGCTCAATTAGAATACATTTTTAAATATGATTACTAGAAATCAACAAATATTTGTTTATTGAGAATATGAAATAATTAAAAATTTTTGAATAGTAGATCGCGGAACACATTTCATGAACACTATCTCAGCATTACTATTTACTAAATTCAACTAAAATCTATGAAAATTCAAATGACTATCTTATCATAAAACAATGTATTTAGAATACCACTAATATAAAATTGTTAATGCCACATTGTCGTATGTAGGCAATCTACCATAATGATGCATAGGTGGAAATATGTTTGCTATAGTAATATTTTTGTTCATTTTTCACTGAAAGACTTTGACTCAAAAACTTCTTAATGAATTTTCCAGAAATATAACAGAAATATGGTGACTGTATCTGCAGGGATGAAAATTAGGTTAATCAGCCAAGCAGTTTATGTAGAATAATTTTGGTTGCATTTTAGCAATCATCCAAATATGCAATGAATATTTCTTTCCACTATTTGGCTAAAGGAAGTTCTTTGTTGAAACTAGTTCAAATATATGCATTGGCATTTTCCCAAATTGTTGGCCAGTTAAGTGCATAGTATTACTGTGGCATTTTGTTTAAATGATTGAAATACAGTTTTATTCATTTAGTTATAGAAATTACAAGTTGATCAATATAACTTTAATAACATGGAACCATGACATAATTGTTTTGCACCTGCATCTTTTGTGAGCACAAAAGTGTGGATCTAGTTAATGTGTTCTTGGCAGGAAAAAAAAATTGCTTTTAATGGTTGTATTGCTTTAGTCTTTTATTGGCATATACATTTTTATTATGCAAATTTAAAAATTCTAAAAATGGTCTTCGCTCATGTAAATAGTGCTTAGTGTATGTTGACAGGCTGTATCATTATTATGTTATTTAATAGGATCTGCATTTAAGAAATTATTTTCTGGGACTGTTAATTAATAGGAAAGGTTTATCTTTCTGAATATGCAACCGAAATCTAGAATGTGAACTTGAATTGTTTTTAAATGCCTCTATGTTCCTACAATGTCTTTGATGTTTTATTCCTGGGGATTTTAGACTAACCTTTTGTTTTTCTCCCAGAGAGATTCAATGTGTATTTGATGCCATCTCCTAACTTAGATGTACATGGCGAATGTGCCTTGCAGATTACATATGAGTATATCTGTCTTTGGGACGTCCAGAATCCCAGAGTCAAACTCATCTCTTGGCCGCTAAGCGCCCTGCGGCGGTATGGACGTGATACTACGTGGTTCACTTTTGAGGCAGGGAGGTGAGTTTAATGACTTTTAATGACTATTTTTCTGTTTGTGTGTGTGTGTGTTCATTTTTACCATGCTCGCATCATATGAGGCGGTAGGTTTACATATGAGATCCAGCTGAAGTACACTTGAGGAAATTCATAGAGTTGCGATTACATAATATGAGGGGTCTTGTGAAATATTTATATACTCAACATGGCTTTTCTCCCCTGTGGAAGATTTTAATGTTTCACACACATGGTACAAATTTTCATTACACAGTTTGATTCCATATCACAAACTGAAGTTGATCCAGGTAAAAATGTTAAAAAGGTACCATTTCCTGGGTCAAGCTGAACAGAGGCCAGCTTCTTGATTTTGGAAAACTTCCATATTATTATTTCACATATGTTTCCTCATCTGAGCTAACTGTGGTAGATTATTAATATGAGGGCCCATGGAGTTTTTACCAGCTGCAATTTCTTGAGTTCCATCTATTTGGCTTACAGTGTAAGGATTCTCATGAATACTGAAAGAGATTAATGCTAAAACTTGCTCTTTGTGATACCGACTAAGCACTTTCCGGGTTTTCTCTTTTTCCTCTTAGGGGTTAATCTGGGAGAGATTAACCAGATAGTATAGTAACCAAGCCAGTAGTATATGGATTGGTTGCTACCTACAAAAAGATTCCTCTAGCCATAATCCTATTTTCCTTGTCCTTCAGTTTTCCCTCAGAATTTAGGCTTCGTTTGGGAACACTGCAGGTAATTTTTTTTTTTTTTTTGAGATGGAGTCTCGCTCTGTCACCCAGGCTGGAGTGTAGGTGGCACAGTCTCGGCTCACTGCAAGCTCCGCCTCCCGGGTTCACGCCATTCTCCTGCCTCAGCCTCCTGAGTAGCTGGGACTACAGGTGCCCGCCACCACGCCTCGCTAATTTTTTTGTATTTTCAGTAGAGATGGGGTTTCACCGTGTTAGCCAGGATGGTCTCGATCTCCTGACCTCGCGCTTCGGCCTTCCAAAGTGCTGGGATTACCGGCGTGAGCCACCACGCCCGGCCAGATAAATTTTCTATTTTAGAATTTTAAATGCCTAAATTTTAAGAAATATAAGTTCTTCTGTATATGGCCTGACATTACACTCAAATTGAAAACCATTAACTTGTGATGTTAAATAAAAATTGCTTGTAAAAGCAGACAGTTATTCCTGACAGGAATATGACTCTTGATATAAGGAAAGTAAAAACTGAAGTTCTAAATACCCCAATCCATGTGAATGGATAACAGTAGTGGTCCCCTCTAACTAATCTGTTAATTCCATTTTAATGAACAAAGCCCAATTATTTAAAATTTACATTTTACCTGTAGTCCCAGCTACTCAGATGGCTGAGGCAGGAGAATGGCGTGAACCTGGGAGATGGAGCTTGCAGTGGGCTGAGATCACCCACTGCACTCCAGCCTGGGTGACAGAGCGAGACTCTGTCTCCCAGAAAAAAAAAAAAATTACATTTTAAATAATCAAAGCCCAATTATTTAAAATTTACATTTCAGAAATATGATCACTTTGATGTTCTTACAACTGTCTGCAAAGTTTTTTACTTTATACTTTTCATACAGTTCTTTTCTGGTCTATTTTATTTTTAAGTACCTAGAAACAAGTTGGTGAATCTTTCAAAGACTATAAAAGTTATCACAAAAAATAAACCTTTAATGTTGAGAGCAATGTTCTTATTTTGTGAGAATTACTTATTTATTCTTCTTATAAGAAAATCCCAGGCCAGGACGGTGGCTTATGCCTGTAATCCAAGCACTTCGGGAGGCCAACACAGGAGGATTGCTTGAGCCCAGGAATTTGAGAGCAGGCTGGGAAACACAGGGAGACCCCATCTCTCCAAAATGTTTCTGTTATAAAAACACATGCACATGTATGTTCATCAAAGCACTATTCACAATAACAAAGACATGGAATCAACCCAAATGCTCATCGATGATAGACTGGATAAAGAAAATGTAGTACATATATACCATGGAACACTATGCAGCCATAAAAAAGAATGAATCACGTCCTTTGCAGGGACATGGATGGAGCTGGAGGCCTAATTCCTTAGCAAACCAATATAGGAACAGAAAACTAAATACTGCATGTTCTCACTTATAAGTGGGAGTTAAATCATGAGAACATATGGATACATAGAAGGGAACAACACATATGGGGCCTATCTGAGGGTGGAGGATGGGGAAGGGAGAGGATCAGGAAAAATAAATAATGGATACTAAGCTTAATACCTGCATGATGAAACAATCTGTACAATAAGTCACCACGACACAAATTTACCTATGTAACAAACCTGTACATCCTGCACAGGTACCCATGAACTTAAAACAAAAGTTTTTTAAAAAAGAAAATAAGAATACCTATTCATCATTGGGTATATTGTACAAAAAATAAAAGCAAATTAAATGAAAAAAAAATTAGCCAGGCATAGTGGCACACACCTGTGGTCTCAGCTACTCCAGAGACTGAGGTGGGAGGATCACTTGAGCCTGGGAGGTCGAGGCTACAGTGAGCTATGATCTTGCCAATACACTCCAGCCTGGGGCGACAGAGTGGACCTTGTCTCAAAAGAAAACAACAATGACAAAAGAAAATCCCTATAGAAAATGAATAATTTTTTTTGGTAAGGTTGGTATATTTTTCCCTTTGGGTCTCAGAAATTATTTATGCATTAACGATAACCAGTGAAATCTAAGTATTGAAAATGTTTTATAAATAGACTTTTCTATGACTGTACCTCTCATATCATCTCCATTCATATTTCATATTGATGTGTAAGAGAATTCTGCATTGATCAAGACTCTTTGGATCTGTTTTGGGCAGCACTTATTCAATTATTAATATTTTAAAATCTTTTTTTATTTACCATTTACAGGAAATAGTAGTAGAAAAAAAGTATAGCTTTTTATGGTAATGTTTGAGGATCAAAACCTTAGTAAACTTTATTAGTATCTCATATCTATTTTAAACTTGAAAACATGTTATCTTATTAATTTTCCAGGTATAAAATGAACACTGTACATATCCTGCAAACGTTTAATTTATTCATATTGAAATCTAACGGAACTGCTAAGGATTTAGGTGATTACTTAAAAGACCTCGATATTTCTCCTAAGTGCTGTAGGAAACCATAGATACTTGGAGGCTGGTATGTTTGAGTCTCTGTGTGTGTATGAGATGTGTGTATATGGGGTGTGTGTGTATGTGATGTAATTGTGTTAATAGTTTATAAAGGGCTGGGCGTGGTGGCTCATGCCTGTAATCCCAGCACTTTGGGAGGCCAAGGCGGGCAGATCACGAGGTCAGGAGATCGAGACCATCCTGGCTAACACGGTGAAACCCCATCTCTACTAAAAATACAAAAAATTAGCCGGGCGTGGTAGTGGGCACCTGTGGTCCCAGCTACTCGGGAGGCTGAGGCAGGAGAATGCGTGAACCCGGGAGGCGGAGCTTGCAGTGAGCTGAGATCCTGCCACTGCACTCCAGCCTGGGTGACACAGCGAGACTCCATTTAAAAAAAAAAAGTTTATAAAGGTCACTTTGATCACATTGTGCACGGTAGGATAGAGGAGATAGGTATGGATGTGGGAGATATTGAACCAGTTCAAGTGAAACAATGGTGGATGAAAAGATATATGGGTGACAAAGTTGAGAACTATTTCAATGGTCTTTACCAACATGCTGACTTGGAAGATATAAGTGTTTTATCCCATGACTTTGATGACCCCTTTATGGTCCATCCATTTGCTTATTTCATCCAAGAACTCCACTGGTTAGATGATTATAATATTCACAACCCAGGCCACTCAATGTTATATCTCCAATATCGTAGGGACATAGAATATTTATTGATTTTGAATAGCATTATTTCTTATGCATTGGTCATGTTTTGCAGGGCTGGTGCAAACTTGAGATTGAATGGTCAGAAAGGAAAGTGTGGGAGTTGTATGCTTAGCATCTTACTTCTCAAACAGCTTGGTGTAGTATACAAAGTACTGATTCAGAATTTAGAGAGACCCTGAGTAATCTCTATTTTTTGCTAGCTGCTAACCTTGGACAAAGTTCTTAACTTTCCTTGTAAGTTGATCAGAGTAATAACTTTCTTGCAGGTTTGTTGTAGGTAAAGGCAGAAATGCATGTAGATGACCTGGAAGGATGCTGGGCTTCTCCTAAATAGTATCTTTGGTATTCTATTATGATTACTTTTGGAGCAGAACATAAGCTTGCAGGATAGTGTTAAATGCAAGGTAAAATTACTATTTTATATTTTGCTTGAAACTCAAATAAAGATAAATTTTTATACTTACCATCAAGATGCTCAGGATAATAAGATCATTCGTGTTCCACACCAAGCGTGAAGGTTTCATGTCTGCCTTGCTTTATTAGTGAAGATAAGTTTTTTCCTTGGCTATTTTTGGATGTGTTGAAACAAAGCAGTTTTATATCAACCAGTATAATTTTCCCCTTCTCTCACATCGAGAAGTGAGCAGGAGTTGTCTGTCTAAGCAAGTAGTTTTCACATATCCAACATGCATCTGCAAAAACTTAACAATATCCTCTAGAACACAGGGAATCTTTCTTGGACAAAGTTCTGCTCATGTTCAGCCTCTCTCTTAGAACTAGAACTGAGTGTTATTCCTGCTCAGTGGCTCCGTTTCACCCCACCAAAGCTGACAGTGGGGCATGTGTAACAGACTGAACTGGAAGTTGGAGGAAATGAAGTAAAATTACAGTTCTATCACATACTGGCTGTGGGAACGTGGATATGTCACTTAACTCACCGAGCTTTTTTTCATTGCCACCTGTAAATTGGGAACACATATATTACTTATCTCAAAAGATTGCTATGAAGATTAAATAAAGGCACATGTAAAGACACCTGGAATAGTGCCTGAATGTAGTAGGCAGTTGTATCCACCCAAACTAGTACTGAAAAGAAACTCATTGACTTCCATAAACTCAAAGTCTGAGGAGTAAAGATGGCTTCAGGCTTGGCTTGGCTCAGTGTCCAAATGATAATCCCAGGTTTTATGTGACAGTTCTGTTTCTTCTAAAATAGCTTCATTCTAGCTCCATATGGTGACTTTCAGAAGCTTTGAGATCTCCCCACACTATCTCAGTAAAAGAGAGATATATTACTACTCTCTGCTGTCATTATATATACTATGTGTCAAGCACTGCACTTTACACAAAGCTCACAGGGTACAAATGCAATGAGGTTGGTTCACTGAAGGCAGGAAGAGGGTACTGTTGCTATCAGAAGAGGAGTGGAGGTGAGGCTTTTAAAAACTAACAAAATATGTACAATATAGCATTTAATAATTGCTCAAAACAAATAAGGTCAAGAGGCTATTTGACTGTAATTGACATTTGCACTCACAATAGTGCCGATTTCCAGAGCAGTGGTTCTTAGCTAGAGGTGATTTTGCTCCTAAGGGACATTTGATAATGTCTGGAGACATTTTTGATTGTCACAACCTGGGCAGGGGGTGTTACTGGCATCTAGTGCATAAAAGGGCCAGAGATGCTGCTACAGGCACAGAATAGTCCTTGACAACAAAGGATTATCAGGTCTAATCATGTGGTTGAGAAACCCTACTCTAGCAGGTGTATGAGCCATTGAAAATCATCACTACCATTTACTGAGCCCTTACTATATGAAAGCCTCTGTACTAAGAGGCTCATTACCTCATTTGAGCTACTCATTATCATACAAACTAGGGGATACAGTTATTTCCCTCTTAAAATGAAACCTGGGCAATGGCAAGAGGTCCGAAGACACAAAGCTGATAAATTCAGGACTCACGCTCAGATCTTTTACTTCCAAACTCCATAGATTTTTAAGAAGGCTCACCTTCTACTGGAGGTTAGCCTAGTTCTTAGTTAACTTCTGCAGAGCTAAGGGAGAGAAAGCATCTTTTACTTCCAAACTCCATAGATTTCTAAGAAGGCTCACCTTCTACTGGAGGTTAGCCTGGTTCTTAGTTAACTTCTGCAGAGCTAAGGGAGAGAAAGCATGCTTACATAACCAAAGCTTGCTAAATCCATTTTGGATGATCTTGTGAGCATATTATCCTTTCCCACTGAAGCTGCCTCAATGTGAGGAAGGCATCTGTCAATAAGCCACAGACTTGCAAAGATGCTGGTGATGTAAATATGCCTCCTGAGCTGCGCACTGGGGTATAAATGTTCTTAGTTTGACTTGACTTTTTGGAACCCCCTGTATGTTCTCTTAGTTTGGAGTGTAGGCACATACATCTTTCCAGGGCAGCACTATGTGGATCATAGGTCATTAGGGTCTTCTGCACAGTGTTTTTCTCCTTCTCCTCCTGGTATCATAAAATCTGACCATATTCTCTATTTTTTGAGGAAATTCAGAATTAGAATATAACATTTTTTAATAAGATGAAATTGCACAATTAATTACCCTTGGAGACAGAGAATAATTAGTTTATCTTGGGGGCTAATGGACATATTGCTTATTTTGTTTGAAGTTTTCTTAGTCTTTTGTTTGTTTCTTTCCACTTCAAAGCCCTGAAACCTCACGGCACATCAGACTGGCAGGGGCACTAATTTTTTATGGGAAGATCCAATTGACATGAAGTTCTAACTGCAGCAAAATCTCCCTTGGAACCATTCTTGCAATGTGATTGTGTAGAGAAGGGTGGCAGGTGTCCAGTCCCTTTCTCTGTTAACTGTACAGCTTGCTGCTGAGTTAGCATGCTTCAATGTCAGACTTGCCTTACATCCTGACTGATTTAAATTAATACCCTGGGTTTCGCACCTGCAGGAGCCAGAGAAGCTCAGGTGACATTTGGCAGAACGTACTAAATAATTACCGCACATGAGTGCCTTTCTTTACCAGCTGGAGAGAGTCTCTCTTGTGCTTTTGACATCGTTTTAAGAGAAACTTTTAGGTATGCCAAAAATATGTGAAAATCCAAATTGCATATACAAATACTTTTCCTTAAATGGAGTTCACAAGCGGTTTTTGAAAAAGATTTTTATTTATTTGGATATGAAGGCATCTGAACAGCTTTAGAAAATAATTTGTTTTTTTGTATATTTCACCCTAAAACCAGCCTAATTGGTGAAATAACTTTTCATTCAAGAAAAAAACTGTTTACTCCTTTAATTGGTGAGTTTACAGGTAAAATGACAATTGTTTTGATAGCTTATGAATATTTTCTATTTATTTGAATATTTGAAATATATGTGTATTTGCATATTTGAAAGCTACATATTCCCAATTTATCTTCTTAGGTAGCTTCTTAGTAATCTCTCATTTCTGAATGTTTTACAGAGCATACACTTATCCTTATTGAAGAATTTAAAGCAAGTAAGCAATCCAGTATGCTGAGCTCCCCCAACTATGTTGAGTATGACAATTAGAATACAAATGTGCTGGATCTAACACAAGTTTGCTCAGGAGAAGTAAAGTCCTCTTCTTTTGTAAGAAAAAGGGAACAAACATTGTGTCATTTAAATGGCCACTTGTTATTCATTAGCATTTTCCTCAAAAATAATTTTAATTACAAAGATAATGCACACATTATAAATATTCCAATAGTAGAGGCATGTATGAAATCAGAAGGGAGCATTCTCTTTTCTACTCCACGGAGTAACCTCTTTAATAATCATCTTAATAGATGTTTCATTATTGCATGTCTACTGTCTACCACACAGTGTGCTAAGTGAGAGGTATGAAGACAAACAAGACAAGGCCACCATTCTAAGAGGCTTAGCTAGATCCTATCCACCTCTGAGCTTCTGTGATTTTATTAAATAGCATGCAAAATTCTTGAAAGAAAGGATGACTTTTTTCTGACCTTTGAGGCAAAATTAGGCACTCAGCAACATACCTTGTCTGTGGCCATCTTTAATGTAGGTGATGGCCCACTGGTGTTTGTGATTACTTTATATGAGATGGTGTTTTGGAATTCTAGAAAGGGCTAGTAAAAAAGAATCATTCCTTCCTTTATGCAATATTCACCTAGTGCACCCTAATGCCTGGTGTGGTTTTAAGCACTGCAGATGTAGCAGTGAAAACAACATACAACTTACTCAACAGAAGAGAGAGATATAGACAATGATGAACATTTTAAAAGGTAAAATAGATGTTAGATTGAGTCCCACAGTGAAAAATAAAGTAGGGAAGGATGATAGACAGTGCCAAAGAAGGGGTGCAATTTTAAAGAGAGTGAGCAGGACTGGCTTTACTGAGTACGTAATCTTAAGAGGTGAGAGTGTGAGCCATGTAAGAATCTGGGGGAAGAGCATTCCTTCCAGAAGGAAGATGGAAGAAGATGCTGAAGAGGAAGTATTCAAAGAAGAGCCAGGAGGTTGATGTGTCTGAGCAGAATCAATGGATGGGAAGCCACATGACACAGGTGGAGATGCAGCGGGGTCAGGCCATGTGGAGCTTGAAGGTGGTTGTGAAGAATTTGGCTTTTAGTCTTAGTCTGATGGGGAGCCCTCAGGGGCTGTGTAGAGTTGGACAACTACAGAGTTTGAGCAAGTCCCCAAGATGGCTCTCACTTCTGACACCAACTGCAAGTTCATGGGTTTCTAAAACTACCCTAAGATTTAGTAAGTCACTAAAATGACTCCCAGAACTCACCAAAAGCTATTAAACACACAGTTATGGTTTATCACAGCAGGGCATATAGATTGAAATCAAGCAAGCAAAGAAGTGCATGGGAGGATGGAGTCCAGAGAAGTACCAATTGTGGAGCTTCTGTTATCTTCTCCCTGTGGAATCCAGGCATGCTGCTTTCCTCCTGCCTGCATGTGACATTACACATGGAGCATTGCCTACCTACATGCCCCTAAGCCACCACTCACAAAGATTTTACTGGGCTCCAGTATGTACGTGTGATTGATTGATTGATTGGTGGATCTCAGTCTCCAGGCTGACTGATATCACATGACCTGAAGCCGTTATCTTGAGTTATATTGTTCCTGTCTAGCTCAAGTTTTCCAGGCAGGCAAACATTACCTTGCAGGAGATCCTAGCAAAGGGCTATTTTTAGATGAGGTTAAATTCTTCTCTATGCTGGAGGTGTTAGGCAAAGAAGTGACATAATCTTTTTTTTCTTTAAGACTTTCTCAGGCTAAAACCAGTTACGGGGTATTGTAGTACTCATGTGAGGGACAAGAATGGCTGTAGCCATGTGGGTAACAGTGAATATGGTCTTAAGTCTTGGATGATGATAGGTTTTTAAGCTAAAGCCAGAAGGATTTACTGACAGACTGGATGTGGGCTAAGAGGGAAAGGGAAGTGTTAGGGACCCTCCAGGAGCAGCTAAGACTGCAGAGAAAGGGTGCAGAGTGAGCACTGGGGCTGAGGATTTTCCAGAGGTCAGTTTTGGAAAGGTTAACTTCAGGGCTCATTCAGCAGTTTACCCCACTTACTAAACTGCCATTTCATCTTGTCAGAGATTAGTAAAGCTACACATTGTGTTTGAGTTTAGAACTGTTAAAAGCACTGCTAATTCCAACCCATTTCTTATAACTGCTATTGCAGGAAGAATGTGTGAAAATGCTTTCTTCACACAAGGAGACAGATCATATCATAAAGCAAAAATGGAAAAAAGTGATCTTCCTTTGACTTTATGCACATCATAAGTGATAAAGAACAGATACAATTAATAAACAACCACTGTCTGTTATACTAGCTTTGTTCTATGACTACAGATAATTAATTTATTCTTCTGTTTGTTGGTTGGTTTTTCCACCAACCTTCAAGTCCAGGCAGTAAGTATTAGAATTTACATCTAAAAGTGATAGCGAAGGTCTCTGTGCACATTTGAGGGGACTCTGGCTGTTAGGAAACCTGTGCTAGTGATGATGAAATGGCAGGAGGAGGGCCACAGTGTGGCCCTGCACAGTCTGCACTGGGGCCTTTCTCTTCACCCTGCACACCAGCTAGGAAGCTTTATATCTCATAAGGTGTGCTAATCCTCCAGCACAGACACTGTACTTCACTGGAGCTGGAGAAACAAAACACCCAATTTTTGCATCCTAGTTTTTCTTTAATTAAAGCTGATCCTTTTCTTAGAGGGCGATTCCTGTTTCCAAATTCATATTTTCATTCTCAAAGAAGAGGTTTATTTTATTCTGTTTTCACCCACCCATGAGCCTCCACATCACTCTTTCTCCCAGTCACACACGTTCCATTCCCATACTTCTTAGTCATTCTTGCTTCCCTACTGCTGTTCTGGGTTGCAGCTGCCCGCATTTCCTTCAAGGCAAATATGTGGCTGTGCCTCTCTCGTGAGGTTTTCCAAAGAGTCCTGTTCTCTTTGGCTTTGACGTTTTAAAGGGTTAAAATAGCAACAACAACAAATTCTAATTAAATGCTTATTTGATGCCGGATCCTTTGCTAAATACAAAATGCAATCTCTCACCATTCTGTGTGGTTTGGGAAACCTTGTTATTCACATTTGAAATATGAAGTCATGGAGACTTCGAGAAGTCAAGGCACTTGTCCAGGGTCGTGATTGCATCATGGGAGGGAGCTGGGATTGAGACTTCTTATCTTCCAGACATAGCTCCACATCACCTGGAGCAGGGCTCTAGGAACTAGACCTGTGTTTCCAAAAATGTGGTATGATTTTGGGCAGTAGAGGCGATGTTAAATAAATATGAGTCTCACGGTGATAGTCATTTTCTTTTCCATTTACTTTTTGATCTTTTTGGTTGAATAATGGAGAAACATTTCAGTTGGATGCCGCATGCCTGACACACATCTCTAAAACTTTCTAATGTACCTGTGTTACTAAGAAGTGAGCAAACTTCTAGCTCAAATCTTTGACAGCAAGAGGATGTAGCAGAATTTGATAACAATTTTTTAATGTATTTTTTTTAGATGGAATCTCTCTCTGTTGCCCAGGCTGGAGTGCAGTGGCGTGATCTCGGCTCACTGCAATCTCCACCTCCCGGGTTCAAGCAATTCCTTACCTCAGCCTCCCGAGTAGCTGGGATTATAGTCGCACACCGCCATGCCTGGATAATTTTTGTATTTTTAGTAGAGATGGGGTTTCATCATCTTGGCCAGGCAGTCTTGAAGTCCTGACCTTGTGATCCACCCGCCTAGGCCTCCCAAAGTGCTGGGATTACAGGCATGAGCCACCGCGCCCAGACTTTTAATGTATTTTTTAAGTCTGCTTTCAATTTATAACAGGGGATACTGGTTTGCTATTGATGTGATGATTCTAACTTACAAAAATATATTCGTTTAAGGAAAATAAAGCAAGTTGATTAAAAATGAATCACGTAGGTGGCACAAAGATTTGACAACCATCATGAAAGTTGTTTGTGAATGATGGATGTCGCCAGCTGTCCCATGCTCAGAATCCTGAGTGGCAAGTGATACATGATGTGTTATCTCACATCAATTCCCATTTCTCACCCTACCAGTCATAGAAAGGGCTAGGAAAACAATTGCAGTAGCAGGTGGGCCAGATTCCCCTGATTTCCAGCGAGTACACACACGGGGCACTAGGAGAATAGACTGCTGCTTTGTCTTAAGCTGAGATCAACCAGGCAGCAATGCCAGTGATTGGAACAGGAAAGACAACAAAGATAGTCAACCACAGAATGTCCTTGTCATCCCAGTCTGTACTGAAGCAACAGTTCCCTAAACTCGGACACTGCCTTGTATAGAAAACCTCTTACCAGGTATTCATTACCTGGGTTCTCCCTTGTCCTCATTTTGGTCTATTTCAATGATTTTCAACTGGGGATACTTGTCAATGTCTGGAGACACTTTTGGTTGTTAAACTGCAGGGTACTACTGGCATCTAGTGAGTAGAGGCCGGGGATGCTGCTCAGTAAACTACAACGCCCAGGACAGCCCTAATAACAAAGCACGATCAGACCACGTCAGTGTTGCTGACTTTAGTAGAGCTGAGATCAAGTCCGTATTACAAGCTCCTTAGAAATTCCTCCCAAATTTATTCCTCACAATGAAACTCCTAGAACCTACGTGGCTAAGCCTCTTGCTTCTTCATCTCATGTCTGTGAAAGTACGTTTTCTTGTCATAGTGTTGTTGGCCTTGCTATAGCCTCAGGGGGAGGGGGAGGGGATTGTACTCCACTTGTTCAAACTGTATTTTTTTTTTTTTTTTTTTTTTTTGAGACGGAGTCTTGCTCTGTCGCCCAGGCTGGAGTGCAGTGGCGCGATCTCGGCTCACTGCAAGCTCCGCCTCCCGGGTTCACGCCGTTCTCCTGCCTCAGCCTCCCGAGTAGCTGAGACTACAGGCGCCCGCCACCATGCCCGGCTAATTTTTTGCATTTTGAGTAGAGACGGGGTTTCACCGTGTTAGCCAGGATGGTCTCGATCTCCTGACCTAGTGATCCACCCACCTCGGCCTCCCTAAGTACTGGGATTACAGGCATGAGCCACCGCGCCCCGGCCTCAAACTGTATTTTTAGTTTGCCTCACTTTCACAGACAAAAGTAAACATTCTGTGCTTTTTTTTTTTTTACTTTTAATTTTATATCCCTCTCTGTCAGGTGCTTCGGATCTGTTTCTCTCAGGTTTTTGGATTCCAGATTTTCATTTTCCCAACGCTGACACCCACCCCTCTTCTCAACTGTACATTTCCTTTTTTAATTGCCGCATCAGTATGGCTCATGCAACCATGATATTATTCTCAAATGTTTTGCATATGTAGATCTTGTCTCTCCAAATTAATTCTCAGCTCCTCAAAGAGAAAGCCTATGTTTACATCCTTCACAGCGGCTGTTATGCTTTGTCTCTGATAGGTGTAACAAGTACCTTATTCTTTCAATTATAACGTAATTGTAAATGTAAAATACAACATTGATTTAATAGCTGCCTTGGCAGGGGTAGGGAAAAAGAAAAGCTTACCTTAAATATACATGTTGGCCGGGCACGGTGGCTCATGCCTGTAATCCCAGCACTTTGGGAGGCTGAGGTGGATGGATCACCCGAGGTCAGGAGTTCGAGACCAGCCTGGCCAAGATGGTGAAACCCCATCTCAACTAAAAATATAAAAATTACCCAGGCGTGGTGGCAGGTGCCTGTAATCCCAGCTACTTAGGAGGCTGAGGCAGAGAATTGCTTGAACCTGGAAGGTGGAAAGGTTGCAGTGAGCCAAGATGGTGCCACTGCACTCCAGCCTGGGCAACAGAGCAAGACTGTGTCTCAAAAAAAAAAAATATATATATATACACACACACACACACACACACGTATACACACACACACGTTGAGGTCAAAATGTGTTCTGCTTTTGGCAGTGTCCATATATTCTACACACACACACACACACAAACACACACAGAGAGAGAGAGAGACAGAGAGAGCCATGTGCACAGAATACATCTTGGAAGCAAGAAAATATGAAACTTATTGGCTTACTGATTTCAAATGTTTACTTATTCATTCTGTCTACCATGAGATAATTTATTTTAGTTTTCATAATTTCAACCCCATTAGTATTTTTCTAATAAGATATGTTAGTGTGCAATGTTATGGGCAAAACGAGAGAACAGAGTTTCTGAAGTTGGGCACTCAGTGCATATGAACCATAGTGTCTTGGTCTTGAATCTTCACAGTACCCAGGATCACAGTCCCAGCACATGCACACTTGTGCTCTGTCCACTGGGGGCTCAGCCCCGCAGGCTACCCCTCTTCCCACCACCTCCCCAACATGTTGGCTTCACTTACCTGTGTCCCACCTTAAAGCTTTATATGTGCAGTTCTGTCTGTCAAGGCTGTTTTTCCTGCCTTCTTTCTCAAACCACTCCCCTCCCCAGGGTAACTCAATGAATTCTCAGTGTCAGTAAAAGTTGCTCAAGGAAGCCTGGGTCAGGTTCCCGGTGATGCTTTTCCTAGCACTGCCTTCTGCTTCACAATTCATTCTACAGTTATTTATTGAACATGAAATGTAAACCAAGCCATGCTCTAGGCATTAGTGGAAAAGCTGCGAGTATATCAGAACAAAATCCCCGTCTACAGGGAGCTTACATTCTGGTAAAGTAATGGAAGCTCTCTTTACTTCAAGATGTAATTGTGTACTCTACATATCCTATTTAATACTTGCAGTAAATCTAGGTGAGAGTTCTTAGCATTACATTTGTTTACATATAAAAATGCAGATTTAGGCAGGTTAGATAGCTGACAGTAGGTCACAAAGCTGGTGAGATGGCAGGCCAGCCAGGTGATCCCTGGTCAAGCTCCTGCATTCTATTATGTTGCCTTTGGTAGGTGGAAGAATGAATCCTTCCCAACATTTTCTGAGCTATTGGTTCCTTCTGAATTCTTGAATAATTGAATAATCCATGATTCGGAGTGACAGGCATTTCATTTAGGCAATTATTGGGAAACTCAAAACTATACCTGCATCTATATGGCAGCAATATTATTATATTTGAATCCTTATCATCACAGAGGAAATTAGAAAGGCCTAACTTAAACTTTTTTTTTAACCTTCTCTGGGTTTCCAATCCACTGGTTTCCATTAATGTACGGAGTGTTTGGGCCACTTGGGGCCACTTTGGATACAGGAAGAGCATCCAGGGTAAAAATCAATGGGTAAAGAGAAAGGAGGAATCGGGAGCAACAGAAGTTAAAGCAGGTGGCTTTGCTATTCTGCTAAAGGGTAAACCCATTAGAACATCTTTGTTCTGTGTTGCATTTTCTCTGGAGACGAGAAGCAGACATGGCTGTAGGAGGTTATGTAAGACCATTAGCCTGTTTGATGTGCCTTTCTTTTCACTTCCTTTTTTTGGTTTGTTTGTTTTCTTCTTACTGCCTTGGGGAGTTAGCCCATCATATGGTTTTGATGGAGGCATGTAGTAACATTTTAGAGTGTTGTAAAGCTGCTTATGAAACGGTTCCAAACACATCAATTAGGAGGGGTGGATAAGATAAAAGGACTTGTGGGTAGAGTATAGAAGAGACCTGATGGAAGAGCATCTGAAGGTCAGTTTGTGGTCATTAGCATCTTCATGGGTCAGGCTGTCCAATGAAGGACACATGGCTTTGAGCAATAGGAGCAAAAGTCCTAACAATTTACACCAAAGGCCTCATTTCTGTTCTATTTAGAGCTCTTAATGCATTTTGTGTCTTTAATGCACAGTGGTGATTTCTTGGCCAGATCTGGTTGATTAAGGCCTTTTGACTCTCACAACTTAAAAAGAAAATGAAACAAGTTGCTGACATATAAAATTCAGGTGACTTCACATAAAAGTCAAGAAGTCTTGCTTCTCTTAAACATAATAGAATGCAGGAGCTTGATCAGGGATCACCTGGCTGGCCTGCCATCTCACCAGCTTTGTGACCTACTGTCAGCTATCTAACCTGTCTAAACAATCAGAAACTGTGAGTACCTTGGACGCGTATTTCCCCATTCCCCCACATAGACTCCTGTCTAGGGCTGACTTCTGGATACCATGCTTAGACAGGACCTGTGCTCTCTGCTAGCTGCGCTACCTCTACCCTAGGTCATAGTGAGTTTGAGCACCTTTATGCATTCACGTTCTCTGCCTGAACTCTAATGGAATTTGAGGTTGTGTCTCCTGTTGTTTTCTGTTAGTGGTAAGTGGTGTGTGTGTGTGTGTGTGTGTGTGTGTGTGTGTTCCAGATCTTCAGGCAGAGGAGAGGGAAGTCCATGTACATTAAAGAAGAATGTTTAGTCCTATAGTTTTGGTTTCATTTGTTTTTGATAACAATATTTATTTAGAGATTTAAATGTCATTAAGGGAAGGTTGTGGATTTATTATGTTTCTTAAAAGTGGGCATTGGGGGCCGGGTGCAGTGACTCATGCCTGTAATCCCAGCACTTTGGGAGGCAGAGGTGGGCAGATCACGAGGTCAGGAGTTCGAGACCAGCGGCCAAAATGGTGAAACCCCACCTCTACTAAAAATACAAAAATTAGCTGGGAGTGGTGGCACATGCCTGTAGTCCCAGCTACTCATGAGGCTGAGGCAGAAGAATTGCTTGAACCCGGGAGGTGGAGGTTGCAGTGAGCCAAGATCGCACCACTGCACTCCAGCCTGGGCGACAGAGCGAGACTCCATCTAAAACAAAACAAAACAAAACAAAACAAAACAAAACAAAACAAAACAAAGTGGGCATTGGGTAAGAGTGATTTTCCAAGAGTAAAATTAATTAATGGGTTATGATATAAATTAAGCATTCCACCACTAGTATTACAAATAAGATAGAATAGAAAATAATAGCATGTTATAGATTGATGATAGATTGATAGGTATACTGGCTAAAAATCTAAACTACATTTCCTACGGCGGGTTGCAGTTAACAAAGACTTTGAAAGCAACTAGATTGTCCAAGCTTGAGAAACATAGCTGCAAGTTTTGGTATTAATCTGTCACACTACAAGTATTTCTGAGTAACAGGTACCTTCATTACTTCTGGAACCAAGGTTGGCATTTAAGGAAGTAAATAAATATACAGTGACCTCTGCCCCAGGGGAAACCAGTGGCCACTTTTTCCTCTTAAAGAATTGATTAAGATTACTTCCTTCTCTTGACAAATTAATATTTCCTAATTGATGGAATAAAGATGTATGAAAAACAAAACCTTACAGAATTGGATGCCAAACAATAGAGTCAAGTTTGTATGGCGGCTTAAATAAGGAAGAGGAAGTAGAAAGGGTTTAAGTATTTTAAGATGTCTTCAGGGAAGAAATGGGACTTTACTGAAAATGCCTTGAATTTCAGTTTCAGATCTTCTTTGGGTTAAAATGACTTAATAATTAAAATCACATGATCAACCTCATGAGCTAGTTCTTTAGATTAGCTTATTGAAAGAGCCTTCATGTTTTTCCCTCTATTTCTTCTTCTTCTTTTTTTTTTTTTTTGGTGGGGGGATGGCACCTCTCTCTGTCACCCAGGCTGGAGTGCAGTCGCATGATCTCAGCTCACTGCAACCTCCACCTCCCAGGTTCAAGCAATTCTCCCTGCCTCAGCCTCCAGAGTAGCTGGGATTACAGGTGCCCCCCACACCATGCCTGGCTAAGTTTTGTATTTTTTAGTAGAGACAGAGTTTCACCATGTTGGCCAAGCTGGTCTCGAACTCCTGACCTTAGATCATCCGCCCACCTTGGCCTCCCAAAGTGCTGGGATTACAGGTGTGAGCCACCACACCCAAACTCCCTCTGTTTCTTCATACATGGCTCATATTCATAAAATTCATGAAATTTAATTCAAATGTAATGGGTTTTGGCCCACTACTTAGGCCATGCCATATGTATAGAAGGCTGTCATTTGGCTGTGGTACTGGGCCAACTGCGAAACATTAGATACATCTTCCTCGTATTATTGCATTAACTGCATAGACTGGGCTAGACTAAAAAAAATAACAGTGGTTTAGGCTGAGAATTTGCTTAGTTTCTATGCTGTGTTAAACAGTTCTTTAGATGGGAGCAAAATTCAGGCACTGAAGCTACCGTTCAGTTTTTCAGCAAGAAATTCTGAAATGGAAGGAGTGGCGTTGTGTCTTAGAATAATTCGGCTCTTTAAAACAAGCAAGCAAACAAAACAACCTCTTAGTTTACTGTTGGCATATGTATGTATCAAATTCAGAGCTTCTTTTAATATCCCTGCATATGATTTTGTCCAAGTTCTTTAAAAATATTTATAATAATTAAATATATCTTAGTGTAGTTTTATATATATACACACACTAAAATATATATATAGCATATATACACACACACTAAAATATATAGAGAGCATATATATACACACACTAAAATATATAGAGAGCATATATATACACATACATATACTAAAATATATTTAAGTAAAAAGCATTTATTTGTTTCTTGCCTAATTGTGTGTACCAGTCTTCCCTTATTAATGAAATTTATTTCTCTTTGTTTACCTTTACCATCTGAGGTACAGATACCGTTCTTCTTAACACTTGATGTTAATTATCAAAACCATACAACTTTCCGTGAAGAACTTCTCTAATGTTCCAAATATTAATTCAGCACAGTCATGCTCATTGAAAAAAAAATTAACTGCATTTGATCCATCACATTGAATGAAAGCTGGAGTAATATTTGATCTAGGATTTTAGGAAGGAAAGAATCCTTAAAGTCATGGTCTGTAGGGAAAGCGAGAACAGAATCTAAGAGACATAGAATCTTTCTGTCTCTCTGCGCTGGCAGTTTCTGATGAGGAGCTATTCACAGACTGTACAAAGGAATACGCTTGCACAGGTATTTCTCTTTGAGAGTGGCAAGGTGAAGGATAGGGAAGGTGAAGTATTTATTATACTGCAAATCAAGAAACAGCTTTTTTTTAAAAAAAATTTCTGTTTTACTTTGTGATAAAACCATTCAGCACAGGTTAGCCTGGAGTCCCTTGGTCCCCTGCCCTTGTTAATAACAATTAATTGAACACTTTGAACATTCCGATTCTAGTTAACTTTGTTTAACAAATGTGAACAAGAATAAAAAATAATAAATGGGCGCAGCCTAATGGAGTATGCCAGGATCTTGGTGCATTGAACTTCTAGGCGCTGGATTTTCAGAAGCTGTTTTGTTTTTGTTTTCACAGGATGTGTGAGACTGGTGAAGGGCTGTTTATCTTTCAGACCCGAGACGGGGAGGCCATCTATCAGAAAGTCCACTCTGCTGCCTTGGCCATAGCCGAGCAGCACGAGCGCTTGCTACAGAGTGTGAAAAACTCGATGGTACGTTTGGAATTTCTTCCTCGTGTCCCAGTGCCTATCACTGCAGAAAGCAATTGGGTCATTTTTGTGCTGGAAAATATGGTCAGCATTATTTGAGCAGATGACTGATTCCTCTTCTCAACAGTGTATCACTTGGATTAAATGGCATTCCAGAATGCCTGATGTGGGCCGTTGGTAATACCTTGGCCATACATCCCCATTATCTACTTTACAACTCAATCGTAAGGGTGTGTAAAACTAATTTGCGTGTGTACAGACATCTATAGACACAACCATGTGGATCATCTACCTATGGAGATATGTCTTGCTATGTCAGAAGTTATTTCAAATGTCAACAGGGGCCAGAGAGAAAAATGTAAATGAAAGAAGAGGGCTGAGGGAAACTGGAGTGAAATGTCAAAAGCCCAAGACCAGACAACTGTTGACATGAGAACAAGAGATTGTGACATCCATCTAGGTAGATCCCTTGATTTTTCAAGGGAAGCCAAAGATTTGAGTCTATATGTAATACCTGCTAGTTGGTAACTGTTGGAAATTAATTCTAGTTAAGAGTGCAACACTTTGTGGGTCAAAGAGAACCTGTCTGCGGGTGAACTGCTACCCACAGCCATGCGTGTGCCATCTCTTCACAGTCATCGGTATATAAAGATGCCCAAACATAAACACATAGCACACATAAACATGCCCTCAGAACACTTACTCTTTGCTTTACACTGTGCTGGGGACTTGGATTACATAAATAATTATGTTCATGAGGCCAGGTGCGGTGGCTCACTCTTGTAATCCCAGAACTGTAATCAGGCTGAGGCAGACTGATTGCTTGAGCCCAGAAGTTTGAGACCAGCCTGGACAACATGGGGAGACCCTGTCTCTACAAAAATACAAAAATTAGCCAGGTGTGGTGGTATGCGACTGTAGTTCCGGCTACTCAAGAGGCTGAGATAGGAGGATCACTTGAGCCCAGGAGGTGAAGGCTACAGTGAGCCGAGTTTGTGCCACTGCACTTCAGCCTGAGTGACAAAGAGAGACACTGCCTAAAAATTTAAAAAAAATAATAATAATTATGTTCATGAGTTTTTTCTTTAAGGAGGGTAAATTCATGAAATCATAAATCATAAATGAATGCACAACACTTAAGTAATGCACATCATGCGTTGTGGCTGCAAATGTATATATAGAGCTTCACATCTGGAAGGAAATATACAAAACAAAAAGGAATTGCGTTGGCAAGATTAGGGTAGTTTGAAACTTTATGATTGAAACATGTGGGGTGGTTGGATTTAAAGAGTGGAGGGGCAAAGCATGCCAGTAATGTGATCTGTTCCAACACAGCCCCGGGTTATTCCCAAATGACGTCTATAGGCAGCAATCCGGGATTTTAGAGCCGGGGTCAGCAAATCTTCCTGTAAAGAGACAGTAAATGTTTTATGCTTTGTGGACTAACATGGCCTGCAAGTACTTAACTGCCCTTGTAGCACAGCTGCAGCTATTGGAAAGATGTAATCAAATGAGCATGGCCATGTCTCAAAACAAACTTTATTAATGGACATTGAGATACAAATTTCATATAATTTTCACATGTCAGGAAATATTACTCTTCTGTTGATTTTCTCTCAACCATTAAAAAGTGCAGGTTTTTTTCATTGTTTGTTTTTTGCATATGGGTCATTCAGAAACAGTCAGCAGGCTGGATTTGGGCCGCAGGACAGAGCTTATACTTGGAAAAGAGCAAGTGCCTGCCCCCGTGAGCCAGTGCTGACGTAAGCATTTGCGAGAAACCAGGCTTGAAGACTTGTGTATGATTTCAGAGGTGGTGGACGTGGGCATGCTGAGGAGGCCTGGAATGAATTAAGGGATTCTGATGGTTGTTTTTATATGTCAACCTGACTGGGACACAGGGTGCCTAGATATTTGGTTAAACTTTCTTGTGAGTATGTCTCTGAGGGTGTTCCTGAGTGACAGTAATATTTGAAATGATAGATTGAGTAAAGCAAATTGCCCTCTGCTATGTGAGTGGGCCTCATCCAATCTGATGGAGGCCAGAATAGAACAAAAGGAGGGTAAGAGAGAATTAGCTCTCTTTGTGGTCTTGAGTTGGGACATTGGTCTCCTTTGGCCTTCAAATCCAGACCAGAAACCATCACCATTGGCTTTCAGGCCTTCAGACTGCATATCTTGGTGTATATATCCTATTTACTCTGTTTCTGGAAAACTGTGACTAATATAACTAATTTAGGGGTAGAAACAGATAAAACAGAGATAAATTTCAGTGCCATCATACAGTGTTCAAGATCATGGCCCGTGAAGCCAGACTTAGTTCCAACACCATTTCTGAAACATTCCAGCTTTGTGGAGGAGAACAAAGTTCTTGATATCCCTGAGCTCCAGTTTTCTCCTTTGTAAAATGGGAAGGGTAATAGTATTTATCTTAAAGACCCCTCTTAAAGTTTAAGTGAGATATGCTCATAACATGTTCAGCCCAGAGCTCATTATATAGCTTTCCATGAACTGTAGCTGTTATTACTGTTGTTAATAGCTGAGCCATCATTAGCATTGCTGTTAATAGCTGAGCAGACTGGTTGGTCCAGATTGATCCTAGCAATGGCTGATGAAAATGGCTGGAGGATTATCTAGTAACAACATCTAAGCCCATTTACATCTGCGCCTCATCTCTCTCTCTCTCTCTCTCTCTCTCGTCACCTCTCTCTCTCTCTCGCCATCTCTCTCTCTCTCGCCATCTCTCTCTCTTTCTAAATGTCTAAGTAGAGCAAATGTAAAATTAGATTGAGAAGGAATGGGGAATGATATAATTTAATAGATTTTAGAGAATTAGAACCTACTATAAGAAACTATAAGAAATCATTATATTTATTATTTTCTTATTTCAAAAGGAATCTACACATTATTGAAAAATTGTAGACAACACAGCAGAACAAAAAGAACATAGTAAGTCATCCCTCTGCCCGCCACACAAGAACATACCTGTTTCTCACTTTTGAGTGGGTAGCTTTCCAGTATTTTAACTAGGTGGATGTAGAAAATAGAATTATATTGAATACATTGCTTGTGCTAGCTTTTTGCAAGAAAATGTCTATATATTGTCTCTTTAAATATCATCTGCAACATCATATTTTGTGGTCCTATTTTATTATATGGATATTTCATAGATTTTTAAAACTATGCATCAAGGTTGGGTACGGTGGCTCACACCTGTAATCCCAATATTTTAGGAGGCCTAGGCAGGAGGATCACTTGAGACCAGAAGTTTGAGACCAGTCTGGGCAAAATGGTAAGATCTGGTCTCTACAAAAAATTTAAAAACTAGTTAGGTACAGTGGCTTGTGCCTGTCCTCCCAGCTACTCAGGAGGCTGAGGCAGGAGGATACTTTGGCCCCAGGAATTCAAGGCAGCAGTGAGCTAGGTTCCCGCCACTGCACTCCAGTCTGGGTGACAAAGGGAGACCCCATCTCTAATATATATACATATATATATGGTTATATATATTTATTTATATATATGGTTATATATATTTATATTTGAGTTTATATGTATACATAAAACAACAACAAAAAACCTGTGCATCAGCTTGATGCTCAGTCTGTATGCATCAATGACTATCTGTTTAAGATAAATTCTTAAAACTTGATTGCTGAATCAAAGTCTGAGAATGCTTTTAAGGATTTGCTTTTCTTTCCAAGCAGCCTTCCAGGAAGACTTTCTTTTCGAACTAATACAATCTTGGTATTTATTTTCCCATGTACTTAGAAATTCTGGATATTTCAATAAAGAGACATCAGTGGATGGATGGAGAGAGACAGAGGGAGGGGAATGCGAGAGAGAGTGAGAGCGAGCTGTGAAGTAGAATTCAAGTCACTGAAAACTTACAGGGCAACATGTCATTGTATTAGTGTTGTGCGGCTATTCCATTAGATCCCTTTAGGCACCTGAAGAAGTTTGTCTAAGATTGTCTTGTTCGTAGAGCCATCAATTAGCATAAATTGTTTTGTACTTGAAAGGCGGGTTCTGCATGCTCATGCACATGTTTTTCCATTTACAACCTCCTCATTATTTCCGCTAAAAATTAATCAGGAATATGAGTAAATCGTTTGGATTATCCCTTTGCAAATTTAACTAGAAAATAATGTCACTTGCTCTTAATTTGCTGTATGCTTAATGGGTTCTATAAAATAAATGTGATTTTTAAAGCCACGGCATCCTGTTATAGATGGAAATGAGTAAGCTTCAACATGGATCTGAATCTTAAGGAGTTAAACGAGGGATTGTGAAAAGCTTAAAATCAATGTACTTTAGTCAATCTCTGATTAGGGGATACCATGCTAAAATAAAACAAATGAAGGCAACATTACTGGCTCACCCTGCCTCGGTTATTGTTTTGCCTTTTCTGGTAATTAAGAGTGGATCCACATAGCCCTGGCTACATTCCCCACTAGGAATTGCCTTTATATGACTGCTGACTTGCTTCTATGAGATGGCCAAGTTCATAACCGGAGAAAGACGGCAAAACTCATATCTGGCCATAGCCTCACTATTAGGAAGTCCTAACTCATTGTTTACTGTCACTGTTGTAAAATTCCCAAGAGTGTGTCTACAGACAGAATGTTGCACTGTGGGGCCAATACCAGGCTGAAATTACAGCCTGGAGTGAATTGATTTCAGTCAGCCTTATGACCCTCAATCCCAAAACTCATAAAGAAGGGGCCTGTGGGTCCGATAATAATAGTAACAGTTGTGGGAGGCTGAATAATGGCTCCCCAAATACGCCCGCATTCTAATCTATGCAGTCTGTGAATGTTACCTTACAAGGCAAAAGGGACTTTGCAGGTGTGATCGAGTTAAGGATCCTGAGATGGCGACAGTATCCTGGTCTATCCAGGTGGGTCGAATATAATCACAATTGTCTTCAGAAGAGGGAAACAAGAGGAGTCAAACAGAGGGCAAGGCAATGGTGGAAGCAGAGAGACAGAGATAGAGAAGGGGTGGAGAGGGAGATTTTAAAATGCCACGCAGCTGGCTTTGAAGGTGGAAGAAGGGACTGTGAGCCAAAAGATGTTTGTGGCCTTGAGAAGTTAGAAAAGGCATAAAAACAGCCTAGCGCAGTGGCTCATGCCTGTAATCCCAACACTTTGGGAGGCCGAGGTGGGTGGATCACGAGGTCAAGAGATTGAGACCAGCCTGGCCAACATGGTGAAACCCTGTCTCTACTAAAAATACAAAAATTAGCTGGGCGTGGTGGCGTGTGCCTGTAGTCCCAGCTACTGAGGCAGGAGAATTGTTTGAACCTGGGAGGTGGAGGTTGCAGTGAGCCAAGATTGCGCCACTGCACTCCAGCCTGGTGACAGAGCGAGACTCCATCTCAAAAAAAAAAAGGCATAAAAACAGGTTCTCCCCCAGAACCTCCAGAAGGAGCCAGCCCTGTTGATGCCTTGACCACAGCCAAGAGAAACTGATTTGGGACTTCTGGCCTCTAGAACCGTAAGACAATAAATTTGTGTGGTTTTATGCCACCACTTGCTGGTAATTTGTTTCGACAGCCATAGAAAACTAATATAATAATAATAACAAAACAAGAATGTGTTATATCTCTGCTCTGTAACAGACAATGTGTTAAGGACATTTTGTGTAATTTCTAAACCTCATGAAAACTCTTGCATTGAAGACCCCAAACCACCAGCTTAGAAGGTATTAGGGCTCAAATTTGGAACAGGTGTGCTGACATAACCCCTGCCTTACACTGTATCTTTGAATCAAGCCCCTAGACACGTTTTCTTTATCCTACATGAGATTAACTCACTGTTATTCTGAAAACTCCAAATTAGTGACCAACATTTAAAAATTGAGAGCTAACACATAAATCTCAGATTTTTATATTTTCTTGAAAAGTGCAAAGCTCTGGCAGTGCTGATCTTGCATCCTGACAAGGCAATGCTTAGATACACCCAGTAGTGTCTGTCCTCACACATCTTTCTCTGGGACCTTGCTACTGATGCTGTGGCTAACTGATGTCTATATTACTATATAAATTAATTTTCTATTGCCATGTAACAAAGTACCACAAACTATGCACCATTAAAACAACATCCATTTATTATTTCACAGTTTCTGTGGGTCAGGAGTTTTGGCATAGCATAGTGGACCTTCCTCTCCAGTTTTTCACAAGCCTGTAATGTAGGTTTCTGTTGGGGCTGCAGTCTCATCTCAAGGTAAAAGTGGGGAAGGATCCACTTTCTTTTTTTTTTTTTCTTTTTTTTTTTTTTTTGTGTAGAGAAGGAGTCTCACTCTGTCGCCCAGGCTGGAGTGCAGTGGCGCTATCTCGGCTCACTGCACGCTCCGCCTCCTGAGTTCACCCACCATTCTCCTGCCTCAGCCTCCCGAGTAGCTGAGACTACAGGCGCCTGCCACCACACCCGGCTAATTTTTTTGTATTTTTAGTGGAGACGGGGTTTCACCTTGTTAGCCAGGATGGTCTCGATCTCCTGACCTCATGATCCACCCGCCTTGGCCTCCCAAAGTGCTGGGATTACAGGCGTGAGCCACTGCGCCCAGCCAAGGATCCACTTTCAAGCTCACATGGTTATTGGTGGAATTTAGCTACTTGGGGTTGTGGGATTGAGGGCTACAGTTTCTTGCTGGCTGTTGGACAGAGGCCACTCTCAGCTCCTGGCCACATGGACCTTGCCAGCACAGCCACATACTTCATCAAAGCCAGCAAGAGGGCACAATCCTATGTATCACAATCATGGAAGGATTATTTTATTCATCTTATCACTCTGCCATAGTCTGTCGATTTTTTTTTCTTTTTTTTTGGAGACAGAGTCTTGCTCTGTTACCCAGGCTGAACTGCAGTGGTGCAATCACAGCTCACTGCAGCCTCGACCTCCTCCCACCTCAGCCTCCTGAGTATCTAGGACTACTGGCATGCATCACCATGTCTGGTTCCTTTTATTTATTATTTATTTTTTGTAGACATGAGGTCTCCCTATAATGTTGCCCAGGCTGGTCTCAAACTCTGGGTTTAAGCAAACCTTTTTCCTCCGCCTCTCAAAGTGCTGAGATTACAGGTATGAGCCACTGTACCCAGCCAGTCTGTTGACTAAAAGCAAATCATAAGCCCTGTGCATACAAAGGAAGGGCACCACACAAGGGTATGCCCACCAGGAGGATGAGATCATGGGGCCACCTCAGTGTCTGTCCCCTGCACTGTGAAACTTTCTGGAATAATATTTACTTAGTGGTTTGATTTTTCACTTTTAAATATTTTTCCTACTTTATGGCACTTGCTAGTAATACGATGTATTTATTGAACATCTACTATATGCCCAACTCTTTAGTAATAATAGCCACTGTTATTTTTCAGGCCTCCTACAATATAGCAGATACTTTACTTGCCTTTTCTCTAATCACCACAATAACTCTGAGGTAGATTCATTTGTTCACTCTCATTCATTTGACCATTTAAACATGTTTATTGAGAACCTACTATGTTCTGTTTTGTGTGGCAGGATACCGTGGCAAGTAGACACTTGAGGCCTATGCTCCTACAGGGCTTACAATGGAAAAGAATATTCATGATCCCTGACCTGGAAGGAATCACTGTCCTATGATATAGATGAGAAAAGGGATGTTCAGCATGGCGAAGTCATTTGTCTGCAGCTACGTAGCTCATTACTACTGGAGCCAGGAATGCAGGGTGGTTTTATCTGGTTCCAAAACTCTACCTCTGGCCATGATGCCTCACTCCTTTGAAGGGTTTTAAAGCTCTTATGTCCCCACTGAGCATGGTCTTAGCATTTTCCCTTTTTTTTCCCTTTTTTTTTTTTGAGACAGACTCTCACTCTGTAGCCCAGGCTGGAGTGCAATGGCATGATCTCAGCTCACTGAAACCTCTGCCTCCCGGGTTCAAGCGATTCTTCCCCCTCAGCCTCCCTAGTAGTTGGGATTATAGGCACCTGCCAGCACGCCTGGCTAATTTTTTGTATTTATAGTAGAGACGGTGTTTCACTATGTTGGCCAGACTGGCCTTGAACTCCTGACCTTGTGGTCTGCCCGCCTCAGCCTCCCAAAGTGCTGGGACCACAGGCATGAGCCACTGCACCTGGCCGGTCTCAGCATTTTCAAATGACCTTGATAATCAGAGTACCTTTCAGAAGCATCTATCAATGTATAATATATCTTTTTAAAAAATCACTGTTAGGGCTGAGCACAGTGACTCATGCCTATAATCTTAGCACTTTGAGAGGCCAAGGCAGGAGGATTGTTTGAGGCCAGGAGTTAGAGACCAACCTGGGAAACATAGGGAGACCCCATCTCTAGAAATATTTAAAAATTAGCCCAGCATGATGGTGCATGCCTGCAGTTCTAGCTCCTGGGAAGGCTGAGGTGGGAGGATGACTTGAGTCCAGGAGATCCAGGCTGCAGTGAGCTATGATAGTGCTACTGCCCTCCAGCCTGGGCAACAGAACAAGACCTTGTTTCAATAAATTATATATATATATATATATATATATATATATATATATATATATATATATATGAAAAATCACTGTTAAATGAAATCTCATTTATTTGTGTAGTTTTGGCTTTAGATAGCAGTCTTGCCACTTTATTATTTCTCGTCTACATTTCCACTTTAAAAATTCAATGCATTGTTATTATTCACTCTAAAGGGGGTGCTGGAAGAAGTGGGGGTGGGCCTGGAGTATGAGGTGGAGCACTAACTGTGAATGAGGCGGGGAGGCGAGGACTGTCTTGCACCAGCTGCCAGCTGCCTTGCTGGAGAAGCCGCAGCAAAACTTCAGGACAGCTCAGGCACTCCCCTGAGCAGCTATAGCTATTTTTGCCACCTTTGAGATCAGTGTCTATGACAAAGTCTAATTTTGGAACAAGGCGTGGCAGTGTGTGGGATATTCCTCATTCCACGACTGGGCTTGTCATTTTTAGACTTTCCTTCAAGGCGAGAGCCTCAAGGTGAAGAATGCCTGCTTTTAACAGGTTTTTCCAGGGGCTCCGGGTGGGGTGAGGGGGCCCCACTGAGGGGGACGTTCAGGCCCCTGGGTGACTTCTGCCCTGTACTCTGGAGTCCTGATTACACACAGGCTTGAGAGTTCAATCTGAACTTTTTTTTGTCACTTCTTTGTGTTTCTTTGTTTAAAGGATTGATTTACTTCCAAGCTGGGATTTGCAAATACAATTTGCTAATGAATTTGTAGAATTCAAGTGGCATTCTTCCATAATTTTTGAAATCAAATTAATTTATATTCAATCTAATTTTAAACGCAATATGCTACACATTTGGCTTTCTTAGATATAGAAGGCATCAAAGAAATCATAGAGTCAATTTCATTACTATTCAGACACTAAAGTAGACCCTCGCATGGTGGAGTTTTATGTGTGTAAACGCTCTTTTCACAACTCAGCATCTCCTACTCTCCCTTGTACCTCCCCACCACAAGAAAATCTGTCTTTCCCTCTTCTATTTATGGGCTCTGGTTAATTGGGTTAACTTATGGATTTTTTAAAATGTGCTGCTTAAAGCAATTATCATTTTCCCCCTCCTGAATTAAGCCCTTTTTATATCCTGGCATATTAATTATCCTTCAAAAAACTTTTATGAAATACCTATTTGCTACTTGCAAAGCAATGTGTTAGATCTTATGGAGAATATATAATAAAGCATAATTTGTTTTCATCTTTTATTTATTGATTGATTGATTTTGAGACAGAGTCTTGCTCTGTTGCCCAGGCTGGAGTGCAGCGGTGCAATCTCGGCTCACTGCAACCCCCGCCTCCCGGGTTCAAGTGATTCTCCTGTCTCAGCCTCCCAAGTAGCTGGGATTACAGGCACCTGCCACCATGCCCAGCTAATTTTTGTATTTTTAGTAGACACAGGGTTTCACCATGTTGGCCAGGCTGGTCTCAAACTCCTGACCTCAAGTGATGTGCCAGCCTCTGCCTCCCAAAGTGCTGGGATTACAGGCATGAGCCACAGCGCCTGGCATTTGTTTTCATCTTTAAAGGAGCTTACCATTTAAATAAGGAGTTTTAAATATACCCCTTATGCAACAGTGTAATTCTGTGGGTTCAATTTGCTATGGTCTCTTTGGATGACCATATTTATTGAAATTAAATCCACACATCTTTTTATTCAACAGTAGTGCTTCTAGGAATTTACTCTGACGTATACTAGCAGAAGTGAAGATGATGCGTACACAAATGTTCACGGGAGGACTCCTTCCTTTATTCTTAGATTCCTCTTTTTAACAAGTATTTGCTGAGCCCTGCTGCCCACTAGATAGTATACGAGGTGCTGGGGAAATGGCTCTGAAGAAGATGAAGTTCCCATTCTTGCGGAGCTTATTTGTAAGAGCAGAAATAACTAGAAAGAAGTTAAGTGTCCACCACAAGGGGACAGATTATGGCACATGATATAACAAGAATTACATGAGGCAGCTAACTAGAAATAGAGGAGATTCATGTATAGTAATGACCACATGAAGAGAGTCATATATAATCATATCAACGTGTGTAAAGGAAATGAATGGATATGAGGCAGATCTCAAGGTGGATTCTGACACCTTCACTAACGCTATTATAAGTGCAGAAAATTAACTTATGGCAGGGTACAAATGGATGTGTTAGTGTTGGCTACCCTTTGGGAGCAAGACTATGATTTGGAGAGTCTGGGAAGAGGCTTTCATGTATTACTTTATGTCTTTCTCTTTGTTTAACAGTTTTAAATCATGGCTATATAATATATTTTTGGAAAAAGAAACAGTGGTTGAGTTTCTGGCATATGGCAAATGTAATTGATTCAACTGGTAAGAGAGAGGGAGGGTTCTTTCACTTCAAGTACATAAAAATGCATGATTGGCTGGGTGCGGTGGCTCACGCCTGTAATCCCAGCACTTTGGAAGGCTGAAGCGGGCAGATCACTTGAGGTCAGGAGGTTGAGACCAGCCTGGCCAACATGGTGAAACCCTGTCTCTACTAAAAATACAATTAGCCAGGCATGGTGGCAGGTGCCTGTAATCCCAGCTACTTGGGAGGCTGAGGCAGGAGAATCGCTTGAACCCGGAAAGTGGAGGTTGCAGTGAGCTGAGATTGCACCACTGCGCTCTAGCCTGGGCAATAGAACGAGACTCGGCCTCAAAAAAAAAAAAATCACGATTAAAGATGATAACGCCTTAACATACTGTATCAAAGGGTGCTACCATCCCATTTTTATGGCTTAGGAGTTTGAAGTGTGGATGCACAGATAGGAAGTGATAAAGCCAAGCTTTAAACCCAGGTGGCCACTGGCTCCGGTTCCCACACTTGCACCACTATGCTGTACTTACTCATGAATTCTTTAGAAATTAAAAGAAGCTAAATGGGCTGGGCACTGCAGCTCACACCTGTAATCCCAGCACTTTGGGAGGCTGAGGCAGGATGATCCACGAGGTCAGGAGATCAAGACCATCTTGACCAATATGCTGAAACCCCGTCTCTACTACACATACAAAAATTAGCTGGGCGTGGTGGCGCATGCCTGTAGTCCCAGCTACTTGGGAGGTTGAGGCAGGAGTATCGCTTGAACCCAGGAGTCGGAGGTTGCAGTGAGCCGAGATCACGCCATGAACTCCAGCCTGGCAACAGAGCAGCACTCCATCTCAAAAAAAAAGAAAAAATAAAAAAAATAAAATAAAAAAAAGAGCTAAATGAGATTAACCTACATTTACTAATAGACATTTAACAGAGACCAAACTGTTTATTCAGACAGGATAGATGTGGATGAAACTCAGGCTTCTTCCTTAAATTTGCGATGGCTTTGTTCCTGTGTATTAGGGGAAGAAAATCTCATTTTCTCAGCACTTCTGTTTCAGTCTCTTATAACAACGTAATAACTTGCAACGTGCAGGGGTGTGTTTTAATAGTGCTTTCACCTGATTATTAAATGCTGCCTTAGCTTACACAGCTCCTCCCTGGAGCTGGGAGCTCCTGTCACGGTGCCAGGGATGTTGGTTGACTCGTGGCTATGCCTCTATTGGAAAAGGAGACAACTTGTTTTGCTGACAGATCGTGGCTTTGTTTATAAACTCGAAAACTAGTTTTAATACTTGAGATGGGGGCTCCGTCAGTAGGCAGTACATTGCGACCTTGATGGCGGCAAGGCAGCCTGTCATGCCACGACCCTTCCCTCATTTGGAGATGTTCACTTCAGAGCATAAAATCACACGTGCATCTGCTTGACCGTGTGGGCGGTGGTGAGTAATCCTATTTCCCAGTGTCGAGCATGGCAAAGAAGAGAGAGATAGAAATAGTGATGAGGACTGAGAGAAGAAAGAAATCAATTCAGTGCAGTTTCTGATCTGTTTTGGGAAGTCAAGGAGTAAGTTTAAAAACTCTTAAGATTTTTGAAATGGTGGTAGCAGGGCATGAAATCAAGTACAGGACCCTTCTAAGCACAGAGCCCCGTATGACTGCACACACTGTACTCCTGTGAAGCCAGCCCCAGTGAAGAGTTATGCCTGGGGAACATACATAAACAGTATGTGAGCAAGCAAATTGGAACGCGTAGTCACCCTAAAACAGCGGTTCTCAATTAGTGGCAGTTTTATTTCCCAGGAGACATTTGGCAGTATCTGGAGTCATTTCTGGCTGTCAACAATGGGGTCCCATTGGCATCTGGTGGATAGAGGCCAGGAGTGCTGTAAGTTCCATACAATGCTTAGGACAGCCCCCCTGCCCTCGACAAAGAATGAGCTTGCCCCAAATGTCAATAGGGCCAAGGTTGAGAACGCTTGCTCTTCTGATAGACAGGTTCTGCTTGAAGCTGGGCCAGAATTGGATGGGTCTGTGTGTTTGGGGTTGAATATCGCTTATGAGCTGTGCAACCCAGCTTCTGTTTGCCTTGTTCACATCATATGTAATAAGTGGGTGATACTAATGTCTCTGCCTGGTTTTGTTAGTTCACATGAGCTAGTGCATGTAAGGCAACGAGACGAGGCATAGTAAGATTCAACACATGTGAACTATTACAGTGATTTCGTCTTTTTTTATTTTTATTTTTATTTTTCTGAGATGGAGTGTCGCTCTGTCGCCCAGGCTGGAGTACAGTGGTGCAATCTTGGCTCAATGCAACCTCCATCTCCTGGGTTCAAGCAATTCTCCTGCCTCAGCCTCCTGACTAGCTGGGACTACAGGCGCCCACCACCATGCCTGGCTAATTTTTTGTATTTTTAGTAGAGACAGGGTTTCACCATGTTAGCCAAGATGGTCTCGATCTCCTGACCTCATGATCCACCCACCTTGGCCTGCCAAAGTGCTTGGATTACAGGCGTGAGCCACTGCACCCGGCCAGTGATTTCCTTCTTACTTACACAAACCAATATGAGTTGGGCGAGGAGAAAGAGACTCACCTTGAAGCAATGGGGATATAAACAGGAAACACCAGGAATTTGAATGATGGAGCCGAGAGCTCTTGTTTCCTTAAGACCCTGATGATGTTTGTGCAGTATTAAAGAATAGAGCAAGCACAACCACATGTGACTATGAGGTAAGGCCCCTGTCTTCTGTGCAGCTCATAGCCTAGTACTCAGCAGGAATTCCAGAAATACGCACAGTCAGTTATACCTGCTTTGTAAAGCAAAGTGCAACAAGAAAACAATATGTGAATACATGGTGTAGGCGATTCTGCCCAGCAGCCCACCCCTTCACCCTGGCATGTGCTTGGCATCTTGTCACAAAAGCACCTGCTTCCACTGAGTGTGAGCCTAGTGTTTAAAGGGACAATCTGATTATATGTGATTTTTATGTTATGCATTAACTTTAAAAGCTGACCTCTGAGTAAGTGGCAGCTCCATTCGAGCCTGTAAACCTCTGGAAGGCAGGGACAAGGCCCCATGGGTGTGTAATAAGCTCAGGGTCTGGCACAGGGCTTAAAGGTTTGTTGAATGAACAAAATAGGGATCAAATAAGTTATTGTGTGAGCCAAGAGAAAAAGAAAAATCGAAGCCAAAATACCAAGTCCAGTTCTCTCCTAATGCCCAAACAGGGCACAGGTTCCAGGCAAGTCTGCTTTAAAAGGCCACAGAAAACTCAGTCCCTAAGGATATCTATTTCAATGTATAGGTGGGGGAGAGAATTTTTTTAGTAAGGAGGCAGAAAAAGTTACCGGAGGCAAAGGGAGCAGTGAATTTGTTTTATGCATGTGGCTGAGAATTCAGATGGCTCCGAATAAATTGATGCAAATCACTTTCATTCCCCATGAAAATAACCATTTGAGTGCATCTGGTGCTCGGCAACATGCTGCACTTGGAAATTTGGCCCCAAATGGTTGATTTCACTAACAGTCTGCTTTGTCAAAGCTGTAAGCCACAATGGAGGCATTGTTTCTGCCAGAGTCTGCTCACTGTGTAGTGTCTTTGCTGCATGTTTTTTTTTTTCCCTTAGCAGGAAAGCGGTCTTTCTTTCTTACCCACATTTTTTTTTCTAACATCGAGGAAGTAAGCCTCTACTCACTCTATTTTCTTGACAGTTTCATAATATTCTGTGATACCTTGGTAACATTTGGATGATAGGAGTACCCATCACTTTTCCTCCAAATGTCAGAACAAAAGAGAGGACTTGGAGAAAGTAAAGACAGCTCTTTGGGTGGTTCCTGCCAAACATCTGTCAGAGCTGGAATCAGAATTAGGCAGCCCATGAGGACTGGTTCATTAGAATGTCGGGGAAGACCACATGTTTGGCAGATCGTTAATTTCCACTTGAAAGAAGGCCCCTGGGACAGTGGGGGTCCAAGGGCCTCATAGAGGTTCTAATCTCCTGTTTTTCCAGATGGTGGGGGCAGCGTCATCTCCTTGCAGCCTAGACGTTTGGCCAGTTGCCATTTCTTTAAGCTTTGGAAATACAGTTAAGGTGCCTTTTATCATTTGGAACGGAGTAGATTTGAGTCCATCCTTTAGGATCTGTATAATACTCTCAGTACTTTCTATGAGAAATATGTAGAATTGTGTTATGAACTGTAGCTCTGGAGTAAGAGGCCAGGTCCTATATCCTGGCTGGACATCTTTACCAGCTCAGGGTCCTCGGGCTACTAACTTTACCACCCTTAGTACTTGTTCCCCCTTCTACAAAGTGTGGATTATATTAGTTCACAACTTGCCAGGTGAGATAAGGCAGGTGATTTCTTGGCACAGTGCCTGGTACCTATTAAATATAGCAGCAACCTGAGCTGTTATTATTACTGACTTGTAGTGGGAGAATAAAATGGCAAGGGAAGGCAGATTATAGGGAATCCCCATTCACACAAATGATTCATTCATTTCTTCAATCAATTCATCCATCCATAATTCAATTATCCAATCCCTTTTTATTAAATGCCTACTATATGCCAGGAATCATGGTGGGCACGACATCTATGAGCATATACAAGAAATCTCTGCCTTCAGGAAGGAGAACGCTGCTGCGAGGAGGGTCTTCTCTCCTTTTTAGAGGAAGGAGCACCGTTGTGGAGGCAGACAATGATATATCCAAAGCTTGGCTTTCAACTAGCTGTCTGACCAGACACTCTAAAATCCTGGGGGACAGAGAAAGTGTGAAAGTTTTTATTCATTTTAAGTTTGCAGACCCTGGCACAGTGTGTGGCTTATAAATGATGCCCAGAGTACATACATGGATGGGATGAGGGAATGAATGAGCCGAAGAACACCGAGTGCAGAATTCATCGAAAGGGGTGAGGGAAAGAGCGGAGGTTTTTAGGTAGGAAGCATGTGAGCAGAAAACCCAGTTAGGAGGCTTCTTCTAATTGAGGGATAATTAGAGTTGGAATGAGTGGCTCCATCTGGCTCTTTGCTGAGAGTCTGCGTGCTTTATTTCCTTCAATTTTCACAACTATCCTTGGAGATAGGGACTGGTTTTTGAATCTTATTTATTTTTACATAAACACATGTCTGTAAAATTTAACTAACTGCAAAATTATGGTCATATAGATGATGATTAGTGCTCTATTTTTTCTTTTTATAATTTGTTTACATGCATTTTCCCCCTCCTGTCTCTTTATTAGCAATTCCTAACCTTGTTAAGAAGTTCACATGTACCTTTCCATGTTTTCCTGTGTACCCATATTATCCTGTACAGATATGCACATCTACATATATACATAGACACATACACAGATACATACAAAAGATGGGTGTCGTGATGCAATTGTTTATTTTACAAAATTGTGATCACAACACACGACTAACCCCTAGTTTTTCCGTTCAACAGTAAACATTTAATGGAAATAGTTTGAAGTCTTGTAGTACAGTTGTAATTCAGAGGTTGACAAACTACAGCCCACGGGTGCAATCTGGCCTATGACTGTTTTTATAATTTAAATTTTATTGGAACACAGCTACATCCTCCCTGTTCATTTATGAGTTGTTGTTCACACTGAAACAGCAGAGTCGAGTAGTTGGTGATGGTGTGGCCTGCAAAGCCATTTACTATCTGGTCCAAAACAGAAAAGTTTGCCGACTTTGTTCCTATTCATTCTTTTTGATGGCTGCATGATATTTCAGAGTCTTGATGTAACATAATTTATTAAACGTACGTATAAGAATATCAGATTTTTTGCCATTAAAACAATACTCTTTGACTGTGAAGTGAGTCCCTGAAAATAAAAAACAAAACAACACAACAACATCAAAACCAATACCGCAACAATTATCCTTGTACACAGTTCTTATAGATTGTTAACCTTATTGAATTGAGTTTGTGAACTTTAGTTAATGGAGTTTTCTAAACTCGGGAGTAGGATTGCTGAATTAAAGGATTTAAGTCGCTTTTTAAAATATTTAAATCAGTGTTGCTGCCTTGTCTTTTGAAATGCTGGAGTATCTTGCATTTTATTGGACATATTAGTAGATCCATTTCATAATGGCAGAAACTGAGGTTCGGTGGGTCACCCTTTAGTTAAGTAGAAAGTCAGGACGGGAACCAAAAGCCCTGGACTGATACTCACTGGGAACTGAAAGGAAGAAACAGGTTTGGGAAACTTGTCAGAGGTTGAAAGCGGAGAGAGCCTCTAGGGTCTGAGGGTAAATGTGTCTGTGGCGTGGGTCAGGGTGACAGGGTAAGGGTACGGGAAAGAAAGACGCAGTGGATCTCCAACTTACGTGTGCATCACAGTCACCTACAAAGCTTGTAAAGCCACAGATTTCGGGGTTCCACTTGAGTGTTTTAACAGGCCTGGGGCAGGGCATTGAAATGCACATTTCTGATAAGTACTCAGGCGATGCTGAGGTCGCTAGACCAGGTAACATGCTTTCAGAACCGATGCTCTGGAGTGAATTTCAGGATCTGGCCCCTTAGTCCTGAGAAGAACAAAAAGATGTATAGTCTCAAGAAGTGTGACCGTCTCAAGAAGAAACAAGGGATGGAATGGGAGCTACAGAAATCATAGCATGCACCTTGTGCTTCTCCACCCTTCATGATACAACGGTTCACAGTGAGACATACTCACTGATCAGTAATCACATCCTGTGCTGAGAACAGAGTCAATTCAGGCATACTTTTCTACTTGTTTCATCACATCGGCGCTAGCCAGCTTTTAGTGTGTGTTAGCACTATATGTTCACAAGGTTGCGAGTGTTTAGGGAAACAAGAACAAGTTGTAAGTGATTATGTTCTCTCATTGGAGAAAATTGGATCCTGTTAAGAATTCATTCTTCCTTCTCTACTAAAAATACAAAAAAATTAGCCCGGCGTGGTGGCGGGCGCCTGTAGTCCCAGCTACTCTGGAGGCTGAGGCAGGAGAATGGCGTGAACCCGGGAGGCGGAGCTTGCAGTGAGCCGAGATCGCGCCACTGCACTCCAGCCTGGGCGACAGAGCGAGACTCCGTCTCAAAAAAAAAAAAAAAAAAAAAAAAAAAAAAAAAAAAAGAATTCATTCTTCCTGTAACACAAAGAGGAATGCAGCAAATCCAGCAGATGGAGGAAAGAGGAGGAACCAGAACTGATGCACAGGACTCTGTCTGTATGCCCTAAGAATGACTTACTCTTCTCATCAGCACGTGGTTGCCCCACGATTATCACAAAACTTGTTCAATAACATCTGCATCTCTGTTCCAGAGGAACTGGTTACTGCCACTTAGCATAGCAATTAGTATATTACGCAGTTTGTATCGATTAAATGAACCTGCTCCGTCAAGCAGAACGAGCCCCCCAAAATGCAGCTAATGTGTTTTTCTCAATAAATTATGCCCCTCACCAAACCATACAAGATGCATTTGTGAGAACTTTAGGAAGGTATTTTATAAACCTCAGAAATACCGACTTTTCAGACTTGGTAAATAGATTACACACTGCACAAGCACATTTTTTATTTTTAATGTCTTTTAGAAAATGGATTATCTATGATCATCATTCTTTTTTAAGGGAGACCATTTGGTCTGAGTCTTGTAGAAATGCAGGGAACATTTTAAGATTGAGTTAAAAGCATACTTAATATTCATGAAATATTTTGAATACTTCTTTCTAGAGACTCAAAATTATGTTTGGTTTCTTTGAGGACTCTGCTGCTCTCCTTTGAATTTCCCCTGGTTTTCATTTTCTAGTGTCATTTGGAGAAAAACAAAAGGGTTGGGGATAGTGCTGGGGGCAGGACTTATAAAACCACAGTGTATGAAGTGGGAAGATATTTCCTCTTTATAAGATTGCGCTTAGAGGAGTAATGCACTTAACATATCCCTCAGTGCCTCATCCACAGATACAGAGTCCTTGAAACCGGTGAATAGAATACTGTGCAAGTGAGCGAGGAAGCTGTGATTTATTTTGAGATGCATTAATTTCAAAATAAAGCACTTGGATTAAAAGATTCTATTGGTAACATGATATAAAATATAAACAGTGCAAAAGAACATACTCTATAAAACAAGTCTCTGTCCCATCGTCCCAGACACCCAGTTTACATTCTCTGAAGCACTTTACCAGATTCCTTTGAATCTTTCCAGAATATAAATTGTTTAATAGATATAAAACATATTTATGAATACATTCATTCATTCTACACATATAAGTACCTGTTCTCTGTAAGGCCTTGTTCCAAGAAGCAGGAGTACAACAGAGAACAAGAACTAGTCTTTGTCCTCAAGGAGTTTACTACATTGCTGTGGGTGGAGAAGACAATCAACAATCAATATATAAATATATATCAAGAACTGATAGTTGCTATGAAGAAGACAACAGTGTAAGACAGAGAGAATGACCGGGAATGGTCACTCTGGTAAAGTGATACCCAGGCAGACAGCCATTCCTAAGGGCCAGGTGCTTCAGGCCCAGGAGCCTTTAAGTGCCAAAGCCCTGAGGCAGTCTGTGCTTTGCGTGTGCATGTGCAAAGAGGTTGGTGATTCTGGAGCAGCTGAAATGAGGAGAAGAGCATAGCAGGTGAATTCTGAAAGGAACTGTGAGTCGGGTCCTGTCAGACCCTGTAGCTATGAGCTATGGATTTTCCTTGGGGAGAGTTGCGTAGTCATTGGAGGGTTTTGAGAAAGGGTGATATGCTAAGTTTGCTTTCGAATTGATCACCCTGGAAGCTGTTTGGAAACGACTGGGGGTGCCCAGAGCAAGGGTACGAGCAAGAAGATGAGTTAAACGCTACTGCAGTCATCTGAGTATCTAGGTGAGCATCGGGGTACGGACCAAGGTGGTGGTGATGGAGGTGAGGGAAAGTGGTGGATCCTGGGTATATTTTTGAAGATTGGACCAATAGGATTTGCTGATACATAAGAAGTCTTATAGAGTAGAGGAGATAGTCAATCTCAAGATTGTAGTTGTTTCTGTGTGTGTTTTAACCAGAACAACATGTAGAATGGAGGAAACCTGTACTCGGAAGGGGAAGAGGTTGAGGGGAGAGGAGTATGAGGAGCGACAGTTCAGGACATGTTAAACGGGAGATGCCTACCGGTCATCCGGGTGGGAGTGGGAAATAGTCTCCTTAATACACAACTCTGAGATTTGGGGGAGAGATAAGGGTTGCTGATTTCCAACTGGGAATTGTCAGGTTGTAGATAGATGGTATTTAAACCCGCCTGAATGACAAGCTGTCTCTGTGAATCTGTTTAGATTAATAATTCCCTTCCTTGTTTTTACGATCGTTTCATATCACTGCACAAAGATTTACCTTTTCTCTTCTTATTGGCTACAGATTAGTCTGTTACACAATAATGTGAAGGTAAGACTTCTCTGTGTAAGAATAAAAATGAAATTGCCAACTCATCTACTTTTTTGATATAGCAGCAACATAAGCAATTTTTGAGTCAGTCTAAAATCTATTGTAATATGCAAATTAAAATGAAATTCTAATATTCATTTAAAAACCGGTTATCAGAACAGTCTTCAATATAGTAGGTCCCAGGATGAAAATTGTGGTCAGCAGGAAAAAAAAATATTACAGAGGAGATTGGGTCAGAATTTAATTTTACTGTCTCATCTGGTAAATTAAACAGTGGTTAGGGAAATGAACAAACAAAGTATGATAGAGCCAAAGGATGGACTAAGATCCAGACATTGAAATGATGCTGTAGAAGACAGTATTTAGGAATGTTAGGATATGTTCATAATATACTAAATGACAAAAGAAAATGGCATGAGAATACGTACGCTATCCAATTTGTGTTAAATATACATTATGTATGTGCCTTTTAAAAAATATTGGCCCTGGCAACATGGCAAAACTCCATCTCTACAAAAAATACAAAAATTAGCCAGGCATAGTGGCACATGCCTGTAGTCCCAGCTACTTGTCGGGGGGCTGAGGTGGGAGGATAACTGGAGCCCAAGAGACTGAGGCTGCAGTGAGCCATGTTTTGCCACTGCACTCCAGCCTGGGCAACAAAGTGAGACCCTGTCAAAAAAATAAAGAAAGAGAAGAAAGGAAAGAAAGGAAGGAAGGAAGGGAGGGAGAGAAGGAGAGAGGGAGGGAGGCAGGCAGCCAGCCAGGCTATCTGGCTGGGAGAAAATATACCAATATGTCAAAAGTGGTTTTTATTTCCTTGTTTTGTTTTTCTGGGTAATGGATACGGGTTGATTTAAAATCTACCTTATATGTTTTCCTGTATTTTATGAACATAATAAAAAATATAGCAAAAGGAAGAACATAATTTATTACATGTTAAAAAATGTGTAATAGGCCAGGCGCAGTGGCTCACACCTGTAATCCCAGCACTTTGGGAGGCCGAGGTGGGCGGATCACAAGGTCAAGAGATCGAGACCATCCTGGCCAGCATGGTGAAACCCCGCCTGTAGTAAAAATACAAAAATTAGCTGGGCATTGTGGCACGTGCCTGTAGTCCCAGCTACTGGGGAGGCTGAGGCAGGAGAATCGCTTGAACCCGGGAGGCAGAGGTTGCAGTGAGCCAAGATTGCACCATTGCACTCCAGCCTGGCAACAGAGCAAGACTCCGTCTCAAAAACAAAACAAAACAACAACAACAAAATGGTAATGGGTAATAAATATCACAAAAACATGGACCCCTCCCCGCTTTTTGGTGCCAGGCAAAATACTACCAGACCCAAAGATAGAGCTGTCTTGGAGACTGTAAACTCCCTGCAGGGGTCGTGGCTGAATGTGAGGGCTTAGAGCTTTTTTGCTTTTTTCTTGTTCCTGCAATGGTTCCATGCCTATAGTAACATCTTAACTCAGGCTTGTTCCTTGGATTCATTGTACACTCACTGAAACCAGGTGATTCAATGTATTCTCTAAGCATATTATTTGGTGGTTTTATGTATGGCTTTTTGTCGTTGTTGCCTAAAAATATTTTAAGGTTTCTGCCCTCAAGCTAGAAAAACAGTCCAATATCAGATATTTAGATTTGAAAAGAAAATATGAATGCTTCTATTATGACCTTGTTCAGAAATTCTTGTTAAAGACAGTATCATGATATAGAGCTAATTCTAAATATTGGCAATAACCATGGAACTCCACAATAAATTATGCGTGGCCTAAGAATTAGCTGCAAAGCGAGAACTATTTTCTCTCTTTTTTACTGACCAGATATTGAGGACTAAGGGAGATTAAATAATGAGCCTAGGGTCATGCAGCTATTAGTGGCAGATTCTAGACTTTAACTCAGATTTTGTGACTTTCACGTGGGCTCTTACCACCGTGGAAAATTTCCCAGAATGATTGTTCTAAAGGTAATAAATAGCACAGGACAGTAATTCTCAAAGCATGGTTCCTAAATCATTAAGATCAAAACCATCTGGGAACTTGTTACAAAATACAAATTCCTGGCCGGGAGCAGTGGCTCACACCTGGAATCCCAGCACTTTGGGAGGCCAAGGCGGGTGGAGCACCTGAGGTCAGGAGTTTGAGACCAGCCTGGCCAACATGGTAAAACCTCATCTCCACTAAAAATACAGAAATTAGCCAGGCGTGGTGGTGCGTCCCTGTAATCCCAGCTTCTCCTGAGGCAGGAGAATCGCTTGAACCCGGGAGGTAGAGGTTGCAGTGAGCTGAGATCGCGCCATTGCACTGCAGCCTGGGTGACAAGAGCAAAACTCCATCTCAAAAACAAAACAAAACAAAACAAAAAACAAAAAAAACAAATGCCTGGGCTCCACCCTTGGAAATTCTAGGAGTGGGGCCAGGAATCTGCATTTGAACAAACCCTCCAGGTAATGCTTCTGCTTGCCGTTGGATAGCTGAACTGCTGACCCAGGGCCCAGAAAGCATAGGGAGATCATGTTTTCAAATATTATTTTCACAAGAGAATAAGTAGGCAGAACCCAAAGATATTGTTCAGGAAGCCACCTGGAGAATGGCAGTGAATGTGGAGGGTAGTGTAGATGAGAGCCGAGATTTCAGCAGAATGAGAAAAGCAGGTATTCAGAGGCTGGCTTCACTTGGAATGTGGTTTTATTCTTTCTCTCTTGGACTGAGATGTCCCTTCTGACTCAACTTTGCCCATGTTTTGTGCTTGAAATATTGATAGAAAATTAGTTGGGTTACATATATGAAACGGAAGATATGATTAGAATTGGAAGTTTCTCAGGTTGAGAATGTGTTCAGGCGTGGATGTGGCTTCTGACTCAGCTGAATCTTATCAAGACAGTGTCTTTATTCAGTCGCTTTAGGGCCCAGGTTGAATGAAAGGAAAATTACAATACGATTTGCATATGCAGAGTTGTTATTGGCAAAGACCCCACTTGAGTTATTAATACTTTAAGGAGCAACCTGATGAAAATTTAAGAGCTTGATGAGGATGGAATTAGGTATTGAGGTACTGATCTTTTTGCCATAGTGAAGATTTGTGCTCGTTTCTGAATGAATCCAGACTGATGTCACAAAGACGGCATATGGTACTCATGATTGACTGTCGCAGAAAACAATTACATCCTGTCGTGCTGTTCAATTTTGCAAAACACAATGCTCTACCATAAAAACAGTTGGATTCCAGAGAAGGACAATATGGTGCAGTATTGAGGCTAAGACCTGCCACTGCTCTGCACTCCTGGTCTCAGACTCATGAAAGAAGTGCACCAGCAGCAAGTCAGTGTCAGCGAAACCAAATGAGGAACTGGGAAACCAGAAATGCATTTGGCAGGTATGGCAGACAGTTGTTTTTCTTTTCTCAGTGACAAGCTATGCGCAGTGGTCCGGTCATTAGAATCTTTTTCTCTCCCAAGAGGGCTGATAGAATTTTCTCACCATTATGAGGAAAGGGCCTTGGCAATCAGCCCTTCACTCACTGTGAGTATTGGGAAGTTTTTACAAGGCTTTTACTGTGCTGTTAATGACAATAATGACGGCAGGGTGGGGGCGGGGGCAGGGGACCATGCTTCAGCCAGTTGTCGGTCAGGTCTTCATTCAATGTTACTTTTTCTGGGGCTGCTTGACCAGAAGTAGCCACTCAACTAATTCATCATATCATGCTTTTTTTTTTTTTTTTTTTTTTGAGATGGAGTCTCCCTCTGTCACCCAGGCTGGAGTGCAGTGGTGCGATCTCGGCTCACTACAAGCTCTGCCTCCCGAGTTCACGCCATTCTCTTGCCTCAGCCTCCTGAGTAGCTGGGACTACAGGCGCCCGCCACCATGCCCGGCTAATTTTTTGTATTTTTAGTAGAGATGAGGTTTCACCGTGTTAGCCAGGATGGTCTCGATCTCCTGACCTCGTGATCCTCCTGCCTCGGCCTCCCAAAGTGCCGGGATTAATATCATGCTTTTAAAATAATCTTCAGGGCATATACTACTATCTGCTTTTTTTTTTTTGGTAACAGGTTTATTGAGATATGAACATACCACACGTACCATACCATATACATGTACCCTTTCAAACTGTACAATTTAATGGTTTTAATGTAGTCAGGTTTGTGAAACTATCACAATTGATTCCAAAACATTTTCATCACCCTAAGAAGAAACCCCACCTCCTTTAGCTATCACCCCTGGATACCAAAAATAAAATTCTAAGCTCTTCAGCCAACTGGAAGAACTCCTGTTCTCTGCTAAGGACATTCAAAAGTTAACCTGAAAAACCAGTTCAGCCCATGATGGGAAGTGGGGGTCAGACATGCCTCATGATACCCTCCTCCCTTTGGAGTTCAGGCAAAACTGACCAGCATTAACATTAAAACAGAGACCTCAAGACTGACAAAACAGACTCTTTGTAGGAGTAAGATACTAACATGAGAGATAGCAGGCCCTGAAAGACATTTAAGTATTTTACTCCAAAATATATTATTTGACATATTTTGAAATGACCCTGCAAAGCTGTCTCTTGTGGGGAAAATCTGTATTCTGTAGAGAATCTTCTTCCCTTTTCAGGTGTTTTCTCTGATCCAGGAGAGAATTAACTAAGAGTCTGGTGCCCTTTTAATTCTGATAGGATATATTTACCATCTCTTCTCTCTGAAGCCTGGCACCTGAAGGCTTCATCTGCATCATAAAAACCTTGGTCTCCACAACCCCTTACCTTAACTCAGATACTCCTTTCTGTTAATTCCAGGCCTTTCGATAAATTCCTTCAACCAATTGCCAATCAGAAAATTTTTGAATCTACCTATGACCTGGAAGCCCCCATTTGGAGTTGTCTCACCTATCTGGATCAAACCAATGTTCATCTTATATGTATTGATTGATGTCTTATGTCTCCCTAAAACATATAAAACCAAGCTGTAGCCCAACCACCTTGGGCAGATGTTCTCAGGATCTTGTGGGGCTTTGTCAATGGGCTATGGTCACTCATATTTAGCTCAGAATAAATCTTCTCAAATATTTTTGACAGTACCCTCTAGGCCTCAGCAACCACTGATCTATGTTCTCTCTAGGGATTTGTTTATTTGGGACATTTTATGTAAATGGAATATCTTAGTTTATTTTTACGGCTATAACAGAATACCAAAGACTGGGTAATTTATAATGAACAGAAATTTACTTCTTATAGTTCTAGAGGCTGGGAAGTCCAAGATCAAGGTGCTGGCATCTTGGAAAAGGCCTTCCTGTTGTGTCATAACATGGTGGAAAGTATCAAGTGGTGAAAGAGCAGAGAGGGCCGGAAGAGAGACCAAGAGGGGATGAACCTACTCCTGCAATAATACACCTGAAACCGCCTTTGAAAAATTATGACAGTAAAAGAAATCTGACATGGCTGACTCCATCTTGATTCTAGCCTCACAGGCTGGCTGCCTTCATTTATTCCTGGGCATGGGCCAAGCTAACTTTAAGAGAAATTTAGTTTATAGTTTAAATGATAATAGCCCTTCCCTGAAACTAAACTGCCCTTGTAAAATTAATGAAAGGCCAAGTTAGGAGGATGAGAGGGGCCTCAGTTCTTCTAAGATTTAGATGTAGTTTAAAAATGACCGGACATTATACTGGAGGCCACAAGATTTGCAACTTCCCCAATTATTCCTGCAAATAATATCACTATTGCAGAACCTGAGATTGGCCTTTTGAGATGGCTGTTCAGATTTTTGCATTTCTGACAACCAGATGGCCCCACTAGACCTGTAACTCAACTAGTCCTGTGGTCCCACCCAGAAGTGGGCTCAGCATATGAGGACCATTTTCCACACCCTTATGATTGCATTTCCAACCAATCAGCAGCCCCCATCCCCTAACCCCTTGCCTGCCAAACTGTCTTTAAAAAACTCCTGACCTCTGAGCCTTCGGTGAGATTGATTTGACTAATAACTCCATTTCCCACGTGGTGTGTCTGACCTCACATCAATTAAGCTCTTTCTTTACTGCAATGCCATGATCTCCATGAATTGATTTTATTTGTGCAATGGGCAGGAATAACTCATTAGATGGTTACAAACGAACTCCCAAGATAATGGCAGCCCCTTTGAAAGGTTTCGCCTCCCAAAACAGTCACGAGACAATTAAATTTCAACAGGACTTTTGGGGGGGACAAACATTCAAACCATAGCATGGAATAACATAATCCCTGGACTTTCATGACTAGCACATTGTTTTCAGAATCATACATGTTGTAGCACATATCAGAACTTCATTCTTCTTTTTATAGCAATCTGAATATTTTTGTTAATTTGTATACAGTTTCATCACAGGTCTCTTAGTTCCATGAGAAAAGAGACCTGTAAGCCCAAGCAACTCCCATGAAGCAAAGCGTCTTCTGCTTCTACATTGTAACATGGGTCTCGTACTGCATGGTTAGCTTCTCTCCCCAGCAGCATGATGCTTTTTGTGCATTCAGAACCCAATTGATGACATAAGTCGATTGATTGCTTTAAGTATTTTATGCCACCAGGCAGCATCTTGACTCACTTAGGCCAGGTTAGGAAGAGACCTGCATGCATTCATGCTGTTTAGAGGGAAAGTTCAAGTGTTGAAGTACAAGAAGGCATTTGTTTGACTTTCACAAAGGCTTGTCTTTCTACTCTTGTGGGATCTTGAGCTAACACTGCTAATAGAATTAATAAATGTTCAGTGCTAAACTCCCCTGCTGTTGGATAGTCCTAAATGATTGTGCATATACACATAAGAAAGATCTTTCCCCAAGGTCCTGCTTCTGCTCATCACTTGAATGGCAAAGTCGAGTGAAGTAGTCTTATTGCCACGTTCCCCACAGTCAGTCACAGCCATGTTAATTTAACCGGGACCTAAAGTTTCAGCATGAATTCAGCCTTGGGCTAACAGTGCTTCTAATTTGATAGCTTGGTTAGGATTTATTTTTGAAGACAATTTTCTGCTACTTAGGCAAATCCTGGGTTCATTCATTCATTCATTCATTCATCACACATTTGTTAAGCCTCTGAAGGCTCTAGCTAGGTGCTGGGAATAGGATACAGAGATAAAAGATAATCCCTACTTTGGCCGGGCGCGGTGGCTCACGCCTGTAATCCCAGCACTTTGGGAGGCCAAGGCGGGCAGATCACAAGGTCAGGAGATCAAGACCATCGTGGCTAACACGGTGAAACCCCGTCTCTACTAAAAATACAAATAATCAGCCAGGCGTGGTGGCGGGCACCTGTAGTCCCAGTGACTTGGGAGGCTGAGGCAGGAGAATGGTGTGAACCCGGGAGGCGGAGCTTGCAGTGAGCCGAGATCATGTCACTGCATTCCAGCCTGGGTGACAGAGCGAGACTCTGTCTCGAAAAAAAAAAAAAAAGATAATCCCTACTTTTCAGCAGTTCATGGTCTAGAGCAGAAGGAAGGCTAGGTTAGTGACTATCACAAAACAGTGAAATGATGAGATATCTGGTAGAAGCACCTGATCCTATTAAGGGAGGAGAAGAGACATCAGGAGAGTATCTAAAGGAGGTGATTCCTGAGCTGACTCCTGAAGGGAAGGTAGAATTTAACCACATAAGTAATGGGGAGAACCTTTGGGCTTAGGAGCAGATGTGCAATGGATTTCCAGGCTCTTGGAAATGCCTGGGCTGAATGGTGTGGTTTAGGCTATGTTGAGGCCTGAGAAGGGAAGGGTGTCAAGATCAGAGCCCCCCAATCTAAGAAGTTTGGCCGTTAGCATGAGGATATATAGTCCCTTGACCGGTTAACTCAGGAGACTAGGCTGGATGTCCCCCATGGTTCTTCCAACTCTAACGTTCCATGATTCTTTTAAGTTTTTCTGACATAGGAAACAAAATGGGTTATTTGTAATTTTTGTGGTTGTTTTTTATAGAGTCCAGGGACATGATTTTAGTAGGTTATACGGGGTCAGGAGTATGGGTCACGTGTAGTATACAGTTTGTTCCACCATAACACCATTTCTTTTCTTTTCTTTTTTTTTTTTTTTTTTTGAGACTGAGTCTCGCTCTTTTGCCCAGGCTGGAGCGCAGTGGCATGATCTCAGCTCGCTGCCACCATGCCTGGCTAACTTTTGTATTTTTAGTAGAGACGGAGTTTCAACCATGTTGGCCAGGCTGGTTTTGAACTCCTGACCTCATGATCCATCCACCTCAGCCTCCCAAAGTGCTAGGATTACAGGCAGGAGCCACTGCGCCCAGCCACACCACTTCTATATTGCCACTGAGCTCAGATGTATTTGAAAAATTGGAAATTCACTACAATATTAAGGTTGTGTTGGTTCCTAAGCAATTTTTTCTAAGAAAGGGAAGCCCAGATTAGAAGGAGTGAAATTGTAACCTTAAGCTGGATAGGAAAAGGTACTTACAGACTGGTGCACAGGCATGGCCTCTTCCAGAAGATGAACCATGAGCACAAGTCCCTGGACTCCCTCCCTATAAAGGGGTGTGCCCAGCCTTTGCAGTCTTGCTCAGCTCCTGTTCATGTGGCTGCACAGCCACCATTGCCAGCTTTCTGCAATAGCCCCTTCTCTACCTCTGTCACCTGGACTTCCTCAAGCTGGCACTTCCAATCAAGTGTTTTCTACATTTTTTATAACCCCAAATCAACCTCCAGTCTAGCTGGGCTGTGCAAACTATCCCCCAAAGTAACAATGACTCTGGTTGTAAATAGGCATACATTTGAATGGCCAACCCACCCCCTGAATTTTCCCACAATTTTGTGAATGGGAGGTTTTTCAAGAACTTCTGTGTCACCTTACAGGGGAAATCCCCATACTTTACAATTCTATGGCTCAGGGTAATTTTTATTTTTACTTGTTAATGTGAAGATATTATATCTATTGTAAAAAAAAAACTATATAAAAATATATTTTTTAAGTAGGAAGACTGTAATCCTTCTCTCCAAATACACTAAATCCTCATTTAATGTTGTTGATAGATTCTGTGGCTTTAGCAGAAGGACATACAGCAAAACCAATTTTCCCGTAGGCTGATTGAAATAAAGAAGAGTTAAATTCCTATGGCATATTTCTGGTTACAAAAACATTACCAAACTTCTAGATAAAGACAAAAACACTTCTAATATTACACATTGAAATAAATGTGAGCTATACGTACATTTGAGAAAAGATTAATCAAAACAAGACGATTATTTACCCAGTGGTTCCAGTTCAGGGTCACGGGTGGCCAGAGCCCACCATCTCTGCAGCTCTGGGTGCCAAATGGGACCCAGCCTGGACAGGATGCCCTCCCGTCTCAGGACACACTCACCCATACCCACACCCACTGAGACAGGGACCATTTAGACACACCAGTGAAGCCAACAGGCAGTTTTGGGATATGAAAGGAAAGCGGAGGACCCAGAGAAAACACAAGCAGGCATGGGGAGAACGTGCCAAATCGACACAGACAGTGACCCTGCCAGGAACAGATTTCTATATTCACATTGAAGTTGTAATGAAACAAAGCTGAATGCATTGACGTTATTTGAGGACCTGCGGCGCTCCAGGTAACCCAATTTCAACTCTTCCAAACATGAGTGCTAACTGCTATTTCCACCAGGGCGGTACATCAGTGCCACTTGTGGCCCTCCACTGGTGGTTGATATCAAGGATAGAGGGACTCAGGGCGTCACAGAAGAGGGAGCGGAAACCTGCCTACTGGATTCTCACCAAATGACTTCCTGCGTCTTTTCTCCCTGACACAATTATGCAGACATTTCTGCATTGTTATAAGGCTTTTCTTTTTGTCCAAAGACAATTAAAATGCTTCTTTCATAAAATTAGATGTTTTTCCAAAGGGTTGAGAAAGAACTAGAGAGCCCGGCTTTGTACCGTTCTCCTCTTCAAAACGCGGCGTTGCTGTCATTTCACTCTTGATCCCAAATCAGCTTTCTGAAAATACAGTCAAATCATGCTGGGCTGCCTAAATATATTTGCAGTGAAGTAGTGAATAATTTGAAGTGACTAGTATTCCACAAATGTTTTCTTTATATGAAATTTTCTGTTAAATTAAATAGAATCTCTTTATATCAAGAAAATCAAATAACCCCTACCTCTAAATTGAGTTCTTTTCCTTCTTTTATTTTTTGAATTCCATGCAAATGAAATAGAATGTTACTAAAAGTCACTGGTAAATCGTTCTGGATTTTTTTAGACTTTCATGTATACAGAAATAACCACTATGAGAAGCTGACGAGGTGAGGGATATGTTAATTAGCTCAAATGAATTTTTTTATAGTATGTACATAGATCAAAACATCACATTGTACTCTATAAATATGCATACTTATTATTTGTCCATTAAAAATACATTTTAAAAATTAAAAACAAGAAACAGCTGCAGAACTTTTCTACTAGCTTAGTACTTAGCTTTTGGACCTTTTCATCTAAAAGTTTATTTTTAGGAAAAGTTATCCTCATGGAATCTAATCCTGTGTGATTCCACTTGGGGGCATGTTTTGGTAATTGTGGAATTATGATAGGGACAGGGAATTCGATTCAGCAAATGTAAATTCAATGCATACAAATTAAATTTTCTTTTGAGTGAATATTATAATCTTTTTTTCAAGTTGAATCTCATGAACTACAATGAGTTTTGGTCTTCAACATATGAAGCCTCCTATTATTTTGGCTTTACTGAGTGAATTATGCCTGAAACTACCATGCTGAGGGGATGTGTACAGTGGAGACTTTTTTTTCTTTAAGAGATTGGAAATTTTTAAAAAAAAAATCCTAACATGGGCATTGCAATTTCTAATTATCATCATCATCATCATCATCATCATCATCATCATCATCATCTCCATCTCCATTTTTCCCCTTTACCTATTTGTTACTAGGTAAGTCCAAGTAGGTATCATCTCATCAAACTCTTATACTTTCCAAATGGATAGGTGTATAATTTCGACAATTTTCATATGAGCAACTAAAATGACATTGCACTAGGTCTGTAACCCCCTGTGTCTCCTTCGTGGTACGACATATAAATGTTTCATTTCCAATTCATGTAAATCTTCCATCTTTGCCAAGTATTACATTGTGCCTATGTGTAGTTAACTGGGCCTTGAATGGGAGGATACTTAAATAGCCGTCAGCTCTCGCCAATGTGAAATTACCTCCCAATGAACATCTTGCATAAATCTTTGTGGGTGAATTTTTTTAAAGATGGGAATGGATTATTTGATATTCAAGCATCCAGGAAATTCAACTTTGCAAATAGTCACTTCTTACACAATGGCATAATCAACCTGCGTCATGATTGTGTCTAAGACCAGGGCTCAGATACGGGGGTGCCTGGAGGTCTGCTTCCACTTGCACCCCCATTCTTCTTGCATGCGTTGACCCCGTTCACCTTTCCTTTTATTCTACCCATCCTACAGGCTCTTTTCTCTCTGAAACTTTCCTTCTTTTGTATAATTCTTTCCCCGATGTGGTTGGTCAGGCTGTTGACTGCTCTCTGATAATCTGGGGGACTAGAACTGTGTCTTTAGAGTTGCCTGCTGCCAAAAGCCATTTCATCTTTTTTCCTCCCTCAATGTCTGGAACAATGATTTGTCGACAATACTTGTTCAAACAGACTTTTATTTTTTCTTTCTGATGCCAGAACACCCAACACAAGTCAGTTTAAACTGACAAGAATTAGGCTGGGTGTGGTGGCTGACACCTGTAATCCTAACATTCTGGGAGGCCGAGGTGGGTGGATCACCTGAGGTCAGGAGTTCGAAATCAGCCTGGCCAACATGGAGAAACCCCATCTCTACTAAAAATACAAAAAAAAAAAAAAAAAAAGAAAAATTAGCCGGGCGTGGTGGCATGTACCTGTACTTCCAGCTACTCAGGAGGCTGAGGCAGGAGAATTGCTTGAGCCCAGAGGCGGAGGTTGCAGTGAGCTGTGATCGTGCTACCACACTCCAGCCTTGCTGACAGAGCAAGACTCCATCTGAAAAAAAACAAAAACAAAACAAAACAGAAAAACCCCAAACTGAAAAGAATGAAATGGCTAATACAATTGAAAAGTCTGGGGCCAGCCTCTGGATTCAGTGGGATCCAAGGTCTCAGTGGAGTGTGTGAAGATCTCTCTGCTTTTCTTGGCTGTCTTCTTCTGAATGGTGTCTACTCACTGTCACGTGGTCCCTTTGTAGTTCCAAGATAGGCTCCAGTCCCATCTCCAGCCTCTTAACAACTCCACGAGAAATCATTCAACACATGTTACTTGTATATCTATTACATGCAAGGCAATATTCTGCACTCTGGGGATAGATCAATGAACAAAACAGTCATAAATCTTTAGCTTACTTCTGCTGATTCTCTCTTCCACAAAAATGCTAACAATGTCTCAGTAAATTATTTCGGAGTGGTCTGGCATGGGTCACCAGCCCAACCCTAAAGTGAATGGGGGAATCAGCCCCACCGGGACTAGAGGGACTTAGCTGGGTTGGAGGGAAGTTCCCCAAAGGAACGTCATCAAGGCACTGTTGCCAGCAGGGTAAAGAATGGATGGTGCTAAGTAAGCAAAAACAGTAGCTGGCCACCATGCCCACCACCTTCAATCGATGTTCATTGATTTGCAGCCTGGCCAGCTCTGTGGTTCTTTTACTCCATGCTCTCCTGTTTCCTCAGTCAGGCCACTTTCGGCCCCAGTGTTGCTGACGCACAACTTTCTTCCCTTTGGCTGCAGCTCCAGATGAAGATGAGTGAGCGGGCCGCCTCGCTGAGCACCATGGTGCCCCTGCCTCGCAGCGCCTACTGGCAGCACATCACACGGCAGCACAGCACGGGACAGCTCTACCGCTTGCAAGGTAAGCGTGGGGCTACCTGTGTCCAGGGTGTGGGCCAGGCCTGGGAGTACTGGGGAGGGGGCTCAGCTCAACTCGCAGCTGCTGCATGCCAGCTGGTTAGTGCCCTTCCTCCAAAGGTAGGACCCCCATCAAGGCCTCACACACGAGGCACTTAATCTTTGTAGAGCCAAATATCTGTATGGCTCTAGAGATATTTGTATCTATCACAGTGTCCGGGGGGAAGTCACTTAAAATGAAGATTCTTGGGTTTCATCCCCAGAGACTCTAGATCTTAAGGCATAGGATGTGGCTGAGCAATCTGCACTTTTAACAGACCGTACACAGGGTCTGGGCGAGGGGCCAGGGACCAGGCTACAAGAAATGATGTAGTGGACTGATGAATCACAGCATCAGCATTACTTGAAGTCTTGCTAGAAATGCAAATTTCCATGCCCTTCCCCAGACCTACTGAATCAGGAGCTCTGAGGGTGGGGCCAGGCCACCTGTATTTGAACAAGTCCTCCAGGTGATTCTCCCGAGAGCTCAGGTCTAGGAGCCAATGTTTTGGTGGATGGGGCCCTGGACTGAGGCCAGAAGCCATGGCTTCAGGTTTGCTGAATGACTTTAGGCAAATCCTAGTAAGCTCTTCTTCTAGAGAAGTGGTCTCTGAAGCATGATGCAGAACAGCCCATAGTGTGGACAACATGAACAATGAAAAAATCTGCTTAAAATGGCCAGGCGTGGTGGCTCACGCCTGTAATATCAGCACTTTGGGAGGCCAAGGCGGTCAGATCACCTGAAGTCAGGAGTTGAAGGCCAGCCTGGCCAACATGGTGAAACCCTGTCTTTACTAAAAAAAATACAAGGCCGGGCGCAGTGGCTCACGCCTGTAATCCCAGCACTTTGGGAGGCCGAGGCGGGCGGATCATGAGGTCAGGAGATCGAGACCATCCTGGCTAACACAGTGAAACCCCGTCTCTACTAAAAAACACAAAAAAATTAGCCGGGCGTGGTGGCGGGCGCCTGTAGTCCCAGCTACGCGGGAGGCTGAGGCAGGAGAATGGCGTGAACCCGGGAGGCGGAGCTTGCAGTGAGCCGAGATAGCGCCACTGCACTCCAGCCTGGGTGACAGAGAGAGACTCCGTCTCAAAAAAAAAAAAAAAAAAACAAAATTTAGCTGGGCGTGGTGGCATGTGCCTGTAATCCCAGCTGAGTCAGGGGAATCACCTGAACCTGGGAGGCGGTGGTTGCAGTGAGCCAGAATTGCACCATTGCACTCCAGCCTGGGCAACAAGAGCAAAACTCCATCTCAAAAAAAAAAAATTCTATTTAAACCTATCCTTTCAAACATATTTGTTTTGTTTTGTTTTTCATTTCATAGTACATAAGAATAGCTTATTATGTTATGCGCCTTTGTGGGGGATACTTGTAAAAAAACTCTTTTTTTTTTTTTTTTTTTTTTTTTTTTGAGACAGAGTCTCGCTCTGTCGCCCAGGCTGGACTGCAGTGGCGCGATCTCGGCTCACTGCAAGTTCCGCGCAAAAAAACTCTTTAATGATGAGGTACAAGACCACCAAACTGGAAATAGAGTGCACTGGACTACACGTAGTTTACGTGCAGAAATTTGCTGAATAATTGAATGCAAGAATGAATGAATGACCATGGAAGACTATGGCCTTAGTCCTCCATGCTCGCTCTGAACCCTCAGTCCTCCATGCCCGCTCTGAACCCTCAGTCCTCCATGCCCGCTCTGAACCCTCAGTCCTCCATGCCCGCTCTGAACCCTCAGTCCTCCATGCCCGCTCTGAACCCTCAGTCCTCCATGCCCGCTCTGAACCCTCAGTCCTCCATGCCCGCTCTGAACCCTCAGTCCTCCATGCCCGCTCTGAACCCTGGTCACAACAGCATTTTTTTCTCAGTCTTTGCTGTTGGTCCTTTCTCCCCCAGGCAGCTTTTCCTGTATGCTGCGCCCGTCCCTCATCCTAGTTAACTCCTGCTCACCTCCAGGTCTCACCTCCAGCGCCCCTCAGGCTCCAAGAAAGCCCTCAGGACTTTCTTGTAACTGGAGTGGACATCTCTGATGACGTGCACTCATAAGATGCAGATGATGGCCGGTTTTCATTTCATATTTATGTGGCCAATTGACTCATGGTCAGCTCTCCCAGGAAGCAATAATGTACAGGAGGGCAGGAGAGCTGTGCCTCCTTCTATCTTTATCATTTTATCCCCCGGCACCTTGTATGCCTTCCATCAGGATTTGTCGAAAGAATGCATAATGTTAAGAAAGCACTGGGGGTATTTACATTTTAGTTTTCATGACTCTGTGCTCTGTTCACTAGCAGAGAGCATGGCACATAGCAGATGCTGCAAAAAAAAAAAAAAAAAAAAAAAAAAAAAAAGATACTGAGTGCCTCTGTGAGCAGCTGAGCAAACGACTGAATTAATAATTGACAAATAAGCTTACCTTCCAAGATTTCTCTGCAGAGAGAGTGAGTTAGATTGGGTTGTCACAATGCCACTGATTCTCACTTAAACTTCAAAAATGTTTGCAATATTTGAGTTATATCATCACAATTTTTGTCATATACATACCAGAATGTTACTCGATTTTACTCTCTTCTATTTTAATATACTTCTTTAAAAAAAGCATATTTTACTACCTTAATACTGTTATATCCACTGGTTATACTGTTTTTTTTTTTTTTTTTTTTTTTTGAGACAGGGTCTGGCTCTTCGCCTAGGCTGGAGTGCAGTGGTGCGATCATGGCTCACTGCAGTCTCAACCTCCTGGGCACCAGTGATCCTCCTGCCTTAGCCTACCAAATAGCTGGGACTACAGGTGTGTGCCACCAAGCCCAGCTAATTTATTATTTTTAGTAGAGAGGGTGTCTTACTATGTTGCCCAGACTGGTCTCAAACTTCTGAGCTCAAGTAGTCCTCCTGCCTCGGCCTCCCAAAGTGCTGGAATTATAGATATCAGCCACTGCACCCAGCTAGTTATGCTTTTTAATAGACAATAAAATAAATAATAAGTATTGAAGATTTAAAAGATGTTCACAGAGTACCTAAAATTATCTTGCTTATCAAAAGTGGCTATTTAAACAAGTACATTTAAAAAAAAAGTTTTATTCTTCTACCTATACTACCTACCTTCCCTCTCCCCTACTTTTCATACCCCTTAGAAAAAGGAAATAGGATTGGGAAAAGTTAATGACTTGGGGGCCTGGGGTGTGCCATATGATGAAGTTACAGAGCCTTTAATTTCTTCTTGTTTTGCTGATGATTATGGGTTGTAATTCCTCTGGCCAATTCACCTACATTGATGAATTTCAGGCTTTTTTTTTTTTTTTCTGGCAAATCTGGAGGTTAAGGTTGGAAATCATACAGACCCTTAAGGAGGAATTTAACAAATTGGTTTGAGAATAATGGTCATTTTCTTCAAATGTAGTCTTCGAGAGCCCCCTGCTGGTTGATTTGGGAATTATCATTTTACTACAGTTTTTGGTGGGGAAAGGGAGGTGGCTGGTTTTGACACGTGCCACACAAGACATACCTAATCTACCTTCACTGCTTCTCCCACGTCGTTTTAAAATTTTCATAGAAATTCTCTTCTATGATTATGCAGATACAAAATCAACATTGGAAGTAGGTTTATAATGAAAACTGTCTGGGCGTGGTGGCTCACACCTGTAATCACAGCACTTTGGGAGGCCGAGTTGGGTGGATCTCCTGAGATCTCGAGTTCAAGACAAGCTTGGCCAACATGGTGAAACCCCACCTCTACTAAAAATACAAAAATTAGCTGGGCATGGTGGCGGGCGCCTGTAATTCCAGCTACTCGGAAAGCTGAGGTGGGAGAATCGCTTGAACCCAGGAGGCAGAGGTTGCAGTGAGCCATGATCATGCCACTGCACTCCTGCCTGGGCAACAAGAGTGAAACTCTGTCTCAGTTAAAAAAAAAAAAAACAAAAAAACTATGGAAGAAACTTACAGAAGCAATCAACAAGTTTATGTTGAATACTATTCACTGGATTCTTTTAGGAATGCATTGGATAAAATAACAGCAGTTACATCAGTAGCATTTCCCAAATTATGTTCCTTGGAAAGCTAACTCTGGTAGACAGCACCTTTCCCCTAAGAAAGGTTACTGTGGTCAAACGCGTCTGGGGGAAATGCTACATGTTAAGTTCTCATGGAGAGTCAGAAAACAAATCAATAATTTCAGGGCTCTGAGATGCCCTGCAATGAAAAACCTGATTAAACTTGTTTAAACCAAAGCTCTGCACATCTATTTGGACATGAAACTTCTTTTCCTTCTTGTTATATGAATAAGCATTCACGTGCCACCAGTGCAGTGCTGAAATCTCAGATTTCATCATTACGAGGGAGACAAGCCATATTCAATGGGGTCTTTCTAAAAGCTACTCTTTCTGAGGACCTACTGTGTACCAGCTTTCCGCTGGGACCTAACATACATGATCTCATTTAGATCCCAAAACAGCTGCCCGAAAGGGTATTTTATTCTCATTTGCTGTTAGGAAACTGAGAATTTGAAGGGTTATTAATGGGTCCAAGACTACCTATCTAGTAAGTAACAAAGATTTTAAGGTTTTTCTCTCTCATTCTTCCATCCATCCATTCTTTGTTTACTCAGTAAACGTTTATTGAGCATCTAGTTTAGGCCAAGCGCTGTGCTAGATGACAGACATACCTGGGACTCCTAGGCAGGGATATTCCTTCCCTCTCGGAGCTTATAATCTAATGGAGAGTCACAATCCATAATCAAGCAGACATAGTTAATTTCAGATTTGGTATATGGAACAGTGGAAAAGAAAGTTTTTATGATAAAGAAAGTGAGGCAGAGCTGTTGGTTTTGAGAAGATGCTGACAAAGGGACTTCTTGAGATGGGGTAGTCAGTGGAAGCCCCTGCAACACCCCAAGACCTTAAGTCTAAAAGAGGCAGCCATACCGAGAGCCAGGGGAAGGCATTCTCCATAGAGAGGTCAGCAAATGCAAAGGCCCTGAGTCAGAAATGAGCTGCGGGCATTCAAAGATCAGGAAGGAGCCAGTGTGGCTGGTGCCTAAGGGACATAAAGAGACAGCCGGGGTGGTGAATACAGGTAATCAAGACTTGCTTATTCTAAGTGTGAGGGGAAGCATTAGAGGGTCCTCAGCATGGCAGTGTCAGATTTAATCGATATTTTCATTCAAGGGATTGCAAGAGAACAGGAGAGGAAGTGGGAGACTAGCCCCAAGGCCGTTGCACATGAGCACCGGAGTGTCTGGCCTCAGTACAATGTTCCTCTAACTCTCTCACCTCCTTCTCAAAGTTATCATCTCAGCAATCTTTACCCTTAGGCCAAGGTGCTTCATTGCTCCAGTGTTTTCCGAACTCTTCTGTGGGAATTGCCTTGGAAGATAGCATCACTGTTTCAAAACAAAAACAAGAAAAACTAGGCACCTATATCATAGATCGGACCTAAGATAATTTGAGGAAATCAAAGAGTGGCACTAAACAGTTGTGTCACTGAACCAGGCGTCTTCCATGTAGCCTTATGGGGTTCTCCTGACAACCATGGGAGTTGGTGAGAGTGGGACTATGGTCTCCATTTCAATGACTGAAGAAACAGAGACCTTTGGAGGTTAAGGTCTTACTCCAGGCCACATGGCTGGTGGATGTAGGCGAGACCCCCTCCCTACAAAAAATCCAAGAATTAGTCACGTGTGGTGGCACACACCTGTGGTCCCAGTTACTTGGGAGGCTGAGGTGGGAGGATCACCTGAGCTCAAGAGGTTGAGGCTGCAGTGAGCTGAGATCACGCCACTGCACTGCAGCCGGGGCGAAAAAAAATACATACAAATAAAATAAAATAAAATAAAAACAACATTGTTTTGAATGTGTGTGGGTGGGGCGGACATGCTCCACTGGCTGCAATCCTGTTTCTTGTGCCTGCTTGATCCACACATTTACTCACCAAGGCTGCGGAAGTTTGTTCCAAAGGCTTTGCGGTGAGTCCTGAGATCTTCACCTAGCCGTGTACATTTCTTTGCTTGCGGTAACCGTTGGCCAGCAGGTGGCAGTAGAACCTCTAGTTTTTGTTAAATCAGGGACGCATTATCTACAGGGATTGGCAAACAATGGCTTGTGAGCCAGATCCAGCCTGCTGACTATTTTCATTAATAAAGCATTATTAGGACGACATTCATTACATATTAACTGTGGCTGCTTTTGTGCTACAGGCAGCAGGGCTCAGTAGTCGCAATGAGACCATATGGTCTGCAAAACCTAAAATATTTAGTGTCTGGCTCTTTCTAGAAAATGCTTGACAACCCTTATATTATTAATATGTCACAAAGGGGGCTAATAGGGATCTTGTGTGTTGCCTTCTTGACTTTTTAAACTCTGTTTGGTCTGAAATCTAAACCTGAAATAATAAAGGCTAAATGAATTTTAGGAAGTTCTCCTTAACATTTACAAGATTACCAAAGTATAAGCATAAGACTGCCTTATTGCTGCTCAGGTTTCCAGAATATTCTAGCTAAAAGTTTCCATAGTTCTGTTTCTATCTCATTTCTCCTGAATACCCTGGATATGGGGATTGATGCAGATGAAAAATTAAGGAAGAAAATAATTGCTAATGGACTGACCATGGCTCAGCCCAAAGGCCACATGCAAATGATACGTAAATCATGCAATCTCTGTGACTCATTTACATATCATCCTGAGAGGCCTTTGGAAAAAATTCTGCCTTAAGTACATTTACTTATTTCTGTTATAGAGAAAGTTGTTGCCACCTAATTTGATTGTGGGCTTTCTTGAAATGTAACTGTTGATTTTAAATTCTTTTTGGAAAAGATGTTTCCAGCCCTCTGAAGCTTCATCGAACAGAGACTTTTCCAGCCTACAGATCTGAGCACTGACAGTAACTGCCAAGAATTGTTAACACACTTGTGATGTGTCAGCCACAGATTCACCCAGGAGGTCACAGAATGACAGCAAGGGAAATGACGACCAAGAGAAGAAGCTTAAAGTCCTGGCTAATTGTGTGGTCATTGGAAAACTCTGCAATACAATAATTTTCTTTATTTTCTTTTTCTTTTTTAAATTCTTAGTGTAATTGAAACGTGCTCTATAGATATTGACTCTGTGTTCCCTCTTTTACAGCTGGACAGAAAGAAGTCAATGTCACGAAATGATTTTCTATTGTAGATACTTTGTCCCTTGCACTTCTCTGAATCTGTCCTTTTGTGGATTCTTGTGATTTTCCTTCCAAGTGTTTCAGTTGTATGACAGTCAGTATTGACAATAAAATGGCTTTTAATTATTTGTTATTTGTTTACACCCTATTCCTCAGTTATTATTACTGTGGTTCTGATTAACTACTGGAAATTATATTTGATTATATCACCAATTAGTTAAATCAGTGCTTCGACTCACTCTTATCTGTTCTGTTCAAAACTATTTGTTCAAAGAACCCGTTAGTGTTGTTTACAGGGTTACAGTTTCTCTCACATGCTTTCCTCACCCCTTTACCCCCCTTTTTGAAAGCCTTTATTTTGTTCGGAGTCTCTTCATAAAACATTTGAAAATAAAAGATCATTCTTCACCCATATGTTCTTTGGATTCTGGCAACATGTTTTTCTCTATCCTAGGTATTTCTGAAGGGTGTGTGGACATTTTGCATGTGAGCTGTGAGTGTATTGTGTGTTGTGTCTAATATGAATCCAACCATTCACGCATTTGCTCACTCATTCATTAATGTGGTCTGTATTGAGCATCTATGAGTTTCCGGCACTGTACTGGAGTTCAGGGATGTAGAAATCAAAAGACAGTCTTTGTTGCCAAAGACCTTAATTCCAGAAGAGTGCCACAAGAAAATCAAGTTGGAAATATCATACAGTGACACCTGCCAAATGGGCCCCCAGTGGCCATGAACTTCTAAAGAGAAGGTCAGTGCTGGATGTGAGTTGAATTTTGTGAGCACCTAAAGTTAGAGTTCCTCTAAAGCTGCAGAGCAAGCAGGGATGGCGCCTGCCTGGTTCACTACTCTTTGCCAGATAAAATACAGGATACCCAATTAAATTTGAACTTCAGATAAGCAATGCATAGTTTTATAGATCTGAGTTAGCTGGGATTTCCTAGCACACTGCTGCTCAGGATATGTTTTTTAAGCGGTTGAGAAATACTGGGGAAAGGATTGAATTCAACTAACAATTAATTAGTAGATTAGGGTATATAAATTGTTTAGTGCTAATGGCTTCCCCGAAATGCATGTGTGTTCTCTCTGGGTTCTCTGTAGCTACTTTTCACACAATTTTAGCTGATCCTACTTCTCTCAGGGGTCTTCATTTTTGTCTTTTAAAAATTTGGTTTGCCAGGCACATTTGATAATTACTTCACTGTTCATTTTCCTGACTTTATCTGGTTCTTATTTATTTTCTTTCTCTAAGACTGTCTCATCAGAGATTCTCCATGATTCCCAGGGCCTTGGCAGCCAATGGGAGAATTACGTTGAAGAAGTAGATAAAGGAAATGGAATTAAAGAAATAATTATAATTTTAATGAAGTTAAAATTACTGAAGCAAGCCTCAAGCTAATGAGTGTGAAAAGAAATGTTGCTGAATGTAGGTAACTAGAAGTGAGAACCTCTTTGAGGATTTTTAAGAAAAGAAACGTATTGACAGAAAAGAGCATTCGATTCGGTTATGCTATCAGCTTTTATTTATGGCCGGGCACAACGCTAAGTGCTTTTGTGGTATTATCTCAATCGCCCCAATAGCTCCATGAGGTAAGTATAATTATCTTCATTTTACAGACGGGGAAACCGAGCTCAAGGAATCTAAATGATGTAATTAATATGCCCAAGATCTTTTACCTATTAAATGATAGATTCATGTTTGAACTCAGGTAATCTGATTCCTAAATCTGCTTTGTAAATCCCTAAGGCTGGCTTCCTTAGGGGAAAGCAAACTTATTCTGTAAAGAGTTGAGATGCAAATATTTTAGGCTTTCTGGGTCATATGGTCTCTGTTGCCTTCCGGTGCAAAAGCAACCATAGACTGTTTTGTATTTTGTTTTGTTTTGTTTTTTGAGATGGAGTCTCGTTCTGTTATCCAGGCTGGAGTGCAGTGGCACCATCTCGGCTCACTGCAGCCTCCCTCTCCCAGGTTCAAGCAATTCTCCTGCCTCAGCCTCCTGAGTAGCTGGGATTACGGGCACGTGCCACCACGCCCGGCTAATTTTTTTGTGTGTATTTTTAGTAGAGATGGGGTTTCACCATGTTGGCCAAGCTGGTCTTGAACTCCTGACCTCAAGTGATCCGCCTGTCTCGGCCTCCCAAAGTGCTGGGATTACAGGTGTGAGCCACCGTGCCCAGCCTGCTTTTAACATAGATAAACAGATAGGCATGGCTATTTCAATTAAACTTTATTCACAAATACAAGTGGCAGAGTTGACTCTTATTTCTGGATCCCCTGCTCTAAAATAAAAACCTCAAATGCTATCTTATATTAATTTCACAGTTTCAGGTAGAAAACATAAGAAATTTAAATACTTTACTATCTGGCCTTAAATAAGGGGAGTGATAATTTGAAGTGATTTCGATTTTTTTCTAAATCCCTACCTCAAGTAGTGAACATAGTGTGAGAAAGTTTTTCAAAGCTGTGGTGGATTTTTACCTAATGCACACTAAATTCTAAAGCATTCGTGGTAACTTGCAAATAAACTGGGGTCTGGAGGCTAAACTATGATGTTTCTGTTTTAATTACATATTAGAAAAAGCAACTTTTTTCTTTTGGTGGGAGGTGAGGATGGGGGAGCAGGGAAGTAAATCTCATATTCCTCTTTGCATCCTCAACTCTGTTAAAAATATCTTTTTTTTTACCCAGTTTAAGGCAGGATATTGCAGTAGTGATTAAAATGCTCTCAAGGAAGACTGCTTGAGTTTCTGAAATTTATTCATTCATTTTCCAAGTACTTATTTAACAGTATATATGGGTATGCCAGGATGTATACAGGAAAAGTGTGTTTGCCTTCACCATGCCTGATCCACAGACTCAATTTGTAAGCCAATTGCTCAGGAAACAGAAAAACTAACAAGAACATACATTTGTATGAGAAGACATTTTATTATTTCTTCTTTGGGCAATCTTGACTTTTGAGAAAGAGAATACTTTATGAGCTTGAAATACTGTATAAACTATATTAAAGAAAATCTTTCCTTTGGTCCTGGAAAAAAACACATAGATGTTCAGATTTCCATTAAGACAGCAAACTGGAAATTTCCCTTTGATATTCAGGTTTTAAATTCTGTAGATTAAATACTGGGCAAAGGTAAGTCTGCCCATCTTCTCATGAAAATCAACAGTTGGCTGATTTCACTGCAAACTCATTGGATCAATCTGTTGTGATTTGATTCAGCCAAGGCAGGACCAAGTGATAATCTTTTGCCTGGATCTGCACTAAATAAAGTACCATCACCCACACTCCCCTCTCTAAGCTAGCAGTTCTTAAATGTTGGCAAAGACACTTATTCACTAGATCTAGGGTGGAGTCCATAAATTTACATTTTCGATCAGTGTTTCTAGGTAACTCCAGTGCAGGTTTTGGTAAATGGCATAAAATCTCATTTTAAGAAAGCTCAAGGAGACAGAAATGCAGGGAGTACCCATCAGGTAAGACTTGAGGCACCTGGAGGCAATTGACAATGCGCTTTTATCCAAGACACCTGTGAAAAGTCAGGTGGTAGAGCCAAGCCAGTGCCTCCATTCGAGTGGGCTGCCCAAGACGCTTCCCTTGTCAGGAGATGCAGAATTCTGGCACACAGGTAAAGACGCGATTCCGTACCTGGGATAACACACAGGAAGGGGAGATGTGCTGTAATTGCAGCTCCAGAGGTGGGATTCCAGGAGGCATTTTCAACGTCGCTGCAATAGTTTCTTTGTTGCTATAACAACTAATAAGGAGACTTGGTTTGACCTTCTTTGTTTCTCTGAGATGCCTGAAGTTTGAGGCCTTCCCACACTGTTTTTTTTAATAGGAAAGAGCCGCCAGCCAGGGGCTGCTTGTGAAAGCAAAGCAGAGACTGCAAAAAAGGCAGGCAGGGTGAGGAAGTGAAGGAAGCGAGAATCCAGCTGCTCTAGCTCAGGCATCAGCACTGAGCCACCAGCCAACCTGTCTTACTTCCTTTCTCCAAGTTCTTTCATTTTTATTATAATAACAAATTTATTATCTTTGGCCTTTGGTGAGGCTGCTTTCTGTCCTCTACAGAAAAGCAGGAGTTGCTTAGGGGGATTTACAGATATTGCAGATGGGTAATGCTATAACTTGGCTCTGTGTCCCCAGCCAAATCTCTTGTCGAATTGTAATTCCCAGTGTTGAGGGAGAGGCCTCGTGGGAGGTGATTGAATCATGGAGGTGGACTTCTCGCTTGCTGTTTTCGTGATGGAATTCTCACAAGAGCTGGTTGTTTGAAAGTGTCTAGGGCTTCCCCCTTCACTCTCTCACTCTCTCTTCTGCCGCCATGTGAAGAAGGTGCTTGCTTCCTCTTCACTTTCCGCCATGACTGTCAGTTTCCTGGGGCCTCCCAGTCATGCTTCCTGTTAAGCCTGTGGAACTGAGTCAATTAAACCTCTTTTCTTCATAAATTACCCAGTCTCAGGTAGTTCTTTGTAGAAGTGTGAGAACAGACTAATACAGATAAGGTTTAGTATTTTTTGTTTGAAAAGCCAAAGTTTACATATATAAAGGTTATATGTAAAACAAAAATGAGTGGTGATTGAGTTTTATGCCTCTACAAAATAGGTTGTGAATTAACTTCAACATCTGTTGAAATGCATCAACTGGGAAATGTCCACCTCCTTAATACAGGGCTCAAATAAGAATAATACCTTGGGATACCACAACATTTACATTTGATACCCCCTGTGATCTTAGAGGAAGCTACTATACCTAAAACAATTATGCCTTCCTTTAACCATGAACATAGTATCATTTTTGCCTGCATTCTCTATAAATGTACCCATTGTGCAAAGATATCCCACAGTGGGGATCGATTCCTTGACTTAATGAGTCATGTATTAAAATTAAATATTTTCCATTTTCAAATGTTCTTGACAAATCGGGAACCCCTGGACCCACTAGTTTAAATAAGTTAATATGGCTAAACATAATGTTTTGCAATATGTAAATGTTTTGAAGGTTATTGGGTATTCCATTTCATCCTTTTGCGAGTTTTAGTAGATTGGGTCTTTCAAGGAATTAATTGGTCCAACTGATCTAGTTATCAAATTTGTGGGTATGGAGTTTATAATCTTCTAATTTCCTTTCAGTGTCCATGGGATCGGATATGGATGGCCTGGCTTTTATCTTTGATATTAGTAACTTGTATCTTTTCTCTTTTATCTTGGTTAGTATGGCTTATTTATCAATTTTATTGTTCTCTTCAAAATAACAGCATTTTGAAATTATGTATTTATTTTAGATTTAGGGAGTATAAATGCAGTTTTGTTGCCTCACTATTGCGTAGTGCTGATATCTGGGCTTCCAGTGAACCCATCATTCGAATAGTGAACACCATACCCATAAGTAATTTTTCAAACCTCACCCACTTCCCAACCTCCCACTTTTGAAGTCTCCAGTGTCTGTTATTCCACCCTGTATGATCTTGTATACTCATTTTTAGCTCCCACTTGTAAGTGAGAACTTGAGGTATTTGACTTTCTGTTTCTGAGTATTTCACTTAGGATAATGGCCTCCAGCTTCATCCATGTCGCTGTAAAAGACATAATTTCATTCTTTTTAATGGCTGCATAGTATTCCATGGTATGCACTTATATAATTTATTTTTATTCTTTATCTATGTGATATATATGAATATATATGTATATCACATTTTCTCTAATCATCTGTTGATGGACACTTAGGTTGATTCCATGACATTGTTATAATGAGAAGTGCTACAGTAAATATATAAGTGCAATTATCTTTTTAATGTAGTGATTTCTTTTCCTTTGGGTAAGATTCCAGTGGTGAGATTGCTGAATGGAATGGCAGTTCTATTTTGAATTCGAGAAATCTCCACACTTTTTTCCATAGAGGTTGTACTGATTTACATTCTCACCAACAGTGTATAAGTGTGTCCTTTTCTTTGCATCCTCACCAATATCTGTTGTCTTTTTTTTTTTTTTTTTTGAGGCAGAGTCTCACTCTGTCACCCAGGCTGGAGTGCAGTGGTATGATCTCGGCTCACTGCAACCTCCGCCTCCCAGGTTCAAGCAATTCTCCTGCCTCAGCCTCCCAAGTAGCTGGGATTACAGGCTCCTGCCACCACGCCTGGCTAATTTTTTGTATTTTTAGTAGAGACAGGGTTTCACCATGTTAGCCATGCTGGTCTCGATCTCTTGACTTTGTGAACCGCCCGCCTTGGCCTCCCAAAGTGCTGGGATTACAGGCTTGAGCCACGGTGCCCAGCCTTGTCTTTTTAATAATAGCCAACTGACTGGTGTCGGATGGTATCTCATTGTGATTTTAGTTTGCAGTTCTCTGGTGATTAGTGATGTGGAGCATTTTTTCATGTTTGTCGGCTGCTTTTGGTTGTCTTTTGAGAAATGTCTGTTCATGCCCTTTGCCCACTTTCTAATGGGGTTATTTGTGTTTTTTCTTTTTGAGTTGGTTGAGCTCCTTGTAGATTCTCGGTATTAGCCCTTTGTCAGATGCATGGTTTGCAAGTATTTTCATTTAAGCTCTGAATTTTATCAGACCATGACTGCTCCTCTCTGTGTTTCTATGCTACATTTACATTTGCTTGTTTACATAGAAAACCCTAAAAGGCCAAAGACCAGATTTAATTGTTTGTTTTTGTAGTAGACAGTTACCTCACTAGGCCTACTTCTGTAGCAAGACAGATGAGGAACAATGGAAGGCCTCTATAACAAAAGTCTTCAAACTCTGGTCTGAGGGCCAAAGCCAGCCTATTCCCTGCTATTGTAAATAAAGTTTTATTGGCAGACAGCCATGTCCATTTGTTAAAGTATTATTTGTGGCTGCTTTTGTGCTGCACCAATAGACTTGAGTGGTTGCAACAGGGACCGTATGCCCTCTGCAGGGCAGTTTGGCCAAGCTCTCCTCTATATGATCCCCACCCTCAAACGAACCAATGGATCATCCAGGCTCCAGGCTGCTGCTCACATGTCTTGCCACATGTACTACTTGTGAAATTAATGTTCTCCCTGTAATGGAACATTTAGCCATTTCCTGAACAGGGCCTGCTCCCTCTCACTGCAGGAGTCATTGTATCTTCTGTTTCTTTTGCCTACAAAAATCCTCCACTCTTTCAAAAGTGATACTTTCTCAGACTTCAACTTAAGCACCAGGCACCCAGAAGTCCTCCCTGAGACCTCCAAGCCAGAGGAAGAAGAAGTGGCCAGCTATATGGTTTTATTTTGTTTTGTTTTATTTTACTGTTTTTGAGACAGGGTCTCACTCTGGAGTACAGTGGCACAATCATGGCTCACTGCAACTTACACCTCCCAGGTTCAAGCCATCCTCTCATCTCTACCTCCAGAGTAGCTGGGACCACACGTGCATGCCAGCACACCTGGCTAAATTAAAGAAAAAAAGTATAGATGGGGTCTCGCTGTGTTGCTCAGGCTGATCTCGAACTCCTAGCCTCAAGCAATTCTCCCACCTTGGCCAGGATTACAGGGATGAGCTACCGTGCCTGGCCCAGCTACATGTTTTTAAAGTACTCTGAACACTGCACATGTTGCACTCATAACTGTTTTACATTTTTGTGCAGTGGTTGTGATCTCTGCTGTCTCCATGCCTCTGCAAGCTTTCTGAGGGCAGGTGCTATATCTATTTGGTTTAGCTTTGTAACACCAGCAGCAAATGAAGCGCCTAATTAATCTAGCAGATGGCTTATAAATATTCATTTCATAAGTAAATAAATGGAAAGTGAGATAGCAATGAATACATTATAAAATCATGTTGTAAGGCAGAGTAGTTTTTTCCTCAGATAAGTCATATAGGGATAAGTGCTGGGGATGTACGCGCTAGTACCATTCCTGGAACTCCCACCATGTGCTGCAATAATGCTTAACACCATCCCTGCAAGGTGTCCCCCCTTTTAGCCCCTACTACTGCGTTTCATGCTGTAGAATCTAAAGCAGTGACACTTAAAGCAACTTGGCTCCAGGGCTTAGAAGCTAGGCTGCAAATCCAGGAGTCTGGCTCTAGAGTTCACACGCTTCTGTACTTTTGATTCCTAAGTGGTGTGCCAAGGTACCCCAGAAGACCACAGTAAACTCACAGAGATGCTGTGGATACATTCATTTTTGCAGGAAATAGCGATTCTCAACATCTCTTGGACCCTTGGGAATTACTGGCTTGAGGATGTTCAGTTTTAACATGATATCACACGAAATTCATTTTCATGATACCACATTTTTTGTGAAGCTGGGTCTTTGGCCGTTGTTTTGATTAAAAAAGCAAATACTCTGTGAAAATCAATGTGGATCAGGAGATGAGGGGGGTGGTGTCCAATCTGATTCCCAGGTTTGAGGGACCACAATGCTCAACACACACACACAGAGACAACATGAACAAGTAATTATAGTTACTTAGGAATGAAATACAAGTATTTTTTCTTTTGACGTAGGTGTTGTTTTAATGGCTACCAATGTATCAGGAAATAAATACTGATTACATTGTTTGGATTTAACAGCTTAATAAATGGAACTGCTAGATATTTCTTTTGGCCTAAGAGTACTAGGAGAAGTATCACTGTGACATTAAGGGCACCATGAACAGGGAAAGCAGGAAAGCTCCCGCTCTGCATTGCCTTCTGCCTGGGGACAGCCCTGAGATGCAGGTTCTGTGGCTTGAGTGCCTAGCCCTGTATAGGACACACAAGCAGGGCTGGTTTCATGGATGTGCAACCCAGGCAGCTGCACAGGTCCCCATGCTCAGAAGCGTCCCACACTTGATTTAATGCTCTGCTGTAACCTTCTTGAAATTCTCAGTGTTTCCTTCTTTGAACTTGTGTTTTATAAGTAAAGTCTGATGGAATAATGGAGCCTGCCTGTGAGCAGAAGAGATATCTGCAGACTGAGTGAGCGCCTTGCAGCTTTATTTGCATGTAGCATTCACGATGCCCCATGAACACAGAATTCCAGGGGACCTGAGGTGCGTGGCAGTGAGTCCCAACGCAAATACAAACTATGAAAGGAAAATAAATCTTGGGACACCAAAATCATGAAGCCAAAGGGAAAAATAGTCAGGCTGGGAACTGCTTAGGGCAAACCTAACTTCCACTCTATACCTAAAATGATAGCTACTAAGATAAAACAGCTGCATACTTCCCTCCCTAGGAATTTCCTTGTGGACAAAAGATAGACAGAATTCAAAGTCATCCCTCTGCTCACTGAGATAAACGCATATCTGATGGCCTCCTTTGGAATGGCTAATCAGAAACTCAAAAGAATGCAACCATTTGTCTCTTACCTACCTATGACCTGGAAGGCCCCTCTCCGTTTCAAGTCCCACCTTTCCAGACTGAATCAGTGTACTTTTTTTTTTTATTTTTTATTTTTATTTTTGAGACAGAGTCTTACTCTGTCACTCAGGCTGGAGTGCAGTAGCGCACTGCAACCTCCGCTCCCCGGGTTCAAGCAATTCTCTGCCTCAGCCTCCCGAGTAGCTGGGATTACAGACATCCGCCACTACGCCCGGCTAATTTTTTGTATTTTTAGTAGAGACGGGGTTTCACCACGTTGGCCAGGCTGGTCTTGAACTCCTGACCTCGTGATCCACCTGCCTTGGCCTCCCAAAGTGCCGGGATTACAGGTGTAAGCCACCACACCCGGCCCCAGTGTACATCTTTCATGTATTGATTGATGTCTCATGTCTCCCTAAAATATATAAAACCAAGCTATGCCCTGACCACCCTGGGCACCTGTCATCAGGACCTCCTGAGGCTGTGTCATGGGCGTGTGTGCTAAACTTTGGCCAAATAAACTTCCTAAATTGAGACCTGTCTCAGATACCTGGGGTTCAAAAGGGAAGTATGTCACCTCTGTCGCTGAGTAAGAGGGGCCACGGCCCCGAAGCGGCTTTTCCTTTGAATCAGAGCTTGCTTCAAATGCAGAAAGAAGGCAATGGCATTCTAAGAAATATAAACATCTGAGGAAGCCTATTTCAACCTTTCTTACGTACATTGCTTCCTCGTACAACACAGAAGGAAAAGCAAATCTGGAGCAACCCGGATTTCCTTCCTTGTTCATCAGTAAGCCAGTGGTAGTGTTACTGGAAAAGGGTCCCAATCCAGACCCAAACAGAGGGTTCTCGGATCTCACACAAGAAGGAATTTGAGGTGAGTCTATAAAGTGAAAGCAAGTTTATTATGAAAGTAAAGAAATAAAAGAATGGCTCCTCCATAGGCAGAGGAGCCCTAAGGGCTGCTGGTTGCCCATTTTTATGGTTATTGATTATATGCTAAACAAGGGGTGGATTATTCATGAGTTTTCCAGGAAAGGAGTGGGTGATTTCTGTAACTGAGGATTCTCCCCTTTTTTAGACCATGCAGGGGAACTTCCTGACATTACCATGGATTTTGTAAACTGTCATGGTGCTGGTGGGAGTGTAGCAGTGAGGACGACCACAGGTCACTCTCATCGCCACCTTGGTTTTGATGAGTCTTAGCCCGCTTCTTTATTGCAACCTGTTTTATCAGCAAGGTCTTTATGACCTGTATTTTGCAGACCTCCAATCTCATCCTGTGACTTAGAATGCCATAACTATCTGGGAATGCAGCCCAGTAGGTCTCAGCTTTATTCTACCCAGCTCGTATTCAAGATGGAGTTGCTCTGGTTCAAATGACTCTGACAGTGGAGTGTCGGTAGAATATGCATGTATCAAGTAATGAGATGCAAAGAAGTGGGGTAGTTCTATGCAGCATTTCTGCTGTTTTGGCAAGAAGAGAACACATAAGCAAGTATATGAGCTAGGAAAAATGAGCTGTGTAATTTTCGTGATTCAGCACATGAATTACATGTTCTTATATTAACATTTAGAAAGGACATTATACAATATAAAGGTAAATGGTGAAATTCATGCCCATAATTTAAAATTTCAGTTTTTTGTTTTTACTTATGACATCAAATAGCAATAAAAAACCTACAATGACAAGTTGAGAGGAAGAAAGGAAAAATGTTTGTATTTTAGTTCCTTTGACCCACTTTTTTTCCTGCTTTTGGAACAGGAAGTTCACGTTTTCATTTTACACTGGGTCTCCTGATTCCGTAGCCGCCCTGTCCTGAAGGTGCCCCTTGAGAAGAAGGCAACTGAGCGGGACTGGGGATTGTTCGTTGACTTTTTCTGTCTCTTTTGTGCTTCTTCATGTGGCTCCCACCCAGGACTGATGCTCGCCTTTTAAAACTCGCAGTCCAGTCATTTAATAATTGACCTCGGTTGAGGACAGAAGCCACAGGGTTCCTATTTTAATCAAATCCTCAAGCCAGTCACAGTGACTGCACAGAGCTAAATGCTATAGAATTATTTTCCTCATCACTGAATTCCTTTTAGAGTTGTACCTTCAGAACAAAGAAAGAAAGAGGATCATTTGGTTATCAAAGGGAGCCAGCCCCCCAATTTATTTTCCTTCAGCTGTCATGCAAATTTCAAGCGGAGCCCTAGCAGGATGGCTTTGAAGATAAAGATCACAGTGCCGTCCGAGGGAGGCTTCAATAGGGTTTCTGATGATCCTCTGATTTACTTGGAGAAGGAAGAAAAGAGCAGACAACAATAGGAAGAACTCAGCTCTGAAGACATAAAAGCCAGTGTCTAATTCTGGTCCTCTCTTTGCCTGGAGGAAATGTCAGTTAATAGTGAGAGGGTCAGACAGGGCTAGTCTAGGATTTCCCCAAATGTGTTCCATGAGATGCCAATTGAGGTTCCTAAGACGGGGAGAAAAAAAGTTTGTTCTTAAGTGAATTTTTGGTAAGTGTTGAGTCAAACCAAGTACTTCGCAGAGTTGTTGGAGCCTTACATTTAGTAAACAGTAGGTCCAATGCATATAAAAGATGCAGTGTTTTTCTTGCAACCAATTTGACTGGTGGTTGTTACATCAGTAGTTTCTTGTTTCCTGTTGGGACTCAGAAAAATAATTAAAAATAATTCAGTAGCTTCCAATAACTAGGAGGTGAGGACAGGCCTTTACTCTCAAACATGGCCATCAATTAGTGGTTTCCAGTGCAAAATGCACCACATTTCCAGATACTTGCTAATAACCATTTGTCAGCAGACACAAAGACAGTGATATGGGCTGAGCAGTGAGCTCTCTGTACTTTCAGATGTTCTGCTTGCATTGCATGGGAAAGATTTCTTGAGGCCGATAGGACAATATTCTGGCAGTAACATTCAGCTGAGTTTCCAGCTGGAGGTGGAGGAGTTCAAATGAAGACCAGTTGGGAATTCTAAGCTTGTGAGGGCACCATTTTGCAAGTGAAGGTACTTGCTGGGGCCCGCAGGAGCTGTACTCCGTAATCCCCCAAAGAATGGGAATGTCCACAGTGTTTCTAGCTATTCCATTTATCCTTGCATACCCTTTATTCACCAAGAGCGCACTTCTAAAACCCACTTTTTCATTAACAAACTTCTGGTGTTGACAAGGAATAAAAATAGCAGAAGCCACTTCTGGAGTAAGGAGTTTTGATTCCTGTGTTTCGTTTGAGTTTTTCTTTTACCAAATGCCAACTCACAACTCCTGGAATGTAAATTTCCAATTAGTGTCTTTGTCGTCTTTGCTATTTTAAACTAAATTGTAGATCCTAGAATAGTTTTTGAAACATTGGAGAATTCTTTTCCTTGAAATATCTTTTAGGGTTGAGATTCCAAGGACGCCACTTTAGGAACTGTTGTGTGGGAGGAAAGACTTGTGCTCTGAGAGACCTCTCAGTTATAATGTGGTTGTGTTACATTGATCGTTGATTGTTTTCTCAGCTTGGTAGTGATAATAACTTTTTAAATGCCTTTCAAGGAGCTATAGGGGAGAAAAAAAATCTTTCTTCACTTATCACTAGGCTTATGGCTCAGACCCCTATGACAAAAGACAGATTAGCAAGAGAAAAGCATAATAAATATATTTAATAGAAACGTTCCCTGACATGGGAAACTTGATTAATAAAAACTCACAGACCCAGGGAAAACTATTTTTACAGATAGTAAGAAGTATGAATGGAGGACAAAAGGGTGTGATCCAATAGTAATAAACTCAGGGGAGCTTAGCAAGGCCTGTTTGTTCCAATTCTTCTTGGTTTCCCTGTGTGATGTTCCTTCCCTCTGGGTATAGGGCAGGACATCTGTCACAAGAGGATTTTCAGGGCAGAAGAGAAGGAGAAGGTAGAGACTGACCTTCCTGGATTTTATGGCCCTCAGAGAAGAAGGGACAAGGGGAATGTTAGTTTCTATGGCCTGCTTTAGGGTAGAAAGTGACAAGAGAAGGTCAGAGAGATCTTTCTGCTTCTGTTCTTTTTTCAATATCCAAGGTGCCAGATTTTGGGGTTACCATTTTGTACACCCCACTAGTACTATAAGAAAGAGTCATGGCTGGGCGCGATGGCTCACGCCTGTAATCCCAGCACTCTGGGAGGCCGAGGCAGGCAGATCATGAGGTCAGGAGATCGAGACCATCTTGGCCAACATGGCAAAACCTTGTCTCTACTAAAAATATGAAAATTAGCTGGGCTTGGTGGCACATGCCTGTAGTCCCAGCTACTCGGGTGGTGGAGACAGGAGAATCGCTTGAACCTGGGAGGGAGAGGTTGCAGTGAGCTGAGATGGCACCACTGCACTCCAGCCTGGCGACAGAGCGAGACTCCGACACAGCAAGAGTCAGAATTGGAAAAATTCCATAGGTAGCTGGAATGCAGGGTATCTGATCCAATATCATCATCTGTAAAATGATAGCTACTATTCTATCTCAGAGGCTAGTTAAGATCAAATGAAGTTATCTGTATGGAAATTCTTTGGCAATTGTAAGATGATCAGGTGTGAGGTGCTTTTATGGTTCGTTCCAAATCAAATGCCTCTCCTCATCATGTCATGCAGACTGAAATGAAAGAGTATGTATAAAATAAAAGATGCTCATGGTCTTATACGTAAAGACACCCATAAATTCCATGTTGTAGGGGAGGGACAAAGGGAATTAGTACTTACTGAGAAGGCGCTTTGTTCCAGAGATTTTTTTTTTTTAATAATCCTACTTGATGCTCATGTACGCGTGAGTATTTTATTTTCAGAGGAGGAAATTGAGAGAGGGGGGAAGCACTCAAATTTTGATAGCCAGGAAGTAGGAATGGTCTTGAATTGAGCCAGTCAGAATTCTAAAACTGGCACTATTTCTACCACACTGTGAAATCTCGTTATTCTACTTGGCCTTGGTGTTCCTTGCTGTACAATGGGGCAATTCTGGCTACTCCCCCAGAGCATGCTAGTGGGAAAAATAAGTGAGTTTTTCATTATGACAACTTTGGCCCATCATTTTTTAAGGCCAAGCATCTAAGTAATAATTGAGCCATCCATCAGCATTAGTAAGAGGCAGAATACTTTTTTTTATTTTAACTAAGAAAATTAGTTATTCTTATATTTCAACCAGGGGCCAAGTTCAAATGCGTATGGTGGCTGGGTAGGAAATGGTCCACGTGTGAGGTTGGGCCTACCTGGAGGGCAGTGGGGTCCATGGAGACTGGGGAGCAGAGCCCCTGTCGAATGGGCAAATTCACTCAAATCCGGCCAAATGAGGCTATATGGGAATGTGGGGTCCCAAAGTTTCTAAATCTTCAGTTTTTGTTTTTGTGTTTTTGATTAATTAGAAGCTAGAACTTCTAGTGTGTGCAATGTCCCAGTTTTTAAGAATTGAAACTAATGAAAAAGAATCTTGTGTTGGTTAATACCTTGTAGGTCAGAGAATAGAAGAAAATGTCAGTGAGCCAAAATCAGCAGTAGGCCTTCCATTTAAACCCTCCAAGTTAAATTGGGTTGCTATGGAGATTGTTAATTGTATATTAGCCATTAATAATATTATTTTATAAGTGGAGAGAGACAAAGTGATGCTTGTGTAACATGGTGGCACCTACTGACCATATGATTCCCAGGGTAGGGTAAGGCGATCTTTCTTCCATTAATTCTGCTTTTCTAATCAGTTAATATTTTTACTCCTTTTTTTTTTCCCTGAGACTTTAAAGCTCTGACCCCTTAATTCATCTTCTTTAGCACCAACAGTGTGGGGAGTTTCATAATAGCCTGACAGTCCAGTAAATACCTTTGTCCAGATGTTACTAATAGACTGATAGATGTGAAACTTGATCACAGTTATCTGGAAAGACTGAAAATGCCGTGACCTTAGTCTTTGCATGAAGGTCCCTTAAAATAGTTTTTGGTTTTTGGTTATGAATCAACCTTCTTATAGAAAACCAAACTGATGGAATTATTGCTTTTGTGCTGTAACATTATTTGATATGTAACATCTAACATCTGTCAAAACAGGAAAGTTATCTCTTCAAGTGGCAGCAGCAGATTGGATGCAACATTTAAGCAATGACAAATGGTTGTTGAAGTCAAGTGACTTAGAGAAAGAACTTAAAGGGAAATAGAAAATAGAGACTTTCCTCATGGGAGGTTGTGTCCCTGAAGGTTAAAACTATGTGTCATGGAATTCAGATTCAGACCTAAGTCTGAATCTCACCTTCTGCCACTTATCAGCTGCATAAGTTTAGATAAGTAACTTTAACTGTTGTTTGTTTCCTCATCTCTCAGATAATTAAAACAATGCCTAACTTAGAATGTGTTTAGGATTACTTCATGAAATAATAAGGCCCTCAGATAGGATCTTTCATAGAATTGGTCTCAAGAATGTTATCGGTTTTGAAAAAAATGGCTATTGATATGGTTTGGCTGTGTCCCCACCCAAACCTCATCTTAAATTGTAGCTCCCATAATTCCCATGTGTTGTGGGAGGGAGCTGGTGGGAGATATTTGAATCATGGAGGTGGTTTCCCCCACACTGTTCTTGGGGTAGTGAATAAGTCTTAGAAGATCTGATGGTTTTATAAGGGCAAACTCCTTTCATTGCTTCTCATTCTTTCTTGTCTGCCACCATGTAAGACATGCCTTTCACCTTCCACCATGATTGTGAGGTCTCCCCAGCCACTTGGAACTGTGAGTCCATTAAACCTCTTTTTCTTTATAAATTATCCAGTCTCAAGTATATCATTATCAGCAGCATGAAAATGGACAAATACAGCTATGTAGCGGGAAAAAAATCTCTTTTCCTTACCTGTGCTGAAGTTCATGGCTAAGACTCCTGTCACAAAAGACATATTAACAAGAGAAAAGTATACAAATTTATTTAATGTGACACAAGAGGCTTCAAAATGAAGACCTTAAAGTTTTACATGACACAGGAGATTTCAAAAATAAAGATTTTCTAGAAAAAGGAAAACCTGTATATTTTTATGGACAGTCACATAGAAGTATAATTGGAAGAAAAATGTGATCCAATGGTAATAAACTGGGAGGAACTTAGGTAGGCCTCTTTGTTCAGATTCTTCTTGGATTCTCTGTGTGACATCCCTCCTATCAGGTCTTTGAGGGAGAAGGGAAGGAGAATGTCAGTGACTTTCCTAGGTTTTATGTCCTGTTTCAGGAAAGATGAGGTGGAAAGTAAGAGATACCTTCCTGCTTCTACTGTTTTCACAAGTGCTAAGGTGCCAGATTTTGGGGTAGTTTTCTGAGCACCATCAGTTATCAATTTTGAGGATTGATCAATAGTGAAGGGTTCCTGGCTTCCTAAATACTTACTTCCTATACTATGTCATTTCAATGCTAAAAAATTCCAAATCAGATAGGATAAAACATTGGCATTTACTATCATAATGCTCTTCTAAACAATCAGCTTCATAGAGTTCTAATTGACATAATATCTGGTCTTTTGTAAGTGTAGTTGAGGAGTTTTGGCAAAGGTACACAGTGACATAACCACTGTCACAAACAAGATATCAAGATTTAGATCATTTCATCACCTCAAGGAGTTTCCTCCTAAATCTTCATAATCAACTCCCCCCACCCTTTGGCCTTAGGAAACCATTTATTTGCTTTCTCACTCAATTGTTTTGTCTTTTCTAGAATTTTATATAGATGGAATTATACAGCATGTACTCTTTTTAAAACTGTGGGGTGAAATCAATTTAATGTGTTGCAACCATCATTCTCTAAATAAGACAGAAAATATCAGAGTGAATCACACTTGATAATGGTGAGTATGTTTTGTGAAACTTTGTTTTCAGTGTGTATCTCTTCATGTATATTTCTCTGTGTCCTGAATCATAATATAAGCTCTATTCATCACTGATAAATGGAAACAACTTTCACCTATTATTTGAGCCAGTTTTTTTTTTTTTTTTTTTGTCCAGAGGACTAGAAATTGGAATGACAAGAGCTGATATATCATTGTGTGTTCTCCTTTGTGCCACAGAAGGTGATGAGGAATTATCTCATTTAATCCTCCCTACAAGCCTATTAGGAAAGCACATCTGCCTTTTACAGGGGAGGAGCCTGAGGCTCGGGGAAGCTAAGTTCAAGTTCTCATAACTGGTGAGAATAGAAGCTAAAGTTGAAACCATGGGCAGTTAAGAAGCAGCCTGGACATGTGGCTGATAAGACTGGAGAAGGGGAAGGATTGGCATACAAATATAACTATGTATTCTCTTGGCTGTTATTAGATTATCAAATTGCTAATGGACAAGTACTAAGTACTAAATGCCAATCCCGCCACAGGATGCGGCAAGTCAGAGCAGGCAGAAAGGTGTGTTTTCTGCCCACAGATAGGATATAAAGTTGTCCAGAACTGGGCAGCAAAGAGTGTGGGCTTGGGTGATAGACCCGGACTCCAGTTCCTGTTCTGCTGCTTACAGGTTCCTTGACCCTTAGCGGGACCTCGGTCTCTCTGAGGTTCAGGTTCCTACTTTGTAAAATAGTGATTTGTAGGACTTTGTGAGGAGTCAGATAAGGTGGGCTTTCTCCCCCTCGGCATTATTGATCACCTGAGCTGGCTCATTCTCTGCGGCGGGGGCTGCCCTGCGCACTGCAGGGTGCTTAGCAGCATCTTTGGACTTCACCCACTAGATGGCAGTAGCACCCCCACCAGGTATAATCACCGTAAACAAAATTTCCCCAGTTGAAAACTACAAAAATAACTCATGAATAAAATGTCCCTTCCCGGCTGGCTGCAATGGCTTGCACCCGTTGTCCCAGCTACTCCAGAGGCTGAGGAGGCAGGATGGACTGAACCCAGGAGTTGTGAGTCTTGCTTGGGCAACATAGTGAGACCCTGTCTCTAAGAAAAGAGCAAGAAAAAGAAACAAATACAGTGTCTACATCTACAAGTCACATGGACAAATGGGATCATATCAAGTTAAAAAGCTTCTGCACGGCCAAGAATCCCCTTCTCTTTTACCGTCATAAAATGAAAGTTCTGTCGCATATCAGCAGATAACAGCAGATGGAGGAGTAGGGGACCAGCTGCCCAAGCAGCAAATGGACTTCGGCTCACATGGCCCAACATCTCTGGGGGATCTGAGTGAGGCAGCACTGAGTCCTGGTAAGGAGGTTGTGTTTCAGAGCCAGCCTGCCTGGGTTTGGGTCCAGGCTCTGCTGCTTCTACTGTTAATCTTTAGGTAGGTTAAACAATTTGCATCTCTGTTTCCTCATTTTTAAAATGGGAATAGCAATCATCCCTTCCTTTTAAAGTTCTTGGCTGGGTGTGGTGGCTCACGCCTGTAAACCCAGCACTTTGGGAGGCCAAGGAGGGCGGATCACGAGGTCAGGAGATCGAGACCACCCTGGGTAACATGGTGAAAGCCCGTCTCTAATAAAAAAAAAATACAAAAAATTAGCTGGGCGTGGTGGCGGGTGCCTGTAGTCCCAGCTACTCCGGAGGCTGAGGCAGAAGAATGGCGTGAACCTGGGAGGCGGAGCTTGCAGTGAGCCGAAATCAAGCCACTGCACTCCAGCCTGGGCGACAGAGCAAGGCTCCATCTCAAAAAAAAAAAAAAAAAAAAAAAAATAATAATAATAATAATAATGTTCTTGCGAGGATTAAATAGTGTAATAAATGTAATAAATGTAAAGTCTTCAGGATAGTGCCTGGTACAGGGCTATCACTCAATAAACATTAGTTTCTATTAATGATATTATTTTAGATAGGTTCGAAGCCAATGCTGCATAAAGATTGTTCTCACCATGACCAACTTATCGTAGCTTTCCCTGGACTTTCCTGCTTATAGCATAGAAAATCCCAAGGCTGGGGAAAAAACCCTTGTACTGGGCAAACTGGGACACGTGGTCGCACTAGTCAGATCCCAGTACAACAGTCAATATTTTGTTGCGTCCTGTCCATAGTTTTGTCCACAAACACTGTGTGATTTCATTACCAAGACTTGTGCTCAGTATTTACAATAACAAAGATACAAAATCAATGTAAATGTCCCTCAGTGGATGAATGTATCAAGAAAGTGTGGAATATATATATACGATGTAATATTGCTTGGCCCTCAAAAAGAATGATGGCAGGGCGCAGTGGCTCATGCCTGTAATCCCAGCACTTTGGGGGGCCGAGGTCAGGAGTTTGAGACCAGCCTGGCTGACATGGCAAAACCCCATCTCTACTAAAAATACAAAAATTAGCCTTGAGTGGTGGTGATTGCCTGTAATCCCAGGTACTCAGGAGGCTGAGGCAGGAGGATTGCTTGAACCTGGGAGGCAGAGTTTGCAGTGAGCCGAGATCATTCCAGCCTGGGGACAGAGGAGAGCGAGAATCCATCTCAAAAAAGAAAAAGAAAAGGAAAAAAAATCATGTCATTTGCAGCAACATGGATGGAACTGGAGGTCATTATCATAAGTGAAATAAGCCAGGCACAGAAAGACAAATATGGCATGTTCTCACTTATATGGGAGCTGAAAAATTGATCACATGGAGGTGGAGAGTAGAAAGATAAATATCAGACAGGGAAGGGTGAGTGGGATTGGGGAGGAGGATGAAGAGAAGTGGGTTAAAGGGTACAAACATAGTAAGATAGATGGAAGAAATTATTTATTCAATAGCAGAGTAGTGACTATACTTAAAAATGTATTGTACTTGGATAATGGACACCCTGAATACTGAATACCATTCATAACTACACATTATATACATGTAACAAAATTTTGCATGTGCTCCATACATGTGTACAAATAAAAAATATAAAAACATAAACAATTGGAAGCTTATAAACAAAGAATTGTGCTCAGTAGCAAGGGTTCCATCATGCTCACGGTCCTATAGGAGAGGCAGCAATCAGCTGGGTTTGGGATCGCCAGGCCAGCAGAGCAGCAAGAGGCATCATGCGGCATACGCCGTGTTTCTATTGAGGGAACAGTACTTCAGGTAAACATCAGCAAGCCGACAAGATTTCTCCAGGGAGAAGTTGATGTGAATGAGATACCTATTTTAATGGACCCAGAAAAGACAACTCTATTGTCTTACACTAGAAAACAAGTGATTTGTATAAACGAATGCAGCCTGGGGAAACGGGTGCCACAGACTTATTAGCTAATGGAAAGCGTAATTTTATATCTACTTCTCAGTTTTCCCAGGCACTAACAGAGGGCAGAGTGGCTTGGATTATCTTGCACTGGTGAAAATCTAAGAAGTCTCCCAGTTTTCTGCTAGGCTGAAACTTTCCTGATCTGAGATCCTTTCAAAGATTTGGTCGTGCATTTAGAGAATCATTTTGCTTTAGATAAATTATGGTTGTTGAAGTTGACGCTGCTGAATTGCCTATGCATTCTCCATGTTCTTTCTTACTAACAACCCTGATTTTGTTTGGGGAAGCAATTATTCTAATTGAAAATACTTTTCCAGATCTGGGGTATCCTGGGACTCAATTACGTCCAATGAGATATAAGCAGAAGTCTCTGCAGAAGACGTCCTTCCACCCCTCTCCTCCCTAAAAAGCTTCTAGAAGTCAAGGTTTTTGTCCTCCGTCCTTAGCACTCTCCCCTGCATCTTGCCTGGAATGCAAATAGGATGCTCAGAGGTGGAGAACCTTGCTTCCGCGAGGAGCAAAGAGGCTTGGTAATGATGCCAGAGAGGAAGTCAGCAAGAGTGTGGGTCCTTTATGACTCCCCATGAGTTGCTGTACCAACTGCGAATGACCACATCTGGACCTATGTCATAGAAAAATCTCCTGTTTGGTTAAGCCATTATAGATGGGTTTCCAGTATATGCAATCAAACAGAATCCTAACAGCCAATAGGGGTTTATTTCCATGGTATTTTGTAAACATTGTGAACAGCAAAACCTGGCAGATATGTGGATTTAGAACAGGTTTTGTGTGTGTGTGTGTGTGTGTGTGTGTGTGCACGGTTCTTTGAGTGAATGGAGTTTTTACACACCAGTGTCAGGGCTGCCTTCTCTGTGAGACACAGTAAGTGCGGTGCCTGGAACCTATGATACTTTTTCTTTTTTGAGATAGGATCTTGCTCTGTCACCAAGCCTGGAGTGCAGTGGCAGGATCACGGCTCACTGCAGCCTCAAAATCCCAGGCTCAGGCGATCCTTCCATCTCAGCCTCCTGAGTAGCTGGGATTACAGGTGCACCACCATGCCCAGCTAATTTTTTATTTTTTGTAGAGACTAGGTCTCCCTATGTTTCCCTGCGTGGTCTGAGGTGATCCTCCCACCTCAACCTCCCAGAGTGCTGGGATGATAGGCATGAGCCACTGTGCCCAGTTTCATGGTACTTTTAAGATCCATGAAAATGTTTTTACTTTCTTCTAAAATCAGAAGAAAAAAATTCATTTTGGATTTTGTCTTTATACCAACTCAGCCATATAATATAATTTTAAAGACCTTTTAATGGAAAAAGGGGCCCATAAAGGCAACAGTATTTATAGCCCATGAATTTATACAGCCTAGGATACCTCCTCATGTCAAAAAGAAATTGGTCTCATTTCTTCTTGTTAATTTTCCATTCCAATTTCTTCCTTCTCTGGATAAAGGAACATATATCTGCATTCAGCAGAGGAGGTGGGGGCACTGGAAAGGCTTCAGCCTTTGACAGAGCTGGGTTTGAACCCCGGCATGACTACACAACTTCTTTCATTTCTCTGGGTATCAGTTTTATAAAATGGATTGATTAATATCATGTATTTAATCAACAACTTGAATGCCCGTGATGTAGAAGTGATTTCTGTAGTGGGGTAGCACTCTTATGAGGACTATAGAAATTGATACATGTGGAACCCAATATTTGGCTCATGTTTGACACTCAGTAAATATTGTTTTTTTAAATCACCTTCCATTTGGTTGTGAGTTGCTTGCCTATTGCACAGTCCAGTTACCTTCTCTACTGCTGTGTGGAACACTGGGATCAGGAAGGTGGCTTCCTCTAGGAATACAGTCCTCAATCTTTGCAAAAGAGCGATCCTTTTCACTTGCGTGTAATTAAGACCCCATGCTTCTTCCCACAGTCATGACCATGAGATTCCATCATTCCTCTCTAATGACTTTGTTCTGTATCACTGTTTGTAAAATGCATTCCCCACACACAGCAATCAGAGAACAGTGTAACATCGGTTAATTCAAAGACCCACTTATTCAACTCTCATTGGAAGAAGCTGTCAGGATTTCAAACATGGTTTTTTGTTGTCGTTGTGGGGATTTTTTTTTCTGCCTTATTATAACTCCCTTGAAGATCAATCTGTGAAAAAAATCAATTGGTTATTAGAAAAATGCACATTTCCCCATTATAATATTATACTGTGCCTCATCAGAGTGCACTGAAGATTTTGTAGTACGTTATAAAAGTGCCAAATATAATTTGTATGTAAATGTCTTATGTAAAGTCTTACTTTTATTTTTCTACCGCATACGGAAAAACACACCAAGTGAATTTGAGGCAAACACAATGATAGATCCCACTGTGATAAGAAAACACCCTAATGCAAAGTTGCCAGTAGGAAAGAAGACCCTTTCCTTGTGTTACTTTGTTTAGAGCCTGTTTGAGAAATATCAGCGCTTCTTTTCTACAGCAGACAGATAACTAAGGTTTCATTTCCTCTTCTATCAAATATGCCCATTTCAACCCATTTGTCTCCTGCCTGGTTCAGGAATTTTTAAAGAGGCACCAGAGAGAATTGTGTGCCATAATATTCTACCCTGGATGGGAATATGATCCTCTTGACACTGCCTTGTTGACACAGAACAAATTAACTCTATGATTGCCAAATCTTTTCCACTTTCCTGTTGTGTGGACAGGGCGTAGCTCAAGAGGCAGCATTGAGGTAAATCCTCATGGGACCATCCTAATGACAGGGTACTCCCTTCCTTATCTGACCTGTGATTGGATGCCTAGAGTGTGCCTGGTAGTGGGCGGGGGCAATTGCTTTAAGAAATCTGGTGGTTTCAAGCTCTAAACACATTCAACACACCATTTAACTATGCATTCAGATAATTTGGGGAAACTATGAATGTCTGAATCTCTCAAATATATTCCTGTTGTGTCTTCCATTTCATCTTTTCTCAACCTATTGTTTTGCTGAAAGCCAAAGTTTCCCAGGGGAGCAGGGAATGATAATTTATGATGTGGTTTAGCTCTGTGTCCCCACCCAAATCTCACCTTGAACTGTAATCCCCATGTGTCGAGGAAAGGGCCTGGTGGGAGGTGATTGAATCATGGGGGTGGTTTCCCCCATGCTGTTCTCATGATAGTGAGTTCTCATGAGTTCTGATGGTTTTATAAGTGGCAGTTTCCCCTGTGCTTGCTCTCGTTCTCTCTCTCACCTGCTGCCATGTAAGATGTGCCTGCTTCCCCATCCACCATGATTGTAAGTTTCCTGAGGCCTCCCCAGCCATGCAGAACTGTGAGTCAATTAAACCTCCTTTATAAATTACCCAGTCTCAGGTAGTATCTTTATAACAGTGTGAAAATAGACTAATTCAATGTATTAAGGGATCACATCCTTTCAGTTAAGAAAGCTCAGAGTAACATATATAATACATTCACTCATGCATTTATTTATTCCTCAAATGTGACTAATACCTTAATATGTGCCAAGCATTTTGTTAGGTTTGGTAGTCTTATGAGTCAGATTATTTAGCTGAGCCTAAAGAGATGACCCCTGTTAGTGTTACAGTCTTAGAATCACAAAGAACTGAATCTCAAACCTCTGTTACCTTGATCAACTTACTCAACTGAATTCAACCCTTTGCAACCAAGATTCTTCATTGTAAACTAGGAAGCATAATAGTACACATTCCCTGGGTATTATAAGGCTGTAATGAGATTATAGACACAACAACAGACTCTAACCCCAAAGTAAGATGTCAACAGGGGTAGTAGGAGTTGAGGTCATTTTGTAAAATTAACATTAATATGATTAACCTGCTATTCCATTCAGAGCTGGCTTCATGGATATATGACCCATGCAGTCACTCAGGGCTCTGCTCTTAGAAAGGCCCTATGCTTGATTTAATGCTCTGATGTCGCTAACCTGAGCTTCTTATTAATTGAACTGTTGGCTCTACATTTTGATTTTGCATGGGATACCACCAATTAGGTAGCTAGTTTGGGTTCCAGTGTAAGAGGTGTCTAATATGTTAAATATGTTTTATATAGAGCCTGGAGAGTGGTTTAGGAGCTGACCCAGAAGCGGAAAAGTGGGAGGAGGAGTTGGATGAGGAAGAATTGACAATAGTGCATATGCATGCAAAACACATCATTTATTCTTCACCACTACTTAATAGGGAAGTAATGCTTTTATATCCATTTTATTGATAAGAAACATGAGTGACAGAAAATTTAAACTTTTCCAAATCACTGGGCTGGTGAGCACTATCTTAGACTACTCTCTAGATTAGAGAGTTCAGGGAAACACTGTGTGCTCATGGGTTTCAGCAGGTCTATGTGTAACCAGTCTTCTCAATAAGGTCCTCTTGTTTGAACCCAGTGGAATGGGGTCCTCTTGTATAAAACCTTTTCTGTAGGCTGGAGAGTCCATTAAGCAAATGGTAAGCTTTCCACGTCTGGGGCTCTAGATACTTTCTACAAATAAAAACTGTGCTCACACGGAATGGCAAAGAATGGTCTCAGTTTTGTTTCTGCAAGGCTTTGAACAGTGCATAATAATGTGACTGCTTCAAGCGCTTGGAGCTCGGGTCTCCCTGTGATATTTTCATGTCCTCAATAACTTGCACAAGGACAGATTGGTTGCTGGCACTGAACACTAGTGATGCATTTTTGTGGACGCTGCTCTTGTAGGCCTATTTGGTATCTTGACTGTTGTCAAGCTCTGACTTATGGGAAAATGATTGTTCTGACCTCTCAGAGCAAAGAGAGTTGGCCCTTGAGAGTTTGGGTCCTGGCTGCAGAGGTGGGCTGTTATGGGCATACACCATATCTTGCATCCTCTTCTGCTGTTCTTAGATAGAGTCTTCTAGGTCACTAGATATTAACCTTTTTGATTCCTAATTTCTTTTTTTTTTTTTTTTTTTGAGACGGAGTCTCACTCTGTCGCCCAGGCTGGAGTGCAGTGGCGGGATCTCGGCTCACTGCAAGCTCCGCCTCCCGGGTTCACGCCATTCTCCTGCCTCAGCCTCCCAAGTAGCTGGGACTACAGGCGCCCGCCACTACGCCCGGCTAATTTTTTGTATTTTTAGTAGAGACGGGGTTTCACCGTTTTAGCCGGGATGGTCTCGATCTCCTGACCTCGTGATCCGCCCGCCTCGGCCTCCCAAAGTGCTGGGATTACAGGTGTGAGCCACCGCGCCCGGCCTGATTCCTAATTTCACCTGGTTAAGTCCCAACCATTCCTTGTGTTTTGTCTCAAAAGTTAATTCCTTGAATCTCAAGATTGAGTGGGAGTCCCTTGCCATGGCCCCCTTTGTCTAGTGAACCCAATTTTTTTTTGTCTCTTCACTTTCCATTGTCCTCATTAGACTTGAACCTTCATGAAGGCATTTCCCACTTCTCCACAACTGAGGAATTGTTGGCAAATATTTCTCGAACACACTCTTTGGAAAAATTCAGCTGTGCACATTAAATCGTAAGATGATCTACAAGATCACAGACCCCTCTGAGGCTAATCATGTACATGTCTATGGATCTCAGCACAGAAAACCTCCCTTCAGTGCCTGGTATATCAAATATTCTAATCTTCACTATAAAACTCTGCCAAGGGTAATGCAGACACCGTTTGGATGCCTCCAGTGATGGTGAGCTTACTATCTCTTTGAATATCCCACTGAGACCACTGAAATCATTGGAAGCTGGCTGGCTGTCTGGCTGGATGAATGAATGGATAGGTGGGGGGATGGATAGATGGATTCACTGACTGGATAGGTTTTATTGGGACCCTTCTCTATATCAGGCCTTTTTCTAGTAAAACAACGATGGGCAAAATCAAGGCCCTGCTCTACAAGAGCTATATTCTAAGGGATAAAAAGACAACATTCAAACGAATATTTAACATAGTGCAAAGTGTGATTCCTGCTATGGAGGAAGTAAAGCAGGGTAGGCAGTGTGGCAGAGATGGGAGGCAAAGACTATTTTAAATAAACTGGCCAAGAAAGACCTTCCTGAGATCTGTAAAAAAATTAAAAAAAAAAAAAAAACACAAGAAGTGGGCTGGGAGAAGTTTTGAGGGGCTGGGCTTTTCAAGTAGAAGGAACAGTAAGAGCAAAGGTCCTAGGGCAGGAAGGCCAGGGTGGCTGTAGAGGAAGGGGCAGAAGTGGAAAGAGTCAGGTGCCAGCTGCTGTGAGGACCACAGGGATTTTCTTTTCCTGTGTTTGATGAGAAGCCACCGGAAGGCTTGAGGAGGAGAGAGTGGTGGCCTGATTTTAAAAGGATCCCTCTTTTGTGGAGAGGAACCCCTAGGGGAGAGGGTGGCAGCCTGGAGATCAGGGAGGAGGCAAGTCTGGTCTTCCAGGTGAGATGTGGTGGTTGCTTGGACATGATTTTCTTCTGCTCAGCCCGGCATCACAGTTCTGTCCCTCTCAAATGGAAAGCCACACCCTTTCCCAAGGGAGATGGCCATGTCCCTGATCCTGGCACTTGGCTCTGTTGACATGACAGAGGAATAAGGGCTAGGGTGGGAGTGGGTTTCCACATACCTCTGTCCTGGTTAAATTGTACAGTAGGGATGGCTCTCAGTCTGCAAGCTTGGACAGACCAGAAAGAGACATTTTTAACTTTCCTTCCAATTAAATGAAATTCCTGTCTAGGCCCCCATCCAGCTGGATGGCTAGATAAATGGATATCAGCTACCATCAGGGCTCCCACATCAGCTGGGTTGTGCAAAGGTCCTAGGGTCCTTTGCTAAAGCACTAAGAAGGGGCTGTTGGGTACCACTGAGATAACTTCTGCTTCATTTGATTGTCCTCTGTGGTCCAGCACCTTAGCCAACTCTTTTCAACTTTTAGGGCACAGAAAATTTCAGCAATACTGGAAGTCCCTGTTTGAGACAGAAGACATGGAGGTGACACCCATTATAAAAGGGGGTATCGTTTTAAGTCAAAGGGATTTAATCTCTAATTAGTACTAATACATTACTTCGATAATTTGATTAATTGATCTAAAAAATTAATCCCTAAGTCTGAAAAAATAATCTAAGTGGAATTGTGTTTCCTTTCATTCAATTAACATTCTGCTTCTATCCTTTTTGGAAAGAGAGCATATAAATAAATAAATACGTTCATCTTCATTAAACATTGAGCTCATGGTTCTCCAGTGCATAGTGAGCTGATGAAGACATTGATGTATACTGCAGCTGCACACACCTTCATAGAGAAGGCAAGCAGAAGCACAGCTCTGCTGCAGTGTCAGTAAGCACAGACAGGTGGGCAGCAACTGAAATTTGAGTAAGGATGTTTCTCTCACTGCTGCAGTCATAGCAAACTGGTATTGTCAGAATGACCTCAGGTGTGGGATACTAAGTTCTCTCTGTGAATTATGCAGGAATGAGTTGTCTCCTTTCCTTGTCTTCTCTAGTGTGAAATAATAAAAAAAAAAGATTCCTAGATTCATTTATTGAGAAATATTTATTGAAGTCTGCAAAGTACCAGGAATTTCCTATTCTTGTGGATATCTTCACTCCAGTGAGACAGATGATAAACAAATAATCAAATAGAAATAACTGATGGTTTTAAAATGAAACACGGAATGATTTTTAAAATAAGAAAAGAAATATCTGACAGTAATAAGTTTCATGAAAAAGTTATAGTCAAATGGTAGAACATGGAGGAGGAGTGTTTTTATGTGTTGGGGAAAGAGGGTGTCATATAAAATCTTTTTTCTTTGAGACAGGGTCTGGCTTTGTCACCCAGGCTGGAGTGCAGTGGCATGATCGTAGATCACTGCAGCCTTGACCTCCTGGGTTCAAGTAATCCTTCTGCCTGGACCTCCCAAAGTGTTGGGGTTACAGGCATGAGCCACCGCACCTAGCTCATGTGCAATCTTGAAGAACATTCCAAGCAGGAGCGATGGAAAAGTGCGATGTAGCTGCATCCTTGGAGTTTTAACAATAGCTAATTCTTACTGAGAATTAATTTATATAATACATAAATGAATAGACAAGATAAAAATGGTTGTGGCTCACACCTGCATTCCCAACACTTTGGGAAGCTGAGATGGGAGGATCACTTAAGCCAGGAGTTTGAAATCAGCCTGGGCAACAAAGCGAGACCCCATCTGTACAATCAATCCTCAATAATAATCAATAACAATCAATGAATAAATAAGAAAAAGAGTTTCCAGTGTCTGTTGCATAGGCAAAGCGAGGAAGGAGCAGAGGCCTGGGCTGGGCAGGGAAAGCATTTTGAACAAAACTCTTGTGGGAGGTATAGAGCTTCTTACTGCAAACCAGGGCTTGGGAATTCAAATGCTCACAGAGGCGTTAACACAAAGAAATAAAGTGCATTGTATGTGTGTGTATTATATGGATATGATTCCCAAGAAATAGGCTTTCTGCCATCATTTTTTTGAATATATGCTCTGTTTGGGCTATTACTATTTCCTACTTCCTTTTTCTTTTCTTTTCTTTTTTTTTGAGACAGAGTCGCCCAGGCTGGAGTGCAGTGGTGCCATCTTGGCTCACTGCAAGCTCCGCCTCCTGGGTTCACGCCATTCTCCTGCCTCAGCCTCCCGAGTAGCTGGGACTACAGGGGCCCGCCACCACGCCCAGCTAATTTTTTTTTTTTTTTTGTATTTTTAGTAGAGACGGGGTTTCACCATGTTAGCTAGGATGGTCTTGATCTCCTGACCTCGTGAACCGCCCGCCTCAGCCTCCCAAAGTGCTGGGATTACAGGCGTGAGCCACCGCGCCCGGCCACTATTTCCTACTTTCAGTAGAGACATAGATATAAAACATATTTCTCAAATGTAAGAAAAAGCTCAGAGCAACAACTGAAATTCAGACTCAGCATTAATGAGACAACAGAATATGCTGGGGACTGTGGAAAAATGGGAACAAGTCTGCTCCCTGTGGAGTCAGCTTTGGCAGGTATTAAGAGTTTTTAGAAATTATAGAAATCCTGAGGTGGGGTTGCCGGCACATGCCTATAATCCGAGCTACTTGGGAGGCTGAAGCAGGAGGATCACTTGAGCCCAGGAGTTCAAGATCAGCCTGAGCAACATAACAAGACCGTCTCTAAAAATTAAAAACAAAGAAAAGAAATTGTGATAATCCACATTTTTATGTGAAATCTGATTTTGAAACAATGGATATTGTTTTGTTTTTACAGTGTGCACGTCAAAACCACACCTATCTCCAGGCCGGATTGTCGCTGTGGCTTCTGGCTTGAGACCTTGGCATAGACATTTAAGAGCTCCAGGAGCTCATACCTTAGTTAAGGAGAAAATTCCAATAGCTCAGGAGCAATGAGCAGATTGTTTTTTAATCTCCCTTTGCCTATGCAACAGATACTGGGAAATCTTTTTCCTATTAATTATTATTGATCATTATCGATTGATTGATTATTGATTGTCCATCTTTTGGCATGCACGGAGTATTAGAACGTCACAGGAGGGAGAAAGCAAACAGATGTGGGGGTTTTGATGAACTCAAGAAGGTGGGTAGTGTACGAGCCATTAAATAATAGGTAAAATAGGAGTAAGTAGCAGCTAGAACAGGTGTTTCTGGAAGACCATATCTAGGAAAGACAAGCGTTGTAGTAGAACAAAGAGTTTGTAGGAGATTGATCTCCTGGGAACCAGATATATATAAGGGACTCTAAAAGGTCAGCGAGTAATTTGAAACCTGACCTCCTTCTATTGTCTGGAGTTCGTTCTCGCTGCCGGCAGCTAACCTCTGTGGTCAGGTTTGGGTTTAATTTTGTCTTTTGCGTTGTTTCAGAAATTGCTGGTGAAGACATTTCCCGCCAGGTGGCGATGTTCTCATTTGGAAAAAAAAAAGGCGCAAAAAAATGAGCAACTTTCTTTGTTTAATGATGCTGGCTGGATTGTCTGATCCCCGCCTAAGCCTAGGTTTATTAAAGCTAATAAAATAAAAACAGCTTACACACTTTTCCTTTCCTATTTATCTTATGGCACTTACTTCAGTTTGTGCCACGCCAAGCCCGTAATGTTTATGTCTGCTGCGGTTGCTAGGCAAACTGTATACAAGGAGAACATCTGTATTATTCTAAGGATTGTCTCTGGAAGCATCGCTGAAAAGAAGCATGAGTTAATAGGTGGTCAGAGAACTATGCTGAGAGTGAGGAGAAAAAAAATGAGCTTCCTCTTCCATATTCCAGCTTCTCAAGGCATATGGATTTCAACAGAAGACCTGCTGCAGAAAACCTGTTTATAACAAATAGAATATGGAACTATTTTAAACAGATAAGTTTTCAGAAGCTCAGCCCAAGAGCACCCAGCCAGAGGTGAATGGGCATTGGATTTGTCAGAGGCCAGTCAGCAGGGGACAAAAGCCAGAGCTGTGACCAGCTGTGGCCGCAGAAGGAGGGACAGTCAGCAGGCAGAGTTTAAAATTGTCATTTATTTCTTTGACCCCATGTAGATTTTTTTCCACTCCAAAAACACAGCATTGAATCCAGACAGTTCCTTAGGAGGGCATTGCCAGCCCTCACAGCAAGTAACAGTTCTAACGGTCCAAATTTCTTTGCAGAAATTATTTTCTTTTTGTTTTCTCCTTCCTTTTTTTTTTTTTTCTTCTTGCTTACACAGGCACTGGTCTGGCCCCTTCTGGAAGGAAGCTGGATAAGCCTGTCCCCTGTTTCCCCTGCAGCTTTTCTCTTGAGAAAGAGAAATAGGACTGTTCTGGGCACCATATGTTTTTTTCTCACCGTCATCCTTCTCAGCATGAAGGAAGAGGTTGGGCAGGAGCTGTGCAAAGAAGGAGAATAAGTTCAGGGGGCAGGGGAAAGGCACTTGAAAAGGCAAGAGATGGGTGCGGCTCTTCTGGAAAACAGGCAGATCTTTCTTCTGCCTCTTCAGCTCAGCTTGTCCCTGGCTGGCTCTGACTTTGTGCCCTCTTCTTTGACGTGGGAAGGATGATGGGCGCCAGCTCCTGTGCCGGGGGTGAGGAACTGCCTGAGAAGTGCTTGGTCTGAGGCCAGCAAGTGCAAAGTGTGCAGCAGGACTCGCTCCATCCCCTTTGATGTCAGGAATGAGTGTTAAAGTGATCTGCTTCGTGTATACCGCTCACATGTGCTGACCTGTGCTTCATTTCTCTCCTGCACAAGGCACTGGGGGGCTGAGATCCTCCTCCTAGCCCCAATTCTATTTTCTTCCTCCTACTTTTCACTGCTTTACCCAATTCTGGTTCTTATTTGTGTATATTCAGAACCTGCTTCTCTTCCCCCAGTGGGAATAAATACTGTGTTCTTCGTTTGTGGAGCATTTCTTGCCCTTCGCCATTGGCTCCTCACAGACCAGTGTCTCTCCATCTCTCTCCCTCTCTCCTCCACTGCTTTGCTATTGAATGGAAAGGTGATGCTAGGGACCAGCTATTTCCAAGCCTGCTGGAGCTCCCACTGGAAAAAAAAAATCCAGGCAAGCCTGCTTCTTGTCTGCATATCTGCACCAAAACCCCCTTCTTTGAGCAGACCTGGACCCTGCTGGGGTGGGGAGGGGTAGAAGAATGGGGAGAGCGAGCGAAAGATACAGACCAGGAGACCTGCCTCTAGCATCTGGCTGGAGAGAGGTGGCACCGTTCTTTGTCCCAGGGGGTTCTGCTGGGCAGTCACAGGGCGGGCCCAGGTGGCATGGGCATCCTCCACTCTGTCGCATTCTGCCCATAAGCTTCAACTATTGCCTCCTGACTGTAATTTTGATGTGCACCTTGCCCATAAGACTCCTTGTCTGCAATCAGCTGGTCAAGTTTATTGCTCAACTTGTGCCTCTGTGTTTGTTATTAGTGGGTCTAGCTTCTGGAGGTTTCAGCTGACCTTCCTAGCAAGAAATGCCAAGACTGAAAACCAGGGATGCATTCCCCAGTACAAAGGAGTGTGCAGCCAGCTAGCGGGGAGGCCCCACTGACCCCTGCTCACTGGGTACCACATACCTGCAGGTCTGAGGATCTCACTGGCCTGCTTGGTAATAATCTGGCATCTAGAACTTCCCAAACAGGCTGTACTGAAAGGGCTGTTTGCCAAAGCGGCTGGCTCTCTGAGCTGTCTGTTCTGGACTGCGATGTTACCCATGATTTTACTTTCAGGGCATGAGCTTGGGTTCAGCTACAAGGCTCAGGTGTGGTCTTTCCCTCTTGGCAGGGGGGATGGGTGAATTGCCATTTTCAAATCCCTGCCTGTGCCGAGCTTTGTGGTTGGCAGTAGTCTAGTCCAGTTGCACCAGGCTGAGCCTCATTCATTCAACAAACCTTGAGAGCCTCCCTGACACTCTTCTGGGCACTGTGGATTTAAGATAAGCAAGATAATGTTCCTGCTGCCATGGGCAATTTATTAGAATGGGAGTGGGTACAGGTAATAAATGGTACCTAAATAATGTGTCAGGTAGCAATAAGGCTAGGGGAAAAATGAAGTGAGGGAAAGGGGTGATCAGGGAAACCTGAGCAGAGAGCTGAGGGAGTGAGCCAAGTAGTTCTTAAGAGCTGGAACATTCCAGGCAGGGGGAGCAAAAAGTGCAAAGGTCCCGAGGTAGGTTTAGGAGGAATGCGTTAGAGCAACAGCAAAGAATCCAGTGCAGCTGTGATGAAGGTAGCAAGGAGAAACTGCTAGAAAAGGATGCTGGTGAAATGAAGGTAGGAACAAGGAAGCTATATAGGGCTTTGCAAACCCTGGTAGGGCTTTTGTGTCTTGTTTGGAGTGCAATATGAGGTTTCTGGAGGGTTTTGAGAAGAGGTATGATCTAGTACTTTGGCATTTTCAAAGGCTCATTTATTTTTCTCATTTTTTCTAATGGAGAACATGGTGTGTGAGTGTGTGTGTGTGTGCATGCAAGCACACGCATGTGAAGTTATGTGTATATATCTAGGTATGCATATATATTCATATATACATACAGTTAGGTGTATGTTATACATATCATTTGAAAATAATTGGAGTCAGTGTCTATAAGCCCCCTTTTCATTAAAGCTTTGCTACACACAGATCCCTATTCCTCAATTTATTTATCTATGAAAGTAGTAAACTCATTGTGGAAGAAAAAATGGGAGCCCAGAAACCCTTTGAGGCTCTGACACACCCCATAGGCTCCCTTGTATGTCTTAGCAGTGTGGTAACTTACACTCTCCCTTTCCTAGGCAGGAGGTAATAGCAGAGATGCTTGAGATGGTAGGGGGAAGGCTGGAGAGGGAACAGATCACCTGAGCAAGGCAAAATGACTTTTCAGATGTCCTGATAAATGTATTGCTCCATAAGAACACATGGGAAGGGCTGGTGTTCATCATTACACACCATGCTCGTTTCTCCACAAATGTAAAATGACTCAGGAGAGAGCCTTCTGGTGTTAATGAAGGACTACGTGTATTTTTAGAAGCATGGAGAATTAAAGAGGAGATTCACAATAAGATCGCAGGATGTTTTAGATAGAAAGTGTGTGTGTGTGTGTGTGTGTGTGCATGCGTGCATGTGTGGACATGTTTTTAAGATGGAGATTTCTGCAAAAATAGCTCTTATTGAAAACAGATTTTCAGATTCTATTTTAACTAATCTTTTTTTTTTAAGTTTCTGTGGAGCATAGTTTGTCCACATCAGGGAAATGCTCAGGTATTTTTGGCCAAAAATTTTAAAAGTTGGCTGCAAATCTATTTGTTCTACCGTAAGTATCCTCTTAATCGACCATCTATTAAAAGTTGACCGTAACTTACTGGTGAAACTGGACTCATCTGAAAGTATTTTTATAGATGCAGGGAGGAGTTTTATGAGCTTTTCTTTGAAATCTTTTAGTTAGGGGATAAACCCAAGGCTTCTCCAATCAAGTTCACCTGGATTCAAATGTTTTATAAATCAAAGTTGCATAACAGGACACTTCTGATTTCCTCTTAATGTGATTTGAATCAGCAATGTATGGAACATCAATCAAACAGTCTCTGTCAGGAACCTATGCAAAATCCCATCATTTTAGCTAAATACGGAGGAAAGAAACAACCAAAAGTTCAATCAAAAGTTGGCTTCCACAACAGCTTCCTCATGAGTCACTACAGTGACTCTTGCCCAGCTGTCGGCTCTAATCCCCTCTCCTTGCTACAGCCACTGGTGGTGGTCCTAAAAGGCCTAAATGACGAAGTTCTAAGTCCTTAAAGGGTACCTGGTGGTTGTCAGGCCACACCCTTCTTCAGGCTCACCTGAGCTGCCTCCTCTGTGGAGTCTGTTTCAGCCACAAGGATGTCCCACTCCTCTCTCCATTCCTCCCCCACTTCACACTGCCTGGCTCTGGCTCATCCCTGAGCCCCCACATGCTGAGTCTTCTACCCTTAGTGATTCCCCAACTCCCCCACCTCTGCAATGAATTTAATTCAAGCAGCTCTTTCCAGAGACACGTTTTCTGACCAGATGGCAGGACATTGAAGCCCGTTCTATGCTTTCTCTGCATGGTGGACCTCGCCTTCATGAAACTTATCACAACTGGAATCAACTGAATAGTTGAGTAATTAGTTGTTGAAGGTCTGTTTCCTCCAAACAGCTTTATTGAGGTATAATTTATATGCTATATAAATATGTACTACGTATATACTGTGTAAATATATACTATGTAAATATATACTATACCCACTTTTAGTAAATGTATAGAGTTTTGCAATCATCACCATAATCTCTGTTTAGAATGCTTTGCTTCACTCCCAAAAAATACCTCTTGTCCATTTATAGTCTATCCTTCTTCCCACCCCCAACTCCAGGCAACCACTAGTCTATTTTCCATTGCTCTGGATTTGCCTATTCTGGGCATTTCACAGAGAATTTTATGATACATGGTCTTTTGCATCTGGCTTCTTTCGTTTGCTGCTTTTGCAGTGACTGCATGTTGTAGTGTGGATCAATAATGTTTCCTTCACTAGAATTTAACCTCATTGAAGGCAGGAACCTGGCACATTGTCCAATTCATGAATACTTATGGTGTAATTCACCCACTATGTGCCACATGCTGAGGGCGTATTTATTCATAAGTATTACCTATCCTTATCGTGAGTTATATATTCTTTGGGGAAAACAGGAAAAAAAAAGTAAACAGACACACTTCAAAATAATTGGAAGTTGTGGTAGGTTAGTTATAGTAACAGGTAAGGAGATGGGTTTAGAAGAGTTGTTATGGGTTTGCTTTAGCTTGTGGGGGGTGGTTTGTGCCTATAAGAGATTACAAAAATGTTTAAATAAATGTTGAATAAATAGATGATGACATAAAGTGTCTCAAAAAGTACCAGAAGGTGTATAAAACCATGCTTGTTTTCACACATAAGTGTTACTATCCTTAGTGACTTTTGGTGCTGAGGCCCTAGTGAGCAGAAATCCCATGTAAGGCCTGGCTCCATGAGTCTGAGCCAGAGAGCACGTGACTGTGCAACTCAAGGTTGAATAGCGGAGAGAGTCAGTGATATGGTTTGGATGTTTGTCCCCTCCAAAACTCATGTTGAAACTTAATCCCCAGTGTAACAGGATTAAGAAGTGTAGCCTTTAAGAGGTTATTGGCTCATGAGGGCACTGCCCTTATGAATGGGTTAATCCATTCATAGATTAATGGGTTATCATGGGAGTGGGTTGGTTATCACGAGAGTGGACCTGTTATAAAAGCCAGTTTGGCTGTCTCTCACGGGTACCTCACCATGTGATGACCTGTGCCACCTCGGGACTTTGTAGAGAGTCCCCACCAGCAAGAAGGCTCTCACCAGATATGTTTCCTTGACTGGACTTTCCAGCCTCCAGAACTGTGAGAAATAAACTTCTTTTTAAACAAGTTACCCAGTCCTAGCTATTCAGTTATATCAACAGAAAATGGACTAAGACAGTCTGGAAATTAAATAATCATAGTACAGACTGTTAAGTCTGCAAAATGGTACGGGCCTATGATGGAAATTCTCAACTCAGCACTGACGATAATTTGTGGCTTTGGCAAAACCACTTAACCTAATAATAATAGTAGATAAAATATATTGAATTGTTTCTATATATTTTTACTAAGTATTTAACATACATTACTCAGTTGATTTTTAAACTAACTCATTATGTGGTGGTTATATGTTATTAAACAATAATCATGACAATAATAATAATGATTATAAAATTTTTATTACTATAATAATTATAATCATTAGTATTACATGCCATACACTGATCTAAGCACTCTACTAGTATTCTCCACTTAATTTTCACGGCAAACCTAGGAGGTAAGTATTACTACGTCCACTAGGCTCCACGAAGGGCAAGAACTCCTTCGTTTATTCTTCAGTATAACTTCTATGCCAGCACAGTGCTTAATGAATATCTGTTGATTTGGTTTGAATCAAGGACTATCAGTTTTATAGATGAGGAAACTGAGCTACCTTACAGTACCTAATAAACTCACCCAAGGTCAGGCCAGCAGTAGGTGGTCAACTCAGATGTAAACCTGGTGAGTCTAAATTCAGAAGTCATGCACTTAAACTTTGTAATTGTTCCACTTATGATTATTTTTTAGAGACGAGGTCTTACTATATTGCCCAGGCTGGAGTACAGTGGCACAATCATAGCTCACTGAAGCCTCCAACTCCTGGGCTGAAGTGATCCTCCTGTGTCAGCCTCCTTAGTAGCTAGGACTGCAGGCATGTGCCACCACACCTGGCTAATTCTTAAATTATTATTATTTTTTGAGACAGAGTTTCACTCTTGTTGTCCAAGCTGGAGTGCAATGGCATGATCTCGACTCACTGTAACCTCCGCCTCCTGGGTTCAAGCGATTCTCCTGCCTCAGCCTCCTGAGTAGCTGGGATTACAGGTGCGCACCACCACACCTGGCTAATTTTTTGTATTTTTAGTAGAAACAGGGTTTCATCATGTTAGCCAGGCTGGTCTTGAACTCCTGGCCTCAGGTGATCTGCCTGCCTTGGCCTCCCAAATTGCTGGGACTGTAAGTGTGAGCCACCCACCTAGACTGCTCAGCTTACTGAGTTCTTGAATTCCTCTTCTGCAGAATGTGACTTTTGCCTGTAATGATCTTGAGGTCCCCTGGCTCTAAATCTCTACATCAAAACTACATTACAGCCCTGTGTACATGAATTATATGCCTACATTTTGGAGGTGAACCAGGGAGATATAAATTTAGGAATCTAGGCCAAGGAAAGGTATTGGTGAGGAAACCTCCCTAAAAGCCTGAGTCCTTCCCAGCAAGTAGAAAAATAGTTACAAAAAGACAACTACCCCATCTACATGGCCCATAAGCTGGATCAGCATGTAAGGTGGTCACCCAGCTTCCTACATACCCAGCACCATGTGGGAGCAAGACAAGATACAGCATCATGTACCATAACAGAATCTAAGCATGAGTATGGCATTCCATCACTTCTGCCATATTCTGTTGATGAGAAGCAAGTAACTTGATCTGACTGATCTCACAAAGGATGAAATTATATAAGGTCATGACTCATTGGGGGCCACCTCAGGGTGTGTCCTACCACCAGGTTACTAGGTTAAATGATAAGTACATGTAAATATGACTAGATGTGGCTATATATTACATAGCACAAAGCCTGTAGATACCCCGTTCCTAACAGCAGTTGATGAGACTATCAGCTCCCTAATTTCCTTGGTATTATTTTTCTAATTTATCTATCTTGCTAATTTAGAAAGATTTAAGGTTTAATGATTTGTTTACACTTATTTAATACAGAATCATGTGTTTGCTTACAAGTCACAAGTAGATTACAGCACAGACAAGTGCTTGAGAGCGATCAGGAGACAGACTTGGTTTGGTTTGCGCTCTACAACTTATCGGCTGTGTGACCTTGGGAAATTTCTCAATTTCTCTGAACCTCAGTTTCCTTCTCTGTACAAAGATTTAAAAATAATGCTGATCTTGTTGAGCATTTAATGGCATAATACATATAGATTACTTAGCCTGGCGCCTGGCAAATAGCTCTTAATGTACTGAATGTTTGCTGTGATTTTCAGTTTATCCTTAGTGGCAATAGTATCTTCAGCATCATCACAAGCTTGTATATTATGCTTCTTTTCTTTTGAGACAGGGTTTTGCTGTGTTGCCCAGGCTGGAGCCCAGGGGCATGATCATGGCTTACTGCAGCCTCAACCTCCCAGGCTCAAGCAATCCTCCCACCTCAGCCTCCTGAATAGCTGAGACCAGAGGTGTATGCCACCACATCTGGCTAATTTTTAAATATTTTTTTCAGATGGAGTCTCATTATATTGCCGAGGCTGGTGTCCAACTCCTGGGCTCAAGTGATCCTCCCACCTCAGCTTCCCAAAGTGCTGGGATATGAGCCACCATGCCAGGCTTGTAGTACCTTCTTGTTTTGTTGTTGTAGTTGTTGTTTTTGAGACAGGGTCTCACTCCATTGCCCAGGCTGGAGTGCAGTGGCTTGATCTGGGCTCACTGCAACCTCTGCCTCCTAGGTTCAAGCAATTCTCTTGCCTCAGCCTTCTGAGTAGATAGGATTACAGGCATGAGTCACCACATGCGGGTTTTTTTTTTTTTTTGTATTTTTAGTAGAGATGGGGCTTCACCATGTTGGCCAGGCTGGTCTCGAACTCCTCACCTCAAATGATCCACCTGCCTTGGCCTCCCAAGATGTTGGGATTATAGGCATGAGCCATTGCGCCTGGCCCCAGGCTTGTAGTATCTTCTTGATCAGCCTTATGGATCATGGCTCTCAGGTCTCAGAGATCTAATGATAGTGTCTGTGTACTGATATATACTCTTTATGCATTTATATCTCCCTTAAGTACAAATTGTACTAAAGAAGACTTAAGTGGTATATATTACATGTTAAGCCACTTTATTGAGATATGATTAACATATAAAAAATTGTGCATGTCTAATTTATATATCTCCATGACTTAGAGGCGAGTATACACCCATGAAACCATCACTATCATCAAGGTCAAGAATATACCCATCATCTCCCAAAGTTTCTTCCTGTCCCCTTGATCACTATTATTATTATTTTTTATTTTTAACTTCCCACACAACACCAACATAGATTATGATCATGGCTGTTTTTTTCTTTTTTCTTAGTAAGAATATTTAACATAAGATTTACTTCCTTAGTAAATCTTAAGTATGCAACATGGTATTGTTAGATACAGCCACTATGCTGTATAGTAGATCTCCAGAACTTACTTACCTCAAGTGGTATTTTTAAGCCTGGTTTTGAAATACGTTTTTATTTGGTGATTGTTTTGTTTTATTGTTTTCTGAGTGTCAGAGTTACTTGCAAGTCAGTGATACTGAAAAGCCTTTCTCTCCCTCATAAAGTCTTGAATTTCTCATTACGCATTAAACATTGTTTGCCTACTTTTAATTTTTGTTTTTTACTCAACTTTCCCCATCTATCATAATCCCTTCCAGTATCAGGAGAAATCATTCAATAGGTTTGTGGAGATATCTTGCTTATAAACCACGTGGAGTAAATGCCTTAGATTGAATCTGAGGACAGGTCTGACATAGTTGGGGTTGACAGTTTTACTTTTCCGACAATTTTTGATTTACTGTTTTGGGTTTTATATGGGCAGGGGATGAAGATGGCCACACATATATATATATATCTATATATCTATATAGATATATAGATATCCATCTAGAAAGAGACTAAGACGACCACAAGTTGAATACTGAGCTTGAATCTCTGACCTTGTGGAATCTTGCTTTTTTTTTTTTTTCCTTTTGAGATGGAACAGAGTTTCATTCTTGTCGCCCTGGCTGGAGTGCAATGGTGCGAACTCAGGTCTCTGCAACCTCTACCTGCCAGGTTCAAGCAATTCTCCTACCTCAGCCTCCTGAGTAGCTGGGATTACAGATGCCCACCACCACTCCTGGCTAATTTTTGTATTTTTAGTAGAGATGGGGTTTCACCATGTTGGCCAGGCTGATCTCGAACTCCTGGCCTCAAGTGAAATGTCCATCTTGGCCTCCCAAGATGGCTGGAATTATAGGCATGAGCCACTGCACCCGGCCAAAATCTTGCTTCTTGACTGTTGTAAAACTCTTTACTAAAAATATAACTTTATTAAAAGTATAACTGTGGGGAAGTGGCAGATCATGTTTCAGGGAAGAAAGTTTTTGTCTGGTTTGTGATTGAAAATACTGGCTGAAGATTCAGGCCTGATTCAGATGGACTCAAATTTCGATCGTAGATCTGTTGTGAGCTATTTTTGGCAAGTTACTGTGTATACTGAAGCCACAGGATCACAATTCATTAGAGTCAACTAATACCCAGGGAATAAAGTAAGCCAGTGACTTCAAGAACTTTATGTGCCACTGTCAGAGAGAGACAATAAAGAAATAATAAGTACACAGGTAACATGATGCCTGCTAGTGACTGGTGGGAAGGACTAACATGATGGGGGTTGAGAATGCTGCTTTAGGGAGGATGCTGGAGGAGTCCTCTTCAAGGTGACATGTAGGCAAAAATCAGAGGTAAAACCTGCTTTGTAGGATTGTTATGAAGATTCATTGAGTCTACAAAGCCTTTGAAATAGAACCTGACATCTATACTTGGAATAATCTCTTCTTCACGTGTGTGTGTGTGTGTGTGTGTGTGTGTATTTGTGTGGGTGTGTGTCCTTTTATAATTAATGACATATATCCATTCCTTATAGTCTTACAATAAACACTTGAGTTTTGGAGCTAGAAGAAGCAGATCCACGGACAGTGAGATATGAATGTTCAAGCCCAAATGTTGAGGCCAGGGAGGAGAAGCTAGAATGCCGCAACTGGGTAGAATTATTCTAGGAGAAGTCACAGCAATGTCCCATCTTCTGTGAGACCAGAGGAAAAGCACATGCACTGATGTGTGTCCATGTGTGCATACTTGCGACTGCAAATATATGCATGCACATATGTGTTCATGTTTTGGCAAAGAAGGTCCTATAGGTTGTTCTCAGGGTCAACCCCCTCAACCCCTCCCTGGCAGGGAGGGTTTTCCCCTGCTCTACTTTATCCTATATTTTTGGAGGTGTTCTTAAATGGCCGTATGCAATGTAAATTTCATTTAGATTTGGTTTGGGGCAGAGTAGGTCTGTTACTTCTGCCATTTGCTTCTCAAATGGATTATTTCATTTACTTGTTTACACAGTGACACAAAATCAATCCAAAGTCTTTTTTTTTTCAGCAGTACACGTGACTGTCCAATCCCAGCAAAAGAGTGCTTAAATTGTGTGATCCAGTGCTTAAAGTGGGACAGAGCATTTAATTACAGTTTAATTATCTTTGCAGAAGTGGAGCTCAGCGGTGCTTTGGTTGGTTGGTGGGCAGCTGTAGCTTCTGGGTTTCCTGCTGCCTTTTTTGAGAGTGAACTTGTTTGTAACACAATCAGATTTGCAGGTTGTAGCTTCCCAGGCCCTATCAACTGAGAATTTCATTGCTTTTAAATTGCAAGCCTTTTGTTATCACTACAACTGTGAGCCAGACAGTCAGAATCAAAGCAAAAAGAAATGCCACCATATGAAGAGGACTGAGTCATAGCTTTGGTCTGGTCCAAGTTACAGAGAATGCAACTTTCAGATTATTTGCAATCCCGATTCCTTGTCCATGATATCATGTGTTGCTTTTGCTTCTTATTTGCAATTTCCAGTACATATCAATATCCTTGAGTGAAGTTTAATTGTGGCCTCCTTGCATTTTTGCAGCAGAGGTACCTGAAATTTTTAATATATATTCTTGCCTCACACAAAGAAAGGGAGTAAAAACTGTTTTCATGAAAAGAAGGTACAAGAATATAAGCATTGTGTTGATGACTCTGTAATCTGTCTGCATCTGGTTAATAGGATAACAAAAACAGTTATCAGAGAGACGAGCCAAAGAATAAAATGTAATTTTGCAGAGCCTGGGCGACATTTCTATTCGTGATTTCCGTTTGCTATGCATTAAAGCACAATGGAGCCATCAGGAGGGAATGAACTTTGTGATAGGAAAGTTTTAGCCGCTGTTTGTCAGCTGTCACCGGATGCAAGGGTACCGCAGCTGGAGCTGAGCTTGTCACTTCAACTTCTGCTAGAAAGGTACCATAAATTGGATGCAGGGACAAAAAGCAATGTAATCAAAATGAATCCCCAAGATTGAGGAGAGACTTTTAGGACCGGAGGGCCCAGGAAGATGTTTCAGCAGGCTGCAACAGGAATGCTGCTGGCAAGGTGGTTTCTTTCTCTAGCTTCACCTTCCATGCTTGGTGATTGTGTTCCTAAATAAGCTGCCAGGTGTCCACTTGCTGAGTTATGTTGAGGCACTTTGCACAAATATTGAATGTTCAGGTGGCAGTTGTTAGGCGGCATTAGTGTGCCCTTATATGTAATAAAATGTTGATTTCCTGTTACTTGTTTGCACAAACCTATCTCTGACTTTATTCTTATTGATACCTATCTAGGACTGCTCCAAAAAGAAATAAAAGGGTAGAATCCATCAAAGCAGTTCCGGTAAATGAAACAAAATTCAGAAATCTCTGTTCTCTCCCCTCTCATTCCTTGCAGCTTCATTAGAAACTGAGTTGTAGAAAAGAAAGAAAGGCCGATTGAGGAGGTAGGAGACCTCTTTTTAACTGAGCACTGCTTGTGACTGCAAAGGAGAGAATTAACTTTGTCCCAGGTCTACCTTGAAACATTTCACCTTCACCATTGTCCTGTGACATAAGAATGTCTCCACTATTTTAATAGAAGAAAAAAACTAAGTATGAGACAGCTCTGGCACTTGCATAGCTAATACACAGTGCACCAGAGAAGATTTGGTTATGACCAGGCATACTAATTTCCTATTGCTGCTGTAAAAAAAAAAAAAAAAATCATACCAAACTTAATGACAAAGCAACACAGATTTGTGATCTTAAGTTCTGGAAGTCAGAACTCCTAAAACCAGTGTGTCAGCAGGACTGTGTTCCTTCTGGAGGCTTTAGATCAGTTTCCTTGCCTTTTTAGATCCTAGAGGCCTCCTGCACTGATATGACCTGAGGCCACTTCCATATTCAGAGCCATGACCTTTCAAATCTCTCTGTCTCTGACCTCTGCTCTAGTTGTTCATCTTTGCCTCTGATTCTCCATTGAACCCATATGGATAATGCAGAATAACCTTGTATTAGTCTGTTTTCACACTGCTGTTAAAGACATACCTGAGACTGGGCAATTTACAAAAGAAAAAGGTTTAATTGGACTCACAGTTCCACATGGCTGGGGAGGCCTCACAATCATGGCGGAAGGCAAGGAGGAGCAAGTCACATCTTATATGGATGGCAGCAGGCAAAGAGAGGCTTGTGCCGAGAAATTCCCATTTTTAAAACCATCAGAACTTGTGAGACCCGTTCACTCTCAGGAGAACAGTACAGGAAAGACCCGCCCCCATGATTCAATCATCTCCCAAGAGGTCCCTCCCATAACACCTGGGAATTATGGGACCTACAAGATGAGATTTGGGTGGGAACACAGAGCCAAACCACATCACTCCTCATCTCAAGATCATTGACTTCATCCCATTGGCAAAGTCCCTTTTGCTATGCAAGGCTGCATATTCATAGGTTCTGAAGGTTGGATATCCGTGGGGAGCCATTTTTCAGTCTACCATACCAGGCTGTAGAAAATAGTGTTATGAGAAGACCAACTCTATTCTTCCAGGTATCTTCAGGCAGAAGAGCCCTTGATCCACAAACTTCTGTGGCAATTTCTAGAACTGAGCAGGATTATTTTAAAACTAAGAATAAGTTTCAGTCATAAGATTTGTTTTTCTTTATCGCATAATCTATAAATTTCACATATCCAGTTTCAAAGACTTTCAGTGAAGCCAATTTTTAAAAAGTTGACTTAAATTAGAAACAGGTGTCTGAGGACATTAAATACAAATGCCTGGTTCCTTAGAACTTTTGGTATATGTAGATGCAGACTTCATTTCTAGGCACTAACACAGGGTCACTTTGTATGTTCAAAAAATGCAGAAATAAATCTGGTGCCTTTTTTTTTTTCAGTTTCCCAGCTATAACTGGCTCAAGAGGCCATAGCTGACCTCATTATTTCTGCAGCCTCTTGTTACTACAATGTTTACATCTTCAAGAGGCCCCATGCTGAATCTAGAGAGTGTCTTCCTGAAAAGAACAGAGTTGTTTAAGTGCATGAGTCCTAGAGCTATAGTGTTGGGGTTTCCATCTGGGACTCAAACTTTTCTAGCTAAGTCAGTTGGGCAAATGTGTTAACTGTACCTGTGCTACATTTTATTACCTTTAAACAATCATGATAATGATGACTCTACAGTATTACTGCAGTAAGGTTTACAGGCTGAATAAGATGCTTCTGCTACATCAAGGATGCTCAATAATGCTAACTCTTATTAGTATCACTGACAAACCATGTCAGTATTTAGTGGAGACTTCACACGGAAGAGATACATTTTTCAATGCCTATTTTTTCTTTCTTTTTTTTTCTTTTTAGATGCAGTCTAGAAAGTAAAAAAGAAAAAAGGAAGCATTTTTATTTTCTGACTTCTTTAAACTACCTTTTACAGTCATTAGTTTTAGATTTTGTTTTTTTACCTTATTTTTCTCTAAAAGCTGTCTCTCCTTGATTTGAGTGGATTTTTTGAGTCTGCAAAGCCCAGCTACCTCCCTCCTGAAGTGAGTGATTACTGAACCTCTGACCCCTTAGCCTTCCTCACCCTACCACATGTCCTTTGTATTACTCTTCATACCAGGAATTGGACCCTGTACACACTGAAAACAATATTTCTAGGAGAGAAGCAGAAGCACTGTATTTCCTTCTACTTTATGTGCATTTCAAAGTTTGTCATCAATTCCTCGGGCAGTAAACTTTTTTTCACATTGTTAAGAATTTGTGGCTAATATGCCTCTTCTGAACTGAAATGTGTCCCCCCAAAATACATTGATTGAAGCCCTGACTCCCAGTGTGACTATATTTGGAAACAGGACCTTTAAGGGTCAGTTAAGGGTAAATGAGGTCAAAGAGTAGGGCCTTAATCCAACAGAAGTGATTGGTTGGTATCCTTAGAAGAAGAGGAAGAGGCACCAGGAGTGTGTAGGCAGAGAAAAGAACACCTGTGCAGACACAGTGAGAAGGCAGCTGTCTGCAAGCGAAGGAGAGAGCCCTCGCCAAGAACAAACCCTGTTGGTGCCTTGTTCTTGGACTTCCAGCCTCCAAAACTATGGGAAAATAAATTTTTGTTGTCTAAGCCTCCCAGTCTGTAGTACTTTTGTTGTGCAGCTCCGTCTGATTAATGTACTGCCTAATGAAGACTTATTTTAAAAATAAGAAAGCATCCAGGCACGGTGGCTCCTGCCTGTTGTAATCCCAGCACTTTGGGAGGCTGAGGCGAGTGGATCACCTGAGGTCGGGAGTTTGAGACCAGCCTGGCCAACATGGTGAAACCCCGTCTCTACTAAAAATACAAAAACTTAGCCAGGTGTGGTGGTGTGTGCCTATAATCCCAGCTCCTCAGGAGGCTGAGGGGGGAGAATTGCTTGAACCTGGGAAGAGGAGGCTGCAGTGAGCCGAGAATGTGCCACCCTGGGCAACAGAGAAAGACTCCATCTCAAAAAAAAAGAAAGCTTAGCTGGTGATATGGTTTGGCTGTGTCTCTACCCAAATCTAATGTTGAATTGTAGCTCCCATAATTCTGACATGTTGTGGGAGGGACCTGGTGGGAGATAACTGAATCATGGTGGCAGTTTCCCCCATACTGTTCTCATGGTAGTGAATAAGTCTCATGAGATCCACTGTTTTTCTAACAGGTATCCCCTTTTGCTTGGTTCTCATTTCTTTCTTGTCTGCTGCCATGTAAGACGTGTTTTTTGCCTTCCAGCATGATTGTGAGGCCTCCTCAGCCACATAGAACTGTGAGTCCATTAAACCTCTTTTTCTATATAGGTTACCCAATCTCATGTATATCTTTATCAGCAGCATGAAAATGGGCTAATACAGCATGTGTCAGTTACTTTGCTTAATCACATTCTATGCATTCACTCATTTAATCTTCTCAGCACCTCTGAAGAGGGTTCTAGTATTGCTGTCACTTTAGAGACAGGATAGCCGAGGCTTCTAGAGGTAAAACCACACATAGCTAGCGCAATGCAGAGTTGGGAAGCAAACGTTGGTCTCTGTGAATTCAGAGGTCATGTACTCAACTGCCGCATGTGTTATCTCCTGTGTGAGGGGTGGGAACTGTGAGCTGAAATACTTATTGGGGCTTGGCAGCTAAGTTAAATGAATAAAGCAAGGTGGTGGCAAAGAGGACCTCCCTCTTAAATAGAGGAAGCATTACATGCATCCAGCTGATTATTGCCTCTTAGAAATGTGGAAAGAAGTTTGTCTTCTCATTTTTTAAGATAATTGGAGAATATGGATTTTTCTGTGAAATTTTCTAATATTGACGACAACCTGTTAAAGTCAAAGTGATATTCCTTACCTGTTACCATGCAGGTCAAACCAACATGGCTTCAGAATAGACGTGGCCTGGGGGCAGCCAGTTATAATCTCTGGAACACCTTTCTTTATGGTCAAAAATCCAGCATAGTTAGCCAGGTGTTGACTGAATTCATAATATACAATTTTTTTTTTTGAGATGGAATTTTGTTCTTGTTGCCCAGGCTGGAGTGCAATGGCATGATCTTGGCTCACCGCAACCTCCACCTCCCGGGTTCAAGTGATTCTCCTGCCTCAGCCTCCCAAATAGCTGGGATTACAGGCATGCACTACCACACCCAGCTAATTTTTGTATTTTTAGTAGAGACAGGGTTTCTCCATGTTGGCCAGGCTGGTCTCAAACCCCTGACCTCAGGTGATCCACTGGCCTCGGCATCCCAAAGTGCTGGCATTACAACAGGTGGGAGCCACTGTGTCTGTCCACTTTCCAAATAATTAATTTGGTTTATATGGCCAACCCATGAGTTTGTGAAACTTCAGTGAACCTGGTTTACTAAGAGATTACCATGGCAGGGTCCTTTTCAGAGCCTGGTTTATGGCAGATATCCAAAGAGTATTTAATCAAAAAGTGAATGATAGAGAAGACTTTTTATTGGCCAGGACTATAGGTAGAGAGGACAGAAGACACAGAGATAAAAAACATACAGAGCTTCCTTGGAAGTTCTATTTTGAGCAAGTCTAACTGCAGCTTGATTTTCTTGTCAGGGATCTTATTCTTCTAAAATATAGTCTTCAATGAGTTCATTGAGGGTTTACCTATACTAACTGATTCTGTTGATGTGTGATCACCCTACACTGCAGCAAGCTCTGTGCCAGGAACTGATGATATAGGTATGAACAAGGCAGCCTTGATGTCTGCTCCCATGGTATAGCAGGTGAAGAAAGCACACCTACCTTCTGAATCATAATGTATCTTACCTAGATTCGATTTTTAGCATTTTGAGCAATTCAGGTTTTATGGTTATGTGTGGAAGAGTTCCCTTCTTAACTGTGATGTCTTTAGGATTCCTATGTATTTCAGTCTAGGTTTTCTGAATGAAGGGAGGTAAGGTGGTTCTTGTGGATACACCTGAAAGTCAGTGCCATTTTTTAATGACTAATTTACACAAACTCTATTTTTTCTCTACAATGTCCTCTAAAGAACACCACGTGATAGTGGTGATATGGATATGTACCCCAGCCCCCATTTGCAGGAAAGTAATGAAAACTTGAGTTAAATATCTTCTTTGAAGTTACTCACCTGGTAAATGGTTTTATTAATCAAGATACTTTAGTCACAAGAGGGAAAAATAACTCAAACTAGATTGAGAAAATAAAAGGAATTTGTTGGTTTGTAAAATTGAAAAGCTCAGGCATAGACCCAGGGACCATGTTATTAGATTTCTGTCTTTCTGTATTTCTTGATTCTTCTATATTAGCTTGATTCAGCATGCACATTTCATCAGAAGCTCCAATATCCACCTAGCCTCTCTGCATATCTAAAGAAAAAGAGCACTTATTTTACAACAGTTCCAAGAAAAGTCTTAGGATTTGGTCTTGGAGTGGAATTCTAGTTCCTGAACCAAGGTGTGTGGTCAAAGAGGTGCAATATGCTAATGTGGCAGATGATATTTTCCAAAACTGGACACAACAATAATCGGGTCTGATAACATTGTAAAGCCTTGTCACAGCCTACTGAAAGGTAGGTGCTTCTCTTTGAATCAGGTGCAGTTTTGTCATTTTCTCAATGAAGAAAATGTGGTGGAAGTGAGGCTGCACAACTTCTGAGCTAAGTCACAAAATGCCAGACTCCTTTCATCTGGGCCTCTGTCTCTTAAAGCACTCACTTTGGGAATCTCACCATGTTGTAAGGAAACCCAGGCCACATGGACAGGCTTCATGTGGATGTTCTGGGCAGTAAACTTAGCTAAGGTCTCAGCCGACAGCAAACCTCAATGACCAGACCTGTGAGTGAGTACGACTTTGAATGACCACAGCCCTTGCCTTCACGCTGCCCCAGCTGATGCTGAGTGGAACAGAGATGAGCTATTCTCACTAAAGCCAGCCCCAGTTGCACATCTGTGTACAAAAACAAAAGATGCTGTTGTTGCCTTAAGACACTGAATTTGGGGCAAATTTATTTTGCAGCCGTGGTAAATGGTATATTGATCATGATTAAGTTGCATTACCATCCACAGAACTGGAGTTGGGAAGTGAAAGGGGAGAGTGAACCTGAAAGGACCATCTGTAGGGACAAAGCATGAAGGAAGGGTGGTTGATAACAGAAAAATCAAAGTGACATAGCTAGAAGAAGGGTGATGAGGATTAGCAGACACAAACAACAGATGCCAGTGGTAAAGGAAGCTTCAAATATTGTCTTTAAAATTCATGCTCTTTTTACTTCCTGATGATTTTCTTTCCTTACCTGAGCTGCCCACAGACAGGTTGGAACAGAGTGTAAAGATGTAAATTACAATATAACATGAAAGGTGATTATCCTTTCCGCTAGAGCAGATAATTGAAGATTGGTTGCATTAGATAGCATGCATTCTGTTTTCGCATCTCAGCCTGTGATGGTACAGCCTAGCAGGACTGGGATGGCCCTTGAGATACATTGAGATATATATTCCTCGCCCTTGTGTCTATATGGGGACTGGTTGCTCCAAGTTATATTTTGTGTTTTCATTGCTTATTCGTATACGTTTTAACATCAAAAACACAATCTGGGGCCAGAAGGCAAATGGTAAATGTTAATTAAATTATTTTGAACTTTTTTCTAAATCGTTTTACATTTTCATGTTATATTTCTTCCCTGGTATTGGTTTCCAGGCATCATTGGTAGAATAAGCACATGTTGCCTATGTGAATTTTGCTGGCGCTTGGGGAAGAAGTGGCTACCACAGCATGGTGATAATACATTAGTAATTTGTTGTGAGCCCCCAAATGGCAATATGCTTCAGAAATGCCTTTTGATAGCTGCACAAGGACAGAATAATTCATTAATATAATCAATCATTTAATATCCCATTTTCTGATGGGAAGACACATTAACACATTTTAGGGAGATTAAAATTCTCCCCAAGATCTAACTGGTTCTCAGTTGTCCTGTCAATGTCCAAGTAAGAAAATGTATCTAGCAAATATTTTCACATATTAGATGGAATAATTGTTTTCCTGGTTCTGCCCATTTAATGCAAACTTGCTGATACATCTTCCCCACTTCCAACTAAGTTATCTTTGTACAAACCAACTGATTGTATTCTATCCCCTGCTTATAAAAACAAATCAAGTCATTGGTTCTGTTTCATAAAGCTTTTTTGAGGGCCCACGCAGCCTTTTCTGTCTTAGCCCCATCCTACCTATTAACTTCTCTGTCTGCTTTATAGTTTTCAAATTCCTCAGGCTCCATCAACCACAAGCTGTGTCAGGTATGTGTTGCTTAGCCCATGATGATTCCTTTTTCAGAAGTGTCTATTTTCCATTTTCCACATCTAATATTTCAATTGTTTTCTATATACGCTAAGACATTTCTTGCTTTCTTTATATTCCAGCATCACAGTATATGCCTATGTGTATGTGCATATGTGTATATATATAAAATGCATTTATATATTTTTATTTAAATTATTTTTTTGATGCTCAAAGCCACAACTAAACTGAGAGCTGCCTGACAATTAGATTGTGTCTAGTTCCACTTTATATATCCAATACTCCCTTCAGTGTACAGATTATAATAAGTAATGGATGGATGGATGACTCATTGACAGAGGGAATCATAATCAAGTGAAGATTACAATTAATAAATACATATAAAGTACATATGTCGGCTAGGCGCGGTGGCTCATGCCTATAATCCCAGCACTTTGGGAGGCCAAGGTGGGCAGATCACCTGAGGTCAGGAGTTCAAGACCAGCCTGACCAACATGGTGAAACCTGTCTTTACTAAAAATAAAAAAATTAACTGGGCACGGTGATGGGTGCCTGTAATCCCAGCTAGTCAGGAGGCTGAGGCAGGAGAATCGCTTGAGCCTGGGAGTCAGAGGTTGCAGTAAGCCAAGATCTGCCATTGCACTCCAGCCTGGGCGACAAGAGTGAGACTCCATCTCAAAAAGAAAAAAAAAAGAAAATATATATGTCGCTAGCCTTTCCCCATTTCCCAGTTCATTAATGAAAACACTGTTCTTGCCCTTTCATTTTTCCTTTTTTATGATGGAAGTGTATATCTGTGTCAGACCTTCTCTGGACATTGCCCACGAAGAATGAGAACACATTCAGAGAGTAGCAAGACCAGAGAGATGGTGAGGTGGCAGGACATAATAAAGAAGATTAAACCCAGCCAGGAGTCCCATGGGTTCTGAACCTGCACGCTGCTCACAAGAGATTTCTCCCTGTAGATTGCCCTTTCCCAATGAATGTGTATATCTTTAGGATACTCATGAACTCTCCATCTTATCACAGACTCTGCAGGTCTTCTACTGACTCATGGTCAATTGGAAATGGGGAACCAGGCTTTAACCCTCTAGATGTATCTGCCTCCAAGTCCATGTTCATACACTGAAAGGCTGAGTCCCACTGGACCAGTCCTGGATTCTCCTCTTTTTAAAATATATAGTTTTTTCTGGACAGTGACAAATCTTTTTTTTTTCCCCCGAGATGGAGTCTTGCTCTGTCACCCAGGCTGGAGTGCAGTGGCGTGATCTCGGGTTACTGCAACCTCCATCTCCCGGGTTCAAGCAATTCTCCTGCCTCAGCTTCCTGAGTAGCTGGGATTTCAGGCACCCGCCACCATGCCTGGCTAATTTTTGTATTTTTAGTAGAGACGCGGTTTCACCATGTTGGCCAGGCTGGTCTCAAACTCCTGACCTCGTGATCTGCCCACCTCGGCCTCCCAAAGTGCTGCGATTACAGGCATGAGCCACCGCGACCGGCCGACAAATCTTAAATTTGAAATTAAATTGTTAAGGATATCTTTATATGGTAGAAAATAACATTCACAGATGCCAAAAAGTAGAAATCTTTCCAGCATCTTCCCTTAATGAATTTTGACCAAATATTTCCTTGATCATAATACTTTTCTTTCAAAACTCTAGATGGTCCTTATGTAAAAATTTTGTGATTCATTTTTTTAAAAAAATTGTATCTAATCTTTTATTTTCTTTCTTAAGTTTATGTTTTTCTAGACATTTTATAATGACATTTTTTAATCCAGAGAGAAGTTGAAAGAATTATGAACACCTGTATTTTCAGCAACTAGTTCCACAATTAGCACCTTGTCACATTTCTCTAATTATTCATTTTCTATTTTCACCTTGTCACATATTTCTCTAATTATTCATCTCATTGTTTATTGATCTACATTATTTTTTATGTAATTAAAAACATAAGATGTAGACATCATTATACTCTATACTCTACCTGGGAACACTTTTGGTTACTCTCCACTGCCTTCAAGTAGTTGTTTATTATACTTGGAAAGAAAGTTTAGAGTTGTTACATGTTAGTTTGATCCAAAAGGAACATTCCTGTTAGTAGTAGAAATGGAATCCTCAAGTTATTTTTTAGTTTTTGAATTTTCGTAGGCCTTTTCTAAATTAAAAAAAAAAAGCCACCAGAATAGGCCTAGGTATTAGAATCTTTTTATTAAATAACTTGACAGTTGGAAGGAGCCTTTTGATGTTCGGCAATGGTCAGCCATCTGGTTAGAAGAGATTGTTTTAGTCTTCCGGTAGCTGTTAATTTAGCTCCAACGTCTTTCTCTGTTCCATACTGTATTTGAGCTTCTTCAACCTGTTTCTCAAGTTTCTGTCTTTGTTTCTCTTTGTCTCTGTCTCCCTCTTTCTCTGTCTCTTTCTTTCTCTCTCTTCCTTTTGCCCTCTCATTTCCTTTAATGCATTTTTTATCCTAAAAGTAAAGTTTTTGCATATGTCTCCTACCACGCTAATTCATCTTTCTACAGTAGCCAATATGCCCTTCAATGCTTCTATTATACCTCTGTTATGCTTCTCAGTTTAGCAAATTTCTTCTTCTTTGTATCTATTATGTTTCTTGGTTTAGCAAATTTCTTAATTTACTTGCAATGCTTCCTGATTTCAAAGTGTTTCTTTTTTTTTTTTTTTTTTTTTTTTCTGGACTGTATGCCCTAAGTTCCATAGATGTCATATTTTGTTCTTTATTTTATTTTGTCAATAGATCCAAAAACATGTTCTAAAATAATGTATTTCTAGTATAAATTTAGTTCAGAAAGTCAACTTTTTTTGGTCATGTGCTTCACTTCATGGGAAGAGAGAGCTTTTCTGTTTGCTCATCCTGAGGGCCCCTCCTCCTTCCTGTCGTTCTGTTTTGGTGGGTCGCTATTCTGGAGAAGCTCATGTCTCAGAGGCATCCTTCTTACTTAGGATGCCTGTTTATAAGAGACATTCTGGCACCACATGAAATTTCTCTTTGTCTAGCCTCAATGTCTAGAAGTCGTCTTGCCATGGGGCCATGAAGTTTGTTACAGTAAGTTCCAGCGGGAGGCAACCGGCATGTCACCATGTATGCCTTCTGACTGTAGCTGGTGTTAATCCTGGTCTACACATTCAGCTGTACAGGAATGTTAACTGTCAGTTTTTCAGGTCAGTTTAATGTCTGACTCTGAAACCCCATTCTGTCAGATTGGCAGGAAAAGAAAGCAAGAATCTTGGTTTCAGTCTCCACCTTTTAGAATTCAGACCATTATCTGCGGTTTTGGATAATGTGACCACCTTGGAGACTAGATAACATCTGGACTTGGTCAGCTGACCCTCCTGTGAACCACCGAGGCATCATTTTTCTCTGAGCATCAAGGTACACCGGGACCAGTAATTTGTTGCTGTTTCATTATCACCTATTGGGTAACTTGTGTCAAAATGCTTGGTGCATCACACTGCCAATATCCTTCCTCTAGAGTTTTGTTTTTCTTCACTGGAAGGAACACAGGACCCACTTTTTTTTTTTTTTTTAAGTTTCTTTAGACACTGTGACTCATCTAATCCTTCTTTTCTCTCCTTCCTTCTTTATTTTCTTTCTCTCTTTGTACCTTTATCTCCTCCCCCACTAGCTATCTTTCTTTCTCTTATTTTTTTATTTTTTATTTTATTTTTTTTTGAGACACAGTCTCACTCTGTTGCCCACGCTGTAGTCCAGTGGCATGATCGCAGCTCACTGCAACCTCTGCCTCCCGGGCTCAAGCAATTCTCCTGCCTCAGCCTCCCCACTACGTGGGATTACAGACGTGTGCCACCACGCCCGGCTAATTTTTGTATTTTTAATAGAGATGGGGTTTCACCATGTTGGTCAGGCTGGTCTCAAACTCCTGACCTCAGGTAATCCACCTGCCTCAGCCTCCCAAAGTGCTGGGATTACAGGTGTGAGCCACTGCGCCCAGCCCCTTCTCTTCATCTTGTGTCCAGCAAGCATATTTACATTTTGAAACTAAACATGCACATGATATGACTTCTTGCTAGTGATTTGTTTCCAGGATCTCCTCCTAGTATATCCAAGGCAATGTACTATTTCATGGGAGGGGAATGGCTTTATAAAGCTTTTGTATCTACTCTCTCACAGTAATTTCTGGGGAGTCTGGGGATTTGGATGACAACTTTCTTCATTTCCAAATCTGAATCAGCATTCTGGTTTCTTGGCTATCTCATGGAGATCTGGAAGAATAATAAGTGCTGCCTTTCATTAGGATACAACTGCATCTAAAGGCCTCTAATCACTTTTTAGGATATATTTAAAAAAATCTAAACAAGGGCCCCCAAATAAACTACAAGCTTTGTATTTTTTTAGAAAAACTATTATATGGAATAATTAAACTGACAGAGTCAAGGGGATCTTTTCAATACTAATGAATGAAGATTGTATTATTATTATTATTATTATTATTATTATTATTTTGAGACAGAGTCTCGCTCTGTCACCCAGGCTGGAGTGCAGTGGTGCGATCTTGGCTCACTACAAGCCCCACCTCCCAGGTTCATGTCATTCTCCTGCCTCAGCCTCCCGAGTAGCTGGGACTACAGGCGCCTGCCACCACGCCCTGCTAATTTTCTTTTTGTATTTTTAGTAGACACAGGGTTTCACTGTGTTAGCCAGGATGGTCTCGATCTCCTGACCTCGTGATCTGCCCACCACGACCTCCCAAAGTGCTGGGATTACAGGCGTGAGCCACCGCACCCAGCCAGATTGGATTATTAAAAAGAAAAACACTGATAGCAAACAGGGATTCCAAATTTATTCTTTGGCTTAAAAAATTTCAATATTGCTGTCATCAGGATTTCTCATTTTGAGCTCAGTTCATAATGATTCTAGGTTTGATCATATTTTAAACTTGTATCACTCTAAAATGTTAGGTTAAAACATAAAATTACAGTTTATGACAGTCAAATAATGTTGAATAACAGCAACTTCATGTGTTTAAGTAATAGGTAAGGTTTTTGCTTTATGCACCTTTTAGTGAGTGTATTATACATCTATCTATGGTAGACACATTTAAGAAGAGGCACGGGAGGCTGAGGCATGAGAATCACTTGAACCCGGGAGGCAGAGGCTGCAGTGAGCTAAAATCACATCACTGCACTCCAGCCTGGGCAACAGAGTGAGACTGTCTCCAAAACAAGAAAAAAAAAAAAAGAACAAGAGGGAATCTTTGCCATTCATTTTTTCTGAAATGCTATTCAAGGCAGATGGTATACCACTCAGATGGCCAGCTAGGTGACTTCTTTTCCCAGGAATGTCTTGGGAACCTGCATCTATTCCTCCTAACATGTCTTCCTTCCTCTTCACCAGAAAAGATAACAGGCAACCTGGGAGAAGTCTCTTAACAGGATGCATTTTCTCATGTTTTTAAAGTGAGAGCTAAAATGTTGTATTCCTAACAAATTATGTTTTGATATTTAAAATTTCCACTGACCACATAGCAGGTCCAGAGCAGACATTTTTCCCTACATTTTTCATCTCTTGAAGGTAGATAACTCCAAGGAACTGGACGTGTAATTCAGAAAATTTGCAACCTTTAATAAATCATATGGGTTCCTTCCTAGAAGAAATGGGCTTGGTTTCAGTTTTGAATGAGAGGTTTCTGCTTCTCGGACTATGAGACTAACCCAGGTGTGTTCCCAGACTCTGCTTGGTCTCTCACTCTTCTACTCAAGCAGAGGTCTGAGATGACATTTGGGCTGGAGGAATAGCACCCTCATATATTAGCAGTGCCTACTATAGATGAAGAATTGGAGAGTGAAGGGCTGGTGTCAAACAGGTTCGATCTCTATACTTGCCTTTACGAAATCAGATTTAAAAAAAAGAGTAGAAATAGTAAATTCCCTTGAAAAGATATTTGAAAGTATAATGGCACTAAAAGAAGATGCTCAGTTATTTAAATTTAGCATGTTCATCATCTGGGCATGTGGGAAAGGAAATATCTGAAGTAGATGATGTGTGTGGGCAGGTAGATTTGTGATGTATTTGCCAACATGAGCAGAGGAGAGAAGGAGAAGAACATAAGGCCAAATACAAAAAAAAAAAAAAAAAAGTGACAGAACTATGGGAAGAGTTTTAGGGAGGCTAAAGGTCATGATCCATTAAACCTTGTGGAAATATTATATAAAGGGAAAAATGCTTTATAGTGATAAGTCAGACAAGAAGATAAATTGGAAAAAAAAGCAACACATCTCTTAGGGGCATGGTAAGAAGTTTCACAATGGCATGGACATTCAGTCATCATTTTATCTCAATCTTCTTTCCCAACCAACCTGATCATCAGTCTGGAAGTGTCAAGCAAACATCATTAATGGGTGAATTAAAGTTGTGTCTACAACATTAAGATAACTCAAGTGTTGGCAAACTTTTTCTGTAAAGGCCCACAATGTATAAATATTTTTGGCTTTACAAGCCTTATGGTCTCTGTTGCAACTACTCAACTCTGCGGCTGTGGAAGAAAAGCAGATGTAGACAATATAGAAATGAATTATTGTGGCTTTGTTCCAGTAGGTCTTAATTTATGGACATTAAATTTTGAATTACATGTAATTTTCACATGTCATGCAATGTTCTTTGGCCTCTTATTTTTTCAACCGTTTAAAAATGTTTTTAAAACATGTATGTTTTAATCCCTCTAAAAATATGCAACAGGAAAAAGTAGGCTTGTGGGCCACAGTCTGATGATGCTGAAATGAAATATCACTTAGTCATTTTTAATGTGGTGATGAAATTTTCTATTAAATGAAATATACTAGCATGCTGAAAAGCTTGGAGATATGACTAAGGAACCAACAAACCATAACAGATGGTATTGGCTGAGTGAAGGATCAAATTTGGAGACAAACTTGTGTACTAATGTTGTAAAAGGTGGTAAATTGTCACTTCTGGGAACCATAGACCAGAATGTGTGAGATCAATCACTGAAATATATTGGAACACATTATTAAACAAGCGGAGACACAAAGAATTGATTACTCCCTAGAGTGAATGACAAAAATAAATATCAAACTCTAAAAAAATTGGCAGACTACATTATTTAAATAGCATAAGTGGCATAGATATAGGGTATATTGAGTATGCAGGAAAATAGTAGGCCAAAATTTTCAACATACACTACTGAAAAAAAAGAAGTTGACTAAATAATAACATAATTATATAGGGTCATAATTGTTTTAACAATGTTCAAGTATACTAATTGATGAGTTTATATTCCACTGAGTCTGTCAAACCTTATCATGATGCTAAATATTAATTTGGATGCCTAAATGCCAGCTCAGCATTCTAAATTGCTTTCTGCCTGACTGTTAACTTGAATACTAAAGCCACTTCACATTTTCAAATGACTGTTTAACAAGGGCTTTTGTCTTCATCATTTTGCTGAACAGAATACCAAAGACTGCATAACCTATTAAAAAAAAAGTTTATTTCTCATGGTTCTGGAGGCTGGGAAGTCCAAGGTCAAGGGACTGCATCTGGTGAGGGCCTTTCTGCTACATCATCCCATGGCAGTAGGGAGAAGGGTAAGGGAGTGTGCAAGAGCAAGGGGGAAAGAGGACAAACTCATCCTTGTATCTAGAACCACTCTTTGATAACCTGCTCCAGAGATAATGGCATTGATCCATTCATGAGAGCAGAGCCCCCATGACCTAATCACCTCTTAAACGTCCCACCTCTTAACCGTCACAATAAAAATTAAATTTCAAAATCAATTTTGGAGTGGACATTCACACCAAAGCAGATTCCAAAAGAATCATGTTAAAAATACCCCAGATTATAAAATTATGAATCCAAAACCAAAAAGACAATATAAAGCAGGCATAAAAACAAAAGTTTAGGTTGAAACAATCACTTTTATTTATAAGTATAGATGGCAAAGAACTTAGCATAACTGCTTTTGTCTTTGGGTTGAGTGTAGGTGAGTGGGTAGTATGTGTTATTTTTCCAAAAAAGACTAGGTGGTTGTAGTTAATTGTAAACTCACAGTTAGCCAGTGATTTGACATGTTTATAAAGGTATGTGGTATATTTTCTTTTCTCTTTCCAACACCTTGTGTTGCAATTTAGGACACTGTGAAGTAAAGGAAGAATTCTGTTCACTTGTGATTTGAAAATTTTTCTCATCAAGATGATAACTTGGAAGCATTTTTGATAATCATTTTGCCCAGTGAGATTATGTCTTTGGACAGCTTGGTTGGGTCAAATTTTCACAAACTGCTAGGATATTCATAATGGGCCATCTGCAGTTTTAAGTATTCAGTTGATTCATCCAACTGTATATTAAATTTACCAGACCATCAATGTAAGAGGCAATAGGGCTTGGCAACACATACCATACTGATGATAATAAGAATATTAAGAAACATAGGATCTTGTGATGGAGTTTCTAGTAATTCACTTTCTAGCATTTTGCCAATTGTTTAACCTCTTTGAAGATGAGGGCTTCAGTTTGTCTCTAACAGAAATATGTTTGTAATTGGGGATGAGGTGGGGCTGTCACCTTCCCTATATTCATGACTATACTATTCCTGGATCTAATCAGCCTCAGAATCTTTAACACAGAAATAGACTCAGAATTAGATAGATTTGACACGGGATTTGAAGAATATTTGTCATGTTTGAGTGAGATAATCTATAGAGTTCCCTCCCAGCCTAAGTTTGTAGAAGATTTTCAAATTTTGGGGGTTTGAATATTTTATCATTACTATTGTGTTTTCTGACTTCTCCCCATCATATGTCACTTTTTTAAATCAAATATCATATAGTAAATCCTAATAGTTTGTCAATGTTTTAATATTTTATCATTATTTTAAAATACTTCTGATTTTCCTAGGATAAACCTTGGGAGTTTTGTAAAAACTAGTCCTTCAGAATCTTCTCTTACAACAGCAATTCTAAAATCTGAAGGCTAGTATTTAGAAAACTACTGTAATCAATGTTATATAAAAATCTATAATGTAGAATTCCTTCGACCAAAAGATGTTAAGGTCAATCAATATATCTGTGGGATGAGGCTAATTCTGTTATCTTAGGATGATAAACTGGAACATTAATTTCCCACTCTAAATTCAAACTAACCCTCTGTCTAATATTCAGTATCTCTACCATTCAATATGGCAGTCATTCATTAATTTCAACCCAATAGAGTTTGGGTTCCTAATGTGGAGACATGGCAAACACAACTTAATAAAGCCTACTGACAACCTTCTCAATTTCCATCCATTTTTTTTCTTAGAGTTCCATTCTCTATGTATTTCCTTTTCGCCTGCTCCTTTATGCTCCTCTTCTGTTCCACACCTTTTTGTTACCTTTGCTCCACAGTCCCTAAGCTGCACTGTAGTTACTCATGGAAGTAAAGACATATGCAGTGGCTGGCTGCCCGGATGTATAAAGATGTTGTGTGTATAATATATGAGAGACATTTAGCAATATTTTGAAATTATGCAGTAGCTTTGATTTTTGGTTCTTGGTTCTATTCCAACAAGGGTTTTCCTTCTGCATGTATCAAACTGCTAGAGGCCCTTTTATCTATCCTCCTGGCCACTCTCTTTCTCTTGCACACACCAGTGGCACAGGATGCAAACCTTGCATCTGTATCTGTCCCTGAAATTGTGCTGCAGGCATGCCCAATGCTGTTCTTAATTTTAATCTGTTTAAGGCTCTGCCAAATGAAATGCTGTTAACAACATTTACAGTTAATGAAACCGATGCTCTAGGTCCAAGAAGGAGCCTAAGTGAAGTGGAGAGCTGTTGTAATCATGCAATTAGTCTAGCTGGCGGAAATGACATAAGTACTTCCCCACTCTTAAAGAAAATAAAGTGTTCAGTGGGGTTGTTTATGTGAGTTAAGTTCTTCCTCCAAATTCTCCACCTCTCCACTGCCTGAGGTCGGTTCCAACAGAGTCCTTCCTGGTTACTGCCCATACATCATCCTCAAGACCCAGTTAGATTTCAATCGGAGGACTCAACTTTATCACACGCTCAAGTCTCCCTTAGCTCATCAGACTACCCATATTTTATATTTACTGTCTTCTTGGGATTTTTTTTGTTGAGAAGAAGTTATTCATTGGAAAAGTCTGGATGATGCTGAAAGTCATCTTTTACAATTTAGGCACGCAGTAGAAAGATTTACAATGTATTTTTTGTTTGATTCTTTCCAGTTGCCTGGAGCAAACATTCATCTTCTACTTCCTTTAATAGGATCTGACTTGTGACATCATGTTCTGAAAGGCTGCAGTTTAATGCGTGTGTTTTCTCTCTAACACACATATATTATGCAGAGACTCTAGGATTTCATCTTTATTTTGTTTTATTTTTTAAGGCCATAGAAGCCAGTTGCCTTGGGGTTTCCTTCTCTTAGAGACGTCGCCAATGTCAAGGAAGCATTCTGAATAGGTTGAGCTACATAGTAAACAAACCCCCTACCTAATGTACATTCGGGGCTTGGCTTGCACCAGAGTGGCTTGTCCTGCCAGTTGAGTGCAACACTGAGATGCCAACGGTATTTATCTTCATTAAGTTTCCAAAGCAATGGCTTAAAAGTTTGTGCACAATTTGCAAATTCAGTTTTAAAGATGGTATCCTCAATTCTGCAGTTTCTGGAATGGTGGCTTCCAGGTATTTGGAACCCCTTGCCAAAATGTTGATCACAGATGAGAGAATAACGTGTTGCTATGCTATGCAGAGAATTGTAATTCATTATATACTCTCTAGGGGGAATTACAGAAGTGCTGACCATTTGAGAGGACCAATGATCACCATTTGAGTAAAGCAAAAATGGTCCTCAGAATATCTTAAGATCGTGAGTCATGAATTTCTTAAAGTTCAGTGAATGCCAGGCTTAGTGACATATGCATGTAGTCCCGGATACTCGGGAGGCTGAAGTGGGAGGATTGCTTGAGCCCAGGAGTTTGAGATCAGCCTTGACAACATAGTGAGACCCTGTCTCAAAAAAATTAGTTTCGTGAAGGCAATACCTGGCAATACCTCCTACTTAGATGGGAAACTTATTCTTACATGCTTCAAAGAAGTCAAAGTGACTTTTACAGTGAACTTTTAGTAGTACTTCTTATGCCTAATGCCAAAACTTATTTTATGACAGAGACATGTCATCAATCTTTTTTCTCTTGTTTTCAAGAAAGGAAATGTCAGTACAAATACTAAGGAAGTTTCAACATCTCCATAAGGTAGGGCATCTTTTAGATTAGTGGGACTTTTCAGCTCCAAGACAAAGAAGAACTCAACCCAAATTTACTTTAGAAAACATAGCTGAAAAGTCTGAGGGCCATGCTGGTTTCAGGCATGTGGCTGGATTCAGATGATGTCAATAGAACTTTCTTTCTCTCCAACTCTTATTGCCTCCTTCAGTGGGATTGATGTTGTGGTTAGGATGCACGTGGTGCACCTGGCCTCCTGCCTCCTCGCTCTAGGCTCTCCTTCACTGATGACAAATCGGCTGCAGCACAACCTCATAGATAAAGTCTAGCCAGAAACAGTCGCCACTCCACTTACTCCTGCAGAATTCCTGAGATCTACTTGGATTGGATTAACTCTTGAACATCTGACTGTGGCCTGGAGAATGTGGTGTGCTGAAGTCAGGCTGGATCTCTTCTCAATCCAGGTAGACCGAAAGTGGAGAAAAGTAGACTCCAAACAGAAATCTAGTATCTTGCTGAAGGAAGTGAGGCCAACAAGATATGTTTAGTGCTTGTATTGTATTTATCTTCTATTGGCTGAATTGCATCCCTCCAAGTTCATATGTAGAAGCCCTAACTTCCAAGTGCCTCAGAATTTGACTATACTTGAGATAGGACATTAAAAAAGGTGAGTAAGTTAAAATGAGGCTGTTAGGGGAGCCTTATTCCAACATGTCAGGTGTCCTTATAAGAAGAGGAAATTTGGACACACAAAGAGACAGCACATATGCCTGAGCACAGAGGAAAGGCCACATGGGGACACAGAAAGAAGGTGGCCATCTCCAAGCCCAGGAGAGAGGCCTCAGCAGAAGCCAAGCCCACTAACACCTTGACCTTGGACTCCCAGCCTCCAGAACTGTGAGACAATAGGTTTCTGTTGCTTAAGCCACCCAGGGTATGGTATTTTGTTATGGTAGCCCTAGCAAACTAATACAGCATCTTCTTTTATTGTGTCTAGTCACCTTTATTAATTTGGGGATGCCTTAAATATATATTTATATGGTTTCTGTAATGACTTTATGGAATCTTGTTACCATTTTGATTTCCAGTAAAGCCAATTGTTAAATTAGTACTTGAATTTAGTCCTCTTAAAAGTCAGATTAGAAGCCATATTAAAGAAGAGAAATTATTATTTAACTCTAATGTTGAAGTAGTGTTGTTTATTTCTGTGCTTGTTAATGAAGAGATTCAAAGATTCTATCTTGTATCGGTTCAGTGTTCCTTTGACAGGAACTAATCATGTAAGCTTGATTTTAGGAAACATATTTTGACCAGATAGAGCAGAATGAATAAAGCAAAACACCTTGGAAATGCTATTATCTGAAAAATCAGATTCATTAAATTAAGTTTAGGTCAATATTCAGCCACATGTCAAATAAAATATAATCTATAATGAGGTTTGGGGAAAAAACTAGGAAGCTGGTTTTTCGTTTTTATTTTTCCATTTCATTTCATGGTAGGAGTTGCCTCTAAGACCTAACATAACAGAATTTCTGTGGTTGGCCAGAAGTTTTTTATTGATTTCTCCTGGCTACAGTGCAATTTTCCCAGCGTCATGGAGAGAAACAGGTAGAGAAGTGAACTCCACAGACTTACAGTCTAGAGTCAAGTTGACTTGGAAAATATCGGGAAACGGTAAATGTGATACTAGAATTCTTGACAGACCTTTAGTTGAGAAAGTTGTGGCAGATTTATAGCTTTAGATAAGGGCCCTTCACTGGAAGAAAGTATAGGCTACTTCTTTTAAACTTTAGGGAAATACAGTTTATTAGACTGGTAAGTTTTGAATGCCTTGTAAAATATTAGTCAAAAACCTCTATTTCCTGTGTTATCTTTTGCTTTTTAAATTATAAAAAAATTAAGTAAATTTTAACAAAAAAGGAAAAAAATATGAAAGAAAGTGATAATTCCATTAGTCATTTTTTGTGTCTACCCTCCCAGAGATTTTTCTAGGATTATGCAAATATTATACCTGTCATATATAACTGCCAAACAGAATATTTCTCAAGCATGAAACAAATGCATGCTCATATGTTGTATATTCTGTGTTTTATATCAATATACATATATAATTTAAAATTAAAATGCTCAATATTTTCTTTATGAAAGTAATGCAGTTCTAGCTCATTTTTCTTACTACTTAGCATTGTGACAAAATTTGCTTAACTAATTCCCTATTGATAAAGAAATTTAGGATAATTTTGTTTTTAAAATATTACCCTTAATACTATAACTATCCTTATTCCCAAAATATTTTTGTCATTTGACAGTATTTTGATAAGATGAATTTACCCTGTGTCAACGGTTATCACATCCTTTTAAAATTGTTTGACACTCTCAAAATGCCCTATGAAAATGTTGTAGGTTCTACACTCCCACCAACAGTGTTTGACGGTGCCTATTTTCCCTCACATTGGAAAATATTAATGAGTCAATGCTCTATCTATATTTTCTTACTTAAATATCCAGCAAACTGTATGAGTTAGTTATTATTTTTTCCATTTTGCAAGTAAAAATACAGGGAAGTTGGGTGGAATCTTGCCTTGCAAAAGGACACACAAACAGTTAGTGGTGAGCTGGTGTGGAAGACAGGCTGTGTCCCAGAGATACCCACTTATCCACTATGCCCCAGATGCGATTATTAGCCCAGCCCTGTAAGTCTGAATTCCCAACTCCCTTTATTCAAGCAGCACTTTCTCATTGTTTGCTGTCATCTCCTGCTGCTTTTGCTTTTATTTTGCTATTTTTATTTCGAGTTTTGTTGGTTAATTTTATGAGTTAACTTGACTGCATCAGGAGGTGCCCAGATCAAACATTACCTCTGCGTATGTCTGTGAGAGAGTTTCTGCATGAGATTAGCCTTTGAATTGATGGACTTAGTAAAATAGATGGCCCTCCCCGATTTGTGTGGGCATCATCCAATGCACTGAGGGACTGAATAGAACAAAAGGGAAAGGGAAATAAATTCACCCCCTTTTTCCTGCCTCACTACTTGAGCTGGGGCATCTCATCCTATCTTCTCCTGCCGTTAGGCTGAAATTTACACTATCAGTTCCCCTAGTTCTCAGGCCTTTGGACTCAGACTAAATGATAGTGCCCACTTTCCTGGATCTCCAGCTTCAAAGGGCAAATTGTGGGACTTCTCAGCCTCTGTAATCAAGTGAGCCAATTCCTCATAATTGTGCACGTTTTCTCTCTCTCGCTCTCTTTCTCATCTCTCTTGCTCTCTTTCTCATCTCTCAGCATTTAAAGCAACTGTTATTTTGAGTGTTCTTTTAAGAACTCAAATGATATCCTAAACAGTTCAATAATAGTCTCTCCTTTCAGCATTCTGACTTTCATAATAAGATTTTGTCATTCTTTTAAATTTTCCACTGAAGGATATTCTTAGCTTGAATTTTTCAAGACCTAAACAATTAACACAGAAAAGGGCTGAATGTCAGAGCCACAAAACAATGGTTGAAAGTTAGCTTTTCAAATTTATTGTATTTAATTTCTGTTCATTTGAATTTAGATAGTGTAAATGTACTGCAGAGTGCAATCTTTGGATACAAATTTGAGAGCTAGACACGGTAATCAGACTTTCTTATGCCGTATGCCTTTGATTCTGGGAGGGATTACTTTTTGTTGTGGTGCTTGTTGTTTTATCAGCAGTATGAAGAAAATGTTTTCAGCTGACACACACACAAAATACACCATTTAAAAAATAATGCATGATGTTTTCAATACTTTTTTCAAGACACATAAAAATATCTTGTTTCAATTATTTTAGCAGTTCTTTTAGCTGCTGAATATTTGCTTCGAGGACCTGCTTACCCCACCCCCTACCCCCACCAGAAATGTGTCTGGTACATGAAATTTATTCCTGGAGCGTGTGAACACTTCTATTGTGTTCCATTAAATGTAGGATATCTTTATAGCATGTGTCAGTCATAAGAAAAAAATAAACTCTCAGGCTCTATATATGTGTACGCCAGCTTAATAAATTCTAGGCAACAGATGTAGCTGCCAGTTCCTCCTTCTGCCACTTTTCCCCAGTTCAATAAAGAGGTACAGATGGTTCTTTTCACCCTGGTATCTTGAATCTTGGCATGAGGGCTGGGACTTTATTGATCTTTTTCTGGAAACTTCTTTCGACCCAAAGGACCATGGCAAGCTAAGTGTCAAATGAGATTGTCTTGCACAGATCTGGCCATTTGGGAGTCAGGGGCCCTTAAGAGTTGAAAAATAGCTCAGAGTACCTCTCAGCCTTTCACATGGAGAAACTGTCGAGTTACATTTACTCTTCGGCTTTTGATTTTTTACATGCTCATCTTGCAGAAGCCCAGGGCTGGGAGAAAGGTCATCTAGATCTTGGCTCTGCCTTAGGAAGAGCCTGTGCTAATCTTTCAAAAAAGCAAGTGAATCCAGCCATGGCTTACAGTTTTCCAGTTCAACCAAGAGAAACAAAAGCAACCTGAATTTGGTGGTAACAAAGAAGTTTAAAGGATCAAAAAAAAAAAAAAGATCTCAAATGATCCTATTGAATAAATGTAGTTTTGTTTCTTCTGTATAGTAAATGCTGTCCTTGGAGGATGGACATTAGTGGCTTGTTGTTACCCACTGGTGTCATAAGAGGTCTGTGAAAGAACTCTGACTAATCACACACTGGGACAATCAATATAAACTGGGACAAGCCTGGGTAACCTGGGCATAGGCACAGAATAACAAATGCATGTACTAACTGGACACTCTTCCAAATGCCTCTCCATGCCATTTTATTTAATGGAATATGCTCTGAAAACTCCCCTTTTATATCCAGGGAAACTGAGACACAAATAGGTTAAATAACTTCCTAAATTCATGTAAACCCAGTGTATTGGTGAGTTTTCATGCTGCTGATAAAGACATACTCAAGACTGGGCAATTTACAAAAGAAAGAAGTTTAATGGACTTACCGTTCCACATGGCTGGTGAAGCCTCGCAATCATGGTGGAAGGCAAGGAGGAGCAAGTCATGTCCTACGTGGATGGCAGCAGGCAAAGAGAGAGAACTTGTGCAGGGAACTCCTCTTTATGAAACCATCCGATCTCGTGAGACTTATTCACTATCATGAGAACAGCACCGGAAAGACCTGCCCCTATGATTCAATTACCTCCTACCAGGTCCCTCCCACAACACATAGGAATTCAAGATGAGATTTGGGTGGGGATACAGCCAAACTGTGTCACCCAGGGAGAAGCCAAGTCAGGAGAGATGGCCAGTAGCCTTAGGGAGGGCCTCTGGCTGAGAAGGCTGCTCTGTTTTGGGATATGAGTGACTGGTCCAATTAGGTTGTTGCTCTCAGAAGGTTTGTTATGACAAAGAGGGACATCAGATAAAAGTGGAGTAGCAGAGGTAAGACCCATCACAAAAAGACAGGGGACATGGGATTGAGAGAAGAGTTGAGAGTGTCAGCAATCCATAGTTATTAGAAGATGACCTGGTTAGTTCCCAGGAGGACTGAGCAACCAAGACGAGAGTGCTCTGTTGCCACGGGATTATCTTAAGGATTCTGAATGACAGTGTCCTGATGTCCATGAGCTCTGCTTAACTGCTAAGGGTGGGCTGCCTGCCTTTCTTCTTTCAAGGTGTCTGTTGCACCTGGGGTAACCTTGAGCACACTGCTTTCTCCTAAGACTTGGAAGACTCTAGGGTGCAGGAAGCCACTCCAAAGGGCCTTGGTGTGTAGCCATTGGCTGTTTCACTGAAGCTGGAATTTGATTTTTGAACATTGTGAGCCTGGGGTGCAGAGGAAAATGAGTGATCTCAGCTGCCTAGTGAGACTGCATACCGATGGGCCTTTGCAATCCACATGAAGAAAGCCTGAATATGCAGCAACTTTTTCTTTCTGGAATATGGCCAACCAGTGCTCAAGCTCAGGGTTTACTCCAATGCTCCGATTGTCTTTGCCTTATGGGAGACTGTTCTATGTTAATTGGAATTCTTGCAAATGGGATTCATGAACGTCTCAGGATTTATACCTCCCAGACACCAAAGGGTTCTCACAATGGGTTGCAATATTTTTCTGTGGAACCCTAAAGCTCTTCTGTGTTGCTGAAGGGGCACTGTGAACACTTGCTGTATTTTATTTTAAAAACTGGTATGAGTTAGTTTGAAAACACCAATGACAGCAAGTACACACAAGTGTGTCTTAGACAAACTCGAACCCACTGGAGAATACCAGGATATCAACCACTGCTGGCAAATTCACTCTTTAGTTAAGAACATAGAGTTTATGGCTGCATAGTATTCCATGGTGTATATGTGCCACATTTTCTTAATCCAGTCTATCATTTTTGGACATTTGGGTTGGTTCCAAGTCTTTGCTATTGTGAATAGTGCCGCAATAAACATACGTGTGCATGTGTCTTTATAGCATATTCTCACTCATAGGTGGGAATTGAACAATGAGATCACATGGACACAGGAAGGGGAACATCACACTCTGGGGACTGTTGTGGGGTGGGGGGAGGGGAGAGGGATAGCATTGGGAGATATACCTAATGCTAGATGATGAGTTAGTGGGTGCAGCGCACCAGCATGGCACATGTAAACATATGTAACTAACCTGCACAATGTGCACATGTACCCTAAAACTTAAAGTATAATAATAAAAGAAAAAAAAAACCAAAAAAACAAAAAACAAAAAAACCAGAACAACAACAACAACAAAAAAAAAAAAAAAAAAAGAACATAGAGTTTAAAGCCATAAGGTCTGCTCCACAGACTACTTTCAGCGCTCCCTCCCTGGGTGACTTGGCAAGGAACCTGCATTCTTTTTTTTTTTTTTTTTTTTTTTTGAGACAGAGTCTCGCTCTTTCGCCCAGGCCGGACTGCAGTGGTGCTATCTCGGCTCACTGCAAGCTCTGCCACCCGGGGAACCTGCATTCTTTGTGATGCATCGCCTCACTTGTAAAATGGGTGCAATAATAATCCCTCACTCAGGTAGCTATGTAAGAAGTGGATGAACTTAAATAGGTAAAACACTTGGAAATGTATTCAGCACATAGAACACACAAAATGAATGTCACTTCTCATTTGTGATTGTCATTGCTGCTGTCGTGCAGAGCTCAGAATTAACCTTCCCTGGCATCTCATTCATCTATCTGAGCTTCTTGTAATGCATTGTTCATTTAGAGTATTGAAGCTCTGCCCTAGTCTTTAAAAAATTAAAAATATAAAACTATGCATTTCCAATTACATAAATTGTTATGTTACATAAATGTACCCTAATTCAGAACTAATATGCACTGATGATTATTTACTATGCAAAGACAGGTGATAACAAATAAATGCATCATATATTGAAATGCTGTCATACCATTTTATTCACTTATTTATCACCATGTGTTTATTGTTATTTTTCATCTGATTACAATGTCTATGTGTCTTCTGTAATTGTTTTATCTTTTAAATTTACAACATATGTGATAGACAAAATAAATGCTATGTACTTTATATATAAACAATCTTTTACAAATATCTCTATGTAGTTTATATATGCATATATTTTATATAAGCTATATATAACACTGCATGTTTACATTTGCATATAGTTTATATGCATATATAAATATATATTTAATGCAAGTATTCATTTATAAATATCTAGAAATATGTATTTTTATATGTACATATTGTATATAACATCATTTACATATGTATATATTTTATACATAAAATATCTCAAAAATAGAGAAAAGTACACAGAACGGTATATATTACCCAGAGAATAGTGTCTATTATCTAGACATAATAGGTATCAACTTTAAAGATTTTTACCTAACTTTTTAGAGAAATGAAACACTACAGATACAGTGACTCCTCCTCCATTCCCTTTCCTTCTCTATCTGCCACAGCTTCCCTCCCTTCAGTAAGGCTAGTTTGAAGCTGCCGTGTATCTTAAGCATCTATCATTTTAGTATTTTAACACAAATTTATGTTTCACAAGCCAGTGGTAGTATTTTTGTTGTTAAAAATTAACGTAAATAATACTTTGCTACGTGTATCTTTCTGAAGCTTCCTCTATTTTTTTGAGATTTATTCATGCTAAAATAATCTCTATTTCATTTCATTGCTATGCAGTAATACTATAGTAAGAACATATCACAAAGAATTAATACATCTCTCAATTGATATTTATAAAAGTTGTTTACAGTCTTTCATTCTTACAAGAAATCATGCAACAATTATGATTGTACAGACCTCTTTATGTGGAATGTGTGAGAGCTTCTCCAGGTATGCATGTAAGAATGCAATTACTAGGCTGTAATTTCTTGTTTCATTTCTGTATTTATTTTGAAGTATCAAGCATTCAGTAGATAGGCCTAATTTTTCAACGTTGAAACAAATTTAATTACTACCTCACTCTCACATTTTTTAATGAGTCAGTTGAAGAAAGACTCGCTAGAGTTTGCAAAGAAAATTTAAAACATTGTTTGTGTTTGGATCTTCTTAGCTGTATGATCCAGAATTTACTCAATACTGTAGGGCATACAAGCAAAAAATAGGAATAAATTGGATGATGAGGATCATGATGATGAGGATGATATAGACCAGTGTGAATATGTTGTATTTTTCAAAGCCATTGCATTGCACATAAAATACTTAACCCTTTGTTTCTGAATATGTCCTAGATTTTATTTTCATAATACATTATTACATTGGAAAAATGTATAAAAGACGAACAGAAAGTGAATCGCTTCCACACAATTTTAATCTACAAAGAAAACCACTGCTAACAATTTGGTATATGGAACCTTCCAGATTATTTCCTAAGCATTTACAAATGTGTGTATGTGTGTGGGTACCTGTGCATTTTTTTCTTTTTAGGAGACAGGGTCTTGATCTGTCACCCAGGTTGGACTGCAGGGGTATGATCAGAGCTCACAACCTTGAACTCCTAAGTTAGTGAGTGTTTGGTTATTTGGTTTCCAGAAATGAAATTATCCCACTGGAGCCCTACCCTACTTTTGGTTTTGTTCATCAATTCCTCAGTATAATCTACTTTTCTGAAGGCATTAAACAATTGTAGGCAGATGAATGTTGAATGGCGGGGCCTGGTTTCGAGGATAAGGTATTAATATTTATATAGCTTATAAGCAAGAGATTTCACATCAAGAATTCATATTCAATTGTGCCAAGCCCGAGAAATGATTTTTGTCTTGAAACCATAGAAGAAGAAGAAGCACACAGTTAATTCATAAGAGTGAGAGCAAACATGATTTGGGATGGATGACTGAAATGATTACCACTGGTTTAGTACAGAAAATATCCTCTCACCTATTAAGCATTTTATATTAATTAGGGAGTATGCTGGAGATTAAAACTGGAAAATGTCATAGTGTAACTGCCATATGACCTCACACCTGGTTTTCAGAATAACGACGGAAAGTGTTGAAAACCACAGGATATCTATGAATCACCTACAGAAATGCGGGAAAGCTATTTTGTAAGATAAAGTTTGAACATAGTCAACAACATCTGGGGGTTACAGGCTCTAAAATTATGTCTTTTCTGTGTTCTGGAAGTTCCTGCCCTCAGGTCAATTTTGTAGGTCCCAAGGGCAACCTGAACCAAGTGTCAGTACTCCCCTTTCATATAACAAAGTGGGTTCAGGTTTCCTGCTTTCAGAGGTCAAACCTCCCACATCATAAGGTTAGTATGTTAACCTACTCAACATTTGCTTACAAGATGAGCTAAGGCGCATCGATGTAATCGCAGGAGGCATTCTCAAAGGAGGAAAGAACAAGAAAGCCCACTTAATTCCACATAAGTTCTCAAGGATTTCTTAATCCTATGAAGCCCATGTTTCTGGGAATCCAGGATCTGAGGTGGTAGGAAATAGGATCTGCATGAAAAGGGAAGAAAAAAAGAAAGACTTTGGTCTTAAATGTTTAGCTTGAGAAAAGACATGTTTGTAACAAATAAACCATGATAGAAATAAGTGGGTTAAGAGAAGAGGAGCAGCTGGGCCTGGTGGCTCATGCCTGTAATCCCAACACTTTGGGAGGCTGAGGCTGGAGGATCACGAGGTTAGGAGATCGAGACCATCCTGGCTAACACGGTGAAACCCTGTCTCTACTAAAAATACAAAAAATTAGCCGAGCATGGTGGCATGTGCCTGTAGTATCAGCTACTCAGGAGGTGGAGGCAGGGGAATTGCTTGAACCCCTGGAGGCGGAGGTTGCAGTCAGCTGAGATCGTGCCACCGCGCTCCAGCCTGGGCGATAGAGCGAGACTCCATCTTAAAAAAAAGAAAAAAAAAGGAGCAATTTTTATTTCCTGAATTCGATAAATGACAATGAAAAGTGGCGGGGACTTCTTAACAGGGCAGCTGGTGAAGATGACTCACATTAAGAAGCGCTTACTCTGCACGAGGGGTTTCCCTAGGAACTTGAAAAGCATCATCTCATTTAGTCTTCACAACAAACTTATGAAAAGGGTGCTACATTGTGCTAATTTTAGAGCCAGGAGACAGGATCAAAGTCCTTGAGCAACTTCTTGAGGTTGTACCGCTACCCAGGGGCAACCTTATCAATATCACATCCATCTGGCTCTGGGGAACTGCACCCTTATCCTCAAAGTCATAGTGCTTACCTTACATTGTATTAACACATTATCTGGTATGGAAGTAATTATTTAGTCAATGATGTAACCATTTAATGACGGAAAGAACCACATTCGGCTCCTAACACAAGTTTACATTTATAGGGGGACCACATGTCCCTCACCCCGCAGGTGTCCTTTGGTAACCTGTGCATAACATTTTCTAAACCAGATACATATAGGGTTTTTTTCATAGGGCTTTGGATCATAGGATTCTTGTGATTAACTTGGATCCCTAATTTCAGATTTCTGGCTTACTAGATGTTGACGCTCTGAATTTTATGACTTTAACATGGTCTACTAGATGTTCTATCATTTCTTAGCCCTAATTTATGATGCTGAAGCCAATCCTAGAGACTTCTGCCCCAGCAGACCAGTGCAAGCAAAAGAAGGGCATGTATCTATTTTATGAAATAAGGGTCAGTGGGATATTTGGCAAACACATAAAATTACGGGGTGTTTGAGTTTTTTAATGTATCATCTTTGTTGTGATGGCTGGACTCCACAAAGAATTGGCTTCACTGCTATTTATGCTATGACAACTTTCATTCTTGTTTTTGGTAATTTTTGGTTCCAAGTAACAGAGACTTAGTGAAATTTGATTATGTTTTAGAAAAAAAGTATGTGTGTTTCTCTCTCTCTCTCTCTGTGTGTGTGTGTGTGTGTGTGTAACTATTTGAGAGGATTGGGATGTCTTAAGAATTTAGGAGCCACAAATACACACAGGTTCAAGGGACTGGAACTGGAAATTATGAATTTAAAAACTAAAACTATGCTTTTCATTTTTCAAGAGTCAAGTGCGATCTCATTTCTATTCATCTCTGTTGATGTAATTTATTCTTCCTTGTCTCTGCAGTTAGGCCTTTTCTGTTTCTTCAAGCACTTGGCAGATAATGGCCACCCTGAATATAAATTAGTACAGACATTATGAAAAACAGTGTGAAAATTTCTCAAAAGTTATAAATAGAACTACTGTATGATCCAGCAGTCCTATTCTTGGGTGTATTGAAAGGAATAAATTGGTAGGTGAAGAGATACCTGCACTCCTGTGTTTATTGCAGCACTATTCACAACAGCCAAGTTGTAGAATCATCCTAAGTGTCCATCAACAGATGAATGGATAAAGAAAATGTGGTACATTTACATAATGGAATACTATTTAGCCTTAAAAAAGAAAGAAATCCTGTCATTTTCGACAACATTGATACTGGAGGTCTTTATGTTAAGTGAAATAAGCCAGGGGCAAAGACAAACACTGCATGATCTCACTTTTTAAAAATTTATTTTTTTTTTAATTTTACTTTAAGTTCTAGGATAGATGTCCAGAATGAGGAGGTTTGTTACATAGGTATACATGTGCCATGGTGGTTTGCTGCACCTATCAAACTGTCATCTAGGTTTTAAGGCCCACATGGATCAGGTATTTGTCCTAATGCTCTCCCTCCACTTGTCCCTCCCCACTGCCCCCCGACAAACCCCAGGGTGTGATGTTCCCCTCCCCATGTCCATGTGTTCTCATTGTTCAACTCCCACTTATGAGTGAGAACATGTAGTATTTGGTTTTGTGTTCCTGTGTTAGTTTACTGAGAATGGTGGCTTCCAGCTTCATCCATTTCCATGCAAAGGACATGATCTCATTCTTTTTTATGGCTGCATAGTATTTCATGGTGTATATGTGCCACATTTTCTTTATCCATTCTATCATTGATGGGCACTTGGGCTGGTTCCAAGTGTTTGCTATTGTAAATAATACTGCAATAAACATACATGTGCATGTGTCTTTATAGTAGAATGATTTATAATCTTTCGGGTATATCCAGTAATGGGATTGCTGGGTCAAATTGTATTTCTGGTTCTAAATCCTTGAGGAATCACCACACTGTCTTCCACATTGTCTTCCACAATGGTTGAACTAATTTACACTCCCACCAACAGTGTAAAAGCATTCCTTTTTCTCTACATCCTTGCCAGCATCTGTTGTTTCCTGACTTTTTAATAATTGTCATTCAAACTAGTGTGAGATGATACCTCATTGTGGTTTTGATTTGCATTTCCCTAATGACCAGTGATGATGAGCTTTTCTTTTCATATGTTTGTTGGCCGCATGTCTTCTTTTGAGAAGTGTCTGTTCATATCATTTGCCTACTTTTTGATGGGGTTGGTTGTTTTTTTTTCTTGTAAATTTGTTTAAGTTCCTTGTAGATTCTGGATATTAGACCTTTGTCAGCTGGGTAGATTGCAAACATTTTCTGTCATTCTGTAGGTTGCCTGTTCATATTGATGATAGTTTCTATTGGTATGCAGAAGCTCTTTAGTTTAATTCGATCTCATTTGTCAATTTTGGCTTTTGTTGCAATTGCTTTTGGTGTTTTAGTCATGAAGTCTTTGCCCATGCCTATGTCCTGAATGGTATGAAACTGGAATCCTTCCTTACACCTTATACAAAAATTAACTCAAGATGGATTAAAGATTTAAATGTAAAACCCAAAAGCATAAAAACCCTAGAAGAAAACCTAGGCAGTACCATTCAGGATCTCACTTAAAAAAGGAATCTACAGAAGTTGAACTCACAGAAGCAAAGAGTAGAATGTGGGTACCAGAGGCTGGACAGGAAGGAGAGTTAGGAAGATGTTGGTCAATGGATACAAAATTTCAGTTCGACAAGAGGAATAAGTTCAAGGATCTATTGTACACCATGGTGACTATACTTAATAACCATATATTGTATACTTGAAAATTGCTAAGAGAGTGGAATTTAAGTGTTCTTCCACAAAAATGATAAGTTCTCACCACAAAATGAGGCAATACATATGTTAATCATTTAATTTAGCTATTCCACAGTGATTCATATACCAAAACATCATGTTGTACATATACATAATTTTTATTTGTCAATTAAAAAAATAAATTCTAAAAGAGTTAAACAGGTTAAAAAAAAAGCTATCCTAACCCTCTCATAAATCCCCTTTCAATCTCAGAGCCCACGTGAGTCTCTTAAACCCACTTCCACGATCTCTGTGGTAGAGAATTTGGTGGACCTAACTTGGATCCTTGATGATCTTATGTGAGTGAGGTCCAATCCACTGCCACTCACTCTTCAGGGGTTGTTGGAAACGAGCTTTTCAGAAAATGATCTGGGAAGGTTCTGCTTGTAGAGTAAGGGGGTGAGGAGGAAAGAGGCAATGATTGGTGCAGGAGACGGTGGCCACCCCTAGTTTACCTGCCTAGACATGACCTTGTACACATTTGATTTTAAACTATCTAAATGTACTGCCAGAGCTTACCTCCGCAAGATTCCCAGGTATCCTATGGGGTGATGAATAATGCTGTTTAGAATTTTATTTTTGTATTAGAGTGAAGGGATTTAATATATGTAATGTAAATATTGTAATTAAGTGGATTTTGCATTTAGAATGCTTGGATTTGCATCCCAATGCCAACTCTTACTGAGAGTTACTTAACCTCTTTACCCCTCTGTATACTATTCAATAAAACAAGAATAATATTAGTGACTGCCCTACGGGACTTTTCTGAGAAGTAATTATTTGAACACATGGATGTTCTTTGAACAGTTCCCATCATGTGGGGTTCTCAATAGAGTTGTTGTTTGGTAAGAGATTTAGTAAATTATGAGATTTTATAATTATGAGATTAAATATGCTTAGGGATTTTTACATGTTAATTAATTGAACTAAAAATCAGGGAGTTAAAGAGAATATTTGTGACTTAGACACTGAGAGAAAAACAAGCAAGATGAAAAAGAGGAGACTGTGGAGTAATTATAGTCTCATTGTGGTAAGAGAGTGGCTTAACCAAATGGAAAAAGCGATGAATTAAGCTTAGACTGTGCAGCCCACTCTCCATTGGCCTGTCATGGCGTGCCCCCTGCTGTCCCTTTACCAATATGATCATGAGAAAAGCCAAATGCAAAGTCAGTCGACTGTAATTCCACAGAGCCATGGATTTCTAGCCAACACTGCCTCAGAAGAAGGTTGAAAAAAGTTGAGAAGAAATCTGGGTGGAGGGCACAGTATGGTTCGAAGAAAGGATGGAGTGAGTTGTAAATATAAGGATTTGTTCAGACATGTGGCTTCATCTGTTGCAGCTGACAACTACCATTTGGAGGAAATCTTGTATGAAAGATGATGAAACTCTTGTCTCTTTGTGGCTTTTTAAATTGGCCTGAGTCCCTTGCAGCGTGGCCATTTCTGCATTAATTTATTCGACTTCCTGCTCCTGGTTGCTCAAGCCTTGCTAAGGAGTAGAGAAAATGCAACTTTGGTTACTGTAAAAACAGTGGATCATTTTCTTTAAAATTCAAGGCCAAACATGTTGAGCATTTTATATACAAAGAGGTGGCCAAAAGTTTTGATCTCTCAAACGGTTTTGTGGGTAAAATGAAATAATATCTATTGAATCTATTTCTAAAGTGTTAGCTCTTCCATCTTCCCTCTCCAGAGCACTCAGCCAAGTTACAGCTCATATAATCTTGATACAAGAGCGAGTGAAGTGTTTGAAATATGAACATTTCTGATCTGAATCTGAACAGATCATAATATGTTTCTCCCTGTTTTGAGTTCTCCAATTTCTTAAGAAAATTATTGAGGAAAGCGGTTTTGATTTCTGATCCTTACCAGAAGCAAGTGACACATTTAACCATATGCTTTTTACCATCCTCATTGTTTTTCTCCTTTGAACATTGGGGTGTTTGCCCTCATGATATTGAAACCCTCAGTCAGCTCAAATGACACACTGAAAAATCTTTTGTAGGTTTCGTTTTCAAATAAACATTTTAGAATTATTTGACTAGTAACAGGAATAAGCTGAATTTCTGAGAAATAAAAAAATAAACAACATCACCTGCAGAGACGTCTACTTTCTTAACAATTGAATTCAAATATCAGGTTTTATCGTTATTATCTTTTAACCTAACAAAATCCCACAAGCACCTTAAATAGTGTTTTTGCTTATTTGGTTTTAATGATGTTGAGAAGGTAAGCTTTGATAACAGAATAGGTTTAATTTTGTGCTTGGTAAAGTTTTGCTTAAAATGCATCTAAGCAATTGTTTGGCTCCTTGAATCATTTAATATTAATAAAATGTTTTGTAGCTAAACTATTCTTGTGGTATTTACTAAAAGTCAGTTTTTCTGAAAGAGAAGAAACTAATGGAGATAGCATATATCAATCATCACCCATCATACTGAAAGTTTTTAAGAAAATATATCATTAGGGATAACTCTTTAAGAACATACGCATTTTGTCTTCTGGCCGGGGGCGGTGGTTCACGCCTGTAATCCCAGCATTTTGGGAAGCCGAGGTGGGAGGATCACAAGGTCAGGAGATTGAGACCATCCTGGCTAACACGGTGAAACCCCATCTTTACTAAAAAATACAACAAATTAGCCAGGCGTGGTGGCGGGAGCCTGTAGTCCCAGCTACTTGGGAGGCTGAGGCAGGAGAATGGTGTGAACCCAAGAGGCGGAGCTTGCAGTGAGCTGAGATTGTGCCACTGCATTCCAGCCTGGGTGACAGAGCGAGACTCCGTCTCAAAAAAAAAGAAAAAAAAAAAAAAAGAACATATGCATTTTGATGCATTTTGTCTTCTTCATATGTGTATCTCTAATACCTAGCATGCTGCCTTGCACATAGTAGGTGCTCAACAGATAAGTGCAGTGTTGAATTGAATATAATTCGAACTTAGATCTCCCAGTATACTGAAACTAAAACATTAAATTTAGACATACATGTATAATGAAACGTTAAAGGAGATATGTTTTAGCTAAGAAAGGTGTGTGCTATTTATTTATTTATTTATTTATTTAATGTTTTTAGAAATGAGGTCTCTCTCTCTATTGCTTCCCTGTCACCCAGGCTGGAGTGCAGTGGTGCAACTGTAGCTCACTGCAGCCTCAACAAGTGATCCTCCTGTCTGCGCGTCCTGAATAGCTGGGACTAAAGGTGTAAGCCACTGCACCCAGCAGGTGTGTTCTATTAAAAATATTGGTTTTGTAGGTTTCACAAGAGAATGATTTTACACTGGACACACAGAAAATAAATTACGTTGGCCTACGTTAAAAGGGGTCCAAAACCTAGATCAACATTTCCTTCTTTTGCCACATTCATGAAGCTAATATTCTTTAAATGCTTACTATGTGCTAGGCACTTTACTAATTACAATGCTAAATGCTTTTTATGCAACATCTCACTTGTTCCTCCCTAAAGCCTCGTTAGGTTGTTCCCTTTTACCGCACACATTCTCAGTTCCATGCCTGTATCTCTTGGATCTTTTGGCATATTCTAGCCTTCTCTGTGTGTGAGAGTTCTTCACCCATCCCTAACCTTCACAACCAACTACAGGAAGCCTTGCTGCCCACACGAGTGTTCAGCCAGCCAGATGTGGCTTGGATTTAATAGCCCTGGATAGCAGCCCTCACCCATTGACTTTCATGAGTTACAAATTTCCTGAGAATAGGGTGATTCTCATGCTTGAGTTTTGCAGTAGCACCATTTCTCCTTTAAGGGATTAAGCTTCCGTTGCCCATTGTGGTAGCAGAGTTAACATCACACTGTCTGCTGGCCGCCTTTCCTTCCCTCTACCACCTTTCCACTTCCTCCTGGTGCTCTCAACTCTTTCCATATAACCTGCACTCAAAGCTGTAGCTCAGGGTCTGCTTCTTGGAGCACATGAAGAAAAACATTACTATTATCCCATTTTTGCTGTTGAGGGCCTTCAAGCTCAGAGAAGTCAATGAAGTTGCACATAGTAACATGGCTAGAGAGTGGTGAAATCAGGAATCAATCTAAATTTGTCTGACTCCAAAGGCAAAATTAAGAATGAATGGGAAGTTAGTGGGAATTCTCTAGTGTCCACATAATTTAGATATGTTATATGTGGAGAAAGAGAGCTGATCTCTTGAATGAGTCTCATTTGTTTGCTACTTTAAATGAATTCTCCAGATACTTTTAAATTTTTTTTTTTGGTTACCTGAGGAGACATAGTCTAAATTACAAGAGGCTTAATTTTTTTTTTATCATTACTCATTAGAAAACACTAAATTAATACTGTAAGACTTCAGATTCATCAGATTAGAAGAAAGGGGTTCATAATGATAATCATAATTATAACAGTAATAACACTAGCAAATATGTGTTGAGTCTTCCTCCATGCCAACTCCTAAGCTTACGGCTTTACCTGGATTCTCTCATTTTATCCTTCTTGCAAGCCATTGGTAGTAACCCATTTAGAGATGAGATATCTGAGACCAGGCTAGGATAAGTGCTTTGCCTACGGTCTCACTTATTATAAGTGTCAGAACTGAAATTTAAATCCAGATGGTTTGGTTTTAGAAAATACCTTCTGTGAAGGTAATTTTCTTTCTGCTAATTTTCTTTCATTTTCATTGAATATTGGCCTCTACTAAGAGTCCAGTTAATTTATTAATTAAAACCTGACAGATTCTGAAATAGTGACTTTTGAAAACCATAGCAACATAAGACTATTTGGAAATAGAAGTCAAGTTCCTAAAGGATTTTTAAGTGCAAGCTTTTATTCTCCTTTCGTTTATAATTCTTTTTTTAGTCTTCCCAAACCTCACCCAAGAAGTACTTGTTCCCTGGACCTACATGTCCACACTTTTTTTTTCTCCTAAGCTATGAACTAGTTTCTCTGTGGGCAGTCTTTCTCTGAGGGCCTGAAAGAAGTAAATTTTTAGTGTGTGTTTGTTATATGTGTGTGTATACACAAGAAAGAGGAGGTATACACATGTATGTGTGTGTATATATGTATCATTTGTATATAAACAAATTTTATGTGTGTATATAATTTCTTGGAGAAAATGGAAAATTTAGAACTTTTAAGCCTTTGGATAGATTTGATAACTTGGGCTTTGTATTACGGTTCTTGCTATTTGTGATATCTATTTAAACAATGTCCGTATATAGAGAGAGTTCAAGTATTGGTTTTGGTATTCTCTGTTTATTCCTAGAATCTGTATACCTTCCATTATTAAATTTTGCATAGAATGTAAGCAGTGCTTCTCTTTCGGATAAATATTCCCATTTTTCATGTCCATTATTTGACTTAAAGTAACACCCTTGCTATTAATGTTTAGGAATAATTCTTCATATTTTAATTAAGTATTGTATATCAGACACTGTGCTTGATTATACATGTATTATAGTTATACCAACCAGTATTTATTGAGTGCTTGTTTTGTGTCAGGCATTGCTTTAGGTGTTGAAAATACAGAGGTGTATAAAACAGGGATGGTCTTTATCCTCGGAGAGCTTACTATTTTATTTAGCTTTCCACAATCTTTTAAAGTTTCTAAGATGATTCTCATTTGGTAAATTGAGAAACTGAAGATCAAAGGGGTTTAATTATTTTTTTAAATTTCTAAAACTGGCAAAATGGAGGAACCGGGTCTTTTTTTTTTTTTTTTTTTTTTTTGAGATGGAGTCTTGCGTCTTGCTCTGTTGCCCAGGATGGAGTGCAGTGGCACAATCTCAGCTCACTGCAACCTCCGCCTCCTGGGTTCAAGCAATTCTCTGCCTCAGCCTCCCAAGTAGCTGGAATTACAGGCACCCTCCACCACACCTGGCTAATTTTTTAATTTTTAGTAGAGATGGGGTTTCACCATCTTGGCCAGAGTGGTCTTGAACACCTGACCTCATGCCTCCCACCTGCCTCAGCCTCCCAAAGTGCTGGGATTACAGGTGTGAGCAACCGTGCCCAGCCAAGGAACTAGGTCTTGAATCCAAATTTAGTTGGCTGTAAATTCCAAATTAATTCTACCATCTTGGGTAACAAATTGATGCAAAATAAAAGATAGGGGCTGGGCAAGGTGGCTCACGCCTGTAATCTCAAAATTTTGGGAGGCCGAGGTGGGGGGAGGGGTCACGAGGTCAGGAGTTCAAGACCAGCCTGGCCTACATGGTGAAACCCTGTCTCTACTAAAAATACAAAAATTAGCTGGGCGTTGTGGCAGGTGCCTGTAACCCCAGCTACTTGGGAGGCTGAGGCAGGAGAATCGCTTGAAACCAGAAGGTAGAGGTTGCAGTGAGCCGAGATCCCACCACAGCACTCCAGCTTGGGCAACAAGAGCAAAACTCCATCTCAAAAAAAAAAAAAGTTACTGAACAATGACATTTTTAAATACATTGGTGGACTAGAGGAAAAAAAAGATACTAAGAAACAATTAGAAGCTAATGAGGCCCCATCTTTGAAAGATAAACATGGTGTAGTATTTTCCCAGCATTTTGATTACAATTCATGACAAGAAATATATTTTACATTGCCACTCACTATACCTATACATGAATATTTAGATGGGCATGTATGTATGTATATATGTATATATAAATACACATATGTATGTACATGCCTATATAAAACACTAGTACACAAAATAACATATAGTTTACACAGTTCTGATACTTTCAGTTGTTTTATTTTGTATCTCATTTCACAGTATGATGTGTTACAATGTGCAGTTGAACATTAACATAATCAGCAGAAAATTGAAAATAAATTATAGTTATATACAAATAATTATGATTCATACGTATATACACCCATATTTCACTAGTTATAAACACATGTTAAAGAGATATTAAAATACTATGTTTTGTGGAGTCAATGTTTCTGTGCTCCCAGAATTCATATGTTAAACCTCATCCCCAAAGTGATGATATTTGGAGATGGGGACTTTGGGAAGTGATTAAGTCATGCAGGTAAAACCCTTGTGAATGGGATTAGTGTCCTAAAAAAAAGAAACCCTAGAGCTTCCTCAGCTCTTCCACCCATAAGGACTCAGGGAGAAAACAGCCATCTGTGAACCAAGAAATGACCCCTCACCAGACACTGAACCTGCCCATGCCTTGATTTCCGACTTTGCAGTATTCAAAACTGTGAGAAATAAGTTTCTGTTGTTTATAAGCTACTTTATAAATGTTATATGGTATTTTATTATAGAAAATCAAACTAAGACACTATGGGTCAAAATATGGAAACATCAACAAATTTTTAGCTCTAAGGGCAAGATACTTAGATATTCTCAGTTATTTGATAATTCTTTGAACAAATTCATTGAACACATACCGTACATCAGAACTTTCAGCTTGTTATAAAACAAACACAGCCCCTGACCTCATAGCTTAAAGACTAGTGGGAAAACAAATATTTAAAGAAAATGTACATGTTAAATATATAATTAAAGATTATATAAAATGTTGGGAATGGAAATAGAGAATGTTGAATTAAAATATAAGAGGGATCTAAATTATTTTATCCATGCTAAAGAAAATTTCTAAGTAAATTGTAAGTTGAGATTCATGGGAGGAGTTGGACTTAACCAGGTGAAAAATGGCTAAAAAAAATTAAAAACGGAGAAGGCAACAGATAAAGAAGGCCTGAGGCTGGAAGGAACTTGACGTGTTAGAAAATGAGAAAAATCAGAGAATAAAACCATCAGATAGTCTAGAGAGAGGCAGAAAATGGGTAGGCATGAGGCAGAACATGTATTGTCTAATAGATTCAGTTGAAGATATTTTACTTTATCCTAAGCATAGTGGGAAAGTGTTGGGTCTTTGTCAATAGGGATATGTAATGATTTGATTTGATTTAAAGATTTTTCTGCTGCTGCTGAAAAATAGAGTGAGAAAAAGTAGAATGAAGGCATTGCCAGATGGTCCCTGAGGCCACTGAGGGTCAGGGAATCTGTGCTTCTGTTACATTTATATGATCAAACATCCAAATAATTATCTCAGACAGCTTCTTTCTTCTTTTTTGTCTTGTTGATGATTTGGTTTTCAATTGTTGGTTTGGTTGCCTAGAAAAAAGATTTATGGTCATCTTTGATGCCATCAGTATGGCTTAATGGAATTAAGTTCATGGAATGAAAAATGCTGATTGGGCAAGGCTGGGCCCTATGTCTCATCCTTCTTCACCCACTCAGCTGTCAGAATTGGGTGGGATTTACCCAAACCACCTAGACTCAGAGAGGTAGAGTGGTCACTTCTTTTATATGACCCAAGGTGATTGGCTGGTACTATATCTTCTTCTAATTTCTTTTTCACCAAATTAGATATGACAGGGGTCTGTCTATCTAGCTTTTAGGAAGTTGAGGCATGGGTGGGATCACATTGCTTAGAGGAGAGATCAGGTTCATTGTAAACTAGCTTTGCTTAACAAGAAGATAGGCTTTCAAGAACTATTAACAAAATTACCTCTGTTCCTACCATTCAGAAAAGCTATTTAGCAATTATATGTTGATGTATAAACATTTTTTAATCTCTTCAATTGTTATAGAAAATGGAAAGTGACTAGAAATAAATGCATGCCTGATATTTATTTCAAAAGTCCTTACTTCCAGAGCTGCTTCAGAACTAAGAAAAAGAAAAACAGAAAAAAACTGGAGCCAATCTCCTCCTCCTCCCTCATCTATCAGTTTGAGATATAGGATTTTATCCTGTGTAAGATCCTAACTTTGTAAGACAATTTATGATATTAATATTTATTATGGCAGCAAAGTAGAAATCTTCACTTAGAAATATTTTTAAAAAGGATAAAAGCTAAAATTATTTTAGTTATTAGTCAGAATTTTTCTGCTTTCAATAAACAGAATCTCCTCCTTAATCTGGCCCAAGGGAAAAAAAAAAGATAAAAATCCACTGTCTTTTATAATTCAAGAGACTCAGGGTTAGACATAATGTCAGCTCAATCTATGGACTCAAGTAGCATTATAGGGATTTTTCTATATCTTTTTGCCCTGGTGTGTGTGTGTGTGTGCGTGTGTGTGTGTCACGTGTGTGCCCAAGAGACTTCTTGGGCAGTCTTTTTCCATTTGGGGGCAGGATGGTGATCAGCTGCTCCAAGATTACATTTCGCCATCCTGTTATGCAGCTGCGTTTCCAAAAGTTTCAGCAAAAGTCCTAAAATCGAGTATAATTGCCTCGTGTGGGTCATATACCCATCTTTGAAGCCATTGGTATGACCATGGAATGGAAAACGCTGATTGAGCAAGGCTGGGTCCTATGTCTCATCTTTCTTCACCCACTCAGCTGCCAGAATTGGGTGGGAATTACTCAAACCACATGGACTCAGAGAGGTAGAGTGGCCACTTCTCAAGGGATAATCAACTCTTACATAAAATCAACTTTCTTTTTTTCCAATGGATATTGTTTAATTGAAATTTGATTACAGTTTGGTTATAGCAGAAGTTAGATGGGAAGGAGTATTGAATCTTTTAATCATTCAGCCTAACATAAGGAATTTTGTCTGATGAATCACAGTATTAAGCTAAACAAATAGTGGATGTGATTAATAAAAGCAAAAAGCAGTGAGAGCTAAATGCAGTCTCCACTTCAGTGTGGCCAAGGCCTTTGACTCATTGTCATTGACCTTCTCAAGCTTTAGTCAATCCAGTTGGAAATTCTGCTAAAAGTCAGTATGTCACCACTAAGCAGACATTGAGTTTGAAGTGACCTTTTTTGAGTAAATAAATTAGAAAAGACAACAAAATTAAGCAGCGACCTTGAGATAGCCAACACAGAAATCTGTATGGAGGATTATATGATCTTCCAGTTTCTGGCCTTTATCCCATTGTCCTCCAGCCACCAGATAATTTCCAGCTTCTGTTTCTATGCTTTGTGAGGGCTTGACATTTCAATCACAAATTTGAGGATGTGAGCCTCTGAGTTTACCTGTTGCTGATCTTCATTAATGTTTCCAGTCTATGATGGTTTCGTGTTATGGTGTCCATGGATCTGGAAATGGGAAAGGAGATGAAGAGTAAAGTGATGAAGAAACTGGGTATTGGAGTCAGGCATGCCAGGGTTTAAGTCATGCATCTGCCACTTTCTTACTATGTCTTTGGGCATGGGAAAGATGTTTGAATCTGTTTCCTCATTTGTCAAATGATGATTTCTACAGTTTTTACCTTAGAGTGTTGTTGTAAGTGTTATATAAGATAATTCACTTGAATGCTTAGCAAAGTATCTGGCACATAATAAATACTCAGAAAATGAAAGTTGCTATAATTAGAGAATGATACATTGTTTCCTATTAAGGGTGGTGTCAACTTCTCTTCAATTAGAACCACTAGACAGACAATCCAACTACTGATTATCATGTGAGCCATAAACTCACATCATCACAGTAGGATGTACCCATTTTGTTTTCATTTCTCACGAGAAAGAGGTGAAGGTGAATAGAAGTCGAGAATGGCATGATTTCCATAATGAGATGATAACGAAAGGCAAGAATGGCAAATCAGCTTTATTAATACCATGGATGATAAGGATATATGAATACTTTCTTAACTATCTTTTTTACATGAACACTTAGCATAGGAAGCGCAAATGTGAGAATGGAGTGCTTTATTCCTCCATTTATGTTCATATATACTCAAGGATAAAATGAAGATTAAATGTAGCTTTCATGTATCCCTGCCAGTGGATAGCGGCCTGCAAGCTTATATCCTCCACTACAATCGATACTTGGTTGTGGAATGCATTATTTAGTTTGACTCTGTTTTGTTTCAGCAGACTCACCTAATTAGAATTTGCTGAGGCTTATGTTGAAACAAGTGTGAATTTCCTAAGTATATCCCAATCAGCAGTGGAGGAAATTGGCCTAGAAAACTGTTTGGCAGAAGGATAATGGCAGACTGGGATAACGAATACATCAAAAATTATTTGCATATGGATAATTGAGTCTTGACTGTCAACAGCAGTCATTTATGCTCTTTTGCCAGAATACCCAAATATTTAGTCATTTTACCAAACTAAAAACAGAACAGTAAAATCTCTGGGGGAACCCGCCCAAAAAAGAGACAAATTATTGCTTGATGAGGTACATAGATGCCAGCTAGTTATTTGATTGTTTCTTTTTCACCTGGAAAATATTAGACAAAGCATTATTTAAGATTTCTAAACATGTGCTTGATAAGACAATGATATAACCTATTCCAAAATCTTTTGAAATTAAAATAAATTTATATATGTTTATATATGTAATGATACATATTGATTAACACTTAGATTGGAATCTTCATGAGTTTAAAATTTAATTGACACTTTGTATTCCTTTTGCCACTAAGCAAGATAATTTGTATGTTTTAAAGTTGGTGGCATCACACTACCTGATTTCAAACTGTACTATAAGGTTACAGTACCCAAAACCGCATGGTACTGGCGCAAAAACAGACACACAGACCATGGAACAACATAGAGAACCCAGAAATAAGACTCACACCTGCAACTATCTGACCTTTGACAAACCTGACAAAAACAAGCAATAGGGGAAAGGATCCCTTATTCAATAAACAGTGCTGGGATAACTGGCTAGCTATATGCAGAAGATTGAAACTGGACCCCTTCCTTATACCGTATGCAAAAATTAACTCAAGATGAATTAAAGTCTTAAAAGTTAAATCCCAAACTGTAAAAACCCTGAAAGACAACCTAGACAGTACCATTCAGCACATAGGCATGGGCAAAAATTTCATGACAAAGATGGCAAAAGCAAATGCAACAAAAGCAAAAATTGACAAATGGGATTAAACTAAAGAACTTCTGCATAGGAAAAGAAACTATCCGAGTAAACAGACAACCTACAGAATGGGATAAAATATTTGCAAACGATGCATCTGACAAAGGTCTAATATCCAGTATCTATGAGGAACTTAAACAAATTTACATGAAAATAACCCATAAAAAAGTGGGCAAAGGAGATGAACAGACACTTCAAGGTATGACATATATGTGGTCAACAATCATATGCACGAAAGTTCAACATCACAATGACATACCATCTAACACTGGCCAGAATGGCTATTAAAAAGTCAAAAAATAACACATGCTGGGTGACGTTGTGGAGAAAAAGAAACACTTATACACTGTTGGTGGGAGTGGAAATTAGTTCAGCCATTGTGGAAGAAGTGTGACAGTTCCTCAAAGACCTAAAGACAAATACCATTCGACCCAGCAATCCCATTATTGGGTATATACACAAAAGAATAGAAATAATCATATTATAAAGACACATGCATGTTTATATTCATTGCAGCACTATTCACAGTAGCAAATACATGGAATCAAGCTAAATGCCCATCAATGATAGACTGGATAAAGAAAATGTGATACATGTACACTATGAAATACTAGCAGCTGTAAAAAGGCATGAGATCATGTCCTTCACAGGGACATGGATGGAGCCGGAGGTCATTATTCTTAACAGACTAACACGGGAACAGAAAACCAAATACCACATGTTCTCACTTGTAAGTGGGAGCTAAATGAAAATACATGGACACATAGAGAGGAACAACACACACTGGGGTCTTCCAGAAGGTGGAGGGTGGAAGGAGGGAGAGGATCAGGGAAAATATCTAATGGGTACTAGGCTTAATACCTGGGTGGTGAAATAATCTGTACAACAAACCCCCATTACACAAGTTTACCTATGTAATAAACCTGTACTACCCTTGAACTTAAAAGTTTAAAAAATTTGTTTTTTTAATGTTTTTGAGACTATATTAATGTTAGGATATAATTTTTTTTCTTCAGGAATATACAATTTTAGTGATGTTTGAACTACCATGATTTGGTTTCCAACTTTTACTTTGTTTGCAATTCTATATGGCATACCAAGTATATGGCAATCTCTTTATCTGGGTGTAGATAGATAGATATATCTATATCTGTATACATAGGCATCTCTCTCGCTCTCTCCGTATATATATATTATGTATATGTTATATAAATGTATATGTGTATACACACACACACACACAGAATAAGATATAGATATTTATTTGGATGTCTGTCTCTCACTCTCTTTTATATATGTCTCTGAATAAATATTTATATATCCTCATACATATATATGAGACAGATGGGGGTGGGGGGAGAGAGAAGAGCTATCTTTTACAGGAAAGTTTATCAATTTGCCCATGGGATAATTTGGTTATTTTATTGTAGGGCTGGAATTTGAATCTAAGTCCGCCTGCTTCTGTAGCTTGATTTTTCCAAAGTGTGCCACTTATATTTTGGTAAATATGAGCTGCGTTTTCACGGAACACAGACATAACATTAAGTAGCATTTAACGATGATAAATTGATTTTTTGTCAAGGTCAAACTCTTAGTTTGGTTCCAGTGGGTATTTAAAAAATGTTTTAACTGTCAAATAATTGTATATATTTATGGGGTTCAATGTGATATTTTGATATATGCATACACTGTAGAAAGATTAAATCAAGCGAATTAACATATCCATTACCTAACATACTTATTATTTTTTGGTACTGGAAGGTATTAATCCCTCTTTATCTCTTAATCTCCATTTTTAACACTGATGATTGAGCTTAGGCAGTCAATACAACCTAGGGAGAATTTAATCACATTGCTTTATTTCAGTTTAATTTTATGTCTATTTTCTATTTGTGTTAAATAATACTTATATTTTGGTTTGTTTGTAATAGTTTAGAAACATAGATATTTAAAAATCAGTTACTGTATCAAAAATATCAAGTCAATGAAAGGATGTTGATATGCAAACTTTATAACAGTGGCTCTGTATGAATGAATAATGGGAAATCATTTCACTTTTTGGCTTTTGATGAATGCTACTCTCCAGACACATGCGTACTTTTCTCCATGGGAACAATACACTTTGCAATTGGCATGCCTTACCTTACTGTCTTCTTTCTCTTCCCCCTTTGTCATCATAATTAAATTCTACAGTTAAAACGTTAAATTTAAATTGACACAATGTGTCCCTAAAGTTTTCCTTTATCTCATGGCAAGAAGTGTTCTCCTTCTGTTTCCCTGGACAGTTTTGTGCCATAAGTCTTTCCCTACTTTGTATATTTCCTTGTAAATAGACATGTGTTTTTGCCTTTTACTATACCTTCACATCTTGAGGGCAGTATCCTTGTCCAGTACATCTGTCTGTGTGGACCAACACCTGGAATAGAGATTTAGGCATAGGAGATACTAAACAGACATTTGTGGAACCAATACATTCATATGTGAATGAATAAAGGCAGTTGAATTACCTACTTGATTCATCAGGCACTTCACCCTTTTGCAATGACTACATCTCAACTTCAGGAACATTCAAAATTTGCTTTTTAGGGTACAAAATAAGCAAATAAATAACCAAATTAAATTTTTATAATTTATAAAAAAGGAAGATAACTGACTTGAGTTTTCCGGTATGAACACCAGTTTTCTCTACCATTCACTAGAGGTATTTTCTTTTTTTTTTTTTTTTTTTTTTTTTTTTTCTGAGACGGAGTCTCGCTCTGTCGCCCAGGCCGGACTGCGGGCTGCAGTGGCGCAGTCTCAGCTCACTGCAAGCTCCGCTTCCCGGGTTCACGCCATTCTCCTGCCTCAGCCTCCCGAGTAGCTGGGACTACAGGCGCCCACCACCGCGCCCGGCTAATTTTTTGTATTTTTAGTAGAGACGGGGTTTCACCTTGTTAGCCAGGATGGTCGGTATTTTCTTAAAAAAAAAAGAAAAGAAACAATTTTTCCTGCGTGTGATGGTCTCACTGTGCTCCCTACAAGGGGATATAGCAGAAGGAAGACAATGAAGAGAGATGTAGCTCAAGTTTGTGGAACTGCAACAGTTTCTCTGCTTGCTTAGCATTCCTGATGCTAAAGGGCATACTGTAGAATTTAACTGTTCCTTAATAATCCTTGAGAGGATGTGGCTGCTGAGTGGGGAGGAAATGCTATTCCTCACTAGTCCACTGCTCTTTCTTGTAGCCGCTCCTTTGTTTCACCACTGCTACAATTTTTTTTCTGCGGCTCTATCTCCTTTCTTTTCTGTCAGTAAGATGATTCCCAAAATACCCTGGGGTATAGTCACACTTCTGGATGTTCATTATCTCTAGATGCCCTCAGCTACAGATATTTATTTTCTGCAGACCTCAGTCTGCAAACAAAGAAAAAAAAATAAACTCTGCTACTTGTTACGGCAGCAGGGCAATCTAAACTGTTTTTCTCTTTCTGAGGCAGTTCAGAGGCCTCAGTGTCTGTATTTTTTCCCTCTAGGTTTTCTGTTTCTCAAAAGTGAAATTATATGCCAGTGACCATTTTTCATGCCACCCCACCTTTCTCAATAATCTGGACCGTTGGCTATTCCAGTCTTTCCTTCATCATTGCTGCAAAGCCACTTATAATACGAATGAAGATTGAATTTATGGAAATTGTTGGTTTTGAGCCAAAGATGCTTGAAAATTAATGAGTGGGATTTTAAAAAACTGAGAAATTACTTCAATGTGCTACCTTTTGAAAACCCCACAGTCCTTTTTATAAAAAATAAACTTAAGAAACAGCTCAAGTTATTTGAATTCAAATCAGATATCTGAGATTAGGGTTGCACAATTTGCTTTTATTCCATGGATGTGTCAAAGTCCTAGTCTCCACTGCCTCCATTTTTATTCTTAGGGCCACCATTGTTTCAAATAACTGATCAATAACAAAATTGCCTACATTCAAACGACAATGTTTTATTTCTCTAGCAGTAATTTAGTAAAATGTAGTAAATAGCAAAATAACCAGAAGGAAGAATCAGTAGGAGAAAAAATAGGGAAGGCAATCTGAGTAATCTTTTTTGTTGTTGCTGGCATGTAATTGCTTAATATATATACCTCATGCTTTAATACAATTTTGCCCATTTGTTGTAAATGGGCCAGGCATGGTGGCTGTCACCTGTAATCTTAGCACTTCAGGAGGCTGAGGTGGGAGGACTGTTTGAGGCAAGGAGTTCAAGACCAGCCTGGGCAACATAGTGTGAACCTGTCTATACAAGATTTTTTTTTTTTTTTTAATTAGCCTGATGTGGTGGTATGTGCCTGTAGTCCCAGCTACCCGGGAAGCTGAGGCGGGAGGATTGCTTGAACCTAGGAATTCAAGGCTGCAGTGAGCCACAATCACATCACTGCAGTCCAGCCTGGGTGATAGAACAAGACCATCTCAAAAATAAAAAGTTACTATGAATGCTTAATGGTTAGAGTAAGTTGTTCACTGAGAATGAAGAAATGACATCAATAATTTCCCATTGAAAAGTAGTTTATTATATATAATTGTTTTCAGGTGAGTAAGAGAAACTCTACTATAGTGGATTAGCCAAATGGGCATTTATTTTTTCACATAGTGAGTGGGCTGAAGAAATCCAATAGTGAAAAGGTAGCTCCGTGATTCTGGCGTAGATTCAGTTTGCATCTGTAGCTTTGCTTTGCTTTCCTCTGCCATGTAGCTTTTACCTTTGGTCTCAGCACAGCTGTTGAAGCTACCGCCATTGGGTGTGCATTCCAGGCAGGAGAAAGGCAAAGGGCACTTACCTTAAATGCTATCCAAGTCTATCTCTTTTCTTCAGGAAAATGACAGCTTTTCATGAAGGCTGCAATACATTCCCATTTCCTTTTATAGATGAGAACATTGTCATGGGTCTATGCCTTATTGCAAAAAGTTTGAGGAGCTGTATCTTTAAGCACATCACTACTTAGAACAAAGTCAGAGAAAAAATACTTGGACACAACTAACCATGCCTGCTTAATGTATAAAATCAACATGATGTTGATCAGGGCAGAAAAAATGCTAAATTATTTCAGATTAAGTCCCTGATATACTTTATTTAATAAAGAAAATGTCAACGAATAGAGGAGGCATAGGAAAAGCATGTTCATGAGAAATATGGGCAGCTCCCAAATGCTGCCCTGGAGAGAGGAGCTCTCAGTTCAAGGGCCTTGTGCTTTTCTATGAAGATGATGAAGTGTGTGTGTGGGGAGGGGGTGGGGGTAGGGGGTGGGGAGGGATGAGAAAGGGGACCAAGAGGGTTTACAGTTCTATTCCTATGGCGTTATAGAGACTGGTTTCCTAGCTTTATTATTGACTGGTTGTATGATGTTAAGCTAGTTACTGATTAGGATAACACCTACCTCATTAGGTGGTTGTAATAATTAAGCAAATTAATATTTGCAAAACATTTAGTACAGTGTCTTTTACCTAAGTCTTTATTAAATAAGTAAAACAATACCTATCATGGAAGGAATTGATTTATGCTTTGTCAAACATCAGGTTATATCTTTATCAGATTCAGTATGTCCTGTTATATACTATAGTATCCCCAGCCTCTACATATTGTTAGAGTTCAATCAATGCTGATTGAATTAATGAATGAATATTAGCTGACACTAAAGCATTTTTGATTCGGTTAGCTCTACATGTTTGTTGCATATTTATGAATGATACTATGATTCCTAAGTAAGCAGTTGAAGACTCAACCAATGGCCTTTGATTAATTCCAGTTTATATAAGAGTATAAACTATATATGTAAACTAAATGTATATGGTATGAATATATATATGAATGTAAATGTGTATACACAAACTACATGGTATATTCATAAAATGTTTTCTGATTCTGATTATTTTTATTTTGACTTGATTTTGCATGGAGCTTAACTTTTACTTGATAGCAATGGTAACGTCTCAGTACACTGACCCATGTATTGTTCATTTGACAGCTGGACTTTTTCTCTGAAATTAATAAATTGTCATTCTGCTATCTATCCTGGTCATCCCTACATTTGACTGCATAAGTAGTAAGATGATCGATTCACAGTATAACTACATTATCTTTCTACATATATCAAAACATCACATTGTACCCCATAAATGCATACAATTATAATTTGTCAATTAAAACACTGTTAACAAAATATAAATAAATAATAGATTAAATAAATAAATGAAAAGTTCTCAATGCAGAATCAAATTTTGTCCCTTGTGTTTTAGATAAAGGATTGTAGACTTGCATTTGCTTGGAAGACACTTATATATGTAGTAAAGTAGTAGTATAGTCTGGTTGTTAAGAGCTAGACTCTAAAGACAAAAAGCCAGCTCTACCATTTATTTACTGTCCATGACCTCCTGAGAAAGTTACTGAGCCAGTTTACGCTTCAATTTCCTCCTCTGTGAAGTTAGGCTAATAACAGCACTTAACTCATTCATGCAGGGTTATTGTATGAATATATACATAGTGCTTAACATAATACATGAAAAAGTCCTCAACAAGTGATAGTAACATGCGCAGTTAAAGCACATAGTATTTTCCAAATTTGTTGAATTCATGGATGAAAAAGGATACTCAGGATCGATGCTCTACATGGGATTTGTTCAACAGACAGCTACCAATAAGGAATAGAGGAAAAGTTCTAATAATTTATCTTAAAATTCAGATGTTTAAAATACATACCCTAGACCAATAACCACTTTGCCTCTCTGAACAAATATTATATCGCCAGGTCAGCAAATATACAGGGATTATCCTCAAATACTTACTCTTATAATTGGGACTTTATAAACTGATGTTCAGTTTAGATGAGTACAATAATTTAGTAATAAATATTTGAAGAGGAAAAACCAGGCCACTGTAAGATGACACTGTAACATATCCAAATATGCTTGTTCCTTATTAAACATGCAACACCAAATGTTCCTTGTTAAAATAAAATATTTCATTGAACATCTTAGTGTATAAATTATTGATGGGCTCATTTTAACAGTTTCCTAGTGGAATTCTAATCTGATTTTCATCTGTAGGGCACAGTATCCTTTTTCTGAATAAAACCACCTCCAGGTCGTCAGTATTTCCTCTAACTATTGGCATTATATGACCCCTCCATGGAGTTAACATTGGCTTAGTTCTATATTTCCCAAGTACTTAAAAAAAATTGGGTTGCAATCTTGTTTCTTTGCTGATGATTCAAGATGATTCTTTTAAGAAAAAAAATTTGTAAGGCTGATCTTCTAAATGTGTTTTTAAACATCCACTTTACATTATTTTCGCTGCTCAAATTCTTAAATGTATATTCTTTTCTGAAAATAACTGAAGTATTTGAGACATCAGTTTGTTACTCGTTTTTAAAAAAGTAAATAACATTGTCTCCCTTGAGACTTTCATAAATTGGACTTGAAATATACTTATTTTGACCAGGTATTTATTTGCAATTTTCTATTTCAGAATAAATTTGCAAAAAAATACAGAGCAGCAATAACTAAAAGCCTTGGGAGAATTAATTTAAATATCTTCATGGGAGAAATGTAGTTTTTTCCTACATCATATGAACTTTTTCAAAAAATGACCTAATGAGAATTAAAAAGATTCCTGGTATGATAATATTCAGATTTTAATAAGAAGGTGTTAGTGGACTTCAATTATATGCCTTTACCGGCTTAATAGAATCTCAAATAGTCACCATTAATGCCACTCCACTGGTCAACTTAAAACTGACATTTTAACTGGGTTAAGCCACTTGTTAACTGGCAGGAAAATATCAACGTCAGATAAGTGTGTCTATAAATAGTAATGCTACATACTATTTACGACCACTTCTGTTACAACTGTGTATCAATTACCTTCTTCATTTCTGTGATCTTAAGTAGAGTATGTAATAAATACAGTTTTAATTGCATTTACCTTCTCCAAATAGTTATATTCTGAATTATATATATTTTTCTGACTAAAAATACTTGAAATTTTATCAGAAAACTTTTGCATTTCAAAAGACACAAATCAAGAAAGAGAAAAACCCCACAGACTGTGAGAAAATATTTTCTAATCAATATCTAAGGGATGTGTATACAGAATACAGAAAGAAATCTTACAGCTCAATAATGAGAAAGCAAGCAATCCACTTCAAAAATAGGCAACGGATTTTTGAATGGCTATTTCCCTAATGAAGATATAATAGACGAATGACCAGTATTTACATGAAAAGATGCTCAACGTCATTGGTGATAAAGAAAATGCAAATCAAAAGCACAATGAGATACTACTTCACACCTATTAGAATAGCTGTAATCAAAAGACAGACAATAACAAGATTTGGTGAGGATGTGGGGAAATTGGAGCTCACATACACTGCAGGTAGGAATGTAAATGGTGGCGTCACTTTGGAAAACAGTTTGGAAGTTTCTTAAAATGTAACAATGGAATTACCATATGACTCAGCAATTCTACTCTTAGGGATATATCTACAAGAACGGAAAAATATGGCTACACAAAGATTTTCACGTGAACATCCCTACAAGCTTTGTTTATAATAGCCAAAAAGGAGAAATAACCGAAATACCATCAAACATTGGATTGATAAACAAAATGTCGTATATCAATACAATGAAATAATGTTGTCCAAAAAAGGAAGAAAGAACTAATTTATGCTACTACATGTACAAACCCCCAAGACATTATGCTAAGTGAAAGAGACCAGGTATGCATATTGCATGATTCCATTTATAGGAAATAAAGGCAGAGCGTTAAAGATAGAAAGCAGATTATTGGTTTTTTAGGGCCAGGGTGGGAATGAGCACAGGGTTTCTATTTGAAGTGATGCAATATTTTCTAAAATTAGATTAATGTAATGGTTGTATAGCTCTGTAAATACAATACAAATTGTTGAGTCATACACTTAAAATCAAGGATTTTATATGGCTTGTAAATTATATTTCAATAAAGCTGTTAAGGAAAAATGCCTGAAAAAAATGCCTGAAATTTTTTTTTTTTATAAATACAGAAAATTTCATAGAAGAAATATAAAGTCATCCATAATCATCCTGTTTCCCCAAATTGTTACTAATAACAAATTGCTGAATTTTATGTCATTTTTCCCAAAATGATTACTTCTTTCATATAAGCTTTTTGCACTTGAAGTTCCTAATATTGTTATTACATTTGCACATTATTTATAATGACTATATAGTATTACATGTTAGTATCTATCACAATTTATTGTTTTTTTTTCTTTTTTATTGCAATGTAACTGCAATTGTCTGATGGGTTCCTCTTGCCCACTGCACAGATAAAGCCAATTAAATGACACTGTGGTGTTGCAGTAGAGAAAGAGTTTAATCACAATGTCAGCCAAGCAAGAGGACAGGAGACATTTCTCAAATCTGCCTCCCTGAAAGCTCAGAGGCCAGGGTTTTAAGGATAATTTTGCAGGCACGGGGCTAGGGAATGGGTGCTGTTCCTTGGTTGGGAATGAAATCATAGGTGTGTACAAAGTGTCTTTGCATGCTGAGTCAGTTTCTGGGTGGGTGTTTCCAGGTGGGATTCAGTTCCTTGCTGTGAGTCACAGGTCTGAGTGGAGCCAGTGAGACGCCAGAATGCAAAAATCTGAAAAGTATCTCAAAGACCAATCTTAGGTTTTGGCAATTGTGATGTTATCTATGACAGCAATTGGAGATGTTACAAATCTTGTAACCCCTGGTTGCATGACTTGAGCAGGAAGGGACTATGGAAAAGCAAGCTAGAAAACAATGGCTGGTTATCTTTTAACTACACTTACATTTTAGTAGACATCAGGCCTCTCCCATAATCCTAACCTTGTGGCCTTTGAATAGCCTTACAAAGTCGGTTTCAGTCCCCCAGTAAGGAAGGCATTAGATCTGGGAAGGGACTGTTATCTTTGTTTTAAAGTTAACAAAGGCAGTTAGCTTTTGAGGTTAGAAACAAGATGGAGGCAGCTATGGCAGATTTCTCTCACTGTCAGGATTTTTGCAAAAGGTGGTTTCATAACCTATGTGTAGTAAAGTACACACATATCAAATGTACATCCTGATGCATTTTTTTCATCTGTGTACTGTGTGTGACTGACAGACAGTTAAAGTCCTCTAGTGGGTTTCACGTGCCCCTTGCCAGTGAATACTCTCACTCCTTGCTGAACACGAAGCACTATTCTGAACTCTGTTGTGACAGATTAATTTCGTCTACTTTTGAACTTCACATAGATGGATTCATACAGCATATGATCTTATGTATCTCTTATTTTACTCAATATCACATTTATGAGAGATTCATAACTGTTTTTTGTAGTAGTAGTATTTTATTCATTTTCATTGCTGACTAGTATTTTATAGCATAAATTGATTACAATTCTATTATTGATGAACATTTGGAAAGATTTCCAGCAGCATTGGCTATAACGAGAATTCTGTTATAAACATCCTTGAACATTTCTTCTGGTGGACGTTTGTACTGACTTAACTATGTACCCATTGTGTTAGACTGTTTTTGCGTTCCTATAAAGGAATACCTGATATTGTATAATTTATAAAGAAAAGAGCTTTAATTGGCCCATCGTTCTGCAGGCTGTACAGGAAGTCTGGTGCTGGCATCTGCTTGGATCCTGGTGAGGCCTCAGGAGGCTTCCAATCACGGTGGAAGGTGAAGGGAAGCAGGTGTGTCACATGGTCTAAGTGGGGGCAAGAGACAGAGCAAAGGAATTCCAAGACTCTTTTAAACAATCAGATCTCATGTGACCTAACTAAGTAAGAACTCACTTACCACCTAGGTGATAGTGCTAAACCATTCATCACGGATCAGCCTAATGATCCAGTCACCTGCTACCAGGCATCACCTCCAACATTGGGAATCACATTTCAATGTGAGATTTGGAGGGAACAAACAACCAAACCACATCAACCACGAAGGGAGCTCTTAGCTTGCAGAATATGTATGTTTACCTTAGTAGAGGCTCCAAACAGTTTTCCAAAGTGCACAGTTTATTATTTGATTTAGTTTCTGCTGTATTGTTTGTTGTTTATTTTTCTTATTATAAATAACCATGAAAAGAAAAATCCAGATTGAGCTATATAAAGGGATATTTGTTTGAACAAAAGCAATTATCTTTACAAAGTTTGTGGTAGATTTCATTAAGTAGTCAGTTTTTCACTCCAATCTGTTTTTCACTTTCAGTACAGTATTAAACAAATTACATGAGATACTCAACACTTTACTATAAAATAGGCTTTGTGTTTGTCCATCTATATAACCAAGAGAGAGGTTCTCTGAAAGAAAAAGATTCTTATTCAGAAGTAGGGCATTGCAAAGAGAATACTCACGTATTCTATGTGTGTATTCATGTAATACTCATATATTCATAAACTATGTGTGTATTCAGGTAAAGGAAGACAACGGTTTTTAAAGAAAATATTGAGGAGGATTACCTAATTGTTTTGAAATTATTATGCTTGGCTACAAAGACCCATAACAAGCATTATGGCAGTCTATGGTTGGACAGGCAGTTGCTGGGCAGATGTTCTTGCAGAATTGTTTTTTTTTGTACAAGGTTTTGTTGGCCTTTCTGTAAGGTTGAAATTTTTGCAGAGCTTTTTTTGATAGTTTTTGTTATCAGGCATACAAGCATGAGAAATCTCCTTCATGGCCTTTCCTGGGCTCTATTTGTCAGGGTTTGGTTTTTTTTTTTAAACACTAGTTGCTCCATCTTTGTTCTGATAACTTTGACATGTTAGATGATTTGGCTGAAGTGTAGGCTAATATAAATGTTCTGAGCATGTTTAAGAAACTGGAGGGGCCAAGGTAAAATTCCTCCTTCACCCTCTGGAGATTTGCTGGAAATCAACTGTCAAAAACCACATGAATATGAGAAAATCCATACAAAAATTTATTTTCATGTGTACAGCATGAGGGAATCACAGGAGAATGATTATCCAATAATCCAATGTGATGCAGAAGCTTTTATACTCTTTCTTGTATGGGAGTGGGGAGATGGGGAACACAGATGATTCTTTTAAGGGACAGTAAGTCATTAGGGAGTGAATGGTCTGGGGAGGTGGGAGGCAGACATTAAGGGAAGATGAGGGATGGAGCTGCACAGGAAAAAGATTGTTTTACAATGCACATAAAGCCCCCCAGGTAATCTCTTGGTGCTACTCTCTGAAGAATAGATAAAAAGTCTGTATGGGTGAAGTGATGACTATCAGTTGCTTCTCTCCTCTGGTGGTTGATCTTTTCTGGTAACTTGATGAGATCCTGAGGGAGGGTGTTTAAGACAATCGCATTTCTTTTGGAAGAAAACATTTTGGTCAGGTAAGGAAATTTCAGAGAGAGTCCTTTCTTAAACTTGGTTGGGGTCGGAAAGACCAGGTTAGAGAGACCTTGATTCTGAGGCAACTTCTAAGGCATCTCAGCATGTGCCAATCTTTGGGGTATCACTTTCTGAGCCTCAGTAGTACACTAGGGTAAGTGATAATGTTTCAATAGCTTGAGTGTATTAAATGCAATTTCAACTTATGATATTTTCAATTGATGATGTGTTCATTGGGATGTAACCCCATCATAAGACAAGAAACATCTGTATTAGAGAAGTTCTGATTCCTTGCATCCTTAATGCATTTGGCTATGAGAAATAAAAATACAGTACTAAGCCCTCCAATTGACTGAACGGACCCCCTCTTGGCCAAAGGGACCCCAGAGAAAGCTCAAAAACAGAGTTCCCAGCCAAGATGCAATGGGAGGTCAGAGGCACCTCTTTATTCCCTCTCCCTTGCTAACCATGACTAGGCTTTCTTCCATAAGGGCTAAATAGAAACCAGCCCTTTTAAAAGCCTCTGCCACAGCTATCAACCAATAGGCTGGTGCTGCCCCTCTTTTATGGTTTCAAGACTATGAAATTGACCAGCATTCCTTCCTGATAAGAGACCACCAGTCACAGAGTGGTTCTGGCCAATCTGCATGGGCTCTTGAAGGGGTATGAAGCTCAACTGCACATGGGACATTTCTCCTTACATAAATATTCATGACTCCTCCTATAGCTTATTGTATTAGTCCGTTCTCACACTATAAATAAATACCTGAAACTGGGTTGTTTATACAGGAAGAGGTTTAATTGGCTCATGGTTCTTCAGGCTGTACAGGAAACATGGCTGGGAAGGCCTCAGGAAACCTACAATAGGCAGAAGGTGAAGGGGATGCAGGTGTCTTAAATGGCCAGAGCAGGAGGAAGAGAGAGAAGGGGGAGGTACTACGCACTTTTAAAGAACCAGATTTCATGAGAACTCACTCACTATCATGAGAATAGCAAGGGGGGCATCTGTCTCCGTGATCCAGTCACCTCGGACCAGCAGGCCCTTCCTCCAACATTGGGGATTACAATTCGACACGAGATTTGGGAGGGGACACATATCCAAACCATATCACTTATTAAATATATATATTAAGCCATTCCACTCAGCATAAATCTCTATTCCCTTTGTCCCTCCCTCAAAGTCTGTTTCCAGTATCTTGTTGGAAGCTGTGCTTCCCAGCCTGTCAGAATGGCCACTCTGCGAGCTGCAACCCTTTATGAGAAATACAGCTCTCCTTTCCAACTTTAGGAACCTCATCATTCTTCAGATGACAAAGTTATAACTTGATGAACATGGTGATTGAAAGTACAGGGTGCTAAGACATTATACATGAGGGGGAACATAACCTGCAGCATCAAGTGAGATTTCACTGAAGAAGACTTCTTTAGTTTTTAATGTGTGCATGATTTTCTTTAGTTTGGAATTTTGAATATTGTTGTGGATTAAGTTGTATCTTCCTCCAAAAAGCATGTGGGAGTCCTAACCCTAAGTACCTCAGAAGGTAACTTTGTTTAGGTCTTTACAGAGGTAATCAAATTAAAGTGAGGTCATTAGACTAACCTGTAATCCAGTACAACTGGTAGTTAGGATACAAGTCTTCATAGAGGAAAGATGACAAGAGGACACAAGGAGAAGGCCATGTACAAGCCAAGGGATGTCTTAGGCTACCAGAAGCTATGAGAGGGGCTTGCAACAGACTATTCTTCCACATAGCTTCCAGATGGACCCAACACTGCCAGAATCTGAATTTTGAACTTCTAGCCTTCAGAACTGCAAGATAATAAATGTCTAGTTTTTCGGCCAGGCGCAGTGGCTCATGCCTATAATCCCAGCACTTTGGGAGGCCAAGGTGGGCAGATCACCTGAGGTCAGGAGTTTGAGACCAATCTGGCCAACATGGTGAAAGCCCATCTCTACTAATAATACAAAAATTAACTGGACATGGTGGCAGGTGCCTGTAATCCCAGCTACTCAGGACGCTGAGGCAAGAAGAATTGATCGAACCTGGGAAGTGGAGGTTGCAGTGAGTGGAGATTGCACCATTGCTCTCCAGACTGGGCAATAGGTTGAGACTCTGTCTCAAAGAAAAAAAAAGATAATAAATTTTTACTTTTTAAGTCACCCTTTTTGTGGTATCTTGTTATGGCATCACTAGGAAACTATTGCAAATATCTCAATTTCTTCAAATCACATTGCTTTAACTAAAATCCTCAATTCTTACCCTCACTGTGTTTGAAAAGTTCTTAAGCAAAGGATACTATATTTCTGTTATATAATTTGATGTTATTCCTGTTGCCTTTTAATTTTTTTCTATTTATTTTGAAATAATTTCAGACTTACAAAGCAACTGCAGACTTCTAGACAGAAGAATTAGATACACTTTTCACTCTTCTTGTCATTAAGTACAACTAAAAACTTTGGGCATTATATGTGAAATGTACACAAGAAAACTCTGCAAGGTGGAGAAAGAAACATAAAGGTTAGGAATTTTGGGGCCAAGAAATGACATGGTGGTGAGTTCCTTGGATTATCTGAGCAAGTCAATAAAGGAAAGATAGTCTTCTCAATAAGCAATGCTGGAATAATTGGACATCCATATGCAAACAAAATTAATCTAGACACTAATTTTACACCTTTCACAAAAGTTAATTTAAAAATTGATAATATTATGTCTTAAACATAAAGACAAAACCATCAAACTTCTAGAAGAAAACATGAGTAAAAAAGTATGTGACTTGGGTTTAGTGATGAATTTTAGATACAACTCCAAAAGCACAATTTGTTTTCCATTTGCTTGGTAGATCGTCCTCCATCCCTTTATTTTGAGCCTATGTGTGTCTCTGCCTGTGAGATGGGTCTCCTGAATACAGCACACTGATGGATCTTGATTCTTAATTGAATTTGCCAGTCTGTGTCTTTTAATTGGAGCATTTAGCCCATTTACATTTAAGGTTGATATTGTTATGTGTGAATTTGATCCTGTCATTATTATGTTAGCTGGTTATTTTGCTCGTTAGTTGATGCAGCTTCTTCCTAGCATCAATGGTCTTTACAATTTGGCATGTTTTTGCAGTGGCTGGTACTGGTTTTTCCTTTCTGTGTTTAGTGCTTCCCTTGGGAGCTCTGGTAAGGCAGGCCTGGTGGTGACAAAATCTCTCAGCATTTGCTTGTCTGTAAAGAACTTTATTTCTCCTTTGCTTATGAAGCTTAGTTTGGCTGGATATAGATTCTGGGTTGAAAATTCTTTTCTTTAAGAATGTTGAATATTGGCCCCCACTCTCTTCTGGCTTGTAGAGTTTCTGCCGAGAGATCTGCTTTTAGTCTGTTGGGCTTCCCTTTGTGGGTAACCCGACCTTTTTCTCTGGCAGCCCTTAACATTTTTTCCTTCATTTCAACTTTGGTGAATCTGACAATTACGTGTCTTGGAGTTGCTCTTCTGGAGAAGTATCTTTGTGGCGTTATCTGTATTTCCTGGATTTGAATGTTGGCCTGCCTTGCTAGGTTGGGGAAGTTCTCCTGGATAATATCCTGAAGAGTGTTGTCCAACTGGGTTCCATTCTCCCCATCTCTCTGATAAAACAGCCTTTAAACCAACAAAGATCAAAAGAGACAAAGAAGGCCACTACATAATGGTAAATGGATCAATTCAACAAGAAGAGCTAACTATCCCAAATATGTATGCACCCAATACAGGAGCACCCAGATTCATAAAGCAAGTCCTTAGACACCTACAAAGAGACTGAGACTCCCACACAATAATAATGGGAGACTTTAACACTCCACTGTCAACATTAGACAGATCAATGAGAAAGAAAGTTAACAAGGATATCAAGGAATTGAACTCAGCTCTGCACCAAGCAGACCTAATAGACACCGATGGAACTCTCCACCCCAAATCAACAGAATATACATTCTTCTCAGCACCACATCACACTTATTCCAAAATTGACGACATAGTTGGAAGTAAAGCACTCCTCAGCAAATGTAAAAGAAATTATAACAAACTGTCTCTCAGACCACAGTGCAATCAAACTAGAACTCAGGATTAAGAAACTCACTCAAAACCACTCAACTACATGGAAACTGAACAACCTGCTCCTGAATGACTACTGGGTACATAACCAAATGAAGGCAAAAATAAAGATGTTCTTTGAAACCAACGAGAACAAAGACACAACATACCAGAACCTCTGGGACACATTTAAAGCAGTGTGTAGAGGGAAATTTATAGCACTAAATGCCCATAAGAGAAAGCAGGAAAGATCTAAAATTGACTCCCTAACATCACAATGAAAAGAACTAGAAAAGCAAGAGCAAACACATTCAAAAGCTAGCAGAAGGCAAGAAATAACTAAGAGCAGAACTGAAGGAGATAGAGACATAAAAAACCCTTCAAAAAAAATCGATGAATCCAGGAGCTGGTTTTTTGAAAAGATCAACAAAATTGATAGATGGCTAACAAGACTAATAAAGAAGAAAAGAAAGAAGAATCAACTAGATGCAATAAAAAATGATAAAGGGGATATCACCACCGATCCCACAGAAATACAAACTACTATCAGAGAATAGTATAAACACCTCTATGCAAATAAACTAGAAAATCTAGAAGAAATGGATAAATTCCTGGACACATAAACCCTCCAAAAGCTAAACCAGGAAGAAGTTGAATCCCTGAATAGACCAATAACAGGCTCTGAAATTGAGGCAATAATTAATAGCCTACCAACCAAAAAAAGTCCAGGACCAGACGGATTCACAGCCAAATTCTACCAGAGTTACAGAGAAGAGCTGGTACCATTCCTTCTGAAACTATTCCAATCAATAGAAAAAGAGGGAATCCTCCCTAACTCATTTTATGAGGCCAGCATCATCCTCATACCAAAGCCAGGCAGAGACACAACAAAAAAAAAGAGAGTTTTAGAACAATATCCCTGATGAACATCGATGCAAAAATCCTCAATAAAATACTGGCAAACCGAATCCAGCAGCACATCAAAAAGCTTATCCACCATGATCAAGTTGGCTTCATCCCTGGGATGCAAAGCTGTTTCAACATATGCAAATCAATAAACATAATCTATCATATAAACAGAACCAACAACAAAAACCACATGATTATCTCAATAGATGCAGAAAAGGCCTTCAACAAAATTCAACAACCCTTCATGTTAAAAACTCTCAATAAACTAGGTATTGATGGGACGTATCTCAAAATAATAAGAGCTATTTGTGACAAACCCACAGCCAATATCATACTGAATGGGCAAAAACTGGAAGTATTCCCTTTGAAAACTGGCACAAGACAGGGATGCCCTCTCTCACCACTCCTATTCAATATAGTGTTGGAAGTTCTGGCCAGGGCAATCAGGCAGGAGAAGGAAATAAAGGGTATTCAATTAGGAAAGAAGAAATCAAATTGTCCCTGTTTGCAGATGACATGATTGCATATTTAGAAAACCCCATCATCCCAGCCCAAAATCTCCTTAAGCTGATAAGCAACCTCAGCAGAGTTGCAGGATACAAAATCAATGTGCAAAAATCACAAGCATTCCTATACACCAATAGCAGACAAACAGAGAGCCAAATCATGAGTGAACTCCCATTCACAATTGCTTCAAAGAGAATAAAATACCTAGGAATCCAACTTACAAGGGATGTGAAGGACCTCTTCAAGGAGAACTACAAACCACTGCTCAATGAAATAAAAGAGGACACAAACAAATGGAAGAACATTCCATGCTCATGGATAGGAAGAATCAATATCGTGAAAATGGCCATACTGCCCAAGGTAATTTATAGATTCAACGCCATCCCCATCAAGCTACCAATGACTTTCTTCACAGAACTGGAAAAAACTACTTTAAAGTTCATGTGGAACCAAAAAAGAGCCCACATTTCCAAGACAATCCTAAGCCAAAAGAGCAAAGCTGGAGGCATCATACTACCTGACTTCAAACTATACTACAAGGCTACAGTAACCAAAACAGCATGGTACTGGTACCAAAACAGAGATATAGACCAATGGAACAGAACAGAGCCCTCAGAAATAATACATCTACAACCATCTGATCTTTGACAAACCTGACAAAAGCAAGAAATGGGGAAAGGATTCCCTATTTAATAAATGGTGCTGGGAAAACTGGCTAGCCATATGTAGAAAGCTGAAACTGGATCCCTTCCTTACGCCTTATACAAAAATCAATTTAAGATGGATTAAAGACTTAAACATTAGACCTAAAACCATAAAAACCCTAGAAGAAAACCTAGGCATTACCATTCAGGACATAGGCATGGGCAAGGACTTCATGTCTAAAACACCAAAAGCAAAGGCAACAAAAGCCAAAATTGACAAATGGGATCTAATTAAACTAAAGAGCTTCTGCACAGCAAAAGAAACTACCATCAGAGTGAACAGGCAACCTACAGAATGGGAGAAAATTTTTACAATCTACCCATCTGACAAAGGGCTGATATCCAGAATCTACAAATAACTTAAACAAATTTACAAGAAAAAATGAATCAACCCCATCAAAAAGTGGGCAAAGGATGTGAAAGACACTTCTCACAAGAAGACATTTATGCAGCCAACAGACACATGAAAGAATGCTCATCATCACTGGCCATCAGAGAAATGCAAATCAAAACCACAATGAGATAGCATCTCACACCAGTTAGAATGGCGATCATTAAAAAGTCAGGAAACGACAGGTGCTGGAGAGGATGTGGAGAAATGGGAATGCTTTTACACCATTAGTGGGACTGTAAACTAGTTCAACCATTGTGGAAGACAATGTGGCGATTCCTCAAGGATCTAGAACTAGAAATACCATTTGACCCAGACATCCCATTACTGGGTATATACCCAAAGGATGATAAATCATGCTGCTATAAAGAGACATGCACATGTATGTTTACTGCAGCACTATTCACAATAGCAAAGACTTGGAACCAACCCAAATGTCCATCAATGATAGACTGGATTAAGAAAATGTGGCACATACACACCATGGAATACTATGCAGCCATAAAAAAGGATGAGTTCACGTCCTTTGTAGGGACATGGATGAAGCTGGAAACCATCATTCTGAGCAAACTATCGCACAGACAGAAAACCAAACACTGCATGTTCTCACTCATAGGTGGGAATTGAACAATGAGAACACTTGGACACACGGTGGGGAACATCACACACCGTGGCCTGTTGTGGGGTGGGTGGAGTGGGGAGGGATAGCATTAGGAGATATACCTAATGTAAATGACGAGTTAATGGGTTCAGTACACCAACATGGCACATGTACACATATGTAACAAACCTGCACGTTGTGCACACGTACTCTAGAACTTAAAGTATATATATATAAAAAAGCAGAATTTGTGAAAGAAAAATATTGATGAATGGACTCTATTAATACAAAAGCCCTCCTCTGTGAAAGTCACTCTTAAAAGAATGAAAAGCTAAGCCATGGACTGGGTGGGAGAAAATAATCACAAAACAGATATTTCATAAAAGATGTGTATCTAAAATACAAAAAGAACTCTTAAACTTCAACAATAAGAAAAATCCCCAACAATTTAAAAATGAGCAAAAGATCTGAACAGACACCTCACCAAAAAAGACACATGGCAAATATACATATAAAAAGATACCTAATAACAATTGTCATTTGCAAGTTAAAACAACAATGTCATACCATCACATGCAGTAGAATGGTTAAAATCCAGAAAAACAATTCACATCTAAAGCCATTATTGTTATAGTTGGATTGGTACTGGTATGATTGTAACTGTTTTGTTACACTTGTTCTTTCTTTTTTACCCTCTTTTTTTTTTTTTTTTTTTTGCCTTCTCTGGTTTTAAATGATATTTTGCATGATTCCATCTTATTTTTTCTGAGTATCTCCACTGTTCTTCTATCTAAATTTTTAGTGGTTACCCTAGAATTTGAAAGAAACATTTAAATCTAATCTAAGTGCCCCCTCAAAACAACACCACTTGTGTATTACAGATGCCTTACAACGAAGCATTTCCAATCCCTCCCTCCCATTCCTTAGGGGTGACCGACATTTCATATTACTACTTCATATACTATAATCATCCAGTACATTATTACTATTATTATTTTAAAAGCAAGTTACCTTTAAATTATGAATAAGCACATACAATATTTTATCTTAATTTATTCCTTCTTTGATGCTCTTTTTTTTCTTAATGTAGGTCTGAGTTTCTGGCCTATATTACTTCTTTCTGGAGAACTACTTTTCACATTTCTTCCAGGACAATTTTGCTGGTGATAAAATCCCTTCATCCTTTTGTTTATTTGAAAATCTTTCTTCTTCACTTTTGAAGGATAATTTCACTGGATCTAGAAGTGAGTTTTTTGTTCAATACTTTGAATATGGCCTCTGATGAGAAATCTGATAATTTCCACATTTTATCCTCATATAACGTCAGAGTTTATTTTTTGGCTTCTTTCAAGATTGTCTCTTTGTATCTGGTATTCTGCAATTTTAATACTTACATTTAATGTAAGGTGTACTTACATTTTTGAAATTTGTTTTGTTGGTGTTTACTAAATTTGTTCAATCCATGGTTTGTTGCCTATCATTAATCTTGGAAAGTTCTCAGCCATTATTACTTTAAATATTTCTTCTCCTCCATTTTTTCTTTTGAAATTATTCGAGTTTTTTTTTTAAATTTTCTGTTCTGTTTCTTTTTATTTTTTTGTCTTTTGTACTTTAGTTTGGGAGGTTTCTGTTGAGCTGTTTTCAGCCTCACAAATTCTTTCCTGTTTGTACCAAGTCTGCTTATGAGATCGTCAAAGGAATTCTTCATTTCTGTTACAACATTTTTTATTTCTAGCATTTTTGTTTTTCCCTTAGAATTTCCATCTTTCTGTTTACATCATCCATCTGTCCTTGCATGTTGAACACTTGCTCTCATTACAGCTCTTCATATATTAATCCTATTTTTTTAATTCTCTGATAATTCCAACATCTGTGGCATATTTGAATCTCCATCTAACGCTTGTTTTGGCTTACTTGGTTCTGAAGGCTTTTTTTGGTTTTGCCTTTTTGCATACCTTTTAATTTTTTTGTGTGTGTGGAAAGTCAGATATCCTGTATTTGGTAAAAGAAACTGTAGTAAATAGGCCCATGGTATAAAGTTTTATGTTATCTTTCCTACCAGTTGGGCTGTGTTAAATTTTTGCTACATCTAAATATGTCAGAGGCCTTAAATTCCCATAGTTTCCTTTTTTCCTTTTTCTTTTCCTCCTTTCTTGAGTTTGGGGGATCCCTAAATACTTCTGCTTAGAAAGAGTCTGCCTCTTGCAGCTCTTTTAGTATTATACCATTCTTATTACATGGAGTCCTCTTGATGTATCTCTAACGTCTACGAGAAGAGAAGGGGTCAATAACCTTACAATTAAACCCGTCTTTTAGTGGCCAGTGTCTCTGGGATGCGACCTCTACAGGTGCCTCTTCAGGTTTCTATTCCCTTAGATGAGACCCAAAGGTTGGGACTGGAAGGGGCACAGCTAAGTGGAAAAATCCTCTTCTCCCAGGTGAGAGAGTTAAAGCCTTTCCTCCTGTTAAAGAGGAGGCTCTAGGTGTATTTCCGTATGATTAACCTTCTTCCCCTGCCAGAGCCACAGGGGATCTTTTTCAGCTCTTCATCATGAAAACCTGTGAGGGTTACTGAGCCAGCATCCACAAAATTATAGGCTCCTGCCCCGCTCCCCCGTCAAGACTGTGGTGTATAGAATTTTTCATTTTCAGAGTAGCCCACACTCAGCTACCCAAGATTCATCAAAATGGCTATTTAAGTGTTTCTATCAGTTTATGGCTGCAGTGGCTTCTGCTGTAAGTAAGCAGATCACAGCTGCGACTGTCTGGGTTCATCTGTATCTCTAAATTTTGTGGTTGTGGTTTGCCCTCAGAACTCGGTTCTTTGGTTCAATGAAGGTTGTTCATTTACAGTTTGTTCAGCTTTTTCTTGTTGTAAGTGTGGAAGTGATATGTTCCAAGATCTTTAAAGATCTGAGGCAAGACTAGAAGTCCTTACCCAACTAATTTAACCAACGTGAACAAGGAATTTCTCAAAGGTTGCCTTCTCAACAAATGGTGCTACAACAATTGGACATCCATATGCAATAAAATAAATACTGACCCAAGCCTCATATTTATACAGAAATGGACTCCGAACAGATCATGTGAAATGTAACACTGTAAAACTGTTGGAAAAATATAGGAGAAAATCTTTAGGATCTAGGTCTCAGCAAAAAGTTCTTAGACTTAACACTGAAAAGGCAATCCAGAAAAATAAAGTTGATAAATTGAGCCTCATCAAAATTAGAAATATTTCTCATCAAAATTACCTGTTAATTTTAGGGATAGCATTTCAGAAAGAGGGAAACTGCCTTGTGTGAAATGATAAGCAGGAGAAAATATTTGCAAACCATATATTCAGCAAAAGAGTAGTATTAAGAATCTATAAAAACACTCAAAACTTAGTAAAAAAAAAAAGTACACCATCCAATTAGATCACATGCAAAAGACATGAAGAGACATTTCAATGAAGAAGATATACAGATGGCAAATAAGCATATGAAAACATGTTCAGCATTACTCTTCAGGGAAATGCGAGTTAAAACCACAATGAGATTCCACACACACAACATTGTGGCAATAGCAAATCCTGGCAAGGAGAGGGAGAATCTGGATCACTTGTACATTGCTGAGGGAAATATAAAATGGCATAGCCACTCTAGAAAACAGCTTGGCCACTAAAAAAGCAAAACAAAACAAAACAAACAAAAAAAACTTGCAGCCAGGCATGGTGGCTCACACCTGTAATCCCAGCACTTTGGGGGGCCGAGGAGAGAGGATCACTTGAGCCCAAGAGTTTGAGAGCAGCCTAGCCAACACAGCGAGACTTCATCTCTACAAATAACAAACTTAACCAGGTGTGGTGGTGCATGCCTGTGGTCCCAGCTACTTGGGAGGCTGAGGCCAGAGTTTCACTTGAACCTAAGAAGTTAAGGTCGCAGTGAGCTGTGACGGTGCCACTGCACTCCAGCCTGGGCAATAGAGCAAGACCCTGTCTCAAATACAAAAACAGAAAATAACAGCAATTTGCAACTATCATATGACCCAGTTATTACACACCCAGGTATTTATCCCAGATAAATGAAGACCTATTTCTACCCCAAAACCTGTACGTTTATGTTCATGGCAGCTTATTCATAACAGCTCCAAACTGGAAGTACCCAAATATTCTTCAAGGAATGGTCAAGGAAACTCTCATTAATCCATTCATCTTTACTATGGAATACTATTCAGCAATAAAAGGAAACAAATTCTTGATACCAACTACAGCCTGGATGAACCACTGGAGAACTATGCTAAGTGAAAAAAGCTCTTACACACCGTATGACTTCATTTATGTAAGATTCTTGAAATGAGCACAGTAGATGTGGAGAACAGATTAGTGACTGATGGGGTTAAAGAGGAACTATGAATGAAGAGGGGTGTGGCTATGCAGGGGCACTGAGGGATCCCTGTGTTGATGGAAGTATGCAGTCTCTAGACTATCAACGCCAATATCCTGGTTGTGATACTGTACTATAGTTTTGCAAGATACTACTATTGTGGAAAACTGGGTAAAGTGTGCAAGAGATATCTCTGTATTTCTTGCAATTACGTGTGAATCTACAATTATCTTGAAATAAAATTTTACTTTAAAAAAGCTGCAGTCCTCAAATTTTGTGTCTGATTGTGATAGCTGATATTGAATAGAGGAACACAGGGTACAAATGGAGAGTGAATTTTCAAAACTCTGGAATAACCTTATAAACAGTGAAGACCCTGTTTTACTCCGAAGATGAACCCAGTGTTTGAGTTTACATGGGACATTTTGGGAAATATTCCCTACTACTCTTATCTGGTTGATTACACTTGTAAAAGGCTAAAGGTTAAAACATTAAAAACAAGCCAGTGATGGCCAGGCGCAGTGGTTCACGCCTGTAATCCCAGCACTTTGGGAGGCTGAGGTGGGCGGATCACAAAGTCAAGAGACAGAGACCAGCCTGGCCAACATGATAAAATCCCGTCTCTACTAAAAATACAAACATTAGCTTGGCGTGGTGGCGCATGCCTGTAGTCCTAGCTACTCGGGAGGCTGAGGCAGGAGAATCACTTGAACCTGGGAGGCGGAGGTTGCAGTGAGCTGAGATCACGGCACCTGCACTTCAGCCTAGCAACAGAGTGAGACTCCGTCTCAAAAAAGAAAAAAGAGAAAAAAAGAAAAAAGAAAAAAAGAATCCAGTGACAAATGAAAAAAAAAAGCTGCAAACACAGAACAAAAATTTCCCATATGCCCTTTACCTAGATTCCCTAAATATTAACATTTTATAACCCTTCTTGCTTTATAATCTGTCCCCATCCCCATAGCATGTATGTGTGTGTACACACACATACTTATTTATTCTATTTTATTTTTTCAAATGTCTGAGGGTAAATTACAAATATGATACCACTTCACTTATCAATATTTTGGTATTTTTTCTATAAAACAAGGATATTCTCTTATATAACTAGAGTATACATTATGGAATCAGGAAATTAATAATAGCAATGCTGCTGTCTAATCAACAGACCTTTTCAGATTCTTTCAGTTTTTTCATTAATGTCCTTTCTTGGTCCAGGATTCAATCTAGAATTCTGCCCTGCATGTCTTTGTCCTGTCTTTTTCATCCCCTTTAATCTGGAAGAGTTCTTCAATCTTTCTTTGCCTTTCATGACTTTGCTGTTTTTAGAGAGTACCGGGTGTAGAACGTCCCCTCGTTTGGGTTTGATGTGCATTTGTGGCAAGGACCGTGCAGAGGCCATGCTGTGTCCCTCTCAGTGCATGCTCTCAGGAAGCTTGAGCAATTGATTAAAGAGGAGTGGCCAGGCACGGTGGCTCACGCCCAAAATCCCAGCACTTTGGGAGGCTGAGGCGGGCAGATCTCCTGAGGTCAGGAGTTTGAGACCAGCCTGGCCAACATGGTGAAATCCTGTCTCTACTAAAAATACAAAAATTAGCTGAGCGTGGTGGCAGGTACCTGTAATCCCAGCTACTCGGAAGCTGAGGTAGGAGAATCACTTGAACCTGGGAGGCGGAGGTTGCAGTGAGCCGAGATCGCGCCATTGCACTCCGGCCTGGGCGACAAGAGCGAGGCTTTGTCTCAAAATAGATAAATAAATAGATAAATAAATAAATAAATAAATAAACAAAAAGGGTGGGGGTGGTGGGGAATGCCAGCCACTGTAGAGTTTCTATTTTTTCCAATTTTAATAAGTAGGTATTTTGTGGGCAGGTATTTTGAGACCACATATGTATCCAGAATGTCACATTTGAAAGGTGAGCAGTGATTGGTTAGTTATGAGAATATTGTTCTGAGGGCAAAGATGGCATTTCAGAAGGAAGGAAACTGTAGGAAGTCCCTAAGACTGAGAATCTAGAATTTGAAAGGAGGGAAATATCTCAGTCTCACATGCCACTGGAGGAGAGAGAGAAGACAAGCTGAGCTGGAGGGCTCGGCAGGCTTTTAGGATGTACTAAAAACTGAGGGCTATCCCAGTTAGGCTTACCAAACTTAACCTGCCTCACTTGTTTTTCACTTACTTGCTTTTAGTTGATTTTAAGACCCATATAGCTAAAAGTCATGTAGCTAAACACTATATAACTAAATTCCCACCAGCTTCCTTATAGATGACATCTTTGATGTATGGGGCACCTCAGTAACAGTTGCCTAAGTTGTTTTGCAGGAATTTGGTGTTAGCTCTTTTCCAGTTCAAGCCAGTTGAGACCAGTGACCCTTCAATTGGGCCTGTGTGAGTGTCCAGTGGGTGACCTTTTGATGTCAGAGAGCCAAAAACTCCACAGTTAGATTATGATAATAACACCATTTTGTGAACATGCATCCTATGAAAAGCCAGGAAGTTTGACTATGCTTACACAGATCACTGAGTACTTTCCCTTACCTCCAACCATCTCTCCCCATGCCTCAGACCACCCTGTTTTCAGCCCATAAATATTTTGAAATCCTATATTCAGGGAGGCAGAGTTGAGGCCTGTCTTCCCGGCTCCTTGCTTGGTTGCCTTGTGAGTAAACCCTTTCTCTGCTGCAAAACTCATCTTCTCAGTGATTGGCTCACTGCATGATGGGCAAAACTGGCCTGGTTCAGTAAAATGCTGAGTATTTTTAACATTTTAAACTTTAATTCCAATGCAGTTGGACACCCTTAAAAGTTTTTAAACAGAGGAGTGATAAAATCAGATGTGTGTTGTAGAAAGATCATTCTGATTTTATTAGAAATAGATTAGAGGTATGACAAGGGACTTATACTTTATATCCAACCATTTTATCTCTCTGTAACTTATTTTTGGCACATGGTATGATACAGACATTCGACTCTTTTAGTCTGTAGATGAGAACTTTTCTCAGCATCACTTAATTAAAAAATAACCTATTTTGCTTTGACTTACATTGCAAAAGAACACACACCGATTCCCTCAAAAATAGATATTAAGTGCCCACTATATCTCAGGGACCATTCTAGAAATTGGAATAGAGAAGTAAATAAAATAGACAGAAGTCCTTGCCATTGTGAATGCTCTGTGACCTATAATATTTATTTAGAATAATTATCTAATTATTTTAGAATAATTAGATATAATTAGAAAATTATTTTAGAATAATTAGATACTTTATTAGATAAATTAATTTATCTAATGAAAATTAGATATTTTTTCCCCAGGGTTTTACCTGTGCATGCGATTGTATGTATGTATTCATCTATATCTTTTTATAGTTTAAAAATACCCCATAATCCCACAATGCAGAAAATAATATCAAAAACTTTGATGTATATCATTACAAATACCAGTGCAACTTAAATTTTTCATTTGAAATGGTGTAATACATTTTATTTTATTTTTGTAAACTTTTTCCCCTCAATATATCTTGAATATCTTGCCAGACTCTTAACTGTTATTGTACAATATAATTTTGATTTGCTCACTAGCATTCTCTTGTATTCCTATACCATAAATTATTTCACTTATCCCACAATCTATCTAAAAGAGAGTGATTAAATTGAAGAAAGTAAATTGTTCTGCATAATAAACCGATTTTTTTCCCTTGGTGGCCCTAGAGTAACAGATATGGGGCAATTTATTGAAAGTCAGTTCACCGATTGGTCTATTCACTGAAAGTGGGGGCTCTATAGATGACAATATAAGAAGAAATGAGGGAAATGACTTGATATGAAAGGAGATTTTTCTAGAATTAGGGTGGCATTGTGACCCAAGAAGAGAGATGACCACTGGGGGCTAACAGTGTGGATCACCAGTAGATTGTAATAGATTTGGTAACTGGTATTTAATTTCAAACTGTTCTGTTGCCTCAAAAATTCTCCAAAGTATTGAGTGAAAAATGAAATTTCTGCAAAGAGATGTGAACCAAAGGCTCAAGTTATGTATTTTTAATAAAATGCAAAAGGACAAGGCAAAAATGTTAAATAAAACTTACACTTTCACTACATTTTTGAGGCATAATTGTTTACTCTGGTATAATTACTAGTAGAGGTATTGCAAAATGAAAGAAAATGCATTCTATTGTCCATATAGAGACAATGTATCATAGTGGTCAGGAGTTCGTGTTTCAAATCAGAAAGGGCTGGGTTAGAATTTTGGTTCTGCCACTTGCTTGCTGGGCAATTTGGTACCTGTCTCTTTCCAAGGATCTGTTTTCTTGTACAGAAGCACGGGAGTAACATGAGAATCTAGCAGGCAGGGCTGTGATGAGGACCAAATGATGCCTATGATGTATTGGCCACAGTGCTTGGCATATCAGCTAAAAGGTGTTGAGTTTATGTGTTAAAGATGGTGGTGGTGATGACATAACACACACTGGCTGAAAGCTTTTGATACATACCACGAAGTTGACCTCTGTAGAGTTTGTATCAAATTATATTTCCACCATTGCATATAAGCAGTCATTCTCCCACATTCACATGGGAATTACAGTGTGTAAATCATGAGTAATTTGAATTAAGTGTCAGGTGTCTATTCAGTGACTTTTTGTTGAACGCATAGTCTGTGCAGGTCATTTGGTCCAGCACCAAAAGACTTAGAATGAATTAGACAGATTCAGGCTCTGTACTCCCAGAGCTTATAGTCTAGGGAATGTTCCTCTTTGCTCACTGATTTACAAAGATACCAAGTTTTTCTTTTCTTTTTTGCCTTTCTGTAAAATATTTATTTCATCAAAAGTTGATTTAAAAATAATGAAGTTTTAACTAATTCAATTATACTGTTAAAATAAGTTTGCTCAAACGAATTACTGTAATCTATATGAGTTTGAACTTTTTTTAGCCAAGACTTTTTCTGGCAACACATTGTCCTATTTTTTGGTAAACATTTAATTTTATTTACGCAATTTATGTTGTAGAGAATTCTTAGATTTCAGTAGTTTTCTGCCTGCTGCAATACTCAGCCTCTGGGAGATGTCTTGTGATCTTGCCTTACTGCTCACTGAAGCTGTTTTCTATGAAAGGAAGCTCACATCCACCTGTTAGAGAATGTCCAGTTTCTAGCATTTTTCTCTTTCACAGGATGGGAGATTGCAAGTGGGTCCTCTATGGCTTCATCTAACTGGGACTTTCTGACCTCTGTGTGGAAGACAGTTCTTAAAAATTTAAATGTGATAGCACTTTTCTCATTTTCCAGAACTTCCACATTCCCTCCCTCTCTTCCTCCCTCCCTCCTTTCCTCCTTCCCTCCCTCCCTCCCTCCTTCCCTCCTTCCCTCCTTCCCTCCTTCCCTCCTTCCTTCCTTCCTTCCTTGCTTCCTTCCTTCCTTCCTTCCTTCCTTCCCTCCCCCGCCTGGCTCCCTCCCCTCCCCTCCTCCGATCCTCCCTTCCTCTCTCCTTCCCTCCTTCCTTCCAAATCTACTGTAGGATAGACAGATAATACAGGCATCTGGTGCAAGGAAGCTAAATTCCCGTGCTTGTATCAGTATCTTGTCTCTAGAACACAGGTGTCTCATGTCTACAACACTAACTGAGCATATACTCTTTTCAAAGGACTCATGGCTATTGATTTTTAAAAAGCTTACAATTACTATACACACACACAAATGATTAAAATACTTGATTGCATGTAAAAATAAGTAAAAACAAAGCTGAGTCACATGTTCAGAAGAGGGGATGCTGATATGTTCTGATGGGATAGGACAGACATTGGCATTGAAGATGATCTTTCACTGTGCCTATCATCTTTATAGGTGAAGATGAAGAGGAAAGGCATTTAGGCAGTAAAATGCAAATAATATGAAATGCAAAGTGAAAGCCTGCCTCCCTGCCCTCACTCTGAATGTTATTATGCTGGGGTTGCCTTTACTATTTTGGTTTTTAGTTTTTCTGGTGTTTGCCTCCATCACACGAACTTGTATTTACTTGTACCTCTATTTATTGATTTATCAGCCTCAAGAATGTTACTCATAGTGGAATGACACTCATTGTGGAAGATAAGCAATTTGCTTCACTTACGTTCTCCTTCCCACATTTTTATTGATTATATTTCTTTTAAATTATTTCTTTGGTTACTCATTCAACATTAAATAATATACTCAAGCCTCTATATCCCCATTCATTACTTTTGGAGGATATCATTAACTGCCCACTCTGAGGAAATTATCTCTCTCCAGTATAAAACAGGTGCTACAAGTCTAGCTCTTACTCCTGTGTAAAGCCAACCATGGGACTCTGATGTCATGGACTAAGAAAGAGCAGCAGAGCCTCAGCTCAGGCTTTCTTCCCCACACGCTCACTTTTAGTTATGAAAATGACTGGGAAGAGAACATGTGATTTTTATTGGCTTCTCCACTGGAAGATAGGCAGAGGAAAGGAAGTTCTGGGTAGGCTCTGGAGTGGTGGATAAACAATGAATATGCCACCAAAGATATATCCAAGTGTTTCCATGAGTGTGTTGTCTCAGAAAGTTATTTAACGACCACTTCTCAGGCAATAAAACTTGCACTCACAAAGATCGGAAGAAACATGGTTGTGCCCTGAATGTGAAGCTCAGACTCATTTATTAAGGGCCATACTAAACACTGGGATCCACTCATGATTATACTTTTAATTAGTGCGAGTGATATGGCTTGGCTGTGTCCCCACCCAAATCTCATCCTGTAGCTCCCATAATTCCCACGTGTTGTGGGAGCCACCCAGTGGGAGATGATTGAATCATGGGGGTGGTCTTTCTCATGCTGTTCTCATGATAGTGAATAGGACTCACCAGATCTGATGGTTTTAAAAACAGAATTTTCTCTGCGCAAGCTCTCTCTTTGCCTACTGCCATCCATATAAGATGTGACTTGCTCCTCCTGGCCTTCCACCATGATTATGAGGCCTCTCCAGCCACATGGAACTGTGACTCCAGTTAAACCTCTTTCTTTTGTAAATTCCCCAGTCTCGGGTATGTCTTTATCAGGAGCGTGAAAACAGACTAATACCACGAGATCACCCATAACTTCTCAAACCGCCTGTACCCAGAAAGTATTGAGTGGAAATCAGTTAAGAATTTGGCTCTATTCTAACCTACCCCCTCCTCAGAGATGTCATTAACTACTTCCTTCTCTTTTTACTTTAATAGTATACTACGTTTCACTTTCCCATATTACATATGTCACAAGAGAATAGCTGTCAGTTCTTCAAGGATAGGACGTATGTGAAAATTCATCTTTGTATGAACAGCATCTAATACAGATCTTGGATGTGAATCAGATTATATTTATTGCAATAAACTATTGCATTGCTTTTAAATTATTTTGATTTTATCTTTCCCACTGAACTGGGAACAACTTTATGATTAGACTCATATATTATTAATTTTTGTATCTTCTCCCTCTATCACTGTCTGTCACATGAGTTTCCATCACACAAGTTTGGGTTAGATATTTGTTGTATATTATAATTAATGAAAGGCTATGCAAAGTAAGCCCCTTAACTAGAAACTTCTCTTTTGGGATCATATACCCAGTTGACCCTTTAAAGAGTTAAACATTGTAGCAGAATTGTTTATTATATTTTGGTATTATGTATCTTTTTTTAAAAAGTTCTGTTTCTTTTTAATTTTTTTAAACTTTTCGTTTCAGGGGTAAATGTGCAGGATCTTATACAGGTAAACTTGTATCATGGGGGTTAGATTATTTCAACACCCAGGTACTAAGCATAGTACTCGATAGCTATTTTATTCTGCTCCTTTCCCTTCTCCCACTCTCCACCCTTGAGACAGCCCCAGTGTCTCTTGTTCCCTCTTTGTGTCCAGTTTTTTTTTTTTTTTTTTTTATTCCCATGTAACACCTGCTCTACTAGCCAATTTCTGGTCCCTCAGAATCTATTGTTGATCTAGTTCTCTATGTTAAGGCATGTTCTTCATTTCTTTAAAATGAACACACACACACACACACACATACGTACACACTCACGTATGCCAAGCAGTGTCAATGCATTAATTATAACCAACTAATTTCACATACATGTGAATCAGCTTTGCAGATGCCTGTGTTTCACTTGTTTCAGGCAGGATGGGGAGAAGCAGGAAAACAATTCCAAAGTGCTTCTTATGGATGTAACTTTAGGATGAGGGACCACGTGCAGCAAAATGACAGTGTGGACCTAGCAGAAGAAGAGGTGATGTTAAAAAGGGAGGGACATGTTCTTTTTTTTAAATTGAAAATTGGTGTCTGTAGTTGATATATATTCATGTAGGTTTATACAGAACATTTATGAGACGTATGATAATTCTCAGGTGAGTGAGATTTTCAGACTGGCATTTTATTAACTTATGTTAAGAGCACGCCAGACACTGCTCTTGGTTTTTCACAAATGATCCCATTGTATACCTACAATACCCCTAGGAGGAATATCTTTTCTTGTGCTCATTGCTGATGGGAAGACAGAAGCGCAGGGAGGAAAAAGGTTTTGCTAGTGTCACACAGCTAGTGGGTAGTGACGCTGGATTTGAATCCAGCCAGTCTGGCTCCAGTGCCCAAGCTCTCATAGCCATTACTCTATGAGGTCATATGTACCAGATGGATGAAACAGTCAGGGCTTAGGTTAGGGAGCCTCTGATAAAAAAGTGCTTCTAGCCAAGTTTATCATATGTGCAATGTGGACTCTCTTTATTTTATTGTATATTTTTAAAATTAAAATGAACAGGAAAATTATCTAAATTTTTTAATCAACTACCTGAGACAATATCTTTTAGCTTGCTTTTGATGGCAAATATGAAAGTATCCATTCCAATTTGTTCTAAGCTGAAAAAGAAAGAAATTGACTGGATCACACAATTGAATAGAACGGGACAGATCTAGCTTCAGGTAAGGCTGGAAGCAGGGGCTCAAAGTGTCAAGAGGTGCTTGCTTTACTTTCTTCATTGCTCAACTCTGTATCTTCTCTGTTAACTCCTTCCCAGGCAAGCTTTCCTTTGTTGTCGTTGTTTTGTTTGTTTGTTTGTTTGTTTTTGAGACGGCGTCTCCCTCTGTCGCCCAGGCTGGAGTGCAGTGGCATGATCTCGGCTCACTGCAAGCTCCGCCTCCCGGGTTCACGCCATTCTCCTGCCTTAGCCTCCCAAGTAGCTGGGACTACAGGCGCCCACCACCACACCTGGTTAATTTTTTGTATTTTCAGTAGAGACGGGGTTTCACCGTGTTAGCCAGGATGGTCTTGATCTCCTGACCTTGTGATCCGCCTGCCTCAGCCTCCCAAAGTGCTGGGATTACAAGCATGAGCCACCGCGCCAGGCCAACTAGCTTTCCTTTTCTATGTGCACCATGGCTGTCAGAACAGTCTAGGGCTAAATCCTTCTAAGATCGAATTCGGTGGAGAAGAGCGAAGATCTTTTTTTCCAATATTTCTCTAAAAAAAACCCCCAGTGTCCACTTTGATTGGTCCAGATAGGTAACACGCCCCTTCCTGAACGTTCTCAGGGCAAGTTGTTGGATTGATTGGTTTAGTCCTAGGGTTGAGAATGGAGCTCTCCTCTATGATGCACAGTGAAAATGATCAATGGAGATGCCCTTTTCCATGCATGGCTGGAAAAAGAAGTGAATGCTGCAGAAACAAGCTGCAGATATTCATTGCAAAGTTTGAATTTAATTTTTGTGGGAGAATACTCCAGCTGCCTTTTAAACTATTCCATCTTGCTTGATCAGTAGAACTTCATAAGGAAATGTCCTCATTCTAGTGAGCAATATTTAGTCCTGCAAGACTAAGAAACCACTGGATTGATTTGAGGACAGGTTGGAGAGACAAATGAATGCAGTTCTTTGGTGTAACACCTGTAGATTGTTTTTCTTATCCTCTTACAGCAGATAATACTTTAATAGAACTGAGATTGTGACTGAGACAGGCAATGCTACATCAATTAAGATCACCAATGCATTGTGGAGGACAGACACAATGCACCTTGGCAGAACAGATGAATCAATTTTTCACCTCGGTGGGCCAGAGCAGTAAAAAGAAATATTTCTGATGTATATGAAACTCATGACTAACATATGTTCATTTGGATGATACCCTCTTCCTACTCCCATTTATAATCATTATATTTTAGTGTTTCTGACTTCAGTGGTTCGCATATTTTTGTTCTTCAAAATTCATTTAGGTGTATCTGTTTATTCAAATGCAAATCATTATAGGATAGAATGATATTGGTAGGATTCATCTTCCTCCTTCGCATCAGTGTTAGTCCTGAATTAGAGCTGGTGGTAGTGGGTGGAGAAAGGAGAGGACGGTCTCCTTAAGGAAGTACAATCATTTGTCAGGAGTAAAGGTGACCATCTTTCATCGGAGGCACCCAGGGACTTTAGGAGCACATATTTTGTGACTTGTTTTGAAGAATGTGTCAGATGACATGAACAGGGCTAGAATTGGGAAGAAGCCCAAGTCTTTCCCTTTCAAAAGAAAAGGAAGGAAAAAAAGAGAGGAAAGATGGGTGTTACTTTTATAGCAAAGCACAATCTCAAAACACAACCTGAGACATTTCTTGCTTGCATCATAGCCTGATAATACAGGGCACCTACTGTTAGTAGATAGGCCCATTCTCAGGGGGAAAAAAAAGTGCAGGAAAATCAAATCTTTGCCAAGAAGCCAAGTTAGCAGTGGGCAGGAAGAGAGGGGAGGGGGCCGTGGTGTGTTTGGTAAGAGTTGGCTCTAGTATCTAACTGCTTCTGTCTGAATCACTCATGATCTGGGGAATATTGGACAAGTTACTTGCTCTCTCTGGAGACTCATAGCTCTATCTGTAAAATGGGTATATGCTTTTGTAGTGGAAGTTCAATGGAGTAATGTGTAAGTAAAGCTTTTTGCTCAATGCCTAAAACATAGTTGATTTTTCTTAAGTGTTTTATATTACTTATTTACTGGACATGAATATTCCATGCCAAATATTGTGCTAAGAACCTTACTGGCATTATTTCATTAAAATATATCCATGTGGTAGGTATTATAAATCTCCCAATTTTTCAGATAAGTGACCACAGGAGAAAATCATTTTCTAAAGTCATGCACTTTGTGAGTTATAGAGTAGATGGAATTAAACTCGAGTTTCTCTGATTACAGATCTTCTGAAATTTTTAACATTAAAAAAAAAAGAGCTTGGAAATCCTGACTGTTGTAGGCTGTGCCATGATCACTGTTGAATTCTTTATCTGAACACCAGTTTTCTATATGAACTGAGAGAGATGGCAAGAAATAAAGAATTGGTACTTTCTTAGGCTGTATAAATGAGAGGATTGTGCAAATCATGATAGACAAAACCCAGGAATGACTGGCATTTTAAAGAAACTTGTGCTTACTAGAAAGGGTAATTAATAGCTTAATGAAGTTACTAAGTACTAAATGCTCATAATCATTCTGTGTTTAATGCTTTATATAGGGAAAAAACAATAAGACCAGCCTAATTGAACAGAGTAAGATACAGCTCAGCTCTTGTCAAATCCCCCTCCCAAACTCTACGGCTAAAAAAATGTGTTATCTTAAGGTGGGAACTAGATTGAGATGCCAAAAGCACAATATGTAAGGAATGCTGGCTTTCAAGATTGTGAAAGTACTGGAATGTGTGTTCATTTTCTGTTACAGTATAACAAGCTACAGCAAGCTGAGTGGTTTAAAATCATACATATAAGCTTGGCATGGTAATCCTAGCACTCTGGGAGGCTGAGGGTGGTGGATCACTTGAGGTCAGGAGTTTGAGACCAGCATAACAAGCTACAGCAAGCTGGGTGGTTTAAAATCATACATATAGGCTGGGCATGGTGGCTCACATCTGTAATCCCAGCACTTTGGGAGGCTGGGGCTAGTGGATCACTTGAGGTCAGGAGTTTGAGACCAACCTGGCCACCATGGTGAAACCCTGTCTCTACCAAAAATACAAAAATTAGCCAGGCATGGTGGTGTGTGCCTCTAGTCTCAGCTACTCGGGAGGCTGAGGCAAGAGAGTTGCTTGAGCCTGGGAGGCGGAGGTTGCAGTGAGCTGAGAGTGTACCATTGCACTCTGGTTTGGGTAACAGGAAGAGACTTCATCCCCTCTGCCCCAAATAATGATAATAATAATAAAATAAAAATCATACATATTTATCACCCTGTAGTTTCCACGGGTCAGCAGTTCTAGCACAACTTAATTGGATCCTCGGTAAGGCTGCAGTAGAGGTGTCTGTGGAGCTGTGGACTCATCTGGAATCTCAACTATGGAAGGGTCCACTTCTAATTTCACACAGTTGGCAGAATTCATTTCCTTGCATATACGGTACTGAGAGTTTCAGTTTCTTGTTGGTTGTCATCTGGAGGTCACTGTGAGCGCCTTGAGGCCTCTCATAGTTTCTTGTCATATGGGATTCTGTGCCATGGCTATGTGCTTTCTCAAGGTCAGAATGAGAATGAAGGAATCCAGCAAAATGGGTGCTGCCATCTTATGTAACATAATCTCGGCCGGGCGCGGTGCCTCACGCCTGTAATTCCAACATTTTGGGAGGCCAAGGCAGGTGGATCACTTGAGGTCAGGAGTTCGAGACTGGCCTGGCCAACTTGGTGAAACCCTGTCTCTACTAAAAATACAAAAGTTAGCTGGGCATGGTGGTACATGCCGGTAATCCCAGCTACTTGGGAGTCTAAGGCAAGAGAATTGCTTGAACCTGGAAGGCGGAGGTTGCAGTGAGCCAAGATGGCACCATTGCATTCCAGCCTGGGCGACAGAGAGAGACTCTGTCTCAAAACAAAAGAACAAAAATATAATCTAATCATCAAGTTCATTGAGATTATTGTGTTCCTTTAGTTTTTTTAGGTGAAAAAATGATTTTAGTGAATAACAAGCCAATGGGACCTACAGGCTAGAAATAGTCAAAAGTGAGCAGGAGGGAAAGAATGTAAATCAATGAGTATTTCATGTACTGGAGTTCTCACAATGATGCGATGAGATATCGGGGGTGTCTTTAGAAGTCTCTGACTATAAGCCACACCAGACCCAATTTACAATGAATAAAGAAATTTATTTTTTCAAACAATCCGAAGTTGCAGCAGCACCAAGCTTGTCTGGCTCAGAGGCTCAGTGGTGGCTCTCAGGAAGCCAGCTCCTTTCTGACTTTCTGCTGTGTCATCCTTGGCATGCCGTCTCACTTCCCTCATGGTCACACAATGGCTGTCGTAGCTCTTGAACAAACATCATTGTTCAGAAGCAGAAGGAAGGGCCTGCTTCTCCCTTGCATCTCTCTTTCTCTTTTTTAAGAGCTAAGAAACATTTCCAAGAAGCTCTGACAGTGTACTTTCACTGTATCTCATTTAATAGAGTTGAGTCATAGACGACTTCTCAAGCCAATCAAGGAAGGGGGATGAAATTAGCAGGATTGGTTCAAATGAACCAATGCTTATCCTTGAAGTTCTGGCTGGGGTCACTTTCTTAGAACACAAAAGATGAAGATAAACAAAATCAGAGCCCTGGTGGCAGGAAAGTCTGTGTGAGCACATTCGTATGTGTGGATCTGCATGTAGGTGTGTGCGTATGTGTATGTGAGTATGTATGCAGGTATGTGTAGAAGGGAAGGGTTTGAGTTAGGAAACAACTGTATTGCATCTATACATTTTAAATGTGAAAGGATCTCCTCTCCCCAAAAGGTTTGCAGAGTCAGAAACTTAGGTTAAATGACTTAGGCACAGACTAGCTAACTGTGATTAATGCCTTAACTTGCTCTAATGTTGCCATGAAACTTGCAAAATGAGGCTATTAATATTACCCACTGTCTCAGATTTGTGTGTGATTTAAATGTAAAGTGTTTGTCCCCGTGTCTGTCACTTATTAAGCGTCCAATAAATGAGGCTATATGAAGATGGGGAGATGAGAATTATCCTTATTATATTCTATCTTGAGTTTTATAATACTAATGCACACCTATAGTGTACTTTCAACTTTGCTTCAATGGATGAAGTTTCAATGGAATTAAGATTCTTTGGCAACTTTCTCAGAGTCACCCAATAAGCAGGAACTCTCTTTTAATGCAAAAAGCACATCTGCAGAGTTAACTTCTTGGACATGGTGGCATTTCTTCCCCATTGAAGGCCTTTCATAGAACTTTTCCAAATCTCCAGTATAAGTTCAACACAAATACTCTTGCACCAATATCAGGATCGTTTTTTACTTTTATATATACTATTTCTCCCTTGACAGTCTCATCTCCCAGAATCGAGTGCTAAGGGCGATTGTTTGTTTATGACACCTCTACATCTTCCTTTCTCTCGCACTTCTTGCCCCTGAAAGGTCATAAAATATTTGACTGTGGTGGGTGGTTAAAGTGCTTTAAAAAGTAGTTCATGAAGTTTAATTAAAGGCATTGGGAAACTTTTATCTGCTTGATATTTGGGGTAATGGAGAGATTATATATGAATGACTGCTGAGCATTAAAAAATATATAGTGAGGAAAAAAAGAAAAAAGCTCTGTCAGCCATAAAGCAAGCAGTCAGCAGGGACTTGCATGAGATGCTAAAAATAATGTCCCATTAGTGAACCAACACTTTCAGAAAGTCAAAATGGGATGGGGGCACTTAAGGGAGGGCAGTTATGACTGAAGGGAAGCTGAGATTGGATAAGGAGGCCAGCAGAAATCTATACAAAAGAGCCATGCTTTTTGGTCAGAACTTTCTCAGTGTACGTGACAAAAACCCAACTCAAAGAGAACTGAGCAAAGAAATGTATTGGCTCTTATCTAGATGATTGGGTCCAGGGATCTAAATGAGCGTGCTGTCTGGTCCCTGTCTTTCCTCAAGTTAGTAGTTGACTCCCTACTCCTTCATCTGATTCCTTCAGCAGCCTGACGGTAAAAAAAGTGAGGTTTTTTTTTCCCCCTCAATTAATGTATTTAATGTTTGCCAATTACAACAGCTTAAAATCAGCATATATCTAGCAATAAATCTAATAAAACATGTAAGACCTCTTCATGGAAAATGGCATATTATTATTGAAAGAGATTAAAATCTAAATAAATCGAGGGCTAGACCACATTCATGGATTGGAAGACTTAAGACTTGCAGAGATGTCAATTCTCTCCAAAGTAATCTTCAGATTCAGTGCAATTCTTTTCAAAGTACTAGCATTATTTATTTACTTACTTTAGAAACTGACAGGCTAATTTCCGAAATGCATGGAAATACGAAGGGGCAAGAAGAGTAAAGACAATCTTGAAGAAGAAAAAGCTGGAAAATGTACATCAGAAGATTCAAGACTTACTATTAATCTATAGTACTAGGATAGTGTGCAATTCTTTTATGTTGAGTTTTACTTGTTTGTATGGTTCTAAAGGCTGGACCCCCCTAGACAGAGAGTGTGGAAAGCATTTGAGGTCCCAGTGCACATCCACCAGTGTGGGTTGTGGGTGTCATCTTTGTATGTGAAGAATTGGATATGGACCTATTCTTTCTGGTAAGCCCGAGAGCTGCTTTGTTCTGTAAACCAGATGTTTTGTCTTGCTGGTCAGTTATAGCAGGAGGCCATCTGATAGTCTAGCTGGCAGTGACATGGAAATGGCACTGTACCCAATGAGAAACTTTATAGTTGCCATACAGTATTGACCCTAGAGGCTGCATTTGCTCTCAATTTTGTGTGTTGGCATTGCGTAAACTAGGCAATGTATTTATGCTTACCAATTTCCTTATTCAAATAGCTTTTCATTATAACAAAATAATCTTAGGTACTGAAAATTTAGAAAATGCAGATAGGGAAAAAGGACATAAAAAGCAGTTAATCCCAACACTCAGAAATCAGAGCTGACTTGTCCAATACGCATAGAAAACACAGTGCCTAAGGCTTATAGAATATTTTTTTTCCTTTTAAAAAAACTTTTACTTTAGGTTCAGGGGTACATGTGCAGATTTGTTATTATAGGTAAGCTTCTGTCATGGGGGTTTGGTGTACAGACCATTTCATCACCCAGGTACTAAGCATAGTATCCAATAATTATTTTTTCTGATTCTTGAGAGAGAGATTCTTTATCGTAGTTCAGGCTGCTATAATAGAATACCATAGAATGGGTGACTTCAACGACATATGTGTATTTCTCAGAGTTCTGGAAACTGGGAAGTCTAAGATCAAGGTACTGGTTGGTTTGGTTCCTGGTGAGGGTCTTCCTCCTGGTTGGCAGATGATTTGTTGCTATATCTTCTCACGGAAGACAGAGAAAAAGCTCTGGTCTCTTCTTCTAGTTAAGGGCGCTTATCCCACCATGGGGCTCTACCCTTAAAACCTCGTGGAAACGTAAGGGCCCACCTCCAAATGTCATCGCACTGGAGATTAGGAATTCAACATATACATTTTGGATGAGTACAGACATGTAGTTCATAACACTGTCTTACTCAGAAAGTTCCATAACCATCTAGGGACTGGGTCTCTGGCTGTGAGGCTATGGCCAGGTGAGGGAGAGGAGAGAAGAGGAAGTAGAAGACGATAGGCTCTCAAGTCTTTAGCCAGGTTTGGGACTAAGGTCTGAGCCTTGTGGAATGACAGAGCTAAAACTTAAGGTTGCCAGGGCTGCTTTCTCTGGGAGCCTGGCTGATGCTTGGCATAGACAGTAGTTCTCAGGCCCTGGTGACAGAGGAATTCATAGACTTGTGATGAGAAGGTTCTCTCATTTCTCATTTCTGTGAAGAGTCCAGTGAGACTCTGCCCCAGGGATGACTGTAGGAAGCCAGCCTGGTTTACCCCTTTGGGTGCTCTGCAGCTGTGCAGCTCCAGGAGATGCCACAGTGAGCACAAAATAGCATTCTCAGGGAGGAAGTTCTCCTTCAAGTGACTATGGGTTAGAGACTGCATGAGTTTTCTGTGTTGCATAAGTCGCCATGCCCTTAGAAGTTTAACAAAACACTCATTTACTAGCTCACACTTCTGCAGGTGAGAAGTCCAGGAGGGTATAGAGGAGCAATAACCTCCACAGGTGCTTAGTGGGAATGGACCCCTGTAACAAAAGATAGATTAGCAAGAGAAAAACAAACAGAAGTTTATGAACATGTCTATTTCACATACATGTGGGAGACATCCAGGGAATGAGTAGTTCTCCAAGAGGTGGCCTTTAATTTTAATTTATTCAGCATCTTCAATGAAAAGATAGTAACTTTTTAGAGAATTAACAAGTCAAAATAATTTTGAGTCTCTAGTGGTAGCAACTTGGAGGAAGGCAGATAAATGGCAGATAAAGGCAAGTTAGTAAAGTTTGTAAATCTCTGAAAAATATCCAGACCAAAAAGGGTCCAAAGTTATTCTCTTCTTGTTGCTTTGTCCCTCTTTGAGACCCCTACTGCCTCCATCTGTAAAAACTCTGTTTCTAAGGCTTACCTGATTAAGTCAGGCCCACCGGGATCACCTCCCAGTGTTGAAGTCAACCGTGCCATATGTATAATGTAACCTGATCACAGAGAAAGACACTATATACAGCCAAGAGATCATGCAGGTCTTGCAGCCCAGGGAATTGAGAAATCTTAGTGGATATTTTAGAACTCTGTCAACCTCTGTGATACTGACAAAGAGACTGGTATAGAAGAACCTTAGAGGACAAACTCCAAGCTTAGTTGAAACACTTCTAAGGGCTCCCCAGTATTTGTGAACACTTGAGAAACGGCAGAGGTGGAAGTCCACCAAGGTCCTTATTCTACTTTAATGTGGGTAGCCAATGTTAGTGACAAGTGGCATAGCATTGTTCCAGTTGTTCTGGAAACCAGAGATTCTGGAAACAGATTGCTTAAGTTCAAAACCCAGTTCTATCATTAACTAGCCTGTTAAATTGGGTCAGTTACTAACTTTTGTGCCTCATGTAAAGATTCCCCAAGATCAGATATTTGAAAGGACTCACAGGTCATATTTCTGTAAAGCTTTTACTTATAGGAAAATGATATAGTGCAGCAAGAGGAGTGCAGGCAAGCACTGAGGTCCAAGAGACATCCAGGAACAAGCTCCCACTGCCGTCTCCTCAGGTTAAATCACCAAGCCTTGTGTGTAGAATCTTGGCTTTGGGAGAGCTCAAAACAGAAGTTTCCACTAGGGTTTTAAGCTAAGCCAGCTTAACTCATTTGGCCAGCTGCAAAGCACCAGGGAAAAACTGCTTTTAGAAATTGCAACTCAAGTTTGATTTTAAATAAAACATCACAAAGCCCACTGCCCCTATCTTGGCCAAGACTCAAAGCCAGATGTCCACGTACCTGAGAGAAAAAGGTTAAAACTTTTGTCATCCAGCCATAAATCAATTATATCTTTCATAGATCAGTTTTCTCACTGGTAAAATGTGGATAACAGCAATACCTATCTCATAGGATTAAACATTTGTAAAATATCTAGATGAATGTGTAGCACACAGAAATCACTATAGAGTTTACATGTTTTTAGAATATATATGTGATCTTACTGATTTCTACATGTCAGCGAAGCCTGGAAAATTCATGTTCTATGGACAAACAGATTTTTCTCCTTTTGCAAGCCATTTTCTGAGGGTATACAAACTTATATTCCTGCTGGTCTACTCTATAATTTGGAGGAAAAGAGTCAAATTCACATAGGATAGAGTGGACTTAAAGGAATGTCAATTAAATGACATCTCTTATGAAAAGTTCCTAGGAAGCACAAAATTCAGTAAGTCAAAAGCAAAGATTTCATCCCATGAGTCCAGGTTTATACATTTTCTTTGACATGCAATGATTTTTAAGTAGTTTTATTCTTCATGTGTTTTCAAACACATTGTATGTGTTTATGTCTGAGGAATATACTCTCTCCTGTTATTTCCAGAATCTTAACTATGTGAGCAAAGGTCCACAAGCTTCCCTGACCCCTTCTCCATTATATTGCTAATCCGTCACTTTATTCTGCACTGTTCATAAATGTAATTCTGGGTGGAATATTTTGCCAACACTTGTATAAGAGGGAGTACTTGAAGTTTAGTTACATTGTCAACAGGAATATATTTAGGTTTTAACTAATTATTTTAAGCTTAGCTTTCATTAGTTTATAGCCCTTCAATTGGGCGCTGAAATGATGAATCAATTACAGAAGCATAGAACGAAGGAGGTGGAGAGAGGAGGAGTCTATATAAAAGAAAACGAGATGGGTGTTTGTCAGCATTTCTGAAGGTGTGAAAGGTTTTTGATATGCACACTACGGAAATGTGCAAACTGGCAGGGCTTCCACCCACTCTTTCATGTGAAATGAGATTGAAAGGAGACTTATTAATTATTGCCAGTCATTTAAAAAGTCCTCTTGAGCAGCCATTGATAATTAGGGATTTACCATTTTTTAAGGAAGGCATACTGAATGCTGAATTAGCAGAATCAGGACTATGGGTGATCAATGTTGTCTCTGTCATTCATTGTTTTTCCAAATTACTTTTTCTGTATTAATCTTTGCGATAATTATTTTTCCTTTTTAATTGTGTGGGTTCATAGTAGCTATATATATTTATGGGGTACATGAGGTGTTTTGATACGGGCAGGCAATGCATAATAATGTCATCATGTAAAAGGGGGTATCCATCCCCTCAGGCATTTATCCTTTGTATTGCAAACAATCCAATTATACTCTTTTCGTTGCTTTAGAATATGCAATTGAATTTCTTTTTGCTTTTAAGACATGTCCAACCATTTTGAAGCTGGGATTATAACATGATTAATAAAATAATAAGTTAGAACATTCTGTCATGTTAAGACACGTGAGCTGGTTGTCACAGAGCTGTTAAGAACAAGGGAGGCAGAATTGGGAACAGAAGACTCTATATTCTATTGGATATTGTGAGAAACTCAATAGGACAGTGTGATTTGGAAAAAGGAAAAGTAAGGAAAGAATGACTTATAATAAAGCAATATTCCAACAAGTCTAAGATGACACTTAGTAAAATATACAGACTTACCTTATGTGCCACTAAGATTTTTTTAAATGTCAATTTTAATTATAAGGAAACATCAATTGTAAAATATATTACAATTTCTGGATGTGGAAATTATTTCTGATATATATTTAAGAAAGAGAATTCTAGTGGGTGCAGTGGTATCTCATTATTCTTTTAATTTGCATTCCCCTGGTAAATGATGGAGCTAAACATATATTTATATGCTTATTGACCATTTATATGTTTTCTTTTTTGAAGGATTTGAGTCTTTTGACCATTATTATTTGGATGGTGGTTTTTTAAAAAATATATTGAATTGTTGTAGTTCTTTATATATTCAGGATTATAGTCCTTTGCAAATATAAGTATTGAGAACTCCTCACAAGTGCATTCACTTTTAATAGGAAACACCCAATCTTTTCCACAAACCATACTGAAACAACTGGATATGTATGTGGAAATTTAATGAGCCACAACTCATATCTCATGTCATATCTAAATATTAATTTGAGATATGTTATAGGCATAAATATAAAAGTTAAAACCTTCTAGAAGAATACAGAAAATATTTTTATGAATTTGGAGCATTTACAAGTTCTTAGACAAAAACAACTAACCAAAAATACTGTTGAATTTTAATCCAAATTATTATTATTATTTTGGTTAGATCTGTCTCCTCCTGGTTCTTGAATTTTCTACATAAATTGTAAGGGTGTAATGTAAATTTCTGAAAATAAATCTAGTGGGATTTTGGTTGCAGTATAATTTATTCTATAAATGTAGGAAAAATAGAATTTTAATAATATTTGAGTTTTCTAATCCAGAAACATGGCATACCCCTCAATTCAATTGGATCATCATGAGTTTCTCTCTGCATTTTCAGTATGTAGGGCAGAGGTTTGGCACATATTTTGCTAAATTTATTTCTAGGCATTTTGTTTTTTGGTAGTATTACAACTGATATTTTCTAAATGTCACTTTTATTCATTTTACTAGCAAATGATATACTTTTGAAAATTTAAAGTTGTACCCAGCAATACTGATCACAATTTTGAAATTCACATCAAAATTCTAAAATTTTTTCAAGAAATTATTTTGTATGTGAGTATGTCATCTGGGAATAAAGACAGTTTGAGGGGGGAGGAGCCAAGTTGGCCGAATAGGAACAGCTCCGGTCTGCAGCTCCCAGTGTGAGCGGTGCAGAAGACGGGTGATTTCTGCATTTCCATCTGAGGTACCGGGTTCATCTCACTAGGGAGTGCCAGACAGTGGGCACAGGACAGTGGATGCAGTTCACCGTGTGCCAGCTGAAGCAGGGCAAGGCATTGCCTCACTCGGGAAGTGCAAGGGGTCAGGGAGTTCCCTTTCCTAGTCAAAGAAAGGGGTGACAGACGGCACCTGGAAAATCGGGTCACTCCCACCCCAATACTGCGCTTTTCCGATGGGCTTAAAAAATGACGCACCAGGAGATTATATCCTGCACCTGGCTCGGAGGGTCCTATGCCCACGGAGTCTCGCTGATTGCTAGCACAGCAGTCTGAGATCAAACTGCAAGGCAGCAGTGAGGCTGGGGGAGGGGCGCCTGCCATTGCCCAGGCTTGCTTGGGTAAACAAAGCAGCCAGGAAGCTCCAACTGGGTGGAGCCCACCACAGCTCAAGGAGGCCTGCCTGCCTCTGTAGGCTCCACCTCTGGGGGCAGGGCACAGACAAATAAAAAGACAGCAGTAACCTCTGCAGACTTAAATGTCCCTGTCTGACAGCTTTGAAGAGAGCAGTGGTTCTCCCAGCACGCAGCTGGAGATCTGAGAACGGGCAGACTGCTTCCTCAAGTGGGTCCCTGACCCCTGACCCCCGAGCAGCCTAACTGGGAGGCACCCCCCAGCAGGGGCAGACTGACACCTCACACGGCCGGGTACTCCAACAGACCTGCAGCTGAGGGTCCTGTCTGTTAGAAGGAAAACTAACAAACAGAAAGGACATCCACACCAAAAACCCATCTGTACATCACCATCATCAAAGACCAAAAGTAGATAAAACCACAAAGATGGGGAAAAAACAGCAGAAAAACTGGAAACTCTAAAAAGCAGAGCACTTCTCCTCCTCCAAAGGAACACAGTTCCTCACCAGCAATGGAACAAAGCTGGACGGAGAATGACTTTGACGAGTTGAGAGAAGAAGGCTTCAGACGATCAAACTATGGGTTACAGGAGGAAATTCAAACCAAAGGCAAAGAAGTTGAAAACTTTGAAAAAAATTTAGATGAATGTATAACTAGAATAACCAATACAGAGAAGTGCTTAAAGGAGCTGATGGAGCTGAAAACCAAGGCTCGAGAAATATGTGAAGAATGCAGAAGCCTCAGGAGCCAATGCGATCAACTGGAAGAAAGGGTATCAGCGATGGAAGATGAAATGAATGAAATGAAGCAAGAAGGGAAGTTTAGAGAAAAAAGAATAAAAAGAAATGAGCAAAGCCTCCAAGAAATATGGGACTATGTGAAAAGACCAAATCTACATCTGATTGGTGTACCTGAAAGTGATGGGGAGAATGGAACCAAGTTGGAAAACACTCTGCAGGATATTATCCAGGAGAACTTCCCCAATCTAGCAAGGCAGGCCAACATTCAGATTCAGGAAATACAGAGAACACCACAAAGATACTCCTCGAGAAGAGCAACTCCAAGACACATAATTGTCAGATTCACCAAGGTTGAAATGAGGAAAAAATGTTAAGGTCAGCCAGAGAGAAAGGTCAGGCTACCCTCAAAGGGAAGCCCATGAGACTAACAGCAGATCTCTCAGCAGAAACTCTACAAGCCAGAAGAGAGTGGGGGCCAATATTCAACATTCTTAAAGAAAAGAATTTTCAACCCAGAATTTCATGTCCAGTCAAACTAAGCTTCATAAGTGAAGGAGAAATAGAATACTTTACAGACAAGCAAATGCTGAGAGATTTCGTCACCACCAGGCCTGCTCTAAAAGAGCTCCTGAAGGAAGCACTAAACATGGAAAGGAACAACTGGTACCAGCCGCTGCAAAATCATGCCAAAATGTAAAGACCATCGAGGCTAGGAAGAAACTGCATCAACTAACGAGCAAAATAACCAGCTAACATCATAATGACAGGATCAAATTCACACATAACAATATCAACTTTAAATGTAAATGGACTAAATGCTCCAATTAAAAGACACAGACTGGCAAATTGGATAAAGAGTCAAGACCCATCAGTGTGCTGTATTCAGGAAACCCATCTCATGTGCAGAGACACACATAGGATCAAAATAAAAGGATGGAGGAAGATCTACCAAGCAAATGGAAAACAAAAAAAGGCAGGGGTTGCAATCCTAGTCTCTGATAAAACAGACTTTAAACCAACAAAGATCAAAAGAGACAAAGAAGGCCATTACATAATGGTAAAGTGATCAATTCAACAAGAAGAGCTAACTATCCTAAATATATATGCACCCAATACAGGAGCACCCAGATTCATAAAGCAAGTCCTGAGTGACCTACAAAGAGACTTAGACTCCCACACATTAATAATGGGAGACTTTAACACCCCACTATCAACATTAGACAGATCAACCTGACAGAAAGTCAACAAGGATACCCAGGAATTGAACTCAGCTCTGCACCAAGCAGACCTAATAGACATCTACAGAACTCTCCACCCCAAATCAACAGAATATACATTTTTTTCAGCACCACACCACACCTATTCCAAAATTGACCACATACTTGGAAGTAAAGCTCTCCTCAGCAAATGTAAAAGGACAGAAATTATAACACACTATCTCTCAGACCACAGTGCAATCAAACTAGAACTCAGGATTAAGAATCTCACTCAAAACTGCTCAACTACATGGAAACTGAACAACCTGCTCCTGAATGACTACTGGGTACATAACGAAATGAAGGCAGAAATAAAGATGTTCTTTGAAACCAATGAGAACAAAGACACAACATACCAGAATCTCTGGGACGCATTCAAAGCAGTGTGTAGAGGGAAATTTATAGCACTAAATGCCCACAAGAGAAAGCAGGAAAGATCCAAAATTGACACCCTAACATCACAATTAAAAGAACTAGAAAAGCAAGAGCAAACACATTCAAAAGCTAGCAGAAGGCAAGAAATAACTAAAATCAGAGCAGAACTGAAGGAAACAGAGACACAAAAAACCCTTCAAAAAATTAATGAATCCAGGAGCTGGTTTTTTTGAAAGGATCAACAAAATTGATAGACCACTAGCAAGACTAATAAAAAAGGAGAGAAGAATCAAATAGACGCAATAAAAAATGATAAAGGGGATATCACCACCCATCCCACAGAAATACAAACTACCATCAGAGAATACTACAAACACCTCTACGCAAATAAACTAGAAAATCTAGAAGAAATGGATAAATTCCTCAACACATACACCCTACCAAGACTAAACCACGAAGAAGTTGAATCTCTGAATAGACCAATAACAGGATCTGAAATTGTGGCAATAATCAATAGCTTACCAACCAGAAAGAGTCCAGGACCAGATGGATTCACAGCTGAATTCTACCAGAGGTACAAGGAGGAACTGGTACCATTCCTTCTGAAACTATTCCAATCAATAGAAAAAGAGGGAATCCTCCTTAACTCATTTTATGAGGCCACCATCATCCTGATACCAAAGCCGGGCAGAGACACAACCAAAAAAGAGAATTTTAGACCAATATCCTTGATGAACATTGATGCAAAAATCCTCAATAAAATACTGGCAAACCGAATCCAGCAGCGCATCAAAAACTTATCCACCATGATCAAGTGGGCTTCATCCCTGGGATGCAAGGCTGGTTCAATATATGCAAATCAATAAATGTAATCCAGCATATAAACAGAACCAAAGACAAAAACCGCATGATTATCTCAATAGATGCAGAAAAGGCCTTTGACAAAATTCAACAGCCCTTCATGCTAAAAACTCTCAATAAATTAGGTATTGATGGGACATATTTCAAAATAATAAGAGCTATCTATGACAGACCCACAGCCAATATCATACTGAATGGGCAAAAACTGGAAGCATTCCCTTTGAAAACTGGCACAAGACAGGGATGCCCTCTCTCACCACTCCTATTCAACATAGTGTTGGAAGTTCTGGCCAGGGCAATTAGGCAGGAGAAGGAAATAAAGGGTATTCAATTAGGCAAAGAGGAAGTCAAATTGTCCCTGTTAGCAGACGACATGATTGTATATCTAGAAAACCCCATTGTCTCAGCCCAAAATCTCCTTAAGCTGATAAGCAACTTCAGCAAAGTCTCAGGATACAAAATCAATGTACAAAAATCACAAGCATTCTTATACACCAACAGCAGACAAACAGAGAGCCAAAGCATGAGTGAACTCCCATTCACAATTGCTTCAAAGAGAATAAAATACCTAGGAATCCAACTTACAAGGGATGTGAAGGACCTCTTCAAGGAGAACTACAAACCACTGCTCAAGGAAATAAAAGAGGATACAAACAAATGGAAGAACATTCCATGCTCATGGATAGGAAGAATCAATATTGTGAAAATGGCCATACTGCCCAAGGTGATTTACAGATTCAATGCCATCCCCATCAAGCTACCAATGACTTTCTTCACAGAATAGGAAAAAACTACTTTAAAGTTCATATGGAACCAAAAAAGAGCCCGCATCGCCAAGTCAATCCTAAGCCAAAAGAACAAAGCTGGAGGCATCACACTATCTGACTTCAAACTATACTACAAGGCTACAGTAACCAAAACAGCATGGTACTGGTACCAAAGCAGAGATATAGATCAATGGAACAGAACAGAGCCCTCAGAAATAACACCGCATATCTACAACTATCTGATCTTTGTCAAACCTGAGAAAAACAAGCAATGGGGAAAGGATTCCCTATTTAATAAATGGTGCTGGGAAAACTGGCTAGCCATATGTAGAAAGCTGAAACTGGATCCCTTCCTTACACCTTATATAAAAATCAATTTAAGATGGATTAAAGACTTAAACGTTAGACCTAAAACCATAAAAACCCTAGAAGAAAACCTAGGCATTACCATTCAGGACATAGGCATGGGCAAGGACTTCATGTCTAAAACACCAAAAGCAATGGCAACAAAAGCCAAAATTGACAAATGGATCTAATTAAACTCAAGAGCTTCTGCACAGCAAAAGAACTACCATCAGAGTGAACAGGCAACCTACAAAATGGGAGAAAATTTTTGCAACCTACTCATCTGACAAAGGGCTAATATCCAGAATCTACAATGAACTCAAACAAATTTACAAGAAAAAAACAGCCCCATCAAAAAGTGGGCGAAGGACATGAACAGACACTTCTCAAAAGAAGACATTTATGCAGCCAAAAAACACGGAAAAAATGCTCACCATCACTGGCCATCAGAGAAATGCAAATCAAAACCACAAATGAGATACCATCTCACACCAGTTAGAATGGCAATTATTAAAAAGTCAGGAAACAACAGGTGCTGGAGAGGATGTGGAGAAATAGGAACACTTTTACACTGTTGGTGGGACTGTAAACTAGTTCAACCATTGTGGAAGTCAGTGTGGCCATTCCTCAGGGATCTAGAACTAGAAATACCATTTGACCCAGCCATCCCATTACTGGGTATATACCCAAAGGACTATAAATCATGCTGCTATAAAGACACATGCACACGTATGTTTATTGCGGCATTATTCACAATAGCAAAGACTTGGAACCAACCCAAATGTCCAACAATGATAGACTGAATTAAGAAAATGTGGCACATATACACCATGGAATACTATGCAGCCATAAAAAATGATGAGTTCATGTCCTTTGTAGGGACATGGATGAAATTGGAAATCATCATTCTCAGTAAACTATCGCAAGAACAAAAAACCAAACACTGCATATTCTCACTCATAGGTGGGAATTGAACAATGAGAACACATGGACACAGGAAAGGGAACATCACAATATTGTTCCGCTAGCTCAATTAATAACATCACAATAATAGTATCTCATTGTGGTTTTGATTTGCATTTCTCTAATGATTAGTGACGTTGAGTAGTTTTTCATATGCTCGTTGGCTGCGTGTATGTTGTCTTTTAAAAAGTGTCTGTTTATGTCCTTTGCCCACTTTTTAATGGGGTTGTTTTTGCTTGTAGATTTAAGTTCCTTATAGATGCTGGATATTAGACCTTTGTCAGATGCATTGTTTGCAAATATTTTCTCCCATTTTGTAGTTTGTCTGTTTATTCTGTGGATAGTTTCTTTTGCTGTGCAGAAGGTCTTTCGTTTAATCAGGTCCCATTTGTCACTTTTTTTTGTTTGTTTTTGAGACAGTCTCACTCTGTCGCCCAGGCTGGAGTGTAGTGGCAGGATCTCGGCTCACTGCAAGCTCCGCCTTCCGGGTTCACGCCATTCTCCTGCCTCAGCCTCACGAGTAGCTGGGACTACAGGCGACCGCCACCAGGCGGGGCTAATTTTTTGTATTTTCTTTTAGTAGAGATGGGGTTTCACCGTGTTAGCCATGATGGTCTCGATCTCCTGACCTCGTGATCTGCCCGCCTGGGCCTCCCAAAGTGCTGGGATTACAGGCGTGAGCCACCGCGCCCGGCCCACTTCTTGTTTTTATTGCAATTGCTTTTGGCATCTTCATCATGAAATCTTTGCCAGTTGCTATGTTCAGAATGGTATTTTTAAGCTTATCTTCTATGGTTTTTATACTTTTAGGTTGCACATTTATCTAATCGGTCGAGTGGATTTTAGTATTTGGTGTAAGGAAGGGGTCGAGTTTCAATCTTTTGCATATGCCTAACCAGTTACTTTGGCACAATTTATTGAATAGGAAGTATTTTCTTCATTGGTTGTTTTTGTTGATGCTATTGAAGATCAGATGGTTGAAGGTGTGCACCATTATTTCTGGGCTCTGTATTCTGTTCCATTGTTCTTTGGGTCTGTTTTTGTACCAGTATCATGTCGTTTTGGATACTGTAGACTTGTAGTATAGTTTGGAGTCAGGTAATATGATGCTTCTGGCTTCGTTCTTTTTACTTAGGATTGCCTTGGTTATTTGGGCTCTTTTTGGTTCCATATGCATTTTAAAATAGTTTTATTTCAATTCTGTGAAGAATGTCATTAATAATTTGATAGGAATAGCATTGAATCTATAAATTGCTTTGGGGCAGTATGGCCATTTTTATAATATTAATTCTTCCTATCCATGAGCATGGAATTTTTTTTCATTTGTTCGTGTCATCTCTGATTTTTTTTGAGCATTGTTTTGTAATTCTCATCATAGAGATCTTTCACTTTCCTAGTTATCTGTATTCCTAGGTATTTTATTTTTGTGTGTGTGTGGCTATTGTGAATGGAATTCCATTCTTGATTTGGCTCTCAGGTTGGATATTGTTAGTGAATAGAAATACCACTGATTTGGCTGGGTATGTTGGCTTAAGCCTGTCATCCCAGCACTTTGGGAGGCCAAGGCAGGCAGATCCTTTGAGCCCAGGAGTTCGAAACCAGCCTGGGCAACATAGCGGGACCTCATCTCTATAAAAAAATTAAAAAATAATAAAAAAAACCCACTAATTTTTGTCCATTTATTTTGTATCCTGAAACTTTGTTGAAGTTGTTTATCAGATCAAGGAGATTTTATGCAGAGGCCGTGGGGTTTTCTAGCTATAGAAACATACTGTTTGCAAACAGGGATAGTTTGACCTCCTCTTCTCCTATTTGGATGCCGTTTATTTCTTTCTCTTGACTGATTGCTCTGGCTAGGACATCCAATATTGTGTTGAATAGGAGTGGTGAGAGAGGACATCCTTGTCTTGTTCTAGTTTTCAAGAGAAGTGCTTCTAGCTTTTGCCCGTTCGTTATGATGATGACTGTGGGTTTGTCATAGATGGCTCTTATTTTCAGGTATGTTTCTTCAATGCCTAGTTTGTTGAGGGTGTTTAAATACGAAGGGATGTTAATTTTATTGAAAGCCTTTTCTGCAGCTATTGAGATAATCATGTGGTTTTTGTTTTTAGTTCTGTTTATTTGCTAAATCACATTTATTGATTTACATATGTTGAACTTGCATCCCAGCAATAAAGTCTACTTGATCGTGATGGATTAGCTTTTTGGTTTGTTAGTATTTTGTTGAGGAGTTTTGCATACATGTTCATAAAGAATATTGGACTGAAGTTTTCTTTTTTTGCTGTGTCTCTGCCAGGTTTTACTATCACGATAATGCTAGCCTCCTAGAATGAGTTATGGAAGAGTCCCTTCTCCTCAATTACTTGGAATATTTTCAGTAGGAATGGTACCAGCTTTTCTTTGCATATCTAGTAGAATTTGGCTGTGAATCTATCTTCCTGGGCTTTTTCTTGTTGGTAGGATTTTTATTACTGATTCAATTTTGAAACTGGTTATTGATCTGTTCTGAAATTCAATTTTTTCCTGGTTCAGTCTTGGGAGGTTGTGTGTGTCCAGGAATTTATCCATTTGTTCTAAATTTTCTAGTTTGTGCGCATAGAGGTGTTCATCGTAGTCTCTGATAGTTACTTGTATTTCTGTGGGGTCGGTGGTTTTGTCATTTCTAATTTCATTTCTAATTATGTTGATTTGAATCTTCTCTCTTTTGTTTTCTTTATTAATTGAGCTAGCGGACTATCTAGCTTATCAGTTTTTTTCACAGAACCAATCCTCAATTTGTTAATCTTTTGTATGGTTTATTATGTCTCAGTTTCCTTAAATTCAGCTCTAATTTTGGTTATTTCTTGCCTTTCGCTAGCTTTTAGGGTTGGTTTGCTCTTGTTTTTCTAGTTCCTCTAGATGGGATGTTAAGTTGTCAATTTGAGTTATTTTGAACTTTTTGATGTGGGCATTTAGCACTATAAACTTCTCTCTTAACACTGCTTTAGCAGTGTCCCAGAGACTGTGATATTTTTCATTTTTACTCTCATTAATTTCAAAGAATTTTTTATTTCTTCCTCAATTTCATTCTTTACCCAAAAAGTTTTTAAAGACCAGATTGTTAAATTTCCATGTAATTACATGGTTTTGAGCAATTTTCTTAGTATTGATTTCTGTTTTCATTGTCCTGTGCTTTTAGAGTGCGGTTGGTTGGTATAATTATGGGTTTTTTGAATTTGCTGATGATTGTTTTATATCCAATTGTGTGTTTGGTTTTAGAGTATGTGTCATGTAGTGATAAGAAGAATTTATATTCTGTCATTTTTGGGTAGAGGGATCTGTAGATGTCTATTAAGTCCATTTGGTCAAGTGTTGAATTCAGGTCCTGAATATATATTTGTTAATTTTCTGCCTTGATAATCTAATACTCTCAGTGGGATGTTGAAGTCTCCCATTTTTATTGTGTGATTATCAAAGTCTCTTTGTAGGTCTCTAAGAATTTGTGTTATGAATCTGTATGCTCTAGTGTTGGGTGCATATATATTAAGGATAGTTAGATCTTCTTGTTGAATTAAACCGTTTATCATTATGTAGTGCCCTTCTTTGTCTTTTTTGATCTTTGTTGTTTTAATGTCTGCTTCTTCTGAAATTAACACAGAAACTCCTGCTTTTTTCTGTTTTCAATTTTCTTGGTAGAATTTTCTCCATAATTTTACTTTTAGCATATTTGTGTCATTGCATGTAAGATGTGTCTCTTGAAGACAGCTTACCATTGCTGGGTCTTGCCTCTTTATCCAGCTGTCACTCTGTGCCTTTTAATTGGGGCATTTAGCTCATTTACATCCAAGGTTAATATTGATTATGTGTAGATTTGATCCTGTCATCATATTGTTAGCTGGTTATTATGCAGACTTGTTTGTGTGGTTGCTTTATGGAATCAATGGTGTATGTACTTAAGTGTGTTTTTGTAGTGGCTGGTTATGGTCTTTCCTGTCCATATTTAGTCCTCCTTTCAGGACTTCTTGTAAGGCAGGTCTGGTAGTAATAAATTCCCTCAGCATTCGCTTGTCTGAAGAGAATCTTATTTCTTCTTCACTTATGAAGCTTAATTTGGCTGGATATGAAATTCTTGGCTGGAAATTCTGTTAAGAATTATAAATATATCCCCCTAATCTCTTCCAGCTTGTAGAGTTTCTGCTGAAGAATTCAAATTCACTGTTAGCCTGATGGGGTTACCTTTGAGTTGTGCCCATTCTCTCTAGCTGCCGTTAACATTTTCTTCTTTAATTTCAACCTTGGAGAATCTGATCAATTATGTGTTTGGGGGATGGTCTTGTTAAGTTGTATGTCACAAGGGTTATCTTCATTTCCTGAGTTTAAACATTGACCTCTCTGGTAAGGTTGGGGAAGTTTACATGGATGATATTCAGAAATACATTTTCCAAGTTGCTGCCTTATCTGCATCTCTTTCAGGGATACTGGTGAGTCATAGATTTGGTCTCTTTACATAATCCCATATTTCTCAGTGGTTTTGTTCATTCTTTTTCATTTTTTTTTTATTTTTGTCTGACTGAGATGGTTCAGAGAGCCCGTGTTTGAGCTCTGAGATTCTTTCTTCAGCTTGATCTATTCTGCTGTTAGTACTCGTGCTTGCATTATGAAATTCTTGTCATGTGTTTTTCATCTGTGTCAGATTGCTTTGGTTCTTTCTTAAAATGAACATTTTATCTCTTGTCTCTGGGATTGTTTTATTATAATCCTTAGATTCCTTGGATTGGGTTTCCAATTTTTCCTGAATCTCAATGACCTGCTTTCGTGTCACTACTCTAAATTCTATTTCTGTCATTTCAGCCATTTCAGCTTGCTTAAGGACCCTTGATGATAAACTAGCATGGTCATTTGGATGAAAGAAGATACTCTGGCTTTTTGGGTTGCCAGAGTTCTTGTGCCGATTCTTTCTTATCTGTGTGGGCTGGTGTTCCTTTAACTGCAGTGTAATTTGAGTATAGCCAGTAGACTTCCTTTCTGGATGTTTTTAGAGGGCCAGGGCTTCGCGGGGCCTTTAATTGTAGCTGAATTCTTACCCTTGGCTTCACAGGGGGGTTACGTCAGCAAAATATTTTTAATGTTGGAGGTGGGGCTATGATTCAGTAGATGGCTCTTAAAGCATATTGGTCCCTAGGTAGGGACCAATTGCTCAACCACATGGCTTCTCTGTATTTCCTCACAGTTATAGCTGTGCTCTCTTGCAGTGCTCTGAAAGTATGGGCTCCTTTCCCACTCATGTGCTGGCTGCAGATCTCAGCTTGGCACTCCTAGGCTGCCTACTGTGGCTCTGAGGTGAGCTCAGGCTTTATGTTCTCTCCTCAACTCAGAGACAGCATGGTAAGGGACCTCGGCACTGATTGTGGCGGAGGGCCTTTTACATGTCTCTTGGGGCTCTACCTCAGAGAGCTGCAGAGTCGCTGTCAATCAGTGTGACTGGCCCGGGGTGGGGTGGCTGCACTGTGGGCCCAGGGGGGCCCTGCCGGGTGACAAGCAGGTGGGGTAGGAGGCTTATAGGGGAGACAGACTGGCCTTTTCTCCTTAGGGCAATAGCAGCTTGCTGGAGGTATGGTTAAAGCACTCAGGATCTTTGCTCCTTTCCCAGTCTGAGGGCAGCCAAGGCGGCACCACTGCAGAGGCAGTGGCAGAGGGTGTCTGGGAGCTCCACCTCAGAGAAATGTGGAGCCTCTGCTACTGGGAATGTTCAGCCGGAGGGTGGGCTGGCTGTGCTGCTGGCCCAAACTGGGGGCTCTGCTTGGTCAACAGTAGGGATTTAAGTGCCCATGGGAAGGAGAGACTGGTCTCCTCTCCTTACGGTGACTATGGTGTGCTGGAAGCTTGAGTGAAGCCCTTAGGCTCTTTGTTTCTTCCCCAGACCAAGGGCTGCAGAGGCAGAAGTGCTGCTGTGGCAGTAGCAGAGGAGCTGTCCGTTGCCTCTGGGAGCCCCTCCCAGGGGGAACACAGAGCCACCACCACTGGGTGTGCTCAGCCGGGAGTGGTACAGCTGATCTGCCGTCCTGTGCTACGGGTCCTGCCTGGTAGAGAGTGAGGGGTAGGAGCTCACAGGGAGGAGAGACTATGCTCCTCTCTGCATGATGGCTGTGGTGTGCTGGAGGTGCCATAGTAGCGATCATGCCTTTTGTTCCTTCCTCAGCCCAAAGGTGCTTAGAGTGGTACCACTGCAGCTGCAATGGCAGAGGGGCAGTAGGTTGTCTCTGGGATTTCCTCCTCAAAGAAATGCAGAGCCACCTCCTATGGAAGTGTTCACACGGGGAAAGGATAGTTGTGCTGGAATCCCAGGTGGAGAGGCCTTGTCCGGTGAGGAGAAGTAGGAATGGAGACCCATGTGGAAAATAGTCTGGCTGCTTTTCTGCGGGGCAGCTGTGCTGTGCTGAGGGTCTACACCAGTCTCTCACCACCATGCACCATGTTGAGGGCAACAGTAGTGAGGGCTGCAGGGCAGCAAAACTAGCAGCCTACCTCTCCCTCTGGGAGCTCCATCCTAGGGAAGTGCAGAGTCCTACAGGCCCAACAGCCCAGGCAGGGCTGGTGTGGCCATGCTAGGGTCCCAGACCAGTGGGCCTTATCCTGCGAAGTACAGTCCATGGCTGCTCAGCCCTGTGGATTTGGCCGCTTTTCTGGGGGTATGCGAGGGACCCTGACTTTCCCTGTTGCCAGGGTTGCAGCTGCGAATGCCACGATGCCTGGGGATCCAAGGCCCTTAGCACTTCATGTGTGCCTGAGTGGCAGCTCTGCCGAGACTCCATATGGCTCTCCACGTCAGTTTGGCAGCCCCGTGGGGGCATTCACAGGGGATCTCCTGAGCTCAGAGTTCCAAAGGTCCATAGCAGAAGTGTGGGTCTCCGGGACTCAATCACTCACCATTTCCCACAGTGGGGGGACCTCCCCTGTCTCCGTGCCTCTCCCCACGGGTGCGTGCTCGTCCTTTCCTGGTCCTCCGTGAGCTGAGTTGTTTCCTTGATGAATTCCAATGTGTCCATCTGGATGGTCCAGTTGAAGAGCTAATGTTTATCAGCTACTCTTTCCCCTCTCCGTGACAGCAGTGCACACTGGCTGCTTCTTGGCCCTCCCCATCCTATATTTTTTTTTAATTAACTTTTTCCCTCTACCTTATTTTATTTTTATTTATTTTTTATTGCCTGTTCTAGGACTAAGACTATGCATTCTTATACAAGTCAACTTAACATCGGTATTATAACACTTCATCCTGCACACTTGATGCTTAGTGCTTACCTCTGTAATAACATTACAGCAACACAATTCCGTTTACCCATCACCCCTTTCTTTGTGCTATTATTACCATATCTTCTACTTATAAGGCCTATCTTATAATGATGTTATTTTTTCTTGCTATAAATAGGTAATTGTCTTTAATGAAATTACAAGAAGAACAAAAACATTTTATATTTACTAACTGATTTATCTTTTTCAACAGGTTTTTTTTCCCCCTTTCCTCCAGATTCAACTTTTTATTTGGTTTCACTTTCCTTTAGTCTGAAGAATTTCCTTTGGCATTCTTGTAGTGCAAATGCGCTGAGGATGGATTCCATTGCTTTCCTACCTAAAAACCCTTTGCTTCATACCTATTTTTTGAAGTATACTTTTGGAAGGTTTATAAACCTTGGATGATTTCTTATCCGTCTTTTTTATTTCAGAACATTAAACACGTCTTTTCATTTTCTCTGTCTCTCATTGGTTTCTACTGAAAAGTTGATCACGTTTTTTATCATTGTTTCTCTACATGCAATGTGTGTTTTCTCTTGCTGGCTTTAAAATATTCTCTATAGCTTTGGTTTACAGCAACTGGATTATAATGTGCCTACATGTGGTTTACTCTGTCTTTTAAAAATTATCTCAGCAATGTTTTGTAGTTTTCAGTGTACAGGCTTTACCCATTTTTTTGTTAGACTTATTCCCTAAGTAATGTATATATTAGGGTATTGCAAATGTTATTTTAAGGTATCAATTTCTGATTGTTCATTGCCAGTATGTAGAAATACAATAGGCTTTTGTAGCAGAATACCATTGATTTTTGTATATTGGTCCATTCTATAACCTTTTAAAATCCACGGATTACTTTTTATAAGAAATTTTTGAAGATTTTATTCTGTTTCATATATCATGTTAGATTGTTAATTATAACTTTTGGTTTATTTGGTCATTGCTTTAGAATACATCTTATTTAATTTTAACTTACACAATCTATCTTCAAATGATAGTATACTACATCATGTGTAGAAGCTGTATAATAATATACTTTCATTTTTGTTCTCCTTTCCTTAAAGTAATTGTATACATTTTACTTACATATGCTTTATATATACCATAATATATTGGTATTATTTTTGTTTAAACAGTTAATTATTGTTTAAATAAATTTAAATGAGGCTGGGCATGGTGGCTCATGTTTGTAACCCCAGCATTTTGGGAGGCTGAGGCGGGTGGATCGCCTGAGGTCAGGAGTTCGGGACCAGCCTGACCAACATGGTGAAACTTCGTCTCTACTAAAAATACAAAAATTAGCCGGTTGTGGTGGCAGGTGCCCATAATCCCAGCTACTCAGGAGGCTGAGACAGGAGAATCGCTTGAACCCAGGAGGCGGAGGTTGCAGTGAGCTGAGATCATGCCACTGCACTCCAGCCTGGGTGACAGAGTGAGACTCCATCTAAAAAAATAAAAATAAAAATAAATGATAAGAATCTGATATATTTACCTATATAGTTACCATCTCTAGTGTTCTTCATTTTTTTTTTGCTTCTACCTGGCATAATTTTTTTTCTGTCTGAAAAACTTTTATCCTTTGTAGTGCATGTCTGAAAACTCAGCTCTTGTATGTCTGAAAATGTTTTTATTCCACCTTTTTTATGAAAGATATTTATTTTCCTCAATATAGAATTTAAGTTTAAGTGTCCTCCTCTGCCCTATTGCTTTAAAGATGTGGCTCCACAGTCTTCTTTCCTGCCTTGTTCCTGATGAGAAACCTGCTATCAACATTACCTTTGCTTCTCTGTATCAAATATTTATTTTTCTCTCTGGCTACTTAGAAATTTTTTTCTTTATCATCAGTTTTCAGATATTTAATTATGATATTCTCTTGGGTAATTTTCTCATGTTTCTTGTGGTTGGGATTCATTGAGATGCTTTGATCTGGGGGTTTCTTGTTTTCATCAGATTTGTGTAATTTTTAGCCATTAGATTTTCAAGTACTTATTTTTCCCCTTTCTCTACATTGTTCCATAGCTCTCTAGTGTACTTTAAGTTTTTTTTTTAAACAAATCTTTCTTTCTGTATTTTATTTCAGGTAAATTTCTATTTATAGGTCTCCAAATTCATTATTTTTTCTTCTGCAGTGCCTAAACTCCTAACCTAATGCATTGTCTTTTTTCATCTCAAATATTGTAGTTTTTGTCTTTATAAATTTAGCCTGGATCTTCATAAAATCTTTCACATGCATAATTTTTCAGATGAATACAGTTAGTATAATAATTTTAATGATCTTGCCTACTAATTCTAAACATTGGTATCACCTCTAGGTTGATTTAGGGAGAACTGATAAATTTACTTCTAATTATGGGTCAGGTTTTTCGATTTTTTGCATGTCTGGTTGTCTTATATGCTAGACATTGTGAATTTTACCTTGTTGGATGGTCCATATTTTTGCACTTCTGTACATATTCTTGAGCTTCATTTTGAGAGTAAGTTAAATTACTTGGAAATAGTTGGATTATTTCTTTATTTTTCCTTGTCTATTGTTTTTCTTTTAATTTAATTTTAAGTTCCAGGATAAATGTTCAGGACTTGCAGATTTGCTGCGTAGGTAAACATGTGCTGTGGTGGTTTGCTGCACCTATCAAACCATCACCTAGATATTAAGTCCCACATGCATTAGCTATTTATCCTGATGCTCTCCCTACCCCACCACCCTGACCAGCCCCAGTGTGTGTTGTTCCCCTCCCTGTGTCCATGTGTTCTCATTGTTCAGCTCCCACTTATAAGTAAGAACATGTAGTGTTTGGTTTTCTTTTCCTGTGTTAGTTAGGATAATGGCTTCCAGCTTCATCTATGTCCCTGCAAAGGACATTATCTCATTCCTTTTGATGGCTGCATAGTATTCCGTGGTGTGTGTGTGTACCACATTTTCTTTATCCAGTCTATCAGTGATGGGCATTTGGGTTGATTCCATGTCTTTGCTATTGTGAATAGTGCTGCAGTGAACACACAGGTGCATGTATCTTTATACTTTATTTATATTCCTTTGGGTGTATACCCAGTAATGGGATTGCTGGGTCAAATGGAATTTCTGGTTTTAGGTCTTTGAGGTTTCACCACAATGTCTGCCACATGGTTGAATTAATTTATATTCCTACCAACCGTGTAAAAGTATTCCTATTTCTCCACAGCCTTGCTGGCATCTGTTGTTTCTTGACTTTTTAATAATTGCCATTCTGAGATGGTATCTCAAAATAATAAGAGCCATTAATGACAAATCCATAGCCAATATCATATTGAATGGGCTGGAAGTATTCCCCTTGGAAACTGGCACAAGACAAGGATGCCCTCTCTCACCATTCCTATTCAACACAGTATTGGAAGTTCTGGCCGGGACAATCAGGTAAGAGAAAGAAACAAAGGTATTCAAATAGGAAGAGAGGAAGTCAAACTGTCTCCATTTGCTGATGACATGATCTTATATCTAGAAAACCCCATTGTCTCAGCCCAAAGCTTCTTAAGCCAATAAACAACTTCAGCAAAGTCTCAGGATACAAAATCAATGTGCAAAAATCACAAGTATTAATATATACCAACAATAGAAAAGCAGAGAGCCAAATCATGAATGAACTCCCATTCACAATGCTACAAATAGAATAAAATATCTAGGAATACAGCTAACAAGGAAAGTGAAGGACCTCCTCAAGGAGAACTGCAAACCACTGCTCAAGAAAATCAGAAAGGACACAAGCAGATGGAAAAAAAAACATTCCATGCTTTTATGGATAGGAAGAATCAATATCATGAAAATGGCCATACTGCCCAAAGTAATTTGTAGATTCAATGCTATCACCATTAAACTGCCACTGACATTATTCACAAAATTAGAAAAATCTACTTTAAAATTCATATGGATTATTTCAAATCTGGTGATTGTTGCTGGTATGGGTAGGCTTTGCATGCCTGCCCAAATCTCATCCTGAATTGTATCCCCGTAATCCCCATAATCTCCATGTGTCAAGGGAGAGACCAGGTGGAGATAATTGAATCACAGGGGCAGTTTCCCCCATGCTGTTCTCATGATAGTGAGTGAGTTCTCATGAGATCTGATGGTTTTATAAGGGGCACTTCATGCTTCACTCAGCACTTCTTCTTCCTGCTGCCTTGTGAATAACCTGTCTTGCTTCCCCTTCCCCTTCTGCCATAATTGTAAGTTTCCTGAGGTCTCCCCAGCCATGCTGAACTGTTAGTAAATTACCAAGTCTCAGGTAGTTCTTTATAGCAGTATCAAAATGGACTGATACAGTAGCTCTTTCTGTTATTATAATAATAATTATTATGTAATTATTGGAAATGTTGACAGCACATTTTGCAAACTAGATCTCTTTCCTGAACCCTGCTTCTTTTACCTCTGTACAATGAGCATGTAGCTTCCTATGTCAGTATGCCTCCAGCAGTAATGTGATGTCTGTGTGCAGTTGGTAAAATAAATTTTGCACGATTCTACTCAAAAGTTCTTTTTTACTTCACACCCAATTCACCTGTTGCCGTGATATCCTCACAGTTTTTAGGTTTAACTAATTACTACACCAGTCTGTGGCAAAGCTTTTCAGATAAGGTGCTAGAGTCCCAGCTGCCTTAAAGAAGAATTGCTAATGAAGTCTTGGGATGAATAAAATATCATGTCTTCCATCACCCCTTTATAGGATGTCCAGGATTACTTGTACTTTGAAAACGGCTATCATTCTTTAATGACAACTTGTTAACATTTAGATTATCGTTTTGTGTTCTATGAAGTAACCATGCTGGCAGGCTACAAAGGGAAATTGGTATTAAAGACATGGAACAGTCCTCCTGCCTGGAATGCATAACTTGTTTTCATTTGGTTCATAGGAAGTACCGACTGAAGCAAAAAAATATCCAACTGCTCCAATGAGCCCAGAATACTTCTGTCCTAAAAAGTGCATTTGATCCTCAAACTGATGATGTGTGTTGTTTCTAGGTTTAGAGCGCACTAAAATTGGAGCCATAGAATTTACTGAAAATTATGTTAAAACAAGTGATACAGGGTCTTGCTACTCAAAGTTTGTTGCACAGATAAGCAACACCAGCATCAGCTTGTTAGGAATCTGGGCAAAGCCCAGACTTTCTGAACCAGAAGCTGAATTTTAATAGTGCTGCCAGCTAATTTGCAGGGATGTTAAAATTTGAGAAGGGTCAGTCTACAACAATTGTTTCCAAATTTAGCTGAATATGACAATCACCTGAGTTCATTTTAAAACTACATATTCTCAGGGCCTGTTGGAAATTATAGTTATGTGGACCCTAACCCTGAGGATACTTTTTTGATGGATTCTGAAAGTTTGAAAACTACAAGTAAGAGCTACTTAAGAAACAGTGAGCCGGCTACCGTGAAATGTGCAAAAATTTAGCAAAATTAGAAATTGAAGTGATTTTTATTGCTCGGTTAAGACTGTTTTTGTGTGTATGTCTGTGTGTCTGCATATATGCATGTGTGTACATGTATGTGTATATGCATGGATATATATAGCATATACATATATGTGTATGTATATATGTAATATAGGTAAATGTTCAGATATATTTATATACAGTACAAACATCAGGCATGAATATGTATTATGTTATATACATGAGCATATGTTTAGCTATTAGTGCTTATGAATAATAACACAACAGCAATATCTAATACTTATTGAGAGTCTGCTATGTATATGCCAAGCACTATTTAAAGCCCTTTTACTAACTTATTTCATTACCATGACAGTTAGTAATTATCATTCTAAATATATGTATATTTAGATACATATAAACATATATTACATGTTTTATAAAAATACATAATATATCTGTACATATAAATTTATAAGCATATATAATATATACATATGTATATATGTTATACATATTTGTTATACTAGAATCAAGTCCAAATGTTAAGTGATTTTAATTTATGCCAACAGTAGTGGCCCATTCCTGTTTTTATTTCTGATACTAAAAAAGCGAGTTACAGTTACATTTTTAAATCCTGGCAAAAGGATTTTTATACCTGAAAAATCTGCACTTTTTCACATTCAAACACACACACAATGCAAAATGCAGCTTATGTAATGACAAGGCTGGTTGCAGGTGATATGGGGAGCCATTCCATGGGTTCCAAATTACAAATTCTTGCACTAACTTCTGAGATCCTTAAGGGAAGAAAGTGTCCTTATTGGTATTTTTACTTCTGGTTCCCGATACAGTGTCTAGCACAGTGGGAGCACCCCATCACTAGCTGTTATATTGATCATGTAACTTTTTATTTATTTATTTATTTGAGATGGAGTCTTGCTCTGTCACCCAGGCTGAAGTGCAGTGGCATGATCTCGGCTCACTGCAAACTCCACCTCCTGGGTTCATGCCATTCTCCTGCCTCAGCCTCCCGAGCAGCTGGGACTACAGGTGCCCACCACCACGCCCGGCTAATTTTTTTTTTTGTATTTTTAGTAGAGACGGGGTTTTACCGTGTTAGCCAGGATGGTCTCGATCTCCTGACCTTGTGTTCCACCCGCCTCGGCCTCCCAGAGTGCTGGGATGACAGGCGTGAGCCACCATGCCCAGCTGATCATGAAACTTTTTAATAGTCAGCAATTTAGTCCTTGATTTTCGCGTTCATTGAATGAGAGAAAAATGTCAATACTAGCGAGAATAATTATTGCAGAATTTGGATGTATACTATAAAACAAGTCCCCAACAGTGCTTCTTGCACTTCAGTGTGCACAAGAATCATTTGGGATTCTTGTTTAATGCAGATTTTGATTCGGTAGTTCTGGAGTGGGGCCCAAGATCCTCTATTTCTAGTAATTCCCCAGGGGATGCTGTTTACGCTGGTCCAAGGATCAGCATACCCTGGGGTGCAAAATAATAGAAGACATATGAGGAAAAGAAAGGAGCTTTGGTTCACATCCCAGCTTCTGCATTACTAACTTCACAACCTCTGTTAATTTCACTCATTGAGTGCATATTTATTGAGCACTTACTATCCAACATGCAATACTCCAGGCCTAGAGATAGAGTAGTGGACAAGATCAATACTATCTTGTTCCTATTGGATCTAGTTATCTAATTACCTACACTTTAATAATAGAATCTTTTCTCAAAAGCTTGTTGGCAATGAAATGAGCTTATGTAAATAAACCACCCAGCCCCAGCACAATGCCTGGCACATAGTAGGTGTTCCATATATTACTTGTTTTGAGGACATAAGCTCAGATACCCTCATATCGTTTCTGTATGCAAGCTCTTCAGGGCTAGCCTTGATGTTGGCAATATGATAACCAGCTGGAAATCAATGAAGGACAGTAAATCAAGGTTCTTATGAATAATACATTAGGTTAATATTATGCAGTATAATGGGGAGCTGACTATATATAATTTAAAGAGGCTGAATGACTTTTTGGAGTAAATTCTTGGTCATGAATCAAAAGCCATGATCTCTAATCTTTAGTTTTTCACTGAAGTTTTTTGAATTTCTAGACAGATCCTCATAATTTACACTCCGCTTCCTATAAAATAAGGGAGTATGGAATCAACTCATGTGGAAATTGACTGTTAAAAGACTTAATAATTCAATTCAACAAATATTTATTGAGTGTCTATAATAAAGTATTCACTATTGAGGACAAAACTTGGAAGTAATAAGTGAATATTCAAAGAACTTTGACATTATCAGGAAAACAATTTGCATTTGTTCATCTGTTTTATTCATTTGCTAACTCAATGCATACTTTTTATTTATTTATTTATTTCTTTTTGAGATAGAGTCTCGCTCTGTCACTCAGGCTGGAGTGCAGTGACATGATATCAGCTCACTGCAACCTCCACCTCCTGGGTTCAAGCAATTCTCCTGCCTCAGCCTCCCAAGTAGCTGGGATTACAGGCATGCGCCACCAGGCCTGGCTAGTTTGGTATTTTCAGTAGAGACAGGGTTTCTCCATGTTGGTCAGGCTGGTCTCCAACTCCCAACTTCAGGTGATCTGCCTGCCTTGGCCTCCCAAAGTGCTGGGATTACAGGCGTGAGCCACTGTGCCTGGCCTCAATGCATACTTATTAAGTGCAATCAAGAAGGAACAAAGATGACAGTTCTCGATCTTGAGGGGGCACTAAAAATAGATGCAAGCAAATTGCGCAAAACTGTTATGGGGTGAAATGGACAGTCATATGAGGAAATGGCAAAACGAGAGTCACAGATAACAAGAATTCCAGAATTTTAAAATTTACAGAGAAAAGAAACATCTGCATATATTTGAATGTTTAGCAACAGATATTTATATCACTGGAGTGTACTTAAGGCTAATTATTAAGATTTGGTCAGTTTGGATGATGATGGAAAACATTATTGAAGAGAAAAACAGTAGAACTTGATACTGATTACTTGCTATGCACCAAGGACCATAAGAGCAAGTACATTTTGTCGAGGGAGAATTTCCTGTCCAACAGCAAAGGCAGGTAAATGAATTAAAATAAATTATACTAGATACCCAAGTGGAGCTACGTATGTACAAAGTGATTACAGAGAACAGAGGTGGAAGGATCAGAGCATAGAGGTGGAAGGATTAAATTCTGTAGAAATGGGTGATTTTTTTTGAGGGGTGGGAGTTTGATGATTTAGAGAACTCAGACACTTCTTGAGAAGGTTGTGATTTACAGTTCAAATAGGAGTTTTCCAGGTGGAAGAGGGGGCACTCCAGACAGAGAAATCAGCATGAGGAGCAACATGGACACGTGAAATATGCACTGTCTTCAGGAACTGTAGTCTGCTGTTGCTGAAACCTAAAGAGTGAGGCAGGGATTGATGAGGGAAGAAACCAGGGTGATGGCTACAGAGCAGGTTTGAAAGGGCCCAAAGAGCTTTGTCTCTGAAAGGGAAATGTTGTGGCACGAGGAAATAGGACTAACTGAAGAAAAAGGTTTGCATGAGACAGAACTGTGGTTTTCTCTCAGGTCAAGTTTCCTAGAAGCAGATCCTGAGATGAAGATCCATGAGAAAGTCACTTAGAGGAGCTGTTCCCGGGAGAAACCGGTAAGGAAGTGAGGAAAGCAGAATAGCAACTGGAGGGGGTCTAATCCCACAGAGGTGGCCTCAGCCTGATCTTGCAAGGGGTTGGGGATTGCGGACTATGCCTCAGAGTCATCCCAGCCTCAGGCAAAGACTCTGGGCTTCCAGAGTCTTGCACCAGTCAGTCACTGGCTAAAGGCTGCCCCTGGAGAGACAGAAAACATTTCTCATTCTCTGCTTTAGAGGGCCAAGTGGCTCCAGAAGGCAAGAGCAGTTTTCAGAAAGAGACACAAGGGCGGCCATTTGTAGTTGTAAAAGCACACTGGAGCTGGGAGGGCAGGAGAGATGAAGAAAAATGCTAGGGAAAAGTAAGTGGTTAGTATTTTACAAATCTTATCCTAAACTCGAAGGAGAGCAAGCAGCAAGGGTATTTTCCTCTATTTTGCCCATTTTCTACATTTTATCCTCATTCCTTTCATTTCATTTAATATCTGTAAGTGTCAATCTAAGATGCACGTTGCAATCTCTTGGGAGAGCTTCGAAACTGTACTAATTTCTGTGTCTCATTTCAGACCAATCAAATCAGAATATCTAGAGGTGGGATTCAGGTATTAGTATTCTTTAAGCTTCATACATTATTCCAATGTGGATCAAATGGAGTGGGGACAATGGTGCTGTGGATTTTTATTGCTTAGAAATGCTGTGATGTGGCCAGGTGCGGTGGCTCCCGCCTGTAATCCCAGCACTTTGGGAGGCCGAGGCGGGCGGATCACGAGGTCAGGAGTTCGAGACCAGCCTGACCAACATGGTGAAACCTTGCCTCTACCAAAAATACAAAAATTAGCTGGGTGTGGTAGTGCATGCCTGTAATCCCAGCTACTCAGGAGGCTGAGGCAGGAGAATCCCTTGAACCCGGGAGGTGGAGGCTACAGTGAGCTGAAATGGCGCCATTGCACTCCAGCCTGGGTGATAGAGCGAGACACCATCTCAAAATAATAATAATAAAAAAAGAAATGCTGTGATGTGAATACTAGATACAACAATCAATGGAAAAGGACCGACACATCACTCTAACTCCGAGAATGGTTATACCGGCTACAGAATTGCAGTGCCTTTCAAGTAGACTCCCAATATGTTTCCAAATGAAGTCCCATCTGAGAGCTAGTGTCTCCAAGATACATTTTTATTTTAAGCTGTATCCCTTGATCTGAATAATATATTTTGTACCCATTTAATGGTATATAATAACATATTAAAGAGCTCTTCAAAAGATGAAACAGATTTAAATTACTTTAGATTATTTATATTACTAAAATTAAGTGTTTATGGGCCAGGGAAGTCACTATGTTCTGTATTTTGTGTTTGGTTATTACCATGGGGAAAATGGCTTTTTATTGTAGAATATATCTTAATAAAGTCATATAATGCAGTGATTAGAACCACAAGCTGTGAGTCAGACATATCCAGGCCCAAGTCTACCGTCTGTAGCCAGAGTCCTTATTCCTTCCTCGGTTCCTTATTCTGTCCTTGGCTGGTTTGCTCTTTTACCAAAAGGAAATAGAAATTTCTACCTCATAGAATTGCTGGGAGGATTAAATGTGATAAGTAGATTAATAGGGCATTTGACATACAGTGAATGCTCAATGAATGGCTGCTATTATTGTTGTTTTAATTTAATTAATTTTCCCACTGTAGTTCATGTAAATAAACAAATAAACATCCTTTAAAGAGTAGTGGAAGTTTTTTTTTTTTTTCCCTCAAGGGGAAAAAAGGCACAGAGTCCTTCCTTCTGAATGCCTGAAAGCCCTCTTAGTTGTACCTCTGAATTTGAAGCCCCTGGATGCATCTTTTAAGCAAAGGACATATGCGAGTTTTGTGTATGCACCAAAAACTCATATCCATGAATTTCTTATGTCGACTGCAATCTGCAAATGACAATCTGTTTCTGGGACTCCAGATTGTGTTCAACATTGATCGATAATTATCACATTTCAGAGTTGGGTGCTCAGTGTCAAGTTGCTAAAAGTCTGACAGACATATTTCATGCCAGGCTCATTTGTCATCTCTGATAAGTAGAAAGTACAGAGTTTTCCCAAAGTAGTCAGCGCCACACTCTGCTCTGCAAGATCCCTTCACTCTGATGTATGCTCCAAGATTAATTTTCCATCCCAAGTGCTCTTGGATACAGCCACAAGCCTGATTCTCTTCTCATTAATATTTGGTGGCATACATGCTGCCAGCTTCGTGGTGAATAAGTGGTGATGATTATTCTGGGTCAGGTGTGGACTTCAGTAGCTGCTGTGTCTAAATAGGAAGGTCCGTGTTTGGGAAAGAAACATGCTCATTGGGCAAGAATGAGATAATATAGTAATAAGTTCTGCATTAATTTTGAAAATCATAAAATATCCAGTATAATTTGAAGGTCAGGGACTGTGTGTTACTAGAATTTTTTATACATGATTTGCTTTTCTCTCAGCATCCTTAAATATACACTATCAGTTCCATTTCACAGATTAGTAAACTGAGGATAAAAAGGTATCTTCCTTAAATTCACCTGAATAATAATAAGTGGTGGAGTCAGGATTTCAATGCACATTTCTCCAAATCTATAGCTAGATTCAGATTTTCCACTGAACCATGCTGTACCTCATGTCTTCAATGTCTCTTTCTGTGAAAAATCTTTTATTCAATCAAATACGAGCTTGTTTTTACCCTATCATCTCTTCCTATGTAATTTCCCAGAGAAAAACTTTTAAAAAAGTCTGTAGTTAGCACCTTCACTTCTAACTTCCACCCAAAGAGTATAACTTTCTGACCTTGATTGGTAATTTGATTGGTTATAAAATTCTATAATCAATTTGCCTAATTATAGAATTCTGAGTTCAATATCTTTTCCCCTCAGAACACTGAGGATTGGACTCAGCCTTGAGATGTAGAATGTTTTTTTGTTTTTTTCTTTTGTTTGCGATTTTGTTTGGTGGTGTTTTGTCTTTCCAGTAAATATTTCATAATCATCTTCTTCATTACCATTCTGAGTGTATTATATATTTCTTTCTACTTGATACTTTAAATTGTCCTTTCAGGCTGAGGGCTTATACCACATTTTTCTTCATCTAAGGATTTTACTCTATTATTCTTTGATTATATTCTATCCCTCATTATTTCAGTTCTCTACCTTTTCTAACTCTTATTAGTTGAATTCTGGGCCTCTTCGATCTTTTTCTTCATGTTTTAAGCTTTTCTCTTTTATTTTGATCTTTTTTCCTCTTAGTTCTCTCATGTAGAAAACTTGTTCAACTTTATCTAGCTTTTTCTAGCTCATTAATATGGCTCTGAACTCTACTCTTCTTTATTTCTCAGTCTCAGAATTGTTTATTTCCATGTCATATTTTTAATTCAAAATCTCTTATCTTAAAAAAATGTTGTGATTGCTCTTTTTATGTAGCAGCACATTCTTTATTGATGGATGCAATATTTCTTCTGAGATAAATGGATGAAAGTTACTCATGGGCAGAGCATCCATCTTATGCTTTTCCTTCGTACCCAGCCCTTGAGCCTCTCTACCACTTCTCTCTCAGGCTCCAACACTCTCATCAGGAGGATTTCCCAAAGCAGTTCACCACTCAGAAAGCAGTCTACGTAAGGCCAGATCTGCTGCTCTCCATAGGAGGGAGCCCCATCTTCCCTGGGTGTTCTGAATGCTGTACCTCAATGAATTAACTGGTAATTAATTATGCCAGTTGCCATAGGGCTACTGATAAGAGCCTTTAATTTAATTGGAGAGTTGTAGGTTGAGTAAGTCTTTTTGGAGGAAATGTACTTAAGCTGAGGTTGGAAGAATGTGGAAGATAGAAATCAGTTTTCAAGATCTGCACATTCTTCCTTTCATCTCTCCCATCTGCAATCTCATTCTATGCCTCTGTGAGGCAGAGGCTGCTAGTTGCCTACCTAATGCCCATGACCACTCCATTCCTTTATTAGCAGAATCCTGATTTTTGTTCAGGGAAAATAATGTGCCAGCCAGATAATTTTCTTTGCTTTCTATCCAACCACTTTTAGAGCTAGAGAGAGGAGATCCAGTAGCACGGTTTTGGTTATTGAGATACAGGTAGAAATCCCTGGCAAAGACAGTCCTTCCTAAATAAAAACAAAAAGCCTGTCTAGGAGAAAACACTTTATTTGCCTTGTTAATGTCTGGTACAAGGATGCAATACCTAGAGTTACAGCACACATTCTGAAACCATGAGGAACCATAAGCCACATGCCATACAGACCTGAAATGGAGATGAAGCCTCAATTTTTAGTCACAATCTTGAGCAACTGCACTGGCCATGGAAATGTTCCTCCAGAACTTTTAAGGAAGAAAAATAAACTCGTGTAATTGAGTCATTTTTGGATTTACTGTCATTTCTAGATCAACATTATCCTAAAGAAACATGCTAGCTCTTAGAAGCTACTAGATGAGTGGTTCTCCAGGTGGCGGCCCCCAGACTAGCAGTATCAGCACCTCCTGGAAACTTACAGAAATGCAGATTGTCACGCTTTTATCCCAGACCTACTGAATCTCGTACTGTGGAGAAGGGATCTAAGCAATCTGTGTTATGACAAATGTCTCAGGTGATTCTGATCCACACACTAAAGCTTGAGAGTCACTGTAATAGAGTCATGATTCAATGGGCTACTTTAAATTTAGGCTTTCTTTCCTTGATATTTTTTAGTACATTGCAAAATAAATATCCTTCTAATGAAGTTACATATAATATATTGTCTCTTTTCTGTTAAAACAACCATCGTGACTCCCCATCACCTACAAGACTGAGTAAAATCATCTGAGTTAATTCTTTAAAGCTGTTGAAAATACTGTCTTAGTTATATTCTTCATTTAAACTTTTCTTGTATGGTCAATATATATATTTTTCAAATCACATGGGTCAGGCAAAAGTACTAACTTTCTGTGGACTGAATACATTTCTCAACTCACTAACCCACCCCGGGATCTGTATGTCACATCTTTGTCCTCATCTCCTTATTTTTTTTTTTAATTTTTGAGGTTTCAATATTTTATTCAAGTTATTTTTAAGTGACGTTAATTACAGCATTTGAAGGGGAGGATCTGATTGCACACAAAATGGAGGACTCTAAAATGTACCCATTAAACTGCTAAAAAACAAATTGAGTGGTGAGAATACAACAGAAATCCAATTTAGATTCTGAGTGTTGTCACCATGTGATCACAATCACACAGGCTCTTTCAAGCTTATAGCGGGAGCTCCTGGAAGCTATTTCATACTCGGGTGCAAGGGCAAAAAAACACAACACAAGAAGGTATAAGTCCTTATTGGCTTCATCACGTCCACCCTCTCCACCCCAAAATGGCGCAAAAGAAACAGTGACCACACCCTGCAGACCTTTTGGTGTAAAAGAGGTGACAATGAACTAGGGTGGGAACAGGTCATGTTTATCTTTATCCTTGGAAACTCTGGACGTCATTCACCATACATGGTATATACGACCACCTTCTTGAAGCCCGGAGGAGGTTCTCTTTCTCTGGATCATATGAACCCTCATTTGTCCCTTTTGATCATACTTTGAATTGTTGTCATGGTATTCAGGTGTTGATTTATGGAACTGAACAATATACCTCAATAATTATGTATACAAAGAATGCAACATATAATTAAAATTGAACAAAGTTAATTTTATGCATAAATGCATTTTTCAAAAATATGTGTAAATGTTGAATCTAATTATTATATTATGAATGCTGAGGTGCTATGAATTAACTTTTTTATCATGCCATCGGGGACGCTGACACTGAAAGACAGGAATAAGTACTTCCATTATCAACAAATGATTTTAAATTTAAAGGTGATAAGATATTTCTTTAAAAATAAAAAGCAAACTTCACAATTACAGCACAATAAGTATCTTAAATTAGGCAGAAAACACGCTTTTTTTCTTAAAGAAATATGTTAAGATATGAAATTGCATGTATCTGTCATACTTTGTCTTTTAAAAAACAAGTCTCAGAGGTAACTATGGAGAGCTATTCAGTTTATTTCAATAACTCCTGGTTAGGAGACTCACCCTTTATTTACATAACTTAACTCACAATTTTTACATTCTTTGAAAAATTACCATGCAGTGAGTTTTTTTTCTTTTTTTAAGAGGGGTAAGAAGCTATATTTAATTATATGACAAGGCTGGCTTTTTCTTTTTTATTTTTTTTTAAGTTTTTTTTTCTTTTATTATTATACTTTTAAGTTTTAGGGTACATGTGCACATTGTGCAGGTTAGTTACATATGTATACATGTGCCATGCTGGTGCGCTGCACCCACTAACTCGTCATCTAGCATTAGGTATATCTCCCAATGCTATCCCTCCCCCCTCCCCCCACCCCACAACAGTCCCCAGAGTGTGATGTTCCCCTTCCTGTGTCCATGTGATCTCATTGTTCAATTCCCACCTATGAGTGAGAATATGCAGTGTTTGGTTTTTTGTTCTTGTGATAGTTTACTGAGAATGATGATTTCCAGTTTCATCCATGTCCCTACAAAGGACATGAACTCATCATTTTTTATGGCTGCATAGTATTCCATGGTGTATATGTGCCACATTTTCTTAATCCAGTCTATCATTGTTGGACATTTGGGTTGGTTCCAAGTCTTTGCTATTGTGAATAATGCCGCAATAAACATACGTGTGCATGTGTCTTTATAGCAGCATGATTTATAGTCCTTTGGGTATATACCCAGTAATGGGATGGCTGGATCAAATGGTATTTCTAGTTCTAGATCCCTGAGGAATCGCCACACTGACTTCCACAATGGTTGAACTAGTTTACAGTCCCACCAACAGTGTAAAAGTGTTCCTATTTCTCCACATCCTCTCCAGCTCCTGTTGTTTCCTGACTTTTTAATGATTGCCATTCTAACTGGTGTGAGATGGTATCTCATTGTGGTTTTGATTTGCATTTCTCTGATGGCCAGTGATGATGAGCATTTTTTCATGTGTTTTTTGGCTGCATAAATGTCTTCTTTTGAGAAGTGTCTGTTCATGTCCTTCGCCCACTTTTTGATGGGGTTGTTTGTTTTTTTCTTGTAAATTTGTTTGAGTTCATTGTAGATTCTGGATATTAGCCCTTTGTCAGATGAGTAGGTTGCAAAAATTTTCTCCCATTTTGTAGGTTGCCTGTTCACTCTGATGGTAGTTCTTTTGCTGTGCAGAAGCTCTTGAGTTTAATTAGATCCCATTTGTCAATTTTGGCTTTTGTTGCCATTGCTTTTTGTGTTTTAGACATGAAGTCCTTGCCCATGCCTATGTCCTGAATGGTAATGCCTAGGTTTTCTTCTAGGGTTTTTATGGTTTTAGATCTAATGTTTAAGTCTTTAATCCATCTTGAATTGATTTTTGTATAAGGTGTAAGGAAGGGATCCAGTTTCAGCTTTCTACATATGGCTAGCCAGTTTTCCCAGCACCATTTATTAAATAGGGAATCCTTTCCCCATTGCTTGTTTTTCTCAGGTTTGTCAAAGATCAGATAGTTGTAGATATGCGGCGTTATTTCTGAGGGCTCTGTTCTGTTCCATTGATCTATATCTCTGTTTTGGTACCAGTACCATGCTGTTTTGGTTACTGTAGCCTTGTAGTATAGTTTGAAGTCAGGTAGTGTGATGCCTCCAGCTTTGTTCTTTTGGCTTAGGATTGACTTGGCGATGCAGGCTGTTTTTTGGTTCCATATGAACTTTAAATTAGTTTTTTCCAATTCTGTGAAGAAAGTCATTGGTAGCTTGATGGGGATGGCATTGAATCTGTAAATTACCTTGGGCAGTATGGCCATTTTCACGATATTGATTCTTCCTACCCATGAGCATGGAATGTTCTTCCATTTGTTTGTCTCCTCTTTTATTTCCTTGAGCAGTGGTTTGTAGTTCTCCTTGAAGAGGTCCTTCACATCCCTTGTAAGTTGGATTCCTAGGTATTTTATTCTCTTTGAAGCAATTGTGAATGGGAGGTCACTCATGATTTGGCTCTCTGTTTGTCTGTTGTTGGTGTATAAGAATGCTTGTGATTTTTGTACATTGATTTTGTATCCTGAGACTTTGGTGAAGTTGCTTATCAGCTTAAGGAGATTTTGGGCTGAGACAATGGGGTTTTCTAGATATACAATCATGTCATCTGCAAACAGGGATAATTTGACTTCTTCTTTTCCTAATTGAATACCCTTTATTTCCTTCTCCTGCCTAATTGCCCTGGCCAGAACTTCCAACACTATGTTGAATAGGAGTGGTGAGAGAGGGCATCCCTGTCTTGTGCCAGTTTTCAAAGGGAATGCTTCCAGTTTTTGCCCATTCAGTATGATATTGGCTGTGGGTTTGTCATAGATAGCTCTTGAGAATAATTTTGAAGACTTTACTGAAACACAATATGCAGAATGTTAGAAAAACATGATATACACCCAAGGGATCACAAAAATGTTGATATATTTAATATATTTTTCCAACTATTTAATACTGCATATACATAAAAATGCATACACATAAAACTGGTAAAACTGAAAACTCACCCCATATGTTCTTAATATCTATCAGTTCCTATGCCATTCTTTCATTGCATTTATATGTAGACATATACATATTTTTTCTTACCTACCTCATATGATATGCTACTTTATATCATGTTCATATACATGCTGCTTTAACCTTTTTAATTGTATCAAATATAGAATTTTACCCTATTTAAAAATGTATTATAAAAATACAGCATAATTTATTTAATTAGTCCTTTATTATTACAGATTTGTATTATTTCCAGAGTGTATTACCAGCCAGATTATAAACCAGAGTGTACTATTTGTTCTTGAAAGAAAATTATCACATACAAACATGACTGTTTTTTCTTTAGGATACTGTACCAACAGTAATTGTTGGCTCTATGTTTTTAAAGTCTTTTCGTATGTAGTTCTTAGCTTTCCAAGCTTTTCTTTTTCTTTTTCTTTTTCTTTTTTTTGTGTGTGTGACAGAGTCTCACTCTGTCACCTAGACTGCCATGCAGGTGTGTGATCTCGGTTCACTGCAACCTCCGCTTCCTGGGTTCAAGCAATTCTCCCACCTCAGCCTCTTGAGTAGCTGTGATTACAGGTGCCTGCCACTATGCCTGGCTAGTTTTCCTTTTTCTTTTTTCTTTTCTTTTCCTTTTTTTTTTTTTTTTTTTTTTTGTAGAGAAGTTTAGCTACATTGCCAGACTGGTCTCGAACTCCCGACCTCAATTGATCCACCCACCTCTGCCTCTCAAAGTGTTGGGATTACAAGGTGAGCCACCACACTTGGCCCCTATCTTTTCTTACAGTCATTATATTCTTATATATGTACCTGCATTTTTGCCCCGACATTTAGAGAAGTGTTTTATTGGATTTCAAAAATGTAAGAGTTTTATTTTGTTACTGATTTCTAGTTAAAATTATTTGTTACTGTGGCCAGGAAATTTTTACCTTCTGAATTTAATTGATTTTTTTTCATAAATAACAAAATAGGTATTAAATTTGGACATTAAAAAAATCAAGTTGGGGCCAGGCGCAGTGGCTTACACCTGTAATCCCAGCACTTTGGGAGGCTGAGGCTGGTGGGTCATGAGGTCAAGAGTTCAAGACCAGCCTGGCCAAGATGGTGAAACCCCATCTCTACTAAAAATACAAAAATTAGCTGGCCGCGGTGGCGGATTCCTGTAATCCCAGCTACTTGGGAGGCTGAGGCAGGAGAATTGCTTGAACCCAGAAGGCGGAGGTTGCAGTGAGCCGAGATCATGCCACTGCACTCTAGCCTGGGTGACAGAGCAAGACTGTCTCAAAAAAAAAAAAAAATCAAGTTGGACTGTCAGAAAGTGAAAGAAGCGTTTGTTCATTCATGTATTCTTTCATTTGTTTATGAATAAGTCATACATGGTTCCTGTTGCCTTTAGATAGATTTGGGCTATTCCTACATAAAAACTCATGACATTTACATGTCTGACCTTTTACTGAAGTAATTTAGTTATGTTAATTCAGCTTGTTCAATTAGCTTGTATTCCACGTATTTTAACAAGGAATCATAATTCTTTTGAGTTTTAAATTATGATTTGTTTATTTTTGTATATGCTTTTTACTTTTTAATTTATAGATTCAATGCTATCCCCATCAAGCTACACTTGACTTTCTTCACAAAATTAGGATAAACTACTTTAAACTTGAAATGAAATTAAAAAAAGAGCTTGTATAGCCAAGACGATCCTAAGCGAAAAGAACAAAGCTGGAGGCATCACGCTACCTGACTTCAAACTATACTACAAGGCTACAGTAGCCAAAACAGCATGGTACTTGTACCAAAACAGATATATAGACCAATGGAACAGAACAGAGACCTCAGAAATAATGCCACACATCTACAACCATCTGATCTTTTGCAAACCTGACAAAAACAAGCAATGGAGAAATGATTCCCTATTTAATAAATGGTATTGGGAAAACCAGTTAGCCATATGCAGAAAGCTGAAACTAGACCCCTTCTTTACACCTTATACAAAAATTAACTCAAGATGGATTAAAGACTTAAACGTGAGACCTAAAAACTTAAAAACCCTAGAAGAAAACCTAGGAAATACCATTCAGGATATAGGCATGGGCAAAGACTTCATGACTAAAACACCAAAAGCAATGGCAACAAAAGCCAAAATTGACAAATGGGGTCTAATTTAAACTAAAGAGCTTCTGCACTGCAAAAGAAACTACCATAAACAGGCAACCTACAGAATGGGAGAAAATTTTCGCAATCTATCCATCTGACACAGGGCTAATATCTACAATCTATAAGGAACTTAAATAAATTTACAAGAAAAAAAAACCCATCAAAAACTGAGCGAAGGATATGAACAGACACTTCTGATAAGAAGATACTTATGCGGCCAACAAACATATGAAAAAAAGCTCATCATCACTGGTCATTAGAGAAATGCAAATCAAAACCACAATGAGATACCATCTCTCGCCAGTTAGAATGGTGATCATTAAAAAGTCAGGAAACAGCAGATGATGCAGAGGATGTGGAGAAATAAGAACGCTTTTACACTGTTGGTGGGAGTGTAAATTAGTTCAACCATTGTGGAAGACAGCATGGTGATTCCTCGAGGATCTAGAATCAGAAATACCATTTGACCCAGGAATCCCATTACTGGGTATATACCCAAAGGATTATAAATCATTCTACTATAAAGACACATGCACATGTATGTTTATTGAAGTACTATTCACAATAGCAAAGACTTGGAACCAACCCAAATGCCTATCAATGATAGACTGGATAAAGAAAATGTGGCACATATACACCATGGAATACGTGCAGCTATACATAAAAAAAGCTGAGTTCATGTCCTTTGCAGGGACATGGATGAAGCTGGAAACCATCATTCTCAGAAAACTAACACAAGAACAGAAAACCAAACACTGCATGTTCTCACTCATAAGTGGGAGTTGAACAATGAGAACACATGGACACAGAGAGGGAAACATCACACATCAGGGTCTGCCAGGGGTGGGGGGCTAGGGGAGGGATAGCATTAGGAGAAATACCTAATATAGATGACGGGTTGATGGGTGCAGCAAACCACCATGGCACGTGTATACCTATGTAACTAACCTGCATGTTCTGCACATGTATCCCAGAACTTAAAGTATAATAATAAAAAAAGAAAAAAATATTTCACCATTTTTCAATTTGTGTTAAAGATGTAAGCCTGCTAATGTTAAAGTAGTTGTGATACAAAACATTTTATCCATTCTCACAACAATTCAAAGATCTAAGACCTTAAATTGGTAGTAATTTTTGGATCAGCACCATATATAAGCTATTATGTTATTTGTAAAATACATTTCTGTCACCTTATAACTTTCATAATTCTGTCAAGGATCCACGGTATCGTCACTGTGAGAATAGATTATTAGATGCAAAATGCATCGTAACTATGCCTTACTTATGTTTGCACTATTATATGTTGTTTTGATTTTTATAATAGTTTAATAGTTTATTATATAGTAATAATTCTCTTTTTTTTTCTTTTGAGATGGAGTCTCACTCTGTCACCCAGGCTGGAGTGCAGTGGCATGATCTTGGCTCACTGCAACCTCTGCCTCCTGGGCTCAAGTGACTCTCTTGCCTCAGTCTCCCGAGTAGCTGGAATTACAGGCATGTGCCACCACACCTGGCTGATTTCTGTATTTTTAGTAGAGATGGGGCTTCACCATGTTGGCCAGGCTGGTCTCGAATTCCTGACCTCACATAATCTGCCTGCCTCAGCCTCTCAAAGTGCTGGGATTATAGGTGTGAGCCACTGCACCCTTCTATGTAGTAATAATTCTAATATTGCTAAATTTTATCCTAATATGACAGTCCTAATACTGCTTCTTTATTTTTTGGATGAATGAAAACACTGATTTGAGAGTTCTGACAGTAGAGGGTAAATACATTGAGATACATTAACTGGAGAGGTAATTTTAGATATTAAATTAATGAGGAAATGGAAAAATTTAAATAAAGTCTTACTTTGCACAATAGGTAGTAAGTTTATGGAACTCATTGCCCTGAGTTATAATTAATAGGTTAAAGAACACTTAGATAAATACAAAGACTTTTGTTGATGCATAGCTAATATTAGAATTTGAAATGAAAGGACATACTCTCAAATAACTAGTGCTTCACAAAAGCTGAACAGAAGCTGCAGCTGGGGTAGTGAGGATCTTCTGCTTGGAAGTGCCCGAGCACAGACTAGGTTTCACTGTTGGGGATGGTGTAAAGAAGTTTCCAGTACTGGGTGATTTTTCAACTGCCTCCAAGTGTTCGAGTCTATGATTAGTGACCATTCTGTATGTTCATGGTTTCCTTGCTAAAGAGATGTAAGTGAGCTGGAAAAATATAACTATAAAACTTTCTTCACCATCATGGTATTCCCCATAGCATTGCTTCAGACTGAGGAACTCACTTAGCTGCAGAATAAGTGCAGCAGTGGGCCCAGCCTCGTGGACTTCACTAGTCTTACCATGTTCTCCACCATTCTGAAGCAGCTGGCCTGATGGAACAGTGGAATGTCCTTTTGAAGACTCAGTTATAGCACCAGCTAGGTGGCAGTACCTCAGGAGGCATGGGCAAGATTCTCTACATGGCTGAATATGCTCTGAATCACTGTCCACTATAAGGTGCTGTTTCTCCAATAGCTAGGATTCATGAGTCCAGGGATCGAAGGTGGAAATAGGAGTGGCTTCACTCACTATCACCCCCAGTGACCCACAAGCAAAATTTTTGCTTTCCGTTCTCATGACCCTAGGCTCTGATGACCGAGAGGTCTCAGTTCCAAAGGGAAGAATGCTTTCACCAGGAGACACAAAAATGGTTCAGTTGAACTGGAAATTAAGACTGTCACCTGGCCCCTTTGAGCTTCTCATGCCTCTGAATCAATAGGCAGAGAAGTGAGTTAATACTATGCTGGGTGAGGTGGCTAATCCTCTCTACAGAGGAGAAATTCAACTGTTACTCCACAATAGAGGTAAGAAAGAACATGCTTGAATTTTAAGAGATCCCTTAGTGTGTCACTGCGTATTACCATACCTTGTGATTATAATCAATGGAAAGCTACAACAACCCAATCCAGGAAGGACTACTAATGGCTCAGACCCTTCAGGAATGCAGATTTGGGTCATTCTACCAGGGGAAGAGCCATGACCAAGTAAGGTGCTTGCTGAAGGGAAAAGGAATACAGAATGACTAGTGGAAGAGGGTAGTTATGAATATCAGCTACAAGTGACCAGTTACAGAAAAAAGAGTATTGTAATTGTTATGAATAGTCCCCCTTATTTTGTTTAGAATGTGAATATGTTTTAGGTATATTTATATTTGTATGTATTAAGAAAATATCTTTGATTTTCACTCTGATTCTTTCGTCATGTAACAGCGGATGTATTGACTTAATATCATAGTTAAGTATTGTTAATTTTCAATCATAGTATTTCAGTTACAAGACATAAAGGAGATGAGTAAATTTCAAAGACTCTGCCTCCTCTTCTGGGGAAGGGGTTAGTGTGTTTTTAGTTGTATGCAGGATAGTTATATCATGTTTGGTGGAATTATGACCTTGTTATTGCCTTTATTTTGAGGTAAAGTCTGGCTTAAGGAGATGTGTATGGGTGACAAGCTGACAGAGTTGGACTTGTGATGATTAATTTTATGTGTCAGTGTGACTGGGACATGGGGTTCCCAGATATTTGATTAAACATTGTTCTGGATATATTTGTGAGGGTGTTTCTGAGTGAGATTAGCATTTGAATTGGTAGACTGAGAAAAGCAGATGGCCAGTGTTTTTAGTCCTCATCCAATCTGTTGGAGGCCTGAATGGAACAAAAGGCGGAGTAAGAGAGAATTTGCTCTCTCTGCCTGACAGCTTGAATTGGGACATCAGTCTTCTCCTACCCTTGGACTATATATAAAATAATATATGTAAAATATATAATATATAAATATATAGTACTTATATAAAATATACATAAAATATATAAAATATAATATATATTATATATATATATTTGGACTTGGACTAGAACTACACCACCAACTTTCTACCACCACTTACATCATCAGTTCTCCTGGTCTTGGGCCTTCAAACTTGGACTGGAACTATGTCACCAGCTTTCCAGGGTCTCTAGTTTACAGGCCATAGACCATGGGACTTCTCAGCCTCATAGTCATGTGAATCAGTTCCTTATAATCTCTCTCTGTCCATATATATAATATATAATATATTTATATATTTTAATATATATTTTAATTATATATTTTAATATGTATTTATATATTTATAATTATAATATATAATATATATTATATTTATATATTTTATAGATGTAAATGGTATAAGTCCCAGTCCAAGGGTAGGAGAAGACTGATGTCCCAATTCAAGCTGTCAGGCAGAGAAAGCAAATTCTCTCTTACTCCTCCTTTTGTTCCATTCAGGCCTCCAACAGATTGGATGAGGACTAAGAACACTGGCCATCTGCTTTCCTCAGTCTACCAATTCAAATGCTAATCTCACTCAGAAACACCCTCACAAATATATCCAGAACAATGTTTAATCAAATATCTGGGAACCCCATGTCCCAGTCACATTAACACATAAAATTAATCATCACAAGTTCAACTCTGTCAACTTGTCACCCATACACATCTCCATAAGCCAGACTTTACCTCAAAATATGTATTTATATATAATATATATTTATATTTATATGTATATATTATATATAATATATATATTTATATGTATATGTTATATATACATATATAATATATATTTATATGTATATGTTATATATACATATAAATATATATTATATATGTATGTGTTATATATACATATATACTATATATATTTATATGTATGTGTTATATATACATATATAATATATATTTATATGTATGTGTTATATATAAATATATAATATATATATTTATATGTATATATTATATATACATAGAATATATAAATATATTTATATTTATAAATATATATGTATATATAATATATAAATATATATAATATATTTTACATGTAAATAACATATTTACATGTAAATATATATTTTTATAATTATATATTTTTATATAAATATATATTTATATGTGTGTGTATATAAGATATAGATATCTCTCCTATATATGCATATGGGAGATATACATATGTATATATATATCTCCTATTAGTTCTATGTCTCTGGAGATCTCTGACTAATATAGTTGATCAATTCTTGCATTCATTCAGCAATAAACAAATATTTACTGAATGTTTTATAAGAGAGTGTATATGATTTGCTGTTTAAATATTTCACCACCAAACAAATGGAGAAATGGTACTCTTGATGTTCACATTGCATGCCTTTGCTTCTTTTTTGAATTTGAATTTGCCTATTATGTTTTGTCTGTTTTTGCCTCTGAGGCAGGAATATTATGGATCTACCACTGAGCCACTGTGTGGCTTTAAGAAAGTGATTTAACTTCTTTGTGATTTTATTTTCTAAGCTGTAAAATGATTATAAAAGGTCCCTACCTTTTGTAATTGTTATTAATATAAAATAAACAATACTTAGAACAGTGACTGCTAAGCATTAAGTGCTCAACAAATGATTTCTAGTCTTGTTTTCCTCTTCAATAATTTTCAATAATTTTATTTTAGCTGTGTTTCTTGTAATTACTATTTAGTTCAATGTTTTAAAAACATTGCAACTAGGATCTTTTGTCTTTTAATGAAGTGGTTTAATCTATTTTTATATTTTCCATAATGAAGTTGGGTTTAGCTTTTTTTTTTTTTTTTCTTGAGACGGAGTGTCACCCTGTCGCCCAGGCTGGAGTGCAGTGGCCTCGATCTCGCCTCACTGCAACCTCCACCTCCTGGGTTTCAGTGATTCTCCTGCCTCAGCCTCCCAGGTAGCTGGGATTACAGGCACCTGCCACCACGCCCAGCTAATTTTTGTATTTTTAGTACAGATGGGTTTTCACCATGTTGGGCAGGCTGGTCTCAACATCCTGACCTCATGATCTGCCTGCCTCAGCCTCCCAAAGTGCTGGGATTACAGTTGTGAGCCACTGTGCCCGGCCCACATTTAGCATTTTTATCTCTGCTTTGGGGTGTATGTTTATGTATTTCTCTGTTCAAGTATTTCCTATTCCTTCTTTTACATATGATGCTTTTCAAACAAAACATGATCTGGAAGTATGTGCAAACTTATGTTGCCTTATTTTTTTACACTAATAAATTTAAAATTTAACTCCACCCCATCCCTAAGCAACATTGCTTGATTCTTCCTGGTCTCCACTGCTTGGCTTTTCCCAATTGTGCCTTTACATGGATTCTTCTCATAGTCTTTTCCATTTTGGGGACTTCTCTTTCATATGTGAGGTTACTCACTGTTTGTGATTCCTTTCTATTATATAACATATTAGCTGTAATTTGTGCTGCTAGACATTCTAAAAATTGCAACCCCCTGGCCAATTTCTTAACAGTTTCTGATATGAAATAGATTTCCTTCAATTTTTATATGCGTTGGGTCATTTGAATGGGAATTTGAGTAAGGAATGTAGGGAAATAGGTAAGCTCTTGCTTACCTATTGCCAATTTGACCTGGAAACACACTATGGCATTTTTTTTTCAGGAATATTATTCCCTTTCTTTCTATGTCCTGGTAACAGCAAAGGCTGCACCAATATTGTGCTTTATGTTTTTTTAGCTGGTAAAATAAGCAATCCCCGTGCTTACAGGATTATGAGAGAAAAGCTGAACCTTTGGATTATCATAGCCTGGTGTCTCCCTTTCATTATTAGCATGTCTTTCATAAAGATGTGCAGAAGTCAATATAGGTGTGACTTGACAAAGAAAAAGAAAACCAAACTTTGATTTCTTTATGTTAAATTTGTTATTTAGAACCAGAATCTGGTTTATTTTGATGGTGGGCTCCATGTTGAAAGAAAGTATAATGCAAAATAAACTCCTTTTGTTCTTTCCCTGTGATGGAAGCTACACTTCTGTGTACATTTCTTCATCAGAATCTCTTTTACATCTCTATATCCAGGGACTCACTGTTCTGCTTTCCTTATTAAAGCAAAAAAGTAGACATAAACTTTCAAAAAGTCTTCAAAAGAAAATAAATGTAGGAAAGCTATGGTAACAAGTATATGGAATTATTTTACAAACTCATAGAGATGAAGAAGTTGCCCCAAATAAATGATCCCACATTTCTGCCTCCTCTTTTCTAGTTTTGTTTGTTTGTTTTCCCAAAGCAACACTCTCTCATGACACATTACATGTGTCAACAGAGAATTCGTTTCATGGAACGTGAGTGTTGGAATATTTTATCCCTGAATCCATCAAGATTACTCAACATCAATGAAATCTGAAACAAGATCTTAGATCCTGGCTGAAAACATGGGCAGATTTTCATTCTGGCTTCTTTACTTTCACATCTTGCTGCCAGATGTGCACAGGTAGCCATAGGGTACCCTTCCTTTCACCCTCCAGGCCTGGTCCATACTTATGACCACATTCATCATGCTTCATCTTAGAAAACTGCACATTCTTTGCCAAAAGGGAAGGTTTGGGAAGAGAAGACAAATCTCTATCCAGTCTCTCTTCATTGTGATCATTGACGTCCCTGTCTGTCTATTCTAGTCATCAGTTGGAGAGTGGGCCGGAGAGAATATTCAGACTGGAGAATGAAAAAACTTCTAGTTACCCAAGCAAAATTGCCATCCTAGTCAAATGACCCCTGGCATTTTCCAGACCTGATATTTTGCTTCCTTGAAGCAAAGGCCACTGATTTGCCAACACTTATTTTATGCATCCTGACTACACTGATATTGATGTGCATTCAGAACAGAAACATTCTTAAGTTTTTAGGGTTAGTCCAATCACTTATATTTCTAACCCAAGTCTCCCCCAACCCACCCCATAATTTCATTCTCTGCCCGGTGTAGATATATCTCCCAGACTCCTCTCTGGACCATTCCCCATGAGTGCATTCCTCATTGTACCATGTGCTAGTCTTTCTTGAATAATGTCAATTTGATTTGCACATGCCTTTTTTTTTATTACTATGACATTTACATGAAGAGAGCCTGTGGTTTCTGAGGCCATCAGGACTAGTAGGGTTGCCTTTGGTCTTAGTTATATTCTTCACTTCATTTGACTAAATTTCAACTGGGTTCTTGGCTCATCTAACTTCTGTGGTTGCATGAATATAAACACTATGAAGGCTTATCCATGTTTTCTTGGCTGATTCCCTAAATACATACTTGCCTGAATTCACCAGTTAATGCTTTGTCTTGGTATTAATTAAACTTGATATGTTATATCCAAAATGAATTGTTCTGCTTACTTTTTTCCTTTTGAGCACCATCATCATCTCTCTCTTTCTTGCTCTCTCTTTAATTCTCTGGCTTGTTCTTTCTTTTTAAAATATCTTCTGGTTTCTTTCTCTGTAAATCTCATGAAATGCTTAATAATGGTCCATTCATAAACTGCCTAGTCTGCCTCCTAGGTATGGGTTTGTGAGACTATCTGCATTTACAGTTGGGTGACCTAAGGCAATAGAAGAAGAAACAAATATTCCTCATTTAGTTTTGGATGCTTTCTTCTGTGCCTTTGTTGTAAAGATAATCAAATGAGACTGTAGGAATAGCAATATCTTGGTGCCTGCTGCCCCCACTCCCAAAAAAATCTCTGAAAGGGCAAATAAGATGCTATTTAATTTCAGTATCCTCTCAGCCATTCATAACAGCATATAAATGAAGTAATCTCTCGTAAAGAGTATCCTCTGAATCAACCAAGAAAAAAAGGAAGCATGATCGATTTCAATGCTAATAAAAGTTTAGAGAGTTGTATAACATCTAAATTCCCTTATTCTGTGGTAAGTAAACACAGTTCAATTTCTTCAGACTTACAATGAATGCTTGACAATAAGGGGTGTAATATTATTCATGAGGGTGATGGAGAGGAGTCTATGAACAAGGCAGCTGGAAGAGGTCTGTGGAGGATCCATGTGTCCCCACACTTCCACCTCCACTGCATGCCTCAGAGATGGTGGCAAGACTCCTTTGTGGCATGAGTGTGAGGTTGACAGAGGGCCAGGCATGTTGGTGCATACCCATAATCCCAGCTACCTAGGAGGCTGAGACGGAAGGATCACGAGGCCAGGAGTTGGGGGATGCAGTGCACTCCAAGGATGATGCCTGTGAATAGCCACTGCACTGCAACCTGGGCAACATAGCAAGACCTTGTCTCTAAAAACAAACAAACAAACAAAAAACAGAGTACTTCTTAAATGGGTTCTTATTAGCCATCAGGTTTTCTTCTGAGAGTCTCATCTATGTTGTTTGTTTTAATGTTTATAAATACCTCATGAAGTCAGCAACTAAGATTTTCTATGTGCATGCAGCATACAGGCATCACAGCTGGGATAGAAACTAATTGGGTTGATTCCATAATCCCTAATCCATATTCCTACATTGTACATGGGATCTGTGTGTTACAAAGAGAGATGCTTCATCTCAGTTGAGGTTAATTGGATGTTCTTGTGCCCTATAATTACAAGTGTTATTACAAAATGAGAGAGGAGGAGAAGAGGGAAAGGTGAGGAAGGGAGGAAGAAAGAGAAACAGTGGGTAAAGAGAGAGAGAGGGAAAGAATATAATTTATTATTAAATAATAACAATAATCTAATTACCCACTGTTGAAAATGTAGATTATATTTTGTGGTAGATATTGCTTAATCCTTTAGCCCAAAAGAAAAACAAATATGCAGCCAAAATGCAACCCAAACAAAAGACTACATTAGCCTTTTTCCCTTCCTTCTTTTTGCTGTAACATTTTGTTTTAAGGCAGTAATGAATTTCTGATTTGATTTAATTAAAAAATCTGCTTCATTTCTAAACTAACACTCAGGTAAGTGTCAAACTTCCAATTATACACATAAAAAATATGTTTGGAACCTAAGTTAAAAACTCTATTTGCATTAGGCTTTAATCATCATAAAAGAAAAATGTAAATGTTTCCAAGAGGTCCAGCTACATAAATAATCATCCGTTTCTTAAGTGCACAGTAGAGTTTTCCCCTAAGAAAATTCTATAACTTTGAGAGTAATGTAATGGTAATTAATTACCAGAAAGAGATTAATATTGCGTGCCAAGAATGATAAAGAAATGCACAGAGGCCCTATAAACGCAATCTGCAGGACAAAGAGGGAAATGTACAAGCCCATTTAATTTAAATTTCAGGCTTATTTCATGAAAAGTTACCTCCTCCTTTTTAAAATTAGTTATTTCAGTTGAATTCCTATTCAACGTCACCTAAACACTTGCAATAACCTTTTTATTGGCCTTCATATTTCTAATATGGTATCTCATCTAAACTTTTGTCTTAGGAAATCTATGTCTTGTTGTTCCCAATCATTTCATCATGTCTCAGTTGTCGTAGTTCTCTGCTCAAAAATTTCCAATGGCTTCCTATTGCTTTCAGGATACATTCCAGTCTTTTAAGAAAGACTTAGAGATTTTTCATCAGTATGACTTTGACCAAATTTGTTCTATTCCTACATTGCTTGCTCCTAAGATGCTCACCTTTTACCTACCTGTTGTTTCCTAAATGTGAAGGCTAAAAAATTATTGGGACAGTTATGAGTTAAAAATACAGATTCCTAGGCCTCTTTCAAGGAATCGGATTCTCCAGGAAAAGGAACTTGGAATCTCCATTGTAACAAGTGTCCCATGTCTTTCAGGCAGGTTTGGAAACTCCATCCTAAGCAAACCCCATCACTTGCCATCCCCTGAACATGAGCCACGCTTCCCCTTCTCTACCCTCTTTGCTTACCACAAACCATTTTCCTCACTGAAATCCCACTATCATGAACAGTTCAATCGTATGTGTCATTAGTATGGTTTCTCAAAAAGTAGAGCTTACAACAAGACTTTGAATGCGGGCAGTTTATTTGGGAGGTGATCATGGGAAACAGGAATGGGGAATAAGGGAAGTGAGTCACGGAAGGGAAACAAGGGCCATATACACACACTTTATCAAGGTATTGCTGTTACTAAGGACAGCTTAATCCTACTGGCTCATTGACAGTCTCCTAAAAAGACTTTCTGTCTTCTAGAAATGTCTGTCTGAAGGGTGAAGCCTGGGCATGTATTCACCTGCTCCCGTCTTCTTCTGTGTGGGTGACTCCTGGGGCATCAAATTCCCTGCTCTTCTAGCCTAGGGATCCTTCAGTGATGAAGCAGTCTTTGGTGCAAAAAGTGGAAAGAGGCACAGTGCATGTTCCAGATGGGACTCTGCCAGTTAGAGGAGGGCCTGAGTGCTCATGGCACCATTCAATGCAGCTGTAGCTAAAGTCAGAGGGGGGCCCAGGGATAGAAACTGGGCTGCAAACACATTCACAGCATGCCTCCTCCATATATCACATTAGTTAACTATTGTGTAACAAATTACCCCAGTAACAAATTACCCCAGTAACAAATCATGTGGCCCCATTTTTCATGATGCGATTATTTGACATTGCATGTCTGTATCAAAACATCTCATGTACCCCATAAATACGTATACCTACTATGTACCCACAAATTGTTTTAAAAAATTAAAAACACAACATAACAAAACAAATCATGTGGCTATATATATACCTTTCTTACTGTGAAGCTTCTGTGGGTCAAGAATTCAGGTGTGGCTTAGCTGGATCATTCAGCTCAGGGGTTCCTACAAGGTTTAAATTATTTTGAAGGCTTTACTGGAAAAAATGTGTCCTGTGGACTAAATTTTCATGTCCCCCCTCCAAATTTACATGTTGAAGCTCAAATCCCCAATATGATGGTATAGGAGGTGGGATCTTTGGGAGGTAGTTAGGTTGAGGGTAGAGCCCTCATCTATGAGATAAGTGCCTTTGTAAGAAAAGACAGGAGAGACGGTGGTCTCTTTCTCTTCCACGTGAGGTCACACCAAGAAGGTGGCTATCTGCAAATCAGAAAGGGGGCCCTCACCAGGAACCCAATTGGCCAGCGCTTAGATCTTAGACTTGCCAGCCTCAAGAACTGTGAAAAATAAATTTCTGCTGTTTAAACTGCCCAGTTTATGATGTTTTGTTATAGAAGCCTGAACTGACTAAGACAACGTGCTTCCTGGCTTACTACGTGGTTGTTGCAGGATTCTGTTCCTTGGGAGTAATTGGACTGAGGGCTCCAGTTCATGGCTGGCTGTTGGCCAGAGGCTTCCCTGGGTTCCTTTCCACATGAGCCTCTCCACGGAGCAGTTCATAACATGGCAGCAGGCTTCATGAGAGTGCTCCTGCAGGAGGACGAGTGAGAATGAGACAGAGACGGCTTTTTGTAACCTGCTCTACGAGTGACATCCCTTTGCTTCTGCTGTATTCTAGCTATTAAAAGAGAGTCACTAGGTCGAGCCCACACTCAAGGAGAGGGAACCCCACAAGGGCTGAATACTAGGTGGGGACCATTGGGCACCATGTCGAAAGCTGTCCCCTGCAATGGTCTTTTCTAATTTTCTCAGGGTGACTTAACTCCTATTTTTTCATACTTTTGTTTGCAGCCCTCTGGTAGTATCCTTCTCATTCAGCTGCTTCTTATATGTATTGGTTTATGTACTTTATCCAAAGACAGAATAGAATAATGATGAAAACTTTGGTTCTGGAGTCAAATGCTAGCTCTTTCCTGTGATATCTTCGTGATATTGGGTAAGTTGTTTAGCCTCTCTGAGCCTCAGTCTTTGCACAGGATATAATATCTGCCGTGAGGTTTAAGGGAGACCAAGGGCATTCCCATGCCTGGAGCTCACTCTGTGTTCTTATAAATGTGAGTCCTTGTTATTAGAACCTGCTCTTTGGTAACTTCCTTGAGGGCAGGAGTCATAATTTCCCAAATCTTATAGTCCCCTCTGTGACCCATTATCAGTATTTGAGAAATCATCCATGAATTAATGTCATGATAAAACTTCGTCAAATATCATTTTGCTGTTTTCCCTGTCAAATTTTAAATGTGGTTTTCTCTACATTTGAAACTTTTGTAAATTTAAGGTAGTATAGAGCACATGGACAGGGAATTTGAATAAATCACTTGACATCTTTCTCAAAGAAAGCTCTTTTAAAATTAATTCCTATGAAGTCTAGTCAAGAGACAATAAGTACTAAGAAAATATAAGATGCTGTTAGCTTGTAATAAATTTCTCATGCTATGTAGGCATGAAAAACAATATAAACCATTGCAGTTATGAGACTTACTCAAAGCTTGCAGTGCTGTCGTGTTAAACCCTTTGTTTATCAAACCATCTCCCTGTTACGTGGTGAAGAGAGCATTGGACTTAACCACTGAAGTGCTGGATCTGAGTCGCATAATTTCTTAAATCATCTGTACCTCAGTTTGTCTCCTATTCAATGAGGGGCCCTAATTTGAACCTCAGAGAGTTTATCATATACATGGGTTCCCTACTTATGATGGTTCAACTTGTGATTTTCAACTTTACACTGGTGTAAAAGCGACAGGGCATTCAGTATACTCCTTGGTTTACAATGGGGCTACGTGTGGAGAAACCCATTTTAACCTGGAAATATAGCAAAATCTCACATTTTACTTACAATATTTGCATTCACAGTGGATTTATCTGGATGTAAGTCAGTCATAATTCAAGTAGTACCATCTATACTGATTAAGCACCTACTATGTGATATGCTCTGGGAAACACTAGTGAAAGTGCCCACATAGTGCCTGGCATACAGTTGGCATGCAATAGATGCCAACTGAGCCTATCTGTGGTTCTAAGTAGAGGGTTATTTATCATTAAGGGGAGCCTCTAAAGATTTGTCTAGCCCAGAGTGGGGGATTGGGAAATTGCATTTATAATTTAGATGACATTTATATAAGGCAGCTTGAAAAATTTCCAAGAGTGGGAAATGTTGTTGCAAGAGTTTGTTCTTATTTATAGTTTAAAGAACTAGAAGGAGTTGGAGTTCTGCGCCTACTATAGAGCATCAGTTATTCAACATATATTGATGGAGTCCCTCCCACGTTGCATATCCTCGTCCCTGGGGATACTTCGTTGAATGAGAGAGGCATGGCCCTGACCCAGTGGGGCTTGCAGACAGCAGATTCATGTGGCGAAGGGGAGTGCCGTCACATGGGGCCAGAGCAGTTGTGAGCAATAGGTGAGCAATTGTGTTTGTTTGGGTGAAAGAAGATGCAGACATGTAGCGGGATGCCGGATGCTCATGTTCATAGTGACACACTTAGCTAGCACTAGGGGGCTGAGGATAGCATTTGTGGCAGCACTGAGGTGTCTTTTTCTCTGTCACAGCACAGGGGCTGACAGCATATCCTCTGCAAACAGCCTGCCTGGGTTTGATTCATGCCTTCATCATTAATTCCCTGTGTGATCTTGGCTATGTTACTTGATCCCTTTGAACTTCAGTTTCCTCATCTGAAATGTGACGATAATAATGAGACTTATTTCATGGGGTTATTATGAGGATTGAAGGAATTGATAATGTAAAGTTTCTAGAGCAATCTGGCAAACAGTATTTTGTAACTGCTAATGCTGCTGCTGCTGTTGTATTGTTTTTATTGTAGTTGTTATTGCCTCTGTTGCTGTTCTGACCGATCCTATTATTGTTATTCTCAACAGAAGTAGTAAGCCTCAAAGTCCTGTCGTTCTTGCCCACTACTCTTCCCTGCTATGTCTTATTTTCTTGGGTCTCCAGGATATTTCAGCGTTCCTTGATTTATGATTTTTGTTTAAGAATCACCTAGGCTGGGCGTGGTGGTTCATGCCTGTAATCCCAACTCTTTGGGAGGCCGAGGCGGGCAGATCATGAGGACAGGAGTTCGAGACCAGCCTGGCCAAGATGGTGAAACCCCGTCTCTACTAAAAATAAAATAATCAGCCTGGCATTGTGGTGTGCACCTGTAGTCCCAGCTACTCGGGAGGTAGAGGCAGGAGAATTGCTAGAACTCAGGAGGCTGAGGTTGTGGTGAGCTGAGATTTTGCCACTGCACTCCAGCCTGGGTGACAGAGTGAGACTCTGTCTCAAAAAAAAAAAAATCACCTAGAAAATTAAATCCAAGGTATTTAAAAATTATCTGGGGTGTAAGTTAAAATGCAGATTTGTGGGACCCATTTGGTTGAGTCAGTTGATCCTGGGGCTCAGACATTTGTATTTTAATAGGTCTTCAGGCAGACCACACTTTGAGAAAACTCTTCCTTAAGTGCTATAATTGTGAAAACCAGGATTTACAGCAACTCTACTTTGCTTCAGACACGGGGTTAAGAGCTTTGTATATATCTATATCATTTATAATCATTCATATCATTTATAATCCTCAAAACAGCTCTGCTGGGTCAATATTACTATCTCCATTTAATGATGAACAAACTGAGGCTCTGAAAATTTAGATACCTTACCCAAAGTCACAAAGCTAGAAAGTTGCAGAGCCCATCTGTCTCTTAAGCCTGCTCGTTTTCTGCTATGCTGTGCTCTGCTGCACTGTGAGGACCTGCTGTGTCCCTTTTAACCTGTCAGTCCCCAATGCAAAGTCATTTGGCTGACCTGAGCAGGCTCACCTCTGGCTTAGGCTCTGGGTTCAGTGCAACCCCAGGCTGGGGAAACACAAGAACCTCCAGATCTTAAGCATAATAGCTGCACATGAAATCATCCTTAAGAGCCTTTTTCTGACTTCTAGCTCTGGTTCCAAGAGTAGTACCTTTGCTTTGTTCTTGAAGACCAAAATCTTGCCTCAGAAATAACCTTGAGAGTGACCTTGTTCTTTACACCTATTTTTCATTTGGCCTCCCATTCTCTAGTTCCTCTGAGATAAAGGCCGTCTTTTATAACTCTTATTAATTTCTTCCCAACACTGATGAGCCAACCAAAGGAGTCCAGGGTTTGACTCTCTGATTTTCAGGCTTAGGCTATGCTGGTGTAGGTATAGAGTCCCAACCAAGCCATGGAGAATGAGTTTTCCCAAAAATAAGAAGGAAAAGGAGTACTTGGCAAACAAAAGTAAGACATGTTCACTTTGGTGAGATTTTATAGAGGAGGTAATAGCAGAGTGGCATTTTGAAAGCTAAAAGTATCCTAGACAGGCTTTGGTATTGAGAAAGGTAATGGCAGAGGAGGTAGAGAGGGTGGCCTGCCTGGAGGATTGAAAGGAGCTTCTTGACACAGAGCAAAGTGCAGGCAGAAACACGGTGCTTGGGGTGATTGGAGCAGTCAGAATGATCCTGATAATGAATGATATGGCAAGTAGTGCTCGGGATTTGGTGAGGAGCCACTGGAGGATTTTAAGCACCAATGGGATATGATTTCTGCTCATTGAGTACCTAGAATGTGCAAGATAGGAATGCTAATGCTAAGATTTTCATGACCTGGAAAACCAGTATGACCCGAGAGTGTGTGTGTGTGTGTGTGTGTGTGTGTGTACTCATTTGCACACAAGGGCCAGCATATTCCACCATAGAAAACTTTCCTTTATAGTTTTTACACACTTCATGGTTCTTTTGAAGTTTTACTGCCAGAGAGAGATATATGGATGTACCAAAATAAACTTAAAAGTCAACCAAGTATTTGAAAGCAAAATTAACTTCTTGCTAATGGTTGAATCTTTTTTATAATTTTATCCTAAGTAATTCTCTGCATGCTTTTTCTTGACAAGGATATCATTTAAAGTCACAGTGGAGTAAATGCAACTAATACGTTTCTCATTCCCTCTCAGTGGCAGATTTTTAATATAAGTGTCAGTGGATAAATCTTCAAAATCCAGCCTACCACCTCTCCAGTCAATTCTCTCCACTTCTAGAGATGGTGTCAGGAACATCAGCAGAGGAATAAGTGTATCACTTTTGATGTCCTATTAAAACAATTTTGGCAACTATTAATTGAATTTCCTGGACGCCAAGGCCCATACCAGACAATAGGAGCTCTAAGATGAATTCAGCATGGATCATGCCCATCCAATAAGTGTGTTGATGGGTACATATTCAAGGTGTAAGTTTGGGGAAAGAGTTGTGAGTAGAGTGATGGGGCAATATGTTGGGCTGGGTACATGAAGTTAGTTTCATATGACTGTAGCCTTAGTAGTGAGTAAATGCAAGAAGACATGAATGACAAATGTGTTGAAAAGCTTTATAAGCTATGTTAAAAACAGGCATGGATTCTATTTATTTTATCCTAAGAACAGTGGTCTGAAGCCTTTGAAAGATTTTAAACAAGAGGCTAACTCTAGATGGCATCTTAGAAGAGATGCTTTGATGGATAGTGAGTAGGGCTAACATTAGCCCACTTTGAGCAACTGATAACTGTTTTCAAAAAATGTGGCCTTTCCCCTAGGGAGATGGTAGAGGCTGGCACCTGGATTCACAAAACAGAGATTGGGGTGGGTAGTCTGGGAGGGGGGTGTTTCGATATACAGGCATGGCTGGATAGCAGACTCTCCTCCTCCTTGGCAGACAAAACTGGCAAAATGGCCAGCCCTGAAGGGTGTAATGGGGAATGCAAGTAGGAGGCCATTGCACTAGTCCTAGGCAAGGAGTAATGAAGTCCTGAACCAGGCAGTCACATGTAGGAAGGAGGAGAAGACAAATTTAATAAAATCAGTGGAACTTGGACTTGCTTGAATATTGGATTGTGAGGAAAATAAAGGTGCCTACATTTCTGACTTGGTTATTTTAAGATGTCCCATAATATCTCCTTATGAGATTACATTATATTAACATTCAAAATAGCATATGGTTTAAAATGTGGACCAAGATGCATGCACATTGTTTAATGATCATTATTTCTGATGATTTATGAGAATCTTTTCAGTCCCTCTCAAATGACTGCTAACATACCTCTCAAGCAAAATGAGATTTAATTTTATTTTATTTTCCCCTCCATTTGTTGCTGGACAATATTCTGTCTGGAAGCCACAGGTGTATAATTTCTGAGCCCTTTATGATGCCCCACTTCATGGATGTCCCACTTCATGGATGTCCCTGTGCCTGTTTCAGCAATCATCAGAACCTCTCCTTCCCTCACCTGAATTGCACACAGTAACATGGTTTGGATGTGTGTCCCACCCAAATCTCATGTTGGATTACAGGAGGGGCCTGGTGGGAGGTGATTGGATCATGGGTGCACACTTCCCCCTTGCTGTTACCAGTGAGTGAGTTCTCCCTGGATCTGATGGTTTAAAAGTGTGTTACTTCCCCTTCTGTCTCTCTCTCTCCCTCTCTCTCTCTGTCTCCCCCCCCCTCTCTCTCTCTCTCTTTCCTGTCACCAGATGAAGAAGGTGCTTGGTTCCCCTTCACTTTCCGCCATGGTTGTAAGTTTCCTGAGCCTTCCCGGTCATGCTCCCTGTTAAGCCTGTGGAACTGAGTCAATTAAACCTCTCCTCCATAATTTACCTAGTCTCAGGTAGTCCTTCATAGCTGTGTGAAAACCAACTAATACACACAGTAAATGAGCTAACCCTGTAAAGGCAGTATCCCCCCTGTCCAATATCGTACCGACAATGTTTGGCACTAAGAGAAATTCACCTTGTGGGTCAGCTCTTCACCTTAGAAGGGGAAGGTGGACATGAAAAAGGTCCTGCAGCAATAGCTACCTCCTTTTCTAGAAACTGCCTGTGTGTGTTGCCATGTGGTGGATCATTTACCTGCTTTTGCCCATGCCATTTAGTTGCTGAAGACATTTAGTGAAAATGAAAAAAATATCCGGCTACTCAGCACTTCAAGGGCACTAAATTTTAACCAATCCAACCATATAATTTAATAAAATACCCCAATGGTCAATTTTCACACAAAATTAACATATGTTTCTCAAGGCTCTAATCACGTTTCTTGCCCAGCCCAAATCTTGAAAGGCTGCTTTATTACTTTGCTTTCAATCTTTTATTTTTATTTTTTTTTTAACCATGATACATATGTGGACAAAAGCAAAAACCAGAATAAAAATGTAAAGAAAAAAAAGAAATTCTTTCCCGAACAAAGGTTTTCTGAAGTGTTTCTTCAGAGTGGGTTTTTAAAAAATTTCTCCAAGGACAAGAGGCCAACCTCACAAAATAGCAAATAAATACATTTTTCCCCTCTTTGCATAGTTCCTGACCTTGAATAAATGCTGATCCTTTCAGAAAATGGATTTGCTGTGGAGTTGAGAGGGCTATAATGTGTCAGTTTTACCTCGAGAGCCACCTGGATTCTTCTCAGAGAAGCACAGGTCAGAATTCTCCTTCCCTCTACAAGCTGGAGAAGGGGAAAGGAGGAGGAGAAATGATGTGTTTGAAAGTGTGCCAGGAACAGAAATAGAAAGCACTACACAGGAGGAGAGATGTTTCAGGGTCACCCTCATGTCAAGTACCTTTACCTGTTTTTATTTTATTTGTCTGATTGTTAGAGTAGGTAGCACAAGCTGTGCTCATACCATGTCATCATGCCTAGTGGGAACACAATTCCATCTCTAGAAGTGGAGGAAAAGATTGTGACTGCTTCTGTTTTGTGATCATTGTAGTTGGCACTTGCCACTGACTAGTCATTTTGGTTATACAGGGACACAGAATGAAAAATGTTCAGTATGACTAAATATCTGTCTAGTCTCCTGTATCAACAATTGCCTCATTCTCTTTAAAATTGCCATTTCTGGATTTTATTTTTATTTTCTATCATTTTTATCCGACATGGTTTCCAACCATCCAATGGCCTTTGGGTTACATTTCATGGAACTCCTGGGATGCTCCATTGACCACACACCAGACGACCCTTGCTTTAATGTTTTTAGCACTGTGCCTTCGCAGTGTGATAAAGGAAGATACGTTTATGGCATCTTCATTACCTCAAATTGCAGCCTATTTGTCTTATTTTAAGTTTAAATACAATATAATAACACAATGGATTTAAAATGAGGAATGAAAGCTGACCACTGACACAAGCCATAGTTTGTGACCTTTTGTTATGGATAAACATATCTTCATTGAATTGTTGTGTCAATTTTCTAGTAACACAGTTAGAACAAAAGACTGGAGGAGGTTGTTTTAATTTCCTGCTCACTGCCTCTTGCATTAAGAATGATGAATCTAAGTGAAAAGTCTGGATTAATTCAATGAATTACAGCCAAGTATACTTCTCATGAAAGTGAGAATGTGTTTTACTGAGTGATGTTTTCTAAGGTCATACTGTTTATTGTGTTACCACATTTATTTAATAATCAAATTCTGTGTGTGTGTGTCTACTGTGTGCCAGGCTTGGGCATATTAATATCAGACCAATGCTGTATTGTCAAACTTAATTCAATAGACAATTATGATGGAATATCTTATTTTCTTATTTAAAACAATAGTTCTCATCAGAATGTCACAAAAATCATTGAATAATACTTGGGAAATAAATTAAGAAATAAGTGCAATTAAATCTCAGTATTTGTCTCTGTAAGTTGCAGAAGAAATTTTTACCAACTTTGGAGGGTACTTTTACAGTGGATTGCCTTTAAAATAGTCTAAGGGTTATAGACACAATTCATTGTGGGTATGTGTATTTTAGAAAGTTCCACAAGGAAGCTGCCGTCCTCCAGAAACTGAAGCCAAGACCAAGACAAGACAGGCTGGTGCGTTGTCTGGCTAGAAAAGGCAGGTCGTGCTTATGAAGAGACTGTAGAAAAAGAAAAACTCAATTTTTTTTTTTTTTGAGATGGATTCTCCCTCTGTCGCCCAGGCTGGAGTGCAGTGGTGCAATCTCTGCCCACTGCAACCTCCACCTCCCAGGTTCAAGCGATTCTCCTGCCTCAGCCTCCTGAGTACCTGGGATTACAGGTGCGCACGTGGCACCCGGCTAATTTTTTTTTTTTTTTGTATTTTTAGTAGAGATGGGGTTTCAGCATATTGGTCAGGCTGGTCTTGAACTCCTGACCTCGTGATCTGCCCACCTTGGCCTCCCAAAGTGCTGGGATTACAGGCGTGAGCCACCGCGCGCAGCCAGAATCCCTCACATTTTAAAGAAACACATTAATTGTCATATGGGTGTTGGATTGCAACTTGAAGCATTGACTCATGTATGAGCTGCTTCCTATGTGAGCAACTCTGTAAGAGCTACCCAAGGGTAAACAGCAGAAAAGTTTTATTTACAGATTAAACAGTGGCTTTTAATTCTCCTAAGGATTAAATAGCAATAGCCAGGACTGGCTGGCGATAATAGATAAGGTGGTACATTTGGCAAATGATTCACTTCTGTTGTTGTAAATTATTGACAACTCAAGATTCTACTTGTAACTATAACTCTGTCACAATTTCCCATCTAACATGCTTTCTTGAGTGCATAAGGGTAAAATTTCACCAAGTGTCCCAAGAATTTAGGGCCCTTGAGCATGCTTCGAAAAGTACTTTCCATGTACTTAACTATTGTTCTTTATATGTGATGTGAAGAAGGTAGTCTGAGACAGAAGGCAGGCTGTCCAAGTTCCTTGCTCCTCAAAGTGTGGTCCTGGGACTTCGGGCAGTATTGGTATCCCAGGAGCTTATAACTTAAAGTATAATAATAATTAAAACAGAAAAAGAAGAAATGCAGAATCTCGGCGCCTCCCCAAACCCATTAAATTAGAGTCTGCATTTTAACAAGATCCGTAGGTGATTTATATGCGCATTAGAGTTTAAGAAGCACTGGTCTTGAAGGCATTTTTCTTTTTACACTTTGCCTTCTATTTGTCAATTTCCCAATGCAGTTATGATGGCAGTATAGCACCACTTCCCCTCACCCCCCTCCAAATCAAAATGGTTTTCGAAGCAGAAATCATTTAGACCTTGAAGGAGAAAGTGGGGAGGGGGAAGAGGTTGCATTTGGAACTCAATGTTGGATAACCATGATTTTTAAAAATACTACATTTGTCCATTTAAAAATTCTAAACAGCCTTGTCTCCAGATGTCATAATTCAAACAGATCGCTTTATCTCTTTACCTATATTCTAGAGAAATAGATGTGTATTTTAAATGTATGTGTACCTGGCTTCCTTAATGAAAGTTTTACTGAAAAAAAATTTTGTTCCTAATTCATCCTTAAGTGAAGTTTTGCATTCTTAATTTTCCACTCAAGTAATTTAGAAACCATTAGTTAAAGTGGAGCTCTAAGATAAAGTAGGATCCTTGTAAGTTTAGATGGTTTCCTCTGAAGATTGCTCTTATAATTGTCAGAGAAAGATAAATTCTTAATTGCATTTCATTACATCTGGGTCGCGGATGTATGTTTGCTTTCCAGATACCTGTCTGGCAAGAGTGAAGGAGAATGGGAGATTGAGTGATATGCTAACATCAAGCTAAAATACTCCAGAGTTCATGACTCGTGCAGGTGGCCCCTCCAAGTTTCTTTCCTCACTAGGAAAAAAACGTTTTTCCTCATCTATCTGCATCTTCTTTCTTAAGCAGTCAAGTTAAAGGCATTCTGTTTCTCTGTTGTTCCTCATACTCATATGGTTTACTATGTAGCTGGATGAGAGAACGATGGCTGCTCTGAGGTTAGAGATTTTTGTTGTTGCCTTCTGAAATTGGCAATCACAGATGGTGTCAGCAGTCAAGTCAGAAGGAGGTGCCCTTTGGTTATTTCTCCCCTGAAAACTGGCTCTGCCTTGTGGCTCTTTTCAAATCTCATCTCAAAATCTTTTTCTCTTGTGCCTGAATGGTTTGATTTCTCTTTCAAGTTAGAGGTCTCCCAGAGAAAGGCTTTGAAGTACAATCAGATCCAAATTTCAAAAGTAAAGAGATGTGTTTTACTGATCTAAAGAAAGGAATTGCATTTGCAGATACTAATATTTGCCTAGTGCCCTTTCCAAAATGTAAGATTTGCCCGCATAGATAAGTCTAAATGTGTTTTGCAGCTGTAACTTAATATTGAGTTTATAAAATACCTTTCAATATACAGATCCTATGTAAGCTGCTTATATGGAACATCTGACATCTGACTTCTCTTTTTCAGGTTCATAACAAATGTTATAAATTCAAATTAGAAATTCTACCACAATTTCTAGTCTTATATTTTAAAAATTACTAACCAGCTTGATATGTCTGAGTGTATTTTATGTAATTCAATACCAGAGAGTTGTAACAAGTAAAATTTGGACTCAAAAATTCAAATGAAGGCGCTTGCACTATGAGCAATATTTTTCTGGTAAATTTCTCTTCTTCTGGGAAGGGAATTGAGGTTAAAGTGATCTACTTATACCTCTCAGTCAAGAGTATTAACCTTTGGATGGTCTGGGAAAGACTGAGTTTGTATACATCCTTATGTGTGTATTACATTTATTCCCCCGGGCAAAAGGCACAAACCTTCATTGGGTTGCAAAGGGGCCCATGTTAAAAATACTTAGCATTTATGGCTTGAATTATTCGCAACTCATTATTCTCTAGGCCCATTTTTAAAAAAATATTTGGGGACCATACAGAGGTATGATTTTCATGTTCCTTTTTTTTTTTCTTTATTTCATTCTCTGCTCCAGCTGGGACAATATCTGTTTGATATATAAGTGTATAGATTTGAGCTTTCAGGAGAAATATTTCTTCTTCATGTGTTTTGTAAACCATACTAGTTATTGTGAGCTTTATATTGCCTATATTACCTATGCCTGTACATGTTTAAGTGTGTTCACATACACATATATATACATATATACATGATATGCACATAAACACCTGCATGTATTATAGATGGACATGTTTTATGGATACCTTGGTGTATATAAGTGTTCTTATATGTATTTTGTATGCATGTAGTATATGTTGTATGCATGCATGTGTTTATATGCATATTTATCTGTGTATATGCATGCTTATATGTAGATTCATATGCATGTATGTATTCATATTTGTATATATTTCTATATATGTACATGCATGTATACTTATTCAGGTACGTATACATATATGTGTATATATAGTATTTGCATTCACCTGCTTGTGTATGTTTGTGTGCACATATACAGGGGTGTAAATATGTAGATGTATGTGTCTCTATGCCATATAGATGCTAGTGTTTTTGCATTCATGCTTGTGTCTGCGCTTGTTATTTTTCCTTTTTAAGTCGGAACCTTGCAGTTATAAACCAAGCATAAGGGATGCTGCAGAAACATAAGGAGGGTGAGCCATGGTGTTCAGAGGAAAGAACTGGCTTCCTTCTCCTGAGCAAGACTGAAGAGCGAGCCAGGGGGAGGAAGCCTTGGCACATTCTACCTCAGAGCCTTTGGCTTCCCTAAGACTGAAGTTGCTTAGATGATCCTTCCATCAGCAGCTTTCCAGTTACATGTGGCTGAGGTCAAAGGATTTTTTCTTAGTGATTTTAAAGTGTGCATGCCCAGACGGTTTTCCCTGTGTTAATGAGCAAGTGGAGGCCGGTGTTTCATTATGAATATCCCGTTTTGCTTTTGCTGGGCCCTGCTTTGAGTAGGAGTAGAAAATAGGAGGATTGGCAGTGGCTATGGATACTTGGTCATCTTTTCTTGCTAGAGCATGGTGTTCTATTTTCCTTGCCCAGACAATCTCATTACTCAGAAACATTGAGAAAACATGTTATTAAGCAGCTGTGAAATGTGCTGCTTCTTACATTGGGAGCAGAAAAGAAAAGCGCTTGAAGTTCTCTTTTCCCTACCAGTTGGCTTATGGATGCTGACAAAAGAGATTGGTCAATTTTCTACATTCTTCTTTCTAACTCTTCATCAATTTAACAATTTAAAAGAAAACGTTTCGTTTTTAATTTTGCACATCGAGTATACAATGGATGATTTCCCTGTTGTTTAATGATAATCCTGTTCTCAACCATTAAATTGTGAACGACTTCATTTAATAGCTTGATCAGTTATTCATGACATTGTAAACTAACTCTCTGTAGGCTGGGTGGGACTGTTTTTATTTTTCTAGTATATTTGCTTTCGGGTAGTGTTACAATTGTATTTATTCATAGTTGATCAGAGACAGATAATGTTTTACTGCTATCTAATCTCCCTTAAGCTACAGTAAAACTTACATGCTTATATTTCCAAATAAAGTTTTCAATCAGTTATTCTTTCAAACAATACAATTTGAGGGGTGGAGAATTGAGACAGCGAGTGATATCTAAAATGTCTAAATAATAGTCTTACTGTTTCATTCGATAATATTGGAAGAATACGGCTTCTCTATCCTATTACCTCTATGGCTTAGTTCAAGATGAGCATAATTTTTAACGGAAAAAACTTCAAGGACACAATGAGTGGGAACACTTTTGGTTTTGAGAATAATCTAAAAGGCTTGATAAACAGAGCTTCTTGTATAGAGTCTATGTTTAGGATAATTATTTGCTGTGTTAGTATTATTGTCTATTATTTAAGCTGATGTAAGTTTTCATAGTGATTCTGAAAAAAATAGGCATAGACTTATTTATATCATTCAAGAAACAATGATAATGTTGAAAGCCGTAATAACCAATCACCCATTGCAAATTCTCTTCTTGTCCCCCAGTTGTGTTGACAGCATCACCGTTATCCTCATTCCCCTAGTTACCATGACATCATCTGCCCCTTCTCTTCAGAGCCCAAGCCCACTCTCTCGTTGAGCACAACATTACCTTGGCTTTGGTGTGTTGCCTCCCTTGTCCATGATGCTAGTTTCATATTTCATACCACTTTACAAATTGTAGCATCCTCCTTCTTGTCCATGTGCTACGCTTTTCTGGTTTCTTTTCTCCTTATCAACCACCCTGTAAAATATTCAGTTGAAAGTTTTTCTAATGCTCCAAACTTCAGGCCGCTCCCATGTGCAGCAATTGTAATTGGTGCCATGGAGTCATCTCTAATCAATTCAAATGGACATTCAGCCAAGTGTCTGCCACATGCCAGGGACTATCCTGGGATAGGGGAAATAAGCTTATGAGTTATACTTGATCCCTGTCTATGGGAAGCTCTTTGTCTAAAGAAGGAAGATAAGACAGAAGAGACACCATGTTACGATAGAACATATTAAAGACTACAGGGGAAGGAACTGAAAAAGAGCTGTGGCATATTGGGGGAGGTGCAAACCAACTCAGTTGGGTGCAATGAGAGAAGGTTTCACAGAATTAGTAACAGCAGGGATGGATCTTGAAGGTGAATGACTTAATACCCACCTTTCTGTGCCTGCCATGAATGTATTTTCCAAGAGCTGGTGCCATCCTTCTGTTATTACCATTCTCTATTAATAATGATTAGGTGACTTTTTAATAATTAATAATCTAATAAAAATTATATTAAATAATTATTAAAGAGCATATGATTATTACTAAAGTTATCACTTGTTAAACAATTACTAAGACAAACCCTTTATGTTCATTTAAATTTTAAGTTCTGGGTTGCAGGTGCAGGACATGCAGGTTTGTTACATAGGTAAACGTGTGCCACGGTGGTTTGCTGCACTTATCAACCCATCACCTCGGTATTAAGCCGAGCATGTATTAGCAATTTTTCCTTGCACTCTCCCTCCCCCAACCCCATCCCCCATCCCCCGACAGGCCCCAGTGTGTGTTGTTCCCCTCCTAGTCTTCATGTGTTTTCATTGTTCAGCTCCCACTTATAAGTGAGAACATGCGGTGTTTGGTTTTCTGTTTCTGCATTAGTTTGCTGAGGATAATGGGTTCCAGCTCCATCTATGTCCCTGCAAAGGAGGTGAGCTCATTCCTTTTTTATGGCTGCAAGAATTCCATGGTGTATATGTACCACATTTTCTTTATCCAGTCTATCATTGATGGCATGCATCATCTTATTTAATCTTAACAAGTCTATTTTAGAGATGAACAAACAGAGGCATAGAGCAATCACCTATAGGGACCACTCAGCTAGTAAGAGGCAGAGCTAAGCCCCAAATGAAGGTCTTTGAGACTCCTAAGTCCTTGCTTTTACCAGCATCCTCTGCTGTACTTCACTCCTGCCCTGTGTTATGGCCCACACACTGCAGAGCTTAAATGGCCACATGGTCTTGAAGACAGAAAATGAGCTTGGAAATCTTGTGTTTTGTTACATAACTTGCTATTACTATCTCTAAGCAATCCACCTAGGCTTTCTGAATCTCAACTTCTGCATTTTTGAAATAATAGAAATAGTATCTGGCTCTCAGGGTCATTCTAAAAATCAGAAGATGATGTATGAAAAAGCATCTAATAAATGCAAAATATTCAGTCTTTTTTCTTGTTCTTTTTCTTATTACTAGTACTACCAGTAATACAACTACAATGGTAAACCACAGTTAATAAAAAACATCAGAAAAGAATGAAACTGTTATCTACAAATAATTAAGGAATTTTGGCTTCTACAGGTCATTGTTTTATTGATTCATTATTAATAGTAGTAGATAGGCTGGGCGCAGTGGCTCATGCCTGTAATCCCAGCATTTTGGGAGGCTGAGGAGGGTGGATCACCTGAGGTCAGGAGTTTGAGACCAGCCTGGCCAACATGGTGAACCCTGTCTCTACTAAAAATATAAAAATTAGCTGGGTGTGGTGGTGCATGCCTGTAGTCCTAGCTACTTGGGAGGCTGAGGCAGGAGAATCGCTTGAACCTGGGAGGCAAAGGTTGCAGTGAGCGGATATTGGGGCCACTGCATTCCAGCCTTGCAAAAGAGCAAGACTCTGTCTCTAAATAAATAAATAAATAGTAGTAGTAGTAGTAGTAGTGGTAGTAGTAGTAGTAGTAGTAGTAGAAGTAGTAGAAGTAGTAGAAGTGGAAGTAGAAGATAATATTCAAGGACAACTGTGCTTTGTGTGGAAACCTTTGGTCACTAGGTATTTTCTGTCTTTTGTGTACATGTATTCTCTTTTTCAGACACAATGGAATTGTGGATGTTGCTTGTACTCTTTGCTGAAAAATAAAAGCCTATATAAGAATAAGTGGGCCAGGAATGAAGGCCAATTACATCTGTTTAATGTAACCCTGGGTTCATATTTAAAGTGACAGGATATATCCAGAGCTGATAATCAAATTAATCAGTCTATTGGCACATATGAAAAAATAACTGGGTGTCAACGTGATTAGATTTAAAGGTACTGCAAAATGTTTTCTCTGGCCACAAAGCCCTACCGTCATGCCCTTTTAGAAGAAACAAATTGCTAAGGTCTTTTATTGCAACCTAACCATTTCACATTACAGTATAGGAAGGGTGGGCCCTCTGTTATGAAGTTTCATAGATGACGGATTTAATTTCTGATTGTGATAGGTATTTATGGATACTTATATGGAACCTAGAAACCATTTTTTCCAGAGATTACCAGAATAGAATTGGATATGTAAATTATATGCTGAAGTAAATGGGAACAGATATAGGTTCATGACACACAGGAAAACAAAGCTGCATTAGTTTTTAGGCTTAAAAGTGGGACACTTCTTAACTTAGAAATGGCTTGGTTTAATTTCTTCCAGTGCGCTCTGTAGCATCTGGTAAGAGTCATTTAGTAACCATTCAAAGTCATTTCATCCAAGTCTCCAGGGCAATTGATTTATGATAAGAGAGAAAGAGCCTTCCTTTTTATTTCTTCAGACTTAATTGATTAAATATGTTAATTACTCTGCTTAAACTTTTCCTGTGATACTGTATGTTTGTTAAGGTGGATCATTGGGGCAATTGTAAAAAAAAAAAAAAAAAAAAAAAGCTTCCTGCTAAACCAGGATAATGAATATTGACATTCTTGGCTTTTACAACCAATGGAAATCACATTTCCAAGTCCCCGTTTCCATGAGGCTTGCTTAATAAATAACTTCCCCAACCATCTGTGTTATGGAGATGGACTCTCAGGAAGTATGAAGTGAATAAAATGTAAAAGCTGCTTATAGAATCACATCAGCATCTGTACAGGGTGAGCCTGTGACTGGGAGTCGGGAGATAAAAGCAGACCTGACTCTGGAGTCATTAACTGGAAATCTCTTCCCCCTGCTGGGTCTGCCCCATTAAAGTCAAGAACATTACCACGTTAAATGTGGCCGGAGTCCCTGATAAAGAGTCTAATTGAAAGAGGAACTTTTCCAGCACCTTTTCACTTTCTACGATCCCTTCAACCTTTATCTTAGTTTAACAGAGGGGGGAAAAACCTGATGAGATGGTGGCTTGAAGAGAAAGCGGTTTCTCTGTTTTTTCAATGCCTCTTATGTAAGCATAGTCTTCTGCTAATATACATCTCCAAAAACTGAGAAGAAAAAAAATCCTTTAAAACACTTAAAAAATAAAATCACACTCTTCCAAGGAATATTATAAGTTTCAATCTCCAGGCTTTGAAGCTCTCCTAGGGGGCATTTTTCTATGAAGGTCTTTAAGTAACGCCTCTTTAAAACTTATTAGCTGTCTCTCTCTGACAGTTCTAGTTTACCAATCCATGATTACTTGTCAAATCTTGTTTTTAGTGTTAACGTGCAAAATGATAGCACTTTTTTTCTTTATTATAGCTCTCAGCTCAAATAATCCCTCTTTATGATGAGGTTCTGCATACCCTTAAAATTTTCTAGGATCCCATAGACTTGTGGGATTTAAGAGCCAGAGTGGATCTTAGATATCAACTTTCATATATGTCAGGTGAGGAAACTGAATTCCTACCTTAAGGGATTCACCTAAACTTCTACTTGGCTTTGGAATGATTATGCCAAGTTTAGAACTCAGCTTATTCGACTGCCATTCTCTTTTGGCCACCACAGAACGGATAGATAGGTGGTTCTTCTAAATTCGGAAAATTAAAAAAAGACATCACTTGACAGCTTGCTATAGCTCTAGTTCATCAATGTCTGCTTTTCCACAATTGTTCTGAAAACCCAGCATGAACAGATAAGAGTGTCCCCTTGTGAAATGCCCAGGCACAGAAGGCGTTTCACATTTTTCTAGGTGATACGGTTTGGCTGTGTCCCCACCCAAATTCCATCTGGAATTATAGTTCTCATAATTCCCATGTGTTGTGGGAGGGACTTGGTGGGAAATAATTGAATCACGGGGGCGGGTCTTTCCCGTGCTACTCTCATGATAGTAAGTCTCATGTGATCTGATGGTTTTATAAAGGAGAGTTCCCCTGCACACACTCTTGCCTACTGCCGTGTAAGACATGACATTGCTCCTCATTCACCTTCTGCCATGAATGTGAAGCCTCCCCAGCCATGCAGAACTGTGAATCAACTAAACCTCTTTCCTTTATAAATTACCCAGTTTTGGGTATGTCTTTATTAGCAGCATGAGAACAAACTAATACACTAGACCTCTTGCATTCCTACTGCATTACTATGAAGTTTACTTTTTCTCAATAGGAAGCATAGCCATTTTATCCAAATTTTCCCCTTTGACCTGAAAAGAGGACTTGGTATTTGAAAGTGTTCTAATACTCTTAGCATAGGTGATCCCACTGCAACCCCAGTCACCCTTAGGAATTGAGGATGGCAGTCTCCTTACAGACTCGGCAAGTGATTTCTGGCTATCAGAAGAAAACTTCCTGAGTCCCCGAGAATGAGTTTACTGTCATAAAAGTGCAAGATTGTAGAACTTCAATGAAGATACTTCTGTCTAACTCCTTTCTTTTGCAGACAAAGAAAATGGTTGTATTTGTCAGGGCTTTTGATTGGTTACAACTGATATAAATCTAACTCAGACTCACTAAAAAAAATGATAAAGAGGAATTTAAGAACATTACCAGCTTATGTAAATCTACGTGATATGCTGATAGTTTCAGGGGCTCAAGTGATTCCATTCGTCTCCTCTTTCCTTCGCTCTCCGATTCCTCTTCCTTCTCCTATTTCCTCTGTCTGTCTGTCTGTCTCTCTCTTTCTCCATATTATCAGTCATCCTAAGGTCAGCTTCACCTTCTGTTGGCCTCAATTAAATCAGAACAACTTGGCTCATATTGACCCAATCTAGCTTTGTCACATTAGAAATAGAGCACCTGTACTTGGCACTCTTGGGCTTCCTGCCTCCTTTCAAGCTGGAAGGAGTTAGGCTAGTGGCCTGTATCAGTCAAGGTTCTCTAGAGGGACAGTATATATGAAAGAGAGGTTATTGGGGAGTATTGACTCACACAATCACAGGATGAACTCTCGCAATAGGCTGTCTGCAAGCTGAGGAGCAAGGGAGCCAGTCCAAGTCCCAAAACCTTGTAAGTAGGGAAGCCGACAGTGTAGCCTTCAGTCTGTGGCCAAAAATCCGAGAGCCCCTGGCAAACCGCTGGTATAGGTAGGTCGAAGAGTCCAAAAGCTGAAAATCCTGGAGTCCAGTGATTGAGGCAGGAAGTATCCAGCGTGGGAGAAAGATGGAGGCCAGAAGACTCAGCCAGTCTAATCCTTCCACATTTCCCTGCCTGCTTTTGTCCTAGCTGCGCTGGCAGCTGATTAGATGGTGCCCAACCAGATTGAGGGTCTCCTAGTTCTCTGACTCAAATGTTAATCTGCTTTGACAACACTCTCACAGACACACCCAGGAACAATACTTTGCATCCTTCAATCAAGCTGAGACTCAATATTAACCATCACATGGCCCACCCAAAACTCAAGAATTACAAGAAGAGGGAAAAGAGCTGTTTTCCCCAGAGGAAAAGTAGGGTGCAGCTGATATCAGAACTAGGTGGATGAATGCTTGGAAGATGCTAATAATAGCAACAAAAATAAGAATTTAATATGTAACAACTACCGAAGTCTTACTATTTGTCAGGCACCTTTCAAGTGTTTAATATCTTATGTTTCATTTAATTCTCGAAACATCAATATAAGGTAGATATGAATACTACTTTCTTTAAGAGGCTGAGTCACAGAAAGATTGTCTATGCTCATGATTTAGAAGCCAAGTGTATCTTAAAGTGGAATAATCTTTCAGCCAACATTCGTTCAACTGATAGTTGTTCAGCACCAACTTTTCTAGGCACTAGGAAGCAAGACATTTCTGTTCGTATCTTTTCGGCATATATAATCTAGGGATGAGAGACAAGACATCCTATTTCCAGGTTCTATGTCTAAATGCTGACTATATAATTTGTAGAGATAAATGCTATCGAGTATGTGTAGAGCCTGAAGGATTGTGACATGGAAATAATTATTCTCTTTTGGTTGTTTAAATATAAAAAGAAAGCTCAGTGAACTGTATTAAAATGGCTTTGTCTCAAGAAAAGTTAGTCCAAAATGCCAGTCATTGTTCAGCAAAGAAGGCCTAGTTGTTGTAAATATTACATCTTTTCTTCTAGTTGAACTGGATTTTGCTAAGCCTGGGGGTGGGGGCAGAGGATGAGGGGTGAAAATTCTTAAGGAGTATCTGTCATGGAATAGATAAATAACAAACTATTTTAATTTTAATGGAAAAAAATTTGGACTAGTTTGTGTTTTATTTTTTTAATTAAATAAAAACAAACTTCAAACAAAGAAAACATTAAGGTTTGCTCATGATAAACTATAAATGATATTTCATTGTTTCAGATTGGCAAAGGTATATGGAGGACATTTTCTTTAAATTTAAACTAGAACATTTGAGGTTTAACTCCTGCTCCAAAGACTTCATTTAAAACCTTAATATTAGCCCTCTCTCAATTAAAGCATGTGAACCCTTTGGTTCATTAACAAGATTCATAACCATATGCTTCCATTTTTGTATCCATTGGCCACTTCACTCCTTTTAGCTATTCAAAAAAAGTTAATGTGCATTAACAGCCAATTGCACAAAGTAATTAGTAGATAACTCCAAAATGAGCTTTGATTCTAATCAGAAAACCTATAGGGTGCTACTTAACAGATACCTAGCGATCAATAAAGTATTGGAAATCAGAAACATGGCTGATGAATATCTGAAAATCAAAATAAAATGCATTTGAAAGATCTTCCACAGCTTGGAAAATCCAGCTTATCCATTTTTTAAGTCTCTATCAAGGTGTCTGAATAATGTCTCTAATGCAGAGCTTACCCTAACTACACAGACACAGTTTGTTTGCAGAAAAGAAGGCCATTAGATATGACTCAGATACTAAAAGAGATGCCTTCAAATTTCTGGAAAAAGCTGACTTTGAAGGCCAGTGAAGTGTAATACACACGGGCAGTTATATTGGGGAGTTTACAAAGCACATGGAAGTGATGTTTTAACCAGAAATGGGAGTGAATAATTTAGTGGACTCTAGGTCCGCTAGATTGCAGTCATGGCTTCCCTAACTTGTCATTCTTCATAAACGATTATACTGTGTGTGTGTGCGTGTGTGTGTGTGTGTGTGTCTGTGTGTCTGTGCATGTGTTTCCCATTATATCCTTCTTAATGTACGGCTGGAGAGGCAGAATAACCTGAAATAATTCCAGGAAGGTAGCAGTCATTATTCATTTGGCTCCATCTGTCACACTAATTCTGATCAGATACGAACCCTCTGAATAGACACCAGGTGTCAGAAGTGAATGTTTTGTGTGTTTGTTTTGCTTTTCTCCTCTGCATCATATTTGCAGGGTTATGAGTCTAAAGATAATGCACAATGGAATTACAGAAAGATGTTCCTGTAAGAGAAATTTAGAGCATGTTTTTAAAGGATTCAGATAACCTCATATCTAGGACCCCAAAATGTAACTTTTGCATTCTGAAACACAAAGTGGGGACAAGCAAGGTCTGCAAGTTCTGAAGTTTTTTCCTTTGTTTTTCTCATGAGGCATGAGAAGAAATAATATATGCTTTAGTCCTTTTTCTTCTTCATTTGAGCCCTGGTTCTACTGTGCAATAAGGATATAATAGAAATAAAAAATGAATTCAGCAGTCAAAAATCCTTAATTATGACTGTGCTTCTAGAATTACAGTCAATATACAAATATTTGGACACTCTTCTCTGAGAAGTGTGTGCTTCTGAAATGGAGCATAGCTCTATGAGTCTGTGTAGGTCAGAAACAAGGCCACATTCTCCTCCACATCCTAAGTACTTAGAGCAGGGCCTAGCACACTAAACAATATAGCACAAGCTAAAGTTATATGGCACTTCTTCTGTGCCATGCATTGTGTAAAGCATTTAAATGTAGGAATTAATTCACTCATTACAGCAGCTGCCACCTTACAGCAGATGCCCTCCCCACAACTGCCCATTTCAACCCCTGGCACCTGCAAACACTTTTCTATCCTTATGGTTTCTCCAGCACTATTGGAGCTTGCTGGGCCAGATGGAGATGCAATCAAGAATTGTGGTAGATGTCATGTTCTGGAGAGCAACCGTCAATCAATGGAGAGATGGAAGATAGTGGGTAAATGACATAGTCTGCCCAGTTTCCAGTAGGATGACTCGAAACTGTGTTCTCCATATTTCTCAGAGGGTCTCTGGGGAGTTGATAGGCTTTGGATGTTTGCCTCCTCAAATCTCATGTGAAATGTATCCCCAGTGTGGAGGGGGCAGATCCTCATAATGGCTTGGGCCCTTCCATGGTAATAGTGAGTCTTGCTCTGTAGTTCATAGAGAGCTGATTGTTAAAGGAGTCTGCACCTCCTCTCTCTCCTTTCTTCCTCTCTCACCATGTGACACTCCTATCCCTTTGCCTTCTTGCCTGAGTAAAAGCTTCCTAAGGCCTCACCAGAAGCCGAGCGATGCTGTTGCCATGCTTGTAGTCTGCAGAACCATAACCCAAATAAACCCAGTTTTTATAAATTACCCAGCTTCAGGTATTCCTTGATAGCAACGCAAAATGGATTAACACCTAACCACAGGTGCCCACAGCTGGAACTTGCTCCTTGCCTTATGCTTTGTTGACATTTTTCCCTTCCCTGATTTGCTTTCTTCACTTTCCTCACTCTCTCATTGTGCTTCCTGGAATTATCTCCCAAATAATCAATCTGCACTTACATCCTTTTTATCTCAGGGTCTACTTTTGGAGATACCAAAAATGAGGCATTTGTGCTTATGTTTTCGTGGCATGAGTGAACAACTGAGTGAATGAATTTCAGAGGTACCTCACTTCCAGGCCAACCAGAAACTGTTCCGTTTTTCATAGATTCTTCCATTAAGCTAACATGCTCGGGTCGTGATACAGCTGCAGTTGTTAATGAAGCAGTAGGGAGTTACACTTAAGTGGAGACACAGCAAAGAATAAATTAACCGAATGCAAAACAATCATTGGAAGGGTCTGGGTTAGGTTAACATAATTTGAGTACTATTGAACTCCTGGCGAACATCATCTAGAGATACCTTGTAGTCACACTTCTCTATATATTCATGTTAGCAAGAATTGAAGCAATTATTCAAGGCAAAATGTATGAAATGACAGATAATTGAGAGAAAACAAGACATAGTCATTGAAAAGACTATTTCTTTGAATTATCTTAATGACTCATGATTTGCATATGTTAACATTTATTTACCATTTATTTTTGGCTTTAGCCAATGAGTTCATTGATTTTGTGTACACACACACACACATTTTGTTGTTGTGAGAATAACTGTAACCCCATTTTTTTTTCTGCTCCTGGAAGTAAATTGATGATTCCAGCAGTTGTTTTGATTCTATTCATATATAAAAACAACAATAACAGCCATCAGCAATAATGTAGGCTGACTGATAATTATCATTTATTGAGGATCTTTTACATGCCAAGTTTATTTCAACTCTTTACATATAGTGTCTAGTCTAAACCCTGAGGAGAGATTACAGGTCCTAATTTTAATTACGAGAAAACTGAAATTCAGAAAGAGGTAGGGTAATGTGTCCAAGTTCAAATGGGAATTAGAATTCCTGTTTATGTAATTCTTCAGCTAAGTGTTAAGACTGCCACTAATAGGAGGAGAACATAGAAAGTGTTAGGTTCACTGGAGAGCATCAACCACTCACTGGCACTAAGAACAGGTAAGAATCCAGAGACTGGGCATGGAGCTGATGACTAGCAGTGGGTTCAGAAGAAAGTAGCAGGACAGTGTTACTGACCTAATTAAAACCCTGATGTCTGTTCCTTTCCCTCACAACAAAATCAGGTTTCTTGAGTTGGCTCCTAAGTCCTGCTGACCTCTGGCATTCACTTCTCTGGGATGATCCCATGCTATCTTCATGGGTAACAACATAAAGAAACAACTGGTTTGCCCTGTAAAGCTGTTATAAACATTTTCTTATTCTTGTACTAATTTGATTATTCATTTTTCTCCTTAATCTACTGATATTTGTACCTTATGTTTAGCTTGTGCAGAAGTATTTAACACAGAAATTAGGTGATGGTTGGGTAGATTCAGTTACTGCTCAGGTCAGTCATTTTCCATAGGTACGATGTCCCAAGGAGGTTTTAACTCAATCTCCCAATACATTTGGTCACCAATATCAGCAGTCCATGTGAATTTCTCACAGTTTCCCAGATAGCATTTTTCACCTCTGGAAGCCTCCTTTTCCATCCCATTCTTCTTTTCTTTGCCAACCCAGGTCTCCAGTTAGATGTCATTTTCCCTAGATAAGATCTCTATCTCAACTCCTCCATTCTTCCTGCCCCTCAGCTGGGCTTAAGTTACTAATCTATGTGTTTCCATAGCTCACTGATTTCCCTGGGATATAAATGGATGGTTATTCCAATGAAAAAATAAACCTTTTCTTCTCCTCTCACATATTAGTCAAGACAACACCTCTGACACCAGACGTGTGGGATTTTTTTTCCCCACACAAAAAATAATTTTTGACAGGACCCACCAACTTGGTGCCCTACAACTTTACCCAATTCTGATACTATCTACCTGGAGGTAGTGTCAGATCCCACAGGTAGAGGGCTCAGTCCCACAAAATTACTCCTCTCCCCATCCCTGCCATCTCAGATGCTAATCATAAGTCCCTAGGTTATAACCTGTACTTGTGACCAACTGGCTTGGGGGTGCCTATGACCCCTTTATTCGGTTTGATTGATTTGCTAGGACAGCTCACAGAACTCAGGGTAACACATTTACTGGTTTAATGTATGCTTAAAGGTTATAAAGTTTACAGATGAAGAGATGCATAGGACAAGGCCAGAAAGAATCCCAAGGACAACAGCTTCCAGCCCGTGGAGTTGGGTTGTACCACCCTCCCAGCATGCAATTGGGTTGCCAACCCAGAGGCTCTGTAAGCCCCATAGTTCAGAGATTTTTATGGACGGTTTTTCATGTAGGCATGATTGAACAATAGTAACTCAATCTCTAGCCCCTCTTTCCTTCCTGGAGGATAGAGTAGATGAGGACCTGAAAGTCCCAAGCTTCTAATTATGGCTTGGTCTTTGTGGTGACCAGCTTCCTCCCCATTCCCCCATCCAAGAGCCCACCACCAATTGCTTCAGTAGAACAAAAGACACTCCTATCAACGAGAAAATTCGAAGGGATTTAGAAGTGTCAGATGTTCCTGTCACTCAGAAAATTACAAGTTTTAAGAGCTCTGTGTCAGGAACTGGGGTCAGAGACCAATATCTGTATTTGTTATCGTTTCAAAGACCCTGTTCTCTGGCCACAAACCACTTACAGCAAATGCTCATATCTGTCTGAGCATTGACATTTGATGTAGCATTTGTACAACAGATAAAGCATAGTACCAACACAAATATGCCTAACATTTTGAGAAGCCAGAGAGGGGTAGGGGTAAATTTAAAGAAACAACTAGTTTGCCCTGTGAAACCATTATACATTTTTTTGTTCTTGCACTAATTTGATTATTCATTTTTCTCCTTAATCTACTGATATTTGTACCTTATGTTTAGCTTGTGCAGAGCTGTTTAACATAGAAAGTGATGGTTAGCTAGATTATCTGGCCTGCATTATCTAACCTGCTCAGGCCAGTCATTTTCCATAGCTATGATGTCCCAAGGAGGTTTTAACTCTATCTCCCAATACATTTGTTTATCGATATCAGTATTATCATAAGACTTCTTTACATACAGTAGTTGAATCTTACCAGCATAGGGCAGTTTTGTTGCAAAACAAAGAGTAAGAATTACACAGGTGTTTGGTTTGACTTCCCAACAGAATCTACCTTTGTCCATATTCCAGATAGTCTTAAAGACAGTCATCATTACAAGTGGCCATGACTTGGTTATTTCTGGGTTCCAAGTTAATTGGGAACAAGATTAATCACCCTGTCTCATCTCACATGCCTGTACTAAGGCTGGTTCCCATTATCTGTTATTATACTGCAGGACCTGCCTCCCTCCCACAGGGAGAACCGGAGTTTATCTTTCACTAGGCAGTGAGCTTCATGAAGACAGACTACTGTGCTCCCAAGCTAGCAGAGGATTTAGCAGATAGTAAACTCTCAATAAGTGTTTATTGAGTAAATATATGAATGAGTCTAATGAGAAAATTAAGTAGGTAGAATAGCAGGTCCTGTTGAGAGGAGGTCACTGGTGGAAGTCCTGGCCAGCCAGTGGAGAGTGCCAGTTCTAAAAACTGGTAATGCTGAAGGAAACTGCCTATCCATGGAAAGAATGACGAGGGTCTAACAGTTTCCTTCAAACCCCAAAAACCAGTTTCTGCTCTGTTTTTTTTAACATACAGGGAAGAAACACATGACCCAAAGCTGGACAATCCACTCTATGGTCAATGACCAACCAGGTACCCCTGTTAAAGAATCTGAGCTAAAAGATATTGCATTAGTATTTAAGAAAGTGAGAGTGAGTTGAATTGAAAAGATGCAGTGGCTTGTGCTGTGGGACTGCGCAGAACCACGTACAAGGCCTACACAGAGGCGTGGGTAAAGACACCAATGGAATAGATCCGTGAACAGGAGCAGAGGTGAGAAATATTGTGCAAGCTCTAGAAAATGGAGAAGTTAGCACAAACTTTCATTATTCCATTTCTATGGTGAGACCACTGTATTTTAGTTATTTTGCTGTATAGTCATCAAATTGTTTTGTACTTACAATGACCACATGACTACCAGAACTTGCTCAAGGGGATTTATATTGGTTGCAATCAAAAGACACTTAATTAGAATGGCCCCTATTCTAAATGAACTTGTCCACTGGACTAGGGGCTCTGGCCAAGGGAAATAAGATAAGGGCTCACTTTTTGTTATGAAGCAGGAAACTGGAAATGAGATTCAAAGTCAGGTGAGTGCTAAGGGTGATTTGATGATGATTTAGGGCAGAAACAGAGACAAAACAAGCAGAGTGCCTACAGAACAACATGTCAGAAGATTCCACTCTCAGGGGTTGACCCTGTGCCATCCCTGCACTCGTAAAATCCTGAGAGTGAACACCACCAATTGCCCTAGGTGCCTCACCCTAGTCTCATGCCTACTTATTTACTTATGAATTCAACAGGTAGACATTAAACTCCCGTTATATATTAGGCGATGTTAGACAATGAGGAGAGATACTCTTGGCCTTGATCTCTTGGAGAACTTAAAGTCTAAAGAGGAAGATAAACAGAAAAAAGCCAGCAAAAACCGTGATTTGTACTATAAAGAAAACAAGGAGGAAACAGAGGGAGAATAACCCCTGGTTGGAGAAGGTGGGCATTTTGATAAGGAATTTTGGGAATTTTCTCTGAGGAGGTAACGTCTAAATGTAGCTTAGAAGAATTAGAAGTGGGTAGGGCCTAGGAGATATTCTAAGCAAAGACTACAGATATTCAAAGGCCTAAGGCAGATAGAACTTTGCCCAAGTTATGAGTGAGCTAAGATCAGAGTGTGGCTGGTGTAGGGGAAGGGAGAAAGTCAGCGGGCATGGATCATGCAGGACCTTGGATGCCACGTTAGGGAGTTTACATTTGATTTTAAGGCCACTGGAGGTATTAAGTATAGAAATGATACAATGACTTTTTTGTGAAAAATAAATAATAATAAAGCTGATATGGCTATGAGTGGGGAATGGCTTGAATTGATGGAAGATTATGACAGTAGCTAGGTCAATAATGAGGTTGGCTTGAACTTGGGTGATACTGGTGGATATGTGAAACACTTATTTTAATGAGATTAGATTTATTTTTATGAGCTAACTGCATTTGCTGATGGATTGGATATGAGCTGAGGGAATCAAGGATACTCCTAGTTTTTGGTCTTCAATAACTGGACTCCGGATGGAGCCATTTACTGAAATTCATGTATTTATTAAGAGCATACTGGGCCATGCACGGTGACTCACACTTGTAATCCCAGCACTTTGGGAGGCTGAAGCAGGAGGATTGCTTGAGCCCAGGAGTTCGAGAGCAGGCTGGGCAACATTTTTGAGGGCTTTTCTGTACTTAAAAATACATAAATAACTAAATTAGCCAGGTGTGGTGGCACAGGCCTATAGTCCTAGATACTTGGGAGGCTGAAGTGGGAGGATCCCTGGAGCCCTGCAGTTAGTCATGATTCTGCAACTGCACTCCAGCCTGGGTGACACAGCCAGACTCTGTCTCAAAAAAATAATAATTAAAAAATGTGTGTATTGAACCTTCAGTATGTGATGGGTCTTGTTCTGAACTTTCATTATATAGCTGAGAGTTAAGCATATACAGTCCTGACCCTACTGAGTTTTGTTCTTGATGGGGAGATAGACACTTAAATACATACAATATGTAGCAAATTCAGTGGTGATAGGAGCAGTGAAGACAAACAAACCAGAGAAAGAATATAGGGAAATGAAGGTGGTGGCAATTTTTTTAAAAAGGTTTTAAGTAAAGATTTCACTGTGAAGATGACATTTGAGCAAAGATCACAGGGGCTGAGAGAGTGAGATGGGGGAAGGAAGAGCTCTTATTCCAATGTTATTGAAATTGTCCCTTAGGGACAGGATGGGGCCTGCAGCTAGAATCTGGCTGTCCTGAGGGATAGTGGCTTGTCATTAGAAAATTCATCTTCAGCCTGTAAATAGGGGGCATGTAAATAAGTTTCTGAGGTTTACCCTTAATCTATGGAATAAAGCAAATTTGCAGGCATTTTCTGATAACCATGAAAGCTTTAGTCAGAATTTGAACTAGTGGCTCTAGGGACTTGCAATATCATTAAGTCAGATTTAAGTCTCCTTAAGCCACATGCTTAATCCATTAAGTCCAGTCTTTAGTTTGCTAAGCTACCTTTCTGTGCCTGCTTAGGGAAATTATGTCTGTTTGCTCCCAAAGGTTTTCTTGAAGGCAAAGCCAAATGGAAGTCAGATGCCATTGCAACCTGCTGCAGAAAGAGCAGGAATTCTGTGTTTCTGCTGGCATTTATTGTGACAAAGACTTGATGGAAGTGGTGATTGCCTGGAGTGAGATTTGGTGCATATTGTTGTTACATTCATACTATAATGTAGAGCTTATAATGTTCATTGGATATGGATTGGAGGGAAAAGGAAGAATCAAAAATACTTTTAGTTTTTGGTCTTTGGAAATCTTCATTCAACCGGCACACAAACTCTTCTCCCCCAAGACTCGAGGCATTTTTTAATTAAATTTTTTGACTAATATGTGGTGTTCATACATTTGTATGGTAGTATAGGGAAGTATCACAAACTCAAACCCTTTCAGGGGATCCTGCAGTTAACATATGTGAATGAAACAGCTATATTAAAATGTATCCATCGTCTTTTAAACACAATGGCATCATTCTTTAAGCACATCATCTTAAGCACAGTGCCCTCTTCCCCTGACAACGAAAGCTTGCTTGTCAATTTTGGGCTACAGACCCTAAATTTCTGGGTTTGATTCCTTACACTTTTGGTTCTTTATTAACTATGTGACCTCGAGCTTTCCTAAGTCTTAGTTTCTTCATCTGTGAAGCAGAGATGATAGTTTCTTTCTCATAGTGTCATTGCATAGGTTCAATGAGATGGGGTTTGCCAAATGCTTAGCACAGGCCCTGGTCAATGATAGGCACTTCATAAATGGTGAACTTTTATTATTTTCATCAGTGTTCATATTGATTATTGTACTACATGTATATTTTTAAATTTTCTGTATATTATGATTTTTTTGACATCTTAGAAAACATTTCTGGTTAGGGAGAGGCTACCTGCCTAGGGCTGGCCAATTCTTAGAGACAGCAACTCTCAGCCAGGAACATATCTTTGATAGGTGAACTAATCAATTCAGATGCTTTGTACATCCCAGGAGGCAATATTCCTTGCCTTAGTAATGCCAGGGAGAAGTACCAACAACTAGGGATGACCCCTATACCTTAGAGACCAGAAATATTATTCAAACCAGCTGATCCGAAGCTTTATCCTACCCCATCCTGCCTTTCCCACAGAAACCCCCATGGAGGCTCTGGCCATCGGCTTCCCCCTTGCTCCTCTCTTCTGCCTCCCTAGTGTCTTTCCCATGTGGTCCATCAAGGTGTGCGATGCTTCCTGTCTCTAGGACCTGTGAATATAGTGAAATTTGTTTTCCTGAGCCTCTCCTGTCTTACCTCTTGCACTGCACCTGACCAACAATCATATAAAACAATACAAAACAACAATTCACCAAGTTCTAAAGGAAAAATTTGTGCTTCAATGAGAATTGTTCATTATCCAGAGTACATCCTTTTGGGTTATCTGATTCTGATTCTGTGGGCGCTATTCTACAATTCTGTAAGTTGTGGATAACTGTTAGAAATGCAAAATAATACTTGTCTATAGACATGTAAATAAATCCTGCTCTTCTTTCCCAAAAAAAAAGCTAGTTTTGCTGCTCATTTGAATATTCATTTTAATACTTTATACATATTTGTGCTTTTTTGACTTCTCCATGGATCTGGGTTACAACATTTGCCTGGTTTCCTTATTTAATCAATGAATATTGAATAAAATCTTTAATGTGGGTTAATGTTATATCTGTATGAGATTCATAATTTTACCTGGTTTTGAAGCTTTTAATGGCACAGAATACCATTCAAAGGACTGTGAATAAGGAAAAAGAACTTTAAATACCTGATTGAGATGTAGATATGCTTAGATATGGAAAGTGAAATTCCAGTAATAGATTCTGTATGATTAAGTTCTAAAACGAATGGAAACAAAATGTGAGGCTAAGGAACAGCTCTGCTCTGGTGTCAATAGGGTGTATTTCACTGAAGGTGTTATTGGGTAGATAGCGTTATAGGGATTTCTTTCTTACCTCATCAATTTGTGAAAATAAATGAAGGCCCCTGCCTCCAATGAGAACAATTATTCAGAGCTTGCTATTTACAGCAAGGGAATCAGCTATCATCACTTGTGTTTTGGCAGAGACTCAAAGGCAGGCAGAGAAATGGGTCAGGTGTATAATGGAGTAAGGGAAAGACCCTGATGCAAGTATGTTTGCAAGGGAACCCACTTGTAGGCAGCCTAATTAGTAGCTTACATGATTGGTTAGTGGTACATGTTTGGCTTTCTCTGGTTGATCACAAGTTGAAAGCAGGGGTGAATACTGGGATTTTTTTTTTGGTTATTTATCAAGTCTTGGCCATTTTGGATTAATTGTTTGGCTTCTTGAGCTGGTTGGTACACATAAGTCTGACTTCCTGGGCTGGTTACTATAGATAGTAGGTTGGTTTCCTGAGCTAATTGTTGCTGGTTGTGGGTCAGAGTTCCATTTTTATAGACAGTCTGGCCAGTATTCCCCTGTATATTCAGTCTCTTCACTTCAGGGTACTAATAGTACTCTGTCATTGAATAGAAGGAAAAATATTTATTATTCATAGCATAATTCTTCCCAGGATGAACCTATAATATTCACAGCACTTTACATGTTCAGAGCAAGTGTGTCTCTATGTCCCCAGCAATGGCTGTATCTTATTAATCTTGCCATTCTTTATCACAAAGGGCCAAAAATATATTAGGGACACAGTATGTATTTATTGAGTCAATGAAGGAAATATGTATATTAAATTCTCTGGTAGAAGAAAAACACTTTACTAATCTGGACTCAGTTGTGAGTGATACAAACACAACTTAAAATGGGTTAAAAGGGTAACTTGTGAGCACACAGAACTTAAGAAAACTCCAGACTCAGTTCTATTTAGGGGATTGCATCATTTCATCAAGCTTTAGTTTCTCTCCCCTCTCTCTACAATTTCCTCTGCATCTCATCATTCTTCTTTGCTCTAGGGTAATTTATTATCAAGTATTGTCTAGCTTGTGGCAGCAAGATACTTGCCTTGTCTCCAAAACTTCTGCTCTTAATCGCTACATTATACTGTTATTCTACTTGGGGCTCCATACGTTTTTGTGGAAGAAAGAACACAGGTAATGAGAAAAAGAAAGAAAGAGAGAAAGAGAGAGAGAGAAAGAAAGAAAGAAAGGGAAAATGAGATGGAAGGAGGCCGGCTGGAAAAAAAGAGAAAAATATTCAGGTTAAATTTTCTAATAGATGCATCATACACAGGGTAGTATATTTATGGAAAACTGCTCCCAAATTCAGGTTGCAAGTGAGTGCTAAGGTGACTTTAAAAAAATTATTATTTTTATTTTGTAAAGACTTGTACCTATAGGTAGAACTTTTCATTAAGGACTATTCATTGGTGCCTCAGTGAGAAAATTATAAACGTGGTCTAAAAGCGTTAATCTTTTACTTGATTGGTTGTCATGCTGAGATTCTAGGATTAGCTTTGAATCTAATGGCTCTAGTGGGAAGTTCTGATCTCTCTATTATTTTTTAATTGTTTTATTTCATTTTATTTCATGAAAAAGAGGTTTTCCTTTTTTGCAAAAACTGCACCGAGGTGAAGCAAAGCTCTAGTTGGGGCAGGTGTGTTATGTAGGGTTAGTAGGACTGCTCTTGCTGTGCACTCATTGGACAGTAGCACAACCCCAAGGAAAGGATGGTGACTTCTCTGTTTAATTTGGACAATGCAGTAGGACAGCATCTGAGAAGATCTCCAGAGCAGGGCTACACGGGCACCTGAAGAGCAAACATTCTTCCCAAGGCTTCAAAGGCCAATAAAGGCTTGTTTTCAAGCCCTCCTAATCTTTAGCAATTCCAAATCATTTCCTCCCCTATTACAAATGCTTGCCTACAATATCCTTTGGTGAATAATAGTGCAATTCAAATGACATCTAATCAGAACATCGTTTTCATAATTGATCTGATATTTGCAGTGCCTTTTCTTAATCTTTGAGGATGTTTTGTAGCAGGGACTCTGCCTATCTGTTTGAATTAAATAGGAGAAATGGAAGTATCAGCTCTTAGATAACAATGGATTTAAAATCAGAAAGTAGATATAATGCAAATGATGGCTTATTTTTAATTTGTGCCTCTGAGAAAAAGATTTTTATCATGGTGCAAACAAAACTTGCATAAGTTATGAAATGCATTATTTAAAACTAGCTTGTTTTCTCTTAATGAATTACAAACATGTGTATTTGCTTATGATATTTAGCCTGAAAAGTTTTAAACAGGAGTTGTACATTGTTTTTCCTCCTTCTTTAATGTTCCAGTGAAGATTCTCATGGCATGCACACAGGAACGTGTGGAAGTTTGGTTGTGATCTGCATTTTGTTTTAATTAATTTTTCCTTTTATCTAGGAAGTGGCAGACATTTTAACCCTCATTTATTTTCTGAGTGATTGATAGAGATGCCAGTGTTTTTCATTTATTATTCTTTATTCCCCTCTGTGATATTGCAGATGAAAAGATGAGACTCAGGACCGCTCTGAGACATTGGCTACAACAGGGACACATCATTGATGGTAGGAAGATGGTAAACCCACTTCCAGTGCCCTGATCTTGTTTCTCTGTTGTTCTCTTCCATGTTTAACGATGCCAGAAGGGAGATGATTTTGGCTTACTTAGAAGAAAGACAGGAAAGAATGAAGTCAGGCAAACACACACACACACACACACACACACACGCACACGAGTTAGGTAGAGCAAGACAGAAGAAGAAAAACAGAGAAACAGAAAAATAGCAAGAGAAAAGGAAAGGAGAGGTGAGGGGAAAGGGAAAAGAGAGAAAGAAATGAGAAAGGCATGAGAGGTGTAGAGCAACAGAGAGGGAGAGGGAGAACGTGAGAAAGGGAGTGAGCTGGGGAGAGCCAAGAAGAGAAGGAGGAGGAGGAGCATATACTTAGAGAGGATACAGAGAGAGACCCACACACACAAAGGAAAAGTGGGAGCTTTTGTGAGGCAACTCAGGCCTCGAGAAAGGCTTTGATAATCTCTTCTGAAGAAAATAAACCCAGCTGTTCATTAAAAATCAAAACCAAAACAAAACAAGACAAAAACCTGTATACCTCTGACGGTCTCTGAGCATTATAAATGTTGACATACACCTACTGTGTATGGATTTTTAGGGACAGGTATTAGCGAGAGTGAACAGGGGACTGCTATGGCTTCAGCAGCTGGCAGTTCCCACATCTTGAGAACACCCTCCCCCAACACCTCTCTTGTTACCTCTTTATTTTGGAAGGCTGATCTGATGTCCCTCATCTTATATCTATCTTCCAGTTCCTCAGCTGAAATCTTAGCTGGTTGAGGGTTGGCCTGTGACCTCAGCCTCTCTGAGTGTCACCTCTGCCATTTGAAAGAATAGTGATGTTGGCATTCCACATTGCATATGGGAGGAGTCAATGAAGCACCGAGTATGCCTAGCTCATGGCTTTAGACACAGAACAATTATTGCTCAATGAATGTTGATTTCTTTCTCCAACTTGCCTATCTCTCCACCATCTCCTCCTTCTTCATAGACTTCTCTCTCATGTAAATGTGCTGTAATAGTTAGCACAGTTGTAGAATCTTAATGATTTTGAATCACAGGGGGCTAATGTTCCAAAAGCTTAATATTAATCTTAAAGCATCTTATTTTCAAAGAGATTTGGGCTAAAGGGCAGACAGCTTTGGAGTCTGCCTCCTTCCTTATCTAACAATTTCCCCTCTGTAGCTTCAAATGGCCCTATGTTTGGTAATGATTCCCTGTTTATATTTTGTTTATTCCTGTTACCCCCAACTAATTGATGTTGATTATCTCCCCCGTGTCCTCTTATAATAACTCAGTCCTAATTCTATGTAAAGTTTAGAAAATTGAGGATCTTAAGGCACACTCTGAACTTATTCATAAAAGGAGAAAGAGATGAAGTCCCCAGATAACAGTGGCCCTTTCTGTTGTCATAGAGAGGAGCTGGGATAAGCTATTGAAATAGTGAGGCTTAGATAATCCCTGGGAAGTGCTCTGTCAAGTCAGGTTTCAGTCAGTTTCCAGATGTTGCCTAATCCAGTAACTTGCTTAGTGCCAAATTATTGCTATAATCTCCCAGTCTTCTTGCTGTCTCCATATACTTTGTGTTATTTCAAAACCCTCATAAGATACTGCAAACAGGATAATGAGCTCTGGTGCTGATTGCCTGATCATATACAGCTTTATTTATTGATTAGTTTCTGTGTTATATCTCCCCCAACCCAATTTATCAACTCTTGGTGAGTAGACACCACTTGTTTTTTTTATCACTCCTGAATTTTCCACAGAGCCTAGCAGGTTTTGATGGACATATGAAGGATTCAGTAGTAACTGTTGATTGACAGCTGATCACATCCCTACTTCAAGGTCCAGAAGCAACACATATGCAAATGGATTGTGATGCAGTTCCTGTACCTTTCAAAACAATTCTTGTACCATAGACAAGGCTTTTATGATTGGAGTTCTTTTAAAATAGTGTAATTCTCACCTTGCCTTTCAAGGCTTTCATGACAAACCTATTATCTTTTCATGCATCTACATTCAGGATACATAATAAAAAATTGGAGGAAAGCAGTGAGATTTTTGTTTCAACCTTGTATTTGTTATGTGTTTTAGAAAATGAAGTGTAAATATCTACAGACTAAAGGTTGATTCCAAAATTCCAAGGTTGGTTCCTAGCACTGTTAGGGAGGCATTCATGTCTTGTCTTGTTCATTCAGGTGATTTTTCAAGGATATTAAACTTGAAACAGTCTCTCTGAAGTCACAGTTATCTGAGCTATTTGAAAGGAATTGATATGAGCATGTTAGGGAGGGCAAGGTCTTCATTGTGCAGCCTGACTCTGTGTAATGAAAAATCAAATTTGAATATTAAGAAAATTAATTCAGCTGTGGCAGAAAACGGAACTTGCTACTCCTCAGCTGTGGCGTACTGCAATGCATAGTGATAAGACTGGCGATAAAAAATATTCTCTATCCTGACTGGGTAATTCTTGTGTTGATAAATAGAGACTTTGGAGAAGCAATACTTGTCTAACCATTCTTAATACACAATGCGTCTGATCCGATCCTGTCTAAATAAACACTGGGTGCATGACTGGTGGTGTCCCAATCAGCTTTGTTTATGCAGCCGAGTCAACTTAGGATATGCACTGATTCAGAAATTGAATTTTACAGCCTGCCTTTTATACTTTGCCACATGGCAGTGACAAAGATCAGGGATGATTTTTTTTCCATAAGGAGAATACCTCAGCTGGGTTAAGCCATTATAATAAATATAGCAATTTGAGATGAATGAGAAAATCAGAGTTAATGAGGCTTGGAATCATGTGAAGAAAATGCAATCACTTTTGTGGTAGGAAACACAAACACGCATACAGACAAACTCTTATAACCTGGCCTACTTTTACTTTTTTGATTCACCATCAAAAGATAAAATGACACTGTACACTCAGTAATATTCAATTCACACAGTCCTGATGTTTCCAGTTTTATTCATGTCTAAGTAATGGAGAGGCTAATGTTGTAGTTCTGTTGCTAACAATATCAGTTATTTTTGAAACATACAATTGGCTTACAATGCTCTTTTAACTAAAAATACATAGTTGTGACATCAACATAAAATATCTACCATCAGAGAAGTACCCTTTAGAAATATCCATATAAATGTCCACATCCTTTTACAAATCGGAATTCCAAGACAGGGTAAAAAGTTGAACTATGGGCTGGGCGCGGTGGCTCATGCCTGTAATCCCAGCACTTTGGGAGGCCGAGACAGGCAGATCACGAGGTCAGGAGATCGAGACCATGCTGGCTAACACGGTGAAATCCCGTCTCTACTAAAAATACAAAAAATTAGCCAGGCGCAGTGGCAGGCACCTGTAGTCCCAGCTACTCGGGAGGCTGAGGCAGGAGAAAGGCTTGAACCCAGGAGGCGGAGTTTGCAGTGAGCCGAGACTGTGCCACTGCACTCCAGCCTGGGCGACAGAGCAACACTCTGTCTCAAAAAAAAAAAAAAAAAGTTGAACTATGAAGAAAGAAACTAATAATCCATTTTGTTCACTTTGCACTAGCACAACAAAAATACTGGTTTGATTTAAAATTTCAGTAAATTGACTTGTTGATATCATGTACAATTTTAGTGCTGGTGCATGCTAAGAACTATATTCCAGAAAACTGCTGGATCTATTCTGTTATATGTACATTCTGTGGTTATTTCAACACTTTTGGAGGTCTCCTCAGTTGTTACATTGCAATTGTTGTAATTGTTTAGGTGTTTTACCAGCATCTGTAAAGGGGTCATTGCTTTGATTACATCTACAACATACCTGTAAAGGGAGTGACTTCAATGTCAGCACTTATGGATGGTTAATTCTGTCATTTTGAAAGAGGGTACTGTCTTAGTCCATTTGTGCTATCACAAAATGCCTTACCTAGACTGTGTGATTTATGAAGAAGGGAAATTTGTTACTGTTCTACAGGCTGGAAAGTCCAAAACCAAGGCACTAACATTGGCGTCTGGCGAGGGTCACTCTCTGCTTCCAAGATGGTGCCATTATTGTGTCCTTAAATGGCTGAAGGTGAAAAAGCAAGAGAGTGTTCCCTTTAATCCCAGACCCTTTTTATAAGGATGTTAATCCCATTCATGAGGGCAGAGCCTCGTGACTTAATCAACTTCCAAAGGACACACCTTTTTGTACTGTTGCATTGGGGATTGTTTCAACATAAATTTTAGATGAGATACCATCATTTAAACCAAAGCAGGTATCTAGTAACATTTTTCAAAATCACAGATTTAAAATTTTTAGCAGATGAGATTAGGCACATATGGATAGAGTTTCAGAGTTAGATGGGTGATCTCTAGGAAGCCTGGGTCCTCTTGCTAAAATCATTCTAAAGGATCATTTTCTCAAAAGGTTTTTTCAGGAGGCTGAAACTCTGTGTGATTCTACACAGCCCAGAGATGTGAAGAGTGGAAGACAACAATGGAACAATGAATGGGAAACTGTCATAAATAGATAATATATATTTTTACATGAGAGCACATATTTAGTCTTCTATTTCAAGATTAAATTCTCAATCACATCACTGTTGACATTTTGGGCCAGATCATCCTTTGTTGTGGGGCTGTCCCGTGCATTGTAGAATGTTGTGCAGCAACATCCCATGCCTCTTTCCATTAGCTGCTGGTAGCAGGCCCCTCCTCACAGACCGTGACAACTAAAAATGTCTCCACCTTTTCACATGTTCTCTGTGTGGCAAAATCCTCCCACTACCCTCGATAAGAACCATTGCACTGTGACGTCAGTAAGTGTAATTATAAAGATGTACCCAGAAGCAATGCATAAAAATTTAGCATACACCCTTTTCTCCCACACTACATTGATGTAGTATTTGGTGATCAGTGCTCAGTTTTCTCAGTTCAATCTATTCAGGCATCTAGGGACCATACATGAAAATTTCAACCACTTAATTAATGTACCAATACACTAACAGATAATTAGGAAAAGGGGAGGATGTGGATTGACTGGGAGAGAGAAATTAACCGTGCCTTCCAAAATATTTTGCAGAAGAAAACTGTGATGGTAGATTGGAATTTTAAGATTAGAAAAGTCTCTAATATCCTATAACATAATTAGTTAGGATGGATAAATCAAAACCAAAACCAAAAGCAAAAAGAACATGAAGAAAAATCAAAGCAATCTGACAGGTTTAAGCGTCTATTTACTTATCTCCACCTTGAAGAATAAATACCAGGGTTTTGTGTCTAAAGTTCCACTTAAAGGAAATTATGAAGGATGGCCCTTCAGGAGGGTTTGGGACAGATAAATCTGGGGGGAAAAGGTGGGTCGAAGAACTTTGAAATCAAGGTGTCTTGGGCCTGGGCATGGTGGCTCACACCTGTAATCCCAGCACTCTGGGAGACCGGGGTAGATGGATCATCTGAGCCCAGGAGTTCATGATCAGCCTGACCAACATAGTGAAATCCCATCTCTACTAAAAATATACAAAAAATTAGTCGGGCATAGTGGCACATGCCTGTAGTCCTAGCTACTCGGGAGGCTGAGGCAGGAGAATTGCTTGAAACCGGGAGGTGGAGGTTGCAGTGAGCCAAGACCATACCACTGCACTCCAGACTGGGCGACTGAGTGAGACTCTCTCAAAAAATCAATCAGTCAATTAATCTAACAATCAAGGTGTGTTGAGAAAATTTTATGTGACTGAGGACCAAGAAAGGCTGGAGGAAGTTAGCTGCTGTTCTGTGTTATAGGTCTTATGTCCAAAAGTGTGCTAGTAAATGTTTAACAACTGGTTCTATGTTAAGTCTCGAAATCGACGAGACAATAAATCACGACCTGATTTGGAGTATTTGCCAGTTTCCATGGTGTAAATACTCTCACCATCACTGACTTCAAGCCACCAACGTAACAGCACTAAATGTTGGGTTGAGAAGAAATGTGATGTGAACTCCACCATATAGTATTCCCATCGTGCAGATAAAATAAGCATAAATAAACACAGTGCAATAATCATAAAATCTAGTAAAAATAATTAGGAAATGAGTATTGCATATTTATTATATTTTTTATTATTATTTAATTATAAGTTTACATTATTTAATTTGGGATAATAGATGTTTTTAACAACCAACTTGCAAAATACCAGAAAATTTAACAGTCAGTTCTTGCAAGTTTGAGCAAACCAGCTTCCAGCTCACTCCTGCTCAGGCTCCCATCCTGTACAGTGTCCCACGGACTTCTAAGGACCTCCATGGGAAATGTCTGGGTGGTACCTTCACATTTAGATCAAAACTCTTTTTTAATGAAAGAGCCCCACTAACAACTGAGAAGGGTGGTGGAGCCCCAGTAACTCTGACACTGAAATATGTACCAGCCCAACCAGGAGATGCTTTGGATTTAGACTAAATTCTGTTTGGAAAAATAAAAATGTGTCCTTTTTTATAGCAAGTCTACTAGAATAGAATTCATACCCACAGAACTCACCACAGTGTTGTAGGATGAGAACAGCCAGTGAATGCAAACCTGTGCTCTGAAAAAGGGAGCAGAGTGTCTCAGAACTTTAAACAATTCAACTGAGGCTTCAGGTTCCTCTATCCTTCTCTAAACGATTTCAGCTAAGTTGACTGTAAAAAGGGTTCATTAGAGTTGTAATCTTGTTTTTATGCCCTGCATATACCTGCCAGCCCATAAAGGAGAAGAAAACTCTAAAGCCACAATGAAATACAATTCATTAGGAGAGTAACAGATAGAGGAAAGGGGGAAATGTAAAGGGAAAAGGTTATTATTACTTTTTAGTAGGATATGGTTCTCTTAAATCTAGGCAGATAGACTGAATCACACTGACGTATTTATTTTCCCTCCCACATTTCACATTTTTCTAGTTAAAATGTCACAATTTTTCTTAAAGAATATCAGTTATCACAGTGTATCAGGCCTTTAAATATAACTATTAATAGATAATATTCAAATAGGACTTCTGGTGTTATAAAAATTTTCTATGACTCTTGGGACCCTGCTATTTCTACTGAAAGTTAGCACTGTTCTACAGAGGTCACTTTTTCATTTACCTATAAATGGCTTGCCGTTCTACTAATGCATACCTTAGAATTCAGGTACAATTTTATAATAAAATCAACGAAGCATAACGTACATGGAAAATCATAACATAATGCTAAAACAAGTTGCAAGATCAATTGATATAGTTATTTATTACCAAAAGCCCCAGATTATTTCTTTAAATCACAGTTGGCTAATTGGATTTAACACTAAAGATTGTTTTTTTTAATTATTTTTCAAACTAGCATGTAAACATACCTGAAGTGAATCCAAGGACAAATCCAACACCTTAATGTTAATGATATAGTTTTGCACAATTTAGACATAGGCTGTTGAATAGTTTATCTTGATGGCATATAGTCAAAACCTGATCTACACAATGCAATACTATCCAGACCTAGAGGGATTTAAAAAAATCATATTTTAAGTCATTTATTTTAAAAAATTTTTTTTATTTGGGAATAATTCTAGATGTGCAAAAACATTTTACAAATAGAGTTCCAGCTTCCCCTAAAGTTAATATCTTACATAGCTGTTGTAACTTTGTTGAAATTGAGAGATGAATTCTGGTACCTTGTTATCTACTAAACTCTAGATTCTATGTTAACTCTTTATTCTGATTCTGCTAATTTTCTATTAATGTCCTTTTTGCTGTCCTAGGATTCAATCCAGGATACCACACTGCATTTAATTATCATGTCTCTTCACTCTTCTTTGGTCTGGGCAGTTTTTTAGACTTTCCTTGTTTTCCATTACCTTGATCGTTTTGGGGAGTATCAGTCAGGTATTTTGAAGAGTGTCCCTCAATTTGGGTTTCTCTGATATTTCTCAAATGTCAGACTAGGGTTGTGATATTTGGGAATGAATTCTGAATTCCACAGAGGTGAAGTGTGCTTACCACATTATGTCATGAATACGGGATATCAACATGACTTATCACTGGTGATGTTGACCTTGATCACTTGGTGTGCTGCGTTTGTCTGATGTAAAGTTCCTATTTTTTCCATTTCCATACTCTGTTCTTTGGAAGTGGCTCACTAAGTCCAGTCCACACTTGAAGTGATGATGGTGGTGATGACAGGACTGAATTAAACTTAATCTCTGAGGGGTAGGGGTAATATATTCATATTGTTTAGAATCCTTCCCTAAGAAAATTTGTCTCTTCTCCTTCTGGAGGAGGTTTAAAAGTAAGATTTCACAGAGTCAGCTGTGAACTGGTTAAAAATTACTAAGTCCACACATAGTACATAAATGATTCACAATTTACACATGTAATTCATTTTAGAAGTTACAGACTATGAAAAATACAGCAAGTGGGACATAAATTTCCAGATACTTCCATCCTACCTGCTGCACCCCAGAATGTACCCCAGTATGTTTATTTAGAAATCATATGTATGCATTATGGAACTAACATAGTATGTATACAGAGGGAAAACTAAATTTAAATAATATGCTCAGAGTCTCAATATAAATAGGATAATAGTAATCACTAGTATTTATGTGCTTGATGTGTTCCAAGCACTGCCTTAAATGCTCTGGCATGTGTAATACATTTGATCCTAACAGAAAACCTGTGAAGTCAAAACTATTACTATTCACTTTTCACAGATGAGGAAAATATAATGAGAAACATTACATGCTTTGCCCAAAGTCCCAGAGTTATTAAGTGATAGAGGGAGGACTAACCCTAGGCAGCCCGTGCTCTTAATACTGAACTTTGCAAGAAATTCTTGCATTTCTTTTCCCACGTCTTTTAGACACGTGTTTAAAGGAAACTCCCTTTAAAATACTGTTCTCTACCATGCTCTAGAATGCATGCAACCCACCACTGAGAACAGTATTTTAAAGGATGTTTCCAAGGTATAATTCAGGGCCTGTGCTGATTTGCCCGTGTGTCCTGTGCTGGTTTTATCCTGGGTCTGGTCTGTGCCGAGTTGTCCATCTTCCCCTTAAGTCTTGCTGGGAATAAAATTTACTTTTTTCTTGTGCCTTTGATGGGAACACAATCATTGAAGACTTTGCTTTTCCTTCTTAGCTCTGATGACAGCTGTTTGTTTACTGCTGCTGCCTCGTTTCTCTCATATGAACCCTTCATTTCTTCATGAGTTCTTACTATATGGCAGTGACTAACAGCAGATCATCCACTGTGTGCTGGAAGGACAGAGGGGATTGTCATTCAACTAGTAGGGAAAAAAATCGATTTCTGTTTGTGATGTCATCATGAAAATGACTTCATTGAAACTCAGCACTATGGAGGTTCTTTCTATGTCTTGCCTTTAAATGTCTCTGAGACAACAGTCACCTGCGTTATTATTGAATCCCTTCATGGACAACATGCTATGGGTTGCATAGACTCATTTTTTTCTTAGAAAGTGTGTTGCTTTTTTTGTGTGGATGTGCCCCAGTTTATCTATCCAATGACTTACTGAAGGACATCTTTGTTGCTTCTAATTTTTGATAGTTACACATTAAGGTGTTATCAGCAAAAGAAACTATCAACAGAGTAAACAGACAACCTACAGAATGGGAGAAAATATTTGCAAACTATGCATCTGACAAAGGTCTAATATCCAGTATCTTAAGGAACTTAAATTTACAAGAGAAAAACAAACAACCCCATTAAAAAAGTGGGCAAAGGACATAAACAGATACATCTCACAAGAGGACATATATGTGGTCAACAAACATGTAAAAAAAAGTTCAGTATCACTAACTATTAGAAAAATGCAAATCAGGATCTCAGTGAGATACCATCTCACACCAGTCTGAATGGCTATTATTAAAAAGTCAAAAAATAACAGACACTGGTGAGGTTATGGAGAAAAGGAAACCCTTATACATTGTTGGAGGGAGTGTAAATTAGTTCAACCTTGTGGAAAGCAGTATGATGATTCCTCAAAGACCTAAAAGTAGAACTACCATTTGATCCAGCAATCCCATTACTGGGTGTATCTCCAGAGGAACAGAAATCATTCTACCATAAAGACACAGGCATGGGAATATTCACTGCAGCACTATTCATAATAGTAAAGATGCGGAATCAACCTAAATGCCCATCAGTGACAGATTGGATAAAGAACATGTGATACATATAAGCCATGGAATACTATGCAGCCATAAAAAGAGTGACATCATGTCTTTTGTAGAAACATGAATGGAGCTGGAGGCCATAATCCTTAGCAAACTAAACTAATGCAGGAACAGAAAACTAAATACTGCATGTTCTTACTTATAAGTGGGAACTAAATGATATGAGCTTATGAACACAATGAAATAACAAGCACAGGGTCTACTTGAGTGGGGAGGGTGGGAAGAGAGGAGCAGAAAAGATAGCTATTGGATACTGGCCTTAATACCTGGGTAATGAAATAACATGTACAACAAACCCTCATGACAGAGGTTTACCTATATAACAAATCTTCACATGTACCCCCAAACCTAAAATAAAAGTTAAAAAAATAAGGTGCTGTAAACATTCATGCACATGCTTTTGTGTGGACACTTGCTTTTAATTATTTGAGAATAAAATTGATATTTTACCGTATGGTAAGAGTATACTTTACTTTGTAATACACTGCCAAATTGTCTTTCAAAATGAATGGATGTGCCGTTTTGCATTCCTACCAGCAATTAATGAGAGTTCTTGTTGCTCTACAAGTTTTTTAACCACTCTAATAGGTATGTAGTGGCATCAAATTATTTGAATTTGCATTTTCCCAGTGACAAATAACAAATGAAATTGAACATTTTTCCATATGCTTATTTGCTATGTATCTGTTATCTGTCTGTCTATCTAATCTACTCACTTACCTGTCTAATCTGTCAGTCATCATTTTCTTTGGTGAAGTGTCTATTTAGATCTTTTGCATATTTTTTAATTGAGTTGTTTGTTTTCTTATTGTTGAGTTTTCAGAGTTCTTTGTATATTTTAGATAACTGTTACTTATCAGGAATGTGTTTTGCTAATATTTTCTCCCATTCTGGGGCTTGTCTGTTCATTCTCTAAGTGTCTTTCATAGCACAAAATGTTTTAATTTTAATAAAGTTCAATTTATCACAAGTTTTTAGATTACAATAATAAAAGCATGATCAAAAGCACATTTAATCAGGCTTCTGATCATGCTTTCATTATTGGTAATCTGAAAACTTGCCATCAAATCCGAGGTCACATAGATTGTCTTTTGTGGTTCTTTCTTGCTATTGTATAGTTTCATATTTAACATTTTGGTCTATCATCTACTTGGAGTTATTTTTGGTGTAAGTTTTAAGATCTATGTCTAAATGTTTTTGTGTATAGACAATTGTTCTAGCACCATTTGTTGAAAAAAACTATCCTTTTTCCAATGAATTGCAAGTTAACCTCCTCTTAAAATGTATGTTTTATTGTGTTGTGGTCAGATAACAATTTGTAGTTGATATATTTTAAAAAATATTTTTGAGACTTTTCTTTCTGGACTGATATATTAAAAAATTTTAAAAACATTCTTAGATTTATTCTTCATAGACTGCAATTATAATGGTTAAAACAATATTATTATATTATTTAAATCATCTAAGATTTTGTTGATATTTTAGCTACTCTTTTATCTGTTAGACGTTGATAGCTTCTGGCTATTAATTTATTTCACTTCATTCCTCTTTGCATTTTAAGATTCTTCTTTATTGATTTTGTTATGTTTTGATTTCCTATTACACTTTGATAAAAATACTGTTTTATTGTTGTTTCCTAACTGTTAATCATTGTTACTTACTAAATATCTATTTTCTCTGTTTTTTTTCCCTAATAGAATGCTAATTTTCTTTTGGAAGTAAGTGGGTCCATTTTGAACAAAAATTACCATATTTTCTAGCATCCCTTCAGCTTCAAGATGGCCTTGTGGTGAATATCAGGCTATTGAAACATAGGCTGCATGTTGACTGAGAATTTTAGACAGCTTTTCTTTCCCAGCGTAGAGTCCCTTTCTCCCTGTTACTTGTTCTTTCTTCATCTTGTCTTCAATACAATTGGGGAGTAGGAGATGGGGTAGCTATCTATGACAAACACAAGTTTCCTTCATCTCAGAAGAGTTGTCTTCTTTTTGTTGTTGTTGTTTTTACTTTTCATCTTTTCCATATTCTTTCTTACCTTCTTTTAGCATTCTGATATGTGTATGTGGAGATGTGAGAGAGAAAGTGATACAGAAACAGCAAGAGAGAAGACAGGGAAGGAAAAGAAGGAGGAGGAAAGGAAAGAAGAGAGGAGAGCACTGAGGGAGGGAAGGAAGAAGGAGAGGATGTGTTGGATTTGCTGTCCTGTTTCTTGATCTTTTCTCTTTACATTTTCATTCCATTTTAAATTTCACCTGTTTTCTGCAAGAAATTTCACTAGCTAGCTTTCCTCTTCACAGACTTGTTTGTCATCTGTAATCTACTCTTTGGTCATTGCAAAATCAGCATTTAAAGCAATTTATATTTTAGTAATTAATATGCCAGTAAAGCATAAAATGTAAGAGTACAGCCTCAAGAATTACAAAATTGGGTTCTAATCCCAGTTCAATCACTAGCTATTTTATCTTGAGCAAAGAAACCTACCTTCTACCTGCTTGTTTTCCCATTTGTAGAATGGATATAAAAATGGTACCTCCTGATTGATAGGGTTTGGGGAGTATTCAATGAGAAGCTGCATACAAAATATCTAAAATGGGTCTGGAATGTATCAAGTCCTAGCTAATTTTTGTCCTGTGCTATTACATAATTATCAATTTATTATGTTTTTAGTGGTAATTGGAAGGTTAAGAGAATAATTGAGCTTAATAATTCCTAAGCAGTCAATTCCTTCAGATAAGTTCAAATACCAAGTATGCCTGCTGATTAAAAAGCACAGTGTTTCAATACTGGTACACCAATGTCATAGCAGCATTATTCATAATAGCCAAAAAGTGGAAGCAATCCCAATGCCCATCAACAGATGAATGGATAAACAATATATCTACACATACGATGGCATATATAATGGAGTAGTATTCAGCTCTATATAGGAATGAAGTACGAATACATTCTACATTATGGATAAACCTTGAAAACATTTTACTAAGTGGAATAAGCCAGAAATAAAAGCACAAATGTTACAAATATTGTGTGATTCCAATTCTCTGAGGTACCTAGAATAGGCAAATCCATAGAGAAAGAAACTAGAATATAGGCTACCAAGGCTGGGAGAAGGGTAGCATGGGGAGTTATTATGTAATGGGGATGGAGCTTTTGTGTTGGATGACAAAAACATTTTGGAGATGGATGGTAGTAATGATTGCACAGCACTGTGAATGTACTTAATGACACTTCATTTGTAAACTTTAAAAAGGGGTTAATTGGTACTTTTACATTATATATATTTTACCACAATATAAAAGAAGAAACAAACAAAAACACCCAGAAGGAAAGTTTGAAGTATCATTTGGATGTTTCCCTTTTCACGCCTGACTTTGCATTATCTGCAATGATTAAGCCTATATAAATCAGTCTACCATGTCGAAACTGACAATGTGTCAAACATACTGTGGATGCGATGTCCTCACTATTTCTCAGATCTTCAGAATGTCATTTGCCACAGGCTAGAAAATATAAAAGATGAGGCCAGGCTCAGTGGCTCATGCCTGTAAATCCCAGCACTTTGGGAGGCCGAGGCGGGCGGATCACGAGGTCAGGAGACCGAGACCATCCTGTCTAACACGGTGAAACCCCGTCTCTACTAAAAATATAAAAAATTAGCCGGGCCTGGTGGCGGGCGCCTGTAGTCCCAGCTACACGGGAGGCTGAGGCAGGAGAATGGCGTGAACCCGGGACGCGGAGCTTGCAGTGAGCAGATATCGCGCCACTGCACTCCAGCCTGGGCGACAGAGCGAGACTCCGTCTCAAAAAAAAAAAAAAAAAGAAAGAAAGAAAGAAAAAAAAGAAAATATAAAAGGTGGAAGCAGGGGGTAGTGGCTGGATCTGAACTGAAGGAACTGTCCTGCCCCCAACTTTCCAAGGAATTTGTGAATACTCACTCGCAAGAGCTCACCACAAAGTTCATTGTTACTAGTCACCAGCTTTGGCTTTCTTACTGATTTCTACAAGCAGAATTCTGGTACACTGTTCATTAAAATGCACTAGTATGGATCAAAGTAGGAAATTTTACCGTTAATTAGTATGAAATGAACTTAACTTGAAACATCGTAAAGCTGACATGCTATATGTTCTGGGATTTAATCCCATTTTCCCGTGTCTGCAGATTCAGAAATCAAAAATATTATTTTAATAGGATTCTGAAACTCAACTCTACTGGGGTGACAGAGAAATACCCTGCAAGTAATAAACAAAAGGCAACGCTCATAATCATCTTTCTTGAATATTGGAAAACATACTGGAAAAATAGATAATTATTCTGGGAAAATGTGTGTTAATTATGAAAAAATTAAAAAAGAAAACAGTCTCATTTTCTTTTGAAATATAAAGTAAAACATTTTATTTGAACCTATTTAGCCAAATTTACATTTTAAACATTAGAATTAGTTTTCTGCCAATATTATTAAGAAAATAAAAAAGGATTACAAACTGGATGCATCATTTATTTTACCAGAAAAGACACTTGGTCTCAGTTGAACAATTTGCCAATTCAAGATGGGGTTAGAGGGGGAGTCAGACTTTTACCTTTTTCCATGAGTGGTTAAACGTGGACAATTTCTTGGGCATCACACAGACAATTAAAACACAAGTTAAATTCATACCTTTATTAGGGTTTGATTTATGGTAAAAATATTGTTATGGTGGCATCATTTGCAGATCTGATAAAATGTTAGTGATTGCGCACTGGTGCACAGTCAGTTGATGAATTCATGGCATTTCATGTTTGTTTCATTTTTTTGTTTGTTTTAGTCTCTTATTTTTTTTTTATTATACTTTAAGTTTTAGCGTACATGTGCACAATGTGCAGGTTTGTTACATATGTATACATGTGCCATGCTGGTGTGCTGCACCCATTAACTCATCATTTAGCATTAGGTATATCTCCCAATGCTGTCCCTCCCCCCTCCCCCCACCCCACAACAGTCCCCAGAGTGTGATGTTCCCCTTCCTGTGTCCATGTGTTCTCATTGTTCAATTCCCATCTATGAGTGAGAACATGCGGTGTTTGGTTTTTTGTCCTTGCGATAGTTTACTGAGAATGATGATTTCCAATTTCATCCATGTCCCTACAAAGGACATGAACTCATTCATTTTTTATGGCTGCATAGTATTCCATGGTGTATATGTGCCACATTTTCTTAATCCAGTCTATCATTGTTGGACATTTGGGTTGGTTCTAAGTCTTTGCTATTGTGAATAGTGCCGCAATCAACATACGTGTGCATGTGTCTTTATAGCAGCATGATTTATAGTCCTTTGGGTATATACCCAGTAATGGGATGGCTGGGTCAAATGGTATTTCTAGTTCTAGATCCCTGAGGAATGGCCACACTGACTTCCACAATGGTTGAACTAGTTTACAGTCCCACCAACAGTGTAAAAGTGTTCCTATTTCTCCACATCCTCTCCAGCACCTCTTGTTTCCTGACTTTTTAATGATTGCCATTCTAACTGGTGTGAGATGGTATCTCATTTGTGGTTTTGATTTGCATTTCTCTGATGGCCAGTGATGGTGAGCATTTTTTCATGTGTCTGTTGGCTGCATAAATGTCTTCTTTTGAGAAGTGTCTGTTCATATCCTTTGCCCACTTTTTGATGGGGTTGTTTGTTTTTTTCTTGTAAATTTGTTTGAGTTCATTGTAGATTCTGGATATTAGCCCTTTGTCAGATGAGTAGGTTGTGAAAATTTTCTCCCATTTTGTAGGTTGCCTGTTCACTCTGAAGGTAGTTTCTTTTGCTGTGCAGAAGCTCTTTAGTTTAATTAGATCCCATTTGTCAATTTTGGCTTTTGTTGCCATTGCTTTTTGTGTTTTAGACATGAAGTCCTTGCCTATGCCTGTGTCCTGAATGGTAATGCCTAGGTCATGTTTGTTTCATTTGTGGGTAGATACTAACTTGTTTTGGCTCCCTTTGACTACTAGATTCAATTTATCTACATTATCCAGAAAGGCTAAAAGGCAGGATGCATAGAAACCTTTTCCCATTCGCAAACAGGCCAGAATGTTTGAGAAAAGATGAAAAGCAAAGTAAATTTTCTATAAAATACCCTTTGGGTTTTTTTCTAAAGTAAACCCTTTCTAGGTTCTAGTCAGGTGGAACATGCCTGCTGATCTGAAATTTTTCACTTCTAAATACTGTTCATAAATTATGTGATTGAGGAGTTTACTGATATTTGATCCAGTCTTTTCATGTAAAATAGTTGCTTTTAAAACTGCCAACCACTAAACATGCAGTGCTAGGTACAAATAATTTTTGAATAACAGGCCTCATAGGGAATTATGGCAAGAATGCTTCAACTGATGAAATGCTAGCTACATTTTTTTAAAAGGGCTTAGAAAAATTATGGGCGATGAGGTGGTGCTACTCAACTGTAGAAACAACCATGGGCTGAACTCATAGATGATTGATTCTGCTATGGTCTTAATCTTGGTGTAAGTTTATATAGGAAATAATTAGATATATTGGAGAGATCTAAAAGTTATGTGGCCTAAGCAGAAGGAAGACAAGATTTTTCTGCATTGGAAAGGGCAGTATATGAATCAGCTGACTTTCATGGGCATCTTTTATCCGTCAATCAACTCAATTTTAATGAGCAAATAGAAGCAGTATCTTACAACAGGAAAAAAAACAGGCATGACTGAAATCCTAAGTCTAGGTTTCAGAGGCAGTATCGAGTTGCAGTTAAGGGCCTAAAGTGTAAAGCTTAACTTCTTTGGGTTGAAACTCAACTCTATTTCTTTCTGACGACTATGTGATCTGGTCAAGCTATTTAAAATTTCTGAGCATCTATTTCTTCAAATAGAAAATACAAATGATGACAAGTCTACTCCTCTACTCTAGAAAAATATAGGGTTTTCATAAGGAATAAATGAGTGAGTATATTGAAATACCTTAGGGTAATGCTTTCACAGTGTACATACGCAGTAAGTGTTAGGTATTCCTAGGATTGCACTTGTGTCAGTCATTGATGACCAATTCAAATTTTTACTTCTCTGACCCTTAGTTTTTCCTTCTAGAAAGTTAGAAGGATGAAATGGATCCATGGGTTCCAAATGTATTTTAGGCATGAACTCTTTTCTTGAACAGCTCTTCTTGTGCACTCATCGTGTACATAAAACAGATGACACGCAGGTTGTCCTGGCAGAAGCAGACACCAGGGTCAAGAGCACTGGTGGCTTCTCATACTCCCTGTCAAAAGGTCACTGAAGGGTTTTGGCTGGACGCGGTGGCTCACGCCTCACTTTGGGAGGCCGAGATGGGTGGATCACTGGAGGTCAGGAGTTAGAGACCAGCCTGGCCAATATGGTGAAACCCCGTCTCTGATAAAAAAATACAAAAATTAGCCGGGAATGGTGGCAGGCACCTGTAATCCCAGCTATTCAGGAGGCTGAGGCAGGAGAATCGCTTGAACCTGGGAGACAGAGGTTTCAGTGAGCCGAGATTCCACTACTGCACTCTAGCCTGGGAGACAGAACAAAACTCTGTCTCAAAAAAAAAAAAAAAAAAAAAAGTCACTGAGGGGATTCTAAAGAATTCTACAGCTACATGGAGTGTGGAATTGTTTTCAAAACCCTGATTTTAAGGACATACTTGATTGTTAGCTTTTAGCTGGCTTTATAGTCTTAGGTAAATTACCCGTTTATCTGAACCTCAGATTCCACATCTGTAAAATCAAAGTAGAAATGAAGAATGACTTGGGAAATGGAGTAGAAAATGTAGAGTGCTTAGCTCCAAGCCCGACCCTGAGAAATCGTAGTTTAATAAATACAAGCTAAAAACATCACCACAAGAAAGAAGGTAGTAAATATGATGTTCAAGCAGCTCTCTGATGAGAATGAGGTAATTTGAAGTGTGATTCAGCCGGGGCTTGTCTCAAATCCCTTTGAGAGAAGAGATTCCAAAGTTTTGCGAAAGGTTATTCTTGATCAGGAAAACATTCCATTTTTCTTTACAGTCAATAAGTTTATATGACCTTAAGAAATTTCAGCTGAGATATTTTTTCTGTTTTGTTTTTTGTTTTTTGTTTTTTTTTTTTGAGATGGAGTCTCGCTCTGTCGCCCAGGCTGGAGTCCAGTGGTGTGATCTCGGCTCACTGCAAGGTCCGCCTGCTGGGTTCACGCCATTCTCCTGCCTCAGCCTCCCAAGTAGCTGGGACCACAGGCACCCACCACCACGCCCAGCTAATTTTTTTGTATTTTTAGTAGAGACGTGGTTTCATCGTGTTACCCAGGATGGTCTTGATCTCCTGACCTCGTGATCCGCCTGCCTCAGCCTCCCAAAGTGCTGGAATTACAGGCATGAGCCACCACCCTCGGTCAGCTGAGATATTTGTTCTATCTCCACTTTAACCTCTGGCTTTCCATGTCTTCCCCTTACATGGGGGCCTTGGGGTATATAATAGGGCAGAGCTGGGTTAAATAATTGATTTTTAAAATTCTAGTTTTTTTAGCTTAAGGATTGAACTCCTAAATTTAATAACTCTACTGGTCCCTCTCTTTTCTCCAAAAGGTTTCAGGTTTCTGTGGTGTTGTTTGAAGGGAACTGGGGTTGACAAATTATTGCATAATACACTCTTAGGAGAACGATCTTCTTGGGAATCATGATATCAGTATGTTTGAGATAAGATCTTGTTCTCTTTATAAGGATTCATCATTTCCCAACTTGCCATACCAATGCTTGCCTTCTTTCTAGTGATCCCAGGACTCAGTGGTCACTATTACTAAAGTGCAAGGTGCACTCCTGAAGAAGTAATCATAGCAGTGGGTAAATAGATGGAGAGATGAACAAAGAGATAAGGTACAGAGAGAATAAGGCTGCATGCATAATCACAGCTGCTCTTCATAAATAGTTTGGCTGCAGTGTGTAACAATAAACAGTGAGCCTTTTTCATATGATCTTCCAGTGTTTTTCTCTTTAGATTATAATCTCTTAGATTTACAAGATACTATATTTATATAATCTAGATTACAATGAATTAGATTGTAATTAATATAACCAAAATTTTAGATTACAATTAACATAATCTAATCTCTTATATTAATCTAAGAGATTATAATCTTAAGATTATTAGTATGATATCTTTAGATTATAAACTCCTAGAGGACAGGTATAATGTCTTATTTTTCTCTTTATGCAAATTTAATAAATTTTTATTAAGCATCTTCTAAAACGCATAGAACTGTGTAAGGTGATAAATACTTGCTCAATGTACACATAAAAAGGAAAATAATACAATGAAATAATATTTGAAAAATATTGCCAAAACTTTATCTTTTATTTTTTCAATTTAAATGTGAAATGTTTGTTTTCAGATCGTTGTGGCAAAGATCGATGTAAAGTAGCTACCAGTTAAGTTTTAAATGATAGGTTTTACATAAAAACATAAAAATAAAAACCATTCATTTTACCTTTCATTCCGTGCTTCAATTCCATGAAAACCCTCCCTACAGATTTCGAATGTGAAGAGTTCAATTTCACATTGCTTCTAGATTCCCACTGGTGGCTTTTCTCACTCTTAAATGGTTCTTCACATTGATGTTCACAGTCATTGTCTCAGACATTGAAGATGAAGTGTGTTTGTGATGGAAAAAAAAAGTTCTTTAAGCTACCTGGAAATAGTGCCTCTATTTATGTTTAAATACAAAGTAAGGGTTGATCTTCTCGCTGGTGAAGTGTTTACATTGATGTTTGGAGAGGCATCCTCCCCTACGGAAGCATTCGAGTACTGACGATAGGCCTTTCGGCATTGACACCGCTGGGTGTAAGATTCAGATGAGTTCAGTCCAGCTAATGAAGAGGTGTTATTATTTCTTATATTCTTTCCTTGGCTTTCTTTTTTAATTTGGAGAGGCACAGTTAAGTTTTGTTTAGGACAGTACTACGATTACATGTAATCAAAATGTGATTCCACTCATGTAATCAAAATTATGTGAATAATTGGATTACTCATGTAAGAAATCCAATATAGGCATTTCATATAAATCATGTCATTTAATACTCACAACAACTTGAAAAGTTAGATAATATTACTCCCATTTTATAAAAGAGCTAACCAAGATTCAGAGGCGTTAAATAAATTTTTAAGGACACACAGTATGAACACAGATATGTCTGTTTAGAGGGTTTATGCTTAGCAATTATAATAGACTTCAAAACATATTTACAAAATGCCATCTTGTTTCTTGACAATGAGGTAGGTTTTGACACAGAAGCTGCAATGTATTGATCCTTCCAAAGGAGGGAAAACCAATACCTTAAGTAAATAATCCAACATGTATTCAATGAACAACGTTGAATTCCCATAACCTAATATGATGATAGGTTCTGGGATGAAATGGTGGGAAAAAAAAAGACATTCACAGAGTTTATACTGTAGACCAAGGGTCAGCAAACTGTGGCCCAATTGTCAAATCTGGGCAATGACTTGTTTTTGTAAGTAAAATTTTAGTGGAACACAGCCATACCATTTTTTTTTTTTTTGTTTTACACATTGTCTATGGATGCTTTTGCACTGCAACAGCAGAGTTCCATTTAACAGAGGTTGTATGGTGTGCAAAGCCAAAAATATCTGCAGACCTCTAGTCTCATTTGCTGACTTCTATTCTAGAGCAATAGCCAGACATCTGGGGGAAAGCCAGAGCTTTCTGGGGGAAATGGCATCTGAGATTTCATGTGGATACAAAATCTCCAGGAGTAGCAGGGATTGGGAAGGAGGGGACAGCAAAGGGTTAAGTATACTTGAGGCTTTGAAGCCCCTTATGAGAAATCCAAGGGTAAAAAAGAATAGTTCTTTAGAGGATCTGAAATATTCAGTGGAAACATAGGATGAATACCCAACGTCTCAGCTCAGGAATCTTGGTATTTCTAGTTACTTCTACATATAAGGGTAGGGGTATCTCACCACCACTAATCCCCACATGTTCAAGACAAACCCCATTTTGGACTTCCATGAGTTCTGGAACGTCGTAAAGGACATACTCAGGACTGTCAGACTGGTATTGAGTGAAGGCAGGATAAGTCTGGCGCTGGCAGAGTCTCCATCCTATGCCAACAGCAGGAGGAAGTGGGCCACACCTGAGTGCACGTGATAGATGTGAGGTTCTTGCTCCAGTGAAGCTCCTGGGCATTTCAGCAGAGAGTCTTTAGATTCAGTCAGTCAGTACTTGGTTGGTAGTGTGGGCTGCCTCCCAGGGAATACATCCCAGGACCCAATCCCAACCCACTTGCTCAGCCCTCATCCACCCAAATGTTTGCAGCTTATGCATCCAAATCTCTCTTGCCATGCCTCAATTTATTTTTTATTATACTTTAAGTTCTAGGGTACATGTGCACAGTGTGCAGATTTGTTACATGTGTACACATGTGCCATGTTGGTGTGCTGCACCCATTAACTAGTCATTTACATTATGTATATCTCCTAATGCTATCCCTCCTCCCTCCCCGCACCCAACCACAGGCCCCAGTGTGTGATATTCCCCATCCTGTGTCCAAGTGTTCTCATTGTTCAGTTCGCACCTATGAGTGAGAACATGTGGTGTTTGATTTTCCGTCCTTGCGATAGTTTGCTCAGAATGATGGTTTCTAGCTTCATCCATGTCCCTACAAAGGACATGAACTCATCCTTTTTTATGGCTGCAAAGTATTCCATCGTGTATATGTGCCATATTTTCTTAATCCAGTCTGTCATTGATGGACATTTGGGTTGGTTCTAAGTCTTTGCTATTGTGAATAGTGCTGCAATAAACATACGCGTGCATGTGTCTTTACAGCAGCATGATTTATAATCCTTTGGGTATATACCTAGTAATGGGATGGCTGGGTCAAATGGTATTTCTAGTTCCAGATCCTTGAGGAATCACCACACTGTCTTTCAGAATGGTTGGACTAGTTTACAGTCCCACCAACAGTGTAAAAGTGTTCCTATTTCTCCCCATCCTCTCCAGCACCTCTTGTTTCCTGACTTTCTAATGATCACCACTCTAACTGGTGTGAGATGATATCTCATTGTGGTTTTGATTTGAATTTCTCTGATGGCCAGTGATGATGAGCATTTTTTAATGTGTCTGTTGGCTGCATAAATGTCTTCTTTTAAGAAGTGTCTGTTCATGTCCTTAACCTACTTTTTTATGGGGTTGATTTTTTTCTTGGAAATTTGTTTAAGTTTTTTGTAGATTCTGGATATTAGCCCTTTGTCAGATGGGTAGATTGCAAAAATTTTCTTCCATTCTGTAGGTTGCCTGTTCACTCTGATGGTAGTTTCTTTTGCTGTGCAGAAGCTCTTTAGTTTAATTAGATCCCATTTGTCAATTTTGGCTTTTGTTGCCCTTGCTTTTGGTGATTTAGTCATGAAGTCCTTGCCCATGCCTATGTCCTGAATGGTACTGCCTAGGTTGTCTTCTGGGGTTTTTATGGTTTTAGGCCTAACATTTAAGTCTTTAATCCATCTCGAATTAATTTTTGTATAAGGTGTAAGGAAGGGATCCAGTTTCAGCTTTCTACATATGGCTAGCCAGTTTTCCCAGGACCATTTATTAACTAGGGAATCCTTTCCCCATTTCTTGTTTTTGTCAGGTTTGTCAACGATCAGATGGTTGTAGATGTGTGGTATTATTTCTGAGGGCTGTGTTCTGTTCCATTGCTCTATATCTCTGTTTTGGTACCAGTACCATGCTGTTTTGGTTGCTGTAGCCTTGTAGTATAGTTTGAAGTCAGGTAGCGTGATGCCTCCAGCTTTGTTCTTTTGGCTTAGGATTGTCTTGGAAATGTGGGCTCTTTTTTGGTTCCATATGAACTTTAAAGTAATTTTTTCCAATTCTGTGAAGAAAGTCATTGGTAGCTTGATGCGGATGGCATTGAATCTATAAATTACCTTAGGCAGAATGGCCACTTTCATGATATCATTTCTTCCTATCCATGAGCATGGAATGTTCTTCCATTTGTTTGTGTCCTCTTTTATTTCGTTGAGTAGTGGTTTGTAGTTCTCCTTGAAGAGGTCCTTCACATCCCTTGTAAGTTGGATTCCTAGTTATTTTATCTCTTTGAAGCAATTGTGAATGGGAGTTCACTCATGATTTGGCTCTCTGTCTGTTATTGGTGTATAGGAATGCTTGTGATTTTTGCGCATTGATTTTGTATCCTAAGACTTTGCTGAAGTTGCTTATCAGCTTAAGGAGATTTTGGGCTGAGATGATGGGATTTTCTAAATATACAATCATGTCATCTGCAAACAGGGACAATTTGACTTCCTCTTTTCCTAATTGAATACCCTTGATTTCTTTCTCCTGCCTGACTGCCCTGGCCAGAACTTCCAACACTATGTTGAATAGGAGTGGTGAGAGAGGGCATCTCTGTCTTGTGCCAGTTTTCAAAGGGAATGTTTCCAGTTTTTGCCCATTCAGTATGATATTGGCTGTGGGTTTGTCACAGATAGCTCTTATTATTTTGAGATACATCCCATCAATACCTAATTTATGACAGTTTTTAGCATGAAGGGCTGTTGAATTTTGTCGAAGGCTTTTTCTGCATCTATTGAGATAATCATGTGGTTTTTGCCTTTGGTTCTGCTTATGTGATGGATTACATTTATTGATTTGCATATGTTGAACCAGCCATGCCTCCCAGGGATGAAGCCAACTTGATTGTGGTGGTTAAACTTTTTGATATGCTGCTAGATTCGGTTTGCCAGTATTTTATTGAGGATTTTTGTGTTGATGTTCATCAGAGATATTGGTCTAAAATTCTCATTTTTTTGCGTCTGCACCAGGCTTTGGTATCAGGGTGATGCTGGACTCATAAAATGAGTTAGGGAGGATTCCCTCTTTTTCTATTGATTGGAATAGTTTTGGAAGGAGTGGTACCAGCTCCTCTCTGTACCTCTGGTAGAATTCGGCTGTGAATCCGTCTGGTCCTGGACTTTTTTTGTTTGGTAGGCTATTACTGCCTCAATTTCAGAGCCTGTTATTGGTCTGTTTAGGGATTCAACATCTTCCTGGTTTAGCCTTGGGAGGGTGTATGTGTCCAGGAATTTTTCTATTTCTTCTAGATTTTCTGGTTGATTTGTGTAGATGTGTTTATAGTATTCTCTGATGGTAGTTTGCATTTCTGTGGGATCGGTGGTGATATCCCCTTTATCATTTTTTATTGCATCTAGTTGATTCTTCTCTCTTTTCTTCTTTATTAGTCTTCCTAGCGATTTATCAATTTTGTTGATCTTTTCACAAAACCAGCTCCTGGATTCACTGATTTTTTTTGAAGGTTTTTTTGTGTCTCTATTTCCTTCAGTTCTGCTCTGATCTTAGTTATTTCTTGCCTTCTGCTAGCTTTTGAATGTATTTGCTCTTGCTTCTCTAGTACTTTTAATTGTGATGTTAGGGTGTCAATTTTAGATCTTTCCTGCTTCCTCTCATGGGTATTTAGTGGTATAAATTTTCCTCTACATACTGTTTTAAATGTGTCCCAGAGATTCTTGTATGTTGTGTCTTTGTTCTCACTGGTTTCAAAGAACATCTTTATTTTTGCCTTCATTTCGTTATGTACCCAATAGTCATTCAGGAGCAGGTTGTTCAGTTTCCATGTAGTTGAGTGGTTTTGAGTGAGTTTCTTAATCCTGAATTCTAGTTTGATTGCACTGTGGTCTGAGAGACAGTTTGTTATGATTTCTCTTCTTTTACATTTGCTGAGGAGTGCTTTCCTTCCAACTATGTGGTCAGTTTTGGAATAAGTGTGATGTGGTGCTGTGAAGAATATATATTCTGTTGATTTGGGGTGGAGAGTTCTGTAGATGTCTATTAGGTCCACTTGGTGCGGAACTGAGTTCAATTCTTGGGTATCCTTTTTAATTTTCTGTCTCATTGATCTGTCTAATGTTGACAGTGGAGTGTTAAAGTCTCCCATTATTATTGTGTGGGAGTCTAACTCTCTTTGTAGGTCTCTAAGGACTTGCTTTATGAATCTGGGTGCTCCTGTATTGGGTGCCTATATATTTAGGATAGTTAGCTCTTCTTGTTGCATTGATCCCTTTACCATCATGTAATGGCCCTCTTTGTCTCTTCTGATCTTTGTTGGTTTAAAGTCTGTTTTATCAGAGACTAGGATTGCAACCCCTGCTTTTTTTTTTTTGTTTGTTTTCCATTTGCTTGGTAGATCTTCCTCCATCCCTTTATTTTGAGCCTATGTGTGTCTTAGCATGTGAGATGGGTCTCCTGAATACAGCACAGTGTTGGGTCTTGACTCTTAATCTAATTTGCCAGTCTGTGTCTTTTAATTGGAGCATTTAGCCCATTTACATTTAAAGTTAATATTATTATTTGTGAATTTGATCCTGTCATGATTTTAACTGGTTGTTTTGCTCATTAGTTGATGCAGTTTCTTCCTGGCATCGATGATCTTTACAATTTGGCATGTTTTTTCAGTGGCTGGTACCGGTTTTTCCTCTCCATGTTTAGTGCTTCCTTCAGGAGCTCTTGTAAGGCAGGACTGGTGGTGACAAAATCTCTCAGCATTTGCTTGTCTGTAAAGTATTTTATTTCTCCTTCACTTATGAGGCTTAGTTTGGCTGTATATGAAATTCTGGGTTGAAAATTCTTTTCTTTAAGAATGTTGAATATTGGCCCCCACACTCTTCTTGTAGAGTTTCTGCCAAGAGATCCGCTGTTAGTCTAATGGGCTTCCCTTTGTGGGCAATCTAATCTGTTAGTCTAATGAGCAATCATGCCTGGACTGTTTATTCTTTTTATTTCCTTTTAGAGAGACTTCAACTGTTCATTAAACAAGAGCTGGCATCACTGAGAGACAGTATAGTGAATACAAGTAGGAATTCTGATGCCAGATTTTCCAAGTTCAAAGCTAAAAGCTGTGTGATGTTGAGGAAGGTTGTTGTGTTTCTCAGGGTTTAGCCATTGTATACTTGAAGTGAAGAAGTGAACTTGATGTTCTGCCTCACTGAGTTGTTTCCCTCATTGAGGAGCAGTGGTGTTACTACTGTTAGAACTTTGCTCACAGCAAATGCTGTATATGTGGGAGTTATGGTTATCGTATCATTGACTTAAAACCCAGTTCCCCTTTCCTAGAAGGCAGGGTTTCCCTACAAAGGGTTAGGGAAACCATTGGTCTTCTATATCAATATATCTATATTGGGTATAGAGAGAAATGTGAGGAGTAGACAGGGCAAGGTCTAGGGTACCTCACTCTCCTTGGAACCACTTTTTGAGGGTACATAAAAAGCAAGACTCAAGACAGATAACACTCAATGAAATATTGTTAGAAACAAAAAGTATTGCAAAAATCTATGATGAACAAAATATCAAACATTTAAATTAAGAAATGCTATGTTGAGCTACAAACGTACTGGAGACAAAAGGAAAATCATAACGTGAATAGAGGTGTCCTCCCTCTGCACCAATATAGCATGAAAAGGAAAATAAAATAGCAAAATGTCCAGATCACAGCACACTGAATATCCATGACATGGTGCCGCCTGGAATGAAGACTGTGAAGAAGAGAACAGGGAGTGATAAAAGCAGAGGGGGAGCTGCTGTTTGATCTGGCTTGTTAAAGATTATAAGCTTTATCCCCACAGCAAAAGGGATCCTTGAAGGGTTTTAAGCTGGGAAGTGGCATAATCTGATCCTCATGGCATATAAATCAGAGAAGTTCAAATCTGTAGATTCTAAACCATACAGGGTAACAAATAGCCTCTTGAAATTAAAAAAAAAAGCAAGTGGTTTAAATAAACTAAGTAAATCTACATGTATTGTCTAATGAATAAATTTTTAGATTAGACAGGCATAGATGTAATTATTTTCAACATTAGCTGGGGGGGGGAAAGAAAGTTGATTCAAACAAGCTTTATTTTTGAAACTCCTCAACTTTGATAACTGCAAATTTTATGAGCACCCCTGCTTGAATACTTGTGACTAAGATTGAAAAAAAAGCTATTAAAAGTATTCCTGGATGATGCTAAGTCAGTGTACATTTCAGGATGATATTTTTGGCAAGAAAGGATCCATGATATGTAGTCTCTCTTTGTTGTAGTTTGAAATTACCTGATGGTAATTCTTTAAATTTTTCATTTAGAATGGAAGGTTAATAGTTATCCTGCACAGTTCTTGCAAAGTGAAAATGAGATTGGAAAGTTAAAATATAATTAATTTACTTTCCTATTATCCCTTTCGCTGGAGGAATATTCATGCATTCTGAACAGATAAGTTTTAAAAGAGGCACTAAATTGTAAGTGTTCACACTTGGATTCAGTTTAAAAGTTAAAAGCTTTCAGGCCAAATAAATTAGACAAGCATGCAAGATGAACCTCCACTTTAACATTAATGAGTAAGTGTCTACCTTTCACATCACTGTGTCTGTAGTTTCAGTATGAACACCAAAGATGTTTTCAAAAGTTGCCATGGAGTTATATTGATATTTATTTTGTGAATAAATTATTTTAAGTTCTATCTGTTGAAATGCCAACTATGGCCTTTCAAAATGAAGAGAAGTCCAGCTGTGTTTTGGTGACTTGACACGGAAGATGATTCTGCAACTTGCTTGTCACCTCTTCAGCTTGCTGTTGCATTATATTTCATGTACGTTTTCCCTGGTTGCCAGCAACAGAAATGATATAGAAAAATATAGCTAAGTCCCTAAGATCCAAAGAAAGGACAAAAACAAATAATGAAGTTGTCTAGGAGGATCCAGCCAATTAATTCATCACTGTGCTATCTAAAGATAACTTTGCAGGATCCATGAGATTAAAAGGTGAGCTGTATTTAATTTTCCTTTGCTTTCTAATTCATTTACAGCATATACAGGTGCCATTCATGGGTGAAATGATGGTAGGATTTCTACCTGAAGACTCCATTTATAAATTCCTCATAATTGTTTTTGCTGTTTTTTATATTATCAGATTTTTCTAGAATATAAAAATAGCATGTTGCATTCAAAACACTGAAGGAATTAAAGAGACAATGATTGTTTTACTGATTTATGTATTCTTTCAACAAATATGAGTTGATGGCTTAACTGTGTACCAGATACTGTGTCTGAGAACACTGCAGAAGTCAGACAGATGTGGATGAATGAGAGAATGCAGAGGATAAACAATAAAGTGGTTGTAAGAAAAAGATAGGTTCAGAAGGTTATGGGCACTACAAAAATAAAAACAAAACAAAACAACACAAAACAGAGTGATGCTCCGGAAAGTAATACAAGTAGAGAAGTGGCACTAATTTAGGAAGTTCTAAGAAGGCATTTTTAAGGAACTGGCATTTGAACTGAGTCCTGAACGAAGTCCTGAGGGAAGCAGTTATGCAAATATCTGGGAAAGAACATCCCAAGCAAAGGAAACCAAAGGCTGTGAAGCATGAGCAAGTATTGAGCTTCCATCACTGAGCCTAGCATATCGTGGACGATCAGGTTTGAAAGGGAGGTTGCAAACCGGCTAAGGGAGCAACTACCATCCTTGAGATGTTACTTTTCCCCTTACCGCGTCCTCTGCTCAACTGAGAACACTCATATCTTAGGACAAAATCAGGTCTTGAATTGTGCCTGCACAGTGGTCCTAGGGGAAGTAGAGAACAATTTAGGGAATTCTAGCAAGGATACCTCCAACTTTCAACTCACAATTCTACGTATTGTCAGTTAAATTCAACTCACAGCTCTATGTATTGTCAATCAAATTCAAAACCATTAGATCTGAAATCTGAAGTCTGCAAATTATTTTGTTTAATCTTGTTTTGGCAGGGTAGTAAAGCATTTTGTAGTAATTTTAATGTCTTAATTTTTTTCTATGGATTTTCTTCTCAAATATCCCTAAATTTATGTGATTGTAGTTATAAATTGTAACTAGTATCAGTAGAAAATTAATTCAGAAGACAATCTTTCACATTTTAGTAAAATTTATACACCCTTAATAATTTATTATGAAGTTGGTAAGACCTGTTTTAAAAGTTTTATATCGGCCGGGCACGGTGGCTCACGCCTGTAATCCCAGCACTTTGCGAGGCCGAGGTGGGCGGATCACGAGGTCAGGAGATCCAGACCATCCTGGCAACACGGTGAAACCCCGTTTTCTACTAAAAATACAAAAAATTAGCAGGGCGTGGTGGCAGGCACCTGTAGTCCAAGCTACTCAGGAGGCTGAGGCAGGAGAATGGCGTGAACCCGGGAGGCGGAGCTTGCAGTGAGTTGAGATCGCGCCACTGCGCTCCAGCCTGGGCGACAGAGCGAGACTCCGTCTCAAAAAAAAAAAAAAAAAAAAAAAAGTTTTACATCTTGTGGCATTGTCAATATATCTATATTTGATATGTTTAATGTGGTTAGAGATCATGACGTGTTTTCTTTATCCCTCCTAAATACCATTTCACACATAAACATCTGCAATTGGAAAAGCGATTGGAAAAGGGATAAACCTGCTGGGTATTTGCATCACTTGGGGTGAGTTTTGGCTATGAATAACAAAGGCCAAAATAGCAGTACATTAAACAGAAGTTTTCCTCTCTAATGGATACTCAATTAATTGAACATCCAAGGTGTTCAATGAAAGGTTAGTGTCATACTTCTGCTCTTTGAAACCTTAGGGACCTAAGTTCAGGCCTTCATTATTTTGTAGGAGAGGTCCTGGACTTCATGGTATGAAACTGTGGCTAAAGTATTAGCGCATCTGTATTCTATGAAGTAGAAAAAGGAAAGAACAGATAAGAAAAAAGGCAAAGGATGAATATCAGCTATCATTTAGAGAAAATTCCCAGAAGATGCTCTATGATGCTTGTCCCGACATCCCATTTATCCATAATTTGCTCATTTGGTCATAGCTAGCTATGAAGGAAGCATAAACTTTTTTTTTTAAATTATGGGTTACCATATGCTCACCTCTAAAATTCAGAAGTTTCTCTAATGTGGAAGAAAGAAATTGAATATTGCAGATAATCCACCAGTACCTGCAACACAAATATATTGTTTCTAATTCCCTTAAAATGTGCCAATGCAAACTGTAATAGGAAGCTGTGGATAAAGCTTTAAATACTAAATTCACTGCATTTATAAGCCTTTAATAATTACAGATTATTTTACAGTAAATAGCAATGTGAATTCAATGAAAAAGTCGAGATTTATTTTTCCGGAAAAATAAAACAAAAAGAGAAAAAGATACTAAAAGGAGTAATAAGAACTGGAAAGAATTTTGCAATCATAAATTTTGTCATTTTCATGGTGGCTCTATCTTTATTTGCAATTTGACAAGTCTTCTACTCTCTATTTGATTTGAAGACCTGGTACCTCCACTAAATAGCTGTGATCCTGAGTAAATTACTGAATTAGAGAATAATAGTAATTGTATCGGCAAAAAAAAACTGCTACTAATAGAAATCTTATTATGATTTTTAATAAGAGTATTGACCTCACTGGTTACTTTGAAAAATAAATGAACTAATATGTATAAAAGAGTTTTGTAAGCTGCTAAGTACTATGATAACTCATCATTCAGAACATTGGAGGTTCAAAGTAAGTGAGCCTTTTGTGACTATTCCAGCTCAAGGAATTGGTTTTGCAATTTGAATTAAAGACTTGACACATGGATGAAGTTTCCAAAGATCCAAGACATATCAATCTCAGAAGTCTGGTCTACAGAGACTCCTCATGAATATACCATTCGTGCATGGCTCAGCAGGTTTCAAAGGCCCATTGTAGACCCGCTGGCAGAATCTCCTTCACTTCTCCATCTACATCTAATTCCATCAGAATTCTCTATTTCCCTAACTGCAAATAATTAAAATGAACTAATATGCAAATAATTAAAATGAACTAATATTTATTGAGCTATGAGCAAATTATTCTCCTGTGCTCTGTGGCTGATAAAGTGATGAGTGAGACAATTCTCTCCTCTCAAGCTGTTTACAGTCTAAGATGGAAAATAAAATATAAGCTACTGATTACATTGCTCAATTTGGCAGTTCTAACCAAGAAAAATGATGGTAACAGTGACATAATGTTTCTGAAATCCAGGTCAACCTCAGTGATAAAAGACTGTATATTTCAGACAGACTGCCAATATATTGAATAATTTTATTAGTAGGTGTTTTTTGTGGTTTTGCTCTGTGCGTCTCTATTTCTATTTTTCTCTTCTGACTGCTCCTATCACTTCAAGAGAAAATATGTGAGAGGGAGCTCAGAAGGGAGATAAACTGATTTATAGAACAATTAAAATGTGAATCAGCAAATTGTCTATAAAAGGCAAAATTATCATTTAAAAAACTGGCCATGTAGCATTTTTTTCGGTTTTCTTCTGAGCTGTAACATCACTATAGGTGATTTTATTCCTGTTTTATAATGCATCATGCAGTACAGTGGCTATAAATTGTTGGCATATTAATTATCCATAGATGGTGGTATTTTTCATATAAATAAAAGTGGTTTTTACTGTTAATACGTGGTATAAAATCTTAGTTTCTGGCATCAGTACAAAAAGGAAACAGCCTAAAATAAGGCTGAATTAAAATTTATATATCAATGGAGTTTGGAAAATGTGGGGATTTGGAGCTTAACAAATTGATAGACAAGTAGACACATGATTCAAACTTTTGGGGAGTGAAGTATACACAATATACTATCATCAGGAATAGGGCTAGGGTTGGTAAATCACAGTCCAAGGGCCGAATTAGGTCTGCTGCCTGTTTTTCATAAATGAAGTTTTATTGGAACATGACCAAGCCCCTTTATTTACATATTGCCTATGGCTGCTTTTGAACTAAGGTGGCAGAGTTGCTTTGTTGCAAAAGATATTTTACTGCATCCGAAGCCAAAAATATTTACTCTCTGACTCTTAATAGAGAAACTTTGCTGATCCCTGGAACTGAGCCACAAGCTTGATACAACTCATTAGTCTTAATTCCTTCTGTTCTCCATGTCTGTAACACTCTTCTATCTTTACTCAGCTTACTGGCTCTTACTGACGTTCAGATCTCAAAGCAAAAGTCACTTCCTCAGGGCTCCTCAAGGAAACCTCCTGTCCCAGAAAACCCAGCCCCAACCTCAATCAGCTTCTGAGCCTCCTGAGACACGGCTCCTCCACTTCTCTACAATTGTGCCCTGTTGTGTTTTTCTCAGAGTGGTTTTCTTTTTTCTTTTTTTTGAGACGGAGTCTTGCTCTGTCGCCCAGGCTGGAGTCCAGTGGCGTGATCTCGGCTCACTGCAAGCTCCGCCTCCCGGGTTCACGCCATTCTCCTGCCTCAGCCTCCCCACTAGCTGGGACTACAGGCGCCCATCACCACGCCCGGCTAATTTTTTGTGTTTTTAGTCGAGATGGGGTTTCACCATGTTAGCCAGGATGGTCTCGATCTCCTGACCTCGTGATCCACCCACCTCGGTCTCCCAAAGTGCTGGGATTACAGGCGTGAGCCACCGCGCCAGGCCAGAGTAGTTTTCATATCTGAAATTGCATTATTGTATATTTGTTTATAGTTTCCTCCCCCCATTAGAATGTAGATTCTATAAAAGTAGAACTCTTATCTATCTCTTTCTCCCCCTTATCACTCGGGTCTGAAGAACTTAATTCACCCTCCTCAGTGAGCATTCACCAAATGAACGTGAGCTCAGTCACTGTGGCAGCCATCTCGGATGTCTTTCCAAAGGCATTCATGTTGATGTACTGACCACAGTCAGTGTAACCCTGGGGTTCCAGGGGGTGTGTGGGTATGTGCAGGTGGTGGTGGTGCTAGGCTAAATGGCTTTTTTTTTTTTTTTAAGAGACAGGGCCTCACTCTGTCACCTGCACTGGACTGGAGTGCATTAGTGCAATCTTATCTCACTGTGGCCTTGATATCCTGGGCTGTCATGATCCTCCCACCTCAGCCTCCTGAGTAGCTGGAACTACAGGCATGTGCCACCAATCCTGACTAATTGTTATTTTTTTGTAGAGACAGGGTCCCTATGTTGCCCAGGCTTGTCTCAAACTCGTGAGCTCAAGCAATTCCCCTGTCTGCCTCCCACTGTGCTGGGATTATAGGCATGAACCACTATGCCTCTCCTAAATGTCTTTTCAGAAAGTGACTTTCTCACTTGATTTCCTGAAATGTTTGCTTTGAAAGTTTCAGGATATGAAGAGATTTATAGAAAATACCATAATAGTTGTACATCACTGTTTCTTCTGTCATGTTAGGGCTTATCGTACCTGTCAGAGTTTCTCGCACACTTTTTCAAAGGTATGCTTGTGAGAGGGAGTCAAAGCTTGCAATATAGACTGGATGTGGCCAGGCATGGTGGTTGGCCAGGTGCAGTGGCTCAGGCCTGTAATCCCAGCACTCTGGGAGGCTGAGGTGGGACAGTCACATTGAGCCTGGGAGTTCGAGACCATTCTGGGCAACATAGTGAGAACCCATCTCTATGAAAAATTTAAAAATTAGCTGGTTATGGTGGTGTATGCCTGTGGTCCCAGGTACTCAGGAGGCTGAGATGGGAGGATTGCTTGAGCCAAGGAGGTTGAGGCTGTAGTGAGCCAGTCATGCCACTTCACTCTACCCTGGACAATACAGTGTTCAGGGGCTTTTAAAAATACTAGCATTGGGCCAGGCATGGTGGCTCATGCCTGTAATCCCAGCACTTTGGGAAGCCTAGGCAGGCGGATCACCTGAGGTCGGGAGTTTGTTACCAGCCTGACCAACATGGAGAAACCCCATCTCTACTACAAATACAAAATTAGCTGGGTGTGTTGGCACATGCCTGTAATCCCTACTACTCGGGAGGCTGAGGCAGGAGAATCCCTTGAACCTGGGAGGCGGAGACTGCGGTGAACCAGGATCGCACCATTGCACTCCAGCCTGGGCAATAAGAACGAAACTCCGTCTGAAAAAAACAAAAGCAAAACCAAAAACACTACTGTTGCTACTGCTAATAAACTGAATGTCAGGTGGGGTTTTGTCCTATTGTCCCACAGTAACAAATTTGGAGAATGTGACCTTGGGCAACTCAGTTCATCTTTCTGATTAACTGACCTGAAATTGTATCCATTTTCTTAATGTGATTGCCTTCAAATGTATTTTTTTTTCAGAAAATAGATACTACTAAATATTTAATTCAGCAACACCAGTTCTGTTTATGGAATATTCATTACACACTTTTACTGAAGTTTTTTGTGTTCAATTTTGTCACTGAAAAATCTTATGCCAGAGTGCTTCACATTGGCTGTACTTTATGTCATTATTCCTTTGTGAGATGAAGCAAAAGGTGATAGAGTGCTCAGAAACTCAACTGTGTAATTAGACAAGACCCAAGACACTCCACTGTATTCTCCTGAACTTCCATACTAATAACCTGATCTTCCTAACTATCCTTGACATAGGTTCTTTTGTTTCACTCATCAGACTTCTCAGGGAAAATACAGTGGCCCACATGTCCTATGAATTGACAATACTTACGTTTTCAATTTCTTGATAGATCATTTTGTTTATTTGCATATTCCACAAATGTTTATTGAGCCTTTTCTGTGTTGTGTCGGGCTGTACTGGCACTGGGACACAGCCATGAGCTTGCTTGATCTATCATGAAGCTTCCTTCTAGGACTCAGTTTCCAATAAAGGAGTGATGCAAGCAAAGTGAAATGAAGATTTGAAGACTACATATGGAAAATGGAAATATACCACTTTTCACATGAAAACGCCCATCTGAAACCTACAGACATCTTAGTCCCCTCTTGAATTATCTGGACAAAATGCCTATGTATTTGTGGATAGAATGTGTAAAGATAAAATGACAGCTGACATTTCATGAGGGCTCATTGTATGCTAGGCATTTTATGAACTTTATTTCTTGCAATATTATTCCCATTTCCAGGCGAGCAAGTTACCAAGGACACGTAGCTAATGGCGGACTGAGTCTGGTTTTAAGCCAAAGTCTTACTCCAGAGATCTAACACTTCTTGCTACCTTCAACTGCTTCTCACTGCTTAGGTGACAAGTACACCAAAATCTCAGAAATCACCCCTAAAGAGCTTATCCATGTAACCTGAAACAGCTGTGCCCCCAAAACTGTTGAAATACCATAAAAATTTGAAACAATAAAAATGACAGAAAATGACAGAATATATATGTTTGTAGAAGCACAATTCACAATTGCAAAATTGTGGAACCAACGCAAATGTCCATCAATCAACGAGTGGATAAAGAAACTGTGTTATATATATGATGGACTCCTACTCAGCCATAAAATGGAATTAATTAACAGCATTTGCAGTGGACCTGGATGAGATTGGAGACTGGTATTCTAAGTGAAGTAACTCAGGAATGGAAAACCAAACATCGTAGGTTCTCATATGCCTAAGTTATGAGGCTGCAAAGACATAAGAATCACACAATGGACTTGGGGACTTGGGGGGAAGAATGGGAGAGGGCCGAAGGATAAACCACTACAAATATGGTACAGTTTGTACTGCTCAGGTGATGGGTGCACCACAATCTCACAAATCACCACTCAAGAACTTATGTAATCAAATACCACCTGCACTCCAATAACTTATGGAAAAATAAAATAATAAAAATTTAAAAAAATCAAGAATCAAAACAGGTTTGATTTTTCCTCATACTGATTGTTTCCTGGAAAGATGCATGTGTGTCACAGAAAGTAAAGGACAACCTAAGCCAGTGACCCTCAAACTCATGAATGCCAGTGTTTCACTGACCATATTAGAACCACTAGTGTGGTTCTCAGGGTGGTGAACAAAAAAATAGCGACGATGTACATGCATACAGCCACAGATACACACACACACACACACACACACACACACACACACACACACACAGGTACCCCATACATCACATCCTGGATTCCACTCAAGATATTTTGTTTCAGTGCTTCTAAAGTGAAACCTAGGACTATCTATTTTTAGTAAGCTCAATAGGTTACTCTGTTGTACTTTTGGATCTAGACATTTAATCTATTTTATCTTACTCTCCACAGGTTGATTTTTGCCTTTCCATTTTCTCTTTGTGGACTTATTTTTTTCCTTCTATTACTGGGTTTTGTTTTTTGACATCATCATCTCAGGGAATGAGACTATACCAATACCCTCTGCCATGTGTGGTCAGATTATTTCTTTATAATTTATTTTTCAAGTTACCTATTTCATGTGGATTGGAGACACTGCCTCTGATGTTCCGCTTATTTACAGCAATAATTTTGCTCTCTCAGACTTTTACCAGTGAGTTGATTCTAAAAATCAACGCTTGACATATTCACCAGAAAATTTCTATAATTATATTCTGAAGTGGTCCAGAATCTAACAGTCTAAATACTTTTGAAAAACAAAGGTTGGTATATATTGGTAAATGGTTTTTGGAAAATCGAATTGGGACTTTTGCAAGTAATGACTTGTGTAATCATAGGTAGACATTATTCAGACTTCTATTACCACACATTGGCCTGGGCTTTTTTTTTTCCCCTCTATTAAGCAAAACAAAATGTTGTAATCAGGCAGTGCTTTCGATGGAAATAACTGACATTACAGGGTCTTCACTTGAATCTTCAGAATTGTCATCCCAAAGACAAAATGATAACCTCTTTCAAAAACTAGCTGTCGGGAGCAAGATGGTCAAATAGAAGCCTCCACTGATTATCCTCTCCATAAGATCACCAAATTTAACAACTACCTACATAGAAAAGCACCTTCATAAAAAACAAAAATCAGGCGAGTGATCACAGTACCTGGTTTTAACTCTGCATCGCTGAAAGAGGCACTAAAGAGGGTAGGAAAGACAAGTCTTAAAAGCTGATGTCACCAGTTTCCCCCACCCCTCAGCAGCAGCTGCATGGCATGGAGAATCTGTGTGCATAGAGGAGAGAGAGCACAGTGATTGTGAAACTTAGCATTGGAAATCAGGACTGCCCTGTAACAACGGAAAGCAGCACTGGGTAGAACTCAGCCAACATCAATGGAGAGAAGATTTAGACCAGCCCTAGCCAGGGAAGAACTGCCCATCACGGAAGTCAGAATTTGAGTTCAGGTAAGCCTTGCCACTGTGGGCTAAAGTGGCCTTGGATCCTAAATAAACTTGACAGGCAGTCTAGGCCACAAGGGCTGTAATTCCTGGGCGAGTCGTGGTGCTGTGTTGGGCTTGGAGCCAATGGACTGACAGGGTGTGCAACCCAGTTAGGACACCAGCTAGGGTGGCCACGGGAGTGCTTTCACCACTTCTCCCCCAACCCCAGACAGCACAGTTCATAGTTCTAGGAGAATCCTTTCTTCCGTTTGAGGAGAGGAGAGGGAAGAGTGAAGAGGACTTTGTCTTGCGATTTGAATGTTGGCTTAGCCACAGTGGGATAGGGCACCAGGCAGAGTCATGAGTCTCCCATTCCAGGTGCTAGCTCCCTCTTGACATCTCCAGACACACCCTGGGCCAGAAGGGAACCTGTTGTCTTGAAGGGAATGACCCAGTTCTGGCAGGATTCATCACCTGCTGACTGAAGAGCCCTTGGGCCCTGAATAATCAGCAGTGGTGGCCGGGTAGTTCACACCGTAGGCCTCGGGTGAGCCTCTGAGAAGTGCTGGCTTCTGGTGAGATCTAGCACATTACTAGCTTTGGTGACTATTGGGAGAATCTCCTTCTGCTTGAGAAAAGGAGAGGGAAGTGTAAAAGGGACTTTATCTTGCAGTTGAGGTACCAGTTCGGCCACAGTGGGGTAGAGCACCAAGCTGGCTCTTGGGGTCTCTGCTTCCAGGCCTTGGCTCTTGGACAGCATTTCTGGACCTGCCCTAGGTCAGAGGGGAGCCCACTGTCCTGAAGGGTAAGACCCAGGACTGGCATCATTCACCACAAGCTGACAGAAGAGCCCTTGGGCTTTGAGTGAACGTGAGTGGTAGTCAGGCAGTGCTTGCCATGGGCCTGGGGTGGGAGTGGCCATGGGGAGATACTCCTTAGCCTGTGGAAAGGGAAAGGAAGAGTGGGAAGGGCCTTGTCTTGCAGCTTGGGTGCCAATTCAGACGCAGTAGAATAAAGTACAGGTAGATTCCTTAGGTTTCTGACTCCAGGCCCTGGCTCCTGGACTGTATCTCTATACCTGCCTGGGACTGGTGGAAACTCTTTGCCCTAAAGAGAAGGACACAGCCTGTCTGGGTTCACCATCTGCTGATTGTAGAGTCCCAGGGCCTTGAACAAACATACATGGTAGCCAGGCAGTTGTTCCTGCAGGCCTTGGGTGATACCCAGTGCTGTATTAACTTCAGGTCTGACCCAGGTCTGTACTAACTTCAGGTGAATCCCAGTGGCGGTGGCCACAGGAGCACTTTTGTCACCCCTCCCCCAGTTCCAAGCAGCTCAGCACAGAGAAAGAGACCCCATTTGTTTGGGAGAAAGTAAAAGAAGAAAACTAGTCTCTGCCTGGTAATACAGAAATTTCTCGTGGATCTTATCTAAGATCAGCAAGGTGGTACCTCTATGAGTCTGCAAGAGCCACAGAATACTGGGCTTGGAGTGACTCTAATACAGATATGGCTGCGATGACAAAAAGCTTAGATCAAAACACCCGAATTCTCTTAAATACCTGGAAAGTCTTCCCGAGAAGGACACGTACAAACAAGCCCAGACTACAAAGACTAGGATAAATATATAACTCTTCAATGTCCAGATACATACAAACATCCACAAGCACCAAAACCTTTCAGGAAAAAGTGACCTCCCCAAATGAACCAAATAAGGCACCAGAGACAAATCCTGGAAAGAAAGAGACACGCACCCTTTCATACAGAATTCAAACTAGCTGCCTTGGGGAAACCCAATGAAATTCAAGATAACTCAGAGTAGGAATTCAGAATCCTATTAGATAAAGTTAACAAAGAGATTGAAATAATTAAAAATAATCAAGCAGAAATTCTGGAGTTAAAAAATACACTAGTTATACTGAAGAAAGCATCAGAGTCTATTAGCGGCAGGATTGATCAGGCAAAGGAAAGAATTAGTGAGCTTGAAGACAGGCTATTTGAATAAACATGGTCAGAGGGACAAAAGAAAAAAAGAGTAAAGAAGAATGGAGCACACCTATGAGATCTAGAAAACAATGCCCAAAAAGCAAATCTAAGAATTATTGGCCTTAAAGAGGAGGTACAGAGAAATATAGAGGTAGAAAGTTTATTCAAAGGAATAATAACCAAGAAATTCCCAAATCTAGAGAAAGATATCAATATTGAAATACAAGAGAGTTATAGAACACTAAGCAGATTTAACCCAAATAAGACTACCTCAAGGCATTTAATAATCAAATTCCCAAAGATCATAGATAAAGAATGGATCCTAAAAGCAGCAAGAGAAAAGAAACAAATAACATAAAATGGAGGCTCAATATGTTTGGCAGCAGACTTTTCAGTGGAAACCTTACAGGCCAGTAGAGAGTGCCATAACATATTTGAAGTGCTGAAGGAAAAAACGTTTACCCTAGAATAGTATATCCAGTGAAAATAACTTTCAAACATGAAAGAGAAATAAAGGTTTCCTCAGGCAAACACAAGCTGAGGGATTTCATCAGCACCAGACCTGTCCTAGAGGAAATGATACCAGGAGTTCTTCAGTTTGAAAGAAAAGGATATTAAGGAGCAATAAAAAAAGCATCTGAAGTTACAAAACTCACTGGTAATACTAGGTACATAGAAAAACACAGAATATTATAACACTGTAATTGTGGTGTATAAACTACTCATACCTTGAGTAGAAAGACTGAAAGATGAACTGATAAAAAATAATAAGAACAACTTTTCAAGACACAGACAATACAATAAAATATAAGTATCATTAGAATCAATAAGAAGTTAAAAAGTTGGGTGATGAAGTGTAGTGTTTTCATTAGTTTTCTTTTAGCTTGTTTGTTTATGCAAACAGTGTTAACTTGTTATCAGTTTACACATTTAAAGCAGTGTGTAGAGGGAAATTTATAGCACTAAATGCCCACAAGAGAAAGCAGGAAAGATCTAAAATTGACACCCTAACATCACAATTAAAAGAACTAGAGAAGCAAGAGCAAACACATTCAAATGCTAGCAGAAGGCAAGAAATAACTAAGATCAGAGCGGAACTGAAGGAGATGGAGACTCAAAAAACCCTTCAAAAAAATCAGTAAATCCAGGAGCTGGTTTTGTGAAAAGATCAACAAAATTGATAGACTGCTAGCAAGACTAATAAAGAAGAAAAGAGAGAAGAATCAAATAGACGCAATAAAAAATGATAAAGGGGATATCACCACTGATCCCACAGAAATACAAACTACCATCAGAGAATACTATAAACACCTCTATGCAAATAAACTAGAAAATCTAGAGGAAATGGATAAATTCCTGGACACAGACACCCCCCCCACCAAGACTAAACGAAGAGAAGTTGAATCCCTGAATAGACCAATAACAGGCTGTGAAATTGAAGCAATAATTAATAGCTTACCAACCAAAAAAAGTCCAGGACCAGACCAATTCACAGCCAAATTCTACCAGAGGTAGAATTCTACAAGAGGAGCTGGTACCATTCCTTCTGAAACTATTCCAGTCAATAATTGATTTTATGAGGCCAGTATCATCCTGATATCAAAAGCCTGGCAGAGACACAACAACACAAAAGAGAATTTTAGAACAATATCCCTGATGAACATCGATGCAAAAATCCTCAATAAAATACTGGCAAACCGAATCCAGCAGCACATCAAAAAGCTTATCCACCATGATCAAGTGGGCTTCATCCCTGGGATGCAAGGCTGGTTCAACATACACAAATCAGTAAGCGTAATCCATCATATAAACAGAACCAAAGACAAAAACCACATGATTATCTCAATAGATGCAGAAAAGGCCTTTGACAAAATTCAACAGCCCTTCATGCTAAAAACTCTCAATAAATTAGGTATTGATGGGATGTATCTCAAAATAATAAGAGCTATTTATGACAAACCCACAGCCAACATCATACTGAATGGGCAAAAACTGGAAGCATTCCCTTTGAAAACTGGCACAAGACAGGGATGCCCTCTCTCACCACTCCTATTCAACATAGTGTTGGAAGTTCTGGCCAGGGCAGTCAGGCAGGAGAAAGAAATCAAGGGTATTCAATTAGGAAAAGAGGAAGTCAAATTGTCCCTGTTTGCAGATGACATGATTTTATGTTTAGAAAACTCCATCGTCTCAGCCCAAAATCTCCTTAAGCTGATAAGCAACTTCAGCAAAGTCTCAGGATACAAAATCAATGTGCAAAAATCACAAGCATTTCTATACACCAATAACAGAGAGCCAAATCATGAGTGAACTCCCATTCACAATTGCTTCAAAGAGAATAAAATAACTAGGAATCAACTTACAAGGGATGTGAAGGACCTCTTCAAGGAGAACTATAAACCACTGCTCAATGAAATAGAAGAGGACAAGAAGACACAAACAAATGGAAGAACATTCCATGCTCATGGATAGGAAGAATCAATATCGTGAACGTGGCCATACTTCCCAAGGTAATTTAAAGATTCAATGCCATCCCCATCAAGCTACCAATGACTTTCTTCACAGAATTGGAAAAAACTACTTTAAAGTTCATATGGAACCATAAAAGAGCCTGCATTGCCAAGACAATCCTAAACCAAAAGAACAAAGCTGGAGGCATCACGCTACCTGACTTCAAATTATACTACAAGGCTACAGTAACCAAAACAGCATGGTACTGGTACCAAAACAGAGATATAGACCAATGGACCAGAACAGAGCCCTCAGAAATAATACCACATATCTACAACCATCTCATCTTTGACAAACCTGACAAAAACAAGAAATGGGGAAAGGATTCCCTATTTAATAAATGGTGCTGGGAAAACTGGCTAGCCATATGTAGAAAGCTGAAACTGGATCCCTTCCTTACACATTATACAAAAGTTAATTCAAGATGGATTAAAAACTTAAATGTGAGACCTAAAACCATAAAATCCCTAGAAGAAAACCTAGGCAGTACCATTCAGGACATAGGCATGGGCAAGGACTTCATGACTAAAACACCAAAAGCAATGGCGATGAAAGCCAAAATTGACAAATGGAATCTAAAGAGCTTCTGCACAGCAGAAGAAAGTACCATCAGTGTGAACAGGCAACCTACAGAATGGGAGAAAAATTTTACAATCTACCCATCTGACAAAGGGCTAATATCCAGAATCTATAAATAACTTAAACAAATTTACAAGAAAAATTCAAAGAACCCCATCAAAAAGTGGGTTAAGGGTATGAACAGACACTTCTCAGCAGACACATGAAAAAATGCTCATCATCGCTGGCCATCAGAGAAATGCAAATCAAAACCACAATGAGATACCATCTCACACCAGTTAGAATGGCGATCATTAGAAAGTCAGGAAACAACAGGTGCTGGAGAGGATGTGGAGAAATAGGAGCACTTTTACACTGTTGGTGGGACTTTAAACTAGTTCAACTATTGTGGAAGACAGTGTGGCCATTCCTCAAAGATCTAGAACTAGAAATACCCAGCCATCCCATTACTGGGTATATACCCAAAGGATTACAAATCATGCTGCTATAAAGACACATGCACATGTATGTTTATTGCGGCACTATTCACAATAGCAAAGACAGAACTAACCCAAATGTCCATCAATGATAGACTGGATTAAGAAAATGTGGCACATATACACCATGGAATACTATGCAGCCATAAAAAAGGATGAGTTCATGTCCTTTGTAGGGACATGGATGAAGCTGGAAACCATCATTCTGAGCAAACTATTGCAAGGACAGAAAACCAAACACCGCATGTTCTCTCTCATAGGTGGGAATTGAACAATGAGAATTCTTGGACACAGGATGGGGAATATCACACACCAGAGTCTGTTCGTGGGGTAGGGGTAGTGGGGGAGGGATAGCATTAGGAGATATACCTAATGTAAATGATGAGTAAATGGGTGCAACACACCAACATGGCACATATATACCTATGTAAAAACCTGCACGTTGTGCACGTGTACCCTAGAACTTAAAGTATAATAAAAAATAACAGTGAGTTATGAGATAATATCTACAAACCTCATGGTAATCTCAAATCAAAAGAACATACAGCAAGTACACAAAAAATAAAAACCAAAAAGTTGAAACATACCAGCAGAGAAAATCACTTTCACTAAAATTAAGACAAGAAGCAATGAAAGAAGATAGTACCAGAAAACAAATCATAATATGTCAGGAGTAAGTCCTTACTCATCATTAATAACATTGAATGTAAATGGACTAAACACTCCAATCAAAAGACATTGGGAGAGGCTGAATGAATTAAAAAACAAGACCCCATTGTCCATTGCCTAGAAGAAACATACTTCACCTATAAAGATACAAATAGACTGAACATAAAGAGATAGAAAAAGATATTCCGTGCAAATGAAAACCAAAAAAGAGGAGGAATAGCTGTAGTTAATTCAGGCAAAATAGATTTCAAGACAAAAACTATAAAAAGATATAAAGAAGGTCACTATATAATAACAAGAAGGTCAATTCAGCAAGAAGATATAACAGTTGTAAATATATATGCACCCAACACTAAAGCACCAAGATATACAAAGCAAATATTATTAGAGCTATTATAAAAGAGATAGACCCCAGTAGAATAATAGCTGGACACTTTAATATCCTACTTGCACCATTGGACAGATTATTCAGACAGAAAATCAATTTTAAAAAATCATATTTAACCTGCACTATAGACCAAATGGACCTAATAGATATTTATGGAACATTTTATCTAATGGCTGCAGAATACACACTCTTTTCCTCAGCACATAGATCATTCTCAAGGATAGAACATATGTTAGGTCACAAAACAAGTCTTAAAAAATTCAGAGAAAATAAAATTATATCAAGTACCTTCTCTGACCATAATGAGATAAAACTACACATAAAAAGAGGAAATTTTGGAATTATACAAACACATGGAAATTAAACAATGTGCTTCTGAAAGACCAGTGGGCCAATAAAGAAAATTTTAAAATTTTAAAAGAAGAAATTTTAAAATTCTTGAAACAAATGATAATGGAAACATGACACACCACAACCTATGGGATACACTGAAAGCAGTACTAAGAGGAAAGTTTATAGCTATAAGCACCTACATCGAAAAAGTAGAAAAACCTCAAATACTCAAATAACCTAATTATTCACTTATAAGAATGAGGAAAGCAAGAAGAAAGAAACCCAAAATTAGTAGAGAAAAAGAAATAATAAAGATTAGAGCAGAAGGAAATGAAATCGAAACAAAGAAAACAACATAAAAGATCAAGGAAAGAAAAAGTTGAAATTTTGAAATGATAAACAAAATGGAAAAACCTTTAGCCAAACTAAGAATAAAAGAGAAATGACCAAAATAAATAAAATCAGAGGTACAAAAGGAGACATTACAACAGCAAAATTTCCGAGGATCTTTAGAGGCTACTATGAACAATTATATGCCAATAAATTGAAAAAATCTAGAGGAAATGGGTACATTCCCAGACACTTAAAATCTACCAAGATTGAACCATGAAAAAATCTAAAATCTGAAAAGACCAATAACAGTTATGTTAGCTGGTTATTTTGCTCGTTAGTTGATGCAGTTTCTTCCTAGCCTTGATGGTCTTTACAATTTGGCATGTTTTTGCAGTGGCTGGTACCAGTTTTTCCTTTCCATGTTTAGTGCTTCCTTCAGGAGCTCTTTTAGGCTGGCCTGGTGGTGACAAAATCTCTCAGCATTTGCTTGTCTGTAAAGGATTTTATTTCCCCTTCACTTACGAAGCTTAGTTTGGCTGGATGTGAAATTCTGGGTTGAAAATTCTTTTCTTTAAGAATGTCGAATATTGGCCCCCACTCTCTTCTGGCTTGTAGAGTTTCTGCCGAGAGATCAGCTGTTATTCTGATGGGCTTCCCTTTGTGGGTAACCCGACCTTTCTCTCCGGCTGCTCTTAACATTTTTTCCTTCATTTCAACTTTGGTGAATCTGACAATTATGTGTCTCGGAGTTGCTCTTCTTGAGGAGTATCTTTGTGGAGTTCTCTGTATTTCCTGAATTTGAATGTTGGCCTGCCTTGCTAGATTGGGGAAGTTCTCCTGGATAATATCCTGCAGAGTGTTTTCCAACTTGGTTCCATTCTCCCTGTCACTTTCAGGTGCACCAATCAGATGTAGATTTGATCTTTTCACATAGTCCCATATTTCTTGGAGGCTTTGTTTGTTTTTTTTTTTTTTATTCTTTTTTCTCTAAACTTCTCTTCTTGCTTCATTTCATTCATTTCATCTTCCATCACTGATACCCTTTCTTCCAGTTGATCACATCGGCTACTGAGGCTTGTGCGTTCGTCACGTAGTTCTCGTGCCATGGTTTTCAGCTCCATCAGGTCCTTTAAGGACTTCTCTGCATTAGTTATTCTAGTTAGCCATTCGTGTAATTTTTTTTCAAGGTTTTTAACTTCTTTGCCATTACAGACACTTCTCAAAAGAAGACATTTATGCAGCCAAAAAACACATGAAAAAATGCTCATCATCACTGGCCATCAGAGAAATGCAAATCAAAACCACAATGAGATACCATCTCACACCAGTTAGAATGGTGATCATTAAAAAGTCAGGAAACAACAGGTGCTGGAGATGATGTGGAGAAATAGGAACACTTTTACACTGTTGGTGGGACTGTAAACAATTTCAACCATTGTAGAAGTCAGTGTGGCCATTCCTCAGGGATCTAGAACTAGAAATACCATTTGACCCAGCCATCCCATTACTGGGTATATACCTAAAGGATAAATCATGCTGCTATAAAGACACATGAACATGTATGTTGATTGCGGCACTATTCACAATAGCAAAGACTTAGAACCAACCCAAATGTCCAACAATGATAGACTGGATTAAGAAAATGTGGCACATATACACCATGACATACTATGCAGCCATAAAAAGAAATGAGATCATGTCCTTTGTAGGGACATGGATGAAGCTGGAAACTATCATTCTCAGCAAACTATCGCAAGGACAGAAAACCAAACACCGCATGTTCTCACTCATAGGTGGGAATTGAACAATGAGAACACATGGACACAAGAAGGGGAACAGCACACACCGGGGACTGTGGTGGAGTTGGGGTACGGGGGAGGGATAGCATTAGGAGATATACCTAATGTTAAATGACGAGTTAATGGGTGCAGCACACCAACATGGCACATGTATACATATGTAACAAACCTGCACGATGTGCACATGTACCCTAAAACTTAAAGTATAATAATAATAAAAAAAAACAAGTAATGAGATCAAAGCCATAATAAAAAGTCTCTGAACAAAGAAAAGCCCAGGGCCTTAGGGGTTCACTGCTAAATTTTACCAGATATTTAAAGTACACCTAATACCAATCCTGTTCAAAGGATTCACAAAAATAGAGGTGCAAATACTTCCAAACTCATTCTGTGAAGCCAGTATTACCCTGATACAAAAACCAGAAAAAGTCTCATCTAAAAAAGAAAACTTCAGACCAATATTTTTGAGGAACATTGATGCAAAAACCTTCAAGATATTAGCAAATTGAATCCAATAACACATTAAAAAGGTCCTTCATCATGAGCAAGTAAGATTTATCCCAGGAATGCAAGGATGGTTGAACATATACAAATCAATCAGTGTGATACATCATATCAACAGAAAGAAAGACAAAAACCATATAATCATTTCAATTGATAATAAAAAAATAGATAAAATTCAACATCCATTCATGGTAAAAACCCTCAAATATTGGGTACAGAAGGAACATACCTCAACACAATAAAAGCCATTTATGACAGACCCATCAAAACACTGATGACTTTCTTCACCAAAATAGAAAAAATAAAAATCCTAAAGTTTTTATGGAACTTCAAAAGACCCGGAATAGCCAAAGCTATCTTGAGCAAAAAGAAAACTGGAGAAATCCCAATACCTGACCACCCATATGCTACAGGGATATAGTAACCGAAACAGCATGGTACTGACTTAAAACCAGACACATAGATTAATGGAACAGAATAGAGATCCCAGAAAGAAATCCATACATCTACATTAAACTCATTTTTGACAAAGGTGTCAAGAACATACATTTGGGATGTATGTATGTTTTCAATAAACAGTGCTGGGAAAACTAAATATTCATATGCAGAAGAATTAAACTAGACCCCCTACCTCTCACAATATACAAAAATCAAATCAAAATGGATTAAAGACTTAAATCTAATACCTCAAACTATGAAACTACTTAAAGAAAACATTGGGGAAACTCTTCAGTACATTGGTCTGGGAAAATATTTCTTTAAAAATACCTCACAAACACAGACAACCAAAGCAAAAATGGACAAATGGGATCACATAAAGTTAAAAAGCTTCCACATGGCAAAGGATGCAATCAACACAGTTAGGAGACTACCCACAGAATGGGAGAAAACATTTGCAAACTATCCATTTGACAACGGATTAATAACCAGAGTACATAAGGAGCTCAAACAACTCTGTAGGAAAAAATTCTCAAAATCTGAGTAAAAAATGGGCAAAAGAGCTGAGTAAACATTTCTCAATAGAAGACATACAAATGGCAAACAGGTATATGAAAAGGTGCTCAACAATCATTGATTATCAGAGAAATGCAAATCAAAACTACAATGAGATATCATCTCATCCCAGTAAATACAGCTTTCATCCAAAAGACAGGCAATAACGAATGCTGATGAGGATGAGAAGAAATGGGAACCCTTTTTGGTGGGAATGTAAATTAGTACAACTACTAAGGAGAACTGTTTGGAGTTTTCTCAAAAAACTGAAAATTAAACTACTATATGATTCAGCAATGCTGCTGCTAGGTATATGCCCCAAAGAAAGGAAGTCAGTATTTTGAAGAGTTATCTGTATGCCCATGTTCATTGCATGTTAATTCCATGTTAATTGCAGCACTGTTCATGATAGCCAAGATTTCGAATCAATCTAAGTGTCCATCAACGGAAGAATGGATAAAGAAAACGGGGTACATATACACAATGGAGTACTATTCAACAAAAAGAATGAGATTCTGTCATTTGCAACAACATGGATGGAACTGAGGTTCATTATGCTAAATGGAATGAGCTAGGCACAGAAAGACAAACATCACATGTTCTTGCTTATTCGTGGGAGCTCAACGTTAAAACAATTGAACTCATAGAGATAGGAAGTAGAATGATGGTAACCAGAGGCTGAGAAGGGGAGTTGGTTTGGGGTGGAAGGAGAAATGGTTAATAAGCACAAAAATATGGTTAGATAGAGTGAATAAGATCTAGTATTTGACAGCACAAAGGGTGACTACAATTAAAAATAATTTATTTTACATTTAAAAATAAATAGTATAATTAGCTAGTTTGTAACACGGAGGATAAATGCTTGGGTGAAAAATACCCTCATTTTCTCTGATGTGATTTTTATGCATTGCATGCCTGCATCAAAATATCTCATGCACTCCATAAATATATACACCTACTATGTACCCACAATATATTTTTTAAAAAAACTGATCAAACCAGTGAGAAAATAAGAAAGAACTCAGAAAAACTGTGGTCTTTCTTCCTACATTTCATGAAATGCTAAGCGAACAAAATGAAAATATTTTAGAAATAGCTAATATGTATTTTCTAATACAATGAACTTCTTATTTATTTATTTGCTTTTATTATACAGTTTACTTTTATTTTGTTTTTATTTTTTGAGACAGGGTGTTAATCTGTCAACCTGGCTGGAGTGCAGTGGTGTGATCTTGGCTCACGGCACCCTCCTCTTCACAGGTTCAAGCGATTCTCTTGCCTCAGCCTCTTGAGTAGCTGGGACCACAGACATGCGCCAATACACCTGCCTAATTTTTGTATTTTTTATAGAGATGGGGGTTTAGCCATGTTGCTCAGGCTGGTCTCAAACTCCTGAGCGCAAAGCAACCTGCCCACCTTGGCTTCCCAAAGTGCTGGTATTACAGGAGTGAGCTACTGCACCTGGCCTATTTTTAATTATTTATTTATTTATTTATTTATTTATTTATTTATTTATTCATTTACTCATTCATTTTTTTAGACAGGTCTAGCTCTGTTGCCCAGGCTGGAGTGCAGTGGTACAAACATGGCTCACTGCAGTCTCAACCTTCTAGGCTCAAGTCATCCTCCTGTCTCAGCCTCCAGTGTAGCTGAGACCACAGGCACCCACCACATCATTCCTGACTAATTTTTTTATTTCTATTTTTGTAGACATAGAGTCTCACTTTGTTGCCCAGGCTGGTCTCAAACTCCTGGGCTCAGGTAATCCTCCTGTCTCAGCCTCCCAAAGTGTTGGGATTAGAGGAATGAACCACTGCACCCAGCCTAATACTTTATTTTTAATTGACAAAATTGTGTATATTTATAGTTTACAATATGATATTTTGAAATGTGTGTACACTGTGGGATGATTAAATCAAGCTAATTGACATATGTATTACTTGATACTTACTTTACTTTTGTAGTGAAATAACTGAAAATGTACCCTCTTAGTACTTTTGAAGTATACAATACATTGTTATTAACTCTAACCATTATGGTATAAAATAGATCTCTTGAATGTATTCCTCCTAACAAATTTTGTATTCTTTGGCCAACATCTCCCCAAACCTGCACTTGCCTGAGAACCTGGTAACTACAGTTCTGCTCTCTGCTTCTATAAGTTCAACTTTTTTAGATTCCACACATACATGAGATCATGCAGTATTTGTCTTTCTGTGCCAGTCTTATTTCACTTAACGTAATATCCTCCTGGTTTAACCGTGTTGTCACAAATGACAGGATTTCCTTCATTTTTAAGGCTGAAAAGTATTCTATTGTATATATACACTGTATTTTCTTTATCCATGCATACATCAATGAATGTTTAGGTTGATTATATTTTTTGGTCATCGTGAATAATGTTGCAAAGAACACAGGAGTGCAGATATTTCTTTGGACTAATGATTTAATTTTCTATGGGAATATGACCATTATTATGATGACGAGATCATATGGTAGTTCTACTTTTAGTTGTTTTAGGCAAATTCATACTTCTTCCCATAATGGCTGTAGTAATTTACATTCCCACAATGTACAAACATTCTTTTATTTTTCCACATCCTCACCAACACTTGTTATCTTTCTTTTGTGTTAATGGCTATTCTAACAGATGTGAGGTGATATCTCATTCTGGTTATAATTTGCATTTCCCTGATCATGTTGAGCATTTTTTTCAAATACCTATTGGTGATTTGAATGTCTTCTTTTCAGAAATGTCTATTGAGTTCTTTTGCCCATTTTTAATTGAGTTACTTGTTTTCTTGCTATTGTTTGAGTTTCTTATACATGTCAGATGTTAACACTTATCAGATGCATGGTTTGCAAATATTTTCTCCCATTCCATAGGTTGTCTCTTCACTCTGTGGATTGCTTTTGTTTGTTTTTTGTTTTTGCTGTGCTTGTGTTTTGTGTTTGTAGTTTGGTGAAATTCTACTTGTGTATTTTTGCGTTTGTTGCCTGTGTTTTGAGGGTTGTGTACAGAAAATTATTGCCCAGACAAATAGACCAATCAGACAGGCCTTTTTTTGAACTTCTTCATAATTAAAGCATCACCATGGACTTGGTTGTGCCTAGCTTTATTTACTCATCGTTATGTCTGTGAGAGTCATTCCTCTTGTTGAATGAATCAGGGTTTTATTTGATTTCTGTGTGGTGTTCCATTGTAGGAATAACCAGAGTTTCTCCATTTTACTGTTTATGGTTATTGGGGTTGTTTCTGGTTTTTGGCTTTTGTGAATACACCTGTTGGAAACATTCTTTTGCATATCTTTTGGTGAACACAGACACTAATTATTTTCAGTACATATCTGGAAGTGTAGTAGGCGTATTGATATTGCCAAGGACTTTTCCAAAATGGTACTATGAAATACACTCTCGACAGCAGCGTTTAGGAATTCTTGTTGTTTCATATCATTGTCAGCACTTGATATTATCAGTCGTTTTACATTTTAGTATTCTAATGAACGTGTTTTGTTATCATATTGGGGTTTTTGTTTTCTTTGTACTGATGTGCTCTCATTCTTCATAATGACTACATGGTTGTCCAAATAAGAATCTCTCATGTTTCATTTAACCAATCATCTGTTGATGGGTCATGAGGCTGTTTTTAACTTTTTTCTCTTACAGACTATCTTTTTTTTTGTACATGTATTGTTATGAAAGCCCAGAACTCGAAACACTGGTTCAAAAGTTATGCTTATGTTAAAATTTGACAGCTGTAGTTTTCCCAAAGAAATTGTAGCCATTGATACATCTATCACCAGTTTATGAAAATTCCCTTCCCCACACCCTAGACAAAACAATATTATGAAGTTTTTAAAATTTACATCAATCTAATCAATGAAAAGTGATAGCTTATAGAGGTTTTATTTTGCCCTTTTTTTTTTAACTGAATGAGGTGGAATGACTTTTCATGTTTAAAAGCCGTTTGGCCCTCATTTCCTGTAAGCTCCGAATTATATTATTCATTTGCCTAATTTTTCTATAGGATTGATAATATTTTATTATTGGTCACAGAAGCTCTTTATGTATTTAAAATAGATTTTAAAAACTGTAAGGGAAAGACTTTTTGGATAATCAGCATTTTAAAGAAAAAGAAACAAAAAATCAAAAGTGAATCCTTTGTCCCAACATTATAATCACAAAGTAATACTTTCCTTGCTCTGTACATAACAATAGCAGTAGTTCATATTCACTCCATACATCATAGTTATAAAGTGTTTGTTTATGTACTCTTTCATGTAATCTTTATGCCAATACTCTTACTTTATGTCTGAATTCTTGTTGAAGAGATCCGGAAACTTAGATTTTAAGTAATCTGACCAAGATTGCATGCCAACACGAGGGAAAACCTATGCAATATATCTAATTTCAAACATATTATAATTTCCTGTAAACTGCCCTCCTTCTCGAGGCTTTGGAAAGCTGGTCCACCTTGGAGGTCCTTTTCTTCTTATTCATTGCTGATCTCATTCATCTCTGTTCATGCGAGATTTTTCATACAGTAGGACTGAAATAAAGAAGATGTGAATTAATTAGGTCTCTTATGATTTCTGATTATAGAGCAATTAGAAGGTTATATATACTGAAAAACTGAGGTTAACCAAATATGCAAAACAGGGAATTAAATGAGTAGAGTGGTGTGTGTGTTTGTGTATTGGACTATTGACACATTTAAAATGTAGAAATATATGAATTGAAGTTGGAAATTATTGATGATGTATTTTTTTCTGAGGCAAGCATATAACAGAATACCATGTGTGGTGTGATTTTATTGTATAACATGTTACTATATTACAAGTGACACTTACGGAGTGCTTCCTACTTACTGGGAGCTATTCTAAAATTGATTCGTGGTAACTTAATACTCATAATGCCTTTGTGAGATGGGTACTTTCTGTATAGAGGAATATAAGTTGCTCAAGGTTGGTGAGTTCTGACTCTGGGATGTAGGGACTAATTACTAAAGAAAGAAGGAAGGAAGTGGGGGAGGGAGAAAAGAAGGAAGGACAGACAGAAGAAAGGATGAAAGGAAAGAAATAACAGTGGTTATCTCTGAGTTGTAAAATGAAGGTTAAATTTTGGTTTCTTTTGTCTGCTTCTTTGTATTTTCTTCCTTATGTTCATATTCTTATTTACAATTCACATGTAAGTCTTCGAATAAAGTAAAATTTATATCATGCTTGGGAAGAGCCTTGATGAAGGGAAAAATATTCTTTAATAAACTTTTATTAGCTTAGTTTCCAAAAGTTATGGGTGTGTTAGGGATATAGATATACAACTGGAATTAGCAAAACTCTGGTAAATTTTGAGTGAACACAATGTATAAAGTCTGAAGAACTTCATGGCTCATCAATGGTCCCATAATATGATTGTCTTGGGCAAAAGAGTCTTACCCATGTTGATGTTAACATGGAAAAGACAGTCTTCTGATGCTGACACTTTATTTGCTTTATTAATTCATGTTTTAGATTAGTCTTTTAATTACGTTGCAGAAATGATTCTTTTTTTTTTTGAGATGGAGTCTCGCTCTGTCGCCCAGGCTGGAGTGCAGTGGCGCAATCTCGACTCACTGCAAGCTCCACCTCCCGGGTTCACGCCATTCTCCCGTCTCAGCCTCCCGGGTAGCTGGGACGACAGGCTCCCGCCACCACAGCCGGCTAATTTTTTTGTACTTTTAGTAGAGGCGTGGATTCACCGTGTTAGCCAGGATGGTCTCGATCTTCTGACCTCGTGATCCGCCCACCTCGGCCCCCCAAAGTGCTGGGATTACAGGCGTGAGCCACCGCGCCCGGCCAGAAATGATTCTTAAAGCATCCACATGTAAGGACAAGTCTGCCTGATGCTGGATGCAAGCACTGCTGCTTATTATTGGGAGGAGTCAAACATGACTCTCCCATGGTAGAGGAAGGGAGGGACCACTAAGGGTTGTCTTAAACGTGGGGAGACTGGACTTTTTCCCGTTTTCTCCCGTTAGACACATACCAGGTGGATCCGTTATTGTTTTTAGATCAATTCCCAAGTCTTCAGAAATGTCCATCATTGAAGGTGAATATATGATGTATTCCAGAGGGAGATGGAGACTCTTGCTGTGTTACTCAGCTTGCATTTGAACGCCAGCAGTCTCATCTTGATGCTATGCCTTAGATTTCTCAGCTGACCAACAATTTGGGAGATTTTGCATTTTCAAGAAAGAACTTTAAAGAAAAGATTTTAAGGTGTATTCGGTTAATTTTAATTGAGAGTAAACAAGTTGAATTTTCTCCACTGTGATTTTAGTAAATAGTAAATCATCAAGCTCATACAGTCCTTCACCAGAAATAGATGAGTCTGTATTTTAGGGGATAACTGAGCTTGTCTTTAAAATTTATTAGTAATGAGACACACATTCTGAGGTTTCTTAGAAAGTGTACATGAAGAAATAAGATATCTAGAGGCAATTACAGAGTTGGGCTTCAAAATTACTTTTATGAAAAGAAACAACATTTGTCATTTTTGTTTAAAATCTTGATTTATCACATTCTGAGCAGAGCTTGAAATGTTGTGTTTTTATTTTACCTAACAGAATGCCTTGCCTGCAGGCAAGCAGAATGTTGGATTAAAACTTTTAATACTCTAGGGCAAAATCTGCTGATTTTAATAAGAGACAAAGGCTCATTTGGATCTTTCTGTCATTATAAAAACAAGCTGAGCTTCTGTTTATCATGTTCATTGCTTTAATTCTGGGCGCATGGCATTGGAAAAGGAGATGGTTACCAGGGCACACATGGCCTGAAATGAGCAATAAATCTGAGGATCTGTCAACAGAAGAGCTTGCTGTCACAGGTAATTGTCTAACTCCATCTTCTTTCATCTGTAGCCAAGAAGATGTCAAATGAATATTGTTGACAAATGTATCACTTTATGCAAATGGCTTAAAAGAAAAACAAAGTAGAACTTCACAGAAATACTATCAGTGAGGTCGTCTGTCTGTAAAAATAAAAGTAGTTCACCTTGATTGAATCCTTCTGTCACTTCATATGTATCAGTATATTTAATCCTCATAATAACTTATTGCTTTGGGTATGGTTACTGTTCTCTTCTAAAGATAAGAAAACACAAAGTTCAGGGTGATAAAATGACTAAGTTAGCAGATTCTTGAGATTTTACCCCAGGAATCTGACTTCAGAACCCAAGCTATCATTGATACATTATGCTGCTTTTTATTTATAACAAATACTAAGACATGACCTTTTCCCTTCTGACATGAGGATGAGAGAGCAGGTCAGAGGCCAGTTTCTGACATGGAATGCCACCAACATGTAATAACCAGGCATGAAGCAAATGGGTCCAGGTGTGAGGAAAGGTAGCAATCATAATGACACAGAGATGTGAAAATCCTTGGATTTGTAGAAGAAAAACATTGCTGAAGCATATATTATTAGTACATGTGTTTTATCTTGTAGACCGCCATTTTCTTTATACATTGTCTGATTTATCAGGGCTTGATAGCATTATGGAAAGAACTGAGAGCTGCAGCAGAGATTGGTTTAAGATCTTGCCTCTGCTCTGGCATCTAGGTAATTAGCTATATAAACTTGAGCCAATGATGAAACTTCTCTTAGATTTGATTTCTGCATCTCCTAAATGGGCATAATTACCGACACTTTGTAGTGCTTTTGTGAGAATTTCAGTGAGATGATATTTGCAAAGATTTTTTCAAAGAGATCTAAGACGTTGATAAGTAATAGTGTAATCTTCATCATTAGAATCATCCTATTATCATCTAGTCAGGCTGTGACAGCGCACGGGAGTTGTGTGTTTATTGTGTAAAAATGACTCACCATGACAGTGATTTGGGGCTAAAAAATGAGGATAATTATGATCTCTAAGCTGCAAATGTCCATGCAGAGTGAAGGAAAGAGTTGAACTTTTTCATTTTTTTCATAATTTAGTCATTGTTCTCGATGAGTTTGTATTAAAGGAGCAAAAGCTTCTGCCCCAAATCCATCCACCATTCATTCATTAATCCATCCATCCATCTATCCAATCATCCACAACTAATAATAGGAAATAAAATATATATGCCAATAAAAATATTTGGCATTTGATAAGATTCCAGAATGAAAATGATGCCTGATTTAAGCATAAATAGAAATTGCTGAGGGGTTTTAAGAGTAATTTTCATGTATACATTCAGTTATTTATTTAGTAGATATTATTTAGCTACCAATTTCATACCAGGCATGGTGCTTGGTGCCCAGGGTATAATTGTTAGCAAACCTAGAGATGGCTGTACTTGATCTCATGCAACTCCTAGGTGATTCGTGAAATACATTAGGTCTGCATTTTAAGTGATTTTGTGGTGACAGTGTAAACCACATAGCAGACAGAGTAGAATAACTATGGAATGTCAGGGAGGAAGAGGTAGTTGCAATAGCCCAGGTGCTATTTTATGAGGAGTTGAGGTAAGGCAGGGAGATACATTGGTCAGAATTATCCACAAAAATAGATCAGATTATGGCCTCATATTTTCTGGTTAGTCTATATGCTATTGTATTATTCCATTTGCATTGCAATAAAGGAATACCTGAATCTAGGTAATTTTTAAAGAAAAGAGGTTTATTTGCCTTCTGCAGACAAGAAGCATGGCTCTAGCATCTGCTTCTGGTGAGGGCTTCAGGAAGCTTTCAATCATACAGGAAGAAGAAGGGGGAGCAGGTGTGTTACATGGTGAGCAAGGGCACAAGAGAGAGGAGAGGAGATGCCAGGCTGTTTTTAACAATCTTATCTCCTGGAAATGAATACAATGAGAACTCACTTATTACTACAAGGAAGGCACCAAGCCATTCATGAGGGCTCCACCCCCACTACACAAACATCTCCCACTAGGCCCCATCTCCAACACTGAGGATTGCTTTTTCAACATGAGATTTGGAGGGAACAAATATTCAAATGTTATCAGCTACCAACATGGCATTTATTTAATAAGAAGAGGTATAATGTAGGACCATATTCCCTTGTCTACCTTGAATATTCAAATTTGTGGTTATTTTCAAATGATGTTGCTCAGAACAGTAGAAATGGAAATAGAACCAACTCTCAATGAGATAGAATAGATGGATCTTCAAAATGAAACAGTGAATAATTGTCATGGAAATGACAGCCTGGGATGCACACAAAAGGAACAAATCTAATTTCAGATTGTGCAGTCAGGCAACAGAGCTAAGCAAAAATGAAAAGCTTTGTGAAAATTTCATGTCATAGTCTAATTTTGCATGTAAAATATCCGCCCACTTTAAGAACAGATAAAAAGTGCTTAACCTTAACAAATCTGTCTCTGAAAACTTTTCTGAGAGGTCCTGATAAGATGAATGAGATTTGACTATTGGGCTATTGGAAATTAGCCTGCTTGTCTGTGATGCTCCATATTTCTAAAACTGTGCATTGAATTTAGCGAACATCTACTAAAAATCCAGCACAGTGTGAGTGTCATAGACAATACAAAGTTGAATAAGACTTGGTTTATTTTCCAGAAGATCTCAGAATTTACTGATATGCAAATCAGAAAGGTAGAATAACACAGTGCTAAACAGGATGGACTTGAAGTAAGACATCCCTGGGTTCCAATTGTAACCGTCCAACAGGTTCATTTTGCCTGCTGCTCAGATAGAGCCGATTTATCAAGACAGGGGAATTACAATAGAGAAAGAATTCAATTCATGTGGAGGTAGCTCAATAGGATACCAGAGTTATGTTACTGAAATCAGTCTCCTCGAAAATTTGGAGACTACGATTTTGAAAGGATAGATTGGCAGGTAGGGGCAGAGGGAGTAAAGATTGCTGATTGGTCAGGTTGGAGATGAAATCATAGGAAGTCAAAGCTGTCATCTTGCACTGACTGGGTTCCTGGGTGGGGGCCACAGGACCAGTGAGCAAGTCTGGAGTGGAGCCATTCATGATCAGAAATGCAAAATCCTGAAAAGATATCTCAAAAGGCTAATCTTAGGTTCTGCAACAGTGATGTTATCTGCAGGAGTAATTAGGGAACTTGCAGATCTTGTGCCTAATTTGTTAGTCCTATAAAGGCAGTCTGGTTCCCAGGCAGGAAGGAGGTTTGTTTTGGGAAAAAGCTGTTATCATCTTTGTTTCAAAGTCAAAATACAAACTGAGTTCCTTCCAAAGTTAGAACAAGGGCAGCTTGGAGGTTAGAAGCAAAGAGTCGGTTAGGTCAGATCTTTCTTACTGTTATAATTTTTCAAATGATCACTGTTATAATTTTTTCAAAGGCAATTTCAAAATCCCAGCACTTTCTCCTAACATTAGTGTTCATAAGGACATTACAAAGTTCTCCATTAATTCCTGGTTTTGCTATATCTCAAATGAAAATAATATTAGTATTGCTTAAGTTTTTTATTCTGCATAACTAATAACCACAAACTTAGTGGTTATTAACCAACAACATTTATTATCTCACAGTGTCAGTGGGTCAGAATTCTGGGTACATCTGGTAAACTTGGTCCTCTCCTCAAGCTCCCAAAAGGCTGAAATGCAGGTGACAATTGAGCCGGCTTCTATCTGGAGCTTGAGGTCCTCTTCCCAGGTCACACGATTGTTGGCAGAATTTGTTTCTTTTTGGTTGTATGCCTGAGGCCCCCACTTGATGGCTGGCTGTCAGCTGGGGCCTGCAAATGGCTCCTGAAGGCCCCCGCGGTCTTGGCCATGTGGTTCTCTCATGATCCCTCTAGCCACAAGGCAACTCACATCTTTAAAACCAGGAGGGGCCGGGCGCGGTGGCTCACGCCTGTAATCCCGGCACTTTGGGAGGCCGAGGCAGGCGGATCACGAAGTCAGGAGATCGCGACCATCCTGGCTAACACAGTGAAACCCCGTCACTACTAAAAAAATACAAAAAAAAATTAGCCGGGCATGGTGGCGGGCACCTGTCGTCCCAGCTACTCCGGAGGCTGAGGCAGGAGAATGGCGTGAACCCAGGAGGCGGAGCTTGCAGTGAGCCGAGATCGTGCCACTGCACTCCAGCCTGGGTGACAGAGCGAGACTCCATCTCAAAAAAAAAACAACAACAAAAAAAAACAAAACCAGGAGGGAAGGTTCTCCACTGTCTAAACCTCCAGACTAACAAACAAACTTAGCTTCCTGGTATTCTCCCTTTTCAATAACAAGTCAACTGATTCAGGACTTTACATCTGTTAAGATTCCTTCACTTTTGCCATATTCTGTTGTTTAGAAGCAAGTTGCAGGTTTGGTCCACAGTAAGGGAGAAGGGATTATCATGGAGCAGAGAATATGTAGTGAATCTTAGAATTCTGTCTGCCATAAGTATTTACTTCACTGTTGTTTTCTTCATAATAAAATGAGGTAATGTGCATGTCTGGTGCGTATCAGGAGATACACAAGTTACTTATCTTCGAAACCCAAAATGCCAAGTGGCTGAAAAATACATTATTGTGGTCACCAGCAGAGGTAGATGGAGCCCCACCCAAAGTTTGGTTCAGATTTTGAGGCTAATGATGCCACACACACAGCAGGCGGGTTTGGACATAGGTGAAATAAGCCAGGCACAGGAAGACAAATGTGGTTTGATTTCACTTATCTGGGAAACTAAAAAAGGCAAACTCACAGAAGCGGAGAGTAGAATGATAGTTGCCTGCGGCAAAGGGAGGAGAAAAGGAAGATGTTGACAAAGGGTACAGAGGTTCAGTAACGCAGGATGAAAAAGTTCTGGAGATCAAACGAATATCATGGTGATTATAGCTGTATTTATGAAATGAGTGGGGATCTTAAGTATTCTTAGCACAAAACAATTAACTTTGATAAGTGATGAATATGTTAATGGGCTTGATAATAGTAACCATTCCACCATGAACGCTTGTATCAAAACATCACATTGTGTGCCTTAAGTATACAAAATTTTTATTTGTCAAGAATATTTTAATAAAGCTAAACAAAGGGTGTGGAAAGGCTAATTTCTTATATAACTGAGGTCTCTAGGAGAGCAGGGCAGGCCTCTCAAGCAGGCTGGAAATGGCTTGAGAGCCAGGATAGCGACTGGCCTGGGTTTCTCTTCTGGCTCAGGGTGGGGCCAGAGTGAAGGTTCCTACACAGACACAGGCTTGCATGGTTTGCATCTCCAGGCAGAGGCTGAAAGTGGGAGGACTGAGGCTTTCCTATCAGACGGTGAAGATATAGGCAGGAGCAAAGTAGGAAGGATGGGGCTTCAAAGCTGTCAGCAGTCAGACATCAAAACATAGAGTCAGACTCCTTATTACCCACGTGTTACAGCAAGACTGAGCCTGCCAGCTAAGAGCTGGCGTGGCAGCCCGGCACAGTTCTATGTGATGCAGCTTCCTTCTATCTTTCTGCTGTTCTATTCTCAGCATCACTCTTCCTTTTCTAGGGTCACTGTATGATGCACAATGGCTCCTGAAACTTTAGCCTTTTTATCCACATCCCAGGCAGCTACAAAGAGGAAGAAGAAAAAGTCTAAAAAGTGGCTTTCCCCAGCTCTCTGTCCCTCATTTGCAAAACTTCCTGGAAGTTCCTCCAAATAATGTGGGCTCACATCTTGCTGCGTGGCCATGACTTATGAGAGACGGCTAGGAGCCACAAGGGAGAATGGGAAAGACAGGCTTTTAGCTAAGCACAGTGCCAACCCTCGTGATATAGGAGTTTGGTGAGGGAGGGAAGTCTCTTTTTTGGATGTCAATTACCGAGCCCAGTGACTGGCATTTTCTAGAAATGTTATTTATTTTAAAATACTCACATAGAGCTTGTTAATTCCCCCCTCCCCCCATTGTTATCCTCTCACAGATCATGGTCCATTTGTCAAAACTAAGAAATGGACATTGGTCCGTTACCATTAACCAAACTCCGGACTTTATTTGGATGTCACCAGCTTTTCCTCTCACGTGTTTCCCAGATTGTGTTTAGTCAACATGTCTCCTTAGTCTCCTCTGGTCTATGCCACACTTTCTCACATTTCCCTTGTTTTTTTTAAGACCTGTACAGTTTTCAGGATGACTGGTGAGTTATCTAGTGAGCTGTCTCTCAATTTAGAATTTTCTGATGTTTCTCGTGATTAGAGTTTTGGAAAAAGACACCCAAAAGCCCCTTGTGCAAAGTCCTTCGTGCAAAGCTGTTCTTGTCCCATCATATGAAAGGATATGTGGCATTCACGTAAGATTGTCGAGATATTCACCTTGATGACCTACCTGGCAAGGTGGTGTTTTCAGGTTTCTAAAGTTGCTTTGTTTTCTCTTTTCCCTCTTTGGAAGTGGGTCACTGAGTTTAGTTCGTACTCAGTCGTGTGTGGTTCAGGGAGGGCATAAAGCTCTATTTCCTACAGGGAAGATAACTATACATATTATTTATAATTCTTCAGTAAAATAATTTGTCTCTTTTTCCTCATTTATTCACTCATTTATATTAGTATGGATTATGCATTTTTATTTTATACTTTGGCTTATAATCAATACTATATTGTTTATTGTATTGCTCAAGTAGTTCCAGCTTTGGCCATTGGGAGCTCTTTCAGCTGGCTCCTGTGACCTTTTGATGATATGCCCCCATCGTTTTGTGTTTTTTTGAGCCCTTTCTTAACGTACGGCACTGTAAGAGGCTGCTGGTTCGCCTTGAACTTTCCCTGCCCCAGCCCTAGAATCAGCCATTTCTCTGAGGAATCTTCATTCCTTTTATTAGAGAATGGTACTAAAAACTGAAGTCTGGTCACTGGGTGCACTTTGAGTTTATATTTGTCTGCTGAATACTGACATGGTGGAGATAAAGTTCCATATAACAATGGATATGACATTCAATGGAGACTGATAGTGTGATAACATGAAATGTGCTTTGTGAATGACGTCAGTGAATTTGTATACACACCATCTCATTTTATTCTCCTGTTAGCTCAACTGGGAGATATATTAAATAACACAATTCCCCAACTAATGCATGAGAAAGTGGAGACTTAGATGATCCAGTTACTTGCACATATCACACAACTTGTGATTGGCAGTGATAAACCTTGAAGCCACATTTCTTAGCTCTCCTTTTCAACACAACATGCTGTCTTCCAAAGATAAATTTTTTTACAGGCTTGCTTCCAAGGATTCAAGAAAGTTATCTATTTTATTTATAAATGAGTCAACAAGCATTATTAGTTTCATCTATTGGCCAGACATAGTTCTAGGCATGTTGGATCAGGCAATGCAACAGAAAATTTCCCCTTCATCATGTAGTTACCGCCTCATGGAGAAGAAAGTCAATACACAAATGAATAAGTAAGTAAATAATTTATGGAGTATTAGGTATTGTGCAGAAAACAACACTTGCCAGAAGAATGATGAAAAGTGGCTACACTTAACACGTGGCCAAGAAGGCCACACGTGCATTAGGACATGGCTGACATGAAGAACCAGATTTAAAATGATAAAAGAGCAAAGAAAGGCACTCCCCAAGGTCGGAAGGGGCTTGGCAGTTTCCATGAATGAATGGAGGCCAATGTGATCCCACAAGATAACTGAATGAAGGCCAATGTGGCTGAGCCATGAAGACTCTTTGGGTGTGTGGAAGTATCATAAAGTCAGGGAACTATGCAGAGGTCAGATAACAAAGGGCCTCATAGGGCATGTTAAGGAGGTTATATTTTGTTTTATTTTCTTATTTATTCTCAGAGCAGTGGGAAGCCATTGGAGCAGTTTTGGTAGGAGAGAGACACAATCTGATTTTCATTTTAAATGTTTTATTCTTACATTGGTGTGGAGGATATATACACCATATATTTCATCAAAATTAAGATACAATTGATTATAATAGCCACTCTTGTTTTTGAGATGTTAAAATTTGAAAGGAAAAAAAGAACTAGTGCAATATTAAAGTATCATCAACTGATTGTAAAATGCATTCCAATTTCAGAAGTGTTACATGTGAAAAAAATGTACATCTTAGAATATAGAAAATGCAGACACAGTTGACAAGTGTGCAGGCAGGGAGGCAAACAGGAGATGACTGCAGTCATGCAAGAGGAGTATGTCAGTGACTAGGCTGGTGTCATTGAGCTGGAGATAACTGAGCAGATTTGGGGTATATGTGATTGGAGGTAGAATGGGCTGGCATTGTTGACAAATCAGATATGGGGGTGAAAGAGAAGAATAACTTTTAGGTTTTTGGTTGGAACAACAGAATGATGATGCTAGCTTTACTGGGATACAAAAAGACATTTTGAAATGGGTCTTCACTCAACTTTTCACCTCATTTTTGGCTATATGAAAGTTGGCATGCCTACTAGACTTCCAAGTGAGATTGTTGAGCACATGGTTGAATAAGAAAGTGTGGATGCAATAGAGACAGGTGAGAGCTTAGGCTATTGATTAGAGAGTCATCCATATGGGGTAAAGTCATGAAATTGGATGAGAAGAGACTGAAGAGCAAAGATGATTAAAAACCCTAGAATTAAGCCCTGGGCATACAAAGATGATTAAAAACCCTAGAATTAAGCCTTGGGCATAGGAGGAGAAGCCAGCAAAGGAATTTACAAAAGTGAAGCCAGCATGGTAAATGGTGACAGGCCAAGTTTGGCATCACCAAGAAGGGTATGAAGAGGGAAAAGGGAAGAAATACTAATTACCTGGCATGCAGTTGCAAAGTTGAGTTTGATGGAGAAAGAATAGTGACTCTGGGCTTTGCAACATGGAGATTATCAATGACACCCTAGCCTTGTGCTACATTTAATATGCTGATTTACACCTTGAATGAGAGCATCTCACCCTTTCAGGAATTAGTAATGCTGAATATTGACTTTGACAATGTTCCCCTTTGTGTGGCTTTCCTCTCTTTCACAGCTGTAATGATACTACAAGATACCGAATATTTGCACCTTTATTTTTTAAAATGCTACCAATGGCACATTTTAAACCAAATTTGAAATTACTTAGTATAAATGATAAAATCAAAGAATTAAAATTTGGACTTGCTTTATATCAGAGTTAATTATTAGTTTATACAGTCAATAACCTTTTTTTTCAGAATATGTTTACAGGAGTTTTCAAATGTGTAGAAGAATGATTTTCTTTTGAAAATTAACCATACTTTGGGTGTTCTGGGTTTGGCTAATTATGAGAAATTCCTCTATTGACCATTCTCTGAGTATTTTAAATTTGTATAATTATGAAACGTTTTTTATGGGTGTAAATATAGGTACCATCATCAGGGAAAGAGAGCTTTATCCAAGTTCTATGTTATGGGGAAGTAAATGTTTTTGACATGGTACTCTTCACTTATCTGGAACATCAGTCACATCATGGGGGTAATTAGAGAGTAAAGAGCCACTGTGGTGGGTTTATTAAAACTATATATTTTCATAAACCATTTATTTTAGATTTAATTTTAGACTTATGGGAAATACTGTGAAGATAGCACAGAGAGTTCCTGTATATGCCAAGTACAGTTTCCCTGATTAACATTGTACAGTAATGTGCACACTATTGTGAAGTTATTGTCAAAACTAGTAAACCAATATTGTTAATATTTTATTAATTACAGTCCATATTTCATTCTTATTGTCTTAGTTTTTACCTTATATCCTTTTTCTGTTCCAGAATCCTATTCAAGGTACTACATTGCGTTTGGTCATTCTGTCTCCCCAGGATCCTCTTGGCTGAGATACATTCTCAGATTTTCTATGCTTTTGATGACATTGAGAGTTTTGAGGTACATGACTATGGTATTTGGTAGAATACCCCCTCCATTTAGATTGGCATGAGGTTTTCCTCATAGTTTATACTGGAGTTTTAGATTTGGGGGAGGAAGAAGTAAATTGTCATTCTCATCATATCCAGGGTACAGATCACCAACATGACTCATGATTGTTGATGTTAAATCTGATCACCTGGCTGAGCGAATGCTTCTCAGGTTTCTCCACTTTACAGTTATTCTCCTTTCTTCCTTTCCATATTGTACTCATTGGAAGAAAGTCACCATGCTCAGCTCATTCTTAATTAGTAGGACGTTATGCTCCACCTCACTGAGGGCAGGGTTTCTCCATCAATTATTTGGAATTCTTCTGCACAGAAGATTTACCTCTTCTCTCCTGTGTATTTGTTTGTTTATTCATGCATTCATTGAGGTAGTCATTTACTCAACAGTCCACATCAGTGTGGATTCACAGACATATACTTTATACTTTGGGCTATAATCCAATATGACTTATTTACTATACTGCTGTAATTCATTCTTCCAGGTTTGCCTTTGGCAGCTCTTCTAGTTAGCCACTGTGTCCCTTTGACACGTCTCCATCTGTGTGTGTGTGTGTGTGTGTGTGTGTGTGTGTGTGTGTAGCACTTTGTTACTTCCTGGTACTGCATGAGCTTCATGTTGTATGTTAATTGTCGTTGTACTATTACCAGCCATTTATTTGAGGAAACTTGGCTTTCGTTTTCAGGCATGGCGTTAGAAACCAATATCTGGCTTCTAGTTGTGCTCATTACTACTGGGATGTCATTTATTTTAAATGATCTCAGCTGACTGAGCAAAGAAATATATATTTGTATACTAAGCTGTAAATATATATATTTCTATATGTAAGCCTCTGTGTATAAATATTAAACTAAGCATAAGTTCATACTGATGTCTTCAACTGTTATCCATTACCACGTGGATCAGTCTTGTTTCTTTCCATTGCCTATCTGTATATTCTACTCCAACCATGAGGAAGCTAGCTCCCACCATCCACCATCCATTTACCTAATTGTTCAGTTCCCAGTATACATGTACAGTGGTTTCAAAATTTTTAATATAAGAACTCTTTGAATACATATTTATTTCATTTTGTGCATCTAATGTTGGTTATAGAAAGACATTTTTCTGGCTGGGCGCGGTGGCTCGTGCCTGTAATCTCAGCACTTTGGGAGGCCGAGGCGGGTGGATCATGAGATCAGGAGATCGAGACTATCCTGAATAACACAGTGAAACCCCATCTCTACTAAAAATACAAAAAATTATCCAGATGTGGTGGCAGGTGCCTGTAGTCCCAGCTACTCGGGAGGCTGAAGAAGGAGAATGGCATGAACCCCAGAGGCGGAGCTTGCACTGAGCTGAGATCACAACACTGCACTTCAGCCTGGGCAGCAGAACGAGACTCCGTCTTTAAAAAAAAAAAAAAAAAGAAAGAAAAGGAAAGACATTTTTTTTATCATGGTTAATCTGAAAACCAGCGTGCATAATATGTTGAAATTTACTCGACTTAAATAAGAATTGAAATTTTTTGCTTTAAATTTTATATTTGTGAATATAATTTATGTATATAGTTTTTTATTTTTACCTAATTATGGATTCGAAATAGTCATATGTATGTATGTAGGTAGTTTTTAAAAATAAGTAGTAATGCATGCAAATATCTTAAAAGTAACAAAAGCCAAAATTTTTCTTTTAAGTAACATGAAACAGCAGTCTGCCTCCCTGCTCCATTCTTTATACCCGCTCTCCAGGAAAAAGTCATATTCAGTTTTTCTTTTCTTTTTTTTTTTTTTTGAAACAGGGTCTCACTGAGAAGTGCAGTAGTAGAATCTCAATTCACTATAACCACAACCTCCTGGGCTCATGCCATATTCCCACCTCAGCCTCATAAGTAGCTGAGACTATGGGTGTATACAATCATGCCCAGCTATTTTTTTTTTCCTAGTGGTGGAGGTCTCGCTATGTTGCTCAGGGCAGTCTCAAACTCCTGGCCTCAAGTCATCCTCCCACCTTGGCCTCCCAAAGTGCTGGGATTACAGATGTGTAATTGCCCAGCCATATTCAGCTTTTCAAGCTTTTTTTTCCTTCCTATGTTTACTTCAACATTCCTAAATAATATGCTTATACTCATATTTCTTCATATAAACTTTAACCTGAAAATTTATATCTAATAACGTTTTTGTGAGGAGATAAGAAAAAACACTAAGATATTTAATTGGTTCTTCAATAAATTTTGACCAATCTTTTTGTATTTAGCCCTACCCACACACCTTGCTTATAGAGACACCAGGTATCCTTTCATCATAGATTCTTAACTTTCAGTACTCTTAGGTTGGATATGTTGTTGCCACTTGCTCACCAGCTTTCTACTTTCCAAATTTGATTAACGTATTTCTTTTGCTCTTCTTTTATTTCTTCTTGTTTTTATAAGTGTATGCCTTTTGAAATGACTTTACTGCTGTTTTAGTGGGGTTTTTGGAGAGCAGAAATAAATGCCTACATTTAATTCACTTATGTGTAACTAGAAGTTAGAAGCCAGTTTTAAAAAATATGCAAGTTTACTTATAAGTAAATTATGAGATTTTTTTGGTGATATTACCTGTATTATTTTTATTATGAGTACATTAATTTAAATAACATATTACACAGGAAAATGCAAGTTTCTCCATCATGCTGCCTTACCCCTCCTACTCACCCAAGTGCTGCTCTTTAGATTGGCATACCTTTTGTTGGATTGATTAATTTTTGCATTGTTATACATTTTTATTCACTTGATATATATTAACCTATATCAATTTCCTCAATTGCTGCATATTATTCTATTGGTCAGATGTATCGTAACTTACTAATTCATGATTTATGGCCAATTAGTTGCTAATTTTTTAAAAATAATTTTACATGGGCATCTTTTAAAAAAGTTGAAGTTTAGATAAAAATGGAAGTGGTGAAAGCTAAACTTGTAATTGTTACTCATAGGCATGTAGATTTTTAAAAGAAGTTAATCACATTCTGTTAGCTAATGTAGTACAATGACATTTAATGAGAAATGTTTTCCTAAAGACCTTTCGTGATCCCCAAATCACACAATTCAAGATTATTTTTGCACTAAGAATAAAAGTAAAGTGTGTGGGAGTATATTTTCAGATCATATAATTCTGCAACCATTGCAGCATATGATTTGTCATTGTTGCTTTAAATTTTTACAATATGATTGTTAATATTTTACATAACATTCTTTAAGATCATAGCACAGCATATCACTTATTTTTTTTAAAAAGTTTTAAAAATTTTTTCTTGATTTTATTTATTGAGTTTTTTTCAGACCTCTGAGAAGCTGTGAATTATATAACAGCATGGCATATCATTCTGATTATTTAGAATCACAATTTAAAATCAAATTTGTTGTGCCAAGTTATCACAACAAATATCATTTATTTTCAGGTATGGTTTCTAGTGTTAGCACAAAACAAACATTCCTTATTGGATACTTGGAATGCATCATTATGAGATCTGAAAAGAGTTTAAATTATAACAGTCTATATTAAGTGATATCAAAAGAGTCACGAATTCATTTATAGGAATTTATTTTAAAAACATTATGTCCATATAATCTGTCCAAAGTTTGGCACTCATTTCTGTTTACCAGCTAGAGAGTTGGATAACCATGAAGCAAGCATAAAAGCTAGATTTGCAACTCATTCAACCAGCTCTAAGATGATAGTGCTGATGGTTTCTTGAGATATTCACATTATTTAAAATTTTGAGCCTAAGTTGAGATTCATTAATATTTTAATATCACAATATTTCAAATTTACATAATTCATATTTGAGTTAAATGTGATTTAACTGTATACATACACATACAGACACATAATAATATATATTTTAATATATATATATTGAGGTGACATTATCCATTATATTTATATATTTACTGTAACAACTCATGTCTAATAATAAGATAATAGGATGCTGTGATATGAACTATTTGACATGATTTTACTTACTTTCTCACTGCTTATGAATACAACCTGACTTTAGAAATCAATTTATATGCGTGTATAGACATATACATACATACATACGCAAGCATTATATGTATGTTGTGTTGCATTTGTAAGAGTGCTAGGCACTCTAATTTTTTAGCTAATTCAATTACTATCACATGTGGCATTAAGCATTGTGAAGGAACAGACTTTTAAAGCGATTATAAGTCCATTAACCATCCCTACCTCCCCCCAACCCTAGCTACCCTTCCCAGCCTCTGGTAACCATCTTTCTACTCTCTATTTCCATGAGTTCAATTATTTTGATTTTCAGGTCCAACAAATAAGTGAGAACAAGTGATGTTTGCCTTTATGTGTCTGGCTTATTTTATTTAACATAATGATCACCGAAAATTAAATTAAAAAAACAAAGAAAAACAGATTAGACAATAAAAAGAAATATTTTAGTTAGTTCTAAAGAGGATTTATCTTTAGTCTATTTCCAAGAAATAATTTAAACCATCTATATTATTGTTAAGTCTTAGCACTGACTTGCAAATTTATAGACTACAATCATGTAGCTTTTAACCATTTATTATTTTTTGTTATAATTTTCCAGTATTTTAGGATTTGGGGAGATGACCATATCAATAATCAAATAATCCAAAACATTAATCAAAGTATATTTAATAGTTATTACAAAGCCCATGAATATTTTTGTAACATATCAAAGTAAATATTATTAAATAAAAGATTTTTAATTACAGATTTTGTCTTGCAGATTAAAATTATTTAATTTGAAGCATCTCATCTGTCTCTACAGAGCTACATGTAATCCAGTGTTAGCATTCAATTTTGTTTTGTTTTGTTTTGTTTTGTTTTGTTTTGTTTATTTGAGATGGGGTCTTGCTCTGTTGCCCAGGCTGGAGTGCAGTGGCGCAATCTCGGCTCACTGCAAGCTCCGCCTCCCAGGTTCACACCATTCTCCTGCCTCAGCCTCCCGAGTAGCTGGGACTACAGGCACCTGCCACCGTGGCCGGCTAATTTTTTGCATTTTTAGTAGAGACGGAGTTTCACCGTGGTCTCGATCTACTCACCTCATGATCTGCCTGCCTCGGCCTCCCAAAGTGCTGGGATTACAGGGGTGACTGGCCAGCATTCAATTTTCCCTAGATGTCCAATCATTTGAGATCATCGTTCCCATTTGTATGTAACAGTGTAATTATAATGACTATGTTTCCAAAATCTCCTTCTCATTGTCTCTGGACGCTCCAGTCGACACTTACTTTTATTCTGTACTTTCACTGAATTCTCAATCTCATTCCAATTCTAATATATTATTCTCTTTCTCTGGATCATCTGACCCAAAAGGAGAAGACCAACCTTTTTTTAAAAAATTTTCCCCAAAACATGATTGTAAATATCTGTGTTAAGTAGGCATTTCTTTGTGATTTGTGGTTAATGGAAGATTACTTTGAAGCATAGCATAAAATTGAGTATTATACAACCTTGTTCACTGAAGATAATTCAGCCTCTTTCACCATCACCAATTTCTCCCTGATCAACTTTTCCCCAGCCTCCCTGTGTGGACAACATGTGACCCGCATTCTATTTTCTGTTTGGGTCCCCTTCATAAGACTCTTTCTCTCCAAACACAGCCATCAGCTGACAAAAAATTCAGAATTCTCCTTGCACAGTAGTTCTCACATCTCTACCTTTTCAGACCAGTCCATTATAGAAAGAAGGTCTCTAGAATGGCAAATTTTACATGTCAATTTAACTAGGTCATGAAGTGCCCAGATAGTTAGTCAAGCTTTATTCTGGGTCTTTGTGAGTGTTTGGGGGGTGAGACTAACATTTAAATTAGTAGATTTTAACAATGAGTTAGATTAACATTTAAGTCAGTACAGTAAAGTTGATTGTGCTCCATAATGTGGGTGGGACTCGTCCAATCACTTGAAGGTCTGAGTAGAACAGAGACCAATCCTCTCCCGGGTAAAATAGATTTTTCCAGCTGACTGCTTTGTGATTTGTTATAAACCCAATGCTTGAACTCTCCAGCATTCATATATTAAAACTCTAATATGATGGTATTAGGAAGAAGGAATTAGGGAGGTTACTAGGATTATATGAGATCACCAGGCTGGAGCCATCATGAATGGGATTAGTGTCCCGTTAGAGTACCAAGAGAGCTTGCTTCCTCTCTCCACCTTGTGAGGGCACCACTAGAAGACTGTTGTCTATGAACCAGGAGTTGGGCCCTCACTAGACACTGAATCTGCCAGTGCTTTGTCTTGGAATTCCCAGCCTCTAGAACTATCAGAAATAAAAGTTTGTTTAAGCCATCGCCATGCAGTTTACAGTATTTCATTATAGCATCCTGAGCTGACTAATAAGACTTCATCTGCTGCATTGTCTCTCCCTGGGTCTCTTGCACCATTACCAGCCTCCATAATCCCATGAGCCAATTCTTTTATTTTGTAAATTGTGTGGATACAGGAGGTGTATATATTTATGGGATACATAACATATTTTGATACAGGCATACAATGTATAATAATCACATCAGAGTAAATGGGGTATCCATCACCTCAACCACTTATTCTTTCTTTGTGATAAGAACAATCAATTATACTCTTTTAATTATTTTTAAATGAACAGTATTATTGACTGTAGTTCACTGTTGTGCTATCAAATACTAGATCTTATTCATTTTCTCTAAATATATTTTTGTACCTATTAACCATTCCTACTTCCCCCGACTACCCTTCCCAGCATCTGTTAACTATCATTCTGTTCTCTATCTCCATGGGTTCCATTGTTTTAATTTTTTTAGCACCCACAAATAAGTGAGACCATGTGAAGTTTGTCTTTCTGTGGCTAGCTTATTTCACTTAACAAAATAACCACCATCCATGTTGTTGCAAATAACAGAATCTCATTCTTTTTTATTGCTAAATAGTACTCCATTGTGTATATGGACTCCATTTTCTTTATCTATTCTTCTGTTGAGGAATACGTATGTTGCTTCCAAATCTTGGCTGCTGTGAATAGTGCTGCAGTAAACATGGGAGTGCAGGTGTCTCTTCAATAAATTGATTTCCTTTCTTTTGGGTACATACCCAGCAGTGGGATTGCTGGATCACATTTTACATGTCAACTTAACTAGGCCATGAGGTGCCCAGATAGTTAAGCAAGCTTTATACTGGGTCTTTGTGAGGTTTTTTTTTTTTTTTTTTGGTAGGGGGGTGAGATTAACATTTAAATTAGTTTAAATTTTAACTAATTTTTTAGTTTTTTGAGGAATGTCCAAACTATTCTCCATAGTGGTTGTACTAATTTATATCTCCACAAACAGTGTACAAGGGTTCCTTTTTCTCCACATCCTCACCAGCGTTTCTTGGTGCCTATCTTTTTGTTATATGCCATTTGAACTGGGGTGAGATGATATTTCTTTGTAGTTTTGATTTGCATTTTTCTGATGATAAATGACGCTTAGCACCTTTTCATAGGCCTGTTTGCCATTTGTGTGCCTTCTGTTGAGAAATGTTTATTCAGCTCTGTTGCCCATTTTTTTTATCGGATTACATTTTTTCCTATAAAATTATTTGAGCTTCTTATATATAGTGGTTTTGAATCTTTTGTCAGACGGATAGTTTGCAAACGTTTTCTCCCGTCTTGTGGATTGTCTCTTCACTTTGTTGATTGTATCTGTTGCTGTGCATCATGAACCAACTGATGTGTGCATCGTGTGTGTGTGGGTGTGCGTGCGCGCACATCTTATTGGTTCTGTTTCTCTGGAGAATACTGACGAATACAATCTCTTCAATCCCCTCCTATGACCCACGAAGCTATTTTGCTAAATAGAGGCATCTGCTACCGGCTCTTAAATTTGCAAACTTTAATATTATTGTAGTCTTAGTTATGTGCACTTTCTCGTCAATCTCTAAGGGAAAAGGGAGCTATGTAGCAATTTATTTTCACACTGATATTAATTTTGCTGACTCCCTTACCTACCTCCCTGCCTGAGTCAAGAAATGTTCCCATAAGAGGTTGTTGTTTTTTAACTGAGCTTAGTTTACATGTTTTTATTTTAAAGAGATATTTATTCTATTATTACATTTATTCTCATGGGTTGCCTTCTTTAAAAAATGAGTGTCTAATTTAACAGTTTAAATCTAATGAGAAGGTTGCAGGTGCTGAGAACTTGAAAAATTTGATTGTGATTTGTCCACATGCAGTAGCACATTCTACAATTCTCAGAGTCCCAGAATCAGGAGAAAATCAATAAAATGATCAGCTTGTATCACTCAGAAGGCAATGTCGCTGGACCATAAAAGGCGAGTCCCAGTAAATGCTCTTACATTATCTCCTTCTAATACAGTGATGTAGAGCTAGCAGTATAGTACAGGAAAATAACTGGAAATGTATTTTGTTAATATATTTTTGGGAGAATGGTAGTATCTGCTACAAATTTTAGTAGTACTTTAAAGTAGACTTTATCAACCTCAGCATTGTTGAGCTTTTGAACTGAATAGTTCCTTGCTGGGGGAGGAGGAGAAGAAGGAAGAAAGGAGGGAAGGAAAGGAGGAAGGGACGGGGAGGGAGGAAAACAGGGAGGGAGGGAAGAGAGAAAGTTAGTTGTAAAGGGAGGTGCAGATGAAAGTCCACTTAAATGTTAGACCTAAAACCATAAAAATCCTAGAAGAAAACCTAGGCATTACCATTCAAGACATAGGCATGGGCAAGGACTTCATGTCTAAAACACCAAAAGCAATGGCAACAAAAGCCAAAATTGACAAATGAGATCTAATTAAACTAAAGAGCTTCTGCACAGCAAAATAAACTACCATCAGAGTGAACAGGCAACCTACAAAATGGGAGAAAATTTTCACAACCTACTCATCTGACAAAGGGCTAATATCCAGAATCTACAATGAACTCAAACAAATTTACAAGAAAAAAACAACCCCATCAAAAAGTGGGCGAAGGACATGAACAGACACTTCTCAAAAGAAGACATTTATGCAGCCAAAAAACACATGAAAAAATGCTCATCATCACTGGCCATCAGAGAAATGCAAATCAAAACCACAATGAGATACCATCTCACTCCAGTTAGAATGGCAATCATTAAAAAGTCAGGAAACAACAGGTGCTGGAGAGGATGTGGAGAAATAGGAACACTTTTACACTGTTGGTGGGACTGTAAACTAGTTCAACCACTGTGGAAGTCAGTGTGGTGATTCCTCAGGGATCTAGAACAAGAAATACCATTTGACCCAGCCATCCCATTACTGGGTATACACCCAAAGGACTATAAATCATGCTGCTATAAAGACACATGCACACGTATGTTGATTGCGGCATTATTCACAATAGCAAAGACTTGGAACCAATCCAAATGTCCAACAATGATAGACTGGATTAAGAAAATGTGGCACATATACACCATGGAATACTATGCAGCCATAAAAAATGATGAGTTCATGTCCTTTGTAGGGACATGGATGAAATTGGAAATCATCATTCTCAGTAAATGATCGCAAGGACAAAAAACCAAACACCGCATGTTCTCACTCATAGGTGGGAATTGAACAATGAGAACACATGGACACAGGAAGGGGAGCATCACACTCTGGGGACTGTTGTAGGGTGCGGGGAGAGGGGAGGGATAGCATTAGGAGATATACCTAATGCTAAATGACGAGTTAATGGGTGCAGCACACCAGCATGGCACATGTATACATATGTAACAAACCTGCACATTGTGCACATGTACCCTAAAACTTAAAGTATAATAAAATAATAATAATAATAATAATAATAATAATATAAAGAAAGTCCACTTAACATAGACACTTCTGTTTGTGGTATTGCTCTGGTTTTAATGTCCTTCATATGGAAACATCCATCAATTAAAAATTATATTGAACTTTCATGCTTAAATTATTTTTTTTTCAGAATTGAAAAAGGACACTTAAAACATTTTCATTACAATATTCACCATTCCTTTGGGAAGTGAGTTCTCAAAGACATTTGAATGTTTTCCTCACCTACCTATTTGGGGGTATAAGGCAACTACTGTAAGAAAAGATTATTTTGAAAAAGAATTCTAGGTCCATTTTCCTACAGGGAATTGTGAGAGCTTATGACTCATTCCTGATTACTCAAATAAAAGTCATTCCTTTAAATAACTTACGATAACGCCCTTAATAGTTTTCACAGGCAACTTCAAATGTTATTTTTTTAAGAAGGTGAAGATGTCTTATTTCTTTCTTTCTTCGCATAGATTTATTTTTCCCATTTACCTCTCATAGATAATGTGTCATATATTTCCTTCATAAGACGTATAAATCTCTAAGACTACCTTTGGAGATTTTAAGGATCAAAAAAGTCAAATAAAATCAATACTTTATATTATTATATGCAAAGTTGTATGCGGAGTGCTGTAGTGGATACCCATTTCTGTGAGTCCTCAGAGAGATTTCAATATAATCTGAAAGGTGACATTAACAGCAAAGTTGGGAATGTGAGAGAATGAAGGGTGGGAAGTGTGGAGAGAAAATGTTAACAGCTAATCACAACAGGGCAGAAACCACGAGTCGGGGTGGGTGTGGAGAAGCATGATTATTGGCCAAATATATGATTTTCCTGCTATGAAATTTTGAAGATGCTAAATTTAATTGAGATTTGAATATAATTAATATCTCACATTGAGGTAGGTTAGATAGGGTGTTCATAGCCTCCTTCAGCAGAAAACAAGAAACTTGTCAAATTGATAGAAAGAACAAACCACCCACATGTACCCAGACGACATCCTGAGCTTGTAGTGACAAAATCCTACAGCAAAGAGGTAGAGGAACGGAAGGGAAAGTCCCCAAATTCACAGAAGCACAGAAACCCTGAGCAGCCCGTTCTGATCCGCTGTCAGAGTGTGTGTGTTCGCTGTGCAGGCAACTCTCCTGCTCACTCTTACTTTAGACTCACTCACAAATTCTTTTGTGTTGCGGAGAGAAGAGCCTGAATTTGTGCACAGACAATGGAAATATCTTTCCCCTTTGTCTCCCAATTTCTAAACCCACTGTCTCTGCAGCTAAGTGATATCCAAATTTCTTCGTGGCTCAAAATAGATAAGGGTTCCAACATTTGGGTTTAGGTAATACTAATGCAACAAGTTGTAAAGGACACACTCTGAGTTCCCAGAAAGCGATTGGGTTCTGAAATACACACATGTCTGAAATACACATTTCAAAGAGTGGAGTAAATGCTTTACATGTATGAAGTTTTACATTTTTCTTTCTCATTTGGATAAGCCTGAAAGATGTGAAAACATTTCTTAGTTGTCATATCAATATGCCAATTATTGGCATTCTCTTCAGTATTTGTTGTATACTATGGATAATTGTTGACCTTTTTTCCCCCCAAATCACAAGTTCTTCTGAGAATGTCCATTCTGTGTTCTTCGTGAAAGTGAAATACCGGTTTCTTTTTTATTATTTCTTTCTAAGTGTGAATTTTTCTTGTCTTTTATTTCACACAACTGTGAATGTGTCTTCTCTTTTATTGTTATGCTGAAGTTAATTTTTTTAATCCTTTGCCTCCAAAATGAATAATTCTCCCCCAAGCACCCAAGGAAGTGGATTTTTTCATGTGTTCTGTGTAGTGAATGTCTTTTATCCCCCACTTCTTGAAATTCTTCTCTTTTTTTTTTTTTTGCTCAGGTAACATTTATCTACTTTGTCTCTTCCATGCCACAAAATGATGAATTTTGAAGGGTGATTTTTTTTCCACTTTTCTGTTAAGTGAGGAAGCAACAAAAGGACTTAAAGTTGCAGTTATAACACTCTTGCCAGTGTCTTCTTTTAGAAATTCATGCAATTATTTACTTCTGTGAACTCTTACTGGGTTGGCTGATTCCTTCCCTCTTGGTGGTACTCCTGAATGTGTATTTCTAAGATTAAATATAACTCTATATTTAATAAACATAAAAGGCTTTATTTAAACATTGAAAATATTCTACTTTCTGCATAATTTTTAAACTTACAATACACTGCTAATGGGCTTATAATGACTAATGGTAAGCTTATTTTTTAATGACTTTCTGAGAGATTACATTTCTATTTCTAATTTTTCTCTGGTTTACATGATAAGAACTGGTCAGGACAACTCTTCTACCCGGTCATCTTACTCTTATATACAGACATTTATTCATTCACCAAATAATTATTGAGGACCTATTATGTGCCATACAAGAGGCTAGAGGCTGGGTGTAAGTAGTTAATTATTGAGATCTGGCCCCACTCCTCTGGTGTTAACAGTTTAGTTAGGCAGACAGTCTTGAAATCAATAAACCAATAAATGATCCATGCAACTGAATACACCCTGATTTTCCACTGGAGGGAGACGCAATTCCTTTTCACCCTCTACAGCTATCTGTTTTCCCATTTCTCACAATAATTATTGCTGGTACTTATTGAGAGGTGACTATGCCAGAGACTTTTGTTATGTTTTTTATTTACATTATTTTGTCTGATCCTCAGACACCCTATAAGATCTAACATTATATGCAGTCTATAGATATGGAAACTGAGTCTGGGAATGGCTAAGTGTCATTGTGAAAGCCAACTGTGGAGCCAAAGTCAAACTATGGACCTCCTTGAGCCTGGATGAATTCACTTGACTTTTTCCTGTTACTGCCAGAAAAATAACCCCTTCCTTTTTCTAACGGAAACCTTCTCTCTCCAGTCAATCAGTCAATCAATCAGTTCAAGGACTTTTTTTCCCCAAAACCACTAATATGCATTTTGGGCAACTTCAATGGAAGTTACCTGGTTATTTATTTATTTTTTAGTCAGTCATTTATTTATTTTTTACTCACTTGTATGCTTGGGAGTCCAGTAGCACGAATAAGAGTTTATTCACCACAGATGCTTTCAGGTAGAGGCTCAGTAAATATTTGTTGCATTAAAGAATGTGAGAAAAGGCTGGGTGTGGTGGCTCATGCCTGTAATCCCAGCACTTTGGGAAGCCAAGGCAGGTGGATCATGAGGTCAGGAGCTCGAGACCAGCCTGGCCAACATGGTGAAACCCTGTCTCTACTAAGAATACAAAAATTAGCCAGACGTGGTGGTGCGCGCCTGTAATCCCAGCTACTCAGGAGGCCGAGGCAGGAGAATCGCTTGAACCCGGGAGGCGGAGGTTGCAGTGAGCCGAGATCATGCCATTGCACTCCAGCCTGGGCAATAGAGTGAGACTTCGTCTCTAAATAAATAAACAAATAAATAAGTTAGGAAAAAAACCTATGATTAAGAAACATATTCTTATTTAGGAGGACCTCACAATCCAAATGAACCCAAGAAAATCTCGTCCAATATAAAGCAAAATAATGTGTCATTAGAGGGATAAGCACAGAGGGATAAAAAGGAACTATTGGCCTGGATTTCAGGCTTAGAAGTTAAAGAGGAATGCCTAAAGGTGTGAAAATGGAAATTGAGTTCCAAAGATTAATTTGATAAGACACGAGAAGTGGTGGAGGAGTACATGCTAAGATGGTCATAGCCAATTCAGAGTGTTTCAGCTTTGCGCTGTTGAGATTTGGGTTAGGGAGTTATTTGTCATGCAGGGCTGTCTTGGGTCTTGTAGAATGTTGAGCAGCATCCCTGGCCTCTATCCACTAGATGCCAGTAGCACATCTCATGCCTGAGTGGCAACAATCAAACATATCTCCAGACATTGCCAAATATTCCCTTGGGGCTAAAATCACCCCTGGTAGAGAACCACTGGCCTGATATTTAAACATATGTTTCAATGTAGTTGTGAAGATTAGAGATAAGCAATAAGTTTGAGACCCAGATTGAATGATGCCATTATCAGAAGGAAGCTGGAATCAATTAAAGGAAAGGTTTTGCTAAAGAAACTAAGGGATTTCACTGTAGGATTGACTCATTGGGATGATTTCAAAAGGAGAACAACTTCAGATATTAATTCCAGAAGAAACAGCACTTGAGAGGAACAGTTGTGTTGTCTACATTAAAGTCATTCTTGTCCCTCTCCCGAGAACTGTCACTTGATACCTCTGAATATGTGTGTATGTGTTTCTATGTACACTTTATTAACTTGAAATAAGAAGGCAGGTTGTGTCAGACAGTTCCAGTGCTCATAAGCCTCAGGAAGCTGTTTCTATAAGCACTTTCAGATGCTTATAGAATGCTCTCCTAGCATTGATAACCCATTATTTTAATACCTTTTATTGAATTCTGTTTCCCCCATGTTCACATCAAGTAAGTATATTCAATTCAGCTCCCTAATTACTGAGAGCCTGGGCAACACTAGGTGAGATAAGGTAAAACACTGTTCTTGATCTCAGGGAAGCAGCATTGCTCGAGCACATGAGGTTGGAAGTTACCTAAATCTGAGTTTGTATGTTGTTAATTGACCCTTGTGACATTACTGAGGTTATTCAGCTTCCATAAGTGATGGTTTTCTTATCTATAGAATAGGGATGATACTGGTAACACAGTCTTAGAGCTGTCAAGATCGAGGAGTGAGTGACCACAGATTGCTGCACCTGTGCCCTTCTTGTTGCTGGACAGGGGATCACCATGATTTGCAGGCTACTAGGTAGGTAATATTAGTGATTGAAACAATAGGGCCAGAGAAGTCCTTTTGAAACTGTATGGGGTGGGCTGGGCACAGTGGCTCATGCCTGTAATCCCAGCACTTTGGGAGGCCGAGGTGGGAGGATCACAAGGTCAGGAGTTCGAGACCAGCCTGGCCAATATGGTGAAATCCCATCTCTACTAAAAATACCAAAGTTAGCTGGGCGTGGTGGTGGGTGCCTCTAGTCCCAACCATTCGGGAGGCTGAGGCAGGAGAATTGCTTGGATGCGGGAGGCAGAGGTTGCAGTGAGCCGAGATTGCGCCAATGCACTCCAGCCTGGAGACAGAAGGAGACTCTGTCTCAAAAAAATAAAAATAAATAAAAATAATAAAAAAATGTGTGGGGTGGAATGGAGAAATGGTGTCTTAGTAGGAGGGGATCCCCAAAAACACTGATAGGGAAGAGGGAAGGGATAGGAAAGAAAGGCAACTAATGCAACCAGTGTAAAACATGTACCTTTGAGTTATCCCATTCAAGGGATGAGATAACTGGGGCATTTATACAAATTCTGTCAGTTATTATTGAGGATTTTTTCCAAGAAGTGAGAATTATCTGGCATGGTCTGGGTACAATGTCAGACATACCACATCATGGCAGAGTGCATAGGGTTGCCAGACATAAAAATTAATAGTACAAGATGCCCAGTTAAATTTGAATTTTGGGTGAACAGCTATTTTTTTTCTATTTATATAGGTATGGCCCATGCAATATTTGTGACATACATACACTAAAATATTACCTCTTGCTTATCTGCAATTCAAATTTAACTGTGCATCCTGCATTTTCTCTGGCAACTCTGAGTGGATTCTGGTTGCCAGAGAAAGTTCTTAAGCAAGGATATGCAGTTTCTGGCAGTTGAAACTCAGACTGGCATGCGCCAAAAGGGTAAGGCTTGAGAGAAAATAGGCGAGGCACCATCTGCTCACCACATTGGACATAAGCATACGTGCTAGTGTCTAAATAGCATCCATAATATTTGTAACTGGCCATGAATACCTTGGCTTACACTGACTAGCTCAGGGATGGGTATACGACAGTCAGACTCAGGGTGTCAGTTTTGGTTTTTCCCTGGAGTTATTGAGAATGATGTGTTTTCTTTTGACCTCAGTTTCTACATTGGAATTATTTAAACCTGAGACAAACTTTCCTGATCTCAGGTAAGAAATCTCATATAGCATGAGCATCTTAGAATTCTGCCTACTACACAATCTTAGGAAGGAGCTGAAGAAGGGAGGGGTTGGGATTAGGAGAGACCAAACAATTATTGCCAAAGAGTGAGCAGTACTTTTGCACCACTGAATTGTAACATAGATACAATTTACAACCTCACTAGGTACTAGCTAGATAACAGATAACTCTCTTACTACGTAGTTAGCACTTTATTGGCTTGAAAGCAGTAGGCAATCTCACAAGGTATGAAAACTATTTCTGTATTAAAGCAAAGATGGCAGGCCTAGGGGTGGGCAGAGGAGGGGTCTGTCTCATTAAATCCTCAGTTTTAATGGTACTAAACAGGCAAAAGAAATCAACTATACAAAAGGGAGGCCTGTGATTGACACCAGCTTCCCCCATTTTTCCAGGGCCCCCCAGGAGTGATACACAGATATGTGTAGCAATGAGGGGTTGTCACACTGTGTCAAAGGAAATGTCGTCTGCCGCTCAGAGCGGAAGGTTTTAGAGCTAAAGAAAACACACCTGGGGTGCAATATACATACTGAGGCTGGCACTAAATCAAAGCATATTAGAGGAGTTTTTGCAGAAGTGAGGCTGGTCTGAGCACTGTCAGTTTCTCTGGGTTCCCAACCAGGCATGTTACAGAAGAAATTCATATCAGCCATGTGGACAATTCATCTGTTGGTCTCAAAGCAACTGCCAAACTGTCTTTGGTACATGACAGCAGGAAGAAATTTCCTTCTCAAATCAATGATTCAAATACAGGGACTCACTGGATTGGTTAAAGAGGGACGAAGAGTAAAGGAGATGAAGATGTGGAGACCCGTGATGTGAAAGGCGGAAGGAGCTAAGGGAGATCTGATGAAGACAATTAAATGAACTTTAAGCGGCTCATAGAGACACCTCTGGAGATTTCAGATAAGTCACCTGTCAAAAGTCATTTTCTTACAGGACACAGTTCACTCCCTATTGATTATGACAGGCTTACACTTGATTCCAAGCCCTGTTTCCAAACTTGATTTTTATCTTTGTTTCTTAAAGCATCAGCTTATCTCAGATAAAGGTAGAGTCTCTCTACACTTGTGATATTTAACATTTTTTTTTCTTTTTTTGCCACTGTAACACTTAAATTCACCCTTGCCAATTTACTTTTTAAAACCAGCTCTGTGGACATATCCACAAAGAATGTACAGACAATGGGCACAACCATGGCAGGTCTGAGGGCTGTCACATTGTTACCACATAATTACTGTTTGCTGGAACGCCACTTAGAGTACATGCAGCCTGTAACCAGTTTGCTAAATAAATAACCCTTTTTAATTTAAAAAACAATTTCTCGGCCAGGCGTAGTGTCTCACACCTGTAATCTCAGCACTTTGGGAGGCTGAGGCAGGTGGATAACGAGTTCAAGAGATGGAGACCATCCTGGTCAACATGGTGAAACCCCGTCTCTACTAAAACTACAAAAATTAGCTGGGCATGGTGGCACGTGCCTGCAGTCCCAGCTACTCGGAAGGCTTGAGCCCGGGAGGCAGAGGTTGCAGTGAGCTGAGATCACGCCACTGCACTCCAGCCTGGCGACAGAGCGAGACTCTGTCTCAAAAAAAAAAAATAAAAAAACAGAAAAAACCTCAAACATTAAGGCATTAGCAGACGAGCATTATCAAATAACGTGATCTTTTTTATCTCCCAATTTTTATTTTTTCTTTTGAAACAAAAAAATACTGCTTTTGTAATGTGAAACCACTGTATATACATATGTAGAATTCAATTTAAAAAGCATTTCTAAAAGGGAAATAGTTGGAAAAGAGCGTACATGTAAATTACATTCTAATATCTCTTGGCGAATGAGCCTACAGAGAGATTGTTCCATCCATCAATAGCATATGAAGCTGCCTGCTTCATTTGAATCATCTGAGAAATGCTAAAAATAACAATTCTGTTCCTCTTCCCTCCCACCACCAGGTGGGTCAAATGCTCAGGAAAAGTAGAAAATTGCAATGGTAGTATCCACATTTTCAATAGTTTACAGCTTTATCTTCAGTGTGCCTTTGATGAAATGACTGGAGTTGGCAAAAGTTTGGGTGGTAGGATGGGGTGTGGTAATGTTGGTAGTGCTGGTGATGCTTAAAGTACAAAAATTATTGCTCAAAATTAATCTGAAGGCTTTATCTGAGAAGAAAAGTATAACAGGGAAGTTAGGAAAGCAAATCCTACTAGTTCTCAAGTTTTTTCATCATATTGTCATCAGTTATCAAGAACATCCCAGTCACTAAAAAATTTTCAGACTTTATAATTCTTGTATTGGCTTTCCTTTTGATATGTGCCTAATTATATAAATATTTGGCCAAAATAGAAATAAAACTGATGCTGTAAATATCTATATAAGTACAACATACATACTCTCAGCTAAATTACCTGGAATATCTTCTGGAAATTGAGTATATGTATCTTTTGAATTAATATGTGATAAAATTTTTTTACAAATGATTCAATTTTCTTATTATAGTTAAGTACTAAGAGATTATGCATAAGAATGGTACTGCTGCATACTTTGGACTTTACTATATAAGAAACAAATATATTTTTTAAATAAAATTTTAAGTTAAAATCCTGAAGCCATATTGTTTAATTGTTAAAAATACTGTCATAGACTTTCCAAAGTAGAAAACTTAAAAGTTTCATAAACATAGATGAAAATTATCATAACCACAGGAGAGGCAAAACATTTTTAGATAGGGTAAACACACACAAAAAACTAGAAAATAAAAAGATAAATTGGACTTCCTCAAAATTTAAACCATATGCCCTTGAAAGAGACCATTAGGAAAATGAAAATCTTAGACACAGATTGGGGAAAAATATTTGCAATGCCTGTATTTGAAAACATCTTACATTTAGAGTATAAAAATGAATTCTTAAAATTCAATAAGATGACCAACAACGGAATTTTTTAAATGAGCAAAATATTTTAAAAGACCTTTTACAAAACAAAATACATAAATGGCCTATATATATTATACATAACGGGATGGTCAAAATCATTTCTTATTAGAGGAATACAAACTAAAATCACTTTGAGATACCACTAAACACCCTTTAGAAGGGTTAACACTAGAAAAGACACACAGTACTAAGTGTTAACAATGACATGGGGCAACTAGAACTTTCATATGTTGTTGGGGGGAATGTAAAATGACACAACCACTTTTGAAAGCAGGTTTGACAGTTTCATATAAAGTTTATGCATTAACCATATCATTCCACAATTCTGTTCTATGCATTTACTCAAGAAAAATGAAAACATAGATTTTTACATGATTATTCATTGCAGCCTTATTCATATCCAAGGAATGGAAATAAGTGCAAACATTCCTCAACAGGAAATAAAGGATTTTGCTTCATCTATACGATGAGATATCACTCAGCATTAAAAAAGGAATGAACTTCTGATATATACAACTACATGGCGAACTTCAAAACTCAAACACATTATGCTGAATGAAATAAACCAGACATAAAACCGTGATTTTATTTATATGAAATTCCAAAAAAAGAAACCTTTACCTAGTGTTACAGAAAACAGACTACCAGTTGACTGTGAATGATGTTGAATATTTCAAATGTGTTTTCTGCATCAATTGAGTTGACATGTGGTTTTGTTATTTCATTCTGTTACTGTAGTATATTTCACTGATCAGTTTCTTACGTTGAACCATCCTTATTTTCCAGAAATAAGTCCTACTTTGCCATGTTGTATAATCCTTTTAATATGCTGCTAAATTTGACTTGATAATATTTGTTAAAGATTTTTGCATTGATGTTCTTATGGGATGTTGCTCTGTAGTTTTCTTTTCCTATAGCTTTTTGTCTGGCTTTGATATCAGGGCAATGCTGGCCTCATAGAATCAATTAGACAGTGTTCTCTTAAATTTTAGGACAAAATTTGAGAAGGATTAATGACAGTTCTTTAAATATTTGGTAGTAATGAGGGCTTCTCTTTTTTGGGAGATTTTTGATTTCTGATTCAATCTTTCTTACCAGTTGCCCAGTTTGTTGCCGTACAATTGTTCATAACTATCTTAGATTTAAAATCTGTAAAATCTGTAGTAATAGCCTCAATATCATTTCTCATTTTAGTAATTTGGGTCTTCTTTCTCTTTTTATTAGTCAATATAGCTAAAAGTTTGTCAGTTTGTAGCTTGTTTTTGAAAAAACAACTTTTGGGTTTATTCACTTTCTGTATTTTTTGCTCTTCTCTATTTCATTTTTCACTGCTTAATCTTTATTTTCCTCCCTTTTGATAACCATGGGTTTGGTTTGTTCTATTTCTAGTTCTTCAAGTTGTAGGGTTTGTTTGTCAAGTTAAGGTCTTTGTTGTTTTTTAATGTAAGCATTGAAAGCTATAAATTTACCCCATAGTGCTGCTTTCTCTGTGACTCATATTTTGTTATGTTGTATTTTATGTATCATTCATCTCTAAGTATTTTCTAATTTTCCTTCTGATTTTTTCTTTGATCTATTGGATGTTTAAGAGTGTTTTGCTCAATTTATACAAATTTGTAAAATTTTCTGTTTTCCTTCTTTTATTGATTTATAACTTTATCCTGTTGCAGTTGCAGAAGATACTTGGTATAATATCTGCCTTTTAAAATTGATACAGATGTAATTTTTGGCCTAACATATTTTCTATCCTGGAGAATGTCTTGTGCACATTTGAGAATAATGTGTATTCTGTTATACATAATTTATGTTGTTATTGTGTATATATTTGTTAGATCTAGTCGGTTTATTGTGTTGTCCAAGTTTTTAATTTTCTTATTTATTTTGTATGATTGTTCTATTCACTATTGAGAGTGGAATATTGAAGTCTCCAATTTTATTTTGGAAATATCATTTCTTCAATTCTGTCAAATGTTTGTTTATTTGGATGGTCTAGTATTAGGTGTGCATATATTTATAATTAATTGCTTTATCTCCTTGTTGCATTGTACATTTTATTACTATTCAGTACTCTTCTTTGTTTCTGATAACCTTTCCAGCTCTAATGTCTCATTTTATCTGACATTAATATTGCCACCCCTGCTCTCTTTTGATTAATATTTGCAAGGAGATCTTTTCATGTTTTTCCACTTTCAACTATTTATGTATTTGGATCTCAAGTGAGTTGCTTGTAGGTGGCATATAGTTTGATCATTTCTTAAAAATATAGTCTGCCAATCTCTGTCTTTTAACAGGAGAGTTGAATCCATTTACATTTAATCACTGAAAAAGAGATGCTCAGTTCTGATAAATGTAGTAAATATTTTTATTAAATTTGATAATAAATGTTAAAATATCTAGTTGGGATTGACGTTTTCTAATGTGCCGATCAGATGTAGTTTAGTATTTGCATAATAAATTTAAATTGACTATTTTACTCCTTGGGGTGATTTCCTTTTCAATATCCTTCGACTCACAGTAGATTTAATAGAACAGCCTTCAGCATTGACTTATTCCAGTATTCTTGTTATTATTATTATTATTAATTTTTTGTATTCTTTTAGCTGTGTTCTCCTCTCTACTTTGTCACCCTTGACTTCCCTGGCAGGAAAGAATTGTTGGAACATTTCTGAGGTTTGCATCCACATACCCTCATAATTATCAGAAGAGCAAATGCCTTTTCTGGCAGCTTTGTTAGATTTTCCAAGATTCTTTATTGGAATTTACTCAGAAAATATCTTTTCATATGTAGATGGCCCATATTAGGGCACATGCTCCTTCCTGAACCAATCCCTGAAGTCAGGGAAGGTGATGTGCTCTTATTGGCTTAGGCCTGGATGACAATCAGTATGGAAGGTGGAAGTAGAATTCCTGGAAGAACAACCAAGCCAATCCTCAAAGCATCTGAAGGGCTGGATCTTTCTAAAGTACATGCTTCTGGCTCAGCTGGTTCTCTCAAATATAATCTCACCAGGCAAAAATCAAGGAAGGGGTTGGCAGGGCTGTGATCTTGTCAGGAGGCTCTGGGATGAATCCAATTCCAATCTCATTCAAGTTTTTGGCAGAAGTTGGTCTCAACCAGTTGTAGGACTGAAGTCCCCATTACCTTGCTGGCTGTCAGTCGGGGACTGTTCTCAACTTCTAGTTGCTGCCTGCATTTCTTGACTCATAGCCTCACTTTTTTTCTATCTTCAAAGCCACATCTAGAATCTTTCTCATGGTCTGGATCTCCCTGACCTCCTGTCTTTTCTTCTATGCAATCCTGCTTATCTGTCTTCTCTTTCTGTATCACAAGGATCATGTGATTACATTAGCTCCACTTCTATAATCCAGGATAACCTCCCTATCTAAATTCATGGGTAGTATCCTCACTTTCAACTGCAAACTCCCTTCAGAAGAGGATGCAGTGCTTTCTGAAGGGTCTAAGTATAAAACCTCAAAGATACTTTTTTAATTTTTAAAATGATTAAATAAAAATATATCTGGCTTTAAAAATAATGTGGGTTATAACGTATACTCTGGTTGGGCATGGTGGCTCATGCCTGTAATCTCAACACTTTGGGAGGCTAAAGCAGGAGGACTGCTTGAAGCCAGGAGTTAGAGAGCAGCTCGGGCAACATAATGAGACCCTATCTCTAAAAGACATTTAAAAAATTAGTCTGGCATGGTGGTGTACACCTATGGTTCCAGCAACTCTAGAGGGAGGATGTCTTGAGCTCAGGAGTTCAAGGCTGCGGTGAGCTATGACTGTGCCACTGCATTCCAGCTTGGGGCATGAGTGAAACCCTGTCTCTAAAAAATAAAAATAATATAAAAGTACACTCTGGACGTTACAAGTATTTTTCTGCAATTAGTCCTAGAAAAATACAATTATTGAAATAGATTTTCATATTCTCCATTCAGAAAATAAAGTATATAGAGCCCCTACTCTGTGTCAGAGTTTTCTAGGGAATATGTTTGTGAAAAAATAACCCTGCTCTCATAGATTTTACATTTTATTATGGGAAGGGGAAAATAGACAGTGAAAATAATATATAAGTAAATGTATGTATTATAAAAAAATAAAAAGAGCTAGTTGATGGGCACTGAGAGTTCTGGCTGGAAGATGGGGAGCTATAATTTTAAATAAAATGGTCAGGACAGATCTCGCAGAAAAGGTGAACATTCGAACACAGACCCGAGTGAGGTGAAGGGGCAGCCATGTATATACTTGTGGGAAAAGCTTTCCGAGCAAAACTTCCCCACACACCTTTATATTGCACCCTGTAGCTACTCAGTCTTCAGCCATAAAATCTATGAAGGCTTTTAAACATCAGTCACGTTATGGGAGGCTTCAGTAAGAAATATCTTGGAAATAATAGTGGAATTCTATGAGAAGTTAGAGTGTTTTCTGTGGGGCACAGAAATAAATGTCTATTTATAATGCATTGACATGTGTATTCAAATAGTTTTTTTTTCATTCTTGAAGAACTATCAAGAAAAGTTATATATAAATCTGCTCTCTTCCCGAATATATTTAACTTTCAAGTTGTTCATGCAGATTCTCAAGAAAATTGCCCCAGAAAAGAAGCAGGGTGTTAAAGCTAAATAGTAACAAAGCCAGTGATAACATTGTACTTCCCTTGGTTAAAGAGAAAACTCATATCACAGAAATGGATAGCCTCCTTGATGAATTTCTACATTTTGATTTATATCAATTGCATTGTAGGTAAGGTGGGGTGGGAAAAGAGGACAGACCAATAGAAGAGGAAACAAGCTAGTTTAGAGAAATTTGTGATTCCACCATTTGAGAAATAAATGCATATGGAGGAAAAAAAAAGCAATGCTCATCAAAAGGCACCATAAAACCACATTATGGAAAGAATATGCTTGTCTATTTCTTTCAAGAATGAATGAGTAACTGGTACTGTAATTCCACAACATTTCCCCCCCCCAATTTTTTTTTCCTGGAAATCCTAATTATGTATGGAGGTTTCAGATCTGTGCCCCAGCCATTGTCTTCAGCATATCATGTTAGGGTGGGGTGTCCAGAGCAAATAGGAAGATGATTCAGTTTACGAATATTAGTTGACTTCTATATAGATAGAAATTAGTTCTCCTGCTCAAAGCAGAATATTCCCCTTCCAGCTCCACTGAAAGGGGAAACACACACACACACACACACACACACACACACACACACACACGCTTCAAAAGCACAGATATTTATTCCTCTCACTTAAAAGACAGATAGTGGTATTAAGACAAGACTGGTTGGGTGTTCCGGCAAGTCAGGCACTGACGCCGTTTCTCCCTTTTTGCTTCTCTGATTCTCAGCCCTGGTTCTCAAATTCACGGTCCAAGATGGCTTACTGAGTTCTGATCATCATATTTGCACATCTGTTAGCAGAAGCCCACATCCTCAAATTCACATATCTTTATAACATCTTCGAAGGAAATGCGCAGCATTTCCATCTTTATCATTTTGGTTATGGCTTAGTGATACAGACTTCGCTCTATATTTTAGGGAATGCTGTGTCCAGATCATACTGCAAATCAAGATGTTTACGATGAAGGATGAGTGGGTCCATGACTACTAGGGGAGGGCAGCTGGAAACTGAGCTCTTAAAAGGTTCTCTATGCTACTGATAAGAGCGTTTTGTATGCTTACCCCCATGTGCCTATATACCCACACCTTACAAAAACATACTGAATGTGATAGATGCATGCTATACTCTATCGCATTCCATATGTAACTGTATATAAATTTATAATAGAATAATGAAACAGGTAGTAACTTGGAGTATAGTATGTCATCTCTGATTATTTATTGAATTGCCATTTAGTAAAAATTCCGTAGAATTTATACAAAGAGTAAAAGAAAATATTGACTGTTAACATCTTATAATTTTCTCTCTTCAAAATTTGTTTTCTCTAGTGACATAAGGTACAATAATAAGAAAGGCATTTTAATATTATTTTCAGTTCCTCCATATTTAATGTGCCTAAAAATTGATTATTTCATTGTGCTCTCTCTTCCTCTATCTCTCTCTACCTCTCTCTTCCCCCATCCCTCTCCCTCCCATTTGCTTTCTTTTTTTCCTGTTCTGAACGGTTAGATTTACTTTATTTCCATTATTTTTACTGGACACTTATTTTTGTTTGCCATTTTTGTTTTGAAAAGTATAAAATCTAATTACAAGTTTAGGTCACCAAGAAAAGGGAATTGATATTTTTCACGATTTCTATTGTTTGAAGAGAATGAATTAACTGGATAAACTATACTTATATTGCTGTATTTCTGATCTGAATTCATCAGAGAAATATGTATAATTTTTAGACAGAATTAGAAACTACAGTTAAAGATAATTCATCATACTAAGAGTGCTAAACTACAATATTTGCTACATTTACATGGCACACTGTTTCTATATAATCAGTGGCCATTTTTGACAGGAGTGTGCTGATTAGGTAGAAATGTTTACAATCCAGTCATGGGTGAACACAGTGATATGATCATGAAATGTCATTCATGTCAGTGTCGATGATTTGCGAAACTGTTCATTCTTGTGCAAACATTGATCAGTTAAGAAAACAGACATTGGCATTTGTCATCTAGGGTTCAAATTACATCTTAACTATACATTTGATGTCTGCAATCTTGGAAAGTTTATTTGTCTATGCCTTAGGATGCCAATAAGTAAAGTCAACTTAATGGTTTCTTTTTCTTCAGATAACTATGGCTCTAAATGTAAGACAAAGTGTACCATAGTTTACAACAATCACCAAGGCACATTACATATTGGAAAATCATTTATTAAACAAATGCTCTTTCAGGTTTTAGCCTTACAATATTTTATAGTGAGCAGGCATTTTCTAATGCATATTCTATTCTACACGAATATTTTATTTAATAAAAATTGGATAATCCTAAAAATATACACTAAGTCTACAATTAAACTATATATATATATAGTTTTTAATCCTACTATCTTTTTTCAATGAAACATTTACCAGTGAGCTTCAACAGCCTGATCAGTTGAACAAATTAATAATTGAAAATATTGAAAATGAACAAAAGAGTGAAGTTCTTGAAAATGGCAACCCCTTCCCCCAAAATTGTTTTCGTAGAGATCCAGTCAGCAAATTCTAGAAGTCACTAGGGCTTTCTGTTGTGACTTCACAAATTTGCTTAAAACCTATGCCTACTCTTTAAAAAACTTGACACTTGACATTTTCTCAGTTTATAAGTGATTTGGGTAATAAAGCTGAAGGGAAATGAAATTTGTCAGCATGTTAAATGCTTTTGTCTCTCTGAATATAATAACCTATGCTGGTGGAATGGATGGTAATCACAGGCACATTTTTCTAATTTATCATTAAGTTATTTAAATCTCTTTTTGCAGTTTTATTTACTTCCTTTATTTGTTATCCTTGTGTCAAATTTAAAACTTTACATAGAATAAAACATATTTTTTATACTCTCTTTGACTAGCACTGCAGAGTTATGAGGTGAGAATATTTTGTAGCTCCTTCAACTCAAAATTTTATTTTTTTCCTGCAATAGATTTATTCAATGTCTCCTAGCATTTATAAGTTGAAATAAGGTTTATTTGATATATTGTGATATATTTTGTTCACTGATAACATTTTGTCCAAGTCATAGTTTTAAATCACATTCAGAGAGGTAAGACACTTAAATGTCAGATATATGAAGTAAGGTGAACCTTTGGAAAGCATGTTGGCAAAAGCTTCTATTTCACCTTAACATCAATGAAAAATTAATATGGGCTCCATGAGCAGAAGAGCAAGCGTGCTCTCTCCCTGTGTGCCAGACATCATTCACAGTGCTTTACATGAATCTCAAGGATATTATGCTAAGTGAATTTGTTTAATCCTCACAACAATCCTAAATGGTAAGTACCATTATTATCATTATCCCCATTTTAATAGGTGAAGAGAGGAACAGGTAAGCTAAACAACATACCCAAGGTCACAGAGCCACTGAATGTAGTACCAACATTCAAACTCAGAATGTTGGTACCAGAATAAGACCCTTTGCCTGTAAGCTGTGTTCATTCCCAATTTGCGTATCTGCCACATACAGCACAAAGAGACTTGACTTGTATCTGTAATGTATTATTTTTTTAAAAATGGAGGCAAATATTGTAAACTGTTGACATATTAATCTGAGTAGAGGGTAAATTAAGGCTTGATATGTTATTTTCTATTATGATCTACTATTTGAGGTATTTCATAATACAAAAAATGTTGAGAAACAAAATTAAATTTCCTATGCTGTAATGCAGATGTGGGGTCATCGTGGGGGTCATCTATCTTGAAGTCAGGGCCTGAGCATACTCAATTTGTGGCCCTGTCACTTCAACATGACATTCTTGCTTCCTGTTATTATTTCACATGCAGTAATAGCCATTAAGCATTACAGCTTGTAATTATGGTGTTTATGGAGGAAGTCAAATGCAACATATGAAATAAAAGAAATTTGAGAAGTCTATAACTATATCCTTTGAGATTGCTAAGGGTCTGCTGTATTTTGCATCTACCCCCAACATGGAGAATTGAGTAGAATTTTCTAAAAGCTTCACTCTGCTTATTAATGAGATAGAAAATCTGCTGCTTCACGCTGGCGCTATAGTCTATATTCATCTTGAAATAGGTAAGAAATGCTTCCTGCACTTATTGTCCTAGGAAGAGACAAATAAACCAGAGGGATTTTCTAGGAAAATAAGGACTTTAAAAATCAGATTTTTTTATTTTTAAAATTTTTAAAAAAATATTTCAGTAGCTTTAGGGTACAGGTGGTTTTTGGTGACACGGATGGGTTGTATAGTGGCAATGTCTGTGCTTTTAGTGTACCCATCACTCAAATGGTGGCCATGGTACACATCAGGTAAATTCTTATCCCTCATCCCACTCCCAACCTCCCCCTTTCTGAATTTTCAGTGTCTATTACACTATTCTGTATGCTTTTGTGTACCCATAGCTTAATTCAAAATCAGATCTCTATGTAACACTAGTCACAATAGTCAAGACATGGAAACAGTCCTTAAATATCCGTGACAGATGAACAGATAATAAAAATGAGGTATATACCTACAATAGAATACCATTTAGCCTTAAAAAAGAAGCAGATTCTGCAATAAGTGACACAGGTGAAACTCAAGGACATTATGCTGAGTGAAATAAGTCAGTCATAGAATGACAAATACTGTATGATTACACTTATATGGGCTATTTAAAATGCTAACATTCATAAGCCAGAGTGCAATCTTGGTTGCCAAGGTCTGGTGGGAGGGAAAATGCTGTTACTAATCAACTGACATAAGATTTCATCAAAGCAAGATGAATAAGCTCTAGAGATCTGCTGTATGACATTAGACCTATAGTCAACAATAATGTATTTCACAATTAAATCTCTTAAGACAGTAGATCTCCTGTTAAGTGTTCTTACCACAATCAAATCAAATTTATATTAAAAATAAGATCTTTAGATGCTGTATTCTCCCTCTGAGGAGCTGAAATAAAAGCAGTTTAGAAATACAAGTGAGGTTGATATTTAGCATATGAAAACATGAAAATTTGACTTTTGGCATGAGAAGACAGTTGAATCTGACAGATTTTTTTCTTTTAAATGTGAAATAGTACTGGATGAATGTGAATTACCTCCTCTAGAAATTTAGATGTATATGTTATTAAGCTGGATTTGTTATGACCTTAGCTGACAAAATAAACAGTTCTGTTGTGAATAAGTCTTAACTAAATGGAAACTGAAAATGCATTAAAGTGAAAAAGTTATACAATTACAAATTCAAGCTTCTCAAGAGTACTTAACATTCAGGGGTTTAAAATAGCAGTTTTCAAATGCGTTCATCCAACAGATACTTCTCCCCATCTCCCATCTTTACAGCACCCCTTTCTAATCTGTTTTTCCTTTTACTCCTGCTCTTTACTAACTATGAAAATATTAGGCTTTTTCAATGACCTGAGTTTGCCATTTACTTATTTGATTTTCCCTTAGCCAATTTTGAACATTCTTGCTTTTTAATTTCTTAACCTCTAAGATGATAGTATTATGTTCTAAACTTTAAAGGCCCATCTGATGCTAAACTTACATGATTCTCATTGTCTTCGGGCTGTGAAGGAAATGTTCTTGCAGCCAGCTATGCTGTAGTTATCACAGAATTAGCCATGGTCCCTCGTCCTACCTCTAAGGAAAGTGAATAACTCTGTGGAGTGAATAACTATTGTGTTTTATTATCATAATTAATTAATTAGAGTCTGCCTAGCATCTATTCTCCCCTTTAGTAGCAATGTCCCAATTGTTTTTCCATTGAGGAATAACCTGTCCTCCTACCTTTGATCTGTGTGATTTGACAGGCGGAGGTGGGCGCAGAAATTCAGATTAGAATTGAAGCCTTAATTTATTATAGCATTCCATATTACCAGCCACATTCATACACATACAACACACGTACACACACACATATATATGTGTGTGTATGTATGTATATATACACATATTTTGTTGTGTGTGTATATATATATTTGTGCATGTGTGTGTGTGTATATATATATATATATATATGTATATATATTGGCTCACACAATTTGGAGTCTGGCAAGTTCAAAATCTGCGGGGTTGACCAGCTGGCTGAAGACCCTTGGACAAGCTGACCTAGCTCCAGTCCAAAGACAATCTTTTGACCAAATTCTCTCTTCTTCTAGGGACTTCAGTCTTTTTATAAAGGCCTTCGACTTATTGGATGAGACACCCCCACCCACATTATGGAGGGTGGTGATCTACTTTATTCAAAAGCTACTGATTAAATGCTATTCTTATCTTAAAAAGAGCTTCAAAGAAACATCTTAGATTACTGCTTGGCCAAATATCTGCATACTGTGGCCTAGCCAAGTTGACACATAAAATTAATCATTATAATAAGTATATTTTTAAAAATTGGTATTTGATGACATGAAAGAGAATACAGTTGTCCCTCATTATATGCAGGGGACTGGCTCCAGGATACCTTCATACCCAAATCCGTGCATACTCAAGTCCTGTACTCCGCTTCTATGAAATGTTGGCTCTCTATATGCATGGCTTTCACATGGTGCAAATACGGGATTTTCAATTTAGATTTGGTTGGAAAAAAAATCTACATACAAGTGGATGCATGCATTTCAAACCTGTGTTGTTCAAGAGTCATCTGTATATACATATGTGTGTATATATGTATGCATACATATATACAGTCATGCATCAGAGATACATAATCAGAAAAGGGTCTCTGTATATACGTATGTGTGTATATATGTATGCATACATATATACAGTCATGCATCAGAGATACATAATCAGAAAAGGGTCTCTGTATATACATATGTGTATATATATGTATGCATACATATATACAGTCATGCATCAGAGATACATAATGAGAAATGGGTTTTTCTTTTTTGAGATGGAGTCTTGCTTTGTCACCCAGGCTAGAGTGCAGTGGCATGATTCGGCTCACTGCAACCTCTGCCTCCCAGGTTCAAGCAATTCTCCTGTCTCAGCCTCCTGAGTAGCTGGGATTACAGGCATGAACCACCACGCCCGGCTAATTTTTTAATTCTTAGTAGAGACAGGATTTCGCCATGTTGGCCAGGCTGGTCTCGAACTCCTGACCTCAGGTGATCCACCCACCTTGGCCTCCCAAAGTGCTGGGATTACAGGCGTGAGCTACCATGCCCAGCCATGTTCTTAGGTAATTTGGTCATTCGAACACCACAGTGAAACATTTTTCTTTTTTCTTTTTTTTGAGACAGAATCTCGCTCTGTTGCTCAGGCTGGAGTGCAGTGGCAAGATCGTGGCTCACTGCAAGCTCCGCCTCCTGGGTTCACGCCATTCTCCCACCTCAGCCTCCCGAGTAGCTGGGACTACAGGCGCCCACCACCACGTTTGGCTAATTTTTTTGCATTTTTAGTAGAGACGGGGTTTCACCGTGTTAGCCAGGATCGTCTCGACCTCCTGACCTCACGATCCTCCCGCCTCGCCTCCCAAAGTGCCGGAATTACAGGCGTGAGCCACCCCGTCTGGCTGAAACATTTTTTAATTGAGACAGAGTCTCTGTTGCCCAGACTGGTCTCCGAACTCCAGGTGCTTCTCCTGCCTGAGCCTCAGCCTCAGGCATAGCTAGAATTACAGGCATGTGCCGTTGCACGTGGCTTCAAACATCATAGTGTGCCCTTACACAAACCTAGGTGGTATAGACTACCACACACACATAGGCTATCTGGTACAGCCTACTGCTCTTAGGCTAGCATCCTGCATGGCACGTTACTGTATGGAATACTGTAAACAATTATAATGCAATGGTAAGTGTTTGTGTATCTAAACATAAAAGATACTGTAAAAATATGGTATAAAATATAAAGTATGGTATACGTGTAGGGCACTTACTATGAATGGAGCTTACAGGACTAGAAGTTGCCCTGGGGGAGTGGGTGAGTGAATGTGAGAGCCTGGGACATGACTGTACACTCTATGGAGTTGATAAATGTTGTACACTTGGACTATACCAAATTTATTTTTTTAAAATCTTGGTTTTTTTTTCCTTGAGACAGTCTCACTCTGTCCCCCAGGCTGGAGTGCAGTGACGCGATCTCGGCTCACTGCGAACTCAGTCTCCTGGGTTCAAGCAGTTCTCTGCCTCAGCCTCCCAAGTAGCTGGGATTACAGGTGTCCATCACCACGCCCGGGTAATGTTTGTATTTTTAGTAGAGATGGGTTTTCACCATCTTGGCCAGGCTGGTCTTGAACTCCTGACCTTGTGATCCACCTGCCTCGGCCTCCCACAGTGCTGGGATTATAAGGCGTGAGCCACCATGCCTGGCCAAAAGGTCTTTCTTCAGTAATAAATTAACCTTAGCTTACTTTTTAACTTTTTACCTGATAAACTTTTAAATTTTTAAAACCTTTTTTTACTCTTTTGTACTACAGCTGCAAACACAAACACTTGGTATAGTTGTACACAAATACTTTCTCCTTTAACTTGCAAGTAGGGTAAAAAAAATTCTCTTTATGTCCCTTATTCTATAACCTCTTTTCTATTTTTTAATTTTTTAAACTTTTTAAACTTTTTCATTTAAAACCACAACACAAACATGAACATTAGCCTTGCCCTACATAGGATCACCATCTTCCACCTGCACATCTTGTCCCACAGGAAGGTCTTCAGGGACAGCACACATGGAGCTGAGCCGTCTTCTCCTATGATAGCAATGCTTTCTTCTGGACTACCTGCTTGAGGCTGTTTTATACTTATCATTTTTTTCTTAATAGAAGAAATGCACTCTCAAATCATCATAAAAGTATAGTAAACACATCAACCAGTAACTATCATTTATTATCAAGTAGTACGTGCTATACGTAATTGCATGTGCTACATCTTGTTTAAGACTGGCAGCACAGTTAACTTTATTTACATGAGCATCACCACGAACACATGAATACTGCATTGCACTACAATGTGATGATGGCTACAACGTCACTAGGTGACAGAAGTTTTTCCACTCCACCATAGTCTTACAGGATCACTATCATGTGAGATCCACCTTTAATTGAAACATCCTTATGTGGTGTATGACTAAATGTGCACACTTCAGAAATATTGAGGGTTTGGTTCCAGACCACTGCAGTAAAGTGAGTATTGTAGTATGGTGAGTTACACAAGATTTTTGTTTCTTCCAGTGTGTATAAAAGGTTTATTTACACCATACTGTAGTTTATGAAGTGTGTGTATTAGGCTGTTTTTGCACTGCTATAAAGAAATACCTGAGACTGAATAATTTATAAGAAAACAAGTTTAATTGGTTGTGGTTCTGCAGGCTGCACAGAAAGCATAGTGGCATCTGTTTCTGAGGAGGGCTCAAGAAGCTTACAATCATAGCAGAAGGCAAAAGGGAGTAGGCACGTCACATGGTGAAAGAAGGAGCAAGACAGAGGGGAGGTGCCACACATGTTCAAAAGATCAGATCTCATGCGAATGCAGAGTTAAAGCTCGTCTATCATCAAGGAGGTAGTGAAAACCATTCATAAAGGATCTGCCCCCATGATCCAAATACTTCCCAGCAGGTCTCACTTCCAATTGTAATCCAATGGGGAATACAATTCAACATGAGGTTTGGGCAGGGACACATATCCAAACTATATCAGTGTGCATTAGCATTGTATCTGAAAAACAGTGTGTATGTCTTCACTTAAAAATGCTTTAATGCTAAAAAACGCTAACAATATTCTGAGCCTTCAGCAGTTGCAGTCTTTTTTTTTTTTTTGAGACATGGTCTCACTGTCACCCAGGCTGGAGTGCAGTGGCACAATCTCGGCTCACTGCAACCTCTGCCTCCTGGGTTCAAACGATTCTCTTGCCTCAGCTTCCCAAGTAACTGGGACTATAGGTGTGCACCACCATACCAAGCTAAGTTTTGTATTTTTGATAGAGATAGGGTTTCACCATGTTGGCCAGGCTGATCTCAAACTCCTGACCTCAAAGTGATCCACCCAAAGTGCTGGGATTACAGGCGTGAGCCACTGCGCCAGGCCTGAGTTGCAGTCTTCTTAGTGGTAGAGAGTCTTGCCTAAATGTTGATGGCTGCTGACTGACTAGGTTGGTGGTTGCTGAAGGTTGGGGTGGCTGTGGAAATTTCTTAAGACAACAATCAAAACTCAAAATTGAAGTCAATCCTCTGAAACCCTCTCTGCTTCTGCTTCATCAACTAAGTTTATGTAACATCCTAAATCCTTTGTTGTCATTTCAACAAGATTTATAGGATCTTCTCCAGGAGTAGATTCCATCTTGAAAAAACTACTTTCTTAGCTCTTCCATAAGAAGCAAGTCCTCATCCATTCAAATTTTATCTTGAGATTGCAGCAATTCAGTCACATCTTCAGGCCACACCTTTAATTCTAGTTCTTTTGTTATTTCTACCATATCAGTGGTTACTTCCTCCACTGAAATCTTGAACTCTTCAAAGCCATCCAGGAGAACTGGAATCAACTTCTTCCAAACTCCTGTTAATGCTGATATTCTGGAGTCCTCTCCTGAATCCTAAATGTTCCTAATGACATCTAGAATGCTGAATCCTTTCCAGAAGATTTCCAGTTATTTTACCCAGACCCATCACTGGAATCACTATCTATGGCAGCTACAGTCTTACAAAGTGTGTTTCTTAAATTATAGACTTGCAAGTCAAAATTATTGATCCATGGGCTGCAGCATGATGTTTTGTTAGCAGGTTTGTAAACGACATTAATTTCCTTGTGCATCATCAGTGGCTCTTGGGTGACCAGGTGCATTGTCAATGAGCAGTTATATTTTGACCTAAGCAGTAGGTCCCAACAGTAGGCTTAAAATATTCAATAAACCAAGCTGTGAACAGATTTGCTGTCATACAGGTTTTGTTTTACTATTTATAGAGTATAAGCAGAGTTCATTTAGCATAACTCTTAAGGGGTCTAAGATTTTTGGAATGGTAAGTCAGCACTGGCTTCATCTTAAAGTCGCCAGCTACATTCGCTCCTAATAAGAGAGTCAGCTTGTACCTTGAAGCTCTGAAGCCAGTCATTGACTTCCGCTCAATAGCTATGAAAGTCCTAGATGACATCTTCTTCCACTGATCGCAGAGCAACATAACAGATATAATAGTAATGACAAAGTCTGAAATATTGTGAGAATTATGAAGAGGTGACAGAAGGACACAAAGTGAACACAAGCTGTTGGAAAAATGGCACCAATTGACTTGCTGGACTCAGGGTTGCCGCAAAACTTCAATTTGTGAAAAATGCCATATCCGTGCCATGCAATGAGGTGAAGCAAAATAAAACAAGGTATGTCAGCATAAAATGCCATTTTTAAGTTTAAAAAAAATAATGAAGCAGACAGGTGAATTCACTGCCCAACCTAAGCACTACCACACCATGAATGCTAGTCTGTTCTCCAGCACTCCTTCCTAGTTCCATTCTGTTTCTCTCTGATTTGTTAGTTTATTACTTTTATATTTAAAAAAAAGTATTTCTACCACATACGCATGTATCCTTAAATAACATTTGTTTAGTCACTTCAATTTTGTTTAGTATTCAGTCATTTGCAACTTTCCTCTTTTCATCAAGATTGATCTATGTCATCTTATTATCTGTAGCTATTGTTCATTCATTTTTACCAGTGTATGAAATTCCACTGGGTGATCATAGCACATTATTTTTGTCCAATGTCTTTTCAATAGATATTAGAGTTGTTTCTATTGCTGTGCTCTTTGGGAAATGCTGTTGCTAATAGGCTCATGATGGTAAGTTTCAGAAATTCTCTGGGGCGGTGTGTCTCCAAATGGGGTCCCTGGACCAGCAGCTGCAGCAGCATTTGCATCACCTGAGAATCTGTTAGTTCTGTGGTCTTAATATTTCTGTCCCCTCAGATTATATGATGAACTCTTAACCCACATGGTGATGGTATTAGGAGATGGGGTCTTTGAGAGATGATTAGGTCATGAGCATAGACCTCATGATTGGGATTCATGATTGGGATTGGAGACTCCTGAGTACTGCCTTGCCCCTTTCAGCATGTGAAGACACAGCTGAAATTTCCACCTATGAACAAGGAAGTGGACCCTCACCAGGCACCAAATTTACCAGTGCTTTGACCTTGGACTTCCCAGCCTCCAGTGCAATGAGAGATATATTTCTATTGTTCCTAAACTATCCAGTTTATGGCATTTTATTATAGCAGCTCAAACAGATGAAGACAGTTAGAAATACAAATTCTCAAGCTCTAAATCAGATGTACAAAATCAGAAACTCCGAGGATGAGCCCAACAGTCTGTTTTTGTATGTGATTCTGATGTTCTCTCAAGTATAAAAATTATACTAGGAGTTAGCTTGCTCATTCTTGACTCAGTTTACCTTAGTTGTTAAATCTTTTATCTTAGAATATTTCTCAGTTTTATATCTCTTCAATTCCCTGAAGAGATTAAGATTTTAAAAAGATTTCATTTTTTTATCTCATTTCTTCTGGGCCTTGTAAATTATTCTTCTAAATAATTAATTTATTCCATCTTAATCTCTAAATCCTAATCATAGATTTGAGAATTTAGATCTCAAGGATTAATTTTACTTCCCTCCATTGCTTCTACCCTTTTATATCTATTGATTTAAATATTTCAGATTTATCTCATATTTATTTTAATTTCTAATTTTCAATCATCTCTAACATTTTTAAGCGCCCATTATTTCTGTATTTTTCACGTTATCTCACATTTTCCCCATTTTCTTATTTTTTAATGTGTTTCATTTTTATTCTTGGCAAGAAATGAGCCTTATAAATTGTGAACAAAGGGTTCATGTTAGAACCAAAAGATAATAGTGATTTTATTTTTTAACCATAAGTTGCTTTAATACCCTCTTCTTACCTTCCCCCAAAAAAGTCATGGACAGGAAGCTGTGGCAAGTTGAGATTGTCTCTTCTTTGAATTAATTTCCCTTGGATAGAATTCTCTTTTCAGCTCAGCTAATTTGACCCAGAGGAACAGTGGACTTTCTACCACCCACATAGGCAAAGTAAGGAGGACTTTGTTCCTAGGGAGTTCCCTCAAGCCATGTGTCAAATGTCTGTGACATTAGATGGAGTCTCACCAGTGGGTTAAAAGATGCCTAGAGGAAGCAACAGATGACACATTTTTATAATCTGTAGATAACAATAGCCCTAGAATTTAGGATTTTTATATGAATTTAGGATTTTTTATTTTATTTTTATATGAGAAATATGGAACTTCTCAATCAGTGTTTGCATGTAAGAACACCCATTGGTCTTTGTTGACACAAGGAATATTAAGGGGCTAGAGTAGAGAAAGTAACGGTGCTTATGAGTCACTACTTAAAAAAAAGAATGTGTCAAATATTAGAGACAGAATGATGCAGAAATTCGAAACACGAACTTTGGAGCTAGAATCTGCCAGCTGTATTTTTGGGCAGGGGTCTGGCAGCTGTGAATCCTGCTAGCTGGGTGGCTTTGGGCAACTTTCTTAACTTCTCTGTGCCTCAATTTATTCCTGGATGAAATGGAAATAATAACATAACTGTTCTATAGATAAAATGGGTTATATGTAACCTATGAACATGGTGCCTATAATTACGTAATAAACACTGTAAATGTGATGTTATTGTTGTTACTACTGTAATTACATAATTTACATTTTTCCAAATGTATCATATCCTCACAATGTTGGAGTCACCCTCTAGTGTTTGAAAAAGCCTTATTTATAGCCAACATTTTAACATTATTTTAATATTAACTTATTTAAATATTATATTAAATATTATATTTCATATTTTTTGGGAAAATGTTTATTTCTCTGGAATGAGAGCTTTTAAATAATCCATTAAATATTAACTTAGCTTTTTATTTATTTGAATACATTATGAAGAACTGCAAATCTCTAGAAGTTATAGCTGAGAGTTTACTACTAAAGAATGCATACATATACATGCACACACACACACACACACAGAGTAAAGTAACTTATGATTAGAGGTGCTTTACAATTTAAGTACTAATACAAAAGAAACACATGAAGTTGGAGTCCACCCTTGATTTTTCTATGGATTTTCCATTAATGGCTTGAAATCCTTTAATGAAGGAGGCCTACTGAGCTGAGTTATACACATTTTTGTTAGGGAATAATTAGGTTCATGAATAAGTAATTCAAAATAATGAAGACTTATGAGTTGATGTGAATCATAAACAAGCTGTTATTGTGGTTGCCCTCTTAGAATTGAAAATTAAAGGATTAGTCATTTCTTTAAGATTGACCTTCTTGGGTCTAATGAAAATATAAGAAATATTTTAGAATAATTTTTATGGAAGACTGTTGTCCATCTTTTTCAAAATTCTCAAGAAAATCTCAAAAGAGTCAACAAACAGAGACTATGGAAACAATCCACTTAGAGAGTACTTGACCAGGCTTAAGAATGGGGCAGTACTGGGATCTGGGAGACTTGGCTTCAGTGTGCTGCCCTAAACTGTTCATTCTGAAGTGCTCTGCAAACCTGAGCCTCCGAGACAAAAGGAGGCCAAGCTCGCTTCAAGCAATTGTCAGTTCACACCATGGCTGTTTTTCATGAGTTTTAAGGGCTGAAAAGGGGGATGGAAAGACAGTTTCATCTCTCATGCCAACTACAATCAGTGGGTGATGAGTATCTGCCTGGACTATGTCGAAAATGAATCCGAAGTTAATTCCCAGCTCAGAGAGTGCTGTAATCAATTAATGGAGTCTGGCATTGCTAGGGAGAAGGATAATCAGCACCCTCACCAGGTATTGGCCATCCCAGGATAGAGGGATGTCAGAAAGAAAGACAAGTCTCCTTTGTTCAGTTTGGAAATCATGCTCATTTGCCTGGGTTAATTTTATGTATTGGTTTGCATAATTGAAATGCCAGACTCCTCAGCAGTTTTTTGGACCAGATAGCTTAAAACAAATAGCACTATGATGCCTACCTTCTCACAGTTTATAGCCTAAGTGAGCAGGACCTTTGTCTGATTCATTTTTGTTTTGTTATTAGAATAATGCCTGGCATATAGTAAATGTTTCATAAATTATTGTCATTATATATTCATCGACTATTTTTTGAGCACCATTTTGTGTCTATCCTTGGGTTGGATAATGAACGAAACGGAAATGTCATCTGCTTAATGGAGCTTGTGCTTAGTGAGAGGGTTGGGCATCTGATGAATTAATAGGCGAATTGTGGTACATGCTACTAGGTCAATGTACTGAGCTCAGGGAGAGAGAAGAATGGTGGAATCTGCATGAGAATAAAGATTTTGGGAAAGACCTTTTGAGAAGAATCTTTTGATTTAAAACTGAAAGATGGGTAAGAATTTGCCAGCTAGAGATCGTGATTTTGTTTGGAAGAAGATTCCAAACAAAGGAACAGCATGTGCAAAATCTGGGCATGGGAAAGAATTTGGCATGGGATAAAAGGCTGGCTTGGCTGAAGTATAGTGAGGGAGGGGATAGACTTTAGGATGACCTTGGAGAGATAGGTAGGGCCAGGCTTTCCTGAGCCTGAAGGTCATATTAAGGAACATGAAATGTACCTTAAGAGTAATGGGAAACCAATAAAGAGCTGGATATGGGTTGAGTTGTAGAAACTATTAATATTGATTGACATTTTAAAATGTCACACTGGGAGAAGAATTGGTTGTCTAGGGGAACTTTCCCAAGATTACAGGGGCAAAGCCAGGCTACTCTGCAACGTATGGCAATAAACACATAGTGGCTATCTCTTTAAACAAAGCATGAGTACTCCATCTTCCAGGGGTTCACGTCCACTCCCTTTGGCTACATTGGTGACAGTGGATGTAGAGAGAAATGGATGAATTACTTTGTACTTGGCCTAGTTTACTCCTCAAAATGACCTGCTTTGCTATTGTACAAATGAAGCTGTCACCACTGGACCACTATCTTTATTTCAATAACTTCTGTTTACATTTTCTCTAAATTCCCTTTTCCAACTCAAAAGGTTGAAAAAAAGAAGAAGAAGAAAGGCCCACTCTCCAACTTTCAGAGAGAAATGTACTGGAAGATGAGACAGGGAAAATGGTCTTGGCTATTTGTAGACTTGATCTAATGTCTAGGAATGATAATTAGCCCTGTGAATTCCTAAAGGGACTGCTTGAAGTCAAGTTTAGCACATGCGGTGGATTGCCCTCAGAGGTGAGGAAATAACTTCAGTTGAGTCAAAGTGTAGTTTCCATTGTCTACTTTAGCATGATTCTCCTGCCACTCCATTGGCTGCACCCTTTAACCTTGCTGCAGGAGTTCTCCCAGTTAGTAAATGGTGAGCATCTTAGAACACTCATGTGAACTATTCTTATGTGAGAGACAGCATGAAATTGGAATATAGTCTCTAAGCCCAAGTTTCTCGGCAGGCTTTCTGTGACAGTTTGGTCTGCACTCCATCAATGCAGCTTTATAATGTTGTTAAATTTTGTTAAGGGAGCATTGTGTTAATTAAATCATCAAGCAGATATTGGGTAGCTAAATTGCAATTATTTGGTCTTTGATCAAAACTCAGGCTTTCTCAAGTAAGTTGGTCAGAGAATAGGACTTTTATTGTTCACATTGCCAGCAGCAAGAAAAATCCATTTTTCCCCAACCCAGACATGTTTAAATACATCTTAATTGTCCTGATTACTCTGAGAGTTTTGTTCTCAAGACTTGGCTCCATTTAAAGGGCTGAGTACTTCTTGAGAATTGTAAGAAAAGCAAATCTGACTGAATAAGGCCAGCTAAGATCAATATTTTTTATTAACTAGTTTTCTTTCATTTTGTACTAAGAAATAATGCAGATGTGTCATACAATGGTTATGACAATGCAAAAGTTTTATCTTCTGAAAACATAAGACTCCTGCCACCCTTGAACCTCCAGTTTTCCAGACCCCATTGTCAGAGTGATGTTGGACACAATTTCATGTGTCTCCTTCCATAATTAGTCTAAACATGACGTACGAGCTTGTGTATGGACTATGTATGCACATCTATACAGGCTATGCTGAAACAGATATATAGCACATCTGTGTTAGTCTATTCAGGCTGCTATAACAAAATATCTTAAACCTGGTAATTTATAAACAACAGAAACTTATTGCTCACATGTTTGAGGCTGGGAAGTGGAAGGTCAATGTGCCAGCAGATTTGGGGTCTGTTGAGGGCTCATTCTCTGCCTCACAGTTGATGCCCTCTATGTGTTCTCACAAGGCAGAAGATGCAAACAAGCTTTCTCAGGCCTCTTTTATAAGGTACTAATTCTGTTCATGAAGGCTCCAACCTTAGGATCTAATTACCTTCTAAAGGCCCCACCTCTTAATCCTATTGCACTGGGAATTAAGTTTCAACATATGAATTTTAAGGGGGACACAAACATTGAGATTATAGCAATATCTGTCATTTTCTGCTCATTGGAGGGCTTCTTTACCTGTTGTGCACTTTGCTTTTTGTACTTAGTTAGCTCTGCCATTGTTTCATGATTCTTGGTAATTTCAATATTCATGTAAGTAAAGCATTCACTACCCTGAACTCTCAATGAACTCTTCCTCAATGATTTTCAGTATCTTGTTTTCTTTATCATGCTATAATCTGGACTTGTCATTGCCAATAAAGAAAAACAGCATTTTATTCTCGGACTCCTGAGTCCCACTCTCCAGTCATCACCTCTAGGTTCCCAACAATTCTTCAACCCCAACATGACCTACAAACCATTGAGACCACCACTGTTTGTAACCTTGTAACCCCTCAAATCTGCTCTTCCTTTCTTAGCCAGCTGAGATCCCAAAGTCCAATATATACATACATACAAATTTTCCTTTACATATGCCCTTAAATTTCTCACCCTTCATTATACACATCAGAGAGAACCGCATCATAGGTTGAATCCAACTTTTGCCTATTTCATGTCTAAACACAGTCTACTACCTGGCCTGACGTTAAATGTAGAATTGCTAACCCCAAATGGGCCCTCTGCTGCTGATTTTTCTGCATCTTTTCTTTAGTCCATTAACTCTCCCATTCTCTTGGGACCTTTTTCTTCCTCTCAAACCTGCAAAATCTCCTCCCCAAACTTGGCTGATGATATTGCTTTTTTATTTTATTTATAAAAAAGCAATCATAAGAGAGCTTCCACATATTAATACCAGTCACCTACTAACTGACAGGCTCTTCAATTGTATACTCTACCTTTCATCCAGGTACTGCAGATAAATGATTCTGCGAGCCTGCAGCTAACTTTTGCAGGGCTTGAAGGACGAATATGCTTAGAGATCCCAGCTCAGGTCTAGACGTCTTCTTTTTCAAGATCCATTCCCCTCTGTCATGCAAAGAGCAACCCTTAGAAATGTGGTTCATCCTCTGGAAAGTTGGCCTGGGAAGAGGATCTTGTAGGTCTTAGAAGTAGATTCCAATTCATTGAACATTACATGGAATGCATTCTAGAAGTGGGGACACTGGTTCCCAGGCTATCTGTGGAGGGGTAAGACATGAGGAGGGTGACATGGAAGCTGTCTGAAAGCGTGAGGCACGTGCCAAGGGTTCAAGGTGCCAGATCGAAAAGCAGAGTGGCTGTCTGGTCTCACACTAAGAACACACCGCACCACTTGTACAATTTTATGCCATCATTTACTTTGATCCCTTCTCTTGATTATGCAGTGAAAGTTCCCACTTTCTCCTGCATCAATGATATTCTCCCATCTCTAGACAGTTATCCTCAGCATATACATGTGCTGGAGTTTCATCCATCTCATAAAACCAAAACACTAAACTACCAACTTCGGGGCAGTGTGTTAAGTATGAGATAACTGGAAAACTATCTAATACACAAGCAGTTTTTAAAATTACTAATCATATGAATGAACAAATACATTTCTCATTGATGTATCATTTTATATTTTATAAAATCATTTTGTATTATCTTCCTCCTTCTCCCCTATATCTTCGACCCTCCAATAACTAATTTCTTTGCTCACCTACAAAACTCTTTGAACACATAGTTTATACTTGCTGCCATCACATTTTTCTGTCCTGTTTCATCCTGACTCCATTCCAAGTTGACTTTTATCACTGCTACTCCACAAAACTGCTCTGGTCAAGGTCATCATGACTTCTAAATTGCTAAAACTGGTAGTTAATCCCCAATCCCATCGTAGCCAATCTGCAACATTCTGGCCAGTTATTCACTCTATTCTGGAGTCATTTCTTCCCTTGGCTTCTAGGTCATCACTGATTTTGAGTTTGTGTATTTTGATTGCCCTGACTCAGTTGTCAATATCTCACAATAGGAAAGCCCCGAGAAGCTGCTGGCCACTTCCTCCCCTGTCAACACTCACATTCTGAATGATTGGGTGTGTTAAATATGCTGTGTGTGCTGATGCCTCTCAAATGTGTATCTCCAGCCTTGATTATGCCCTAGAAATCGACTCTCACTTTTTATTATTTGCATTCACATGCTTAACGGCGTCTCAAGCTGAACAGGTTCAAAGACAGCTTCTGACCCTTCCACTAACCCGCTCCAATTGCTGCATCTTATTCATGTCATTAAGTGGGAATCCCATCCTTTCCTTTGCTCAGACTTAAAACCCTAGAGTACCTTTGACCTTTCTATACCCCACTTCTTGCATATCTACAGATGCTTTTAGCTATATACCGTGTATAAGAAGTTTATACAGACTAGGAAATTTGATACTCTCATTTTTTATCACTCCCTCCCTGAATATGACAAAAACTTTTCCAGTAACTACTGGGAAATGAAGCAAATAAAATAATGGTCTAAAGAAATGCAGACAGGGAAGTTTTTCTTTTATGTTTTTTATTATATGAACATGCCAGCAAAAATGTATGTAAATGTATAATTTTTATATACATAGTAAGATAGTAATAGTTTTAATGACATTAATGCATTTTTTAAAAGGGGAAAACCTGTGCCTAGATATTTGTCTTTCTCAGTATCAAATACCATTAGAGCGTTTGTTAAACAAGGTATAAAAATTTTAAACACAAAAGCTCCAAGTAGTCATATAAAAAGGCAGATTTAAAGTGTCGCATGTTTTGCCGTTTCTTTATTATAATCTCTGGGGTCTCAGTGTTTATTTCACATCTACTCTTTAAACGCAGAACGGTGTAGTTCCACTGTGGTTGGAGGGACAAGCTATGCCTGAAGCAAGCTTGAAGGCATCCAAATATTTAAGACTCTGCTCTTGGAATAAATGCATGTGATTGAGTCTACATGTGTGCGGGGCCAACTTACGAACAGGGATTTTCCAAATGAACTTTCATTTACAAAACAATGTTTATTAAAGAAAAAGTAGCAGCAATGTGATAATCTGAAACTTTTATACATTATTAAATAAAACTCAGTGGTAACTACTGCAACTGATTAGAAATAAGATGAATAAAATATGTTTCTGAGGAAGGATTGTTCTTATCACTGATATTGTTCATAATTTTTGGCATGGTGATAAGTAGATCAAATTGTAGTCATTTCATTATCCTTTAAAAATTATCTGTAATCACTGTGTGCCCCCTGTTACCTGTGCCCAGGACAGTCCCCTTCCACACCTGTCCTCTGTTTCCCACTCATTGGAAAAAGAGGTAGTTAGCCTGTGACATCAATGGTTGTTTAATGTGAGTCTATAATACCTATACTTGCAAAAAAAAAAATCATGAAATAGTGGCCTACAAAACAGATCAACCCTCACATATCTTTTATTTTGACTGTACTGGGCTTTTAAATTAGTGGCCATCATTTAACAATGCAGAGAGTTTGCATAAAAATATGTATTGCTAGCTGCTCTTAAAATACTGGTAGCTGCTATAACATGGGTGAACCTCAAAAACATTATGCTAAGGGAAAGCAGTCAGAAAACTCTGCCTATACGCATTGTCCAGAATGGAGACGGAAAATAGATTAGAGGTTTTCTCATGTGAGAGGAAATGAATGTGATTGCTAATGGAAATGGGAACTTTGTGTGTGTGATAGTGAACGTGTTCTCAATTTATGTTACAGTAATAGCTGCACTATTCTATAAATACACTGAAAACCATGGATTTGTATACTTTAAACAGGTGATTTTTATGCTATGTTAATTTAGTCTCAATAATGCCATCAGAAAAGACAAAAAAAAAAAAAGAACAGTTGGAAGATCAGGTAATACTGATGCCACATTTCCCTATGGTAAAAACTGCTGGTATTTTATTAGGACTTTTTCTATTTAAATGGATTCTACGCTTTTCTGCTCACCTCAGTCCCTACTAATTCTTCAAATCACTCTCAATCCTGAGGCCAAAGCCCAATTTGTCCCTGCACTGTTTTCCTCACCATAAAATTAAGAGAAATTTAATTTTTTTTGGTATCCGTATCTCTAGCAAATATAAGTAATTGAAAGATACAACTGAAGATGAATCATATGTTCCATGATTAATGAGGAACAGCCACTTTCTCCGTGGCCTCTTGTCTATCTCATTGATTTTGTATCACCTACCATGCTGCCATGTCTTAGAGCTCTTCCTAAGATGGATGAGACAGAAGGAGCAAAGGTGTGTTCCACCAGAATGCACTGGTCCCGCCACAGCTGGTGTGCATGCATGAGGTCAAACCCACCAATGTATCATCTGACTTGCTGGTATCTAGGCTGTGGCCACATTAAATGTCACGAAGGTCACCTCTGTGGTATGCCTCATGGATGGTAGAGTTGACAAGGCAGAGCAGAAGGCCCCTAGGACTTGGTGTTCAAATAGGTAGGGGCCGATTCTTCAGTGTTCACCCAGACTGCCATTACCTTCCCTTGCCAGGCTTCACCTCCTGGCCTGTTTGTTTCTGATGCTTTGCCTTCACGAAGGTGGAAAGCCCTACAGTGGTCTCATAGAGTAATATTCTCTCTTTCTCTCTCTGTCTCTCTCTCTCTCTCTCTCTCTCTCTCTCACACACACACACACACACACACACACACATCTATGAACATAAATTTAAAAATTCATCACTAACGGCTGGGTGCAGTGGCTCACACCTGTAATTCCAGCACTTTGGGAGGCTGAGGTGGGCGGATCACCTGAGGTCAGGAGTTTGAGACCAGCCTGGCCAACATGGTGAAACCCGTTTCTGCTAAAAATACAAAAAGTTTGCCGGGTATGGTGGCGTGCACCTATAATCCCAGCTACTCGGGAAGCTGAGGCGGGAGAATCGCTTGAACCCGGGAGGTGGAGGTTGCAGTGAGCTGAGATTGCACCATTGAACACTAGCTCAGGCAACAAAAGCCAAAGTCTGTCTCAGGAAAAAAAAAAAAAATTATCATTAACTATAGAGGGTGGTATTAGGGCTCTGTAGAAGGACAGAACTAACAGGATATATGTATATAGGAAAGGGAGTTTATTAGGAGAATTGACTCTCACCATCACAGGATGAAATCCCACAATAGGCTGTCTGCAAGCTGAGGAGCCAGGAAGCCAGTCCAAGTCCCAAAACCTCAAAAGTAGAGAAGCTGATGGTGCAGCCTTCAGTTTGTGGCTGAAGGTCTGAAAGCCCCTGGCAAATTGCTGGTGGAAGTCCAAGAGTCCAAAAGCTGAAGAACTTGGAGTCTGATGTTGAGGTAGGAAGCATCCAGCACAGGAGGAAGATGGAGGCCAGAAGACTCAGCCAGTCTAGTCCCTCCACGTTCCTCTGCCTGCTTTGATCCTAGCTGCACTGACAGCTGCCTACATGGTGCCCAACCAGATCGAGTTGTGTGTCTGCCTCTCCCAGTCCACCAACTCAAATGTTAATCTCCTTTGGCAACACCCTCACAGATACACCCAGGAACAATACCTTGCATCCTTCAATCCAGTCAAGTTGATGCTCAATATTAACCATCACAAGGGCCTTACAGTAGGAGGTGACAGGATGTACATACGATAACAATATAAGACACAAGTATCAGATTGAACACATGAGTTAAATTCTGGTTCTTCACTGGGCGTGGTGGCTCACGCCTGTAATCCCAGCACTTTGGGAGGCACAGGCAAGCAGATCATTTAAGGTCAGGAGTTTGAGACCAATATGGTGAAACCCTGTCTCTACTAAAAATACAAAAAATTAGCCAGGCGTGGTGGCCCACACCTGTAATCCCAGCTACTTGGGAGGCTGAGGCAGGAGAATCGCTTGAACCTGGGAGGCAGAGGTTGCAACGAGCCGAGATTGCACCACTGCACTCCAGCCTGGGCAACAGAACAAGACTTCGTCTCAAAATAAATAAATAAAATTTAAAAATTCTGGTTCTACCACTTACCATAGGTGTGGCAAGAGATAGGCCCCTTTCAAACTTAGCTATCTCAGCAGTAGAATCGGGAGAATAATGCTTTATTATTACTATTTTATAGCTAAGAACTTTGAAACAACTAAACAAAAGGAAGGATCTCTTTGAAAGACTGAGGGTTTTCTGGTGGTGGCCACAGGCAGGGATAATGCAGGAGTGTGCTGGACTCAGGCTGTGTGGCGCTGGCTCTATTCCCTGCTCAGCTCGGCCTCCCTCTATTCTCTGAGCAAGGCTTTGCTTTCCAGCTGCTTCCACAGCTACAGCATGGAACAGGGAGGGCTGCTTCACGTCTCCCGAATGTGATACCTTCTTGGTTCTATTACGAGAATTGAATCTCTTGGCCCTCCTTCCAAATTCTCGGAGAAGTGATGGATAGATCTAGATTAGCCCAATTGAACACTGAGGTTTAGTCACGTATGACTTAAGGAACAGAACTCAATATAGCAAATAAAGTGGCTGGAGACCTACACCAATCATGTGTGGATTGGTTGGGAAAAGGATGGCGTGGAGAAAAGGCAGTCATTGTGACTGAACCCATATCCCCAAAGATAAATACAAAAATGCATACCTAAATGTTCTTTTTTAAAAAACTGTATTATTATTAGCTTTAAGGTAGAAAAGCTGAAGGCAGCAAATTTAGGAAGTGCCTAAAGACAAAGCAAGTTGACTGCTGTGATTATTATGATTCAGAATGCTATGAAATGAGACCCAAGCCTTTTTTTAAAATTCTAGAAAGGAGACTCCTTAAGAACTCAAATACATTTGGTGTTTGCCTTTTTTTTTTTTTTAATTTTGAAAATAGATCTGGTCGACAAAATTAAATTGTTTTCTACCTAAATGTATTCATTCATGCCTATTCATCTTAAAATGTCCTGCCATATATATATTTTTTAAAAAATACATCGTATCAGCGAGACTCCATCTCAAAAAAAAAAGTATGTCATATGATGGTCAGCACTTAATTGGTGGTTTCCATCTTTTCTCAGTCCATTTCCTAAAACTCTTTACAATTCTTTCTTCATACAGAATTCACCATAGAGAACATAGAGAAGTTAGAATTCATTTCTTTCTCTTTCTGTCTCTTCCTTTTTCTCTAAGTACACATTTTTGTAAGTCTCTGTAGTAATTTTGGTACTTATGGGCTTTCCATGACTTGGCATTAGGTCAGCAAGAAACAGGCAATAATTTGACACTTTGATATTTGCCAAATTTTTCAAAATACTTAATATTCCACTTACTTTTTTTCTCATAATATTGAAATGAGGAATAAAATGGAGAAATAATTTTCAGAGAAAAAGAAATCTTTGGCTCAGCAATTCCATTTCAATAAATTTACCATAAAAATAGTAAAATATAATGTTCTAAATTGTATACTTCTGTACTTATTACTGCGTTGTTTATAATAAGAAAAATTTGAAACAATTAGTTTACAATAAGAAAACTAAAGAAAACTTTAATGTCCAAAAAATAAAAGCTAAGTTGAAATAATTATACTACATGTATTCAATGAACTCTTCTGTAATTTCAAAAGCACATCACCAGTGCGTACAAGAGTGTGATAATAGTTTTATGAATTTAGTTTCATATCAGACACTTACATGTACACAGATATGTCCATATGTACACATGTATAATATGTGTGTATGTAGTATATGTGTTTGTATATGATTGGTAAAAATACACCAAAATGCTAACAGTGATCCAGTGATAGCATGGATGTTGTGGAACAAAGCTAGGCTTGGCTTGCCTGGCACAGTAAGACCAGATACCCACACTGAGTGTATTAGCCAGCCTCCTGAGGAACAGAACTAATAGGATATATGTATATACGAAAGGGAGTTGATTAAGGAGAATTGACTCACACCATCACAAGGTGAAGTCCCACCATAGGCTGTCTGCAAGCTGACGAACAAGGAAACCAATAGTAGCTGAGTTGGAGTCCAAAAGCCTCAAAAGTAGGGAAGCTAACAGTGCAGCCTTCAGTCTGTGGCTGAAGGCCCAGGACCCCCCAGCAAACCACTGGTGTAAGTCCAGGACTCCAAAGGCCAAAGAATCTGAAGTCTGATGTCCAAGGGCAGGAAGCATCCAGCACGGGAGAAAGATGAAAGCCAGAAGACTCAGCAAGCCAGGTTATCCCACCTTCTTCTGCCTGCTTTTTCTAGCCGCACTGGCAGCCAATGGGATGGTGCCCATCCACATTGAGGGTGGGTCTTCTTCTCCCAGGCCACAGACTCAGATGTTAACCTTCTCTGCCAACACCCTCACAGACACACCCGGAAACAATACTTTGCATCCTTCAACTTGACACTTACCCATCACACTGAGGTTTGCAGTGACAGAAAGGAAGGCCTTTATTGTAGGTGCCAAACAAAGAGGACTGGGCCACAAAGTGCTCAAATCCTGACCTTCCCGATGGCTTGCAGGAAAGTGTAGTGCAGGGGTAAATTTCAGGAAAGGAGAAGCTACAGGCAAAATTACAAATCAATACACGGAGGTTGCACATTGGTTTAGGCCTAAAACAGCTGGATATCTTGAAGCAAGGGCTTACAGGTGGTAGGTAGATTCAGAGACTGTCTGATTTGCAATTGGTTACGGAAGAGAAGCTTTGTTTAAAAATCTGGGGTCAGTAGAAAACTGTTAACTGTCTAGCGGCTGTGACTTTCTCCAAGGAAGAAACTTAGAACAAAAGACGATGGTTAAGGTTCAGTCTTCACCTCCCTCTTTGTTTTTTTGTGCATATATATATATATATTTAATTATACTTTAAGTTCTAGGGTACATGTGCACAACGTGCAGGTTTGTTACATATGTATACATGTGCCATGTTGGTGTGTTGCACCCATTAACTCATCATTTACATTAGGTATATCTCCTAATGCTATCCCTCCCCCCTCTCCCAACCCCATGACAGGCCCTGGTGTGTGATGTTCCCCTTCCTGTGTCCAAGTGTTCTCATTGTTCAATTCCCACATATAAGTGAGAACATGCAGTGTTTGGTTTTTTGTCCCTGTGATAGTTTTCTCAGAATGATAGTTTCCAGCTTCATCCATGTCCCTACAAAGGACGTGAATTCATCCTTTTTTATGGCTGCATAGTATTCCATGGTATATATGTGCCACATTTTCTTAATCCAGTCTATCATTGTTGGACATTTGGGTTGGTTCCAAGTCTTTGCTATTGTGAATAGTGCTGAAATAAACATACCTGTGCTTGTGTCTTTATAGCTGAGGTCTATGTGCTAGTGGGTCCATTTCATGGGGGTCCTCAGTGGGGCCTTAAGCTTCTGAAAAACAACTCTGGGACAAATGTTAACATGTTATCACTGGTTTCTATGGGGAAAGCAAACATTTTTGGAACTCTGTCTTCGTTAACTATTGTTTTAGACCTCTATGCTTTAACAAGTTGCTTATTCACATCTGGGTCTAGCTAGGTTCCTGGAATTTTCCTTGAAGGAACTTAGGCTTTTCCTTTATTTCCATGCTTGGGGGTCTGCAGGCTCCTAAAAAGGAGGTCCTCATTCTGTCTCGTGGATGAATATTTTCTTTCTCTAAAATGGTTTTCTGTATTTTCCAAATTTTCTGCAGTGAACATGCATTATTTGTATAATCAGAAAAACAATGAAGACCAGATCAATTAAAACCTAACAAAAAGAAGCCTAGTGCCAATAGTCTTGATATTTCCTTCTTATATGCAAAGAATAAAGACATTATATCATCTTATTCTAGCTTTAAAACAAAATGAAACAAAAATGCTGGAACAACCTTGAATAGATATATATCATAAGATGTGCAATCAGTATCAGGAGCTGCATTATCCTGTGCATGGAGCTCAGAACAGACCACAAGATTATGCAGCTCCCTTTGTTACTTGTCATTCTTATGAAGCTGTCATCTCATTTCTCAAAGGAATTTCCAGTCTGTAATGTTACCTTTCCCACAGTGCCTTATTTCCAACAAAAATAGTAAGAGGGCATTAGGTCTCAATTCCCTTTGCTTTATATTCTCTCCTTAACCGAAAAGAAAACTAATTAAATATGTTTTCCTTGATCAAATGCTTTTTTACCCCTAAGCATCCTGGAAAGTGGTCTCAGAGTCAATATTTTGGGGATGATGCCTTCTCTACAGAATGAATTTCTCCAAGCTCAACTAAAATGGTCAAAGGTCTATCCACATTTTAAAAAATTAAGAATTTACCAGACACTTTTCTTTCTATTTATTTACTTTTGAGGATAAGGTCTCATTCTATTTCTCAGTCTGTAGTGCAGTGGTGCAATCGTAGCTCCTTGAAACCTTGAACGTCTTGGCTCAAGCAATTCTCCAGCCTCAGCCTCTCAAAGTGTTGGGATTACAGGTGTGAGCCACTGTACTTGGCTCATTTTTTTCCTTTTTAAAAATTCTGTTGTTGAATTATTTAAATCATATTAACAGCACATAAAGGTTGGTGAAGTAAGAAAGTGGGGGTGGTTAGAGAGAGAAAAAGGGAAAGCATACCTCTTTTTTCTTATTCATTTTTCATTTAAAATTATGTGTGAGTTCTTCAATAGACTGTCATAGTACTCAGGAACAGGTGCGTGCGTGCGCACAGACACACGCACGTGTGACTCTACCCACTCCCTGATAAAAATGTGTTCAATGTTTAACTTTATTTTTATTTATTTATTTATTATTTATTTTGAGACGGAGTCTCGCCTTGTAACCCAGGCTGGAGTGCAGTGGCGCGATCTCCGCTCACTGCAAGCTCCGCCTTCCGGGTTCACGCCATTCTCCTGCCTCAGCCTCCCGAGTAGCTGTAGCTGGGACTACAGGCGCCTGGCACTGCGCCCAGCTAATTTTTTGTATTTTTAGTAGAGACGGAGTTTCACCGTGGTCTTGATCTCCTGACCTCGTGATCCACCCACCTCGGCCTCCCAAAGTGCTGGGATTACAGGCGTGAGCCACCGCGCCCTGCCCAATGTTTAACTTTCTAGCAAAAAGACAAACTTCATGCAAGCAGGAACTGGGCTCATTTTGTTCACTCTGTTATCTCCCATCTTTGGAACAGTGAGTACCGCAGAGGAGATGGTCTGTACATATTTTCTATATGAGAGGTAGATTTTTAAGGTATAAGGAACAATAGTTGGTCAATTAAGGAGCCTCTTACGTCCTTGTATGAAAACAATCCTATATTGTTTTACTTTGTCTTGAATTTTGTGAACCAATATACTGGCTACTATGTTCAGAGAATGTAGAGCAGCCCTGGTATATCTTCTTTTTATTTAGAAATAGTTTTAAACTTAGAAAAAAACTTAATACAAGAAACTTTTTCCCCTAAATCATTTGAGAGCAAGTTGCTCACATGCTATCCTATCACCAACCAATATTTTAGTGTGTGTTTCCACAAGCGAGGACATTATTCTACATAACTGCAATACAGCCATCAAACTCAGGTCATTAACATTGACATATTACTACCATCTAATTCATACACCCCATTCAAATTTCTTCAGTTGTTCCAATAATGTTATTTATGACAAAAAATCCAATCCAGGATCACACATTGCATTGAACTGTCATGTGTCTTTAGTCTCCTTCCAACTGGGACAGTTCCTCAGTCTTTCCTTGACTTTCATGACACTGATGGAACAGTTTGGAAATCTACAGATGATCTATGTTTTAGGATGTCTCCCAATTTAAGTTTGTCTGATATTTCCTCATAATTGGACCAGGTTATTCATTTGGGGCAAGAAGGTCCCAGTTGTGATGGCCGCATGTGTGTCACACACTCCATCAGGTGGCATTCGATCCTGACTTTTCCCATTCGTGTTGAAATTCACTTTGATCACCTCCCAGTTTCTCCAATGGAAGTTGCTCTTTTCCTTTTGAAATTAGTATGAATGTCATGGGAAGGTAACTTGAGAATACGTAAATATCTAATTCCTCGGCCAGGTACAGTGGCTTACACCTGTACTCCCAGCACTTTGGGAGGCTATGGTGGGATAATTACTTGAGGTAAGGAGTTCAAGACCAGCCTGGGTATTATAGCAAGACCCTGTCTCTACAAAACGTAAAAGAAATAGCTGGGTGTGGTAGTGTATGCCTGTAGTCTAAGCTACTCAGGAAGCTGAGGCAGGTGGATCATTTGAGCTCAGGAGTTTGAGGTTGCAGTGAGCTATGTTCACACCATAGCACTCCAGCCTGGATGACACCGTGAGAACCTGTCTCCAATTTAAAAAAAAAAAAAATCCAATTCTTCATGAAATTCTTACTCATTAGTTCTATATCCATTGATATCCCTTGGATAAACTATTACTATGATGATTGCTAAATGATGATTGTCTAATTCCATCATTCTGTCTATATCTATTGACATTCTACTATAGGAAGATTTGTTCTTTCTCATTAATTTTTATTGGCAAAATCTCATGAGTTCGTATTTTGTTCAATTGATAAAATTCATTATCATTATCCATTTTGATGTTTAAATTTATTTGACATCCTGGAAGCCCTTTCAAGTTGACATCAGTTTCATTTGTCACAGCTATGATTCTCTGAGAACGTTCTTATTTTCTGGCTGAAAACACTCTGTACTTACCTAGTTCTGCCCCAGCCCTGGTATCAGGCTTTATTCTAAGAAGCTTTGATTTCTTTTGGTAGAGAATGGTATTTAGAAACCAAGAACTGGACTCTAATTGTGCTGATTGGTTTTGAGTTATCAATATACTGGCTTTCTCAGAGAACACAGCTTGGGTATGTATATATATTTATAAAGTTTAATTAACTTTTCTCCCTTTTCATGTGTGTACACCCTTTCTCCAACAGTGTAAAAGTTGGTTACTGTTATACTTAGTATATTTACTCAGAGATCACTTGATTTCTGAGACTTTGTGCCAGGCCTCTACTGTCACTCTTACCTATAAGCACCCTCTTCACCTATTTCAAGCTCTTCTTCATCCAGTATTTATGAGCCACATTCAATGTGGCACTCACATTCCAAAGATAGTAGATAGAGAAGTGAACCAAATAAACATGGTCTCTGTTCCCATGAAGCCTGTCTTCTACCTGGAAAGCACTGAGATAGATTTGAATTTTAATTGTTTTTTTTTTTTTTTTTTTTTTTTTTTAGTGGTCACAAAACTTCATCAGGCAGTCACATAAACCATAAGGAGGTTAAAGGCAAACATATGCAGAAACATTTTAAACAGATTCACATGTAGGTCAACATTCATAGAGATTTTCCAGCAATAATGCTTTTCTAGAAAAGGTTTATTAAAGATATCAGTCAATTGTAAGAATTATGATCTATAAATGCTATTCATCACCACCTAGAATATATATCAGACATCAAAGTATTAACTTCTTTGAGTAATTTTTTTTCTAGTTAAATCTTCATTGTCAGACCTCACTTAGATGCAAATTCTTTAAGAGAAATCTTCCAGAGAAGCTTAAATTATAAAAGCCATATAAGTAGAAACACTGTATGTAAGTGGAAGTGGGGTCTAGGAAGCTTTCCCCACCTTCTTCCCCTTCTGTGCAATCCATGGAGCAACTCTGTAGAACACAGTTTGAAATCCTGGGCTACTTAAATGCCCTACTTTTTTTTTTTTTTAGCAAACCTGAAAAACTTCATTCCTTTATGTGGTCAAGAAATAATTACTATGCATCTTTTCTGTACCTAGTAATATACTAGGTGCCATAGAAAAAAGAACAGAAGCCTGGAAAGGTCCACTTTTATCTCACTGAGTTTGCAGACTTCTAGGAATAGAGGCAGCATACAAGTAAGCAAACACAAAGATATTTCCAGACTGATGTAAAACATGTGAAGAAAACCCATGAAGCTGCAAGGGAGCATTGTGGCAATCCTAAGCACTTTATAATAGCGTGGCTTGGAAGAACCTTCATAAAGTGGTGATACTGAAGCTGAGTCCTCGGTAATGTAGATCCAGGCATGAGAATGGTGGGCAAAAGTGATAAGATAATTTTAGACAGAGGGAACCGTGTGCATAAAGGAGCTGAGGCAGGAAGAAGCAGGCATATTCCTAAGAACCTTGCGGCCACTATAGTTGGGAACCATAGATCAAGGATAAGAGGATAAGTTAGTTAGGAAGAGGCCAGTTTTTGCAGGGCTTTGTTTAGGAGTTTAGATTTATTCTTAGACATGGGAAGTCGCTGTAGAATAATGATTGAATAAGGTGTTCGTCATATTTTGGCTACCTAGCAGCTCACCTTCTTCCTGTGTTTGGGAGGATTATCCACTGTATGAGTCCTGGGAATCACTGCTCACCCCCTGTCTCCTTCTCCTAGTGGAGTTCTTCTCTCTCAGGCACTTACAGTGAGAGAAGCATGGCACAAGATCAGGGCTTAGTCAGTCCTATGCCCCTTTCCAGAGCTTTGAACCTGGAGGAGAGTAAGGGAGCACAGCAGAGGAGAAAATTTCCTCCCACTGCACAGTCCTAATTAAATGGCTCTTCCTGGGCCATGGCAATGGGTCCTGTGGCTTGTCTTCCTTGGCAATGGGTCCTGTGCCTTGTCTTCCTTGGCAATAGGTCCTGTGGCTTGTCTGCCTTTGAGGCTTTATTTCTCCACCCTGGCTCCCCAGCCTTTCTGTCCATCTGGCAAGTGCTCAACATTCCTCTAACTAATTTTTCTGCATAAGTTACTATCTTGTATACAATCAAGAACTATGGCTGTTGAAAAAGATATCTCTGGCCACTAGATGGAGATAGAGAAGGCTAGAACAGAGGAAAAGGTGGCCTTGATTTGGGTAACAAGGTGATGATAATGGAGAAAATTCAGAGTAGAGATGAATACCCAAGAGTAGGTAAAAAAAAAAAGCCTCTCAGGTTGGGGAAGAAAACAGCTGTTAGTAAGGCCGTGAACTTTCCTTCACATGAGAATTCTGAAGCTAGCCTTTGGCTACAACCCAAAGTATACTGAATTAAGGTTTTGGTAAAAATAAAGCCACTGTTTAACAAGCTCCCTTACTTGCATTTTCAGTTATAGCAGATAGTGAGAAGCATATACGAAGTAGAAGTGAGGTGGGAAAAGTAGCACTGTTAGAGTCCATTGGTTCTTTTTACCTTTGCATCCTTTTTGAAAGCAACATTTTCATTCAGCTCAGCACAAAGATGCATGTTCAGAATCATAACCCTAGGCGAGCAGTTGTAAATACTCTGGAAGATGTGGTTTGTTTTTTGTTTTGTTTGTTTGGCTTGTGCCGCATTGAAAAATGAATTAGTTGTCAACATTAACAAATAGGAAGACTGGATTTTATTGCAAAAATGTTTAGCTTGGGCTGGGTGCAGTGGCTTATGCCTATAATCTCAGCACTTCGGGAGTTTGAGGCAGGAGGATCACTTTAGTCCAGGAGTTTGAGACCAGCCTGGACAGCATGGCAAAACCTAGTCTCAAAAAAAAAAAAAAAAAAAAAAACTTAGCTGGGCATAGCGGCCTGGGCCTGTAGTCCTAGCTACTCAAGAAGCTGAGGTGGGAGGATTGCTTGAGCCCCCGAGGTCGAGGCTGCAGTGAGCCGAGATCACAACAGTGCAATCTATCTTGGGTGACAGAGGGAGATCCTGTTTCAAAAAAAGTTTAGCTTTTCTGTAGAAGAATTTTGAGCAGCTCCTTCTAAAAAGGAAATGTACACCTCCATTTTGCCACAGTCACCACACTCCCTCTTGGCTCTCTTGGCAAATATTTGTGTTACTTGTTAACTCTCACGGGCATTTGATTTTGAAATTTCCTAAAGATACCAACAAAAGTTTGAATTCTGTTTCATGTATGTTTAAAAATATGAACATGAATGACAATATGAGGAATATTCCTATTAATGTCATTAAAATACTTACATGGTAGGAATTAAATCTCATTATCTGACTCTTTAATAATGAAGATGGAATCAAGCATTGTTCTATAGCCATATTTCCTGATAATTGTTTACTATAAGATATTTTTTGATAGTCTTATGAAACAAAGAGATGAGGATGGTATTATATAGGGCAAATTTTGGCTCAGGTAAACATGATTGTTTTTCTAATTTGGGAGGAAAATTCTTTTGTGAAAATAATCCAAGAGTTGCTTTGCCTTTTCTTCTCTCATGAATAGTTAACTTCCGAGGTACTTGGGATCTTCTTTTGAATTTTAATCTCTTTTCCTACTTTTCTGTACTTCTAGACATGTTCAAAGTCATATGAATTGTACAGATGTAAGACAAGTCTTAAAAAATCATAGAGAGTATCACAGGAAAGCATTATTGAAAAGACATTACTAGTAGATATTTGACTAACCATAGGGTTTTAAGTTGAAAATAAATTGGAGAACTTTTTGATCAACTTTTTCACTGGGCATTGGGGAATCTGAGACATTAATTTTTAAAAGACTTTACTACAACCAGAGATGACTTTATAGTGAGATTCAGAGAACATGCTACTGGATTTCAAGTTCAATTAGGATAAAATCTCAGTTCCAACTCGTGCATACAGTTCCTTTGTAATCTGTTTCTTGCCTGCCTCCCTGACTCTCACCTTTTTCTGACATGGCTCACTAAATTCAGCTCACACTTTTAGAACACACTGATGTGGGAGGCTAGGCTTAGAGTGAGGCAAGGGAAACATCACTTTACATTTTCTCCCTCACCCCACCTCCCACCTTAAGTTTCGTGCCCTGGTAAGGCACTCACCACAGGCACAAAATTTAAGGGGACACAAAAACATAGTAATCAAGAGAAATCACATTTAATATAGTATTAAAAAAATAAGTATCAATGCAAAAATATCTATGATGGACAACCTACCAACATTTTAAATACAGATCAGTGTTCTGTGTAGCCACAGTGGATCTTGAGGTGAAGGGAATTACATGTACCCATATTCAGGTTTTAATTTTTTATTTATTTATTTATTTTTTTGAGATGGAGTTTCGCTCTTGTCGTCCAGGGTGGAGTGCAATGATGTAATCTTGGCTCACTGCAACCTCCACCTCCCCAGTTCAAGGGATTCTCCTGCCTCAGTTTCCTGAGTAGCTGGGATTACAAATGCCTGCCACCACGCCCGGCTAATTTTTTGTAGTTTTACTAGAGACAGGGTTCACCATGTTAGCCAGGCTGGTCTCGAACTCCTGACCTCAGGTGATCCGCCCGCCTCGGTCTCTCTGGGATTACAGACGTGAGCCACTGTGCCCTGCCAATGTAGTTTTTAATCGTTATTTTTTTTTTCTGAAACATTGAAGTTGTGGAAAATATATTGAATAATTGAAAAGTGGGTGTATTAAAACGGATAACATTAATATAGGCTCAGATATCTTATACTAACAACAGAATTTATTACAATTTTAATTTCCTGGATTTAATGGAAGCAAACTTGTTGATACTATTCTAAAAAATAGCTCCCTTATTTATCTCATTTTCAACTGAGAGATTCACTATGACCATTTCTCTTGTCTAAGCGACCACCTTGAATAATCTTCAATAAAGTAAATTAAGTGTTAATATGGCCTCTGAGAAACAGCACACCCTTGCCCACCTAGGTTATAAACAAATTGAGGACAAAATGAAATGACGGAGTGATAGCTAAAGGTCAAAATATCACCTTGATTCCTACAGAGGCTGATTTGGAAGACTTGCTTGAGGCTTATTCAGACAAGAAAGCTTATTAGTTCTAAATCTCATGGTTGGGTAGACAAAACCAGCATATCAGGGCAGGGCTCCTTCTTCTCCTTCCCTAAGAGGGCAGAGCTGTCTCTGAAGAAGCAGAACTAGAGGCTACTCCCTTAGGGCATGGAGCTGGGTCCTGAGACAAAGGATGCAAATCAGTTAAACATGAACAGTTGTAGCAGGATGAGCCGCAGATAAAACCTCTCAGACACTGAGTTGTAGAAGGAAGGGCTTTATTCAACTGGGAGCATCGGCAAGCTGCTGCCTTAAAATCCGAGCTCCCCGAGTGCACAATTTCTGTCCCTTTTAAGGGCTCACAACACTAAAGATTTCACATGAAAAGGTCGTGATTGATTTGAGCAAGCAAGGGATACGTGACAGGGGCTGCATGCACCGGTGGTCAGAGAGAAACAGAACACGGCAGGGAGTTTCATAATGTTCTTCTATACAATGTCTGGAATCTATGAATAACATCAGCTTCTAAATCATAAGTTGATTTTTAACTACTGGGTTTAGGCCAGGCAGGCCCGGGCCTGGTTTCAGGCCTGGCGCCGGGCTGCCTGTCTTTGGTTTTACTTCCTTGTTGTTTTTACTGAATATAAAACAATATGAGAGGGGGTCTCTCTTCTCTCACAATTATTCTGCCTAAATTTACCACTCAGATGTCTCTGCACTTATTCTCAAGCAAAGAGACTTGGGGATAGAGGGATGCCAGAAGTTATACCAATGAAGGAACATCAGAAATGGAAAAGGAGGATTCCCCACTAATGCAAACAAGGCACATTCGGCCCCAGGACCTTTGCTTCTGCTGCTGTCTCTGCCTGAAGCACTCTTCCCCTAGGTCTTCACATGGCTGGATGCCTCTCAACATTGTGGTCAAAGCTCAGTTGTTATTCCCCAAGAAGTCCATCCCTGACCACTCTACTTAATGTGGTTCACTTGTTTATTTTTCTTTATGGAGCATCTATCTAAAACTATTTTATCAATACAATGTAAGTTCTCTAATGGCGGTAACCTTGCCTGTCTTGCTGAGCACCTCAAAGTGACCCTGGCACAGAGTAAACAGGTGTCTGAGGTGAGGGTTTTCAGATGCAGAGCTGGAGATCAGTTTTCTTGTGCAAATGCTTTATGGGGGGTGGGGGAGGTTCTGAAGAGAACTGAGAGATGTGGGACAGTGCAGGGGAAGAAGCTGATAAGAAGGACATGGAGTCAGTTCTAGAGTGATCAACCCTCCCATTTTACCTATGCCTAAAGGGTTTCCCAAAATTTTTAGTACTAAAACTGGGGCACTTTTAGGAAAACCAGAACTGTTGGTCACCTAGCCTCAGCCTAATCCCATAGGGGAGATCTGGTGCATATATTTAATCAAACAGTTGTCCCACTTTGAAGCCAGTGAGCCTTCCTTCAGTATAAGTCAGTGGAGGTGGCTCCCATCAGCTGAGGGCAATTCTCAAGAATGGCTGTGAGCTATCAGTAGGCAAAATTCACAGCACCTGGGGAACGGGTTCACCTTCTGGAAAAGGGATTCTAGGTGAGGCATCAACAGAGTAGTGTGTACACCATTACAGCCTGCAATAAATATGTGTTTAATGAATGAGTAAAATACATCATGAAATTTACAGTCTCATCCCATGTTAACGTGGCTCAAGCAACATCTCTTTTGCATTTTGGACTTTTGTGTAATGGAGATGATAGAAGTTTCTTAAGCTCTTTTATCATACGCCTTGGTAATATTTTAGCTTTTTACAACTAGAACACACTGTTCCTTCTTATTTGTGTATACACAAAGTTTATGACTTGCTGACTCAGATTCTCTCAGCCTGTTAATGCTCGCTGGGGGTGAGTTAGGGACTTTGAGAGGCTGCGCTAACTTCTTAATGAATCCCGAATGCCTCGTAGGAAATGTTGGTACTATTCCATTGTGACAAATGGTATCTTAGTGGGGCAAAGAGACATTCCTTCTACAACTCCAAAACAACCAACGTAAAAGATGTAGAGAGGCAGGTAATCCATTGGTCTTATTTACTTAATTTCAAGTAATTTATTTTAGGCTTTTTCCACCTGCTACTTACATTCAACTTTAAATAACAAAATAATTTTAAAAACAGAACATAGTTATCTGTATATGTGTACAGTTTTAAGTATACATGCATATGTGAATGTGTGTATATAGAAATGTGTAGATATGTATGTGTATGTATAAAACTTCTTTCCTTAGACAATATTAATGGCAATTTAGAAAGATACATAATTGGCATCAAGATTATAAAAGGCATAGGAGAAGAAAGGCAAAATACCAACATCCACCATTATCAACACAAAAGAACTGGAGGGAAGCAGTGATATGTTTAATATGAAAACATATCAAGTTCCATACACTTGATAGAGTGAGCCCCCAAATTCTCTACAGGCAACTTATACAAAAAGGAAAATTACATAGTTTTCAGTGCTTATAAGCTAAAGACAAACTGATTCTTTAGGAAAGGTATCAGTATTTCTAAATTGGAGAAAAGGCAAATGTCTCACCAAAGTCTTTATATGATCTATATGCAGCAGACATTGTGCATATATATTGCTATATGGCAATATATATGTTCTGGAAAAACCTTGCAGAATTACTTGGTAAAAATAACAGGGCTTATGGGAAAAATAATGTTAGGCAAACCACTCAAACCATGCAACTACATAATCAGAAAGGCCATAAAAATAACAATAATCCTAAAAATAATGCTTGCATAAATAAAAATGTTACATCTTAATAAAGAAATAATACAGTAAGTATAGGAATTTATATCTTTTATACAACGTGAAGACAGCTTATTAGAAGAAAGTGTAAGAAAGGATTGTGCAAAATTAATAGATGAGGAAATGCATAAAGAGCAGGAAGGACCATGTAAAAATCATTTCCAAGACAGATCTCCAAGTTTAATCGAGGATACAGAATAACTTGGATTGAATGGGCATCTTGTATTTCTCTTCAACTTTTCATGTGCAGTTTTGTTGGTGTAAGTCCACTGGAGCTGTGTGTTAACATCATGCTTTATTTATTATCCTCATATAAGCTCGTGTACCTCACAGAGGCAGCTATTGCAGAACAGACTATACTTTTTAATATGACATATGTGTGGGTGATTCAGGGCACTAACCAAACCACTTCTCCAAAAAAAAGTTAAAAATCATGAATAAACAAAGATTTTTTTGTTTTTATACACATAATTCATAATTTAAATTACCTTGCTTTTGTTTCATTTTGTGGTGCTCAGTTTTGCCTTTACAAACCTTCATAATAGATATCCTGCTAATTGACAGGTTCAATAATGTTTAGTAATTAGCAAAGAGAGTATGCTTTTCATAATAGTAAATCCTTTGTATTTTGGTTTCATAAAAATTTATTTATGCGATTTGGTTGTTTGAATCAGAATATAAATTGGTAAACTAGGTCAGGAATACATTACTGTTTTTCTTAAAAACTGCTCTTTTGATAGTGGGATTTTCTGAGTATTTCATACTGCCATTCTTATACCATATTGTTAAGATAAGCAACAGGAAATAAAACAATTTCATCTACTGTAAGTTTATCATAAGATCTTGGATACTAATTTAGCATGCAGTAGGTTTTGGCAACTTTCCCCCTTAACAAGCAAAGATTGATCCTCAGGAAAAATCAAAGTTATTATATGGGCTGTTCCATTAATAGCACTTGAAGAAAAATGAAAATGGGCAGCTAGTCTAAATGTAAATGGCATATCCAGTTTGGAAACAAATGGCTAAAGGAATGAAGAACTATTGAAATATATGCCTACCTTTGCATTTGGTCATTTAATCCAATATTATGAAGCAATGCTAGAATTTACCAGTGATATGTATCCTTTCATCAGTATGTGGGGGATATATGATGTGATTTTTATGTCATTCCCCTTAGAGGGAGATAATGCACAGAACTCACAAAAATTCAAATAAAGGGATGTTAGAAAAATCAAAAGGGGACCAGGTGCCCATAGCTCATGCCTGTAAACCAAGAACTTTGGAAGGTCAAGGCAGGAGGATTGCTTGAAGCAAGGAGTTCGAGATCAGCCTGGGCAACAAAATGAGACCCAGTCTCTACCAAAAAAAAAAAAAATTAAAAATTAGCTGGGCCTGGTTCTACATGCCTGTTAGTCCCAGCTTCTCTGGAGTCTGAGGCATGAGGATTGCTTGAGCCCAGTAGTTCAAGACTGCAGTGAGATTTGGTGGTGCCACTGCACTCCAGCCTGAATGACAGAGTAAGACCCTGTTTCTTAAAACAAAAAAGGAAGAAAAATCAAAAGGGGCATGTTATCATCATCATCGTCAAGTGGTGGCAAGTAACTTGGAATGCTAGCATTTTCTTCTTAGAATGAAGTTACTTCTGGAATGCCATGCTGTATATGTTAATTTTGTAAATCTGTAAAGGTTTAAGTTTCAGCAAGATTTTGTTTTTGTTTTTTCTTTCTCTCTTGAATATATTTCTTCTGAGAATTTATTTCTAAGACGGCAGAGAAACAGGAGTCTGACAGTCCCTGGCTGACTTTAGCAGGTTAGAGAGCTGAGTAATTCAGGAAGTGTGTGATTCTCTCCTGGTTGGGCAACTGGGAGTTTGGATGTGGAGCTAAGTGAATCTCACTCACTGTGTATCTTTTTAAAACATGCGCTGCTATAGTTTGAATATCCCCTCAAAACTCATATTGAAACTTAGCTGCCATTGTAAGAGTGTGGAGAGGCAGAATCTTTTTTTTTTTTTTTTTTTTTTTTTTTGAGACAGAGTCTTGCTCTGTCGCCCAGGCTGGAGTGCAGTGGCGCGATCTCGGCTCACTGCAAGCTCCGCCTCCCGGGTTCACGCCATCCTCCTGCCTCAGCCTCCCGAGTAGCTGGGACTACAGGCGCCCGCCACCACGCCCGGCTAATTTTTTGTATTTTTAGTAGAGACGGGGTTTCACCGTGTTAGCCAGGATGGTCTCGATCTCCTGACCTCGTGATCCACCCACCTCCGCTTCCCAAAGTGCTGGGATTACAGGCGTGAGCCACCACGCCCGGCTGAGGCAGAATCTTTAAGAGGTGATTAAGTCATGAGGGTTTTGCACTCATGAATGGATTGATGCTGTTATTGTCAAGTGGGTTAGCTATTGTGGGCATGAGTTCCTGATAAAAAGGGTATGTTTGGCCCAATTTCCTTGTGTTCTCAAATGCTTCCTTGCCATGTGATGCTTTTCACTACATCATCAAACACCAGGAAGGCCTTTACCAGATGCAGTCCCTCGATCTTGGACTTCCCAGCCTCCAGAATTGTGAGTTAAATACACATCTTTTCTTTATAAATTACCCAGTTTGTGGCATTATAGCAGCAGAAAATTAATTAGGACATAGGCAGATTAGAAAAATGATCTGGAGATGGAAATTTCATCTATAGATTGAGGGATGGGGTAGGGGCAAAATTGTGATTAAGACCATAGGTTCTGAAATTTGACTGCCAGAGTTTTAATCATGGCTTCATTGCATTTTAGTTCTTGTCATCTTAGGAACATTTGTCAATCTCTACCAGCCTCATCTTTCTCTGTAGAACAAGAATGATTCTCATATGAACTGCAAAAGGTTGTTGTGAGGACTGAATGAGACAAGCATGCAATGTGCCCAGCAGAGTACCAGGTACATAGGAAGTACTCAATACATGTTCACTTCTATCATTACCATTACTATTATTACACCGTCTGTAGGCCCAGGCTGTAGCAAGATGTGTTTGTTCTTCCAGAGAACTAGAAGCAACTCTTTGGAATGTGGGTACTATGGATAAAATACTATCATCACTTTCCTAAATCTTGGAATTTCTTCACTACTTATTTGTGTGTATCTGACAGAGTTTGTGGTTTCCTATAAACAAGTTGTGAGAGGGAACAATTTTCATGTGAGCTTCTCTTTTTAAAACCATTTTGGTGGCATATTATTCAAGGAATAGTCATAATAATAGGTCAAAGAGAAACAAATACACAGGATATTAAAGAGCTTCTCAGCATTTGCTTAGATGATACTACTGTTGTGAGTGGCACAGATAATCTGTCTATTCATGAATGGTTGCAAGCAATTAGATGATTCAGTAGAGATAATCAAATGCTATTCTTTTTTTAACTTAAGCTCTTCACTTGCCTACTGGTAGTACTGGTTTTGTCTAGATGGAGTTTAGAACTTCTATATTATTTAGTGTACAAAAATCCACCCAGGGCTGGGCGTGGTGGCTCATGCCTGTTATCCTAGCACTTTGGGAGACCAAGGCTGGTGGATGTGAGCCCTAGAGTTTGAGACCACCCAGGACAACATGGCGAAACCCCATCACTACTAAAAATACAAAAATTAGCCAGGCATGTTGGCACACTCCTGTGATCCCAGCTACTCAAGAGGCTGAGACATGAGAATTGCTTGAACCCTAGAGGCAGAGGTTGCAGTGAGCTGAGATCACGCCACTGCTGCTCCAGCCTTGGAAGCAGAGCAAGACTCTGTCCCAAAAAAAAAAAAAAATCAAGCCATCCAAAGTCATAAAAATAGTCTGGGTCACCAAAAGAAGCCCTGTGACAATTTGACAATTTGAAGACAGATAAATACTGTATTTCATTTTAATTAATTAAAAGAAATTATAGCATGATGGCATGTATTTTAATTTCTCAGATAAATGCATTTAAAAATTAGTCTAATTTTTATATTAGACTAAATTTGACTGAATTGATCATTATTTTAGATTAAAATATGTTCTGGAAGATTTATTCTTTAAAAAACAACAAATACTAGAAATTACATATGCAAGTGAGTTTATTCTTATCAAAAGTAGAGGCATTAACTAAAAATTGTCTATAAATTCTTCTTTGCAAATTGCTGTCAGCCTCCGCAAGGTTTTATTGTCATTTTCAGTACCCTCTGTAGTGGCCAATTTTATCCTTTTAGTGCAGATAATCACTGTCTTGCAGAGATCATTAATCCTTTCTCTCTTTTCCTCTATTAAATTAACTTAGTAAACCCCAATGTGGTTGAATCCAAATATTCACTATCTTCAAATGTGGCAGACACAGCTATTTGTTTAAATACATTGTTGTTTTCTCATTTTTTCTTTACTAACTTTTCAATGGTTTTGTTCAGGACAACAACCTTCAGATGCTGGCTTTCCTGCCTCCCTTGAAGCTAGGGTTGGCTATGTGTTACATGCCCCACAACTAAGATGAAAATAGAAATCTGGTGGATGTTTCTTGGAAATCTTTTGTTTTCCTAAAAGATAATTACTGAAGCAGGTGAGGCCCCTCCTTTTTTATTCTGGCCATGAATGTGGATGTAATGAATACGAAAACCAATTTGCTGAGCATGGCAGCAGAAAAAGATACAAAAAGCCTGCAACCTGAGGGTATTACTTAGCAGGTGAATCAATACCAGCAAGTGCATATCTCTGTTATGTGAAAGAAAAAGAAATCTCTATTTTTGCACCACCTGCTGTGTGTCAGTTATTCTGTTTTTTTTTTTTTTTTTTTTTTTTTTTGAGTAGCTAACATAGCTAACCACATTCCTACAAGCACATTAATAGTTGAACATTGTTGGAGAGGATCAATCTTTGTGATTGATCTTTAGTTCATACTTGCAGGAAACATAAGGATGCAGCTTTCAGTCTTATTATGCTTTCCTGGTTAAGGTAAGAATTTTGTTTTGTTTCGTAAATCTCTTTAGTCTCATATCTCCTCTCAACAACCTGAAAAATTCACTCAAACTTTGTTCAGAAAATGGAAGCTCTCATCAATGCTCTCCCTTACTCTCCTTCATCTCTGCCCTCTTTCTGCATTATTACTCTCCATCTTCACCTGGCCACAGAAAAAAAAATGTGCCCCTGCTCCTCTTAAGCAAGTCTGCTGTTGCCTATCTGGACCTTCATGGCCTTTGTCCTTCACGATGACATTTTCTCTTTCTTTTCTCCTCTTTCTTCTACATCTTCAATTTCTCACTTGCCACTAGATCATTATATCAGAACATCTTTACAAAAACTTGCCTTGACCTGCTCTCTCCTTAGGCTTTTGACCCATTTCCCTTCTCTCCTTTGTAGTCAGACTTGAAAATGTTTTACACATATTGTCTCCATTTTCTAAAGTCCTTCTGTACCCCATTACAATTATGCTTATCTTCCTGCCAGCCCACTGAAACCATTTTCCCCCAAATCACCAATCTCTGTGTAGACGAATCCACTGGAAAATATTTTTTTTTCTTTACTTACCTATTGGCAACAATTGGGAAAGTTTACCAATATCTCCCTGTAATGCCTTCTTATTTTTTTGTTTTTTAAAACTATATTCTCAGTTTTTCTCTCTTCCTTTCTAGCTACTTCTTTCTGGCTTTTTCTTTTCCATAAGATCTTCAAAATATTAAAATTTCAAGGCTAGGTCTTCATCCCTCTCCCTTGTTTGTTTATATTTATCCCTAATGATATATTTCCCCAATTCGCCAACACATGTATCTGTTGATGATCTCTCCTCTGAGCTCCAGGCTTATCTACTGAAAGATGCATTTGACATTTCGTAGATACGTAATAGACATCTCACACGTGAAACATCAAAACAAACTAGATGATCCCCCCAATTTCAACTCTGTTCAGTTCCAATCCCTCTGTCTTAGAAATTGCATTATCATCGTCCACTATTTAAAAATAGAAATATGGAAGCCGTTTTTTGGCATTTCCCTTTTTTAAAGTTTTTTATATCCAATTTATTGACAAGTTAGTTCCATCCTTAGAACCTATCTGGCATACCTCTTTTACTTTGTTTCATTACACAACATCTATAATACCATTTTAAGAAATAAAATTAACTTGCTAAAAGTGCTGAAATGTAAAAGAATGGCAATACCAATTGATAGCGAAGCTATGGGCAATAAGATCTCAGACATTGGGAGAGTAAATTTTAATTGGCAATACCACTTTGAAGAGGCATTGCCTGTTAAAGAGATGCAATGGTTCTATTTCCAGAGACTTACCAACAAGAATGAGTGGGCCGGGCACAGTGGCTTACACCTGTAATCCCAGCACTTTGGGAGGCCAGGACGGTTGGATTACCTGAGGTCAGGAGTTTCAGACCAGTCTGGCCAATATGGTGAAACTGCATCTCTACTAAAAATACAAAAAACTAGCCCGCATGGTGGCTCGTGTCTATAATCCCAGCTATTCGGGAGGCTGAGGCAGGAGAATCACTTGAACCTGGGAGGTGGAGGTTGCGGTGAGCCGAGATCATACCATTGCACTCCAGCCTGGCTGACACAGTGAGACTCTGTCTCAAAATAATAATAATAATAATAATAATAATAAAAGAAGAAGAAGAAGAAGAAGAAGAAGAAGAAGTGAGTGTATGCAACAGCAACAGTTAACATGTACAAAAATGTTCATGTCAGCAATGTTCACAATAGATCCACTTGGGAACAAACCAATGCACGTTGACCATAGAATGAAGACAAACATTGAAGTATAGACACAATAGACACTATAAAGCAAAAAGAAAAAAAAAATGAACAAATTACAGGTACATGAAACATGAAAGAAACAACATGGATGAATTTCTAAAGTGATATTAAAGTTGTATCAGTAGTATTTAGCAAAAGATGCTAGATGCAAAATGATACGAGGAATAATTTCTTTATGTAACATTTAATAACCTGGAAAGCTAAGTTATGGTGTTTAGAAATCTAAACTTAGATGGGAAAAGTATAAAAAACAAAGAAGAAAAAAAAAACCAGTATTACCGTAAAAGTCAAAATACCAGTTATTCATGGGGGGAGGGTGGTGCCCCTCATAATTCGGAAAGACACAGTTTCAAACACCATAATCCCAGATGCTGAAAACTATAAAGTCTAAATCCCCCAAAATTACAATTCTAAAAGATTAAAATTCTGAAAATTGAAATCATGAAAGGTGAATTCTCAGCAAGGGATTAGTGCAATTTCAGGGGTCACCAGGATAGCTATTGTTAGCTGTTTGATGTTAAGGGGAACTATTACCTTGTTTTTTTTTTTAATTTGAAAATTAATTATAGTTTAAGGAGATGCACATGGGGGCCAAGTTGACAAGGGGTGGGTTTGTGGACTTAATTTTAGGTGTCACCTCACTTGAATTAAGGAATACCTAGATATCTGGTAAGGCATTATTTGGGGTGTGTCTGTGACAATGTTTCCAGATATTAGTGTGTGAGTGGACTAGGTGGGGAAGATCTGCCCTCAGTGTTGGTGGGCACCATCCAACTGGCAGGGGCCCTAAAAATAACAAATACAGAAAGTAACTTGGTCTCTGAGAGCTGGGGCCAATTTTCTTCTGCTGCCTTCGACATTATAACGCCAGGCTTGCCAGCCTTTGCACTTACACCTTGGACTGAGAGTTACACCATTGGATTCTCTGGTTCTCAATGTAAAAATGTTGGAACTTTCCCAATAAATGAAGACATCTTCTTTTTGTACATTCACATCTGTGAAAGATAAAATTTTTCAAGATCTCAGCTCTTTAGGTGATTGATTGCATGTGCTGTGGAGACCCGTCACAGTTGTTGATGAATCCCCTCAAAATACTTAGGTTGTCCTTCATGGTATTTTTTTTTCTTCTTTTGAGACAAAGTCTCACTTTGTCGCCCAGGCTGGAGTGTAGGGGTGCAATCCTGGCTCACTGCAACCTCCACCTCCTGGGTTCAAGCAGTCCTCCTGCCTCAGCCTCCCAAGTAGCTGGGATTACAGACATGCATCACTACACCTGACTAATTTTTGTATTATTAGTAGAGATGGGGTTTCGTCATGTTGGCCAGGCTGGTCTCGAACTCTTGTCTTAGGTCATCTGCCTGCCTTGGCCTTCCAAAATACTGGGATTACAGGCATGAGCCACCTCTCCCAGCCTCTCTCCATGACCTATTTATTTAAGAATATGGTTCACCTGCTCATAACTGTTATAAGCAGGCAACTGTCATTAGTATATCTGAGTGTTTGTGCTCGGAAAACTATATATGCTATTATTGCCTATTTTATTGTGTAAAGTGGCCTGCGAAGTGTCCTGTCATATTTTTATGTTTCTCAAACAATTCCCCCTTTAAAACATGTAGATAAATGTTTAGAGAATTTTAAAATTGTTTTTTCCAGAATTATATTTTTAGGATTTCGATCTTTTGGGATGGTGATTTTTGAGATTTTAGACCATAGAAATTTTCATCTTTTGGGATTCCAACATTTGGGATTATGGCATTCAGGAGTGTGTCTTTTGGTATGGTGGCCAAGATCCCAGAGTAGGGGAAGGTAGCTTTGAGTGTGATGGAGCAGGCAAGGGTTTTCTGGGGTGCAAGCAGGGTTCTGTTTCTTGCCTTGCATTTGCTTTTACAATGCATGCTTTCTAATAATTAATCTATACTTGGATGCCCTGTGTATCTTTCTATAGATAGTATATAAATGCATTACATATTTATGTATATTTGTATATAAATATCTATGTTTTACAAGAAAATATACAAATATTTGTATGTGAATATCTATGTTTTACAAGAAAATATGCAAATATTAAATATATAAATAACTTCCCTGAATAAAACCATGGTGTGTAGAATGAGATCCTAATACCTTCTTGTGGCTGACGAATCTCTGCAGGAGCTGGTGGGGCTCCTCTGCAGCCTCATCTTACAGCCCTTTGCTGCTTGTTAAACACATTGGCTCTCACTGGCTTTCTGCCACTTCCTTGAGCGCATCAAGCTCTCTGCTGTCCCGTGGCCCCTTGTCCTGTTGTTCCCTCTTAAAGGAAGACCTCCCCTGGATCTTTGTTCGGTGAGCTTCCTGTCATCCCAAGTCTTAGGTTAAAATGTCAGCCCTTCAGGGAAGAGAGCCTATATAAAGCTTCAACCTGTTATCCTCTGGCATAACAACCTGTTTGTTTTCCTCTTTGCTCATAAGATAATTTGTGATTCCTTTGGTACTGCTTACTAATTTGCTGACAATATTGCCAGCTATATTGGCGGTCTAGAAAAGCAGAGATTTTTTTTCTTTGTTTGCTCCTGTGACTCTGGTGCTTGGGACACAGTAATGCTTGGCTCAATATTATTGCAGGATGAAAATCAATTCATTGGATATAGAATCGTAGGAAGACATCCTATTAGATGACATATGTAAGCAATATTAACTATAATGAAGGTGGAGGAGGAAGAAACATTAGAAGAGAGAATGAAGTAGAAGATAAACTAGAATCACATCTTACGAACTTGTTATATCCGCACGGGGTGACTCAGCTGTTGTCAAGTAGTGAGTCACAGCAGGGCAGACTATGTAGGGGCTGCCACCCGGCTTTTACTCTGTGTGTTTCCTGTGGATAATATCTAATTGTATGTGACATGAATCCAGCCATTTCTAGATTATCCTTATAAGAAGGCATTAACTAGAACTCCTTTCAGTTTTCACCACAGATCACCAACAATGGTTCCTAATTTACTTTAAGAAAGGCCACAATCTGTCCTCAGGATGACTTTCAGGTGACTGACACCTGCCTTGGATGGGCAGCCACTCAGCACCCATGAGCTGTAATTCCCTAGGATCTTTAAAATCTTGGACCTTCAGGTACTGCCCTGGCCTCTTTGCAAGGGTGGTCCTTTACATTCTCAATCCTCCAGCAGGTCATGCAATCACAAGAGATTTGTCAGTCTGCATAAAACATCTGAATGCTAATGAAATGGCCCAGCACATTAATTAGACTGTCAATAGATCAGCCTTAAAAGCTCAGTTTCTCTTCTCTTCATTTATTTTCAAACAAAAGAGCAGCAGCACATTAGGAATGAAATCAGAATACTAATTAATTCCAATTCAGTAAATTTCCAAACAAGCTCTTCATATCCATAAACCAGAAATATTTTATAAATGATTTTGTAATATTAAATGTTACTTCTTTTCTCTATTATTCATAAGGAAGGAAAAATAAGTTCGATGTAGCTAATATATAATACATATATGCTCTAAAGAGATTTCAATAGCCATGTATCAGTAACACTAACTCAGTCAATAAAATATGGATCTCAATAAGAACAACATCAGTTTTTCCTCTTAATTACTTATGAGAATTGATGTCTGATATCAAATCTTTAAATTTAAATGAAGGAGGTATCAATTTTATGACAAAACAAGATTTATTAAATTCAAATTGTCAAATTTTGTAGGACTTGTTTCAGGCAGAATAATGTAACCCCAAATTCATTAAGAAAATGTACTTTGTAAAAAGCAGAAAATTTAATTTGAGATATCAGAGTATAAGTTGTTAACCATTATACAAATAATTGGGAAGCTTTTGGGGAAAATAATCACTGATGTTATTTTCTACTTGAATCAACTTGTGATTAACTGTCATTAGAAGATCGTATGAAGCACCAAATATAACTAAATAAAGACAATGTGTAAGACAAGATTTGCAGCAGTTTTGAGATTGCTACTTCATTTTATGGTTTTGATGCTGCCAATGATCGGGTAGCATTTTCTGGTCTTGAGGCAAATTCACAAAAAGGCTTATATACCGAAACACTCTCAAAACAAAATTGGTAAAAACTGTGGGCTTGCTTTTCTAAATCATACTTCTTTTATCATTAATTCCTATTGATGATCTGAATAGGGGTATATACATTTTTCTTCATGGTATTATGATGCTGTCTTGTATTGTTGGTAGATGATTTGACAATTACAAAAAAGCACTAAGAAAAATAAACATCACTCATAAATCTATCACCATTTATTTATATTTCCTTGCAGTCTATTTGTCTATATGTGTTATATAATATATAATTTGTATACATACATATCTGACATGATTATATATTTTCAAATATTAGAGTATATCATACTTTAAAATAGTTTACATTTATTGAGATATAATTTATGTAAAATTAAATTTATTTTTAATCCTAAACCACTCATGACTCCTCAATGTAGTCCTATCTGGTTATGATTTATTTTCTTCTAAAATACTACTAAATATAATTTGCCAAGGATTTATTAGGATTTTAAATGTATTTACAGCTGAGTTGGGTCTGTGCTCTTCTTATTTTATTTTTGTGCGGTTTCGTATAGGGAGTATGTTTATGTATGACTGAATCAATATTTTTCAAACATTTCTGAAACACCTCCTATAATGGAGATCAATGTTCTTTTGTAATTTATATTATCCTGTATATTTGTATATTTGTCTCTCTATATTGTACATTATAATTTACATCATAATATAAATTATGTTATATCACAAAAATTTGAATTTTGTAATTTATATTATCTTATGAATGAGTGAAACCAGTATGTTCAAATTTATTAGCAGAGAGTTGGATATTTTCCACAACATTTAAGAGCTCCTCCATATTTAATTTTACCTCAAATTTAAGTTCCTTCAATTCCTTAATCCCCTCTTTTATGTCAAAAAACTTTTAAATAGTTGTTTTGAAATCATCCTTTAAGTTTATATATCATTTATTTTTCTAATGCAGTAATCAGTGATTATTTTTATTACCTTTCCTTGTTTTCTTTAGGTAATCTATTCTTTTAAAATTATTTTTCCATTTATAATAAAAGCCATTGAAACCCATGATATGCCTCTTAATATCTTGTTCATCAAAATTTGTCTCAAGTTTATTTAAAAAATAAGTAGCATAATAAATAACACATATATTGTCCTTCACCTATATTTACCAATTGTTAATTTTTGCTAGTGTGCTCTCTCTCTTGCTCTGTCTCTTGCTCTCTTATGAACCATTCGGGAGTAATTTGCAGACATCATGATTCTTCCAAACTACATGCTCAACTTGTATCTGCTAAGTAAAATGACATTCTCTTACATAAATCATAGTACATTTATCAAATTCAGAACTTTAACATTGTTTGGATTCTATTTTCAAACTCACACTTCATATTTAAATGTTCGAGATAATGTCTCAATAATGTCCTTTACAGGCAATACTTTTTTCCAGTTCTGGGATCCAATCCGTAGTCATGTATTTCCTTTAGCTGTATTGTCCCTTTAGTTTCCTTTAATTAATAAACAGTTCTCAACCTTTTGTTGTTGTTGTTTATATTGGCAATGTTGAGGACTATATGATAGTTGTTTTGTAGAAGTCCCTTAATTTTGGTTTTTCTGATTCTTTTATATGATTGGATTTAGGTGGTGCATTTTTAGCAGATAGACGGTATAAGTGAAGTTGTGTCTTCCTCAATATATTACATCAGGAAGCATACGATGAGCCCTTGTTGAGTAGGTTACTTTTGTTCACCTGTTTCAGATGGTGCCTGCCAAATTTATATACTGTAAAGTTACCACTCATACCTTACTGTAATTACTAAGTCATCTATGGAAGATCCTTCGACGCATAAAGGTCCTGTCCACAGCAAAGAGTTTGACCTCCATTGCTGATTTTTGCCTGAATCAGTTATTGTTATGGTCTTTGCAAAATGATTTATTTCTAACTCTTTCATTACTAATATATTTATTAGCATGGTGAGTATTCTACTGGAAAACAAATAAAACTGCCAAAAAACACCTCCTTTCCTCCTTCATGAAAGTACATACGTATGTGTATGTATTAGTGTAGATGCGTGGGTTCATTTTTATTTAGTATATTTCAATCAGTTTCTGCCAGTACTCATTGCTCTGCTCAAAATTTGCCAGATTTGACATCAAACTTGTTCTTACGTGCTGTTGGCATGTTCTCATCAGTTTCTGAATACTTTCTTACTTCTTGGCAAGAAATGTGTTCAAAAATCACCTTACATTTTTTGTTTCTAGCCACAGAATCAATCTGATACTAGATATCAGCATGTACTGATATGCACTATCAGTAGATATCAGTATGTACTGATCTGTACTATCAGTAGATATCAGTATGTACTGATCTGTACTATCAGTAGATATCAGTATGTACTGATCTGTACTATCAGTAGATATCAGTATGTACTGATCTTCTATGACCCTGGATGAGAGAAGTAAACAGGGTAAAATGGGATATGCCTCTTTATTTGAGAAGGGATGTTGTCATAGGGGCATCTGCTTTTTTTGTTTGTTTGTTTGTTTTTGAGACAGAGTCTCACTCTGTCGCCCAGGCTGGAGTGCAGTGGTGCGATCTCGGCTCACTGCAAGCTCTGCCACCCGGGTTCACACCATTCTCCTGCCTCAGCCTCCCGAGTAGCTGGGACTACAGGCACCCGCCACCATGGGGCATCTGCTTATTTTATTGGACGGAACTGTGGTGCTTTGACACCTCAAGGAGAGATTAGGAAATAATTTTCTTTTGCTCATCAATACAACGTTTGCCTAAGCAAGACTGGAAATCTATTATTAGTGAAAGAAAGATAAAAATGACTATTAGATTGGCAGCTAGTTATGGTTGCCACAATATGATATATCAACCTGTGTCTTATACATCAATATGATCTATAAAAGAGCATGCAGGCTATTATGCTCTCTTAATTCTTGTTTTTGTTTTGTTTGTTTGTTTGTTTTTTCTTTTTTTGCCTGAGAGAGAGAGTTTCACTCTCGTCACCCAGGCTGGAGTGCAATGGTGCGATCTCGACTCACTGCAACCTCTGCCTCCCAGGTTCAGGGGATTCTCCTGCCTCAGCCTCTGAAGTAGCTGGGACTACAGGCATGCACCACCACACCTGGCTAATTTTTGTATTTCTAGTAGAGATGGGGTTTCACCATGTTGGCCAGGCTGCTCTCGAGCTCCTGACCTCAGATGATCTGCCTGCCTGGGCCTTGCCTTAATTCTTGAATAACATCTGTGCTTAACTTCGTATGCTTGGAGAGGAAAACAGATCTAACTTTAAATCTAACTCATAGTATCCTGATGATCTTTTTTTTTTTAAACTTTCAGTAAACATAAATACTATGAAAACACTAAAACGCTGAACCAGAATATTATAGGGTTTGTAGGGGAGCCGATAAGAGTTATTTATTCTAGTATATTCTCTTGCCTATTCAAATGTTGTAGTCTAAACTTTATGCATATTTCATATTCAAGAAGATGTTTTAGAGAGTATCAATATGACTTTTGATTCCAAGAGCATTCTAACCCTTGCTCACCTCTACACCCAATTCTCATTTTCATGTTTGGTTCTGTCCATTGGCTTTGCTTTAACCCTTACCTGCTTTCTCAAGCTTCTGTTCTTCACCCTCCAACTAAGACAATTATGCTGAAAAGAAACCTATTTTCAGAAAGAAGAGCTTCATTTCCAAAAGATCATATGGATGTTTTCAACCTAATCCATATAAAACTGCAAACAAAGTAAATCACTGTATTTCTACAAATAGAAGAAGAAATTTTCTGCTTTCCCCTTATGAAATGGCCTCTGAGGTTCTACCATTGAGTCTTTGACTTCTGGTTTTGAGAATAAGATTTACAGAAACAATATGATAATGAGGATACACAATAGACAACACTCTTCAATCCTTATGAGTGTTGACTTACAAACTAATCCTTGGTGGAAGTCTATTTTTCTCTTAGAGAAACACCACAACAATTTTTTGAGTGATAGGGGAGAAGGAGTCAAGAGGAACTTGTCATATTATCTGAAGCTGACTAGTCATTTGCATTCCGTCTCCAAATCACCATTTGTCCATTTCTCCATACACATCCATATTATAAGGAAGGGAATAGTGTAAAATAATTTGAAATGGGTGAAAAAGCATTGCTTTGCTTTCTTGCTTTCTTTTCACCAAAAATAATTTTAGATTTTGTATTAAAATAATTTTGCACAGTGAAATGTCTTTAGTTTTTTTTCAAGTCTCATTTAATATATATTCAGCTGGCATAGAGCCTATGACACTACCCTAAGGACTGGTAACTCTTTTTGGCACGTTGGACGGGGCTGTAATTTGACTGCCTTACAGTCATGATCATTTTAAGATTAATGCCACTGGATTCTAATATTAAAACTCTAGTTTGGCTAGACATTTGCCATATATCTGACTATTCTAGGAATGACTTCATTAAAGAGTGAAAATGTAACCACTACTTCATTAGAACATTAAAAAATGTAATCTTAGACTAGTCTGAGATTTTCCTGTTAGTCTTATTTGCCCAAAGATTCTTGATAAAATAGTATTTTATGAATTTTCAAATTCTATATAATTTTTATACGTAGAAGGGACAATATTCTAGAAAAGCATTTTTTGAAGGCCTATTCTGTGGAAACACTAGCTACATTAGATGCTCTATGGAAGACTAGGATACTGGGGAGCAATACATTTAAAAGATGCTACAAACCATGCCCATCACTTGGATATTCATAATGAATATAAATTTTTGCATCCTAGAGAAATGTTTAAAGTTTGAATGAATGTAGTACTGAACCACAGAGCTCTATGATCATAAAATATTTATTCACATATTTTGGAGGTGGTGTTTTGCAGAACACACCTTGGAAAACACATTTCTCTAATTTAGGCAAAGCATTGAAATTAATCCCAATACAATATTTTTAAACCTTGTTATTCCTACCTTGGCTCAAATAGAGTCTAACTACATTTCTATTGCTAAATAGCTGTCTAAAACATTTACATTTTAAAAATATGAGAAAGCCAATGGAAAGTCTCAAAATAATTTTAGAACCATAATTTTTAAGAGCTTCATAAGGGGGAATAGATGCATACTGTTTCCTCCCTTCTTAAACGATGACAATAAAACATTACCCAGCAAATTCCGCAAATTGATAGAGAGAATGATGGTGGATAGAAGAGAATGAAAATGTCCTTCACAACTGGGTGTGGTTGCTCACGCCCGTAATCCCAGAAATTTGGGAGGCTGAGGCGGGCTGATGACCTGAGGTCAGGAGTTCGAGACCAGCCTGGCCAACATGGTGAAACCCTGTCTCTACTAAAACTACAAAAATTAGTCAGGTGTGGTGGCTGGAGCCTGTAATCCCAGCTCCTTGGGAGGCCGAGGCAGGAGAATCGTTTGAACCCGGGAGACGGAGGTTGCAGTGAGGCAAGATAATGCCATTGCCCTCCAGCCTGGGTGAGAGAGCAAGATTCCATCTCAAAAAATAAAAAATAAAAAATAATAATAAGAAAGAAAGAAAAGAAAAAAAAACTGTCATTCTCAGCCTTAGCTGAACTGAAACTTCTCTTTTGTGTGTTTTTGGACCGCTACACAAAGGGCCTTAGGCAGCTCTGCAGGTTTTCAGGCTGAAGTGGAGAGAGAGGAGAGGATGACAGTGATACGGAGAGTAGCTTCCAGGTTTCACTTTAGGTAAGTCTCAGCCTCAAATCCAGCCAAGTCGCCTCCATGACTTCTGGACTAACACAGCCTCCTGTTTCTTTGTTGTGTGTCCCCCTGCCATCATTTTAACATGTCTTCATCCATCATCTGCCCATACAAGCTTCACTGCAGGAGTTTTTGCTCAGGACTCTCTGAAAAACAAGTCCAGTTTTTAACCCTGCCTCTCTCTTTTGCCTAAATCCATTGCTAAACTATGTAGATACTCTTTATAGCTAATTGTGTTAAATCCAGATTCCTTAACCTCACTTTTATGTCTTGATACTAATTAGTTTTTCTCTTGCCCCACCTAATCAACCTAATTCCTCATTATTTTCCCAAACAGGCCACTTCAAGCTGTTCTGTTCACCTCATGCATATAGACTGCTCATTTCTGACCCCAGCGTTTGCATTTGTTATTCTTTCTACCTCAAATGTTCTGATTTCTACTCACCACTAAGTTGTGCGTCTTGATCTATTCAGAGCTTTCTTCTTTATTCCAGCAGCCATTTTGTAGTGGAGCCCTGCCCAGCGTCTATCTCCTTTCTTCTGATCACAGCAGTTCAGTTTTCCTTGGAGGGTGCTTCCCTTTCACATCCTTTGTCCATTGCATTTGGGGGAGTGATCAGTCCCTAGTTCTAGGCAGGGTCATGGGAAGAAGTCTTGGCCAGTCAGAGTCACAGTAATTTGTTCAAGGGAATATACTATGCTTCTGATCCAATGACACTGGTCTCTAGACTTATGCTGGAATTACAGGGAAAGTCAAGTTACCCACCATCTTCACTCCCACCTTCAAATAGGGTTTGCCAAGTTCCTAGAATCTGAGGCTACATGTATTAGTCCATTTTCATGCTGCTGATAAAGACATCCCCAAGTCTGGGTAATTTATAAAGAAAAAGAGGTTTAGTGGACTCACAATTTCACGTGGCTATGGGGGCCTCAAAATCATGGCAGAAGGCAAAAGGCACGTCTTACATAGTGGTAGGTAAGAGAAGAAACGAGAACCAAGCGAAAGGAGTTTCTAAAGCTATCAGATCCTGTGAGACTTATTCACTACCATGAGAACAGCATGGGGTAAACCACCCCCAATCATTCAATTATCTCCCATTTTTATATCAGCAGCTCACTCAAATAATGCGTAATTTAGGCTTGGACAACAATCTTACGATGTAGACATCATCATATATAGAGACTGAATGTTTCAAAGCCAACATCTATTTTCATCCCTGTGCCTAGCTTTTCTGTTTTTTTTTTAATCGGTACATTCTTATATCTTGATTTTAAAATCCATTGTCCAGTTTTTCTGTGTACGCTTATATTTATCCATAACATGAACCAACCCAGATGTGGAAAGAATAAAAAATGCATTGTCTCCTTTACACCACCCTGCGTGGAAATGTGCTTGCTTCTGCACCATCTAATGCATTTTGTTGTCCAAATACACACACCAGAGACTGATAACACTGTTAGCCCTGAGACTAACCAGGTCAGAGCACATCAGGAACATTGCAGATAGAAAACCTACCATGCCAATGATTGTGGTCATTTTTAGCCCAGTGGAGGGAGCTGGTTTGACATCAGAGACACAGCTAATGTCAGCAGGATACAGCACATAAAATCACATTTCTCCTCCTTCGTACCTTATGCAAACCAAGGAAACTGGTTTTATTTCCAATTTGGCAACAAAAAAGAACAAGGTGCTAATCTTTCAAATAAAGATGGAAATATTTTTCCTAGTGACTGACTTTTCAGCACTATTTCTAAGTGAACTGTCCTTGGGGAAGCAACCCAGGATATAATTTTACTGTCACATAAAACATTGCATTATATTTTAGTCAAATACATTTTATGCTTTGACAGTTTCTCTCTCTTTTTCTCTCCCTCTTGCTGTCACTCTCTCTCTTCTCTCTTTCTCAGGAATTTAGATAGAAGGGTTTTCTTATAGTGAAACTTTTAATCTCAATGCATGATGCCTGTGCTTGCTCTAACTGATGAGTAGATGCAATTTAACAGATACGGTACTCCAAGGGCGTTTGGCATTCCTACCTCCTTCAGGCAAAGAAAGCTGCAGTCTGTTGTGAGTGAAAAAAATAAAAGAATAGAGACAAGTATAATAATGAAGAAAAGACTTTCCTTTTTTCATCCTCCAGGAGATAAAGAAAACCACCTTATTATGATAAACACTAGCCTACATAAAATAGAGGTGGAAGGGGTAGAAAAAAGTAGAGAAAATGACTGCCTTCTTTGAAGTCATTTTATAATACCAAAAAATGATTTGTCTGTGTTATTCTTAAGTGAAATGGGGAGGGGAAAGGAACTTTGATGCAATATATATAAAATAACATTTTCTTAATTTTTGAAGCTTTTAGGTAATTTTTTTCTATCGGGGAGAACTTGATCTGAGATAAAAGACCCAAATTGCTTTCCTTTCAGGCTCACCTTTAATTTATGTCAACTTTTATTGGAACTGAGCTATCAGAAATGATGAAATTTGCATTCCTTCTCATCATCCCCATATCTAAGTATATAATAATTATGATATTATGTTGCCCTACAAATCTGGGTTCCTAGAAGTGATTACTGGATTACTGTCATCTGAAAAATGTAATTCTAAGTACGGAGACTTATTTTTAGAGACAGAAAATCACTTCTCTATGAAACTATAATATGGGTAGAGGTGGTGTGGATGGGGAAATGATATTAAATGCATTATGGATAGGCTGGATGGTAATAAAACTCTAGAGGCTTGTTATTTGGAAAAACAGTAAGAAGTCCAGCATAGATCAAAAGCTGGGTAATACCAAACTCATTAATGGAAAAAAGTCACAGGGATCATAACGTAATGTAAGCTGATACAAGGAAGTCACTCAAAGACTCAGTCCTGGTTTCCCATTGTCTCTGTTAGGAAAAAATCAAAATGAGCTTCTCTCTCTCTCTCTTTTTTACCACATCTGACATCTGGACTAAACTCAAGGGTCTTTCCATTGTTAACAAATGCGGCATGCACAATTTATCCCCTGTTTGCCTCTTTGAGGAGTCTAACAACTATGGGCTAGGGAGAAGGTCTTAACCCCATTTGGAATTAGGTATTAGGAATGGCCCCTGTTATCCACAAAGGCTGCTCCCTGACTCCACCAAGGGCAGATGATCCTCTTCTGGTTTCTTTTCCTAAGAAGAATTTGGAGGAGACATTGTTTTCTAAATTGTAAAGCTTTGTGATGCACAGCCTAACAAAATTAGCTGAGATTATTGGAAGAAATGATCCAAAGTAATTACTTAGAAATTGATCTGCTGTGATTTTTTTCTCTTTTCTTCTACACCCTGTCGTCAGAAAGGACAGAAAATGCTTTCTAAGAAAAGTATCTTAGGGATAACTGTTAACAGATTTTTTAATGCCCATTTTGTCAACTTCCAGTGACAAATATTAATACATTTTACTCAAGTGAAGATATTATAATTTACCTGGCAATGACAATATTATGACAATAATGACAATGAGAAGGTTTGGGATATTTACTATGATCTAGGTGTCGGGCTTTATAAATTTCACCTCCTATAATTTTCCTAACAATTCTACGTGGTAGGCCTAATTTTTCTCTGAAATAAGAAACATGCAGTCTTGAGAGGTTAAGTAACTAACCCAAAGTCCACAGTTGGTAGATGGGAGGCATGATTCAAGCTCAGATTATCTGAGGATGAATCCATACAATGATTTCCTATGTTTCACTGCTTCACAATTTGATTTTCATTACAATGTATAAAAATATCTATGGATGTCAGACATCTTAAGGAAATGAAGACTTCCTGTATTTGTAAAGGACAATATATTTTAAACTCCAATATCTAGAGTTACTTATGAAATGATATTTCAGGAAGGGGATACAGGTTATATTCATTATATCTTAAAGAATCATCATTCTAATTCCTGGCATAGCACTCAGACAGTATTGTAGTATAATGGGCATGGAAGATGGGTCAGTACTCAATGAGATGCTGTTTTAATTGTAGGGACAAGGGAGTCCTTATGATTCTCAGATGGCACTTTGCATCAGAAACAGCCAGGTTGCAAAGGTGTTAAATTAGGGACCAGGTTGACTTGGAGAGTTTGCCTGGACACTGGGGTTGGGCGGGTACATATTGTTCAGCTTCAATTGGACATCACTCTACTTGATCCCCATCAAGATGAAGATGAGCAAGAAAGACCCAATGCATGTAAAACAGTCACTCTTCAACTTGAGCATTCATCAGTCACCTGAAGGGCTGGTTTACATACTGTGGCTGCGTCCCATCCTCAGCATTTCTGATTCTGTAGATGTGGGGCTGACTCCCTAGAATTTGCATTTTAAAAAATCCCCCACTTATGCTAATGCTGTTGGTGCCTTGAGAACCACTGCCATAGGAGATGCTGTAAATACTCTGCCTGTAACCCTTTGGATTTCTTAACCGTATTTTTACACAAGAGTTCTCGGTGTGCTTCTACTCTCATCATGAAGAACCTGCTCTGCCTGAATACAGGATGAGCTGTAATCTCATCATTCTAACTATCAACCAATGGCTGATGGTATAGAGATCAATCTGCCTTATCCCCATTAAAGGGACTCAGATGTGACTTGCAAGACTAAGCTAAAGCTACTTTCCGTGGGACTTTACTTGATATTGCCCATTTGCCAGCTCCTTCTATTCCCAGTTCAGCTTCCTCACTACCAGTTTTTCCAGGGGCACATTTAATAGATCACCTCCCCACAAATCTTTAGAGAACCCGATTTAAGCATGTCAATTGTGTCTGCACATTCTTCTGAATGGTGAAATAATCCTGGGTACTAAAGGGAGAAGCATAGCAAGAATTACTTCTCCTCCCTTGCTCAGTCTAAAGGGTGAATTTCAGGGATATTGGGGGGCATTCATGGGGTGCCCAGGGCACCTGAAAGTCAGTGTAGATAGGCAGCATCTGTCCTGACTTCCTGTCGCTCAGCTCTGCATTTTCCACACCTGTGGATCACATTTGCCAATCTGCAAATAATTCCATTTTTTCATGTCAGAATGTAAATTCCTTGAGTTTAGGGATTCTTTTCCACTGTTTGTTAGCTGTTACATTATAAGACCTTAGAAAGATCCAGTGCACAGAAGACACTCAAATATCTGTTGAATAAGTGCATTCTGGGATATCAAATAATAAAAAATGGTTGCAAAAGAAAAGCGATATTTTGCGGTGAGTGCTCGAATGCTGGAAAGTTCTATCACTGGGAATTTCTATCAGGTGCATGCGTGGGCTCTTCAGCTCATTTCTAATCTACTTGGGTACTGAAGTTGGCATCAGAAATGAAGTGTAAAACCCAACATGTAACCAAACAAAGCTTACAGCTCTTTTTTTCTCCTTTCTTCCTTTGTCAATAAAACACTCTTGCACATGCATCACAAAAATAGGTTTCAGTTTCTTAAACACTTCGCAATATTTGATACTTTAAAATCTATTCAATCAATAGGTATTTGAATGCCTGTTATGTGCTGAGAACTACTAAGATCTGGGAATATAGTAGTTGACAGAACAGTTAAAAAGAATCTGTGACCTCAAAAAGTTTACTTTAGTGATTTAATTAAAAAACAAAAATTATATATATTTATGGTGTGAAACATGATGTTTTAAAATACATATACATTGTGGAATGACCAATCAAGCTAATTAAATATTAACTCACATAATTACCATTTTTTAGTATGAACATTTAAAATATACTAGGAGTTTACATTCTGTTGCAAAAATGAAACCATTTAAAGATTGGCAAATGTGACCTACATATTTGCAAAGAAAAGGACAAATCTCCTTTTAAAGCTTTATGTAAAAAATGAAAATCTATTAAAATGGTTTATTCTGATTTGAAAATAAGGGTAATTAAAGAAATGAAAATGCATTTATTTCCTTCAACGTGCCTTCCAGACCTTGGCACTTGCCCACTCCTCTCCTGAAAATAATTTCCCCCTGAAAGTTCTCTGATTCTGCTTTTTCCCTTCATTCTAATCACATCCTCAAAAAGCCTGTCCCTATTCACCGGTTCTACATTAGGTTATTTTCCTCCACCCCAATATCTACACTCACACACACTACCTCTCTTTCCCACTAACCTGTGCTTTCTTCCTAAGGGTGCTATTGCTATCTGAAGTTACTACACTCTTTATTTGCTTACTGCTTTATCCTGTGTCTCTCACTGATATGCAAACCCATGTAGCAAGTGTCTTTGTCTTAAATTGCTAGGACTTCAATGCCTGGTGCCCACTGGGCACTCAATAAATCATGATTGACTAATGCTATATAATGGACTTAAGCAGCTGAAAAAATAATGTATATTAACTTTTCTGAAGTCAATGTTATTGCACACAATTATTGTATAAAACTGTTGTTTTTCAGTCTGAATCACTCTTCTGTATACATGGACAGGGCCATCTGTTAATTTGCAGTTGTAATTGTTTCTGCAGATGGGTGTTAAATTATAGACATGACCGTGAAGACATGGCAGAACTTGTTACCATCCTTTGCCAATGGCCTTTTTTTGTGTGTTCATTTTAGGGACTGAACCAATTATTCAGTTCAGACGCTCCCATATAAATCAAATGCTTTGTCCACAATGGCTGTTTCAAAGCAATTTTCTCATTTCATGGAGGTTCTGTTTTAGGATGTGGGTTGTTGTTGAGCTTTAAGGAAACCTGGATTTTTCCTGTGCTGTCAGGCCCAGGTATATTGAAGCCAAGCACTAGAGATTACAAAAGAGGGTCTCTGGAAAGGGAATTTATGTGCTTACTATACAGCATGGCTGTGTTCTAGCCACACGGATGCAATTTCAGAAAATTCATTTGACTTTTCTTTTTTTTTTTTTTTCACAGAATGGTTTCTCAAGCACATCACAGATTTTGATCAAATTGTTTTTCACTGCCAATCAGATGGGTGGTAGGAATCAGTTTTAAGTGATTCGTCCACTTTTTGGCACTTTGTATGTTGCCAATAAAAATCATTTCACTTAGAACGGAATTTGCCATCTGTGATAAATGTCTACCAATTAGTTTCTCATCACTTTTGAGAAAAGGGAGGGCATCACAATATTTTCCATCTAGTGAGGAATTTAAAATACACTTTATATTTTGAAAATGCACACTGCTTAATAGAATTTTGGGTTGGTGGGCAGTGTAGTGGACATCTGTTGATTCTTTCCTGCTCAGATTTTATTTCCCATTCTAGGACATCCCTTCATTTTTTCTTTGGTGACCCACCTTCCCCAAGTCCCAGTCCATGTGACTCAGACTCAGATGTGACCATCTTTATCATTCTCTCTTTACTTTCAGGGTGGGTATGTAATCAAGGCGGGCTCATCAGCAATGTTCTCCTCCCAGGCCTACATGATTTGGTTCAGGTACAGGCAAGGTGGTCCAGGGAGCCTAGACCTCCTGGTGCTTGCTGAAGCCACCAGGAAGAAGGCTGCTCATTCTACTAGACTAGAAGCTGTGACAAGATCACTCTGGAGCATTAGCTTCTGTAAGATGGGAAGAGTTTGAGTGAAAGCAATGACAACAGTATCAAAAGGGGAATTGAAAGATGGAGGGAGAGAAATAAAGAAGAGGATCTGAGCTAGGCATCTGATAAGAATGTTACAGTCCTAGACCTACCTATGTTGAAGGGTAGGCCTACCCTCCTAGCCTTTTTCAGCTATTTCAATTATTTTATCTTTTGCTTAAGGGAGTCTGACTTATGCTTCTACAAACTTGCTGACTGCTATAGTTGGGAATACTAAAACCAAAGATAGCTGTCTAATCCTTTAGAAGTTTGGCATGATTTAGTCTTGGAATCCACATTCCCAAAACATCCATAAGTTTTTAGTTTAATTACAAATTTTATGGCAACAGTTTATAAATGCAACTTCTTGTAGCTAAGTATGCCCATTATTTCTAAAGCCACATTTGCCAGCAGCTTTGTCACATTTCTTGTTCAAAGATGGGGTGAAACTAGTATTAGGGAAGCTCATACCAAAAGAAGTTTGTATTTTCACCTTATTTCCAATTTATTTCAGGCCTAACTCAGAAGGAGAGAGGAAGCGGATCACTATATAATCTATTCAATTTCAATTTCAAAAGATGCTGCTGCTGATCAAAGGATACTTGTGAGTAGCACATTTCCATAAAATGAATTTTGACAACTTTCCCCCAAATGTGTGTCTTACTTTAGCTTTTGATTTGAAAGGAGAAATGGAGGTTGGCAGGAAAGATAAATGAAAGTGATACTGACAGTGTTTGGGGCTGCCAAATAATCTGCATCTTAGAATTTCTGTAGTTCTAAGGCAGGCCTTAATCTAGTATTTTAAATCTAGTGCATGCCCCCTGCTTCCCAACTCATGGTTTTCCTAGACAAGTCTTTATAGTTTTCCAGGGTGATAGACCTCTTAAAGGAACATCCCCTCTTCCCAATCTCCAGTTCAATCTCAGACAGGTCAAGCCTGCTGATCTCATTGTCTGTCAATCCTTTATATATGTACTAAATTTTTTTTTAATGCCCTTAGATGCTATTACCTAGTATTCTACATGGCTATAGGCTTCAGGCCAACAATCTTGAGAAGACCTGGTTTCAGCAGTCCACTGGTTCAATATATTGGCATAAGCACCATGATTTGCGTTCCTTTTTGTAAAATAACTCTCCAAATTGTAGCATATCAATATCTGAGGGTTTTTTTTTTGTTTTTGTTTGAGACTAGGTCTCACTCTTTCACCCAGGCTGGAAAGCAGTGGCACGATCTTGGCTTACTGCAGCCTCAGACTCCCAAATAACCAGGGCCACGGCTGTACGCCACCATGCCCAGCTAATTTTTGTATATTTTTTAGAGATGGAGTTTGGCCGTGTTATCCAGGCTGGTCTTGAACTCCTGTTGGCATTACAGGTGTGAGCCACTGCGCTCCGCCAAATTATCTGAGTATTTTCAAAATGGATCTCAATTGTTTCCTTGATATCACCTGAATAACATTCTTGGTAAGTTGCTTATTATTTTCCACTTTCTCAGAAGTTTGTAGCAAACTTGTCTCAATATTGTGAGAAGTCTGACTGATTTGGGATCTGGCTCATATAGACATTTCACTTGCAAAGTAGGACAGTGCTACAATCATCAATTAAAATAAATAAATGCACAGTGAATCAAATATAGTTTTAATATTTGAATAGTTTACTTCTGGCCCGGTATTGAGCAAACAGTACATTATTTAAGGTAAATGTAACTCAATAAACACAAAGTTTTAGTTACATAACATAGAATCTATCCTGCAGAAGTTCAGATCAATTTATTAACTTTAAACATGCTTCTCTTTGACATCTCCTTTCCAAAATTCAGAACTTCTGTTCTCTGAGGCTAAATTCTGCTGTGTAGAATTGATGAAAATGACTGACCCAAAGCTTTAATTCCTCCAGAGGTGTAAGAATCCTAATAAAAAACTAGAGAACCCAAATGAATATAAAATATTCAATTATTCATTTGATTATTGGGTGTTTTGGTCTTAAAAGCCAGACTTGCACCAGAAGGAATTTAAAGCAGAGCGTCCAGTAGAAGGAATGGACACTTTCTAGAATGCATTGCCTGCCTCAACCCTTTCCTTCACTCATCCACCCCATATATATTAGCTATCTATTACTGTCTAAGAAATTAGTTGTATCTGAATTGTAGTGGCTTAACTCAATACACAGCTATTATCTCAGTCTCTCGGGTCAGGGAATGAGGCAGAACTTAGCTGGGCGTTTGTTTCAGGACATCTCATATGGTAGTGATCAGGTGTTGGCTGGGGCTGCAGATTTCTTAAGGCTTGGCTTGAGGAGAAACTGCTTCCAAGCTCACTTACCTGAAAAATAAGAAAATTCATTTGCAGACTGACTCATGTGGCTCTTGGCCCATCTCAGGTTCTCTTTTACTGCTACCTGGCATCATCTGTTCCCAGCTATGTGAGCCCCTCCACAGGCCTACTCACAGCATAGAATCATGCTCCCCCGCAGAACAAGGGTTTGGAGAGAGAGAGCATGAGAGGGGAAAACAAGACCAAAGTCATAGTCTATTTTGTAAGCTAATCCCTCCAGTGACATTCCACAACATTTGCCATATTCAGTTCATTAGAAGTAAGTTACTAGGTCCAAATCACATTCAAAACGAGGAAATTGAACAAGGGTATGAGTACTTGGAGATGAGGAATCACTGGGGGCCATGTCAGAGGCTGTCCACGACACTAGTCTACCTCAGACTAGAAAGTGAAGATTGTGGCCGGGCACCGTGACTCACGCCTGTAATCCCAGCACTTTGGGATGCCGAGGCAGGTGGATCACCTGAGGTCAGGAATTTGAGACCAGCCTGGCCAACATGGTGAAACCCAAACTCTACTAAAAAAAAATACAAAAATTAGCCAGGTGTGGTGGCAGCTGCCTGTAATTCTAGCTACTCGGGAGGCTGAGGCACGAGAATCCCTTGAACCCAGGAGGCAGAGGTTGCAGTGAGCCAAGATCGCACCACTGCACTCCAGCCTGGGTGACAGAGTGAGACTTTGTCTCAAAAAAAAAAAAGAAAAAGAAAGTGAAGGTTGTACTTTGGATCAGATAGAACTGACTTTCACTTCCGTATTGAATATTCCTTAGTTATGTGATACAGTCAAGTTTCTTAACATTTCTCAACCTTGTTTTGTTCATGTATTAAAAGTGAATACAATAGTTCCTTTCTCCCAGGCTTGTGGTATTCCATGCAATAACATCATCACATCAGAAGTCCCTTGTACAATGCTGGGAACATAGTAGGTGCTCAGTTAAAAAGAATATATATACATACACACACATATAAATTATATATACACATATATAAATTATATACACATATATTAAATTATATATCTATATAAATTATATATACCTATATAAATTATATAAATTATATATACCTATGTAAATTATATAAATTATATATATACATATATTTTTTTTCTGCTTCCCTCTTCTCTTTAAACTTATATAGCACTTATAAACCTTCCAACCTCGTAAGATGTGCATCCCATTGGTAAAAGCATTGATGCTTCAGTTACACTGTCTGATTTTGAATCTAGTCTCTACCATCTCGCAGCTGCATGAACAAGGATGAATTCATGTCTCTAAGCTTCAGTTTCCCTATGCATTAAATGTGGAAAGCAAGGGTCATAGAATGTATATGAAGAACAAATAAAATAAAGTGTACGATGGATTTAGCTTATGCCTACCAGATCAATATGTGGCAACTTATATTTATATTAGAATTATTTATTTCTATTAAATTATATATTATAATAATATATATTTATATTCTATATAAATATATTCATATAAGAATTATTGAATATTTACATTAACATTTTTATGCAGCAAAAATTATTAAATCAGCCATTATTGTAGGTATAGATTTTGGCAACTTATTATTAAAAACCTGATTTGAGGAACTCTTGACACCCAGGGTTTTTTCCACTCTTCTCTGTCCTTCCCTCAAGGGTCAGCTCAGGAAGAGCTCTTTTTGTAGCAGAAGGCTCTTTAAGAAAGCAATCATTTGACTGATTTTGGGGGAAAATGTGGCCCACGAAAGCAGACTGGGACCACAAATTAAGCATATTCGATAAGGAAAGAGGCAGAAGGAAGCAGAGAGAAATAGTGATATTTCCTGGAGAAATACCAAGAGAACAGAGGAAGGAAATAATGTGAACAGAGTGGGTTATTCAGGACCACGCAGCACTAGAGACATTTGTGCCTGGCTAGAGAGAAGCCCATGGAAAAGCTATCCATTATTCTACATCACTAACTCCCAGTTTTGTTTGAATTTTATATCTACACAGGGGGTAAAAAACAAACAAAAAACTCCCATCCCCTCAAACACAAAACACTTCTGCAAGGGGATCGCCATTCTATTCATATCATCTGAAGCAAAGAATGTGAAATGGTGATTTGAAAAAAAATTGTAAATTATGTTCCTGGTTTATTGTTTATTCTTTTCCTTTCCATTTTCTGAACCCTCAACCTTTTGCCCCACCGCATCTAAACTACCACCTGTGAAAACATGCTCGTCTTAGAGAACATATTGATAAATTCACATTCATCTTTGAAAACAATTTTCCCACTTGTAGTCCCCTGTCAGGCTTGTCTGAGATCAAAACAAGACCTTGTGGTGCTCTGAAAATGAACTTGGTTAAGCTGCACAGTTTCAACCCCACCTCCTATAATGATCACCTAGAAGCAAGTGTGGCAGTGTATGGTCTACGATTTTAAGGGAGATGTTTCCTACACTGAGTTGTGTTCACCCTGGCTTGGTGACCTGGATGGGATCATCGTTTGGTTTTCCAAATGTTTTCTATCTCCTTATACATGGCAGGAGCTGAGCTATTGAAAATAGGGCTAGGGAGGAAAGAGAGAGAGACTAAATGGATTTCTGTAAGTGACAAAAGGGAACCACCCTTAAATACAAAGAAATGCCAGTTTATGTTGGTGCTCAAGATAGTGCATGAGTGACTCACACACATCTGTTGTACATCATGCAGCTCTGGGCACAAGGAGAGGCACAAGCATGTGCACAGTTTTTTATTTTATTTTTATTTTTATTTTATTTTATTTTGCGCTGCTGCTTAGTGTGCTTGTTTCTGTAAGTCTCTTCTCCTGTGTGGAGCTTCTGAATTCAATCAAGCAGGGTAATTTCCGATCTAACACCACCATCCTTGCCTGTGTGTATGGGGTGGTTTTGAACTTTCAGCAATTCACATAAAATAAAAATGGAGGCAGCAGAGCGGAGTTGGTTCATGCAGCCTTTGGGGTCAGACTTCGCATTTCAGTGGCTCCTCCATTCCCAGTTGCTCTATGCCTTTGTCATCTCATCTGTGATATGGAAATGCTGGTCCAAGGGTTGTGAGGATTAGAGTTTTAATTAAACACAGAGTAGAGTGCCTATTTCACAAAAAAGTTGAGTCAATGTTACTTTCTGTTGTTGCTTAGCATTTAAAAGATAATTTACATTTTGTGCCATAAATAAACACTTCAAAAAACTCTCCCCAAATATCAAGAGCCATTGGCAAAATTTAGTTTTAATATTAGCTTTTTTTTTTTTTTTTAGCATTTATGGTATTTCCTATACATTCTGGTGCATATTACTAGATATAAACTGATTTATCTCATAGTGATTTTTAGTATCTCTGATTCTAATTTTTATAACATTCTTTTTTTCTTACTCCTACCTTTACCGTAATGCATTGATGCTTCTTTATATTCATATTCCATTTTTTTCTTTTCTTTTATATTGGAAGTTATATATTCTATTTTAACTCTAAAATTGATATCATAGGCCTTCCCAAATGATTATAGGAATTTGTAGTATTTAAACTCTGATTGCATCCTCAAGTAAATATGCCTTTGTTCAGCATGTTATTTTCATCATTTAATGCAATAAATCAGACATTGTTATTTTATATTGACAATGTTTATTTAGCTATACCTGCCTGTATTAATTTTTTCATTAATTCATCTTGCTCTTCCAATCTTTCTTCTGGGGAATAACTTAAAGCACAGTATTTTAAAGTGAAAGTTCTTTGAGTTTTAATTTTTTTAAAAAATTGAGAATAATAGATATATATTTTCAGAGTACATGTGATAATTTAATATATTCATATAATGTGTAAAGATCAAATCAAGGTAATTGGGATATCTGTCACCTTAAATATTTTACTTTTCTTTATGCTAAAAACATTCAAATTATTCCCTTTTCACTCCTTTGAAATATTCAGTAGATTATCGTAAACTATAGTAACCCTACTGATCTACGGAACACTAGGTCTTATTCTTTTATTTTAACAGTACATTTGTACCTACTTGTCTTTGATTATATAAAAATGACTTCACTTCTGTTCTTGATTATATTGCTTAATAATAATAGCTATTTCAGTTGGGAATTAGTTCCACTACTAAGATCTTCCCTGTATCTTTAGTCTTCTCTGGTCTCCTACAATTGTGTCCATGTGAGTTTCTTTTTATGTATATTTCTCTATCTTTTGTTAGTAGTAGAATATAGTATTATATCTCAAAGTAGTTTTATATAACTTCCCTCTATTCTGTCCTTTTGGTACCCCAATTAGATGAATATTAGACTCATTCCTTCTCCACATCCCTTAATCCTTTTTTTCGTAACTTCCACCTCTGGCCTACATTTTGAGTATTTTTTTCAGATTTTCTTGTTCACTAATACTTTTTTTCATTTATGCCCAGTTTTCTGTGTAAATAACCACTCTTTTCCTCTAAATTTTAATGAATTTCTTTAAATTTTTTAAATCCCTAATTTCTTTTGTAGTCTGCTTAGCAATGTTTGCTTCTCCTTCTGAATGTTTTTTTTCTTTTTTCTTTGAAGGATTTTTTTCTATTGTCAATGTCCTTAAACTTTTTTGTAAATACCTACTTTTATGATTTTTAATAAATCTATTATGTAAAATTCTTTGTGCCTAGTTCCATTATTTATTGCATGTATTAACATTTACTTGTGTAGTTTTTTTTATATTTCATGATCTTTGACTCCAAACTCATATGGATTTGATCTTAAACTGTGGGAAACTGCGCTTACATCCAGGATGTATTTTTTCAGGGAGAATTTGAATTTATTCTTAATAAAAAACAGAAGGCTTTACCTAGATGATACTTTAAAAACAACAACAATGAAAACTCAAACCAAAACAAAACAAAAAAACAAACAGTAATTCCAAAAAACCGCAAACTCAATTTTTTTCCAGGTCCTCAGCTTAATTGTGGAATCTTGCGTGTGGTTCTATCACTTTGCTGTTGGCCAAATGCTCAGTATCTCAATTATGACATTTATGTTTGGATTTTTCCCATTCCACAATCTGATTTACATGTTTTATTTGTGATGTTTTCAGTTTCAGCTTATGGCTTTTGTTCTATGAGAATATATAGTCTACCAGGCTGTTGTCAGAGCCTCCGTAATCTTCCCATTCAATAATTCTCTACATCGTTTATTATTTTGTGTTTGCCTTCTTCCTCTCAACTTTCAATCTGAAAATGTAAATGCTTGCCATTCATCCATCCTTCTTTCATCCAAGCTTTCAGTAAATATTTACTGAGTATCCTATATGGCAGGCACTGGATCCAGTACACAACACACAGTGGCAAATAAAACAGATGTGACCTGTTGTGCAAGAAGACAATCACAAGCCATAAGCTAAAAAAGTGGTCCTGCAGGGGATGGGGAAGGATTAATTTTCAATCTCATTATACAAAGAATTCCTACTATAAGTAATAATTTCAGTCATTTGTGCAGAACTGTATGGTATGGACACAAGGTTCTATATTGTAATGTTGTTTTGAAGACAGGCCATTGATGGTGAGTTAGAATCAGAAAATGTGGCTTTACTTTTTTAGTTATACATCTTTGTGGCTCTGAGATCCTTAGTCCATAACTTAATCTCTCTGGTCCTGTTTTCATGTCTAAGCAATGAAAATAGCCATACCTATCTTAGAAGGTGGATACAAAGTTAAGTAATGTGGTTCGATGCGATGGCATGCAAACGTCGATGACATATATTTACCTTTTCTCTCAGAGTTGTTCCCATGTTTAAGAAATTGATTTGACCCACCTCTACCATCTAAAGCAAACCATAGCAAGAATATCATGTACTTTCACTATAATGGTCACTATTGCTTAGACATCTTATCTGCTTATTTTCAGAACAATCTGATCCACTAGAAATTGTAAATTGATGGGGGGTTGGAAGAAGCTTAAAAGATGAGTCGTTATATAAACATGATCATTTAAATCTGATTTCTACCCTTTTTATTTCTTATTTCCACCCGAACAGTAAGAACAACAATGCAAAAGAAGTAATTCGACATAGAAAACAACATAAGACTAGGGAAATAAGTAAGCAGAATAGAAAGAAAAAATATAAATAAAGCCCAGGGTTTTTTGTTTGTTGTTTGAATTTTCAACACCTAGTTGGGTGTTTGGCATATCATAGTTGCACAATACATGCTTACTGAGTAGAGTGGAAGTAAAGCAAATGGAAACCAATTCTAGGGAATATCATGTATCTTACTTTATTTTATTATTTTAGTTATTAATTTTTTTATTATACTTTAAGTTCTAGGGTACATGTGCACAACGTGCAGGTTTGTTACATATGTATACATGTGCCATAATTTTAAGGAGTCAATATAATGTGCAATTTTGTTTTGAGCCTGGGCTTTGGACCCAGCATTTACTTAGGTACAACACTGGCTGTGTGAATTCACACAAGTGATTTCGTTTCTCTAAGGTTTGCCTTCACCCTCAGTAATGTAGATAAAACAACAATACCTATTCAATCAGTTGTGACGATTAAGGGTGATAATGCCTATGCCATGCTTACCATCTTGGTCTTCTGTCTTTCTTCTTGGTATACTGCTACCACCATCACAGTCATCATCACCATTGTTACTAATACGACATTGCCTGGAATTAATAACTTTTCTCTCTTTGTATGTAGGCAGTCAGATATTTGACAATGAGTGGCAGTCATTTGTTTTTGATGTTCAAATTTTTGCGAACAAAGAAAAAGAGACCTAGGATGAATTTTCTTTAAGGGGAAAGTGTAAAGAATTAAAACATGTTAGTTATACATCCTGAAATGTGGGAAGATAGCAGTGCCTAACATCATTACTGTGGGTGGATCCAGAAATCATGCTTGAAGGAAAATAATGACATGCTTTTAGCCAATTATGAAACTTTGTTTTGCTAAATGGGACCTGAAGAGATGTGATAAAGAGATAGATTTTTTTTTCCCAGACCATGTTCAGAAGGGAAAGAAGAAAGATAAAGCTGCTAAAGAGAAAACTTTCTGGGGAAAAACACAGTTTTAAAAATGAGAAATTGAATACTATTTTTTTGCCATATAGTATGTATTATAATTACTTTCCCTGCTCTCCACAAAATCTTTAGTAAAATATTCATTTCTGGCACCATATAGATTGTGTACACCTTAATTTCATTAATTTCTTTGTGTTTCCTATAAAACTTCAATAACGAGCGTAAGAATATGGCAACATTTTGAAATTGCAGCAGTTAAAATGATATTTAAATTGAGAATATAATGAACTTGTAATAGGAGGGAAAGAAGAGGGGAAGTGGAGCCCTTGAGAATTCAGGGAATCCCTGTGCTCAGAAGAAATTACACTGTGATGCCAAAATCCTAATAATGTTCCAGTAAAACTGCTAAACTCAGATTGAAATTTTAGTGTTAAAAGGTAGGTTTGCATTATAACATTCTATCCTTCCATCCTCAAAATGAAAAAGCATGTTAAGACATAAAGTAAAATTTGATTAAAATAATTATATCAAACTTATCTCTTAACGGATGCTAGGAAAGGTGCTATTTCACATGTATAACCTCACCGTATTTTCAAAACTATTATTTGCCCCATGTTATAAATGAGGAAGGAAACTGAGTCTCAGAGAAGGTAAATCATTTTCTCAAGTGCACAGCTGGGATTCCAGCCAGGCGAGTCTATTCTAAACCCATTAAATGTCATATTTTAATGTTCCTTGATTTCTCCATTCAAAAACAAGAGAAAAGGATTAAGGCAAATGGAAGAGGGGGATACTTAAATGCCAACATAAAAGAGTAGGCACAAATATCTGACTTTGTGAAATAGTATGACTTTGTGGAAATAGATGTAATTTGAAATGCAGTTAAAGGAATCCGTGAATGAAATGAGAAAAGAGATGGAAATGATGTCTTCCGCAGTAACATCAGTTGTGCATAACAATGTCATGGGTAAATGCCCATCTGATAAAGAGGTTTTAATTAAACTAAATAATTTATTATCCATTATACTTCAATAAATTAAAAAGGATATAATCTAAGATGCTTTATTTCTCTGAAACAGGATTGTATACCATAAATTCAGCCCATCATGTGTTCTCAAGTGAGAAAATGTCCAGATTAATAAAATGCAGGGAAGGTAATAATTAATTTCCATAATATTTTAATCCTTGGCACATTTATCCAAATACATTTTTCCATGCAGAGTTAGACATTGCTTTTTGTTGGATGGGGAATGAATGAAAATAAGTTTTTCATAGGGAAAATTTTGAATTAAATATGAACTGGTATCATAATTCAATGATAGCTATGCACTGTGTATTTCCTATATATGCATATGAACACACCCTTATGTATATACACATATGTAATTTTCATATATTCATACACATATATATTATTCATGTTTATGTAGGTAAATGAGTGTATATGCACATAGACTCACCAATGCCACATGTTCCCTTAGTTTTATCCATCTCCTTTAAGTTCCTAAATATTTGTAGTTTTTAGATATTAAATAAAAAGTACATATCAAAAAAACATACATAAAATATAAAGTGTTAATTAAAATAAAAGATACTAAAATTTATCCTAATTTATATCTTCTCTATCCCCCTCTATTATAAACTGCTGTTAATTTATTGAGATTCATTTTAGGGAAAAATTACTGAGACCATTATGTAGAGCTATATGTATTTTTATCTGTCTATATTCTGTTTCTTTTAAATACTCATAAGTGAGGTCATATAGCATACATTATTTTGAACTTTGCTTTTTTCAGTTTAGACTTTCCCGCATATACACCCATAAATATAGTTTGTTGTTTTTAACAATGTCTTACTATTTTTTCCATAAACTGCAGTTTGTCTTGTTGATGAATATTTTATTTCAAATAATTTCCAGATATTTCTATTAAAGCAATACTGTAATGCACATCCTTATGAGATTGACCAATAGTAATTTTGAGCAGTAGAATTGTTGAATGACAAGGGCATTTGAAATTTTAATCATTATAGCGACTTATCACCCAGAAAAGGTTTACTGATTTATATCCCACTTACAGTGTTTCCCTGTACTGTTAACAAATACTGAATGTGGCTGGGCGTGGCGGCTCACACCTGTAATTCCAGCACTTTGGGAGGACAAAGCAGGCAGATCACTTGAGGCCAGGAGTTCGAGACCAGCCTGGCCAATGTGGTAAAACCCCATCTCTACTAAAAATACAAAAATTATCCAGGCATGGTGGTGTGCGCCTGTAGTCCCAGCTATGTGGGAGGCTGAGGCAGGAGAATTGCTTGAACCTAGGAGATGGAGGCTGCAGTGAGCCAAGATTGTGCCACTGCACTCCAGCCTGAGCGACAGAGTGAGACTCTATCTCAAAACAAAACAAAACAAAAAAAAACACAAATACTGAATGCATCATCACTGATTTAAGAGACAATTATTTAATCAAGTTGAGCAGTTGTGTTACAGAATTTTATAAGAATATTCACAACTGTTTTTCTTTAAAAAGAAAGCAACCTTTGAGTACTTGAGATAGATAAAATTTTAAGAAATTATTTTTCATATTATTTTTCTGATTATAGGGACCTTGAGCATATAAACATGGATACAAAGTATAATTTATTAGTACCCTGTATAGAAAAATAACTAATTAAAGAAAAAGATAAAATTTTAAGGTGTATAAAGTTTTTTTTCTGATAATAAAAATGAACATAGTTCATTATTAAAATGTGAAAAATACAAAATAAAAACACAGCAAAGGTTAAAAGCACCCATAGAAGTATATATTCTTAAAAGAATGAAAATATATTATTTTCTTGAATAATCATTGGCTTATAATTTTGTGTATTTCTCTCTCTCTTTTCCTTCCTTCCTTCCTTCTCCTTCCTTCCTTCCTTCCTTCCTTCCTTCCTTCCTTCCTTCCTTCCTTCCTTCTTTCCTTCCTTGTTATAGATGCATGGAGTGGCTAGGAAAGCTGTTAGAGGTAGGATATCTAGTAAGAGCTGTGGTGCTCAGCCCTGGCTGCACATTGGAACTGTCTGGAGAACGTTTAATGGCCCGATGCCCAGGTTCACCCCAGATCAATTACATGTATAGTTTTGCATGTGTGTGTGTATATGTATACACACACACACACACACACACACACATTATATTCATTTCCTTCTGCACAAATTAAAGGTTACATAAAACACTAAGACCTGATTTTTGTCTTGTATCATTTTTTTTTCTTTTAACTTTTATTTTAAGTTCAGGGATAAAAGTGCAGGTTTGTTACACAGGTAAACTTGTGTCATGGGAGTTTGTTTTACAGATTATTTCATCACCCAGGTATTAGGCCTAGTACCTATTAGTTATTTTTCCTGATCCTCTCCCTCCTCCGACTCTCCACCCTCTAAAAGTCCCCAGCATGTATTGTTACCCTCTTTGTATCCATGTGTTCTCATCATTTAGCTCCCACTTATATGTGAGAACATGTGGTATTTGGTTTTCTGTTCCTGCGTTAGTTTGCTAAGGATGTTGGCCTCCAGCTCCATCCATGGCCCAGCAAAGGACATGATCTTGTTCTTTTTTATGGCTGCATAGTATTACATGGTATATATGTATCACATTTTCTTTATCCAGTCTATCATTGATGGGCATTTAGGTTGATTCCACGTCTTTGCATCACTTGTAAGTGTTCTTTATTTTCTTTTCCTCTGGTAGATATACACACTGAAATCTTTCCAGTGTGTCTTAGAATGTTCAATTCAATTCAAGTGAAATGTAGTAAAACAAGATTACTTCTGAGAAGTTCTCTGTGGACATGTGCCCCTTCTTTCTGAGCCTTTCTTTAGGAACACACTCTTCTCCATTTGCCTGAATATCCATTTGGAGTACTAGGGCACCTCCTCAAAGGAGAAAGGCTCTGCTCAAATCAGAATCCAGAAGGCGTGACTATTGGTGTCAGTTAATATGGAGTTTACTCCCACAGAAACATGTAACATCATATTCCAAAATCTAGTACCTGCTTTTCAGCTCCTATTCCCTCTTCTTCCCTTGAATGATAGTAAATATGTCATAAAGAAGGTCTTAAACTTTTAATGTTTATTTCTCACACTTCTACACAATTTGAAGTTTTTCTTTTTCATTTCACGATGGCATGCACTTCACTGTGATGAAGTCAGTTTAACCTCTGTTCAAAAATCTTTTGTTTAACTTCCTTCAAAACGTTCAGCTCGGGAGAGGCAGTCTCCCTCAGAAAAATCTCAAGACTATTTTCCAGATAACCTACTGGTTTGATCTGTTACATTTATTGTAGATATTCTCTTCCCCACTGAGAGAGAACTGAAGCAAGAGTAGCTATTCCATATTTCTTTATGAAAAGTAAATTTGTAGTTTGTGAGCTGGGATAATGCATCCATAGGGATAGGGGACCCACAGATGAGTGGTAAAATTTGTCACTTGTAAACAGGGAACATTGTTTCTGAAGAGTAAATGAGAGCTCCCACCCTGAGAGATGTTACCATTAAGAGAAGGGAACTTTGGTATTGGAAAATCTGGGTCACATAATTTTCATGTTTATGTGTACCACCATTTTGTTCTAACTCACAGAAATAATGAAAGAGGTGACTGAAGAGGAACTGTGTCTGCCTTGTTTTCTTCATACCTTGTTGCTCACAGTCCTAGAGCTTACTTCAAAGACTGATGATATAAACACCTAGGGGATCTAGATTCCAAATTAAGAAAAACAGATTGTGCTATCAAAGTGCAGTTGATTTAGAATCTTTGAAAAAAGTAACTTTAGTCTTAGAGAATATGATCTACAGCAAAGATACCAGAATGCAACTTAGAATTGTTTTGCTTTACTTTTCGTCCTTAATTTTAAAAAAATATGTAATATATGAATACACTTTTATATTAAAGTCTCAAATATCTCCGCATATGAACACAGACAAATGTGATTTAACATCCATGTCTCTGAAGCTCTCTATCCACCCCTCTCCCTGTCCCATCCAGAAGTAACCACTGTTAATGTTTCTGAAGTACCTGTCTCTGTTCTTTTATGCATATACATGGAGGGGGAAGATAGACATACCAACACACACACACACACACACACACACACACACACAAATTGTAAATGGGATTATATTATAAATATTTTTCTGCAAGCTATTTTGTCTTACAAATCTGTTCAAGTGAGTACATATAAGCTAATCTTATCCACCTGAAAATCTTTGTAGAATTCTAGAGTACAGACATACTGTAGTTTGTTTAACCACTTTTCTGTAAATGGACATCTATATTGTCTCTAGCATTTTACTGTTTTAAATGATGTTGTAGTAATGACTTTGAAACCTTGAAACAATTCACTTAATATCTCTATATCTCAGCTTCCTTATCTATAAAATGGAGAAATGATAGCACCTACCTCAAAGTATAACATGCATAATAAAATTTGATAGTGTTCATATGGTCATTTTAAAAATTTCTATTATGTTGTTGATGGGGATCCTTCTTTGTACACTTGTGCTATATGTCTTAGAAGAGATTTTTAAAAGCAGTCTTTTTATGAAAAGAACTTGCAAAAAATTGTGTTAGAGACTGCTCCATTGCCTTCTAAAAAGTCTCTACTGTTTATAGTGATTCATTTAGATCAGGATGAGTTTCCTTATATCTTTGTCAGTGCTGAACATTTTCAATCATTTAGTTTTTGCCAACATAATGGCAAAAGCATCTCAGTTGTTGCCTTAGTTTATATTCTTTTAATGATGCATGAAGGTTCCTCTTCTTTTCCTTTTCTTTTTGTTTACTTGGCATTTTCAGTTTCTTCAGTGAATAAATATTAAATCGGTATCAGGTAGTAACTGCTTGGAAATAGACCCTCTATAAACGTGAAAAGATGGAGGTAGAATGCTTGCTTGAGGGCACCAGTGTCCTAGGTCTGTCTGTTCTCCATCAGATGAGGTTGTGGGCTTGTTTAATTTACTCTAAGAACCAGGAAACCTAAAGTTAGTAGAAATCAATTTCTGGACTCTCTAGTTAATCCATTTGATCTTTTTTTGTCTACCCTTTCAATATTATACTGCTTGATTTCATATTTCTTTGTAAGACATGAAGCTATCTAATAGTATGAGTCTTTCTATACTATTTTTCAAATTATGTTTATTCTTTAGATTTTGGACTTTGTAATCTGCTTAAACGGTTCAAAAATAACATTGTGATATTTATTGATATGACTTTGAATTTATATTTTGGTGAGATCATTGACTGATAAAGTGGTAAGCCTTTCTCCATCTGGAGACATGATTTTTGTTCTCTTTATTTAGGTCTATTCTAGTAAGTTTCCATCATTTTCTTCTCATTGAAGAAAATAGATACATAAAGTCTAGGAAGCATATTACAAGCTTTAGCTAATAACCTCAATGTGAGTTCCAACATCTGGGAAGATCTAAGCATTCCAGGTCCCAATAAGTGTCCTCTTCTGTCCACTAAATGTAACCATTATGGTGACTTTGATGCCGTGGAATGCTGATAAATGTTTAGCTACCCTTTCTCTGGAAAAGACAACAACTCAGATTTGTAGTGTTTGCTGATTTATGTGATGTGAATATGCCGACCATGGCTGATTTCAAGCTACCAGGCTGGAGCTGAGATGCCCCAATCAGCTCTCCTGATGCAGCACACCCAGCTCTTTTAGATTCCTACATTTATGGTAATTGCCTCCTTTCTTTCCTTCATGCCTTTACTGCCTACATATGCCTCCTTGAAAACCTAAAGCGTCATTGAGTTCCTTTTTTTTTTAACGTAGTTGGAAAATATTGAGCATTTTTCGCTGAATATTATGTGTATGAATTTCATCACTGTTGTTTAGAGTAACTGTTGTGTGTTCTATAGGAATGGATGTATAGGGTACCAGTGTGTAATTATACCACAATTGTCTTGGATATTTGCATCGTTTCCAGTTTGAGGTTCTTAAAAACACTAATGAATATTCTGTTGGATCCATACTTCTGATTGGAATTTTTGGGTAGTAGCATATATGTTTCTTCAATTTTAATGTATTATGCAAAATTTTCTAGAATAGTTTACCAAATTACCTCCCCTCCCCCTGTTTACGGCATTTGGCTTCACTCCATATTGTCACTTGTTATTGTCAGTCTAATATTAGCCTTTGTAAGGATCATATAATGATATTTCATTATGTTTTAAAATCCATTTTTGTGATTGCTAATTAGCATATTTTTACATTTTATATTGCCATTTAGATTTCTTTTGTGTTTGACCTGCCTGTTCCTCTCGCCCATGTTTCTACTAGGTTATCTTTTTACTTACTGGTTTGTTGGAGGTTTTTTTTTTACATAACTCTGATGTGAGTCCTTTGGCAGTCATATGAGTGGCCAATATCTTCTTCTCAATGGCTTGAATGCTGTATCTTTTCATGAGTATACACTCTTAACTTGATTTTTATGGTTGGGGCTTTTTATGTTTTTTTAAACAAATTTATTCCCAACCAAAGCAGGAAAACTCAGAGTGGCTGTTGGAAATTACTGTTGGAGATTGGAGAAAGAGCAGCCTTCTTATCTAGCGGTGTAACTGATGCAGGGCAGGTTCTTGGCTTTGCTCGGGAAAGAATTCGAGAGTGAGCTGGTAAGTGGAGGAAAGCAGCTTAATTGAGGTGGTGGCCATGTTACAGCTCTGTGACTGCTTCTGAAGAGCAGGTCTGGCCCAAAGGCAGTGCACTGAGAGCAGCCTATGGGTGGTTTGTAGTCATATTTATACCCACTTTTACTGACATGCTAATTAAGGGGCAGAGTATTCAGAAATAGCTAGAAAATGGGCTGTAACCTCTGGGTGTCACCATGGCAAGGGGTGGTAACTTCTGGATGTTGCTCTGGCATTCGTAAACTGTCATAGTGCCAGTGGGAGTGTCCTATGGTGATGGGCAGCGAGAGCAACTTGAGGTGTGCTTAGCACCTCTTCCTGGCTTTGGTCTGTCTTCAATCTGGTCCAGAGATGAGTCCTGCCTTCCTCCTACCTCATTCCCCCCTCAGAGAATAGATATTCCTCCCTAAATTTAAAGGGATTGCATAAGGGCAGAGATTCAACTTCTGTAACTACTTCATGCTGATTTTATGGGTGTAGACCCTGCCTAGAATTGGAGGAGTAAAAATCTCTGTATGCCTTATCTAAGGGGCCCAAAAGCAGGATTTTGACATTCTCTAGGTCAGAAGAAGACATGCATCAGAAGCCTTGTGCTAGCATTGTATTTACATGGACCTGTTGTAATCTGGAAGACACAGATTTTACTGACGGGTTAAACAAGCAAGAGCTCAAAATTAGTAGTAACAAGATACTTACCAAAGGTCCTAGGAGAGGTAAAAAACAGATGAGATTTGGGGGAGCAATTTGATAGTCAATCAGATATAGTTGGGTCAGTGCCCTGGTTATATCTATGTAAGTAGGTAGTTTGCTCATAGATCTTTTGAATGTTAGCCTCAACCTGCCCAGAGTTGTTAATATACATGCAGCAGGTTTTATTAATAACTCCACAGACTCCACTTGATTCAGCAAGTAAATAATTCAATGCCAGTCTGTTATCAAGACTACATTTGCCAGAGTCTAGTGACTCTTGAAATTCCCTTTAATGCCTGACTTGTGTTGGTGGCTAATGATTCAAGGGTTTGAGTCAAGTTCTGTAGAGTTGACTTGTGGTAGGCAAAGCCACCTCAGGGGCCAATAGTTCTATTGCCACCCTGATTCCCACCAGAATTAATTTTACTGCTCATGTATTTCTGGTACTCCTGGGTCTTATGGGGTTATAGACAGTGACCCCTGGAAGGATAAGAATAGCCAGTGAACATCTGCTCCTGTTCCAAGTTTTTGATATACAAGGGAAAGCTACTCCTAAAAGAATAGGTGCTTTCTGAAAATCGGGGGCAGTTATGGGGTGTATCTTCTTTCCACTCATGGCCACAAACAAAAATGTGCCCAGGTAGGGTGCAAATGGAGGCCCTATGGGATGTGATGTCTGTCTTTTGCTGCCAAGTTTGGTCTATAGAGATATTCATCTCATGTTTCAATGGGGATGGTCGAACACACCTTGTTTCCAGAATGGGGTGGTACTCTCACCTTCCCAGATTGGGCAGTGTTTTTCCCCCCGTATGTCCTGATCTTGGAGAAGGCACCATATATGGTTTCCTCACTCACAGGTGGAATCCCATTTACCTCACTGTGGCCTTAGGAACTTGGTATGTAGGGTTGGATCAGAGCATCATAGGAAAGCTTCTGTTTTGTGTAATTAACACAACAGTTTACGCAAAAGATAGAATCATTAGTGTAAAGGAGATATAGATACACAGCTTCCCAGGTCTGGGTAATAGTGGCAGTGGTGGGAGTGGTCATGTGGAATCCATTAGGTGGGGCAGAGTTCCACCTAACAAGTATGGGGTCTGGAGATTAAGGGATGATTATGGTTAGTTAGGAGGTCTGGAGAGGGCTGTGAGATTTTCTGGATGGGTCAGAAGGTAGAACTCTATCCTGGGGATATTGACGACAAAGCCAGCAACCATGAAGATCATTCGCTGATGCCATCATTTTTTAGTAGAGACAGGGTTTCACCATGTTGGCCAGGATTGTCTCCACCTCATGATCCGCCCACCTTGGCCTCCCAAAGTGCTGGGATTACAGGCATATTTACTATAGAGTTTTGTTCCCACCCACACTGGATTAGGTTAATTGGGAGAGCAAAGAGGATTAACAATGTCAGTGTGATGTCTGGTTGGGCTTTAGAGTGGCCTCTGCATCTAACAAGGACAAAAGAGGTGTTTCCCAGGAGGAGGCAGTTGGCCAAAGTGATAGATAAGAAGTATTACATTCAGGGAGAAGAGAAAAATTAATGCTCCTCTCCCACCTACAGCATCCTGTTACCACTTCCAGCTAAATGTTGATTCTTTTAGATAGGCAGTGGAGGTCCCTAGATCATGGTATCAACCTCCTTTTGTGCTTGTGACTTGTAAGAAACAGGTTTAATCAGAGATAAATGCACCTAACCAGTTAATCTCTGAAGTTGAATAGAAGTGGGGGTACTTAACAACACCTCATAGAGGCTGTATTAGTCTGTTCTCACATTGTTATAAAGAAATAACAGAGACTGAGTAATTTATAAGTAAAAGAGGTTTAATTGGCTCACGGTTCTGCAGGCTGTACAGAAAGCATGGCAACACCTGCTTCTAGGGAGGCCTGAGGGAGTTTTTTGCCTCATGGCAGAAGGCAAAGCGAAAGTAGGCATCTTACATGGCAGGAGCAGGACTGAGGGGGGGGGGAGGTGGCACACACTTTTAAACAACCAGATCTCATGATAACTCACTCACAATCACAACAGGACCAAGGAGATGGTGGTAATCCATTCATGAGAAATCCACTCCCATAATCCAATCACCTCCCACCAGGCCCCACCTCCAATACTGGGGATTACAATTTGACATGAAATTTGGGTGGGGGCACAGATCCAAAACATTTCAGAAGCCCTTTCATTTTGTTGTAATTGATCCTCGGGGATCTTTCTTTCCTGGTTGAATGGGGGAATTAATTCTTTCTCTTACGGGAGAAGGCAGTGCTACATTTTCATATTCTCAAAGGGCATTTTGAACCTGGCCTAAATTGATAATATGAGTGAGCATTCTATGTGTCTCTTCATCAAACAGAAGGTCTAAAGTTAAAAAAGGGTCTTCCACAAGTCATTTCAAATGAACTAAGCTTTAAGGTTCCTCTTCGATCTATCCTTACATATAAAAGAGATATGGGTAGGAGTGAAACCCAGGCCCCTGAGGTCTCCTGACAGAGTTTTGCTAATGTCCTTTTAAAAACATGATTAGCTTTTTCTACCTTACCTGACGATTGAGGTCTCCAGCAGGAGTGAAGATGATAGGTAATACCTAAGGTGGAAGAAACTTGCTGGGTCAACTTAGCTGTGAAGTACCATCTGTTATCACTTTGCAAAATTTTGGTAATCCAAACATTGGAATGATCTCTTTAAGGAAGAATTTAGACACTTCAACACCTTTTCTGTTCTTTGTGGAAAAGCTTCTATCAACCTGGTGAAAGGGTCTATAAACACCAGCTAATATTTTAGTTCTATGTAAGGTGGTATCTGAGTGAAATCTATTTGCCAGTCTTCCCCAGGGTTTATTCTTCAGTGTTGCACAGATTTAAGTGGGGGTGAGGGTATGGGGTGGCATCCAGGGTCATTACAATCACAGAATTCACAGGCCTTAGTGATACTTTTTTTAGTCTGGAGTAGTCCCTTCCCCAGGAATATTTGGGAAATCAATTTCAATAGGGAGTCTCATCCCAAAAGTGAGGAGTCATGGAAATGCTTAATAATTTTCCATTGCTCATGTTCAGAAAAAGACAGTTTGTTGCTTTCTAGGGACCATCCTGAGGAGTGCTTTTGTAAACCTTTCTGTTCTTCCCATTTAATTTTCTTGGGAGTATATTATGGTGCCACTGACATGGGTGGAATACCTGGTATTAGTGAAACGGCCTGTAATACTGGTGTTTCTTTAGCTGTGGCCTTGGCTGCTCTGTCTGCCAGAGAATTTCCTCTGATAATAGAGGTGTCTCCCTTTTGCTGTCCCCTGCAGTGAATAACTTCTATCTCCTTTAGGAGCTGGACAGCACCTAAATGTTCCAAGATCTCTGAGTGATGTTGTATGAGGGATCCTTTAGCTGCTAATAATCCCCCCTTTTTTTCATATGGCGGCATGAGAATGGAACACCAGGAGGCCGTATTTGGAATCAGTAAATATATTCACCCTTAAGTCTCTTCCCAACCAGAGTACCCTAATTAGAGCAATTAATTCTGAGAGTTAAATTAAGTCTGAGACCTCAATGACTTCTTGTTGGATAACCATAGCGTAACCTGCCTCTCTTACTCCCTCATTAATAAAACCACTTCCATCTGTAAACCACCCAACATCAGGCTTAGGTAGGGACTCATCTTGGAGGTGAGGCTGCTGGAGTAGTTTTGTTCTACAGTTTCCATACAGGAGTGAATGAGTTGGAGATCTATTTCCTGGGATGTGAAGTCCAACAACAGGAACACAGGGTTTAAAACTTGACATGCTTTAAGAGTAACATCTGGGGTGTCAAGCAGAAGGGCCTGATATTTAAGTACCCAGCCCCCTTTTAGTCATTGGTATCCTTTTGCCCCCAGGACCCCCTATACTTGGTGGAGAGTCATGATGTCTAATTGTTGTCCCAAGGGAAGCTTACTGGCTTCTTTTACTAATGGTGGCAGCCACAGCTTGCAAGCATCTGGCCACCCAGCTGCCATCTGTTCCAGCTGTTTAGAAAAGTAATTCACTGGTCTAGAATTATTCTAGAGCCTTTGAGTTAGAATAACCAATGACATCCCCTGTTCATTATCCACATAGAGAGTAAAGGGTTTTTCTAAGTTTGGGAGTCTCAAAGCAGAGAATATTCTCAGCTTTTATTCTAGAGTTAAAAATGCCTATTGGCAGGATTTGTCCCAATTCAAAGGCTTGTGATCACTCCCTTTCAGGGCTGCACAGAATGGAAGCCAAATCTGGCAGAATCTGGACATTTCCCAAAAGGCTTTTAACTGTTTCTTAGTCTGAGGGTGCTGGAGTGCCAGGATGGCCTCTTTTTGCTCCTAGGCCAAGGTGCTTGTCCCAGAAGTGAGCACATACCCTAAATTCTTGACCCTTTGGACATAAATGTGGGGATTGTCAGGAGTTAACTGATACACTCATTTTCTTAGAAAATTAAAGATCTAGATTATGTTCCTGTCAGACTCTTCCATAGTAGGGCTGGAAATCAATAGGTTATCCACATATTACAAGAGATATCAATTTGTTAACTGTAGTTCCCTCAATTCTTTTTCCAATGCATTGCCAAAGAGATGGTGACTGTCCTTCCCTAAGCTCTAGGAAGGATATATAGCCAAGCTGAGATGCAACATTGGTGTCTGGATCAGTCCATTCAAAAGGAAAAATATACTGGAAGCCTGGATGAAAAGGCATACAAAAGAAAGCATCCTTTATGTCTTTATGTTTAATATCATGAACCAATGAGCATCTTCAGGAACTTGGGTCAATTTCATGTAAGGATTAGAAACTATTGAGTGGACTGGGACTACTTTCTCATTAACTGCCCTCAGATCCTAAAGAAATCTATATTCCCCATTTGGTTTCTTTACAGGCAAAATGGGGGTATTATGTGGGGACTGACAGGATTGATTGTAGTAATCCTTACCTTAGGACCATTCTTATCAAGGGCTGGATGCCCCCTTTAAGCCTCAGTTCTCAAAGGATATTGTTTATTCCATGGATACTTAACACTCGGTTTCAAAATAACCTGAATCAGGGGTACATTAACAGCTCTACCAGAAACTTCCATGTCCTGAACAAATGGATCTACTTGAGAAGCAATAGGTGGTGGAAGAGAGGTCTTTTCCTTATCGTGTTAAGGCATGTATTTAGAGCTAGGAGAAATATCCCTTCCTGATCTGTTGCCTTCTTATGAGGCTTTCCAAATTGAAATGTGACCTGTAATTGGGAAAGTAAGTCTCTTCCCAGTAAAGAAACAGGACATTTAGATATAAGCAAAAACCTATGGGAAAATGTATGGTCCCTCTGTGTGACCAAGGGGGTTAGTGAATCTTCTAATTTTTGGCTGGTCATCAGTCCCCCTTATGGTACATAAGTGGAAGATAATGGCCCTGAGAAATGGGTTGGAACTGAGTAGGCTGATCCTGTATCCAATAAGAACTCAGTATTTTTTACCTGCCATATCAAGGGTTACCTGAGGTTCCTCTGTTGAGAAGGTAAGGTGTCTAGTGTAAGCCATAGAAGACCTCCAGCCCTATGAATCCACTATTCTCTTGGCCCTTATGGGTCTGAGTGGCTCAGGCTCCCTTTTAATCCTGGGGCATCCATTCTACAGTGGCCGTCTTGCTTCTGGAAAGCACACTGATTTTGGCCCAGGGGCCAGTGAGTCAGTGGCTCTTGTGTGGGCGCCCTAGATGCAGATCTTACAATATTTTCTTGGGATAGGTAAACCTGAGGCAGCAAGAGACTTAAAGCAGTCATTAACAGTTGTACTATTAGGCCAATTATTTTCATTTTCACCTCTTCCTGTGCCCTGTTCCTATTGTTATAAATGCTAAAGGCCATGTTTAAGAGTTGGCTCATGGGGATTTGGGGTCTCATTGCTTCGTTTTGTAACATCCTCCCATTGTCAGGGGCAAACTGAGTAATAAAATGCATACCCAGGAAAGCCTGTCTTTCCAAGAAGTCTGAGTCTGCATTAGTGTATATCTTGAGTGCCTCAACCATGTAGCCCTGAAACAGAGAGAAATTTTCATCTTTCCCTGAGTTGCTTCTCTAATTTTGTCATAATTAACTGGCTTAACCACACACTTTTTAATCTCTTCTATTAAAAAAGTAAACATGTTATTTCTGCATTCTAGATGTTGAGAACCCCTCTGGTAATCCCATTGAGGGTCTAGGTCTGGAACTGCATCTCCTCCCCCATGATAAGTGGCACGGCCTTGGAAATAAGTGGTCCCTTCATCTGTATGCTCATTGGCAGTACCTAGAATCCTTTGCTTTTCCTCTTTGGTACAGCAAGTTGATAATAACATATTTGCGTGTCATGCCAAGTTAAATCAAAAGACATGGTCAACTTAACAAACCACTCTATGAACTTCCCTGAATCCTCTGAAAACTAGCTAAAGTTTCCCTTGTATAAAGTCAAATAAATCATGGAAAATAGCACAGATACTCTGATTGTTCCCCCATCTCCATCAACTACCCTCTCACAATGGACACAAGTTTGATTTTAGGGGCTGATATGGGGCCCCGTTCCTGGTCATACCAGTTGGGCTTGCTTCCTTGTGCATTGCAGGGTATAATAGGGCTTGTTGGATAAGGGGGAGGGGTGCCTGATGCACTAGAGAACCGACAGGGTCCCCATCGGAACTGGAAAACTGAGGAGGCTCTAAGCAGGGTGTCATAGGCCTTCTTGGGGGAGTACTTCAGAGGGTGTCATCTAGAATATCTGGTGCAGCTTCTTGGTGCCTAGGAAGATCATGAGACAGACACATTCTGCAACTGTCTTTTAGGTCAGAATCATGGTTGAGTGCCATAAAAACCTTCACATAAGGAACTTCTCGCCATTTTTCTTTCTTTTTACAAAACAAGTCCAATTACAAAATAGTATTATAGCATAAAGAACCCTGTCAAGGCCAAATCTGTTGGTTCTTTGATTTATATTGGACACAATCAGTGTTGCAATAAAAAAGGAGTTTTTCCTCTTTAAACTGTCTAATTTAAATTTACTCCAGTTACTTAAAAGATATCCTAGTGGCGAGTCCTCTGGGATGCTCACTGTCATCTCCATGTCTAATAAGGATCTCTATAGGAGTTGTTCGTTTGCCTAAGTCCAGCAAAAGCCTAGTTACTTTTCTCTTTTAAATTCCCACATCCTGCAAAACAGGTGTAAATATAAGCAGCAAAGCATTACAAAAGTGGATTATGAGCTGTATGAATGGGTAGCAGAATGATGAGCCTGAATTCCAGAAAAAGTGAAGAAAGTCTCTTAGTTTAGGCAGAGAGGGGCTAAAAGAAGCAGAAGGTGATTGTGGAAGGGAGGAAGGGAATAGGTAAGCAGCATGCTCAAAGGGAGACCTCAGAGGCCCTGACTCACAGATAATCTACCCAGTAGAAAAGACACTAAAAAAAATGCTCAGGCGGCCACTTGTCTTTGTGTGTAGTCATCCATTAGCCCAGGGGTGCAGGAACTCCCAGTCCCCTTGACCAAGATAAGGTTGAACAAGGCAGTTTTTGGAATGAAAGGAAGATAGCACACTGGGAGGAGCCCACAACTGGCTGCTATGGAAAATGACTATTTCTAACTTACAGAGCAGAAAGGGCAAGACCAAGTTCCCCAAGGGGGAGGGGCTATAACCCACAATCTTAGAGGTAATGTCAATGCCAAAAACCTCAGGATATCTGGATCAGCCAGCAGTACCAAGGCGGAAAAACCTGGAGTACCCAAGTATTGGCCAATGAGGATTTCCTCACCAAATGCAAAAAACTCTGGGGCATCTGTGGGGTTGCCAACAATGAACCCCAAGGCCAAGTTGGGGTCACAGAACAGTGTGACTCTGGTGTCCCAGGAGCAACACAATGGATGACTTCTTACAACCAAATGTCCTGCCTTAAACAATTGCCCAAATATAGCTAACAGGGAGTCAAAGCTAAAAAAACCACATACATTTCAGAACGCAAAATAAAATGGCTGACGAGCAATAAAATGGAATTAGTGGGGAAAGAACCAAGAAAGAGATGTACTTTGTGGCACCCAAAAAAGGGGTATTTTAAACTGGCCACCTAGCCAGAGGGTATATTCCCTGGCTCACTGGAATAAACAGGAGGGAGGGGCAGAGGGGACACTCCTTCATCCACAGGAGCCATAATGGCATCGAATGAGGTTTTCCATGTGGGACCCAGGTGAGAGTCTTCTCGGACTCCCCTGGCTTGGGTGGGCTCAGCTGCTTTGGCGGACTGATGTGGAGGCCTGCAGCCTTTTGGTGAGAGCGCAAGGATCTCACATGAGGCAGCAGTACTATAGCCACTCGCCCATGTGCTCGGCTCCACTGCCTGCCAGAAAAGATAGTTTCCCTGAAAGAGCTTTTGGTTAATGTGACAGCCTCTGCAGCATTAGCAGCTATTTGAAGTTACAGCCCTAATGTGACAGCTCTTGTAGCTTTGATCACCAGTTGCCTCACTGTCTCTTGCCGTCTCTCTTGCCACCATCTTCTCTTCTCTCCTGACTAGCTCACCAATGATGCAGGGCAAGTTCTTGACTTCACTGAGGAAGAAGTTCAAGAGTGAGTCCGGTGGTGGTAGAAAGCAGCTTTATTGAGGTAATGGCAATGTCACAGCTCTGTGACTGCTCCTGCAGAGCAGGGCTGGCCCATATTCAGTGTACCAAGAGTAGCAGCCTATGCGCGGTTTGCTGTAACTTTTATACCCACTTTTAATGACATGCTAACTAATGTGCAGGTTATTCAGAAATAGCTAGAAAATGAACGGTAACTTCCAGGTGTTACCATGGCAAGGGGCAGTGACTTCTAGGTGTTGTCATGGCATTAGTAAACTCCTGGCACCAGGGGGAGTGCCTTACGGTGATGGACAGCCAGAGCAACCCGAGGTATTCTTGGCACCTCTTCTCAGTTTTGTTGTGTCTTCAGTCTGGTCTGGAGATGAGTTCTGCCTGTCTCCTAACGCGTAGCATTTGGCAATAATGTGGAAGACAAAAGTAAAAGTACCTAATCAACTTGTGAATCCTGCTAATAAGATTTCTAGCAGAATGTTGGAAAATGGCCAGTTAGCTTCTTTTAGCTACATATGATAAAATACAGGAAATACGAGATGAAGTAAAAAAGGGAGTTGTTTAGATTTTAATCAGAATTAGAGGAAGCATACAGAGCTCTGGGCAGTCTCTCCAGATGGCAAAGCATCCTCCAATAGACTCAGGGTAAAGATCCAATCAAGAATTTAGCTCTAATACCCATTCTTAAGAGCTCAGAAAGATTTGAAGTGGTGCATAGTCAACCCTCTCAGTTAGACAAAATGGTTATAGAAAACCTCAAGGAATTTATCACTTAAAATCATGATATTTGTAAAACAGAGAAATTATTTCAAAAAAATGCCTGTTATTTGGGGCCTTAAATGAACCCCAACAAGATTTCTCCCCCCAAAAAAATTCCCAAAGTTATTAAGTAGCTTAGAAGATTGAGCCAAAAGTGTTGGCAATTCAATAATAATAATATATATATATTTCAAGACAAGAGTCTTGCTCTGTCACCCACGTTGGGGTGCAGTGGCGCTACCGTAGCTCACTGCAGCCTCAACCTCCCAGGCTCAAGCGATACTCTGACCTCAGCCTCCAGAGTAGCTGAGACTAAAGGCACACACCATCATGGCCAGATAATTAAAAAAATAAAAATTGCAGAGACAGGGTTTTGCCATTTTGAACAAGCTGGTCTTGAATCCCTGGGCTCAAGTGATTCTCCCACCTCAGCCTCCCAAAGTGCTGGGATTACAGGAATAAGCCACCATGCCCGATCATTAATAATATTTGGCAACCCCACCCAAGGTACAGAATTGGGCCCTAATCGTAGAATATTTCCTGACCTTAGAGCACGTAAAATTAGTAGCATGTGCCTAGTGGATTTCAAATTTGTTAATGATTAATTACTACTACTTATTTTTCATTATTTCTCATTTTAAATGAGAATATGTATTTGTCTACTACTTTGTCTTGCTACTTTGTCTTGTTTCACCACTATATTGGAGGTGAAAAACAAAGAAAACTTTTAACAGGTCTGGACCAGTCAGGTACGGTGGCTCACGCCTATAATCCCAGCACTTTGAGAGGCCGAAGCAGGAAGATAACCTGAGGTCAGGAGTTCAAGACTAGCCTGGCCAACACGGTGAAACCTTGTCTCTACTAAATATACAAAAATTAGCTAGGGGTGGTGGTGGGCTCCTGTAATCCCAGCTACTCAGGAGGTTGAGGCAGGAGAATTGCTTGAACCTGGGAGGCGGAAGTTGCAGTGAGCCAAAATTGCACCACTGCCCTCCAGCCTGGGCGACTGAATAAGACTCTGTCTCAAACAAAACAAACAAGCAAACAAAAAACCCCAACAACTTCTAACAGCTCTCTGGATCAAGAGGAGCAGCACCTAAGGAAAATTCATTATATCTGTTCGTAGATGACATTCTGAACTTTGAGGCTGAGCCTGATTTTTTGATACAGATGAGACTATTGGAAGTCCTGTGTATGAGTGTATTTTTCATGTGGGAGGAATATGAATCATTTTGGGCCAGAGTGACCAATGCAATAGACTGTTTAATGGCCATAAATTCTTCCTGTTTCAGTTCCATGCCTATTTCCAATGTTACCTTGCCACCATTCTCACATCTAGAAGTTGTCTCTCTGTCCATTACCTTAACTTGGAATTTGGTCGTGTAGCATGATTTTGCCAATAAGATATTGGTAAATTTGGCACAGACACAAGGTTTTGCTCATTAGGGCTTGCCCTCATGCACACCAGCTATAACAAAGAATATGCTGTTTATTGGTGAAGACATATGAGGAAGAGGCCCTTGGGCAAAGAGGGACCCCCTGGAGGAAGACTAAGAAACTCTAGCTGATAGCCACCATTAAATGGCAGACCTTAGAGTGATAACCAAACTCTCTGCTGAATGTAGCCCACAAGCAGCCCCAGAAGATACTTTGTGAGGTAAGGTAATTTCCCAGTTTTACTCATCCAACTCAGTATCTTGAGAAGTATGCATTTTTATTACTGCTTGTCACTAATTTTGGGTTTGTGTGTTGCACAGCAATACATACAGATATGCATACCATTCTTTGAACTTAAGAAGGTTCAATATCACTAAATGATAATCTTCATTTGCAAATTGAGTTAAATTCAAAGCGGTCTTCCAAAGGGATTTTTGGCACTCAAGAAAATTATTCTAAAGTTTATCTGAAATAATAGTCCTGGGAATGGCCATATGTAAGAAATAATAACTTAAAAGTATATTGCATAATGTTGTTCTCAAGTTCTTTCTAATAATATTTATGAAGCCATATTTATATACTAAAAGTATAGAATTTAAGCATATTGAATGTGAAATACTTTTAGATTTCAAAAATGAATTATAAATTACATTAAACATTAAATTATTCATTTAAGAAATGTATTGAATAACTTATAAATATTTTTCTTTTATTATAACTTTATTAAGGTATACTCAACCAATAAAAATTGTAGCTATTTAAGGTGTTCAACTTGATGTTTTGATATATGTACACATTATGAAATAATTACCACAATCAAGCTAATTGGCATATCCATCACCTTGCATAGTTACTACATATGGTGAGAACACTTAAGACTAACATTGTTAGCAAATTTCAAGTACACAATACAGTATTATTAACTGTGATCACCATAGTGTACATTAGGTTTCCAGAACTTTGTCATCCTGCATGAATGAACATTGTACCCTTTGAGCAATATCCCTCCATTTTCCCTACACTCCAGTCCCTGGCAACCACGATTCAGTTTTCTGCTTCAATGAGTTTGCCTTTTTAAGAATCCACATATAAGTGAAATCATGCAGTATTTGTCTTTCTGTATCTGGCCTGTTTCTCTTATCATAATGTCTTCTAGTTTCCTCTAGATTGTTGCAAATAGCAGGATGCCCTTTTTAAAGGCCAAATAGTATTCCATTGTGCGCGCATGCATGCACGCACACACACACACACACACACACAAACACATACACACTGCATTTTCTTTATCCACTCATCAAAACCACAGTAAGGTATCAGTGTACCCCTGTCAGATAGGGGTACTTTTGTCTTTTAGCTGCTATCAAAAAGACAAAAGATAACAAGTTTTGGTGATAATGTAGAGAAAAGGGAACCCTTGTATACTATTGGTGGAAATGTAGATTGGTGCAGCCACTGCGGAAAATCGTATAAAATAGCAGCCACTGTTCAAAATAGGGTCCTCACAAAAATAAACATAGGGCTAGTATCCAGCAATCCCACTTCTGAGTGTATACTCAAAAATGAAATCAGTATCTCCAAGAGATATTTGCATGCCCATGTGCATTGCAGCCTATTCACAATATCCAAGGTATGAAAACAACCTATGTGTCAGTTGTAGTGCTGTCTTGACCCTATTCTGAGTCCCTTGCTAGAAGCTGGTTAATTCCACTTCTTTAGCAGCCGATTAGGTCCACACTCCACTAACATCCCTTATCAAGCTCTCAGGCTCTTAGCCCATTATGCACCAGCCCTTATTACCCTAGGGCCAGTGATAGGGTTTGGCTGTGTCCCCACCCAAATCTCAACTTGAATTGTATCTCCCAGAATTCCCACATGTTGTGGGAGGGACCCAGGGAGAGGTAATTTAATCATGGGGGCCCGTCTTTCCTGTGCTATTCTTGTGATAATGAATAGGTCTTATGAGATCTGATGGGCTTATCAGGGGTTTCTGATTTTGCTTCTTCCTCATTTTCTCTTGCCACTGCCATGTAAGAAGTACCTTTCAACTCCCACCATGATTCTGAGACCTCCCCAGCCATGTGGAACTGTAAATCCAATTAAACCTCTTTTTCTTCCCAGTCTTGGGTATGTCTTTATCAGTAGCATGAAAACAGACTAATACAGTAAATTGGTACTAGTAGAGTGGGATGTTGCTGGAAAGATACCCAAAAATCTGGAAGTGACTTTGGAACTGAGTAACAGGCAGAGGTTGGAACAGTTTGGAGGGCTCAGAAGGAGATAAAAAATGTGGAAAAGTTTGGAACTGCCTAGAGACTGATTGAATGGCTTTGCCCAAAGTGCTGATAGCAGTATGAACAATAAGGTCCAGGCCGAGGTGATCTCAGATGGAGATTAGGAACTTGTTGGGAACTGGAGCAAAGGTGACTCTTGTTATGTTTTAGCAAAGAGGCTGGTGGCATGTTGCCCCTGCCCTAGAAATTTGTGGAACTTTGAACTTGAGAGAGATGATTTAGGGTATCTGACGGAAGAAATTTCTAAGCAGCAAAGCATTCAAGAGGTAACTTGGGTGCTGTTAAAGGCATTTGGTTTTATAAGGGAAGAAGAGCATACAAACTTGGAAAACTGCAGCCTGACTATGTGATATATATTAAAAAAAACACACATTTTATGGGGAGAAATTCAAGCTGGCTGCAGAAATTTGCATACGTAGCAAGGAGCCTAATGTTAATCCCCAAGAACATGGGGAAAATGTCTCCAGGCCATGTCATAGACCTTCATGGAAGCTTCTCCCATCACAGGCCCGAACGCCCAGGAGGAAAAAGTAGTTTCCTTGGCTGGGCCCAGGGTCTTCATTATATGTGCAGCCTAGGGACTTGGTGCCCTGTGTCCCAGCCACTCCAGCCGTGGCTGAAAGGGGCCAATGTACAAATCAGGCTGTGACTTCAGAGGGTGGAAGCCCCAAGCCTTGGCAGCTTCCACATGGTATTGAGCCTGCAGATGCACAGAAGTCAAGAATTGAGGTTTGAGAACCTCCAACTAGATTTCAGAAGATGTGTGGAGATGCCTGGATGCCCAGGCAAAAGCTTGCTGCAGGGGTGAGGCCCTAATAGAGAACCTCTGCTAGGGCAGTCTGGAAGGGAAATGTAGGGTCGGAGCCCTCACTGAGTCCCTACTGGGGCACTGCCTAGTGGAGCTGTGAGAAGAGGGCCACCGTCCTCCAGACCCCAGAATGGTAGATCCACCGGCAGCTTGCACCATGTGCCTAAAAAAGCCACAGCCGGGAGGGAGGCTGTACCCTGCAAAGCTACAGGGATGGAGCTGCCCAAGACCATGGGAACCCGCCTCTTGCATCAGCCTGACCTGGATGTGAGACCTGAAGTCAAGGTTTTAAAATTTGCCTGCCCTGCTGGATTTCAGACTTGCATGGGCACTGTAACCTCTTTGTTCTAGCCAATTTCTCCCATTTGGAATGGCTGTATTTACCCAATACCTGTACCCCCATTGTATCTAGGAAGTAACTAGCTTGATTTTGATTTTACAGGCTCATAGGTAGAAGGGACTTGCCTTGTCTCAGATGAGACTTTGGACTGTGGACTTTTGGGTTAATGCTGAAATGAGTTAAGACTTTCGGGGACTGTTGGGAAGGCATGATTGGTTTTGAAATGTGAGGGCATGAAATTTGGAGGGGCCAGGGGCAGAATGATATGGTTTGGCTGTGTCCCTACCCAAATCTCAACTTGAGTTATGTCTCCCAGAATTCCCATGTGTTGTGGGAAGGACTCTGGGAGAGGCAGTTGAATCATGGGAGCCAGTATTTCCCATGCTATTCTTGTGATAGTGAGTAAGTCTCATGAGATCTGATGGGTTTATCAGGAATTTCCACTTTTGCTTCTTTCTCATTTTCTCTTGCCACTGCCATGTAAGAACTACTTTTCATCTCCCGAATAATTCTGAGGCCTCCCCAGCCATGTGGAACTTTAAGTCCAATTAAATCTCTTTTTCTTCTCAGTCTTGGGTATGTCTTTATCAGCAGCCTGGAAATGTACTAATACAGCCAGATACAACTAGGGACAACTAGAGACAGTCTCTATATTCCAAAACTCTTCAGATTATTTAAATTAGCCAATTCACAGGGAACCTGCAAAACCCTGCTAAACCCACTCTGCTTGCCATAAGTAAGCTGTCCCTTCATGCTCCAGCTTGCTATTACCCAGTCCCATGTGCATGACCTTGGTGGTCCAGCCTGGCAGTTTTCTCTACCTTGCAGCTATATGTAACAACAAGTTATGACTTTCACCTATATAAGTGTTAGTGTATTGTGCCCCACAATCAAAAAAATGTTTAAACCTGGGCCAGGCACTGTGACTCACACCTGTAATCCCAGCACTTTGGGAGGCAGAGGCGGGTGGATCACGAGGTCAGGAGATTGAGACTATCCTGGCAAACATTGTGAAACCCCGTTTCTACTAAAAATACAAAAATTAGCGTGGTGGCGTGTGCCTGTAATCCCAGCTACTTGGGAGGCTGAGTCAGGAGAATCACTTGAACCAGGGAGTCAGAGGTTGCAATGAGCCGAGATCATGACACTGCACTCTAACCTGGTGACACAGTGAGACTCTGTCTGAAAAAAAAAAAAAAAAAAAAAAAATTAAACCTTATAAAACAACTACTTGCCAGCAAAATTTTATGTGCTGGAAATATAACATGGAATAAGCTAACAAAACCCTTCCCTCAAATAACTTTCCTTCTCATGGATTTTGAAGCAAAAACTTAGGGGAATATAGGATATTACACAAAAAAGTCTTCTGTCCTTCACATATACATGCAACTTTTTAAATTAAAAAATAAATTATTAAACATGGTCAAATGTTAGGTCAATGGACCCATTTTTACTAAAAGTTCAATGATGATAAAAATTAGGTAAAGGAGAATTGGGACATCCAACTCATGAAAGCTAAGACATACAGGATGGGTAAGGGAAAATGTTCTGTCTGCATTTTACTTGACATTTGAATACATGTAGCTCTGAGCTGTACTATGAAACTTAACTTGAATTCATGTGCACTGAGATATATTCTTTTTATCACTGTTCATTGCCCTGGTAATTACAGTATTGACTGAAAGCTTAGTTTAATTTGTATCAATTATCCAAAAACTATATATATATATATATATATATATACACACACACACACACACATATATATATATATACACACACACATATATATATATATATTTTTTGCCTTCTGGATCAAAGCTTGCCTGAGAACATTTTAAGTTTATTTATACCCTTGAATTTAATCTGGTAAAACCCACTGAAGTTGTCATCAGCGGGTGTCAAATGAGTCCTACTGATGGGATGATGATTTCTAACTTTACATGCAAACAATAAATGTTCCAAGCCTCTAATGATGTTTTTTTCTATTTTACTCAAAATAACTTCTTTTTTCACAATTTAATGGATACTATAAATATAAATCCATAGCTTAGTAGATATATTTGGAACAATAAACTATATAATCTTCTCCATTAAGTATTGTGTATCTTCAAAAAACTAGTTCATTTAATTCTAAAACAAAAGAAATGAGTCAATAAAATCAACACTTTCATTGAGTATCCACTGTCTATCAGTCAATCTCATAATCGTTTCACTTACATTTCTTATTTAGCTCTTACAATAAACTTAGTTTCCCTCATTTTATGAATGCAGAAACTAAAGCTCAGATTGGTTAAATGATTTATGCCTAATATCTCAGTAGGTGATGGATAAGGAATTGCATCTGACCCTAAATTTAGCCAATATACTTTCCACTTTCCCATACTGTTCACTGTTCAAGGTCTTTTAGTTTGAGTGGCACTAAAGTTACTCAGACAATCAGTTAGGAGGCAGGACATAATATCAAGGGTTTCAGACTGATATGGTTTGGATGTTTGTCCCCACCAAATTTAATGTTGCATTGTAACTTGCAATGTCGGAGGTGGGGTCTGGTGGGAGGTGACTGGATCATAGGGGAAGATTTCTCATGAATGGCTTAGCACCATCCCCTCGGTGCTGTCCTCATGATAGTGAGTGATTTCTCGCAAGAACTTGTCATTTAAAAGTGTGGCACCTCCCACCTCGCTCTCTTGCTCCTGCTCTCATCATGTGATGTTCAAGCTCCCACTTCACCTTCTGCCATGATTGTAAGCTTCCTAAGGCCTCCCTAGAAGCAGCTGCCAGTGCTATAGTTCCTGTACAGCTGGGAGAACCATTAGCTAATTAAATTTCTTTTCTTTATAAATTTTCCAGTCTCAGGTATCTCTTTATAGTAATACAAGAATGGACTAAATACACAGACTGTGGGTCAAACTCTTACAAATGAGACAAGTCCTAGTCATGATCTTAGCCCAATGGATGCATCTGAATTCAAGCCATCGAATGGAATGCACATAAAGATAAAATTTGGTTTGACATGAGCAGGTGGGTTAGTATTGTAAAGGACAACCAAGTATAGGCCAATTTAGCTGTGCTCCCAAGCAGAATAAACCTGGGTATTCTTGGCAGAAGAATCATTTGGAAATGGAGACAGACTCTGGTTAGAGATTCAGTCCTGAACCAGGGCTATATCTCAAAGTTTCTGTGGGTCAGGAACATCTGGGTATAGTTTAGATGTGTTATCTACATCAGTGTTAGAACAGGCTACAATCAAAGTATCAACTGGGTTGCATTTTCATCTGGAGGCTTGATTGTAGAAGTGGTCACTTTAAAACTCACTCAAGTTGCTCCAGAATGAATTTTCTTTGGGCGGTAGGGCTGAGAATTTCAGACTTTAGCTGATCATTAGCCAATGCCACTTTAGTTCCTGAAGGAGACCCACAGTTCTTTGCCTGGTGACCCTCTTCATGGGAGTTTGCTATACAGCAGCTTGCTTCTACAAGGCCAGCAGAAGAGGAGGAGTGAGTCTGCTAGCGAAGATCATAGGTCATAGGTCTTATATACACCTGAGAGGGGAGGATTACAGTGTTGAAAGAAAAGTGTGAATGCCAGGGTCAGGGATCATAAAAACCTTATTAAAGTCTGTCTTCCCTACATAGTGAAACATACTAATTTCCATCTATTTAGCACTGTATTAAGATAGATGCCTAATCAGGTTTGCAATATATTTGATGGTATGTTTGGAAGAAAAAGTGATTGCTCTCCACTTCTTGATGCAGTTTTTTAAAAATGTGGCTTCAGAGAAAGTATACTCTCTTTTTTTTATTATTTGTCACCAGCTACACTTTCACATGTTGGAGGTCTCAAGATTTACTCATTAGTTTATCCCTCAAGGCACTTCTCTGTTTCAATGTATTAGGGGTCACATTGCCTCATACTTCTCTGTTTCTTGTGCTTGTTTCTTTCATCTCATCTCTATGAATACTCACTCCCCAAATTACTTAATTTGGTTTCACAGCTTGGCATATCATCTATATATTGCATACTACCAAATCAAACTTCTCTGTTTTTGAATATCCAACAGCCTACTTAACATCTCCATCCCAGTCTCTCAAATGCCTCTAAAACTTAAGTCCAAAACTGGGCTCTTGCTCTTCCCTCAAAATCTGTTTATCCTTTCTTATTTCAGTAAATAAGGGTCAGTTCTTCCAGATATTCAGACCAAACCAAACCAAACAAAACAAAAACCTTGGTCTTATCCTTGAATTTTTTTCACATTCTGTCATAACTTACATCCAATTTGAAAGCAAATATTTTGCTGGCTCTACCTTCAAAATACATCTAAAATCTCACCATATCTACTATTCCTACTGCAAAGTCTCTGATGCAAGCCACAGTCATCTCCTATTAGGACTCTTTCAGTACCTCTTAGGGGCTCTTCCTGATTTTCTACTCTTAGCCTCCTACAGCGTTTTCTCAATGCAGCAAGGGAATGAGGACTGTATAATATACATCAGATTATGCCAGTCCTCTGTTCAACTTATTCTCAAGGTTTATAATTTAAGTGGTCTACATGGGTTCAAATGATTTCACTGTCCACTGTTTACGTAATATCTCTCCCTATTATTCTTTCCTTGGATCACTCTACTTCAGTAAAACTGGAGAGAAGCATACTTTGGCCTCAAAGATGTTGCATTTTCTGTCCCTTTCTCCTAGAGTGCACTTTTCCTGGATATCCACATGATCTGCTGCCATATCTCTTTAAGGTCTTTACTCAAATATCACCTTATCTATGGAGACTTTCCTGTCTACCCTATCAAAATGAACAACCACTTCATCCATCTCCAATCCCTGTCATGTTTATATCCACAGCTCTTACCACTTGAAAATCCACTTCTCTTGTTAATATATTTCTGATTCTATTTTCTTTTGACCTCTGCAAAGGCATATATTTTTGTAACTCATTTTGAACTGCTGCATCTCCAGAGTCTACTCTAGTTTCAGGCATTTGGTGAGTGTTCAGTTAATATTTGTTGAATAAATGAATTGACTAGGTCAGCTACATTGATTAATTTCAAATGTTAAATCAAACTTGCATTTCTGGGATCAACTCCATTTGGACATGATTCATTATCCTTTTTATATATTGTTGCATCTGATTTTCCAACATTTTATGTAGAATTTTTGCATCTAAGGTCAGAGGCATTGAAATTCTCATACACTGTTAGTGAGAATGTCAAATAGTACAATGGTTTTGAAAAATTCTGTCTTATGGCCCAGCCTTTCTACACCCATGTGTTAACCAAGATAAACGAAAGCATAGTATGATGAAAACAATTGTACATAAATGTATATAGCAGCTTTATTTTTAATTGCAAAAAATGAATCCAACCCAAATGCCCAGTAATAGGTGAATAGCTAAACAAATTGTAGTATAGCTATAGAATGGAATATTACCCAGCAATATAAAGCAATGTATCATTGATATATGCTACAACAAGGATGCATCATAAATAATAATTCTAAGCTAAAGATGCCAGATGAAAAAGAATAGATACTAAACATTTTCATTTAAATCAAATATTCAAAAATGTAAACTATAGTGAAAGAAAATCAATTTGGGTTACCTGGGGATATGGTGGTAAAAGGGATGGGTAAGAGGGATTATGAAGAGATACAAAGTAACTTTTATACACGACAGAAATGTTCATTATTTGGACTTATTGTTGTGTGCATATGTCAAATATATCAACAACTTTATGTTCATCTTATTGTATGCCAGTTACCTTAATTAAGCTGTTTTTTAAAAAAGGAAAATAAAAGGTAATTGCTACAATACAATTTTGTGATGCCTCAAATGATGGACTATCAGTATTTACCCTAGAATTTGTCAGTTTAGAGATGTGTTCTAAATGGCATAATTTTTATATTTCATATGAATTATACCCTGCTTTTTAGTTCAATTCAGCCAATAATGATTTTTGGTTAGCTAATTCAAAAATAGCCACCGTTTTCTGGAGATGATCATTTTATAATGATTACAGTGAGTTAGAAACTTCCATGTTAACTCACTATTGAATTTTTTCTAGCTCACATTAATGCAATATCTGATCAGGAGCAGATAGAATGATAAAAACTTATTTACTGCAGTTGGCTTTTCCTACTACTTCTTTGTTAGTCCAGTGAAATTTATACATATAAATAATACTGAGCCTGAATTGTCACTGAAACTACTTTTTAAAAGGCTCCTTTCTCATATTTATTGAAGATGGAAAATGCACACTTTCTGCCAGGATGTGTACATGGTATGTGGGAGAGTGTGCAATAAATTAGAAATAATCTATGTTTTATCACTCTATTGCTATATGGTCAAGGGTATTGTCAAAAAGCCCATTCAAAGGGATACATTTTCTCCTTCAGAAGGGAAATTGCATGATGATTTTCAATTTGCGTGATGTGACCCAACCTCCAATTCTCCCTTGTCTGTGACTTCTGACTTTATTGTTTGAGCACAAAATATATTTAAGGAACAAGTTGAAAATAGACATTATAAGAAGAAGTGATGCTTTCAGAAAAAAAATCAATGAGTTAATAGATCTTTGGCTAAAATCCAACAACTATTTGTCTGCTTCAAATAATCTTGTCTCTAGCTCTCTTCAGTCCAGACGTCTGCATGCAATTACATTGGATGCTCCCCCTATATATATATGGACAGAAAAAATAGAGTTTTTAAAACAAGGATATAGGCTATTTCTGACAGCTTTCTGTAGTATTGAAGCCTTTTTCAATAGTCATTTATGCTATTTCTTTTCTGTGAGAAACTGTATAGACACTACCAAATGATGCAGAAACTACCAAAACAAATTTTTAAACAAATAGTATTACAAAATAGAACACAAGGAACAACACTTACAGAGTTATAGTTCATGTAACTATGGAGTGTGTGTGTTTGCTGTGCTTTAGAAAAATAAGTGATTGAAAGCCAAAGGAATCTAAACAGGTGTATGTTCTCTCTTACTTAAACTCTCTGTTGGATATCATTCGTTTTTCTTTTCCACATTTACCTTCAGTCCTGTTTTGTCCTTCAAATGAAACGCATTTGGTTACATAAAAGTCTTTCTTGGACTCAGACTGTTCCCAGCGATGGAGATATGTGTGGGAGCCTGATGGGGAGCTGGAACTCCTGCCTCCCACCAGCGGGAAGGAGGAACTACCCCTCTCAGATGTCAATGGAGGTTGAAGGGGGATCCAGAACTGCTACCTTAATCTGATAATAATGAGGTGGCATTTTCTGTGGCCAGGACAGTGTCAAGCCAGGTAAAATAGAGGTTTAAATATTAATAATATCCAGACCTTCATAAAACAATACCCAATATCTCTAGGTTTCAACTGAAAACAATTTGTCATTCAAAGAACCAGGAACGTTGGAGGGGGAATGTAAAAAGATAATCAATAGCTGTCAATACTGACTGACAGAGACATTAGTATTATTTGACAAATATTTTAAAGCAGCGACCATGAAAAACACTTTAACGACCAATTGTGGACGTGTAAAATAAATAACATTTAGAAAATCTGAGCAAATAAATGGAAGTTGTACAAAAAAAAATGAAAATTTTAGAACTGAAAAATATAGTAATACTTTTCAATTAATTTAATGAAGCTATTATTACTCCATACCAAAACCACACAAAAACAGTACAAGGAAAAGAAAACTATAGACCAATATTCCTCATGCATATAGTTGTAAAAAACACTTAAAAAAATAATAACAAATCAAAGTTAGCAATATATAAGATTTAGGTAGGGTTTTTTTTTAAACATATTTTGCATCAGATTTTCTCTAATTTCATTCTAGGAATTAGATATATCAGAATCTTCTCAGGATTCTGAATCTTTTTTTTAAAAAATCTGAATAATTATTTTAGCCCTACCTTTGTAGATTCTTATTCCACTGTCCTTTGTGTGTGTATTGTTGGGTATGGTATCAGAAATTCGGCTATTAAAAAATTCCCCAGATTCTGAAGTGCTTGGGAAAACACTGTCATAATAAATAAACTGGCAAATAGCAATTAAAAAATGGCAATTAACATGGCCAGTATTTGAGATCAGCATATCTTCTTAAAGTTTATCCCAGACTTTCTACATGCTGGTCTCAGCCTGGAATGTCCTTTCTCTTCACAGGGCCAGAGTTTTACAGAACTTAGAAGTACCATTCACATGAAGAATAATATTATGTACAGGAGGCACCCTTTCCATAGCTCCCTGGAGTCCTGGGAGCCTATCGCCCTGAACCCTTACCTACTTCCACTCCTTCCTTTGCATCCCTCAAGTCTCAGCTTAAATATGAATTCTTCAAGGAAACCCACCCAGACCTGTGCCCCTAACCCCAGATGAAATGAAATATTCCTAACACTTTCCTAGCAACCAGTACTTTGCTGTAACATTTACTGATGTCAAAATTAAATAATAATGATTATGTTTTAAAATTTCTATTCTAATAATTATCATTTCTTCTGGAAATGAAGAGTATTCCTTCAGAGTTTCATAATCTATGTGTGGGAATCTGGACTTTTTCTATGGACAAAAGAAAGCTAATAAAAGAAAATACACATGAGAAAGAAATGATCAGATTCATATTCACAATATATAACTTAGCCTGAGTGCAGGGGATGGGAAGGAGAGGGAAGCGGGAAGGACCTACCAGTCAGGGAGGCCAGTTAGGAAGTCTGTGTAGATGAGCCCCTGGTGGAGTCCCAGCATAGCACTGATGAAGATGGAAAGATGTAGATGGAAAGATGATAAAATGGGTAGACTTGGGAGGGAGAAGAAATGATCAAGAATTGTGGATTGGAGACCAGATGCTCAGAAGTGGAAGGCAGGGCCAGGCACGATGGCTCACGCCTGTAATCTCAGCACGTTGGGAGGCTGAGGCGGGTGGATCACTCAAGGTTAGGAATTCAAGACCAACCTGGCCAACATGGTGAAACCCCATCTCTACCAAAAATACAAAAATTAGCTGGGCATGGTGGCAGGCACCTGTAATCCTAGCTACTCGGGAGGCCAAGGCAGGAGAATCATCGCAAGAACCTGGGAGGCCGATATTGCAGTGAGCCAAGATCGCGCCACTGCCCTCTAGCCTGGGTGACAGAGTGAGACTGTCTCAAAAAAAAAAAAAAAAAAAAAGAAAAGAAAAAAGAAATGGAAGGCAGGAAAAGCTGATTTCTGAGAAGGTGATGGCAGTCAGCTCTGCACCATCGTATGCTTAATTAAAATATCTAATACGGTTTAATTAAGTATGCAATGGTGCAGTGCTTCTGAACACGTGGGATCTTGACCAGCTACTACAGCATCTCCTGGGAACTTGATAGAAATGCAAATTCTCAGGTCCCCACTCCTGACTCGCTGACTCAGAAACAGAGGGGAGAGGGGAGAGGGGAGAATCCCAGTCATCTGAGTTTTAACAAGCCTTCCATGTGATTCAGAAACATGCTGCCATTTAAAACCAACTGCAACAGTGCTTCAGTGTTTGGGTATAAGTATCAGCTCTTCCACTTAGCAGCCTATGAGACCTTGACCAGGTTAGTTCATCTTTCTAAATCTCCTTTTCCCTCCTGTGTAAAATAAAGATTGCAAGACTTATGTTGAGTTAGATAAAGCACATAGCATTATAATTAGCAATTAATAGTTATAATGCTTGATGTTTTTTGTCACACACACATGAAAACATATATCTATGCCACAGCCTTTGGTAGCAAATAAAACTGACTTCCTTGCTGTCTGTTGGGAGGAGAAATGCTTGTAGAGGACCCTTAATTTATCCAGCAGGAAAAGAGCTACAAATTTATTCTCCTATGTTCTAATCATAGCACTAGAGACCAAAGAAAATTTTTGGTAAGGTAAAGGATTAGAAGCATGTGTAATTATTTTTCATGAAAGCACAGGAAAGTTGATATTAAAGGCCTTTAAAGGGACAAATCTCAGCACGTTGTACTTTTATGTTTGAAAGGGAGAGAGAGAGACAGGTTCAGGGCCAGAAAGAGCAATGATCCATAAGGCTGGTACTTTGATTAGAGGAAAGGCTACTGGAATCTAGTTAGGCATCCATCCTTTTTACTTTCAATTTCATCCTTAAAAGTTGTCTGGATCAGGCCAGCTCTGTCCGCCAGTTCTTAACTACAAAGAGTTGGGAGATGGTACCTCAAGACAGCCCATCTTCTTCAATCATTTTGAAGGAAACTTTGGCGATAAAAGCAGAACTGTGAGCAGGTACATTTTAATTCATAGTTAACAAAAGAAACCATTTTCATTCTGCATGGCCAAATACCAGGCTATTAAAAAAAATGTATCAATGTGATAGGGGATGCTAAGCAAGGCTGCATATGTGAGTATAACTGACTGGTAAAAAATAAATTGAACATGAAAAGACTAATGCTTTGTCAAAGTGGAACAAAAATGAGCAAGGAATACAAATTGCTGGAGATAATGGTTGCCATGGCAATTGTTTGTCCAGGCCCAAACTGTGGTAACTTAGGTAAGAGTAACAGAAAATGAAAGCTTTTAGTAGCACTTCCCCACTATGATTTTGTTGCTGCTGCAGGCTTGGTTAGTATGACTCAATATCCCTTCCTGGCCCTCTGGAAGCCCCAACACAATTATAATTTGCTAAATAAGGAAGAAGGAGATTTGCTTAAATCCCACTCGGAGCAGCAGGTCGTTTCTGAAATCATCATTATTTACCAAACACACCAGACGTTTCAATGTGGGGTGATGTGAGTTGGCACAATTTTTCTGATGCCCCACTCCCCCAAAAAACAAGTAGCTTCCTTCTACTAAAATATATAGTGGTGGGATTAAAAAAAATCAGGGTTGCAAAATGCTGGATTGAAGAGGTAACACAACACCAGCAGCTCCATTTTCTTTCCTATGCATGGCTATCGATAGCCATTTCTCCCACATGATTACCCATCTGTTTGAGATGCTTACTGCATCATGCAAATGAAATGCACCTGTTTGCAGAAAGACACGAATAATCTGGTTTCCAAGTATTCTTGGCTCTCAAACTTGCCTTTATTGACTCCGTGTGTGTGTGTGTGTGTGTGTGTGTGTGTGTTTTCCTTTCATAATCAAATTATTCTGACTCTAGATTTTCCAAATTCATCTTTTCAACTTTCCTATGAAAGGTGTTTAGGGGAGAAAAACTAAAATAATTAATGAATCACATGGGAAGAGAAGGAGATTTTGGAGGAGAGGAATGGTGTAGAAAATCAGGTTGCCCATTCTCCTATGTTCTGTAACCATAATTTAGAATCTTATCTTGCATGGTTTGTTGGTGAGAAATGTTAACATTTGCATTTCAAGGTAAAGAAAGGCTTTTACTGATGGCCAGTCACCAGGGAAACTTAATGAGAAGTTACAGTGGTTGGATTTGTAGCAACTTGTTTTCTGTAGTATCCAGGCAGCAGACGGCTTTGTGCACACAAATACAGAAAGTGGACTGCTTGTTAGGTATCATATCTAATTAGCTAGAACCCAAAAAACTTCTGCTAATGATATTTTTATGCCAGGAGAGTTTGAGACATTGCACTCCAGTTTGGATGTTTTTAAAGAGTAAGAATCTGCAGGAATTACACACACAAATAAAACTGTTAACAGATACTTAGAGCTGTACACCTGTTACATCATTGGATTCTCACCACAATAGCATGAGGTTGGGTATCAGTTTTCTATTGTTGCTGCAACAAATTATCACAAACTTTGACCTGAAATAACACCGTTGTATTATTTCACAGTTCTGTAGGTCTGAAGTCCAACACACGTTTTGCTGGACTAAAAGCAAGGTGTTTGCAGTGCGTTGTTCCTAACTGGATGCTCTGGGGAAGGAACCTGATATCATGCGCATTCATGGTGTTGACCGAATCTGGTTCTTTGTGGTTACAGGACTGAGGTCCCCGGTTCCTTCCTGGCTGTCATCTGTGACCATCTTTAACTAATGGAAGCCTCTGTCCAGCCCCTGCAAGTAGCCCCTCTGCATCTCTGAGCTAGCTAGAGTATCAAAGCCTTCTGCTTGGAATCTCTCTGACTACTGCCACTTTGCCCTGCCTCCAGGTGCAGAAAGTTCTCTCTAATTAAGGACTCATGATTGGGCCAACCCAGATAACCCAGGGTAATCTCTCTATTTTAAGATCATTGATTAGTATATTCAATTATATCTGCAAAGCTCGTTTTGCCACGTGGCATCACATATTCACAGGTCCCAGAGATTAGGAGGTGAATGTCCTTTTTGGGGGACATTATTCTGGCATAAAAGGTGGGTAATATCATTATCTCCATTTTGCAAAAAGAAGGCACTAGTTAAGGTGGTTAAGTAACCCGACAGAGGTAACACAACTAGTAAATGGCAGAGTCAGAATTCAAATGCTGTCTTGACTCAAGAAGTCAATCTTTCAAATACTATACTGTATTGTTTCCAAGTGACTAATTGGTAATGTAGGTGGAAGTTATTATAAGCACCTTCTCCCTCCTGCCTCCAAATGCATTCCTTAATGTGCAAGTCATTTCATACTGAGCTGGAAATTATTTGTCAGAAAGTATGCATGGAAGAATTAATACTGTGGAGATACTCAGGAGCAATATCAAATAGCCCTTTAATAGCTTTTCATCCAGTTAAATTGATCAAATTGTACTGGAGACGCATGGAAATTCTCAAAAATGCTTCCTCGACCTCCTGTAGTAGATTTCATTATGGTTTCCAATTGGTTCCTCTTTCCTGTTATGGAATTCCATTTCCCTACATTTACTATGACTTAATGATAGATTATGTATATTTCCATGCTCTTTAACACTGGGCTTGCCTGAATAACTTGCTTTGATTATGGAGATATTAAGGTTAATAGTACTAACCAAGCTGTAAATGTATTTGAATAGTTTGTGTTTTTCTCTTGTGTTCCCATGATCTCCCATGAAAAGGACATTCAGTGGGCAGCTGCTAGACCCTGAATATTGAAGGCATGCAGAGTAGAACTAAACCCAACCCACAGCCTAGAGCCCAGCCCAACCCAGCCCAAGCAAATGAGCCAAACCCCACAGACCTGAAATCTATGAATGAGAAAAGTAAGCCCTTGTTTTTGTCAGACACTGAAAATTTCAGAGTTTTCTTTCAATAGTGTAGCAATATTGTGGAAAAAACAAATTCACCTTCCCTGAAGGATCAGCTTTCACTAATAATTTCAATGGTTTAAAAAGCCATATGCTTGGAAGGGAACCAACCGTGTTACCCTATTCATATCTCATAGTTGTCCAGGGGCCTTTCCCTCATAAAGCATTATCCATAGGGGATATGTTTTTTATCTCTTAGTGACTAAACAACATCATCAAATTTTGGAGGAGTCAATGAAGTAAGACAGGAAGAGAAGCAGTAATATTGGACCCATGTCAGAGAGAAAACTTCTAAAAATATTTTCTAAGACATAAATTTGAATCACAATCTGCCATTTACTTTGTAATGTTGACTATGTGAGTTAAATTGTCCAGCGTGGAAAATGTGAATACCTCCCTCATTTGATTATTATAAACAGGAAATGATAAAATGCATCAAAGGCCTGCAGCACAATGTCTAGTATATAGTAAGAGCTCAATAAATGCTAGCTACTAAACACTGACAGTAAGGAAAAGATGTTTGCATTTGTTCATTCATTCATTATTTCAGCCTCTGCAAAGATATCACAGATGCTTGCTTCCTTCCTTCCTTCCTGCCTGCCTGCCTTTCCATCTCCTCTTTCCCTCCTTTCCTCCCTTCTTCCTTTTCTTCCTTCCTTCTTTACTTCTTCATTTCTTCAACGTCTAGGCACTGGAAATTTAAAATGTTTGAGAGGCACAGAGCTAAGCCATAGTTAGATAAGTGGACTAATGAACAACTGCAATTTTCACTTTAAAAAGGAAGAATAATGGTTGGCTGGGCCTGGTGGTTCATGTCTATAATCCCAGCACTTTTGGAGGCTGAGGAGGGTGGATCATCTGAGGTCTGGAGTTTAAGATTAGCCTGACCAACATGGCAAAACCCCGTCTCTATTAAAAATACAAAATTAGCCGGGTATGGTGGCACATGCCTGTAATCCCAGCTACTTGTGAGGCTGAGGCAGAAGAATCGCTTGGATCTGAGAGACAGAGGTTGTACTAAGCCGAGATTGCCCCATTGCGCTCCAGCCTGGGAAACAAGAGGGAAACTCCATCTCAAAAAATAAAAATAAACAATAAAATAAAAGGAGGAATAATGGGACATGACTTACATGTTTTTACTGATGAGAATAAACTTTGCATTTAGTTAAATTTTAATATGCAGCTTTCATCTCAGTGAAGATATGTATTCAGGTTATTAAACAATGGCCATCATCATATGGTAGACTTCTAGAAGGGGAGCCAATAGTTATGATTTCTTTGTGGCTAACATTTCTTACAATCTAGGTACTCCAAAGAGTCCAATATTATGAAAAACATGGGTCCAATAATCATAACTGAGCTTGGGTCCAATATTACTGCTTCTTTTCCTGTCTTCCTTCATTGACTCCTCCAGAACTTTGCTATGTTATTTAGTGACCAAGAGATAAAAACCATCCCTAGAGATAATTCTCTGTTAGAGAAAGACCTCTGGACAACTATGAGATATGAGTAGTGTAACAGGGTTGGTTTCCTTCAAAGCACAGGGCTTTTTAAACCATTGAAATTATTAGTGAAACTGATCCTTCAGGGAGGGTGAATTTGTTTTTTCCACAATATTGCTACACTATGAAAAAAATCCTGAAATTTTCAGTGGCTGACAAAAACTGGGCTTTAGGGATCCATGACTTCTGATTTTGTATCAGATTTTACTTATGTGTACAAATGTTGTCTGAGAAGAATATCCACAGGTTTTATCAAGTTTTTCATAATCTTAATCTAATTTTTAAACTTCAGATGATATTCTTAATATTTAACAAGATATTAAGAATTGCTGCTCTTCTACAAGCCACTTAACCTTATGTGTGTCATATCTGTATAATGAGGTTATTATTCTTTAACTCAGAAAATTATGAGAAAATTATGAGATGAAAAAATGTGTAAAATTTGAACTATACAAAGAAAGGTCTCATGAGATCCCTGCTTTTCCATATCATGACCAGGAAGTCTAAATTTAATTGTATGTCAGTCTCTACTTCTACTAGTTAAGTGTTGATAAGTTTTCAACGCAGAACATTCGGAGCTCAGCAAGCCTGTGGTTTCCAGTGCTTGAAATGTTCAATAATCACAGTGTGATTTGATTTCTCTCCACTGGGTCTCTTTAAAGTTAGAAAGGTAAACATCCTAGGCTACTTTTTATCTCAGCTTAAACCTAATGGAGCTAGAGCCATCTCATTTTCATGAGACATTGGTGGCACAGTGATAGTAAGTTTCTTCCTAGCAACTCAATTATTTCTAATGATTTACACAAGATAATCACCGTTGATAAATATCCAAATTCTTAGAATGAGGAACTATCTCTTTCTATGTCCAGTTTTATATCTTCCATTGGTTGAAGCTTTTGCTGGTGATCAGATGTCAGAGATGTGGAATTGTCAACGAGAATGGGAGGAGAAGAGACGAACAGGGAGTAAAGATGTAAACATCATGCATCCTTGAGTGCATGAAAGCAGAAATAATCTGATTGTGTTGTCCAGGACTCTGGCTTAAAGTAAAAGAAACTAAATTCATCATGACTAACAGTCCAATGTGTTTTATGCTTCAGGGATGGCTGGTTCCAGAGGATTTTAGGATTTTTAGATAATGTGTTTCCCTTGCTGTCTCTTAACTTAGCCACTCTATTTTTTGGCCTCCTGCATCGCCCAGCTCTCTCCACATGGTGGCTTCCTGCAGCGACAGATTTGTATTATTTTACAGTTCATAATGCCAACAGAAAGTGAGTTCTCTTTTTGATTATTTTATCTGAAGTCCTAGAATTAAGTCTCATTGGCCTATCTTGAGTGTTAAACACATAAAATACCCAATTAATATGCTCAAGTCATGGAACCCTTTGATGAATCAAATGTATTTCATGTACCCACAGCCAGAGCTAGAGCATAATAAGGTTAACTCACAGGACTTACATGGTACCCCACAGGAAAATCAAGTCTCAAACAAATGGGACAGCCAAGAACAAGAACTGTCTACTGCATTGTGCTTAAAAACTAGCCTATAAAAATCATGTTGAGTTTTTATTGAATCATCAAATATTAAAAATCATAGGGACTTTGAATCTTCTATTTCAAACTTCTCTTTTTATAGATGTAAATTCTGAAACAGGAACGACTTCAGAGGCCAGTCTAGAGTCAGACAGCAAGTGATAGTGCCAGAAAAGGAAACTGGGACTCCAAGCTCTTATGCTCCATTGTCTGGGGAAAATGTTTACATTCGTAGATAAAGACACAGCTATTATATTTATCATGGAGCAAATTTTCCTCTTATTGCTTTTTTCTGTCCTCCTTTCATTCAGTACATATTTATTGGAGAGCTACTGTATCATCCAAGGCTTTCACCCCTAACTCTTTATTGAGTCCTTGCACTGTACTTAGCCTTGATTCAACATATATTTGATAAGCAGCCTATATGCTAAATATGTAGCTGGGATTGGAAATAAAATTAAGGATAACATATTCTAGATGAGAAGCAAAACAATCAATTAAAAATATAAATTATGGCAAGGGCTTTGAGGCAAATGACACGTAAGATGTAATTTGGAAAAGATAGAGATGTTAAAAAATTAACCTGAAAGATAGGGAGAAATTAGCTATACAGCACGCTAGGAGGAAGTGTATTTTAGGGGAAAGGATTCTCAGAAGGGCTGTGGCTAGAAGTTCAAAAAACACATTTGGTAAGAGCTTAGAGAAGGAGTTAAGAAAGTTTATAAATGTTCATGGCCTTGTAAGCCATATGGTATCTGCTATCCAACCCTACTGTTGAAGCATGAAAACAGCCATATGCGATGTGTAAACAAATAAGTATGACTGTGCTACAATAAAACTTTATTTATAAAACCAGGTGGCAGACAGAATTTGCTGACCCCTGGCATAGAGATTGAGAGGGAGAAGCAGGAGATGACATTGGAAGATAGGAAAGAATTTTGAAGGCAAGAGGACCACTGTGGCTTTAGGTCTTGAAGGATCTAAGTTTTTGCCTAAAAATATTATTATTTTTTTTTTTTTTTGAGACGGAGTCTCTCTCTGTCGCCAGGATGGAGTGCAGTGGTGCGATCTCAACTCACTGCAACCTCCACCTCCTGGGTTCAAGCAATTCTCCTGCCTCAGCCTCCTGAGTAGCTGGGACTACAGGTGTGCACCACCATGCCCAGCTAATTTTTGTATTTTTTTAGTAGAGACGGGGTTTCACCATGTTGGCCAGGATGGTCTTGATCTCTTGACCTTGTGATCCGCCCGCCTCGACCTCACAAAGTGCTAGGATTACGGGCTTGAGCCACTGCGCCCGGCCAAGAATATTATGATTTTAAGAGTGGTTCTTTTTTCATGTTGTTCTTCTTTTAAAATTTATCATAAACATTTAAATAGCAGGTCATGTTAGAGGTCGTCTCCGTGGTATGGTTTGGGGATGACAAAACATGCCCCCTCTTTGGCTCCAGTCATATTTTCTATACACCTTCTTTGTGCGAGGTTCTCTCACTTGGCTTTACGTTCCATTATTCCTTTCGGCTGAAAAATACAAATGGAGAATTATGGACAAATAAGATGACAGCAATAACAAAAATTAATCCTGAAAATATATGACTGCTCTCAGGGTATGAGATTGGTGACTAGGGAACAGCTCCAAGCATGTCCCTTCCTTAGGATTTCTCTGAAGTGAAATGTTAAATAAATGTGAGACAATCTTCTATTTTTCCATAGAGAAGGTTTCATTTAATTTGCATTTCAGTGGTATGGTGGTATTTTTCTGACCATGATGGTAGCATATTGGTGAGAGAAATCAAATACATCATTTTTTTTTTGAAATTCAGATTGTGAAACAGAATAATATTCATGTTTACTAATGGAATAGAGGAAGGATAAAAATCAAAGGACCAGAAGAAACTTTGATGCACTGTAATCAAAAAAGAAAGTGGATTTAAAACAATTAAGGACACGTAGTTCATTGAGGAGACTTCCCACAGGAAACAAATTGCTGGCCCACAGTGCCAAGATTCTTCAATCATGTCAGAATACATCTTGATTATCAGTAGCTGAGGTTGATTGGTACACTTTGCTACACTTTGCTACTCTCCTGTTTAGCAGTTTTAGGAGAAAATGAAAGCAGTATCAAGGTAAAAACCTAGCACATTCATCAGTCGAAATTTGCTCATCAAAAGCATTGGTTGTTCTAATGATATTGTTGACACTGATATGCGTGTCAAAAAGGAGTATCCTCCTCTGACGCAGGGAAGTTGAGGGCTTTGTTGAGAAAGTTTAAGCAGGGAGACGTGGTGGAGTTTCGACTGTTTGGTCCATCCCTATCGCTGTCATTTTAAAGGACTTTCAGTTCTGTCTGTTCAACCATGTTCTGTAAAGTTCAAGAGGAATTTAATTTCGGTTTTCTCTCAAGCCTAAAATGTATGATTATAATTCATCATGAAATACCAATGGATATTTGATTAACAGGAAATTGAACTCATATTGTTTTTGGTTGTATGGGTTTTCAAGTATTCTGCACCTTAGTAATATTTTATTTACTAATATTTTAAAGTAACTTTCCCCCCATCATATAAGAGTAATACATGTTTATTGATTTGGAGAATAAAATGGAATGATAAAATAAGTATAAAGCAGTGCATAGCCTTTTCCTTAGTCAAATATTGTATCATTTGATGTAGATTCTTCTAGCTTTTCTTTCCTTTTATGTGTATGTGCTTTTATAAATATGTATGTGTACAAATTTTTCTCATTTGCATAAATGTAGACTATGTTATACACACACTTTTATGAATTGTATTAGAAACTATCTTTCATTAACATTTCATAACATTTTTCTTTCTCAATAGTGGTAGTATCTGGTTGAGAGATAAAACAACATCTCTTTCATTAGAATTGTTTTTTTCTTTCATTTAAGTTCTTGGGTGCATGTGCAGGATATGCAGGTTTGTTACATAGAAAAACACGTGATGGGTTGGCCCAGCATGAATTTCCTATTTTTCATGATGCTCTCCTTCCGCCGATTATCCCCCACAGACAGGCCCCAGTGTGTGTTGTTGCCCTGTTATCCATGTGTTCTCATTGTTCACTTCCCATTTACAAGTGAGAAATGCAGCGTTTGGTTTTCTGTTCCTCTGTTAGTTTGCTGAGGATAATGGCTTCCAGCTCCATCCATGTCCCTGCAAAGGACATGATCTCATTTCTTTTTATGGCTGCATAGTATTCCATGGTGTATATGTACCACACTTTTTTTAATCCAGTCGATGATTGATGGACATTTGGGTTGATTCCATATATTTGCTGTTGTGAATAATGCTGCAGTGAACATATGTGTGCATGTATCTTTACAACAGAATGATTTATATTCCTTTGGGCGTATATCCAGTAATGGGATTGATGGGTCAAATGGTATTTCTGGTTCTAGGTCTTTGAGGAATTGATTGCCACACCATCTTTCACAATGGTTAAACTAATTTACACTCCCACCAACAGTGTAAAAGCATTCCTCTCTCTCTAAGCCTCACCAGCATCTGTTGTTTCTTTACTTTTTTTTCTTTCAGACACACAGCTCTGATGTTTATTGACTTTTTAATAATTGCCATTCTGCCTGGTGTGAGATGGTATTTTATTGTGGTTTTGATTTGCATTTCTCTGATGAACAAAGATGTTGAGCTTTTGTTCATATGTTTGTGGCTGCATAAGTGTCTTCTTTTGAGAAATGTCTGCTCATGTCCTTTGCCCAATTTTTAATGGGTTTTTTTTTCTTGTAAATTTGTTTAAGTTATTTGTAGACTCTGGATATTAGACCTTTATCAGATGGATAGATTGCAAAAATTTTCTCCCATTCTGTAGGTTGTCTCTTCTTTCTGATGATAGTTTCTTTTGCTGTGCAGAAGCTCTTTAGTTTATTTAGATATCATTTGTCAATTTTTGCTTTTGTTGAATTTGCTTTTGGCATTGTCATCATGAAATCTTTGCCCATGTTTATGTCCTGAATGGTATTGCCTAGATTTTCAAGGGTTTTTATAGTTTTGAGTTTTACATTTATTTATTTAATTTTTTTTAGATGGAGTTTTGCTCTTGTTGCCCAGGCTGGAGTGCAATGGCATGATCTTGGCTCACTGCAACCTCCTCTCTCTGGGTTCAAGCAATTCTCCTGCCTCAACCTCCCGAGTAGCTGGGAATACAAGCACCCACCACCACACCAGGCTAATTTTTTGTATTTTTAGTGGAGACGGGGTTTCACCATGTTGGCCAGGCTAGTCTTGAACTCCAGACCTCAGGTGATCCACCCGCCTTGGCCTCCCAAAGTGCTGGGATTACAGGTGTGAGCCACTGCACCCGGCCCACATTTAAACCTTTCATCCATCTTGAGTTAATTTTTGTATAAACTGTAAGGAAGGGGCCCAGTTTCAATTTTCTGCATATGGCTAGTCAGTTCTCCCAGCACCATTTATTAAATAGGAAATCCTTTCTCCATTGCTTGTTTTGGTCAGGTTTGTTAAAGTTCAGATGGTTGTAGATGTCTAGTCTTATTTCTGAGTTTTCCATTCTGTTCCATTAGTCTCTGTGTCTGTTTTTTTTTCCAGTACCATGCTGTTTTGGTTAGTGTAGCCTTGAAATATAGCTTAAAGTTGGGTAGTGTGATACCTCTAGTTTTATTCTTTTTGCTTAGAATCAGCTTGGCCATACAAGCTCATTTTTGGTTCCATATATATTTTAAAATAGTTTTCTCTAATTCTGTGAAGAATGTCAATGGTAGTTTAATGGGAATAGTATTGAATCTATAAATTGCTTTGGCCAGTATCGCCATTTTCACAATATTGATTATTCCTATTTATGAGCATGGAATGTTTTTCCATTTGTTTGTGTCCTCTCTGATTTTCTTGAGCCGTGGTTTGTAGTTCTCCTTGAAGAGGTACTTCATTTCCCTTGTTAGCTATATTACCAGGTATTATATTCTCTTCGCAGCAACTGTGAATGGGAATTCATTCATGATTTGGCTCTCTGCTTGTCTGTTGTTGGTGTATAGGAATATATGTGGCTTTTGCACATTGATTTTTGAATTCTGAGACTTTGTTGAAGTTGCATATCAGCTTAAGCTTTTGGGTTGAAATGATGGGGTTTTCTAGATATAGGATCATGCCATTTGCAAACAAAGACAGTTTGACTTCCTCGCTTCCTATTTGAATATGCTTTGTTTCTTTCTCCTGCCTAATTGCCCTGGCCAGAACTTCCAATACTATGTTGAATAGGAGTGGTAAGAAAGGGTATCCTTGTCTTGTGCCAGTTTTCAAGGGGAATGCTTCCAGTTTTTGCCCATTAAGTATGATATTGGCTGTGAGTTTGTCATAAATGTTTCTTATTATCTTGAGGTATGTTCTTTCAATACCTAGTTTATTGAGAGTTTTTAACATGAAGGGATGTTGAATTTTATCAAAGGCCTTTTCCACATCTATTGAGATAATCCTGTGGTTTTTGTCTTTAGTTCCATTTCTGTGTATTGAACCAGCCTCGCGTCCCGGGGATGAAGCTGACTTGATCGTGGTGGATAAGCTTTTTGATGTGCTGCTGGATTCGGTTTGCCAGTATTTTGTTGAGGATTTTTGCACCAATATTCATCAGGAATATTGGGCTGAAGATTTTCGTTTTTTTTTTTTTTTGTTAGATCTCTGCCAGGTTTTGGTATCAGGATGATACTAGCCTCATAAAATGAGTTAGAGAGGAGCCGCTCCTTTTCAATTGTTTGGAATAGTTTCAGAAGAAATGGTACCAGCTCCTCTTTGTACCTCTGTTAGAATTCAGCTGTAAATCTGTCTGGTCCTGGGCTTTTTTTGGTTGGTAGTCTATTTATTACTACCACAATTTCAGAACTCATTATTGATCTATTCAGGAATTCAGCTTCTTCCTGATTCAGTCTTGATGGTTGCTTGTATTTCTGTGGGGTCAGTGGTGATATCCCCTTTATCATTTTTTTATTTTGTCCGTTTGGTTCTTCTCTCTTTTCTTCTTCATTAGTCTAGCTAGCAGTCTATTTTATTACATTTTCCAAAAAAAAAAAAAAAAAAAAAAAAAAACAGCTCCTGGATTGGTTCATTTTTTTTGAAGGGTTTCTCGTGTCTCTATCTCCTTCCGTTCTGCTCTGATCTTGGTTATTTCTTGTCTTCTGCTAGATTTGGGGTTTGTTTGCTCTTGGTTTTCCAGTTCTTTTAGTTGTGATATTAGGATGTCAATTTGAGATCTTTCTAGCTCTTTGATATGCACATTTTAGTGCTATAAATTTCCCTCTTAACACTGCTTTACCTGCATCCCAGAGATGCTGGTACATTGTCTTTGTTCTCACTGGTTTCAAAGAACTTCTTGAGTTCTGCCTTAATTTCATTGTTTATCCATAGGTCATTCAGGAGCAGGTTGTTCAATTTCTATGTAGTTGTGTGGTTTTGAATGAGTTTATTTATCCTGAGTTCTAATTTGATTGCACTGTGGTCTGTGTTTCTGTTTGTATGATTTCCGTTCTTTTGCCTTTGCTGAGGAGTGTTTTACTTCCAATTATGTGATCGATTTTAGAGTAAGCGCTATGTGATACTGAAAAAAATGTATATTCTCTTGTTTTTGGGTGGAGAGTTCTGTAGATATCTATTAGTTCCACTTGATCCAGAGCTGAGTTCAAGTCCTGTATATCTTTGTTATTTTTTGTGTGTGTGTCTCAGTGACCTGTCTGTATTCACAGTGGGGTGTTAAAGTGTCCCACTATTATTGTTTGGGAGTCTAATTCTCTTTGTGGGACTCTAAGAACTTGTTTTATGAATCTGGGCACTCCTGTATTGGGTACATATATATTTAGGATAGTTAGCTCTTCTTGTTGAATTGAACCCTTTACCATTATATAATGCCCTTCTTTGTCTTTTTTGATCTTTGTTGGTTTAAAGTCTATGTCGTTAGAAACTAGGATTGCAACCCCTGCTTTTTTCTGCTTTCCATTTGCTTGGTAAATTTTCCTCCATCCCTTTATTTTGAGCCTGTGTGTGTCTTTGCACATAAGATGGGTCTCTTAAATACAGCACCCCAATCAGTCTTGACATTTTGTCCAGCTTGCCATTCTGTGTCTTAATTGGGACATTTAGCCCATTTACATTTAAGGTTAATATTGTTATGTGTGAATTTGATCCTGTTATTATGATGCTGGCTGGTTACTTTGCAGACTTGTTAATGTAGTTGCTTCACAGTGTTATTGGTCTATGTACTTCAGTGTATTTTTCTAGTGGCTGGCAACAGTTTTTTGTTTCCATATTTTGTGCTTCCTTCAGGAGCTCTTGCAAGGCAGGCCTGGTGGTGACAAATTCCCTCAATATTTGCTTGTCTGAACAGGATTTTATTTCTACTTCCCTTATGAAGCTTAGTTTGGTCAGATATGAAATTCTGGGTTGGAAATTCTTTTTTTTAAGAATGTCGAATATTGGCCCCCAATCTCTTCTGGCTCTTAGGGTTTCTGCTGAGAGGTCTGCTGTCAGTCTGATGGGCTTCCCTTTTTAGGTGACATGGCCTTTCTCTCTGGCTGCCCTTAACATTTTTTCCTTCATTCCAACCTGGTGGAATCTGATGATTGTGTGTCCTGGGGTTGATCTTCTCATGGAATATCTTCCTGAGGTTCTCTGGATTTTCTGAATTTGAATGTAGGCGTGTTTTGCTAGGTTGGGGAAGTTCTCCTGCATGATATCCTGAAGTATGTTTTCCAACTCGGTTTCATTCTCCCTGTGTCTTTCAGGTACTCTAGTCATAGGTTCTGTCTTTTTACACAATCTGTGGTTCTCAGGGGCTTTGTTCATTCCTTTTCATTCTTTTTTTCTCTAACGTTGTCTGCCTCTCTTATTTCAGCAAGATAGTCTTCAAGCTCTGAGAATCTTTCCTTCACTTGGTCTACTCAGTTATTGATACTTGTGGTTGCATTGTGAAGTTTTTGTGTTGTGTTTTTCAACTCCATCAGGTCATTTCTGTTTCTCTCTAAACTGTTTTTCTGGTTAACAGATCCTGTTATGTTTTATCATGGTTCTTAGCTTCTTTGCATTGGGTTAGAACATGCTCCTTTAGCTCAGCAAAGTTTATTATTACCCACCTTCTGAAGGCTACTTCTGTCAATTCATCCATCTCAGCCTCATCCCAGTTCTATGCCCTTGTTGGAAAGGTGTTGCAATCATTTGGAGGAGAAGAGGTGCTCAGGCTTTTTGAGTTTTCAGCATTTTGGCATTGATTCTTTCTCATTTTTGTTGGTCTACCTTTTATCTTTGAGGCTGCTGACTTTTGCATAGGGTTTTTGTGAGTTTTTTGTTGTTGTTGTTGCTGTTGGTGTTGGTTTTGCTTCTGTTTATTAGTTTTTCTTTTTATCAGGCAGGCCCTTCTTCCATAGGGCTGCTGCAGTTTGCTGGGGGACCGCTACAGAAAAAATTCCCCAGGGTCCCTCCCGCACGTGGAGGTATCACTGGTGGAGTCTGCAGAACAGCAAAGATGGCCGCCTGTTCCTTCCTCTGGGAGCTCTGTCCCAGAGGGGTACCAATCTGATGCCAGCCAGAATGCTCCTGTATTAAGTGTCTGGCAACTCCTGTTGAAAGATCTCACCCAGTCAGGAGGCACAGGTTCAGGGACCTGCTTAAAGAAGAAGTCTGACTGCACCTTGGTGGAGCCCATATTGCACTGGGGAGAATCATCCTCCTCCTCTGGACGGCCAGCAGACAGGAAAGACTAGGTCCACTGAACTGGGACACCTTGGCTGCCCTTCCCCTCTAGAGGCCCCTTCCCAGGGATGTCAGAGTTCTGTCCCTAAACCCCTGGCTGGAGTTGCTGAAATTCTTGCAGGGAGGCCCCAACCCAGTGAGGAGGGATGAATTTATGTCCAACTTAAGCAGTCTGTCCGTAATCTGTCACAGCCACTGTACTGCACTGGGGAGAATTCCTCTGGGTCCAAACCACCCAGTCTTCCCAGCATCAGCCAGGGAAAACAACCTACCCACTGGAGCCATAGTGATGGTGGCCGCCCTTCCCTTCAGGAACTTAGTCATCTTAGGCAGTGTCCGGCCTGTTGCTGCTGGCTGCAACCCAAGTGGGTTGCACAGCTCTGTGCTTAGGACCCAAGGCCCTCATGGTCTCATAAGGGGATCTCCTGATACTGGGGATGCAGACATCTGTGGAAAAAGCATGGTTTCCAGGGCAGGATAGCACAATCACTCACTGCCTCCTTTGGCTGGGAGTGGGGGCTCCCCTGGTTTCATGCCACTCCCCGGTGGGCCATCGAACAACCCTGCTTTTCCTTGTTCTGTGTGGGTTGTGCCAACTGCCTAGTCACCTCAGTTGATGGGGCAGGATTGACTCACTGTTTTTGTTCTTCTTGGTGGGAGCCACGGACCAGAGCTGCTTCTGGTCGGTCATCTTGGCCCCTCCTCATTATTAGAATTTTTTATTCTGTTCAGTGTTTTGCTATTTTAAAGCACTTCAATAAACATAGTACATGGTATTGTTTTCTATTGATATTATGTTAATTAAACCCAAAATGGTATCTCTCCTTAAATCTTTAAGAAAAAAAATAAATGTAAGCTTAAGAATTTTTTTAAAGGAAAATACTTAGTTGATTTTAAAGGCTGTTTATAAATGAGAAAAAAAGAGAACAAAAGAAAGTTCAGTAAATAAATACAAAGTTACCGTTTTTTCTTGGTTATAGTAATTCCTCAATTTAGGTACAGTTCCTCTTATAAAATTTTGTTTAAATATTCCTGCTTTTCCTCAACACTTGGGAAGAAAGAGTTACTCATCACTAAAGCTAAGTTGTTGGCATATTTTGAAAGCTGGTTAAGGGCTTCATTTGTGGAAGAAACTACACCTTTTGGTATATTTGGGGAAGGAAAATGGAAAGTGTATGCTGTAGAATGTTAGGAATCATGAGTTATCAGATTGAGTAAGTTTCCATTTATTTTTATTTTTCTGAGAGCTTTTATCATAAAGAAGTATTAAATTTTGTGAAATTCTTTCTTGCATTGATTAATATAATTACATGGTTTTTCTTCTTTAGCCTGTTAATGTGGTAAATTGTATTTATTGGTTTTTGAATATTAAACTAGACTTGCATCCTTGAAATAAACCCCACTTTGTCACGGTATGGTATATATTATAAATAGTGTATATTACACGTGTGTGTGTGTGTGTGTGTGTGTGTGTGTGTGTGTGTATGCGTATCCTTAAAAGGACATAGACATCTAACTGTTTTATTTACAAAATGTAAAAATATAACTTGGGCAGAGGGAATTGAAAGCAGAAGTTGAAGAACTTCAAAACCTTGCTTCCTACCCTTTGCTAGGAATATCTTCTGGCCAGTGTGACTTTGACTAGCCTGCCAACGTATAGCACTGTTGATGTATTCATCTACTATATATGTGTATGATTGTGAATCCCAATATCTATCCATCATAACATTCTCTGTTGAGTAGCAGATCTTTGACATTCACCAGTAATAGTCCCCAAAGCCATTTCTCATTTTTCAAATCCATAAATACTGAAGTGATTGTTGAATTTCTTATATTCCAGAATTTTCTGTGCACTAAGTATCATGTTTTTCCATGACATGCCACCATTTCACAAATTAATCACCATTTAATCTTTTAGTACAATTTTAAGTCTTACTTGATCATTTTTACAATTTTTTTAATAATTGTGAATATTGATCTAAAACACTTGATGTAAATATAACCTAGAAAAAAAAATGACAAAACCCCAATGTGATACTGAGCCGGGTTGGAGGATGTCTTTATTTGAGAAGTAGGATCCCGTCCTCTGGCCTCATCTTTACCTAGACATGAATTTATATTTGGGTAAAATTACGAAGTACTGGGGCATGCCTATTTATCATATCAGCTTATTTATGAATGATTGAAATAGAAAACATGGTAAACTCAGCTATCTAATGTATACTAAATATAATTAGAAAAAGCACTTCATTCTTTAATCACTCTATAACTTAGTGTTTTGTCTACTAAATTACTCCGGAAAAAAATCTGAAAGCAAAAGTGGAAATTTGTATTTAAATTCTTTGTTTCCCAGGGCTTTTGTATACCAAGAGATGCTCATGGTATTTTATTGAATAGGAAAAGGGCAAACTACTACAATCTTAGAGATAACCAATTTCTTTTGCACAAAAATGGTACTGAATTTAAAAATATTTATGGTTTATGAAGCATTTTCATTGCAATTAATAACTACCTGTTAGAAGCCTTGGAACTTAATTAAATGTCCTGAATTATAACTGTCTTCACTAGCCATAAACATACTTTTCTCTGAGATCAGTGGCTATTTCTCTGCCATATTTTATCTTGTAAATTTGAATGCACATTTTTTGTAAATCAGAGTAACAGTATTTATATGGCATTTGCCACACTTCAATTGCTGGACATTGCCTATGCTGTGGGCAGTACAGATATATGTGAAACTGAGTGTTTTAAGGCAGTCTAAAAAAATGCCAGATAATCTGTGCATTGTTAGATGTTACCATCACACACCATTTACTTGAGATTTGGAGGAAATCCTTTGCACAGTTAATGTCTTTCCTATACCATTGAGCCATTTCAGTTAACCCACTGCCAACGGTTTTTTATTTGAGAACACACTGATTGTTCTGGGAAATTCCCATTGACTTTAATGTTACTTTAAAAGCTGCCCCTTAGGTATAGCCTGGAAAATTTAAGGACTCTGTTCTCTGCCAGAGCAATATTTCTTCAGGATAAAATCGAAATCTGGTTTGATACTGAGAAGGACATTTCAGTTTAATGCCTGTGGAAATTCAATGGATGCATATCTAACAGAATCTGCCATTTATTTTCAGATCAGATAGAGAAATGGCATGGTGTTGCCACTCAAGGTTGGCAGAGACTGAATGTTGATGTGTGAGTCATGCCATATTTAAAATAAGTTGGAAAATGTAAATAAATGAACCATTAAGCTCTGACCTCTGGGCCAAATCCAGCTTACCACCTGTTTTTGCTGGTGAGTGAAGAGTAGTTTTTTTAATATTTTTAATACATGAAAAAAGTTTTAAATAATATTACTGGAATAAAAATTATATTCAAAATTATGATATTCAAATTTCAGAGTCTACAAATAAAGGTTTATTGTAGCACGGCAGTCTATGGCTGCTTTTGTGTTATAATAGCAGAATTGCATAGGGGCAAGAGAGGCCACATGACCCACAAATCATAAAATAGTTACTATCTGACCCTTTAGGGAAAAAGTTTTGGAACCACTGATATGTATCACAAAAATATGTATTCATGCTGTTTCCATCATATAAACAATTTCATATAACAATTGTAAATTTTTTTACAATTAGCTGCTATTTTGTATGTGAATAGCTATACGTTTTAAAACTAATTTTGATAACAGAGATACATTTAATTGCTTCTTTATATTTTCAGCATGTTAGAACACTTTAATAAATATAAATTTTCTTTTTACCATGAGATAAAATGTTTACTTAAATGTTTTCTATCAGCAAATTGATACATTTTTACATTATAGAAAGTTATGGTCAAACAAGAAAAATAAAGTTATTCACAGTCTTACAACTAAGAAGTAACACTTTCTACATACACACAAATAAACACACCTAGTGCCTCGAAAGGAATAAAGACATGTATAATTTCTTTAAATAAAAAGTAGAATAACTTACATACTATTTTGTAATCTGTTTCTCTCCTTTAAAGTTATTTTTAAAATATTTGTTTAGAAAACTCAAAGTATACAAAATAAGAAGCTACATTTGTATGGCCAACAGTCAGAGATAAGTAATGTTACCATTTTAGTTTAATATTTTATCCTATTCATGAGTTATCTTTTCATTATAAATGCACATTTTTACATGTCTGTTTTCACAAGTATGCAGTCTGGTTGTACACGCTATTTGTTAGCTTTTTCATTTAACACTTCATTATCAGCATCTTTCATAAAAGAACATAAAACTTTCAATGCCATTTTAATGTTTGAAAGTGAACATAATTTTTTTTTATCTTTTAAGGCATGATCATGATTTCAAAATGGAAACAACCTAAATGTTTCACAGTATCTACTGTGACATCCATATAATGAAACAGAATGTAGTAAATAATAAAACTCTTCAGAGATGAATATCGCTTGCCATGTCACTGAAAGGCTTATGCAATTCTGCTCCCATGCTTGCTGGCATGCTTTTCATTGACTCTTTCAACTATTGACTTCTTCTTATCATTCAGCTTTCAACTCAAACTTTATCTCCTCTGAGAGACCATCCCTGGCCACCTGACCCAGGACCTCCACCTCCAATAACCTCTCTATCTTGTAGTCTTATTTCATTGCAAACTGATCTTCTTTATTTATTGATGTCATATGCTCTGTCCTCCTTTATCAGAGTATAATCATCTCCAGGGCAAGAAGCTGTCTTGTCTACTATTCTTCAGTATCTGGAATAATGCCTGACATATACTAGGTTCTCAAATTTTTTTTAGTAAATCAATAGAATAAATGTATGAATAAACATATTCTTCAGTTTAAAAGGGTTATAAAATGGTTTGAATAGTATGCTACCACTAATGTGATATATACATATACATGTGTGAATATGTGTGTTATGCAGAGAACATGGATGGCTAGATAGATAGATACCTAAATAGATAGAAAGACAAAAGGGAAGATAAAGAGTCATCTAACCACAGTGCTACTTTGCCTGATAGCCTGGAATAAAATGCACTTAATGTTAATAGCGATTTCCCTTAGTTGGTAGGATTTTACAGGACATCTTTTTGATTTACAATATTTTAAAATTTTTCCTCTACATATATGAAAAGCGCTGGGAAACAGTGATAAAGCTGAGCAATGTTGATTTTATACTGATTTTTTAAAGAGAGAGTTTTGGGAGCTTAGTTATCTCTGTGGTCACCATCAGAAAATAATACATGCTTGACAAATTCAGCCTTCTTTAGGAAGTAATTTTTAAACTTAATTTGTTGAAGCATCACTGTGTTACAGAGGTTACTGTTATAGGTTCAATTTCTTTGTGGTCCAGTTTTTTTCTTTTGTTTTTAGTTTCCGTGTAATAATTCTACATATATGCAGAATACACAATGATATTTTGTTAGGTGTATACAATGTGTAATGTTCCAATCAATATCATTAGCACATTCACCACCTCCAATGTTCATCATTTCTTTGTGTTGTGAACATAGAAAATCCTCTCCTCTAGCTTTTTGAAAAATAGAGTAAATTATAGTTAACCACATTCACCCTACAGTGCTGCAGAATACGGGGACTCATTCCTGCCATCAGGCTGTAATTTTGTATCCCTTTACCAACCTGTCTCCATCCTCTCTTCCCACTACCCTTCCCAGTCTCTAATACCTACAGTCCTACTCTCTACTTCCATGAGCTCAACGTTTTTTTAGCTTCCACACGTGAGTGAGAATATGGGATATTTATCTTTCTGTACCTGACTTATTTTGTTTAACATACTGTCCTTTAGGCTTATCCAGGTTTCTGGGAATGGCAGTATTTCTTTCCTTTTTGGCTGAATAATGTTCCATTTTGCATGTATTTCACATTTTCTTTACCCATTTGTCTGTAGATAGACATTCAGCTTGATTCCATATCTTGGCTATTGTGAATAGTGCTGCAATAAACATGGGGGTGTAGGTATCATTTAAATATATATATATATTTTTTTTTCTTTTGGATACCTACTCATTGGTGGGATTACTGGACTATGGTAATTATATTTTTAACTTTTGGAGAAACATTCACACTGTTTTTCATAATGGCTATACTAATTTACATTTTCACCAACAGTTGAGTTCTCTATTCTCTGCCTCCTCACCAGCACTGGTTATTTTTTGTCTTTTTGATAATAGCTGTTTTAACTGATTAAGATAATATCTCACTGTGGTTTTGATTTATATTTCCATGATGATTAGTGATGTTAAGTATTTCTTCATATATTATGGCTACTTTTATGTCTTCCTTTGAAACATATTTATTCAAATAATTTGCCAACTTTTTAATGGATTATTTTGGTTTTTTGCTTTGAGTTGGGTTCTTTATGTATTCTGAATATTGGTCTCTTGTTCAGTTAAATAGTTTGTAAATATTTTCCCCCATTCAACAGGTTCTCATCACTCTGTTAATTATTTTCTTTGCTGTGCAGAAGTTTTTCATTTGTCTGTTTTTGTTTTTGTGGCCTTTACTTCTGAGGTCTTGCCATAAAATCTTTGCTGAGACCAGTGTCCTGAAGCATTTCCTCTGTTGTAATAGGTTTAGAGTTTTCGTTCTTACTTTTAAGCATTTATTTTCAGTTTATTTCTGTATCCGATGAGAGGGATCTAGTTTCATTCTTCTGCGTATGGATATTCAGTTTTCCCAGCACCATTTATTGAAGACAGTGTCCTTTTCCCAAGCATGCTCTTAGCACCTTTGTCGGAAATCAGTTGGCTGAAAATACGTGGATTCATTTCTGGGTTCTCTGTTCTGTTACATTGGTCTATGTATCTGTTTTTATACCAATATTATGCTGTTTTGTTTACCATAGCTTTGTAGTATATTTTGGAGACAGGTAGTGTAATGCCTCTAGTTTTTTTCTTTCTGTTCTGTATTGCTTTGGCTATTTGGGGTCTTTTGTGGTTCCTTAAAAATTTTAGGATTGTTTTTCTCTATTTCTGTGAAGGACCCTCTTTCTTTAAAAAGGCCTAGCACTTTATTATGTCTGACAATACCATAGTACAATAGAGACACATGGCCTCTACCTTAATTTGTGAAGGAATATAAAATGGGTGTATGATAAAAAATAACTGGGTAATGAACACAATTTATGATGCTTGGAGAAAACATCTCTCAGAAAATAGGATTTAAGTTGAGAGTTGAGAGAGGAAAAGAAATCAGCAAAGCTAAGAGAAATTCAGGTAGAGAAAAATCATTTTCTGAGAAAGGAAAGAACCAGTGTGTTTGAAAAACAGAGAACAGAGTGAAAATCAGGTGTGGCAGGACTTTGGCAAATGACAGAAGAGTCATTAAACATGAGGTGGGAGACTCCAGACACTCCAAAACCACAGTGAAGACTGAATCATACTCTCTCTCAGTGCAGTGGGATGCACGTGCTTGTTGTAGAGAAACTGTGACATGACACCAAGAGGCACAGGTGGAGATAGTGAAGTTCCTTTCCAAGCAGCAAAACCTCTTTCTGTGAAACAGGGGGTTAGCTTTCGGCTTTGGGCTCGGAGGAGGCCAAGGTGCGACTTTCTTCGGTCGTCCCGAATCCGGGTTCATCCGACACCAGCCGCCTCCACCATGCCGCCGAAGTTCGACCCCAACGAGATCAAAGTCGTATACCTGAGGTGCACCGGAGGTGAAGTCGGTGCCACTTCTGCCCTGGCCCCCAAGATCGGCCCCCTGTGTCTGTCTCCAAAAAAGGTTGGTGATGACATTGCCAAGGCAACGGTGACTGGAAGGGCCTGAGGATTACAGTGAAACTGACCATTCAGAACAGACAGGCCCAGATTGAGGTGGTGCCTTCTGCCTCTGCCCTGATCATCAAAGCCCTCAAGGAACCACCAAGAGACAGAAAGAAACAGAAAAACATTAAACACAGTGGGAATATCACTTTTGATGAGATCGTCAACATTGCTCGACAGATGCGGCACCGATCCTTAGCCAGAGAACTCTCTGGAACCATTAAAGAGATCCTGGGGACTGCCCAGTCTGTGGGCTGTAATGTTGATGGCCGCCACCCTCATGACATCATAGATGACATCAACAGTGGTGCTGTGGAATGCCCAGCCAGTTAAGCACAAAGGAAAATATTTCAGTAAAGGATCATTTGACACACACACACACACACACACACACACACACACACACACACACACACACACACAAGAAACAGGTTAACATTGGATGTCTCTCATCATGGAGGAATGGCCTCTTGGACCCCAGTTTTTCATAGGCATAAGAGTTTATCAGCTGTTCTAAAAGTACAGGCTTTATCATTATGCCTCTCACTAGCTTGGCTGGAGGCTGATTTTCTTTTTAGGCAATTATGCCACTTGAAATATGGAGTTTATATATTGGTGGGAGTCCTGGCATGGAGGAGATATTCTGAACTCAAGTACTTCTCCTAGTACTCCTGATTATAAATGTAATACATATTTGCTAGATCCAGTTTGAAATAGTGAAAAGTAAATATCACCTGTAATTCCATCCCTGATAATATAGTCAATCATAATATACATATATCCATCTATTGACATTTTTCTCTAATTATTATGATTATTAAATTAGGCTTATGATGTAACTGCCACTTTAAAACCTGCTTTACTCAATTTATAATGTAACCTGAATGTAGATGAGCCATCCTGCACTCATCTTTAAGCCTGATTTAGTATTGTATTGCATCTGCCACACAATTGCATACATGCTAATACACAAACACGCTTCACTTCAAATACATGAACCAGTGATGCAAATCTTTACTGAACATTCTCTGGAATATAAAAGAACATGTTTTTTATTATTATTATTATTATACTTTAAGTTTTAGGGTACATGTGCACATTGTGCAGGTTACATATGTATACATATGCCATGCTGGTGCACTGCACCCACTAACTCGTCATCTAGCATTAGGTATATCTCCCAATGCTATCCCTCCCCCCACCCCACAACAGTCCCCAGAGTGTGATATTCCCCTTCCTGTGTCCATGTGATCTCATTGTTCAGTTCCCATCTATGAGTGAGAATATGCGGTGTTTGGTTTTTTGTTCTTGTGATAGTTTACTGAGAATGATGTTTTCCAATTTCATCCATGTCCCTACAAAGGACATGAACTCATCATTTTTTATGGCTGCATAGTATTCCATGGTGTATATGTGCCACATTTTCTTAATCCAGTCTATCATTGTTGGACGTTTGGGTTGGTTCCAAGTCTTTGCTATTGTGAATAATGCCGCAATAAACATACGTGTGCATGTGTCTTTATAGCAGCATGATTTATAGTCCTTTGGGTATATACCCAGTAATGGGATGGCTGGGTCAAATGGTATTTCCAGTTCTAGATCCCTGAGGAATCGCCACACTGACTTCCACAATGGTTGAACTAGTTTACAGTCCCACCAACAGTGTAAAAGTGTTCCTATTTCTCCACATCCTCTCCAGCACCTGTTGTTTCCTGACTTTTTAATGATCGCCATTCTAACTGGTGTGAAATGGGATCTAATTAAACTAAAGAGCTTCTGCACAGCAAAAGAAACTACCATCAGAGTGAACAGGCAACCTACAAAACGGGAGAAAATTTTCACAACCTACTCATCTGACAAACGGCTAATATCCAGAATCTACAATGAACTCAAACAAATTTACAAGAAAAAAACAAACAGCCCCATCAAAAAGTGGGCAAAGGACATGAACAGACACTTCTCAAAAGAAGACATTTATGCAGCCAAAAAACACATGAAAAAATGCTTATCATCACTGGCCATCAGAGAAATGCAAATCAAAACCACAATGAGATACCATCTCACACCAGTTAGAATGGCGATCATTAAAAGAACATGTTTTATTGCATTTATCACAAAACTTAATGGTAAGCATTTTAGATCATTTTTTGTTCCTCTAACAAAAAGCAGTTACTCCTGATAAATTTTTTATCTTTGTTTTCTCCTTGCCTTTAGCTCTTTTATTTTTCTCTTGCTTCTCTCCCTTTCCTCTAACTTCTTTCTACCTTATGAATATATAACAGAAGTTACAGACCTCCTTAGGTTTGCCAAATCCTCAGAATTAAGGAAAATAACTGAAAAAATGTATTATATAAAACATGGACTTTAAATTTATATAGCTTTCCTGTAAAACTTTAATTATTGCTTTTCTTCCTTTGTGCTCTACTCTCTCCATCTTGAGTTCATATTATATATTTCTTAAAATTCTTGCTTTTCACATTGAATATCATCAATTTCCTCATTTCAATCTCTTCTTCTTTGCATTATGGGATATCTTTTTGAGCTCGGTTATTTTATTTTGATATTAATTTGTTTAGTATTTAATCTTATTTTCTTGACTCCAGTTGGCTTTTTGAAAAGAAACTTTTAAATTTTCAAATAGATGCAGATTTGTGAAAAATTAGATAGTACATAAAGTTTCTATGTGTCCCTTATCTAATTTCTACTAGTATTAAGATCTTAAATTAGTATCATACATTTGTCATAATTGATGAATCAATATTGATACATTATTATTAACTAAAGATTACAGCTTATTGAGATCCTGACTTGTTACCTAATGCCCCATCCCAAGATTCTATCTAAAATACTACATGTAAATACTACAGGTATTCATTTATCTCCTTAAGCTCCTCTTGGTTGAGACAGTTTCTCAGTCTTTCTTTGTTTTTAATGACCTTGACAGTTTTGAGGTATACTGGTCTGCTATTTGTTAGAATGTCCCTCAATTATAATTTGCTTGATAATTGTTCTCACGACTGGACTAGGGCTACTGGTTATAGAGAGGAAGACCACAAAGGTAAAACATCATTCTCATCACATCATCTCATGGGTAGATACTACCAACATGATTCATTACAGTTGAGGTTAAGCTTGATCACCTTGCTGAGGTGGTGTTTGTCAGCTTTCACCACCGCCAAGTCATTCTTTCTCTCCCCCTGTTCATACCTTACTCTTTGGGAGAAAGTTGCTATGAACAGACTACACTATGGAGTGAGGAATTATGCTCCACTACCTTGAAAGTGAAGAATTATAAATCATTTGTAATTCTTCTGCATAGGAGATTTTACCTTTTCTCACCTGTTTTTATTTATTTTATTTTCTCCCCTATTTATGTTAAATCATTTATTTCTGTATGAATTCATGGATATTATTTTATGCTTTGAGTTATAATTCAGTCCTACTTTATTTTGTTGCTCAAATTTTTTCAGCTTTGTCCATTGAGAGTATTTTTAGCCGATCTCTGTGTCTTCTTGACAGACCCCCACAAATGTGGTTTCTTTTCCTTTCTGTTAATTTTTTAGGCATTTATTTACGCATTGGAACTACAGAATGCTCCAGGCTCATCTTGTGTATTTCCTGTCTGAGTTCTAGAATCATCTACTTCCCCATGAAACCCTATTTTTTTTATTATTGTTAAAGAATCATATTAGAAACCAAAGAATGGATGCTAACAGTCTGTTATTACTGAAGTGCCATTGTTTTTAGACCCTCTCAGCTAACAGAGCAAAAAATATGTACATGTATATGTGCTAACTTGTGTATATACACAGACCTATAAACAGTTCTATATGTAACTATCTATATCTATATTAAGCTAAACCTAAGTTTATCCTGATTTCTCCAATTCTAATCCATTACTTCACAGATCATTCTAGCCTTCTTCCCTTACTTATCTGAAATCTCTCTCTCCAACTGTGAGAAAACTGGTCCTTAACATCTGCTGTCCATTTGTATAATTGTCCATTGCCAAGATACCTATATAGCAGTTTCAGAATTGTTCACCTGTAAAACAACATTATCAACAAGAGTACAGTCCTTATGTACAGGTTGTTTCACCTTTAGTCTTACAGACTCTCTTCTTATTCACACTAAAACTGATAGTGTCTATTTGCAGTTCATTTCCTGTGTAATACTATATGCATGTATATATATGTATACATATATACTATATACACAAACATATGTATACACACACACATATATATGCTCAATTCAGGCATGGCTACAGATCTAGTAGATTAGGTCTTCTTATGTGTGAACTGATCTTTCAGTGGTATCAACTGATGACGTGGGTTTTCCCCTATATTTAAATGCATTGTTCTTTTAATGGATATCTGCAAGCATCAATGCATGTGTGCAAAAATGCATGTGTGCTCACATTTATGCTTGCAGATGTTAAAAACTGTGGTAGGTAGATTTCTTCATGGTCCTTTGTTCCTTAGTATTACTCTGGTGATTATCTTATATATTATATAATGAAAGAAATTTCAAAAGTGTGATTAATTAGTTTAGTTTAACATATGGATATTTCTCGATGCAGGATCAGTCTAATCACATAAATCCTATATGTGGTTAAATTAGTGGACGTCTCTCAAAAGCAGGTCAGTGTAGTGGCTAACAGCCATGGTCTTGAGTCAGCTGCCTGGGTTGAAGGCCCAGTTCTGCCACTTACCAACTTTATGGCCTTTGCAGGTTTAATTTAACCTGTGTGTAAAATGGGATTGATAATAACACCTTCCTCATAGGACTGCTATGAAGATTCAAGAGTTAGTGTATGGAAAGAGTTTATAACAGAGGCTGGGACCCTTTAGCTACTCACTAAATATTAGATATTATTTTCTGTAGCTGACAGCAAAAAAGAAATTCAAAGAGTTTAAAAACATTAGAAGGATTCAGTAGAAGGGGGATTTTCCAGGGCCAAGACAGAGGATGCCAGGGGACAAGCACTGGAAAGTAGCCACTAAGCACTGAGAGTGGGCTGGGCACCATGGCTCATGCTTGTAATCTCAGTACTTTGGGAGGCCGAAGCAGGTAAATCACAAAGTCAGGAGTTCCAGACCAGCCTGGCCAACATGGTGAAACCCCCCTCTACTAAAACTACAAAAATTAGCCAGGCATGGTGGTGGGTGCCTGTAATCCCAACTACTTGGGAAGCTGAGGCAGGAGAATTGCTTGAACTCGGGAGGTGGAAGTTACAGTGAGTCGAGATCTCACTACTGCACTCCAGCCTGGGTGAGAGAGCAAGACTCTGTCTCGAAAGAAAAAGAACTGAGAATGGACTGTGGCTAACAACCAGCAAAAAATGGAGACCTCAGTCCTGTGACCAAACGGAACTGAATTCTGCCAATAACCCAACTGAACTTGGAAGCAGATTCTCCCCCAGAGCCTTCAGAAAAGTACTCAACTCTGCTGATACCTTGATTTTGGCCTTGGGATACCCTAAACAGAGAGATCCTCAAGGCTGGCTAGACTTCTGATCTATAGAAATGTGAGATAATACATGGGTATTGTCTCAAACCACTAAACTTATTGTAATGTTTACACAGCAATAGAAAACTAATTCAGATATATTTTTTAAATCATCATTTCACCTAGATAAATTTTGTTATCTTTGCATAGTTTAATCATGCTTATTCTGTTTAGTAAACTGATCCTTTTTTTTATTATTATACTTAAAGTTTTAGGGTACATGTGCACCAAAGTGTTTTTGAAAAAGTGAGGTCCCATTTCCCACACTAATTACTGGGTATAGTTGCCTAGCTTAACTTTCCATCAGCTTTCCACTTTTCGAAACTATTTTTGCAATAGCATTAATTATTTTTGGGCCAAAGTTCACTATTAAATGTCATTGGAATGATTTCTGGTGATAAGAACTGACAGAGGTGTTGCTTGTTTGTAAAATTCTCATGTCTTTTGAAATTCAATCTCACATCCCGCTCATTCTACAACCATAGCTTTAGGTTTTACATTTTTCTCTCAGTAGTTAAACTTTCATTGTTCATTTGAGTCGCGATTTGCTCATTTTTGATAAGTGTGTCTTTGGGTTCTGCTTCTGGTCTTGTCAGTTATTACATACAGGTGCCAAAATAAGGGGTCATGACATGCTTGCCTTTCAGTGTAACACTGTTTTGGTTTTATTGAACCAAAGGTTTCCTAAAAAGTTTTATAGAAGGAAAGTTTAGCAGTTGGATTGCTAGCACAAAGAGGGAATAAAATTGTGGTCCATAGATGTGTTACTCAAAAACATCTCATTTCAATTTCGTGTTCAGAGAATCTTAAAGTAAGGCAAGATGCAAAAGATCAAAATAATAACTTTAATTATTGACTAGTTGCATATCACAGGTAAATTATTTATCCTCTCTATGATTTAGTTTTTACATCTACAAAATGACATACCCATTCATTAGTTTCCTTGAAATCTAGTGCTGCTTAAATTTTTCCTTAAAGTAGTCGTTCTTAAAGTGTGATCTCTGGACCAGCGGCAGCCTTACCTGGGAAGTTAGAAATGCAAGTGGTCCCACTACAGACTTCATAAATCAGAAACTCTGGAGGTACAGCCTAGGAATCTATGCTTAACAAGACCTTCCAGATGATTCCATGGGAAAGTTTGACAACCACTGCCATAGCAGAGACTAACAATGTCTTAGCATTGGGCCTTGCATATGCTTAATGAAAAGCAGTTGACTTAGGTAATCGTGTATGAAAAGAAGAAGGATTATATGAATAATAGAAATTAGCTGGGGATGCTAGCACATAGCTCAAAGGGGTTCTTTGAAACATGTAATTTTGAAAGCTCCATGAGAGGTTGTTTTGCACCTTTCCTTGTTTTAATATAGAAATACTTCTAAAGTTACTTTAAAAATTAAAAAAATGGGTTTCTGTTTTAATACTAAATAAAATTAAGGAAAATGAAAGTTCCAGGGAGAAACATGATGCTCCTACAGCTTTGAAGATCCCTTAGCCCATCTCTGGTTACTCTCAGGGTAACTTGCATTTGAGATTCATGGGTCTAACCAGTGTGGCTAGTGGAATCCTGTTGGGACTGACCAAATCTGGTTTCTCTTCTGGGTGCATTACGTTGTTCATTTCCTATGTGTCTGATAGGTTGGTTTCCTTTTAGAGCCTTCATTGGTCATCATGAACAGTGATGTCGATGTTTCTGTGGGATTTTTTAGGAAGAGCTAAACATTGCTGCAACTCCCCTTCTCTGTTGAAGTCTGCAGCATCACTGTGGAAAGCAGCATTCTGCTACACTGCTGGCCACATTTTCTCTGTTGTCTCTGTTAAATGGAGGGGCAAAGAAGACCCTTTGGTGCAAAGAGTCTCTCTTTCTTACAAACTAAAAACTGATAGTGCCTATTTGCAGTTCATTTCCTGTGTAATACTACATACAAACACACACACACACACACCCCTATATATACATATATGTAATACTATATATAGAATTTTATATATATAAAATTCTACATATGTAGAATTTTATATATATAAAATTCTACATATGTAGAATTTTTATATATAGAATTTTCTATATCTATAAAATTTCACATTTTTTAATGTGTGAAAAGATAGAAATTTATATACCTATATATGTAGTATTCCATATATGTGAGTGTATATACCCATGTGTATACCCATGTATATATAGGTATTTAGATATATATACCTACATAAACATATATATGATACTGTATATGTTATACATATATATGTATTATCTCTACATATACATATATAGTATTGTAAGTATTGTATATATACCTACATATACACATATAATACTACATATATGTATATATGTAATACTATATATGTATATAATATTTAGTGCTGTATATGTATAGGTATGTATGTATATGTAATACTATATATAGGCATATATACATATATGTATATATGTATATGTATGTGTAAATATGTGTATATACATATATAGATATATATATGTACCTACATATACATAATGCATACGTACAACAAAAAATGAGTAAACAAATCAATATAAATTTAAATGTGGATAATTCCTATAACAAAAAATAAAGTAAAATAAGTATTAAAGAGAGATTGGGTGGAAGGGCTACCATATAGGGGCTGGATAGGAAAGGGCCTTCTGTTAAGGTAGCATTTAATCAAAGAGCTAAATGAAGAACCTAAACAAAGCAGAATTTAGGGAAAAAGTTAGTGTCTAAATATAGTCTAGGCCAGGTGTGGTGGCTCACTCCTGTAATCCCAGCACTTTGGGAGGCTGAGGCGGGCAGATCACCTGAGGTCAGGAGTTTGAGACCAACCTGGGCAACATGGCAAAACCCCGTCTCTACTAAAAATACAAAAATTAGCCGGGCGTGGTGGCATGTGCCTGTAATCCCAGCTACTTGGGAGGCTGAGACAGGAGAATCCCCTGAACCCAGGAAGCGGAGCTTGCAGCGAGCCGAGATTGCACCATTGCACTCCAGCCTGGGTGACAGAGTGTGACTCTGTCTCAAAAAAAAAAAAAAAAAAATAATAAAGCAAAAATAAAATAAAGTCTAAATGTAGTGTCTAAATATGTGAATAAATTTCTATTCACATATTAAAAAATGTATTCAATAAGTTGTAATCCAAAAGTAGAGTCTGTAAAAACAATCAAATGTGGTATTTCAGAAAAGACTGAAAGTAGAGTTTTAGTTGAAAAAAATAATTCTATTGTACTTTTCAAGGAAAGAAAAGAGTTTTCAATGAAACATACTCAGATATTGGCAATGGTAGCACCAAGACAAGAAAGTTTCCTAAACATCTACAGATTTAAACGATTGATTTGTTATTATAGCCTGTCTAGGCAAGTAGCTTTGCTCCAGATTTTTTATGGGAGACTGAATCTGCAGCATAGATGACCTTGTTTCAAGGTTGATTATGGTCTCTTAATGACTCTTTAGGTCTTTTTTAAAGTTCCCAGAGCTTATGAATGTCATTATACTAGGTGATGTTGTTAGTTGGGAATTATTTGGAAGTACTGTTCATAGTGCAAGTCATTACTGAATCTATCAAATGAGACAGGACGTGTATCTTTTCTCTCTCTTTTTTTTTTTTTTTTTTTTTTGAGACGGAGTCTCGCTCTGTCGCCCAGGCTGGAGTGCAGTGGCGCAATCTCGGCTCACTGCAAGCTCCGCCTCCCGGGTTCACGCCATTCTCCTGCCTCAGCCTCCCAAGTAGCTGGGACTACAGGCGCCCGCCACTACGCCCGGCTAATTTTTTGTATTTTTAGTAGAGACGGGGTTTCACCGTTTTGGCCGGGATGGTCTCGATCTCCTGACCTCGTGATCTGCCCGCCTCGGCCTCCCAAAGTGCTGGGATTACAGGCGTGAGCCACCGCGCCCGGCCCTCTCTTTTTTTTTTTGAGACGGAGTCTCGCTCTGTCGCCCAGGCTGGAGTGCAGTGGCAAGATCTCAGTTCACTGCAAGCTCCACCTCCCAGGTTCACACCATTCTCCTGCCTCAGCCTCCTGAGTAGCTGGGACTACAGGCATCCGCCACCACGCCCGGCTAATTTTTTGTATTTTTAGTAGACACGGGGTTTCGCCGTGTTAGCCAGGGTGGCGTGTTTCTTTATTCTTCTCGTTTTTGTTTTTGTTTTTGTTTTTTGTTTTTTTCCTTGTTTGGCTATGACTTAACTGTAGGTTGTCTTGTTAATGTCTCGTTTCAGTTTCAGGGATAGTTACTAATTGACAGAGATAAGTGGGGTGGTAGGATAATGGTGGATATAAGCAGTTATTAGGTATCCAAGCCATACTTGCAAAATATACTAAAATGGGGTGGACATTTCTCAGCCATCTGGTGTAGTGATGGAGTTGCTTGCCACTCCTTTCAGGCTACTCAGGGCAAGGGAAACAGATTAAACAGGTTCTTCTTGAATAGTAAAAAAGTAAACATGGTGAGCAGTGCTTTTAATGAAGATAAGTCTATATAATTATATTTGGAAAGACCCAAATTATAATCACAAAAGATGGGAATGTGGCAGATTTCATAAGTTCTGTTTCCAAATTCTAGCTCAAATATTTAATAACTTTCTGATAATAGCAAAATCACTTCTAATCTTTTAGTACCCACATTTCTTCATCTGAACAATGGGAACAATAATAATAACTACTTTGGGAAGTCATAGTGATGATTAAATAAGTGACAATATGCAGAGTATTTAGAATAACACATCACATATGAATGTTATGTAAGTTGAATTAGTTATCTATTACTGTATAGCAAATTATCTCAAAACTCAGTGGCTTTAAACAACTATATATATACATACACATGATTATATACTACATAAGGATATTGTGTGTGTACATATGTGTGTATATATATATGACTAGTCATGTACATGTATTTATTGTATATATATATCTGATGTGTGTGTGTGTGTGTGTGTGTGTGTGTGTGTGAATCTGTGATTAGTTGACTGGGGCTGAAGGATTGTCTTTCAATAGGGCTCACACACATGACTGGCAAGTTGGTGATAGCAATTGTCAGGAGGCCCCTTAGCAGTTCCTAATAATAGTCCAGTTCAGTGTATAGAATCTGAAGGAAACCAAGATGAGGCTGGAGAGGTAGATGTGGGTCAAATCCCTAAGAGTATGGTGAGCCATGCTAAATAGTTCAGAGTCTTATTCCAAGGGCAATGGGAAACTATTGAGGAGATTTTACCTTGAAGATGAAGGTCAGATTTGCTTTTTAGTAAAAGTCATTTTGGAGTCTACTGCTATGTAGAACAGACTAAAAGGCCTGGGCAATACTGATGCTTTGGAATGGAGAGAGAGGTAAGTAGTAGGCTCAACAAACCTCAGTGATTGATATTGGATGTGGGCATAAACCGAGGAAAGATAATGCTTCCTAGAATTATTACTTGGAAGTTAGGGGTATAAGAACGTTGTGAATGAAGGACAAAAACAGATTTGAAAGTAGAAAATGATTTTTTTTTTTTTTAGCTTGGCTCTTATTAAGTTTGAGGAGAAATGGAGAGAGGTCTAAATGATAAGGTAGTCACTTGACATGAATAGTCAAGTTTAGAGACAGGCATGTTGGCTCATGCCTATAATCCCAATATTTGGGAGGCTGAGGCAGGAGGATCACTTGAGGCCAGGAGTTTGAGATCAGCCTGGTCAACATAGAGAGACCCTATCTCTTCACAAAAGTAACTAAAAATCAGCTAAGCATGGTGGCACACACCTGTAGTCCCAGCTACTCAGGAGTCTGAGGTAGGAAGATTACTTGAGCCTTGGAGTTCAACATTGCAGTGAGCTGTGATCACGCACTGCACTCCAGCCTGGGCAACAGAGCAAGACCCTTCAAAAAATATATAAACAAGCAAACAAACAAACAAAAAACAAACAAAAATCAAGTTTACAAATCTATCTCTTTAAAATTTTTCTTTTCAAGAGCTGCCTCCAAAGTGAGCTAATAAAATTGAATTTGCCAATGAAACAAAGTCTTTGCAAAACTGAAATATGAATCCCTTTTTCACCGATTTTGGAAAGTGTTTTGAATGTCTGGTGCTTTCATGGTGTCTGGATCCTGAAGGGTGGAACATCCATCTGGTTCTTATGTCTAGAGGTGAGTCCCCTTGAGAGACCTGTATTAAATGAAGTATGCCTTGCCTTGAATCCTGCAACTGCCAAGACAAGGTCAGGAACCCCACCATGAGGAATCAAGAAGGCCAGAGCATGGTTGGTGACTTCTTCTGCATCAGGGAGGTCACAGAGGTGTAGTGAGTTGCCGCCACCATCTGGCTGTGGCCTCAGCAAGGAGGAAATGAGGATCTCTCACAGCTGGGGCAATAAGACAGCCAAGCAAATGATCTTGCTGTGTGGACAAAATGTGTGAAAGATTTCACCAGTGCATCTCTCTGACAGCTCCTGGCATTAAAAGACACAGTTTTCTATACTCAGCTATTTTAAAAAAATTTTTAGTTGTTGGTGTTCTTAGTTTTCCCCAACAGGACACCATTCCCCTGCTGTAGAGGTGAAGAGAAGCTTTCTCTCTCTGTTCTTGAGACCTGAGAGAATTTCTTCCTAGGTGAAGATTTCAATGGTGTAGCTGGATGGCTTATCAGAGGGCATATAGAAAGAGCCAGATGCCATAAATCTTTCCTGGATATAAATAAATAGAACAGAATAAAACTAGACTCCTAATGCATTTCTAGGGACAAACAACCAATTGAGCATGTATTTATTGACCTGCTATGTGCTCAGCAATGTCATAGAGACTCTTGACAGTGGTAAGAGGAATATATGAAAAATATATGGGGTGAACCACCTTTTTTCCCAGCTATCGATACTAAATATCATTAAATATGTATATATTTGGCTCTTTCTATTACTGCTGCTATTTCTACATCACAGATGCTTATTTGTTAGTCACTACTGCCATTATCCCCACTGCAATTACTCACAGTGCTTTTCTCATAGTTTTTGAAAATAATTAGTGATCATTCAATAAAAAGCAACTTTTATTTCCAATATGATCATGACGATAATGACAAATACTACTATACTTGCTTTACTAAGGTAATGACAAATACTACTATACATGTTGTACTAATTATTTCTACTGTTTATTTAGTATTTTCTATATGTCAGCCATTGTACTCAGCCTTTACATACATTTTCTTATTTAATCCCTGCTTTTTTTCCATGTGGCCTTGGCTATAAGAATATCCTTTACTCTCTAGATGAGAAAATTCAACCGGAAAAAAAGTTGGACATTTTGCCCAAGTAGTTAGGGAAAAGAGTCTAGTCTCTGGAATATTGAAGATGCTCAAAAAACAATTGCCAATTAAGTTATTAACCCTAAAGATAATACTTCATTGTGTAGTCTTTGAGCCCAAATAGTAGCTGTTTAGCCAAAATTGTTTTATGGACATTTTATATGGCCCACACAAGTTTTTTTTAATGTAAATTAGGGAACATCATTTTAAATTGGGAGAATTCATGTCTCTCTGTCTCACGCAATTAGAATTTATAGACTGCTTTTGAAAAAAATGTAAGAAGTGGCTACTTCATACAATGTCCTATATCTTTTTTCCTTTTCTAAAAATGGACGCATTGTGACTGTACATATTTATAGGGTACAATTTGATGTTCTGTTACATATATATGTTGTATAATGATCAAATCAGAGTATTCAGCATATCCATCATCTCATACACTTATCATTGCTTTGTGACAAAGACATTGAAAAGCCTCTCTTCAAGCTATTTTATAATATACAATACCTTACTGTTAACCATGGTCACCCTACTGTGCAACAAAACACCAGAACTTATTCCTCCTAATTATAACTCTCTACCCATTGACCAGCCTCTCTTCATCCTCTCCATTTGCTCTCCTCCTCAGTCTCTGGTAACAACTGTTTTACTCTCTGCTTCTAAGATAGTTTCTCTTTTTTTCCTGTTTTTAGATTCCACATATGAGTGAGATCACCTTGTCTCGTATTTTGACCTGGAAATAATTTCCCGATGGGGAGTAGCAGCCAATGCCAGGTAGCCGCAGTATTTGCCCAGCCTGCTTTACCTGCTAAAAAGCCTGTAATCCTTTCAGTTTGAGACCTCCGAAAAAATGCATTGAAGTTTCATATCATACAGCCCCACAAATTTAATTAGTGAATTTGATGACTTGGAAGTGTAACCGCCCAAGAATACAGATCAGGGCAAGATGCAATAGTGTTATACTATGGCACAGACAGAAGCGGTATAAAAATTTGAGAACTGAAGTAGACCAATGTTCTAGGGTAAGCAGGGATGATTTCATGGGAGCAGTTGAACTTCAGCCATGATTGAATGATGGGCACCCTTTGTAAAAGTAGAGAGGAGAAAAAACACAATCGTTTTTGCATGATACCCACAAATAATAAAGGACATCACGAATCTGTGTCTCCTTAAGTTTTAGAAACAACAGCTTCTAGCAAGAGCACTGAAATTGGGATTCGTATTCACCAGAATCATACTGAGTTTTGAAATTCCCAAAATGGCCTGAGAATAGGTAAGTGAAGTTAAGTAAGACCTAAGGTCCTGGAAATGCCCTGAGAACTAATTGGCACTACAGAGATTCATGAGAGAATCCTTGTGGTACCACTTTCTGCCTCACAGAACTGACTTCACTTGCTGGGCCACATCCCCCTCTTTTCTTCTGCCTTCTGGTTCCTAATGCTTCCAGAAGGAGAGACACTGGGAAGCCCAAGGATTGTACCAATTATAATCAGCTCCATCAGTGTCACAGGGCAGGCACAAAACCTCCCAGTTCTTCCAGACAGAAACCTCTCTGGCTCTTGCTGTCAAGGCCAAAGTTGCCTACCCTCAAATTCCCAAAGTCACAGAAATCCTAACTTTCCAATCTCTCTAGCAATGTGGTTGCTGACCTTAGAGCTACCAATACCAAGTCTATTGTCTTAGGTTTGTTTCTACCAGAAAGAGGATTTTCCATCTTTCTGATATCCCAATGCAATGGAAGCAAATAGAGGGTGCTGAGTTAAATATTTTTTTTTGGCATCAAATAGATAGTATTTGATTCCTTTGCATACTCTTGGGCTCATTTCCTAATCATCTAATTCCTGGTATATTATTCAGTTTTCACACTGCCTTAAAGAACTTCCCTGAGACTAAGTAATTTGTAAAGGAAAGAGGTTTTATTGGCTCACAGTTCTACATGGCTGGGGAGGCCTCAGGAAACTTACCATCATGGTGGAAGGCAAAAGGGAAGCAAGCACCGTCTTCACAAGGCAGCAGGAGAGAGAAGCAAGCAAGAGTAGGGAAAAACTGCCTTATAAAACCATCAGATCTCATGAGAACTCACTATCATGAGAACAGTATGAGGGAAACCTTCCCCATGATCCAATCACCCCCCTCTCTGGGCATGTGAGGATTACAGGTCTCTCCCGCAACACATGGGGATCACAATGTGAGATGAAATTTGAGTGGTAATACAGAGCCAAACCATATCACTTAGTTTCCTTGTCTGTAAAATGTTGAAAATAGTTGTTATGAGAATTAAATCAGATCTGTCATGTAAAGCATTCAGAGCAGTAGCTAGCACATATTGAGCGCTCAAAATTCATTATTTCATGAATATTGTTATTGATGTTATTATTGCCATAAGGAGGTAATACGAGGCAAGAAAAAAAGAAGTAATATGAGAATTCCAGCAGAACTTGGCAAATTAGTGTACATTCCAGTGGATAATCACAATTCAGAGGTACAGGTGAGAGGTCCAAAGAAACTTCAATGTCATAAGCAAGGGAGGAAGTTGTATCTGTGTCTCTTAGAGAAATGTGAGAGGCAACATTCCATTCTGTGTTTTAGCAAGTCACAGGTAAAAATGCTAGTGACAAGTGCAAATGGTTTGCTCAGCACCTGGAAAGCGCATGGTGTGAACTTGTTCCACAGCTAGGTGCAGGCACCTCAGGGTGAGCCGAGGTGTGAATGAAACAAGAGACCCATTAATTCAGTGGCAGCTGGAGCAATGGAAGGCTAATTGCATTTCTAAAGAAGTGGTAATCTGACCACTTTCTTTCTGCTTGTCCACGTTTATAGCATCAAGCTGCTTTGCATGCACCCCAAAGGCTCCTGGTGGCAGGCAGGACTCTAAGTCATCCAGCTTCACATGACACTTCTCTCAGCCTGGTGATCATTTCCAAGACCATGCCTCATTAAATCAGCCGGCCAGTGCTTGGATGCTTCAAATTTATGGTAGAGTCATGACACCAAAATGCTTGGGGCTGTCCATCAAAACAGGCTTCATTAACAAATACTGAAAATGAAAGAATTCTTCCTAGGCTCTACTCCTCGACAATCAGATGATGACTGGGGGTCACCACAGATCCTTGAACAGTTTGCATGATTTGCAATCCTGTCAAGTGATCTATTTTGAATGACTGTTGTAGGAGAGAGGGAGAAGTGGAGAGGCAAGAAGAAGAGGTTCAGATTTTTCTTTTCTTGGCTTTATTTTACAGAATCAAACCGTCCCTCTTCCTGTTTTTGACAGTCTGCAGTGGCAGAAATCATCACGTTATGGTATCAAAAGCAAGTAGTTTTCCTTGTCCTACCACAATAATAAGTTTAGGCTGCATCATTGTAAATCATTAAACTTCCAAGATGGATAGATATTTAGCAATCAAATGATCTCTCCTCTTATTTTACTAATGAAGAAACAGGGGCCCAGGAAGTTTAGGTGAGATATGTGAAGCCACAGGGTCCTGTTGACATGTACGGTTTCTACCTCATCTCTAATATGGCAATAGCACCTCCATTTTCCTTTAAGTAAATAGCCTTTTTAATTCTCAGTGCATATGGCTCAGGCAAGGCCCACCTGAGTTTGCCTGGGACCTGCCATCAAGCTCCAAGTTCCAATAGTTGGCAGGGAACCCAGGTTTGGTCAATTAAGTGATTGAATTAGGTTCATTCTAGTGGCCCTAGCTAGGCCAATGACATGATGTTCCTGGAATTGACCTAGAACTATTAATAAAGGGAAGCTCTCTTTCCCATTAGGGTTGCTGAGCTGGTTGGGTGTAGTCTTGGAACTACCAGAGACTATATGCTAAGAAACCACCTACTACTGAAGCCAGCATAGCAATCAATGGCAAGAAGAAACAAAGAAATACTCATTTTTCATGATAATATTAAGGCTCTGGGTCAAATTTTAGGAATTTTCAGTAGCCTGAAATAGTACTATTACTGATTAATCGATTGATTTTTAATTTAAGCCATTTTGAGTTAGGTTTCTTCATTTATAAACCAAAAAATTTCTGACTACATTAGAGCTATCTAGATCACAGGTCATTCTGAGGTCTGGACCAGAGACCTCTCTACTTTCTCATTAAGAGCAAGGGTAAGAATAAACAACAAGAGTTACCAAAGAATATTAATAAGTTCAGCTATAATTGCGACCAAAAGATTGAACTTGCAGAATCTTAAGCAGAGATGTCCCTGCTAGGCTTAGAGGCCTTGGAGAAGACCAGCTAGCAGCAACATTGTGCTTAATTGTAATCCCCAACCAAAAATGATGAGGTGTGTCACATTCATTTTCCCTTTGCAACTTGGCCCCTTCCTCACTAATGTGACCTTGAACACTTTTTGTCTTATCTCTTGTTCTGGATAGCTATTTCCATATAGCAAACCACCACCAAAAATAAAAGTGACCTAAAACCATGACAACAATTTATTTTGCTTACAGTTTTGAGGGTTAATTGAGCTCAGGTAGTGTGGGTGCTCTCAAGTGCCTACAGTCAGATGTTGGCTGGGTCTGAGGTCATCTCAAAAGCTTTTCACTAAACTATTTAGTACCATGGCTGGAAATAATTAAAAAGCTGAGGTAGAAGAGCTGAGGCTTCTTTAGCATCTCCTTCTCCTCTCTGTGATCTCTCCAAGTGAGACCTACGTATGGTGGTCCAAGGATTCTTAGGCTTCTTACATGACAACTGAAGGCACGCAGATCAGGTGTTATGAGAATAATCAGCAGAAGCTGTGTGGCCTTTTCTAACATAGAGTCAGAAGTCATTCAGCATCATGTCTGCCATGTTTCGTTCATCACGATAGTCACAAGGACTCAATAGGTTCAAAAGTAGGGACAAAGACATCCCTTTTGTTGGGCCAAGTGTTAACACGTTTTCAGACATGCTTTTCCTAAAATTTTTATTTTAAAAGAAATATAGACCTAGGAAGTTACAAAAATAGTACATAGTCCTATGTATCCTTTACCCTGTCACCCCAGTTATGGCATCTTATAGAACCACTGTGCAATATCAAAACAAGGAATTTGGTATTTGTATATTATTGTTACCAAGACTTTTTATTTGTATATTATTGTTACCAGATCTTTTCAATTTTTACCATTTCTCTAAACCTGCATTCATTTGGTGTGTGTGTGTGTGTGTGTGTGTGTGTGTGTGTGTTTCTATGCAATTTTTTTTTTTTTTTGAGATGGAATGTTGCTCAGTCGCCTAGGCTAGAGTGCAGTGGCGTTATCTTGGCTCACTGCAACCTCTACCTCAGCTATATTCTCCTGCCTCAGCTTCCCAAGTAGCTGGGACTACAGATGCATGCCATCATGTCTGGCTAATTTTTGTATTTTTAGTAGAGACAAGGTTTCGTCATGTTGGCCAGTCTGGTGTCGAACTCCTGACCTCAGGTGATCCTCCTGCCTCGGCCTCCCAAAGTACTGGGATTACAGGCACCAGCCTGCAATTTTATCTCATGTATAGATTTGTATAACCACTACTACAATCAATATACTGAACTGTTCTGTCAACCACTAATTAACTCCCTCATGCTACCTCTTTGTATTTGCACCCACCCCATTTTACTCTCCTGTTCTCCATCCCCTAGCAGATATTATGTTATCCATCTCTATAGTTTTGTTAAGAATATTTTACATCTTATCATACAGTACATAACCTCAAGATTAATTTTTTTCAGTAAGTACGATGCCATTGAAGTCCAAAAAGGTCATTGCGTATCTCAATAGCTCGTTCGTTCTTATAGCTGAGCCTTATTACATTTTACAAATGTATCTACAACCTATTTACATCATTACATTTGAAATGACTTCCTGTAGATAGCATATATTTGGGTCACATTTTTGTTTTTATTTGTTATTTAATTCACAGTGACAACCTCTGTCTTTTAATTGGTATATTTATTCCATTTACATTTAAAGTAAGTATAGACATTCTAGGGCTTAAGTTTACCATATATGATTCATTTTCAGTTTGTTCTCTTTTTTACTGATATTTCCATTTTCTGTCTGACTTACGTGTTACTTGAACATGTTTTAGAATTCCATTTTCAATGGTCTCTTATTTTTTAAAAAATAACATTTTTGACGAGGTGCGGTCAATACACCTGTATTCCCAGCACTTTGGGAGGCCTAGGAGGGCAGATCATTTGAGGTCAGGAGTTCGAGACCTTCCTGGCCAACATGGTGAAGCCCCATCTTTACTAAAAATACAAAAATAAGCTGGGTGTGGTGGCAGAAGTCTGTAATCCCAGCTACTCTGGAGGCTGAGGCATGAGAATCGCTCGAACCTGGGAGGCAGAGATTGCAGTGAGCCAAGATGGCACCATTGCACTCCAGCCTGGGCAATAGAGTGAGACTCAGTCTCAAAAAAATATACATATATCATTTTTGTATAGTTTTTGTAGTGGTTACTTACATTTGTTTCTGAATCTATCAAATTTCTTACAGACTTTGGCTAAGTCCCCTAATACTTAAATTGTCCTTGCTACCCATTTTCAGTGGGTCTGTGCCAAAGACTAGAGTCTATAATACAACCTATTTAATTCTACCTGGCCATGTGCGAAGCCAAAAAGGGATCACCCTGCAGGTACATCATTTTACCTACGTCTTGAACTCTGACTTTAAAACCCAAACTCTAATAGTAGTAAGTAGCTCTATGGCCCAAAGTTATGAAGGTGGTAGTTAATACCTGGGGGTAACTCAGTATTATACTTGGAAAGGCAGGAATCAGGTGACCATGTTCTTCTCTACAGCTTGATAAATACAAAGGGTACTGTAAAGTAATGGATGTATTTTGGTCAAAGATAGGCAGAGGTAGGATGTTTACATCCAGAGTGACTCAGCGAATTTAGAGTGCAGGCACATAGCTCCACTTGTTATCACAGCCATGTAGCCATAACATGGGAAGGCTCATCATTTGGCTCTAAGCCACTATCGTCTGTAAAACGTATATTTGCCCTGCTGATACAGTACAGGCACACTTGTGTCCAGAGAGAGAGAGAGTCAGAGCTGTCCATCTTTGCAGATGGACAGGGTGAGCCAGGACACAGCTGGGCTCGCTTGTGTCCAGAGAAAGAGTTAAACTGCTGACCCTGAATGCAAGGGAGAGCCGGCCATGTGTGTGGGAGCCGCCGGACTAAGCAGCCGAGACAGGGCAGACAGTGTGAGAGAACTGGTGCGAGGGAGCTACTGATGAGAGTGGTGCCGAACAAAACTACATATCCCCTGTCTACGGCCCCCCGAGTGTTCTTTCAGTTACCTGCTCATCCACCCACTCCCTTCAGACCTCAGCATGAGCTGGAATGTGACCCTGGGCGTGACAATTGGCGCAGTCGTGAACCTGACAAGTATATAAGCATGACGCATCAAGATGCAAATTCAAGTTTAGTAAATATATGCTGCATGGCCACTGTGTACCAGGCTCTGGATTTTCACTTAAATGATCACTTTTCATCTCCTCAGCAGCAACAAGATCTATCATAACATGAATTGACACAACAGGGTTTTAATAGCAAACCAAAGTGGAGCAAAACATAATAGCAGACAGGAACCCAATGGAAACAACCCCATACCAGATTTGCCACTATGGGCTTTGAGAACACCCAAACTGTATACAGCTCTGTTATTCTTGTTGCTTACTTTTCTCAAATGTCAATGAACATAATGAATGAAATAATTATGTATGTATACACCCACACGGGCACACACACACACACACACACACACACAGAGTCCTTAAGTGGTCGCTTAAAGTATTGTTTATATTTTGAATATATGAACTTTCCAACATATACGAAGGTAGAGAGAATATTATAATGAACTCCTTCATATCCATTACCCAGTTTCAATAATTATCCACATCAATATTTTTTCAATCTTGGTTTACCTACTTTCTACACTGTTACCTTTTGCTGTGTTACTTTAAGTCAAATCCCAGATGTCATGTTATTTTGTGTATACACCCTCTAGTATGCATCTCTAGCTGATAAAAGGACTTTCTCTTCCTCTATAACTACCATTCCCATATTACCTCTGACAACATTTATAATCATTCCTTAATACCATCTAATATTAAGAGGGTTGAAAAGTGATTCTGATTATATGTGATTTCATCTTATCTTAGCTAATCATTTTACCTAAAATCCAGGTGTGTAAGAGATTATCACAATATAGTAAGGAAAATAAGAGTAATATGAATGAAAGTACTAGAGAAAAAGAAAGTACCCATAGAGAGCTACATGTGAGGCTGTCTGCGAGAGACTAGAGGTATCTGAATCATTCTAAGCATTCTCAGCAGTGAAAATCCTGAGTGAGCTGCCTTGGTGGGCACAGAAGTGTTCTCTGTCCTGTCAAGCTGCCACATACAGCTTTTGTTGTGAACGCTTCCTGATAGCAGGCACAGTGATGATCACATCCACAATGGAATTCTAGAAATAATGCCTTCTTTTTCTCTGGGAGAATGATGGTGCTTTACAGATGAAACAAGATGCCTGCCAAATGAAATAGGATTTTTGCCTCTAATTGTAACAGCTTAATAACATAAGGGATAGTCCACAAAACTTTTTAAAATTCTGGGCTGATGCAAACTTGCTGCTGGATCTCTGCCAGCTCATTGCACCTGCAGCATTTCCCCACTAATATTTCAAAGTGTCAGCTTAAGTGGCCTGAGAGCTGCCTGCAGAACTATGGTAAATTGCTGAGATATGCCTAGACCAGCTGAGATAATAGGGCGCCAAGAAGCAGGGGAAAATGTCAACAGCTGGGGTTCATGCGACTAATTTTGTTTTCTTTAAACTTCATGGAATGACAAATCCCACTAAGAGCTAATCTGGAATTATACAATCACCAGATTCTTCATGTATTTTTAAATCCATGCAGTCAGTCAATAAATATATAGTAAACACGTATCAAAGGCACGGACGCTTTTGCCTCTTGAGCCTGTGATGGGCATCAAACATGCAGCCCTCTCTCGGGCTGAATCTGACCATGACCCCTGCATACTTCTTACCATCAAGCTCCAGGCAGCAGCAGGAGCATAATTATTAACATAGGATACAAAATCTGTTTCCTTTTTCAAGCATATTCTCAACCTCTCTGAGAAAGCGTAACAACGGGCTGACTGCTCTATGTGACTATACTGTCTCATTGTAAACAAACTAACAATGGTGCGAAGTTCTGAACAGGGCAGAGACCACACTTGTCTATATTTTTAGAACCACGCATCATGTTAGGAACAAGGAAGCTGCTCAAAAATATTTATTTAAGGATGCGATGGGTAATTGAACAAAAGAAGCATCACATATGTGCTATCTGAATCCAGTAATCTAGATTGATAGAAGTCTATGGAAAATAAGAATAACACTAGCAATGGTAACATAAAATAATTAAAATGGAAGCTGATCCTTATTGAATGATATCTTTATCTCAGGCATTGTGCGTAAGTATATTCATGGACAATCTCTCATTTATTGCTCACAGCCTTCAGCGATAGATTCTGTTATTGGCTTCATGTTTCCAAGGGGGAACCTGAGGCTTAGAGAAGTTAAACAAGTGGCCCAAAGAGCAGCTAGCAGTCTGAGTCCACTGCCTACATTCTTATCCCATCCACTGCGGCATGCTGACTCTTTGGTATAAAAAGGCTGTCCAATTTTAGGTGATCATTGTTGTCTCTAGGTATCTTTGTACAATATATCTTACATGGTCATTTCCTCCTGGAATTAAGAGCATGCTATACAATTTTTCTACTATTATTATTTTAATTTAATTTTTTTGAGACAGGGCCTCACTCTGTCCTCCAGGCTAGAATGCAGTGGTGTGAACATGGCTCACTGCAGCCTCGACCTCAAGCAATCCTCCCACCTCAGCCTCCCAAGTGGCTGGGAATACACATGCATGTCACCACGCCTGGCTAATTTAAAAAAAAAAAATTATAGAGACAGGGTCTTGCCGTGTTGCCCAGGCTAGTCTCAATCTCCTGGGCTCAAGCAATTCTGCCTCAGGCTCCTAAAGTGCTAGGATTATAGGCATGTTTCACCATGCCTAGCCTCAGTACTTGTATTTATGATTCAGGGTTTGGGTGAAAATTAAAGGACTTCTATAGAAAAGATAGCAGATGTGTCCTGGGAAGAAACTTTAGAAAAACCAGAATTGGCTGGCAATGAAAAAGAGAACACTCTGGCAGGTGGTATCCCTTGTGGGTATTTCAGGTGCTAAGGCATGGGTAGAGTGGTGAGAAAGTGATAAAATGCATGTGACCAGAAAAACAGATGTGCAGAGAAGCATGGATTAGAGCTTTAAGGAAGCTAGTTTCATAAATAACTTGGTAAATATCAGCAGAGCTTCATTTTATGGCTATTTCTGTGTTTTACTTGAATTGCTAATTACCCACAGAAATACAGTTCAGGAGTGGGGTTCTTGAAAATTTACATTTAATATGATCCTGGTACTTCAGATATTTTATTAAGTATAATTGAAAAGGGTTAACACTAGCAGTTTTCTTCTATCTGTTCTGTATTTGAAAATATACCCACTCATACATTTTATACACACACGTTATATATGCATGTACACTTGTGTATGTTTATACATATACATTATATAATGTTTGTATATATAAAGTACATATATTGTAGAAATAAAAAATACATTCCTTTTGGCTGTATCTGGCTACAATGACAAAAGGAGAACCTTTTAAATTCTGTTAATATGTTTGAATTTAAGACAGTAGGAGATATTAAATGACTTCTGTTATAAAAATAAAGTAACAAGCAAACATCACCCACTGAAGAGAAAAGCATCTGTTTAAATGATGCCTTATTATGGAAAAGAGTAAGGTTATTTATTATACTTTTGATGAATATTTTCATTGTTTTTAGTTATTAGCTATTATGAATGATGTTAATATGAACACTAAATTACAAATAATGCTGCTATAGCTATGTGCACCAAGTGTACGTTCCACATATGTATACTAGATATACACCTATGAGTATCATTGCTTAATCATATGGCATTGCATTAGTTTTGTATTCTTGCATAGAAAATGACCCCAAATACTTAGAGGCTTAAAACAACTAACACTTATTGTCACAGTTTCTTTGCATCAGGAATCTGTGTGCACCTTAGCTGGGTTGCTCTAGCTCAGGCTTTCTCACAAAGCTGCAGTCAGGATGTTGGTTGAAGGTGCTGTCTCATATGAAGGCTGGACGGAAGAAGAATCTGCTTCCAAGCTTGTACACATAGCTGTTGGCAGGTTGTTGGACCAAGGAACTTAGTTCCTCTCTGGACGTAGGATGGAAATCTCCCTCAATTCCTTGCCATATTGCCTTCCCTTTAGGGTAGCTCAGGACATGGCAGCTGGATTTCTGAAGACACCAAGAGAGTAAGAAAGATGAATGACAAAGTCTTTTTAAAAAAATATTTAACCTTTTTAATTTTGAGATCATTAATTGCAGATTCATTCACATGTAGTTGTAAGAGAGATCCTGTGTAGCTTTTACCCAGTTTCCCCCAGTGGTAACATCTTCCACAACTATAGTAAAATATCAAACCAGGATATTGACACTGATACAGTCCAGATACAGAATATTTCCATCACCAGAAAGATGCTTCATGTTGTCCTTGATATCTTCGGATACATTTACTTCCTACCAACTTCTCCTCCTTAATCCTTGGCAACTACTACTCTCTTTTCTATTTCTATAGTTTTGTCATTTCAGCAAAGCTATGTAAGAAGAATTGTGTAGTATACAACCTTTTGGCATTGGTTTTTTCATTCGGCTAATTCTCTGGATATTCATTCAGTTGTTCCATGAATTAACAGCTTCGTTCTTTTTCCTGCTGACTAGACTTATCTGGAGTGGATGTACTACACTCTACTTACCCATTCAGCCACTGAGGGACATCTGGCTTTGGAGAGGCCAGTGGCCACTTAATGATATCCATGTCCTAATCCCTAGAATCTGAGTACATTACCTGGCAAAAGGGACACTGCAGATATGATTAAATATCTTGAGATGGGGATAACATCCTGGATTATTTGGGTGGGATAAATATAATCCAAAGATCTTCCTAAGAGAGAAGCAGGAAGCCCAGAGTCAGAAAAAAAAAAAAAAAAGATTTCACAAAGGAAGCAGAGGAAGAAGAGATGGGACCACGAATTCAATGGTTGCAGCAATGTGGCCAAGAGGCCAAAAAAATTCAGGTATCATCAGAAACGGGAAAAGGCCAGGAAGCATTTCATTCTCCCCTAGAGTCTCCAGAATGAATGTCCACCTGCTGACAACTTGATTTTAGGACTTCTCACGTCCAAAACTGTATAATAATAAGTTTGTGTTATTTTAAGCCATGAAGTGTGTAATAATTAGCTACAGCAGCAATAGAAAGCTAATGTAGGTTTGTTTCCAATTTTTGGTGATTACAAACAAAGATGCTATAAACATTCATATCCTGGTTTTTGTGAGAATATGACTGTATTAGTCAGGGTCCTCTAGAGGGACAGAACGAATAGGATATATGTATATATGAAAGGAAGTTTACTAAGGATAATTGACTCACACCATCACAAGGTAAAAGTCCCACAATAGGGCCATCTGCAAATTGAGGATCAAGGAAGCCAGTGGTGGCTCAGTCCAAGCCCCAAAACCTCAAAAGTAGGGAAGCCGACAGTGTACCCTTCAGTCTGTGACCAAAGTCCTGAGAGCCCCTGGCAAACCACTGGGGTGAGTCCAAGAGTCCAAAGGCCGAAGAACCTGGAGTCTGGTGTTCAAGGGCAGGAAGAATCCAGCACTGGAGAACGACGAAGGCAGAAAGACTCAGCAAGCCAGCTCATCCCACCTTCCTCTGCCTGCTTTTTCTAGCCGCACTGGCAGCCAATTACATGGTGCCCAACTGGATTGAGGGTGAGTCTGCCTCTCCCAGTCCACAGACTCAAATGTTAATCTCCTCTGGCAATACCATCACAGACACACCCAGAAATAATACTTTGCATCCTTCAATCCAATCAAGTTCACAGTCCACATTAACCATCACAATGACTTTTATTTCTCTGGAATAAAAGCCAAGAGGTGCAATTGCCAGTTTATATGTTAGTTACACATTTAGTTTATTAAAGACACCCCTGGACTCTTTTCCAGAGTGGGTACACCACTTGAACCCACCAAGATTATATGAATTATACAGTTTATTGACATCCTTTTTCACCTTTGACATTGTTACTATTTTTTTTTTTATTTTAGCCATCCTGTAGATGTGCAGTGGTATCTCATTGTAGTTTTAATTTGCATTTCTCTGATGAATAATGATGTTGAACATCTTTTTGAGGGTTTTTGTTATCTATAGAGCATCTATGAGGAAATGTCCCTTTATGTCTTTTGCCCATTTTCTTTTTGAATTGTTTTCTACTTTTGAGTTTTGAGAATTCCTTTTATACAGCTATTCAAATTGTTTTGCCCCTGTATAAGCAAGGTTTTTTTTTTTTTGTTAATTTCTTATTGCTTTCAAACTTTTTTCTTCAGTTTTCTAATGTTAGATTATAATGTGTCTTTGTATGGATTTCTCCAGGTTTATTTTGAGTTTGTTCAGCTTCCGGTATCTCTAGGTTAATGTCTTTTGCCAAATTTGGGGAGTTTTCAGCCATCAAGATTCTGATGAATCTTGATGCTTTGAGTCTTTCTCCAGCCCTGCCCTCTTTCTAGTTTCCTTCTGAGACTCCATTGTCACAAATATTTGATCTTTTGTTACAGTTCGTTTGGTCCCTTGTGCTCCTTCTTTTCTTTTTTCTCTTTTCTTTTTTCTATGCTTTTCTTTCTTTTATTTTTTCTCTTTCTTTCTTTCTTTCTTTTCTTTCTTTCTTTCTTTCTGCATATTTTCTCTTTTTGTTCAGCTTGGTTAATTTCTGTTGCCCATTCAGTTTTTTAAATTGGTTGTTGCATTTTTCAAGTTCTAAAATTTCCATTTAGTTCTGCTTTGTATCTTCTATTTCTTTGCTGTGTCAATGAAAACAGTAAAATATTTGAAGAGATTCATTCTGAGCCAAATATGAGTGACCATGGCCCATGACGCAGCCCTCAGGAAGTCCTAAGAACATGTGCCCAAAGTATTTGGGGTGCAGCTTGGTTTTATACATTGATACATTTTAGGGACGCATGAGACAGCAATGAAATACAGTTAAGAAATACATTGGTTTGGTCCAGAAAGGCGGGACAACTCAAAGCAAGGGCTTCCAGGCTATAGGTAAATTTAAACACTTTCTAGTTGACAATTGGTTGAGTTTATCTAAAGACCTGGGATCACAGAAAGGAAATGTTCAGTTTAAGATAAAAGATTGTGGAGACCAAGGTTCTTTTGAGGTGTTATAGTGGCTGCCCTTAGAGACAGTAGATGACAAATGTTTCCTATTCAGATCTTTAAAAGGTGCTAGACTCTTGGTTAATCTCTTTAGGATTGGGAGAGCCTGGAAGAAAAGGATCTAGCTATGTTAATAGAGATTCTTCACAGATGTAAATTTCCCCTGACAATGGACAGCTTTGCATAGCCATTTCAAGATATGGCAAAGAAACATTTTTTGGGGTAAAATATTTTGACTTTCTTCTTTGTCACATAATGTTATTCCAGAGTCAGATTGGAAAGTAAGTCAGATACATAGGGTTAAATAAAACCCATCTAATGAGAATTTAATGATTTGTAGGGCATGACTCCCCAGACTCCTTAAATAGGAATTTGGGCAAGATAAAAAAAAATTAGAGTTTAGTCCTCAGCTGGAACATACTAATTTTTATTTCAGTAATATTTGCAATTTCTTTTTAAAGTATTTTTATGATGGCTGTTTTAGAAGCCTTGTCAGAGAATTCTAACATAATTGTCATCTTGGTGTTAGCATCTTCTAGTTATCTTTTGCTTGAGATCTTACTGTTTTGTTTTTTTTGTTTTTTTTGGAAATTAAACATCCTGTTCCTAAACAACAAATGGGTCAATGAAGAAATTAAACAGGTAATCTAAAAATTCTTTTGTCTGGGCATGGTGGCTCATGCCTGTAATCCCAGCACTTTGGGAGGCTGAGGCAGGCGGATCACGAAGTTAGGAGGTTGAGACCATCCTGGCTAACATGGTGAAACCCTGTCTGTACCAAAAATACAAAAAATTAGCCAGGCTTGGTGGTGGGCACCTGTAGTCCCAGCTACTTGGGAGGCTGGGGCAGGAGAATGGTGTGAACCCGGGAGGCAGAGTTTGCAGTGAGCCAAGATTGTGCCACTGCACTCCAGCCTGGGTGACAGAGCGAGACTCCATCTCAAAAAAAAAAAAAAATTATTTGAGACCAATGAAATTGGAAGCACAGAATACTAAAACCTATGGGCTACAGCAAAAGCAGTTCTAAGAGGGAAGTTGTTAGTGTTATAGCCTCGCCAATCTACCACGATGTAGCAGTATCTCATTGCCTGATGTTCTTTGTCTCACCACCAAGAAAGTTAAGGAGCATGGACATCAAGGGTGAGGTTGGAGGGAAAGTTTAATAAGTGAAAGAAGAAGGCTCTTCACTGCACAGAGGGGACCCAGAAGAGGGTTTCCATTTTCACAGTTGAATGCAAAAGCTTTTATAAGAAACCAATGAGGGCTGGGTGTCTCATTTGCATAAGGCATGCATTTCTGGTAGCTTCACCCTGTCCTCCTAATGTGCATGTGGACCCTTAGCTTGATTTACTCCATATTTCTTTATTACCCTTACTGAACATGTGTAGGGGGAAGAATTTTCCATCCTGGGCACTTCCCGGAAAGTCACCTCTATAATCTTTCTTATCTGTGTGGCTGTGGGCGTGTCTTTGGCAAGCCCCACTGTGAGAGTTCCCTTATCTATGCCTGCAGGCTGTTCTTTTATTTGAAAGAATTCAGCTGAGGACCCACCCTAACTGCCTGGGTTTTTTCCTTTCTTCTCTCTCAATAGCAATAAATCCCAACATCAAAAAGGTAGAAACACTTCAAATAAACAACCTAACAATGCACCTCAGGGAATTAAAAAAGAAAGAACAAACCAAACCAAAAAATAGTAGAAGGAAAGAATAAATATCAGAGAAAAATAAATGAAATAGAGATTAAAAGAAACAGCAATATGAAAGATCAATGACACAAAAAGTTGATTTTTTGAAAAAGTAGACATTATATACTTTAAATATTGTTATGAGTCTCTGGATCTTACGTAGGCCTTGTGTTTTATGTGGCTTCTTCTGACACTGTTTTACCAGGGGAAGGGGTGGGGTGTAGGGTGTATTCTGCTACCACCATGTTGGATACAAGTTCATGTTCCCCCAGTGGTCTTCGTTGACATCTGAGGGGAGCTCCTCATTGCTGCTAGGTAAGGATGGGGATTATGACTTCCCAGTAATTTCCACAATCCTTGGTTGGCTGGGAGATATAAGATATATCCCCTATATTTCTCCCATACCTCTGGACAGTGGTGAAAATCCTGACTCTTCTCTAGGCCTTGTCTAATGCCACCCACATAAAGAGAGGTAAGGAGTCTCGTTACGGCCAGATGGGAGTGGATGTCCAGGCGGTCTACATGGTCTCCACTGACACTGCAGTGTGGAGCCTTGCTACCAGCCAATAGGAATGCAAGTCCTGGCCCTGTACGTGGCCTTCTCTGCCACCACTCCAATGGGGAGTTAGGGCTGACTTCTTATAGCGTGTGAACTGTAGAAGTCTAATATTTTGCTGGTGGGGTGGAGATGGGCCACTGTATTTTTTTTCTGTGATGCTTGGCTGCAGTAGAGTGGATAGTATCTAAAAGTTGTCTGTCTGTCTTGCTAGGCTGCCCTTATTCTTTTCATTTGTCTAGGGAAAGCAAGGTTTTGTCAGGGCTTCATTGTGTCTGTGCCTATTGGCATTTCTAGGTTGCTGGTTCTTCAGCCTCAAGCATGGGATACATGAAGCAAAAGGAACACCCAGAGAATTAATTACCATGTTTTTCTGTGGGTACCCAGGTCACTAGCAGGTCTGCCTTCTCTCTGCCTTTCAGGGTCTTCTTAGGTTTATTTTGTAAACAGTACCCTAGGTTTTTAGTTTCACTTAGTGGAACATATAGGGGAAAAAACATCTATTCCATCTTCCCAGAAGGAGAAGTCCCAGAATATTTTTGTAACCTAATATTGGAAATGACATTCATCACTTTTGCTCCATTCTGTTATTTGGAAGTAAGTCACGGGCTACAGCTTACACTCAAGGGATAGTTTACCACAAGTATATAGGGGCACAAGTTCCAGAAGGTGAGGGTCATTGAGCAGTCTCAGAGGTTGCCTGTTGCAGGTTTGCATGTGTTCAGCTGAGTGGATATTGTGTGTAATTTCCTCAAAGTTTGTGCTAATTTCTATTAATTAGCTGGAGAATAAAAGATTGAAGCTGGCCAGGATTTATATTAATTAGCCAGACAATAAAAGTTTGAAGCTGTCCAGGATTGGTTCTTGAGGTTTCAGGAAAGAAGCCATCTCCAAAACATGATAGTGCAAGGTGATGCAGCAAGTATTGACGGAGAAGCTGCAGCAAGTTATTCAGAAGCTCTAGCTAAGATCATTAATGAAGGTGGCAACACTAAACAGCAGATTTTCCATGTAAATCAAACAACCTTATAGTGGAAGAAGATGCCACTGAGAACTCATTACAGAACTATTGTGTTCCTTTGAAGGTGTCAGTGTTTCCATGCTTTTCCATGTTCCCTGTGTCCTTGCATTGGTATCTGCACATCTGGTGTAACTGGTATGATTTGGCTGCATCCCCAGCCAAATCTCATCTTGAACTGTAGCTCCCATAATCCCCACATGTTGTGGGAAGGACCTGGTGGGAGGTAACTGAATCATGAGGGCAGATTTTCCCGTTTTGTTCTCGTGATAGAGAATAAGTCTCACAAGATCTGATGGTTTTACAAAGGGCAGTTCCCCTGCACATGCTCTCTTGCCTGCTGCCATGTAAGACCTGCTTTTGCTCCTCCTTCACCTTCCACCATGATTGTGAGGCCTCCCTAGCCAAGTGGAGTTGCAAGTCCATTAATCTCTTTTTCTTTATAAATTCCTAAGTCTCAGGGTATTTTTACATAGCAGTATGAAAATGGACTAATATGCTGTCACTTCTTTCAATTTGATATTATAGCTTCCATGGGGAAAGTCTCTCTTTTGGATGAACCTATAATGTTGATTTGGTAAGGTGCTTTGCTTTGGTACTGGTTGGGCCCCACAGTATAGTCTCCTTATGATTACTTTGGTTGTACTCATTGTTAACAGTGTCTGCAAGTTCCTTAGTAGCTTAGGCTTCTATTGTTTATGGAGGCCGTGGTGAGTCTTTTCAGGGGACAGGGTTGCAGAGCAGGCCAGTTTTCAGTCCCCAGGTAGGGAGTTTGGGTACAGGTGGTAGTGGTGGTGGTGGTGGTGGTGGTTGCAGGCCAGGTGTTACAGTCCTGGGGTCCCTGGAAGGCAGCATGCATGGGCTCCAGCAGTGTCCTTGGTGGAGCAGGCAGGCTGGCTCCCTGGTCCCTGGCTGTAGGTAACGAGTGAGTAGTGGCCCAGCTGCTGGAGGTGATGGGGTAGCTGCTGTAGTGGTAACAGTGGATGGGCTGCTCTCAGGCTGGGGAGCACACACTTTGTTCCCTGTGTCCTGGGGGCACCTCCCTGATATGCTAAACCACTTGCTTACTGGCACATAGGCAACAGCATGGGCTCTGCTGCCAATATCTGGACAGTACCACTGGGTCCAGCCAGCGGCGCTCTGCAGCCCTAAGAGTGGAGGTAGAGAGTGTTGTGAGGCCCCAGGGATGTGGAAAGCAGGGGCTTTTGGGCCCCAAGGCAGGATGTAGTTCACTGTTGGATCTGCTGTCAAAATAACGCTGTGTTGCTCTCTCTGGAGCAATGCAGTCACGTGGACTCCCGACATCCCACTATACTGGGCTCAGGGTCCCTGGCACCCAGGGAATTTCCTGCAGCTAGGACTGTGGGAATCTGCAGCAGGAATGTGCACTGCTGAGGATCTTTCACTTACCCCTCCCATGAAATAGGGAGCCTCTTCCTTCCCAAATCAATCTGGTCAGCTGCCTCACTGGGTCTGAAAGCCACAGAAATGTCCCTTACCTACTGGATTCCAGCATTCTCTCGAAATGTCCTACTGGATGTACCTTTGTCTACTTACTGTTTTAGTCTCTCTTTGTGCAGGAGTCAAGCACTGAGAGCCTCTGTTTCACCATCTTGATGATGTCTTGCAATTTAGCAATTTTATTGATCTTTTCAAGGAAACAGTTTTTGTTTCTGTTAATATTCTCTATTGGTTTCCTATTTTCTATTTCATCACTTTCTGCTCCAATTTTTGTTATTTATTTTCTTCTGTTTGCTTTAGGTTTATATTACTCTTCTTTCTCTACTATCCTTAGACGGAAGCCTAGATTATTGATTTTAGACCTTTCTTTTTTTCAATATATGCATTCAAGATAAATGAATTTCCACCTAAATTTCCACCTAAGCACTGCCCCCCCTTTTTTTTTTTTTTTTTTGTATGACACTCACTCGGGTAAGTTGTATTTTTATTTTCATTTAGTTCAACATATATATTTCCCTTGAGACCCTTCTTTGACCCATGTGTTGTTTAGTAGTTACTTATTCTCCAACTATTTGCAGTTTTCCAGCTATCTTTTTGTTGATACATAATTTAATTCCATTGTTGTCTTAGGGTATGTTTGGTATGATTTCCATTAAAGAAAATTGTTTTGATGTGGCTCATGGCCTTGAATGTGATCTGTTTTGGTGAAGCCTTCCAGTTCGTTGGAGAAGAATGTGTATTCTGCTGTAGTTGGAAGAAGTTATCCATAAACGCCAATTTGATTCAGTTGTTGTTGATGCTGCTCAGTTCAACTATGCCCGTACTGATTTTCTACCTGACCTGTCCATTACTGATGGGGGATGTTGAAGTCTCCAACCATAATAGTAGAAGTTATCAGTTTCTCCTAGCATCTCTATCAGGGCTTATCTCACATACTTTGATGTTCTGTTGTTAGGGACATGTACATGAAAGATTATTATATCTTGGAAAATTAACTACTTTATTATTATCTAATGCCCCTCATTATTCCTGATAATTTTCCTGGCTCTGAATTCTGCTTTGTCCAAAATCAATATAGCTACCCCAACTTTCTTTTGATTAGTGTTAACATGGTGTGCCTCTCTTCAGTTCTTTATTTTTAATTTCTATACATCTTTCCAGTTAGAGTGGGTTTCTTGTAGACAACATAGAGTTGGGTCTTGTTATCTATCCATTCTGAGAGTCTTCATTTGGTATATTTAGACCATCTTCATTTTAAGTGATTACTGATGTAGTTGAACTAATATCTGCCATGTTTGCAAATGTTTTCTATTTGTTTATTTTATTTTATTTATGTGTTTTTTTGAGATAGAGTCTCACTTTGTCGCCAGGCTGGAGTGCAGTGTCGCAATCTCTGCTCACTGCAACCTCTGCATCCCGGGTTCAAGAGATTCTCCTGCCTCAGCCTCCCAAATAGCTGGGACTACAGGCATGTGCCACCTGCTCAGCTAATTTTTATATTTTTAGTGGAGACAAGGTTTTACCATGTTGGTCAGGATGGTCTTGATCTTTTGACCTCGTGATCCACTAGCCTCAGCCTCCCAAAGTGCTGGGATTAGAGTCGTGAGCCGCCGCACCTGGCCTATTTTTGCTTTTTTTAAAATCTTCCCCTTTTTTTCTGCCTTCTCCAGTTTTAATGAAACATTTTACATGATTCCATTTTATCTTCTCTGTTCGTATATTAATTATCCTCTTAAAAAATTAGTAGTTTCCTTACAGTTTAGAACATTTGTTTATAACTTATCTAAGTCAATTTTCAAATAACATTGTTTTGCTTCATGGGTAAGCTGTAATCACCTACTTCATTGCTGCTGTTATTACTTTGAATGGTTATCTATTAAATCAATTAAGAATAAGAAAAATAAAGACTTTATTTTACCTTAATTTCTGTCTTTTTTAATATTCTTACTTTTTGTTGATTTAAGTTTCTGACCTATATAATTTTTCTTCTTCCTGAAAAACTTCTTTTAACATTTTTTTGAAAGATAGATCTAGTTGTCACAAATTCTCCGTTTTTGCTCTTCTGAGAAAATATTTCTCTTTCACTTTTGAAGGGTAATTTCACTAGATACGGTATTCTGAGTTGGTGTTTTTCTTTTCTTTTCTTTCTTTCAATACTTTTAATATTTTATGCCACTCTCCTCTTTGGTTTCTGATGAGAAGTCTAATGTGTGTTGCATCCTTGTTCCTCTATAGATAAGGTAATTTTTTTTTTTCTCTGACTTCTTTTGAAGAATGTTCTGTCTTTGGCTTTCTGAAGTTTGAATATGATATGCCCAGGTCTACCTATTTGGTATTCATCCTTCTTGACGCTCCCTAGCTAAATGGAAATGTGATTTGTTATCTGTCATTAATTTTGGAAAATCCTAGCCATTTCTATGTATATATGCATATACACATATCTATAACGGTATATACATATACTATTAAATATTTCATCTCTTTCTCTCTTTCTTGTCTTTCTAGTATTCTCATTACACTTAAGTTACCTCTTTTGTAATTGATCCACATTATTGGATATGCTGTTTCAGTTTTTGTTGTTTATTTTCATTTTTGTGCTATCTTTGTTTTTCAGTTTAGCTAGTTTCTACTGAAATATCTTCAAGTTCATTGTAGTCTTGGATGTGTCAAGTGTAGAGAAGAGCCTATCAAAGCCATTATTCATTTCTGTTATGGTGTTTCTGATTTTTATCATGAAAAGGATTTCATTATTTTCTCAGTTTCCATCTCTGTTTATATTACCATCTGTTCTTGCATTTCGTCTGCTTTTTCCATAGTTATTTTAAACTCTGTATCCAATAAAATTTCAAAATCTGTGTCATATATGAAATTGGTTTTGATGCTTCCATGGTCTTTTCAGATTCTGGGCTTTTTTTTTTTTCTTTTAAAATGCCTTGCCCTTTCGTTTGTTTGTTTTTCATGGCGAAAGCTTGATAATGCACCTAGCAATAAGATATGAAATAATCAGTATTTTTTTTTTTTTTTTTTTTTTTTTTTGAGACAGAGTGTCGCTCTGTCGCCCAGGCTGGAGTGCAGTGGCGCGATCTCGGCTCACTGCAAGCTCCGCCTCCCAGGTTCACGCCATTCCCCTGCCTCAGCCTCCCAAGTAGCTGGGACTACAGGCGCCCGCCACTACGCCCGGCTAATTTTTTGTATTTTTAGTAGAGACGGGGTTTCACCGTTTTAGCCGGGATGGTCTCGATCTCCTGACCTCGTGATCCGCCCGCCTCGGCCTCCCAAAGTGCTGGGATTACAGGCGTGAGCCACCGCGCCCGGCCTGAAATAATCAGTATTTTAGTGTAAGGCTTTATGTTAATCTGGCCAGGAGCTGATGTTTTTGCTGACTGTAAGTGCCATGGTCTTCCATTTCCTCCAATTTCCTAATTATTTTCCCTTTTCTGTTGTTTTTTGATTTCCGCAAGAACACCGTCTTAAATTGAGTCTTTGTCTTGATACTCTTTCAGCTGCAGAACACTATTATGATGCTGAAGACCTATTGATGTGGTGGTGAGATGTTGGGAAAGGAAGCATTCTATGTTAAGAATAAATCTTTTATTTTTTAGTAGGCCTGAATCACTAGGCTGTGATATTCTAAAGTATTTTGTAGCCTTTTAAAATTCTCGCCTTTCATGACATAGGGAGGTGAAAATGGCCTAGAGTTATTGGTCCTTCCCTTAATTCAGATGATAGTCTGGAAATGCAGTTTTTCTTGAGGGAAGGCCTTCATGTGGTGCTCTGGGAGTATTTCAAAATGGTGACATTCCCCTCTGTCTGAAGCATGACAAAGATTTTTGTAATCTTCACCTATGAACAGGGTTCTTAAAGTTAAAACATGAAAGGTGGAGGCCCTAGTAAGACTGGTCTCTGAAGACTTAATAATTCTCAAGCTGATCCACATTCAATCTCCATCAGTTTGTCAATTGTCTTTGAAGTGTTCCTGCCAATTACTGTATCTGTAGCTCTGCTCCTATTAAGTTGTTGGTCTCTGTATTCACCTGTCTCTGCAAGTTTTTGGGTGGCAGTTTGTCTTGTGATCTCAAATATTTGATATAGTAAGAAAAGTTGTTGATTTTCAGTTTTTTCAGCAATTTTTTTTTATTGTAAGGAGAATGGAAGTGATAACTTGCAAGTTCTTTTTTGTTGTTGTTGGAACTGAAACTGTAGTTGCTTTTTCATTCTCTTACATATGTCTCTGATAAACAGATGCTTCTGATTTTAATGTAATTTAGTCCATCAACCTTTTTCCTTGTGGGTAGTACTTTTGTCGGTTCTGTTTAATTTCATGAAGATATTATGCCCTGTTCTATTTTATAGCAAACCTCTTGATTTTACCTTTCATATTCATATCTATAATTCTCTTCAAATAACATCTGTAAATGGAATAAGGTAGGGATGGAAGATATACTTTTATTTCTATACAGATGTCCAATGTCCCATCTTGATTTATTGGAAAAAAAAAGACTGTCCACTCTACTCTGCTTTGTTACTTTTGTCCTTACATCTGTGTGTTTGTTTATGGACTCTCTATTCCCTTGTTCTGTTTGTCTACTTTTGAGTTGATAGCATGTTTTCAATAACTAGCTTTAGAGTAAGTCCATAAATATGACAGTATAAATTCTCTATCTTTGTTATCCTTTCCAGGATTATCTTGAGTATTTTAGATCCTTTGGATATCTCCATAGATTGTACAATTAGCTTGTAAATTTATCCAAAAGATACCTGCTCAAATTTTGATTGGAATTGGGAGAACATTATATAGAAATCCTACTCTACATTCTTAAGGATTAGCAAGGACATTGCACTATGCAAAGGTGAAATTCAAACTGTTTAAATTTCCAGGGTTTTTATGTTTTGAGGTCTTACATTTACGTCTTTAATCCATATTGAATTAATTTTTGTATACGACATAAGGAAGGGGTCATCAAAGATCTAAAGACAGAATACCATTTGACCCAGCAATTCCATTACTGGGTGTATACTCAAAGGTATATAAATCATTCTATGATAAAAACACATGCATAAATATGTTCATTGCAACAGTATTCATAATAGTAAAGACATGGAATCAACCTAAATGCCTCTCAGTGATAGACTGAATAAACAAAATATGATACATATACATCATGGAATACTATGCAGCCATAAAAAAGAATGAGATCATGTCCTTTGCAGGGACATGGATGGAGCTGGAGGCTACTATTCTTAGTAAACTAACACAGGAACAGAAAACCATATACTGCATGTTCTCACTTACAAGTGGGAGCTAAATGATGAGAACACATGGACACATAGAGGAGAACAACACGCACTGGGGCCTATCAGAGGGTAGAGGATGGAAGCAGGGAGAGGATCAGGAAAAACAACCAATGGGTACTATGCTTAATACCTGGATGATAAAATAATCTGTATAACAAACCCCCATGACACACATTTACCTGTGGAACAGACCTGCACATCTTGCACATGTACTTCTGAACTTAAAATAAATGTTTAAAAATTGTTAAATTTAAACCATCCATTCATACATAAAATGCTGTGTTAGATATTACAGAAATCAAACCAATAGAGTACAAGGTAAACTTAAGAAACTAAAAGACAAAAGGGTAAAACATAGTAAGGTAAAAAAATTAGATGTGTGAGGATGGATCCAAGAGTTAAAAAAATACATAGAAATTTCTGATCGAAAATCTGAGCTGATTGAAAAGTATTATGGAATAAAAGAAACAGAGGAAGACAGGCTTTTTGAAACCACTTGAGAAACTAAGTAGAAAATATATAACCCTATAAGGGATTTAGAAAAATGAAATAGGGTTACTTTTGTGAAATAATACCAAATTCTACCCCATCCTTTGTAAGAATCCATGGAATATCTTTTAAAACACTCATAGATTCAAAGCAAATTTCAAGAGATCCCCAACAATCAGCATCCTATAGGCTACCTTTACTAGTCACAATCCAGTATAACTTAAGTAAAAACCACATACATATATATATGTATATACATATATGTACATATGTGTATGTATGTGTATATATATATACACAAAATATATAACCATAAAGAAAAAAATTATTCTCAACAATTTTTGGGTTGAAGAATAAAGAAGTAATGTCATAATCAACTATAGGAAGATAATAATGAGAATAATATATATTAAAATATTTAAAGGAGTAAAAACTGTGATCCTAGAAAAATTTATAACCTTAAACATTTGTATTACTATGCAAGTAAAAGATACAATAAATAAGTTAACAACAAAGAGACCAAGAAAAAAACAGAAAGAAGTAATGGTGAAATATAAAATTAGACAGCAGTACTGGGATACTTGTGTTAAAAATTATTGAATACATTATAAAAAGAGATGAAAGCAAAGAAAAATGATTAGGTGTACAAAAATAGATAAAATAACTTTTAAATAGGTTATAAAACAATTTAATACAGTATAAAAATCATGATTACCTATAAATCTCTATATAAAGAAATGTAAGATTATCCATATAAAGATTTTTCTTAAATGATTTCTCTCTAGAACTAAAATAAATGACTTAAAGCATTAGAACACTTAATGAACATTTATAAAATATATTAAAGTTATCATACTTCAACCATTCTGCAGAATCACATGATTTGGGTTGCATTTTAAAATTTTTTATCACATAATTTATATAATATTCCCTAAATCATAGATAAGAGAGAAAATATTTGTTTTGGAAATTAATCAGGTTAGTAAGTCACTCCAACTTAAGTGTACTATGATGTCTCAGACAAAATATTATCTATGAAATATTAAAAATGTTTAATTATAAACTTGGAAGGTAGAGTATAGAAGGTGATATTCAGAATAGGGTATCTTGTGTTTCTAATTCAGAGGATATGTAATGTCAAATATTAAACATTGGCAGAACTTCGGGATTTTAAGCAAAACTGGTTGCATAGATTGTGTTAAATCATTAAATTTAGAAGATAATCAATTACCTTTATTTCCTTGCCATCAAGCCTGTTCTCACTGATCTTTCTGAGTTTGGCTTTCTGTAATCTGAGTGTTCTTTGGTTTCTTCTTGAGTATGGTTAGTTAAATAATTGACCAAATAATCATTCAGGTAACATAATGTTTAAAAAAAAATATGTTGTAAGTTAGGAGTCATCAATCACATTGATTTGGATTAGAACTTCCAAGGACTGTTTCCCTGGTGTCACTGAGGAGTGTATGCTCGTCCTTCATGACATTGGCTCTGCAAGGACTGATGTTTCATCTCCTTAACTCTTGTTTCAGGTTCTTACTCATCAAAACCACATATAGATGATGCCCCAGGTCCAGTGTACTCCATGAATGGCAGATCAAGGCTTAGTGGGAATTGAATCATATAATTTTACTATTCCTCTTGAAGAAAAACAAAGTATAAAATTATAAACTTAGGCACAAGAGTAAACATTTATTCACAGAAATAGAAGAAATATTGAACGATAATTGCAGAAAGCTGAAAAATTCCAGAAATATTCCAGATAACCTTTGGCTTGTATTAAATCAGTTTTCCCAGGAACAAACTCCAACATTCATTTTTTTTTTTTCCTATAAGTTACTTAAATAAAGAAATCCTCCTAGGGGAGAGAAGAAAGCCAAGGACGCCTGGGATATCAGACAAAGTCCCCAGAGGATAGCCATCTTGATCTCAGCAGCGTCTTGGCCAGGTACAGGGGGAGCTAAATTTTCATACTACTGCAGGCCAGTCAGAAACTGGCTGTATACCCAGCCAAGGCATGCCTGGCTCCCCATACCAAAGGAGGCAGTGTATAAAATGGTAAAATGGGATCTGAAGAGGTCAAGGGACACACTAACATGGTCTGCTACTGGATTCCCTATGTTGTAAACATTGTTTCTCCTTCATTACCCAAATGATTTTTGTGCCAGGTGTCATTATATTGCAAGAATGCTCTCTTCTGTGCACCAGATGAGATGGCACAGTAGTAGGGAGAGAAGTTCCTTGAAGCCATTCACAAACTTTGGAGACTTAGCAATGCTTTAACCACACATGGAAATGGCTGTAAACAAATAAATATATTCCCCTAATTAAATGCATTCCCATTAGTACTTCTACTTAGCAGAGATTCCCAAGAGGAAGCCACTTCAAATCTGCCCTACACAAGGGGAAATGTGATGAAAAGGAAGTCAGAATAAAAAACGATGGTAGACAATAGATTTTAGTTCAAACACCCAAATTCTACAGATGTAACGAAAGCATATGATCATGTGAATGCTTTTCTGGGATCCTTCTCAGATTCTTGGAGAGGTCCATGAACGTGAGGGGTCCTTAGGCCTATGGTTTATTTGTTTCATCATAAATCTACATATGATTCCATGCTATTTGTTTTCTGGGCCCTCTGGGAATTTTTTTTTAACTTAAAATGGACACAAAAGAGATTTATTTGCCTGGCACAATATTAATGAGAAAGCAATGTAATAAGAATGATCACATTTCAACACAAGACTCAGTTCTCTTCCCTCCAATGGACTACTTCATGAAGTTCCTTCTGTTCCCTTGTAACTGACTTAGCCAAAATTATCAAGGGATCTTACTTTACTTGTTGGCTTCTTTCAACTCAACTTTGCAGTCAGACATATACTAATTTCAGATTTTTCTGATCTGAAGTTGAAGGCTCATTGTTAGTTTAATTTCTCATGTGATTATATCATAACCTCAGCTCTCTTCTGATGAAGATGGGTCTCATGAATCTGTGCAATGTGATGTACTCATACTCATTTTTGTGTGTATCCCCATGTGTAAGATAAGAATTGAGATTACTGGGGTCACAGGAACTGGATGACATGTTCATTGCACACTATGACCACAGCCTAATGTCTGAGTCTCTGACTTCCTATCCAATCATTAGGCCTGGACCATCACTGATGTGGATGATATGGATGTGGCAGGGAGCCCCCCACTGAGTGAGTTTAGCAATGTGATATAATCTACTCTCAGGGTTTGGGAGCAACAAAGTTGAGGTTTCCCTGTGTGTATTCCTCATAGTAAGCAGTCTTTGTAATGCCTATATGAAGTGTGAGCAACTGTAACATCTAATTCACCCAGATAGCAACTCTTGATTTTTAATTTTCTGGAAATAATGGAGATATCCAGTCTTTATGGATGGTGAGGATTTTCAGGGTCTGGGGTAGTAGAATAAATTTCTATGACTTCTCCCTGTTGGCTCCATGGACAGCTTTCAGATTTTCAATGACGTCTGTTTCCTTGCCAGCCAGCAAGCACGTATAGGTGAGGACTGTGTTATCTTTACATCCCTAGACCTTAGTATACTGTCCAGTACCTAATATTAGCTAAAAAAAAGTTTGTTACTACTGATTCTGTTCTAGCAATATTCTTATTAGACTAAATATTCCCATAGGTCAGAGGTTGTATTTCAAACATTTCCTTCCCGAGATTACCTGACTGACACATGATAAGCTTCTAAGATATTTGCTCATTTGAATCAATGTATTCAAATTACATTAGTATTAAATGGATCAACACAGTCACAGAGCAGATAATTGGTTTTCCTTCTAATGTTTCTCTTCTTCCTATAACCTGGGTCAACAGAATATAAATATAGTCATATGTTAATAAATTTTAAAGAAAACTTAATTTGTCTGTGGTCTACATGTTCTTAAAGAACATTGAGCACCAAAAGTTCTTTAAAAAAAATGACAAAGGGAAGACAGGGACTTCTTAAAGTAAAATAGTTTGCCCCATTCCTTGATTTTTGAAACAATGTAATTGAATGCAGTTGTATAACACAATTCACATTTCAGAACTGAGATGTTCTTACTTGCCAAGTGGCACTTGCTGACTTCCCATTCACTCTTTATTCTATTATGCACTTACTATTGGTTTTAGAGTAATTTCTTTGTGAATGAAATTGTCCAATCTCAATTTCCAACATGGCTTGCTCCATTTTAACATTCAGCGCCCTGTTCTCCTAACACACCTCGATCATTCATTGAACCTTGCCTTTCTACACTCCTTTAGATGGCTTTATGAAGATGAGTATACAAGTTAAATATTAGTCATACTTCAGGACTCAATTCATTTGCATTCTCTAGAAAACCTTCCGTGATTCTTTAATGATGCAAACACAATGCCACACTCATTCTTTGATTGTTTTTCATGTCTCTAGAAGTCGAGCTTCTTGAAGCCAAGGCTGCATTTTATTTGCTCTGTCTTCTGCACTCAGTACAATGATGGATGCAAAGTAAGATCTCAAAATGTTTAGAGACTGACTGATGGGCTAACTCTGTGGTTCTCAGCTGAAAGTGATCTTATGCTCCTATTCATGAGACATTTGACAACATCTAAATACATTTTTGATTGTTTAAACAGAGAGCTGTGGAAGCCGAGAAACCTTCAACTAATGGAATGAATACTACCTCCACTTTATCTTCATAGACTAAGACAAAATGTCAAATGTAGTTTTAATACATAGAGCTCAAGGTTACAATTTGCCTTCCCATCATTTTTTGTTGTTGTTGTTTCTGAACTTTTCGGTTTATTTTTCAAGGAAAAAAAAAACAACATAGAGTGACTCCATAGTTTGGGAACTTTATTTTTTTAATTTTTTTTTTTTTTTTTTTTTTTTTGAGATGGAGTCTCACTCTGCCACCCAGGCTGGAGTGCAGTGGCGTGATCTCAGCTCGCTGTAACCTCCACCTCCCAGGTTCAAGCAATTCTCCTGCCTCAGCCTCCTGAGTAGCTGGGATTACAGGCAGGTGCCATTGTAGCAGGATGAGTGGCAGACAAATCCTCTCAGACATGGAGTTGTAGAAGGAAGGGCTTTATTCAGCTGGGAGCATGGGCAAGCTACTGCCTTAAAATCCGAGCTACCTGAGTGTACAATTTCTGTTCCTTTTAAGAGCTCACAACACTAAAGATTTCACATGAAAGGGTCGTGATTGATTTGAGCAAGCAGTGGGTACGTGACAGGGGCTGCATGCACCGGTGGTCAGAGTGAAACAGAACAGGGCAGGGAGTTTCACAATGTTCTTCTATACAATGTCTGGAATCTATGAATAACACCAGTTTCTAAGTTATGAGTTGATTTTTAACCACTAGGTTTAGGCCAGGCAGGCCCAGGCCTGGTTTTGGCCCTGGCACTGGGCTGCCTGTCTTTGATTTCACTTCCTTGTTTTTTTTTTTTTTTTTCTTAAAACAGGTACTGAGCATAAAACAATATAAAACCATATGAGAGGGTCTCTCTCTTCCCTCACCATCATGCCCAGGTAATTTTCGTATTTTTAGTAGAGATGGGGTTTCACCATGTTGGCCAGGCTGTTCTCGAACTCCTGACCTCGTGTTCCGCCTGCCTCAGCCTCCCAAAGTGCTGGGATTATAGGTGTGAGCCACTGTGCCCGGTGTTTCAGCTAGTAAGAAGACAAATGCAAAGCTTGTTTTCTTGAATTAATAAAAATGTAATGCCTTCCAACTAAGTTTTCGGGTTAGAATTGTGAATACAGAAGTGCACCTAATGTAGTCAAAATTAGCTACCAATTTCAAGTCACATTACTGAATAAATTAGATTCCAGTGTTTGTCTATGTACATGTTGTTATTAATTACCCAGTAGTATTCCCCAACCAGCGTTTCAGAAATAATTGAATTTTTAAAAAATATCCTTAGAACACAAAGAAGTGTTCTTTCAAAGAACATGCAAACATGCAAACAAACAAAAAGCAAAAACAAAACCCCCCAAACTCAAGAGATTTTACTTAGGATTATAAGGAAATACATACCAATTTTGTAACCAACAACAGTGGCCACAAATATAGACTCTAGCACAGCAAACATAAAGAGTGTCTGCTCATGTGTATGTGTGTATGTTGATCTTCTGCAGCTCACAGATAGATAGATAGATAAGAGAGATAGATGATAGATAAGAGAGACAGATGATAGGTAAATGAGAGAGAAAAAGTGACAGGTAGCAGGAGATTAATATAAATAAAACATATATGTGTACATATAAATAAGTATTCTGGAGAGTACACACACCCACACACATGCACATATACACACAACCCATAAGCACACACACATGACATATAGAGCCTATTCTCTTGGTCATTAAGCTAGCATACACTCATTGTCAAAATTTTAAAAGGCACTGAAAGAATAGAATGCAAAAGAAAATAAAAAACACTGGCATATGAAATTAAGCACTAGGCAAAAAAAGTTGTCCATTTATTATATTTCTGCAGTACAATGAGGGAAAACACAGATGCATCTATGTTTAGGAATCAATTTCTATGCATTCTCCAGAAAACCTTCCTTGATCCTTTAGTGAAGTAAACTCAATGCCAGAAATTGAGGAACTGAGTCCTGAAGTGTTATTAGAAACATTCTCTACATAGAATTTATTATCCTGCCTTTTTTACTGAATATATAGTAAGTACAAGTTGACAATCCATTAAATTTTCTTTTAACGTGATTTTAAATGAACACATAAATTCAACACATTGAAGGTTTAGGGTTTTTTCATTTTTTATCATTGCAAACAGCACTATCATTACCATTGTATGTAACATTTCTTCATATTTAAATTTGTTTTGAAAGTAAAATTATCCTGAGGATTTTTATCCTGATTGTTTTTGAATGCCTTATATTGTATACATTATACCAATTCACAAAACTATTTTAAAAGTAGCATTTAATTAACACGTAATATTTCACAATATGAATGTGTCAAAATTTATATTAATATTTTTATTTTTTATTGATAGATCATAATTGTACATATTTGGGGGTAACATGATATTTTGATACATACATACAATATGTAATGATCAAATCTGGGCAACTGGAATACCCATCATGTCAAACATTTATCTTTTTTTGTTTGTCTATTTTGAGACCATTACAATTCTTCTCTTCTAGCTATTTCAAAATATACAATAAATGATGTTAACTATGATTTTCCTACTATGCTTTTGAATACTAGACCTTATTCCTTCCATCTAACTGTGTTTTTGTACCCATTTACCAACTTCTCTTCATTCCCTGCACCCTCCCTTCCTGGCCTCTAGTAATCACCATCCTACTTGCTACCTTTTTAGCTCCCAAATATGAGTAAGAACATGCAGTGTTTTGTCTGGTTTATTGCACTTAACATAATGGCATCCAGTTTCATCCACGTTGCTGTAAATGACAATTCATTCTTTCTTGTGGCTGAATAACACTCCACTGTGTACATATACCACATTTTCTTTATCCATTCTTAAGTCGATGGTATCTTGGTTATTGTGAATAGTACTTCAATAAACATGGGAGTGTAGATATATCTTCAGTATACTGATTTCCCTTCTTTTGGACATATACACAGCAGTGAGATTGCTGGATCATATAGTAGTTCTAGTTTTAGTTTTTTAGGGACCTCCATTACTGTTGTCCATAATGGCTATTCTACTTTACCTTCCCATCAGCAGTGAATAAGCATTCCCCTATCTGTGCATCCTCACAAGCATTTGTTACTTTTTGTCTTTTTGATAATAGCCATTCTAAGTGGGGTAAGATGATATTTCACTGTGGTTTTGATTTGCATTCCTCTGATGATTAGTGGTGTTGAGCACATTGATGATTATTAATATTTCTAATACATTAATAATATAAATAAGTTAAATATGAACATTGTATATAAATACTCTTGTACTTCTTTGATTATATTCTTAGTTCATAATTCATATTATTGGCGAAAGGAATAAGTATGTATAAGGCTATTTGTCTAATAGACTGGATAATTTCCCACTAAGAAGGATTTTTTTCAACATTCATCATTAACAATTAAAACACCTGTCATATGTATTATTGCAAACACTCTATTTTATTCCAAAAATAAATTGACAGTTTGATAGGCAAAACAAAATATTGTCATATTTATATTTATTTATTTGATTATCAATGAGATTTGAACTGTTTTCTACTTTAAAAGCCATTTTTTGGTTTTCTGTTGCAATTTACCTAACATGTCCTAAACTACTTTTATCTATGGAGATCTCATTTTCATTCTTACAAATTTTTTGAAAACCTTGGATTTTATTTATTTTAATATATGAAGGGTTTTCTACCTAGAGTGACCAGAATAATATTTATTTCTCATGTTTTCTATTTTCTATCTCTTTACTCCCCCAGGGAGAAAGAAAATTTTGCTGGAACTCAATGTTTGTCAACAGACAAGTGATTGCATTACCCTTGACAGTATTCACTATCTACAGTGCAAGATTACAAAATAGTTTCCAAGAAAGTCTAGGCAGCATGATTTCTGCTGTCATATCCAAGCAACAAATTGGCAGAGTGGCATCTAGTACTTACCTAGCATGAGTATGCTATGCATTATGACTTCAGGTGCTTCTTCTTTTCTCCTATTCTTTTCTCATCATAAATTTCAAATAATAGGACGTCTGAGCATCAGCTAGACAAGTAGCACTCAAACAATTGTGTGGGATTTTTTTTTAATCATCTCTACTACCCTGATGATGTGCCCACTTTGGAAATGATTGTCCTAGTCTCCCAGAGGTACATCTACATCAACTTGGCTGGATTGAGGTAAAATTTTCACCAAATTCCACTGGCTTTTTAACATTTTGAAACAGTAGAAATCGGTGCCTGAAATACAGTAATTTAAACTTCAAGAGACCATAGGACTTGTGTAAGAAAATTATAAGTCGTCATGGAATGAAAAAGTTTTCCAGTTCTGTGTTTCTCAAAGGTTGGTCCAGATGCTCATATTGGTCTGTGAACTGTTTATCATCAGCCTGAGATGAGAAAGGTATAGAAATTAGGAATAAACATTTGGGCACTTATATAATTATTTGATTTTGTGGTGGCATTATTACATTTTGTAAAATTATTGATTATCAATGGACTGGAGGAAGAAAAAACTAGCCCTTCACCACAAAAAGCTTAAGAAACAGTCCTTGAACAGTGATCTCTTCTAAATCCAAGGTTTCTACTCAACCCCTGACAATTAACATGTGATCAGGAAGAGTTAACCCCACTCACTGTGTAGTCCTCTTGCAGTTTCTCCTTTGTTGGGTCATGTGATTATTTTTTGGGGTATTTTTGGATTTTTTGGATGTGCGAATCCCAAAAGCATAGTGCAGGTATGAATCAACATCTTTAGAGAATAAACTTTAGAATCTTGTAAGATTTGGGATTTAATAAAGTAGATAAAAATCGTGTTACAGAATGAATATTATAGAAACAAAATTATAACAAATTAGGATCTTTCATTTTAGACTAGTTTATTAGCAATAAAAAAGTAAATATATATAGTTAACATGATAAAAATTCAAGAGGAAGTATTTACATAGGAAAAGATTGAGAGAGGGTCTTGAGAAAACTGTTAAACAGCTATGTTAGCAAAAATGAGTCCTATTTTTCCATAGATTAGATGGTTCAAATATATAAACATGTCACTTCCTTTCTAATTGTTCTAAAGGTTTAATGCAATTTTTATCAAAATCCAAGCAAGTCTTTTGTACATAGATAAGCTTATTCTAAGGTATATCTAAAGTTACAGGCCCTAGAATAAAACAATTATGAAAATTAAAGAATAAAGTGGGCAATTTTGAAAAATAGAGAATAAAGTATTACTTACCTATCAGACCAGACACAATTTTAAAAACGAATAATTGACAACAAATGCCAGTGAGGATGCATGGAAACCTAGTGACTCTCACTTGGTCGTGGGTGTCTAAAATGGCACAGCTACTCTGACAAAGAGCTTGACAGTTTCCTATAACACTAACTATGCAATTGCCATGTGAACCAGCAATTGTGCTCATGGGCATTTGTCCCACGGAAATAAAGACTTATGTTCACACAAATACTGTATAAAATGTCTGTAGCAGGTTTATCTCTAATAACCCAAAACTGGCAGCAACCAGGTGTCCTTCAGCAAACTGTGAGACATCCATGTCAGCAGTCCCCAACCTTTATGGCAGCAGGGACTGGTTTCGTGGAAGACAATTTTTTCCATGGATCGGGGTGGGGGATGGTTTTGGGATGAATCAAGCACATTACATTTATTGTGCACTTTATTTCTAATATTTGTATTGTAATATATAATGAAATAATTATGAAATTCACCATAATGTAGAATCAGTGGGAGCTCTGAGCTTGTTTTCCTGCAACTATGGTCCTATCTGGGGGTGACAGGAGACAGTGACAGAAACCAGGCATTAGATTTTCCTAAGGAATGCGCAGCCTAGGTCCCTTGCATGTGCCGTTCACAATAGTGTTCACGCGTTCCTATGAGAATCTAGTGCCACCACTGATCTGACAGGAGGTGGAACTCAGATGGTAATGCAGGAATGGGGAGCGACTGCAAATACAGAGGAAGCTTTGCTTGCTAGCCTGCTGCTCGCCTCCTGCTGTGTTGCCCAGTTCCTAACAGACTACGGACCAATAGCAGTCCATGGCCCGGGGGTTGGAGACCCTGATCCATATCATGTAATATTACCCAGCAGTAAAGTGAAAAAAAAAAAAAAAAAAAAAAAAAAAAAAAAACAAAAAAAACTAATGATACACATAGTTTGCGTCCACTTATATAACATTTCACCTATATAATGTTCTTGAAGTGAAAAAAATAATAATTAAATATAAAACAGATTAGTGACTGCCAGAGGCTGGGAGAGTGAGGATGCAGTGGAGGTGGGGGAGGGGAGAGGTTAACAAAGCATAACAGGAGCAGGGGATTCTTACGGTTATCAAATTACTCTGTACCTTGACAGGGTGATGAACACATGCTTCTATCTACATATGTGTTAAATTGTTCAGAAGTAAATACATACATACACATAAATGAATACAAGTAAACCTGGAGACATCCAAATGAATCAGTGGTTTCCATCAAAGTCAATATCCTGGTTGTGATATTGCTTTGCAAGATATTACCTTTAGTGAAACTAGGAATAAACGTTACATGAGATCTCTCTGTATTATTTCTACCGGTACAAGTGAATTGATTATTATTGTCAAATTAACATTTTAGTTAAAAAATGGATCCTACTGCCGGGCGCGGTGGCTCAAGCCTGTAATCCCAGCACTTTGGGAGGCCGAGGCGGGCGGATCACGAGGTCAGGAGATCGAGACCATCCTGGCTAACATAGTGAAACCCCGTCTCTATTAAAAATACAAAAAATTAGCTGGGCGTGGTGGCGGGTGCCTGTAGTCCGAGCTACTCGGGAGGCTGAGGCAGGAGAATGACGTGAACCCTGGAGGTGGAGCTTGCAGTGAGCCGAGATCGCGCCACTGCACTCCAGCCTGGGAGGCAGAGCAAGACTCCGTCTCAAAAAAAAAAAACAAGATCCTACTATAAGATCTTGCTGTGAATGTCAAACATAAAATTCAGGCTGCAATTGTAATGTAATTTAGTTTGAACATTAAACTATTAACCAAAACATTCTACCTTTTCTACTATAACATTTATGCATTATCTTGATACATTGTGGTTGTATTTCACAAGATAAAGTCCCTATGAAATTACTTCATTATCATACACTGTGAAAATTTGTTTCCTATTATCCATGGACTTATTTTATATTATGACTTTTTCTGATAATAATTAATATAGGATAATGAAGACCTCCTTACATAGAAATGACAATAAGGCCTCAGTAGCCCTACTGCAGAATTTCCTGGGATGCAAAGACATGGGCAGCTGCCTCTCTTGAATTTCCCGTGGTTCTCTGGAAGACGGTCTCATCACAGTGGGCTTGGTGGAGGGCCATCCAAGGAGCCGGGGTGGAGGGCAATGCCTGGTGTCCTGCTTGGCATCAACTTTGGATTTCTGAATAAATGACAGGCATGGGGGACGTGCTAAGTGTCATTTGGCACCACTCCTGCACCAAACTCTGCTGTCATTTGGGCTAGGAAGCCTGTTCTTTTTGAAAGAACAAAGCTTGTTTCAGGGTCAGCTGCCAATTGTGTTTGACATTTTAGTTCTACAAATTAAATACCCTGGTAAAATTTTCTCTAGGATTCTAGTAATAAGTTGGCTGTCGTGGTTTTTAATGTTATTTTCTGTGGCTTCTAAGGCTTTGTAAGGGGAAATTGGGAGAATCTGAGTGATAGACTTTTGTCCCAAGACCATCAAGAAGTCAGAAAGATGCTCCTTGCCTTCCAAATCTTACATGTTTGTTGATTAGAAAATATTTTTGGCACAATAGATTGTACTGAGTATTCCTAGTGATTAATTTTAGTTTTGCTTTTATGAAAATCAGACGAATATAGCTTTAGAGTTTCTAAAATCTTGATGACACTTGTTTTTATATTTAATACATTCATATATCAAATATCTATTTTATCTTTATTTTGGCTAAGAATTGTCATAAAACTCTGTTTGAGCCTTTATTCCAAAATTTATTTAACTTCTCTGTAATCGAATTAGCATTTATTTCCAACTAATCTGTGATGCTACATTTATTATTTATTAAATTCCTGTGTCTGTTTCTGAGGTTCAGTTCCTATTAGCTATTAATATTACTTACACCACGCTATTTTCATTACTGTACTTTGCAATTTATATCATTAACACAAGGAGTCCTGATTTTAGTATCATTCTTTTGCATAGTTTCCTTCAATATTCCTGCTCATTTACTCTGGTAGATAAACTTATGAATTACTTTGCCAAGGTAAAAGAATAGTCCACTCTATTTTTAATTGCATTGCATTAAACCCCGCATTGATTTAGAAAGAATGTCATGTTTGGCAACATTTAGTCTTCATATTTAGGACTATGATATATTTCTCCATTTATTCAAGTTTTCTTTTATGACCTTCTGTAAAGTTTCATGGTTCTTTCAGAGCAATCAGGTAATTGCTTGTTATAACCATTCCTAGGAAAAATGTTATGTTTTCTTGCTATTTCAAATAGAATCTCCAACTCTGTTCTCCAAAACGTTATTAATTTAAATATGTGATATATAAAAAATACATCCATTTCTTCCAAATTGCAACTAGAAGATTACAGTTTGGGCCCTTCCAGGAAGTTCCCGACTGTAGTGTTCATTATGTAGCACCCAAAAAATAGAAGCCTTTAGTCACTTCATCCAGCAAAAATAGTTACCCCTTGTGTGCATTGCATGGAACTTTCTCATTGGTAAATATTATTATGTAAAATATTTTTTCCAGCCAAACACTTTTGACTTCATTTATGTTTTGGTGTACACAGTGTCCAAAAGGTAGTTTATTTATACTCTTCTTGCTGAATGTATTCATTATAAAGAAAAGGGATCAAAACTTCCTGGAATTAGGGAAATTCAGGACATAATTGCTTAAGGATGCTGCATTGCAGTTTCTGAATTTATCCAAGGTTTCTCTCTTATTTGTTCATATTGAGTTACAGAATCTCTGACTCTAGGGTTTATGATGCCTCAAATGAACCTTTGTAGACCAAGCAGTTTGATATACATAATGTCCTTCTTTCTTGGAAATCTCAACTCAACAGCACTGTGTTCAGGGAGTTACCTATGAGAATGTTAATTACAGGTGACTCCCAAGGAAATAAGTTATCAATTATATCTGAGTGTTTCAATATTTCCTCTGAAATGATAATAATGCACCTTACGTTTCAGTATTATCTGATAGAATGCTGTAAATTCAGCTAACACTTGTCAAGAGGCTTGTGGCATCTTTAAATCACAGATCTTAATGAAGGTTTGTCAAGGCCCAAGCTAAGTAAATGTGTTTCATGTATCAAAGGGAATTACATTTCCTTTTGTCCCTCTATATTCAGGCTAAAAACAAAGGGGAAATTAACTTGGGAAGTAAATTACTTGTTATTGGGTTGGAACAAAAATTCTAGCAATATTCTCCTAAACACCTTTTTGGTAACCATTTAAAGATATGAGGCTAATTACAATCTGTGTGCAAAATCAGATTTATAATTAGTACTGAAATGAATTACTGCATCAAAAAATTGAATTCTTGTGGTCAAAGTAGATTCTTCACACAATAGATACACTATTTTGATATACAAATAGAAACATTTACTTTAGGAACACCAATTTGAAAACTGAGTGTTTTTTGTCATGATACTTTCTGCCTTTTGCTCCTTCTGCAAAAGGCCAGATTTGTTTTAAAGAGGGAACAGGGGCATGATCTAGTCTTTTTCTACCTTGCTCTACTACCTCTTGACTGCTGTTCTTCTGCCACGTTGTAGCAGAGAGAAGTTAAAATGGCAAAGCCTTCCTCCAGCTCCCTCCTGGGTTGATTTTTGCAGCTTCTAGGGCTTTAAAGGACCAGTTCACATGGCCCTTTGTGCTTTATCCATCTGTTATGGGTTAAATTGTGTCTCCTAAAAATATGTATGTTAAAGTCCTCACCTTCATTGCCTCTGAATGTGATCTTATCTGAAAATAAGGTCTTTACACAGATAATAAAGTTTAAATGAGGTCATTAGGGTATACCCTCATCCAATATGACTGGTGTCCTTATGAAAAGAGGAAATTTGGATGCAGAGACAGATATGCACAGAGAAAAGACCATGTGAAGCCACAAGGAGAGCTCCATGTGAAGATGAAAGCACAGATTGGAGCAATGTATCTACAAGCCATGGACACCAAGATTGCTGATGAATCTCCAGCTGGCGAATCATCTTCTAAGTGAGGAATCACTTAGAAGAGAAGTATGTAACAGACTCTCTCTTGCACCCCTCAGCAGGAACCAACCCTGCTCATTTCTTGATTTTGGACTTCTGGCTTCCAGACAATACATTTCTGTTGTTTAAGCCACCCAGTTTGTGATACTTTGTTACAGCGGCCCAGCAAACTAATACACCAGTCAAAGAAGGCTGACTCCAAATTCTATGCAGAAATTCCCTCTCCGTAAATCTCTGGCTGTTCCCTGAAACACATGTGCTTGTACAAGAATACCTAAAAATAAAAGAATTAAACTAAAATTTAGCCTGCTGCCTCAGAAACAGCTTGCAATTTAAGCCCTACCAGATTAATTATCTGCTGAAACAGAACATGAACATCCTTTCAAGAAAAATAACAGGCTGGGCACCGTGGCTCATGCCTGCAATCCCAGCACTTTGGGAAGCTGAGGAGGGTGGATCATTTGAGGCCAGGAGTTTGAGACCAGACTGACCAACATGGTGAAACCCCATCTCTACTAAAAATACAAAAAAATATTAGCCAGGTGTGGCGGGGCGTGCCTGTAGTCCCAGCTACTTGGGAGGCTGAGGCAGGAGAATCGCTTGAACCTGGGAGGCAGAGGCTGAAGTGAGCCAAGATCACACCACTGCACTCCAGCCTGGGGGACAGAGGGAGACTCCATCTCAAAAAAAAAAGGAAAGAAAGAAAAATAGCAAATTTCGGAGTCTCACAACATGCTGGATACAATTCAAATTTGCTCAATTTTAGAAGACATTCAACTGAGATCAACCCCAAGATGACCCAGATGTTGTTTTTCAAAAGGGTAATAAAAACTATGATAGCTTTGCTTAATAAAATAAATAAAATTTGCTTCTAGTAATGAAAAGATAGGAAATATTGGAAGAGAAACAAAAGCTATTAAAAACAGCCATATGAGAATTCTAAAACTGAAAAATATAATATCTGAAATTTTAAAAAACAATGGGTCAACTTAATAGAAAAATGCAGCTGAAAAAGGAAAGAGACAGTCAATAGGTTAAAATTTTCTACATCCTTGCTAGCATTCAATATTTGTCTTTTAATTTTAGCTATTATACTAGGTATGTAACGTTATCCCATTGTGCCTTTAATTTCTATTTCCCTAATGAATAATGATCTTGAAAATATTTTCATGTGTGTATTTGCCATCTATTATTCCCTTTGGTAATGTGCCTGTTCAAGTCCTATTTCCATTTTCTAATTGAATTTTTTTTAATTAAGAGTTTATATTCTGGGTACGAGTCCTTTGTTGGACATACTCTTATCATCCTCAGTAGGAGGGTTGATTTGAATTAGTAAATGTGTTATTGGTGAAAGTAAAAGTGCCACTGGTGAAAGTAAAAGTATGCATCTTTATTTTTAAGGGGTGTTAGGCTTGTATTCTAGGTTGATAGTTACTTTCTTTCAGCACTTTAAAAATATTATGCCAAATAGCATAATGTTTTGGATTATGATAGTATCAACTGTAGCAAATCAATATTAATCATCACAATTTGGCCAGTTTGTATACTTGATTAGGCAATCACTCTAATATATATATATATATTTATATATATATATGAAATATATAAAATAAATATATAATAACACTCATATATATCACTTTAATATATAAAACACACATGTATATGTGTATGTAACATACACATATGTATTTTATATATTATATAATATATAATTACATATAAATAACATATAGAATATATATTACACATAATATCTTATGTATAATATCACTCTAATATGTATATATCAGTCTAATACACATAAAATATATGTATTTATATGTTATGTATTATAACATATGCATTATATATGTATTTTATATATATTATATATTATATGTATTATATATAAATATATATGTACTTTATATATGACATATATCTTTATATATGTATATTATATATATTATATATATAATGTCTTGTAAAAGGAGATTTTGTATTGAGCACCAGAATGTGGCATCCAGAAAAGTGACAGTCTTCTTGGTTTCTTCTTTCTCTCCCAGATCTATCACTAAATTCTTCCCCTATTGTAGGACTCAGATTTCTCTGGACAGGCTTCCTTAACCCTAAACTAAAAGCCACATGCCAAATATTCTAAGTATAGCTTTTGAAGGGTGGGAAGATTAAAATTTTAAACTATGACAAGACATTCAGGAAATCTACAGTACTCCTTCTTAATTTCTACATCTGACCCATTTTGCTTGATTTCTTTATCTGACATATTTTGTTTTTGAAAACTTACTTGCCAGTTTGGATTTCCTTTCTCTCTCTTTCTTCCCTTTTTTCTTCTCAACCATTATACCTCCCAAAAAATCCTTAGCATGGAAGCGTCACTTCAGACCATATTTTCTGCAGAAATGGGCTAATAAAATTGGCAAGCGAGATTGGCAAATGGGTTTTGGCTAAAGATTATTGGTTTGCTGCTGTTGATATCACGATCAAAAGCTTCAGGCTATTTGTCCTTGGCTGCCCCTGTACTGAAGTAGGCACCCTGCTGTTCACCTTCTGCCTTGTTCACTTACAAATTTAGGCACTCAGAGTCATCTGGTAAGTTCTCATATCTAGTTTAAAAGGAACAGTTGAGAAAAGGCAGGCCAAGGGCACTGTCTGAAGGTCTTTATAGCACTTTGTCCTTGGACCCTTGCGGAGTAGCCACCCTCCATACATATGTACGAAGCAAATGTTCTCCCCACCCCTCCTTGTTGTCTGTGCATTATTCACTACTGATGAGAACTCTGTACTGATCATTTATAGAGCACATCGGGTCATTGCCTTTGATTTCCTTTTGCTCTCAAAGGGCATTTGAAACAAAGCACAATATTCAGTCTGGATGGTTTAGGCCCCAGGAGAGGGGAGTAGGGTGCCCAAATACAGCCTGCTTTCATTAAATGAAGGCTCACTCCAAGGGGATTAAACGATCTAATTCTATACTCCTTTTATTCTGTTTCTTTTAAGAGACAGAATACCTTATTACTTATCATATTATTGAAGATCTAACATATATTTACAATTGTGCTATTAAAGCTGTAGTTTATTACAACAAACATTGATCAATCACTTTTATATACTCTATATTGCTATACATTTAAGCTGAGGAAGGCACAAATTTAATCTGTGATATAAAACCTGTTCTCAGATGACTTACAGTGGTAGAATTGGGGGAAGACCTGGCTGATACACAGGAAACAATAAGGGAGTACAAGAGTGAGTACAGAAAAAAGTGCAAAAGGAAATATACACGATCTTTGACATGCATGTGGCATACCATGGGTGCTGAGTAGTCGCAATGGAGAGAGACTTTGAGGACTTCTCAGAGAAGTAAAAAGATATTATTAATAGTATATTAGTATCTACACAAACTATTGCCTGCAAGGAGAGAGACATAGAGTGGATCTTGGAAAATAAAATACTGGCAAATATACTCATATTTTTCTTTTCCCTATTATACATGTGTTTTTGGCAAAAAATGATAACATTAATGTATTTTATATATATATATATATATATATATATTAATTGCAGAAAATAGTAAGTTACATTTATGGCATAATAAGAAACCTAGAGTCCAGGGTTGGTGAAATGACTTCACAATATTATCAGTGTCTCAAGATCCTCCTGTCTTTCTGCCCACCCAGGCTTAGCATATGGCTGTCATCTCCACTTGTTTGCCTCACCCTGTTCTTTTCTTTTCTTTTCTTTTTTTTTTTTTTTTTTTGAGACGGAGTTTCGCTCTTGTTGCCCAGGCTGGAGTGCAATGGCATGATCTCGGTTCGCTATAACTCTGCCTCCTGGGTTCAAGCAATTCTCCTGCTTCAGCTTCCCGAGTAGCTGGGATTACAGGTGTCTGCCACCACGCCCGGCTGATTTTGTATTTTTAGTAGAGACGGGATTTCACCATGTTGGTCAGGCTAGTCTCGAACTCCTGACCTCAGGTGATCTGCCCACCTCGGCCTCCCAAAGTGCTGGGATTACAGGCATGAGTCATCGCACCTGGCCTTGCCTCACCCTTTCAATATGGCTGCTGGACCTCCAGCCTCATATTTCAGTCACTCTGGATGTTGTGAGGCTGTGAGGCTCTGCTCAGCTTTCCATTCTGGGGGACTGCAAGCCTAAAGTGCTCAGATGTCAGCCCCTCACAAGAATTGTCTTAGCTCAAAGCCATGCCCATTTTCTGAAATGGCATCATCCAATAAGTGATTGGCATAGAGCTCAGTCTTTTTTGTGCAACATGGAATAATACTGAAGGGTCATCTTATCTCGAGAGCGCCTTGTAGCTTTGTCTGAACTTTCTGTTCACACTGCATTACCTCTCCTCTTCCCTCCTGTGCCCAATCATACTCTCCTTTCTTTGCTCCTCAAGTTTTGATCCTATGAGAACTCCTAACAAGCTCTCTGCATACTAATCTCAGTCGCAGAGTCTGCTGCCCGAGTTACCCAAGCTATGGCACACTTTGAGTAGAAATAAGCTGGATATAGTAAGGAAGAAGGGGTGTCCATGTCAGGAAAGGCAAATTTTTCTCAGATACCCAGGAGAAATGTGATATGTCCAAATTGACAGAATTGTATTTCACAGCCACCCTTAACTACAAGTGAGACTGATAGCATACACTTTGGGCTGGATGTGTTGCCTTTTCACACAGAATATGAGATTACTACTTTTCCCAAAAAGTCCCCAGGAGACATCTGCACTGAAGAGAACTGAATTACCTGGCCATCATAAACAGCGAGGAAGACTGCAAAATGCCCTTTTTACCTGGATACACTGTCTCCACAAACAAAAATTGAAATTTTATTATTGAGAAAGAAGGCAAGATTGACGCTTGGATAAATATCAGTATATGTGATACATAAAGTAATGACATTGATAATTAATACTTACGGACATCTTACTATGTATCAGGTATTTTGCTATGCAGAGTTTTATATACTGGGTTATTTAGATTTCTCAGTAATCTTCTTATGAAACCCCCAAGATCTGTGGAACTCACAAGTTAATGTTTCTGTGTGTACATTAACACACTACTTATAATATTTTCTTTGGTAGGTCCCAAATAAGTTACAAAGAACTGTAAATGTCTTGTCATATATCCTTCTCATGATCAACAGTATGAGCTATTATTGCTAACCCCATTTAACAGATGATTAAACTGGGGCATATAAGGCTTAAATTGCATTATTGAGGCCACATAGCTGCCAAGATGAAAAACTGGGATTCGACCCACCTGTTTCTGACCCTTCAGCATATTCTTTTCAGAACCGCACTCCTCAAATCTTCTGCTCTGGTGAAGAGATTTCAGCTTTAGGACTACCCGTATTTTGTAAGTGACTCAGCAGTTCGTGCCCTTATATTCTAAGCCTTATGCTTGATGGCGTAGAATGAAAATTTTACTTGTTATCCTTGAAGAGTATATTCCGGTGGGAATAAACAGAAATGCAACTGCCACAGAGGATACAAGGTGATTGTTGCTATAATAGCAGTATGTAAACTTTATGGGGAAGGGAGGAACAATTAAATCAATCTAAGAACGTGAGTAACTTGGAGCTTGGAATCAAGTAACTTTAGGGCATTAATAAGATGATGTCTTCAGATCCCTTTAATTATGTCACAACTCCTTTTTGGGTTCTGATAACCATTCATTTTGGATAAAGTGAGGTAATGTTGATATGAGTAGAATTCCTATGTTATTTTGGCCATGTAATAAATGGCATTTATTTTGCTCATGAGCCTGCAATTTCAGTAAGGCTCAGTGCTGGAATGTGTCTCTGCTCCACTTAGTATCAACTAGGGGCTGGAATTGTCCAAAGGCGTGCTCACCCACACTTCTGGTGTCTGGTGCTAGTTCTTGGCTGAAACTTCAGCTAGGGTTTCCAGGGTCTAATCTGGGGCTTCCACAATTCAGTGGCTGGGTTCCAAAGTAGTATGTCAGCGAGAGAGAGCTAGGTCCACAATATGACCTAGCCTCGGAAGTTCCATAGCATCATTTGTATCATGCTCTATTGGACAGAGCAGTAACATGCACCTGAGAAAATTCAAGAGAAAGAAACAGCTATCCTGATCCTTGGTTGGAGGAGAGCCAGTCATGTTGTAGGAAAAGCATGTGGAGTGAAACACACACACACACAGGGGAAGACATCTTCTGAAAATGCGAAGGTCCACAAATTAATCATGTGAATGTAGCCAGGATTATGGAAGAGGCTGTTTATTGAAAGATTAAGTATTTGTCCCTACTGCCTACAGGTCCATTCCACAGCGACTAAATGAAATAATGTCTGTGTCTTAGTTTCTTCACCTGAGACATGTTTTATTTTGGTAGAGTGAACATGTTTGTCCATTTGGGTTTAGGACTGCTATAACAAAATACCTTAGGCTGGGTAATATTTACAAACAACAGAAATGTATTGCTCACCATTATGGGAGTGTAGAAGTCCAAGATTGAGGCACCAGCAGACTTGGTGTCTGGTGAGGGCTCCTTCTCTGCTTGAACGGTGATGGCTTCTCACCGAATTCTCACATGGGAGAAGGACAGAATGGCTTCCTCCAGCCTCTTTTATAAAGGCACTAATCCCATTTATGAGAGTGGAGTCCTCATGACCTAATCACCTCCCAAAGACCTCTATAATTCCTTCCTAGCCTGATGTTTTCAAACCATGTTCAGAAGCAATATTGAAGTTCCATATAGTTCTTTCAGTAATATTGATTGGGTAGCATCATATGTCAAACACTAGAATCAGATTTGAGAATAAAAATAATTTTAAAGAAATGCATTACCCTTTTTCCTCAAAGATCTCAATCTGCATTTGGAACACACACACACACACACACACACACACACACACACACACACACACGCACACACACATTATTAGAAAATAACCCAGAAGGGAAGTGACAGAATATACTTAACCACATTATAGAAACACAGAAAGATGGCTGGTCGCGGTGGCTCACGCCTGTAATCCCAGCACTTTGGGAGATCGAGGTGGGCGGATCACGAGGTCAGGAGATCGAGACCATCCTGGCCAACATGGTGAAACCCTGTCTCTACTAAAAATACAAAAAATTAGCCGGGCAAGGTGGCGGGCACCTGTAGTCCCAGGTACTCGGGAAGCTGAGGCAGGAGAATGACATGAACCCGGGAGGCAGAGCTTGCAGTGAGCCGAGATCATGCTACTGCACTCCAGCCTAGGCGACAAAGCAAGACTCTGTCTCAAAAAAAAAAAAAAAAAAAAAAAAAAAGAAACACAGAAAGATGTGTTCACGGACACAGGGAGGAGAACATCACACACTGGGGCCTGTTGGGGGATGGGGGGGTTAGGGGAGGGTTAGCATCAGGAGAAATACCTAATGTAGATGACAGGTTGATGGGTACAGCAAACCACCATGGCATGTGTTTACCTATGTAACAAACCTGCATGTTCTGTGCACGTATTTCAGAACTTAAAGTATTAAAAAAAAAAGGAAAAGAAAATAAACACAGAAAGATAGAACACTTAACCCTTCCTGAAGGAGGTGAACTTTCCTGGAAGACATGAACCCTAAAGGTTGCACAAACTTTAGGCAAAAAAAAAAAAAAAAAAAATCCATGTTTGGTGTGGGAGGTGGTAGTGAGGCATTCCTAATATTACCAAAAGCAAGAAGGCATTCCTAGTATTACCATAAGCATGGCTTATGGGAAAACGGCCACTTTCCTGTAGACAGGGGCAGATATGAGCCATGGCTACAAGGGTTGTCAGCGTCCGATCATAGTGAAACCTGCTCACGGGCTGTATTGTTGAAATCCCTAGGTGGAAACATTACAGTCGGAGGCAAGTTACAGTCATGAGCATTTTTCATTGTGGGTAATCATAATTTTTGAGGATTCCACATTTTAATAATTTCCCGCAGTGCAATTCCTGCCTTTACAATGTACAATATACATATATCTTTTCTTATTGTTAAGGAATTTATTTATGATTTAGGCTCACCAATCAAACTCTGAGAAATTTGATTTTGGATATTAATTCCACGAGAAAATAATCAGGGCATGCAGTATTCACTTTGGTGATCTGGAAGATTGAAGAGGCTGTGGGATTCTGTGATTGGGAGTGGGAGAAGCAGCTTTCTGATCGCAGAAAGGGTAGCATGATGTGTGGTTCTGTTAGTTTCTCTTGGAAGTTTAGCTAAGAGCCTATTCCTCATGGTCTTCCAAAAATTCTCTTCCATGTGTTAGTTTTTTTTCTGCCTAACCATCTTGAATGAATTCTGTTCTTTGTAACCAAACACTCTGGCAGATGCTTAACCCTACACCTCGCTTCCTCATATACAAATTATATTAATTATAAGAGTACTTATCACAGAAATAATGTAAGATATTAACAGAATAATTCATTAGTTGTAAGACAACCAAATTCTTTCACACCACAACTAGGCTTTTTAGTGGGAAATATACCTAATTTGTTTTCTTTATAACTGATTTTCTGTCTGTCCAAATCCCCAAAACGAAGTGTATAATTTTATATGAATATTTAAATGGCCTATTTAGCAAATAAACTTTTGTTTGGCTCAGATCACTTCATCTCTTAATTAACCTCAGCCTCTTCTGGCTTCTTGCTCTAAGATTTTATACAGGTTTAGAGAGTGGGAACGTGTGTGTACTTGACAAATTAAGTGAAGAAGTAGCTGAACTCTTCTTGGTTGTGTGCCAGCCAACGTCTGACAGCCTTAGGCTGGTGGCCTCTGACTATTGTATAATCTTCTGGAATCTGATGCAGAAGTCTTCTGCCAGTGACTTCTTGAACTTGACTTGGGCGGCCTTCCCAATGGCACTCTATGGATGTCATAACCTGCTTGATACCCTGCTGGCTGCAGACCCTTCCTTCTCTTGCCATGTTCTTTAGCCTGACAGGTGGTTGGCATATTTTACTTCAGCCTCTTTGCTTGGGTTACCCTGCTTGCCTTTTAATAGTTCCATTATATGAGAATTGGAGTCTGCTTGGAAAATTTATACCTCACAGTATTGTTAATGCCTGGCTGAGGCACTTTTGAAGTGGTGGTGCCAGCTTGGTGTGGAGAAGCTTATCAGGTGGCTTCTATCAGAGCCACATTTAAGGCAGTGGGCACAAAGCATTTTTTTCTTTCCCAGTGGGCTTAGCCACATGACTTTCTTGGCCAAAGGTATGTGGGTGGAAGTAACAGTGCCAATCTGAAGCTGCAGCTTTGAGTCCTACCACATTTCCATTTGCCTTTTTGAGTTCCCGTGCATGCTCATAAGTTATTTGCTATCATTGTTAAATCGTATTATGCTAGGCAATGGGATGGCCATATGGGGATTTTAAATAATCCTGTGGTAGTTTAGTAAACTATGGATTTGAGTGGTGTTAGCTTTAAAATGGAGATGGTCTTATCTGATCTGGGTGAGACAGGAGAAGGTGGTGCTCATCTGGGGGTGCACCTCTCCTTTTTCCCTGCTCCTTCCGCACCATGGATGAAAGACGGCTATGATTTTGTATGGTGTTAGACACATGTTTCCAGATGGTTATATGGAGAGATTTTGAAGACCAATTATGTAACTCAGGTTTGTGAAATGACCCTATGGCGTTTCTAGCCACTTTTTTTCTGTTTGTTTTTATAAATTCAATTTTATTTACCTACTATTAAATAGAGACAATTTAAGGTTATAAAATAATCAAGGAAACAAGTAAGATGGCAATGGAAAATGTGCTGAGTCTTGGAAAGTTACTAAATACTAACATAAGGTTGATTTTTTACATTATAAAGTTAAATTATATTTATTTATTTTGGGCAGAGTTTTGAACTGCTTTGATAAATGGTAAGAGCTTACTCTATATGCTACTGACTTGGCTAAATTCTGAATCCCAAATCCTGAAATTACCATACAGTGGAGTCATATATTTAGGCGGGTCTCTAAAGCAGTGACTTTTTAAGATAACTGAAGAGTTATATTTATTACCAGTAATGTTCCCTTTATTTATATCCTAACTTTTACAGCCTAATATTCTTATGTAATTTGTGTGTGTGTTATATTTCCTCTAACATCTCTCTTTAACACTCTGTCAATGAACGTAAACAGGGAGAGTTCTAGGAAAAATTGAAATGGCAAAAACAAGCATTTATTGAATGCCTACTATATGCCAGATGCTAAGATGGATCATTTCCTTTTAGCCATACAACCACACAAATGTATAGGTAACAATATTACCCCATTTTTAAATTGAGGAAACTGAATTTCAGAAGTAACTTACCCACAACCACAGATGAGTTGGTGGGTGAGATATGATTGGACTCCAGTTCATGCATGCAATATTTACTGTGTGCCTTTTAAAACTCCAGTCTGCAGATCCCTCCACTAATTTCATGGATTCCTTCTTCTTCCCAAATGAACGAAAAATATGTTATTGCTCAGTGGATCCCAGGCTTCTGTGTAAAGAAGAACCACCTTTAGGCATATTGTTCAAAGATTTCATTTCCCAGATTTTACGTAAAGAGACTTAGGCTCCTTAATCCTTCCTCTGCATGTCCAGAATCTGCATTTTTAAAGATCCCATAAGGGGCCACACATGCACTTTTGGAGAGACACAACTATAGAGTTTAGGACAGAGTACACATTCAGAAATATTTGCTGAATGAATGAACAATGGGCAAACAACTTACCTAATATGTAATCTCTATCAAATAAACCACAGTTCTCAAAACACCCAGAATCTGAATTTCAACTTGAGCTCATTTCACATACCTCGCTAAATTAAAGGAGGCGGGGAGCTCTCAGCAGGTGAAATAGGTGTAACTGCCAACCACATCACTGATTCTGTTGATTCCATCCCATAGCCCTATCCTGGGGCTTAACCCATCCTGTTCCTTAGGGGTCCTATGTGTTCCTGAGCCCTTCATGCATCCTTTTCATGATTTCCACTCAAACATTCCTCCTTACAGAGCCCTTAATTGACTCTTCCTTAACAACTTTTATCATTTTATAATTACTCTGCCTTATTTGATTCCTGCCATCATATTAACTACTTTTTGAATGAACAAACTATGGTTTTATACCTTATCAGTCTCTCTTTCTCTAGAATGAGGGCTTCACAAAGTCAGGTAGCTCTCTCTTACTTTAAATCTAAAGAGACTAATTCAGTGTCTGGTATCTGGCAGGGCTTCTGTGAATAACTGGTAAGTGAATGGATCAACATGTTTGAATCAAGGAACTCTATGCATTTATACTATATCAGGACACATAGGAGAAAAGTTAACAATTAAACAACTGATTAGCTGTCATTCTGACTATTTTATGAGGCTCAAGTCTTGTGTGAATTTAGTGTGAACTTTTTTCATCATTTTTCAAATGTCTTCTCAAAATAGACCCTATCACATACCAGGGATCCAAGTAATGCTTTTACCATAGTTTGGGAATCAGTTTTGAAATCAAGTTTTCTCCGAACAATGTCAACTTCACCAGTGGTAAATGTCAGCTGCGGGAGCAGCTGAAAGAAGAAAATGAGAGATTGAACAGGGTTCAGCTCAAATCTTCCATTATTCCAGGTGTCTAATAGCTGTCTCTTTGTTTATATAAATCTAAACAGATAGTGTGTGATGATAGTTTTAGGGAAGGCTCCCAGACATGGAGAAACAGGCTGTCAACATGATGAAACAGGCAGTAGACTAATTTTGGGGAAAAAAGTAAAATAAAATGCTATATTATGAAGTAAATTCTTTGCAATCTTTTGAGCAGCTAATACCAGGAAAGAGAAAAAATAGAAGCAGGCAACTCACAAGTGTTACAGTATTTGCCAAAGAAAATTTTCTTTAATTTATGTCACTTACATAACTACAGGTATAGTAAAGATTTAATGTATCTTTGAAGTGTTTAAACGCCCACAACAGCAATGTAACAGCTGCCGTTAGAGATTTGTCTCCAACATCAGACTAGAAGGTACATTGTCACTACAGAAGAGCATCAGTGACAGTAGTATTGTTCTCTCTCTTTTCTTTCTTTTCATCCTTGGTTTCATTCTCTTCTTTTTCTCCTTTCCCTTCCCTTCCCTTCCCTTCCCTTCCCTTCCCTTCCCTTCCCTTCCCTTCCCTTCCCTTTCCTTCCCTTCCCTGCCCTTGCCGCCTCCTTTCCTCCTTTCCTGCCTTCCTTCCTTCCTCCCTCCCTCCCTCCCTCCCTCCCTTCTGTCTTTTCTTAAAGAAGACTACATTATTTGGGATGCTGAACTTCCACTACCTTACCACTACCTTAACATAGCCAGCAAAACTCTCTGGGTGTTAAAATGCCACACTGAAGACATACGGAGAAGAGGGCATTGCCTTCAAGCCAGCAACAATTAATTCCTTCATTAGTTTGAGTGTAGCTTTCCATTGGTCTGCTATATTTCATAAAACTGCACTGTTTAAGATGATAAGCAAGGTGCTCATCAGCACTTTTGGAAAGAGGAAGAAACCAACCGTATGCAGATCAGTTTGAAAATGATGAAAAATTTTTATCCCTGTCTTCTTCCTCTACTTTGACCTCATTAGAGTGGGAAAAATGAAGTGGAAAACTCATTAGACTGTGAAGAAATGAGGCCTGGGTTTTCTTCTGTTTTGTGGCCTTGAAGAACTTAGTAAACTTTTGGGGCCTCAGTTGCATAATTTGTAACATAATAGAGGCTTGGGATTCCAGCACATAAGAATGTTCTCCTTTGAAAAATGATTTATTTCTGGTCCTTTGATAGATATGGTTAACAAAAGCTGTAATAATTGAACTTTATATGCCAACCACAATTCTATGCGTTTACCATCTATCAACACTCTTACTTACTTCTCATAACACACTTGGTTAGACATATGCTAATATTGCCATCATTTTCTAGCTGAGAAAATGTGAGGATTAAAGAGGTTAAGTAATCCATCCGAGATTTCTTAATTCTGGCCTGCTCCCAGATTTGAACCACGGCAATCTAGAAATAAATATCATCCTATCACTTTTCAAGGAATTGAGTTTCTATAACCTCACATTTGGTATCAGTTTTAAGCTTCTCCACTTAACAACGGTTTAAGTCTCAGTAAGTTACTGGTTGTGCCTCAGTTTCTTCTTCTGTAAAAGAGATTGGCACAGTGCTTTCCTCAAGGCTGTTTGGAGGAATTCAATTATCTTATATTATTATATTAGTCAGGACAGGCTGGGTTATGCTTCAGTAACATTTGAGTGTTCAAACTTTAGTGGTTTAAGACAACAAAGATTTATTTGTCACTATGTCTCATGTTTAATACAGTTGGCAGAGCTTCTGCCCCATATAATAACTCACAGGCTTGGGCTGATTAAGGCTCTCACAGCTGAAGAGTCCCCTGCACGTAGGGAAAAAGAAAGCAACTGGAGAGCTGCCTATATTCACTGTCTAGTCTGATGTGACCCACATCACAGCTGTTGGCCAGAACTAGTCATGTGGCTTTGCCCAACTGTCATCAAGTTAGCAGGTGCAGGGGAACAAATAAGAGAGTGGGCGGTCATTGCTCTCTGTGCCAAAAATGTGAAGGTCTTTCATAAGATTCCTGACATGTGGCTACCACTCAATAAGTGGTTATTACTGCCATTATCAGACGAATCACAATAAAAGCATGAGTGAGATATTGTTACCTATTGTTAGGCATTGCAAAATGATGTTAAAATTGAAAGCATTCAATACCATGACTTTTCAAGAGGTGTTGAAATGTAGAGATTAACAGAAATGCCAGATGATGGCTTTTTTGAACCCTAAAGATAAAGTATTAATTCTTCCTAAGTCACAGGTCAATCTGGAATCATTGCATACATGGTTAATTCACTATTCTTTAGCTTTTCTTCCTGAGCTCTTTCTGTGTTACACTCACCTGTCCATAAACAACAAAAAGTTGAGTATTGTCAAAGGAACAACTTGCTCATCCCATTGGCTGATTGAACATAAATTATCTTCATCCTTTTATGCCTCTTCAGCTCATTTATAAGGTATTGCCCTTTATTATGACAGATTTTATGATATTTTGTGATGACCAGCCATGAAGAGAAAAAGGTTTAATGCACTGACATCTAATTTTATTTTCTCTGGTACCTATTCATTTTTTAGAAGCATTTGACTTTGTGCCAGTTTAAGCAAGAAACTTTAAAAAGGAGATGATGACAGGGTTGGGAATTAAACCTTTAAATCAGAACAGGATTGGAAAGACAAATCACAAAGAGATTTCAGTCATTTAGCTTCCCTCCTAGCATGTTAATAAGTGGTACTCACAAAATAAAAAAAAGCACCATACCAGCCTGTTCTCTGTAAAATGTAGGTGTAGTATGTGCCATTTCTAGGCTGGACGATGAGTTATTAACACCAACCCAAACTAAGGGGAGGGTGAAAACATACACTGAGCACTTAATATATCCAAATCCCATAATTGATATTTTATTTACATTGTCTCACTTTACCTTCAATAAATACTGCAAAATTGCTATAATTTTTTTAGTATTAAAATGTGAAAAATAAACTTACAGTTAGAATGAACAAGTTCTGTGGACCTATTGTTCAGCATGGTAATGCTAGTTAATGATAATATCTTGTAAACTTTAAAGTTGCTAACACAGTAGATCTTTAATGTTCTCACCACAAAAAAAGATAAGTATGTGAGGTGGTAGATATATTTATTCATTTGAATTAATTTTTTCAAACTGCATACATACATCAAAGCATCACATTGTACACCATAAATATAAATCATTTGGCTGGGCGCAGTGGCTCACACCTGTAATCCCAGCACTTTGGGAGGCCAAGGTGGACAAATCACCTGAGGTCAGGAGTTCGAAACTAACCTGGCCAACATGGTGAAACCCTGTCTCTACTAAAAATACAAAAAAATTAGCTGGGTGTGGTAGTCCATGCCTGTAATCCCAGCTACTCGGGAGGCTGAGGCAGGAGAATTGCTTGAACCTGAGAGGTGGAGGTTGCAGTGAGCCGAGATTGTACCACTTGCACTCCAGCCTGGGCAACAGAGTGAGAATCTCTCTCAAAAAAAAAAAAAAAAAAAAAAAAAAAAAAAATATATATATATATATATATATATATTTGTGTATATACACGTATATGTGTGTGTGTGTGTGTGTATATATATAAAGATATACATATATAAAGGTATATATAAAGATATATATATATAAAGGTATATATATATATACACACTATTTTGTCAATTACATCTTAAAGCTTGGAGATTTTTTGAATATATACAATAGAAACTGGAAGAAGAAGGAGGTAAATTTAAGCTTGCTTCACACTTTGGCTTTCTTTTTACAAAGCAAAATACCTGTTTGCTTGTCCTTTGCACCTGCAGTTTCCTCCGGTTGAATGGTCTTTTCCCAGATTTTTGCATGGCTGTCTTCATCTTATCATTTGTCTCAACAAAAATTTCTTGGGGTTAAGGAGGGATCTTCCCTATGGAAAGTTTCTTCCAACTCCCAACCCTTGATTCTCTCCTGCATCATCCTGGATTTGTTATGTTTGTACACATTTCATAAGAAAGTAGTTCACTGTTTATATGCTCATTGCTTATTTTGTCTTTCTAATTATGCCAAGTTTATCAGGGCAAGGGCCTTGTATATCTTATTTGTGACCTTATCTCCAGTGCTTAGAAGAATCTCTGGCAAAGAGTAATTGCTCAGTGAGTACTTTTTAAGGTTTATCAATATAGTTTTTAGCCAGAGACACTGAAACTCGAAAAAGAGAAGTCACTTGCTCAAGATCACATGTCATGAAAATGGCAGCGCTGGGTCTAAAACCCAGGCAGTAGCTCTAATAGGTGACAGAGAGAGCAATTACCTTTTTGTCACTCACTCTTCGAAGTGCTTCAGATGTATTAACTCATTAATTCCCACTACAATGCACTTCGTTTTCATTCACATATTACAGATAAGGAAAATAAAACAGAAAGTTTCAATAACTTGCCGAAAGTATCTTACTTTATTGTCCACCACCCCTTCTCTACACTGTACTGTCTCTCAAGCATAGCTTTCAGAATATTATTCATTCTTTTATTTAATAAAAAGTGAGAATGTTCTTTAGCCTAATCTCCTCTGCTCAGGTAAGGGAGAGGGGAACTGAAATATAAGTTTTCCAATCATCTGCACAGGCTTTATTTACTAACACAGTGAATTGTAGTCTGCTTACGTAGAGTCACTCAATGAACATTTGTTAATGAATGAATGAGTGATTGAAATGGCATATATTCAAAAGGAACAGAACATTTATTTCAGGATCACTGAAAGTAGTTGATTGATGTGTTCATTGATTTAGATTGTGTAATTTAACCTTACCCAAGACTTCTTATAGCTTGGAAGTTATTATCCTTCCTTTACAGAGGAGGAACTTGAGTATGCACAAAATGTGATGTGTCATTATGCTTGTTTACATTCCAATTACCTGTGAGGGTTGAACTGATATCTGAATGTGTAAGGTTGTAAAGGAGTCAGACAGGTATCCACCCAAGTAATAGTTCTGCCACTTAAGTTAGTACCTGTGGGAATTTGCAGATTTCACTTTACCTCTGAGTTTCCACTTACTCATCTCTAAAATGGAAATACTAATAGTGCCTACCTAATGGCAAAGATTTAGTAAATTTTTAAATGTAAAGTTCTTAACACAGTGCCAACACATAGTGAAAAAACTTATGGGTGTTGGATTTCCTCATCTTGAGGCAAGACCAGTGTTAGATAAAGACCAAAGTTTATTCTTCACACTCCGTGATCTCAAGCCCGTCACTCTCTCTCATATCATTGAAGTGGTTTGGGGATCAGCAAGATCCTAGGCATATCACTGTGTCCATCTCCTAGTGGGAGAGGGGGCTCTCCAGATATGCACTGGCTGCAGGGAGGGAGGCCCAACCTCCAAGAAAGCAAGATCCAGATTTTAATTCTGGTTCTTCTGCTTGTTCGTTGTGTGATCTTTGGGAAGTTACTTAACTCCTCTAAGTTTCAGTAGTCTTCAAATCTGTAAAATCGGGCTAATGCCTATATAATGTGGTAGTTATGATGATGATATGAGATAATATATGTATAACAGAGTGATACAGTTAAGCTTTGTGTCCCCACTCAATCTCATCTTGAATTATAATCCCCATAATGCACCTGTGTCAAGGGAGTGACCAGGTGGAGGTAATTGAATCATGGTGGTGGTTTCCCCCATGCTGTTCTCATGACAGTGAATGAGTTCTCACAAAATCTGATGGTTTTATAAGGGGTCTTCCCCTTTTGCTTGGCACTTCTCTTTCCTGCCGCCTTGTGAAGGGGGTGCCTTGCTTCCCCTTCAGCATTCACCATGATTGTCAGTTTTCTGAGTTCTCCCCAGCCATGCTGAACTGTGAAGTCAATTAAACCTCTTTCCTTTATAAATTACCTAGTCTCAGGCAGTTCTTTATAGCAATATGAAAATAGACTAATACACATAGTCTGGCTCAAAGGCATTGCTAAAAAATGCTAACCAATAGTATTGATGTCTTTTAAATAAAAATGCCTAACTGGAAGCAGAAGTTGTACCTTTCTCATTGATCTTCAACTAGGTTTACTTGCCCCCTTATTTGCCTATTTTCTGTTCCCAAATCTGTCAGTTCAAGGCAAAACCATGACCTCACCCTAACAATTGCATTCTGGGCATGTTAGTTGTATAATCACATTGCCCTGTCACGCTGGCATCTTTAATCATTTTAAAGGTAGTCTTGACTTGGCCATATTCTTGTTTAACTACTTTAAGCAAATTAATTAGCTTTGTGGGGCCCCCAATGCCATTAATTCATGGTCTATAAAACCTCAGACCTAATTGAACTTTTTAATATTGTGTCTTTACTACCTGATATAAGTGTCTTTTAAATTATTAGAATTCCTACAGTTAATGCCTTATTAAATAGCTACATATATATGGAAGTATGAAAAATTTCCAAGATTGCAAAGTAATCAAAACCCAGATTAAATCAAGGATGATTTTATATCTGTTTTATTATATGTTTAAAAATTACCAAGAAGTTTGAGTATGTAATGAGAAGTAGTAGGAATGCCTCATATTTCTAGCTGGCAAAGAATACATGTGGTGTTAGGTATCTGAGAGTTTATCAGTTAATTTCCATTAACTAAAGTATATGAACAATGAAATACTATCTTAAAGCTACAATAAAATGTCATTTCAAAACTTGTAAGATAACTGAAATCAAAGGGACAGATAATGACAAGTGTTGGCAAAGATGTGGAGAAATTGGTATCCTAATACACAGCTGGTGGGAATGCAAAGTGGTATGTCACTTTGGAAAACAATCTGGTAGTTCTCAGCCATTCCATGCATAGGTATATAGTCGAGAGAAGTGAAAACATATGTTAACATAAAAATGTGTACACAAGTGTGCACAGCAGCATTATTCAAAATAGCCCAAATCTCTGTCAACTGATGAATGGATGACTACAATGTGCTAGGTCCATATAATGGAATATTATTTGGCAATAAAAAGGAATGAAGTATGGATGCAGACTACACATAAATAGACTTTGAAAATATTATGCTATGTAAAAGTACCCAGTCCCAAAGGTACATATGGTACAATTTTATTTATATGCAGTGTCTAGAATAAGCAAACTTTTAGAGACAGAAAGTAGAGTAATATTTGCCTAGGTCTGTAAAAGGAGGCAGAATGGAGAAAGGTTACTAATCAGCATAGAGTTTCTTTTTGGGGTTGCAAAAATATTTCTAAAATTAGATTTTGATAATGGTCGCACAGTTTTGTAAATACAGTCAACCCTCTGTATTTGTGTTCCGCATCTGTGAATTCAACCAAGGATTGAAAACATTCAGAAAAAAAAGGATGGTTGCATCTTTACTAAACTTCTATAGATATTTTTCTTTGTCATTATTCCCTAAACAGTACATTATAACAACCATTTACATGCAATTTACACTATATTAGATATTATAAGATGTAGAGATGATTTTAAGTGTATGTCAGAATGTGCGTAGGTTATATGCAAATACTACACCATTTTATATAAGAGAATGGAGCATCTGTATATTTGGGGATCCACAGGAGTTCCTGGAACCAATTCCCCATGGATACTGAGGGACAATTGTATATTAAAAACCGCTGAATAGTATACTTTGTGTGGACAAAATATAAGGTATGTGAATTATATCTCAATGAAGCTGCTTTGAATTTTTCTAAAGAACCAAATTATACAAAAATAATAATCAAAGAAAAGGTATTTGGGAGCCAACTTAATACACTACAGATAGAAGAATTTGAGTGTCAATATGGATAATAAATGCAATAAATTTAAATATGTTAAAAATCCATGAATTCATAATGATACTTTAAAACTCTCATTGCTTTGCTTTACAGAATATTAGGAAGCCAACTTAATTTTCTAAAAATATGTAAGTTAATGGCAAAATCAAGCATTTAACCTGCCTCTTCTATTCAAACAGCAACTTAGAGTAACCCTGTAATCTATAAGAAAAAAAAATCCCTTTTTAGACACATTCAGCTGATAAGAAGGAACTATAGAATTATTATATTAACATTTTATAAGTCATTAAAAATAATGAATCTAGGTATTGGTCATAAATGGCCGCTAATATATTAAAAAGAGGCCAGGCATGGTGGCTCACGCCTGTAATGCCAGCAGTTTGGGAGGCCAAGGTGGGCAGATTGCCCAAGCCCAGGGTTTTGAGATCAGCCTGGGCAACATGGTGAAACTCCATCTCTACAAAAAAACACAAAAAATTAGCTGGACATGGTGGTACATATCTGTAGTCCCAGCTACTTGGGAGGCTGAGGTGGTAGGATCCCCTAAGCCAGGGGAGTTTGAGGCTGCAGTGAGCATGGATCACTTCACTGTGCTCCAGCCTATTTCTTTGACCCTGTCTCAATAAATAAATAAATAAATAAGATTTCACTACTAATTAGGTGCATCCTGATGGAATTATGCAATGATACTTGTACATTTATTATTTATTTTTGCCCAAATAAATCAAACCTCTGACCAGAGTTACATTCAATGACATCATGGGGAAGCAGAGAGTGAAATCCGGTATGTGGGGACAGTACTGGATAAATAGCCCAGTTTCATTAACAAAATTAATGGCAAAGAAGAAGAATGAAGAAGCAGTTCTTGATTTAAAGAAATTTAAGGGACATATTGAAATGTAACATGTGGGTTCAGTGGATTTAAATTAGAACCAACCAACTATAAATAAATAAATAAATTTCCAGTGTTGATAGTCAAATTTTACCTATATATATACAAATTTATGAATCAATCTGGTTTCAGCACAGCAGGATTTTATTTTCCAGGTAATGTCCTTGAGAATGCATGCTTTCCTTCATCTTTCTCTTCTGCCTCAGTATCTTGCAGCCTCTTTCTCCTCATGGAGGAAAAGATGGTCTCTGTATTTCTGGACTTCCACTATTCTTTCTGCTCAAAATCCCAGGAAAATCCCACTTCCCTCTCTCCCCCAGCATGGTGTGCACTTACTGACTTGCTTCCAAGAGCAGAGTATGGAAAGCAGGCTCAGAAGGGTGAGGCACTGACATTACAGTGCAGGAACCTGGCAAAACTGCTTCATTCATATGCAGTGCATTATATTAACATCCTATAGAATAAGTCATAGTGATAGTACATACCCTTGATATGATGTGTTGAGAAGGGCACTTCCCTTCTGTGGCGTTCTTCCCACAAACCCATAACTCAGTCTAAGCAAAACAACAAACATCAGACAAACCCAAATTGAAGGATATTTTAATAAATACCTGACCAATAATGCTCAAAACTATTTAAGACATGAAAAGCAAGGAAAATATGTGAAACTCACAGACAAAAAAAGCCTAAGGAGACATAAGATGCCTAAATGTAATATGAAATCCTGAGGAGGAGAAGATCTTAGAACAGAAAAAGACTACTAGTGGCAATACTAGTGAAAATCAAATAAAGCATGGAGTTCAGTTATTTAAAAACAGATAAACAATAACCAAAAATGCAAGGATTCCCAGGGGCTGTGTTTAATCACAGGTTCAGGCTTGGCAAAAAAGCGGCACCAAACCAAACCAACAAACCCAAGACACAAAAGCAAGTTAGTGCTCATGATACGGTTGATGTAATGGCTAGTTTGAGTCATAGAAGAATTCTGTGGTGGGTTGTTGGAGCCCTTTAACAAATAATCACCTGTAGAAGAAGGCTTCCTTCACCAGAATAAATGAGGAGCAAGCAAATCATAGCTCTCCACCATGGGCAAGGGAGCTACATGCTTCTGGGCAATGTCAGGGCACAGAGCAGCAGAACTCCAGCATGTGTCATACCAAATATTCTCTAAATATATTTAGGTTGGTGCAAAAGTAATCATGTTTTTTTTTGTTGTTGTTGTTTTTTGTGTGTGTGTGCCATTAAAGGTCATGACAAAAACCACAGTTGCTTTTGCACCAACCTAATAGCAATTTTGAGAAAGACGCCTCCCCTTAATTTCTTTATTTCTTTTAATCCTTCAAAACAGAGGTATTATGCTCACAACTTAATCGATGATTTACAGTTTCTACATCATTCCACTTTTTCCTACATACTGGAAAGTATTTTTAGAGACTCAGAGAAGTTCATTTTTGAATTGACTCTGCATTATTGGACCAAATCCTCAGAATCCTTCAGACAGCTTCCTGGAATGTCCTCATTACTATAGCGTTTAACAGTGAGCCAGTTTCTTAGCTGTTGAGTCCTATACATTTAAAGGAATTGAAACCATGAAGGCTCAGGGAACTTCAGCTTAATCTGAACAAACTGGAATTACTGGATATCACTGGCTACATCTGTCTGTATGAAAGCATAGTCTGTAGATCTAATAAAGTGCTTTGGAGGTTGGTTTTAATATAAATTTTAACTATTATACATGTGTCAAGAAGAAAGGAACTATTCAAAGATAAGTGTTTCTAGTCTTTCTTTCTTCTTTCTCTTCCCATAAAGTCCCCTTTGTTACCGTGGGTTGACCACCTTTTTAAGGCTGGCAAGAGAAATCAAGACAGAGGCAGTGCTGGTGACATGAGGAAGAAGGCGAGTGTCTCACTAGAAGAAATATCATAAAGCTACATCCTGAGAAAAAGCAAAGGCCTTGATGGCAGACCAGATAACAGAGAGGCATTTCAGAGTTCAGAATATTCACAAAATAATTCACATTCTTGTAAAATACAAGCCCTGTGAGGGCAGAAACTGTGACTGTCTCACTGACTATTTTGCCATAGCACCCAGTGCAAGGCTTGGAACACACTGATAAATAAATCATAAATAAAGACAGCAAAACAAAAACAAAATCTAAATAATAACTGCTGAGTTACTTGAAACTTTCGGAAAAGAAACACCCGAAGGAATTTCTAGGAAGTTTTGTAGTAATATGGTGACAAAATTCACTCTTTTGGTTCCTCTGCAAGAAAGTACAAGCAACAACTGAGGCTGTTGAAGCCAAATCTGTAGTTCTTCTTGGTGTGTGTGTACATGTCTGTGTGCAGGTTTACATTAAGGAGACCAAGCAGTTACAGATGTATTCATTTATAACACTCATAAACACACACCATTACTCTTATCCCTACACTCCATATTTACATTATAATTATATCTGTGCAATTGAAAAATGAGGAAAAGGCACATTTGCAAAAATTACTGCTTTCCCATTTCACACCTCTGTCACTCATTACCACTGTGTGATCAAAGGAACTTGAAAAATTAAAAGGACACAATTCCAAAAATAATTATCTAATGCCCAAAGGGGTCTGGGATAGCTTAATTTTGACTAGAACTAAGCAGATTTGGCTGAATCAAATATTGCTTCCTTGGTGTCACAAGGCCATTCTTGATGATCTTCATAGTGTGTATAAGGTAACTCAGATGTTTTGTGGGTGACAAAGACTCTTTGGATGGAAATCAGATGCTATGACAACATCACAAATAAGAGAGAAGGCAGAATTTTAAAGACGTAAAGACTATCGTCTCTGACTCAATATACCTGTACTTAGTTTATGGTCTTATCCCAAAGCTTTATACATCTAGGTAGAGAGTAAGTGTAAACTCCTCAATGCTTAATGTTTAAGAAGATTTTATTGCTGTAACCTAAGCATTGGGTTTCAACATTTCACTCATTTCTGGTCGTCTTTTTGTTTCTTTTGTGAGACTGACAATAGGTGGATAATCTTGGGAGAGACAGATGCTTCTTTTTTAAAGCAATCAATTGTCACATTCCATCTATAAAGGGAAAGGAATTACTAAAGAGTAAATAATGGTTTTATTATTTTTGCATTTACTATGTAACAATTGATATTTATTGTTTTTTAATCCATTTAGTATCCTGTGATTTAATTAACACTCTGAATTCTATAGATGTGCATACACACATATATAGAAAAAATATATACTGAGTTTTAGTGTCATGGTTAACTTTAATAGAAAGATTCAACAGAAGCTATAAAATGAAGATGAATGATTAGGATAGTTTGCTATGTTTTTATTAGAGTATGAAATTGTAGTTTATTTCTATTTTTTAATGACGGGAGTGTATTCTGAATCTATAATTTCCCTGGCTTTGTATCTGAATAGGTCTTGATGGGGAACAGACAGTCTACTTGGAAGAGGTAATTAGAGAGGAATTAATGAATGAACTATTAATGCAAAGGTGTAGGCAGATTAGAGAGAAACAATAAGTAAGAGAAATATTCAAGGACTCACCAAGCCAGGAACCTATGCGCCTTTAGATATGAGGGACCACCGGAAGGGAGCTTATGTCTCGACTAGACACATAGAGTGCTCAGATTAAACATTATTTCTGAGTGTGTTTCTGAGGGTGTTTTCAGATGAGATTAGCATTTGAATCGAGTGGACTCAGTAAAGTAGATTTTCTTCCCCAGTGTGAATGGATATCATGCGATCTACAATCCATTGAGGGCCTGTATGACACAAAAAGCTAAGGAAGGATAAATTTACCCTTTTTGCTTCCTGCCTGCCGACTTGAGCTAGAACATCTCATTTGATCTTTTCTGGCACTTGGACTGGAATTTGGATGCCCTGGTTCTTGGGCCTTTGCACTAGAACTAAATTATACTATTAGCTTTCCTGAATCTCCTACTTGCATTAGGCAGATCATGAGAATTCCCAGCCCTCTTAGTTGCATGAGAAAATTCCTCATAATAAATCTCTCTCTCTCTATATATATATGTGTGTGTATGTGTGTGTGTGTATATGCATATATTTCTTTATGTACATATTTTTTCTCACCTTATCCTCCTTCCGCCTCCTCCTCCTTCCTTCTTCCTCCTCCTACTGCTGCTGCTACTGTTTCTCCTCCTCCTCCTCCTCCTCCTCCATTGCCGCTCCTCCCCCTCCCCTCCCCCCTCCCTCCCCTCCTCCTCCTCTTCTTCTTCTCCTCCTCCTCCTCCTCCCTCTTCTTCTCCCTCTTCTTCTTCCCCCTCCCTCCTCATCTTTTACATCTTCCTTATCATAATCTCCTACCAGTTATATTTCTCTGAGGAACTCTAATAGAGAGCTATTTCCAGATGCAGATCAGTCTTGGAAATGCTGCTCTTCCTAGGTGGAAGAACACAGTCAATACATACCAAACTTAGCATGAAGGCACTAGATTTTAAAATGTTCTAATTTTGTTCTAGTATGTGTTTTGTGCCTCTTATTGGCTAAATCCAACTAGAGGCTAGATTGCAAGGGAGTACTGCTGATGCAGGTCACAGAAGTCAGCCTTGCAGAATTCAGTGATGACCCCACAGTATGAATAAACTTGGCAATCCTTTACTTCTTAGCGATTTGTATTAAGTCTTTGAGTTACAAATTTTTAGTACAGGCAAAATAGTATATTGGTAAAATAATAATAATGCCATAATTTCTCAATTATGCTCCAATCTTAAGCTACATTTCTTCCATTCTATAGTAACTGCACTAGTATTTGGAGCAGTAACATAATTTAGATGTACCATTATTCCATTTCCAAAAATGTTGGTGGTCTTTCATCTGTGTCAGCATTATGGACAGTAATAGAGCATTTAGAAAAAAAAATGAAAAATCTTAGAAGAGATTTTATTTTCAACACAAGCTATCAATGTAGCATTGGATAAGCTCTTTATTTTCTTTAAACATTCAGTTCCAACTCTATAAAACAAAAATTTGGACCAAATGGTATGGAAGTTGAACAATTATATATACTTTCATGATCTGAGATGAAAATGTTCATTTATCTCTAGAATTGTTTTAGAGGTAAAGCATGTTCAATTCAATACATGCCCACTTGAAACACAGAGTTAAATAAAAGATCTTGTTGCTATCATAAAACTGTATCTTTCATATGAAAAATATAAACAATGAAATATTGGATACTTGAATTTAAATTTTGGTTCCTCTGCTTTTGACTTTTCTGCTTTTAAAATAAGTCAGATGTGTGGTTATAAGAAGGATTGGAAAAGTTGAGCTGACAAGCCAAGTTGCCCTGAGTCCAATTTTTGAAGAACTGTGAACACTTCAAATAAATGGTTATTGCCATTTGTAAATCACTGGGTAAAAACAAGAATAATATTTATGACACATGAAAATTATATGCATTTTAAATTTTACTGTTCATAAGTAAAGTTTTATTGGAACACTGCCACAGTTATTTGTTTATATGCTGTCTGTGATTGCCTCCATGCCACCACACAGAATTGAGTAGCTGTGACAGCAACTGTGTGAGCCTCAAAGTCTATCATTTTTACTGTCTGGCTATTTACAGAAAGTTTGCTTTCCCCTGAGATATACTGAAACAAGAAGAATCTATGTTCAAAGGGAAAACGACATAAATGAGCTAGGTCATCTGAAGGTCTGGAGACTGGAAAGAAAACATAATTAGAAAGGTCTAATGTAAAAGGCAAGTTATTCTAGGATGTATGTGTGTATGTTTGTGTGTTTTGATTATGAACTATGAAGATCTTTGGCCCACTGAATACAAAGTCAGCAGTATTTGCCAACACTTGCAGAAAGTGATCCTCAGGATTTGAGATTGCCTTGGAACGTATTCTTAAATATTCTCAAAATAACTGACTTTCAAGTGTACTTGTCTCATTCCCACAGGGCAGATCCCTTTTGTACTTGGGTTATAAATTCATGAAGAATTCTTAGTCATCCCAAAAAGAGTGACTAAGTAAGACAACCATCATATGTTTGCTCTCTTTGTAGTTTAGAATTGCAAGGGAATAATTCTGAGGTTATTGGAAGGTGGTTCGTTTTTTCCCACCCTCCCTTCCTTCCTTCCTTTCTTCCTTTCTTCCTTTCTTCCTTTCTTCCTTCTTCCTTCTTCCTTCTTCTTTCTTGCATTCCAGCAAGGGAAATGAAATACATAGAAAGGAGGAATAGCTCGAAGAACTAATAGCCTGCCTGGAGTTGAGTACTGGAATGAGTATATGGGAAGAATGGAGATGAACCTAGATAAACCTACTTCTTATTTTTATGGAGTAAACAAAAGTGGAAATATTCAAATACAAAAATAATCAGTTGACATTGAACAAGTAAAACCCTATTTTTAGGCTTTTAATAGTCAGTTAACATTGAACAAGTAAAAGGAGTTGCTGATTATTTTTATTATTATTATTATTTTTTTTTTGAGATGGAGTCTCGCTCTATTGCCCAGGCTGGAGTGCAGTGGCATGATCTTGGCTCCCAACCTGATATGGTTTGGCTATGTCCCCACCCAAATCGCATCTTGAATTGTAGCTCCCATAATTCCCATGTGTAGTGGGAAGGACCCGGTGGGAGGTAATTGGATCATGGGGGCAGGTGTTTCCCATGCTGTTCTCATGATAGTGAATAAGTCTCATGAGATCTGATGGTTTTATAAAGGGGAGTTCTCCTACAAAAACTCTATTGCCTGCCACCATGTAAGATGTGCCTTTGCTTCTCTTTTGCCTTCCACCATGATTGTGAGGCCTCTTTATGGAACTGTGAGTTCATTAAACCTCTTTCCTTTATAAATTATGCCCTCTTGGGTATGTCTTTATTAGCAGCGTGAGAACAGACTAATACACAACCTAATTAGCATCATGTTTTAGGAAGTTATGTGTTCAGTGAATACACTTATTTTTTCTTTTCTTTTCTTTTCTTTTTTCTGAGACAGAGTGTTGCTCTGTCACCCATGCTGGAGTGCAATGGCACAGTCTCGGCTGACTGCAACCTCCGCCTCCTGGGTTCAAGCAGTTCTCCTGCCTCAGCCTCCTGAGTAGCTGGGATTACAGGCACCCGCCACCACACCCAGCTAATTTTTGTATTTTTAGTAGAGAGGGGGTTTCACCATGTTGGCCAGGCTGGTCTCGAACTCCTGACCTCGTGATCCACCCACCTTGGCCTCCCAAAGTTCTGGGATTACAGGGGTGAGCCACTGCACCCAGCCAGTGAATACACATTTATTTATTTATGTATTTATTTTTGAGATGAAGTCTCGCTGTCTCCCAGGCTGGACTGCAGTGGCGTAATCTCGGCTCACTGCAAGCTCTGCCCCCCCGGGTTCACGCCATTCTCCTGCCTCAGCCTCCCGAGTAGCTGGGACTACAGGCACCCGCCACCACGACCGGCTAATTTTTTTTTTGTATTTTTAGTAGAGACGGGGTTTCACCGTGTTTGCCAGGATGGTCTCGATCTCCTGACCTCGTGATCCGCCTGCCTTGGCCTCCCAAAGTGCTGGGGTTACAGGTGTAAGCCACTGCGCCCGGCCCAATGAATACACTTTTTAAGCATTTGGTTCATTATAAGTGATTTACATTTATCCTATGGACTAAATTCCATCTTTTACTCAAGATGGACCCAAGAACTAAGCATCAGATAGGTTTGGAAATTGTAATTTTTTACAGCCTGTTGACTATATCTCTTCTGAAATGAAACAACATTATAAGAAAGTGATGGTTTGGTATTAATAAAATAATGTATTTGAAAGCATTTGAAAAATTATGAAGTATACTTATGAATATAAGTATAAAGGATTATTACTATCATCATCATAATCATCATCATAATTATTGTAACCATCAGGGTACAGGAGCTGGCATACAGTGTTTGCCCTGTTGTGTGAGCTTTGAACTTTTTTGAGTTATGATTAGTGTAGATTGGGCAAAATAGAACTTCCAGCCTGGAACTTATTAAGCTTACTAATGTAATATACCTGAAACAAGGTTCACAGTTCAAGCAATTATATTCCTTGAACAAACAGTGGGTATTCTGACAGGAGGGATGGGCACTGTTGAGTTAACTTGGGGGAACTCAGGAAAGTGAAAACATTCTTGTGATTTCCTTTTGGAACCAACTGTGCTCTTCATGGGAGATGGAGAAAGGAGTTGAGTACAACCTTAGCCTAACCCACAATTCCAGCATTTAGGGCTTCACAACTCACCAGTAGGGAGGTGGTTTTCTAGCAAACGAGACCAACATAAATTCTCAAGTTCGATTTCATTCTAAAAGGTCAGTGGCAACGATAATAGCTTACATCTTCCTTGGAGACAAGAGAGGTGGACAATTCCAATGTTATGTAGGTAAAGACACACACCACTACCAGAGGAGAAAAGTTCCATGCTAGTCAGTTGTGATTCATTAATGATATGAAATAAAGAACAGATGGGGAAAAAAGGTTCTTTACTCAAATGAAGTAAAAATTACGTTGACAGTAATCAGAAGTAATGAAAGACCAGAGGGAGAAGTACTTTTCTCTTAGCTTAAAAAGGAAATTTTAATTTCCACCTGTAATTCAAGAGTCAGGGAAACAACATCCTCTTGTCTCTTGTTTAGAGGCAAAGGGGACACTACCACATTCTTTCAGTATCATTTCCTTCAATCTTCATCTTCACCTTATCTTTCCACTGGATTACGAACTCCTTTCCCAGGGCTTTCTCCCATTGGCATGTAAACATAGTCAAGTCTCCTTTATTAGAAAAAGATTAAAGAAAAAGGGAAGACTCTTTACCAATGCCATATTTTCTTCAGATATTGGTCTCTCCTTTCCTTTAGAGCCAATTTCCCTTTTTTCCCCCAAATTTACATATTTCTTGGAAGAAATATCTATAATCACTTTCTATACTTCCACAACTTTCAATATCTTCTTTTTAACTTACTGTCTTCTGTCCCCCTCTCTCCAATCTACTGAAACTACTATTTCCAAGGTCAATAGCATCACTATATTAAGAGGAAAACCCTTTTTTAAAGTGGCTATACCTACTTATATGCCCACCAGCAATGGGTGATTCATCCAGTCTCTTCAACCTCACCAGCATTTGGTGGTGTTACTATTTTTATTTCTGTTTTAGGCATCCTTATAGGTGTGTGGGAAGATCTCATTGTAGTTTTCCTTGCATTTCCATAATAGCTCCTGTTGTAGAACACCTTTTTATGGGTTATTTGCCCTCAGTGTATCCTCTTTTTGACATTTTTTTTAAATTTGATTTTTCCATAAGTTATTGGGGTACAGGTGGTATTTGGTTACATGAGTAAGTTCTTTAGTGTTGATTTGTGAGATTTTGGTGCACCCATAATCTGAGCAGTATACACTGCATTTTATTTCATCCCTTCTCCTCCTCACTCTCCTCCACAAGTCCCCAAAGTCTGTTGCATCATTCTTAAGCCTTTGTGTCCTCATAGCTTAGCTCCCACAATGTGATACCACCTTAATCCTGCAAGAATGGCCATAATCAAAACATATCCTCTTTATTAAACTGTCTTTTCATGTATTTGCTCATTTTCTATTTGCATTGTTTTTTTACTCGAGATTTGAGAGTTTTGGATATATTCTAGATGCTAAAATGTCACACATACGATTTGCAAATATTTCCTCTCAGTCATTTATAGATGACTTAAAGATGTTTTAAATTTTGACAAAATGCGATTTATTATTTTTTCATTTTATGATTGTCAAGTCTTTACCTTTTTTTTACATTGCTCTCTTTTCTTTTTCCTTCGTTTCTATGAGTTACTGGTACATTTAAGTTTTAGAATTCCTGTTTGATTTATTTATAGTATTTTTCAGTGTATCTCTTTATGTACAGCTTTTTTCATGGTTGCTCTAGGTATCGCATTCTATATACACAGCTTATCACAATCGAATCATCTTACTTTACCAGTTCAGGTGGAGCACACAAACCTTACCTGCCTTCATGCCCCTTTACCTTTCCCATTTATAATATAATTCTCATAATCATTTTCTCTATACACATTTAGAAGCACATCAGACAATGCTAGAATTTGTGCATTCATTATCAAATATAATTTAGAAAATTCTACAGGAGAAGTAAGGTCTATTCTATAACCCTTGTTTTGCTTATCATGTTCTTTCTTCTTCATATTCCAAGTTTCTTTTATCGTTTCCTCTCTGATAACTTCCTTTAGCTATTCTTTTAGGGAAGAGCTGCTGGTGGCAGGTTTTCTTAGTTTTTCTTCATCTGAGAATGTTATGATTTCCCTTCAATTCCTGAAAGATACTTTCCCTGGATAAAGGATTCTCTGTTGTCAGATCTTTTCTCTCAACACTTGAAAAATATTGTGTCACTTCCCCTGGCCTTCATGATTTCTCATGAGAAATCTACAGTCATTTGAATTGTCTTCACCTACACATAAAGTACATTTTTCTTTTACTGCTTTTAAGATTTGTTCTTTGTCTTTGGTTTTCAGAAATTTGACTATGGTATGTCTTGGTATGGATTTCTTTGGTTTTAATCTTATCTGGAGTTCACTTAGCTGTTGGAAACTTTAGGTTTGTATCTTTCACCAAATTTGGAAATTTTTTAGACATTATTTCTTCAAGTACTTTTGCAGCTCCACCGTTTTCCTCTTCTTCTGGGACTCAAATGACCTAAAAGTGAAATGTTTGGTTTTGATTCCTCAGATGCCCAAAGCTGCTGCTTCTTCTGTCTATTTACTGTCTGTTGTTCAGATTGAGTAATGTCTATTGTTCTTTTGTTAAGTTTACTAATTCTTTCATGTTTTTCTCCCCCGATGTTGCGTATATTTTCTGAGTTTTAAAAAATGTTTGGTTATTACGTTTTTAATTCAAACATTTTCACTTGGTTTTTCTTTATATATCTAGTTCTTTGCTTAGGCATTTTATGTCTTTGAGGAAACTTTCTATTTAAAAAAATGTTTCTAGTATGTTAGCGGTTGCTCATTGAAGCATTCTTATGATGACTAATATCTTTGTGAGATAATTCTAACATCTTTTTCATCTTGGTTTTGGCACTTATTGCCCCTTTCTATTCACATTTTGATTATCCTGCTTCTGAGAATGATGGGTGTTTTCAGTTGAAACCTGGCCATTTGGGGAATGTTGTGAAACTCTCAATCTAAATTAACTGTCTCATTTTAGCTTGCTTCCTCTGCCACTTCTTTGGCAGGCAAAAAAGGGAAGCTACCTCATTACTGCCAGGTAGAGGTAAGAGTCCGGTTTCCCCACTCAGCCTTCACTGATAACTAAGCTGGACCAGGATGGGGTTCTGGCTCCCCACTAGCCCTCTACAGATACATCCTTGGCTTGGTACAGAAGGTGTGCCATGTGAATGATCCCCAGTGGTCTCCAGTGGTACCCCTGAATGCAGATGGTCTCCTTGCTGTCACCAGTAGTGAAAATTTTGACATTCTAGTAGGCCTCTGACAGTGTCCAGCCAAGTGAATATGGGGTGCCTCATTATTTTCAGGTGGAGATGGAAGTCCAGGCCCCCCACATAGTCTCCACTGACACTGCAGGAAGAAGAGGGATGAAAATTCTGGCCTCCCACTTGGTCTTCTTTGACATCACCATGGTGGGGTATTCCGGTACCTTATTACAACCTGTTGAGTGGGAAAGTCTGGGCTCCCCACCTGGCCTTCGCTGCTGAGTGGGAGTGAAGACAGAGTTTTTTTCCGTGGTATTTGGCTGGAGTAGAGAAATTATTATCTAAAAGTTTTCTGTCTTGTTTGGCTGCTCCTACCACCATCCTTTGGCCAGAGACAGCAGGCTTTGGTTGGGACTTTTCTTGCCTGTGTCTTTGCTATTTTGGGATTTGCAGTTTCTTCAGCAACAAGTCTGTTGCATATGAGTCAAAAAGAAAACTTAGGGAACTCACCGCCTTGTTTTCTCTTGGGTGCCAAGATCCCTAGTTTGTCTGCCTTCTCTCTACCATTCATAGTTTTACTACTTTGTTTTATTTATAATGTCCATCATTTTTAGTTTTAATTAATGCAGGAAAATGGACTTTGTCTTCCTAAAAGTGGGTTTCTTTACAAATAGATAAAATTTTACTCTGGCTTTTCATCAGAGTGCATCTTATTTCTTTTTCTTGACTAATATTCCTGACTAGAATATCTAGTTCACCTTTAAATAGAAATGATGAAGGCAGATATCTTTGTCTTATTCCTGGTCATAGAGAAAAATCATCCACCCTTTTGATATTAAGTATGTTAGCTGTGGGTTTTGTGGATACTCTTTATCCACTTGTAAGGGGTTATTTTTATTTCTCATTTGATGAGTGTTTTTATTATACAAAGACGTTGGATTTTGTCAAATGCCTTTTCTGCAGCTATGGAAATGGTCATGTCGACATCTGTCCTTTATTCTACTAATATGATATATTATAATCATGGTTATGGTTTGTTACAGCAAGAAGACAAAGATTAAAATCAACCAAGAAAAGGTACAAAGGACTAAGTGCAAGAGAAACCAGACACAAACATCCAGCCATGCTCTCCCAGTGGAATCACACAGACAATGCCTAATCCTCCTAGCAGTGATGTGTGCAGTGCTGCCAGCCAGGGAAGCTCGCCTGAACTTTAATGTCAGAGTTTTATTGGAGATTAGTCACATAGGAATGGAGGACCCATGTGACTGACCTTAGCTATTCAGCCTCCAACTCCTCTCTATATCCTGCCACAGGTCAAGGAAATACAACATTATTCAAAGGCACTGACACACGAAAATAGGGGTTCACCGTAAATCATACTGTTAGCACCAACCATCTGGTGTGACCCAAAGTCTCAGATACACAAATACACTCTTAACAGGCAGGATATTCCCAGGGCTCAGAGGCAACCTCCTAGAAGCCAGTTTGGAGTCAATCCTTTATTTAGAATGTGTAGGGTTTGAAAGCACCTGCCTGCTATGTTAACCCTTCATGGTATAGGTATCACTCCCTTCTTGGAAACACTATCTTTCCTTAGATGCTGTGATATTCTTTTCTTTTTTTAAAATCACTTCTGAATACTCCCTATCACCCTTTAAATCACAACCCTTAAATTTTGATATTTCTCTGGGTTTTGTACCAGGTCCTCGTCTGTTCTCATTTTATAAAATCCCAGGACTTGGCAGGATAATTTTCTTCCATTTATTCAAGTGTTGTCTATATGCTAATGATATCCAGTCACTTATATCTCTGACCAACATATTAAACCACCCATCAGCATATCCACCAGCATGTTTAACATTCACCTTCCCAGGTATCTAAAACTCACCATATTCTAAAGTGAACTCATTAGCATTCCTCTAAAATCTTGCTCCTTTATGTTAGTGAATAATACCTATAATCACTGAGCTATTTAAACCAGAAATCTTGATGTCACCCTTGAAATAAACTCTCTCCTTCACCCACATATCTAATGTCTTGTATAATGCAGTTGATGGATTTCTTTCCATGTCTTCAATTCCCACTCCCACATCCTGATTACAGACACCACAATCCTTTGGAAGGAAGATTGCCAGCAACCAGTCATCCTTACTGGAATGTAGGTAAGAATGACTAGAGTAACATGAAGCCAAACCACCAAAATGCGTTCAGAGCAATCTTTCCAAAAAGCAAGCCTAACAATGTTACCTCCTACTCTTAACCCCCACCTTAGTTTAACAATCTTCCAGTGGCTCCAGTTTCCTTGAGATGAATTCCAAACTTCAGACTCAACATGGCACTATGTGTCACAGTTGGACCCTTCTTATCTCTTCAACTTGATTTCTTCTCACTTTCTGCAGATATTCTACATACTTTAAGCAATGGAAGAGCTTCTTTCAGTTGCTTTATTCGGCCTTTTCACATGTCAATCATCCTTCTAAAAAACTGTTTCCTGCCCAGCAGCCATTCCGGTGATTAACTCCTATGGATTTTTCAAGTCTTGATCTTTACCGCCTTTAGGAATACTTTCCTGACATTCCTTCAAACCTGGGTTTGGAGCCTACCCTGGGCATTGACCTGGTACCTGCTACCTCTCTTATCAAAGTACGGATAGATTATATGTTATTTTTTCTTGGTTTATCTTTATCCCTCATTTGACTAGCAGTTCTAAGGTCTTCTCTGCTATTATACCCTATGTCCAGAAATACTCCTGAAAAATATCAATGCCACATAAATATTTGCTGAGTAACTGCTTTCTTTTATTTTTACATTAAGAAAGTTGTATATGATCTTTGGAGTAAATAGACTTTAAGACAAGGGCTGGGGTTGGTGTGAATCAGAGAATTACAGACCATAAATATATTAGAATTTTTGAAGACATTTTCCCCATTACAATATGAGTGTCTTGAGAGAGTCCTTGTGACAGTGACTATAATGCCCCAGTATAACCTTGTATGCCCTGCCTCCTGGCCAAAAATTTCACTCCTGTGTCCTATACATGGAAGACACTCTATAAATGCTGCTTTAATTGAATTTAATTATTTGAATTTTATATCTACTCAATTATATGCTATGATATACCCTTTGCAAATGTAGCTCAAATCACTGACGATAAAGGTGACTTTAGCCACTGGACTCAGACTTCAGTATTCATGGAGAGAATGCCAGACTGAGGAGCATAATTCAGACAGGACGTATTTTAGATCAGAACAGGGTACAGTATATTTGACTTTTTAGTTGCTGCTGGAGACCCTCTCTTCTGAAAGAAAACAGGGATCCTTGATAGAGCCAGGATTAAGGTAAGGCAAGCGAGTGTTCACTCCGCAGCACAAAATTTCAGGAGCACCAAATACTCAGTAATCCAGATAAATAATACTTAATGAAATCATTTTTAAAAATCAAAATTAATGCAAAAATTTATGATGAACAAGCTACATATTTAAAATAAAGACAAACGATTTCATGAGCTGCCATTATCGTCTTGTCGCAGCCTGCAGTTGGTTCCTGGGCCTGCATTCACCATCACATCCCCCACTGGTGGGCTCTTGGGAATTGACAATGGCGTGGGAACAGATCAGGCACACAGAGCTTTGTATGTCATCGTGGTTTTTTCTTATTGTTGTACAGCTTTCATTAACTTTTTTTACTTGCTTTGAAATATGGGAGGATATTTGATAACTGTATGAAAAAGTACACATTTTTCCTTTGTCTCAGGCTCCAACAGGGTTATGGAGTCACTGTCTTTGGAAATATCCATTAGACATTATATAATGAGAAGCAAAAGACAAAACACAGCCAGTCCGTCTGAACTTCATGGAAGGGGGTTCTAACCAAGGTCAGAATCAAGTCTGAGAATAACGCGTGGGTACACACCTTCTTTGTCAGCTTCATCCACGGAAAAACCTGTAAAGCTAAGCAAAGTTGATTGCCTAAAGCAGCCACTTTTTCTAAAAGCAAAGGAAATGGCAGTAAAATTTTTCTTTTGCATGCTGCTCTCCCCACATCACTGCCCAGCAGATGTCATTGAAGTAGAGGAGGTTGGGATGATTTTAAAATTTTCATTGTGCACATTTTTAGATGTTAGTTTTTAAGGTATAAATAATAACACCTCTGTGTCTACCAGACTTCTAAAATAAATTATTGTCCTTCCCGTTGAAGTCTCTGTGTTCACGAATCACTTCTTTCTCTCTGCCTTGACACACTGAGAGATATTCACTGGATTTGTTTTCATTATTAGACTTTTCCTAATGAGAAGTAAGCTTCCTCAGCAATACATGAAATAGTTTTGCATATTTTAATATGTATACATGGCATAATCTGTACATACTCTTCTTCAACTTGCAGTTTTTTCATTTGACATTTTGAAAAATATACTATTAATACATGAAGCTTTGGGTCACTTATTTCTAATTTCTGTATACTATTCCAATGTGTGAATACTCCCAACTTAATTTATCCATTCTCCTATTGATGGGCTTTTAATTTTTTGATATCTTTTCTATGATGCAAATGCTGCTACAGACATTTTTGAATTTTTTTTAATTCAGGATCAACAACTCAGAAGACAATTGCTGAGTTGTGAATATTCATGTCAGCTTTACTAAATATTACTTAACTGACTTCCAAAGTATTTGTACCAATTTACACCCCTACCAGCAGCGTATACGAATTTCCCAGTGTAATATCCTTGCCTATAGATGGTATTTGGACTGTTAAAGGTTTTTTGCTCATTAGTAGGATATAAAATGGGTTTTCACTTCAATTTTAATGTGCATGTCTCCAATTACAATAAAATTAACCCAGCTTTTTAAATAATTTCAACTTTAGTTTTAGATTTAGGCGGCATATGTGTGGATTTGTTACATCCGTATATTGAGTGATGCTGAGGTTTGGAGTATGATTAATCCCATCACCCAGGTGGTGATCATAGTACTCAGTAGTTAGTTTTCAACTCTTACCCTCCTCTTTCTCACCCCTCTAGTATTCCCCAGTGTCTGTTTTTCCCATCTTTGTGTCCACGAGTAGTTGATCTTTTGCTCCCACTTATAAGTGAGAGCAAACTTTTAAACTTTTAAGACATATTTTGATAAACAGAATATTTTAATTTTAGTGTAGTCAATTTAATATATGATATATAAGATATGGTTTGTGTTTTATCGCATTTTACATTAAAAATTCTTCTCTGCCTCCAAATCACAAATATAGTTCCATATATTTCCTTGTAAGATGAAGTTCAATTCCTCTATGTCTGTTTATTCAACTTTATTTTTTAAATGATAACTAATGTTCTAAATACCATTGAGTGCAATTACAGTTCAGTATCAGACATTGAACTTCAAAATATGTCTGGATATTTTCCTGGGCTCCATTTTCTATTCAATTAATCTTTTATCTCTTTCCAAGCCAGTACTGCACTCATAGTTCTTGTAGCTGGATTCAGGAAAAAAAAATCACTTTGTCTTATTAATCTGAATGGTCTTGGCTACTTTGATAATTTGGCGTCTTAGTTTGTTTTGTGTTGCCATAACACAGTACCTGAGGCTGGATAATTTATAGAGAAATGAGGCTAATTTGGTTTATGATTCTGGTGGCCAGAACATACCTGTCTGAGTTGTTGCTTCTGGTGAGGGACTTATGCTGCTTCCAATCTTGGTGGAAAAAGGAATGGGAACAGGTGTGTGCAAAGAGATTACATGGCCAGAGAGGGAAAAAAAAGAGAAACCAAGGAAGTTAGGCTCTTTTAACAATCCACTCTCAAAGAAATAAGTCATTCCTGAGAGAGCAAGAACTCACTCACTCCCAGGGAAGGCATTAATCCGTTTATGAAGGATCCACCCCCACAACCCAAACCCCTCCCACTAGACTCCACTTCCCAACTCAACTCCGCCACATTGGGGATGCAATTTCAACATGAGTTTTGGCAGGGACAAATCACATCCAAACCATAGCATTTGGTTTTCCGTATGACCCCTATAATTCCTAGAGTTAGTCTGTCAAATTATAAGAACAATGCTATAGAGACTTTTACTAAAATTGCATTAAAATTTGTTTAACTTGGAGACATCTAACATCTTTATGCTAATGATTTTTCTCTATCCATATATATGTTATATCTTACCATTTATTTAGGTCTTCTACCTGATTTGTTCATAACAATTTGAAATTTTACATATATTAGACATAAATTCTTTTCTTAGATTTTTTTCTCACATATTCATAATTTTACTTGCTATTTTGAATGTTTTCTTTTTAAATTTTATTTTTGGCCATTGCTAGTGCATAGGATTTTTTTTACAGAGATCTCATACGCAGTAACCTTGTCAAACTCATATATCTTTACTTACTATAAACATATCTAAGTTTCCTGCCCTTTCACTCGTAATTCTCTATTATCTATTTATAGCATAATGGTGGAAAAGATTAGTTTTAGAAAAAGAATGGAGCAATAAGAAACAGAGGATAGGGCCAAGACTCTATTTTGACATGTGAATGCAGTGTGGCCTGGAGAAAATTATACATTTTTTTCTGGATTATAATTTTAAAATTTTTTAGTTATCTCATCTGTACCTCAAATATGTTAAATAGTATCCATGATTTGTTGTGTGAGCAGGAAATAAGCTAACAAATACAAAATACTTAGCACTTAATAACGGCTTCATAAATGTTAACTGCTATTGTTATTATTGTGTTATTAATTCTTATTTCTAGCAGATGTCCCAGTCATTTTACAAGTGCAAACATTTGTAACATATCTTGAAACTGGGGACATTAAGTGCCAGCTTAATCTATGTCAGAGTTTCTCAATCTTGGTATCATTAACGTTCTAGGCGAGGTAATTCTTTATGGTTGAGAGAGGGGTATCCTGTGCATTGTATGTTTAGCAGCACAACTGGCCTTTACCCACTAAATGCCAGCAGCACTTCATCTTCCTCCTTTACCACGGTGATATCAACCCAAATCTCAAGACCTTGCCAAATGTCTCTTGGGGAACAAAAGACACTGGTCTACGTAAATATCCTGTCTCTCTGTTGCTGTCTCTCTCCCCACCAGCCCCATAAATACCCCAAACTACACATAGTACATTTCTCTATAATATCCTTGAATCTCCTCCATCCAGTCTTGCCTCCCTATGCCCTTCTCTCATCTTGAAGGGCAGTAGTTCAGTAGTACCTTTTGGCAGGAAGCCAGGAACTGCAAAGCTCTGGCCAGTAGGAGAATGTCTGACCCTTATGTTTAAATCCACATTAGCACCGCAGGCCCCGTGAGAGAGTAAATGGGAGGAGAGGCTGTCTTCTTTCAGAGCTAGCTGGTAGGTGGTCTGTTTGCCTTTGTTCCAGCCCTATGCAGTTCTCTCCTGTGTTTCAAACCACAGCCTGCTGGGCTTTGTAAATGTAGCAGTCTTTGGTAGAAGATCTGATCTTTCAAATTATGGAACCTGGGCTCTTTTTAAAAAAAAAAAAAAAAAAAAAAACCTTCAACATAGCAAATCAGATTGTACTTTGAGATGAATAATGAGGAGTCCAAGGAAAGGGTTTCAGAATCCTGAAAGGAGCAATTAAAAATAATGAGTATTGAGAATAAAGCATTATTCTCAAAGAGGAAACATAAGAGCCAGTCAGAACACTTCAGCTGTGCTTGGGGTATGTTTAGCCACTTTAAACAGCATAAAACACTAAAATGCTTTACCTTGATGAAATGTATGTGCAGCAAAAAGGAGCAGAGATTCTTACTTTTTCCTCTAGGTTGCGTTACTACTGTGTATGCTGTATGCTTAGCCACAAACTCCAATTGCTGAGTAATAATTGATGAGTGCTTACTTCTTAAATCAAATGACCCCTCCAGCCTCTTTTCCACCTGGCCTGGTGGTGCAGGTGCATCTGGTGCTCACATGCCCCTGTTGCTGAGTCAACTACCCAGAGCCTCTCGTCAACATTGCTGCCACCCTTGGGAAGGTCAGCAATGATTGGCAATGCTCAGGTAACAAAGGCACATTGCCTCTTCCCATGACACTTTTACTCTTTGCACTGCAATTTCCAGTTTTTCAAAAATTTTCCCTTGCTTGCATTCCTCTATTTTCTATCTCTACCCTGAGCTTTTTCATAGCGGATTCGGAGACCACAAAGATCTCTTCTCAGGAGAAACTCTGTGGAGGTAGGCACCTCTAACCCTGTTTATTTGTTTTTGCTCTGAAATAATTCCTTCTAAATAAATTATTTACATTTCTTTTTGCTACATCCCACCTTTTCTCAATATACATTCCAGCACGACTTTCTTCCCAACATTATCCAAACATTGGGACATCAACATTTACTGAGAAAAACTTTCAGAGAAGAATTGCACCCGATAAGTTAAACAGGCAAGGAAGATTTATTCAAGACTATTGCAATATGGAAGAGAGATTGAACTCAACACCACTGAAGCAAAAGGTGGGAGAGTTTTTAAGCATTGAGGTGAACTATGGGGAAAGCAATGTGGGGCCTCAGGGCCAAGGATGATCAAAATCATTAGGCTATGTGTTTTTGCTAATTGGCACTTATCTAAGTTAGGATCCTGCCCTCCCAGAGAGAGGAGGAGGAGATAGGGTCTTCATCTTTTGTAATGATAGCATTTCCAAGAAATGACTCCCAAGCCCTTGAGAAAGGGATTTCTGGGTTGTAAAAATGGCAAGAGGCTGAAAGATGATTTACATCTCAAAAAGACAGAGAAAAATGTACAGTTGCAAGTTCTTTTTTTTAATCCAATGCTTCAAGTAAAGGAAAGGCATAGATATAGAGTGAGATGCTGTTAGATGAGGTAATATGACATCATCTTAAGGGCCACTAAAAACCTGACTCTAGGATTCACCAAGTCCTAGGATTGTATTCTGTCTCTGCCAGGTATTTGATGTATAGATTTTAAGGCTCATTTTCCTCTATACAATGGGAACAATAGTAGAACTATTTCCATGGTAGCCATGGAATAGAATGAGATATTATAACTACAGTCATTCCAGTAATTTGCTAATCATTCTTCTGATGATTTAGTTAGGGAGTTAGAGCTTTTAAAAGATAGCTGTTTGTTTTATTGTAAGAAAATATACCTGAGACCTCTGTTGAGAGGAGTCAGGAAGGGAGACTATTTTAGCATCTGTTTCACAAAAATGATACCTGAACTTTTGTAAAAAAGAAAAAATCTTCGAACACTTAAAGATCTCCATTCCCTTTTTTTGTCATGAAATAAATAAATTGTCCACTAGAAAGTTGGTAAACAAAGCAGTAGCAGATTGTAAACTCTAAATGCATAGTGAATTTCCATGTTTAGGAATTCATGCCCTCCAAATAATCATAGATTTATATAATCATACAGCTAAGGATATATTAATTGCAGTATTATTTCTCTAAAATGTATTGAAGCATAATATATACACAGTAAAGTATACAAATCAGATGTACACAGTTCAAATTATTTTCACAAAGTGAATAAATGTGTTCACCCAGCTCAAGATACAGAACAACTCTGCCTCCCAGAAGTTTTCCTCAAGTCCCAAGCCCATCAGTTCCATCCCAAAAGTAACCATACTGTGACTCTATTCAGCATAAATTGGTTTTGCATGGTTTAAAATTTACATAAATGGAATAAAAATAATTAGTAGGAAACTCTAATATCTACTACTTTCACTTATAAATTTTATAAAACGTATCCATACTGCTACATGGAAAAGTAATGTGTTCTTTCTCATTTCTGCATAGTATTCCATTGTACACACATAACATAGTTGACATTTTTTCTGCTGCGTGCATATAGCCAGGAGTGGATTTGCTGTGTTACTGTATATGCATATGTTCAATTTTAATAGGTAATACCAAAGTGGTTTTACTAATTGACACCCCCGTGCTTTTTCAAACATTTTGTGTATTCTGTCTTTTGAATTTTAGACATCCTATTGGCTGTTAATTTTCATTTTCCTAATGACAATCCTGTTGAGTGTCTTTGTAGGCACTGTGGTTCAGGATTCACTCCATTGTGAATTACCTGATCAAATATTTTGCTGGGTGTCTCTTGCTTTTCCTACTGATGTGTTGTTGATTTTTATATATTTGAATCACAAAGTATTTTTCAGAGCTAAGTAATAACAATTTGTTCTCTCACTTTGAGTCTTGAAATTTTCTCCCTAAATAATGTTTTTGATGAATAGTCTTTTCCTTTATAATCAATGTGTTTCATGTCTGGTTGAAAATATCTTTGCCTACCTTCAGATCATGAAGGTACTCTTCTACATTTTACTTGTAGTATTATTTATAATAGAAAATTATGAAAACATGCTAAATACCTAGCCACAAAGAACTGACTTGAAAATCATACATACCCATGTCATGTAGTAATAGGAACCCACTTTAAAGCCTATGGAATAATACATGATGAAATGAGAAGTGTTTATCACATATTGTAGTTTGAGAAAAGCAGGTTATGAAAGATGTGAAATTTGATATAATTTTTGAAGAATGCATACAGAATAAAGACTGTACGAATACATTTTTAAAGTAATTATCTGGGGGTGGTGATAATATAAATTATCATTCTTTTATTTTTGCTAATTTACATTGGCAATATTTATATAAGCACATGTTCCTGTGCTATAATACAAGATAGAATCTGTTAAAACTAAGGGACAGTGACATCAAATTTGAAAATAAATATTTTATTCAATTTTATAGCTTGTTAATGGTAAAATGTGAGGTAAATATTAGGTTATTATTTAACCAATACACCGTCCTATGTCTGAAGGTGTTCATAATCACAGATGCAGAATACAGGGTGTTGAGACCAATTTGATATTTTATTAGTCAAATCAAAAATTTAACAATGTTTATAGGTTCTCATCAGTGATAATTATCTGCTGCCTGCTGACGCCTGCATTTTTATCAATTGGCTACAGTCCAATATGCAACTGCATATTTAATTAGCATGTCCATTTATTCTCATAGTGAGCCAGTGAGAGTGTAGATAATACAGAGGTTTTCTACCAACAAACATAGTCACTCTGACTTTATAGCTTATAAGTTGGAATGAGGAGACCCAATGGGTATGATTCTCTTGAGAATTTCTCTCCTTTGGAAAACCTTTTTTTGAGAAAGTGGAAGGGAATGATGTAATTAATGGGATAATTCTCACCCTGGGGACACTTGGGTTTTTCTTCATGCTATTCACAAATTATAGAAAGTCAAAAAGGTCCCTGTAAATTTGTTGACCAAGAATCGTATTACGTCCAAAATATCTCCCTCAAGTTTAACTTTACTTGACTATCAGGAGATTGCTTTATTCACTTTAGGTTTGACCTTTGTTTTTAATTCATCTCATCTTTAATTCCTTTTATATATCAACTCAAAAAGAATGAAAGCATTCAATCCTGAACCTTCCTCAAACGGGGTGATTTAGCGAATGCTAATGGCAATTAGCAGTCCCAATTAGTATTTATGCATTCCACATGAATACAAGAAATAGTACCATGCCAGATGCTTTTCTCTATGCAGAGGGTTAGTGTAGGGAATAAGAAGGAGATAGATTAAATCTCTGTCCTCAAGAAACATGTATTCATTTAGGGTGACAGAGAGAAAATAAGTAAACAAAGTAATAGGTCACAGGAACTTAACTCTCTTTTATATAAATTTGCCTATGGTCAGATTTTCATTTCACTTAAAGCCTAAGTTTTTAAGAACCCATGGACAATGTCAAGTGAGGACTTACTGGACAAGGTAACTAGGTCACAGCTATGATTAATGTAGCAAGAGCCATGAGGCCACATTTTTTCTTTAAGCCAGAACTTTCCTCTGTCTCAGAAAGAAGCCAATGGTGTTCTAATCATGAAAGTGGTTAGAATTAAAATGGAGTCATTTAAGCTAACCTGTAGTCCCAGCTACTCAGGACGCTGCAGTAGGGGATTGCTTGAGCTCAGGAGTTTGAGGCCAGCCTGGGCAACATAGCAAGAAATAGTGCCACATATCTACAACTATCTGATCTTTGACAAACCTGACAAAAACAAGAAATGGGGAAAGTATTCCCTATTTAATAAATGGTGCTGGGGAAACTGGCTAGCCATAAGTAGAAAGCTGAAACTGGATCCCTTCCTTACACCTTATACAAAAATTAATTCAAGATGGATTAAAGACTTAACTGTTAGACCTAAAACCATAAAAACCCTAGAAGAAAACCTAGGCAATCCCATTCAGGACATAGGCATGGGCAAGGACTTCATGTCTAAAACACCAAAAGCAATGGCAACAAAAGACAAAATTGACAAATGGGATCTAATTAAACTAAAGAGCTTCTGCACAGCAAAAGAAACTACCATCAGAGTGAACAGGTAACCTACAGAATGGGAGAAAATTTTTGCAATCTACTCATCTGACAAAGGGCTAATATCCAGAATCTACAACGAACTCAAACAAATTTACAAGAAAAAAACAAACAACCCCATCAACAAGTGGGCAAAGGATATGAACAGACACTTCTCAAGAGAAGACATTTATGCAGCCAAAAGACACATGAAAAAATGCTCATCATCACTGGCCATCAGAGAAATGCAAATCAAAACCACAGTGAGATAGCATCTCATGCCAGTTAGAATGGCGATCATTAAAAAGTCAGGAAACAACAGGTACTGGAGAGGATGTGGAGAAATATGAACACTTTTACACTGTTGGAGGGACTGTAAACTAGTTCAACCATTGTGGAAGTCAATGTGGCGACTCCTCAGGGATCTAGAACTAGAAATACCATTTGACTCAGCCATCCCATTACTGGGTATATACCCAAAGGATTATAAATCATGCTGCTATAAAGACACGTGCACACATATGTTTATTGCGGCACTATTCACAATAGCAAAGACTTGGAACCAACCCAAATGTCCAACAATGATAGACTGGATTAAGAAAATGTGGCACATATCCACCATGGAATACTATGCAGCCATAAAAAATGATGAGTTCATGTCCTTTGTAGGGACATGGATGAAGCTGGAAACCATCATTCTCAGCAAACGATCGCAAGGACAAAAAACCAAACACCGCATGTTCTCACTCATAGGTGGGAATTGAACAATGAGAACACATGGACACAGGAAGGAAAACATCACACACCGGGGCCTGTTGTGGGGTGGGGGAAGGGGAGAGCGATAGCATTAGGAGATATACCTATTGCTAAATGACAAGTTAATGTGTGCAGCACACCAACATGGCACATGTATACATATGTAACAAACCTGCACATTGTGCACATGTACCCTAAAACTTAAAAGTGTAATTAAAAAAAGACCCTATTTCCAAAAAAAAAAAAAAATGAAGGCCTTAGTATTTTTATAAACCCTGACAAACAGGATCTGAGAAGGCTGTGAAGAGAAGGGTCTTATACTTGTATGCCTCACAAAACTATCACAGAAAACTCTAATGAAACCAAAATCCTGCACAAAGGTTGTTGCAACCTTACACAAGAAATAACTGGGCAAGCACATCTGTCCAACAGCTGCCTGTCCAATCTCAGACTGGTGTCATCATTGTTATTGATTCTTGTAGCCAAGGATAATTATTTTTAAACCATTATGTAATCCTCTTCATTTTTTCTTTAAAAACTTTTGTCTTTCTTTGCCTCCCTAAATAAGCACATTATTTACAATGACATGTGCACTCCCATTGTAAGGTTCTCTTCCCAAATAAACATCATTTTCTTTTAGAGAGTCTCACTCTATATTTATTTATTTATTTTGAAACTGGACCTTGCTCTGTCACCCAGGCTGGCGTGCAGTGATGCAATCATAGCTCACCGCAACCTGGACCTCCTGGGCTCAAGCAGTACTCCTCCCTCAGCTTCCTAAGAAGCCGGGACTATAGGTGCTCACCACCACACCCTGCCTGTATTTGTTATTTAGGTTGACGTAAGAAATATGAAGAACCAAAGAATCCTGTCACAACTTTTCTTATTCATGTTACTTTCCTGAACTGGACAAACACTCATGATGGAAATGATGACCTAGAAGGAAACAGAAAGACAGGGAAAAGCATAGTTCCTTTTCCTTCCTGCCCCTTCTTACTTATCAGTAAACTGAAAGTAAGTGGTATTGGTAGAGCATGTGCTTGAAATAAAGACAGCTGAGTGAGGTAGTTTCCTACAGTGATATCCGCTATCCTTGTAAGAACAAACTACATCTGCATGTATTAACTACAAAATACAAATTTTGTAATAATTTTGGTGGTTCTGCATAGAAGCTAAATGCTCAAATATTTGCATCTAAAACTGTCATTGCATAATATAAAAAAGAATAGTTAAATTCATATTAATAATTTTTATTTGATTATTTTATTTTCCTTTCAAATAGTATTAAATAACAAATGAAAAAACACACTATGACAAGTCAAAGGAGAGATTATGGAATATCAGAAAAAGCTTCATAGTTAAGTACCTTTAGCTACACTTACTTTTGGCTTTTTGAATAAAAGACTCCACATTTTCATTTTGCCCTAGAATCTGCAAATTATGTATCTGGTTCTGCCTGTGGAAAACAGGATCCAACTCAGAGAGTTCAATAAACTTTAGTGAAGAAACTAAATAAATTTGGGCAGAAGGCAGGGAACTGGCAGGGATTTAAAGCACTGAGACTAGCAACAGTGAAGAGTCATTACCACCCTGGACCTGAAGAAGCAGGGGATAACATATTTTCATCTCAGACTATGAGAGTGAGTAGTTGGGAAAAACACATCCTGACCTCTGTCTCCCCTGCCCTTGGATCTCTTTCCTGTACTTTCCTTTGGCAAACCCAACTGGAAGCCAGCCATCTAGGGAGCCTGGGGCATGCGGTCCATGGGGTCAGGGCAATAAAACATGTCAGTGAAGGGCAAAGAAAGTATCTGAGGTGAAGGCAAGTTGAGTATAACTGTGGCACAGTGAAAAATAAATATTTGATCTCTGACCCCAGTTTTGGGCACAAAGCCCCTAAAATCCTTCAAGTCTCCAGAGTGATAATAGTATCTTTTGAATGTTCCTAGCAAGGATCTCTAAATAGCTTCAGAATTGGGGGCTGGTTGCCAGATTAAAGGGTTGAAACTTTCAGCCCCACCCTGCCCCCTTTGGGGGAAGGGGGAAGGTCTGGAGATTGAGATCAGTCACCAATGGCCAATGATGTAATCAATCATGCCTACCTAATGAAACCTTCATCAAAACCCTTAAAAGGGTTTTGAAGCGCTTCTAGGTTGGTGAGCACCTCAAAGTGCTAGGAGGCATGGAAGAAGCTCTGCGTCTCTCCCCACCAAACCTTGCCCTATATATGTCTTCCCTTTGTGTGTTTCTGAATTGCATCCACTATAATAAACCACTAGGTATAAATGCAGTGTTTTCCTGAGTTCTGTGAGTCATTCTTGTAAACTATCAAACTGGAGGAGGGAAGGGAGACTGATATGGAAATGCAGGAACTTGTAGTTGGCCAGGCAGAAGTGTGAGGAGCCTAGGTACCCTGTTTGCAGCCAGCATCTAAATTGAGGGCAACTTGTGGGACTTGAGCAATCTGTACAGTCCAGATAGTTAGTGTCAGAATTGAATAGAATTGTTGGACACCAAGTTGACATTGGAGAATTAGTTGGTGTTGGAAAAAAACACCTACCCGGTGTCAAATGTGGTACCAGAAGTGGTATCTCCTTTTTTTTTGGTTGATCATACCTATCTGGAAAAGTTTATAAGAATAAGCAAACTTGGCACATGTGTCCAAAGATGAATCTTCAAATTTTTAAATCCAGGTGTTGCCAAGTTATTTAAGCCTTACTCATTGTTAACTGAGCATAAGCTAGATAAATATGAAGGCAGGCAAAAAACCTTCATACAGTGACTGCCAGGGCATGACTGTAGTTTGAAAGGCTTGTGAAAATCAACCTTTTCTGTGTCCAATAGCATAAATGGAGCTCATTAAAATAAGCCTCTTTCAAGTTATTGAATGTCTGCCAAGAAGACACCTTTGTTCTGAAAACTCTAAGAAACCTCCTTGTGGTTTTAGAAGAGAAATTATACAAACCCCTGTTATAAGTCCCAGATATTCTGTGTGTAATAAGAAAAAAGGGGGAAGGGCAGTTGTACTCGGTAGTTGCTATGCAACAATGCATGTGGCCATTGCTATTTTAGATTTAATAACCTTTAACACATGCACTTTCTTGGACATGCAGCGAATTTACAGCAAGTAGCGCTCACGTTGATTCTGCCTCTTCATCTGAAATGCCAGTGCCATGTTAAATTTGTGGTCCATGACATACCAGAGGCCTGGCAGTTCAGGTTAATATACTGCTGAATTCCTACAATGTGGACCTTACAGTGACTGTTAATTGAAAAGCTGTGCTCAATGTCAAATTAATGTGCCATGGAGTTATGTTTTGGCTTAAATGCAAAGCCAGATAACTAATCTCTGTCTCTCATATATTAGCAGAATGCTGAGCTCATTATTGCCCTTGTAAACTGGCAATATTCTCTGGAATGCCAGCCTATTGAGCCTTCATTAGGAACAGAGGGTGTCCTTCTTCAGTGGCAGTCGTTTTTTCTCTTCCACCCAAGTTTAACCTTGAGAGGGGTGTGTGTGTGTGTGTGTGTGTGTGTGTGTGTGTAGTTGGCTACCCCAAATTAAGTTGTGTACATTGTATACCAAGATCACGTATTACAATTATTATAATTACTGGTAGCACTTATGGAGCAAGTGCATTATGCCTAGTACTAGTTTAACCTCTTTATATTAATCTCTTATATAATCTTCAAAATAGCTCACAATATATGGAACATATAGCCCTATGCTATTAGCTATGGAAAATAGCAGATTATCAGTAAATGCTCGTCAAATGTTCAATCTGATGTTAGCCACTATGGGGGCTATTCCTTTCTCTTTTGTCCTGAAAGCCCTCCTTCTCCCTTATTCTGGAATGTTTACCTCGATCTCCTCCCATTTACTACTATGGTGGTGGGCATGTAACCCAGGTTAGGCCAATAATAGTACCTCCCTCTTATTACCAAAAGTTAGCTCATAACCCAAGCCAAGCCAATGAAAGCCCTTCCTAGAAGTGTTCAAAATTATTTGAAGGTGAGAAAATGTCTTTTACGCCCTTCTCTGATTGTGCTGTTATTAACATGTAGGATTGGGGACAAAAATGAGTAACCCAGGGTGCTTAGGGCATGAAATTTAAGGAGGCATTGACTGTCAGTGTCGTGCAAGTGCAAAGTTGATACTTGAAAATAAGTGTCTCCTTAAATTTTCTACCCAGTGTGTCTGCCTCTCTAGCCACAGCCTAGTTGCAGCCCTGCTAAGATGTGAACCTAGAAGTGCCAGTGGCACTTCCTTCAGCCACATGAAGAACTAATTTCATTTGAAGAGAATGAAATCAATAAGCAAAGTAGGTCTGCCTCCAACATTTGCAGAGCCCAAGGCAAGAATACAAATGAGCCCACATCTCATATATCTAAATATTTAAACATTATCAATAAGGCTGTACCAATAGCCCAGCTGACGTTTGTGCCTGGAGACCAACAGACGCTCCCAGAATCACCACTCAGAGTCCAGAGGTTGAAGGGGCTGCACTCCTCTCCACTGACCCGCCAGTATTGGTACGTGCAAACATGAGGGGCAGTAGAGATCGCTGGGGTAGACAGGCAGAGCTGGACAGAGCCCAGGACAGGCAAAACCCAGGACTCCTGGAAGGTAAGCGCCCCCTGCCCCAGAGGACTCACCCAGGACTCACCCTGGCCCCGTCACTGAGAAAGTGGGATAAGGCATCAATGCAAGAGGGTTTTCTTTCCTTACGTCTCATTTTCCTGACTTAGAATTTCCAGGCCATTCTAGCATAGCAGTTCAGAATACCAGAGGGGAAAGACAGGTATACATATCTGTAGAATCCAGTCTGTAATAAAATGCAAAGTAGTTTTTTTTATATATATATATCAGAGCATCCTATCTTAGTGTCCCAGGAGAGAGCTTAAATTTTTTTCTCCTGTAATTCCTGTTTCACAAAAATCACCAAACTTACAAAAAAAGAGGTAGTTGAAAGATATATATATATCTTTCAACTACCTCTTTTTTTTAGTAACTATCTCTTTTTTATGCTGACCTCAGGGTCAGCATAAAGCAGGGCCCCTAAGGCAGAGGTCCCTAAGTTACTAAGTGTAAACTGACAGGACCCTAAGGTGCTGGGTCTTCCAAGTACAAGATGTCTTCAGGCGGCCATCCCTTAAGATATTGGGCTTGGTTGCGCTTAGCAGGCACACTTTTCATCCTCCATCCCTAGAGGCTGAGCAAGCTGAGTCAACTATGTGGCCCAGAACTCTTAGGCAGTCGAAGTGTTCCACTTGCAATTTGAGAGTAGGGGATGAGGCTTGAAGAACAAACAGGAGCTGTCCAGGTGAAATGCAGTGGGGTGGAAAGGGGGAGTCCTTGCTAACCAAAAAGACTATCAGGAGAAGAGAATGTAAGGCAAGAAAGAGTTCAGCAAATTCAAGGAATTGAAAAGTGTCCCATAGAGAAAAGAGCAAGAGAGAGAGAGAGAGAGAGAGAGAGAGAGAGAGAGAGAGAATGAATGTGACTGTGGAAATTGACAGGAGCACCATCAAGCTGGACTTGCAGCACCAGTATATCATTGATGGGAAGTTATTTAAGGAAATGACTCATAAGATCTGACATAGGGTTTCAAGGCTCCGTCTGTGGGCCGGACTCAGCTCCAGCTTGGACCAGGGCTGTGACATAGGGCATGTTGGGATGCATGTGTTTAATGTCTGTCTTCTGTGTCCAGGTTCTGGGAGGATTTCTTACAGGCATTTTCTCCCCCAACTTGTTTCTCTCTCAGCTGTCAGTTCAACCTAACTTTATCCATGACATGGAGCAGGCCAGCTACAGCAGGAGGGCTTTTTATCTCCATGTGAGATTAGTAGCAGACAAGTTCCCTGGGTCACAAAAATGGCCAGAGAGACTGTTGGAGTTTTAAAAATATCCCTTTAGACCAACTTGTGCATGAAACGAACTGGAAGAACAAAGAAAACAAAGCTTTGGTAAATGTGAAACCCCCTCAACCTCTCTACTACTCAGGTATGGTTTTAAAATGTCATACTGGAAACAGCTCAAGAACAAAGGCTGCCTCTACCCAAGTAAAAGAAGTGTACATACAGGATAATTATCTGTCCAAACTCATCTACAACTATACCTGAGTTATGTAGATAATGCAGGCAAAAATATATTTAATTATCCAGATAAGATTCTGGATGTCATGACTTTTATTTGCATGTATAAATAGCCATATGCAGGGTGTTCGACGTCAGGTTTCAGCTTTCAGTTTTTTTTTCTTCCTAAAGTGTTGGGAGATATCTTAAGCAGCTCAAAATTATCTTACTCCAATATTTATCAGTCAAACACTTCGCTATGGACAAAGTGTTAATAGAGGTTCTAGCGGGATATATTATGGGATTTGGAAATCTTATCCTAAAGCAAACTTCATCTCAAAAGATGAGCTTGTGCATGATTTGATATATACTCCCTCATTCACTTTAGAAGAAGCCAAAGGCAAATGTAAATAGAGATAAAAATGAAGAGGCATTTAAGGCAGACAAAGGCCAAATGGCCAGCTTTTGTGTTCTGTATTGGAAGGGTGGAGTTTCCTGGTATTCAATAAAAAGACTATTTTTATTGAACAAATCCACCCAACAGTGTAGCCTGCATCAATTGAATCCTTCCAATGAAGAGATTAGAATTTTATGCTGTATCTATATTCTAGTGTGTATCCATAGGGTGGGATTATCAACCACTACTGACATTTTGGACTGGATAACCGTTGGATACATGGGGAGGGAGTGAGGGGCTGTCCTGTGTATTGTAGGATGCTTAGCAGCATCTCTGGTTTATGTCCACTAGATTCCAGAAGCTCCTACCAACCACTAGTCAGGACACCAAATTTATCTCACAGACCTTTCCAACTGTCTTTTGGGTCTAAAATCACTCCTGGTTGAGAAACATGGTTGTAGAGGATATTGAGAGATGTTTGGGCAGCCAAACCCCAATTTATTTTTAAGAAATTGACTTTGGCCATCAAGATAAATTCATGAACCTGTTATTTCATTGCAAGAGAAGAAGGGATCCTTGAAGGTTCATTTAGCTAATGTCATAGTCTCATCAACCTTAGTAGGGACCTGAGAAGGTCAGAAGATCTAACCTTAGTCAATTTGGTTATTTGCTAGACTCTGAATCTTAACTGGAGTTGTACCATGAATGAAGAAATGGTTTGAGCTCAGGACTATTGAATGAGTCCTCATGTTTATGCCTGGTTCTTCCAAGTCTGGTTTGATGGCTTTCCCTTCCAACTTACGAGCCCCGTCTTATTTTATTTTAATAAGTTGCAACTAAGGAAACTTTACTGAAACAGACCCTTTACTTTCAGTTTCTCATTGAATTTAGTAAAAACAATTTAAAAACTAAACAACTAAAAATCAAATACAACAATAGAAAATCAAACCATTACGATCATTTTACACAATTTAAAAAACCAAATAAACAGCTGTTTTAATCAAACAATAATCAGTTAAGCCTCATTTGTTAAGCTCCAATGATTTAGTTACTTAAAACAACAAAAATATTTACATTATACTAATGAAAGTATTTACTTCCAGGATGCTCAAATTTTAGGTAACGAAACTGAAAGTTTAAACAAAATCCTTTGCCGAACCTCAAAATACAAAAATGAATTAAATATAGCATTTAATTAGTCTACACTTTTGATTTCACTTATATAATATTTATACATTTCTAATTACAGCAATGCTAACACTAAGCCCTTTTGATACCCAAACATATTTAAAATTTTAAATTTAAATAGTTTAATTGATATTTAGGGACTTTAATTTTCTTCAACACCCAAATTTTCTCTCTTTTGAAATTCTCCATCTTTTCCTGCAATAAATCAGTTTCTTTCTGTAGGTCATTTTATCATCTGTGCCAATTATCACCTTTCAGCCCAAGTCTACCCTTCAGTGTCTGCTCTGTAATAATGGAATTGGGCCCTGTAGATTTTTCTCCTTTGCCGGCTGATACTATGTTAAGCTTTTTCAGTAGAGACACCTGGAGTGATACTGAGGGAGAAAGCAGTTTGTCCTCTTGGTTCTGGCATGTTCTCTCAGTAGTTTCTGCAGCATGCAGTGCTTCTGCTGTGTTCAGCTTCAGCAATGCATACAGCCGCTGCAGGGCATGTGGTTTTGCTGCTCTGGTTCCTGCAGTGTATGACATGAAGCAACCAGTAGCATGTAGCATCTCCTGTGAACAGCTTTCCTCCGGCACCCCCTCAGGTGGCTTTGCAGTGAGTACTAAGGCATGACACTGCCCTGTAGACAGCTTACTCTGACACCCCCAGAGAGATTCATAGAGGCCCCCACTTGTGCAACTCATCAACAAAGTTCTCCAGGAAACCATGACCCCAGCTCCTCTAATGAAGGTCACAGCCGTTGTGTGTAGAGGAACTCTTCTATCAACACTCTAGCTCAGCCCAAGAAGTGGTGGCTACTTTTTATATTTGTTATTTCTGCATTCTTTAGAATTATCTTCATGCATTACTAGCCAATCCCTTTTTACCCAAGTCTCTTGTTAAAGTTTAATAATTTCTTTATATTGATGTTTTCATATTCAAATTACCAGATGGTTTCTGTTTGCTGATTGGATCCTGATACATCATTTTTAAAATCACCAAACTCTTTGCTAATTGCAATATGTGGGTCATCTATGAGTAGGTTTTTTTCCTGTTGATTTCATTTTTCCTTTGACTCTGAATCACAGTTTTCTTTGTCTTCAGAAATCTATTGATTTTTTATTGTTAGTGGGTATTGTGGATAATACTTTGTGGAAGCTCTAAATTCTCTTATCTTCCAAAGAATAATGAATCTGAAAGTTTTGCCTTAGCAAACTTCCACTAAATTAGTGGAAGATCTCTTTGATATTGTGCAGCTGTAGTTTAAAGCTGTGGAACTATATCGCTGTTAAACTTAGTCATAAGGTACATCCCTTAATCCTAGTATATGGTCCTTACTTTTAATGCATGCATGACCATTTTGAATAAAAAGCCATAGTATGTATTATGCCTCTCGAATTTAGCGGGATTTTAACTCAAAACTCTATCTCCTCAACATTGGGCAGGAGTCTGCTAAATTTTTTTCTTTATGGGTATTTTTTGCTGGGATCTTCACTTGGACATTCTGGAAGTCAATAAGTAATTTAAGGCAGGTTTGATACAGAATTGGTGACTCCCCCATTTCCAGCTACGCTGGTTTTTCCAACTAATAGCTCTGATTCCTCAAAAAACATATAAACATAGATCTCACCCAATAGAACCCCTTCTTTCAAGGTTTTATCTCTTTCTATTTCTACCTTTCTTTTTTTCTCTCTCCTGTGGTATTAGTTATATAGTGCTGTGTACAGACACATCCCAGAACTTAGTCGTTTCTAACAGTCACTGTTCACTTAGCTCTCCCTTCTGTGTGTTAGATGGGAGGTTTTCATCTGAGTTGCCTCAGCTGATTTTTACCAGGCTCACTTGTGTACCTGTGAGAGCTGCTGTTTGGATTGTCTCAGATACTCTTACTCACATATCTGGCTGGTGGCAGGTTGTCAACAGTGGCAAATAGGCCATATGTCTCCCATCCAACAAGCTGGTTTGAGTTTCTTCATCTGACGATCACAGTATTTCAAAATAGCAAAAGGGTAAGTCTTAATGAACAAGTGCTTTTCACGCCTCTCTTTGTACCACTTTGTTAATGTCCCGTAGGATAAAAGCAAGTCACATAGCCAAGCCATGTTCAAAGAGTTGAGAAATAGACTCCACCTTTTGAAGGGAAGAGTTATAGCATCATATTACAAGGCTGTGGACACAAGAGGGGAAGAATTTGTAGCCTCTTATATTATCTATCTGTCACAAATTCCTTCAAAATATTTTTTAAAATTCAAAGTTTGTATTTGTTTTTGGAAGTTTTATTGGTCTAATACATCCTATTCCAATATTGCCAATAATATACTTGCTGGTTTTTTTTTTTTTTTTTTGGAGACGGAGTCTCGCTCAGTTGCCCAGGCTGGAGTCCAGTGGCGTGATCTTGGCTCACTGTAAGCTCCGCCTCCCGGGTTCACGCCATTCTCCTGCCTCAGCCTCCTGAGTAGCTGGGACTACAGGCGCCCACCACCACGCCTGGCTAATTTTTTGTATTTTTAGTAGAGACGGGGTTTCACCATGTTAGCCAGGATGGTCTCGATCTCCTGACCTTGTGATCTGCCCGCCTCGGCTATACTTGCTGGGTTTTTAAGTGAATGTAGCTGCCATATATCATTTACTTTCTTATACTGCCTTATAAGATCTGGTTTTGAATGTGCTTACACAGCTGTCTGTGGTCTGGTATAGGCTTGGATATTAAAGGAAAGTGTAGCACTACAAAAGTTCTCATTATGCCTACTATATGGAGAACATCTTCTATATACAAGATTTATCTTGACAAGTAAGCCTGATTTAAAATTCCTTCAAGACAAGCTTTGATATTGTATGATTCTTAATAAAAGGTAGTTTGGAGAGATTAAAATTATTTCCAATTTTGCATAAAGTTAGAGTTTTAGTATAACTGCATGACTCAGTTTCTGCTAAAATGCAACCATGATAATATATTCACAATGATAGTAAAAAAAATTTATTCCCAGAGTTGCATAAAATAAATTAACCTGACAATATGAGTGAGTACATTTTTGGGTTTCAGTATGTTATCCCTTGGCATATAATATTAGATGGGGCAGAATATATTATTATATTTAAAAAATAATCTAATCATATTTTAATGAATTTTAAATAAAACACTTGCACAATCCTTGAACTATCTGCTGAAAGGAACACAGTTTTAAATCCTCTATTTCATATGTAGTCTCTGCCTCAAGAGCATGAATTTCTTGAGAGTACAATCATTGTCTTATTATTGCACTGTAAACTCTTAGAAAGAAATGATTCTCAATATTTTCCTTAACTGAGGCTTAATCAAATAATAATGATGTATTAACATCTGGCTAGTGGCAAGTTAAGTTTTGGTACTGAATGGTGATTTATGTTACGGTAAATTCTGTAAGATAGGCACCATAAGTAGCATCATTTATTATTTTATTTAATGACCACCATTGAGCCCATATTATGAAGCCAGGTGCTGTCTAGTGGATACAATAAGGAATACTGGATACTTTTCATAAGCATGTAACTTACAGTACAGAAATGGCAATACATATAATCGTTGAAGTCACGATTAACTCATACTTTGCCATTGGGCATGTAAAATGGTGAAGCCACTTTGGAAACAGTTTGGCAGTTTCTTAAAATGTTAGACATTTTAAGACAGTGTCAACCCAAGAGAAATAAAAACATATCCACATAAAGACTTATTTGAGAATATCAGTTAACAGTACTATTCATAATAGTTAAAAGGTAGAAACAATCTAAATATCCATCAACTGGTGAATGGATAAGCAAAATGTGGTATAATCCATACAATGAAACAGCATTCAGCAATAAAGAGGAACAAAGTACTGATACCATCACAGCACAAATGAGCCTCCAGAACATTATCCCAAGTGAAAGAAGACAGACACAAAAACCCCACATGCCACATGATCCCTCTGATATGAAATGTCCCCCTCAAAATGGCAACTCAGGGAGATAGAAGGTAGATTAGCAGGTGCATGGGGAAGGGGATGGGGATGGGAACAGGGAGTGACTGCAAATGAGCATGAGGTTTCTTCTGAGGGTGATGAAAATGTTTTAAAATTAGAATGGGGTGATAGTTGCACAGTCCTGTAAAGTTATTAATTATCATTGAATTGCTCACTCAAATGGATATATTTTATGGTTTGTAAGCTATATCTCCATCATGCTATACTGCTTTTAAAAATCATCATTAAGAAGATGTGGTATATTTTGGAGTGAGAGAACACATCCTGGGATAAGTAGCCTGAGTTACATCTAAAGGATGACAAGAGATACTATGAGAAATTGCTGTGGTGATAGTAGGATAAGAAAAGGTTGCAGAGAGGTTTGAATCAGCATGATGTGTGCTGTGTGCATTTGATATTTGAGTGTAGAATCTACATTAATGTGTGATGCAATGGAGTTCACAGCAGTAAGAGTGAGGATAGGGGTGGAGAAAGTGTCTAGACTATGGAGGGCCTGTGTGTCGTATTCCAAAGGAGAGTTTCTGTTCTATAGTTGATGAAGATATTTTAACAATTGTAAGCCCGATCATCACCTAGTTGGCTTTTCATTTCAAACTAATCACAAGGGTGGCTGATCGTTTATGTGGGGATGGCCAAGGAAAGGAGAGAAGAAAACTGTATCACAAGGGCCCTGCTGGAGGCAGGGCGACCAATTATGACATTGGTGAAATATTTAAGATGAGATGTAATGATGATTGCCACTAGGAAAGTTGTCAGAGGAATGGAAAACAAACACTTTTTCGGTAAAATAGGTAGCGTTGGTGATTGGTTAGACATGGGGAATAAAGGTGAGCTAGGAATCATGGGTAAATTTCAAAACTTCGACTTCTGTGGTGATATGTGATGATTCCAACAACTGAGAGAATCTGGGAAAACGTATTCTAAGAAGAAAGATGTGTATGGGTCATCCTGGTGGCAATGTTTTAGCAGACCACTGGAAATAGTGTAAGAAATTACAGATAGGAGCTTTTTTTGTTTTTTTGATGGAGTCTCACTCTATCACTCAGGCTGGAATACAATGGCATGATGTCCACTCAGGGCAACCTCCACCTCCCAGGTTCAAGCAATTCTCCTGCCTCAGCTTCCTGAGTAGCTGGGATTACAGGCACCTGACATCCTGCCCGGCTAATTTTTGTATTTTTGAAGAGACAGGGTTTCACCGTGTTGGCCAGACTGGTCTCAAACTCCTGACCTCAGGTGATCTGCCCGTCTTGGCCTACCGAAGTGCTGGGATTAAAGGCGTGAACCACCACACCCTGCCAGGAGCCTATATTTTATTTTATTTTATTATATTTTATTTTTTGTTTTTATTTTTGAGACGGAATCTCGCTCTGTCACCCAGGCTAGAGTGCAGTGGCGCGATCTCGGCTCACTGCAAGCTCCACCTCCTGGGTTCACGCCATTCTCCTGCCTCAGCCCCCTGAGTAGCTGAGACTACAGGCAGCCGCCACCACGCCCGGCTAATTTTTTGTATTTTTAGTAGAGACAGGGTTTCACCGTGTTAGCCAGGATGGTCTCGATCTCCTAACCTTGTGATCCACCTGCCTTGGCCTCCCAAAGTGCTGGGATTACAGGCGTGAGCCACCACACCCGGCCCAGGAGCCTGTATTTTAAAGTCATTATCCTGGTAATTGAAATCATAGGAATGGATGATTTAGCCATGGTAAACATGCATATTAAAAATAAATGTTCCGCCGGGCACGTTGGCTCACGCCTGTTATCCCAGCACTTTGAGAGGCCAAGACGGGCAGATCACAAGGTCAGGAGTTCGAAACCAGCCTGGTCAACATAGTGAAACCCTGTCTCTACTAAAAATACAAAAAAAATTAGCCAGGCATGGTGGCAGGTGCCTGTAATCCCAGCTAACTCAGGAGGCTGAGGCAGGAGAATTGCCTGAACCCGGGAGGCGGAGGTTGCCATGAGCGGAGATCACGCCATTGTACTTCAGCCTAGGTGACAGGGCGAGACTCCATCTCAAAATAAATAAATAAATAAATAAATAAATAAATAAATAAATAAATAAAGGCTCCTATTTGGAATTTCTTACAATATTTCCAGTGGCCTGCTAAAGCATTGCCACCAGGATGGCCCATATACATCTTTCTTCCTAGAATAGGCTTTCCAGGATTCTCTATTTTAGTTGTTGGAATCATCACATATATAATTATATGTCCTTATAATTACTAATGGAAGAGTAGGCAATACTGGGGCCACATTCTAACAGGTTAGCAATCAGCTAGGACTTCCCTCCTTAAATGAGATGTGATTTCTTGTTGCCAGAATCAGGCTACATCCTGACAGCCCTGCATGCTTCCTGCCTACCCTCCATGAAACCTTGAGTTTGAGGCATCTAAAATAGACCAACACAATCACTCATATAATAGATATTGATCAAGTGTCTGCTAGGTGCAAGAATAGGAGCCTAATGAGGGCAAATGTGTAATCTGTTCTAGGTCCACATCCAGAGTAGTCCCTGGCCCAGGGCAGGCAGAGGGACACATATTTTGAATGAAAGAATGTGACGTCCTGAAGATATAGATAAAGTTCTTATTGTGAAGCAGCTTAAATCAGCAATTCAGACCCACAAGCAATCATAGGCCAAGGTGATGACAACTTTCAGAATGTCACACATGGGAAAAAAGACAAGAAAAGTTGAAAGTTGTGATGTCACCATTTAGTGGTTGGTGTCAAAACCGATGCTCAAATCCTAGTCTATCAAGTCATTTTAGGGAAGAAAATAAAGTAAAACAAAACACAAACCATTCTGGGCAAATTAGTTGAAAGAGTTATACACCAAGACATGTGGAAATAAGAAAATTCCAATTTATGTTGGCTAATGTATGAAACTACATTCCCCTAAACCAAAAATTAAAATTTAATGTTATTTAGCCATAATTTCTTACCACCCATAATTTATCATTTGCAGTTATTACTGAATTAGTCAGCAGATACATATAAAGACCATTTTTAAATGTAATCTTCAACTATTTCTCTTAAGCATGATATCTGAGCATACTTTTACCCAACAAGTTCCATGCCACAGGAAAGGAATTAGTTGCTTATATAATAATTATTGCATTTACAAGACAATTTCAAGCTAAATCTGGTATTATTTTCTTTTAGTGTGCAGAAATAGTGTAATTTACTACTTATTAGATATAGCTGTTATAGGAGGTACATGAATATCTTGGGATAAAAAATTTCAAAATATAACCATTCAGCATCTTTATTAAGGAGATTCAGATGTTCAAAGCTCACTGCATTCATGCCAACACCTGTCTAATCCAACAAGCAAGTCTGGTGGTAGTGGCATGAGCTTAAATTTGACTACCCTACTGTGGGATTCTGGGGACTTTCTTACTTGACTTATTCTCAGTGATGTAGAACTTGGTTGAGATAAACTACCTTTGGGACTAAGACTGAAAACAGATGTGACATCTTATCTTTTTAGTTTTTAGGGGTCTACTATTTGCCAGGGTTGGTAAAGATGGCGTTGGTAAATTTAGACTATTTCTCTCAAATTTAAATTGCAAATCTGGTCAGTAATTCATACAGGAAAAATTCCCAGAGTCTTAGGATGTAGTCTGGGACAGCTGGATGTAGAAATGTCAGCAGCTGTTCCTAATGTGTGAACTTCACACAGCGTAAGTCAGAACAGAATCCAAGATAATCCGTTCAGGTGAAAGCTAAATTATTGGCATAAAATATGTAATATAAAGTCACAGATAGAAATTCTCCAGAATGATTGGCAGCTTGACTCCATTCTTTTAAAGCATTTTCTTCTTTTTTTAATCTGAGAAATGATCTTTTCTTTTAGGACAACAAAGGTAATCATACCATTACTGGAATGCTGAAGCACACACCCAGTAAATGCTTGAGTCATCGATCTATAGGCAAAACCTTGGATAGCATGTCTCAGACCCAGTGTTCCTAAAGTTTCTAGGGTCCAAGAAATCCACTTTCTAAATGGTGGAAGAATAGCAAGCGCAGGGAAGCACACGTACTCGTCCTTGCCCCGGGCAGGCATCACTAATCAACTGGACACTCTGCTCCTGAGTCTAGATAAGGTCTACCTCTCAACCCCATTCTTCAGATAGCACATGCCTTAGCTCCAGTGATGAAGCTTACTTACCATAACTGGTAGAAGAACCTGCTCAAGGGAGCCAGTCTACTTTCCCCAAAAGATCAGGCTAGAATGCGTGTCAGGGCTGCAATCGAATCACAAAATGATGTGTACTTTAACAACAACCGAGGGTAGACAGAGAATCCTCCCAAATTCTGCTGAGGGTAGGGCCTCCCGATCAAAAGGATAAAGACATTTTCTTGTAACTCAGATTGTCTGAACAATGGTGACTGCACTGTCAGAAAAATGGCTCACTTTACAAGAGTAGATTTTTTTAAAATTAAATTGTCCTATTGACTTACATTACTTGGAAAGATATCTGTTTCCTATTCATGTTGAATTGTATGAACACAGCCGACTCTCACTTATGATTTCAATAAAGAGTGTCTTTATGTGTTCTGAGAATCTAAGAATATGTCATTCCTCATGAAACCCCATTACCTATGGGGAGAATGTGTTGTATTCTGGAGAGAATGTTCCATCACTGGCTGGTCCTAGAGCAAATGTTATTTCAGATTATTTACAGACAAGGTTACATTTTGTTCCTTCTGTCATTCACCAGTGAGCTTGTGACTCTCTAAGCTATGTGCCCTTTGTCACCACATTCATTTGTTTTTCTTGAATTTTAACATTACCCATTTATATTTGGGTTTCTGTTTTAATATGACCAAGTAATCCTGGATCCTGTCAAATTCTCCTCTGCATGTCTGCTGTAGCCATTATGAGTCTTTCATTGCTGTGTTATAACCTTATAGCTATCCATCAGTAGCATAAGACATTTTGTCTATTATGACCTGATGCTCTTCAAAGGTTTTCTTCATATTTCTTTATCTTTGGGGAAGTATAGTCTAGAAAATAGCCAAGGGCGTACATGAATAAGTTATGTTGTTAAAACCTTAGTGGAATACCATCAATGTAACCTTAGGCTCCCATCAGTGTTCAGAGAAATCTTGTATCTTAAATGTGCTTTCTGTAACATTTCCCTCCCAATATTCTATGATTTATAAATAAGTAAACATTGTTTCATATAATAATAATTCATTTATTTAATTGAGTAAATTTTATTCCATCTAAAATGTCATGTACCTTAAATAAATGTGAAAGAAAATTTAAATACTATAGGCAGAGAGGCTAATGTGGCATTACTTAAAATGTGATAATTAATCCTGATACTGCTTTTCTCCTTTTACATTGGCTAAAGCTGATTTGGAGATCTGGGTTGCAAGGTTCTATGCAAAATATTCTATGATTTACAAATAAGTAAACCTTGTTTCCTATGACAATAATCCATTTATTTGAGTAAATTTTATTCCATCTAAAATGTCATGTACCTTAAATAAATGTGGAAGGAAAAAGAAAATACTACAGACAGAGAGACTAATGTGGCATTACCTAAAATGTTATAATTATTCCTGATATTTCTTTTCCCCTTTTACATCGGCTAAAGCTGATTTGGAGATCTGAGGTTACAAGGTTATCATTTGATGGAAACCTTTTACTCTTTTTCTCTCTTGCTGACAAATCCCAGATTAGAGCCTTGTAAATTCATTCCCAAGTGCTCTCTTTTATCAGACTACCAAAATTTAGAGAGAAATTCCTTTTAATAAACACTGTGTACATATCCCAGGAAAAAAATCTTATCAAGGTAAACAGGATAAAAACAAATCTTACCTTCTGATAGATTTTCTTGAGAGGCGAAAGAAAAAGAAAAAGTAAAATTCAATGGGTGGTGGAAGGTCCTGAGCAGAGATGGTAGTGGGGGTAGGGTAGGGGGGTGCAAAGACTCAGCAGTATTGCAGATCAGTCGTTCTTGAACTTTATCACATGTTAAAATTATCTAAAGAGCTATAAAAATTTCAGTGCCTTTCTCAATGAAATCAGAATATTTAAGAGTTGGATCTAGACACAGACATTTTTCAGTGTCCCCACTGATTCCAAAGAGTGCCTAAGTTTGAGAGCTAGTGTTGTAGTCTGCATGCAATTTTTACTATTCAAAGGATTATTATAGTAGTAAGTTTCATTATGGCCTTGACAGACCCAGACCCTGTTGGTTTGTTAATCAAACATCGTTCTCAGCTCCTTCTCCCCCATGCGCATCCATTTTAGACGCATATGTGTTCTCCTCATTTTCGTAGCTGGTAGTGAGTTTTGAATTGTTTATGGCACAGAATGTGTATGAGGTATGAGCATGGATTGAGCGAAAGCAGCTCAGATGGTTGCAGGGCTCTGACAGTAATTCCGTGTACCAGATCATGGTGCTTGGGTCGAGGAAATTGCAATGGAGTTGGGGAGAAGGGATATACTTGAGCGATATGTAGGAGTTTGCCTTGACAGGAATTGATGACTGTAAATCGAGGTGGAGACATAAAGAAGTTGTCAAGAATGACTCGGTTTCTGACTTTAGCAACCCAACAGATGAAGGTATTGTTTGCTGAGATCTGAAATGTTGAAGTAGAATTAGTTTGGAAGATGATTTTATGTTTGGATGCATAAACTCTGAGGTGCCTGTGAGACACTTAACGAGATTGTCAAATAAGCAGTCAGCTTTCAGTTCTAGAGAGCTTTGGTCTGGAGATGGAGACTTGGGAGTCATCAGTCATGGCAGTAATTGAGATAACCAAAGAAGACATGTGAAGTTAGAGGGGAAACAGCCCATGATAGAGCCCTGAAGATGGGAAGAGGAACAGAAGCTAGCAAAGTCCATGAGGCCACTAGGTAGAAACCAAGGAATTCACTGGCCTAGAAGCAAAAAGAAAAGCGTGTTTCAAGAAGGGTAGAAAGCGATCAGTGAGGTCAAGTGGAATAGAAACTATAACAGACCAGTGAATTTACTGGTTTGGAAGACTTCCATAAGGTCAGGTGAGTGGGAGATGATTACATATCATTCTGATATGCTTATAAATGCACATGTAACATAAAGAACTGTATGGATATTAGCTATTTCTCCTATTAAATTATAAACTCATTGGGGAGGACACATTTATTTATTTTATATCAATAACACCTACAGCTCTATTACCTCAAACTTATGATTAAGAAATATTTGGTGGCTTGGTGAATGAATGCATAGTATAATACGTTATAACTGTGGAGAAGACTGAAGATTTTTCAGATTTTTTTAAAAAATTATGTTGCTAGTTTTGAGATTCCTGAGTTTAATCCATCCCTTTAAACTTCCAATTGGAGAAAATTTATTCTAGGTTTTGAGATTTTTCTGATTTCATAATTACAGTCCCTAGAATTTGGAAATGTGTAATTCCAAATAGGTGTACATTTGAAAATATCAGCTCCTGTTCCACGGACCCCCAACTAGAAATTATAACTTTTACTTTATGTACTATCAGTTTACAAACTGATAAGTCTACTTCAGTGTCTTTGGCTTTAATAGAGACACATTCTGTGTTATCAGCGATTTCCTTCAGCTTTCTATTCTTTTTCTTATGTAAGTGTTGTTATTGGAATAGAGAGTATAAAAATTTTATCCATTCTACAAGTATAAAGCCATATATTTAGTAATTTTACTATTTCAGGAAATTTTATATTCCTAGTTTATACAAATTAGAAATAATAAAATAATTAAGTATAATATTTTATTATATTATACAAATAATAAATATTATAAATTCAGTAGAAACTAACAACACAGAAAGAATAAATTGTGACATTTTCTCCTTTGTATTTTGGTATAGATGCCGTTAGTTACTTTAAAAAAGTTTGTGTAATAGAAATTACGTTATGATTTCAATGTGTTTTCTAAATTAACTTATTTTTTCTTGGTCAATATATTGAAGGCATTTTATTAAGACAAGTGATCTTCTATGATACACACACACAGGCATACACACATACACATACACACACAATTTCATTGTCTGGATGAATCAAAATTCATTTACAGAGCCTCCTGTGGTTAGACATTTAAATCATTTCTAATTCTTCAATAATATAATCAATACTTCAAGGCATGTCTTTGAAGCTAAATTATTGTGTACAGCTATGATTTTTACCTCAGAATACATTTTTGATATTCAAACTGCTGGAATAAAATATAGACATACCTAAATTATTGATAAGTAATGTGAAATTGCCAATCATTAAAAAATTTGCACAGGTAATATGTACTGAGTATAGAAAAATATGGTAAAAGAAGAAAATAAGAAAAATCACTTTTAATATTACAGACCCCAGATCACATTTTTTGGATGATAACTTTTGGGTGGTGATGTCTGAATGTTGCCATGGCAACAGTAAACTGACATGACACTGGGGTGTGTGTCTCATGGAGAGATGCTTTTCCCTCTTTCCTGTTTCACTCAGTCTTCAATCTGGTCTGAAGAGTCTGAGCCCCACCTCTAGAGTCAAGTGCTGCCTCCTACCTTAGTATTTTTGGTACAATTGGTAGGAATATGCTAATATTTAACTTATAATTATATTCTACTTTGGTCATACATTTTGAAGTGAGATTGGGCTATAGTTGGTGTGTCTGTATGTGTGCATACATATGTGCACACTACTTCACTATTTCACTATTTAGATTTTGGCAATCTAGAAATACTAGGTCTTTCTAGTTGAATTGAAATAAAATTCTATTTTTTTGTCAGGGTATAGAAAATAGTAATAACCTGGAAAGTACCTTTTCTTGGAAAGTCTAAATGAACAGCTACTGCTACCACCCTTGTCCAAGCACCATCATTATCTCTTGCCTGGATTTAGCTGTTCTCCTAGCTTCCATCCCTGGTTCCCCGTGATATATTCTCCAGCGGGCAGTCAGCATGGGACCTGCAGCATGTGTTAGATCACACGCCTCTTCTGAGGACCCACCAAAGTTTCTTATCCCTCTCTAAAAGCTGCACCGCTGCTCACTTACTCCTTATCTGGTCTTCCCTCATCTCACTCACTTTCTGCTACCTCTCCTGGTTCCCTTTGTGGTTTCTGTTCTATGTCAAGCACCCTCTCACCACAGGGACTTTGTACCAAATCTTCTCTATCCTGGAACTCATCCCAGATCGCCATCAGCTATCCTTCAGGGATATCTTACCTGAAAAGCATCACACTATATAAAGGAGAACTTCTCATCTTTCTTAAGTTAATGTATCTAGGATTGTTATATGTCAGGCACTTTTCTAACGATTTTCTGTTAATGCACGTACTTTTCACAACAACATTGCGAGGTAAATACTATTAATCTCGTTTTGCAGAAAGAAAAGCTGCGAATGTTTGAAATAATAACTTGCCCAAATTCACACAGCTACTATGTAATGCAGTGAGGGTCTTAGAACAACAGGCTGGGCTGGGCGTGGTGGCTCACACCTGTAATCCCAGCACTTTGGGAGGCTGAGGCGGGTGGATCATTTGAGGTCAGGAGTTCGAAACCAGCTTGGCCAACATGTTGAAACCCCATCTCTATTAAAAACACAAAAATTAGCCAGGCATGGTGGTGGGCACCTGTAATTGCAGCTACTCAAGAGGCTAGGCAGGATAATTGCTTGAGCCCGGGAGGCGGAGGTTGCAGTGAGCAGAGATTGTGGCATTGCACTCCAGCCTGCGTGAAAGAGCAAGAAAGGCTCTGTCTCAAAAAAGAAAAGAAAAAATAAATAAATAAATAACAACAGGATGATGTATTCACTGCCACTCCTCTTCTCCTTCACTCTTACCTCCTCTCTGATTTGTTCCTAGGTAGCATTCACCTGACCATTTAGATCGATTTGGTTTTTGTCTCTCATATTTAAGTAGAGATTTGCTCAGGTCTGTATTCCTGGACCCTGGAGCTACATCTGGCATTCACAAGTTTCCAAAAATATATTTCTTAAACTAAATGAATATTGAATAAAAGAACCAAAAAAATGAGTTGAGCCCAGAGATGAGTTTTAGCAGTAATCATCTGATACCTTTTAAAAGCTTTGATGGCTGGGTGCGGTGGCTCACGCCTGTAATTCCAGCACTTTGGGAGGCCGAGGAGGGCAGATCACGAGGTCAGGGGTTCGAGACCAGCCTGGCCAACATGGTGAAACCTCGTTTCTACTAAAAATAAAAAAAATTAGCTGAGTTTGGTGGTGTGTGCCTGTAATCCCAGCTACTTGGGAGGCTGAAGCAGGAGAATTGCTTGAACCTGGGAGGCGGAGGTTGCAGTGGGCTGAGATTGTGCCACTGCACTCCAGCCTGGGCGACACAGCGAGACTCCATTTCAAACAAACAAACAAAAAAAGCTTTCATTATAGCTGTTGTTCTATTGTGTTCTATTGGATTGGCTACATCCTGAGTCACTTTTGGCTATTTCTATTTTCCTAGAAAGGCAGGCTCTGCACCCCAATTTTATACATGGAAAGCCACACTTTAGATATTATATCTATTATCTGAAAGCCTATCTCACTTATCCATCTTAATATTCTTCATTTGTGATTTAACCTTTGTTTTTCTGAATTAGGCTAGAAGGCCTATTACAAACACTGAATTAATTCGTATAAAGAACGAGTTCCTAAATATAATAATTAACTCCAGTGTTTTCTCTGATTTCTATGTTTTTCTAAAATTCTACTTTTCCAATTTGGAGATTTCTCAAATAAACAAAAACAGAATTACAATTCAACCTAGCAATCCCATTACTGGGTATATACCCAAAAGAAAATAAATTATTCTCACAAAAAGACACCTGCACTCATATGTTTATCACAGCACGATTCACAGTAGCAAAGATATGGAATCAACCCAAATGCTTATCAATGGTGAAATGGATAAAGTAAATGGGGTACATATACACCAAAGAATACTTCACAGCCATAAAAAAGAATGAAATCATGTCCTTTGCAGCAACATGGATGCAGCTGGAGGCCATTATCCTAGGTAAATTAATGAGGAACAGAAAACCAAATACCACATTTTATCACTTAGAAGTGTGAGCTAAACATTGGGTACACGTCGACACAAAGATGGAAACAATGAACACTAAGGATTCCAACAGGTGGAAGGGGAGAGAAGAGAGGATAAGAGTTGAAAAACTACCTTTTGGATACTTTGTTCACTACTTGAGTGATAGCATGGTTAGAAGCCCAAACTTCACCATCATACAATATACCCATGCAACAAACTCACACGTGTAACCCCTGAATCTAAAATAAAATTTAAAAATTAAAATTCTGCTTTTAAATTGACTCATTCCCTATTTTTCATTAATTTCCATTGTCATTGCTTTTCACCTTAGTATATTTACTATCATTTTTCATTATGTAATAATGAAATGACATGATGCTGAATTTGCCTTACTTTGCAGTTTTGAGCATACTCCATAATTCTGTTATTTAGTGTTTCATTATTATTTTCTAAATAACCTCTGAATACAACTTTAATTACTCCTTTTACTCAATAGTAAATTAACCGTATCTTGTTTTCCCAAAGGCTGGCAGAATTTAGTTATTTAATCTTTTTACATTAGTTTCTAGGTTTGTTATATAATACTCAGATAATGTGGCTGACACAATTTACACTTTGGGGAAAATTGCTGAGACTTTTACTTAGGGCTACAGAATGTGACAGTTCATACTTTTTTACAAGGAAATGTAAAAATATGTGTATCATTATTTTATTATGGTTTACACATCTATATATTTGTAACTTAGTGATTCATTATATGGTTTGTTCCTTACACTACTATAAATGCATTATTAATTATGCAATTATTAATCATATAATAAGTTATTAATGAAAATGACAGTAATGACAGCTTTGCAATATTGGACATTAATTATATAAAGATACTGTATATTTTAATCTTTTTGTTAGCCCAATGATATATCACTATTTTGATTGTTGAGTCAACTGAGGCACAGAAAAGTTAATTAACTTTCTCAATGTCATATGGCTGGCAAAGAGTAAAACAGGATTCAAACTCAAATCTGGCTGTATTCAAGACTTACACAGGATCTTCATCATTGGTATACACTCAGAGCATAACCCATTTTATTTTCTATATGTGAAATCAATTGATAGTTTACTTAAAATAACTATATAGTATTCCATTTTACATATACCCAGTAGGCAGTTTTTCAATCATTATCGCTCTCCTTCTCTCCCCTTTCCCCTGCTGGAATCCTCAGTGTTTATTGTTCCCATCTTTGTGTCCATGTGGACTCAATATTTAGCTCCCACTTATAAGTGAGAATATGTGGTATTTGGTTTTCTGTTCCACAATACATTTTCCATTCTACAGTTTGCTTAATCAATCCTTTACAGATTGTACATATCAAATATCAAATAGGTCCAATATTTTTTGTTGGCCAAAAACATTTTTCCAAACGTTTTTATTCATTACCACTTAATGACAACCTAATAGATAAGATTTGTCCTCATCTGTGATTATTTCTTTGTGGCAAAATATTTGAAATGAACAGCAGAATAAAAATTCATGTACATTGCCAAGTTCTATGTTCTATATTTCTAAAATACGCTCCAGAAATGCTATGTTAAATATGATTCTATCAGTAAATGAAACCCATGTCCTTGCATCTGTGCTCATTTTTTTAAATTTTAAAGGATTTCCAGTAATTTTATAGGTAAAAGATTTTTTCTTTTATAGATTAAAATTTTTCTTGGCTCTCAACACCTGTTGAAATTTAGAGTTGGATGGAGGTGCTGTGATTTGGCTGTGTCCCTATCCAAAATATCATCTTGAACTGTAATATGAATTATAATCCCCACGTGTTGGAGGTGGGACCTCATGGGAGGTGATTAGATCATGGGAGTGGTTCCCTATGCTATTCTCATAATAGTGAGTGAGCTCTCACGAGATCTGATGGTTTTACAAGGGACTTTTTCCCACCTTCACTCTGCCCTTCTCTTTCCTGTCTGCATGTGAAGAAGGACATGTTTGCTTCCCCTTCCACCATGATTCTAAGTTTTGTGAGGCCTCCCTAACCCTGCGGAACCATGAGTCAATTAAACCTTTTTCCTTTATAAATTACCCAGTCTCAGGCAGTTCTTTATAGCAGTGTGAGAATGGACTAATATGGGGGTAATCATTTCTCATTTATTTTATTATTTTTTGTACTACATAGCGGTTTGGTTGAGTTCATAGACATATGCTCAACATACGCAGGGCTAATACTATTCAAGAATATTTAAATGTGTTGGTATTGTTTAAAGGGTGTCCTTTATCCCCATCAGCTCTTTCTAGTGATTAGCGGTATATGGAGATGTTACTGCTATTTTATATTTATCTTTGAGTCCTGTAAAATTATTAAAGTTCCCATTTTTAAAGTGGTTTTTCAGTTGACTCTCTCTTGTGTTTTTATTTTTATCAAGACTGATAATATCTTCTAAAAATAATGAGAATTTTGTCTCATCGTTGGCAATAATTTCATCTATTACATTTTATTGCTGTTGTTACAAAAATTCTGTTGGCTAGAACTTCAGAACATTATTAAATTAATGATAACAGAAATTGGATGTTCATTCCTTAATCAGGATGCCTCTACATTTTACCTTTTTTTTTGTACAATGTCAGCTGTTGATTTCAGATGGATTTTTCTTCATCACAAATAACCAATTTTTAAATTTCTAGTTTATTAATATAATTTACTATTAGAAATGGATGTTAAATGTTATTAATTTTTTTAATCTATGGACTGTATACTATGAGTTTCTAATGTGATAAAATAGATTTATGGATGTAATTATTGTAAACTATGATTGCAGGCCATCAGTAAACCTTACTTGGTGATAGATAAATAGATAATGTTAGCATATATGTTTTCTGATCTGTAGTGCTGATTCTGTGGACTAATATTTAGTTATAAGTATTCCGTATTTATAAAAGTGATAACATTACTTTGGTTTTGTGTGTGTATGCGTGTCATTTTTTCAAGTTTTTTTTTCTAAAGGATAAACTAGTTTTTGAAACATGAAACAGGAATTATTCTCTCTATATGTATTTTCTGCTTTTACTGGAATAATCTACAGTCAGTTGAGATCATGTGTTCCCTCACTTTAAAATAATTTCTCCTTTAATTTATTTTCCATTAATTTTTGTATATAATATAAGGAAGGGGCCCAGTTCCAATTTTCTGCCTATGGCTGGCCAGTTCTTCCAGCACCATTTATTGAAGAGGGAGTCCTTTCCCCATTGCTGGTTTTTGTCATATTTGTCGAAGATCAGATAGTTGTAAGTGTGCAGTCTTATTTCTGGATTCTCTGTTCCATTGGTCTATGTGTCTTGCACCAGTACCATTATCCTTAGCAAACTAAAGCAGGAACAAAAAAGCAAGTACGGCATGTTCTTACTTATAAGTGGGAGCTAAATGATGAGAACACATGGACACATAGAGGGGAACAAGACACACTGGTGCCTATTGGAGGGTGGAATGTGGGAGAAGGGAGAGGATCAGGAAAAATAATTAATGAATACTAGGCTTAATTCCTGGGTGATGAAATAATCTGTACATCAAACCCCCATGATGCATGTTTACCTATTTAACAAACCTGCACATCCTGCACATGTACCCCCGAACATAAAATAAAAGTAAGGAAAAAATTTAGCCTGTAAATATATGTACACCTGGTATGATCAAGTAAACCAGTAGAATTAAATGGAAAGTCACAAAACATAACTACACGTTTGTGAAAGTTTATGTATTACATAGCCTCGCTTGCAGATGTCTGCAGGAAAAATGAACTATTTAATGAATTATGCTATGTCAGTTCTTTAGAGAACCATATAGAATTGGATCTCAAGGTCACACTAGACACAAAAATCAATTCCAGATAAAGATATGGTTTAAATATAACAGATAATAATTTAATTTTTAAAAGAAGGTTTAAAAGAGTATTTTATGACATTGGAATATAGATTTTTAAATTATAAATATGATGACAATGGGAAGTCATAAAGAAAATATTAGTATGTTGGATTACATGCAAGATGACCTTTTATCAGAAAATATTATAAAACTGAAAAGATAAATCACATAATTAGAAAATATTTTCAAAATATGTAACCAAAAATATTAGCATTCATAAAATATAAACAGCATCTTCAAATCAATAATAAAAAAGAGCAACATATTCTGAAAATAATTTTTTTTTAAAGACAGAGGAGTGGTGAGTGAACACAGAATTCTGTCAGTCATTGTTAGTCATACCTGTACATCAAAACCACAGATAGTTGTTTTCAGGGCTCCCTGAGATCATGAGCCCCTGGGTCTCTTGCAACCTTTAGGGGCCTAAAGGCCAAATGACAGAGGGAAATTGGAAGCCTGAATGGGAAGAGATAGGACCAATGGGTTGAGCAAAGGGCTGAAGAAGGTAGGGACTTGAAGGAGGACATATGAGAGGATCTGTCTTCACTCCTTATGATTTAAGAATCCATGGTTAGTCCTACTCCTGAGCCAGTGCTCCAGATCACATACATTGATACAAGGTAAGGAGAGATTCTGATTCTTGTGAGTCTTAGTGAACTCTGGAAGCTGGATTCAAGTCCCAGATAGTTAGAACTGAAGGGAAGATGGACAGTTGTAGAACGAAGGAGGAGCAGAAGCAATGGGAAAGAAGAGGCCTAAGGGTAGACAGTCTGGGGAGATGGCAAGTTTTCCAAAGAGGCCTTTGACGTTTCAAAGTATCCTTAGTAAAATCATGCCAACAAGAAGGGAAGCAGACAGAGTCGGTGAAGCACAGAGTCAGCAGGAGTCAAAAAGGGAGATTTCAATCAAATGAAAAGCTCTAATGTCCTAGCCAATGGTACCTTCACACTTACACACGGAAGAAGTTGGGACTCTAACACACCTCGTGTTCCTTACAGGGACTAGCTTCTTGTAACTGCAGAAGACTAGCACTGCGCCCAGGCTCTTTTTATCTGGGACTTAAACCCAGCTTCCAGAGTTCATTCAGAATTCTCAGAATTAGAATTTGTACTTACCGTGTTTCCATGGACTGCCATCTGGAGCCACGGGCTCAGGAGTCGGACTCACCAGCGGATCCCCAATAAATCAAGAGTTAGAACAAAGTCTTCAGAGGTGCACACTAGAGATCCTTAGGTGAGCAGGCTTGGAGTCAATGATGGACCCGATCCTCTCTGAGTCATGGCGTTATAACAGTCCAAGAAAACCCAGAGCAGTTAAATTGGTGAAAACAGATTTTATTCAAGACGATTGTAATGAAGGTAAAGAAACTTTGACATACAACAGGGCTTAATTCCAAATACTGCATAGGCCAGTAGGAAGTTATTGCCAAAGAGCAGGGTGGAAATCAGTGGATGGAAAATCATCAGGAGGAAACATCAGGGGTCCCGGGGATTCTGGCTAACCTGTCCTAACAGAATTCTTGCTGAAGACAAGCCAGGGTGATTAGACACCGCTTGGGGGATGCTAGAGGAGCAATATGGTTTGGCTCTGTGTCCCCACCCAAATCACATGTCTAATTGTAATGCCCAATTTGGGAGGGACCTGGTGACAGGTGATTGGATTATGGGGGCAGATTTCCCCCTTTGCTGTTCTCATGACAGTGAGTGAGCTCTACTAAGATCTTGTTGTTTAAAAGTGTGTATCACTTCCCCCTTCGTTCTCTTTCTCTCCTGCTCCACCATGCTGAGACATGCTTGCTTCCTCTTTGCCTTCTGCCATGATTATGAGTTGCCTGAGGCCTCCCAGTCATACTACCTGTACAGCCTGTGAAACTGTGAGTCAGTTAAACCTTTCTTCTTTATAAATTACCCAGTCTCAGGTAGTTCTCTATAGCAGTGTGAGAACAGAATACTCCAAGGAGGAAGAACCTGATTCAATATTGAGGGTGATCAAATATGGAGAGTGGGAGGTTCTTGCTAAACTAACTTAAAAGGATTCTTGCTAAAGCTGGAGTTTACAAAGAAGTATCCAGATGGGCCTAAGAGAAAGTTCAAGGACCTAACTTTGGTCAAGCAAAGAATCTTTGTCACAACTACTCTTATGACTTATGGTAATCAGGTCCTTACTCTTCTATTTTTAAATATGTCTTTTATGTTCCTAACCCTTTTAGTTTATAGATTCCTTTTTCCAACTCCCACAACTCTTGCCTGACAATTTGTTGAGGAAACAACACTGGATTTTTTTTTTCCTTAAAATTTCCCACAGTGTAGGATTGTGTTTGTTGACTGTATTTCCACAATGGAGACTAATATTTTTCTGTGTCATATGTATATATATATATTTGTCTACATATCTGTGCATCTGTCTAGCTAGCTAGCAAGAATACTTCACAGGTAGGATGCATTCTTTGTCAAAGGCAGATAACATTTGACACCCATGAGTTACTATTACTGAAAAGATTATGAACAATAAATGTCGATGAGACTGTGGGGAATCTTAAACTTTCACACACCACTGGTTAGAATGTAAAATGGTAAAACCCCTTTGATAAAAAGTTCTGATAGTTTCCAATATAATTAAGCACACGGTTACCTTGGGAACTAGTAATGACACTCCTAGAAATTCACCCAAGACTGAAAACATGTTCACAAAAGGACTTGTACACGAATATTTATAGCAGCTTTACTCACAACAGTCCAAACCTGGAGAAATCCCACGTGACCATCAACAGGAGAAAGAATAAGTAAACCTTGTGGTATTCATACCAACCAATCATACCAACCAATCATACCAACCAATGGTACTCCGCAGTAAAAAGACTGGAGAAACACGTGATAGCAAGGTGGAATTTAAAAACATTCTGAGTGAAAGAAGCTTTACGAAAGGAGGATATTTGGTGTGATTTTGTTTGTATGAACTTCTTTTAAGTTTTCACTGTTTTCTTCATTTCTGTTTCTGTTTTCAAATGCTTTCTGTGACTTTTTCAAATTTCTTTTTCTACTAATCTAGGGATTTGAAACTTTGCCCTGTTTCTATGTGAGTAGTCTTTTCTTATTCACTGTGAAACAAAATAAAATCAAGATGAAAATATTATTTCTTAATTATTTAAAGGATAACCCCCTTGAAATTTTTTTATTATCCCTATTGTCAAACAATGCTATTATAGTTTTCTCTACATATATTTTTAAATAATCATTTTAATATTTCAGTGAATTTTACTACTATATGAAAATAACTGAGCAATGTTTTTTAAGATTACTTTGTTGTTCCTAACTTCATTTACAAAATTATTTCTTTATGCCAGATTGAAATAATTATTTGAGTTTTTTTTTAGGAAGAGTACTAAATGTAATGCTTTCTGAGAATCACACATGAAAAAATTATGTGAGGTGATAGATATATTAATTATCTGGATTTAATCATCCCATAATGTACACATATTTCAAAATATCACATTGTGCCTCATAAACATATACAATTACTATTTGTCAATTAAAAAATTGAAAAAAACACCTTCCAGTTGCATTTGCAAATTTAAGTTATGGACTTAAAATTCTTAAAATTCTTGTGTCTAAATACTGAAAGACTGCTGGGTGATATACAAATATTTTTTAAAGGTCAGAAAAAAAGAAAAGAAATAAAAACAATATTTAAGAAAGTAGGATATGGCAATCTCACACTCCCTTTTTGATTGCTAGCAGTGTTTTCTTTGTTCAGATCATTGACAATTTTCTATTCTTAGACTTTCAGAAATGTTTTCAGTAGATGTCTAGATATTGGTGGCAAAAAAAAAAATCCCTTTGCATCTTGGGGAAAGCTAGAATAAATCAGAGAAGAGACTTGGAATAAAATCAGACCATTCAGAGTCATTAAATTATAAATGATGTTCAATTTGTTTAATAAGATCACAATGGCTCATATCTGTATTTCCAGCAAGTTGGGAGGCTGAGGCAGGCGGATCACTTGAGGTTAGGAGTCTGAGACCAGCCTGTTCAATATGGTGAATCCCCATCTCTACTAAAACAAATACAAAAATTTGTGCGGTAGTGGGCGCCTGTAATCCCAGCTACTCCGGAGGCTGAGGCAGGAGAACTCGTGAACCTGGGAAGTGGAGGTTGAGGTGAGCTGAGATCATGTCACTGCACCCCAGACTGGGCAACACAGCAAGACTCCACATCAGAAAAAAAAAAAAGGAAAAAAGATCACAGAGAAATGAAATGAGAAGAAGCTTAGGAGGTAGATTCAGTGAACCTCCAACTCTGTGGAGAAGGTAGAAGAGGAGGAAAGAGCAATGGAGGCTGAGAAGGAAGGAGGAAAGAGGAAAAATAGGAGAGACTTGTCATAGAAACTGGAAGAGGAGTTTTGAACAGAAAGAAAGAATCTACCAGTTAACTGGCTAGCTCTTGTATAAGTTATAATTATGTAAAGAGTGTGGCATTGCTAAGATAGTAGAAATTTTTATTAAAAAATATTTTTTAAAGAAAAAAACAAGAAGAAACAAGGCTTGTATGCATTTAGGAAACATTTGTCACTTTAAATTTGTTTTACTATTGGATATTCAATATATACAAGTATATACAATAAAGCAAAATAAATATCTGTATATCCATCACCTGTTTAATTGTTATAAAATCCTATTGCAGCTCCCTGTTTATTTTTCCTTTATCTAAAAAACCTAAGGATATTTATTTTTCCCAAGTGGTATTGATATTCTTCTTTATTACATAGTTAATATCTGTTTAATTAACTTAGGCTTTTTAACCTACTAATTTTTATTCTTCTTATTTAAGCAATTTGACCCTATATGTTTTCTCCTAATTTCTTTCATACTGCATCTCATAAGTTCTAATATTTTGGTTGCTTTTAAAATATCCTCAATGGGTTCCATGGAAAACCCATGTGTGCTATTTAATTGCTGGGCCCAGGGTTCACTATGTGTCCATATGATCATATTTACTTTTAATTTATCATTTGATTTTTATAGCTCCATTTTATTTTGCTTTGTATGTTTTGAAGCTATGTTGTTGGATACATATAATTTTCAACTTCTTATAGGTTCATAGTTTCTTGGCAAATTGAAAACTTACTTAATTGTGTGCTGGTGCAATTTGTCTTAAATAATGTTTTTTTGCCCAAAGGCCTACTTTATTTGATATATTGTCATCAGTTTTTTGGTTAATAGTTTCTCTTATATCTCTTCTCATTCTTTTTCTTTCAAACTTATTCTTATGTTTTAGTCTATCTCATTTTAACTGTATATCATTGTATATTTTAAATACAGTTTTGCAATCATTTTCCTTAATAAAATGATTAGTAAGTCTATATAAAGTTGTGACTATGGATATATTTGGACTTATTTCTCCATCTCATTTTATTCTTTCAATTGTTCCTATTTTAATTTTTTGGCTGTTTCCTTTTTAAAATACTTTTATTTTAGGTTCAGAGGGTACATGTGTTAAGTTTGTGACAAGGTAAATTGTATGTCTCTGAGGCTTACTCTAGGAATGATTCTATCATCAAGATAGTGAGCACAGTACCTGACAGGTAGCCTTCCAATCCCTACCTCCCTTTCCCTCACCCCCCAGCAGTCCCCAGTATATATTGCTCCAGTCTCAGTGTCCATGTGTATTCAGTGTTTACCTCTCTTTTTTTGTAAGAGAGAACATGCAGTATTTGGTTTTCTTTTCCTGTATCAGTTTGCTTAGGATAATGGCCTCTGGCTACATCCATGTTGCTGCAAATGACATAATTTCATTCGTTTTCATGGCTGTATGGTATTTCATGGTGTATGTGTACCACATTTTCTTTACCCAATACACTGTTGATGGACACCTAGGTTGATTTCATGTCTTTGCTATTGTAAATAACACTGTTATACTAGTGCATGTGTTTGTTGTTGTTGTTGTTTTTGTTAGAACAACTTATTTTTCTTTGGGTATATACCCAATTGTGAGATTGCTGGGTTGAATATTAGTTCTAAGTTTTTTGAGAAATCTCCAAACTGCTTTCCACAGTAGATAAACTAATTTGCATTGCCACCAGCAGCGTATAAGTGTTCCCTTTATTTCACAACCTGGCCAGCATCTGGTTTTTTTTTTTTTTTTTGACTTTTTAGTAATAGCAATTCTGTCTGGTGTGAGATGGTATCTCATTGTGGTTTTGATTTGCATTTCTCTGATGATGAGTGGTAATGAGCATTTTTAAAAATATTTTTTGTCACATGTATGTCTTCTTTTAAGAAATGTCTTTGCTCATTGTTTAATGGGGTTATTTGTTTTTTGCTTGTTTGATTGTTTAAGTTTCTTATAGATTCTAGATATTAGACCTTTGACAAATGCATAGTTTATGAATATTATCTCCTGTTTTGTAGGTTATCTGTTTACTCTGGTGATAGTTTCCTTTGCTGTGCAGAAGCTCTTTAGCTTAATTGGGTGCAACTTGTCATTTTTTTGTCTTTGTTGCAATTGCTTTTGGGGACTTAGTGATAAATTCTTTGCCAATACCAATGTCCAGAATGATGTTTCCTGTGTTTTCTTCTAGGTTTTTTAGTTTTAGGTCTTACGCTTAAGTATTTAACCTATTTTGAGTTAATTTTTGAATATGGTGAATGAAAAGAGTCCAGTTTCAATCTTCTGCATATGGTTAGTTACTTATCCCAGCATCATTTATTGAATATAGAGTCCTTTCCCCATTGCTTATTTTTGTTGACTTTGTCGAAGGTCAGTTGGTTGTATTGTGGCTTTGTTTCTGGGTTCTCTATCCTGTTCCATTGATCTATGTGTGTGTTTTTGTATCAGTATTATGCTGTTTTGGTTACAGTAGCCTTTTAGTATAGTTTGAAGTCATATAGTGTAATGCCTCTGGGTTTGTTCTTTTTGCCTATGATTGCTTTGGCAATTTGGGCTCTTTTTTGGTGCAGTATGAATTTTAGTATGCTTTTTTCTAATTCAGTGAAAAATGTCACTGGTAACTTGATAGGAACAGCATTGAATCCATACATTGCTTTGGGCAATATGTCCATTTTAACAATATTGATTATTTCCATTTATGAACATGGAATGTTTTTTCACTTGTTTATGTCATCTCTGATTTATTTCAGTAGTGTTTTGTAACTCTCATTGTAGAGATGTTTCACCTCCTTGGTATGCTGTATTCCTAGGTATTTTATTCTACTTGTAGCTATTATAAATAGGACTGCATTCCATTCTCAATTTGGCTCAGCTTGGATGATATGGGTGTATATAAACACTATTGATTTTTGTGTATTTATTTTGCATCCTGAAACTTTATGAAGTTGTTTATCAGTTCTAGAAGCTTTCTGGTGGAGTCTATGGGGTTTACTAGGCATAGAAGCATATAATCAGCAAAGGGAAGGTTTGACTCCTTTTCCCATTCAAATGTCTCTTAATTCTTTCTCCTCCTGATTGCTTAGGCTAGGACTTCCAGTACTGTGTTGAATAGGAATGGTGAGAATGGGCCTCATCATCTTGCTCCATTTTTCAAAGTGAATGCTTCAGCTTTTGCCCATTCAGTATGATGTTGGCTGTGGTGAGGATGTATATGTGACATTGATGGCTCTTATTATTTTGAAGTACGTTCCTTCAATACCTAGTTTGTTGAGGGTTTTTAACATGAAGTGATGCCGAGTTATACTGAGCACCTTCTCTGTATCTCTTGAGATAATCATGTCGTTTTTGTTGTTAATTCTGTTTATGTGGTGAATCACATTTATTGATTTGCATATGTTAAACCAAACTTGCATCCCAGGAACAAAGCCTAGTTGATTGTGGTGAATTAACTTTTTGATGTGCTGCTGGATTTTGTTTGCTAGTATTTTGTTGAGAATTTTTACATCTATATTCATCAAGGTTTTTGGCCTGAAGAAGTTTTCTTTTTTAATCATGTCTCTGCCAGGCTTTGGTACCAGAGCAATGCTGGCTTTGTAGAATGAGTTAGGAAAGAGTTTCTCCTCCTCAATATTTTGGAGTAATTTGGTAGTATTAGTACTAGTTCTTTGTATGTAATTTGGTTGTAAATCCATCTGGTTCAGAAATTTTTTTGGTTGGTAGGCTTTTGATTACTGATTCAGTTTCAGAACTCATTTCTTCTTTTTATCATATTGGATTACTTGTTTTTTTCTTGTTTATTCTAACAGTTTTTATTCTACTGGTTTAGAATTTAATTACTCTCTTTTTGTTCTGTTTGGTTTTATCCTTGAAATTTTGACATTCATGTATAATTAAATGTAAAATCAGTCTCATTTCTGTACTCCAGAACAGGCTTAGAATTCAGTAATTCTGATAATTTCCTTCTCAAAGCATATGCTGATGATCAATATTTTAGTTTTGTGGGTTTTTGAACAATTGTATATTATTACTATAGTTGTATGTATGCAAATTTTTTTTACTTTGGTGTAAATTTGCCTACAAGTTTACAAGAGTCTTTTGTTTGTTTGTTTCTTCTACTTTGATTCTCAGATCTTTATTTTCAGATCATATTCTTTCTTTGTAAAAGTTATCTCTTAGAAGTGATGGTCTTATGTTAGTAAATACTTTGATTATTTATTTGAGAATGTGTTTATTTTACCCTGATTCTTGAGAGTTTATTTCACTGAGTATAAATTACAAATTAGTAGTAACGTTATTGTTGTTGGTCATAATTCAAAGATACATGTATATGTCCTCTAGCTTCCATTACAGCTGTGAGGAAGTCAGCTGTCAGTATACTCAATCTTGTTTTGCAGGTGATTTTTCTATTTATTCTGGATGTTCTTATAATTTTCTTTTAGCGTTTGATATCCTGTTGTTTTACAACAATGGTTCTAATAATTTATGTCAATCCTGGCTTTTGGAAAATTCTCAGAATTTTTCTTTTCATGTACTCCCTCTCTAATTCTCTTCATTTTTCTCTTTCTGGAACTCTGATTAAACATGTAAAACTTTTTATCCTGCCTGCTGTCAACTTATTTGTCCTATTTTTCTATTGCTTTGACATTCTGGTTATCAGTATTAGATCTGTTTATATCTTTAAGTTTTCTAAAGCTCTCTTTTTAAAAATAATTTTTCATTTTAAATGTTTGTGGGTACATAGTAAGTGTATATATTTATGGGGCACATGAGATGTTTTGATACGGTCATGCAACACATAAAAGCAGATGTCTTCTGTGGGAGTGGAACCCTCATGGAGAATCTCTAGCAGGGCAGTCCAGAGGGGAAATGTGGGGTTGGAGTCCCCACACTGAGTCTCCACTAGGGCACAGCCTAGTAGAGCTATGAAAAGAGGGCCACCATCCTCCAGACCTCAGAATGGTAGGTCCACTGACAGCTTGCACTGTGTGCCTGGAAAAGCTGCAGGCAGTCAATGCCAGCCCTTGAGAGCAACCATGGGATCTGCGCCCTGCAGAAACTCACTCTTTGCATCAGTGTGGCCTGTATGTGAGACATGGAGTCAAAGATTATTTTGGAGCTTTAAGATGTAATGAGTGCCCTGCTAGGTTTCGAACTTGCATGGAGCCTGTAGCCCCTTTGTTTTTGCTGATTTCTCCCTCTTGGAAAGGCTATGTTTACCCAATGCCTGTACCCTCATTGTATCGTGGAAGTAACTAACTCGTTTTTTATTTTACAGGCTCGGAGGTGGAAGGGTCTTGCCTTGTCTCAGATGAGACTTTCAACTCTAGGCTTTTCAGTTAATGCTGAAATTAGTTAAGACTTTGGGGGACTGTTGAGAATGGATGCTTATATTTTGCAATGTGAGAAAAACATGAGACTGGGGGGACAGGGGTAAAATATGGTTTAGATTTGTGTCCTCCCCCAAATCTCATGTCGACTTGTAATCCCCAGTCTTGGAGGAGAGGCATTGTGGGAGGTGATTTGATCATGGGGGCAGATTTCCCCCTTTCTGTTCTCATAATAGTGATGAAGTTTTCACCATATCTGGTAGTTTAAAGCTGTGTAGTACCTTCTATTTTGCTCTCTCCTCCTCCTGCTCCATCCATGTAGGATATTCCTGCTTCCCCCTCAACTTCCAACACAATTGTGCATTTCCTGAGGCCTCCTCAGCTGTGCGTCCTGTAAAGCCTGTGAAACCATGAGCCAATTAAACCTCTTTTCTTTATAAATTACCCATATTAAGCTACTCAATGAGATACCAGGGTAAGGTAAAAACTCTCATAAACAAAAATTTAAAAGTAGTTCTAGATATGAATAAAACAATTTCTAGAGAGACAGATATAAAGAAAAACCAATCAGAACTTCTGGAAATGAAAGACACACTTAGAGAATTACAAAATTCAGTGTAAAGTTTTAACAATAGACTAGAACAAATAGAAAAAAAAATTAGACATCAAATATAAGGTTTTTGAATTTTGAATAAGTGTGATACATAATATAAACAGAATTAAAATCAAAAACCATATCATCATATCAATAGATGCAAAAGCATTTGACACAATCTAATATCCCTTTATAAAAACTCTTACCAAATGAGGCATATCAGGGACTTACATGAAAATAATAAAAACCATATATGACAATCCGACAGCCAACATCTACTGAATATAGAAAAATTAAAAGCATTCCCCCTGAGAACAGGAACAAGACAAGGATGCACACTTTCACCACTTCTATTCCTCATAGTTCTAGAAGTCCTAGCCAGAGCGAATAGGCAGGAGAAGGAAATAAAGGATATCCAAATTGGAAAAGGGGAAGTCAAACTATCCCTGTTTGCAGATTATATGATTGTTTGTCTAGAAAATCTTGAAGACTCCTCCGAAAGATTCTTAGGTTCGATAAACAAATTCGGTGTCTCAAGTAACAAAATCAATGTGCATAAATCACTAGCACTGCTATATACCAACAACAACCAAGCTGAGAATCAAATCAAGAATAGAGTCTTTTTTATAACAGCTGCAAAAAAAATAATAAAATACTTAGAGATATATTTAGCCAAAGAGGTAAAAGATCTCTATGAGAACTACAAAACACTCCTAAAAGAAATCAGATACGACACAAACGAATGAAAACACATGCTCATGTGAGGAAGAACAAATATTGGGAAAAGGATCATAGTGCCCAAAGCAATCTGCAGATTAAATGCAATTCCTGTCAAAATACCAACATCATTTTTCACGAAATTAGAAAAAACTATCCTAAAACCCATATGGAACCAAAAAAGAGCTCAAATACTCAACGCAAACCTAAGCTAAAAGAGCAAATCTGGAGGTATCTCATTACCGGATTTCAAATTATACTAAGGCTATAGTTACCAACACAGTATGGTAGTGATGTAAAAGGAGACACATAGACCAATGGAACAGAATAGAGAACCAATAAATAAAGCCAGATACATACAGCCAACTGATCTTTGACAAAGCATACAAAAACATAAATGGGTAATAGATCCTCTATTTAATAAGTGGTTCTGGGAATGCTGGCAAACCACATGTAAAATAAGGAAACTGGATCCCTATCTCTTACCTTATACAAAAAAATCAACTCAAGATAGATTAAAAACTTAAATATAGGGCCTGAAACCATAAAAATTCTCAAGATAACACTGGGAAAACTCTTCTAGACATCAGCCTAGACAAATAATTCATGACTAAGACACCAAAAGCAAATGCAACAAAAGCAATAATAAATAAAGGGACCTAATTAAACTAAAAAGCTTTTGCAAAGCAAAAGGAGTAATAATCAGAGTAAGCAGAGAACCCACAGAATGTGATAAAATATTTACAACTACACATCAGACAGATAACTAGTATCCAGAATCTACAAGGAACTCAAACAAATCACTAAAAAAAATCAAATAATCACATCAAAAAGTGGGCAAAAGACATGAATTGACAGTGCTCAAAAGAAGATACACAAATAGCCAACAAACATGAAAAAATGTTCAACATCACTAATAATCAGGGAAATGCAAATAAAACCACAAGGAGATACCACCTTACTTCTGCAAGAATGGCCATTATTAAAAATTCAATAGATATTGCTGTAGATGTGGGGAAAAAGGAATACTTATATATTGTTGTTGGGAATGTAAATTTGTATAACCTGTATGGAAAACAGTGTGGAGATTTTTTAAAAGAACAAATAGTAGATCCACCATTGGATCCAGCAATCCCACTACTGGATATCTACTCAAAGGGAAAGAAGTAATTATAATAAAAAGACACTTGCACATGTATGTTTATAGCAGCACAATTCACAATTGAAAAGATGTGGAACCAACATAAGTGCCCATTGACTAATGAGTGAATAAAGAAAATGTGCTATATATACACCATGGAATACTACTCAGTCATATAAAGGAATGAAATAGTCTTTTGTGCAGCAGCTTGGATGGAGCTGGAGGCCATCATTCTAAGTGAAGTAATACAGGAGTGGAAAGCCAAAAAAAAGTGTTCCCACTTATAAGTCAGAGCTAAGCTATAAGTATGCAAAAGCATACAGAGTTATATAATGGACTTAAGAGGGGGAGGGTGGAAGGGAGGCTAGGGGTACAAAAACTACATATTGGGTAACATGTACACTACCAGGGTGATGGGTACACTAAAATCTCAGAATTTGCCATTGTGTGATTCATCCGTGTAACAAAAGTCCACTTGTACCCCAAAAGCTACTGAAATAAAAATTTAAAACAAAACAAAAACAACAAAATAATCATTTGATCACACAGAAAAAGTAAATCCAAACTCTAAATCTGAGTGCCATTTGGTGATTGTACATTTGAGGAAAAACATTTTTTCTCCTGTAGGTAGAGTCAAAACACAGACAGGTGTCTTTGACAGCTCCTTTTGTGAAATGGGCTGGGTTTTTCTTTATTTTAACTTGTCAAGATATAAACATTGGAGACTTGGATAATGCAAGGATTTCTGCTCCAACTCCCTGCTTTCCGTGGGACTAAGGCTAATTTCCATCTTTCTCAGGGCCCTCGCACCTGAATGTTTCCTGTGACTCATGAGATAAGCAGCAGCCTTTCATGCAGGTGCCTGCATCAGTGCCCTTCTGACTGTATGCCCACTTCGTATCACAACCATGTGCTTAAAAAGGTATTTATTTTTATTTTTTATTTTTTATTTTTTTTTAGACGGAGTCTCGCTCTGTCTCCAGGCTGAAGTACAGTGGTGCGATCTTGGCTCACTGCAACCTCTGCCTCCCAGGTTCAAGCGGTTCTCCTGCCTCAGCCTCCCGAGTAGCTGGGACTACAGGCACGTGCCACCACACCTGGCTAAGTTTTGTATTTTTAGTAGAGATGAGGTTTCACCATGTTGGCCATGATGGTCTCGATCTCTTGACCTCGTGATGGTGCCCACTTCAGCCTCTCAAAGTGCTGGGATTACTGGACGTGATCTGCACCCAGCCAAAAAGGTATTTTCATATGTATTTTTCTAGAGTTTTAGGTATTCAGTAGAAGAAGATTTTTAGGACACCTAGTTTACCAATGATTTTTTAAAGAGTGTCAAGTCCCACATATATTAGAATCTAAATAGAACATCAAGTTTTAGAAGTAATTTATTGTCATTAGTACTTAGAAGTGACCTAACACTGAAAATTAAAAACCAGGAGACAGAGAAGAACCACCTAGTATCTTCCCAAGAGCTAGATATTTGCCTCTTGGATGTTTGCTGGTTTTTCTGTGAGATCCCAAGATGATAATACATTCTTGTGGGAACTGGATTTAATATAGACAGGTTTTGATGTAATGTTGAAGAAAAACAAAGCTCAATTAATGAGGCTTTTCAATTTGAAGAGTGGAAACACAGTGGGGGAAAGACACTGGGGCTTTGGGTAACTAATGAAGGCACAAAGAACTCCTGGTACTTTTCAAGGAAAACAAAGTACAAGAGGGTAAGTGAATCATAAAAAGGAGATGATGAAAAATAGTAGCAATTGCATATTTCCAAACTTATTAGATGGTTGGCTGTTTAAACATTTGTATTAAAATTTAAGAAAATGCTGTGTTTCAAAAATATCTAAATTTACTTGTGATATTTAGATGATTATTTAAAATTATAAAATTCTGTCTTTTTCTTGCTGGAGTTACAAATATTGTTTGGGCTGATGTTTTTCATTAGCGGTAGTAATTTGTGTGTTTTATTGTTTTTGAAGGAAACATATGGGACAGTGCTTTGGGATTATGTTGACCCTACTTTTGGTCTAAATATTGAATTAAATTTCAATGTGGAAAAGTAAAAATATCATAAAGACAGTATCATTCTTATATGTGAGGGTCTGTGTCTACAAATTTAATAAAAATCAATATAAGAACAATTATCTAAATAGTGTGGCTGAACACATGGACCCCCAAATTCTTAAAACCTAAATGTTCTTTGTCATTCGTATTCCATGATAATGTATGCATCAAAGACAGACTTGGTTGATTTTTGTTCCCTTCAATTATTCACTGAGACCTCAACTTTCAGTCAGATCAGTTGCTTCCCACTCAACTCTTGCAGATTGCAAATCTTCCCTGTTGAGTTGCACAGCAACTGCCACTCAACCTCACCTGCAAAAGGTTAGTCCAACATCTTTTTTTAAAATATATTTTTGTGGCTCTAGAAATAAGCAAGCCAGCTGGCAGTATTCTAAACCAAGATGCTCAGATCTTGTTGTTAAGTGTAACACCATTGCCTTCCTAATTTTTGCAACTACAAGAGTACAATAAAAAGTACGTTCTATAAGGAAGAAGGGAGCTTGAAATCTAAGCTTATCTCTGCCAGTTACTGGCCATATGATTTTATAATTATCTCCCTTCCCCTTTTTTAGCTTGCGTTTTTTTATTTCTAAGGTGAAGTAGTTAAATGAGATGATCGTTTGGATTGCTTCCAGGTCTGACATTCTGATGATCACATGAAATAAAACCTTTGTGAGTGCACTGTGCTAGGTGGTCTTATATACCACTCCAAGGCTGTTTCATTATGCAATTTATGGTGTCAATATTCCTTATACTGTATTCTATAGTAACGGTGCCTTCTGGAGGACATTGCAGAGGGAGGCACTTACATATATTAACATGTGCCACTCAGCCACATTCTATGCCCTAATAAAATACTTGAGGAAAAAGCAAAGGAAAATTTGAAGGGGTGGGGTCTATACATTTTATGTAGGGAATCTCAAATTCAGAATGGTTAAGTCCATTGCGCAAGGTCATCCAGTAAGTAAGTGGCAGCCGTGGTATTTGAACATTTGGTAGCCAGATTCCTCAAGCAGTGCCCCTTTAATCAGGCTTTAACGTTATTTTTCACTGGATTATGACACTCATATATTGTATTTTTCAGGCTCATTTGCAAATAGAAAAAAAAGACAGTCAACGCAATCTAGCTTAAGCGCTCCATAATAGTTAATTAATTAAAAATAATTATTAGTTTAAATAAATGAAAGGTCCATATAAAAATTGCATCAAGCTTCAAATCAAGACTTTTCTCTCTACCTCTGAATCCTGTTCCTCACTATGTTAGTTTTGTTCTAAGGCAAGCATGTCCCATGTGGTAATGCAATGGCGCTAAATTCTATGGTTTATTTTTATAGACTGAATGTTCATGTCCCTCCAAAATTCATATGCTGAAATCCTAACCCCAATGTGATGGTGTTAGGAGTTGGGGCCTTTGAAAGATTGTTAGGTCATGAGGGTGGGGCCCTCAAGAATGAGATTAGTGGCCTAATATAGGAGGCCTGAGAGGTGCTCCTCACCCCTTCCACCATGTGAGAACATAGCCAGAAGATGGTCGTCTATGAAACAGAAAGTGAGTCCTCATTCAGACACCAAATCTGCCTGCTAATTGATCTTAGACTCTCCAGGCTCAACAATTGTGAGAAATAAATGTTTATTATTTAAAACACCCAGTCTATGGTAGTTTGTTATAGCAGCCCAACAGACTAAAACATATTCTCAGAAACCCTAGTGGAAAGACAGATTCCATTCCTCAGTAGTTCCAACTGAAGTTGGAGTTCTTCATAAGTTGGAGTTCTTCATTGACAGGTCAGGCCATCTAAAAAGGGTCCAGGTGACCAGTAGGAACAGAATACTCTGTCCCTGGGTGTAAAATGCCTGCTCAGTCCTGGGATGTATGGGGATAGTGTTAGCTTCACTGACCACAAGGATGAAAACAATGTCAAACATGGGCCGAGAGAAGAAAATCGTGGTGCCAGAGGTTGGGATGTAGTAGATGCCAAAGGAACAAAATGTAACATTTATTTACTACAGATGCCCAGTTCCAAAACTGAGACTCAACCGTTGTTACTGTCAAAGTGAGGAACGAATGTGGTGAAAGAAGAAATGCTGTGTTTTGAAGCTCTCTATTCTCTGTGTCGTATTTTTTAGCTAAGCCAACTGATAGTACGTTGAGGTAGTTCATTGCCAAGTGACAGCTCTGGTTGACATAAGAAAAAGATTACTTTATATAAATCTTCTGTTCTTTACCCATTATGATCTATTTTTGATATTATTTCAGAAATAGACCTCAATATAAGGGGATAATATTATTGGTAGGTAGTAATTTGAAAGGAAACTCTGGTTCTTCCAATATTTCCATGAAAATATCCTTAATCTGTCTTTTAATATCTCACACAACAATCCTGGAAAATTGGTATTCTCCCTTGACACGGAGTGTTACCTGACCTCACAGAAAATAGGTAGAATGTCAACTTTCAGCATTCCTCTTTTATTTATAGAGGTTATTAACATGTCATCTTTCTTATATTATGAACTTTTCAGAAATATGCAGTACTCTCTCAGATGAGTTCTCAGGACAATCTCTTGAATGGCTCCACAAGGAAACACATGATGAAATGATTGGTTGATAATTTGAAAAGACATTTCTATTTAACGAACATGATTTACTTGAAAACATGTCGATGCTACAGAGTTCACAGAAATGGGAATTACACATTGTCAACAATAAAATTTGTGCTTTTTATTTCCTTGTGACTCCATTAGGAAACAATAGGTGTTTTGTGTTTATTGGAATAATTTATTCCTTACAAATTATGCATCAACATTAGCAAATAACAGTCTATGCAAAAGCATTGATAATGCATTTATTACAATTATAGTATTGCCACTAAAAGAGAAAAAAGTGTGCTTCATTACCTGTATAAAAGGTACAACTATTTCAGTAGGCCTTTCCTCTTTTATGAAGTAGGTATAATTCTCTTATTCTTAAGAATATTTATATATTGATAGCCCTCATGGCTGAAAGTTTCTATGGCCCTATCACAATTTTCCCAATAGGAATAGTGTTTATTTTTTAAAAATTCCTCTTTTTAGCAGGGATCACAGTGTATAGCACATATTACTTGTTTAATAAATACCTGTTGAAGAAATTAGTAAGTACAAATACATTTTTGATTCCATAACTTGCTTAGTCTCAGAGACTTAAGAAAACAATGGTGGGATATAAAAACCATCTATATTTTCACTGAGTGGAAATTATCTTGACAAGAGTTTGACAGGATATGAATATCTTGAATGAAACATTATTTACTCTCTGAAGAATGTGTATTTTTAAATAAAAAGAATCAAGTAAAAGACACCCTGGTCCCCAATATATTAAAGCCTATTTCTTGTTCAGTAGTAACAGGCAACATCTAATTTATGTATCATAATAACTATCCCAGTTTTAGAAATGAATTTAACCCCTGTAAAAATTTGTAATATGAAACACACTAAAGGTAGTTAGAAACAGCAAAATAGACCTTAACACAGTGACCGTATCATATTAGTGTTTTTAGGCAGTGGAAACTCCAGCTGATAAATTATCCAAAGGCATAATTATAGCACATTTCTGCAAATAGGAGCTGGATGTATACAAAATAAAGTCTGATTAGGTGCCATCAGAATGGCACCAATGGATCAACAGCCTAAATAACTTAATGTTAGTGATTAAGATGATGACTAATTAGTTGTTCATTTGTCTTTAAAAAAAAAGTGAACCCTAGCATGGTCAGTTGCCATTTCGATTATGAATCATTATTTTTTTCCTTGTTATAGAGGGAGAGCAAACAGTTGGTTCTTTTAAATTGCTTTTCCCTGGCATCTGGAACAGGTCTTGTGAGTCAGAGTGAAATTTCCGATTTAAATCACCCCAGCCAAGTATCATTTGATCAAGAGTAGAAAATAGTGACGGTTAGTAAATTAACTTCTCTCAGTATAGATAAACACATAATAATTTCAAACTCTCCAGGAAATACCATCCTATTACAAGAATTTGTTTAAAAATTGTGAGATTTTCTCCATGCTGTGCAATTGCCCGTAAGTTGCTGTAAAGGGAGAAGAACTTGGCTTCGTTTGAAGGCTGCAGTTCCCAGCCCTGCTTCATCATTGAACAAATGAAGATCACGCCTTAGCTCTTTATCTATTAAGTGAGATAAATCAGAATGTTCTGATTCCATGTCTCTAGAGTGAACTTTATCACCGGGTGTTCACATGAGCAGAAGCTAAATAGTTCCAGGTGGTTTGATGTGTCTCTCAGACTCGACATCTGCCCTGTAATACAGTTCCAAGTTTTCATGCCATTGACCATTTAGAAGTAAAGCATGATCTTGAACCCAGTCTGGCCACTAGCTTCTCTGACCTAATCAAGGTATTGAGCTTTTGCTCGACTCTCTCCCCACCTGGATTCTTGCTCCAATAACATCTTGCATCAATAAGAACTCTTAGTTTTCAATGAGTGAAAACTGTTTTAAATCATTGTAATCTAAAAGAGAAAATTTATTGGTTCATGTAAGTTTAAAGTTCCAATATACCATTTGCTTCAGACAGAACTAGATCTAGCAGCTCAAATGACATCATCTGAACTCTTTCTCTCCATCTCTCTTGGCTCTTTTTCATCTTTGTTGCATTCCTGCTAAATCAAGGCCTCTGTTAGTAGGATGAAGATGGTCATGATCAGCTCCATGTGTATATACTGCCAGCTTAGTAAATTTCCATAGTTCCGACATAATTCCAGGCTGGATCATTGACTCTGATTGACTTACTTAAATAATGTGATGCTGTGAGTCCCCATCCATAACACATAGATTGATACTGTGTTGTTTCAAATAAAATTCAGTTGCTCTAACCAGAAAACAGTAAAATAAATTCTGAGTATATAAAAACAACATCCATTCACTGTATTCTCTGTAGCAGAGATTGACTGTTTACTAAGCTAAGTCATTTTCTTCCTAGCGAGATAGCTAGACTACAATTCTCAGGCCTCTTTGAAACAAGTGTGACCATGTGACTGAGTTTCAGCCTATGGAAAGTGGGCAGAAGTGATACCACAGCTTTCAGGCATGGTCCCTATAACCCTCTCATGGGAGACCCTTCCTTCATTTACTGCTTGCTACCTGAATATTAAACACCAGAGTGAACTTGATGTTTGTAGGTTGAAGATGACACAACCTCTGTCAGCCTAGATTCCTGATTGGAGCAGAACTTTGAAACCACCCTTCCACACACACAAAATTGGTTTTTATGTGAGTGAGAAATAACACAGAAAACAAAAAAACTACTGTACTCAGCCACTGAGATGTTAGGGTTATTCAATTCTATCAACTAGCATCCGCTTACACATTCTTTAACAGACCTAATATTCCCTGTAATATACCTCAGCTATTCCCGCATGTTAAACAGTTTCTTATTTAGAGCAAAGAACTGTATCCAACTAAAAGTTCCATATTGTACCTTACCTCTTTACATTAGATGTGGTGAAGTCCCATTCAGAATTTCTTAAATTTTAGTTTTATATGTTTTATGTTCTAAAAGCTTTGTCTACCCCAGAGCTGCAAAGGTTTTCTCTCATTTTTTTGTAGAGGTTTTCCAGTTTTAGATTATACATTTTGAATTAATTTTTGTGTATGACTGAAGAAAAGGTCAATGTTCATTGTTTTCTCATCAGAATATCTAGTTAATCTAACACCATTTTGTTAAAAAAGTTTTCTTCCTTAATTAAATTGGCTTGGCAACTCTGTCAAAAAATGAAGTCATTATATATGTGAGAATCAATGTCTGACCTCTCTTTTCTATTTCATTGATCTATAAGTCTATCTTTCCACCAGTAGCAATCTATTTGAATTACTGTATCCTCATAGTAAAATTAAATTATATAAGGTAAGTCATCTAACTTTAAAAAAATGCTTTGTTATTTTATTTCTATCTTTATATAAATTTTAGACTTTCTTGCACTACAAAATGAAACAGTTTCATCTTATATAATTTCTGCCCAATTCCTAGAATCAATTTCTCCAAGGAATTCTGTTTTTCTTTACTGGATGATGGTATTAGAAACCAATATCTGGGCACTAGGTGTGCTCAATGTTACTGGGGTGTCAATAAGTTTAGCTTGCAGAGGAAGGAAATAATATGTGTTCACTAACACATGTATTATACATAGATCTGTAAATATTTTTACATGTAAACATCTATATATTAAGCTAAACATGGGTTCAGAATGCTGTCTCATATTCTAATCCATTAAAATATGGATCATTCTAGTCTCTTATTCTTGCTTATTGCTAACTTCCCATTCCAACAGTGAGAGATCTAGCCTCAACCATCTACCATCTATTTACTTGTTTAATTCCAGCCTAGAAGCACAGAAGTATTACAATTTTTACCCCATATCTCATACTACACTCCAGAGATTATATCAAGTTTCTCTCTTAGTCTTATAGACTTATTTCCAAAACTACGTAGATTAGTACCTTTTCCCCCACTCCATCAGTGAATTGTTTCATACACATAATATAATTAAATTTTTTTGTCACTTTCTGCATTCCACCCTGGGATCTCCTGACCTTCTAAATGATTTTTGTGTTTGCATACCTTAAGGTTTACTGTTTGCACTGAAAACCTCTATGGGCTTTGACAAATGCATAGTGACATGTATCCACAGTTACAGTATCATATACAGAATAGATTCACTGCCATAAAAAGTTTCCTGTGCTTAATGTATTCAATCCTTCTTCACCTTCTGCTGAACCCCTGGCAACGAATATGATTTTTATACTTACAGTTTTACCTTTTCCAGAATGTTGTAAATTGGAATCATACAGTATACTATAAACTTTTCAGACTAGAGTCTTTTACTTAGAAATATCCATCTAAGATTGATACATGTCTTTTGTGATTAATTTTCCTTGTCACTTAAATATTTTTCTACTTTTTTTTTTTTTTTGATATAGAGTCTCACTCTGTCGCCCAGGCTGGATTGCAATGATGCAATCTTGGCTCACTGCAACCTCTGCCTCCTGGGTTCAAGCTATTTTCCTGCCTCAGCCTCCTGAGTAGCTGGGACTATAGGCAAATGCTGCCACATCTGGCTAATTTTTTTTGTATTTTTTTTGTAGAGATAGGGTTTCACCGTGTGAGCCAGGATGGTCGCAATCTCCCGACCTTGTAACCCGCCTGCCTTGGCCTCCCAAAGTGCTGGGATTACAGGCGTGAGCCACCGCACTGGCCTACCTACTTATTTATATTTATTTTAAACTAGCTTTTAGCATGTTGAATATGAAATGTCTAGGTGACAAGTTTGTGGGCTCATTCTACTCAGATTTTCTTCAGCTTCCTGAACTTGTAGAATAATATTTTCTTTTTTTTTTCTTTTGTTTTCTTTTATTATGATTACACTTTAAGTTTTAGGGTACATGTGCACAATGTGCAGGTTAGTTACATATGTATACATGTGCCATGCTGGTGTGCTGCACCCATTAACTCGTCATTTAGCATTAGGTATATCTCCTAATGCTATCCCTCCCCCCTCCCCCCACCCCACAACAGTCCCCAGAGTGTGATGTTCCCCTTCCTGTGTCCCTGTGATCTCATTGTTCAATTCCCACCTATAAGTGAGAACATGTGGTATTTGGTTTTTTGTCCTTGCGATAGTTTACTGAGAATGATGATTTCCAATTTCATCCATGTCCCTACAAAGGACATGAACACATCCTTTTTTATGGCTGCATAGTATTCCATGGTGTATATGTGCCACATTTTCTTAATCCAGTCTATCATTGTTGGACATTTGGGTTGGTTCCAAGTCTTTGCTATTGGTAATAGTGCCACAATAAACATATGTGTGCATGTGTCTTTATAGCAGCATGATTTATAGTCCTTTGGGTATATACCCAGTAATGGGATGGCTGGGTCAAATGGTATTTCTAGTTCTAGATCCCTGAGGAATGGCCACACTGACTTCCACAATAGTTGAACTAGTTTACAGTCCCACCAACAGTGTAAAAGTGTTCCTATTTCTCCACATCCTCTCCAGCACCTGTTGTTTCCTGACTTTTTAATGATTGCCATTCTAAGTGGTGTGAGATGGTATCTCATTGTGGTTTTGATTTGCATTTCTCTGATGGCCAGTGATGGTGAGCATTTTTTCATGTGTTTTTTGGCTGCATAAATGTCTTATTTTGAGAAGTGTCTGTTCATGTCCTTCGCCCACTTTTTGATGGGGTTGTTTGTTTTTTTCTTGTAAATTTGTTTGAGTTCATTGTAGATTCTGGATATTAGGCCTTTGTCAGATGAGTATGTTGCGAAAATTTTCTCCCATTCTGTAGGTTGCCTGTTCACTCTGATGGTAGTTTCTTTTGCTGTGCAGAAGGTCTTCAGTTTAATTAGATCCCATTTGTCAATTTTGGCTTTATGTTGCCATTGCTTTTGGTGTTTTAGACACGAAGTCCTTGCCCATGCCTATGTCCTGAATGGTAATGCCTAGGTTTTCTTCTAGGGTTTTTATGGTTTTAGGTCTAACATTTAAGTCTTTAATCCATCTTGAATTAATTTTTGTATAAGGTGTAAGGAAGGGATCCATTTTCAGCTTTCTACATATGGCTAGCCAGTTTTCCCAGGACCATTTATTAACTAGGGAATCCTTTCCCCATTTCTCGTTTTTCTCAGGTTTGTCAAATATCAGAGAGTTGTAGATATGTGGCGTTATTTCTGAGGGCTCTGTTCTGTTCCATTGATCTATATCTCTGTTTTGGTACCAGTACCATGCTGTTTTGGTTACTGTAGCCTTGTAGTATAGTTTGAAGTCAGGTAGCGTGATGCCTCCAGCTTTGTTCTTTTGGCTTACGATTGACTTGGTGATGCGGGCTCTTTTTTGGTTCCATATGAACTTTAAAGTAGTTTTTTCCAATTCTGTGAAGAAAGTCATTGGTAGCTTGATGGGGATGGCATTGAATCTATAAATTACCTTGGGCAGTATGGCCATTTTCACAATATTGATGCTTCCTACCCATGAGCATGGAATGTTCTTCCATTTGTTTGTATCCTCTTTTATTTCATTGAGCAGTGGTTTGTAGTTCTCCTTGAAGAGGTCCTTCACATCCCTTGTAAGTTGGATTCCTAGGTATTTTATTCTCTTTGAAGCAATTATGAATGGGAGTTCATTCATGATTTGGCTCTCTGTTTGTCTGTTATTGGTGTATAAGAATGCTTGTGATTTTTGTACATTGATTTTGTATGCTGAGAGTTTGCTGAAGTTGCTTATCAGCTTAAGGAGATTTTGGGTTGAGACAATGGGGTTTTCTAGATATACAATCATGTCATCTGCAAACAGGGACAATTTGACTTCCTCTTTTCCTAATTGAATACCCTTTATTTCCTTCTCCTGCCTAATTGCCCTGGCCAGAACTTCCAACACTATGTTGAATAGGAGTGGTGAGAGAGGGCATCCCTGTCTTGTGCCAGTTTTCAAACGGAATGCTTCCAGTTTTTGCCCATTCAGTATGATATTGGCTGTGGGTCTGTCATAGATAGCTCTTATTATTTTGAGATATGTCCTATCAATACCTAATTTATTGAGAGCTTTTAGCATGAAGGGCTGTTGAATTTTGTCAAAGGCCTTTTCTGCATCTATTGAGATAATCATGTGGTTTTGGTCTTTGGTTCTGTTTATATGCTGGGTTACATTTATTGATTTGCGTATATTAAACCAGCCTTGCATCCCAGGGATGAAGCCCACTTGATCATGGTGGATAAGCTTTTTGATGTGCTGCTGGATTCGGTTTGCCAGTATTTTACTGAGGATTTTTGCATCAATGTTCATCAAGGATATTGGTCTAAAATTCTCTTTTTTTGTTGTGTCTCTGCCAGGCTTTGGTATCAGGATGATGCTGACCTCATAAAATGAGTTAAGGAGGATTCCCTCTTTTTCTATTGATTGGAATAGTTTCTGAAGGAATGGTACCAGTTCCTCCTTGTACCTCTGGTAGAATTTGGCTATGAATCCGTCTGGTCCTGGACTCTTTTTGGTTAGTAAGCTATTGATTATTGCCACAATTTCAGAGCCAATAATTTTACAATTATTGGTCTATTCAGAGATTCAACTTCTTCCTGGTTTAGTCTTGGGAGAGTGTATGTGTCGAGGAATTTATCCATTTCTTCTAGATTTTCTAGTTTATTTGCGTAGAGGTGTTTGTAGTATTCTCTGATGGTAGTTTGTATTTCTGTGGGATCAGTGGTGATATCCCCTTTATCATTTTTTATTGTGTCTATTCGATTCTTCTCTCTTTTATTCTTTATTAGTCTTGCTAGTGGTCTATCAATTTTTTTGATCCTTTCAAAAAACCAGCTCCTGGATTCATTAATTTTTTGAAGGATTTTTTGTGTCTCTATTTCCTTCAGTTCTGCTCTGATTTTAGTTATTTCTTGCCTTCTGCTAGCTTTTGAATGTGTTTGCTCTTGCTTTTCTAGTGCTTTTAATTGTGATGTTAGGGTGTCAATTTTGGATCTTTCCTGCTTTCTCTTGTGGGCATTTAGTGCTATAAATTTCCCTCTATACACTGCTTTGAATGTGTCCCAGAGATTCTGGTATGTTATGTCTCTGTTCTCGTTGGTTTCAAAGAACATCTTTATTTCTGCCTTCATTTTGTTATGTACCCAGTAGTCATTCAGGAGCAGCTTGTTCAGTTTCCATGTAGTTGAGCAGTTTTGAGTGAGTTTCTTAATCCTGAGTTCTAGTTTGATTGCACTGTGGTCTGAGAGACAGTTTGTTACAATTTCTGTTCTTTTACATTTGCTGAGGAGTGCTTTACTTCCAACTATGTGGTCAATTTTGGAATAGGTGTGGTGTGGTGCTGAAAAAAATGCATATTCTGTTGATTTGGGGTAGAGAGTTCTGTAGATGCCTATTAGGTCTGCTTGGTGCAGAGCTGAGTTCAATTCCTGGGTATCCTTGTTAACTTTCTGTCTTGTTGATCTGTCTAATGTTGACAGCGGGGTGTTAAAGTCTCCCATTATTATTGTGTGGGAGTCTAAGTCTCTTTGTAGTTCACTCAGGACTTGCTTTATGAATCTGGGTGCTCCTGTATTGGGTGCATATATATTTAGGATAGTTAGCTCTTCTTGTTGAATTGATCCCTTTACCATTATGTAATGGCCTTCTTTGTCTCTTTTGATCTTTGTTGGTTTAAAGTCTGTTTTATCAGAGACTAGGATTGCAACCCCTACCTTTTTTTGTTTTCTGTTTGCTTGGTAGATCTTCCTCCATCCTTTTATTTTGAGCCTATGTGTGTCTCTGCACATGAGATGGGTTTCCTGAATACAGTACACTGATGGGTCTTGACTCTTTATCCAATTTGCCAGTCTGTGTCTTTTAATTGGAGCATTTAGTCCATTTACATTTAAAGTTAATATTGTTATGTGTGAATTTGATCCTGTCATTATGAAGTTAGCTGGTTATTTTGCTCGTTAGTTGATGCAGTTTCTTCCTAGCCTCGATGGTCTTTGCAATTTGGCATGATTTTGCAGTGGCTGGTACCAGTTGTTCCTTCCCATGTTTAGTGCTTCCTTCAGGAGCTCTTTTAGGGCAGGTCTGGTGGTGACAAAATCTCTCAGCATTTGCTTGTCTGTAAAGTATTCTATTTCTCCTTCACTTATGAAGCTTAGTTTGGCTGGATATGAAATTCTGGGTTGAAAATTCTTTTCTTTAAGAATGTTGAATATTGGCCCCCACTCTCTTCTGGCTTGTAGAGTTTCTGCCGAGCGATCCGCTGTTAGTCTGAAGGGCTTCCCTTTGTGGGTAACCCGACCTTTTTCTCTGGCTGTCCTTAACGTTTTTTCCTTCATTTCAACTTTGGTGAATCTGACAATTATGTGTCTTGGAGTTGCTCTTCTCGAGGAGTATCTTTGTGGCATTCTCTGTATTTCCTGAATCTGAATGTTGGCCTGCCTTGCTAGATTGGGGAAGTTCTCCTGGATAATATCCTGCAGAGTGTTTTCCAACTTGGTTCCATTCTCCCCGTCACTTTCAGGTACACCAATCAGATATAGATTTGGTCTTTTCATATAGTCCCATATTTCTTGGAGGCTTTGCTCATTTCTTTTTATTCTTTTTTCTCTAAACTTCCCTTCTTGCTTCATTTCATTCATTTCATCTTCCATTGCTGATACCCTTTCTTCCAGTTGATTGCATCGGCTCCTGAGGCTTCTGCATTCTTCACGTAGTTCTCGAGGCCTGGCTTTCAGCTCCATCAGCTCCTTTAAGCACTTCTCTGTATTGGTTATTCTAGTTATACATTTGTCTAAATTTTTTTCAAAGTTTTTAACTTCTTTGCCTTTGGTTTGAATTTCCTCCTGTAGCTCGGAGTAGTTTGATCATCTGAAGCCTTCTTCTCTCAACTTGTTGAAGTCATTCTCCATCCAGCTTTGTTCCTTTGCTGGTGAGGAACTGTATTCCTTTGGAGGAGGAGAGGTGCTCTGCTTTTTAGAGTTTCCAATTTTTTGCTCTGTTTTTTCCCCATCTTTGTGGTTTTATCTACTTTTGGTCTTTGATGATGGTGATGTACAGATGGGTTTTTGGTGTGGATGTCCTTTCTGTTTGTTAGTTTTCTTTCTAACAGACAGGACCCTCAGCTGCAGGTCTGTTGGGGTTTGCTAGAGGTCCACTCCAGACCCTGTTTGCCTGGGTAACAGCAGCAGTAGCTGCAGAACAGCGGATTTTTGTGAACCGCGAATGCTGCTGTCTGATAGTTCCTCTGGAAGTTTTGTCTCAGAGGAGTACCTGGCCGTGTGAGGTGTCAGTCTGCCCCTACTGGGGGGTGCCTCCCAGTTAGGCTGCTCGGGGGTCAGGGGTCAGGGACCCACTTGAGGAGGCAGTCTGCCTGTTCTCAGATCTCCAGCTGCGTGCTGCGAGAACCACTGCTCTCTTCAAAGCTGTCAGACAGGGACATTTAAGTCTGCAGAGGTTACTGCTGTCTTTTTGTTTGTCTGTGCCCTGCCCCCAGAGGTGGAGCCTACAGATGCAGGCAGGCCTCCTTGAGCTGTGGTGGGCTCCACCCAGTTCGAGCTTCCCTGATGCTTTGTTTACCTAAGCAAGCCTGGGCAATGGTGGGCGCCCCTCCCCCAGCCTCGCTGCCACCTTGCAGTTTGATCTCAGACTGCTGTGCTATCAATCAGCGAGACTCCTTGGGTGTAGGACCCTCCGAGCCAGGTGCAGGATATAATCTCCTGGTGTGCCGTTTTTTAAGCCCTTCGGAAAAGCGCAGTATTAGGGTGGGAGTGACCCGATTTTCCAGGTGCCGTCTGTCACCCCTTTCTTTGACTAGGAAAGGGAACTCCCTGACCCCTTGCACTTCCCGAGTGAGGCAGTGCCTTGCCCTGCTTCAGCTGGTGCACAGTGCGCTGCATCCACTGTCCTGTGCCCACTGTCTGGCACTCCCTAGTGAGATGAACCCGGTACCTCAGATGGAAATGCAGAAATCACCCATCTTCTGCGTCGCTCACGCTGGGAGCTGTAGACCAGAGCTGTTCCTATTGGGCCATCTTGGCTGCCCTTAATATTTTCTAGCAAATTTGGAAGATTTTTCTACCATGTTTTCTTCAAATAATTTTTCTACCCTTTCTTTGTCTGTTGAACTCCAATCATATGTATGTTTAGATATTTAGTATTGTCCTTCATGTTTCAAATACTGTGTTCATTTTTCTTCAATATATTTTGTCTGTTATTTGGACTGTATGATTTTTGTTATTCTATACTCAAGCTCTTGATTTTTTGCTATGTCAGGTCTGCTCTTGCACTCATCTAATACATTTCTTGAAATTTTTATTATTGTTCTTTTTAGATCTAATTTTTTGTTTATTTTTTATAGTTTCCACTTCTCTGTGACAAGTTCTCATTTATTAACTTATCATTGTCATAATCTCTTTAATTATTTGAACATATTTTTCTTTAATTCTCTGTACATAATTTTAATGTGTGCATTGAAGTGTTCATCTGCACAGTCCAAAATATTGTCCCACTTAGACTCTGTTTCTATTGCCCTCTTATTTTCATAGCATGGGAAATACTTCTCTGTGTTTTTACAAGTCGAATTGTTTTTTATTTTAAGCTACACTTTTTAGACAACAGATTGTTGCAACTCTGGATTCTGTTTTATTCTTCCAGGGACTGTTAATGTTTTTCTTTGTAGGCACATACTTTGCCTGGTCTCACACTGTAAAGTCTGTCTCCTTCACTCAGAGCAGTCACAGATATCTATACTGAAGTTTCATTTGTTTGCTTATTTGTTTACTAGCTCCCTAGTTCTCTCCCTTTTGCTGTTGTAATTAGCAGTCAACCACTGATGTGGACAGAGGTTGTGCTCAGCAATATGAAGGCAGTAAATCCTTTACCCACTGTTGCTTAAGTTTTATGTGGGTTGAGGAATTCATTTAGATGTGTGGGTTGATTCCTGAGTGTCCCAGGGCTTTGAATTTTTACCAGACTCCCTCCTTTCCATGTATACATTATTTTAAAAATCAGGTAGAAATGTATGAAGAGTATATTCTTTCAGCCCTTCTACAGCTCTCTCTAACTTCAATTTACATTTCCAGCTGTTCTGCTACCTGCCACTACTTCTGGCTAGTAGAACTTTGAGTTTTGTATTGCTCAAGCTGGGAGAGACAGAAATGCCTGCAGGCAAGATGGCCACAAATCTACTATCCTTACTTGTAGCAACAGGGTTGCCCATGAGTAAACACTTCGCAAGTTGTTGCTGTGTCTAGTTATTTTCCAGTGCCCTGTAATAAGTTTTTCTTCTTAAAATAATTTTGTATATTTGTATGCTTGTTGTATATAGAGGGTAATTGCCTGAATTGCTAATGCTGCCTTTCTGGTAGCAGAAATGAATATTTTTTTAAAAAACTAATATTTTCCAGTGGTTGAAAATGCAATAAACATGCAGATTAGAGTGAAAAGTCTTCTTTCAGCTTTGTCTCTCAGCCACCCTGGAAGAGAATCAACAAATTTCAGTAAATTACTATTATCCTTCCAGGGATATTTTATGCATATATTTGCTGTGTGTACATACATTACTTTTTCTTTTTTTTCACAAATTGTTCTGCATCTTTTTTCCTATAAGAAATATCAACAAATAAATATAATTCTTAATGTTATGCATATCTATTTCACTGAATATATGTATATTAAATTTTATATATTCAACATGTATAAACATTTCGACTTCTAAAATCTTTATTATGAACAATGTTACAATGAATAAAATAATAGATAACTGTATTAGTTGTATATTCATGTGTAACAAGTTACTTAGAACATTAGAAAGTTTTTGAGTCAGAAATTCAGGTGTAGTTTTGTTGGGTGTTCCTGACTCTGTGTCTCTAAAGAGAGCAGATTTTCTTTTTTTTATTTTATTATACTTTAAGTTCTAGGGTATATGTGCACAACGTGCAGGTTTGTTACATATGTATACATGTGCCATGTCGGTGTGCTGCACCCATTAACTTGTCATTTACATTAGGTATATCTCCTAAAGCTATCCCTCCCCCCTCCCCCCTCCCCCCACCCCACAACAGGCCCCAGGTGTGTGATGTTCCCCACCCTGTGTCCAAGTGTTCTCATTGTTCGTTTCCCACCTATGAGTGAGAACATGTGGTGTTTGGTTTTCTGTCCTGGCAATTACGCAGCCATAAAAAAGGATGAGTTCATGTCCTTTGTAGGGACAGGGATGAAGAGAGCAGATTTTCTGTCTATCTCTGGTCAACCTTCAGGTTTAGTGTCTGTTTTCTTTTACTAATAAAGCTTTCAAGTTTTATCCATGCATCATATATACACATAATATTACTTCATTCCTTTTTAGAGCTGAATAACATTCCACAATGTGAATATACCAGTTTGTTTATTGCTTCATCAGTTAATGAGTGTTTTAGTTATTTCTACCTTTTCTCTATTGTGAATCATGTTGCTATGAACGTTTCAGTAAATGCATGTATATGTTTGTGTGTGTTTGTGTTTGTGTACATGTTTTAAATCCAATTGGATATATGCCTAGAGTGAAATTGCTGGGTTATAAGGTAACTCTACCATTACCCTTTTAAGAAATGGCATTGATTTCTATACTTTAATTTACTGACATTACCAACTAATATTTTCAAGTTCATGAGTGTATGAAAACCATTAGCAATATTAGGGTAGTTTATGTTTAGCAAGCAAATTGCTATTCCTTTACCCACAATTTATTTATTTAATTTATTCAATAAATGTTCAAGAAAAAGAATTAGAGAGAGAAAAATACTAAAAATTGATCAAGCAAGTGCATCATGTATTTTACAGAACATATATACTGTGATAAACACGGGAGACTATTTGTACCTCTACTTTCAAATCAAGAATAAGGAGCTCATTTTGTATCAATTATACGTAGAAGGCATCTTCTCCCTGTGATGGTTCATGGGTGTGTCAGCTCAATTGTATTCTGTTGTTTTTGAGAATGGTGGCAATATGCTTTTGTTTGAAAACCAAAGAACATTCCATGTGATATTATTCTCCTTGATTTCTGTGATTTTTCTCATTGAATACATGTTGGAGAAAAACATTGTTTTTCTACTTGGACTGCTTTGCTATTTTGCATCAAGACAACCAGTACTTCATTGGACAAATCAGAATTGCATGTAAAACAATAGTGATTTTCGACTGTGATTTTGGCAGCAGGTTTTGTGTTGAAATATTTTATCTTTATTTTGATTCTGAGCTTTTGTGTTTTTAGTTGTTGTTCCTTCAAATATGTAGTTTAGGTATAAATGTTTGCAGATGTTCCAAGCTTGATTTATTAAAATGGTTTCAGTACAAATCCCTTATGCAATTAAATACCTATTCATGGTTTCTTTTTTTTTTTTTTTTTTTTACAATGAAATGTTAACAAATAGCTTTAACATAATAGCATAATAGTTTAGGGAAAACTTGAGTGCAAGTGGCTAATAGATATGAGCTGGTGTGATCTTATGAAAAAATACCATTTTTTCTTTGCTCTGATTAAAAGGTAGTGTGTGCGCATCGTAGAGAATTTTGAAAACACGGAAAGGTACAAAGCATAAATATTACTTTTAAGTCCCACACTCAGAAATAAACACTCAATTATTTGCTATTTGTTTTCCAATATTTTCCTTAAGCTTATTAATCTTGAAATTCAGAAATTTCACCTGATTTGTCTCAATGAGAGTCTCTTTTTATGAATTTTGCTACAATAGAATATGTATCATGTTACTTTCTGCTTAGCATCTTCCTTGACTAGCTCCCCATCAGACTTAATTAAAAAATCCAAAGTCTTTAACCCAGCTTACACAGTGTACACAAATTTCAGAGTTCTCGTGATTTGACCCATGTATAGGTCTACAACTTTATCTCCATTAAATAAATAAGTTGGTATTTTAGATCTGAAAACTCAGATGTTGTTGTTCTTGATGTTTTAATGTATAGAAATATTATTCTACTTTTTGTTCTGTTATTTCCTGTCCACCTATCATTCCTGTCCTTCTGAAGTTCCTATTCTGTGTATATTTGACCCCTGGTATCGTTGCTACATGCCTTTTTGCCTTATTTTAAAATTCATCAAATGATATTACTTATTTGTAATCTTAGCTCCAGATCATGTCTTATTGTTAATTAGGTTGAACAATTTTTCCCCTGGAAGTATTAGACAATTGCTTTTGTTAAACTGATGTCTTTTCATACCTTTCCCCCAATATTGACGTGTCCTCTTATTATAAGATATTTACACAGGAAGAATACCCTTTGCTTGTATTACATAATATTTTGTCATTTGCCACCTATTTAAAGTATTTTTGCTATAAAATCATTTAATTTTTTCATATAGTCCAGTATATATTTTTGTTTAACTTCAAGATTTATTTTTGAATATTAGGCCTAAAATACCTTTTATTATTTTGCCTAATAAAATATTATATAAACATTTAGCTATAATATTTCTGGTAATGTTCTTGTTTTCTTTTTCAGTATGTTACTTTTAAATACTGCTGAAATTTGTGTATAGTGGGAACTTGTTATTTTTTCGCAAGTGATTAACCAATTTTCCTCCTGAAATAGTAACTCAGTAATCTGATAATTTTCAAATATTTTGAAATATTATGTTTTAATATACTAAGTTCTCATGTGTACTTGTTAGTTTTCTGGGCCTTTTCCTTTTTGCTAGTGATTTACCTTCCTAGGTTATAGCTTGTGATATACACTTCTAAAATTATTTTTATTTTAATACGTTTTAACCCCTTGTTATACCACATCTCAGTGATTCTCATATATTTATTCTTCCACATAAAGAGTTTTGTCATTCATGTTCTTAAAAAAAACTTGCTAAGGTTTTACTTGAAATTGAGCTAAATTCTTAAGTTTGGGGGATAAAAATGATGTTTATATAATGTCATATCTTCCTATCCAGAAGCATGTTTATTTTTTATTGTTTTTTTTTTTTAATTTGGCATTATATATTTCAATTATACAGATACAGTTTATAGTTTTTCTTTTATCTATACACAATCTTTCCGGTTCTCTGAGTGCCCCTTCTTCACATACAAAACCTCCTCTTGTCTTTAACTGAGGCTCTTTCTGTTTTACATTTCCACATTTGATCACATCTCTTCCTCTTTCCATTCAGGGTGCATCTCCGCCATTCCATGTGACATCTTTTATTCTTAAAAGTACTTTTTATGTTTCTATTTTAAATATTTTAATATATTTTTCCTTTTGTTTTAAATCCTGTTTAACAATATTTAGAATAGAAAGCTGGCATTGTCTACAGTGAATTTTTTCATTTCCTTCAATAAAACAATTGTACATTTTGAGTGCAAATTATTTATTTCTATCATACTGCCTTTGACCTTTACAGTCTTACTACCAGCCTTGATCCCTCAGTGGCCTCCCTACCATGCATACAATTTTGCTCAGCCAAACGTTATAGCTTTTACAGCTCGGCTTGGATACTCATTTTTCTTTCTTTGATTCTCCCACTCTAGACTAAGTGACTGCTCACTCTACACTCAGGGTCCAGTACACTATGCCTCTAGTAGTTGAATTGTCACATTTGTTCACCTTATTTAGATAATTTAGATTCCAATTTTCAAATTCATTTAATCTGTATTTTACCCTTTAATATTGAAATCATTTTAATAATTTAAAACAATGTTTTTTTAAAAAATCTGGATTATAACAATGTGATTTGTGATTTTTTTCTGAAATGAGGACAGAAAAAATATATGAAATTTTATAAATGTAAAAGAATTTATGGCTGGGCAATTTATGGTTCATGCCTGTGATCCCAGCACTGTGGGAGGCTAAGGCAGGAGGATCCCTTGAGGCCCAGAATTTGAGATTAGCCTGGACAACATAGCAAGACCCATTTCTGCAAAAAAATAAATAGCCAGGCTTGGTGGTATGTACCTGTAGTCCTTGCTACTCAGGAGGCTGGGGTGAGACAATTGCTTGAGGCCAGGAGTTTGAGGCTGCAGTGAGCTATGATCACACCAACCTGGTCCCTGGAATGCTCTCCTTAGACCCCATCCATGCTTTCTAAATTCCTACTATCCTTCTAGAACACTGCACTCCAGTCTGGGCAACAGAGTGAGACCCTGACTCAAACAAAAAATATTATGTATAGTCATATGCTGCTTAATGACATTTGGTTGACAGGCCACATAAACAACTGCTATCTCACAAGATTATAATACTGTGTTTTTACTGTAACTTTTCTATTTTTAGATATATTTACATACACAGACACTTACCATTGTCTTACAGTTGCTTCTAGTATCCAGTACAGTAACAGGCTGTATAGATTTGTAGCCTAGGAGCAGTAGGCTATACCGTATAGCCTAAGTGTACAGTAGGTTACACCATCTAGGTTTGTGTAAGTATGCTCTATGATGTTCACACAATCACTAATTGCCTAATGACACATTTCTCAAAACATCTCCCCATTGTTAAGCAACACATACCTGTTTGTCATTACTTGTCCAAACATGGCACTCAGGCATGTACAATAATAATCAAATTTAGTACTTTTTGTTGTTTTGCCAACTTTCAATCATACAAAATTTTGAATTTAAATATTTAAAACATTGTTATTCAGACTACATACTTGTCAAAATAGAAAGATCAAATATATTTCATTTAATGAAATGTTAGTTGAACTTATAACTGTAACATATTTAGACATAGGATCTGTGGATGTCTATTTGTGTGTTGGGTGGGAAGAAAGATGATGGACAAGTAAAATTGTTTTTGAACCTTCTGTAGATTTTAATATAGCAGTGTGGATGTTGATATCCTGGTGGGAAAGAAGCGCCTGCTGTAGAAATAAAAATTTGGAGAAAGTGGTGTCCATATCTGTGTGTGTGTATTTCCCCAGTGGTTCTGTTTGGAACACTTCCAACTATTTTTCAAAATGAAAATGGTGGCCAGGGTACTTGTATATTGTATATAGGTAATTGTTATTCACTGTTCCAAATGCTGCTGAATCTTTGCTTTTTTTTTTTTTTTTGAGACAGAGTCTTGCTCTGTCACCCAGGCTGGAGTTCAGTGGTGCAGTCTTAGCTCATGGAACCTCTGCCTCCCAGATTCAAGCAATTCTCCTGCCTCAGCCTCCCGAGTAGCTGGGGCTACAGGTGCGTGCCACCATGCTTGGCTAACTTTGTTTTGTATTTTTAGTAGAGACGGGGTTTCACCGTGTTATCCAGGATGGTCTCGATCTCCTGACCTCGTGATCCACCTGCCTTGGCCTCCCAAAGTGCTGGGATTACAGTCATGAGCCGCCACACCCGGCTGTATCTTTTTATATTTTAGTATTTGAGCAGATACATGGAGAAGCTGTTGGGCCATACCATTTGGGTGACACCAACTTATGCTGGAGAAGCCCTTTTTTTAGTTGCATGTGTTTAAGGTGTACAAAATTTTGATACCCATATATGTAGTGAAATAATTACTGTAGTCAGTCCCATTAAAATATTCATTTCCTCACATCTCCTTTTTTATTTTCATTTTTTTTTAGTGAGAACACCTGAAATTTACTTTCTTAGCAATTTCTAATGTATAATACAGTATTCTTTAAAGTATAGCCCTCATGTTGTACATTAAATCCCTAGATGTATTTATCTTACCTAACTCAATTTTGTGCCCTTTGACCAATATCTTCCCATTTTTCCCACCTCTCCATCCTTGGAAACCACCCTTCTACCCTATGTTTGTACGTATTTGACATTTTTGGATTCCACATAATGAGTCATATCATGTAGCATGACTTTTCTGTGTCCAGCATTTATTTCACTAATAATGTCCTCCAGGTTTATCCATGCTGTCACAAATTTCAGGCTCCCATCTTTTTAAGACTGAACAACTTTACTCTGTGTTTATGTGTGTGTATGTGTAAATATATATATATATATATACACACATAATATATTTATATATATATGGTGTGTGTATGTATATATATATACACACACACATATACACACCCCCAATGTATATATACAAACAATATATGTATAATACACAATATATATACACACACACCTTTTTATATATATATTTTTTTGTTTGTTTGTTTGTTTGTTTTTTTGAGACAGAGTCTCAATCTGTCGCCCACACTGGAGTGCAGTGGTGCAATCTCCTCTCACTGCAACCTCCACTTCCCAGATTCAAGCAATTCTTCTGCCTTAGCCTTCCCGGTAGCTGGGATTACAGGTTCCCATCACCACGCCCAGATAATATTTTGTATTTTTAGTAGGGGAGGGGTTTCATCATGTTGGCCAGGCTGGTCTCAAACTCCTGACCTCACGTGATCCACCCACCTCAGCCTCCCAAAGTGCTGGGATTACAGGCATGAGCCACTGCACCTATATATATATTTATACACACATAGAGTAAGGCTGTTCAGTCTTAAAAAAGATGGGAGCCTGAAATTTGTGACAACACAAATAAACCTGAAGGACATTATTAGGATATATATATATATATATATCCTAACATACATATGTCTGTGTCACAATACCTCTATCCATTTATCTATCAAAGGAAACTTGGGTTGTGTCTACATCTTGACCATTGTGAGTAATGCTGCAAGGAATATGGGAGCACGGAATCTTTTCTGAGGTACTGATTTCGTTTCCTTTGGGTATATACCCAGAAGAGGGATTGCTGGATCATATGGTAGTTCCATTTATAATTTTTTAATAAATCTCCATACTGTTTTGCATAATGGCTGTACAAATTTACATTTCCACCAACAGAATACTAGAGTTCCCTTTTCTCTACAACCTCAGCAACACTTGTTATCTCTTGACTTTTTGATAATAGATATCCTAATGAGCGTGAGGTGATAGCTGATTCTGGTTTTGATTTGCATTTCCCTGATAATTAGTGTTGTTCAGTACATTTGCATATTGGTTATTTGTATGTCTTCTTGGGAAATCGTCTTTTTAGGTTCTTTGCTCATTTTTAATAGGGTTATATTTTTTTTGCTAATGAGTGGCATGGGTTTCTTATATAATTAGAATATCAACTTTTTATTACATATATAATTTGAGAATTTGTTTTCAGACTCCTTAGGATATCTTTCATTTTGTTGATCGTTTCCTTTGCTATGCTAAAGTTTTTTAGTCCAGTGCAGTCCCACATATTTGTTTTTGCTTTTGTTGCCTTAAGCTTTTGGTGTCATATCAATAAATCATTGTCAATACCAATGTCATGAAGCTTTTCCTCTGTGTGTTCTTCTAAGAGTTTTATGGTTTTAGGTGTAATGCTGTAATCCATTTCCAGCTTATTTTCGTGTATGGTGTAATACAGTGGTCCAATTTTATTCTTTTGCATGTGAACACCCAGTTTTCTGATTGAAGAGCCTATCCTTTCCCCATCACGTATTTTGGATGCTCTTGTCAAAAATTAGTTGACTATGTCTGCCAGGGTTTATTTCTGAGCTCTTGACTTTGCTCCGTTGATCTATATATCTGTTTTCATTCCAGTACCATAATGTTTAGATTATTATACATATGTAATATAATTTGAAATTAGGATGTGCAAAACCTCCAAATTGTTCTTCTTCCTCAAATTGCTTTGGCTATTCATGATTCATTTCTGGCTTTGTACAATTTTTTTTTTTTTTGCCTATTTCTGTAATAAAAGTGCCATTGGAATTTTGATAGGGATTTTGTTGAATCTATAGATATCTTTGGATAATATGAGTATTTTTACAATATTAATTCTTCCAATCCATGAACATAGAATTTCTTCCCATTTATTTTTCTCTTTAATTTCGTTCATCAGTATTTGATAGTTTTTAGTATGTAGATCTTTTATCTATAGTTAAATTTCTTACTAAGTATTTTATTTTCTGATGCTATTATAAATGGAATTATTTTCTTTTGGAATAGATTATTTTTAGTGTAAAAAACACTACTAATATTGTATGTTGATTTTTTATCCTGCAACTGTATTGAATTTGTCTATTAGTCTAATATTTGTGTGTGTGTGTGTGTGTGTGTGTGTGTGAAATCTTAGGGCGTTCTATATATGGGATTATGTCATGTGCAAAGAGAGATAATTTTACTTTTTCCTTCTCAATTTTGATGCCTTTGATTTCTTGTTCATGTCTGATTGCTTTTGCTAGTACTTCCAGTACTACATTGAATAGAAGTGACAAGAGTGAGCATCCTTACCTTATACCAGAGAGTATAGAGTACGATGTTAACTGGAGTTTTTCATAAATGTTCTTTATTACGTTGATACAACTATTTTCTATACTCATTTTGTTGACAGATTTTATCATGAATGGATGCTGAACATTGTCAAATTTCTATATTTATTGAGGTGATTATGTGGTTTGTATCTTTTATTCTGCTAATGTGGTATATCACATTGATTGATTTGTGTGTGTTAAATTAGTCTTGCATTCCAGAGATAAATCCCACTTGCTCACACTGTATAATATTTTAAATAAGTTGTTGAATTTGATTTGCCAACATTTTATTCAGGATTTTTGCATGTATGTTTATTAGATATTGGTCTGTAGTTTTCTTGTGTTTTTGTCTGGCTTTAGGATCAGGGCTTAATGAAATGGGTTTGGAAATATTCCCTCGATGGAGAAGTCTTTTCTAATTTAGTTTTCATTAATCACAAACTAATAGCATTTTTAAAATTCTCTATTTTTAAAATTCTCTTTTACTGATGCCTTTTCTGGTCAGAACTGGAATGACTATACTGCAAGGGAATAGTTATACACTTGGAGTTTAAATGAATATAAACAATTAGCTGTGCTAATGGCAATTATGCTAAAGTGCACTTCCATTATATTCTCATCTGTTTAATGGCAGTTTTCAAAATCTAAATATGTGTAAGGGGCATTTGCCTAGCATGTTTGATTAATTTTATTTTAATAGCAATTATCTTAAGTAAAAAAATAATGTAAATCTGTGCTTGATGTCTTCCCAGAGGTTACCAAAGGGTCTTTATACACAAGTGAAATGGGTTTTATACTATTCTGGAGTCAATGTTCTGTAATCTTGAAATAGTATGCAAATATGCCAGTCCTAGGACACTTGTTTCTATGCATCCAATTCCGGATCTTTTACTTTTTACTGATTTGTCCTTTAAATTTGCAAATCTAGTCTGTGTTCATTAATCAGCCAATGAACTGATGATACCTTCAGTCATAGTTTTGCGTATGAATAACCCAAGTTTATAACGTCATTGATTAATTCAGTTAATATGTGGGGCAAGCCTCTCACATGTGCCAGGTACTCTGCAAGGTATGAGGATTGCAACAGTCTCTTGCCTTCACAGAGTTTCAAATCTGATGACAAAAGTCAACAATATACAAAAAAACAAAAGAGTCTCATCTGTGTTGCAATAAAAACAATTGTCTTAAGCAAATAATTAGAAAGCACTTATTCCAGAGCTAGGAGGTCAATGTAGGCTTTTCAGAATAATTAATATCTAGGTTCATACCTGACTGGTGAGTGGAAAGAGTCTGGCAGAGGAACAAGAAAGAGATGGGCGATGAGAAAGGACAGGAGCTGGGAGTGGCAGGCAGGGACACACTGCAAAAGACATAAGTTAAGTAGGAAACATAATGATCTAGGCAACATAGGACAGTGGCCTTACTGAAGTTTGTATCATGGAAATGGAAAAGTGAATGGATTCAAGAGCTATTCAGAAATCTAAATATATAGGATTTTGTTATCAATTTAATAAAAGAGAGAGAGAGGAAAGAGTACAGCATTTCTCAAACCTTTCCAAACATAAAGATAACTCAAAATGAGTCTTTAATACATAGATTCTCAGCCCAACTTCAGGTTTCCTAAATCAGAATTTCAGGGGATTTTGTGTTTAGCAAAGCTGTTGATCAGAAACTATTGAAAAAACTGGAATAAAGGATGATCGTGTCTTTTACTCGAGCAAATGAATAAAGCTAAGGTATTAACCATTATAAAGGACACCAGAAGGGAGGGACTAGTGAAAGGGATATGGAATGGGTAAAAAGATGGCATTGATCTTTTGATACATTGTGTTTTAGCAGCCTTCTGGGACCTCAAAAGAGAGATGGCTTGCAGGCAGATGGAGGTGCTGATCCTCAGGGGAGTGATCTGGTTAAAAGATAAAGCCTTGAGAAGCCAGCAGGTTATAATAGGTGGTTAAAGCCTTGAGAAGCCAGCAGGTTATAACAGGTGGTAGTAAAGGTGGATGTAGCTGAGGCTGTTAGAGTATGTAGAGTGAGAATAGAAGAGGCCTACAACCATTTAAGTAGAGTAGAAGAAATCTCTGCAAACAACACTGAGAAAGGGCAAACAGAGTATTCAGGGAAAAAATAGGTTCGTTGTACCAAGAAAACTTCTCCTAAGACAGGAGAAGAATGTCATTGACAGTGACAAGTTTCTAGTACAGATAGGAAAGAAAATAAGACATTAATACAGGAAGGAAAATAAGACATTATCTCTTACATTTAGCAGTAAGAAGTTTAATAGTGCCAGAAATGCATTTGAGTTCTCTGATTAGTACAAGAGGCCTTCAAAAAGTTCATAGAAGATGAGTACTATGAGAAAACTATGCATGGATTTTCTTTTTTTTTTTGCACCAAAATTACCTTGTACTAACTTGTTATAACACATGTGAACAAGATTTAGTTTGAGACACTAAGAAGAATAAGATATCAGTTTGAAAAGCGCCCCTACAGACATAAGATTGAAAAAAAAAAAAAAGCACCTTTTCGGGCAACATGAATTCAGCTAAAATTGAAACAAAAACAAACATCAAATTTGTGGTGAAATTTGTGTTGCAGAATGGTGAAATCATTGATGCTTTACAAAATTTCACGAGGACAATGCCCCAAATAAATCTGCAGTTTACAAATAGATAGCTCATTTTAGGAAGGGATAAGACAATGTTGAAAATGAAGTCTGTGGTGGCAGACCATTCACATCAATTTGTGAGGAAATGGTTCATCTTGTTTGTTCCCTGTTTGAAGAAGGCTGATGATTAACAGCACAAACTATAGCCAAATCCACAGATAACTCAGTTGGCTCAGCTTACATACAATTCTTACTGAAAAGTTAATGTTGAGCAAACTTTGTACCTGATGGGTGCCAAAATTGCTGCACCCAGATCAGCTGTAGACAAGTGCAGAGCTTTCAATGGAAGTTTTATTTTATTTTATTTTTATTTTTAAAATATATTTTTATTAATTTTTTTATTGCTATAAGTTATTGGGGAACAAGCGGTATTTGGTTAGGTGAGTAAGTTTTTGGTGGTGATTTGTGAGACTTTGGTGCACCCATCACCTGAGCAGTATATATTGCACCCAGTTTGTGGTCTTTTATCTGTCACCCCCTTCCCCTCCTTTCCCCCAGAGTCCCCAAAGTCCATCGTGTCTTTTTCTTAGGCCTTTGTGTCCTCATAGCTTAGCTCCCACACGTGAGTGAGAACATACAATGTTTGGTTTTTCATTCCTGAGTTACTTCACTTAGAATAATAGTCTCCAATCTTATCCAGGTCGCTCCGAATGCCATTAACTCAACCTTGAAAAAAATCATGCCATGGCAGAGAAAAAAATATTGGTGCCAGATGGACCATAATAATCAATATATGTTCTAATATGTTAGAATTTTGGTAAAATACAATTTTACCTTTTATCATCTCTATTGCCTGTGGCTTCTCATTTTTGTTAAGAAAACCACCGTGAGGAAGTGACAATCTCATACTTACTGTTTAGTGCTGTGCTCTGCCACGAGAGGATGATTTTAGACATTATTATTTTATATTTTGGGTGTTAGGGTTTTGATATGGTTTGGCTCAGTGTCCCCACCCAAATCTCATGCTAAATTGTAATTTCCAGTGTTGGAGAAGGGACCTGGTGGGAGGTGACTGGATCATGGGGGCAGATTTCCCCCATGCTATACTCATGGTAGTGAGTGAGTTCTCATGAGAGCTGATAGTTTAAACATGTGTGGCACTTCCCCCCGGCTCTCTCTCTCCTGCCACCATGTGAAGAAGGTGCTTGTTGCCCTTCACCTTCTGCCATGATCATAAGTTTGCTAAGGCCTCCCAGTCATGCTTCCTGTTAAGCCTGCAGAACTGTGAATCAATTAAACCTCTTTTCTTCTTAAATTACCCAGTGTCAGGTAGTTCTTTATAGCAGTGTGAGAATGGACTAATGCAGCTTTCTATTGGCACTTTGAACACAAGGTACTTGCATGTGCATATATGTATATGGTATATGCATGTACACGCTTACACTTGAGTTTTGATTTATATTCCAGCAAAAGGGTAATAGAGCTATATTCCTCTCATTTATCCACTTGGACTTCTTGATAAATGTTTGCTATTAACTAATCTTTAGTAATTCTGTATAATACCTCTATCTCCAACCTACATAATCATCATCATCATCATCATTTTAACAATAGCAAGAATTCACCTAAAGAATATTGATTCAAGAACCATGTAATGTGCTTCATATTCATTATATCATTTAATTACTCAATGCACCTCTTAAGTATTTTACCCCAAAAATTCTTACCGTAGTTATAAAGGAAAAATAACAGTAAATCCTGTCGATATATAAGCTATAAATATATAATCACTATTTATAACTTATAAAACCTTCAAAATTCAACCTCCAATAAAACCAGTCATACATTTTGCTGATAAATGTCACAATTTTTAAACATAACATAAAACAAGAACTTAATTTCCAAACAGGTTTAAATATTAATTTATGGGCACCCTCAAATAATGGCAACAGCTCCTTCCAACCTCTACTATCTCTGCAAAGAAGCTGTGCTTAAATTGCAAATCATTTTCTTAATCTAGTCTATCATTGTTGGACATTTGGGTTGGTTCCAAGTCTTTGCTATTGTGAATAGTGCCGCAATAAACATACGTGTGCATGTGTCTTTATAACAGCATGATTTATAGTCCTTTGGGTATATACCCAGTAATGGGATGGCTGGGTCAAATGGTATTTCTAGTTCTAGATCCCTGAGGAATCGCCACACTAACTTCCACAATGGTTCACACTCTGGGGACTATTGTGTGGTGGGGGGAGGGGGGAGGGATAGCATTAGGAGATATACCTAATGCTAAATGACGAGTTAATGGGTGCAGCGCACCAGCATGGCACATGTATACATATGTAACTAACCTGCACGTTGTGCACATGTACCCTAAAACTTAAAGTGTAATAATAATAAAATTTAAAAAAAATTGCAAATCATTTTTATCAACCCATTAAAACAGACTCTCCATCAGGCAGTGCTTGGCCTGCTTCCACTCAGCTTGTCCATGCACTTGAACATTAAAGAATCATACAAATCCATCTCTCTATATTACCTTAGAAAGTTTCTCAATATAACGGGAAGAGATAAATTATTTTTTAAGAGCTAGTTGAAGTTTGAGCTGGTTGAGCTGTAAGGCTAATGCAGAAGTCCTCTTATTATAGAGAGAATTTCTTTTTTTGTTGGGTGAGAAATACAAGGGCTACGTTGGTTATGAACATAAGTCCTACTCTCAGGCTAGTCTAACATGAAGAAAATTTAGACAAATCATGTAGTATTCTATTGTTATTGCCTCAGCAAAACCACCTCTCACTTTTTCTGACAATATCCCCAAACTTTATCTGGGGTACCCCTTAACTTTTTATTTCTGTGATCCTGCTGTTTGCCTGCCTAGGGCTGAGGCAGTTACTCGGGCTTAAGCCATGGCTAACATGGTTGTTTGCATTGGTCATGGTGAGTCCAATAGGAACAAACTTCAGGACTCTTATAGGATCATTGGAAAAGGCCCTGTTTCTTTCCCACTTCATCGTAAGGAGAAAGCAATGATGATAGTAATAGAAAGAGTAACAGTGCAATAACAAAGAGACACTCTCTATGTAGCAGTCCATGCAGCATGTAGCACCATGTTAAACCCAATGCGCCTTGTCTCTTCCAACGTTCACAGGGTACTAAGATTTTCCCAATATTACAGTCAGAAAACTGGGCCTAGGTGGGTTAAATTAATTGCCAGCACTCCACACAGTTTTCTATGACTCCAGAGGTGAGGCTTCACAAGTTACATTGGAGATCCTGGCTTGAGACTGTTCCCGAGATTCATAGATATGTCAAAGATTGATAGTAGTTCCAATACCTTTGACTCCACCGAATTCAGAATGAATCAATACATTTTAAAATGCTATCACTTAATATATATGGCAAGAGATGACAAGTTTGGCAAAATTTCTTTAACATTTAAAAATTTGTCTCACTTGTCATTTTTCTTCCTAGATGAAATCAAATAATTGATTAGACTCATTTTTGTATTGAAGAAGTGAAAATATAAGCTTTCTTTTGCAATATAGATATGTTTTCCCACAAGACCACATGAGCACTTCTCCTAAGTACAATGGAGAGTTGAACCAATCTATTAGATGTCCAGTGTTCTTTAGGTGCCTCTAGTATGAGTTTCCTTTCACCACTGAAGTCTCAATCATAACATGGCCAGTTCACTTCCTACATGAACATAGACTATGGGGATTGAGGCTACTGTCCATCACATGGAGCCTAAACATAGAAGCAATACAGAGGAACCAGAATGAAGTCATGGAAAAAGGGCACATGGTCTCAGTCACCACTTGACCCTCTGTACTCAAGTTCTGTGGGAAACCAGCTGTGCTCCAGAACTTTTTGGTTATATGAAACAATTATTCCTTTTTTTTTTCCTGAGGTCATTTTTCACTGGGTGTTCTGCCACTTGCAAATGTAAACACAATAATACTAAAGTAGATGGGATTTTGAATCTTGTCCTTTTTGCACAGGGGAGACAAAAATTTGGAGGCCCCAAATTCTGAAAATAGAAAGCTAAGAATGGAGAAAATTCCTTGGAGGAAGACGAGAAGAGTAGCATGACTTTAGGTAACTGGAGAAAGATTTCCTATGGCATGAGGAGAGTGTGGACAAACACATACTTGTAAGATGTCATCTGTTCGGTGCTACTCCAAATTTCTAATGCAAGTCTACCATACCCAAGGAGTCTACCTAAAATAGCATTAAAAGAAGAGCACAGTATAGGAAGTGTACTGACCATATTGTGATTGAGAATTCAATGGGGTAAGGAAATTCATACTGGAGGTACCCAAAAAACACTGGCCAACTAATAGATTGGGTGAACCATAATTGGGAGAAAGGCTTATGCTGTCTTATGAGAAAATATATCTATATTGCAAAAGAAAGCTTATATTTTCATTCTTCAATATAAAAATGAGTCTAATGAGCCTAATCAATTATTTGATTTCATCTAGGAGGAAAGAGAAGTTAGACAAAATTTTTTAAGTGTTAAATTTTGCTAAACTTGTCTTCTATAGTATTAAGTGACAGCATTTAAGCATATATTGATTCATTGTGAATTGCATGGGTCAAAGGTATTTGAACTACCATCACTCTTTGTCATATTTATGAATCTGAAGTACAGACTCAAGCCAAGATTTCCTATGTAACTTGTGAAGCCTCATCTCTGGAGTCATAGAAAATTGTGTGGCATGCTAGCAATTAATTTAACCCACCCAGACTCAGTTTGTGACTATAATATTGGGATAATCTTAGTACCTTGTGAACGTTGGAAGAGACAAGGCACATTGGGCTTAGCATGGTGCCTGGAACAGCTACATCGAGAATGTTTCTTTGTTATTGTGCTATGGCTCTTTCTATTACTATTACCATTGCTTCTTCTTTACATATTTAATTTAGGCACAGCTTTGGTGAATTGGGAATTCTGAAACTTTGGATTTTATTCAAGTTATTATTATTAGCTATCCATGTGACTCTTGGTTCTCTAGACCTCAATCTCTGTATTTCTAAAATGAGAGATAACGAATAGTCTCTTACATGCTTTTCAGGTCTGAAATATCTGGGATGCCTCATGGTATCTGTGTATGTGTAGGGTCATGCATCTTTATCTCTCTGCTAGTCCATAGTACCTATTCAAAAAACAACAAAGACACTTGAAATGATGACAACCCAGTGTCCTTTTTTCAATGTGTTCTTTGTAGTGCGCAGTGTGTTTCGTTCCACATATTTTACCCAAATGTTGGAGAAGCTAATATGTTCACAATAACACTGTGAATAAATCACAGTCATGATTCAGAGTCAGAAGTTGCCATGAAACTGAAATATCTGCTTCTGTGTTCAGCAGCTATTAATCTGTGCTCCAGGTAAAAGCCTCCAATGTTGAAATGAAGGAAAAAATGTTAAGGGAAGCCAGAGAGAAAGGTCAGGTCACCTTCAAAGGGAAGCCCATCAGACTAACAATGGATCTCTCTGAAGAAACCCTATAAACCAGAAGAGAGTGGGGGCCAATATTCAACATTTTTAAATAAAATAATTTTCAACCCAGAGTTTCATATCCAGCCAAACTAAGCTTCATAAACGAAGGAGAAATAAAATCCTTTCCAGACAAGCAAATGCTGAGGGATTTTGTCACCACCAGGCCTGCCTTGCAAGAGCTCCTGAAGGAAGCACTAAATATGGAAAGGAAAAACTGGTACCAGCCACTGCAAAAATACACCAAAAAAAAAAACCAATGACACTACAAAGAAACTGCATCAACTAATGTGAAAAATAACCAGCTAGCATCATGATGACAGGATCAAATTCACACATAACAATATTAACCTTAAATGTTAACAGGCTCAATGCCCCATTTAAAAGACACAGACTGGCAAATTGGAAACAGAGTCAAAACTCATCAGTGTGCTGTATTCAGGAGACCCATCTCACGTGCAAAGACATACATGGGTCAAAATAAAGGGATGGAGGAAAATTTACAGCACATGGAAAGCAAAAAAAGCAGGGGTTGCAATCCTAGTCTCTGATAAAACAGACTTTAAACCAACAAAGATCAAAAAAAGACAAGGGCATTACATAATGGTAAAGGGATCAATGCAGCAAGAAGAGCTAACTATCATAAATATACATGCATCTAATACAGGAGCACCCAGATTCATAAAACAAGTTCTTAGAGACCTACAAAGAGATTTAGACCCCCATACAATAATAGTGGGAGACTTTAACACTCCACTGTCAATATTAGACAAATCAATGAGACGGAAAATTAACAAGGATATTCAGGACTTGAACTCAGCTCTGGATCAAGTGGACCCAATAGACATCTACAGAACTCTCTACCCCAAATCAACAGAATATACATTCTTCTCAGTACCACATGACACTTATTCTAAAATTGACCACATAATTGGAAGTAAAACATTCTTCACCAAATGGGAAAGAATGGAAATCAAAACAAACTGTCTCTCAGACCACAGTGCAATGAAATTAGAACTCAGTATTAAGAAACTCACTCAAAACTGCACAACTACATGGAAATTGAACAACCTGCTCCTGAATGATCCCTGGGTAAATACTGAAATTAAGCAGAAATTAAGAAGTTATTTGAAACTAATGAGAACAAAGAGACAACATACCAGAATCTCTGGGACACAGCTAAAACAGTGTTAAGAGGGAAATTTATAACACTGAATGCCCACATCAGAAAGCTGAAAAGATCTGAAATCAACAACCTAACACCACGATTAAAAAAGAACTAGAGAAGCAAGAGCAAAGAAATTCAAAAGCTAGCAGAACACAGGAAATAACTAAGATCAGAGCAGAACTGAAGGAGATAGAGACACGAAAAACCCTTCAAAAAATCAATGAATCCAGGAACTGTTTTTTTGAAAAAATTAATAAAATAGATAGACCATTATCTTGACTAATAAAGAAGAGAGAAGAATCAAATAGACACAGTAAAAAATGATAAAGGTGATATCACCAATGATCCCACAGAAATACAAACTAGCATCAGAGAATACTATAAACATCTCTATGGAAGTAAACTAGAAAATCTAGAAGAAATGGGTAAATTCCTACACACATACACCACCCCAAGACTAAACCAGGAAGAAGTCAAATCCCTGAATAGACCAATAACAAGTTCTGAAGTTGAGGCAGTAATTAATAGCCTACAAACCAAAAAAAGGCAAGGACCAGATGGATTCACAACCAAATTCTACCAGAGGTACAAAGAGGAGCTGGTACTATTCCTTCTGAAACTATTCCAAACAATAGAAAAAGAGGGGCTCCTCTCTAATTCATTTTATGAAGCCAGCAACATTCTGATATCAAAACCTGGCAGAGACACAACAAAAAAAGAAAACTTCAGGCCGATATCCATCATGAACATCAGTGTGAAAATCTTCAATAAAATACTGGCAAGATGAATCCAGCAGCACATCAAAAAGCTTATCCACCACAATCAGGTCGGCTTCCTCCCTGGGATGCAAGGCTGGTTCAACATATGCAAATCAATAAATGTAATCCATCACATAAACAGAACCAATGACAAAAACCACACGATTATCTCAATAGATGCAGAAAAGGCCTTCAATAAAATTCAACATCCTTTCATGCTAAAAACTCAATAAACTAGGCATTGATGGAACATATATCAAAATTATAAGAGCTATTTATGACAAACCCATAGCCAATATCATACTGAATGGACAAAAGCTGGAAGCATTCCCTTGAAAAGTGGTATAAGGCAAGGATGCCCTCTCTCCCCACTCCTATTCAACACAGTATTGGAAGTTCTGGTCAGGACAATCAGGCAAGAGAAAGAAATAAAGGGTATTCAAATAGGAAGAGAGGAAGTCAAATTGTCTCTGTTTGAAGATGACATGGCTCTATATTTAGAAAACTTCATCGTCTCATCCCCAAAACTCCTTAAGCTGATAAGCAACTTCAATGAAGTCTCAGGATACAAAATCAATGTGAAAAAAACAGAAGCATTCCTATACACCAACAATAGACAAGCAGAGTGCCAAATCATGAATTAATTCCCATTCACAATCGCTACAAAGAGAATGAAATAATTAGGAATACAACTTACAAGGGACATGAAGGACTTCTTCAAGGAGAACTGCCAACCACTGTTGAAAGAAATAAGAGAGGATACAAACAAATGGAAAAGTAATCTATGCTCATGGATAGGAAGAATCAATATTGTGAATATGGCCATACTGCCCAAAGTAATTTATAGATCCAATGATATTCCCATCAAGCTCCCATTGACTTTCTTTGGATAATTAGGACAAACTACTTTAACTTTCATATGGAACTCAAAAAGAGCCCGTATAGCCAAGGCAATTCTAAGCAAAAACAACAAAGATGAAGGCATTATGCTACCTAACTTCAAACTATACTACAAGGCTACAGTAACCAAAACAGCATGATATTAGTACCAAAACAGATATGCAGACCAATGGAACAGAATAGAGACATTAGAAATAACACCACACATCTACAACTATCTGATCTTTGACAAACCTGAGAAAAACAAGCAATGGGGAAAGGACTCTTTATTTAATAAATGGTTTGGGGAAAACTGGCTAGCCATAACAGAAAACTGAAACTGGAAAACTTCCCTACACCTTATATGAAAATTAAGTCAAGATGGGTTAAAGTCTTAAATGTAAAAACCAAAACCATAAAACCCTAGAAGAAAACCTAGGCAATACCATTCAGGACAGAGGCATGGGCCAAGATTTCATGACCAAAACACCAAAAGCAATTGCAACAAAAGCCAAAACCGACAAATGGGAGCTAACTAAACTAAAGAGCTTCTGCACAGCAAAATAAACTAGCATCAGAGTGAACAGGCATCCTACAGAATGGGGGAAAATTTTTGCAGTCTCTCCATCTGACAAAGGTCAAATATCCAGAATCTACAAGGAATGTAAACAAAGTCACAAGAGAAACACAACCCCATCAAAAAGGATATGTACAGACACTTCGCAAAAGAACATATTTATCCATCCAAAAAACATAGGAAAAAAAAAAGCTCAACATCACTGGTCATTAGAGAAATGCAAATGAAAACCACAATGAGATACCATCTCATGCAAATCAGAATGGCAATTATTAAAAGTCAGAAGACCAGGCGCGGTGGCTCACACCTGTAATCCCAGCACTTTGGGAGGCCGAGGTGGGCAGATCATGAGGTCAAGAGGTTGAGACCATCCTGGCCAACACTGTGAAACCCCATCTCGACTGAAAATACAAAAATTAGCTGGGCATGGTGGCACATGCCTGTAGTCCCAGCTACTCGGGAAGCTGAGGCAGGACAACCGCTTGAACCAGGCAGACGGAGGTTGCAGTGAGCCAAGATCGTGCCACTGCACTCCAGCCTGGTGACAGAGTGAGACTCTGTCTCCAAAAAAAAAAAAGTCAGGAAACAATAGATGCTGGTGAGGCTGTGGAGAAATGGGAATGATTTTACACTGTTGGTGGGAGTGTAAATTAGTTCAACCATTGTGGAAGACAGTGTGGCAATTCCTCAAGGATCTAGAACCAGAAATACCATTTGACCCAGCAATCCCATTCCTGGGTATATACTCAAAGGATTATAAATAATTCTACTATAAAGACACATGCACATGTATGTTTATTGCAGCACTGTTTACAACAGCAAAGACTGGGGACCAACCCAAATGCCCATCAGTGATAGACTGGGTAAAGAAAATGAGGCACATATACACCATGGAATACTATACAACCATAAAAAAGAATGAGATTATGTCCTTTGCAAGGACATGGATGAAACTGGAAGCCATCATTCTCAGCAAACGAACACAAGAACAGAAAACCAAACACAGAATATTCTCACTCATAAGTGGGAGTTAAACTATAAGCACACATGGACACAGGGAGCAGAACGACGCACACTGGGCCTGTTGTGGGAAGGAGATAGAGAACAGTAAAACAAATACCTAATGCGTGCGGGCCTTAACACCTAGATGATGGTTGACATGTGCAGCAAACCATCATGGCACTTGTATACCTATGTAGCAAACCTGCACATTCTGTACATGTATCCCAGAACTTAAAGTAAACTTAGATAATAATAATAATAATAATAATAATAATAATAATAATAATACAGCTTCAATTTTCCCTTCTGCCACCTCTAGTAAAAAATGTATTAGGCATGCTAAGAAAACAGAAAGAAAGTTGTTTTTTTTTTTTTTTTAAAAAAAGGGCAGGATAAAATGGAAAAACTAAGTTTATGTTAAATTAATTTCTGAAGTAAGCCATCTCTTTGAAACTGCTCCTAGCAACTTTCCATCCCCCTTCTACTCTCCACCTCCAATCCCCAGGCTTTAAATAGGATGAAGGGTTAAACCTTTTACTGGTGAAGAAGTATTTATGTGCATTTAGTGAAGAGAGAAAATATTTTATTAGCAGACTGCTGCTGGGGAAAATTGGTCCTCTTGATATATGTGAGAAAGTAAATGTGTCCCTTTCACCTGAAACTGCTACATCTAAGTCTACTAACTTCAATTGTCTTGACAAAAATGATTTAACAAAGTAGAGAATAATAGGGGGACCTAGGAGGAGGATTCTAGAGGAAGGAAAAAGTACTGCAACATCTAGGCCTTAGGCCCTTCACCATGAGAAACCTTAGAAATGGACCTAAATAGCATCCGAGAGGGTGAGGTACTCTGGGAGATTTGTCTGTGAGAAAATGATAGGTTTCACATTTAATAAGATGCAGTCTTTCAGTTTCCGCTGAGGCAAGACATAATTTTGTTTTTAGTTCAGTTGGATCATTTCCATCAGCTTGCCAACATGGAATGAGATCCCGTATGGACAAACAAACAAAAACAATTCCACGATCCCTGCATTTACCCAACAGTATCTAAGCTTCTGATAAATTCTTGTTAAATGAATGTATGAAACAAAAACATATACTGTGAATTTATGAAAATGTTAACTAGAATTCCATTTGAAAGTTGATTTGTGGTCAGGTGCGGTGGCTCACACCTGTAATCCCAGCAGTTTGGGAGGACGAGGTGGGCGGATCACGAGGTTAGGAGTTCAAAACCAGCCTGGCCAACATGGTGAAACCCCGTCTCTACTAAACGTACAAAAAATTAGCCAGGTGTGGTGGCAAGCACCTGTAATCCCAGCTACTTGGGAGACTGAGGCAGGAGAATCGCTTGAACCCGGGAGGCAGAGGTTGTGAACCACTGCACTCCAGCCTGGGCGACAGGACGAGACTCCATCTCAAAAAAAAAAATTGTGTTGTTTCTGTTTCTTTCCTTAGTTCTATATTTCTAACGTCTTTAACACTATTGTCAATGAGTAGTGGAATAGTAATTACTTTACATAGACCAGGAATGACTCTATCCTCTCTTTTTGAATGAGATAGGAAAATGATTTTCTGGAAGTTGGAAAGTGACCTGAAGTTGCAAATTCTGGCCAGCAGATGTGACCGCTATCTGAAGGTTTGAATTTGTTATCAGCAAGGAAAACTGAGAAAATTCTGTTAGATGTGTTCTGAATAACTTTTTTCCTATCTTAAAGATCTGTTCTATCAACGCTGGGAGACACAACATGGCAAGACAGCAGATTATTGCACAGAAGGGACTGACTTCTGTATACAGGACACAGAAATGTAGGTCTCCACATTTTCCTTGTTTATATTGCCTAGTTTATATTGTGCTAGTTTATACTGCCTACCTGTGTTCTGTAGAAAATGAATCTGCCCACCCTTGATTATGTCAGAGGTGTTGTTGTTTGTAATTTGTTTGGACAAATTCCTTAGCCAATTTCATAAAACAAACAAGTCCAGTAATGTAGGATATATATGGACTTTTAAAAGTCTGGATGAAATTTCAACAGAAATAAAATGTGGGGCTATTACTCTCCAGTTAAAAAGACTAAACTTGCGCGCACACACACACGCACACACACCCACATGCGCACGCACACGCGCGCACATGAACACACACACGCACATGCACACACAAGCACACATGCACATGCACACATACACACACACGCACACATGTGCACACACATGCGCACACACCCACACACGCACATGCACGCACATGCACACGCACGCGCACACATGCAGACGCACACACGCACACACACGCACACGTGCACACACACAATGCACACACACACGCACACAATGCTAAATTGACAGAACAGCAAAGTGTTGATGACTGAGAAAAACGGTTCCCATCCACTGTCTCCATGGTAATGCCTGCTTTTTAAAAAGGGTGCTTTATAAATTAATATACATTTAAGAGGAAAAAGGCATACCCATTAGAGGAAAGATTACAAGGGTTTAGTTGGGTTCTGCTTTCCAACCGATCCTTCTTTTTGGCATTAGTGCTCTGAACCCTGGCGTCTCTTTTGAAGAGAGTGAGGGAGCAAATCCAGTTCTTGACCTTGGAACTTAATATTTCCTTATTTCCAGCTTCCAGTACCATTTAAATTTTATCATATTTTTACCTTGTTAAAAATGCCTGAGATTTCAACAGAGTCTTACTGGGAGCTTTTGATTGTTAGCATTTATCAGTTCAGAAAATTACCTGTTTGTTTGTTTCTTCTTCCCATTTTTGAGGTGAAAGTTCAGCACATGAATTACATAATAATGTCAGGAAGTAGGCCATGATGCCTTGCTTTTAGCAGTTGACATTTTTGAAGTTCCTGGGATGAAAACGTTGCTTCAAGTCACTCTGAAATGTGCATTGTATTGAATTTATGCATATTGATTTGGCACTTGGTTAGCCTCCTTGAAAATTTGGACCATTTTTCAAAGCTTCCTTTTTTGAGTTACTCATAAGTCAGGAGTTTTTCATCTCTTTTTGCCAATCAACATTTAGCCTCTCTTGTTATTTTCTCCAGGTTCCATGATTTTTATAACTCAATATTTATGAGTGATTTAAATCTGAGTTTCTCAAAAAATGCAATATTGTATATATTGCTCAATTCATTCCCCAAATGTAAACAAGACCTAAAATACGGATGCCATGTTTCAGTATGGATACATTCCCAAAGTTCATATCTTTGCAAAAATATTTATCAAAAAGTTTACTGTAAGCACACACACACACACACACACACACACACACACACATACACATAAAAAAGTAAGAAAGGTACAACAATTATCCTTTTGCATGAGAAGAAATTCGTGTTAAATTATCCATGCCTTTCATAGAACGCTTCCAGTTGCAAAGTTCCTCTTTTTTTAGCATTATAAAACTCCACAGATTATCCCTTGCTCTCAAACATGCCTGTGTGTATGTTTATAATAACAGAAGGGAAAATGTCCTTTGGACAGGAGACTTGCTTCTCCTGGGGCTTGAGTTCTGTGAAGCAGTGCCAGCAACCTCACATGCAATGATGATTTGTACTTAAGCCATTAGCTTCAGAAACACCTCCCAGGAGCAGTCTGAGACCAAAGCCCTGGTTTCCTGTGCGGTGTTTGCTGACATTCTTGTACAGAATGCTTGTTAGAGGCATTGTCATGCATTTCCAAGGGACCTTAAGAAATAATAAATCCGTACCACCTCGCTACTGTTTTTATGAATAAATGCCCGTTCCTGACCTTATCTTTTGGCACCGCCTGGCAATAACTTCTCCACACCTCTGTACTATGGGTATTGTCAAAGAAAAAGTCTGTACGGTTTTATTCTTTAGAGAATTATTCCAACTCCCTCAGGCATTTCCTAGGATGAACAATTCTGCGCAGGGATAAATACAGGCTGATAAAAATGGGTCATCCCACAATGCAATTTTTCCCAAGAAAAGCCAGAAAACAAATTGGGGACACTGTGAACCCTGATCCAGACGTAAGTCAGTAAGAGGATGTTATAAAAGTGAAGCCAACCTATGGTTATAAATAATCGCCTGAAGTAGAAGTGAAAATGCCATTATGGCAAGAGCCATCACCCATAGCCTTTGGAAGTTCTGTCCTCTCTTTACAGTGTGGATCTGTTAAGTTTGCCTTATTTTTTGCTGCCACCCTAACTACTCCTGTATTGTTAATAATAGTCAAAGCACTAAGGTTTGCAAATGTTTCATATCCTAAAAGTAATAAATTAAGTCCTGCCACAATTGTTAGTGCCATTTGTCCTGTCCATCCAATGAATGAATGAATGAACGCATTTATGCATGAGTGAGAACTGCCTCCTTTCTGTAGGACTGATTCTTAAAGTAGCTTCCACCTGCCATGGGCACCCTTCTCTGAGCAATCAAAATAGGATGGGTTCAACTCATTCCAAACTGGTTGTCTAACTCTTCTTTAAAAAAAGTCATTATTTTTCATAAGTTTTCAACTTGTACACATCAACTGATATTGTTTATACTATGAATTTAAAAGATATAAACACACATGCAAGTTACATCATGTTTGCATTAACTTTCAACCGCTGTCTTTACCACAATTCAAATATTCTTAACAGATATAGAAAAGAACCTTATTTTCATCATCTCCTTTTTTTTTTTTTTAGCTGCTCTGTATTCCTGCTTTATGGGGACTTTTTTCTCGCCCTATATTGTCCTGATTAAGGCCACAGAAGTTAGTCAGCCACAGGCTAGGGCAGTCATAGAAACTTATTTATTTGGATGTAACCAAGTAACCAAGGCCAAGCCAATCTGTCTTTATCTAGAATATTTCAAGCTGGAATTTGAGTTCCAGTGTCTCTAGTGCTTGTGTTATGTGGTATAACTGTGTGTGCTAAGAGTTATTTTGGCTATCTTCCCAGATGAATGGAGAAAGTATCATACTAGGAGAGAATACAACTAAGTGGTCCAAAGAAGCAGAGCTGAAAGAGAATGGGAGAAAAAATATACTATTTTGAGGTACTGTAGGCAATTGTGCTTGAAGTAAACTCCTCAGTTCTATAACACACTGAGTTTCATTTTTTGCTGAAATAAGTTTGAGTTTTGTTTCTGTCATTTGCAATCAAAGAGCACTGACATCCAGAACACATTTCACCTGACTTAGAGGGCCTGGAGAGTATGCCCATCTCTAACTCCCCCAGGCTGCCCATCTCTAACTCCCCCAGGCTGCCCATCTCTAACTCACTCAGGCTGCCCATCTCTAACTCCCCCAGGCTGCCCATCTCTAACTCCCCCAGGCTGCCCATCTCTAACTCCCCCAGGCTGCCCATCTCTAACTCACTCAGGCTGCTTTGTGCACTTAGGGTTAAAATCTCCTAGGGCTTTCCTCCTCCTCTCTCTCATGGAAATGATTATATCATTGTTAGCTTACCAGTTGATGATCATAGTGAGAGTTATATCTCTGGATCTCTTTGGCTAATCTAAATGTCCGTCTTTGTGCTTCCAAGCAATGAGTGAAAAACCCTCCCTTCATCTGGCCTTTCTTATGTGCAGGTTTCTCCTGGTAGAGGCAGAAAAGGAGAAGAGACATTTTCATCCCTCTACAGTCCATGAGATTTATCTCAACTCTTATGTACTAAACAGAAGAAAGTTACGTTGGTGACTGTTCTTTCCTGTGATTTCTCTTTCAAAAGTAACTCTTTGTATAATTATCTTACATTAAATATATTAATTTTTTTAGAATTAAGTATGTAACAGCAAAAGGGCTACCATAAGTAGCTCCATTTTTGTGTATGGGGCCTTTGCCCATTTCTGAATGTAAGCTGGGATAATTTTAGAGCACTGAGATGCAATCATGTAGTCTTTGGAAACTAACTCTGGGATTAAAGGAAAAGTATGTAGTAAATGACTAGCACTGCTTTGTTGAAACTTTCTAGGAGCATTGGGACCTGACCAGGGACAAAGAAGTTCCCAGCTCCCCCGGACCCTCACTGGTGCCCAGATGTCTGTGATTGTTGATCGTGTCCAGAACCCAACCCCATTCCCCTCCCCCTTCCCTTAATGTAAGACGAGCCTGGCTGGCACAGTGGCTTACGCCTATAATCCTAGCACTTTGGGAGGCCGAGGCGGGTGGCCCACCTGAGGTAATGAGTTTGAGACCAGCCTGGCCAACATGGCAAAACCCTGTCACTACTAAACATACAAAAATTAGCTGAGTGTGGTGGTATGGGCCTGTAGTCCCAGTTACTCATGAGGCTGAGGCAGAAGGATTGCTTGAGTCCAGGAGGTGGAGGTTACCATGAGTCCAGATAGCACCACTGCACTCCAGCCTGGGTGGCAGAGCAAGACCCTGTCTCAAAGCAACAACAACAACAACAAAAACAAACAAACAAAAAACAGCCTGAAATTTGTCCTTGTCCTGACTTAAGATGGTACTTTAGGATGCTAGTTCACCTTCTTGGTTTGCTGGCTTTCCACATAAACCTGCTTTTCCTCCCCGCAACTCTCATCTCTTGAGTTCTGGCTCTCCAGTGTCAAACACCTGAATCTGGTTTTGGCTACAAGTGTATTGGCTACTCCTTATTTATTTATTTATTTGTGACAGAGTCTTACTTTGTTGCCCAGGCTGGAGTACAGTGGTGCTATCTTGGCTCACTGCGATTCCCGGGTTCAATTGATTCTCCTGCTGAGGCAAGAGAATCCTGAGTAGCTGGGATTACAGGCATGTGCCACCATGCCTGGCTAATTTTTGTATTTTTAGTAGAGATAGGGTTTCACTGTGTTGGCCAGGCTGGTCTCGCACTCCTAACCTCAAGTGATCTGCCGGTCTCGGCCTCCCGAAGTGCTGGGATTACAGGCATGAGCCATCCTTATAAGCATATTTTTATAGAGCCTTTGTCTCTCTAAAAAATGTGTGTGTGTGTGTGTGTGTGTGTGTGTGTGTGTGGTGTAGTGTGTACATAATTTATCTTTTTAAAAGAGAATGTTTTCAATAAGAAATTCACAGTGGTTTACTCACAACCTTATTAGAATAGGTTTCTCAGTTTGAGGCTCATGACATTGTTGAAAAATGATGAAGCTTATGAATATATGATTCAAGCATAGTTTCTCAAAGGCTGGTCCATGAACTGGCTGCATTAACATTCTTTTATGAAACTTCTTAAAAATACTGATTCCCAAGAACTATCTGCTATCATTTATTAGATCTATGTTCAGTTCTGAGACTCCATACTACTTTAAAAAAAAATCTTTCCAGGTTATCTGAGGTATTTCCTTTCAAGATTTTTAAACACTAATTTTGGGAAGGGAGAAAGTAAATGGTAAGTAGGTCAGCTAATTGAGCCTGTGAAAAAAATAATAAATTTGAATTAAGCATGAGCAAGAAACAAAGCTGGGTTCATTCATGATAGGTAGAAAAATTTATCATATTGAAATTGCATCTTTCATCCACAATGACTCCCACATGAAGACATGTACTTGGGGTGGGAAGTGGTGTGGTTTGGTCGCAAAGGCAACTTGAGGTAATGCAATGATGTAATGAGATGCTGGGTCATGAATTAGCTCCAGACAAGCCATGTGTCTCTGATATAAGCCACTTAACTTCTCTGAACCTCAGTTTCTCAACTGTAAAGCCCCGAAGCGTCAATAACCACTTCACAGTATTTTTATGAGGGCTAGAATAAATCATGCAAGGAAATGTGCTTTGAAAACTGTAAATAAGTTATGTAAGTCCAAGTTCTTACTACTAAGAAGTAGCTGGTTGAGAGGACTGCTCCATACTTAAGAAGGCTGAAGTGACGTGAAGTGAAGGAGCAGGTGTCTTACTTTCTGTTTACAACAGTGTTGATACTGGGTAGTTTGTTTCTATTTATTTGAGGTCATGGATTCCTTTGTGATTCCTTTATAATTATAGACAAATTCTCTTTCTTTTTAAAAATGTCTTAATTTTTAATTTTGTGAGTATATGGTGTGTGTATTTATGGGGTACCTATGTTGATACAGGCATGCAATTTGAAATAATCCCATCATGGAGAATGGGGTATCCACCCCCTCAAGCATTTATCCTTTGTATTACAAACAATCCAATTATACTTTTTGAGCTATTTTAAAATGTACAATTAAGTTATTATTGACTATAGTCACCCTGTTGTGCTATCAAATAGTAGGGTACAAACTCTCTTTCTGAACATTGCCCATGTGCATAAAAATAAGAAATTTTTGAAGACAATTTTTGGTTATTATGTACTAGGTTAAGAGCTCTGTGTTCTCTTTTCATGTGCCCCTTTCTTCATTTTTTTTTTCTCTCCATTACTTGAATGTGAGCTTCATAAGCACATGACTTCAATTTGCTTACTGCTGCATTCGCAGCATCAATTACAGTGCCTGGCTTATAGCAGGAACTTCATAGCTACATACTGAACCCATGAGTGGGTTCCAGTGTGCACAGGTACAAAGCTAAGGAGATGAACCATACACAGCCCTGATGACCAAGGCTTCTGGTGGAGGGACAGTCCAGGCAGATAAGCACATAATTGTCAAGGAAACATTGGTAAGACATCTACCAACAGGCAATTATGATGTACTTGAGATATATTACAGAAGGAATGACCAGGAGTTGACCTTTGAGGAGGGCCTTGAGTGTGGATGTCAAATGTAGAAGGAGTTAGGGAATAAATTCCAGAGTTATACAATAGCTCAAGAAAACTGTAGAAAACATTTAATAATGGGTCAGAAGTTGAAAAGTAGCTGCTCCGAGAAGTTGAAAGTCATATGCTTTGTTGAACCTCCCTGATGTTTTTAAAAATGAGAACTATTGCCTAAAAATATAAATTTCTGCCTCCTCTTGAACGGTAAGCACATATAGCAAGTCTGACTCCAGCACTGGAGTCAAACAATAGCTGCCCCCTTTTGATGAGGTCTGTGTTCTCCTCTTAGCCCCCAGCCCACATGACTTGCTTATGGGACAGCTTGTGCATGTAATCCCTTGAGTTTGTGTACCCTGGCTCAGAAAGTCTTCGAGCACTTCAGATGCCCTCATCTTTGCAAAAGGGGTATTTATAGAATAAATCCTATGGTAGAAAATCACAGATAGAGTCACTGTATGTTGGGAGCTTGCTATTGAAGATTAACAGTGCTGAAGTAGGTGAACATAGAACAAATATATTAAAAAATGTAATAGATACCTATTTATATGCAACAGTATGAATGATTATAAATTAAATGGTATTGATAGAGGCAGACATGATCATTGTAGGTGAATACCTGGTAAAGGAGTGGCCACAAATTTTGGAGAGGAGATTGCATAAAAGAGGGTGGTTTTTATTAGTTTGCTTGTTTTGAGAATTTATTTGTTTAATTCAATGGTTGTATGCATCTCTCATGGACTGATGAATTCTAATATGTCAATCATCATGTTAATTGACCTACCTACCACTGCCAAAAAAAAAAAAAAAAAAATGCTAGTGGTACTCATAGCCTAACCCCAAACAAGAGAGACAACACATAGGAGAAAGATTAAAAACCTCAGTAGGCAGGCTAGAGGAGGAGAAAGTAATTTGCTTTGACCTAGGCAATAAATCTACCTGGCAGTAATGACCATCTCTTGACACCAGTAGTGACATTGATCAAGTACACTGTCCCAGACTTTCCCCCCCGTTCCTCTGAACACAAAGCCTCTCCTGATTGTTCATGTCACTATTTATGAATGAATGTCAGAGAGCAGAGATAAAAGGATGATAAAGGTACAATGGCCTCGTTAAGTTAATGTAAGCCCTGATTGAAATCATCACAGATACCATTCTGTGGACCAAAGGAGAGTACTGTCTTCTCTTTATATTATATTATTATTATTATTTTAACCTGTAGAAATGTTGCCAGAACTTGATATTGAGACAACTTCAAAGTTGTCATTGGAACAGAAAAAACAAGAGCAGATCAAGGGGAATTTGAAGCTCCAGCCCATTGGTGATTCAGCCATCGGGTGTGGGCCTAGGGATGTTGTTTGCCTTCCTTATCTGGAAATTTTAGGGCAAAGTTTCCAATACATAGTGAAACATTTTTTGTTATTGTTGTTTTCTTTTTTTAGTTTCCCATCTCGATTTATTGCAAAAAGTCTTGTCTATATAAGTTGTTGTATGCAGTGATCTCTCTGATTAGTGATCTAATTACTTTGTACTTTGTTACTTGAATTTAGCATGATATTCATAAAGTAATAGTTCACCTGCATTTTAAAATTGTTATTAATATATACAAAAGGATGTTTACATTACATGTAAGTCATGAAAAAACACATAAATGCCCCTATGCTCATCCTGTAGTTAAAGAAAGAAAACGTCACTAATCCTACCTCCCAGGACCCTTACAGATCCCACTTATCTTCCTCCCCACGCATAGGCCATGACTATTGTAAAGTTTGTGATTCATTGTCCTTTTGTTTTCTTTATACTACATGTCTACACAGTTCTAAGTAACATACTGCTTAGTTTTATATGCTTTGAGAATTTCTATAAGTGGAATTATACATCATGTACTCTTCTTCAACTACTTTTTTTTACCATTCAACATTATGTTTTAAAGATTTATCTATGTCAGTGTGAGAAACTCTGGGCCAGGGATTAGCAAACTAAAGCCCATGAGCCAAATCTAGCAAGAAACCTGTATTTATTTTATTTGATTATTCGTATGGACAGATAGTTAAGGATATTTTTTTCTCTTCACATTTAAATGGTTATATTTTTTAAAGTTATATAAATATAATAGTTATACAAGTACCTACATAATATTCTCAGCCCCAAATATTCACTCCCTAGTCCTTTCAGAAAAAGCTTGCTGGCCCATGCTCCAGGTTATTAATTTTATTGTGAGATTTTTATTTTTTGAATATGCTATAATTGTGAAATATCCAGGCTACAGTTGGAGCTCCATTTGGATTATTTCTAGTTGTTTGTTTTTTATTACAAACAGTATACTATAAATAATCTTGGCTGAGTCCATTTGTAAACAAATTTCGTCACAATACATTTCAGATTGTAAATTATGTACATCTTCAATTTTTGCCAGACAATGTCATATCTTTTCCCAAAAGAGTTGTGTCAATTTATGGCCCCACCATTAGTGCCAGAGTTAAGAATAAAAGGAGCCATTTGTTTGTTTTCTCTACTTCTCTCCCCAAACTTTGCCTTAGATAGCTCCTTGTTTGGTTGCAGTTTATAGAAACCAAGAGGAATAAAATTACCGACGACTGTGTCCTAAGCACATACATGTATCTTAAAAATAAATTTCCCAATAAGCTATCAAAGTTCTTAATAGGTGCTGTTTATTAAGCTATAATAATCTTCCATTAATTTATCTTAAGGTAATTTTTTTCAAAATTGTAAAAATCATTGAACTGCATATGTATGCTCCATATTTACATATATTTATGACATTCAAATGTTCATAACACTTTTGTTAGTGCATTTTTTTGAATTTCAACGATGTTTTCTAATTATTTAACAATATATCTAACATTCCAAGTTACATAATGAAGTTTCAATAGAGATAGAAGTAATAATAGCAGTCTGTGCTAGATGAAATATGATTTTTGATTTTTGCGTGTCTCATAGCATTCAAGGAGACAAGGAAGTCTGACAACCAGGTTACAAGCTCGAAAGGCCATTTTGTTCTCTGAGTTGATTTCCAAGACCATATTCTCACTCTCAGAGAAATTGTACTTCATCATGAAAATATGAGCCAATCCATCTTGGGGAATGGTGCTTATGTAGATGACTCTATTTAGAAATACTATTATAAAGCTAACACGGGAAGTACAATTTTCCTCCCCAACCAGCATGTCTTTGGAATTATTTTCCTTGCAGATCAATGGAACAGAGAATAGAATTGGCTTTTCTTTGTTGGCATTCATACTTCACGTACCCCCCAAGTGCTTTGTGTAATGAAAAACAGCAATGTTGGTGCCTTTAATAAAACATTGAGAATAATGCTTTCTTTTTCCCTGGCATTACTGCAGAAATGGAACTGATTTGGAGTCAAATAGAATGAGAAAAGATGCATTCCTTTAGTTTAATATATCTGAAAAGGATACATAATTATAGATTTATCAAAGTTTTGAATCAGTAAACTCCTGTTTTCCAGAGTGGTCAGAGTGTAAAACATCCGTGTTTATTTTCAGTTATGAGTCTGTCTTCACCTCATAATCTATAATTGAGGACAGGAACTATATTGCCTTCACTTGTTTATTACTGGTATGTAGCTGCCTAATAATTAACAGAATATACAAATGGATAATTACCATAGATTACATAAGTGCTCCCCTATATTCCGTGAGATAAGGATATCAAAAATGAGTACATTTTTGTTGATTTCCTTAAATGTGCTAGATGGCAATGATAAATGTTTATAGGGGTCATGTCCAGTATTTATACCCAATAGCAAATATGATGTTATTAGTCATTAATAATAAGGGTGTTAGCATTTGAAAATATTTTAGTGTCAAAATATTTTAGTGTCTTCTAGCCATTGCTCTGAAAGTTATTGCTATTACTATTTTTTTAATGTTGGCACTGGCTTTGTAATTTTATAATTTAATTCAAGGAGAAGATAACTGCATATCTACTGTGTCCTATCATTCTACAACCATGACTTTGAGAATAGAAAATAAGGTACAGCCTCTAAATGTAAGAGTCTTGCAGCAGCATGGGAAAGAAGGGTAAATCTTAACTACTTCAAACAACCGAAGGAAGATGCTAAATGCAATTTATTTGTGCACTAGAAGTGATATAGGCAACAGTGGTAAGAGGTGAGTCAGGAAAGGACAGAGCTGTAGGCATCTGTGTTTTCTGGGGTGGGCACAATGGAAGATCTGGCAAGGAGATGAACATGAAGGGACTGGAGAGACTGCAAAGTGTGGGAGGTTTAGTAGCATCCATCCTGACCTGTCCAGTCTCATACCTGGAGTCATTCATGAAAGCAGTCATTGGCTCTCTCCCACTCAGATAAATTCATTGGAGGAATTTTTATTTTCATATTTCTGTACTTGTCTTATACCTGGAGTCATTCATGAAAGCAGTCATTGGCTCTCTCCCACTCAGATAAATTCATTGGAGGAATTTTTATTTTCATATTTCTAGTCCCTGAAAAGTATTGTTCTGGTGTCTTTAAAATAGTTTTACAGAATAAATCCAAAATATAGTCAACACCATCATGTTGCTGCTGAGTATTTGGATGGCTTTTGTCTGTTCGTCAACCCTCTATGCTAGAGAGCAAGCCGACTGCAATTCGACTAGTTCTTTGATGATAATTGACTGTTTTGAAAATATTGTTGCCTAACAAAGAGTACTGTACTCTAATTTAGATTCCACTGCTAATTAACTCACTACCTATAGGCAAAACATTTGGCCATTTGGAATCTGGTGCTCCATGTTCCTCATCATGGAGACCCCATGTGTTCCTTATCTAATTTCTCCAATAGTAATATGTCATTATGAAAGTAATGTGCCTGACGAAGGGAGAACCAGTTGTTGATACTTTCTGGTTAATTAGCTCATGAAAAATGATTTAGTCCCCTGCAAGCTGCTTGCTTTCTCCTAGTTGCCCACTTTTCCATGAGCCAAAGCTCTCATGGTGAAAGAAGGATTGAAGGAATTAACCTGGCCTCTGAACATTAACACTTGTGTCAATTTTTTTTATGTTAATCTACCACTGATATGCTATTTCTAAAACCATTGTTAGTAGAATTTCTTTAGTGCTACCAGCATCCAGCAACAGAGAACACTGCCTTCTCCCTACATTTCCCTTCCCTGTCCTACCCTTCTCTTTTTTCCCTCCCTTCTTCTCCTTGCAAGCCAAAGAACCTCAAATCAATGTTCTTATGAAATTGCAGGCAGAGCCTCCTAGAGGTTGTCTACTACTCTAGGTAAATGGACCTGGTTATTCTTTGAGCTCTGATTCACACATGCTGTATCATTGTAGTTAATCTACTTAACCTCCCTAGTCCTTAGTTTCATCAATTGTAAAGATGGGAATATTTGCATTGCAGAATTATCTGAAAGATTAACTGATATCTTATGTATAAAACACCTAATTCATTGGAACTATTTGGAGGATTAACTGTTATTTTATGTATAAAACACCTAATTCATTGCATAGTACTATATTAATTGCTCAAAACATTTAACTCATTAGCCCAAATACTTCCAGGGCAGAAATGGGGTGAAGTTCTTTTGTTAGGAGCCCCTGTGTGTCAGGGACTCCACATGCAATATCATCATCATTTTCATAATGACCCCAAGGTAACGGAACTATTATCCTTCATTAATAACATAGAGCTTGGAGAACTTAAGCAACTTCTCTGATTTTCCTAGCTGTGCGAAGTCACTTAACTTCACAGTACTGGGATTTAAACCCACTTCTATCTGGCTCTGAATTGCCTGCTGTCACAAAGCATACCATGTTCCCTTCATGACGAGGAACATGGAGCCCCAGATTCCAAATGGTCAAATGTTTTGCCTATAGATAGTGAGTTAATTAGCAGTGGAATCTAAATTAGAATACAGCACTCTTTGTCAGGCAACAATATTTTCAAAACAGTCAATTATCATCAAAGAACTCGTTGAATTGCAGTCAGTTTGCTCTCTATCGTAGAGGGCTGGCAAACGGACAAAAGCCATCTAAATACTGAGCAGCAACATGATGGTGTTGACTATATTTTGGATTTATTCTGTAAAACTATTTGAAAGACACCAGAACAATACTTTTCAGGGACTAGAAATATGAAAATAAAAATTCCTCCAGTGAATTTATCTGAGTGGGAGAGCCAATCTTTCACTAAGGCAATATGTTTCTTTGGGAAATATTCAGCTATGGAAGAGAAGCTCTCTTTCCTAAATTTGAGGATAATCCATTCCTCATAAATGGTAATTTACTGAATGATGATGGAATTAAGCCTTCAGGTGTCTCTGCTGAGCTATGGAATTTCTGCTTTGAGATCTATATTCAGCAAGAATAGTCAACTCTTGGCTCCTCCTCCTGTTCACCTAGCCTCCTCATTTCCATAGTTAAGATACTGAACAGATCCAATACCAAAAACAAAAATCCCTCATGTTGAAATTTTTATTTATTATTTTAATTTTTTTTAGACAAAGTGTCATTCTGTTGCCCAGGTTCTATAGTGCAATGGCACGATCATGGCTTACTGCTGCTTTGACCTCCTGGGCTCAATTGATCCTCCCCTCTCAGTCCCCCAAGTAGCTGGGATTATAGGAGTACACCACCACACCTGGACAGTTTTTGTATTTTTTTGTAGAGTGAGGTTTCACCATGTTGCCCAGTCTGGTCCCGAACGCCTGGGCTCAATCCGTCTGCCCGCCTCAGCCTCCCAGAGTGCTGAGATTACAGGGGTAAGCCACCATGCCTGGACCTCATGTTGTCACTTTATAACCACACCCATCTTCCTCCTGTCTCACCCCTTAAATCTTAGCAACTAGTAATCTGCCCTCCAATTATTAAATTTAATCATTTTAAAATGTTATGTAAATGTAAATGATTCAGGGGCCATAAAGTCACAAATGTTAAGGAACATGGTCAGAGGGTCACTAGATATCTGAGCTTTTAGGCAAGACCTGGGAGATCTGGAGCAGCCAAAGACCTGGGCAGCACAGAAAGCTGGGACTGAGGGAAGCATTCGTGACAGCAGGTATGGTGTTCCAGAGAGTCTGGCAGCTCTCAGGCATGAAATGTGTAATCAGATTATAGTTATCCTGTCCAGGAAATACTTAATGATGGTCTACAGGAAGTGTCATGTAGCTAAATAATGGGATAACCCATTCTTAGGTTGCTGAAAAAAATGTAATACATTAGTATGAATGAGTTAATCATTCCTCTATTCTCTGAACAAAGAGAAAGCAATAACTGGAGGAAATAAATTGCTCTGACAAGAGTACTGGCTATGGAAGCATGCAAATAGGTGAAGGTCGGCCCTGGGTTAACAATTACTCTGGCATTTTACAGTGTGGGATGGAAGGGCAAAAGTTCCATAGAGACCAATTGATAAAAATTGCAGCCAAAGGGAATTCTGAGGCAATGGCAGTAGCAGGATGTGAGAAAAAGGAGCATATAATAATCTATTCTGGAGAAGAGCCATCAACCAGTCCCAGTGACATGGAGAGGTGTCAGGTGTGGACCATGAAGTAGGCTTTCAGAAGACAATAGAACAGATCCGACCACATGAGAACAGAAAACATTTTCTAATCCCAGATTCTTAGGAGAAAAAAATAGAAATTGACATCAGATAACTCTGAACAATATTTACAATTGCACACACTTAGGCTTTTAGCCATTTACAGCTAAACATATTTATGTCTCATTTCAGAGTGGGTGCCCGTTCATTCTAAACATCTTTTTATTTTTTTTGCTTTTGCCTCCATTAAGTCAAAAGCTAATGATCCACTGCACATGTTGTTCATTGATTTAACAACTTCCTTAGAGACGGGGACCTTTTCCTATTTGTTTTCCATTCTATGCTCAGAGCCCAGGAAAATTTATGAATTCAGCAAATACTTGCTGAACACTTACTATATGCCAGGTACTGTGACATCGACATTGAATGAAAGAAATCCAATCCTTTCTTTCATTGGAACTTACGATCTAGTAGGGATATTTCTTTATTCAAATAACCAGTATTTAGTAAACACCTATTGTGAACTGAACTGTGTTCTAGGCCAATTAAATGTTTAACAAATAATTAAACATAAACCCTTTAGTGAAAATTATCCTGAGTGACATACTGATATTTATGATCTGAGTTTTTATTTTATTTTCATTCAAACAAAATTTCTATGGTTCTAAAATACATATACAAAGAAACTCTATCAGTTTTCCTTCTACACAGAAATTTTTTCCCATGTGGTTAGCAAATTTTGATAGTTCTTATAACCCCTATTTAGGGTAATTGTTGACCATGCTTTGGGGATAAGACTTGACTTTTACTTAAGCCTTTAGGGCAAAAGATACAGCTTTTTGTAAAGCTAGTTTTAAATTTCGCTAGGTTCAAGACACTGAGGATAAGTTGAATAACAAAAAATCAACGGAAAAATACTCAGCAGTTGACACTGACTCAATCATTGTTTGGAGAAAAATTAAACCTATACTATATGGATCATAACATGCTCCAATACATGAAAAATATGCTTTAAAATACAGCTGGGGAGAGATGTTTGTTTTTATTAAAAGCTGCTCAAAGGCATCATCATAGCTACAGAATCTTTAAACATCTACAAACACAAAGGCGTAAAAAATAGCTCTTCATTGATTTTTTTTACCTGCTGTATTTTATGTATTCTGAAAGTTATTGGTACTCTTTTAAACAAGGGTTGACTCATATCTGCCAGATTTTGTGAATGATCACTTTCTGCTGATTCAATCTGGGAAAATCACTTTTGCTGAGACAGTCCCTAATGGCTACATTTATAGTCTTCTTACTTGTTTTATTACTCAAGGAGAACTCCTATTTTTCCAGTCAAAGCACAGAGGATCTAAACAACAAAAATAGCTACAGGTAGGTTTTCCCCCCAGTCAGTCCTCCACAAGACAATATAGATTTTTAGATCAAAGAGTTCAAAGAGATTTTCTGGTTCACATCACCAGAATCAGATCATACAGATGCATTATCAGTAGGTCATGGCTTCATGCAGACCCTGATTCCATTTTCAGTTCTGATTTTTGCTTGTGTTCATCATGATTCCTTCCCGAACTCACCAGTACAGAACTCAGACCTTCTCTATGTTTAGCTCTACCTGAGTGATGGGCTGAAATGATCTCAGTGGGACTCTGGGCAGACTTTCTTGAATTTTATCTAAGACAGATTCTGGTGTATTGAGGGAGTACTCAGGAGAAGCTTATAAGGATGTGAAGGAAGCAGGAGAGAGCAGAGAAAAAAGCTAAATAAAAATGTGGCTCCAGGTACAGCTTAGCCTTAGCCTGATCCCATAGGGAACTCTGGAGCATAATGGTACCACATAGTTGTCCCAGCTTGAGAAAAGGGGGCTGGGTTTGTGCACCCCTGAGTCAGCTACCAGCCGTGAGTGACCTGACAGGGATTTCCAGGACAGGTGCAGAGAAAGTCTCCTGGGAAGAGTGTAGCCATGAGCTATGAGCACCCCACAGGCCTGGAAATTGGAAGTTGATGCACCATTCTGATGCAGGACAGGCAACCCCTGGGCTTAGCCCAGGAAAGTTCTTAGCTTCACCCAGGAAAGAATGCAAGGGTGAGCAGGTGGTGTTAGACAGCAACTTTTATTGATGCAGCAGTGCACAGAAGCAGCAGAGGTACTACTCTTTGAGGAGCAGGGTTACCCCATAGGTAGCGTGCCCAGAATAGCAGCTCAGGGGCAGATCTGTACTTGCTATTTATACCTGCTTTTAATTATATGCAAATTAGGAGTGGTTTATGCAGAAATTTCTAGGATGAGGGTGGTAACTTTTAGGTTGTGGGGTCGTTGCCATGGAAAGGGGCGGTAACATCCAGGTGTTGCCATGGTGATGGTAAGCCGACATGGCACACTGGTGAGCACCGCTTATGGAAAGCTGCTTTCAGTAAGGTTCTGCCCAGGACCTGTTTTTGCTGGTCTCTGGAGTCAAGTCCCTCCTACTATCTCAATTATAGCAAAATAGATCCAGGCAGGAGATCAACAGCATCTTCTACACAACCACAGCATGTTGACTTTGTTGTTGCTTGTATTTTGTTTTTTCTTCCATCAGTCTTTCTGGGCTGTGAGACCAGCCATGTTTCCAAAGCAATTTTCCCTTCAGAGTAAACAGGTAACAATTTGTAACTGATTCTTTTTAATTCACTCCTAAAATGGCTCAGCTTGCACTTGAAACATCAAGAAGCTTGAAACATCAAGAAGCTTGAAACAAAAAGGCATAATTACTCAGGTTAAAAATATAATTGATGATTTATTGTCTGCAAAGTTGGTTACCATACCCTGATACGGCATCTTGTGTTTATCAGTTCTGAGCACCTTTAAACAGCAGAGCAGAATTTCCCATTAAGGAAAAAAAATGTTGTTTTACATTTCCATGCTTCAGTTGAACTCCCCAAAGCCAGCCTTTAGGGGAAATGCATGCATACAATTGAGGGTGATGCTTAGACCCAAACTTTCAATTCAGCTGTGAAAGTCTGATTTAAGAGTGTCTCACATGGCATCTAAATTAGAAAGTCACTCAACCTCTCAGTCTTCTTGAAATAAGTGGGGGAGCCACTCTTTACAAACTGTAAAGCCTTGGAGAATAGGATTATAAAACAACAGAAACAATAACAATAGTTACTCATGAATTAATGCTTCCGTATGATTCAGGCACACTTCTAACAAGTTGCTGTAACTCATTGAATACTTTTTAAAAACCCTGTGAAGCACACATGCTTATTTTTTTTAACAGAAGAAGAAACTGAAGCACAAGGAGTTCCTATTAAGTGCACATTGCTGAAGATGCAGCGGACACGGTCTCTACTCTCGTGGAGCTAATTATGAAATTAAGATAAAATTCCAACTGCAATCATCACAGCAATGAAGACTTACAACAATTATGAGATTCCACAACAGTAGTATGTGATTAAGTTGTATCGGTCTCAGGAGACTGGTTTGAGATAAAGAGGAGAGAAAAAATAATATCCTGGGCAGAAGGAATCACAGATGCAAAGAACCTGTGGCCAAAGACATCATGTGGCTGGCTGGCAAGAGGAAGGGCCAGCCTGGAGAAAGAAGCTTCTGGAAGGTAGACAGGAGCCAGAACAAGCAGGACTTTGTAGCCTGTATTAAGAAGATTTGTGTTATCATTATAAGCAATGCAAACCCACTGAAGCAAAACCCAGATAAACATTGACTTAAATGCAATTAAAGGCAGGAGTGTAGTATTTGCCTAATTATAATAAGCCTTGGTTTTCAAAAGAGCCCTTTGTTTTGAGGATCACAAGTAGATTGAAAGAAGGACAGAATGAAATGAAGAATTATGAGATATTGCAGGAGACCAAGCTGAATGCTGATTTGTGACTTTGATTAGGATATTGCTGGAGATAGACGTCTATCTAGAAATATTTTTTTCAAAAAAGATAGATAGGAATTGGTGATGAATTGGATGTGGTTGGGGGTACTAGAAGGGAGTTGCCAAAAAGGGATGCTAAGGTTATTCCTAGGTTTCTGATTTGTACAACCGGAAAAATAATCATAACTTTCACTGAGAAGAGAGACATTGAATAAGGAGCAAGGGTAGGATCATGAGTTTTGCTCCAGGTGTTGAATTTGAGGTGCTTTTGAAAGACAAACAAGAGAAGACAAGCAGACAGTGGAATAATAAGTCTAAAGAGAGCTCTCAACTAGACATGGTCATCGAAGCCATAATTGTGAATGATGTTTACCTATGCATACATAGAGGAAGGGAAGACATAGAAACCAGCCTTCAGTATGCCGGTATTTAATGACTTAGTATATAAACCTCAGTAGATAATAGTTGTAGAAGGAAGAATTTCATTAATAAGTCAAATAAATATTGATATTCTTAGATTGTAATTGGAGCAGGATCAGCATTTGGCAAAATCATCAAATATTTATATAAACAAATGTAAACTAAAAATAAAAAAATTTGAAAATAATTGTTTCAAATATTGTATAAAGGTAGTTTCCCTTTATACAACTTCTTGCTTTGAAAAGGAGCTAACGGGAGAGAGCAGAAGAATTTATTTCATTCCCAAAGCAAAGGCAATATTTTTAGTAGAAAACAAAATTGTTCGCCTTCTTTTTTACTCTCCTTTAAAATATCCTTTTCCCACACTATTGCTGAAACACAAATTTCTCACCCAGCACCACCACCAGGAGGTCAACCACATCCTGTCTAATGATGATCAGTCTCTGACCAGTCATTTTTCCAAAAGTCCCAAGAGACCTCTGAAAAACATAATTGAAAACTCTAAATAAAGTGTAACTGTTAGGTTACCTATTAGAGCCAAAGAACCCAAGAGTGAGCTTACTAAATTCTCTTTGACTGACAGCAGGCAAGGACCTGAATGAACATGTCATTTGAAATACACAATAGCCTGAGGCTGCAAAGGAGAAAAAAATCCAAAACCAAAAAACACAAGAGCATCTCTAGCTCAGCTTGGTAATTGGGATTAATCTGTCACCAGAAAGCTTTTTCAGGTATAAGCTACCAGCTGTCCTTGAGCAACCAGGCCTGTGTCTTACCCAAACTTGCCCGTGACGTATCCTACCCTGTCTCCTATCAATGGAGACAGACCAGCTTCTTTTCTCTTGTTCACTTTGCTCATTGCAAATAGATAGGGTAGGAAAGCTGCAATTCACTGAAAATCATACTCAGCAGATAAAATCCATTGCACATTTGCTTTCTTTCAGATAAGCTCAAGAATATAGTGCTTTTTAAAATATTTTATTTTTTAAAAATAAACATGGCTAAAAACCTGAAACTCTTTTTTCAACAGAAGCTGAAACTTAAAAATGGAAACCTTAGGTCATTGGAGGAGAAAGAGTCTTGCTTATTTGTCCAGTTCAGCCACATTCTGCCTTGCAGAGTGGTTTCTAAGGTGTGTTATAGAGTGTATTCACCCCATGCCAATTACTTGTTAACCTTTTTTATTAACCATTCTCTCTGCTCATTAGGAGGTTAATTGGTATGGAAATCATCAATGTTCCCTGCTTTCTGGCTTACAGTTGAAGTCAGCTAATGGGAAGTGTCTAGCAGATCAGAAATGCACAGGGCATTTATTCCATTTTCCTGCTTTCTGGGTTTCTGTGGGCTGATGCATTCCTCTGTCACTTATCAGAGCTCCTGTCGGGCTCTTCTTCTCACATGGTCCTCTCTCTCTCAGGGGTTGGGAATCTTCCTCCAATTGCCCCATCAAGTCTATAGTGAAATGGAGAGCCTCTGCTGCTAGCCTCAGTGTGCTTCACTACCCATTGCCCTTCCTTTGTGGTTTTCCTACACTTTACCCACATCTTTGTATGTAGCCCCTTTATAAAATTGCATTAGTTTTCTGTGGATCCCTGACCCACCTGGGATAACACATACCACAACCGTATCACCAAGGTACTCCAAATCAAAAATGTAAGCCAGAAGCTGTAGAGACAAAATAAAATGCAATAGAAGGATTTGGATGTACAACAGTTAACTCAAGTTTAGTCACTGCTAAAATATCTTCCCAGGAAACAATGACCTTTCTTCTAGATACATTGGCCCCCAGTATGTTTGGCTGTGTTTCCAGCAGGTGTGTCTATATTGTGACCTTCCCCGGTCTGCTTCTCCCACATTCAAACTTAGCTAATTTGACCATGAACGGTCACATGATCTGATCAGTGTCACTTGAGTCCTTTTCCTGAGAACTTGGAGTGTGGACTGCAAAAGGTCAGACATTGAGCTGGGGTTAAGTAGAGAGCACAAATCACTAAAAAAAGAAAGAATGATGTAACAGAGCAGAAATCAGAGACAGAAACACAAGAGAGTAGTTCCAGGTTGCAAGCTCCTTCTGAGACTTAGCTCTATCTCTTTCTTGAACAGAGTTATTACTTTATATTTAAAGTAAAACTCTCCATTTTTATTTATTAGAGGAAGTTGGTTTCTGTTACCTGCAACTAAAAGAGTCCTAAATGATCCATTAGACAAAAAATGAGGCTTTTTATCCAGCAATAAAGCAGTACCTATGACTCTATTTTAGCATTGTCCAAGAGAATATTCTATGGTGATAGAAATGGACTGTAAATCTGCCCTGTCCACTGTCCAGACTGTGTGCAGTGGCTCATGCCTATAATCCCAGCACTTTGGGAGGATGAGGCAGGAGGACGGCTTGAGGCCAGGAGAAGTTTGAGATCAGCCAGGGCAATATAACAAGACCCCATTTCTATTAAGAAAAAAAAAAAAAACAAAAAAACAGAACAAGAAAACAAAGGAAATCTGCAGTACCCAATGCAGTAGCCCTGGAAATATGTGGATATTAAGCACTTAATATAGGCAGTGCAGATGAGAAACTGATTTTCTTAAATTTTAATTTATTTTGGTTTAAATAGCTGCATAAAGCTAGCAATGATTGTATTGAACAACTCAACTCTAGATTTTGATTTTGTTTTTTGTCTGATTCCTTGTGTTTTGTGTCTTCTCTATGAATTGCTTTTGCACCTTCTGCAAATATACTGAAAAATCCCCTACTCTTAGTTAAGCTGGAATATCACTGTAACCAAACATTAATTATTAGGTATTTATATCTATCCTGTGACTTTTAATGAGAAACTGGCCAACTTGAAATCTGTCCCATTATGATAATATCACTACATCACTGTCCAGCTCAACTCCTGTTACTCTTTAATCCTCACGCTTTGATCTTATTATGCCAAACTTACTGTAGTTTCCATAGTCTGTTGTGCTCTGTTATGCCCTCATGCCCTTGCATAAGTGATACCCTCATACATTCATTATGTATTTATTCTTTCTTTTATTCTTCCATCCATACATCTATTCATGCAACCATACAACAAATGTTTATTAGACAGGACAAATTTGGTACCAGAAAGATATATATAAGGTGCATATTTGTAAGTGAAATAGATTTACCACTTGGTGATCAGTAGGTGTCTTGGAAGGCACCTTGGAGTAATCAGAGGACTTAGAAAACAAGTAGGGTAGATTATTTTTCTTTTATCAAAGTATGGTTCATGTGTATCTTGCATAGAATTGCTTGCTAAAAATGCATTATAGTATAGTGGTTGGAAACATAGGTGATATTTTATCTTCCTTAGAATTTTTCTTTTAACTAATTCGTGTAAAACACTGAGAAGAATGTCTCTTAATAGTAAATGTTCAATAAATATTGGGCCTTATTTACAACACTTCTTTAAAATGTTCCTATACCACACTTCTGAATCTGTCATTTAAACCTGCTCTTCCTATAGTCTTCTCCATTTCAGTAAATAGCAACTCAATCTATTGCAGATTGAGTATTTTCTGAGGAACAGCCTCTGAGATAGAGATTGTTGTGCAGGAAGTTTAGTCAGGGAGTGCTTTCAAAATCCTCCCTGAAGGAGAGAAGGAAGAGGACTGGGCAAAGAGAAAAGCTGGGCTAAGATGCATCCTCAGCAAAGACCTTAGCTGACCCCACAGAATCTCACATTGCAGAGAACTCTGACTCTTCTGAATCATCCTTAGTTGAAATGGGTGTGCTGAGCTTTATCCCCCAATGCCCACATCAACCAGTCATTGGTTGACACTGCAGGCCAAAGGGTATAAGCTTGAGCAAGGGAGTTATTTTCAGCTGAGGTCAATTTCCCTGGAGCATTGAGTGTTAAGGGCTGTTTGCTAGAAACATATCTTGAATTTGAGGAAAATAAGTTGTTTAGTCCAACAGAAGGATCTGTGTAGGGTATCATAGCGTTTCATACACTACCTCTCTTCTTCTTCAGACTAAAAATCTTGGAGCCATCCTTGGTTTCTCTCTATGTAATTCCAGTTCTGCCTTTGAAATATATCCAGAATCTGATTTTTTTTTTTTTTTACCGTCTCCACTACTGCCATCCTTGTTAATCTCCCTATCTCCTCTAATTTGGATTATTTAGTTAACTATCTTATTGATCATTCTGATCTTCCCTTTTCCCCACTTGTAGTCTATGCTCAACATGACAGACAGTGTGATCGTTTCAAAAAAGTTGCCTGTTCACGTCTCTTCTCTGCTCCAAACTCCTCCGTGGATTTCACATATTACTTAGAGTAGAAGTGAAATCCTTAGAGCTTTCTAAAGCATTGTGGTTGGGCTGCCCACAGCATTTCTGACATTATTTCTGACCATTTAAATTCTTGCTCACTCAACTTCAGCTTTGTTCTGCCTCAAATACCCCAGGCACTCTCCTGACTAGGGACTCTAAATTTTACCCTTTGCACATCCAAGAAAGCACATTTTCCATAATCCCATGTGCCTCCCTCCCTCATTCTTCCAGCTCTCAGCTCTTGTGTCACTTTATCAACACGGTCTTTACAAACTACCTCATATAAAACAGGGAATTCCAGTTCCCTATTATTCCTTACAACCTTGCATGCTTTATTTCGCTCCTAAATTTTTTGTATCATCTCTCCTATTATTTGCCTAATTGTTCTTATATTTGTTTTCTGGTGGTAGCCTCACAGTTTAAAATGTAAGCTTCATGAAGCAGGGCCATTTTTTTTTGTTTTTTTTTTTATTATTATACTTTAAGTTTGAGGGTACATGTGCACAACATGCAGGTTTGTTACATATGTATACATGCGCCATGTTGGTGGGCTGCACCCATTAACTCATTTACATTAGGTATATCTCCTAATGCTATCCCTCCCACCTCCCCCCACCCCACGACAGGCCCCAGTGTGTGATGTTCCCCATCCTATGACCAAGTGTTCTCATTGTTCAATTCCCACCTATGAGTGAGAACATGTGGTGTTTGGTTTTCTGTCCTTGTGACAGTTTGCTCAGAATGATGGTTTCCAGCTTCATCCATGTCCCTAACAAAGGACAGGAACTCATCCTTTTTTATGGCTGCATAGTATTCCATGGTGTATATGTGCCACATTTCTTAATCCAGTCTATCATTGATGGACATTTGGGTTGGTTCCAAGTCTTTGCTATTGTGAATAGTGCCACAATAAACATATGTGTGCATATGTCTTTATAGCAGCATGATTTATAATCTTTTGGGTATATGCCCAGTGATGGGATGGCTGGGTCAAATGGTATTTGTAGTTCTAGATCCTTGAGGAATGGCCACACTGTCTTCCACAATGGTTGAACTAGTTTACAGTCCCACCAACAGTGTAAAAGTATTCCTATTTCTCCACATCCTCCCCAGCACCTGTTGTTTCCTGACTTTTTAATGATCACCATTCTAAGTGGTGTGAGATGGTATCTCATTGTGGTTTTGATCTGCATTTCTCTTATGGCCACTGATGATGAGCATTTTTTCATGTGTCTGTTGGTTGCCTAAATGTATTCTTTTGAGAAGTGTCTGTTCATATCCTTTGCCCACTTTTTGATGGTGTTGTTTGATTTTTTCTTGTAAATTTGTTTAAGTTCTTTGTAGATTCTGGATATTAGCCCTTTGTCAGATGAGTAGGTTGCAAAAAATTTTCTCCCATTCTGTAGGTTGCCTGTCACTCTGATGGTAGTTTCTTTTGCTGTGCAGAAGCTCTTCAGTTTAATTAGATCCCATTTGTCAGTTTTGGCTTTTGTTGCCATGGCTTTTGGTGTTTTAGACATGAAGTCCTTGCCCATGCCTATGTCCTGAATGGTATTGCCTAGGTTTTCTTCTATGGTTTCTATGGTTTTGGGTCTAACATTTAAGGCTTTAATCCATCTTGAATTAATTTTTGTGTAAGGTGTAAGGAAGGGATCTAGTTTCAGCTTTCTACATATGGCTAGCCAGTTTTCCCAGCACCATTTATTTAATAGGGAATCCTTTCCCCATTTCTTGTTTTTCTCAGGTTTGTCAAAGATCAGATGGTTGTAGATGTGTGGTATTATTTCTGAGGGCTCTGTTCTGTTCCATTGATCAATATCTCTGTTTTGGTACCAGTACCATGCTGTTTTGGTAACTGTAGCCTTGCAGTATAGTTTGAAGTCAGGGAGCATGATGCTTCTAGCTTTGTTGTTTTGGTTTAGGATTATCTTGGCAATGTGGGCTCTTTCTTGGTTCCACATGAACTTTAAAGTAGTTTTTTCCAATTCTGTGAAGAAAGTCATTGGTAGCTTGATGGGGATGGCATTGAATCTATAAATTACCCTGGACAGTATGGCCATTTTCACGATATTGATTCTTCCTACCCATGAGCATGGAATGTTCTTCTTATTTGTTTGTGTCCTCTTTTATTTCGTTGAGCAGTGGTTTATAGTTCTCCTTGAAGAGGTCCTTCACATCCCTTGTAAGTTGGATTCCTAGGTATTTTATTCTCTTTGAAGCAATTGTGAATGGGAGTTCACTCAAGATTTGGCTCTCTGTTTGTCTGTTATTGGTGTATAGGAATGCTTGTGATTTTTGCACATTGATTTTGTATGCTGAGAGTTTGCTGAAGTTGCTTATCAGCTTAAGGAGATTTTGGGCTGAGACGATGGGGTTTTCCAAATATACAATCATGTCATCTGCAAACAGGGACAATTTGACTTCCTCTTTTCCTAATTGAATACCCTTTATTTCCTTCTCCTGCCTAATTGCCCTGGCCAGAACTTCCAACACTATGTTAAATAGGAGTGGTGAGAGAGGGCATCCCTGTCTTGTGCCAGTTTTCAAAGGGAATGCTTCCAGTTTTTGCCCATTCAGTATGATATTGGCTGTGGGTTTTTCATACATAGCTCTTAATATTTTGAGATACGTCTCATCAATACCTAGTTTATTGAGAGTTTTTAGCATGAAGGGCTGTTGAATTTTGTCAAAGGTCTTTTCTCCATCTATTCAGATAATCATGTGGTTTTTGCCTTTGGTTCTGTTTATGTGGTAGATTACATTTATTGATTTGCCTATGTCAAACCAGCCTTGCATCCCAGGGATGAAGCCAACTTGATTGTGGTGGATAAGCCTTTTGATGTGCTGCTGGATATGGTTTGCCAGTATTTTATTGAGGATTTTTTGCATCGATGTTCATCAGGGATATTGGTCTAAAATTATCTTTTTTTGTTGAGTCTCTGCCAGGCTGTGGTATCAGGATGAGGCTGGCCTCATAAAATGAGTTAGGGAGTATTCCCTCTTTTTCTATTGATTGGAATAATTTCAGAAGGAATGGTACCAGCTCCTCTTTGCACCTCTGGTAGAATTCGGCTATGAATCCGTCTGGTCCTGGACTTTTTTTGGTTGGTAGGCTCTTATTGCCTTAATTTCAGAGCCTGTTATTGGTCTATTCAGGGATTCAACTTCTTCCTGGTTTAGTCTTGGGAGGGTGTATGTGTCCAGGAATTTATTCATTTCTTCTAGATTTTCTAGTTTATTTGCGTAGAGGTGTTTATAGTATTCTCTGATGGTAGTTTGTATTTCTGTGGGATCGGTGGTGATATCCCCTTTATCATTTTTTATTGCATCTATTTGATTCTTCTCTCTTTCCTTCTTTATTAGTCTTGCTGGTGGTCTAGCAATTATGTTGATCTTTTCAAAAAACTAGCTCCTGGATTCATTGATTTTTTCCAGGTTTTTTTGTTTCTCTATCTCCCTCAGTTCTGCTCTCATCTTAGTTATTTCTTGCCTTCTGCCAGCTTTTGAATGTGATTGCTCTTGCTTCTCTAGTTCTTTTAATAGTGATGTTAGAGTGTCAGTTTTAGATCTTTCCTGCTTTCTCTTGTGGGCATTTAGTGCTATAAATTTCCCTCTACACACTGCTTTAAATGTGTCCCAGAGATTTTGGTATGTTGTGTCTTTGTTCTCATTGGTTTCAAATAACATCTTTATTTCTGCCTTCATTTCGTTATGTACCCAGTAGTCATTCAGGAGCAGGTAGTTCAGTTTCCATGTAGTTGAGCAGTTTTGAGTGAGTTTCTTAATCCTGAGTTTTAATTTGATTGCACTGTGGTCTGAGAGACAGTTTGTTATAATTTCTGTTCTTTTACATTTGCTGAGGAGTGCTTTACTTCCAACTGTTGGTCAATTTTGGAATAAGTGCAATGGGGTGCTGAAAAGAATGTATAGTCTGTTGATTTGGGGTGGAGAGTTGTGTAGATGTCTATTAGGTCCGCTTGGTGCAGAACTGAATTCAATTCCTGGATATCCTTGTTAGCTTGCTGTCTCGATCTGTCTAATGTTGACAGTGGGGTATTAAAGTCTCCCATTATTATTGTGTGGGAGTCTAAGTGTCTTTGTAGGTGTCTAAGGACTTGCTTTATGAATCTGGGTGCTCCTGTATTGGGTGCATATATATTCAGGATAGTTAGCTCTTCTTGTTGAATTGATCCCTTTACCATTATGTAATGGCCTTCTTTGTCTCTTTTGATCTTTGTTGGTTTAAAGTCTGTTTTATCAGAGACTAGGATTGCAACCCCAAAGCAGAGCCATTTGAATACTGTTCTGGATCCTGTACTCACAAAAAACAACAACAAATGAAGCAGGCCCATTTGTTGTTGTTTTTGTGAGTACAGGATCCAGAACAGTATTTCTGACGTACAGCAGGTGCTCAATCAATACTTCCTGGCTGAGTAAGTTGCTTTTGTATTTTGATTAACTTTAAAGTGAGATATAGAGACCTAGTCCAGACCCTGTGATTCCTATGAATTAAAAAAAAAATAAGACATGATATGCATGTTGGTCGAGGCAGGTATAATTTTACAAATTTCTCACGATTTCTATCTCTGGTTACTCAATCAAACACTAACTTAGATACCTCTGTGAATGGGATTGTGCAGATGGAATTAAGGTTATAAACCTTAAGACAGGGATAGTTTCCTGGATTATCCAGGTGGGTTCAATGTAATCTTGAGTCCTTAGAAGCAGAGAACTTTCTCAGGATACAATCAGAAAGAGATGTGGGGAAAGAAGAGAGTAGAAGAAATAAGGTAACAAGGTCAGTGAGAGCAATGCAGAGTGTGAGCAGGACTGTATCCAACATTTTGGGCATTGAAGATGGAAGGAGTTGGTTATGAGCCCAGCGATGTGGGTAATCCCTAGAAGCTAAGAATGGCCCTGACTGCAGCCAGTAAGGAAAAGAGTGCTTCACTGGTACAATGCATTGAAGTGAACTCTGCCAACAACCTGAGTAAGCATGGGGCAAGATTCTTCCCTAGAGCCTCCAGACTCCTTGATTTCAGCCTGTGGCACCCTCCACCCTCAGCAGAGTACCCAGCCAAGCCTGCTGGACATCCGACCTATAAAATTTGGAGATCAAAAATGAGTGTTTTAAACTGTGGATTTTGGAATTATATATATATATATACACACACACACACACACACACGCATATATACATATATACACACACACACACACACGAGTAGTCCCCTTCCTATTAAGATATATACATATATATTTAAATTATATCCTCTGTTCTCAGATAAACACCATGACAGTAAGCAATCTGCATGTAAAGAAACAGGACAATAAAATTTATAATATTCTAGACAGATAAGCTTCTAGCTTCTCCAGATTCTACTTTTTATTCAATAACTAAAGACCAGTAATAAGAATAATTGAAGTGAACTGTTTTACCAATATAATTATGAGTCTGTACTGCTGATCCACTGAGTATATATTTTACTTGTCAGAGCCTAAGTAGGGGTTACATTTTACTCAACAATGATCTTGGGGAGTTTCCTTGTGCTTTTTGCTGAGCTTGTATGAGTGTTGCTCTGCAGGTTATTAATGTCCCAGAATAACCTAATAAGGAGAACAGTGCCTACAACTACAAATTCAAACTAAAATTCAACTACAAATCCTACCATTTTTCATTAAAAATAAAAACACTCTCCCAAACTAACCATTGAATCATGATTGTCCCAGCAGTTAAGACCAATTGCAATGACTGGATTATTTGCATAATTTTAAGCAAATCACTCACCTACCTCTCTTTTAGTTTTCCCCTTCAACCTCCAGGAATTGCTCTAAAGATGTGATTTTTGATGCAAAAGCTTTTTACAAATGTTAGAAGGATTAAGCCGGTATTTGATAATGATTATAATTTGTAATATTCTTGTTTAGTTGAGTTTCTACTCCTTCTTGTTTAACTGTTTCTGAGATTTAATTATCTGCTGGGCAATTCCTTATTTCCTTAAATTTCCTTTGCTATAAACTTCCTCTTTGTGGCCATCCTGAAACTCTTCCAGTTTTCTCTCCCATTGCCCCATAATCCCCTTCTTCTCTAGTTTTCCATCACTTTTTTTTTTTTTTAGAACTCTTTCCCATGAACACTCTTTTATTAGAATTGTCCTGCCTGAAATGCAGTGCTACAACTTACATGGAGAGGAAGATGGCAATATCTAGGAAGACAAGGATGGATTTATTCTTCTACTTGACAATCACTTCTATGACTCTAAGCCAAAAGTAATAACTAAAATACAAAAAGTGGTTTGAACAAAGCAATTTAATGCAGCATTTTTTTAATAACTAATGAATTGATATAGTCTAAATGCCTATTAACAGGGTACTTGTTAAATAACTTGTGGTATATCCACAAAATGGAGTAATAGAAAAAAGAATGAGAAAGATGTCTCTCTTAGGCTACCTAGGATAACCGTAGTCAATAATGAAAAATTTTCTTTGGATAGTGCATTGGCTAATGAATAAGTAAAGAATGACGGATTTAGAATATCGTCATATGGCAACACCTAATGAATTAACAGATTTAGACAAGAATCATCTAGTGGCAACCAGTTATGTTCCTCCCCAATGTGAATTATTTTGTGTCCTCCCCTCGGTCACTACCCCCACAATTGAATTTGAATCTAATCAAGACTTTAGATCTAAATACCAATTTTCAGAAAATCTTTAGGACATTTGGACTTGTAAAAAAACACCACAGGGTTATAATCAGCAAAATTCAGATTGCGAGAAGCTCTATTGGATAGTGCACCAGTTTATTCAATAAATTATTTGAAACAGGAGAAAGAGAAAAAGAGAGAGAGGGAGGACATAGCTGATTAGTTCTGGTTCCACTAGGAGGGAGTAGTCCCTTTCCTTTTCAGATCTCCCCTTCACAACTAAAATATCCCAAACATAACGTAACAGACAGTACAGGAATTCTCTAGAAAATGGAAAGATGAAGGTGGTGGGCTATATGGGGACAGCAGAAATTGAAGAATGACACAGAGGTGAGTTCTCTGGGTTTCCTTATTGTCTCCCAAGTGCACAGCCAGGACACTACAAAAGTCTCCAACCTGGAAACACCAATGGTCAAAAATGTAAAACAGAAAGCTCTAAGAACTCTCCTCCTAGCCAGAGGACTGAAAAGGGGTGGCCTAATAATAGAAAAAACTTTTTGACAAATGCTCCCCTACCAAAACTGAACACCAATGGGAAAACTGCTTCTCCATCCTCACCACCATGGTTTTAGGCTGGCTGTGCAGGAAGTTAATGTTTAATCCCCAGCCTCCTGCCCCAGAGAAGCAGGTTGCAAGCTCCAATACCACCCCCTGCCCCCCCTCCTCCCACCACCACACCCCCTTGTTGTGTTGGAGGGTTGAGTCAAGATCTTGATTTTCTATCCCTAGCCTAGAGGAACCAGGCAGTATGATCTGATCCAGTTTTTCTGCTGGGGTAGTGTCAGTGGGATTCAACTGCTTTGAGAGAGGTAGGGTGAAGGCCAGGTTGAGGGAGTAGGAGGTGGTACAATGATCATAACAGTGCAGAATCTTCTAGACTGAGTGGGGAGCTGGTCTTCCCTGGAGAAAGAGCAGAAATAATAACAGGAAAAGAATAGTAACTCCAAAAAGGATAAATGGACGTCACAATGGGTAGAAACACAAGTAGGTATCATAGACTTATTTCTCAGTATCCTGCTTCTCTTGAGTTTCTTAAATCATATTTGACGATTGAAGAAAAGTGTCATCTATTATGTGGAACTCAATGTATACAAAAGAAACAGTTAAGATAATTATATTAAAAAGCTAAAAGGATAAGGAGACCAAATGAAAATTATGTTGCTACATTTCACTTGAAGCGGTAAAACTTCAATATCAGTAGACAATGATGTTACATGTATGTGTGTATATACAAAAAAAATTGATAAACCTCTATTAAAACTGACAAAAATAAAAAGCTAAAAGACATACATCACCAATACCAGAAATGAAAGAGATGGTATCATTTCAGATCTTACAACCATTGAAAATATAGTCAAGAAATACAATATGACAATAAAGAGATTTTACAATTTTGATAAAATGGACCAGTTCCTCAAAAAGCATCAAGTATTACAACTCATCTAATATGACATAGATAATGTAATTGTCCTATAATTATTAGGGAAATTTAATTTGTAATTGAAAAACTGAAGTGAAAAAAATATTTGGGGTACTGTAGTTTCCCTGGACAATTCTACTTAACATTTTAAATAGAATTAGCATAAATTCTACACAATTTTTTTTTCAGAAAATAGAAAAGGCAGAGACATTTCCCAACTTATTTTATGAGGCTAGCCTTCTTGCTGTCCCCTTCTATGGCCACAGGACCATTCTTATGTGTACATGCAGAGACAGAAGAAAGAGAGAGAGAGCTAGACAGAGAGAGAGGGAGGGAGAGGCTTTCCGACATCTCTTCTTATGTTGGCACTAATGCATTCCAGTTTGGGCTTCATCCTTATGACCTTATTCAACCCTAATTCCTTAGAGGCACTATCTCCAAATACAGTCACTCTAGGGGATAAGGCTTCAACCTACTTTTGGGTTAGGAACAGAAACATTCAAACTGTAACAGCAACATACAAAGATTATACAAAAACCAGAAAATTTAACACTAAAAACTAGAAAATGGGCAAAAGACATGAACAAACATTTTTTGTATGAATAAGCACATGAAAAGATGCTTAACATCGTTAACCTTTAGAGAAATACACATTAAATCCACAGGAGATAGCACTGAAACCTACAATTAGAATGTTTAAAATAACATTAAACTGAACAAAAACAACTCACCCATGAGCTGGGTTTCCCTCTTTTAGAAGTATGGACCAAGAGGTCCGGAGCCTACGTCTCAAGAGGGATTGCTTTTTGGACTGGTAAGTCTACGTGGCGCCATGCTGGAATCTCCATTTGGATGTCATTTGTGTCTATGGTCGAGTGAAAGATGTGCCTATGGAGAGAAGTGAAAACACAAGCGAATGTGTTCCCTGTTGGTTAGAAAGTAGGGTGGTGTGAGAGTGCTGGTGCCTTGGCCCTTGGCACCTTTCTAAATTCCAATTCCAATATCTGATAAATCCTGGAAGTACTTGCTGTCTGTTAGTGTCAAGTGGCGTTAACATAAATCTCCCTTCAGTTAGTATGAGTGGGTTTATATCTTAACTAGTGACCCCCTGACTTGAGCAGTCCATTCAACACCCTCTTGGCTCCCCCTCTTCTTCCTTCCCTGCTCCTACTTTCTCATTCTGGATTCTTCTCTTTAACATCCTGAGGAGAACATCAGAATACTTGGGATCATTAACATAGGTGCATATAAATAACATTCATTCAGCGCAGGTGAACTTACCTTGAGTACAGCTTGAAAGTTTTCATGAACAGTAAAAAAAGCTAACTATTTCCTAATGGAAATAAATACCAAATCCAGAGGAAAGTAAAGTATTACTCATGAAATCACTTTATAGGAGTAAATGTAAAGTGTCTAATGAAATTCATAATATACCATATTCAGTGCCTGTGTCTATTGCATATACTAATTTTGATTGTATTGAATAATAAAAAGTTTAAAATAATATCATGTAGCAAGTAAAATAGAAAATGAAAAACTTTTTGTTGATCTAATGTTTATGCCCAAAAAACTAAGCCTATATCCCTGCCTATTACATTCTCGACTTAGCCAATAAATTAACACTATTTTTTTGTTTATCTATAACTAGACCTAGATGATTTACATGGGGAAAAAAGCTGACAATCCAATTGGTTGGTGTTACATGTTGCAGATGACTAGGTTTGATCTCAATTTCTTACTTTTCATTTTGGCTTTTACTGAAATAAAAAATTTCTGAATATTTCATATAGTAAAATATAAGAACTGGAGGTTTAAACTCTTCATAACAATAAAATCACTTTTTAAAAAGTTATTTTTTCTTTCAGGTTATACTGTAATTATGATGAAATTTGGAATTTTCTATTTTCATATAAACAAAAATTTCAATGTATACAGTTAGTTAATATAAGGAATTAAATGCAATAGCTTTGTACGAGTGCATTTGGCAGGGTTTTTTTCTGACTTTTATTATAGTGGAGATAGTCCAAGAAACTGTAAAAGTAACAACTGGATTTCTTCTCTTAATATGTTGCTAAGATACAAATGAAAGTGCATGTAATACAAAACTGTCTGCCCCTAAGATACTTTGATATGTGAGAAAAGAGTCTTCACAATAACTCCAGTAAATTAATACATGTGCAGACTTCAGGACATTATGTTATAGCTTAGTTTAATTTCATTTCAAAAAACCACCAGGGGCCAGACGTGGTGGCTCACACTTGTAATCCCAGCACTTTGGGAGGCCAAGGCCAGCAGATCACCTGAGGTCAGGAGTTTGAGACCAGCCTGGTCAACATGGTGAAACCCTGTCTCTACTAAAAATACAAAAATTAGTGGGGTATGGTGGTGGACACTTGTAGTCCCAGTTACTCGAGACATGGAGGTTGCAATGAGCCGAGACTGCACCACTTCACTCCAGCTTGGGCAACGGAGAGAGACCCTGTCTCAAACAAATAAAATAAATAAAATAAAATGAAGACTATTAGGGGTAGTATATGTAACGGATCTTTGCGATTTTTTATGAATATAATATAAATTAATAAATGAGCAAAAGTCTAAGCTTAAAGTCTAAGCTTTAAATGGTATATGGACAGTTAAGTAAAAGCAAAAGAAATCTAAGTTTATTTTGGTTTGTTCTGTTGATCTTTTATATAATGTGAATGTGAGAGATTTCTAGAGTTCCAACAAGCATTAAATTCAGTGTGTGTGTGGGGTACTTTTATCATACACTGATGCTGCAAGCTTAAAAATAAAGCAAATTTATGCATTAGCCTTTGAAAATGAAAACCTACATTCAAATTTTCTGTACAAATTTAACTTTAGTATATTTTAAAGAAAATAATGTTAGTAAAAGCCACTTCCTGGCTAGGAAGGAAGATGTTGATGTAATTACAATATTACTAAAGCACCCAAAGATATGTAATACCAGAGAAAGAAGATTATAGAAATAGAAAATGGGGATTGAATAGACCAGCTTTTCAGAATCCTCTTGGGAGAAAGTGAATTCACACTCTTGTTATTTCCTGATTATTTAGAGATGAACATCCCATTCCCATGGGTCAGACCTAGGGTGCAAAAGGTTGCTTGTAAATTGCTTTGGGTGAAACTCCATTTACCAGTCTTTTCATACAGCAAAATCAGATTGATACTGAATTAAAAGGCAGTTCTGGGGAGGAAAAGAGGGCACAAAACAGAACAGCCAATTGTCTCAGAAGAAATGAGGTAGAATACAAAAGCACATGCTAAGTTAATGATGGACAGGACTGGCAGAGAGGGGAGTGGGCTTGTGTTGGTCCATTTGTGCTGCCATAACAAAATACCAGAGACTGGGAAATTTTAAGAGAGTGGGAAAATACCAGAGGCTGGGAAGTCCAAGGTCAAGGCATCAGCAGCTGGTGTCTGGTGAAGGTTTTTATGCTGCTTCTAGTAGAATGTGAAAGGGTGAGCCCGGTGAACCAACACTGTGGGAAGCCTCTTTTATAAGAGCTTTAATCCCATTCATGATCAGGAGCCTTCATAGCCTAATCACCTCTTAAAGGCCCGAGCTTTTAAAGCTGTCACATTGGCAACATGTGAGTTTTAGAAGGGACACATCCAAACCATAGCAGAGCTATATTCTCTCTAAAGGCAATGTGTGTAAGCCACTAATCCATTTTATAGCTATCACAAAGATAGATGCATTCTTTACAATTCTTTACAAAGTCTTCACCAATATAATCAATGCATTTATATAAACAATTTGTAGACAAGATAATTGCTGTATTTTATAAAAGACACACTTATTTATTCAACACATATGTATTAATTCTCCGTTCTAGGCAGTGTGGATATAGCAATGAAGACAAAAATTGGTGTCCTTTTGTAGCTGATAGGGGGAGAAAGGCAATAAATAAAACAGAGAAGTGAAATATATAACATGTTACAAAATAGCAAGTGCAGAGGAGAAAAATAAATCAGGATATGTGGATTGGGAATTTTAGGGTGAAAAGTGGTGCAAATTTTAAGAGTTCTCAAGGCAGAGTTCAATGAGAAAGTGACCTTTGGGTGAAGACCTGGAGACGAAGGGGCAATGTGGGTATTATGCATGGGCTGGGTGAACAGGATAAAAAGTAGTAGGAGATGGGGTCATTTAGCATTCCACGGGCCTTTCTTAGGGCTTGGGTTTTTTTCCTGAGTGATAAGGGAAGACATTGGGAGGTCTGGGCTTAGGACTGACATGATGAGACTTAAATAGGGACTCTGACTGCTGTATTAAGAACAGAGTGGGCCGGGCACGGTGGCTCAGGCCTGTAATCCCAGCACTTTGGGAGGCCGAGGTGGGCAGATCACGAGGTCATGAGATCGAGACCATCCTGGCTAACACGATGAAACCCCGTCTCTACTAAAAATACAAAAAATTAGCTGGGCGTGGTGGCGGGCGCCTGTAGTCCCAGCTACTCAGGAGGCTGAGGCAGGAGAATGGTGTGAACCCGGGAGGCGGAGCCTGCAGTGAGCTGAGATCGTGCCACTGCATTCCAGCCTGGGCGACAGAGGGAGATTCCATCTAAAAAAAAAAAAAAAAAAGAATAGACCTAGAGTGGTGGAGGTGGACAGTAGTGAAGCAGGGAGACCAGTTCTACCATTTTCGAGCAAGTTAGTAAAACTTCCTATGCCTCAGTTTCCTCATCTACAAAATGGGACTAACGGTACATATTTCATGGTATTGTGGTGAGAATCAAATGAATTGTTATATGTAAAATATGTAGAATATTACCTGACACATATCACACTGTCCACCTATTTGTTATTATTATTATTATTATTAGAGACGGAGTCTCAGTCTGTTGCCCAGGCTGGAGTACAATGGCGTAATCTCAGCTCACTGCAACCTCCGCCTCCCCAGGTTCAAGTGATTCTCCCTGCCTCTGCCTCCCAAGTACCTGGGATTATAGACATCTGCTACCATGCCCAGCTAACTTTTTGTATTTTTAGTAGAGACGGGGATTCGCCATGTGGGCCAGGCTGGTCTCGAACTCCTGACTTTAGGCGATCCTCCCATCTTGGCCTCTCAAAGTGCTGGGATTACAGGTGTGAGCCACTGCGCCCAGCCTATTTGTTATTATTATTATCACTATTGTAATAATACAGACAAGAAATGATGACAGTTTGGACTAGATTGGTAAAAAGTGGTGAGATAACATTTGAAGATAAAGCAAACAAGATTTGCTGACCAACTCGATGTGAGCTTGGAAGTAAAACTAGGGCATCAAAGTTGGGCCCCAGTAGTTAGGAACATGGAGTTACTATTTATCAAGTTGAGGAGGACATGTTAGGAAAGCAGGTTTGGGAGGCAGGAGGCCAAAACCAAAAATCAGTTTGTATATAATGTTTGAGACATCTTTTACTTGTCCAAATGGAAAGCTTGAGTAACTGGACACATGTTGGCCCACACAGCTGCTTCCACACAGTGTGTGATACATGAAATGGTAATTCCCATCATGTTTTCATACTTAGCATTAGTTTTATGTATATTTCCACCACGGTGTTCCAATAGCTAACACCTTCTATTAAAACATTCAGTTTGATTAAAAAATCACATTTAATGCAAAAATGGTTGCTCAATATAGTATAAAAATCATCACCTCCAACCAAGGATACAATGAAGAGAGCTGATGGCACTTGCAGCTGCTACCAGAATCCAAGTAGCTCTAGGAATTTTGTGTGTTATTAACGTAATGACAGCATTTGCAATTATCTATAGCATGCAATTGTAAGTACATATCAACAGTCTTACCAGCTGGATATTTGAACTTACTTTCCATTACGAGAAACATTTCCCCATTCCTAAAGTCATTAGAATGGAAGATAATTGTGGCTTATACGCACCTCCTCCTGTGGGCTTAAATTTTAGAATTGTTGATGTTCTTTTCCTGGTGAATGAGGAAAGCATCTTGTTCTTGTCGGGCTCTTTCCTGTCTCTACCTATAGCTAGTAGAAATAGTATAAATAATAATATAGCAGTTAAAATTTATGAAAGTCTCTTATGTTTTACGTGCCATGCTATGCATTTTAAATGCATTAGCATTTCCATATTCAAGTAAGAAAACTGAGGTACAAAAGAGTTTCAAATTTTGCCTATAGTCACACTTCCAAAAACTGGTAAAGCTGAGATGTGAAACCAAACCCTTTGACTCAATCCCACACTCTTTGCCCCACTGCCCCAACCCATCTGCACTTCCCTCTTTAGACCTCAGGATTTCATTCTTAGTGTGTACTCTGACTTAAATCAGGTTTGCATTTTTTTTTTTTTTGAGATGGAGTCTCACTTTGTTGCCCAGGCTGGAGTGCAGTGGCACTGCCATCTCAGCTCACTGCAGTCTCCGCCTCTGGGTTCTAAGCGATTCTCCTGCCTCAGCCTCCTGAGTAGCTGGGACTACAGGTGTGTGCCACCGTGCCCAGCTAATTTTTGTATTTTTGGTAGAGATGGAATTTCACCATGTTGGACAGGTTGGTTTTGAACTCCTGACCTCAAGTGATCTGCCCACCTCGGCCTTTTGAAGTGCTGGGATTATAGGTGTGAGCCACCGCGCCTGACCAGGTTTGCATTCTTTACCTCTCTCTTTCCCCTTTCTACTTCCCAATTGTAATTTTCAGAAGGAAAGGGGAGTACACAGAAAAGCTGAAGAAACTTAAATCAGTATAATTTTCTCTATTTCAGAGACCCTTTTAGATGGTTCACCTCTCACTGGTTAAAGAAAGGATGCAGGGTATTGTAGGACAAGCCTAATAACCAGACTGAGATCAGTGTATTATCTGTGGATTTTAGTTTCCTGGTCCTTTCATTCAATAAAGAATGTTCTTTCTAGTGGCCAGAAGTAAAAGGATTGCATAAAGCTCTACAATTCCCTCTTTAAAACAACTTATTTATTTCATGGACTTTGCTATCTATTACCTCTTGCAGAAACCAAACATCTAAAAGCAAGGACTGGAAACAAGAATTGGCAATGTGAAAGGTGCTAACAGACCTAATTTATTTGAAAAGAGACTGACGACTTCTTTTCTTTTGGATTAAGTTAATGGTGTATTTTTTTTTTTTTATCTGGAAATAGGTTCTGTTGCTGATGTTTGGAGGCAGGGCTTCAGGAGATTTTAAATATCTTCAGGAGAGGGAAAGGCTGTGTTAATCAGGGTCACTTGAAATTACTTACTAAATGATTTAGCTTAGTTTCTTTCAGAAAAGAGAATCAAAAGATTTATAATTCCTTTAGCTACCCTCACTCATTAATACTCACTCTACCAGAGAGCAGCAAGCATTTTGTTCCCCCACAGTGAAGAGCAATTTCTCATGTTTTGAATGTCAGAGTGACCACTGGGATTTGAATTAAATTCATGTTAAAAACAAATTTTGACATTCGAAGTTAACCATCTCAGAAATACATATGAGAGTGACTGATTCTGTTAGCTTATATGCCTTACTCTGTATGTGTTTGTGTATGTGTGTGTGTGTGTGTGTGTGTATGTGCGCGTGTGTATGAACAGCTAGCTGACAGACAGGTGTCATTTTTGATTATAGAATTAGAAAATCATTTTGCTTACTTTTTTAAATGAAATACTGTTATTCTTGCATAAAATCTTTCAAATGCAGATATGATAAAAACATCACCTTTAAAAAGACATAGTGTTTGAAAACTTTGATTCTCAGTATCCAAACCTCCAAACCCGTTTCATTTTCTATAACTCTTCATTTTGAGGCTTTGGTGGGAGGGAGAACCCCATCTCCTATCTGAGAAGCATGAAGAAATCATGTATTTCTTATCCCTTTCACAGATAGTAAGTGTGGGCCTGTGAATTAGGCTCAAGCAATTGAAGACTCCCTCTTGGGATGCTGAATTTTGAGCAATGAATTCCCTTCACTTCTGTGAGCCAGTCAATAGTCAGTCAGTAGACACCTTATGCATAGGTAACCAAGAAATGACTTTTGTAACTTGAAACTCAGAAACCTGCCTGATAAAGCATTTGTAGATAGTTGCTTTACAATTACTTGTTTGATTACCAAAATAATGCATGCTAAATACAGAAGAAGTATAGCCCAAAAGGCAAATTACTTTAGTTATTACATTCCAGACTGCCTAGAAACCACCTCTTCTTCTTCTTCTTATCATTTTTTTTTTTGAGAGGGAGTCCTGCTCTGTCTCCAGACTGTAGTGCAGTGGCGCGATCTTGGCTCACTGCAATCTCTGCCTCCTGGGTTCAAGTGATTCTCCTGCCTCAACTTCTCGAGTAGCTGGGACTACAGGCATGCACCACCACACCCAGCTAATTTTTGTATTTTTTTTTTTTTTTTTAGTACAGATGGGGTTTCACCATGTTAGCCAGGATGGTCTCGATCTCCTGACCTCGTGATCCGCCCACCTCAGCCTCCCAAAGTGCTGGGATTATAGGTGTGGCCCGGCCACCACCTCTTCTTAAAGAATTGAAGGTTTATGTTCTTCTCCCCTGATTCTATTTTTAATTGGCTTTATGTAATTTTCTTCTCCAATAAATTAACTTTAATAAGGTGAAAGCTATTACGAAAGTATAATTACCAACTAAGAGAATATTTCATTTGTTCTTGGGTTTACCCACTGTCAATTTTAATAAGATTTTTATTTTCTAAAAGACATACTTGGGAATAAGACTTGTACAATCATGTCCAAGTGGTAAACTGTCCAAGTAACACATAGTGCTTTTTTGACGAAGAAACAGAACTTTTGGATTACTAAAAAGTATGGTTATGCCATGGATGCACGTTCCTTGACAATGTGCCTAGACTCACAAAATCTGAAGAAAATAACTATGGGCACAGGTGTTTGTGTAAGTCCAGAATCCTGTAGATATTGATTTAATATCTTATCTGAGTGTTAGAATTTTTCAAATTCCACTACAAATTAGAAGAACATGTTAACAAACAGTAATCTCCATCACATAAGTTTTATATCCTGAGTGTTTCATTTCTTGATATGATACACCCTCTGATGCAGTGCACGAACTCCAATATCTGTCAATATTTGTAGGAGAATGATAATGACGATTATGAAAGCTAACATGTATTGAGCACATATGGTTTAGTTATTGCTGTATAACAGAACACCCCAATATTTATTGGATTAAAAACAAAAATTGGGCTAAAAACTCTCATAAATCTACAGGTTGGTTGGGAAGTCCTATATATTTGACTTAGACTTGGCAGATTGAGACTGGCTGGGTTGCATATGCCTGTGTGTGTATGGTCAGTTTAAAGCAGTCTGTTGGCTGATTGAAGGCTTGGCTGGGTTCTACTTACCTCTCATCTATGTGGTTTCTTATTTACCACAAGGATAAGCTTGGGCTTATTCTCATAGTGGAGGCAGAGTTCCAAGAGAAAACAAAAGCAACAAAACCTCTTGAGGGCTAGGCTTGGCACTAGTATACCATCATATCTGCCACATTATGTTGGCCAAATCACGGCAATAGGCTATGCCAAATTCTGGGGAAATAGCTGCCACAACTTTATGGAAGGAGCTACACAGTCACATGGCACAGGGCATAAATACAGGGTAGAGTAGTGAACTGATGCTACTTATGCAATATTATACCATAACTTAGTATGTGGCAGGCACAGCATGAAATACTTTGCACATATTTCATTTAACGATCACAATATATAAAGTCAATATATTAGTAATATTCCTATTTGATGATAAATAACATGTAGGTATGGTGGAAAGAAAAGGGAATGCAAACATAACCTAATATATTTGTAGAGAATAGCAAAGGGGCTACTATTTATTATTTTCCAATACTTTGTATTTCTATTTCTGAGAGTAGACAGTAGAGGAGAAAAGAAAGCAACTTTGACGATGGTAAGTTTTCCTAGTGGTTAAATGTCTGTTAGAATCGTTTGCAATGCATCTCTGTGCCAAATATATTTAATTAATGGAACTTAATTAAAAATCTGCCTAGTAGCTGTGGTAAGATTCCAGCTTTGGTTAGAGTTGTCAGTTTGCATTTATTTTGAAATTATAAACATTTCAGCATTTTGGAACAGGCTAACATGAAAACTGCTGTCAGACGGCATATCCATTTAAAATCATGGGACATCCACTCCACACCACTTCACCTGAGTCAAGCTCACTGCCAGGTGAGGCTAAGTGCTTTGTGGCCAGACAGCTCTTGCTGGGATTGTTAATGAGTTCTTTTTTAAGGTTGAGGCAAAATATGCCTTACTAATAATTCTGCCCATCGATAATCTCCATAATCACCCTATATGGTAGAATATTTCTCATCATTTTCTATTTATTTACCTCGCTTTATTTGTCTTAATACTATCTCTCATGGCCTTACATTTTGTTATAATTATTTTGGTTTACTTGTATATCATGGTCTACCCACTAGAATTTGAACTCCATGAGGTCAGGGCTTGATTTTGTTCACTGCTGCATTTCCAGTGCCAAAAATAGTGCCAAGCACTTAGTAAGTATTCAATAAACATTGCCGAATACATGAATGCCCCTTCCCAGTACTTTATTCCTTATTAGATAGGATATTGTGTCACTATTCAATGTGTGTGAGTTCCACAAATGTAAGAATGCTGCCTTTTGCATGTTTAACAAAATTGCTGAAAGAATGTTGAATAACATCCAGCCATGACTAGAACAATATGGAAGGTGCAGAAGCTCCTATTACTGAGATATCGGGCAAATCAACATGATTTGGGTCATTATTCGAAGTTGTGACTCTCGTTCTGTGCCTTAATCCAGGCTATATTTCCCCCATGATTGTATAGAGGTAAAATCTAATTTAAATTAGCTAAGACATGATTGAAGATAGTAACGTGTATAAATAAGGAATCCAAAGGATTCATGGACCACAATGAGGTTTAAAAATAAAGACATCCACGGAGGAAAATGACAAACGTTCATCCTGGAGAAAGGATGGTAACATCTTTTTGTCTGAGAGAAGCTATGTCTCATTCTGAAGGTAAGTCCATCAGGCAATGTGAGCTATTAAACGGAATCTTGTGATTTTTCTGCTTTGGGCATAGCTGCTGACAGGGAAAGGACATGCAGTGAAGCCGATGCTAAAATTCTGTCTCCTTGAAAATTTTATTTCTCATTTGAATCCAAACATTGCCATTCCGGCAAAGCCCAGTAGTCTCTTGGAGGCTTGTTGGTACGATGCAGTAACCCCTAGTCAAATCAGTTTCAAGGCAGTGGCACGAGCATGTGTCTGAGCTTGGACGGTGGAGAGACAGTTTGGGCTGGGTGGAATTCATCAGTTTGGATAGTCAAGTAGCCTTCCCCAGGGGGAGGTAGTGACCCTTCTGCTGAGAGTGCCATGCCTGGAATGTGTACGTGAGTCCAATGAGAAGGCACATTATACCTATTCCTAAAGTAAACCTTCGGGACATTTCCATCTAGATGTCTGACTATATTGTGTTTTGTTTTTGTTTTTCAAAGCAAACACATGCAAAAACAAAGTGATTGAAAAACTTAGAACAGAATAAGTACGTGCCTTGGTCCCAGGACTACCTCCAAATTTACTTCCCAAAATCATTTAAAGTATTCATAAGAGGGGTCATGAATATTTCCTTCTGATTTTTCTCTGCATTTCTATTTACTGTGAATTATTTCTTGGAATTTAGAAATACGATTTTCCAGTGAGTGAACATAATACAATACTCATCATCTTTACCTTGCATCCTTCATGCTGTTGCGAAATCTGACTTCCAAACCCTTTACCTGAAGATTCTCGCTGGAAAAACCATTTTGCTTCTTCCTCTCGTTTGCTGCTTTATTTTTCCCCTTGTATTAAGTGACACAAAAGAGTTGTGATCTGCTCTGGGAAATGAACGCATTACTTGCTTGATGCAATGCACAGGCTTAAACTTTAATGGATTCTGCAGGTAAGACCAGTTCATAGCCAGAATTCTTTTATCCCACAGTGGTGACAGGAAAAGAGGAGCCAGGGATTTTCAACACTGAAGAATAAGAAATATAGGACATTTTGAAAGGGTAAGATGATCTACAAGTTCTAAAATATTTCATTTGCAATTTAAACATGCTCTTATATTCTACAAAGAATACAAATTTTGTAAGATTTTAAATAATTATACTGACATTTTGGTGCTTTTAAAAGTCACTGGTCATCTATTATTTAGAAAAAATAAAGTGGATTTAGATGTAAAAACATGCTTGAGTGTATTCAATATAGTGAGAAGTATTAGTCACTTTTTTCCCTTAGGCTTTAAGTTGAAATAACAAACAGTGGCACATTAGACTATTTTTATAGCTTGTTTATTACAAAATTAGTATTTCTAATGCTGAAGTCAAGAGTTTTCCCCTCTGATTTTGGTCAATGCTTATGATAAAACTAACTCCAGCACAGTCAACTCACACTTTCATTTGTATGCATCAACGCAAGTTGAGCCAACCAATATATCAGCCAATCAATCATTCAATCAATGGCTGATTCTATGTTGTATGCTTGGTATGGCTAGAAGTTGTGAGTAAAAAACAAAAACCAAAAGGTTAAAATATGATATCACTTCATTATGAGAATCTTATCATTTACTTGTTCCTAGCAAAATCTAAGCTTTGAAGCCAATAGGAAAGGTGGGGAGAGGATGAGGTCTGCCTGGCTCTAGCATTCTTTTGTAAGTGACTTTATCTTGGACAAGAGGTGGGACCACCTAAGGCTCTGCTTTCTTCTTTATAGAGTTTCCAAATCTGTTGATAAGATTAAATAAAATAATATTATTTAAAAACTAGCTTAGTTCCCGGCATATACATATGCACTCAAAAATATGAATTATGAACTTTTATTTATGATCTCATTATTAATTTATTGATTGATTCAGCAGACACATATACTATGGCACTGTTTTAGGTACTGGAAGTACAAATATGTATCATCCCCTTCCCTCAATGGGTCTATGACAAAATGAAGAAAACCAAAAGCACCGTTGATGAGATAAAAATTATCATTATTCAACTAAGTATACATTTATATAAAACTTTTTCTTTGTCTATTCCATATGTCATATGCCTATGTCATAGAGCAATTACAAAAACATAATGGACTGATAAAACTAGACACCAGCAATTACTGATTGCTTATTATGTGGCAAATACTTATAGTGTATTAATCAATAAGATTAATCTTAATCAATAAGATTAAGATTAATCTTATTGATTATCTTAAACAATCATAAAAACAATTCACTGTTAAAATTCCTGTTTAATGGACTGGGAAATGGAGTCTCACCTGTCAGGAAGATGGACAACTACATTTGGAGCATAAACATAGTTATCTCTGATATCAGTGTTGCAAAACTTACAATTGTGTGTGGGAGTCATTCAATTTTAGGGAAGTTTAGTGAAGCCAGAGAGAAATATCCAAAGGACGTCATTTAGTAATCTTTTATTGAAGTGTCCTGGATAAAACAGTGTGCTAAGCAACTCTCCAAGGAAGCGGCAGGTAGCTATGATATTGTATTCCTAGACCAGTCATCACCATCTTTTGGTAACCAGATCTTTTAAAGGCCTAAAAACATGGTCCCTGCGGAGGCTCCTGTATTATTACACTACTCTATTAGCCTGTTGATAGCTAACTGTTGCAAGAATTGACTCATGCTAGTGAGTCCCATTCATAAGATCTTGGGACTTCAGAGCCAGACAGCTGAGGTAGTTAAATCTGTATTATTACACAGGACTCTTGGTTACAATGGACTAAATCTAATGTATACTTTAACAATACAAGAAATCCACAGGTTCATGTAAGTGCAAGTTCCAAAGTAGTATTGGATTCATGTTAGGAATGACAAACTTACAAGATGTTGTTCAGAACCTGGTTTCTCCCTGTCTGTGTTTTGTCACTTCCATAATGTAAGCTTCAGTCTACAACTCCACTGGATAGATCCCCACAACTCACAAGACATTTTTCCTTATGACACCAAATGATGCAGCAATTTCAAACCTCATATTCTTAAACCTTACATTCCACGGAAATAAGGAACCTTATAGTAGCTTCCAAATATGAACTGGCAAAAGAAATAAAACTGGCATCCATCCTTTCATATTGGTTCAAATTAGGCCATGCGTGCCTTCCTGTACCAATCGCTATGTCCAAGATTGAGATGAGTGGGTGGGATGTGCCAATTGATGTAAGCTAATTTACGTTTATCTGTGTTCTGGTCTGAAGCTAGGTATACGCTCAATATGGTACTATACAATCTCATATTTGGAAACAGAATGTGAATTAAACTTGTAAGACAAATCAAACCATAGTTGGTAGGGAAAATTTAGGGGGAAATAATGCTGAAGAGGAAATCATATATGGACACCACAGTTCACTGCTTTGGCTACATTATCTAAATCTGTGAGTACCAGTTTTTACATGTAGTGTGAGACAAAATGCAAAAGGGTTGATATAGTTCATGTTTCCTGTCATGTGGAAAAAGCAGGTCTGCAAAAATGTAAAAGAGCAATGGATGAAATCAACACCTATGAAGGAAAAAGACCATACTGTAGACTCCTGAAAGCGTTCAAGCTTCGGTTTTCATTTGCGTTTGAAGCTCTGATGCATTACTGTCCCTGTGCCCCTCCACAGCTTGTTTAGTGACAAGGTACTTTAGTAACCTAATAAATTTCTATCTTTACTTAGGTTGGTTTATGCTGGGATTTAGTAAATTGCAAAGAAGAGAGCTAAGGAATACTAACATGAGACAAAATACAAAAATGAATAATATGGGATTTCTGTTCAGGAGAGAAAAGATCTAAAGGGCAAGATTAGACAGTTTGTTTACTTTAAACACATTCCTTTTTCCTCACCTCTGTAGATGTCACTATTACTTTCTATTGCATCGTTTTCCTTATTCCATTTAATTGATCATCAGGTCCCTCAGATCCACCCATTTCTTTCCAACACTGCTGCCACCTTTCCAGCCTGTAAAAACATCTACACTTGACCAGATGCCTGTATTAGCCTACTAACTGAGCACACACTATGGTTGTTAGCACTTTTCCCAAAAAAACATTATCCATATAAGAGAAAGAGACTTTTAGACAAGGGAAGAGTCATGCTACTCTTCAACTTGCATCCTTTGGCAGTTCCTTATTCTACTTTGAAGTGCACTGAATTTTCTTGCATGGCCTCAAAGCCCTATATTATGGTTCTGCTGACTGATTTCACCACTTTCTCCCTTGCTCATTACTCCGTAATTACTCAGGACATTTCTTAGTTTCTTACATATTGAGTTCTCACTGCATTCGGTTTATCCCACATTCAGGCCCCTCTGGCTGGACTTCTCTTACCCTGCTCTTTTGATGGTTGTCATCTTCTTATTCTGTTAGTTTTGCTTTAAGGTCTTTCCACAGACCTTTGCTGAACTTTGACTCATGTGAGTCTTCTCCCCATTGTCATGTCTTTATTTTCTTCATAGTTCTTATAAAAACTTACAATTATGATTTGCTTGTACTGATTTGCTTATAAACTATCTCTACCATTAGGCTTTCATCTTCAAGAAGGTAGGAGCTAATCTGTTTAATATCACATTTGTACCCCCAGCCCCGACATGACATGCTTGCCTAACGTAATGTCTGTGCTCAAAAATGATTGCTAAGGGAATGAAACAAATAATTGTATTAAAATGGGTGATAGGTTGGTTCTAGGTAAATTACTTGGAGTTAAAATTTGGTGTTTGGTCAATGAGGAATATGGGTAAAATATAAGCTAAATGGGGAAAGGGGATCATTAAATGTCAGTCTTAACAACATGGATTTTAATAACTGCTACATATTGTATTTGAAAAATTTGTAGTAGATAATTTACATATGTCATACCATCTATTACTTTTTGGTAATATAAGAAGAGAGGTATTCCAACTGACGTCGTACTTAATGGTGAAACACTGGATGCTTTTCCCTCAGGTCAGGAACAAGATAAGGAGGGTTGCTGTCAGCACTTCCATTCAACATTTTATTGGAGGGTCTAGTTTGGGAAATAAACAAGAAAAAAATATAAAAGTCACATAGATTGGAAAGTAAGAAGAAAAACTATTTCTACTCACAGATAATAAGAGGTTATAGATATAGAAAAACCTAAGGAATCCACTAAAAATTACTAGAACAAATAAATGAGTTCAGTGAGGTTACAGGACAAAGATCAACATAAAAAATTGTATTTCTGTATACTAGTAATGAACATTCCAGAAATGAAATTAAGAAAACAAGCCAATTACAATAGCATCAAAATGAGTAAAAAACTTACACATTAATTTCATAAAAGAAGTACAAGGCTTTTATACTGAAAAGAACAAAACATGGTTGGAAGAAATTAAATAAGACGTATGAAACGTCATTCAATGTACACGGATAGGAAAACTTAAGATAGCGATACACGCCTAATTCTCAACAGATGTACCGCAATCCTTATCAAAATCTCCCATGCCTTTTTGCATAAATTAACAAGTAGATCTAGAATTCATATAGGGACCCAGAATAGTCAAATCAATCTTGATGAAGAACAAGACTGGGGGACTTTCACTTTTCAATTTCAAAGCTTACTACAAAGCAACAATAATCAAGATCATGTGATACTAGCCTAAGGACAGCCTGTTGATCAATAGAATGAAATTGAGAGTCCAGAAATAAAGTCCTACATTTATGGCTAATTGATTTTCAACAAGGATGCCAAAACAATTCAGTGAGAAAAAAAAAAAAAAAAAGAGTCTTTTCAACAAATGGTGCCCAGACAATTGGATATCCACATGCAAAAAAAAAAAAAAAAAAAAAAATTAAGTTGGACCCCAACCACATACCATATATAAAAAACTAATTTAAAATATATGACAAACCTATATGTAAGAGTCAAAAATACAAAACTCTTAGAAGAAAACATGAGAATACATCTTCATAAAATTTATCAGATACTATACTAAAAGCAAAAGCAATAAAAGAAAAAAATAAATTGGAGTTCACGGAAATTAAAATATTTTTGCACTACAAAACATGATTTTACTGACTGGGAGAAAATGTTGGCAAATCATATAACTGATGAGGGACCTGTATCTAGAATACATCAAAAATTCTTTTAACTCAATAAGACAAATAGCTATTTTTTTTAAAAAAATGAGCAAATAAATCTGCCTAGATATATCTCTAAAGAAGATATATTGAATTGCATAAGCATGAGAAAAGATGCTCAACATCATTAGCTATTAAGGAATGCAAATCAAAACCACAACGAGATACCACTCCAATTCCAACACAATGGCTGTAATGAAAATGACGGACAGTGAAAAGTGTTAGGATGTAGAAAAATTGGAGCTCTCATACATTTCTGGTGGGAATCTAAAATGGCACACTCACTTTGGAAAACAGTTTGGTAATTCCTCAACAGGTGAAACATAAGATTATCATATGACCCACCAATTCTACTCCTAGACATCTAACCAAGAAAAACAAAAACATATGCCCATACAATTACTGTATATATCAACGTACATAGTGGAATTATTCATAATAGCAAAATGTGAAAAAAATCCATAGTCCATCAACTGATGGATCAAGAAAATGCAGTATAGTTATTCGATCGAGTACCATTTATCAATAAAAATGAAGTCCTGATATATGCCACAGCATGAATGAATCTCAAAAACATAATGTTATACTTAAAAATACAAAGACCACATATGTTATGATTTTATTTATGTGATGTCCGGAATAGGCAGATCTGTAAAAACAGAAAGTAGATGAATAGTCACCTATGGCTGCTGGGTTGGGAAATAAAAGGAGGATGGGTGTGACTGCTAGTGGGCACAAGATTTCTTTTTAGAGCATGAAAATATTCTTAAATTAGATTATAGTGATATAAATCTGTAAAACATTCATTTATGTACTTTAAACAGATGAGTTTTGTGGTATGTAAATTATATCTCAATAAATTCATTGAGAGAGAGAGAGATTATTAAACCTAAATTAAGAAACAAGGACTGCAACAGCATTATGCCTCTAGAAAGCAGCAAATCCAGATTTGATCCAGATATGTCTGGCTTCCTTCAGTGTCTGTGTTTCAGTTTTCCTTTTTTTTTTTTTTTTTCCAAGCAGCCAAATCCAGCTCTGACTAATTTAGCTTTACCTTCCTGAAAAGGAACCACATAAAAGAGATATGTTAGAAAGCTATTGAACAGGTCACAAAACTGAAGTGCTGAAAAAGCATGTCTCATAAGATAAAAGGATCAGTAAAATTAGAGGACCTTAGTAGTGGGATCACATGGTCAATTTCTTTTCAGTGCTGCTCTGTATCCCTTCCCAGAAATACACAAATGTCCTTTGGGCCTTGTTAGGGTTCTGTGTCTACCCTTGTGATAAGGGGTTACGGGTACAAGTATTTTCAATTCGTTGGATCAACATGAAATGAATGGGATGTTTACCAAAAGAAGGAACACTAAATAGCTCGTCAAATGTGCTCAGGCGCCTCTAAAGCCCCATCTTCTCTACCTAGTTCTTGCCCCCTAGTACAGCCATGTTTGCGACAAAAATCAGGCAAGTCAATCATTGGGTCGAAATGGTTTAAAAGTTTTCAAATTTGTGTCTCATAGATATATCCGCAGAACTATTATATGGAACATAATAATATTTGCATATTTAACTTTACCTTGGGCTGGGGACATACTAATGTATTTAGGAAGCTTCGCTAATTGTCAGACTCTTTGGATAATAGATTGCTAAATGCAGGCAATAAGAAATGCCTACCATTCCCAATGCCCTGCTATCCTCTGCAATTGATTGTATTAACATCAGTGATGGCATTCTGAGGAAATCACTTTGGTGGATCAAAATAAACAAAGCTAATCTAGAGCAGAGAAAGCTGAAAAGATTTGGTAATAGTCATATCTTGAAACTGTAGAGCTTAGAAAAGCAGAAGGACATCAAAATTAAATAAAATAAATCATTTTAAAAGTCTGATCTCACTATTCTATTTTTTTCAATTCTAAGACCAGACAGCTTTTAAATAAAGAGACCTGGTTGGTGAGATGTTGCTTCTTTCAGAATTCAGAAATTTTAAATTAAAAAGTAATTTCTGTTCATTTTGGTGACATTAAGTACACATTTGAAATCATTTTATATGTCAGATTGGTATCTCAAAATATCTATATAAACTGGAATATATTAGAAGTATGTTAAAGGTACTGCTGATAAAAAAAATTGATGTAAATCAAATTATTATCTTGAATCAGTTTCATAAATGCTTGAGTTCATTCTTTCATTTACCTCACATACTTCTTCCTTTCTTGTCCTTCATTTCTCTACTTTGCTATTCCTTTCCTTATTACTTAATTTTAAAAATATTTATGAATAAGATACCATGGTGGACATTAGAGATAAAATAGCCTCTGTCCCCATGAGCTTATAGTCTAATTGGAGAGAGAAAGATATTAATCAAACAATAAAGTACACACATATACATAATTATAACCAAAAAGTATAGTTTGGTTTGAAAAATAATTTGAATTACCTTATCTAGACTGGGGAAGCAGGAAGGCTGTTTGAGGAAGTAGCATTTGTGTTGAGACTTGAAGTATTGAGAGAGGTCTAGGCAAGTGGGGTGCTTGCATGTGTGGAAGGAGACAAAAGAACGTCCCCTTCAGTGGGAATGGCATGTGCAAAGGCGCTCATGGCCTAACAGATCAAGCTTTCTTTGAGAGCATGAAAGAAGGCAGCACATCTAAAGTTCAGAGGATGAAAATAAGCGTGGATTGAGATGAGGTTGGCGAGGAAAGCCAGGATCATGAGAGGCCTAGAAAGCCACAGAGTTTTAAATGGGTAAGGGAAAAGGTCAGACTTGCGTTAAAAAAAAAAAAAAAAAAAAAAAAAACTCTAACTAATTGGCCAGGTGTGGTGACTAATGCCTGTAATCCTAGCACTTTGTTAGGCTGAGGCAGGAAGACTGCTTGAGGCCAAGAGTTCAAGACCAACCTGGCCAACATAGGGAGACCCCTGTCTCAAGAAAAAAACAAAACAAAACAAAACAACAACAACAAAAAAACAACTAACTAATTTAATGAAGACTACACTGGAAAAAAAGCAGGAGCAGATGCAAAGAAAAACAGTTAAGTAGCTCCAGATGAAAGATACAGGTTTCATTTTGTTAGTCTCTGTTCTGTCCCATTAGTCAATTTGCTTAACTGTTTGGAAATTTTTCTTTCTTATCTGTAAAATGAGAATTAAAATAATATTTATTCAATAAGGTATTTATGAAGACTGAGTGAGATTAAGTTGGAAACTAGTCACCATGTCACAGGCTTTAAAAGTGTTAGCTTTAATTACATGATGTCCTTGGAGTAGGAATAGCACAAGGAATGAGGTAAAGTTAACTACAGCTGTAAAAACTAGTTTCATTTAAGTTGACATTAGAGTGTAAGTCTTGAATATCCAAAGTAGTTGTTATCTTCTGAAATCTGAGAATAGCTTTTATAGTTTTTTATTTTTTCGAAATTATATTTTAGGTTCAGAGGTTACATGTGCAGGTTGGCTACTTGGGTAAATTTTGTGTCACGGGAGTTTGGTGTACAGAATATTTCATCGCCAAGGTAACGGTCAAGTATCAACTTTAGGTCCTGAATATCTGTTAGTTTTCTGCCTCAGTGATCTGTCTAATACTGGCAGTGGAACATTGAAGTCTCCCACTATTATTGTGTGATTATCTCTCTTTGCAGGTCTTTAAGAACTTGTTTTATAAATCTGGGTGCTCCAGTGTTGGGTGTATATATTTACGACAGTTAAGTCTTCTTAATGAATTGAACCCTTTATCCTTATGTAATATTCTTCTTTGTCCTTTTTGATCATGTTGTTTTAAAGTCTGTTTTGTCTGAAATAAGAATAACAACCCCTACTCTTTTTTGTTTTCCATTTGCTTGATAGATTTCTCTCCATCCCTTTACATTGAGCCTCTCGGTGTCATTGCATATCAGATGGGTCTCTTCAAGACAGCATACAGTTTGGTCTTGTTCCTTTATCCAACGTGCCACTCTGTGCTTTTTAGCTGGGACATTTAGCCAACTTACATTTAAGGTTAGTATTTGATCCCATCATCATGTTGTTAGCTAGTTGTTTTGTAGACTTGATTGTGTAGTTGCTATATAGCAGCAGTACTCAATATTTTTGACACCAGGCACTGGTTTTGTGGAAGACAATTTTTCCATAGTTTTGGGTGGGGGATGGTTTTGGGATGATTCAAGTGCGTTACATTTATTGTGAACTTTATTTATATTATTATGACATTGTACTATATAATGAAGTAATTATACAACTCACTGTAATGCAGAATCAGTGGGAGCCCTGAGCTTCTTTTCCTGCAATCAGACAGTCCCATCTGGAGGTGTTGGGAGACAGTGACAGATCATCAGGCACTAGATTCTTATAAGGAGCACACAACTTAGAACCCTCATATGCATCGTTCACAATGGGGTTCATGCTCCTATGAGAATCTAATGCTGCTGCTGATCTGTCAGGGGGCAGAACACAGGCAGTAATGCAAGCAATGGGGAGCGGCTGTAAATACAGATGAAGCTTTATTTGCTTGCCCACCACTCACCTCCTGCTGTGCAGCCTGGTTTCTTTTTTTCCCTTCAACTTTTATTTTAAGTTCAGATGTACATGTGCACGTTGTGCACATTTGTTACACAGGTAAATGTGTGCCATGGTGGTTTGTGGCACAGAACATCCCATCACCTAGGTATTAAGCCCAGCATCCATTAGTTATTTTTCCTGATGTTCTCCCTCCCCTAACCCCCTGACAACCACTAGTGTGTGTTGTTCCCCCCGATGTGTCCATATGTCCTCATCATTCAGCTCTCACCTATAAGTGAGAACATGCGGTGTTTGGTTTTCTGTTCCTGCATTAGTTTGCTAAGGATAATGGCTTCCAGTTTCATCCATGTCCCTGCAAAGAACATGATCAATCTTATTTCTTTTTATGGCTGCATAGTATTTCACGGTGTATATGTGCCACATTTTCTTTATGCAGTCTATCATTGATGGGCATTTAGGTTGATTCTATGTCTTTGCTAATGTGAATAGTGAAGCTCAGTTTCTAACAGGCCACAGGCTGATACCGACAGTCCATGGCCCAGAACATGGAGACTCCTGCTTTAGAGTGTCAGTGGTCTAAGTACTTTGCTGCGTTTTTGTGGTGTCTGGTAATGGTTCATTGTTTCCATGTTCAGCACTCCTCTTGTAAGGCAGGTCTGGTGGTAATGAATTCCCTTAGCATTTGCTTGTCTAAAAAGGATTTTATTTCCCCTTCACTTATGAAGCTTAGTTTGGCTGACTATGAAATTTTTGGTTAAAATTTCTTTTCTTTAAGGATGCTGACTATAGGCCTCCAATCTGGCTTGTAGGGTTTCTGCTGAAAGGTCCTCTGTTAGGCTGATGGGGTTTCCTTTGTAGGTGACCTGCCCCTTCGCTCTAGGTGCTTTTAATATTTTCCTTTCACACTGAACTTGGAGAATCTGATGAGTGTGTGTCTTGGGGAGGGTCGTCTTGCATAGTATCTCGCTGTGATTTCTCTAAATTTCCTGAATTTGAATATTGAGCTCTTTAGTGGGGTTGAGGAAATTTTCAAGAACAGTATCCTCAAATATGTTCTCAAATTTGCTTTCTCTCTCTCCCTCACTTTCAGGGATACCAATGTGTTACAGGTGGTCTGTTTACACAATCCCTTATTTCTCAGAGGTTTTGTCCATTCTTTTTTATTCTCTTTTTAAAAAAAATAATGTTTTTCTTATTTTTTTTCTGACTGAGTTGATTTTAAGAACCAGTCTTCGAGCTCTGAGATTGTTCCCTCAGTGTGGCCTATTCTGCAGTTAATTCTTCCAATTGTATTATGAAATTCTTATATTACAAAATTCTTGTAGTGAGTATTTTTGCTCTTTCAGATCAGTTTGGTCCTTTCTTAAAATGGCTATTTTTGTTTTTCAGCTCTTGTATCATTTTACTGGATTCCTTCAATTCCTTAAATTGGGTTTCAACTTTCTCCTGAGTCTTGATGATCTTTGTTGCCATCGAGATTCAGAATTCTATGTCTGTTATTCCAGGAGCTAATGTGATCATTTGGAGGTAAGAAGACACTCTGAATTTTTAAGTTGCCAGAGCTCTTGCACTGATTCTGTCTCATCTGTGTGGGTTGATGTTTCTTTAATCTTTGCAGTTGCTGTCCTTTGTATGGGGCTTTTTGCTTTTACAGGCTTTGATGTCCTTGCAGGTCTAACTGTGGAGTACGTTGGGTTCAGTCAACTGGCTTTGTTTCTGGATGATTTCAAGGGGCCAAGGCTCAGCTCACTACTCCTGGGCTGCATGCCAGGCCCATGGTTTGTTCTTTGGCCCCTTAAGGTTGAGCATCAGCTATGCTGGAGGGGCTGAGGTGTTTCTGGTCTTCTGGCAAAAATACTCTTAAGGGGGAAAAGAATGCCAGCAAAAGCTTTTAATCAGGGTGGTGGCAGCAGGGTCTGTGTGTGCGTACACAGCCCATACCAGCTGTGGAGGACTGTGGCCACAGCACCTTTTCAGGCCTGACCCTGACCCATCTCTCCTCACTGGGTGAGGCCTCCCTGCACAAATTCCAATGACTCCAGCCAGGAGCTCAGGGACATAACCCTGATCTCCCTGGGCCTGCGCCCCTAGGGGGAGGGATGGCCTCAGTCTCTGTGGACCAGCAGACTTAGCCTTTCCTCCTGGCAGTTCTGAGGAATCCAGGCAGCCCAGATGACTGGGTTTACCCCCAGCAAAGCACACCACCTCCACCAAGGGACAGTCAAAGTACTTCCTTAAACAGGTCCTGTTCCCCATGCCACCCAACTGACTCTCCAACAGGGATTGTCAGACACCCTATACAGGAGCGATCCTACTGGCATCAGGTTGGTGCCCCATAGGTCAGAGATCCCAGAACAAGGAGAGGCACCCATATTTGCTGTTCTCCAGCCTCCTTGAGTGACATCTCCAGTGCAGGAGTGAACCAGTTGAATAGGGCCTGAAGTGAATTTCCAGAAAACCACAGCAGCCCTACAGAAGAGGGACGTGACCATTGAAAGAAAAACAAACAGAAAGCAACAACAACAGCATCAAAAACAACAAAAAGTCCCCACAAAAACCTCATCCAATGGTCAAGCAGCCTCAAAGATCGAAACTAGACAAACTCATTATGATGAGAAAGAATCAATGATAAAATGCTGAAAACCCCAAAGGGCAGAGTGCCTCTTCTCCTCCAAATGATTGCAATGGTTCTCCAACAAGGGTGCAGAACTGGACAGAGGATGAGAAGGACAAATTGACAGAAGTAGGCTTCAGAAGGTGAGTAACAAAAAACTGTGCCGAGCTAAAGGAGCATGTTCTAACCCAATGCAAAATAGCTAAGTACCTTGATAAAAGGTTAAAGGAGCTTCTAACTAGAATAACCAGTTTAGAGAGGAACATAAATTACCTGATGGAGCTGAAAAACACAGGATGAGAACTCTGTGAAGCATACAAAAGTATCAATAGCCAAATTGACCAAGTGAAAGAAAGGATATCAGAGTTCGAAGACTACCTTGCTGAAATAGGGCATTTAGATGAGGTTAAGGAAAAAACAATGAAAGGGAATGAACAAAGCCTCCGAGAAATATAGGACTACATGAAAAGACTGAACATACGATTGATTGGAGTACCTGAAAGAGACATGAGGAATGAAAACAAGCTGGAAAACATACTTCAGGATATTATACAGGAGAACTTCCCCAACCCAGATAAAAAGGCCAATATACAAATTCAGGAAATACAGAGAACACCACTAAGATATTCCATGAGAAGATCAACCCCAAGACATATAATCATCAGATTCTCCAAGGCCGAAATGAAAGAAAAAATGTTAAGGGCAGCCAGAGAAAAAGGCCAGATTACCTACAAAGGAAAGCTCATCAGACTAACAGCAGACTTTTCAGCAGAAACCCTACAAGCCAGAAGAGAGTGGAGGCTAATATTCAACATTCTTAAAGAAAATAATTTTTCAACCCAGAATTTTATGTCCAGACAAACTGAGCTTCATAAGCAAAGGAGAAATAAAATCCTTTCCAGAAAAGCAAATGCTGAGAGATTTCATGACCACCAGGCCTGCCTTGCAAGAGCTCCTGAAGGAAGCACTAACTATGGAAAGGAAACACCGGTACCAGCCACTACAGAAACACACCAAAATATAAAGACCAATAACACTACAAAGAAACTACATCAATTAGTGTGCAAAATAACCAGATAGCACCATGAGGACAGGATCAAATTCACACATAAGAATACTAACCTTAAATGTGAGTGGGCTAAACATCCCAATTAAAAGACACAGACTGGCAAATTGGATAGAGTCAAGACCCATAGGTGTACTGTATTCAGGAAACCCACCTCTCATGCAAAGACACACACAACATAAAGAAATGGAAGAAAATTTACCAAGCAAATGGAAAGAAAAAAAAAAAGCAGGGGTTGCAATTATAGTCTCTGACAAAACAGATTTTAAACAAACAAAGATCAAAAAGGACAAAGAAGGGCATTACATAATGGCAAAGGGATCAATTCAACAAGAAGAGCTAACTATCCTAAATATACATGCACCCAATACAGGAGCACCCAGATTCATAAAACAAGTTCTTAGAGACATAAAAAGAGACTTAGACTCCAACACAATAATAGTGGGAGACTTTAACACCCCACTGTCAATATTAGACAGATCAACAAGACAGAAAATTAACAAGGATATTCAGTAGTTGAGCTGAGCTCTAGATCAAGTGGACCTAATAGATATATGCAGAACTCTTTACCCCAAATCAACAGAATATACATTCTTCTCCATGCCATATGACACTTATTCTAAAATTGACCACATAATTGGAAGTAAAACACTCCTCAGCAAATGCAAAAGGAATGAAATCATAACAGTCTCTCAGACTACAGTACAATCCAATTAGAACCGAGGATTAAGAAACTCACTCAAAACCACACAATTACATGGAAATTGAACAAACTGCTCCTGAATGACTCCTGAGTAAATAATGAAATTAAGGCAGAAATCAAGAAGTTATTTGAAACCAATGAGAACAAGGAAACAATGTACCAGAGTCTCTGGGACACAGAGAAAGCTGTGGGAAATTTATAACAATAAATGCCTACATCAGAAAGCTAGAAAGAGCGCAAATCGACACCCTAACATCATTATTAAAAGAGCTAGATAAACAAGGGCAAACTAATCCAAGAGCTAGCAGAAGACAATAAATAAGGTCAGAGAAAAATTCAAGGAAATACAGAAATAAACACCCTCTTCCCAAAAAATCAATGAATCCAGGAGCTGTTTTTTAGAAAAAATTAAGAAAATAAGTAGGCTACTAGCTAGACTAATGAAAGAGAAAAGAATCAAATAGACACAATAAAAAGTGACAATGGGGATATCACCACTGACCCCACAGATATACAAACTACCATCATAGAATACTATAAACACCTCTGTGCAAATATGTCTAGAAGAAATGGATAAATTCCTGAACACATACACCCTCCCAAGACTAAACCAGGGAGAAGCTGAGTCCCTGAAAAGACCAATAACAAGTTCTGAAATTGAGGCAGTAATTAATAGACTACCAACAAAGAAAACCCAGGGCCAGATGGATTCACAGCCGAATTCTACCAGAGGTGCAAAGAGGAGCTAGTACCATTCTTTCTGAAACTATTCCAAACAGTTGTAAAGGAGGGACTCCTCCATAACTCATCTTATTCTGCATTATCCTGCAACTCGTCTCATCCAGCATTATCCTGATACCAAAACCTGGCAGAGACACAAGAAAAAAAACTTCAGGCCTATATTCCTGGTGAAAATTGATGCAAAAATCCTCAGTAAAATACTGGCAAACTGAATCCAGCAGCACATCGAAAAACTTATCCACCATGATCAAGTTGGCTTCATCGCTGGGATGCAAGGCTGGTTTGACATAGGCAAATCAATAAATGTAATCTACCACATAAACAGAACCAAAGACAAAAACCACATGATTATCTCAATAGGTGCAGAAAAGGCCTTCGATAAAATTCAACATCCTTTCATGTTAAAGACTCTCAATAAACTAGGCATTGATTAAACATATCTCAAAATAATAAGAGCTATTTATGACAAACCAACAGCCAATATCATATTGGATGGGCAAAAGCTGGAAGCATTCCCTTTGAAAACCAGTACAAGACAAGGATGTCCTCTCTCACCACTCCTATTAAACATAGTATTGGGAGGTCTGGCCAGGGCAATTAGACAAGAGAAAGAAATAAAGCGTATTCAAATATGAAGAGAGAAATTCAAGTTGTCTCTGTTTGAAGATGACATATTTCCTTATTTAGAAAACCTCATCATCTCAGCCCAAAAACTCCTTAAGCTGATAAGCAATTTCAGCAAAGTCTCAGGACACAAAATCAATGTGCAAAAATCACAAGCATTCCTTTACACCAACAATAAACAAGCAGAGAGCCAAATTATGAATGACTCCCATTCACAATTGCTACAAAGAGAATATAATACCTAGGAATGCAACTTACGAGGGACGTGAAGGACTTCTTTAAGGAGAACTACAAACCACTGCTCAAGGAAATAAGAGAGGACAATAAACAAATGGAACATACATTCCATCCTCATGGATAGGAAGAATCAATATCGTGAAAATGGCCATACTGCCCAGAGTAATCTACAGATTCAATGCTATTCAAACTACCATTGAATTCTTCACAGAATTAGAAAAAACTACTTTAAATTTCATATGGAACCAGAGAAGACCCCCTATAGTCAACACAATCCTAAGCAAAAAGAACAAAGCTGGAAGCATCATGCAACCTGACTTCGAACTATACTACAAGGCTACAGTAAGCAAAACAGCATAGTACTGGTACCAAAACAAATATGTACACCAATGGAACAGAACAGAGACCTCAGAAATAACACCACACATCTATAACCATCTTCGACAAACCTGACAAAAACAATCAATGGGGAAGGGATTTCCTATTCAATAAATGGTGCTAGGAAAACTGACTACCTATATGCAGAAAACCGTAACTGGACCCCTTCCTTACACCTTATTCAAAAATTAACTTAAGATGGATTAAAGATGTAAATGTAAAACCTAAAACCATAAAAACTCTAGAAGAAAACCTAGGCAATATCACTCAGGTCATAGGCATGGACAAAGACTTCATGACAAAAATGCCAAAAGCAATTGCAACAAAAGCCAAAATTGACAAATGGGATCTAACTAAACTAAAGAGCTTCTGCACAGCAAAAGAAACTATCATCAGAGTGAACAGGCAACCTACAGAATGGGAGAAATTTTTTGCAATCTACCTATCTGACAAAGGTCTAATACCCAGAATCTACCAGGAACTTAAACAAATTTACAAGAAAAAAAATCAAACAACCCCATCAAAAAGCGGCCAAAGGAAATGAACAGACACGTCTCAACAGAAGACATTTACATGGCCAAAAACCATATGAAGAAAAGCTCAACATCACTGATCATTAGAGAAATGCAAATCAAAACCACAATGAGATACCATCTCATGCCAGTCAGAATAGCGATTATTGAAAGTTGAGAAAAATTAGATGCTGGTGAGGCTGTGGAGAAATAGGAACGCTTTTACACTGTTGATGGCAATGTAAATTAGTTGACCCATTGTGGAAAACTGTGTGGTGATTCCTCAAGGATCTAGAACCAGAAATAACACATGACCCAGCAATCCCATTCCTGGGTATATATCTTAAGGATTATAAATCATTACACTATAAAGATACATGCACACATATGTTTATTACAGCACTATTTACAATAGCAAAGACATGGAACCAACCCAAATGCCCATCAGTAACAGATTGGATAAAGAAAATATGACACATATACACCATGGAATACTATGCAGCCATGAAAAGGAATGAGATCATGTCCATTGAAGGGACATGGATGAAGCTGGAAGCCATCACCCTCAGCAAACTAACACAGGAACACAAAACCAAACACTACATGTTCTCACTCATAAGTGGGAGTTGAACAATGAGAACACATGGACACAGGGAGGGGAGCATCACACACTGGGGCCTGTTGGGGAGTGGGTGCCTAGGGGAGGGAACTTAGAGGATGGGTCAATAGGTGCAGCAAACCACCATGGCACACGTTTACGTATGTAACAAACCTGCATGTTCTGTACACGTATCCCAGAACTTAAAGTAAATTTTTTTTAAAAAATGAATTAAAATAAATTAAAGCATGTTGAGCTTGTTAAGTAGATAGTTAAAATACTAGTTGTCCTATCTTGTCCCTTTAAGTACTTTCTTTAAGCTTTGCTATAGCAGATCTTCTGTGGCCATCACTCCAAGGACAGTTTGACCATACTAAGGCATAATCCCACTGGTTCTCCACTGAATGTCCCAGGTGTTTCCTGAGAACTCTCCATTCTGGCTCCTCAGTGCTGAAATGTCTCTCTACCATATGTTAGCTCTAGAAATGGTTTGGTTTACAATTTTTGAGTTGTTCATTTCTCAGCATTGTGGAATTTCATTGTTTGTATATATTACCTAATAACCTACAACTTAAGAGGATTCCTATGTAGATTTCTGAGTTATATGTATATGCCATACTTTATCCATTCATCTGTCAATGGGCATTTCAGGTATTTCCATACTGTGGCTATTGTGAATAATACTATCATAAACATGAGAGTGCAGATATCTCTTTGAGATCCCTTTTCAATTCCTTTGAATACGTATCCAGAAGTGCAATTGCTGGATCTTGTGGTAATTCTATTTTTAATTTTTCATGGAACCCTCATACTGTTTTCCATAGTGGTTGGCAACATTTTACATTCCCATCAATAGTGTACAAGGGTTCTAATTTCTCCACATCCTTGGGAAAGTTTGCTATTTTTTTTAATAGCAGACATCTTAATAGGTGTGAGGTATCTCTTTCTGCTTCTGACTTGTATTTCTCTGATGAGTGGTGATGTTGAGCATTTTTAAATAATTGTTGGCCATTTGTATATATTCTTTGGAGAAATGCCTATTCAAGTCATTTCCCCCTTTTTAAATAAGGATACTATTTTTTTTTTTGCTACTGAGTTATCACAACAGCTTCAAAAATAATAAAATACATAGGAGTAAACCTAACCAAGAAGATGAAAGCCTTGTGCAATGAAAACCACAAATTAGTAATAAAAAGAAATCGAAGAAGGCACAAATAAATGGAAAACATTGTATGTTCGTATTGTTAAATTATTGATACTACCCAAAGCAGTCTACAAATTCAATGCTATACCTATGAAAATTCTAACTGCATTTTTTACAGATACATAGAAGCAATTTTAAAATTTATTTATAACTACAAAAGCCCCAAATAGCCAAATAAACCTTAAGGTAGAACAAAGTCAGATTTCAAAATACATTACAAAGCTCCAAGATTAAATCAGTATGATATTGGCATAAAAACAGACATATAAACAAAAGTGACAGAATAGAGATCTCAGAACTAAACCCACACATACATATTCAACTGATCTTCAAAAAAGGGGCCAAGAATACACAATGGGATAAGAATAATCTCTTCAATAAATGGTCTTGGAAGAACCGGCTGTCTGTGTGCAAAAGAATAAAATTGGACCCTTATCTTACACCATACATAGAAGTAAATTCAAAGTGAATTTACAAGTTAAACAAAAGACTTGAAACTATAGAAACCTTAGAGGAAAACTAAGGGAAAAGCTCCATGACATTGGTCTTGGAAATTTTTGATTGTATATGACAAACACACAAGCAACAAAAGTAAAACTGGACAGATAAAATTACATCAAACTAAAATGACCCTTCGTGGTAAAGAAAACAAACAGGATAAACAGGAAAACTGTGGAATGGAATTAAATTTTTCAAACATATATCTGATAGGGAATTAATATCCAAAATACATAAGGAACTTACACTATGCAATAGCAAACAACAGCAACTAAATAATGGGGAAAGAATTTGAATAGACATTTCTTCCATTGTCTTTAAACAGTTTTATATATTTTGTCTAGTTTTCTAGCAAGAAGTTAAGCTTAGTCCTTGTTACCCCGTGTAATCTAGAAATGGAAGTAATGTCGTGGACCAGAGACTTGACTGATAGTACGCCTCATATTTTAACTTATACATAACCTGTGCTACATTTTTGCTTTGAATTTCTACAATTCCTTCAGTATCTACTAATGATTAATAATATAATTAAAGTTATTTTCTGTGTAGTTTAAGCTTCCAATACCATCCAGTATCATCCATTTGATGATAAGATGACATTCTCAAAATGATTTCAGGATTTTGAAACTTTTAAACATCATAAACAAAATGATTATTCTGGTGAAAAAATATCCCATAAAAATCTTAAAGTAGAATGTTACTGAGTGTTTAGAAAGTTAATGTGTGGGACCAAATATATAAAATTGATATCTGGGGAACCATCAAAATCTACTTAGAAGACATTAAGTTATTTACAAAGCACTTTTTTAACAGCATTTGCTGTTTGATGTTTAATAACCCAGTCCTTCAAATATTACATATCACTAGAATTAACATCAATAAAAATCATTAGTGCCTAGTTTGCAAGCTTCCCTTGCTTTTATTTTATTCTATTTTCCTAACTCCTTGAGGTGGGCTCAGAGTCCTTGGTTGTAGCAAGGCCAGAGAGCAGTTTCAGTGGTGAACTTGTAAAATAGCCAATATTCCCAGCTAATTCACACTGGCTATCCAGAGAAGGAAATTCACTATCTGCCAGTTGAAAGTCCCTAGGTAGAATGAAGGCGACATTGTAAGTCTGCAAAACATGAGTTTACTGATTCATATTTAGATGAGCTAAGAAAAGTTCTTGAGAATCTCTTGAGCAGACAGGCTCAACATATCTTTTTGGGGACACAATTCAACCCATTGCAAACACAGTAGTATGCATTTTGTGGCACACTACCAGTGCAACTCAATGTCTTTTAGTAAATTAGTAGATACTAATGCAACTGAATGTCTTTTAGTAAATTAGTAGATACTAATGCAACTCAATGTCTTTTAGTTGAATTCTTAGTATTCAACTAAATGCATACCACCACAGTTGCACCATTGGAATAAACTCTTGCCAAACTTATTCCAATGCTTTCACCAAGGTGGAACTGATTAATTCGTATGTTTTTCTTTTTAACTGCTGTTTATTTCATAGTTAAATAGTTTTTTTTTTCTTATTTTAGTGTCTCAAGGAGAAGACTCAGTGCCAGAGCAAATAGAAATAGCAGCTGGTAGAAACTTAGGTTTCTCTTGACCAAGCTTCACCTGTGTCCTTAACAGAGCTTATTCTAGTGCTCATAAATGCACAGACGTCATGGAGCCTCCTTCCTTCTTAACTCATTGCTGTCAAAAAAAAAAAAAAAATAAGAAAATACCACAGTCTTGGCTTGATGACCAGAGAAAGTCAGCAAAGCAAGTTGTATTAGTTTCCTAGGACTACAATAGTAAAATACCACAAACTGGCTAGCTTAAAACAACATAACTTTATTTTTTCACAGTTCTGGGGGTCCAGAAGTCTGAAATGAAAGTGTTAGCAGGGTCACATTCTTGCTGAATGTTGTAGATGAAGATATTTTCTTACCTCTTCCAGTTTCTGGCAGTTGCCAGCAATCATTGGTGTCCCTGGGTTTGCAGCTGTATAACTCTAATCTCTGCCTCTCTTTCCAGTGTTCTCTAAGCATCTGTGTCTGTGTCTCTTCTTCTAAGGATACCAGTTTTATTGGATTAAGAGCCTATCCTATTCCAGCATGGCTTCATCTTAACTAATAACACGTGCAATGACCCTATTTCCAAATAAGCTCACAGTTTCCAGGGCTTTGGACTTCACATATATTTGGGGGGATGGGAGGGGGACAAAATTGAACTCATTACAGCAAAAACATCTTTCAAACTGTTTTTTGTCCATATTGTTATTTTTATTTTTAAAGGTATTTTTTCCCCAAAATGTTAATATTATTTATCATACTATACACATAAGAAAGTATTTGCCTATAAACTGTTATTCTCATGCTAATACTTTCACTTTTATGTATTCCTTACTGGTTCAATGTGGGTTGCTATATTGATCTGGTCTCACGCTGCTAATAAGGACATACCTGAGACTGGGTAATTTATAAAGAAGAGAGGTTTAATTGACTCACAGTTCTGCATGGTTGGGGAGGCCTCAGGAAACTTAGAATCATGGAGGAAAGCACCTCTTCATAGGGCAGCAGGAGAGAGAATGACAGCCAAGTAAAGGGGGAAGCCCCTTATAAAACCATCAGATCTCGTGAGAACACACTATCGTGAGAACAGCATGGGACAAACCATTCCCATGATTCAGTTATCTCTACCTAGTCCTTTTCTTGACATATGGGGATTATTACAATTCGAGATAAGATTTGGGTAGAGACACAGCCAAACTATATCACTTGCTATACTGACAATATCAAGGAATTGCATATTTTCAAAGAGTTGAGTTTTCATTCATAACTGGCCAAAGTTCATCATTCTTCTTCCTCTTTCTTCTCCTTCATTCTCTCTCAACTATGTCATTAGGAACTCAATCTTTATTTTCTGTCATTTCTGTATCTTGTTAGGGTGTTTTCTTCATTTCTCCATAATAATTTTCCAGTGAAACTATGCCTTTGAGACATGTTCCTAGAGAGTGCTTTGGAAGCCACTAAAGCTAGAGCTTATGCAACCATGATAAAGAGAAAGTCCCAAACCTCCTTTACAACATCTCATGTGGGAAAGAAATTAGAAATTATCTAGCCTGGAATTGTTATTCACCTTATAACTTAAGCACAAATTTTCTTTTCATCCAGTACTTCATATCTTATTTCTGTTTCCTTAAAACCGAAAGTTATGTCTATGATAGGCACCTGAGTGCAATAGTTTGCAGTGGAAGCAAGAGAAGATAATGTGGGCATACATACTTTATTTTATTTTTTTGTTCTCAGGGTTGGCTTTTTCCTTTCTTAATAAATGAGTGACGCACAGCCATGGGAAATTGAGTCAAAAGTTAAATGAAATAAGCCAGAATTAAAGCTTTTTTCATGAGAAACTTCTTTTGGGAAACAGGGTCTCATTTGGTCACCCAGACTGGAGTGCAGTGGCACCATCATGGCTCACCACGGCCTCCAACTCCTGGGATCAAGGGATCCGCCCACCTCAGCCTCTCAAGTAGCTAGGACTATTGGCATGTACCACGATACCTGGCTAATATTTTTATTTCTGTAGAGACAGGGTCTGGCTATGTTACCCAGGCTGGTCCCAAACTCCTGGCCTCAAGCAATTCTCCCACCTCAGCCTTTCAAAATGCTGGGAATACAGGCATGAGCCACTGTACCCACCCAGGACATTTCTTTTTTAGGTGAAATTTCTCGCAGGACTTCAGACCTCAACTGAAGGACTGTATGAGGAATATTAGCCAAGTTTGAAATGGGAGCCAAATAATGGAAATTTTTATCTCCTGGTATTTTGACTCTCATTTTTTCCCCAACTTCCCTGCCTAACATTCCACAGTAGCTACTTTTTTACATTTTATGTAAAGTCTGGGAATATGTGAATTGTATCTTGGTCTGGTGGACCTATCTAATCTCATCTCATACTTTTGTCCCCTTGCTAATTTGCTGCAGCTGCCCAAATGTCCTCCTCATCCTTAAAATCACAAAACTTTCCCCCTTCCCATTGGCTTTAGTCTCATTTTAATTTTGGAACCTGAATGTTTCTTTCTTGAGACGTTTATGACACAGGTCAAATTTCACCCCTACTCCTACCATCTTATTGCATCATACTCTACCATATTACTCCTTTTCATTTCATTGGTTTGGTTATCTTCTCCATTAGACTATAAGCTGCATGGATGTGGAGCTCTTCTGTGCTCATTTGTTGCTATATTCTCTCAGTTCTGAACTGAATGTGTAATATTTTATGGATTTTCAAAAATATTTTGTTAAATAATTGAATGCATGTTTCCCTTCTCTCATCCCTATGATAACAAGGGGGGTTGTTATCATTTCTATGATAACAAATTCTATCCATAAGTGAACATTAGAATGAAATCAAAGCTTTCCCAATAAGAATTGGAATAAAGTTATATTTCACTCAGCTTTACCTCTATCTTTGAGTATGAAAAAGAGAACAAAAAAAGATTTACAAACTTGTGTCCAAACCTGGAACAGAGTGAGGCAAGAGATGTGCCTAAAATGCAAACTTTAAAGAGGTATTTACTTACAGGGCTATGCAAGGAGTGACCTGCAATTGGGCAACCACGAGCGACAGACTCCTTAAATTGTGTGTCCTAGGTGACTCGTCACTTCACCTGAGCCCTGACTCTGCCTGTGTTTTGACTACAGTTTTTTTCAGGAGTTTAAAACATTATCTCACAATAGAATCAGTATCACTTTTCTTGCTTAGAAGTAGGGTTTCCTGATAAAATACAGAACACCCAGTTATATTTGAATTCCAGATAAACAAAAAATATTTTTAGTATAAATATATCTAAAATACTGCATGGAATATGCTTATACTAAAAAAAAAGCTAACTGAAATTCTAATTTAACAATTCATTCTAAATTTTAATTTGCTAAATCTGAACATACTACCTGTATGCTTTCTGAATGTTAATCATCTTATGGTAGCCATGTTGTGGTAGATTTCACCTCAACAGTAATCTCATAGAGAGGAGGGTCTCTTCTGTCCTAGGCAACCGCATCTAAATAATGAAATGCCAAGTTGAGAATCTCACAAGTCATTGCAGTGCTGTTCTAATCCTTCCAATCCTGTCATTTTTCTTTGCAATGAGAACATATCTGATCAAGTAAACGTTACTACTCAAGGCTTTCAGAAAATATTGAACATGAAATTTGAGTTTTTCAAAGCAGCCAAACCTTCTTTAACTGTTTGAAAATTTTGCATATTTACTAATGACCAATTCTGCAGCGATCTATGCTGGACAGCCTGGGAGAGGATTGAGCTGATGTATTTCTCCATTACCTTCTTCTCAAGATGCTTAAAAATATGCCAGGTATGCAGCTTGTTGACAAAGCCCCCTTTTACACAGACTGTATTTCAATTCCTGGAAAGGGAGCAATGACACTTTGGCTAGAAGGAGAGGATTTCACTTGGAGAAAGATTATTTCTTTTCTTCTTTGACTGTTGCCTTACTGAACCTTTCTCAGAGCAAGAAACAAATACATAAAGGTGGAGGAATTCGCTTCAGCAATATCAGATAGGAAGATGCATACAGAGTAATAGAATATCCACACAATGAATTACCTATGATAGGAAAAGAGAAAGAACTTATCAAAAGGCAATGTGTTAACATAATCTAAATAGCAGAACAAATATTCCAGTATCTAGTAGTCAAGAATTAAAACCATTTGTTATCATGGGATGAACAAATTAACAGATACAGTTATAGGAAGATAGAATACTGTAGACATATCAGCTTCTATATGGTTATTTATCTGAATACTCAGATGTGGTTGCTGTGTCAAATAGGGTATTACACTACGTTAGTGGTTTCAAACCCTGCCTAAATACTAGACCCAAGACATGCATTGAGGTAAGCTCTTTATTTTAGGCTTCGGAGCTGAAAATCTGTATTTTAAGTCTTCTTAAAGGATTCCAATAGGAAAAATTTAGGGGTATAACTATACTTACTTATTAATTCACAGAGTCAACAAATACCAGAACGTTGATTAAGTACTAAGAACTATTATATTTCTTCTTCCAGTTTCTAGCTCTTATAAACTTTGATTCTGGTGGTGAGATTAAAAACAAGCAAATAAGCAAAATGAAAACTGAATAAATAATATGTCAAATAGTGGTAAGTTCTACAAAGGGAAATGAAACGGGATAAGGAGGGAGAGTATGGACTTGCGGAGATGGCTATTTTAAATATGATGATAATGAAAACCTTTACAATGAGACCAGAATCAAAAGAGCAACACAGACACAGAACACATCAATACCCTGAGGCAGGAATGGATTTGAGGAGGTTCATGGAGGAGCAGGGAGGTCACTGTGTCTGGGAGGCAGTGAGCAAGGAAAATGTTGACAAAAGATGGGGTTCCATAGGCATCCAGGGATCAGGCACCCACAGCCTTGCAGGCTGTGATAAGGAGGCTAGATTTTGTTCTTCAGATAATGGAAATCCATTGAAGGATTTACAGTAGGGAAGTGATGTGAGTAGATTTTTGTCGTTGTTGTTTTTCTTTTTTGAAGCAGAATCTCACTCTGTCACCCAGGCTGGAGTTCAGTGGTGCCATCTTGGCTCACTGCCAGGTTCAAGCAATTCTCCTGCCTCGGCCTCCTGAGTAGCTGGGACTACAGGCATGTGCCACCACACCTGGCTAATTTTTGTATTTTTAGTAGAGATGGGGTTTCACCATGTTGGCCAGGATGGTCTTCAACTCCTGACCTCAAGTAATCCACCCGCCTCGGCCTCCCAAAGTGCTGGGATTACAGGTGCGAGCCACCGCGCCCAGCCTTAGATTTTATTTTAAAGTGTAATTTTGGTTGTGGAAGTAGGAATCTCAGTGACATGCCTATGTAGTTGTCCAAGTCTACCAGGGTGGTAGGAGTGGTGGAGGTGAGAAGTGGCTGGATTCAGGATATATTTTTGAAGGCCAAGGGTCAATAGAATTAGCTGATTAATTGGTTGTGGTTTGCAGAACAAAGGCAAGATTCTAGGATGACTTCAAATCTTGGGTCTGATAACTTGGCCAATGGAGATACCAGTTATGAGGTTGGTGAACACTTGGGAAGGAGCAGATGTGGGCATTGAGGGATTTGGAGTTTATTTTGGACATATTAATTTTGAAATGCTTCTTTGCATCCAGTGGGAGATACCCATTAGGCAGTTCAATCATATAGGCTCATTTCTAAGAGGTTTCTAGACTGAAGATATGAATTTAGGAATCATCAACATTTAGATGGCATTTAAGCCATGAGATCAATTGAATAACCCAGGGAGTGAGTGTAAGTGGAGAAGAGAGGAGATCCAAGTCTTAGCCTTGCAGTGGCTAAAAAAGCTGATATTTAGAGGTAAGTTAGATGAGGCAGAGTCAGTGTTAATGTTTCTCAAGAAGCACTATTAGCATTTTGGGTGGAAGGGTGCTTTGCCATGCAAGACAGATGTGAAGATTATACGGTATTTAGAATCTCTGAATCCACCCAGTAATAGCAGTGCCACCCCCCAGACATTGTGACAGGAAACACATATTTGTATTTGCCCCCTCATGTTTGTAAACTACATGTATTTGTTCCCCACCTATTTGCAAATCACTCAAAAGATATGTACTGCTAGAAAACCATTGACTGCATGGCTATTAAAATCACTAAATGGTTTTAAGTATCCACTCTAATTATAACATTTTATTTTAGGAATTATGAGTTACAAATATACTTGGATTAGAAAAATACATATTATGAAGTGTTACAGTATTAGGAAATGTGAACATTTGTTTGTAACAATCTCTTAGGGCCAAGAAAATAGAGCAAGCTCAAAAAAGCAGTAAATCTACTTTAACCATGCTGTCACTTACTCTGGATTAACTGACTGATTCTCTTAATATCATTTGTAAAACATTCTGACTTTTACTCAAGGCATAATAAATGCTGGGTTAGTAAACTAATTTTCGGAATACGGCACACTTCTCAGCATCCTATCCCTGTGTTTAAATTATGTGCTCAGTTGTTTTTGTTCCCAAACTATTATGCTTAAAGGGTCTATGATATTGTAAATATACTACTTATTTTGGCATTATGTAGATTAAGAAATCAATGACATATTGTACACTATTTCAAAATCACTATTCCATATGATGGTATCCATCCACTCATTTCTACGGTGATAATGAGGTCATCATATGTGTACATTTTGATAGGGTTTGGGTTATCAGGAATATGTATTTGTCAAAACAACCACCCCCAGAATCAAACACCATTTTTATCACAGATTATTTTTTCTATCCTGTAATTTAATATAAGTTGGATTTCATATAAATCGAATCAGACATTATGTACTCTCTTGCAGAGGCTTCATTCACTCAGCACGATATTTTTCAGATTCATGAGTAAGGCTTTGAGATTCACTGGGTGTATTATAACTTACTTTCTATTGCTAAGACATGTTCCATTGTAAATATAAACCACAATTTCTTTACTCATTTTCCTATGGGTGGACATCTGGGTTGTTCCCATTTTGGGGTTATTATGAACACATATACTATAAGCATTCCTGTTAACATAAGCATCTACTATATATATATCTACTATATATGTGTATATATATCTACTATAAGCATTCTCTTTGTCAACATATATTTTCACTTATCTTGAGAAAATACTTAGTTGAATTGGTGGTCCACAGTGTAGGTATACATTTAGTTTCACACAAAACTGCCAGATTTTTCTCTAAAGTGACTATATTATTTCACATTTTCACCCAAAACATATGGGAAATTTCCAGTTGTTTCACATCCTTAACAATACTTGATGTTATCAATCTTTTCACTTTCAGCCACTCTGATGAGTGTGCAGTGAGCGGCATTTCATTGTGATTTGAATTTGCATTTTTCCGATAACTCTTGAAGCCAAATATTTTTTCAAATGCTTGACCATTCATATAACTTTTTTGTGAAGTGTTTATTCAAAAGGTTTGCCCTAGAAAAGTCTACTGTAGATATTAAAATTTCAAGTTACTATACTAAATTCACTTTAGAATAGTTAAATGTCAGTCAACATTGAGGGAAGCTTGTATATGCAATATCCAATTGTCAAGCAAAAACGTTATTTATACTGTGCGTTTTAAAATAATTATTTATAAGTACCTTTTTATCTCTATTGATCTAGTAAATTAAGCTGATTTCCATTACAAGTTTATTAATTTACTCTAATTCTGAAGAACAATATTGGATATATGCCAATACATGTAATTCTTATGAAATTTAATTGCAAAAAATAGAAACCCCAGATCACTTATGATGATGTTCTATTTAAGTATATTAGACTATTAATTTATCTCATTTTTCTGCTACTATTGGTACAAAACTACTTGTGTTTTGTTTAAGAAATAGCATCCAGCATACTTTGGTCTGAAAAAATACTTTAAGTCTGATTTGATCTGCTTCATTCACCAACTAAAAGTATATATACACAGTGATATCCAGTGAAAATTTCATGTGAAAACCAATTTTTGATAAACACGTAGCTGGGTATGTCCCTGAGTTTGTACATTACAGTTTTTATTACAGACAAGAGACTGAAAAAGAATGTCAAGAAATCCGAAGTATCTATGCTGCGCAGTTACCAGTAAATATACTTTTAAGAATCTGAGGTAATACATAAAATGCATATTCAGATTATAAGAAACCAGAAGCCTGTTTGTTCATCCTCATGGAACAAATAATATAGTCTTTGAATTTGGATTTTTAGTGTTGTCCAGAGATTTTTATTTTCATAAGTACATTTTTAACCTCACAAATAAAATAAGGTTCACATAATTCAGAGGAATAATGGACAAAACAAGGCATTCAACTCAAACTTTGGTCAGCAACCATTTACCCACAAGCCTTTCTAGATAATAAAATAGTAATTTGTAAATAATGTATTGCAGCATTGAGTTCATATATAGAAAACAAAAAGCATTTTCATAATCCTCCTGGACAGTCAGCTTTTCTCATGTTAAATCTATTGTCAACCTGCCTCGAGCATGCTGTTTGAGCAAAATTACTCACTCCAACTCCAAACAGCTCGCATTCTACATAATAATACCATTTTACAATTGGCATTTGCTATAATAAATCCACCTTGGAACACTTACCTTGTCAATCAGTATTGAGGAAAGGTCATGCTGAGCCATGAAGGAGAAGACTACTTGTGTATAAGCTATGAAGTCTTTTATGAGACTTTTTAATCAATCTCTTAACATGCACTGAAAAAGGCTTAAGATAAAACAAATAGTATAGGATTTTTTTTTGGAGGGGGTGTTTGTTGTTTTGGTTGCCATTGTTGGAAGATGGCTGATTTTCCTAAAAAATAATAGAGTGAAATTAGTACAAGCAACTTAATAATGCAGCTACAGAACATATGAGTTTTACAGATTTTCCTTAAAAAAATAGAGTTAAATTAGTACAAGCAACATAGTAATGCAGTTACAGAACATATAAGTTTTGCAATCCAAAGCTGATAAATTGTTACAAGCCGCTTAGGCCACTTTAATGTCATTTTTTTTTTTTTCTCCAAGGGCATTGAGTGATAATGCTTGGCTGGTACTTCAACTACGGATCTGTGGGAAAATCTGTTGCTTAGGTTGTTTCTACGTTTTCATTATTCTGCACATACTCTGCTCTTCCGACACTGCTAACTGACTGGTCAGATTATAGGTAAGAGAGGGATAGATGATATTGTGTAGGGCAGGGTCAACAAACTAAAGTTTTAGTGGGATGTAGCCATACCTATCCATTCACTTATTGTTCATGGTTTCTTCTGTGCTACAAGAGCAGAGTTAAGCAGGTGCAAGATAGCCCCTCTGCCTCACAAACTCTAAAATATTTGCTATCTAGCCCTTTGCAGAAGAAGTTTATTGACCTCTAGTTCAGGGGTATAGCATTTTTCCATTAGATGCATTATATCCAAATAATACCTTCATAAAAAGATGTCCAAGATATTTACATAAAGATGTTCAGAAAAAGAAGATCTATGTAAAACTGAATACAGTATATCTATTTTGGGAGGAACCATTAATTTAGAAATGTCTGGGCTTCCCCAATATACCATCTTCAGATCTGTGCTAATAATGACTGTACCTTCCTAACGCACACAGTTTTAGTTGGGACTATGTTCAGAATTAAAACTAAATTTCCCAACCTGCCTTGCAGCTAGGTTTGACCAGACAATCAACATTTTCGCAAAAGATGTAGGCACTTGTCATGAATGTAAATTTCTGCTCAGTTTGGTGCAAGCCTTTCTATGTTCCCTGTGTCTTTCCTGCTGGCTGAGATATTGATGGTATGGTGAGTCCAGCAAGCTTCTCGGACCTTTTTGCTAAAAATAAACAACCATCAGGAAGATGGAATTATGGATTCTCAACAAGCAGGCATTGCCATACGGGCTCTGAACTGTTGATTCCACACAGTTTTGTATTTGTTTTAAACACAGTTGATTAGAACGATATGGATTTAAGCCATTGCTCCTTTGGAATTTTCATTCCATGCTACATTCTCAGTACGTACGGTGACTTTTTTGTAAATGGTGGCTAGAAAGGAATTCTTATTACATATAATGGGCCCTTGTTAGATCTGCACTTTGGCCCTTCCCTTCTGGGCACGTCTTTCATTTCTCCCCTCCATCTATATGGATAAAGCAGGAACATTTATAATTATAAATTGATATGTGAGATTCTCCCTTACTTGCCAAAATTAATTGGACCAAAATTAGGCAAAAGACCGCAACAGGGCAAACAACAAGTGACAAAAGTCACTTGTCTGGGAATTGTTTCCATTGGGGAACTGCGATGCATCCAAAGACCATATTTTCTGACATCTGGACTTGAGGTGGAGAACAGAGAAGCTCTGTATCAGAAGAGAATGATGCAAATGTAATCGTAAAGGCAATTAGAAGAAGAGGCATCCTGAGAACTAGGAACCCCTGCTTCCAGTTCTCTCATTCCATTTCTTTTTCCTGGTACCATGAGACACCCATATTTAGTGGTTAAAATTGTTCAGCTACCAATTCAAAAGTGAAAAGAGATGGAATCTTATGTATAGTGTTTTTATATGTAAAATTATATTCTGCTATGGGACCTCTTTCTGCCAGGTGGTAGAAATTTAATTTTAAGCAATTCGGGAGTTCCCAATTCCTTTTCTCTGGGATTCCATCTCACTTCCTGGGGGTTTCTGTAGTGCAAAGTATTGAAGATATCCATTCCTCAGTCAGCATTACCAATCTACATTGAAATACACTGGAAATGTAATCTACAAAAACTGCACTGCTCTTGAATTTAAGTGATATCAACTCCCCCATATTTTTGTAACATATTATATATTCGTTATCATTGAGTTAAACCAAATCTACCTTAGAGTTACTTGTTTTTTAATCAAAAACTTTATCTTGGGATAACAAGCATTACATATTTTCTACCCCAGTGATTCTGAATTCTCAAGGCATGTGAATCACCTGGGTAGCTTTTTAAAATGCAAATTCTGGCTGGACAGGGTGGCTCACACCTGTAATCCCAGCATTTTGGGAGGCCGAGGCGGGCGCATCACCTGAGGTCAGGAATTCGAGACTAGCCTGGCCAACATGGTGAAACATGGTCTCTACTAAAAAAAATACAAAAATTAGCCGGGTGTGGTGGTGGTGCTCCTGTAATCCCAGCTACTCAGGAGGCTGAGGCATGAGAATCACTTGAATCCAGGAGGCAGAGGTTGGGGTGAGCCAAGATTGCACCACTGCACTCCAGCCTGAGCGATGGAATGAGACACTGTTTCAAAGAAAAAAAAAAAACAAAAAACAAACAAATTCTGCTTCAGAAACTGTGGGATGGGGCTGAGTTCCTGCATTTCTAACGGGCTCCCAGGGGATATCACATTCTGAATGTCTGTGTACCACAATTGGAATAGCAACACTCTAACTCATGTATAAACACACAACTTCCTTTTATTTGTTTTATACATCATTGTATGATTCCTTGCTTGTGTTTCTTAATTAACGTCTCAGTACCTCTCTATACACCATTCAAAGTATTTAACATACTATACTTTTGGGTTCATTTTTGTCATTACAACTAAAGCTTCTATGTATTAAGTAATGTGTTCTTAATCTTCTTATTTAGCACGTTTCATGATGTCTTTTGGCAGACAGAAGAACACTCCACTGAGAGTCAAGATAAATATTTTCAAGTATAGACTCTATTGTGATTCAAAATATGTCCTTGAGTCAAATTCACTTTTTGAGTCTAGTTTCCACTTATAAATTGGGGATAATATCTGCCCTACTTACTCCCACAATGTTGTGAGGTTATGAAAGGAAATAGTAGATATATGAGCATGTTCTCAAGAAAATTACCATCGAATTGCAAGTCATCATTCTTATTGGTATTCCTTTGCAGTTGGAAACTGTCCATTTCCAACCATTTTCATTGCTCCTACAATGACCCCAGAGTGTTGGAAATCTTGCTCATGAAAATACCTATCCTACAGCTTCTTTTGTGACTTCAAACTCAGCCATCATTAATATCTTATTTAGATGGGCTCCAGTTTGTGTAGACAGACCAATAAAATGCTTATTCATCCTGAATTATTCTTCTGGGAATTTTTTTTTGAACTTCAGCCTAACATCTCATTTCAAAGTGGGGAAAGAAAACATCAGCTACTGAAAGGCACTGCATTTTTAATGTACAGCTTGAAAACACTGCACCTGGTGAGTACAGAAACACATCTGTCCATGCAACTGTCAAAGATGGCTCATGCTCTTTACATTCAAAAATAGCTTCACTGACATAGGATTCAGGTGACACAACATGGTGGTCCCAGGGTTTGGGAACCATGGCCACAAATTCTCTTTTTATATCTATCTTTTAGTGCTAAAGAGAATTATATTATTGTAAAGCAAATGTAGATTTGTTCATTCTTAATTCCAAATCAGTTATTAGTGCTCAAGTCTGATAAATCACATGTATAAAGCCACGCCAAGCAGATAGAAGGCAGTCAAAGCAGCAACAAACATGCAGACATTCCCTCTTCTGCTGCCACATCAGAAAGGAGCAGAGCTAAAGCTTTTCTGTTTGTTTGGTTCAATTTTAATGGTATAGCTTTCTCAGCTCTGTTAGAAAATAGAGATGAGAAAATGTCACCCAATTCAGAAACTAGAGCTAAGGCTGTATTTTTTTGATCAAGAAGGAAGAGAGAGGAGGGTCTCTCGGGTGGGTTCAGTAACACATAGAGTAGTCTTTTCCAAGCACTAAATGCCCTACAGCCGTAGTCAGCAAAGCCGAAGGCAAAGCAAAACACCTGGCGTTCTGCTGCTCTTGCTGCTGCTGGCACTTTGCATGCCTCCAATGGATGATTCTTTCCAAATCAGGAAAAGTCAAACTTAGCAAGGATTTACAAAAGGTTCTGGGCTTCCATCAATGTCTTTAATTCTTTTATTTTTTATTTGATTGTTGTATCATCCTCAAAACATGATCTATGCAGGTAGATTTAGATTCCCACTACCTATTGTCATACAGATTCTCCTGTCATTCTTCATTCATTCACTTCTCTATTCAAAGAATATTCACTGAGGGCCAATATTTTTGTATTTATTAATAGGCATAGTATAGATGCTGGATATATGAAGATAAAGCAACAGAATAGACCTCTGCCTGGAGGAGCAGTGCTCCTCCACATACATCCTGGGGCCTCCTTTCCTGCAATGCATAGTACATTCCAGGTAAGGCAGACCACTTTCTTTCTCTATGACAGGTGTAAAGTTATTATGAGTGCTCCATTTGAGACCCAAACTGCTTTTTCTGTCTCTATGTGATGTCTTAAATTCTTGCAGTCATATGGATCCATTCAAACCTCTACCCATACTTATGGAAGATGCTTTCAATCCTTTCTCTACCTGAGAACCCAACAGGTACTCTGGGAACCCTTGGTTGTGCAAGAAGCCCCAGGGACCTCTAGAACAGAAATATCAGGTGTGGATCAAGGGTGTCTCCATTTCCCCACTCGTTTGTCTATGGCAGACACTGGTGATCATTTAGCATACATTTTCTCACTAAAATTTAGTACAGCCTTTGATTCAAACTCAACACTTGTCCAGGCAGCCAAATTAATTATTCAGTATTGTTCCCAGAGATGAAATCTATTTGCTATCCTTGGTTGGAATTTGCTACATCCTCTGCTGCTCCTTTGGACTCATTGATTTGTTTTCATCACTAAGAATTCACAGTTCACATTAGGTGCAAAGCCCCGTAAGATCACTCAGGTCTTATTCATTTGTATTCCAAAATAACCCATCATCATCAGCACTGATTGATTTCCCCTTAAGATAAATCCAACCTGTGTAAACTCCAATCATAGCCACACATTTCATAATCCCAAGTCCTTTTACACAATGGTCTTATATCCAAGAATCTCCAGGCTTTATTCGTTATAATGTACTAGCTGGTCAAACTGACAACACCAGATTAGTTTAATTATAGTTCACATCATTGTTTAATACAAGTTGTGGTAGAGGGGAATGTGGTAGATAGAAGGGGTTCTACTCTCAAAAATCATTCAGAGACTCCAGCCCTTTATACTATAGGGCATTGTTTCAGTAATGCTCTAGGGAAGCTCACCTCCATGCAGTTCTCAAGGATCCATGATGCTTTTATCTCCTGGATCCACATTGTGGTCCCCCTGGTTATTCTCAAAGTGAAAGACAACATAAAGATATACACCAGCTTTAAATGCCCTGAACTGAGACGTGGTAGACCTCATTGTGCCCACAATTTTTATTTTTTGGCTAGAAATAATTACATGAAACCACCCACCTGCATGGCAGCTAAGGAGGTTGTTTTCACATGTGCCTAGGAAGGAGGAGAGAATCACACATGGTGATTACTAGTTATCGCTACTACACATGGGCTGTGTTCTCAGGAGGCTAAAGAAGTAGAATGTGGTAAACGTACAGCTTTGCCTCAACCACAAGGCCTCCCTCCCTCCATCTTCTCAGAATGCCCTGGAAGATAATAGGCCCTCTCTCTTTTACGTTTAATTTTAATAAATACCAAGTACTGATTAGAAAGTAATTAGAATGTGTTTTTTTTGGAAGACACTAACGTTATAATTGATTTTTAAAGTGGTTTTATTTTCAAACATATGGTTTCAGAGATTTTTAGTTTGAAGGTATATATCAGAGAGAAATTTATTTATTACAGTTAGAGAAATCTGACTGGAACAGTCATAAACCATTGAAAGGACTTATTGACTTGCGTATTTGAAAGATCTTGGAATGGGCAAATCTAGGTGCACACATGGTATTGTCACGAATTTGTGCCTTACCCTCTTCCAGCCCTGTTTTCCATGTGTGGGCTTCATCCTGAAACAGGCTTGTCTCAAGCTGTGGCAAGACAGCTACCAGCAGCTCCAGGCATTCCCCAGGGAAGGAATGTGTGTGTGTCCTAGTGATCATAATGAAAGTCAGGGAGAAAATGCTCCTGGACTTCGCTGGGATAGTCATCCATTCATTTACTCAATCTAGGGGGATAATAGAATTGGCTCGGCTTGAAATTAGACTATATGTCATCTGAATCTAAATTGTAAAATAGAGATGGGAGATGAATAGTTTCCCAGAGGATAGCCTGATTGTTGTTACCAGAAAACAGAACAAAATATACCCACATGGTTTTCTACTACATAACACAAACAGGGGGAGATTGCTTTTCTGCCTAATTAGGGCCTCATGGTGACTTTGCCCTAAAAAAAAAAAAAAAAAAAAAAAAAAAAAAAATCGCTGTGGCCCAGGGGCTGATCATTAGAATTTCCCATCTAAAATCCTCATTTTTGATTGCAGCAGGAGACATTTGGTCTCTATGATAATGGCTTGTGCCAACCCAACTCACAGGGACTACATAAACTAGAATGCTGGTTTCTTAACTGTCGGTAAGAAAAATAACTTCCTAGTTGAGCATAAAATTTGAGCTACACTGACCAACTCCTTTTATAAAGCTAAATATGTAACAGGGAAGAGAAATTAAAACCAGCAGGACATTAGTTGAGCATGGAATCAGACTCAGGGTAATTAGTTAAATAAAAACATTCTGTGACATGTACCCATTATTGCTCAATATATGTATTGCAGTGGCAGTAATATACTGTCTAGAAGGCTGTCATTCAAATAGGCTTGTAGGCATACTCTGCCACACCCCCAATGGGTTGGGTTCTGGGTGACTATTGCTACGTTGCTGATTCCAGTCACTATATTTTCACAAGGACCATTTCCTTCCATTGACACCTTATTTAATTAAATAGTCTCCATTTGCTTTTTGATTAAGTAACAGTTCATTAATAATTAGTATATCTTGATTTAATTAGGCAAAGTGTCAGAAATCTCGGCCTACGTTGATTGCAACAAGTGTTTGACCACTTATCAGAACTTTCTATATAATTTCAAAGCTGAGGAACATTTCTGTAATGGGATAAGCTATTTAAAACCAGTAGGGTAGGCAGAAAATACTTGCTGGCTGTCTGAATGAACAGAGCTTTGTCTTTCTTCCTGGATTTTCTTTTCTTCTTCTTGACATTTTGCAAGCCACACTGGTGAAATATATCAATTAGGAATTTTCTCTTTGCATGTTTAAATAAGTGCAAAATGACTCTTAAAAACATGATCATTTGTGACCTTATTTTATATAGTTTTAAACTTACATGAAGTCACAAGACTAGTACAGAAAGTGTTCCTTTACTCTTTACTCGATTTACCAATTGTTTGTATTTTGCCCTACTAGATCCATCATTCTTTTTCTATAGAGTAATTTAAAGACACTGTGGCTTTTCCCCTAGATTCTTCAGTGTGTATTTTCTGAAAACAGGAACAGTTCTTACTTAACAATAGTATGATGATCAAAATCAGGAAATTTAACATTGATAAATTACTATTATGTAATCAACAGTCTAGTTAATTTTTTAATTGCCCCAATAAATCCTTAAGCTATTTTTTCCTGGTTGAGGACACATTCAGTATCATGCATTGGGTTCAGTTTTCAGTTCTTTTTAGAATTCTTTATTGCTGAACAGTCGCATTGCCTTTCTTTGTCATTTCTGACCTTGCCATTTTGGAAGAGTACAAGCTAGTTTATTTTGTAGAATGTCACTCAATTTGGGTTTTCTTATTTTCTGCATAAATAGATTCAGATTATGCATTTTTGTACATTTTCTTATGTCTTATTTATCGCATCATGTTAGGATGCCCATGATATTCGTTTGTTTCAATTTTGACGGCAACATTGATCACCACCTGAATATTGGTTAAGAAGGTGTCAAGATTATGGAGTATCCAACAAATTTCTCCACTATAAAGTTATGTTTCTTTCTGTTTATAATGAGTAAGTAATTTGAGGAGAGATTTTTCTTAAACTACGTATACAACCTATTTCTAATATCCATTTTATCTCCTACCTCTTCCATACGTTTTGTCCAAAAAGGACACATATTCTTAGCCCATTTGACAGATGAGTGAACAGAAACAAAAGGAAATGCCTCATAAATGTTAGAACTCAATCACTGCATTCATGTTTCAAGTTCATTATGTGACAATTAACTTCCTCAACTCATGTTCTTACAAAATCCTGGTCACCTGCTTAATTTCTTAAGCACAGAGTATATTTAGAACAACTGTGAAATCATAGAAAAACCTGGAAAAAAAACTTGACTCTGTCACTTTTGAGCTAGGTAATCTTTGGTAAGGTTTAAAAATTCTTAATCTCAGCTTCTTTCTCTGTAAAAGGAAGATAATGATATCCAACTTTCAATTTTGCCTTGAGATTAAATGAGATAATATGTTTTTCTTCAGGCATTAACACAACATCTTGAATCAATAGATATATGTTTTTTCTCTCTTGATCCTTTCAGTTTTTTTTTTTTTTTAATGAATAGTGTTTGCCAAGCTCTATACACAGAAGATATACCCATGCGAAAACCCAGCATTTGGTTAAATGGAAAGGGAGATGACATTCACTGGCAAAGTAAAGTTTTGGACCTTGTAGGTATCTGGCAGAAGAGATTTTTAATAGAAGAAACAAGAAGGGCAAGGGCCTCAAGTGGTCATGTTCTTGACACAAGCAAAGTAGAGTAAGGAGGTAAGGATGGCTAGAGCAGAGTAAGTGGGCTGGAAGTGAAAAGGATGAGATCAGAGGTGGCTTGGGACCAGATTATACAGGCCAGTGTCAGAGTTGAAGTTTTATTCTAAGGGAGGTAAAAGATGTTGTAGGTTTTGAGACAGAGGAGTGATTTGTGCTTACTTACATTTTAAATGTATTTCTGTTGTGAGCGGAATTGTGTCCCCCCAAAAGATATGTACAAGTTCTAACCTCTAGTACCTGTGAATGTGAACTTATTTGGAAATAGAGTCTTTGCAGATGTTCCCAAGTTATGATGAGGTCATGCTAGATTAGAAAGGGGCCCATTGCAATGTAACTGGCATCCTTGTAAGAAGAGGGAAATTTGGACACAGACAGAAGAAAGCCATGTAAGGAAGGACTCAGAAATTGGAGTGACACATCTACAGTAGAAGCAACATTGATGATTGCCAGCAACCATTAGAAGCTAGAAGAGCCAAGAAAGGATTCTTCCTTAGAACCTTCAGAGGGACCAGGGCCCCACCTGCATGATTCTGGACTTTTAGACTGTGGAACTGTGAGGGAATGCATTTTTGTTGTTTTGAGTCACCAGTTTGCACTCATTTGGAAATTAACTGCTTCATAAAGTGATGTGAAGATTGTGGAGAACACGTGTGCGAGCAAGAGGCCACTACATTTATAGACAAGAGACAATGACGTGGACAGAGGCAATAGGGATGGAGATACAAAACGGGGCCAGATCCTAGTTGAGTTTTGCAGGTAGAGACAACTGTCTTTGACATTTAATTCAGTGACCCAAACCAGGGACCCTTTCCAGAGTGAAAGAGGCTGCTATTAACAAAAACACAGGGATGACAGACGTAGTCTAAGGTGTATAATCAGTGCATTGACTAACTGAATATAAAAACAGAAAAGATAGAGAGGAGTCAACAATGTTGCCAAGATTTTGCCTGAACTACTGAATGAACATAGTTAACCATTTATGAGATGAGGAAGATCATAGGAAGAACAGGTGTAGTGGAAAAATTATAAATTGGGTGTGGGGTTTGTTAAAATTTGAGATGTCTACTAGAAACAGTAAGTAAAGGAGCCAGAGCCCACAGGGAAAAGTTAAGTGCGAATATATAAATGTAGCTTGTGACTTAATAATGGTATTTAAATCCCAGAGACGGTATGAGACCTAGAAACCCAGAGTATGAAAAGTAGAGACAGTAATGAGTCCTTCCATATTCTCCTAATAATTACCAATTGCCAAAGAGTGGTCAGTACTTGTGCTCATATTTGTTGATTATTTGAAGATGAAAACATAAATTGTGTTAACTGAATCACACCTTTGAAATAGGGAGAAATCAATTTATTAAGTCAGTAATGCAGCATGTTACAGTACCGAGGAATTATTCCAGTTATGTGTTACACATGAGGATTGCTGCACCTCAGTCCATGGATTCTGCTTCCATTGCTATGGGGTGAGGTCCAGAATTCTCACTTTGTAAAAAGCAAGAGAAGAAATTCCGACATAGCGACTTTGTAGACCCTTATTTGATAAATCTCTCTGGTTAAGCTTTTTCTTGTAGTATTCACACGCAATTCATGTGTTTTCTACATGCAAGTTTTGTGTATCTTAAACCGCTAAAACGATAGCAGCTGTCTGGATCCTGAGAACAGACTCAGGATGACAGATATGTGTGGAAATGATGTCAGTCTTTCTGAGTTTGTAAATTTATTTTGAACAGAAAAGCTACAGTTCAACAGATGAATGGAGCAGAGTTGGGTGAAAAGAGTTAAAAAGATAAGACCCACCTTCTCCCCAGCTGTGCTCAGCATCAGGCATTCCTCCTATTCATTCTGCACACTTTGAAAGCAGCTTAGAACTACCCAGCCTGGAACCCTCAAAGCCGTGTCTCTCATTTTGATCTCCTTTCTCCATCTGCTTCTTGTACCTTTTTGAGATGTGTTCACTATATTTTACCTAGAGCTCTAGGAACTCCAGACTGATGACTAATCAGAAAGGCAGCACGACTCCCCCTAAGCTCTGCCTATCTGTAATTGGCTCTTTTTACATTAATATAAATCCCAGGGAAAATATATTGGCAATGCTACTGCAGAGTATCTACAACTTCAATTACTTTAAAATGCTCTTAATACTCCCAATTAGCTAATTAGAGTCTGTGTGTTATTGAGGAATGTTAGAGGTTAAAATACCTTTTAAACTTTGGAGGTACCAGCAAAAATGAAAGCATTTCTGATTAGAGTCTAGAATTGTGCTTTCCTTCTTATAATAATAATTGTAGGAGTAGCATTTTTTGAAAAGAAAAAAAATTAAAGACAGAAGGAAAGTTAAAGAAAACGAGAAAAAGGTGCCTTTTTCACACATTTTTAAAATTTGCATAATTTTATTAAAAAAATCAAACTAAGATATTTTTGTTTTGTTAATATTTAAATAAGCCTCATCCAAAATTCTGCTAGCATTTATTATTAATAATTGACAGGAAATTTTTGGCTTTTCTGAAAAAGGGAAAAGACACCCATGCCTGTGTCTTCTGAGGAGTCTCAGTCAGGAAATCCCCAAAGAAAGAAAACATTCCCTTGATTACTCTTATTTTGTCTTAATTGCACATGAAGTCAGAAGCCTTAACTCATTTTTTTATTCATTCATCCATTTATAAGTGAGCATCTAATATGCATCTGGTACTAGTTGACAGATAGTGGAAACAGATATGGTCCATGCCCTCATCATCACATTCTACTTTAGTTACTTTCATGGGATCATCATGTTTTAACTATTTCAGAAAGACAAAGGGCTGGAAGATGGAGTTTAGGATTTGTGAAAAACAATCGGCATCCGCTGTACGATTTCTTTTCAGACTTTTCAGTTTCCTTCTCAGCTTTTTAAAAAAGATGTAGATCGATAGATAGATTATTGATAGATAGAGATACTATTGTCATAACTTTCCAAAGAAAAATATACTTTAAATAACTTTTTATTTGGCAATACTTTTAAGAGTTACAATAAGTTGCCAAAGATAGTACAGAGTTCCTCCAGCTTCCCCAAATGATAGCATTTTTATAGAACTATAGTATATTATCAGAAGTTGAAATTTACATGCTATATTACTACTAATTCTAATTCAGATTTTATTTTAGATTCATCAAAGTTTTCATGCACTTTGTGCGTGTATATAGTTCTATGATATTTTGTTACGTATGAAGATTCATAACCATCACCATAATCAGGATGCAGAACTGATCTGTTTCCAAACAGATATTCCTTCATGCTATACCCCATCCCATATCCTTTTCCCCAGAGGCTACGAATGTTCTCTACCGTTACAATTTTGTCACTTTGAGATAATGTTATATAAATGGAGTCATACAGTATGTAACCACTTGCTACCGGCCTTTAGAAAATTACTTAGCATAATTCCCCTGAGATGCATCCCATGTGTTGCAAGCATTGATAGTTTTCTTTCTTTTTTATCACTGAGAGGGATATGATTGGATAAATATACAGCATCAGAATTTGTATATTCATTCATTCAATGAAGGACATTTGTGATGTTTCCAGCTTTTTTGTTATTACAAATAAAGTTCCTATAAACTTAGTGTATAGGATTTTGTGTTAACACAAATTTTCATTTATCTGGAATAAATGTTCAGGAATGCTATTTTTGGGTCATTAAGTATCTGATTGATTTTATAGGAAACTACTAACTTCTTTTCCAGAGTAATTGTATCATCTTACATTCTCAGCAGCAACATAGAAGAGATCCTGGGCTCTGGAGCTCTCGGATCTGGTGTTGCCAGTATATATATTTTTAATTTTAGCTATATTAGTAGGACTGCAGAGTGTCTTGTTTTTGGATTGATTTGCATGTTTAATAACTAATAATGTGGATTTTTTTCTTGTGCTTATGTGCTACTCATATATCATCTTTGGTGAAGTGTCTGCTCAAGTTTGTTGCCCATTCTCTAATTGGATTGCTTGTTTTCTTACTGTTTAGAGAGTTCTTTTTATATTAGGCATGTGAGTCATGTGTATCTGATATTTGCAAATATGTGATTTGCGAGTATTTTCTCCCAGTATTTGGCTTTTATTTTCATGCTTGTAAGAAGGTCTTTTGTATGGAAGAAGTTTTACATTTTGATGTCCAATATATTAATTTTCCCTTTCATGGATCATGACATTAGTTTCTTATATAAGAACTCTTTGCCTAATCCTAGGTCATGAGAACTTTTTCCTATGTTTTTCTCTAAAAGTTTGATAATTTTATCGTTTATATTTAGATCTATGAGCCATTCAAGTCAATTATTTCATAGATGAGTTTTAGATTATTTTTATGCCTATAAATGTCCAATTATTCAAGCATCATTTGTTGAAAAGACTATCCTTCCTCTATTGAATTGCTTTTGCACCTTTGTCAAGACTCATCCTTGTGTGGAACTGTTTCTGAGTTCTCCATTCTGTTCCATTGATTTATATATTTATTCTTTTACTAATACAATATTCCTGATTACTGAACCTATAAAGGAAGTCTTCAAAATCAAGTAATGTGATTCTCCTACTTAATTCTTACTTTACACAATTGCTGTTGCTAGTCTAATTCCTTTGCCTTTCCGTGATCTTTAGAATCAGCTTATCTGTATCTACAAGTAAACATGTTAAACCTATACCTCAATTTAGGAAGAATTGGCATCTTTACTAGGTAGAGTATTCCATTCTGGAAACACAGAAAATCTTTCCATTTATTTCCTTGTCTTTATTGATTTATTTCATTTTTACGTAGTTTTCACTATATAGAACTTGGAACAGTTTGTCAGTTTTATAATACTTTTTTTCTTCTAGGAGTGATTGCAATTGGTAACAATGTTTTAGCATCAAAATACACACACACAGGCATGCCCGCATGCACACACACACACACAAAACTCTGAAAAAATATATAATTTTTCTTTTCACATTTCGCAGACAAATGTCGGTAAGTGTTTGCAATCAACTGTTCTAGACACAGCTCTTAATATACAAAAAGTTGAATCTCTTTCACTAATCCAAAATAGAATCAGATACATAGTAGACATTATAAATTTGCTGAAAGAGTGAATAAATACACTGAAACATTTTAAATACTTTAACTGCTTCTCAATTGATGTGTACATTTGCACATATTACACACAAAAAATAATACCCACAAAGGCACATATATATTTGAGTCATCCTCAGAATTTCTCCACAGGGTAAGGCCTACCCGAAGGAAGGCTTATCCTATTTTTCAGGAAAGCATATATTTTAGGCTGAAAATACTCTAAAATTTGAAGTTCAATAAAGGCCTAAAATACAACTCTCTTCTTCACTGATGCTGATTGCCTGTGTGGTGTGCATTCTGTGAGACATAGCAGAAGTTGAAGAGATATTTGTTAAATAATTAATGAAATGGGCTGGGCATGGTGGCTCACACCCGTAATCCCAGCACTTTGGGAGGCTGAGGAGGGCAGATCATTTGAGGCCAGGAGTTCGAGACCAGCCTGGCCAACAAGGCAAAACCTCGTCTCTACTAAAAATACAAAAATGAGCCAGGCGTGGTGGCCCATGCCTGTAATCCCAGCTACTTGGGAGGCTGAGGCATGAAAATCGCTTGAACCCAGGAGGCAGAGGTTGCAGCTAGCCGAGATCACACCACTGCACTTCAGCCTGGGCGACAAAGCGAGACTCCGTCTCAAAAAAAATAAAAAATAAAAGAAAAATGTGAGACCGAGGGACTAAAAATTAAGATAATAAAAATATATGACCTTTAACTGTAACATATGGTTGATATTATTCCAATATTCTCAGTACCTAGTGATATGGTTTCTGCTTGTCAAGTTTGCATCATGCTATATTTAGTACTTTTAAATCAGTTTTCTTAATTGATAAGTATACATAAGCATTTTCTAGATCATTGAAAGTTATTTCTGATATAATATTAAGTCAGTAATATCCCTTTCTATATCATATTATGATATGAACATTCTTCCATTGAAAAATATTTTTATCACTTAACATGTATGTTGCTTTCTAATTTTTTCACATGTGTAATTATTACATATATATTTTTCTTATGTATTTGGTTATTTTCCTTGTATGGCTTGGAAGAATAGCTATAAAATACACGTTTTAAAGTAAATGATACTTAGGCAAAATGTCCCTCCAGAAAAATTTTCCAACTGATTTTCCCAAGTAGTTTTAAGATGCTCTTCACACTAAACTGTAGCCAATACTAAGGGATTGTTTTTTCCTCTTTGATAGTTGAAAATGAAGTTTCATTTTTATTTTTATTTCTCTAGCTGAAAGAATAAACATTTCCATATGAGTTTACTTGCCATAAGCATGTGAAATTGGTGTTGTAGTCTGCATGTCGCTTTCATCCCAATTTCTTCATTCTTGCTTCTAGGAGACGTATTTGATTGGTGATTGCATGAATTCTCCTTCCCTTCCTTCTCAACCTATTTGTGGTTCATACTAGAACCTACTGGATTTTAAGATGGGTGAAATGGTTATAAATATCCCATAGAAAAATCTCTGGAGTCTCCCAGGGTGGTGGGGACTAGCCAGTTTTTGTTTTTGTGTGTTTGTTTGTTTGTTTGTTTTAACTGAACACATTTAGCTTTGCTCATGGGCACACAGACAGGCTACATTTTCCAACATTCCGTGCCGTTACATACAGCCAATAGAATGTACTCAGACTTGATACATACCACTTCCATGCCTGCTCTGTAAATTTTTTCTACGCTTTTTTTCTTGCTTTTTCCTTTTGCCAGATGAATGGAGAGGACTCCAGACCGAGAGGCCAAGTGTACTGGATGCACGGAGCCTGGATTTCTGAACAACTGCATGGCAAGCACTTCCTGAAGGTGCACCTAACAAGGAATACTGTGGTAGGTTGTGGACTGAAGGAGAAAGAAATTTTAACTGTGTTAAGTCATTGAAATAGGAGTTTTTTGCCTAACCTTACGCATCCAGTGATTTATTTAATGGGTTAGACTAAGCAGTCGCTTCTTGGCTCCTGTTGTCAGGGCTTCTTACTCTCTAAAGGAATGTATTTCTTCAAAATGTTAAGCAGTCTGTGGTTCTTACATTGCAAGAAAAAGCAAAAATGACAATGCCCAGCATGCTCCGCAAATGATTTTATATATTAGGTTCCAGGCTTAAAGGGTCTGAGTTGATGTTTGGGTTCCCTGGCTAGGCTAATAATTTAGGGACGTTTCAGATAGTTACTCTTTAAGTCTTTGTTAAATATTGTATATCAGAGGTGATGAGAAATCATTTTTATTAATAAAATTAGAATTCCTCTTCCTTGAAGCTTATAATAAAGGATTTATTGTATGCACTGAATACAGTGTAAGTATTATTATTTATTTTTTTTATTTTTGTTTTTATTTTTTTTGAGACGGAGTCTTGCTCTGTCGCCCAGGCTGGAGTGCAGTGGCGCCATCTCGGCTCACTGCAAGCTCCGCCTCCCGGATTCACACCATTCTCCTGCCTCAACCTCCCGAGTAGCTGGGACTACAGTCGCCCACCATCACGCCGGGCTAATTTTTTGTATTTTTAGTAGAGACGGGTTTTCACCATGTTAGCCAGGATGATCTCGATCTCCTGACCTCGTGATCCACCCGCCTCAGTCTCCCAAAGTGCTGGGATTATAGGCGTGAGCCACCACGCCTGGCCCAGTGTAACTATTATTATTAGAAAATTATTGGAACCTGTTTTTCGCTTTATAGATTTCCATCACTCATTATTCAATTATGTGTATTATTCATACTCACTAAGGACAGATGTAGCATTGATATAGTTACAAAGTCTTGTTTCCACTTTCAGTTTTCTTTCTGGGCATCATAGAGGGAAGACTTGCCCATGTTTCAGTTGTGCTGATTTTTTCAAATTTTTGTGTGTGTAATTTTCCAAATGAGACAACTTTTTGGGAGGCAAAAGTAAAAAGGTAGAAAATTTTAATAATTTAATAATAATTTAATAATAATATTATTAAAAAAATTTAATAATAAAATGAATAATGGGATTTATTGTATGCACTGAATACAGTGTAACTATTATTATTTTAAAATTTATTTATTTTAAAATTTATTATTTTAAAATTTAGTAAACTCTACAATGTCACATATTATTTGGCTTCAGGGTTTCAACTAATTGTGATTAATCTTTCAAAGAACCTTGGGTGGCTTAACCAGGATTAGTGCAAATCAAGTTATACCACATAACTTGCATGTATGTTTGCAAAATTACTCAATATAATAAGGGGTCAGCATCACACATGATTATGTACTTCAGTGGGAGTAGGACATTATACTGGTTGGGGAAATAGACCTATAAGGGCAAGTTGAGTTTGCTGGAACCAAATTTCACATTTATTCCACTGGTATACTAGCATCCTGTATAGATTTTCATCTCTGGTGGCTGTGATGCCTGCCTGTATACTTTACCCCACCAATCTCTTTATCTGCTGTGACTTTCCCCCGAATTCACGTATTTAGGATGCCACCAAGTGTGGGCCGCCTCTGCTACCAGAAAGGTGGCATTGGAGGCTCTACTCCTAAAATGATTGTAGAAAAACAGTTATTTACCTTCAGGAACATGGGGGTCTATTGCCCCTGCTCATCTTAGAAACAGACTGGTAGTTGCCCATTTCTGGGTGAGATGAGCCTTGGAGTTGGACCAGGAATCACAAAGGGAATGAGTCAGGTAGCCTCTCACCTTCCTTCAAACTACCAGGTTTTCTATTTCTCAATAGCAGAGAATGGTTTTATGTCAATTGGCAAGTGTTTTTCCTTTTATCTGACAATCAGTGGGAAGTTTATTTTATGTTCTCTGCTTTGTGCTTCGTTAAATTCATTTGTTTTTTAATGAAATGTGTGGAGAAGCCACATCCCTGCCAGCCATATGACATCTTAGAGGGGATTCTCCCGCTTGGTCTTAACATTTGATGATCCTGTATAAAGGATTTCTGAGGCATTCAAATAATTCAGCTCATTAAAGGGGGTAGTGACCTAGTCAGGGAATTCTTTTCTGAAACCAAGCACATTGAAGTGGAAACGTGATGTAGGGATTATCCAGACCAGTCAGCGTATCTCACAGAGGAGACTGCAGGCTTCTGGATTTTTCTGGAATTGCTCCTGTGAGGTATGTATGTACGTATACGGCAAAAGTGTTACTTCTTCTCTTTCAGGGTTTTTGTTGTTATTGTTTTTGTTGTTATTGTTGGTTGAGCCTGAGAATTAAATTAAGATCAACAAAAGACAAGCATACGAATTTATTTAATGCAGGTTTTACATGGCAGTGGGGACTTCATAAGGAAATGATGACCTAAAGAAGCAGTTAGGGTCAAACACTTAGATACTGAATTGTAGCAAGAGTAGGAAACTGTAAAAATGTGATAAGGAAAAGGAGCTTGGGTTAGGGTAATACACAGGGTAGAGAAGTGACTAGGAAGATAAGGGTTAGTTTACAAGGTTTGTTTGCACAGATTTCTCTCTGCTTCAACGTCACATACTTGATGATAAGAATGTTACTCTACTTTTAGTATGTGGAGAACATCTTTCACATGGGAACCTCATCTCCTGCTTTTAAAAAACGGAATGAAGTTCAGAGAAGGTTTCTACACCTTCTGGTTTCTCTGTTTTTATTTAGGTGCATTTAACTCAAGGCACCTAAATAAATTCTGTGATATATGTATCACAGAAATATATATATTTGTTTCCCTCATATATATGAAATGTGTGTGTGTGTTCTGAATTGTATTGCTTTCATATTTTGGATTTTGTGACTGTTTTTATTCCTGGACCTTCCATTGTTTATATGAAGATAAGATTTTCTTCTCCTCGAGAGGATAGATCATAAATGCTATTTAGGAGAGGTAAGAGGAAAGGGAGTGATGAAGGCAAGTTAGATGGAGGAGGGAGGCAGAGAACATCTTAGTAAGGGAAGAAAGCCAACAAATCGTACAGGAACACGAGGGCAGAAGACTACTGGGGGGTAGGTATGTAGTCCACTTGACTAGAAAATAGTATTAAGTACATAAAAAATAAGAAAATTGATATTAACTGTGGTCAAATTATGGAAGAATAAAATCATGATGACTTTAAAGGAACCTTAAGTAAAGCAAGGAAAAATAATAATTATAGTGAAGAGCACAATAAAGGTTAAATATATTCTTAATGAGCTCATTGTTGGATCTTTTAAGGCCGAAAGGATATGTGAAAATAAATATGGTAGATGCAAAGTGAATCCAGAGAAAGCATTATTATGGGACATCATTTCTGAAACTGAGACTATTGAGTATAAAGATAATCCCCATTTACGTGGAAGTGGAAAGAAAATAGTACAATTGGAGTAAGATAGAGATATTTGTTTCCATACTTACATTTCATGTTAACACTTCTTGAAATGTGATGTATAAAGAAATGAATAGCATCTGATTGCAATGGAAAATTGGCCATGGAGTGGCAATGCAGAGGGAAGAATATATTTTGTTGTAAATAATGTAATTTCAAAATTTCAAGGAATCTATTTATAAACCCTTCATCTCTTTTATTACCCCACTACCTGCTACACCATTAGGATATCTTTTCAATAAAAAATAATAATAACTCTAGAGGGTAATTGAGTTAATATCAAATGGAAGTGCTTCAAGCTGTTAAGAAAGGCACTCTGCAACACCAATCTATTATTACTAATGATTGCAATAATAATGATAAAGAACTGCATAGGTAGTGAGTCTGTGCCTTGTCTTTGAAAGGGAGGAGAAAGGAAAGAGTCAGGGCGTTAACATTCCCGGTAGCATGACAGAGTAGGAAAGTAGCTGCTGGTAGGTGGGCAATTTTTCCTAGTAGCTGAAATTTACTTCTTGTATTCTTAGACACAGAGAATCTTCAGTGACAATTAACAAAAAAGTAGTGGGAGGAACCCAAATGCCCACTAAATGTGAAAGTTTGAGTGCTGTGCTGGGACACACTGTCAGTGTTAGACAATGCCATTGTGACAATGGGCCTTACTTTGCACTCACTTACATCACCCATCTGTTGGCTGTATTCAGGATTGGAACAAGAGAGTGAGTGGGCAGACTTCTCTCTCTTATTTAAAGCACGAGCAATTTGCCATTCCGCATTTATGATTTAATGTGTGTTTTAGGGAAATTGCTCCGGTAGAAAACAAGAAAGAGGGGAAGGAGAGAGTGAATCTTGGAGATCGTCGATGGTGTAGCATAAACAGGGAGAAGAACTGGTGAAGATGTTCAGTCTGAAGGCTGGCCCTTCATACACATGCTTTTTAAAAGTTGTGATATACCTTGACTTATACCAGGATGGAAAAATAAAATAGATAGACTTTTTTTCTGAGCACAAATTTATCATCTTAAAACAATTGAAGTCTGGCACAAAGATGACTGGTTAGTACTGGTTCCTTTTTCCTTACATTATTTGAATAGTATCTGTATTGTGAACTAGACCAAGCTACTCAGATACAGGTCCTAGAGAATGTCATTATCAAGTCCAGTAGAATTCTGATTTCCTTTTAAAATCTACTTAATCACTTGCCGTAAGTGCCTATTTCTGTGTTCCTCTCTGGTTCCTCATCAAACCACATCCTCTTTGAAAGCAGGGGCATGTTTGCCTCAGTATTTATGATATCTCACACAGTGTCTAGCACATGTAAGACAAAAGAAAATATTTAAAAGGTGAAAGAAGAATTTAGAGGGATATTTCAGCACATAGCTCATATTATGATGAGGTTGATGGCATATAGTAGCATCTAAGATGACAACACAAGTGATTGGTACCTTGGGAACCCTGTGTGAAATCTCATGGTTCTCAGAAAAGCCACACTGTGGCCATATAACTATGTATGTGTTGCAAGGCAAGAAGAGAGGCAGAAGGCTTCCTATCAACAACATACAGTGGCCAGAGGATTCCAGACATCCAAGTATTGTTCAGCTGATTTGTGTCTATGCAATGGCCAGGACCAGCCAGAAGAACATGATGACCTTCGAGTTTGAATATTTAGAATAAGGCTTAAACCTATATCAGGGAAGGTCAATTTCTCCAGTCTGCCATCGGAGAGAGTTAAGGATTGGACACATCAGTTTCTAAGAAACTTGGATGTTCTTACTCCAACTACATCATCCATGAAGACTGAAGGCAGAACACAGACTAATGAAAAGTTCCTATCAGCCTGGACTGATGGATAAAAATGTAGGTTGACATTCTGGTATCAGACTCTTTATTTTCCTGTAGACTCCATGCATAGCCTCTCTAGATAACAGAGTGATCTTCCCACAGATATCTTATTGTGAAGTCTCTCTTCTATGAAAACTCTTTAGCAAAGGTGTTGATGGGATAGTTTTCCGTCATAAGATGTGATTTCTCCTTAATTTACCTTGCCCGTAGGCGCTTTCTCCTGGGGCGGGGGGGCTCTACTGTTTGCAGTGGTGGAGGCTCAGGTGGAAGGCTGAATCCCAGCTGCTTTTACAAGAGCTGACTTTTATCTAGAACAAGAGAATCACTGTTTTTGAGCCCCACAAGACTCTAACTTAGAGAAGGAAAAGAGAAGATGTGAAAAAAATGCAGCTAACTAGAAGTTAAAAGGAAGGGGAAATGTGTTTTGAGATCTTTGTTGTTGTTTGTTTGTTTTTTGAGATAGAGTGTCACTCTGTCACCCAGACTGGAGTACAGTGGCATGATCTCGGCTCACTGCAACCTCCACCTCCTGGGTTCAAATGATTCTCATGCCTCAGCCTCCCCAGTAGCTGGGATTACAGGCACCCGCCACCATGCCTGGCTAATTTTTTTATTTTTACTTGTGACAGGGTTTTACTGTGTTGGCCAGGCTGTTCTTGAACCCCTAACCTTAAATGATCCACCCGCTTTCACCTCCCAAAGTGCTGGGATTGCAGGTGTGAGCCACCGCGCCTGTCCTAATATGTCTTTTAAGTGGAGATTTCCCCAGGCAAAGGAGAATCAAATTTCTTATTTCTCTTATCCTGTGAGGCCATGGAGCCTTCTTCTTTCTACCTACCTCTTTTTATAAAATATATTGCTTCCTTAAATATTCAACTATTAATAATATGGCAAGAGTACCTCTTATGCACTAGGACCATTGCTTCCCACGTCTCCTTAGGGAAGCACAACTTTTCTCCTCTCTCAGATATTCCACACAAAGGGGTATGTCTACTTCTACTTCTCCCTCCTTCTTCCAGCCAGATTTGTTAGAAGTGGGTGGTGAGAGAACTGGGCTCTGTTTTGTACAATAACAAAGAAACTAAAGGAAAAGAATGAATGTATGAACAAATAAATCCTCAGCTATCATCTACTTTTTTTTTGTATTCTTCATAGACTAAATAATGTTCATTTATTCATCCATTCATTCATCTTTTCAGTAAAAAATGTTGTTGAGTGTGTATTATGAAAACATACTGCTCAAAGGGTTGGGGATACGGGCAAGAGGCTTACTTGCATGAGCTTCCATTCTAAAGGGAAGAAAAATATGCCAAATATGTAAACAATAAACAAGGTGGTCAGGGCTGTTTCCTTTGTCCCCTGGAAAAGGAAGATTCTCCCCTATCTTACCTCCAGAGATTTATTACTGCCTAAACCCTATAATCATCCTTCTAGACTTATTTTAGAGAATACTGTTGGTTGGTTAGTTTGTTTTCACTGCAAAGCAAAAGAATGAACCAGAATATAAATAAATACATACATACATACATACAGTAGACTCTGTCTCACCTGCATTTAGGTGTGGCCCAGTGAGTAAATTCTGATCATCAGGGAATGGGTCAAATTGTTTTGTGCAACTTAGTGATCACACCTTCAAGGTGAAAGTGTTATTTTCTTCTGAGGCCTGGAATACAGACATAGTGGTGTACCGTTTTGGGCTATGTGCATGGGGATAAAATCTTATGAATGATGAAGAAAGAATATGGAAAAAGCCTGGCTCCCTAACAGGGATCACCATATCATCTTTTGATTGTTTATTCTTCTACAATTACATGTGGGAGAAATAAATAGGTTCTTGTTCAAGTCATTATTATTTTGGGTCCCCAATATGCAGCTGAACATACCCTAACTAACCTATACACTCCTGCCCTGCATGACTCTAATTCATGGACCTCTTTTCAATTTCTATGAAATCACAAAATATTAGAAGTGAGGAATACCATAGAATCACTATTCATGGTTTTCAACAACGGTACGCAGAAGTAGTAACTCTGCAGTGATCATGTAGAACCAATTTTCTCTCATCTCCATATCCACCTGCATTTTGATGTACAGCTCTCCCTCAGTGTCTATGGGGCATTTGTTCAAGATCCACTTCCACCCTAAATACCAAAATTCATGGATGCTCAAGTCCTTTATGTAAAATGGCATAGTCTTTGCATATAACCTACACACATCCTCCCGTATACTTTAGATCATCACTAGATTACTTATACATAATACAATGTAAATGCTATGTAAATAATTGTTACAATGTATTTTAAGACTTGTATTATTTTTATTGTTTTTTTAATTTTTTAAAAATAAATTCAATCTGAGATTGGTTGAATTCGTGGATGTGAAATCTGCAGATAATGAGGACCAACTATATATAATTTCTGCCAACTCTACATGCATAAGTTATCCATCTGCTTGTGTCACTCCTCTTCTTCACATCAAAAAGCTGTGCATGTAGGAAATAATTGTGATCCCCCAAATCAGTCCAAAGACACACTGAAGAGCACCCTAGAAATGTTGGCTAAGGAAAACCTGAATTTGCGGTACGCAACTTTGATGAATCTAAAAACTTGGAAAGATAAATCAAGATTTATCTTTGATTCTTCCACCTCATTCTCAACATAAAATCCATTAGCAAGTACTCTTGAATATAACTTCAGATGTGTTCTGAATCTATCTTCTGTTCTCCGTCTAAACTATTGACATCCTAGTTCAAGTCACCACTGTCTCTATCATGGACAACAACAATTGTGTCCGGAGTCATCCACCTGCTTTTCTGTTCTTTCCTTCTCTAGTCCCTTTCCACTAAGCTGCAATAATCGATCTTATGGTAATTTAAATTTGATTATGCAACTTTCCTGCTTAAAATCCCCTACTGGTTTTTCATCTCACTTGTTGCACAACTCAAGCCCCCTTGCCATGACCTATAAGCCCTATCTATATGATCCAGCTTCTGCCCCACTCTCAGCCTTATCCCATACAACTTACTCTCTAGATCACTCTGTCCAGTCATACGGAGTGTCGTACTCTTCTTTGAGTTCTGTCCAGTCATACGGAGTGTCGTACTCTTCTTTGAGTTCTGTCCAGTCATACGGAGTGTCGTACTCTTCTTTGAGTTCTCTCCAGTCATACGGAGTGTCGTACTCTTCTTTGAGTTCTTCAAGTTCATAACCATCCTGCAGACTGAGTTTGCTACAGTTTCTTCTGATTTAAAATTTTTTCTCTAGGTCATCATATGGCTGCCTCCTTACCTTTCAGATCTCAGCTTTTCTAAGAAGAACCTTCACTGACTCTTCAAGTGCCCTCCCAGTCCCAGTCACTATCACATCTCCTGTTTTATTTTTTTCCTAGCAATTATGCTAACTTACATGTTTGTTGTCTGTCTTTTCTGATGATAAGGTGACATCTTTGGAGTCAGGCCTATGCTTATCTCATTCCCAACTATATTCACAGTATCTAGAGGAAATCTTACAACAGAAGAAGTGCTCAGTAAATACATGTTGAATTTTTAAAGTGAATGAGTGGATTAATTAATTAATTAATTAATTAACGAACACTAACCTGAGATAGATTCGCCTGCCAGATCCTTAAATCTGAAGAAATTTCTGCTATGTCATTTGTTGGTTAATAAACCATGACAACAACCACAATCAGTTGTAAAACAAATCGAACAAAGGTATAAAACGAATTAATAATGGAAAGTATTTTAGCCAATTGTACTGCAAATTAATAAACAAAAAAATCAACAAATAGATACTAAAGTTCAATAACCACCAATTTTATCCAATTTAATTACTTCTTGCTTCTTCTATTATAAGACACTTATTTCCTGGACTGAGAGCCATCTTCAACTCTATCAGCTACTACTGGCTTTTCTCAAGTGACCCATTCAGCTGTCTCTTCTACCCACAGTAATGCTCTCCCCAGAATTCTACCATCATCGGCTTCAGTAGAAATATCTGTGACACACAGGGCTGCAATTACAGCCATTTGTCTCTCAACAGTAAGGAGAACAGCTGTCTTTTTACATGGGGCCCCCAACATTTCCAAGATGGTTTCTTTTATTCCTCTCTGGAAATGTGAATGCCATCTCAAACGCACGATAGAAGCAGTGCCGATAAAGTCTACTCTTGTCAGTCTCACAAACAGCCTCATTATTTGGTGACTGCAAACATGGTTTGTAGTCATTGCTCCTGCCAATCTGAAGGCTTCTAATGCTGCAGCGGAGTGATTGAAAGTCCAAGATTACAGGCGAAGGGGATGAGGAGTTGTTTATAGCTCTTGCTCATCCACTAAAAGCCCCCAGCCAGAAGCAGCTCTCTGTTTGAAGGAAAGTAAGTTTCTTCCACAGCTGAAAATAAATGTGTTTTGGGGAAAACACAGGGCTTGTGGGGGAGGAAGCATGCCTTGCAGGCCTGAGGAAAGCATGGGGGGCAGTGATGATTACTAGCAGTCGTTCCTCCACCAGGGAGGTCTCTGCATGACAACCGTCAAAGTTGGGAGCACGAATGTTTAGCTGCCTCTCCCATTATGAGGTGGAGTTAGTTATGCCATTGCAGAAACAAACCTCTCCACATTGAGTCTTGCTGTAACTGGTAATTGTATTAATGTCATATTTGATGATAGAGCCCTGTTTTAGCTGACACCATGCATCACTGGAAGGGAAGGTGCCGTGATTCCAGTTGAATATACTACGTTGTAAAGACCTTCGCTAGGCAGCAGGACTGAGGGTGCCCGGGGCAAGTGCCAGCCCATGCCATCACTCTCACAGAGCCCCGGGTATGCTTGACCATTGAAGGCCAGGAGGCTAACTGTCTCCTGGACACTGGCGCAGCCTTCTCAGTCTTACTGTCCTGTCCCAGGCAGCTGTCCTCCAGATCTGTCACTATCCGAGGGGTCCTAGGACAGCCAGTCACTACAAACTTCTCCCAGCCACTAAGTTGTGACTGGGCAACTTTACTCTTTTCACATGCTTTTCTAATTATGCCTGAAAGCCCCACTCCCTTGTTAGGGAGAGACATTCTAGCAAAAGCAGGGGCCATTATACACCTGAACATAGGAGAAGGAACACCTGTTTGTTGTCCCCTGCTTAAGGAAGGAATTAATCCTGAAGTCTGGGCAACAGAAGGACAATATGGACGAGCAAAGAATGCCCATCCTGTTCAAGTTAAACTAAAGGATTCTGCCTCCTTTCCCTACCAAAGGCAATACCCCCTTAGACCTGAGGCCCAACAAGGACTCCAAAAGATTGTTAAGGACCTAAAAGTGCAAGGCCTAGTAAAAACATGCAATAGCCCCTGCGATACTCCAATTTTAGGAGTACAGAAACCCAATGGACAGTGGAGGTTGGTGCAAGATCTCAGGATTATCGATGAGGCCATTGTCCCTCTATACCCAGCTGTACCTAACCCTTATACTCTGCTTTCCCAAATACCAGAGGAAGCAGAGTTGTTTACAGTCCTGGACCTTAAGGATGCCTTTTTCTGCATCCCTGTACATCCTGAGTCTCAATTCTTGTTTGCCTTTGAAGATCCTTCAATCCCAATGTCTCAACTCACCTGGACTGTTTTACCCCAAGGGTTCAGGGATAGTCCCCATCTATTTCACCATACATTAGCCCAAGACTTGAGCCAGTTCTCATACCTGGACACTCTTGTCCTTTGGTACGTGGATGATTTACTTTTAGCCTCCCGTTGAGAAACCAACAGGAGTGCCATCAAGCCACCCAAGTGCTCTTAAATGTCCTCGCTACCTGTGGCTACAAGGTTTCCAAACAAAAGGCTCAGCTCTGCTCACAGCAGGTTAAATACTTAGGGGTAAAATTATCCAAAGGGACCAGGGCCCTCAGTGAGGAACATATCCAGTCTTTACTGGCTTATCCTTATCCCAAAACCCTAAAGCAACTAAGAGATTCCTTGGCATAACAGGTTTCTGCCGAGTATGGATTCCCAGGTACGGTGAAATAGCCAGACCATTATATACACTAATTAAGGAAACTCAGAAAGCCAATACCCATTTATTAAGATGGACACCTGAAGCAGAAGTGGCTTTCCAGGCCCTAAAGAAGGCCCTAACCCAAGCCCCAGTGTTAAGCTTGCCAACGGGGCAAGAGTTTTCTTTATATGTCACAGAAAAAACAGGAATAGCTCTAGAAGTCCTTACACAGGTCTGAGGGATGAGCTTGCAACCCACGGCATACCTGAGTAAGGCAATTGATGTAATGGCAAAGGGTTGGCCTCATTGTTTACGGGTAGTGGCGGCAGTAGCAGTCTTAGTATCTGAAGCAGTTAAAATAATACAGGGAAGAGATCTTACTGTGTGGACTTCTCATGATGTGAACTGCATACTCACTGCTAAAGGAGACTTGTGGCTGTCAGACAACCATTTATTTAAATATCAGGCTCTATTACTTGAAGGGCTAGTGCTGTGACTGCACACTTGTGCAACTCTTAACCCAGCCACATTTCTTCCAGACAATGAAGAACAGATAGAACATAACTGTCAACAAGTAATTGCTCAAACCTACGCCACTCGAGGGGACCTTCTAGAGGTTCCCTTGACTGATCCCAACCTCAGCTTGTATACTGATGGAAGTTCTTTTGTAGAAAAAGGACTTCAAAAAGGGGGGTATGCAGTGGTCAGTGATAATGGAATACTTGAAAGAAATCCCCTCACTCCAGGAACTAGTGCTCAGCTGGTGGAACTAATAGCCCTCCCTCGGGCACTAGAATTAGGAGAAGGAAAAAGGGTAAATATATATACAGACTCTAAGTATGCTTACTTAGTCCTCCATGCCCATGCAACAATATGGAGAGAAAGGGAATTCCTAACTTCCAAAGGAACACTTATCAAACATCAGGAAGCCATTAGGAAATTATTACTGTCTGTACAGAAACCTAAAGAGGTGGCAGTCTTACACTGCCAGGGCCATCAGAAAGGAAAGGAAAGGGAAATAGACGGGAACCCCTACCTTCACTGCCCACATCCATATAGCCCACAACTGCTATAACTCTGCCACTCTTTGCATGCATGCAAATACTCATTATTGGACAGGGAAAATGATTAATCCTAGTTGTCCTGGAGGACTTGGAGCCACTGTCTGTTGGACTTACTTCACCCATACTGGTATGTCTGATGGGGGTGGAGTTCAAGATCAGGCAAGAGAAAAACACATAAAGGAAGTAATCTCCCGACTGACCCAGGTACATAGCACCCCTGGCTCCTACAAAGGACTAGATCTCTCAAAACTACATGAAACCCTCCATACCTATATTCACCTGGTCAGCCTATTTAATACCACCCTCACTGGGCTCCATGAGGTCTCGGCCCAAAACGCTACTAACTGTTGGATGTTCCTCCCCCTGTACTTCAGGCCATACATTTCAATCCTTGTACCTGAACAATGGAACAACTTCAGCACAGAAATAAACACCACTTCCATTTTAATAGGACCTCTTGTTTCCAATCTGGAAATAACCCATACCTCAAACCTCACCTGTGTAAAATTTAGCAATACTATAGACACACCCAACTCCCAATGCATCAGGTGGGTAAGTCATCCCACACGAATAGTCTGCCTACCCTCAGGAATATTTTTTGTCTGTGGTACCTCAGCCTATCGTTGTTTCAAGGGCTCATCAGAATCTATATGCTTCCTCTCATTCTTAGTGCCCCCTATGACCATCTACACTGAACAGGATTTATACAATCATGTCGTACCTAAGCCCCGCAACAAAAGAGTACCCATTCTTACTTTTGTTGTGGGAGCAGGAGGGTTAGGCGGATTAGGTACTGGCATTGGCGGTATCACAACCTCTACTCAGTTCTACTACAAACTATCTCAAGAACTAAATGGTGACATGGAATGGGTTGCTGACTCCCTAGTCACCTTGCAAGATCAACTTAACTCCCTAGTAGCAGTAGTTCTTCAAAATCGAAGAGCTTTAGACTTGCTAACCGCCAAAAGAGGGGGAACCTGTCTATTTTTAGGGGAAGAATGCTGTTATTATGTTAATCAATCCGGAATCGTCACAGAGAAAGTTAAAGAAATTAGAGATCAAATACAACGCAGAGCAGAGGAGCTTCAAAACACCGGACCCTGGGGCCTTGTCAGCCAATGGATGCCCTGGATTCTCCCCTTCTTAGGACCTCTAGCAGCTATAATATTGTTATTCCTCTTTGGACCCTGTATCTTTAACCTCCTTGTTAAGTTTGTCTCTTCCAAAATTGAAGCTGTAAAGCTACAAATCATTCTTCAAATGGAGCCCCAGATGCAGTCCATGACTAAATCTACCACGGACCCCTGGACCAGCCTGCTAGCCCATGCTCTGATGTTAATGACATCAAAGGCACCCCTCCTGAGGAAATCTCAACTGCACAACACCTACTATGCCCCAATTCAGCAGGAAGCAGTTAGAGCGGTCATCAGCCAACCTCCCCAATAGCACTTGGGTTTTCCTGTTGAGAGGGGGCACTGAGAGACAGGACTAGCTGGATTTCCTAGGCCGACTAAGAATCCCTAAGCCTAGCTGGGAAGGTGACCGCTTCCACCTTTAAACACGGGGCCTGCAACTTAGCTCACACCCGACCAATCAGATAGTAGAGAGAGCTCACTAAAATGCTAATTAGGCAAAAACTGGAGGTAAAGAAATAGCCAATCATCTATTGCCTGAGAGCACAGAAGGTGGGACAATGGTCCGGATATAAACCCAGGCATTCGAGCTGGCAAGGGCTACCCTCCTTGGGTCCCCTCCCTTTCTATGGGAGCTATGTCTTCACTCTATTAAATCTTGCAACCGCAAGACAAAAACAAAAACAAACAAACAAAAAAAAACCCTAGCTAGGTTACTAAAGCCTCTTGACCCTGGTTTGTTTTAAACACCAAACTATTCTTGAATTATAGTTTCAGATGAAAAGAAGAAAACAGAACAAATGTCCTCAGTTCTGTATTTCTCTCTTTCTCAATATTAAGCATACACACATATTCATTTGTTCAGCTATTAGAAATTATGAATTGAATACTTTCTGTGCACCACATCCATGTTTGCTGATGGTTATACAAAACAGCAAGAGTAATTCTATGGCATAATCCCTGCGCTTTGCTTCCTCAGATTTCCATGGGGAAAAGCAACTAATCATAATGGAATGTGATGAGTCCTATAATGTAAGTAAATGTCTAGGTTTTGAAAGACCAGCAGTTGCAGTGATTTGTTGCACTCTTAACTTTGGAGAGGTTATGACAAAAGTAGAAACCACAGAAGTAAGTAGAATGGATTTTCCAGGTTTAGATACAGGATGGAGAAATTGAACAAGTGGTTTTATGAAAGAAAGAAAGAGAGAGAGAAAGAGAGAGAGAAAAGGAAGAAAGAAAGAAAAGAAAGAAAGAAAGAAAGAAAGAAAGAAAGAAAGAAAGAAAGAAAGAAAGAAAGAAAGAGAAAGAAAGAAAGAAGAAAAGAAAAGGAAAGAAAAGAAAAGAAAAAGAAAAGACAAGACCTTTAGAGATTATTAACTCTGAGAGTGGAAATGTGGACAAACTCTTTGAGGAGTATAGTGAAATTTATAAACATTGTCCCCCAAGAAAGCAATGCACATAAACAAACAACACAGTTTTGAATGCAGTTCCATGAATTCATCACAGAGCAGCTGCAAGTTTGTAATACAGGAAAACTTTAGTCTGAATTTCCTTTGCTTCCTTGCATCTTTAAAGCAGTGTTTCTCAGGGTAAAGGCTTTAAGCTAACTATATTAGAAACATCTGAGCTGTTTGCTTAAAATTCAGATTTCAGGCCTATCTCACACTCTTCATTGTAACAACTGTGTGATTCTCATTCAGTGAAGTCTTTCAAAGCTCCCAAGGAATTCTGGTGCCCACACTCTAAAACCCGGTGTATTTCACACTTATTTGGACTCACTGCAAACCTCTCACCCCGGCTTTTAAACTCAGGAGTTGCACAGTTGCGTCTGCTGAGAGGCCTGGAGAACCTCCCTCACAGAAAATTACGTAGTTAGAAAATCCCAATTCTCATTCCCCCTTAAAAGATACATGCATTAAATTTCAGCTTGTGATAGGAAGCTGTCTTTCTGCCTACCTGCTTCCCATGGGTTTGTCTTATCTGCTCAAAAAAATTGAAATCTCTTGGCCTGTTGAGCCATAACTCCCCATTTTGCATCTCTCAGGTGGCTGGGCACATGGTATATGCTAATGAGTGTTTTTTAGTTGGCTATAGAGTGAGTGTTTTTGCTTCCTTTTCCTTTAATACAGCTAGCTAGCCTCTGTCATTCCATCAGGATCCAAATGGTTTTTATTTGTCCTTTTTTGCATTTTGTGTTAGGATGGTCTTGTCACACTCCTGTGTCTGCAATCACCTGGTTTATTTTATTAAGGAATGTTTTGTTAGATTTATTCTCAGCTCCTCTGTTCTCTCCACTACCTCCTCACAGTCCTTTCACAGAAAGCCCTTTGTGTTGAGCAAACAGACCCTAATCTGCACATCTCCCTCCAAACTCCAACAGGGCTGCCAGGTGAGCATCTCAACACCAGCTGGAACAGCTGTTTGAGTGGTCCTGTGCAGCAGGCAGTGACTGTGTGTGCAGTTCTCTTGTCTGATGGGCCCTGGGTCCAGCACGCTCAGGGAGGAAGCCACAAGTGCAAATGTTTGCTAACCGGCTGGAATTCCTAAAAGCAGCTGCCTGCTGATTGATAACTCGCATAATGACACCAAGTGTTCAAACACTGCCAAGCAGGAATGAGACCCTGTGAGCTCCCCTATGCAATCCCTTGCTAGTTGGCCAAATCCTTATCTTCCAGTATGCAGGCAACAAAGACAGCAAGAGCCAGAAGGTATCTGATCCAAGGATGCCTGTTACAACATTGATTTTAACACATAGGATGGGTGAGGAAGTGGCTTGATGCTTTCCACTTGTAAAATTTTTAAGAAAATTATACACAGGGGCTCAGCACAAACATGGAGCCTATGTACTGGAATATCAAGATCAAATGTATTGGTATTTTTATGCTTTATGGATAACAATGGACTTTGATATGAAACTAGTAGAACTGGCTTCTAGAAAATATTTGTTAAAGAGACTTTCTCTCTTCTAATGATCCTAAGATTGTAAGGAAGCCACAACATTTCTGTGCATTACTTTGCCACAGAATTTGGCCCAATGGTATAAAAATAAACCTTTTAAATAAAGATACATGGTCTTTGAAATTAAAATGGCCTGCCAAAGTGGTTGAGAATGGCAGTCTACAAACAAAGATTAGCAATATGCAATATTTTGCATTGATATGTCTCAAGTCACTCTATTTCATCTGTGTTCATTGCTACCAATTTAGTTGAAACACATGCCACTTCTGTGGTCACCCTTTTCAATGGAGCTTAACTGACTGACTTCCCTACTCTCATATTGTATTATATTCTCCACACAGTAGTGAGATTTTCCAAAGTCATAATGAATCAGGTCACTCTTCTTATTAACTTTCTTGGGTTGCATTTGAGAGAAATGCCCAAACTCTCTGTTACAGAAGAGAGAGAGTTCAGCATGACCCCACTTCTCTCCAAATGCAGATAAAACTACTCAAAAAGGGTTCCACAAGCTTCAGCATGGCTAGGTTTCTGTCTGCATATTATCAAATTAAATAACAGAGATTTTCTAAAAGAAAATACATTTATGTTGGGAATAGAGGATTGCAATGTGGATATGTGTGCCATAGTAAACTATGTGCTTATTCAAGGAGGTAAAGGATGACAAAGGTTTAAAAAAAAAATAAAAATAAGGAAGAGTACATAATTGTTTTGAAATAATTATCCTTGTTGACAAAGGCCAACAAACAACCCCATCAAAAAGTGGGCAAAGGATATGAACAGACAGTTCTCAAAAGAAGACATTTATGCAGCCAACAAACATGAAGAAAAGCTGATCATCACTAGTCATTAGAGAAATGCAAATCAAAACCACAATGCGATACCATCTCATGCCAGTTAGAATGGTGATCAGTAAAAAGTCAGGAAACAACAGATGCTGGAGAGGATGTGGAGAAATAGGAATGCTTTTACACCGTTGGTGGGAGTGTAAATTAGTTCAACCATTGTGGAAGACAGTGTGGCGATTCCTCAAGGATCTAGAACCAGAAATACCATTTGACCCAGCAATCCCATTAATGGGTATATACTCAAAGGATTATAAATAATTCTACTATAAAGACACATGCACGCATATGTTTATTGCGGCACTATTCACAGTAGCAAAGACTTGGAACCAACCCAAATGTCCATTAATGATAGACTGGATTAAGAAAATGTGGCACATATACACCATGGAATACTATGCAGCCATAAAAAAGGATGAGTTCATGTCCTTTGCAGGGACATGGACAAAGCTGGAAATCATTATCAGCAAACTAACACAAGAACAGAAAACCAAACACTGCATGTTCTCACTCATAAGTGGGAATTGAACAATGAGAACACATGGACACAAGGAGGGGAACATCAGATACCAGGGCCTGTTAGAGGGGTGGGGGGCTAGGGTAGGGATAGCATTAGGATAAATACCTAATGTAGATGATGGGTTGATGGGTGCAGCAAACCACCATGGCACGTGTAAACCTGTGTAACAAACCTTCACATTCTGCACATGTGTCCCAGAACTTAAAGTATAATTAAAAAAAAAAAAAAAGATTTTTAGCGAAATAGCATTGTGAGGCTTATTTTAATGCAGATTTAAAAAAACTTGCCTGAATGTTTGAAACATGGAATATGTTTAATAAATGGTCGATATTATGATGGGTAGACAGTTGATGATGGCACTGATTAAAAGACAGGTAAGAAAAAAGTACAGATAGTCAAGCTCTAGAATAAAAAATATAATATGTACAGTTCAGAACTCAGTACAGAAAACATATTGTTTTACCTTTGGTTTTGATTTTCATTTTCAAATATCAGCAATTGGGCTATTAAATTCACTTTCTTATAGAGGCATAGCACAAGCTGATTAAATATATTTAGTAGTTGTGGTCTCAGGAGTTGATTTAAAGTAGTGAAATATACACGATTTAAAATGTTTGGTGTCCAGACAGCATTTAAATCCTCAGACCAATTAAGTTTAATTATTGAGTGAGTGGTAATACTTTTCTTCAACAATGTGAAGGTTAAATTAAAATTCGTTTTCAAACTAGCAGGTAACACCTACTAATTGTCAATCAGTCAAATGTTTATTTGAGGAACTGCTTGAAAAAAATAGAGATTAAAAATATTAGCTTGAAGCTAATCTTCTCTAATATTATAAGCATTATACTTGGATTCTGCAAAGATCTTTCTTCTTTAACCAGTACTGTGGCCAATCTAAAACAGACCTTTCTGAAACTTGTAAATAAGGTCTAGCAAAGGTTTCAAAAATATGTGAATTGGAGGTAACTCATAGACTTGAAATTCCAGAAACCTCCCGTCCATAGCTGGGTGACTGACAAGAATCTCACTATTCTCTCTCACTATATTAAAAATGCAGAATGATTTCTCCTGCTTGACAAGAGCTTTTGTGGGGCATTACAAAAGGTAAACACATAGATAAGCACACAGCTACACAGATAAATGGAGGGGAAAAACCTTACAATGGCATTCAACAAAGAAAATCATCTTGTTGGGTATAAAAATTACTGAGTAAACAGACACAGAGAACAATATATGAAGAACATTTTAAGCTTCACCCATAGTCCTACAAAAACACATGCACTGAGCTAAAACTTTGCTTACGGGGGTACCGATGAAGTGAAAGGTGCTGTGCACTATGGAAATAAAGATGCCAGAAATATTTGAGAATAACTCCATTTTCTGATGATCGCTAATTAGGGAGTAGGCTCAATTGGATACTCAATTATATTTTTTAATGAAGGTATGCAACAAATTACAAAGAATAATGTAACATTTACTTGTGAAACTTACCATCCTACTTCATTACCCACATAGTTAGAGTTCTCTTGAAATGTCTTGCCCAATCAACCTTCTCCCTGCTCTCTCCCTGCTTAAGAATCAGCATAGTGCTTCTGAGATTTATTAGTGCTGATATGTATCAGTTTAATGCAAACAATCTACAACTTTATTTTAAAGAAAAATAACTATATGGCTGTACTTCTAGTCTATACACTCCTGAGTGTGCCAAAGTGTTTCATTTATTGTAGTTTATATAAACATAACAAATTTGAGAAATGCATACAATTCTTCCCATTAAATTTTTTCACAGTTGGGAAAAAATGAGCCTTAGAGAATATAAACAACTTGCCAAGGTCATATTCTACAACATCAAGCTCATATAAAGTGCAAATATGCAAGAATACACTCAGTTTTAGAGGATAATTGCATGCTATTTCATTAGCCATAAAATACACTATTTCTTTAGAAAACAGAATGATCAATTAAGGTAGTTGAATAGTAGAGATTTCTACTGCATAACACTGAATTTTTTAAGTTTGAAAAATTAGAAAGGCTGTGTTATATGTTACACATAAGAACTCCATCATAGCAATGTTACTGACCACAGTGAAGTGGAGAATAGAGAATATTACTTGACTATTTTGTACTATGAAGTATTCATTTTATGGTTCTTATGTATTCTAGCCCATAATTACGTAGAATTGTTTACCATTCAAAAATATGTATTTTGACACAAAGGAATATGGCGTAGCAACTCCTATTCCCAAATATATCCCACTATTAAATTATGATGGTGGCTTTCTGTGTTTATGTAATTGACTTTTACTCACAGATGCCTCAACTGTGTATGTTAAGATGTTTTAAAATCAATAAAGGCAATGTAAGAAGTCACCAGTTGTTGGCAAACAAAATGAAAATGATAAATTCTTGTAAGTCATAATTTTTGACAGATTGTAAAAAAATTGTATACTAGTTGTGTTAATATTGTCTTCTGACTTAATTTTCCCTACACTACCTGCCCCCCACCTACCCGGCCTACAAAAACAAAGTTTTAGGGTGGACTTTATTACAAAGATGCATCGATGTCTACCAAACTATATATCCATAAATCATTCCTACCTGCATACATAAGTTTATAAAATGTGAACATGCATATGTTCATAACCTATGTAATTTCACCACATCTTCTGTAAACTATCAGTCCCCTTTCCAGTGAGGTCAAACAAAATGTATGTTCAAAGTACATATGAAATTACTATTCTTCATTAAAATGTAAAACATTGATTTTACATTCAGGTGGATACTCTTCTTCTGAAGGAAATTTCAAAAAAAGTCTCAAAAATAAGGAAAAAGAGGACATGAGTTCGTTTTCTTGTTATGAAATCATACTTACCACACCATAACTTTCAAACAATGTCCCCACTTTCAGAATCACAATTCAGGGTACTAAATGGACACCAAAAGATGAGTACTAAAATAACAAGTCCTTTTGAATTTCTCTACCCATTCACCATCCTTGTCAATTTTTCGGTGCTTAAAATTCTATTATTTAACATTCTTGTTTTTGTTTAAAGAGTATTTTGTATCTGGATGCCTCTGGACTTGAAGAGGTTGATAGAGGTAGTAAGGAGAACACAATTCTTAGCAAAGCATCTAGACATATTAAGATGTCTACACAAGGATCTTAAATTGTAAGTGTGTTTCTTTTGACGAAAAATATATTACCTCAAAGTAGAGCTGTGTTTCTCAGCCTTGGCACTATTGACATTTTAGAATATATTACATAATTATATACATAATATATATTATAGATTTTTTTTTAATTTTGGGGGACTATCCTGTACATCGTGGTGTGTCTAGCAGCCACTCTGGTCTCTACCTACTAGACGCCAGTAGCAAACTCTCCCTTGAGTCTCCTACTCCTACATGGCCAGAAAGTTGTGACAACTAAAAAACCTCCCCAGACATTGTCCATTGTTCACTGGAGACAGATAGCTCCTGGAGGGCAATTCTCCCCCATTGAGATCGCTGAAGTAGAGTCTTGATAGGAAACAAGGAAGCACTTCCTCACTAGAATTTAAGCATCTGGTGGGCAGGAGGTTTATATTGTTCAAATCATAAACCCAGCATTTAGAACAGTGCCTTCCATATAGCAGGTAACTGATAAATATTTGCCAAAATAAGTGAATGAGTAAAATGTCCAAAACAAATGATGTTTCGATCATAAAATAGGGTACACTGTTAAAAAGTACATATTTTTAATGTATTTATTATGTTTACTAATATGACTAGATTCTCAGAAAATATGAAGCAGAAAAAGCTAAATACAAAAAGCATGTCTAATTTATTCCCATTTTGTGGTAGTAAAAATATATATATCTTGAAATATATGCAAAAATTGTGGCTGTACTAGGTAGCAGAATTGCATACTATTTTTATATTCTGCTTAAGTTCATTTATACTTTATTATGTGCAATGTTTTATTATGCAAAATTTAGTTGTTAGTTTACAGAAGATATACTAAAGAACAGAGTAGTTCCAGTACAACAAGAAAATCCTTTCCTAATTCCACATTCTGCATATCGATGAGTTCTAAACATCCTGGACTGCTGACCCAAAAGGGTTCCCTGAGAAAACTCCTCTAGATGATGCCCCTGATTCTAAAAATTCTTGTCTATGTTCTCAGAAGTGTCCTCAGTACTATGGAGACCTGGGGAAAAAATAGTTCAGAGTCCCAGTGATGAACAAGTTTAAAATCTAATTGGGAACATGAGACCTATACACATGAATCTGTGAAAACAACATGAGAAAGGATGTAATGAGATGTTAAATTTTGTGTTGTTAACTCTGCTTTAGGACTTTATGCAAGAGAGGTACCAAGGAATTAGTGCACTTGGGTAGATGGGATTTGTGCTGAATCATCAAGGTTGAATGAGACTCAGGTAAAAAAAAAAAAAAAAAAGATTGGAAAGGGCATCCCCAAAAGGGATAAAAGACAAACAAATATGGTGAGTAAAGGCACAAAGAGAAAAGGTGAAGACAGGTAGAAGGCATCAAAGATGCTGATCTCATTAGAACAAAGCGGTAAAGACAACTTATCAACAGAGGTGCAACTAGCACATAGGAAGGACTAGTCTGTATTAAGTAGCAATGCTCTAGGGCATGAACAAACTTTTCATACCTTTATCCCCCTGCACCAAATGGCAGAAGAACCAGTCTTCCTTCAGCAAAGGCAATTTTACACAGTCTCCCTTCAGGATATCGGGCACCAGTAATTTTTACAAGTTTACTCTGTTTCTCAATGACCCTGAATAACATCCAGCTTTTATCATGAGGAACCACCCTATATACTCCCAAGTGTTACTAGGATTGGGTGATAGGGTTATACTGCCCCAGTTGAAAACTGCCAAGTCCCTAGGATCTATTGTCTGATGTTTCGGGCTGGATCTGCATTTCTTTCACTTTCCACTCAATTTCTTGTGATTTCTGAGCAAGGTGTGAGCTTCATTGTGGGGTGTGGGGCAGACTCTGCAGTCAAACAGTTTGAATTGGAATCTAGGTTCCCCCAGTTGTGGGATGCATAAATTTAGGCAGGTTATTCTATACATCTAAGTCTTAGTTTTCCCATCTATAAGATAAGGCAACATACTAAGAACTCCATCTCTTACAACCAAAGAGAGGGGTTTTGGTGAATGGATGTGTTCTGGGTTGAATTGTGTCCCCCTAAAAATATATGTTGAAGTCCTAACCCTGAGTACCTACGAATGTGACTTTATTTGGAAATAGGATCTTTGCAGATAGATATAATCAAGTTGAAGGGAAGTCATACTGGATTAGGATGGGCCCTAATTCAACATAACTGCTGTCATTATAAGAAAAAGGAAATTTGAACACAGAGGCACACAGGAAGGATGCCACATAACAAAGGCAGAGACTGGACTTATGCAGCAGCAAACCAAGGAACACCAGAGACTGCCAGCAAACCACCAGAAACTAGAAAGAGGCAGGCAAGGATTACCTACAGCTTTCAGAAGGATCATGGATCTGACGCTGATTTTAGACTTCTAACCTCTAGAAGTGCTGGACAATAAGTTTCTGTTGTTTTCAACCACACAGTTTGGGGTACATTGTTACAGCAACCCTAGAAAACTAATACAGAATACGTTTTAAAACCTGGTGAAATCTGAGTAAGATAAATAGTCTAACTGATTTCAATGTGCTAATTAATAAAATGCACTCCAGTTATGTAACATATCATCATTGGGGGAAGCTGAGTGATAAGTACCAAGACTTCTTTGTCCTACTTCTGTACCTGTGTGTGAGTCTACAATTATTTCAAAGTAAAAAGTTAAAAAAAATAGGACTACTAAGAAACATCAATAAGATAATGCATGTAAATTATTTTATTTATTAAACTACTCAACCAATATTGCTGGTATTAATTTTAGAATCAGTAGATTTTTAGCCATACCAGAGAATCCAAAGGCTTGGTGTTTTAGAATCATAAGAAATACTGATTATGAAACTACTGTAAATTATTTGGCCTTTTTTGACTTTCGGATATAAGAAACAGCATATGGCAACAGATGCTGTGCACCTAGCTAACAATCAATGAACTGCAAATTTTCCACTTGGTATCATCTATCCAGCTCTCATGAAGTTGACCTCCCAGCTACAGCTCACACAGTTGATTCTTTGTGGGTCCATGACTTTTTTGGACCTTGCTTGGTGAGGTTAAGAATTTGCATATATTTCTCCTGGCTTTCCCTGATGGTGATTTGTTTTTCTGTTTCAATCACATTGAGTGGGCAGTGATAAAACCAGTACAGAAGGCCAGTGTAGCCATGTCTACAAGTTGACGTCCTCACTCATAAGAAAACGTGCAGGTCTTATGTCTCATAGTTATATGTGTCGATTGAAAATTATGGTGTCCACCTTGTATGGGAATGTCTGAAACAGTGTGTGGAGTTATGATATAATCTTGACATTTTAGAAAAATAATACTTTCAGCATTAAGCTACTTTCTACTAGGTATTCACTTTTGATTTGAGTACTTCTTTAGTTACAGCCAATGTTCTGTCTTTTACTGGTGGAATATCTGCTAGCCATGCTATAGGGAATGAAGAACAGCTCTTAGCAGAATAGAGCAGGCAGGGAAGTGGCAGTCCACCCAGTGCCCCAGGTTTTTTCATTCATCCATTCATAGAAACAAAGAATACGTATTAAGCATGTTTTATGTGCCAAGCATTAGAACTGAGTTAGCACCGAGAATAAGGCAAAGTAGCCATTCTCATGATGCTTATATGCACAGGTTGGGGAAACAGATAATAAACAAATAAGCAAATAGGTAAGTGATCATTTTAGATATTAATTGACATTTAAAAAGTAAAAACAGTAAAGTGATGTTTAATGGAAAAATAATGAGTAGGGTAAAGGTGGGGTCACAGGAGAGACTCAACGGGGAGGTGACTTTTGGGCTGAGACCTGGGTGAGGAGGAATCAGCCACACTGAAACCAATGCCAAATGTGCCAAGCAGGAGAAACAGAAACTGCCAGGGGACCTGGGGCACTTTGGAGGACAAAGAGAAGGCCGTTGTGACTCAAATCCAAGGGGCAAAAGGCAAAGTTAATTGTGACTAAGTCAGAGTTAGTGGAGAAGGAGATTACACAAAGCCTAGGAGGTGATTGACTGAAGTTGGATTTGATTCTCATGCAATCAAAGGCTTTTGGATAGTTTTAAAATGAAAGAAGGGAATAAAAGATCCTGAAGAGAAGGAAAAACATGGAGATTCCAAGGAGAGTACTCTTTTCTAGGGAGATTTCAGCTTATGATTTCTATAAATAAAATAGGTTTCAAGCAATTCAGTTGTCTGCTTGGCTCTTACATATATCACTTATGAAGATCCTGAAGTGCGGTGATTAAGAAAACAGAATCTTAACCTATTCAATGACCAGGTATTAACCTAAACTTTACAGGAATGTGATATTGGTCAAGTTAGCTTATATTTAGGCTTCAGTTCCCTACTCCTTAAAATTGAGTCCTCCCTAAGATATGCCATTAACCCAGAGCTTAGAACCTCATAATCACATATTAAATGTTAGTGATTTTGATAATGCTACCATCATCATAACCAACAACCTGACAGAATCTATTAGAGCTTTGTACATAGTACTTGCAAGACCTGTTATTTTGGGGGTAGGGACCATATTTATCTTTTAATCACTGTTTTTCCCAATGCTTGGCAAAGTTATTTGCACATTGTAGACACTCCATAAATATTTGTTAAATAATTAATGAAAAGAGGAAAGCAGATGCTCAGAAAATGTTTAATGAATTACTTAGCTGAATCCTTTACCTGTTGATTACCAGTTATCTGTAGCTCATGGGTGCTGTTTCTCTGTATTTATTCCCATTTAGATGGCAATCTTTTAAAGTTCCTTGGAATGAAACCATAATTTCTTGCATCAATTTTGAACATTCTATGAATGAGAAGGCTTAGGGTAAAAGGGAGGTTGAGGCTTGTCAAATATAGATTTTGTATCTATCTGGGTGAGACAGTATCTTTTTGATAGAATGCATCTACTTGTACAGAACTATGACTGAGTTGTGTAAAATACCCATACTATACATATTTCATGTTATCTATAAGCCAAGGCTCCAAAATGAAAAATGAAGGTTGGGCTGTCAAACTCAGCATTTGGGCAGATATTTTGATACAAAATCTGTCTACAATGAGAATTAATGTACCCAGAGTGAGGAAGATGTGGCAACCGTCCAAAGAAATCTTCTAAAAGAAAGGTCACATCCAGTAGAGGTGTTTATTTAAGGGTTAGAAAAAGAGAGATGTACATTACTCACCAATGTTGCATACATAGTCGGTATCCATTAAATCTTGCTGAATAGTCCAAACTATGAACATCAGCGGTAGAGAAATTCAAAGAACTTTGGTGACAAAGATAATAAAGAAAAGTATTATGTTGTGTTACAACAAGTATGTTTAAGAGATAAGACATTTTGAAATCAGGCTATTTGATTTGCAGCTGTATTTCTTTGAGCAAAATACTTACTCATTCTGAATGAAGTCTTAGAGTGAACATGTCTCAAATAACCTAATAAGTCTTACCTTGTAAGGCTGTTATCAGTATTGCATTAGATAATGTGTAATATAAGCACACAGCAAGTATTCCACCTACATTGGTTGTTGTTTCTGCTATTGTTATCATATTTATTGTGAAATGTTTAGCAGTTTAGTCATAAACGTGATATTCCACACAGAAGAGTGGATAAGAGATTTCTAATTTCAATCATGACAAAATAGTGGGTAGCATTTATCAGAATTATCCTTCCACCTGATAGAACCATAAAACTAAATAAAATATGTGAATCAATAAATCTCATTTATCTCATTAACAAAAAAGTGGGAAAATCATATAATCATCACAATAGATAAAGTACAACAGAATTGGAGACTTCCTCAATCTGCAAGATTTCCTGATGAAAATCCAAGAAAAACATACAGATATCATCATACCTAGTTGTGAAAGATTGAACAAGTTTCCTCTAACACTGGGTACAATGCATAAATGTCTCTTCTCAGTACTTGTGTTTGTCATTGTACCGAGCACTAGCCAGTTAGATAAAGTCAAAATAAATACATGCATAAATACATAAAAAGTGAATAAATGTAAAAAATAAAAGCTATAAAAACTCAAAAAATAAGTAAAAATATTATTTGCAGATGACGTAATTTTTATGTGGACATTTCTAAGACTACTAAGTCTAATAATGGGATTTAACAAGATTGCAAGATTCAATGTCAATATACAAAAAAGTATGTTTATATATTTGTGAAAAGTTGGAAAAATACCAATGACAATAGCTTCAATACACATAAGATAATTAGGGATAAATTTTATGAAGGACGTACAAAATCTCTATACTGAAAACTATAAAGTATTGCTGAAAAAAGTGAGTTAAATAAATAGATGTAGCAAAGGCTTGGGTTGAACTCGACATTATGATATTAATTCTCTCAAAAAAGAATACTAATTGTCTCTAAATTCATCTATAGATTCACCAAAATCTTAATTATAATTCCAGCAAATGTTTGTTGTTGTTGTTGTTTCTGTTAATTTGACAAATGGATTCCAAAATTTACATAGAAATTCAAAATACCTAGACCTTAACCTAGACCTGAACTACACAATCTTTTAAAAAGATAGCAAAGACTTTTCCTTACCTGATTTCAAGACTCACCATAATGCTACATTAGTCAAGCTAGTGCAGTTGTGGCACAAAGCTGGACAAATGAATTCATAGCTCTGAATAGAGAGTCCAGAAATAGACACATATGCATATGGTCAATTGATTTGTTGGCAAAGATGCCAAAACATTTCAATAAAGAAAAGAAAGTTTATTCACAAGAGAATGCTGGAACAATTGGATAACCGCATAGAACAAAAGATGAAACTCAATGCCTACCTAACTTTCAATGCAAAAATCTAAGCCAAGATAAATATATACCTAAATGTAGGAGCTAAAACTGTAAAGCTTTCTAAACTAATGCATAAGAAAATATCCTTATGGCTATAAGTTAGGCAAAGATTTCTTATAACTCAGGAACATTGATCATACAAGAAACAATAAATTTGACTTCTGTTCATTAGATATTATCAAGAAAATTAATATGTATGCATGGAGAAAAAATCCAGAATACATAAAGAAATCTTATGATGGTAATAAAAAGATAAACTAATAATAAATGCAATAATCCATATTTCACAAGGAAGATAAGCAGAATGGCCAATACACACACACACACACACACACACACACACACACACACACACACAATCAACATCATTAGTCATTGGGGAAATGCAAATTAAAGCTGTATTGAGAAACCACTGCATACATACTAGAATGGCTTAAATTACAACACATATGCAGGCACGCACACACATATACCCCAAATGTTGACAAGGGTATGTAGCACCAAAACTCTCATACACAGCTGGAAACAGTGTAAAACTGCACAGCTACATTGAAAAAAGATTGGCACTTTTTAATAAAGTTTACCAGATACCACTTCTGGGACCTAGCAATGCAATTTTCAGGCATTTGTCCAAGAGTAAATATGTTCGTATAATGAATATGCAAGAATGTTCGTAGCAACTTTACTCATATCCCCAAATTGGAAATAACCCATATATCAATCATCAGAAGAATAAAAATGTTTTAAATGTGGTATATCCATTCAATAAAATACTACTCAACAATAAGAAAGAAGAAATTTGTTTTACAAAAATTGGAACAATGACTGCTTCTGAGTTAGTGGTCAGGAATAGACTAGAAAAGACACAGGAAGTGTCTGGGGTGACAAAAATGTTCTGTGTCTCAAAAGAGATATGAGTTACATGAATGTATGCAATTGTGAAATCTCATTGAACTCTATATTTAATATTTGCGCATTTTACTCTGTCTAAATTTACATTCAAAAAGGAATGAACCAGAAAGTATCATTCTTAAGACATTATTTAACCCCAAATAAGACATTTTGTATACACAATCTTGAAACTCAATTGTGTTGTCCATAGAGATGAAGAAAGTTCCAGTTACTTGTTAATCCTGGATTTCAGATATATTTAGAACTCGTGTATTCTGTTAGGAGAGCAAACTTTATACCCAAGTTTAGTGATTCCTCCCATTCACCTTTAGCATGAAAATACAGAGCAACCTGTTAAGGTTCATTTAATTTATTCTATATTACTATGTTCTCTAAAGCAAGCTAAATATAAAGATTTCTAACAATGATGCATTTAGTAGGAATATTAATATACATACCTTAACAAAATGTTTTAAATATTAAATGAGAAATATTAAATATGTATGAAAGTGTTCTTTCACCTCAACGTTTATGATACAATTTGGACATTTGGCACACATGACATCAAATGCACGTGTGTTTCATTTACCCTCATATTCATCAAAATACATTTTTATTAACTTGTGTTCGTAATAATCACACTAGTGCCAGATTATAATCTCAGTGCTTCATTGCCCAATCATCCTTCGGATTTGCAATATTAGTTCCCCTTTCCACCATTTTCTAAATGAGAACACTGAGGTTCTTAATCACTAGGCTGTTTAGAGATGGATTCCATGACTCAGAGCTGGTCCTCAATACCTACTTATATATCTAGATGCTAGTAACTCCAAGTTTAATGAGCTCATGAAGTTTATGTGGGTTTCAGATATACCTAGGTTTTTATTTTCCAAGTCCTGTGGAATGAATGAAGGAGGGAATGTGCTCTTGACTGTTAGAAAAACAGAGAGCAGAGAGTTAGTATAAAGGCAGAAGGCTCTGTGTTTCTACTGTCTAAGAGACAGTTAACAACTGCCATAACATTATGGCAAAACTTTCTTACAATGTCAAATTTCTTTGTCTCACCTGCTTGAACTGAAAATAGACTAGTACATTTAATACTCAAAATTGAATCATTTGCAAGATGTTACTTAAAAAATACCTTAGTGGGTTTTTGTTCTCATTAAAATATCAACATGTAAGTCTAACCTTGAAAAATATATTGTTTGCAAGAGAAATACTCTTAGCCTGAGTGGCCCTTTTCCTCCTGCCTCTTTTTAAAAGAAGATTAAGCCATTGTTTCCTCTGAATTAAACATCTAAAGTAATGAAAATTATTTTTAAGCCAAGCAATTACAAGTTTATTGATTTTATGAGTTCAAATTATGACCCTAAACCATTCTTTATGACATTCCTGAGAGAATAGAGCCCTGTTTTCCTAAATGACAGAACAGTTCTTCTTCTGAATTACCAGAAAAGGCAGAATTAATAAAATATTGGTAGCTCTACAAAAAGAAAAGAAAAAAAGCCAGCAAACAATTATTGAGGACTTTACAAACATTAACTTACTTATGCTTGCATTGGTAATGGTAGCAGGTCTTACTGTCTTGGTTCACAAGTAATTATGGCTTATGGCTCACTGAAGCGATGTCATCATGCAGTCGTCCAAATGCTAACAGAAGGCGCTGGAATTTAAATTTAGGTCATTTTGACCCCATATCCTCTGTCTCTGTTGCATATGTGTTTTATGATTTGAAGTATTTTATCAAAATTCACTTGAGTGCTAGTCTGTCATAAGCCCAAGCATTCCTAGATAGCAGCCTGTTAACCTTTTAGTTGTCCTCACTGAATATTAAGCATGGAAAGAAGGATAAAATGCACACCGAGGAGCCAAAGTTGTTCAATTTGGTTAACCCTATCTTGCGTTCCTCCACAGTTTATTCTTCTCAAATTTCATTCAATAAGTTGAAAAATCCTGCTGTTAAAACAGAAGTTGTTAATCATGGAATTCAGCATTCTACTTTAGCATTTTATACTGGATTTTGAACATCAAGGTTCCAATCTAGTTGCTATTTTCCTTCTATCTCCTTTCTCTGGGTGATTTCATTCATGTCCATGGTTTAAATTACTACATATGTGTGCCTGTTCTCAAATTTCACCCCACCCCATTTGTCTTGTTTGTGCTTCAAATTATTTAGTTCAGTCCAATGATTTCTTCTCCATTTGGAAGTTTAACTGCCATCTAGAATTCAGTGAGCCAACAACTGAACTCAGTCACTACTCTGAAAAATAAATATTAAAAATCTGAGGGAGAAAGAAAGGAAGGAAAATGAGAAAAGAAGAAGCAGAGGAAAGCGGGTTGGGGGGGGGTGCGGTAAAGAAAAGCAGGAAGACCAGTTTAAAAATTCTGTGTTCCACATTTCAGTGAAGAACACCGACAGTCATCTAGTGGCCCACCAGGCACCAGAGCATCCCGCTTGACTTCACTACCTCATCCCATGCGTCACCACAACCCAGGACTTACATTCTAAGTATTTCTCAAATATACACACTTTTCCCAACTGCCTTTGCCACTAGGGTTTTCCAATCTCTGGCGTCTATTCTTAAATCTATTCACTAGCTTTCCCAATAGTCTTCTGTTTTTTTTTTCTTGTCAACTCTCAATCCAAACTCAATGTTGCAAAACGAGGTGAATATTCAAAAATAAAAATCTGAACATGCCACTCCCGGTTCCTAGTATGGTAAAGAGCTTAAGGCGTAAATTATGGAGCCGACTTACCTAGGTTTCATTCTGGCTATGCCGTTTAGTACTCAGAGCAAGTTACTTAGTAAAGAGTTTAAGGCATAAATTATGAAACCAGCTTACCTGAGTTTCATTCTGGCTATGCTGTTGAGGACTTAGAGCAAGTTACCTAACCTCTTTATGCATCCATTTTCTTTATTGTAAAATGAGAATAATAATAATGATTTCTACCTAATTGAGTTGTTATAATATTAAGTGAGTTAATACATGAAAAGCATACTATGTAAGTGCCATATTAATGTTAGTTGCTCTTATTTTTTCCTTATTACTGCTTAAACTCCTCAAATAAAGCCCAAACCCTACTGCAGAGCTTACCAGATTCTTGTGTTTGAGCCACCATTTACCTCACTGTTCACACTCTTGAGCTGTTAGCATTTTCCACCCTTATTGTAGAAGTCCTGGCTATGAACTTCTAAAATTATTATTACTTTTAAAAATTGACATATAAAATTGAATGTATTTCCATGTATAAGGTTTTGAAGTGTGTGTGTGTGTATATGTTGTAAATCTACATACACACATGTATTGTGAATAGATACACATATATATGTTGTGAATATATATATTATATGCTGTGGTTACATATACACATATATATATTACATATATATAGTGAAAGAACAAAATTTAGCCAATTAATAAATACATTGCCTTACAAGGTTATCCTTTTTTTGGTGAGAACACAATATCTACTCTCAATAATTTTAAGAATATAATATATTGTTGTTAACTATAGTCACCATGTTATACAATAGATCTGTTGAACTTATTTCTCCTATCTAACTGAAATTGTGTATCCTTCAACCAGAATCTCCCTAGCACCTCCACCCTAACCACCCTCGCCCCTGGTAACTACCACTCTATTCTACTTGTACAAAATCTACTTTTTTAGATTCCACGTACGAGTGACATCATGCAATATTTGTCTTTCCGTGCCTAGCTTATTTTATTTAACATCATATCTTCAGGTGCATCTATGTTATAACGAATGATAAGATTTTCTTCTTTTTTAAATGACTGAATAATTTTATGACTAAAATAATTTCATTTTGTTTATCACCACATTTTTTTTTATCCATTTATCCATTGATGGAACTTAGGTTGATTCCATAACTTGGCTATTGTGAATACTGCAATAAACATGAGAATGCAGGCACCTCCTCAACATACCAATTTCATTTCATTTGGATACATAACCAGCAGTAGAATTTCTGGATCATATAGCCATTCTATTTTTAATTTGTTGAGCATCCTCTGTACTGTTTTCCATAATGGCTATACTAATTTACATTCTTACCAACAGTGTGCAGGGTTCATTTTTTCCTCCACATCCTCACCAGTACTTGTGTGGTTTTCTTCTGTGTTTTCTTTCAGTAGTTTTAGTTTCAGGTCTTACATATTAGTCTTTAATCTATTTTGAGTCTATTCTTTGTATATGGTGTGAGATAGGGGTCTAATTTCATTTTTCGGTATGTTGGTATCCACTTTCCCAGCACCATTTATTGGAGAGACGGACCTTTCTCCATTGTGTGTTCTTGGAAAACTTGTCAAAAATCAGTCAATGTTGTCTTATTTCTAGGATCTCTATTTTGTCCGTTTGGTCTATGTGTTTGTCTTTATGTTAAAATAGATCAGTGTCATGCTCTTTTGCCTACTATACTGTTGTAGAAAATTTGAAGTCAGGTAGTTTGATGTCTCCAGCTTTGTTCTTTCTGCTCCAGGTTGTGGTGACTATTTGGGGTATTTGTAGTTCCACACAAATTCTGGAATTATTTTTTCTATTTCTGTGAATAATGCCATTAGTATTTTTATAGGAATTGCATTGAATATGTAGATTGCTTGGGGTAGTATGGACATTTTAACAACATTAATTATTCCAATTCATGAACATGGAGTATCTTTTCACTTATTTGTGTCTTCTTCAATTATTATACTAATATTTTATAGTTTTCAGTATACATATCTTTTGGCTCCTTTGTTAAATGTATTCCTAAGTATCTAATTTTGTGTAGTTGTTATAAATGGGGTTGTCTGTATGACTTCTTTTTCAGATAGTTCACTGTTAGTGTGGAGAAACAATACTGATTTTTTTAATGCTGATTTTGTATCCTGCAACTGTATTGAACTTGTTATTAATTCTAATAGTTTTTTGGTGGAGACTTTAAAGTTTCCTATATATAAGACCATGCCGTCTGGAAACAGGGTCAATTTAACTTCTTTCTTTCCTATTTGGATGCCTTTTATTTCTTTCTCTTGCCAATTGTTCTGGCTAAAACTTCCAGTATTATGTTGAATAGAAGTGACAAGAGTGGTCAACCTTGACTTATTCTGTATCTTGGAGAAAAATCTCTCAACTTTTCCCCACTGAGTATGAGGTTAGCTATGGGTTTGTCATATGACCTTTACTGTCCTGAAGTAAATTACTTCTATACCTAATTTGTTGAGTGTTTTTCAATTATGAAAGAATGTTGAACATTGTCAAATGCTTTTTCTGCATATATTGAAATGATTGTATGTAATTCTTCACTCTGTTCATGTAATGTATTACATTTATTGATTTGCATGTGTTGAACCACCCTTGCAGCTCAGGGATGAATTCCACTTGATCGTGTGAATGATCTTTTAAATATGCAATTTAATTCAGTTTGCTAGTATTTGGTTGAAGATTTTTGCATCTATGTTCATCAGGAATGTTGGCCAGTAGTTTTGTTTGTTTGTTTGTTTCCTTCTTGCTTTTTTGTAGTCCCTTTGTCTGGTTTTGGTATAAGAGCAATGCTATTCTGGCCGTAAAGTTCTTTCCCTTCCTCTAATGCCTTATGTTTCATTTTGCCATTGATGCATTCACTTGCTATCTATGGAACACTCTTTCCTAACCATACATCTCCCCTTCTTCTTTGAAGTTTCAATGTAGATATTCCTTCCTCTTGGAATTATTTTTTAAATCCCTAACCTGGGTTAGGTGCCCATCCTCATACGCTATGACCTCATACTTCCTTAATCTTCACCACATTTCTATAGAACATTGTAACTGACTGTTTACATGTCTGTCTTTACCACTAAATATATAAGTACCATGAGAGGGGGAATTCTGTCTTTCTTGTATTCATTTGCATAGTATCTGGTACAGTGTAAGGTCTTAATAAATACTTATTTAATTTGTTAAATGAATGGACTTTGTGCATTTTGTCCACTGCACAAATGCTCAAAGCCAAATGTGCGTTATACCATGTTCAGTTTCTAGTGGCAAGAACACAGAAAATAAACCCCTTAATACTGAAGTCGATAGATTGCAGTGGTAGATGAGACATGTCCCCTGCCTATCCCCAGTGCCTCGTCATTTTTTATTCCAGATTCTTGAACTCATCAGTAAGAACCTAGCCATAGTCATAATTTTTATTTTTCTCACATTCTCACCAGTCAATCACTATGATTATTGATTTTCTCAAACTTAATAAATGTAAGATATCTCATAGCCATTATGATGTAGAATACCATAGCTTCGGGATGCAAAGATTACTGTAGAACTATTATTTTAAAAGTTATGATTTATAGTTATAGCAGATGTTTTAAATAAAAAAGAAAAAACTGAACTGGTAAGATTCTTCTTAAATTTATTTATGATTCCAAAGAAGTTTTCACATATACGTATGAGAAACAGTCGTAATCATTTAATTATGCTTCTAGTATATGAAAACCACTTTTAATGTTTGTTTGAATCATTTTTTCTTTGTGAATTGCCAAAGATGATAAAAACACAGTACCACATTATATTTGAAAGTACAAGGAGAATTCTTCTTCAATGGTCCCAAAGGTAGTGAACTAAATGGCTTAAAAAGTACAATAAGTACTTCTCAGTTATAGCAACATTTTCTAAGCTAATTTTCAAGATATTTCACTTTTCAAGGTGATTTTTTTTGCAGAAATGAAAAAAATTTAAACAGACTTGGTTATGAACTGTTAGGAAATATGATTTCATCAAGAATGGGAAAATTTAAAATGCAGAAATGATTGCACAGCAGTCTTCACACTGTCTGAAAGAACAAGTGGTTAAGGAAGACTACAGTACTTTTTCTAATCATGTCCCTTGTGTTTTCGGTCTATTGAATGTACAAATTAAAAAAAAAATTAAAAAATTAAAAAACCTAAAATCAAAACCACATTTTCCTTTCTTCTCTACTTTCCCTGAGGTCACTTTAATTCTTTATATGCTAAGACTATCCCCCTCAAATGAGAGGGGATTTCCCAAAAAGAACTCTTATTTCAATATTCTTCATTCAATATATGTTCCCTCCATGTCATATGAATTCTAATCTTATACAATTCCTTTATGTTCTTACAACAATACACTGGTGATTTAATATACTTATCAATTCATCCCTCCATCCATCCATCCATCCATCCATCTATCCATCCATCCATTCTTTGAATTTTTAGCCAAGCCTGGCACTGCACTAACAATTTTTTGTGACCCTTAGTTTTCCCTTAATGAATCATGGTTCACACAAGGAGAACATAAGTAGGATGATGTTTCTCTCCATCAGTTGTTTGTCGTGTTAAATTTAGCTATATCTGGCAGTGCCCAGATTTGATAATGATAAGTGAGTGTGATATACATGCTAGCAGAAAGGTATTTTATTATTCCTGCATGCAATGAGTAATTTTCAACCCACTGCAATCTCTGTTGGTTGCAGTAAACCTCAAATACAAAACACTCAGCTGAAATTACTAACAAAATAACCTTTCCAAGTGATTTCTTTTCTCTTTTCCTGGTATCATTTGAAGCATGATGCCCAGTGAGGTAGAACTTTAATTTGTGTTTATTCATTTATTTATTTAAATAAAGGAACTTGCACTTGCAAAGTGCCTTCTTGTTTCCATTTCTATAGATAGTAGCATTCGTTTGCTTGGGGTGAAGTTTCTTTTTTCTCCATCTTATCATTTTGGGAGAAAGTGGACAAACTTGCATAAGGAGCCCAAGGGCTTGCTCTAGTAAAAGGATAACAATTCAAACTATTTCCCTTTATGTCCAAGCCTGAAGAACCTGGGGCTGTGACTGGGACCTGCTGGCAGGACAGGAAGCATGAATCCCTGAAGGGAACTAACTCTAAAGAAAAGAGGAATCAGAACTAATGTCCCAGATACAACACCAACCCCTAAGTTTTCATGCCAGGGGATATAGCAAGTGAGCTGCTCCCTTTCTAATCCAGCTACTGAGGCATCATGAGCGCAGCAGACAGATGAATGTTCCCTGTGTGATTTTTTTGCATCTTCCACTAGACTTCTGACTTTCCTCATTGGGGAGCAATAACACAGAGACACAGCGTGTCTGCTTTACTGCTGTAAGGAGAACGACATCTTATCACCTTTCACAAGCCAAAACTGCAAGATCCTGGGATCGAGACTTGGAAAAAATAAAGAGTGGACTTCTCCTACATGAGTGGGATGAAGGCATAAAGACATTTAATCTATTGCATAACTTAAACTAGAGAAATGACCAGTGATATAGTTGATAAATATTTTGATCATTTCACTCTGAGCAAATGATCTGACTATAGATTGTTGTACTACTTTGGAACTTGAGGAAACAATAGATTTATGTTAAAAGAAACCACGAGGCTAGACTGGCTGGTATTTCTCCTAATCCCCTTCGCTCTAAATGTCTGGACGAGATGGGCCACAAGAGGCTCTTGTGAAGGATTTGGAGGATGGGCGTAAATCTGCAGCGCTTTTGCAGCTCACACATGGTCACTATCCACTGACTCACCTCTGGGCTTGCCTGTGACAGCGGCTAGCCTGCACCTGTTTCCTTTTCCCCTGGCTCCTCCTGCAGCTTCTCTGACTCCTGGGCCAGGTGTGAGTTCAGATGTTTGATGAAGGGCCCGGCTGCTGCAGGTCACTCTTGTCATCATGGTCACAGGCAACAACAGCGAACGTGGGTTTCTGTCTATCTCCGTGGGCTCTAGATCCAGCTTGTAGTTTCCAGCTTGTCCCTGCTTTTCCTGATTCTACATCCGGCTTTCTTCCCAGACCCAGCTTCCTGTCTAGCAGACAACAACACCAGTCTCATACAATAGACTAGAGAGGCTGCCTGCCCAGCTCCCACCATTGCATGGGGCAAATCCATACTTGTAATAAATTCATATTTATTTACTTATTGAATTGAACGCTGACAGATACAGTGTCCCCTGGCAGCAACAGACTGAAGACTGAAGTGTCATCAGCCCACGTTGTAGTTACCTGGGCACACATGGCAAATGTTACCTTTCAGTGAGTCTTAAAGGTGTGAGTATTTAGACAACTATTTCTCCCACTCTTCAAAATTTAAGAGTCCATTTTAACAAAAGTAAAGCTTATTTTCCAGACAAAAGTTATCCCAATGCTACTTCCCCACCCTTGCTTTAAGGCACTGTATGTTTCCATTTTCCCGCCTTTGTTAGATTAAAAAAACTCAAGACAAAATGTTTGACTATATATCTCTAAAGAGCTAAAGCTTATCTGTTTCTCAGAAGATTGGATGTCGAGCTTTTACTGAACTCTATTTTTAGATCACTACCTCTTTGATAAATCTCTAATATAAGTGCCAGTGCAACTGGATGTGTCTTTTTTGTTTTGTGTTGTATTTTTTTGGTGTACGAGATTTTAAATCTCAAAGATAACAGTACAAGAAATCTTTATCATCAGGCACATGGCTTATGCATCATCTTCATCAGCAAGTTGACATAAAAAGACAGAAAATTGCTATAAAGTTACGAGTGAAAATAGAAAGTGGCCATTTAAACGATTATCAATGCAAATATTAAGCCTGAGTTTTTTTCTGGGATAGAACCACCTCTCCTTCCACTTTGTAAAACTACTCTTAATCATTACATTCCTCCAAATGAACAAAAATCCTAACCATATTTCAAGCACATGTAGAAAATTAGCTCGTGAAAAAATAGTAAAAATGATTTATTAGGAAATTTAATTTCTGTAAAGTTCTCATTTTATTAGGAAATTTAATTTCTATAAAGTTCTCATTAATGATATATTGGGTCAGGGGTAGTAACAATTTATTATAAGATAAATAAAGCAACATGTTTCTTGATATTGGAAACCTAAGTACAAGCAAAGTTTCCTAGCATAGTCTTTGATAGAATGGTTCCAAAAAATATCTCAAATAAATGCACAAAATACTGGATATATCTCAAAGACACCAGTGCATGGAGATCTTTATCATCAATGCATGTTGCTTAAGTACCATCTTAATTAGGAAGCTGGCATGAAAAGACAGAAAATATACGCATATATATACACACAAATACGTATTTATTCTTTGTAAATTGTATATATTTAGAAAATAGATACATAGCAATTGTAATGAAAACTAAAACACACCTAAGTTGGATACATAAGTGCATTGTGGTCTAAGGCAAAACTCTCCCTACAGCTACCCTATGAGTAGGCCTCAGGAAACAACGTAACCTCTCATTATTCAGATGAGGAAACTGACGACCTAGGAAGTAAAGACCTGTAGTGGTCACTGCAGGGTCTTCTGACTTCTAATCCAAAATGCTGACTTCTCCCTCTGGTCCTCAAAAGAAGTCACCTAGCACTCTGTGATAACTTTACAGCTCCGACTGGAAGAAGAAGAAGAAGAAGAAAAAAAATAGCCTGATTTATTCCCTTTTTACTTAAAAAACAAAATCCACACGCTAAGAATATTCCTGTTGTTGGTGTGAAGGGAGTGATTTCACATTTGACAAAATGATGCCAACTCAGACGGGTGTTGCTGGTGCCTGACACCCGCAGGCTTTGGCACCTCTAAATTCAAAACCAGCTGCCATCTCTCATTTTTAAGCTCTTAGAACCACCTTCCACTAACAAGGGTCATATTTAAACTTTCAGTTTTTTCAAAGTTATAATATGTGTGAAAAGCAGGATATTAAAGCAGATGAAGAGAGAGCCACACAGATACCAGAGGGCAGACTGTTCCTATACTCAGATGCAGGCTGGAAGCTAAGTTACTATTTCACTACTAGAGTTCTTGGAAAATAAAGAAAGGAAAGGTACTGAGAATCTGGGTCTGGGTCCTGGCCCCTGTGGGTTTGGTATTTTAAAACCACTTAAACGATTTATGTCACTTTTTTTAACAGTCACCAGGCACCTGCTGACCCAGCTCTACTGCTTGCTAGCTATGGAACTTTGGATATGTTGACCTCTCTGTTCCTCAGTTTCCTCATCTTTAAAATTCAACAGTAATAATATCTACCTCATGAAATTGTGTTGTTCATACCCACGTAACGTACTCTAGACTTGTTGAATCAGATATCGAAGGCGAGCACCTGGGGGATCCATATTTTTAATAGGCACTTTCGAGTGATTGTTAGGACTGGGCAAATTTACTAAACATTATTAAAATGGAAAAAGGATAAATACAGAAGTCAGACTCCGATTCAAGGAGAATAATAGACAAAGTATGGACAGCACTTACTGTGTGCCAGGCACTGTTCTAAACACTTTGCAAGTAATTTAACTGTTGTTGGTGTGAAGGGAATGATTTCACATTTTACAAAATGACACAAACTCAGGAGGGCATTGCCAGTGCCTGATACCTGCAGGCTTTATAAATTTTAGAAACATATTTAGAAAATTGTAATGTAGCAACTATAAGGAAATCTAAAAACACACATAGATCATCTAGTCTTTAAAATTAGAGAGTAATAATATCTTCCACATGGAGTTGTACTGCGGTTGAGAAAATGCACAAAAATGCCAAGAGGTTTTTGACTATTATAAACAATATCTTAGTAGTTATTATTGTTAGTGTGTGTGAGGCAGGCATGTTCACATTTAATCCTCAAATTCCTCTGCTAGGTCAGTGTGTATAAAAGAAGAAATAGAAGCCCAAAACGTTTGAATAAATTGCTTATAATTAACACAACTGACAGACAACAGTTGAGATCTATGGGATGATTATAATGCTGTTTCTACACTCCTGTGATATGATCTCCAATCACCAGCTCAGGTAACTGTTTACCTCCAGGAGACACTTCAACATGGTGGTTACGAGTTTGGACTGTGTCATCAAATGGTCTGGGATCAAATCCCAGCACTGCTGTTTATGGCTGTGTGACTGTGCCAGTCCTCAGCCTCTCCATGCTTCAGTCCCTTCATCTGCACAATGGGATTCATAGGATTGTTATGGGAGTAAATTTGTAAGTAAATACTTGCAAAGTGTTTAGAGCAGTGCCTGACACACAGCAAGTGCTCTCTACCCTTTGCCTATTATTCTTCTTGAATCCAAGTCTGACTTCTGTATTTATCCTCTTTTCATTTCAATAGTGTTTACCAAATTTGCCCAGTCCTAAAAATCACTTGAAAGTGCCTACTACAAATACGGATTCCCCAGGTTCTTGCCTTAGATATCTGATTCACCAAGTCTAGAGTAGGTTACAGGGATATGCATTTTTCACATACCTGATGCTTCCCTCCCCAACCAACCAGATGACTTTTACGATATAGCAAATGTAGAAATTCTATATGAGAAGTCCTCAAACTTTAGTGTTTGTGTGAAATTATCTATAGAGTTTTGGAAAGTCCACATGTCTAAACCTTACCTGTGGAGGGTGTAATATAAATGAAAGGTTAGACCCGCGCACTTGACATTTTTTTTTATGATTATACTTTAAGTTTTAGGGTACATGTGCACATTGTGCAGGTTAGTTACATATGTATACATGTGTCATGCTGGTGTGCTGCACCCACTAACTCGTCATCTAGCATTAGGTATATCTCCCAATGCTATCCCTCCCCCCTCCCCCCACCCCACAACCGTCCCCAGAGTGTGATATTCCCCTTCCTGTGTCCATGTGATCTCATTGTTCAATTCCCACCTATGAGTGAGAATATGCGGTGTTTGGTTTTTTGTTCTTGCGATAGTTTACTGAGAATGATGATTTCCAATTTCATCCATGTCCCTACAAAGGACATGAACTCATCATTTTTTATGGCTGCATAGTATTCCATGGTGCATATGTGCCACATTTTCTTAATCCAGTCTATCATTGTTGGACATTTGGGTTGGTTCCAAGTCTTTGCTATTGTGAATAATGCCAAAATAAACATACGTGTGCATGTGTCTTTATAGCAGCATGATTTATAGTCCTTTGAGTATATACCCAGTAATGGGATGGCTGGGTCAAATGGTATTTCCAGTTCTTGATCCCTGAGGAATCGCCACACTGACTTCCACAATGGTTGAACTAGTTTACAGTCCCACCAACAGTGTAAAAGTGTTCCTACTTCTCCACATCCTCTCCAGCACCAGTTGTTTCCTGACTTTTTAATGATTGCCATTCTAAGTGGTGTGAGATGGTATCTCATTGTGGTTTTGATTTGCGTTTCTCTGATGGCCAGTGATGGTGAGCATTTTTTTCATGTGTTTTTTGGCTGCATAAATGTCTTCTTTTGAGAAGTGTCTGTTCATGTCCTTCATCCACTTTTTGATGGGGTTGTTTGTTTTTTTCTTGTAAATTTGTTTGAGTTCATTGTAGATTCTGGATATTAGCCGTTTGTCACATGAGTAGGTTGCGAAAATTTTCTCCCATTTTGTAGGTTGCCTGTTCACTCTGATGGTAGTTTCTTTTGCTGTGCAGAAGCTCTTTAGTTTAATTAGATCCCATTTGTCAATTTTGGCTTTTGTTGCCATTGCTTTTGGTGTTTTAGACATGAAGTCCTTGCCCATGCCTATGTCCTGAATGGTAATGCCTAGGTTTTCTTCTAGGGTTTTTATGGTTTTAGGTCTAACATTTAAGTCTTTAATCCATCTTGAATTGATTTTTGTATAAGGTGTAAGGAAGGGATCCAGTTTCAGCTTTCCACATATGGCTAGCCAGTTTTCCCAGCACCATTTATTATATAGGGAATCCTTTCCCCATTGCTTGTTTTCCTCAGGTTTGTCAAAGATCAGATAGTTGTAGATATGTGGCATTATTTCTGAGGGCTCTTTTCTGTTCCATTGATCTATATCTCTGTTTTGGTACCAGTAGCATGCTGTTTTGGTTACTGTAGGCTTGTAGTTTAGTTTGAAGTCAGGTAGCGTGATGCCTCCAGCTTTGTTCTTTTGGCTTAGGATTGACTTGGAGATGTGGGCTCTTTTTTGGTTCCCTATGAACTCTAAAGTAGTTTTTTCCAATTCTGTGAAGAAAGGCATTGGTAGCTTGATGGGGATGGCATTGAATCTGTAAATTACCTTGGGCAGTATGGCCATTTTCATGATATTGATTCTTCCTACCCATGAGCATGGAATGTTCTTCCATTTGTTTGTATCCTCTTTTATTTCCTTGAGCAGTGGTTTGTAGTTCTCCTTGAAGAGGTCCTTCACATCCCTTGTAAGTTGGATTCCTAGATATTTTATTCTCTTTGAAGCAATTGTGAATGGGAGTTCACTCATGATTTGGCTCTCTGTTTGTCTGTTGTTGGTGTATAAGAATGCTTGTGATTTTTGTACATTGGTTTTGTATCCTGAGACTTTGCCTGAAGTTGCTTATCAGCTTAAGGAGATTTTGGGCTGAGACAATAGGGTTTTCTAGATATACAATCATGTCATCTGCAAACAGGGACAATTTGACTTCCTCTTTTCCTAATTGAATACCCTTTATTTCCTTCTCCTGCCTAATTGCCCTGGCCAGAACTTCCAACACTATGTTGACATTTTTTAAATTCAGTGATCCCCATTGGCCTTGCTGGTTGAGATCATCTCACTGTATCCACCCAGTAACATTCAGTATGTGTAACCTTCAGTCTGGCTGGAAGGGCCTAGGTTCTCACAGTCGTGGCAAACATTCACAGAAGATGCCAAGGTTAATCCAAATAGCAATTCAACGTTTCACTACATGGAGGGTATCCCGGTTTTGTAAGTAAGTAAGAAGGTTTTGTGGTTTCAGAATTAAACACCACCTGTAGACTGATGGGCATAGGTCAAATTCTGGAATTATCCTGTTTACATTCAGCAAACTTGAACAAAAACCTTGACCTGTCTGCTGGTCTTTTCTGTTCTACTTTTCTTTGCATAAAAATTGTGAAGATTGAGAGTTAGATCTAAAATCTGTGGAGGTACAGGGGATGGTTATAATCCTGTTCCTACCCATATGTAGTGTGACACAGCAAACACCAACTCTGGTGACCAAGTTTCCAACCATGATATTGGACTGAAGATTCTTCCACTCTATAGTCATTGGCCTTAACTTCTATGAACACACTTGCTAGAAAAATGATAGGAGACTTTTATTTGGCACAGAATGGAACCTCACACCCAAACCATGGGAACAGAATAGTTTTAATGGCTTTAAAGTCAATGACAGAAATCCAATTCAAACATGTTAAATACACACACACATGTGCACTCACATGATTGAGAAGCCCAGGATTTGGATCCAGGAACTAAGGTCATATTGTTAATGTCTCTTCCACATGTCTCCCCACATATCCAAAGTTCCTACATTAGACCTTTCATGTAGTAAGTTTTCAATGAATCATTACTGAGTGACTTTTTAACTTACTCTATGTGTTTTCTGACGTATTTTCTAAACTGTGCATATCTCAAATTTTGGATAAGGTGTCTAGATTTTTTAAGGTACTTTACAACTTTTTTCTTTTGTTAAACTATGTTCTGTTGAGTCCTGTGAATTTATTCCTCATTGTAAAAGTACTGAACAAAATAAAAAATACATTTGTAGCCCTGCCATCAGATACTTTTGACATCTTGGCCTCATTTTTAAAGTGAGAACATTGATGTTTTCAGAACTTTAAGGTTATGATATTTTTGTATGTCTGAACTTAAAGATGAGCTATGTGTTCTCTGTTACCTTTCTCCTTCAACAGAGGATTGTACAACATTCATATGAGATCATCTGAGAAAAATAGCAGCATGTCCCCTTAAATTTGCCTAAAAATATATAAAATTTTGAGTTAATTAATTGACTGAAACTACAACCACTGGCAATTATTTCTTCTAGTTAACCACTGCCTCATTATCCCAGGCCAAGCTTCTGTCATTCATTTCTTCATGCATTCATTCATTCATTCATTCATCAAACATGTGTTGAACGTGTAATTAGATGTTAGAGATACAGAGTTGAGTGAAACAAATGCAGAGAGGGAATGACAAATCTCATGCATGCTGGTGCAGACTTGATTAATTGAGCGAATATTTATCAGGTATCTCCTAACACTCAAGCATCATGCTAGGCTTTGAAGATATAGTTGTAAACAAGAAAGACAGAATCACTCTCCTTATGGAACTTAAAACATAGTGAAATGGAAAACAAACAGCTGAATAAAGAAGCAAATAAACAGAATAGATGGAGAAGCTCTATGGAGGAGTCATACTTCAGGTCCTGTGACAGGATAAAACTGTAATAAGATTTTGTGGAGATAATTGGTGGTATTTTTAAGAGATGGGATAGCTAGAAGGTCATATGTGATTTTTTTTGAGAACTGAAGGAATGGAAGGATGGGTACAAGACAGCCATGTGAAACAACAGGAAGAGTATTCCAGGCAAAGGAAAAGTATCTGCAGAGACCCATTAACATAAGTTATAGTACGGGAAGGAGATAAGCATGAGTAACGTGTGATAAAACAAGACGGGTGGGGAGAGGTGGGCTAATAAGTCATGCTTTAAGACATGGTAATAAATTTGATGTTTACTCAATTATAATTATGATGTTAATGGATGACTACAATATATCTAATAAATGTTTGTTGCGTAATGGTTCAAAACAGGAGAAAATACACACAGGAAATTGTAAAAGATACAAAATAAAGAGCAGTTTATCATAAGTGTCCCTAGCACATAGAAGTGTATATATAATTATGAAACAATTTCAAAGTTACAGACAAATTAAAAGAATAGTATACAGAATTCCCGTACACCCTTTGCTTAGAGGCTCTTTTTAAGTTTCTCTAATTGTCTCATTAATTTCCTTTGAAGAAAAAGAATGAAACCCAGAATCGGACATGATACCCAGTTGTCAGCTCTCTGATCTCCTGCAATCTGGGACTGGTTCCTGAACTTCCTGGACTTTCATTCTCTAAGTTTGCATGCCAGTCATTTCGTGGAATGACCCTCCGCTGGGGGTTCTCTGGTTTTCTTCGTGATTAGATTCAAGTATGCATTTTTTAATGCATTAAAACACATTAAACATAAACAAAACATAAAACAAAAACACATTAAAACAGATATGGTGTTTTCTTCTGCAGCTTGTACCCTATCCCATGGCTGATGAGGCATGTTTGTGCCACTTCTGGTGATGTAAATTCTGTTCCCTTCATTAATATGGGGCCTGCCTAGTTTGGTGCCCATAGAAAGTTATATACCCCTTATATTTCATAATATTTTGTGGAGAGATAATTTGATACTAAACAAAACTCCATTCTTCTCACTTTCACCACTGGTTTTAGCAGCATTGATATGCCTTTTCTGAATCAATTATGACCATGATTATAACCGTAAAATTTAGATTTTCTATTTCATCATTTTCTACAGCCATTAGTTTGCATTCTATTGTGTAGAAGGACATCACCCCCTTTTTATTCATACATCTATTCATATTAGTATAAACTTGTGGATTTCTGTTTAATTTAGTGAGTTATAATCTCTTAAAATTGTATTTTATTCATTTTGAGGATTAAACAGTCCCAGGTTGTATCCAGTGAGAACCCCTTCAAACTGTCTGTATTTTTTTTTTTTTACAAGTCTTCTTCATTCTTTGAGGACTTCCTTACTTTCTGGTACAACAAAGTGCTTTGGGATTATTCTTTTCCGGACCTCGACCTGGGAGTTGACTGTGTCCTTGACAAGGCCTGGTTGCTTCCAGTAGAGAAATGGTCCAAGACCTGGACATAGTTGCACCCATCACTACTGGGATGCCAGTGATCTTAGGACAGGAGGGGCGAGAGTTTATGTAAATACCTCCAATTCCAGCCAACATGCAAAGTTCATTCTAGCTTTTCTCCCTTTCCATTTTTGGTTGTCCATTCTCAGACAGTGAGAAAGCTTACCAGACTATCTTCTCATTCCACTCCACTCCAATAGCCTCCTCAGGTGGACCACAGTTGCTACCAGACTAATGAAAATAAGTAAAAATAAAAAAGAAGGAAGGCAGATACTGACTTCACATTCTTACTGGTTTTCATAAATGAATTCAGTGGATCCAGAGTGATATAATGTGTATTATTATTTATAAACAATATCCAGCCTATTTTAATCTAAAATTGTTAGTCAACCAATAAGCTTCCCCCTGAGGGTCTTTGAGAGACCAACACCACTGGGTGTCATCTTAACCTAGCCAATGGCTACACGGCTCTATGTCGTAAATGTCTATGCTAAATACCTTGTTATGACAAATGTGATACGAGAGGAATGAATGACATCAAACTGCAACAAAAGTGTGAAGGAGAAATTGATATCTCATAGGGACATAAACGGTTTTCTCACCAGGGCCCAGTTTGTATTCTACCTTGATCTTATTTGGAGAAAAATCTAATACCTAAGAAATTATAAAACTGTTAGATTTGATAGAATTTGCAGAAGACTTTGAACTAAACACATCTAATCTAAAAAATTTCATGATGGAAATGTCAACTTTCTTAACATTCTACTTTCTTTTATTTTCTAATGCCAAATACAAATTCACTCTAAATTCCGTTACAGGGATTTAGAGGCACGTGTTTGAGACATTGACAGTTGTTCAATAGTGGATTTTAAAAGATCATTAGTTTGCAGGAATGCCTGAGAGAGGAAATGCATGATTCATGGAGAAGTATGCCTCACTGACCGATTTTTCAAGGCCTCTTTCATCACCAAAGACAAACTTTGACCCTGAAATCTTCATTATTAATGTATATACAGTTCTGATTCTCTCTGTTTCATTTTTATCTCCACATAGACAAGTCTTTCATCCACCTGTTCAGTCATTCAGTGAATCCCAGTAGGTTCCTTCCATCTCGTAGGCATGGATAAAAAGATGATTAAGAGATATATAGTTTACTCACATGTATTTATCGAGCACTATTGTGTGATAAGAATTATTCTTGCTGCTGAGGATGAAACAGTGAACAAGGCAAACAAGGTTCGTGTTCTCATGGAGTTTGTGGAAGATTGACATGTAAATTAATATCTGCTTTCCAGAAAATAAAAACGCTAGAAAGACCATGAAACAAGCCACTTGATGAAGTGACGGGAATGCTACTTTCTGTTTAGTGATCGAAAAAGGCATCCCTGAAAAAGTGTTGCTGAATCTGAGTGATGGGAAGGAACCCAGTCTAAAGAGATCTTTAGGAGCACATTAAAGGAGCAATAGTCTTTTCTTGTGTGGGTGGAAAGACCACAATGTGAGCTGAAAATTCCACTATAAGATGATCGTGAATTTAGGCATACAGAAATTACTGAGTTCATTAAGGAAGGCTGGGAGCAGGAAGGCTGCACAGAGGGCAAGATTTCATAAGGCCTGCTGATGTATCAGAACTTCTTAAGCAGGTTAGAGGGAGAAAGATATTCCAGAAAGTTGACTCATCATGGGCAAAGGCTGAAGCCACAAGGTATGTTCAGGCAATAGAAACTGGTGAGTACACTTAGAGCTTACAATGAAATGAGAGTGTCAATGGGAATGAGCACAAAAATGAAAACAGAGGATAGACTTATTTATTTTTTTAGTTATGCATTATTTCTTGTGCATTAATAACTTCACATGCAATTCAGATAGTATTTGATGGGTGAGAGTTTTTTAAATAGGTAAATGATCCTTGTAAGTACCTGGATCTAGGATAGTCAAGGTGTTTCTCACCGTGTCTTAAAATTCTTAAGAGAAGCTCAGAAGCTTATGTTTAAAAATGAAGGGATGGCTAAATGAGAAGACCTTGAGTATTCTCATCCCGATTGAACTGGACCTCCTGATTTTTTTATGTATTTAGCACGCTAGGATTCTGTTTTACTTTTTTTTTTGAGGAATAAATTTCACTCTTTAAAAAATAAAAACAAAAAGTTATAAAAATCTGAGAGCTGGGCCAGGCATGGTGGCTTATGTCTGTAATCCCAGCCCTTTTGGGAGGCCGAGGTGAGCAGATCATTTGAAGTCAGGAGTTGGAAACTAGCCTGGCCAACATGGTGAAACCCCATTTCTAATAAACATACAAAAAAAAAATTAGTCGGGTGTGGTGGCGAGCACCTGTTATCCCAGATACTCGGGAGGCTGAGTCAGGAGAATTCCTTGAACCTGGGAGGCGGAGGCTGCAGTGAGCAGAGATCTCACCATTGCACTCCAGCCTGGGTGACAGAGTGAGACTCCGTCTCCAAAAAAAAAAAAAGAAAAAAAAAAAATCTGAGAGTTTTGCTTCTGGCTGTGGCAGGATAACTTCTTTCAGATCATCCCCACAACACACCTATAGTTTATAAATATAAACCTAGGGAAAAATATACCTGGAAGGTACTGCAGAATGCCCAAGACATCTGAGACTTCAGAATAGATCATTTATTATTGGTGCTACTAAATATTCAGCAGGAAAAACAGTTTCCACTTTTCCACTTTTCTCTGTGTTTCTATTTTGGCCCTAAGTAGAAGACTCACCTTTTTCAAAAGTAGTGAGAAGAGCAGTCTCTGGCCTACTATCCAGTTCCACAATTATTAGATTGGTGCCATTTGGATCTAAGCATATGTGATTCAGCTTCTTTTTTCTTCCTTGAATTTGCCTGTGTGTTGGTTACATTTCTACTTCCATATTGCAAGCACCCTTGGGTAAACTATTAGGCCTATATGTGCCCACTGACAACAGCTGACGGCATAAGAAAGTGACTTTGGGTGTCTGCGGGAGTGTCTCTTTTGCTCTTGAGACCGAAACTCTTCTTGGGATAATTCATCCCAAGGATTAGGCTCAGGAAGCACTACAGAGCTTGACATTGGCTGCAGATTGAAGCAAAACTTCCCAATGTAAAGACATTTACTGTAAAAAACGAATAAAGAGGCTGAAATTTTGATTTCCATATGTGTGACTCCTCCCTTTATTTTTCAGTTGGTTCAGAACTCAGAGGGAAAGAAGTGTCACGATCCATTATCTCTCAAATCTCAACACATAATATAAATCAATAAATAATTGGTACTGTAGCTCTACGAGGAGACATTTCCAGGCCTGAATGGTTCATCATTCTCTGCCTTGCATCCCACAGTTCTGCTATACACCACTGAGAAAATGGGCTATCCCACAGGATTCATTTCAACAATTGTTATTGAGTCCTTTCTATTGGCCAAATGTTGGGATATAAAAATTGTATAGTTTAGTAGGGGTGATCAAAGTTGTGTGAGTGAACTAGAATCTATTTCATCTTCCCAGAGAGGCCCGTCCTGATTCTCCTTTATAAATCAGTCTTAACCCTGACTCCAATCTCTATCCACCCATTCATTACTCTCTATTGCATTCTATTTGCTTTGCTGCAATCCATTGTTTATATAACCTTATCTATTTAATTATTAAGTTATATATTGGTGGCCTAAAATGTCAGTCTATGAGGCCCATGGCACTACCTGTTTTAGTCACCACTGTATCCTTCCGAACTACTATATGGTAGTTGTCAATAAATGTGTTGAGAAAATTAATTACCAATTATTGGTAGAATATCACTTTATAAGAAAGTCAATAATAAGATACAGGCTGGGCGCAGTGGCTCATGCCTGTAATCCCAGCACTTTGGGAGGCCAAGGCGGGTGGATCACCTGAGGTCAGGAATTTGAGACCAGTCTGGCCAACATGGTGAAACCCGTCTCTACTAAAAATACAGAAATTCACTGGGCATGGTGGCGGGCACCTGTAATCCCAGCTACACAGGATGCTGAGGCACAAGAATTGCCTGAACCCAGGAGGTGGACGTTGCAGTGAGCCGAGATCGCACCACTGCACTCCAGCCTGTGCGACAGAGTGAGACTCTGTCTCAAAAATAATAGTAATAATAATAAGAAGAAGAAACAATAACATTTTCTACTTTTCCCTTGGAAAATCAAGAAAGGCTAAGAAAAGTAAGAGGCACTAGATGTAGGTTTGAATGAATACTGGATTTTCAGTGTGTATAGAGAACAGCCTAAATACAAACATGGCACAGCACTGAAAAGTCCATTTTGATTCAATGAGCACTGGAATAATGATTAACCTCTATAATCTCAACAATTTGCACATATTTTCAGTGGCATGAATCTTACTAGTTCTTTCCAGTCATTCAAAGACATTTCAAAATACAGGCAAATTCTCTTTTTGGATGAGTACAGAAAAGAACCACGATGCCTAAGGGATTTTTTTAGTCCTTTTTTGTATAGGAAGTTCTATCTGATATTGAAGTGAGCCAATCCTGGCTGCAAGATTGTGGGTCAAGTTTGAGCAACAGTTCACTGAACAATAATTTTCTTCAATTGAATCTTGCTTTTGCTGGGGAAATTCACTCTGCACTGACAGTACTGAGAGCTCCAAAATAAGGGTTATCTATCTTATGCTTTCCAAGTCAAGTCTATCGTTACCACCAGAAATCATTCATTAGCACCTAATCATCTAGGTTGGGCCTTAGCTGTGTCTCTGGAGAAAACAAAATAAATAGACACCCCCATTTCTTTAGATCACCTGTGAATAAATTCTATCATAGTGTCATTACCATTCTATCACCTATAATTCGTTTTTATGCTTGACTTCCCTGTGGGATAATGTGACTTGGTGAATATGGGCTTGTCTTATTTCCCACAATATCCATAGTCCCTGGCACTCAGAAAGGCCTTAAATATTTGCTGAACAAATGAGTTTTGTAAATGGTAACATGAATAAACATAAGGCTATGCAAATCACCATAAACATTGAACAATAAAATATATTGTGCATATATTTGCATGGTTTCTCAAGATTAAATAAGAAATTCATAATGTCCATCATAAAGCCATCGATTAAAACTCCTGTTTAAGTTTACTTTTAAAACGATACTATGGGTTAGAAGTATAAGTATTTAAAAATAGAGCTAGAAAATTAATTGGTTGAGGAATAAGGCATAAATGTGACCACAAATTTCCTGTGCAGACACTTTTTGGGTCTTCACTGGATTTTTATTGCCTGTTATTCTGAATGTATATTCAGAAACTACTGAATGAATATTTTAATTTATTTTTATCTATTGGTTTACTATCCGAGAATGTTTGCATAATTGACACTTTCCCTTGATAATGTATATTAAGGCAAGTGTCTTGATTCAATGACTACAGCATACCAAATTTTTAAAAACTATTAAGCACTTACTGTATGACATGCATTATTCTAATAGCTGGTAATACCACTAGGAATAAATACGTGCTTATTATTAAGGAGCCTAGTCAAGTTTAGTCTACAGATATTGAACATGTTTATATTAGTGTGGTACTTGTTCCAAGCAGTTTGCAACTAGCAGAGGTTAAACAGAAGACATCAAAGTTGAATTTCTCTTTTTTATTTAAGCCTAAATTGTACTTGTGATTTTCAAAAAAAGAATGTCTGGAACTTGTACAATTGTCAGTCAATCTAGCCCAACCAGCATCTTGAGGGAAGTCTTTGCCAAGCCACTGCTGATAAGACCTATGTGAGGCCCATTCCGTCGCCATGCTGACTGCCCAAGGGCACAGGTGTCTCTCCAAGATCACAGGCCAGAATCTGTCTGGCAAAGTATCCAAGGTCGACATGAGAATTTCTACAATCTTACCCCTTCCTCCCCTCACACGAATGAGCCAAGCAATCCTTTTCCCTGAAGTCATATGGCAGCATTATTTTTCTTCAGTATTGGAAAAGAAATAATGTCAGTAAGATCAGGAGACTGTGTACATTGAAGATTTCTTTTTTTATTTTAATTTTTATTTTAAGTTCTGGGGTACATGTACAAGATGTGCAGGTCTGTTACATACGTAAATATGTGCCATGGTGGTTTATTGCACCTATCAACCCATCACCTAGGTATTAAGCTCAGCATGCTTTAGCTATTTTTCCTAATGCTCTCCCTCCCCCAACCCCACCCACCAACAGGGCTCAGTGTGTGTTGTTCCCCTCCCTGTGTCCTTGTGTTCTCATTATTCAGCTCCCACTTGTAAGTGAGATAATGCAGTGTTTGGTTTTCTGTTCCTGCATTAGTTTGCTGAGGATAATGGCTTCTACTCCATCCACATCCCTGCAAAAGATGTGATCTTGTTACTTTTGATGGCTGCATAGTATTCCATGGTGTATATGTACCAAATTTTCTTAATCCAGTCTATCATTGATGGACATTTGGGTTGATTTCATGTCTTTGCTATTGTGAATAGTACTGCAATGAACATACACGTCCATGTATCTTTGTAATAGAATGATTTATATTCCTAATTTCAACAAAAATCATTCAGGTTAGTGGAAGCTGAAGAAGAGTCTTCACTACTTGGTCATTAGAGATATCGCAAAGAACCAAGGGCAGAGAGATGGCTGTGAATCAGGTAGATGATGGAGTCAGAATCTTTTTCTCTTATCTCTAATCTTTTGAAAAAATAAATAGACTTCATTTGTTTTTGTTTCCCTTCTCTTCTTCAGTTACAGTTGGGTAGAAAATATTAGTATCTGTATTTTCTCAGAGTCTCTCCCACCACCCCTGCTAGCTGCTACCAAAATCTGCTATCCTCTTCTTCCCCAGTAATAGATGATATAATCAGAGCACATGGCTGCCTGAAGTGTCTACACTGCACCTCTGGTGCACTGATGTGGTTAACTTCTGGCAAGTGGAATATAAGCAGAGGGAATAACCACAATGTGCAAGAAGTCTCCTAAAAGGGAGTCACATGGAAGAAAAAAAGAACCTCCACCTCCTTTCCTCCACCTTGCTGCAAGTCTGATAGCCAGAACTCAACCAACATGGGGTTGGACCATAGGAAAAGGAAGTAAAAAGGACCATGGAGTAAGATAATAAAAGGCAACAGAGTGGAGTCTGGGCACCTGATACCATACAGCATTGTCACAGCCCTGGAACACTGATTCTTGAGATTTGATATGGTAGTTAAATATGATCTTTTCTAAGCTACTCATACTTTTTTTTTTTCCTGTATTAACTGCTTAACTGAATCCTAACTAATAGAGATACTTTGTCTTCCCCTACCTCTCTACTATTATTTCCTTCTTATATTTTCCTATCCTCTTACTATTTTCAAATCCCTTGGAAAAACCCTTGTTTGTGATCCTACTAACTGGTCCTAAAGCTGACTGCCCCTTAAACCCCGACTATGTAAGAGAACTAGTTAGGGGTTTTGTGTGTAAGTGAAATCGATGAGCTTGACAGATTCCAGTAGAGCACAGATGGGGAGCCTGGACATTCAGAGGAGAGACTTGGAATTATTCACGATATCTCCGGGAATAGTCCTTGAAGACTGAAAATGATTTTTTGCTAGGACAGATAAGCCCAAGTACCTCATGACGCAGGGTATTACGCTTAGAGAACTCATCACCTCATAAAGTCAACTTACTTTCAAATGTCAATAGGTTCAGAAACAGTTTAGAGAGTAGCTCAGTGCTTGATCAATAAGACAAATTTAAGAGCTATCTGGGGTGCAACCCTAATCTAAAGTTGAGGCCAGGGAGTGATCACAAGGTCTTCCCATGGTACATCTTTTATAATTGCCACAAAGAAGAAAATACCTGGAATCAAAAGGCCAAGGATTTGGCCAATAAAGATTCAACATTTTTATCATTATTTCTAAGGAGACAGGGTAAATTGTGCTTGTTTGATAATGCTTATCCTCAAAGTCTCAAAGCAGGACACAGTGAACTAAGTACCTCTCAAAGTCAGGTCAGATTAGGCAGAAAGCCTTGCTGTTTTTTGATGTCATGGAAATCAGTGAATGTTGTAGTCCTCTTGTATTATATGGCCAGAAGAGGGCAAAACCACTTGGGCGTTTATTTCTTCATTTAACCACTGCCCCCACCCATTCCATTCATCAGACACCTTTCACTATATCTTTTTTATTGGTGATGGTTTCTTTGGTTCACTGATAATTGGAATACTGGCCTTCTTTGCTGCTCTATAAATTTGGTAGTTACTGCATTTATGGCTATGTCAATCTGACACAATATTTCAGCCATGAGAACTGAGAACTGTAGCTTGAACTGATTTGTGGAAGGCAGGCAAACATTTGGAATGTGGAGATTGGGAGAAATGTACACTCGATTTGAATTGGGGGAAATCTTTACCTGAACATTGAACATGTCTTTAATATTGCTCCAACACATCAGTTAATGGGGCACCTTAATTATGTATGAGAGAGAAAATCATCTCTAGGCCATTCTTGTATGAAGCCTGTATTGGGGAAAGAAGCAGGTATACCTTTAAAAAAGTAAGACTTGGATTTACTTCGGTCTCTGTTACTTAATATGTTATTTACTAGTTACTAGGTTACTTAAATGTGAAGAATATTGTTTAATATTCTCTGTGTCTGATAAAATTTGGGGCTCCTTCATTTTCTCTTCTTTTTATTCGCTAACATATTGGTTATTATTCATAGAAGCAGGTTAACATGGCAGTTAAGATCAATGGGTTTAGGAATCAGACTGGCTGGATTAAAACCCAACTCTATCTCTTCTAGCTTATGATCATGGCAAGATCCTTAAATTATCTGAACCACAATTTCTTCTCTGTGATATGATGATATTTGACTATAATACCTGCTTCATAAATCTATTAGGAGAATTAACAGAGATCTTGTCAGTAAGTGCCCTTTGAATGCAAATTATCCTTGTTACGCATTACGGCCAATACCTGTGACATCCATGGCCATTTGGCAGTGCTCTGAGGGATTCTCCAAGAAAGTAACTACCTTCTCACCTGAAACAGAAGCTGATTTGAACTCACTCACAGGCACCTTGCAGAGTGTAAGCCACTCAGGGGTTTGCCATATTAAGCCAGCGTAACTTCAAAAGATCAGGTTGAAGTGCCTGTGAAATCATATTGAGAACATCACATTTGTACCATCTCAACACGTGATCTTCTTGTGAAGTATATTCACATGGCCCAGCCATTCTGCCTTTGATAAGGCATTGTGCATTACTAATCGATCTGATGGAGGTTGAAAACTGGTAGATTACTAGGCACATAAATATGTGATTGCCTGTAATGGACACATTTTTGCGTATTATTCTACATTTTTATTTCCAGTGAATTTCAATTCTCATAGAAACAAGTGATCACTTTAAAAAGTCCAAAATATTTACTTATAAAGTGCTTTTTCTACTTTGGCAACTTGCTATATTTATCACTGATGTTCAGCTATCTGGCTATCTGCCCACAAATATTGCCTAAGGATATATTTCACCCCAGGCACTGTGCTGGATGCAGAGGATACAGAAATGAGTAATGTACCTGCTCTTTATTCTCTTGTGGTTCACTGTCTAGTGAGGTTTGCAGCTCACTGACCTCATGTAATGTGATAAGTATTTAATGAAAACACGTAAAGCATTCTCCAAGAGCATAGAAGAGGTCTCCTCCCTCGGTTGGAGGAGTAGAAGAAAGCTGCACAGGATGAGAAAGGATGCAAGCAGAGACAGAGAACAATCCAGCAATGGATTCTGGGAGAGGCAGCTGAATCTGAACATTGTCTTCACCTGTGCTTCTCCCTTACTGTATAGCTTAGACCCAAACGCTTCTCTCCTGTGCACCTTGTTTTTTCTCATCTTATTTCACATACAGGAAATATCAATTCAGAGTCATTTGTGTGTACCTGTTAAAAAGAAATGCAGCTACCCAAACCTTGTCTCAGGCCTATTATTCACTCATTGATTTATTAATTCATTCAGCATATTTTATTAAGCACATGTTTACTAAGCACCTAGTATGTCCCAGATACTGTGCTAGGAACTGGGGAACAAAAGTCACATATCCATGACAGGATTTAGGGGTGACAAACATAAAGACTCATTATATTAAAATATAAGTAATAATAAAATAAACATTTCAAAGGAGAGCATGCAATAGCACCAGCCAACATATAGGAGCATATTCCTGGAGGATATGAAAGGTGAACTGAGATGTCAGGAATGAGGCAAAAAAGAGGCAAGTCAGTGAAAAGAGGGAAGAATTATGCCTGGAAAAGAAATAACATATGCACAAAGCCCATGGAATTAGACTCTGTAGAAGGTGGGACCAATAGAGCAACATTTTAAAGTTTCCAGGTGATCTGGATGTTCACTTAGAGTTGACAAACTCTTGCTAATCCCTGTTTCATGTTTTACAGGGCTGTTGTGGTAAACAAAAAGAGTCTTGAAAAAGACCTTTGAAAAGTAAAACAACAACAACAACAATGCTTTACACTGTTGTGTACATAGTAGCCCTCAAGGAGCAACAAGTAAGAATTGTATTCAAGATATTAAAATGATGAGCCCTTGGTCTAACTATAACTTTGAGGAATGACGCATATTTCAAACCAAGATTGACATTTCATGTCACTTTTGCCATAATAATATGATTCTTACACTGTTTATAGTCTCTACACTTTCCACTTAAGAGGTGCTCTACCTCAATGTGAATGCAAATGTTATATAGAGATTAATGTTTATGAGAATGAGGGAGGACATCAGGTGAGTAGGATGAGTCTGAAAATTAAAGGTGAAGAAGTTCTGTCTACTTGCCAAAAGAAATTGCATCTTGTAGTCATGTATTGAGCATCTGGTGAAAAAAAAAAAATACATCTCAGACCTAGGAGTCATACTAGAGAGTGAAATAAGCAGAGGAGCTTTTTTTTTGTCCATTAAAACAAGGAAGTCTGAAAAACTAATCACTCAGAGATTCATAAAGCATCAGTGAAAACTAGCTATGGTTTTCACTGTCATATTTAGACCTCAAGCTCTAAACCTACAATACCCAAACCAACCGAAGTCTTTAAATAACTTCAGTTCCACCGTAAGTTAATTATAACACCAAGTTAGACAGCTAGATCTTAGGGTTGGACTACTAAGGAGATATACAATATCTTGAGATGTTCCAGTGAAATGACATGATAAAAATGTCAACCTTGGATTAATCAGGAGATGCATAGTGTACTTTAATCCCTGACATTTCTAGTGGGGTGTGTGTGTGTGTGTGTGTGTGTGTGTGTGTGTGTGTGTGTGTGTGCTGTTGGGAAGGGAAATTTTCATCTGGCAGAAATCAAAGTTAATGGAGGTACAGACCTGAACCAGCTGCTCCGTGGTATAATTCAGCTGGGCATGGCAATGTGATATAATGGGAAGGGGGGTCCAGAGTTCAGTGTGAATCCTACTTGATTTGTAAGTGTGGGTGAGTAACTTAACTTGTCAGTGTCTACATTTTGTCACGTTAAAATGAGAATAATAATAGAGTTATGATGGGGATTAAATGAGACATTGGAGTTAAAATGCTTGGCATATGTACAGAATTCCAAGTGATTTATGTAGCCACACCGCTCTCCAACCACTACCAAGGAGTTGGAACCTAACTCCCTCCCTTTTAGCTGTGGGCTGCCTACAGTGCCTTTTTTTTTCCCCAAAGAGTACAGTATAAAAGGCAGGAAAATGAAAAGTAATTTTACAATGGAGAATCCTGACAAATGCTACTTCAGCCAGGTAATCAAGGTCAACATCAATATCTTCCAAGATAAATCATGTAGATAGTATGCACCATTGATATAATCAGAGAATAATGACATTTCACCTGTTTGGTCTAATGTAGTTTGGATGTTTGTCCCCTCCAAATCTCATGTTGAAATGTGATTCCCAGTGTTGGAGGTGGGACCTAGTGAGAGGTGTTTGGGTCATGAGTGTGGATCCATCATGAATGGCTTGGTGCCTACCCTGTGGCAGTGAGTTCACATGAGAGCTGATGGTTAAAAAGAGTTGGACTTCCATGCTCTCTCTTGCTTCCTCTCTTACCATGTGACACACCAGCTCCTCTTCTCTTCCGCCATGGGTAAAAGCTTCCTGAGGCTTCACCAGAAGCCAAGCAGATGCTGGTGTCATGCTTGTATGGCCTGCAAAACCATGAGCCAAATAAACTCATTTTCTTTATAAATTTTCCAGCCTCTGGTATACTTTATAGCAATGAAAAACAGATTAATACAGTCTTGCTCCCCCAAAATCCATAATTTCAGTCTAATTATTAGAAGAACATCAAATCAACCCAAATAGATGGTATTCTATAAAAAGCCCAACCAGTACTCCTCAAAGCTGTCAAGATTATCAAATACAAGAAAAGACAGAAATTGTCACAGTCAAGAGGAGCCTAAGGGGACATGATGATTAAATATAATGAGGTTTCCTAGATGGGATCTCATACAATGAAAGGACCTCAGGTAAATACTAATGAAATCCAAATAAAGTATGGAAATTGTATAGAGTTTACTTGATAATAATCTAACAGTGTTAGTTCATTATTCTTATAAATATATCATGGTAATGTAAGAAGTCAACAATAGAGGAAACTGGATGTGGCATATATGGACTTCTCTATATTATCTGTGCAAATTTTCTATCCAGAGAAACTATTCTAAAATTTTTAAAATATATATATTTTAAAACTCTAGGCACAGTGCATGGAACATAGTAAGAACCGAATACATGTTCCCTCTCCACCTTATCTTCCTTCTTCTCCTCCTTTCTCCAGTTTATAGAACTTGAAGATTTTATTTTAATTAGTTTTCAGAGGCCATTCCTTAGTGGTCTAATCTGATATTTAAAGACATATATGTTTCTCAAAGTTATTGCACATTTAAATACGTAAGGTATGATGATTCTGCTTGTAAATCAAATTGCTCATAAAATAATATCATTTTATTACCTCACTTTATAAGGAGTCTGGAAGAAATAGATACAGTAATATTCTGCAACTTAACAATGCCGTTAAATACCCAAGACCTTTCCATGATTTCACTTTGACATCTTGAGAACACATGTGATATTTTGCCTCTTGTTCCCAAGACGGCCACTGCAGCTCCAAGCCATGCATCTTTTACAAGACAGTGTCTAAAAGTAGTACGAGAAATACAGACTTGTCTTCAAGTCTTCTCTCTTTTTATCAGAGATGAACCTCTTTTCAGGAGCTTTCTAGAATACTTCTCTTGAGTCCCAATATATCTGGATCACTGGCATATCACTAAAAGAGTAAGAAATGGGATTGATATTACTACAGATTATCTTAAAATAATCATGATTCTTCCCCTGGGGCTGAATAAATTACTCCTAGACACCTCAAATGAATTGGAGCTCTCTTACCAAGAATATGGAGAATAACTGTTGATCAGGCAACCATGGTGCATAATATAGAAATTAAGACAGTACATTTCTACCTTCAAAATTATACTTGGACTACTACCTCTAGGAAGATAAAATAGGCATATTTTTTCCATTCCTCCTTTTAATCCAACTAAAACCCCTGGACATTATATATAAAACAAATATAAGAAGGCCCTGAAAGTTTAAAAAGGATACAGATCAGCTTGGACCTGGGGATGCAAGCAGTGACACAATGGTGAGATCCCTGAGTTTCCTTTTTGCCTCATATATCCCAGACCTGGAGCTGAAGAAGCTGGGATGTGGAAAAGATCACACACACATATGCACACACACACACACACCCAAAAAAAACCTCTCTCTGTCTCTCTCTAGCTAAAGGACTAGGTAAGAGGCAGCCTAGCAAGATAGAAAACTTTTAGACAAGTGCCCTAGTCAAACTAAGTACCATATAAAAAACTGTGGCCTTACTCCCATCTAGACCAGAAAAATGTGAGTGGTGATCCTGGATATCCATTTTTGAGAGCCTGCAACTAGGTATAACCCCTTGCCACAGTGATGCCATAAAAAACATGTAGAAGGCAGGACTTTCTTCTCCACCAGATGATGGTAACGGCCCCACCCCCATGGTGTCAGAGGAGACCAGGATGGTGGTCCTGGATCTCTACTTCCACTCTGCAGCAAAGGTATTTCTCCTCCCAACTGGAGTGGTGACAGAGTAAGCCTAGTGGAAAGTTTGGACGTTTACCACCATCCAGCAATAAAAAGGTTACCCATCCTCCAACATAGTGTTAATTGGATGGCACGTGGGAAGCAATCTTGTGACACTCCAAACCCTCTCAGCCAAGTAAACTCTCAGTGCGGTTTTGGTGGGAAACTAGAATACCCAACTCTGCAAATCAACATGAGCAGTCCTCCTACCAATACATTAATGAAGTCTGAATGGGGAACATGGACTTCTACCCCCACCTGGCTGTGATGAGATGGAAGCCCCTTTCCCCTGCCATAGTGGTATCAGAAAACAAAACAAAACACAACAAAAACAAAAGTCACAAACAGCTAAGTCAATAGACTTAAATAATATAGAGAGACTCATACCATATTCAAAAGATCCAATTTTCTATAAAAAAAATTAGTCATGCCAACAAGCCAGGAAGATATCAAACTAAATGAAAAATGATAATTAATAGATCCCAGTGCAAAAATGACAGAGATGGTAGAATTATCTGAAGAATATTCTAAGTCAGCCATCATAAAAATGCTTCGACAAGCCATTACAAATATACTTGGGACAAATGAAAAAAATAGAATGCCTGAGCTCAGAAACAGAAACTCTCAGCAAACACATAGCTCCATTGAATTCAACAGTAGAATGTGTGGGACTAATGAAGAAACTGGAAGCCTGGAAAGGAGAACAATAAAATTACACAATCTGAACAAAAGAGAGAAAATAAATTGAGGTAGGGGATGGGGAAAACGAAGCCTCATGGACTGGTGAGACTATAAAAAGGCCAAAACTCTCATAGGAGTCACAGAAGGAGGGGAAAGAGAAGAAAGGGCTGAAAAAGTACTAAAATAATCACTGAAAATTCCCCAGTTTTGCAAAATACAACTTACAGGTTCAGGTTGCCTACAAAAAGTTGAGCAAAGCCCAAGACCAGAAATCCATACCAAGACACTATAGTGATCTAATGTAGAGAGAAATGACACCTTACCAAGGGGAGGAAAAGCAATATGGATGACTGCTGATTTTTCATCAGAAACCGTGGAGATCACAGGGAAGTCACACAACATCATTCAAGTGCTGAAAGAAAAGAACTGTCAACACAGAATCCTATATCTAGCAAAAATATCCTGTAGGAATGAAGAGAACATTAAGACATTCTCAGATGAAAGAAAACAATTTGTCACCAGCACATCTACTCTAAAATAAAGACTAAAGGAGGTTTTCTAAACTGAAACAAAATGACAAAATGAAAGATCTCAGAATACCGGGAAGAATTAATGTAGTAAGCAGAAATATAGATATAGATAAATACAGTAGACTTCCTTCTCCTTTGGGTTGTCTTAATCATGAGTGATAGTGAAAGCAAAAATTATAACACTGTCTGACATGGTTCTAAATGTATATCAGAAACTATGTTAGGTAGTAATATTATAAATGGGGATGAAAAAGAACATAAAAGTAAGTTTTTTGTGTTTTCTTAAATAATTTTCTTGAATGGATTTCCTTGAATGACAGTACCAGTAGACTATGATAAAATTATGTATGTATAATGTGATACCTAAAGCCTCCACTAAAGTTCTACATAAAACTACACTGAAAAACACTATATATAAATCAAAATGGAATTCTAACAAATGTTCAAATAAACCACAGGGAATCAAGAAGAAAAACAGAAACAAACAAAAAGAATGAACAAAAACAAATTATTAAAATGCCAGATTTAAGCCCTAACATATCAATAATTGCATTAAAGGTAAATGATCTATATGTACCAATGAGAAGTCATTGTCAAGGTAAGTTAAATAATTTGGCCCAACTACATACTGTCTATAAGAAATTCATTTGATGTAAAATAATACATGCAAGTTGAATATAAATGGATGGAAAATGATATTTGTGCAAACATTAATCTAAAGAAAGCAGGAGTGGCTATATTAATATCGAAAAAGAGATCAGGGATGCTATAGTTTGGATTTGTGTCCTCACCCAAATCTCATGTCGAATTGTAATCCCCAATGTTGGAGGAGGGGCCTGGTGAAAAGTATTGGATCATGGGGGCAGGTTTCCCTTTGCTGTTCTCGTGATAGTAAGTTCTCACAACATCTGGTTGTTTAAAATTGTATAGTACCTCCTCCTTCACTCTCTTCCTCCTGCTCCAGCCATGTAAGATGTGCCAGCTTCCCCTTCCACCATAATTGTAAGTTTCCTGAGGTCTTCCAAGCAATGTTTCCTGGACAGCCTGTGGAACTATAAGCCAATTAAGCCTCTTTTCTTTATAAATTACCCAGTCTCGGATAGTTCTTTATAGCAATGCAAGAATGAATTAATACAAGGACAAAAAAAATTAGAGATAGAAATGGACATAATATAATAATAAAAGAGTTAATCCACCAAGAAGACATAGCAATAGCAACCTTTTTTTGGGGGGAGGGCTACCCATCACCTCAAGAATTTGTTGTTTCCTTGTGTTACAAATATTCCAACTATACCCTTTTAGTTATCTTACAATGTATGACAAATTACTGTGGACTGTAATCACTCCATTTTAATATCAAATACTAGCTCCTATTTATTCTAGCCAACTATATTTTTTATAACCATTAACCATCCCTATCCATGTTGTTGCAAATGATAGGCTCTCATTCTTTTTATGGCTGAATAGTACTCCATTGTGTATGTGTACCCACATTTTCTTTATTCATTCATCTGTGATGGATACTTAGGTTGCTTCCAAATCTTGGTTATTGTGAATAGTGCTGCAATAAGCATGGGAGTGCAGGTATATCTCTGATACACTGATTTCTTTTCTTTCTGATATGTACTTAGTGGTGAGATTGCTAGATCATATAGTAGCTCTATTTTCAGTTTTTTGAGGAAGCTTCATACTCTTCACCATAGTGATTGTACTAATTTATGTTCCTACCGACAGTGTATGAGGGTTCCCTTTTCTTCACATCCTTGGCAGAATTTGCTGTTTCTTGTATTTTGGATAAAAGCCGTTTTAATTGGGACAAGATGTTATCTCATTGTAGTTTTGATTTGCATTTCTCTGATGTATCCATCCATTCTCACACTGCCATAAAGATACTACCTTAGACTGGGTAATTTATAAACAAAAGAGGCTTAATTGACTCACAGTTCCATGTGCCTGAGGAGGCCTCAGGAAACTTACAATCATGGCAGAAGGTGAAGGGGAAGTAAGGTATGTCTTACATGGCAGCAGGAGAGAGAAGAGGGTGAGCCAGGAAGTGCCACACCCTTAAGCCATAAGATCTCCTGAGAACTCAGCCATCACCATGAGAACAGCATGGGGGAACCTTCCCCCATAATCCAATCACCTCCCACCAAGTTCTCCTCCACTGACATGTGGGGATCACAATTTGAGATGAGATCTGGGTGGGGACACAGAGCTAAACCACATCATCTGATGACCAATGATATTGAGCACCTTTTCATATACCTGTTTACCATTTGTATGTCTTCTTTTGAGAAATGTCTATTCAGACCTTTTGCCCACTTTTTAATCAGATTATTAGATTTTTTCCTATAGAACTGTTTGAGTTCCTTACATATTCTGGTCATTAATCCCTTGTCAAATGGACATTTTGCAAATATTTTCTCTCATTCTGTGGGTTGTCTCTTCACTTTGTTGATTGTTTGCTTTGCTGCTCAAAATCATTTCAACTTAATGTGATCCCATGTGTCCATTTTTACATTGGTTGCCTGTGCTTTGGGCGTATTACTCAAAAAATCTTTGCTCAGATCAATGTCTTAGAGAATTTTCCAAATGTTTTCTTTTAGAAGTTTTATAGCTCGAGGTCTTAGATTTATGTATTTTATCCATTTCAATTTGAATTTTTTGTATAGTGAGAGATAGGAGTATGGTTTCATCCTTCTGCATATGCGTGTCTAGTTTTCCCAGCACCATTTATTGAAGAGACTATTCTTTCCCCATTGTATGTTCTTGACACCTTTATTGAAAATAAGTTTACTCTAGATGTATGGATTTTTTAGTAGGTTCACCATTCTGTTCCATTGGTCTATGTGTCTATTTTTATGCCAGTACCATGCTGTTTTGGTTACTATAGCTCTGCAGCATAATTTGAAGTCAGATAATGTGATTCCTCCTGTTTTGTTCTTTTTGCTCAGGATAGCTTTGGCTATTCAAGGTCTTCTATGGTTCAATATAAATTTTAGGATTTTTTTTCTTTTTCTGTGAAGAATGTCACTGATATTTTGATGTAGATTATATTGAATCTCCAGATTTCTTTGGGTAGTATGAACATTTTAACAATTTTGATTCTTCTAATCTATGAAGATAGAATATCTTTCCATTTTCTGTGTGTTCTCTTTAATTTCTTTTATCAAGGTTTTATAGTTTTTATTATAGAGATCTTTCACTTCTTTGGTTAGGTTTATTTCTTATTTTTATTATTTGTAGCTATTGTAAGTGGGATTCATTTTCTGATTTCTTTTTTGAATTGTTGTTGGCATATAGAAATACTACTGATTTTTGTATGTTGATTTTGTATCCTGCAACTTTACTGAATTTGTTTTCAGTTCCCATTGTTTTTGATGGAATCTTTAGATTTTTCCAAATATAAAATTATATTATATGCAAACAAGAATAATTTGATGTCTTCCTTTCCAATTTTAATACTTGTTATCTCTTTTCTTACATTATTGCTCTAGCTTGAAATTACAGTACTATGCTGAATAACGGTGGTGACAGTGAGTATCCTTCTGTTGTTCTGTGTCTTAGAGCAAAGACTTTCAGTTTTTCCCACTTCAGTATGATATTAGCAGTGGATCAGTCATTTATGGCTCTAATTGTCCTGAGATATGTTCCTTCTATACCCAGTTTTCCAAGGGTTTTAATCATGAAGTGGTGTTGAATTTTATTAAGTGATTCAAGGGATGTTGAATTTTTTCAGCATCAATTGAAATGATAATATGGTTTTGGTCCTTCACTCTGTTTATATAATGTATCTCACTGATTGATTGGCATATGTTTAACTATCCTTGGATCCCTGAGATACATCCCAGTTGGTCATGATGACTAATCTTTTTAATGTCTTCTTGTAGTTGGTTTGCAAATATTTTGGTGAGAATTTTCACTTCAGTGTTTGTCAGTGATATTGGCCTATGATCTATCTATCTATCTATCTATCTATCTATCTATCTATCATCTATCTATCTTTATCTGGTTTTGGTAGCAGGATAATATTGGCTTTGTAGAATGGGTCTGGAAGTATTCCCTTCTCCTATATTTTATGGGATAATGTAAGTAGAATCGGTATTAGTTCTTCTTTAAATGTTTGGTAAAATTTTAACAGTGAAGCCATTGGGTCCCAGGCTTTTCTTTGCTGGGAGACTTTTTCTTATGGCTTCAATCTTATTACTTGTTATTGGTCTGTTCAGACTTTGGATTTGTTCATGGTTCAATCTTGGTAGGTTTTATTTGTCTAGGAATTTATCCATTTCTTCTAAGTCTTCCAGTTTATTGGCATATAATTACTCAGTAATTTCTAATGTTCATTTGAATTTCTGCAGTGTTGTTTCTAACATCTCCTTTTTCATCTCTCATTTTATTTGGGTTTTCTCTTTGTTTTTAGTTGCTCTAGCTAAAATTTTGTCAATTTTGTTTATTTTTTTCAAAAACCAACTTTATGTTTTATTGATATTTTTATTGTTTTATTGATTTTTTATTGTTTTCTTCATTTTAATTTTATTTATTTTCCCCTCATCTTCATTATTTCTTTTCCTCTACTAATTATAAGTTTGGTTTGCTTTTGCTTTTCTAATTATTTAAGATGCATTTTAGGTTGTTTATTTGAAGTTTTTCTACTTTTTTGATGTGGGTGTTTACAGCTGAGAGCTTTCCTCTTTGTACTGTTTTTGTTGTATCCCATAGGCTTTGGTATGTTGTATTTCCAATAACATTTGTTTCAAAAACTTTTTCAATTTTCTTCTTAATTTCTTTATTGGCCCAATGGCCATTCAGGAGTATATTGTTTAATTTCCATATGTTTGTATACTTTCCAAAATTCCTCTTGTTATTGATTTCTAGTTGTATTCCACTGTGGTCAGAGAAGATGAATATATATATTCAGCCTCTCTATGTCTTTTGATTGGAGAGTTTAGTTCATTTGCATTCAATGTTATTATTAATAAGATCTTACTCCTGCCATTTTGTTGTTTTCTGGTTGTATTGTGATCTTTTCTTCCTTCTTTAATTCCTTCCTTTCTTCCTCATATGAAGGTTATTTTCTCTGTTGGTACATTTTCACTTTTAGTTTTCATTCTCTGTGTATCATTCTTTTTCTATTTGATATTACCATGAAACTTGTAAATAACATCTTATAACTCATTACTTTAAACTGAAGACAACTACACTGATTTTGCAAAAACAAACAGAAAACTAACAAAAACTCTTCACATTAACTTCATCCCCTTATATTTTTAACATTTTGTTGTTTCTATTTCTATCTTATTGTATTGTGTATATCTTTAAAAGTTTTTGTTTTTATTTTTTTGTGTTTGATCCATCTTTCAGTCTTTCTACTCAAGGTATGAATAATTTACACATCACAATTACAGTGTTATAATATTCTGTGTTTTTCTGTATACTTACTATTACCAGTGAGTTATATACCATAGCTTTAGGTGATTTCTTGTTGCTCATTAATGTCCTTTTCTTTCTGATTAAAGAGCGCACTTTAACATTTCCTATAGCACAGATCTGATGTTGATAAAATCCCTCAGCTTTTGTTTGTCTGGGAAAGTCTTTTTTTTTTTCATATTTGTAGGATACTTTCACAGGACATACTATTCTAGAATAAAATATTTTTTTTCTTCAGCACTTTAAATATGTCATGCCACTCTCTCCTGGTCTGTGAGGTTTCCACTGAGAGCTCTACTACCAAATGTATTAGAGCACCTTTGTATATTATTTCTTTTCTCTTGCTTCTTTTAGGGTGCTTGCTTTATCTTTTACCTTTGGGAGCTTGATTACTAAATGTCTTGAAGTAGTCTTTTGGTTAAGTCTGCTTGGTGTTCTATAACCTTCCTGTGCTTGAACATTAATGTCTTTCTCTGGGTTTGGAAAGTTCTCTGTTATTATCCCTTTGAATGAACTTTCTAACTCAATCTCTCTTTTTCTCTACTTCCTCTTTAAGGCCAATAATTTAAACTTGCCCTTTTGAGGCTATTTTCCAGATATTGTATGTGTGCTTTATTCTTTTTTTTTTTTTTTGTCTGCTCTGTGTATTTTCAAATAGCCTGTATTCAAGCGCACTGATTATTTCTTCTGCTTGCAGTTCTGTTGAGGGACTCTGATGTATTCTTCAGTTTATCCTTTGAAACTTTTGGTTTCAGAACTTCTTGATTTTTAAAAATTATTTCAATTCCTTTCTTAAATTAATCTAATACAATTATGAATTCCTTCTCTGTGCTATTTTGAATTTCATTGAGCTTCCTCAAAACAACTATGTTGAATTCTCTGTCTGAAAGGTCATGTATCTCTGTCACTCTGGGATCAGTGCCTTATTTAGTTTGTTTTGTGAGACCATGCTTTCCTGAATGGTCTTGATGCTTGTGGATGTTTCTCAATGTCTGGGCATTGAATAGTTACGTGTTTATTCTTATCTTCATAGTGTGGGCTTGTTTGTATCTATCCTTCTTGGGAAGGCTTTCCAAGTATTTAAAGGGAATTGAGTGTTGTAATCCAAATCTTTGGTCACTGTAGCAACAACTGCATTAGGGAGTATCCTCTGTGACAATGTGACTCTTATAGATTCATAGATGTACTGCCTTGGTGGTCTTGGGCAAGATCCAAGATAATTCCTTGGATTACCAGGCAGAGATTCTCTTTTTTTTTTTTTTTTTTTTGAGATAGAGTCTCACTCTGTTGCCAAGGCTGGAGTGCAGTGGCGCAATCTTGGCTCACTGCAACCTCCGCCTCCTGGGTTCGAGCTATTCTCCTGCCTCAGCCTCCCAAGTAGCTGGGATTAGAGGTGCCTGCTACTACACCTGGCTAATTTTTTGTATTTTTAGTAGAGATGGGGTTTCACCGCATTGGCCAGGGTGGTCTCAAACTCCTGACCTTGTGATCCGCCTGCCTCGGCCTGCCAAAGTTCTGGGATTACAGACGTGAGCCACCACGCCCAGCCTACCAGGCAGAGATTCTTGTTCTGTTCCCTTACTTTCTTCCCAAAAAATGGAATATCTCTTTCCACGGTAAGCTGCCTGGAGCTGGGAGAGGGGTGACACAAACACCCTTGTGGCCACCACCACTGGGAATGTACTGGGCCAGACCTGAGGCCAGCACAGCACTGGGTCTTGCCCAAGGCCCATAATAACCACTGCCTGGATACTGCCAATGTTCATTCAAGGCCCAAGGGCTCTTCAGTCAGTAGGTGGTGAATGCACCAGGCTTGTGTCCTTCTCTTCAGGGCAGCAACTTTCTCTACCCCTAGCCCAGGCAGGTCCAAAAATGTCATTTGATTTCCAAGCCCTGGAGTTGGGAATGCGAAGTATCTACCTGTTGCTCTATTCTACTGCAACTGAGCTGGCACCCAAGTTGCAAGACAAAGTCCTTCTCATTCTTCTCTCTGTTTTCCTCAAAAAGGACTCTCTACCTCTGATCACCACTGCCCCAGGCCTATGGTGAGTATTGCCTGGCTACTGCCAATGTTCACTCAAGGCCCAAAGGTTCTTCAGTCAGCTTATAATTAATGCTGCCAGGCGTGAGCCTCTTCCTTCAGGGTAGTGGGCTCCCCAGGGCAAGTGATGAAATGCTGTTTATGAGCCAAGGCTTTCAATTGGAGACCCCAGGAGCCTGCTTGCTGATCTACCCCACTGTGGTTTGAGCTGGTACCCAAGCTGCAGGACAAAGTCCCCTCTGCTCTTCCTTCTCCTTTCCTCAAGCAGAAGCAATCTTTCCCCATGGCCATTACATCTGGGAATGTGCTGGGTTGAGGCTAGTACATCTCTTGAGTCTCACCCAGGGCCCTCAGCAAGCACTACCTGGCTACAGCTGATGTTTATTTAAAACTCCAGAGCTCTCCAGTTGACAGCTGTTAAATCCTGCCAGGACTCATTGCTCCATTTCAAAGTAGAAGGCTTCCTTCTGGCCCAGGTTGTATCTAGAAATGTCATCTAAGACCTAGGGCCTAGAATAGGGGCCTTGGATTCTGCCTGGCTTATTCTACTGTGGCTGAGCTGTTATCCAAGTTGCAAGACAAATTTCTCTTTACTCTTTTCTCTCTTCACCCCACACAGAGGGAAATATTCTCTCTTAGAACCATATGCCACACTGCCAGGGGTTGGGGAGGGTAACACGAGCACTCCCATGGCCAACCCAGCTATTGTCTCACTAGGGCATGAGCACCCCAAGTCCACTGGCTGCAAGCCCAGCACAGCCAGCACTGGGAATTGCCCAGGATTTGCAGTCTTTGAGGCCTATATTTCCTTTCAAGTTTATTTAGAACCCCAGAGTGCTTTAGCCCATGGTGATGGGGCTAGGAGGAACTCAACATTCTGACCACTGGGCTGGACAATTCTCCTCTGTCTAAGGTTGGTCAAAATGATCCCTCTGTGGATGTAGGCTGAATTTTGCTGTTTGCTGATTTCCACCGAGTCAGAACAGCTCTGAGTTCCAATGGAAAGTCTTACAAATCTTTGCTCTCCCTTCCCCAAGCACACAGGTTCTATCTCTGTGCCACATAGCCACTGCTGAGAGATGGGGGAAGGTGATCTAAAACTGTGTTTCTTACCATATTCAGTACCTCATTTCATGATATGATGTTAAAACCAGGTATTGTGATCACTCATCTGATTTTTAGTTCTTATGAAGGCACTTACTTGTGTGGATAATTGGTCAATTTGGTGTTCTTAGCAGGGAGGAGGATGATTGCTGGAGGATTGTATTTGGCCATCTTGCTCCACCTTCTCCTCTCAATTCTCCAGACACAGCAATCTTAAAGGTATATGCACATAGACAATGAACTTGTAAAATATATAAAACATAAAAAGATATAACTGAAATGAAAAATGAGACAAATTTACAATTATAGATGGAGACATCAGTACCCTTACCTGAATAATTAATAAAACAACTAGACAGAAAATCTGCAAGGATGTAGAATAACTCAACCATACCACCAAGCAACAGGATCTAATTGACGTTTATAGAACACCTAACCCCAAAACTGAAGAATACACATTCTTTTAAAGTGCTACCTAACATATCCTAGGATACCTAACGTATTCCTATCTCAAGATGCCTTATGTTTGTGAACATAAAACAAGTCTCAACAAAGTTAATAGCACTGAAACTATATAGAGTGAATTTATTGACCACAATGAAGTCAAACTAGAAATCAATAACAAATACATACCAGAAAATTCATCAAATACTTGGAAACTAAAGAACACACTGCTAAAAAAAAAATTCTATGGATCACTATAGATCCAATAAGCGGACCCTGATGACATTAAAAAATAGTAAGGGGATATTGCGATGTATTCCACACATAAATATAACTTAGATAAAATAAACCAGTTTCTTAAAAATACAAATTATTAATATTACATCTTACTCAATATGAGATAGATGATTTGAATAGCTGTGTAACTATTAAGAAATTGAATTCATAATTTAAATGTTTTAAAAAATACGTCTTTAGGTCCAGTTCAATTTGCTGGAGAATTTTACAAAATGTTATGAGAAGAATTAACACCAATTCTGCACTACCACTTTGAGAATACATAAGAGGTGAGAATAATTTCCCAGATATTTTATTAAGTTTATATTACCCTGAAAACATAAATAGACTTACATAAAAGACAATACAGAAAATAAAACTACAGACCCATACCCTTCATTAATATAAATGCAAAAAGCCTTAACAAAATATTTGCAAACATAATCCAGCAATATATAAAAATAATTATGCACCATGACCAACTAAGGCTTATTTCAGGGTTGCAAAGCTGGTTCAATTTTCAGAAATTAATTAATGTAACTCAGTATACTGGCAGACTAAAGAAGAAAACCCTTGTGATCCTATCAACTGAGGCAGAAAAGGCATTTGGCAAAATTCAAAAGTTGCTTACGACAAAATATCTCCCAAAAATAGGAATAAAGGGGAATATCATCAGCTTGATAGAAACCTTTAAAAACCTTACAGTTATGGCCAGGCGCGGTGGTTCACACCTGTAATCTCAGCACTTTGGGAAGCCGAGGCAGGTGCATCATGAGGTCAGGAGATCAAGACCATCCTGGCCAACATAGTGAAACCCCATTTCTACTAAAAATACAAAAATTAGCTGATGTGGTCGTGCGTGCCTGTAATCCCAGCTACTCAGGAGGCTGAGGCAGGAGAATTGCTTGAACTAGGAACTCGGAGGTTGCAGTGAGCAGAGGTCACGCCACTATACTCCAGCCTGGCAACAGAGTGACACTCTTTCTCAAAAAAAAAAAAAAAAAAACAAATTACAGCTATAATAAAGAAAAACTTAATGATTACATTAATGATGAAAAACTTAATGTTTTCTCTAAGACTAGGAAGAAGACAATGATATTAGCTTTAACCCTGCTAATTCAACACAGTGCTGTAAGCTCTAGCTAATCAAAAAGGCAAGAATAAGAAATAAAAAGCAGATATATGAGAAAGCAATAAGTAATTAGCATTCTGTATTTTCAGATAAAATAATTGTTTAAGTGGAAAATCACAAGGTGTCTACAAAAATGGGGAAAAAAAGGGAAACTTCCTATAATATGTCAGTGAGTTTAGCAGGGTCACAAGATGCAATATAAACATACCGAAAAAATCAGTTGTGTTTCTTTTTTTTTCTTTTCTTTTTTTTTACTTTTGAGACAGAGTCTAGCTCTGTTGCTCAGGCTGGATTGCAGAAGCACAGTCTTGGCTCACTGCAACCTCCACCTCCCAGGTTCAAGCGATTCTCCTGCCTCAGCCTCCCAAGTAGCTGGGATTACAGTTGCCCTCTAGCATGCCTGGCTAATTTTTGTATTTTTAGTAGAGACAGGGTTTCACCATGTTGGCCAGGCTGGTCTTGAACTCCTGACTTGGGGGATCCACCCACCTTGACCTCCCAAAGTGCTGGGATTACAGGTGTGAGGCACTGCGCCTGGCCTTGTGTTTCTTTATATATGTAATGTGCACTTGTACACTGAAATTTGAAATACAATGTCATTTATAATTGCTCAAAAATCAAATACTTAAGGTGGAAATCTAGTGAAACGTGTGTAGGAGTTGTATGCTGAAAAATGCAATTCAAGATTAAGATGGAGAGACAAACTTCATGCCCATATTAGAAGATTCAACATAGTTGACATGGTTTGTCTCTGTCCCCACCTAGATCTCATCTTGAATTGTAGCTCCCATAATTTCTACTTGCTGTGGGAGGGACCGGGTGGGAGAAAATTGAATCATGGGGGTGGTTTCCCCCATACTGTTCCCATAGTAGTGAATAAGTCTCATGAGATATGATGGTGCTATAAGATGAAACCCCTTTTGTTTGGCTCTCATTTCTTCTCTTGTCTGCCGCCATGTGAGATGTGCTTTTCACTTTCCACCGTGATTTTGAGTCCTCCCTATCCACGTGCAACTGTGAGTCCATTAAACCTCTTTCTTTTGTAAATTGCCCAGTCTTGGCTATGTCTTTATCAGCAATGTGAAAACAGATGAATACAATAGTAAAGATGTCAGTATCATCCATATTCATATACAGATTTAATGCAATTTCTACCAAAATCCCTGCAAGAATTTTTTGTAGATTTAGACAATATTGAATAATCTTGAAAACAAAAAATAAGGTGAGATGAATTAGTCTACTCAATTTTAAGAATTACATAGAGTAATCAAGACTGTATGATATTGGCAGAGAATGGACACACAGATCAATGAAATGGAATAGAGTCTAGTCATGGACCCACATACATATGTGAAACAATTTTGGACAAAAGACTGGATTAAGAAAATGTGGCACATATACACCATGGAATACTATGCAGCCATAAAAAATGATGAGTTCATGTCCTTTGTAGGGACATGGATGAAATTGGAAATCATCATTCTCAGTAAACTATCGCAAGAACAAAAACCAAACACCGCATATTCTCACTCATAGGTGGGAATTGAACAGTGAGATCACATGGACACAGGAAGGGGAATATCACACTCTGGGGACTGTGGTGGGGTGGGGGGAGGGGGGAGGGATAGCATTGGGAGATATACCTAATGCTAGATGACGAGTTAGTGGGTGCAGTGCACCAGCATGGCACATGTATACATATGTAACCTGCACAATGTGCACATGTACCCTAAAACTTAAAGTATAATAAAAAAACAAACAAAAAAAACAAACAAACAAAACAAAACAAAACAAAACAAAAGTTCAAAACCAATTCAATGGAAGAAGGAGAGCCTTTTCAATATATGATGCTGAGCTAATTGGATATCAACAAGTGAAAAATGAGCTCAGACTTAAGTCACATACTTTACAAAAATTAAAATCACAGGCTTAAATGTACAACCTGAAACTATACAGTTTGTAGAAAAATAGAACATTTTCAACATCTAGAGTTTTCAACATCTAGAGTTAGGCAAAAAGGCTATATAGACTTGATACTAAAAGCAGTTTATGAAAGGAAAAAATTGATAATAGGACCTCAACAAAATTAAATACTCTTGTTCTGCAAAATTCTATCCTAAGAGAATGGAAAGACAAGCTAAAGACCACGATAAAATATCTGCAAGTCACATCTGACAAATGATGGGGATGTTCAAAACTGAATGTTCAAAACTTAGCATTAAAAAAAATCTTAGAAAATGGACCAAAAACCACAGTGATGCATTTTACCAGAGAATATACAAATGAGAAATAAACACATAAAATTTGCTTTTATTAAGAAAATAGAAATTAAAAACACAATGTGATAAATTATACACAGTGATTAATTATTATTTTACAGTGATGAAACCCAATACTGGCAAAGATGCAGAGAAACTAGATCACTCATATATTGCTAGTGGAATTTCTTAAATAACAGAATATGAAACCACCATATGAGCAGTAATTGCATGTCTGAACAGTTATCCCAGAGAAAATAAAACATGATCAGATCAGAACCTGTACATAATGCTTATAGTAGCTTTATTCATGATAGTCCCCAATAAAAGATAACCCAGATGTTCTTCAACAGGTGAATGGTTGAACAAACTGGTGGATCCCTTATATATTACTCATCAATAAATAGAAATGGGCTTCTGATACACGCAACCACCTGCATGAATCTCTAGAGAAATATGTGGAGTGAAAAATGACAGTTCTAAAAGCCTATATACTGTATGATTCCATTTGCATGGCATTCTAGAAAGTACATAATTATATAAATAGATAGCAGATTAGTGGTTGCCACGAGTTATGAAGGGTTATATTTGTGGGAGGAAAGTGGATGTGGTTATAAAACAGCCGTATTGTGGTGATAGAATTGTTCCGTATCTTGACTGTATCAATGTCAATATTCTGGTTATGATAATGATGACCTACAGATCTGCAATATGTTACCAAAGGGGAAACTGGGTAAATGTTACAGGGGAAATATCCCTATTATTCTTCACAACTCTGCAAATCTATACTTACGAGAAATAAAAAAGTTTGATTAGACCACTATACTATCTTGAATCTTAACACATTGTGCAAATAAATTAATTCAAACCAACTGATATTTATTGACTTTATTAGCTATATTGTTAGTTGCTGCCAGGGGCCTAATGATATATGTGAGGATCTGACTGCTACAAAATTATTTGTCTACCATACAAAGCATGGAAGACCCATTGCCTTGAGTCAATAACAAGCTGAAAAACTTGTCCTTAGTCCCAATTGTAGCATTTACCTCACTAGCAGAAGAATTAACATGGGCATGTACTTTTAAGATTTTTGGGTGCTTCCAGATTACTCTTGATCACATGGAAGTGACCTTTTCCAACTTTCCCCAAGCTGGACTAATTACAGCCATTTGTCGCTTAATGATGGGGATACATTCTAAGAAATGTGTCATGTTGTTAGGCAATTTTATCCTTGTTTGAATCTCATAGTGTGTATTTACAGAAAGAAACCTAGATTAATGGCCTACTGCACACCTAGGCTATATGGTATATGGCCTATTGCTCCTAGGATACAAACCTGTACAGCATGTTACTGTATTGAATACTGTAGGCAATTGTTACACAATGGTATTTGTGTGTCTAGACATTAAAAAGGTATAGTAAAAGCAATATTATAATCATATATATGTACATATATATGCATGTGTGTATGTATTTTCTAGTTGATTTATTCCTTATATGTAAACTTTAGCTTCTTTTTGTTAAGAAATAGTCTTAAGTGATAAATAGCAGAGACCCATCTGGGGTCAGAGTGACTGGTTGAGATCCTGATTAAGCTACTCACTAGTCATGTGACATTGGACAGGTCACTTAACCTCCCTTTTTCTTTCCACATCTGATAAATGAGAATAAAAATAAGCACTATCTCTGAGGATTGATAGAAGAATCAAATGAAGTAGTATTATAAAGCACACAGAACACTGTTCTAAACAGGTGTTAAATAAATTCACAATTTGGCCTTGGATAATTTCTTCTGACTCTGTGAAATGAAAGTCAGTGAAATAAATACACTCTCACTTTTTCATAACTTCTAGTCCAACAAATATACTTACAGATTTATATGCTTAGCTGCAAAATGATCATAAACAATTTGAGTACTTTTATAAGGGAAAAATGAGGTTAAAATAATAACTCCTGTAAAACACATGATGTGAATGCTTCAATGTGTCAAAATGCTGTTTTTCATTTAAACATTTAGATAATTTTTTTCTAATTTCCATCCACATGTGTCAGAATGAAACCTCACAGGCTATATTTTACTAAAATTATTTTGTAGGTGTCAAGAATGTGGACGCTTGAATTCAATCTATCTACTGAAGATTATCTGTTTGCCAGCAGCCCCACCTTGCACCACTTTTAGAATCAGTGAACTCTCTGGGGGATATTTTTTTAAAAATTAACTGATGTATTTAATTAGAGAAACAGAATAAAGATATTTTTCAAAAATAATGCATACAATTACTCAAAATTCTAGACATGACATTTGTGCTGTTGATTTGCTGAACAGCACAGTTGATAATCAGAAAATTTGGACCCCCTCGCTGTCGACTTAGAACAATGTCGTTTCTTAGGGTGACAGCAGAATGGATGCTTAAAGATAATAAATTCATTCATCTTACCTTCCTCACATTTCAAGTGAATAATGAAATGTGAGTAAGTGACTCAAAAAGATAAACTTAAACTCACCACCAGATGTCTCCACTTTGTAAGGCAATTAACCAAACAAAAAAGAGGTGATTCAAAGGGAGGGTTGATTTAAGGCAGTGTTCTTGTGTGCAGTGATTTGTTCCCCCTGGCATATCGGGTACTACCGTCTTTCAGTGGGTAGAAGCCAGTGTTGCCTGTAAATATTCTACAATGAACAGAACAGCCCTCCGTAACAAAGAACCATCTAACCCAGAACATCAAAACATTTTTTATGTGAGATTATAAAAGATTATAAGAAAAAACAGGTATGAAACTAAACCCTGTTTTCTCCCAGCACCCTCTAGATATCTCTATTATATGCCCAATAACATAACATTCTTTATTAATGTAATATCATTTCCGTTTTACTTGAGTGTCATCCTCACCAGGTGATGATGTCTTATTGAGAACCTGACCAAGGTCATTTCTATCTCTGTATGCCTACTGCTTCCTAGAGTGTGTGGCATGTGGTACACACTCCATAGCTTGTCAAATGAATGATTTCATGAATTAATCATAATAAGGTATAGACTATAAGTGGAGCAAGAATAAACTCTACATTGAAGAAAGATGTGTTTCAGAATCTGTCAATCCCAAGTGTAATGGAAGCTGGTGGCATTAGCAAGCAGCCAGGGCCTAGTGGTAACAGGTGGTGTAGGTTGTTAGAAGGAAAACGGAGACGTTAGCAAAATTTTGAAGGAGGATGCCAGGCAAGAACATTATACACAATTGAGTTGTTCGGAATTCCTTCTTGAAAAAACTAAAACTTTTATTTAGATTAAAATATAAAATTGCTGGATGGTACTTGGCAATACCATCCAGCCATTTCATATTTTAATCTAAATAAAAAACTTCAAACAGGATTGTCAAAAGAACTGATTGATGGTCAACACTAAATGTATATCTGTGTGTATTGATTCAAATGTAAATACCAAATTAATAATAACTATAAAATTTGGAGTAGGTAAAATAATAAAACTGAAAAAGTAAAAATACTGTAATGAATAATAAGTTAGAAGGTTTCAGAGGAAATTAAAAGAAGTGTTAGATTTCTTTTTTTTTTTTTTTTTTTTTTTTGAGACGGAGTCTCGCTCTGTCGCCCAGGCCGGACTGCGGACTGCAGTGGCGCCATCTCGGCTCACTGCAAGCTCCGCTTCCCGGGTTCACGCCATTCTCCTGCCTCAGCCTCCCCAGTAGCTGGGACTACAGGCGCCCGCCACCGCGCCCGGCTAATTTTTTGTATTTTTAGTAGAGACGGGGTTTCACCTTGTTAGCCAGGATGGTCTCAATCTCCTGACCTCATGATCCACCCGCCTCGGCCTCCCAAAGTGCTGGGATTACAGGTAGATTTCTTAACTATGCAGTTGAATATATCACAGCTGTAAAATTGTAGGTTAAAATAACTACAAATTCTTAGTGTCATTTACAATTTTTTTTCTAAATTTTGGGGAGATGAGAGAAACTATATTTTGGAGGGTAGAATCATTTATTTTCATTTAAATAACTATATTTATATTGAGTATTATTCTGTTAAATTTGACAAAATATTCAATATTTTGTATTTTAAAATCATCCAAAACATAACATTTCCCTGGAGCTTTTCTTTTTTTTTCTTCCAATCATCACCCACTAACCCATTCAACCACCTATCCATGTAGGTTTATAGGAAGATACTTGGAATGCTGTTTGTGCCATGTTACTTATGCTATTTTTGCGTGGTTGAATTTGGAGCTATTTTTAAATTTTATATTTTCGTTTTTTCACAGACTATTTATTTATAATGAGCATTATTGATTTAGAGAAAACAATGTACTACACATCTTTGTTTTAAACTTTTTTTTTAATTTACTCAGTCTACTGATTCAAATGTTGATCTCTTCTGAAAATACCCTCATGGGCACACCCAGAAATAATATTTGATAAGCCATCTTGGCATTCCTTAGCTTAGTCAAACTGACATAAAATCAACTATTACAAGTGCTTAATTATGAGTAGTAGCAGTGTAAATAATATCTTTTCTTGTATTCTGTCATACTTTTTATTTTAAAAAGTTACATTTTCCATGAGGAGAAAACATTTAGTAGTTCATTCTGCAGAATCTATGTAGAAAGGACTTCTATCATTCCTTCAGAAGACAACTGCTAGAACAGAAAAAAAATTGAGGAAACACAGAACACAGACCTTCATTTCTGCTTCTCTTTTCTTTGGCTGAATCCCAAACAGCTAAGCCCAGTAATATTGGCTTGGACAACCAGATGTTCTCTTTCACTTGTACTCTCTCTTTGACTTCTGGGCTAAGTGGTAACTTTGTGGAGTCTTAAGAGAAGTATGGAGTTGGGGGAAAATTACTTAGAAACAAAATCAAAGGAAGCCACAAAAGTAAAAACCGCATCTGTCATAAAGGAATGTAACAAAGCTTGCAAACTCTGGAATGATGAAGAGGCAGCAGGCTTTGTGCTGAGTTCAGTCATTTCTCTCAGCTATTAAATATTGTCAAGTATCTGTGCTCCTTCTTGACTCTAAATGAAGCTTCCTTCACTCCCTTTAGATTCATTTATTATGCAGTGAGACATTTTTTTTTTCTTTGGAAGAAGGGACTAATATACTTGCACAGGCCAGCTTTTGTTTATTTGTCTGCACCAACAAACTTGCAAAATCGTCCTCTTGAAAAGGTAAAATCACCTATGCATAAATTTCACCTGGAAAATTACTGCTTGTTACAAATGTGAAATACATAGACTGTCTAAGGCAAAGCTACTGAAAGCTTCATTCTTAAGGACATCAACTTACGCTGAGTATAAAATAATACTGGAGAAATTTGCCAAGTTTAATTGGGAATTTTAAAAAATCAAATCACCTCTAAATAATTATATAAGGTATGAGTTAACTGGATACTTGGAGAATCCTCTTCTTCACTGAAAGAGATGAGATCCTATGACTCTAAGCTTAAAACCCTTCACTGGATGCTGATGGCACCTGGTTCCTAAGGAGGCCATTGCAGGTCCAAAGTGAGGTGAGGAAACGAAGGAGAATGGAAGGGGGTTTCCATGAAGCTAGATTTTTTCCCAATCTAATATATTTATGGTTTGCCAAATAATGCTGTCCTCCTCCCTGCCAACACACACACCAAGTACCCACTTCTTAATCCCCAGAACCTGAGCTCGATTACTGTGTTATCTTCCATGGCAAAGGGACTTTGCAGATGGGATTAAGTTAAAGCCATGGAGGCAGGGAATTTATCTTGGATTATTCAAATGGGGCTACATGAATCCTTTAAAGTGGAGAACATCTCTCAGTTTTCGTCAGAGAAAGGGATGTGATTATGGAAAGGGGATCAGAGTGATCTGATGTGAAAGGGACTTATCTATCCCATCCTTGCTGGCTTCCCATGGAGGAAGGCACCATGAACCATGGTATAAGAGCAGCCTCTGCAAGCCGGAAAAGGCAAGAAACAAAGTTCCTCCTAGAGCTTTCAGAATGGAGTGCAGCCCTGTCGACACCTTGGTTTTAGCTGAGGGAGACCCATGTCCGAACTGTGATCACAAATACTGTACGATAATAAAGTTGTGCTACTTTAAACCATGAAGTTTGTGGTAATTTGTTATGGCAGCAACAGAAAACTAATACAATATTTTTATTGTTTTTTGTTTGGGCGGTGGTGTTATTTCTAGTTTATTTCTTCCTTGCCAAAATGAAATATAATTATCCTGTGTTAATCCCCTAATCTGAATTCTCCACTCCTTCTGCCTTACATGTACCTCTTCCTCCTTTCTTCCCTTTCTTCTTTTTTAAAAATTGTGTTATGAAATTTAACTGTTGACACATAGAATAAACTCCCTGGTTCTTGTCCATGACGCATTCTATGTATGGCTCTTCTAATCCGGTCCCTCCTTCCAGTTGCATGCCCACCCCCAACTCTTTAACCTCTAATACGGTAAATCTCAGACTTCCCAGTGATCACAATTCCTCTGGTACTTGTGAAGATGCACACGCCCACTTCCCACCATGCACCTGCTGAATCAGCATCTCCCAGAGAGGGATCTGAAAATCTATGTATTTAGCAAGGCATATAGTCATTTGTTAATTATGAGAAACACCATTTTATTAGCAGCACCAAACCTAATATCCCCTGTATGTGCTATGCCCTCCCCACAACCCATTCATGCCTCTAATCAGGTTTCCTTCTGCTAGAATTCCCTCACTCCTCTCCTTCTTCCCATTCTGGTTCCTTCCCTGACTTTACCAGGCCATCTTCTCTTCCTAATTGATGTTATTTGATCCGGATTCTCACTTCCTGTGAGTCCCCTAGCTGACCCTCTATCTTCAAATCATGTAGAGCATTCACATAAATGATGATGGCTGCATTTACCATATTGTCCTGTAATCATCTGTTTGTCAGTCTTTCTTCATCAGCAAGATTGTGTCCTTGGATGCAGGGATTGTGCCTTGCTCATTTTTCTCCTCTAAGGCCCAGCAGGTGCTGAAGATGTATTAGATGCTAAGCAAGTGCTTTCAAGAGGAATGAGTGAAAGAATGGTCACAGGAATGAATTAAATACTAAAGGCATCACATAATGAGCTAATTCTCTACTTTCTCTTTTTTAAGCACCATGCTCCTTTCAGTTAATAGCCTAAGGGGATTCAATTTAGAGAGCCTGTCACAAATGTCCATATGAGAAAGGAAATCTGGTGTGTGGGGTTTCTGGGTTAGAAAGAAAGAAGTCATGCTATGCCAACTTTACCTTCAAAATGTATTTCACTTATTACTAAACACTTCTCACAACTCCATGGACAGCATGCTGGTCCAAGTGTCTGTCATTTCTTTGGCCTCACAGTGGTTCTTGAATATAATAAGCACAGGGGCTTTTGCCCTGGCTATTCCCTCTGTCCTAGATAGTATTTATATACGGTGGTATATGTATCATGGCTCAATTCCTCTCGGAGAGGGTTTGTCTAAGTGACCTATCTCAAATATTGCTCCTATCACAAGTGGTTTAATTTACCCTGCTATATTCTTTATTTTCTCTATAGTGCTTATATAGGATGTATATTGTACATTTTTTTCTATCTTGCTAATAAGAATATAAGTTCCATGAAGGCAGAAATTTTGTCTGCTGTATTCACTGTTCTATCCCCAGGACTTAGAATCATTCCATGTATACAGCAGGTGTTCAGTACAGATCTGTTGGATGTTGAATACGGGTGTGGCAGAATATTCCAGTAGAACCAAGCAGCCTAGTCATTACATAATACAAGGTGCGATACATGCATACACTCATCCCACCCAGGACACATCAGACATCTTAAGGTGGCATTTTAAATGCACCTTAATTTATATCTGCAATTGCTAAGACACAAAAATTTAATGAATATTTTCTTCCATGTTTTTTTTACGTCTATTTCCTCAGAAAGCATGGGAGATTTTGCCTGTCCGTTGTTGCCATCGTTTTCCCTTGTTAAAGTAGTCCCCCAACCTACTGCCCGTTGCAGCCTGAGGGAACAAGGCTGGGTTTTTGTGGATGATGGTGTCCTGACGCAGGTCCACTTTAGTTTTTCCTATTCCTATGGTGATGCTGCTGAGGACCAATTAAAAATAAACAAATTGGGGCAGGCACGGTGGCTCACCCCTGTAATCCCAGCACTTTGGGAGGCTGAGGCGGGCGGATCACGAGATCAGGAGATCGAGACCATCCTGGCTAACACGGTGAAACCCCATCTCTACTAAAAATACAAAAAATTAGCCGGGCGTGGTGGTGGGCGCCTGTAGTCCCAGCTACTCGGGAGGCTGAGGCAGGAGAATGGCGTGAACCCGAGAGGCAGAGCTTGCAGTGAGCTGAGATCACACCACTGGACTCCAGCCTGGGTGACAGACTGAGACTCCACCTCAAATAAAAAAAAAAAAATAGTTAGAGGTGTGCCCTGAGCCATTGGAGTGGCAGGCATGGAATCTCATTTAACTTTTACAACAGAGCCATTTGTTCCTTGTCCAGCCTCCCCCAGAATGCCGTCTTGGTTTGAATTCCTGGAGCGGTGTGGGGCAACCATCTGTATGACGTGACCCCAGGAATTGTTTTTCAACTGCATGATATCTCTGTTATATCACGTCTAGAACTTTGCTAACTTCAGGCATGGTATTATCTTCCTACCTAGGAGTCTCTCACTTCATTTTGCTCATGCCCTGGAGGGATTTCTGAACTCTGATCCAGTTTTTTTTCCCTCACCTTGAAGTGTTTTTTTTTTCCTTCTAATACTATAAATGTAGCAATTGTAGTCTTGTCTCTTATATGTTGATTTCAATTCTTTGTTTTCCCCAGTTTTTCTTTTCTATCTTTGACGGCTTGAGATTTTTTTCTAATCCGCAAGAGTAAAATATATACTCCAGCGACCACTGTCATAGGCTACGTGGTTTTCTGTTTTGAGGTTTTGAGTTACATTTCTGTTGCTTCCTGGTCAACTCTGTACATCTCATGGCCCTGATGACATGGTAGTCACCGTGTCGTAGGTATCCTGTTCATTTGCTGGGCAGGAACAGCTGTCAGACAGTACATTTGATGGCTTTTCACAGAATCAGTCCTGCCTTTGAAATTATATTCTAAAAGCTCTTAGATGTCCATATCCACATTTCTTTGCCTGAAAAGAGAATAAAAGGGAAGAAAAAATATGTTGGATATATCAAAACGCATCAATTCTTTCTTCCCTCACCCATCCTTTCCATCTCCAAGTGCACTGTCCACAATATGTCCACAATATGGACATGTGCTTTGAACTCATATGGCTGGGAAGAATAGAAGGGAAGTGGATGTAATCTTGCCTGAGACCATGGTTATCACAGGGTGAAAGCAGGATGAGTCTGGGCTATCAGAAAACCCAAAGTCAGTGTATGCTAATCTAAGGTGACTAACCTGTCCTAGTTTTCTTGAGATTTTCCCAGTTTTAGCACAGGAATTCATGTCTTGAGAAAAACAGGATGATTTATCGCCCTACAGAATCATTCAAACACAACTCTAAGTGCCTACTCTGTGCCCAGCATTGCCCTTCAGGTAACTTGTGGTTTGGTCAGCCAGTCCCGTAGCCTGTCCTCATCTGCATTTGTCTTTCTTATGTTTCCATAAACCTTTAGAGGTTGCCCTTGTGTTAACAATTTCACATTCATGCCTGGGCTTGGTCGTCCTGAATGTTTGACCCTGTTAATTTGATTTTATTCTCTGACACGAACTTGGGCTGCCATAAATCCAAAATGAAAATGCTGTTTGGAGTCACAATGAAAATGGAATGCGAGAAGATTCTAGAGAAGACAAAATAACCCAAAGAAAAGAAGTATGGAAGGCAGGGGTAGCAAGGCGGAGCTGTGCCCTGTCACGGCACACAGAGAATGCCCATGGATTTTCACAAATGCTGTTAAAATGTGAAAAGAAGGTGTTTCTTTTTTCTTCAATCTGAGCTTCAAGCTAATATGGGCATTCAGCTAAATCCCTCCTGGGTCCTGAAACAGTATGTGGTTTTGGATTTCAAAGGTAATTATTGCTGAATTCATTGTATGGCCAGTGCACCTGCCAGGTAGACATTATAAAAGAGCATGCAGGGGGCCACCAAGAGAATTTGGAGGACAATTTCTCCATCACAAAACCCCTTTGAAAGCCTATTAAGGCATCAAGTGCCAGGAATGGAGTTGAACATATTCATAATACAGTTAACAATGCAAATGAAGCAACAGTTCCAGGTCGGAGAAAATGCCGATGCTTACCTGAGAAATTCGGGCTCCATTGTATTGTGTCTGTCCTGCAATTGACTCACAGTGAGTTATCTTGTAGAAAAGTGGCATATTTGCATATTTAGATCCTGCCTGGGATAAGCAAGAGAAATACATGTTCTGGCTTTCTGAAATGAAATTGAGAGAGAAAAAGGGGGCACATATTGCTCAATATGCTCATTTATTCATTAAAAATACAAGTATGTACATCTCTCAGGCCTTCATTGGGCAACTGCCCTTGGGAGAAAATAGAGACAAATAAGAATAATAAAAAGCCAGCAGCCCTGTCCTGATGGAACTTAAGATCTAGTGGGAGAATCAGAAATAAATTGAATAATTACCCACGTTAATATAAAATTGCAAATGTAATAAGACCCTCAAGAAGAGGTACCAGGATTTCTGAAAGCACAGAGTAGAAGAATTTGAACCAGTTGGGGACTTCCCTGAGAAACTGAAATTAGGCTGAGGTGGGCAGTGTTCACACTTGCTCGCTGCCTAATCTGGGACAGCACTGCCGACAGCTTGACCTGCATTTCTCCAAGTCTCCACAACTAATTTTGTAGGTAGACATTGTCCCTTCACACCCTCAATAATCTTATGAGAAGTGTTTAATAACCTTAGGAAGAATACTCCACCATTGTCAGTAACCGTAAGGGGAATGGCCCATCACCCTCAGTAACCTTAGGAGAAATATCCCGTCATAATCAGTAACCTAAGGAAGAATATTTTATTACAGTCCTAGACTAGAGGCTTCCTGAACAACCTCTCTTTTGTACCTCTGTAACTATTCCTGTACTGCAAAAGTCCAAATCCTGCATAGAGTAGCAACTCAGATATTAGTCAAATTAATTTATTTATTCCCACCCTACAGATTTGAAAAATGTGGCCTAGAAAGGTTAACTAGTGTGCTGAAAGCCATATAGCTAGTAAGAGGCAGAGCCATGATCACTACCAAGCTCTCTGTGTCCAGAATAAAAGGGAGTGGCATTCAGATTAGAGGGCACAGCAAGAGCCTCATGCATATTCCTGCAAAGGACAAGGATTTGCTGCCTTTCCTGTACATCCCTAAAGAGAAGGACCTTCAACTCCTCCTTCTGGTCACGTGTATTTCCCCTGAAAGCAGAACCTAGGCAGTGTTTTTTGCCTTCATGGTCAAGAAACACATGTCAGCAAATGGTAGAGAGAGGGTTGTGCTGCTTTGAGACACGGGCTCCCAAGATCGCCTATCTTGCTGATAAAAGTACAGATAAGCCTGTCAGATAAGCCTCCTGCTGCAATGACTGAGGTCTCCAGCTCTGGATTGCTTGCTGTGGACAATTCCTCTTGGAAAGCTGTGCAAGCACCTTTTGAAAACCACACAACACTGAGAAGCTTCCTTCCAGCAGAAGCACAAAAACTGGAAACCTTGAGGCTTCACCCATGTGGATTAAGTAAAATGTTTTAAGTGACTCGGAGGCTACTTATAAAAAACAATTTACATAAATTGATGTTCTATTCGAAGAGGGTAGAGAGGGTGGTTTTAATTTTTTCAAAACTTTCCTCTTAGTTTTAATAGTGGCAGTGGCCTCGAAGAAGCAACTCCTTTTAATAAAACATGCTTGTAAATTTATTGAGACAGACTCCAGTTGACCCTATTTCAGGCGAACCTCTGGGGCCTCCCACATACAGCTGTCATGAGTGCTGAGGAGCCTGGGATTTGAGTTGCTGGAGGAGTCCATTCTCCATGACTCATGCTTTCTGGGCTCTGAGATGCTCCAATTCATTTCAGGGTATTTAATTTCTAAGAGTATTCAAGGTTTTGTTGAAGATCTAAACAGTGCTTAGAAATTTTTACCCTGGTTTACCTTGATGAAAATGAACCTGGGAGGACTGAGGTGCAAGCATACAATAATCACACACACACAAAAGACAAATACTAAGCTCATCCATGTGGCCCAGACAGGAAAAATGTCATAAATATAAAATCATGGATTATAATGTGGTTACATATAGTTACTTATTTTATTGTCCTTGTTTTTTTAAGAGGTGATATGTGAATATGGTAAATATTTTAAACAGATTAAAATTATTTTCTAATTAGAGATAATTCTCTCTCCTTCTCTCTCATGTCACCCAGTTTTCCATTTACCCTCCAAAAAGATAGCAACATAATGAATTTCTTCTAGACTCTTCCAGAAATATGTGTTGTCCATTTAAACATATATTTTCCATCCTCTAACATATACTTTTATACATGGATATAGTATGTGGACAGTATTATGCATTTTGATTTTTAGTTAATAATAAATCTTTTGAGGTACCCACTTCAATAATAATAATAACAACAGCAGCAAACAAACCCATATAGAGTATGTGTCTAAACCTGGCACTTTTCTAAATTATTTTCAGATAATCCCTACAACTTCTGGGAGAGGTGCAAGTATCAACCAGTTGGAGACACAGGGAAAGGGTGATATAATGCAGAAAGTGACTTGAACAAATTTACACAGAAGGCAGTGAAGTGTGATTCAAATTCAAGCAGTCTAGACTGTGCCCCACACAACTCTGCAGCATAACCTTGCAGTATGAAAATAATGCCTCTCATGCAGGTATGCCTTATTCTTTTTAAGAGCTGCATAATATTCCTTTGCATGGATGTATCATTGATTTATTTTGTTCACTGTTAGTGATGTCTTAGACTTTTTCCTACAGTTTGCCATTGTGAGCAATGTTTCAATTTTTGAATATTTCACCACGCTTTTGAACCCATACTAACCGCACATATTTGTAAAATCAATTAATCAATTTATAGTAGTAGATTTATAGGCTTTTTAAACACCAAAAGCTAATTTTCTTCTTACTAGTAGGGAGATATGGATGGGACTTACTGAAACAAGTCATATAATGCATCTCTATTCTTGCAGCCAAATGAAAATGGCCCCATCAAAGTGCAAGTGCTCACTAAATATTCGTTAAATGAAAGAATTAAATAGAAAAAGCTACCATTTAAAAACATTATCACAATGCTAAAAATATGTTGATTTATAAGATCTCATTAAGTTCATGCAATTAAAGCAACCATTATCCTCATTTTACAGATCAGGGATATGAGATCCAGTGACTTACCCAAAGTTTCAAAGGAAAGATGTAACAGAGCCATCTCTGAACTTCTGCTCTTGGGAATCTACACACTCTTTCCACTAGTTCTGACCTTAGCAGGTGTTTGACCCAGGACTTGCCCAACTTGGTTTCCATTTGTATAGAACTAATGCCAAATTTCAAAAGAAAATATTACATACCATAATCAATAAAAACAAAATATCAAACATGTATTATGTGGGAAAGACTGAGATAAATACTTGGCATTGCATTACCTCAATACTGTTGGCAACCTTCCTACGAGCCTCATGCAATTACTGCTACCACTTTGCAGATGAGAAAAAGAAAACTGATGCTAAGCAAAGTTTAGTAACTTGCCCAATATCACAAGAAGTAGTGAGTGACAGAGGAAGACTTAGCTCACATCTGAGTGTCTCCAAATCCCAAATCCCAAAGCCTCATGCTCTACCTTTTTACTGGAAGTTAAAATAAATATTATGACAGATACCTTTTTAAAACCTTAAAGATGATATGTATTGGTCGTACTGATTCCTGAATGCATCTGTATTTCCTAAGGCTTTTCTGTCCTTTATTTTCAAGAGTCTTCCATATACCTCTTAGGGAATCTGTCTCAGCTAGTATTATAATGAGAACTATCATATAGCAAATATTTAGCTGCTTAATAAATAACTACATATTTTTTAAAAAATGACAAACTCACGAGAATTGGCCTTTACTTAATAATCACAAACACCAAGCTTATGAATATTTCATGCTCACTGCTTTCTGCTGAGAGCGTGAGCATCCTGCATTTCTATAGCTCCAGATTATGCAGGGAGCAATGGAAACCATATGTTTTGTGTGTTTTCTTTAACAATTTGATGATGGAAGAACACCTGGCAGTGTTGGAGATAATGTAAGAAATGGTCGCCTTTTGTTATTTGAGTGCTTGAAATAAAAATCTCAAATGGCAAGTTGTAATCCAAACCACAGTAATTATAGAAGACAGTACAAAAAGGTATACATTTTAAATTCATACATCTAAATGAGTCTATCTGCAAGTAAGTAAACTGTATTCAATTTTCCACAGCAACTACCCCATCAACACTATCACCCAAAACACTGATGACATGGTACTGCTCAAATGTTGGAAACTTTCAGTTTTGAGTTCAATTGTTTCTTTCTTTGTTCTTTCCTTTCTTCCTTCAATCAATGAATGTTAGAGTTGTTTTTAAGTGATCTCAGGAAGTACACAGTTCAATGAATATGAGGAGTAAGAAACCTAAATGAAGGATAGGAAGACAGAGAAGTCTTCCTCTAAGACGGAATGTTTAAATCTGGATGAGGGGATTGGTAAGAGTTTACCAGGCAGAAGGGTAGAACTCAGAGGAGGTTACAGGCATGGGAATAACTCACAGAAAGAAGCAGGTACTTTCTAGACATCGGAGGGAAGCCAGAGTGGCAATTGCGTAGTGACAAGGGGAGTGGCAACATGAGGCTGGCAGAAGCAGATAATGCAGAGCCTTGTAAAGCTTGATAAAGAGTTTGAACATTCGCTCAAGAACAGTCAGAAGCCATTGAAGGGTGTGAAGCTAGTGAGAGACAGAATCTGACTCAGGATTGTCAAGATTATTCTGGATGAGGGGAGACAGGAAGAGGAAGGGAGAGAGGTAACTTAGGACATAAGTGTAGTAATTCAGATAAAATATTATGTTGGCCTGGAGACCTGGTCCGGAAGAGTGACAGTGAGCTGGAAAGAGGTGGGTGGACTGGAGAGATATTACAAAAATGAAATATACAGACAAGAGTGATTGATCAGGTGTTGGCAGTGAAAGAGGAAGATGTCAAGACTGACTTAGAGATGCATGACTTGACAAGCTGCAGACATGGAGATCCGTTTTGAACTTTATGACATTATTTCAAAATTCTCTATTTTCTCTCCTGGGAATATTTAGCAAAAAGAAAAAAGCCTGTAGACCATTTTCAAATTGTGCTTAATCAAGCCAAGACTTGTGCCCACCTCTTCAGGGTGAGGAACGCCCTCTGTGTTCATTTTACTGCTCTATTTTCAGTGCCTGGTGTAGCATAGGGAGGGATAGAGTAGGTGTCCAATCATGAGTCTATACTAGGAGATGAGATGTGTTCCTAGCTGGGTTATAAGAATCTTGAGGAGGAAGGCTTCCCTGTCTTTATCCTCCATTTTTTTCTGTCCTTCTTTATTTCCTTCTAAACTTTTTCCTAAGTTACTCATTTGTGAGTTATTTTACAGAGTTAAACAAATTGATACTAAAGTCCATATGGGAAAACAAATATTATGAATAACCAGAAAAAAAAAATAATAGAAAAGAAAGGTGTTCTTTCTTTTCTGAAAGACAGTAGCCCTAGAGCAGGGCTCTAGGCGGAGTAGCCCTAGAAGACATTAAAACACACTATAAAGTCACTATACTTAAATCAACATGGTTCGGGTACATGAATAAACTAATAGACCAGTGGGATAGAAGGGAAGACCCACAGATAGTCCCAAGTATCCATGAAAATTTATTATATAATAAAGGTAGCATCTCAAAGCATTGAGGTAAAGAAGAAAATTTTAATAAATGGTGTTGGGGCAACTGGGTAGCCACTTGGAAAAAAGTAAAATTAGGTCCATATTTTACACTATATACAAGAATAGACTCCAAATAACACCCAAATTTTTTAAAGTGAGACTATGCAAGTACTAGAAGAAAACATGGGCAAACTCCACTTTAACCATGCTGCAGAGAAAGACTTTGTAATTATGACTGCCTATCCAAATGCAATACGGGAAAACATGGATATATTTTACTAATGAAAAAATAACTACATGAAAAAGCAAACAAAACAAAAATGAAGTCAAAAGACAACTGAAAACTGGGAGAAAATATGTACAACATACGCTACAAATGAAGCACTAATATAGGCATTTTATATATATATATATGAATAATTCTTAAAATTTGAGGGCAAAAAGAAAAAAAATCTGATTTTTTTAAAATGAGGGATGACAGGAACAATTACGGAAACATACAAAGATGCAAAAATGTTCTTGAAACATATGAAGGACCAATCACTCATAGTTTGAGAAATGAAAATAAAAATACTGACATGCAATTTATCACCTATCAGCCTGGCAAAAATTAAACGTGTGTCAATACACTCTGTTGTTGAGGCTATGGGGAGACAGGAATTCTCACACTTTGCTGATGGGAACACCTAGCGGTGCAACCCCTCAAGAGAGGAATTCGGCAAAATCTAACAAAACTCCACATGCCTACAACTTTTGCACTGCAGTTCCCCTTCTAGGAACCTACCCTGAAGGTACATTCCCAGCAATATGAAAACACTATACACTGGGTTATTCATGGCAGTCTTGATCATAATGCAAACATTTGGAAACAACCTAAATGCCCGTACATAGGAGAGCACTTGAATAAACAATGGCACATCCGTAAAGTGGAGTATTGTGCAGCTGTAAGAAGAATGAGGCAGAGTTCTACAAACTGGCTTGAAGTGATTTCCAGAATCTACTGTCAGGTGAAAGTAGCAAAATTCAGAAAATTATCTATAGTAAATTGTCCTTCAAGTAGAAAAAAATAGGCTACAAGAAAATATACATTCATCTGCTCATGTGTGCAAAAGAAATGCAGGCTGGATAAACAAGAAATTATAGATTGGTTATCTCCATGGGGTGGGTGGGAAAATGCTGGAAAGGAGAATGAGAACAGGGTAGCAGGAATATGGAGAGGAGACACTTCTCTAAGTATACCTTATGGTATTGTTTTGACTTCTAGAATCTTGAAAAAAAACACACACCAAAAAAACCATATAAGAAAAAAAAAAAAAATGGAACCAAACATACAGAAAAACCAACAGGATGTGAGAGGAATCCAGCACAGAATACAAATAGGAATACATGAAGCTAACTGTCGGACAAATGAATAATGTCGCCTCATTGAAGGGGGTGAGGAAGAAAATAACTCACTGAAGTAACTTTAGAAAACAGAACTGTGAGTGGCTATCATAAGGCTAAAGGCAAAAAGAAATGTTGAAACATGCTGGGCTTTAGTTTGTAAATCTGTTTCTCACAAAAGTATGAGTAAGCAATTCAGAAATCCTGTTATGTATGAAGTAGGATTAAATAAATAAGTAAATAGATTGTAGATAATGAGTGCCAAGTTTCTCACTTCTAAAGAAAGAATTTACAAATCAAGAGAGAAAGGAAAGGAAGAAGAAGAAGGAGGTGGAGAGGTAGGGGAGGGAGAACGAAAGGAAAAGAAAGACTCGCAGATTACCACACTTAAACTTGTAGCCCCATTCCTAACATGGGAACTGCCCATTCCTTTTCCTTATTTTGCTTTTCTAGATAGTATTTATTACTTTTCAAGTACACAGTAAATACTTACCACGATTGACTGGTTGATTGCCTGGCACTTAAGTTCCACAAAGCAGAGATTATTGTCTGTTTTGCTCACCTTTCCATTCCTAGTACATAGAACAGTGTCTTTCTAGAGTAATAGATGCTTAATAAATATGTGTTAAATAAAACATAAAATATGCTTTATTGCTTTTTTTATTTCCTGTTTATTTTTTATGTCAACTCTGTATGTATATGTACACACACATATATGTGCATATGTATTTGTGTGTGTATATATGCATATTTGTTTGCCCATATATAATTTTCTCTAGAGATCCAGAAATTATAAATCATCTTTCAAAATCTAGTAGGAAAATGTTTCCCAGTTTTAGAATACATCAAACACTTCTGCAATATGCTAAACGCCAGATTCTGGGCTTTCATTCCCATAATCTGATTCGGGATGTGTAATATAGGGCTCAAGAATTTACATTTTAAAAATAAACATTTTGGATGATTCTAATCTAGGTTATCAGTAGCTACAGATTGACAGCATCAACTTAATTAGCTGTTGATGGGCTGCTCAGTAGAGGACTGATCCCAGTCTGTGTGGTGAGAGCTGGGAGAGAGAGGGAAGACCCAGACCTGACAGCGGTGAAGTATATCCACTGTCAGTAAGGAATGGGGAATAAATCATTCCAGGCAGAGAAAGAGGCACTGGTATAGCTTCAGAATGGACAGAGGGAGGGAGTAGATTCACAGACATAATGTCCATAGAGGCATAACGGCAAGTTCTCTGCAGGTGAAAGTACGGATGACAGAGGTGCTGGGCTGGGGGACAGTGTCCCGGAAGCTTTGTTGTTGGGGTGCAATGAAGAGCATGTGGGAAGCATCCATCTGGAATGAGAGCACACTGGGAATGTCTAAAAATGGAAAGCAGCACATATGGTGAAGGTCTTCACGTAAAGTGGTGATCAATGCTGGAGAAGCCCATAGTTGGTCCTAATCATGAGCCTTCAGGTTTGGAAAGATGCTGATGCCATTCCTGGTGGTGGGCAAACTCCAAAGGGATGTGTCCATATGTGATTTTGGAAATGAGACTGACAGGACTGTGAAAAACCAGACAGAGCTAGAAATATCTTCAGAATTTCAACATCATCTCTCTCTCAGGGGCAATTTTTTTCTATCATTTTCTAATAACAATATCATACATAGGCATACAATGAGTATATTTGTTATAAGACAAAATGGGACCTGATATTATTAATAAATAAAAACATCTTAGGATGATTAAATTTTTTTTTAAAAAAATTACAGAATTAAGTTAAAGAAAAGAAGTGTTTTCCCACAGTAGTTGGCATGATATAACCCAAGGGTCAACACATTTATTCTGTAGGGACAGTAAGTAAATATTTCAAGCTTTATGGACCAAGAGGCAAAATCAAAGCTATTATTAGGTACTTTTATCAAAACAGAGATAACAGATTTTGGCAAAAAAAAATGATAAAATATACAATATGAAAATAACAATTTTGTCATTAAACATTATTAATAAGGTATTAGAGTGAATTTTTTATAATATGCAACTAATAATTACAGAAATATAATTTTTTGGGGGATAACATTTTGCTTAATTAGGATCGAAGTTAGTGTTCCCTGTCATATCAATTGCATGTGTTCCTATGTATGATCCCTTCTTAGTTCAACAAAAATAGGGGGCAAGTGGGATATTGCCCTGGTGCCATAGCTTGCTGACCCCTTATCTGATCCATACCTAACACTGATCTGACCCATGCCTACCCCCTTAAAGCTTATCATATTGGGCCGGGTGCGGTGGTTCACACCTGGAATCATAGCACTTTAGGAAGCTGAGACGGGCTGACGGCTTAAGCCCAGGAGTTCGAGACCAGCTTGGGCAACACAGAAAGACCTCGTCTCTACCCCAAAAAAAAAAAAAAAAAAAAAAAAAAAAAAATCCAGGCATAGTGGCGCATGACTGAGGTCTCAGCTACTCGGGAGGCTGATCGCTGGAGTCTGGGAGATGGAGAGGTTGCAGTAAGACGTGATGACACCACTGTACTCCGGCCTGGGTGGTAAGTGAGACCCTGTCTCAAAAACAAACAAACAAACAAACAAAAAAAACCCCTCTCAGATCACATGCTGAAGAACAACTGCTTCTGAGAATAAAAAGTTTTCTATTCTATAAAGAAAACCTATCCTAACACAGAAAACCCATTGATTACTGGTGATGGTAAAACACAAGTGACTTAGTATAAAAACTTAGTACAAAGGATGTTAGGTATATGAAGAAATGAAAAGGGAAAGTGAGGCTAAAATCAGAAGAGATTCTAAAAGCGTAGCCATCACAAGCTTAGGAGAGAAAATTAGCCACCTTTCCAGACACTGCAGTGAAGAGAAAACTTATAAATTAGATTTATAGGGGAGTAACTTCAACAGGGACAAAATATAAACAGAAAAAACAAAGTCAAGTACCACTTGTAACTAACCTTGAACAGATCAACCCTGATGAATTAAGTAGCCTACCTACAGTATGTGTCTCTCTAGCAATGATTAACTACTGAATTGAAAATGAATTTATGTGAAATTGAGGATGCCTATGTTCAAGAGCAACATATATTAAAACTTTTGTAGAATAGCACTTCATATGAAATTCAAATTAGAAAAACTTTTGCTTCCTCTCGGTGAAGTAGGTAAAGGATATTTCAAAATCATTCAAGTTCTTGCTTTGCTTAAAAATCATTTGAACAATTTTTAATTAATTTGTAAATATCAAAAGTGAGAAAATATAGTCTACAATCCAATTTCCCTAACTATTCAACCACCTCCATGGTCTGTACAATGTTCATCTCCTTGTTTTATGCATGTAAAATATGGTTATGATAATCACTACCATAAATAATTTTGTATTCTGCGTTTCTTACTGTATATTGCAGACATTCCTAGGTTGCTTTATCATCATTATTGTTCTCATATTTTATGACAATTCAGTAGTCCATATTGACATTACATGTTATTGTTCATTTTTATGCTTTTCCTAGTTTTTCTTTATTAAAATAGTATTAAAGCTTTTTACTTCATTTTGGAATAAAAACAGTTTAAATGTGTTGTTCTATTGTAAAAATTAGTTTGAAATAGTATCAATATAGGAAGAAAATTACCCACAAATGTCATTCTGAAAACACCAATACTTTCAATTATTTATGTGCATCTTCAATTTCATATCATAAAATAACAATATAGCTAGAGCATTGTTTTCTATACTTTCCATTAACATTATGCCCAAAACTTTCTTTCATTTTTCTTTAGTGACTTGTGGTTTTCTTTATTTTTATTTATTTATTTATTTTTTATTTATTTTTTTTTTAATTTTTTTAATTTTTTATTTTATTTTATTTTTTCGAGACAGAATCTTGCTCTGTTACCCAGGCTGGAGTGCAGTGGTGCAATCTCGGCTCACTTCAAGCTCCGCCTCCCAGGTTCATGCCATTCTCCTGCCTCAGCCTCCCAAGTAGCTGGGACTACAGACGCCTGCCACCACACCTGGCTAAATTTTTGTATTTTTAGTAGAGACGGGGTTTCACCATGTTAGCCAGGATGGTCTCGATCTCCTGACCTCATGATCCACCCGCCTTGGCCTCCGAAAGTGCTGAGATTACAGGCGTGAGCCACCACGCCCGGCGGTTTTCTTTTACTTTACCTACAGTTACTGTTACTCACACTATCCTATATTGTTTTCTTTAGGTAATTTTTTGTTCTATGAAATCAATGCTCTGATGAACTTGTGTCCTGGTGTGTTAACCATCTCGTCTTGCTGGAATATAAGTATCATAAGGACAAGGACATGGTTTGTCTGGTCTCCTACTGTCTGCACAGGGCTTAGAATGGTGTCAAGCCCAGACTGAGTACTTAACTAATAATTGTGGATGAATGACTAAATGAAAACTAGAGCCTTTGCAGAGTAAGAGGTAGAGACATATTTTTGTATCCTGAAACCCTCATTCCAGAGCTATTCTCCTATACAAAATGAAAGAATAACCTGTGTGCTATTTTCTTCTCTGCCATTCCCTCAATGGGATTGAAATGTAAGTCTTTGTTTCTTAAAATAACTTTTTAAGGTTACAAAGGACTTCATAGTAAATCTTCCAAATCCCTCCAGAAACTGGAAAAGTTTAGTTCCCAGTATCTAGCAGTAAACTAAGGGCAGTCTATGGATGCTTAGTGGTGATCAACTATAAATATTATGACATACTATTTATGACACTTAACATTCACTTATGATATTACATTATAATATTTATACTGTCAAAAAAGGATATGAACTTTGAAGCCACCCTGGTAGATGACTTAATCTCAGTTTTGCTAATTACCAGCTGCCTAACTTTATGCAAATTACTTGCTCCTCTGTACCTCAGGGAAGCAAAATAGGGCAAAATAATAATGCACTTTTAGATGGTTGTGGTGAGGACTAAGGATTAAGCAAATTGATATAAATACCACAAATATATATATATATGGTTTTTATATATATGTTATATATATGGTGTTTTATATATATATATATATATGAAATAGTCCTTTGTATATAGAAAACACTCCTTGAATATTAACTATCATCATCACCATTATCACCATCATCAGCACCATCACCATCATCAACCATCATTATCATTACATAATGGTCACCAGTTGTGCAAGGCCCAAGTAACTTTTTACTTATAAAATTAAAATCTCAAAATTTACAAAGTATTTCTTTAAACATATAGGGCATGTCAAGGCTATGCTTTGAATATTCCTCTTACTTGTTTGCATTCTAATAAGGTCTCTTGAGTGGGAGATAAAGGGAAAAATGATCAACTTTCTGCTGGAAATGGTGCATAACCCTGAGTTTGAAAGTGCAAATGCATTACTCACGTGAATGTCATTTATCGTATGTGTTGAGGTGGGGTGGAGAGGGAGTGTGTTAAGTGCTGCTTCTTTTGACCATAAAATTCCAGAGGACAAATTATGTAAATTCTCATGGAGCTCAAGAGAGTGTCCTGCCAACCAATGAACATAATAAATCTTGTTGGTGCTGTAATGAAGACACTTAAGCTTCTGATAAAATGACTTCTTTCTTCAGAAGATTCCTTCAGGACCAAAGGCTTCCCTTGAAGGTGAAGGGGATATATGTTTTTACTGAGACTTATAAATTAAGTGAAAAAAATTCTATCTGAGTCAATGAAATACTCTTGTTTCATACACAGGGGCACTCATGGGCTCTGGCACATTCTCTTTCATATGCAGCACCTGCTGGAAATCTTTTAGTATAAAGCACAACTTTTGTATTGATTTTCCTCCCACCTTCTTAAACTTCTTCTTCTACATACTTATTAAGTAATGATGAGTTGGTAAAATCTTAACACAAATTAAGGACATGTAATGATCAGAAAGATAATTGCAATCACTACTTTTTGTGGATATAACCCACACCACAGATAAAAAACATTAACCACAGTAGTTTTCTCACGGAGATAGTAGTAAACATAGCCTATGCTGGGCTGCAATACCCTAACATCTCAGTGGCTTAACCATAGGAGCTTCTTTCTTACTCCTGCAAATTCTACTCTATCGCTGTTCTTTTCCAAGGCCTCTCTCTTCCCGTGCTGACTAAGAAATCCAGACCCTTCCTTTCTTGGGACTCCAACATCTTGTCATGTGCCTTCCATGGTCACCACTACAGGGGAAGACAGAGCCTGTAGAAGTCACATCCATTCTGTTACACTTCCATTTGCTTAATACCATTGGCCAAAGCTAATCACAAAATCCTGCCAAATCACAAGGCTAAAAAAAAGTTTTGGAGAGGGGTTACACAGACCTTCAGTGAGCAGTAGAGCATAAAGGTACAGTTACCAAAATGTATTCTGAGAAATGTGAGGGATATGAGGTATTCTGTAGGAAAATATAAAAGAATAGGAACATTCTACTAAACAAAACACTGTTGTTAATACGATGCTTTAAATTCTTCCTTGGAGATTGTTAATATCCACTGTCAGTTTTGAGAAATGATGCTATAAAAAGCACAGTTATCTTTATTTAATTCAGTTTTTTTTTGTTTGGTTTGGGTTTTTTTTTTTTTTTACAAATTTGATTGACCATATAATAATTTCTTTTCATAACACCCATGAACCTAATGTCCCGTTGAATCCACAGCAGGCATTTTGAAATACTGGCAATAAAAACATAATGGACACTTAATAAATATTTGGTGGATGAATGAAGAGTCACTTTTCAGACTCAGGGATGCTTCTGCATCAAATTTTGGAGAACAAAATTCCATACAACACCTGCATTACAAGTTGAAAAGTGAAAATCCTAGGTCAAACACTACCTTTTTCTTGCAACATGCTACATAAGAATCTTGTGGGTTTTTTGTTTTTCTCTGCTGACTTGAGTGGTTTTTTGATGTCATCAGCTGCAGCTCATCTGCCCAAAATTTCACAGTGGAATCATCAGGATTTATGCTCAGCATATGCAATCCACCCCACACCTCTTTACACGTGGGAATTTCGGGATGGAACATAAATACCCCATGTTATGGAGAGAATAAAAATAATACCTTGGATAAGCCATGCTTTAAATGGTGTTTCGTGCTAAAAACCTCACAAACCATTGCAGCGAGGTTCAGCAGCAGACAGCGCTACTTCTACATTCCACATAATCCAGTTCAGCGAGGCCTTCAGCAACGCACCCGCATCGTAACAACAGCTAATGGTTTGCCTTAGGTCCGCAGAGTGTCTGGTTGTTGGCAGCAAACCACAGAATCCAGGAGCAGAAAACAATATGGAAGCAATATTATTTTCTATCTAATTCTCTATAATCCAGAAGGTTGGTTATGCTGAATGATAACACACAGAGGAAAGATTAAATATAATAACATAATGTTCATGTTCTGCACCAGAAGTTATTACTTTTGGCACCACAGAGACAGATGGCTGGCACTGGCCATTGCCAGGAGGTGTTAAGTGGGTAAGTGGTGCAGAGGAATATAGTCATCTGTGGGGAAAATGACAGTAATGAACTGCTTGTAATGCTGTGAAAACTCAATGAATTTGATTAAACACAGATTGCAAAACTGTTTCCTGGACGACCATTGGACACACTCATTTACGCTGAAATGTGCTCTCTCCCAGATACAAGTCTGACAGGAAAACCACTGCTGCTTCTGCTGCCAATTTGTTAAGCATCGTGACAAGAGGAGTGACCGAGAAGATGGAAAAGCCCGGTCTGCCTAGTGCCCCTTCAGTTGGCAGGATTGCTGGCACAGGGCCGTCTAACTGTGCTGGAAGGTGTTTTAGAAGGGACAAGGTCAGCATAAGAAGAAGTCATCTTGGGCCTGGGGAACACACTTGTAAAAGTTTTTGTTAGATCTTTATGTTTCCAGCAACCACATTATTTGTATTAGATTAAGTAGTATATAGTTAGTTAGTTAGTATGTTTGTTTGTTTATTTATTTATAGAGACAGGGTCTCACTTTGTTGCTCAGGTTGAAACTCTTGAGCTCAAGCAGTCCTCCTACTTCAGCCTCCCAAATTGCTGGGATTACAGGCATGAGTCCCAAGGCAGTTGATTTAATGTGGATAGAAATATGTCAACGTAGTAGTGACAGAGTATGCACATGTATAAAGTTTGAAGCCTTCTAGAGAGAACACAGAATGGGACAGGATAAGAAAGCCTTATAGTTAAGGATGGTGTACACCAAGTGTGGTTACAGGACTCGTACTAGTATGTCGACTCTTCATTACTGTTCATAAGCAAAATGCAGAAATAGAAAGTAAGCATTTAGAAATGTTCATAGCAATTTGACAATTCTGTGGAATGTAATACTGAATAAATGGAGGTTGTGTTGTTTGTGCCTTTTAAAATTTTTATTTTTCTAGCAATTCATTTTTATTATACTTTACAAAAGTATTGTTCTGTGATGGATTGAGATTTTAACAAAAATGATCTTCCACCACAAACAGTTTGAAAAGCAATGCATTGGGATCATAGAGGCAGTTTTCATCTGCTTGTTTTACAAGATTCATTACTTTAGGCAAATTATTAACCTATCTACATTTTGAATTTGTCAATATTTAATAACTATCAGATATATCACTATTATTAAATAACTATATACACCATGAACTACTCACATAATCTGCTGAGAAATTACCAAAATATTTAGATGACCCGCTCTTACTCTTTCAAAAAGCATATGAGCTGAATGGTCAGTTAAGTTCAGTGTCTTGGAAGAATTAGTGGATTACATAACACACAGACTTGCTTCATTCCTGTATTTAGTTCATGCAACAAATATCTATTGAGCCTTGTTCTAGACAGGATTTCAGCTGCTGAGCGTGCACAAGTTAACTAGAATTGAAAGGATCCTTGCCCATGTGGAGTTTGCATATCTAACAAGGGCTACAGTCAATACAGAATGGATATAACACATCAGTAAACTGTACAGTATATTTCAGATTGAAAAGTGCTATGAAAAAATAAAAGCATAGCAGGGAAAGTAAAGAGGACATATTTTAAATGGTCAGGTTGAGCTTCAAGATTTTTTTTCAAGAATCTTGCTCTGTCGCCTAGGCTGGAGTGTAGTGGCGCGATCTCAGCTCACTGCAAGCTCCGCCTCCCGGGTTCACGCCATTCTCCTGTCTCAGCCTCCGGAGTAGCTGGGACTACAGGCGCCCGCCACCACGCCCGGCTAATTTTTTTTGTATTTTTTATTAGAGACAGGGTTTCACCGTGTTAGCCAGGATGGTCTCCATCTCCTGACCTCGTGATTCACCGCCTCAGCCTCCCAAAGTGCTGGGATTACAGGCGTGAGCCACCGTGACCGGCCATGATGCTGGGTATATTTATAAGGCAGAATCAACAGGGTTTTTCTTTTTCTTCTTTTTTTTTTTTTTTTTTGACAGATGGGGAGGAAGGTGTGAGATTGAGAGAGAGAAAGATAAATCAAGGAAACTTTCAAGGTTCTAGGCCTGAGCAACGGGAACAATGCAATCATTTAGGATGCGCCAAGCTGTGGGTAGAGCAGATTATGCAGAGGTGTCGGTAGATCACGAGTTTTGCTTGGGATGTTTTAAGTCTCATTTGTCTGTTTAGATATCTAATTGTCTCAAGATGTCAAGCAAGCAGTTGGAATCCAGAGTTTGCAGGTGGTAATAAATTTGAGACTTGTTAGAAATAAATAGAATTTAAAGCTGTGAAACCGAATGAGATTATGAAGGGAACAAGTACAGATAAAGAAAAGGACGAAGGACTCAGATCTGAGGCTCTTGGACATAAGGAGGTTAGGGTGAAGAGGAGGAACTGGGAAAGGAGAATCAGACAGAGTGACCAGTGGAACAGGGCAGGTTATAGAGTGTGGGGATTCAGAAGCCAAGTGAAGAAAGCGTTTCAGGAAGGAAATACTCATCAGCTGTGTCAAATACAGCTGGTAGGTCATGTAAGATGAGGACTGAAAACTGACCTTTGGATTTATAAATATGAAGTTGTTGAGACCATGAACAGATGTAATGGTTTGTGAAATGATAAAGACAAAAGTCACATGGAAGTAGGTTTAAAAGAGAATGGCCAGAGATGAATTGGAGACAGGGAGTAAAAACAAATATCTTAAGGAGTGTAGAGTACAAGGGGGCGAATATATGGGGGCAATCTTTGATGGCAGCAGTAGGGTCAAAAGAGATATTTTATATAAATTTGTAAGAGAGTTTATTCTAGGAAAAATATCAAGAAAGTAACAGTACAAGTCAAACAGAGGTAAGATAGACACAGAGGTGACGCTCACATGAACAAATTTGAGAGACTAATGCAGTTGTTAGAAGTGGACGTAGTCACAACACAGAACACTTTTAAAGCAAAACAGAAATCACTGTATGAATTGCTTGTCTGATTTCAAGGGCTACACTTTTCTAATTCTGTAAGTGGTGCTTACTAGGAAAATTGCACAGGCATTTGTTTGCAAATGCAAACTCTTTTGTAATCATCATTGAGGAATTTGTACAATCACACATTTCTTCAAATGATAATTAATACTGATGCTTAAATACCAAATTGATAGGCTTTCTTGCTCTCTCACTTGCAAGCTATTCACATTCTAGCTGTAATTAAGAATCAGGAGAGAGCCCTTTAAGGTAATGGGTGCCAGACAATTTTCTGTAGTCTCTACTGCCTTCAGTTTCATGTCAATGTATTAGGTAGGAGTAAAAGCAACAGTTATCTTTTTTTGTATATATATGTATAACATATACAAATGGTATATATATTTCAATATCATAATACTTATATATTATCATCTAAGAGGCATAATACAAAAGAAAAATTTTGGTCACTTATGTCACAGTGTGTTACAAAAGTTCCTGGTAGATGGATAGTTTCCCTTGGTCATTCAGGGGTCCAGGTTCCTTCTCTCTTGTGGCTGTGCCTTCCTTTAGGGTTTTGGAGAAAGCAGATCTTCTTCTTGTCCACTGTGGCCTGGAAGTTACATATTTCACTTCTCATATTTCATTGGTAACAACTGGTCACAAGGCACCTCTTAGATGCAAGAAGGCCTGGGGAATGCAGTCCATATTCAGTCAATTCAGACTCTTCCAACGTAATTCTATACTATGAAAGAAAATCCTGCCACTTTTTTTTTTTTTTTTTTGGAGACAGAATCTCACTCTGTCACTCAGGCTGGAGTGCAGTGGCGCAATCTCAGCTCACTGCAACCGCTACCTCCCAGGTTCAAGCGATTCTCCTGCCTCAGCCTCCTGAGTAGCTGGGATTACAGGTGAGTGCCACCATACCTGGCTAATTTTTGTATTTTTAGTAGAGACGGGGTTTCACCATGTTGGCCAGGCTGGTCTCAAACTCCTGACCTTAGGTGATCCACCCGCCTCAGCCTCCCAAAGTGCTGGGATTACAGGCGTGAGCCACCGCGCCTGGCCAGTCCTGCCACTTTGATGGTCAACCAGCTATCTGCTATAAGGAATGAGCTTTTCAAGGGCAAAGACAATCAAATCACTATCTGATTTTCTTTGCCTAGATGGTATTGAAAGAGTTTGCAGTTCTTCTATATAAAGGAAAGCAAAGGGAAGAGATATAAAAATGTTCGAACATAACTTAATCCATGATAAATTAGAACCCTGAGAGTTGCAATGAAAGTTAGAAATGTTTGTTTTATTTTGTTTTTACAGAATGTATCAGCCTAGAAATCTAAAAATGAAGCATGAATCCTGTCATAACCTACACCCCCCAACTAGCATCATTTATATATGTAGAGCCCATGGCATTTATTGCTTTCTTATTTATAAGATCATATTAGTAACTAGTGGCAGTGATAAAGACCAGTCAACATTAACGCCATTCAAAATAATAATAACAGGAAAAATAATGTCTTTGAAGAGCGGCTAAAATCAAACTTGGATTGGAGGCTAGGAAAACAATCAGTCCTCATCATAGTTGTAATCATATAAAACATTAAGTAAGTTGTCTTCATTTTGACAGTTTAATCACATCATATACTCTTCATATAGGGATATTCCTTTGAATTACCTTGTGGCTCTCTGTTTATATAAATATATTATTAGTTTATGTTTATATATTTAGCTTATATGAATATATACTTTTATATATTATCTACATAAGTACATGTATATTTATATATCATATATAGCAAATAATATATAGTATATTTAAACATCATTACATTTGTGGTCTTCGGTTTTGTGTGTGTGTGTGGGACTTTTCTTTATTTAAAGGCCTAGCTTCTCAATAAAGATGCATACATGAGTCATAGTATTAGAAGCTCAAGAATAAATCTTCACTGAATAACGGACTGAATCCTTGTACATCAGAAGTCCCATTGCTCTTTCTTTGACTTACACATTTTGGGGTCTACAAAAATAGCCATAGTGAAAGTTCAAAGTAACTAAGAAGTTAAAAAGGAAAATAAATCTTGATTTTTTATGACCTTTGGCAAGAGATATGTGAAACTTAGTAACCAGGTAGGTCATTTTTCACTGCCCTTTTTCTTCCAGAAAATTGTCATTCTTAAAATGTACATTTGAAAACAATCCTAGCTATTTTAAATAATGCCGAAATAAATAGGGAAGTTCATATATCTCTTTAAGATACTAATTTTATCTCCTTTCAATATATATCCAAAAGTAGGATTGCTGAATCATAAATGGCAGTTCTATTTTTAATTTTTTCAAGCGGCCTCCATACTGTTGTTCACAATGGCTATACCAATAGATACACTTTTTAACTGTCAACTGCACCTCAATAAACCTGGGGAAAAAATAATCTCTATGTCAGCATCAGTTCAATATTGAAAAGTCATTTTATTCTTAAGAAACATCATGAGAGTACACATATTGGAAAAAAAAAGAATAAGTCTATTTCTTTATCACTGCATTGAGCAGAATGCAAAAATTATGCTTGGTAAGGGAGGTTAACTGAACCATACAACTTTAAAAATATTTCAACCTCAAAATGTCATTAATTGCAAATGAGTTGCAAATGTTCCATTTACAACTCGAAGGAGTATTGGACAAATGTTCAGTAAATGTTTGATCTTAATGATTGTTTTATATCTCTTCGGTTCGGCCCTCCAGATCTCCTTTCCAACTTTCTCAACACAATTATCATCCCAGGAGTGGGGCCTGGAGTCAACAGGCTCCTTTGACCTTTGACTCCAGGTTGCCTTTGGCCAATGAAAGCCCCAGCAGGAGATTTGAGGGGAGGAGGTGAAGGGGCAGGCTTGACTTCAGCTGGAGCTGCCCTGCAGGACTGCCTCAGGCTGGGTGGACCCTGCACTAAAGGTCACAGGAACTCTCAAGGCTACACCCATCCCATCCAGGAACTACTCCTTTCCCTTGATTCCTAAAACCTGGAGGTGGTAACAGCTTTGCTGTGATTAGCCAAGGTAATGCCAGTCTTCCCTGTGGTTTCTTTGTACCCTGCCCACACCTTTCCAAGCACTCTCATATTGAGAGTGCCAGCTATCTCCTCAAGCCAGGACTCTGATTCAAAGATAAAAATATATAAGAAATGATGCCTATTACTATAAAATTTCATACAGTTCAGTATAGAAATAAAACATATGTGCAAATAAATATAACACATGTTTTAAAAAAGCACTAGGGGCCATTTGAAAACAATTAAAATGCTATGGAGTTTTAAAGACAGAGTAATTACCTCTTTTGGGGTAATCAGAAAAGATTTCCTGGAAGACACATAAATGGGACCTGGAAAGATGGAGAGTATTTCAAATACTCTCCATAATACATAAATGGGACCTGGAAAGATGGAGAGTAAGGAAAGGAGCATCCAGGTAGAAGAAATAGGGCAAACAAGGGAACATTGGGAAAAAAAATGGCATGGCTTATTTGGGGAACTGTGATTAAATTGTATTAGAAAATGAAACACATGATTAGAAACAACAGAAAGAATAGCAAACAATAAGTAAGTGAGGGACGAGTTGAGTTCAAATATTAGAGTAGTTAGAAATTTGGTAGACATTTTAAAATCAGCGATGGGTTTATAATTGTATCTTACTGTGTGTAAAACTATCAAATATATAAGCATTTGAGAACAAAGGCTGAACTTTAGAAAACTTAAAAGCGAGACCCTTTTGTAGAATTGTTAGAGCCTGAGCAAGGGTAATAACAAGAGTAATGAAGAGGAGGAGATGATTGAGAAGGGTACTGAAAGAGTTACGACTCTGTGGGACTCAGAGCCACTCCCAGTCGTATGGAGGCATGACTTAGAAGAATGTGTAAAGGATGATTCCGGATGGCAGAAAGGAAGGATGGAAGTTCCATTAATGGTCATTTGAAAGTCATTAGAAGGAACAATTTGTGAGAAGAAGACAAGTTCAGTTTTGATAAAAACAAATGTAGTATCTGCCAGCCTGACATTAAGATGAACTTGGGGAGCAGATGATCACAAATGTAGAGGTCGTGCCCAACAGACAGGATAGAGCTAGAAGGCAGGTTTGGAAAAAAGACTAAAAGAGGTGATCACTGAATCACAGGCAGGAGATGAAACTTGGATTAATGCTCATATGTAGGAAGAGAAAGAAATAAAAAGATTAAGAGTCATTAACATAGAGTTAAGTATGTTAATGTGTAGAAACTATTTAGCACAGTGCCTCGTTAAGGGTAAATTCTTAATAAAACACAGGCTATTATTAAAGTCAAAGGGGAATGTTAGGACAATGAAGTGTAGAATCAAGAAGATTTAAATAAGGATACAAGTTGCTGCAGTTTCAAGTGCTCTAATTTGGAGACGCTAGAGATAGATATTTGGAATATATCTAGGAAGACAGAAAAAGATGGGAAAAATAGATAAAAAACATCATCTACTCTCTGGTTTTCCCTAAATACTCTTACTTTCTGAGGTCAGTATTTATCTCTTGTATCCTTTCCAAGGACTGTGGAAAGCTTCGTGACTCCTCTGCAATATCATCGAAATGTGTGTTGTTTATATTGACTAAGAGCATAAGCCATGGAGTCAGAATGCCTGGATTTGAATCCTGGCTTCTTTTTTAAACTGAATCTATGACTTTGGACAAATTGCTTAAGCTTTATGTTTCTAGATGTTTTCATCTATAAAATAGGGTCCTGAGATAACCTACCTATCTCTATTATGTAAATGAGGTTGATACTTTAAAGGTAACTCCTATAGCTAACTAATCAGTGTTGGCTAATGCATTTACTATATTTTGCTTCCAGTTAATTACATATTTCTGCATCTGTTAACTACCCTTTCTGCAACTGTTAACCCCCTTTCCAGCCACTCTGCATGCACTGGGTGTTAACAGTTGTTGTAGCAGAAGTAGTAGGTAAACTGAACAGGATACCAACACAGAACAGGCATCAGCGCACAAATAATAGGTATCCTTGACCTCAGGTTTTTGGGCCACCTTGGCTATAAGGAATTTCTGAGCCCTATCCATATCACTCAGGACCTCCCCCACAATGAAATCACCTTCCCAAGTCTATGTTATTCTCTATGTTTTGGGCTAAGAGACATGAAGTACAGAGAGGTTATATAAACTAATTTTTAAAAATAAATTAATGAAATAGAAAGTTGGCAATTAGCATAAGAACCAAACTTAGTTCTAAAATATAAAAACCTACAATGTTCCACAAATTTCAAAAGTATGTTGGGACAGTATTAAAATATCCACCAATACTAAAAATGATTTGCCACAGTTTGAAAGATGCATAAACAACTGACAAGTCTCTTCCCCATGCCCCTACTACGTAAACCTGAAATTGTATTTTTTAAGTGAAAAAATTGGATCATAATATAAAACAGGCAGCAAGTGGCTTCCCTGATCTTCTGGCTACCATTGTGGTTTATTTGTATGTACGATTTTATATAAATATGGAATTTGAATGCTTTTAAGAGTTAAATAGCCACAAACTTCACCATCCTCTATTACTTTGCTTACGTAATCAGTCTGATTCACACTTTTTTTTTTTTTTGGTTGCTGTTGTTTCTTTGTTTTTTTATACCTGCTAGGACTTGTGACCATTTGAGGTTGTAACTTAGTAGACGCCAAAGATAAGACACTTTCGTTGATCGTCTTTATTGGATTTCATATACGCACATTATTCAGGGGAACTGACTATCTCCAATTCAGGCCTAGACAACTAATTTATTCAAAGAACATTAAATATTTAGTCTGAGTTGTTTTATAGACAATATGCTGTCAGTGATGTTTTGTTCCCCTATATTTCTGGTATCAGAAATATTGTCATTTTTATTTACAGGTGTGGAACCCAACTGATATGCCTCCAGGGAAAAAAGCATAAAAGCCTTTTGTGGTGTAGCCCACTGGGGAATCTGGAGTTTCAACAACCTCAATTGCTCATTTACCCCTATTTTTGTCAAAGGCATATTTTCATAAGCATTCCCACACTAAATCTTGGAGGAACAGAATATTAACTAGTTTTCTTTTTTCTAATCACTGGCTCATTTAACATGAAAAAGTAAATGACACCCTAGCTTATTTCATTTATTTTTTTATATTGCTTTTTTACTAGAACTCTAAAAGCAAAAAGGCCTTAGGTATCATAATGTACAAGTGTGAGTGATTAGCAGGATGCAAATACTCAGTTAATCACCCAGGAACACCATTTAGGGGTCTGCATGGCCTTCTTTATAGAGGCAATAAAGACTGGGGGATATGCGAGCATTAATTTTTCACATAAAATGTTAATGAGATGCACAACTCATTACTATTCTTTCATTCCCGGATTTTAAAAGATAGTCTTTGCCATAGTTCTATTTACTCTAAGAAGGATATCTTAAGTAGTAGAATCCTAAAGTCTTCCTAGCAGCCGTTTTCATGTTCATGGTAGATTTTTGTTTAATAGATGGCCAAGAAAACAACATAAAACAACTTAGCTCAGAGATATAATAATTTACAAGTGTACAGAGCGCTGCAGTTTACAAAGCATTTTTGAGTGTATTATCTCATTTGGGTTCCCTGGCAGACACACTCTGAGATGGAGATCAGGATGCAGGAAACTTACTGCCATGTACTCTTGGAAGGAAGAGTAAGAAAACTGGACTGGGCAGAAGGAGAGGAGAGGCTGTAAGGCAGGCACCACGAAGGCCTCAGCCAACACTGCTGGGAACTCTGAAGGTTCTCATGAGTTGGCGTGAGGTGGCTTTTATATTTCTCTGTGGACCAGTCATTGTATATGGACTAACCCAAGAAGGAGAAATGACCTTGGGCGAAGCAAATCGTTTTAGCTGAGGCAATTCCAACAGCCCTTAAATAAAATTTAGGTATTTCCCTCTCCCCTCCCCGGCATATGTTTACACAAGCAAATGGCAAGAGATGCCCCTGGAGAAATCATTACCATGTGGCATCATAGGGTCCTTCCTTCTGGGAACCTGGCTTTTCCTTCAGTCAAAGGAATTTTGATCTGAATATTGACTTTGTTGCAGAAATCGGGAAAAGGATTGTGACATTTTATTTGGGCAACTTCCCTCAGCCTCCTGACCTTCTATGCTAGATTTTATTTTGATTGCACACTGTAGGGGTATGGTTGTCGACTGCCCATAGGGACAAGTTCCATTAATCCTTTCTCTATGAATCCTCTCTCTTTCTTTTTTCTGTAACTTCTCTGGGTGAATCTGTGAAATTTGTCTCTCTATGATGCAGGACTGTTGATGTCTTTGCTCATTTTTCAAAGTTTTCAGTTTTACGTTTAATTCTAAATTCCTAGGGGTCAACCCCCTGTCTGCATATGTTGGTGTCTGTCCATAACTGGGCAGGGGTTGTGCTCACCACCTTGAGTCAGTAAGGCTTCCGTTCCTTACAATGAATTTAAGGTTCAGAAGGTTTTCAACTCTTCCCTAGTTTTACTTTCTACTGGGTCCATTCACATCTCTTATGCAAATGTGTGTACCCTCAAGGCTAAACAGGAGTGTGTAGCTGGCTTGTGCCCGCTTGACTCTAGTGCGCATGTGTGTAGCCTCAGTCTAGCGTATGCTGTTCTAACCATGCACCCTTAGGCTAGTTAATCAATTGGCCCTCCCTACTTGACCAACTTCAAAATAACCAGTTCTACCAACAAGGCTGCGCTGAGTGTGGCCAAGTCCACTGGTCTAAGTGAATGAGTCCCTTTGACTAGGACAGAGAAGCTTCCAGTTCTCAAGGCCCGTAACACCACGGCAAAGCCTTCATTCCTACCAAGCTGGGGTCAGATGGAAGCAAGGCCACCCAGCATGCCACAGATTCCCTCTCTTCTTCTTATCCAGAGTTCAGCAGATTTTCGTGAGTGAACACTTCTCAGATTGTTGTATGGTGTTTGTAATTCCCATAGCACTTTAATGGTTGATTGTGTTTATGTATCCATCTCTATAGTGGCACTTTGGGGAGAGGAGTCACGGATCTCCTGGCTTGGCCATGATTCAGCTTTTGGAGATTTCATTTAGAATCTGTGATCTTTCCCATATTCTTCCTAAAAGGGTAAGTTAGAGCCAGTTTTGGTACCTTAAGAACTAAGAGCTTTGTTTGTTTTGTGAATCCACATTTCATCAATGCACTTGCTTTACTAATTTCATAATAGTACAAAACATTTTATATGAAAAACTTTTGCTTTCTTTTATTTTAAATCTCTCTTTTTTTCTTGCAAAGGTCAGTTCTTAACTAAATAAGTCAGAATAAACCTAAAGGACACTCTACAGTGAGATAAAGTATCTGCTTCCTTTTGTTCACATGCATTGCTGACTTGGAGCTCTATTTCTGCCTGAACATTCTTGCAATGTGACAATGTTGAGCTTGGCAAAAGACCCTAAGCTTGAGCATGGGAAGCAGACACCAATTCTAGGCCAAATGTAATATTTAAGAGCCTATTTGAAAAGCTAATTTATGAGAATGCTTACTGCTGGAAGCAAGAAAATTGTTAGAAACTTCTCAGTAATTACCTTTACTGAAAAGGGAATAGAAATCATTCTGAAAATCAACGCAGAAAGATGGCATATCAACTTCCTGAACCATCAGAAGCAGGGTTTAGAGGTTGATTTGGGCTTTGCGAGGGTGCCAGCTGTGATGCAGGCAGCTGCCTGATAGCAGAAGAATGTGGGCCACGTGCACATCACATCAGAGCTCCAGTGACCCATCAGTTGGGTTGGGAACAGGTGGGAGGCAGGATGGACTTGCAGTGGATTTTAACGTCAATGACCTTTTAGCAGGTCCATTTACCAGGACATTCAAAAAGCAAATGGGAAGGATCCAAAATAGTTTTGTGTGAGTCTCTTGTTTTCTTTTATCAAATCAAGTCAATTCTGTATATGGCCATGATGTAAAAAGTGAATCAGACCCCCATGTCCTTGAAAGCCACCAGAAGTTCCTTTGCTTTGAATGGAAGGTCAACATGTTTAGAAAAATATATTTATTTTAGATAGTTACAGTGAAAAAGTGAGTGGTTCTGCTCTGAAGCTAAACAAGATTCCTCCTCTGAATAATAATCACCAAGAGGTCAGAACATTTTCTGGCTGCTTTTTAATGATCTATTTGACAGGACTCTTCAAAGAAACCTCTCTCAGCAACTCAGGGTTCGTTGGCCTCCTAGTCTCTAGAAAAGTGGTTCTATATGGTCCCCATGCTCCAATACGCTTCCAATCTTGGAAGTAAAACTAGCTTTTGTTGGCACACTGGTATTCTAAAACTTGATAAATAGACCTGAAGATGGGGAAAATCATAATAAAAATAAACAAATACCTCTTTATTATGATCTTCTTTATCTTTTCTCCTAGATATCAACTTTTTTCTATATATTCATAATATCAGAAGATTGAGTTTTAGCCCCCCAGCACCCCCAGATATACTTATAAATAAATAATATTCTCTGTGAATATTGTCAAAAGAAAGAACTGGAACTGAAAAGCACAGTTGATTTTGACTCCTTTTGGGGGTGTGTGTGTGTGTGTGTGTGTGTGTGTGTGTGTGTAGAGGAATGGTTAAGTTCTAGTTAGTAGATAAGAGAAATTTATTGTATAATCACAATTTCCCTTGGAAATTTATCTTAGAATATCCAGCACATTGAATTTTTCCTCCAGTATTGGAACAATTTCTATTTCTTTCATTGAACACTAGAAGTAGATGACTTGTGTTTGCAAATCAAAACAAGCAAACAACTTATCTTTAAACATTAGAATCAACATATCTTTAAATACTAGAACATTAGAAACATCAAGTGAATACCATGACAGGAATCAAAGATTGAGTCCAGAGTAGAAAAAAGATTCACGTCTCTCTTCTGCTCACTTCAAGGCAGCAAGTGGCAAAAGGGCCAGAAAGATTTCAATTAGCCCTTTATCTCATTTTAATTATTATTTTGAAATGAGCTGCTAAGCACACACAGATGAAGTGCATTGGTATAAACATGTATATTTGTACCTATGTGATATAGCTATACAAAGAACACACACATATGAACACACCACACTTTGGAAAACTAGTGATTCATGTTATTTTCCACATTCTTCTGAAGTTATTTTTTCCCCATGTGCTAGGCTAGAAGTGGGGCTGATGGAAACGTCTCCGGAATTTTCCTCTATTAAACATTCAACTCTGATGTTCTCTGTTAAAATAAATTCAGTACCTGTGAGCTAAGGAAATGTGACCAAGAGTCCCTTAGTTAGGCTCAGTAACCCATCCCTTGAGTTATCTTGATTATTGAAATGATTTATTTTTCACAAGACTTGTAATTTCACGCAAAAGGAAGGAAGGGGGAAAATCACAAAACAAACATGGATTGTTCAGGAATACTTTCAGATTGCAAATGAAAAGCTGTAATAGACAAGTCATCAACTATTCAGCTTTGTTGGGAATACAATTGATCTTGTCAGGGCTAAAAACCCATCTGCCGTTGAGAGGAAGATAATTTAAAAATTCCCTAATTAGTGTTCCATTTAATCTTCCACTGTCATGGTAAATGCTTTGATTAAAGTAAGTAACACTCATGAGTCACTACAAACCTATTTGAATGTCCATAAATTGATATAATTTTCCCACCCTTCACCATCTCAACCAGTATTGCCCTTCCTGGCCCCTGCAATATAGCAAGGATGGATTTTCAACAAAGCAAATAAAGGACTGATTTTCACAAGATCTGAACCCCGAGGAGCAGATTGTCAACCTTTCTTCTCTGCTGAGGACAAAGACAAGATCACAGACCATTTTCAAAACTTCCATGTTTCCAGAGGCTCCCTGTAAAGACTACAATCCTTTCTCTAGGGGTTCACACAGTGTTTTCTACTCAAGAGTCACAGGGGAGTTTAAAAACATGCATATTCCCGAGTTCAACTCTTCGATTTTAATTTTGCAGTTGGTGGTAGAGTTCAGGTATTTGAATTTTATCATCCTTTACAGGGATTCTGAAGCAAAATTACTACTTTTCCACTTCATCTGTGATCTCCTACTTACTTTATTACTACTAATAATTGTTGGTAGAGTTTGACCTAGCCACGCTTAGAACCCAGCTGTCTCTGTTAGGAAGCTCTTTAAATGAGCAAAGGCCCTCAAATGTTACCTTTTACTTGCTTTCCTACTTAGGGTTTTAGTTCCTTATTCTTTTATTCATTTATTCAATGAGTCTTTCTTGAACACTTAATGTGCAAAGTGTAGTTTTAAGTATTGATATGGTTTGCCTGTATCCCCACCCAAATCTCATCTTGAATTATAGTTCTCATAATCCCCACATGTCATGGGAGGAACCTGGTGGGAGGTGACTAAATCATGGGGCTGGTTACCCTCATGCTGTTCTTTGATAGTGAGTGAGTTCTCATGAGATCTGATGGTTTTATAAGGAACTTTTCCCACTTTTGCTCAGCATTTCTCCTTCCTGCCATCATGTGAAGATGGATGTGTTTGCTTTCCCTTCAGCCATAATTATAAGTTTCCTGAGGCCTCCCTAGCCCTGCAGAACTGTAAGTCAATTAAACCTCTTTCCGTTATACATTACCCAGTCTCAGGCAGTTCTTTATAGCAGCGTGAGAATGGATTACTACAAGTATCAAAGATTTAGCAGTAGGAAAAAAAACCAAAAAATTAATACTGTAAGGGAGCTTGCATTCTAGAGAAAAGAAAAGGAAGGAATAATTATTCGAGTATTTGTAATCCCAATTGTAATAAGCAGGGGCCAGGAATAAGGTGTAGGGAGGTAAGGTTGTTATTTAACTGGGTTGACTGGGAAGTTCCTTCTGACAAGTTGCAGGTTTGAACAAGCCTGCCCTGTAGTAAACTGGGCATCCTCTCTTTCCTCACACCTCACAACCCCTGCCAGGAAGGAAGGGCAACCCTGGAGAAAGCATGGCTGAGGAGACAGAGAGAACTGGGTTCAGGTCACACCTTGCTTCAGACCCTGAATCCACCCATGCTTCTACTTTTTAGTAAAGTAAGGGATTAGTAAGATGTTTAGTAAGGCAAGCTATTTAATCCACTTCTGTATTTTTTAATAAAGTAAAACATTAAATTCTTTTTGACTAAGTAAAGGGTATATTGGGTTTGCCCTTTGCCACCAGAAATTCTAATACATATGCTAATTTCATTTATTTATTTTAATAGAATCTATTTTGTTATTACATAAGAATATTATAAAAATCATAAAAATACGAAAGTGCAAAGATAAAAAAGCAAATCTTAGAATATCATTTTAATGATTTTGCCAAGTATTCTATCATATGGCTTACTTATTGAACCAAGCTCTATTCTTGTACATTTAAATAGTTTATCATTGTTGGTAATGAGTACCAACAAAATTGTAAGAAATATTTTGAGACAAATTCTTTCTCATCTATTATTACTTTCTTAGGATCTATTTCTCAAAGTGGAATTATAGGCTCAAAGGGCATATACACGTTTGTGGCTTTTGAAATACAAGTGCCAATTTGCCCTTAATTAGGATTATACCATTTTTGACCACCCATAGAAGTAGCCAAAAGTGTTTATTTCTTTATACATTTACCAACACCAAAAAATAGAAAAAAAGTTTTAATATTTCTTTTATAAAATCAGGAACATCATTGTTTATTTCATATTTATTTTTATTCCTGGAAGATTTAAACTTTTTACTATACTAAAATTTTAATTTGTTTCTTTTGTAATTGCCAGTTTCTTGGTTCTAATCCCATTAAAATTTTTGAATGTCTATATTTTTTATTAATTTGTAATAATGTTTTATATATTAAATATATTCCTTCACTAATAATAATAATTCAAGTTATAGGCATTTTTATTTATTGAGCCCAGCACAATGGTAAGCCTTTTATATACCACATATAATTTTCCTACTCTGATATTATAGACTATTATTGTGCTTTTCTTTTAGTTCTATACTATGTAAGATATTCACTTAACAAAGATGAGCTCACATCTTAGATGAATCTGCTCAAAAAAGATCACAGAGTAAGTAAACAACAGAGCTGGAATTTAAATTCATGTCTGCTTCAGTCCAAACCTATATATATATATATATATATATATATATTTTTTTTTTTTTTTTTTTTTTTTTTTTTTTTTTGAGACGGAGTCTCGCTCTGTCGCCCAGGCTGGAGTGCAGTGGCGCGATCTCGGCTCACTGCAAGCTCCGCCTCCCAGGTTCACGCCATTCTCCTGCCTCAGCCTCCCGAGTAGAAGCATAATGACAAGTTGCTTTTGATTATTATTTCCTCTTTCCTGACATTCAGGGGTCAACAAGCTACAGCCAATTTTGTAAATAAAGTTTTATTGGAACATAGCCATACTCATTCATTGATGCTTTTACACTACAAGGTCAGACTTGAGTAGTCATGACAGAGGTCATATGGCTTGAGGAGCCCTAAAATATTTACTGTCAGGACCTTTATAGAAAACGCTTGCTGATCTTTGCAGTTGCTTCCACCTTCTGCAAATTGTATAAATGCTTGGTCTCCTGGATCTATCCTTCATCTTACTATATCTTATTTTCCCCTCAAAATTTCTAGCTAGAATTAAATAAACTATTATATTTTTCTTTTAGCTATAAACTGTACAAGAATATGATTCATTGGCTTTCTTGATATTTTAATCCAAAAACTAACATTTTTTTTGTTCCCAAAACACCCTATTCTCACTCCCTCTTGTTTCTTATCATCCTGTCTTATTTTAATAGCACAGCATCTTCTTGGATGTAACTAAGAATAATATTTAACTTCTTAAAGACGTTATTTTGGATGAGATCCATTTCACTTATGAAGGCTGTTTCTGTCTTGGGCTAGGTGTTGATGTTTAGAAATGCAGGTCTAGATTTATCATTTATGGAAGCCATTGTGGACTTCTCTCAACAAATTCTTCTCTGGGTCTTCACAGCCATGCCAATTCAGTGTGCTTCTGAGCTGAATAGAACTATATTCTTTCACTTGATCATAATGGAATTTATTCTGACAAATAGTTGTTAGTGTTTGTAGCATGAGGTTGGGCCCTTCCTAACTGTGAAGGTAGTTAGATAAAGCTCTGCTCTGTTTTTTTTTCCTTCTTTGTATTCAATAGGAATAAATGTGTAGGACTGTTTTTAGCAAAGAAAGTAAAAAATTATGCAAGAACTGATTGTTTTTCATAATCTATAGGGTTTTAGATGAAACTCAACTAGAACTTATTAGAAAGGCTCAGTTACCAACTAAGCTAAAGGAAGCAGGCTTCAAAACTGGAATGTGATATATATAAGTCAGTAATAATAAAGTACTCATTAGACACTGTCCTGGTGGGGTCATATTGCAAAAATCCATTGCCAATCTTGTATCGCATTTTAAAAGGGATGTTAACAAGCCTGTCTACATCAAAAATAAAGAGTAGTCTAGAAATAATATCACATTATTAAATATTATCTTCAAATTTTGTAGCAGCTTTCATAGAGAAGAATACATGTTATGAGTGGCTCTGATTAACAGAAAAAAAATGACGATGGAAAGTTATAGGGAGGCATAATTTGACTAAATAAAGGAAGAAATATCCTTCTAACAGCTAGAGATTTCCAAAAACTGAATCGGTCACCTTCTCAAAAATATTAGATAATTTTAGTTAAAAACTTAATTTTGAGATTTGAATCACCAACTGTGTGACCTAGGTAAAATTATTAAATTTATCTGAGTCATTGTTTCTTTATTTTATTTGGAGACAGAGTCTCATACTATCACCCAGGCTGGAGTGCAGTGGCGTGATCTCGGTTCACTGCAACCTCTGGCTACTGGGTTCAAGCGATACTCACGCCCCAGCCTCTCGAGTAGCTGGGACTACAGACGTAAGCCACTGTGCCTGGTCTTGGTTCTTTATTTTCTAAGTAGTAACAGTAGTATTCATAATACAATGATGTTATGAAGATAAAATTATGTTACAATGGAATACTCAAGTATTTATTGAGTGTGCACTGGTTTAAGACCATTATATTACAATGATCTTAAATCACTGCATACTCAATAAATACTCATCCTCAATAAATGCAGTTATGCTGCTCATAATGCAAAGTGATGAGCTCCCCGCTTCCCAGGGGTAATTCAGGTAGAGTCTAGATGTTCTCCTGCCTGAAATAGTGTGTAAGGAATTCCAGTGTGAGAAACATAAGTCAGAGCATTCTTCCAGGATTGGAGCACTTGCTCTGGTTTTGCTCTGTTCATGGAATGTTTTGACTTATTTGCACTATAGAAGAGCTAGTATAGAGATTCTAAAATAGAAATAAGCTTGGAGAGTTCCAAGAATAGAAAGAAGACCAATGTGATAAAGCAGAGGAAGAACGGGTCTGATGCCCACCCGTATCCATTTCTCCTTTTCTTCTGGGCACGTGCAGAGATTACATCCCTGTGCTGCTTTGTAGTTAGAGACATATGCCTTTTCTGTCCATGCAAATAACAATAAAATGTGTTCTTCCTCAATGGAGCAGTAAAGAGCCTTTCATGGTTCTTGAGTCTCTCTCTTTTCCTGTAGGAGTGAATGGGATAGGTTTCCTGTTGAGATGACTCACACCTCAGGTGGAAAACAGCAATCTGGGAGTCTCCCATCCAAGAATGAAACTATAGGAACAAGAAACAAACTTCTCTGTTAAACTGCTGAGATGATGGAGTTATTTTTTTAAAGCAGAACAGCCTAAAGTACCCTGACTAAAGCAGGGAATGACTAGTAATGGAGGATAAGGTTAGAAATGCAGTCAAGACCCAGTAATACTGCATTTCATAGGCCAGGATAAAGAGAGAACTTGTGACCGATGTAACAAACAGCCCCTGGACAGCAGATGAGTCACATGACCTCTCAGGTGTTGACTCATGATGCTACCATAACTCTTAAACTTCCAAACCCCAATATCTCAAAATTTGCATGACCTGCTGAGATACTAGCTCTTTACCCTCCATCAGTAATGCAATGCTGTTCTTCCTAATTTATGACATGAGAAAGTCAACTTTTTTATGCATTTGACAGCAAACAAGAAAAGAAAACACAGACAGATAAGTCCTCTAAGAATGTCTTTCTATATAGTCACCTTTAAAATCCTTTTTTTCTCTGCTACACCCATTCTTTATCTTTGTTTTGTTTTCTGGCTTTTGCAAAGAATTGTGCAAAAGGTAGTTGCCAAATAAGGGTAATTAATTTATAAATATTTGTGATAATTTTTTTCTATCTTTGCATTCCCTTTTAATGAAGAAAAGATTGCCAAGTTTTAAGTTTAACTAAATACACACCTGTCTAGGTCCTAGATCTGAGTTATAATTAACATTTTAAAAGGAAATAAGCCAAGCAACATATTTGTTTTTTTTTTTTTTTTTTTTTTGGCCAGGAATCAAATTAGATTTTATGTTGTGTATAGAAGTCAGTGAATGCATGACTACATGCTCAACATTAGTTTTTAAATGACATTGCTATGATGATATCATTGCCTAACCTTTACTAAGGATTTAGTATGATGTATACTAGGTAGACTTATAAGCAACTTATCTATACTATCCTGTTTAATCCTCACAACAACATTATGAAGTAGATGTTATTGTTATGCCATTTTTTAAAGGAGGAAACTCAAGAGAAGTTTAATGTCACACAGATAATGAGTGTGGTGGATGTGAGACAGAATCAAGGCAATTTAACCAAGGATGCCACACTGTTAATTATTATGAAAACTGTGTGATAACATAAGAAAGCTAATGAGAAAAGTATATACTTTAAATAAAGAAGTTAATGTTACTTGCTGATTGACCACTCTGTGATTTGGAAAATAATGTGGTGACATTTTCCGTGTCCGAAGATGGAAAGTTAACTGTGGCACTGGAGACCGACGTATTATATAGAATAATTATTTAAACCCTTGAGTCTCAACTTTGTCTGTAAAATAAAGATTATATTACCTACCATACAGATTCATGATGAAAATTAAATGAAATGATATAATGTGTAGTGTAAAGGAGAAATAGAAGACATTCAATAAATATCAATTATCTGATTGAGTATACTCTTTACCCATCCCTCAGTGAGATCTTGGGGATTAGTGGTATCTATCTGTAAATTGTTTTATAATCCAGGGTTGAAAGCTGTTGTGTATACAGAATGTGATAATTCCTTCTGGAATTGAAAAAAAAAAAGATTTTAAAATGCCCTTTAAATTTATTCTGGAGAAAAATGTCGTATACACTAATGGTAAATAATAGCAATCACTGGGAAGAATAGAAATAAAATGAAATAAATTAAAGTAACAAAATGATGCTAATATTTGGAGCAGTGTAGTATAATAAATGATTAAAAACCTGAGTTTTGGCGTCAAAGAACCTATGTTTGAACCTAGACTCTTTTGCTTCTTACCTCTATCACTCTGCATACCTTTCTTTACCCTTTTTAGACTCAGTCTCCTCAGCCATGTAAGGTGAAACTAAGGCAAGGTTGTTATAAGAATTAAATGAAATGATGCACATAAAGTATTTAACACAGTGCTGGACTCTTACTTGGGCAGATACTGATAATTATAATGATTGCCTGGTTCCCCAACATGCCTGGTGAGATCAATCATTAACCATCACTAAATAAATAAATCCCTCCTCTACTAATCTTGGAGTATATTGCACATAGTGGTCCCTTTGAGAGACAGCTCAGTTGGAAATGGGCAACCATCGACTTCTATGGCCTATGTCACTCAATTTTCAATCCTTCTTGCACTTCTGTTACAACTGCTCTAAAAGATAACTGTCTCTCTTTTTATGGTGTCCCCAGCCCTACACACCTACACCCAGTGACTTTTGCACATGCTGTATCCTCTTCTTTGGTATTAATCTTTAATGCAAATTTATCCAGCCTTTTTGAGTATGAATAGGAACATGATGGGTAAATACATAATAAATAGATAGATACATATATACATGGATACATATATACAGTTACAGAGTAGATATGAACATATATCTATGTAGATATAGCTATGTGCATATAGTACAGATATATTAGAGTTATAGATATAGTATATGCAGATACAAATATAGATATATAGACACAGACATATAGACATATAGTTATAGACAAAAAGAGATATTGAAGGGTAGGAGGTTGTGTGAACGCACTCACAGCTTTTTCTTGGCCTGGGAAAAATACTTTTTAGTATTTTTCTTGTACCAGGGTAGGGATCTCAATAGCATTCATTATGCTGATTTTGAAGAATAATTTCCCAAATCAAAGAATGTAGTGATGATAAGCTCCTAGTGAGATTTTTCTAAACTTTTAGCTTTAAAAAAAATCTACCAAATAAGAATAATGTTGTTTGCAAAACCTCAAAGTACTGGAATCTGATAGAAAATATAGGGACATGGTTGAAAGAATGAACAGCAATCCAAAATCAAAAGCTATTGTCTCTGATCATGATCTTTATGTCTCTACAGAGGTATATATTTATGATTTTTATACTTGAACTTTCAACTCTTTGCTAAGTGCGTAATCATTTAAAAAATCTAAAGTGACTGATATCTTATTCTAATCCAAATTGCTGATATTAGGATGGTGTATTATGTGTCCTTTAAACAAAAGAATCTACAAAGGAATGAAAACTATAGAAACCCATGATGAAGAATTGAGCTTCAAATCATTATCATGGAATAAGAACTTGAAATGTTAATTCCAATATTAGCCATCAGTCTTTGGAAAAAGTCACAAAATGTATAACAATAATTGGTCTGCATTCTTGTCTAGTAATTAAACTTCTTTATCGTGCGGACTTAGTGGTTTGAGTGTAGAAGGACATAGTAGTTTTAATAAAATATTAATTATTGAATTATGTTCAGAAACATGTAGAAAAGCATGTGTTTCAAAAACAATATTAGAGCTACTTTTATCTAGTCTTTTATATGTTGAAAGGGTTTGAAGAATAACCTCTCTAGGAGCAACAATTATTTGGTAACGAAGTACAGAAACGCACTCTGGCTAGTTGAAGCTGAAGGGAATTTTTTGGACTATAAGGAAAGAAGGAAGCTGTCCCTAGAAACCCAGAATGATAGAATCACAGGCATGTTTTCATCTGGAAAGTAAACTGCATGGGCAACCACATTTGGGAAGACCTTCTACTGCTTCCAGATTTTCTGGTCATTATGCATTCCAGGGAGGAGCATCAAATCCCTGTAGCTTGAGTCACGTGCCCATCTTGATCTTACCAGAAAATAAAAAGAAGGACAGGGTGCAAGGACTCTTCAGAACTCCCTTTGTGTACCCTAACTCTTGCATGTAATAGGCCACTCTCCAACTAATGACTAGCATGTTTCCCCTTAGATAAAACCAGACTGCTGTTAGGGAAGGAAATAGATTCTAGGCTGCCTTAAAATAAATGTTTTTTTTTTTTTTTTTTGTCCTCCCCTTAGATCCTTTCTGCATAGCCTTTTGAATAAGGCAGTATGTTATTACTATCTACTGCACATGGAAATGGAAGTTGTTTGAGTTTAAGCAGACTATCCAAGTTCATGGTGCCATTAAGGAAAACAGACAAGACTAGAGACCATATTCTTGTGTCTTTTCTAGTAGTTTTCCTACTACACCCTTCTGAACAGACATTAATTTATTATTTGGTTTCTTTCAACTACAAATCACCTTATTTTTCCCTTTTCCTCTAAATCATTTTAGTGGATAACAAGCTACAGAGAAAGTCTGTGTATCACTGTCAAATCACCTTTTGGACAATATCACCCTGCCATGTTTCTGTCAAAATGAATCTGCAACATTGACGGGAGAAAAAATATATAAAGGAAATGTCCTCATTGTTCATTCAGGGACGGACTCAGCTGGAGGGAACCTTGGGAGGTGGCATCACCAGTGCAGACTGGATACAATTAGGAGATGCTGGATGCCTCTCTGTGTTCCTGGGCACATTTACACTCCCTTAAAAGAGCAATTTCACTTTGTCTCCATCCCAAGCTTTCATTCTACCCCTGCAGTTCACAGCCGTGGCAAACACTGAACACAATTTTATATTTGTATGTGTGGACAGTGTCTGTGACATATTGACCTTGCCTAAGATATGGAAGCCTGCGGCTCTTTCTTCTAAGTGTAGGGGAAGAAGCCACGCGGGTATGTACTGACATGGAATGAAAGAACTTCAGAAGCTGTTTACAGGGTTTCCTGAAATTCAGGAGAATGAAGCTTGAGACGTTTAAAATTCTCTTTATAGCTGATTTGAATTTGCTCAGTAGAACACAGATCCCAGAAAAGCCTATCTCATGACACCTATTCACACTGCTCTTTTGTGGGTAGAAAGGAATATCTCCTTTTCCCCTAACTCTGGAATTAAATTTCTGGGGCTTATGAGTTCCTAGGAGTGTGGGAGAAGGGTGTGGACTACAGTGTGTGCTAATTGTTATTATGATCATTCATCCATCTGACAAATGATGCCTAAGTGATATCTGACAGGAAGGCTAGTACTTACTTTCAGAAGTATACGCCCATGAGTTTTTAATCTCAGATATACTTAGACTCAGAAAATTCAGATATTTCTGTGTCCCTATTTGACAAACTTCCACCAGCATCCCAACAACAAGGTAAAGGAAGGGGGCTATAAAGGATGTTTTCTGAAAATACTTTGAGTCACCCCATTTGCTATCCAGCCATAAACAGAACCCTCAAGGCAGGGCTCCCCAACCCCCAGGCCATGGACTGGTACCAGTTTGTGGCCTGTTAGGAACTGAGCCACACAGCAGGAGGTGAGGGGTGGGCAAGCAAGCAAAGCTTCATCTGTATTGACAGCCGCTCCCCATTGCTCACATTACCGCCTGAGCTCCGCCTCCTGTCAGATCAGCCGCAGTATTAGATTCTCATAGGAACACAAACCCTATTGTGAACTGCGCACGATCTTGGTTGTGTCTTCTTTATGAGAATCTAATACCTGATGATCTGTCGCTGTCTCCCATCACCCCCAGATGAGACCGTCTAGTTGCAGGAAAACAAGCTCAGGGCTCCCACTGATTTTACCCTGTGGTGAACTGTATAATTATTCCATTATATACTATTTTGTAATATATAACATTTCTATTATTATTACATTGTAATATATTATTATTATGTTGTAATAATGTATTACTTGTAATACATTATGTTGTAATACTTTACATTACTTGTAATACATTACATTTTTACGTTGTAATAATGCATTACATTGTAATATATTATTATTATGTTGTAATAAGGTATTACATTGTAATAATGTATTACATTGTAATATATTATTATTATGTTTTAATAAGGTATTACATTGTAATAATGTATTACCTTGTAATATATTATTACATTGTAATAATGTATTTGTAATAATGTACATTGTAATATATAATTATATAATTACATGGGAATACATTATTATTACATTTGTAATATATTACATTGTTATATATTACATATATGATTACATGTAATATATATTACGTATAATATAATAAAATATATAATAATATAATAACATACATATAATGTATATTACTATATTGTTACATGTAATATATTGTTACAATGTAAATAATATATTACAATTTAATAATAATGGAAATAAAGTGCATAACAAATGTAATGCATTTGAATCATCCCAAAACCATCCCCCTAACCCCCTGGTCTATGGAAAAACTGTCTTCCATGAAACCAGTCCTTGGTGCCAAAAATGTTGGGGACCAGTGCCTGAAGGGACAAGTCCTGACTTGGATAAAGACAGGAAATTGCCACAAACATAGAGAGCAGTGGAGTGAAGATTTCTGATCTAGAAAAACAATGACAACAATAATTCAGTATTCACAGCCTGAGTAGATTTGGGTTGATTTGCAGAGCAGTTGGCCTAAGATCCTTTTGAGACCACCAGCCTAAATACTAGCTCTTTCCCCAGACTCACCTTACCACTCACTGGCCCCACATGGGTGAGGCCTTGAAAGTCATTTAACAAAGTACTTGGAACTGAAGGAACGAAAAACTAGAGCCGTGTGTCATTTTAACAATCTGTTATTTAGTCTCTGTGACACTTTTATTTTATCGTTGGTGGTTGATTTTTATTTTAAGATATATAAACTAAGATTCATTCATTTTTTAAGGTATGTAAAGAAAGATTCATTTTTTATGGTTTTGACAAATGCACAGAATCACGTATCCACCACCAGAGCAACGATATAGAAAATTCTCATCACTTCAAAAATTCCCGTGTTTCTGTTTTGTAGTGAATTCTTCACTCCACCATCAAACCTTGGCAAACACTATTCTGTTTGTTGTTGTTGTTGTTGTTTTCTGAGACGGAGTCTTGCTGCGTCGCCCAGGCGACAGAGAGCAGTGGCTTGATCTTGGCTCAGTGCAAGCTCTGCCTCCCAGGTTCACGCCATTCTCATGCCCCAGCCTCCCGAGTAGCTGGGACTACAGGTGCCCACCACACCACGCCCGGCTAATTTTTTGTATTTTTAGTAGAGACGGGGTTTCACCTTGTTAGCCAGGATGGTCTCGATCTCCTGACCTCGTGATCCGCCCTTCTCGCCCTCCCAAACTGCTGGGATCAGTTTATCTTTTAAAAGAATATCGTGTAAACAGAATCATACGTATGTAACTGTTTAAGTCTGGCTTCTTTCACCTGCACACAATGCATTTGATATTCATCCATGTTGTTGCATGTATCAGTAGTTTGCTTCTTTTTATTACTGGGAAGTATTCTGTTGCATAGAGGTACCATGTTTTCTACCCATTATGCAGTTGAGAGATAGTTTTCAGATTTTAGAGATTAAGAATAAAACTAACATAAACATTTCTGGATAGGTTTTTGTGTGAACATAGGTTTTTATTTCACTTTGATAAATACCTAGGATGGAAATTGCTAGATCAAAAGACAAGTATATATTTAACATTATAAAAAAACTTTTTTTCAAAGCCAATAGCCAAAATGTTTTTCAAAGTGGATGTGGCTATACCATTTTATATTTCCACTTGTGAAGAATGAGTGTTCCAATGAATCTGCACCTTATTCACATCTGAGTGTCATTCACATCTCAGAAGTGTCAGGTTGGTGGGTTATTTTTTTCTTTTTTTCCATTGTGTTAGGTGTGAAGTAGTACATTGTGGACTTCATTTGCATTTTTTTTTGTCACTAGTGATGCTAAGTAGCTTTCCATCTGCTTATTTGTCATCCTTATATTTTCTTAGTGAAATGTCTGTTCAAGTATTTTGCCCATTTCCTAACTGAATTATTTGCTTTCTGATTATTGGGTTTGAGAGTTCTTTATACCTTTTGCATAAAAGTCTTTCATCAGATTGAGTTTTGTGAATATTTTCTCCTAATCTGTGCCTTGCCTTCTCATTCTTGTTTCTTTTGAAGAAAAATCCAGTTAATTTTGGTGAAGTTCAATTTACCTATTTTTAAATTAGTCTATGAATCATGTCTTTGGTGTCATACCTAATAAATCTTTGCCAAACTCAAGGTCACAGAGATTTTCTTTCTTTTTTTTTTTTTTTAAGGAATGCTGTGCTTTTAGGTTTCATATTCAAGTTTATGATCTATTCTGAGTTACTTTTGTATAGGGTGCAAAATATTGGTAAAAACTCATTTTTTCCCATATTTCAGCATAATTTTTTGAAAAAACTATCTTGTCCCTAATTGCTTTTGCATCTTTAAGAGTCAATCAACTATAATTTGTGAGTCTATTTCTGACTTTTCTAATCTCTTCTATTGATCTATATGTTTATCCTTTCTCTACTATCATACTCTACACTCTTATTATTTAACGATGTTCTGCATTTATAGTATCCTTAATTGGAAAATCAAAGGTATTTTTTCCCTAAAAATTTATCATTTTTACTGCATGCATTTTTAAAGGGTAATTTACTCTCTTTGTTCACTTTTTTGTTAATTTTTACTTTCAAAATTCATAAGCCAACCAGTTTGAAAAAGCCACATACTGTATAATTTCATTTATGTGATATTCTGCAAAAGGCAAAACAGTTTAGTAAACAGATCAGTAAAAGATAAATAGAGCAGAAGTTTTTGGGAGTCAAAGGAGAAATGATAAAACAGGTGAAGCATAGTTAATTTTTTTACAGGGAGGTGAAACTATTCTATATGATGCTATAATGCTGAATACATTATACTATGTGTTTGTCAAAAATCCATAGAATTTTATAGTACTAAGAGTCAGCACTAATTTATGCAAACTGAAAATAAAGTATTTAAGGGACCAGGGACTCTCAGGATGGAATATAAACTGTGACGAATAAATATAACTGTATGGCAAATATGTAAAACAAATTTCCTGAAGTGGGAGAAAAAGGTGCCGATCTAAGTAAATCTGGAAAGGAGTAGAATCTATAAGATTAAAGGCAGAAAGAACTTCACATAAGCACTCTAGTTGGTAAAGATGTTTCCCGCAGAGGTGAGAGTTAACAATTCTGAAACCTCCATACGTGTCTGGAATTGAATGATTAAGTAAATGAATGGCAGATGGGTTTCTCATCGTTGGAGGGGGCAGTTACAGAAAAACAAGTGAAAAGACTAGAAAGATCCATGTGGTAATAGAGTTGGAGTCATTAGTGTGAACTCATGTTTAGCTAAATGTGGATATTGATGGTTACATACAGAAATATTGATAGGTATGTGTATATGCACAGATTAGTATATACACATGTATCTACTGATAGGGCCTAAACAACAAAACCCTTGCAGCAATGAGCGCATCTAGTGCCCAGAATTTGGTCTCTAATTCCATTCTCTAATAAAAGGACCCGGGGCTTAATGAAAAAAATGGTTGATTCTAGGACTGGAACAGAAAATGAGCCTGGAGAGCCTCGTGGTGCTATAAAGAAAAATAGATAAACAAACAATAAAAAACCCTCACTGATGGGATAAGTCAAAGAGACGTAGGAGTCACCTGAACAAGCTCTCAATGGCCAAAACTAAAAAATTTAAGCATCAAAATAAAGTCGTCCTGAACGAGCTCTCAATGGCCAAAACTAAAAAAATTAAGCATCAAAATAAAGTTGTACTGGATCCCAACCTAAAGTATAAAACCAATATGCATGATATATACTGGCACAAATAAATGATCAAAAAAATGCATAGGGGAGAATAAGCAAATCTTCTATGCAGAAGAATTCTAAATAATTTGTTTGTCCTTAAGAAGGTAAAACTTAATTCCCCATGCTTTAAGTGTGGGCTGAACATAGTGACTTTCTTCCAAAGAGTTCACTATGGAAAGGAGGAAAAAAAAAAATGACTCTACAGTGAAGAAATCTGACAAACACTGCCTCAGCCTGGCAATCAAAGTTAACAATAGCAGTAATCAGTCATGTTGATATTATGAATCCTTGGCCAGGCATGGTGGCTCACGCCTGTAATCCCAGCACTTTGGGAGGCCGAGGCGGGCAGATCACCTGAGGTCAGGAGTTCAAGACCAGCTTTGGGCAACATGGTGAAACCCTGCCTCTACTAAAAATACAAAAATTAGCTGGTCTTGGTGGTGCTTGCCTGTAATTGCAGCTACTTAGAAGGCTGAGACAGGCGAATCGCTTGAACCCAGGAGGCAGAAGTTGCAGTGAGCCGAGATCGTACCACTGCACTCCAGCCTGTACAACAGAGCAAGACTCCATCTCAAAATAAATACACACACACACACACACACACACACACATAAATCCTTGACCAAAATAAATACACACACACACACACACACACACACACACACACACACACAAATCCTTGACATAATGTGATGAGAAGGGTGCTTCACCTCTGGAGTCTTCTTCCAATACACTATAGCCCCAATCTAATCATGAGTAAAGCATCACATGAATCCCCATTGAGGGGATATTCTTAAAAAGTACTTGACTAGTAAACCTCAAACATTTCAGAGTTATCAAAAGCAAGGAAAGTTTGAGAAGCTTTCACAGCCAAGAAGAGCCTGAAGAGACATGATAAACAAATAAAATGGTGAATCCTGGATGCAGCCCTGGAAAAACAACAAAGCGACCTCAGGTAAAAACTAAGGAAATGAATATAAGGTATGGGTTTTAGTTAATAATGCTAATCAATATTGATTAATTAATTGTGACAAATGTACTATACAATATGAACTGTAAGAACTGGGTGTGGGGTATATGGGAACTCCCCGTATGAACTTTAAATTTTTATAAATCTAATTCTAATCTAAAACAGAAAATTTATTTTAAAAGCAAAAAATGAATCAGAAGCTTTTCTACTTCAGTTGTAAAAATGAGACTCCAAAGAGGTTTCATCTCACTTTCCTTCATTAATCTAAAATTTCTAAAACTGTTTGCTTGGAAGGATTATGAGGCTAGGTTCTATCTCAAGGGCAATAATGCCACATCTTCCATGGGCTCAAGCAAAAGGGCAGTGGCATGCTGCTGTGGCAGACCTCGGTGCACAGGGGAAAAATGACCACACATTGTTTTGTTTGTTTTGGTATTTAATTGATTGACCAACAGAATGTGGCAGACGTGATAATCTGGGTCTTTTGAAGACAAGACCTAACAAGGCTGCAACCTCTAGAATCCCTTAGAACAGACAGTCTAAGCACATTGTCTGTGGGGACTGAAATTCCTTGTAGTAAGAAGCCCCAGACCCACAGAGAAACCAGGTGTAAGTGCTCAGTTGACAGCCTCAGCTTAGCTCCCCACCAATAGCCGGCAAGTCTGGACAGGACACATTTGTGAGCCATTGGGTACCTCCATCCCAACTGAGCAGTGAATCTTAGAGATGGCTCCTGTTCTGATCACCATCTAATGGCAAATGTATGGGAGAATCTGGGTGGCAACTCCCCAAGCTGAGCCCAGTCCATCTACAAAATTATGAAGATTAATAATAAATGGTTGTTACGAGGCACTGAGATTCAAGATGGTTTATTATGTAGCAGTAGATATTCAGAACACTCTACTAAGTGCTGCGGCTCCAAACTAAATTTTCTAAGAGCACTCCATGTACAAACAAACAACTACAAAAAAAAGCAAACGTTTGCCATGTGCCTCTTATTTGCAAGACATGGTTCAGCACCTGTAACTTGAAGCCTTAGTGCTATCACCCACAGAAAGAAAGCATCTCTCAAGTAACCATTGTGAAATATTTCAAAAGAGCCACTGGTAGTAAAATTTATGTCTTCTTTTTAAAGGTTATGTCTTCTTTTATAAGACTACCCACTGCCTCTTCTCAAGTATATCTGAAGTATGGCTGGTTGGAGTATATCAGGACCCTCAGAGGAGAAAAGCATATAAAACCAGCACACCTGAACCCAGGTAAATGGAAAGACCCTCATTATTATCTTTACCAAATATTGACACTTTGCATTAATTTAGATTTAACAGACTACTAAGGGCTTTGTCTCCCCACCTAAATCTCATCTTGAATTTAATCCCCATAATCCTCATAATCTCCACATGTCAAGGGAGAGACCAGGTGGAGATAATTGAATCATGGGGGTGGTATCCCCTATGCAGTTCTCATAACAATGAGTGAGTTCTCACGAGATCTCATGGTTTTATAAGGGGCTCTTCCCCTTTTACTCGACGCTTTTCCTTGCTGGACCCTGTGAAGAAGGTGCTTTGCTTCCTCTTTGCCTTCCTCCATGATTGTAGGTTTCCTGAGGCTTCCCAAGCATGCTGAACTGTGAGTCAATTAAATCTTTTTCCTTCATAAATTGCCCATTCTTGGGCAGTTTCTTTATAGCAGTATGAAAATGAACTAATACAACTAATAGTAAGCTTCTAATGCAAGATGACATTTCTAAAAATTATTTTACAGAAAAGATTCGTTATGAATCCGCCAAGACACCATACTGTTTTAAATCTGAAGTAAAAGTTAGTCTCAACAAGTTATTGTATCTTGTCTGCATGAGTTTGTCATTAAATGATTCTGAAATGCAATGAAAATGGAAACATATTGCTTAATGAGAATGATTTTATCAATACCTGCCTTTTCTTTTAAATTGCTTTCACTGTTTAATAAAAGAGGAATAAAATTATATGAAATGTATGCCAGTAACTCAAAGGAAGGGGTGAGATGCTCTGTGCATATAACTTTGGGAAGGAGTGATATACCAGCAAGGAGTCAAATGTCTTAACTCTGTCCCAGGTTAACTCAGAGCCAGGCATCAAGGGAAGCATGCAGGTGAGTGATTAGAAATTCTCGTCACCTGGAGTGGATGCCTAGCTCTGCTGCTCACCAGATTTGTGACCTAAGGGTTGTAAGCTGTCAGAGATTCATTTGTGAAATAAGGTATAATAGCACTGGCCTTAGAGACCTGTTGGGGGTTAAAATGTGATTAAGCTTTTAAAGTGGTTGACATAATCTATCTGTCTACCATGTACTAAGCAGTGGTAAACACTGGCCTCTAATTGTTAAAATGACCTTGAATCTCTGCATCAGATTCTGTGCCTGGACTTCTCCTATTCCTTTCTCTTCAGGAAAGACACCATTGTTCACAAACAATTTCAGTTCATTGAGAATCAGAATAATTCCTCTGACCCGTCTGCTTTTGAAAATCATAATCTTGGAGAAGTGACGAGCATAAACATCTGTAGGGATTAGTGATCATGGTCAAGTTATTTAACCCATATGTGCCTCATATTTTCATCCATAAAATAGGGATAATATAGTACCTATCAGACGAGGCAAATAGGATCGAATAACATGATACATGTGTAGAACCTAACGCAGTGTCTGACACATAGGAAGCATTCACTTTGCCATTATTATGTTTTAATCATTTTTATTAATGTAAAATATTTTCATTAGGCATATCATTAGTAACCTCATGTCCTGATATCTTTGCTACTAGTCTTTTTCCTAGCCATTCATTCTTTCATAAGGTGTACATGAGGGTAACACAATGAAAACACTATTAATAGGGTAATAGAGGACACTGAATGTCTCTTAGAGGGAATATTGCTTTAGTTTTTAGAACCTCTCTCTATCACCCAAGCTGGAGTGCAGTAGCGCGATCTCCTCTCACTGCAATCTCTGCCTCCCAGGTTCAAGGGATTCTCCTACCTCAGCCTCTAGAGTGGCTGGGACTACAGGCACACCACCAAACCTGGCCAATTTTTGTATTTTTAGTAGAGACGGGGTTTATGTTGGCCAGGCTGGTCTCGAACTCCTGACCTCCATCCGTATTGTGGATACTCCCAAAGTGGTAGGATTACAGGCATGAGCCACCACGCCCAGCCTATATTGCTTTATTAGTAAAGTTATTTTTAAAACCATGTGGAGTGTCGGGTGAAATATTGGGAATGTGTCTAATGGTTCTCAAGCAACAAGGTGAGATATTAAATGCTTTGCTCAAGAGGTTATGGAGAATTTCCCCCAAAAGTGAAGAGGAGAGAGTCAGAAGGTCCAGGAAGGGAGGGAAATAGAAAAAAATTGATTGTGAGAGACTGCAGGATGGGAGCCAGTATGGGGTGGTTGAGGATTTTCTAAGAATAGGCATAATCACTTTTAAGTTTTCTGCTTCATTGAAAGTTCCTTCTCTACCCATCAAGTAGTTCCAACCCATCATAAGAAAGTCTGTTTTACTCATGAATGTGTTAAACCTGTGGGAGCTTTTATGTATGGTCATTAAGAAAGTTAATATCCTGGATGTGGGGACGGGTTGTGAGCAAAAAATGACACACATCTAGAAATTGGAATTCCGGAAGCAGGGGTCACTCTGCCTCATTCCTTACCCAGTGCAGAATGTATAGAAAACGTTGAGAGTCTTCAACATGTCCACAAAGCATGGAATGGAAGACTCAAGCCAGTGTGAACTCACCATCATGTGTTTGTGCCCAGTCTAGGAACTGGCACATTTTTTAAAAAATGAATATATGAATGAATGAGATCACAGCTGACATCCGGGTTACATTTCATCTCAGGCATTATATATGTAAGCAGTATTTACTTGCAAGCTGTTCAGGCATCATTCTCAAAGTTCTCTGACTGAACTCTTTAGCTCATTGAGAATGTGAGTGTACTAAACTAGACTGGTTGTACATTTATTATGCCCAAATTTTATTCATTTAATGTACTTTTCCTAAATTCTACGATGCACTGTTCCAGGTACACAATGTCTTTGCCTTTTTGGATCTTTCATGGTAGGTGGATAAAACAGACCATAAGCTTTTAACAAACAAAAGTATTTCATATAGCGCTATGAAGAATGTCAACCAAGGTGTTTGGTCAGGGAGGATCTCAGCAGGGAATTGGATAAGAAGACCTGTTAGTGAAGATGGTCAGATAATTCTTCTCTGAAAAGACTTTTGGGTTGAGGTATAAATTATGACATAGGACACGGGATAATTTGGCAGTACAACTTTCTATGTGAAGGGCTGTGATGAGTGAGGCTGATGGAATAAGAACAAGATAAGTGTGCAGGCTTCAATGGGAGATGGTTGAATGAGATTTGGAGAGGGGTCAGTAAAAATTTGGATTTTATTCGGAGAGCAACGGGAAGCCTTTGGAAGGTTTAAACACGAGAGTGGTATGATTCATTATAAGAGTATTTGTTTTACAATAAACAATGCTCATCTCCTCTGTTATCTCATTTAACCATCACCACAAACATGAACTCTAAGCTTTAGTATCAGGAATGCAACTGGAGCTCAGAGAGGATATTTGCTCTATCCAAGGTCATTTGGGTAAAAGGGAAAATTGAGGATTTTGCAGGATGGCCAGCAAGCATTGGCTGCCTCTCAACTGGAGCTCTCTTTGTTTAATAATTGATGGAAGGGAAAAGAAACCTTTCTAAAATTGCTGCTAAAAGACACAATGTAGCAGAGTGATTTTTTTTTCAATACTCTCTGCAAAGTAAGCTAAAACTCATCTTTCCAATGAGCATGAGTATAATGCCTTTCCTGATTTTTTTCCAAGTCTGTCTTTTACCCACGGTCTTTGCTGAGCATGCATGTGCAACTCCCTACCAGCTTCTAAGGCTTTAGCTGATGACCTGCAATCTGGAAAAGGATCGAGAGATCAGAGTGGAGGGAATGCTGAGGGGATGTAGGAGGTACCAGAAAGGGGTGATCCACACAGCAGGCTTCAGACAGCCTGACTCAACAACAACAGAGCTGTGTATAAAGGTCTTTGCAATGTTTAGCTTTATGTGAAATCAAGTTATATACTGTGATGAAACATCTACCAGTTTCTAGAGTCAATATATTTAAAATTAGTTTCAATATGACTGATACACATTGTTTGGTTTATGTAGACTTCACTTCAGTGGTATTATAGTGTATGTATTTTAAATATTTCATTACATTTTATGCTGTTTCATGATATTTTTCATGTAATGCTCTGAATTTTATATGAACTCTGAAAGAAAACTTTACCTCATTTACATAGTATAGTTGATCTTTCTTGTAATTCAGGATTTGAGAACTTACTCCAAAATTATATTAAAAGTAAACACAATAAAAACACACTTTAAAGACTGGTAGCATTAACACACTAAAGATATTTTGATTTTAAAAATCAATTAACTAAATACAATAGAGTATACCTAAATATCAGAAAAATATTGTTTCCTCTTGTCCTTACCTACTTCTCCTCCTGGGCAATATTATTCACTTCATTGTCAATGAACCAGTATCTGTCAAATTTCTTCTAGACACCAAGCAGGATGCTAGGTGGTGTGTAGACATTGGTGGGTAAAACAGACATAGATCCTATGGGGACAAAGGGCAATATATAGACAATAAAGAAAAAAACTTACAAGTAAATAAATGAATATACCATTACAAATTGTGTCAAGTGATGGCATGTAGCAGAAGAAAATGACAATACCAAAATGAAGGGATGGCATATACTGTCGTCTCCCTTATATCCGATTTCTTCCTTTTCCTTAGCAATAGCACTAATTATTGTTGTTTGGGGGCAGTGGGATGCTAGTGGTGATGGTGAAATTATATCCGACTTAAAAGAACTACATTTCCCAGAATCCCTTTCAACTAGGCATGGTCTGTAATACAGATCTGACCGATCAGGTAGAAGGAGATGGAAACATTGCTTCCTAAGAGGACTACATCCTCAGTGGTTCCTTTCTTTTATCAATTAGGAACATGGACAGGACTCTGGAGTGTGGTCATCCTGTGACCATGAGGCAAGGAGCATGAAGCAGAGTGTAAAGGAATCTGAACTAACCCTGGGCTTCTTGTTATGTGGGGGGGGGGGGGGGATTATACAGCAAATTTACTTAAAAATGTGTATTAGTCAGATTTTTAGTTACTCATGGGTAAATGCAATCCCTAATTAAGGGTGTGAAGTGAGTGCTGAAACTTGCTTAGGAAAAGAGGTGGAAAAATTGGATGGGAATTAAGCATAGAGGTACCACGAAGTATCTGAAATTGTTTGGTTATGTCTGTAGACAAATCAAATGCTTAAACAAAATAAACTGAAATTTTCAACACATGCACACACAGAGTCCTCATACTTTTAGATTTTTAGTTTAAAAAATAAGTATTTGGCACACATCCGTATTCACACAACTCTTTTAGGCATCTACTTCCCTTTACCTGTGCAGGCCTATACGTTTAATGAGCAGAATAAAAAATATCCATTCCTTAGGCTAAGGTTTCATTTTTACATTGGACTAAAATAGTTCCCAGCTTTGGTTTGCAATATTAGAAATCTGGGGAGGTTTGAAATAATACTCAGCTCCAGGCCTCAAGCAAGACCAAATGAACCTTAGAGATTCTAATTCAGTAGGTCTGGGTACCTTGGGAGGGGTCTGGGCATTAGTATTTTTTTAAAAGCCCCTTAGGTGATTCTATAAGGTCAGGTTTCAGAACCACTGATCTAAAGGAATAAACTTGAGTCTGGCTGTCCACATACCTAAATCACCCCAAAGTGCAGTAAAGTGCAATAATACAGTGGCTCAGAACGTCCTTTATTTCTTCAGCAAGAAAATCTCCATTCCAGTGTTAAATTCGCCAGTAAATGATTGGGTGATTTTGAGCAAATTATTGAATCTTCTAAGCCTCTTTCCTCATTGAAGACTAAATGAAATAGATGCTGCGCACCTACCAAGATAACACTGTATTATTTGTGGGAAGTTGTGCTAGCTGAGTTTTTCAATCACTATTTGCAAATTAGCAGGGGCTCCAAATATTAAAACCATGCAATATGGTTAAGATCTATGTAAGTACAATGAAATTTCTACATCCAACACAATCACACAAACATGACTGGATTTTCAGTGTTTGGAAGATACTTTGAGGATGAATTCACTTAAAATGTAGACAACATGTCAGGCAAAAATGGACTTTTTGAGTTCTGTGGAGACACTCAGTAGAATCCAAGGCATGTAAAACTGAACAGTCAGAAGCCTTTGTAAATGCATTTGAAAGAGACAAGTCATGTTTATTAAGATGCTATGAAAAAATGAAAACAAAACTTAATGACTTCATATATGAGCTTCCAATTTTTTAAAAAAAGCCTCTAGGGTAGGCCCACCTAGTTGCAGGCTCTGATTTGCAAGAATGCTGCTCTTTACAGGACACATTTGTGTAGCTGCTCCCCGGTGGGTCACAGCAGGAATGTTATTTACTTAACCATGGGGAATGGTTTTTCAGAGCAACCCCCAAGGAAGCCAGAAAGTAAAAATGTCTTCATTATATAATGGTATCATAGTCTTAGAGTTAGAACAAATGCTTAATACCATCTACTCTGAGCTGTTTATTTTCCAGATTTAAAATCTATGGCCTGTATGTTAGGTGCCTCTGTTAACACATTCTAGGAGGTTGATGGAGGGCAACTGCAAGCCCTTAAGTTGAAGTTAATTCTAGTCCCCTCTGTGTTTCTCTTTGAGCCGTGCTGTCCAGTGTGGCAGCCACAGGCCACACAGGGCTTTTGAGTTCTTGAAATGTGGCTAGTTTGAGTTGAGATGTACTGTAAGTATAATGTACACATCAAATTTCAAAGACTTAGCATCTGGCTGGGTGCTATGGCTCATGCCTGTAATCCCAGCACTTTGGGAGGCTGAGGCCGGCAGATTACTTGCGGCCAAAAGTTTGAGATCAGCCTGGCCAACATGGCAAAACCCTGTCTCCACTAAAAATACAAAATTTAGCCAGGCCTGGGGGCATGCGCCTGTAATCCCAGCTACTCGGGAGGCTGAGGCAGGAGAATCACCTGAACCCGGGAGTTGGAGGTTGCAGTGAGCTGAGATCATGCCACTGCATTCCAGCCTAGGTGACAGTGAGACTCGACCTAAAATAAAAAAAAGACTTAGCATCAAAGAAAAAAAAAGAACAATATCATTAATTCTTTTTTCTGATTACATATTGGAATGACAATATTTGGGATGTATTAGGTTAAATAAAATATATTAAAATTAGTTTCTACATTTTACTATTTTAAAAAACGCAACTACCAGAAAATTTAAGTAACATCTATGGCTCACATCTAATTTCTTTTTTATTTTTTATTTTATTTTTCTGAGACAGAGTTTTGTTCTTGTTCCTCAGGCTGGAGTGCAATGGCGCAATCTTTGCTCATTGCAACCTCCATCTCCCGGGTTCAAGCAATTCTTTTGCCTCAGCCTCCCGAGTAGTTGCGATTACAGGCATGTGCCACCACGCGTGGCTAATTTTGTATTTTTAATAGAGACAGGGTTTCACCATGTTGGTCAGGCTGGCCTCAAACTCCTGACCTTGGGTGATCTGCCAGCCTCTGCCTCCCAAAGTGCTGGGATTACAGGCATGAGCCACTGCGCCCGGCTTTCACATCTAATTTCTATTGGACAGTTTTAACTTAGATTTCCTATGACAAAGTAAGTAAGGTAACCAGAAACACAAAAAGATTGACAGTCATGTAAAAGTTAAAAAGATGTGGTCAGAAATAAAGGGAGAGAGGGATCATGGAATAAACGGGTGTGAATTGGTGTAGTCAGGTATGAAATCCTAAATATGTTCTCAATAAGGGGCTACTAGCTCATCTTTTAGAAACATGGAAAATTCACTGAAGGAAAGGGAATGGAAGCATCTCATTCAGTGTTTTCAGGGGCAAGACCTCAACATTTAGAGGCTACCAGCTGTTCTCCTTTCGAGGTGTCTTTCTTATTCTATAGGGAAAAAAAACTATTACATATATGTTATAAGCCCTGAATTGCATGCTGACAAATAGGTTTCTCTATAGCTTAAGGATATAGGCAAAATTTTAGTAAAGGTAAGTTATTTTTACCTGAGACATGCCTAATAATGGTATATATTTTCATATATTTTCTCTTTTTTAAATCATACAGCAAAATAACTTTTTGTATGTCTTCTAATACACACACTTATAGGTAATAGCAGCAGACTTAGTAAATGTGATACTGTAGATTGGGCCACTCACTGCTCAATACAGAGTTTCTTGTGTATAGTTATAGCTAATAGTTTTCATTTTTGATGGAGATTTGTCAGATTTGTGTGTGGAGGTGGGTTGGGGGCGGTTAGAGACAAGGTCTTACTCTGTTGCCCAGATTGGAGTAGAGGGGTGTGATCATAGCTCACTGCAGCCTCAAACTCCTGGGCTTAAGCAATCTTCCTGTCTCAGCCTCCCAAGTAGCTAGGACTACAGGCATGAGCCACCACACCTGGCTGATTATTTTTTCTTTTGTTGTTGTTATTTTTTTTGGTAGGGATAGGATCTCACTCTGTTGCCCCGTCTAGCCTTCACTCTTGGCCTCAAACAATCCTCTTGATTCAGCCTCCAAAATATTTCTATCAGGTTTAAGATGGAAATGGAAATGCCTACCATTACTCATTTTGCATTGCAATAAATAAGCTTCATTACCAGTGGAAGCTTATTAATTTCTTTGTGGAAATGCATTCCTTGCTGATTAATTTCCCCTTTCCTTCATTTTTAAACTGCAAAAGATTTGTTTCAAAACCCAAAGATTAGGTATATTTCATTCTTTATTGAGCAAGTAACAAAAGAAAATACATTCACATTATTCAGGAAGCAATCATGAAGATACTTTATAGCTCATTTGTATCAATATCAAACTAATTTAATGACAAGTCAAACATCATGCCCTTTAATCATGGAAAACTGTAAGGTATTTCAGCTGAATAAATTAAGAGCAATTAACAAAAAAATGAGCTACACACATGAAGCTCATTATTTTAGGTTGAGGGATCCTTTCAATTTACCGGGATTATTTTCTTTGATGTGCCAGATGCCTGTTTTGCCCAACAAAAATCAAAACACTCCAAAGCATAAAAGTATGTACCCCATGTGTTGTTTAAGATGGACTTGATAACTAACATTGGACATTAACATTTGCAGCTATTATTCCTTGGTGAATAAATATTCCTTGTCCAAAGGAAAGATAGAAATATTCAAAATAATAAAATAAAACAAATCGGATTCAACTGTACAATTCATGCTGGAAAATTAGCTAAGATTAGGAAGAAAGAGGTTGAACATTGGTCACAAGTTGTCTGATAAAAGGCACAGATAAATGACATGCTGCTAGTCTTTTGTATTAGACAAAGAGAAACATGTTTCATACATCTGCTTGCTTTGAGCAGAAATCTTTTCTAAGCGTGTATAAATTTTCTAAAATTTTTCATAAAATATGTAAATATTTAGTAACACTGCCTCAGTGTTCCAATGGTTATACCAATGATATTTTTCAATGTTGGTTTTTAATGCGCCTATTAAAGGAAATTCAGGTAATTACTATCTTTTTCTTTTGCCAATGAATGAGATCAATAGCATGGATAATCCAAAACAGTGGGTGAATTTAAAAATAAATTGGATTCTACGGTGCACCATACTCTTGGTCATGTTTATACACATGGATTAGTGTTATGTGTATATGTGTTGAAATGAAACATCTTATATGTACACGTTAAAGTGTTTGCATTTCCTGAGATGTGACAATCAATCATTGTAAGGACAGAAATCTTGGAAACATTTTGGGTAACTAATATGTGTCTGCCATTTATTCAGATTTTCCAAAAATATTCTTGGAGCATCTTTTACCATTATAGGCTATTAGGATGTAGTCATGATTAAAATAGTCTACTTGAATTATATCCAGAAGGTAGAGCTGTTAAAATTATAAATAATCATCATGACAATGTTAGATTCTTAGAATACATAGAGCAGCAATGGCATTATTTCCCAACATAAGCCCCAGTTGGGACAGCCTCTCTGAGGAAGTGATTTTGTTTTTCTTAACTGTTTATTTTGAAAACATGTCAAATCTACAGAAAAGCTGCAAAAATGGTATAATGAACTCCCATATTTCCTCCACTTTGCTTAACCAATTGCTAACATTTTGCCCTCTTCTGTATGTCTCTATCTCAATTTTGTTGTGAACCAATTAAGAGTTACAGGCATCTTGACCCTTCTAAATCCTTCAGCCTGTGTTTGCTAAGAACAGTGCCATTTGGAGCATCACCATGACACAATATTACATTTAAGGCATTTAACATTAATACAAAACTAGAATCTCAAAGCAATCCATATTCTAAATTTGCCAATTGACCCAGAACTGTCCTTTTTAACAGGAGGAAGTGAATTTGACTAATAACCAAATGTTGAGCCCGACATAGCCTCATAAAAGGGATTTATGGGAATCAAGAAAGAAGGAACAGAAAATCCAAAGACATCTACATATTTGTATACATTTATTTTAAAAAGCATAGACCTAGCCAATATTCTTGGGATAATATTAACAATAAAATGTGGCTTGAAATAGGCTAATTAAAAATGTTTAGTGTAAAATTACATGTAATAACCTTGTAAAAATTGATACTCACATATTATTTCTATTTGGTTTTCCTCCATTTTACCCATGTACTCTTTATTTGCTTCTTGATAAAGTCAGTTAAAGCAATCTGCCACATAGCTCCATGTGTGAGATTTAGGAAAATTGTTGCCTGCAGAATTTCAAATATGGATATGAGGCATTTGGAAGCAATTTCTGATAAGAGAGTACCATAAATTGCTACCCTAAAGTACATTGGTCACATTACCCAACCAAATGTTTTTACTTAAACAAGATTCAGAGGGAGGAGGGATGTATTCACCACAAAACTTAATGGACTACAGTGCCATTACTTATTAAATAGACCTATTTATATGAAAAATGAACACTTAATGTATACATGCAGATAATGTAATCCCCTTTATCTTATCTATATACATGGAAGATTCTTATTACCATCAATCTGGTGGTCCCTTTTTGCTCATTCCATTTGCTTGAGAACTGTGTCTGGATTAATAATGAGTATATTTCCCAAAATGAGCATAGACAGAAGGCAAACTGGCCCTTTCCCAAGGACAAAGATAATCTCTCTAGGACTTTCAGAGGGACCAAAAGTCAGTTGGCCCTCATTGGGATCATGGAAAGTTTTTAACATCCTTCGTGTCCAGCAGAGGAACAGCCTGAATGTCTGGTTCTTTCTAACCTTTTAAAATGATAAAATAAATCCAAAGTATTATAGGCCATCTGGTACTTACAAGGCAACGTCTCCAGATAAGTCTGAGCAAAGGGCAGGCATATTACTCCCCTTGGGAGAGCATTTTGGTTATATTCATTCTATTTCTCTTGCTTGATCATGACCAAAGATATCACAAAAACCTCCTCTACTGATACAGTCCCCTTTTTTCACTCTTGAAATTGTCGTTATTCTTAATTATTGTCTAGATTACATATTTTTTAAAATTATCAAAATAAAAGCAAAGGTGATGATAACTCTAAAAGATATGTCACATACATATTTTAAATCTTACAGACATTTATTGCAGCATTGTAAAAACCTACAAAATGCCCAAAAGACCAACAAGAATAGAATGAGTAAATAAATTAACTTAATAAATATTAGCGAGATTAGTCATATTAAAGGGGAACACAGATGATACACACCTATGCCAAAGGAGGGCCATGATTTACAGAGTGAGGGGGAAAGAATACAACAAAACAAAAACCAGATAGCCAATTGCAAAATTAGAGTAGTCCTTTATTTTAAAAAGAAAACAAGCACTGTATGTGCTTATGTGTGTGCCAGTGCATGGTTATTTATATGTATGTATACACGTGTATGTGTGTATAGGTCTGTCTGTGTATAAATGAAGGAAGTCTGGACAGACACCAGCTAAGCTGTTGAGAGGAGTTCTCTAACCTGAATATGCCACTTAAAAAATAAAAAGCTGTATTAGTCTATTCTCACACTGCTATAAAGAACTGCCGAAGACTGGGTAATTAATAAAGAAAAGAGGTTTAACTGACTCACAGTTCCGCGTGGCTGGGGAGGCCTTAGGAAACTTAGAATCATGGCAGAAGGCACCTCTTCACGGGACAGCAAGAGAGAGAATGAGTGCCGAGCAAAGAGGGGAAAGCCCCTTATAAAACCATCAGATCTCATGAGAACTCACTGTCACAAGAACAGCATGGGGGTAACTGCCCCCATGATTCAATTACCTCCCACCAGGTCCCTCCCATGACATGTGGGGATTATGGGAACTATAATTCAAGATGAGATTTGGGTGGGGACACAGCCAAACCGTATCACAGAGATGTAATCGTAAGGTGATAATATGATTTGGCTCTGTGTCTCCACCCAAATCTCATGTCCAGTCGTAATCTCCATTGTTGGAGGTGGGGCCTGGTGGGAGGTGATTGGATCATGGGGGCAGTTGCTAACGGTTTAGCACTGTCCCTGTAGTGCTGTTTCATGATATAGTTCTCAGAAGTTCTGGTTGTTTAAAAGTGGCACTGCTCCCCTCTCTCTCCTGCTCCAGTCATACGAGACGTACCTGCTTACCATTCGCCTTCTGCCATGATTGTAAATTTCCTGAGGCTTCCCCAGCCATGCTTTCTGTACAGCCTGTGGAACCATTAGCCAATTAAGCCTCTTGTCTTTATAAATTACCCAGTCTTGGGTATTTCTTTATAGCAGTGCGAGAATGGACTAGTACAGTTAGTATAAAGAGCTGGCAGTTCAGCAAGTACCCAGTCTAGCCCCGTGTTCTTGGAACATGTGCCTTATTAAATAGGCAGTGAAAATTGAATCCAGATTAAGCTCCCTGAGTCTTTTAAGAAATGGTAATTTGGCCAATTATTTAATTTAAATTAAACAAAAACAGCACAATACCACCCACCTACTTTCCTCTTAAACATTTGGATATTTTAGCACAGAAAATCTGAGATGATTTAATTACCTCACTTGCATGTTGTTGACAACTGAAGATGAGATGACATTCATTTAAATTCTAAGCTTAATTTATTCCAGGCCATGTTTTTACCAATTTTCATTAATGGTAATGTAAGAAAAGGTTCAAAACTTATAAACTAGATTTTCACAAAACTAATTTTGAGTTGAAAGTTGGAGTATAATCTCATCATTGGGTTACTGGAGAGTAGGGCAAAGAGAAAGACACTGACTAGTTGTGACTATTATTCTTTTTTGTACCACTTTTTCTGTGGATACTTGTGTAGTTAAGTATGACTTCTAAGGTTGCCTTCTGCTGCCTTTTGGTTGTTTTCCAAAGCTTAGAACAGGACAAGAGGAGTCCTTATGATAGGAATCCTATTCTAAGTAAAGTTCTCACCAGCTGTGCGGACATTATGACCCTGGAGGTTCTGCCAGAGGTAGTTCATTGCTCACATATTACTTGCATAAGATTCTAGCTACATGAAGGGCTGGTAGATCAGGCTATTGGAGGGAGAACAGTAGCTGTGCTGTGTATTTTATAACCGCACACCACAATGGAAAAATAAAATAAGGTGCGTCTTTTTTACCTTCAGCCAACTGAGACGAAGATTTTCTTAAAAGGACCATTTTGGGAACTAGACCTATGCCCTCCTTAAGTTTGGGGAACACAGGAGTTAGTATCTGATGTTCAATGGAAGAATCTAAAGAGGAAGGGAGAGGGTAATAGAGCAAAGAGAACAAGGTGCATTGCAAGCTGACTGTACCTTCATTAAATGTAGAGCAAGAGAGTGTGGACCAGACATTGCCTGCCATGCCCGAAGGGAGCTGTTCCAGGGCTGTCTTCGAAGAGACCCAGCCAATGAGGCAGGAGAATGGCGTGAACCCAGGAGGCGGAGCTTGCAGTGAGCCGAGATCGCGCCACTGCACTCCAGCCTGGGCAGCAGAGCGAGACTCTGTCTCAAAAAATTAAAATTAAAATTAAAATTAAAAAATAGAAGAGACCCAGCCAAGAGGACCAGTGTCCACCGAGGAAGAAGTCCAGTTGATGATAAAGAAGGCATTGTTCTTGTCAAGTGAACAAGTTTGGACACTCCAGAAGGACCCCTCTAAGAGATTTAAGAATACCCTAGAAATTGGTCCTCCACTCGGATGAGATGATGGTCCAAAGCCAGATTACAACAGTTCCTTCATTGACATGGTGCTTTTCTTCACCAAAGGAGTGCACAAGACACCTTTCTGAAGATTTCACAATACTTAAAAAAAAAAATGAACTCTCCTCAGAGTGTCTTTTATAAATGTATGAGGTAGAATAAAAAATTAAATAAGCAGTAGAAACTTATTTAAGACAGTTCCACTCTGGCAAGACCTTTATTTTTCTTATTACTCCTCTCTCCTCCATGCACCCAACCCTATAGCAACCATACGTAGCTGCTGGTGAGGAGGAAGGGACCCTGAGGAAGAAGGAAGAACCCAGTCTACAAGTGAATGGAGAGAGAGAAGAGTTAAGATTGCTGAAGGACTGGTGGTTTACTATAGCACGGATGGAGCTTTTTATTTACCAAAATGACTCTTCTTCTAACTGAAGGAACATTAAAAAAATGACGTGTTTTGCAAAAGACTTAATCCAGGATAGAAAAGGGGATAGCACAGAAGAGGAGTTTGAAGGAGCAGAAGAAAAAAAGAATAAAATTATTTTCTGTTCACACTCTGCCAAGTCCAGTTCCTTCAATCCATAGATTATAAATTACTGTTTTAAATGAGTTTCTACCGCTACATTTATAAAAAACTCTGAGCAAGTCTTCATTTTTTTTTTTTAAGTGTCGTGAAATCTTTCAGAAAGATGTCTTCTGCGCTCCTTTGGCAAACAAAAGCACAATATCAATGAGGGCATCTCTTCTACAAGGAAAAGTCATGTTAAAAAAAGGACTGCATCGGCAGACATTCGGGACACTATTAAACCCGTAATTCCTTCTATTATGAATAGGAATTATGTGTGAACATCAAAAGAAAAACGAATTCTGCCTGGCATGCTATCATTTGCTATTGAGAGATTCTGGACTTTAATCATAAACCTTGAAAAGAGGCCATCACACCATTCACAAAGGGGAACCTTGGTCTGGACCGTTCAACAGAGTTAGAAATGATACCTGTGTTACTTGAAAGAATCAAACAAAAGAGCCTCCAATTAGCAAGCATTCCATTTTGCATTTTAGTATATGTATTTGTGTATTACCCCAAAAGCAAGTCATATACATAGATGTCAGAATTTGCAAACTCACAGCCCCAGGGATCACTGTTTGCCAGAATGGTGTTTTGTTTTTGTTTTTTACTCATGTTGTTTCTGTTTTATGACATTTTTTTATTGAGGTGTAATTAACATTCAATGCCAGATATATTTAAAAAGTAGAATTTGATAGAATTCTGTGTATGTGTATGCCTGCAAAATCATCACCACAGTCAGGATAGTGAACATATCCATCACCTCCAAATGTATCCTCATGCCTCTCTGTATTAGCTCTCTCCTACCTAAGCAACCCTCAGTCTGTTTCCTATCACTGTAGGTTAGTTCTCTCTAAAGGTTTATAAAAATTGCATCATACAGGATGTATTATTTTTTGTTCTCTTTCACGGAATATAATTATGTTGTAATCCATCAGGTTTTAGCAGGTATTAATAGTTCATTTCTGTTTATTACTGAGTAGTATATCATTGTATAGATATACCACAATTTGTTTACCATACCTATTGATGGATTTGTGGGTTATTTCTATTACTTGACTACTGCAAATTGTTTCTCTGAATATTTGTGCACAAATGTTTGTATGAAAAGAAGTTTAATTGGCTTATGGTTCCACAGGCTGTACAGAATAGCATTACCTAAGAGAGAATAATGTGTACATTTTTCTCTCTTAGGTAAATACCTAAGAGTAGAATGGCTAGATCGTATGATAGGTATATTTAGGCTTTTAAGAAACTGTTAAACTGTGTTTCCAAAGTGGTCGTGACCTTCTAATTTCTAATCACCATTTTATTAGTGTTCTAATTCCTTCACATACTTATTGTTTGGTATTGTCAATTTTTAAACTTCAACTATTGTAATAGGTTGTAGTGGTACTCATTGGGGTTTTAATTCACATTAATAATAATATTGAACATCCTTTGATGTGCTAATTTACCATCTGTATATCTTTGGTGAAATCTGTTCAAATCTTTTGTCTGTCGAGTTCTTTCTTTTCTTACTGAGTTTGGAGAGTTCTTTATATGTTTTGGACACACGTACTTTATCAGATAGGTGCCAGTCGTTTTGTTTTCTTCATGTAGTCTTTTGAAGAGCGGAAGTTTTTAATTTTGAAGTCAAATTTATCACTTTTTCTTTAACGGGTTTTCCATGTTCCTGCCTTTTGGAGATTACTATTTGTTAAGCATGCCCAATGCTTTGAAAAATATTGCATTAAGTATTATCTCTGCCCAGGTTTTTTTTTTTTTTTTTTTTTTTTGTTGTTTCAAGGGGGTATAGTGAATCCAGTTTCTATTACATTTTAGCCAGCTGCAGAAGGTTGGTTGTTACTTTAAGTTTTTCTGGCCAATATTTAACAATACACAGACATATAAATATCTACATAATTAGATTCCCTTGAAAATTATCTGGCCATGCAGTGGTCACATCCCTGCACAAAACAGGCTGGAACAGTGTGACCTGCAGTTTGGTTACCTATTTTCCCCATTAAACTTAATGAGTCCACTGGTAGAAAATGATATTAATGGCAACATGGTTACTCAGCTTCTCTATGTACCCAAATATAACCGTTTATCTAGGTAAATTGCATGGGCAAAGAGTTTTAGTCATTTCATTAAAAAATCATCCCTTACTATTAAATGGAAAAAAAAAAAGCACATCTGATTAGAAATGGTGAAAACTATTACCTTTATTTGCAAAGAAAGGAAGAATGGACATTTTTAGTACCAGGCATATTAGTACCAGGTATTTTAACACACAATATTCAGTAAAACCAATGCATTCAAGTCCTAAAGCAATGCTATGATTAATTCATTAAAATACATATTTATTAGCACACAATGCACAAGAGGAACTGCCTGATGACGGAGGTGGGCATATAGAGTGTTCGGATATAATTATCATCTCACAGGTGCAGCCTCCCGGCAATTCTGGAAGACTTGCAGCCTGTTCTTGCAAGCCCTGTTCTTCCAGGCTTGGGAGCTGGTTAACTTATGAAAAATATAATTATTCTTTTCAATGGAAATTGCCTGAGGGTGATACAGATTGGACATATCAGCCTTCATTCTAATTTGGTAGTTTTGCGAGTATTATCCAATTGCTTCTGAGACAGGTCAAGCTATCTCCTCTGGATGTGTGGACAGAAATACTTTCTCTATTTAATTCCTATGAGGTGGTTTTGTAACTACTCCCACTTATTGTTCAGCCTGGTTACTGTGCCAGGACTGATGAGAGGTATAAAATAAACAACAAGCAACTCTTAAAGATCAAGCCAATTTGGACTTAGGGCCTGGCACGGAATTAAGTCATAGTAAACTAGAATGAAGCTGAAGCTTCACGGGCTTTTAGGGCTGAATAGACTTTTTTTTACAGGCACAGAATTATGTATGTCAAAGAGTTCATTTAAGGTCAGAAATAGGTCTTTGCATTCAGTCTTAGCCTTGTATATATGATCAGTAGTCTCTTCCTCACCCTGCCGGTCTCTTTCAACACAAGGGCAGCTCATACTAGTCCTTATAAGCAGGTAAGAGATTGAGTTTTATCCTAAAGTAGTAGAAAGCCATGAATGGTGGTGCCTGCATGTGGCTTGATCAGACTGTGTCTTGAAAATATCCCTCTAACTCCCAGACTCAGGTTTTACATGTGTTAAGAAAAAAAACAATTAATCATAGCACAGGTGTAGTTATAAGCACTAAATAAGAGAATTCATGTAAAAAGCCTAGCATATTGCCTGTTTGTAACCTAGACCCACAACAAATCTTGATTGTAAATATTGAAGCATGTATATCTTTGCTTCTTTACTCACTCCTTCACTACACTGCAGTTCCATGAGAACAGAGAACACATCTAACTTAGCTGACTATAAAATCCAAGTGCCTAGCACAGAGAAGGAAATGAGTAAACACTGCCTGAAGGAGTGGATAAATGGATATATGTGAACATCCAGAAAATATGCTGGGAGACTTTCTTTCATTGAACTCATCGCAATCTTATGCGCGTGTGAATATTTGATTAAGGTCTGGATCCTGCACTTGACTATAGGCCCATAGAGGCAAACATTGTGTTTTTCCTGCTCACTCATTGCTGCTTTCTGAGCATCTAGGGGTGTCTGGTACATAGCTTTTGATTGTAAGTATTTGTAGAATAAATTAATATAGTGGGTGCCCCTGTTTTACCGGGGGATGCACATAGTCTTTTAAGTGGTAATTGAGTAGTTATCTTGATAAACGTCTATCTCCTCCCCTAGTGCGTAAGTTCACTGAGGGTGGGATCCACTTGTTTTGACCAGCCCTCCAGTGCCCAACACAGCACCTGTAGCATAGAAAATATCTAATATATATTATGGACTGGATAACATAGTTCCCAAATGAAAGATAAGTAACATGCTCAATTAATTTCATATTCAGGAAGAGTTTTGGAAAGAATTTATGTTCCATTGACTATTTTATTTTATTTTTGGAACAAAATATTGAACAATCTGGAGGTGAAAAAAAAATTATTCTTTGAAAATTCACACTTTTGAGAAATCTCAAGAGGCCCTTCTTTCCCCTTGGTATTAAACAAGGCCAATGATATTACCAAGCTGAAGCTAAACTGGCATGAATTATTCAGAGCAGCAGGAAAAGCAGCTGCTCATCCTCTCTGTCCATAATTTTGAAGGGTGGAGAATTGGAGGGCAGCACTGACAACAACAGGGGGGAAGAAAAGATAAATTGTTGCCCTAAACCTCATAAGCTACAACATCTGCAGCACTATGTTTAATTTGGAAGCAGAGTCCACAGTGTCTGCCATAGGTAACAAGGACAAAAAATGGTAGAAAGCTTATGAATGTGTGCTTGGATAGCAGGAGAGAGAGAGACTGAGGAAAACCAGGAGGGAAAGGAAGAGAAGGGAATGGGGAGAGACAGAGGAGGAAGAGACAAGGAGAGACAGCCATCCACCCTAGAAGGCAGGAGGAAAAATTTGAGTTGAGGAACTTCAGGGAAATATAAAATTTAGAGATGGGTATAAGAAAAATATTTTCAAATTAAAATGTGCTATAAAATTAAAAGAAAAAGATCTGGCTTTAAGCCTGGCTGCAGTGGCTCATGCCTATGATTTCAGCACTTTGGGAGGCTGAGGTGGGAGGATCACCTGAGGTCAGAAGTTCAAGACCAGCCTGGCCAACATGGTGAAACCCCAGCTCTATTAAAAATACAAAAATTAGCCAAGCATGGTGGCATGCACCTGTAGTCCCAGCTACTCGGGAGGCTGAGGCCGGAGATTCACTTGAACCCGAGAGACAGAGGTTAACTGAGCCAAAATTGCGCCATTGCCCTTTAGCCTGGGCCACAGAGCAAGACTCCATCTTTAAAAAAAAAAAAAAAGGGGGGGGGAGGGGAAGATCTAGCTTTGAACTGAAGAAATTCCCTGCCTCCTAGATCATTTCTACCTCTTTGACACAGAGGATGTTTTTGAGTATTTTAGAGATCTTGGGGTCCAGCAGAGTGGAAGACAGGAAGGTGCTATGGGAGAGAGGAAGGGGTAGGGAAGTTGTGGCTGCGACTATAAATATTGGGAATTTTAGAACTAGGATGCACTTTAGAGGTCCCACCATATGGTCCTGGGTTGTAGAATTTGAGACATGTCCGATTTTCTTCTTGATTAAAATGACTTTTAGATGATGGATATATTGATCTATATAAAACAATCTAGGACCTACAAAGTTGTATTTAAATCAACCTGAAAACTTTCTGACCACATCATCTGCTGCCCTTTGTTGAAATTCAAGAGCAGACTGTCAGTCAGTAATGGGAATAGAGCCGAACATGAAATACAGTGCTTTTTGGTGGAGAAGGGGCATGTGATCAGTGTCTCTGTAGAGACAGCACTGTGAGGTTAAGAAACCAAGTAAGGCCCATGCAGCCTTTCATAAAAGAAAATGTGAAATAAAAAGAGGACCTACAAGGCATGAATCCTATTACATTGGTTGAAAACAATTTAAAGACAAAATTAGAAGTCACCCTTTTTTGACAACCCATAAACACATACTTACATGCATATAAACATATGTATATACACACATTAAACATTGATAGAATTTCTCTTTTTAAAGCAGTGGTTTTCAATCAGAAATGGTTTTCCTCTCAAGGAACATTAGACAGTGTCTGAAGACATTTTTGGTTGTCACAAATGAGTAGGGAGAGGTGTTATTGGCGTTGGGTGGGGACACGCTAAGGATACCATCAACATCCCATAGTGCACAGGACAACAGGAATGGCCTGGCCCCCAGTGTCAGAAGGGGAGAAGTTGAGAAACACTCAAGGAAGAGGAATAACAGAGAAATTATCTTAGTAAAATAGCAGAAACTGTCATTATTGTGCCAAAGCCTTGTGTTTGAGTCTTTATGACCTGCATGACTAATTCTCAAAACATTCCTTAAAAGGTCATTGTTAGCATTTGCTTAAAGGGAAAGGAAATCTAGGAGAGGTTAATTATCCAAAGCCACTTTGCTCTAAGGAGGAAATACAGAATAGCAATTCAGGTTGGTTGTACTCACACAGCTGGCCTCAAATCCCTCATAAGGAAGGTGCTATCTTTGCAAAGAAAACTACTTTGATAAAAGAGGTGAATTTTAATGAATAGGCCTCAGGTAAAGATAGAGGCGAATCCATAGGAAAAAAAAAAAACTTGATTTGAACTGCAGAACAAAATAAGTAATACTTTTTCTCTCTATAAAAATACAGTAAAATAGATTTTTTCTCCCTTCCAGTTTGGCTGAGGCAAAGAGACAATATGGAAAGTACCTTTATATTCCAAAGTGATATTCCAAAAGTCAAACTTACAAACTTACAGGTAGTTGGAAACCACTTTTGTGTATCCTGTTCCAGCTGTAACTGAAGCTTGAATGGCTGAGACAGAAGAGTTGGAGAGGAGAGGAGGATTTTAGAGAGAGCCATAGGTATACCGTGAGTCTTGTCACCCCAACTAGGAAGGCATGGAATACTTTTCTGTCACCTCAATCCTAGCGAAAGAGGTGGAGGCTTCATGTGTTTTTGAGCTTGTGGGACAAAGGAGGCTGCTGTTGCAACTAGGCCTGAGAAATGTGAAAGGATCATGTCTCTGCACAGTTAGCCACTTGGCCTTACAGTTGCTGTGAAGGAATGGCCTTTGATCCCCAGGTTTGCCACAACAAAAGTGCATGAATGCTCACTGGTCAACATGGGTGGCATCTCAGTGACAGAGAAGGACCTTGGGTTGTCTTGCATCCTAACCAGGAGTGTTACCTGGATAGATGGCTCATACTCAACTGAAAGGCTGAATGACCAGAGGTTGATGGAGGAATCCTGAGCTGATTATTATCTGAGACTATTGGAGCTAGAGATGATGAAAAAGCTGGAGCCAAACCTCTAATGTCTCAGAAGAGACCAAAAAAGGAAACAGAACTCTCCTCACGTGTTGGGTGGTACTCATATCCACTATGTTCTAATCTAATGGGTCTGAGACTTTGCTGGCCTCTGGATTAACTAAATACAACAATTAATTGACAATCAAGATCTGATTATTATTTTTTGAGACAGAGTCTCGCTCTGTCACCAGGCTGGAGTGCAGTGGCACAATCTTGGCTTACTGCAATCTCAGCCTCCCCGGTTCAAGCGATTCTCCTGTCTCAGCCTCCTGAGTAGCTGGGACTACAGGCACACATGACCACACCCAGCTAATTTTTGTATTTTTAGTAGAGTTGGGGTTTCACCATGTTAGCCAGGATGGTCTTGATCTCTTGACCTCGTGAGCTGCCTGCCTTGGTCTCCCAAAGTGCTGGGATTACAGGCGTGAGCCACCGCGCCAGGCCAAGATCTGATTATTTAAAAAATGTGGGTCCTATTCTGAAGGACTTTCAAATTTAATAAGAGGGAAAAAAATCTGATCACCAACCATTGACTAAGGCAAATGGTCTAACATTCAAAAATTAAAATTCTCACTTTAAATTGTTATTTTTACAGCTTTATTGTGGTATAAGTGACATATAAAAACTGCATGTACTTAATATATACAATTTGATGAGTTTGGATATATGCATACACCAGTGATACCACCATCATAATAAAGGTAATAAACTATCCATTACCTTCACAAATTTTCTTCTGTACCTTTATAATTTTTGTGGTAAGAACATTTAGCATGAGATCTACTCTCTTAACTGTTTTTATTTCTTTTATTCTTAATTTTGTGGGTACAGTTTTTAAGTGTACAATGCAGCAGTTAATTACAGACACTATGTTGTTCAGCAGATCTTTAGAACTTACTTTGTATGACTATAACTTGATAACTATTTAACAATTTTCTATTTCTCCCTCTCCCCCATGCCCTGGAAACCACCATTCTATTTTCTGCTTCTATAAGTTCAACTATTTAATATACTTTATGCAAATAAAATCATGAGGTATTTTTTCCTCTGTGACAGGCATTTCACTCAGCATAATGTCTTCCTGGTTAATCCATATTGTTGCAAATGATAAGATTTATTGATTTTTTTTTTTTTTTTTTTTTTTTTTTTTTTTTTTTTTGAGACGGAGTCTCGCTCTGTCACCCAGGCTGGAGTGCAGTGGCGGGATCTCGGCTCACTGCAAGCTCCGCCTCCCGGGTTCACGCCATTCTCCTGCCTCAGCCTCCCAAGCAGCTGGGACTACAGGCGCCCGCCACTACGCCCGGCTAATTTTTTGTATTTTTAGTAGAGACGGGGTTTCACCGTTTTAGCCGGGATGGTCTCGATCTCCTGACCTCGTGATCCGCCCGCCTCGGCCTCCCAATTATTGATTTTTTAAGGCTGAATAATATTCCATTGTATGTGCATATCACATTTTCTTTGTCTTTATTCATTCATCTGTACATAGGCATTTAGGTTGCTTCCATGTCTTGGTTATTGGGAATAACACTGCAATAAACATGAGAGCACAGATCATATTTTGAGTTTCTAACTTCAGTTCCTTTGGATACATAGCCAGAGGTGAGATTACAGGGTCATATGGTAGTTCTATTTTTAATTTTGTTGAAGAACCTCAATATATTTTCCCGTAGCAGCTATACCATTTTACATTCCCAGCAACAGTGTACAAGGATTTCAATTTTCTCACAACCTTACCAACACTTATTTTTTTATATAATGATTGTCTTAGCAGGTCTGAGGTGATAGCATATGAGAAGCAAAAACTTCCGAACTATTTTTATAAGGCCAGTAATACCCTAATACCAAAGCTACACTAAAACAGTGTAAGAAAAGAAAATTGAAGGCTAATACACCAATAAACATAGAATGTAAAAAGCCTCAACAAAATCCTAGCAAACCAAATTCAACAGCACAGTGAAAGAATCATATACCATTATCAAGTGGGATTTATCCCTAAAATGGTTTAACATATGCAAAGCTATAAATGTGATATACCACTTTAACAGAATAAAGTATAAAAGTCATAATAAATGCAGGGGTAGCATTTGACTAAATTAAATACCCTTTTAATATAATGCTCAACACAGTAGGTATAAAAGGAATCTGTATCAACATAATAAAGGCCATATATGAAAATCCCACAGCTAACATCATTCTCAATGTAGAGAAAACTAAAAATTTTTCCTCTAACATCAGAATTAAAACAAGGATGTTCACTCTCATCACTTCTATGCAACCTTGTGCTGGAAGCTCCAGCCAGAGCAATTAGACAAGAAAAAGCATCAAACTCGGAATGAGAGACGGAAAGTCATCACTGTTGGTTGAGGACATGATGGTATAAGTAGAAAATACTAAACACCTCACAAAAAACCTTAGAACTAATAAGCGAATTCAGAAAAGTTTCAGGATACAAGATCAACACAAAAAAATCAGTTGCATTTTATATGCTAATAGTAAAATATCTATAAAATATGAAAACACAATGTCATTTACAATAGCATCACAAAGAATAAAATACATAGGAATAAACATAACAAAGGAGGCAAAAAGCATACACTCATTGATGAAAAAATTAACATGAATAAATTGGATCCCATGTTCATGGATTAAAACAATTAATATTGTGAAAATCTCCACTCTGCCTAAAGCAGTCTACAGATTCAATCTATTTCCTTCATGATCCTAATGACATTTTTTTAAAGAACTAGACAAAAATAATCCTTAAATAGCTAAAACAATCTTTTTAAATTATACTTTAAGTTGTGGGGTACATGTGCAGAACGTGCAGTTTTGTTACATAGGTATACACGTGCCATGGTGGTTTGCTGCACCCATCAACCCGTCACTTATATTAGGTATTTCTCCTAGTGCTGTCCCTCCCCAAACTCTCCCACCACCTGACCGGCCCCGGTGTGTGATGTTTCCCTCCCTGTGTGCATGTGTTCTCATTGTTCAGCTCCCACTTATGAGTAAGAATATGTGGTGTTTGGTTTTCTGTTCTTGTGTTAGTTTGCTGAGAATGATTTCCAGCTTCACGCATGGCCTTGCAAAGGACATGAACTCATCCTTTTTTATAGCTGCATAGTATTTCGTGTATATGTGCCACATTTTCTTTATCCAGTCTATCATTGATGGACATTAGGGTTGGTTCCAAGTCTTTGCTATTGTGAATAGTGCCACAATAAACATACGTGTACATGTGTCTTAATAGTAGAATTATTTATAATCTTTTTGGTATATACTCAGTAATGGGATTGCTGGGTCAAATGTTATTTCTCCTTCTATATCCTTCAGGAATCGCCACACTGTCTTCCACAATGGGTGAACTAATTTACACTCCCACTAACAGTGTAAAAGCATTCCTATTTCTCCACATTCTCCCCAGCATCTGTTGTTTCCTGACTTTTTAATGATTGTCATTCTAACTGGCGTGAGATGGTATTTCATTGCGGTTTTGATTTGCATTTCTGTGATGACCAGTGATGATGAGCATTTTTTCATATGTTTGTTGGCTGCATAAATGTCATCTTTTGAGAAGTTGCTGTTCATATCCTTTGCCCACTTTTTGATGGGGTTGTTTTTTTTCTTACAAACGTGTTTAAGTTATTTGTCGTTTCTGGATATTAGCCCTTTGTCAGATGGATAGATGGCAAAAATTTTCTCCCATTCTGTAGGTTGTCTGTTCATGCTGATGACAGTTTCTTTTGCTGTGCAGAAGCTCTTTGTTTTGATGTGCTGCTGGTTCCCATTTGTCAATTTTGGCTTGTGTTGCCATTGCTTTTGGTGTTTTAGACATGAAGTCTTTGCCCATGTCTATGTCCTGAGTGGTATTGCCAAGGTTTTCTTTAGGATTTTTATGGTTTTAGGTCTTAGGTTTCAGTCTTTAATCCATCTTGAGTGGATTTTTGTATAAGGTATAAGGAAGGGGTCCAATTTCAATTTTTTTTTGCATGTGGCTAGCTAGTTTTCCCAACAGCATTTATTAAATAGGGAATCTTTTCCCCATTGCTTGTGTCAGGTTTGTCAAAGATCAGATGGTTGTAGATGTGTGGTGTTATTTCTGAGGACTCTGTTCTGTTCCATTGGTCTATATCTCTGTTTTGGTACCAGTACCATGCTGTTTTTGTTACTGTAGTCTTGTAGTATAGTTTGAAGTCAGGCAGCATGATGCCTCCAGCTTTGTTCTTTTTGCTTAGGATTGTCTTGGCTATGCAGGCTCTTTTTTGATTCCATATGAAGTTTAAAGTAGTTGTTTCTAATTCTGTGAAAAAAGTCAATGGTAGCTTGATGGGGGTAATATTGAATCTATAAATTGCTTTGGGCAGTATGTCCATTTTCATGATATTGATTCTTCCTATCCATGAGCATGGAATGTTTTTCCATTTGTTTGTGTTCTCTTATTTCCTTGAGCAGTGTTTGTATTTTTCCTGGAAGAGGTCCTCCACATTCCTTGTAAGTTGTATTCCTAGGTATTTTATTCTCTTACTAGCAATTGTGAATGGGATTTCATTCATGATTTGGCACTCTGTCTGTTATTGGTGTATAGGAATGCTTGTGATTTTTGCACACTGATTTTTGTATCCTGAGATTCTGAAGTTGCTTATCAGCTTAAGGAGATTTTGGACTGAGGTGATGGGGTTTTCTAAATATACAATCATGTCATCTGCAAACAGACAATTTGACTTCTTCTCTTTCTGTTTGAATATGCTTTATTTCTTTCTCTTGCCTGATTGCACTGGCTAGAATGTCCAATACTATGTTGAGTAAGAGTGGTGAGAGAGGGCAGCATTGTTTTGTGACAGTTTTCAAAGGGAATGATTCTGGCTTTTGCCCATTCAGTAGGATATTGGCTGTGGGTTTGTCATAAATAGCTCTTATTTTGAGATATGTTCCATTGATACCTAGTTTATTGAGAGTTTTTAGCATGAAGGGGTGTTGAATTTTGTTGAAGGCCTTTTCTGCATCTATTGAATCACGTGGTCTTTGTCATTGGTTCTGTTTATGTGATGGATTACAGTTATTGATTTGCATATGTTGAACTAGGCTTGCAGCCCAGGTGCGAAGCTGCCTTGATCATGGTGGATAAGCTTTTTGATGTGCTGCTGGATTCGGTTTGCCAGTATTTTATAGAGGATTTTCACATCAATGTTCATCAGGGATATTGGCCTGAAATTTTCTTTTTTTGTTGTGTCCCTGCCAGGTTTTGGTATTAAGATGGTGCTGGCCTCATAAAATGAGTTAGGGAGGATTCCCTCTTTTTCTATTGTTTGGAATAGTTTCAGAGAGATTTGTATCAGCTCCTCTTTATACCTCTGGTAGAATTCAGCTGTGAATCCATCTGTTCCTGGACTTTTTTTGGTTGGTAGGCTATTAATTACTGCCTCAATTTCAGAACTTGTTATTGGTCTATTCAGGGATTTGACTTCTTCCTGGTTTAGACCTGGGAGGGTGTATGTGTCTAGGAATTTTTCCATTTCTTCTAGATTTTCTAGTTTATTTGCATAGCGATGTTTATAGCATTCTCTGATGGTAGTTTGTATTTCTGTGGGATCAGTGGTGATATCCCATATATCATTTTTTATTTTGTCTATTTGGTTCTTCTCTATTCTTCTTTATTAGTCTGGCTGGCAGTCTGTCTATTTTGTTGATCTTTTCAAAAAAACCAGCTCCTGGATTTATTGATTTTTGTGAAGGGCTTTTCATGTCTCTATCTCCTTCAGTTCTGCTCTGATCTTAGTTATTTCTTGCTGTTTGCTAGCTTTTGAATTTGTTTGCTCTTGCTTCTCTAGTTCTTTTAATTGTGATGTTAGGGAGTCGATTTTAGATCTTTCCTGCTTTCTCTTGTGGGCATTTAGTGCTATAAATTTCCCTCTACACGCTGCTTTAAATATGTCCCAGAGATTCTGGTACATTGTATCTTTCTTTTCATTGGTTTCAAAGAACATCTTTATTTCTGCCTTCATTTCGTCATTTACCCAATAGTCATTCAGGAGCAGGTTGTTTAGTTTCCGTGTAGTTGTGTGGTTTTGAGTGAGTTTCTTAATCCTGAGTTCTAATTTGATTGCACTGTATTCTGAGAGACTGTTTGTTACGATTTCTGTTCTTTTGCATTTGCCGAGGAGTGGTTTACTTCCAATTATGTAGTCAGTTTTAGAATCAGTGTGATGAGGTGCTGAGAAGAATGTATATTCCGTTGATTTGGGGTGGAGAGTTCCATAGATGTCTATTAGGGCCACTTGGTCCAGAGCTGAGCTCAAGTCCTGAATATCCTTGTTAATTTTCTGTCTTGATGATCTAATATGCAGAGTGAGGTGTTAAAGTCTCCCACTACTATTGTGTGGGAGTCTAAGTCTCTTTGTAGGTCTCTAAGTACTTGCTTTATGAATCTGGGTTCTCCTCTACTAGGTGAATATATATTTAGGATAGTTAGCTCTTCTTGATGCATTGATCCCTTTACCATTATGTAATGCCCTTGTTCATCTCTTTTGATCTTTGTTGGTTTAAAATCTGTTTTATCAGAGATTAGGATTGCAACTCCTGCTTTTTTTTTTTTCTTTCCATTTGCTTGGTATATATTCCATCCTCCCTTTACTTTGAGCCTATGTGTGCCTCTACATGAGACAGGTCTCCTGAATACAGCACACTAATGGGTCTTGACTCTTTATCCAATTTGCCAGTCTGGGTCTTTTAATTGGGGCATTTAGCCCATTTACATTTAAGGTTAATATTGTTATGTGTGAATTTGATCCCACATTAGGATGCTAGCTAATTGTTTTGCCCGTTAGTTGATGCAGTTTCTTCATAGCGTCTTCAATGTTCTTTACAATTTGGTATGTTTTTGCAGTGGCTGGTACTGGTTGTTCCTTTCCATGTTTAGTGCTTCCTTCAGGAGTTCTTGTAAGGCAGGCCTACTGGTGAAAAAATCTCTCAGCGTTTGCTTGCCTGTAATTAATTTTATTTTTCCTTCGCTTATGAAGCTTAGATTGGCTGGATATGAAATTCTGGGTTGAAAATTCTTTTTTTTTTTAATACTTTAAGTTTTAGGGTACATGTGTACAATGGACAGGTTTGTTACATATGTATACATGTGCCATATTAATGTCCTGCACCCATTAACTCGTCATTTAACATTAGGTATATCTCCTAATGCTATCCCTCCTCCCTCCCCCCACCCCACAACAGGCCCCAGTGTGTGATGTTCCCCTTCCTGTGTCAATGTGTTTTCATTGTTCAATTCCCACCTATGAGTAAGAACATGCAGTGTTTGATTTTTTGTCTTTGCGACCGTTTGCTGAGAATGATGGTTTCCAGCTTCAGCCATGTCCCTACAAAGGACATGAACTCATCATTTTTTATGGCTGCATAGTATTCCATGGTGTATATGTGCCACATTTTCTTAATCCAGTCTATCATTGTTGGACATTTGGGTTGGTTCCAAGTCTTTGCTATTGTGAATAGTGCTGCAATAAATATACGTGTGCATGTGTCTTTATAGCAGCATGATTTATAATCCTTTGGTTATATACCTAGTAATGGGATGGCTGGGTCAAATGGTATTTCTAGTTCTAGGTCCCTGAGTAATCGCCACACCGACTTCCACAATGGTTGAACTAGTTTACAGTCCCACCAACAGTATTAAAGTGTTCCTATTTCTCCACATCCTCTCCAGCACCTGTTGTTTCCTGGCTTTTTAATGGTTGCCATTCTAACTGGTGTGAGATGGTATCTCACTGTGGTTTTGATTTGCATTTCTCTGATGGCCAGTGATGATGAGCATTTTTTCTTGTGTCTTTTGGCTGCATAAATATCTTCTTTTGAGAAGTGTCTGTTCATATCCTTTGCCCACTTGTTGATGGGGTTGTTTGTTTTTTTTTTTTTTTTTTTTTTTTTTTTTTGAGACGGAGTCTCGCTCTGTCGCCCAGGCCGGACTGCGGACTGCAGTGGCGCAATCTCGGCTCACTGCAAGCTCCGCTTCCCGGGTTCACGCCATTCTCCTGCCTCAGCCTCCCGAGTAGCTGGGACTACAGGTGCCCGCCACCGTGCCCGGCTAATTTTTTGTATTTTTAGTAGAGACGGGGTTTCACCTTGTTAGCCAGGATGGTCTCGATCTCCTGACCTCATGATCCACCCGCCTCGGCCTCCCAAAGTGCTGGGATTACAGGCGTGAGCCACCGCGCCCGGCCTGTTTTTTTCTTGTAAATTTGTTTGAGTTCATTGTAGATTCTGGATATTAGCCCTTTGTCAGATGAGTAGCTTGCAAAAATTTTCTCCCATTCCATAGGTTGCCTGTTCACTCTGATGGTAGTTTCTTTTGCTGTGCAGAAGCTCTTGAGTTTAATTAGATCCCATTTGTCAATTTTGGCTTTTGTTGCCATTGCTTTTGGTGTTTTAGACACGAAGTCCTTGCCCATGCCTATGTCCTGAATGGTATTGCCTAGGTTTTCTTCTAGGGTTTTTATGGTTTTAGGTCTAACATTTAAGTCTTTAATCCATCTTGAATTAATTTTTGTATAAGGTGTAAGGAAGGCATCCAGTTTCAGCTTTCTACATATGGCTAGCCAGTTTTCCCAGCACCATTTATTAAATAGGGAATCCTTTCCCCATTTCTTGTTTTTGTCAGGTTTGTCAAAGATCAGATAGTTGTAGATATGTGGCATTATTTCTGAGGGCTCTGTTCTGTTCCATTTGTCTATATCTCTGTTTTGGTACCAGTATCATGCTGTTCTGGTTACTGTAGCCTTGTAGTATAGTTTGAAGTCAGGTAGCGTGATGCCTCCAGCTTTGTTCTTTTGGCTTAGGATTGTCTTGGCAATGCGGGCTCTTTTTTGGTTCCATATGAACTTTAAAGTAGTTTTTTCCAATTCTGTGAAGAAAGTCATTGGTAGCTTAATGGGGATGACATTGAATCTATAAATTACCTTGGGCAGTATGGCCATTTTCACAATATTGATTCTTCCTACCCATGAGCATGGAATGTTCTTCCATTTTTTTTGTATCCTCTTTTATTTCTTTGAGCAGTGGTTTGGAGTTCTCCTTGAAGTGAACTCCCATTCACAAATGCTTCGAAGAGAATAAAATACCTAGGAATCCAACTTACAAGGGATGTGAAAATTCTTTTCCTTAAGAATGTTGAATATTGGCCCCCACTCTCTTCTGGCTTGTAGGGTTTCTGCTGAGAGATTCACTGTCAGTCTGATGGCCTTCCCTTTGTGAGTAACCCAACCTTTACCTTTCTATCTGGCTGTCCTTAACATTTTTTCCTTCATTTCGACCTTGGTGAATCTGACGATTATGTGTCTTGGGGTTGCTCTTCTCGAGGAGTATCTTTGTGGTCATCTCTGTATTTCCTGAATTTCAATGTTGGTCTGTGTTGCTAGGTTGGGGAAGTTCTCCTGGATAATATCCTGAAGAGTGTTTTCCAACTTGGTTCCATTCTCCCCGTCACTTTCAGTACACTAATCAAACATAGATTTGGTCTTTTCACATAGCTCCATATTTCTTGGAGGCTTTGTTTGTTCCTTGTTATTTTTTCCCTAATCTTGTCTTCTCTCTTTATTTCATTAAGTTGATCTTCAGTCACTGATATCCTTTCCTCTGCTTGATCAATTCAGCTATTGATACTTGTGTATGCTTCACAAAGTTCTCATCCTGTGTTTTTCAGCTCCATCAGGTCATTTATGTTCTTCTCTAAACTGGTTATTCAGTTAGCAATTCGTCCATCCTTTTTTCAAGTTCTTAGCTTCCTTGCATTGGGTTAGAACATGTTTCTTTAGCTTGGAGGAGTTTGTTGTTACCCACCTTCTGAAGCCTACTTCTGTCAATTCTCCAAACTCATTCTCCAACCAGTTCTGTTCCCTTGCTGGTGAGGAGTTGTGATCCTTTGGAGAAGAATTGTTCTGGTTTTTGCAATTTTTAGCCTGTTTGCGCTGGTTTCTCCCCATCTTTGTGGATTTATCTACCTTTGGTTTTTGATCTTCTTGGTGACCTTTGGATGGAGTCTTTGAGTGGATGTGCTATTCCTTTGTTTGTTAGTTTTCCTTCTAACAGGCCCCTCTGCTGCAGGCCTGCTGGAAATTGCATGAGGACCACTCCTGACCCCGTTTGCCTGGGTATCACCAGTAGAGGCTGCAGAACAGCAAAGATTTCAGCCTCTTCTTTCCTCTGGAAGCTTCATCCCAGAGGGGCACCTGACACATGCCAGCCAGAGCTCTCCTGTATGAGGTATCTGTCAGTGCCTGTTGGGAGGTGTCACCCAGTCAGGATACATGGTGGTCAAGAACCCACTTGAGGAGGCAGTCTGACCCTTATCAGAGCTCAAACGCTGTGCTGGGAGGTTTGCTGCTCTCTTCAGAGCCGTCAGGCAGGGATGTTTAAATCTGCTATAGCTGCACCCACAGCCACCCCTTACCCCAAGTGCTCTGTCCCAGGTAAATGGGGGCTTTATCTATAAGTCCCTAACTGGGGCTGCTGCCTTTTTTTCAGAGATGCCCTGCCCAGAGAGGACAAATCTGTCAGTCCAGCCACAGCAGCCTTGCTGAGCTGCAGTGGGCTCCGCCCAGTTCGAACTTCCTGGTGGCTTTATTTACACTGTGAGCATAAAGCCGCATACTCAAGCCTCAGTAATGGTGGACACCCCTCCCCACACCAAGCTTGAGTGTCCCAGGTCAATCTCAGACTGCTGCTGTGCTGGCAGTGAGAATTTCAACCCAGTGGATCTTAGTTTGCTGGGCTCCATGGAGGTGGGACCTGCCGAATGAGACTGCTTGGCTCCCTGGCTTCAGCACCCCTTTCCAGGGAAGTGAATGGTTCTGTCTCACTGGCATTCCAGCTGCCACTGAGGTATGGAGAGAAGAAAAAAAAAAAAAAAGACTTCTGCAGCTAGTTCAGTGTCTGCCCAAATGGCCACACAGTTTTGTGCTTGAAACTTGGGGACCTGGTGGGGTAGGCACCACAGGGAATCTCCTGGTCTTGAGGGTATGAAGACCATGGGACAATCGCAGTATCTGGGCAGGAGTCCCCAGTTCCTCAGGCTCGGTCCCTCACAGCTTCCCTTGGGTAGGGGAGAAAATTCCCCAACCCCTTGCACTTCCCTGATTTGACTCACCCTCCATGGGCTGCACCCACTGTCCAACCAGTCCCAATGAGATGAACCAGGTACCTCAGTTGGAAATGCAGAAATCACCTGTCTTCTGTGTCTGTCTCACTAGGAGCTGCAGACAAGAGCTGTTCCTATTTGGCCATCTTGATCTCAAACCTGTTTCTGGACTTTTTAATGATTGCCATTTTAACTGGTGTGAGATGGTATCTCATTGTGGTTTCTATTTGCATTTCTGTATTGGCCAGGGATGATGAGCTTTTTTTCATGTTTGTTGGCTGCATAAATGTCTTCTTTTGAGGAGTATCTGTTCATATCCTTTGCCCACTTTTTGATGGGGTTGGTTTTTTCTTGTAAATTTAAGTTCTTTGTAGTTTCTAGATATCAGCCCTTTGTCAGATGGATAGATTGCAAAAATTTTCTCCCATTCTGTAGGTTGCCTTTTCACTCTGATAGTTTCTTTTGCTGTGCAGAAGCTCTTTAGTTTAATTAGATCCCATTTGTCAATTTTGGCTTTTTGTTGCCATTGCTTCTGGTGTTGTAGGCACGAAGTCTTTGCCCATGCCTATGTCCTGAATGGTATTGCCCAGGTTTTCTTCTAGGATTTTTATGATTTTAGGACTTATGTTTAAATCTTTAATCCTTCTTGAGTTGATTTTTGTATAAGGTATAAGGAAGGGGTCCAGTTTCAGTTTTTTTACATATGGCAAGCCAGTTTTCCCAACATTTATTAAATAGGGAATCCTTCCCTCATTGCTTGTTTTTGTGAGGTTTGTCAAAGATCAGATGGCTGTAGATATGTGGTGGTATTTCTGAGGCCTGTGTTCTGTTCCATAGGTCTATATCTCTGTTTTGGTACCAGCAGAATAGCTAAAACAATCTTGAGAAAGTAGAGCAAAACTGAAATCATCACACTTACTGGTTTTTATTTAGAAATTACACATCTACACTAATTAAAATAGTATAGTACTGGCATAAAAACAAATAGACCATTGGAATAGACTTTATAGGCACACTTACACATACAGAGTAACTTATTTTAAACAAGAGACACGAATACATCAGAAAAGGATAATCTTTTCAACAAAGGGTTTTGGAAAACTGGAAATACACACACATAAATAGAATTGGAATTTTATGTTACACTATACAAAAAAAAAATCACTTCAAAATTGGTTAAAACCTAAGACCATAAATCCCCTAGAAGAAAACATAGGAGGATAGCTTCATGACATTGGTCTTGGCAATTAATTGATGGGTATGACAGTAAAAGCACAGGCAATTAGAGCAAATATAGACAAGTGGGACCACATCAAACTTAAAAAGCTTCTATATGGCAAAGAAAATAGTAGAGTGAAAAAAGCAATCTACAGAATGGGAGATATTTTCAACTTACATCTCCAAAGGGATTAATTTCCAAAATTTTTAAGGAACTCCTACAATCAATTTGATAGCAACAACCCAACAACCAAACAACCTGGTTGAAAAAAAGGAGAAAGGACTTGAATAGGCATTTCTCCAAAATGGCCAATAGGTATAGGAAAAAGTGGCCAACATCACATCATCAGAGAAACGCAATTTGAAGTTGCCCTTTTAAGAATGGCTGACTCAATAGATGTCCTACACATAAGACTGTGGCAATTTAAAAATGACGGAAGCAGTCAGCTTGCTATTATCTTGATCTACACAACACCAAATTACTGGCTTGAGTTTGTTGTGCCTTATTTTTGTTTTGTTTTGTTTGTTTTGTCCTTGTTTAAGTAAAATCAACTAGATATCTTAACCTTCTACAAACCCAGGCTGAACAACAGGGATGACTTAGAAATCTTAATACAAGAAAAGTGATTAAGGGCAGGGATACAATGTATTATTATTCCAACATGTAGGGGCATCAGTATAGTGGTACAATGATTTTCCAACAACCTAAAAGCCAGCCATAAATCAAAGAGTGGATATTTTTTATTGCCTGTGAAATGGTCACCAAACATAATACATTTCATAAACAATTACCTCTTTTTTTGGTTTTCATTTGATAAAATTGTTGCTTAAAAATGTTTGGTTCAAAATTAACTTTTAAGTGTCTTAATTTTATAATTATGGTGCCAAATAATCAGAATTAGTAGAATAAAAATTGGATCATAAAAAATAGAAACTCTAATAAATAAATCCTGGTATCTTTTCTATGGCTACTCTTGCTTAGCTTTTTATTGAACTTTGGGAACTTTTTCCAATTCTCAGTGACACTTTTTAAAAAATTTTGGAACAAATCAGAATACTTGGTGTGTTAGTACAGGAACTATTTTTTAAATAGAATACATATGGAAATATAGAGATTAAGTACTTAAAACATGTAATTATGAGTAGTTATTAGGTAACTAATTTTGATAATTATTAGAGAACTAATTCTCCAACCTTATTTGCATCACAATTACTTGGAGGGCTTATTAAAATGGATTTCTGGACCTCACCCCCAGCATTTCTGATTCATTAGATCTGGCATGAGGCTTGATAATTTTTAATTTCCTAGGTGGTGCTGATACTGCTAATCCAGGGACCACTTTTGGGGAATCACATATTAGTTTATGTTTTTGTCTATATTCTGAGGTTGTATGCTTTCTAGAGTTGATTGTGCTGTATTTTAATAAAACGTGTTATTTTCTTTTTCTTATTAAAAAATGGACAAAATCCAATGTAGCTTTTAAAAAATCTATTGTTTTTGGAAGGAAATGCTTTCTCTGAAACAAGTAGCTGAATTATTGTGATTAGTGGCTAGATAAAACATCACACTTTGTTTTTCTTCACACAAAAGACTATATAACCAGAAGTCCTTGAAAAAAATATATACCTGAATCTCAATATGGGAACTCACTAAAATCCTCAATGCATTACATGTTAGGATCAAGGAGGCAAATAGGTATTTTCCCTTGGCTGTTGGTTTTGTGGATAATTCTTACCAGTCATCACACGAGCTCGCCTTAGAACAGGGTTGGTAAACGTTTTAAGCACTGGATAGTAAATAGTTTAGGCCTGCAGTACATGATGTTGTAGCACAAAAGCAGAAATAGGCAATATTTACATGAATGAACATGGCCATTTTCTAATAAAAGTTGATTTGCCAAAGGAGGCAGTGGTCCAGATTTGGCCAATTAGTTGGAGTTGCAGAATTCTACCTTAGAGTAAGATACTCTCCTCTCAAACACCTGGTATTCAATCCCAGTACCCAAACCTGGGTAGCCTTGTGAGGAGCTTTGAAAAACACCCATGCCCAAGGCTGATGCCCAGAATTCAGGTTTGGTTTGTCTGAGGTGAGGCCTGAGTGTCTGTGTATCCCGGGCTTCCTGATCTAGGAAACTCCATGCTGGTTAATGCCTCAGGGCCAGAGGAAGAGGTACAAAAACTCGCTTGGTGCCGACCGAAGACTTCTCTAGGAGGAAGTGCTATATTTTATACAAGTTAACTTCCTCTTGATTGCTGGAGAGACTGATGCACCTTTGGTCTTCCTCTCCTGCTAGAACACACCGCACATAGCGATGCCAGTGGGAGAAGCAGCTCAACAGCAAATGAGAAACTCTAACCAGGGTCCCCGACCTCACAATTTTCAACTAGAGGCTTATCCTTAAAACTACTATTAAGGTGCCTACTGCATCTTTATATGTAGTAAATATTCCCCGACAGGAATCACAGGGGCTCTTAGTGCCAGGCTTCTCAAAATGTATTACCCAGGGATCATGCTGAAATGCAGGCTCTAATTCAGTAGTTTTGAGTGGGGCCCACCATTTTGTATTTCTAACAAGCTGCAACACGTCGCTGATGCGTCTAGTTTGTAGACCGTGCTTCGAGAGGTGGTCTTAGTAGACGGTCACTGAATTTGCTCTGGAGAATGACTACTAGGACCTTGAGATGCCGCCTACCCAACGTTCTACAAGGTATATTTGAGCATACCACAACCCTGTATTCAAGGCAGCGTGTCACAAATACACCTGCCACAAGTGGTGAAAACCCACAACATTTGATTTTTTTTTTTTTGTACTGAGGTAGTTAACAAGAAGACAGGCAAAACAATTTTATTTATGTAAAGCATTTCACAATAATTTGTAAACAGTCAACAATGATGAATGAGGTTGTGTGAGATAAAATGGTTTTTTCCATATCATACTGTATTGCTCAAGCCCACATGCATCTCTGTTTTTGCTGAACGTTCACAATCAGCGGACATTTTTGCCAGTGCAACATGATGAGACTGTCCTTGTTTCTTAGGTGGGAGGCTTGAGTCCTTAACAAGACCATACATCCTTCTATGGTGAAGTCTGTATAGATTTTGTGGAAGAAAAAAATTGGCTTTGTAGCTGTGTGTTGTCTCTCAGTTGCTGTGCCTCAGGAGTGTTCAGGCATTGCTTACCCGGGTCCTCTGTTCTGAGGTCTCCCCAGGCTGTGTTTCAGATGTTGGCCTGAGCTGCAGCCTCACCAGAGGCCTGACTGAGAAATGATCTGCTTCCAAGCTCCTTTAGGTTGTTGGCAGAATTTATCTTGTGGCTGTAGGAATAGAGTTTTTATTTTATTTTTTAATAATCCACCAATGGTCATCTCAGATCTACAGCTCATAGGCCATCCAAAATGTCTTGTCATGTGGGCTTCCTCAACACAATGGTTCCCTTCATCAAGCCAACAAAGAGACTCTTTTGCTCCAGTCTGATAAGACGGAATCTGCTGCAATGTATTCTAATCAAGGAGTAACATCCCATCACCTTTGCCATATAATGGAATCTAATCAACAGAGCAGAGCAATATATCATGATATTTACCATGTATTGGAAACATGTCAATGGTTTCACTGATTCTCAAGGGAATCAGAGTGTGGATGCTAGGAGAAGGAGATTCCTGGGGGATCACCCTAGGGTTTTTTGACCATAGATGATAAAAGGTTTGGCTTTCTGTATTTCAAACAAGCAAGTAACTGAACCATTTCTGGTTCATTTGATACCTATGTATAAAATGGGCACAAACACAAAGCCTTATTCATGAGGCTGATAAGAAACAAAATGAGATACCATGTGGTATCATCATAAAGTTTTATATCAATATTATAACTTTTATGTTTCCTATACATTTCAAAGCTAAGAAGATAGTAAAAGTTGATAAACTTTCAAATTAATAAAATAATTCCATTCCACCTTTTAATCATAGATCACAGGATGGCCAACTGCAGAGTTTTCAGAACATCATTTTCAGTACTACCAGTTGGGTTAAACCTCACAATGCATAAAATAATGGAATAGTGATTAAGAATGTTGGTTGTAGGATTTCTTCTTCCAGTATGCCAGGGAAGCTCCTTTCAGTTTACCCTTCTTCATATAACTATCTATTCTGAAAAAATACAAAAACAACCAACTGGAGACACTGGAGAGTGAACCAAAGCCGGCTGGAACTGGCAGGGAGAAGGGAGTAGACTGGGTGAGTTTCCCATTATTTAGTGGTTTTGTTTGTTTTTTATCCTGAGGGCATGCCCTGTCTGCCCTATGCAGGAAAGTTAAAACTATGATATAAAACCTTCAATCTTGGCTGGGAGCAGTGGCTCATGACTGCAATCCCAGCACTTTGGGAGGCTGAGGTAGGAGGATCACTTAAGCCCAGGAATTAGAGACCAGCATGGCCAACATGGCAAAACCCCATCTCAACTAAAAATACAAACATCAGTTGGGCATGGTGACACACGCTGTAATCCCAGCTACTCGGGAGGCTGAGGCAGGAGAATCCCTTGAGCCTGAGAGGCAGAGGTTGCAGTGAGCCAATATCTCATCACTGCACCCCAGCCTGGGTGACAGAGCAAGACTCTACCTCAAAAACAAAACAAGAAAATCCCTGCTGCCTTGCTGGCAGGAATATTAAGAGACTAGGGAAAGAGGCAATCAGAGCTGTTAAAAAGTGAAATGGTGGAAATACCAGAAAGGAAAAAGCCCGAGAGAAGGAGCACAAAATTCTACCCATCAGCTCTCCCCAGATCACTGGCTGACTCCACAAACACGTGCGACCGTGTCCAGTCAGCCCATCTAAGGCCAGAAAAAAGTGAACTGAAATGCAAACTGCCACCCAAAGCAGGGGAGACTGAATTTTGTGATTTGAATTCAGCCAATTTAAATAAATATATAAATAAATTCTCTTCAGTGGAGCAAAAAATGTAAAGTTTCTATAGCATACTTTTTACAATGTCAAGTATAAAGTCTTAATTATTTGATATTATGAAAAAAAAAATGACTTACCCTCAACAGAAAAGGCAATAAATGGAGACAAATCCTAAATTGATCCAATATTGGAATTAGCAGACAAAGATTTTTTAATAACTCTGAAAACTAAGCTGAAAATCTTAAATATTCTTGCAATAAAAATAATTAAATCTTAGCAGATAAAGAGACATTAAAAATAAAAATTCTAAAATTTTAAAATGTGACACCTGAAATAATAAATAAACTGTATGAGTTTAATGACATAAAGAAGGTAGCAGAGAAAAGAACCAGGAATGGTCGGGCGTGGTGGCTCAAGCCTATAATCCCAGCACTTGAGGAGGGCAGAGCATTTGAGGTCAGGAATTCAAGACCAGCTTGACGATGAACATGGTGAAACCCCATCTCTACTAAAAATACAAAAATTAGCCAGGCATGGTGGCGGGCACCTGTAATCCCAACTACTTGGGAGGCTGAGACAGGATAATTGCTTGAACTTGGGAGGCGGAGGTTGCAGTGAGCCAAGATTGTGCCACTACACTCCAGCCTCTGCTGAGTGAGGCTCCACTGAAAAAAAAAAAAAAAAAAAAAAAAAAAAAGAAATGTGAAGATAAATCAATAGAATTATCCAATCTGAATAAGAGGAAAAAAGTAAAATAATAACAAATGATAAGAGACTCAAAGACCTGTGAGAGAATAGGAAGAGGTCTAATTTGTATATTGAGTTTTAGAAAATGAAGAAGAGAGACAATAAAAATAAAAGAAGCAAGGGGGGAAGAAAAGAAATAAAAAGAGGTCAAATATTTCCTAAATTTGGTGAGATCAATCAATTTATAGACTCAAGAAACTCAACAAACACAAAGCAGGATTGATGCAAATAAAGCTATATATAGGCACATCATAGTTCAACTGATGAAAAAAAGGAGAACCTTGAAAGCAACCAGACAAAAGTGACATATTGCATACAGGGAAGCAATGATTTATCTATCCACACATTTGTTATCAGAAATAATGGAGGCCAGGAGACAGTGGAGCAACAGCTTTAACATTCTGACAGTGTGGGTTACGGAGTCAGACAACATGACTTAAATTGTATGGCTACTACTTAGTATCTGTGTAACCTTGGACAAGCTATTTGATAGTTCCATATCTCAATATATTACCTTTCTAACTAGTAATGTTAAAAGCTATCTCATTCTGCTGTTGAGGAGGTTAAATGAGTTACTAATACATGAAGGTTCTTAGTACTTGATGAATAATACAAGCAAATTCAATGCTTGCCATTATTATGATCAGATTTTAATATTTGTGGTCAATTTGAGTGCTTTAAATTTTCAGAAATAATTAGACATGCATAAAGACAAATACCTTTTTAAAAAGATCCAAAAAATAAGAGTAGTTAATTTAAATTACCCAAAACAATCAGGAGTTTGCTAAAGAAAGAATGATTTCCAAAGGGACTCTTATTCAATCTCATCCTTCTTTGTACCCTCTGCAGCAGAAGTTAAACTATTTCACAGCAAGAGGAAGCCAGTTCTCCCCCAGCCATAGTTGACTCCAACAAAATCTCTCACTTTCTCACCTCGGGCTTTTGCCTGCACTTATTCCCCAGTACAGGTAATTAGCAGTCAAATTCTTAATTACTCAATTAGTCCAACCCACAATGCTATCTGAATAAATCAATTAATGTAGCTCCCACAGAAGAGCCCATGTTTACGACATAACAGTTATAATATTGTCCCAGTTAATCAGCGCAGAACCATGCAGACTCTGATATTGACAATGATTGCCTCGGTCCACTGTGGAATTCATTTTGCACATGACAGAAACAGAAGTAGGACTCTAAATTTACAGCAATTTTCTCATTTTTTCTTCCTCAGACACCATATAAGGAGGTGAGAATTAAAATGCTGAGTGGCCGCAAGTCACTCAAATTTAGCTACTGATCAATTTTTAAAATGTATTGCTTGTTTTATTTAACCAATGTACCCTGATGCTTTGTGCCTGGTTCTTTGCTAGACCTAATAGAAGCCTCTTACTGCATAACTCTCTCAGCTTCAGTTTCCACAAAGTGCACCAGTGCTTCTCAAACTTTAGTGTATAAATGATTAACCCAGGGTTCTTGTTAAAGTGGAGTTTCTGACTCCATAGATCTGGCATAAGCGCAGAGACTCACTAATTCCCAGGAGATGCTAATGCTACCGTTGAAGGAAGCTGACTTGGAGCACCAAGGGTGTAGAATAAAGATTAGAGTGCTCACTTCACAGGATTGTTGAGGCGGTTGTGAGATCTGCGTGGAACAATGAAGATGACAAACTTAGCAAGCTCTAATTAGAGTGTGAAGTTCATTGTTAGAGACATGCCTTATAAGGACCAGAGTCTTACAAAAGAGAGAAAATACATAAGAGGATGAAGACTTACAGGAGAAGGAAACATTGGGAACATCAGTAGGGTGGGGTTCTGAACTGGCTTTACTACTGATACACTAACATTTTGATGAATTCATCACTTAAAACCTTGGATACATGTTCTTTATGCATTAAAATAAGCCACTTTTGAGAGTTTTGTCATTTTCAGATGCTAAATTGCCTTTCATTATAGATTACTTTTAAATCAGATCAGTTTTGAAATGTACTCTTTTTCCAAGCAATAATTTTCAGAAACCACAGGCAATAATATTTTTTCTAGCAGATTAAAATACACACATAACTACCATAATTCAAACAATCCTTCCATATATTCCCTAAGGTATCATTTCATATATTATGAATTATATGCATTCTTTGAAAAACAATGCATTAGTTAATTTCTGTAATTTCTTGACAAATTAAGGAATAATTCAGTTATGTTTCCAGATTATCTGAATCTTAGAAAAATAGGGACTTCTGAGAAGAGGTATCCTGTAAGCTGACCCTTGAAAAACAAGTAGGCTTTACATTTAGACAATCTGAAACTGGACTTCTGTGTGTTGGGGTGGGGAGGAGAACGTTGCTGTTCAAGGAAAGAAAGAAGAAAGGGCATTCAGGATACAGGGAGTATCAAGAATGTGAGCAGAGGTGAGAACTGGTGACTGATTTCTAACCTGTCCAAGAGAAAAAGCATGGGTGGTGTTCTAGGACTTGAGGGATAGTATGAACTGAAACTCCAAGGTTGGAGAGAAACGCTTACACTTGAGTCCAGAGAGAATTTTGGATTTGTCCAGTTCTCTTAATATTCTGACAAACTCTCTGGACTCCTGCAAGAAAAATGCACACAGCACACACAGAGAGTGCATGCACATGCACACATACGTTTATAATATTTTGACCACAGTATCAGGGTGTGTATTTCTCCCTAGGGCCAATAAGTGAAAAATCTAGAGATCTATAGATCAAACATCTGATAGTGACAGCTTTTGGAAAATTGCAACTTTAAAGATTTAAAATTCTGCCCAGTGTCTCAGCATCACGGGGCCTCTTCTGAGTCACACAGCTCCTTTACGATGTTGGGACAGTGACAGAAAATACAACCCAAACTGGCTTAGGCAAGAGAAAACATAAAACTAATGGGCAGAAAGAGGTTTAGTTTCAGACAAAACTCCAAATCCCGTCACAGGAATCAGCCTGTCGTGGGGCTGTGCTGCCCTGCTCCACATTACCCTCAAATCCAAGTTCCACTTGAGGACAAGATGGTACCCATATATTCCAAACCTGGATTCTCTCAGATTCAAATCGCTCCAAGGAAATCATGCTAAATTTTAATATCCATCCATCCTCTACCAGATTCATATAGTTTCTATGAAGCTGATTCTACTCCTGGTCTCAAATGTGCCATGTCCCTTGGGCCTGGACAGTCTGAAACTAATTTCAGTGGTGATACAAATTGGTTTAGAGATGAGTGTGTGACTGTGTCAAGATTGCTGAGATGCCCTAAGAATTTCCCGAGGCTTCCAAGACAGAGCAGATACTCTTGACCTCTGGATCAGGACATGAGGGGATGTAAAGGATGGAGCTGCTGCAGTTGCTTTGCAACCTTGACAAAGGGATCTAACTGAGATGGGAATCAGCAGGTGGAAATGACAGTGAGAGAAACAGAAACAGTGAGTGCAAGCAAGAGAGAAGGTGTTACTGACATATGCTGAACCACTGATCCAGCTGTGCTGGAAACTTAGTAGCTCTGGTCTTTTTAGTTCTATGACCTACTTAACCTCTCTTGGATCTGTCAAAAAGATTCTTGTTAAAAAGTGTTTTAGGATAGATGACTTCCAAAGCCCCCTCAAGCTCCATACTTTCTGTAACACATGTGACAAACTATTTACGTGAAGTTCGTAGGTGTCCCAAGGATTAGGTTCCTGTTTCATAGCTAATACCATGGTTCCCCAAGTCCACATAATTTAATATATCAGAAAGTAACTGAGACCATTAAGAGACTCATCTGTTTTGTTCATCTAATTGCTGATTCTGTTTTGCTTTGAAGACTAAAAATACCTCAAATACTTCCCACCTTTTACAATCTTTATTCAATGCTCATTGAAGAGTGATTTCTATTGCTTTTGTTTCTTGTTTATTATTTATTGAACACACAATTAACTCACAATGCTTTTACAGACATACCTCAGATGCATGGTGGGTTTGATTGCAGACCCCTGCAATAAGACAAATATCAAAAGGAGTCAATTTTTTCTGTTTCCTAGTACATATAAAGATTACATCTACATTGTACTGTAGTCGATTAAGTTTCAATAGACTACCATTTATGTACGTTATGTCTAGAAAAACAAGGTATATAATTTAAAAATATTTTTTTGCTTAAAAATGCTGATGACCATCTGAGCCTCTAGCAACTCATCTTTTTGCTGGCGGAGGGTCTTGCCTCAATGCTGATGGCTGCTGATGGATCAAAGTGGTGGTTGCTGAAGTTTAGGGTGGCTGTGGCAATTTCTTAAAATAACATCAATGAGGTTTACCACACAAATTGACTCTTCATTTCAGAAAATATTTCTCTGCACTATGTAATGCCATTTGGTAACATTTTACCCACAGTAGAACTTCTTTCAAAACTAGAGTCAACCCTCACAAAGCCTGCCACTGCTTTATCAGCTTTTATGTAATATTCTAAATCCTTTGTTGTCATTTCAACAATGTTCATAATATCTTCACTAGAAGTAGATGCCTTCTCAAGAAACCATTTTCTTGGCTCATTCATAAAAATCAACTCCTCATCCAATAAATTTTTAATTTAATGGATGTTTTTTAATTCTAGTATTTTTTTGATCCTTCCAACACATCTTCAGTTGTTTCCTCCACTGAAGTATTGAGCCCCTCAGTCATTTATGAGGGCTGGAGTCAACTTCTTCCAAATTTCTGTTAATGATATTTTGACCACCTCTTATGAATCATAAATGTTCTTCATGGCAGCTAGAATGGTAAATCCTTTCCAAAAGGTTTTCAATTTATTTTGCCCAGATCCATCAGAGGAATCACTGTCTGTGGAAGCTATAGCCTTATAAAATGTATGTCTTAAATAATAAGACTTAAAGTTGAAATTACTCCTTGATCCATGGGCTACAAAATGGATGTTGTCTTAGCTGCCATGAAAACAACATTAATCTCCTTATACATCTCCATCAGGGCCTTTGAATAAAAAGGTACTTCATCAATGATCAGCAACATTGTGAAAAGCATCTTTTATTCTGAGCAAAAATAGGACTCCTGATTATAGGCCAGATGGCCGACTAGACACAGGAGGAACATCAGCCAAAGAGGGACCAAGACGCCAGGAAGAATGGCACACTCTCAGCAGATCTTTGCGGGGAAGGCACTGAGAGTGAACAGAGGGAGGACAGACACTAGGCTGAAGAGGGAGGAAGCTGGGCACCCTGCATAGGGATACTGTGCACCAGGACTCATTCCTCGTTCCCAGAGACTCCTGAGGAAGGAGTGAGTTGAACAGGCAAGGAGTGACCCACTCTTGCCATGGAACTCTGGAATCCTGGCAGCAAGAGACCCCATGACCTCAGTGGACACGAACTGGCAGGAAGAGTTGCTTAGAGAGGTGCTAGAGGAGGGACTGCAGCCTGTACAGAGCCCAGCAGGTTTGGTGCAGGAATATCTGCAGGTGAGAATTAAAAAACAATCAGGTACTATGCCTATTACCTGGGTGAGGAAATAATCTGCACACCAAACCCCCGTGACTTGCAATTTACCTATATGACAAATAGGCACGTGGACCCCTGAATCTGAAATACAAATTAAGAAAAAAAAGTCAATAGTGGTTTTAAACCATGTTCAGTAAGCCACACTGTAATAAACACATATGCTGTCACCCAGGCTTTATTGTTCCATGTATAGAGCACAAACAGTAGATTTGGCATCATTCTTCAGGGACCTAGGATTTTTGCAATGGTACCTAAGCACTGGCTTCAACTTAAAGTCACCAGCTGCATCAGCCCCTAAGAAGAGAGCCTATCTTTTGAGGTTTTGAAGCCAGGCATTGACTTCTCTTCAACTATGTAAGTTCTAGGCAGCATCTTCTTCTGATATAAAGTTGTTTCATCTACATTGAAAATCTGTTGTTTTACTGTGGCTCTTTCATCAATGATCTTAGCTAAAATTTTTGGATAAATTGCTGAAACTTCTGTGTCAGTACTTGATGCTTTGCCTTGCACTTTTATATTATACAGACAGCTTCTTTCCTCAAACCTCATGAACCAACTTCTGCTAGCTTCGAACTTTTCTTCTGCAGCTTCCTCACCTCTCTCAGCCTTCATAGAATTGAAGAGAGCTCAGACTTCATTCTAGATTAGTCTTTGGCTTAAGAAAATCTTATGGCTGGTTTGATCCTCTATCCAAACCATAAAATGATCTCCATATCTGCAATAATACTGTTTTTCTCTTATTTATCATGTGTTCGCTGGAGTAGTATGCTTAATTTCCTTCAAGAACTTTTCCTTTGCACTCAAAACTTTGCTAACTGGCAAACAAGGCCTAGTTTTTGACTTATCTTGGCTTTCAACATGACTCCCCCACTAAGCTTAATCATTTTTAGCTTTTGATTTAAAGTGAGAGATATGCAACTCTTCCTTTCACTTGAACATGCAGAGGCCATTGCAGGATGATTAATTGTCCTGATGTCAGGATTGCTGAGACTCAGGGACTAGGGAAGCCCAAGGAAAGATAAAGAGGGAGCGAAGCCAATCAGTGGAGCCGTCAGAACACACACACAACATTTATCGATTAGGTCTGCTGTCTTCTGTGAACATGGTTTGTGGCAGGCCAAAACAAAATAGTATTATCAAAGATCACTGATCATAGTTCTCATAACAAATACAGTAATAAAAATAAAGCTTGACATATTGTAAGAATTACCAAAATGTGACACAAAGGGAACATATGCTGTCAGAATGTTGGAATGGCCCTAACAGACTTTCTCAATGCAGAGTTTCTACAAACATACAATTTGTTTTTTTTTAAAAAAAAAAAAAAAAACTGCAAAATGCAATAAAGTGTGAAGCACACTAAAACAAGCTTTGCCTGTATAATGATTTGGAGTAAGTTGAAAAGCATCCAAGTTCATAGACCCTGAAACCACAAAGTGAAATAGGAATCAATTAGTGACTCAGGCAATGCATTACCTGGGGAAGAGTGAAGCCAGGTGAGGCCTCGGGAGTTCCAAAATTAGTTTGTGGTCTGGAATCCACAGGAAGTTCCTTATGCATTAGGTTCGCAGTGGGATTTGGCCTAATTTCTTTGACAAGTGAGTAATTTCCAGGTAAATAAAGCAGGGTGAACACTACTTAGACCTTTTTGTCAGCCCACCTTTCACTCACATCAACAGCTGTCCAGTAAATAATGACCTCTTTTCATCTGACCTATGGAGCTTAGCAATTTTTCTCCATCAATTTTAAGTGTCTTAATCTCATCACATTGGTTTACTGTAGAAGAAATTTTTTTTTTTTTACTTATTTTTATTTTTACCTTCCTTGATTTTAGTCATTTAAAAACTGAGGATGTATACCATATGCCTTTTGGCTGAGCCTGTTTTATTAGGCGTGATGTATTTCAAGGGTGATAAATCTTTTATTTGGTCTGGCCTCAGATCACTGTGTTTCTTATCGCTATAGTTAAAGGGAGGTGGTATTCAGAAGCAGAAAGCTAGCTAGACTTCAATCAAGAGGCTCAGGAAGCAGACTCCCACCTTTTCTATCAGCTAATGATACCTTTTCTTGAGTCCAATAGTCAAGCATAACTACCTCAGGGGAATAGTGAAAGAAACCTGAATATGCTACAGTGCACTGCAGTCCTTTAAACCTCCCGATGGGAGTACAAACTTCCAGTAATCACATACCTGGAGAAAACATGAGAGTTGTAGGAGAGAGAGAGATCCAATCCAGCACCTCCTGTACTTCCTTCCACCATTTCTAATAAAACACTGGCTGGGAAGCAGAATGGTTACAAATTGTTCATTCTGGGAATCTTGTATAATAACATACTTCATATACTTTAAGTGAACTTTGCAACTAATTTCAGGGATTTTTTTTTTTTTACTTGCTACAGTCCATAGATAAATTCTCATTTGATTTTATACAAAGCCTAGAAGGCACCAATCAAATCAAATACCAACCAAAGTTAAAATTATGTGGACATGAAAGCATTTGGAGTGGAGCATTCTCTGCCCCCTTGCTTTGCATTCTCTTAATCATGTTGCCTTCCAGGGAGGGATGTCAGGGAAGATTGCTTCTTCCATAATGCATGGTGTCTTTTTTCTTATCAATGCCATTCAATATCGCTTTCTTCGGGAAGTTCCCTGATTCACCATCCTCACAGAGGTGAGCAGCTTCGTTTATTTTGATCCTGGGGACATAGGCTGTGAAAGGAAACAATTTACCAAGAAGAAAGAATGTTGAGGGCTACACACAGATTTATTGGTATAAAAAAACAAAGCAAGTCCAGATGTGACTCATTTTTGAGGCATGTTGTAAATACACCTGACCTGTTTCATTTATAACAAAGGAAGATGCCCTGGCTTACAGCTGAGTTATTTGTGTGTTACTCAACTTTTCTCTTTTTTTCAGGGGAGAACTAAAACTAGAGTTTAGGGAGTGATTGATGGGGATTTGAGGATTGTAGTTTTTTTCAGTGCTCCTGTTGGCTTTCTAAATTACTGCCTCTTCACAAGCCTAATCATTTATCACCCTCGCCTCCTACGGTGTTTTACATTTTGGCAACTATTTCCTGCCTTTGCCATTGTAAGGCTAATATTTAAAAATAAGGGGTTGGTGATTTTTATAATTCCACTTAGTGATATTAATGAAAATGTTGAAAGCAGCACATCAAAACAAAAACCAACTGCTTCTAGTTTCTGCTACACTGAAGAATTGTACTGACCACCTGGGATTCCCAAGGGCTTCTAAAACTCATATTTATATGTGTGTATATATACGGTGTGCACGTGTGTGGTTCTCTGCCACTCAAAATGTAGTCTGTGGGCCAGTAGCATTGGCCTCACCTGGATCTTGTCAGGAATGCAGCCTCAAGCCTACTCCAAAATGCAGAATCTGCCTGTTAAGCACTCGACATGATTTGTATGTGCAAAGAGCTTTAAAAGTAATGCCTGAGAGATTTTATTACATTTATTTAAATAATGAAATTAAAACCTTAAGAATGAAGAAAAGCTCATATATCACATACTAATGTTGACGCTGTGTGTTCAACTTCATCTTTTGTTCCCATTGTGATAGTATACAGAGAAAGATTTGCTAAATGCTACACAATGCATTTTGTCACTCTTTTTTGTTATACTGTCATGTTTTTTATATATAATTTCAACTTGTATTTTAGATTCATGGATTATATGTTCAGGTTTGTTACATGGATGGCATATCTCATGATGCTGAGGTTTAGGGTATGATTGATCCCATCACTCAGGTAGTGAACATAGTACCCCAATAGTTAAGTTTCTCAACCCTTGCTCCCCTCTCTCCTGGCCCCCTCTAGTAGTCTCCAGTGACTATTGTTGCCATGATTATGCCCATGAATACCCAGTGTTTAGCTCCCTCTCATGAGTGAGAACACGCTGTATTTGGTTTTCTATTCCTGTATTAATTAACTTAGGATAATGGACTCCAGCTACATCCATGTTGCTGTAAAGAACATGATTTTTTATAGCTGCATACTATTCCATGCTGTGCATATACCACATTTTCTTTATCCTATCCACTGTTGATGAGCACCTACGTTTGTTTCATGTCTTTGCTGTTGCGAGTAGTGTTGCAATGAACATGTGAGTGCATATGTCTTTTTTGTAGAATGATTTGTTTTCTTTTGGATATATAGCGAGTATTGGGATTGCTAGGTTGAAAGGTAATTCTAAGTTCTTCAGAGAAATTGCCAAGCGACTTCTTTTTTAAATAAATTTATTTTAATTTCTGGGATACACGTGCAGGACATGCAGATTTGTTACATAGGTAAACATGTGCGATGGTGGTTTGCTGCACCTATCAACCCATCACCTAGGTATTACACCCGACATGCATTAGCTATTTAACTTGATGTTCTCCCACCACTAGCCCCCAGATAGGCCACAGTGTGTTTTGTTCTCCTCCCTGTGTCCATGTATTCTCATTATTCAGCTCCCACTTATGAGTGAGAACATGTGGTGTTTGGTTTTCTGTTTCTGTGTTAGTTTGCTGAGGATAATGGCTTCCAGCTTCATCTATGTCCCTGTAAAAGGCATGATGTCATTTCTTTTTATGGTTGCAGAGTATTCCACTGTATATGTATCACATTTTCTTTATCCAGTCTACCATAGATGGGCATTTGAGTAGATTTTATGTCTTTGCTATTGTGAATATTGCTGCAATGAACATACACCTGCATGTATCTTTATAATAGAATGATTTATATTCCTTTGAGTATATACCCAACAATGGGATTGCTGGGTTAAATGATATTTCTGCTCCTAGTTCTTTGAAGAATTGTCACACTGTCTTCCACAATGGTTGAACTAATTTACACTCCCACCAACAGTGTAAAAGCCTTCCTATTTCTCCACAGCCTCTCCAGCATCTGTTGTTTATTGACTTTTTAATAATCACCATTCTGATTGGCTTGAGTGGTATCTCATTATGGTTTTGATTTGCATTTCTCTAATGATCAGTGATGTTGAGCTTTGTTTCATATGTTTTTTTGGCTGCATAAATATCATTTTGAGATGTCTGTTCATATCCTTTGCCCACTTTTTGATGGGTTTTTTCTTTTTCTTGTAAATTTAAGTTCCTTGTAGATTCTGGATATTAGACCTCTATCAGATAGGTAGATTGCAAAAATATTCTCCCATTCTGTAGGTTGCCTAGTCACTCTGATGATAGTTTCTTTTGTTGTAAAGAAGCTCTTTAGTTTGATTAGATCCCATTTGTCAATTTCGACTTTTGTTGTAATTGCTTTTGGCATTGTCCTCATGAAGTCTTTGCCCTTGCCTATGCCCTGATTTGTATTGCTTAGATTTTCTTCAAGGGTTTTTATGGTTTTGGGTTTTACATTTAAGTCTTTAATCTATCTTAGTTAATTTTTGTGTAAGCTGTAAGGAAGGGGTCCAGTTTCAATTTTCAGCATATGGCTAGCCAGTTTTCCCAGCACCGTTTATTAAATAGGAAATCCTTTCCCCATTGCTTGTTTTTGTCAAGTTTTTCAAAGATCAGATGGTTGTAGATGTGTGGTCTTATTTCTGTGATCTCCATTCTGTTCCATTGGTCTATGTGTCTGCTTTTATACCAGTATCATGCTGTTTTGGTTACTGTAGCCTTGTAGTATAATTTGAATTCAGGTAGTGTGATGCTTCCAAATTTGTTCTTTTTGCTTAGGATTATCTTAGCTATATAGGCTGTTTTGTGATCCATATATATTTTAATATAGTTGTTTTCTAATTCTGTGAAGAATGTCAACGGTAGTTTAATGGGAATAGCATTCAATCTATACATTACTTTGGGCAGTATGGTCATTTTCACAATATTCATTCTTCCTATCCATGAGCATGGAATGCTTTTCCATTTGTTTGTGTCTTCTCTGATTTCCTTGAGCAGTGGTTTATATTTCTCCTTGAAGAGATCCTTCACTTCCCTCATTAGCTGTATTTCTAGGTATCTTATTCTCTTTGTAGCAATTGTGAATGCAAGTCCATTCATAATTTGGCTTTCTGCTTTTCTATTGTTGGCATATAGTAATGCTTGTGATTTTTGCATATTGATTTTGTGTCCTGAGACTGCAGAAGTTGCTTATGAGTTCAAGAATCTTTTGGGCTGGGACAACTGGGTTTTCTTGCTATAGAATCATATCACCTGCAAGCAGACAGTTCAACTTCATCTTTCTATTTGAATACCCATTATTTCTTTCTTTTGTCTGCTTGCCCTGGCTAGAGCTTCCAATACTATGTTGAACAGGAGTGATGAGAAAGGACATCCTTGTCTTGTGCCAGTTTTCAAAGAGAATGCCTCCAGCTTTTGCCCATTCAGTATGATATTGGCTGTGTGTTTGTTATAAATGGCTGTTATTATTTTGTGGTACGTTTCATCAATACCTAGTTTGAGGGGTTTTAGCATGAAGGGATGTTGACTTTTATGAAAGGCCTTTTCTGCATCTATTGAGATAATGTGTTTTTTTTTCTTCAGTTTTCTTTATGTGATGAATTATGTTTATTGATTTTGTATATGTTGAACCAGTCTTGTATCCCACAGATGAAGCCAGCTTGATCGTGGTGGATAAGCTTTTTGATGTGCTGCTGGATTCAGTTTGCCAGTATTTTGTTGAGGATTTTGGCATCGATGTTCATCAGGGATATTGGCCTGAAGTTTTCTTTCTTTGTTGTATCTCTGCCAGGTTTTGCTATCAGAATGATGCTGGCCTCATAAAATGAGTTAGGGAGAAGTCCTTCCTTTTCAATTTTTTGGAATAGTTTTAGAAGAAATGGTACCAACTCCTCTTTGTACCTCTGGTAGAATTCAGCTGTAAATCCATCTGGTCCTGGGCTTTTCTTAGTTGGTAAGCTATTTATTACTGCTTCAGTTTCAGAACTCATTCTTGGTCTATTCAGGGCTTCAACTTCTTCCTGGTTCAGCCTTGGGAGGGTGTGTATGTCCAGGAATTTATCCATTTCTTCTAGATTTTCTAGTTTATTTACATAGAGACTTTTATATTAGGTTGGCCCAAAAGTAATTGCGGTTTTTGCATAACTTTTAATGGCCAAACCATGATTAGTTTACACCAGCCTAGTAGTATACTCTGATGGTTGTTTGCATTTCTGTGGGGTCAGTGGTGATATCCCCTTTGTCATTTTTATTGTGTCTATTTGATTCTTTTCTCTTCTTTATTAGTCTAGCTAGCAGTTTATCTATTTAATTTTTTTCAAAAAACCAGCTTCTGGATTTGTTGGGTTTCTTTAAAGGGTTTTTCATGTCTCTATCTTCAGTTTCACTCTAACCTTAGTTATTTCTTGTCTCCTGCTAGCTTTAGGTTTGTTCTTGGCTCTCTAGTTCTTTTAGTTGTGATGTTAGGGTGTCGATTTGACATTATTCTAGCTTTTTGATGTGAGCATTTAGTGCTATAATTTCTCTCTTAACATTTCTTTAGCTGCATCCCAGAGATTTTGGTATGTTGACTCTTTGTTATCATTAGTTTCAAAGAACTTCTTGATTGCTTTTTAACTTCATTATGTACTCAGGAGTCATTCAGGAGCAGGTTGTTCAATTTCCATGTAGTTTTGTGGTTTTGAATGAGTTTCTTAATCCTGAGTTCTGGTTTAAAGTCTGTTTTGTCAGAAACTAGGATTGCAACCCCTGATTTTTTTTTTTTTTTTTCATTTTCATTTGCTTGGTAAATTTTTCTCCATTTCTTTATTTTGAGTTTATGTGTGTCTTTGCACATGAGGTGGGTGTTTTGAATACAGCACACCGGTTGATCTTCACTCTTTATCCAGCTTGCTATTCTGTGTCTTTTAGTTGGGGGCATTTAACCCATTTACTATTAAGGTTCATATTGTTATGTATTAATTTAATCCTGTCATCATGGTGCTAGCTAGTTATTTTGCAGACTTGTTGATATAGTTGCTTGATAGCATCATTAGTCTTTGTACTTCAGTCTGTTTTTGCAGTGGCAGCTAACGGCTTGTCCTTTCCATATTTAGTGCTGCCCTCGGGAACTCTTGCAAGGCAGGCATGGTGGTGATGAATTCCTCAGCAATTTCTTGTCTGAAAAAGATATTATTTCTCCTTTGCTTATGAAGCTTAGTTTGGCTGGATATAACATTATGGGTTGGAAATTCTATTCTTTAACAATGTTGAATATTGGCCTCCAATCTCTTCTGGCTCATAGGGTTTCTGCTGAGAAGTCTGCTGTTAGTCTGATGGATTTCCTTTTGCAGGTGGCCTGGCCCTCTATCTGGCTACGCTTAATGTTTTTTTCTTCATTTCAACCTTGGAGAATCTGATAATTATGTGTCTTGGGATGGATTTTCTCATGGAGTATTTTACTGGGGTTCGTTGGTTTTCCTGAATTTGAATGTTGGCCTTTCTTGTTACATTGGGGAAGTTCTTCTTGTTGATATCCTGAAGCATGTGTTCTAACTTGGTTCCATTCTCCCTATCTCAGGTACCCCAATCATTCATAGGTTTGGTCTTTTTACATAATCCCATAGTTCTCAGATGTTTTGTTTCTTTCTTTTCATTCTTTTTTCTCTAATCTTGTCTGCCTGTCTTATTTTACCAAGATAGTCTTCAAGCTCTGAAATTCTTTCATCTGCTTGGTCTATGCAGTTATTGATACTTGTGGTTGCATCGTGAAGTTCTTGGTTGTGTTTTTCAGCTCTGTCAGGTCATTTATGTTTCTCTCTAAACTAGTTACTTTGGTTAACAGATCCTGTAATGTTTTATCATGGTTTTTAGCTTCTTTGCATTGGGTTAAAACATGTTCCTTTAGCTCAGCAAAGTCTGTTATTACCCACCTTCTGAAGCCTACTTTTGTCAAGTCATCCATATCAGCCTCCCCCCAGTTATGTGTCCTTGCTGGAGAGGTGTTGTGATCATTTGGAGGAAAAGAAGCTCTCTTGCCTTTTGAGTTTTCAGAATTTTTTTGTTGATTCTTTCTCATTTTTGTGAGTTTTTCTACCTTTGATCTTTGAGGTTGCTGGCCTTTGGATGGGGTTTCTGTGGGGACATTTTGTTGATGATCTTGTTACTTTTCTGTAGGGCTGCCGCAGTTCGCTGTGGGTTCACTCCAGATCCTATTCACCTGGGTCCCTCCCACATCTGGAGGTGTCACCAGTGGAAACTGCAGAACAGCAAAGATGGCTGCCTGCTCCTTCCTCTGGGGTCTCTGTCCCAGAGGAGCACTGACTTGATTCCAGTGGGAATGCTCCTGTAAAAGGTATTTGGTGACCCCTGTTGGAGGCGTCTCACCCAGTCAGGAGGCACAGGATCCAGGCCCTGCTTAACAAATTACTCTGGCTGCCCCTTGGCTGGGGAGATGTACTCCGCTGGGGAGAATCCCACTGGTCCAGACTGCCTGGATTCCTTAGAGCCAGCAGGGGGAAAGACTAAGACTGCTGACATGTGGAGAACATGGCTGCCCCTCCCCCAGGAGCTCAGTCCCAGGGAGATCAGAATTCTGTCCCTAAACCCCTGGCTGGAGTTGCTGAAATTCCTGCAGGGAGGCCCTGCCCAGTGAGGAAGGATGGGTCAGAGTCTGGCCCAAAGAGGCAGTCTGGCCACAGTCTGCCACAGTTGCTATGCTGCTGTTGGGAATTCCTCCTAGGTCCTAACTATCCAGTCTCCCCAGCACTGGCAGGGGTCAAACAGCAGACTGGAGCCTCAGTGATGGTGGCTGCCCCTCCCTCAGGAAGCTCAGTTGTCTTAGGCAGCAGACAGCCACAGTGATTATGGCCACCCCTGCCCCTGGAAACTTGGTAGTCTTAGGCAGTCTCCAGCCAAGTGGCTGCTGGGAGTCTGCACAGCTCCCTGCTTGGTACCCAAGGCCCTGGTGGCATGGGCTCACAAGGGATAAAGGGCCAAGATGGCTGACTAGAAACAGCTGCAGTTGGAGGCTCCCACCAGAAGGAAAATGGTAAGTGAATCCTGCACCAGCAACTGAAGCATCCAGGTTCTCTCACTGGGACTGACTAGGTGGTCCCCACAACCCATGGAGAACAAGGAAAAGCACAGTGGTGTGACCGCCTACCTGGGAGCCACATGGGGAAAGAGGAGCTCCCATCCCCAGCCAAGGAGGCGGTGAGTGACGGAGCTACCCAGCCTGGGAAACCATGCTTTTTACATGGATCTGTACAACCCACAGATCAAACTGCTTTCTATAGTGGTTAAACTAATTTACATTCCCACTAACAGCATATAAGCAATCCCTTTTCACCACAGCCTCTCCAGCATTTGTGGTTTTTTGATTTATTAAGAAAATCAATTCTGGCTGGTATAAGATGATACCTCATTGTGGTTTTGATTTGCATTTCTCTGATGACTGGTGATATGGAGCATTTTTTTCACATGCTTATTGGACATGTGTATTTTTTTGAGAAATATATTTTTGCCCACTTTTTAATGGAGTTATTTGTCTTTTGCTTTTTGAATTATGTTCCTTACAGATTCTAAATATTAGATCGTTGTCAGTTTCATAGTTCATGAGTATTTCCTCCAATTCTATAGGTTATCTGTTTACTCTGTTGAGAGTTTCTTTTGCTGTGCAGAAGCTGTTTATTTCACTAGGTGTTACTTGTCAATTTTTCTTTTTGTTGAAATTGCTTTTGAGGACTTAGCCATAAATTCTTCCCCAAGCCTAATATCCAGAATGGTGTATCTTAAATTTTCTTTTAGGACTTTTATAGTTTGAGGTCATCTATTTAAATCTTTAACCTATTTTGAGTTAACTTTTATTCATGGTTAAATGTAACGGTCCACTTTTATTCTTCTGTGTATGGCTATCCAGCTATCCTAGCACCATTCATTGAATAGAGAGTCATTTTCCCATTGCTTACTTTTGTCAACTTTGTTGAAGATCAGATTGCTGTAGGTGTGCCGCTTTATTTCTGGGTTCTCTATTCTGTTCCATTTGTCTATGTGTCTGTTTTTGTACCAGTACCATGCTGTTTTGGTTATTATAGCCTTATAGCATAATTCAGAGTAAGGTAACCTGATGGCTTCAGCTTTGTTTTCTTTTTTTTATTGCTGTTGTTTTATTTTGTTTTGTTTTGTTTTTGCTTAGGATTCCCTGGGCTACTCAGACTCTTTTTCATTTCATAAGAATTTTAGAATAGTTTTTCTAATTCTGTGAAAAATGGCATTGGTAGTTTGATAGAAATGGCTTGGAATCTATACATTGCTTTGGGCAGTATGGTCATTTCAACAATATTAATTCTTTGAATTTGTGAGCATGAGGATGTTTTTCCATTAGCTTGTGTCACCAATGATTCAGCAGTGTTTTGTAGTTATCCTTGTAAAGATCTTTCACCTCTTCAGTTAGATGTGTTCTTAGGTATTTCATTCATTTTGTGGCTATTGTAAATGGGATTGTGTTCTTGATTTCTACTCTGTTTGAACTTTATTGGAGTATAGAAGTCTTACTGATTTTTGTGCATTGATTTTGTGTTCTGAGACTTGACTGAAGTGTGTTTATCAGTTCCAGAGCCTATGGAGGTGTCTTTAGGGTTTTCTAGGCATAGAATTATATCATCTGTGAAGATAGTTTGACATTTTTAATGTATTTAGATGTCTTTTATTTTTTCTATTGCTTGAATGCTCTGGCTATGACTTCCAGTACTATATAGAAGAAGAGTGGTGAAAGTGGCATCCTTGTTTTGTTCCAGTTCTCAAAGGAAATGCTTCTAGCTTTTACACATTCAGTAAGATGTTGGACATAGATAACACTTGTTATTTTGAGGTATTTCTTTCACACCTAGTTTGTTGGAGGTTTTTTTTTTAATCATGAAAGAGTATTGCGTTTTATTGAAAGCTTTGTCAAGGTCTTTTGAGAGGATCATAGAAATTCTATGTTTGGTTAATAACCTTTATTGACTTGCAGATGTTAAACCAACCTTGCATCCCAGGAATGAAACCTACTTGACCATGTTGAATTAATTCTTTGATATACTGCTAGATTTGGTTTCCTAGTATTTTGTTGATAATTTTTGCATCTACACTCATCAGGGATATTGGCCTGTAGTTTCCTTTTCTCATTGTGTCTTTGCTAGGTTTTTGTATCATGGCAATACTGGCTTTGTAGAATGAGTTAGGGAAGAGTCCCTCCTGGATTGTTTTTTTTTTTTTTTTTTTTTATTTTCAGTAGAATTTGTACCAGCTCTTCTTTGTACATGTGATAGAATTTGGCTGTGAATCCATTTGGTCCAGGGCTTTTTTAGTTAGTAGATAATTTTTTTATTACTGATTCAATTTCAGAACTTATATTGGTCTGTTCAGGGTTTCAATTCCTTCCTGATTCAATGTTGGAAGAGTTTGTGTTTCCAGGAATGTATCCACTTTCTCTAGATTTTCTAGTTGTGTGCATAGAGGTATTCATAATAGTCTCTGAAGATATTTTGTATTTCAGTGGGATTGTTTGTAATGTAACCTTTGTCATTTCTGATTGTGCTTATTTGGATCTTCTCTCTTTTCTTCTTTGTGAATCTAGCTAGTAGTCTGTCAACCTCGTTCATCCTTTTGAAGAACCAACTTTTGTTTCACTGATCCTTTGTGTGGATTTTTTGGTCTCAATTTCATTCAGTTCAGCTCTGACTTTGTTTCTTTTCTTCTACTAGCTTTACAGTTTGTTCTTGTTTTCCTAGTTCCTCTACATGTGATGTATAATAATTAATTTGAGATCTTTCTTTTTGAGGTAGGCATTTAGCACTATAAACTTTCCCCCTAACACCACTTTTATTGTATTTCAGATATTTAAGTACTTTTGTCTCTGTTTTTATTGATTTCAAAGATCCTTCTTATTTTGGTCTTAATTTCATTGTTTACCCAGAAGTCATTCAGGAACAAATAGTTTAATTTTCATGTAATTGCCATCATTCTTTTTAAGCCATCAGTGGGGACATATCATAAAAAGCATGACATACTGCCTCCAATTAGCTGATGAAAGATGACATCTGTGCCAATGGGCCTGGACTGCAGATGACAGCTGTGCACTCTGGCCTTATTCCTTCATTTTCCTACATGAGCAGAGCACAATCTTGTAAACTCAGAGTGTGGACATGCTTCTAACTAGTAATATTTCCCTATCTACCTACCATCATTAGTTACCATTTTTTTCTGAGTATAAACTGCTTAATTTCAATGCTTTCAATTTCTGAAAATCAGGCAAAAAAGTAAAATCTGAAAAATATGCATGTCTCCAAACCAAAGTGGTTTTTGTTGTTGTTGGTGGTGGTGGTGGTGGTGGTGGTTCGTTGGTCCGTTGGTTGGTTTTTTTGTGCGTGTTCAATTTTAACCAAGTCAGCATGCTTGATTATGGTCTTTCAAGGTATGCCTCTCAAAGAACAATAAAAGCTGCATCACTCTAAAAATGGAAAACAGTTTGTAACTCTGAGGTGCCATAAATTCCCCAAAAATAGGTTACCATTTAAGTTGGCATCAAATTTACCTGAGGCAACAGCATTTTCATTAAATAGCTATGAAGAGATTTAAAAAAAGAACAAAACTAGCACTACCACCAAAAAATGGTAATTATCAAACAGGAATCCGTTGCCAAACTCTGAGAGAAAGCTAACCACAGTGACATTTATGTACGTGTAACAGGACTGGTAGGTGGTGATATGATTTGGCTGTGTCCACACCCAAATCCCATCTTGAATTGTAGTTCCCATAATCCCAATGTGCTGTGGAGGGGACCCAGTGGGAGATAATTGAATCATGGGAGTAGTTACCCCCATGCTGCTGTTCTCGTGATAATGAATGAGTTCTCATGAGATCTGATGGTTTTATAAGGGGCTTCCTCCTTTGCTCAGCTCTTATTCTCTCTCTTGCTGCCATGTGAAGAAAAATATGTTTGCTCCCCCTTCTGCCATGATTTTAAGTTTTCTAAGGCCTCTCCAGCCATGCGGAACTGAGAGTCAATTAAACCTCTTTCCTTTATAAATTATCCAGTGGTGGGCATGTCTATTAGCAGTGTGAGAAGGGAGTAATACACCTGGGTACTAGACCGTCTTTTCCTTGCATTTAAGTTCTGGGACCTGGGTTCAGTTGCAGAAAAGCAGAATTTGAGGCAATTGTATAGCCCTCTCCCTTTCTATGTGTGTTTAGAGATGGTGGCTCACAAGAGACAACAGAGCAGAGAATGCCAGCATATTGTCTGTGTGCTGGGGTGGAGTCTGTCAGAAGTGCTGGTGCCCTGTATTAATAACAGGAAGCTTTTTAGACACAGTGTGCTGGATATAATAGCTTTTTTTTCTTTAAGAAATTTTTTCATTCTGATAATCAGATTTAAGCACTGTGAGGAGAGGAAGATTTCATATTTAAGGATAATCATGTTTTTCCATTCCCCTATTTGTAAGGGATTCCTGATCTCTTACTTGTCCCTTTCCTCTTCCTCATGGAAGAAAGGTCGATAATATAGTTGATGTGTGGAAATCAGGAGCCTCTGGTTCTTTCGGTTGGAGCTCATCTAACAAGACCTTGAGTGTAGGGATGCAATCTTATCCTCCTTCCTCTTCACTCAGAAAGCTAGAAGCTGAAAGAAGACAAGCTGGCGTGCTCTATCGATTCAAGTTTCAACTTGAGAATGGAGCATAACAAACTCATTTTAGATTTCACGAAAAGCTACATCATCCAGCCAGGATGTTTTCAATAAAAAAAAAGTTGGGTTTGGTTCTCCACCTGCTGACTCTTGTCTGATTTATCAGTTGGTTCAGAACTTGAACAGGAAGGAGAGGTGGTATTCTTTGTGTTTCAGAGTACAAGACACAGTAAAAGAATGAACGCTAAAAATGCATGCAGTGGGTTAAAGGGTATGTACGTTAATGAATCTCAAACTGTATATTTGAAAAAGAACCCTCACCAAAGATCTATCACTGAGAGAAAGAATATTTCTCTAAACTTCAGAGAGAATATCTTATTTATATATTTTTTAAATGAGGTTATACAGTTACCTTTATGCATATGCATATTAAAGAATAGTAATTTGTTAGATCCAAACATTTTAAATATACCACAACATTTATAATACTGTATAGTGATATTTTTTGTTATTTTAAAATATACAAGATGCCTGAAAAATGGAAATGGTCTGGGTCTCTCCTGACCTCTAAAAGCTCTTAATGGGGCTATTCTGAAGTGGCTGAAGAGCTAGGTCAAAGACCAGCCCAGGCTCACTTCTGAGAGGTCTCTGTTCATTCAAATGTAAATAGAGAGGAAAACTGAGTGTTGCTAGGAAAAGGAATCTGCATGAACTCTAAAAAGGGAAAATGACCTGGAGATATATAAACCCTAGGTTTCCAGAAATTATTTGTGCACGAACCACCATAAATTCACATGAAAGTGTTTATTGTCCTCAATAAAATGCAAAAAGGCATTCTCTGAAACAGAAGCAGGAAGTCATAAGATCAAAGGGTTGTTGAGAAGTTCATTTATATTAGAAGGGTTGGGCAAGATTAAGAATGATTGGAGGAAATTAAAAGTGGAGAGTCATAACTGTGATACACATTGGAGACAATGAGGAACAAAATCCCTTCTATAGGTAAAATACATCTTTGTTGCAGAGGACAGATGTAAAACGTTTTCTAAGAATTTAGACAAAGGAAAGGCTAACATGAAATAAAGACATAGCATGAAGACGAAGGAGATCTGTGATCAGGGTTCCAAATGAAGGGACCAGAACAGAACTAACAAAAAGCACAGAAGACTATTTCATCTACCTATAATGACAGCAACAACCATAACCTTCCTGAGTTTAGCAAAATATAAAAAGGAAAACTTGAGAGACTGTACTGCGTGCTCAACAAAATCAGAAAAGAGAGCTACAAGAATGTACACGTGGTGATAATTTTTAAATTCTATGAGAGAGGTAAAAATATCCTTCAAGAATATTTGAAGGAAATGAGGAAAAGAAAAGGTTACTTAATAAAGCAAAACAGACTGGCTTCAGAATTATTACTACAACACTTAAAGTCACACAAGAAGAAGCCAGTAAGGACTCAGGTAATACAGTGTTTTAGTAAAAAGAAAAATGATAGGTGAATATACAACTCACTTAATGAATAAGAAAGCAAAATTAAGAACTTGAGATCAGAAGGATTATGGCATAAAAATATGATAGGCAAAGACTGAAATCAGTCAAGCATAGCATTGAGGCCACATAATTTTATAAACCTAGACACAAGAGTGGAGGCATGTATTAAAAATCACTTTTGAATGAGAAAGTTTAGGATGGCGAAAACTAAATGATAACCTATGCTAAAGAAGGTATGCAACAGAAGAAAATAAACTCCCTGAATAAAAGAGTTAGTCTAAATGTAGGATATCACAGTATTATTACTAATGATGAAATAAAGGTGGAAATGCAGTTGTGAGTACTTATAAGTGTAAGTAAATGTTTATGATGCTATTAATAGAATTTAATAAGTCTTGTAAATAACATAAAAACCTCAGACATGAAATTGAAGGAATGGCAATAGTAAGAAAATGTAAAACGAGATGACAAAGTCAGACTAAATGTACACATTATAATAAAAGTAATAAATTTATTATAAAATGTATACACTACAGGATGTTTATAAGAAACACAAAATGATTCCAAAAGGTTCTAGGTAAAATGATAGGCAAAGAATTGCCAGTTTATTGTACAAGTAAAGAAAGCAGAAGTTTCAGTATTATTGTGGATGAAGTAGAATTCAAGCAGAAACACAATAAATGGTGAACAAAATCATGTGCTTATTGGCAATGGATAATACTCTTAATGCGAATGCGCAAATATAAAATATTAAACACAAATATTAACTTTATTTTTGACAAAGGAGAAATTAGATATGGCTCCCAAACTCAAAAATAGCTGGGGGCAGGGAGTGGGCAAGGAACTGTTAAAACAAAAGATTGTAATGCAAAATGCCTAATGTACCTCCGCATTAATTCAACAAAAACTTGAGATTCTTTCTCTGTGACATAACTCAAGCTTTGAGAATGCAGTGGCGAATAAGCAGATGTGCTTCCCAACTTCACCATGTTTGCAGTCTATTTTGAATAAAAGGAATAATACAAAGAAGAGAACAATGAACAGCCATGGAAACAAAGTGAAGGAAGGTTTTGGTGATGAAAATCTGCAGATGTTTCACTCATTTCACATCAGGTTGGTAGAAGCTGCTTTGTCAAGTGTATCCTGCTATGTTAGGTACATGAAGAAAATATACAAAAAGGCACACCAAATTAGCATCAACTACTGCAAAAATAAATAAATAAAAATTCTCACAAGAAAATTAACTTTTTCTTTTTTTAAAGAACATGGTCCAAGAATTGCTTCTTTCCAGACCATGGGCCCACACATTTTTACAAGCTTTGCTGATACATCTCCCCCAGCCAGGTTAACAGAAAGAGCAAAATTGTTCCCAGAGAAGGTATTAAAAGCATGGCCATGATCCTGTGCATCATTTGCTGCCAACAGACACAAAAGGGATGGCTTGTGTATTCTCCAGGCTCATCAACTGCAGACCTACCAGTGGCTCATTTGGTCCCTTCCTTTGTGCCTGGCACCCTATCCCCACTTATTGAAAATATTTAATAGAACAGAACCTTCTTTTCTTGCATTTAGCCGAAATAAAATTAGTTCACAGTAACAGATTGTTACCTTGACTAACTGGACATACTAACAGACTGAGATGTGTGGCAATACATTTCCTCTTATGACATTTTTGTCTGGCAGCATAAGATGACTACAAATGGCATCTTTACTGACACACAGACCAGTTCTATGTTTCGCAAGTGTTGATTTTACTCCTGATTTTCTCTGCAGTCTTCTAGAGGTTGAGCATGACTCTTTCGTTCATTTCCCTTTGGATTTTCCATATTTAATCATTTTCAAGTAATAATTTAGCTTGATAACATGAACTTGGATTTAGGAGAAATCCCTTTAAGACTTCACCACCAGAAACAATATGGGGTGTGTACCTCATGCATTCAGTAGCAATGTATTGTATATCTGTTTTGTGATATCACTGATGGTCAAGAGACATTGAATTGTGTATTGCTCTCTTCTTCCCAGCTGTGAAACGTTCTAGTTTCTGAGTCTGGATTTTATTTTATTTTATTTAAAAAACGAATTTTGAAACGAGGTCTCTTTGTTCCATTACAATAATTTTCAGTACTCTCTTCATCTCTTATTAAGTCATTCTGTGCCTTCTCTCAGAGCACATTGTGACTGAAGCATTAATTAGCCTTCAGAGATCCTCAGACATGCTTCTTTCAGCAAAGATCTGACATTTGGGGACTGTCAGTCACTTGGAGTTATACCGAATAAAAAATTCATATTAAACATTTCAACAAGGAGTTCATATACAATGGCAGAGGGAGATGGAAGATTGATAGAGTAGAAGGGAGTCTGTTTAAACTTTATATATTAGACAACATGGGGTAAATGACGTTTGGAATTAATGAAGCATATAATCATAATTACATGGCTGGTTCATCATCCTACCTTCCAAACTGTGCCTGAAATCAGCTAATGGCGTAATACATGTACAGTTTCTTGTCCAGAGCCTATCTATCATGGCATGAGTATTCAATAGCTTAGCCAACATTGTCAATAAGAAGCTGTTTCTCTAGCACAAAAATGTATTAGGCGCTAACCAATGAGATAGCTGCAGCAGGCTTAACAAAAAAGCTTACATTTTCTGTTCTTGCCTTTTCTCTTTGACCAGATTTCACAGATTTGAGAAGGTGGGATGACATGGAGGAAAGCTGATGTTATGAAAGCAAGGAGTTCTTCCACAGGCTCCCCCTTGCTCAAATTAGCGTTGAAAAAATGGAAATGAAAGATGGAAACTGATGTTTATTAAATGGCTACTATATACCACGGGTGTCGCCTATACCAATAGATGCAGTATTTCATATAGAATAGATGATCAATAAATGTTGAAATCAATAAATAGATGTATGATTTATATGTATATGTATGTATATACATGTATATTATACGTCATACATCTGTATTATGTATGTATATACATGTATATTATACGTCATACATCTGTATTATGTATGTATATACATGTATATTATACGTCATACATCTGTATTATGTATGTATATACATGTATATTATACGTCATACATCTGTATTATGTATGTATATACATGTATATTATACGTCATACATCTGTATTATGTAAGTATATACATGTATATTATACGTCATACATCTGTATTATGTATGTATATACATGTATATTATACGTCATACATCTGTATTATGTATGTATATACATGTATATTATACGTCATACATCTGTATTATGTATGTATATACATGTATATTATACGTCATACATCTGTATTATGTATGTATATACATGTATATTATACGTCATACATCTGTATTATGCATGTATATACATGTATATTATACGTCATACATCTGTATTCATGTATATACATGTATATTATACGTCATACATCTGTATTATGTATGTATATACATGTATATTATACGTCATACATCTGTATGATGCATGTATATACATGTATATTATACGTCATACATCTGTATGATGCATGTATATACATGTATATTATACGTCATACATCTGTATGATGCATGTATATACATGTATATTATACGTCATACATCTGTATTATGCATGTATATACATGTATATTATACGTCATACATCTGTATTATGCATGTATATACATGTATATTATACGTCATACATCTGTATTATGCATGTATATACATGTATATTATACGTCATACATCTGTATTATGTATGTATATACATGTATATTATACGTCATACATCTGTATTATGTATTACACATGTATATTATACGTTATACATGTGTATTATGTATTACACATGTATATTATACATTACACATGTGTATTACACATTATATATGCATATGTACATTATACATTATATGTACAGTGTGTTAAATATATGTGTTACATGTATAATATACATACATTATATAATACATATATGTATGTGTTACATATGCATATGTATTATACATTATATGTAACACATACATACGTGTATTATATATCATACATGTAACACATGCATGTATTACATATACATATGTGCATATATATACATAAATACATGTGTCTGGAAGTATAAAGTGGTGGTAAAGACCATGGAGTTTTGTTTCATGGACTTGGGCCCACGCTCAGGCAGTACATCATTAAGCAAATGGAACTATAATGACTGCTGTCACAACTTTTCTTTTCCAGGTTATTACTGTTAATATATCCCTCACCATCCCATAACTTTTACTTTAATAATTCTCAGGGAAGATCTTGTCATCTCCCTGAAAAAGTCATGTCTGAGCATGAGCCCCCAGATTCAGATTGAGATCCTTATGGAATCTCTGTACATTTCAATATTTTTCCTAAATCCCTTATGAGGTTAGTGGTTTATTTTCCCAGCCTATGGAGGGAAGCTCTGGCAAGAATACTGCATAGGAACAGCCAGGATGACCTATGGGATGCCATCCAGGGCCCTCCTTCCATGATGGGAAGTCCAGCCACGCGCTGCTAACAGTGAAATGCAATGTGGCCCATTCTCTTTCACTATAAGGATAGACAGCTGTTCACTGACCATATCCATTTACACCACTCATTTACTGTGACATTTGCGGTTTGAATATCTGTTTGCCACATCCTAGCTCTGTTAACACTTTGTATATGATCTGACATAACAGAGAGCATAAACTAACCTTCCTCCCAGCTCTGTATTTGATCCAAAAAGCAAGTCCTGGTATTTCCTTTTTCCCATGATTAAAACAACAACAAAAAAAGAATATCGTGTATTGCTACTTAGAGTACTCACAGGAAACAATGGAATGCTCAATATGTTTAAAGAACCAATAGGCGTTCATGATAGTCTCCGGGATTAATGACAGTGGATGACTTGATATGAATGGGGGAAAGAAAAGGAAGAAGGTGGCCGGGAGCAGTGGCTCACGCATGTAATCCCAGGACTTTGGGAGGCTGAGGTGGGTGGATCATGAAGTCAGGAGATCAAGACCATCCTGGCTAACACAGTGAAGCCCCGTCTGTACTAAAAATACAAAAAATTAGCCGGGCGTGGTGGCGGGTGCTTGTAGTCCCAGCTACTCGGAAGGCTGAGGCAGGAGAATCTCTTGAACCCGGGAGGCGGAGGTTGCAGTAAGCCAAGATCGCACCACTGCACTCCAGCCTGGGCGACAGAGCGAGACTCAGTCTCAAAAAGAGAGAGAAAGGAAAGAAGGTTCTTGGAACCTGGGAAGAGCTAGAATGGTGGAAGAGGCAGTGCAAGGCAAGAAGTGTAGCCATATACAAATGCAGCTACTGCTCAAACCAAACAGGCAGGGAGAGAACAGTGGGGAATAAACACCCTGACCTTTCTTCTTTTGTTCCTTGAATTTTGTTTGACGTCACCTATTGGTTGGTCACTACTGAGTATCAGAGGACAGGCTGGCTAGACCGATGCAGTAGAAGGTAGCTATGTGGACAGAGAGTGGCAGAGAAGGCATAGTGGAGCTGGGATAAGGGCAAGCATAGGAGAATCAGTACCATTTTGTCTTTTCCAGCCCTGGGTCTCCCTCCAGCTGCCGCCCTCTCTCCCTTCAGCTTTACAAGCTTCAGAAAAGCTTGCTGCTATAGGGCTCGCCTCCTGTTGAACATTGACACTGGGAAATCCAGCATTTATTTCCGCCTCTGCTCTGAACCTTCTTTGACCAAGTCACACTGGCATCCTTATGGCTAAATCCTACATCCGTTCTTTAGTTCTCTTGTGGCAAAACCTCCTCCCACGTGGGCCGTCGTTCTCCTCTGCTCCCTTCTTTACTGTTTTGGCAGTCATTGTAAAGATCATGTTAATGACAAAACAAAACAAACCAACAACAGAATCCAAGAGCAAAATGATTGTTTACAATACCATCCTGTATTTAATTTCAGATTTATTATTACTTTCTGAAACAGGGTCTTGCTGTGTTGCCCAAGCTGGAGTGCAGTGGCACAATCTCAGCTGGCTACAACCTCTGCCTCCCAGGTTCAAGCAATTCTCATGCCTCAGTCTAGTGAGTAGTGGGGACTATAGGCACATGCCACCATGCTCAGCTATTTTTTCTTTTTTCTTGTTGTATTTTTAGTAGATACGGGGTTTCAACATGTTGGCCAGGCTGGTCTCGAACTCCTGACCACAAGTGATCTGCCTGCCTCGGCCTCCCAAAGTATGGGACTACAGGCATGAGGCACCACGTCTAGCCTAATTTCAGATTTGTATTTGTTCATTATTTCTAGTCTGTATGGCATTTCACTTAGCACACAGAGCATATTGCATCATTTTGCCAGTTTCTTTCTTGTATTCCCCTCCTTCCCTTTCCTACCTCATCCGACTTAAACCATGTGAAGAACCTCACACGTGTGTTCTTCATATCTTTCTCCATGACCCATACAAGCATATGCAAAACTATGTATACACATGTAAGGTGACTTTAATGTGCTGGTTTTTTGTTTTAATGGCGCACACACACATAAAATAACACCATATATGTTTCTCTACAACTCCACTCTCAATATAATGTAAATTATCCTAGGATGATTTGCCTGGAATTTATTTTGTTTTATAATACTTTACCTCGTGGCTTTCCAGACGAGCATCAGGCTTGGCACAGCTTATCCATCTGGCTAGGTAGGTGTCTGTTCTTTATTCAATTCAAGATGAACTCTCCTTTAGTCAAAAACAAGAAATCTCTAAAGGAGCCACCAAGCTCCTTCTTGAAATATTCTGTGCCCATAGTTTCTGATATCCCTCTGTCCTGGTTTTCTTCCTCAAATTCTCTCCCCACCTGTGTGTGTGAAATCCTCCTTCTCTGTTTCCTTTCTTCATGCTTACCTTTGACTCAACTTTTTCTGTGATAACAATGCTTAATAAACAACCCTATAATTTTATTGGCTTAAAATCACAAACATTAATCTGAAAAGGCTGATTTTACATTTCTAGTGAATTTCTGATAAGTAATTTCCCCTGGAGTAATGTCTTACGTACGTTTTTGTGTGCCAGCTTATTTCCTACAAATCCTTTTTTCATATTTTAATTTTCCTGAAGCCTTTCTCCAAGCCTCTCTATGCCAAAAAATAAATAATAAAGTAAATCATAAAGTTTTTCTTGGAAATCAGTACAAGGTGCTGTGATGAATAACAAACTGGAATTAACTCTGTCTTTCTTAGGCCATCATACGGGACTCAGGTCTGGGTAAGCCTCCTCTCGGTCTTGTTAATACAAGGCCAAATAGTTGGTTGTATCTTCATTATTTATTTCAAGTCTTCAAGGAATAAAAACACTGGTTTTTCTAACCTTGACTGTTATTATATGAAAATCGATCTATATCATTATATCTTAGTAGTGTCTACAAAAGGGACCAAATATATTAGTGTCTAAAAACAATACATAGAATACGGAAGTCAATATATATCCTCCCAGTCAGAGATTTAAATTTAGAAATTTCTAATTATTGTCCTCACCACAGAAATTCAAGAAGTGAGTGTGCCACTCTCCTTCATGGAAAATTAGGGTTGGCCAAGTTCCAGGGGGTAGAAATAGGGTTTTGTAGGGCTTTAGCTATACGGTGGAAAATACGTAACTTAGAAAATATGAAGAGATAAGGTGGTGAAAAAATGCAAGAAAACATAAAGGAGAACCAAGATCCTGAGTCCAAGGAAAGCACATAAAATCCCACAGCTGGGAGCCAGAATAGGGGATTCAGACATAAGTTACAAAGCTGAGAATTGCGCACTCTGGACAAGTGAAAATCGGGGAGGTGAATGAAGGTCCTATTTTCTAGAAATGTTTTCAAATATCAGGGCAGCTCAGAGTGATAAAAGCCCAAGTCATTTCCATCTTTTGACTAGTTCAGCTTTTTAAACATCATAATAAATGCTCAATCAGAAGTATAAAAATTGTGATATAGTTTAATGCTCACTTTTAACAAATTAATCCTTTTAACAAAAGCTTTGTAATGCAATGCAACTGTGCCATCCACAAAGCAATGATCAAACTTTGAATTAAAAAAACACACATTTGTAGTACCTGTTTTGGTTAAGTTTGGGAAACCAAGTAAGTTGAATGCTGTGTTCTTTCAATTTTGTCAATATTTATCTGTAATTGAGTATATAATCTAACATTTACATTAGCAATGTAAACTTTACATTAACAATATAAGGTCTTTAATGAATGTGAGGCTTGGCTCAAGTCTCTTGGCCTCGTCATATCTGTCCCTCCCAGGATAAATCTTTTAAATCTCAGCTGGCCACTCATCTTTATTATTGTGATGAGTTTGGCTGACCTCAGGGTTAGCATCAACACTATATGAATTTATATAGCCATGAAAAAACTGATTTAACGTTTCTGGGGCATCTCTGATGGGTAAATTACCTTAGAGACATGTTTTATTTACGTTTTTGTTTGTTGACTTCTTTCACTCTCTTGCATGCAAATCTTTGTGTCTTAATTTGCCTGGACTTGTAATTCTCATGACCACAGCAAGACTAAAAGGGAATCTTTGGAAAGTGCTTCTTTAATTTGATGAATACAGACGGGTAATCTGAATAAATTCTGTTAAAGTATATTAATTATCCATTGTGGCAGTCCACACTAATCAATTTCACCAGAGGTTGCTTGTGTTCTAGATCGTTTTCTGCATGGAAGTCATAGTCGAAATCATTATTAGGACCCATGTAACAGAGAACATTAGGGACATATCAAAGTTAGCAAAATAAATAATGTAATATTTATAGAACCTCTTCACTTACAGTTGTCTTTATATTAATAGCCTACTTTTTTTAAAGAATAACATAAGTAACTGCACATAGGAAAAAGCTCGATTATAGTAAACTAAAGGAAAAAAAAAGATCCTCCATTACAGAATCTAGCACTTGGAAACTCCATAATATATAGCCTAGCTCTTTACATTTTTTTTTTGAAAAGTGTATGTATTTAAAGTGTTCCCTTAATATCTTTGAAGATAGATTTTTGAAGTCAACTTTTTAATTTTAAAATAGCTACATGTGCTTCAAATCTGGTGGTTCAAGATAATTTAATCTCCCTAAGGATATAACTCTTACAGCTGTAAATGACAAAAAAAAAAAAAAAATCCATTGATTTAATCAAATAAGGAATGTACTGAATCATACAACTGGAATGCCTGGGGTGTGGACTGCCACAAGTCTTGCTTCAGCTAGGGTTAGATTCAAGGGCTTAAATCAGAAAAATATTAATTTTTTCTATCTCAGATCTATTTTCATCAAGGTTAACCTCTTCTCCAGGTAGCATTCTCTTTCTCTATATGTAACATAAAGGTCATTTATTACTCTAAAATTACATTCTACCAGTTTATCAACCAAGGAAATAGTGCCTCTTTCCTAATCTTTCCAGCAAACCTCTCAGGTAGGATGCCCATTATCTCAGCTCTAGTCACAGGCTCATCCAGGAACTGATCCTGTGGCTGAGAAATGAGGTGGCCTTAATGCCTCTACTGGAAACATGTAGAAGGAGAATGGAACAAAGGTGTCTTCCAAGGAGAACACCTAGAAGCAAGAGAGATGAATTTTGGGTGGGTAACGACAACTTGTTCATTAGAGAGCAGGATTATGCCTGCTTTTCCTCTGGCCCATACTGCATGCCTCACTCCTTCCCTGCAGCATCTACCTGTTAAAACGCACATGGTAAAAAGGAGTACATGTTGAATAAATCAAGGCATGAGTTTCGTTTCAGAGTAGAATGGGAAATTGATTGGCTCTGAAATCAGAGAAAACTGTTTTCTAATTGTGGGTCTACAACATACTGAGAGATCTTGGGGAAAATTAATGTGTGTGCTTTCATCTTCTCTTATGTAAGTCAGGGATAATACAGGGATTTTTAAGAGAAAAAGATGTGAATATATGTAAATTACATAGTCGAGGCCTTTTTGTTTGAAAAAATTAAGTCTAGTCTCCATTAAAATACAATTCCATTCTACTAGAATTATCATTTAAATTTAACTTATTTGAAATTTAATATTTTATTAAAACCTAATTGATTTTTTCATAGGATTAAATAATGTAATTTAGTATCTATTGATTTGGGTTCAGACATATTAAATAAATTTTAATGCAATGTCTTTGTGTTTTTCATAAAACAAAATTGAAACACATTATTTAAGGACATTCTACACTTGACCTATTTTCTTATAAAAATATGTGCCTGCCCCTTTAATGTTTGGAACGGGTAGATAATTCTGTCACTTTGTGTAAGTGTATAAAAGAGGGAGAAAAATAATGATGTTTTATGTCCTGAAACAAATAATATTTTACTCTTTCCATTTCTGTTTACCCCAGCCTCCGGAGGACTTAGAGGCAATATTGTGGAAGAGTTATCTTTTGTATATGTAATAGACCAAAGAATAAATATTAAATCCGCTGCTTCACTTCTCCTATCTGTTTCCCCAATGTCCCAAGTGGGGTCAACTCTGATATCTTTTGCTATTACAACAATCCCAGAAAGATAAAAGGGACTGGCATGCTAACCTAAGGAAACTACCTATTGACAATATTTTTGTTGTGATTTAAGAAAGAATAAGCCTATCAACAAATACACTTCTTCAGTGGTGGATGACATAAAATTTAATCATGCATAGTCCTTCTTTTGGATACACTGGCAAAAAATAAGATGCCAAAGTGGCATTCAGCATATGGAACACTGAAAAAAACATTCTACAACAGACTTTTCTACGTTGTCCCATCAAAAATAGTTCAGGTAGGTGTTAAAGAAAAACTATTGTAGACATGTCTAGACAACACCAAATCCTGTCCCTGTGCACATTTTGGAAGAACTAGGGCCTGAGTGGGGAAAAAAGCCCCAAGGTATTTTGGAAAAGGCTAATGTGTTTGCTTCCTGGAAGAAGCAACACCTGATAAGTAAAATATTTAAATAGGAAGTGATTCACCCTATTGCTGTTAGTCCATTGGGCTGTCATCATACATTATAGACATGACTCTAGACAGTGTCATTAGAGAAAGTTCACTGACAGTGTAATCAGTTCAATCCCTGGTGATCTTCTTCCTAAACATTGTCTAGATTCATCTATCCCCATACTTGGTAAACATTTTCGCTAACAAGCCTCTTAATAAAAAAGAACAAACTCCCATTCCCCAAGTATGTGGAGATTCGCCCAAAGTAATGACACATTCTTCAAGGTTTTTTATTTTAAAAAGCAATTTGCATCTCAGCTTCTATATAATTGAACAAGTGTGCTTGCTTCGGTGAACTGTATAGTGTAAAAATACTCATTTGAGTTTATTCCCATTGAACTGACCAGATCTTTAAGTACAAATGTGTGCAGCAGCTAGATTTGTGTGACTCCAGCTTTAATATTTATTTCACAACACCGTTCTACAAGCACCAAGAGGAATGGAACTGTGACTCATTTCTTCATTGCTGTACCCCCAGGGTCTAGTCAGTACCTGGTAAAGAGTAAATACTTGATAAATGTTTGTTGACTGAATGAAAGAAATAAGTAATTAACATGCCGTGTGTATCCTCAGCCTTCCCATTTTCTCAGTGCACACCCCCAAGAGGATGTGTACTTCCATTTGAAAAGCACTGCTCGATAGGATGCAAATTGAAGCCAAGAATCAGAATTCACAGAGACAAATTAATGAAACAATTTTCTCTTCCCTTCTGTGATTTTATTAGCTGAATTATGGGTGCGGCTTATTTCATGGATCAAATGACCGAGTCTTCTAAGTCTGTGGGCTCGGTACTCAGCAATTATCCAGTTAATATGATTAATGTCGACAGTAAAAATGAGCATCAGCTTGGTCACGGGGGTCTCATGTTTCTGAGGCTTGGAAACCACATCGAATCTGCGGAAGAAATGTTCTTTTGAAGGAATTAAGCTCCGGAGGATACCTTGTTCCTATCCACTGCCTCCATATGTCTTCTGCCCTCTCATTCTTCCTCCTCCTTCTCGGATAACTCAATATTTTTTCAGATCTTCATTTCTGGCCATGCTGCATGTATGTATGTTGTCAGTCTGAATTACTTCTAATTTCTCAAGCATCAGAAAGACAATCCTGTTAAAACATGATGGCAAAGCCCTGACTAGACAGTTGGGTATGATGGCCTATGGTCATGTGGGAGAGGAAAATAATCGCTGATTAAAAATATTATTTTACCTCAGAAATGCTCACTTTTTAAGGGAAAAGTTGTCTTAAATCCAATACCAAAAATAAAAAAATCAGTGAAGGGCATTTGGGCTACCTTTTGTTGAGCACATCTCAGATGCTACGTACTTAAAAACATGAACCTATTGAACCGATTCACCTCTCTGCACCAACCTGAGTAGGAAGGTCCTGCTGTCCTCTGAAGACAGGGCAGGGAGACTCGAAACAGTGAAGCCTCTTGCTCAATCATAGGTGAACCTTGGCAGAACAAGGGTCCAGTGCCGATCCGACCTAAGGAAACTACCTTTGACAATATTTTCTGTTCTGGTTTAAGAGAGAATAAGTTTATTAGCAAATATACTTCTTCAATAGTTGATGACTTAAATTTCATTAGGCCTAGCCCTTGTTCTCATACACTGGCAAAAAAGTAAGATCCCAGAGTGCCATTCAGCTTATGGAATGCTGAAAAAAGCATTTCTACAACATTACTTTTGTATGTTCCCCTATCTAAAATAGTTCAGGTAGGTGTTAAGTAAATAAATACTATTGTAGTCATGTCTGGACAACACCAAATCCTATTCCTATGCAGGTTGGATCATCAAAGCAAGGATGTAAAGGATTAAACAGAAGTTGTGGATACAGAGTGGAAATTTGGTCAGAGACGCAGATAGAGAATTAATCACAATTAATAATTTTAACTTAAAAGCTCTGTCTGGAAAATCTGAATTCTTAACCACTGTGTTACATTTATTTTGGCTCTGTAGCAGGTCAAAGACAGAACTATCAACTGAGCAACATCTAATGTAAGACTTTTTAAGTCTGGCGCACGCACGTACACACGCAGAAAGAATAAGCATATTTCAGTATATGTGGCCGGGTAAAAATGACAATGAATTATTCTTGCAACCAAATTCAATAGTCTGAATAGGACAAAGTGAAATATTGTCACTTTATACCTCTTGATTATGTTTTAATATCTCCTAATACCACAGCTAATCTTCGGGGTACTAGAATAGCTTGTTGAAATCATGTAATTTGAAGGCTTCACCTAGAAATCTTCCATTTGAAATTTGGCCATCAACATATTACTCTATCACCTGGAATGAAACTTTACCAATGGGCTGAGACTCACATTTATTTTAAATTTCTCTTTACAATGCAAAATATGCTCATGACAGACAGCACATATTGCCATAAATCCCATTTAGATCCCATTTTTTGGAGTGATGACTATATAAGAGTTCTAGTTTATACAACCTCAAGTGGGTTTTTTTTTGTTTCGAGACAGAATTTTGCTCTTGTTGCCCAGGCTGGAGTGCAATGGCACAATCTCGGCTCACCACAACCTCCACCTCCCAGGTTCAAGCAATTCTCCTGCCTCAGCCTCCCGAGTAGCTGTGGGATTACAGGCATGCGCCACCATGCCCCTCTAATTTTGTATTTTTAGTAGAAATGGGGTTTCTCCATGTTGGTCAGGTTGGTCTCAAACTCTCGACCTCAGGTGATCCACCCACCTCAGCCTCCCAAAGTGCTGGGATTACAGGCATGAGCCACTGCACCCAGCCTGTCAGGTGGGTTTTTATCATCTGCATTTGCAGAAAGACAAGGGATTTTCCCAAGGCCACACAAATCAGATATGGTAGAGCTTGGATATTGGGCACTTTTCTTTAGCTTTTCCCATTGTGAACTTTCATATTCTGTAAGGAAATTTAGAAATGAGTACCCTAACAGAGCCCTAAGAAAATGGGACACTGAGTAGTGAGTTTTCATAAGACTTATCAATAGAGGACAGGAACAAAAACGTGCTCATGGCAGGGGTACATGTTCCAGCAATAGTCACAGTGACAACATGAAGATTCCCAAGGGCTAAAGTTAAAGACTAATCCTCATCAGTTCTCAGATTTGCCAAAGAAAGCCCAACTATAAGGATTGGTGACAGTTAATATGATTAATGAAGACAGCACACTACATTTAATAAAGTGTTTTGTCAGCAAAGATATCTTCCATTTTGAGCAATTTAATTTCAAGAAGTTCATATTCTATTCAGGAGGGGATGCCTAAAATACCTCATCTGAAAAAATAAAGAATTGCATAAAATATTTAAATAGAAAATGTATAGTATGTGCACATGTGGTATGAAGAGCTGTATAACTGTTACTTGAAGAAGGCATTCAGTGTGAGTCTTCCAGGTTCTCGGTGTGTTGAACAAAGAATTGAACAAAATGCACAAAGTAACAAAAGAATGAAACAGTGAATGTAGGGATTTACTGAAGTGAGAAAGCACTCCACAGGGTAGGAGTAGGCCTGACTCAGTGACTCAAGGGCCTAGTTACAAAATTTTCTGGGGTTCCGTACCTTTTAGAAGTCTCTTATTTGTTACCACCTATGTGGATGAAGGATTTGACCCATAGCCAACCCGAGGCCAGAATGGATTGGTGCCTTATGCAAATGAAGGAATGGCCTACGCTTGCCCAGGCCAATCAGGGGCACTTTGCATTTCCCATATGTGACCCAGTGGAAGGGAGGAGGTTGTAAGGAGAGTAGCCTTTTGATCCTGTGTTATTTGGGTCTGGGAGGTGGGTTCCCCTTTTGATTCAGTTTTAGGAAGTCAGTGCAAATTGGCCTTCGGTAGGTACCCTGTCTCCAGACCCTATTCTCCTGCCTCAACTGCAAGGTGGGGAAGGGTGAATTGTGGTGTCATCTGCATTGCAGTGATAGCTTGAAATCTGGGATGGTTGAAAGCCACGAAGGAAGCTGGAGAGATGGCAGCACTTAAAATACCTCAAGTACAGGCATTGGGGAAGCCCTACATTTAGGGCGAAGAGGAGGATTTCCAGGACACAGACTAGAAGTGGCTAGGCAGGCCAGGGTGAAGCACGAGGATTGACTTGGGTCGTCAAAGCAAGGATGAAAAGGTTTCGGTAGAAGTTGTGGATACATTGAGACTGGAAATTTGGCCAGACATGCAGATAGAAAACTAATCACAAGAATAATTTTAACTTAAAACAAAAATGAAATATCTTTCAACTAATATGTAAACAGAAAAACTCCATTTCTGCAGGTCTTTCTTTTGAATTTGGAAATGCTCTGATTTCATGTGCCAATTATGTTTCCTAGATCATGCAACCTTGCCACAGCCATGTATAGAATATAGAGCAATTGTGTTTTCCCCAAACATGATGAAGAAGCATTTTTACCCATGCAGTGGACTCCTGGTGAACTTCATTATTTTCCCTTTCTTTTTTCATTGCTACCTTCGCCTGCCTTTTCACAAGCACAGACTTGAACATTTGCTACTCTCTTTATCTCTCCAAAGGCCCTGTTTTATTTCTCAGTAGCTGCCCCGTTTCTAAGGAGGTGAAGTTCCCTTTCAAAGCTGAACTTCAGACTGCACCTTGACCATTATTACTGCAACTCTCAGCTCCAGGACAGCGTTTAAGGCAGACTAACCAGAGACCTGCTTCCCCAGCCTGCAATTGAGGAGAAAAAAGCAGACTATAGCAGGAGGAATTTGCGGTGGATTGTATGGTATTGCTCACATGAAGCTTCTTGGTATTTTTCTTTATATGAGATCAATTTCTACACTTTTCTTCAACTCTTTCCTTCCTGGACTTTTATGAGGTCAAACTACAGATAAAGGCAAACTCATAGAGGCAACAAGAAAGGAGATGGACTGTTGGTCTTTATTTTCTTCCTCCTCTTGATAATCTTACCCCTTCTCTTCATTCCTCCTCTAAAATTTACCCCAAAATTGAGCTTTATGGATGGTAGAGAGTTAGTGATTTATTATTCTCTAGCAAGAGTATTTTTCCTTTCAGATGTGTGTCTTTAGAAGTCCTATTTTAATGTGCACAGGTACCCCACAGATAGATTGAAAAAGAGGATATCTGCAAAAGCCCAGTTAGCCAATTTCGTGAGTGTGATCAAAGGAGTTCAAAGGCAAATTCAGGTCTCAAGGAAAGAGATACGGGAAATGAAACAGACCAAAGCCTGTTCTACTCAACCTAGTGGAGGACAGAGGCTTTGAGGATAAGGGAAGAGGAGGAAGAAACTAAGAAATAAAAGAGGTCAACTCATGATTGAGCTAGAAAAACTACAACTGGAAAAGAGGTTATAGGTGGCAATTTAGGGATTTCTGAGTAAGACTGGGACTTGAAAATAAGTATCTAGATCTCCCCTCCTGTCTCTTCACTGAAGTTTCTAAAGGCACATTAAGGTGTGGGGAAAACACTTTTAGAGCTGAGGACTTCAGAAGGAGGTCATCAGCAGGTGAAAGTTTGAGTTTTTCTCATGAAAAATAGAACTAGATTGAAAGAAGGAAGACACAGCAGGGAAACTCCACCTCCACTACTCCACCAGCTCTAAGAAACATCTTTAGGATGAAAGCCTAGAGGACCATGTCAAAACCTTATTAACACAACCTAAACCAGAAGAGAAAGTACTGGAGCTAAAATTGGGCCATTTCCTGTGAACCCTCTGTGAAATTATGACCAAAGAAAGTAGAAGGGAACATCAGCCTTGGGATAAATGTGTTGCCTGCAGATAAACAGTGTAGCAGATCCCATCTGGGGCTCTAATTCTTAACCTCTCTCGACACCCGCACCTTTTGCTAAGTGACATCAGAGCTGTCTTCCCTTGCCTGCCCCACGGGCAGAGTAAACCCCACTCTACCTCCTGACTTAACAGTGTGGCCATGTGACTTGCCTTGGCCAACAGAACAAGGCAGTGATGCTGATGTGCCAGTGCAGGGGTGACACCTTAAGGGACCTTGCATAATGCCATTCACATGGGACAGAACTAACCCAGAACAACCTGCTGATCTTGGCAGAGCAGCCAACCCCCAAGCTCAAAAGCTAAATACTTGCTTTTTGTTGTATGCTGTTCGAGATTTTTGTGGTTGCTTTTTTCACAGCAATAAGTTATCAATATAATACACAAGGGCTTGTCCCTAATCTACCAAAGATCATAGTGGCCTAGACCTGCTATGTGACCATGAAAATAAATGACAAAATGTTTTGAAAACAAGGAGTTCCTGCAAATGAATGCACCAAAACCATAGAAATCAGATCCAAAGATGGATAAAGGAAACCAGAATGAATGTTGTTCTTCTTGCCCTGGATGGGCAGGTTGACTTAGTAATGTAAATCAGTGTTGAAGCTATTCACATATTTTCTTTTCTGGATTCACTTATTTGACATTAATCCAACAAATATATTTTAATGCATCCACTATGTATTAGGCAATAAAGTGCTTTGGAAAAAGTGCGGAGGAGCAGGCAGACACGGTTCTGGCCTTCAGGAAGTTTGATGTCCATCAATTCAGGAAGCATGCAAGGCGTGTTTTGATTTTTTGCCGGTCACTATAAAGGAGAAGATAATGGAGTAACTTGCATACAGTTATGGAGGGCAAATAATATCCCATAAGAATTGCTTACGGAAACAAGTGTTTTTGAAGACAATAAAGAGTTGTTTGTCAAACAAAAATTAGAAGTGTATAACATTCATATTGTCTTCCTTAGCCCTCCCCACAAAAAACTAATATGTATACTGCAACCAACCAATAATAAGAAATTCATAAAACAATTAAAGATTAACATTAAAACTAGGCCTGGGCATGGTGACTCATGCTTGTAATCCCAGCATTTTGGGATGCCAAGGTGAGAGGATCATTTGAGGTCAGGAGTTCAAGACCGGCCTGGCCAACATGGTGAAACCCCGTCTTCTAAAAAAAACAAAAATGAGCTGGGTGTGGTGGTGCATGCCTGTAATCACAGCTAATCAGAAGGCTGAGGCATGAGAATCACTTAAACGTGGGAGGCGGAGGTTGCAGTGAGACCAGATCCTGCCGCTGCTCTCCATCCTAGGTGACAAAGCAAGACTCTATCTCAAAAAAACAAAAAAAAAAAAAACAAAAAAAACAAAAGCCATTTAAGCATGGAGGACAGCCTAAATAATTACTAAATACATAAATGTTTTTAAAATTTTAAATTTACTTTTAAAAATACCAAAAACAATACATAAGAAAACATCCAGAATATAAAATTTTAAAATACAAAATCTAATATTAGTAACCCTGTGCCAGGTGTTGGAAAACTATGGCCCACAGAACAAACTTGCTCACTGCCTATTTTTATAAATCTTTATTGGGACATAGTCATGCTCATCCATTTCATATTGCCCATTGCTGCTTTTACATTATAACCACTGAATTGAATAGTTATAACAGAGACCTTATGGCCTACACAACCAAAAATATTTGAATTGCTACCAAAATAACTGCTGACCGTCACTCTGTAGTGATAAATTTGGAATTCTTAATTAAATGAGTAATATTTTCAAAAAGTATACATTTCAAAATTTATCCAAGAAAAAATAGTGAAAAAAAAACAAAAGGAAAGCAATGGATGGCAAAATAGTTGTTCCATGAATACATCTCTAAAGAGCTTTGATGCTAATTTAGTCAAATTTTCAATACTGTACAATCTTCTCTAGAGCAGAGCAAAAGAATAAAAGCACTTCTAGCTAATATTATGTGGCATAACTTTGATATCAAAACATAAAGCTTTATATAAAAAGATGCCAAATATCAATCTCATGTACTAATATTGACATAAAAATAAAAGATTAATTCAGTCCACTACTATATAAGAAATATGAATTAAAGTTTATGTCAAGAATGTTAAAAAGCCTCCATGTTATCTCTTGAACTAATTGATTGGTTGCTTTCAGTTCCTAAAACACATTGAGATGTGGGGAAACCACTTTTATATGGAATCACAAAGATGCTATCATCAGGTGAAAAACTGTGAGGAGTTTCTGCCCGAAAAATTATAGAAAGAGGCTGGGTGTAGTGGCTCATGCCTGCAATCCCAAAGACTCGGGAGGCTGGGGTGGGAGGATCACTTGAACCTAGGGGTTTGAGGTTGCAGTGAGTTGTGATCTTGCCACTGAAATCTAGCCAGGGCAAAAGAATGAGACCGTGGTTCTAATTTTTTTTTTAATTAAGAAAATTATAGAACCAGAATGAAATAAGTGATTTCCACTTTTTCAGGCAAACTAGGGCTACCATTTTTACCATTACAGCACTTTCTTAGGAAGTGGGGAGGGTGGGCAGGGCAATGATGGAGAAAACATATAATCTACAGATGAATAAAAGGCATTTGGTAAAATGTAACATCATTATCACTTATAAAATAGTAATAGAGACTTCCTTACGACATCAGACTCAATGTTCAAATATTTGAGCATAATCACTGAAGTTAGAAACAAACCCAGTGACCACTGTTACATAGCATTGTTCTGGAAGTACCAGCCAAGGTAGTGAGACAAGACATAAAATTGAGGAATCCTAATCCATTGGCTACTGCTATTGCTGTAATAGACTGATACTCTGCTCTGACCCAGGAGTCTTTTGTCTTCTGACAGTGTCCATGAAACTGGCAGGCTAACTTACTTCACAGTAGGGTAAAATCTTGATGAGCTTGGGAAAATGTGTTAATTTCCTTTCAGTGCAGTTTTCCATTTTCTAAAATAAATACAACTCATGGAATTTTGAGGGATGTCCTAAGAAAATGTGAGTGGCACATGGTAAGCACAAATGTCCCCATTTTAATATTTTGTATTAATAATTTAATTGGAATGAGTAGAATCTTTGTGTTTTAACCACAGAGGATGGTGCTTCTGGTTCTCTGCTTCTCTTCTCTGATCTGGCGTTTTTACTTCTTACATTGTAACCTTCAGATCCTCTGAACTCAGTCTAAAAGTCTATCAAGTTAACTAGTTATCTTGTTAATCAGCTTTACCAAATAGCCAAAGTCATTATCCCTGTAATTTTTTTGAGGTATAAAGAATAATGTATTAATTAATTGACAATGAAACTCTGCAAAATGCAGTCTAGTTTTAATAAAATGAAAGAAAACGATACACATGTAAATACCATTTATATTTTATCTGTGTTAACGTATTATCATAAAGGCACTATTTTGCTCTCTCTCTCTCTCTGTCTCTCTTTCTTTCTCTCTGTCTCTCTTTCTTTCTCTTTCTTTCCCTCTCCTGAAACAAAACAATCTTATCTTTTGCACATACCATTCTCATGATTTTTTTATTTTTAATACATATATATTTCCATAAACAATATCCAGTTTTGTTTTGTATTTGCACAGTTCACATAATAGCATCCCTGTAAAGTACCCACTTGTTGTTTTCCTTCTGTTTTATAACAAACGTTATGCTTTACAGAGTTACCCAGGTTGATTTATGGAGATATGATTCATTTTATCTATAGTAAAGTATTTCATGAATAGACTACAATCTATCCACCTCCCCATCGGGAAGCAAGTTCTTTCCACAAATACTAATGCCATTTTCCTAATGGAGAAAATTGGACTCAGATACAGGATGGACATTAAATAGTACTAAGAAAATTTCTGCTTTGCACTTTACACTCAAAGAATGATACAGTCATTTGAATTGACTACAGTGGTTAAGTATGTCTTTTGAGATTTTTCCACAACACACTAAATTTACCTCCTAGTTACTATCTCCCCTGGAAGTTAATAGAAGGTCAATTACACTATAACAGTGTAATTGATGGAGGTTGGCAGTATTCAAACATTTTTTCCTTTTTTTTTCTTTTGCATGCTAAATTGAATTGTTTCCTTTGCGAGATTTAAAGTGATTGAAGCCAGTTTTCTTCCATTCTCCCCCACGTCCTTGTACATATAAAAAAAGAGAGACAATTTCTTACAGCCTCAAACACAAGATTTTAAGAAAAGGGAGGCAAATGTTGAAGTTTTCTTAGCATTTTATTTATCATGAATATTATCAGTCTGTTTAAAGCAGTGGTTCTCAACTGGGGCAATTTTGCCACCTCCACTCCACACTTCAGAACATTTGTCAATGTCTGGAGATATTTTTCGTTGTCATGACTGGGGTGGAGGTGCTACTGGCATCTGCGGTGGAGAGGCCATAAATGCTCCTAAACATCTTACAATGGACAAGACAGAGACACCTCTACTGCCACCCCCAACACAGAATCGTCCAGTTCTAAATGGTTGTAGCACTGAAGTTGAGAAACCCCCTGGTTTAAAAAGGCAGAAACCAAAATTACATCCCTCGGCTGCCATCTTTATTCCAGGAGAACCCTTAGACCAAGGCCTGACCTGAGCCTATGAGGACATAAGCTAAATCATAAGGCAGAGAGAATGTTCTCTCTGTCGCCCTCCTATACATGTCAGTTACCCCACACAGCCGGTTTTAATTTCTGTCTTTTCTCCCTGTTATGTAATTCCCCAGCTTCCTTTGAAAGCTCCTTCAGCTCCACGTCTGTGTATCCTTTGGAGGTGGACCTCAGGTGGCTTTGTTTAGCTGAGCAAGTCAACACACTTTTCCCTTTTCTATTATCTATTCCCCTGAGGTTGTCCTCCACAGCTACTGTAGTATCTCCACGCAGCAGCAGCAGTGGGCTGATTGCAAAGAAGGTGAGCAGGAAACACCCCTGGCTGTTCTGTAAGAATTCAGGGCACTCTGCCCACTGCCAGCTGGCCAGTGTTCTCAAGTTTAGGTTGGTTCAATTGGAGCTAACTTTCTAAGTAGAAGACACTAGAGCTGGTGGCATTTCTGTAACACTTGACAGCAGTCCGGAAATACGTGGGGATGTGAATGAAGAACAGGGCAGCACAGCAAGACAGAAAGGTCAATGACTTGTGCTGGGTTCTCCTGCTGACTAGCCACGTGACCTTGGGTAAGTCACTTTCAATGAAAAATGACTCACAAAATAGACAGTATGTTCTTAAGCTGCATGCACCCAATAGCAAACCCAGAAAGGGAAAAGCGGAAGCTCACCTTCCATGAACTTCACAATCTGACATCCTAGAAGCAAGCTGTGTTGATTTCGCTATTCACATAAGTTGGATTTTAATTTTAAATTGCAAAACCTTTTCAGTGCTTAGGATTTCTAAAAGTCTTAATTGAGCCTTGACTGTGAAGGATGTTAGATTTTCAGACTCCAGACTTCTATCTCCAACTATCTCAGGGTCCGTATTAATTCTATAGACTGAAGGCTTTTGACCCATCCCTTCATTAAACATACAATTCTGAGCACTTATTTTTTATTTTTTGAGACGGAATCTCACTCTGTCCCCCAGGCTGGAGTGCAGTGGCGCCGTCTCGGCTTACTGCAAGCTCCGCCTCGCAGGTTCACGCCATTCTCCTGCCTCAGCCTTCTGAGTAGCTGGGATTACAGGTGCCCGCCACCACGCCCAACTAGTTTTTTGTATTTTTAGTAGAGATGGGGTTTCACCGTGTTAGCCAGGATGTTCTCGATCTCCTGACCTCATGATCCGCCAGCCTCGGCCTCCCAAAGTGCTGGGATTACAGGCGTGAGCCACCGCACCTGGCCCTGAGCACTTATTATGCACCAAGCATTGAACTAGATCTTGGAATTGGCAGAAATGAATGGTACTATGAAGTACAGGACAATCATTTATCAGACATCTATTGAATCCTACTCTATCAGACAATGTATATAGCAGTCAACTGAGAAGAGTTCCTGCCTTTAATGATGTCACAGTCCCATATAAAAATAGATGAATACCCATATAAAAATAGATGGATACTGTTAGAGTCACAGAGTATAGAAGTACAGGGAGGGAGATAATATAACCCATTGAGTGGTGGAGCTTTCTGGAGGAGATGACATCTGAAAAATATAAGCTATGTCAAGGTCTAAAGGAATTCCGTACTTGCATGTTTGCTTTAGTCCTTTCATTGAATATTTATGGATTATCTACCATGTGATGGGCAACATGAGAAGTTTCCAAAATTAAGAGAACAAATAGTCGTGGTTCCAAACTTCACAGAACTTATAGCCTACAAGGACTTAGTGATCATGCAATTCAAGGCTCTCACTTAGAAGATGTGAAGTCCAAGCATATAGATAATATTCCTTGTAAGTCTTTTTAGTGGCAGTTACCAGAATAGAACCTGAGTCCTGTGGTTTACCATAAAGCATTTTAATACTCTGTTGTATTGAACTCCATAGTGGCTTGGATCCTTCAAAAGAGCCGTTCTACTATCTTAAGAATTTGAACTTCTCTGAGAATGGCTGACTCTGCAGCTTTCACAGTTTCTGCTTCTAGAAACTGTTGCCCTCTTATCTGACTATAAACTTCCAGAAAAGTCATTCTTCTGGGTTATACAAGGATACGTTATTCTGTGGGACACTCTTACGATGCATGCTCTTTATCAGCTGCTGAGGGAATTTATCAGGTTACATGATTCTAAGAAATGTTGGTCCATGGTCTTCAGTAATTTTCAAGTTTTCAGACTGTTCATTCCCACAATTTTTTTCAACGTGTCCTTCCTTAGTCACATTCTTCAGTTCCATACCATTTTTTTTAATTGGGTACTTCTGATCTTCTTTTCTGGTTGTATACTATTTATACTCCCTTTGCTGCTTTGGATAATGAGTACTTGCTTCCTTTGCATCCGTTCCTCTTTATCTAAGTACAAGCTCCTTCTCTTCCACTTTCAGCCAATTATTTCTGCTGAGGCAAAACTTCTATGTGCAGGGCCAGGGTATTGAAATAGGAGGCCTAAGATGACAAGAGCTAAGTATCAAATTCCTCCTGTCATGGTTATTATTAAGTGCTTAGAATGCAACCTCAGTTGACCAATTGCAGAGCACTTTAAGACATTTAAATGTGTAATTTAAGAAGAGCATTTATTTTCTGCTGTACTTAAACCTGGAATGACAGAAGGCTAGCTCCACCATGAGAGAAAAGAGTAGACCTCTAGGAAGCCACTATGCAGAGTTTAACAAAGAAACCAGGGTAGTAGCAGTCCGGCCAAGAGTTGGATGGAAGACTAAATCCTGGTGACTTTGGTTGACACCAGGGTACATCCATGTTTAAATAGTTTGCTTGCTACCTCATTTTCTAATATATAAATTCATTGCTAGTATATAAATACAAATGATTTTTGCATTGTGACCTTGAATCCAGTGGTCACATTTTCCTACCTTTTTGGTGTACCCTGTAACTTTTTAATGTAAGTTGGAAATTTTGCATAAAGTAACACTAGATACTGAACTAAATATTTATCCTCAGGAAATATGGCCTCTCCTCTGTGTAGTCATGAGAATGAGGCCTGTTTGATCTGTTGATGAGCTGGATTAGCAATGCCGGCATTTGTGGGAAGATTATTCCCAGTCAAAGCCCTGGGAAATAGCAAATCTTCAAATGTTAAAGAAACAGAAAGAAAAATTGCGAGTCCAGGATGGATTGAATGTGAGGAGATGAGTTTTGGGGATTCAGCAAGGGCCTGTTATATAGCTCCTATTAGAGATTTGTTTTTTTCTTTTGAAAGAAATGCATTTTTTTTTTAAGTAGGGGAATGGTGTGCTCTAACTTTGGTTTCTTTTTGTTTTGTTTTCTGACTGATTGTCATGTGGTGTAGAGATAATGGGCTGTCAAAAGACATGGCTCAAAGTAGACAAGCCAGCAGTCATCACAGGGGGCATGAGCGTTTCTTTAACAGGTGAGGCAGCAGTAAAATGCAAAGAAGTAGATGGATACAGACTATATTTTGGAAGTAGAGATGATGGCATTAGCAGTTTGGGGAAGAGAGTAGAGGAACAAAGAAGAATCAAGGACGATTCCAAAGTTTCTTACTTGAACAACCGAGAAAGTCAATATTAACTGAGAAGTAGTAACGGTAAAAAAGAAAACAGGTTTAGTTCAGTCTTGGACATGGTAAGCTTAAGAAAGAGGCCTAATAAGTATCTTCATGGATTTGCCATGGAGGCAGATGACTATCAAAATCTGGAACTCACAAGAGAGCTCAAGACTCAAGATAAAACTATGGGAGTCATCAGAAGAGTTAGAAAACTTCGGTGACCCAGAATAGAATTTCTAAAGCAAGAAAAAGTTGGGAAGTGCATGGAAAACATTTAGACTCAGACATTTCTTTCTGACAGGAACACTTAACCACATGATAGGGCTGTCTGTTGTCAAAAACGGAAGTTCTTCTTTTGCCTTAAGTTGGTTCGCTCAAGTAAGGGCCAAAACTATGGTCTATTTTGTGCAGGGAGATTCTGACAGTATAGAATTTCAACGATGTCTATGCTTTCAGCAAGACTTCATGTGTTTAACATTTGTTGTGAATAGAGCCCTAAAATTTTACCACCTTCCATAAACATTTATTGTTTTTCTGGGTTTCCAACTCTAAGCAGAAAGTCCTAGTGCTTTATCATATATTTCTTGAAGTGTGTCAGTGTCAAAGACACAGAACACATTAAGCATGTGAGCCACAGCATATAGGTCCCTAGAGAAAAGAGACTTAGAAAGAAGCATGGACTATTGTTCCCTACAACTATTTTTACTACTTGACTAATAGAGTTTTCACCATCCTTATTACATTTTTCTATTCAGCCTCAACAAGCTTTGCAGACCACATGGCTAATACAAATTCTGGCAACATATTTCACTTCTTTTATTGCACACCTCAAACCTTATTACTTGTTCATTGTATTGCAGTTGGGATTTAGATTTTTATAAACATGTTCTCAAATGCTGTGCACTTTATAAATTTATGACTTTTATTGCAGATCAATAATTTTTATCCACCTATTACTCAGCAAGGGACATACTTTCCTGAATATGCTATTACCTTTAACTTTTTAATCCAGGGGAAATTTTAAATTAAAAAAAAATTCTCAGCACAAGACAGGCAAGAAGACAGAGAAAGGGGATGGTGGGATTCGGGAATACAGTAGGAAGAATCATGAGTACAAGTCTTTTCTCCAGCGATGTGTCAAATTTCATGAATCAGCAGAACTCCTTTTTTCTTTAAAAAATTACTGAAATGGTTGTTCAAGGACAGTAGTTTCCAGCCGGGGATGATGAATTTTTCCTTCCCCTTCCCCCATAGAAGGCATTTGGCAACATCTAAAGATATGTTTGGTTGTCACAAATGGGAAGGAGTTACTCCTGGCATCTAGTGCGTAGAGGCCAAAGTTGCTGCTAAACATTCTCCGGTGCACATGGTAACTCCCCACAATAGACAACTATCCAGCCAAAAGTGTCACTGGTGCCAAAATTAAGAAACACTGGCTTAGAATCTGGGGCCTAATGATTTTGTCCTTGTTCATGCTAAGACATACCCACAAAAAACAGTTTTCAATTTTTTTGTGTATTTCTATTTCTTTCACATTTGAAATCATTAAAGATCCACTTTTGATAGACTTTCAAATAGGCTAAGATTATCTAATCCTTGGAGACTATGAATAATGTAGTCATGTGGATTTATCAAAATGCCAGTGAATGGTGGAAGTTGAATTCCTTAGATATAGTTTATAAACTGGTTAGGGAACTTTAACCTGTTTCAGAATAGTCTCACAAGTCACTGGGGTGAAATTGTTGTGAAGGAATACATTTAACATTGGTTTCTTCATAAACACATAGTCGGCTGACTGACCAGCAATGATTTTGTGAGATTAACAAATGGAATGAAAAATGACATTTATTTATTATTTTAAAATTTCAAATGTTCCAGTTTTATTTAATTGGACCAAGCACCTGCATATCATTTTAAGACAATTACCTACTATTTATGGTTTGAAATTCTGTATAGTATTTTGTACTGTATTTTATTAATACAATAAATTAATTATGCATAGTTCTTATTTATAGCTCTTATTCTGATTTTAGAAAGTGAATAGTTTGCCTAGAACAGATATTAGAACATAAAACTTTTCAAACCTTCTTAAATACATAATAGGGAGAATTTAAGCAACTAGAGGCATAAATGTGCAGATCAGTGTTACCCAACATGTAGGCTGAGTAATCCTGAGAAATGCAGAGTATCTGAAAGGATTCTTCAATGTACGTGCTTCATAAGCAACTATTTAATAGTTGTAATAAATTGATAATCACTAACATTTATTGTGCAAGAATAACATCCGAAGAGCTTTAAGTGCATCAGATTATTTAACATCCCCAGAAACTCAGTAGGCTGACACTATTCTACTTCCATCTGGAAGACAAGGAATGTAGCTTACTCAGAGACGTTAGTAATTTACTCCATGTCACATAGCTACTAAGAAGCAGAACTGGGTCTGTCTGTCTCAAGCCCAAGTTCTTCATATAGAAATGCTATATATAAATGGTTTTGTTATTATTAAATATACAAAGTTGAAATGCATTGCTGAACATGGAGTACTCTTTCTGTCATTGTGACCTTTCTGAAAGTATTGAAAAATAAGGCTCCATACAAAGTTTTAACTTTACACAGACTGAGAATGACGATAATAAATCTTCTTTCCTTGCATTTATGTGTGTTTATCAATTATTCACGCAGCAGTAGAGATGGTTGATGAGATCTTCCCACAGTAACTTAATCATCGATCATGAAACAACACATGGACTGTTCTACCTTTGTCTCTAGCCTTAACTTTCTACTTCAATTAATACCATTTCCAGATGTCTTACTGTACCTATGAAAAAATACGTAATTGTTTTTTGCAGGGCCATGTAATTTAATTGAATCAGGATATGTGTCTCCCTCCCAAACTAATTAGGTTCTCAACTACTCTTCTGTATGATGAGAATATTATGGCTCCAAATAGCAAAACTTCATCAGCATGGTTAGCTCTGATGCCCCAGGAGGCAGTGACGGTTCCTAGGAACTGGAGCTTGGCAATAAAAGAAAATGGAATGAATATACTTTCCATATCAGGTTCTCCCTTAATATTTCTGCCATGAGGTTACTCATCATGTTTTAAAAGAACCAGTGATACGGAACTCACTTCACTTCCTACCTAGGCATCTATTTCACCTTCAGACAGCTTTAACTTTTTTTGTTCTCACATTGAGCTGAAATCTGACTCTGAGAACTGTTTACTCTTGGACTGTAAGTGCAAAATAAACTAATTAGACAAAGATTCAATAATTTATTAACTTCTGTCACAGACTGGCCTCACCAAAGTATCCCATCGCCATGACCTTGACATAATGCTATGTTAACACCCCTCCATAAAGTCTGTACTTTCTCCCCTTGAATCTGGGTGGGCCTGTGGCTATGGTGGGAGGAACAGTATCTGCCTGGTCCTTTTAGGATGCTTGCCTTTGAATTGCATCCCCTTTGCCATGAGGCAAATCTCCCTCATAGATATTATATTGTCATGGGGAGACAAAAAATAAACATAGAGCAGGAATAAAACATAAATATTGACCTCCAATGCTATAAAGAAAAACAAAAATCCTAAAAGGTAGTAACTGATAAAAGTAGGGAGAGATACTAATTCACATATGGTCATTTGGAATAGACACTTGAATGAACTCAAGGACAAGACAAGTAGATATCTGGGACCATACTGTTTCACACAGAAGGGAGGGAAGTATAAATGGCCTGAGGCAGGTGTGTGTCTGATATACTCCAGTGAAAGCAAGGAGGCCGAGGTGACTGAAGTGTAACAGGGCAGAAGGGAGAATGGTAAGAGATCGGGTCAGAAATAGATGCTGGAAGTCAACATACAAAAGACCTGGAAGAGCCTGCATTGCTCATGAGATGGGAAGCCCCTGGGGGGTGAATGAAGGAGTGACTTGATATGACTCCCACGTAGAAGGATGACTGATGACAAGCAAGGTAGTCAGGAGGACCCATTAGGAAGTTGCTGCCATGGGTGGAGGGGAAAGTTGATCTCAGCCTGGCGAGTCTAGCAGTAGTTGAGGCAGTGAGAAGAGGCTCAGATTATCATCATCATAACTATGGGTACTTTTTTATTGTTAAAACATACATTCACATGACATCATTTCTCTGCAGTTACTGTTGCTAGTATTGTTGGCAACAGTTATTTGTGAGTAAAGGTGAAGAAATGAAGGCTTGGAGAAAACCAATGATAGCCCCCAGATAGCATTCTATTTATGTTTCTCTTTGTCTCTCAAACTAAATGAGGTTGGTATTCAAACCTAGACTTTCCAACTTCATGTCTATGTTAGTTTACTAGGTAAACAGGTAATACCACTTTTCTGATTTAAAATTCATGTTTAGTACACTCAATATTTAGAAAAATACACAAAAAATGAAAACGAAATAATTCATAATCTTATTATGATACTCTGAGATATTGTTGGCATTCTGGTGTATTCTCACACTATATTTTTACTACTTTTACATTTTATGTAATAGAATATGTATCGTGTTTCATAGGCAACATTTCTATTTTACAGTGTTTCATAGTTATGAGTTTAGAATTATTTTGCAATATGATTATGAATGGCTACATGGTCTCAATGTACTATTATTCATTTAACCAAACCCTGATGGTTAGACATTTAATTTTTTAAAAAAATCTACCTTACATGATCTAAGATGAACATCTTACTTGTAAAAATACTCGTATAAACAATTCTTTTTGACAATAAATTCCTAGAAAGGAAATTTTTACATCAAACATATGTAAAATTTTGCTTCAAAAAAACATTAAGAGACCACTCTCTACAATCATAAAATTAAACACCTATCAAGAGTTTGAGGCCAGGCGCGGTGGCTCACGCCTGTAATCCCAGCACTTTGGGAGGCCGAGGTGGGCGGATCATGAGGTCAGGAGATCGAGACCATCCTGGCTAACACGGTGAAACCCCGTCTCTACTAAAAATACAAAAATTAGCCAGGCATGGTGGCGGGTGCCTGTAGTCCGAGCTACTCGGGAGGTTGAGGCAGGAGAGTCGCTTGAACCCAGGAGGCAGAGGTTGCAGTGAGCCGACATCGCGCCACTGCACTCCAGCCTGGGCGACCGACAGAGTGAGACTCCGTCTCAAAAAAAAGAGTTTGAAGGTATCTAGTTCCCTGTAATCCCATCAACATTCATCTTTGCCAAAAGGAAAGGAAAAATGGCTCATCATAGCATTACAACTGGCTCTTCCTATCTGTGCGTCCTACATCTGTAGACTTAAAGAAAATTGTGTCTGTACTGAATATGTATAGACTTTTTCGTCTTGTCATTTGTCTAAACAATGCAGTATAACAACTACTTACATAGCATTTATATTGCATCACGTGGTATAAGTAATCTACAGATGATTTAAAGTATATGATAGGGTGTGTGTAGATTATATGCAAATACTGTGCCACTTTATATAAGAAACGTGAACATCCACAGATTTTGATATTCCCAGGAGGTGCTGGAAACAATCCCCCAGAGATATCAAAGGATGACTTTATTTACAAATGCAAAAAGCAAGCAAACAAGCCTTTAATATTTGACAATAGAAAATTATTATATGAATTGTGGAATATTTAAGTGGTGTAATTTTATCCTTATACATTTGAAATTAATATGCCCTTAATTATTACCCATTTTACAAACATGTCTATCTAGATCTAAACAAGTGGGTTTTTTTGTTTGTTTTTGTTTTTCAAGGAGCAAAGCAGATACACCACTGGTTGCCATATGATGAGATTAGGTGGTACATGGACACAGTATTACATTCAGCTAAATAATGAGAAATTTGGCTCCTTTTAAATTTCCTTTTAATTTCAATGTGGTACTAACCTTAACTTTTTTCTAGTACTAATTTTCCTTTTGATAAAAAAAGCTTATTAATAATTGTTATTTAATTTTAATGGTAATAAAATAGTTAAAACTTGCACAGTAATTTATTATATGTCAGGCATCGTTCCAAGTGCCTTACATTTATTCGCACATTTTATCTTCATCACAACCATGCCAAATAACCTGTAGAAATTTCATACTATTGTTTTATGTCATTATAAATTTTTGTGCCATTATATTCCACATATGGCAACTGATATTTCTATCTAGTTTCTATATATATATTTGGGTGAAATAAGTTGATTAAATGAAAAGAACCTCAGTTAAAGATTAGCATATTGTTATAGAAGAGATCATGAAAGTGATATGGGAAAGATTGAAATTTGAGGATCATTAGTCTAGAGGGGTGTTTCTCAAATTTTAATATACATTTGATTCACCTAAGGAGCTTGTTAAACTACAAATTCTGATCCAATAGGCCTGAGGTGGGCTGATATTCGGCATTCTTAACTAGCTCCTGGGTGAGGCCAGGCTACTCACCTACGGACTAAACTTTGGAAGAGCAAGAATATAAAACCCTGTCAGCCATGTGCATAAAGTCATTCAACAGGTGAAGAAAATTAGAAAGATTGGTGTTGAATTCTGGTTACTTGGACTCTGGTGCAACATCCAATGTATATAAAGCTAACTAATTTCATAATTTGTATGATGCAAAATATTCATTAATAACATATATGAAGAAATTCCCGGGACTCTTACATTTTTCTACTGGTGCTGAATCAGGAAAAAATAAAAACCAATCTTAATGTATTTATCTTTCAACTTACATTTTAGATTCAGAGTGTGCATGTGCAGGCTTGTTACCTGGATATATTGTGGGAAACTGAGGTTTGGATATGAATGATTGCATCACCCAGGTACTGTGCGTAGTACCCAACAGTTGATTTTTCAAACCTTGCCCCACTCCCTCCCTCCCAACTCTACTAGTCTCCAGTGTCTATTATTGACATCTTCATGACCACGAGTACCCCATGTATAGCTGCCACTTACAAATGAGAACATGCAGTATCTGATTTTCTGTTCCTGCATTAATTCACGTAGGATAATGGCCTCCAGCTGCATCCATGTTGCTGCAAAGAACATGATTTTGTTCTTTTTATGGCTGTGTAGCATTCCATCGTGTATATGTACCGTATTTTCTTTATTCAATCCACCACTGATGGACGCCTGGGTTGATTCCATGGTTTTGCTATTGTGAACAGTGTCCTTTTGGTAGAACAATTTGTTTTCTTGTGGATATACACCCTGGATTGGGATTGCTGGGTAGAATGCTAGTTGTAAGTTCTTTGAGAAATCTCCAAACTGCTCTCCATAGTGGCTGAACTAGTTTACACTCCCACAACAGTATATGTAAGTGTTTCATTTTTTCCACAGCCTCACCAACATCTGTTGATTTTTGACTTCTTAACAAAAGCCATTCTGACTATTCGAGATGGTATTTAATTGTGGTTTTGATTTGTATTTCTCTGATGACTAGTGATGTGGAGCATTTTTTTATATGTCTGTTGGCCACTTGTATTTCTTCTTTTGAGAAGTATCTGTTCATGTCGTGTCCCTATTTTTTAATGCGTTTTTTTTTCTTATTGCTTTAAGTTCCTTATAGATTCTGGATATTGGACTTTTGTCAGATACATAGTTTGCAAACATTTTCTCTTATTCTGTAGATTGTCCATTTACTCTGGTAATAGTTCACAGAAAAAGTGCAGAAGCTCTTTAGTTTAATTAGGTCCTACATGTCAATTTTTGGTTTTGTTGCAATTGCTTTTGGGGACTTAGTCATAAATATTTCCCAAGGTCAGTGTCCGGAATGGTGTTTCCTAGGTTTTCTTCTAGGATTTCTATAGTTAGAGGTCTTATATTTAAATATTTAATCCACCTTGAGTTAATTTTTATATATGATGAAAGGTAGGGGTCCAGTTTCATTCTTCTGTATATGGCTAGCCAGCTATTCCAGCACCATTTAGTGAATAGGGAGTTATTTCCACACTGCTTACTTTTGTAGACTTTGTTGAAGATCAGATTGCTGTAGAAGTATGGCTTTATTTCTGGATTCTCTGTTTCATTGGTCTATGTGTCTGTTTTTGTACCAGTACCATGCTGTTTTGGTTAGTGTAGCCTGATAGTATAGTTTGAAGTTGGGTAATGTGATGCCTCTGGCTTTCTTTTTCCTTAGAATTGCTTTGGCTATTTGGACTCTTTTTGTTGTTATCCCATTTGAATTTTAGCATATTTTTTTCTAATTCTGTAAAAAAAAAAAAAAAAAGACATTGTTAGTTTGATAGGAATAATGTTGAATCTGTAGATTTCTGTGTGAAGCATGGCCATTTTAATGTTATTCTTATAGTCCATGAGAATAGAATATTCTACCATTTGTTTGTGTAATCTATTTTTTTTAGGAATGTTTTGTAGTTCTCCTTATAGAGATGTTTCATCTCCTTGGTTAAGTGTATTCCTAGGTATTTTATTTTTGTGTGGCTATTATAAATGGTATTGCATTCTTGATTTGGCTCTCAGCTTGAACTTCATTAGTGTATAGAAATGATACTGATTTTTTTACATTGATTTTGTATCCTGAAAACTTGCTAAAATCATTTATCAGTTCTAATAGCTTTTTGGTGGAGTCCCTGGGATTTTCTAAATAAACAATTATATCATCAGCAAAGAGAGATAGTTTGAAAAGGCATTCTTTTTCCTATTTGAATGCCTTTTATTTCTTTCCCTTGCCTGAATGATGTGGCTAGCACTCCCAGGACTATGTTAAATAAGAGTGGTGAGAGTGAGCCTCCTTGTTTTTTTTTTCCAGTTCTCAAGGGAAATGCTTCCAGCTTTTGGCCATTCAGTATGATATGGCTATGGGTTTCTCAGAGATGCTGTTGTTATTTTGAGGTATTTTTCTTACCACCTAGCTTGTTGATGGTTTTTATTATGAAAATATATCGCATTTTATTGAAAACTTTTTTCGCTTCTATTGGGATGATTATATGGTTTGTGTTTTTAATTCTGTTTATGTGGTGAATCACCTTTATTGATTTGTATATGTTGAACCAACCTTGCATCTCAGGAATGAAGACTACCTGAACATGGTGAATTCAGTTTTGATGTGCTGTTGAATTTGGTTTGCCAGTATTTCGTTGAGGATTTTTGCATCTATTTTCATGAGGGATATGGACATGTAGTTTTGTTTTTCATTTGTTTTTTGTTTGTTTTTTCATTGTGTCTTCACCAGGTTTTGCTATCAGGGTGATGTTGACTCTGTAGAATGAGTTAGGGAGGAGAACCACCTCCTCAATTTTTTGGAATAGTTTCAGTAGAATGAGTACTAGCTTTTCGTCATGCATCTGGTGAAATTTGACTGTGATTCCATCTGGTCCAGGGCTTTTTGTGGTTAGTAGGCTTTTTATTATTCATTTAATATTGGAACTCAGTATTGGTCTATTCAGGATTTCTATTTCTTCCTGGTTCATTCTTGGGAAATTGTACATTTTCAGGAATTATTCACTTCCTCTAAATTTTCTAGTTTGCATACATAGAGTATCTTTTGTATTTCTGTGAGATCAGTTGTAATGTCACCTTTTTATATCTGATTGTGCTTCCTTAGATCTTTTTTTCCCCATTAATCTAGCTAGAATTCTGTTGATCTTGTTTATCCTTTCAAAAACAAATTTTTGATTTCATTGATTCTTTGTATGGATTTTTGGATGTCAATTTTGTTCAGTTGGTGCTCTAATTTTATTTTCTTCTGCTGCCTTCAGAGTTAGTTTGTTCTTGTTTTTCTAGTTCCTCTATATATGATGTTTGATCATTAATTTGAGATCTTTCTAACTTTTTGAGGTAGGTGTTTAGCATTGTAAACTTTCCTCTTAATATTGCTTTTACTGCATCTCAGAGATTTTGGTATGTTCTGTCTCTGTTTACATTTCAAAGATTTTTTAAATTTCTACCTTGTTTTCTTTATCCAAAAGTCATTCAGGAGCAAGCTGTTTAGTTTCCATGTAATTGTTGGTTCGGAGAGATCTTGTTGGTATTGATTTCTATTTTCATTCCACTGTGGTCTGTGGGTGTGGTTGGTATAATTTTGATTTTTTTGGAATTTATTCGGACTTGCTTTATGACTGAGCGTTTAGTCAATCTTTGATTACATTTCATGTGTAGATGAGAAGAATGCATGTTCTGTGGTTGATATGTACAGTATTCTATAGAGGTCTAGTAGGTCTAATTGGTCAAGTGTCAAATTTAAGTCCAGTTTTCTGTCTCGGTCACCTAATGTTTTCAGTGAGGTGTTGATGTCCCTACTATTACTGTGTGACTGAGTCTTTTTGTAGGGCTTCAGGTACTTGTTTTCTGTTTTGTTTTATTTTATTTTGTTTTCATACTGGGTCTCACTCTGTCATCCAGGCTAGAATGCAGTGATATGATCATAACTCACTGCAACCTCAAACTCATGGGCTCAGGTGATCTTCCTGTCTCAGCCTCCTGAACAGCTGAGAATACAGGCATGTACCACTGTGCCTGGCCAGTGTGTGTGTGTGTGTGTGTGTGTATGTGTGTGTGTGTATAAATATATATATATAAACATATATAAATATATATAAAATATATATAAAATATATATAAATATATATAAAAAATATATAAATATATATATATATTTTTTTCATAGAGACCAGGTCTTGTTATGTTGACCAGGCTTGTCTCAAACTTCTGGCCTCAAGCTATTCTCCTGCCTTGGCTAGAAGCACTTGTTTTATATATCTAGGTGCTCCAGTGCTGGGTGCATATGTAATTAGGATACACAAGTCCTCCTCTTGAATTGAATACTTTATCATTAGGTAATGCCCTTCTTTGTCCTTTGTTACTTTTTTTTGGTTTGAAGTCTCTCTTATCTGATATAATAGGAACCCCTGCCCTTTATTTTCTGTTTGCATGGTAGATCTTTCTCCAACCCTTTACTTTGAGTCTGTGGGTGTCAATATGTGTGAGGTGGATCTCTTCAAGACAGTAGACTAATGGGTCTTTTTTACTGTAATCCAATTTGCCACTCTGTGCCTTTTAAACAGGGTATTTAGGTCAGTATTGGGATGTGAGATTTTGATTTGGTCATGAAGTTATTAGCTGATTGCTTTATAGTTTCTATCGTGCAAAATCCTTTTTAAAAAGTAACCCCAAATATAAATCCTCCAAACAATGTAATTTACATCAGCTCCAAACAATGATTTTCCTTTGATTAGATGAGAGAGATTTCCTCCAGCTGGAATGTGCAAAATATAATTTGAGCTAAGGCAATGAAATCTGACTCATTTCTTTTAAGGGATTATTTAGTGCAGCCCTTTCTTAATTATCTTTTAATCTTATCTTTTAATTTCTAACTCACCTTACTGGATCATATGCCTTCAGATTACAATATGAACTCTCTCTGTGCTAGACAATCAGGCCCATTCACCTCATCAGCCCTGAACTCGTCAGCTAAAACAAGGTGACAGAGCCTGACATTCCAGTGCTCACTACAGTAAAAGTCAAGCAGCTATTCATGTTGCACAGCTGCCACGTCTTCTTTATAAAATATTCATTCACATTATGTCATTTTTTATTCAGCTGCCAAAAATGAAACATTTGAGGAACCTTCAAGTCATCAGAATGCAGTCGTTGCCCATAGAGGCCCATGTCAACGTATCTACCATTAATTTGGAGTGTGGATGGGACAGTGGCCCTTGCACTTCTGTCAATGGCTTTAAAAATGATTAGAAAAAAGTTGCCTAGAATACTGTCGGACATTCTCGGCTTTCATTCATACACAGTTGGAGAAAAAGATCATATACATTGCAAATAAACATTTTGTATTGTGATGAAATACCCATGAAATTTATCATCCTAACCATTTTTAAGTGGACAGTCCAGTAGTGTTACATACATTCACGTTGTTGTACAACATCACCATCCATCTCCTGAACTCTTTGCATTTGCAAAACTGAAACTTGATACCATTAAACAACTCCACATTATTACCTCCTTCAAGCCCCTGGAAGCCATTGTTGTCTTCTGTTTCTGTGAATTTGACTACCCTAGATACTTCATATAAGTGTTATGCCATATTTTTTTGTGTGTGTCTGGCTTTTTTCACTTAGCATAATGTCCTAAAGTTTCATTAAAGTTGTAGCATGTGTCAGAATTCTCATTCTTTTTAAGGCTGAATAATATTCCAGTGTAAGTACAGTATATACTACATTTTATCAGTCCATCCATCAATGGACATTTGGGTTGCATTCACCCCTTGGCTATTGTGAATGATATGGTTATAAAAAAGGATGTGCCAATATCTGTTTGAGACCCTGCTTTTCAATTCTTTTTTTATGTACTCAGAAGGGAAATTGCTGGATCATACGGTAGTTCTAATTTTAATTCCTTGAGGAACCACTACACTTGTTTCCGCCATGGCCACACAATTTTACATTCCTAACAATAGTGTTCAAAGGTCCCACCTTTTCACCAGTAATTTTTATTTTCTGGGATTTTCCAGTGGTAGCCAACAGTATATTGTACTTTCAATGAAATATTATTCAGCCTTAAAAAGAATGGGAATTCTGACACGTGCTACAACATTAATGAAACTTTAGGACACTATGGTAAGTGAAATAAGCCTGACACAAAAGGATAAAGATGGTGTGATTCCATTTATAGGACATGGAATCTCAATGTGGAGAAAGCAACATTCCTAAAAAGAAACAAAATCAGCCAGACACAAATGGACAAATATGGTATGATTCCACTTACATGAGGTAGTATCTCAATGTGGAGAAAGCAAATTCCTTATAAAAAACATCCTGGAGAGAATAATCAGAAAATGGGCTCTGGTAAGTGCCAAGGAAGTGCATTAGGCAAAAATGGCATAGCTTGCCCTCGGAGATCTCAAAGCCCAATGGCAGAGTGTTGTGCTGGACCCCTGTTAACTTCAGAAGGGATGGCACCAAGTTCAGGAGGCCGAAGAAGAGACCCAGAACCAAGAAATGAGATACAGGATTTTATTAGTGGGAAGCTTACAAACAGGGCAGTCCAGTGGCAGTGGGCTGGACAGGAGAACCACAGTCGCTTGCAAAAAACATGCAGTTTATATAGCAACTTAGCACCTTCCCCTTAACAACCTTCACCTGGAAACCTTTAACCCAAAACACGGGGCCTCTACGGCTTGTATGGCCCACATCCCACGGGATGGGCAGAGGGCTCCAGTGTTCCTCCTAGATAAGAAACAAACCTCTGGGTTGCCCACCCTCAGATTCCTTAGCATAAAACGCAGAACACACATTCATGTGTGTCTGTCATATGGGGTCATTCTCAGGGTATGCTTAAGCTAGGTTATTGCTGTCAAGTACATCTACCACACAGAGATTTCAAAAGGAAAATAAAAAGTAAAGCTCTTTCTTACTGACAACTTTTGGTTAATCACAGCCACTCATTTTCACCTGACCTTAACTCCCACAGATAGTCAACAACTCTTAGAGAAGGATTTGGGATTAATTCCAACCTATTTCCATAGCAAAGAAAACATGTCAAATCTCCTAAGCAGTGGGTGAAGATGATAATCATGATTTTCAAGGAGTATTGTGTTAAATTCCTACTTTTGAAAGTTTTGCATATTATCACCTCAACAAAAGAAAATCCTAAGTCCTTCTTTAAGCTCTACAGAGTGTAAATATATTGCTCCCTTGCCCCCAAGTGGAAACATAAATGAAGGGAATTATGAATTAAAATTATATCAGTTATGGATGGAATAATGCTACACACACACACACACACACACAACTAAATTCACTGCCTTAGAACAAAAATAATTTACTGATATGGATAAGACTTAAGTCAGCTGGGGCATGTCTTCAGACCGGACTTTGTTGGACATGCGTGATTCAGGCTGTCACAACTAGAGTGGGCCAGGGTGTACTCAGGTGTGGGTGACTTATGCTTCTTGGACAGATGGTCTTGCCAGGGCATGTACTGCTTGTGGCAGTAGCAGAGGCAAGACAGCAAGCAGAGGCGCGCAATGCTCAGAACTACCATGCTGACACTCATCAAGGGACGCTGGCCAAAGAAAGTCCAACTCAAAGTCAAAGGGTGGGGATGAACAATGGCAAAGGGGTGGTTGCGTGGAAGAATGAAGAACAGAGGACATTCATTCATTCAATCAACTACTTCAGCTGCCATTTCTTGGCCATTCTCTGTTTGACTCTACCGTGGAAACTAAAAGTTGAGCTCCATGCTCTGTGAGTTCTAAGCCAAGAAGAGTTAGGTTGTTTCAATCTGCTCTGCTATACTTTCATAAGCATTGTCCCCTCTGCTGCTTAGGGCATCCTTTTTCTGACCCATCATCATAAAACTGAAGTTGCCCTCAAATTAAAATAATTATTGACTCTTAATCCAGTCTATCATTGTTGGACATTTGGATTGGTTCCAAGTCTTTGCTATTGTGAATAGTGCCGCAATAAACATACGTGTGCATGTGTCTTTATAGCAGCATGATTTATAGTCCTTTGGGTATATACCCAGTAATGGGATGGCTGGGTCAAATGGTATTAAGAAAATGTGGCACATATACACCATGGAATACTATGCAGCCATAAAAAATGATGAGTTCATGTCCTCTGTAGGGACACGGATGAAATTGGAAATCATCATTCTCAGTAAACTATCACAAGGACAAAAAAAACAAACACCGCATGTTCTCACTCATAGGTTGGAATTGAACAGTGAGAACACATGGACACAGGAAGGGGAACATCACACTCTGGGAACTGTTGTGGGGTGGGGGGAGGGGGAGGGATAGCATGAGGAGATATACCTAATGCTAAATGACGAGTTAATGGGTGCAGCACACCAGCATGGCCCATGTATACATATGTAACTAACCTGCACATTGTGCACATGTACCCTAAAACTTAAAGTATAATAATAATAATAATAATTGACTCTAACAGAATGTAGAAAATCTTAAGCTGTGTGCAGAGTAGTAAATGCATCTTCTCTTCTTTTAGAAACTTTTCCAGGGAAGCAGATACTGTGTGTTTATCTAGGCCCAAGCTTTTCTCTCTGCAGTACTGAGCACCACAAACAGCAGCCTCTATTCATCAGCAACTACAGAGGAATCTTCTAAATGGTGAACTAGTCAGCCAAGATGTATGGAAAAGTCCATGTGTGACTCATTTTCCAAATAGAATGTACATCATTAGAACAATGCAAATAAATTCTCACAATTGTCCCTAGTCTTGGGATATATGTGTAGAATGCGCTGGTTTGGCGGAAGAATTCAAATTAATAGATGTGACCTTCCAGTGACTTTGCCCCACATTCTCATAAATTTGTTTTATTTGCTAACAATGCTCCGGGGAGAGATACTCTGAAACTTTCCAACATGAAAACTCACAAATTTGGCATGATTTTATAATTCTAGGAGTCCATTAAAAATAAAATAAAAGCAGGATTGTAACTTACCAGGGTGCCTTTGTGTTTTGGTGAAGCTTGGAAATTATTCATAATATATATTTTGGAATTTAAGTCCCCTATTCTTCCAAAAGCAAATTTTTTGGTGGTGTTATTAAACATCAGATAATACCCTGACAAATTGTTGATGAATGCTGCCTGCAGACCCAGCTGTGTGAACAGCATTGCTAGTGGGAAAATGAGAATGTTTTCTGATGCCTTATGGAACCCAAGCAGCAAAACTAATATTTCTGTGTTCATTTCTTCCTATTTTCTTCTGTTGTGCATGATATTGGAGGCACAGCAGCAGGAATTTGACAGGAAGGGAATATTTAAAACACAGACAAAATGTCTCTGTCCTCTCTGGCATGTCGTTTCATTTGTGAGAATCTGTCAGCCACTGGCATCAGTCTTCATCTTCGGGTTCACAGTTTTGTTCACACTTCCTAAAATAAGCTAATATACTTGATACACAGCACATTAAATTCTGCAAATGGCACTTGGTTGAACTGTAATATCTAGTGAAGCTTCCCTCCCCAAATGCAAGCTGCCTGCCTTCGGGAAATCTGTTCATTTTCTTCATGTTCATTTCTAATATCTTACACAATACACTTAAAATATTCCTTGAATAAGTAAGTGATGGTTACATTCCACCACCTGCATTCTGAAGTTTTGTCAGCCTGTTCAAAAAGCTTGGCCATGTGACGAATCACTGGAGAAAATGTTCTTACCTTTTACCTGGTGTTCAAGACTGTCAACATTCTAGCTGTGCCACGCCTATAGTCACTATTCACTGGGTGCTACTCTATGAAAACAGTATTGGGTCTTGGTGTTGTCACATTTAGTCCTGGTTCAAATAACAACTCCACTTACATTGATTGTGCTTGTTTGAGAAAGTTATCAGCATCTTGCATCTTCAGTTTCTTTGTTCATTAAACAGAGACAACAATAACAAACAGTGTATTTGGTCATTGTGAGGAATAAATGTACGACTATATGCATAACCAGTGTGTGGAACAGTTAGGTATAAATGTGGCCATAATCAAAATTCAATTTTGTTTGTTTTCTCTTGTCCTTTTAAAATATGCTCACTGGGAGTCATCTTCTTTTGTTCCCTATTAAGAGGAAGGTGATGGTCAAGATTTCAAGATGGTCAAGATTTATTCAGGGAAAGAGTTACAAGACTAGTTACGAGAATATGACGCAGAGCCATCAACTCCATCTTCCAACTACAGGGAATCCATTCCGGAGTTCCACGGCTCTCCTTAGATCACCCGTCACTAAGCTTGGCTGAGGACCTCATCATTGTTTATTTCACAAAATTATCTCTCTAATTATCTTGACCCTTTTTATAATTTTCCTTAGATCATCCATCACTAAGCTTGGCTGAGGACCTCATCATTGTTTATTTCACAAAATTATCTCTCTAATCATCTTTGACCCTTTTTATAATTTCTAAATGGGATAAGGGGTTCAAGAGGTATGCAGTGGTTTGGATCCTTTCCTTTGAAAATCTCCATAAAGCAGTTCACACTCATTATGGTATCTGTTACCCATTCTTTGGGCAACTCAGGGAAAAAACTAAAGCATTATCCAAACTTGTTACAACATAGCAACTTTCATTTTGTTAGTTCTCCAAAAATCTCAGTCATCATAATTAAAGTCCTCAACAACTCTAAGGGAAGACTCTTCCAGTCAGACTTTTTCATTCCTAAGCACCCATCCCAGTTCTTTTTATATTTTCCTAGGTTAAGGCTCTTTTGCTTATCCCACATTCCTTTCCCAGAACTTTTTTTCCAATTCCTCTGGGCCTAACCAAATGCTACCTGTTTCAAAACACACAACCTCCCCAAACTAAAAATCACTCCATTCATATAATAACCTGGAAGAATCCAATATTAATGACAAACTTTTTATATTTCTTCAATCACCTATTTATTGAATAAACATTAATTAAGCACTATCTAGATCACAAACATTGAGAAAAAAATAAAGACAAGACACAGACCCATGCTCCAAGGCACTTACATTCTAACTGAGAAAAAAAAAAAATGTGATTTGAACACAATGCTAGGACTGACATGACAAAGGAGCTACTGGAAGACACCTAACCAAAGGCCTAGTTAGGGTATGGCTGCAACGGGTTAGAGAAATAAGTGTCAAGGAATTCATAGAAGAGTGTTACTTGAATTGAATCTTCAAGGATAGAATGCAGTCAGCCAGATAAAATGGAGAAAAGGGTTCCAGCTAAGGAAGGCTGTGTTGGCAATTAATCTATATTAATGTAGATTATCTCAAACTGCTATTGATTTTTTTTCTTTTTCTAACTTTTATTTCACATGAGAAAAATTTTATCTCATTTCGTTCATTACAAGGATTTTCCCACTAATGGGTTTTTTTTTTCCAAAGAGAATTATAATATACGCTGTACATCTCTAGGAATGATAATTTTATTGACCCCAAATGGGAAGGAGTTCTATAAAAAGATTCCTACAGTGTTTGATTCATGTAGTTAGTGGGCTGTGATTGAAAGCAGAAGCATGAGACATTTTGTTTTATGGAGTGAAGGTCCATTTAGCTCACCATTATTTATCACCAGAAACCAGCACCATGCCTGAACCAAGATTGTCACTGGAGAAATATTATGTGACTGAATAAATTAGTAGTAAGTAATTTGGCCCCTTGATGAATGCATCTGCTGAGTAGAAAATTCCGAATCTTACCTATACCTGGGTGTGTCACCTTCTCAAGCACTTAGCATAACCTGAGTATATAGCAGAACTGTATTTTCTAGCCTCATTGTAGTTAGACTGTTATAATGTGACTGAGTTACAGCCAAGAGAATATAGGCAAAATGGTGAGCATCACTTCCAGGACTGAATCATACGTCTCCCCTTTGCACAATTTTCTCTTTTCTCTTCTTACTCTGCAAGTCTATGGAGGTCACATGTTGAAGATGATGGTGATTCCAGGTGGAAGGAACCTGGGGTCTCTGAATAACTACATAGAGGACATCCCCACCTACTCTTCCATGTCAACCAATAAGTCATTAGAGAAAAGTAGATAATGCCTGCTCTCAAGATGATGAGGCATTAGATAATTTTGAAGCATTTAGTTTTAAAGACGTATCTTTATCCGAATGCATGATAATGAGTATCTTTCATCTGTGGCAAATTTATTTGCCGGAGTGATATGACGTCTTCTTATCAAATAACTGCGTTCATCAAAAATGAGTTCATTTAAAAATATTAAATAAATATGTGGATGTGATACAAATATAGATAAGACAAAAGAAAAGTTAAGGATGGAATTCCAGAAAGCATTGCATTAAAATAGTATAATTTTGGACATCCCTGGCTGTACTGGTCGCTGTGATGTTTGAGACCACTATTCCTGTGGGTGGGCAGAGACCTATCCTTCATGAAGAAGGTGTAGATGCCAGAGTACAGTGAGAAAAACAGAATCATACAAGGTGTTTTCACAGAATTTAATACAAGGAATTTGCTTAAGGGGTATGAGAAAATTGAAAATCTAAAGGGGACAGTGAAGCAATACAGGCATGTTAAATGCACCCATAAAAAGCAGGAGGTGCAACCACACTGTCTAGGGCTGGGGGATTACGAGAAAGATATTGGGATTACAAGAATCTAGAATCTTTAGGATGTAGCCCCATGGAGCTAGGACTCAGCTCAGAAAGGCAAGGCTGGCTTGTTCTAGTGCCTTAAAACCTTGGCAAAGGGCTCAGTAGACATTTTACCATGCTAGTCATTCTTTTTTTTTGTTTTTGTTTTTGTTTTTGTTTGTCTGTTTGTTTTTGAGACGGAGTCTCGCTCTCACTCTGTTGCCCAGGCTGGAGTGCAATGGCATGATCTCAGCTCACTGCAACCTCCGTCTCCCGGCTCCAAGCAATTCTCCTGCCTCAGGCTCCTGAGTAGCTGGGATTACAGGCACGCACCACCACGCCTGGCTAATTTTTGTATTTTTAGTAGAGACAGAGTTTCATCATATTGGTCAGGCTGGTCTCGAACTCCTGACCTCATGATCCACCCATCTCGGTCTCCCAAAGTGCTGGGATTACAGGCGTGCGCCACCGCGCCCGGCATGCTAGTTATTCTTTACTCCATGCGAAGGCATTTTCTGTCCCACGTGTGTTGTGTTCTTTTATTCTCTCATACCCAAACATATTCAGCCAAGAATAATCACAATGAATATAATATTAAATTAATAATAATGACAACCACATGGACTAAATGTGTCATTTACAGTGCTAAATGCTTTTCACACATTTTCTCATTTTCTCATTTTCTCCCTTAATATTCAAAATATGTATATAAGTCAGAAATAATTATCCCAGAGCCTAACATTTTACAGCTGAGGAAACTATGATTCTAAAGGTAAAGAAAACTGTGCAAGGTACCAAAGTTAAAGTAGTGGAACTATGATTTTAAGACTTTTTTTTTTTCCCTGATTCCAAAGCGTCTGTTTTTAATCATTATGCTCCAATGCTTGAATCTTCAATCATAGATTATTAAAAAGTAAGTTATAGTATATCCACACAAGGGAACATTGGACATCTGTAAAAAGTGGTATTACAAAAGTACGATTATTTATGTGAGGGAAAAGCAGGTTGTAAAAGGGTGTATACGCTGATCACATTTTTCTTTTCTTCTTTTTCTTTTTTTTTTTTTTGTTTGAGACAGAGTCTTGCTCTGTTGCCTAGGCTGGAGTGAAATGGCATTATCTAGGCTCACTGCAAGCTCTGTTTCCTGGGTTCAAGCGATTCTCCCACCTTAGCCTCTGGAGTAGCTGGGATTACAGGCACCCACCACTAAGCCCGGCTAATTTTTTGTATTTTAGTAGAGACGGGATTTCGCCATGTTGGCCAGGCTGGTCTCAAACTCCTTACCTCAGGAGATCCACCTGGCTTGGCTTCCGAAAGTGCTGGGATTACAGGCGTGAGCCACCATGCCTGGCCTGATCACATTTTTCTTGGGAAAAAAAAAAAAAAAAACTGTTTATAAAAAAATGAATAAAGATGATCACTCAGTGAAGGGTTAGGAATATTTATTATCTTTCAGAAATCTATATTTACCTTTATAAAAGTAAGCATGTGTTACACAAGACACCCATTTATACTTTTTTTCTTTAAATCAATTACTTTTTCATATTACTATGCTGGAACTATATGTAGCCATTTAGAAGCATGTTTTAAAGACATAGTTCATAAAAAAAGAAAGCTTTCATGATAAAATATATATACTTTAAATATGTTCTTCACCATGACTCTGTTTTGTTAGTTTTTAAAAGTAAAATATTTAAGGGAAAATTAATATGTGTTGGCAATCTCTGGATACAAAAAGCCAGGTGATTTTAATTTTTTTCCTTGTACTTTTTTAGTTTTATAGTTGTTTTCTGGAATTAACCATAGAACAAAAGAGCTAGTATTGTGTGTGTTTACCTGTGTATGAGTATGCATATATTTTATTCTAGACAATGTCCTAAATGTTTAGAATAAAACATAGCTTATGTCATTTAAATTTATTATGAGGTAGTTTCCATTTCTACATTCTTTACTTGAGTGTACTAAAGCTGAGATTGTTTAAGTGACATGTTCAAGGTCACTCAGCTAATAGGCAGCAAAGCCAGAATTTTAACCCAGATCTATAAAAACCAAAAAGCAAGACCTTAATGAATACTATAATGCTAGTATGTATATTTTTAAATCACCCTACTAAATTAACTGACCTTTTACTCTTTGATGAGACTAAATTGAATTTACCTATATAATAACATTAATTCATCCAACAAATATTTATTAAGTGCCCTACTACATTTGACACATAGTGCCCTAATAGAGAACAAAACAAAACCCACTCTGGTGGATTTTTATATTCTACTGGAAAGTCATAGAAAACAAACAAACAAATAGGTCTGACTTTGAAAAAAATGAATGAATGAATGAATAAAACTGGGTAAAAGGCTGTCAAGTAAATATGGTGTTCTGCTTTTTCTGATGAGGTAACATTTGGATAGAGGTCTAAATGCATTGAGGGAAAAGGCAACATTGATATATTTGGGGACAGTTTTTGAAGCAAGAAGAAGATTAAATGCAAAGCTCCTGAGGTGGGATCAATAGGAATAGCACCATGTAACCAAACAGAGAGGTTGGTTCCAGGTAGGGTGCAGATGAAGTCTTATATACCCTGATAATGACATTGTATATATGAAATGGGAAGTCATCCTAGAGTTTTAAGCCTAGAAAATGTGATTATCTGGTTTATTTAAAATATATTATTTTCAATAATATGAGATTAGATTTTCCAGTATAGAAACAGAGCACGAAGGTTACTCGAAATGTCCAGATAAGAGATAATGGAGCCAGAGACTGGGATGATTCACAGTTGAAGTGTATGAAGATGTTCAGTAAGCAATCTTCTTTCATTTTTTTCTAATTTAATAATATAATATCTTTAAACCTTGGATTTAGCCCTGGGGGACTTAAAATGGTAAGGATTATCTTGGGGGAGTCAGGAGGTGAAGTTAAGCTCTAGACAGCATTCTGATGGCTGTGGGTGGTGTAAAAGGTAGTACATCTGCGTCTGTTCAATTATTATACCCACAAATTCACTTCAGATGGCAAATCTACTTTGGGACTCAGTGGATATGGGCCGGGATATACAAATCTACTTAGGAACTTACCAGTTAACAACTACACATATATATCTACCATGGATAGCCATTTCATGAGGACTTTCTCATATATATATATATCTCTCTCTATATATATATAGATATATATATACAGATATATATACACACATATCTATATATATAGAGAGAGATATATATATGGACTTCCATATATATATAAATATATATGAGGACTTTCATATATATAGATTTAAATATATATGAGGACTTTCATATATATAGATATAAATATATATGAGGACTTTCATATATATAGGAATAGTACCATGTAAGATGCACCATGTAATATATAATTCATATATATGAATATATATGTGAATAGCACCATGTAATATATAATAGCACCATGTAATATGTAATTCATATATATGCGTGTATATATATGGGTGTTAAATTTTAAATGAACTCTGCTGAACATCATCTGTAATATTTCTCTAGTTAGTAAGCTGAATAATGGTCTATTAAAAATGCACTCTATTCTCTCTTCAAACAAGAACAATTTAATGAGTGGCAGTGGATTGTTTTGCATTTGAAAAATATTTAAGTTGACTTGCCACACTTTGATTTCAGTGCAGGTTGTGTGTTATTTTTGTGTTGTTTCAAACCACACAGGTGTCATTTCTCAAAATGATCTGGAACATAATTACTCATCAATGAGTAGGAAAATTTTTTCTTAGTTCTTTCTTCCTCTACATAAAGATTGACATTCATTTTCATAGAGCACAATTTTGAGGCTTAGATTTTAAGCTTTCTAATTGCATTTGCAAATAAATGTTATGCTTCCTGTAATTGAATAATGGAAACAGGAAATGCTAGTTTATCTCAATAAGATAAGCATCATCATTGTTTTCCTATTTTTCTGGAACCCGTAGGGCCAGATTCAGCACTTGAGGTAACCTGCAATACTCCAGCATCTCAATTAAGAAATGCTTTGAGAGACATTATGAATATCTTCCAATTCTTATTGGTCTAGGTTGTAGATGAGAATCCTGACATCTGTTCTTTGCTGTTCTCAAAGTGCTTTTCTGTAATCATTTGGTCCTTATACCACCTTCAGCATTAGGGAAATGAATTTTACTTTCATGTTTTATAGAAATGGGAACTGACATGCTGAGTGATTAAGAGATTGGCCCCAGGTCATGTAGCCAAAAAATGATGGAGAAGAGAGTCAAACACAAGTATGCAGATTGGAAGTTCACAGTTCATTTTGTGCCTCCACTGTCCCTCCCAGTTTGGTTGGGGTAGATGCAATAATAAACCAGACTCCTCCAATTGTAAGTGACAAACCCAATTCAACCTGGTTTAAGCCAAAACATGAATCTATAACGTGATGTTAGAGTCCACAAGTAAGACTGCTATAAGACTGGACTTACAGGTAAAAATATGCTTACAGTAGAAAAGACAAGGTAGAAATGCTATTATCGCAAATCTGTTTCTCTCTATCAGCTCTGCCTTCTACTCCATCAGCTTTAGTTTCAGGCTCCAAGTGGTGGTGTCTGGTCAGTCCAGGGCAAAAGAGAAAACTCACTTTCTAGTAGTTCTAGCATTGTCTTTGTCCATCTTGTGTTGCCATAACAGAATGCCTGAGGCTGGGTAATTTATAAAGAAAAGAAGTTTATTTGGCTTATAATTCTGGTGGCTGAAAAGTTTAAGATTGAGCAGCTCCATCTGGTGAGGGCCTCATGGTGCTTCCAGTCATGGTGGAAAGTGGAAGGGGAGCAGGTATGCGTAAAGAGATCACCTGGGGAAAGAGAAAGCGAGAGAGAAACCAGGAAGGCCAGACACTTTTTAACAGCTCACTCTCATGGGAACTAATCCATCCCTGCCAGAGCAAGAACTCCCTTACCCCACAAGAAAGGGCTTTGATCTATTCATGGGGGATGCACCCCCATGACCCAAACTGCCTCCCACTAGGTTCCACCTCTCAACATGGCCACACTGGGGATCAAATGTCAACATGAGTTTTGGTGAAGACAAACCATATCCAAATGATTCACTGTGACTGAATGACTTGGATCATGTGCCCACCCTGGACCAATTGCATCATTCAGAAAGATAAAATTACTCTGATTAGCCAGGCCTAGGTCTCCATTCAAACCATGTGGATTGATAATAGAGAACTAATGTTTCCTCCAATAGGCTCAGGGTGCTATTACAAAAAGAAGGATAATAGCAAAACAGATATCCATTACAAACTTATAAGAAAATGAGACAATTTTGTCTGACCTGGCCCTGACATTTTCAGTTTTTTTTTCTCTTTAACAATTGTGTTAAGTTGTTTTTTAACAATTGTGTTGAGTGTTTCTAAAATTGCAATATGAAAATTTGTCGTTGATTAATTTAAAATGTCTGTTAATAATTTCTGTTAAATGCCTTTCAACTTTGTGTTTTCCTGTCTCCGTCACTCTAGCAGGCTTCTGGTATATAAATAAATGGCGATAGCATACAACAGCCCCAGCACCAGGCTGAGTGGATTCAGATCACAGCTCTGTGACTTTTCTTGACTTGGATAAGTTAGTTAACCTCTCTGGGCTCCAGTCCCTTTTCTTCATTTGTAAAGTAGAGATAAAAAAGAATACTCACTTCATGGGGTTGTTGGGAGGATCATAGATAATGCCTAGAATTTGTTTGGCATGTGTAAGTGTTCAGCAAATATTCAACCTGATTATTGAACAAATCCCTAACTGATTGGAACAGCTTCTGGAATTTAGGAAGTTATCAGTGAATATTACTATTTGCTTTCTTCCCTTCACCCAGCAGCATTTTTGGGGGTCTCAAGAAAGGGTAGATTCAAATGTTCTCTTTTACATTGCTTTCGATTCTCTTGCAATACATGCAAGATGAAGCCTTTACAAATTGATGTATGTGAAGCCCACACATCTGGCTAGTTGACTGTGGTTCTAATTGCCCAATCTAATGCTTTTAGAAAATAATCACTTTCTTGCAAAACAAACAAACAAAAAATTTGTACTTGGCCAAAGGGAAATCAATCCTGTGTTCTGAATAGCTGAGTTCTCCTCAACATGCAGAGCAACGCTCAGAATGGAAACAAGCATGTAAACAACAGCTACAGAAAATTCAAAGCCTAGGTACAGAGCACCTTGATTCAGCACCTCTGGGAAATTAGAAACAGTCTCTTTTCAATTTAGTCTTAAAAAATCAGCTTCATCTACTATGTTCTTAAGAAAAATGGAAGTTACAGTCAAAATTAAGTTTCTTGTTACCTGTATGAGAGTGACCATTGTCCCTGTTTTTACATGAAGCTGTAAATTTGATTATAAATACTTGCATACAAATGTGAAACAAAAGTCCTGGGTGAGAAGACAAAGCAAAGGAAGTTACCTCCAACTGTCCAAGTCATTCATATCAATGACCAGCTTGGGATCATGTCATTGACCTTTGAAAATCCCCATTGCCTGCACCACCAGCTACCTCCAATTAAGCCAGGTTTTTGTGTAACTGTGGTTGAATATCAAGTGGATCAGCAGACTCAAAGCAGGAGTTGATGCTGGATGCTCCCATATTAATATGACAATATCATGATTATTTTGGTATTTTTCTTAGTAGTTTAGATGTATATAGAACTTCAGGAAGCACTTACATTTTCTAATAGCATTCACTCTAAAATAATCACTAAAATGGTTTATTGTGTTCCTTTTTTAAATGTGGAGATGGAAATTGTAATTCAGGGAGGTTTGACTTACGTAAATTTGTGTGGTTTGTAAGCAGTAAGGAAGCCAGGCAAAAGCAAACACTGAGTCAGTGTAGTATCATAATTAGGGTGAGTTTGGGAGCTAGACTCCACGTATATGGTTGTATTTAACATTCTAAGACTGAGTTTCTACCTCCACAAATAATTATAATGAGATCTGCCAAGGATTAAACCAGTTAATACATGTAGGACATTGATCACAGGGCTCAGCTCACAGAAATGATAATTGCAATACCATTGCAATAATGGTAGCTTTTAGTTTTATTATTTCCATTCTCACTCTAGAATTTTTCAAGCAATATATTTTATTTCCTCATAGTCAATAAAATGCATGTATAGTTCCAGGCATGAGCATTTTCTGTAGAAAAATCAAAATGATCTTTTCTATTTCCCTGGCAAAATATAGTTTCTCAAATTAGTTCTTGATAGACAAAATCTCCAGCACCCATACAACTATTGCATTTGAAACCAGACTTTTGGGGATTATATGTCTAGATATTTGCTAAATCTTCATTGAAAATTGTTTCCTTGCAGAACACGCATGTTTAAAATAGCCAAAGAAATGTGCGTTGAATCACCTAGATTATTGACTTAAAAAAATTAAATGTCAAATATCTTCCTAAAAGCTTTCTGACAGAATGACAAGTTAAATTTTTCACAAAACAGTTTGGCCTCTAAAACAATCAGTTGCAAAATGCCAGAAGTAACCAGGAGGGGTGATTCATGACTTCCACACCTGTTTTGAGGTAAAGAAGCCAACAGTGGGTTGCAATTACACCAAGGCAGCCATGTGGACTCCCCCTCCTTCTTGGCCAATTAATGCTAAAAAAAGATCCTTTGTATTTGTGAAAAAGATGACTTGGGCCTATCTCTTGAAAATTCAAGGTTGGCATATTATGGGTGCATATTGAAATATTCTGATCATTAGGCAAAAAAGAGACTGTAAATAAGTTGGCTTTCATAATGCTATTTTTCAAGTCAACTTATTACTTGCAGGGTTTCTCAAAGCATGACACATATCTCACCTTTATGAAAATCATCCAGAGTACTTAATATAAATTTGGGTTTTCAGGCCCTGCCTTGGATGGACTAAATTAGAATCTTAGGGCATAAGGCCCTGAAATCTTTATTTCTAAAAAGAACCCCAAGTGATACTTTTACGAATGGGTTGAATAAGCTTTGTATGCACGTGTGCAAATCTTTTTAAATAATCCTACAAGAAAAAATAAGTCAATGCTTGTTTGGATTTCAATCCAGAATGACTCTGATCCCTTTCTAAATATTTATCTTCTCCTCACATGTGCAGTCCCAGGTTTCATCCTAACAATAAATTTCAATAAGAAACAGCTCTAAGAACTCTAGCAGCTTGAAGCTGGAGGCCATCATTCTCAGCAAGCCAAGACAAGAACAGAAAACCAAACACCACATGTTCTCACTCATAAGTGGGAGCTGACCAATGAGAACACAGGGACACAGGGAAGGGAACATCACACACCGGGGCCTGAGCTGGGGTAGGGGGCTGGGGGAGAGATAGCATTAGGAAAAATACCTAATGTAGATGATGGGTTGATGGGTGCAGCAAACTGCCATGGCACATGTATACCTATGTAACAAACCTGCATGTTCTGCACATGTATCTCAGAACTTAAAGTATAATAAAAAAAATTAAAGACAAAAACAAAAAACTGTAGCAGCTTGTGCAACGTGAAGAACAAAGGCCATTTCTGCATCTCATACCTGTTGGACACTGGGTGCATTTGTGAGACACTGGGCAACTCACCAAGTGCTTTCGCTTTCCCACTGGCCTTAGTAGCAGGTCTCTACTCTCGCTTCTTGTATATACATGGTCTTCAACTCTGTCATTTAGGGAATACAATTAGAAATAAAATTCTGGAGTCTGCCTGCAGTTATTTAAGTAGGTTACTAATAAACACGTGGTAAAATTCTTTTATATTTTTTCATTTTAGTAATGTAATGATAGTTACATTCAAAACACATGCACTCATGCAACTGTAGGTAAACACACACACACATACACAGAGACACACATAAGTTGAGCTGTCCTATTAGAAAATTTTAAAATATATAAATATATTGTATATATATACTATATATAGTATACATATAGTATATATACTATATGTAATATACATACTATATATACTATATAAAATATACAGTATATATACTATATAAAATATACACACTATATATACTATATATTATACATATAGTATATACTATATATAGTATATATATTATATATAATATATAGTATGATGCACTATATATGTAATATATAGCATATATAGTATGTATCTTAAAAAACCATTTTCTCCATCTTATATTTTAAAAACCCTTCATATTGTATTCAGCTATTCTACGGTGGGAGAGGGGCAAAATTGAAACAGGAGTAACCTTGTAATTTCATTAATGGGTAGGATGTTTTTCCTCATTCTTGCCAATTACAAACAATAATGTTCGCCCCCCTCCTGACATAGGATGTAAAATGCCCTTTGCTCTCACTTAAAGACAAAATTCAGCTTTTATCAAATCACTAAATTAACATAGGAAGAGTTATTAAATTAAACCTGGGCGGTGCAATTAAAACAAACTTTCACATCATTTCTCTAGAGGTAAAGAAAAAGGTTACATATGCAACCAGAGCGTTCTGCTAATCCATAAAGAAGTCCACAGGGCCCAAGTGAGTTGCAGAGCCATCTCCAAGACAGAGTGACTGCTGTGTAAAGCAGCCAAGGCCCGCTGAAAGCATAAGACTCATTTCCTGTATTTCAAGACAAAGCAGACACTTCACACTGGATACAAGGGAATTGAGATTTACGGAATTTGTTGAATATGTCTATTCTATAGGCATACATCTTGTTTCATTTAATCCTTATAACTGCCCTAACGGGTGGGCCCAGCTATCTCCTTGATAATATGAAAATCAAGGTTGTTAAGCCAGCAAGGAGCAGGAAATATTCCATCCTAGGATGGCCTGATTAGGGACATTCCACCAAGGAGATTCCAATTCAAGACCCTACATGTGCTGGCAGTGTCTCTCCTCAGTGTCCCCATGTTGAACCACAATACCTTTTATTCCTTTCATTCTTGTCTAGGGATTGGAAGACTATGACCAAATCCAGTCACTACCTATTCTTGTAAATAAAGTTTTATTGGAACATAGCCACCTCCATTCATTTAAATATTGCTCATGACTGCTTTTATGCTACTGCTACAGAGTCAAGTATTTGTAACAGAGACCTCATAGCCCACAGATACTAGAACATCTGGTACCTGTATTTTCAAATAAAAAGTGTGCTGGCCCCTGCTCTAGTCATACTGAGAGTCTTCTCTGCCCCAAGATTAGAACAGGTCCTTTCTTGTCCCTCAGGTTCTCCCCACATGCTGTCCCCTTTGCCTGAAGTTAACTTCGTGGTATCCTTTTATTGGGGACTCTCTCATCTTTCAGGACTGTTTTCAAAGGACATTTCCCTGAGGGGTCATCGCTCATTAACCAGGCCCAGGCTTTATTTTTTCATGGCTGCCATCCTCTTTAAGTGTAATACTTTATATGTTGTTAGCCTAGAACAGAGCTCCACGTGGGTAGGGATCACATCTATGTATTCATTTGACACAAGCAGGGCCCAGCCGTCCTGGAATGGGTGCTCACATAATAAATTGATATTCTAGAAGAAATTTGGCAGAAAAAGATAAACTGTAGCAGAGATAGTCTGACTTATTCTAGAAAAACACTGTTAAAATGAGAAAAATTCGCTCTTTAAAACTACCATTACATGTAGAGATAGAACTACATAGAGTTAAAAATAGATTTGTAGATATAGAACCTGTCATGTGAATAAGCTGTTGTTAAAAGAGATTAAACCTTTTTAATAAGGTGTAATAAGGTAAGGACAAGTAGCACCCAGCATTAGGTTAGGTTTTATTTCAAAAGTTGGCTTATTACAACCCCAGATGGGTTTTCCACCGTCATATCTGGTGGTTAAATTTCAAACTGCCCCTCAAAAACTTCAAGACTAACAATCTTAGTAGTTATGAAGCAAGGCAGACATTTAGGCCATAAGAGAATATTCTAATTCCTCCCTTCCTAGGTGAAAAGCAGACACCACAGGCATTTTAACAAACGGGTCAGAAGCGAATCTTACCTTGGTCAGCCTGTCTCACCGGACTTTGTGCACCTCCCCTCACTTCCTAATCAGTCCCTTCCAGGCCCTCATTAATGTACGATTTTATCTAGCAGATAGGAACTCAAGAATTTTACAGTTTAGTAGACTGATTAAAGTAAGCACATATCTAATTGTCTTAGGGCAGTGCCCCCAAGAAAGGTAAGAAAAAGTGTAGTGAGGGCTAACAAACACTGTTCAGCAGAGCAGTTAAAAGAATAGGTTAGATTCAAATCCAGGTACGTGAGGATGCATGTGTATGTGTGTGGGCATATATATATGAAATATACTATTTGATTAATGTTTCAGTATAACTCCTCCAGTGTTTTCACTCAGCAATGTTTTTTATGTTGCAATCTTAAATATCTTCCCTATTCTTTTTAAAGGTTGTATGATATTCTATGAGAAATTAGACACTCTTGTGTTCTCTAAACACTTCAAGCTTCTGTTACGATAACCCCCATGGCTGTTACTATACATGGCTGTGGGAACTGAGCTGATCAGGGCTGAGAAAATAGTTCTAACAGAGAGACTGTTTTCAATCTCAGTGGTATTAAGTCAGGAACTGAATGCACTTGAAGGACTAAGAATTTGATATGCAATTAATATATAAAATATGAATATATAGTTGAGTATAGAAAGGAGCATTATTAGTGGACATAGGTGGAATAAGATTTAGTGCAAAGAGTTTAGATCATTTTTATTTTTAGGCCTCAGACATAAATCTGAAATGCTTAACAGAACAGTGTGGCAAAGAAATACTTTTCAAAATTATTCAAAGTAATTTTTAGTAATTTACTCAAAGTAAATTTGGAACATCAAAATTTCAATATAGTATTAGATTCTCTACCCAGAAGTCCCCACATGTGCTAATTCCCAATATCATCAGTCTGTCCCTATTACAACTTTGAAATATCTATGTTATTGCATTGTGTTGTCTTTATTTGTGCATGCCTGCTGCCTTAACTCTGAGCTTATTTTGAAGGCAGAAACTGTGTCTTATTCATTTGTATATTACCAGTATCTGACACAGTACCCAACACAATGTAGGTCCTAAAAAAGTTTTTGGAATGAATGAATGAATCAGTGGCTTCATTAAAAACATGTGATCCATATGCCAATGTTAGGAAGACATTTTGCTTTAGGATCAAGCAAATCTGGTTTTTAAATTGCTCTGCCATTTACTAGCTATGAGACTTTAGAGGAAATAAACTCTCAAGGCCCAATTTTTCACCCGTAAAATGGGAGTGATAATATCCTTATAGAAGCATTGCACAGATTAAAGGAAGTAGGACATCTGTATTGGTTAGCTTTTGATGAATAACAGATCACCCCACTTTTGGTGCCTTAAAACAATAAACATTTATTATTTCTCACACATCACTGTCAGTTCATCTGAGATGGTCTCGCTGACATGTCCAATAATTGGCAGGCTATTGGCTCAGATACCCTGGTTCTCCTCCACAGGGCTTCTCTAGCAAAAGATTTCAGGCTCATTCTCTTGGTGGTGCTGGGGTCCAAGGGCAGTGGGAGAGAGCAAGCCCAGATGTGCAAAGCACCTTTCAAGCCTCTACTTACATCACATTTCCTATCGTCTCATTTGCCAAAGTAAAGTACATGACCAATCCCAGAATCAGTATGGGAGGGGTCTACCCAAGATGCAGATAGAGGTTGGGCAATTATTGCAGCTATTTTGCAATCAATCAACACTCAGCATCTTAAGTGTTTAGCACAGTGTCTAGAAAATAAAAATATTTGGCCGGGCATGGTGGCTGACGCCTGTAATCCCAGCACTTTGGGAGGCCGAGGCGGGCGGATCACGAGGTCAGGAGATCGAGACCATCCTGGCTAACACAGTGAAACCCCATCTCTACTAAAAATACAAAAGATTAGCTGGGCGCAGTGGCAGGCGCCTGTAGTCCCAGCTACTCAGGAGGCTGAGGCAGAAGAATGGCATGAACCTGGGAGGTGGAGCTTGCAGTGAGCCGAGATCGTGCCACTGCACTCCAGCCTGGGTGACAGAGCGAGACTCCATCTCAAAATAAATAAATAAATAAAAACATTTAATTTAGGTTAGCAATAATCATAGCACAACCATTGTTGTTATTATACAAAAAAGCATTTTCTATAAAGAAAATTATCATATATGATCATATATATCATATATGATCATATATATCATATATGATCATATATATCATATATGATCATATATAATTTCCATGATACTTTCTTGAGATCCTTCTTAGCTTCTAACTGCTCCATCTGTAAGTCTCTGCCTTATCAGGAATCTATCACTCTTCTTTCACATGGAATTATTACTACTGACAGCTGATGATGATACTTATATCTTGAGATGGAATCTAAGTCTGGGTTCCCTCCGAATCAGAATTTCAGCAAGAGCTTTGAGGCAGATGGTTTATTCGGAAGGGAAAGCTGGGAAACAGGAGACAGACAGAACAAAGTGGGGAAGAAAAGACAGCCCAACATAGGAATGAATTGCCTGTGATGTTGTGAGAAAAGCAGATGAATTGCTTCAGGATCTCTGGGAAGCATAAACTATGCTTCTCTATACTGTCTAACCAATAGACAGGAGACTGAGCATTAATCCCCTGGCTCCCGCCTCCCCTGCGTTGAATTTGCTCATGGAGCATTAAGCCCTTCTCACCTCACTCCTGTACTTGCCAGCTGTGTTTGCCTACGGGCCCAGGAGACTCACAGGTCAGCCCTAGAGCTTGATTTACAGACACTACAGGGGCACACTTTAGGTGGGATACTTTCAGTGGGAGGTGAGCTGGAAATGGCCACCAAAGCTGCCGCTGAAATTGAATATGTCCCAAGGAGCTATAACAGGAACACCCCTAGCATCTTCTGTGGATGGTAAAAAGAGAGAAAAAATAATTGCAGGACTTGCAGGTGACAGTTTCCCATCATAACTCCACTCCACAAGTGAGCCTACACTGCCCTGGAGGGCTTTCACTGCCAGTGCATTTCTAGCAACATTGGAAACATAACCAGGAAAACAGTGATGCATGGCCCATCGGAAGAGGCACAATCATCAATAAAGCTACAGTTTATTTCACAGTTTGATCTGAGTGGTATTGTTTTATGCAAGTCTTTCTTCAAATATCTTCCAAGCCACTTTACATTTTAAATGTTACAAATCCTAATACCCATGTTTTGTTTTGCTAATTTTTTTGAATGGGTATCTTTAAGAAACTATCTGTCTGTCATATAAAGAACTGGCCATCAGGTTATTCAAATAAGCACTTAAAACTACATGGAGAAGAAGAGCCTGAAGTTGTATTTATTCTAATAAGTTGATGCTTAAGGATTCAGTGTGATTTTCTTTTCTGCTTTTTAGAAGCAGCAGAAACAATAAACAATTATCTCTTGGCATACCCTTGATCAAGACAGCCAATTACAAATACTCTGTATTTATGTTCCCTGTGTTTGGTAAGACAATTTTAAATATAGACATCATTGACATTGAAATTATACCTTGTCCAATTGTCTTGCATACACAAGGAACCTTACAGGTTGAAGAATTCACTCCAACTCCTCACTTAGTTTTTTAAAAAGAAAAGTGAAATTGGTTAAACTGGTAAAATCAAACAGATATCTTGACATCAGAACACAAAGTCAAAGGCGAAGTTTCCAGGACATCGAAGTCACTTACATCCTCTGCTCAGCTTGTAGAGAATGCAGCATGTTTTATTTCCTAATTAATCACAGCTCAGTCATGTGGCACTTAAGTGCCTACCACTTGCTTGGAAACCAGTAGGAATTAAGCTGGGCTGGGAAGGCTGTAAGATCAAGCCTTTATGATTGTTCTCAGGAATTAACTGATAAATAATATATGCAACATCCCACTGATTCAAGGAACACTGAGTTTGATCTTAGAAATCCACTCACAGAATTTTTGTAAACAAGTCTGATATGATTCCTGATATATTGTATGCTTTCTCATGAATTTTATTGAATAAATATGCACACACGGGCAGTCTGATTCAGGCATATGTGTATTATTTATTTTTCAATTTGACAAAACGTTTATTTGAAAGTAGTTTTAATGAAAGATAGATGTGCTTTTGGGTTGCTCTTATGATTTGATGTGAAATAAAAATAATGACATTGCCTTATGTAAATATGATTTTAACAAAGTAAAAAATACTTAGTTTCAAAAATACAGTATTCTGATTTCAACAGTTACATTATACACACAAAATCTCCTGTGATATTGATGAAAAGAAAAGAGGCTTGAGAAAGCTGAATATGAAATTCTGCAATGATGCATGATCTTATAGACAAGAACTTGATATATTGGGGCATGAACAGGGATATAGTTAGTTCTGATTAACACGTCAGCAAGACGCCATTCATGTAGTTCCTGGGCTGCAAATGACAGACCATTTACTGGGGTTGTACACAAATTGTTCAAGTGAAGAATCAGTCAACTAAGGCATTTTTAAACAGACTGTTTACTGGGGTTATATCAAAATTGTTCAAATGAAGAATCAGTCAACTAAGGCATTTTAACACACTTCGTGTAAGCAGTATTTTCTAGCAAGCATTACTACAGAACATTGCATGGAGAAGGCTTTGTGCCATGAGCAGAATAAGATAATATACCTGGTTGTGAAAATATAACCTCAAATATGTCATTGTTCTTTTTTTGCAGAAAGAGGGATTACAATTTAAAAAGTATTTTATGTGAAAAAAAATACATAGATGAGCTAAGAAGGACATATGTCATGACACTGTTCAAGTTTCAAGATGGGAATCTGAGGTCTGAGCACAATTTTTCCCTCTCACTAAACCCTTAGAAGTGAGGAAAAATAGATGAAAGAACTTTTGAAAAAATATATTTTCATATTTATCGTTATCCAGTATACTTTTCTGTGTGCTTAAAATACCATAATAAAATTACCAAGAAAAAAAAAAAGGAAAGAGAAGGTATTTCAGCAAGCAAAGAATTAATCTTTGTATTTCCAGGCTTCAGTAGGGATTGATCCTGACCTTGTTGCTCTTTAACCTTTCAGATGACTGTGCCATGTCTCATAAACTGTCTCAGAATCATACCTCAGCTGCAACAAATCTCCCTCCACGTTGAAGCATCTGCATATTTAACCAATATGCTCCAATTCCAGTAGACTGTTTATCATGTAATTTTCTGTCTCCTGTGTCTAAAACAGAGGACTCAGACACCCTGCTGTCCCATAGGGAAGTCCTTTTACTGCTTAATTTTTAATCTTCGTATATTAAAAACCCTCTGGTGCTCTTTCTAGGCAAACTAAAATCAGAAGTGCAAGGCCGTAATCCACAGAAATCTGCCAGTCCTGACAATTGGGGAAAAAAGAAAAAACAAAACTTCCCATTTTCTAATGAAACAGGAGAATTCCCTAATGCCCTCGTGGGATTTGTGACAGGGGTGCAGCATGCTCAAACCCATTAGGGGAGGGGGAGCATGCAGACAGGCAGGTGCAGGAGCCAGGGAGAGCACTTTTGGGCTCCAAGGCTGTGGTAGCATCCAGGGGTGTGTTACAATTTAATGCTCTTTTAGCAGTTCCTGTCCACAGATGGATAAGTGTTAAACCAGCACAGTGGAGAGTCAGGGTAACAGCCTTTTACACCCTGCCCTCTTGTTACCCAGGTCCTTGTCCAGTGTCTGGGAAGAATCAGGTCACACGGACTTGAAAAATGGTGAATGCAGGGATTTTATCGAGTGATTGAGGTGGCTCTCAGTAGGATAGATGGGAAACTGGAAAGGGTATACAGAGGGAAGATGATCTTCCCCTGGAGTTCAGCCATCCCATGGCTGATGTCCGCTCTGACTGTCACCAGTAGAACTCCTCTCGATGTTTAGACACTCCATCTCTTCTCTGCTGCTCTGCTGCTCTTCTGTTCCTCTGCTGTGGAGCTTGGGGTTTATATGGGTACAGGATAGGGGTGTGGTGGGCCAGAGTGGTCTTGGAAAAGGCAACATTTGGGCGTGAAAACAGGAATGCCTGTTTCTAGTTAGGGCTGCGTGATTGCAGGCTTGAGGATGGGGCCTATGCTGGGGAACCACCCTCTTTTACCCAGTATTTCCTTGCCTCCTGTTCATATCACTAATTATTAACCTGTCTTTTGAATAACTACAATAGAAACACATTTTAACCATTGTTACTGCTGCTCTAGAAAGCACTTTATCTCATTAGGGTGAGTACTCCCGAAATGACTGAAGGAGATCTTCAGCCTCAGCATGATCAGTGCTATAGCTAAGTGATTCTCACTTGTGGGGATTGTGCTGCGAGATGTTCAGCAGCACCCCTGGCTTCTACCCAATAGATTCCAGTAGGATTCTCCCAGTTGTAACAACCAAAACGTCTCCAGATTTACCAAATACCCACGCGGTGGGAGCAAAATTGCCCCCAGCTTAAAGCCACTGGTTAAACACAAAAGGATTTAATGTATAAAATGATGTACTTAAAATGTGTTCCAAGTTATATTGAATCAAGCTCCATGGAAGCTTCTGAAGATACTTCTCAGGACACCACAGAAACTGAACCTCCAGAAAATAGTGGGAGATCAGGACGCCACCGACCCAACTCTTAGATGACTTGGGGATAAGGATGTCATAGACCCAACTCCTACATTCAAGACCACCTAGTCTCCATCACATTTTTTTCCCAGTGCAATAGATAACTCTCTCTCTTCCTTTAACATCCACAACTTTAGAGACTGCATGCTATTCATCTTTGCCTACAGTCTAATCACCGGCCAACACAATAGCTACAGTCTGGCAAAACAGCTCACCTGGAATTGGATCTACATGCAAAGGGCACAGCACGTGGAACAGAATAAGCCCCCACTCAATAGAACTGTGTCTCTACAATAGAGAGACGGCACAGACTAACATCACAGATCTAAAACTTTACTGATGAGATATTTCATATTCTTTTTTTTTGTACTAAATCTTCAAAATCTACTGTGTATTTTATAGTCAGAGAACCTCTTGTTAAGTAGTTAACATGTTAAGTGCCCAGTAGTACATAGCATACAGAACAGCCTGGGTCTAAATAAGTTAAGGTCATCATTCCTAAAAGAAAAACTTCATGCTGTAGAAAAAGCATAGTGTCATTAGAGTAGCTGTAATAATAACAATAGCTAACACGAATATGGTACTTATGATGTGTTCTGTTCTGAGCACTTCACAGGATAAACTCATTTACTCTTCTCAATAATGCTGCGAGGATAGCAATATTATTAACAGATGAAGATTGAAAGGCATGGGAATGTTTGACGCCTGTCCAAGGCTACAATAAGACATAAACCTCAGAACATACTTAAAAAATCAGGAGGACGGAAGAGAATATGAAAGGTAAATGTACGAATTGCCTGAGTTTTGTTTTTCTTGTTGTACAAAAGGAAGAAATGAAAGTTATTTTGTTCTGAAGTTGTTAATAATATAGGATTAAAATATGCTAATTCAGGAAATACAAGTAACATTAAAATGCTTTCAAAATGCTGAAAGAGATGCATGTGGGAAAATGCTAATTAACTGAAAATGAAATTAATGCTAAATAATTGCCCATGTACAACTGAAGCCATCTTACCACCACCAGGTATAAGAATGTCACACACTGTGATATGTAGCAAAACCTTACAGGAATAGCAAGAACACAAAAATCATATAAACACACTAGTGGTTTTAAACATCATCAACTATTCCATCCTTCACAAATCCCAAAGATATAAAACAAAAGTTAAATGCTGAAATTAGAGTATAGCATTTTAAAAAAGGAAACAGCAAGGAAACATACTGAGCCTACTGCAGAAATAAGAGCAATGTCTCAAACATAATAAACATAATAAATAGAAATCACATATTCATTAAAAAGACTTTCATAATGAATAAAAAAATCAAAATATACTACAAAATAAAATACATACCAAATCAAAGTAATGAAAATTGTTTTAAAATAAAAGGATGATCAATAATATACCAGAGAAATAGAAAAATATTGAGATTATATAGCATCAGGCCTGGTATTACTGCATTATAATGTATAAAGAAATAATGTATAATGTAGCTTTGCAATGTATAAAGCAGCGCTTTTAAAACTTGCTTAATTCATAGGCTAGTTTCATAAGTTTTTGTTATGCCTTCATGAAATTTAAATTGTAATTTGCTCTACAATTTCTTTACATTGAATTCTTTTAAATTAAATGATACATCTTAAACAGAAGCAATATATCACCATCAAAATACAAAATCATTCTCTATTGCAAAAAATAGAAGGTAACTATTAAACAAAAACTAAAAATTGGAAATTTCCCTAGATGTGCTAGTGTCACTGAAAGTCTCAGAAAGAAACAGATAAAAGGAGTTTTGAAAACAGACTATTTACAAAGGTTTGGACTGGTGGGGACAAGTCTAAAGTTGACAAGGAATAGTGTGATGCTCTGGAAATAGCAGCCGCTGGGGACAGTTACCCACCCTTGACAGGAAGGACACAGAACGGAGAGCTTTTCAGGAGGCCCGGCTCCTAGAAGCTGCTGCATTTGGAGAAGAAAATGTAGCCAACCCTAAGTGGCCCAGAGAGAAGGATCCAGCAATTCTCAAATCTCTTGCCATTGCCCTGTTCAAACACACTTGTCTGCCTCCTGAGACAGAAAGCAGAGGCAAGAATAATGGAGAGTAGATGGGTGTGGGCAACTAGAAGATTCTCAAAACAACTCTATTCTACCCAATATTCTTACGAAGTCTTGCTCTTCTCTAGTAAAAGTATACTAATACCACCAAGTTCAGATTTTCTTCTTTCATAATGAAGACTTGAAGATAAATGAAAAGGAAAGCACTGCCTCCCAATGTTCATGCCATGCCCATGTACAGTTGAAGCCAACTTACCACCATTCATAAGAATCCCACACACCGAGATACGTAACAAGACCTTCCAGATACAGCACGAACACAAAATCACATGAACATACTAGCGGTTGTGACCACAATCATACCGTTGCATCTTTCGCAGGCACAAAGATATGAAACAAAAGTTAAATATAGATGAATCTGAAGAGCATAGCCCGTAAATGTAGATTATACTTTCTAGACAGAGAATGCAGCTACTTCTTATGTGTATATGGGGTATTTACAAATACTGACTACAAATTAGACTCCAAACAAATTCAAAATTCTGAAGAACAGAAACTAGACATATATAATTGCCCATAATCTCTGACAGCAATGCAATATACCTAGAAACACGTAACAAATGAAAAAACTGAAACTTGACTACTTAGAATTTAAAAGAAAATATTTTCTACTGAGTAACTCCTGAACCACAGAAAAAAATCAGAAGTGCAATTGCTGAATAGTTAAAACACAATGATACTGAAAACTCTCTGTATAAAAAATATGGAAAGATGCCAAAGAATTTGTTCAATAGAAAATCAGAATCATAAATGTTTCCTTGCCGAAAACAGAAAGAATGAAAACAGAAAAATAGTGTTTTCAACATAAAAAATATAAAAAAAGAACTCAAAGAGCTAAGGAAAGCAGAAAAATAGAAGAGATCAATATAAAAGCATGAATTAATTTGTTGTAAAAGACAAAAAGTAAAATTGATTAGTACACGAAATAAAAAGGAAAATAGCATCAATAGAGAAGAATGCATACATTGGAAAACAGAAAAATAGAATTGAAAAATTTATAAAATAATTCTTTTTAAAATAAGAACAAATAATTTTATTATAAAAAAGAAATACATCGGCCAGGTGCAGTGGTTCACGCCTGTAATCCCAGCACTTTGGGAGGCTGAGGCGGGCGGATCACGAGGTCAGGAGATTGAAACCATTCTGGCTAACACAGTGAAACCCCATCTCTACTAAAAATAAAAAAATTAGACGGGTGTGGTGGCGGGCGCCTGTAGTCCCAGCTACTCAGGAGACTGACGCAGGAGAATGGCGTGAACCCGGGAGGCAGAGCTTGCAGTGAGCCGAGATTGCACCACTGCACTCTAGCCTGGGCGACAGAGCAAGACTCCGTCTCAAAAAAAAAAAAAAAAAAGAAAGAAAGAAAAGAAATACATCACTGTGGAAACTTATTAGGAAAATGGAACTGATTAAAAGAGTATTTAACAGAATATTTGCTCAATTCTATGCTAACAAATTTGAGAATGTGACTAGACCATTTTCTATAAATATAAAAGTACTATACTACAAATTGGTCCAACAAAAAAATAGAATTCTTCAACAAACTCAAAACCAAGGAAGAAATTGAGAAAGTTTTCAAAGATCGAATTCTCAATAAAGTTTCAGAAAATTTCATGCATGAATTCCTACAAATCTTTAAGAAACAGATAACTCATGAGCTTTTTAAATTGTCCTAAAGCATAAAGTTAGAATTAATGCTTTCTAATTCTTTTTACAAAACCACTGTAGCACAAATACCTAAGCTTAACAAGAATAGCACTGAAAACAGAACCTATAAACCAAACCCATGAATATTGATGGAAAAATCACAAAATATCAACAAATAGAATCCACATAACATTTTAAAAATAAGTTTTAGTTCAGATATTCAAGAATAATCTAACATTAGAAAAATATCATTTTCATTCAGCATATAAATCAGCAGAAAAGTAATAAAATGATCATATCAATAAGGCCAAAAACACATATATGATAGAATTGAGCATTCAATCATATATTTAGTAATATCTATGTCATTTATTATAAAGTAGATGTAGCTGCTAAAATTTAACATGTGATATATAAATAACATTTCATAAATGAATGAATCACAATAATTTGTTCCTGTAGCTACAGCTTTCAATCTGAATAGAAAAGAGTCACTTCCTCCTGAACAGAAAATAGTAGCCTGGATAGAAAAGCACATATGTCAAAATTTTGCAAACACAGGCACAAATAGGGCTCACCCAGGTATTAGCTAGGTAATTATGTCCAATTATATAATCTATTCAAGACTCAAAGTTTTGTAACATGAGGGCAATAAAACACATCTTGACAGGTTATTTTCAGGATTGTAAAAAGTGCAGAACACTTAGTACAAAGTAGGTGCTCAACTAATGCTCTCTTCATTGCCTTTGTTGCTAGCTGTGGTAAAATAATTTGCACAATTTGCATTTGAATCCAAGCTTACAAAATAAATATTTTCTTATAAAATCTCTACCCCTCTACCACATCCATTTAGGGAGAAGACATAACAGGTCAAAAATATTTTTCCATTATAAAATCATTCTTATGTGAAAAAATGTATAAAATGAAAATGCACAATATAGAATTAAAGTTTCTCATAGTTAATTCTCTGTCATAGGCTTCATTATATTTGGCATGTATTCCTCTATGCTTGGGATCTTAGTTGGGGCTGTACCCTTTAAATACATTTTTAAAACAAAATTGTAAAGTCTTCAGAAAAATACTTAATTTGACAACTTCATTTCACACATTGCTTTACAGTTACTTATATATTTTACAAGACCCAAACTGGCTGTGTCTTTGATCTGATCCAAAGTCATATAGTATATAATATAATCCGTCAGTATTTAAAATCCTAAGTCATTGGTCAAATATGGAAATGTTTCAAGAGATTATGACTGTGCCAACCTTATCCCTTCTCATCATGTAAACAAACAAATCAGTTGGAAGTGGATGGGTCTTAGCGGTAGCTCAGTCATAACCATTTTCAAATATGAAGGACCAGAAATACAAATAGTTGGAACAGAATCCCATCAGATGACATGCAGGTATGCTTAATTATTTGTCTATATAACAAAAAATTTTAAATTTGCCCAGTTTTCCACTTAATTTCATCAACATAGATAACTATATATTGGAGGTTCCTCAGTGGCAAGTAATAGAAAGAAATCATTGTCTCATCTTGAACTATCTCGTTGAACTATCTACAATTGATGAGTTTAACCATGTAATTGACAATATTCCAATCTCCACTGGGCTAATGAAAACCTCAGCACACTGATAATACCTCAAAGTTTTTTCCTGTTCAAGTTTTTAATGTTGCTTGTGGTTAAGGTTCATCACAATTAAATACCAGATTATTGCCTAAAAAGCTTATTGTTGTTCTTGTTTAGCTGTCTAATTTCCTTTTGTTAATATGCTCTTAAAGCTGTTACAAAATACTTTTTCCAAGCTAATTTGGGAAAGACATTTTACAAAGAGCAGGTAATTTTAAAAGCATCATTCTAAAGTTGATCTTTCATTATTTCTCTAAAAAACAACATAATTGGTAGGATCAAGGCCACCTACAGATCAGTCTTTAGGCAAATCTTGTATATTCAAGGTATAAAACTTCTCCCTGAGCCCAGTCTCATTATCTAATGGGAAAGTGCTGAGAAAGATAAAAGTTATGAGATTATTTTTTCCCTTGCTTTCTGCCCCACCTCCCTACTTTCATAAAACATCTTTTATCAGGCCATGTCCTGGAAAATCAGACATAATTGCAGTAACCTTAACAAGTAAAGGGAGGAATCTGTCATATCCTATTTTTATCAACTTTGTTTTGAAAGCTTTCGATGTGTAGCTTCTTCTATTAAATGACTTAATGCATATGTGCTCTGCAAGAGGAGATTAAGCCATGTGTATGCTGTCTGCTGTATCTAGGGGTGTCATTTGGAGAATCAACTTCAATTAAATCTAATTACATTCCCCTTCAACTAGAGAGGCATGAAAAGGACCCATAAACTTAATTTTAATTGTAAGTCAATTACATTGTGAAGACGCAGAAAAAATATTAAATGAGTATGACAGAGTCATCCTGCATGGATACTATACTCTCAGACCTCATGTAAAGAGAATTACTAGGAGTGAATTTAAATAAAAATCCTTATTCAAATGTTACCCAAAATATTGTACCCATTTTTTTTTGAACTAATACCCATATTTCCAATGGGAATGCAATCTAATGTGGAAAGATGTCATTGTTCATTGGGAATGAAGAATGAAAATTCCGTGCATTCAGGTCATTCAAGGGAAGAGACAGACAGGAATTCTTTAAAACTCAGACAACCAGCCTGCTCTGTAATCATGGCCAAAAACAACAAAGTTGTAATTTTTATACATACCTTTCAATTGGTTAATAGACTTTTGGAAAATAATGCTCATAATTTCAGAGGAACTTGATGTTGCCATTGGCCAGGCCCAACTTACAGAACCTCTCCTGCAACTAAAGGTGCCACTCAAAGTACATAGACCAAGAACCAGGGCAGGGTGCCCCTACAGGAATATGGCACATCGTGAACAGAAGCAAGGTGAATGGATACTAAGTAGCACCAACAATAGATTTCCATGATCACAGGCATTCTAAAATTATTTCTTTGATTAAGACATATTGGTGGCAACTTTAGTTACTGTGCTATATTGCCTATCCTCTCTTCAAGGCACTTTAATGAAACTGGTTTATTTTATGAGATTAAATGAAACACTCTTCTAGAAATAGTCCTCATCTTCATTGTGAAGGTATTATTCAGGACTTTTTTTCATATATTCCACACTGTTCTTTTTCTTTCTTTTTTAGAATCCATGTGAGAAATTTTTATCTGTTCTTAGCATCAGGAATAGTTATGACTCCTCTGAGAAATATGTTCAAGTTTCATTTTCTAGAATCCTGGGACTTGTGTAACTAATCATGTTTCCCTAATGTTTTCCTATTTTTAACTCTCTGAGAATACTAGCACCCTTAGCAAGTAAATGTACGGGAAACTTATGTATGCTTTTTACAAAATTGTTGTTATTACACAGACTTATTTACTCAACTTACAGTTTGAATTAGTTCAGTGCATTTTATGTTTTCTTATAAGATATACAATTTGTTTAGTCAAATGAGCAAAGATATGAAATCATATCTTTGAAATCATGTCTTATGGGAATCAAGCTAGTAATGGAAATGGGTCAAGCATCTCACATGGGAAGGGCATCTGGTTCTCTTTCTAATGACACACTGGTTCCTCTGATCCAGCCAATTAGTGTCACATTGAGGATTGAGACCCATATGGCCAGATCTTTAAGAAAAGGCAAAACTGCATCCTAAACCCATGTTGCCTTCAAAGATAGATGGTGGATAATACAGAACTATATGATCTTCCTTAAGTTAATATATTTTTGTCTTCATTAAAAGCATAAGAAATGAGAAACATTTTATTTATTAAAGCAGTAAAGAAAATGATGGAAAGGGTATTTGTTAGCTCATGGAGTGACTGAAGAGTCCACAGTGCCTGGTTGGGAAAATGGGCAAGAACCAGGGATTTGCGTCTGAGCACAAACTTGACTGCAGGAATGGGAAGCCCTAGTTCTGCCGCTCTGGACATTCATCAACATGCTGCTGGATCGGCTGCCACCAGCACTCTGCACACTGGATTGTCTCCACCTTGGAGACTGTGTCCACCTTTGACATGAATCCCAAATGCACCCTGCCTCTTTCGGGAGCATTCAGTAGACTAAGCTTAACTGCATGTTTAAGGCAAAGCTGCCAGAAATTGGTGAGAACCTGTACCTGAGCTTTGATCCTTCATTGTAGGAAGGTTTTCTAAACATAGGACAGGGATTCATAGATGTGGTATGCATAAGCAGAAGGGCAAATCTCCACCATAGGACCCAAGAGCAATATCCATCTAACAGTTTTTTGAAATGAACAACAAACAACCTATTTTATGCTAAGCAATATTTTTTTTCGTCTAAAACATCCAGTTGACTATTCTTTTAATAAATAGGAGATGAGAACAGTTTTATCTTTGGGACTAGTAGTTATTATCCATTAGTGTTAGGGCTCTATCTTTGAAAGTTATGTGGCATTATTAAATAATAATATTCCCCTTGTTAGGGTGATTAAACAAACATTTAATGATCTCTCTGTGAGAGATAAAAATAAAAATACCTAGATGACAAAGCAAAAGCCTTTCAAATACCCTTAGAAGAAACCAACCCCAAGGCCCTTGTGACAGCCTCCACATGCTATCAAAAACCAGTAGCTCAATCTTATTAAGTTAGACTCACCTGGAAAGGTTAAAAGTTTTAAAGTATAGATTCCCAAGACATCCCAGAGATTCAAACATAACCCTCCTGGGTTGGAGCCCAGTCTTGGTATTTGTTAAATGTTTTTCCAGGTATTTTCAGCACTGAGATCAGCACTGTTCTGATCCCGAGAAGAAGGAACTGGTACCATAGATAAAGGGAAAAAAAGGGAAAGGAAACTTTTCTATTTGAGAAGACCACAAGTAGTCACCTTTATAAAAACATTTATCCCACTGGCATATTATTAGAGCCATTAATTTGCATGAAGGATGAGATGAGAAAAAAGTTTATATAATTTCCAGAGGATTGTAGTACTATTGAGTGCTGATATAATAATGATGATGATGATAATAATTGTGAGCTCAACAGGAGAAAGTACAGTGACCGACTCCCAAGGCCGGCCATGGGTGCAGGTAGAGCGATTTACCACGTACGCCAGGTATTTGCCATCCTTAAAGTGTTTCCTTCACAACAGTTCATCCTACTCAGTACGTGTGATCTCCGATTAAAACTATTGATCCACTTGACTAGCTCTGACATAGCAGAGAATCTGGCTCTGCGAGGAGACAAGAAACAGGTGAATTATTTGCAAAGTAGAAAGAGAACTAAAGCAGTGGCAACAAGTCAAGACAATGAGACCAAACTGGACTAGTAGCTGCTGTATTCCTCCCCTCCAAGCACTTGGCAGTTAATTATATACACAGTCAGCCCTTCTTATCCACAGTTCTGCATCTGCATCTGGAGATTTAACCAACTGCAGGTGGAAAACACAGTGATGGTGGGATGCAGAATCTATGGATAAGGAAGGTGGACTTTTTGTATCCATGGGTTCCACAGGGCTGACCACTGGACTTGAGCATCCTCAGATTTACGTATTGTTGGGGATCCTGGAACCAATGTGTGTATATGTGTGATATGGTTAAAATACGTATTTAGTTTTCATCCCCATTTCCTGATAATATAGCTTCTAAAACGCTTGGAATCTCTGGAGTGATGTCTTCTGTATACCAATGAGCTGACTGGCAACTGGCAGTCCCTGGGCATCTTCAGGTAGAGCCGGTAGCAAGAAACACCAAGGCAGGATTAAAGGATTGGGGCTTTCAGACCCACCACAACCTTCAGGGATGGGAGGGGGATGAAAGCTAAGTTGATTGCCAACTATCCAATCAGTCATTCCTACTTAATGAAGTTTCCATACCCAACCCCTCAACCTGAAACACACACACACACACACACACACACACAAACAAAACAAAAAAACACACAGGGTTTGGGGAGTTCATGGATAGTGGAACACACAGAGGTTCCCTGAGTGCAGTGCACTCAGAGAGGGCATGGAAGCTCCAAGCCCCTTCCCACACGCCTCGCCCTATGCATCTCTTCCGTCTGGTTCTTCATCTGTATCCTTTGTAATATCCTTTATAATAAACTTGTAGAGGTAATTCTGAGTGTGTCCCTGAGTTCTGTGAGCTGCTGCAGTAAATGAATCAAACCCAAGGAGGCAGTTGTGGGAAGCCTGATGTATAGCCAATTGTTCAGAAGCACAGGTGAAACAACCTTGGGCTTGTAATTGGCATGGGAAGTTTGGGGGCAGTCTTCAACCTGTGGTATCCAATGCTATCTTCAGTAGATAGTGTCAGAGCTGAATTGAATTAGAAAACACCCAACTGATGTCTGCTGGAGAATCTGTGGAATTGCTTGCTTGGTGGCGAGAAATCCCCGCACTTTGGTGATTAAAAGTCACAGAAACATTTGTGTTATGTTGAGTATAAAGTAGAGTAGGAGAAACTATTTGTTTATTCCTATATTACAGTGTGAATTTAATTTGTATGTCATTAATATAAGTAGATATACATGGCTCATTAGGTAAAGAGCAAGTGTTCATTTGAGAACATATATATTCAACTAATGAGTAAGTTCAAGGAAATATATGTGCTTGAATGAAAACTGGATCTTTACCCAATATATAAAATGTATAATATTAGATAACCAGTTCTACTCAAGTATCCTTGATGAAGCAATAAATATTATTAATGTTATTAACTCTTGACCCTTACATACATTGCGTTTTAGTGTTCCGTTTGGTGAAATGGGAAGTTCCCATAAAGCACACCAAAGTGCTATCACATATCAAGGAAAGGGACGTGCAGGGAAAATGAGCCTGTTTTTACCTGGAATGCCATTTTTAACTATAATATATGGTAGGCAAACTATGGTTACTCAAACTTGTGTAGTATGAAGGTGTATTTTTGAAAGTGAATGAAAGGAGTTATCACTTTAAGGGGAAAAACAAACAATATTTGCCACCAGTGATAAAATTTGGACTTTCAAGTGAACAATAGCATTTTTAAGTTCTATGTGCCACCATGAGCCTGGCAACTTCCCAATACTTAGGATACTTTTCTGCTGAGATATCTGGTAACATTAATGAATGTGAGTTTTTTGTATATTTGAGAATGAATTAGATCAACATTTGGAAAAATGTATGATGCAGTGAACCAGTAGTCCCCAAATGATCAATGTGAGATGCCACGCATGGGAAAAGGACCCATTCATAGTGGAAGATAGACCAAATGGATTTTGCTGTCCTAAAGTACAAACGCATTGATATAATTTTAGATTTATCACCTAGCAACTAATGTATAACTACTCACCTCTTGTCGAATTTCACCGTGCTATCAAAGGAAAGTACCAACAATGAATCTAAAGAGACTTCAAATTCTCCCTCCCAGTGGCATGTCATGGTCACTTTGCAAAGACAGCCCCAGGAGAAATAGAAGGAAGCAGAAGAAAAGGGAGAGTAGAGTACCCTGAAGACAAACTGACTAGCTCCACCTTTTTACCAAGAGAAGGGCCCTGTGATAATGGGAAGTGTCTGTGAGTGCACTTTTAAATCTTGTACGCTTTTACCTTACCTTAGACCCAGTCCTATTCTCACCTATATTAATTTCATTTTTTCCTTTAACTCATCTTTCCTTTACATGTGTTTGAAAAGCAAGCTTTATCTCAGTAATGCAAATGAAACACCAAAAATTTCTCTTAAGTGGAACTGAACTCTCAAATCAATGCACATAATTAAGACAAATTTATCTTTCAGTCTATCCATATGACACCCAAAATCATTGGCATTCTATCAGCGTTGTGTCCATTGTTTTCCAAGTGTCTTCCTCAGCTTCATTTTAATATCTCATATGTTGTTCAAAAATTAATGAAAATCTTCAATGCGGAAATTCTTTGAACACTAAGAAATTTTCATTACAGTCTTTGGTGAATGTGTTGATCTTGGAGTAAGATTAAGTGAGAATAACTAGCCAAACCAGTCACCTCTCCCTGACTATATCCTCTCCCACTGTAATCTATTCTCCACCGCAGCCAGACTTGTCTCTCTGGAAATTTTGTACTGTGATGTTAATGCTCTGCTTATAGTTCTCTTCCTTAAACTCATTATTAAGTTCATTTCTAACTCAGGACGCTTGCACATGCTGTTTTCTCTGCCTGGAAAGCTATTCCCAGAGATCTTTAATGGCTGGTTCCTCTTTATAAATGCTATCTTGACAACCTCCCCATCCCCCTACCCCCAGTCTCAGGAATTACCCCTTTCCAGAATGCAGTAACTGTGGCACCAATCAATATATGAAATTATCTTATTTGTGTACTTATTTTCTCTGCCTCTAGCATTAGGTTTCACTCATCACTTATGGAAGACTAATTGCAAAAATGGCCTTGATTATTCCCCTTCCTGTATCTTTACCCCTTACAACGTGGCTTTGTACCTCATCTTAGAAGAGGTAAAGTCTAGTCCCTCAGCCCTGAAATCTAGACTGGCTTTTTATTTGCTTTAGCTAATAGAATGCATAAGAACTGATAGTAGGTGACTTCTGAGCATAGGTTCAAGTACTTTCCCCTTCCTCTTTAGTACTCTAGCTTTACTAGGAGATAAAACTCTGGCTAACCTGAGGACGGAAGACCATAGGAGAGAGTCTAGTTGTCCTAGGAGGGGCCATCCTAGACCCATCAACAGCCAACTAACCCCCCAAACAAGCGAGAGGGCCCAGCCAAGATTAGCTCAACTGTGTACCCTATCTGTACCAGAGTGCAGATTGGTGAGTGTGCCCAGATGAGAACAGCGGGCAACCTAGGTGTCCCATAGGCTGATGAGCAGTAATAGATGCTTATTGTTCTAGATAGTTTTTTGCTATTGTTGATAATTATTCACAGAATTAATGTGTCAATAGATAACAGATTCACCACTCTATCTCAAGAACCTTGAGTAGTGCTTGGCACATAGAAAAATATTTTGATTAAAAAAAAGTTAGTGGATGTTTGAAAGAATGAAGAACTAAAACGTAACTTCTTTATATACTAGTCCAGTTACATTTTCCCAACGTGTTCTAGAACTAACCTAAACAATATTAAGAAGTTTGCTCATGCAGTTAATTCAGTTCTTCTGGGCATCCACACCAATTACTAGAAAAGACAAAAAAATACAACATTAGAATAGATATTGCTACTAAATAAAAGGTATTCAAATATTTATATCTACTCTCTCTGCAGTCTATAAATACACCCGTCCAGACAAGCTTTATTGGTGTTAGATGAAGTAGACTGCAGCTCAGAGACAACCGTTGTTTTCTACTTCCCTTTGAGCCACTGCTGGCTCATACAGAATGAAGATTTTCCTGTTTTGTTTCTGCCTAATCATTTATTGTAATGCCGAAGGGAAGAAAATAAATCTTGGACACTTTGACCAAATCAGTTTAGTTTTTCCATTATCACAGCAAGAGAGGAAAGTACTGGGTTTTCATTTTTAAGGATAATCTTTCTTAAAGTGTGTGCAATAACAAGCTAGGTTGAAATGATATTAGAGACATTTGAAATGTTTTTAAAGGGATTCAGGGCTACACTGGTTTCTGGCTTTAGTCAGAAGTAAGTTTGTTGCCCCCTTTCATTTTCTCTGGACAGTTGCAAAGGAATTAAGTACTCTTATAGATAGATGCCATTGACCAATTCAGAGAAATGCCTGGCTTGGAACTTTTCCAAATGAAGTTACCATTTAAAGATTCTTCCTTGTATTTGGGGGAAAAAAATGTTAAATGCAATTATTGTTTGTTTTGAATGTAATTATTGTTTTAATTAATTTCAATTCATAAGGCACTATCAATGTAATTAGAACGTTGGACTTTGAAATTAATTGAATATTTATACAGAAATGAGTTTTGTGTTTGTGCCAGCAATCTTCACCTACCTATCCATGTGCCAAAAATTGTTTTCTTTCCTCTTTCCTCTCTCCCTTCCTCACTCAGTCGTTGGTTTCCTCCTCCTTTTCTTCCTGCCTGCCTCCTTTTGTGCACTGTCTCCACTCTTCCTTTCCTTCATTCTTTCCTTTCTCTCTGCTTTTTATTTCTTCCTTCCTTTTCCTCTTTCTATACTCCCTTCCTTTTCTGTCCCCTTCCTTCCTTCTCTCTTGCCTTCTTTCTTTCTTTCTTGTCTCTCCCTCTTCTCATCTTTACTCCCTCCGTCTCCCCGTCTTGCTCCACCTTCCCCACCTCACCTTCCAGCCTCTCAGTAGCCACTTGGTGATGGTAGGGAGGATGAAAAGGTATTCCTTGTTTTACCACATTTACTCAGATAATTCACAGCATGGGTCCAGCATGTCTAATTTATTCTTTTTTTATGAGCTGAATATAATCTTTGAGAAATAGAAAAATAGATTGAGTGTGGCCAAGGATCATTCAACTTCTAACATTCTCAAATGTAGACTGAATTATGTCTTCTGTTTGTTAGAATTAAGGAAAAAAATTCATGTTTCGAGTACCTTTTCTGTTAATCTACTTTCACATTTTACATATTTAGCAGTTTTAGGCTAATTAACAACAGGGTTGTGTATATGTAATTTTGAAGTTGTAATTCTGAAACATATTAGGACTTATCTTTGTTAATTATAAAATTTCAGCTGGATGCTAGACACTGTCATTTAATCAATTTGCGATGTATACTTTGTATTGGTATCCACTTATATTAAGGCAAGTGTTTTAAGTAAATCGGTATACTAGTTCAATTTGACTTCAGTTTCATCAATTTTATCAGTTGATTGATAATCTGATTTAATCAATGTCTTCTTTCTTCTGTATAACTCACCTCAGGATTTAGAACTAGCTTTGTTATTGGAAGTCCAAAATTAATCTACATTTCAATAAGAGAATGAGAAAGAGCCTGGTTAGGATACTTGTTAAAGTGGGCTTGAAATTAAAATGACTAAACTCAAAGCAATTATAACCTCACTAATAAGGTTTAAAAATCACTGTGAATATTAACCCAATGTGGACGTGAATCTTATAAAATATTTACACTTATGCATTACTATGAAGAGTTGATTTTTGATCTGTTGTAAGCTAATTTGATAAATTTTACAACCATAGAAATGTTCAAAAACTTAATGGTTTATCATAAGAAAATAAGAAACATTTCTATCCCAAAAAATTAGAAAAATGCCTGGGCATGACAACATTCATAGTGGTGTTGTTTATAATAGTAGACATTGAAATGAACACGAATGCCCTACAATAAGAGAATGACCAAATAAATTGTAGTAACATGAAATTGATGAAATTACATATAACCAATAAAAATAATGATGACTATGCAGGAACATAGAACATTCCTATAACAAACTTTTGTGTTATTTGTGTTATCATTAAATTTATATGAGGATCATAGAACCATAACTATTTATTCAGTATGTACTCACTGAAAATGCATTGCACCCTGTGCTAAAAGCAGCAGACATAAAACTGACAGATAAAACTGAGGGAGATATGACCCCTGCCCTCTGCATTTGACAGACCAAGAGGAGCATCCCCAACTTCCCACTTAGGAGCTGTGCATACTTAATCTCTTTCAGTCTGTTTCTTTCTCCTCTGCAAAATGGGTATGAGATGAGTAACCACCTCTACAGGGCATCTTTGAGTATTTAATTGATATTATGTGTATTTGTTTAATCCATTGCTTGGTGTGTTAGTTTGCTAGTTTGTGTTAGTACTTTGTTAACCTTAACAAACTACTATAAACTGAGTGGCTTACACAACAGGAATTTATTGTCTCATAGTCCTGGTAGCTAAACATCTTCAGATCCAAGCGCTAGTGGAGTTGGGTACTTCTGAGGGCTGTGAGGGAGAATCTGTTTCACGTACCTCCCGTGGCTCTGGTAATTTGCTAGCAATCTTTGACGTTTCTTGGCTTGTAGAAGCGTCACCCCAATCTCTCCCTTCATCTTTTTTTCTTTTTTTTATTATTATTAAAGTTTTAGGGTACATGTGCACAATGTGCAGGTTAGTTACATATGTATACATGTGCCATGCTGGTGTGCTGCAGCCACTAACTCGTCATTTAGCATTAGGTATATCTCCTAATGTTATCCCTCCCCCCTCCCCCCACCCCACAGCAGTCCCCAGAGTGTGATGTTCCCCTTCCTATGTCCATGTGTTCTCATTGTTCAATTCCCACCTATGAGTGAGAACTTGCGGTGTTTGGTTTTTTGTCCTTGCGATAGTTTACTGAGAATGATGATTTCCAATTTCATCCATGTCCCTACAAAGGACATGAACTCATCAATTTTTATGGCTGCATAGTATTCCCTTCATCTTCTCATGACATTCTCTCTGTGCACATGTCTGTCTTCAAATTTCCCCTTTTTATAATGACACCTGTCAGATTGGATTGGGGCCAACTTTAATGACCTCCTTTTAACTATATTACCTCTGTACAGACCCTATGTCCCAAGAAGGTCACATTCTGAGGTACTGAAGGTTAGGACCCCAACACAGGAATTTTGGGGAGACACGAATTAATCCATAATACTTTGTATGGCATAAGCTTTCAATAAATGTTAGCTACTATTATTACCAATATTGTTAAGACTAATAGTCATATGACATTATAATGGTGTATGTGGCAAGACCTGACATGCTAACCAAATAAGAAGAAAACAGTTGATTAGTTGGACGATAAGAGTCTAAGTTATCAAGTGTCTTTTTAAATTTTTCTTTTCTTATCATTTTTATAATGCCCACCCATCCCCCTGGAGTTTGCACTATTTGGAGAGGGGAAAAAATCTGGACTGTCTCTTAAATATAAGCAACTGCCATTCATCCATAAATACCATTTCACTCACTTCCCACTGACTCCCACTCTCAAATAGAAACATCCATAAAAAAGTCCAGCTCACTTTTGGAGAATGAAAAAGACCCCCTTTTACTCTATTTTGTATTCTGTCTTGTCTTAATTATCGCATGAAACAGCAGCCTTTTTACCTTCGTGTTCCTTCCTAGTATTTTATTTCAATATTTATGCTTTTCTTCTCCAGAAAAGAAAGCATTGTTTTCTAATTTCTCTCATCTCTCCTGACTGCTGTGTAGTGATTATGACATATGGATTACCACCTATAGATTCTTTATAGCAAGAAGGTCCTCGGGCCAAGTGACAAAATCTTTGACTTTATTAGAGTCATTCTTTTCTCTCGCAGTCTTTTTAAATATTTATTTTCCTTCAGGTACTTTGGCTGTTGGATTTCTTTCTTCCTAGTATGTCACAACCCTTGGCTTAAAAACTCAATGTTTTATTTTCAAAATAAAAATATATTGAATTGTGCAGTTTTCAGATTAAGGGAAAGAAAGATAAAAGTAAGCATTAACTTGGAGTATTTGAGCCATTTATAAAAATTTATTTCATGGATTCAGCTAAAATTTAATACATAAGTCCACATGAAGAATTGTGTCTACAAAAAATATTTAAAGAGAAGATGTCAGGTCATGTAACAGAAAAGTCCAAGATGTATCTCTTCAGGTGAGGCTAGATCCAGCAACTTGAGTCATGCTACAGATGATTTTTCTCCTTATCCCTCTGTTCTTTTTTCAAATACTGACTACATCCTCAGACAGAGACCTAGTAGGAAATCTCAGGACATCGCCTCGTAGTTACTAAACAGTAGCTGTAGGTTCAAAGCTCTCATCCTCCTTCCACACACCCAAGAGAATTAGAATGAGTCACTGATTTGATTCTTCAGAAAAGAGAGGTAGTGTCTCCTTCTTAAATGTTTCCTCACAGGTCATTGGCATTGATGCTGCTTGACTTATGCATCCAGCTCTGAAAGGCTATGAACAAAATGACATTAGCATCCCGTGTGAGCCACAGGACTGAGAAAGAAAGGTCCCTTCACAAAGAAAATTCAGGGTGCTGTTCTTAGAAGGAAAGGGAATGGGGCATTGCTGCCAAATAGAAAACAACAGATGTCCACCTCCAGAATATATTTAATAGTGGAAACAATTATTTTTAATGATCATAGCCTTGTATTTTATAGAAAGGTGCTCTATACCTTGCCCGAGGTGGTCAACAGACAAGTTTGTTTTATATACTTCTTTAAGTCAAGATTTCAAATGTAGGGTTCTGTACAGTCCATGAGGCAATGACTCCTTCTCCTAGAAAGTGTTCTTTTCATACCTCACTTAAGAGGGTTTCACAGAAGGGGCCCTGCGAAGCCAGTTTGTGTTGCTTGATCCCATTACCCTGTTCGTGGGTGATTGAACCAGGGGTAAGCTGCTGACCTAAAGTGAGCCATCAGATTCTCCATCCTATGCATTTGGAAATGGTGGTGGGGATGGGAAAAAATAGGAAAAAAAAAAGCTACCTAATAAAGAACTTATCCCATTTATAATAAACAGAAGCATACTCCAATAAAAATATAGGCAAGCAAAATAAATGGGAAATTCACAAAACATAAAAAAAGTTTGTGTTAGCAAGGTTCGACCAGAAAAAATAGAAATAGTAAGAGCAACATATTGAGAGATTTACTGCAAGGACTCAGCTTGGGCAACTGTGACGTCCGGCTGGGTAGGCCTAGAATCTGGGGAGCAAGTTTTCAGGAAGCTGAGACTCTAACACATGGGCTGAGACTCTGTCCTCAGGCAGAATTTCTTTTTCAGGGAGCCTGAGCTCCTTCTCTTGAAATCTTTCATGTGATTGGATCAGGCCCAATCAGCTTATCTATGATAATATCTCTTACTTAAAATCAACTGATTATGGACTTTTATCATATCTACAAAGTACCTTCCCAGCAACACTTAGCCAACTATTTGATTGAATAACTAGGAACTGTGGCCTCGCCATGATGTTGATACATCAAATTGTCCATCATGACATTCAATCACACTAATAATCTAGGAAGGGAATACTAAAGTCACAAGCATATTACTTTTACCTAATAAATTAAAAATTGTCTTAAAATACTAAGACTTGGTGTTACTATGAAAGAAAAGCAAAAGATACATCTACTGGAGACCATAAGTTGTAAGCTGTCTTTCTAGCAATGTGGCATAATATCTCAGGGACACCAACATTTTAAAAAGAAATTTAATGTGAAAGAAAATAGAGCATAAAATAAGTAAATTATTATTTAACCATAAGATGGAATGTCAGATAACTATTAAACATTGAGTTAAAGGACAATATTTCATGGCATAAATAAAGTTCTTGATATATTAAAGTAGGTATATTAAAGAGATAGTTGATAAATATCATAGACATTCAGTTTTGTACAGTAATAAAAAGGGTAGAAGTATATAAATCAAACTATAAGAGTAACTCTAGGTAATGGGTAATTTTTTTTTTTTCTTGAGACAGAGTCTCACTCTGTCGTCCAGGCTGGAGTACAGTGGTCCGATCTCAGCTCAGTGCAACCTTCACCTCCCAGGTTCAAGCAATTCTCCTGCCTCAACCTCCTGAGTAGCTGGGATTACAGGCACCCGCCACTGCGCCCGGCTAATTTTTGTATTTTTAGTAGAGACGAGGTTTCACCATCTTGGTCAAGCTGGTCTCGAACTCCTGACCGTCTGATCCACCTGCCTTGGCCTCCCAAAGTGCTGGGATTACAGGCATGAGCCTCCGTGCCCGGCAGGTAATGGGTAAATTTTTATTTGTGGCTTTTAGCAATTTCTAATTCTTACAATAAACAAGCTCTTGTTGTGAAATTAGTTACAGTTGGGGTTTGTTATAATATTGAGGAGTTAAATAATGCCACCATATAGAGAATCTTGAATATAAAGTGCATTTGGAGGTTCACATACATTCGTGTACTTAATCACTGCACCGTTAACTCACTCAACAAATACATTCTAACCTTTTATTCTATGATAGTCACTGTTTTAGGCAATGGAAATAAAATAGTGAGCAAAGCAAACTCAGGCCCTTCTGTCATGGAGCTTAGCAGGTAAGAGAGAAAATAAAGAATCAGATAAATACATTTGTAGTTGCATTCTATAACAAGCGCACTGAAGGAAAGAGACAGTTTTCTGAATGTACTAGTATTTATATTAAAATTTTAAATTATTATATAATGAAAATATGTAGTGTGTGTTCGTTTGGTATGCTTGTGCACGTGCGTGCTGTGTGTTGTGTGCTGTCACCAGCATCAACATCTCAAATTAGCACTTGGAGAATGAGATTCCAGGAAAAAATATCCAGAAATGCCTAAAATTGCTAAAACTCTGCAAAAGAAATATTGAAAAAAAAAATGCACCATTGCATAATGAATCCTGAGTAATTGGCTGAAGCTCTGAATGACACACCCACATACATTGACAGTTTTCCACTGGGCTCATATCATTCATCCATTTTCCCTCAGAATCTGAAAGATAAATCTGACAAGCTCTGGATAAACACTGGCTAAGACTCTATAGTTTCTGGGTATGGAGAGGTGACATGACTTATTCTCTGTTATCATCGGGTCTCCTGTTAGGCAGCTTCAGCAAAGACTCTGGATAGATCAACATGTCAGGCTGGAGGCTTAGTGATAATTCAGACTGCGGTTGAGTTGAAGCGACTGCTCAGGCAATCAGGAGAATATAGCAATGCATAGTTCCTTCCAAACTACAAGAAAACTGAGAAGAGAAATAGAATTTTGAACTCTTTGGTATAATGAATAAGATCACAAAACTGGAAACTCGCCTACTAAATTAAGCCAATTATTTTGTTCCCCCCTAGATGAGATCAAATAATGGTCCTCATGGAGGTGTCAGAAATAGGATTGCAAAGAAGAGTCCATACACAATCAGGAAAAATAGATCTTGTGTTAAGATATCTTGGCATGCATGACTATGGTGATTGCTTCCTCATTTCCTCCAAGATGCATTTTGAGTGAATTATTCCTCCTCATATAGTTGTAGCACAGGGAGAGATCATATTCTTAGAATGAGAAAGGGACTAGGTTTAGATACCAACTATGACTTTTTGCCAGTGAAGACCCATCTGTCCGCTATTGATTTAATAACTGAGCAAAGTTTCAGTAACTTGGTGAAATTTTCATTTGCTATCTGCATTAGGTGGAATTCTGAAATGGCCCCCAAATTCTCCTTGGATGTGGATGCCTTAGTATCAGACCTTCCTTCTCCTTGAGTGTGAGTGGGCCTGCCCTAAGCAGGTGAGCCCTTTAAAGAGGCTCTAGGGTCAGAGACAGAAGTTAGAGAGATTTGAGACAGCAGAATATATTCTCCTGCTGGTGCTGAATAAGAGAACTACCATGCTGTGGAGTGAATCATGTGGTAGGGAACATGGAAAACTAAGGGTCAGCCCTAAAACTGCAATGAATTGAATTCAGCCAACAACCAGTGAGCTTGGAAGAGGGCTCCTGGCCTCAGATGAAATCACAGCCCTGGCTGACACCTGAATGCAGAACTGTGAGACCCTGCACGAAGAAACCAGCTAAAACATGCCAGAAAACTGCAAGATAATAACTTTGTTTTGTTTCTTAATTGTACTTTAAGTTCTGGGGTACATGTGCAGAATGTGCAGGTTTGTTACATAAGTATACATGTGCCATGGTGGTTTGCTGTGCCCATCAATCTGTCACCTACATTAGTATTTCTCCTAATGCTATCCCTGCCCTAGCCCCCCATCCCCTGACAGGCCCCGGTGTGATATTCCCCTCCCTGTGTCCATGTGTTCTTATTGTTCAACTCCCACTTATGAGTGAGAACATGTGGTGGTTGGTTTTCTGTTTTTGTGTTAGTTTGCTGAGAATGATGGTTTCCAGCTTCATCCATGTCCCTGCAAAGAACATAAACTCATCCTTTTCCATGGCTGCATAGTATTCTATGGTGTATATGTGCTACGTTTTCTTTATCCAGTCTATCCTTGATGGGCATTTGGGTTGGTTCCAAGTCTTTGCTATTGTGAACAGTGCCACAGTAAACATACGTGTGCATGTGTCTTTATAGTAGAAAGATTTATAATCCTTTGGGTATATACCCAGCAATGGAATTGTTGGGTCAAATGGTATTTCTAATTCTAGATCCTTGAGGAATTGCCAAACTGTCTTCCATAATGGTTGAACTAATTTACACTTTGTAGGCCGGGCACGGTGGCTCACACCTGTAATCCCAGCACTTTGGGAGGCCAAGGCGGGTGGATCACAAGGTCAGGAGTTCGAGACCATCCCAGCCAACATGACGAAACCCTGTCTCTACTAAAAATATAAAAATTAGCCGGGCGTGGTGGCGGGCGCCTGTAATTCCAGCCATTCGGGAGGCTGAGGCAGGAGAATTGCTTGAACCCAGGAGGCAGAGGTTGCACTGAGCTGCAATCATGCCATTGCACTCCAGCCTGGGCGACAAGAGCAACACTCCGTCTCAAAAAAAATGTATATATATATATACACACTGTGTAAAAGTGTCCCTATTTCTCCACATCCTCTCTAGCATTTGTTGTTTCCTGACTTAATGATTGCCATTCTAACTGGCGTGAGATGGTATCTCATTGTGGTTTTGACTTCCATTTCTCTAATGACCAGTGAGGATGAGCTTTTTTTCATATGTTTGTTGGCTGCATAAATGTCTTCTTTTGAGAAGTGTCTGTTCATGTCCTTTGCCCACTTTTTGATGGAGTTGTTTTTTTTTTTCTTGTAAATTTAAGTTCTTTGTGGATTCTGGATGTTAGCCCTTTGTCAGATGAGTAGATTGCAACAATTTTCTCCCATTCTGTAGGTTGCCTGTTCACTCTGATGGTAGTTTCTTTTGCTGTGCAGACGCTACAGTACCATTCAGGACATAGGCATGGGCAAAGACTTCGTGACTAAACCACCAAAAGCAATGGCAACAAAAGCCAAAATAGATAAATGGGATCTAACTTTGTGTTGCTGAGTTACATTATGAGCTAAGTATGTGAGATTGCTTATGCAGAAATAGAAACCTAACAACACTATCTATGCTTCCTTTCTGTTTTTTTAAAATTCAGTTAAATGAATTATTTGTTCCTCCATGGTCAAAACTCTAATCATGATGTGTCCAGAGACTGCAGATTTCAGTACAACATAAATGCAAAAATCATCCCCAGTGATCTGTTTTAAAAATTTAACACTAATATTCACACTGAGATAATTTCTTTGGCTTGAATCTCATAAATACAAACTAAAAATATTACAGAAGTTAGCATCTAGAACTTGGTATCTGAGTAACAAATAATATTAAAGATAACTCATGTATTCATTGCTTGTTCTTTGCCATTCATTGTACTTTTTTCTTCACTACATTTTCTCATTTAATCCTCCCCCAAAAACGATAAAGATGGGGAGATACTGTATAATAATTTATGGGTGAAAAAACTAAAATTTAGATAATAGTTAAGTAACTTGCCAAGGGACACACATGGCTGTAAGTAGTAGAGGCCAGATCGAAATTCCCCATTCAGCTGCTGTGCCAGCACTGTATATGAAACGCAGGCTTTGTCTTTTAGCCTCCTGTAACCAACCTTTTACCCTGGAAAGTGACTACACTACACTACAAAAAAAAAAAAAAAAAAAAAAAAAAAAAAAAAACAGGGTTTTTTAAAAATATCTATATATTCAGAATATATAAAAATAAATTGTGAAAATGTAACCATTTATTTTATTTATTCAGAATGGGTATTGAGTCCTATACGTACCAGGAACTGCACACTGTCACAGCAAATGCCTTTTGCCTGACTAAACAGATGTTGACAATTCTTCCTTTTTGTTTTTTCCTCCATGCCTTCTTTACTAGGATCTAGATCTCTGGTCTCATGAAATGGTTATGCTTATATTATCACTTTGTTACATGTTTACTTAGTTACAATTTTAAAAAAAAAAGAAAACCCCCAGCTGGTCTGGGAATTTGCAACTAGAGAGGTGCCTGATCCTCTCTCTTCTTAGTCTGCCTGGCCTCCAGCGGTTCCGCTGCTGGGCTCAGACTTATTTTAATTCCCTAGTTTCCTACTGAGTCAGAGTCAGGCGCTATATCACTTTTCAGCGTCAATAACGCAGGTCTAATTTTCCTAAGTTGATGAGGGTCTGATAGATCTGATGACCTTTTGTTGGAATGTCATTTACAAGTATGATTAAATTATTCTCCATGGCTGAATTGACACCTACAGCTGATGTATCTTCCTCCAGAGGCAGCAGAAAAATCTGCTTCACCCTCTCATGCGCGGCAGAGATCTTTTGTAGGCAGATTACAGATTTTCAGCTTTGAGTTTGAAAAGGTGACCCTGGTGATGATGACTTTTTTTTTCAAATGTGTTTTAGCTGATACCATTTCTCTCCAAACCGATTAACTATATCTCTATAGCTATACCTAAAAAGGCTATTTATTTAATCTGTTAGGAGAAATAGAAAAAAAAGAAAGGATGCCAGTCAAATTTCTTGAACTACATCTTCCTGGGAAGTAAGAAAAGTGACATTTTGGAGCACTGTCTATTTGCTATGTTAAACATTGTATTTTTGTTACTTATTTAATTTTGACAATAACATATGAAGTATAATATTTGCATTAAACTTATATTTTGAGCCTACTGTGTGTCAAACATGGCTCAAATAACTAGAGATACAGTGAATTCTGCCCTCATCGAGCTTAACTGCATATGAGGAAACTGAGGCAAAGGAAGATTAAGTAGGCTCCCTGCGTGCACAGCTCGTGCCTAGAATATGGTATGTGTTCAATAAGTGTTGAATGTATAAAACGGAATCAAGGATGACCCAGGTCTGCCTGCCTCTACAACCCAAGCTTTGTTCTCTAGCATATAAGAAAAAGAGATGAGCATAAGAAATTCATAAAGTAAAAATATTCCATGGGAAAGATGAGGCTTCAGAGTTTGCTGTGAGCTGCTAGTCTTGACCTCTGACTGCACCTCTTGTGTTACTTTGCCGCCATGCACAGAGCTAAGCTTACTGCTACATGTGTTGTCAATAGATGGTGGCTCATAGGCCAAATTCAGCCCACTGCCTGTTTTTGTAAATAAAGTTTCATTGGAACATAGCTAAGCTCATTTGTTTACCTATTGTCTACAGCTGCTTTTGTGCTATTTTGAGTCATTGTGACAGAGACTGTATGATCTATGAAGCCTAATGTATTTACTATCTGGTCCTTTACAGAAATGTTTGCAGACTTCTGTAGGAACTTGTCAAAATAATCCTAACAATCCTAAAAGACAGATACTATTACTATCCCTGTTTTATGAATGTGAGAAGTCATACAGTTAGTAGATAATTGTGTCAGTATTGGAGACCATAAACAAATATAAAGTGTTTTTAATGAATTATTACACCACCTCCTCCACACAGATGCCTTCTGGGAGATGAGAGTGAGCGTGTCTAAAATGGTCGTGGATTGGAGAGGATGTGTCTTAGCTACTGGGGCTTCCAGAGTTTTGAGCACTGACAACTTCTCTCTCTCAGCTCTAATCCCTCAGTGTATAGCCTGTGGGTTGGCTCAGGTTCTTGACTTCACCAGCGAAAGAATTTGAGAGTGAGTCCAAAGTAAAGGTAAGCAAGAGACTTGATTGCACAGCAAAAGTGCACTCTGCCAGCTGATCAGAGCAGGCCGCTCAAAAGTGAAACAGCACCGACTGACACTGGGGAAGCCACCTTATGGGAGTCTGACTGACATGGTTATTCATAAAAGGGTGATGCTGCTAAGCATGTTCTGGGCTGTCTCCTGGTGGCACATGCGCTGTGGTTGAGCATGCTGGTACATATGTCACATGTCTCATTAGCATCATAAATCCCCACCCAGATGTGGGTTCTTCACTATTATAATGAGCACAGGTCAGCCCAAGGACACTAATCATGGGTTTCTGCACTTGCATGAATTTGAGGATTTTCCCTTCTGCTCTTCTTCCTCCTTTCTGGAGGATGTTCTAATCACGAGCTCAGGATACGGCTCCTGTCCTGTTGGGTGGCTTGTTCTCTCCATCCATTTAGCAAGTCTGTTCACCTTTAAGGGAGGCTACGACCACACCCCCTAACCCACCTCCGGTGTAGCTGTGAAGCCCTGTGCTGAGACTTACGAACTTCCTTCAACTCCATTTTTATGGTGGTGATCATGGCATCTCATGCTACATATTCCCTTCCAAATGATGACGTCATCATCGATTGAAAAAGAAACCCAGAACCTTCAGAAGCAGACAATTTTTTGGTTGCCCTCAATTATTGGACTATCTATAAGAGATTTTCTTTTGCCTTAAGGTAAAGGTGGTATCGCCATTTTCCACATAATCAAAAACGTTTCCATGTTTAATTTTTATTATAAATTGAAATTTTACAATGATACTGAGTTTTTTATATCTATATCTTCTTTCATGGTGCCTAAACGTTTTCCTTGAAATCTATAAAAATTTTCAAATTGTCTTCCAATAATAAATACCATTTGGTAACCTTTACAAATATATAAGGCTATTACAACTCAGCTCCAGCTAATGATTGACATTTAGACGTGTAAGCCCAATATAGCCAGAGCTTCTGTATTTAAAAAAAAAAAACAAACTCAAATTTGCTACACATTTTGAGTCATACAAAATTTGACTGCAGGCAGATTCAGCTTGATGGTCACCAGGTTGTTTTCACCACAGTCTGCTAAACTGCATCCCCACACAGCCCAGGACTGCATAACTGAACTCACAGCTCCCAAATCTGAATGCACAAATAAACTATTGAATTTGGTGCAAAAAGAATTTAAATGCCCACTTAAAATAACGTATTTCTTATAATTTTCAAGAAATAAGAAATAAATTAACTTTAGTAACACTCAGTAATGCAGAGAGACACTGACACCCCTCACTTGGGTCCATAAACCTGATGCTGCTGTGTCCCCTAAGATTTGCTGGAGAAAGACTGCAGGTTCCAATGGAGAGATGCCAGGGTAGGCTAGATGCATAATGCAACTTACTGAAAATCACGAATGACCAGGTGAGTGAGTTTTTGAACAATAATGTATAATTTCAACTAAGTGAACCCCTCCCCAGATGGACAAGTAGCATAAAAAATATTTATTCAAAGGACTATAAACTGAAGATAATGCTAAGGACACAAAAACACAAGCATAGAAAGATAATGGAAAACGTGGCCTTTACACAACTCCTATTTCAATTGCTTGGTAAGCAATATAGTAAGATAAGAAGAACAGCGATCTAAAAAGAACTAGCCAATTATCGCAGCACCATTTGTTGAAAAGGGTGTCCTTTCCCCACTTTTTTTGCTTTGTCAAAAATCAGTTGGCTGTAAGTATTTGGGTTTATATCTGGGTTCTCTATGCTGTTCCATTGTTCTATGTGCCTATTTTTATACCAGTACCATGCTGTTTTGGTGACTATGGCCTTATAGTATAGTTTGAAATCAGGTAGTGTGATGCCTCCAGATTTGTTATTTTTGCTTAGTCTTGCTTTGGCTATGCCAGCTATTTTTTGTTGCATATGAATTTTAGAATTTTTTTTTCTAATTCTGTGTAGAATGATGGTGCCATTTCAATGGGGATTGCGTTGAATTTATAGATTGCTTTTGGCAGTGTGGTCATTTTCACAATAATGATTCTACCCATCCATTAGCATGGAATGTGTTTCCATTTGTTTGTGTAGTCTATGATTTCTTTCAGCAGTGTTTTGTAGTTTTTCTTGTAGAGGTCTTTCACCTCCTTAGTTAGGTATATTCCTAAGTATTTTATGTTTCTTCTTCAGCTATTGTGAAAGGGGTTGAGTTCTTGGTTTGATTCCCCACTTGGTCGCTGTTGGTGTATAGAAGAGCTACTGATTTGTGTACATGAATCGTGCATCCAGAAACTTTGCTGAATTCTTTTATCAGTTTTAGGAGCTTTCTGGAGGAGTCTTTAGGGTTTTCGAGGTAAATGATCGTATCCTCAGCAAACAGTGAGTCTGACTTCCTCTTTACTGATTTGGATACCCTTTCTTTCTTTCTCGTCTGATTGGTCTGGCTAGTACTTCCAGTATTATGTTGAAAAGGAGTGGTGAGAATGGGCATTCTTGTCTAGTTCCAGTTCTCAGAGGGAATGCTTTCAGCTTTTCCCTATTCAGTATTATGTTGGCTGTGGGTTTGTCATAGATGGCTTTTGTTACATTGAGGTATGTCCTTTGTATGCCAATTTTGCTGAGAGTTTTAATCATAAAGCGATGCTGGATTTTCTCGAATGCTTTTTCTGCATCTATTGAGACTATCATGTGATTTTTGTTTTTAAGTCTGTTTATCTGGTGTATCACATTTATTGACTTGCGTATGTTAAACCATCCCTGCATCCCTGTTATGAAACTCACTTGATCGGGGTGGATTATCTTTTTGATATGTGATTGGATTTGGTTAGCTAGTATTTTGTTAAGGATTTTAGCATCTATATTCATCAGGGATATTGGTCTCTAGTTTTCTTTTTTGGTTATGTCCTTCCTTTCTTTGTTTTGGTATTAGGGTGATACTGGCTTCATAGAATGTATTAGGGAGGGTTCCCTCTTTCTCTAGCTTGTGGAATAGCATCAAAAGTATTGGTACCAATTCTTCTTTGAATGTCTGGTAGAATTCTGCTTGCACATGCATGTTTACAGCAGCACAATTCGCAATTGCAAAATTGTGGAACCAACCCAAATGTCCATCAATCAACAAGTGGATAAAGAATGTGTGTGTGTGTGTGTGTGTGTGTGTGTATACACACACACAGAATGGAATACTACTTGTCCATGAAAATGAATGAAATAACGGCATTTGCAGCAACCTGGATGAGATTGGAGACTATTATTCTAAGTGAAGTACTTAGGGATGGAAAAGCAAACATTGTACTTTCTCACTGATATGTGGGAGCTAAGCTATGAGAATGCAAAGGCAGAAGAATGATAGAATGGACTTTGGGGACTTGGGGGAAAGGGTGGGAGGGAGGCGAGGGATAAAAGACTACAAGTAGGGTACAGTGTATACGGCTCCGGTGAAGGATGCACCAAAATCTCACAAATCACCACTAAAGAACTTACTCATGTAACCAAATACCACCTGTACCCCTGTAACCTATGGAAAATAAATAAATAAATATAAATAAAAAGAGATTAGAATAGTGTCTGACTTAAAGGGTTCAACAAATGAGTAAATGGGTCAACTAGTTAAAAAGAACTAATGAGCAGTCAGCCACAAATTTTCCAAATTATTAAGAATATTATTGCCATGTCACTTTTTTAATTTTTAGAACATACTTTCATGTATATAATGATTTGAAATATTAGTCAATGAGAGTAGTAGATGTGTATGAGTGTATGAAGTCAGAATGCCTTCTTGAGATTAGGGAACATGATCGAAAATATAACACTATAAAACATTCAAAAAGCTATCCAGTTTACTTTGGGGTAAGTAAAAGGCATTTTTAAAATGGCAAATCCACATGGTAGAAGCAATCCAGGTGTCCATCAACGGATGTCCAGGTAAGCAAAGTGTGGTGTAGATACACAAGAGAATAGTATTCAGCCTTAAAAAGGAAGGAAATTCTGACATATGCTATCATGTGGATGAACCTTGAGGACATTATGCTAAGTGAAATAAGCCGGTCACAAAAGGACATATATGTATGATTCCACTTCTATGAGGTTCTTAGTGTAGTCAAATCCAAAAAGACAAAAAGTAGAAGAGTGGTTGTCAGGGGCCAAGCAGGGAGGGGGATGAGGAGTTGGTGTTTAATGAGCACAGATTTTCAGCTGGGGAAGATGAAAACTCAGGAGATGGGTGGGGGTAATAGTTGCACATCAATGTGAATGTACCTAATGCCACAGAACTGTACACTTAAAAATTGTTAAGATAGTAAATTTTATGGTATGTACTTTTTATCCATCCCCACAGAACAAACTTTTGAAAAAATACACCAAGATTGTCTCTTTGGAATCATTAATGACATGTATACATTCACGGGGAAAAACGTTTAACAATCCAATATTTTAAAATCCCTAGAAATAAAAATGACAACTCATATGGCTCAATCCCCTTATCCTCACATCACTGTAGGGAAATGGAGGAGGAGGACCAGCCTTGAGGCATTGCTTCTTTTCCCTTTCTCCGAACTTGTGCATTTCAGAGTGAAAATCAGCACTGAGACTTTCTTAGCTGTCTCAGCTTATTTCCTCTACCCACATCACAGAAGAAAAACTGAAGTGAATCATTTCCAATAGTTATAAAATGAAAAACAATGAAAGTAACCTCCCAATAAATATGTGACTAGTGCCAATGTATTTCCAGAAATGCAATGCACATCTGCAAAATATGTCTGCTTCATTCTAGGAAGCTAACATAACAGCTGCACAATAAAGAAAGATCTCTGATAGCTTCTACCATAAGCTCACTTTAGAGAACATATGAAATCTAACACAACTACGTACTTTTATAAAAAGCATCATAAACTAGTTACAACTCATAACTGATTGGCTCCCTACCATTTTAATCTCATCTTCCTCATTAATAATTTTAGTAGAGTGGCTAATTCTTCCTGGCTTTTAACCTTCACCCATATTAGTCAATATTGTTTTTACATTTACGGCAGTGGTTATTCATACTTGCTCACATTTTATCAATTTCTCTGCCTGCCATTGTTTGTTTATTATTTTGGAATTTTCACCATATATGATTAACATCCTATAAAATGTACTATTTTAAAATGGACCATTTAGTAGCTTTAATATATTCACAAAGTACATCACCATCACCACAATCTAATTCCAAAACATTTTCATTACTATAAAAAAAATCAAGTACTTGTTAGTGGTCACTTCCCATTTTCCCATCCCCGAGACCCTGGCAGCCCCTAATCTATTTCTATGAATTTGCTTATTCTCGATTTCTACAAATGGAATTGCACAACATATAGCATTTTGTGGCCGATTTCTTTCACATGCCTCATGTTTTGTTACTGATTACGTTTTAGCCTATATCAGTAATTCATTCCTTTTTATTGCGAAAGAATATTCTATTGTATGGTATACTACATTTTGTTCATTCAACAGTTGATGGACATTTGGATTGTTTGAATATATATGTTTAATTCTTGTTAGAAACAAATGCTCTTTGCTGCAAAGAATAATCAGCACTCTGGCAAAAGTTGTCTCAGCAAGGCAATTTACTTCCATAGAAGGGTGCGTCTCATGGATGGAGCAATGGCAAGAGCACACTGAACAAAGGAAAGCAGGGGTTTTTATTCCTAACGCAATTGGTTTCTACTACTGTGTCCTGTCTCCATTGGCTGGAGCTGGACTGCACAATCTAAACTGGTCCTGGTTGGCTAATTTGAAGGGTGCAGGAAGGGGGTTACACTGGCAAGAAGGACAGGTTTGGTGGGAAAAGCGATTGTGGTGGGAGGGGTAATTTACAGGGTTAGCAGCAGATGTGGAATGTAGGCTCTATAGATAAGAACTGATGGGGGAGTTGTTTACTGAGACTAGGACAGGGAGACATAAAGAATAAGTAAGTTCCGCTTTAAAAGCAGGAAACAAAGAACAAGGGAACTTAGACAAGCTAAACCTTTGAAGAAGAACTTCTTACTGTATTTAACATTCTCTTGGGTATACACTACTGAGTAGAATTGCTGGCTCATATGATGACTCTAACTCTTTGAAAAACTGCCAAATTTTCAAAATTGGCTGCACTATTTTACATTCTTAATAATTTCTCCATATTCTCACCAACACTTAATATTGCCATATTTTTATTATAGCCATCCTAGTTAGGTATGAAGGGGCTTTGATTTATGATTTTGATTTGTATTTCCCTAATAACTAATGATGGTGAGCATCTATCATGTTTACTGTTGGTTTTTGCATTCAATGTCTTCCTTCAGCATTCGGATTCCTTCCCACTGAAGTATAACTTGTAACAGTTCTTTCAGAATACATCTTGGAGAGGTGAACTTTCTTAATTTACATATATCCGTAAATTTCTTTTTGTCTTATCTTTTGACTATTTATTGACATGTAACAAATACAGTATAAATTATAATCATGTAGCTCAATACATTTTCACAAATTCAGAAAAAAGCACTTGAATAACCAATACCTATAATAAAAAATAAAAGCTTAACAGCATCTTGGAAGCCCCACTGGGCCACTCTAAGTTACTGCTCTCTAATAGATAACTTTTATCCTAGCTTTTGCACCACACACAAGTTTGCCTAGGTTTAAACTTCAAATAAATGGAATAATATCATTCAGAACATACATATTTTTTCTCTTTCCTAATTGTTTTAGTATATCATGTGCTGTGGGGATACATATTCTCTTCAGTTGTATCTACTGACTATTTATTTCATGTTAGATTACATTCTCATGCAATTTGCAAATTTTGTAGTGACCTTATATTTCATAATATTTCATAGAGTCATATATTATTTTCATCTTGGATTCCCAAGTGCCCTGGTTTGGAAAAACCCATATAGAAGAGGTTGTTTTTGGTTTGACTGGCATTGACCTCTTGGAATGGTCTAGGATTATATTAAATGGTCTGGCTTCATGTTTTCCTACCTTAGAGTTAGTAAAAATGCAATTCAACACCTCTGCATCTTGCTTGAGATTACAACATACACACTTCTGGCAGATCCTCGATACTTTCCATAACTTGTCCTTCATAAGACTGTTTTAGAATTGAAGCAAATCTTTGCCTCTTTTGTAAATTCAAAACCAGATTCTTTGAATGGTAATGCAGATATTAAATAAGTGTGTGGGTTAAATGACAACCCAAAGACTCTGTTTTTATCAAGACCTTCTAGTTAGCACATAAATATATATTTTTGCTTACATAAGACACTAAATGGGATCTGAATACTTAAAAGGGATAGATATATTCTATGAAGACATGCAAATACAAATAATTAACTATCAAGTTTCCCTGTGGGCAGGTATATTGAATCCAAGTTCCTCTTCTTGGCTTCTTGATCCCAAACCTCCTTACCAACATTTCCTTCTGCTTCTCAATCTTCACAATTCATTGTAGTTTGAGTTCTTGATAGCCCTCTTCCCTGTAGCACATTCTAGATTTCTGGCCTTGCTATTGACAGCCCCACCTCTGAAAAACCTGCTTATTTTATTCTTTAAATATACTTTTTATACTATCCCTCAGGCTATATTTTTTTTCTGAAGAACTATCATTTTTTCTAGTGCTTTGTCTATGCTAAGACCATCAGTGCTTCATAAAATGTGGTTTAATTATTCATACATAGTTATAACAGTAGGATCTGCTTTATATGCCCCTGAGCTTTGCATAGCTCAGGGTAGGCCAGTATACTTCTTAATCCCTTAAGTAAAGATTTGGGATCTTGTTCTCAGCACCGTGTTTTATGTTTAGTGGTCCTCTTTGACCCTGTAGTTATCTTTGCAGAGTTACTGTAGTGAGGCACCTTTCACAAAATGAGCAATGTTTCTGGGTCAACCAGTTGGATGCTTGGTACAAATAGATTTGTCTTTATTTAAATGAAGAATGAGATGCCGGACTTAAAGATACAGGTTCTGAGAACTTAAATAGCATCCTTCACAGCAGTCTTTCTTGATTAACATTAACTTGCCTAGCACTGCTAGGTGTCAACTTCCAAATTGGATCCACTCTTTCATCTTAGGATGCTCTGAGTTAAAGATCTTCTTGTTTCTCATCTCCTACTTTCTCAGAACTTTCTTCCCCATACCCACTTATCCTTCACACCATAAATTTTATTACTCTCTTTGCCTTTATCCCCTTCAATTATGAATCCCATCATTAGCTCATTAAAACATGACTTCAGGCTTGGCACGGTGGCTCATGCCTGTAATCTCAGCACTTTGGGAGGCCACAGCAGGCAAATCATTTGAGGCCAGAAGTTCAAAACCAGCCTGGCCAACATGGCAATAACCCATCTCTACTAAAAATACAAAAATTAGCCAGGCATGGTGGTGCACACCTGTAATCCCAGCTACTTGGGAGGCTGAGGCAGGAGAATCACTTCAATCAGTGAGGTGGAGGCTGCAGTGGGCCAAGATCATGCGATTGCACCCCAGCCTGGGTAAGAAAGTGAGGTCCTGTCTCCCTGTCTCTCATATATATACATAACTAAAATAATATATAGTAATATATGTTATATATTATACTATATTATATAATATACTATAATATATATAATATAGTATATATTGTATATAATATAGTATATATAATATAATAGTATATAATATAGTATAGATAGTATAGAATATATAGTATATACCTAGTATACTATATTATATAGTATAACTATTATAATATTTATAGTATATTATACTATATAATACAGTATACTGTATTATATACTATAATCTACTAGATTATAATATACTATATAATCAGTATACTATATTGTATAGTATAATATAGTATTATATTATAGTAATATATTATAAAGTATTATAGTAATATAGTATAATATACTATACATTATATAGTATAGTATATTATATAGTATACTATATATAAGTATATTTAATAGTATATTGTATATAGTAATTATATATAGTATATATAATATACAATGTATAGTATATTATAGTATACTATACGATACTGTAGTATAGTATGCTATATAGTATACTATATACGACAGTATCATATAGTATACTACAAAATATATAGTATAGCATAGTATACTATATAATATACTATATTATATATACTATATTATATATACTATACTATATTATATATACTATATTATATATACTATACTATACATAAAATACTATATATAGTATATTATATATAGTATACTATATATAGTATATAATATATAGTATACTATATATACTATATATAGTATACTATATATACTATATATAGTATACTATATATCATATATAGTATTATATACAGTATACTATATATAATATAGTATACTATACTATAATATACTATTTGTTATAATTATCTAGTATAGTATACTATATATACTATATTATATAGTATATAGTATATATAGTATATAGTATATATACTATATACTATATATACTATATACTATACTATATAATATATATACTAATATATTGTATACTATACTATGCTATAGTATGCTATATACTACACTATAGTATACTGTGTACTATACTATAGTATACAGTATACTATATACTATACTATAGTATAGTATACTATAGTATAGTATACTATATACTATAGTATAGTATATAGTATACTGTATACTATAGTATAGTATACTATATACTATACTATACTATAGTATACTCTATAGTATATAAAGACATATATATAGTCTTCAAAATGAAGATCCTGTATCCTATATATATATATAACTTCAAAAGTGAGATACATATATATGATGTAGAAACTTTAGAATATACAAAATTGTCTTCTTCAGGATAAGAAAATCCTGATATTCAGCCTAACCTCCACTGACTGTAAAGGAAGAATGGGTTTCACTTTCAGGGAAGGTCACCTTCATCCTCATGAAGAACTGTCAAAAATAGTCTGCCAAGAGTCCCAGATTGAACACCTTCTGTGTAGGTGACAAAAGGACAAAAAAAATAATCAATTCATGGCTTACGTGCTGATATAGTCATGGGATATTAACAAATGCAATCACTGTAATTATTAATGGCATTCATTAAACACCATGGTGTGCTGGTAGGTTGTTCCACATGAAACTGACTATGCAGGTGGTATGTCATTCCATTTCACTATATGCTCCCTACAGATAATTACTATGTTATAACCAGCTTGCAAAATCAGGACTGACCCCCACCTAAAGTTCAGATGGCAAGGTTGATGAAATCACAAGCACACAAAGAGGGTATGGAAAGGATGCTTACTTACATAATTGAGGTCTCTGGGAGAACCGGGCAGACCTCTCAAGCAGGTCAGAAATGGTTTGTGAGGGCCAGGAAAGGTGACTGGCTTGGGTCTCTATTATGATTCACCGTGGGACCAGGGTGAGCATTCCATATGGGCAGAGGTTTCCATGGTTTGGATGTCTCGCTGGTGCCAAAGGAGAAAGCACCCAGGCTTTTTCTTTTCTTTTTTTTTTGAGCTTGTACAGATGTGGCTACAAGGGAAAGCAGAGGGGTGAGGCTTAAAATCTATCAACAGTCAGACATCAAAAAATAGAATCAGACTCCTAATTACAGAGCATTTGTTGACAGTTCTTCATAGCTGTCATTTTGCTTCCATCATGTTAAATATTTTGTAGTCCACTCGGTAAATGCTTCTAGATTAACTGTTTGTTTGGATCACAAATCTTATTTTTTGTCTAATGTCAAGAGGAAACTCTAAAAGTGTAAGATCTTTGTAAGGGCATTAAGCTCAATCACAAAAGTGCAATGCTTTTAGAAAACTAAGCCGACACTGGTTGAGTCCATCTAGCTCTAGCCTGCTAGAGCTGCCAGCACTCTCCCCCAGTTGTCTGAAATATGCCTTCTTCTGTAATTGGCCTTGCACCTCTGCTCCAAAGGAAGGTTCAGTTCTGTCTACTCATTGCCTTCTAAGTCTTACTTCCTTTGGCAATATCTAAGGTTAGGTCAGCAGCGTGTTTTCTATTGTATTAGGTGATCTCATCCCCTAGGACCCTACATGAATTTACATGAATTACGATCTCAACAATCACTCTCTCTTTCCCTTTGCGTCCCCATTAGCACCCCTTGGTTGATTTGTGCCAATGCTTATTGTCCTTTAAGTTATGAAGAAGAAAAAGAAAATCTGATAAATCAATTTCCTCCTCAACGAAAAGGAAAATTATTATTTTATACTTCTTAATCTTGCCGTGATATGCATATATTGTAGGCTGTATCAGCTATCCACTACATACTTAGAAATTTGGCTAATTATCATAACATAAATTAACATTTTATGGCTGTGAAAAGAGAATAGAAATGGATTTTAGAATGTCAAGTATTTATCACTAGTATGTGTTAATATAAATAGCTTAATAAAAATAGGGCATTTATATGTATATATGTGGGTGTTCATGTATATATTTTTATATGTATATATGTGGGTGTGCATGTATACATTAAATGATGAATTTATATGTATATATTAAATGTATATATTATATGTATATATTACATATATACATATTGTATATTACATATACATAATACATAAAATGTTTAATACATACATAATATATACATAATATAATATTGTATATTATTAAATTATACATGTATATATGTATACATGTATACAAAATATGTATATAATATATACAAAAAATGTGTATTTTTGTACATATATTGTACAAAAATATGTATATTATATATACAAAATATGTATATAATATATACATATATTATGTAATATAATATATACATAATGTGTATTACATACATTATATGTAATATATACATATATATTATATACATATATATTATATACATATATGTATATATTATATACATATATGTATATATTATATATTATGTATACACATATGTATATATGTATATATTATATATTATGTATACACATATGTATATATGTATATATTATATATTATGTATACACATATGTATATATGTATATATTATATATTATGTATACACATATGTATATATGTATATATTATATATTATGTATACATATATGTATATATGTATATATTATATATTATGTATACATATATGTATATATGTATATATTATATATTATGTATACATATATGTATATATTATATATTATGTATACATATATGTATATATTATATATTATGTATACATATATGTATATATTATATATTATGTATACATATATGTATATATTATATATTATGTATACATATATGTATATATGTATGTATACATGTATATACATATATACGTATACACATATATACGTGTATATACATATATACGTATATACACGTATATATTAAATGATAAATTTATATGTATATATGCGTGTGTGCACACACACACGAGATATGTTGGTTTTGTGTAATGCAACCAAATAAATTAAGTATACATAGGAGAGAGTCACTGCCCTGACTCTTAAATGTAACCCTTATTAAAGAAAATATTTTAGTTCATTTTTTATCTATCAACCTTTTTTATCTATCAACTCTGAAATCTGCAATCAATCATATTTGGTTATGAGCAAAATAACATGAATGATAATCTAAAATTTCTGGCCAAATAACACTGGGATAATTGCATTATTACCTCTAGTACTCTTAGAAATTTCATTTGCCAGTCATAATGTCATTGAGGGGTGAGTAAACTTTTCAATAGCAGGTAGTTTACCATTGGAGAAATGCATTCTGGATATTTCCCAAAGTACACCTGAGATTTAGATTATTTTACTGATAGTTTTTGAGAAGAAAATAATAATCATTTTTCTGGTTCTTCACACCAAAAAAATTTTAAATGAAGTTGGGCATTTTAAATACTCTTTGGATTTAGAGCTCTCTAATTATATTTGAATCAGAACAAAATTCCATTAAAATAATTTTAATTTCCAATATTATGCACCAAGCATCTGATTTTTTCATGAGTTTGCCAATGGAAGTTCATGCTGCTGGTCAAAGTTCCCACTCATATAAGAATAATTTCTTTTAAGAATAATTTCTTTTACCCTTGAAGCCTCCTGATTGCTGCAAGCAATTTCAAAAACTTTTTTTTTTTTTTTTTGAGATGGAGTTTTGCTCTGTCACCCAGGCTGGAGTGCAGTAACTTGATCTCAGTTCACTGCAACCTCCACCTCCCAGGTTTAAGCTATTCTCCTGCCTCAGCCTCCCAAGAGATGGGAATACAGGTGTGTACCACCACGCCTGGCTAATTTTGTATTTTTAGTAGAGTCAGGGTTTCACCATGTTGGCCAGGCTGGTCTCCAACTCCTGACCTCAGGTGATTCGGTGATTCACCTGCCTTGGCCTTCCAAACTGCTGGGATTACAGGCATGATCCATCACACCCAGCCTGACTCATTCTTTAATGGAAAAAGAAAATACACATGTTATTCCTAAATGTCAGCAGTCAACCTATCAATGATTGACATATCTTATTTTCTCAAATACAAGAAAACCAGTCCTTGGTATCGAAAAGGTGATGCTGTATAGTACATACGGTATTATCTCATTTGTTTTTTCAAATGAAAATAATTTTTAGTGAATGATTAAAATTTACTAAATCTCTCTATAGCCATGTCTAGGGATCTGACTTGTTCCATATGTAAGTACGTGCCCCATATATTGACACAATTTTAGAAATGGCTGTCAGCTGTTATCTCTGGGAGAAAGGATTAGTAGAGACTCATTATAACTTTTATATTACCATATTGTTTGAGGAATACATAATCACGTTGATCAGATACACATCTCAGTTTACAAACTCAAGTGTGAAAGAAATCTTTTCTCAGAGTGTGTCTTATTTCTGCAAGGGGACAGACCTAGTGTTGAAGTGGCATTTTCAGGATGAGACAACAATCTAGATTTTTGTATTTCCTTTCTTTTGCCTTGGGGTATGCAGACACCCTGTTCCCATCTGGCCTTTATACACTGATGTATGAAGCCATGCTGCATTATCCTCTTCCTGTCTGTGAAGCCCTTCACCCCCCTTCACTGGCTGTCCTTAAACCAAGTTATTCCTGCTCCCGGGGGAAAGCATTCTCCATCTCCTCCTCTGCTGTGGTTGGCAAAGAAAACTATGAAGCCAAACTGCTCAGATATACTGTAATGATTTACAACAAACGAGAGAAAGTCAGATGGTAAGAAGGGCTGGGAAGGATTTTAAAACTGGCTATTGTAATGGTTGGGAAGCCACTTTATAGTAGATAGTCAAGGATGGCTTCTTGGAAGTCCTGCTATTTGTACTAGTAGTGTCCATTGCTGTCTCCATTAAAAAATGATGAATTTAATCATGTGTGATGATGGTAGAACATGATCAAATTCATTGAAGAGCTGGTAATTTGGCTTGAAAGGGGTGCAAAATAGAACAACAACTAGCGTCCAGGCGCAGGTATCCATCAGCCATCACATCTGGGCCTGGCCTCCTAGGAGAAATTAGTTCCATTATTTGTTTTCTCCATCTGTGTTAGACCCCATTCAAGGCTCAACATTCATAGATATAGAGTTTGAGAGCCCAAACTTAAGTCATCGCCCCCCACCCCACCCCGACTTGGCTATGAAAGATCAAGAATTTTTCTTGCCAGTTTCACCTATAATTTTCCAAAAACAAGTTGCACTATAAGTTACCCCATCAAAAAGTGGGGAATGGGCCAGACGCGGTGGCTCAGGCCTGTAATCCTAGCACTTTGGGAGGCCGAGGAGGGCAGATCACGAGGTCAGGAGATTGAGACCATCCTGGCTAACATGGTGAAACCCTGTCTCTACTAACAATACAAAAACTTAGCCGGGCGTGGTGGTGGGCGCCTGTAGTCCCAGCTACTCGGGAGGCTGACGCAGGAGAATGGCGTGCACCTGGGAGGTGGAGCTTGCAGTGAGCCGAGATCGCACCACTGCGGTCCGGCCTGGGAGAAGGAGCGAGACTCCGTCTCAAAAAAAAAACGTGGGGAATGAGGGGTAGAAATGGGTACTGAGCAGCCAGGATCCATGAACGCCTTAAACATTCTTAAGGCATGTTAAAGGCATTGCACTATTTTACCTGCTAAACAATCCGTTGGTTTGAAACATGGGTTCCTCTTCTTTTTTTCAGTGGTGTGCCAGGTAAAGGAAAGCGTCCAGGGGAATGTAGTTAGGGAGGAATTGCAGTCGGAGAGGATTTGCCTCACATCATGAGCTTCAGCGCTGTGATTTACATTAATATTAAATGTTAGCTTGTGTGTTGCATACCCTGAGGCTTTTTACTCCACCTGGGGGTGGAAATTTGCATTATTATGCATTTCTGACTCTAGATATAGTGGGGATTTTATTTTTGTCTCTAAGAACAAGCTAAAATCAAATCTTGTTTAAATAGGGACAGACTATGCTGCTTAGGAAAAGCACAGAGAGAAGATAGGGCAATGAAAACTTGGCAATGAGGCAGATATCAACATTTATACATTATTGTCTATTCATTTTTTCTCAGTCTTGTAAGAATTAAATCTTAAGCCGGTGCTTCACATTTCTTCTCCTTGCCTTATGAAATAAAGTTAACAAAATCTGTGTATAACAAGTTTTCTCACAACAAAACCCATTCCATAACAAGTACATTGAGTAAATATCTATGTAGGAAACCGTATGTTAGGCAGTGTCATCATGTCCTACCAAAGACCAACACCCATGTAGTAATTGAATTATTCCTTAAAGCCACATCGTCACCAGATTCTCTGGTATTTGTGTTTTATGTGTTTGTGAAATGGGTATTTTGATGCCTTGCCTTACTCCTTTTTTTTTTTTTTTTTTTTTTGTGAGATAGATAGGGTCTTACTCTGTTTCTGAGGCTGGAGTGCAGTAGCACAATCATGGCTCATGGCAGCCTGAACCTCCCCAGACTCAAGCAATCCTCCTGCCTCAGGTTCCGAAATAGCTGTGACTACATGTGCGCACCACCACACCTGGCCAATTTTTGTATTTTTTTTTTTTTTTTTTAAGATGCAGGGTCTCGCCATGTTGCCCAAGCTGGTCTCCAACTCCTGGACTTAAGCAATCCTCCTGCCTCAGCCTTTCAAAGTGCTGGGATTACAGGCGTGAGCCAGCAGGCCCGGCCGGTGCCTTCCATTTTTGACTGTAAGTTTAAAAGGATTTAGAAGAATTTAAGCTTGAAAAATCAAGCAGAGATTTGGCTCAGGTTAGGTTTTGTTTTGTTTTACAAAACAATGGAGTCAGAGAAACTGAATATTCTCTCTCAGGGTAACTCCTACCAACAGAGGCAGTTGCCAGGACGATAGGGGCTATTTCTACACTGGCAAAGAATATTATGTAAAAGTGCCTTGGTTATTGTTGTTGTTTTCTACTACGAGGGCAACAATCACACGTAGTTACTTTTTCTTCTACAATGTGCATTGAGCTCATATTATTTTAGAAACGTATTTTACTTTGCCTAATTCTAGAACCGGTTACTTACATGTCTGCCTCTCCCTTAACTCCTAACAATGAGGCAGATAGCATATTTTTGACATTTCTCGATCCCTGTGTTACAGGATTTTTGGGATGTCACTTTTCTGGCCAGAAACCTCTGTGGCCAGTGGCACCTCTGCCTGAGTTTTGCTTGGGCCCACTGGCCTCATTCCGCCCACTCAGCCTGGCAGGCTGTGCTCACCTTCACTACCGGTCTCAATCCCATGCCTGCCACGGGCGAGACAGGTGTGGAGTGGCAAGGGGTGTGTGAGCAAGTGTAGGGTCCAGCCACTGTGCACAGCCAGACATGCTGGCTGTTGCTGAGGGGTGGGCAGCTCCAGGTGCCAGCACAGGCACCAGCTGTCTGCAAGGCTGCAGCTTCCCCTGCTGGCACCAGGGAATGCGGCAGCACCTGGAAGCTTGGGGACTCCAGGAACCACAAGGCCCCAAAGAGGGAGTCACAGCCCTGGCTTTGGGAGCTCTCAAGTCTGGGCTCCCTGATGGGCTGCCGCTCTTCTCTCCTTCTCTTCACCCACAATGTGGCAAGCAAGGGGCATGTTTCAGCCCTGTTTGTGTTACAGCTCTTTTAGCCCCACCATTCGGGGGGTCCTGAGGAGTTTTGTCCTGCAACCAGGAAGAATGAGGTATGTAGACAAGTGGAGGGTGAGCAAGACGTAAAGGAGTTTTACTGAGTGATAGAACAGCTCAGAGAAGACCCACAGGGAGTAGCTCCTTTCCAAAGCTAGGGTGTCCCAACAAGTGTTCAGCTCCTAGCAGAGAGGGTAGCTCCTCTCTGTAGCTGGTCACCCTGACATCTGCTCAGTTCTCTGGCTGAGCCCAGGGCTTTTATGGCCTCAGAGGGGAGAAAGTGAACACCAATTGGTTCATGGCTGGCCAAGGGCAGGATTGGCAAAGGCACCACAATTTCCCACTCCAGGCTGTGGGACTGGCAGCTTGGCCCCCAGGCTTCAGGCCCTCCCTAGCTCATTGGTGCCCAAAGTCCAGATGGGGCCAAGGTGGCAGGGACTTGTCAGCACTGCTCGGAGCATGTACATATTGGGCCAGGCTGCAACTGTGCCCAGGCTTAGCCCTGACTTTGCTCCAAGACTAGGGCAGATGCCATCAGCAGGGAGAAGCCCTGCAGTGGGAGAGGGCACTTCCTAGCTCATTGGTGCCCAAAGTCCAGAGGAGGCCAAGGTGGCAGGGGCTGGTTTATCAGCACTGCCCCAAGCTTGTGCATACCTGGCCCCAAGACTAGAGCAGGTGCCAACAGCAGGGAGAAGCCCTGCAGTGGGAGAGGGCACTTCTAAGCCTGTGAGGGCAGAGAGGGCCTTTACAGGCCCCCAAAATTACAGAGATGGCTGGTCTGCAGCAGCAGTTTGGATGGCTGCAGGTGTACCTGGGGGGAGGGTTGTGGGTGGGGTTCCTGCCTACTCCATGGAGCAGGGGGCTCAGATCTGCAGCCACTACTTGGGCTGCTGTGGCTGCACCTGGGGAGCTCCTACCCCAATATGGAAGGGGCAGGTGTCCCATTTGTCCCTGATTCCCTCCTGCTCTGTAGAGTATGCAGTCCTGGCTGTGCCTCCTCCAAGCCTGGGGCAGGGACTCCAGGTCCTTGCTGGGCTCCTTTCTGCCTGCCCCTCATGCCCGACCACACTGCTCCACTGTTAGTGGCCCCCAAGGCAATGGACTGGGCTTGTTGGGGGCTCCCACCAGCTCTGTGTAGTACAGCACCACCCCTGGCTCAGGTCCACCTCCTCCTCGTGCCTTCCCTGCAGTGGCCAGTGTGACGGCAGCAGCCACTCCAGGGAGTAATTAAGATATTATTTGGAATAGATGAATGAATGGATAAGGAATAAAAGAATCTGGGGGTAGGTGAGGAATATAATCTGTAAAAGTGAAATTAGCATTGCTATAATATAATGGATATTTCACCATTGTAATTTAGGAATGGAAAAATTAGATCAATTACTTCCTTTATAACTGCTAAAAATAAACTTGGGAAATCCTGAAAGAGCTGTAATCTTAGACTGTAAAACTCTTAGTTTTTACAGGTTAATAGTTGTTCACCCTCATCACTAAAAAAAAATGCACATATATGTAATAATATATTTTTAATCTTATGATGATTCTTACTCTTATTAGTACATTAGTTCAGTCACTTCAAAGACTAAGGTCTAATGTTGCTCATGTATTTGCATCTGATTTTCACTAAAGTTATAAAGGGGAAACAAGAAGTTGTATCCTCAAACTTGGAGGTTGAGATTAGACAATATAATTCAGATATAGAAGTAAACAAGGTTTTATTTTTCAGAATATACCTCATCCCTCAAATGTATAAATAAAAAATCACAATAAAAAGAATAGTGTCATAGAGAAATTAAAAATCCTCTTTAAGCTTAGAATAACTTAAGCTTAGAATAACCAAGATTCCATTCATAATGAACATGTCCAAAATTGCCAGTGGAGACAATCCTGAAGTTCAAGGCAACTGCAACTTGAAGTTACAGCTGAAACTAGAATGCATTCTGTTATGGTGCTTTTTGCTCCCTCTCAGAAGATTTTCTAAGGTGACACTCAGAAAGCAAATGGCACTTTGACACTGTTAAGCAGTAGCAGAGCTAATATTTATTGTTTGAAAGCGGCATCAATGTCACTCACTTTGATTGGGCTGTTTAAGGCCACTGTCATTTGGACTTGGATTGGCCACTGAATCACCCCTTTGTTATTGACTTGTGTATTGTTATGGAACTGATAAAAATGTTTGGGTTGGTTACAAGTTCCAAGGAACTTCAAACAGCCCTACAGCACAATTCTATGTGCAATTGGGAATCATTCATTTTCCAGATGTCAGAGTTTGAAAGACTTCTCTGTATAGAATTGAAAATCGTTTGTGCCTGAGGACCTGGGATATTTTTCTATTCCACGCTGCCATTTAAAACATTTAATGACTTTTAAAAGAAAAAAATGTAATGCATTCATCACTTTGGGAAAAAATGAAAAGGAAACATTTTGACATATCTTGAGAGCATCACAAATGATGTGGGGTCTTGATGAAGGGCCCTCCAGTTTCTGTTTGTTTGTTGCCTGTTTTCCACATTGAGATACAGAAGACAAGGACACTCATGTAGCTGGTGTCATCCTCGCCTTCTTTGCATGCCTTTCCATCCATAAAATTCAACAAATATCAGTCTAGCAGCGCTTTATTAAACACTGCCTACCTATAGAGCTGAAACCAACATTTACGTTAATCTTTATCCACCTTACTAGGACTTTTTTATTAATGCACCCCTAAGCCAGAGGGAGTAACTGCAAAAAAGAATTGACATGTGATATTCCAGGCTTGATGGACGTGTCCTAGAAAATGTCTTAGGGAAGACATCGTAGGGAACCAGGAGATGCCTTTATGTTCCTTGTTAATTACCATGTACAAAATGTGAAAACAGTTTCCTGTATAATTCCTAGTGACCACGAGGTTGCATTTCTCTATATAGACACAGATGTACTAATGCTTGTAGTCCTGGTCACAATCATGCTCAGAGATGTATTTATAGTTTGTAGATGTCTCCCTATTGAGAGCCAGAAAAGAAATTAGCTCTTACCATATGTCACATACTGTGCTGGCTTGCAACCCAAGATCATGTTCCTTATATAGGAAAGAAATGTGATTGCAAACAGGACCATGTGATGTTCTTCATCATTTCTTTACCAACAGGTGTTTTCAACACACCCTCCGAGAGAGTGGTTAAAGTAGAATTTCACTCTGTAGATGCCCCCAATTTCCTTGGAACTCATTCTCTTTGTTTCTGTAGTGCCTCTAACCCTGTTTTTCCTCCTTCAGTGGCCAGTGATCCTCGTGTGACACCTTATCTCCCTCACCTCTAATGCTAGTGGACTCCAGCACTAAGTACACAAACCCATTGTCTACATTCAATTCCAATGTGGTCTCATCAAATCTCAGAGCCTTAAATCTAATCTTTGTCTTTACCAAATTATATTTCTTGCCCAATACTTATTTCCTTAGAGTAAAAATTTATATCCAATAGCCTACTCAAAATCTCCACTGGCATGTGTGGTAGGAATCTCAAATTTAATATGTATAAGTTAAACCCTTGGTCTTCCTCCCCATATTCTCCTGCTGACTTCTTATCTCAGTGACAACTCAATGGTTCCAGTTGCTTCAGCAAAGAAAAGTTTCTTTTTATGTCCCATGACCAATCCTGTCAGTTCTACCTTGCTGTTATACCCATACTCCAGCCACTCCTTATCACCTCCACTGACAGCCAAAACCAGCACAACCACTTCCTAAAAGGAGTGAAAGACCCTCTACCAACTGGTTCTGCTCCTGCTCCCTCCCACACACAAAGGAAAACACAGGGATCCTTTAAAAAAAAATGCAAATACAATGAATTTACTACTCTACTCAAAACCACCCAATGGGAAAAAGCAACGTATTACCAAGACGTACAAAGCCCTGCCTCATCTAGACCCAGCTCCCCACACCCCCACCCTACCTCATTTCCTACCCATTCTTCTTTCTTATTGACTCCCCTCCAGCCACATTTTCTTCTTAGAATGCTCTTTTCCCTCCTGTGTGTGGCTGGACTCCCTGGTTTCCTTCAGGTCTTAGCCCAAGACACTGGCTCAGTGAGAATTTCTTTTTTCATCATCTTCAAAATAGCAGTCTTCATCCTAGAAACAACTTATCTCCCTTCACTGCTTTGTTTCTCTTCTTCACACCTACTACCACACTCTAGATTGATAAATAGATAAGATATAGACATACAATGGGAGCAACATGAAAGACAGGATTTTGTTTTACCTATGACTACATTCTCAGCACCAGAACAGTACCAGATATGCAGCAAGTGCTAAATACTTAACTGCGACATCAACAGATAACTGAAAGCACACATATTGCTTACCCTTAAGTCCTTCAGCCTCAGACATCTCTGGCTTCCCATTGTGTTGCTATTTAAGTTTCAACACTCATAGCTAAATGAATGTTGAAGGAGAATTTCATAGGATGGAGTGCCTCATCATTCCGTGGGCACATGGGAAACAAACAGACGGAAAAAGAGGCACTGTGATGAAAGAATTGGTATTGATGTAATTCATTCTCTGACTGCATACCACACAGACACTTTTATAGGGGCAAAACACTCATTTATATCTTAAGGATCTTGTGCGAATGGACTGGACATTCAAGGTGAGTGGTGCCTGAGGGTATGTATTAGAAACACAAACAACATACGGAAATATTCTATGTATGTGCACGTGTGAGGTATACATGCTTCTTCTCCTTTATAAAAGAGAAAAATCCAAGCTGCTTCTGAAATCTGGAGAAGGGGCAGAATGTCGAGTACATGCATCTTTACATAAATACCCTGAGTGAATTTCCCCTTTGGGTATATGACATCCTTGAGTCAGATCCTTCTGTCAGAGAATGGAAACAACCATTTCCAGATTTAGAAATAAATAAATAGTAGAGAATAGCAGTTAAGGTCCAAATTAATCCTGTCTCTGCCGCTTTGTGACTTATCCATCCATATGTAGGAACAATTACAGGTTGTACCTCACGAGTTTAGTGGAAGATAAATGAACTAACTCATTTTCAAGTAAAATACTTGAAAATGTATTGGGCAAATAGTAAGCTTAGGATTAATATTCTCTTTTTAAATTCAGGACTATGAACAATGATCTCAATGATCTCTATGTAAGAAAGTTCTCGTTCATTTTAGATATTACTTGTATTTATTTAACAAAATGCCCAAATACTAAAGATGCAGAAGTGAATTCTATAATGCCTTCCCCTAGGAGTGCAAATTCTTTTAATAGAGAAAAGGACAAGTAATTATAAATATATACAGCAAAAATTATTGCAGCATTGAAGTCAGATAGGTTAGTTTTAGAATTTGACGTAACATAATCACAATGGAATAGTACCTGCTATCCCCACTTTATTCGTTTACATAAATAAAAAGTTTAGTTAAAAATTAAATGATCAAAATAAATATAGGAGACAACACATATTTTAAAGATGACTTAGGAACAGAAACAGTAGATAGTTCAAGAAAGATGCATCTAAGCCTACACTGTAAATGAAATGTCAAAGTTAAGAATGAAATGTGACATTGACAAATTAATTTTTAAATGAGTAAGAAAAGCAATACTTTGAACGAAATTGTGTTTGAGAAAAGATGTCATCATTAGAGTTTTATAGTCATATTTACTTCTCAGCTCATGTAGAAATTAAAGGATAACAGATTGTAGATCTATAAGCTAAGATCGGAAAATGGAAAGAAGAAATAATTAGTATCCAAAATGAGGTGTTTTTTTTTAAGATGGAGTCTCCCTCTCTCACCAGGCTGGAGTGCAGTGCTTAGCTCACTGCAACCTCTGCCTCCTGGGTTCAAGCGAGTCTCCTGCCTCAGCCTCCCAAGTAGCTGGGATTACAAGTGCACACCACCACACCCAGCTAATTTTTATATTTTTAGTAGAGACAGCATTTCACCATGTTGGCCAGCATGTTCTCGATCTCCTGACCTTGTGATTCACCTGCTTCGGCCTCCCAAAGTGCTGGGATTACAGGCATGAGCCATCGTGCCCAGCCCAGAATGGATTTAAGTGACTCAAATGGAGGCAACAGCATTATTCTGCTGCTACATTTCAAGGAGCCCCTGAAGACCAGGTGCCTTTCCATTAAAGCAGGGTGAGGGTTTTAAGGGGTAGGGAAATCTGGGTACAGACTCTTCTGGTTTAGGCTCTGAAAGGAGTTTGCATCTTGATGCATCTCGAAGAGGAACTTGGAATTGAGATATCATCACTGTATTTGTGTCTCTTTGACGGACAATCCCAGAAAACATCAGAACAGCAATTTCAGAGAACTGTGTTTTCCAACCTTTGGATATGTCAGTCAAAGTCCAACCTTTCACAGGGTGAGAATAAAGTCAGGGAGATGCCGGAGACCCTCCAGGATGTGTTTTTGTCCATCCCCATTGGCTTCAGTTAGATGTTCCTGAATAAATGGACAGACTAAACTGTTGTCCTTATTCAATAAGACAGCGTCTACCCCAAGAAGCTTACAGACAATCTCCAACTGCAGTTGGAGTATGAAATTCCTTCAAAACAATTTGAACGTTGGAGAACTCAGTATCTCAATTTCCATGTTGAACACAGATTCCAGTAAGGTAACAGATCTTGACTTTCTATTTTCTAAAATAATTTACATTTTGATGGGAGGAGGGGTGATTTTGTTTAGTTCTGAATGTTGAAAAAATTCAAGATTATATATTACACATAAATCAGTGGCCAATTTCCATGATAAATAATCTGTTAAACATGAAACAAGATGCCATTATTTCAAGGGAAATGATATTCCCACCCCAGGGGAAGCTTTTTTTTCCCCCCTCATTTTTTAAATGTCTTACTCAGGTAAAAACAACATTTATTATTATAAAAGAGTGATATCATTTTTTATTAGGGCTGTTTAAAGTAGTCTAGATACAAATGATCACTTTGAAAATAAGATACTCTCCCATCTTGAGTTGAAATTTGCCAGGAAAGTCATTTTATGAGATGATCTATGGAACCATTCTACAAGAATATTTTAAAAATTGTAAAATATTTAGAGTGCAATAAAAATGCAATGTTTTTGTTGTCTCTCTCATGCTAATTTCTACATTTTTTATATCAAAGAATATTCAATACATCTTGAAACAGGAACTCCCTCACAAAGGTAGGTAGGAGATGCTAGTAAACCCTGAGGAGAGTTTTAGGGTGGTTGAGCCATTTTGTATGGACCCCTGAAATTTAAAAAGGGCTTGATACATGCCTGGTATCAGAATCAAAGATCACTAGCAAGAACAGAGATTTCCAGCTAGTTTTTAAACCCATGCTTCCCTTTGATAAACAGAAAAAAAAAAATTATGTTCTTCTTTAAAGCTGTTGAATTTTTTAGGATAATCGGTTATGATGATTAAATATGAATGAAAGCAAAGGGACAAAACACTTTATTTCCAAACTCCCAAGACTCTAATCACTCTAAGGGGAATAGGACTGGACCTGCCTTACATAGCCCCCTACTCACACAAATTGCTGCTCAAGACGCCATAGACTTATGCATATTCGCCAGCTCTGCGTGCTCCAATGCCCTCAGCAGTTTGAGGGGACATCAAAACAGGTACAAATTACTGAGACCTGACAGCGGCAATAGGCCACCACATTAAATTCATATGGGTCATCTCCGGCGTATCATAATATTCACAGAGAGAAATGAACTCACCCTCACACTTTATTGGAAGCATCCTCCAATCCTTTTACCATCTGCTTTCATAAATGAGTCTGACTCCTTTGACTATTTTAGCCTCCACACAAATCAGAACACAGATTATTTTTCAAAACTCTTTGATTATCAGAATCAAACCCATAAAAGTGTTTTAAAAAAATGGGGTGGGGAGATTAAAGGAGAGAAAGATGGAGTAAAAGTCAATGATGCAGATACTTTAAAATGTGGTTCATTAATTGAAGGTTGAGAGCTCCATGCCTGCCCAAAACCATTTCAAGATTGAATCTCCCAACACCCTGATGAGCAGGAGCTCAAGTTTGAGTTTAATTTAATTTAGACAAATATATTGGCATATTTTTTGCTTGTAACTGAACCTTCTTGAAAATGTAGAGCATTGCATACATTTAAACAATGATAATCAATGATTTAAGGATGTAGTGAAGATGCAAAGGAGGACATTAGGAAATGAGGAATGAAGCAAAGGGAAGGGCCCATGACCCAGAGAGAAACTGAGGCAACTGTGACAACATAGCTCCTCACAGTGAGGACAATGGAAGCAGAGATGTGGGAGCTCCCAGGTTCCTGGAGAGAAGCAAATCTATAGCACAGTCACTTTTCTGCTGTAGAGCCGCATCTTACATCAGATAGGCTAACAAAAAACTTACTTAGGACCTAAGACAAGGGTAGGAGGCAGTTTGAAATGATTCCCAATGGTCCTAGTATCTGGCATTCGTGCGCTTGTGTAATCATCTTCCCTGAGTATAAACTGGACCCAGGGACTCACTTCTAATGAAGAAAAGGCAGTGCACATGAAGGACTGTCACTCCTGGGGTTAGATTATAAAAAGATTGTGGCTTGTATCTTGGTGATACTCTCCTGCTCTCTGCCAGTTAAACACTTTGGCAAAGCCACAGCTTATAAACTGCTCGATGGAGAGGCCCATGTGGCAGGGAACTGAAAGAGGCCTCCAGCCCACAACAAAGAAGGAACTAAGACCTCAGTTCAACAGATCACAAGGAATTGAATTCTGCCCACATGCACTGAGTGAACTTGGAAGGGGATCCTGCCCCTGTTGAACCACAAGATGATTGTGGCCCCCACTGACACCTTGATGGCAGCCTTGGGAGAGACTGAGACAGAGGACCCAGCTAAACTGCTACCAGATTCCTGATGCACAAAACTGTGAGACAAGAAGTTAATTTGGGCAGGTAAATTGCCGCACAGTAATCAGTAACTAAAACAAGCTTTCCCGTATGCCATTGCTTGTCCATACCTCACCTTCACTTTTCCTCTGCATGTTTTGATAGGCTAACAAGTAAGCACTCATCTCTTCCCCGAAGATGTCGACTTCCTAATCCCCAGAACCTGTGATTAGAAAGGGGCTTTGAAGATGTGATTAAGGATCCTGCGAGGGGAAAGTTTTCCTGGATGACGTGGGTGGACCCAATGTCATTACAAAGGCCATTAGAGAGGTAAGGGGGTTGATGTCAGACAAAGAAAATGTGATATGGAAGCAGAAGTTGGAGCCATGCACTTTGAAGATGGAAATAGAGATGCCAGGAGCTAAGGAACGCCATCTGCCTTTAGAAGCTGGAAAGGCAAGGACGTCGATTCTCCCCAGAGCCACCCTAATTTTAGCCCCTAAGACCCATTTTGGACTTCTGACCTTGGAATTTCAAGACAACAAATTTGTGTTGTTTTAAGCTACTTAAATGTGCGGTAATTTGTTACAGCAGAGATAGGAAACTAGTACATATGAATATATTCTGTCCTATTATTTTCATTAAATCAGCTCACTTTTTATATACATCTATTGTAAAGAGGCTTTGATACTATGAGTTTGGAGTGCTGATTGTATCCATCCCTCCACCATATATTCTGAAAGCAAACAGCCAATGAAATTTAAAGATTTAAAAATGTGCCCCTAACATCATGTTGTGTATAAGAAGTGTGAGGATCTTACTTTAGGATGCAGCACAGAAGGAGAAATGCCACATCCAGCCTCTCAGAACTCAGTCCTTTGGGCAGGATAAGGCTTTGTGTGCTCAAGTTCATTTTGGGCTTTGAGTACAACAGATTTGGAAGCGGTCACTAACAACTACAAATCCTCCAGCTGAATTTACTTATCTAATTAGGCTTTCAAACTTGAAGACTTCACTGGGTCCCAGTCTGCTGGCTACATGTAAGACTTCCTCTAGAAGAGCACGGATATTTTTCCCTCATCATGAAATTGACCTACACTGGAATTTTTTGTTTGCTGTCTGTGGACTCACTTGAAGAGGGAATTGGTGCTCTACTCAAAACCATGGTCCACAGATGAGTGAAATAAACCCATCAGGGCTGGTAGCTTCATCATGGACCAGTGGTTCTCAACTTGGGGTGATTGGTTCCCCAGGGGACACTTGGAAATGCCTGGAGATTTCCAAGAGTCAAGACTCAAAAATGATACAGACATTTAGTAGGCAGACTCCAGGGATGCTGCTATCTATCCTACGATGTCATCCCCCCAACTCACACATTCACACATACATAAATACACAACAAATACTTATTCAGCCCCAAATAGCATTCGTGCTGAGGTTGAGAAACCCGATACAAGCCAATACATATGCTAAGTCTACTAAATTACTAAAAACTCAGGGACAGATGAGATAAGACAACCAGGTCCTCTGGTATTATTGTAGACTATCCTTTAAAAGCATAAAGGGTTAAATACAAACAGCCCAGGCAATTACGTCAGGACCAGGAAGGTAGAGAGAAGAAAACCCGTGGCAGGGGAATCGCCACAGAAGCAATAACTTCTCCGCAGTGTCAGGTGCCACTTCGTGTCCCATCAATCTGTTCTTAGCACATCAAAATCAGGGGAGAGGTAAGTGCAGGGTTAAAGGGAGTGCTAGCTTCACAAGCCCTCCCCATCACTATCATAGCACAAAGTCAGAGACAAAAAGCGAAAAGAGAAGTCTAAACCCCATGAAGGCTGACATTTTAAAATAATGAAATAAATGCTATATGAAGCAATGGCAGTCAAACCAAGAATGCTCTTCAGTCAGAATAGAGCTCACAGTAACCAATGCTGCAATCCTAACATGGATAGGACAGCAGAGGATATGGGATATCCTGCAACATTTTCAAGAATTAGCAAATAACAAGTGATCAGAGTGCCAGAAAATATATGACTTCCCACAAACCATAAGAAAAACAAATCCCTTGTTCAAATACAGCAATCCTTCCTAAGTAATGGAAGATTACTAGTTCATGAAGAATCAAACTCTATAAAGAATATATCTGTGACAGCAGTTGGCCCAATACTCCCCAGTTGCATATCTTCTTCCTGTACACACACAAAAGCTAAATTTCCAATTCTCCCATGCAGTTAAGCTGGAGTCATGTGACTTGATTCTAGACAATGAGATATTAATGGAAGTGATATTCACCATTACAGGCCTAGTCTTAAATGTCCCCTTATGTCTGGTCACACTCTTTTTCTCCTCTGTAGCAACTAGGAATTCCAAGAGGTAGAGATGTTTTTACCCTTTGAGGGAAAAACATCCAGGAAAGCCTAATGACCTGCACTTGTCTATAGCATTAGTGATGAAATACATTAAGTGATGAAATACATTATGTTAAGCCACTAAGATTTAGAGCATATATATATATATATATATATATATATATATACACACACACACACACACATATACATATATACATATATATATACACATATATATACATATATATATATGTATATGTATACAGAGAGAGAGACACAGTTTCACTCTTGTTGCCCAGGCTGGAGTGCAATGGTGCCATCTTAGCTCACTGCAACCTCCACCTCCCGGGTTCAAGTGATTCTCCTGCCTCAACCTCTTGAGTAGCTGGGATTACAGGCATGTGCCATCACACCCAGCTGATTTTGTATTTTTAGTAGAGATGGGGGTTTCTCCATGTTGGTCAGGCTGGTCTCAACTCTCAACCTCAGGTGATCCGCCTGTCTTGGCCTCCCAAAGTGCTGGGATTACAGGTGTGAGCCACCACGCCTGGCTAGAGCTTATCTTTTATAGACATCATTGGCTCTAATATAAGACCTTTGTCATTCAAAGTCTTAACATATTAGTTTCAACTGTTTGAAAGTATATTAACAAATTACTACAAACTAGGCAGCTTAAAACAACATGTATTTATTATTTCTAGTTTCGTGGGTCAGAAGTCTGAGCACAGAATGGCTCAGCCAGGCCCACTGCTTAGGTTTCACAAGGGCAAGGTGTTGGCCATTCTGGGCCAGGCACTGAAGAAGATTCCACTTTCAGACTTATTCTGGCTGTTGGCTGCATTCAGTTCCTTGTGCTTGTGGGACGGAGGTCCATACTCCTTTCCTGTCAGCTAAAGTCCCACAGTTACACCTGAGGGTGCACACTTCCTCTCATGCTGTGGCAGGTGGAGTTTCTCTCACTTTTCAAGTCTTTCTGACTTCTTCTGCCATCTAACTGGAAAAAGTTCTCTGCTTTTAAGGGCTCATGTGATTAGATGGAGCCCACCCAGATAATCCAGGACCATCTCCCCTTTTAAGGTTCAGAACCTCAAAATCTGCAGTAATTTTTGACATGTAACATAACATATTCACAGGCGCTCAGTGCTTAGGGTGTGGACATATTGGGGGTCATTCTGCCTACCACAAGGAGTGATGCCAAAGTTTCATAACCTGCAGTAAGCTGTCAGGTTTTCAGAGGCCCATATTTATGTCATGATCACTGGTTTTCAGAGGCCCATATTTATATAATGATCACTGCTATGCAAGAGCACTTAGCTATGATGGTCCAGGTCAACTACTCAGCATCCTCACATCCAAGCCCATTCCACTTACTTACTGCTATTGCTATGTGGTAACTCTCATGAACTGTTCCTATGGGATTTTCCCCTTAGAGATTTGCAAGGATCTGAGATTTACCCATTACCAATGTGAAGAATCAGTATTATTATTTTTCACTTGGTTTATGTATACATCATACATATTGTCATTTGTCTAATAAATTACATTTAATTCTCCTTAAGTAGAGAGGGTTTTAGGATTCTCAATCAATCCTTCTAATTTTCTTTATAAAGTGTCAAGTAAAATAATCTCTTTAAGTATTAATACAAAGCATCTGCAGCAAATATATGGCACACATGTTACCTCCACTCCCTCCCATACCCAAGGAAGACATTGTTAGTCAATCATGGCACTCTTTTCCAGTGGATGATCAGCTACAGAATCTCTCTGAAATCAGAGTTCCAGTAAGTCACTACCAATCAAGTGGAGCTAGCAAGACTTTAACACCGGCAACTCAGAGAAAGCTGCCCAGGTAAACAGAATTATGTAAATTGGCAGCCTTTTCCTACTTGTATTATTTTTAATATTAAATTTTGCAGATTATATACAAGATTTGTTTGTAAGATTTAACTTATAACCTGCTTAAAGAAAAAAAAATTCTGAAAACAACCAAATGGGAATTTTTTCTTAAAGTCGAAATCATTTTACTTATTTCAACCTCTCACTCTAATATCCTTGTAAAGTTCACAAAAGCCTCAATTCAGCCATAGATTCAGAAGCTGGATCACCTCTGAGCTCTACAGAGAACAAACATTCTCTTTGTTTTGGGTGGGGTAGTTTTTCAAGATTTTTAAGGAACATTTTAAATGGCTCCAAACTTTATATAATAAGCTTTATGATGAAATATCTGGCTGTATTATGGCGCTGACTCTTTTGCCTATTAAATCATATTCTCTTTACTCCATACCAGTAAAATGTGGTGCTATGGCTCTCTAACTTTAGCATGGAGAGTTACAAACATGGTTGATCTATTTCTTGCACTTTGAGCAACTGTTCATTATACATCCCTCTGGACATTGCATTTACATGAGTGTTTGTAGCTTTTCTGCTCTCAAGATCAAGATTACATTTGCGAAAGGATAGCAATGTTCTTTCAAGATGCCTAAACTATACCATTTAGTGATGTACGGATTATCTAGCATTGTTCAGAGGATTCAACAGAGTAGGATGCATTAACCTAAACTCACAGATCGTGACCACAGAGAGATGGGAGATGTTAATTACCATGACTAGCTTAACCTTGTCCTATCAAACTAATAAGCTGATAAAACCATGGTAACTCCAAGTCCTACTAACAAATTCTTTATATGCATAATATATTAAAAATCAACGACTCCAGGCTGTCCTCTCTCCTGTCACCATTTGTTTTATAAGGTAATGCCATAGCCTACTGTCGATGGTTCATTAATCCACACTCATTAAACCAGTGTGACTTTGAGGGCCATTGAGCATGGTGAATTTGCCCTTCTGCACCAGAATTAAATAAACATCGACACTAAATAAAACTGCAGTGATCTTCCAAGATCTCTGGTGGAGTAGTTAATAGCCCTTGGAATGTCTCATTTCCTTCTTGACGTGGTATATTATGAACAGCTACCCATTTGGAGTGCTGTGTAAAATAGAATACAAGCTAGTTTAACACCTAACATTAAATTGTTGGTCTTTTTTTCTTCATTTTATCACTGTCAATGTTCTCATAATTATTTCATACAAAGGGAGTCACAGATCTGATAATTTACAGATGGGTCACATAGGAGGTTAAACAATGAAAATCGTATCTATATATATACACTCACACACATATATATTATTTATCTGACTCACTAGTGTTTTATAATTTTGTGACTTGGTTGCCAACACTAACAAATATGAAGATTTTATATAAAAATACAAATTCTTTTGAAGAGTAAGAAGACTGGCAACACTAGACTTGAATCCTGTAACACGGCTAAAGAGGAGACACACACCCTCTCTAGTTTCTTACGGACACAATGGTTTTGCTCCTTAGCAATGCATACTTAATGCAATTAATGACTTTTATACTTGCTTGTTACCTATACCTAGCCTAAGCCCTTGCAACACACAGTGTGGTCCATGAATGAGCTGTGTCAACATTGCCTGGGAGATTATTAGACCTGCAGAATCCCAGACTCCATCTCAGACAAGATACCCAGGCATTTCATGTGCCCTTGAAAGTTCAAGAAGTACTGACAGAGATTCAGGTTCACACAGGATGGAAGGCATATACTCAGTTTTTTGGGGGGTTGTCTTGGCTTCTACTGCCTTTTAGTCTCACTTCCACCTTCCTCCTCTACATACTTTGCTCTTTGAATTTAATGCTACTATTGATATATTCTAGTCCTCTCCAGTCTCCACTTGTCCTCTACAGACATTCACAGGATACTGATACCTAAGGGAGCAAAAACATCCTCATTCTACATTAATAGTGCTATTAAAACTAAGCAAGTTTTCATTAGAATTATAGGATCTCTGGTTCAAATGTGGCATTGTGAAGGTCTTATAGCCACATGGTTCCTGCAGTGGGCTGAATGGTTCCCCTACTCCCCAAGATATATCTATGTCCTAACCTTTAGAATGCGTTAATATGACCTTTATTGGAAAAAGGGTTATTGCTGATGTAATTAAGAATATAGTGATGAGATCATCCTGAAAAATCTGGGTTGGCCCTAAATCCAATGACACGTGTCATTAAAAGAGGCATACAGAGGAGAGACATGGAGGGGAGAAGTAGGCCATGTCAAGACAGAGACAGAGATTAAAGTAATGCAACCACAAGCCAAGGAATGCTGACAACCACAAGAAGCTGGAAGAGGCAAGAAACAGAATTGTTCTTAGATCTTTTGGAGAGAGCACAGTCCTGCTAAAACCTTACTTTCAAATTTCTGGCCTTCAGAACTGTTAGACAATAAATTTCTGTTCTTATAAGGCAACTGGTTTATGGTGATTTCTTATGGCAGCCACAGGAAATTAATATAGTTCTCAAAGCTGGTTGCCTATCAGAATCACCTGGGTGGTATATGAGTGGTGAAAATTGCAGAAGGCAGAGAGTGGAGCTAGGGAGAATTCTTTACAGCTGAGAAAGAAAAATAGCCAGCAGCATTGACATCATCAGGAGCTTCTTAGAAATGAGTTAGACAGAGAGAATCTGAGGCCCCAGACCTACTGAATCAGAAACTGCATTTTAACAGGATCTCTAAGTGATTCATAGATACATTAATGTTTGAGAAGCCCTTCAATTTCAATTAGCAAATTTGGCAGAGTGTCTTCTTGATCCTGTGTTTGTGTTGATCAGAAGTACAAAGTGTTCCTTCTCCTCTGTCTTGTCTAAGTCTATGAGATAATGTTCGTAAAAACACAAATTCCAGAAGAATTCAGAACAAAAAGACACGCAAATTCTAACTTAGGGGGCGAGAGCCCTTCCAACTCCTTAATAGGACACTGTGAGAACAAAGCTAGATAATGCACCAAACCAGATGTTTGAAACTTGTGAACAAAGGCAAGGGCTGCTAATGCATTCATTTCCACTTACTACCCAGGCAAAAGAAATTTGTGTATTAAAGTGTTTATCTCAAAAGGGGCTTAATCTGACAACTGAAAGCAACAAAGTTGGGCGAAATTGCTGCTGAGAATTTGAATGTAAGAAATTCTCACCTAGGTCTCAAAATAATAGCCTATTAAAATCACAATGGGAGAGTGGAGGCTCAGGCAAGCTGGACGATTAAACAAAGTCCAGAGCCAGTGGAACGAGGGAGGAATGATGAGGGAATAATGAATACATCTGCTGATCCTAAATTCGGAAATGCCAACCCTACAAAGCAATGCCTGGAATGAAAGCCTTTATTGTTTCCGGCTCTCCACAAAGCTGGTACTGCCCAGTTTCCATGGATAACAGTACAGCTGATAGACTAGGATGGGGAAGGAGGGAGTTTCATACCATCTGCAGATTTTCATGCAATAGAGAAAAGAGGTAACGATGGATGAATTAGAAAAATTAGGGAAACGTGAATTGCTCCACCTCAAGGGAACATTTTTGGGTATTTTGAAATCAAAATTTCTATGATGTATGGAGTGAAGGCTTTCTCATTTCACTTTATCTAGATGGAGGAAAAGGAAAATATGAGTGAATATTGGAAGAGATTCAGTAATTTAAGTAAGAGAATTTTAAAAAAAGGCCTAGCCAGTTAGGTTATCCACAGAAATATAGGGACACAGAGGATGAAAGAGAAACCACCAAAAGGTAAAAGCATGAAAAAAAGTGGACAGAATTTAATACTTTTGTACCTACTATGTGGTGAGTATACTTCATATTATCTCATTAATTCATTTAAAATGGGTCAAAATGGATAAATATTATCTCTGTTGTACACATGAGAGAATTGAGGCTCAGAGAGGTATTGACCAAGTCACACAAATAGCAAATCATGGGGGAAAATGGAAAGGAATAACTCATGTTTCAAGAGTTCACAGTATGAGATACTGTGGGTTACAGTTATTAACTGGTCATTGAAATAGTGATATCTGAAGCAGAATTCAAGTGCATTTGTAAGTGTTATTCAAAACATTCATAATGGCCTATATACTCTGTGTAAAAAAACATTCATAGGTTTAAATGAACGATAGAGTTATTACAGATGGTTTTTAATCCCTAAGGCACCTGGGAATTAGCATGAATCTGGAAATATGTAAATGAAGAGAGCAGCTAAAACTGGCAGAAGAAAATCTGTTTTGCATAATTGAATCTCATTCATTTATTCAACAACTTGTATTGAATGACTATTTTTGGTTGGCACTTTTAGGCAGTAAGGATGCAAAGGTAAGTTAGACAAGGTCTTCATTCTCTTAGCATTTGCCTTTAGTTGGGAAGGCAGAGGTAATCTGAAAATTAGAATTCAATGTGAAAAGTGCTCTACTAGACATAAGAAGCACAAAGCACACAAGCATAAAAAACAAAAAGAGAACCAATCACAGCATCATGTTCAACTGCCTTGGGAATTCAGGCACTCAGAACAATAGAAGTTTATTCCATCTGCTAATAAGGCCAAATATCAAAGAAAATAAATGAAAGGACAAGCCAGGGAAAAGAACCAAGATTCCATGTGGAAATAATCTCACCCATGTCCTGTACCCCTCCACTTTCAGTTTCAATACCACAAATTCTTTTTATGATTTGGTTAGCAGTTCCCTCTGGGCGTGTAATAATCTTGGCTGTTATGTATCGGCAGCTTTTTAATTGGTCTTCCTACTTCCATTTTGGCCAAGCTCCAATCCATTCTTTCCACTGCAGCCCAAAGTGTCTTTTGAAATTGCAAATCAGAACAAGCCACCTGCCCTCTCTTTGTTTCAAAACTTCAATATTGTCTCGTTGCTCTTAGAACAACATGAAATGCCACACAACTTGCACAACCTCACCTGCTCTTCAACCCCATCTCTCAGAGCTCCCGCCCCTTCTACTTTCCAGCTATACTGATTCTTCCAATTCTGGAATCTGTGGCAGCCTCCCCACTGCCAGAAGTCTTTGCACGTGCTGTTTCTTGACTGCCAAGGTCTCATAATCTGATCAGCCAGTGAACAACTTCTCACCCTGTATATTCCAATTGAGGATCATATGTTACCGTTAAGAAAATCTGTTCCTTTATTATAACAAGATAGTAAAACAGATTGGTCAAATCTCAGTGTTTCCAGAGCCAGAAGACCTGGGTTCAAATTATAGCTGTACCACTTACTAGCTCTGTGACTTTGATCTCAACTTCTTCATTGGTAAAGATGGGTAGCAAAATTAGTACCTGCTCCTAGAATAATTATAAAGTTATATGAGATCATACATGCAAAACATTTCCCATTTCTAATTTAGAATTCATTCTCTATCCATCTTTTTACTATTTTTTCATATATCACTTGTCCTTCTCTTAATTCTTTTCCCTGCGTCTCTTAATGTTCTGCGTTTTTTCTATGATGTATCTGTGAAAAATCTAATTTTATGGATCTGCTTGTACTCACAGTAAAATATTGGTTTAAAGGCTCACATCTTGCTTCAATCCTAGAAAAAAAAGTCAATTATTCTCTTTAAATATTACTTCCTTACCATTCTCTCAATTTTCTAGAACTGTATTATTCACATGGAGAAAATGTTGAGGCTCAATGGAAAAAAGGGCATTATTTAGACAACCATGTGAGCATCCATGTCCCATAAAGACCAGCTAGTAAATCCTGTTTTAGGCTTCATGGGTTAGGCTTCATGTTGCAGGTATTCAACTCTACATTGTAGTGTGAAAGTGGACAGTGACGGCATGCAAACATGTGGCTGTGTTCCAACAACACATGACACTTTACTTACAAAAACAGGCAGCAGACTCAACTTGGCCCATTTCTATACTTTGCCAGCCGTTCGCTTGGCACATTCTGGGTCACCTGAGTCTGGCCTTCCATTGCCATTGCCCTGCTTTACAACTCTCTCAGTCGTGGATAACTGAAAGCAATGCAAACAAATTCTTGTCCTTGGACATGACAATTCTGACCCATGGAGACTTAGTTCACTTGGCCCTCAATCTCACAAAGAAAAAGCCTGTTTCATGTCACGTATTTGTAAGTTCATTTTAATATCTTTGTTCTATACAAATTTGTCTTTAACTTATTCAAACCAGTTGTAACATTTTACAGATTCCCTAATTAATAACAGGCTAAATCAGGCCAGGCATGGTGGTTCAAGACTGTAATACCAGCACTTTGGGAGGTTGAGGCAGGAGGATCACATGAGGTCAGGAGTTCAAGACCAGCCTGGCCAACATGGTGAAACCCCATCTCTACTAAAAATACAACAAAAAATTAGTCGGGCATCATGACGCATGCCTGTATTCCCAGCTACTCAGCAGGCCGAGACAGGAGAATCTTGAACCCGGGAAGTTGTAATTTGATCGCAATGTGGTCATGGTAGCATGCGAAAGAGAGGCTTGAACCCAGGAAGCAGAGGTTGCAGTGAGCCGAGATTGTACCACTGCACTCCAGCCTGGGCAACAGAGTGAGACTCCATTTCAAATAAATAAATAAATAAATAAATAAATAAATAAAATCTTTAATGTGTTCATTTTTCATCTGTATGAGAATTACGATTTGTATCTTTTTTATTAATATTACCCTTCAACATACGTGTGTCGGAATCTCTCAGTCTTCATAACACCTAACTGGTTTTTCATAGTCTTAAACCTCTTTGTCATATATGATGGTGAATTCTCAGTAATATCGGCAATACTAATTCTCTTTTTGACAATGTCCATTCTAGAATTTGGCCATTCACCGCATGCCTCATTTGAAGGGTTATGCTTCTAATGTCAACATTTCCGCATTTCCTGTTTCATTGCATCTTATTTTATACTCTCTTATTCTTCCTCATGGACACAGTTTCCGCAGATAAGTCTTTGAGTTTCTTAAACATACCTAAGACAAAAAGCTTCATCTGCGCAAGGCATCCTGAACAGTGCCTGACACGTGTCCACATTCAAAGAATAGTTGTTGTCTTAGGTTAAGTTTTTCCAGATGGGTTGGTCTAATGGTTCTAATTGCTTATTTTGCAGCCTCCTTGGCATTAATTTCCTGTGCTTTATTCACAAACCATTCTAACATAGCACATCTGCACTTACTGCACATACATACGAAAACTTTGAGTGGAATGAATTACTTATTTTTCACTTTCCCTTGGTGATCACACACATGTACACACACATACACACACTACTTTTGTTTATGCCTCCACCAGCCCTCTGAGTCTCCTATCTGGCATTGGCCTTTTAATGGCAATTTGAGATTCCAATTTTGTAGAGACAAAGAGGACACCCCATATCCAGCCACTGAATCGGGTGATTTCATTTGAGACTTGGTTTCAAGGCTAAGACTGCAGTCTCATATTTCCCTAGGTCTTCAGCTTTCTGAAATCATAAGCCTGGCAACAATCTGCAGAGTTTCTTCTAGTGGGTTTACAGAGCAGTCCCATCCCAACTCTGTCCTCTAAGCCATAAGCATGCCTCTGTTTTCCTACCTTCATATTTTTAACCTGATTACCTGCAGGCACTGTCCTCCCAGCCAGGGCTGCCTGCATCCAGACCAGGAGCTCAGCATGAGATGTTCATTCTGTTTCCAAGCCTAGCTATGTCTCTGTTGGTATTTCTTGCTTGACATTTCGTCTATCATGACTGTTTCTGAAACTGAGAGATTAAGTCAAAGTATGATAATACCATAATATTTTGACCACAACTGTGTTTATTATTCACATTGTATAACATGACTCATTTGCATATTAACAAAATAAAATAAAACTTTGCATTGACAGAAAAGTCCACTAGTTACACTACTTAGAAAGACATAAATAGAAGTGACTAAAAAAAAAAAACTTAATGGGAGCTTGATATTTTTTTTTTTTCACGTGCCACTATGACAACAGTGCAATCAAATTAGAACTCAGGATTAAGAAACTCCCTCAAAACCGCGTAACTACATGGAAACTGAACAACCTGCTCCTGAATGACTACTGGGTAAACAACGAAATGAAGGCAGAAATAAATAAGTTCTTTGAAACCAATGAGAACAAAGACACCACATACCAGAATCTCGGAGACACATTTAAAGCAGTGTCTAAAGGGAAGTTTATAGCACTAACTGCCCACAAGAGAAAGCAGAAAAGATCTAAAATCGACACCCTAACATCACAATTAAAAGAACTAGAGAAGCAAGAGCAAACAAATGGAAAAGCTAGCAGAAGACAAGAAATACGTAAGATAATTAATTTTAAAATAACCTTTAGAAAAGCTAATGAATATTGCACTGATATCTACAAACTGATAAAAACTTTGCTGCCACCTCCAACATGCAATATTAAAACATTAAATATTTTAAAATCGCTCCAAAAATAATGTTAATCCTTGTTTTTTTCTGTAATTTTCCAATTCTAAAGACAATCCACTAGTCTGGTGTACACTTTTGAGCTATTCTGTCCACCACCTATTAAGAAGATAATATCTTAATTCAAAGGAGGTTCATACAAAGAGACAGAAAATTGACTGCTTAATGAGTTTGCAATGATTCCTTTCTAATAAACTTAGCACATCTGCATTACTGGTCATATATATGAAGAGTGAAGTTTGAATTTGTTCCTTGAAGCTTATGTAGAAATCAGAAAAGCAGACATTTTTTCCAGTGTCATATCTGAACATACCTGTGTATTCTTTGGGTTCTTCTCATCAAAACTCAGAATAACAGATCCTGGCCAGGTGTGGCTCATGCCTATAATCCCAGCACTTCGGGAGGCTGAAGCAGGTGGATCACCTGAGGTCAGGAGTTCGAAACCAACCTGGCCAACATGGTGAAACCCTGTGTCTACTAAATACACAAGAAGTATCTGGACATAGTGGTGGGCACATGTAATCCCAGCTACTGAGGAGGCTGAGGCAGGAGAATCACTTGAACCTGGAAGGCGGAGGTTGCAGCGAGCTGAGATCGCGCCACTGCATGCCAACCCGGGTGACAAGGGCAAAACTCCATCTCAAAAAAAAAAAAATCCTGGAGATTTTAAAGATGGGCAGTATCAATTAGATTGGCAGTAACCAAGGCTAATTTAACTTCCAAGGGACATTTGACACTATCTGGAGACACTTTTGGTTATCAAAATGGAAAGAATATACAGTTGGCATTGAATGGGTAAGAGGCCAGAGTTGTTGCAAAACATCCTCCAATGCACAGGACGCCCCCTGGATAAAGATTAATCTAGACCTAAACGTCAGTAGGGCAAATGCTGAGAAACTCAGGGGCAGACTTTACAATTCCCATTTGAGAAGCGTTTAATAAATTGTATGTCTAATATATATATATACACACACATATACATATATACACATATATACATATATACATGTGTACATATATACATATATACATATGTGTACATATATCCAGAGAAGATATGCATATATTTATACATTTATGTACATAACATCACTGTGTATGTATATGCAGGGTGTTTTACTTTGCAGGAAAACATGTTGTTATTAAATTTAGGAAATTTCCTCCCACATGTCTTGGTTTATCCCACAAGAGCTTGCTGTGCTCAAAGATACTACCTTGACTGAGCACTTTCTCATAAACTTGCTGAACCTTCATAAAGATCCCAGGTGGGTATTATTATTATTCCCTCAGTGCAGATGAGAATACTGAGATCGAGAAGCGTTTAGTAACTTCCCTGAGGCCATAGAACTGGTAAGTGGAGGAGCCAAGATTCTCACCCAGTCTAGTTCATCTTACTCATTGTTTGCAGTGTTTAATTGCTTACCCAATAAGGTCATTAAGGCACTTTCCACTGGGAAGTGTTGCCTTCCATCTCTTAGGAATGGTAGATGTATGTACTAGTTGGCACTTAAGAAGTGGTGATGTCTGAAACATTAAGAAAACTTCAGCAGTGAAAGAAGGCACACATCAAAGCCACAGAGATGAATGCTAATGAGAAGAGTAAACATATGAAACTGCTTTTTTCTTCCTTCAAAAACAATTTCCAAGTCCCTACCAGGTGCTGTGCAGATAAAGCAGGGTCACAGAAGTGCTTTTCTGCACAGGTTGAGCAGGAGGTGCACCGAGGCACAGTCTTAGCCTGAGGTGTTTCTTATAGCTAAGCTGAGAATTACGTTTGATTCACATTGGCTGGATTTCATTGCAGGATCCTGGAGTGCCCAGAAAACCCAAAAGAAGCAGACTCAGGCTGCGATCAGAAGAATTTTATTATCCAAGTTGCAACATGCAAATATCTTCTTTGCAGTCTGCTTTCTGCAAACATCAAGTGAAAAAAATAAGCAGGAAAAATGAGAAAAAAAAAAAAAAAAACTGGTACAGTTCATGCTTCACAAAGTCCTGTAGGTTATTACCATGTTTTAAGTTGTGAGTTGCAAACACAAGCTGTTCTTAAACAAGAACAAAAAGAAAAAGCAGATGGTTTCTTTTTACATCCTGTGAAACTTTTCCTGAATATAAGCATATGTTCCCTTCTCCCCAGCTGGCATTCCCCATGCAAATGATCAGTTTGGGGTTTTTTTTGTTTTTGTTTGTAATTTTGAGGAAAATTCTTGATGCCCATCCCCCATCCCACTCTAAATCCCATAATACCTAGAAATAAGAACAGGGAAAGGCAATCGCCAAAATATTTGATCAAAGTAAGTCTTTGAGGCATCATTGCTGTGTAGAAGTATGTTTGAGCCTAAGTATCATCCTGACTTTATCGTTATTACTATTATTTTTACATTATGTCTATTTTTCTCAACAAACATCTTTCTTGGTACTCAATTGTTTTTCCTATATGTGACATGGTAGAAAAATGTGAGATTTGCAGTTATAAAGACTTGGATTCAAGTTTACTTACTTATTAAATGACTGTTACCTTTGGGAAAATTATTTTAAATTTATTTTAAAATATTTTTATTCTCTGTGACCCTCAGTTTTATAATTCACAAAGTGGAGACAATAACATCTCCATTTTCACAGAGATTTAGAAGAGAAATATATATAAGGTACTGGAACAAGGCTGACCCTCAATAAATGGTTACTATTTTGAACTCCGGGCAAATTGTATAACCTCGAACCACTCACTTCTCAAAAATCTGGTTCTTCGACCAGCAGCATCGGCAGGATTCAGAAGCTTGTTAAAAATCCCAAAATCTCAGATCTGCTACATTTTGTTCTGCATTGTAAATAAGCCCCCTAGATGATTCTTAATCTCATTTCAGTTTGAGAGACACTGCACTAAATCTTATTTGCCTCATTCACATATATAGTGACAGCACTAGCACTTACTTCATAGAAGTATTGGAAGATGAAATAAGATAGTGTATTATTTGTATAGTATTGCATGAAGTGCCTAGCACATACTACCTTTTAAATAAATGGTAGTTATTATTGAGGTGTTACTGCTTTATTGGTGGTGTTGATCTGGAAATGTATATGGGAACTTCAAGAGCCTTGAATGGGCTTCAGTTTTGCTCAATTATCTGCATTGTTTTAAAAGAGTTTCCCACAGATGTTAACTATCATCCTGGCTTAGGTGGACTGCAATTGTGTTTGCTTCACTACACATCTTAGCAGCCAAAAGAGTGTCTCTCTTGTTACTACTTAAATTCTTCTTGTGCCTTAAGAGGTATAGGAGGAGGAGAATCCAATGTTTCTGAACAGTTTTGTTTTATAGCCAGATACAACTGTTACAGTCAAAGCGCTACTTGCTCCAATATTAGTTATCTATGGCTATGTAAAAAAACTATCCCAAACTTAGTACAAAACAAAACAAAAAGCCATTTAAATCATGCAGTTTGAGGGGATCAGTTATTCAGGAGAAGCCTAGCTGGGTAGCTCTGGCATGAGATCCTGCCTGAGATCGCAGTCCATTTGATGACCAGAGCTGGAATCATCTGAAGGCTTGACTGAGGCTGGAGGTTCAGCTTTCAAGGTGGTTCACACATGTGACTGTTAGCTTGAACCAGCAATCAGAGAGAGACATTGAGAGGTGGAGGAGAGAAAAGCTATAGTGGCCTTTATAACCTCATCTCACAAGTGACACACCATCATTTCCATTGTATTCTATTGGTCACACACACCAACCCTGGTACAATGTGGAAAGGTACTACAGAAGGGTGTGACTACCAGGAAGCAGAGATTGCTGGGGACCATCTTGAAGGCTGGCTACCACAGTCTCTGGCCCACTAATTTATACGAAAGTAGATGAGTGTAATGAATATAATGCAACCTCCCAATTAATTTCATATCCAGTTCAACTTGTCTCTCTTCCAAGAAGCTTCTCTGCCAAGATATATTTTTCAATCATCTCCCTCCTATAAATGTTGACAGCATTTGTTCACGCTCTACTCTTTTAAAGATGTCATTTTGCTCCATTTTTATTTCACAAATGCCAGTCTAGTCACCTTGAGGGCAAAAGTTGTGTCAAATTATTTTAAGGATTCCTTAAAATTTTCAGTATGTGCTAAGTATATAGTAGGTACTCATAATAATTATACTTTAAATGATTAAAACATAAGTGTTAGCTAAAAACTAAATTTTGTTGGATTAACTGGCTTAGATTCTACAGAATGGTCAAGGCAAAATGTGATTGCAATTTATTTTTAGTTTCACCAATAATCCTATAGAATCATTTTTAGGAAAATAGGTCTTGAAAAGCACATTCTAAACATTATAATGCAGTAAAATCTCAGTTTACAAGAATCCAACTAATCATACTCAGCAGTTTAAAACAGAACCAGAATCTGACTATCTAGAATAAATTTACCACATAATTTTATCCTTAGACTGTATATATATATAATATATGACAAAATAGTATTAGGTTATTTATTTATAAGATGGGCCAACAGGATATCTGTCAGAGTCAGTGTAAATTCAAACCCACCTCTTTGATCTTTCAAATATGTAGCCTGGACATTCTTTTTAAAATTGTCTTGAAGCCTTCTAGAACTCTTGGTCATTAAACCGCAGCTTCATGTTGTCTATTATATGCAAGAAAACATGCCTATTCACACTGAATCCTTGCACATATCTACTTGATGGTCTTGGCCTTGCCTTTCCCTTTGCTACAACCTTCTTCCCCTAGATATCCACCCACAGAGCTTGCCTCTTCACCTCCTAAAGAACTTCACTCAAATGGCACCATCTCAATGAGGCTTACCCTGGTGACGATATTCCATGTGGCAATCATCATTTATACACCCTCAGCATGGCTGATTCCCATTAACCATGCCTAATGGTTTTTTTGACCTAGTACATATCACCTTCTAAAAATATATATAATTTACTGATTTCTTATGTTTATTGTCTTTCTCTGGAAAGTGGCAGCTTCCCCAGGACAGGGACTGTTGCCTCTTTTACTTCCCAGTGTATCCTAAGTGCCCGAACCAGTGCCTGGAACATAACGTATGCTTAACAGGAATTTTTTTGAGTAAATGAATGAATTGGAAGAATCTTTTCACAATATAATTTGAAACAAAAAAAATCTTTGCTGGTGAGTCTTGAACTAAGTAGATATTTCCTTGGGAAAGACTACTTTCCCAATAATTCTGATTAATTATGGCACATCTTTTAACATATGTGGAAAGCAAATATATTATAAATGGATAAAATATAATGTAAAGCATTTTATTTTAAACATCATTTTCAAAATTCATTAAAGCTACAATATAGAAGTTGGTAGAGTTTATTAGTCAAGTCACTTAAAATCACTTCAGGCTATACAAGCAACTGGCTTGACTGACTTGAATTCAATGACTGAAATCAACGTTTAACTGAATTGATGCACATTCTGTTGATATAAAAGTACATTAACTGTTCTGAAGCTCTAAGTAATGATAGGTTTTTCTTTTTTTTTTAACTTTATCACTAAAACTTTAAGTATGACTGATACCTGCCTTCTGTATTAGAACATATGCAGGAAATTTACTTTTTTTTCTCAAAATGGTAATTCCAGGAGATGATAAAGCCAATATATTTTGAAAAGAAATGACATTACAATAACAATATAACTTTGTAATCAAATATTAATGTTTTTATAAATGTTTATTGTGCTGTTAAATTAAATGAATTCCATGCATGGGCAAAGTAAACTATGTATATTCTGCCATGAAAGAAATGGTAAATCAAATAACTGGGTATTTAACAATGATTTATTTATTTTCAACACTTGCAATGTCCTCATTCCCAAATCCCTAGAAGATAGTTTAATGTATGGAAAAAATGTAAAAATGAATGAAAATGCTCTTATGACATGAAGACTTGTGTAATTATTGGAGTCCAGAATTTACAAATTACATCTTGTGGCGAGTGGTGTTTAGCTTGCTTTGTTAACCTTTCATTCATGTAAAAGCTGAATTAATTTTCCCTGAATTACATTGTTCTCTTTGGAAGATTATGTTTAACTACTTACATTAAAATTCTAAACTTCTCTCATGTAATACAAGCAAAATACACACAATTAACGCAACCACATTAAAAGACTGAGTTGACATATTTTTAATTATAATAATTTATAGAAAATTCTTGTGAAACTTTTTTGACTTTCACTTCTTGGATGGCCCCTGATTTTGCCTGTCAATAAATAGAGAAGAGCAAGGCAGTATGCTGTAGCGCACAAAAAGGTTTAGGTAGATAAGTGTCCCAAAGAGTCCACTGATACAATGCAAGTCCCTGGTTAATGTGTGACAGAAGAATGTAATGCTGGGAAGACATACTCAATAGTCTAGAACTCCTCCAATGTTAATGTAGTTCAGCAAATATTTTTGAGAGCCTATAAATTCAATTTCACAATCTTAAGATCCTTTTCTATTGAACTGATGTTGTGAATTTGTCATAACACTGTTGTTAGAAGAAATTCTAAATTTCTTATCAATGAGATTGACTTTGATATGACCATCATCTACTCATCCACTAATGATGTAGTGGTTGATGTCATAAGAAAAACAGTATTGAGGGCTGGGCACGGTGGCTTCAGAGGTAATGACAACCTGACCAAGCTCTAAGACAAAATAACCGTTTCTGAGGGGATGCCTTCTCTTCAATATTCTACCAACCGTCACCTAAGGAAGACAAGTTCTGAGTGGCATGGCTACAGTGTCAGTGCTAGTGTCAGAAACTACAGCACAGGGCAGATAGATGCATTTTTTAAGATCACCACAAGTCAAGGAAGGACAGAACGGGAAGGAGCAGCTGAGATCACCAAACTCTCTAACTTGATGCATAAGAGAAGTGATGCCCAACAAACAGAAAATGGCTTCTCCAAATCCAGGAATTAAGTTGCAAAACTGGGGCCCCAGATTTTATTTCTGTGAGACCATGATGCCTCATGAACGATAACATGCTGAGGAATTCTCAGTCTTCTGTCTCTGCCTTTCCAGCCAGTTAGGCTAAACCCAAGCCTACTATGTGGCCCTCAGTTTTCCTGCATCAGGATCTCTGGTGTGTTTGTTGAAGGTGCAGAATCCCAGAAGGCAAAGTCCTTCCACCTGCATTTTTAACAAGGCTAATTCTGATGCATATTCAAGCTTGATGACCACTGCTCTAGGCATAATTGAGTCCTAATTCATTCTTTTATTAACTCTTTTCTGAGCCCTTGTTGTGAGATGAAGTATGTTAAGTACTGTGACAAACCCAGATACAGAAAAGAACCTTTAGGCACTACTAATACACTTTTCTGGGTTTAGATTGTAAATGCATCATCTGCCAACAGGATTACTATAACTTTTTTAAATCTTAGGAAAAAAAGTATGTACATGTGTGCAAGTGTATACCAAAACACACACGCTGTGTTACAACTCTTTTGATAACAAGTCACCAAATACTAACTGGAGCAGGAATTTATTTTAAAGATTACTGATACCTATAGACCAGGCTGGAAATCAACAGGGCTTCAGTAACACCCAGAATGAGGAACTCAAATGTTGTGAGAACGCTGCCTCCATTATTCATCTAGGTCTTTCTACTGGTATATGCTTCATTCTTCTCCTCTCTTTCCTGCCCCCTTTCCCCTTTCTTCCCCCCTCTACAATGTGAGGCAGCTCCACTGATTTCCTGTTAATTTCACTTATTCACCCCCATTCCCTACAAACACACACTGACCTCTCTATTTTTCAAACTCATTGAACTCTTTCTTGCCACAAATCATCTGCATTCACTATGCCCTCTGCCTGGCATGCACTTTGCATAGCAGCTGCTTTCTCCATCATTATAATTCAGTTCAAATAGTTACTCTTAAGAGAGGACTTCCCTAGGTATGTACTACTGGCTATTTACTCTGTGCAATGGGTGGCTCACAAAATCCCTGAATAATTAACAATCGGTTTCCATTTGATTATTTATATTCTATTCCACGGCTTATTTACTTTATAGAATTTATCCAAACCTGAAAGTATCTTGTTTATCTATTAGTTTACCCTTGTAACTCCTGTCTTCTCCCACTAGAGTGTGGGCCCCATGCAGTGGTGGGCTACTGCTAGCTCATACAGGCTCATGAGAGCTGATTGTCAAATATGAGGAATTTTCGTGAGCTAGTTTTACACTTGAAGCTTGAAATTGGTCATGGCAGATATACTTGCAACACGGAAATTGGCAAATGCTACAAGTAAGGACTTTTTTTAAACAAATTTCCCAGTGAGTTGGCCCACTAGTACACCACTGGCCCCATGAAAGCAGAGATCTTCTTTCCTTTTTCCCTCTTGCACTGTTAGCACCAGGTTGCAGTTAGTAAGTTGTTGGATGAGCGCATGCATGACTATTATTACTTTAGACAACTCCTTTTTTGTCTCAAAAACAAAATTCAAAGGAAAATTACTCATTTGCTCAACAAGAATGAGGTGCTTATGCTTGAACAATTAACTATTTAAAAAGGTACCAGAATCATGTTATAACTCAATGCTGGGCTACACTTAGCTAGCTGTGGTGATGGAGGCAGCGGTACCATTTCTAGAAAAAGGACTGGGTAAAGAAAAGGAAAAAAAAAAATGATTGCTGCACTTATTTCTTCCACTGAATGAGGCTCTTCTTGAGGCTGAGATGATTTTGTATTCTACTTTGTGGTCCACCTACTCACCAGCACGCTCTAAGAATATTATTTATTTAGGTTAGAATGCAATTATATATTACCATTATAAAGTCTTATACTAGTATGCCATGGACACAAAAATAAATTCAGAAAATTATTCTAAGACACTCCCCACTGGCCAGCAAGCTCTTTAATAATAATTATCTGAGAATAGAAGGAGACTCCATTTGAAACCTTTTTTCTAAATATTTGCAAACTATGCATCTGACAATGGTCTAATATCCAGATTCTATAAGGAACTTAAGAAATTAGCAAGCAAAAACCTAACAATCTCATTAAAAATGGGCAAAGAGGCCAGGCATGGTGGCTCACTCCTGTAATCCCAGCACTTTGGGAGGCCGAGGTGGGTGGATCACCTGAGGTCAGAAGTTCAAGACCAGCCTGGCCAACATGGTGAAACCCTGTCTCCACTAAAAATACAAAAAAAAATAAATAAAATTAGCTGGGTGTGGTGGCAGGCACCTGTAATCCCAGCTACTCAGGAGGCTGAGGCAGGAGAATTACTTGAACCCAGGAGGTGGAGGTTGCAGTAAGCTGAGAATGTGCCATTGCACTCTAGCCTGGGTGACAAGAGCGAAACTCCATCTAAAAAAAAAAAAAAAATCCACATCCCATATCAGTCAGAATGGCTATTACTAAAAAGCCAAAAAGTAATAGAAACTTGTGAGGTTGTGGAGAAAAGTGAATGCTTATGTAGTACTGGTGAAAACATAAATTAGTTTAGCCACTGTGGGAAGCAGTGTGGATGTTTCTCAAAGAACTCAAAACAGAACTACCATTTGACCTAGCAATTCCATTACTGGGTATATATACAAAAGAAAATCAATAATTCTACCAAAAAGACACATGTACTTGTATGTTCATTGCAGCACTAGTTACAATAGCGAAGACATGGAATCCACCTAAATGCCCATCAATGGTGGACTGGATAAAGAAAATGTACCATATATACACAATGGAATACTACACAGCCATAAGAAAAGAATGAGATCATGTCCTTTGCAACCACATGGATGAAGCTAGAGGCTATTATCCTAAGTGAAGTAACGCGAGAACGGAAAACCAAATACTGCATGTTCTCACTTATAAGTGGGAGCTAAACATTGACTACACATGGACACAAAGAAGGGAACAATAGACACCAGGGCCTGGTTGTGTGGGGAGTGGAAGAAGCAGCTGAGTATTGAAAAACTACCTATGCGGTACTATGCTTATTACCTGGGTGATGAAATCATCTGTACACCAAACCCCCTATTTACCTATATAACAAACCTGCACAAGAACCCCTGACCCTAAAATACAAATTGGAAAGAAAAAATAAAAGAAACCTTTCCTCTAAAGCTTCCGTGGTTTATTTAAGGAAACTAGTGAATGTAGGGACACTCATCTGTTGCCTAAACCATTAGGAGGATCCCTCAGGCCAAATTCAACACACATGCCCTCCACACTCCAATTTGTGCTAACAAATCACATATTGCACAGCCTTATGAAAAAATGAGCATTTTTTATAAATAACTTTATTTTGAATTTTTCCCTTGTCCAAATATGTAGTAATAACAAGGGTGATGCGGAGCTCTTTTATAATTCTACCCCTTAGGTGAGAGATTTGGAATAGTTGTTAAAATCTAATTCTCTCTGTCTTTCAAAGAGTATAATCAAAGTACTGTGTCTCTAAGTGGCTGCTTTACTGCCTCACAGAATACGTTATTTGCCTTTTTCTCCAAAAAGGCTTTCCAGCAAGTGCTCTTGGTAAAACGATCTTGACAAAGTTTTGGAGAGAAGAGTGATGCTCCAACATAAAACAGTCTGGAATTAAGCAGCCGAGCTGTATTCACAGTTGCTCTTCACATTTGTCAGAAACGTGGAGCTGATTAAATAGAGGTAAGTTTTCTCCTCCTTGTCCCATTGATTGTTCTCCAGGCTTGGCCCATAAGCAGGTTTTTCTGTGAATTGTGGTCCACTGGAAAAATCAGTTAACATAAAGATACTTGGAAGTTTTCTCTTCCATGGCCCCAGAGCAGGTGGAAACACTTCACAGCAATGGCAACAATCTTGGAAGGATAGTTTTCTGAAATTCACCTGCAATAAACTGCCTGTTAAAGATGGAAAGCCAGTAGGGCATGACCCGGGGATGCTCCCACCACCTCTCAGGTCTCTGAAGATAAGCGATCTCTCTTCTAGTTCTGGGGCAGTAGGCATTTGCCATTAACTACATTTTCTCAAACATATCTGGCAGCCAGGAATCATTTTAGGAGGGTGCTATAAATTTTAACTCAGAGAAAGAAACGGAAATCATGGTGTTCAGTTACTGGTAAAGTTTGGCACATATTATCAAGTAAATTTCTCAGGCTTGATTCTCTAGATTGAGAGAAAACTTGTTCTGAATAAAGGCTTTAAAATCTAGTACTAAGTCAAATGCAAAAATAATAATGTCTAAAAGTTACGTTCTCTTAGGACCCCATTAGACAAAGGAGAGGGTCTCCTGTTCAGAAACTAGCTGTGCTGTTTAATTTTCTTCTCCACCATTGTGTTTCATATCCTTTTATTTTTCCAATAAGGACAAACACACCCCAAGAGAAAGGTCAGCCAACTCAAGCTGCTGTTCTCACCCAGATGGTGAGAATCCCAGGGTCACACTAGCTGGGACAATGTAAAGATTGGAGATGTTCCCTCTCTGGTCACCAGAATTGTCTTAGGCTTAACCTTAGGCCAAGCCCACCCCAGGCCACCCTAACTGAATGACACTCTCTCCTGCAATAGTAATCAGGAATGAACATTTTCATGGCAGTCTTCAAACTTCACTGCATATTTAGAAATGTCTAAGACCATCAGAGAATTACCAATGCTGGGCACCCCAGATCCCAGAAGCTTCTATTTAATTGGTCTGGGACTGGACTGGACATCAGTATTTTCTTTTTAAGTGGCACAGAACAAGTACCTTTTCAAGATTATCAGAATAGGAGAAAAAACTAGACTCACCAGGCTCACTTTGTGATGAGCCAGCTGTGCACATGGACGGGAGGGATGTCTACTCATGCTGGCACTGTGTTTGGGTGCATTTACAAAGATAGAGGATAAGATATTTCAGCTCACCTGCACCAAGTCTGGGACACATTCCATATACATGGACACAGGAACATATACATGAGTTGAAGGGGCCTGCTGGGGACTGTGGGGAGAATCCACTTCTTATCCAAAGGGCCAGATGAGTGTCAGCTCCAGGCAGTGATGCCAGGAGGAACTTTGGCAGGTTGTCCAATGTTTAGGAGAACTGAGAATTGGAGTTTTCTATGAAATCTCTTGATTTCCTAAGCATCCGCTACAAACATACAATTTTGACAGGTTGCCTAAAATTCCACCAATGAGATATGAATCTGGATATAACAAAAAATGTTTCACCTGCAAGTACTCTCATACCTTGGAGTGAATTTGCTCAATGCCACTCTGCATTGAGTAATAGAACCATGTGGGATAATAACAATAGGAGAGAGGTTATTTTGCATCAGGAGAAGGGGATGTTTGCTGAGGGACGCTGGGAAGCCAGGGATTGATGTGTGAGCACCGAATACCTGAAAGACAGGCAGAGATGAGATTAACAGAAAGAAAGGGAGAAATAACAATGACACTGGCTATAAGAATAAACCTAATGCATCCCCGCCTTGCTGGAATTTATGTCTTTGAAGAAGAGGCAGACAGTATGCAAATAAATATATGCCAAGTGATAAGTGATACTGAAGAAAAAGTAGATAGAGCAAGGGAATAGACACCGGAGAGTACTTTCTTAAACAAGGTGGTTCCGGAAGATCTATTTCTTACAAAACGTGAAGGACATGAGGCAGCAAGCCAGTGATATTCCTGGAATAAGATGGTTCCTGGCAAAGGAAAGAGGAAGAGCAAAGACCCAGAGGTGGGAATGAGCCTGGGAAGATTGAGAAACAGCAGTGAAGTCAGCATGGCAGGGGCAGAATGTATGAGGGAAGAGTGATAGGGCGTCAATTCAGAACAGTGAGGAGGGACAGAGATGTGCAAGACTCTGAACCGTTGCACAGATACTGGCCTTTAAGGGAGACAGGTAGGTGTTGGGGGCTTTGAAACAGAGGAGTCACATGATCTGACATACTTCAAAAGGATCACTCTGCATTGAGAACTGCTGTCCTGAGAACATGCTATAGGGGACTATAGGAAAAGCTGGGAGCCCAGCCCAGAGGATATGCAATAATCCATGCAACGCAGAATGCCTCCAAAGTCAACTCACGTTTCTGCTGGCAGAATACTGGGAAATGCAGACTAGGGCGGCAAAGACAGCAGATGTCCAACACAGGCTTAACCATCTTCCATTAAACCGGGCAATTACTGTTTGCCTTCAGCCACATCTGGAAACTAATAGCGGAAGAGAGTATGACATTCTCAGCCAGCTCCATCTTAAGGAAAAGAAATTTCTCCACTCATGTTGCAGGGGTCTAAGGGTAGTGGAAGTCATGGTGGTAAAAAGAGAATGATGGCTTTTCTCCGTAAACAGCCACAAATGTTTGAGTTATGGATAACAATTAAGCCCTAATTGGCAATAATGTAAACCTCTTCTGAATGGATGTGGTAAATATTGAAACAAACGAGCTGCTATTTTTCAGACCTGGATGGCAGTCAGTCAAAATGAAAAGCTAATTTCAGCCTTGGAGGCAAACTCTGTATTTTAATCAAGTGTGACAGAGTGGGAACAATAAATTGGCATTTAAGGTGAGGGGCTATTGACTTCCCTGCTGCAATCCTTGTGATAAGTTGCAATGCCCCCCTTGCAAAATGAAAACAAACTATGGCTTTGATCCAGAGCATAAACATCTAGGGAACTGGCCAGAGGCAGAGTTCAAAGGCAGCTGAAAGCTAAAGGCAAATGGTCCACCTTCCCAGATGTCCAGTGCTGGGAGGACACCTTGTGCTATTTGGTTGTCCTCGCAATTGCCGGCCAATGTAATTAATCAAAAGTTTCTATACTGAGAATCATGAAAATAAAGGAGGGTGCGTGTGTGTGTGTTTGTGTGTGTGTGTTTGTGTGTGTGTGTGAGAGAGAGAGAGTGTGTGTGTGTGTACTCTACCATACTGCAACACAGCACTAAAATCTAATTATGAAGGATCTGAAATAATAATTTAGTAAATGATGTATTCAAGAATTATTAGCTAGGTGCCAATTACATCCAAAGCACGGTTATAGGCGCCGAGGAATCAGCAGCAAACAAAGTTTTCTCAAGTAACTTACATTCTAGTGAAAATAACAGCTAAAACTTTGAGTTTTATGCTGGGGGTCTGGACTGTTCTAAGTGTGTGTGCATTGACATACGTATTTTTCATTATAATCCTATGTGTTAACTACCTTTATTACCTCTGATGTACAATTGAGAATGCTGAGGCACAGGTTCAGGAATGAGGCTAAGGTCACACAGCTATGTATGTCTGCTGGGTACAATAGTAAGCCAGGCAATGACATTGTCCTCTTTAAGCTTCAGGCCTAGAGGGGAATCAAGCATGAAACAAGGAATTTCAAGTGTTTCAACTGTTAACAAAGGAAATGCATGGAATTGGGGCAGGGGAGGGTAATAAGACCCAATCTAGCTTGACTTTTTTTTTTATTATAGCAATAAAACTTGTATTATGGCCTCTCATAAAAATGCATCTGTTTTCCTGAATAACAAGTCTGGCTGATTTGAGGACAATAGTTGGTTTTGTTCTTTGCTAAAACTGGCAGTCCGAAATCCTAATTTCCTTTCTCCATATTCATGTTAACCTCCCTTCCCCAAATCCTATAAGGATGGGCTAAACATGGAAGAGTGAGATGAATATTTTCTAACACATTAAACTTCTAGAATCAAATAGTGTATATAATTTATATATGTAATGTTCTGAAGATTTCGTATCTTCTGTGAGTCTGTCTCCATATATATTATTTATATGTTTTAATATTTCAATAAAGCCAGTAGGGTTCATGTTACTCTGAATCCCTCATTCTAATAAAAGAAAATCAGCTTGTAAAATATTTACTTTATTAATCTTAACATATTGAGGGTACTTTATTAATTGTACAGGGTTTAAGGGTATGATTTTGAAAAAATAAAAAGAAAAATCCTGTCCCTGATAGTCTCAGGTGCTCACCAAGTGACATGATGCTATGTACGTGTATAACTCCTGCTCTAATTCTCGAGAGGTGAGGAGATGTAGAGAATTAAAAACAAAAAGCAAAACTGACTTTCTCAGTAGGCTTTGTTAATTACCTGAAGAAGGAATTGTGAGCTTTTTCACATTAGTGGGGACAATCATAACACAGTAAAAGCTCCAAGTTTCCAGATCGCATTCTCCAAAGGTGTTTTCGAATGGCTGTTTAAGTCCCACCCAGAAAATATAAAGCCATAGAGGAGTTCATTTAGCCATGTCATTAAAAACATTTGGGAAGTCAATCAGCCTCTCTCTTCCTCCATTTCCCGAACTGTTAATGGGAACAATAACTGTGATCTCGTCTGGATATTTGTCTCTGCCCAAATCTCATGTTGAATTGTAATCTCCAGTGTTGGAGGTGGAGCCTGGTAGGAAGTGTTTGGATCATGGGTGGCTTGGGCCATCCCATGGGTGACAAGTGAGCTCTCACTCTGGGTTTCCATGGGATCTGGTTGTTTAAAAGTATGTGGTGCCTCCCTTCCCACTCTTTCTCTCTCTCATTGGCCCCTGTGCTTTCACCATGTGACACGCCTGCTCCCTCTTCGCCTTCCCCCGTGACCGCGAGCTCCCCGAGGCTTCACAAGACGCCGAGTAGATGCCTGCACCATGCTTCCTGTAAAGCCTGCCAAACTACTTTCTTTATAAATTAAACCTCCTTTCTTTATAAATTAACCAGTCTCAGGTATTTCTTTTTGTAAAATCTAAAATAAAATTCAGACTGGGCACTTTGGCTCATGCCTGTAATCCCAGCACTTTGGGAGGCCGAGGAGGGCAGATCACTTGAGGTCAGGAGTTCAAAACCAGCCAGGCCAACATGGTAAAACCCCGGCTCTACTAAAAATATATTTTAAAAATTAGCTGGCCATGGTGGTGGGCACCTGTAATTCCAGCAACTCAAGAGGCTGAGGCAAGACAATCACTTGAACCAAGGAGGCAGAGGTTGCAGTGAGCCATGACTGTGCCACTGCACTCCAGCCTGGGTGACAGAGTGAGATTCTGTCTCAAAAAAATTAATAAAATGTAATACTTTTTTTAACTTTTAAGTTCAGGGGTACATGTACAGGATGGGCAGGTTTATTACAAAGGTAAACATGTGTCATGGGGTTTGTTGTACAGATTATTTCACCACCCAGGTATTAAGCCTAGTATCCATTAGTTATTTTTCCTATTCCTGTCCTTCCTCCCATCCTCCCGCCTCGGATAGGCCCCAGCGTGTGTTGTTTCACTCTATGTGTCCATGTATTCTCATCATTTAGCTCCCACTCATAAGTCAGAACCTGCAGTATCTGGTTTTCTGTTCCTGTGTTAGTTTGCTAAGGATAATGGCCTCTAGATCCAGTATTTCTTTATAGCTATGCAAAAACAACTTAATGTAAACTGTATCCATCTCATAAGGCTGATAGTTCAATTAGTCAATATACAAAAATCCCTAGAACAGTACTCAGCACAAAGTTGTACACACACATAAGTTGCTATGTTGTTGTCATGTAATTTTTTTTTTTTTTCTGAGACAGTCTCTCTCACCCAGGCTGGAGTGCAACGGCATGATCTCTGCTCATGGCAACCTCCTCCTCCTCCCGGGTTCAAGAGGTTTTCCTGCCTCAGGCACCTGAGTACCTGGGATTACAGGCGTGCACCACCACACCTGGCTAGTTTTTGTGTTTTTAGTAGAGATGAGGTTTCATCACGTTGACCAGGCTGGTCTCGAACATGACCACAGGTGATCGCCTGCCTTGGCCTCCCAAAGTGCTGAGAATACAGGCATGAGTCATCACGCCTAGCCCACTTTACATATATTTATTGGACACCTACTCTACTCTCTTTTATCTGCTAATGAGAGCAACAAAGACAAGGTCTTTACTTGTTGCCATATACTCTTATAGGGAAAACAAGCAATAGATAAACAAGACAATTTCAGCTTTGGTTAATGGCTATTCATAAAATTTAAAAAGGCTTATGAGAAAGGATGCCTCCCTGGACAACAGGGGAGCTACAGAAGCCTCTCTGTGGGGGTGACATTTGAGGTGAGACCTGAATGGTGGAGAAAGTCTTGGCCAGGAGAACATTTAGAAAGAAGTGTTCCACACAGAGAACAGCAAAGGCGAGAATCTTGCTCCAAAATATATTAGCTTGTATTGTATTGTGGAGCAAAGAAGCCCACTGGACTGGGGTAGAAGGGTGAGAGATGAAGTGTCAGAGGAGAACGGGGACAAGGTCCAGACATGAGGACTGGCGAGAAGTTGGCTTCTATGCCAAGTATGCTGGGAGGCCACGAGACACTTACAGACTTGGAAACAACACTCTTCAACCTACATCTTAAAAGACAACTCTGGTTGTTTCAGCCATTTACCTAGGTCGCCAGAGGTAAACACATCTTTTCCAGACACAGAAGGGAGAATGTTTGAGGGATTTATTGAGAACGTAAATCTCACAGGTGTCAGAGCTAGAGGAGGCCTCTGGAAGGTGAAGTCCAACACCTTCATCTTATAGAGAAGGAAACAGCCTATCTTCCAATACATCAGGCTCAGACTTGAGAGAAATGTTGATTGCTTTGCAAGTGCAGGTGTTGAATTAATTCAAGATGAGGCCTGAAAGCATAAGCTGCACCTGTGTTCCAGAAACAGGAGGAACCTTGCTAGGTTCTTTATTACCCTATGGAAACAAATGGGCTGCTTCTTCCTAAGTCTTCCTAAGAATATGTCTCCAGCCCCTACCATCAATACTTGGTGTCAAGCAGGGTCTTGCATATGCCAGCTGTGTGCAGGGACCCACCTGAACAAAGGTGAAAAAGAAGAAAAGAAAAATGCATCAGGTCTATGCTCCCCAAATTAAGTCTGTGCATGAAGGACCCAGACATCAGAGTGCAAGTTCACATGCCAGTTCTGACTGCATTAGGGCATTGGGTCCTAATCTTATGTCATGCATTCATTAGGAAAGCACGTGGATCTTCAGGGTGAAAAAAGGAAAAAATTTAAAAGATCACACCCACATTCTGTTACTGCATTGCACCTCAGAAACCTGAGCTTGGCAGATGGGAGTTAAAAAGAAGCGCTAGTTGCCTGAAGCATGTCTTAATTTGTTATGTTGGTTCTATTTGTTTCTCTTTTTAATGGTTCACTTAGCCAAACTGGGGCTGGGAAAAAAAAATCAATCTTAGAAGATGCCCAAACTTTTTGAAAATAATTTTGAATTAAGGAATCTAGAGAGAAATGAGTTTGGATAGATTTTACTATTTAATTTACACCATCTAGAAGATTATATAAATCCAGTGCTGGAGTCCCCAGCAGGAAGATGAAATACACAGTTGGGGCACCAACAAAGCCAGGGGCATTTTTTTTTTTTTTTGGTAAGAAATACATTGCCATGTTCAAAAGTCTAAGTAATAATTATGGGGGGAAAGAAATTTGTTGGACATCCACTCATGCTTGTACTATTGATTATTCTGAACTTCGCATGAAGTAGGAAGTTAGGTCATAATCCTTATAGTAATACTAAGGGCTTCTAAGGGGCTTAATCTGAGGACCGTCATAGTCAGTGGGATAATGTCAGTAAAGTGTCTTGATTTCTTCCAAAGACTATGGTTGATAAATGTTAGCATTTGTCCTTTCCCTGCCTTTTCTCTAAGCTCATTCCACCCATTAATATAACATTATTCAAAACTTACATGTATTTTTCATTTTATAGTTTTAAAACAGTTTGGGGGAACCATCATCCTATGAGATTTTTACAACAAGCCTGCAAGGGAACCCACACTAAGAGGCTCTGGCAATGACTGGATTGCTCATGGCGTGTTAGAGTCATTTTTTTAATACAAGCTGAATTGCCCTCCTCCCTCACTATAGGTTTCAAGGAAATAGGGTGATGGGGAGGAGGAAGTTGTGAGTCTATTTATCATAAATATGAGTAATAAGATCAATTTTATGAACATTTTCCTATGACAGAGTTTTATGATACATATTCTCTAAGACACATTTTGTAATTCTGGAGTTAACACATGTCTTGGGGATAATGGTTGGAGTCCTAAATTGAGATTAAGGAAGTCTGTGTAGTCTAAGAGTTTGGTGGCTCTGAAAAGGTTTATCTTCTTTACATGGACTATGAGAAAACAGGAGATGATCTAACTTATGAAAAAGAATTGAGCGTAATGCAATTTCATTTTACCTGAAACCTTTGCCCCATATTTCATTCACAGGTTTTAAATACTCTGTATCCTTCTCTATCTTGTTTATAGAGAAAGATGCTGCACATCACTGTATCTGAATAAAAAATAATTTGTAGGTCTTCAGGATTGCTTCCTCTTTGCAAAATCCCTTGCCTAACTTATGATTCCTTTCATCGAGGCTGAGTCAAAAAAAGATATAAGAATGGAGACAGGAGAAGATAGAAATGGAGATTTCATTTTCTCTTCTCAAAAAGAAGACAACTTTCTGATTCCACAATAGGAGGCCAAGGTGTTATGAACCTCATTACACAGATAGGCTTAAGTAATTTTCCCAAAATCTCATAGCTGGAAAATTACCACGAGGGGATAAGAACTCTGCCTCTTCAACTCCACATCCGGAGCCATGCCATACAGGGAAATAAATAGTCCCATTTAATTTGATCTAATCAGTGATCTGTTGAAAGAGAAAGATAAACGTCCACTTTTTTAAGCTGACATGATCTTGAAACTGCACTTGAAGTTTGGATAGGATCCAAGTGTGGAAAGCCCACCCCCTCCTGCATCAGTCATTTCATTTTTATCAAATTGAAATGCAGCCATTCTTTGCCCTAATTATCCCCCCTTTGTCAATTCTGCTCCTTCACAATGGATCTTCATTCATTAATGTATACAACACTTTTTTTATTCCATTCAGGCAAACAAATATAAGAGTGCTCATCAAATCTCAATGCTCTTCTGGGAAGTGGAGCTAAAGTGCTAAAGGTAGGGCCAGGCATGGTGGCTCATGCCTGTAATCCCAGCACTTTGGAAGGCCCAGGCAGGCAGATTGCCTGAGATCAGGAGTTTGAGACCAGACTGGCCAGCATGGCAAAACCCCCTCTCTACTAAAAATATGAAATTAGCCCGGCATGGTAGCACGCCCCTGTAGCCCCAGCTACTCAGGAGGCTGAGGTAGGAGAATCGCTTCAACTTGGGAGGTGGAGGTTGCAGTGAGCCAAGATCACACTACTTCACTCTAGCCTGGGTGAAAGAGACTCTGTCTCATAAATAAATAAATAAATTAAAGTGCTAACGATAGTGGCCCTGCTTTCTAGAGTTCATATTCTACTGTCAAGAAAGAGGTAAGTACAAAGTCAATGAGCCTGGAAGGACCCAAGATCCTTGGACAAAGTCCAAGGGGTTCTCTGATCAGAGGCTGGTGCTTTTACAAGAGGAATACAGAAGCCTAGGAAGGTGGATGGACCTCCTCCTTGTCACTTTCTTCCTTTGATTCATCTTTTTTTGTTCTCTATCTTTAGAGAAGCAAGACCTAAAGCAGTCAATATTATAAAAAGAAAAGGAAAAAACACCTCAGAAATCTTTAATCAAACAAAATTAATCCCAAGTTTAAATAACTAAACCAGATAAAGGCAGAGCTACTCGAATCGACTAGAGGGTGGAGGAATTTGAGTTAATCTGCTTGTTCTCTCTGTTTTCGTTTTGCAAGGGGTCTTTGGCAGTGGTGTGGTTTAGAGGTACATGGAGCTGTGAAGGCACTGGAGAGCCAAGTTATAAACCATTGACAACCTTGGTTAGATTTTAGACCTAGCCCATGGAAAAGAGCAAAAATGCCTGGTCAACCTATTTTTAAAGGAGGCCTTTGTTCAGTGAAGCCAAAAGACTCTAGGCAGCTCAGCCAGTCAGAATTTCTCTTTAAGGATATGGGTCATGTATCTTCCACAGAGCATCTCTTTTTTACATCTTCCTCTCCTTCCAACATGGGAAAACTGTAGGCAACTGGTGAAGAAAGAATTCAATATTCACCCAAATATATTTTCATCTCAACATGGCTTTCATGCTTGGTATTACATTTAAATGATGACTCATTCTAAAAATTTTAACATAAATGATAGACCTACAAAACATGCATGCCTATTATAAATTTGGTTTACTCTCAAGAGGCTTTTGATAAGTCATGCAGACGGCTTTTAGATAATTTCAGTATCTACAGGTTTAATGGTCTTTGGGAAGAGATAGGAACAAAATGGAAACAAAAAGGTAATGTGTAAGAAATCAACCAATTTTTTATTCTAATTCTGGAAAAATTTTGTCGATTTGTTCGGCATAGTATTACTCCACCTCCCCCTATCCTCAGAGAAAGATTTCTAAGAACTAGATTTTAAAACTAAATAAGTCTGGATTCAAAGCTCCTCAGAGCTCTACCAACTGTCAGCTCTGTGACCTAGAGCAAACAATTTAACTTCTCTTTGCTTAATTTGCTCAACTGTAAAATGGGATAATAACAGCAATGACCTCATAGAGTTGTCACGAGCACTGGATTTAATGAGATAATGTAGGCTAAGAGCTGGGGCCAGGGTCTAGCACATGGTGAGCACTCAATAAATGGTAGCTATTATACACCATGTGTCTATTTTATTGTTTTTTCATTTTGACACTTCCTAGCACAGGACTTCAAATCCCTTCCGTGCTCTAGAATCAATCAACTGTTTGGGGGTAATAATTATTAAGCTTAATATGCAGATGTGGAACAGCCAAGTAGGATTAAACACTAACCATGATCGAGCCTTGGGTCCACCAGATATTTTCACACAAATTATCACCTTTAATCCTTTATGCAGCCCTATGAGGTACGTGTGGCCAAGTGGATAGCAGAGTGGGAACGAGATTGTGTGATTAAATGCTGAGTCAGACCGTGTCAATTCAAATTCTAACTCTACTTCCTACACGCTACTTGGCTTTTGGGAAATAATTTCTTTCATCAAATTCCATTTTGCTCAAGGAATATAACAATAATTAAAAGGCATAATGCAAGCAAACATATCACATGGTTCCTAGTACATAAGTATGGAACAGTGTTCAGTTTTATTATTGTAGAAGCTCTTTTAATCAACCTCCACTTAACTGACATGACAATCGCCATTCCTTCAGGAAAACATAGTGACTTATTCTTACTCATCCCTGGATCTCTCATCTTTTTGCACACCTGTGCTTCCCCCAGGTAAATTCTATATAAACCAAGATCATTTATGGTTGCTTATTTCACTTGTACCTATTATTGAAAGTATATCATTTTGTTAAACTTTACATAAATTATTGAATATTAGTGCAAAATAATTTTTCTATAAAAATTAAGTTAAAATATTTGGAAAGATAGAAAAGAGACTGCTTATTTTATAAGGCAGTTGAACTAGGTTTAAATAGAAAATCATATAAAAATAGAACAGTCATGAACACATCTAAAAATCATCCATAGACATTGCTTCACAATATGTTTTTAAATTTCCTCTTAAAAAAGAAACTGGGAAATTGCCAACATGTGTCATGGGTATAGCTTACATAAGAAAGGTGCAGAACTCCAATAAGCGAACGCACACTCAAAGAAAAAGCTCTCGCCTTACAAAAAGATTAGCAAATGAATGAACAATTACATGTTTTAATATAAAACAACTCCCACTATGTTAGCTATTATTTCCATCTAATAGATGGGAGTCACGCTGGGAAGAATTACGGCTCCCAAAGATGTTTACAGACCCTAGACAGAACCTGAAAGATTCCCCTGGAGAAAGCTGGAATTTAGATGGAGGATCAGAAGACAAAGTTAAATAAAGCACTACGTCAACAAAGAGCCCTCCCTTTGTAGAATTGCATGCAGTGCTAAGAGGCTCATTTCGGAACACGGTTGTCTCCTGTTCAATACATAGCAAATGACTTCCTTACATCCTCTTAAAGAAATGGGAAATATTGAGTGAATTTATCTAACAGCCCACACACTGAGTATAAGCTATTTGCCTTGTGTTATTATGACTATGAATTTTGCGTACCTTTTAATCACTGAAGTCTCCAAAGCAACTCTCCAACTTCAAATTCCTTTTTATCCACAGTTCTGCTGATTCCTTTAGATCTCCCAAGCCTTCTTACAAGACTGAATATATTACTCATTTATAATACAGTATTTAAATACCCTCTGTTTGATTTTTTTCCTGCTAATCTTATCTTAACCTCCTCTCCTGAAGTACCACCCACCTTTGCATTTCTTAAATCCAGCATATACCTAAATAGATTGAATTCAAATTTCCATGGTTTCATTGAGAAACCATATTTTTTTTCAAGCACTTAGTTTAGTTATGGGATTCAATACAAAAATCCCTAGGCAGAGCCCATCTCCTCCCCAAAGTTGAAAACAATAGCATTTGTTTTATTAATATTTAATATTTAGTGTGCACCAGCCAAATATACAATGCTGCATCAACTTCCACTGTTACGCGCTGTACTCTCATGGGTATTTCCAATCTAATGATATTGTGATCTGCCTTTCTTCCACATCAATTTATTTATCATACTTGGCGCAAAGCCTAGCATTAGCTCCAAACTCTACTCCAAGGGGCAAATCCCTTTTTCTCTGGCAAAGGTTTTTTAAGAAAGCCAAGAGGGGAGATGGAAAAGGCTATAATTTCCTATTTGTAAGTTGATTTATTTTTTAGCCAAAATATACTTTAAAATTCAGAGTTCTCATTTTTTAATCAACAGGTCTTTCTTATCTGTACCAATATTTCTTCATCTGCTTACATTACGACTTGACTTCTCCATATCCTCTCCAGCAGTCCTCAGAGTAAAGACATTTAATTTCGTTAATGGTTTGCCAATCCTTGTTTGCAGCATAAGTGCAAATATTTATCTACGATTTTTCCTCTTATCTTCCCAGTCCAGTGGCACCCTCCCCTCCCCCTCATTTGTGTCCCTTGTGCCTTAGGAAAGCCCACAACTTCTGGGGTTTTGTCACTAAGTGTTGCTTCAACACTAGATACACTTGGTTTTCCAGCCAGGAGGTAACTTGTGCCACATCTGCACATGTATAGTCAAGCACTAAGCCACAAATTTGTGCTTCTACTTGCTCTCTTATGTGAAATCCTTCTCATTTCTGAAAGCCACTTTTACTGACCTGGATAGACACTATTTATGATTTTCACTTCTCAAAACTAAGATTGAAAATAACTCAAGAATTATCTATTAACCAACACATCCCCCAACTTACAAACTTAAAAAAAAATGGATCCAGATTGATCCATTCTTTCTTTTTTTCTTTATTTTCTCCTTCCCATTTGCTCATCCTTTCCTTTTCCCTTTTATCCTTCTTTTCATTCTAGAAATATCTACTGGGTGTCTCCTTTTTGCCAGGAACAGTTCCAAATGCTGAAGACACAGTAAGGTATAAGGCAGGGGGTCTCCCATCTCACAGGACTTACATTCTGGTGGAAGAGATGGGCATAAAACAACAAATTTAGTATTTGTTTAGGACTGCGATAAATGCCACTTAGGAGGACAAGATAACATGAAAACCTATTAAAAAGGGGCCTGATCCATTATGGGAGTTGGGTGTGCTCCTTAGGGGATGTAGGTCTCAACTCGGCAAAGAAAGATCAAGCAGGAAGAACATCCAGGCAGAAGGAAGGGAACCTGTGAAGCCCTGAGATGCAACAGGTCTTGATCCTTCTGAGAAACTGGAACAACTTTAATGTATCTGTGTAGCAAATGGCAGGAGGTGAGACCAGACGGGTAGGCTCAAAGCCAGTCACTAAGGTTAATGATTGTGGATTTTAACCTAAGAGCAAAGAAGAGCCACCTAACAGTTCTGGAAAAGTCCCTTTAATTGCTTTGTAGAAAAGGAGCCACTAATTCATAACCACCAGATAACATATAAGAAGGCACTGCCACCTGTAGAATTCTGTGCACCTACTACAAGAGATGACAGCAATGGTGAGACAGTGTCATTTTTCCTCTTCAGGACCCATGACAATGACTATTTCTTTAATAAATTCCCTGGGCTGGACCGGAGAAATTGCTGACTCTGAAACCCTGTTCAGCCAAGAGTACAGCTCGATGTAATGGGGACTGAAAGTCACTGTTGATTGCTCCATATCCTTAGTAAACAAGACACAGGTCTTTCAAGACAGCAGATTACTGGATGTCAAAATATGCCCTTTTATTATACTTTCGTTTTTGTTCACAATAACTTCAAAAGTGTATCCCCCACTACTAATGGCAGAAGTTCAATCACTGCACCTGCCCCACCCACCATAGAGCTTGTCCTCCTTGGGAGGCATTGATAGCAACAGAGTCAGATTGAAGCAAATGGCATCTAGGGACCTTTGAAAGAGGGTCTTTGTTCTCCTACAGCAAATATATAAGCAAGACAGGTAAAGAAGGGTTATTCTGCAAAATAACAAATATGGTCAAAATGCATATGAAAAATATTCAACCTCACTAGTAATTAGGGCAAAGAATGTTAATACAGGAACAAGACAGCATTTGTCGGCAAGTGTTTTAGAAAAGATGAAAAATAAATGATAAACTCTGGGCCACAATAGGTATGGGATCATATATCAGTAGACATTTTCTCAGGGGCCATTTGCTGATTTGTATCAAATCCTCACAAATGTTCATTTCTTTTCATATACAAATGGCACTGCTAAAAATGTATTCTAAAGAAATTAAGATGTGCTCAAATATGTATTTACAAGGGCAATTGTTGCAGTGCTACTTGCCATAGCAAAGACGCAGTGAATATCCTGCATGCTCAATATTAGGTTAAATGAAATACGATATAGTCATAGGATGAGTTAGCATGCACTTATTCAAAATCATGCTGTAGGTGAATATTCATTGCAGAAGTGTTAACAATACTAAAAAGGAGACAGGCTATAAAACAATATGCATAACATGATCCCATTTCATATAAAACATGAAAAGAAGAGACAGACGAGGCTGGGTCAGAGGGACATCACCAACATCTTGCCAGTACCCATCTCCAAGGAGTGGGATTATGGAAGATTCATTCCCTCATGATTTTTCAGTTGTTCAAATTTTCTTAGATGAGTCTGTGTTGCTTATGTAATAGATCTACTTAATACTAATTGTTTCAAAGGATGTGCAGAAGCATATCCATCTGTGTATTTCCAGCACATAGGATATGCATTCATTAAATGTCTACTGAACAAACTCAAGATATTCAAGAGAAGAAAGTCAAAAATTGCATGTGTGTGTTTGTGAGTAAATAGTTTTATTCTAATTGAAAGCTTGCGATGTTCTATAAACATAATATCATTCCATGAGGATTTTGTAAATGCTGCCTCATTATAATGTATGTATATATTATAACGAACATCCCAGCAGAGGGAAGGGATGTGTATGTACACACTGTGTAGATTTGGGAGGAAAAAAAGGAGATTATTGTTAAAAGCAAATAAATTCCAGATTGAAAATGTAGGCTTCTCGTAAGAGATAATAATAATGATAGTAATGGTTCAATACATTGAAGAGCACTTATGAATGCAAATTCATTTTCAAGTTCTTTCACATTATCCCCAGTACTTTGTACCAGGTTAAACTCCTTAGGATTCTGGCTGCATTAGCATTTTCTCTTTACACTTTCAAATAAAGAAGTATATATGGGCCAGTTAAAATTCTATCTTCTCCAACACCACATGCTCTCACTCCTATGCAGAATTTTAAACATTTGATATCCTAGAAGTAGAGTAGAATGGTGTTTACCAGGGACTGGGGCGACTGAAAGGGGAGCAGTTGGGGAGATGTTGGTCAAAGAATACAAAATTTTAATTAGCTAGGATAAATAAGTTCAAGAGATCTATTGTACAACATGGTGGCTACAGTTACTAACAACATGTTGTATCCTTGAAAAATATTAAGATACCACAACCTTAGTGGTAAGCTGTGTTCTCACCACAACAATGGTAACTATGTAAAATACTGCATATGTTAATTAGCTAGATTTAGTCATTCCACAATGTATTTAAACTGCAAAACATCATGTTGACCAGGATAAATTTTATCTAATTTCAAAAAATTTTTAAGTAAAATTAAATATAAATAAATAGTTTATCTTCAAATATCTAAACAACTGCAAACTTCTCATCCACAACTTTTCAAGGATTTCAGTTTCACTAGGTGCTTAGAAATTTCTAAAATCTATTTCATATACTAACTTCTTCCGTTTGAATAGAAACCCAATCAACCACAACTATCAAATCTAAGAAGAAAATTCTACCTAAGGTCTAGCACAGGGGGGTTGCATTGAGGTCCAGGCCACAGAGAGAATGGGAGAAAGCATGTCAGTGACAGCTTAGAATGCCTGGAATCACACTGTGCATTTATAATTTTCATAGGAAGTATAAACTAAAAGATGTTGATGTCACCCAAGTGAACACAGTTGTTAGATAAGCATTCCTTGAATTAATCCTTGGAACATAATAAAATAGTAAAAGATAATAGTCTTTTCTCATGTTGTATTTTTGCTTAACAAAATGAATGATAATTGTGAGCTTTTATCTGACAATAAAGGTTACTGCATTTCTCACTCAAATTGAGCATTAATCTCACTGGGTGTCTTCCCCCCTTCATTCCCCGCAACATATATCCTTGTGCTTTCCCTATCTCTACCCTACTTCTGAATACCCACAAATTAATGTTGACTAGATGATGAAAACTCTTTCCAAAAGGTTTGCAATACCAGCACCTTATCCAAGGCTTAATCTCGTACATTACCATCACAATCAAACAATTATCTGAACACACCTCAGATGCTTTCTACAAATCTTTTCAAATTTCTACTAAATAGCTTCATTATGCTGCTTTCAATTCACAATAATTAGGCAGAGTTTTGCAATGTTACCTATTGGCCTCATTTTTTCTGCTTATGTACTAAAGAATAAATTCAAAACAGATCTCTGAAATGAAATGATGCAGCTTAACAGTCTTCAGGTATAAACTGAAGGCATTTAAACTGATGTTATGGCCCTAAGCGCCTTTTTGCATTAACTATTGACATATTTGTTTCAAACTTGCTTTGGGTAAAATCCCTCATTACAAGGTTTGGCTGGATGTGGCCAGGGTAAGAGAATCTAACAAAACCTGTGACTTGAAGTCAGATCTGAGAGGCAGTGACCACAATTTAGGAACTACAGATGAACTTGAATGTCAAAGCTCCATGACTAAGGAGGGTGGTAGGAGTCTCAATTAAATCTGTAAATATATAAGCTGTAAATATAAAATGGTAGCAGTTCCTACAGTGCTATTGTGAGAAGAAGGTAACATGAATGTCAAGCTTTTAGTATCGTACCTCACACGTGGAGTTCAAGAAACATTATAATGATGATGATGATTTATACACAAAAATCATCTTATTTCTCAGAAGAAGAATCTCAAGCTCAGATCTTTTGATTTGCATCTCATCGCTCTCTTCAAAACATCCCACCACCTCTGGTTAAAAATGTTCATTGTGTGTTTTAGTTTTGAGTACGTGTGCGTGAATATGTGTGTGTGTCATATATATGCCTTCATACTAAATTTCTCTCCTCCTTGTTACAAATAAAATGTATACTTATGGTTATGCTTTAAGGTCTATGATTTCCTTATGTTAATCTCCTTTATGATAATTGTAGCTTTTCTATCTGCTAAATAAACACTGCTCTAAACACTCCCCAGGTAATAAGCTTATTTAATCCTCACAGCAACTGCATAAAGAAGATACTACTATTATCTATGTTTTACATGTGAGGAAACAGACACACAAAGAACTAGGCAATTAACCAACATCATCCTGTTAAATGGCAGAGGCTCAGGTAATATGGCTCTAAGGTTTATGGTCTTTCATCATTCTCCATGGCCTCTGTAAACCAGTAAACTCAGAAATTCAGTTTGGAAGTGAACCTATGCTTGAGGTTCTTTGCTGGGGCTCTTGATAACACAACCACCAGGCAGTTGTCGATGCCAGCAATCTCCCGGGTACCTACTCTTTGCAACATGCTGTAGTCAATGCCTTATAAGAAATAAGGCGGGACCTGGGCTGTGGAGGACTGTTTTCACCTAGGAAGTAAAGTAACAGAGTCCTCTAACAATGATGACCTGTGGCAAAAATGCCAAGGGCTATTGAAGGGTTCTGAAATTAAGTACAACAGGAATTTTGAGAAAAGAGTCATGACTTTAGCAGCGAGCTTAGGGGGATATTGCTTTATTTTAACCAGTTTCAAAATGGAGAATTGAGTCAAGCAATATTAAGAAAATCAATGCCACCCCTAGTTTGAAGTTAAGCTGCATCAGTTCATTTCATTGTCCTGAATTGTCTGGGGTGAGCAGATTCCTTGATGTTATGTATTCACCACGGTAGAATAAATGGGGAAACTGGGTGATGATTGGACACAAAAGAGCAAGAATACCTAACTCATAGCTAAGTGCATAGATCTTTTAATCAGATACAACATCTTTTAACAAAGAATTGTATTTTTCATCTGGCATATAAAAGACTCTAAAGAAAAATAGATTTCCTTCCCTGTGGATTTAAGGATTCTGAGTTATGGAAAATTTAGGAGTATGGCAAATCCCTGTTGCACCTATATAGTCTTCCAAACAAACAGGGATTCAAATAGATTCCAGGTCCTCAGGAGTTTTGATTTCTCTGAGATCCAACTAAATGCATTATTATAATATTATTATTAATACATCAAATGCACTGAGCAGCTATCACGTGCCATACACACAAGACACCTCAACATAATTATTTTCCATGATTGTTACAACACAGCTATGAAGTAAAGATTATTATTCCCTATAAATGAAGAATTGAAGGCCACTGAGCTCAGTGGCTCACCTAAGGTCTGGCATTAGTCAATCAGCAAAGAATCACAGCTCTAACATGGTCCAGACGGAAGAAACTTAACTTGTGCAAAAAGCAGCCAGGGTTGTTTTAAAAATGAAAGTACTCACTGAAAAGTAGCTCCCAAAAAGTAGCCCAATTTTCTTTCAAATCGAATAATTGTTCTAATTGTGTTTTCTTAGATTTTGCATTGGGCAACCTATCATCACAGGGCCAATTATCTTAACTATGTTTTCTTATTTTCTGTCTTCTTGGTGCTCTGGCATTTGGGGACCTTATAGTCCGAGGGTGAGACTGGCCCCCTCAGGGTTAGCTAATTCTTTTCTTGATTTTTTTATTTATTGTAGCTAATTCTCAAAGGCAATAACAACTGGCCTGAAAGTGACCCTCTGCATACAAATCAGCCAACCCCGAGTCTACAGCCCCAACCGCTTCCTTTTCTAACTCTCCCACACCAAGCCAATGTTTCCCCTGCCCTACGTCACTCAGGGTCAGGAACCAGACAGCTAGAGACCACTGCTGGAGCCCAGAGCCTGCAACATTATTCAAACTGGCTAATCCTAAATTGCTTACTCTGCCCTGCCCTTCCTTTCTGGCAGAAACCCCAATAAAGGCTGTGGCCTAGGCCTTCTCACTCCTGCTTCTGCGTGATGTGGTGTGTCTCCCTCTCTCAGGAAATTAAATACACACCTTCTTTCAATAGCATTGGTCTCTCTGTATCACCACTTAGTCACCTCCATAAATTAAAATCCCATGGGTATAAATTTTAGAACGATAACAAAGGGAGAAATAAAATGACTTTATTGCCAAATCACATCATAGAAAATCTTATCTTGGTTGAGGAGAGCTGAAGAAAATATAACCATGAAAAAAAATCTCAGCCAGGCACAGTGGCTCACACCTGTAGTCTCAGTGACTCTGGAGGTGGAAGCAAGAGGATCATTTGGGCCTAGGAGTTTGTGTCCAGTCTGGGCAAAATAGGGAGACCCTGGATCTAAAATAAAGAAAAATAAAAATGACCTCTTATGTTCATATGATATAGATAATCAGCAGAAGTGTGTGTGTGTGTGTGTGTGTGTGTGTGTGTGTGTGTGTGTGTTTAAAAAGAACATTGGGAAGGGAAATATTCAAACAGGAATGTGGACATTTATTAAAATTTTTTGTGGGTGACCGTTTTCTAAATAAACTTCTCACTTTTTTAAACTAAGTTTAAACTCACTTTAAATTAATTTTAGTTTTCAGAAGTGTTGCAAAGGTTGTACAGTGAGCCGTGCACACCTTGTATCCAGAGTCTTCTATTATTAACACATTTCATAACCATGGTACATTTGTCAAAACTTACGAAACCAACACTGATACATTACCATTAACTAAACTCCAGACTTTATTCCTGTTTCAACAGTTCTCTCACGAATGTCCTTCTATTCCAGGATCCAATCCAGAAAACCACATTGCATCCAGAAAGCATGTTTTTTAATGTCAGGTAGTAGGTTATGGGTCTGTTATTAAGGAAGCAGAGAATCTGCTTTGCACCTATTTGGAAAGACTAGGACAGGGATGTTTCTCTTCAGGTCAGAAGAAACGAGCTCATCATCTTTAAGTGACAAAGTATTCCTACACATAGTTTATGCTTAGTACTCCCGGTTCGATATAAACAAGATATCTAGTGTGACAGAGGAAGGATCCTCCAAAATTTAAGTAAACAGGATTCTGTATCAGAGGCGAAAAAAAACCAAGCATGGGCAGTGAGCCCAGGAACAAGGGAGCAATGTTGGATCTGTCTCCGGGTTATGCATTGAGGTTTGTGGGTGTCATGGCCGAGGCTCTCAGGGAGCTCCAAGGCAGTCGTCAACAGACTTCCTTTGGCGATTACTGTTCATCAACTACAGGGAGGGATTTGCCACATTTAGCTCCAAATGTGGGCAAAAGAAAGAAAAAGTGATTCTGGCCTGTTTTATTAGTCTGCCACAGAAAGGGATTTTAGTGGAGAAAAACAATGCAGACGCAGAAAAGGCAGTAATAAAACATAAATAAATAAAAAACAATGATCAGAACTGAAGGAAGACTTGAATTTTTAAATTGAAAGAGCTCACAGAATTCTGGGCAGAAATATTTATAAATCTGTTCATCTGTGACAGCATTTTAATTATTTTTAATCCTGAGGACTAAGGAAAGAATGCTGAAAAACTTTTTGCAATGGAGGACTAATACTAACTATTCACCTGACACTAAATGCTAGAAGACAATAAAGCATTGCTTGAACTAATAGGGGAAACTATTATCATCCAAGAATTTTGTACAGAAACAGAATGGCAAAATAATGACAGCGATTTGTGGCAGGCAAAATAAAAGATTAGGCTGGGTGCAGTGGCTTATGCCTATAATCCCAGCACTTTCGGAAGCCAAGGCTGGCAGATCACGAGGTCAACAGATCAAGACCATCCTGGCCAACATGGTGAAACCCTGTCTCTTCTAAAAATACAAAAATTACCTGGGCATGGTAGCACGCCTGTAGTCCTAGCTACTCAGGAGGCTGAGGCAGGAAAATCACTTGAACCTGGGAGACGGAGGCTGCAGTGAGCCAAGATCGCACTACTGCACTCCAGCCTGGCAACAGAGTGAGACTCCATCTCAGATAAATAAATAAATAAATAAATGAAAGAGTATATTATCCACAATATGCTTTTTTTTTTTTGTAAAGAAAGGTTATTCAAGGAGGTACTCCAACAAAATTATTATGACAGTCCCAATGAACCCACAAGAAAACCAAAGGCTCAGTGAACCTGGCATTCTGGTCTCAATCTTGGCTTAAACCCTAATCACAAGTTAATGTGTTTATGTCTTGGGGCCTCCTAATAAGCCCAAGTGTCTTCTGATTTGGGAAAAGTGTCAGGGGGGTCACACGTGGGCTACATTTTGACATGTCCCTGCTCTGTTATGGGACTACTGACTTAACAAGGTCCCTGCTTATGCACATGCAAAAACCACTTGGGCTTCCACCCAAGAATATCCATACCTTCCTTCATAAGAAGAGTAGGCCAGGCGTGGTGGTTCACACCTGTAATCCCAGCATTTTGGGAGGCCGAAGCAGGTGGATCACCTGAGGTCAGGAGTTCAAGACCAGCCTGACCAACATGGTGAAACCCCATCTCTACTAAAAATAAAAAAATTAGCTGGGCGTGGTGATGGGCACCCATAATTCCAGCTACTCAGGAGGCTGAGGCAGAAAATCGTTGACCCAGGAGGCAGAGGCAGTGAGCCGAGATCGTGCCATTGCACTCCAGTCTGGGCGACAAGAACGAAACTCCATCTCAAAAAAAAAAAAAAAGTACTTATCAGTCATTATTGTCCTGCATAGTCATGCCAATATGTATGCCAGTTTACAAGACAGTTAGAAAATCAAAACAAGTGTTTATTTATTGGAGCAGGAAGAGGGGAGTGAAGCAGCTAGGACACGGAATTCAAAAAGGCTCACACTCTAGGGTCACACAAGGAGGGGATGGGCATGCTGAGGGCCTCGTTTAATTTTGTGCCCAAGTGCTTCACTTGGCTCTGCTATTCCTGAACCTGATAATTAGTCTTACTAATAAAATCAGGAGTTGATTGGTTTAAAAAAGTATATAAAAAACCCAATTGATATGTTTGTTGTAGTAAAAATTTGGAAACAACCTAAGTCAATAAGGTGATTCCTAAATAAATTATGATTAATCCATACAATAGAATACCAAGCAGCAATGGAAGGAGTAGTGTTGATCTCTATGTACTGACTTGGAAGGACATCCACAATATATTATTATCACAGGTGAAATTGCATACGATAGGACACTGTTCTATATTACCACCATGCACTACAAAAGGATGTTTGAATCAACGATGGACAGCATATACGACAGCGGTCCCATAAGATTATAATGAAGTGGAAAAATTCCTATCACTTAATGATGTCATAGCTGTTACAATGTTGTGGCACAATTACTTCTTTAAATAATTTAGGGCGGGCACAGTGGCTCACGCCTGTAATCCCAGCACTTTGGGAGGCCGACGCAGGTGGATCACTTGAGGTCAGGAATTCCAAGCCAGTGTGGCCAACATGGTAAAACCATGTCTCCATTAAAAGAAATTACTGGGCGTTGTGGCAGGCACCTGTAATCCCACCCACTAGGGAGGCTGAGACACAAGAATCGCTTGAACCCAGGAGGTGGAGGTTGCAGTAAGCCGAGATCACACCACTGCACTCCAGCCTGGGTGACAGAGCAAAGACTCCGTCTCGAAAGTTGATAACAAATAAATTTAGTTTAGCCTAGGTGTACAGTGTTCATAAAGTCTACGGTAGTGTATAGTCATGTCCTAGCCCTTCACATTCACTCATCACTCACTCACTGACTCACCCAGAGCAACTTCCAGTCCTGCAAGTGATCTATAAAGGCATACCATGTTCATCTTTTATATCATATTTTTGCTATACCTTTTCTATGTTTAGATATGTCCAGATACACAAATATTTGCCACTGTGATATAATTTCCTGCAGTATTCAGTACAGTAACTTGCTGCAGAGGTTTGTAGCCTAGGAGCAACAGCCATACCATATAGCCTAGGTGTGTAGTAGGCTGTACCATCTAGATTTGTGTTAAGTTCACCTATGATGTTCAAACAATGATGAAATCACCTATGATGCATTTCTCAGAACATGTCATTAAGCCACACGACTGTATTTGTAGAAAAAAATCAGAGATACATTTAATCATTGAGATAGACATATCCTCAAGCTATTACAATTTAGTTCTACTTAATAATTTACAAGCTCATTATATTTATGTATAATTATATTCATCTGCTAATGGCAGAGATCTAAAATAATAGTGATTAAAGCCAGATACATTTTTCTTATCTCTCTCACATACACAACAATTAAGAAATCAGAATCTCTATGGAAGTACCCCATTGTACCAGTATTCCAGGCTCCTTCTGCCTTTCTTCTTGGCAATTTAGTGACTTCTAACCCTTTATTCATCACCTGCAGCAAGACAGCCACTGTAACTTTAACTCGACATTCTTTTTACAGATAGAAAAATTAGGGCATGGGGAAAAGACATATTTTCCAGCTATGTCAGCTAAGCTTTCCTGAAAGGTCCACCCAAATTTTCAATTTATATCTCATTGTCCAATTTTATCTGCAAAAGAGGCTGGGAAATGCAGTTTTTAGGCCTGCAAAACTGCTGCCCTCAGTGATACAAAGGCTCCTCCCAAGAAAGAAGAAGTATTGTCTGTAGGTAATATGAGCTTAAGTAATGTGAGATTGTTTTCACAGCGAACTTGTATTACTTTCATATCTTTTATTATAATAAAAATTAGTTCCCTGTAATCCCAGCACTTTGGAAGGCCAAGGCAGGCAGACCACCTGAGGTTGGGAGTTCGAGACCAACCTGACCAACATGGAGAAACCCCATTTCTACTAAAAATACAAAAAATTAGCCAGGCATGGTGGCACATGCCTGTAATCCCAGCTACTCAGGAGGCTGAGGCAGGAGAATCGCTTGAACCCGGGAGGCAGAGTTTGCAGTGAGCCGTGGTGGAGCCATTGCACTCCAGCCTGGGCAACAAGAGTGAAACTCCATCTCAAACAAACAAACAAAAAAGTTCCGTTTTGGAAAAACAGAAAACAGAGACTTAAAGATAGCTTATAAATGCCTGCCTTAATGGGGAGGTCTGAAGACCTTGAAATGGTGATTTCCCTTTGCTATAATTTAAAGCACTCCAGACATGTCTCTGGCCATCTGTCTTCACCCCCAACCCTGACATCCTACAAGGTCCCAGTGCCTCAAAGTCACCATAAACCACCATCACTAAAGATCTTTGGGGGAATCTTTAAGAAATTATGGCAAATGAAATCTAGGGAAAAGCCTTGGAAAACAAGAGAACAGAAGCTCTCAAAGGAAGGGCAGGACGTTTGGACTACCTTTTACAAAAGGCAGGTCAACTATGAGACAATGTACCTTGTTTCTCAAAAAAAAAAATTAATTAGACAATCTTTTTTTTGTTCCAAGATGCATTAGATGAAACGTTAGATCCTGAGGATTTCAATGTTTGTTGGTTGGAAATAGGATTCCTTGGTCAAATAAGCTGGAGAAAAACCTGACTTAACATCGCTAAGCCACGTGTTTACTGCTAAATTTCTCAGAGGCCTTCATCGGTTAATCACGAGCATTGTGATGCTTCAAGGGGTGGAGGGATGCTGCTCTTCACTTTCCCCATAGCGCTATTTCTTCATGCATGATACATATTTTGCAAGGTTACTCTGGCGAATTAGATAGTGAAGCTAATACAAGTGTGTTCTTACATTTAAAAAATACTTTTCCACCTTTTTAGTTAATCAGGCATCACACGGAGGTGTAATGTTAGGATAATTCATCATTATTCTTTACATTACCCCTCTGTGACACCTTACATTACACCCCAGTGTGATGCCTGGGCCAATGAAAAAAATGAGATGATGCTACAAAGTCAAGATGCTCATAATGCAAAGACCAAGTCATTTGAAATTGTTTCAACTCAAGTTTACACCTTGGTATCATCAATTATTGGTGGTGTGACCTTAACCAAGTCACTTCACTTTCTGAGCCTTTATTCTTTCAGCTTTAAAATTAGAGAACTGCCACCCATACATTTTTGCTCCTTAAAGAATAAAGAGGGTCGGGTGCGGTGGCTCACGCCTGTAATCCCAGCACTTTGGGAGGTCGAGGCCAGTGGATCACGAGGTCAGGAGATCAAGACCATCCTGGCTAACATGGTGAAATGCTGTCTCTACTAAAAATACAAAAAATTAGTCGGGTGTGGTGGCGGGCACCTGTAGGTCCAGCTACTCGGGAGGCTGAGGCAGGAGAATGGCATGCACCCAGGAGGCGGAGCTTGCAGTGAGCTGAGATCACGCCACTGCACTCCAGCCTGGGCAACAGAGCAAGATTCCGTCTCAAAAAAAAAAAAAAAAAAAGAATAAAGAAAATACATTATGCATGTTTTCTAGTACAAGATCTAGTCCATGGATATACTTTCTTTGTCCCAATAAAATAGCCAGACATTCAAATCCTAGATCTCTGAGCTTTTCTGAGACTCAGTACTCTTCTCTTTAAAGTGGGGGTATAATACCTACATAGACAGGTACTGAGAAAATTGTAGAAGATGATCTGTGCAGCTTCTTATAATCGCTCAATACAACCTAGTTCAGTAGCACCCTTCCAGTGTCTAACATGTGCTGGATCTTCACCAAGCATTTGTTAAACTTAAGTGAGTCACTTTGTTAATTATAATTTACCCCCTCCCCAAATGGCTTTAATTCTTTGGTCATTTGGAGTTTAATGAATGGGCTCTATGACTCGATTTTTTACAACCCTTAGCAGTACAAGCAAAGCCACCCAAAGATAGAAGTGATTTAACTTACCAAACACTTTTTCCAAGTTTTGCTCAATATCTAAACTATTGCAATTGTCAGCAAAACCACATTTACTTACCTATTTCTCAGTGCTTCAGAGACATTCAAAACGTACTGAATTCAACAATCATTTGAGACTTTTTTTCTTTCTCTACGTAATTTCATTGCTGTTACACTGTCTTCTTCATATTTAAAGATGAAAAAGTCCTCCTTTTTATTCATCTTTTTATTCTGTGTGATCGATTTCTCCCTCCACATAACAATAATTTTGCTTTCTAGTTCTGTAGTTATATAAACCAAAGCTGCTTATAAACATGCAGGGTTTATTTTATTTCCATTCATTTCCATTTTAAAGGACTGGGGAACAGGAACACTATGTCATCAACTAACTGTCCGAGTGCAATGATGAGATTGCCATGTGGCATCCCAGTCCCCCAGATTTTCAGGAACTTGGGAAATAATAACACAAAGACATCAGCAAATAAGGCAGAAGAGGGATTCACAATTGCTGTCTTGCTTTCCTGACATAATTCATTTGGTCTCAACAGGCATGTCAAGAGAACATTTTGGAAATGAAGGGACATTTCTTTTGATTGTCACAGTGGCTGGAAGATGGCATAGGCCATGACTATCATTTGCATGGTGGGGTCCCAGGATAGTAAATTTCTTTGTTGCAAAGAGCAAAAGATGCACTTGTATTCTTAATGGCTTTGAAATGTCTCCATGGACGTCATGTAGGAGACAAATTTGTTTATAATCTTGAGCCTGGAACCTAACTGAATGTCACATAATGAACATAAAGTATCTGTTGCACAGTTTTAAACACTCAAATTTCCAGGGGGCTAATCTCTGAGTAAATTGATAGATGATTTTATTCTGTTTGATTCTGAGCTTCTCTGAGTCTTTCACTCATCATTTTGGAAAATCCTGGGATTTTCCAAATACAACAACCAACACAACACACCTGTATTAGTTTGCGTTTGGAGTTGTATAGATGTGTATAAATAGGAAATTCTATATGTAAGTGCAAATATTTGATTATTACATCTTCTAACATGGTCAAGCCTAAATGTTCATGTATCAAAATGCACATTTTGTCATAAATCACAATAGTTTTCTCTTATTTCTCTTTCATATTATGATTAGGACATTCTAGTTTTACATTACATGGTAAATAGGTTATAACACCCATGAATTTTACTTCATGAGAGGAAAAGATATATCATGAAATATTTGTTATAAACATTGGCATTGGATTGGATATACAGGTGTAGTAAAGAAATAATAGTAAATATCAATGAATGCCAATATTCCATGCCTTTCCATGTACTTTTCCAATAATCCTCCATACTCTGTGCTGTAGTTAGAGCAAGAGGTTTGTTTGTGAGCTCTTGCTAACTGGAGAGGGAAAACATTTTTTCATGACTACATCATGTGGCCCTATAAATCAGGAAGGCATCAATTTAATACAAGTTCATTAAGCATGTACTAAGTGCAAGACATCTTTCTGAGCAACAAACTGAACCTATCTCCTCACCATCGGATTTCACCTAATTGTGGTCGAACTAGTCCTTTGAAGAACTCATTGCAAACCAGGTTAAAGAGATGATGGTTACTCAATTTAACATTTCCAGTTGGCATGGAGTCCATTCTCATTGCAACCACGTCACTACAAAGTATTTTTAAATGAAACATTTTAATTGTATTTTATCTAAATTCATATTTTATCTTATCTTATTGAAACATTTTTATGCAAAGTCTTGTTAGAACATTGTTTTTTTCGAATACTCTTCCTGGATTTTTTTTCCTTTCTCTAGGAGCGTTCTTTTTGTGCAAGTACTTAGTCATATAATAAATATTTTTGATTTGTAGTAGCCTGCAGGACATAAAATATTACCAGATTGCAAGCCCAAAGTGCCATAAAAGTTTTAAGAATTTGGAGATTATTTAGTAAATTACTGACACCTATATTGTTTGAAACACTTGCAAACTCAAAGTGCATATTTAAGGAGAACGTCTGCTGATGTGGAATCTCTTAGGCGCTGACCTACCGGTTGCTATGCAACCTTATCTTCAATAGAACACCCTTTGAAATCAACAGAAATTCTGCTGATTTAAGGAGATAGGACTATGCCTCCAATAGTAATGTGTCTGCTGCAGGTACCCTACCTCTCACAGAAGGACTCCAGGACACACAGGCTGACTACAAAGTCAGGCATCCAGGCCAAGTGAATAGGTTTATTCTTCTGCTTCTAACATGTGACTGATGAGACATATTCTTTTTTAAGGGAAACGGCGTAACTACAAATTCAAGCTTTAGACCCATGGGCCTTTCAAAGTCATATTACCATAAATATCTAACCTTTATCCACGTATAGGGAGACACTGATATGATTAACAAGCTGAAATAAAGATTAGCTCTATCTTGCACAAATATATCTGCCTTTTGACAAAGCACCTCAAAAGGTTGAATATTTTAAAAACACAGAAAGATGCTTTCTGACCTCCTAACTAAAATAGCTGCTGCTTCGACATCATTGCTGTAACACTTCACCCTTCTTTGTGTGTGATAGTACTTATAACTCTCAATTTTTATATTAAAGACTTGTTCATTGTCTCCCTGCGTTCCTGTCCAGGAAGATAAGGTCTCTGACAACAAAGATTTTTGTCTGCGTGTTAATTTCTATGTCCTCAGTGCCTACCCACAATGCCTGATATAGAACAGTAAGTATTTGTTGAATAAATGACCAAATACTCCTTTATCTTAAAGATCAGCAGGTTTAAGCTGAAAGGCAATTATAAAATAAAGCAGATAAATAAAAGAATTTATGGAACTGTTAAATATTTGAGCATATTATCTGAGATGGTGTGTGTAAGTTATACAGTGCCCAATAGAAAACTTCTGGGCCGGGCGCAGTGGCTCACGCCTGTAATCCCAGCATTTTGGGAGGCCGAAGTGGGCGGATCACGAGGTCAGGAGATCGAGAACATCCGGACTAACAGGGTGAAACCCCGTCTCTACTAAAAATACAAAAAATTAGCCGGGCATGGTGGCGGGTGCCTGTAGTCCCAGCTACTCGGGAGGCTGAGGCAGGAGAATGGCGTGATCCCGGGAGGCGGAGCTTGCAGTGAGCCGAGATCGCGCCACTGCACTCCAGCCTGGGAGACAGAGTGAGACTCTGTCTCAAAAAAAAAAAAAAAAAAGAAAACTTCTGGATTTTGAATCACACTAGAATCTCCAGTGTCCTTATAACCTGTGGGAGGCTGATCAAAATGGGTGTTCCTTGCATCCATCATCTTTTTTAACAGAAACATTCTGTTGATAAAGCATAGTGTTTTCTTCAACTTCCCCTATCAACTCTTTGATTCTAGGAACAGCAATTCTCAGAGGTGAATTACCCTGAGACACAGAGGGTCTTCGACTGATCTTTCATGCCAGGCTGCTTCAGAAACGTCATGATTATTCATTAGGAGAAGGCATAGGAGGACAGACAGAGTCCGTGGAATAATTAGAAAATCCCCACCTTCACTAATACTTGTCCTAAAAGTGGGATCTTATGCTTTGGGTGGAGACAGTTATAAATGCAGGTGTTCCAATCTCTTTTTGCATTCCAACGGTGAAATGGTCTCAGGTAGGACAGCGACCCTTTAGATGCTTTTGTTTTTATTAGTCTGTCTTAGAAATAAACTTGCTGTATCTTCACCTTACACAAGACCCTTGCACATTGATTAGTTTGTCTAATATAAGACTTTAAAAACACGTAAGCTTCTTCAAAGCATTGGTAAAAAATGGTCAGCCAGAATGTCATTGGCTCTGCTTCATTTGTACTTGGAGAGTTAAGAGAGTTTATGATTTTAGTTAATAAAATGACTCTATTTTGAAACACAAATTATCAGAGCAGAACAATTTACCCAGAAAGGGAAAATGTTTTATTATAAAACCATAACATTCTATTATTGTTTATGGTATAAAAATTAAAAGAAGGATCTTTACAGGAGGAAAAATATCTAATTTTATTAAAATATTTTATTAGAAAGTAATGTTCTATTTTAAAATTTGAGCTAGGTGCTCATGTGATATGAATCAAATTATAATCAAACATCACATTTTTTAACTAATTGGACTCCAGGTAAATTATAAAACAATTTCAATGAAATGCAATTTCAGTGCTCTCAAGTACCTTAATAAACAGATAAGATCCTCCCTGGCCAAATTCCTTTATGTAGCAAAGCTAACTCTCTTTGAAGAGAAACAAACATAAATGTTAGTCTAGCCAAGGTCAGATTATTATGAACCTCAAATTCATGAATTATGACTAAATCTGTTTTTACAATGTATTTAAAGTTCCCATTATCTTTAAGTAAGGTTCTTAGGAGGAAAAAATAAAATAAAACAATGTTTAGTATACTTCTCTTTCAAACTTCATCTGCCTGAGTACAAAATCCTCAAATTATACTTCCCTGCTGCGCTTAAATTACAATTTGGGGTTTAGTACATTTTGTGGCTAATATCAACATATTTATAATATTTTCACTGTCCTGCTATATGTTAGGACATATATATATTCCTATGTATATATTCTTCTAATATATTTCCCTTTAAATACATGAATCTAAGCATTATATACCGACTGTTTCAATGTTTATTACATGTGCATTAATAGAATAAACTTATCTAAATTGGGCTCTTATTTGAAAAATAGAGCAATAACAAGTGAACAGTTAAATGAATTACCCACCAAATCTTTTCTGTGATTGACCAATTAATTGCACAATTCAAGATTGCTGCCTGGTAACCCTAGATGCATCCTCTGTGAGATTTCTGTGCAACTTGCACATTGTGAGGGGAAGCTGCATATCCAAGCTTCCCTTCCTTGTGGATTCCTTTGAAAATATGATGCTGTATAAACCCCCAGCAAACAACTATAAATCTGGTAAATGTTCACTGTGTCTGTGAAGATGGAATGATTCTCCCCAGACAAGCTTTGGAAAATAATGTATTGATTTCTGATGGCAATTCATTGTTCTTTGCAATCAACAGTGCTTACACTGTGGCCTTAAATTATGGCCCTTCCTTTTTCACTCCTGGTCTTCGGAATGTGAAATCAGAGAGCCAGAAAGCTTCAAAGAGGTTACAGCCCAAGTATAAGGAATTTAAAGTTATTTTTAGTTGTAAAATGTCTGGTCACTCTGGTCTTTTTCAGTAGAGTCACTTTAATTGACACAGCATTAACTAAATGTTAAGAACTAAACCAAAATACCTCTGGGCCCTTTCAAAATGAACTAAAAGCAGTTATAGTTCCTAAAATCCACTCTTCTTGCAACACTGGATACTACGGTCACCCAAGTGGAGGCTTGGATGACTTGACATTATAAATGTCTCACAAAAGCATGTGCACTTGATTTAGGTCTGCATCCAGAGAGAGAGAGAGAGAGAGAGAGGGCATTGTATACATTTTCTTTGCTCTGAAAGAGTCTCAAAAAATTGTTTCTGAAATCTCCTATACACCAGCCTGTGCACGCATCCACAAAGTAGAAGCCACTGTCCTCTATTACCTGAGATCGTGCAAAAGAAGAACTACTCTCCCAGATACATTTTTTTTTCTTGCAGTTTTAGGTTGGGTTTCCTAGAAACAGAGCCTCAGTCAGGGATGCAGAGAACAGTTGATTGATTGAGAAAAATACTAAAAGAGAAATACACATTTTTCTCCACTGGACTTAAAACCAGAATAACATAGATTAAGCATTTGTGTGTGTCCATCTTGCCATTACATAGAACCTGAGCATGTAATCAACACAGAAGAGGAGAGAGACAAGAATGGAGAGAGACCTGCCCCCTGGTATTATCCAAGTCCCTGGATCAAACCACACTAAAAACCAACTCTAATTTGGGATGTTTTCACTATATAAATGAATAACCAGACTTTTTTTTCTTCTTAGTTCAATTTGAATGGGGGATTCAATCAGAATTCTGGCAATCAGAAGAGTTTTAACCAGTGCAGACAGCAGGCAAACTTTTTGAGACTACCAGGTTAAAAATGATTGAGGAGTCTTCGAAACTTCTGTGATCCAAGACTCGCCTCCCTCCTGGAAAATTCTAGCTGTGTCCTCCAGGTGTTTTACCATAATAAGACCATATGTTCCTTTACAGATTATGGATTATTATATATTCCTGTTTATGCATATAAATATATTGGGAAAGAGGAAAACTTTAAAAGAAATCAAACTATGAGAATCCTGTCATCAGAAGGAAAGGCACTGACAGCAAGTTAAATGATGGTAGTATTTGAGCAAAGAGAGCTGGTGGTTTTTGTAATAAATGGTTTTCAATGTGTTATACATTCTCAAATTCACCACAGTCCCCACCCATCCTAATTATCCTACACATGGACCTTTCAACTGGGGCCAGACAGGTAACAATGTATGGTTTTTTTGATAGCCCTGATTTTAAACTTTATCTTCCCTATCAGTAAAGATGAAAGTGAATGCTTAATGTGATCTTTTATATTGATAATTGTTTATAAACAAAAACAAAAGCAAAAACAATGGTTTTGACACAAAGCTTTACCAGTCACAAAATAATCAAATTTACTAACTCTCATAGATGTACCCAATTTTTGAAAATCAGACATTAAAGCACCATATCTGTAATCTACAGTGAGTTAAGAGAGAGATAAACTGTATATAAGTCTCATGACAATATTCAATACTCTGGTTAGAAGTCCAGTCTTTTCTCTCCTAGGTGTCATAAGACAAGTCATTAGGTTACCGGAAATATGATTGTGACTACATTTTTTAAAAATAATTTCAACTTTTATCTTAGATTCAGAGGGTACATGGTCAGGTTCATTACATGAGTATATTGCGTGCTGCTGAGATTTAGGATACAACTGATCCCAATACTACCCAATAGGTAGTTTTTCTCTCGCTCTTCTGGTAGTCCCCAGTGTTTATTGTAGGCTTTTTTTTTTTTGAGATAGAGTTTTGCTCTGTCACCCAGGCTGGAGTGCAGTGGCATGATCTTGGCTCACTGCAACCTCTGCCTCCCGGGTTCAAGCGATTCTCCTGCCTTAGCCTTCCATGTAGCTGGATTACAGGCAACCACCACCATACCCAGGTTATTTTTGTATTTTTAGTAGAGATGGGGTTTCACCATGTTGGTCAGGCTGGTCTCAAACTCCTAAACCTTAAGTGATCCACCCGCCTCTTACTGGTGCCATCTTTATGAACTTGTGTACCCAATGTTTAGCTCTCACTTATAAGTGAGAACATGCAGTATTTGACTTTGTTTTGGCATTCATTCACTTAGAGTAATGGCCTCCAGCTGTATCCATGTTGCTGCAAAGGACGTGATTTTGTTCTTTTTTATAGCTGCATTGTATTCCATGGTGTATTTGTACCACATTTTCTCTATTCAATCCACTGTTAATGGGCACCTGAGTTGATTCCATATCTTTGTTATTTGAATAGTGCTGCAATGAATGTATGAGTGCAGGTGTCTTTTTGGTAGAATGATTTATTTTCCTTTGGGTGTATACCCAATAATGGGATTGCTGGGTTGAATGGTAATTCTATTTTTAGTTATTTGAGAAATCTCCAAACTGATTTGCATAGGAGTTGAACTAATTTACATTCCCACCAACAGTATATAAGTGTTCCCTTTTCTCTGCAGCCTTGCCAGCATCTGTTGATTTTTGACTTTGTAATTATAGACATTCTGACTAGTGTGAGGTATCTCATTGTGATTTTGACTTGTACTTCTATGACTGCGTTTTTTAAAAGTGTTTTTAAAAAAGTTGGTACTCTATACAAGTTACTAACTATTAACACATTTCAAAACTGACTCCAGGATATGGGCTATCAGCATATCAGTAATATAAAGATATCAGTAACATCAAGACTAAGAACTGCTCACTTAGAGACTTCGCGAGAGAAATTAAAGATCCTTCCTAATTTTTGAAAGAAACCAAATCAGAAACCATCCATCACTGAAAAACTTTCACTGTCCCCACCCTCCTTCTCACAATGGAATATTCTTTCTTTCTCCCTTACATTTTAAGAATATATAGTATCTCCATTCCATCCAACTTCTGTAGAATTTGAATGTCCAGCCTATCTTGCATCTCTCCTTCATCTGAGAGAGGAAAAACTGCTTCTCCAAGCATAGATCCAAATCCTTATCTCATTGTTAGACGCCTGAGATCTTTGTCTATTATTTTCACTTTAGTGTGGTATTGGGTAGCTAAACACGCAGGCAACAAGCACATAAGCACTTTGAGATATAACCCTACTACATGTTACTAAGAATTTTTTATAAGATTTCTAATGGCTGCACGATTTTCTATTACATGGAACAGCCATAAATTATTTAATCCTTTCCCTATTTGGGGGCATCATTTTTAAAAAGGATTTTCCACAACCTTGAAATGAAAGTGCTGTAATTAAATATCTGTTAATAGCACTAATTATTTACTTTTAATATGTCCTTAGGCATGTAAATACTATACCAAACAACTGAAATTTTTAAGACAAATCTCATACTAGGGATATATTAGACAACAGCATATCACTTGATTTGAGTGGGCAATATAAAATATATGGAAATAATGCCATATAAGCAAGGATTGCAGTGTGCACATCTCAAGACTACTACTTTGGGATATTGTATTATTTGGTGACAAAGAGACTGTACTATAACCCTTCAAAAGTATGATAGGTTAAATGCAATGGCAGGTTGCCTAGGTGTTTGGAGGAGTGTAATTGGCAAATGTGATATCCTCCACATCTCCCTCTCCTCTCCAGTAAGGTATCATTCTGGCAGGGAGAAGGGGTAGAGGTGAGTACCTTCTGTTGAGAGCACAGTTTTAATAAGTCAAGAATCCAACCTAAGAAACATCATATTTGCTGTATTTAGGGAAGATGCACAAGTCAGAGCTGTTTTTATTTCTTGCCAGTTTCATTCCAAACGTAAGCAAGTAGAATGTCTTTTCTTTTTGACAGGCATATGGAAAGCTTATGAATGCAGTAATGAGAACTCTGCATGCCCATTTGGACCCTAGGGAGTTATATAACTTCATCCTTCTTTTTTATTTCTGGTTAGAAGAACCTAGTGATGCCTTCCATTACCTCCTACACATGGCCACCTACTGCATCCTCTGAGATGTTTCCAGTGACACAGAGGCTGGTGTTGTTGTGCCTAGGTTTATGGCTTAGAAAATGAGGGCAATTTTGTTTGACTGTTCCCTTAGGGTTTCCAAAAATACCATCTTAAAATGTACACTTGAAATCATAGGCCATTCGTTTCAACAACATTCCCAAGCAGGACCAGCTACACAATTTGTGGGCCTACTGCAAATGAAACTCTTAAGTCCATTGTTCAAAAATCATTAAGAATTTTGCCACAGCAATAGGACAGTATTATACCAAGCTTGGGGTCCTTCTAAGTATGGGGCCCTGTGGTATTGTAGAAGTCCCCATCTCAAAAAGACAAAGCATTTTACTACTTTCTTTCCTGAAGTCTCCCAGGAAAAAGGTCCCTCTGCAGTAAATAAATTAAAAAATAATGAACACATGGAGGTGGAGGTATCACAAAGAAAAATAACAAACTGAGAAGGGTTGGTGGAGAGACAAAGGAGGAAGATAAAGAGAAGAGAGTTAAAGGGTACAAATACACAGATAGAAAAAATAAATGCAATGTTTGATAGTAGAATAGGATGACTATAGTTGACAAAAACGTATTGCACTCAGGTCGTGGGCCTCAAATATTCTGACTTCATCCCTGCCTGTGCATTTGGTATTAGTTCATTCTCACATTGCTATAAAGAACTACCTGAGACTGGGTGATTTACAAAGAAAAGTGGTTTAATTGACTCACAGTTCTGCAGGCTGTACAGGAAGCATAGCTGGGGAGGCCTCAGGAAACGTACAATCATGGCAGAAGGTAATGAGGAAGCAGACACATCTTACATGGCCAGAGAAAGAGGAAGAGAACAAAGCGGGAAGTCCTACACACTTCTGAACACCAGGCCTCATGAGAACTCACTCACTATCATGAGAAGAGCAAGGGGGAAAAAATCCACACCCATGAACCAATCACTTCCCACAGGGCCGCTTCTCCAACACTGGGGATTACAATTCAACATGAGATTTGAGCAAGGACACAAATCCAAACCATATCAGTATATATGTAACAAAATTTCACATGTACCCCATAAATTTATACAAATGGAAAAAAATTAAAAGGTGAGAGTCTGGAGAGAATGAGCAATTTAATTCAGATTTAATAATACGCTACAGATGCTATCTTGAACCACATGAAATTGCCAGTATTAAAATATTTTTTATTTCTAAACACAGCATTTTAAATGGTTCCAACTAACTCATGGCAATTGTCACGGTAATACATTTTTCCTGGGATTAATATCCTTATGAGTTGACACACCACAGAAAAAAGGGGGGAAGAAATTATGGTAATGATTCCTACACAAGGGTTCCTTTGTATATGTATGTTTGCTATTTGTGTAAAAACTGTGTACATGTGTGTTAAGATATAAACAATGATTCAGCTAGGGTACATTCTATGTTGCTTTAACAAGGAGACCACAAAAATGCAGTGGATTAGTGAAGACAGAAGTTGATTTCTCACCCCCAAAACAGTATGGGCAGGGAGGCAGAGGTGCTACAGGCTAACAAGGCAGTTCCATCTCAGCACAGTGCTGCCGTCATCTCTGGGGCCAAGCGAGTTGCTCTAGCACCCACTACTATGTCTGTTACTCAGCCTATGAGTAAGGGAAGATAAAGACAAGCATGTACCCAGTCTTCTTAATGGCTCAACACAAATGAGGCACATCCTTCTGCTCACATTCCAGTGGCCGGAGCTTAGTCACATGGTCATACTGAGCTGCAGGGGCAGCTTAGAAATTTAGTCTCTAGCTTGGATGCTATGGCATCCAAGAACTTAACGCTTCTGTTATTAAAGGAAGTGGAAAATAGATACAAGTGGACAACTCACCATGTATCTGCCTTAAGCAGTTTAACTTTTTTTTTTTTTTTTTTTTGAGATGGAGTCTCACTCTGTCACCCAGGCTGGAGTGTGGTGGAGAGATCTTGGCTCACTGCAACCTCCACTTTCTGGTTCAATTGATTCTCCTGCCTCAGCCTCCCAAGTAGCTGGGATTACAGGTACACACTACCAAGCCCAGCTAATTTTTTGTATTTTTTCAGAAATGGGGTTTCACCATGATGGCCAGACTGGTCTTGAACTCCTAAACTCAAGTGATCCACCTGTCTTGGCCTCCCAAAATGCTGGGATATACAGGTATGAGCCACCGTGCCCAGCCAAGTAGTTCAACTTTTAAAAAAATAATTTGACATATACATCCAGAACTTCTCCATTTTTTGACATAGATTAGTCCTTGGGTGTAGATCTGCTGGTTGGAGTTCCACATTTTCTTCCTTACATAAAATATAATATAACCCTAATTTCTAGTTTTAGTTCCCTGAAAATGCTGTAAGTTCTTAAAAACTTTTAGTATAATTTAGATTCAGACTCCTAGATTTTTATATTTTCATTGTCTTAACATTTGTCTCCCTTAAACCTAATTTGACAGCATTGTTAGCTAATTGTCATTATCATTTTTCCCAAAATATTAAATTTTATTTTCATAGAGATGATTCTCTTTCCACACTCATAATTTGTTTACATAATACTTAATTAAATTGTATAGTTATAATAGCAAGCAAAACACCCATTAACGTACTAAAGCACAACAAAGCTAACACTTGCTGAGCATAGAGGTTAACAGAAGTGTGCAGGAGAAATAGCGATTAGTTTACCAGCCAAGTGTATTTAGCATGGAGGTAGAAGGAGTCAGTATCCTTTACAGAGAGAACGAGAAGAGTCAATTAATCCAGCAAGTTGGTTGAGTATAAGTCAATGAACAGAGCTGCAACTGTGTCTTCAACAATATAAGTAATTCCTCCCCTCAACCTTTAAACCAATCATTTCCTTTAACCACTGAGCGAATTATTTTAGAGCAATCATGATATGGGAAACACAGATTTGCTATTTCTTCTGTCCGTCTCTCTTTCCAATTGCCTCTCACAGTATAAGCATCAGACCCACTGGAGCTTAAAGGTACATAACTCACTTTTCTAACAGCATTGTCTAAAACACAAACCATCCACTTCATTGGGTACTCGCCTAAAAAGACAGAGATATCTTCCAACCCAGGAGGAAAGTGACCAGGTTGAAATCATTGACCTATGCTATACCACTTTCCAATATAACGCCTCCCAAGAGAGTTTTGTTTGTTTGTTTGTTTGTTTTTAATGAGACGGAGTCTTGCAATCTCGCCCAGGCTGGAGTGCAGTGGGGCCATCTCGGCTCACTGCAAGCTCCAACTCCCGGGTTCACGCCATTATCCTGCCTCAGCCTCCTGAGTAGCTGGGACTACAGGCACCCGCCACCACGCCCGGCTAATTTTTTGTATTTTTAGTAGAGATGGGGTTTCACCATATTAGCCAGGATGGTCTCGATCTCCTGACCTCGTGATCCGCCCGCCTCAGCCTCCCAAAGTTCTGGGATCACAGGCGTGAACCACTGCGCCCGGCAAGAGATTTTCAAAGGTGTTTTTCTCTGCAGATTATTTTTGCCTTGTGTACTGACCTTAGAACTTTACCTCGGATAGGATGAAAATCCATTGAAAAGGTTTTTGCATTGAAAATACGCCAGTGCTTTTCAAAGGCATAATAAAATAGATAAAATACTAGATAAAATAGATAAAATACTAGATAGTTAGTACTTTATATTTTAGATAAAATACTAAAATAATTTCTAAACAGCATTCAGTGTTGCTGGGCATACTCTGACACTTCCAGAAATTTATCAGTACCCCCCGACCTACGGTCTCATCTGATCAATAAATTGCCATCTCATCTCCCCCAACCCCTATTAAAAAATAGCACGGTGCTCACATAATGCTGTTGTAAGAGATTTATTACTAAATAATTGAACAACATTGATCTTCAAATTGAATTACCAGACCCAAGGCATTTCCTTTATGTTAACAAAGAGTGACTGATTCTTATCAAGCAACAAGCTCACTGTTACATCAGATACTCTGGGATTCCTGGTTTATCTTGAAATAAGAAAGTAGGTTTTTTAAAAATTCACTTAAAACTAAGATAACTGTTGAAGTTTGTTCTATTTTTGATTTTATGTTAGGTAGTTAATAACTTACATCAAACAAATCAGTAGTTTATTACTGCCTACTGGTGTTAGAGAATGTCTTTCCTCTAAGGAATACAATTTTATTTTTTCTAATGGATTAATGTCTTCCAAAGTCTCCGCAGAAGTATGCCTGTGTTTACAAATATAGTGTTTGTTGGTGAGCCTGAAAAATGGAAAAATTCTGTTGTTTTCCCTGGGATAAAGACATGTGTTTATGTAGCACTCAAACAATCACATATTTAAGATCCTACTTTGTACCCAGCTTGTCTTGGGATCCAAGGACACAGGATTGACAGAGCCTCTGCCCTCATGGGGCTCTAAGATTGGGTTGGAAAATGGACACAACTAGGCAATTTAAATATTGAACATAGAGAAGTACAAGGTGGTAGAGATGAATATTGGGGGTACCTAAATGCAGCTTAGTTATTTAGGGCAACAAATCTGTGATTCCCTTAAACTTTCTCCCTCTCAATAGCCATATAAAAATTGTGACACTCATCTTAGAAACTTGAGGCATTTTCAGATTACTTTCTAGAATATTATGGCAAATATCTTAGTGAAAGATATTCATGGATTGCCTCAGAGGTAAGAGCAACTAGGAATTTCTACTTTGGCCTAGGGCAGAGCACAGCCAACTACTTTGGCCCACAGGCCAAATCCTGCTGCCACCTGTTTTTACATGGGTCAGTAGCTAAGAATGGTTTCTACAATTGTGTAGGTTTTTTTTTTTTAATGGTTGAAAAACAATTTTTCAAACATGAAAATTACATGAAATGCACATTTTGGTGCCCCTACTTAGAGTTCTATCAGAACACATCATACCCATTCATTTAATGTCTACGCTTTTGTACTGCAATGGCAGAAGTAAGTAGTCATAACAGAAGCTATGATGAAGGGTCTCCAGGCCTAAATTATTTACTGTCTGGCCCTTTACTGACAAATTCTGCCAATCCCTGGCTTAGAAAATCCATTAACTTTTGAAAAGGTAGTAAAACACAAAAGCACAGGCCATCCTAATACTCTTAGTTGCATGTTGCAAACAAACATCAATCAGCAGACTCCTCGGCACATTGTCTATTTATAGTCCTTCCTTTAGTGGTCCCAGAAAGATATTATTCTGTGGCTGCCTACTCCTTTCTTGTTTTCATACTTAGCAAGCCTGAGACATGGTGAGGGTACAGAGCTTCTCTACCGGCTCTGAGATGAGTCCCTTCACCTGCTTTTGGCCATTTGCTCTCAACACACCTGATTGTACAGGTGGACTCCATCCACCTGGAGCATTTGTTGGCTTCCTAAACATAATCTGAAGTCTAAATGGATGGATATGCCTCTTTCTCAGGGCAAGGACTAATATGAGGGAAGGGAGGAACTGGCCTTAGGCACAAAATATAAGGGCAGGGGAGGGAACATCAAAGCTCAATAATACAGATCAACAGCATTACAATGCAATATTTTAAAAAACCCCAATTACTACAAAAATATCCATGATGGATTTTATATATATATATATATATATATATATATATATATATATATATATATATATGTATTTTTTTTTTTGAGACAGGGTCTTATTCTGTTGCCCAGGCTGGAGTGCTGTAGTACAATCACAACTCACTGCAGCCTCAACTTCCTGGGTGATCACCTCAGCTTCTTGAGTAGCTGGGACCACAAACACAAGCCACCATACCTGGCTAATTTTTTTTTTTTCCAGAGTCAGGGTTTTGCAACATTGCCCACGCTGGTCTTGAACTCCCGGGTTCAAGTGATTCGCCCACTTCAGCCTCCCAAAGTGATGGGATTAAAGACCCGACCTAATATTACAATATTTTTAAAAGACTGAATCAGTATTATGGACATTTCTTTTGCCTCACACTCCAATATGGCTTGCCATGGTGCAGTTACAGACCTGTTTTTTCTTTAAAATTTTGTTATTTTGTTCAGTATGAGATTTTTTGCATTAATGTTGATTTTCTAAAAAGTATTACTGGATTACTGAGTTTTTTGGCACCCACTTACAGTCTGTGCTGAGTTGAGAACCTCAGTCTCTGTACCCCAGTCTTGGTCCTGCTGTGACTGATTCATGACTGAAGTTCCCATGAGGACTAACAAACTTGTGTGGGGAATGAGGAAAGAGAGTAGCCCTTAGCATTTGAATGATATAACACAACGATATCAATTTAGGGAAAACTGAAGCCCATAATACTTAGCATTTTTATAATGGAAAAGTGAAATCCTCCCAGGGTTAAAAAGCCATATATATGATGTGAATGGGAAGGCTCTAGCCTTCATTTGTTACGTTATAATAGGAACCCCACGTGCCCCTCTCTCAAATTTCACTTTGTTCACTTTCACAGAGTGAAATTACTGTGCTACAAAACTGTCCCAAGGGACTAACTCCCGAAATGTGTCTGCTGAGCTACTACGGAGTCACAAATGACAGAGAAAATGCTTTGCAGTATTTGTTGGAAGCCAGGCACTGCCAGATTCAATGCAATTGCAGAAATTCATTACACATCCAAATCTCTAAAATGCCGAGTAGAAAATTACTTACATCGAGCCTCAGCAGTAGGAAAAGGTGAGTCTGGAACAATGTCCAGGAATGAAATGACCTCATTCAATTTAGCGAATATTGACCAAATTCCCACCACGTGCTAGGAACTAGAAATGTAAATATTAAGTCAAATAATGCTGAGCACCTACTGTGTGCTTCATTTTGCACATGAAGAAACTGAGGCACAGAGATGTTAAATAGTCCCAAGGTCACAGGTCACATAGCTAATGAGTAGTGTGCCTGAGATTCCAACCCCAACTGTGTGATGCAGAGATATGACTCTATGCTGAGATCGCTAAGACACTGCAGAACAGCCAACTGAATTTACAGAACCTCCTAATTTCTTGCTAGACAACTAGTGAGTCACTTTACCCATTTACTAGAAAAATATCTTTGCTATTAAATACAGGGTCATTCAGCCACCATTAGAGTTGTAGAAACCTAAAATTTCAAACTGGAAGGGCCATTAGTGTGTCTAGTTCAAACTCCCTCCCCAATTTTATAGTTGAAGGATCTGAGGCACCAAGAGATTATGGCTTGTTAGAGTCATAGATAATTATTAAACTTCTACCTGCCTGAAAAACAAGGATTCACTAAGAATTTTTTAAAAATATATTAATAAAAAAATAAAGACAGGATGGAGAATTCAATCATTAAGAATGAAACTTGTTTATTACCAGGAGCTAAAACTTTGGAAGAATGATTAAGGTCTTCTGCTTAACTAAAGCAGAATTGCGCCCTAGATATTTGCATGCAGCTGTGAATGTATTTCAGGTTAACATTTGCCCTCAAATCTTCCTCTAGTTTCCCTTGACAGCAAAGCAACTGAAATGTACAGCTGAATAAGTCTACTTTAAGGTTCTTTTTAAGGAGTTTATACCTTGCCAGTTAGAAGTAAATTTCCTCACCTTGTTTGCTATTACTTAGACCTTCCTGTAAATTTAGTATTTTTATACATCTTACAATAATGGGTCTATGACATTTGTAGCAAAAGAAGATTGCTTTTGCCTTTTCTCCCTTAATATTTCTTTTCTTCAGTAAATTCCATGTGAATAAAATCACACTCGTAAAGTATGAGTGGGCACTGGAAAAAGCATAGGTGATTCGGTTAATGGGTCCACACAGAAGTGCACATTCATCTCAACCTACGTTAGCAACTAAGGGCAAGAACTTGGCTTCGTTACAACTTAAGTCTTTGGAAGAAGGCACATGAATGATAACTTCCATGCTTTTTGCTCAGAATGAACCTTGGTCCCAAAATCAGAGGAAAAATTCTTCATCCATGTAGCTTCAGAGGAAGGGATGTCAATGGCGACACTGTCATCTTCTAGGGAGCAGGTTGGAAATCCGTGGGAGCATATTTAGGGGCACTAATAGTATTTAGAGGATGGGTCAAGGCTGCTAGACATCAGAAATGTTAGACAGTCCTGAGGTAACAAAAGGTTTTTCCACAGCCCACATGACTTTTGATTGACTTCATTTAGTATACAGAAACAATGTATTTTTTGATAATTTTAATAACAGTAAATTTTCCAGGAATAAGATTAGCATGCAAATCAAGGGATTTTTTTTCTTAGTTTTGTTAAGGATCCATTCATTTTGTTAGGAATTTTACCAAAAGTTTGTTTTTCATCATTTTGGAAAATATTTTAAAATGACAGTATTACTTGGGATATTGCAGTGGCCCTGTATTAGTCCATTTTCACACTGCTGTAAAGATACTACCTGAGACTGGGTAATTTATAAACAAAAGAGGTTTAATTAAGTCCCAGTTCTACATGGATGGGGAAGTCTCAAAAAACTTACAGTCAAGGAAGAAGGCAAAAGAGAAGCAAGTAACTTCTTGCATGGTGGCAGAAGAGAGAGAGCGCTCACACAAAGGGGAGGAGCCATACACTTACCAAACAACCAGATTTGATGAGAACAGCAAAGTGGAAGGCCACTCCCATGATTCAATCACCACCCACTAGACTACTACCCCAACATGTGGAGATTACAATTCAAGATGAGAATTGGGTGAGGACATAGAGCCAAACTGTGTCAGGTCCATACAACCCAACTGACACTGTCTGCATCTGTAGCTGCCACAAACACTATAATTCAGTGTAGATGCCCAGATACAAACACAGACATGCCCTAAAATTGACATACGGATGCGCACATGCAAGATATGGTTTGGCTGTGTCCCCACCCAAATCTCAGCTCGAATTTCACCTCCCAGAATTTCCACGTATTATCAGAGGGACCCAGGGGGAGGTAATTGAATCCTGGGGGCCAGTCTTTCTTGTGCCAGTCTCGTGATAGTGAATAGGTCTCACAAGATCTGAGGGGTTTATCAGGGGTTTCTGCTTTTGCTTCTTCCTCATTTTTCGCTTGCTGCCGCCATGTAAGAAGCACCTTTTGCCTCCCACCATGATTCTGAGGCCTCCCAAGCCATGTGGAACTGTAAGTCCAATTAAACCTCTTTTTCTTCCCAGTCTCAGGTATGTCTTTATCAGCATCGTGAAAACGGACTAATACAGTAAATTGGTACCAGTAGAGTGGGATGTTGCTGAAAAGATACCCGAAAATGTGGAATTGACTTTGGAACTGGGTAACAGGCAGACATTGGAACACTTCGGAGGGCTCAGAAGAAGACAGGAAAATGTGGGAATGTTTGGAACCTCCTAGAGATTTGTTGAATGGCTTTGGCAAAAATACCGATAGTGATATGAAAAATAAGGTCCAGGCTGAGGTGGTCTCAGGTGGTGATGAGGAACTTGTTGGGAACTGGAGCAAAGGTGACTGTTGTTATGTTTTAGCAAAGAGACTGGTGGCATTTTGCCCCTACCCTAGAGATTTGTGGGACTTTGAACTTGAGAGAGATGATTTAGGGTATCAGGCAGAAGGAATTTCTAAGCAGAAAAGCATTCAAAAGGTGACTTGGGTGCTGTTAAAAGCATACAGTTTTAAAAGGGAAACAGCATAAAAGTTTGGAAAATTTGCAGCCTGACTAAGCGATAGAAAAGAAAAACCCATTTTCTGGGCAGAAATTCAAGCTGGCTACTGAAATTTGAATAAGTAGCAAGGATCCTAATGTCAATCCCCAAGACCATGGGGAAAGTGTCTTCAGGCCATGTCAGAGACCTTCACAGCAGCCCCTCCCACCACAGACCCAGAGGCAAAAATGGTTTCGTAGGCCAGGCCTAGGGTCCCTGTGCTGTGTGCAGCCTAGGGAGTTGGTGCCCTGTGTCCCAGCTGGTCCATCCATGGCTGAAAGGGGCTAACGTACAGTTTAGGCTGTGGCTTCAGAGGGTGGAAGCCCCAAGCCTTGGCAGCTTCCATGTGGTGTTGAGCCTGTGGGTACACAGAAGTCAAGAATTGAGGTTTGGAAACCTCTGCCTAGATTTCAGAGGATGTACGGAAATACCTGGATGCCCAGGCAAGTTTGCTGCAGGGGTGGGGCCCTCATGTAGAACCTCTGCTAGGGCAGTGCAGAAGGGAAATATGGGGTCAGAGCCCCCACACAGAGTCCCTACTGGGACACCACCTAGTGGAGCTGTAAGACAAGGGCCACCATGCTGTCCTCCAGACCCCAGAATAGTAGATCCACCGACAGCTTGCACCATGTACCTGGAAAGGCCGCAGACATTCAATGCCAGCCCATGAAGGCAGCCAGGATGGAGGGTGTACCCTGCAAAGTCACAGGGGTGGAGCTGCCCAAGACCACAGGAACCCACACCTCTGGCATCAGCGTGACCTGGAGGTGAGACCTGGAGTCAAAGGAGATCATTTTGGAGCTTTAAAATTTGACTTCCCCACTGGATTTTGGACTTGCATGAACCCTGTAACCCCCTTTGTTTTGGCCAATTTCTCCCATTTGGAATGGCTATATTTACCCAATACTTGTACCCCCATTGTATCTTGGAAGTAACTAGCTTGCCTTTGATTTTACAGACTCATAGGCAGAAGGCACTTGCCTTGTCTCAGATGAGACTTTGGACTGTGGACTTTTGGGTTAATGTTGAAATGAGTTAAGACTTTGGGGGACTGTTGGGAAGGCATGATTGCTTTTGAAATGTGAGGACATGAGATTTGGAGGGGCCAGGGGCAAAATGATATATTTTAGGTGTGTCCCCATCCAAGTCTCAACTTGAATTGTATCTCCCAGAATTCCCACATGTTGTAGGATGGACCCAGGGGGAGGTAATTGAATCATGGGCGCCAGTCTTTCTCATGCCATTCTCGTGGTAGTGAATAAGTCTCATGAGATTTGATGGGTTTATCGGGGGGTTCCATTTTTGCTTCTTCCTCATTTTTCTCTTGCTGCCGCCATGTAAGAAATGCCTTTTGCCTCCTCCTCCTGGTATGATTCTGAGGCCTCCTGAGCCACGTGGAACTGTAAGTCCAGTTAAAGCTCTTTTTCTTCCCAGTATCAAGTATGTCTTTATCAGCAGCATGAAAACAGACTAATATAATGCATATATTATAAGTCATGTGTCATGCATTTATTTTCTATTAGAGATATGGCATTTTCTTTGAAATTATATCTGTAAGTAGGTTATATTATCTAAATGTCACTTTTTGATGGTAAGGGTATATTACAAAATATCTGTCATAAATCAGGGTCGTTTGTTCTAGTAGAAGAGCCAAGCACTCTTTTAGAAAGACACTCCAACTATGTACTATATGTTGATTGTTCAGACACAGACAAGAATTATAAAATATTGGACCCAAAAAGAAAAGAACCTGGGAAATAATTGTGCACAATGTCCTTCTAACAGATGGAACAATGGGACCCAGAGAGATACGCAGCCAAGAAGACCTGGGGTGGGGACAGTAGTTATGAACAGGAGAGCTGTCTTCAATTATGAAAAGAACTGCCCACACAGAAGAAAGATAATTTTTCTGTACATCTGTAAGTGATGTTCATGTAAACTAGTTCAGGTAAAGAAAAAACTAGTTTTTTTTTTTTTTTTTTTCTTTAAAAACTAGTTCAGGTAAAGAGTGAGATTCAAAAGAAAACTAGTTCAGGTAAAGAGTAAGAAAAAAACTAGTCCAGGTAAAGAGGGAGATTCAAAAAAATTTACTTGATGCAGAAAGCTATACCATCTGATGTAGGATGAGAAGTATTTGTTTTATGGCTAAAAAAAAAATAAGCCAATAAAATACGAAATGGAAGAGAAGACAGAAATGGAGCAGGGAACAGGAAGAGGGAGATGGGTCCAGGAGCCGAGGTTGGGTGTATGGACCATGCAGCTTCCCTGGGTCATGGGTTGGCCAAAAGGCATCTTAAGAATAGGCCTAATCTTCAACCAGTATGAACTTGTTTGTATCACTGCAACTTAAACCCCTCATCACAACAAAGCCCTCAAATCTTCAATAAAACTTTTCTGTGTCACAAATACTTAAATGAGTTGGGTTTTTCAGTGAAACTTGGAGGCATGGCTTCATTTAACATTTGTGTTGACATGGTGCAAGAGAGGCACCTTGCATGGAAGTAAGAGCTCAGAGCTAGAAGCGTTTGTGAGTCTGCCCTCCAGCCAATCCTGATCTCCATTTATGATAAAGTTCAAAGATATCTAGGCAGGAATTTTGATGTCTTTAAGGCTTGGAGTAAGTATTTGAGCTACTCTAGCAGGTTGAATCATATGAAGTTGCTTATACCCAGCCATACATAATCTAAAAATCTCAATTTCTTGTTTCACTTTGACAGAAAGCCTGACAGTGCCCATCTGGTGTTTGGTTTAGACTAAATTAAAACTCTCCTATAATCCGGTCTGCTGTGCCATCCTTATAGGTAAAATTCATTCACTGTGTCCTATTTCTCTTTGTGTACCCAGCACATAACACAAAACCAGGGACGCAGTAGGCACTCAATAGACATGTGATAAATTAATTGAATAAGTGATAATGGACTCCCCAATCCTGGAAGAATTGAGAAGAGAAGAAACAATTGGCAATGACTTTATAGAACTCGTTTATGCAGTGAGGAATTGGATGAGTATGTAGTAAAGGAAGCATTGGATAATATGACTTTTAAAGTCTCTTCCATATATGGGAATCTTTGGTAAATGCCACACATTAACTTCTAGAATGCATCATGCAGAAAGCTTCATCTGAACCTAAAATTGTCAAAAAGGTCACCTGCAACCCTATTATTTTAGAATACATAGTTAGAACCTGGGATGTCCTACAAAAGTCTCCTGTTTTGTAACCCAGTGTTCCTCCCAATTATTTATTTTGCCTATTTTCTGGCATATTGTAAAATTAAAAATTAATTTGGTGGTGATGGTGACAGGAAGTAATCACCAATAAATCTAAACACAAAGTTGTTTCTATTTACACAGCTTTTTCTGAACATCATTTGGAAGTACAAGAAATCTAGGAGCTATCAGTAGTAGATGACAACAGAATAAGCAATGACCGATCTGCTTTCTTTCCCTTTGTGGAAGACAGAAAAATAGGCTAAGGAAAGAAGTACTAGTGAAGACAACACAGGAAAGAAATGAGACTCATGGATACAGCATTCCAGAGAAAATAAAGCAATGGCTTTTTAAAAGGAAACTGACGGGTATGTTATAGGGACAGTAAGAAGACCAGCATGGCTGGAATAGAATAAAGGAGTAGAAAGGCAGTTGGCAAAAATAAGCCAGACAGAGGGGATGCCAGGAAATGGGTGGGGAAGAGCTGTCAGCCATTGTAAGGCTTCTGACTTTTTCTCTGCAACAGGAAGTTGTTGCTAAGACCTCACAGACTATTCCATCTACTTCACAATCACAAAAGCAAAGACATCTCTGAGTGAGAGATTGACAGAAGGAAAGGACAGGGAATAGGATGAACAAAAATCAGGAAAATGTTGTCTTGACAGCTTAATTGTTGCTTTGCAATTTTCCTCCCTTATCTTACTTTTACCCAGTGCAATTTGATACCAAAGTTTTTCAAGTGAGTTTCATCAATTCCTTTTATTTCTTTATCACAATCAAATGAACCTAGGCACCAAGACCACAGGCTGATCAAAATAACAGAGAAAGAATGTAGGTTTTTTAAAATATGAAAATGTGGTTCCATTTTTGGATTCATTCACTTAGGTTAATCTTGATTATGGTTATTTGGTGAGAAATCAAATATTTTTGAAGGCCAGAAGGGAATGTCTATTTGGATAAAACATGTTGAACTAAATATGGTTCACCAAATTATTATATTTACACATTGTCCACACAAGAAAAATCTGAAATCTCCAGTTTCGGCGATCAACTTTTTAACCTTTCAAGGAAATTTTCCTGTAGAAAGAAGTAATTGTATATAATGAGGTGTGATTACGTTAAGTGGAAGGAGATGTACTATCCTTGCCAACTGTGCTAGCGAGTTGTTTGCCTGGCCTTCCCGAATGTGTCAGCAAGAACTTCTCCAAAATAAGAGAAGAATTCCATCCAAGGCCATTTCTCAGATAAAAAGAAGGCAGAAGAGTATTTTATATCAAAGGCAAATACGGCAAAAAATTACTCTTAAATCTCGGTCATTTTTCTTCCAGATTAAAGAAAAGCCAGGGAACTTTTTCTCATAATTTCACATCCAAATTCCTGTTTGGGAATGCATTCTGAGAAATTTATGAATCAGGAGACACTCTGCTTACTGCGACAGTAACTAGAATAAGAATCTGAATTGCTCCAATTTCTCAAAAAAAAAAAAAAAACAGGTTTATTTTCTCTGTGAGTTCATGGGCAAGAGCTGGAGGGGTAGGTGTGTGGGGGGAAGTGGATGAATCCTATCTTTTGAAAGTAGGCTTCATCTGGAAGCTAAAAAGATCATGAAGGTCACCTTCAATGCTATTATTCTAGAATTCTAAGACAATAAGTATAGCTTTTATTTACTATTAAAATAGATTAGTTCACCAAGATCTCACTAAATTGGATGCAACCTATATGGCCACCTGAAATAGCCAGAAAAAGTGGATAAGCATGCGGAGAGGCCCCTGTGAAGGGCATAAGATTGGCATCACTGTGGGGTGCACGGTCACTGTGGGAGTTCACTCAGCAGTGGTAGAGGGTAAGGTATTCATGTGTCACAAGTGTGGTTGAATCACAGGTGGTTTCCAAGTCTAGCTGAGCCTCAGAATCAATTGTGGTGTTCTTGTTTGTTTTCTTTCTATATGCGGTGTCCTGGGATCTCAAATCATAATCACCAAGAGTAACCCTAAACATCCATCGTTTTAAAAGCTTCCCAGGGAGTCTGATGTGGGCAGGTCCTATGCCAGATTCAGCATCTAACATGTGTTTCTTAAGCCACTCAGTGGACCTGGCATTGCTCTAAGCCTTGGCTACAAAGTGGGGTATAGGGCTGGGGTTTGAGTTTAGGCCCGTGGACCTGTTTTCAAGGTGTTCACATTGTCTATCTCTTTCACTCTAGAGATGTCATAGTTTTGTGTCCATAATAATGAGAAGGCCACTTAAAAACATATTCTATTGTGAAATATAACCAAATAATATTCACAACTATTATTTCTATTAATAATAATAGCTTGTCAAAGGTCCAATCTTAAGTGCTAGGCAGATAATATTTTAATTTTTATTTTAATCCATTTTACAGATGAGGAAATGTAGAATTCAAGAGATTAAATACATGGTTTACACCCCTCTGCCAAGGCAAGTGGGAGGGCATGAGGCAGAAGGAGGAGATAGGTTTAAAGCAACAAGGATGAGATTCTCTTCTACTTCTGTCTCACCCTAGAGCCTGTGATCTTACCTCTAATGCTACTCCCTCAAATATATATGAGTAGTTCAATATACATGGTTGAATACACATGTTATTGACATTCCTACAATATGTAGAGTTTTGACAAGCAGAACGGAAAATGTCCCTAGATTCTAAGTAGTCTAGGTATTCTAAGTAGTACTGTGATTATAGTGTCATATATCAAAGAGGAGTGAACTTTTTTATTTTCTTCCACAGGCCAGGTATCTATATACATTATCACTTAATTTATATCAGCAACAAGGTTTAATCTAAGCCCCAATTAGTATTGAGAAAGCTGAGTCCGAGGGGGCTAAGTTCAAAACTACATGCCCCAAGAGTGGTATATTTCAGGTCTTTGGATCTAAATATGGAATGTGCTTTTTTATTGCATCAACTTAGAAATCATATAATGAGCTCCTTAAAAGAAAAGCTGGGTTTATGTCTCAGCTCTGCTGCCACTTAAAAGCTGTATAATCTTGGTCAAGTTGTGAAACTTCTTTCAATTTCAGTTTCCTCATCTACAAAAGCAGAATAATAATAGTAATAGTTATCTCAAAGGGTGAGGATTACATGTTAATAAAGCAGCTAATGAAGTGTCTAGGAAATACAGACAATAATGCTATTGTTTATTATTAAAGTTAATTTTAACAATACTTGTAGACAGTATGTTCTATTAAACTCTCAGAAAATGGAAGTTATGGAGGCAGAAAACAGTGAGAGATAAGAAGGAATTGGAAAGGATATTCCCTAAGAAATAAGGCAAAATTGTAAGCTAAGTAAATAGGTAGTGTAATTTATTGTTTTCTTTGCCTTTTTAAAAATTTACTCCTTCAACCAGTATTATGAGTGCTTACTATGTGACAGATACTATTCTAGGTATTGGAGATTCAGGAGTGAAGAAGACAAATAAGATTTTACTCCAGAAAGAACTTAACCTTCCAGAGAAAGAGAAAGTCAATCAGAAAGTAAGTAAGTAAGCTGTGTGTGGTGGCTCATGCCTATAATCCCAGCACTTTGGGAGGCTGAGGTTGCTGGATCATTGAGCTCAGGAGTTCAAGACCAGCCTGGCCAACATGGCAAAACCCTGTTTCTACTAAAAATACAAAAATTAGCCAGGCACGATGATGGTCCATGCCTATAGTGCCAGCTACTCGGGAGGCTGAGGAAGGAGAGTCACTTGAACTCAAGAGGCAGAGGTTGCAATGAGCTGAGATTGTGCCACTGCACTCCAGCCTGGGTGAGAGGATGAGACTCCATCTCAAAAAAAAAAAAAAAAAAAAAAAAGGAAAGGAAATAAATGAATAATATAGTTGCAGTTAGTGACGAGGATATAGGGAAAATCAACGAAGAGTGCAATAGAGAAAGGGAACAGTGACTATCTGGACAGAATCAGGCAAGGAAAGACCTCATTGAGGAGATGAGATTTGAGCTGAGACCTGAGTCTGACATGCAACAGTCTGGGGACAGAACCCATGGAGTAGAACAGGGAACCCCAAGTGGAGTGTGCAGGAGAGATAAAAAGCCTATCATATTTGACAAAAGGCAAGCAGGCCAATGAGTGATAAAGTCAAAATGGCTATCAGGGATCAGGCCTTGTGGAACTGTGTGGGTAGCATGCCTGCCTTTCAACAGGTTTGTGGAGAAACAGACTGAGATGGAGATTTGCTCACATCAAGTCCTTGAGAGCAACACCCATCTAAGAAATGTAGGAGACAGGATTGAGCAGAGAGAGAAGTTGAGCTGTAATGTGTTTGATATCATTTGGCTCTGTGTCCCTACCCAAATCTCATGCCAAGTTGTAATCCCCAGTGTTGGAGGAGGGGCCTGATGGGAGGTGATTGGATCACAGGGGTGGATTTCCCCCTTTCTGTTCTCATGATAGTGAGTTCTCACGAGATCTGGTTGTTTACAAGTGTGTAGCACCTCCCCCTTTGCTCTCTTCTTCTTGCTCCGGCCACATTAGACGTGCCTGCTTACTCTTCCTCTTGCACCATGATTTTAAGTTTCCTGAGGCCTCCCCAGCCATGCTTCCGGTACAGCCTGTGGAACTGTGGGTCAGTTAAAACCTCTTTTCTTTATAAATTACCCAGTCTCAGGTAGTTCTTTATAACAATGCGAGAACAGACTTTGTTTGCAACAAAGGGCTCAGCCAACCCCACGAGCTGCTCTGAGTTAGGATGTCCCAGCAGAATTGGCCTGCCTTTGGTTCATGAGATCAGATTTTCATGTCTGTCTTCTTCCACCCACACATTGGCCAGCTAACCCTAGGAAGGGGATGTGACTCTATGCAAGTGGTTCTCTTCACCTGAAAGCAATTTCTGGATAAGACATCAACTGAGAACCATCAGCCACCATCACTCCCAGCAGCTGGGAAATGAGCATCTCTGTCATGGAACAGGGATCTGGGTGACAGACTATAGCATCCGTCACAATGACCACACAATGAATCATTCAGACTGGGATACTTCTGAAAGTAAAAGGGGTTCTTATTAATAATCAGCTGAGGAAGCAAACATATATAAAGAATGTCCCAGCTAAACTGATACATGATATAATTTACTCATTCATAGACTGCAGTACACAGTGTAGATTTAATTTTAAGTGTTCTGGAAGGCCAGGTTACTTAGAATGTATTTGCATTACTGGCCTCAAAACATGCTGGACAGCGTCAACTCTACTTTCTCAGAAGATCTAGTTGCAGGTCTCTGAAAAAGAAAATACCCCAGAACTGGGGTGTTGCTGCTGCCGCCTCTACCTTATTTTGGCTGCTTTTGTTTCAGGGCTCTCATAGGCATCACTGCCTCGTCAGCCTCCTACTGCCTTGATGCCTCTCATATTGAATATCAATACCGCGGTAATTTTGCAACCACTAAACTGATTTAAAGATGAAATGGAAACAGTTCAATATCAGCAAAGATGTTAAAATTACATATTTTGAGGCTCTGTGTCATGAGAGGAAAGTGAATAAAGGCTTTGTGTTCCCAGGAGGAGACTGAGAGCAAGGGGTGAAGGAGTGGGAGAGAAAGATTACAGCGCTGGTGGGCTCAAGAAGAGCCATTCCACCAAGGCTCAGAATAAACACAACAGGCAAGAGTTTACTTACAGGCTAACGCGGATTTGAAAATGATATCAAACCCTTCCAGATGCTGACTGTTAGCATAGATGAGTCAATTCACAGATGGTTGTAAACAGCCTGTGCCAATGGAGATGGAGAACACTGTCCCTGTAGTGGGGATTCTTAATCAAGGACCCACAGACCCCTAAAGGGGTTCACAGGTAGAACTCAGGGAGTCTGTAAAGTTGGATGTAAAGGATGTCACACCTTTACTTTCACTAACCTCTAATTTAAATTTAGCAATCCTTTTACTTATGAATGTGAGCAATAAACCCTAATAGGCTAGAAACGCCTGTGACTTTATCACAAATGGAAATCACTGACATGCTCATATCATAATAGGGTTCTTGCAAGTTCCTCAAAATCTCTTTCACTTTCATCACTTTTTAATTATAAGAGTCATGAGACGTATCATTAGATCTCATTTTTTAGTGTGTTAATAAAGAAGTGTATAAACCGTAAATACTATACCATAAATATGGTTAAGTATTTTGATAATTGTTTTAATACTATTGATTTCTTTCTGTTTCTAAGCCTATATATTTATGGTGTGTACTTAAGGGTTTCTGTTGATTTTACCAGACTACGTAAAATGTCCGTGGGACACAAATTGGCAAATGCCCTACCCCAGATTCCTGTATTTAGGGATATGCCACTACATCTTCACTTCACAGCAGGTACAATCCTCAGTCCACAATACAGGTAGATAAGATTTATTGCATTTGTTTGCTTTCTTTGAATCAAATGTTGAGTTTAGCTGCAGTCTAAATCTGGGGAGTTCTGTATTCCTCGCCTTCTAGATGTCACAGTGTGAACCCTAAAATTGGAGTACAACCTGAGAGGGTACATGGGCTCTTGGCTTCACACAGGAAAGAATTCAAGAGCAAGCCAACAGAGTAAAGTGAAAGCAAGTTTATCAAAAAAGTAAAGAAATAAAAAAGTGGCTACTCCTTAGGCAGAGCAGCCCTGAGGGCTGCTGGTTGGCCATTTTACTATTTCTTGATCATATGCTAAACAAAATGTAGATAATTCGTGAGTTTTTCAGGGAAAGTATGGGAAATTCCTAGAACTGACTCCCCTACCCCCACCCTTTCAGGTCATATAGAGTAACTTCCAGATGTTGCCATGACATTTGTAAACTGTCATGACACTGGTAGGAGTTTTCTTTAGTATGCTAATGTATTATAATTAGCATATAATGAGGAGTGAGAAAGGCCACTGGTCACTTTCATAGCCATCTTGGTTTGGGTGGGTTTTGTCTAGCTTCTTTACCGCATCCTGTTTTATCAGGAGTCTGCATGACCTGTATCTTGTGAAAGCAGTCCTGCCAAACTCTTACCTCCTAGAGGTTTCCATAATATCATGGAGTTGCAGTAGAGAAATGTGCAATAGCTGATAATATAGTTCTACTCATGCACAAATCATTTTGGACAGACCTCAATTTCCAATGTGCCCAGGGTGTGGAGGGTGGTAGTAGCAGGATAGGTAAAAGGTGAATGATGTTATTCTTTGGGTCCCTCATATTTTGAGATCCAGAGAATATGGATTGGCCCCCAACTGACTTCAAAAGGAAATGTCTCTTAGATGACTGGCACCAATAAACCAGCCTTTGTGGTTTTGCTAGAGGCAACTGACCTGTCTAGTGATGGCCCCTTTTAGTGGCTCTGAGTGTTACCCAAGACTTTTCATCAGTGATAGCAGTTGCTGCTGAGGGTCACAGAGAGCCACTTTTAAATACACACTCTTTCAACTGAGACCACAATAATGCTTCAACCATTTAAAATTTGTCATGTGCACTTCAAAGAACAAAGTCTTCCTCTCTTACTACATTGCTGCTTAAAAAAAAAAAAAAAAAGAAGAAAACCTCTCAAAATCAATTTAGCTCACTGCTCTTCAATATTCAAACTCTGTCATTACAAAATCCAAAACATTCTTTTGAAACAATTTTTATAAGTATCGAACTTGCTTTCTTTGCTTTAGAAAGCAAAGTAATGGCTTTCTAAAACCAGCACCTATCAGAGGCATAATAAAATTCTCTTTCAGGGACTGAAGATTTTTCAGTGATTCCCCCCAAAATCAACTTAGACATGACCTTCCTGCTTCCGGGTCATGGAACTACCCTGGGATCTTTCACTGTGCTCAGGTGAGGCAGGAAAATTGGGTCTGGTGTCAGGGAACCTAAGGCCAATTCACACTTCGGCTATGACAGGAAATATTTTCTCCGTAGGGCATATGCCGAGTAAATGACTCTAACTTTACTTCATCCTCTTCATTTACATAGGGCGTATACCAAGTAACCAATGGAATCCTCTAAAGGGTATTTAAACTCCCCAAAACTCTCTAACAGGGCCCTTGAGCTCCTATGCTCCAGCCCGCTCGCAAACTGTGGAGTGTACTTTCATTTTCAATAAATCTCTTCATTCCTTTCTTTCTTTGTGCTTTTTGTCTAATTCTTTTTTCAAGACCCCAAGGACCTGGACACCCTCTACTGGTAACATAAACACTATGTCCCAGTTTGCCTGGCATTGTCCCAGTTTGTGCTGTTGCCCTGGCCTAGTGCCTCCTTTCATCTTAAATGTGTCTTAGTCTAGATGATAAATTTCATGGTCATTCTGGCCATTAGTCCATGCAGGCTATGGCTGCCACATCTACTTCTTTGTATGCCTGAGCCTTCCAGGTACAGGGACTAGGCTACTCCTGAGCCATTCCTGGGGAAGGCCATCTCCTCAGAGGCCTTGACACTTGCACAGGATTCTGCTACCAGAGTTTAAAGGGTCCATGCTTTCCTGGCTGCCTCACAGAATTCCTCCTTACCCTTCCCTACTTCTCCCTGACTCCAATTAGAACTCCTTCCAAGGGTTAATTTCTTCATACATGGAAGAAAATAATAACATGGCAGCTGGCTATGGCTTTGAGCCTGTGAAACAAACGTCCCTAGGCGCAAAGAGACACAAAGGAGATTAGCAGACACCCTTTCATGGATGTGGGAGCCTCTTCACGGATTTAATTATCCTATAGGGGTATGCACATTTGTTTAGGCCATTTTACAACTCTGTAGAGACACAAGTTAACTTGTAGAAAACTGGTTATAGCAAAAATATTTCATGTCTATACACATGCAAAGTCTCTCCAGAGAAGGCAAAATTATTTCTCTCCCCGGTGTAGAAAAATTCAGTTTGTACCTATTTGTCAATTTATGCCAGCATCTTTAATCTATAGAAGCATTGTACTTGAATTCTCCTTTGAAGCAGTTGTTACAGTTCACTTATTAATAAGTAAAATCTTTGGCAGTTGTTCATTTGTATCTGTATGAAAGCCATGATCCTTTTTTTTTTTTTTCTTGAAAATTATCCTCTAACACCTGGTTAGCTGCTTGAAACAGCAGAGAGAGGAAAATAAAGGAACAACACAAGCTAATAGTTCAATAAAATATCTCGTCACCTCCATTTATTCTTTCCTTTTTCCCATCACATACAGTCTATGCGTGACTGTGGCACTGTACAATACAGCTTTTAACTTGAGATGCAGATTCTATTTAGTTCTGGATTCTCCTTTCCAGTCCTTGAGGCTAATTCTTAGACTTTACACTCTGAACACCAGCTCTCAACAAATCTATGGATTCCTCCCTTGGTGGTCTACATTAACAATTTCCCCGGAGAGTAATTGCGAAGACCATTTGTGTTCATTTTGCATAAAAATGACAGAACCGAACAGAATTTGCATAGGCATCCATCTGCCATGCTTGAGCTAAAATATTACCCTTCAAAATCCCAATTCAACCAATTTTGAGTGACTGCCCAAAATTTGTGGCCAAGCCTGTCACCTCTCTTCTCAAATGACATCCACGGTACCCCGTTGCCTGAAGAGTAGGTTCCAAACCAGTTACTTCGATGCTTTCAAAGTCCTTTGGCATCTGGCTCACTCTATCCTGTGACATAGCACTCCCCACAGAACACAGAAGTTATACAAAAGACCTATCATTTCCAAGCATAACAGGTGATTTTTGTGTCTTCTATTCTCGATTCATGCTGTGCCCTCCACCATGCGACTCCTTTCTCTGCCTTCTGAACTTTTACTCTGCAAATCTGAGCTTAGATTAACCTGACCCTCTCTGTTACCCTTTCCTCCCCAGTAAAATTCCATGGACCTCATATCTGTAATCTTATAACACTTCAACCATATCACAAATAAAACACCTGATCATAGTTAAGATCAGCTACAACATTCGCAGGGCTCAGGGCAAAAAGAAAAATTGTGGGGTCCCTCATTCAAATTTATTAAGATGTCAATAGAAGCATTAAACCAAGTGCAAGGTCCTTCTGAGTATAGGGTCTGTGGGACTGCACAGGTCACACTCCCTTGAAGTCTGTTCACAGTTCTCATAAGTATTTGCTCACATGTCAGCCTGAGCCCCGTGGCTTTTCACCGCCTGAGAATTAAAAATCAAATCCTAAGCTCCCCAAGTGGACTGAATGGACCCCCTCTTGGTCAAGGGGAACCAAGAGAAGTCATTTTTTTTTTTTTTTTTTTTTGAGACAGTATCTTGCTCTGTCGCCCAGGCTGGAGTGCAGTGGTGCAATCTCAGCTCACTGCAAGCTCCGCCTCCCGGGTTCACGCCATTCTCCTGCCTCAGCCTCCTGAGTAGCTGGGACTACAGGCGCCCGCCACCACGCCCAGCTAATTTTTTTGTATCTTTAGTAGAGACAGAGTTTCACCGTGTTAGCCAGGATGGTCTCCATCTCCTGACCTCGTGATCCTCCTGCCTCGGCCTCTCAAAGTGCTGGGATTACAGGCATAAGCCACCGCGCCCGGCCCCAAGAGAAGTCTTCACAACTGAGTTCCTGGCTATGACTGGTCAGAAAGTCAGGCAAGCCTCATTATAGCTCCTCCCTCACTAACTGCCATTCGACTTGCTTTCCTAAGGGCTAAACAGAAACCAGCCCTTTTGAAAGATGTGCCATACTCCCCTCCCTTCTTGTGGTTTTGACAAAACAACTGACCGGCATTTCTTCTTGATAAGAGAAAGGGACTGGCTCTGGCTAGTCTACAGAGACTGTGCATGAGATGCCTCTGTGTCCTTCATATCACCTTTTCATGTATCAAGCCAAACTGGAATGCATTTAAATGTTAAGCCTCCACCCCAAAGTGAACACGGGACATATGCAACACACATTTGCTTATTACACACGTGTGCACCCTCCTTTGTGACTGTTTATAGTTCCTCCTGTTACCTGTTGATAACGTATACTTAGCCTACCTGTTCAGCTTCAATTCCTGTCTCATCCTTCCTTCTCTGAAGTGCTCGCGTCTGGTTTTTGCCAGGGGCTGTGCTTCCCAGCCTGCAGGATGGCCAGGCTGCAGGCTGCAACCCTTTATAAAAAATGAAAAGGAGACGAATAGCATCAGGATAAATAGCTAATGCATGTGGGGCTTAACACCTCAGTGATGTGTTGATGGGTGCAGCAAACCACCATGGCACATGTTTTCCTATGTAACAAACCTGCGTGTCCTGCTCATGTATCCGAGAGCTTAAAATAAAATTTAAAAATTCAATTTAAAAAAGGCAGTGTCAGAGGCATTGGAACCAGAGCGACTCCATCTTGAGTGAGGGCTGGAAAATGAGGCTGAAACCTGCTGGGCTGCTTTCCCAGAAAGTCAGACATTCAGAGCCCCTAGATGTTTATGGTTAAGGAACAAATTAATAATGTTTACTAAACAGACCCAGACTTGGGAGTGTCCAGATATCCCACTATCTGGAGAACAAAGGCATTCCTAATTTTGCTTTAAAGATAATAATATCGATTCTTGCAAAATATAATAAGAAAATTAATCCTTACCACAAAAATTAATACCACAAACCATTGTACCAGAACACACCTGCCCATATAATCAAGCATTGTACCTAGGGTGGATGCGTTCCTTCTCTTACTTTCAGGAACATCCTACTCTGTCTATGGAGTAGCTGTCCTTTCACCATTTTACTTTCTTAATAAAATTGCTTTCACTTTGCACTGAGAACTCGCCCTGAATTATTTCTTGCGTGAGATCCAAGAACCCTTTCTTGGGGTCTGGATCAGGACCCCTTTCCTGTAACAGCAGGCTTTGGAGGGGAAATTGTTACAATATTTTTGAAAAATAATGGACATTATCTAATAAAATCTAAAATATATTAAAAAAATAAAGCTCTCCTTTCCAAATGTATAAACATTGTGGTTCACCAGTTGATAGCCCTGCCCCCATTGCAAATCTTCAGTTTTCTCATTCTGAACCTCTTGGTCACTGTGAGTTTTCTCTTGCTGGTGTAACAAATTACCAAAAACTTGGTGGCTTAAAACAACACAAATTTATTCTCATACATTCTGATGGCCAGCAATCCTAATTCCCTGTAACTGGACTAAGATCAAGGTGTCAATAAGGTTGGTTTCTTCTGGAGGCTCCAGGGAAGAATACATGTCCCTGCCTTTCCCAGCTTCTAGAAGCTGCCAGCATTCCTTGACAGGTGGCCCCTTCCTTCATCTTGAAAGCACATGACTCCAATATTTTCTTGCTTTGTTACATCACTTTCTCTCTGATTCTGACTTCTCTTGTCTTCCTCTTATAGACTCCTATGGTTACATCAAGCCCGCTTGGATAATCCAGCATGATCTCCCCATCTCAAAATCATTAACTTAATCACATCTGCAAAGCAATTTTGTGCTATATAAGGTGATAGTTATAGGTTCTGAGGATTAGGACATGAATTTGTTGGGGATGGGGGAGGTTATTTTTCTGTCACCACAGTCTCCAAGGCAGGGTATCAAGTGCAGGGCTCAGGCACACAACACAGATGCAACACAGTGCAGGCTGGAAGGGCCAAGTGCTGGATCAGCAGGAAGTCCTAAGCAACACATAGAGAGGCATGATTGGCCTGGGTTTGGAGGGGTAGACTCTTTTCACTACTCTCCCTGTAGTTGGAATCTTGGGCAATCAGCCTTGTAATATTGTAAGAAGGAGGGTGAGCAATGGGGAGGTGGGAGAGGAACCAGAGGCAAAGTCGCAGAGTGTTGAGTCAGAAATGGCGAGAGAAGTTGACAGGGAGAGGACACTGAGGGGACACAGTGGGGCAGCCTTGTCATCTGAGCCTGGACACTAGCTGTTCAGAGGAACTGCATGGCACTAATAGAATCTGGAAACCAGGAGGTTGAGGGAGAGGGCCCCCAGTCCTGGATAACTCATTGCAAGACAGCCTATAGGGCTGAAACAGAGCTGCAAGATTTAGCAAATGAAAACACAAGATGCCAAGCTAAGCTCGAATTTCAGATGAACAATTAATTTTTTAGTTTAAGTATGTGCCATGCAATTTTATCTGGCAACACTAGCCTAGAGAGAGCCATTATAGGCCATTCAGCATAAAAACTCTATTCCTAGGCCACACATAGACAGAATTAGAATTCACTGGGCATTCTAAGTCCTAACAGGGGACCTATTTACCACTTTCTTAATATGCTCATGCTTTCTCTTTCTTAGCCTTCTGCAAGGAATGAGCTTCTTCTATTCCAGCATGAGAGAGCTTGGTCATCCTTCAAGTCTCAGTCAAGGTTGAGAAATTGATTCACCTATCCCCACACTCAGCCTGGACGCTAAGAGCTGAAAACAGGTCCCCTTCCCAGGCAAACTGTTTGAATGTTCATTACAAGAACCTCCCAAAAGATCTATCAACTCTTTAATGGAAAACATCCATACACAGTTTAACCCTAAGATTCTTTGAAGCCATCACCCCAAAATTGCTATTTCCACTAATTCTGGTAATCCTTATCCAATTCTAATCAAGACCCTCTTTCTTAAAAAAACAAACAAAACAAAACAAAAAAAAAACTTTCTTAAAATTTCCAGTTCTCAACAAATTCTGACCTTACTTTTTCCTCTCTGAGACAGTTCCAAAGTTTGGGAGATGATGGTCTTCCTTACCAGGGCAAGCGAGAAACTCAGCTTTGTCCTATCAATAAGTTGTCCTGGTGATATGTGAGGAGCCAGATGTTAACAAGGTGCCACCTCCTCCTTTGGGAAGCCCTCCTGGTTAATTCCAAGGGTAAGAAATCACTTCAGGCAGACCCAGAGCTCTTCATTAGGTTCCATCAGGTCCCCATAGCAAGCATCACAGGCTTCCGTGGAGCAGAGTTATTAGTGAGCACAGCTGAACAGAGCTGAGCACCCCACGGGCAGAAGACCTGTCTCCTCTGAGTCTATACCTTCCGTGGGAACCAAGGCCTTTACCTCCTTCAAGAGCTGCTGAAACGTCACTGACATGAGGCAGACAAATAAGAGAAAAGGCACACAAATGTATTTAATGTGTGTACACAGAACCTATAGAATGAAGACTCAACCCCCACAACAAGGAACAGAAAAGTATATATCATCATGAGGTTACAGAAAAAAATGCAGGCTGAGCACATGGCCAAAACCAGATTATTTTGGTAAATCAGGTTTTAGTGGCAAACCAGGATATGGGAGGGAGAAAGGAGGGGGCTTGGCCAGCAAAGGTGGTCTTGTTATGTAGATAAAGCCTCATAGGTAGCAGCCCTCAGAAAGAATAGACAGTAAATGCTTCTTTTCAGACTTTTACAGATGTCAGACTCTCAGTTTCTGTCTCCTAGACCCTGGAAAGGCCTAGAAAGAGAAGGCCTGGCTGCATTAATGGAGATCTCTACAAATGCAAATTTCTCTCCCCTCTCTGCTGCCTCTGCAACAGCCATTTCAAAATATGTCAAAGAAATATATTTTGGGGTAAAATATTTTTTATTTCCTTTAACTTCCAGTATGTCTGACCCACAAAGGGTAATCAATATACATGTATGAAAGAAAGGTTAACAAGGAACTAGAGAAATAATATTTGATTGTAGTGAAGTCCTATAAAAAAAATTTGTGCTTCAGTGGAAAATGATGCTCTGCCTACAACAAACCAGTCAGGGCTACCTAACTCTGATTCTAGGGGAGCTATTTACAACTCTGTAAATTGGAGATAACTTCTAGCAGTCCAAAATAATTCTTATGTATGGCATGCAAATCCCGTCCAGTACAGACCCAACTGATCTCTGTATTAGTCTATTTTGCATTGGTATAAAGGAATATTTGAAACTGGGTAATTTATAAAGAAAAGATAATCATTTGGTTCATGGTTGTGCAGAATGCACAAAAAGCATAGTGCTGGCATCTGATTCTAGTGAGGCCTCAGGAACCTTACAATCATGGCAGAAGGTGAACGGGAACATGTTACATGGTGAGAGAGGGAGCAAAAGAGAATGGGAGGGGTGTGACACCCTTTTTACAACCGGCTCTCACGTAACTAACAGTGAGAATTCATTCATTACCGTGAGGAAGGCACCAAGCCATTCTTGTGGAATTTGCCCCCATGACCTAAACCCTTCCCACTAGGCCCCACCTATAACATACGGGGACACATTTCAATGTGGGATTTGGAGAGGACAATTGTCAAAGGCATGTGAACCAGAGCAACTCTATCTTGAATAGGAGCTGGGCAAAATAAGGCTGAGACCTATTGGGCTGCATTCCCAGATGGTTAGGGCATTCTAAGTAACAGGATGAGGCAGGGGGTTGGCACAAGATACAAGTCATAAAGACCTTGCTGATAAAACAGATTGCAGTAAAGAAGCCTGCCAAAACCAAGATGGCAGTAAGAGTGACCTCTGGTCGTCCTCACTGCTACACTCCCACAAGCACCATGACAGTTTACAAATGCCATGGCAACGTCAGGAAGTTACCCTATATGGTCTAAAAAGGGGAGGCATGAATAACCCACCCTTGTTTACCATACCATCAAGAAATAACCATAAAAGTGGGCATAGAGTCCCACTTTTATGTCTATGGAGTAGACATTCTCATATTCCTTGACTTTGCTAATAAACTTGCTTTCACTTTACGAATCGCCCTGAATTCTTTCTTGAGTGAGATCCAATAACCCTCTCTTAGGACCCTCTTTTGGGGTCTGGATCAGGACCCCTTTCCTATAACACAACCATCCAAACTATATGAATGTCCCTCCCTTGATATGGAAAAAGCTAGTGTTGCCTCCATTTGCATCCTCATTCCAATATTTCTGATGTATAAATGTCTCTTATTTCCATTTTCATTTGAGCCAGCTATAAAATCTTTCTGGCTTTCTCATTTAATTAATGAGCTCAGAAAAATTTTAAACATGTATTTCTTTCTATAGCTGCACAAAAATTATTTTACATTTTTAAAAATTGCTTTTTCACAAAGTCTAATTCTAATATAAGAAACACAATTAAGATTTTTAAAAATGGGGTCGCATGGAGGGAGGGAGACTAGGATGTTCTTTCAATGTTCCACTCAGCTGGACCAAATTTTAGAGAGGTTTCTTTCTGACTATAGCCCTCACACCTCCTTTATCTTAGAGCATTTACTTTAGAAAACTTTCTCAAGGACTTGGGAGGCATCGCTTTGAAATGTCATTCTCAAAAATGATAGGGTCCCTACCTCCCAGTCTTTGCAGGGTTGTGGGTGAGGAGGAGACAAGGGGCCTTAATCTAGAAAAGTGCTCATTAGCAAATGCAAGTGGCCTAATCACATTGACCAGCCCCCATCCCTCACACTCCAGCACTTAACAACTTGCCCACCTTTTGTTTCAGTGGAATTGAGTTCAATCTCTTTCCTACTGCAATAGTCTTGACCTCTATTGCAATGGTCTTGAATGGTCTTCCTTACCTGCTTAACTCTATCCAGTGCAATTTTTCTTAGATAAGAAAGGAAAGAAGGAAATTGAAAAGGAAAAAAAAAAAAACTTAAGCAATAAAATCCCAATTCTATGTGGAAGATGAAAATAATGCATTTCAGTGCGTTTAATTAATTTGCAAATTCAGGATCTGCACCCAGATCTTCAGTCCGTATGAGACCTGTGCTTTTGGCACTCTCTCTCTTGTTTAATCCTGTGTTCCATTGACAGACAGAGCAGAAATATCTACTTGTAAGAGCGGCTCTCAATTTTTGAGTATGCTTTATTCCACCAAAACCCCCCAGGCCAGGCTGTTTGTGGCCTTGGCTAACAGATATGCCAAGGGCCATACAACAGCTTTTCTTTGCCTCTGTGTTCTGTAGGTCCAGAGGCAGGCAGAGGATGAAACATCTTGGATTGTCCCTGACGGTCAGAGATCTGCGTTACCAGAAAGCCCTTCTCAGGATTTGTATTCTGGCCACGTGTGGAACTTAACTGCATATCAGAAACGTGCTGGTGATTGCAAGTAGCTCTGTAAAATATTTATTCAATATTAGCTTGCAATGTGTACTCCCATTAGGTAATGGAACTGGAGAGCTTTGGCTCAAAAGAAAAGAACAAGTGTGAGCATGAAAGCATTAGGAGTCAACTAAGTTTTCTGAATTTTTAGATCACAAAAGATATATACCAAACCCTCAAAATTAGAAATGCCATTACTTTTTCAGTCACTAAAGGAAGAAAACAAGGGATGAGGTCAGCACTGTGGAGGTGACATTTTCTGCATTCACTTTTTATCTTTGCAAGAAGATATGATAAATATTTTCTTTGATGAAAAGTAATCTAAAAATTGCAGATAAATTAAAATTCAACTGACAAACTTTTTTTTTTCCTAAGAATGAGATCTTTGGGAGAAAAATAAGATATTTTTATATGGGTAGCAGATTCATTTATTCATTTAACCAACATGCATTGAGGAAATTAGCTAGGTGCTAGGATATAGTATTTTTTAAAATGATGCTGATTTATAATATAGTGCAAAAGACAGCTATCAATAAAAATTATCACATGGATAAATATTTACTTATGTATTTATTTATTTTGAGACACAATCTCGCTCTTGTCACCCAGGCTGGAGAGCAATGGTGTGATCTTTACTCACTGCAGCCTCCATTTCCTGGGTTCAAGTGATTCTCTTGCCTCGGTCTCCCGAGTAGCTGGGATTACAGGTACACACCACCATGCCATGCTAATTTTTATATTTTTAGTAGAGATGGGATTTCACCTTGTTGGGCAGGCTGGCCTCAAACTCACAACCTCAGGTGATCCACCACCTACCTTGGCCTCCCAAAGTGCTGGGATTACAGGCATGAGCCACCTTGCCTAGCCAGAAATTATCACATGGATAAATATTTAAATACAAGCTGATCTAAGGCTCTGCAAAGAAACAATTTGTCACTTTGACAGCACACAATAAGAGTTTGACCTCTGCTTCAGGCTTCCCTGAGAAAGTGATTTTTAGTCAAGAACCTTAGGGATGACTACAAGTTGACTAGGTGGAGGAGCAAAAGAAGGGGCCACGGTGGGCGACCACGTGTGCATACTGAAAACTAAAGCCGGACCACTGGCAGTTGCCAGACGAAGCAATGATTTATAGGTCAAATTAACGATTTTGGTCTTCCTCTCAAAAGCAATAGAAAGTCATGAGGGTTTCCGAAGACTGCCTTTTGCAAAGATCACTTTGGCTGCAGTTTGGAAAATGGTTTCAGAGCAGGTGGAAGACTGAACATCAAGGAGACTAGTTGGGTGTTAGCGACCAGCTAGTCAGGTGAGAGGTTCTGATAGCTTGAATAGGAAGGTGGCCATGAATAGGGAGAGAAATGAACCACTCTGAATAACAACAAGATTTAAATTAGCACCCATTAAATAACTAAATCAAAGCCAATTAGAGCCCCTTCTGGAAAACTGCATGGGTGACGGGAATGGCCGGCCATTTTGGTAGTTTGTTAGAGTGGCTGTGTTGATAAATAAGAACGCTTTCTCACCTTTAGGCAGTTATTACTAAATCGCTCATTCTCAAACCCTTTCTTCCAAATTATCAAAGTCTTTCTTTAAGACCAGAAAAGGTATTTTTTGTCCATAATTATTCATCTCAGAATTGTCATTGAGGCCATGTGAACAAAGTCCTCTTGCTCCAGGCAATTCAGAGAGACTGTAGAATCCTCCACTAAAATGGTATTTGCACTTATCCTAGCAAAAGGAAGATATGAGTTTTTTCACTATTGCTATAAGGCAGGTTAAAGCCATGCAGTCTGTTTATCAGGTTGTAGAATTGTTCTAATCCTGGAATTGTGTACCTTAACCTATGCTTTACAGTTTTGTATAAAGTTGGCCAAGAGGTGGGATGTTTTTCAGAAAAAAAAAAAAAAGGTATTGAATTAAATATCATTCAGAGAAGTGGCAACTGAATGCCACCATCGCTTGCTGGTATATGATGAGGTAACAATTCTAAAGTAGTGTGTTTTAAACTTTATCATGGAAATCATTTCCCAGCAGTCCTAAATCCAGGATCTGGGATGGAGCCTAGGAGTCTTCACTTTGAACGATCACTCTGGAAGATTCTGACTCAGGTAGTCCTAGAAACACACATAGGAAATACTCTACAGCATAAAAGCCTCTTTTAATCCTCAGCTGAATTCAAGAAAATATCAAATGGTTCAAATAGGTCCAGTGACTCTATTTGAAATACAATATTTGGGCTCAGACAGAGCACCTCTGAAAATCCATCCTTTCTACAGATGAAATGTTTTCTGGGTACTCTGCTTTGCTTTCTTTAAAATTCTACACAGTATTACATACACTTCACTGACTTAACATTTTCTCTTCCATAAACTTCGACAAGTTGTTGATGTATTTCTGCACAGAAACATTTTTTTTTTTTACTTTGAATAAAACCAACACTTCCTGTAGGGATTATGGGTTTAGGAAAGAGATATTTTTTAAGTAAGAGAATTTCAAAATTGTAGCAAAATTAGTGTCTAGTGGTCCAAACTTTGCCTGTAATGAAGAGAGGTGATGAAGAGATCAGGGTTCGGGGAAGGTGCTGGCTCCTGCCTACACCCCAAGACAATAGTAATGACTTCTCCTCAGAAGTGAAAAAAATGAAATCCTATAAAATTGATGGGATTAACCATCTACTAAGAATAAACTACCAGTTTGTCAGAACATATGTTAACAGACGCTAATTGTTGGATATGGAAGAGTTTCTTAGAAATGATCTTTGTGTCCTAAATAAGAGAAAAATAAACTAGTAATTAAAACATGGTCTACACACAGTGTGACTGTGGGCATTTGATAATCTTGCTAAGCCTTGCTTCTCTTATTGATAATGCGTGGAAGGAGAAATAATTATGTTGAACAAATTTTATTTTATATGGATTAAATAACATTCACTATAATATACTTAGATGCTACTTAATGTCATTCTGTGGTTTGGTATTTTTGTTGTTTTATATTTTTTGACTAGGATTAATAACATTAAAAGTCAGTTTCTTTCCTATATAGTCATTTAAACCAGTTAAATTTTATTATGGAGAAGATTCCATTTGCATAGCAATAAAAACTACAAATTACCTAAGAATAAACTTTTTTTAAAAAAGTTTAAGACCATAAGAAAAAACTATAAAGCTTTACTAAAGAAAGACTAAGATAAATTCAGTATTATAAATCTATCCATTCTTTTAAGATTAATAATCTCACCAACATCACATTGAATAGAATTCTCATAAAATCCTCATGGTATTTTTTTTTTTATAATTTGAGAAGTTGATTCTAAGTCCATCTGAAAAAGTAAACGTAGAAAAAGCAGCAAAATTATCTTGATAAAGAATTTGCATTACCAGAATCAGTATATATGATGTAAAAGCCACAAGATTTTAACAATGTGAAATGGATGCAGGTATATGGATGCAGGTGTTTGTGTATATATACATGTGTGTGTGTGTGTGTGTGTGTGTGTGTGTGTGCGCGCGCGCGCATGTGTGTGTATTTTAATTTAAGCTAGTTTTAAAAGAGTATCTCATTTGCTCCTAAAACAAAACAAACAGACTACTACAGTGTTGATCAATATTTGGCCCCAAGTTTTCATGTCATGAAATTGTCTTATATAAATATTTGATATATTTCCTATATAGAAAAATGCCAGAAGGTACACTAAGCATTATATCATTATGACATTATTTTTAATTGTAAAAAAAAAAATAGACACAACCCAAATACCTTCAGATAACGTGTATCTGAGCTTTTTTAGTATAGCTGAGAAATTGCCTGCTACGTCTCACCTTCTCTCAGATAACATAAGAGCTGGGGTAGGGGAAGCCTGAAAGTACTAGTGTATTAGTCTGTTTTCACACTGCTATAAAGAAATGCCTGATACTGGTAATTTATAAAGAAGAGATTTAATTGAGTCACAGTTCCACATGGCTGGGGAGGCCTCAGGAGACTTACAATCATGGTGGAAGGGGAAGCAGGCACCTTCTTCACAAGACAGCAGGAGAGAGAAGTGTTTGAAGGAGAAACTGTCGGACATATAAAACCATCAGATCTTGTGAGAACTCACTCACTACAATGAGCTACTACTACATACCCACTAGAATGGCTCAAATGAAAAAGACTGACAACACCAAATATTAGCAAGATTGTGATGCAACTAGAGCTCTCATACATCGTTTGTTGGAATGTATGGTCATACAACCTTTTTAAGAAAATTTCTGAATGTGCAATTACCCTATTACCCAGCAAACTAGGAAATTTTACTCGTAAGTATTCCCTCTAGAGAAACTAAAACATATGTCCACACGAAGACTTGAACAAGAATGTTTGTTCATAGTGGCTTTATAGAAGCTCAGATATTCACAAACAAAGGAATAGTATATTCATACAGTGAAATATTATTCAGCAATAACAAGGAACATATTAACTCACATAATGTGAATGCATCTCAAAAACACCATTCTGATTAACAGAAGCCTTATACAAGAGTATAAACTCTGTGATTCCATTTATATAAATTCTAGAAGAGGCAAAATTAATCTATGATTTTTCAAAAATTTAGAAGAGTGGTTACCTCTGGGTGGGGTTAACATTGGGAAGGGGCAGGCAGGAACTTTCTAGACTAATAAAAAGATGTCTTGATAAGGATTTGGGTTATACAGTTTTGTTGGTTTTCTGTGGCTGTTGTAAAAAATTACCACAAACTTGCTGGCTTAAAATAATATAAATTTATTCTCTAACAGTTGTGGAAGAAGTTCAAACAGAAGTCTGAAATCAATTCCAATGGGCTGAAACCACGTGTCCTAGAACAATGCCTCCTTGAGAGGCTCTAGGGGAGAGCAGCCCATTTCCTTGCTTCTTTCAGCATCTTGAGCTGCATTTTTTGCTTTTTCAGCTTCAAGCCTGTATACCTAGGCTCAAGCTCCTTCCTCCATCTTTAAGACCTGTAAGGTAGCATATTCAAATTTTCTCTATCCCTGTTTTTCTCCCTCTTTCTCTTTTTCTCTCCCTCTTTCCCTCTGCCTTCTTACCTCCATCCTTCCTCTTTCTCCTGAGATCATCACATTGCTTTCTCTCTTCGCTGTGTATCAAACCTCCCTTTGCCCCTCTCTTATAAGGACATTTGTCATAGCATTTAGGACCCACCCAGATAATTCAAGAAAACATCCCCATCTCAGGATTCCTAATCAATTATGTCTGCAAAGTCTTTGGCATCTTAACATTCACAGTTTCCAGGGATTAGGACCTCCTATCTTTGGGGGCCACTATTCAGCTTACCACAAGAGGTACATGGATTTGTCCAAATTCAGCAAACACACAACTAAGATTTGTGCATTTCATTGCACGTAAATTTTACATCAAAAGAAACCAGCTGTACATAATTACTGAACTTTGATTATAATATGCAGGTCAAATTACTTAGGGGAAAGTGTATGAAGGTTACATAGATAAAGAAGCAAGTATAGCAAAATCTTAATGTTAGAATCTAGGTGGTGGGTATATATGTGGCCATAATAAAATTCTCTTAACTTTGCTATATTAGAAAATTTTGAATGCATAGTTTTTAAAAATTTTCTCCAATTCTGTAGGTTGTCTATTTACTCTGTTGATAGTTTCTTTTGCCATGCAGAAGCTCTTTAGTTTAATTAGATCCCATTTGTCGATTTTTTTTTTGCAATTGCTTTTGACATCTTTGTTACAAAACGTTTGCTCAGGCCTATATCCTGAATGGTATTGCCTAGGTTGTCTTCCAGGACTTTTATAGTTTTGGGTTTTACATTTAAATCTTTAATCCATATTGAGTTAAATCTTGTATATGGTGTAAAGAAGGGGTCCAGTTTCAATCTTCTGCATATTAGCCATTTATTGAATCAGGAAGTCTTCCCCCATTTCACATGGACAAATAGAAGGGAACAACACATACTGGGCCCTTTAGGAGGGTGGAGGGAGGCAGGAGGGAGAAGATCAGAAAAAATAATTAATGGGTACTAGGCTTAATACCTGGGTGATGAAATATGTACAAAAAACCCCCATGACCCAAGTTTACCCATATAACAAACCTGCAGTTGTAACCCTGAACTTAAAAGTTAAAAAAAGAAAATTTTAGGTAAGTGCTTTGCCTGAAATTGTCATAATACATTGAAAAAATCAAGGCATGTCCATTCTAATATACAACTGTTAAAAAGAATGAGTTGAGTAGCGTAATGTGTGGCCCTATATATTTTTTGAAAATATCAAGTTGTAGAACAATAGATATAGTATACAAACAGGTGGCATATAATATATAGCTGTTTTTTTGTATGTGCAAAAGCTTCATAGGTATCACAAACTATCTCGATAAATGGAGAAATATATACTCTTTCCCCAGATTCCAAATAAAATAAGCAGTCTTCTTCATAAATCTTAATAAATCCTCATTTCGCTTTTACATATAAAAGAATGTACACATCAACAATAGCTAATGATATATGCTACTCCTTATTGAGCTCTCACTCTATAATAGGTACTTAGGATTAACCATGTATTACCTGAAACATATCAAGAAGAAAGACACCATCACTACTCTGATTGTGTAGATGAGTAAGCTTAACCAATAAAAGCTTGGAAGGATTTCACCTGGAGCTTCTATTTATCATTAAAGAAGAATAAATCAATTTTCTATATACTCCCAAGTCTTTTTTGAGTACAAATTATTTGTTCCAGTTTCTAGTTGATCTCTCCTGAAAAAAAATTTCTAAAACTTCAAAGTAAAGAACTATTCCCCAATCTGCAGTTCAAAATGCTGCCCAAATATACGAGGCCCCGTCTAACTGGACATTACCCTATGCAGATGAAATCTCTTTCTAAACCTTCTTTAACACCTACAAAGTTTAATACCTAACAAAATCTCATGGAGATATTTATTGAATGTTTACTACATACTAGACACTCTGCTTATTTTTCACTGTCTCATTTACATATTACAAAAATCTCAGGAGGTAGGACCTCTATGATACCACTATTATTTCTAGTTTGCAGATGAGGAAGCCAGTTTTCAGAAAGATTAACCAATGTGCTGAAGGTCTCGCAGCCGGGACTCATGCTAACATCAGCCTAGCATTAAAAGAATACTCTCCACTGTCTCTTAATAACAACAACAAAATAGTCTACTATAAAAGGTACTAATTAAACTTCCTAAAGATCTTGAATAACTCTCATACATCAGAGATGGATTCTAGGGGCACGAGCGATGATATTGTTTTCCTAAAAGTCTTTGTTCATCACTTTTATGCATTTCTGCTAGGGAAATCTAATTCATTTTTTTTTTCTTGAGATGTATTTTCTATCTATGGAAGATAGTTAATATTTATACTATATCCTACATTATTAGTGATGTTCCATATATATTGATATTTGGACCATGAATCATATATTTCATTATAACCCATACATCAAAGAACATCAAAGAAACACTCAAACATATACAATACTGATAATAATGATGATAACACTCAAACATATACAATACTGATGATAATAATGTCTAATATCTAACATCTCATGTTCCCACCATTTGACAGATTCAAAACAAAGTAAAATGTCTTTTGGAGCAACTTGGATGGAACAGGAGGCCATTATTGTAAGTGAAGTAACTCAGAAATGGAAAATCAAGCAATGTACATTTTCACATAAATGGGAGCTAAGCTATGGATACGCAAAAGCATACAGAGTGGTATAATGGACTTTGGAGACTCGGAAGGGGGAAGATGGAGGGGAAGTGAAGGACTAAAATTACACATTGGATACAATGTATACCACTCAGGTAATGGTGCACTAAAACTTAGAATTCTCCACTATATAATTCATCCATGTAACCAAAAACCACTTGTATCACAAAGACTATTGAAATAAAATCAATAAAGTAGTTGATGTAGAAAAAAAAAGTTAAATGTAGAACAGAAAGAGTAAGTACCTGTGGAAAATACCTAGGTTTTTTTTCTTTTCACTCACTCTTCCTATAACATACTATCCTAAATAGGAAGTATTTATTTAATAGCTTTAGTTTCTCCCATACCATTCTCCTAACTCTTAGAGAGACCAAAGTATACATGAATTAGTTTCTTATTTTAATTACAGTTTAATACTAACAACACCTGTTGGCTCCAAACTGAGAAACTTTTTTTCTCCTGATTCTCATCTGCTGACTGGACATTACTTTGGCAGTTTGTTTCTATAACAATTTCACTATCTGAAAAAATCTCACTCTCAAAGTAAAAGTGATTTTATCGCATTATGCAGATTTGCTTTCTCTCAGGTTTTAATATCAAGTTAGCATGTAAGTGTTTTCTACAATGAGAATTAAACATGCTGACTCTGTATAAGTTATGTTGTTTTAATAGTTAATATAATTTAATCCAAAGCTAATACTAGCCTAATTGGGTTTACTTGTGCCTTGGCTTAAGGTCTAGAATATAATAAACTTAAAGGTCTGAACACAGTGAGGTTAATTATGCTTAAAACCTGCAAAGCAGCAAGTTTTAGGTCCATTACACACACACACACACACACACACACACACACACACACACACACCCCCCAACAGGAAAATGAGTCAAAGAAATTCTTCCAGCAAGAAATGAAATCACGCCTTCCTTCTCAGGTCTGTGTGCCGCCATAGCTCAGGTTATAATATAGCACTTGCTTTTTTCCCACCTCTTGGTAGAGCTTTCTGCCAAATTATTTGTCCTCAAGGGCTATTCAGCTCACAGTTCTATGTTCAAAATGGTTCTCCAGTGCCTATGAAATTAAATATAAACAGCTTACTCTGGCTTTCCAGAATTCTCTAATTTGAACCCAATTTACCTGCACAAGCTCATTGCCCTCTACTTCACTGCATGATCTTTAGCTTAATTAAGGTAGCTTAAGTATTGTGCCCTCAACACTCAAGCAACTTCCCACCTCTGTTACTACCCACCCCTTTTCATGCTGTCCCAATTCCCTTTGGTATCCTCTTGATCATCCTGCTCGCCATTGTTCTTCCTTAGTCTTGCAGGGAACAATGGCAGGGTAAGGAAGTCAAGAGCAGGACACAGTCATAGCCCAGCTTACTGGACCTAAGTGCAACGCCACTGGCTTGCTTTTTGATGGCATTTTATATTTGCCTTGCATGCACATTTTCCAAAAGTGAAGGTTTAATGGATCCAGTTGTTCACCATAAAATATAGAATTATCTTATAGGACGCAAGTTAGTGTGAAGGAACCTCAGAGGTCGTTAGCTTTCCTTGGGTCCAGACCATCACAAATCTTTAGCCTGTGCATCAATCAGTCTTTCATCCAATCCACTGCTGTGGCCAAATGATTGGGCTGAGAGAGCAGAGTCCAACAGGAATGTGTGCAGGCATAGGCCAGATCAAGCCAGCAAAAGACACCTATAGCATGGCAAACATTGAAGACTTGTGGACTCCTTTCTGTCAAGTCCCCTTTTAGTACCCTAAATCCCACAGACAGATTCATTTGTTAAGAAATGAAAGTGGAGGAGAGTATGGATTCAGCAATAAAGAGGAATGAACCACGGACACACAAAACATCATTGACGAATCTCAGAAACATTATGCTGAGTGAAAGAAGCCAGATACAATCGAGTACCTACTGTATAGATCTATGTATAAAAAGACTTTGAACAGGCAAAACTAATCTATTGTGATAGAAATCAGAACAGCAGTTGCCTCATTGGGGATGCAGGGCTTGTCCAGGCAGAATCCCGTCAGACGCGAAAACGATCCGTGGTGATGTCAATGATTTACATCTTGATATGACATGAATTTCATAGGTATGCACATTTCCCAACTCATCAAACTGTATACTTCAAATTTGTGTATTTCACAATGAGGACATTATTCTTCTATATTTAAAATGAGATTTGGAAAGTCAATACAAGTTCTTATGCTGTTTTTCCCCATATGTAAATGAATTCTCTCATTTTCATTGGACTTTGAGGTGAGGAGCTGCATAGGCGTGTTCTCTGAAGTCAGAATTTCTGGGTCCAAACCCCAGTTCTACCAGTTTCTGGCTTTATGACTTTGAAGTTGCCCAAGCATTCTTAAGTTTAAGGCAATTTTATCCAAAGAACAATTATCATCATCATCATAAAAACCTCACAGAATTATTGTAAAGATTAAACAAAAGAGATAACACATATAAAATCTTATGTCTCAAGGACTAAGTATTCATCTATTAGCTGCAAGTGTCAATACCAGATTTAAGCACCTTAAAAGGTAAGGCTGTGCTTTCTTAGTCTTTTTGTTAGTCTCACCACACATTTCTGTGATCTGTGCTTCTCAATCACTGGGCTGTATGTACCAGGGGTGTGAATAGTAGATATGGAGGTTTTCCAACCATATAAAAATGACAACATAACTTAATATATGGTAGAGGTGGGAGTTAAAACACCTTAGATATTATAAATGCATGATATATTTGTGGAATAGAGTGAAATTCCTAGGTATGCTGAAGATAAAACAAGAGAGTTCAAAGTGGTTTCAGACATTCCCCTAGTGGCTTTCTGTTATCCCCAGAACTATCTTCTCTATTCTCCACTGATTTCAAGGTAAATTCAGTGGAGAAGTATTAGAAGTAACATGATACTGCTGAATTCAATCAAAATCTATATTATAGGTCATTTGGGATCTATATTTGGAATAAATATCTGCTAGTTCATATTAATTTATTGGCTTGACTGTATTAATCTACTTAATCTGTTAAGTCCTCAAATTTCAAGCAAGTAGCAATTCAATTATCCCATGAATGAAGGGAGGAACAATGTTGTGCACTTTGCATATTTTTAAAAAATTAATTTAAAAAAGGAAGTGTCAACAAGTAGTGGCTGGAGCCAATGTCATTGCCTGGGTTCTTTTGCCAAGTGGCTATCCATTAATGTTGGATCGTATGACAGACGTGATCCACTATCGATGTTGTCCAAATGGCAAGTTCCGTCAGTGAAGACTTTCAGGGAACAGAATGCTGAGGACCCATTGGTTCTTAGCGCTCTCAAAATTCATCCTGATTTAGCGTCAGGTGTTGTGGATACTGTACACATGAATGCTATGCACTGATCTGTAAAAGAACTCCTAAAATACTAAAAACAAACAACTTAGGTACAATCACATTATTTTAAGCTGTATTTTTCTTAGGGAGTGAGATAAGGACTGGGGCCCTTTTGGAAATTCTATTTTACACAGATGGAAACTGCCAAGATATGAAGGCTTGAGAAATCAACAGCCTTTGGGTTAGCTTAGGGTATATGCTCCCTGAATCCCAATACAAGAGCTCAGAATGGGCATCTGCTTAAGCACCCTGAATTGCTGTGTGTGCACTCCTATAACAGGCAGACACACACTCCTGCCTGGGCTGATCATCGTTCAGCACCATCTGCTTCACAGTCATTGGGTTTCCAAGTCATGCATGTAGATCCTTTACTTTAAAGCGTAATTGTTGATTTCCACACCCAGCCTTCCTTCGTCTGCTGCCATTTCTTCCATAGTTGGCACAATCATTCTGCAAGTATTCATTGACCTCCCACTATCTACAGCATAGCTTAGAAGTTAAAAGCACAGACTCCAGAATCAGACTCCCTAAATTTGATCCTGTACCATTTCCTGGCTTTCTGACCTTGGTCAATTCCCTTAACCCCTCTGTACCTGTTTCCTCTTCTATAAAATGGGTCTGATAGTAATTCTCAGCACATGGAATGATGTGAGCATAAAATGAGTTAACAGACGCAAAGCACTCAGTTTTGGCTAGCACATAGCATAACACCCGATAACTATTGCTGTTATTGTTGTTAGTATGGTCGGGGACTGATACTGAGGATATAGCAGTGAGCAAGACCGACTCTGCCTTACTTCTAGAGGGGCTCGTGGTCTAGTATGGAGAACAAAGCATTTAAAACATAAAGATAAAGTGAATGAAGGGTTATGTCATGGAAAGACAAAACAGAAGTACACAGGAAGAGCACCTAAAACAATCAGTCAACACTCTTTATGTACTGGTTCTTCCCCCAGTCTACGTAAGACATTTGTGGGAAAAGCAAGAAGACAAGACATATCTTTGTGGTTTAGTTGCTATAGGAGTAACCCATAAGGCACATAGAAAACATGAGCACCAAGTCATGGAGAGACGGCTGGGAACTTCAGCTACAACAGTGGTTCTCCATGAGGTACTTTTCCCAGGTGACGTTTGGCAATATCCAGAGATATTTTTGATTGCCACAGTGTGGGGGTGGGGGAGTTTGGCATCTAGCAAGCAGAGGTCAGGGGAGGTGCTAAACCTCTTGCATACACAGGACAGCCCCACAACAAAGAATTATTCAATTGATGTCACGAGTGCCAAAAATGAGAAACTCTGGTCTAGAAGGAGAGACTGGATTGTGATGAGTTTACAGGACAGAACGTAGGTCTGCTTTTGTGTCTGCTTTTCTAAATACTTATTATATACATTGATGTCTCCATCATTCAGACTGAAATTGCATTCATTTTAATATGCCACCCTGGAACAAACCTGTGGGAAAGATGTACAGCTGTTTTCTACCTGTAACTATTGAAGGCTATGAACAAATACCTTTTTTTAAAAAGTGACCACATTGTCTTACACCAATTTGCATAACCTACTGCAAATCATCCCTGGCCCTCCTGGACTATGCCATGGTGTCTTTCACGTAGTTTGTGCTTCAAGTAGACAAAAGCTTAAGGGGATAAACGTCGGGAGTTGAAGTGACACCCTGTTAAGTAGCTACTAGATTTGAATTTTCTCCCCAGGATTCTATAGTAAATGCTTAAATATATTATATTGTTACATAGAGCCCTAAATTGCACATAAAAATAATTCCAAGTACTGTATTTAACTTTAGTCTGATTTTAAAAGTAGTTTGCCAATTGCTTAAATTAAACAGGTATTTTATCAACTGGGGTTCCTACTAATTATGCTGTTCCTCTTATTAAAAATTACTCACTCTAGCATGTTTCAATTTCTGTAAAACAAAGAAAAAGTTTTTTTCACGTTTTTATTTTTAGAATGAAATGTGCAATGAAAAAGAAAAAAAAAACATATGTACAACATACCCTGTTAAAATAAGTATTTATCTTGGAAAGGCAAATGTATGGGTTCTGTATAGCTAGATTTAAGTACATCAAGCCTTTTAAACTCAATGACTGACTTACAGTCTGTGTAAAAAACCACCCATCAAAGGGGTAGAGCTCATTTAATTATTTACAAGTGTGTCTTTTTGCAGTTAACTGATCTGGGGACTTCTTTATCCTTTTTTATTTTGTGGAAAGTGTCAGTGTTAAGCACTGGGGCCAATATTCATTAAATTGTGAATACAGCTTTAAATGGATACAATCTTTCTTTGTCAATTATAGCTCAATAAAGCTGGGAAAGAAAAATAAAACAAAATAAAGTCAAATGAATAAAAGCCTAATGTAAACTATGGACCCTGGCTAACAATGAGGTGTCAGTGTAGATTCACCCATTGTGACACGTGTGCCACTCTGGTGCGGGTGTTGATAGTGGGGAAGGCTGTGCATCTGCGGGGAAATGGGGACAGGGGGTGTATGGGAACCTTTAGTAGTTTTTCTTTTCTTTTTTTCTTTTTTTTTTTTTGAGACAGAGTCTTACTCTGTTGCCCAGGCTGGAGTACAATGGCGGGATCTCAACTCACTGCAACCTCCGCCTCCCAGGTTCATGCAAGTCTCCTGCCTCAGCCTCCCATGTAGCTGAGATTACAGGCACATGCCACCACACCTGGCTAATTTTTTGTATTTTTAGTAGAGACGGGGTTTGCCATGTTGGCCAGGCTGGTCTCAAACTCCTGACCTCAGGTTATCCACCCACCCCGGACTCCCAAAGTGCTGAGAATACAGACGTGAGTCACCATGCCCGGTCCCTTTTGTACTTTTTACTCGGTTTTGTTGTAAACCTAAAACTGCTGTAAAATATAAACCTAAAAAACAACTATCAAAAACACTGTAAGAAAAGCAGATTAGTAAACTCATAGAATGTTAGTGTTGAGAGGGCCTTAGGAATAATTCAGTTTAGTATATTCAGGGTATAAGCAGGGAAATCCAGGCCCAGAGATGGGCTATGCCTTGCACCCAGCAATATGGTGAGTTCACGGTAAACTACAAACATCTGAGACAGAAAAATTCTACCATGGCCCTCAGTGAGGCCCTTGTTTAATCCCTTCCCCTGTGAACACGGTAGAATAATGTAAAAGTTCTTAGGTCTAGTCCAGTGAGATAGAACGCTCACACAAGTCAGGCAAAGCAGACCTGTCACTCACAGATAGGCAGCAAGGATAAACGGAAGTCTAGGAGCCATGACGAAGCTATCCTCCAAGGCTCAGGAAAGCTGCTCCGGGCAGATGGAGTCTCATCTACGCATGCCCCGCATCGCATCACAGCTGAGAAACCCCAGCACGGCTCTGGGTTTATATACCCTGGGCAGCACCTGGCTCACTGAGCCCACGTGCTGCAGAACACTCTGTTCTAGGAAGAATGCAGACATAGCCTGGGTTGTTCCGCACCCTTCCTCCTTATCTCAGGGTGCTACATTCTCAGTACATTCCGGAGTTATTCTGAGAATTACCAACAGGAGGTGGGAAAGCTAGGTCAGCCAAGGTCATCCAGGAATCTGTCCTCCTCCAAGTAATATTCCCTTGATTAGACTACATTATATGAAAATGTCAAAGGATATATTTGTAGACATAATTAAAAATCTTAATTGGTTAACTTTAAGTTAATTAAAAGGGAGACTATCCTGGGTGAGACTGCCCGAATCAGGAAAGCCCATTCAAAGAGGGTGCAGCGGTCAGAGACTCAAAAGAGTAGAGATACCCTCTTGTTGGCCTTGAAGAGAAAAACTGCCCTGTTTTGAGCAATTCCACATAACAGGAAACAGTGGGTGGCCTCTAGGAGCTGTGGGATTCAGTCTTATAATAGCAAGGGGCTAAATTGTTCCACCAGTGAGCTTGGAAGAGGACCCCAAGCCTCAGATGGGCGTGCAGCCATGGCCAGCACCTGATTTCAATCTGCTGAGATTCCAAGCATGAGAATCAGCTGCGTACTCAGACTCCTGATCTATGGAGACCGAGATAATAAGTGAGTGTTGTTTTAAGTCACTAAATTTGTGGTTAAATCATATAACACAGAAAATTAATACAATAACCTTGTTCTGTGATTTTCCACATTTATAACTGCCTCCCTCCCATCTGTGGGCCAGACCATTCTTAGATCCTTTGAGATGATATAGACATTTCAAGACACAAATTAATAGGGGGCAAGCAAAGGATTTTCACATGCCCTTCATTCCCCCTATCCAATCTCCCATTTTATAATGCCCAGATAGCTTAGGCTCAACTTCCAGGCCTCAGCTAAAGATTTAGGTGGGAATTCTGATAGTCCTAAGACTTAGTGCTGACTTTGCTATTTTGGCCTATGAAGACAATTAGTACAATTCATTAAAACAACGAAATAAGTTTAAATCCATACATCTATACTGATTCTAAAAATAAAATCAAATGAAAAAAATCCCTCATTGGAGAAATGTAGGAAATTTCTTTATTTTAAAAATGTTAAATAAAGGGAAAGACAAGCATGTATCTCCCTTTCCTATGTGGATTCAAACTCAGGGTAACTAAACAGCTGATGAAGAAACTTCTCTTTATAAAACGTTCCACTTCTTGGAATGAATGAAGAAGAAATTATAGAATTCAAACATCACTATTTAAAACTCCAGTAAATTAATGGAAGTTAGGCAATGATTATCAATGGCTGCTAATATCACTTAAAGAGGGAAAAAAACAGACAACTATGTGCCTCCTCATGGTCAAACCACCACCTATGAGATCAACGTGCCAAAAAAATGGAATCCGCAATGTAAAAAGCCTCTCAAGGTCTAATTTGCAGGAAATACCAAAGGCAGAGAAATACGTTAAAACCACCACGGAAATGCACCAATCAAAACTCAGACAGTGGGATATGCCTAGCATAAACAACATGGTTCTTTACAGATGAATTGCAAGGAATAAAAATAGAGATGGTAGAAGAATGTACACATTAAAACACACCTAAGAGATATATCAATAACTGCAACTTATGAATCTTATTTGAACCCTGATTCAAAGAAAGTATATATACACACACACACACACACACTACAACTGGGAAAATTTGAACACTGGATATTTGATGATATTACATATTAAAAATCACTGGAGCTTTTAAAAGATATTCCTGCTTATTTTTTGGAATGAGAGTTCTTGACTTTTAAAGATATGCTTAGTGACGTAATGATAAGGTATGTGAGATTTACTTCAAATAAATGTGACAAGATGCAGGGGTATGTGGGTTGGGTCACAGGTGAAACATAATTGGCCATGAGTTGAACAATGTTAGCTAGTAGACTGGTGCATGGAGGTTTAATATTTTTCCATTTTAAAAATATACTTAAAATTCTCTATAGTAGAAAGTTTATATACAAAAAGCAAAAACAATCATGTCACCCTCTACTTAAAATATTTCAGTGACTTTTTATTGCTCTTGGGATCAAAGACCAAAATCCTGCAAGGTTCTGAATAATCCAGCCTTCGCTTCCTACCCCAGCCTCAATAGATCTCATCTTCCTTCTCTCTGAGTTTCATCTGCAAAGGTCTCTCATTCTTCCCAAGGTTCAGCGTCTTTGTAGGCCCTTTCTCTTGCCAGAAATCCTCCTCTCCACCTACTTTTTCTTACTGAGTGAAACAATCCTATTAAACAATCTCATAGCACTATGTTCATTACCATTAAGGTATTTTTATTGGTAGCAATTACATATAGATTTGGTTGAGGATTTTATTAATATATGATTCCCAGCAGAGACCTGGTATGATTTGGCTCCAGTGCTTTGCTCCTAAAAGGTGAACAAAATACTTACATGCCAAGGAATGGAATAAATAAAATTACTCAAGAACATCCAACCAATTTTTGCTAAGTAATTTATGTGTAAAGGGATGTTAAAGATATACACAAATAAAAAAATTGAGAAAATGATAGTGCTCATAAAGTATCTTTTTCATGGGTGTTTGAGAAAGTTCAAAGATGAATGGAGAGACTACAAAGAGCTGTGCCACACTGGATCCCTCACACTGGGCTCCTCAGAGAGGAGAAGAAAGAACCAAAGTCAAAGCCTTTGTTGTGACACAATTTATGCAGCAGGGAGTCTGTGATAGCCAATGGGATTCTCAACAGCCCATGTCTGAATATGATGTCCTCATCAGACAGAACAGAACGCAAGCCTGCAAACCACCAATGGTTAGATAGTCATCAATGGAGAGCTGGATTTCACTTATTTTTCTTGTTTTTCTAGCTTGGAAGGAAACTAAAGTGGGCTCAGGAGTAAGAAAAGAGAAAACATATTAATTCTCTTATTGGAAAGTATTTCCTTTAATCAAAACTGAAATTCTAACCTCTGCCATTTCTTTTTTTATTACCTCTTGTGTGCAATATGTCCTCTAAATTCAGATAATTTTCCTATGAGCCTAAACCTCTTACAGTATTCTGTCATTTATAACTAAAGAATATGGGTTTCTCTCTGTGCATCAGGTATATTTTGATCACCCTCTATGAGTAAGGTTTTATAATGGTGAACAAAATGACTCTGGATCTTCACCTTGAGGGAATCACATATAAATTAATTTGGGAAATAAGCCCCTTATTCTTTGATGAATAAGGTAAAGATAACTCTGAAATACATGTATTCAATTTTTGCTAGATGCCACAAAGCTGTAATACATTCCAAATGACCTGGTTTCTATGTTTTAAAGCAGGAAAATTATATATTTAAAACAAATTTCTATGTTTTAAAGCAGGCAAATTTGCTATGCAAATTATAAGAGGAAAAGAATATTTCCATCCAAAGGAATATAAATCATTCTATTATCAAGACACATGCATGCGTAGCTTCATTGCAGCACTATTCACAATAGCAAAGACATGGATTCAATCTAAATGCCCATAATTGATAGACTGGATAAAAAAATGTGGTACATATACACCATGGAATACTATGCAGCCATAAAAAGGAAAGAGATCATGTGAGTTGGAAGCCATTATCGTCAGCAAACTAACACCGGAACAGAAAACCAAACACTGGCCAGGCGCGGTGGCTCAAGCCTGTAATCCCAACACTTTGGGAGGCCAAGGCGGATGGATCACAAGGTCAGGCACTCGAGAGCAGTCTGGACAAGGTGGTAAAACCCTGTCTCTACTAAAAATACAAAAATAACAGGACGTGGTGGTGGGTGCCTGTAATCCTAGCTACTCGAGAGGCTGAAGCAGAGAATTGCTTGAACCCAGGAGGCAGAGATTACAGTGAGCCGAGATCGTGCCACTGCACTCCAGCCTGGGTGACAGAGCGAGACTCCATCTCAAAAAGAAAAGCAAAGAAAAAAAGAAAGAAAACCAAACACCACATGTTCTCTCTTATAACTGGGAGTGGAATGATGACATACATGGAAACACTGGGGGGAACAACACACACTGGGGCCTGTCAGGGGTGGGGCAGGGGGGAGGGAGAGCATCAAGAAGAATAGCTGATGGATGCTGGGCCCAATACCTAGGTGATGGATTGATAGGTGCAGCAAACCACAATGGCACGTGCTTAACCTATGTAACAAACCTGCATATTTGCACGTGTACCCCTGAACTTAAAAGTTGAAGGAAAAAAATATCTCCAACACATTTCTATACGTATTCCCATAGAGGGTAGCTAATTAGGGATTGGATGCGGGTGGTGGGAGGACCATATAAATAGAAAAGTATTCAACGCCATGCTTTTCTGAGAAATTAATAATACAGCAACAGGGATGTTTGCTCTGATAAAAAAAAAAAGTCAAAATGTTATCACTCAATAAGCAGCTATTCGTTCTAGGCTCTCATAACATCTCTACCTACTATCCTATACAATACAATCTACAACTTTCAGGCTTCTGAAAATTGAACGTGCCTTGTGGTCCATATTATTTTAGAGAGCACTCTATTTTAAATCACTGGGAGCTTGTAATATGAATCCATCAAACTGGTCATCTTCTTAAATAAAATAGCAATATTTAGCAAAGGCAATGGCATAATACCATACGAATTCCCTTTCACTGTGAGTGTTAGTGAAGTTGGCAGCACTTTCTGAAAAATGTGTTGATGTGCATCAAATGCCTTAAGATGGTCTTAAACCTTTAACCAATTACTTCATATGTAGGAGTCAATTCTTATTAAACTGTGGGAGGAAAAAGTAAAAGCACACATATATACAAGGATATTCAACCTAAATGCCAGAGAACAGAATACTGCTTAAATAATGTTGATGTATCCGTGTAATGTCATATTATACAACCATTGGGAGAAAAATATTTTCAAAGAATATTTAGTGACATGGGGAAATAATTCTAATATAATGCTGAATAAAATAAAAGCAGGCCTGAAAATACCATGTAATCGCAATAATATATACATACAGAAAGAACTAAAAATGTACTTCTTATAAATAACTATAGAAAGTTTATCAAGGAAGTAGTAGTATTATCTGAATGGTATAGATTATTTTTTGGATGGTTCTTTTTTTTCAACATTTTCTATAATCAGAGAGCACAAAATAAAAATTATCAAAGGAACACTGGAAAATACTATATGCAATATATAACTCTCTATTAATGAGAAAACTAACTTAATAATATTGTAATAATGAGAAAACTGACTTAAAATACAATATGTCATTTTTAACCATTGTACATCATTGGAATTCTTTTTATGTGCATTTGTTTATATGCCACCTACTTACCATAGAGATTTCAGGCATTTAATTGGGAATCCACTGAAGTTGGGCTTTATTTCTAGGCACTGTCCCTTAATTTTAACTAAACTCTTAAGTGAAAATACTCTTAGGCACACAAGTTGCCTACAGCATATCTATCAGTACCTAGATTCCTATACTAGAAATCAACAGGTCACCATTTCTATTAACAAATAATAAAAAAGAGTATTAACCTAATTCAAAACTTGTCAACTATTCAAAAATAATTAATCAGTGTTCTTCCATGCACTTATCCTCATTCATTCAACAAACATTTGTGGAGTCTCCATGTGCAGGCAGTGTACCTTGGGAACACCATGACCCAGATCCCAAGGAACTGTGTGCTAATACTACTGGGCAAGATCTTACGAGGTACACAGAAGATGAAGAAAATGTACCTGTCCTCACCTGCTACCAGTTGTTTTATGAGATAATAAATGTATTAAGTAAAGCAGGTAGTTGGGACACAGCTATAGAATTCCTGAAGAAAAAAAATACATGGAATATTTTTCAGAAGTTGAATGAGGAACAATAATGAAGAAACTCTCAGTCAAGTGGAATGCACTGTCATATTACCAGGAAGCCCTGATTTAAAACAGATCAAATTATCACCTCCCCGTTATTAAAATAAGTCATCAGAAATAATACCCAATAGACATGGCCGAATGTCGCATTTACAACTAAGAACTGGGATTGATATGAAAATTCATGCCCTGGTTGATTAGTAAGCACTAGAGCAAGTGAACAAAAAGTTAACTATATATATATTATATACAAAGTTTAATATATATAACCTACTACATATAGTAATTATCGCCTATAATTATATAGTATACTATTCTATACTAATATAATGTATAAATATGTAATGTATATTACTATATATTCAATTTTATTAATATATGATACATTAATATAATGTATACTATCATAATTATACAATAGAATTATATTATTATATAATTATGTAATATAAAAATGCCTATAATTATTATATGTAATTTTTATATATATATTATTCTTCCAGGTACTTATCCTCATTCTTTTTTATTATATTAAAAAATGATATATAATATATATCATTCATAACACCGTATGATATAGTCATTATATCATCACATGATAGAGTCATTATATGAATGCTACATATTCATAATATATACTTATATAATTGCATGTATTATGGTATTATATATGTAAGATATGATATATATGATTATATTATATATGATTAATATGTAATATATCATATCAGATAATATACTAATATATAAGGTTATATTCATATATAATTGGTAATATATAATATATATTATATAATATAGAATACAAATATATAAAATATATAACTGTATATATCAGATATTAAGTATATATCAGATATATGTTATATATTTATATATTACATATATTAATATGTAATATCTATATATTATACTACAAATTAATATAACATTAATTATATCAGATGATATATTATATGTTATATATTATTTTACAATATATAATATATGTCATATTTTATATTATTTTACAATATATAATATATGTCATATTTTATATTATTTTACAATATATAATATATGTCATATTATATATTATATAATGACATAATATATGTATTATAATAATGTATTATAATAGTATATGTTATATATTAATATATCATATATAACTATATATTAATATACGTTAATTATATCAGATGATATAGATGTTATATATTTCTATATTATTTCATATTATTTTATAATATATTATATATTAAATATATAAAATAAAATAACAATTCATGACAGAAAAAAAGTACAGGTTTGATCTATAAAGGCTCAAGCTAAAATATGATTCCAGTCAAATTAGGTCATAGATTGTGGAGAGGATCATTTTGTTTTCTTAAATTATTTGCACAAAGAAAGAATAGGGTGCCTTAAAATAAAATAAATAAGCAAATAAAAGGAAGCTAGAAAGGAGGTGGGAGAAGAGAGAGAGAGCAAGAGAAAGGAGGAAGTGGGGGAAGGAAGACTAGTAAGAGAAAAGTAAGCAAAGAAAACAAAATATTGATTTTTCCTGGATTACCAGTTAGATGCAGTTTCTGTAAATTCCAGTATCCAATTCTGAAATGCTCACCAGTTTGGAATGATTATTTTGCTGATATTATAAAGATGTATTGCTTCTTCCACTGAGTCACCCTGGTGCCTAAAGCTTACCTCTCCACCCCGATCCTTGCCCTGAACAAAGATTCTCAAACTGTAAACCCAGGACCACCACCAGCACCAGCAGCAGCAGCACCTGAGAACGTGTCAGAAATGCACATTTTTAGTCTCCATCTTGCACTTACTGATACAGAAATGGATAGAGTCCTATAGTTTCTTTTAACAAGTGCCATCTCCCCCTCCTGCCCCAGGTGATCTTGATGCTCAGAAAAGTTTGAGAATCACTCCCCTAAATCACCCAGATTCAGGAAACTCTGTCAGGCTGAGAGTGGCCACAGGGCACCGTCATCCATAGGTTGCTACCTGGATTCCAGAAGCACAAGGTGGAGGAGACATGTCATATGCTGACACGTGGCTGCCAGATCATGTGCCATGGACTTAGTGATTCACAGGCTGCCTCTCACCTAAAGCACACCATAAACTTGTGTATTAGAAGCTATCTTAGTCCATTTTGTGCTGCTGTAACAGAATACCTGAGACTGGGTAACTTATAATGAGCAGAAATTTAATGACTCAGTTCTGGACGTTGGAAAGTCCAATATCAAAGTGCTAGAATCTGGCCAAAGCCTTCTTCCTGCATCATCACATGGCAAAATATGGAAGGGAAAGAGTGCAGAAGAGAGAACCTACTCCCATAAACCCTTTTCATAATGGCATTGATCTATTTATTAGGGAGGAGCCCTCATTATCTAAACACCTTCCATTAGATGCAGTCTCCCAACACTGTCACACTGGGAATGAAGTTTCCAATACACGAATTCTGGAGGACACATTCAAACCATAGCATATGCTATTATCCTCTTTTGATACATAAAATCACAAAGAATTAGAGAACCTGAAATATAATCTGCCAGCACTTAGCCAAATAAAGTATACACCCATGTACCAAGAGTTTGGCTCCTGGGTGTATAATCCAAAGAAATTATCACACAGGTCCACAGGAAATCTGTGTAATAATTTTCACTGCAGGAGGTTAGGAATCAATCTGTGTGTCCATCACTGAGAGAGATGAAAAACAAAATGTGAGGTAAGAAAGAAACATAGAAGGATCTTAAATCCTTAGTGCTGAAAAGGACAAAGGCTCATTCAGAAGAAAGAACCATATTTATCCACCTATGTTAAAATTACACACACATACATGCACGTGTGCACACGCACACACACTTCACAGTGTATTTACATCATATACAAATGTGCACATGATAAACAATACTTGCATTAGTTTTGCAAGAACAAATGCAAACAAAGAAATTGAAATTAAATACATTTGAACGGGTGCCTATGGATTGAGTAGGTGAGCTGGAGGGAATTATGGGGTCAAAATGACAAATGAATGACAAATTAAAATGAAAGAGGAGCCCTGTAAGAAACTGTGTAGGGAAAAAACTCTCTAAAACTCCCAAACTATGTTTTTCCTCTGCTCTCACACTGCAACAACAATCATCAACACAGAAGAAGACTTCTGTGATCAACTGTGTGGGTTTTCTCCCCACCATCAAGCAGCAGACGCCAGCTGGGTGACCTCCAATTCAATTATGACCCTACCCAGAGATAGTGTCAAGATTCCACAGGTTGAAGGCTCAGTCCCTGAGACTGCCCCACTCCACAGCCACAAGTAGCAAGTCTAGGCCTCCAGAACTTCTGACCAACCTCCTTCAAGTTGGGGTTTGCACAACTACCTCTTGGAGTTTAATATGCTACAGTGGTTCACAGAGCTCAGGGAAACACAATACTTAGATTTACAAGTTCCTTACAAAGGATATTACAAAGGATACAGATGAAGAGATGCCTAGGGTGAGGTGTGGGGAACAGGGAGCAGAGAGCTTCCATGTCCCCCTTACCGGGCGCCACCCTCCAGAAAACCCCACCTGATCAACCATTGGGAACTCTCCAAACCCAGTCCTCTTGGGTTTTTATGGAAGTTTGATGACATTAGCATTCCTTCCCCTCATAGTATAGGGTGGGACCCTCTCTGGGGAGGATGTTAAGACCCACAATCAGAAAGGTGGGGGGAGAGTCAAGTCCTGCCTTGAGACAGGTGAAAGAAGAGTGGGGGAAGGTCAGAGGCTGCCCCTGAAGCCTACAACACCCCAACATTGCAACAGAAGACTGTAACAGGGCTAAAGGAGTTAGGAGCCAGGAGCCCTGGATGAAAACCTACATATATCATAACACCACAGGACAAATGATAAAGTAATGTGACATCAACTAAGAAATATGACTAAATCCAAGTTTTTAAATATGAGGAGAGAGAAAGTAAAAGAGAAGAAGAAAAAGAGGAGAAGGAGGAGGAGGAGAGAGATGAAAGAAAAGAGATGAGAGAGAAAGACACACCACACTTTTCCTAGGTATTCAACTGGTCAGTGACTGCTGGAATTTGAGACCAGCTCTCTGTCAGAATTTGAACACATTAACCCATTAAGCATTTTCTTAATGAAGAGCCAAGCTGCTTTCTTTTAAATGTTGCCTTTAATGAAGGATTTATATTATGTTTCTTCAGATACATATTTATTCATTTGCTGCATGAATATTTACTGAATTTCTAGTACATCCCAGGCTACACAGGTAAGCCTGGTGCTCACAGTGTAAGAGTCTCCAGGACCTGGCTTTGGAATGTTTATTTGGTTGTCTCCTACATTGCCTTTGTATATCAAAAAGGGCAAAGTGCTTAAAACATCCAAAGAACATCTCCTAGTAACCCACATATTCATTGGATTCTTCTCTGACAATCAGAATCACAATGAGGGACCTGGGAGGCAATATCTAGCAGAAGCTTCTAGATCACTTAATAAGAACTTCTTAATAAGAACTTCTCTAGCAAGAAGATTTAGACGCATAAAACAAGAGTTGAATGATCGAGAACAAAAAGTCACACCATCGGCTGTTTTGTGTGCTGCAAGAATATACATGAACTCATGATACATAACACTTCATTAAATTGCATGCCAAACTTGTCTGGCAGATAACCATTGTGATAGCAACCTATTACTTTTAGATGGCTCTTCACAGTTGAAAAAATGCTTTCTCCCAGTGTTTCATTTGAACTTCACCATAGGCAAAGCAAGCCTCACGATGCCCATTCTGTATGATCTGAATCTATTTAAATGCAATTATTATTTGAATTTTATCTTTTTCATATTCGAAATAAGCATACATAAAACCAAACCAAACAATAAACAAAAACATTTCCTGTTCATCTTATTTTTGTTTACTGCCCCTCTCTCTGCCTATACAGAATTCTACCATAATTTTTTTTTCACATTGAATAGCCACTCTTTTTCCCTCCACCTAAATTGAATAAAGCTACCAGTGTTTTAAAACACTGAAAGCAATCATCTTCATTTACTTCCCATTCCCATCAGAGGGTTCTTATTAAGTGATCTAGAAACTTTGCAGTCGGCTTTAGAGAGATTAGTGGTCCTGATTAACATATCACCAAGACACTCAATTTGGCAGACCAAAAACAGAACATTGGGAACTTCAGTTTGAACTGAAGTTTGTTGGGGAACAATGGATGGCTAGTTCATAATTTTCTTCCTTCTTTTTACGTTCATCTCTTTGGGAGACGGCATGGCATTGTGACCTGTTAGGAGGTAATCCTGTTGCAAAATTCTGCCAGGAGACTAGGGGAACTGCAATGATTCTCCTCTCTCCTGCTAACTTCCTCTGTGACCTGGTAAAGGAAATTTCATTTATGTAAGCTTTTCTAGCCTTGATTCAGCTGCTCAGCTGCATCAAACCTTGGCTTGCACATTTGTACAGCAAAGATAGAAATAGGACTTAAGGCCAGGCACGGCGGCTCACGCTTGTAATCCCAGCACTTTGGGAGGCTAAGGCAGGCAGATCACGAGGTCAGGAGTTCCAGACCAGCCTGACCAACATGGTGAAACCCCATCTCTACTAAAAATACAAAAATTAGCTGGGGGTGGTGGTGCATGCCTGTAATCCCAGTTATTCAGGAGGCTGAGGCAGGGGAATCGCTTGAACCTAGGAGGCGGAGGTTGCAGTGAGCCGAGATTGTGCCACTGCACTCCAGCCTGGGTGACAGAGTAAGACTCTGTCCCCAGAAAAAAAAAAAAAAAAAGGACTTAGCCACCTAGGGTTTTCCTGAGGATAAAATGACAAGAGCCGAGTAAAGGACTTAGCACACAGTCAGGCTTTTCAAAAGATTTTATTTTCAGAGTGGCTATTTTCTTTTTAAAACTTTTTTTCCCAATATTTAAGTTTTAAAGCATTTCCAAATTAAATTACATGTGACAATCAATGTGCTATATTTAACGTGGTGGTGGTGTTCTTCTTTCTCTTGTAAAATAAACAGCTCTTTAAATTTAAAGTGTATTTTACAATTAATGATTTATTAAAATCAAGAAAATTTGGTATTTGTTTTATAATGACAAGTTGGGAGTTAAAAAATATTTAAAGTCTGTTTTTCTTCAATGATGTCTTTTATCAACTGTGTTGGATCATTTTATTGTATCTTTTGGAGAGACTAAACCTCAGCAGTGACTTCTACATTCATAATTGGTGATCAAATTTGTGAATGGTTTTATTATTTGTTATCTTTGTGCAAAATGATTTGACCTTCCCTTCAGGGAATTTGAACCCAGCTAATACAATTACCTTATAAAACCAATCACAATGAAAAAAATCCAGAAAAATACTATGTATTGTTCATGCTTCAAACTGTATGTTCCCAGAAACAAAATGCCCCAAAAGCAGAACACAAAATCTATAGCAAATTAGTCCATAAAAGTTAAAACATATAAGTAACATGGATTCCAGAGACAAGATGATCGATCTTTTTTTCATATAAACAGCAGACTGGGCATTTATGAGTGATAGTTTTTGAAGTATCCATAACTTAAAAGACTACCTTGGCTAATTTCCTTTTTCCAAGCACCCCTTAGCTTAGGACATGCTGTTTCCCCTGCCTAGAATGTTCCTCCTCAACAGTCCATGCCATTCAGCCTCCTGTTCCTTCCTTTAGGCTCTGTTTCACTTATTCTTTTTTGAGACAAGTCTCGCTCTTGTCGCCCAGGCAGGAGTGCAGTGGCGCGATCTCGGCTCACAGCAACCTCCGCCTCCCGGGTTCAAGCAATTCTCTGCCTCAGCCTCCCGAGTGGCTGAGATTACAGGCACCCACTGGGCTATTTTTTTTTTCTTTTTTTTTGCATTTTTAGTAGAGATGGAGTTTCATCATCTTGGCCAGGCTGGTCTTGAACTCCTGACCTCGTGATCCACCCACCTCAGCCTCCCAAAGTGCTGGGATTACAGGTGTGAGCCACCATGCCCAGCCTCTGTTTCACTTTTCTAATCTCAGTTCAGCCCTCCCTCTCTCAGGCAAGCCTGCCTTGACATCCTCTCCCACCCTAGACATCAGATACTTCCACAGCCCCCTTGATGCCCTCACTGACACTGATAATGCTTATAATTGCTGACTTTGGTGATCAGTGTCTGTCTCCCCTGGTGGGCTCTGAACCCAAAAGGAAAAAGGTTGGCACATCTGCATTGCAAGGCACTTGATCTGAGCTCAATGACTATTTCTCGAATCAATACAATGACTAAGGCACACTTCTGTTAAGATTGGCACGTAAGGTATGTCCTCCCACCACAAGTTAACCACCTTTTTTTCTTTCTCTGATGAGTTACCTGCTGTAGACAGACATGTATGCATGCTTGCACACACATGATCACTTCATTAGAGCCACTGCAAACCCAGCAAGGATTAACGAGCAAAACTGTGGTCGAAGTGCATATGGGCTGTGGGCTGATGTTACTCGTGATTCACATGACTAGCTTCTCATGCCTGGCCAGCAGTGTGTGCTCCTCATGTTTCTGCCTCAACAAAATACCAACTGCTCCCCATCCTGGGTCTTTGAGGTGTCTGCGAGCTGTTGAAACTGTGAATGTCAAAGCTATGAATGCCAAGGATCAACTGTAATTTCAGAATATTTTAAACCACGAGATCTATGACAGGCAGAATGATTGTGCAATTATCTAGGTTAGTTTATGAGACAAATAATTATTACTCTGGTATAACTGGGTTTCCATATCATTCTCATTTGAAATCTCTAATGTTATTTAGGATGTCATTTCTCTCCTCTAGAAAGAGTTTACATTTTAGTAATATCCACTGAATTAGAGGACAAATAATCAGATCATTTGAACAAAACATCATGCAATGTTAAGTTTTTTTAAAACAACTTTATCAAGTATAATTGAAGTAAATAAATTGCATAAATTTAAGTTGTAAAATGTGATCAGTTTTGACATATGCATGTATGTATAAAGCCATTACAATAGTCAAAACAACAAATCTTTTTATCACTCCCTAATATTGTTTGGCTCTGCATCCCCACACAAATCTCATCTTAATTGTAATCTTCACATGTCAAGGGAGGGACTTGATGGAAGGTGATTAGATCATGGGGGTGGTTTCCCCGTGCTGTTCTTATAATGAGTGAGTTCTCACAAGATTTGATGGTTTTGTAAGTGGCAGTTTCGCCTGCTCTCGTCCTTCCTGCCACCTTGTGAAGAAGGATGTGTTTGCTTTCCCTTCCATCATGATTGTAAGTTTCCTGAGGCCTCCCCAGCCATGTGGAATTGTGAGTCAGGTAAACCCTCTTTCCTTTATAAACTATCCAGTCTCAGGGAAGTTCTTTATAGCAGTGTGAAAATGGACCAATACACTCCCCCAAATTTCTTCACACTCTATGATCAGAAATCCTTTCCTCCACCCCATATCCAGTAACGACAGACCTGCTTTCTTCTCTATGGATTAGTTTATATGTTTTAGAACTTTATATAAATAGAATACTACAATGTACCTTCTTTTTGGGTCTGAGATTCTTTCAATTCAGTATAATTATTTTGAGGTCCAGTCATGTTGTAGAAGATATCTATAGCACATTTCTTTTTATTACTTAATAGTATCCATTGCATGGATATACTGTGACTGTTTTTCATTCTCCTGTTGACAGACATTTGGGTTTGGTTCCAGTTTTTGGCTATTATAAATACAGCTATGAATATTAGCATGCAAGTTTTGATGTGAACATACATTTTCATTTTTTTTGGTGGGGGGGGGGTAAATACCTAGAAATGGGATTGCTGAGTTTTATGGTAAATATGTTTAACTTCTTAAAACATTTCCAAACTGACTCCCAAAGTGAATGTACCATTTTATATTCTCATTGGCAGTGTACAAGACTCCCAGTAGCTCCAGATTTTCTCCACTTGAAATTAATGTTTTTTTGTATGTTTGTTTGCTTCCAATCTAATATAATGTGGGGTATCTCGCTGTGGTTTTAGTTAACATTTCCCTACTGACTATTGATTAGCAGCATTGACCATTCATACACATCCTTTTGTCAGGTGTCTGTTCAAATTTTGTGCCCAATTTTTTGAGCTATTGTGTTGAAATACTTCCATGTTGTAGATATAAGTCATTTGTTGAATATATGATTTGCAAAGGTTTCCTCCCAGTCCAAAGCCTGCCTTTGACTTTCTTCTGGGTATCTTTCAAAAAGTTTTAATTTTGATGAAATACAATGTTTCAGTTTTTTGTTTGTTTTTTGTTTGTTTGTTTTTAAGACAGAGTTTGGCTCTTGTTGCCCAGGCTGGAGTGCAATGGCACGATCTCGGCTCACCGCAATCTCTGCCTCTGGGGTTCAAGTGATTCTCCTGCCTCAGCCTCCCAAGTAGCTGGGACTACAGGCGTGTGCCACCACGCCCCACTAATTATGTATTTTTAGTAGAGACAGGGTTTCACCATGTTGGCCAGGGTGGTCTCGAACTCCTGACCTTGTGATCCACCCGCCTCGGCCTCCCAAAGTGCTAGGATTACAGGCATGAGCCACGGTGCCTGGCCACAGTGTATCAGTTTTTATTATTTTGCACTGTTCATGTTTTATGAGTTTGTTTTTTGTTTTTAATATGTGTGTCTCTGCTTTCAGTATAATGGGAATGTATTGGCATTTTTCCCCTTTTTCTATGAAGGCTAACGTCCTTAGCTAACTGCAGCTCTCCTTACATGCAGCAGAAACTGCATCAGGCCCTGAGGCCACAGAGTTACATAGTTCTCAGTCCCTGGCCAGTGTGAGCTAACTATCTTTAGGCTGCAGTTTCCACAGAAGCTCCCAGAGCAACGTCAGGTCCTCTGACTTGTTAAAATGAAGCACCAAGTGAAACTCAGCCACAGCGTTTTTGCCACTGCATTTCCCTAAAGAAAGGTGGAAGAGCCAGTAACTACATTGAAAAGTCATATATAAAGACTTTTCAGCTTGTTATTTCCAAAGAAGTATTTTCAGAGAAATCAACTTCTGGCATCTGTTCATAAGGGTAGGTAACTTTCTCGGTGTATCCTTAGGCCTATCACGTTGTAAGTATTCAGCAAATTTTTTTGTTTTTTGCATTTTCTGATACCAATGTTTTCAAACCAATTGGAAGGTAGAAGTGTTTTGTCAATGTAGAAGTTGTCTCTGGAATACCCGCCAACCCTCTTGAACTCTTAGTCTGAGATGCAAGCTGCCATAGTTTATCTTCACTGAATGAATTATCCTACTCTAGATAAGTGAAATTTGCATTAGAAAAATGCTCCATGAAAGTTGGCAGAAATACCTTCTAGACTTGCCAGCAATTCATCTTTTGTTCTTTTTGCTAAATCCCTGTGGGACCATGTATCTTCCAGCATTGTAATAAAGGAATTTTCGTTTTTATTTTCAAAAGAAAACAAAGATTAGTATTTGAGCTAGCCCTTCTGTTTTACAGATGAAAATCAAGAATACGTTTCAGGGACACTTTGTTATATAAATACTTCAAATCACAAAGACCAGAGGGACTATCGATATCACTCTACATGTAGGTTTTATTATATTGTGTGGGGCTTGATTTATGGGGAAAATGCACCCCCCAACACAAATTTGATTTTTATAAATGGGCTTATAGAGACAAATCTTTCTTACAAAAATAGTCTATTTATTATCTGTAGGTACTTCTACCTCCAGGAAAGCTCCCGAGGTTTACTCTTCACCCCTCCTATCTTGAAAGGGGGCCATACTTACAGACTCGCTTCCAAAGAATAGAGTATGGAAAGGTAGAAAGAATAACATAACAGTGGAGAAGCCTAGCAGGCACCAGTTTTACCAAGTGATGAAGATCAACCTCACCAGAGATGTCATCTGGATATAATGTGCCACCTGATGTGATGGGATGAGAAGGGCACTTCACCCCTGTGGCTTTCTTCCCCAAAATCTATAACCCCAGCCCAATCATAAGCAAAAGATCACACAGGCCCAGATTGGGAACATTCTGCTGGTTATGAGGCCAGTACTCCTCAAGGCCCTTGAGGTCATGAAAAATAAATTCTGAGAAATTCACAGAACAGAAAGGACAGAGGAGAATATGACATCTAAATGCAATGTGATAGCCTGGATTGAATCCTGGAACAGAAATAGGATGTTAATTTTTTTTTAAGTGAAATCTAACTGAAGCCTGGAATTTAGAATTTTGTTTAAGATGGACTTATAAATAGGAAATTATACCTTTTCTATTAAATAAAACCTTTTTAACTTCTGAGAGATGTGAGGCATGAGACACACTCCACTCCCAAGTCTTACCGTGCACACTTTATTTTTACACTGAGCCTACAATAAAAAGATCTTCACACCATCAGAGTGAACATGTCAATTGGAAAATAAAAACACAGAATGGTTTTCTCCTTTGTTGGAATGCTGACTGCATGTCAGAAACAGGCCTAAAAAGAATTTGCCTTTTGCTTGATAATTGTGAAAAATTATCACAGAACTAGGAACCTGATTTTTTTAAAGCCTTATATAAATTCAAGCAAAAAGCAATGTGCTGAGTAATGGTGGATACAAGGCAAAGAGTAAATACAGATCTGCCAGAAGGAGAACATCATCAAAATATAGTAAGAGAGATTGGAGGCAGTAAGGCAGGAACTAACGTTTACACTGCTGCCATGTGCTAAACTCTCCGCTCAGCGTTTCCTAATAAGTGTCTACATTAGTTCTCCAAAAACCAAAAATCAATGCTGTAGATTTCATTAACCCATTTCACAGATTTAAAAACTAGAGTTCAGAGAAATTGAGTAACTTTCCCAAGATGGGATGTAGTAAACCTGAGATTCAAAGCAGGATTCATATCTCCAGAAATGCATATTGTTTATGAAAATAATATTCCCCAAATGTCATTCTAAGTTATCAAAGTATCTGTGTACCACCTAAACTACCATTTCCTTTATACTCATCTGAGCAATCTGCTTTTTAACTAAAACATATGAACATGAATACATGTGTGGAGTGTGTGTGCATATGTGTGTTATGTTTGTACTCAGTACTACATATGCTACCAAAGCAAAAAGAACAAGCATTTCACTGTGAAAATTTAGAAAGTCAATAGGGAGGGCCCTTTATAACAGGCAGCTTTGCTACAGTGGGGTTTCACCATAATCGATGTGCATAGAAGGGGCGTGTCAGAGCGTGGGTCGAGGTGTGGGCTGGAGAAGACGGTGGGCTAATCAGCAAATCTTTGATATGTGCTGGAGGTGAAGTACAAGGCACAAGCAGACTGCCTTTTGACAGTCACCTTATTTCAGTGATTCAATGAGGTCACTCATTGTTGACAAAGTGAGAATAATGTAGTTACAAACACTCCAAGGTCCATTACAATCCATCATGTTCTAACAGGCATCAAAGGAAGGAGACGCCACAAATTCCCCTTGCAATCAACTCCCAGTTTTAACTTCACTGGGAAGATTATTCCTAATACCTTTACTACAATTCTCCCAGTGTCTACTGGCATTTGTTAAATCAATCAGCACAGTGACCCAGAATCCTCACCTTTCTCAGGCTGCTCCATGTTCAGGATACATCACACGAAAGTCACCTATCCTGGGGCCAGCACAGTTCTACAGCTATTTGGATTATGTGACTCTGCTCTAGGCCTTTGTAGGGCCATTTTTCCTTCTTGGAGCATCTTGCCTTTCACTTTCAGCTATGCCCTTTGTATTAGTCTATTTTCACACTGCTATAAAGATGCTAGCTGAGACCAGGTAATTTATAAAGAAAAGAGGTTTAATTGACTCACAGTTCTGCATGCCTGGGGAGGCCTCAAAAAACCTACAGTCATGACAGAAGGCAAAAGGGAAGCAAGGCACATCTTACATGGCAGCAGGAGAGAGAGTGAGTGAAGTGGGAAGCATCAGACATCTATCAACAACCAGATCTCATGAGAACTCCCTCACTATCATGAGAGCAACAGGGAGGAAACCACCCCCATGATCCAGTCACCTCCCACCAGGTCCCTCCTTCAACATATGGGGATTAAAATTCAAGAAGAGACTTGGATAGGGACACAGAGCCAAACCATATCATTCCACCCCTAGACTCTCCCAAATCTCATGTTCTTTTCACATTTCAAAACCAATCATGCCTTCCCAGTAGTCCCCCAAAAAGTCTTTAACTCATTCCAGCACTAACTCGAAAGTCCAAGTCCAAAGTCTCATCTGACACAAGGCAAGTGCCTTCCACCTATGAGCCTGTAAAATAAAAAGCAAGTTAGTTACTTTCAAGATACAATGGGGGTACATGTATTGGGTAAATGTTCCCATTCCAAATAGGGGAAATTGGCCAAAACAATGGGGCCATAGGACCCTAGCAAGTCCGAATCTTGTCAGGGCAGTCATTAAACCTTAAAGCTCTGAAATGATCTCCTTTGACTCCATGTCTCACATCCAGTGCTTGCTGATGCAAGGGGTGGGTTCTCACGGCCTTGGGCAGCTCACCCCTGTGGCTCTGGAGGGTATAGCCCCTGTGGCTGCCTTCACAAGCTGGCGTTGAGTGCCTGTGGCTTTTCTAAGTGCGTGGTGCAAGCTGTCAGTGGATCGACCATTCTGGGAGCTGGAGGATGGTAGCCCTCTACTCATAGCTCCACTAGGCAGTGGTGCCCCAGTGGGGACTGTGTGTGTAGGCTCCGACCCCACATTTCCCTTCCACACTGTCCTAGCACAGGTCTTCCATGAGGCCTGCACCCTTGCAGCAGACTTCTGTCTGGACATCCAGGCATTTCCATATATCCTCTGAAATCCAGGTGGAGGTTCCCAAAGCTCAACTCTTGTCTTGTGCATACCTGCAGGCCTAACACCACATGAAAGCCATCAAGGCTTGGGGCTTACACCCTCTGAAGCAATAGCCTGAGCTGTACCTTGGTCACTTTTAGCCATAGCTGGAGCTGGAGCAGCTGAGATGCAGGACACCAAGTCCCAAAACTGCAAAGAGCAGTGAAGTTATTTTTCCCTCTTAGGCCTCTGGGTTTGTGATGGGAGGGGCTGCTGTGAAGGTCTCTAACAAGCCCTGGAGACATTTTCCTCATTGTCTTGGCTCATAAGCTCCTTGTTACTAATGCAAATTTCTGCAGCCAGCTTGAATTCCTCCACAGAAAATCAATTTTTCTTTTCTACCACATGTCCAGGCTGCAAATTTTCCAAACCTTTATTCTCTGCTTCCCATTTAAACAGAGGTTCTGATTTCAAAGCATCTCTTTGTGAATGTTGTTAACTGAACACTTTCAGAATAATTCAGGTCACCTCTTGAATGCTTTGCTGCTTAGAAATTTCTTCCGCCAGATACCCTAAATCATCTCTCTCAAGTTCAAAGTTCCACAGATCTCTAGGGTGGGGCAAAATGCCACCAGTCTCTTTGCTAAAGCATAGCATGAGTGACCTTCACTCTAGTTCCCAATAAGTTCCTTAACTCCATCTGAGACCACCTCAGCTTGGACTTCATTGTCCATATCACTATCAGCATTTTGGTCAAAACAATTCAACAAGTCTCTAGGAAGTTCCAAACTTTTCAACATCCTCCTGTCTTTTTCTGAGCCCTTCAAACTCTTTCAACTTCTGCCCATTACCTAGTTCCAACATTGTTTACACATTTTCAGGTTATCTTTATAGCAGTGCCCCACAACCTCGGTACCAATTCTTTATATTATTCCATTCTCATACTGCTATAAGGATACTACCTGAGACTGGGTAATTTATTAAAAAAAAAAAAGGAGGTTTAATTGACTCACAGTTCTACATGGCTGGGGAGGCCTCCAGAAACTTAAAGTTATGGCAGAAGGTGAAGGGGAAGCAAGGCACGTCTTACATGGCAGCAGGAGAGAGAGCATGAAGGAGGAAACACCAGACACTTATCAACAACCAGATCTCGTGAGAACTCCCTCACTATCACAAGAACAACATGGGGGAAACCACCTCCATGATCCAATCCCCTCCCACCAAATCCCTCCTTTGACACATGGGGATTACAATTCAAGATGAGATTTGGGTGGGGACACAGAGCCAAACGATATCACCCTTCACCTGGTTAACCCATAAATACCCATTCTTTGGTCCCAGCTTGTATGTCACTCCCTGCAGAAAGCTGTCCTGGACCTTGCTATCGTGTTTAGGACCCTTCTCTCTCTCTCCTGATACCTTCTGTTTTTCCTTACAGAGGAACTGAGTTACCATTGCCTGTGAGAGTGTCCATCTTTCCCACTGGCCTAGAGCTCCTCCAGGACAGAGACTACACTTTTTCCCTTTTTTTTTTTTCCAACACTTGGTAACCAGCACAGTGTATACCAGATGCCAGTAAGTTAGTAAAGAATTGCTATATATACAAATAAATAAGAGAATGATCAAAACTTCCCAATCATCCAAAGATTGGTGATGCTATTTAAGGATCAGGGTAATGTCCACCAATAGATGAATTGACAGAGAAAATGTAGTATATCTATATAACAGAATACTATTCAGCATTAAAAAGGAAGGAAATCCCGTCATTTGTGACAACATGGATGAACCTGGAGGATATTATGCTAAGTGAAATAAGCCAGGCCCAGAAAGTCAAATACTGCATGATATCACTTACATGTAGAATCTAAAAACAATGAACTCATAAAAGCAGAGAGTAGAGTGATGGTTGCCAGGGAGTGGGGGTGGTGGTGGGGAGGGTTAGGGAGATGTTGGTCAAATGATACAAAATTTCAGTTAGATAGAAGGAATAAGTTCAAGAGAACTGTTTTACAACATGGTGACTTTAGTTAATTACAGTGTATTGTATACTTGAAAACTACTAAGATAATAGATTTGAAGTGCTCTCACTATAAAAAAACATATAAGAATATAGGAGGTAATGTATATGTTCATTAGCTCAAGTTAGCCATTCCACAGTATATGCGTATTTCAAAACAACAGGTTGTACACAATATATACAATTTGTTAATTGAAATAAATACAAATTCATCCCTCTGCTCCTCTGCCCCAGAGGGTAACAGCTATGTGAAGAATTAAAAAAAAAAAAAAAAAAAAAAAACAGGATGAGATTAGCAATGTCCATTTCTGTCAAGTAAATGGGAGGACCTAGGCCTTATAATGAGCTCATCACTTGAGTTTACTTTGTGCAGAACTAGCCTATATGGCTCTCTCATGTAACCAAAATGTATTTTTTAATAAATGTATTGAGAAGAAGGAGCAATATCTGAACTAGGACAATCCCGTAACCCAGTCATTTCGTAGCAAAAATATATTCATTTGTTAACTGAGTGTCTGGCCTTCTGCTAAATGTTGTGGCTGATGTGGACAACCACGAGTTAGTAGCATGGTTGGGTGGACATAGCCAGCACACACAGAACAGGAGAATGAAAGATTTAAGGTGGTCTATATATAAATAACTGAGTGATAAATTGCCTGATATGCAGGAGTCTTAGCATGCACAAATTTAAAATTTTTCAGTTTCCATTCTTCATCCGGGATGCTGAAGGTCACTGTGTGGTCCATTTAAAGGGTTGGACTGTGGGAGTGAATCCCTTGAGCTAGTGCCTGACCTGTCATCTGGCCTCTACACATCAGCACAGCTTCATCATCCTCTGCCTGTCTTTCTATGTGCAATAATTGTAGCAAAGGGATAAGATATTGCAGATTCAGGTTAAGTTCATGGTCAATAGTAAAATAATACTGATATAATGTACCATTGTACAGAGTTCATTTTAAGGGCAGAATTAACTTTAATGGTTTTATAGGCAACTTTAGTTTTATATTTATAGAGTGGTAAGGGTGTGAGGAAGTCACTAAGACTTCTTAGTTTTTCTTTACTCAGCTTTGTGGGGAAAACTGTATGCTTCAGAGCAACAGTGAATAAACTAAATCTGGCCCACCACCAGTAACTAAAGTTGTATCGGAACACAGCCATGCTCATTCATTTACGTATTGTCCATGGCCAATTGAATGCTATAATGGCAGAGTTGAGTAGTTGCAACAGACACGGTATAGTCCAAAAACAAACTATTTACTATTTGGTTCTTCACAGAAAAGGGTTCTCAACACCTGCTATAAAGATGCTCTCAAATTTAGAAGTTCACAAAATCTCATATTGAATCCCTTATGAAAACCAAGAATTGATTGTTAACTTGGAGGTTCACAAGAGAAAGAGGTGGGATGGGAGAATAGAAGGTAGACAAAGAAAGATTCATAGGGAGAGAACTGCAGCTTTAATGCTGGTTAAACATTTGCATGAACCAAAAAAGACAACCCAAATCACTTTTTACAATTGTCTGCTTTTAGAAAAGAACACATTAGTTGCAGTTGTAAAAGAATAAACAGGTCGGCCGGACACAGTGGTTCACACCTGTAATCCCAGCACTTTGGGAGGTCGAGGCGGGCAGATGACCTAAGGCCGGGAGTTTGAGGCCAGCCTGACCAATATGGAGAAACCCTGTCTGTACTAAAAATACATAATTAGCCTGGCATGGTTGAGCATGCCTGTAATCCCAGCTACTTGGGAGGCTGAGGCAGGAGAATCACTTGAACCTGGGAGGCGGACGTTGCGGTGAGCCGAGATTGCACCACTGCACTCCAGCCTGGGCAATAACAGCGAAACTCCATCAAAAAATAAATAAATATATATATATATAAATAAAATAAAATAAACAGGCCAATGTTGAGGCAGGGAAATTACTTCCTACCTCTGGTTTTCTGGATGTTGAATGGTTGATATTTTATATTTCAGTCCTCAAATCATAAAGTATTTGAGCACCCAGTCTGAATATACTGGACAAAATATATTTTTTGCATGTTTAACCTCCAAATGTGTATGCATTCAATAGTTATCTGGTAATTACTTATAGAATCAAAATAAAACAAAAATCAATTATTATGAGTGCAGATAATCTTTAACCTCACCCGCTCTGGTTGAGAGACATTTGAGAGTGGGAGTCCGGGCACAATCCAGAGTGGGAGTCAGATGCATGGAGGAGAGAAAAGGGAGCAGAATTTAGTATTTTAAATAATGCAGAAATCACCCTCCAACTCAGGCCAGAAGAGTGTTTTTATACCCTGAAAACTAAGGAGATCTATCAACAAATTAACCACTGCAGTTACAGGAAATGTGGAGAGACAACATCTTGTAGAAAGCAGTCTCAATTATTTTACAAAATTTTGTTGCAGGTTCATTTGCACTGTAGAAAAGTTATTATTTCCAACTTTCGCATGGAATTTTCACAGTGTTATGTAGGTCACAAATAGCTAGAATGACAAAAATTCAATTATAAAATCTGTGTAATGGAGACAGGAAACTAGTGTAAATGCTGGAACTCAAACCATGACAATAGAAAGATCAAGAACTCCCTGCCTGTAATATTTCAGTTTTCATTCAAGAAAATCGTTGACCAGTGTGGGCTTAGTGGATTGGCATGGAATGTGAATTTAGACAAGTCAGATTAGAGAAAGATCCAGAAGTAGGTGGAAGAAAGAAATAAATCAGACACAATCGCTGGACTAGGATGACACCTTAGCCCCACATTTCTGAACCCTGGCTGCACAGTGAAGTCACCAGAGAGCTTTAAAGTATTACTAATGCCCAGATTCCATGCCTGGAGATTTGGATTTAATTGCTCTAGGGTGAAGATTGATGGTAGTTGTAAAAGCTTCCCAAGTTATTCCAGTGCAGGGTCAGCTTTGGGAACCACTAGCTTAACCACTGCATTTGGTATGAGAGACTGGTAATTGCTACTAGTCTCATCAAACAGTAAACTTGGAGCTTCCCTAACATCAATCATTCACGTAACTATTTAGAGATTTTTGCCCTGTATCACTTACATTACTAATGTTTATAACATTTTTATTTAAATCAGCTCATTTTCTAAAACCTTAGGCTGATTTTAGCTTCATTCTAAACAGTAGTAACTGGAAAAATCACAAATGTGGTGTGCTGGTTGCATTTTTTTTTCCTGATACTTATTAAAATATGCAGTGTTAACATGAGTGTGATACCAGTACACAAGTTGGTTTCAGGTGATAAAAACAATTTAGAAAAATTAAGCAATATATTACCTAAACCTACCTTGTATATAGATACTACAGAATTCACAGTATTACACCACTCCTTCAATAGTGATCAAAAATATGTACCAAATATTCACCATATATAGTAAGTTATCATTTTGTTCAGTCATTAATTTGAATTATGTTATCTCTGCACTACTATATGGAGAAGAAAAGTTCCTTAGAAAATGAATAAGCCCAGCCGGGCGCGGTGGCTCAAGCCTGTAATCCTAGCACTTTGGGCGGCCGAGGTGGGCGGATCATGAGGTCAGGAGTTTGAGACCATCTTGGCCAACATGGTGAAACCCCGTCTCTACTGAAAATACAAAAAAATTAGCCGGGCGTGGTGGTGGGCGCCTGTAGTCCCAGCTACTCTGGAGGCTGAGGCAGGAGAATGGCGTGAACCCGGGAGGCGGAGCTTGCAGTGAGCCGAGATGGCGCCACTGCACTCCAGCCTGGGCGACAGAGCGAGACTCCGTCTCAAAAAAAAAAAAGAAAAAAAGAAAATGAGTAAGCCAGACTTATACGAGTCAGTTCTAGGTCAACAAGGCTTTGATATTCTCTGTGCAATGTGTATGTAATAATACTTGCAAAATTATATCGTACTAGATTTTTATGAACAAAATAATAAGTTATTGCAACAATCAAAACTATGAAATCTTCAGGAAGTTCTTGGGGCTTTATACTCCATTAAAACAGAGGTGTAATGATGTTATTAACTTGCTATTGATAAAAATGTTTGGGAGTGGCTACTTATTAACTTAATAGCTATACCTAGAAAACAATATCATCTGGTGCAAATAAGTTTACTTCTTTCATTATAAATGATACTGATCTTTTTTTATTGGCTGGGAGATTTCTCTGAGCCTTTAATACGCAAATATAATTTGTGAATGTAAAGGAGACAGTCTTAGTTTATGGAATTTTTCAAGTTTGGTTGATTCTCCTTGGACCACCAGATAACGTTCCCAAGGAATTTGCTTTTCTACTACATGGTTTGAGAAACACCAGCCTACAATATAACTTTAAAAGCTATTCCTGCATTTAGTTCCAGTTATGTGGTCTATAGGTATGTTGAATTTGCCTATCAGTAAAACATATGTATTCTTCACTCTGTTTTGTTCACACAGAATAGAACCCCCTTTTTAGCAAGTTGGGTTTCTGAGATGTCTTACGTGGAAATTAACTGCCAGGAAAAATCTCAGGGGAATTCTTTGCCTACATGATGTATATCACACTTTGGGAGTCAAATAAGGCTCAGGGTCAACCCTGATATAGAAGGGAAAAGATCTCACAAAGTTTTGTAAGCCCCACTTTTACATGTTCATGGGACTGACTTCCTACTTGAGGAGTGTGGACATAACATTATTTTACAGCAATTACTTGAAGCAATAGAAAAAAAAAGAGATAAAAGAAAAATAATTCTGCAATTTTTTTTAGAATAATTACTCAAGATCGTCCAAGATTTTGTTCTGCCTTTCTTCACTAAATACCATTTCCTTTTTTGAGATAAGGTCTTGCTCTGTCACCCAGGCTGGAGTGCAGTGGTGCAATCTCAGCTCACTGCAGCCTCAACCTCCCAGGCTCAAGGAATCCTCTTACCTCAGTCTCTTGAGTAGCTGGGACTACAGGCATGCACCACCGTGCCAGGGTTTGTTGTGTTGTTGCTGTTTGTACAGACAGGGTCTCACTATGTTGCTCAAGCTGCCTTTGCTATTAAAAGTTTTTTTAAAACATTAACTTTGGAAAACCCTCATGCCATCTCATCATTACAGATATACTATAATGTATTTTTTTAAATTTCCCTATTGTTTGATACTCAGGTTCCTCTTCCAACCACAACAATAAACAATATTCAATGGACATTCTTTCATATAAACTTTTTATTCACCCACAAATATCTATGTGTCTATTATGTGTCCACCCTAGCATTAGGTTCTAGGAATTCAATGGTGAGCAAATAATTATGCGGTCTTTGCCCTTGAGAACTTATACCAAAGCATTTAAAATTTCAACCTTGAAAGTGCTTCAGATGAAGGTAGACTGTGGTATAGGAATATGAAATAAGATATTCTTTTGGGGGAGGCAAAGTGGGAATAAATAATTCTGAGGAGAAAGAAAGTTTTCTGCTTCTCTGAGCTTATTCCATTTATATTTTAATGTTAAGTAAGACTTCATATGATTGTGAATTCTTCAAACTATTCCAAATCTCAGGGTGTATGCTTACCACGTAAACACTCTGACTGTTCTAACAGGCTTATTGAGAATTAGAATTATTTGAATTAGATTAATTACCCTTTGGCAAGCAAACTGCACCTCATACAGGTCAGTGTTAACTTTTCCTTATGTTACTCATAGTGACTGTCTTGGGACTGCCCATTCAGATAATTTTAAAATATTCTACTCTGCTTTGGACATTTGGAAAAAGAAAAGATTGTTCAGGGTCACTGTTTTCCATTCTTAGCCATGGCCTGAAGCACAGTGGAAGAGTCTGGATGGACTACAGGATGATTTCAGCTCATGCATCTGTAATGGGGATCTGATAAGTTTTCTGTCTTCTTCAAATGGTTCAATTTGTCAAAAAAATACCACCAACCATTTTTTCAGTTTTATTTATTTTCAGTCCTATCATAGTTTATAAATAAGGTTTTGTTGACTTGGAACAAATAGTGCATTTTTGCTGGAACAGAATGGGAAAAGAAAAGAAATGGTCTCCAATCTGATGAGAGAAGTGACGAACAAAGGAACCCACGACAAAATAGCTGCGGAATACAAATGTCTGTGTGAAATGGCATAGGGGAAATTGTAAAAGAAAACTCCTCCAGGGGCCGGATCTCAGTAACACAGCATCATGGACTTATTTCTCATTTGCATGTACATCATTTCATGTCTTTTCTCTGAAAGTAAAATAAAGTCTTAAAACTTTTCTGCTGGGGAACATATTAAATTATGGAATCTTTCCAACCAGAAGTCACCATGGTGAAGAAATAAAAAAAAAAAATCAAGTTATGTATATTGCCTCTAAAATGACCATGACTATGAATATGCAAAAGAAAGAATATGAGTTAACATGCTGATTGCAAAAGATAAAAGCACTGACTGTCCCTTAATAACAATAATGCCTCAAATTGGTGTGTTTTTCTCTGAATTTACTATTAACCATAAATCATCAAAAGACTTAATATTTTGCCTGGACTCATTTGTGTTTAATGTTCCAAGCAGACAGAGAAAGAGACAGGATGTTTTTGTAAAGAAAATGATCCAGTGTTTAATGCTTTTCAAATCTCATTCTACTAACAGTACATCTTTCCCTAAATAGCTTACATTTTTATGGTCATTCCATCACTGTGAATCTTATTGATTAATAGTACTCTTATTTATCATGAGTTTCAATTCTCAAGAACTTTATCTAATTGAGGTAGGTGTTTAGGCTTATTGAAGGTCTTTTTTTGATAACTTATATAACCAGCTCAACAGGAGAGGAGGGTTTCTAATTGCCAGGTGAAGGAGGACTATATAAAAAGTAGGCAAATATTATGGAAAACCTTTTCTCTAAATTGTCTAGCTAATACTAAAGAAGGTAAGCCTGGGCCTTATTTTTCAACTGTAGTATTGCTGTATGCTCTAGTTGGATTTATAGGCCAATTCCAAACCCTCTGCTAGTCTTTTGTGATTCTTACCTTGCAAACATCTAGAGTCTTGGTTTTAGATTTTTTCTTGATACTAGATTATTTAGATTCTAGAGAATAAAGCTAGAACACATTTCTTATTTTATAATTCTATGCTGGATGCAGCAGATCTAGTTAAACTTTTTTTGGTTGCACAGGACAGAAGCACATCTCAAATTTACTTAAGCTAAAGGGGGATTTCTTTATTTACATAGCTAAAAAGTGCAGAATTAGAATTGGCTGTCCACATGGCTCGATCTACTGGGTCAAATGATGTCACCAAGACCTAGACTGTCTGTCTTCTCTGTTGTCCTCTATGTTGGCCTCAATTTTAGACCCCTTCTGGTAGAAGATGGCTGTCAACAGAGCCAGATTAATGGACTCCTAGGTTCAAGACTGCAAGAAAATGAAGTTCCTCTCACTCCACACTTGAAGAGATGTCCTGAACTTTTTGTGCCCAAACCCAAACCAAACCCAAATATACAAGGAGGAAGAAATACTAGCCCCAGGTCATGTGAGCATCCCTAGAGCTGGGAGTAGAACAAGTCCCATTTCAACTGCTTTGACTTAAAAGACTGGTTCTCTCAGATAAAATTTGGTCTGTAACTAGAAGAAGAATAGATGGAAGTTAGGCAGCAAATAAAATAATAAATAAGTCAATTAATTAAAGAAAATAAAACCAAAACAAACACATAAACATACAAATGTCTACTACAATCTAAACCCAGGAGGGAAGCTTAAGTCTTCCTTTCATGATTTCCCATAGAAAATCAATAACATCCTTTGCTATCCCTCAAAGGAGCCCATAGAGGGCTGGCAGAATAGCAGATATCTGACTCTCATTTAAGTTAACTTGCAGAGCATGGATCCACATTGTGTTTGTCCTATCGTCCCTTTTCTTTGCTAGTTTGATAAGAAAAGTTGTCCAACAGGGAAATAATAGGAAAACAATGACAAAATAAAAATAATTCTTATTTGTAGAGCTTAAAAATCAGTCTCTCATAAGCTAACTCCATTACACGCTTTCTCATCATTGCCTGAATATTTCTCTCAGCCAAGAGAAGGAATAAACCAACCCGCCAAAGCTGCACACTCAAGTTTTAAGTGCGCTGGAGAGTGAAGCCAAATAGAAGTCATTCATTTAAGAGCTGCAGTAAAGTGGCAACTGCGTTTTGGTTGTTGCCATGGTTCAGATCCACTCAACTTTAAATTTCTAGTCATTCTCAGAATACCCCAAAGCATTCTACCTTTAGCTATCTCAAATTCATTTATTTCTGACTATTTTATTGCTCACGTACTCCGTGATGGGCACAGTGCTGGACATCTGGGAAGATGGCACTGCCTCTCTTCTTCGTCACTTTTAAGCCAGGGTTAACCACCCTGTCATTGAAATACTTTCTTTTATTGGATTCTGGTTGTCTTCAGCATGTAACTGACAACTAAAGCCATGGGCATGGATAAGAGTGTAGAGGGAAAAGAGAAAAGAAAAGAAGCAAAGAGGAGGGTGGTGGAGGGAAGAGGGGTCATTGACCATAAGCGAGGCATTCTAATTAAAAGGGAGAACATACAAGAACTTCAAATCCTAGCACCTACCCACTACACACTCCCAGTTTCCCCTCTGCCCTACCACCCATCCTCCTGATGCTTATCTTAGATAAAAATTCTGAAATGGGTCAAGCAGGCCCAGCTCGGCACTGAGTACCAGTTCAGGAGACAGCCACCAGGACCCTCAGCTGACAGCAATTACAGGTCCGAGACATTTTCCTCTGGCACTGTATTGTATTAACTTTTTTTTTTGTTTCCTTTAAATTACAGGGTGACCTGCTTTCAGTTGGGAAGTTATAACCAGTGGCCGAATGAGAACAATATTTTCCCTATAAAAAGAACAGAAGAGCCAAGGATTCTTCAAAGATTCCTGGGCACTGAGAAAACAAGTAAATACAAAATTTAGCTATGACAATTACAGACAGACATCAACAAAAATCTTTTTAAAAAGATAAACTTTCTTCATTAAAATATAATTTGTTTGATCTGTATTTATATATCTGTGCCCTGCTACCGTATCATTAAAAATATTTGAAGTCGGATATACGATGCATTAATTTGGCAGATTATCACATTATCTAGTTAACTTTATCTTACATGTTACCTTCTGGGCCAGTGGTGCTAGGACTCCGATCAAACTCACTTCACAGTAAATTAGTTCATATTAAGAAATATATCTGCCGCAAAGTCTATTTGGACCAAAAACAAAATAGCAATAATACATTGCAGCCGTAAATAAACACATAGCAGATTAACAAGGGCTAAGTGTTGCTCTTGTCTGGCACTGGGAGTTAACAGTATATACTTCATGATAACTGAAAAATTGGCAGGAATTGAGTATATGAAAACTACGTATGAAGACAAGCAATACAGCTTTTAATTCTAATTGTTTACAAAAATTATAAAGCATTGTTGGGAAATTGTTAAAATGATTTGAATACTACCAAGGGTTTGAAATAAAACTGAAAAAAACATCAAAGGTTATTCAACAATAAATTATTTTACAATGACAAGAGAATCCAAAAGCAGCATCTGATGTATCTTAGGATCCCAAAATTTCAGGAGCCGTGAACTCTAACTCTAAACAATGCATTATTTATGGACTTTCCAGTCTTTGCTTAAATGTCTCTATTCATGAGCATCCCTTACTTCTCCAAAGCAATCGAACTGCATTTCACATCACTCTGAAGGAAACAGAGAGGGAGAATTCCTCAGCTGGAGTTCAAATTGGCCTTTCTACAGTTCTTTCCGAATGGCCCCAGGATTCTTTTCTGACTTCATGAGGACAACACTTCAGATGAGAGAGCTCCTCTGTGTGCATCCTCCAAGTTTATCTGCTAAACCAAGATAAACATCCCCGGTTCCTCTTTTTAAGTTTTTAAGTGCTGGAGTACATGTGCAGGATGTGCAGGTTTGTTGCATAGGTAAACATGTGCCATGGTGGTTTGTTGCACTCATCAACCCATCACCTAGGTATTGAGCCCAGCATGCAGTAGCTATTTTTCCTGATGCTCTCCCTCCCCCAGCCCTACTCCCCTGACAGGCCCCAGTGTGTGTTGTTCCCCTCCCTGTGTTCATGTGTTCCCATTGTTCAGCTACCACTTATAAGTGAGAACATGTGGTATTCGGTTTTCTGTCCCTGCATTCGTTTTCTGAGGATAATGGCTTCCAACTCCATCCATGTTCCTGCAAAGGACATGAGCTTGTTCTTTTTTATGGCTGCATAGTATTCCATGGTGTATATATACCACATTTTCTTTATCCAGTCTATCCTGATGGGCATTTGGGTTGATTCCCTGTCTTTGCTATTGTGAATAGCGCAACTTGCTTTATTTCTTTTTTCAAATTCACATAATTGTAAATGGCAAGGCTGAAGTTCTCTTAACATTGCTTCAGAGTTTTCTTAATGAGGATCCCCAAATATAAAACCTAATGCTTAAAGAGCAGCTTGATAGAAAATACAGGACACAAGTTTTTTACAAATGAAATTTAATTTAGGATTTAAAGATAAATGCCTGACAAATCTAGTCAGTTAGATGTAGTAAGATACAGATAATGTAACACATAATAATATATAAATAGGCCAAATTACACATATGCGTGTGTGTGAAGAGTATTTGTGTATACAAGTGTGCATATATACAGAGAGAGAGAGACAATGGTCCTCTCCATTTTTCCCGGAAGGTGCACCCAGTTTAAAAACAAAAGTTTTGGCAAAATGTTAAGTGTCCTCACTAATCTTCTTAAGAAATCCTAAAGATCAATAATCTCCCTTGAGGGAAAACTGGATATAAATGCTGAAAATCAGTCCTAGGGGTAGGAGGGGGGGGCATTGTTTTGGGAAGGTGGGGCAGGAAAAGTCAAATTCCATTGGAAAAAAATATTTAATTTGGCAAATATAAATTGAGCAATTAATATATGTGCCACCTTTGTGGGCATGAGATATACAAGCAACAGACATCATAAAACAGATGTCAGAGGCCAGTACAAATTAAACATTCATGTCCCTTTCAACAAGAATGCTTGTTAATTCAACAAACATTCACTGAGCACCTCCTGAGCAACCACACTGTTCCGAGAAATAGAACACCAGTGTGGCAGGAACAGAGTGAGCAGTAGAAAGCTGAATTTCAAATCATTCGAGATGATTCTGGAACTAAGTGGTTGTGTAGCTTCAGCCAGTACAGGGAAAAGAGCAAACCTAGCAGAAGGAGCTATTTGCTTTCCTAAATAATTTGGTGTTCTGGTAGTAGTAATCACAGACAATATTAATAACAACCCTTCCTGAGGGTTTATTGTGTCCGGACAATGAGCTAAGCTCTTTACAATCCTTATATCACTTAATCATCACAACAACACTTTGAGAGTAATTATTATTTCTATTTTACATGTGAAGAGGCTAAAGAGTAGTTATCCAAAACCCCACAGCTGATGAAAGTACATGGTAAATTATTTGCAAATATGGTCACAATTCTCCCTAAAGCCATGCTCTTTGCAATGTAACCTTGCGGCTTCTCCAATCAAGAGGTGAAATCTATTTCTTCACTCTCTGAATCTTGTTGGCCTTGTGGCTTACCTTGGCCAAACGAATGCAGCGTAAGTGACAGTGTCCCAGTTCAAGCCTCAGTCCCAAGAACCTCAAGGAATCAGAACTTGCTTCTGTTCTGTCTCTTAGACTCCTGAGATTGCCATATGAACCCAGCCCAGCCAGCCTACTAGAGAATGAGAGACCACATGGGGAAGAGCTTACCAGGTGAGGTCATCTTAGACTAGACAATACTAAGTGATAGGCCAACTAACTACAGAAGCATAAAAGAGCCTAGCAGAGATCAGCTGAGCCCTGCCAAGCCCCGACCCAGGCCAGAATTACCATCCAGCCATTCCGTAGACTTGTAAGCAATAATAAATGTTCCTTAAGACAATAAATTTGGGGAAGGTTTGTTATGAAATTGAAACCCAAGATTATATGACTCCAGATACTATGCACTGAATTGCTATTTTTTGTCATGTCAAATATTGAAACAGAATCCTGTACCTTAGAATTATGAGAGTTTCTATGGCAGATAGACGGATACTGCATTTTTCATGATTTTGCTTTCTTCCCCCAATCCTCTACAACAAAAAGTCCATCTTGTTTACGCAAATTGATTTTTCCGTTCTGAGGTTGTTTTTCCTCCTGAAATCCTCCTTTCCAGCTGTTCTGGGCCAGGGGTAAAGGCAAAGCCTTCCAACAAGCTTTTTGGCATTACAGAGCCGAGAGCCATCTGTTTGGCTGTAGGCTATTCACCATGGACCTGGCAAGTAACACGTTTCTGACCAGTGGATGATAATTTGATAGCTCATCATTACCCAATAAATATGCTAATCATCACCCCTGAAGTGGGACTAAAACAGTAATTTGGTTGCAAAACATTTAGTGCATGTCTAGAAGATACAGAATTAATGTGATTCAGGCTTAACTTTATAAAACTGTCATTTTGTCATTTATCCCATTTCACTTGCAACCACACTTTGATCTATCCATGATCATGCACAGGAGATTAAATGGTACTCCCTGTTTTCTGATAAATAAGTAGATACTCACTTTCTCTGACATGTTATCATTTTACCTCTTTCCCATCTAGCTTTGTCAGGATAAATTTTCCTCTTCGATAGTTCTTATAGATTACCCTAGAAGTCTGAGAGAGAATAATGAGACAGAAGTTTGGATCAAGAAACCATTTATTCATTTGTCCAGCATTTGACCATCCAAATTGTACAGTAAGGACCTTATACTTGCAACATACCTTAAAATTTGATTCTGAAATCTATTAAGCCACTTAAATTGAATAACTGTTCTAATAAAGTAATCATAATGTCACCTACCTAATATTTCAAATAATATAAAAATGTTTAAGCCATTGACTGCCATTGCATTTTAATAAAGAAGATGAGTCTAAAAATCATTACATTATTTTCCTTAATCATACTATATTTTAAATGTAATAATTAAATTTAATAATTAAATGATTTATTTCTAACTCAATTTATTTCTGATAATAACCTTTAAATAAAATCCTTTTATTTAAAACCTTTTATTTAAAGGGTTTTTATTATAAATAAATTAGCAAAAAATGAGGACCTAGGTCTTGTGCATTACCTCTACCTTGACTATTTATTTCATCAAGTACGTAAACAGTCTTAGAATTTAGGCAGTGTACAACCTGTAAGACTGTACATGGCAGTGGATGGAAATAAGTGGTTGATTACAGCCATGGAAACTTGTCTTATTCTAAAGTGTAGACCCTTTAAAAAATAAGTAAACTCAATTCTGAATGGAAAAAAATTGATTTTTGAGTGCACATTGTGTGCTAAATATTGGATGCACGGCATCTCACTTAATGCTTAAAACAACTCACTGCAGTAGGTATTAGTGTTATCTCCATGCTGTAAAGAAATAGAAAAAAGTTAGAGATATTAAGTATCTCCCCCAAGTTCATCCAGCTAGCAAAGGTTATGATTCAATGTTAGGGTCAGTCCAAAGCCATTTTCTGCTTTGGGAAGCTGAGATGGGAAGTCTTCAGGGAGGGGAGAATGAAGTAGATACTCTAGAAAAGAAGCAGAGTTGAGAGATGAAGATGTGAGTCTTCATTTAACGAGGGGTCAAACCTTGGTTTCCCAAAGACTGTGCCACTCAAACTGTCTATAATGAAGAGACAGATTACTCCCAACTCCAATTCAGCTCAAACCAATACTTTTTTGCAAAATATGATAAAAATAAAATACTAATAAACAAAATTTTAAAATAGCTGAAAACACAAGGATTCCATTTTAATTATTAGAATAAAATTATTCTAGAAAATAGCTATAAAAGTCTCTAAACACCTTTAATATCTCCCCTTCTCTTGTGAATGGGTAGAAATTAGTGATGGAATAGGTGGAGATTAGTTAGGGAATTGACACAGGTTTGAGGACCATACTTTGAGAAGCACAACCCCAAGTTATCTGAGCTGTTCTTCACTCCCAGAAAATCAACTTGCCTTATTCCAGAGGTCAACACTCAAACTCTACCCTCAACTCCTAAAAAATCAAATTCCAGCTATTAGAACTTCAGCAGTAGGAAACAGTCTGGTGCCTACTATACATAGATATACAAATGAAGGACCACTAAATAGAGAAGGCTGAGCGGGTCCTCTGAGCGTGATGATAAAGCTGAAACATTTTAAAAACAGCCTTAGGGATGAAAATCTTCAAAGCAACATAAACATAAATTTAAAAATGGCTAAACAGAGTCTACATTTATAACATTTGCTTATTAACTTCCTTTTCTTCCTTCACAGACTTTCAAAAATCCCTATGGCTGGAAAAGGCTTGGAGGTTTCTCTCTCCATTACGATTCATGCACCTGCTTCCTCTTCTGCAACCACCCCTAACTTTCCTGCAGAACTACCATTAGATAAATAAAGTTTATTTTATTTCAAGATTTTTAAAGACAGGTATTTTGTGCTTCTTTATTTTCTTTTTTCTTTTTTTTTTTTAATTGAGGGGTCAGGGGTGGGGAGAATCAACCAAATCACCAATCAAAGGCTAGTTGGGGGGATGAAAAGGTGGGCTATGGCCATGATAAAAAGAAAAGACCCCTGTATTGATTGGTTAGTTAGCTAGCCAGCTGGATCCCAGCAACATTAAACAGAGAAATGTCTCAGGAGAATGAATGGGATACTTCCAAAAGAATCTAAATTCCTCAGAAGGGCCTGCAAAGCCATAGTGAATGGAGTCCAAACTGAGAGGGGAACTGTCCAAATGGAGAAGCAGCTTGGTGTATTCTTCTCAGGCTCCCAAAATCCCAAGTAGAGGGGAGCATGCCCTTTGCTCTGCCCACTAGTCCAGATATGAAGGAAAGGACAGGTGACATTAACTTACAAATGGCCATCGGGGTCCTGCAGGCCAGGGTAAGGGCTCTAGGACAGTTTGTGCCTGCAGCACCCCCTGTAGTTTACAAATGAGCCTCAGGTGTCTCCAAGCCTCTCCTCCCCATCCCATCCTTTTTTCCTCCCACCCACTTCTCCCTTGCTTCTTTTTCAACTTTTCATCTTGAAAACATTCAAACTTAAAGAAAACTTGCAAAACTAGTAACCTATTGACTAAGATGGATTCATTAGTTCAATATACTGCTCATCTGAATCACTAATTTTGTCACATGTGCTTTCTCCGTGCATTATGCGTGTACACATACATAATACATGTATACATACATACATGTATACATGCAATTATTTTGCTGAACAATTTGGTCTTTCATCCTAAATACATCAGTACATATTTCCGGAAAATAATTTTTTTACATAATCCCAATTCATTGATTAAATTCAAGACATTAATATGGACATAATACTGTTATCTAATACATATTCCATATTTAAGTTTCACTAATTGTCCCAATAACATACTTTGTACCATTTTTTCTTTGACCCAGGGTCCAATTCAGGGTTCTGCTCTGCATTTAATTGTCTTGTCTCTTTCGTGCCCTCAATCTGGAACAGGCTCTCATGACATTAACATTTTCTGAAAGGCACAAGAGAGTTGTTTTGTAGAATAGTCTTAAATTTAGGTCTGTCTGGTAGTTTCCTTACGATCAGATCGGAGTTACACATGAAGGCTATTCGAGTGATATTGTGTCTGTCTCAGTGTCCCAGGAGACACACAATATTAATTTGTTCTATTGTTGATGTTAATGCTGATCACATGAGTGAGGTAGTTTCTGGGAGGCTTCTCTGCTTTAAAGGGATCTTCTTTTCTCTGTATAAAAATGATCTGTGGGAAGATTCATTGAACTATATAAATGTTCTGTTCCCCCAACAAATTCATCCAGTGGTTTTAACACAAACTCCTTAATTTTTATTTGTATTGATGGGCAAATTGTTTATCTCCATAGTTCTGGAGTTTAACTGCAGCCTGTGCCAGCCCTGATCTGGTAACTCCTCTCAGTTTATTGCACACAATGAACCTTTCCACTCATTTTGAAACTTACTTGATATTTTAATGTGAGGGTTTAGAGAACAACCCACCCTCACCCTTTACTACTGAGTCATGGTGACATAGGAGGAGGCCACTACTATTTTGCAACATTACCTCTTTTCCCATTTCACCCCGTGGATATGAAGACCTTTCCCTATGAAAACGATGGCTGCTTTTTAGAAAGGATGAACAAAACAGGTGGGGAAAAGCTCTCATATTCAAAAATCAAACCAAGTCCCAGCCAGTCTGCGAAGCAAAATGCCCACTCAGTCTGCAAAGCCACAGCACGACATCCTGCTGACTTTCCAGCAAAATTAATTGCAAGAACCTGGCAGGTCTCCAAACAACTGCCGTTCTTCCCTTCATTATTGAAAAATCTCTGCTGTCACTTCTTAATCAGCGCTTCGTTCGTATTTCTATAGACTGTACTTTGCTTGCACTTAGGGAGGAATTGGTGCAAATACCACTTTTACTCGGCAATTATTTTGCATAAGGATTTAAGTTGGAGCTCACAGTATGGCAAGATTTGGAATTTAGATAGCAAAAAACTCTCAGAGCTCTTTGGAAAACAAGCTGGACTTGCAGTTACACTGGGTAGACCTGTGGAAACTCTCTTTTAACGTCATGAAGGTGAAACCTGCAAATATTGGTACATAAAGTGAAATCAGCAACTGCTCTCTTTTTTTCTTTTGCTAGGGGTGCAAAAATGAGAGAAATAAACAAAGAACTGATGTCCTCAAAGGGAAAATACTTTTTAAAATTTATTGGGAAGTTTTTGACTGGCTTGTTTTCCTGCTTGCTATGGGAACGTGACAAAACAAGATGTAACTTGTTTATTTCCAGACCATGTCTTAATCTGCCAACCCTTTCCTCATCTGAAAAAACAAATAATTTAAAAGAAGCAGTGAAATGTCATTCGAATAAAGGGCTGTATGACCACTGATACTGCAGACTGAGAAATTAACTAATGAAGACAGGAAAGAGAAATTTTAAGGAGTTTGATCTAATGACATCGCAGGAAAATCCTAAGACATACCTACCAAAGCTAGGTAAGCTGAGGGGTTTAAGGAAGACATGAAAAATGCCTCTGTTGATAAACAAGACAGATAATTCAAGCCAATTATTTTTCTTTGGAAATTGTCATAGCCCAGCTGATGGCTTCAGGGGTTGGACAGTCTAAAACTCTGACTTTCAAATAAATTACTTTTAGTTGCAAAAACCATGATTACTTTTGCACCAACCTTTAAAACGGCCAGTGGCTCAATTCTGTTTTCTTAAACATTCATTTGAGATAAACGTTTTTTAACCTCTCTTAGAAAGAATGAAATTAGAGTAGTCCTGACTTTAGTAAGGAATTGACAGGTCATATTTTGTTTATACAAAAAGACATAGTCAATTCCATTGGTATTAATTGAGCACATATATAGGTTATGTTGACATAATGGGATTTGGAGAAGTCCCAGACACCTGGAGCTTGTTAATTTATTTGGCTAGAGTTACCGCTGGCCTTAAAATTCTCCAATGGCTCCTCTTTACAGTTAGAATGGACCCAAGCTCTTTTCCAAGGCATATAAGACTCCCTAACCTGGCCTCTGCTATTTGTCAGTCACTCTTCATTCACCCACTCTTCCCCTGAAGTTCACAATCCTTCAGCCACAAGGGATTTCTCTCAATTTCTTGAGCATGCCAACACATCTCGGGAATTGTGCATTTGCTGTTTCTACTGCCTCCATAGCAAGATTCTTGCATGCCTGCTCTTCAGATCTCCACTCAGAAAACCTTCCATGCTCACAGTATCCAAAGCCCCTTGCCCAGCCACTCTCTCTCTGTCTGTGAACCTGTTCTCTTTATACCACAGCCCCCACTCCCTACAGGAGATCTTTTTGATCCTGTTCACTACAGTATCTGCAGTACTTGGAATAGAACTTAATAACTGTATGTTGAAATAACAAAAGACCAAATGAATGACTGTATAAAATATGAAGGTAATATGATATAAATAACATTGGATTCTGCTTACTACTAGCCACCTCTGTCTTGAATTTTAAGTATTCAGGATCAGATTTAATGTTTTCCAACAGATTGAGAGTTCTTTGAGGCTGGAGATTACACCTTATATATTCTTCTTTCCCCCTGTGGTACCCCTTGTTCAGAAAAGTTTGCTAAATGTCTACAGGAAGGAAAGAAGAAAGGCGGGGCGAGAGGAAAGAAAGAATTTGTCACCAGATGGACAATGACTTTTTCTGCGGCAACACACTGAAGCAGACAACCACAAATTTGTTTCTGGGGCTTGTACAATAAGTATTCCACTCTCAGTATTAATTCAGAGCAGAGAAGTGCTGTCAAGTGTCTGAGAGAGTGTGGAAGGTGGTATTGGAGAATTCTCTACTGGGCAGCTCCTAAACCATGGGAAGGCAAAGCTGAGGAAGTGAGAGACATGCTTTCCCAAGAGCCCCGAAGAAAGATCTTTTAAATCAGGGTACCAGATGGTCTGCCTTATTAAAGGGTGCCTCTCAAAGCCAAATTCTTTTTTTATTCCTTTAATGCTCACCTTGGTGAAAGGTGAACTACTTTTGAATCAATCTCTCTAAGGTCTCCTGTTTTCAGCCTTAACCTCTGTTCAAAAGCAGGATGTTGAACCTCTGCTGTCTTCCAGGTGTGTATGAGGATGGAGCAGACACATCCTCAGAAGCCGGAGGGCATCATTTTTGTTCATAAGAGCAAAGATGCATCTCAGAGCTGAGGTATGAATCCCATTTCCATCTAAAGCTTGGCTATAGGAGACAGCACCCAAACTCCTGCATTTACTTTTGAAACATTTGCTGTGTTCCTATAATACCACTCTCCTACCAGGATGCTCTCTATAAAATGCCCTAGAATGGTGTCCCATCATCCATTCTGTAAAGACAGCATGATGTAGTAAAAAAAAAGAGATATTGTCTAAGTTTGGCCACAAAGTATCTATGGCACCTGGAAAAGTCAAATCACCTCCATGGACCTGGTTACTTGAAGTATATTGAAATATAAAATAAAAATAAAAACATGATATAAAAGTACAGCTATAGGTAGCTTCTTCTGATCTCAAAGGGATTCCTTATTGTTTGGTTTGATTCGGTCTAACTCAGTGGCTTTCCAAGTTCTGTTCCTAGACTGGCAGCATTAGTATGGTCTGGGGAATTCGTTGGAAATAAAAATTCTCAGGCCCTGTCCCAGATCAGAAACTCTGAAAATAGGACCCTTAATTCTGTGTTTCAACTGGCCTTCTAGGTGGTTCTGATGTAAGCTCATATATGAGAACCATTGGTCTAAAAGAATACTTTTATGGGCCTTGTTATGCACATATGTATGTGGCTTTCCTACTTCTGACAGCTCTCATTACCATCTGTTGTCCTCAGGGTTCCAGTGACTCTCGTGCCACTCATCTCTAAGGACAGCACACATGACTTCACTAAGCCAATCAGCATTATTACTTCTCTGTCTATGTAATTGGTACACGATAGGCATTTGGGTGACGAGATTTAAAAAAAAAAAAAAAAGGGTTTCAGGATTTTGCTGGAAAAGAGACATTCCCAGTGAGAAAGTACCTTGTGGGTAACAGCAATGTGGGGACCACAAAGGGAACTGGGTTTATGATAAACCAGACATCATGGAAGGAAGACGGGACATAGAAGGAAAGTAGGGCTTTGAAGACACTGTTAGTGCGGGACCAAGCTGTGCTTGGTGTCAATTCTACTGCAGCTCTATCTTTTCTGTAACAAGAGCCAATTAGTGTCATTTATTTTTTAAGCCTGTTTGAACCATGTCTGGTGTCACCTGCAACCGAGTATTCTAACTCTAACAGTCCACTTTGCGTGTAAAACATGAGGATTCCTCTACCCTGGTCTTGAGAGAGAAGATGAAGCAAAGCATGAAGAAAATAAAGTATTCCCCGCAATAAGAATATGGAGTTGTTTTCTGGCTAAGACAAAAAAGAACACAGATAGGGTACGAGATGGGGGAGGTAAGGGGACCAGAAAGAAGAAAAATACTTGAGAAGAGGATGTAAGTTTATGACTAAAGTTAGATACTTGTGGGAACGTGGCCGTTAAGAAATGACCTTCAGTGGAGATGGGCAGATATATTTTCAGTAACAGAGTTCTAAGCATGTTCCATGCACTAGATTGATTTAACCCTCACACCACGCTTATGTGTGAATGACACATAAGAATCACTCAAGGTTAGATGTGAGAGGTAAAACTGAGATCCACAGCCAGGCAGCTGGCTCCAGAGTCCATTCTCTTCCCATTAGGGCACGCTTGTGCACCTCAGCTGAAATTCTCTTTAGTGCCTAGGAAACCATCCCCAAAAGTCTGCTCTGCCACTCAGCCTGGCTTAGTGCTGCTTGGAGAAGAATGAGGAGAGGCAAGTGGGTCCTAGCATGGGGTAGAGCCATGCAGAAAGATTGTCATGGCACCAAGGGCGGTGGTCTTGAGACAGGCAGTGGCAGAAAAACTGGCAGCAGCACAAGTGACTCAGGAGGGATTGTGCAATAGTCGACCCCTCTCAATCACAAAAAAGTTCTGCTTTGGAGGGAAAAAGGGAATAAACGACAGAAATAAAGTTTTTAAAAATGTGTGTTTACATAAGGCTTCTACTTGGTCTAAACATCTACAAGCCTGTGCATCTGAATTCTTCCTTGATGTTTAAGAGTCTCTGTAATATGAATAGGCCTTATTTCAGAGGCTAAACTGGTGGAGGAAGACCAAATTTGACTTACAGTATGTTTATTCATCCTGCAAAGGGCTTATCAAAAAATATAATTTACTTGTAGTATTTACAAATTGGGAAGCAACATAGAAAATCCAGATTTCTAGCTTCCCTTGAATCTCAGAAGATCTAGAAATACTGGACCTCTATTCCTACAAGAAAATAACTGCCCAGGAATGAGTAAGGGCTGGCCCCTGTACACAGGACTTGTGGCCTCACAGTTTCCACTACTGTTGTTATATTCTGTTCAGTTTTATTCATTTTTGTCACCCGTCTGTCCCCTGAACTCACTAAAAGTTGCACCCTCTGCCTGACTTAGAACTTGGTCTCAAACTTCCCCAAATATAAGATTGTGCTAGTCTGTCTACACATCCTTCTGATTCATCCTATAATTGTTCCTCTCTGCCATATATTTGGTCACAATCTATCCTATAAGAGTGGAAATCCATGTCTTTCCTTCCTCTTTCATCTCCACTTCCCTGAATTTATCTGAGCATTCAGGAGCCAGATTGTACCCACCATATTCAGAAAAGCTTCAGATTACTTTGGTCAATGTTGGGCTCTTCCTTTTCTGATCGTGGAATTTATTTTTCAGTGAAGAATTCCAGATCATATATGCAATGATATGCCATTTTGTTTTAGCATTTCTCTTCCTTGAAAGTGGAGATAGAGATGGTAATGTTGCAGAAAGTGTCAATTAACTCTACTAAGGGTACTAAAAAGGAGGTAAAACATGCTAACTTTTACCTAGACCAGAGTTTCTCAACATCAAGACTGCTGACATTTGAAACCAGATAATTCTTTGTCATGGGGGGCTGTCCTGTGCATTGCAGCACGTTTAGCAGCATCCTCAGCCTCTACCCACTAGATGCCAGTAGGAAGGCCCCCAGTTTTGACAACTAAAAATGTCCCCAGACATTGCAAAATGTTCCCTAGGTCACAAAACCACCCCTGGTTGAGAATCACTGGCCTACAGGAACTCAAAATCTCACTGAAGACATAAGAGTGACCAATAAGTAGTTAGAAAATCATGGCAGCAGACAATGGTTGTATCTGGGCATCACATTCATCCCATCTTCTTTCAGTGACAATTTTTCTGATTTCTTTAAAAGAAACTATCTTTTCTTCTTCTGGACATAGTCTGGAAAATTAATCAATGTGTCCTGATACTTATTCCCTTTCAGCTGAAGGGAAGACTCATTACCTAAGTCTGGGCCAACTAGGCACACTCTCCCTTGAATTTCTCTCAAGAGTGGCAAATAGGACTCAAGTTTGCTGAAATTCATTCACTGCAGAAGGAGCGGTTGAATGAAACTGTCAAGCAGTCTCTGCAATCAACACCTTCTGGAACTAATTTCTGTTCTTTCTAGGTCTGGTTCCTTCAACTCTTTGAGCATTCATCAACCCTTCAGATAAAGTCCTTTTTTTAGTTATGTTAGTCAAAGTTGGTTTCCGATGCTTGCTACCAAAGAATCCTTACTGATGGAATTACTCATTCTACCTTAGTAAGATAGGAAATAAGAAAACAGAGAAGTCTGAACAGAATCTAAAACTTAATATATGAATATGCACACTTATATAAACAAATGCAAGTGCATTATGATCTCAATTAATATATCTCATTATATATATGTGTATCTAAACATGAAGATACATATGAAAACTTAAATGTCAAAAATAGTTATAACTGGGACATGACATTACAGATTATTTTTATAATATTTTCTATATTTTTAATTTATTAATTTTAATGTTTTCTTATACTTTATATACAAGTCTATTCATTTTATCTTAAAAAACACTTTATGCATTTTTAAAAGAAACATCTAAAATGCCCATAGCTATTGTGTATGATATACGCTATTTCATGTTTTATCTGTCAAACATGTAGTGCTCTGCTAACAGCTGAACCTCATTTGAACAAAAAATGTATTTATTCTACTTATCTGAAATCAAGGTAACTCTCATAGATTTGAATGGCCCTCCTTTTTTCTCCACTTTTACCTACAACCTCTCACAATATGACCTCAAGACACTTCAATTTTAAGGTCAGATAGATGCACTAATTAATACAGCATTTTTACTAATTACTGGGAGTTTATAGCTATAACCCTTAATAACTTGGAATATTTGCTATGTTCTAATCAGTTAAGTGAAATTGGAAAAAGCCTTGATAACAAAAGCAAATGAAAAAGGACCACATTGGGAGACAGATATATAATTAACAAGCCCCTTTATCTAAACTTTCATTAAAGACAAACAAATGTTGAGATGTAAAAGGCATAGCTTTTAATTAAAGTGTAGCTTCCTTTCAAGACCTGCTTTGCCTTGGGCAAACATTTGTCAACATATGTCCCAAACCATCACTGCTTCCCAGTTTGGATAGTTGATATTTTAGCTCATTCTCAAGTCACTCAAAGTAATAAATTAAATTATAAATGCAACAACAATAATGAATTAAGCTGAGAAGTGCAGTATAATATTTTGTCACTAAAAAAAAAAAAATGTCTCTTTGGAGAGATAGGATATTTAAATATTCACTGTGTGAGATAACTTCTTTATTTCCACACTTATCCCCTCACAGACTTCCTTCAATATCAAGGACAAATATTCTCTAACAGTTTTAATTATTTGCTTTCAAGACCGGGAGAAGAAATACCTAACTCTTCTATTTAAAAAAAAAAAAAAGTTTTATGAACCACAAAATCAGATTAAGATGGAAAAAAAAATGTGCAAATTAGCCCTGCCGAAAACATGTAGCCAGGCTGCAGAGAAAGAGGGCAATAGGGTTTCTGGATTTCCCCCAGTATCGCTTCCACTTCTTACATCAGTGCAAATATCCCGGCTGCTCTCACCTGCCTTTGCTCTGTCTGGGTGAGCCTCCACTGGTGCCCCTCAGTTGGCTTCATTTCCACCTGATGTTGGCGCATTTCCAGTAAGTCCCCGTTGGTTAAGCATTAACATTCTGTTTGTATGCAGCAGGCCCTGTCTGTGTCAGCCTTTATCACACTTTCATATTATCTTCCCTCCCCAAACCGTGCAATACTGTCATTCAACTGTATAACCAGAGAACACAGCAGGGCAACCCTGCAATCTGTTGGGAGGTAGTAAATACAGGGTACCACTTAAGAGGATGTGGAGTCAGACGGACCAGGTTCAAATACCGACTGTGTTTCTTATTAGCTAAATGACCTTGGCGAAATTACCTATTTTCTCCGCCTTTGTTATTTTCTCTGTAAGAAGGAGGGTAATGATACCACCTTTTTGGGAGCATAGTGAGGATTAATCAAAGGGAGTGAACGCATATATGAACTGCCTAGCACAGTGCCCAGCACACAGTGAACACTCAGCAACCGGCAGCTTTCCTGATTTCCCATTTATATATTGAGGGCAAGTGTTGTACCTAGACAGACATCTGCCTACGTGATATGATGTGAGGATTACCAAGTGCACCTATCTCTGAAATTCTGGAATCTATCTCAGGACCTCAAATACCCACTGTTTAAGTCACCAGAAACTTTTCTAATAGCAGGAGACTCCTATATAAACACAAAAATATGAACTAGGAAGAAGCTCACATTAAGTCATTTTCACTCATTAACAGCAATTACTTTATCAAATTCGCTATCCCAGTCAACTAGCACATTCTTGTTTCAACTCAGCAAACTCATGCTGAACCCTTACTAGTGCAAGAGAGTGTGCTAAAAGCTGAGGAGAAAACAGTTAAGTAAGAGTTGATCCCTGGTTTCAAGGGACTCACAAATGAATGGCAATGACAGATGTGCATGGATGTACACACAAAATGTAAGGAACACCATTAGATAGGAAATTGTTGTGCACACATGCTTTTATGGTAAGAAGGTAGAAATTCCTTTCTACATAAAAGAAACCATACTTGAGCTGCAGCACTTGTTAATCCATCTGTCCATCCCATTCATTCTATCCATCTATCCATCCATCCATTTATCCATCCATCCATCTATCTCATTCATCTATCCATCTATCCATTCATCCATCTGTCCATCCATCCATCCATCCATCCAACAGATATGTATTGATGCCAATGAGGTACAAGCATATGTTAGGCACTCAGTTAATTAAAATAGTGAATAAAAAAGATATTAACACTGTCTGCATGAAACTCCTAGTCCAATATGGTGACAAACACACAATTGGGTATAGAATTATAATTTGGAAGAGGAGATAGCAAAGAAAATGAGTATGTTTTATGATAAAGAATAAAAGCAGGCCAGGCACAGTGGCTCATGCCTGTAATCCCAGCACTTTGGGAGGCCGGGGTGGGCAGATCACCTGAGGTCAGGAGTTTGAGACCAGCCTGGCCAACATGGCAAAACCCCATCTCTACTAAAAATACAAAAATTAGCCAGGCATGATGGCGTGTGCCTGTAATCCCAGCTACTCAGGACGCTGAGGCAGGAGAATCGCTTGAACCTAGGAGGTAGAGGTTATAGTGAGCCGAGATGGTGCCATCGCACTCCAGCCTGGGCAACAGAGTGAAACTCTCTCTCAAAAAAAAAGAAAACAAAAAAGAATAAAAGCAGAAAGCATAAGGATTTCAAAGAAATCCTGTGGAAGAGGAACCATTTAAAAGGAGATCTGGAGGAGGCCCAAGGGTTGTCCATGTGATAACAGAGGGAAAAATAATTAGGGAGAAGAAATAGGGGCAAGAAAACAATATGGCACTGATCAAAGACTTGGAAAGATGCCCCATTGTGGCTAGAAATTGATGAGTAAGGAAAAGTGGCTGGAGTTGAGATTGTTCAAGTGGGCAGATCAGATACAGCCTTGAAGGCCTTGCTAAGACATTGGGATTGTACTTTCTCCCACAGAATAGAAGGCCACTGCAGAGTTTGAAGTAGAGGGTGTGACTGATGTTATTTAGTTTGCATTTTAACAGTTTTTCTTTCTGCTGTGACAAGAATGGATTAGAGGTAGATATAATTTATGGAAAGCAAATACACTGCAGTCATCCATGATAAGAGATGAAATCAAGCATAGGAAAGCCTCATTTATCCCATCTGCAAAATGGGGAAAATACCTGCAAATAGGGTTGTTTGTGAAGAGAAACTAAGTTACTACACATAAAGTGTTTAGAACAGTGCCTAGCGTATAAAACAGATTCAGACTGCTAGCTATTATAGTCATATATTACTATGGTCATGATTATGTGGATTAACAAATGAGAATTAATCTGTTACAATCAGGTACAAGAAGTATCACTGCCCAGTTAAGTAATTTGCCCAACAAAGGACATGAATAGACATTTCTCAAAAGAAGACATACAAACAGCCAACAAACATGAAAAAATGGTCAACATCACTAATCACCAGAAACATACAAATTAAAACCACTAGGAGATACTACCTTACTCCTGTAAGAATGCCCCTAATTAAAAAGTCTAGAAACAGTAGATGGTGTGGATGAGGTGAAAAGGGAACATTTTTACGCTGCTGGTGGGAATGTAAATTAGTACAACCACTATGGAAAACAGTATGGAGATTTCTTAAAGAACTAAAAGTAGATCTACCACTAGATCCAGTAATCCCATTACTGGGTATCTACCCAAAGGAAAATAAGTCTTTCTATGAAAAAGACACAAGTACATGCATGTTTCTAGCAGCACGATTCACAATTGCAAAGATACACAACCAACCTAAGTGCTCATTGACTAGCAGGTGGATAAAGAAAATATGGTTATCTATATACCATGGAATACTACTCAGCCAGAAAAAGGAATAAAATAACGTCTTTCACAGTAACTTTGATGGAGTTGGAGGCCGTTACTCTAAGTGAAGTAACTCAGGAATGGAAAACCAAATATTGTATGTTCTCACTAGGAGCTAAGCTATGAGTAGGAACTAAGTTATGAGGAGATAAGCTACAAGTAGGAGCTAAACTATGAAGAAGCAAATAGTAGGAGCTAAGCTATGAGGAAGCAAAGGTATACAGTGAGTGATACAGTGGACTTTGGAATTTGGTAGGAGGAGGTTGGGAAGGGGTGAGGAATAAAAGACTACATATTGGCTACAGTGTACACTGCTCGGGTGATGGGTGCACTAAAATCTCAGAATTCCCCACTATAGATATCATCCATGTAACCAAAAACCACCTCTACCCCAAAAACTGAAATAAAAAATAATAATTCAAAAAAAATCAAGTTAGTGGCAAGACAGCTTAAACACAAGCAATCTGGCTCCAGAGCTCGGCTCTTAACTGTACTATTGACCCTCTGATGCACACATTAACTTGTGCTGTATAGGCTTTTGTCATAGGATTTTAAAATTTAACAGTATATTAAAACATTTTTTCATTTCCATAAAAATAATCTATAACATTTTTAATATACGCAGCTTAATTTATTTAACTGTATGCAGAGCATAGAGATTGGTTCCAGGCTGTCTGATGTTATAAATAAGTCTATGATGAACATCTCATTATCTTTTTTTGACCCGCAATGATGATACTTTTCAAGAGCTATTTCTTAGGAGAGAGATTATTGGTCAATACGCGTGAATATTTTAAGAATTTTGCCATGTGATTCTAAGTTATTCTCCAGAAATGTCTCACTAGTGTCTACTATTACAAACTTTTCTACTGATTCTTCTCTCTGGTCACAGATTCAGCCACGAAGCACCATTGTGGCTACTCCCAGGACCATATCAGTAATGCCTCTGAATGACTTCACCCTCTTTCTTTCTGTTTCACTCATGGGTTTTTGTGGCAGAGGTGCTTCAGAGTGGAAACCCTTAGACCTCAGCAGATAGAGAGGCACTAAGAGAGGAGCTAAGGAACATACAGGAAGATCCAGAGAAAAAGGGCAGCTTTTCTCCCAACCTGCTCTGTGTAGACTTGCTGCCTGTCATCTGGTTTGTCCTTAAAAGCAGCCAGTTTTCTTTGGCTGGTGAGTAGAAGTCGTCAGAAAGATTCAAAGTGGATCAGAGATTTAAAGAGATCTCAGCCCTTGGCTAAAGATGGCTTTGTATTTGTACTTTTCTGCAAAGCTTGTTACCCTAAACAAACTCACTCTGTGAGTAATAAACTCAGAGAACATGGATATCGAATAGACATTAGTGGTATCAGTCTTATACCCCTACTCTATCCTTGGTGGAGGCAGAGTGTGGCTTTCCATTTTCATCCCTCAATTTTTGTCTTTTAACCTCTTTGATGTATGTCTGAAAAATGGCTGACCCAAAACACTAGTTCTAGAATCACTGTGACTAAATACTCTTGGATTTGAATACTTACAGGTTTCAGAATTTTTCATCTACACTCCTGTACTTTACTAGGAACGTTTTTTTTCCTTTTTAATGGCAAAAATAATGTTTTATCTACTTTTGACTATTTTCTTTCTGTCTGAATCCTAGTTTCTCAGAAGTAATCAAATAGGAATAGCTCTTCAAATTTTCTAGTACCTCCCTCAAAAGCCCTCAGGCATTATTTCAGAGAAAAAAATAAAAACCAATGCTCTCTCATGAGTCAGAGTGTCACCCAGTGCTTAGGAGTTCTTTGGAATTTCTGTTCAGGTTCTCTAAGTTATTCAAATGACAATAATGAATTTCTAAAGAAGGGAAAGTTTTTACTGATTTTTAAGTAAACAAATAAATGTATCCCATCTGTCTATAAGAGTTACTTTCAGCCACGTTTTTTTTCCTCTTAGAAGGACAGGATATGCCCCTGCTCCCCCCGCGCCCCTGCCAAAAAAAATTACCAGCAAACTTTTAAAGAAGATGGCTTTTATTTAATTTTGCAAATCAAGGGAAATTGCTGAGCATTTCCAAATTGAGGCTGGATTTCTTGTTCTCTAATTTAGTTTTGGCATTTGGAATATTGGTAAAAACAACATTATTGGAGTTGTGTTTGTATTGTGCATATTAGTGTAAGGGAATGAATGTGGGCTAAGGAAACAAAGATGATGAGGGAGCTGGATTCGCAAATAAATGTCATGGATGCAATCACAATACTTAACGTCCAAAGCATAAACTTCCAAATTTACAATAAAAGGAAAAAATACCCGCCACATAAAATTTCTACAGATTAAGCCAGCACTTTACGTGTGTGTATGTAAATATATGTATGCATGCATATCACATGCATTTCATGAAACATGTAAGTATTAAATAATTTGGACTTCAAAGTAAAATAGCATCATCAACCCAAATCTATAGTCTCCCCTCGCTGCAAAAGAAGTAATCAACAGAGTAAAAAAATTCAAAAACAGCCTATAGTAGACTTAGAAAATAGAATATCATCTATGTGCTAGAAACTTTAAGGAATTTCTACCCACAATTGCACAGTTCTAATCAGTTTGAAAAAGGAAGAAAGTGGTGACTTAATTCCCAAATCTACATAGGAGTTTTATGGATTTTAACGTGGTGGAGTCTGTCTCACGCGCATCCATGTGAAGAGACCACCAAACAGGCTTTGTGTGAGCAACAAGGCTGTTTATTTCACCTGGGTGCATGCGGGCTGAGTCCGAAAAGAGAGTCAGCAAAGGATGGTGGGACTATCATTAGTTCTTATAGGTCTGGGGATGGGCGGTGGAGTCAGGAGCAATGTTTTGCGGGCAGGGGGTGGATATCACAAAGTACATTCTCAAGGGTGGGGAGAATTACCAAGAACCTTCTTAAGGGTGGGGGAGATTACAAAGTACATTGATCAGTTAGGGTTGGGCAGAAACAAATCACAATGGTGGAATGTCATCAGTTAAGGCTATTTTCACTTCTTTTGTGGATCTTCAGTTGCTTCAGGCCATCTGGATGTATACGTGCAGGTCACAGGGGATAAGATGGCTTAGTTTGGGCTCAGAGGCCTGACAGTCTGACCTTACACAACTCCCCAGGATCACACTTTATTCCAAGGAGTGACAGCAGGTCATGAGGCTGAAGGTTTCAATCAGCATTGGGCTGCCATATCAGATATTAAAAGCATGACAAACATATACTAAAGAAAATTCATTGTGTATCAGAAATTCAAATTTAACTGTGTGTCCTGTATTTTTATTTGCTAAATTCAGCAACCCTAAACCAGCATAACACAGAAGATACAGAAGTTCCCCTTCTGTAAAAGTAGAAAACTACAACCAGCCATAAACCAAGTGCCAACAGATAAAAATGGTTAGGACTATGAAAAGATCCTGCAAATCATCAAAAAGAGATCAATCTCTGATACTATCAAACAAGTAGGAAAGGATTTTAGAGACTCTTTAATTTATGGTTTCAAAAGACCCTATAGAACACTCCATTTTATAAAACTAGAAGCAGCTGGTACAAAGAAAAATCAAAATACGCGGCCTAGTGTAGAATTACCAAACAGGTAAAGTAAATATGTGAAAATTTCTACTTTGTTTAAAAATAAAAACCCACAGGTGTGTGCATATATTAAAAACGTGGCAGTGTATCAGTGTTCCTGGCTGCAAGTAATAAAAATTGACTGGCTGATCACTGTAGACAAAGAATCTACAAAAAGCCTATTGAGAAGCTCAGGAAATCTTGAAGAGAGTTGCTGGAATAGGGCTTAGAAAATTAGCAAGACATGGCTGGGTGCGGTGGCTCATGCCTGTAATCCCAGCACTTCGGGAGGCCGAGGCAGGCAGATCAAGAGGTCAGGAGTTTGAGATCAGCCTGGCCAACATGGTGAAACTCCATCTCTACTAACAATACAAAAATTAGCCAGGTGTGGTGACACATGCCTGCAGTCCCAGCTACTTGGGAGGCTGAGGCAGGAGAATCGCTTGAACCTGGGAGGAGGAGGTTGCAGTGAGCCAAGATGCGCCACTGCACTCCAGCCTGGGCAACAAAGCAAGACTCCATCTCAAAAAAAAAAAAAAAGAAAAGAAAAGAAAGGAAAAAAAAAAAAGAAAATTAGCAAGACAAAATGGAAGAGGCAGGAACAAGAGGCCCGCTCAAATCATGCCACATCATCAATCAGCCTCAAAACAGTGAGCACCAAAGGTGGCCACACCAGCAACAGTCACTGCAGCTCTGAGCTCCAGGCCCCAACAGGTGCACCTCCACCAAAGGGCCACCTCTCGTGTTCCTGGAACTACCATGTTGCTTTGCTGCTGCTGCTGCTGGTTCTGTCACCAGAACTCTCTGCAGTCCCTGGTCCTTCCAATCTCTACTCCCAATTCAAACTGGGAAGGCTTCATCCCATTAGGCTAGCCAGGGTCATGGCTCCACAATCCAGCTGTAAAAGTGAGTAGAAAAGCCAAAATTTGGCAATTGAACTCTTCAATATATATTATATTATATATGCAAATATATAATTATATGGTTTTATATTATAATTATATAATTAGTTTTTTTAAAGATTACTTTAAAAAACTTCAAATGTCTCTTACAAACCTAATGATAATTATTTCTTTCCATTTAATGTTTTATATCCTTTTGGTAGTAATGAAACATTGTTCACAGTTTTATTTTTCATCAGGATATTAAAATATTTTTTCTGCTCATAAATTTTTTTCAAATGTGTCAAGGAAAATTCCCTCAAGAAGTAGCTGTGCACAGCAGAACTCAACATATTAGAAAATATTACTGATTTCTCTTAGACAAGCTGCTTAAGAGGGAGTGAATGATGTCTCTTCCTCACATAACATTGTACTTGGTACAGTAAAGGTGCAAGGCTGGCAAGTAGAGGCTCCATCCATTATTGTCTCTGTAGTACATATACCGTAGGATAATGAGAGCCATCAGGATAAAATGTGGCGTGCAGCCCATGTAAATCAACCAAGGTGAGTGAAAACGCTGGAGACATTTGTATTTGTTTTGCTGGTGGTGTGCTCCCCGCATCAGCCCAGAACTCATTATGGTCTTACTTATACAGCTACAGAGATTTCATTCAATGTGTATGGCAATATCATATTATGTCTTTAAAGAAGGAGGAAAGTATTAGCTAAAGCACAAACAGGTACTGTTTGCATTAACTTGAGAAAGATAATCATTTGCAAGGAACATTTTTAAAAAACAAAACCCAGATCCTTTCATAAGAACCACCCTTCTGTGAAGCTTTGGACTGAGAAATCTGAGCTTGTAATCAGAGGCAGTTGCAGAGCTTGGGAGGCGTACCTGAAAGTCAAAGGTGAGGCAAGTTCCATTTATCTTGCAATGTCGCATCGGTCTCCCTATAGAACCTCATCATCATGCTCTGCCCTTGTCATGTTCCTTTTCATTTGCAGACACTTGGAAGCAGCCCTAACCTTATTATATCCATTATTAGTTACTAGCTACGGATAATTCAATTTTTCAGTTCATCTGCCATTGCTTAGAAAACATCACATCATTAGTATTTCTGTTTAGTTGCCACGTCTTGGTAGTCAGCACACATAAGCAACCCTGTGTGGCCAGGTTCTCATGCTTAATCTCTTCTGTCATTTGTTAGTTCACACACTGGTTATCACACATTCTCTGGCTGGCACCTACACATAGCAGCGGGTGAGAGCAGAGACTGAAGCCAGAACACCTGGTTTCAAATCACGCCTACATGGCCCACCAGCTAGGTGAGCTTGAGCAAGTCTCTGCACTTCTCAGAGCTCGAGATAAACGTCTACAAAAGGGTAATGATAAACATGTCTCAAAATGCTGTCACTAGGGATAAATAATGTAATAATTTGTAGATGCTTATTATGCTTAACGTATAAATGATATATATGCAGTTGTCCCTCGGTACCCACAAGGGACTGGTTCCAGGACCTACCACAGATTTGAAAATCTGCAAATACTGCAGTCCCTGATATAAAGTGGCATAGTATTTGCATATAACTTATGCACATCTGCCCATACACTTTAAATCATCTCTAAGTTACTTATAATACCTAATGCAGTACAATGTAAATGCTAGGTAAATCGCTGTTATAGTGCATTATTTAGGGAATGACAAGATTTAAAAGTTTGTACATGTTCGGTACAGAAGTAATTTTTTCTAAATATTTTTGATCTACACTTAGTTGAATCCACAGAGGCAAAACCCTCCAATATGGAGGGCTGACCAAATATGTATATATATGGACTTATAAGATGAATGTATATACTTTACAGAGAGGATTTTCTCTTAAGTATAAGGAATTTATTTCTTCTGCAAGAATCCAGTTCTAAAGTCTTAACTAGTCATAATTACTCTTGAAAAATCCCCTGGGTCACTCATAGAGAACACAATTTTAATAACTCTTGAGAAGTCTGAACTACCAATTTTTTCTCCACTGTTAAACTAGATCTTTGTTTCATTGACCGAGTGCCAGATATAGTGGCTGCCTCACAAATATTAGCACCAGTCAGAATGACAGGAACCTCCACAGGCATGGAGAACCCGACAATGCCAGGCAAAGCGAATTCAAATCCTCCATCTCATGCTAAGGCAGATGTCATGTTCTAAAATTCTCTGTCTCTGTCTTCATCCTTCTTCTCTCCCCCAGGGATAAGTTTTAGTTGAGTGGATATGGTATAGTTTCCATAATTCAAATTTAAAGATTTAAAGAAGAAATGTGTTTGCCACAACAATGGTTCAAAGGCTGTGTGCTTATGTTTTAGTTTGGACTCTTGCTTAAGGATGTCTCTTGCATATGAGAGGTTCTGTACCAGTGGATCTCAAAGATTAGCATGCAGCCAGTCACCTGAAAAGTCTATTTAAAATGCAGATTTCAGGCCTCCCTCACCCCCCCAGAGAGTAGATTCAGTATATCTGGGGCTGGCCCTGTGGTGATGGATGGCCACTGGAAAATGCTAGGTCAGAGTCATGAAGTTCTCAGCATGTATCAGGGCCTAATTCAGGTCCATTTCGCACATCTGAAAAATCAAAGGGAATTATCTGTCACTAAAATTTAACAGCAACTGCCTTAAATGACTGGAGAGACTTCCATGAAAACAATTGAACACAGCAACCATAGGAAGTTAAACACAATACCAATAAATACATTTGCTGATAGTCTTTCACATTGTCCAGTAATAGTCTAAACTCTGGGTCTTAATTCCTAATGTGAATGTTCTAGTATTTAAAAGAATGGTACTTGGAAGTTAGAAAAGGAGAGGAGAGAGGAGAGGAGAAGAGGAGGAGAGGAGAGGAGAGGAAAGGAGAGGGGAGGAGAGGAGCGGAGAGGAGAGGAGCAGAGAGGAGAGGAGGGGAGAAGAGGGGAGGGGAGGTGAGGGGAGAGAGGAGACAAACACAACTGTTTTTTTTTTTCTTCCAACTCAGAAAAGACCAAGAGCAAACACTGCATTTATTCATTCCAAAGGCTCCAACATGAAAGGGATTCACAAAAAGACAGCAGAGCTAAATGCAGTATGGCGTCCTGGATGAGATACAAGCACAAAAGAAAGACAATAATGGATATGCTGGTGAAATCCAAACAAATCAAGGAGCTTTATTAAACAGTAATGTACCAATGTTGATTTCTTAGTTTTGACAAATGTACCATGGGCATGTGACATAACAGAATTCTCTGCATTATCTTTGCAAATATTTTTTCTTCTTTCATTATGTATACATAATAGTTGTACATATTTATGGAGTACATATGATATTTTGATACAAGCATACTATGTGGAAGGATCAAATCAGAGTAACTGGGATATCCATCATCTCATGCATTTATCATAGTGTCTCTGCATATTTTCTATAAATCTAAAGGTACTCCATATTTAAATGTGGTAAAAAAAATTTAAAAACCTTAATATTCATGAGCATGAGAGTGCAACTCAGATGGATCGCAGTTTGATCTGTGGACCTGTATTATGGGCTGGCTCAGCCCTCACCAGCTCTGTGGCCTCAAGTTCTTCATCTTTTAAGTGGAAATGATAGTACTCCCTGCCTCACAGAATAGTCATGAAGATTTAATGAGTTAGAATACAAAAAGTGTTCAAAACTATGCTTAATACCTAACAAGGACCTGTTGAGTGATGCCTATTACCCAGCAAGTCAGCCTCAGTTTCTTCCTGTGTAAAATGGGGACAATAAAAGCACCAACTCACCAGTGTGCTGGGATGATCAAATGAAATGATGTGAGTAAACAGCGAGCACAGAGTCTGTTCATAGAGCACTTTAAATAGAATTTGGCACAGACTAAGCATGCAATAAATGGTAGCTATAAGTACAATCATTAATACTAATAAAAACTGATGGGTGACCTGGCCAGTTCTAGCTTCAAAGTAGCAAGGATCTCAGGTTTGACTTCATTAGCTCCTTGCAGGCCACTGCCTGGCATGCATATCTAAAAAGGGAAGGACGAATACACCATGGGGCCTGTATAACCTCCACCCTTTCTTTTTTCCAGGATATAAGAAGTATCCCAATTTCAGGGCTCAGGTTTTGACTGACCAAAAACATAATCCAAGCTGACTTCGAAAAGGAGGGTTGCCATTGACTTGTGAAACACCCAGGGAAGGCTGACTCCAGGGATGCAAAGATGCTGCCAGGATCCATCTTGCTCCACCTCCTAGCTGGGCTCTCCTCCAGGATGGCTTCATCCTCAAGATTTCCACAGTGGAAAAATACCTGCCAAAAGCTCTAAGAGGTAGATCCTCAGTGGCTCAAATCCAGAAGGGGAACCTGTTTTCCCTGAATTTGAATCAAAGTCCAGAGCTCCGTCTCAATGGCCCAGCAGGGATCCTGTCTGTCTCAGACCAATCACAGTGTTCAGGGAGATGGGATCACCGACTGACTTGGTTTGACCCACGTGCCCATTTCTGGTACTGACAGTGAGGTCAACTCCATTCAAACTAAATGGACTGAAAATATGGAGGGGTGTTTTGCCAAAAGAAATTTGAGATATTGCTGCCAAACTAAGAGGTATGGGAAGCTGTGTGGCTCTAAACCAGCGTATGTTCACTATAATCATGTGGATTTTGTAATTGATGATCACAGTTGGCTGAGCAGATGTAGAAACTCAGGAAGAGAAGCATTAGCCATCCTGCTGCTGGTCCTCTCCAGGTAGACTGCAGAATCCAGCGGCCTTCAGAGTCAGGCATGCACATGTACAGACCTCCCTGGCTCTTTTGAGGGACACAACTTTGATTCAATTCAACATGTATTTATTAAGCAATTATTACATGCCAGGCACTGCACATGTCCCTGATTATAAATCATGTGCACTTTATTAAAAGAAACAATAGAGTCCATGGTGAGCCCCTGGAATTTTTAGAACAGTTTTATTGAGGTTTCACCTCCATACCATAAAACTCGCCCATTTTAAGTATTAAATTCAATAATTTTAATAGATTTATAGTTGTGCAGCCATCACCAGGATTCAGTTTCAGAACATTCTCATCACCCAAAAACTCATCATCATGCCCATTTCAATTAATCTGCATTCACACTCCCAAATCCAACCAACTCCTCATCTCTATTCTGCCTTTATAGATTTGCCTTTTCTGGACATTTCTTATAAATGGAATCATATTTTTGTATGTGCTTGGTTTCTTTCATTTGCATTTCTGTTTAAGATTCATCCTATAAATTCTTTGTAGCAGATATCAGCATTTTTCTTTTTATGACTGAATAGTATTCTACTGTATGGCTGTACTGTATTTATTTATTCATCAGTTGATGGATGTTTATATCATTTACACTTTTGGGGCATTATGAATAATATTGCCATGAACATTTACATACAAGTCTTTGTGTGTATATGTTTTCATTTCTGTTGGGTAGTTATCTAGGAGTGGAATTTCCAGGTCATATGGTAAACATTCGTAAGTCTTACTGAATAAAAATTAAAATTTTTATTGCCTGCCCAACTTTCCCAAAAATTTAAATTAAGCCTTCACTCCAAGCAAATCATATTCTTGGTATTATATACATCACCTTAATAAAGGTTAGAATCTTTATGGACCAGCCTTTCAACAAAGTTAAACAAAAGTAGCACAGCGCTGAATGGCAACCAAAGGTGATCACATAAGTAGTCTGATCTTTACTTGCATCCCTTGAGGAAAACTTGTGGTAAACTAAGTTATATCCCAACACTTTATAGAATCTTCTTCCCTTTTATTTCTAATTTTTCTAACCTCCCCTACAAAAGATGAACACTCTCTTCGCTCACACATGCAGCATCTCATCTGTTTCCTCCTCTTTCTTCTTCTCCAGTCCTTTATTGTGTCCTCTATAGAGCTTCTCTGACTTGTCCGTGTGAAAGGCACTGTGTGCAGAAACCAGGGACATGCCTCTAGGTCTTCAACACCAAAACTTGCTTTCAGAAAAATAATTGCTCAACCAGTCATCCCATTGAAAAAATATTTGTAAGCCAGTTTCTTTCACAGCTTAGAGGGAATTTAGCTTTAGTGTCTTTGTCTATAACTGAGTCATGATACCAGTGGGTCAGTCCAGATAGACTAGATTCTAATGTAGTAACCAACAATTCCGAAATCTCCATGGGCACTGCGGGTGGGCAGGGATCTCTGCTCCTATCAGTCACTCATGGCCGAGGCTCAAATATTGGTGACCTGTATACCTCCAGAACTCCAGAGGGTCTCCCACCGGTAATTAAATATTTATCCCAGAATTAACACTTCTGCTTGCAGCTCATTGGCAAGAGTCAGTCAACAGCCTCACTCAATCACAAGGAAGCCAGGAAGAATCCTACTACATGCCTCTAAGATAGGTCAACAGGCTGTGTTTGAGAAATAGGAAGAGTGACTATCTTTCGTGACCATCAGTTTCTCCACAACACTTGACATTTGTAAAAATGTGGGTGTTTAAAAGTGGGGCATTTGTAAGAAAAGAAAAAAGAGTTGGTATAATTTCTGCAGCCCATTGGCAGGCTGTGGAAAATTTGTATGTAATTCACATATTCACATAGTGAAATTTTAAATGTTTTGAGTAAATTTCTTTTTTAAAGAAGAATGTTGGTAAATCTTTTTCTTTCTTTTTTGAGAAAAATTTGCCCCTAACTATAAATTCTCAATTTATGAGCTTCACTAACATGGGATGCATCCAGTCGTTCACAGAGTCAATAGATCACAAATATTTAGCAAGCAACTATTACCTAAGGTTGCTCTTCCAACTCCAGGAACAATTTGTTTGTGTCACATAATTGGAAAATCTTCAGCTGAGGGTCTGATCTCTTTCTTTGTGGCCTCCTCTCTGCCCTCCCTCACACTTGCTTTGTCCAATTGCTGCTTCTGTTGAGAATCATGAGCATTTCCCGGGGCTCAGTACCTGCTGCTTCACACATACCAGAAGAGGCAGAATTGCTCTTAGTAGCCCTCCTGGAACAAAAGGAGGCATCTTTCCCAGAGTTCCCAAGAGTCATCTCCACCCGAGTTATGACACATTAATACACACCACAAAAACAAGTCCACATTCCTCACACTGAGGGACAGGCCTGTCCTCCTAAAAATGCAAGACCAAAAATGGAGAAGGAATAAATTCCCAGAGAAAACTCTTGAGTGTTAGGAAAAAAAGGAGATTAAGAAATGGTTGCTCTCAAGGCAATCAATATGCACTCACAAACTCACGTTATTTGAGGATCCTAACTCTCTACTGTGATACTAAACCATTATAATATCGTGTGCCTGCTGCCTCATAACATTTATCTAAAAAACACAGAACTCTTTAGTATGTAAAACAAGAAGCCAATACCTGAGAATTAAAAAAATAAAGATGATTATGAAAGATTATTGTTCTTAAACTTCAAAAATGTAGAGGATCATCAAGATTATAATGATGGCATGAATTTTTAATCCGCCTCATTTAAATCATGTCAAATACAATGCAAGGTCCCTGAATTGTAAAATTATTTCACCCAGATTGTTTCACCAAGATAGCATGACTTGACACAAGCCATATGTAATCACTCAACCTCCTTGCTTAAAGAAAAAAAATTCAGAAATTAGAGTCAAGCCCCGTCTGACACAGGAAACATTTATTTTAGTGGTCTTCAGAGTGCTGTACATAAAGTTGTTCAAACCATGGTCATTAGACTCCAATTTATATTTCTGTTTTTACATTTCTGCCTGCAAAACTAATTCAGTCTAATCCATCTCTTGTGGATGACTGGGAAACCTTCAAAAGATAAATACTGACTATGGTGAAATGTACCCAGAAGAGAAAGCAATTCAAATTAATCTCACTAAATATCACCATTAGTGAGCAATGATTCATTTCACTCACTCAGAAGGGAGGATTTTTTTACACACCTCTATAACTGTTATTTGATATTGGGGCTAGCCCCAGTTGACAAGAATTGTTTCAAGAAATGAAAACAGCACCAAGCTAATGGTTGTTTTCAGTGTAATCTTGGGTTTACCCAGCCGACTTGGAAAGCAGGTCTTATCAGAATCACACTCGAAAATATAGCATTAGAGATCGTAAATTAGTATCTGTTGTCTGAGCAATGCTTAAGGTTAAATATAAAAACTCTCAATTTATACATGTATTTTAGGTGAGATGAAGGGCAAAGTATACTTTATGGCAAACCAGAATGTCAAGTATGTGGTTTGAACTCAACCACTCATGTATTAAATGATACCAGGTAAATAACATCAATTTCTTCCTATTTAAAATATTCCCTTAGACATCTACTCTCATAACATCTGACTCACACAACAGAAAAAATATATTGTACACTACTGATAGTGTTTCCTCTCCGCCAAGAGAAGGAACAAGTTGAATAGACAAAGCACTGAGGTCAGGGATCTTTTCCAGGTTTAAAATTCCCCCAAGCTCCGTGCACATGATGAGCCCTGGTTGATTTTTATCCAACACCCAAGTTTCTGTTGCTACTGCGACTTCTCGCCAGGGGTCCTGATTTTTGATGCATCAGCTACAGCAGACATTGGGACCTATGCATAAGTAATTTTGATCACTGAGTCATGTGGGTGAACTCATAAGATGAATTTGTGTGAACTTCAGGATAAAATATAAGCACACAGATTGATAATTTATTAGTAGGCGCTTAGCAGATGTTTTCAGAGCTGTGGGGATGAGGTCCAGGGTCTGTGAGGTTTTATAGGTGACAATCTCTGATCCTGAGGATCTGAGTCATTTTAACTCTCTAAATCTCCCTTTCTTTGTGGTCAAATTGAAGACTAATAATCTGGAATAATAATCCATAAAGGAATTGCCATGTTTGTCCAGCATCTTCCCCTTCTTAAAGGAAGACTACCTAGCCTACTCCCATGTTCCAGGGAAATCCCTTGCCCCTCATGCCCAAGGCCACCTGCCCATCACAAAACCCCACCTCTGACCACAGAGACATCATGCACCCAAGATGAGCCAATTGGAGGCCTTCTCCAAGATATTTAATGTAGAAAGAAAGAAACAGCAATAGCTTCTAATGAGTACCACCTGCTCCGGGTACACCCCTAGCTTCTCTGCTGGAAGCAACAGCAGGAAACAAAACTCGGTTCATGAAATATCAATCCACAGAGGGCTCTTTTGCCAGAAATCAATTTTTTTTATTATTGTTATACTTTAAGTTTTAGGGTACATGTGCACAATGTGCAGGTTACATATGTATACATGTGCCATGCTGGTGTGCTGCACCCATTAACTCGTCATTTAGCATTAGGTATATCTCCTAAAGCTATCCCTCCCCCCTCCCCCCACCCCACAACAGTCCCCAGAGTGTGATGTTCCCCTTCCTGTGTCCATGTGTTCTCATTGTTCAATTCCCACCTATGAGTGAGAACATGTGGTGTTTGGTTTTTTTGTTCTTGCGATACTTTACTGAGAATGATGATTTCCAATTTCATCCATGTCCCTACAAAGGACATGAACTCATCCTTTTTTATGGCTGCATAGTATTCCATGGTGTATATGTGCCACATTTTCTTAATCCAGTCTATCATTGTTGGACATTTGGGTTGGTTCCAAGTCTTTGCTATTGTGAATAGTGCCGCAATAAACATACGTGTGCATGGGTCTTTATAGCAGCATGATTTATAGTCCTTTGGGTATATAACCAGTAATGGGATGGCTGGGTCAAATGGTATTTCTAGTTCTAGATCCCTGAGGAATCGCCACACTGACTCCCACAATGGTTGAACTAGTTTACAGTCCCACCAACAGTGTAAAAGTGTTCCTATTTCTCCACATCCTCTCCAGCACCTGTTGTTTCCTGACTTTTTAATGATTGCCATTCTAACTGGTGTGAGATGGTATCTCATTGTGGTTTTGATTTGCATTTCTCTGATGGCCAGTGATGGTGAGCATTTTTTCATGTGTTTTTTGGCTGTATAAATGTCTTCTTTTGACAAGTGTCTGTTCATGTCCTTCGCCCACTTTTTGATGGGGTTTTTTGTTTTTTTCTTGTAAATTTGTTTGAGTTCATTGGAGATTCTGGATATTAGCCCTTTGTCAGATGAGTAGGTTGCAAAAATTTTCTCCCATTTTGTAGGTTGCCTGTTCACACTGCTGGTAGTTTCTTTTGCTGTGCAGAAGCTCTTCAGTTTAATTAGATCCCATTTGTCTATTTTGGCTTTTGTTGCCATTCCTTTTGGTGTTTTAGACATGAAGTCCTTGCCCATGCCTATGTCCTGAATGGTAATGCCTAGGTTTTCTTCTAGGGTTTTTATGGTTTTAGGTCTAAGGTTTAAGTCTTTAATCCATCTTGAATTGATTTTTGTATAAGGTGAAAGGAAGGGATCCAGTTTCAGCTTTCCACATATGGCTAGCCAGTTTTCCCAGCCCCATTTATTAAATAGGGAATCCTTTCCCCATTGCTTGTTTTTCTCAGGTTTGTCAAAGATCAGATAGTTGTAGATATGCAGTGTTATTTCTGAGGATTCTGTTCTGTTCCATTGATCTATATCTCTGTTTTGGTACCAGTACCATGCTGTTTTGGTACCAGTACCATGCTGTTTTGGTTACTGTAGGCTTGTAGTATAGTTTGAAGTCAGGTAGCATGATGCCTCCAGCTTTGTTCTTTTGGCTTAGGACTGACTTGGCGATGTGGGCACTTTTTTGGTTCCATATGAACTTTAAAGTAGTTTTTTCCAATTCTGTGAAGAAAGTCATTGGTAGCTTGATGGGGATGGCATTGAATCTATAAATTACCTTGGACAGTATGGCGATTTTCATGATATTGATTCTTCCCACCCATGAGCATGGAATGTTCTTCCATTTGTTTGTATCCTCTTTTATTTCATTGAGCAGTGGTTTGTAGTTCTCCTTGAAGAGGTCCTTCACATCCCTTGTAAGTTGGATTCCTAGGTATTTTATTCTCTTTGAAGCAATTGTGAATGGGAGTTCACTCATGATTTGGCTCTCTGTCTGTTATTGGTGTATAAGAATGCTTGTGATTTTTGTATATTGATTTTGTATCCTGAGACTTTGCTGTAGTTGCTTATCAGCTTAAGGAGATTTTGGGCTGAGACAATGGGGTTTTCTAGATATACAATCATGTCATCTGCAAACAGGGACAATTTGACTTCCTCTTTTCCTAATTGAATACCTTTTATTTCCTTCTCCTGCCTAACTGCCCTGGCCAGAACTTCCAACACTATGTTGAATAGGAGTGGTGAGAGAGGTCATCCCTGTCTTGTGCCAGTTTTCAAAGGGAATGCTTCCAGTTTTTGACCATTCAGTATGATATTGGCTGTGGGTTTGTCATAGATAGCGCTTATTATTTTGAGATACTTCCCATCAATACCTAATTTATTGAGAGTTTTTAGCATGAAGGGTTATTGAATTTTGTCAAAGGCCTTTTCTGCATCTGTTGAGATAATCATGTGGTTTTTGTCTTTGGTTCTGTTTATATGCTGGATTACATTTATTGATTTGCGTATATTGATCCAGCCTTGCATCCCAAGAATGAAGCCCACTTGATCATGGTGGATAAGATTTTTGATGTGCTGCTGGATTTGGTTTGCCAGTATTTTAGTGAGGATTTTTGCATCAATGTTCATCAAGGATATTGGTCTAAAATTCTCTTGTTTGTGTCTCTGCCAGGCTTTGGTATCAGGATGATGCTGGCCTCATAAAATGAGTTGGGGAGGATTCCCTGTTTTTATATTGATTGGAATAGTTTCAGAAGGAATGGTACCAGTTCCTCCTTGTACCTCTGGTAGAATTCGGCTGTGAATCCGTCTGGTACTGGACTCTTTTTGGTTGGTAAGCTATTCATTATTGCCACAATTTCAGAGCCTGTTACTGGTCTATTCAGAGAAATCAATTTATTTTTTAACAGATGAATAAATTTACCACTTTTCGTCTAGGAGGAGCTATTGATGATGTTTACCATAAACTATTACTGGATGAGATGCTATCAAGAATGTCTGAATATTCCTACTGAGTTTTAGTTGAAAGTTGGTTGTTTTTTCTTCAGAGAAGCAGTTTAGGAATGTTCATCTTTATCTCTGCAGCTCCCCATAACCCAGCTGCCCACCATATACCTTTAGCCTCAGTCCCACAAAGTGCCAGGAAGCCAAGCCAAACTTCGTGGTTGTAATAGCACAGACCTATTATGACCTATTTTACTTCCCTTTTATACCAGTTATTAATCAAAGTCCAAGCATCTCCATGCATCCTTCATTTTATCCCGGAGGGTGGGTGCATGCTCTGATATGGTCCAATCTGCAACTTCCAACTCCTGTCCTACACTGGAACTCATGGTCTGTCATCAGAAAAATCTCCCTGACTCTCCATCTCTTCTTGGAATGTTCTCTTTTTCTTCTGGCTCTAACAAACTTGACTGTAATCAAAATACAACTTGTCCTGCACATCTCAGGTGCTACCAGGCCTGTGAGTAAGGCAGGTATCCTTCTAGCTCTTCACAGCTCCCTCAAAACAATTTCTTCCACCTTCCTCCATGAAGTAAACACCATCTAAGATGCAACCCCCTATTCATCCTTGTTACCATCTCTTAGAAATATGGCATCCCCCATCATTCAGTGAAGACTGTGGCCCAGAGGCCTGCATTTTCATTTCTCCCATCAGTTCCCTTGGGACCTTAAACAACCACATAGGCTAATAATCTGAAATCACACATACCACAGTGTTTCCTCTAGCTGACCTCAGTCTTGCACTTATACAATTAACTATTAACTTTGCATCACTCAGAGCCATACCACCTCAAAACAAGTAAAATCTTAATTCCATGGGTCCCACTTGCTAACCACCACCAATCTATCTTTCCAGTTCAGTCTGTCTCTAGTATTTCTATGCAACAATTCTCCAACCCTACTGAGACACTGATATGGTTTGGCTGTGTCTCCACTCAAATCTCATCTTGAATTGTAGTTTCCATAATCCCTACATGTGGTAGAAGAGACCCGGTGGGAGATAACTGAATCATGGGGGCAGTTTCCCCCATGCTATTTTTGTGATAATGAGTAAGTTCTCACAAGATCTGACGGTTTTATAAAGGGCTTCCCCTTTTGCTTGGCTCTCATTCTTCTCTCTCCTGCCACCATGTGAAGAAGGACATGTTTGCTTCCCCTTCCACCATGACTGTAAGTTTCATGAGGCCTCCCCAGCCCTGTGGAACTGTAAGCCAATTAAACCTCTTTTCTTTGTAAATCACCCAGTCTTGGGCAGTTCTTTATAGCAGCCTGAGAAAGGACTAATACAGACATCCAATCTATCCACCCTGCTACTTTTTTATCTTACATTTTCATGTTCTCACTTCCATTCTTGTCTAGTTTAGCTCCCATTGCCCCACATTATAATCACTTGCTAGCTGCTCTATCTCTTTTGCATTTGCCTGAGAAAACCACGAGATGGGTAGTTCACTGCTCCATATTTGGGCACAAGGGACTGGCCAGTTGAGCATAGCCATTCTTTTGGGCTCCTCTCCTGCCACTCTCTTTTCAATCTCTACATTTTAACTGCTTCTATCCCTAGACTTCTGAAAGTAACCCAAGCCTGCCAACCTGCCCCAATTCAGAATCTATCAATTTTCTCTTTCCTCTACCTGGAGCAGTCTGCAACATTCAAATGCTCTTACCTGGCTCAGCTTCTCATCCTTCAAATCTCTGCTTTAACATTTTGCCCTTTTTTCATTTTTAGTTTTATTGTGATGAAATTAACATAAAATTAAGCATTTTAAAGTGAACAATTCAGTGGTACTTAGTACATTCACAGTGTTGTGCAACAAACACCTCTACTTCCAAAACATTTTCATCACCCCAAAAGAAAACCCGTGCTCACTAAGCAGTCCCTCCTCATTCCTACCTCCCACCAGCCCCTAGAAATCAATGATCTGTTCTCTGTCTCTGTGGATCTGCCTATTCTGGGATATCCTTCCTTTTTGATAGGCTTTCTCTAAGTATCCTCAGAGAACAACCTTTATGGTTCCCTATCCTCTCCTACTCACTGGTTTCTCTTAATAGCACATATTACTATCTAAAACTATGTTATTTATATATTAGCCTGTCTTTTCCTCTAAGCTGTGAGCTCCATAAGCAAAGATCTTGTTTTATTTATTTTTCTGTTCTCAGTGTTTGGAATGGTGGCTGGCATAGAAAGTTCTCAATACATATTTGTCAAGTGAATAAAGATAATCTTATGAGGTGGTATAGTCTTAGACTCTACTTAGTTTTCAGGTAAGTAACAATACTAAATTTAAACTAATTCAGGCAATAATAAGTAAACAGATGAGGTGACTCTCTCTCTTCATCATCATCATCTCAGGCCATTTTCTTCATATGGATGGCTTCCCGATGAATTATGTAAACATTACCAGTTTATTTTCCACCCTTCCATTCACCCATCTATCCACTCATCCATTCATCCACCCACCCATCCATCCATCCATCCACCCATCCATCCACATATCCATCTATCAATCCAACCATCTACCCCACTCATCCATTCATTAATCCATCTATCCATCCATCAATCCAACAACTTATTTATTGAACCACACTTCTACGTTTAAGCACTTTTATCAGAGCTGTACATGGAGCAATAACTAAGACTATATCAGATAAGATGTTTTTCCCGCCCACTCACATAAAATATGACAAAGAAGTGGGAGATATGCGAGAGAAAAGGCTTCTAAGTACAGGAAATGACGAAAACAAATGTTTTGATGAAAAGCTGTGCTAAATGTGTTTAAAGAACAGCAAGGAGTCAAGTGTGACTGCAGTAACACAAATAAAAGGGAGATTAGTAGGACATGTGGTCAGAGAAATGGCAAAGGGCAAGGCCACATAGGGCCATATCAGCCGTTGCAAAGACACTAGATTTTATTTTGGTGGAAATAAGGAGCTAGTGAAGAGTTTTAAGCAGAGTAACAACATAATCTGACTTACATTTTAAAAGTTTCACTCCAGCTATTATGATGAGATGTAGGCTGCAGGTAGGCAAAAGTATAAGCAGCAAGATCTGTTAGGAGATGATGGTCAGAGTCCAAGAGAGAGATGCAAGTGGCAGGATGAAAGCAGTACATGTGTAAGCAGTGGGGTTTTGAATTAATTTTTAATGTAGCTAATGGGATTAGCTAATTTTCTAGCATAGTCAATGGGATTAACTAACAAATAGGCAATGAGGAAAGAGGTAGGTAAAAATCCCTTGGGGTTTAGGCCTAATCAATGGAAAGGGATAAGTTGTCATTTACCGAGAAGGGGAGATGTTTGGGGAAGAAGCATATTTGGTGGAGAATCAAGATTTCTGATTTTGTCATGTTAAGTTTGAGATGTCTAATGATGCATATAAAGCAGTTGTGTATATAAATCTGGAACTCTGGGAACAGGTTAGAGCATGGGATAAAAAATAGTTTAAAAATAAAATGAAACAACATATATTAAAAAATTTGTACACGTTGGTCAGACCTTCTTACTATTCTGCTCAACTGTGCAATAGTTGCCAACCTGAAAGAAAGTTCTGAGTCTTTATGGTGGCCTCCAGAGCTCAGTTCCTCTTTGACCTCATCTCCTATACTCTCCCTCCATCCAGCCACACCATCCTCCTAGATGTGTCTTATCCTGGCAAACATGTTTCTTCCTAAGCCTTTATGCTTATCTTCCCATGCCTGGCATGCTCTGTCCCCAGATACCATCTCACCTTACCTCATCAACAACTTTAAGTCTTTACTCAGACGTCACCTTCTTTTTTTTTTATTATTATACTTTAAGTTCTAGGGTACATGTACACAATGTGCAGGTTTGTTACATATGTATACATGTGCCATGTTGGTGTGCTGCACCCGTTAACCCATCATTTACATTAGGTACATCTCCTAATGCTATCCTTCCCCCCCAACCCACCCCATGACAGGCCCCAGTGTGTGATGTCCCCCACCCTGTGTCCATGTGTTCTCATTGTTCAATTCCCACCTATGAGTGAGAACATGCAGTGTTTGGTTTTCTGCCCTTGCGATAGTTTGCTCAGAATGATGGTTTCCAGCTTCATCCATGTCCCTACAAAGGACATGACCTCATCCTTTTTATGGCTGCATAGTATTCCATGGTGTGTATGTGCCATATTTTCTTAATCCAGTCTATCATTGATGGACATTTGAGTTGGTTCCAAGTCTTTGCTATTGTGAACAGTGTCACAATAAACATACGTGTGCATGTGTCTTTATAGCAGCATGATTTATAATCCTTTGAGTATATACCCAGTAATGGGATGGCTGGGTCAAATGGTATTTCTAGTTCTAGATCCTTGAGGAATTGCCACACTGTCTTCCACAATGGTTGAACTAGTTTACAGTCCCACCAACAGTGTAAAAGCGTTCCTATTTCTCCACATCCTCTCCAGCACCTGTTGTTTCCTGACTTTTTAATGATCGCCATTCTAACTAGTGTGAGATGGTATCTCATTGTGGATTTGATTTGTATTTCTCTGATGGCCAGTGAGGATGAGCATTTTTTCATGTGTCTTTTGGCTGCATAAATGTCTTCTTTTGAGAAGCATCTGTTTATATCCTTCACCTACTTTTTGATGGGGTTGTTTGATTTTTTCTTGTAAATTTGTTTAAGTTCCTTGTAGATTCCGGATATTAGCCCTTTGTCAGATGGGTAGACTGTAAAAATTTTCTCCCATTCTGTAGGTTGCTTGTTCACTCTGATGGTAGTTTCTTTTGCTGTGCAGAAGCTCTTTAGTTTAATTAGATCCCATTTGTCTATTTTGGCTTTTGTTGCCATTGCTTTTAGTGTTTTAGTCATGAAGTCCTTGCCCATGCCTATGTCCTGAATGGTATTGCCTAGGTTTTCTTCTAGGGTTTTTATGGTTTTAGGTCTAACATTTAAGTCTTTAATCCATCTTGAATTAATTTTTGTATAAGGTGTAAGGAAGGGATCCAGTTTCAGCTTTCTACATATGGCTAGCCAGTTTTTCCAGCACCATTTATTAAATAGGGAATCATTTCCCCATTTCTTGTTTTTGTCAGGTTTGTCAAAGATCAGATGGTTGCAGATGTGTGGTATTATTTCTGAGGGCTCTGTTCTATTCCATTGCTCTATAGCTGTTTTGGTGCCAGTACCATGCTGTTTTGGTTACTGTAGCCTTGCACTGTAGTTTGAAGTCAGGTAGCATGATGCCTCCAGCATTGTTATTTTTGCTTAGGATTGTCTTGGCAATACAGACTATTTTTTGGTTCCAGATTAAAGTAGTTTTTTCCACTTCTGTGAAGAAAGTCATTGGTAGCTTGATGGGGATGACATTGAATCTATAAATTACCTTGGGCAGTATGGCCAGTTTGACGATATTGATTCTTCCTACCCATAAGCATGGAATGTTCTTCCATTTGTTTGTGTCCTCTTTTATTTTGTTGAGCAGTAGTTTGTAGTTCTCCTTGAAGAGGTCCTTCACATCCCTTGTAAGTCGGATTCCTAGAAAAGGCCTTTGACAAAATCAAGAGCCCTTCATGCTAAAAACTCTCAATAAACTAGTATTGATGGGACGTATCTCAAAATAATAAGAGCTATTTATGACAAACCCACAGCCAATATCATACTGAATGGGCAAAAACTGGAAGCATTCCCTTTGAAAACTGGCACAAGACAGGGATGCCCTCTCTCACCACTTCTATTCAACATATTGTTGGAAGTTCTGGCCAGGGCAATCAGGCAAGAGAAAGAAATAAAGGGTATTCAGTTAGGAAAAGAGGAAGTCTAACTGTCCCTGTTTGCAGATGACATGATTGCATATTCAGAAAACCCCATCGTCTCAGCCCGGAATCTCCTTAAGCTGATAAGCAACTACAGCAAAGTCTCAGGATACAAAATCAATGTGCAAAAATCACAAGCATTCCTATACACCAAGAACAGACAAACAGAGAGCCAAATAATGAGTGAACTCCCAATCACAATTGCTTCAAAGAGAATAAAATACCTAGATGTCACCTTCTTAACGAGGTCTATCTAGATCACTCTACCAAATTTTTAAGCCACCCCCACTGCGTTGCATACATCTCCTTCTTTGGGGCGTGTATAATTTACTATTTTCGGTCTCTTAACTTATAAATATCCTAACTCCATGAGAGTAGAAACTTAGTTTGTTCCATTACTGTATTGCAAGTACCCAAAATAGAAAACCCTGGATCAACATTTGTTCAATGAATTGAATGAATAAAAGAAAATACTGCTCTTTGGGTGTGACCTAGTTTGGCAAGTATTTCACTTTTCTAAAATTTTAAATTTCTAAAATTTCCTTCTAGAAAATGAGACATTTTCAAGGAGGTTCTCTCCTATTTTCTTCTAGGAGTTTTATAGTTTCAGATCTTACATTTAAGTCATTATTTTGAGTTGATTTTTGTATATGGTGTAAGATAAGGATTCAATTTTATTCTTTTGCATGTGGATAATCCAGTATTTCCAACACCATTTGTTAAAAAGACTGTCCTTTCTCCACTGCTAATCTTGACACTCTCATTGAAGATCAGTTGATCATATGTGTATGTATTTCTTGCCTCTTTATCCTGTTCCACTGGTCTGTATGTCTGTCTTTATGCCAGGACCATGGTCTTCTAATAAGAATAGCTTTATTATATATTTAGAAGTCAATCATTGTGATGTCTATAGCTTTATTCTTCTTTATCAACATTGCTTTGTCTATTCTTGGTCTTTGGGAGTTCCATAGAAATTTTATGATTGTTTTTACTACTTCTGAAAAACTGCCATTGGGATTTTGATGAGGATAGTATGGAATCTGTAGGTCGCTTTACATAGTATGGATTAGATGTCTTTCCATTTATTTGTGTCTTTTTAATTATTTTTAATCAATTTTGTGTAGTTTTCAATGTATAAATCTTCTACATCCTTGATTAAGCTTATTATGGTTATTTGTTGATATTATAAATGGTATTATCTCAACTTCCTTTTTGTATTGTTCACTGTTAGTGTATAGAAATATAATTGATTTTTGCAGGTTGATTTCATATCCTGCAATTTAATTGAATTTGTTTATTAATTCTAAGAGGGTTTTTTTGTAGATTATAGAGCTTCCCATACATAAGATTATGTCACCTACAAGGAGAATTTTGCTGGATGCCTTTTCTTTCTTTTCCTTGACTGACTGCTCTGGCTAGGATTTCCAGTACTATGTTGAATATAAGTGTTGAGAGTGGGCATCCTTATCTTGTGCTGATATTAGAGGAAAAGCTTTCAGTTATTCACCACAGAGTACAATATTAGTTGTATTAAACATTTTCTATGATCTCTCCCAATTCAGACCTCTAAATTTAAGATCCAGAAGAACAATGGGGTGTAAAGGAGTTTGACACTGAAGTCAAACTGCCTTAGTTCAAACACGGTTTCTATCCATTAGCTGTAATTTTTCTTTCTGTGGGTTTCTTTACCTGAAATGTGAGTAAAATAACAATACATAACATCAGCCAGGAACCAGTTAGGAAAACAGAAGCCATACTAGGTATTACAATTATGGGGACTGAACATGGGGAATTGGTCATACTCAGGGTCCACTAGGGCTTGTGGATGATAATTGTCAAAGCCCTGACATACAGTAAATGTATTAAAAATATAAGTTACGGGTGCAAAATAGTTAATGACATTATGCCTTACATTGAGGTTTTGTCATTTCTATTGTTGGATGCTTAAAAATGAATTATTTAGAAAGAAAAATGGAATAATTCAATTGGAAATTCAAATGACTAATAATTGAAAAAAGGAAAATTGAGGTGAAAGAGTGGAAAACAGTTATTCAACTCACTCATTCTTTGCTTCCAAAAGAACACTAGTGAGAATTTCTACTTAAGAGCAAAGAAAAAGAAAAACTAATTAATGCTGTCAGAGTCAGCCATTATTTTAGTCCCACAGCCCCCTGGTGAGCATACGGTATTTTTATTACCAAAGTTCATCACTAGTGCTTACTCAATAATTAGATAATCCCCACTGCAATCTATTATAATAACACCTAAAAAGATTCCTTATTGCATCTCCACATATGTCAATAGCTTTCACAAACCATAAATCAGTAATATATTGCTGGCATCAGAGTTTTAAGCAATTAATGTTAATCAATATGAAAACAAAAAGACTGATGTGGTAGGGCTTTTTCTTTCTCTATGTACAATAAAGAAACTGCAACTCTTTATTTGAATTAGTTCATCACCTTTTTATGTTTGTCATTAGCTGAAATGACAATTACTGTCAAATCGTCATCATCATCTAATAATTTTCTACAAATGTCATTTTGCATAGCACACTGTATGAGACTTTGAGCATGTCTCTAATATTATAGTTCATGTTCTTAGAGAGGGCCATGTTAAATTCTAGTAGAGAACAAAGCCTCAAGGGAGATGTTAATTTGAATAGTTCCAAAACACCTTATGGTATGCCAGTGTGGGAGATATTGTAAAGCATAGTGTTTTAAATTACAATAATACATGCTCTTTTGGATTAAAATATAGATAAGATTATGGAGAAGCACCCCAGGCAACTACCTATGTTCAGAGTGTTAGTCTTGGCCCTGAAATGGGGAAAGACAATATATCTGCTACTGAAAAAGCATCTTGGAGATGGCAACGTTCTTTGACAGCCCTCTTGGAACAGGCTATAGATTGCCTGCTGAGCATCTCCTCACCCCTTCTCAGTTCCTGATAGGATTCTCACTTTAAACAGGTATGCACCTCTTTTCTGTGCAACTCATGTGCCTTCGGTAAGATGACATCACTCTCAGCATTCTGGGTGGACTTTATTGGTGTAAAGATCCCCTTGCCAGAGATTGGCTTAGGACTTGTCATGTGACTCATATCTGGCCAATAAAACATAAAGTGACATCTCTTAAGAGAGTCATAAGAAGGGTTTTCTCTCTCCTAAGGAGGAACCAAAGGGGGAAAAAAAGTCTCTTTGCTTCTAGACGTTGTTTCTGTAGATGTAAAGGCTGTTAACTTCTGCAGTCATCTTGCTGAGAATAAATTCAGAATGAAGATGGCAAAATGGAGCAAGAAATAAGTTAATGACCCGGAAGGCCTCCTTCTGAAGTTGTTATTAGAGAGATAACATACTTCTTTATTGTTTAAGCTGGTTTGAGTTGAGGGTTTTCTTCACTGCAGCCAAAATGCCATTAGCCAAAATCTAAACTGGTATAATTTTCACTTTATTAAGCAGCATATCTTCCTGCTATGTTTTTTCCTATACTCATTTTAAGACTTCCTATTAAAGGATAGACTTAATTTATTCAACTGTGACTATTAAAGCCAATTCAAATATCATCTGGTCCTTGAAGCCTTCTTCAGATCTGCCAAAATAACTGGCTCCTTTTTCTGTGTTTTTGGAGCAATAGTATCTACATCTACCCTAGAATGCATCGCTCTGTATTATAATTATTTCCTGTCTCCCAATATCATTTGATTTTGAGTACCTTAAGGTAAGACATTGGGCTGGGTGCAGTGGCTCACGCCTGTAATCCCAGCACTTTGGGAGGCCGAGGCGGGCAGATCACGAGGTCAGGAGATCGAGACCATCCTGGCTAACACGGTGAAACTAAAAATACAAAAAATTAGCCGGGCACGGTGGCGGGCGCCTGTAGTCCCAGCTACATGGGAGGCTGAGGCAGGAGAATGGCGTGAACCCAGGAGGCGGAGCTTGCAGTGAGCTGAGGTTGCACCACTGCTCTCCAGCCTGGGTGACAGAGCGAGACTCTGTCTCAAAAAAAAAATAATAAAAAATAAAATTAAAGACATTGTTTCCCACTCTTCTTCAGATTATCAGGAACTCTTGTGACACCCATTACTTAGAAGATTTTCAATAATTATTCTAGAATGAATAAATAAACAAATGCATGAATGAATGAACCTCTAATCACAGATACCCACAACTCTACACACACCCTCCCTTGTCTTTGCGTTTTTGAATTTATCTAGCACAATATTCAGCTCTTTCTAATTATACCTCCCTTCTGTCATTTGAAAATGGGTCGCTTTTTCCTACACTTATTTAAGTCTTCCTAAAACATCATGAAATGGGAACTGAAATGCATGTATGTCATTAAGTAAACATTATCAGACCTCAAAGAACCCAGTGAAGGCCACCAACGTTCCTTGAAGAATTAAAGCTGAAATGGACTAGCTCAGCGTTACGAATAATGCGTTCCTCAGAAGTATCTTTTAAGATGTAAACAGGTGTTTTTTTGGATAAGAAGCTCTACAATCAAGTAAATTAGAATACACTGTTTAAAAAATGTAAACAGGTTCTTTAGTGCAGAATTGCTTAGAGCTTACTGTATGCCAATGTGCTCTATGAATCTCTGAGAGAGATATGGTATATTTTTTCAAAATGTATTTGAACATAGAATCAATTTTTCCAGGTACAACTATTAACATACCATAACAATTATTTAAACACAGTTTAAAATACATTTTACTGGATCCACTGAGCTTTGACTGTCACACCCTGCTATTTTCCTAAAAAAGAATTAGAACTAAGATATTATCTTTACAAAACTTCTTATGTATTTTATATTTTTATATTATTAGGTTTTAGTAGCAACCTTAAGAGAATCACAAAATCTTGGATCTGAGAGGAAATCTTAAAATCCTTAAGATTTTACATTGTACAGTATGGGGAGTGATTATTGATTATGTTGGTATTCATGAACCCCTCCACAAATCTGATGAAAATATTTGCATGTCATAGGAGGTCTAGAACATTCATGTTAATGTACTTCACTAGCTAAAAATGAATATAAAAAACTGAATTATGGCAATAGTGGCATAATTATAGTATGACAGTAGTATAGTAGATCCAGAAAAATGCATCTACACAGAAAAGCTACAAGAAGTTCACAAACCTTTTGATGAATATTCATAGACCCCGTGTTTTTAATGCCTTTCCTCCTGTGATGACTACTGTACATATTGAAGAAACTTAGGTCCAAAAGTCATACAGCTTTTAAGATCAAAGTCAAGATAAGAATTTGGGAATTCTGGCAACCTCGCTGCTTGTTTTCAGATTCAATCTAGCTGAAAACAATTTTTATATTATTATTTTTGGACTCTATCAGGCCTCTCTGCTCTTCTAAAGCTGCTAATGCAATTAATTGAACCTACCTCAGTCCATCACTAAAGACAGTGCGGTTGGCCAGTGTTTTCCAATGCCTTAGGTGGTTGTCCTAAGATTAATTCCCTACTACTGTCATACTATAATTATGCCACTATTGCCATAATTCAGTTGTTTATATTCATTTCTAGCTAGTGAAGTTTCTAGACCTCCTATGACATGCAAAGTTCAAATAAATAAGGATTCAGAAGTCTGACTGTGGTCATAAATTCCAGAATAGAAAAAACATGAATGTTCTTAGCATGCTTCTTTGTAAATAAGTTTGATGACCCTTGCTGAAAAAAAAATTCATGAGTAGAAAATATTGCTAGTGATAATTACCACCCAAACTTTATTGATGTCTGTGTGTATGTACATAGTTGATAGATGATAGATATAGATAGATAGATAAAAGTGGCATGTGTAGACATTAAATGCTTTAATGTTTATGAAATGTTATTACTATGGACCATGCTCATGAATACTAATGAATGAAAATTGCATGCTTTTACTCAAAATAGAGACCATAAAATTAATTTATTAAGCATTTGTTAAGCAGAACATAGGATAGCACTGTTATGAGCTGATACTCCAGTACTATCCTAAAATTTCAGCTTGGGAAAAAAGTCCCAAGCAAATGCAACTGCCTTCAAATAGACCTATACAATGTTAACATTTATGAGTTACCCGAGCCATGTGTCAGGTACCCAGCCAACCACTGTACTTGCAATCTTTATATTGAATCTTTACAGCACCTAAAAAAGGTGGCTACTTCTCTCTCTCTTTTAACAGATTAGGAAATGAAGATTCAGAAAAGTTCAATAACTGTCTCATGCTCATATGGTTAGTAAGGGTGAGAGCCTGGGTTTGAACCCTTGACTTTTTGGTTCATCATCCTAAGTTCCTAACCATTATACATCTTGCCCCTTGGTAACCACTGGCAGTTCTGCAACTGCTAGGGCCAAATGCAAGCTCCTGATTCATATTTTTATTTCCCCTACATTTGTTAACATAATCAGTCACTTTTGTTGAAAGGTATTCTTTTCAAAAGCCAGCTATTACTGAGTTTTTCTACTTCATTCAAACTCTTCATCCAATATTCATCATCCTGGTTTTCTTCAGTCATCAATTCCTTCACCTATGCATGCATATATTATGAAGGACACTATGCAAAGCAAAGTTGAATGAAATATGGTCTCTGCCCTCAAGAAACTTGGAATTCAGAGGAGGAAGAAACAATTAAACCAATTAGTACAGCACAACTTAAAATGTCAGCACGTGGGTTACAAGATCATGGAAGAGACTTACCCAAATTGCCCTGGTGTGTAGGATGGAATTCCTGAAGGAACTGTTGCCTGAGCTGAGTTTTGAAGAACGGTGGGAATTGGCTGAATAAAGAAGAGTTGGGGCTGGGAGTAGGCATTGTGGACCTAGGGAACAATATACATGAGGCCTAACCTAAAAGGACGAATTCTACAAATTGTAACTAGTTCAGAGCAAATGAATTCTGGAGCATGGGTGCCCTGTATCTGTGTGCTTTTATGCATGTGTAAGCTATGGCTTAGCCTTTACAAAGCCTTAGCATGCTGCCCAGAAGTTCACTCTGGGTCTAGGTCCCAGCTTCTCTCTCTCTCCTCTCTCTCTCTCTCTCTCTCAATATGTTGTGAGTGTGTGTGTGTGTGTGTGGTGTGTGTGTTTTGAGTATATGTCTGTCGCAAATGTATGTGCATGTGTTGCATATGTGCAGAACCTGTGAAAAACTCCTTTCATGTCCTTGTTTCTTGCAGAGAACTCTACATCATCCTACACATGTCTTCTTGCTCCTTCCTCCTTACGAGGAAGGTCCTGAGAAACTTCCTTCATGATCCTCCACACCCTTTGCCATCACTGTATCCCATTCTCCCTTCTTAAGAGAAGCAGATGGGATGAACAGACTATGATTATTACCAAAATAAATTATACTAGCAACTGTCAGTCCCTTCCTGGGCAGTATATCTGCAGCAAAGAAAAAGATATCACTAGTGTCCCTGTTCAATATCCCTTTGTTCATAAATTTTGCTTTCTCCATTTTTAATTTCTACTAACAGAGAAACTGGCTCCTCAATATCTCCAATGAGACATGAGATTCAAGATTAGATGTCACTATATGCCTCAAAAGTATACAAGCAGGTAGAATACTCCACCCAATCCCAATCCCTTGGGCCCATCAGTCTTGGCCAATCTCCAGGGTCTTGGCTATGGACTTTGTGTTCATTCCCATGGACAAGCCAGTCACCCAACCCCTGTGAGCAGAACTGCACAGACCACTGAAGAAGGTCACCATGAGAAGAGCTCTGTAATGTCTGTATGTAACTTATGTAGGGAGTAATCTGAATGTGGCACTCTGTAATTTTCTCTGTCTCCTTGGAATCTACCATTTCTCTCTGTAGTTCTTTCAAGGTACAGTCTGATGCAAAGAGAAGAGCCATCCCTGATTTGAGCAAATCCTAAGACTAACCCCATGAACTCTGTTCCTCTTCTTACACACTTAGCCTTTTGAAAGTGAAGCCTTCTATGAGACAGAGAAGCCCAGGATACATCTTCCTGCTTGAATGATTTTTTAAAAGGCAGAAAAATGGGTAGGGGAGACACAAGGAATAAAAACTCTCCTTCAATCACATATGCCTATGTAGATTATTCTGGTTATGAGATCACACTTTTCACGAAAATCTCAGAGGACTTGGTGTCCTCTAAAAGGTTAAGAACCCCTGATTGAGAGAGATCTTTAGCAATGGAAATAAAAATTCTGCTTCTTCAGAATAAAGTGGATGTGCATATGTCATCTCCCCTCAGATAAGTCTGATGCTAATTGCTCATTCAGGTATGAATCCTTTCCATCTGACACCACTGCTGCTTCCTGATGTACCTGCAACTTTTGTGATTTTACTACCCATGCAAACAGTCATTTGCTGCCTCCAACAAAAGACACGAGCTATTTATTGCTTTACTTTACAGATGCTGCTGGAGATCACATTTAACAATACAAATACCACAGAATTGTCTTTGGCTGTCACAAGCTGCCAAAGTGTAGCTCAAACCAGAGCCTGATAATGTACTTTGCAAAACTCTATGCTAGTGATTTTACACACATTCCAGGCTTAATTAGACAGGGCTAAAATGGAACCTAGCTTTTAGCAGTTACACTCTTTTGTCGGTATCTAAACAGTAATGCTTATCTCTTGGTTTGTGACTTGTCTCACAAGTATATATAATTGCAGTATTTCATTACTGGAAACAAACTTCAACATCTACTACAGCATACAAAAATGCAGTGAGCAATTCTATTTGGGCTGAAGATGTACTACAAAATAAATGGAATCTAGTCTTACCTAAATATTCATCTTTCATTTTGGAGGAACACACACACTCACATGCACACACCACTTCTACTGCTTGCTTTGTTCTGAGTTAACTGTAGACATAGCTAAAACCTTCCAGGTTTGCATGGAGCTGTCTACCAGATGGGAAGGTGAAGGTAGGGATGGCAGTTACACTAGGACAACATTACCTGAAAAATCCTGGCAAGCCCCTTCACCCCTCCATGCCTCAGTTTTCCCAGCTTTAAAATTGTGTAACAACAATTTCAGAGAGTTGTTACATGAGTTAATCAGTGTAGGGTCTTCAAACCAGAACATGCCACTAGATGTTCATTAGTAGTACTGTTATTATCTCACAAGTGAGCATAAGAATATCACCTTGAACATGAGAGGGCTTCTCTGAAGTCAGACGGGTTAGTGCACATGCAGCATTTAGAAGTATTTCCACACGTGTGAAAACGGTGCAACTGCTAACTGTTGCTATTTCATCTCCTGGAGGCATTATTGTAAAGACAGTGTTCAAAATGCACCTGTTGTATTCAGTGAACCTCCACTATCGATTTTGTGGACTTATGTGCATTTTGGGCCTTTTTGTTACAAGGCCAAATATTGTGCAGGGTGAAGAGGCCAAGGATGGAAATTAGGACAAAGGAAAAGGGAGAAGAGAAAGAAAAAGAAATCGATACAAGAGGCACTTACTGAACTATTTTGTGACTGATTAGCAAGGATAGCTTCTTCTGCGTTCTGTTTTCTTCCTTCAGGGAATTTTCCATCATTTTAGGCTGGTTTAAACTGTGTCCAATCACTATAACCAAGCTTTATAAAGAGATAGGAGATTCTCTTTTTATTATTTTTGGCCAGTGATGTTCCAGCTTAAACTAATTACCAGGAGGCCCAAGGTGCTCATTCACTCACTGTTATATGAAACTGTAACACTTTTGCTTTCAATTGGGAAAAAATTTAAAATGTCTGGATTTGAAAAAGAAATGCTTCTAGCTGGTACCCATCTATACCTGTAGTCATAATGATGATGGCAATAACAGCAATGCAATCCAGGCATCACTTGGGGTCCCACATCTCTCAAGATCTGAGCAGGGTTGCTCCCAATCCCAATGTCACAGCCTAACGGAGCCTTCGGGAGTCCTAGTCTCATCCACATGACTGCTAATGCCCATGTGATTCTGCTCTCAGCCTCCCACTCTAAACCTTATATGTACAACCTTTGGTGAACCCGGAAGTTCCATGAAGCATATGGCTCCACCTAGGGCTTTGACCTTCCTCTCCTCTTTCCATCTCTTATTTTCCTCTCTCACTCTCAAGAGCTAGCATTTTCTCTCATCTCATGCTAGGAGATATTACTCCCTTCTTGACAGATTTGGTGTCAGCCAAAATCCACGTTCTGGCAATAGATGCAACTAAGAGAACAAAAGTATCCTTAATGTATTACATTCTTTACGTTATTATTATTAAGATTTTCAAGTTTTTGTCTAACCATCTTATTTAAAGCTTCCATTTTATGGTTTAATGATACCATTAACTAGGTGTAATCACTATTATCATCCTCACTAATCTTGATACCAGTAATTCTCAACTGGGGGCAATTTTTCCCCTCCCCTACCCCTCTTGCAACATTTGGCAATGTCTGGAGACATTTTTGGTGGTCACAGATTGGGGGCGGGAGATGCTTTAAGGGGTAGAGGCCAGGAATGCCGCTAAACATCCTACAATGCATAGGATGGTCTCCCAGCTCCAAAAGTCAATAGTGCCAAGGCTGAGTAACCTTGCTTTATGCCTATTGTGAAACTCAGCCTTAGGTTAGCCAAGTCATCCAAGGATACAAGTATGAAAGGGCAGAGGTGAGGTTCTACTGGTTCCAATGGCTTTCCAAATCCAGGCTCTCATCTATGACATAAGCTACCTGTCTTAGTTATATATCACTAAGCAGCAATATTACCAGAAACCTACAAGCTTAAAACAACATCCTGTGCACAGCTTACCAAGGTACTCAGAGTCTCACAAGGCTGTAATTCAGGTGTCAACTGGGGCTGTGGTCCCATCTAAGGCTGGGATAGGGGAAGATTAGCTTCCACGATTAATTAGTTTGTTATCAGAATTTATTTTCTTGCCACTATAGGACCAAAGTCCACAGTTGCTGCTGCCCCAGCTCCTTGAGGCTTTCCACGATTCCTTGCCACAAGGGGCTCCCCAACATGACCACTTGCCTCCCCAAAGCTAGTAAGGGACAGACTCCAGTATGATGTCATGTAATCATGTACATTCCCAACATCTTTGCTGCATTCTACATGTAAGAAGCAAGTCACAATCCCCCCTACACTTAATAGAAGGAGATCACACAAGCTCATGAACACCAGGAGGTGGGGATGGAACCATCATAAAAACCTTTCCACTGCACTGTTAATGGTATCACTACCTTGAAGATAGTTTCCTTCCAGTGTAGCAATTTCAAGAACTGTATCCTCACAAATGTGTATGTATCCATCCATTTTTACAGACCTCGACGAATATGTACAGAAAGCCTACTGTAAGCGTGAAGACCCTGTGCTGAGGGAGGTGAGCATTCCTGATACTGACTTAAGGTAAATGCTGCAAACATAGTTCTGGAAGTCAGCTTGATGAGGCCGTTGGACCACTGCACGGAATCCATACCCCCTGCTATAGTGTGAAGATGATGATCAACAGAGCCCTTTAAAAAACAAAAGAATGCAGACCGTCTCATGAAAGAAAAACAAATTTGGTACCTTGTTTAACTTTGAATGGCACACAACTGATTCCTTCCTCTAACCCCTTCTTCTGTCTGTTCTTGTCCTGTTCTTCCCCGTAGTTACCTTTATTTATCCTTCCATTCTATTTATTACTTTTCCCACCCAAGCCCTTGCTGGACACTCATGAGGGCTTTCAGGCATAGAGAGGTCAGAAAATTCAGAATGAAAATGCTACAATTATTCCAATAATTGTCACATATATTAATTGGAGCTTTTGGGTGCAAACAACAGAAATGAATTCTGACAAAGTTAAACAAATAGGGAACAAAGGAAAAGGTATGTGATGGCTCAAATAGTTGAAGAAGCCAGTGTTAGAAAGAGTAGAAACCTGAGAAACCCACAGCTTCAGGTAGGAGTTGATTGACTGCTTTCTAATGGCTGTGAACACAGTGCCTGATACGTATTTTTTCAACCTTGCCTCCCCTTTCCTTCCCTTCCTTTAGAATTCCTAGTGTCTTTTTTTTTTTTTTTTAAGATGGGTTTTGCCATGTTGTCCAGGCTGGTCTCAAACTCCTGAGCTTAAGCAATCCATCCACCTCGGCCTCCCAAACTGCTGGGATTACAGGCATAATCCACCGTGCCCGACCTCCAGTGTCTATTTTTCCCACCTCTGTGCCTAGGTATATCGATTGTTTTGCTCCCACTTACTAGTGAAAATATGTGGGTTTTGCTTTTCTGTTTCTGCATTGAAGCATATAAGAAAATAGCATCTAGCTGCATCCGTGTTGCTGCAAAGGACGTTATTTCATTCTTGTTTATGGCTGTGTTGTATTCTGTGGTGTATATGTGCATTTTCTTTATCCAATCCACTGATGAGCATCTAGGTCGATTCCATGTTTTTGCTATTGTGAACAGTGCTGTGATAAACATACTACTGCAGGTGTCTTTTTGTTAGAACAATTTATTTTCTTTTGGGTATATACCCAATAACGGGACTGTTGGGTTGAATGGTAATTCTATTTTTAGTTCTTTAAGAAATCCTCAAACCACTTTTTTTTTTTTACAAGGGCTGAACTAATTTAAATTTCCACCAACAGTGTTCAAGTGTTCCTTTTTCTTGACCTCGCCAACATCTGTTGTTTTTTCACGTTTTAATAGTAGCCATTTTGAAAGGACACCCTATTCAATAAATAGTACTGGGGAAACTGATTAACCAAATGCAGAGGAATGAAACTGGATCCAGTTCAACTCTTTCTTGGGGCTAAGAGCAGTGGTTTGGGTACTCATGCCAGAGACATGGTTCTGAGGTTCTGCTCAACTGCTTAAAGGGTGCGTGACCTTGTGTAATTCATTAAGTCACTCGGTGTCCTAATCTGCAACATGGGGATGGAAATAACCTCCCATATTCATAGAGCTGTTGAGAGAATTAAATAAGTAGCCTGATACGTTGTAAGTATTCAACATTCAATATATGTTAGAAATGTCTCTTTCTTTTCTCTTTTACCGGATGTTTACCTTCAATTCGTGTACTAGTTTTGGTTTTGGCTTTCATATTCTCACACAGATTTTTCAAAGCACCCAAGGGTAGCTTCAAGAGTATGTGACCCACAAGTCATTCGGGGCTCCATGCTCAGAAGCACCCCTCGTTTGGTTTAATGCCCTGCTATTACTATCTTGAAATTCTGAATTTTTTTAAGGGGCTTCACATTTTCAGTTTTGCTTTTCATTATTTTACACAGCTATATTAGGTCGTCCTTTCATTACTATAAAGAGATGCCTAAAACTGGGTAATTGATAAGGTAAAGAAGTTTAATGGGCTCGCTGTTCTGCAGGCTGTGCAGGATGCATGGTGCTTCTGGTGAGGCCTCAGGAAGCTTACAATTATGGCGGAAGGTGGCAGGGAGCAGGCACGTCACATGGCAAGTGGGAGCAGGAGAAAGCGAGTGGGGAGGTGCCACACTCTTTTAACAATTAGATCTCACTTGAACTCAGTACCACTCATTACTGTGGGTAGGGCAGGAAGCCATTCATGAAGAGTCCACACCCGATGACCCAAACACCTCCCACCACGCCCCACCTCCAACACTGGGGATTACATTTCAACATGAGATTTGGAGGGGCAAACACTAAAGCCATATCAAAACCTATGCTCTGGTCGGGTGCGGTGGCTCATGCTTGTAATCCCAGCACTCTGGGAGGCCAAGGAGCCGGATCACTTGAGGTCAGGAGATGGAGACCAGTCTAGTCAACACGGTGAAACCCTGTCTCTACTAAAAATACAAAAATTAGCCGGGTGTCGTGGTGGGCGCCTGTGACCCAAGCTACTCAGGAGGCTGAGGCACGAGAATTGCTTGAACTCGGGAGGTGGGGGTTGGGTGTAGTGAGCCGAGGTCGCACCACTGCACTCTCCAGCCTCCAGCCTGGGCGACAGAGCAAGAATTCATCTCAAAAAAAAAAAAAAAAAAAAAAAAAAAAAAAAAAAAAGCTATGCTCTCAACAGTTGTCAATCAATCCCCAAGGTGCAGCTATTTCCTAACACTTGTAGCATTGTGATTGACAGGATACATTTTTGGAGAGTGGAGACATCCCAGGACTGAAGACACAAGCCTCCTGTCCAGCTCTAAGCAATGCAGCAATGCAAGGACAGCGTACAGTACAAGTTTGGAAAAGTTTCTCTTTTTCTGGAACTGCGGGCAGAGAAGGGATCTCAGATCAACCTCAGGTCAGCAGCATAGTTACAGCAAACCTCCATTTCACTTTGTTTAGAGAGGTTACAGATAAAGTACGTTTTCGTTGTTTTATATTGTATTGTTTCGTTTTGTTACCCAATTTAGATCTTGCTTTTTTATTAATGCTGCTTGATCACAACCTGTGGTAATTAACCAACCCTTTGGATGGGGCTTAATTTTAATTAAACAATGCTCCAATTCTTAATAGGCTAAATGTTTGTTACTTCTCCAACTCTTATCACAAGGTAATTTTGTAGTACTTCATAGATTTTCTGAGAAATTGCTTTATCAATTTTTCCCTGCAGCTGTACACTGAATCTGACTTGTATTGCTAGCTGTTGCTTTAAATTAATTTTCTAATTTTTCCAGTTCTTTCTATTTGGCTAGTTAGTCCTTACATTAAATTTCTTCACCTTCTGATTAACAATTAACAGTACTTATGGCTGTTCTATGGCTATAAAATTGGCCTTGCTGGGTTCCACATTTATCTTGCTTTAATGATCAAATTTGTTTGGTGTAAGATTTTTTTTCCTCGACATCAGCTTTCTATATTCTGGGATCTACAACTCAAGCTGTGTCCCTTTAGCCTCTTACATCATCACCAGCAATAAAGATTTTACTGTCAGGACTTGGCTGACAAATTTGCAGGCTCTTTATTACTGGTGATGATGGACTATAAGAAGCAGAAAAAACACAGCTTGAATCTCATTCCCAGCTTGAATTTGCAAGGCTGGCATTTAGAAAAATTATGTTGTGATTTCACAAACCAAGAAAATTTGAAGACGCAAGTCAGAGAATTAATAAAAAACTTTCCCCCATCTTCTTCTGAAATGGCTTTGGTGAAGTCATTGCACAGTGTGGATTTGGTCAAGTCTCCACCAACAAAATTGAATGTTTACATAATTCACGTGACTTCCTCTTACTTCAAGTACCTGTGTAACTTCAGCTAGAGGCACTTGAAGGACTGAACTACCTTGCTCTAGGGCAAGACATTTTCCTGTTGTGTTCTAAGGGTACACCAGAAAAATCATGCGTCAATGGAAACCTAAGCATTGTGTAGCCCAGAGAATTATCTATTCTATGGGAGCTATTTTACAACTCTGTAAATGACAGATAACTAATAGCAAAGCAAAATAATTCTTGTCTATAGACATCCAAATTCTGCCCTGTTCAGCAGTTCAATTGACTTCCTTCTGCCACTGTGGAAGGAGCTGATTTTGCCTCCATTTGCACATTTGTTTCAACATTCCTTTATTTCATATTTCTCCTTTGCACCAGTTATAAGATCCACTTGGTTTCCTCGTTGATTGAGTTAAAATATCTAACACATGTTCATTTTATCTGAGTCATAATTTACTTTTCTTAAAATTATATTTTAACAATATCTAATCGCTGTACATAAACTATAAAATTATCGTTTGATAAAGTAATAAGGTAAAGTACTGCTAGGAAGTAGTTGAAGCCCACGTTTGAGAATCACTACACGTGGTTTCTAATGCCAGATTTGTTCTTTGCTATCTCGGCAAATTTAAATGCTTCTAATTTCATTACCTCATATATAAAATGTAGGTAATAATACCTGCTTTGTGGGTGAATGAAATAATACAAATTACTACATACTTTGATTAGTCAGTATTTGTTATTATGTTCATAATATTAATTATCCTTATTGATGCATTATTTAAACATAATCAAAATGAACTTGTTAATTGCTTAAGAATTCCAATTGAAATATTGTTACTGTACTCTTGAGCTTCTAATATAGTGCATCCCAACCCTTCAAAAAGGAGTGATTTTGTTTCATAAGTGTCTTAAGACTTACAAACTTTCTGAGCCATTTTAATTATTTACCTGCATAGTGTGTATATATATATACAAATATACACACACACACGTAGTGTGTATATATTTCATATATACACACACACGCATAGTGTGTATATATTTCATATATACACACACACGCGTAGTGTGTATATATTTCATATATATATATATATATATATATATATATATATATATATATATATAAAATTCCAGATCAGACCAAGTTTCTGCCCTTCTGTTTCTGAGAAAGTAACAAGAATCTAAATGCATATTGTCGGCAAACTCAGCTGTGACTAGGATCCTGGCAGGAGAGGAAAGCACAAAGGAAGCCTGCTCCAGTGACACTGATTCAGCTCCTGCCTGAAGCACCGCTTTCTGGCTGTGTGGCCAAAGCCACATGAAAAAAGAAAAGGGAGGTCCCAAAACCTCACCCACAGTGTGGACACTGCTGTATTTCAGCAATATGGATTGAGAGCCTCAGGGTCATTCATGTATCCTTTGAAGCTGGCATTACACTTTTGGGAAAAGATCCTGAAAAAAAAAATCAGAGATATATATAGAGACTTAGGTACAAAGGTATTTACCACAGGACAATTTCTGACAGTGAAAAATTAGAGATAACCTTAATACCCTAAACAAATAAACAAAGATCCTTCCTCCTTATGATGGAATATTAGTTAGCTATCATAAGCCAGGTTTTTCAAAACTGTTAATAAAATTCTCAAAATGTTAAATGTAAAAAACAAACATAAACATAAAATTACATAGTCTATGCCTCCTATTTTGTAACAGTTCTCACACACACACACACACACACACACACACACACCCCAGTAGCAAACACACACCAATATGTTCATAATGCACAGAATGAAAAGCTAGAGGAAACAGGCCAAAATATTCACAATTATTAAGTAATTATTTCTGGGTACTAAGATTGTGGAGATAGTTCCATTTTTCCTTAGGTTATTATGAATGGTCCAAACTTTAAACAGTGAGCATGTGTTACTATTACAGTTAATAAAAAAAAAAAGTTATTTAAAAAACAAGAACCTGCAGGCCATATTAATAACTGTATTTAAAGCCTATGGAAGTTACCACTGGTAGCTGAGGACATCATGCAGAAAGAACAGGAGAAGGAGAATGGTTGTTGCCTTCACCACGAAAGCCCCAATGTGCTACCTCTACCAGCCACATTGTCAATAACAGTTGGCTTTTTTTTTTTTTTTTTTTTTTTTTTTTTTTTTTTTTTTGCCAGGGACCAATTTCGGGCAGAAGACTTAAATTAGGTAAATATAGATTCTGTTACACTCTATTGTTTTGTTTGCATAGCCAGCAGTCTACGTTGTTTCTAGAGGACTCTAGAGGACCTTAATGTGTTTCTACCTCAAGGTGACCTCTGAAGAGTTACCCTTTAGTAGAAAGAAGTACAATGGTCACCAAAAATGGTCATTCCACAACCATCAAAACAATATTAGACAACTTTGGATTCATATTTTAGTCTTATTCCTGGTTTCGGACAACTCTGATGTTAACAGCTTTTAGAAGTTTTAGATGTTTGCTTTATTTTCTTTCATACCATTACCAATAATTCATTATCAGATAACTAAAATTTGCACATTTTAAGGGATTAACACAGTAAATTTAAAATTTTCATTAAGCTGCCCCACTGCTAAAATGTACAACTTGATTATATACAAAATAATTTCAATTAAGAAGGTAATACATTTTTGCTGTGGTAACAGAAAGCATTTGGAAATAAATTACCTATGTTTATCACTAGCAGCAAGTTAAGCTATTATGTATTCAGAAACGAACAAAAATAAAGCTTATTTTATATATACATATATATACACACACACATATATCCTTTTAGAAAGTTATTTTATGTATGCAAATGAAAATACCCCTGTGGTTGACAACTGTAATTAAGGTTTCTCTCTAGCTTTCAGAAAAATAGTGTTTCCCTCTCTTCCCGCAAAGTAGTTCATCCAATTGGTACACCTAATTGAACCTGAAATTTCATACGTTCCACAAGATCATGTTAATCTCATCATTTTCTTCATCTCTTAGCTTGGTTAAAGGCAAAGAGTTATTGAGAGAAGCTGTGATTGGCATGTCTTCTGCTGATCAATTGCAATTTCCTCTCCTTGTAAACTCTATTTAGTGTTACAAAAACAATTCAAAGGCAGAGATTGTAGGTGCCAGGCTTTTCCTCTGACCTTTAAATCAAATTTAGAATTTCACAGGGTAGTATGCCTTCAAGCAAAATCTGTCGGCTTAATAAAGTGGAAATTTTCTGCAATAAATCTGCAATAAATTTCTACCATTCACAAAGAAAGGTAAGCTTTACTTATTGCTGAATAGTTCTGAACAAGGGCGCAAGCTTCTTGGGTGAGATAAAAACAAGTGCTGTTAAACGTAAGAACAACTCAAAATAATGAAAGAAAAAGGGTGAGTGTCATAAATATAATGAGAAAACAAAAGAAACACAGAGAAGAAAAACAGGATAGAGGAAAAAATATGACAGAATTACGAAGAGGCAAGACCAAGACATGAACAAAGGGGAAACAAAGAAGGGACACAAGGAAAAATAGATGATTAATTTTTGTCTCATTTTGCCAATAAGTACAAGATCATTACAATCATAAGATCTCCTGTGTAGGATACATAAAATCACTGTTTTGGGGGTGGTGAACCACAACTGTACTCTAATCCCTGCTGAGTCTCCATATGTGTTTGTTATAGCACCAAATGATCTAATGGCTTATTCTATTTTCCAAACAAGTAAATGCCAAGTATTTGCTAAGGAAACTAAGGTCAAATATATACATTTCTTTTCTCTATTTTCTAAAGGAAATCCTACTAATTCCCACTGGCAGAGGACCACATACATATAAGAGACCAATAGATATACCCATTCGCAAAGAAGCTGGTAACAAATCGACAAACAAATTAAAAAACCCAAAACATCAGAGATAAACTGTCACACAATTAAAGTAAAATACTCTCCAATGCAAGACCTCTTCCTAGACGAAGATTGTTTCGCTTCCCGATATTTTTAAAACATTGAATTAGCTGCCAATACACAAAAACAGAGAAACTCATAGTTTTAAAAATCCAGATTTCTCAGCTCCTCAAAAAATCAGAAACTCTAGCAGCATTCCTATGTATTGATTATTAACTGGAGCATAAGCTGCTATTGCCACAGACCCCCACATTACCCACTGCCGTCCTTGCACCCACTCATTTGGATTATTTGCTTGAGCACTGCTGTTGGTGAAATTTATAACTCTTACTATTAAGATGATTCAGCTCAGTATTAGTTTCCTAATGCTGCTATAACAAATACCGCAAACATAGTGCCATCTAACTATACAGATTTATCATCTTACAGTTCTGAAGGTCAGAAGTTCAAAACGGATCTTACAGGGCTAAAATCACAGTGTTGGCAGAACAGTGTGATTTCTAGAGGGTCTCAGGTAAAATCCGTTTCCTTGCCTTTTCTGGCTTATGGAGGCCACCTGCATTCTCTGCATGCTCATGTCCCCCTCCTCAATCTTCAAAATCAGCTGTGTAGCATCTTCCATGTCTCTTTCCCTCTGACATTCCCGCCTTCGTCTTATAAAGACCCTTGTGATTACACACCCGGATACTACAGGATCATCAATCCTTCTTGTGCTCTTTAACTTCATCTGCAAAGGCTTTTTCACCACCACATATGCACAGGTTCCAGAAATTAGAACCTGGACATCTTTGAGGGGCCATTTATCAGCGTGCCACAGGCTCCATCCTCAAAAGAGCAAAGAACCTTCAAGCCATAACAGGTTGAAGATACTGGCTCACACATTCAGGAAAACCAAGACAAATAACAAGGCAAACATTGTAAAGGCATATCTCAGACATAGAAGCATAAAGAGGTTAGAACACAGGTTTTTCTTGATGCTTCCTCCATTTTACTATACCAGTTCTCTCTTAAAATGTATTTCAACACAATGTTTTCTTCAAATTGCAGCATTCTTCACATTGAGAACAAGTTTTCACACCAAGTCATTTGCCTATCAGTGGAAGATGCATGAAACCATCTTTGTTACCTCTACCCTCTTCTACCTTCTACGTTTCTACTGATTACAATTAATTAGCCCCTTTTTGGACACCAATGTTGTCCTAGGCATTATGCAAAGTGCTGTCCAACTTTACAGGGCTCATTTCTTCTAATCTTCACAGCAGGAGATTTATCTTACAGATGATATTTAAGCCCCAAAACAGCTCATTGACTTGTCCAAACCCATACAGTTATTAAATACAGTATGGCTTGACCTTGGAAGTCAGATCCTCTTGGTCACCAACTTATAACAACTGATTTATGACACTATTTTATGACACTTCTGGTCAACTATCCCCATATTCTTATTTGAAAATGTTTGTACTAGATGGAGAAGTTCAAGGAAATTTTAAAAAGTGGATTTGAATGTTTTAAACTGTTCACCAAAAATAGTAAATAATCAGATCAATTTCCTCTTAACTATGTTTTGAATAAGCTTATAGTGCTGCTTTGGAGAAAGCAAACAGCCTGAAAACACCTTGAGCTTTGGAGAAAGAGGGGAGAAATATATTTTACTTAAGACAGGACTTTAAATCAAATACATATGAGGTTATGAAGGAAAATGAATTAAATAACGTGACAGTGAGATGTTTATAGTGCTGTCTGGTGGCCAGTGAAAGGTGACTCCTTGATATGCTTCTGCCCATCTGTTTTCATTTTCCTTGGCCATATTCTTTCCATGACCTTGAGATAGCCATGTAGCCTTCTGTCTTGGCGTTTTTGGTTAGACATCTATCAAATAAAAATTATTATTTCAGCCCCTGTTTTCTTTAGATGGGTAGAGAATAACTCAAAAATGAAACTCTAGACCTGAAAAATCATTTAAGAAATAATTCTCAAATTTGCCTCTTCTCTCCACCTACACCACTACCTCTGTAATCAAGCTAATCATCTCTCACTTACTGTGTGCCTTAGCTTCCTGACTGGTCTTGGTGATTCCATTCTTGTCCCCAGCACACTTGATCTTCATATTGTCACTGGCGCAACCTTAATATAATTACTGAACTCTTCCATTTAACACACCTCAATGGCTTCCCAGTTGCTGTCTGAATAAGAGTTAGATGGCATAACATAACTCACATGTTTATCTGGCTCCCAACTAAACACTTTGACCCCATCTTCTCCAAGTTTAACTAACCCCTTTGATTTCCTCTCTTTCAAGTTTAACTAATCCCTTTGACCTCATTTCCTCCAAAGTTTCCCATAGGTATATGCCTTTGTCAAACATGCTCTTGACTACATTACTCCTACCTCTCTTACTAACTGCTTCTCATTCTTGCAGGCTTTGATTCTCATACATGAGGCTTATAAAGAAGTCCTAATACAGAAATATCATCATAGGCTTTCTAGGTTTCTAATATTTAACTTTCCACTGTACTTAGCAAATAGACACTTAGTTGTTTCCATTTATCCAACCTCAAATCCTGGGCCATTAACACATTTATGTAAATGAAAAGACCCCAACTCTTACTGCAAACACTTAGGGGAGATTATTAAAAACAAACAGGGATATTGGCCTGTAGTTTTCTTTTCTTGCAATGTCTTTGACTAGATTTGATATCAAGATAGGGCTGGCCTCATACAATTAGTTTGGAAGTATTCTTTCTTCAAGTTTTTGGAAGAATTTAAGGGGGCTTGGTGTAAATTATTTAAATGGTAGAATTTAGCTATGGAGCTATCTAGTCCTGGGCATCTCTTGGTTGGGAGATTTTTAATTACTTATTCAATATTCTTATTCATGATTGGTCCATTCCAATTTTGTTTCTTCATGATTTAGTCTTGGTAGGTTGTACATTTCAGAAAAATGTATTCGTTTCTTCTGGGTTATCCAATTTGTTGGCACATAATGGTGCATATTAGTCTCTTATAATCCTTTATATTTCTACAGCATCAGTTGCAATGTCTCCTCTTTCATATATGATTTTATTTGTTTTAGTCTTTTCTCTTTTTTCTTAATCTAGCTAAAGGTTTGAATATTTTGTTTATCTTTTCAAAAAAAAGAATGTGTTGTTTAATTGTTACATATTTGTGAATTTTCCATTTTCCCTTCTGTTTTTAATTTCCAGTTTCTTTCTATTGTGATTAGCAAAGATACTTGGTATAATTTCAATTTTCTTAAATTTGTTGGGATTTGTTTAAGCCCAGACATATGATCAATCCTGCTGTGTGTGCTTGAGAAGAATGTACATTCCATGCTGGGTGGAATGTTCTGCATATTTCTGTTAGGTCCATTTGGTGTATAGCTTTGCTCAAGTTTGCTGTTTCCTTGTTAATTTTTGGTCTGGATAATCTATCCATTATGGAAAGTGGTGATTAAAGTATTCTACTATTATTGTGTTTCTATTTCTCTCTTCAGCTTTGTCAATGTTTGCTGATATATATTTAGATTTATATATGCAGTTCTTATATATATATATGATTTATATATACAGCTCTGATGTTAGATGCATATATATTTATAATTATTACATCTTCCTGATTAATTGACCTTTTCCTTTATCATTATGTATTGAACTTCTTTTTCTCCTGTTACAGTTTTTGATTTAGAGTCTATATTGTCTATGTACAGACATCCCTGCTCTCTTTTGGGTTACCACTTGCATGGAATATCATTGTTTTATTCCTTCACTTTCAGCCCATGTATGTTTTTAAATCTAAAGTGAGTCTCTTATAAACAGCATAGTTTGACTTAATCTTTTTATTCATTCAACCACTCTATGTCTTTTCATTGGGAAATCTAATCCATTTATATTTTGTTTTGTTTTTAGAGACTATAGAAACATTTTAGATTTACAGAAAGATTGGGCAAAAAGTAGAGTTTTCATATACCCTCCAAATAGTTTTGCTTATTATTAACATCCTGCATTAGTTCAGTGCATTTGTTAAAATTGTTGAATCAACAGTGTACATTATCCTTAACTAAAATTTATAGTTTACATTAAGGTTTATTTGTGGTATACATTTCTATGGGTTTTGACAAATGTATATCATAAACTGCATTCATGTTTAAAGTATATTCCTCAAATTTTTCGTTATTTTATTTTTTATTTTTAATTGATTTATAACAACTGTACATTTATGAGGTATATGTAATATTTTGATACATGTATACAATGTGTAATTATCAAATTAAGGTAATTGGTATATCCATCACCTCAAATATTTATCATTTCTGTGTTAAGAACATTCAAAATTTTTTTCTAGCTATTTTGTAATATACAATAAATTATTGTTAACAATAGTCACCCTACTGTGCTATAGAATACTAGAACATATTCCTCTTAACAATGATACTGTTAACCAACCTTTTCCCATCTGCCCTTCCTCCATACTCTTCCCAGCCTCTGGTAACCATTATTCTACTCTCTACTTCTATGAGATCAACTTTTTCATCGATAGGTAAGAATTACTATCGTCATTTCACTCATTGTTTTCCATCTGTCCTGTAGTTCTTTTGTCTATATTTGCCTCTCTTGTTGTCTTCTCCTTTGTGATTTGTTGACTTTTTGTATTAATATACCTTGATTCCTTCTCTTTTTCTTTTGTGTAGATTTTATACGTATTTTCTTTGTGGTTACCATGAGACTTACATAAAATATCTTACAGTTAGAAAGTCTACTTTAAGCCAGTAACAACTTAACTTCAATCATATACAAAAACTCTGCACTTTTACTTCCTCCCTCCAACACTTTATGTTATTGATATCATAATCTTTATTGTTTTACATTGTGTATCCACTAACAAATTTTTGTAGTTACAGTTAATACTTTTATTTTTTATTTTTATACTAGAATTAAAAGTGATTTATATACCACCATTGCAGTATTCTGTGCATATATACTAAACTTTACCAATGAGTTTTACTTTCATATGCTTTCGTGTTGCTATTTAGCAATCTTTTTTTCAACTTAAAGAATGTCCTGGCCGGACATGGTGGCTCACGCCTGTAATCCCAGCACTTTGGGAAGCTGAGGCAGGCAGATCATGAGGTCAGGAGATCGAGACCATCCTGGCTAACATGGTGAAACCCTGTCTCTACTAAAAATACAAGAAATTAGCCAGGCGTGGTGGCAGGCACTTGTGGTCCCAGCTATTAGGGAGGCTGAGGCAGGAGAATGGCTTGAACCCGGGGGGCGGAGCTTGCAGTGAGCCAAGATCGTGCCACTGCACTCCACCCTGGGCGACAGAGCGAGACTCCGTCTCAAAGGGGAAAAAAAAAAAAAAAAAAAAGGAATTGCCTGTAACATTTCTCTTAAGTCCAGGGGCAATGAACTCTCTAAGCTCTTGTTTGTTTTGGAAAGTCTTTATCTCCCCTTCTTTTTTGAAGAAGAGATTACTGGGTATAGTTTTTAGTGGTTGGCAGTTTTTGTCTTTCATGATTTTAAATATATTATCCAACTTCCTTTTGCCTTGAAAAATGTCTCTGAAAAATCTGTTGATAGCCTAGGAAACCAGAGGTCAATATCCCTTGTGAACATAGATGCAAAAATCCACAACAGAATACTGGCAAACAAAATTCAATAGAACATTAAACAGATCATATATTATGACCAAGTGTCATTTATCCTCGGGATGCCAGGATGGTTCAACGTGCTCAAGTCAATAATGTGATATACCACATTAACAGAATGAAGGGCAAAAATCACATAATCGTTTCAAGAGATGCACAAAAAGAATTTGAAAAAATTCAACATCCTTTCATGATAAAAACTCTCAACAAACTACATACAGAAGGAATTTACCCCAACATTAAAGGCCATAAATAGAAAGCCTGCAGCTAATTTCATATTCAACAGTGAAAAACTGAAATCTTTCCCTCTAAGATCAAGAACAAGGCAAGGATTCCCACACTCACCATTTCTATTTAACATAGTACTGAAAGTGCTAGCCAGAGCAATTAGACAAGAAAAAGAAATAAAAATTACCTAAATCCTGATGGAAGGAGTAAAATTCTCTGTTTGCAGATTACATAGTCTTATACCTAGAAAACCCTAAAGACAACACAAAAATACTCTTAGAATAACCGAATTAAATAAAATTTCATAATACAAAATCAACATACGAAAATCAATTTCATGTCTATATACTAACAATAAACAATCCAAAATAATTACAAGAACAATTCTATTCACAATAGTAACAAAATAAATACTTAGAGATAAATTTAAACTGGGAGATTAAAGAGTTATTAACTGGAAACTACACAACATTGATGAAAGAAATTAAAGAAGACAAAAAGAAATGGAAAGCCATCTCATGTTCATGGATTGGAAGATTTAATATTATTAAAATGTCTAAAAAATCACTCTTATCTATTAAAATGTCTAAAAAACCCAATCTTTATCAAAATGCTGGTGTCATTTGTTTACAGAAATAGAAAAAAACTCCTAAAATCCATAAGATGCCACAAAAATACTCAAAAGCAATACTGAGAAAGAACAAGGTTAGAGACATCACACTTCCTGGTTTTAAAATACATTACAAAGCTACAGTAACCAAAACAGTATGGTACTGACAAAAACAATTGTATACACCAATAGAACAGAACAGAAAGCCCAAAAATAAATGCAGACATACAGAAACTGATCTTTGACCAGGTGCCAAGAATACACAGGGAAAGGATAGTCTCATCAACAAATGATGTCAGAAATACTGAATATCCAGAAGTAAAAGAATGAAATTGCACCCTTTTCATATACTATACACAAAAGTAAACTCAAAATGGATTAAAGACTTAAAGGACCTGACATGATAAAACTCCTAGAAGAAAACGTAAGACAAAAGCAAAATTTTTCTAGTCAATGACTTCTTGGATATGACACCAAAGGCACAAGCAACAAAAGCAAAAATAGACTAGTGGGACTACATCAAACTAAAGAGCTTCTGCACAGCAAATAAAAAAATCAACAGAGTGAAAAAGGTAATTTATAAAATGGAAAGAAATATTTACAACCATATATAAAATAAGGGGTTAATATTCCACAAATGTAATGAATGACTACAATTCTATAGCCAAAAAAAAAAAACTGATTTTTTAAATGGCCAAAGGATTTGAAAAGCCATTTCTTCAAATAAGTTGCACAAATGGCCAAAAGGATAAGAACAGATTCTCAGCATCATGAATCATTAAGGAAATACAAATCAAAAACGCAACGAGATATTATTTCACACCCATTAGGATGGCTATTATCATTTTTTAAAAGATAGTAAGTGCTGGTGGGATTTGGAAAAATTGGAACCTTTGTGCACTGTTAGCAGGAATATAAAATGGTATAGCACTATAGAAACAGTAATAATGTTCTTTAAAAATTTTTAAATAGAGCTACCATACGATCCAGCAATCCTACTTCCTGGTATATATCTAAAAGATTGAAATAAGGATCCTGAAGAGTTATTAGAATGCCCATATTCACTGTAGTGTTATTCACAATATTCACAACCAAGATATGGAAACAAACGTTCATCAATAAATGAATATACATAAATGTGGCATATACATACAATGGAATATTATTTCACTTTATAAAAAGGAAATCCATTATATTTGACATGTATGAAGCTGGAGGACATTATGCTGAGTGAAATAACCTAATCACAGAAGTTCAAATACATGAGATTTTAACTATATAAGGTATCTAAAATAGGTGAATTCATAGAAACAGAGTGTAGATGCTGGTTACCAAGGGCTGGAGGTGGGGAGGAATGTGGAGTTGCTGATCAATGAGATAAAATTTCAGTTGTGCAAGATGCATAAGTTCTAGATACCTGCTGTACAACATTGTCCCTATAGTTAACAATAGTGTGTTATGCACATAAAACTTAAATCAGAGGGTAATCTCATGTTACGTGTTCTTATCACTATTAAAAATTAATTAAAGGCTCTTTCCCCAAAGATTCTGACCCAATTTGTCTAGGGTGGTTGTACAGATATTTAAGTTTCCAGGTAAAGTTATTGTGAACTAATGTTGAGAAGCACCAGTCTATAAGGATGAGTCGAGAATAAACTCAATAATTACACAAACTTTTCTATCAAAGATGTCATCAGGCTAAATTATTTAATAAGGTAAATTTTCAGCAAGCAAGGGGTATATATTTTAGCTGTCCAGGGTACAGAGTTACAATCAGGTGTACACTTAATTGTATACCTTGTCTTATAAGATGAACTTAGAATAGATGAGGTGGTGCAATAGACCAAAATGTAATCATCCAATACCTCAGGACACACATTTAAAAATGCACAAACAGTATAATTACAACACATATGATTAGTAAGGTTGATGGAAGAGTTCTGCTTAAAGGTAGCAGAATATGTGGGTGAATGAAGAATTAAGCATATATGACTATTACCTATGCCCCAGGAAGACGGTAGTGAGACCTCCTTGCACTGCAGGATCTACTAAAAGGTTCTACATCTCATTTTTTTCCCATAAAAAGAGTTCTAATCTGTTTTAAATAACACTTTTTGTGAAAATGCCAATTTATGATTTTATATTTAAAACTATAGTTTTGAAGACAACTATTAGAAAACAAAAAAATAAATCTGGAAAAAAATTATATTGATACAATGTGAATATTTTAGTTAATTTTCTTATCTGTGTAAATGCATGGTTTATGAACTTAAATTAACACAATACATAAAGGTTTATGCCCTTTTTAAAACTAAATTTAAATTGTATCATGGGCATTTCTAATATATTTTTGAGAAACAGTTCTGTTGTGTATACATATAGTACCTGTTATATAAATTTACATGTTTTATTTAACTATGTCTACCTTGTACATTTAGATTGATCTTAATTTTTCACTTTTATAAAGATATAAAAATATAATAATATGTGTGTGTGGGGGGTTATTTATTGTTAAAGAGAACAACTGGGTTTAGGACAACTAGCAATTCCATACAGTGGTATCTATAAACCTCACCATTGTGTTCTTGATACACCTACGAATTACAGATTTACCTGCCACTCCACCCCAAGTGTCTGGATTCATTAGGTCTCAGACAGTATGCATTTTTTAGTAAGCTCCAAAAGCAGTTCTTATGCAGACAGATGGTTCATAGCTTCTACTTGTGAAACTGGTATCAGCCTTTTTAAAATTCTCACACATACTGGCAAACAGTCCATCAGAAAGATAACAACTTTTTATTTCCTTAAGCAATGTATGATCGTGCCAATTAAGGTAAACTTTTAGAAATCCTGTGCTAATTTGATAAGCAATAAGTACATGTTGCTTTTTGAGATGCAACTTTTTGATTGCTAGTGAAGATGAAGGCCTATATATATTCTCCAGTCATAATGTATATTATTCTGTAAATTTCTATTTCTTTTCATATCCTTTGCCCATTTTTTCCATTAAGGTATCATTTTCTTCAATGGCTTTTAAGAATTCTTTTTATTTTAAAATTACTCCCTGGCTGAAAATATATTTCCTGGTTTATTGTTTGAATTTGAATTTTATGGTGTTTATTTCTTGTCCTACAGAAGTTCTGGGTCTTGACAAAGGCACACAGTATACCTTTTGCTAAGCAGCCATCAAATCTTCTTTCTGCCTTTTTTATGTCATCCTTTCAAGTCTTTCTATGCTGCCGCTCTTGTTTTTGTTGTTTTATTTTTTACTTGTAACTCTTTAAGCCATCTGAAACTTATGTTAATACATTTTCTTTCTTTTTTTTTTCTTCGAGACAGTTTTGCTTTGTCGCCCAGACTGGAGTGCAGTGGCGTGATGTTGGCTCACTGCAACCTCTGCCTCCCAGGTTCCAGCAATTCTCCTGCCTCAGCCTCCTGAGTAGCTGGGATTACAGCGGCCCCGCCACGACGCCCAGCCTTTTTTTTTTTTTTTTTTTTTTTGTATTTTTAGTAGAGATGGGGTTTCACTTTCTCTAAGAAAATTAACTCATTTTTCTTGGGCATGGTGGCTCATACCTGTAATACAAGCACTTTGGGAGGCTGAGGTGGGTAGATCACTTGAGGTCAGGAGTTCATGACCAGCCTGGCCAACATGGTGAAACTGCATCTCTACTAAAAATACAAAAATTACCCAGGTGTGGTGGTGCATGTCTGTAATTCCAGATAGGAGGCTGAGACACAAGAATCACATGAACCCGAGAGACCAAGGCTGCAGTGAGCTGAGATTGCACCACTGCACTCCAGCCTGAGTGACAGAGCAAGACCCTGTCCCCCCACCAAAAAAAAAAAAGAAAACTCATTTTTTCAGAGGTTGTTTTTAATAATTTTTTTATTATTTCTTGCTGTTATATGGCACAACTTTCTCTAACTAATATGTCAAGTTGTTTCTAATATGAGACCAGGAGGAAGTGTGTCACAGTCAGAGGTAACAGATGCTAATTATCTTATCACACTTCCCACGATTAGCACAAGTTGGAAATAAAGTCTCACCTGATGTGGTTTCATGTCCCTTTAACGTGCATTAAAATATATTGTTATTTTAAAAACAATAACACATTTTTTTAGAAAAAAACAATGCCTCCTTCCCAAATGAATTTTTAGAGGTTGCCACTTGAAACTCATTTATACAACCTTCCAACAGTAACAAAATGTCACATGCTCATGCTGCAACTGTTACTAGGTTATTTCACGATTTTTATTAATATAACAAGATTCACTGGTGTCTACAGGATGTAAATGTAAATGTGATTAATATATGATTAATATACAGCAGGGAAATATTTTGAACTAATAAGTGTTGCCTTTCCCCTTCTCTCTATATACATACATATAAATTTCTCTCTCTATATATATATATATTCCTATATACTTTTTTCTATATATACATATATAATATATATATATAGAGAGAGAGTAAAGAGACAGAGAGAGACATATACACGTGTATGTATACATGCATAAGTAGGTGTTTTAACCTAGAGACCACTGCCCCCATTAAAACTGGACCCATTCTGGAAGAGACTGCCCAAAAAAATTCAGGACATAAAAGAGCCCAACAATAGCAAAGTCTGCAAAACCTTGTCTTTTGATTGGAAGAGCTGAGCACTACAAAAAGGTTTTTCTCTTTTTCTCTCTTTTTTTTTTTAAATTTCAAAGGTGTACTTGTGTCTCAAAGAAGAGTTTATAACAGCTAATAAAATTTTCTCACGACACAGCACGGAAATAACCCTTTCTGGGAAGAGGTAAGGGAAAATTTGAAAAGAAAGACAGAGTAAAAGATAACTTAAAGGCAGACATGAGGTTTCTACCTCTTGTTTTTACCCTGTATTTCAGCCAGGCCATGACCTTAGAGGGAAGATGGCAGCAATCCCAGAGAAGTTCTACAAAACAGAGAGATGGGACTTCTTTTCCCATGGTAGAGCCCACAAAGACTGAAGAGCCCTTCATGAGCTCCCTGCCCCCTCATCCTAACCAGGCCGCAGAGTGGCAAAGTGGAAGACCTAGGTAAAAAGATAAAGGCAGAGAGCCTGATTATGGTCTCACACAGTCCTATAGGCCAAACAGTAAATATTTTAGCCTCTGTTGCTACTTGACTCTGCCACTGTAATGAGGAGGCAGTCATAGACAACATGCAAACACATGGGCCAGGTTGTGCTCTGGTAACACTTTATTTGTGGACTCAGAAATTTGAATTTCATGTAATTTTTGCGTGTCATATAATTTTTGTGAGATTAGTTTTCAACAAATGTAAAATTAAAAACATATTCTTAGGTCGCAGGCCAGACAAAAACTATGGCCAGAAGGCCACAGGCTTGCAACCAGTATGGCACACATGAGGATGGTGGAAAAGAACTTCTGTAAGCTTCTAAGGAATACCCAAGGATGGGTGAAGAAATGGATGAGAGAGTAGGTGAACTAGAAGATGACTTTCAGGAATGACAAGAGGATACTTTTAAAGGATACACTGTTAAACTGTACAAGCAGTAAACCATGAAAGTGTGGACATCAGTGGTAGTACCGAGGTGACACAGCAAAGATGTGGAAGCTTGGTAGGGTGAGAAAAGAGCACTGGCAAGTACCACATGTCCCTCCCCAGAGGCCAGGCTGGCACACGACAACTACACACCCACATTCCACACATCCCGGATCTCAGATCATCCCTGGAGAGAAGGTAAGACTCATATAACACCAGAAGAGACTGACTTGCTTTAATATGGCAAATTTAAAGGTTTTTTGGCTATCAAAAGAAATAAGGATGTACGAATTGAACTAGTATCATTTATGAAGAAATAAGTTATGTTTCAATACCTTAGTTATATGGCCCCTTAATATTCCTGACTGCCTGAGGTATGTTTGTAGTGTCCTTCTACTTTTGAGAAAAATAAAATTCACACCTGAAAGCACACAGCCAAATAATTGTCCCCTCGATTTGAAGTGGCCCCACCAACACATCAAACACTTGGGTCTATGTATCTGATTTGTCTGTTGGTCTACATATTTCTTCCTGGTTTACAATCATACTGTGTAAATTGCTATAACTTTAGAAGAACCTAAATAACTGGCAACAAAGTCTCATTTAACTATGCTGCTTTTAGAAAATTTAATCAACTTTCTGTATCATTCTTTCAAATGAGCAACAGATTTTGCTACAAGGGAAAAAATGAATTCCTCTGGGATTTTGATTAAAATTCATTTAAAACTACAAATTATTTGGGAAAGACTTCGCATCTTCAGAATACTAAACTTTACCATTTAGAAATATGATTTTCTATATCAGAGTTAAGTATTCTATGTCTCCATTAAGGTTTCCATTATCTTTATTTTAAAAATACACATTTCCTTTAGGATTGTGTAGGGGAGTTGTTTAATTGCTAATGAAAATTTAATACATTTTATTATATATTCCGAGTATATATTACTGTTCTATATAAAGATCTTCATTTGTGTGCATTTATTGTGTATATAATCCTTTTTACTAAAAGCTCTTAGTTCTTCTAATAGATTTCCAGGTGATTCTCTAAGTTCCTCAGATGGATACACTATCCTCAAACAATAATTTTTTTGTAATTGTACTAAGAGACACAAAAATTCATAGTTCACATGTACCCTGAAACTTAAAATATAATAATAATAATAATAAAAGTTCACAGTTCACTGAAAAGAATGCAGATTGATCCTTAAAGATGTGGGGAATAAAAACTCACCTTGGCTCATGAATAATGAGCTCCTATAGCATGCTACCATCTACTCTTCACCCATCAGATAGGCAAAAATCCAAAGGCTCTGCAATGCACACTGTTGAGGAAACTCTGAAAAAAGAGCCTCTTCCCAATGGTGACAATAAGATTGCAAAGTGATTCACCTTCTCTGAGAGGAAGTTGGCAATATCTATCAAGAATCCATACAAATTTATCCTTTAACCCAGAACTTCCACTTCATGGAATCTTTCTCAGATATACTGCAAAAACTATGAAAAGGAAATGCCAAACACAGGTACAAGAATATTCATTGCTTTCGTACTTAGATTTTTTTTTCAAATGATCTAGCAATTTATTAAATATTTTACATATTATATCGAGTATCACAAATCCCAAAGAATCATGTTTCTATTAGAGGTAATAAAGCATATAAACTTTAAGTGATTAATGTCTACAATTTTTATATTGACAAGAACTCTGTATTCCATTACTTCACCAAAAACTTTTTGCAGTCTCTTTTCAGAGTATTTTTAAAATATTTTACAAATTTCAATATGTATATGCTTTTAAAAAATGCACTTAAGTGCATTCTATTTTCAAAATAGCATCTTTTATTCAATAATATATTTTAAACTTTCATATGGCAGAGACAATTCCCATAAATTTGCTTTATATCATACACCACACTACTGTAGAATGCTCCTTGGTAACAACAAAATGTTGCATTTTGAAGCTTTATTGCATAGAAAGACCAATTTTGTGTTGAATCTCTGAATAGACCAAAAACAGGAGCTGAAATTGTGGCAATAACCAATAGCTTACCAACCAAAAAGAGTCCAGGACCAGATGGATTCACAGCAGAATTCTACCAGAGGTACAAGGAGGAACTGGTACCATTCCTTCTGAAACTATTCCAATCAGTAGAAAAAGAGGGAATCCTCCCTAACTCATTTTATGAGGCCAGCATCATCCTGCTACCAAAGCCAGGCAGAGACAAAACCAAAAAAGAGAATTTTAGACCAATATCCTTGATGAACATTGATGCAAAAATCCTCAATAAAATACTGGCAAACCGAATTCAGCAGCACATCAAAAAGCTTATCCACCATGATCAAGTGGGCTTCGTCCCTGGGATGCAAGGCTGGTTCAATATACGCAAATCAATAAATGCAATCCAGCATATAAACAGAACCAAAGACAAAAACCACATGATTATCTCAATAGATGCAGAAAAGGCCTTTGACAAAATTCAACAACCCTTCATGCTAAAAACTCTCAATAAATTAGGTATTGATGGGAAGTATCTCAAAATAATAAGAGCTTTCTATGACAAACCCACAGCCAATATCATACTGAATGGGCAAAAACTGGAAGCATTCCCTTTGAAAACTGGCACAAGACAGGGATGCCCTCTCTCACCACTCCTATTCAACATAGTGTTGGAAGTTCTGGACAGGGCAATTAGGCAGGAGAAGGAAATAAAGGGTATTCAATTAGGAAAAGAGGAAGTCAAATTGTCCCTGTTTGCAGATGACATGATTGTATATCTAGAAAACCCCATTGTCTCAGCCCAAAATCTCCTTAAGCTGATAAGCAACTTCAGCAAAGTCTCAGGATACAAAATCAATGTACAAAAATCACAAGCATTCTTACACACCAATAACAGACAAACAGAGAGCCAAATCATGAGTGAACTCCCATTCACAATTGCTTCAAAGAGAATAAAATACCTAGGAATCCAAATTACAAGGGACGTGAAGGACCTCTTCAAGGAGAACTACAAACCACTGCTCAAGGAAATAAAAGAGGATACAAACAAATGGAAGAACATTCCATGCTCATGGGTAGGAAGAATCAATATTGTGAAAATAGCCATACTGCCCAAGATAATTTACAGATTAAATGCCATCCCCATCAAGCTACTAATGACTTTCTTCACAGAATTGGAAAAAACTACTTTAAAGTTCATATGGAACCAAAAAAGAGCCCGCATCGCCAAGTCAATCCTAAGCCAAAAGAACAAAGCTGGAGGCATCACGCTACCTGACTTCAAACTATACTACAAGCCTACAGTAACCAAAACAGCATGGTACTGGCACCAAAACAGAGCTATAGAGCAATGGAACAGAACAGAGCCCTCAGAAATAACGACACATATCTACAACTATCTGACCTTTGACAAACCTGAGAAAAACAAGCAATGGGGAAAGGATTCCCTATTTAATAAATGGTGCTGGGAAAACTGGCTAGCCATATGTAGAAAGCTGAAACTGGATCCCTTCCTTACACCTTATACAAAAATCAGTTCAAAATGGATTAAAGACTTAAACGTTAGACCTAAAACCATAAAAACCCAAGAAGAAAACCTAGGCATTACCATTCAGGACATAGGCATGGGCAAGGACTTCATGTCTAAAACACAAAAAGCAATGGCAACAAAAGCCAAAATTGACAAAGGGGATCTAATTAAACTAAAGAGCTTCTGCACAGCAAAAGAAACTAGCAGCAGTGTGAACAGGCAACCTACAAAATGGGAGAAAATTTTTGCAACCTACTCATCTGACAAAGGGCTAATATCCAGAATCTACAATGAACTCAAACAAATTCACAAGAAAAAAACAAACAACCCCATCAAAAAGTGGGCAAAGGATATGAACAGACACTTCTCAAAAGAAGACATTTATGCAGCCAAAAAACACATGAAAAACTGTTCACCATCACTGGCCATCAGAGAAATGCAAATCAAAACCACAATGAGATACCATCTCACACCACTTAGAATGGCAATCATTAAAAAGTCAGGAAACAACAGGTGCTGGAGAGGATGTGCAGAAATAGGACCACTTTTACACTGTTGGTGGGACTGTAAACTAGTTCAACCCTTGTGGAAGTCAGTGTGGCGATTCCTCAGGGATCTAGAACTAGAAATACCATTTGACCCAGCCATCCCATTACTGGGTATATACCCAAAGGACTATAAATCATGCTGCTATAAAGACACATGCACACGTATGTTTATTGCGGCATTATTCACAATAGCAAAGACTTGGAACCAAGCCAAATGTCTAACAATGATAGACTGGATTCAGAAAATGTGACACATATACACCACGGAATACTATGCAGCCATAAAAAATGATGAGTTCATGTCCTTTGTAGGGACATGGATGAATTGGAAATCATCATTCTCTGTAAACTATCGCAAGAACAAAAAAACCAAACACCTCATATTCTCACTCATAGGTGGGAATTGAACAATGAGAACACATGGAAACAGGAAGGGGAACATGACACTCTGGGGACTGTTGTGGGGTGGGGGGAGGGGGGAGGGATAGCATTGGGAGATATACCTAATGGTAGATGACGAGTTAGTGGGTGCAGCGCACCAGCATGGCACACGTATACATATGTAACTTAGATTTTTTTTTTTTTAGACAAGGCCTTGCTCTGTCACTCAGGCTGGACTGCAGTGGCACAAACACAGCTTACTACAGCCTCAACCTACCAGGCTCAAGTGATCCTCCAATCTCAGCCTCCCAAGTAGCCGGGACCACAGGTGCACACCAAAATGCCTGGCTAATTTTTAAACTTTTTGTAGAGATGGGGTCTCACCATGTTGCCCAGGCTGGTCTCAAACTCCTGGGCTCAAGAAATACTCCTGCCTTGGCTTCCCAAAGTGCTAGAATTACAAGAGTGAGCCACTATGCTCAGGCTTATAATTTTTTAAAATTATTATTTATCAAGTAGTTCAACAATTTCTGTTCTTCCTTAATCACAAAAGCATTCAGAAAAATAAATTGTTCTCTAAGAGTAGATTTAGCGAGGCTCCATATATTCTAACCTCTTGTTTTATTGTTATTTTGTTCAAAGACTTTAATTTATTTGAGAGATTTTTCTTCATTTTTGGCAACCTGTTTATCTGAAAATCTACAGTCCTGAAAGATTATTTCTTTATCCTTGAAATGTAAATGTTTTACTAATATGCTTGTCTTATTTAATTTGGCAGGACTAATCGTTGGTCTTTTTGATTTTTAGATTTAATTATTTGGCTGGTTGGGTTTTTTTAATGTTTGAGATTTAGACTCACTATGCCTGTGTTCTCTTTTTCTGCAATTCTTGTTTTGTAGATTTCCTGGAACTATCCTCATCTCTTATTTTTTTCGCTCATCATTTTTAACACTTCTTTTTTGCCATAGAATTATGGGTAATTTTTTTGATTTGCCTTCCATGGAACAAATTCTATTTTTTTCAGTACCCACTCTGCAGTTCATTATCCCCACCTAAGTTCAATCATTACTTAAATTTCCTTGCAGACATTTCAGTGACAGATTATTCCTTCTTCCTACTTATTCTAACTCTGTAAATGTACTCATAAAGTAAATCTTAACAATGCAATTATTTTTTCAACTATTCCCCTAGTTTTGTAGCCAATCTATTTTTTAAAGGGGCATTTCCCTTAATTCTTTATGGTTATTCATGACTTAAAACTGTAGCAGATTGAATATACTCTTTGGTGAACGATTTCTGTTTTAGCATCTTTTAGTTTTGTGTACCTGCAGGCCCCTTTTCTGGTTCACCTCCACCTTTCTAAAGTAAAGGCCTGATTTATTATTCTCATCTACTTATTTCCTGGAAATTGTATTGTAGTTCTCACAAGTATTTAGGCTAGTCCTATCTGCACTCTATGTGGCTAAAAGTACCAAAATATCTACCATATTTAGGGCCTTTTCCTGAGTTCTAAAATTATTCCTATTTTTATCTTCAGCTGGTCATATCCTGAAGACTTTAGAACTCTGGCCACATGTTACCCAGAAGATGACAGATGATGGATCATGATTTTGAATTTCAGGAACAACCACTACCTCTTTATCCAATAACCACATAAGCAATCACAAATCAAGTAAGAAGCAAAATCTTCAGGGATGCTGGGATGGAGATATATAAGTTTTCAGAAAGTACCAAAATACACATGATTTTGAAATAGGTTGATTTTAAAGGGAGGCCTATATCCTTGAGGTAAACTTTTCCCAGTAACAAGCTTATTAAAATCTCTTTCTGCTACACTCCACAAGAAAGACGGAGGAACAGAAGAGAAAAGGGCTTTTAGTAAGAGTATATGGACTTTTTTTTTTTTTGACCCAAGGTCTTGCTTTGTCACCTAGGATGTAGTGCACTGGCGTGATCACAGCTCACTGAAGTGTGGAGCTCCTAGGCTCAAGCAATCCTCCCACCCTAGCTTCCCAAGTAGCTGGGACTACAGGTGCAAGCCACTATCTCCAGCTAATTTTTCTATTTTTTGTAGACATGGGGCCTCACTATGTTCCCCACGCTGGTCACAAACTCCTGGCCTCAAGCAATCCTCAATCCTCCTGCCTTAGCCTCCCAAAGTGCTGGCATTACAGACATAAGCCACCATGGCCATGACCTTTTAAAGCTGTTTTATAATGAAATTTTTAAACATCTTCTCCACACTATTAAAAGCTGATTTTTGTTTACCTTTTATGGGAAAGAGTTTTGCTAACATCTTAGTGAAAAACAGTTGAGAGTTTGTAATAAAACTATTAATAGTCATTCATTTATTCAATCAATACATATTTATGCAATACCTACTAGGTTCTAGAATAATGGCTGGTACATTACATATATTGATATAACGAGGAACAAATCCAATCCCTAACCTCAATCTATGTAATTTGCAAGTCTCTACAGACAAATAGATTACGGATAGACAGATAAATAGATATTAAACATATATGTATGTATAATAAGCCACAAGTACACATATACTTTTAGAATTGAACAAATGTGTATTATCTCCTTACTTAAAGAGAACTAGGTATAGAATATTCATTAATGTATAAGCATTCTAATTAATTGTTACAGGTTGAAATGAATGTGAGTGTATATATGCACTCATATGAAAACTTCATACTAAATGATGTAGAACACATTGCTTACACCAACAGTACCCTTTTGTCTTCTCAACACATCCTTTTTATCCTTTAATAAAGTCCATGGTTTTCAAAAAATAGACATTATTAAGGGAATGAGCTGAATTTCAGGCATCTACAGTTGGTTTATCATCAACTTACATTTTGTAAGTGTTCAACATCAACACTTACAAAAGAAATTTTACATTTGGCTGTACCATACTGTAAAAATAAAAAGCAACAATAATCACATCAACAAGACTATGTTTGTTAAATATTTCCATAACTTCTGCCTGTTGATGGCTTCCGGCTTTCCTACAATGGGTAGCATTTCAGATTCTGACTGATAAGCAAAGAGCTAAAGTGATTGCTAAAAACTCTAGAGAATTTTAGGTTAAAAAAGTCGTAGGTGTTTCATTTAGACACCTATGTCTGTTGATTTACTTTTGGTTTGTTTGTATGGCTCTCACAAATTTCTGGAAAAAGAAAAATGATCAGAGAGAAGGTTTGAAAGAGTGAGAAAAGCAAAGTGGAAAAAAATAACAACATGATCAGAGATTGTAACTAAGTCTAAATTTGGAAACTTATTTCAGGTTATTTTTATTTTTACTCATCACAGTCAATAATACTGTTGATATTCAAATAGCCATCAAAGCTTTAGCTAAGACATGTTAGAATAAGGGCTCATCTCTGAGGAAATTCATTGAATCTCTCTTCATTGAAAGGGGATGGGCATTTTAACTTTAGGCTTTAATCAAAAATTAAGAATGTATCTCCTGACTTAGATACAACTATAAAAAACACATTAAAATCTAATTACTTTAATAAAAAGATGCCAGCCTTGAAATACTTCTTAAAATTAAAGGTCTGTTATATTTACATTGAGAAGGACAATTTATTTCCTAAGATGCATATAGGCACATACAAATAAACTCCTTCTTTTCTCATTCCTATGAACTTGAATTGTCTTAAAGTTTTGCCAATGACAGTGTATGACCTACTTTGAAAATCAATTATATACTTTTTATTCTTTCATAAGGTCTACAGTTTTTTGGCTCAATTCATGTGAAATGCAATAAACTTGTCCTTCAATCACAGAACACAGGTAAAAATACCTATAAAGCATTTTTAGATATTATTATATAAAATATCAAGTTAAAAGTAAAATAACTGTATAATAGTTTGGGGATAAACTCTTGATAAGTATTCAATAGTCTAGATATAATTTGATCTTCAAAATCTTTCTTACATACTAACTACGTAAGAAATGTAAAATCTTTGGTTGGCAAGTAGAGAAATCAACATGAGATTATTTTTTCTTCTGTTATTTTCCAGGGTTAGGGGAGAGAGAATAATGAGGGCAGAGATTTTGTTTTTATCTAAGACATTATTCATAAAACAACAGGCTAACATGTTGCCTGAGTAAAAGTATGTAACTTCATACTGGCCTTGTTTTTTTAACAGGGAATGAACTGGCATTTTCTCCTGTCAGCTAATGAAACAATTGGGGATCATTGGAGAATAATAAATGGACAATTAACAGCTTTATCTGGAGACAAAGATTTGCCCATCTTTGAATGATGAGTTGGCAATTCTGTGTTTTGGGAGCTTGTTTTGAATGTTCAGAGGGGGAACAATGGAGAACTACAAGTTATTGCATTAAGGGTTTTGCTTATGCATTTATGTATGTATATATTTATTTTTATAGTTGTAAACACAAATGATAAAAACATGCAAAACCCTGTTGCAGCTCAAGGTAACCACTCCCTTTCGTATCATCCCAAGAATATTTCTAGCAAATTCTTGGTACAATGAAAAGTTTAAAATTTAAAACTAGAAAACTCTAAGGTGAAGCATAAGAATTGGACTCCAGGCCGGGTGCAGTGGCTCACACCTGTAATCCCAGCACTTTGGGAGGCCGAGGTGGGAGGATCATGAGATCAGGAGTTCAAGACCAGCCTAACCAACATGGTGAAACCCGTCTCTACTAAAAATACAAAAGTTAACCAGGTGTGGTGATGCGTGCCTGTAATCCCAGCTACTTAGGGGGCTGAGGCAGGAGAATCGCTTGAACCCAGGAGGCAGAGGTTGCAGTGAGCCGAGATCATGCCACTGCACTCCAGCCTGGGTGACAGAGCGAGATTCCATCTCAAAAAAAAAAAAAAAAAAAAAGGAATTGGATTCCAAGGAATAAATCAGTTATTTTTGGGATTTGTATCTTGTCTACAGAGTTAGGTAGCTGAATGTGATAAAAGATTTTTCCAACCACCCTAAATAAATTATGAGACATAACACAATGGAATGCAAATGAGTCATTAAAAATAATCATGTCGACAGTGTAACACAGGGTTTAAGGTCACAAACATTGGTATCAGATAAGCCAAGCTTTAAATCCCCATTCTACCATTTATTAGCTCTATTACTTTAAGCAAGTTATATCTCCTCTCCAGAAGTAACTGACTCAGAGAATTGTAGAAATTAAGTGAGGGGATGCATTTGAAATGCTTATCACAGGGCCTGGTGGAGCCTCAAAACACTTTTATTAAATGAATAAGTAAACATTTAATAGATGTTTGTTCTTATCACAATAATTTTTGACATGGCAATATGTCATGACATATTGACATTTCTGAGTTAAAAGAAATCAGCTGCAGGAACACAGGTAGACTATGATGTCATACCCATGAGTGCCCTGCATGTATTTCACATTGCTGTGTGCACATGAGCTATCTGGAAGGAAGTTCTGAAAATGAATTGCTGCTCTCATGTCATGATCATTTCACTGTATTTCACTCTTTGCTTTGTATTCTCAAGATATCATCTTAGAGAAACCATTAAGGTATATATAAAATCAGTATTGATCGGAGAGGCTTTAACATTTATTCAAATATTCATCAGATGGGGCTGGAGACAGAGATTGGGAATAAAAGATATCAGGGGTAATCTGTCTTTAGAGATCTTATTCAAAGATAAAAGATATAAGCATGGTCTCCTTGCTCATCAGGACCACAAAGAAAATTGTATTACCATTTCTGTGCTACTGTACCACTGTCTTTTTAATTTTATGTTTAATTGATACGTAATAATTGCGCATATTTCTGGGGTACAGTGTGATGTTCCGATACATATATACGATGTATTCTACTGTCTTTTAAACTTCCCATGTAATAAAGAGAAGTGTATTACTCATTTCAAATAACCTCTTAGAGAACTTCTGATACTAGATATCTATAATGTTTTTAAAAGAAAAATGAAGGGGTAGCATTTTCTCTTTGGATTCTTGTCAAACTGCACCTTATCACTCACCAGCTTTTCACAAAAGGAACTCACAGTAACATGCAATGGAATGTGATGGCATAGGACAAACCCATCACCTCAGCTGGCAGTGAAACTTCAATAGTATTATCCTCACACATAAAGTCATTCATTGCCATGCATGATGAAATCCCCAGGCAGTCTCTTTCTGCTTTGAGTTTGTTTAGAAGCGTTTTTAGGATACATCCAGGAAATCTTCAGGGAAAATACTGACCAGGAAGAGCTGGCATTTCCTAGTCTGTGACCCTGAGGGAGATGGCCACCATTGGAGCTTCATATCCTTTTGCTCTGCATCAGTAATCCCTCCAGCAAAGGCTAAGTTGATGGGGTCAATCAGAGAGACAGGATCTGCCCTCTCTGACCCATATTGCGTAGCTTTTATGCACTGAGATCACACCACGGAAAACAAAAGAATACACACAACCTGGAAACAGAAGTAACTTGGCAAATGAGAGGCTTAATGGCTAGAGCTGTGTTATCTAATACTGCAGCTATATGGAGTTTTCTTTTCTTTTTTTTTTTTTTTTTTGAGATGGAGTCTTGCTCTGTCGCCCAGGCTGGAGTACAGTGGTGCAAGCTCCGCCTCCCGAGTTCACGCCATTCTCCTGCCTCAGCCTCCCGAGTAGCTGAGACTACAGGCGCCCACCACCATGCCTGGCTAATTTTTTGTATTTTTAGTAGAGACAGGGTTTCACCGTGCTAGCCAGGATGGTCTCGATCTCCTGACCTCGTGATCCGCCCCTCTCAGCCTCCCAAAGTGCTGGGATTACAGGCGTGAGCACGTCCGGTATGGAGCTTTTAAATTAAAATTAAAAAGCCACTTCTTTAGTCGTAATAGCCACATTTCAAATGTGTAGGTATCTCACGTGACTAGTAGATACCATACCGGACGGCACAAATACAGAACATTTACATCCTTGGGAGAGGAGCTGCCACATAACCTTTTGACCTTCAAAATGTTGTATTACGTGTATGTATTAATTATTCAAAATTAATTATCGTACATTTAAATTTTAAGTAGTAATGTTAATTGTTTTATATAATTTGTATTTGAAACTTCAAAAAGATTACCCATTTTTCATCTGGGGCTACTAGGGTCACAGTCACAAGCACACACTTAAGTGGCTGAATTCAGAAATATTATAGGCTGTTCTCTCCACAGCAAGTGTAACAACTTAAAAATAATGTAAGGCACATTTTAATTATAATGATGAAATAAAAAGCGCTGGTTTTGCTTCAAAGGCTAATAATAAATTGCTTTTTTAACATTTATTTTCACTCCCAGGTACAGGAACTGTATCACAGATGGAGAGTATAACCAGAGAAGTGTCAAATGGTATATATTGAGCATTAGATTCAAACTGTGCACAGCAGGGCCATAGAGTGACACTCACAGGTATGTGATGCCTGGTTATCTCCCTCCCTGTTGTCTGTATGAAGCAGAAAATCAGAATATTTAGTAAGTAATGGCATTTGCAGTATTGGTCTCTTTCAGCATTAACAGGAGTCCAAAATAGCCTTGTGAAATTCTCTTTCATACTATTTGCAGGGGAGAAATGATGCATTTATGAAGTTATTTATTTATTTATTTAAAAATATATATTGATTGCAGGGGTAGTGGCTCACACCTGTAATCCCAGCAATGTGGGAGGCTGAGGCAGGTGGATCACTTGAGGCCGGGAGTTAGAGACCAGCCTGGCCAACATGGCAAAACCCCATCTCTACTAAAAATATAAAAAATTAGCCAGGTGTGGTGGCACACACCTGTAATTCCAGCTACTTGGGAGGCTAATGCATGAGAATCACTTAAACTTGGGAGGTGGAGGTGGCAGTGAGCCGAGATTGTACCACTGTACTCCAGCCTGGGCAACAGAGCAAGATGCTGTCTCAAAATGCACGTGTGCATGCACACACACACACACGTGTGTGTGTATATATGTATGTACGTGTGTGTGTACATCTATCTGTGTGTGTGTGTGTATGTACCTATATAAATAATGCTTACTATGAGTGAGGCTGTATTCCAGCCCCTGGAAATATAGCAGATAAAGCCCCCATCTCACATTGCTCACTTTCTAAGCTACTAAGTTGAGTCAATGAACAAATAAAATAGAAAGCATGTCAGAGAGAGGGATGGTGTGCTGGTAAAGGCATGCTAACTTACACAAAGTGGCTGTCCTCCAAGGATGTCCATGTTGTAATTTCAGGAACCTATGAATATGTTACCCTACATGGCGAAAGGGGCTTAGGTATGAGTAAGTTAAGGTTCCCGAGATGAGAAGATTATCCTGGATTATCTGGATGGGTCCAATGTAGTCATAAGGGTCCTAATGAGGAGGCAGAAGAGATGTGGAGATGGGAGCAGATGTTGAAGAAATATCACTGCTTCTGGAAGGGGGCCACAAGCCAAGAAATGTGGGCAACCTCTAGAAGCTGGAAAAGACAAAACAAACAACTGACAACAAAAAACCCAGTTCTCCTCTATAGTGTCCGGAAGAAACACAGATCTGCTGACACCTTGATTTTAGCCCAGGAGAAAATATGTGGGACTCTGACCTCTAGCAGCATAACATAATAAATTTGTGGGAGGAGCCAAGATGGCCGAATAGGAACAGCTCCGGTCTACAGCTCCCAGCGTGAGCGACACAGAAGACGGGTGATTTCTGCATTTCCATCTGAGGTACCGGGTTCATCTCACTAGGGAGTGCCAGACAGTGGGCGCAGGCCAGTGTGTGTGCGCACCGTGCGCGAGCCGAAGCAGGGCGAGGCATTGCCTCACCTGGGAAGCGCAAGGGGTCAGGGAGTTCCCTTTCCGAGTCAAAGAAAGGGGTGACGGACGCACCTGGAAAATCGGGTCACTCCCACCCGAATATTGCGCTTTTCAGACCGGCTTAAGAAACGGCGCACCACGAGACTATATCCCACACCTGGCTCAGAGGGTCCTACGCCCACGGAATCTCGCTGATTGCTAGCACAGCAGTCTGAGATCAAACTGCAAGGCGGCAACGAGGCTGGGGGAGGGGCGCCCGCCATTGCCCAGGCTTGCTTAGGTAAACAAAGAAGCCGGGAAGCTCGAACTGGGTGGAGCCCACCACAGCTCAAGGAGGCCTGCCTGCCTCTGTAGGCCCCACCTCTGGGGGCAGGGCACAGACAAACAAAAAGACAGCAGTAACCTCTGCAGACTTAAGTGTCCCTGTCTGACAGCTTTGAAGAGAGCAGTGGTTCTCCCAGCACGCAGCTGGAGATCTGAGAACGGGCAGACTGCCTCCTCAAGTGGGTCCCTGACCCCTGACACCCGAGCAGCCTAACTGGGAGGCACCCCCCAGCAGGGCCACACTGACACCTCACACGGCAGGGTATTCCAACAGACCTGCAGCTGAGGGTCCTGTCTGTTAGAAGGAAAACTAACAACCAGAAAGGACATCTACACCGAAAACCCATCTGTACATCACCATCATCAAAGACCAAAAGTAGATAAAACCACAAAGATGGGGAAAAAACAGAACAGAAAAACTGGAAACTCTAAAACGCAGAGCGCCTCTCCTCCTCCAAAGGAACGCAGTTCCTCACCAGCAACAGAACAAAGCTGGATGGAGAATGATTTTGACGAGCTGAGAGAAGAAGGCTTCAGACGATCAAATTACTCTGAGCTACGGGAGGACATTCAAACCAAAGGCAAAGAAGTTGAAAACTTTGAAAAAAATTTAGAAGAATGTATAACTAGAATAACCAATACAGAGAAGTGCTTAAAGGAGCTGATGGAGCTGAAAACCAAGGCTCGAGAACTACGTGAAGAATGCAGAAGCCTCAGGAGCCGATGCGATCAACTGGAAGAAAGGGTATCAGCAATGGAAGATGAAATGAATGAAATGAAGCGAGAAGGGAAGTTTAGAGAAAAAAGAATAAAAAGAAATGAGCAAAACCTCCAAGAAATATGGGACTATGTGAAAAGACCAAATCTACGTCTGATTGGTGTACCTGAAAGTGATGTGGAGAATGGAACCAAGTTGGAAAACACTCTGCAGGATATTATCCAGGAGAACTTCCCCAATCTAGCAAGGCAGGCCAACGTTCAGATTCAGGAAATACAGAGAACACCACAAAGATACTCCTCGAGAAGAGCAACTCCAAGACACATAATTGTCAGATTCACCAAAGTTGAAATGAAGGAAAAAATGTTAAGGGCAGCCAGAGAGAAAGGTCGGGTTACCCTCAAAGGAAAGCCCATCAGACTAACAGCGGATCTCTCGGCAGAAACCCTACAAGCCAGAAGAGAGTGGGGGCCAATATTCAACATTCTTAAAGAAAAGAATTTTCAACCCAGAATTTCATATCCAGCCAAACTAAGCTTCATAAGTGAAGGAGAAATAAAATATTTTATAGACAAGCAAATGCTGAGAGATTTTGTCACCACCAGGCCTGCCCTAAAGGAGCTCCTGAAGGAAGCGCTAAACATGGAAAGGAACAACCGGTACCAGCCGCTGCAAAATCATGCCAAAATGTAAAGACCATCGAGACTAGGAAGAAACTGCATCAACTAATGAGCAAAATCACCAGCTAACATCATAATGACAGGATCAAATTCACACATAACAATATTAACTTTAAATATAAATGGACTAAATTCTGCAATTAAAAGACACAGACTGGCAAGTTGGATAAAGAGTCAAGACCCATCAGTGTGCTGTATTCAGGAAACCCATCTCACGTGCAGAGACACACATAGGCTCAAAATAAAAGGATGGAGGAAGATCTACCAAGCCAATGGAAAACAAAAAAAGGCAGGGGTTGCAATCCTAGTCTCTGATAAAACAGACTTTAAAACCAACAAAGATCAAAAGAGACAAAGAAGGCCATTACATAATGGTAAAGGGATCAATTCAACGAGAGGAGCTAACTATCCTAAATATTTATGCACCCAATACAGGAGCACCCAGATTCATAAAGCAAGTCCTCAGTGACCTAAAAAGAGACTTAGACTCCCACACATTAATAATGGGAGACTTTAACACCCCACTGTCAACATTAGACAGATCAACGAGACAGAAAGTCAACAAGGATACCCAGGAATTGAACTCAGCTCTGCACCAAGCAGACCTAATAGACATCTACAGAACTCTCCACCCCAAATCAACAGAATATACATTTTTTTCAGCACCACACCACACCTATTCCAAAATTGACCACATAGTTGGAAGTAAAGCTCTCCTTAGCAAATGTAAAAGAACAGAAATTATAACAAACTATCTCTCAGACCACAGTGCAATCAAACTAGAACTCAGGATTAAGAATCTCACTCAAAGCCGCTCAACTACATGGAAACTGAACAACCTGCTCCTGAATGACTACTGGGTACATAACGAAATGAAGGCAGAAATAAAGATGTTCTTTGAAACCAACGAGAACAAAGACACCACATACCAGAATCTCTGGGACGCATTCAAAGCAGTGTGTAGAGGGAAATTTATAGCACTAAATGCCTACAAGAGAAAGCAGGAAAGATCCAAAATTGACACCCTAACATCACAATTAAAAGAACTAGAAAAGCAAGAGCAAACACATTCAAAAGCTAGCAGAAGGCAAGAAATAACTAAAATCAGAGCAGAACTGAAGGAAATAGTGACACAAAAAACCCTTCAAAAAATCAATGAATCCAGGAGCTGGTTTTTTGAAAGGATCAACAAAATTGATAGACCGCTAGCAAGACTAATAAAGAAAAAAAGAGAGAAGAATCAAATAGACACAATAAAAAATGATAAAGGGGATATCACCACCGATCCCACAGAAATACAAACTACCATCAGAGAATACTACAAACACCTCTACGCAAATAAACTAGAAAATCTAGAAGAAATGGATACATTCCTCGACACATACACTCTCCCAAGACTAAACCAGGAAGAAGTTGAATCTCTGAATAGACCAATAACAGGCTCTGAAATTGTGGCAATAATCAATAGTTTACCAACCAAAAAGAGTCCAGGACCAGATAGATTCACAGCCGAATTCTACCAGAGGTACAAGGAGGAACTGGTACCATTCCTTCTGAAACTATTCCAATCAATAGAAAAAGAGGGAATCCTCCCTAACTCATTTTATGAGGCCAGCATCATTCTGATACCAAAGCCGGGCAGAGACACAACCAAAAAAGAGAATTTTAGACCAATATCCTTGATGAACATTGATGCAAAAATCCTCAATAAAATACTGGCAAACCGAATTCAGCAGCACATCAAAAAGCTTATCCACCATGATCAAGTGGGCTTCATCCCTGGGATGCAAGGCTGGTTCAATATACGCAAATCAATAAATGTAATCCAGCATATAAACAGAGCCAAAGACAAAAACCACATGATTATCTCAATAGATGCAGAAAAAGCCTTTGACAAAATTCAACAACCCTTCATGCTAAAAACTCTCAATAAATTAGGTATTGATGGGACGTATTTCAAAATAATAAGAGCTATCTATGACAAACCCACAGCCAATATCATACTGAATGGGCAAAAACTGGAAGCATTCCCTTTGAAAACTGGCACAAGACAGGGATGCCCTCTCTCACCACTCCTATTCAACATAGTGTTGGAAGTTCTGGCCAGGGCAATCAGGCAGGAGAAGGAAATAAAGGGTATTCAATTAGGAAAAGAGGAAGTCAAATTGTCCCTGTTTGCAGATGACATGATTGTTTATCTAGAAAACCCCATCGTCTCAGCCCAAAATCTCCTTAAGCTGATAAGCAACTTCAGCAAAGTCTCAGGATACAAAATCAATGTACAAAAATCACAAGCATTCTTATACACCAACAACAGACAAACAGAGAGCCAAATCATGGGTGAACTCCCATTCACAATTGCTTCAAAGAGAATAAAATACCTAGGAATCCAACTTACAAGGGATGTGAAGGACCTCTTCAAGGAGAACTACAAACCACTGCTCAAGGAAATAAAAGAGGACACAAACAAATGGAAGAACATTCCATGCTCATGGGTAGGAAGAATCAATATCGTGAAAATGGCCATACTGCCCAAGGTAATTTACAGATTCAATGCCATCCCCATCAAGCTACCAATGACTTTCTTCACAGAATTGGAAAAAACTACTTTAAAGTTCATATGGAACCAAAAAAGAGCCCGCATCGCCAAGTCAATCCTAAGCCAAAAGAACAAAGCTGGAGGCATCACACTACCTGACTTCAAACTATACTACAAGGCTACAGTAACCAAAACAGCATGGTACTGGTACCAAAACAGAGATATAGATCAATGGAACAGAACAGAGCCCTCAGAAATAATGCCGCATATCTACAACTATCTGATCTTTGACAAACCTGAGAAAAACAAGCAATGGGGAAAGGATTCCCTATTTAATAAATGGTGCTGGGAAAACTGGCTAGCCATATGTAGAAAGCTGAAACTGGATCCCTTCCTTACACCTTATACAAAAATCAATTCAAGATGGATTAAAGATTTAAACATTAGACCTAAAACCATAAAAACCCTAGAAGAAAACCTAGGCATTACCATTCAGGACATAGGCGTGGGCAAGGACTTCATGACAGCAAAAGAAACTACCATCAGAGTGAACAGGCAACCTACAACATGGGAGAAAATTTTCGCAACCTACTCATCTGACAAAGGGCTAATATCCAGAATCTACAATGAACTCAAACAAATTTACAAGAAAAAAACAAACAACCCCATCAAAAAGTGGGCGAAGGACATGAACAGACACTTCTCAAAAGAAGACATTTATGCAGCCAAAAAACACATGAAGAAATGCTCATCCTCACTGGCCATCAGAGAAATGCAAATCAAAACCACTATGAGATATCATCTCACACCAGTTAGAATGGCAATCATTAAAAAGTCAGGAAACAACAGGTGCTGGAGAGGATGTGGAGAAATAGGAACACTTTTACACTGTTGGTGGGACTGTAAACTAGTTCAACCATTGTGGAAGTCAGTGTGGCGATTCCTCAGGGATCTAGAACTAGAAATACCATTTGACCCAGCCATCCCATTACTGGGTATATACCCAAAGGACTATAAATCATGCTGCTATAAAGACACATGCACACATATGTTTATTGCGGCACTATTCACAATAGCAAAGACTTGGAACCAACCCAAATGTCCAACAATGATAGACTGGATTAAGAAAATGTGGCACATATACACCATGGAATACTATGCAGCCATAAAAAATGATGAGTTCATATCCTTTGTAGGGACACGGATGAAATTGGAAACCATCATTCTCAGTAAACTATCGCAAGAACAAAAAACCAAACACCGCATATTCTCACTCATAGGTGGGAATTGAACAATGAGATCACATGGACACAGGAAGGGGAATATCACACTCTGGGGACTGTGGTGGGGTCGGGGGAGGGGGGAGGGATAGCATTGGGAGATATACCTAATGCTAGATGACACATTAGTGGGTGCAGCGCACCAGCATGGCACATGTATACATATGTAACTAACCTGCACAATGTGCACATGTACCCTAAAACTTAGAGTATAATAAAAAAAAAAAAAGAAAAAAGAAAAAAAAAAAACAAAAAAAAAAAATAAATAAATAAATTTGTGGTGTTTCAGGTCACTAAGTTTGTAGCGATTTGTTACAGCAGCCAGAAGAAACTAATATGATAGTCATAGGAGGCTTCATTGAAAAGTGGACATTTGGACAAAGATCTAAAAGGAGGGGTAGCACCCTTCCTGTGCAGAGATTGTGGTGATGTGGAGCCTTCTACACTCCATGCCTAGTCAGGTCTCCAGGCATCTGCAACAACCACTCTCCTGGATTAGGAGTTTAGGTTGCCCCGACCCCTACTCCACCCATGCAGATCACTAGGGACTGAGGAGGTTTCCCAGCTTCACAACTAGGCACATCTCACCCACTGAATTCTCCCTTGACAATGGTGCTTATGCCTGCCTCTGGGGACCTGTAGGTGGGCCTGCCAAGACTGGCCCCACCCATCCTGCTTCATAACCCCCAGTGCTGAGCAGGGAGCTCAGACTACTGTTCACTCTATGGATTGGCCCATTGTCTGAGGCAACAGAGAGATTCTCCTGGTAAAAAATAATCAAGTATATACCCAGCCACATTGGCTGCAGCTGGCTCTTACCCATAAGCATCACCTATTGACTTATAGGTTGAACTGCACAGCCCAATAAAAAACCTGCTAAAAGAAGTACGTAGGGTTATAGAGGCAAAGTCAGAAACTCTACCCAACATTCTCTATAGTAACACCCCCTAGGGAGGGGTAGAGTCAAAGGAAAATAAATACAATAATATTATAGGGAAAGAAAAAAATCTTACTTGCATGAAAATAATTATGAAAATTATGTATATATATGTAACAAACAAAAACTTAAAGTATAATTAAAAAAAGAAAAAAAAAGAATTGCCACTGTCTCCAGATGAGAAAGAACCAGCATGAGAACTATGACACCATAAAAATTCTGCTTGTGGTGACACTACCAAAGGATCACACTAGCTCTCCACCAATGATCCCTGACCAAAATGTAAACTCAGAAATGGCAGATAAAGAAGTTAAGGCATGGATTGCAAGGAAACTCAATGAGATCCAAGAGAAGGTTGAAAATCAACACAAAGAAACTTCTAAAGCTTCCTTCAATCCAGGAATTGAAGGAAGAGATAAAAATTTTAAAAAGAAATCAATCAGAGCTTCTGGAATTTAAAAACTCATTTAAATTTCAAAATATAATTGAAAGCTTATATTTGCTTATATCTTCTATTTGACTAGATCAAATAGAAGAAAGAATTTTAGACCTTGAAGACTGGTCTTTTGAACTAACTTAGACAAGATAAAGAAAAAAGAATTAAGAAAAATGAACAAAGTATTCAAGAAATATGGGATTATGTAAAGTGATCAAACCTACAAATTACTGGCACTCCTGAGAGAAGAAGAAAAAGTAAATAACCTGAAAAACATAGGTCAGGGAATAATTCAAGAAAATTTCCCTAATTTTGACAGAGAGGTAGACATCCAGATACAAGAAATCCAGAGAAACTATACAAAATGAACGTCCTCAAGGCATATAGTCACCAGAATGGCAGCCAGAGAAAAAGGCCAGATCATATACAAAGGGAACCAGATCAGGTTAATAGCAGACTTCTCAGCAGAAATCTTACAAGCCAGGAGAGGATTGGGAGCCTGTTTTCAGCAATCTTAAAGAAAAGAAATTCCAACCAAGTATTTCATATCCTGCCAAACTAAGCTTCATAAGTGGAGAAGAAATAAAATTTTTTCCAGAAAAGAAAGCGCTAAGGAAATTTGTTACCACTAGACCAGCTTTACAAGAGATTCTTAAGGGAGTTCTAAACATTGAAACAAAAGAATACCTACTACCAAAAAGACACTTAAGTATATAGCCCGAAGATGTTATAAAACAACCACACGATAGAAACTACAGAATAGCTAAAAATAGAATCAAAAATCTCAATACCAAATATTAACCTCAAATATCAATATTAATATTGAATGTAAATTGTCTAAACACCCCCACTTAAAAGGCGCAGAGATGCAAACTGGATTTTTTAAAAAGGCTCATCCATCTTTTGTCTTCAAAAGACCAATCTTACATGTAACAACACCCATAGGCTCAAAATAAAGGGTTAAAAAGATCTATCATGCAAACAAAAAACTAAAAAGAGCTGGGATCACTATTCCTATATCAGATAAAAACAGACTTTAAACGAACAATAGTTAAAAAAAGGACAAAGAAGAACATTACATCATAACAGGTTCAATCCAACAAGATGACTTAACTATTCTAAATATATATTCACTTAACAGTGCAGCACTCAGATTCATAAAACAACTACTTTAAGACCTAAAAAAGATTTATACAGCCATGCAATAATACTGAGAGACTTCAACACACCACTGACAGCATTAAACAGAGGCAGAAAACTAACAAGGAAATTCTAGACTTGAATTCAACACTTAACCAACTGGACTTAAAAGGCATCTATGGAATACTCCCCCTATCAACCACAGAATAATACACTCTCTCATCTGCACACAGAACATACTCCAAGATTGACCACAGGCTCACCCATAAAGCAAGTCTCAATCAACTCAAAAAAATCAAAACCATACCAACCACACTCTTGGACCACAGTGGGATAAAAAGAAAAAAAATCAGTACCCCAGTCCTCTCAAAACCACACAACTACATGAAAATTAAACAACTTGCTTCTAATTAACTTTTGGATAAACAAAAAAATTAAGGCAGAAATTTTAAAAAAATCTTTGAAATAAATGAAAACAGAGACACACCATAGCAAAGTCTCTGGGATGCAGAAAAACCAGGGGAAAAAAGGAAAGTTTACAGCACGACATCCTTATGTGAAAAAGTTAGAAAGATCTCAAACTAACAACCTAATATTACACTTAGAGGAACTAGAAAAACAAGAACAAATAAAATCCAAGGCTAGGAGAACAAATAAAATAAGTAAAATTGGAGTGGAACTGAACGGAATTGAGACCCAAAAATCTACACAATCGATGAAAGAAAAAGTTGTTTCTTTGAAAGGAAAAACAAGATTGATAGATCACTAGCTAGATTAACAAAAAAAAAAAGAGAGAGAGAGATCCAAATAAGCACAATTAGAAATGGCAAAAATGACATTACAACCAATCCCACAGAAATACAAAAGATCCTCAGAGACTACTATGAACACCTCTATACACTCAAACTAGAAAATCTAGAGGAAATGGATGAATTTCTGGAAACACACAACCTCCCAAGGTAAAATCAGGAATAAATTGAAACCCCAGACAGGCCAATATCAAGTTTTGAAATTGAATCATTAATAAAAACCTACCAACCATAAAAGCCCAGACCAGATGGATTCTGTCTTAGTCTGTTCTTGCACTTCTATAAAGAAATACCTGAGATGGAATAATTTATAAAGAAAAGAGGTTTAACTGGCTCATGATTCCACAGGCTGTAAGGAAGCATGACTGGGGAGGCCTCAGGAAACTTACAATCATGGTGGAAGGTGAAGGGGAAGCAGGCACTTCTTCACATGGCCAGAGGAGGAAGAAGTGAGGCAGGAGGTGCTACACATGTTTAAACAACCAGATCTCACAATAACTCACTCACTATCACAAGAACAGAACCAAAGGGAAATCTGCCCCCATGATTCAATCACCTCCTACCAGGCCCTATCTCCAACATTGGAGATTAGAATTTGACATGAGATTTGGGCAGAGGAACAGACCCAAACCATATCAGATTTATAGCTGAATTTTATCAGACCTACAAAGAAAAGCTAGTACCAATCCTACTGAAACTATTTCAAAAAAGTAAGGAAGAGGGACTCCTCCATAACTCATTCTGTGAAGGTAGCGTCACCCTAACGCCAAGAACCTGGCAGAGATACAACGAACAAAATAAAACCTCAGGCCAATATCCCTGATGAACACAGACTCAAAAATCCTCAACAAAATACTAGCAAACTTAATCCAGCAGCACATCAAAAAGTTAATTCACCACAATCAGGTAGGTTTCATCCCTAGGATGCAAGGTTGGTTCAACAGATGCAAATTAATAAAAGTGATTCACCACATAAAGAGAAATAAAAACAAAAACCATATCATCTTCTCAACAGATGCAGGAAAAACCTTCAAGGAAACCCAACATCCTCTCCTGTTATAAACCTTCAACAAACTGGGCAGCAAAAGAACATACCTCAAAATAATAGGAGCCATCTATGACAAACTCACAACCAACATCATACGGAGGAGGCAAAAGCCGGAAGCATTCCTCTTGAGAACTGGAACATGCCAAGGATGCCCATACTTACCACCTATTCACCATAGTACTAGAAGTCCTAGCCAGAGAAAGAAATAAAGCGCATCCAAAATGAAAAAAAGAAGTCAAAGTAGCTCTTGTCTCTGATAATAAAATTTTATACCTGGAGAACCCTAAATACTCAATTAAAAGGCTCAAGGAGCTGATCAACAACTTCAGTAAGGTTTCAAGATACAAAATCAATCTCCAAAAATCAGTAGCATTTCTGTACATCAATAATGTTCAAGCTGAGAGCCAAATCAGGAATGCAATCCCATTTACAATAATAACAAATGCAATAAAATACTTAGAAATACATCCAACCAAGCAGGTGAAAGATCTCTACAAGGAGAACTAGAAAACATTGCTAAAAGAAATCATAGATGACACAAATAGACAAACATTCCATGCTCATCAATTGGAAGAATCAATACCATTAAAATGGCCATACTGTCCCAAACAATCTACCAATTTGATATTTACATCAAAGTGGCAACATCATCTTTCACAAAACTAGGAAAAACTATTCTGAAATTTATATCTAACCAAAAAAGATCCCAAATGGCCAAAGCAATCCTAAGCAAAAAGAATAAACTCAGAGGCATTACATTACCTGACTTCAAACTATAGTATAAGGCTACAGTAACCATAACAGCATGGTACTGGTACAAGAACAGATACCAATAGAACAGAATTTTAAAACCAATAGAACAGAATTTTAAAAAACACAAATAAAGCTGCATACCTCCAGCTATCTGATCTTCAGCAAAGTCAACAAAAATAAGCAATGAGGAAAAGACTCCCTATTCAATAAATCGTACTGAGATAGCTGACTAACCATATGCAGAAGAATGTAACTGGACCTCTACCATTTGCCATATACCAAAATTAACTAAATGTGGATTATAGATTTAAATGTCAGACCTCAAGCTTATAAAAATCCTAGAAGAACACCCAGGGGACATCACACTGCACACTAACCTTGGGAAAGAATTTATGACTAACTCCTTGAAAGCAATTGCAACAAAAACAAAAAATTGATAAGTAGAACATAATTAAATTTTGCTTCTGTTCAGCAAAAGAAATAATCAACAGGGTAATCAGACGACCTACAGAATAGGAGAAAATATTTCCAAACTATGCATATGACAAAGGTTAAATACCCAGAATCTACAAGGAATTTAAAGAACTGAACAAGCAAAACCAAATAATCCCATTTAAAAAACTGGGCAAAACACAGAAACAGACACTTCTCAAAAGAAGACATACAAATGGCCAACAAACATATGAGAAAATGCAAATCAAAACCACAGGGAAATATTGTCTCACACCAGTCAGAATGGCTGCTACTAAAAAGACCAGAAAACAACAGATGTTGATGAAGCTGCAGAGAAAAAGGAACACTTATATGCTGTTGGTGAAAAGGTAAATTAGTTCAGCCACTGTAGAAAGCAGTTTGAAGATTTCTCAGAGAACCTAAAAAAGAACTAACATTTGACCCAGTAATCTCATTACTATGTATATGTCCAAAAGAAAATAAATCATTCTTCCAAAAAGACACATATACTTGTATGTTCATTGCAGCACTATTCACAATAGCAAAACCAAGGAATCAACCTAGGGGCCTACTAATGGTAGATTGAATTTTTAAAATGTGGTATATATACACCATCAAATCCTATACAGCCATAAAAAAGAACAAAAGAATGTCCTTTGTAGCAACATAAATGCAGCTGGAGGCCCTTATCCTAAGTCAAGTAATGCAGGAGCAGAAAACCAAGTACTGTATGGTCATATGGTCTCACTTATAAGTGGGAGCTAAATACCTGCTACTCATGAACATAAAGATGGCAACAGTAAACACTGGGGACTATTGTGAGGGGAGAGATGGGGGCAAGGACTGAATAAACTTTTGGGTACTATACTCACTACCTGCGTGGACTGGATCACTCATACCCCAAACCTCAGCATCACACAGTATACCCATGTAACTCCTGTATTCAGGGGGCACATGTGCCCCCTGAATCTGCAATAAAAGTTGAAATTATATATATATATGTGTGTATACACATGCATATACACACACATATATACATATACATACATATAAACATATATGTATATAAATACATGTATATATATAAAATGTATATATATATAATATATATAAAATGTGTATGCATATATATAATGTGTGTGTGTGTGTATATATATATATATAAAGGAGAAGTGGGGCAAGCCATGTGTGTATCTGAGGAAAATGCATTCCCGGCAGAGGAAACAGCAAGTGAAATTCCGAGGCAGGTACACAACCAGCACATTGGAGTGACATCAGGAGAACAGTGCAGCTGAGTGGAGTCAGGAGGAGGAATGTAGCAGGGAGTGAAGTCAGAAGTGACTGTCAAAGGAAGCAGACACATATCAGGCAAACTGGGCTGTCGTAAAGATTCTGGCTTTTACCTCAAATGAGTCCCTGAAGAGGTTTTCAACAACAATGAAATGACATGATGGAACTTATGTTGAAGAGGACTACTCAGGCTGCTGCTGAGATTAGATTGCAGAGAGCAAACGCAGAATGAGGGAGATCAGATAGGAGGCTCTTCTAATAGCCCAGGTGAAAGGTAATGATGGCATGGGTCAGGGCAGTTGAATGTGGTGGGTCTGTAGGTGCATTGTACAAGAATCATTCTGGTTGTGAGATTAGAAGACATTGTGGGGTTGGGTTGTGGGGCAAGTCAAGGAGCAGTGGGACAGTTGGAGAATTACTACAATAATTTAGGGAACAAACTAAGATTGCTAGGACCTTCATCCAAGAAGAGATGATTGACACTGGAATCTATTTTCAAGGTAGAGCTGAAAGGGTTTTCTGACATCTGGTAAAAATGCAAGTTACCTGGGGAGTGCTACCACCCACAGCTTTCCTTTCCCTTTTCCCTTTATCACTTAATCCTGAGCCCCAGGCAGCCTAAATATTCTCCCTAGGAGACCCACCTTTATGGTCCATCTGAACAATTTACTAGCTTATTTATAACGAGAAAAGAGAAAGGTTGGATAGTCAAAATCAACTCAGGTCCTCAAACAATATCTATACCAATACTCTCAACCTCCTTTGTCCACCAAATGTTTCATCAGAACTATGTAAGAATGAAATTATAATAAGCTTTGGAGATAGAGTCAACAGGTACAGAAAGACTCCAAGATTCTTACTTTATCTAGTCGGGGCACTGCATTCCTAGATGTCCAATAGATCCTTGGGTTTAGTGAACTACTTTCAATATTTCAAAAATATTTTCAGAAACTTTGCATAGAAGTATAATATTGCATTGCTGATGATGTTATATAACTTCCCCATTTGGGTTACTTTATAGTCACTCTGTGTGGTTCAAACTATATTGGTCAATAAGTCTTAATAGAAACAAGAAAATCAATTACTACTTAAAAAAGTGTAATTTGTTTGAAAAATATCTTTAAAACTATAAGGACTACAGTGAAACGAATACAGATGGTGACTAGGGGAAACCTTTGGGAAATATGAAGTGAGTTGTTTTCAGCTCAGGTGATCCTTACAATCTCCTCCACAGATTATTGGAGATGGTGAATTCAAATACACCGTCTGCCACTCACTGACCTAGTAGAGTGGACGGTTGTGATCTGCCTGACCAGCACTCACCCTCCCGTCTTTTGATGACAGCTTCCTAACATTCCTTGGGAATCCACGTCTGCCCAGCTTTCAGGCTGCAGGTCCACAAGTCCAGGTGAATTTTCTCCCTTGCCAGCGCCCAGGATTCCATGGGGTACAGTCCTGTCCAATCAGAACATTGCATTCTCTTGGCCACTATGATTGGCTCAGAGATGACCATGTGACTCGATCAAATCTGACCCTAAGAATTTTGCTAGAAAGACCAAGAAGAAAAGCACCATTTTACCCTCTAGATTTTCCAAGAAGTTATGATGCAGGCCTAGAGCTGTTGGTGCCATCATGTCACCACAAGGGACAGCCTGCTTGGAAATGGAGCCAACGCAGAGGTGAGAAGAGCTTAAAGATGGCTAAAAGAGCCTGAGTCTTGAGCTTTGGTCATTCACTGACAAGTGAAAGAAAACTGATTCGTTTTAAGAATTAAATGACCAGGTTTTCATCCTATTTCTTTAACTTAGCTGCTATGGAATAAGTCATTTGGTTTCAGCAATCCCATAAAAGCTAATTTGTTACCAAGAGTGTTGAGAGGAATAATTAGTATGAGTCTCAAAGCAATTTGAAATGTGTAAATGTGCTATACAAAAACAAAAGAGCAAAATGCAGGTATGATTGTCAGCTACTTTCCCTCCTCACAATCTAATGACAGCAAATAGTGAAATAACTTAATGGTAGGAGTTAGTGAGGCAAAGTCCATAAATAATTGAGAATCATTAAATATAAATAATTATCTCATTATTAAACCTTTAGAGTGGACTATGGTGAATATACTCTAAAAGGCCTATGTGTTCCACCAACACCTTTTATCTCCATACTGTAATCAGCTCTCAAAAATTCCAGGTTGTGTAAGTGTTTCTGTGTGTTTATTTCTTCTCCATTAAACTTGAATAGGACACGAGTCATTATGGACTCCCATCCATTATAGGAGTGTTGGAGCCTTTCAACATTCGCATAGGAATAATTAAAAGAGATTTATGATTCTATTTTAGAACATAAAAAGTTTTGTTGCATGAATTACGCTAATATTTCTAAGCCCGTTTGACTTTCTCTGCTGCCTGCCCATCCAGACAAGCATGAGTTGTTTCTGTACTCCATAGGGAAGGTGTTTAGTGAGGCACTGGCATTGTGGGGTTTTTTGAAGTATTGTGTTCTTTGAGTGGAGTTTGCTGACACGGTGTGAATGGGCACAGCTCCCAAGATAGCAAGTGCAGCCTTGCCAAGTTCAGAATAAGTTGGTGCCTTGTAGAGCAATAACCAAGACCAAGGCTATCCAACTGTGTGGTACTGAGTTCAAACTAAACACAAATAATACATACACTTCCAGAACAACCCCAAAACAGATTATCATGGAAGATGATGTAACTCAAGATAGTTATAATAATATACAAATATAACTCATCATGAGTATGCCCTCCATTGTAAAAATCACATCTACCCCCAAGATTCAAACCTAGTTGTGTGCACCCCCAAAGCCCACACATTAAATCACCACGCTCTACATTGCAAACTGCCCCCACTAGGAGAGCTGACATGCAAAATAATTCTGTCCACAAGTACTCATCTTTCCCCATTACCATTCACTCAAATCTTTTGATGCTGTTCTTTAAACACATCTTGACGTCTAGACCCTTGAACACTTTCCAAGTGTTTCAGTCTCTTTTTCCATTGTGACTTTGCTCTCCTCCCAACCCCAGAACCAGTGGTCTTGGTGAACTGTTTGCAATGATGGCACATCCTCATAATCTTGAACCCCTACCATTTCTCCTGAGCCCAGTGCCCAGCCATGAGTAACCCTCATCACCTATTTGCTTGGATCCTATTTCTGAGCTATGAAATATGGCTAAAAGTCTGATAAAACTGAGCCTAATAGATCCCCTACATATCATTCCTCTCAGCAAGACCCACATAGGGCCACAGAAGTGGTAAATTGGTTTTAACCTTATTAAGAACAACCTGAGTGATAACTGCAGTGACCAATCATCATCCAAATGAGATTATTTTGCCTGGAACAAATTATAAATGCCATTTGTTCAGGACACCAGGACTGCCCTGAGCAAACTTTATATATAGTTACTATAGTTCTTTTCTTCTTTCTTGAGTTGGAGTCTCACTCTGTCACCCAGGCTGGAGTGCAGTGGTGCAATCTTGGCTCACTGCAACATCCGCATACCAAATTCAAGTGATTCTCCTACCTCAGCCTCCTGAGCAGCTGGGATCACAGGTGCCTGCTACCGTGCCTGGCTAATTTTTGTATTTTTAGTAGAGACGGGGTTTCACCATGTTGGCCAGGCTGGTCTCGAACTCTTGACCTCAAGTGGTCCATTCTCCTCGACCTCCCAAAGTGCTGGGATTATAGGCATGAGCTCCCATGCCTAACCTAGTTACTAACACACTTAGCCATAAAGATTAAAATCAATGGTTCTAGAATCTGACTGATCCCATACTGAATTTCTGCAATGCCACATTGTAAGCATGTGACTTTGATCATACAGTTTAACCATTCTAAGACTCAATTTCCTTAGCCATAAACTATGGATAATAACAATACCTAGCCCTAGTATTGCAATAAGGGGACATTTTATTATTATATCAAATTTAATTGGTCTACCTAACATTGTTGAAAATAGTAAGGAGTGAATCTATGTGTTACTTCTTACCCTGAATACACATGAAGAACTGCATGGTTTATACAAAGCAGTACTTCACAATCCATTACAAACCAATCCTTGTATTTCTCTGGAGGACAACTCTTCTTGCCCTGGTGTCATCTCCCAGAGTCCCTTGAAAATGATCCCTTCCCCCAGTCTACAGAACCCATAATAAAAGTACAGCTATCCCTAATAAGCTCCCAAATTTCATGAAAACCTACCTAGCCATTGTTGTTTGATAAAGTAACAGACACAGAGCAAGAAACTTTATATCAATGAAATAACCTGTGTAAAATAGCTAATGCAATTAAGCAGAACTGTTCAACAAACTTAAAGAATGTGTAAACATATAGAATGCACAAAGCCAAAAACTCTAACGAAATATATCTCCAAGATCTGGAATTGTTGGCATGAACTAAAATGATTAATCTTGTTTTGCCTAATATTCAAAAATCAGCTGCAGCAACATAAGATCTAGAGATCCAGTTTAGCAGGGATTCATGAGAACAAAACTTAAGCATGCTTATGAGCCATTGAGGGATGCAGGGAACATGGCTGAAAGTAAATGTAAAGCAATCAATGTCTGCATTCTTCTACAACTGTAGATTTCAACATGACAAAAGTGCCGGGCCATGAACCATCAAAGTGTGCCATGAAATTTTATTCACTATATACCAGCGGTCCCCAACCTTTTTGGCACCAGAGATCAGTTTTGGGGAAGACAATTTTTCCACAGACCCAGGGTTAGAGGGGATTGGTTTCAGGACGAAACTTCCACCTCAAATCATCAGGCATTAGGTTAGATTCTCATAAGGAGCATGCAACCTAGATCCCTCACATGTGCAATTCACAATAGGGTTTGTACTCCTAGGAGAATCTAATACTGTTGCTGATCTGACAGGAGGCAGTGCTCAGGCAGTCACGTTCGCTCACCCACCACTCACTTCCTGCCATGTGGCCCAGTTCCTAACAGGCTACGAACCAGTACTAGTCCACGGCCTGGGGGTCTGGGATTCCTGCTATATACAATATATTACTACAACTGAAGGTACACTCACGCAATTACAAATAAATACATGATATAAATAAGCTGGGTGTGTCGTCTGACACGGTGTAGACTCAGGTGTAGTTTGCTGAGAAATACCACCATAACGTCATGCACAAATCAGAACAAAAAAAATACATGGAAATGCAAAGAATATTTTGCTTCCTGATTGTGTAAGAGAATGTGTTCAGGACAACAATGATTTCTTTTATATCCGAGGGGGAAGGAAAGGGATAAGTCCCCTACAAATCTTTCCGTGTGCAAGACCCACATAGGGCTACGGAAGTGGATTTACCTGGTTAAACACTATCATAAACAACCTGAGTGATAGTAAGTGGAATGACCATATAATTTATCATCCAAACAGGATGCTTTTGTCTGAGACAAATGACAAATGTCAATGGACAACAGGACTATCCTGGGCATACAAGTCATGGAATAATAGCGTATGTAATTTAATCACTTTGGATGGGTCACCATAACTTTTAGTCTTCAAAAGTGTATGGCTTAGAAATATCACCATTTGGCAAATGCCACAGCAATAATTGTTGCAAGTAAAAATTGTCAATTGTTGCTAAAATTAGTGGGCAACAGAACGAACAACTCAGAAAGACAGAAAGTAAATTATTGGTCACTAGAAGCTGAGGAGAGGTAATAATAGGGTGTGATGGCTGATGGATATGGGTTTCAAAAGCGGTGATGAAAATGTTCTGGAATTACACAGTGATGACAGTTGTACAAACTTGTGAATATAATAAAAGCCACTGAACTGTATATATTAAAAAGTGAATTCTATAGTATGTAGATTATATCTCAATGCAAAATAATAATAAAAATTAGTCAACAAAGAGTGAGAAGGTACAGGATATTTACATAGCCTCAAAGCATCTTGTAACAAGATACATATAAATTGCAAAGCAAAATTGTAACTTCAGTGGAGAAACCTGCAGGACACTACCTTAACTAGATATTCAAAGTTAATATCATCAGTAATAAAACAAATTCACACCACGTGCCTCCTGATTCAAAGCTCTGGAGACACAAGAGTACTTCTGTAGTATTTTCCTAAAAGTATGTAACCTAAATCTCATCATGAGAGAGTATCAGGCAAACACCACAACATCCCAAATTGAGAGACATTCTACAAATAGCTAGTCAGTATGCTTCAAAAGCATCAAGGCCATTGTAGTGGGTTGAATTGTGGCCCCCAAAATATATGCCAACTCAAGACCCCAAAACGTGACTTTATCTGGAATAAACATCTTTCCAGATGTAATGGAGATAAGGATCTCAAAATAAGATCATTCTGCCTAAGGATGGGCCCTAAATCCAGTAACAGGTGTCTTTAAAAAGGGAGACTACACAAGAACATAGAAGAAACCCATGTAAGAACAGAGGCAGAAAGTGGAATTTTGGAGCCCCAAGCCAAGGAGTGCCAGCAACCAGCCGGAAGAGAGGCATGAAACTGATTCTCCCTCAGAGCCTCCATGGAGAAGCCACCCTGATGACACCCTAATTTTGTTCTTCTGGCCTTCAGATCTGAGAGAGAATCAATTTCTGTTGTTTTAACCTACCAAGTTTGTGACAATGTGCTGCAGCAGCCCTAAGAAGCTAAGGCAGTCCTAAAAAAGAAAGAAAAGCCGAGGAACCGTTCCAGATTAAAAGGACCTAGGAAGGAGACATGTAATACTGAGTTGGATCTTGAACTAGAAAAAAGGACATTAGTAGGATAATCTGTAAAAGTTGAATAAGATTTGTAGATTATAGTATTGTATTAATATTCATTATACAGTTATTTTGTAATTTTACTGAGGTTTTAAAAAATGTAAACCTTTGGGAACCAGGTGAAAGTATGTAATTCTTTGGATTATTTTTGCAAATATTTTCCAAGTCTGAAATTATTTCAAAGTAAATACAGTCATCCTTTGGTACCCTTGGGGAATTGGTTCCAGGCTCTCCCTCGTATCTAAAAATCTGTCGATCCTCAAGTTCCCGATATAAAATGACATATCTAGTATTTGCATATAAACTATATTCTCCCATATGCTTTATGTCATCTCTAGATTACTTATAATACCTAATACAATGTAAGTGTTAATGTAAATCGTTGTTATACTGTATTGTTTGGGGAATCACGACAAGAAAAAGTCTGCACATGTTCAGTACAGATGCAAATTTTTTAAATATTTTCAATCCACAGTCAACTGAACTCACAACTGTGGAACCCACAGACATGGAGGTCTGACTGTAATTCAAAAATAAATAAATAATTTAAATTGTACAGCTAACCTTAGTTGTAAGAACCACCAAAACTGCTCAGGACTGAGCAAGTCATAGACACACCGCATCGTTTTTAAGCTGTCAGATTCTGGGCAGTTAGATTTTGTTGGTTGGTTAAAAGCATAAGGTCCTAGAATCATACAACTTCCCTACTGGCTCAGATATATGTTCTTAAACTCATTGCTTACTCTCTATGTATCTCAGTTTTCTTGTGTGCAAATAGAAAATAATCACAATATCTCCCTCACAGAATTGTTTTGAAGATACTTAAGAATCTATGTAAAGTGCTTAGCACCGTGCATGACAGATAATAACTGCTTACAACTGTTAGCTCCTTTTATGATATTGGTTAGTGAATATAACCAGCCCTATACTTGGCACAGAGAATAAAGCGAAAAAAAAAATGCAACTTTCTGTTTTGAAAAACACTCATGTACTGAGGAAATCATAAAACCAAGAAGAAGCAGTGAGTAGTGGTAAACAAAGGACGCTACTAGGGTAAAAAACTAAGTAGCCTGTGGTTTCTTTTCCAGAAGACTGAAGAGACATTACTACATGAAAAAAAAAAAAAAAAAAAAAAAGAATGTTTGCAAAGAAGAGAAGCTCAATGAAAAGTTGTTGAACACAATCATTGGCTAACAATTAGAGATGACTTTGCAAACACTGTGCCTGCAATCACTGGAGGCAATCAGAAAAATCTAATGCACTCTCGGGTCTATTAAATGGGAATTTCTGTAGCAAGTAGGAGGTTGGAAAATCTGACTGCTGAGGGTCTGTAAATATGCATTCTTCTATTCTTCCCTTTTTCGTGGTCTCTCCCCGCATCTTTTCACATCTTACTCGACATGGATGGGAAGACTATTTTCATCTCTAAGACTGAAAACTGATTAAATATTTATTGGGACCAGCAATTGAAACCAAAAAATGTGGCCAAGATTGAGACCCTATATCCCTTTAAACTTTTTGCCAACTTCATCCAGAGGCCATCATTGTCTCTTTCAAGTGACTTTGGGCTCTGTGGGTGCTGAGTACATTACCCTATTCCCTGCCAGCTCTGCAGAGGGCTGGCGCTGCGCCTACTGCCAACCGTGCAGTTTGCCAGCAAAATCTCCAAGCTGGGAAAATACACACACATCAAAAGATCTGCTACGAGGTTTAGCAGCCAGGCACAGAATGGATGCACAATTGTAATTCAAGTCAAGGCCATCCAGCTCTATGTAAAGCCTTAGTGAGTGATGACTGGCATACTCCTCAGGTACATTTTGGGGTCTCTCCAAATGATGCACTGCCAAGAGACACCTAGGGCTCTTTTGTGGCTTTCCCTTCAGAGCGGCCAGGAGGAGGAAACACATTTCACTTGCCCCAAACCCAAAGGTGTCTCCTCTCATTCTAAGCTTCCCTGAGGGTTTCTTCTATGAGAAGCAGCAGGAGAATCCTCTCTGTTGGCATCTCCCCAAGGAGGGCACACACAATTAAAAATTTTGAGAAAATATGCACCTCAAAGATCCTCAAAAGGATCAGATGGGATTGCTGATTAGCAGAAGCTAGAATTGGGTGGCAAGGGCATTTGTCCCCACAAATGTTTCCTTCCCCTTCAAGCATGCCACCTGATTCAAAGTAGCCCATTGAAAGGACAAGCAGGAAAGAACATTAACCCTCACCTCCCCAGCCTCCCACTGCACTCCCACTACAAAAACGGGTGATCAAGTAGACAAAAAGAAAACTATTGAAAATGCCGCTCAATTGCTTTAGGCATTTGTTTACTGGTTTATTTTTTCTCAAGTAACTGGCTGGACTACAATCAGTGAGGATTTTTCATTTGCCATGTTTTTGTGTGATTTCTCAATCAATATTCATCTTTCATGTATCTAAAAGACAGGAACAGCTCCAGGCAAGAGTCGACTATTCTGAGTTATTCATTTACAAGAAGAAATTGCTTCACTAAGACCTGAGTGATCTGCCAGCACGACACGGGAACATTTGAGTTACAGCAGACATTTATTTTTCTCATGTTTTATTTTTGGGGAGGATAGGTTGGTGTTTGTCCATGTAAATCTGGTAGCCTCCCTTAACATTTAAGAAGAGAAAATGGTAAGGTATAAAGACTTCCCTAAGCAATTGGTGGGCTAGGAAAACAACATTTAACAAATCAACAATTCACTGGGTGTTTACTTTATGCTACACATTATGCTAAGTGCTTTACAATCATCATCTCATTTAAACCTACAACAATCTTATAAAAAGGCATATTATTGTTCCCGAATGATAGGTGAAGAAACTAGGGTTCAGAAATATTGTTAAGTAACCTGCCTCAGGAGACACTAAGAACACACTGAGAAAATGCTTACTGGATTCATGTAGTAAAATGAGGATGATAAAGAAAAGGTTATTAAATTGATTTTAAATAGTATGACTTTTCTTTTTTCTTCTTTTATTATTATACTTTAAGTTTTAGGGTACATGTGCACATTGTGCAGGTTAGTTACATATGTATACATGTGCCACGCTGGTGCGCTGCACCCACTAACTCGTCATCTAGCATTAGGTATATCTCCCAATGCTATCCTTCCCCCCTCCCCCCACCCCACAACAGTCCCCAGAGTGTGATGTTCCCCTTCCTGTGTCCATGTGTTCTCATTGTTCAATTCCCACCTATGAGTGAGAATATGCGGTGTTTGGTTTTTTGTTCTTGCGATCGTTTACTGAGAATGATGATTTCCAATTTCATCCATGTCCCTACAAAGGACATGAACTCATCCTTTTTTATGGCTGCATAGTATTCCATGGTGTATATGAGTTGAAAGAGACCGTTTCAGCCACTGACACTTGAGAGATTCACTGTTCATTTCTATCCTCTTAACTCCCCTTTTGAATGTCCTAGAGTTCACAGAATCTTGTTGTTAATTCACATTTTCTTTCAAACTTCAGAACTCTTATTTCTCACATGTAGACTAAGCTGCAGCCAAAAAGTTCATCACTCCTCACTAGAGAAAGGAATCAAAGTTCACATCAGAAAAATGTGACAATCATGCTGGCTGTGTGGTCACCTTTTTAAATCAACTTCCTGGCTCTCCTAAAAATAAGTGTTATGCAAATGCATAGCAAATATATATACACACATATATATGCATATACATGCATAGTGTACATATACCTACATATGCATACACACACACACACACACACACATACACACATGGCAACTTGGTCACTGTGGCCATTTCTAGGGAGATCAATGTGATTTGAGGGAAGAAACGGGGACATAGAGGTGAAGATATTTTAGCATTTTACTCTAAACCCTAATTCTTTGTTTTATAGCAAATATTCCTAAGTTTGAAAGCCATTTTTAAGAAAGTGCAATAATTCATGGTCATCACTGGTATAAAGAATAAGGATTTGTTGAGAGGAGTTTGATTGAATATGCTTCATATATTGTGATAGGAAAACCATCTTCAGGAAAACAGGAAATCCATGTCCTCTGGTTGTCAAAGAGCTTCTTACCCAGAAGTGGCTGCTGCTGGTGCTGCTAGGGTCCTTCACCGGGCCTGAGCACCAAGCCTCAGGGGCTGTTAATGATTCACAGATGCTCCTTTCTCCAGATAATCTCTCTCTGCCAACTGAGAGCTTCCTGCCTTTCCAGGAGGTTGCACTTTCACCCCATTCCCCGAAGAGGCTGAGCCGTTTAGGGGAGAAGCCAGTGGCCAATGCCCTGCTGACATGGGGGTTTGAGTGCCCAGTCCCTGGCCTCCAGTAAACCAACCCTGTGGAGCCTTTTATGCCCCAGAGCTTCCCCATGAGGTTAGCCTGAGGCTCAAGTCCTGCTGGAACCACATCCTTGCTTAGATTCTCCTGCTCCTTTGTGCTTCCCCTTCATCTGTCCTGGGAGCAATCCCTCAATAAATCACTTTCACAGTAACCCTTGTTTCAGGCTCTGCTTCCCAGGAGCTCAACCTAAGACGCTCCCATTACCTCTCACTCTCTAATACTTAGGGGCTGAGATATTTACAAGGGAATTCAGTGACCCTTAATTCAATGAACAGATATCTTTAAATTTGTTTAAAATGTTCAACAACACACACACACACCTAAAATCATTTTCTGAAGCCTCCACATCATTGATACTAATTCTTGACAAAACACAAGAAAAGAACAATCTGACATATAAACACTGATGCGAAAAGTCTTAAAATGTTAACAAAAACAAAAGAAACAAAAACTTAGCACATGAAAAGAATGATTCTATGCCCAAATGAGGTTTATAACCTGAAGGATAACTAACATATTTAGTGCTCAATGGCTATAAAGCCCATGATGTTGTAAAGATAATAAAAAGACATTTTGTTAAATATTTGTTATATAAGAATAATTTCATAACATAATTTTTGAAGACATATGTAGATATAAAAACAATTAGAATATATAAAGGGATAATAAACTTTATTTCAAAATTGAAAATATATATTTTAAAATCAGCACATAAATTCAATAAGAAATATATAGTATCTTAAAAATATATTGTATTGAACTGAATTTTCATCCCTAAAATTCACCTGTTGAAGTCTCAACCCTCAACTGACTGCATTTAAAGATAGGACTTTCAAAAGGCTAAAGTCAAATGAGGTTATAAGGGTGGGACCTTAATGAATAGGAGAAGTGTCCTTATAAGAAGAAGAAAAGACCCCAGAGATCTGTTTCAGTACATGTATAGAGGACACAGTAGGACCACTGTGTGTGTGCAGATGGACAAGGTGACGATCTACAAGCCAGGAAAACAGGCCTGACCAGAAACCAGCCCTGACACCTTGATGTCAGACTTCCAGCCTTCAGAACTGTGAGAAAATAAATTATTGTTGTTTAAGCCACCAGTTTTGTAGTATTTTGTTATTACAGCCCAGGCAAACTACTATACCTATAAAGCATAATTACTAGGATTTAGACAGTATTGATACATTAAAAGATATTTGTCACTTTTGGCTAAGATAACTCAATCTTACTAAGAAGTCAACTCTCCCTAAATTAGTATGTGAATGTAGTATGATCCTTATTAAAATTCCAAAAAGTGTATTTCATTGAGTTGTAGGTTTTTTCTTTTTTGGAAGGAAGCCAATTAATTAAGGTCTCAGGAAAAAATAATCACACACACACACACACAAAATTTTTTGAAAAGGCAATGTAAGTAGGTGGTAGGATTAACCTTGAAAGAGAAAACATTATGAAGTTGGAGTAATCTAATGAGATAATAAATGTAAATTGCTTAGCACAATGCTTGACACAGGAATGGAAAGATTAATGAGACAAAACTGAATGAAGAAAACAGACAAATACAGATGGGGATTTAATTTATGACAAAGCTTGCATTTTGTATCAGTGGGGAAAGACAAATTATTCAATGAATGACTTTGGGACACCTGAGAAGTGTTCTAAAAATAAAATCAGGCCGGGGGGCGGTGGCTCACGCCTGTAATCCCAGCACTTTGGGAAGCCAACGTGGGCAGATCACGAGGTCAGGAAATCGAGACGATCCTGGCTAACAGGGTGAAACCCTGTCTTTGCTAAAAATACAAAAACAAAATTAGCCGGGAGTGGTATCTGGTGCCTGTAGTCCCAGATATTCGGGAGGCTGAGGCGAGAGAATGGCATGAACCCAGGAGGTGTAGCTTGCAGTGAGAAATCGCGCCACTGCACTCCAGCCTGGGAGGCAGAGCGAGACCCCGTCTCAAAAACAAAAATTTAAAAAAAAAAAAGTGAATCTCTACATTATTTCTTTCACCAAAAATCATCTCAAATGGGTCAATGATATAAAGCCTTAAAAGCACTAGAAGAAAACATGGGAGTTTAAAAAAATAACATTTCTTTCTATTAAAGATCTTTATAAGCAAGATCTTTCTAATCTTGAAATAAGGACTATCTTTCTAAGAAACAGATTATAAATCTTACTGTATTCAAATGTTTCTGTTTGCTTTTATTGTGGAGAGACAAATGACTAACAAGGTAAAAGTATTTAAAGTTCATGTAATACTACTTTCTCTACTTTATCAAGAACACTTAATTTAAAAGAAACAACATCTCAAGGTGGCTTCATGGCGCAATGGATAGCACATTGGACTTCTAGTGACCAAAAAATAAAGATCATCCCAATTTATAAAAATGAGAAATAACTTTAACATGGTGTTTGTAGGAGGAATAACATGACTTACAAACAATCATAAAGGTATTCAACACCACTCATTTTTTTTTTTTTTTTTTGAGATGGAGTCTAACTCTGTCACCCATCCTGGAGTGCAATGGCACGATCATAGCTCACTGCAACCTCCACCTCCCGGGTTCAAGCAATTCTCCTGCCTCAGCCTTCCGAGTAGCTGGGACTACAGGTGTGTGCCATCGCACCTGGCTAATTTTTGTATTTTTCCTAGAGATGGGATTTCACTGTGTTGGCCAGGCTGGTCTCAAACTCCTGACCTCGTGATCTGCCCGCCTCAGCCTCCCAAAGTGCTGGGATTACAGGCATGAGCCACTGCGCCCAGCCAATTTAATTTTTTTAAAAAGACCAACATGTAGTACTTGGTGAGGATGGGAAGAAACAGGATTTTTCAGGCCCTATTATGTAAGTGAAGATCGGTGCACACTCTCTGGAAAGCAACTTGGCAGTATTTATAAAAATATAAAATGCACAGAATGATGGTTCTGGCAATCCAACGCTAAGTATTTGTTGTGTAGCATGCCCTTTGTTTGTCCAAAAGTATATGGACAAGGATGTTCGTTGCAACATTGATTAGAAAAGACCGGAAACAACCTACATACCTCCTGGTAATAAAATAGTTGAACAAGCAAACAAACATAAACAATCCATACAAGGTTTATGTATTTCTTACAAACAGGATTTAAATAATTTAATAATAAAGGACATGAGGTACAAGGGTTTGCAAACTTTTACTGTGTAAGGCCAGATAGTAAATATTTTAGGCTTTGTTTGTGTACCATCTGGCCTCATTAACAATTCTTCAACTCTGCTATTACAGAAACAAATGGGTGTGCCTGTGTTTCCGTATAATTATATTTACAAAACTGGATGGCAAGCCAGATTTGACCCTTGGGCTGTAGTTTTTCCACTCTGATTTAATGGATTTATTTATGGATAAGTGAGTGATCCATACTTATTAATGAATTGGATATATAGATTGTGAATTTTATGGATAAATCTTCCATACATGATTTAATTATATATGTTATGTTATCCCTATTATGTATTTTATATACATGGATATTATTGAATAATAGTTTCTACAGGATTATACCTTATAGCTGTGAAAAAGAATAAGGTAACCTGCAAGTTATAATACAAAAACCTCCAAGATACATTAAGCAGAAAACACGAGTAGCAGAACCATGACAATAGTACACTCCTGTTTGTATTTAACAATGTACAAGTTTTATGCAATATTTGTAAATGATGCAGAATTTGTCATTACCTCTAGGGAAAGGATTGAGGGACTGGTTTTCTGGGGAAATCGAGAAAAGTTCACTTCCCTTTTATATTCTTTTGTACTCTTTCACTGTGTATACATAATTTTAAACTATAAAATACACATTTTTAAAAGAAAATTAATAAAATGTATGGACTAAAAATGTATGGGCAAGTAGATATAACACAATTTGGAAGTTAGGCTGATGGTCAGCTGGCATCCTGCTAGAAAGATCATGCCTGTTTTTAAAATGTTGATCTATGTCTGGAGCAGTTGAGAAATAACCATTTCTCCGAACACATTGAAAGTTTCCATCAGCCTGGCAGTCCTAGTGCCACTACAGGAATGAACCGCTCCTCAAAATACCCCAGCACCTGTAGTTTCTCAACAAAGTTTGTAATTTCACTGAGCTTCTCTTTAGTCACTGAAGCATAATCAGTATCACTTGGCCTACCTGGCCCTGAATTTGTTGGAGTATGAGAGGAGATAACATATCTAAAAGCACTCTGCAAAATAGAATCTTTGTGGCCAACATAAGATAATTAACATCTTTTCTTCCCCCCGACTTAGAGCCTGTTGACAAAGCCAATGTGGAGTATTTCTTCTAGGAACACAATTACTTTCTAACATCCATGCTCAAAACGTCGCCTTTCATTCATACCTCTATTATATCACGAATAATAGCATTGTCTAGTGTGTTGAATATGTGTCAATTTCATTTGCTATCCAGAATCCTTTAATTAAAAATGTGGCTTATTTGCATATACTCAGGACCCACTATAATGGCTGATGTAGACACAGGATATGTTTGATGAATAAATAAACAGAAAGAGGGTAAAGAAACATAATGAGAGAGATCTACAAAAAGAAATCTGTTTATGTGTTGAAAGGAATATTTTCAACTCCACTTCTCAATTGTCTCCAGAGAAACTCAGTGACAGTTTGTAAAGCAGTCCCAGAATAAGAGTGTAATTTATATATCATTGCTTGAAACTACTGATGGGATTCTAATATACATATATATATATGTGTACATACATGTATATACACACACACACAGAGATATATATATATACACATATATCTATATAACAAATATTTATTAAGTGGCTATAGAAATTGCCTAGATTCTTAGGAATACAATATGAGCAAAACAGTCACTTCTGTCTTGGGGCTTATGGTCTAATGGTTAAGGAGACAATAATAAAACTATCACATAAATGTGGGCATTCTTTTTTTTTTTTTTTTTTTTTTTTTTTGAGACGGAGTCTCGCTCTGTCGCCCAGGCTGGAGTGCAGTGGCGCGATCTCGGCTCACTGCAAGCTCCGCCTCCCGGGTTCACGCCATTCTCCTGCCTCAGCCTCCCGAGTAGCTGGGACTACAGGCGCCCGCCACTACGCCCGGCTAATTTTTTGTATTTTTAGTAGAGACGGGGTTTCACCGTGTTAGCCAGGATGGTCTCGATCTCCTGACCTCGTGATCCGCCCGCCTCGGCCTCCCAAAGTGCTGGGATTACAGGCGTGAGCCACCGCGCCCGGCCTGGGCATTCTTTTTAATGAAGATAGATGGTATGGAGGAAATGAGGTTTTATTATAGCATATAACAAGGAAGAGTCTAGTTGGTGAGGTATGTCTGGGGGAACGATCAGGGAAGTGTTCCCTGGGGGAGTGACACATGAACTGATAGCCAAAGAAAAGTAACAGTTGACCAGATCAGGGCAGTGGGTTCTGTCTATAGGTTCATAGCAATGGCCCTGTGAAAAAATACACATGGAGCCTTTAAGGACAATTAGCGCACAGAGAGAAGAGTGACCATAGATTACTTAGACTGCCATGTGCCCATGAGAGCCCATGACCTCCTAGTCTGTAGGCACATGGCCAGACTACATTTCCCAGCTTCCCTTGCAGTTAGATGTGGCCACGTGGCAGAGTTCCACCCAATGGCATGTGGAGGAAGTGACCTAACTCTAAAGGAGCAGCTGTTCTTTTTCCATATTCTTTCCCATTCAGCGGACAGGAAAAAAATGATGATGAGACCCCGGGGTAAAGAGGAGCCAAAGGATGGAAGGAGCTCAGGACTTCCAGGAAACCTGAACTCACTGTTAGGGCTGTTGCCTGCGTGAGAAATAAATTTCTGTTGTGGTTGAATCATTATATACTTTTGAAACTATCCCTTCAGCCTGGCCTACCCATACTATGAGAGAGAAGTGTGAGCCAGATTGTGCAGGGCCTTGTGGGTCACATTAAAGATACTGGGGTTTAGGCTGGGCACGGTGGCTCATGCCTATAATCCCAGCACTTTGGGAGGCCGAGGCGGGTGGATCACGAGGTCAGAAGTTTGAGACCATCCTGACCAACATCGTGAAACCCTGTCTCTACTAAAAATACAAAAATGAGCTGGGCGTGGTGGCACGTGCCTGTAATCCCAGCTACTCAAGAGGCTGAGGCAGGAGAATCGCTTGAACCTGGCAGGCGGCGGTTGCATTGAGTTGAGATTGTGCCACTGCACTCCAGCCTGGCCGACACAGTGAGACTCCATTAAAAAAAAGAAAGAAAAGAAAAGATATTGGGGTTTCTCCTAAGAAATGGGGAGCCATTGAGGGGTTTTATGCAAGATAGTGAGACATGATCAAATGTATATTTTTGAAAAGATGATTCTGGTCACTCTATAGAGAGTTATAAATTGCTCCAGTTTACCATTTTACTTTGCTAGGTTGCCCCTGTACTAGATTAGATAAGGAAGTAGCAAAACAATAAGATATTTCAGAGATATGCCATAGTAAGGAGTAAATGGCATCAGGTTTGAAGTAATGGAAAGAAAGTAAGGAATACTAATAGACAAGCAATATTAAAAGTATGAGAATAAAAATTCACAAAAAGAAAAAACCATTAAAGCATTTTCTAAAACAAAAAGTAGAAGCAAGTACAGTCACAATGAGCAAAGAAGGCAGCAGAAAGCACTGTTACAAGAATCATGGGATTTGGAATCAGAGCACAGCTCTGCCACTCACCAGCTTTATGCTGCTGGGAATATTACCTAGATTCTCTAGTCTTCAAGTTTCTCCATCTGTGGAATGGGGACAATAGAATTTATGTTGCAGAATTTCCATTAGGACACAATGAGGCGATGCTATCAATTGTGCAGTAGTGCCTGGCATGGAGCCAGTGCTCATCAGTGTTAGCTGTTATGAGTATTCAGAGCCAGCGTGGGAATGAGTGGGTTGGATATCATAGGAAATGGACATGATCTAAAAAATCATATGGGTTCCCAAGATTGAAATCAAGGCAGATGATAAAATATTTTGGAAAATCATGAAAACATGCTATCTATGAAAACTGGGGCCATGACAAGGAAGCAGGAGAAAAGAAGTTCATCCCACTGAGAAGTAAAAGTCCTTTTATTTAGGATCCATCAACCTCAGCAATATTGACAATGTCAGCCAGATAATCTTTTGTTGTACAGGCTGGGGGAAGAGGCTGTCTGTGAATTACAGGATGTTGACCAGCATCTGGGTCTCTATCCACTAGATGCCAATAACATCTCCCTCTTCAGTTGTGACAACCAAAAATGTTTCCAGGAATTGATAAATGTCTTCCTCTCTTTTTTTCATTATTTTTCACCAGGGATATGAAAAGAATTAGATGGATACAATGCTCCCATTATAAAACTTGCATCCAAGAGTTTATATTATCTTTTTCTCACTAGTCTGCTCTTGGTCTCATGGGCATAGTGTCACTAAAATATTTAAAGGCAGGTGGGAGAGCTCGATTACTTGAACAGAGTATATTAGGTTTCAATTTTTCTTTTATCTCTTTATTGAAAAAAAATAGTACATTTTTAAGACTGCTGCAGAATAAGTACTGAGACAAACGTATGTGACATCATTTGCATTCTGGTTGCCTGAACCATTAAAAGATAGTTCTACGGCCACCATTCTGAGAGGCTGACCTTGAAGTCTTAGAGACCTATGTCCAAGGCCTGGTGCCCAATTACTTCCTGACCTTATGTACTTGTCTTTTAAACTCCTGAATTTGTTTTCTATCCTGTGTAACAAACTACTACAAACTTAGCTGCTAAAAACAACATCCATTTATTATCTCATGGTTTTTTAAGTCTGGAGGTAGCAAAACCTAGTGGGGGTGGGGGTGAGGGGGTGGTCTCTCTGGGTTCTCTACTCAAGTTCTCACCAAGCTGAAGTCAAGCTGCTGGCCAGGCTATAGTCCTATCTGAAGGCTCTGGTGTAGAATCCACTTGCACGCTTATTCAGGCTTTTGGCAGAAATCAGTTCGTTGTGGTTTAAGGACTGAGGTCGCCTTTCTTTGCTGCTAACTGTTGGCCAGGAAGTACTGTCAGCTACTACATGGTACTTGCTGGTCCTTGCACATGACCCCCTCCACCTTCAAACCAGGATTGACACAGTGTGTTGAGTCTTTCTTGAAGACTTTTGAACATCTGACTTCCCATTCTGCCACTAGCCAGTTAAAATTCTCTAATTTTGAAGGACTCACCTGGTTGGCCAAACCCACCCAAATAATCTCCACATCTTGAAGTCAACTGACCCAGGACTTTACATATGCAAAATCCCTTCACAGCAGTACCTAGATGAGTGTTTGCTTGAATAACTGGGACACAGGAATCTTGGGGGAGCCATCTTTAGAATTCGACCTCCTACAACCCTTCTGGAAATCTGAGAGTGAGTCAGGGGAAGAAACCCTCTTTTGTAGTTTCCTTTTAGGGCTTTCTACTTTGCTCAAAGTTGGGCACTATTTCACTTCAGTAGGGTCCTGCAAGCCCCATGAGGGTAGTGAGTGCTGTCCTAGGAAACAGTAACTTAACCCTGATACCCATTTGTCCAAGAACTCTAAACAGGCTAAACATAAGAGTGTTGAATTCATAAGTGAATTCATTTATGAAAAATTTTATTGTTTCCGTGAAATGATTTAATATTTACTTTGTTTTCTTTTATTGGAGTTTTAATTTAGTGGCAACAGATAGTGAAGTCTCCATGCCCTGCATCCGACCGTGACATCCCAATCATTGCTAGGAGCTGGATTATAGGCTTCACAAAAGTGAGGGGGTAGAAATATTTTAATTTTGTTTTTAATTACACAATAACAAAAGCTATTACAAACCAGGAAAGAATACCTTAAAATTAATTATCAGCCAGAATAAGTTTCTCAGAAAGGCCTTTCAAAGCTTAATCAAGATAAAATGAAAAGAACATAAAATTAAATTTTAAAAAAAAATCTACTAAAAGACAAAATAATTCAGAGAACATGAAAAAAATAACTTATGAGAGAATAAGGGCTCCAAATTAGATACTTCTCTTGAATCATTGTCAAGGACACATCCTACTTGAATTATGATCAAAAACCCATATCAATCTCTCTCTACCAGAAAATGAAAAAGAATGACTGAAGTTCTCTTTCGCCTTCCAGATATGACTCAATTCCCAATTTTATGACAACTTTCATGCTGTTTTATAAAATACCAGATGAACAAATCAATGTCAACTTGTGAACAGACAGTCTGGGTGTGAGCCAGGTATTTGATGCCAGTCTTAGATTCATGCATTTGAAGATTCTCTACCTTCTAGGAAACACCACTAACCTCAAGGATAGAATACAGACATTGTCATTCTATTTAAAAAAAAAAAGGCTCTTAAGCGTATTTATAAGTTAGTATGTACCCCAAGATTATTAATTTCTCTTAAGTCAAAAAGAATCTCTTCAAATGAGACACTCCTTTAAATTTACCAAATTACCCACTTAGCATCAGGTGATATAATAAACATCCATATTGTTTGTTAGTTGACCTTCCCAGTTAACATGTTCTCTTCTTCTCATAACAGCATTCGATTTTTCAATGGAGAAACTTTCTCCCTTCTTCCAATCCATTTGCCTTAGGAGAGAGGACAATGAGCCCATTTCCTAGTTCTGCTGAAAAAAATATATATGATACAGGCCAGGCAGATGAGAACATTGGCTACCCTAGTCTCAGTAACTGGTTCAAGAATAGACTAATAAAATCAGCCAGGCCAACATGACAGATATCTTGGAGCTTTGTTAAAACTGTTGATAAACGAAGGCTTTACCATGAATGTTGTCTAACTGGTAGAAGGGAACCCTAGGTCTGCTGGTATCATCTTGCCACTGTGAAGAAAGAGGCTTCCTGGGAATGAAGCCAATCCAAAGAAATGCAGAGCCAAGGGATAGAGAGAGAAAAGGTCTTGGAACCATTGTTTGAGCACCTGGATCCAGCTTCACTTGAGCCCATTACACATGTAATTGTCATTTACATGATAAAATTGATTCACTTTTTGCATTGAGTCAGTTTGAGCTGGGGTTTTTTTTGTCATGAAACCACAGAGTTATGACTAATCACTTTGTCTGGAAAGACCATCACAGCTGCTATATACCACTATTCTCAGTGTTTTCTTTGTTTGTTTGTTTTTGTTTGTCTTCTTCTTCCTCCTCTGCTTTTTCTATACAAACTATGCAAGCTCCCCACTCTGGGCTTGGTTCACTCACTCCCACCAATCTGAAATACCCTCTGTTTCACAGCCCATATTAAGTTCCAATCCCAAGAAGCCATTCCAATCTGCTCTAACCCCTGTTGCAAACCACACCACTTGTTGTTACACCATCTTATGTTGTTCGTGTGCCAGTTATCTATCAGCAAGTTTTGTCCCCAAATGCCCTCCAGGATCCTAGAATAAAATGGTTCTCCATCAATCCCCATAGTTTTAACACAATGTTCAGCTCAAGTATCCAGCACCTCTCACCCCTGGGCTGCTGATAAAGCTTCCTACATGAACTATCCATGCCCACACTGCCCTCTTTACTCTGTTCTTCTCCTCAGCTTACAGACATGCCTGCTGGAAACGCTTTGGTACATTTTGGATGTTCCAGGGATCATATCCAAATGCTGAAAATGGTCTCCAAAGCTCTACGGGTGTGGTCTACCGAGCTCCCCTCCTGCTTTCTCTCTCTGCTCCAGTCTCACCCAAGATCTTCAATCCCCACCACTTGCCATGCTCTCCTATCACAGGACAGTACATGCTGCCCACTTTCCCCTTAGCACTTGCCTTACCTTTCTTTTCCTAACTCATGCTCATTTTTTAGACTTTAGCACAATCTTCATTTCCATGGGGTAATTTCCATAACTCTATTGATCAAATTACCTTCCCCCTACTATTATTATAAGCTTTCCTGGCTCCATGACCACTCTTTCACTGTATTTTCAAATTTAGCATTATATACAGTAATATAAATACATACATGTATGGGTATTTTGTTAATGTCTCTCCCTACTTTATGATAAGCCCCATGAAATTCAGCACCATGACTATATTTTCTCACCATTGCATTACCAGCACCTGGAACAAGTAACATCCTTCATACGTAGTGGGCACTTAAATAGAAATTGGTTGATACCACCATAAAAAAGAATGAGTTCATGTCCTTTGCAGGGACATGGATGAGGCTGGAAACCATCATTCTCAGCAAACTAACACAGGAACAGATAAACAAATGTTGCATGTTCTCACTCATAAGTGGGAGTTGAACAATGAGAACACATGGACACAGGGAGGGGAACATCACACACCGGGGCCTTTTGGGAGATGGGGGGTAAGGGGAGGGAGAGCATTAGGGCAAATACCTATTGCATAAGGGGCTTAAAACCTACATGACGGGTTGATGGGTACAGCAAACCACCATGGCACGTGTATACCTACGTAACCCAAACCTGCACATTCTGCACATGTATCCCAGAACTTAAAATTTTGAAAAATATATTAAATTGCTAAGACAAAAAAAAGAAATCGGTTGAATAAATAAATCATATAGTTGGAATAATGCAAGTATTGCTGGGTAGATGGAAGTGTGGACAGAAAGAAAAATGATGGATAGGAGGAAGAATAGAGGAAGGATGGATGAATGAAATCGTGGTTGGATTCATTTTTATCCTCCATGTAGGAAAACGTGTGTTTTTCCTACAATTTAGAAACTCTGTAAACAAGTAAAATTCTTAAGAAACTGTCACAGACTTGTCTATAAATACAAGCTCTTAGATGAGACACACTAGTTGCAGAGACCTAAACTGAGAGCAGGACAACCTGTTAAACAATAGAAAGCTTGAGAACCACAGGGAAGCCTGGAATCATTGATTATTTTGCCCTGTGAGTGACAGTCACCAACCATGTAATTTTGATACCTACTGCCCCAATTCTGTAATTGAGCTACATGTTTGCTTCTAGCCAAAATAGCAGCTAGACAAAGAGTATTTATATTATCACAGAGGCTTTTCTTGTAGATTTCTAAGGCGCTGAAGTAATATTTTATTAATATACATTTTCTTTGTGTGAAAAGTAATAAAGTTTCACAGGCTCAAGGCATTTAAAAACAACCATTTCATTATGCCTTGTCTCTATCCAGGTAAGTCAAGCTATGGCGAAAATGGAGAAATCTACAAAGGTAAAACATTTTATTCTTACAAGTCACGTCACCTATGGATGAGTTCCTATGCATGTATGAAAACACACATGGATGGTGAAGATTTGGATTTTTTCACATAAGAGTTTAGCTGTTTAGTCTGGGCATGGTGGCTCACGCCTGTAATCCCAACACTTTGGGAGGCTGAGGCAGGCGAATCACCCGAGGTCAGGAGTTCAAGACCAGACTAGCCAACATGACAAGACCCTGTCTCTACCAAAAATACAAAAATTAGCTGGGCATGGTGGTGGGCACCTGTAATCCCAGCTACTCGGGAGGCTGAGGCAGGAGAATCACTTGAACCTGGGAGGCGGAGGTTGCAGTGAGCCGAGATTCCACCATTGCACTCCAGCCTGGGTGACAAGAGTGAAACCAGTCTCAAAAAAAAAAAAAAAAAAAAAAAAGAAGAGTTTAGCTGTCTAAACCCTTACAGCATGGAATATGCACGACAGCCCTGAAAGCTAGGTATTATTTTAACCCAGGACTCTCCCTACCCTAAACTTAAAATCATGGTGATTCTCACCTATGAGGTACATCAGAATCAACTGACCACAAGTACTAAAAGATTCCTGCGCCCCATCCCCATAGGATGTTGTTCATTAGGTCTGGAGTGAAATTCTCAAACTTGTAATTTTTTTTAACTTTTTTTTTTTTTTTTTTTGAGACACAGTCTTGTTCTGCTGCTCAGGCTGGAGTGCAGTAGCACAATCATAGGTCACTGCAGCCTTGAACTCCTGGGATCAAGTGATCTTCCTGCCTCGGCCTTAGCTAGGAAGATATCACTACACTACACACCACTGTGCCTAGCTAATTTTTTAAAATTTGTTTAGAAACAGGGCTCACTATGTTGTCCAGGCCTGTTTTGAACTCCTGGGCTCAAGCAATCCTCCCAGCTCAGCCTCCCAAAGTGCTGGGATTACAGGCATCAGCCACTGCACCTGACCTGAAAATATTTTTAAAGTGAGTCAGTTCTATTCAAGTATGGTCTGTCTATGAAATGGCATGCTATGGAGACTGAAAATAGTGTGAAACCTGCGTGTACATTGGTGTGGATGGAAACAATATGATGTTGAATGAATGAAGGCTATAAGATGGTCTCATTTTAATTAAATGTTTCACATACACATTTATATATACATATATTCACATGTCTGTCTTTGCTTTATGTGCAGGAAAGGGGTGGAAAGTGGGTATGACAAAGGCATTAGCAGTGGCTATCTTTGAAGAGGCTTACTACTTTTGTATTTTTGCTTGACAACAATTTCTGACTTTAGTTGGACACACATTGTGTTATCATAAGGGGAAAAGCAGAAATGAAAAACACCATAGGAAGAAAAATCAGTCAATGTAATCAAGCCGTTAGTCAATTCGTTAGGAAGGAAAGTTAAAAGAGCCAAATCAATGGGCATCATTTAAAGATAACAACCTGTTCGCTGCTTTGACCAAATATTTTAAAGGTACTGCTTTGACATTTTATTCCAATTTTGATGGTTTTTATTATATTTTAATAAGTACATATTTACTTGTCCTGTGAGACAAGCACTGTACTAGATGGATGTGTTATAAGAGAAAACCGAGGAGATACGAATCTTCCGAATTTATGTGCTTTCAGGTTCAGTTCCAGACAACTGCAATAAAGCAAATCATACAAATTTTGTTTCCCAGTGCATATAAAGTTATATTCACACTACATTGTAGTTTATTAAGAGTGTGATAATATTATATCTAAAAAGCAAAAAGTGTATAATTTAAAAATGCTTTTTGCTAAATAATGCTAATGATCATCTGAGCTTTCTGCAAGTGATAATCACTTTGTTGGTAGAGGGTCTTGCCTTGATGTTGATGGCTGCTGACTAAACAGGGTGGTGGTTGCTAAAGGCTGGAGAACTGTGGCAATTTCTTAAAATAAGGCAACAATGAACTTTGTCACATTGACTGACTCTTTCATGAAAGTTTGCTCTGCAGCATGCAATGATGTTTGATAGCATTTTACCTACAGTAGAACTTCTTTCAAAATTGGCGTCAAGCCTCTTAATCCCTGTTGCTGTTTTATCAACTTTGTGTAATTTTCTAAATCCTTTGTTGTTGTTTCAACAATGTTCATAGCATCCTTACCAGAAGTAAATTTCATCCCAAGAAACCACTTTCTTTGCTCTTCTGTAAGAAGCCACTCTTCATTCATTCAAGTTTTATCATGAGATTGCAGCAATTCAGTCTCATCTTCAGGCTCCACTTCTAATTCTAATTCTCTTGTCGTTTCCATTACATCTGCAGTTACTTCCTCCATGATGTCATAGACCTCTCAAAGTCACCCACGCAGGTTGAAACTGACTTCTTCCAAACTCCTTTAATGTTGATATTTTGACCTCCTCCCATGAATCATGAATACTCTTACTGATATCTAGAATGGTGAATCCTTTCCAAAAGGTTTTCAATTTACTTTGCCCAGATCCATTAGAGGAATCGTTGTCTATGGCAGCTATATCCTTATGAAATATATTTCCTAAATAATAAGACTTGCAAGTCAAAAGTACTCCCTGATCCATGGGCTGCAGAATAAATGTTGTGTTAACAGGAATGGAAACACTAATCTCCCTGTACATCTCCATCAGAACTCTTGAATGACTAGGTACATTGTCAATGAACAGTAATATTTTGAAAGAAATTTGTTTGAGCAGTAGGTCTCAACAATGTACTTAAAATATTCAGTAAGCCATGCTGTAAACAGATGTGCTATCATGCAGGCTTTGTTATTCTATTTATAAAGTTCAGGCAGACTAGATTTAGCATAATTCTTAAGGGTCCTAGGATATTTGGAATGTTAAGTGAGCATTGGTTTTAACTTAAAGTCACCCACTGTGTTAGAGTCAGCCTGTCCTTTGAAGCCAGGCATTGCCTTCTCCTCTCTAGCCATGAAAGTCCTAGATGGCATCTTCTACTATAAAGCAGTTTTGTCTACATTTAAAATTTGTTGTTTAGTTTAACTATTTTCACCCACTATCTTAGCTAGATCTTCTAGATAACTTGCTGCAGTTTCTCCATCAGTACTTTCTGTTTTGTCTTACACTTTTATATTACCGAAATGGCTTCTTTTCCTAAACCTCATAAGCCAAACTCAGTAGCTTTTACTTTTCTTCTGCAGCTTCCTAACTTTTCTCAGCCTTCATAGAATTAAAGAAAGTTGGGGCCTTGCCCTGGATTAGGCTTTGGCTTAAGGGAATGATGTGGCTGGTTTGATCTTCCATCCAGGCCACTAAAACTTTCTCCACATCAGCAACAAAGCTGTTTCACTTTCTTATCATTCATGTGCTCACTGGAGTAGCACTTTTAATTTCCTTCAAGGACTTTTCCTTTGCATTCATGACTTGGCTAACTGGTGCAAGAGGCCTAGTTTTCAGCCTATCACAGCTTTCGACATGCCTTCCTCACTAAGCTTAATCATTTGTACCTTTTGGTGTAAAGTAAGAGACACGCAACTCTTTCTTCCTTTCATTTGAACACTTAGAGGTCATTGCAGGGTTACTAATTGGCCTCACTTAATATTGTTGTGTCTCAGGAAATAGGGAGGCCTTAGGAGAGGGAGGGAAATGGGGGAATGGCTGGTCAGTGGAGCAGTCAGAACATGCACACATTTATTAAGTCTGGCATCTTATATGGGTACAGTTGGTGGTGCCCCAAAACAATTACAGTAGTGACATCAAAGAACATTGATCATAGGCCAGGCACAGTGGCTCAAGCCTGTAATTCCAGCACTTTGAGAAGCCAAGGTGGGTGGATCACTTGAGGTCTGGAGTTTGAGACCAGCCTGGTCAACATGGCAACCATCTCTACTAAAAATACAAAAATTAGTCAGGCGTGGTGGCGTGTGTCTGTAATTCCAGCTACTTGGAAGACCGAGGCAGGAGAATCGCTTGAACCCAGGAGGCAGAGGTTGCAGTGGGCAGAGATCGTGCCACTGCACTGGCGACGGAGTGAGACTCTGTCTCAACAACAACAACAAAAAGAACATTGATCATAGATCACCATAGCAGATATAATAATAATGAAAACGTTTGAAATATTATGAGAATTACCAAACTGTGTCACAAGACATGAAGTGAGCACATGCTTTTGGAAAAATCAGGGTTGCCACAAACCTTCCATTTGTAAAAACTGCAATCTATGAAGCACAATCAAAGAAAGAACAATAAAATGAGGTGCGCCTATATAGAGGTTGTTTTATAATGCATATACTTTTATTTTTTTCTCAAATGTAAACACTTTTTGAAAAAAAATTCAAATGAATCAAAACAAAATTCTAACAAACAAAAACCATAACAAAGAAAGTTAAGCTTTTGAAATCTTACCATTCCAAGACAACCCCAGTAAACTTTTTGGTGACATCCTGTTAGCTGTTTTTATATAAGTATTTTCGTGACCAACCAACTTTATTAATCCAGGACTGACAGACTTCTCTAAACTTGGGCCTTTTGGTACTAAACCACGGACAGTCCCAGGCAAACTAGGATGCTGGTTGCCCTAGATGTAGATGTAGGTTTATATTACCATTTCAATGGTGTCATACTACAGAGTGTTTCATTATGTGGATTTGCCATAACTCATTTAAGCAGAATCACTAGTGGAGATTTAGGTTGTTTCTAATTTTATTTATTTATTTTTTTAATTTGGCTGAATAAGTCTTTAATAAATATGTGTGACTTTCAGTAGAAAAACAGTCAATACAGATGCTTGTTGGAACCCAGGAACCACTATTTACTACTTGTGCAGTACTAGGAAAGTTAATATATTTTTTATTTTATTATTATTATACTTTAAGTTTTAGGGTACATGTGCACAATGTGCAGGTTAGTTACATATGTATACATGTGCCATGCTGGTGTGCTGCACCCATTAACTCTTCATTTAGCATTCGGTATATCTCCTAATGCTATCCCTCCCCCCTCCCCCCACCCCACAACAGTCCCCAGAGTGTGATGTTCCCCTTCCTGTGTCCATGTTTTCTCATTGTTCAATTCCCATCTATGAGTGAGAACATGCGGTGTTTGGTTTTTTGTCCTTGCGATAGTTTACTGAGAATGATGATTTCCAATTTCATCCATGTCCCTACAAAGGACATGAACTCATCATTTTTTATGGCTGCATAGTGTTCCATGGTGTATATGTGCCACATTTTCTTAATCCAGTCTATCATTGTTAGACATTTGGGTTGGTTCCAAGTCTTTGCTATTGTGGATAGTGCCGCAATAAACATACGTGTGCATGTGTCTTTATAGCAGCATGATTTATAGTCCTTTGGGTATATACCCAGTAATGGGATGGCTGGGTCAAATGGTATTTCTAGTTCTAGATCCCTGAGGAATCGGCACACTGACTTCCACAATGGTTGAACTAGTTTACAGTCCCACCAACAGTGTAAAAGTGTTCCTGTTTCTCCACATCCTTTCCAGCACCTGTTGTTTCCTGACTTTTTAATGACTGCCATTCTAACTGGTGTGAGATGGTATCTCATTGCGGTTTTGATTTGCATTTCTCTGATGGCCAGTCATGATGAGCATTTTTTCATGTGTCTTTTGGCTGCATAAATGTCTTCTTTTGAGAAGTGTCTGTTCATATCCTTTGCCCACTTTTTGATGGGGTTGTTTGTTTTTTTCTTGTAAATTTGTTTGAGTTCATTGTAGATGCTGGATATTAGCCCTTTGTCAGATGAGTACGTTGCGAAAATTTTCTTCCATTTTTTAGGTTGCCTGTTCGCTCTGATGGTAGTTTCTTTTGCTGTTCAGAAGCTCTTTAGTTTAAGTAGATCCCATTTGTCAATTTTGGCTTTTGTTGCCATTGCTTTTGGTGTTTTAGACATGAAGTCCTTGCCCATGCCTATGTCCTGAATGGTAATGCCTAGGTTTTCTTCTAGGGTTTTTATGGTTTAAGTCTGTTTAAGTCTTTAATCCATCTTGAATTAATTTTTGCATAAGATGTAAGGAAAGGATCCAGTTTCAGCTTTCTACATATGGCTAGCCAGTTTTCCAAGCACCATTTATTAAATAGGGAATCCTTTCCCCATTGCTTGTTTTTCTCAGGTTTGTCAAAGATCAGATAGTTGTAGATATGCGGTGTTATTTCTGAGGGCTCTGTTCTGTTCCAGTGATCTATATCTCTGTTTTGGTACCAATACCATGCTGTTTTGGTTACTGTAGCCTTGTAGTATATAGTTTGAAGTCAGGTAGCATGATGCCTCCAGCTTTGTTCTTTTGGCTTAGGATTGACTTGGCGATGCGGGCTCTTTTTTGATTCCATATGAACTTTAAAGTAGTTTTTTCCAATTCTGTGAAGAAAGTCATTGATAGCTTGATGGGGATGGCATTGAATCTGTAAATTACCTTGGGCAGTATGGCCATTTTCACGATATTGATTCTTCCTACCCATGAGCAGGGAATGTTCTTCCATTTGTTTGTATCCTCTTTTATTTCCTTGAGCAGTGGTTTGTAGTTCTCCTTGAAGAGGTCCTTCACGTCCCTTGTAAGTTGGATTCCTAGGTATTTTATTCTCTTTGAAGAAATTGTGAATGGGAGTTCACGCATAATTTGGCTCTCTGTTTGTCTGTTATTGGTGTATAAGAATGCTTGTGATTTTTGTACCTTAATTTTGTGTCCTGAGACTTTGCTGAAGTTGCTTATCAGCTTAAGGAGATTTTGGGCTGAGACAATGGGGTTTTCTACATATACAATCATGTCATCTGCAAACAGGGACAATTTGACTTCCTCTTTTCCTAATTGAATACCCTTTATTTCCTTCTCCTGCCTAATTGCCCTGGCCAGAACTTCCAACACTATGTTGAATAGGAGTGGTGAGAGAGGGCATCCCTGTCTTGTGCCAGTCTTCAAAGGGAATGCTTCCAGTTTTTGCCCATTCAGTATGATATTGGCTGTGGGTTTGTCATAGATAGCTCTTATTATTTTGAGATACGTCCCATCAATACCTAATTTATTGAGAGTTTTTAGCATGAAGAGTTGTTGAATTTTGTCAAAGGCCTTTTCTGCATCTATTGAGATAATCATGTGGTTTTTGTCTTTGGTTCTGTTTATATGCTGGATTACATTTATTGGTTTGTGTATGTTGAACCAGCCTTGCATCCCAGGGATGAAGCCCACTTGATCATGGTGGATAAGCTTTTTGATGTGCTGCTGGATTCGGTTTGCCAGTATTTTAGTGAGGATTTTTGCATCAATGTTCATCAAGGATATTGGTCTAAAATTCTCTTTTTTGGTTGTGTCTCTGCCCGGCTTTGGTATCAGGATGATGCTGGCCTCATAAAACGAGTTAGGGAGGATTCTCTCTTTTTCTATTGATTGGAATAGTTTCAGAAGGAATGGTACCAGTTCCTCCTTGTACCTCTGGTAGAGTTCGGCTGTGAATCCATCTGGTCCTGGACTCTTTTTGTGGTAGGCTATTGATTATTGCCACAATTTCAGAGCCTGTTATTTGTCTATTCAGAGATTCAACTTCTTCCTGGTTTAGTCTTGGTAGGGTGTATGTGTCAAGGAATTTATCCATTTCTTCTAGATTTTCTAGTTTATTTGCGTAGGGGTGTTTGTAGTATTCTCTGATGGTAGTTTGTATTTCTGTGGGATCGGTGGTGATATCCGCTTTATCATTTTTTATTGCATCTATTTGATTCTTCTCTCTTTTCTTCTTTATTAGTCTTGCTAGCGGTCTATCAATTTGTTGATCCTTTCAAAAAACCAGCTCCTGGATTCATTAATTTTTTGAAGGGTTTTTTTGTGTCTCTATTTCCTTCAGTTCTGCTCTGATTTTAGTTATTTCTTGCCTTCTGCTAGCTTTTGAATGTGTTTGCTCTTGCTTTTCTAGTTCTTTTAATTGTGATGTTAGGGTGTCAATTTTGGATCTTTCCTGCTTTCTCTTGTGGGCAATTAGTGCTATCAATTTCCCTCTACGCACTGCTTTGAATGTGTCCCAGAGATTCTGGTATGTTGTGTCTTTGTTCTCGTTGGTTTCGAACAACATCTTTATTTCTGCCTTCATTTTGTTATGTACCCAGTAGTCATTCAGGAGCAGGTTGTTCAGTTTCCATGTAGTTGAGCGGTTTTCAGTGAGTTTCTTAATCCTGAGTTCTAGTTTGATTGCACTGTGGTCTGAGAGATAGTTTGTTATAATTTCTCTTCTTTTACATTTGCTGAGGAGAGCTTTACTTCCAACTATGTGGTCAATTTTGGAATAGGTGTGGTGTGGTGCTGAAAAAAATGTATATTCTGTTGACTTGGGGTGGAGAGTTCTGTAGATGTCTATTAGGTCTGCTTGGTGCAGAGCTGAGTTCAATTCCTGGGTATCCTTATTAACTTTCTGTCTCGTTGATCTGTCTAATGTTGACAGTGGGGTGTTAAAGTTTCCCATTATTATTGTGTGGGAGTCTAAGTCTCTTTGTAGGTCACTCAGGACTTGCTTTATGAATCTGGGTGCTCCTGTATTGGGTGCATATATATTTAGGATAGTTAGCTCTTCTTGTTGAATTGATCCCTTTACCATTATGTAATGGCCTTCTTTGTCTCTTTTGATCTTTGTTGGTTTAAAGTCTGTTTTATCAGAGACTAGGATTGCAACCCCTACCTTTTTTTGTTTTCCATTTGCTTGGTAGATCTTCCTCCATCCTTTTATTTTGAGCCTATGTGTGTCTCTGCACGTGAGATGGGTTTCCTGAATACAGCACACTGATGGGTCTTGACTCTTTATCCAATTTGCCACTCTGTGTCTTTTAATTGGAGCATTTAGTCCATTTACGTTTAAAGTTAATATTGTTATGTGTGAATTTGATCCTGTCATTTTGATGTTAGCTGGTTATTTTGCTCGTTACTTGATGCAGATTCTTCCTAGTCTCGATGGTCTTTACAATTTGGCATGATTTTGCAGTGGCTGGTACTGGTTTTTCCTTTCCATGTTTAGTGCTTCCTTCAGGAGCTCTTTTAGGGCAGGCCTGGTGGTGACAAAATCTCTCAGCAGTTGCTTGTCTGTAAAGTATTTTATTTCTCCCTCACTTATGGAGCTTAGTTTCGCTGGATATGAAATTCTGGGTTGAAAATTCTTTTGGGTTGAAAATTCTTTTCTTTAAGAATGTTGAATATTGGCCCCCACTCTCTTCTGGCTTATAGAGTTTCTGCTGAGAGATCCGCTGTTAGTCTGATGGGCTTCCCTTTGTGGGTAACCCGACCTTTCTCTCTGGCTGCCCTTAACATTTTTTCCTTCATTTCAACTTTGGTGAATCTGACAATTATGTGTCTTGGAGTTGCTCTTCTCGAGGAGTATCTTTGTGGTGTTCTCTGTATTTCCTGAATCTGAATGTTGGCCTGCCTTGCTAGATTGGGGAAGTTCTCCTGGATAATATCCTGCAGAGTGTTTTCCAACTTGGTTCCATTCTCCCCGTCACTTTCAGATACACCAATCAGATGTAGATTTGGTCTTTTCACATAGTCCCTTATTTCTTGGAGGCTTTGTTCGTTTCTTTTTATTCTTTTTTCTCTAAACTTCCCTTCTTGCTTCATTTCATTCATTTCATCTTCCATCACTGATACCCTTTCTTCCAGTTGATTGCATCGGCTCCTGAGGCTTCTGCATTCTTCATGTAGTTCTCGAGCCTTGGCTTTCAGCTCTATCAGCTCTTTTAAGCACTTCTCTGTATTGGTTATTCTAGTTATACATTCGTCTAATTTTTTTTCAAAGTTTTTAACTTCTTTGCCTTTGGTTTGAATTTCCTCCTGTAGCTCGGAGTAGTTTGATCCTCTGAAGCCTTCTTCTCTCAACTCATCAAAGTCATTCTCCGTCCGGCTTTGTTCTGTTGCTGGTGAGGAACTGCGTCCCTTTGGAGGAGGAGAGGCACTCTGCTTTTTAGAGTTTCCAGTTTTTCTGCTCTGTTTTTTCCCCATCTTTGTGGTTTTATCACTTTGGTCTTTGATGATGGTGATGTACAGATGGGTTTTTGGCGTGGATGTCCTTTCTGTTTGTTAGTTTTCCTTCTAACAGACAGGACCCTCAGCTACAGGTCTGTTTGGAGTTTGCTAGAGGTCCACTCCAGACCCTGTTTGCCTGGGTAACAGCAGCAGTGGCTGCAGAACAGCGGATTTTCATGAACCGCGAATGCTACTGTCTGATAGTTCCTCTGGAAGTTTTGTCTCAGAGGAGTACCCAGCCGTGTGAGGTGTCAGTCTGCCCGTACTGGGGGGTGCCTCCCAGTTAGGCTTCTCGGGGGTCAGGGGTCAGGGACCCACTTGAGGAGGCAGTCTGCCCATTCTCAGATCTCCAGCTGCGTGCTCGGAAAACCAGTGCTCTCTTCAAATCTGTCAGACAGGGACATTTAAGTCTGCAGAGGTTACTGCTGTCTTTTTGTTTGTCTGTGCCCTGTCCCCAGAGGTGGAGCCTACAGAGGCAGGCAGGCCTCCTTGAGCTGTGGTGGGCTCCACCCAGTTCAAACTTCCCGGCTGCTTTGCTTACCTAAGCAAGCCTGGGCAATGGCGGGCACCCCTCCCCCAGCCCGGCTGCCACCTTGCAGTTTGATCTCAGACTGCTGTGCTAGCAATCAGTGAGACTCCGTGGGCAGAGGACCCTCTGAGCCATGTGCGGGATATAATCTCCTGGTGCGCCATTTTTTAAGCCCATCAGAAAAGCACAGTATTAGGGCGGGAGTGACCCGATTTTCCAGGTGCCGTCTGTCACCCCTTTCTTTGACTAGGAAAGGGAACTCCCTGACCCCTTGTGCTTCCCGAGTGAGGCAATGCCTCGCCCTGCTTCGACTCGCCCACAGTGCGCTTCACCCATTGTCCTGCGCCCACTGTCTGGCACTCCCTAGTGAGATGAACCCGGTACCTCAGATGGAAATGCAGAAATCACCCATCTTCTGCGTCGCTCACGCTGGGAGCTGTAGACCAGAGCTGTTCCTATTCGGCCATCTTGGCTGCTTCCCTCAGTTGTTTCTAATTTTAAGCCACTGTTCCTGTTATAAACCATCTGTGATGAACCTCCTTTCACATACATCTTTGCACACTTGAAAATTATCTGTGTGGGATAAGTTTTTTAAATGAAGTTTCTAAGAGTACATACGTATTACATTTTGCTATATACTGCCAATTTATCCTATTTTTTAATATTTTATTAATTCACACCTTTGATCAGTTGAGCATGAGACTGACAGTTTTTTCATATCCTCATCGATTCTGAGTTTTGCCAATCTTTTAAAATCTTTTCTAATCCAATGGGCAATTCACTTCAAATTCTTAATGCATATATTTATTTTATGGACAGAGTATTATTATTTTTCTGTCCAAAAAGTCAAATGCTTTATTATGAAGATGCCATTTAATAATCTATTTTTAAAAGTTTCATTGAATATAACTTACATACTACAAAATTAACCTGTTTTAAGAATACAAGTAGACAAATTTTAGTATCATTACAGAGTTGTCCGTCATCACCACCATCTAATTTTGGAACATTTTCATTTCTCCAAAAAGAAACCTTGTGCCCGTTTACAGTCGCTCCCCATTTCCACCCCAAGCCTCGTTTAACCACAAATCTTTCCATCTCTGCATATCCCAGAACTAAAACTGCTGGCCTTACATAGTGTAGGGTGACCATCCTGGTCTGCCCAGGACTGAAGGATTTCCAGGGTCATGGGGTGTCCAGTGTTAAAACCTGGACGGTCCTGGGCAGACCAGGGCAAGTCGGTCATTTGACCATAGTGCTTTTTTTAAGCCAAAACTTTCAGATCTCCTTTTCCCCTCTTGCGTTTCGTTTGACCTCTGCCTCATGGGGTGGCCTAATTTGGTAGGTCAGGCAAAGACACTGTACAAAGGGACACCCCTAAAAATCAAGGACTGTAAAACATTCTGATTTGAAGAGAATACAACAACGAAGCTCTCCACAAGGAGCCCCTTCTGACTCTGAAACAATTGGTCATCTTAGTTAAATTATTGGCACACATTGGCAACAATGACTGTTTGATGTTCCTCACACGATCCTTCTCCATCCAGCCATAACGTTGAGATCAGAGAGTCAGTACCTCAACTACAACCAGAAATAAGAAGAAGGAAGAGGGATATTGCAGTACTGCAAGAGCAATTACTGAGTGCCTGGTATGTGCTACAGACTGTTCTGCATCCTCTTCTTCAATCCTTACCACCCCCTACCCAGAGGTTAGTATCATGAATGCCACTCTACAAACGAGGAAACTCAAACCCAGACAAATAAAGTCACTTGCCCAGGGCACACAGCTTGGGTAACAGAGGCAGGATTCAAACCCAAGTCTCAGCCCAACACCAAAGCCTGGATTCATACTGTTATCCGCATGGCCTCCTGGAAGCAATGGAGGGACTAAATACCTTAATTGAGAATATAGAAAGAAATATACTTTCTAAGTTTACATCCCTTTTCCAACAAACACAGAAACACAAAACCACTTCGAGGGGGTTTTTTTCCCCAAAAAATGCCTTCTCTCCAGTGAAATAGTATTAAGGTGACGGGGGTGCTGAGGAGGAGGGGGGTTGAAGGATATGCAAGTAACAGGAAAGCCAATATAATTCAAAGTGAAATTGATTTAAAATTTTGCTAAGATTTTTTATGCTTGCATATTTCACGCTTATAGCATACCTTTGGTCTTATTTACAGTTTTAATTAAATATACACTTCATTATTTTACATAGTGTATAAAAATATAGTTCTATGTAAATATTTCTTAGGGAGATCTGTAAAAGTGTCTCTTATAATTGATATGACATTTCAAAATACACAGTGTTTCATAATCAGATACATTTCCTGAGCTTAATGGTAGAAGGCACCTCACATTTATATTTACTAGTTTTTAATTATCTTATTATCTATAGTTGTGATTTACCCAGATTTACCCAGACAGGAGATCTGGGAAGTAATATATTTGAATTTACTGGATAATTTGCATTTATCTTTGCCTAAAACTTTTCTCCTTCTTAGAATAATTGGAGGAGAGAGAGATAAAAACCTCAGCCTTGCTCTTATACCACCAACAGATACCGATCCTTCTATACATCAATCTGCAGCAAAACATTGCTTGGCCATAAAGTTGAAACATGCAGCCAATGTCAGGGCTCGCATATTTAAACCCACAGCACTGAGAATATACACATAAAAGTCTAATATGTCAGACTTAAAATTTCTAGATTTCACTGGTAACTACTGGCATAAAAGGGTGGTATGAGGAGAACCACCTGAACTTGGCTTATGCCTACTTTATCTGTATCTGAAAATGAGAACATCAGTCTTTTGGCCATAAACAATTTGTGTTTAATAACACTGTATATTGTTGTTTTTCAAACACTTTATAATGTGGGTGGATTTTTACCACTGCCCCCAGCTTGCCTGCTTAATTTGCTGTTGATTCAGCCTGGCCCTGGTCCATCAACCTGAATAAGAGATTACAAAGTGGAGAGAATTCTCCTGCACATGAAAGCAGGGCTTTCTCTTCTGGGTTCCAGGACCAACCCTGTGTTGAGAACAGGAAGGATGCTTACAAGAGATAAGGTGATGGAAAGAAAGAAGGCTCGCCTGGGAGTTTAAGTGTTAAGCTTAAATGTGCTGAACAGCCTCTAAGTATAGATGAGCTTCACCATTGCATGAGGATGGTCGGTGTGTGGTTGACCGTTGCACGGATCCCATCCCAGATGGCAGTGAGAATAACCAATAGAGCTCCTTAGAACAGCATAAAGGTGTATTTTATTCATTCTTTTATCTGTTAAATATTTATCAGGCAAAAGCTCCACTTGCTCAAATATAAGAATCTAATGATGGGTATTAACACTCTCTCAGCTCATGACAACACAAGTCAAATGAAAAAAAACAAGTGAATAATTACATATGTGACTTATAGATTAGCTGAACTCTTTGAAATGTTTTAAATCATTATTTAAAGTATTTTCCCCCAACTTAATTGAATTAGCCTAGCTATGCTTTCAGATGTATTCCGCAAATATTTATTGGGCACCCACTGAGATCAGGGCTCTGGGTAAGCACTAAGGATGAACAATGAACAAAAGAGACCTAATCCTAATCTTTATGGGAGCTACAATATAATGTTGGGCCAGACATTATCTTTAGAAACTGTAGTGAGTGTTGTGAAAGAAAAGAAGAGGATGCTACAGATATTTATAGCAGGAGGCCTCGATCTAGGCTTCAAAGCGGAGGTCAGGAGGTGCAAGGAAGGCATCCCAGAGAAAATGATGTTGAGCTGAAAACTATAAGAAGAAGAAAGGGGGAAGAAAGGAAGGTTCCAGGCAAAGTGAATTGCATATTCGAAGGCCAGGAAGCAGGAGGAGCCTGGTACATTTAAGCAAGTGGAAGAGGGCTGGTACAGCTGCTATGCAAAATTCAAAAGGGAATATGGTTTAAGATGAAGCTAAAGAGGCAGAGAAGAATCAGATTCTGCACATCTGGTAAGGAACTTGATCTTCCTCCTTGAAGCACTGGGAAGTCATCCTGGGAATTTAGGCTGGGAATGGTAGACAGAATAATGTCTCCTTCTCACAAAAATGTATGCATCATAATCCCTAGAAACTATGAATACATTACCTTGCATGGCAAGAGACATCGCAGGTGTGATTAAATTAAGGATCTTGAGATGTGAAGAGTATCCTGGGTTTTCCAGGTAAGTCCAGTATAATCAGTGTCCTAATATGAGAAACAGGAAGTTAGGAGAGTCAAAAGCATCCTTTCCTGAAGCAGTTGTATGGGTTTCTTTGTGTCCAAGTTTATAGAGATAGAGATGTAATGATGAAAGAAAAGGTCAGGGGTGAGGGGAAGAAAGATGGAGAGAAGGGAGGGAGAGATTTGGGGTGGCAACACTGCTGGCTTTGAAGATTTGAGGTTGCTACATTCCTTGGCTCTGGCTTGACCAAGAACCAAGGAATTCAGGCTACTTGTGAAAGCTGAAAAAGGCAAGAAAATGGATTCTCCTCAATAGGAATGCGTTTACACTGTTGGTGGGAGCATAAATTAGTTCACCCATTGTGGAAGTCAGTGTGGCGATTCCTCAGGGATCTAGAACTAGAAATACCATATGACCCAGCCATCCCATTACTGGGTATATATCCAAAGGATTATAAATCATGCTACTATAAAGATACCTGCACATGTATGCTTATTGTGGCACTGTTCACAATGGCAAAGACTTGGAACCAACCCAAATGTCCATCAATGATAGACTGGATTAAGAAAATGTGGCACATATACACCATGGAATACTATGCAGTCATAAAAAAGGATGAGTTCATGTCATTTGCAGGGACATGGATGAAGCCAAAAACCATCATTCTCAGCAAACTATCACAAGGACAGAAAACCAAACACCGCATGTTCTCATTCATAAGTGGGAATTGAACAATGAGGACACATGGACACAGGGCAGGGAACATCACACACCGGGGCCTGTAGGGGGGTGGGGGCTGGTGGAGGAATAGTATTAGGAGAAATACCTAATGTAAATGACAAGTTGATGGGTGCAGCAAACCACCATGGCACATATATACCTATGTAACAAACCTGCACGTTGTCCACATGTACCCTAGAACTTAAAGTATAATAATAATAATAATAAAGAAAATAAATTCTCCTCTAGGACCCTCCAGGAGGATTACAGTCTTGCTGATACCTCAACTCTAGGATTTCTGACATCAAGAATTGTAAGATAATAAATTTGTGTTGTTTAAAGCCACCCGTTTGTGGTGTTTTGTTACAGCAGCAATAGGAAACTAAAACAACGGGCAATGAAAAATGATCAGATGTGTGTTTTTAGAAAGTTGTTCTGGCAATGGTATGGAGTGAAAGGAGAGAGTTTTGCTGGAAAACAATTGAAATGGTTTGGTTGAGAGATGATGGAAGTTTGGACCAGGAAGTTGGTAATGGCTTTAGGACAGTTTTTCAGCATTAGCACTATTAAAATTTTGAACTAAAATCATTTGTGTGTGTGTGTGTGGCGGGGTGCATATGTGTGCACGCACACTATGGGGTTATCTCATACATTGTAGGATGTTTAGCAGCTTTCCTGGCCTCCATCTACTAGATACCAGTAGCACCTCCACCCAGGTGTGACAACTAAATATGTCTCTAGACATTGCCAAAAGTCCGCTGTGGGGAAAAGTTACTCCTAGTTGAGTTCTGAGTCAGAAAAAATTAGACAAAATGCATAGGTATTTAAGTGTTGGAATTAAAAGGACTAATTGTTCAACCCTATCAATCAGTCAGTGTTTTATAATCACATACATTTCCTGGGCCGAATGGTAGAAGGCACCTCACACTTACATTTGCTTGTTTCCATACTGATATAAAACTCATTTTTATAGTGATATTATATATCACTATAATTCTATATTTTACAGTGATATTATCTATCACTGTAATTCTATATTTTATAGTGATATTATCTATCACTGTAATTCTATATTTTATAGTGATATTATCTATCACTGTAATTCTATATTTTATAGTGATATTATCTATCACTGTAATTCTATATTTTATAGTGATATTATATATCACTAATTCTGTATTTTATAGTGATATTATATATCACTATAATATACAATTAATTCAAATATAAGCAAATATTATCTTTGTAATCAAACTTTATTTTTAAAGTTCTAGAATAAGTACTCAAAAGGTAATGAAAAGTTTTGTTCCTCTAATCTCCCTATTCCTCATTGACCCTTTCACTTGGCAATTAGCAAACACCACTGCTGTCATTTCTTCAGCTGCCGGACAGCTGGTGATGAGGGGCATCCTTCTCCAAAGCAGTTGTAGAGGTCTCTTAAGGTCCTGAAAGGAAGAGTTCCAGAGGACAGCTCCCAGGAAAAAGAGAACTCTCACAGGCTCCGATTAAGTGTGTTTTCTTCTTTAGTTCTTCTACTTAAAAGAAAAATAAAAGCCTTATTGAGATGTAACTCACATATTACAAAATACCCCCTTTTGAACTGTACTTTTCAGTGGTTTTTAGTATATCCACAAGGTTGTACATCCCCTAATTCTAGAACACTTTAATCACCCAAAAAACAAAACTTCATATCAATTAGCAGTGAATCCTCATGTTCCTCCTCCTCTAGCCCTGTCAAACCACTAATCCATTTTCTGTCTCTACAGATTTTACATACATGGAATCATATAAAATGGACATTTCCTATAAATGAAATCATACAATAGGTAGTCTTTTGTGGCTTCTTTCACTTAGCACCATGTCTTTGAGGCTCATCCATGTCATAGCATGGATCAGTAATTTTTTTTTTATTTTTTTTTTGAGATGGAGTCTCACTCTGTTACCCAGGCTGGAGTGCAGTGGTGCGATCTCAGCTCACTGCAACCTCAGCCTCCCAGGTTCAAGTGATTCTCCTGCCTCAGCCTCCTGTTTTCCTTTTTATGGGTGAGTAATATTTCATTGTATGGATAAACCACATTTTATGTATCCATTCTTCTGTTGATGGATATGTGGGTTGCTTATGCTTCCCTTTGGTTTATTGGTGAGTTTGTCCCCTAAAGGTGACTCAGCGGGCTGAACTCCTTCGTGGTATAAACAAATTAAAACTTCCCATCCTGACCCATGCCTGAAGTAAAGGAATAATTGATTCTGTCACCCAACACTTATTACACACCTCATGTATGTCAGTTTGAGGGCTCTGTTTTAGGCCCTGGGGATGATCATGATGAATAAAACAAATTCCTTACTGTCAGTGATATTTCATTCTAGTGGGAGAAATTAGGAAATGAACAAACCAAGCAGAAGGAAAATTCATTTACTCAACCCTCTGTTGAATATTTACCAAATGCAGGCACCTACCAGTACTGGGTAGACACAGACCCAAATAGAGGAGGGACAGAGTTCATGCCCATGTTTCCCCCGGGAAAGCACAAACACACAATGATGATAGAATGTGCTGGGGGCTATAATCAATGTCTCAGCTGAAATCTTTAGGAAAAGACAATAGAGGAATTTTTTAAAGGCAGAGAAGGCCAGGCACGGTGGCTCATGCCTGTACCCCCAGCACTTTGGGAGGCCGAGGCAGGCAGATCACCTGATGTCAGGAGTTCAAGACCAGCTTGGCCAAAATGGCAAAATCCCATCTTTACTAAAAATACAACAACAACAACAACAAAAATTAGCCGGAAGTGGTGGCAGGTTCCTGTAAACCCAACTACTCAGGAGGCTGAGGCAGGAGAAGCGTTTGAACCTGGGACGTGGAGGTTGCAGTGAATTGAGATTGTGCCACTGCACTCCAGCCTGGGTGACAGAGCAAGACTCCATCTCAAAAAGAAAAAAAAAGCCTTCAGAGAAGAGGAGCACGTTGAGCTGAACCCTGAAGAGCATTCATGTCTTCGTGGGGTGGGGACACGAAGGAGAATCTGGTGGAACAAAAGAAAGGACGGAGCCCACATGCTACAGAGCAAACACCTTCCCTCTTCAGGTAAGAGAGTATGAGCAGTTGCTGCAGCTCTTGGTCTGGATTTGGGTTTCATTCTGCTTGGCTCCCAGTTTTGCTTTCACTCCATTTCATCTTTGGTATACAGGGCCCTCCTATGCACCACCAGGTCTCCTGCATGATATGTTTGGGCTTATAATGTGGTCATTGATGATCTGGTATGTGTCCTTCTCTCGGTAACTATCCCTGTGAGAAGTGCTGAAATGAACAGCCTCTGGTGCTTCTTGCTTGGTCTCAGCCTCACAAGAGTCCTTTGTGAACAAGAAGGCAGCAGACCTGTGTGACTTGGAGAGGAGGGGACCCAAGGTTCCATCCTAATCCAGCCCTCATACCCAAAGAGGCATATTCCTCTGCTTCTCCCATATTGATCAGGAGGCTCACTCTGGAATCAGACGGCCTCACCTGGCTCCCTCTACATGAATCCCAGCCCTACCACTGAATTGGGCAAATTAGTTAAGCCTCAGTGCTCTCATAAGCAAAAGGGAGATCAAAATTAATCCTTGGGGGCGTCTGTTCTAAATAAGATCATCATTGGTGAGCACCCCTCACAATGTCCAGCATGGAGTAAACAGTTGATAAATGTTAGTGTTAATTTTCTTTTCACTTTCCATGGCCTTTCAACCCAGCACCAAGAACCTGAAGAGATTACATGGGCCTGAACATAATTGAAAGGCATTATTCCTTTCTTTTAGAACTCCAAATGTAACTATTATTTACAGGATAATGTTCAAATATTATGGAAGCATTTAATTTTAATTGATCTATGCACATGAATAAATGAAGTTAACAACAAAAGTGGTTTGAATTTAACTTTATGTTTTAATACCTGAGCAAATTCTCAAGTCCTAGGGATTCCAAAAAATGCTGCATACAAATACAAGCAGAAATGACAGCACTGACCCCTTTTCTCCTGTAACATTTAACAATTTGCAAAACACATTCTACCTACTACCTGGTTTTTCCGGGAGAGCAGAAAGGGATCCATTGAGGTTGATGCCCAGATGTCCTCTAATAGTCTCTTGCCCTGGATTGGCTCACAATTCCTTTTTTGGAATGTAGGTACTAAAAAGCCATTCACATGCCAAATAGGAGGAGTTCTCCTCTCTTTGTGATACTCAGTGCCTCCTGTTCCCTGCCTTGGCCTCATCTTCTATCATCCCTCTGAGCCAAGGCATTACAGCTGTTAAGTGTGCAATCTCTGGAGTCACACTGCCTAGGTCTCAATTCTGCTTTGGTTTCCTCAAACGATGCAACCCTCTGCAAGTTATCAGCCTCTGTGTGCCTCAGTCTCATCCTCTGTAATACGGAATAGTATTTGTATATGTCTTGCTATGATATTCCTTCAGGGTTGACAGGAGGTTTGAATTAGAAAAGACACATAGGGATGGTGCTCAAATGTCACTGCTGACTCTTCCCCCACCTATATTCCTTCCATCAGGGGCTAGAACAGGCACCTGAGAACACAGTAGGCTCTCAATGGAATATTCAGTGAATCTTTTTTTTCTATTTTACTGAAGGATCTAGGGAGGTGTCTGAAGCAGTAATTTCATATATTCTCTAAGAATGTCTCAAGGGGAACAATGGGGAAAGAAATGAATTCTTAGAAGTTATTGCATGAAAAAGACACACACGTGTTTATAACAGCACAATTCACAATTGTAAAGATATGGAACCAATCTAAGTGCCCATTGACCAATATAGGTGGATAAAGAAAATGGGGTAAATATACACCCTGAAATAGTACTCAGACATAAAAAGGGATGAAATAATGTCTTTTGCAGCAACTTAAATGGAGCTGGAGGCCATTATTCTAAGTGAAGCAACCCAGGAATGGAAAACCAAATACCATGTGTTCTCACTTATAAAGTGGGAACTGCACTATGAGGATGCAAAAACATACAGAATGATGTATCGGACTTTGGGTATTTGGGGAGGAAGGTTGGGAGGGGGATGAGGGATAAAAGATTACATATTGGGTAGAGTGTACGCTGCTCGGGTGATGGGTGCACTAAAATCTCAGAATCCACCACTGGAGAATTCATCCGTGTAACCAAAAACCATCTGTATCCCCAAAACTACTGAAATTTTAAAAATACAGTAGAAAAGAAATAAATTCTTAGGAAAAAAGGCACAAAGCACATTAATTTACGCAGCAACTCGTATATAATGAGCAGGTTCAATAACAGATAATTATATGGAAAGTACTTAAATGCTAACTATGTACTTTTAATATGTTGCAAAAGTAGGTTCATAATTAAATTATAATTACAAGTAAAAATGGAGACAATGATCATTCCCTGAGAAATTTGCACATTTTTATTTCCAAGGTTATGTGCAGCTTCTCTCACACTCTGATTCATTACTTTTGTTGGTAGCTCCACTCTGATCTGACTCGTTTTGCATGATGGATTTTAAATTTAAAATTAACTAGAATTATCTTTCAGATTACTAATTACCATATGCAATGATTTCAATAGAATACCCAGGTTGTCATTAAAAAGTAGTTTGTGAGCATGTAAGTTTGAAATTGTGGAAGATTTATAGTGGAAAGAAAGGGGAACATTGGCCGATCATCTAATAGAAACTAAACAATTGGCAGAAATTGAGAAAGCTTTAAAACAAGTTATGAATTACTTGTGGGAAGGGATACGCATAACTATTACTGTGGCAAAGTCACAAGACTTTTCAAAACTTGATATCATTTATAACTCATCCAGTTGCAAGTGAAAGAAGCACATCTGAATTGTCGAAGAAAAAGAGAAAGATTTATTAGTTCAAAAATCTAATAAAAAGTTCAAGAGTAACTAATTTCAGGTCTGGCAGGATCCAGAGTCTGAAATAATGTCACTAAGGTTTAACTTGTCACTACCTCCAATACCCAATTCTGGTTTTCTCAATGGTCATTTTTCTCAGACAGGGACTCCCCATATGGTGGAAAGAAATAACTGTCAGATGCACCAGATTCACATCCTCAAAGCTGAGGAAGCCCAGTGGAAGACGAGTGGATTTTTTTTCTAAGAGCTTCAGGAAGTCTCAGGTCTGAATCTCATTGGTTCAAAGACAGTCAAATTGCCTTATCTGAACCAATCTCTGTGGTAACCAGGGTAGTGCTGTGCTCTGATTGGCCAAGAGTTACATGTCCTCATCTGGAGCTAAGGTTATCATCCACTAATTTATAGGGGCTGAGATTCCAAAGGGAAATTGAGCTGGTGCTTCCAGAAGAAATACAAAGAGATGCCTGGATGCCAAAAGCTCTCTGGGTGAACAATGAACTTAACCAGACTTTGTTCTCTTTCTCTCCTTTTCTTAAACTTAATCTTAATTAAATAAGGGTTTCCATCTCTGCTCAGCTATTCCTTACCCCAAAATGAGTCCTCTTGCCATTTGGTCAAATCAATGCATTTAAACTAACATATGTTTTATGTGGGCCAGAGAAAATTTTTTAATGCACATCTGAATGTGTTATCATTTCTCTGCCACCACCATTCACCCTAACTTCTTGCTATGGTAATATTCACATTTACACAAAGTGGAGGAAATTATGTATTGAACCTCCATAAATCTATTACCTAGCTTCAAAAATTATAACCATTTGCCAAATGTATTTTATCCATACCCTCCATCCTCTACACTTTTTATGGTCAGAGAACTTTAAAGCAAACCTCCAATGTTATAATATTTCATATGAATATCTAATAAGGACTTTATAAAAGCCTAACCACCATGTCATTTTCATACCTATCACTGTTAATAATGTCTTAATATCACTATGAGTACATGTCTATATTTCCCCTTGATTGACTCAAAGATGTCTTTCTACAGCAGATTTGTTTGAATAATAAAGTCTGCACACTGCATTGTCATGATGTTTAAGGCTCTTTTATTCTTTATCAGTTTTCCCCCCTACTTTCTGTTATTTTCAGATCATTGCATTATGAGACAACCAGACTATGTCATTTGTCCTGCAGAATGTCCCCCATTCTGGATTTAGCTGGTTGCTCCCTTGTGGTGACATTTATCCTGCTCTTCTGTCCCTCTTATTTCCTGAAGCCTGGTAATTTGATCCAGGGTCTTGATTAGATTCAAGGTCAGTTAATTTTTTGTTTGTTTGCAACTGGTTCCATGTAAATGCCTTCCCACTGTGCTCTTACAGTTAACACAAACCCCTCCTCCTCATGGCCTGCTTCACTCTCACTAGTCTTTCATTTCATTGTCTCTCTCCTGATACCTCTGGCATGCTTTGATTACTTCTCTCTCACCAAGCTCCTGAACAGCTAGAATACTTCTTTCTGCTAAGAATGGTCATCGCTTCTTTCCTGGCCCAGCTAGCTAATACCTTGTTAGGGAAACCATCTCCAACTCCTCATGACCAGGTTCAATCTTCCCACCAAATGCTCCCATAGCATCACCCCATTCTCCTTTGCAGCCTTATCACTATTGCAATTTTCCATTTATTTTGTATGATTTTTAAAATAGTATTTGTCCTCCTCTGGAAACTATAACCTTCATGAAAAAAGGACAGTGTTTGACACATGTTTGTTGAAAGTATAAATCCGTTTTTAAAAAATATGCACAAAATACATACACACCATCGCCAGGTCAATCTAATTTCCTTAGGCCTTACCCATATGATATTTTATTGATAGTAAAATAGCTACCAGTTATTTTTGCTAGTTTTATGCCATGTACCCTGATAGTTTATTTTACACCCTATTTGTAAGCATTACAATTACTCCACCAAGTGGATGTTAATGTCCCATTTTACAGATAAGGCAATGAAAACCTAGAGAGGTTAAGTAATTCACCCAACCACACCAAGCCAGACCTTTGCTGAGCCATGATTATCCTTTATCCTTTTAATCATCCTATAAGACAGTGTCAGAGGTGTTTGAACCAGAGCAACTCCATCTTGAATAGGGGCTGGGTGAAATGAGACTGAGACCTACTGGGCTGCATTGCCAGAGAGTAAAGCGTTCTAAGTCACAGGATGAAATACAAGATCAGCACAAGATACAGGTCATAAAGACCTTGCTGATAAAACAGTTTGCAGTGAAGAAGCTGGCTAAAATTCAACAAAACCCAGATGGTGACAGGAGCGCCCTCTGGTCATCTGTGCTGCTACACTCCCATCAGTGCCATGACAGTTTACAAATGTCATGGCAACGTCAGGAACTTGCCCTATATGGTCAGAAAAGGGGAGGCACGAATAATCCACCCTGTGTTTAGCATACCATCAAGAAATAACCATAAAAATGGGCAACCAGCAGCCCTTGGGACTCCTCTATGGATAGCCCTTCTTTTATTCCTTTACTTTCCTAGTAAACTTGCTTTCACTTTACTTCATGGACTCTCCCTGAATTTTTTCTTGTGCGAGATCCAAGAACCCTCTCTTGGGGTCTGGATTGGGGCCCCTTTCCAGTAAAAATAGTGTTTTGGTTCTCATTTTAGATATAGGGTGACCAATCATCCCATTCTGCTGTGACTGAGGTGATTCCAGAACATGCCACTTCAGTGCTCCAACTGGGAAAGACCTGGGCAAACTGAGACAAGTTGGTCACTCTATTCACAGATGAGACTCGAGGACACTCACTAATTACTCATGTACATGAGTAATTAGTGAGTAATTAGGGTGCTATCCCACATATTTCAATTCCTAAAGCCCACAGCCTCTACTATGTCACACCATGATGGCTAAGTGTTAGCTTGTAATAAAAATGGGTACTCCAAAGCTTAACCTCCTGACCACCATCCTAATTAGACATTTACTCTTTTGTTTCAAAGAGAACTACAACTAGAAAAGTTTCCCAATTTTTCACTTTGGAATCAAAAGGACTTCAACTTTTTTTGGTCAAGATTATACTCTTTTGTGTGATTCTGAACCCCTCTTCTTCATGGCCAATGGCATGACATTCTACTGTGTTCTCAAAAGGTACCAAATACTAAAAATACAGATTTGTCACCATAAATTATCAAGCTCAACTCTAATTAATCAAAAGCGTGGTACCCGGTCACCTTTAACTGTTTCTTCTGCATCTTGATATGATATAAAATGACTCTGGAGCAAATTCACTTATGATAATTAACTAATCTGTTTATTTGGTTTCAATTTTATCTCAACTATAATGAACCCACTACATGCCTTAGCCCAAATAGCAACAGCAGTATTAATGAGAGGATAATTCCTGCAATTTGGGGAAGATTGTGCAAACAAGTTGGAATGCCTGCTAAATCTCTGATAATGTTCAAACACACTTCATCAGACTTATCAGAACAGTAAATCAAGCTACCACTTAAAAAAACAGCTGTACTCATTGGAATATTCATTCACTTTGAAGAAGAACATTCAGTGAAATGGCTTTTAATCCTTCTAGGACACTCTAACCTCAGGGGTTCTGGGCAAGTGATGTCTTTATTATGCTTCTATGAGATCACTGAGCTTCCCAATTGAATCTGAAATGCATTTACTGCAAGAGGCCTGTCTGAAGATCAAATGCCAGGTAATGTCTTTGACCAAGAACAATTAGCAAAGTTCGTTCTTCCTTACCTCTTTTACCGAGGAGAATCATTGGTTTGCATTAAGGAATATGTTCAGTCTTTATTAAAATCATTTGGGCACCTCAGGGAAGAAAATTCTATGTGCTTAGAATCTCACAAAAATGAATGACCTGAGCAGGTAGAGTTCATGACGAGAAACCAGACCCAAACAACATTTTCATGAGCAGATACATTAAGCAAGCTTATAAAGAATAATTACAGTGATTATAACAAAACTCATGTCTATTTATTAAACATTTAATAACATACAAAAAATAAAGCTTATTATTATTATCAATCTCAAATGTAATTAAGGCAGGAGGTTACTTGCATATTCTTATTCAATCTTCAAATCAAAAGAGATCAGTACTATCGTTATCCCCATATAACAAACTAGACCAGGGGTTAGCAAACCATAGCCCATGATCCAAAGCCTACCCCTTTTTTAAAAAAAAAAAATAAAGCTTTATTGTAACACAGCCATGCCCATTCACTTATGTATTGTCTGTGACTGTTTTCCCAGTGGAATGCCAGAATTGAGTAGTTGAGCTAGAGACTGTCTGGCCTAAAATATTTATTACCCTGCCTTTTATAAAAGTTTGCCAACCCCTAAATATGAGGCTTAAAAAAGAAAACATAAATTTCTAATTACAGATTAGTTTCAGTTCTACAAAGGAATAAAAAGAGATACTATATGAATTTATTAAGACAGCAGTAATACTATTTGCTTAATATAGAGTTCTGTGTTTTTGATGCAGGATTTTTTGCTTCGTAGCTTAGCTAGGTCCTGGTTCTTGTCTCATACCCAGGAAGAATTAGGCATGTAGACACTCAGAAAGTGAGTCAGGAAGGAAGTTTTATTGAGTGGTGAAGCAGCTTTCGGTAGAGAGGAGCCTCAAGGGTGGTCCCACTACCCGAAAGCAGGAGAGTTCCGAATATGGCTGAGCCCAGGGCTTTCTATGGGCTCAGAATAGGGAGTGTGTGCTAATTGGTTTGTGAGTATGCAAAAAAGGTTAAAGTGAAGACATCAAAGGTGGGCACAATAGTGAAGTAAACCAATTAGGAAAAGGGAGATATACGTAAAATAAGTGAAGGATGGGGATCAATCAGAGGAAAGCATGCCAAATGGGAAGGTGGGTTTCAATTTGGTCTGAGGATTTACCCAGCACTGTTTTGGGCTTGAAGGTCAGGTTTCACCAGCGACCTGCCCCTATCTGCCTAGGCATTTGTCTGCCTCCTGCCCCTATCATTTTTTTAAAGCCAGTGAGAGCATCCCCCGGAAAAGAGACTCTAGGCTTTAAAGGAAGTTTCTTCTACTTTTCTCTCCCCATTGCATCAGGGAAGCTTCATCCACACAAATTTATCTGAACCCCCAGCATCCTTCCTAACTTCTTGCCTTGCCATGCTTTCTTATCAAACTCTGGGGCTATGATTTGGTGATTTGCTTTCAGACTCTTACTTCCTCACTTGGCTTTTCCAATTTGGCAAATTTTCTGCTATTGACTCAGTATCACATCTCAGCAGGACCCTGACTCCAGTTTCAGTCTATGCCTAGGTTTTGGCCACCAGCTTAAAAACATTCTCATTCCTAACTTCAACCTGCCCTTGGCTTCTCTCTCACTATCTTGGTGCTGACAGCTCAGATGGTCACCACCATATCATGAGGGTCAACATCAAACATCAATGACACAGATGCATTTTAAGGTATATTTTTTAAAAGGCAGTTTAAATTTTACGAGTAATGCATGAGTTTCTTCTACTTGTAAAGTTCAAATATTGCAGATGACGCTAAATCCCTTAAGCCACCATTCCCTGACCATCCCACAATAAGAAGTCAGCACAAACACCCAACAGATTGACAAAAAAAAATTAAAGTTTGAAATACAAAGTGTTCATGAAACCATGGGCCTGCAGTTTCTCTCACAGACTCCTAATAAAACTGGGGGGCATTTTGACAATGTCGGTTAAAATTTAGAATTTACAAAATCTATGTCCCAGCAAAACTACTACATGATATTTACCCTACAGTTATACTCAAAGATGAGGACAAAAAAGCAGACTCATAAATGCACAGTGTGCAGTGGTTGTGATAGTAAAAATAAACAACTTTTATATAATTTTAAAATGTGGCAGGATTCATGGCATTTGCAACATGTAACTACAGATGTATAAACCATGTCACTGTAGATTCTTATTTGCAAGGTTCTTCCTTTTCTTCATTCTTTTCACCAAATCATTTATATTCAATAGTAAGGTAAACACATTAAGTGAGCTAGGAGGGAGTTTTAGAGGAGTTCTTTCCTCTTCCCTTTGCCCCAAATAGCAATGAGCAGATAGGAAATAGAAAATAAGATTCTAAGAGAGTATGTTTTTTTAGAAAAGGAATAGGAGATATTAGTAGATCTGAAATCAAGGAGACAATTCTTGGTGAAGCTGCAGTGAGACAATATAAGTCAGAATGCCCAGAACCACTTTGGTACATCACAGATAATCTGTAAAAATTTACCACATCTGGATCAATTCTGTTTTTTCTACCATCCATATTGTATTCTTGCTCTGAATATACAAACTCCATGCAAATATTATCTTCTTAATTAGCTTTAAGACTTACCTTTATTGCTAGCTTTGGCTATAAAGGACAGGACTTAAATGAGATCCACATCCATATAAAAGCTGTGTGACCACATGCTATCTAATTTTGGGGGAGTTCCCTGGTGATATGGTTTGGCTCTGTGTCCCCACCCAAATCTCATCTCGAATTGTAATCCCCATGTGTTGAGGGAGGGAAGTGATTGGATTATGCGGGTGTTTCCCCCCTGCTGCTCTCATGATGGTGAGTGAGTCTCATGAGATCTGGTTGTTTGATAAGTGTCTGGCTTTTCCTCCTTCACTCTCTCTCACCTGCCACCAGGTCATATGTGCCTCTTACCCTTTTGCCATGATTGCCTTCTCAGGTAGTATTTTTTATAGCAGTGTGGAAATGGACTAATATAACTGGTGAACCTTTGATTCCAAATTTTCTACATGTTAATCTCTTGGTAACACCCTCACAGACACACCCAGGAACACTACTTTGCATTCCTCAATCCAATCAAGTTGATACTCAGTATTAACCATCACATGGCCATTGGCTTTTGTGGCAATTTTCTATAACGTGGAATCATGTCATTTATGTGAATCTAAGTTACAGCTAATCTGAGAATCTAATAGCCACATACCATCTGCCACCCCAGTACTTACCAAAATCTCATTATTTCTTTTGTACACACATGTACACATACACATACACATACACACACACACACACACACACCCCTACATAAAGGTTATGGAGGCCTCACATTTAAAAGAATGAAAATAAATCCTGAAAGCAAGAGGAATACTTCAGAATTCCCTGTTTATCTCCTCTTGTATCATAAAAGACTGCATGAAAACCTTGAATGCTCTTCTTGAAACAATTCAGGGGATTTTCAAGGCTAATTCTGATGCCTCAGGATTTTTGCCATGTGTGCTTACTGGCTTCAGAACCCAGCCCTGTGTAAGGAGAAACCCATCATACCTGTCCTGAGAATGTGCTCCTTTGCTCCCTGAATCAGTTGCTCATGAGACTGTAGAGCCAGTGATAGCCGGTCTCCAGCAGCTACCACAGTGCCTGATGCTCAATAAGAACTTACTAAATGAAGGAATTACTGCAGTAGGAATCAAAATGAATGCTTTGGCTTAAGAGCTAACATGCACAGATATAATAGATCAACCTAATGCCCATAGGTGAGTCAATAGCTGAATAAACTAAGACATGTTCATAGTTTAGAATGCTAGGTGGCTATTTAAGGAAACAGGAGGCACATAATAGGTCTATATAATAATAGACGTGGAGAAATAATAACTCAGAAGTACATAGGTATTATTACTGAGTGAAAAAATTTCAGGACAACATTAAATAGCATGATGCCATGTATATAAACAAAAACTTTTTAATCTATATAATTTCTACGGGTATGCATATCCACACACAGCTGATATCTAGAATTATATAATTAATAAAAGTTACCTTTAAGGAGCAGGAGAGTGGGTCAAAGGAGGTGGTAGCCTTATGTGTAATGTTTTATTTGTTATATGGGGAATTTATGTCTTCCTTATGCAATTAAAATAATTTTTTAAAGAGCGTTGAGTAGGTGATGATCACATGGGCCTATCTTGTTCAGCTTTATTATCAGTAACCCTCCCATCAATAAGCAAAGGCAGAGCTGCCCCATAAAAAGCCCCTGTCTCTGTGCTCAGCCTTGTAGGACTGTCACCAAGCTCTTCCTCCTGGTCACTCATTCTTGTCAAGCCACTTGCTCCATTCTGACATCTCTCATTCCGATCACACTGGCTTATGCTAGCTTTCATCTCTCTCTCTGCCCACCCTGTGCCCACTCCCAGGATGCCAGAACCCAGCCGTTGTATAGCTCCTGGATGCCCCTAATCCAAGGACACTATGATTCTAACAAGATGATGAACAATGGTGAGATCAAAATGTGAGTGATTGGTGATTTGCTAAAATCTAAAAAGCACTGAATTTACTGACCAATTTTTAGATACTCAAAGGCAGAATTCAGTCTGATGAAAGCAGCCAAATCTGTGAGTTTACAATGTTCCTAAAATAAAATAATTATCATCATCCTCATCCTAACCATCAATCTTTGAGATATTATTACAGTTGATTCTCATCATTCATAGTAGTTATGTTTCATAAAGTTGCTATAAACACTGAATTAACAAATAATGGACCATTGTTCCTAGAGGAAATAGAAGGCTAGGCTCCTAAGAGCCTCTAGTCACAATATATTCATCAGCCAATTAATATATAACCCTGTTATATCATATGTGTTTGTTTAATACATATGATTGATTCATTATCATTAAACTCACAGCCAACACTACTATAACTCATGCCTGAACAAAGCTTATCTAATGTATGTATTTTCTTTATAGGCACGTCATATCCTTCTTGTCTTTAGAAGCACTATAGAGCACTTCAGGGCTATGTTTGGGGATATTTTAATCAAAATCACCAACAAAAAGCACAAACATGTGAAAAAATGGCACTAAATAGACTGGAGATGAACACTATTTACAGTGTAAGTGCTGAAACAAGAAGGCAGAACATTGCCTTGTTTAACCTCAGCTGAGAATGTGTATTTCGGCCAGGCGTGGTAACTCATGCCTATAATCCCAGCACTTTGGGAGACCAAGGCAGGTGGATCACTTGAGGTCAAGAGTTAGAGACCAGCTTGGCCAACATGGTGAAACCCCGTCTCTACTAAAAATACAAAAAATTAGCCAGGCATGGTGGCATGCACCTGTAATCCCAGCTACTTGGTAGGCTAAGTCAGGAGAATTGCTTGAACCCAGGAGGTGGAGGTTGCAGTGAGCCGAGATCATGCCACTGCACTCTAGTCTAGGCAACAGAGGAAAACTCTGTCTTAAAAAAAAAAAAGAAAGAGAAAGAAAACTTAGAGAATGTACATGTGCATGTCAGGCAACTCAACTTTCGTTGCTTTCCTAATGTCTGTGAATAATCGTGAAAATGTTGCTAGTATCGACTTTGGGTTTACCCACAAGTTTTAGCACGTAGGCAAATTTTCGAATACTGAATCCACAAGTAATGAGGGTGCACTGTGTACACTCAACACCTGAAACATTTTTTACTTTTTTTTTAGTTGTATATCAACCTTTTGGAGTAGACACTATTATTCCGAATTCACAAAAGAAGGTAAAAGCTTGAAGAGATTACATGATTTGACAAATATCACAGAGCTGGGAAATCATGGATCTGGAGTCACACCTGGGCCTGTGTGATTCTAGAGCCAGAGCCTTGAACTCCTGGTTTGCCACCTATCTGGATGTCTATAGTCTAAATGTAGGTACCCCGGTCTTCATATTACAGTATGACCACATAATCAAAATCAAGTGAAACCACCATATTGACCATCAGCAGAGTGCAGACTCTTTTGCATCAAACCCATCATTCGACCTTCAAAACTGCCAATCTTAGTGGAGTGGGAACAACTCTCATTGCATGGGACCAAACACTCTAGGTCACAAAATTTTTCCTAAATAGAAGTTAAAACTCAATCAAATGTTATGACTTCACCTGACTCCACACCTGGGATGTCCTTCATACCCTGAAGGTCTCTTTAAGCAGAGTGACAAAGGAATCTCATTAAATGTGTGCACTATGGCCTGATGGCATGTTCTCATCATAAGCCCATAGGTGCCTTCTGATGTGTTGAGACTCTAAGTGTTTTTTAGCATGAAGGATTTTTCAAATAACAGACATAATTTGAGGAGGAAGGAAAGACTCAGATCACATTTGCTAAGATTTTTCTGAAAGGAAAAGTTAATACTGGCCTCATTTATATTCTCAATCCCTCCTAAACTTGTCATTTATAATTTTGATCCTTGTTGCCAAGATCATATGTCTCAGTCTACCTTGAATATTTTCTATCCTTTTTCAATATTAACCATCCGTATATGGTTCATATAAAGTTAAGCAATGATTTTTTACAAATAGGTATAGAGAACCCACTATGTGCAAGGTACTAGGCATGTTGTTGTGAAGAGCTCATGTTAAAAAAAAAAAAAAGACAGACCCCATGATTATGCTCAAGCAAAAAAAGATCACATGAAACAGGCATGTGTTGGCTGGTGACAAGTTCTCAAAGAGTGATGGATGACATGTTTATGGGGAGGGGGGCATTTTTGTTGGGGGTCATCTCTTTAGAGTAAGTATCTGGGCTCAGAAGACAAGCATGGGTTCCAATCCCAGCTCAGTCACTCACTGGGTCTTGTGTGATCTTATATGAAATACCCATCTTCTCTGATTGTCAGCTTTCTTCTTGACTAGAGACAACAAACTCTATTTCAGTGCACTGTTTTAAGTTAAATAAGCTAAGCAGAGAAAAGGATATTATCAGCATCATCACACATGAAAATAGGTTGTATTAAAACAGGGAGAGGCTCCCATATATAAACAATGATATGTTATACCCTTTTAGGAATAAAACTTCCAAAGTCTACTGAGCCATTTCCTAGGTATTTTCATGCATTATGCCGCTTAATCTTTACAACAGCCCTGTGAGGCCATTTCCGTTAGCCTGCACATGTTATAAATAGGGAAACCAAGTCACAGGGAGGTTAACTGGCATGTTCAAGGTCACAGATTCAGTCACTGACAAAGCAGGATTTAAAATCCATATACCTTCACTTCAGAGCCTTTGCTTTTACCCATCACCCGTTTACATCCTTCCAGCTCTAGGAAGAAGCATAAGCTAAGGCAAACAAACAAACAAACAAACAAACAACCCTGGAAGGGTGCTCAGGACAGCAGCTGGATGCTCAAAGACAGAAAGTGGACCAGACAGAGGAGGTGGTTTGAAAGCTACATTGAGGAAGAATAAAAAATTAAACGAAGGTATTCGGGTATTGTTTATTGGCAAGGTAGAGCCACTGAGGGTTTACGAGTCAGGTGGTGCTATAAGTTCTGTGCTTCAAGAAGATTAATCTGGTACAATGGATCAGAGAGGAGAGAAAGAAAGACCATTTTGAAGTTGTCTATTAAAATAGCTCAAGCATGACATGATAAGGGCTTAAACTTGGCTAGTAGAAAAAAAGAAAGTATGAGTTTGAAATTGCTTAAAAAGAACACCTCTCTTCCCCATTTTGTCAGTTCAGTCTTTAGATTATAAGTCTGTATTTTTCCTGCAACAGTAAGCAACACTCTTCTTTTTCCTCTTTCAGAATTTGTTCCATTTTAAATCCTATCCACTGTATTTAAACTTTGTTGTGTTTAGCATTAAGCTGCAGTGCGGTTGTATATTATGATGCCTGAAAAAATACTCTCAACAACTCCAGAGCAGAAGTAAGTTAGTGATTCGGAGCAGGGAGCATTAAGGTTAATTACCTAATAATTTACTACAGTGAATGCATCTGTAGACATTTTGATTTTCACTAATTGTGGAGCTGAACAAAGTAAACAACACTTTGTTCATATTCCAGCTGTGAGGAATATGTCAAGGGAATCTTTCCTGTGATTTATAAGCCCATTGCTTTACCCTTGAGCACAAGGCCACTTGATGGGAAGTTGGAAAGACCAATGGTTTTGTGGACTCCATGGATTGGTTTAGTAAAGATTTCCCTTAATAAGACTGCAAGCCGACCTGCCCTTGCTGCTTCGCTGAGTGTGCCATTCAGAGAAACTAGGCAGGAGCAATGCTAATGCAATTTGATGAGTCCTGGAGCTCTGGTTGTAGACATGCATCATAGTCTGTGCTTGCGGGAAGTCGGGGAAAAGGGGTAGGATGGGAATGCTGGGATAGTGTCAGAGTTAAAGTAAAATCATTATGTGCAGTCACATCCAGACTCAAAGGCCAGCTCCTCCAATTACTAGCTTGGTAACCTCAAGCAAGCAAGTTGACCACTTAAAGTATACACTTTTTCATCTAACCAGGAACAACAGTACTGCTTTGTGGAATTATCATGAGAACTAAACCTGATACTAATTTATACGGGGCATCTGAGACTTTGGCCCACCCAAGTGTCACTATCACGTCCCTTTATTTTCCTCTACAATTTGCCTTTTCTGCTCTCAGATCAAGTGATTGGGATCAGAACTAACCCTCCATCCTGTGCGTCAAAGATGGGCATTTAACCTGGGCTTGGCTAATCAAAGCAATTCATCCCCTGGCCACAGTGATCAGTTTCAGGATGGATATATTACCCAAGCAAGGCCAATCAGGCTAAATAAGGTCCAACTCAAGTTATTTTCTGCTACCTTCTGGAAAGAGAAAGATGCTCAGTTTAAAAAACTAAAAGATGAGGATGCCAGCTCAGAATAGCTGTATCACCCCAAAAGGGGAGGACTTGATTAAGAAAGAAACCAAACAGAGGAATACAGACCAAAACCCTGAAGAGAGGACTATTGGGTCCTTATGATATTGTTTGAGATCCTGAATGCAGCCATGCCCAAAGGCAGAGATATCAAAACTCTTTGTTTTATGAGCCAATTAATTACCTATTATGCTTGTGATAGTTTACGTATGACTTCTGGAACTTCCAGCTAAGAGTCCTAGTACTTTAAAGCTTCAGTATAGTTTGCAATGCTTAGAAGGGACTTAATAAACACTCTTCTTCTTATTGTTGTTGTTATTAAAGGCCAGGTGCAGTGGCTCACGCCTATAATCCCAGCACTTTGGGAGGCTGAGGCAGGTAGATCACCTGAGGTCAGAGTTTCAAAGCCATCCTGGCCAACATGGCGAAACCCCATCTCTACTAAAAATATGAAATTAGCCGGGCATTGTGGTGCATGCCTGTAATCCCAGCCACTTGGGAGGGTGAGGCAGGAGAATCACTTGAACCTGGGAGGCAGAGGTTGCAGGGAGCTGAAATCGCACCATTGCACTCCAGCCTGGGCAACAAGAGCAAAACTCCGTCTCAATAAATAAATACATACATACATACATACTCCAATACTCATCCCTATTCTCAAGCCATGTTTATTTTCCAAATGATTGGGAAAGGAGTTCCATTTACTAGTTTTTTATGTGGCACCAAATAAAGCAAATGTTCTAGGTTTAGATCATCTCTTTAAAACTAACAAAAAAAGCCTAGAGATGTTTAAAGCACTAGCAATTCTGAGAGGAGGAGGAGGAGAAAAAGAAACAAATGACTGTGGCCTTTTGATCAGATGCCTGGGAATCTGGAAGGCATTCTGTCAAGGTTGTATGCTTAGCCATCACTGCCACAGAGTTCAATTTCCATGAGTATACAGACTTTGTTCATTCATCCTATTCTGTACAGTATGAAGCTTTGCATATTTGCCACCTCTTGCCTTTCCAAAGCTCATCATTGGATGCCTGCAGTAACTGGAGAGTTATGTGCCTTTTGACCAAGGTACTATTCAGAGTCCACTTCTCAGATGAGGAAGCTGAAGGTGTAAGAGATTATGTGACATGATAGTCTCAAGACCCTTGGGGAAGAAAGAGCAGGAATCTGAAACCAAAATCCAAGGAGTTTGACTTCCAAGTGGTGCCTTCTCCATAACTTAGAAGGTGATCACAGGAGCACATATGGGGGCAACATAGTGTAGTGAGTTGTTGCTGGCCACCTGGCCACAGGCACTGCCCAACGATATGCTCCCTATTTCCCCTTGAGACAACTATGCAGCCTTCCGGACCTTCTGGTCTCCATGTCTAAAACCAGCGTGATCACAGTTCCTGCCTCTCAAGAGACTGAAGTGAAACCGCCAAGCCAAGGGGTTCACCTTGCCCACTGCCTCGACAGAGCCGATTGATCAAGACAGGGGAACTGCAATAGAGAAAGAGTAATTCCCACAGAGCCGGCTGTGCAGGAGGCTGGAGTTTTGTTATCACTCAATTCAGTCTCCCCAAGCATTCGGGGAGCAGGGTTTTTAAGGATAACTTGGTAGATGGGGGGAAGCCAGTGAGCCAGGAGTGCTGATTGGCCAGGGATGAAATCACAGGGAGTTGAAGCTGTCTTCATGCACTGAGTCAGTTCCTGGGTGAGGGCCACAAGATCAGATGAGCCAGTTTATTGATCTGGGTGACGTCAGCTGATCCATCAAGTGCAGGGTCTGCAAAGTATCTCAAGCACTGATCTTAGGAGCAGTTTAGGGAGGGTCAGAATCTTGTAGCCTCCAGCTGCATGACTCCTAAACCATAATTTCTAATCTTGTGGCTAATATTGGTCCTACAAAGGCAGTCTACTCCCCAGGCAAGAAGGAGGTCTGCTTTGGGAAAGGGCTGTTACTGTCTTTGTTTAAATTATACACTGTAAACTAAGTTTCTCCCAAAGTTGGTGCAGCCTACGCCCAGGAATGAACAAGGATAGCTTGGAGGTTAGAAGCAAGCTGGAGTCAGTTAAGTTAGATCTCTTTCACTGTCTCAGTCATAATTTTGCAAAGGCGGTTTCAGAAGGATTAACTGGTATGATGGATTCAAACACATCTAACACTAAATCCAAAACAAAGAAAGAGTCAGACGAAAGCTGAAGATTGCATCCTAAGTGAATTAACGCAGGAAAGGAAAACCAAGTACTACATGCTCTCACTTAACGTGGGAGCTAAACATTGAGCACAGATGGACATAAACACGGGAACAATAGACACTATGGACTACTAGATAGGGGGAGGGAGGGAGGGAGGTGGGCGTGGGTTGAAACTACCTATTGGGTACAATGCTTACTACCTGGGTACAATATACCCATGTAACAAACCTGCCCCTATATCCCCCGTATCCAGAATAAAAGTTGGAAAAAAAAAAAAAAGAAAGAAAGATTGAATCTGTGGGCACAAATCGAACTCTTCTGAGATAAAATATTGATTGGAAAGTTCTTTAGGGAAGCCCACATGGAGTGCAAAAGAAACAACAAGGACATTCCAGGCAGCCCGTCTGTACTAGTAAAAACTCAGAAATAATGTAAAGACTCACCCATAGGAGAATGGCAAAGTGAAGCACATCTCCGCTTATAGAATGCTACTTAGCAATTTAAAAAGAACAATGAACGTTAACTCAGTATGCCCTGATACAGCAAGACCTATAAGACTTATTTTCCAGCAGAAAAAAAAAAGTGGCAATGATTTGTGTGAAAGAATGAAACAATATATAAATTTCCATAGAACAGGCAAGTCTCTTTCCAAATAATACATGTATATGTACTTTTATACAGTCTTGTGAGGACACATACCAAACCCACAGTATAAGTACTGAATTGAGTGTGGGGTCAAAAGAGAATCCAGCCATATCTGCTGTTTTAATTTTTAACGATAAAATTTTGGTCATGAATTACTTATGCAATTAAAAATTAACAATAAACACTCGAGGCAGCTGAAAGTAACCTCACACTGCTTCAAGCTAAAAGTAAACTGCTTCTACTACACAGTGCTAAAATAAACAGGAATAAATAGGAAAAAAGACATATTCAGCCACTTCCCAAGGTATAAAACAAAGGGGTGAGAAATAAGCAAAATGACTGGAATCTTTTTATGATTTAAATTTTTATTTTAACTGGCTGTGTCCCATATACACAGTGCAATTATCTTTCTTCAAAATATCATCACTCAGTTGAATGATCCTGCCACATAAAAAACAGGTTTGGCACAATCGTTGCATATTGTTGGGAAATTATCATCAACTTTCTTTTCTCTTCAAAAAAAAAATTCACAATGACACTGATGAGTTTTGTTGTTTTTCATCTAATACCTCCACCCAGTTTAAATCCATAGTCTGCATAAAATCCTTGAAATGTGACCTTAATGGTGGAAATATCCTATGTGAGACAGAGCATTGTCTCCAAAATACGGTTTTTCGGGACTCATAACATGGGGACAATTGCACCTTCTCTCGGGTCATCACACCCATCAGGCTCTTAGATATCTCTGCCCCACGAGGTCTGCCATTTAATCCCTGCTGTCAACTCTACGAGGCCTCCACTCTCATAAACCCTTCTTTCAGAGCCTGGAAGCGCATGAATCAGTTTGCATTCATATATGTGGTTTCAAACCCACATGGAAATTTCTTCTATCCCCTTTGCTGATTTTGCCCATTCTCATGGCTTCAGATAACATCTTTTAGCTACATAAATTTGTATTTTTAGTTCAGATCTCTTTTTTTGAGCCCTAGATTCACACAACCAACTGCCCCTGCACCATCTTTACTTTGATGACTCACATGCATCTTAAGCTGTTAACATGTCCAAAATAAAATCTTTAAGATTTTGCTCTCCCAAATCTCTCTCCTCCAATTTTCTCGTATCTTAGTAAATGAAACCAGCATCCCAAACATACTGTCTTACTACCCACTCCCCATATTTACAGGCTCTATTTGTTTTACCTCCAAACTTTCTCTCAAGTCCATCTACTTTTCTCCATCTGAACTGTCACCAACCAGCTGTGAACCACCATCACCTCTCACCTGGTCTATGGGAGCACCTTCCTCACCAGCCTCTGCATTTCATGCTTGCCATCCCCCACTATTTTTCACAATGCTATGCTCCTGATTTTCACCCTTTAAGTTTTTCCACTACATTTAGATTAAACTCCCAACTCCTCCCTGGGGTCTGCAAGCCCTCTGGGACTAGAGCCTGCATAATTCCCACACTTTATATGACAGCCCCCTCGACAACACATTTTAATTGCACGAAGCATCCATTGTGCCCTAGGAAACAACCTCTTTCCTAAGACATTTTCTTTGCCCTGGAATTTTGCATTTCTGTCTTTTTCACCCTTCAGGTCTTTTCTCCAATACCACCTCCATGCAGTGCCTTACTTTGCCGCACCCTCTAATCCAGGCCCTGCCTATTGAAACAGCCACTCTATTTTCTTTCTTTTTTTTTTTTAGACAGAGTTTTGCTCTGTCACCAGGCTGGAGTGCAGTGGCGTTATCTTGGCTCACTGCAACCTCTACCTCCCAGGTTCAAGTGATTCCCCTGCCTCAGCCTCCTGAGTAGCTGGGAGTATAGGCAGGCACCACCACGCCCAGCCAATTTTTTGTGTTTTTTTTTAAGTAGAGACAAGGTTTCACCATGTTGACCAGGGTGGTCTTGATTTCTGACCTCGTGATCTGCCAGCCTCGGCCTCCCAAAGTGCTGGGATTACAGGCATGAGCCACCCCGCCTGGCTGGAACAGCCACTCTATTTTCTTTAGAGTGAAAATCACAAACTTTAATTACATGATTCATGTGTGCTCTTGCTTGTTATTCTTGTCCTCCATGACAGCAGGAATCTTCTCTGTCTTGTTTATGGTTGTAGACCCAGCACTGACCTTAATGGCTAAGATATAATTGAGACAGAAAAAATTATTTGTAGGATAAATGAATTAGAAATGTATTTATTGAGTTCTGTGCTATGTACTCAACACTTCGCTAAGAAGTAGGGAGTATTTTGTAAAAGGCATGGGATCAAATGCCATCATCTTTGCCCTTAAAGAAGTTGTATTTTATTTGAAGAGACCAAACTCTGCACAGTGAGAAAATGAAACTAACAACATAAGCCAGTACATTTGAGTACTCGATTTAAGTACTAAATTATATGTTTTTGGTCACGTCGAGTTGACCAGAGGAACTTCTGGTGGGATAGGCCAGCCAAATGGTTTACTTATGAATAAGAGGGGTAAAGTTACAGAAGTTGGAGAAGTAAGAAACAATGAATTCTGGAATATCCAGAGAGGTCGTCATGGAGAAGGTTAAATGTATACCAACCTAAGACAGGTCGGAATTAGTTAAAAGTGCTTGAAAACACCTAGAGTGATGGTCCTTAGGTTCCCGAAGTAATGTTAATAAAAGGGAGCCCATTTACCTGCCAAATAGCAGGATATTTTATTATCTTTCCAGTGTATCCCATAACGAGGAGTGCCAGAAATTCCCCAGGTCAACTCAGAATTAATATGAGACACAATCACAGAGATCTTAGTTTCCAAACTCCCAAGTCCATGCCTGTATGTTCTTCCCCTTCCCAACACAGGCCCTGATGCACTGTATCTTTTTGAGGCTGAAGAGAGGGACGGAACCTTCTCCTAAGAAACAGGCTGCAGCTACCATCTCTGCCCTTGGTCCAAAGTGCTGTCTCCTCCCATCTTATCCTTGCCAGCTCTAGTCAATTTTGGAGCATTAGCATCTTTCCATAAGCAGTGATAAATCGGGACATTGCAAGACAGCTGGTGTCCCACACCAAACCTCAGAAATCTTACCAGCTAGAGGCAAACAGATGTTCTCTGCCTTTCCTACCTTGTTTACCAAGGGCTGTAACTAGTCCTGGGCTTTGGGTATGTTTGCTTAACAGATGCATCCTAATGCAAATTAACTGGGAAGGAATGGGAAAAAATAAACAAAAAATGCAAATGTTTAGCCACTCAAAATTTTCTGTCTTAAAAATACTCTCCAGGAACAAATGGCAATGAGAGCGAAGTTCAAAATGTTCCTATTTCTTCTGAGTTCACAGCTAATGTTCTTTTTATACTAGGCCTTCATGTGATTATTAAGGACAAAGATCAAGAAATAGAAGGGAACTCCAAATGGAAAGGGGAAGAAAATTGGGATGGAAAGAGAAAGCCCTAAGTGTGGTATACTCAAAGAACACTAAGAGGCAAGGCTGGCTCCAAAACATCCATGTAGGAAAACTGGAAGAGTGATGATATTTTTGGAAGATTGTGCAAGAGAACTGTTCTTGAGCTCCTGAGTTCTTGAGCAAGGACACTCTTTGGACGAGATCTTTTGCTTATTTAGGATTGTGGGGCTGTTAGAAATTATCAAGGGCTAAATTTCACCCCAGCTACCTCTTGGCACTACTGATAACAGACAAGAGACAGCTGTAACCAAACTGAAGGTACATTGCAGTAACGTGAAGGGAGGATTAGAGACCCCAGCTAGAGAAAAAGAACAGGTACATGCCTAGAATAAGACAGTAACAGCTGAAAGGAAAGGAAAGATACAAGAAACCCTCCAGGGGGAATTCAATAAGATGCAGTGAGTGGATACATTTAGGAGATGCCAGAGAAGAGTGAGTCAGAAATTCTCCAAGGCTGCAGGCTTGGCAGGCTGAGCGTGTATGTCAGAGAAGTCAGGAGTAGATACAAGTTTGGGGGCATAATGATGAATTTGTTTCTCCACCTGCTAAATTTGAGGTAACAGCAAGATATACAGGTGACAATGCCCAGTAGGTTGTTGAAGATATAGGAGCCAGTCCAAATAGAGTTCCTGGTATTTGTTAAAATAGCACTGACTGGAAAACTCACCTAAAACACACAAGCATTGCAGTGCTTTGCTGAAACCTCTGAAGCTTATGAATTGTCTGTTCTCAGTTCTTTGTGAAATGCTGAGTTATAGATATATAACCCCAAGGCTCATGATATCTAAGTCTTTCTAAACAAATAGCTGTGAGTGCAAAGAATCATAAGGTCTGGAAATGTCTGGGCTGGAAATACTCCAGTTAAGCTTGGACTGTGGACATTCCTCCCTCCCCCAAAACCTTTGTGAATTTTATAATATCTGAGTATCACTACATAACTGGCTGTAGCAACGTAGCATCTCTATACTGTTGTCAACTTCGTATCTATTTGTAAAACAGTACTGCTTTTTACCAAAATAAATTTAATTTACAAAGTAGTACCGTAAGTGAAAAAACAGTATCACATGAATAAAATACAATGGTAAAAATACAGCTAATGAGGAAAAAGATATTAAAGCTAGCTGATTACTAGCTGTTGTACACATTTGTCATTTTTTGCATGCTTGACTTCTCTGTTGTTCAATATCCAGTGTCAACTTGATTGGATTGAAGGATGCAAAGTATTGTTCCTGGGTGTGTCTGTGAGGGTGTTGCCAAAGGAGATTAACATTCGAGTCAGTGGACTGGGAAAGGCAGACCCACCCTCAATCTGGGTGGGCACCGTCTAATCAGCTGCCAGTGCGGCCAGAATAAAAGCAGACAGAAGAACCTGGAAAGACTAGACTGGTTTAGTCTTCTGGCCTCCATCTTTCTCCCATGCTGGATGCTTCTTGCCCTCGAATACTGGACTCCAGGTTCTTCAGCTTTGGGACTCTTGGACCTTTGTCCACAGACTGAAGGCTGCACTGTCAGCTTCCCCACTTTTGAGGTTTTGGGACTTGGATTGGCTTCCTTGCTCCTTAGCTTGCAAATGGACTATTATGGGATTTCACCTTGTGATCATGTGTGTCAATTCTCCTAATAAACTCCCCTTTATATATACATACGTCTTATTAGTTCTGTCCCTTTAGAGAACCCTAATACTGAAACTTCTGAAAATCCTTCCTTTATGAGGAAGTCCAAATTACAGGGCAGGGTCTTGATTTTTCAAATGTATGCTGAAGGGGGATACAGATTTCTGCTCCCCATCTAACTCTAAGTGACCCTGTATTCTGGCTCATAGCCTTGCAAGGAAAGAACCAAAGACAAAAGGATGAATTTCTGAGACGCCCACACTGCAGTGTGTGGTGCACTGCCAGCTGCCACCCACAGTGCCCATGCAGGCCCGTCTCATGACATTTCTTGCTTAATTTATCAGATTCCTGGCTTTCCTTGGTTGTTGATGTAGTGTCCCTGCAAAACTTAGGGTCACTCAGAACCTCATAATGTGACCTTACTTAGAAATAGGGCTTTTGCGGATATAATCAGTTCAGGATCCCAAGATGAAATGCTGAATTTGTTGTGGGCTCTAAATCCAATCCTTAGAAGACAGGAGGACACTCAGATGCACAGAGCAGACCATGTGAAGAGAAACGCAGAGATAGGAGGGATGTACCTACAAGCCAAGGAATGCCTGGAGCCACCGGAAGCCTGTCAAAGTATCTGAGCCTGAGATCTATTTTTTGTTGAAATGAAAGTAGCAAGTGTTAAAGAGCTGTTAACAGCAGAGCAGTGCTAAATTGAGACTGTCCCCATGGGGCAATTAGAAAGACTGAAAGAAACTGGAAGGTAAATGACCTTGTATGATGTAATGTTATTTAATGGTATGTCTGTTTTTTGCCTGAAGCCATCTAATGCAGCACTAGTGATATGTCCCCTATCTTGGTAAATATTGGTTTAGTAAAATGTCCCGCCTTTATAAATAGGAGATTGGGTCTTGGTAAAGCAAAATGAAAGCACACAATCCCATGGATAGGCTAGAAGAGTCAAGTCCATGACTCTGTTCTTCCACGTTTCCTCCTTTTGCTCCCCACTCCACTGTTTTACCCCTTTATACATCTCTTCTTCAGGGCTTTCCTAACTATGTTTCTAGCTTTTGTAAGCTCCGTGCTTTAACATCTGCCCTATGTGCATATGCTGACACCACTCGTTCTGGACAATAAGGTGATATGCCCAAGTCACCTCGCCTTGGTCTCCTACCTCCCTCATCATCAACACCTCCCCTCCTTGGGAGGAGTCCTCCTCCTGGGGCATGTTTTCAAATGCAAACCCACCAGTTCAGAGTTCACACTCCTGTCATCCCTCTTATCAGGATCACACCATTCAGGCCACTATTCACCTCCCCTAATTACCCCAGAGCCAGGTACCAGACAGCTAAAGACAGCCTCCATGCCCAGGGTCTGCTGAAATTATTCAAATTAGCCAATCCTGAGCCTGCTGACCCTGCCTTCCCTGTTGCTTCCCATGGAAACCACAACAAAGGCTCTACCCACCGTTTTCTTCTCCCTCTGCCTCTGATCAGCCCTAGTGCTCCCCCACAAGGCCCCCCATGGCATGACATGCCCCTTGCATGAGGACTGTAACAAACTACCTTTTTTTTTTAAATTTTATTATTATTATACTTTAAGTTTTAGGGTATATGTGCACAACGTGCAGGTTTGTTACACATGTATACATGTGCCATGTTGGTGTGCTGCACCCATTAACTCATTATTTAGCATTAGGTATATCTCCTAATGCTATCCCTCCCCGCTGCCCCCACCCCACAACAGGCCCCGGTGTGTGATGTTCCCCTTCCTGTGTCCATGTGTTCTCATTGTTCAATTCCCACCTATGAGTGAGAACATGCGGTGTTTGGTTTTTTTGTCCTTGCGATAGTTTGCTGAGAATGATGGTTTCCAGCTTCATCCATGTCCCTACAAAGGGCATGAACTCATCATTTTTTATGGCTGCATAGTATTCCATGGTGTATATGTGCCACATTTTCTTAATCCAGTCTATCATTGTTGGACATTTGGGTTGGTTCCAAGTCTTTGCTATTGTGAATAGTGCCACAATAAACATACGTGTGCATGTGTCTTTATAGCAGTATGATTTATAATCCTTTGGGTATATACCCAGTAATGGGATGGCTGGGTCAAATGGCATTTCTAGTTCTAGATCCCTGAGGAATTGCCACACTGACTTCCATAATGAACAAACTACCTTTTCACTGTTAATCATCTCCTGATCTGTTGGCCTTGATACACCTCGATTTTCTATACTTTAAGACAAGAGTCTCAGGAAGCAACTATATCCCTTCAGTCACCATAACTGATAAAATTCCAATAACCTTGAACATCACTGGGATCTATTATCATAAAATTTGCTTCTTGGAATATTGTTCCATTTTCAAGGGAGATGAAGATTTTCTGGTGAATTCTTCACACACCTGTGTTTTGGTGATAAAGTAAAAACCTGAGTAATAGGGAAGCAGCATGACTCTGGAGGCAGGCCATGGGGTTTCAATTCAGCCTTCCCCATTTATTGATGATGGCATTATGACTAGTGATTAACTTCTCTAGCCCCAACTCCACCATCTGTAAATATCAGTACTAGTAGTACCACCCTGTCTTAGTCTATTCAAGATGCCATAAGAGAATACCACAATCTGGGTGGCTTGTAAACCACACAAATTTATATCTTACAGTCATGGTGGCTGATAAGTCCAAGATTGGGACACTGACAGGTTTAGTGATTGCTGAGGGTCCGCTTTCTGGTTCATAGACTGTACCTTCTCATGTAGTATCCTCACATAGGGGAAGAGCAGGGAATCTCTCTGAAGTCTCTTTTGTAAAGGCATTAATCCTGTTCATGAGGGCAGAACATTCATGACATTCTCACCTTCCAAAGACTGCATCTCCTACTACTGTCACCTGGGGGGTTAGGATTTCAACATCGGACTTTGGAGGGACATAAACATTCAGACCATAGCACACCCTCATGGGATTCTTTTGAGGAGTATAGGACTTCATGCAGATGAAGTACACAGTATAATTTTTTTTATTTCAATAGGTTTTTAGGGAGCAGGTGGTTTTTGGTTACGTGAATAAGTTCTTTAGTGGTGATTTCTGAAATTTTGGTGCACCCATCACCTGAGCAGTGTACACTGTACCCAATGTGTGGTTCCTTATCCCTCACCCTCCCTCTACCCTTTCCCCCGAGTCCCCAAAGTCCAATATGTCATTCTCATGCCTTTGCATCTTCATAGCTTAGCTCCCACTTATGAATGAGAACATATGATGTTTGGTTTTCCATTCCTGAGTCACTCCACTTAGAATAATAGTCTCCAATTCCATCCAGGTTGCTGCAAATGGCATTATTTTGTTCCTTTTTATGGCTGAGTAGTATTCCATGGGCATTTGGGCTGGTTTCGTATTTGTGCAATTGCAAATTGTGCTGCTATAAACATGTGTGTCCAAGTATCTTTTTTGTATAATGACTTCTTTTCCTCTGGGTAGATACCCAGTAGTGGGATTGCTGGGTCATATGGTTGATGTACTTTTAGATCTTTAAAGAATCTCCACACTGTTTTCCATAGTGGTTATACTAGTGTACCTTCCCACCAGCAGTGTAAAAATGTTCCCTTTTCATCAAGTCCATGCCAACATCTATTTTTTTTTATTATGGCCATTCTTGCAGGAGTAAGGTGGTATCACATTATGGTTTTGATTTGCACTTCCCTGATCATTAGTGATATTGAGCATTTTTCCATATGTTTGTTGGCCATTTGTATATCTTCTTTTGAGAATTGTCTATTCATGTCCTTAGCCCACTTTTTGATGGGATTTTTTTTTTTTTTGGCTGATTTGCTTTCGTTCGTTTTAGATTCTGGATATTAGTCCTTTGTCAGATGTATAGATTGCAAAAATTTTCTGCCACTCTGTGCCTTGTCTGTTTACTCTGCTGATTTTTTCTTTTGCTGTGCAGAAGCTTTTTAGTTTAATTAAGTCCCATCTATTTGTTTTTGTTGCATTTGCTTTTGGGTTCTTGGTCATGAACTCTTTGCCTAAGCCAATGTCTTGAAGGGTTTTTCCAACATTATCTTCTAGAATTTTTGTGGTTTTAGGTCTTAGATTTAAGTATCTGAGCCATCTTCAGTTGATTTTTGTATAAGGTGAGAGATGAGGATCCAGTTTCATTTTTCTACATGTGGTTTGCCAGTTATTCCACCACCATTCATTGAATAGGGTGTCCTTTCCCCACTTTGTTTTTGTTTGCTTTGTTGAAGATCAATTGGCTGTAAATATCTGGCTTTATTTCTGGTTTCTCTATTCTGTTCCATTGATCTATGTGCCTATTTTTATAGCAGTATCATGCTGTTTTGTTGACTATGGTCTTGTAGTATAGTTTCAGGTCAGGTAACGTGATGCCTCCAGATTTGTTCTTTTTGCTTAGTCTTCCTTTGGCTATGTGTCCTCTTTTCTGGTTCTATAGGAATTTTAGGATTGTCTTTTCTAGTTCTGTGAAGAATTATATTGGTATTTTTTATGGGAATTGCATTGAATTTGTAGACTGCTTTTGGAATAAGGTCATTTTCACAACATTGATTTTACCCATCCATGAGAATGGGATGTTTTTCCATGTTTGTGTCATGTGTGATTTCTTTCAGCAGTGTTTTGTAGTTGTGTTTGCAGAGGTCGTTCCTCTCCTTGGTTAAGTATATTCCTAAGTTGTGGGGTTTTTTCTTGCAGCTATTGTAAAATGAGTTCCTGATTTGATTATCAGCTTGGTTGCTGTTGGTGTACAGCAGAGCTGCCGATTTGTATACATTAATTCTGTATCCTGAAACTTTGCTGAATTCATTTACCAGTTCTAGGAGCTTTTTGGATTAGTCTTTAGGGTTTTCTAGATATGCAAACATATCATCAGCTAACATTGACAGTTTGACTTCCTCTTTCCTGATTTGGATGCCCTTTATTTCTTTCTCTTGTCTGACTGCTCTGGCTAGGTCTTCCAGTACTATGTTGAATAGAAGTGGTGAAAGTGGGCATCCTTGTCTTGTTTCAGTTCTCAGAGGGAATACTTTCAACTTTTCCCTATTCAGTATAATGTTGGCTGTGGGTTTGTCATTGAGGACTTTTATTACCTTAAGGTATATCCTTTCTATGCTGATTTTGCTGAGGGTTTTAATCATAAAGGGATGCTGGATTTGGTCAAAGGCTTTTTCTGTGACTATTGAGATTTTCATGTGATTTTTGTTTTTAATTCTGTTTATGTGGTGTATCACATTTATTGACTTATGTATGTTAAACCATCCCTGAGGACACAGTATCATTCTGGCCAAAGAGTGAGGAAGGGCTCAATAGATTCAAACTCATAACTAGATAAATAGCTTCAAATAATGAACATCAGGCTATTTGTCCCCAGTCCTTGCCTTGCTTTGAAGTGAGGACTTTCCTGAGAGTAAAGCTATGTCTTTCCAGGTAAACTCTGGGACCCCAGGTAAGTTAATTCTGGGATCCTTTGTCTTCATTCAGGAGATGTTCCAAGGTGAGAAGCTCCCTAATTAAAACTGGACCAATAATAATAATAACCAATAAAGCCAGTAAACCACATGTAAGGGCCTACATGCAGGCTAACTCTGTAGATTTCATCTTTTTTTTTCTTATTGAGAATGTTCTGACCCCAGAATTCATGCTCTTAACTACCAAACTATTGCACTTATTGCTGTACAAACTTGGGGTCCACTGCTCTATTTCAAACTCTTCACATCTCTTGCCTGATCATTAATAATGACTTTATAACAACACTGGCTTCCCTATTTCAAATCCTGCAAACATCTCCTTCAGCCTCCACATGACCACCAACTACCATTATAATTATGTACACATACAGTCATGTGTCATGTAACAATGGAGATACATTCTGAGAAATGCATCATCAGGTGATTTTGTCATTGTGGGAACATCATAGAATGCACTTACACAAACCTAAATGGTGTGGCCTACTATACACATAGGCTAGATGGTATGACCTATAGTCCTAGGCTACAACCCTGTACAGCATGTGACTGTATTGAATACTGGAGGCAATTATAACACAATAGTGAGCATTTGTGAATCTTAACATAGAAAAGATACAGTAAAAAGATGGTATTACAATCTTACAGAACCACCATCATATATGTGGTCAGTCATTGACCAAAATGTCATTATGTAGCTTATGACTATACACATGTATAAATATACAACATATACACTTATAGACCTTAATATGCTATGTTATGCTATAATGTCCTATGATATACTATAATATAGTCATTGTTCTTCTCAAAAACCTTTCACTATCTGCCCTGGCCCAAAGATAACATCCCAACTTCTTGGGGAGGCATATGTATTACTCCTTGACTCACCTGCAGGAGGGTCAGCATCCTCTCCCACCTCTCCATATATCACCCTGCCCACTCCGCCAGAGAACCTGCTGTTTACTATACTCAGCGGTAATTCCACAATGTCACTCTTTCAGCAACTCCTTCTTCCCCCAAATGCCTTCCACTCTTCTCAAAATGCCTTCACCTGTTCTTCAAATGTCTCCTTTGGGGAGCCTTGCATGAAACCCCCAGGAAGAATTAAGGACAATTTTGAACACAACTCTAGATCAGGCCAACATCTTCTCTGTGCTGGGTACTGTCCCAGTCCTCCTACCTGTTTACCTCACTTCCACCCTTGCCTCCTTCCAAGTCAATCCCATGGGAACCAGCATTTTCTGAAACTCAATAAAATTAGCTAGCATTTCAGCCAGGTGCAGTGGCTCAAGCCTGTAATCCCAGCACTTTGGGAGGCCAAGGTGGGTGGATCACTTGAGGTTAGGAGTTTGAGACCAGCCTGGCCAACATGGTGAAACCTCGCCTCTACTAAAAATACAAAAATTAGCTGGGCATGCTGGCATGTGCCTGTAATCCCAGCTACTCAGGAGGCTGAGGCAGGAGAACTGCTTGAGCCTGGGAGGCAGAGGTTGCAGTGAGCTGAGATGGCACCACTGCATTCCAGCTGGGCAACAGAGAGAGACTCTTTCTTAAATATATATATTTTATATATATATAGATACACACACACACACACACACACACACATATATATATATATATATATATATATATATATATGCATGCATGCCAGATGCAGTGGCTCACGCCTGTAATCCCAGCACTTTGAGAGGCCAAGGTGGGCAGATCATCTGAGGTCAGGAGTTCCAGACCAGCCTAGCCAACATGGTGAAACTCCATCTCTACTAAAAATACAAAATTAGCTGGCTGTGGTGGCTCATGCTGGTAATCCCAGCTACTTGGGAGGCTGAGGCAGGAGAATCACTTGAACCTGGGAGGTGGAGGTTGCAGTGAGCCGAGATCACACCACTGCACTCCAGCCTGGATGACAGAGCGAGACTCCATTAAAAAAATATATCTATATCTATAGATATCTATAGATATATATCTAGATATAGATCTATGAGTATATATCTATAGATATCTAGATATATATTTATAGATAGATATATCTATAGATATCTATATATTTCTATCGATAGAGATATCTATAGATATCTATCAATATATCTATAGATTTCTAGAGATATGTATCTAGATATAAATCTATAGACATAGATATAGATATATAGATATTTAACTGCCAATGTCCTAAACACTTTATACTCAACACATTTTTTATAAAAAAAAATAGATATCGGTCTAGATAGTATCTATCTAGATATCGGTCTAGATAGTATCTATCTAGATATCTGTGTAGATGTCTAGATATCTATCTAGATATTATCTATCTAGATATCTGTCGCTATCTAGATATCTATCTAGATATCTGTCGCTATCTAGATATCTATCTAGATATCTGTCGCTATCTAGATATCTATCTAGATAGTATCTGTCGCTATCTAGATATCTATCTAGATAGTATCTGTCGCTATCTAGATATCTATCTAGATAGTATCTGTCGCTATCTAGATATCTATCTAGATAGTATCTGTCGCTATCTAGATATCTATCTAGATAGTATCTGTCGCTATCTAGATATCTATCTAGATAGTATCTGTCGCTATCTAGATATCTATCTAGATAGTATCTGTCGCTATCTAGATATCTATCTAGATAGTATCTGTCGCTATCTAGATATCTATCTAGATAGTATCTGTCGCTATCTAGATATCTATCTAGATAGTATCTGTCGCTATCTAGATATCTATCTAGATAGTATCTGTCGCTATCTAGATATCTATCTAGATAGTATCTGTCGCTATCTAGATATCTATCTAGATAGTATCTGTCGCTATCTAGATATCTATCTAGATAGTATCTGTCGCTATCTAGATATCTATCTAGATAGTATCTGTCGCTATCTAGATATCTATCTAGATAGTATCTGTCGCTATCTAGATATCTAGATAGTATCTGTCGCTATCTAGATATCTAGATAGTATCTGTCTAGATAGCTATCTAGATAGTATCTGTCTAGATAGCTATCTAGATAGTATCTGTCCAGATATCTGTAGCTATCTAGATTGTATCTGTCTAGATATCTGTAGATATCTAGATATCTATATCTATCTGGATATCTATAGATATTTAACTGCCGGGCAATGTCCTAAACCCTTTACACTCAACACATTTCATTTTATAACAAAATATGAGGTAGATATTATTATTTCCCTCAACTCACAGAGAAGAAAAAAATGAAGCATATGGAGCCCATGGGCTAGTGACAGAGCTGGTATATAAATAAGGATTGAATTTGGCTGAAAAACCCCAAATAACAATGACTGAAATATGCAGTATCGGTTCACAAGTAGACAGTCCAGAGTGGGTAAGGTAGTTTCAGCTATCACAGGCCAGGCTCCTGCTTTCTTTCTGCTCTATCATTCCAGTGCATGGCTTACTTCACTAAGTTTACCTCATTGTACAAGACAGCTCTGGAAACTCAAGCCATCACATCTGTATTTCAAGGAACAGGACGGAAGAAAAAAAAAAAGGTAAGGCAAAAACATTATCCCCCAGAAGAGGTTCTTAAAGGAATCCTCCCTCACAATGCTTCCACTTATATCTCATTTATTGACAGAGCCATAGCAGCAAAGGAATCTGAGAAATATAGACTTTAGCTCTACTCATATGTAGTGCCATTGTGAATAGCTAAATTTAGTTCTTTTAGTAAGACAAAACAGAGAACAAATATTTAGTAGGCTGTGTGCAATCTCTGCCACAGTCAGATTTAAATACCTACGGTATGATTTCGGGTTGAGAGTAGGTATGTGCCATGTTTCACATAAGTCAAGTGAAGCAAGACTCAAGCTAAAACCTTCCAATGGCTCTCCATGCTCCTGCAGTCAACTCCAAGTTTTCGACATGGGCCTAATAACCCATATGACCTGCAATGTCACCCTTTCCAACCTCGTTTTATGCCACTTATTGTTTGTTCATTCTGCCCCAACCTCACTGTTCTTATCCCTGCTCCTCTAACAAACCAAGATTATTCCAAGTGCTGGAGACTTTTCATGCTCAATTCCTATACAACTCAGCTCTTCTAGTCCTTCAAGTCATTCCCTCAGAGAAACTTTCCTTAACTAATGTAACTTCCACCCACATCCTCCCAGTATCCCATTGTCTCTCCCTTTCCACTAAACTCTAAGCTCTGAGAAGGCAGAAGCCATGATCTCTTGCTCACCATGACTCTCCAGCACCATAGTGCCTTGCACATAATAGGTGCAAAATTTGTGCTTGTTGGATCAGTGATCAAAGAATTACCATTATAATATATATTACTCCTGTAGCAATTATCTTTTGTGCCTCCCTAGGGAAGTGCTTTCTCTTATTCCAATCTGCATTTCATCCATGCTTACACTTGATAAGAACTTAATACATGATTGTTTACCGCCAACCAAGAACCATTTACTGCATCGACCATTTATTGAGCTTCTTCAATATACCATGTATTCTACTTATTTCTAGCATAGGCACTGAGATGTCAAAATAACTAAGTTCATTTTGTGCCCTTGAATTTCCAAATCTAGCTCATTTCTGACCCAGGAATCTGTTGAAATTTTAAGAGATAACTCTCCTAACATGAAGGGAATCTCAAGAAGGAGGAGGGGACGGGCGCGGTGGCTCAGGCTTGTAATCCCAGCACTTTGGGAGGCTGAGGCGGGCGGATCACGAGGTCAGGAGATCTTGACCACGGTGAAACCCCGTCTCTACTAAAAATACAAAAAATTAGCTGGGCGTGGTGGCGGGTGCCTGTAGTCCCAGCTACTCGGGAGAGGCTGAGGAAGGAGAATGGCGTGAACCCGGGAGGCGGAGCTTGCAGTGAGCCGAGTTCGCGCCTCTGCACTCCAGCCTGGGTGACAGAGCGAGACTCCGTCAAGAAAAAAAAAGAAAGAAAGAAAGAAGGAGGAGGAGGAGGAGGAAGAGGAGAACTCGTTGAGTTTTATCTTACACTTACGCAAAAATTATGATATGTTAGTGGCTCATGATAAGACACCACAGCCCATGTCACTGGAACTGTGAAAATCATGGTGACCACACAACAGCACAGCTACATTATGTTCAGTGAAAGATAACTCTGTAGTGATTTAATATCCAGGTTGAAAAAGAAAGGCTATTTTCCCGAAACATTTTACAGAGGCATTCTTCAAAAGTGACTCATTCTTAGTTGGAACTCTTCGGCATGTTTGGGCATCATTTATCAAGTGTGTTTACAACGAAGGTTTCTCTCCAAACTCAGGGTGTGTGAAAACAGCCCTTCACACAATACAAATAATTCTAACCACCAAGACAAGTGGATAGAGACTCTGGACACAGCTATGCGTTGAAGCAGAGCGAACATGAAGGGGGCTCCCAAGAAGGCTGTGGAGAGGATCTTGTTCACTGCATCTACTTCCTCACTGCTGCTGGAAGTTCCACCACTACAGCACAGTTAGTTCAGCTTTCTATTTTCATTCTAATTAAAATAAAAAATGTGAAGCCTACTATTGAGACAATTCTTCACGAGCTTCTTGCATTTCTTCATGTCTTGTGAGCAGAAGCACTGGCTGCTTTTGTTACAGATGATCCTTTCAAAGATTTTGTGTAGCAAACAGTCTTGGAGGACGTAGAGATGATAGTTCCTTCTGGAGAAAACTTCAGGTCTGTTTTATCACCAAAATAATTAAGATAATGTCTCCCATTGGCACAAAGCATAGGCATTGCCTATTATAAAAGATCTGTGTTCCCTAAACTTGAAATTTCTTTCTTGTAATGCAATCCACACCCATTGCGTGGTTGCATGTGCAGGTATGACCTAGCCCTCTTTGTTACTCTGCAGGTATTAGAGCTCAGAGAACCAGCACAAATATTGATACTTTGGCTACTACCATTGCCATGAATAATAAACCAGCCTTTGTCTCTGACCCAGAAGTCTTGTGTCTTCAACAGCAACCTTAAGACTATAGCAAGCTAACTTGTTAGCAGGCAAATAGGAAAAATGTTTCTTTCCAGTCCTTGATACCTGCCACACCATCATTTTCCCTTTATCAGCTAGAAGTTGGCTTACAAGGGCTTCCCCATTTAGCCCTTTAGAACCTCCTTAAACTTATAAGTAAGATAATAAGCTTGCTATGTGAATACATATTTCAGGACAAGTCACCTTAAGCCCTCTTTAAAGCCAATTGTTTCTCTTAAATCTCTCCTATATAGAAATTCATAGAGCCACCACTGTACATAACTCAGCTACCTGAAACTGGGGTAGGTTCAAGAGTACTGAAGACCTAGGCATCAACAAAGAAGGAACAGAGAAAGAAAGATGACAGAGATTAATCCTAACTTCTTGCCAATTTTTTCAAGTCAACTCTGCCAAATATTATTAATTAATTCAGAATTGAGAGGTTATAAGATTCAGGGTATGAATGCATCTTTGGTAAAAGTAAATGAAAACTTTAAATCTTTGTTCCTGATTTTTGTTTATTTCAGATCAATCTAATTATCATACTTAAATATTCTACTGGAATGCCAGAGATTAGCAAACTTGTAGTTTGTTATCTGAACAAATCTAGCCCACTGCATGCTTTTTAAATACACTTTTATCAGAATAGAGCTGTACCATTTGTTTATGTGCTGTCTATCACTGCTTTAATGCTACAATGGCAGAAGTAAGTAGTTGCATTAGAGATCAGATGGCCCACAGATGACCACACTGATTTCTGTGGTATTTCTCAAAGCACCAAAGCCCACTCACACTTGAGGCTTTTGTATTCGCTGTTTCTTCCACATAGAATATCATATAATAAATCACCTAACAGTTTAGACACCACTAACATGCTATTTCTTTAGAGATACCTCTCCTCACTAGACCATCTAAAAGAGAACCATCCCCTTCCCTCTTTAGCCCCTAACATATCCTTATTTACCTTTGTATCACTGATCAGTCCCCCTATTTATTGTCTGTAGGCTCACTAGAATGTAGGCTCTGAAAGATTTTGGGATGGTATATTGACTGTTATGTTCCCCAATGCCCAGAACAAAACATGAAACTTTGTAGATACTCAAATAGTCAAGTGAGTGAATGAATGGATATTTTGCTTAGAGCTGCATCCCTAATACCTAAAAAGGTGCATGGCACAAAATAAAAGCTCCTTAAGTATTAGGGAAGGAAGAAATAAGGAAAGGAGGAAGAGATAAAGGGAAGGAAAGAAGAAAGAAGGAAGAGGGAGAGCAAAGAAGGGAAGGAGAGGAAACCTTACCAAGTCCAGGTTTTAGTGAAAAAGAATGAAACAGCATAAAGACAAAATGAAGTAAGAGGAAGATGACAGCACCAGGAGAGAAATCCATGGCACAGAGCAGGGGAGAAGCAATAGACATCAAAGACCAATGCCATAATTTGTTCAGGTTTCCACATCTCTAGGTAATTTTAGCCATCCCACCTCACACAGCTGCCCTTCCACAAGTCAGTGAATGAACAACATCCATGCAAGGACCTCCAAAGACCTAATGCCCCACGAGCTTCCTTAGGAACAAAACACAGGATCGAGAGAACAAGGAGTGACAGCTCTAGGCATTTTACATAAGTAACAATTCGTACCCAGAAACTATCATGCCCAAATCCAGATCTGAAGTGAAGGAAAGGCATCTGGTTTCCCAGCAGGGAATATCATAGCAGAACATTTAAAAGTACGGACACAAGGGGCCAGGCGCGGTAGCTCATGCTTGTAATCCTAGCATTTTTGGAGGGCGAGGTGGGTGGATCACGAGGTCAGGAGTTCGAGACCAGCCTAGCCAAGATGGTGAAACCCCATCTCTACTAAAAATAAATAAATAAATAATAAATAAATAAATAAATAAAAATTCGTCTGGCATGTGCCTGTAACCCCAGCTACTCGGGAGGCTGAGGCAGGAGAATTGCTTGAACCCAAGAGGCAGAGTTTGCAGTGAGCCAAGATCATGCCACTGCACTCCATCTCAAAAAAACAAAAAAAGTATGGACACAAGGAATGACCGGGCCCTCCGCACCAGTCATCAGAGCTTGGGCAGGTCTCCACCTCTCAGAGCCTCAATTTTCTTACCTATAAAGTGGGGATAATAATAATTGTACCTACCTTGTTGGATTGGTATGAGTGACTATTTGTTAAGCACATAGGAGTGTGCCTGAGACACGGGAACCACCAGGTAAGTGCTCAACAACTGAGGGATAAAACCTCACCAGTCACTTCTTCCCTTCCCACTGACACCATATCACAATAAGGCTAGTGTTAACGATATGCTTCCTATTTGTCAGGCATCATCCTAAGCTCTCCATATGCATTATTTTAGTTAATCCTAGCAAAGCCTTGGAGGTAGTTATTATTCCCATTTGATAAATTAGTAACACAGATGAAAAGACTTGGCTAAGGTCACACAGCTAACAAGTCTTAGAGTCAGTATTTAAAGTCACTTGGGTCTGGCTGTAGATCAGTGAATCAGTACATCAGTGAATAAATGGATCCAAATAAAGCAAGTATTGGTAAATTATGAGGAAGGGTCCTGAGAGGGAAGATGGGTCTCTACTAATGAGCCCAAAACATTCGTGGCCCTCAAACACAGTTATGCCCTCTTGAAAGTATTCACCAGGGCACTTTAGCTTAATTTTCTCTTCAACTCCTTTATTAAGACACAATAAAACATGTAACCTAGATATTAAAGCCGTACTAAAATGCCTTCAATCAACTGATCCTGTGCACTTTTTCCCTTACAGGTTCACAGACCTCAGTGCACGACATTAAGGGGGAAAAGGCTAACAGAGGAAGGTCCAACCCAGCCAATGTTCACCAGTAAAAGGTGATTTATTAGGAGAAAAATAGAACAGCCTGCCTCCAATTGACAGCCCTTGCAACCAGATCCGCAATTAAAGCTGAACTGTGCAATCTTTGCATTTAAAGGAAAATCAATGGCATCGATTGAATCAAGTAAGAACAACCACATATGAACGCATTACAGATATGACTGCTGCAGAATACTATTTTGAAATAAAACATAAAAATCAGGTGTCTTGTGACCAAACATGATAACTGGGCTACCCAATGGGGAAGCCAAAATGTTTTAATTTAATCAAGGAATGGGGTTGGGGGCAACTACTTTGAATGAGGTTTTTGCTGGTGATTCTTGCTCTGCAACCCTCTCAACTGCCAGTAATTTGCTGGCAGGTTTTATTTAACAGTGAGAATTTGAATGGATTTTGTACCCTCTTTCCTGGGGTTGCACACAGCAGTCAATTAAATTAGTACCAAAACCTTAAAAGACACCAAGGTAATCAGTTTAGGAGGATTTAGACCACATGGGTTTCAGATCTGGTTTTGCAAGGTAATCCTAAGTCTCTAGTCAGCTGGGTTTGAGAATTACACCTTTCTTCATTGGGAGGAAATTTAATAGTAACCATAAGGCTGCCAGAACTGTGGAATTATCTTTCAATTTTAGTAGCATCAGTCCAGGCCAGCAATGAATTTTAGTTTTAATAGCTTTCTCAGTCTCAGGGTGGTTGATGCTGAATAATTAAAGTGGCATCTGACTCCCCAACACCAGTGTACACTAAGATATTTAAACATGTGAGTTGCCATAAATTATGCAAAAATACCTCAAAAACAAAACCATTAATGCCAATTTGAAAATGTTGCATAAAGATTGATCCAAATAATTTGGCTTTTTCAAGAATAGTTCAGCTTTGGAAAACTCATCTAAGCCAGACACCAAAAGCTGCTTGGAAAATATTTATTCTTAAGTCAAGCTTTTCCTGGTAATCTTGTATTTAAGAGAGAACCCTGGGGGAGCCCCAGAAAAGAAATTATTTTCCATGTGAGGCTTTGAGATGGAATTTCATGTTTATCTTATTTATATGTAGGTGTGGGTCTTTTATGTTGCTTATGCCCCAATAAAATAACCTGGTGATATTTTCATCCCATTATGAGAGTTTCTGTTAAATCTGATGCAAGGAAAAGAGAGAAGCCTCAAAAAAAAAGAAAAAGAATTGAAGAAAAGCAGCAGCCACTTTTCATATCTCTAAATGAAAGTGAAGTGAGATGAAAACCATAATGTGGCAAATAAATCCCAGGATCCTGGTGAATTTATCACAACAGTTGAACAGCTAAGCTACAAATAAAAACTAAACTAACTATGGAGAAATAAGACTTAAATCCAAGAGCTAAAGTTTAGCTTTGTTTTTGTTGCTTTTAAAAAAAAATACCTAAATTCATTCACATATTCAGCAAATATTTGGGAGCACCTATTAGGTGTCAGGTACTATTCTAAAGGCTGAGGATACAGCAGTGAAGAAAGCAGACAAAAATCCCTGCCATCCTGAAGCTTACGCTCTGCAGGGAAAGATTATATGCAAGCGACAAGTTTGTTGGCATTTAGATAAGCCACAAGACTGCAGCTAGCCTAGATAGCATCTTTGAATTATGTAAAGGTACCCCTCCGGCACCTGGGTGCATCAATTAGAAAAAGGCGTTTCTCTCTTCCTGCCCCTCACTAGGAGTGAACCAAGGGCAGAGCATGGGCTAAGCTTCAGGCTCCCTCAGATTCCCTCCTCTGTAGACAGCACAGCCAGGACAATCGTATCTGACATCACAGAAGTTACAGGTGGTCAGAAAAGGCCTCATGGATCCGGTCTGACATGGGTGAGGAAGCAAGTCATTGTAATATCTGAGGGAAGTGTGTTACAGGCAGAAGGAATATGAACCCATTTATGCCTGAGGTTGCAATTTTTTGAATTTTTGCAATCAGACTTGGTGATTTTGCAATCAGACAAGACTCTACTTGAGCAGTAGAATATAAATAACTCCCACATGCTTAGCATTCCAGTAATGGAACACTAGGCATAAATGGGATTTATTAAGAGCAAAAATCTTAAGGCAGGAAGGAGCATGTCCTGTGTTGATGGACAGCAAAGGAGCAGAAAGGCTGGGTTGGAGGGCCATCTTTTCTTCATCTCTTAATTTTAAATAAGACACAGATACTTTACTTTTAGTAGGTATGATACCTAACTGGATGTTGCAGACCTGCTTTGAGGAGAGACCTAGTTCTTTAATAATCAGATCTTGAATAAGAGTCTTTAAAATAACTCTTGTATAGTCATGTTTCTACGTGACAGACTGGGGATCCTGATATGACCTTGAATATTCATTCAACAAACACATTTTGAGTATTTACTATGGACAAAGCCCTAACTAGGCAAAGAGTGAAAAGTATCAGCATGAGCACTGCCTTTATGAAGCTTACAGTCCACATTGTGGGGGAAAACATAAACAAGCAAAAAAATTAAATTACAAACATTATTAAAAGCTATAGGAAAAATAGCATGTGTGGATGACAGAAAGATGTGGGGGCATGGAGGGAGTTACCTACTTTAGATAGGAGAGGTCATACTGATTTTTGAAGTATTCAAAGGCATCCACCTTGAGAAGATGGGGAAAGGCTGTTCCAGGTATAGGGTCTTAGTCTGTTTTCTGTTGCTATAACACACTACCCAAGACTGGATAATTTATAAAGAAAAAAGTTTGTTTAGCTCACAGTTCTGGAGGCTGGGAAGTCCAAAATCAGGCAGCCACATCTGGTGAGGGCCTCGTGCTTCTAGATAGCATGGCAGAAAAGCAGAAGGGCAAGTCAGCATATGTGAAAGAGGTGGCAAAAGCAAGCCAAACTCACTTTTGTAACAACTCGCACTCAAGAAAACTCACTCATTCCCACAATAAGGGCATTAATTCATTCATGAAGGTTCTACCTTCATGACCCAATCACCTCTTAAAGGTCTCACTTCTTAATACGGTTACATTGGCAATTACATTTTCAACACATCAACTTTTGGGGAACACGTTCAAATCATATCACATAAGGAGGAGCAAAAGGGCTTAACAAGGAAAAATTGAGTCTGTTAAAGGAGCAAAAGTAAGTCCAGTGTGGCCAGAGGAATGCATGAAAAGGAGAGCTATAGGAAGGCTCTGCAGGAGCCAGGGCCTGGTGAGTCTAGCAGCTCATGAGAGAGAGTTTGCATTGCTTTGCTATGTGCAGTGGGACAGTGGGAAGCCACAGGAGGGTACTAAGCAAAGGTGTGGGGCAATCTCATCTTCTCATGATGCTACCCTTGACCCACTGTAGGACAGAGGTTCCCAAGCTTTTTCCATCTCCTTAGGTGTCAGTAATTTTGTCACAGAGCCCATAGGCCAAAAGAAATACCTAATAGTTCCATTTACTAAGTAACTAGGTCCAAACAAATTATTAAGTTTTTATGTTCTAAAAATCTTAACCATTTGAAAAAAAAATCACATAAACTGATTCTTTTTTTAAATAGAGACAAAGTCTTACTTGTTGCCCAGACTGGTCTGGAACTCCTGAGCTCAAGCAAAACTCCTGCCTCAGCTTCCCAAAGGCTGAGATTACAGGCATGAGCCACCACATTTGGTCATAAACTGAAATTTTTAAATAATAATTCTATTCTTGAATAACCACAATTGATTGCTAATGGGCTATATGTGCCTATTAATTTACATGGTGCCAACATTTAAAACATGGCCCCACTCCTGAGAGTTCACCGCAGGAGCCCTGAGCACCATAGTGCAGAGTTTGGGAACCGTGCCATAGAATCTATTGTCATTACAGATACACAGGACCTCAGAGAAGTCAATGAAGTCAATTGACTTCATAAAATATGAAGTTTTTAAGATCCTTCTAAGGGAAAGAACCTGAGCACAGTTCTTCAGGTTTTAACGTAGTAAATTATAACCAAAATTTGCCTTGAATCTCCCTGCCTTTCAACTAATATGTTAAAATGTAAATTGATTCCCTTAAATGTCCCACTGACATTTAATTCCAGAAGAAAATGACAGAGAATGACTATAAATAGTTCAGGCACCCCATATGCTCCTGTGCATGGACTGGATTGGCCATTTATTGATCCACTGTTTTGGGTTCTGTTAGTGTGGCCCCAGTTTCCCTGCTGGTGGGAAAATATAATAGTGTCAGTGATCAAGATTTTCAGTGCCCCATTTTAGACTTGCTTGATCTACCTTCTTTTTAAGCTCAGAAAAATAGTACTCTGTCATGTTAAATCAGTTACATTGATTTTGACTAGTGAGCCTTCACTGGTAGTAACTGACAGTACAAAAATGTCCAGGCAAATGTTATGCAAATCTCAGTCAAGTACCCTCTTCTAAAATAAATGGATAACTATATAAATTGTATAAGTCATACTAAGTATGAAGTTTTACATGCAAAATGACTCAAAAAACTTCAGGTGGAGAGAAATCATAAGAACCACTGTCTTTATGGTATTAATGGCCAAACACAGACTCTTCATTGCCCCTGAAAACCGGCATCTGTTTACAATGATTTTGAAATCCCAATGTTATGGAGGCATAAATGCTGGAGCTGAGAGTTAAACTAAGGTCTCTCTTTCTGTCTAGAGCCCTCATTCTCAACTACTCTACCAATACTCCTTCTCCTAGTTGTTTGTGAATATACTGGTTCCTGAAAAGATAGATTTGGATGAAAACATTAGACTCTATGGATGAGGGCAGAGGCAGGCACCAGTGCTGACTTCTCTTTAGTGCTAGGCTCTTGACTATGGATTTCTGTCCCATACAACTGGGTCTGACTTGAATTCCCTACTCGGCCATGAATTCAAGAACGGAAAACATTACAGACCCTCAGTACCCAATGACCAAGCTAGTGGAGCTAAGCTCTCCTGTCCTGGTATGATCCATGCCTTTCTTACATGGCTTCCAGAGGATTCCATAACCTCTATTCTAGGCTGAAAAATGGCAAGTACACTGGACTAGAAATAAAATCTGGATCCTAGTCTTGGTTCTGGAGCTTCCTAGCTGGGCAACTGAGACAAGAGGCTTGACCTGACCACAGCACCCTCACCTGTAAAAAGACTGATGATTTCTTCCATGGCTACCATACAGCATTGATGAAAGGCTTTAAGAAGGCATGTCATGGGGAAGTACACTGCTACACTGTAGAGTCTCAAGCAAGTACAAAATATTATTGGGGTTGTCCTTGGTGTTATTCCTATAAGAGGCAGTATGAAACAAGTTGTAAAGCACCAGCTGTGTTCTGCCCTGGATTCAAATTCTTATTCCACTACTTCCTATCTGTCTGGCTTTGAGAAAGGTACTGCTTGAAATTTTAGCTTCCTTACATGTAAAACAGGGACAATATTACCTACTTCTCACAGTTACGATGAGAATTGAGATACAATGGGATTTTGCTCACAGCAAGTGCTCAATAATTTGCCTAGAATAATATTATCACTCTATGTCTAAGCTTCCTCGTCCCACTAACACTTAGTTTCCTCATTTATCTGATGGGAATCATGAACAGCATGGAGGAATCATTTTGTGTTGGGCTTAAGTTCTAATCTAAATTCATTAGGTGAAAGCCAAATATGAACATAGTTATCCTTGAAAACTGCTTTATGTACCTATAAATGGTGACCATATGTCCCAATCTGACTGACACAGTCCAACTCTATGTCTTTCATCCATGCACAGTTATTGAAAGTATCCTCTTACTGTCAAAAGTGCCTCAGTTTGGATGAGAAACCATGTGGTCACCCACCTATGAAGAACCTCTCCCATCAAGTCCAGTGTAGATTTTCCCTCCCGTGCTGCAACAAGTTGCTGCTTCTTTGGTTGATTCCCAACTAAAGTAGCAGTTTACAAATAGAAACCATGCTGTATGGAATGTATAAATATTTAAGTCCTAAAATGATGCATAAAATGCTTGAAGATGATTAAATGCACTGAAAGATAAGCTTCCATTGCATGCTCATTCGAGATACAAATGCAGTAATTAGAATCGCTGGCAGTATCAGCTGCACAATTTAAATTTCTTTTTTCTCTCTTCCCCCCACCCCCACCCTTCTCCTCTTTCTCCTCTCTTCCCCACTCACCCCATACAGTGCTCACAGTTGAATACCAGAAAGTTAACCACGCATACAATGAGACCACACTGTACCTGTCTCCTAAGATTGTGAGATTATGCATGAAGAAGACTGTGTATAGTTTCTGGTGTGTAGTAAGCACTCTGGGATAATCTCTATTTCCATCATTATTATATATTCAAATTATTTTCTTGGCTTAACTAGGAATCAATTGCTCATCATAATTGGTACTTCTCTAGAGATATTGGTGTAGGTAATTTTTTTTCTAACAGGACTTCTTTCAGGTAAGGGCAAAGTAAAGACTGCATTCATAGTTGTGGCTACTCTCAGAAGACTTCAGATTTTAATTTACAAGGATGGGTTTGTGGTTATCTTGTTTTTGTTTTTCATTCCAGGCAAAATAAAAAACACCACCAAGGGCAAAGATATGGAAGAATGAGAGTCTGTGCATTTCAGGTAAGGGCATGTGAAGCAGGGAGAAGGATGGCTGCAGACAGGACCAAAAAAGAGAGACTGGAGCCACTTTGAAAATAATGTGAGATGCCAGGCTATCTACTTGGAATTACAACTGATGGGCACTTGGGAAACATGTGAGGTTTTTCTAGTAATGGAGTGACATAATTACAATGTTTGATAAATAAAGCAGCAGTAGAAGCTTAGAAGATGGAACTAGGAGATAAGATTAGAAGAAGGAAGCCTGGTGAGGTGCCTGCTGCCATCAACTGAGGGAAAGATGACGACTGCCCAAACCATATAGGAAGGGAGAGATGAATTCATGCATTTCTCTGTGCAAATAATGTTTGCTGGGGCTTCCATCCCTCCACCCTCACTTTGACCTACTTTACCATCTATTCTTGTATTGGAGGAAGAGATGACCAAATTTGATCAAAAGTGAATAGTGGAAAATCCTAAGCATCTTTTCTCTTATTATATGTATCAATGTGATAGTAATAGTTACCATGCATGGCAAACTCTATGTGCCAAGTGCTATTATAAGTACTTTATTTTTTAACTTAATCTTTATGACCCTATATATGTACTATTATCATTCCTGTTTTGCAGATGAGAAAACTGAAGCATGAGAGAGTAAGCAGCTGGCCAAGATTACATAGTGAGTAAGGAGAGCTGGATTCAACTGTAGCTCCAGAACCTGTTCTCTTAACCACACTGTACCACCCCTTGATGCAAAGGGTACATTCTGGACAGTTTATTGTTGAGTGATATGCATGCTGTGCATCTTTAAGGGAGAAAAATGCTATTCTATTTTTAAGACAATATTCTTTTTAAGAGTATAAGTAGTCTATATAATTTATCTTTAGGGAATTATTTCTAGTGAATTGATTAAAACATGGCTTGTATTCTGCCCGAGATTGGTTTAATTATATCAGCACAGCTGCAAGGAGCAAAGATGAGAGATGGCCTATGATGCTTTGTTGACTTTTTTTTTTTTTTTTTTTTACTTTGGGAATGATCTGTCCAGGTACTCTGATTTTGAAGACAGCTCTCCCTGGAAATCCTCTGGACAAGAGAACTCATATTTTCACACCCTATAACCTTTCCATTGCAAAAGGCAAACCTTCCCTCCCAATATCAGCTCTTCCCCACACCCTTTCTTCTCCATGCCCTTGAAACTAGCAGCTCCAGAATTTCACAGTCAGCCCAGCCTTCGTGCTGGTTTCAATGGCTGCTGCTCTTCTTAAAACCTATAATATTGGCACGCCACAATGGACTCAATAAACAAGAACAGTCTGAAAGGAATAGATGAGACAGGGACTCAATATTTTCCCCTAGATGGTTCTAAAATACCCTCCACACCATGTGTGTCTTTTTGTTCATAGATGTGTGTGTATGTGTGTGCCTAAATAGCCAAATCTCACCTGTCTCAGAACATTTATTTTTTCTATTATATCCTGCAAGTTGTAACACCAAGATGAAGAGGGAGATATAAAAGGAGCTGCTTTTTTGGAGCTGATATACTTTTGGCCAAAGCTTATAGATTCTTAGTCATGTATAAATCTCATTCCAATGTAGGGCTTTCATGACTATAAACACTTTTCTGCCTTTCTTTTCATTCAAAATCTGAGTTTAACTCATTGAGTTTAACCACATTTTACTTTAATCTGTTCCCTACAAACTATAAGCTTCATTTATTCATTCAAGAAATATTTATTGATCCCCTATTATGTACTAGCCTGTATAGGATGCTGGGGACCATTAGGTGGGCAAAATAGAAGCTAATAGGAGATAATTGCCCTTCATGAGGCCTGTAGTCTTAGTGGCAGAGACAAATATAATAAAGGGGCATGCATTAATTGTTAAATAATTCAATTTGGGATATGTTCCACTCCAGTGGACTTCTGATTTTGCATCTCCAGCATTTATTTACTGTTACAAATAGCAGCCAGCACTTTCCTTTTCTTTTTCTTTCATTTTGTAAACTACCTCAGCCACTTATAGGTGGTATGGTTTGGGGCTCTTCCCAGGCTCTAAGGGTGCACAAATGTTCTAGACATCGCCACCAACCTCTGTGATTAGTTCCAAAATGAGCAGGTGACCGAGATCTATCCAGCGACAAGACTATCATGGGAACTATTGGTGCAGAAATGCTCTGCCAAAGGTCTCCCTGAAAACTGAGCCAAGATAAGAATGATGAATGGCCAAGAAGAAAGCAGGCTGGAAATATGTCCATCAGTGGAGTCTTCATGATGTGAATCCAGCTGGGCCTGAAGTTATCTAACTTTAGTCTTCTTGGTTACACCACTCAATATGGTTTTTTTCCCTTAAATCAATGTGATTGGATTTCTTTCCCTTGCCATCAAAAACACCTTGACTAAACACAGCCACTAGGGGAAAGTGCAGGATGATGTGAGAGAATATGACGCAAGTCTTGGTTTTATTCATAATTGTTCTAAACTCTGAAGTATGAATAGCAGTGAGCAAGCTGAGAAAGAAGTAGACATGAAGTTAGGAACAATGTCTGAGCCTGTTCATGGCTCTTTCCCCCGATGCCTTCCACTCCAGAGTATGTGTTTAATAACTGACATGGCTTTTCTGTGTCCCCACCCAAATCTCACTTTGAATTGTAATAATCCCCACATATCAAAGGTGGGGCCAGGTGGAGATAATCGAATCATGGGGGTGGTTTCCCCCATACTGTTGTCGTGGTAGTGAATAAGTCTCATGTGATCTGATGGTTTTATAAATGGGAGTTCCCCTGCACACGCACTCTTAACTGCTGCCATGTAAGACATAACTTTGCTCCTCATTTGCCTTCTGCCATGATTGTGAGGCCTCCCTAGCCATGTAGAACGGTGAGTCAATTAAACCTCTTTTCTTCATAAATTATCCAGTGGATATGGTTTGGCTGTGTCTCCACCCAAATCTCATCTTGAATTGTAACTCTCACGATTCCCATGTGTCATGGGAGGAACCTGGTGGGAGGTGATTGAATTATGGGGTGAGTCTTTCCTGCACTGTTCTTGTGATATTGAATGCGTATCATGAGATCTGATGGTTTTAAAAATGGGAGTTTATGTTTAAAAGCTCCCTGTTGCCTGCCTCCATCCATGTTGGATATGACCTGCTCCTCCTTGCCTTCTGCCATGATTGTGAGGCCTCCCCAGCCATGTGGAACTATAAGTCCATTAAACTTCTTTTTCTTCCCAGTCTCGGGTATGTCTTTATCAGCAGCGTGAAAATGGACTAATACACCAGTCTTGGGTATGTCTTAATTAGCAGCATGAGAACAGACTAATACAATACCTGTTAGTAGAGTGAAGAGAAGAATAATGAAACACCAGTTTGTTTCTCACCGCCATTTGGATCGGTTTATGATAGCCAAGCAAGTAATCTGCATCCAATAATTCTGCATCCAACAAGTAATTCTGCTTCTTCTCACTGTCTGGTGGATTGCAGCCCTGCCAGGTGACCCTATGAACCTCAGCTGAGCTCACTCACTCACACATCTGGGCTCAGCTGAATGAGACTGAAACAGATGAGGGCATTTGGGCTCTGCTCTACATTCCTTTCTTCCTCTCCCTGGACTAGCAGGCCAACCCAAATGTAATTTTCATAACTGAGGTATCAGAGAATAAGACAAATCATGTAAGCATTTTTTAAAATACTTTGGTTGCATGCCTACAAACATTTCATTAGCCAAAGTAAATCACACAGATTGACCCAGGGCCCAGGGAGGGCAAAATGTGTTCCTTACTTCCAGAGGAGTGAACCGCAAAGTTGCTGCAAAAGGCATGAATACAGGGAGACAGGAAGAATTGGGGTCATTCATGCAATTGACCATACCAGTTCAACCTTCTTAGTTCTTTCCAATTGGCTACAAGCTTGGAGAAGTTAGATAGTCTAGATATAAAAAGATTAGAGTTTACTGTCAGGAAAATAGGTGCCTCATAAAAACAATCAGAGAAGCTAGTAGATAAGAGATTGCTCAGCAGGAATCGCACCATAAAAAACTAGATCTAAGATTGACTGGACAGTCCACTGTTTCCAGCCAGTGTTTATTTTGTTTTTAATGCCTAAATCATATGCCTAAAATCCAACCACAGGAAAGATAAAGTGTTTGCCTCCTTCTGTTGTTGCCAAAAGGCAGTAAGTCAAAGTAATCAGACAGAATTCTAGATAACAGTCCAATCAAAGGTGATGGAAGAGAATTCAATGAAGATTATTTGCAAAGCTGTGGGCAGCGTTTCCAGAAGGAACAAAGGACAGTGAAGCCCCCAGGCACCAGCAAAGGAAGTAGGACTCTGCCACCTTAAGATGAAGCTGTTCCCTACTTGTTAGTAGAACCCCCTAAAAACCCTAGCTATAGGAGAAGTGCTGCCTGATTTGAGCTGTAGACAGAGATGAGGAGAAAGAAAACTATGAAAATTGGTAGCCTAAATTTCTCTTTTTTATCCTCCCATCTTTTACAGGTGCTTCTTTTGGTTGAACCCAACCAGAAGCCAGAGGTTAAGGAGCTTATACTCCTGGGGCACAGAACAAAAGAAGGGTAGAGAGTGAGTCTACCTGAATGGCACATGGAGAATGTCCAGGCCACTTATACATAGATTTAAGTAGTTAGGAACATTCTCTCTTGGTTTATCTATTCATTATCTAGGGTGGTCAAAAGTGATAGGCACCAAATGCCCCTGGCTCTATGCCTCCCATCATGAGTGCATGAAAAGGTTTTACTCCCTTGTCCCCTGGGGTGGATGGGCCCATGAGATTAGGTCTAGCCAATAAGCATGGAAGTAAAATGAGGCACTTTGGGACCAATTATTTATTTGCCAGGTTAGATCCTTCAGAGCTCCCCCATTTTCCTATGTCATAGTTACTGGAAGTATTCTAGACAATGGCTACTCTAGCAGATAGAGGCCCCTGAGTGAAGATAAGAAGTGTATCCCCTACCCACTCTTTAAGAATATGCTGTGTAGGATAACTATTATCCTATACAGTATTGCTGTGTATCCTCTACAGTATGTTCTTAAAGAGTGTGTAGGTGATCTACTTATCTTATTAAGAAATAATATTAAATGCTATATTTAATATTATTTAAATGCCATATTTATATTATTTCAGCCACTGAGATTTTTGAGGTTGTTTTGTTACTACAGCAAACTGAGCCTATACTGACTTAATATGACCCTCTCTGGAACCCCACTAGCCTAGTTGAACAGAGAAAGAATTCTTGGAAATTGACATTTGTCATCTGTCCAAATGGTATTTAATGGGAACTCACCATGTGCAAGGCACTGTGCTATGGGATACAAAGAAAAAATGAGCTTACCCCTGTCCTCCAGATGCTTCCCACTTGCCAAATTCATTTCCTAAAGTAAGAACGTACCTATTATGTATGTGGTAGGGAGATTCTAAGATGGCCCCCATTATTGCAGCCTTCTGCTGTTTACAACATTGTGTGATCCCTATCATAGACTGTAGGCAAGACCTGTGAATTGTTTTGGTTTTTTTTTTTTTCAGACAGAATCTCACTCTGTCACCCAGGCTGGAGTGCAGTGGCACAATCTCAGCTCACTGCAACCTCCACCACCCAGGTTCAAGCGATTCTCCTGCCTCAGCCTCTCGAGTAGCTGGGACTACAGGCAACTGCCACGATACCCAGCTAATTTTTTGTATTTTTAGTACAGACGGGGTTTCACCATGCTGGCCAGGCTGGTCTCGAACTCCTGACCTCATGATCCTCCTGCCTCGGGCTCCCAAAGCACTGGGATTACAGGTGCGAGCCACCATGCCTGGCCTACCTGTGAATTGTTTTTAACCAATAGACTATGGCAAAGGTATGGGATGCAATGATCACACAATTATATAAGATTGTAATTCCCACTTTGGAAAGAGACTAGCTCCCTTGCTGGCTTTGATGAAGCATGAGGTCATTTCAAGAGAGGCCCATGTATAATGATACTAAGGCTGGCCTCAGTTGACATCCAGCAAGAAACTGAACTCTGCCAATAATCATGTAAGCCTGGAAGTGTATCCTTTCTCACTCAAGCTTTCAGATGAAAATCCAGTCCTGGCTGATACCTTGATGGTGGCTTTGCAGAGGACCTACCTAATCTGTGCCTTCATAAACTGTGTTGTTTGAAGCTGCAAAGTCTGTGGTAATTTGTTACATGGCAAGAGACAACTAATGCAATCACCAGGGACCATGATAAGTGATTCACATATGTCTTCATATCTTATTAAATTCTCACAACCAGGCTGTGAGGTAGGTACTACTATTATGTTAATCATTTTCTAGATAAGGAAGGAACCTAAGACATCAGCGATTTATTTTACTTTCTCAAGACATCACAGGCAGTAAGTGCTAAAGTCAAACTTCAAACACAGGCTGAGTCCAGGGTCTGCACTCTAAATCTGTTCTGGGCTGTTTCCCCTTACTCCCTTGATAATGACATTGTGCTCCTCAAAAACCTTCAGTGGCTTCCCCTTTGCTGGGAACAATGGCTTCCATTGTTCATATGAGGTGTCAATGTATTACAAACTGTAACAGCTAACATTTTCATAGCTACTCTGCACCAAGTGTGTCATATATTTCATTTAATCCTTCCAACAACCGTGTGATGTAGTTAGTATTTTTCTCTTATTTGAAAGATGAGGACACAGAGGCACAGAAGTAAGCATATGCCCAAGGGCATCCAGAAACTAAGTGGAAGAGTTGAGAATCAAACCCAGGCAATCTGGTCTCTGAGGTCACCTTCCTAACCACTGTATAATCTACTGCCTCTAAATTATAACTGAATTCTCAAAATTTGGGAATGAATTTTATTATAATGAACCAGATGGGGTACATTCTTATTTAAAATGCTACCCTTACTCACTTGCCTTTCAATATGCTCCCTCAAGTGGAAGAGGGAGGAATGGAATATCATCAAATCATGCAAAATGCTGGTTTTTTCCAAACAGCTGGATTGTGTATGTGAACACCATCCATCACGTTTGTCAGCAGAGAAGTTTATGAACCACTGACCCAGAGATTAAATTCTGTATTTCTCAGCCTTGCATTCAGGGCCCTCTATGGCTCAGCCATGAACTGTAATTCCCACTTTATTCCTACAATTTTCCTCTCATGGAATCCAGATTCCATTCATCTAATCTGAATTTCTTACATCCATATTACCTCTGTTACCGCTAGTGAACAGAGGTTCACTACCTTCGGTTTCTTCTACCTTTGCATCATCACATGTCCAAATACTGCCCATAATTCAAGGGCCATTTGAAATTCTACCTCCTATGAAAATAGTTTTTAATTTTCTTTCCTCAAGATCCTTGCCATCCATACTCAAGTTGGAAGCAAATCCTTTCTTCTCTAAGTTCCCCTCCCATCTCATTTGTATTTTCATACAGTACTATTACTTTCTGCCTTGTGTCATAGTTAACACACACGATTATTACAATGACAATTATAACAACAACAAATTTTTTTCTTCCTGAGTATCTGCATCAGGCACAGTGCTAAGTTATTTTATGCATCTTTTCACTTAAAGACATGCCTCTGCATGGGTAATATTATTATTCCCCAATTGACAGGTAACCCCAATGCTTGGGCATAAAGAGGGTGATGCTTGAAGAAAGGAAAAACATAAACTTTGTCCTGAAGTTAACTGTTCAACAGAATTCCAGAAGCTTCAGCTCTTAGAGCATCACTCCATTCTTCGCACACAAAAGCTACAGAAAAAGCTCCTTTTATTTGCAGCCTGGGCTGACCCTTCCCCAAGGGAAAAGGAAGCTGGCTGGATGCCTTAAGAGTCAGATTGATCCTCCTTTCTCTCATATCACTACAAGTTCAAGTGCAGATTCCAGTCAAGAGTGAACGTGTGTCCTTATTTTTCAATCTGACAGTGCTATTTGTGGGAATTGAACTTCAACATCCTTGGGGAACTTTATGCTCTTTCATCCTAAACTAGGGCACATCTATACTTCTCTGATACAAACCTGTTATGTATTAAATAGAGAGTAATAATTATATCTACCATATTGTGAGCTGAACACCTCATATGCACCTTGTAATCCCTTGAAAAAAAAAAAGAAGAGGAAGATAGAGTGACTTAACTAATGAACAGGGCTAGGAACTCCAGAGTCCATAGTTGCAACCAAAATATTACATGCAGAACACCATTATAAAATAAACTAAATAAAACTTCCCCAAAAGTAACCACTGTTCTGTCTCTTCTGTACCCTTCCACAGAAGAAAAGTAATAAGAACAAAAATAAGAGCCAACATTTAGAGTGTATATGATGGTGTACTACCACGCTAAAGGCTATTATTCCTACTTGCAAAATTCCATTAAATCTCACCCCATGAGCTAAATACTCATTATGCTCACTGTAAGGGAAGAAAGTACAACTCAAGGAGCTGAAAGATTTTGTCCTAGGTCAGAGAGAGAACAAGCGGGAGAGGTGGGATTTGAACCCAGTATTATCTGACACCTAAAACTATGACTTTAACCACAGTATTGAAGTGTGGGGTGGGATGTGTGCAGGAGAGCAGTTGAATCATTGTATTCAAGCCCTTAGCATATTATGCATATTACATTCAGTTTTAAAAAATTAAAGGGCCAAGGAGGATCCTACCTCCCTTTTAAACAATTAATAATTTTTATTCAAACAGTAAAATTATAAATATATATAAGAAGAAGTAAAATTGTTAGCCACACTATTATCACACAGTAAATATTTGTTAAAAAATCCTTTAAGGGTCTAGAGAGTTAAGAATCTTAGAGAAAGACACACTAGAATATATATACACATATATATACATACATACATATATACACATATATACATATATAAATATATACATATATACATATATACACATACATACACGTATATATACACGTATATATGCACATACATACACGTATATATACACGTATATATGCACATACATACACGTATATATACACGTATATATGCACATACATACACGTATATATACACGTATATATGCACATACATACACGTATATATACACGTATATATGCACATACATACACGTATATATACACGTATATATGCACATACATACACGTATATATACACGTATATATGCACATACATACACGTATATATACACGTATATATGCACATACATACACGTATATATACACGTATATATGCACATACATACACGTATATATACACGTATATATGCACATACATACGTGTATATACACGTATATGCACACGTATACGTGTATATACACGTATATGCACACGTATATGTATATATACACGTGTATGCACACGTATATATACACGTGTATGCACACGTATATATACACGTGTATACACGTATATATACACGTGTATACACGTGTATATACACGTATATACACGTGTATATATACACATATACACGTATATATACACGTGTATATATACACATATACACGTATATATACACGTATACATATACACATATACACGTATATACACACGTATATATACACATATACACGTGTATATACACGTGTATATATATATATATATATATGGAATGGAATTTGCTTCAAAAGGTTGCAGGGGGCACTGAGTTAGTAGGGACGTAGATGAAACATGATTTGCCCTGAATCAATATTGCTGAAGCTGAGTGACTTATACATAGGGGTTCATGATAGTCTATCAAGCATATACATTTTTGTACATGTTTGATAATTTTCATAGTAAATAGTTTCCTAAACATAACATAAAGAGACCTACAGAAATCAAGTAATTCTCTTTCAACCTCTGATCAGTTCTCTATCTCCCCTCCCCCAAAACAACCACTGTTAAGTTTCTGGCGCATTGTTCCAGAAATTTCCCATTTGTATACAAATGTATGTATCCATTTAAAACTGGAAACATACATAGCTCTTCCCTTTGCTTTTCTCACATATCCATTTACCCCAGATGCCTTCCTTGGCCACTGTATGTGCAGCAGCCTTCCTCTCCTCTCCATCCCTCTGACTATGACATCACCTTGTTTATTTCCTTCTTCACACTTAACACAATCTATACTTGCTGGCACAATAATTTACTGAGGTTTTCAAATTGAAGTAAAATTCATGTAACATAAAATTAACCACTTTACAGTGTGCAATTCAATAGTGATTAATATATTCACAATGCTGTGAAACCATCATGTTTATCTACTTTCAAAACGTTTGCATCACCCCAAAAGGAAACCTCATACTCATGAAGTAGTCTCTTCTCCTCTTCTTCCCCCAGCCCCCGACAACCACTAACCTGCTCTCTGTGTGAATTTACCTCTTCTAGATATTTCATGTGAATGGAATCATACACTGCGTGGCTCTTTGTGTCTGTCTTCTTTCACTTAGCATAATGTTTTCAAAGTTCCATGTTGTAGCACATCGTATGGATGTACCGTATTCTGTTTATCCATTCATCAGTTGGAGTTGGGTTGTTTCCACCTTTTGGCTACTGTGAATAATGCTGCTATGTACATTCACATATACCTTTTGTATGAATACTTGTTTTCAATTATTTCAGGTGTATACATAGAGGTGGAATTGCTGGGTCATGTGGGAGTTCTGCACTTACCTTTTTGAAAAACCACCAAACTGTTGCACCCTTGACTGCTCCATTTTACATTCCCATGAGCAATGTACAAGGGTTCCAATCCCTCCACATCCTTACCAACACGTTATCTTTTCTATTTGGTGGTTTGTTTTTTTCAAGTCTACCTATTTTTGATGGCCGAGTGCAGTGGCTTATGCCTGTAATCCCAGCCACTTTGGGAGGCTGAGGCTGGTGGATCACTTGAGGTCAAGAGTGCAAGACCAGTCTGGCCAATGTAGTGAAACCCTGTCTCTACTAAAAATATAAAAATTAGCCAGGCATGGTAGCAGGTGCCTGTAATCCCAGCTACTCAGGAGGCTGAGGCAGGAGAATCACTTGAACCCAGGAGACAGAGGTTGCAGTGAACTGAGATCACACCATGGTACTCCAGCCTGGGTGACAGAGCTAGACTCTGTCTCAAAAAAAAATAATGAAATAAAGTCTACTTATTTTTGATCTGGCTCTTCCACTAGATTACGCATTTCCATGTGCTTCAATTACCACTGCAGCCTCAGCCACTAGCATGAAGGCTTACGCATAGCAGGCATGCAAACATGTTTCAATGGGATGAAATAGTCAAGTAAACAAACCAGCATGTAATAACAAACACATCTACCGTATTTATTCCAAAAGCTGCAGGATGAGTTCCATTGTATAGACTCATGATCATTTCTTCCAGTGTGAACTTGACCACACCTCGGTCCAAAAGCTTCCACTTTATGCAGAATAGGAGCCAAAGTTCTTACAACAGCCTACAAGGTGCTACAAGGTGTCTGTTCCCTCTTAACCCCCTACAGTGGTTCTTGGATGTATCTCCTACTTTTCTTCCCCTGCTTTCTCCACTCTAGCTGCACTGTTCTTCAATCTTTCCAAGAACGCCTCTACCTCAGCACCTTTTCACTAACCTTTCCCTCTGTTTTAGGAGTTCTTCCACCAAGTATTCAAGTGGTTCTCCTTCAAGTCTGCCCTCCCTGCCCTCCTTTATTTCTCAGCCACCATCAGCAAGGGGCAACCTGGTCTCTGACTCATGAAGCTTGGAAGAGCAAGTGTCTACACTGTAACCCTGTAGAGGAAGTGGCAGGCCTACCCTCCTTCAAGTCTTTGTTTATACCTTATCTTCCCAGAGAGACTTTGATCATGCTCATTAAAGCTACCCCAACACCCACGTCCACCCACCCATACCCGCACACATCTCTAGTACTACACATAGTAGGACTAGTAGGACTATGTGCAGGACTAGGGATATAGAGATGATCAAAATAGACAAAAATCCCTGCCGTCATGAAGTTTCTATTTAGAAGGTTTCTACCATCTATTTTAGATGGTATTTAGAACTTTCTACCCCATGAATAGTAGGTTCTCAATATGTATCCATTGCATGAACGAAGGAACAGATGAACTATTTCCTTTCTGACAGTGCTCCAAGAGTTCCTGAAGACAGACATTCTCTCTTCTCCACTGGCCTGGGCATCAAACTTGTGGACAATCTGCTTTATGACTTCCAGGCCAGGCTATTCCTTAAACGGAAGCCCAGCAAAGACTTGTCCTCCCTCTCTCCCTCCCTCCCTCTGGAGTACCGATATTAACTTTGGAACTTTGATGCCCTCTGGTTTGTCCTGCACAAGATGCAGCCTTAACACAGTCAGTGAGGGTGTTTTCAAAATGTTCCTCCTGATTACAGGCAGGTTATTGATGGGCCTGAAAGGAAGCCAGGCTTAGAAATGGTTGTGGTTGGAGCATGCTGTACACCCACACCATGCACACATTTTAAGCATGGAGAGAGTGCCATCATAAAATGTGTGGATAATATCTTTCCATAGTGAACTGAGCACTCAGAAAACCTTGATAACACTAACCATGTGACTTTCAGTGAGGGGTCCTTCAGGCTCTGCGATCAGAAGTGCATGGTCTATTACTTTCCAGCTGGGTGGCCATACATACATCATTAATCTTGAAGCTTCACTTTCCACATCTGCGAAATGGGGACAGTAACAGCATCTACCTCAGGGATGAAATGGCATTAAAATGAGAGGATTTATGCACTGCACCTTGCTCCTAAGTGAGGCTCATGCATTGCACACATGTTCACTGGGCATCAAGCATATTCTCTGCACTGTGCCATTGATTCTGTTCACTGCTAAAGCACATAGAGACTGTCCCAACCCTCCTGGAGCTTCCTCTTGTGAAGGAAGACAAACATTAATACTACATGTACAGTATTTGTGTGTCCTGGAGATTAAAAACTCAAATGTTCTGAAGAAAAGCAATCGTTTTCTGGCAGACTGCATAGTTGAATCTAGCCAGAGCAGTCAGGGAAGGTTTCCCGGAGGAGGTGACACTGAGCTGGGAGCTGAAGGAAGAGCACAAATTTTGAGTGCAGAGACAGGGGAAAGCAAGGGAAAGAGTTCTTCCTGCAGGTATCACAGTCAACTCATGCTGCTATTGCCTAGGACTTTCCTGGTTTTAGCACTGAAAGTCACACAGTGTGAGAAGCCCCTCAGTGCCTCGGGCACACGGGGGTGGTTGGTCATCGGGGTCAGGGGAATAGCACAGGCAAAGGCCCTGAGGCAGGAAGAAGCATGTCCCATTTTAGAAACTCAAAGAAGGTACATGGGACTAGAACATAGAGATTGGTGTGAGAGGAGGCAGAAAAGTTGTCCTCAGATGGCTTTGTGTGCCATATCCAGGAACATATTCTTGGTCTGAGGAGCAACAGGAAGCCATTGAAGAGTTTTAAGCAGGGAGATGAGGGGAGCAAAGGGGGGAATGTTGTAAAGTTTACCCCACCTGCTGCATACAGAATGGACTGGAAGACACTGGAAGGAAAAGAGCAGTTTATAGGCTCAAAAGATGTTAGTTCTTACTAATATCATGATTGTTATTTCAAAGTGGGGAGAACCATTGATTATAAACTGAGTATTCCAGTTTGGATCTGGGGTATTTGAGGCTGACGGGCAATAACTGTGAAAAATCTACAGAATAGGGCCTCCGATTTCCATCACAAGAACTTCCAGAGAATGAGGGACCGAAGACTGAATTATCCTCTGACTCAGGTCAGCAATAATAGAGTTCCCCATTGTGAAGGACTGAATTCAGTCAAAAATTTAATTTTTTAAATAAATAGAACAGAAAGGTCAAAACACTGTGAGCAGAAATGGAGATTTGAAATTGGAAATTGCTTAGAAATGTCTTTTACAAACTCTGTTCTATTAAGGACTTTTCCAAACTCTCTCCCAAGGGAATTTCTCTTAGATATGCTAATGCCATTCCATTTCTCTAAAGCCCTGTGTCAAATACTGCTATTGAAAAGACCCTAATAGAAGATACACTTGGAAATCACCTGTGATTAGCAGTTTTATTCAAAATGAAACACTCCTACAGTTTCAAGTGGCAGAACCCAGTAAGTATTGCCTCCTGGATTCTGATCACTGATGGCAATAATAAGGCCTCCCCTGCTCTCTCCCTGTGCTAGGACTCTTTCCACGCCTCACGTGTCCCTCCCAGGCACCCTACTCCTGGCCGAGACCTATTCATCCTTTAGGATGTGGGTAAACACAGGGGCCAGGCGCGGTGGCTCACGCCTGTAATCCCAGCACTTTGGGAGACCGAGGTGGGTGGATCACGAGGTCAGGAGATCGAGGATGTGGGTAAACATCACTTCCTACGGGAAGCTGCCACCAACTCCCCAGGTTAGGTTAGAGATTCCTCCTACCTTACGCCACCAGAACATTGCTGTTTCCCCCTCAGAGGGCACTATCCATCTCTACTGTTGCTGCTTTAATTCTCCTTCTTCCCTCACTAGACTGTAGTCTGTCCAGAGCAGGAAGTATGTGTTCATTTGTATCCTTTGCATTTCCAGTACACAGGACAAAGCCTGCCAACAGAAGGTTGCCCGATGAGTATTTGGTACATGTTGAATGATTGTTTATTGCTACTTTGTGTTTGAAGTACTGTATTAACCGACCCGCTCTATGAACATTACCTCTTTTTTTTTTTTTTTTTTTTTTTTTTTTTTGAGGCAGGGTCTCGCTCTGTCATCCAGGCTAGTGTGCAGTGGTGCTATCACAATTCACTGCAGCCTCAACCTCCTGGGCTCAAGCAATCCTTCCACCTAATTTTTTTATTTTTTATTTATTTATTTTTTTTGTAGAGACGAGGTCTCATTATGTTGTACAGGCTGGTCTCAAACTCCTCACAAGTGATCCTCCTGCCTTGGCCTCCCAAAGTGTTGGAATTACAGGCATGAGCCACTGCACACAGCCAACATTACTTAATTTGATCCTCTCAAACTCTGTAAGTGGATATAACCAGTTAGTAAACTGAGAATCCAATAATCCGGGACTTTGGTGAATTTTTCGAGGTCATGTTGCCAATAAATGGCTGGGTGTGGATTCAAATCAAGCGTGTGACTCTAAATCCTGTTTTCAACCATGTCACCCACGCGTCACTCACAAAGCAAGTGTATAGGATAGAAATGAATAACGTGTTTTGATTTCAAGAAAACTTCTTTTTTACCTTCATTAAAATAAAACATTTTAGCCTCTGGTGCTTTCCTTCCCCAAGAAGGAATGAAACCTGAAAGGAAGACCTTATCAGGCTATGGTCTTTTCTCAACAGTGAACTCTACCTGCCCTCAAGAAAGAACTGTTATTAGCAATTTGAAGTCCAAGTTAATGGGTAATCGAAACCCTTCCTCATCATCCCTGTAGCACAATTTTGAGAGGAAAGGAAGACATACGGTCTGGACCAGGGGAGGCAAGAGAAGTATTTAAGGAGGTGCTTGCTTTCAGGCTGAGCAAGTGCAGGGTCAGGCCCAGAGCCAGGACCCTCTTAAAAGCACTCCTGTACCTCCTTGCCCAGGCTGCTCCCACTCCCCAGAAAGTGAGACTGAGCAGGGACCCCCTTTATAGGGGCCTGGAGCCCTGGAGCTCCCTGGGCATGAAAATAAAGGAAAAGACTGAGTTCTTCCAAAGGAAATGCTAGGTACCTAGGTAGCCCCAGAAGTAAATAAATAACTTGTTAAATAAGAAGGTAATAGTAGCTTAAAACAATAGCCTAAGAAGAGAGGGTTCCAGAGATGTTTGCTTTCCCCCACCGAAACTAAGGATAACATCTTCACATTTGTCCCTGAGATGCCTTTCAGAAACTTGGACCCACACTGAGGACCTCTGTGGAATGGATCCACTGGCACATAGACCTCAGATAAGCAGGAAGGTCAAGACTGAGCTTGACCCATCATCCTGTGTTCTAAGTATCTTCCTGAGGAGCCTGGGGAAAGTCACACCTTCTTGGCCAGTTAACATGTTTCTACTCACCCCTGATTTTTAAGCAAAGCTTCTCTTCCTTAACCAACACAAATCAGAAAATCTCTGAATCTACCCATGACCTATAAGTCCCCACTTCAAGATATCCTACCCTCTTAGGCTGAAACCAGTATGTAACCTCCATCCATTGATTAATGATATTACCTGAACTTCTTTCCTGAAATTTATGCCTGCCTTTAAAAATCCTTTCCTGCAAGCCACTGGGGAGGTCAGGATTTGAACGGGAGCGACTTGGTACCTCTTGCTTGGCGCCTGCAATAAAGCCCTTCCTTTCTCCCACTGCAAACCTCCATGTGGAGATCTGGTCTTAACGCACTGGGCTACTAGCAGATTCCAGTTCAGTAACAATAGGGTTTGGGCTCTGTGATGTGGAGGGATAAATGGGAGGATTCTGGCTGAGAGAGGAGGAAGAGGAAGCCAGAATGACAGGCCCAAGAGGAGGGCCACCACCCAGGGAATGCTGGAGAAGCCAATGGAGAGAAGCAATGAGAGCCTGACCATGGGAGGCAGCTTCTTGCCACCACTGCCCAGCCTGCACCTGTGGACTGTCTGTGTTCAGCTGAAGGAGTCAGAGATGTTGACAAGCATATGTGGGACCCCTGCTCCAGTGCAGTGCTGGGAAAAGCATTTCCCTAAAAGCCACAGTGGTGCACCAGGTGGCACCTGGCTGTGATCACTGAAAGCACTCTCACCAGCTGGGCTTTCAGCCAAGGTCAGGACTTTGCACCACCCCTTCACACATGCCCCAAGGCCATGTCCCAGCAATGCCCTCAGGACCACTGTAAAGGAAGCACAGTGAATATAAAAGGAATTGTGTGACATCTAGAAGGATGTGTGGGTGCTATATTGGGCATAAGAAAGTCAGGTTTGAATGGTGCCCTCTCTAAAACCTAAAGCCATCTGCAAGTCAGAGAGAGAGGCCCTAAGAGAAACCAACCCTGCTGACAGCGGGATCTTGAACTTTCAGTCTCCAAAATGATGAGAAATGAATTTCTGTGGGGTAAGCCACTCCCTCTGTGGTATTCTGTTATGACAGCCTTAGGACACATGTGCCAGCCTTCCTTGGCAGCACGTTCAGACACTGTCAGAAGGAAACCCATGGTACTATCTCAGGGCTCCACAGTAACCTGCACCACTTTACATATATGAGCCACCAGCCCTTCTCATTCCCAGAAGTCAGACTGTAACAGGATGCCCCACCACACCTCTGCCCTGCCATCCACAGAGTTGAGCTCAGGGAGTCAGAGAGGTTGACAAGCGTATGTGGGACCCTTGCTCCAAGGCAGTGCTGGGAAACGCAGTTCCCTAAAAGCTGCAGAGAATAAATGGGATCTCCGAGGAATGACCTCCCCTTTTTCTTGACTTCTTGCATGACCGGACCGATGTTTCTTCACATCTAGCAGATCTGGCAGACACATCCCTGTGGCTGACTTCTCTCCCCAGGGCAGGCCTGAGGTCTTCTGCCTGCTCCTCCTGTTCTTGCACCCCCCTCCTCATCCCAGAGACCCTTCAGTGACTGGTTCAGTACTCACGCACAAGTAGTGGCTGATAAGTGGTAGAGACCAGGCCCATCTTTTTCACTGTTGCATTCCCGTGCTCAGCACAGAATTTTTTTTTTTTTTTTTTTTTTTTTTTGAGATGGAGTCTCACTCTGTCACCCAGACTGGAGTGCAGTGCCATGATCTCAGCTCACTGCAACCTCCAGCTCCCAGGGTCAAGTGATTCTCCTGCCTCAGCCTCCCAAGTAGCTGGGATTACAGGCATGCATCGCCATGCGTGGCTAATTTTTGTACTTTTAGTAGAGAGGGGTTTTCACTATGTTGGCCAGGCTGGTCTCGAACTCCTGACCTCAGATGATCTACCCACACCCCAGCCTCCCAAAGTGCTGAGATTACAAGCATGAGCCACCATGCCTGACCTCAGCACAGATTTTAATACATGGCAGGCACAGATTAATATATGTGCAACATATATATTAACATATATGTTAAGTTAGTAAATACTTGTTCATTCAACAAAAATGATTGATGCAGAGAGAGACTAAAAATGACCTGGAGATAGTACAGAGAGGTGGTTAGAAATAGAATCCCAAACCTCAGCTTCCTCATCAGAGAAATGAGCTTAACAATAGTATATACACCCCTCAGGGCTATGTGAACATTAACGATAATATACACAAAGTGTTTAGCCCGGGGGCTGAAATATAATAAGTCCCTAAATGTGATTTATTACATGGTCATGACTTTCTTTCCCAGGGCAAGAGTTGGGTGATTTTTTTTTCTCCCTTCTCCTTCATCTATACCTAAACTAGGCTCAGCACAAAAGGGTGAACATTGAAAGTGTGGGTAAATATTCATTAAATGTATATTGAAGTTATCAAATCATTGAGCAAGCAAAAACATCCACTTCTGAAACAGTCTGTTGTATTTCTAGGACACACGTGGGTACTGACATTCAGCAAGCCTTCACGTAACTGCTGAATAGATGAAGAGAAATGGAGAAGAAAAGGTGAAAACTGTAGAAAAGGAGATGAAGCGAAGTTCCTAGAATTTATTTCAGTCATGTATGTGGATCTCTATTGGCTTTGTCCCTCTTTTCAGGTAATAATATCCCCATTTTCCTCAGACAGCCACTCTTTCCCATTGTCAGTCCAGGAAGTTTGGGCAGGGTGGACTCTATCTACAGCTGGGAGAAGAGGGAATTGTGTCAATCAGCATGATCCCGTCCCACTGGCCATGACTTGTTCAGGCTGTATCCATGAGCTAAGTTCACCCAACTACAGTGAATCCCTACAACTTGTGGGTGCCCCTTAGAAGAAAAACTGCTTCTCTTGCTGAAAATGAACCAGAAAATGTGTAAACCTGGGGATAGAGCCTGAAATTGTTTGGGGCCACCACAAGAGGGGTCCTGACTGAGGCTAAAGCTGTAATATGCAATCAGAGTGAAGAAGTGGCTATAATTTAAGCCCTGGATCTAGCCTTACCTGAAGCCATAACCTCATGGACTTTTTAGTTTCTTAAACCAACTTTTTTTTTATTATTACACCAGTTTTATTTGGCTTTCTATCACCTGCAATTGAAATGATATTAATAGTTCACTGCTAAATTATCTTTGGTGCAAAGTAGGGTACAAAACAAAAAAAGTCAAAACCACAAATGATCAATTCCTAATTATGCAGAATAGCCACCATTTCTGAATACCTACTACATGACAAGCTCCAGGCCAGGCCTTGGCATACCCTGGCATTATTCCTTGAAACAGCCCTGCAAGGCCCGTATCATAAAACTTCTGGCTATCCAATAAATCATATGATCCCTTTTGAAAAAAGTAAGATAAATAAAACATCCAAATTCCCAATACCCAACTCCTTTTCTTGGTCTTTTAAAATGAATTTTGTGTCTCGGTTACCATTCTTTGTGTCAGGGGGAAGAAAAATACACATACAAGAGAAACTCCACATAAATCAATCTTTATTCCATTTCAAAGCCTGCAAGATTTTCCAGATATTCCAAAGGTCTCCTTCCCTGAGTGAAATACTACATTTATTTAATAAAGCAGGTAGGATTTACTATCTGGGCACGGGTAAGCACTTTTTACTTCTCACAAGATAGATGACAGCTGCTGGCAGGCTTTTTCTTCCCTCCTTTTTGCTTTTTTTTTTTTCCCTGCTCTCTTTTGCTATGACTGCACAACTTTACCCATCACAACTGAATTACCAAACTGAGCCAAAGAAAGATTGTCCCCATGAGAGTGCCATGTAGGTTTCAGGCTTTATTTTCTTTTAAAGACAGCTTTAAAGAATTAGAAATAAATGTTATCAACTGTGGTTTTAAATGGTGCTGACTTACTGCTTTTGGTGAGCTGTAACACTGCTCCTCCCAACACACACACACACACACACACACACACACATACACACACACACACACACTCTGTCTCTCTTTCTCTCTCTCTCTCTCTCCCCATCTCTCTCTCTCTCTCTCTCTCTCTCTCTCAGCTGAACTCCCTGGGGACAGGAGGTGGGAAACGAGCTGGTGGGGAAACTAAGTTCTACAAGCATCCCCGGCCTAGATTCACCAGGGAAAGACAAAAGCTAAGTCAGTAGATTTCTGTCCCTTGGCTTAAAAGGAGTTAAGGAGCCAGCGCTTTAAATAGAGTCAGCCTGTGGAGGAGAGAAAACAGCTGGGAGAGGAAGAAAAGTGGTTTGTTTTCATTTGCTGCCAGCGGGACAGAAGGTGAGGGTTTCTCTCTCGACATTTTCACCCATAAGTTGGGCAGCAAGCCAGCCTGCTCTTTGGCTGAAAAACTCCAATTAAAAATGTATGACTTCGGTCTTCTGGAGAGGATGGGCAAAAAGTCAACTCTGGGCTGTACAAACACTTGAGGCAGCAGAAGTGAATTGAGGAATCTCATTCCCTCCCTTGCCAACCCACTGTCTGGGAAATAATGCCCACTGATTCTGGGCAGAGAGTGAGAAAGCTCCAAAGTCACATTCCACGGCCCTTACCAATGCATGTGGTTTCATCTTGAGCCCCCAAACTGTGATTTCAGAATAGGTTGCTCCAACCTAAAGTGCAGAATAGGTTACTTTTATGCACACATATATACAAACATGCACAAGCATGAAAACACATACATGAACACACACATGTGAACACACACAGCTCGATGTTTTTCAGCAGCAGTCCTCTTCTTGCCATTGGTCATGACTCGTCAGAGTATCTGTAGGGGTTTCCTTCATCTCCTTAGGTCTGCTTGCACTTTAGGTGACTCTGGGCAGTGACTGAATCAGTCTTGTTCATCTCTGTATCCCCAGCACTCAGTGGACTGTGATGACTATTACATTTGTTGAATGAAAGGGTAGATGGATGCACAGGGGGCAAAATATTCAATTCTTTATTCCTTTTGCTCTGATGAATGTTTAACATTATTCAGAAGCTTCCCTCTCATCCTGAAGATTCCTTTTCCACAAAGCATTAGTGACAAGAGGAGAATTTTCCTAGTGATTTTATAAAGGGAAGAGGTATTTGAAATAGATGTTCTTCCCCATCTCCCTTTGCCACCACAGAGCCTCTCTTCAGATGTTCTTGCCTCCAGCAAGGGGCCATGCTTCCTACCCTCTACTCTGTTATACTGAGAAATTTCACTCTGCACCCAAAGTTGCATTTTGGCTTCCATTAAAACAGAAGAACCTGCAGTAGCAAGGACCTTAAAGTAGTTTATGGACCACTGGCTACCTTTTGAATCTAATTCCTCACGCCGGTGGCTTATCCAAACTATTTCTTTCAAACATCCAGAGTTTTGTCCCTAAGTGAGGTTCTGTTAGATGAAATTGGTTGGTAAGTTCTAAGTTTTAATGTTCCAGCTCAGCATCCCTAAAGTGTAAGAGTGTCTTTGATTACCTTTGTTAACCTAGAGTCTTGAAACTGACTAACCCTCTTTTTAAGAATTTTTTTTTTTTTTTTATTAAGACAGCGTTTCTCTCTCTTGCTCAGGCTGGAGTACAGTGGTGCAATCATAGCTCACTGTGGTCTCCAACTCTTGGGCTCAAGAAACTGTCCCTCCTCAGCCTCCTAAGTAGCTGGGACTATAGGAATGCACAACTATACCTAATTTTTTTTTTATTTTTTGTAGAGGTGGGGTCTATGTTGCTCAGGCTGGTCTTGAACTCCTAGTCTCAAGCAATCCTCCCACCTTGGCCTCCCAAAGTGCTGGGATTACAGGTATGAGCCACTGCACCTGGCCTATGACCAACTTTTTATGCCAGTTACCATTAACTTTGAATTAATCAGAATTTTCTTTTGATGTTTTACCTTGGATGTAGACAGTTTTCTAAAATGTCTCCTTTTGTTTTAGTTTGTCCTTATTAATCAATAAATCTTTACTTATTAATAGCCCCCAGGGATCTCTACCTACTGGTATTCTCTTGTGTAACCTCATCCTTACAGTGAGGGCTGGAACTGGTGACTTGTTTCCAGTGGAAAAGTATGGCAACAATGAAGGGCTGCCACTTCAGAGACCAGGTTGTAAAGACTCATTTCCATCTTGCTTGACATTCTGTTGCTATTTCGGCATGCACATTTTTTACTTCAATAATGTTTGAATTACAGATGGTTTTTGGTTACATAGATAAGTTCTCTAGTGGAGATTTCTGAGATTTTAGTGCACCTGTCACCTGAGCAGTGTACACTGTACCCAATACATAGTCTTTTATCCCTCACCCTCCCCAACCTTCCTGAGTCCCCAAAGTTCATTATATCACTCATGCCTTTGTGTCCTCATAACTTAGCTTCCACTAATAAGTGAGAACGTTATCATATTTGGTTTTCCCTTCCTGGGTTACTTCACTTAGCATAATGGCCTCCAGCTCCATCCAAGTTGCTGCAAAAGGACATTATTTCAATCCTTTTTATGGCTGAGTAGTATTCCATGGTGTTTAGATACCACATTTTCTTTATCTACTCATTGATCAATGGGCTCTTAGTCTGGTTCCACATCTTTGCAATTGTCAGCACGCACATTTTGATGAGGCCAACTGCCCTGTTGAAGAGATGGTAAAGAAGTGTAGGTGGCTTACAGTCAGCCATCTGGAAAGAACTGAGGCTGTCAGTCCATAAACCCTCAAGGCAATGAATCCTTCCAGTAAACACTCAAGTGAGCATGGAGGTTAATTCTCACCCAGTGGAGCCTTCAGATGAGACCATGGCCTTAGCTGACACCTTAATTACAGCCTTGTGAGAGACCTTGAGCCTGAGGTACACAGCTAAACTATCCTCATATTCCTGGCTCAGAGAAACTGTCAGATTTTTTTCAAAACTGTGTTGTTTGAAGCCACTAAGTTTTAGAGTAATTTGGTATGTGGCAATAGGTAACTAATTCATCACCCCCATATCTGGCTCACCAGTAGCCTAACTAGAAATGCTTGACTTCTACTCTGTTGATGGCTTTATCACTTATAATTAAAAGTCAAAAAAAAAAGTATCTTTCTCCTTATCTCACTTAGTCATTCTGAACAACACACATGTAGAAATTTAATGCCACAAAATGAATCACTGGTAACTTCCATAAAGTTTACAGTATCTTACTGAAGTTCTGAGAAGCCCAAAACAAAAAAGATCAATGATTTCTGAATTATCTGTGAAGGCTTTATGTACACCCTTATTTTTCCAGATTTTATTTAAGCTGCTAGTCTTTCCTAACCAAGTTGCTGAGGTCCTTATGGAAGGCCACTGCCTCTCCTACAAGATTATACTAGTAGGTGGAGATCCCTTTCTCCAAGTAGTCCGTCTGCCTGAATCACTTTCACTTCTTACAAATAAATGGAAACCTTCATCCCCCAAGAAATTTGCACGATTAAGGTTTTGAGGAGCCATGTCTTATGGAAAGAACCTACTTTGGGAATCCATTTATCGATCGCTATATTGATCAGCTCCAAAGCAGCCATACAAAGCTAGCCCCTCGATATTTCAGTTTCTAATCTTAGGAAAGGAGTTCTTCCTGAATTCTTCACGTAACACCATGGTGGATACTAAAATGAACCACCCAGACCTCCCACCCTCTTCAGGGAAGGGCTTGTTTCTCAGCTGCAGAGAATTCATGAACATCCGACTCCAGCTGTCAGCTCCTTCAGGGTCTTCCTCTTCCCAAGGCCATACTCTTCCTAGGGCAACCTGCATTTGGTAGCTGAGCAAGGTGGAGTAGAAAGTATAGGAGGCCTGGCCATTTGGCTAAAATGCAAAACATTCTGAGGGGCCATATTTGCTCCAGAGCCCACCACTGGAGTAAAAGAAGCTTTGTTGACTTGCATCTCAGTTTGGCTTTTCCTTCTGCCCATTCTTGCTTCCTCTCCCTTCCTTTCCACATGTTGATCTCTCAAATCTTTCATATCCCCAACTCTGTCTCAGCATCCACTTCCTGAGATCCAAGTTGTGACATCACTGTTACAGAACCTCTATTTAAAATTTGATTTAGGATAAAATGTGAAAATGCCTAGCAGTGTTTGCTTCTATTTGTTTCCACCTATGCGGTTCTGTCTCCAATTTTCTGGCCTTACTTTACCTCTTCAAGGTGATGACATCCATCGGAGCAGGGACTACTACTCCTAGCTTCTTGCAACTCAAAGTATGGTCTAAGAATTAACAACATTGGTGTTAGTCAGTGGATTTTGTTGGTGACGGTGAATCTCAGACCTCACTACAGAACAACTGAGCCAGAATCTGAATTTTGGCTGGGACACATCTGATATGGTTTGACTCTGTGTCCCCACCCAAATCTCATCTCCTATTGCAAATCCCACCTGTTGAGGGAGGCATCTGGTGAGAGGTGGTTGGATCATGGGGGCATTTTCCCCCATGCTGTTCTTGAGATAGTGAGGGAGCTCTCAGGAGTTCTGATGGTTTGAAAGTGTGGTACTTCCCACTTTGTACTCTGTCTCTTTCTCTGTCTGTCTGTCTCTCTCTCGCTCTCTCTCTCTCTCTCCTGTTGCCTTGTGAAGAATATGCCTGCTTCCCCTTCACCTTCCACCATGATTGTAAGTTTTCTGAGGCCTCTCCAGCCATGCAGAACTGTGAGACAATTAAATCTCTTGTTTATAAATTACCGAGTCCCAGGTAGTATCTTTATAGCAGTGTGAGAACAGACTAACACAACATCCAAGTTAATAAGCACTGTTCTAGTAATCAGTAGCTCCCCACAACTGCTAGTATCACCTAAGCATATGAGAAGGGCTAGACCCATCCCTGTTGACTGAGTGAACATGGCTTATATGTGGGATAAGAAAGCTTGAGGAAAAGAACAAAGCCTCCTGGTTCTACCCTTATTGATTAGAAAATGTAAATATTTGATTTTGGAGAAAAGGTATGATACACAAAGAAAGGTGACCAGCACGGCCCAACTAGTGATCGAGGCAGTAGTCCTGGAGCAGTTTCTCATTCAAGCACAACTTCCCTGTCCCACCCACCAGCCTGGGTTTTCCTACTATCAGACAGGCCTTTTCATGTTCATCTGTTGCCATGGCTCCTTCAAATGTTGGTTGCACAAATAAGTGAATACATGAAAGAACCCTGAGATGATGAGACTTAAAGCTAAAGAGGTTGGCCAAATAAGCCAGGAGCATAAGGTGTGACTGTTTGGCCTTTGAGCCAAGTCACATGAATGACGATTTTGGCATTTATCACTCAGGCACAGCAAGGAGACAGAGACAGCCTTCAAAGAAGGATTTTAATGAACTGGCGGTACTTCATCATTTTGATAATCACAGAAATTAGAGGAGGAAATGAGAGGCTTGGCAGGTCATCTAGTCTCTCACGTGCCTGTACTGAACAGGTCTCTAGTGTATCTTTTGTAAGGTTTTATGGCACTCCCTAGTCGAAATGTTCTTTGTGCCTAGAGATAAGTGGGCGTCAGTTCACCCTTGTTCATTTGCTCCTCTCTCCTACAAAGGTCACAGTTCAAATTCTGCTCTTCTCATCTGTGAACTATTTCTTGCAGGCAGAAGTCAAGTGTAACTCTAAAATAAGATTCCCTATTTGTTTTTGTTTCAAGAAATAGTCACTGGGGGCAGGGCGTGGTGGCTCATGCCTGTAATCCCAGCACTTTGGGAGGTGGAGGCGGGCAGATCAAGAGTTCAGGAGATAGAGACCAACCTGGCTAACACGGTGAAACCCCATCTCTACTAAAAATACAAAAAATTAGCTGGGCGTGGTGGCGGGCACCTGTGGTCCCAGCTACTCCGGAGGTTGAGGTAGGAGAATGGCCTGAACCTGGGAGGCGGAGGTTGCAGTGAGCCGAGACCGGACCACTGCACTCCAGCCTGGGCGACAGAGCGAGACTCCGTCTCAAAAAAAAAAAAAAAAAGAAAAAAGAAAAAAAAAGAAATAGTCATTGGGATTGGATAGGGCATGCAGCAGCAGCAACAGAATCTCAATCTCAATGCTGGACAGATCAGATGTTTCTTGCTCACACTTCCTGCCCAACACAAGTCAGCAGGGAAGACTATGTTTACCATCACTCAGATCCCCAGACTGATGAAGAATATTTTAGTATGTCCTTCTATGGTCACCAGAAGAAAGAGATGGGAACAAGGCAAACTGCCCACGTGTCTTCCTGGAAGCGGCACACCGTGCTTCCGTTTTCATTTTATTGGCGTATCGTTTAGTCATAATTTATCATATGACCTATCTGTGTTCCTGGGAGGCAGAGAACCGGAAGTATTTGGTGAATAGCATGAATGATTTCCATGAGAAAAAAATCTACTACAAATGCCAGATGTCAACCTCATCTCAAAGGCCACCTAATAAGAACATGACTCTGTAAAAGTGGCCAAATGGCTTTAACATACCGTCCCTTCAATTGTATTGACTCCTATGATTATTAATTTTATGTGTCAACTTGGATGCCCAGATATCTGGTTAAACATTATTTCTGGGTGTGCTTGTGAGGGTGTTTCTAGAAGAGATTAGCATTTGGATTGGTGGTCAGAGTAGAGCAGATGGCCCTCTGCCATGTGGGTGGGCCTCATCCAATCCATTCAGGGCCTGAACAAAACAAAAAGGTAAAGGAAGGTTGAATTCACTCACTGATCTTCCTCTGCCCTCTGTGCTCCTGTTCAAGTTTTTACACTCAGACTGGAATCTACATCATCAGCTCTCCAGCTCTCAGGGCCTTCTAACTACACCACCAGCTTCCCAGGTCTCCAGACTGCAGATATGAGACTTTTCAGCCTCCATAATCATATGTGCCAATATCTTACAATAAGTAAATCTCTTGATATGTTTCTCTGGAGAATCCTGACAGATATAACCACCTATTATATCAGGATATGCAGTGACAAGAAAAACAAGGCCACTTGATGGTGAAGGTTATATTTAAAAGGGGGAGATAGACAAAAGAAAGCCAAGTCAATAGATAAATAAGCCAGATAATAGAAGCTTTATGAGGTTTTATGAGACTTAAAGCTAAAGAGGTTGGTCAAATAAGCCAGCAGCATGAGTTGTGACCATTTGGCCTCTGAACCAAGTCACACGAACAATGATTTAGGCATTTATCACTCAGACACAGCAAGGAGACTGAGACAAGCAAGGTAGGGGTGTAGGGGTTGTGAGCATGGGTGTGTGTGATGGGTCACTGTATTGTTGGTGCCCAAGCAGGGTGAGGAAGGCATCCACATGGACAAGAAGCATACCTTGAGATGTTGAAGCCCAAGGGTGGGGAGAATGTTCACATGGGGGGAAGCAACTCCATGCCAGGTGTAGAGTCCGAGTGGGGTAGCAAAGACTTCCACACTGGTGTGGGGAGTTGGGGGGACAGCCCAGCATGAGACGTCAGATTCTGAGTAAAGTAAGGAAGCCATCCACACAGGGGAATAGGCAGTAGAAGCAGCAGGAGACTGGTTAGATCCAGGAATCATCAATAAGTAAATTAAGAACCATGATAGCCAAGTTTTTCATTCTCAGTGAAGTGAGATACAGCTATGCAAAGGGAGAAAATGAAAATAAAACCTGTGTTGTTTGACTGGAATTGAAGGTTATCACAATAAATTCATACTTTCTGATAGATACATCGATGTGTTATAAATGTTTATGTTCTGCATATGCTTGTCTTCTGAGAATGCTTAGCAACATCAATACCAGTAGCAGTAAGCACACCTAGCTCCCAGGTCTTGGCCTCTAAATACCGATACCTACTAAAACACAAACAAAAACAAAACAAACAAAAAAACAGAGCCTTGGAGATGGCTCTTTCTCATGCTGGGGAAGAAAAGGTACAAGCTGAGCCTAGAACATTGGGCAGAAAAGCAACAAAGTGCTCAAAAAATGATGGAAACATGTTTTAAAAAACATGACCAAACACAAGACAATTTTAGCATTCAAGTAAATAATGACAGCAATGGATTAAAACTCAATGAATAAACTCAAAAACCAGAAGTCCATACAGGCACAAAAAAATAGATCTGTGAGAGTATTTCATGGGATAGTCACATAATCACAAATCTTCCTCCCACAAAATACCTCTTAATTCTAAAAGGATCAAGAGTTAAGTATCGTGAACCAGCCTGGTAGGCATCACTTTAATCTAATGATCACAGGGAACATTATCAGTAATGGAGACACATTTAAGTTGTGTGCCACCTGCTAGGATGCAAGCCAGCATTACTTCTGTTACAACCCTGGCAAAGACAAATAACCTGAATCCAATCATAGCAAAACATCCAAAGCGAGGGATATAGTACAAAATAAAACCCTGGCCTGAAGCTCTCAAAAATGTCAAGGTCACAAGTGTCAGTCAAAGACAGAGAAAATGTCCTGGACTGAAGGAATCTGAGAGGCATGACAACAGAATGCAGCCCATGATTTGACCTAGAGCCTTTTGCTATAAAGGACATTATTAGGACAATTAGTAAAATTGGAATCAAGTCTGAGAACTAGACGGTAGTAATGCATCAATGTAAATTTCCTTTTATTTGTGGTTGCATCATAGCTCTGTAGATGAACCTTCTTGTTTGTAAGAAATACATACTAAAGTTGGAGAATGAGGGGCCACACCTTCAAATGATTCAGGAAAAAAATACAGCACTATAAGTGAAATTTTTATCAGATTTTTATGCCTTCAAAATAACAAAAGAAATAAAAGTTATACTAAAAAAGATAATATATTAATGATGTATTAACAGAACAAGAAAAGTTACAGAGCTGAAAGTATGGCCACAGTTTTGTTTCTGTCTTGAATTATTATCTAAAATTCACTATCATGAACAGGTATTCCAATTGTGATTAGAAAGTGGTGCAAAAGAGGTTAATTGGCTTGTTTGTTTTCAGTGAATTTTTGGGTTCTCCCAGCATCTTGATTCTTCAGCCACAGGCTTGAAGAGCTTCACACAGCTCCACACAGCCAACAAGATTAGGACAGGGTAACCCATGGGAAAGAATGTGACTCTGCACATCTTAGGGTATTGGGTTCGCCTAATTTTGCCTGTTTCCCAGAAGGCATCTTGAGAATCCCCCAAGAGGAAGCTCTCGCGACACTTAACCTCACGATGAGCAGGTTGCTGCATATATTGCCAGCATTAATCACTGGCAGCCCAGACTGACTTTCCTGGCCATCCTCGGGGCAATTTAAGGCTTGAATGTGTTCAGCAAGAACTTCTAGCAGGTCAGAAGCCAGAAGGTTGGGTACCTCTCAGGGCCTCCAGTCTGTTCGCCAGGGCCGAGGACTAGGAACTGTTAACAAGCCTCCTCACTTGTCCCAACACTCGTGATCAGACAGGTGGGCTGGGGAGAAGCATTTGGCTGAGCTTCCAAATGTGCAGCAGGTGCTCTCTGGTGCTTACCCATCAGTAAATCCATAAGCACCAAGAGGCTTTTATTGACAACACTGTGGCAAGTGCTTAATCATTCCTATGTGGAATTTGAAGCAGATTTTTAAAATGAATTTTAAATGAAAAAGTCAAATTCTTGTTTGGGACTGAATAATGGCAATATTTGAAAATGCACTCGAGAACATCTCTAGTGTCTACCTAGCTGGTCTCTGAAGTTATCTGGAGAAACCGCAAACTAGGACAGATTTAAGGGCCCAGACCCCCACCCTATGGACCCAGCAAGTCAGCAAGCCCACGGGAATCGGCAGGAAAAGCGAGAATAACCTTTCTGCTTTTGACCCACACATGGCAGTACTGTTTGCAATTTTTAAAGCATACATTAATTTGTTAATTCAGAAAACATAAGGAGGTAAAAGTAAACTATCATGAAAATTGTTCCAACAGATGTGACTCTTTAGGTTGGAAATTTAAAGAGCAACCTCATGCTCAGACTCACCTGTTTGGCTCAAACTTGGTGGCTGTATTAAAAAGACAATGAGCAAGGAAAAGCCGATCATTCCCAATTATAATATTTAAAACAATCTTCTTCACATCAGCGTGGCGCTTTATAGTTTGCAAAGCCCCAGCATGTATTTTGACTTAAATAGTAATTCTCAAACAGTAGTATAGAAACCACTAATATGAGAATCATCCATGGTGCTGGGAAAAAAATGCAGATTTCCTGGGACCCACCCTAGGCTTATAGAAGCAGAAATTCTGGGGATAGGAAAAGACATTAATAACATCTTTAAGGAGCACCCCAGATGATTCTTAAGTACAGTGGAGTTTAAAAACAACTGAGGAACATTTAAAAAAATTTTTTTTTTGTAGAGATGGGGTTCTTACTATGTTGCCCAGGCTGGTTTCAAACTCCTGGCCTCAAGCAATCCTCCTTCCTTTGCCTCCCAAAGTATTGAGATTACAGGCTTGGGCCATCACAGTGGCCTAAAAAGCATGCTAACCCTGTTAGATAGACAAGGCAGATACCCCCATCCAACAGTTTACTTGCCACGGTTGCTTAGGAGTGAACTGGAGGAACCTTCACTCCTCCCCACTTTCCAAGAACCTGCAAAGCCACAACAGCAGCATGATTCGTTGTGAACATCCTAGAAGCAGGTCCTAGAAAATCTGCCTATCCCTCCCTGCAGCTTCATTCAAGTGATCGAAGACCAGCATGAGTCCAATTCTTCAGAAGCTGTGCTACCCCTTGGGATTAGAAGGGAAGTCCTTTCAGTTGCACTGGGCACTGTTTTCTGAAATGAGGGCTCTGCAAGGCAGCTTAACCCACCATCACCTCACTTCAGTGAGCCCAGATGCTAGCAGTAAGAAGAGATGGACGTGCACAAAGCAGGAAGCACAACAGCGAGTCCCAAGGCTTGGACATGGGCTGGGAAGTTGGAAAATGGGTGCCCAGGCATGTGACATATGGCCAGGACTGTCCACACCCCCCACAACGGCCCCATGGGCTGGCAACAAGCCAGTGTGATAACAGAATACTATAATATGATAAAATAAACGTGCTCCTTCTCCCCTTTTCCTCCCCAATCTTTGAAGCAGGCAGCTTACTTTGTCCTCAGCTCCTCAAGAGAAATGTGTGGCAGAAAGCAAATAGAAGATAAGACTTCCAGCCACCTCAGCCATAATCTACTTAATTCCATAACCAAGTGTGCCTCTCCCCCACTCACAATCCCTACAATCCCAGAACTGTTATCCAAATCTGTGGGGGAATGGACTGGAAGCAATAATAACTGAGGAGAAATTTTCTATCAGCCATTCTAAATTTGGGTGTGGGGTTTGGGGGGCTTTGAGGCAGAAATAAAATTGAGTTATACATGATTTTTTAAATTTTTCCTTGCAAACTTAAATTTATGAATTAATACTTAACCTGCTGAACTTTTAAGGAAGCTGTGTTTCTTGGCTCACAAGGGGTGGGTTGATTCACAAGGAGAAATATTAAATAGCTCTCTTCACTCTGCAGCACCTGGTACCCAAGGTGTGGGGAAGGGGGACTTTCTGTGGATTGGATTGGACCAGAGACCTGAGCCCCAAACTGGTTTAGGTGAATTTTGATGGGTACAAAATTACCTAACACAAACCCAGTGGCCTACAGGTCTGATGCCCCAACTTCCCATAAATAAAGGCAATATTTAGAAATCAGACACAATGGGCAGGACTAGCAAAGCAGAACTCTACCTTCACGCCACACTACCACTAATTCTTGAGGAACTTGTGCAAATTAGGAAAGGGAGCTCCTTACTAAAGATGATTTCATCCATCAGAAGATGGTCATAATATGCTTACTAGAATATGACAATTTGGTGGATTCTTCTAGAAAATTATATCAAATATACAAAGTCTCTGGTGTCTATGAAAGAAACAACACACCCCTGGAATAATGCAGTGTACAATTGTACATGGCAGCCCTGTATCATTCTTCACTGTTTTAACAAAGCTTGATGCTAAAAGGACACTGGTGAAAGCAGTGAGGAGGTCACTTACAGCAGGTTGTTGTTTCAAAACACTGAGATCACTGGGCTCAGTGAACACTAATACCATGTTCTGTTTTCTAAGTTTTTCAGAACTTCCACCCACAAAGTGAAGAGGCACTTATAAAGAGGTTGGCAATGATGAAAAAGCAGACTCAAACTTCAAACTTTCCAGAGGAAGGGGCATACAGTAGGTGCAAAATAAGCGTGTAATTGTTTCTTTAGTTTAAAAAAAAATGCACCCAAATGACAGGAGAAGGTTCTTGACTTATTCCTAAGAGTCTTGGACTCTCTTAGAAAATCATTGATGACTTTGTGATTCGTGTTCAACTTTAACTCATGGCATTGTGCCAAGTTGTAGTAATAAAAAATAAGTTCTTCCTTCTAACAACCAATTCAATCAAAGAAAAGAAAATCTTGCCAAACAGGACTTTTATTGGCTCTTATGGACTCCTTATTTCTGTCTGATCTTCTCCTGAGAAAGAAAAAGGGCAAATGAAGTCCTCGTCTCCTCTGAGACGAGCCCCAGCTGCTTCTGATGTTGCTCCTAAATCCTGAAGCCTCTAGAGGCTTCCATTCTGAGTATCTCTCCTTGGGCAGAGAGTGCTAGATGTGGCCTCTTTTCCAAGCTCAGAAACAGTTTCCTTGAGTTACAGAAATGTGGGGCGTTTCTCTCCCTCGAGAGAAGTTACCAGACTATTTCAGCAGCATTTTTCCTTCCAATCAGGCTAGCCACAAAATGGAAAGGCAGAATCTAATACACTTTCTGATGCCACCCGTGGTTCATAAAGTCACGCTAATGAAGAACAGCTGAAATCTTTTACTTGTGAAACAGCATCCTTTTACCTGCAGAGAACTGACCTTAACACTCAGAGAGAATGAAGGAAAAAAAACCACACAGAACCAGAATCAATTTCACTCCTTTCCATTGAATTTTCATGTCAGATATCAGTGAAGTTTTATCATTACTATTTTTCTGGGTTTTTTGTGGAATTTCTTTTGTATCTTTGTACATGACTTTTCTGATTAAATGCTTCTTATGTTAGTATTTACTCCATTTTTTTTTTACATTGGAGGAAAAAATCATGAGTTTCACCGTAGTGTTAAAAATGCTAACACTCAAAGTAAACGCTGTTTTAAAAGAATCACTCGTGACTGTTTATGTAATTTCGAATAGCTAAGGCAAAGGAATGTAGAAGAATATAGCCTCACATGACACAGAAAAAGGAAGGTGGATCCGTTTGTGGAAATACAGAAAATAATCAAAGCCCCCCGACTCCATCCTGAGAGCTGAATCATTCAAATTGGCCCTCATTATGGATTAAACAGGGTAACTGTCTTAGTCAAAACAGTGGACTACAGAATATAAGAGGTTTTTGTATGACTAAGGGCCTAAAGATATTTTCTGATCTGAAGATGCATTTCTTACATTGCTTGGCCAATGGTAAGCAATCCTTTTTCCTGTGTGGTGACACTGTGACCAGGATGATACAGCCCTGTTATTGGATTGCCACCTTCACACACACCACAATCTGTTTCCAAGTTAACCACGTTTAGCCCCATCGGGTGCACATCCCTCACCATATTCCCACCCCAAAGTGGGTTCTATATCTGCTTCTTGCTTTTTATTTTTTTCTTGAGATGGAGTTTCACTCTTGTTGCCCAGGCTGGAGTGCAATGGCACCATCTCGGCTCACGGCAACCTCTGCCTCCTGGGTTCAGGCGATTCACCTGCCTCAGCCTCCCGAGCAGCTGGGATTACGGGCATGTGCCACCATGCCCAGCTAATTTTGTATTTTTACTAGAGACAGGGTTTCTCCATGTTGGCCAGGCTGGTCTCAAACTCCTGAACTCAGGTTATCCACCTGCCTCAGTCTCCCAAAGTGCTGGGATTACAGGCATGAGCCACCGCGCCCAGCCGCTTCTTGCTTTTTCATGTTCCCTCTCTCTGGAATGCTATGAAAGAAAACCATAAAATGATTCCACTGGGTGGACAGGTCATTTTAAGCCATTTTTTCCCACTTCTCCTAAAGATTTTAAAGGATTGTGAAAAGCGTCACCCAATCTGCATTAATTTCCCTACATTTTCCTCTACTTATTGATTACATCTTGACATCAAAGCTGAAACATGACAAAAATAGAAAAACACCAGAAAGAGAGAGACATGAAACTTGCTTCCCTTACTCCAAACTACGAGCATAAAGCATTTATTGGCAGGAGTCTCTCAACTTCCCTGGGAATGACCAGACCAATGTCCTCTAGGGTTTCCTCAAAATTCCCAGTTCTTGGAAAGTCAGAAAGTCAAAATTAATGTTCTAAAGGTAACCTCGTCAGAAATAAAAACCGTCTAAGTTCAGTACCTATGACAATGTATTTTCTTATTGTAAATTATCACCAATTGTCCTAAAAAATATTAAAGGCCTCTGCCCTTGGATGAATTTTAAACATATAGACTGGCTGCTGAGAAATGGCCAGTGTCATCGATCCTTCTAAATATATTCTCACCCTGTCTCTCTCTCTCTCACACACACACACACAACACACGCACACACCCTTTTGTCAACTGAGCAATGTCTTCCGAAGCCAAATGCCAAGTGTACTAAGATAAAGGTATTGCAATCCCTGGAGGAGGGGCACTTCAATTACAAAGAAAAGCAAAATATGCCTGAATCTTTATTTCAGAACAAATGCTGACAAAATGAGGAATGTCACTAAGGATTTTCTTTCTTCACAAGATGGTCACTTTCTGTGAGTGACTTACCTGTGTTTCCATGTGAGGGTTTCCCAAATCTTACATGTAGGTAGCGTCTTCCTGCAGTCTGTCCTCTGCACACACTAGCAAGATTCCCTAGTGCCTTTTCTCATCCCAGAACAGCAACAACAAAAAGTCTCATGCTTACCAGCATTAAAGCCTCCAGCAAATTGCCTTTGGCTGGGCGAGTTTAAAATAGGATAGAAAATAGAAGCACTTGTATTCCTGGGTCACTGCAAAGAAAACACCATCCATCTCCTTAGATTTAGGTTATAAGAATCACCTGGAGACTGTTAAGCTGCAGCTGCCTGCCTGAAGCCCGGCATGGGTGATTCTGAGGCAGGTGGTCATCTTCAAGTTTTACTTAAAGACAGAACTTCGCGAACTTCACAATGCCTAAGAATCATAGGGAGAGCAGAGGATCTTGTTAAATGCAGATTCCAGTTCAGTAGGTCTCAGTGAGTCCACATTCTACCTGGGGTTTCTAACAAGCCCCCAGGTGATGTGGACACTACCTTCCACAGATTACACTTTGAGTAACAAGGTTTAAGGAACAGGCACAGAAGTCCTTGCTGCTGAACGTGTGGGACCCAGGTCAGCGGCACAGCAGCACCTGAGAGCCCATTAGAAATGCAGGCTGTCCCCTTCCTGTGTCCAAATGTTCTCATTGTTCAGTTCCCACCTGAGTGAGAACATGCGGTGTTTGGTTTTTTGTCCTTGCGATAGTTTGCTGAGAATGATGGTTTCCAGCTTCATCCATGTCCCTACAAAGGACATGAACTGTTGTGGGGTGGGGGAGCGGGGAGGGATAGCATTAGGAGATATACCTAATGTAAATGACGAGTTAATGGGTGCAGCACACTAACATGGCACATGTATACATATGTAACAAACCTGCACGTTGTGCACTTGTACCCTAGAACTTAAAGTATAATTAAAAAAGAAAAAAAAAGAAATGCAGGCTGTCAGGTTCCACCCTAGGCTTACTGCATTGGCATCTGCATTTTATCAAGATTCCCATATGATTCTTAAGCATATTTGTTTCAGAAGCTGACATAGGAGAACTTCAAGGTATTCACAAAGAAATTGTTTTCTTTCAGAAAGGTCAGAGGTGGCAAAAAAAAAAAAGAGGCACCATTTTGATTCTCAGATATTTGAAATCCATGTTAAAGGCAGGTCTATATTAGAAGAGAGAGTAACCTACTGAGAAGCCAGCTTCTTAAATCTCAACCTCCTCTCTACCAAAGGAAACCGTTTAGGACAAGAGTTTGATATTGTGAGTGCCACAACTCTGAATGTGAACAGCTATTATATGTTTTCACCCTTCTCTGTTTTCATCACTTCTCACATCATTAGATCAACCAATTTGGGGACCTTGCTATACCCAATGGACAGGTGGCTTAAACAGTAAAGATGAATTAATAAAGCCTAGTGCCTTCCCTCAGAAGGGGAGGTGAAACCATACATTTGAACGTCTGTTGCTCCTTGTGAAGATTCAAGCTTTGCTTTGATATTTAGGGAGATCCAGAAAAAAGAGATGTCGCCACTTCCGTAAACCCTGTACCTTGCAAAGTGCATGACACATTAATAAGGATAATTTCATTGATGTTAGCTGAAGATGTTAATATCAAGATTTAAATAGTAACTTGCTAAAAACTAGAGGCTAAAAGAAAATATGTATATAATCCCAGCACTTTGGGAGGCCAACATGGGAGGATCACTTGAGCCCAGGACTTCAAGGCTGGCCTGGACAACATAGCAAAACCCTGATCTTAAAAAAAAAAAAAGTTAGCTGTGTGTAGTGGTGTGCCCCTGTGGTCCCAGCTACTTGTGAGGCTGAGGCAGGAGGATCTCTTGAGCCCAGGAGGTCAAGGCTGCAGTGAGCCATATTCACTCCAGCCTAGGCAATACAGCAAGAACCTGCCTCAAAAAAAAAAAAAAAGAAGCAGAATGAAAACACGTAGCTATCCAACTATCCAGAAAGGAAGGGGAAACAACCTTACATCAAAAAAAAAAAAAAAAAAAAAAAAGAGGAAAAAAGTAAAACACAAATTTAATCAGATAATCAGGGTCTAATAGAATCTGGGATCATAGAAAGCCTCTGGAAAGCTATTAGAATCAGTAATATCCTATGTACAAGCTCTTTATTTCCTTCAGTTTTGTTTTCATGAGCTTCTGTCAGGAAGAAACTGCTTGCTACAGACAATTGCTTGCATTTGTTGATCAATAGATCAAGGAAGAGTCAAAGGAGGTAGGGACCATCTAAGGAAGGGATGGTGCTGGCATTGACAAATGCAAATAGGGCCAATGCAAATACTGTGTTCAATTAGCATTTTTGTGGACCCAGCGATTTCTGAAAACTATTTTTGAGTCATAGAATACGCAGGGAGCATCTGGCTCCATTTCTGGAAATACTTCTGACACCACTGCCTCCTTCTCTTTAATGTATCCTACTCAAACTTAATTTTCTTCCCTTCCTCATGCCAATCTTAATGCCTTCCTGCAGGTTTATTTCCTGCTTGGCCCATATGAGACCTCGAAATTTTAGTAATCGTAGTAGGCCCTTAGTTGAGCTCCTACCGTGTGCCCTTCACATGTCTTATTTCATGGTAACAACCAACTACCTGCTGTTTACAAATGAAGTAACTAAAGCTCAGAGAGATGAAGGAACCCGCCCAAGGTCACAGAGCTGGCAAATAAATGTTGTAGGATTCCATCTTATGTCTGTCCAAAATCCATGCTTCCTGGCCAAATCCTTCTGTGCCTTGTAGCTATTTTTTTTTTTTTTTTTTTTCCTGAGATGGGGTTTCGCTCTGTCACCCAGGCTGGAGGGCAGTGGCGCAATCTCGGCTCACTGCAAGCTCCGCCTCCCGGGTTCACGCCATTCTCCTGCCTCAGCCTCCCGAATAGCTGAGACTACAGGCGCCCGCCACCACGCCTGGCTAATTTTTTTGTATTTTTAGTAGAGACGGGGTTTCACCGTGTTAGCCAGGATGGTCTCGAACTCCTGACCCCACGATCCGCCTGCCTCGGCCTCCCAAAGTGCTGGGATTATAGGCGTGAGCCACCGCGCCCGGCCCTTGTAGCTTTTATTCTCTCCCTCAGTCTTATCTTTTCCAGCCACTATGTTCAGTGGTGTCTCTCACTTTCTAGAACCAGCTTAGAGTGTGTTATCTCAGGATCTCATTCTCACTTCATCTCTCCACCTGGGGACACTCTAAGGCAGGTTTCCTTCCACATTTTATAGCCGCGGCCCCACTGCCTTTTCAAATGGAGTTCCTTGAAAGTTTCAAATGGATTTTGTGTTTAAAAATATGTACACTAAAGCTCAGAAATTAGAGTCAAGGACTTTGCCAATTTTCTTTTATGTTCAGAAAAAAATCAATTAAAAAAGGGCAAGCCCCAAAGGATGGCCACAATCATGTTTATAAAAACATTTCTATATTGATCTATTTTGATGATCACCTAACTTTCTCTCTCTCATCATAGGTTTCTATTGGTAATTTCAATACTTTTGGGCCATTTTGCCAAAACAATGACTGATAGTCTACAGTCATCCCTTGGTACTTGTGGGGAATTCGTTCCAGAACCCCCTGAGGTCACCAAAATCTGAAGATACTTAAGTCCCTTATATAAAATGGCACAGTATTATGTGCATATAATCTACATAAATTATACTTTAAATCATCTCTAGATTACTTATAATGCCTAATACAATGTACTGCTGTGTAAATAGTTGTTCTACTATGTTGGTTTTTATTTGTACTATTTTTACTGTTATATTATTGTTTTTATTTGTTTTTTCCCCAAAATATTTTTGATATTCAGCTGGTTGAATCTCAGATGCAGAACCTGCAGACATGGAGGGCCAACTGTATTTATTCAAGTAGGATTCACCTGTTGCAATGCATACATACAAATTCTGCACACAGGGAACCCGGTGGAAGTCTACGTTAGAGCAGGTCCATTTAAAGAGAATTCCACTCACATTAGAAAATGCCCCTTTTATTTAGTCTCTCTGCACAATACTTTCTTTTTACATTATAAAATCACACAGGAGGAAAGGTTTTTGACAGGAAGCCAACAGAAGACAACTTGCCAAGCAAAACATTGAGGATCCATTGCCAGCATCTGCAGATAATTTTTTTCAGAGAAAGAGGAGTCTTCCTGGTGATGAATGAATATTTTGACTTGGCAATTAACACAATTATCCTGGAAGACATGCATGCATGTGTCTCCCTATAATACCTTGCCTGTTGCCACTAAATACAAAAGCCCCCTGCCCCACCCCCCAAAAATTGTTTTAATGGACTAAAGACCAGGAAATTGAGCCAAATCTCCAAATAAGGCAGGTGTAATAATAATTCCTCCTAAGAAGAGGCCTGCGATCCTCTGTTTGTCTTTTAGTGTTGAAAAAAGGGCAGAACTTTTCCTCAAAGTCTTCAGTATGAGAATATTGGTCTTTAAACTCATCACCACTCATTCATACATTGAGCATCCTCCTGATATTTTAGGGGATCTTCTAAACTTAACTTTTTAACAATCAGCCCTTCTGAAAGAAGAGTTTACTAAGTTCATTGATTCTCTTTTGGCAAGCTCGCAATTCCTACATTTGGACAAATTAAACACAGTAAAGATTTCCTATATCAGCTCAGAGGACACTACCTGAAAATTCAGAAAGCTTTTCTTAGACTTCAGGAAAAAAGAAATGAGAGGATGAAAGGATGAAAGGAAGGGAAGAAGGAAGAAAGAAAGAAAAAAGGAGCAAAGAAGGAAGAAAGGGTTAAGAAGAGACAAAGTAAGAGGAAATAAATAATGTAGAATACATATTTCCAAAACGGAAAGAAAAAAACAATTCAACTAACATATATTAATCTTTATTCTATAACAGACATAAATAATTTTATGAATTCATATGACCTATACAAAAGACAAGATATTGCACTAAATTTAGATATGGGATATTTGAATTTAATATTAGCTAAACAGATAAATATATACAATTTAAAGAGTTAAGGCAAAACCAGATGATACTTCAAATACAACAGAAGCCTTGAAAAATAGGTATAATTAGAAACAACAGCATCCCACCACCAGTTAATAAAGTGGTCATGTCTACGGAAAAAAAAAAAACCTTAGGTTTTTAATAAAGTGGTTATTATCAATCATTTTAATTAAAGTTGAGCAATAAAGTATAAGATTTCCCTCGGAGGGGAGCTGTTTTGCTGAGGCTCAGGGATTGAGCACTTAGATTTTGGGTAAGCAACTTTTTCCTTGTCAGATTTATGATCTATTCTTCTTCTTAGAAAATATAACTTGGAAAATATGACTCTTTCACATATACAATTAAAATACAACTATGAAGCATTCTTTTTTTTTGAGAGAAGTCATGTCGATGATATCGTAGTCAAGGTAAATTTGTGGGCAAGCCATTCATTACCTTATTTTAAGAGAAAACATAATACCAGTTACTGAAAAAAAAAATCCAAGTTTTTTACAAGAACCAAACAAACTAATTCCAAAGGAATAAAAACAAATATAATCAATATATTAACACAGTATACAGTTCTTTGGCAGTATCACACTAACCGTTGATTGAAGTCAGAACTTTAGAGTTTTCTAATCCTTAGACCTGGTTGCCAGTCTTTTAAAACTAAACAAATAAAATTCCACATCTGTAACTAATTCAGTAATCCCAGGAAATGAAATTCAGAATAAGTCTTGCAGACAGCTTTTGACTGTTACATTTAAGCATAGGTATTATCTGCTTAGAGTCCCAATCCAAATATACTGAAACAGACACACACAAATAATCTGTGAAATTTTGTATTGGTTCAGACAGGCTAGAATCCTTAGAATCCATATCCACCCATGAGAAACCAATAAAAGACATCAATCCAATGATGAAAAAATGATCTTCCAATAACTCAGGAGTGGGTCATCCCTCACCTGGATGAACATCATGGAGAAATTGAATCCTATAGGGGGAACACCAGAAAGCCAGAAAACGTGGAATACTGCCAGCCTCCAACCAAATTACCTTTCTCCAGTTTTAGGTAAACCTTATCCTCTTTATCTAGGTAGAGCAGGACACCATTCGTGGCAGCTTCACGAGTAACATCTTTGTCCCCCGCAAAGGCAGATATTACTGGTTTTCCATTTAACATCAAGTTAACCTAGAAGAAGAAAAATAATAATAATTGAAAAGTTCTCTTTAAAGTCAAAACATCTACTGGGGAGAATAAATAATGTCTAAGATGATAGACCCAGTAAAATACCTGATGTTCAGGAAATATATTCCCTTCCTTTCAAATTAGCCAATTGTGGGGGCCATACTTCACATGTCTGCTGAACTGATTTTTTTAATTTTTTTTTTCTGATTGGAATTTCCTTAAATTCCTACAAAAGAATAACATCTATGGAGACCAACCTAGCCATGTGAAAACTAGCTTCCCTTCAGCACATAAATTAAGCTTACTGCTTTACTTAACTCTTCCACCCAACAATAATCTTTTGGAAATAGAGCAGGCTTGTGGCTTCCCGGTACATTCGTAAAAGAGACCCTCTGCCCACTGACATAAGAGACCCAGATACAACCCAATCCTACCAACATCCTTGCGAATTTTTGTGCAGCTGTAACATGCATACTACTGAAAATCAATTGAAATAATGAAGTTTGTGTATATATGTGTCTGTGTGTGTTTATTTCTTTTTCTATTTTCCCTGATAGGAAACAAGCATCAAAAACAATCATCAGGCCAGGCATAGTGGCTCATGCCTGTAATTACAACACTTTGGGAGACCAAGGCAGGAGGATCACTTGAAGCTAGGAGTTCAAGACCAGCCTGGGCAACATAGCAGGACCTCATCTCTAAAACAAACAAAACAACAAATTTAAAAATTAGCCTGATTGGTCACATGCACCTATAGTCGTAGCTTCTCAAAAGGCTGAGGCAGGAGGATTGCTTGAACTCAGGGGTTTGAGGCTGAAGTGAGCTATGGTTATGCCACTGCATTCCAGCCTGGGTGAAAGAGTGAGACCCTATCTCAGAGAAAAACCAAAAAATAAAAAATAATAATCACCACTATCACTGATTTTAGTGATTTTAGTGATTTTAGATTTAGATTTTAAATTTTAGAGATTTCAGTGACAGATAATTAGAATCAACTCAAAACTGTATTAACTATTTTCTATTCTTCAATTTTGATTACACTGTGTCAAGCATTGCATACATTTCTAAATATTGGGGGTTGGGAAAACTTTTCCATGGAAGTAAGTTTGTTTTCTAGATTTTTTTAGGTTAAAAGTCATATGGAATAAATTAAATCTGAGGCTGATCCATTTATCCATTTACTAGGACATGTAAAAGTATTAATAGATAAGCATGTAATCTATCATTCATATTGACATAATGTATAACATAAATACTGAGCATAAGATAAAAGGTTATCTTAGAATTCCATGCACATGTATTTGTGTCATTTAGTATTAGCATACTGGAATATTGTTGGAACAAGCTCCACTGTTGCTTTTGAATGTAAGGTCAAGCCCATTGTCTTAGAAAGCAGAACACAAAATATATTAACTGTGGAACTGCAGTTGGTAAGAATTCACTAGCATCAGAGTAACTGAGGATAAACACAAGCATACGCATAGAACACCGTTTTTTAAAAATGTATTTTGAATAGTTCCTCCTTCATAGACTTATTCTTACTGATTAGCTGTATCTCATAATTTTAAAAAATAGCAAATGTGTTTTATTTATTTAGTATGCACTTGTAAAGCTGTACTAGTCTTACAAGTTTTTTTCTTATGAGTTCAAGTAATTCTTGTACATGCATTAAATGAAAGCATGATCTTACAAAGAGATTTGTGTCACTGAATTTTTACTCAACCATGGATTTTTAAAAAATGTTTGATTGTTATTAAGGTAATAACTTCAATTCTCTATTTTTCTATACGCTTTTTGTCACGTCTTAATGGATGTTAAAGAGAAAAAAATTAGAAATTAAGTGTTTTAAAATAAATGATAAAGATGGCTGCTTATTTCTATTGTGGAAACACAACTTTGGATAAGTACTTAAATATATAACCCACTAAAGATAAGCACAGTTGGTTGAGAGTATGGATGGAAGAGGTCAAAACACACACCTGGATAGTTTGGCTCTGGTAGACTTTAATCACGTGAAAACTGAAACTGTAAATTCCTTTTCTTGGTGCTACAAAGACAGACTCCAATGTGAAAAAATTACCCACATTCACCAGGATCTACAAATAAAAATAATAAATAACAATAAGTTATTATATTTTCTTCTGTAACTAAAATGAATTTTCTTCCTCTCACTCTCTTCCTCTCCTCTTCCTTCTTTCCCTCCTTCCTTCATTCCTTCCTTCCTCTTTCTTTCTTTTCTTTTTTCTTTTGTTCATTCATTCATTCTTGGCAACTAGCTTAAGAAATCATAGAAAATAAAACATCTAGTTCTGTATCTTTCCTCTTAACTGATTTGGAAAATTGACTGGAATACTGGAAGGTTCTTCTGTCTTTTAAATGATATAAGAATAAATAAAGTAACTGCTTTGTATTCATGTCTCAATTTCCAGCAAGGCCCAATGGCTCTGGAAACATCGAGCTAACATTTGAGAACTTATAAATATTAGCTTTACCTTGAGAGTTGGATAAAAGGCACCCGCTATGTGTTTACATTCCCACCTTCTACAAGCCTTTGCAATGTCCAGAGGTGACGTTTCCAAGCCAGCCAATCAGCATCTGTGAGCTCTCCGCAGCATCCCTGGACAAACCACAGAGGCATGGGTACCCCCTCCACCATGTGACATAATCCTTGACACTGAACAGTTGGTGCACAAAGTGATCTGAATGCCTGGCCCTTCTCTGAGCCACCACCACCCCTCTCCTAAGATCTGTTACCATTTTTTTTTTCATTCCTGTGCCAGCTAGGCCTTAATTATAATAATGTGGCAATGAGTCAGCCCTTGTGGGCTGCCAAAGAGGAGAGCATAGAGAAGGCTAAACTATGAAATAGGTGGCTTTCCCTGTTCCTCCCCGGGCTGTCCATTAACCTCCTATCAATCACCTGCTCTTTATTTGAAGTTCAAGGTTCAAAAGTGAAATTAGATACTGTTTCCCAAGAAAGCAACAATGCATTTTGTATTCCAAAATATTCAGCCTAGTTCTATTGGTTATAAAATTAACTCTAAATTTTAATAAGTGACCTCTTAAGCTAAATTTGCAATGTCACATGGGTAAGTCTCTTTCTATGAGAAAGAGGGATTGGGATGGAGGATGGATGTTAAAATAACCAGGGTTTGTTCCATTTCTTTCCAAGAAATACACCTGTAAGTGGCATTCAAAAATAATAAGAGGTCCCTAAAAAGATATACTTCTCATATATCAATGGCAATCTGCTACTATCTCTTTCGAACACTGCATTCTTGCCAATATTAACACACTTGCAAGCCTCTTGCATAATTCCCTAAAAATGTACTATTACCTCTGGGCAACATACCAGAATGTAGTGACAGTCAAGCAGATGTATCAGGCTCAACACCTAACTTAAAACACATGTACGTGTATAATTTCATTCTGAGATTTCGCCTTCTTCCAAGTAAGCATCAGATTTTTTTTGTAACCTGATGATAGATGGTCTTTCAACAAGTCACCAGCTGTGCAATAATCCCCAGCAGAGGCTTTACAAAGAAATTTTTCAAGCACAATTAAAATAATTTGAGGTGCTTAGTGGTGACTTCCTGATTCAGATACAAGTAGCATAATTCATTAGCAATAATGAAAATAGCTGATTAGTGTTGGCTACATATAAAACTGGATGTTGACTCTACACTGTAATTGGAGCATCCAGGTACATCGAGATTTATAACCAAATGTGTGTTCTTGTCTCTAAGATGCAAGGCTCACTGAAAAGAAGAACAAACCCTTTTCCTCTTCTAATTGATGGAAAGGTCATTGAAAGGAACACCCTGTATAGAGGATAGTGCAATGCCCACAGTATTCCAACATTTAATTAAAGCATTGAAATACAAACTAGGGGTGGTGCTAGACTTTATTTCCATCAAGATGGAAAATACTGCACCAAAACCCCAAATGGAGCTACTTAATTCTTTAAAAATTATGTCTATCAAATACTAAGCCCCTAGAGAGGCATTCTCTGTCTTTGGCCAGCTGGAGAGTGCATTAGTTAGGAAAAATTAAGCAAGGAATACAGATGTCACCTCGTGCTTTCCCTGGCACATCCTGCAACACCACTTAACCTGTGCCCCCTGCACATTGCAGCTTTGCATACAACTGTGAACTGTGAATTTGGAATTTAAAAAGACTCTGGATACTGTTGGGGCTGAAATTAAAAACTCTGAGGACAGTTTTCTCCCTTAAGACCCCTTGCTAAAGGTAAGCTGATATCCTGGGGTTTCTCATCAAGCCAAACACGGAGCACCAGGTCGCTAAACAGCAGCTACAGCTTCCGTCAGCTCTTCCCCTACTCTCATCAACCTCAAAGTCTGTCTTTCCCCAGCTATTTGCAATTCTCTGAAAGGACATGAGCCCGGGAAGGGAGAACTGGCTCCCAAGCGCTTTCCTACAGGAGCTCAGCGCAGTTGCCAAATTCCTTTTCCTCCCCTCCTCCGCAACTTTTCTCTAAGTACCGGAGAAGGGCTTGCTGCCTACTCCGAGGCAGCGGCAGTGCCAGCGGTGCCTGGCACACGAACAGTGGAACCTGCAGGCGAGATCTGACCCCCGGCTCTGCCCCCGCCCTCCGCGGCCACCTGCCCGATCTCTGAAGAGTGTGGAAGCCCGGGGCTCTCTTGGGAGAGAAGCTTCTCTACCTGGGAGAAACAAATCAAACATTTATCCTGTTCCGCAAAGGTACCCAGGGAGCAGCCTCAGCGGCACCCGCAGAGGAGTCTGAGCAAGGGCACCAAGATCTGGCCAAGAGATAACGACGTCCAGGGACCAGGTGCCCTTCGGCTCCCGCCGACCTGTTGCTCGAAACTTGCCCTGAGCTCTCGCTGCCGGGCTCTGGGCTCCCAAGCCTCTCCCCCGCCGCCGCAGCAGCCTCTTTTAGGGGCCCGGAAGAAATGGGAGCCGGGGCTGGTGAGAGGGGTAGGAAGAGGGACGGTAGAAGTTTCAGACCCAGGCATATTTGGGAAGGCGAGTGCTTTACATGATTCCCCATTTCCCAATCGGACCAGCTTAGCCTGGGCAGGCAGCCTCGTGCTGAGGTGCCTGGAGACCGCCCACCCCCTAGGTGCTCGCTTCCCCCCGGGTCTGACCTGATCGAAGTAAATGATGCGCGTCTTGTTGCTCATCTCGGATGGCTCGTGGTTGGTGCTCCGCACCGCCGAGAAGGCGACCTTGGAGTTGGCCGCCCGGACCGATATCCCCAGCGGGGAGGAAGAGGAGCCCTTGGAGTCCGTGGCCGGGTTCGAGTCGCACACCACCAGACACTTGCCCTCCAGCACGATGGGCTCCGTGTCGTTCTGTGCCCAGACGGGCAGCCCCGGCAGCGTGAGGACCAGCAGCACGGCCGGCACCGCGGACAGCGCCCGGCGCCCGGAGCCCATGGTGAGCCGTGTGGGCAGCCGCAGCCGGCTGGCGCTGGTGCTCGCCCGCGTCGCCTCCTACCCCGGGATCCCGGTGCTCGGGAAGATGCTAGCGGCTAGGTCGACAGCGCTGCAGGAGCGACGGCGGCGGCGGCGCGCACACTTCCACCAATTCTGTGGCTTGAAGTCAAAGTCTCCCCTCGAGCTCTCTCGCTGGCTCTGTTACCTTTGTCCTTTAAGGAGCTCATGCAGCACCCTTTACCCTACTCTCCTCCGCCCAAGAATCAGCCCTGCCTGGGGCCCCTGCACCCACTCTGGTTCCTAGACATCTGAAAGTCATCAAACCCTCACATTCACACCTCAAGGCAAAAAATAATAATAATAATAAATTCTCACCCCAAACTCAAGCACCACCAGCTAAACCACGGAGCAGGAACAAAAAGAGGGGACTCAAAGAGAAGCCACAAGGGTGGCGGGTGCCCAGCGGCGCGGGTGCCAGTCCTGTCTGGCTTGCGGCAGGGACGAGTTACAGAGGCAGAAGGTCCTTCCCAGGCTGAGAAGAACGCGAGGCTGTGTTCATGGCCAGGACGCCAGCGACTCCCACTTTCGCCTGGTCAAAAAAATCCCCCAAACCTGGTGTCACCCAGAGGTAGGGAGGGAGGCAGCGGCTAGCCAGGTCCCTCGCACCGAAAGCGCGGATTCGCAGGATCAGGTCCAGGGCGCCGGGCGCAGCGTTCAGGGCGGCTGGTCCGGCGGGGTCCTCTCCTGCCTGGCCGCCCGCCCCCAGTCCCTGCGCACAACTTTCTCGTCCCTCGTGCAGCCCGGAGAGCGCGAAGCGGGCACACGCGCTCTATTTATAGGAGCGCAGCGTCCGGCTGGGTTGGCTTATCGCGCAACCCGCGGGCTCCGAGAAAAGGGGGAGAAGGCGTCTGGTGACCCCATCTGAGCAGCTCTCTCCTGACGTTTAACGCACCCCAAAGCAAGCGGGGCGCACAGCACTGGTGATTGGCAAGGTTCGAGGCCCCTCAGCCCCTGAAAGCCCGTGGCGTAAAGGATGCGTGCCCAGAGAGGAGCCCACGGCCCTGCGCTGGCCCCAGCTCCGCGCCCACTCTCTCCTGCTCGATCTGAGTCCGCAGAGGAGGCGGCTGGTCCCCTCACCCCTCCCAGCGCGGAACTCTGCCGCCGAGTGCCCTCCAAGCGGAGCGCGGCGCTGCCAGGCCGGGTCGCGAAAAAGGATAAGCCGCCGCGGACCCGCGCTGCGCGCTGCCCCGAACCTGGGGACCGGCGGGCGTCCCGACCGCGCCTGGCCGGGAGCCCGCCCCACACAGCCCTGGGGCCTGGCGAGCTCAGGGAAGCCTTGGGGCGGACCAGAGCCCGTGGGGGCGGCTGGGAGGAGGTGCCTGATTCCTTCCTTCCGCTCCGGGAAGATGAGCCTCAGAAGCCGCAGGGGCGCGCCTTCCCCCCACACCGCGAATCCTCCCCAGGCATGGCCAAAAAAAAGAGTGGGAGAGGGAGTTAACTCAGCAAGAATAAGTCCTCCGAAACCGTGCCAACAACAATAAAAAAATAAAAATAAAAATAAAAATAAAAGACAATCCCACTCCTAGGAATACAGCATTTTTCTCCCCTTTGGATGCGCTTTCCGCCCCCGTGCCACTCCACTGCTATCTTGGCCTCTGATTTGCAAGAGTTCCCTTCCTCTTCTGCAGCTACCACGGGGAAGGGAGGTTTGTCTCTGTCTGGACCCGGCTGCGTGAACTTGGCCGAGTCACTAACCCTCTCTGAGAGGGGGGCGCGGCGTTAACTAAGGTCCTCCCCACCCCCATCCCGCCAGCTTTCCAATTCTGTGATGCTGTGGGGTCATGGCGCCCCTTCCCCAATTTCTTCTACACTTCCAGCTGCCAGAGGGCAGACACGTATGGTATCTTTAACCAAAACAGTATCCCCTCCAGGCATTCGGAGCTCCTAAAATGGCATTGGCTAGTTATGAATGGAAGGGATGTTTATTGAGGGAGGTCCTTGGGATGGACGGCTCCCATTCCTTCCTGAGTGAAGGACGCCCTCATGAGCGTGGCATTCGAGCCCTCCACAAAACAAGGTGAACCTCGTCTCCAGCCTTTTTCCCTTCCTTCAGAAGGGCCGGGCATTGAGCTATAAGCACCAGCTCCAACTGTTAAAATTGAAGACACTACGAGGAATCCCCTAACCCTCACCTCCCTATAATCTCTCAACTAAAGTGTTAATACTTGGTGCCACAGGGGCCTTCAGATTCTGCTCCAGTGGGGCCAGTATCAGGTGTTTTGACTTTATGATTTTATTTTACTTGTGGTGGGGGGTGGTCTCGCTATATTGCCCAGGCTAGATGCAAAACTACTGGGCTCAAGCGATTCTACTACCTCAGCCTCCCCAGTAGCTGAGACTACAGGCCGGTGTCAGTTCCGGCTGGCAGGTGCTAGTACCATGCTATTTGTTAAAATGTTGAAAGTTACCTATCTAAGCTACAACCAAACAAGGTGAACTAGTGCCTTCTGAAGATGGCCACCATTTACCCAGCTTTGATGCCCCACCCTAAGCCCAGCACAATCTTCACCTGATCCCTCTCTGCACTTTGTAACTCTCTTCCAGATTTTAGGGATGTCTGCCTGGTTAACAGCAGCAATTTCTTCTCATTTGATGCAGTCTTTTGAGGGTGGGTGCTGAGTTGAATTTAGTTCCTTTTATTTCCTGTAGGGGTAAGCACCCTGCCTTCCTTGTCTGGGACAGCTGTTCAATAACTAGAACTTTGGTTGTTCAATTTCAGGCTGGGAGAAGTTTGACAAAAAAAAAAAAAAAAAAAAAAAAAAAACTGTGTTGAATTGTTAAATAGAAAATAAGCTATCTTCCTCACCAATTCCAATATATTCTCTCTACCTCCTTTTCTTCTCCAGGCACTTCCTGCACGCAAGAACTGAGATTTGAAGAAACCTATTCTTTCTCTCACCAAAAATATTCATTTTTAGTCCCAAAATCTGCATAGTGACCATAGTAAAGACTCAATAATTGAGAAATGACTGAATGCTTCCTAATAGAAGGTAATTATCACTCATATTATAGTATAAACTGCTTTAAATGAGTCTCTCTCAGTAAAATTTAAATTCAAAGCCTCCTTAATAATTGGGGATAAGGGTCTCGGTTCCTTACTAAAGGATGTTCTGCTCTTCAAAGTGTTCTGAAGATAAGGAACACAGCATTTTCTGTGGACCCCCGCTAAGAGAAGTTATCTTATATTGTGAATCAGAGGGTCCTGACTCTTTTTCCCACAACAGTTGATTAAACACGGATAGCCCCTGGGTTCTAGGACCATCAATGCATTTGATACCAGAAGTCCAAGATTTGTATGGTCCAACTTGGCCAGATGACTTGGGGCTGCCAGATTTTCTCTCTGCAATCTTAATGAGACATCAAAATAGCTTCCAGTAAGCACTACATGTGGCAGAGACAAGGTTTGTAGTCTCCCAAACTGACGTGGCCATGTAGGAGTCATCTGCAAGCTGAAGCAGAAGAGGTATTGGAATAAACCAGAGGACTGGCCACACTTGTAGAAAGAAGCCAATTCTGGAGCATGAGCACTTCTAAGAAGTACAGGGAGTGAATAGTCAATCGCCAGTTCTGAACTCTTGCTTACAAGAGTTCCAGAAACATTTTCTCCTAACCTTGGGTTTCTTGGTATCCTCCTATGTCTTTGAAATAAAAACCCAATTCCCTTGAGCTAGTTTTAGTAACATACCGCTCCCTGTCATCCAGAATCCTCATTAGAACATTGTCCCAGAAACCATACCACAAAAGGCTATGGATCTCTTGCCAAAAGACTAACAAATCCAATCTCCTGCCTGTAGGAAATGCTTTTCCAACATTTTGGGAAAGGAGGCATCACCTGTTCCTCACCCCCTACTTCAGCCCCAGCATCCCCAGGAGAAAAGAAACAAGATCAAGTTTAAGTTTCTCTCCAACCACAGCATAGATCTGTTTTTCTTTTTCTTTTTCTTGTATTTTTCCAGTTGAAAATATGCTATTAGAAGACCTAGCAGTGACCCAAATATTTTCCCTTTCTGAGATTCCCATATTGTATTTGATGCCTAGGATTTTTTTTTTCTCCTAGACCTTTAGAGATGACGCAGAAATGCATTTCAGTTCTCTGCAGCTGGGCTTAACTTTAAAGTAAATTAGAATCTAAACTATCCTTGCATAGGAAAGCAATACTTCTGAGGTCAGTAAATTCAATGACTGCTTGTCCAGCCATCCTTTAGAGAAACCAAGTTTCAAGCAAGCCCAAGACAGTAAGGATCTATGAGCTATTTTCTGACTGTGAAGAAAATGTTTCTGAGAAGGCAAAGACAGACACACACAAGGTATTCAGCTCTAAGGGCCTCACTGTGGTTGAATGAAAGCAGACTCCATGCATCATGCAGCAGAGACAGCCGCAGGTCAGTCGTGCAGAAGATGGAAAATCGAGAGAGAGAGAGCAGTGAGGCTTGCATCATACCCAGACAAAGTTCCACTGAGTTGCTTAATTACCCTTTGCTCTTTATAATGATAGTTATCAGCCCAAGCTAATGATCTTTTTTGAGGGAGAGTAAGTAGCTTAAGAAGAAAAAGTCTTGGTGGGACTGTAAACTAGTTCAACTATTGTGGAAGTCAGTGTGGCAATTCCTCAGGGATCTAGAACTAGAAATACCATTTGACCCAGCCATCCCATTACTGGGTATATACCCAAAGGATTATAAATCATGCTGCTATAAAGACACATGCACATGTATGTTTATTGCAGCACTATTCACAATAGCAAAGACTTGGAACCAACCCAAATGTCCATCAATGATAGACTGGATTAAGAAAATGTGGCACATATACACCATGGAATACTATGCAGCCATAAAAAAGGATGAGTTCATGTCCTTTGTAGGGACATGGATGAAGCTGGAAACCATCATTCTCAGCAAACTCTCTCAAGGACAGAAAACCAAACACCGCATGTTCTCACTCATAGCTGGGAATTGAACAATGAGAACACATGGACACAGGAAGGGGAACATCACACACCAGGGACTGTTGTGGGGTGGGGGGAGGTTGGAGGGATAGCATTAGGAGATATACCTGTTAAATGACGAGTTAATGGGTGCAGCACACCAACATGGCACATGTATACATATGTAACAAACCTGCGCGTTGTGCACATGTACCCTAAAACTTAAAGTATATTAGAAAAAAAGAAGAAGAAGAAAAAGTCTCCATGAACAACCAATATGTGAGAACTTACATAGTCTGGAAAGTTCCAGAGTCATGTTGAGTAAATCTTCATAGCTCCTTCTGGAGACAGCCAAATGACAGACTTGTTTCATATGAGGATGGTATTGTGGGAAAAAAATAGATGGATGCTGTAAAAAATACTTCTCAATTGGTTTTAGAATTTGAAAATTGTTTGGGACAGTTTTTCTAGATAGTTTATTCCACTCACCCCATTGGCAAATAAGGTACGTGTCTAAGACATCAGTGAGAAGTGAGACGTCTTGGTCATGGCTGCAGACAGGTTTTGATGCCCCTTTTTGGCTTCCCATGATACCCTGAGCATGTTCCAGTCATTATATTTATCATAATGGTTTTAGTTGATTTATTGTTGTGTTTTCCCTGGACCATTAACTCTTTGGGAGGACAGAATTTAGCAGAGAGTAGGTATGCATAAATAAAGTTTACTGAATAAAGTAACATCATTGCTTTTAGTTCTCATAAGGGAAACAATATAACATTTAATCACTATGATCTAAGTATGATAGGAAAAGTAAAATTATTTCAGAAATGTTGGGGGCTTAAAACGTCAAGTCCACCTTAGTTACTAAGAATGGAAGCCCAGTGAGAAAAGGTTTTGTGGAAAGGGCCACATCTTGAAATGTGTTGAGTTGAACCTTGAGACTGTAGTAAAATCTTAGAAAGAACCTAAAAAATTCTCTCTCTCTCTCTCTCCCTCCCTCCCTCTCCCTCTCTCTCTCCAGTCTCTCTCTCTCTCCCCGTCTCTCTCTTTCTCTCTCTCTCCCCCATCTCTCTCTTTCTCTCTCCCCACTGTCTCTCTCTCTCTCTCTCTCTCTCTCTCTCTCTCTCTCTCTCTCTGCTCTCTCTGTGTCCCTCCCTCTCTTCCCCTCTCCTGGGCACATCTTCATTATTCTTTGGCTCACTGCAATCTACCGTTCTCTGAGGCCCGCATGAGGGAAAATGGCAGCTGATACTTCCAGATTTCACACATAACAAAGCCATCCACTCAGAGATGCCCCCAGATCCCCGAGAAGAGATGCACTGCAGCCATCTGCGTTCAGATGCCCAATCCCAAACCAATCAACTTGGCTGTAGAAACAGAATCATGCTGCACACGTGACTGATATCCCAGCAATGAGGTGTGTAGAAAATTGGGGCGGGGCATGGGAAAAGGAAAAATCCTAGAAAGCTAATATAAGCAATATGTGGCAAAGGGAAGAAGAACAAGAGGCAGACTAATTTGTGTTGTGTGATTCCAAGTTAATTCCCTGCAAGTGTGTACAGATATGTGTGTATTTCAATACACAGAGAATACAAGTTGGCAACAACTTGTCAAATTTAAAGGAATTGAATAGAAGGAAACACTATTAATTGTATTTCAGATGTTTCCTTATTATATATGTGCTCACAGCAATTGTGTATTACATTGTGATTCACGTTTGAAAATTTTTTGTTTTTTGAGGTGCAGTCTCGCTCTGTTGCCCAGGCTGGAGTGCAGTGGCATGATCTTGGCTCACTGCAAGCTCCGCCTCCCGGGTTCACGCCATTCTCCTGCCTCAGTCTCCCAAGTAGCTGGGACTACAGGTGCCCACCACCACGCCCGGCTAATTTTTTTGTATTTTTAGTAGAGACGGGGTTTCACCATGTTAGCCAGGATGGTCTCGATCTCTTGACCTCATAATCCTCCTGCCTCGGCCTCCCAAAGTGTTGGGATTACAGGCGTGAGCCACCGCGCCCAGCCCACATTTAAAATATTTTTTAAAAAAGAAAGGGTTTCTGAGTAGATCATCCAATAGTGATCTATCACATTCACACTTCTTCTCCATAGTTTACTCTTAATTAAAGTTTAAAAAGTGGCATTGATTGAACAGCAATCTCCCTTTTTTGTTATACTGATCCGACTCTAAAAATCACTTACTCCAAGTTTAGAAAGATGCTCTGATATAGAAAGCCTCACAGTATACATTTAAGAAAAAAAATTCCATTGCAACTAGTAACACTGATGCATGCTGTCAAAATTTCTCGCTACATTTTATTCAACTTGGCTTTCTTTATATAGTATGTTAGCATCTAGGAAAGCCATAGCTCAGTGCTGGGTGTATGACATGTGCCTGGCCACTCGTGTTTATGTTGTGTAGATAAGAAGAGTCTAAATGTGGGGTCCAAACCAATGGCTACTTGTAAGAATCAGCTGGGATGCTTCTTTCCAACAGAGACTCTCTGGCCTTACTCTGAGATAATGGCTCTGCCCATGAACTGGGAAGGTTTACTTAACCAGCACCCAGGTAAATCTGAAGCAGATGGTGTTTGACTTTGTAGATGCCATTGGCGTGATGCCACAAGAGTCCATTTGCATTCGGGTTTTTTAGCTCTATGGTTAAAAACAGGGTGTTTAGAGTCAGCTCTACCTCCTACTAGCTTTATGACCATACAGCAAGTTACAAACCTTCCTTCATCCAAGAAAATTGCAATCATGAAAATCATATTCAGTCCATAGCTTCTTGTGAGAACTGAGTGGGGAAATTTGGGCAGAGCATTTAGCTCTGCACCTGGCACACAGGAAAGGCTCAATTAAGGGTAGCAATTATTATCATTAATCTGTAGACTCTACTAATGACTAAAGGTGTCAAACCACCACACTCTAAACCAAGGCCCATTAACTATTGGCAAGCAATGGCCCAACTTAACCTCACAGACATTATAATAGGGGAAAACGAAGTGTACCCAAGTGTGAGAGACAATCCAGGTTCAGATGCCCAGAAAATAATCACACCCGAGTTTGCAGGGCCAGCCATTGCTGATAGATCAATGCTTATCATTATGCAGAGCTAAAGCTCTTGAATGAAGCGAAGACACCAGGCATGTTTGTGAGCTCCCTACAGGGGATGAACAACAGGTTTAATTTTATTTTTATTTCTTTCTTCCCATACTCTCAATCATTATGTCTCATCTGAAAGAAGCATTGAGTGGAAATAGATGGATTCTTCAAAGTGGAAATTATACAGAAAGTCAAGAACAGCTGGTCAGAAACAGTCACCACAGAAACAGGAGTTCAGAAAGCCAGGTAGACACCAGAAAATAACACGGCAGTTGTTAAATATCCAGGAGCCAACACGGGCATCTTAGGAGCTAGTATGCCAACTATGGAGAGTCCTAGACACTTTTAACTTTCCTGACTTTAGCGCGTGTGGTTTGTGGGAAGAGAGAAAAATAGCTTCAGTCCAATAGGCAACTCTCCTCGCCAGGGCACTCAGTGAACATCTGTCCTTTGTAAGCGTGAGATGGGAAGTGCGGATCTGCTGTTGCTGCTCCATTCCTGCTGCCTCTCAGATATGAGCAGCTTGTGCCGTTGTGTGTGATTCTAGTGTTTAAAGGAAAGTATTTTCCTACAACATGACCACTAAAACAAGCCAACCACTTAATCTGATGTTCAGCTGAAGAAACAGCAATCTGTTTTGACACTGAAAGGAAAACTGGCTGCGGTGAGCTCTCTGAGAGCTGGTGTACCAGACACCATGGTGAGAACTTCAAAAGGATTTTCAAGGTAAGTTTGACTCTAGGAAATTTTTTCCTTGCGTACTAATTTTAGAATCTAACCCTGGAATGCAATGCAACTACATTTGTTTGTTTTGTTTTGTCTTGTTTTGTTTGGGGTAACCTCAATTGCTGATAATTTCTCCCACTGAATTCCCACCACTCATGTGAGAGGTAGATCTTGTTGCCACCATTTTACAGATAAGGAAATACAGCATCTGAAAAGCTGCTGCCAACAAACGGGTTAGACTTCATGGCTGGACATCTGTCTTATATCCAAAGGTCTTTCCCTAGACAATATGAGAAAAGTTGAAACAAAAATGCAAGGAGCTCCTAGAATGCTCAGAACTCATTATTTTGTAGTTGGTGACACCAAATTCAGAGGAGAAGCTGAGTGCATTCCAAGAAGAATTAATGTCAATAATGTGCAAGTGACAAAGTTCAGAGGAAGAAGACAGGCTTCATATCACAAAATTTTTAATAAAGGCTATTGACCATAAGCCAAGGTGGGGGAATATATGTTTTTATTACACTCACATGTATACATATTAAAATATTTAATATACTAAATATAATTAGATTATAATTAGATTTGATATATTAAATGTAATGAGATTATAATTTGATGATAAGTGGTTAAATTCTCCTACGCTCTTCTCATGGTTTTATGTGCCTTTCATTCCTAGTGGTTACCAGAGTTGAGATGTTACATTTATTTGTCTTATTTGACTGAAAGAATCTTCCCAGCCAATAATAAGCTCCATGAGGGCAGAGGTTGCCCAGGCTAGTCCCTGACACATGGTGCAGGTATATTAAGTGTTTGTTGAAGTAATGAATACGGTGACACCGCATAGATTCTAACTTTGGGTACCCTTTTCGAGTGTATTTCCAATTTTAACTAGACGGTCTCAAAAATTTGCTTATGTTTTCTCTAATTCTCAGTAATTATTTATGATGCATAATAACCCATCCTTCTTTACTTGGAAATTTAATGCACTTCTGGAAAAACTGCTGTAAGTAGCCCTTCCTTTCCCTGGATGCCCATTATCACAGCTGTTCCTTGTTTTCGCATTCCTCACACTGGGTTATGAGTATCTTAGCTTTGGCCAAGCTACCAGCTCAGCCACTTTCTTATCTACCACTGGGGTTAGCAGAGTAGCTCCTCTTTGCTAGGTTGTAGGCTCCATAAAGCAAAAGCTGCCCTGCTTTGTCCTTTGCTGCTAATTGGGGAACGGGGGGATTCCAGAAGCAAGCCTAATAGGGTGGGCCATGGCTTCGGAATCCACTAGCTTCCAGCTATTTTAGCTGGCCAAGAGCCTCCTGAATGACACACAATGCACCAAGTAACTTGACTTTCTTGGCCATCTGTCTGTTGGCTAAATAACTACCTCTTGGATGGACCAAATCATCACTTATGCAGCTGGTGTTTGGCAATTGACTGAGCTGAAGCCCTTCTGGGCTGGATCCAATATTCCCTTACTACACACACACAAAATGAATTTTATAGGGCTTTGTATGGGTTTGTAGTCTTCATAAGGCCAAATAGAGAAGAAAAACAAAATAATTGAGGAAAGAGATGGACTATGTTTTAGAGCTAATGGTTTTTAAGACCAGAGAAATTCTGCATTGCTCCCCTTTATTGCTTTTATTTTACTTTATTTTATTCTTTTTCTTTTCACCTTTCCGTGATTCCTCTGCTTTATGTCTTCTTTTCTACCTCCTTCCTATTTTTCTCCCTACAGTTCCCAGTTTTACACTCCAACTGATATTTAATTAGGACTTAGTATGTACTGGGTGAGCATAGCAAACTCAAATGCCATTGGGGACTATGGTGGGCATCTGCTATCCTTTTGGTCACCCAATGTCAGAAACTCCTTCCTACGTCTGCAGATTCTTCCTGCTCATTAGACAGAGCCCATCTCTCACTAAAGAAGCATCAAGTACCAGATACTCATTTTCCAGCTTCTCTTGCCATAAGAGGACAAGCACATGACCCAAGCTCTGCAAATTGGACACAACCACCCCAGAGGTTGAATTAGAGGCCTGAGAGGTGGCAGGAACCTCACAGAAACCTTGCTAGGGAAGGTGGCAGCAGGTTTCGTGGTCTGGGACAGGCACCAGCATCAAGCATCCAGGGTGAGTGATACGGGTGCAGCAGGCTGTGAGGTCTGTGCTACGCAGCCAAACCATCCGTCTTGGTGAACCTGGTGCTGCAGCAGGAGCTGGGGTGTCATTCCTGTCTGCTTCACTGCAACCCAGTTCTCCAATGCTCTAAGATACTCTTGAACCACAGAATACACTTAAATAAATTCCCTTTCTACTGAAATTTGTCAGTCGACTTTTGCTGCTTGCAAGTAAGAGTCCAGATGGATAATGAGGCCAAACAGGAGACACTAGTAGAAGACAACTGTGAAAAGATGGAGCAAGCATCTCTGCCTCACCTCCAGCAGGCGGCTGCTGTTACACCCTGAACAGTGTGAATCCGGTAATGCCAGATACTTGGCTTTTCAATAGGAAAATAAATTCAGATTGTTTGCCAACTTTTAGATGTCAGCAACTAATTCAAAAATTTTTGTGGGCTACCTTAAACATGATTTGGGGCTACATATAGCTCTAGGACTGCCAGTTTACCACCACTTTAGGACTTGATTTTACTTTTAAAGAGCATTTCAGGAGACCTGTAACAGAGAGATTTCTTTGTAGTAACTTTTCTAGGTCTCATTTAAGCTCTCTATTTTTTTTCTTTTTTTGAGACAGAATCTCACTCTGTCACCCAGGTTGGAGAGCAGTGGCATGATCTCAGCTCACTACAACCTCTGTCTCCCAAGTTCAAGTTGTCCTCCGCCTCAGCCTCCCGAGTAGCTGGGACTACAGGCGTGCACCACCATGCCCAGCTGATTTTTGTATTTTTAGTAGAGACGGGGTTTCACCATGTTGGCCAGGCCGGTCTCAAACTCCTGACCTCAAGTGATCCAATTGCCTTGGCCTCCCAAAGTGCTGCAATTACAGGCATAAGCCACTGCTCCCAGCCTGAGCTCTACATTTTACAATAACTCAGATACTGTATTAATCCATTTTCATACTGCTATGAAGAAATAGCCAAGACTGGGTAATTTATAAAGAAAAAGAGGTTTAATGGACTCACAGTTCCACACGGCTGGGAAGGCTTCACAATCATGGTGGAAGGCAAAAGAGGAGCAAAGGCACGTCTTACATGGTGGCAGGCAAGAGAGTGTTTGCAGGGGAACTGCCCTTTATAAAACCATGAGATCTCATTAGACTTATTCACTATCATGAGAACAGCATGGGAAAGACCCACCCCCACAATTCAATGACCTCCCACAATATGTAGGGATTATGAGCACTACAATTCAAGATGTGATTTAGGTGGGGACACAGCCAAACCCTATCAGATACCTTAAAGCTTTAATAGAAAATTGCTGGGTACTAGGATGGTCTGAATGGGAAACACCGTAAGTTAATAGCAAACTACCACAACTGCCCATACCCTCCTGGTCAAACCCACCCAGCCAATCAAAATATTTGGAATTATGTCAAATCTCCAGCCTCAGATAGTGCCTCTGTCTCAGGGAAGCACCCAAATCATCTGGTTTTCCTGCTTCAATTTATGATGCTTGCTTTCTCCTAACCACAGGCCTTGCTTCATGTCACAACCTCACAAGTTGAAGTCTTAGGATGGTGCATCCCATCAGTGAGACCTATATCTAAGTGACAGCTGCAAGACAGGGTTTGAAAAGTGTGTTCCTGGCATTTTCAGCTGATAAAATGGAAGGTCATTCTTCCTCTCACCAAGACTCAACAGATGCATAATTCCCCAAACATAGAAAGGGCTTCTGATGCTGGTGGCCAAAAAGTAATGTCCATCTTCACTGCATATCTTTATTTGTACTTCTGTGGTACCCCTCTTCAGACAGGGCTCTGTTTTTTTTTTTTCTCAAGCCTGTTTCCCCTTCTACCTCCCCATTAACATAGGAAGAATCTGACAATATCTACCAAAAATAGACTATGATTTCTGTAGAATTAGATTGCAACTAAATATTGCATAATGAAAGGCTGGGCGCAGTGGCTCACGCCTGTAATCCCAGCACTTTGGGAGGCCAAGGTGGGCAGATCACCTGAGGTCAGGAGTTTGAGACCAGCCTGGCCAACATGGTGAAACCCCACCTCTACTAAAAATACAAAAATTAGCCAGGCATGATGGCAAGAGCCTGTAATCCCAGCTATTTGGGAGGCTGAGGCAGGAGAATCGCTTGAACCTGGGAGGTGGAGGTTGCCGTGAGCCGAGATCGTGCCATTGCACTCCAGCCTGGGTGATAGAGCCAGACTCTGCCTCAAAAAAAAAAAATTCATAATGAAAGTACACTTAGTTCAATTTAATCTTTCTTTTAAGGCTCTATATTATTCTCATACCATTACATCCTTCTTCTTTTACTAGTACATCCTGCTACCACCAGTGGTTCCCAAAGTAGGTTCTTTATTAGGACAACCAAGGAAGCATTTAAAAAGTTATAAGCCCAGACCTACTGAATTAAACATTCTAAGGAGGTCCTGGGATCTGTATTTTAAAGCTTCTTTGGTGTGGAAATCTTTCCATTTTGAAGATGTGGATGGCTCCTTGGATAAAAATTAAGGTTTCTTAGTACAATGGACATCTTGTTTCTGCATGCAAGCACATGTCTCTCCATTGAAAAGCTACTCCCGTTTCACTCAAGTCTCATGACTGACAGGGACAATGTTGATCATAGTACCCTCTTCCTGGTCCCAGGAATGAGCATGTGATCCTGGCCTAGCCAAGTCATATTGCCCCATCTTCTGGTCATGGTGGTTGATCTAGAGGCGAGCACATCACTCAAGCAAAACCAGTCAAAGTTATTCTAGTAGGATTTTATATTTAGAGGCAGAAGAGAACAGATCCTGCCTTTGCCTTCAGGGCAGAAATTCAGGCCAGCAGATATAATTTTCTTTGTCAGGAGTATTAGAGAATGATGCCAAGATAAAGAAGGATGGATAAGAAACAGAGAGATAAAGGTGATACTTTTCTTACAATGCCTTTGCCCACTCATAGACAAAGCCCCCTCCATATCTGGACTTTGCCAAAAGGGAGCCCATACATCCTTTTTATATTTGAAGTGGTTCAAGTTGGATTTCTTCCCCTTGCAATCAAAACTTCTAGCCTAAAGGGGTGTGTTTTGTTTTGAAAAGAAAACTGAAAAAATACAGGGACAAATGAATTTTCTGAATTTTGGTAAGGTGAATCAGCATAAAATGGGCATTTGCCTAATCACTTTTTAATATTCTCAGCTCTAACCAAAAGCATGGCTTGATTTAGCTCACAAGAAAGCATGAATAAAGAAGCCAGTCTGATTTGATGTAGTGACACGAAAGGACTGTGAAGGTTCAAAGTGACTTTTTCAGGCAACCAAATGGGGACTTTGGACCAAATGAGCTGGGAACAAATGCCTTTCGTGAAGACAGTTTAAATAGTAAAATGTAAACAATAACAAGCCCAGCAAGTACTTTTGTTGCCCACATGGTTGACCAAAAAAATTAAATATATGCTACTAGTACCTCCAGTTCTGTGGTCCGGATTGGGCAGGCACAGAGAGGCAGCTAAGCTACAAATACTGAAAGGAAGGCAGGATGTGTTTCATCACAGATGCGTGACGTAGATGGGACTTAAAGGTTTTATCCCAAAGCCCACCAATCCAGTGTTCCTAAAATTTCCTTAATAACAAGCTAGTGCCAAAGAAGCCAGATTCATGTGCAAGTAGTGATTGTACTTGGCTTGCCAAAGCCCCGTTAAAATAGCCTCTCAAAAACACAAGTCCACATTGCTATGGAAACACTGTCATTCCAAACAAAAAAAATAACAGAAGTTATTCTCAAGTTCTGTGCAAACTGTTGGATCTGCATCTGTGTGAGCATGCATGTGTTTGTACACATACACACACATACACACACTCACACACACGTGCTGGAAAAAGCCAGCATATGCTCATCCTCTTGACTGCAGATTTGCATTAGAAGGCTTTTTCCAAAGGAAATGTTTGGAAATGTCTTCATAAAAAGGATCTACAGAAGTCATTTTGCTTTGGTCCTAGGCTAAGGAGATCTTGTTTGATAGATGAAACATGGAAAAGAGAAGTGTCATAAAGCTTTATTGCTCTTGTAGTTTCCCCTCCTGATTCCCTTTCCTGGGTTTTCAATACTTGCTTCATCGCCTTGAACATCTCCTTCCTCTCAAGTGCTTGAAGTTTCCTTTCCTTTATTTCCCTTTGGTCAGAAAGTTCTGAAATTGTAACTTTCTTGGCAACCAATAAGGCATCAGTATAATATTTTTGCAACACAGTCTATAATTCTATATTGAGAAGTCGGCAGAAACACACAAGATCTGCCTTATCTAGAAGTGGGAGTTCTTCGCTAATGACCTCCCAGAATTTCTTTTAGAAATCTGACAGCTTCCACTTCCACAGCATCTTCACCACCATCACTCTGGTCTAATCACCATCGTCTCCCACCGAGGTCCTGAAGCATTTTCTAACCAGTCACTCTGAATCCAGGGACCCTCTTCTTTTCCAATCTCTCACTGAGGCCAGAATGATTTTTTTAAATTCAAAGATGACCATATCATTCCCCTGGTGAAAAGGCTCATTAGTTTCCCATTCCCATCAAACCCAAAGTCCTTACTGTTCTATGACGTCCGCCTCGCCTTCCGCCCCAGCCTCAGCAGCACACAGTCCAGCCTCCTCTTTGTTTTCTGCTAGCCTCGCTCTAGCCACAGAATTCAAGTGTAGCCCTTCACATTTAGCCTTGACTGTTTCCATCTCAGGCCTGGGCATGCAGATTCCTCCGCCTAAAATGATTCCTCCCCACCCTTATCCCCACCTTGGCTCACTCCTGTATTTCTTCAGGGCTGCCTGAACACCACTCCGTCGTCGAGTCCTCACCCAGAATGTCCTGGCATGCCCTCACCTCCTAGACACACTATTTTTTTGTTAGTTATCACAATTACCATTAACCAATATGTTGTCTTTTCTGATAGTTTATAAACTCCATGAGACCTATGATCATAACAGACTTGTTCAGACGTATAATTCCTATACCCAGCATGGTGCCTAGTACATAAGAAAAATTCAATATGTTTTGTGGAATGAATGGATGAACTAGTTAATAGATCCTAGAAATTGGCACCCCAGACCGTAAATCACTTAAGGAAGAATCTCTTGGCTGTTCTGCCTGTTGTGTTGTAGAGTGTAGTGCACAAGTATAAATCTGCATGATGGTAAGTGTCCTAAGCCAGATCTCTGCTAAAATGTAAATGTCTTTTAAGTCCCAACTTAAAAACCGTCCAAGCCTCTGCCCTCAAGGTGGTGGCAGGAAAAGGTAGGCAGTGAGAATAAGCAAGGAGGAGAAGTTATCTTGGGAAATGGACTTTAGAACTGAGAATGAAAGATTCCAGGAGCCACTCAGGAGTTGTTGCCCAAGAAAGTCTGAAGAATCCTGCTCAGGTTAGAAAGCAAACTTGACCTTAATAAGGGAAGCTAAGGTCATGGAAGAAGGATCACAGGGCATGGCTTCAATACAAGATCAGGGATTCAATGGGAGAATAGGGCAACAAACGTAGTCCATTCATAAGGGGAGAAGATCTTTGTGACAGGCAGGTGAGAAATGACTCCAGGAATGGAGAGTATTGAAACTTGGGCATGGTATTCACTCAGATCCCAGAACATGCTTTGGGGACTTAAGTGTTAGCTCAGAGGAGCCACATTAAGCTGGACTTAACTTGCTGCGGTTTTCTTTGGCCCAGGCTGGAGTGCAGTGGTGCGATTTCAGCTCACTGCAACCTCCACCTCCCTGGTTTAAGCGAGTCTCCTGCCTCAGCCTCCTGAGTAGCTGGGACTACAGGAACCCACCACTACGCCTGGTTAATTTTTGTATTTTTAGTAGAGACAGGGTTTCACCATGTTGGCCAGGGTGGTCTCAAACTCCTAACCTCAGGTGATCCACCCACCTCAGTCTCCCAAAGTGCTGGGATTACAGGCATGAGCCACTGTGCCCGGCCTCGAGGTGGTTTTCTTGATTCCTTCAGCCAGAATTCATCTCTCCTACTCCACTGGCTGACAGCAACTGCAAGCACCTCTTCTACTGCACTCAGCACATTCTGCCCCAGGTTTGAGTTATCTCTTGGGTCTTCCTGGCTAACCCAGGAGCACTGCTGAGGCCCTCTTCATCACATCTGTATCTCCTCCCTATCACAAGAAGCTCAGTGTTTGACACATGGAAAATTGAATCTGAATCTCTCACATGGAATTCATCGAGTGGTTGTATAAGAGACTTGTACCAATAATTTATAAATTGCAACATGCTCTACAAATGCATGTATCACCTGTATATCCCAAGGCTGTATGTTATTTAATATCAAACTCCCACATAGTTAGATGAGAAGAAAGTCTATTCTTTCTCTCTTTCCCTTGGAGGTCCCTCTATGGTATGTTCAGGAATTCTAGGAGGATTTGTCCAGTTTGAAGGGTCCATTCTGTGGACAAGCTTGTTGTGGAAAACGCTTCCACAGTTGGACAGTCCAGATAGCCAAAAGCCCAGGGCTTTGGCAACTGTTACCCAAGAACCAGTGCTTTTGATGGAATCTTGCTCTTCTCCTGTTACTGCCATTGTGGTTGATCCTCATGCTGGTTCCTCAGGGTGCAGAGGAGCAGGCACCTTTCTTGTAGTTCTTACTATAGCCATGAATATACCTTACCAAAAACAGCCCAGACCCTCAAACTCAACTCATTCATCTGTTCTTTCTGCTTAGATACACAGAGCTATTTCCTCCTAAGACACAGGGTCAAAAAGAGTTTCACTATCATCCACTTAACATCCCCAAAACTTAGGTTTGAGTCAGGTCAAGGTCACCATTTCAAATTCCCTCTTTTCTAATGTGAATTTTATCTATGGGACCTTTTGTCCTATCTACCACCCAGTCTTGATCAAGGCCACACAGCATTATGGCAAATGTTTCAATAATTTTAAACTACAAGTAAAGGAGTCAAATGGGCAAATGTTTTTATGAATATCCTCTCAGAATGCCCCCATGGTCTTAGGCATATTGCTGTAACACCTCCCCATAAACCTCAAAGTTGCAGTGACAATGAAGTCCACACGTTCCATGAAACCCTCATTCCAGAACAATGGTTCAGTGTTTGTTTTTCATTTGTGTAATGAAAGAGCTCAATCTACTATTTTTCAAGATATAAAGAAGGAGTCTTCCAAAGGAGTAATAAAGGCTTCTGTCACTAGAAAAAAATGTATACCTCACTTTTTAATCATTGGTTCTCCAACTTTATGAATAAGTAAAGTCCCACCTCTACCAAGTACTTTATTGTATATGTTGCTAACATTCTGGAGATATTTTCATTTCGGTAGACACATAATGTACATTGAATTAATGAAAATGAAATGACAATGTTTATTAAAACAGAGATGTGATTGGTTTGGGGCCCACATAATTCACTTTAGAGCATCCATTCATTCAAGCTACATAGTCAACATTTGCCCTTTATTTATTTAGCAACTATCAGGTATCACAGCATGCCCCGCACTCTGGCCTCCTGAAGTCTGTTCTCATTGTCAACAAAGAGTGTGTTTTAAAAACCAAATACTATCGTGCTCTTACCCTGTGCAGAACCATGCCACAGTTCCCATTTCTTTTAGAAGAAAGCCCTGGCCCCACCTCTCCAAGGCTTTGCAGAGCTGGCTCCTGCCCTCCTCTCCATTCTTGTGCTGAACCACATGGCCCTTCAGTCACATGTGGCCTTCCCTGAGGTCCCCACGTGAGCCATGTCCCTTGTTGCCACAGGAACTTCACATGAAATAATTCCTCATCCTAGCCATCTCCCGCCTCATGTAGTTAAATCACCTTCATTCTTCACAGGGCTGCTGTCCAGCAGAACTTTCTGGGATGATGGGAATGCTCTAGATCTGCCTCACCCAATACAGCAGCCAGAAGCCAACAGTGGCTACTGAGGACTTGAGATGTGTCTAGTGTGATGAAGTACTGGAATTTAAAAGTTTATTTCACTTTAGTAAATGTCAATACCAATAAGCATACTTTAAAAAGCTCAACATCACTGATCATTAGAGAAATGCAAATCAAAACCACAATGAGATACCGTCTCGCACCAGTCGGAATGGCTATTGCTAAAAAGTCAAAAAAACAGCAGATGTTGGTGACGTTGCACAGAAAAGGGAATGCTTATACATGGTTGGTGGGAATATAAATTAGTTCAACACTATTGTGGAGAGCAATATGGCAATTCCTCAGAGACCTGAAAATAGAACTACCACTCGGCCCAGCAATCCCATTACTGGGTATATAACCAGGAATATACATCATTCTACCATAAAGACACATGAACATGAATGTTCATTGCAGCACTATTCACAATAGCAAAGACATGGAATCAACCTAAATGCCCATCAAAGGAAGCCTAGATAAAGAAAATGTGGTACATATATGCCATGGAATACCATGTAGCCATAAAAAAGAATAAGATCATATCCTTTGCAGGAACACAGATGGAGCTGGAGGCCATTATCCTTAGCAAAGTAATGCAGGCACCAAATACCACATGTGTTCACTTATAAGTGGGAGCTAACTGATGAGAACACACAGACACACAGTTGGGAACAGCAGACACTGGGGCCTACTGGAGGGTGAAGAGGGTGAGGAGGGAGAGGATCAGGAAAGATAACTAATAGGTACTAGGCTTAATACCTCAGTGACAAAATAATCTGTACAACAAACCCCTACGACATGAGTTTACCTATATAACAAACCTGTACAAGGACCCCGAGCTTAAAATAAAATTAAACAAATAAAGGCCAGGCACAGTGGCTCATGCCTGTAATCCAAGCACTTTGGGAGGCCGAGGTGGGCGGATCACCTGATGTCAGGAGTTTGAGACCAGCCTGGCCAACATGGTGAAACCCAGTTTCTACTAAAAATATAAAAGTTAGGTGGGCATGGTGTCACATGCCTGTAATCCCAGCTACTTGGGAGGCTGAGGCAGGAGAATCACTTGAACCTTGGAGGCAGAGGTTGCAGTGAGCTGAGATAGTGCCAATGCACTCCAGCCTGGGCGACAGAGCAAGACTCTATCTCAAATAATAATAATAATAAATAAACACCCACATCTGGCTGCCATATTGGATGGTGCAGCTCTAGAATTCAGTTTAAAAATCTTTCCTCACCCTTTTAGTTGAGGTAGATATTATATGTTAGTCCTATACTTTTTTTTTTTTTTTTTTTGAGACGGAGTCTCGCTCTGTTGCCCAGGCTGGAGTGCAGTGGCGTGATCTCAGCTCACTGCAAGCTCCGCCTCCCAGGTTCATGCCATTCTCCTGCCTCAGCCTCCTGAGTAGCTGGGACTACAGGCACCCACCAGTCCTGTACTTTTTAATCATAGGACTTACTATATAAATTCCATCTGTTCATCATATGATTGTTTATCTTCAGTTTCCCCTATTAGTCAACAATTTCCATGAAGTCGGGGTCAGGTCTGTTTTGTTCCATATTGATCCGTAGGGCACAGTACAAGTGCTGGCATGTGGTAGACAAGAATGTTTCTGAATGAGTGAATGAATCAATGAATAAATGAGACTGTGACTGTGTGAACAGAAAATCATTGTACATCTCTAAACCTCAATTTCTTTATCAATAAAGGTCTGCGGGTCCCTTCAAGCTTAAGCATTTTGTAGATTTCACCACTAAATAAGAAATTACAGAAATGTGGAGCGAGGTGGAAAGTTCTAGACATTACTTGAGACCATTTTGTTCCCATAATGACTTTTTCTAAAGCATCTAAGAAAATGGCAGTAATTTATGATTGGAAGGTCAAATATGCCATGAAATTTTATCAGAGCACAGTCCTGCCACTTCATTAAGACACAGAACCTGTACAATCCATATTTGACTGTTGAAACAATTCATTGAGGTGACCGTTTACATTTTTTTCAGGAATGAAAAGCTTTTCCAACTCAAAGTTAAAATCTGAGGTCTCAAAATGTAAGAGACACTCCTGGTAATCACTCTGTCCCTGATTTATGCAATCTAGCAACTAATAAAATATGGATCAGAGAGATTTAATATAAATTTGTAATTATCTTTTTACTTCTTATTACTTTTGGTAATAACTTTTGTGGCTTTCTCATCACATCCTCTCCTTTCAGAACAAAGTAAACCACACCAAAAGCACAGAAGGGTTCATTTGGCCGAGTTGTCAAATGAATTGTATAAAAAATAGAATGATGGAGGGTTTACATTGAAATTGAAAAGTTTATAGCCAATTTAAACTTGGCAAGAGTCTTGTGTACAATACTGGGTTAATCATCTGTTGTTAAGATTCAGAATTTAGAAAAGTTATAGTCATCTTCTGGACCTAGCCTAAGAGCTCTCCTTCTTCCCATATTGCCCCAGCCATGCTAAGGTTCTTCCCTCCTCTTTGCCCAGGGCCAATGCTTAATAAAAAATCCATGGCAATGAACTCATCATGCAGACAGCAAAGACAGCATAGCACAGTGGTTAAATGCACAGGCACTGGAGGAACTGTTTATGTTTAAACTTAATCTCAACCTCTATCTTAGCTTCCTCAACTGTAAAATGGGGATAATTGTAGTACCTGCTTTGCCATTGGTGTCAGAACGAAATGAGGTAATACCATAGAGTACTCAACACACATAAAGTGCTCCAAGAACAGTGACTATTGTGACAATGATAACAGTGGGTCAAAGAAGAAATACTACAAATCTGTGTATGAAGGTCCGGTACTCAACATTGTAAAACAGACAATGTTGCCAATAAGTTTGATGAGCTACCTTTTATAAAACATTTGTGTTGAATTTGATAACTACCAACTATCAAGCACCTACTAAGTGCCAGGTGTACATAAAATCCCACTCTATTCTCCCAGTAACCCAAAGATGTGGATGTAGTGGTAGTAGTTGTGGTAATTGATGTACTGGTAATAACAATAAAAATAAAACATAACAATTTCTGAGTACATATTGGGCCTGGCACTGTGATAAGGTTGTTATATGTATTACCTCATTTAATTCCTCTTAGCAAACCTACACTCTAAGAATGAGAATTACTTTCATTTTAGAGAAAATTAACTATTGTCCGAAGAACTAAGAAGCAAGTCCAAGAGCCAACAATTCGTGTGGAAAGCTGAGAATGGAACCAGGTTTTTCTGGCTCCTGATAGATACTACCCCACCTCAATCTTATGGTCTTGGGAATTCAGAACTGGAAAACAGAGTATGAGTCAGTTAACAGTAAAAGTATGAGCTGTGTGAGTATGTAGACCAGGACTGGGGCCAGGATGTGGTAAGTGAGGTGCCCTGGATAAAATATATATGTATATATGGAGGCCCTTAACTCTCAGGAGGAATTCAAAGTAGGTAGTATGAAACCAGAATTTTTTGTGTGCAGATCATTGGAAATGATGGCAAATAGGGCCACTTATCCTTCTACCACAGGGTTCCAAAAATTTGCATTTTCTACCTACTGGGGACACAGAATCATATAACCAACTTGACTGGGGCTGTGTGTTAGAACCTAGAGGATGGCACTGCATCCTCTTCGGAAAGCATCTCCAAGCTTTGCCTCAGTTGCACCTCCAAAAGGCCATTCTGTTGCTCAGGCTGGCTGCTTCAGAGTCGCCACGAAGTGGCAGGACCCGTGTGCTCACGGCCACATTTCCTTTACTGTAAAGTGATCCAACACAATTTTATGCCAGATTCTGTGCAGATAGATCAAATACTGTAGAGTCTTGGAACATGGTACTGGCAGAGGCCCTGCGAGCAGGACAGGAAAACTCAGCTGGAATAAGTATTGACACGACTCAAGAGGAAGCGTTGTGCCTTGCGAGTGGAAAGGAGATTGATGTAATCAATTTGCCACCAAGTGACTGACTAGACTCCTTAGGGAATAGTGTCCTATCACATGCTTGGCACACATTCTGTGGCTGGCAGGTTGGATATCCAGCAGTAGCAGCAGCTAGACAAGCCTTGGTGATTGAAAAGTCCTTGCTACTGGGCCATGCACATCTTCCATCCCTGCTGCCATAGCTGCTGCATCATCCACTTGCTGTGCCAGCACTGGCTGGCCAATGATAGATACTGGCCACAATCAGCTAGTCGAGTTATTCTGTCTCCTTGATTATTTAGTGCTTTTTCTCTGGTGGTTGCTCTCTGGTGGGCATTGGAATACAATACAAAGAGGTTCACACCTTGTGCCTTCTCACATGGTTCCATCCGCATGCTATTTCCTCAAATCATCTTGATCCCATTCTTCCAAAGCCCTTTCTTTTTTTAGGCCCCCAACCAATCATCTGAGCAACCCCCATAGCCTGTGAGTCTACATTCTATTCTTAGGGCTCATCTCTTTTCACACACAGTGTATGGCTGGGAGCACTGCCTAAAGGTCTGCCATTGGGAGGATTTCTCTTCTCTGCTCTTTTCTGGGACATCCCTGAGTGTGCAACAGCTTTTGATCTCACACACCGAGCCAACACATCCATGAAACAAATGTGGTCCCTTTCATTCTTTTTCAGGTGGTCATAAGGGAACCCTCATGTGGCCTCATGTGTGTACCAATGGATAAGCAATCGTACAGCCCTGGTGAATTACATGGGGTTCTGGATCACCTGTTCATGGAGCTGATTTGTGCTCTCCAGCCTTGTTTCTTCCCAATACCAGATGTGCCATGTACACCTTTCCATGCATTGCTGCTGGACCTGGTAGGTCCTACATCATTTTGGGTAGCCCTGGACACATGGTCACTTGATATTCCATGGTCAGGGACTCCATCTCTACAAAAGCCACTAGAATGCCAAGAGCTGCTTTTAAAATGACATGCAATTATCTGCTACAGATGGCATGGCTGCACTCCAGAAACCTAGGGCTCTGCATTATCTTCCTACTGGAGTTTGCCATAAACTGCACTCTGCATCTTTCCCCATCAGATACTTCCAATGCCATTTGGCCTTTCAGGTCATATGTCTAAGCAGCAGGACCAATTGCACTGCAGTCTGGACCTCTACAGAGCCTTTTTCTGCTATCAGCCCTATTCCATGCTGAAAGCTCTAGGTTATTCAGTTTCCCACCTTGATAAAAGAGAGTCAAGTTTTATACCTCCTTGATAAGTCTATGAATTCAGGCTACTTCCAGGACAAGGAGGTTCTCTTTAGCCAAAGGAACTTTCCAGAGAGCAATCCAACTAAGAGCCATCAATCACTAACACTCTCAGGAGCTGAAAAAAGAATGCCTCGGTTCTGAAAGAAGGGTCTGGGTGATATACCAGAGAATCCACTATAGGATCTGCTTTAAAGGCCTGAAAGAAACTTGCACAGAGAGAATTCACCAGATACGTGGCAACTGCAGGAGCCCACATATCTCAAGTGAGAGAAAGAAACAGAGACTTAGAGAGACAGACAGACAACCTAATGTTTTGCTAATTCTTCCCTAAAATTGGGTTTTTAAGTATCTACTGCATCTTTAAGGTAACTCAGCTTCTCATAAGCTAATCTAATTGAGTTTCTGTTCCTTGCAACTAAATATTCCCTGTGTCTGTAAGATTTTCTACCTAATGGCTGTAAGTAATTCGAAATAAATAGTAAGAATTCAAACTTCCAGGGTTCGGGAATGTAGTTCAAATGTTAGCACCATATATTCACTGTCAACTTAAAGAGTTCTTTGAGGTTTTTGGGGGGTTTGTTTGTTTGTTTGCTTTTGAGATGGAGTCTCGCTCTGTCATACCCAGGCTGGAGTGCGGTGGTACGATCTCAGCTCACTGCAACCTCTGCCTCCCGAATTCAAGCAATTCTCCTGCTTCAGCCTCCTGAGTAGCTGGATTACAGGCACCCGCCACCACACCCAGCCAATTTTTATATTTTCAGTAGAGACGGGGTTTCACCATGTTGGCCAGGCTAGTAGTCTCAAACTCCTGACCTCAGGTGATCCACCCACCTTGGTCTCCTAAAGCCCTGGGGTTACAGGCATGAGCCACAGCGCCCAGCCGTTCTTTTAGTTTTAAATGTAACATGAAGTAGAAACTGAAAAAAGCATACGAAACCTAAGCGTCTGATTAAATATTACGACAATCCTCAAAATTAAGTCAAACAACTTAAAGGCTTTATTTTATCCAAGTATGGCTCTAATAGCGTATACACAATTTACTCCCTAAAGACCATACAATTCGGATTTGTGGATGGTTACAAAAAATGCAAAGCCAGAGAGATGTTTACTCTGGAACTATCTATCTGTGATAATTTATGAGATTATCTTGAGAAATACAATCTGTTTCACCTTTACTCACCCCTAAGTAATAACACTATCTTAAAAAGTCTGTTGCATCAGTTAGCTATTGCTGGGTAACAAACCTCCCCAAATATCAGTGGCTTTGAATAAGCATTTACTATTGCTTATGCATCTAAGGGTCAGCTTGGAAGTTTGGTCTGTAATGTGCTTCATGACACTTCTGAGATCAGTTGAACTTTACATGGGTGGTGCTATTTGACTGAGATCTTATAATATACATGGTTTAGGATGACTTTAAATGGAACAACTGAACTTGCTTTTATATGGACATTTCCCTTCTCGTTAGCCAGCCTTGGCTTTTTCTCATGGCAGAGGTAGGGTCCCAAAAGCATGAGTTGAAAATGTGCAATGCCTCTTGCAGCCTAAGCTTGAAGTGACATATAGTCACATTTATCACATTCTATTAGCCAAAGCAAGCCACATAGCAAGACTTGATTCACAGTGGAAAAACAGACTCTACCCCATGATGAGCCAAGCTTCGAAGTCTCAATGCAGGGGCTGTGGATACAGAGAAAAGATGGGTTAGAGTCATTTTTGCAATCAAGTACAACTATAAGAGACTAATATTCATCCTAGTCAACCATTTTCTAGCTGTGTGACTCTGAATAATTTAACTACTTCATCCGTTATTTATTTTCACAATTTATAAAATAGATAATAATACACAATCTGCCTAAATGTTGTTGTGAATATCAAATAACACATAAAGTACATGTCACAAAGCCTGGTACATACTCAACAAATATTAGCTATTATTTCTTGTTGATAATATTTATAAACTTCTTCATTCATTTTTTAAACTTGTTTTATAGATCCAGGAGTGGAGGTAAGCAGGTATGAAAGGAGGATGACAGTATACTCAAAAGCAAGGAATAAATGCCTTTATCTCATATTCCACCAAACCAAATTCCCTCTGGCCTAAGTTCTTTCTTGATGAGTAGTTTTGTAAGTTACTTTATGCCAAATAAAAACTTCACAAATGGTTTCCCAGGATAAGACAGAGTTCACAGAGCAGCCACAGAGATGTCAAAAACAAAAGCTGAGTGAATATGACAATAAGTGCACTGCTTGTGCATTTAGGTTTATTTGCATTTTTCATTGATATTCTGTACGAGTTCAGAACAGTAGCTAATCCAAGCTAAATTTACAGCTTGTAAAACAACTAGGTTATTAACATGACACACTTCTTATGCCCTGAACTTTCAAAAATATTCTAAATAAAGGGAATTTTTTTTATCTGTTTAACAGAGAACAAAAGAGACAGAGAAGATTATGGGCAAAAACTGGCTAATTTCCAAATGTAGGATTTTATCCTAATAAGAATTTCCTTTATCAAACTCACACCACTTTGGACTTTGAATATCTTTGCTGAATAGTTTCTTTGTCTTCCACCACTGTATCAGTATTTTCTCAAATCCTATTCTTTTTGATGATGATTAGTTGAATATATTTTTAAAAAGTAAAATTTTTAAAGACAAAAGGTATGCATGTAGACTAGAAAATAGTTAAACATCAACTGAAAATTAACTGGGGCAAAAATGTGACTTCCTATTTGAACAACTCACAAATTTCATAACTTAGAATAAATGAGCCCTTTTTTTTGAGATGGAGTTGTGCTTTGTTACCCAGGCTGGAGTGCAGTGGTGTGACCTTGGCTCACTGCAACCTTTGCCTCCTGGGTTCAAGTGATTATCCTACCTCAGCCTCCCAAGTAGCTGGGACCACAGGTGCATGCCACCACACCCAGCTAATTTTTTTTTTAGTGGAGACAGGGTTTTGCCATGTTGGCCAGGCTGGTCTTGAACTCCTGACCTCAAGTGATGTGCCATCCTCACCATCCCAAAGTGCTGGAATTACAGGCGTGAGCCACTGTGCCTGGCCTGAACCAATTTCTTGAAAGACACAAACTACTACCTCACAAAATGAGAAAGAGATAAATTAAATAGGCATGTATCTATTAACTGAATCAACAACTAATAACCTTAAAAAAGAAAACACTGGCCCAGATGGTTTTACTGGTGAATTCTAATACTTAAGGAAGAAATGATACCAAATCTATTCAAGAAAATAGAAGCAGAGGGAATACTTCCTAACTCATCATATGAGTACAGCACTGTCCTCATACCAAAACTAGACAAAGAAATTCTAAGAAAGAAAACTACAGATCAATATCTCTTCTGAGCATCATGCACAAATCCTCAATAAATATTAGCAAATTAAATTTAACAATGTATAAAAAGAATACCACAACTGAGTATGATTTACTAAAGGTGTATAAGGCTGGTTCAACATTTGAAAATCAATGTAAGACAGCACATCAATAGGCTAAAAAAGAAAACTCATATAATTATATCAATTGAGACACAAAAATATTGAAAAATACAACACTCATTCATGATCATTATTTTCAGCAAATTAGAGATAGTGGGGGAGTCTTCCCAACTTGATAAAGAACACCTACAAAAAATCTACAGTGGACACCAGGCTTAGTGGTGACAAAGTGGTTGCTTTTACCCTTAAGGTTGAGAACAAAGCAAGATTGTCCTCTCTTATTACTCTCTTTCAACATCATACTGCAAGTCTTAGCTAGTGCAATAAGTCAAGAAAAAGAAACAAAAGTCATATGGATTGAAAAAGAAAAAATAAAAACAAAAAACATTGTTGTCTGTGTAAAAGTCAAAAATTTGACAGAAAAGAGACTCCTCCTGGAACTAAGAAGCAAGTATAGAGACATTGCAGTATAGAGAGTGGTTAATATACAAAAAGTCCAATTCCTTTTTTATAGAACAGCAATGACCAATTAAAAGTTGAAATTAAAAGACAACACCATTATATTAGTGCCCCCAAATAAATAAAATACTTAGGGATTAATGTTCAAAATAAAGAAAATATAAATAAATGAAGAAATATTCTATGTTCATGAATTATGTCTTCATTCAGTTTGGACTGCTATAACAAATTGCCATAGACACAGTGCCTTAGACAACAAACATTTATTTATCACAGTTCTGAAGGCTGGGAAGTCCTATTGTGGGAATCAGGGGGACCAGAGAGACCTCAGGGTAAAGGATGAGGATTTTATTGAGTGCACTCAGACCCAGTGGATTAACATCCTGAGACTGGGCCCAGAACAAAGAAAGCACATGACTTTTATATACACTTCTAAAAGGGGGTGGGCGAGCCTAAAACAAGCTTACCATGGCATGAAGTGTAGTGGCGTGAAAGCAAGGATGCAGTGGCATAACAAAGGCAGTGAATCAAATTGTGACACGTGCATAACTCAGGATTACATATGACCATTGCCAAGCAAGCCAGATGGCTGTTATCTAGGCTTGCTCAGGCTTCTTGTGACCTGCACTGTATTTCTCAGATAAAACAGAATACTTGAAGTTACTAGTTACAGAGAACAGGAATCTATAAACTCATAAAACTTGCAGAGTAAGGTACAATCACATGGAGAGAGGTGGGATTCTAGGGGGAACTTTACTTTTTCTTATCCTTATGTTGAGGGAGTGCTGGGAGAGTCTCCACAACACATTCCTTTGTGTCCTAGCTTCTTAGATAGTGTTTATCAAGGCTTTTCCTGGGTCTGGGCTGTGCCTGTTCCTGCCTCTGGGATAAATCAGCCTAATACAGTAAAGCTTATTTCTTTTTCTTTTTAAATTTTATTTTCCTTTAATTCTTTAATTTCTGCCTCAGTCCAAGATTAAGGTGCTATCAGATGGGGTGTCTCTGAGGACCAACATTCTGATTTGCAGATGGCCATCTTCTTGCTGTGCCTTCACATGGTAGAGAACAGGGAGGGTAATCAAGCTCTCTTTGGTCTTGTCTTATAATGGAACTATCTCATTCATGAGGACTCCACCTTTATAACCTAATTACCTCCCAAAGTTTCCACTTCCTAGCACCATCACACTGAGGGTTAGAACTTCAACATAGGAATTTGGGGGTGACAAAAACATTCAGTCTATATTACTGGAAAATTCAATATTGTTAAGATGTCATTTCTCAACAATTTGATCTATAGATTTAATACAATTCCAAACAAAATCCCAGGAAGCTATTTATAGATACTGACAGACTGATTCTAAAGTTTACATGGAAAGACAAAATCCTGCAAAACTAAAAAGAAAGAAAAAAGTTAGAAGCATCATATTACTTGATTTCGAGACTTACTACAAAGCTACCGTAATTGAGACAGTGTGGTATTGGTGAAAGAACAGGCACATAGGTCAATAAAACAGAAGGGAGTGCCTAGAAATAGACACAAATAAATATGGTCAACCAATCTTTGAAAAAATAAACAATGAGATAATACATTTTAGTGATCTGACTGGTAAAGATATTAAATATAGATGCTACCCAGAGTCGGTAAAGTTCTATGGAAAAAGACATCCTCTTACACACTATTGGTAGAAGTGTAAAGTTATTGTCTTTGGGGGAGAGTAATTTGCCAACAAACACTATAATTTTAAGTACACAGCAATTTCATCTTTCATTATTTATGCTTGGAAAATATTAATTAATAGAAAACTTATATTTACAAGTAGAATGTAGTAGGTCATGGCAGGCCAATTATCCCACTAAAATAACTATTTAAAAATTGTATAAATTATAAAAATTCTGTTTATATTTCTAGGAAGCAATAAGGAGCTGATGAACTCAAATTTCAGGCTGGAAGGAATCTCTTCAACTCTTTCAGGGTTGAGGAGACAAAGGCTTGCCAAAATTGTAATAAAGTCGTGCCCAAGGATCTAGGATAAGCCAGAAATTGAGACTCACATTTTCCTACCTGGTTCCATGTATTGTAATTATCAAGAGAAAAACAGAGAATAGAAACAGACCCATAGATGACCTTGATATTGATATTAGCAAACACTGACTTTAAAATAACTACAATTAATATGTTTAAAATAACAGAAGGAAATATGAACAATGTGGATGAAATGACAAAGAATTTTGGCAGAGATTCAGAAGCTATCAAAAGAATCCAATAAGAATAAGAGAAATGAAAAATATAATAATATCTAAAATTAACTCATTGGATGGACTTAATACTATAATGGAAATTAAAGAACACAGTGTTTTAAAAGCCTGATTAACTTGTTGATTGAAGTTTATAACTAAATTATGTATTTAATGCAAACTTCTAGAAATCCTCAAACTTGGGTAGAGCATATTACTACTACATTACTGCTCTGATTTTAAATTTATATATAAACTTTTATACATCACTTATTGTGGGTGCCTGTAATCTCAGCTACTAGGGAGGCTGAGGCAGGAGAATAGCTTGAACCTGGGAGAAGGAGGTTGCAGTGAGCTGAGATCATACCATTGCACTCCAGCCTGGGTGACAGAGCAAGACTCCGTCTAAAAAGTAATAAAAATAATATTTAATTTCAAAAAAAGAAAGAATATGGTATTATTAAATCCAAAGACAAGTCAGCAGAAAATATTGAAACTAAAGCACAGAAAGAAAAAAAATAGAAAGAAAAGATCAGAGCATAAATGTTGGATTAGTCAAAAAGCAGATAAGGAGAGACCCAGAAAAAAATTAATAGAAGCAATAGCAGCATGTGAAAAGATATGACATTATTCCAAAACTATTGAAAGATGTCAACTCAAGCAGAATAAATACAAAGAAAATCACATTTAGGTACATCATAGTCCAACAACTAAAAACCAAAGATAAAGAGAAAATCTTAATAGTTGGCAGGCAAAAACACATAGTCACATTTCCAAAGAGAAATGTTAAGGATTTTCACTTTAGTGTTGTTTGTAATAGCAAAAAGAAAGAAAAGAAAACAATCATAAAGTCCATTTACATAGGAATATTTAAATGTCTTACAGAATCTCCATTCTATAGAATAGAATTTTGAAACAATGAAATGGACCTATATGCATTTATATAAAAATATCTCTAAGACATATAGTGTATTTTTACAATATGTAAATGAGATAATACTATACATATTATTTAACTTGTTTTTCCCCTTAACTACATAATTATAAGCAAATATTTATGCTTTAAATTTTCAGAAAGGAGAAATTTATAGAAGGATATGTATAGATACATATAAAACAATAAATGTATACAAAGATAACAGCAAATTAATAACAGTAGTTTTTTTAATTAGTTTTCTCTTTTAGTTGTTATAAATTACCACAAACTTAGTGCATTAAAACAATACAAATTTAGTATCTTACAGCTCTGGAAGTCAGAACTCCAAAATGGTTCAATACAGCTGTGTGTTCTCTGTAGGCTCTGGTGGAGAATCTGTTTTCTTACCTTTTCCCAGCTTCTAGAGGCCACCTGCATCCCGTGACTATGGCCCCTTCATCACTCCAGCCTCTGCTTTGATTGTCCAATCACTTTTTCTGACTCTGACCCTCCTGCCTCCCTTCTCTAAGGACCCTTGAGATTATACTGCATCCACATGGATACTCCAGGATAATCTTTCTATCTCAAGATCCTTGACTTAATGACATCAACAAAGCTATAATTTAAGTAATACAGTTACAAGCTTTAGGGATTAGGATGTGAACATCTTTAGGGGTGAGGGGCCATTATTCTGTCTACCAACATGGAGTATAGGAGAGTATTTCTCTAGGCACTTTAGGATTGTGTGAATCTTTTACAAGAAAAATATGTTTATTTTCTATTGGTGTAATTAGAAATAAAATGAAAATTAATAAAGTTCTTAAAGTGATTGAGAGTACCAATCAAAGGTAGGTTGAAGGTCAACTTTACTAAAAAAATTATGGTGTGTATTTAGTATAAACCATGTGGCCACCAACTTTGGCACAGTCCTTAGCCCACAGCCCTCAGTAAAAAATAGAGCTAAGACCCTTGAGAGAACCTCTCGAGGTGCCCAATTGGCCTGACACTCCCTTTGTACTGGCCTGACTACTGTGTTGAGACTTCCTTGACTGTTATATCTGCTAAAGTTGAACAAAAATAATATGCCTATTCTCTCTTTTGATAAAGAAACTCCAGAAATGGAAGTTCTGGAATAAAAAGGACACTTTTATTTGTTTATTTTCTTGTCTCTATTTGGGTCTTTTTAAAAATTCAGATAGCCAAATGAGAACTCAAGCTATATCCAACTCACAATGTGATCACTCACATAAAGCAATCTCAAAAGAAACTTCCACTGCTTCAGAGACCAAGGGTTCCTTGGACCGATGGCATGAACAGAGATATGGTCACTTGGAATGTCTTAAGATGACAAAGGTTATAAAGCCAATCTAAACCTGGATATATCTGACTTTGTTTTAGCCTTCATTGGTACTTGTTTAAAGGCAATGACACAATCTGCTTATGTAATAATTACTATCAGCATTAATGATGTGTCTGTCATTCCAAGACCAAAAGAAAGAATGTTTGAAAGAGAGAGAAAAATCAAAGGATGTTTATAATGAGAAAATTATATGTCGAAGGGGAAGGCAGTAATTCTTGACAATATTATAAGAAAATTCTTAAAATAGCACCAATTTTTCTTGTTAACAGCATTGGAAATGAGAGAGCAGCAGTATTTTGGTGAGTATGATATTTTTATGTAAATAACAAGTTGCCAAGAAGATAACTAGGAAATTGTAGACTTTAGAAATTAGGTTCATCAGCCATTTGTACCTATCCTGCCCCAGGAAGAAAGCCTTGTCTGAACTCTTCAAAAAATTGAATGGAGCCAAGATAAGCCATTCTTATTATGTGTTCATATTTTTTAACTGAACTCATGTAAATTTCTTTAGAGGAAGTAAAAGTATTTGTAGGAGATTGCAGATCAAATTCTGGCTCCGTACCTCACTAGATATGTGACCTTAGACAAGGTCTTTGAGCTTTCTGAGCCTCAGCATCCTCATAAAATGGAGAAAATAATATTTACTTCCTAGGATTGGTGGAAAGATTAGACAAAGCACTTAATATAGTGCCTACCATATAGTTGGCATTCAAACATACAACATGCTTATTGCAACTATGATTCATCACCCCTCACAAACCCTCTCCTACTCCCCCACACATGCCCTGTCTTAGGTTTCCTGTTTCACGCCCCTTTCAACACCCTTCAAAAGATGCATGGTATGACTGCGAAGACATGAAACTGAATTTTTAACATACACCAAAACCTCTCTACCAACCAGCATGTGCGTTGGATTATTTTTTTCCTCCATGCAGTCGCATGTGAAGGTGCACACTTACTCCAAATGGGTGGACCATTTATCAAACCATTCTTGAAACTTCAGTCTGGGAATTGCCTTCAGTTCAGTTCAACCATTCTCTCAGGAAAACCTCTCATTGTTTTATGAGCATCTCTGGTTTAGACCAACAAGAGCACACAATTCCTTCTTTATTCAACTAATATTCAATGAAACACATTATGTATGAAGAACTATGCTTGCCTGTGGATGTATTCCAGTAAAATAGACAGGATCCTTGACATCTTGACACTTACAACATAGTAAGAAGACAACCAATAAACAAATAAAGTAGATAAATATATCATTATACATTAAGACAAATGCTACAAAGGAAATGAACATGGTACAGTAATGGAGGATAACTGTGGGGATGCATCTATTTAGTCAGTGAAGAATGATAATCTCTTAATTACATAGGGAAACCATCGAAGGGTTTTAAGCTGGAGAGTGACAAACCTGGACTTAGAATTTCAAACAGGCACTCAGGCTGCTCTGTAGAAAAATGAATGGAGGGTAAAAGTGTATGAGGAACCAGTAAAGAGTAGATATCCAGGCAAGAAATGGTTGTGCTTCAGATGAGAACCCTAGTAGTAGCTATAGAGAGAAGCATATGCATCTGAGAGGGATTTTTGAATTAGAAAAGGCAGAATTGGATGCTGAAGGTGGGGAGTGGAAAAGGAGGAATCCAAGATAACTCCTAGGGAAGCTGGATTACTGATGAAGCCATGGAGCTTCAGCTTTGGGTTCTTCCTTATGGAGAAACCCCAACCAAGGCTTTAGTGAAGGTCTTACCAATAAGTTCTTGGGGTATCTGCGTACATATTTTAAATGGAAGGTCCTCAAATTACATAAGCCTCAGACCCCTCAAAGCCTGTATTTTCCTGCTCCCTGCTTTGCACTTTAACCACCAGGTAGACAGGGACCCATTTTGTGGAGATGAGAAACAAGTGTTGTGGGAAGGGTTGGAGTTCCATTTGGATGCGTGGAGTTTTGGTGCCTGTGGGCATTCAGATTATCAAACAAGATTCTAAATGGCTTCTGAATCTTTCCAGATATCAAATTTACTTTCAAAGAAAAAAACTGTATCATTGACAATATTCAGCTTCCAAACTGGTGGTTCTTGATATTTTTTAATCATCTTTGACCTAGCCGGGCGTGGTAGCTCACGCCTGTAATCCCCATACCTTTGGAGCCCAAGGCAGGTGGATCATTTGAGATGAGGAATTTGAGACCAGCCTGGCCTACATGGTGAAACCCCATCTCTACTAAAAGTACAAAAAAAAAAAAAAATTTAGCCGGGCCTTGTACTACATGCCTGTAGTCCCAGCTACTCAGGAGGCTGAGACAGGAGAATCACTTGAATCTAAGAGGCAAAGGTTGCAGTGAGCCCAGATCAGAGCACTGCACTCCAGCCTGGGTGACAGGGTGAGACTGTCTCAAAAAAAAAAAAAAGAAAGAAAGAAAAAGAAAAAAGAAAAAGAAAACCTATAGGCATTTCCTCTGAGAAAATGCACTTTCACCTATGGTTTAATTCACCCTAACCCAAGAGCTCACCGGTCCCCTAAATGCAGTCACCACACCATGACTGTAAATGCAGTCACGACACCATGAGAGAGGTGATGAGCAGATGTTCTTTTCCCCAAAGATTATACTGATAGGCACAACACCTTTTTCATATACGAATTTTGAAATATTTGTTAAAATCAGCACTATTGCTTCACCATCTCACCTTATTGCTATAAAGGCAATACATTTGAAGACATTTGAAACAGCATGATTTCTCTGCTTAAACCTTCCGAGAATGTTTATTTTCAAAGCACATTCCCATCCTTTCCATGTTCCCAGGCAATGGTATTTTAAAGAACTGAATGTATTTCCTAGCCTCGATAATATGTGCACTTTTTTAAGAACATTCATTGATCACTGGAGAAATTCATGAATACTAAATATTGCTCTGCAGAATGTTATTTGCTAGTTTTCTCCTCTGATGTCACTCAAACATCTTTTGTTTATTCACCAAGTCGTATTACAATGCCTCTGACTTTTCTACCTAATTCCATGATAAACTTGGAAATGGAAAGCATTAGTAGGTGCTCCTCCTCCCATTTTGCTGGTAGGAAAAGAAAAAGGTTATTTGTCAGATCACTGAACCATCGATACAAAATCCATGTAGACCTAAATTCAGTTTCCTATGACAGTAGCAGCTTCTACATAATTTGGTTATCTGGAAATTAAAGGGAACCCCTGAAACAAAGAGAGGCTTCAGTGTCTTTGCAGTCCCCCCTGTGGAACCCACATCCTATTTTTTAAAGATAAGCCTCTTATCCATTTATCACCTCCACTAGACAGGGAGCCCCTTGAGGATAAAGACATCCATAAACCTACCTTTCTGACCACACACTTTGCACATTGTAAATATGAAATGAATTATAAACTTGTTTTGGCTGCCTAGCTTTGTGAATTCAAAATCTGTGTGCTTTTGGTTTTGTGTTTCAGCTACAATATTTTAGCACCTGCTGTCCTGCAGGTACTTTATGAAGCATGTTCCACAAATCGTCTCATTGATTCCTCATGGGAATCATGCTGGCATGATTGTCTCCATTTTGCTGATGAAGAAACAGAGGCTTTGAGGAATTTAGTGACTTGCCCAGATTGCTCAGCATTCAAGAAGCCTTGTCTGACTGCCACGCTCTTGCTCTTTCCATTACCCCATACGGGCTCCACTGGCCACTCTGCTAATGCTGACTTGGCCTCCTAAATGTCTATCAGGCACTCCAAGCATGGTCCTACCTCAGGGCCTTTGCACTTGATCTCTCAGCCATTTATACCACTCACTTCCTCATATCATCCACACCTTAATATCATTTCCTCAGAGAGGCTGTGGCAGACCACACTATCCAAAATAGAACTTCTCCTTTCCCATGGCCACGGCTCTGTTTTGTATTTTTTGTATGCTTGTAGCACACACTCAGCTATGACTATGTTACATTATGTGATACAACTTGAGTTCAACTATTTCCTAAACTTTTAGAACTGAAGACATTTGGAGACTGGTTGCAGATGACTTACTTTTGTAGTTATTGTGTTTCCCTCCATTTGTTTTGTGTTTGTAAGTAGCAGTTTTACCATTTACCGATGCATATGGTTTAAGCAGATAATAGAAGGAGCCAAACTGAAAGCAGGTGAGCAGCATCACCACCCCTGTGGAAACTTTTATTGTATTCCTTTTGATTTGTGGGCATTTATTATTTTCTGTTTCTTCTTTTATTGCTATAAGCACCAGTTTCCATCCCCAGAAAAGGTTAACTAAAAATTAATCCACAAAAAGATTAAAATGGGATGTGTTTCCTAAGCCTTGTTTTCATTTATCATCTTTGTGTTCTTGCTAGTAAAATCTTTTGGCACTTGTTTTAAGTTTGTATTCAATGAGAATTGACAGAGCGTGGGGGCACAAGTTTAGCCGTGATGAAAATTTCACAAAGGATGTAATTAATAACAAAAACAGCAATAAGGATGATAGCTGGCACTTCATGAATGCTCACTACAGGCGAGGTCGCATTCTAACACCCTGTCACATAAGTGCTATTACTACCAGGGATGGATGAGGAGACTGAAACCCAGCTGTTGGAAAACTAGTTGATAATTGAGTGGTAGAGGCAGGATTTAAACTCAGCCATTTCGATCTAAAGCATGCCCTCTTAGCTGCTTTGTAGCTGGCTATTGCAGGTGCATTTGGGAGCTGCTACCAGTTTTCCTTTCCCCTGATTCAGTATGATCATCCTCCAGGGACTGTTAATGGAGCTAGAGTCCAGCTGACAGAATCAGAAGCCTGATGCGCTGGGAGTCAATGTTAGATGCATCCTGAAGTTGTCCTAATAATGAGGTTTAATATTTATTCAATGCTTCTCTAAGTGCTTACACATTTCATAACATCTTTTGATCTCCCCATCAACCATAAGAGGCATGTTATGCTCATTTTACTTTTAGGGAGACAGAGGCAAAAAAAAAAAAAAAAAAAAAAGTCCAGATCCCCTGCCCCAGTTTGCCCAGCTGCTAAGAAGGGAAGACAAGAGTCAGACCCTGGTAGCTTGCTTCAAAAGCCAAAAGCCATCTCCTCACCCACTGCCTTATCTTTAAGAGACTGAAGCTTCTTGTTAAGATGCAGACTTCATGGTGAATTTTTATCTTTTTCTCTTTCTTTCATCTAAATATCTCAAGGGACAGACTGTGCAAGGAGTCTTTAAGCCATGAATACTCTTTAGAACTTACAACAGTAAAAAATAATAGGGGAGTAGGAAAGAGAAACGGTTTCCATAAATCAAGAGGGTTTTTTTTCTCTTCATATGGGCATTTTCAAATGGTGTGGAGTTTTCCAAACAACAAGATTTTTATATTTGTGGGGGATTTAGATTCAATCAATAGCCTCAGATTTCACATGATTAAAGTAATTCTAAACCTGTCAAAAATTCTGACCCATAAACCACATCTATATGTTGGAACCAGATCAACCACAGAAGTCAAAAATCTTATTTTTTGAGATGTGTCATCAACTGGGCAGTACATAGTGAACACCCCCAAGTAACACAACTCATTTGTGAAAACAATTAGAAGAGAAGCCCTTCAAGGATCAAGAAATGAACCATCAAACCCATGTCTTTAAATGTTTTTAAGCACAGTCTCACTACCATTTGAAAATACTCAGAAACTGTCAACAAACTCTCACATCATGGTGAAAAGCAATACTGTAATGGTCTACATTTAATAGGTATTTCGACACAAGTTGAAAAGTTGAGTGGCAAACTGCTTCACAAACTTAGTGTGCACAGGAATCACCTAGAGGTTGGGATGGGGGACAGTTCTTGTTAAAATAAATACCTAATTCAGCAGGTCTGTGTTAGAGCTTAAGATTTTGCATTCCACACAAGTTTCCAGGTAATGCCAATGCTGCTGGTCCAGGGGTCACATTTTAAATATACAGCTTAGATCCTGAAAATGTCACAGGCTATGAGGTCAGACAGATCTGGGGCTGAACCCCATTTCTGCCACTTCTTGGCTATATGACTTCGAGCAAACGTTTATCCTGTCCAAACCTCTGTTTCCTCATCTGTGCAATGGTGCTTGATAAGGCAGAGCCCCATAAGATTGTTGTAAGAGTGGAATGTAATTACCTGTACAGTGCATAAAAAAGTAGGAATTCAATTATCAAAAGCCATATTAGTACTAATTCATATTATTTACATTATTATATTAATAATAATTATTAGCTAAAGTGATTGAAACAAACTGGGAAAGGATGCTAGAGATGAAGTTGAAAATGTTAATGGAATCCCAAAAGCCATCAAATGAGTTTCTTTCACTCATTTATTGAGCATCTTTCTGTGCCAGCCATAGCTTAAGAATCTTGTATGTATAGTAGCCCCCCAATACATAAGGGATATGTTCCAAGACCCCCAGTAGACACCTGAAACCATGGATAGCTCTAAACCTTATATATACTATGTTATTTAACACATACATGCTTATGATAAGGTTTAACTTTGTCATATGATAGGTATGTATGTAAAAGATTAACAACAATTAGTAACAGAACTTTTATAACCATGTATTGTAATGAGAGTTACGTGAATGTGCAAATGCGCGTGTGTGCGCTCTCTCTCCCTTCCTCAAAACATCTTCATATTTTTGAACCTCTGTGGATCACAGTAACTGAAACCAAGGAAAGTGAAAACCTCCGATGAGATTGGACTACCGTATCCTCCCATAACTGAAAGCGTAAATCGGCTCATTTAGTTATTACCAGAAGCCATCAAGTAGATGGTAACACCAGCTGCATTTCACAGAGAAGGGAACAGGTTCAGGATTATTACGTAACTTACCCTAAGTTTTACAGCCCACAAGTGACAAAATGAGGACTTGAACTTGGGTCTTTCTGGCTCGCAAGCTGTTGTTCTTAAATAATGGCCTTGAGTACACAGCTGGTAGACTAATGTGAGTGAGGTGTGGTTCCTACCTTACTGGACCTCTCAGTCCCCAGCAGAGGCTAGCTGAGGGTAATTTAAGATATACTTCCAACAGACAAAGCCATTTCAATTATTCTAAAAGAATTGGAAAGCCTTATCAATGAAGCATCTTCTTACATAGATTTTCAGTAAAAACCTCAGCATTGGTATGTTGTCAGGAGGAATCTTTGGATACGCTGATCTCCCAGTTATTCTTTAGAAGCCTAGTTGCTCTAGAAGTAAGCAATGTAAATGTCTTCTGCTTGAATTTCCTCATCTATTAAATGGAGCCACCTTCAAGGAGTTATTCCACTCCTTTTGTACCAAATTGCTTTTCACTTTTCCTCTAGTTCATGCCTATGTAATCCTGAGTATTTCATTTGCTGACTTATTGATGCTGGACACAGGTGAGAGACCTAGTGAATAAAGCTCTGTTCTTTGATTGCTTGTATAACTCAGGGCTCTATTTGCCACAAGTGACAGAAATCCAATTCAGACTAGCTTAAGAAGAAGAAAAGTTATTTGGTGACTCACCTACCTAAGAAGTCTGGGGATAGGTCTGGCTTCAGGAACAGCAAGACCAGGGGTTCAAACAATGTAATCAGGACCTAGTATCTCCATCTCTCAGTTCTGCTTTCTTTGCGATGACTTCTCAGGTATTTTTGATGGTGGCAAAATGGCCTATGGTAACTTAATGCTTACATTTCTACCAGAATGTATATTTTCTTCCCAGTGGTTTCAGGAGAAGTCCTGGGATTTACTCTGATGCAGTGATTTGGGACACAGGTCTATCCTTGAACCAATCATCATGGCTGAGGGAATGAAATATGCTGATTGGCCAGGCCTTGATCATGTGATCGCATCTAAGCCATGGTAGGGCAGGGTTATCCAGTAACCAGGAGGATAGGGTGTGGGAAAAGGTGCTCTACAAAGATGCTGTTGCCCATATAAGAGAAAGGAAATGTTAGGAGACGAAAATATTAGAAAGCCACCATGGTGCTTACAGATAGTCTCACAAGATACCAAGAAATCCCAAAAGGATTAGAGGAAGCTGCAGAGTTAAGGAGTTAGAGATGCAATTGTGAAAAGGTTTATTCCATCTTTCCTGATGATTATTTCCAATGCTATAACATGGTTCTGACGGTGAGCATAAAAGAGCTTTAAAATGGTGGAGGAATGCAGGCTGATGATTGGGAAAAGAGTTTCTTATGATTGCTCCTAGTCCACAATGATACAGACTTTGAGGCAGAATGAAGGTGTGATTCTGCCTACCTTCCCTATTTCTCTGTGGACACTGGAAGATAATAAAATTTCCTAAGTTACTACAAAAGCGATTTATCTTTATCATGGATTTTTTAGGTTTCTCCGAGATCCCAAAGAGCAATTACTTCTGTGAATGAGGTATTCTCCCTAGCAACCTAGGGGAATATCAATGTGGACTCTGGTACTGAAAAACTGTAGCAAAACACTTTTCTGATTGCCACTTGATGTATTGAAGAAATTCAGTCTGTAAATGCAAAATATATCTATGTGTTTGCATGCACATTCACACACAGATTTGTAGAAATCAATCAGTTAAATGCAGTAGACCACTCAATGCTAAAGAGTTAAGCAAAAGGTAGAAACAGAAAAATTATCATGACCAGCACAAATGCTCTCTGGGACCTCAGGGATCTGGAAACCATGGAAATAGCAATTGTATTCAAGGTTATTTTACATGATCCACATATCAATGAAGAAGTTTCATATTTGGGGAATTTAATGATCCACAAAAAATTTCCAGCAAGTTAAAAAACTATATAGTGTTGATTAGCGTATTGGATTTTCACAACTTTTTCAGTTTGATCTTGTCATGAGGGACACCAAAGAGTTGATGGACTTAATAAATTACCCTAGAAACTCAGTAAAGAGTGCAAATCTAAGATAAATGGTACTGAAAACATTTTCCAAGATCCTATCTATGACTTTTACAAAGTTGGCCCTCCTTGCTTGGAGAATTCAGAATTGCTATAAGTGTAAGTAGCAAAAACTTCAGTTCCAACTGACTTAAGCACCAAAGAAATTAAGATAATTTTCTGGTTTATTTAACTGAAGAATGCAAGATAGCCTGCAGGTGTGGCTGTATCAAGAACTCAGTTGCCATCTGGACTTGGTTTTCCCTCTTCTTTTCAGCTCTGCTTCTATTGATTGATTTTATCCTCAGGCCTCATACTGTGGCCTGCCTGGCTCCAGACTGGCATCATCCCAGGTTCAAGACAGTTGGAAATAGACTGCCTTGCTGGTATGATACAAGTGCTGAGATTCTCTCCAGATAGATCAAGCTGGATCATGTGTCTCTCCTGAATCGGCCACCGTGGCCAGAGGAGTTTGAGTCCCTGATTTGCTACCTTTGGAGAACAGAGTTCATTTTAGTAGGGTGGTTTCTCAAAAGAAATGCAAAATGCTATTATAAGAAGATGAAAAACAGCGTTTCTTCATAGCCCACAAAAAGAGGCCATTAATGGGTCTTGAAAGAGCTACAAGCAGATCTACCATTCAATCCAGCAATCCTACTACTTGGTATCTTTTCAAAGGAAAAGAAGTCATTATATGTAAAAGACACTTTCACACACATATGTTTATGCAGCATATTCACAACTGCAAAGGTGTGGAACCAATCTAAGTGCCCATTGACTAATGAGTGGGTAAAAAAAAATACGATATATACACCATAGAATACTACTTGGCCGTTAAACGGAACAAAATAATGTCTTTTGCAGCAACTTGGATGGAGCTGGAGGCCATTATTCTAAGTGAAATAACACAGGAGTGGAAAACCAAAAACTGTATGTTCTCACTTATAAGTAAGAGCTAAGCGATGAGTAGGCAAAGGCATACAGAGTGATGTAATTGACTTTAGAGACTCAGAAGAAAGAGGGTGGGAGAAGGACTAGGGATTTAAAAAAGCTACACATTAGGTACAGTGTACACTATTTGGATAAGAGGTGCACTAAAATCTCAGAATTCACTGCTATGTAATTCATCCATGTAATAAAAAAAACCAGTTGTACCCTAAAAGCTACTGAAATAAATAAAAAGAAAAAAGGTGGGGTGAGGGTGCCTGGGAAGCAATTAAAGCTTCCATCAAGGCCAAGAGCAAATGGTTACTCATAGATAGACAAAAGAGAGCCACCTTATTAGTCTTCCTGACTCATCTGTTTTCAAGTCATTGTTCTGCTCCCCATCCAGTTTATTTCTAGCCCATTTGCAAATCAAAACCACAGACTCCACAACCCAGAGCTGTTAGGGTTTCATAAAAAAGTGATTTTTGGGCCCAGACATGCGGCTTATATCCATAATCCCAAAACTTTGGAAGGCTGAGGCAGAAGGATTGCTTGAGGCCAGAAATCTGAGACCAGCCTGGACAACATAGCAAGACTCTGTCTCTATAGAAGAAGGTGTTTTAAATAGCCGGATGTGGTGGCATACACCCATAGTCCTAGCTACTCAGGAGGCTGAGGCAAGAGGATCATCACCTGGCCCCAGAAGTTCAAGGTTGCAGTAAGCTATGATTGCACCACTGTACTCCAGCCTGGGTGACAGAGAAAGATTGTGTCTCTGTAAGAAAATTTATTTTAAAGATGTTGAATTTTGTATGTGATTTTTCTCTTTGCCCTAGGCAACTAAGCCCAACCTCTCTGGGGCCTTTTCAATTAACTAGAAATTATGCAGAACAATGTTCAATCAAATAGTATGGCTTTTCAAAGGCACAGTGAAGAAAGTATGAATGGAGAACCTCCAGCCAAAAGTTCACACAGAAGTTTTGGCTTTATGGGGAGTATTTGAAAGAAACATTGAAAATATGAAATCCAAATAAATAAGAATTGCTACCCTTTACATATAAAATGGAGAAACTGATTTTTCTTCAGTACAACACATGCTTCTATATTTTCTTCAACAGATGTTTCTTTCCTTAATAAAATATAAGTAGATAAGTTGGCAATTAGCAGAACTCAAAGAACAACTTCTAAGACTTCTAAAGACTTATAAAAACTAAGACTTGTAAAACTTCTTGTCTCTTTTAGAAGCCATAGCTTTGTAAATACTGACCTAAAGTTTCCCAACATCCTATGCCATGCTTGCTGCTAAGAATAAATTAAAGAAACAGTTAATTATTTATAAAATGAATAGCAGATATACTAAAGGAGCTCCCTTCTTGAGGATACAATCATTTCCTAAAAGAAAAATCATTTTATCATGAGAATAATTACTCCCTAACCTCAGGATAAAACATAAATATGTGCCAACTCTTCTTGATTCAATAACCACCTTGAGTAGGGGTCAGCAAATTTGTTCTGAAGGCCAGATGGCAAATATTTTAGGCTTTGTGAGATATGATCTCTATCACAACTACTCAACTCTGCCAGCGAAATGCCAGAGCCCCATAAACAAATAAACCAGGGGCTGTGTTCTAATAAAACTTTATTTATGAAAACAGGGAGCGAGCACTATTTAGCCCGACTGGCCATAATCTACTGACCTCTGACCTAGAACGCAGTGTTGAGATGGATTCTGAGGTTTTGTCTGAGCTCAGTAGGAGAGACTGTCAAGATCAATTGGTGATGCCTGCTAAATGGGAGGAAAGGAAGTGTCACAGCACTTAACCCTTTTGCCATTTAGGAAAAAAAAAAAGTGCAGCTCGCTGCTGGCACTCATTTAATTTTACATAAACACACTCTTTGAGGCTGAAGCAAATCCTACTGATTTTCAATGTGAAAATAAAATATAAAAACCATTCTTGGAGTTATTTCTAAACAGAACTGACATCAGGATCATCTGAATCATTAGAATCATCTATTTCAGAAAAATCTAATTCATCAAATGAATCTTCGGTCAACAACTGTTCAAGAACAATGTTAACATCACTCATAGCAATGCTACGTTTTCAGCCGGGCACGTTGGCTCATGCCTGTAATCCCAGCACTTTGGGAGACCAAGGCAGATGGATCACGAGGTCAGGAGATGGAGACCATCCTGGCTAACATGGTGAAACCCCGTCTCTACTACAATAGAAAAAAAAATTAGCCAGGCATGGTGGCTCAAGCCTATAGTCCCAGCTACTTGGGAGGCTGAGGCAGGGGAATCGCTTGGACCCGAGGGGCAGAGATTGCAGTGAGCTGAGATCATGCCACTGCACTCCAGCCTGGCAACAGAGAGAGACCCAATCTCAAAACAAAAAAAAAAAAAAAAAAAAAAAAAAGAAATGCTACGTTTTCTAGGATTTGACATTTTCAGCTATCAAGAATTACTATATTTTGTAAATGGAAATACTACTACTAAAAATAGAATGCTGTAAATAGAATGGTCTCTTTTGTTTCCAAAGTGAATATATAGAGCAATGTGAAAATAATAATAAAAGCGAGATATTTCATGGCAAAGTTATCTCGGGGTAAATGCTGCAGCTGTAAGCACCACCAGTGAGTATTCTTGGGGCAAATGGGAAAACGGTTAAACTGAATATCTGATATTGCTGCAAACCAACAATTTGTTATTTTATCCACATGCCCCAAAATGTCCCATGTCAGGAATTGTGAACTGGCTGCCTAGAGTGGAAGGGGTAGTGTGGATTTTCTTTTGAGGTTAACTAATTGCCCTAGATAGGGATCAAGTTTATGACCTTGGGCCTCATTAGCATCAGCCTTAACCAGCTGCAATATCTCGCTACAGATCAGGCTGTGGGAAGAGCAAGAAAACATAATGTCTTTGTTCTTTTGAAACAGTAGCAACTCACACTGAGAAAATGATCATTAGGAGAACGAAGAGTTAGTGTCTGTCTTAATTTAATCTCTTGTCGTTAGATATCCTTAGCTCTTCTACTTCAGGGACTGTAGACTAATGGAACTTATATTAAACATTCTACACCATCAATAAGCAGAGGCTGCTGCTATCTCCTTTACAAGGTAGATAATACACCACTTAGTAAGAAAACTGGAAATTATTCCCAAACTATATAAGAATATGAGAGAGTGGCTGGCAAGATGACCGAATAGGAACAGCTCTGGTCTGCAGCTCCCAGCGAGATCAAAGCAGAAGGTGGGAGATTTCTGCATTTTCAACTGAGGTACCTGGTTCATCTCATTGGTACTGATTAGACAGTGGGTGCAGCCCACAAAGGGTGAGCCGAAGCAGGGTGTTGCCTCACCTGGGAAGCACAAGGGCTCGGGGAACTCCTTCCCCTAGCCAGGGAAAGCCGAGCGGCACTGTGCTGTGAGGAATGGTGCATTCCGGCCCAGATACTATGCTCTTCCCACGGTCTTTGCAACCAAAAACCAGGATATTCCCTTGGGTGCCTACAGGGCCCTGGGTTTCAAGCACAAAACTGGGCAGCTGTTTGGGCAGACGCTGAGCTAGTTGCAGGAGTGTTTTTTTTTTTTTTTTCATACCCCAATTGTGCCCGGAACACCAGTGAGATAGAACCATTTACTCCCCTGGAAAGGGGGCTGAAGCCAGTGAGCCAAGTGCTCTAGCTCAGCAGATCTCACCCCCATGGAGTCCAGCAAACTAAGATCCACTGGTTTGAAATTCTCACTGTCAGTACAGCAGTCTGAAGTCAACCTGGGACGCTCAAGCTTGGTGGGGATAGGGGTGTCTGCCATTACTAAGGCTTGAGTAGATGGTTTCCCCCTCACAGTGTAAACAAAGCCGCCAGCAAGTTAGAACTGAGCGGAGCACACTGCACAGAGCCCGCTGCAGCTTGGCAAACCCACTGTAGCCAGACTGCCTCTCTAGAGTCCTCCTATCTGGGCAGGGCATCTCTGAAAGAAAGGCAGCAGCCCCAGTCAGGGGCTTATAGATAAAATTCCCATCTCCCTGGGATAGAGCACCTGGGAGAAGCGGCAGCTGTGGATGCAGCTTCAGCAGACTTAAATGTTCCTGCCTGCCAGCTCCAGCACTGCTCTGAAGAGAGCAGTGGATCTCCCAGCACAGTGCCTGAGCTCTGCTAAGGGACAGACTGCCTCCTCAAGTGGGTCCCTGGCCCCCATGCCTCCTGACTGGGAGACACCTCCCAGCAGGGGTTGACAGACACCTCATACAGGAGAGCTCCAGCTGGCATCTGGTGGGTGCCCCTCTGGGACGAAGCTTCCAGAGGATGGAACAGGCAGCAAACTTTGCTGTTCTGCAGCTTCTGCTGGTGACACCCAGACAAAGAGATTCTGGAGGAGACCTCCAGCAAACTCCAGCAGACCTGCAGCACAGAGGCCTGACTCTTAGAAGGAAAACTAACAAAAAGGAATAGCTTCAACATCAACAAAAAGGACATCCACACAGAAACCCCATCCAAAGGTCACCAACATCAAAGATCAAAGGTAGATAAATACACAAAGATGAGGAAAAACCAGTGCAAAAAATTTGAAAATTCCAAAAACCAGAACGCTTCTTCCCCTCCGAAGGATTACAACTCCTCACAAGCAAGGGAACAAAACTGGATGGAGAATGAGTTTGACAAATTGTCAGAAGTAGGCTTCAGAAGTTGGGCAATAACAAACTCCTGCGAGCTAAAGGAGCATGTTCTAACCCAATGCAAGGAAGCTAGGAATGTTGAAAAGAGGTTAGACAAATTGCTAACTAGAATAACCAGTTTAGAGAAGAACATAAATAACCTGATGAAGCTGAAAAACACAGTACAAGAATTTAGTGAAGCATACACAAGTTTCAATATCCAAATCAATCAAGGGGAAGAAATGATATCAGAGACTGAAGATCAACTTAATAAAATAAAGTGTGAAGACAAGATTAGATATGGAACATATGGGACTATGTGAAAAGACCAAACCTACGTTTGATTGGTGTACCTGAAAGTGACGAGGAGAATGGAACCAAGTTGGAAAACACTCTTCAGGATATTATCCAGGAGAACTTCCCCAACCTAGCAAGACAGCCCAACATTCAAATTCAGGAAATACAGAGAATAGCACAAAGATACTCCTTGAAAAGAGCAATCCGAAGACACATAATTGTCAGATTCACCAAGGTTGAAATGAAGGAAAAAAATGTTAAGGGCAGCCAGAGGGAAAGGTTGAGTTACCCACAAAGGGAAGCCCATCAGACTGACAGTGGATCTCTCTGCAGAAACCCTACAAGCCGGAAGAGAAGGGGAGCCAATATTCAACCCTCTTAAGGAAAAGAATTTTCAACCCAGAATTTTACATCCAGCCAAACTAAGCTTCATAAGCAAAGAAGAAATAAAATCCTTTATAGACAAGCAAATGCTGAGAGATTTTGTCACCACCAGGCCTGCCTTACAAGAGCTCCTGAAGGAAGCACTAAATATGGAAAGGAAAAACTGGTGCCAGCCCCTGAAAAAACTTACCAAATTGTAAAGACCATTGACACTATGAAGAAACTGCATCAACTAATGGGCAAAATAACCAGCTAGCATCATAATGACAGGATCAAATTCACACATAACAATATTAACCTTAAATGTAAACAGGCTCAATGCCCCAGTTAAAAGACACACACTGGCAAATTAGATAAAGAGTCAAGACCCATCAGTGTGCTGCATTCAGGAGACCCATCTCACATGCAAAGACACACACAGGCTCAAAATAAAGGGATGGAAGAATACTTACCAAGCAAATGGAAAGCAAAGAAAAAAAAAAAAGCAGGTGTTGCAATCCTAGTCTCTGATAAAACAGACTTTAAACCAACAAAGATCAAAAGAGACAAAGAAGGCCATTACATAATGGTAAAGGGATCAATGCAATAAGATGAGCTAACTATCCTAAATATATATGTACCCAATACAAGAGCACCTAGATTCATAAAGCAAGCCCTTAGAGACCTACAAAGAGACTTAGACTCCCACACAACAATAGTGGGAGACTTTAACACCCCACTGTCAATATTAGACAGATCAACGAGGCAGAAAATTAACAAGGATATTCAGGAATTGAACTCAGCTCTGGACCAAGCGGACCTAATAGACATCTACAGAACTCTCCACCCCATTCTGTTGAATGTAAATCAACAGAATATACATTCTTCTCAGCACCACATCACACTTATTCCAAAACTGACCACATAGTTGGAAGTAAAGCACTCCTCAGCAAATGTAAAAGAACAGAAATCATAACAGTCTCTCAGCCCACAGTGTAATCAAATTAGAACTCAGGATTAAGAAACTCACTCAAAACCACACAACTACATGGAAACTGAACAACCTGCTCCTGAATGACTACTGACTGGGTAAATAACAAAATTAAGGAAGAAATAAATAAGTTCTTTGAAACCAGTGAGAACAAAGACACAATATACCAGAATCTCTGGGACACAGCTAAAGCAGTGTTTAGAGGGAAATTTATAGCACTAAATGCCCACAGGAGAAAGTGGGAAAGATCTAAAATCAACACTCTAACATCATAGTTAAAAGAACTAGAGAAGCAAGAGCAAACAAATTCAAAAGCTAGCAGAAGTCAAGAAATAAGATCAGAGCAGAACTGAAGGAGATAGAGACAAGAAAAATCCTTCAAATAATCAATGAATCCAGGAGCTGTTTTTTTAAAAAAAAGATTAACAAAATAAACTGCTAGCCAGACTAATAAAGAAGAAAAGAGAGAAGAATCAAATAGACACAATAAAAAATGATAAAGGGAATATCACCACTGATCCTTCAGAAATACATACCACCATCAGAGAATATTATAAACACCTTTATGCAAATAAACTAGAAAATCTAGAAGAAAAGAATAAATTCCTGGACATGTACACCCTCCCAAGTCTAAACCAGGAAGAAGTTGAATCCCTGAATAGACCAATAACAAGTTCTGAAATTGAGGCAGTAATTAATAGTCTACGAATCAAAAAAAGCCCAGGAACAGATTGATTCACAGCCAAATTCTACCAAAGGTACAAAGAGGAGCTGGTACCATTCCATCTGAAACTATTCCAAATAATAGAAAAAGAAGGACTCCTTCCTAACTCATTTACTGAGGCCAGCATCATTCTGATACCAAAACCTGGCAGAGACACAACAAAAAAAGAAAATTTCAGGCCAATATCCTTGATGAACATCGAGGTAAAAATCCTCAATAAAATACTGGCAAACCAAATCCAGCAGCACATCAAAAAGCTTATCCACCACGATCAAGTTGACTTCATCCCTGGGATGCAAGATGGGTTTAACATACCTGAATCAATAAATGTAATCCATCACATCAACAGAACCAATGACAAAAACCACATGATTATCTCAATAGATACAGAAAAGGTCTTCAATAAAATTCAACAACACTTCATGTTAAAAACTCTCAAGAAACTAGGTATTGATGGAATGTATCTCAAAATAATAAGAGATATTCATGACAAACCCACAGCCAATATCATACTGAATGGGCAAAAGCTGGAAGCCTTCGCTTTGAAAACTGGCACGAGATAAGAATGCCCTCTCTCACCACTCCTATTCAACATAGTATTGGAAGTTCTGGCCAGGGCAATCAAGCAAGAGAAAGAAATAAGGGGTATTCAAATAGGAAGAGAAGAAGGCAAATTGTCTCTGTTTGCAGATGACATGATTGTATATTTAGAAAACCCCATCGTCTCAGCCCAAAATCTCCTTAAGCTGATAAGCAGCTTCAGCAAAGTCTCAGGATACAAAATCAATGTGCAAAAATCACAAGCATTCCTATACACCAATAACAGACAAACGGAGAGCCAAATCATGAGTGAACTCTCATTCACAATTGCTACAAAGACAATAAAATACCCAGGTAATACAACTTACAACGCATGTGAAGGACCTCTTCAAGGAGAACTACAAACCACTGCTCAAGGAAATAAGGGAGGACACAAACAAATGGAAAAACATTTGATGCTCATGGATAGGAAGAATCAATATCATCAAAATGGCCATACTGCCCAAAGTAATTTATAGATTCAGTGCTATCCACATCAAGCTACCATTGACTTTCTTCACAGAATTAGAAACGACTACTTTAAATTTCATAGGGAATTTTAAAAGATCCTGTATAGCCAAGGCAGTCCTAAGCAAAAAGAACAAAGCTGGAGTCATCACACTACCTGACTTCAAACTATGCTACAAGGCTACAGTCACCAAAACAGCATGGTACTGGTACAAAAACAGATATATAGACCAATGGAACAGAACAGAGGCCTCATAAATAATGCCACACATCTACAACCATCTGATCTTTGACAAACCTGACAAAAACAAGCAATGGGGAAAGGATTTCCTATTTAATAAATGGTGTTTGGAAAACTGGCTAGCCATATGTAGAAAAGTGAAACTGGACCCCTTCCTTACTCCTTATACAAAAATTAACTCAAGGTGGATTGAAGACTTAAACGTAAGACCTAAAACCATAAAAACCCTTGAAGAAAACCTAGGCAATACCATTCAGGACATAGGCATAGGCAAAGACTCATGACTAACACACCAGAAGCAATGGCAACAAAAGCCAAAATTGACAAATGGAATCTAATTAAACTAAAGAGCTTCTGCACAGCAAAAAAAAAAAAAAAACTATCATCAGAGTGAACAGGCAACCTATAGAATGGGAGAAAATGTTTGCAATCTATCCATCTGACAAAGGGCTAATATCTAGAATCTACAAGGAAGTTAAACAAATTTACAAGAAAAAAACAACCCCATCAATAAGTGGGTGTAGGATATGAACAGACACTTCACAAAAGAAGACATTTATGCGGCCAACAAACATATGAAAAAAAGCTCATCATCACTGGTCATTAGAGAAAGGCAAATCAAAACGACAATGAGATAGCATCTCACACCAGTTAGAATGCTAATTATTAAAAAGTCAGGAAACAACGGATGTCAGAGAGGATGCAGAGAAATAGGAACACTTTTACACTGTTGGTGGGAGTGTAAATTAGTTCAATCATTGTGGAAGACTGTGTGGTGATTCCTCAAGGATCTAGAACCAGAAATACCATTTGACCCAGCAATCCCATTACTGGGTATATACCCAAAGGATTATAAGTTATTCTACTATAAAGACCCATGCACACATTATGTTTATTGCAGCACTATTCACAATAGCAAACACTTGGAACCAACCCAAATGCCCATCAATGATAGACTGGATAAAGAAAATGTGGCACATATACACCATGGAATACTATGCAGCCATAAAAAAGGACGTGGATGAAGCTGGAAACCATCATTCTCAGCAAACTAACACAGGAATAGAAAACCAAACACCGCATGTTCTCACTCATAAGTGGGAGTTGAACAATGAAACCACATGGACACAGGGAGGGGAACATCATACACCAGGGCCTGTCGTGGGGTTGGGGGTATGGGGAGGGATGGCATTAAGAGAAATACCTAATGTAGACGACAGGTTAATGGGTGTGGAAAACCACCATGGCATGTGTATACTTATGTAACAAGCCTGCACATTCTGTACATATATCGCAGAACTTAAAGTATAATAATAAAAAAAGGTACTAAGAAAAAAAAAGAAAATGGAAAGATGATACAAAAATTCATAAGATGGTTATGCTTTTTTCCCCCACCAGCTATACATATCATCAATGTAGATAAAAACAAACTTACTTTTTAGAAGAGGTCTCCTAAAATGAAAGAAGAAAGCCAGAGATTTCAAAGATTTTAATCACACTTGTTGATTTGGAGGTCACTACACAGATTACAAAGGAAATCAGGAAACAGTTGTAAAGTGTGAACCAATGAATGAAACTCCTTTAGAATGTGGGCAAGGCTGGCTTCCTGGCAGGTGACCCATGCAGTCACCCAGGGTCCTACATTTAGAAGAGCCCTGTATTAGGCTTAATGCTCAGCTGTCGCTGTCTTGAAATTCTTAATAATTTTTGAACAAAGGGCTGTGCATTTTGATTTTGTACTGAGCTTCACAATTATGTAGCCAAACATGAATGTATAAATTGCTAAATATAATTCAATTCTAATCTCCTTGTTGCAATTTGATGAAAGTTATTGTGGGACTGTTTTTATTCATTTATTCATTCATGTTTGTTTGTTTGTTTTTGAAATGGAGTCTCGCTCTGTCGCCCAGGTTGGACATTTATTTAATGCTTATGATATTCATTCATGGATTAACTCCCATAATCCCTACACCTGCTCAACCACAGAGGGCATGAGGTGGTTAATATAGAGACAGAAACATCTGTGAGACAGGTCCTCTGCCCTGCTTCTCAGCTTCACAGTTTAGAAGCAACTCTACCAGTGGCTTGCGAAGAAGGATGAACGAATGACTCTCAGAAGCAAAAGCGAGTCAGAGACTGTGAAGAACATAGACTTTAGCCGTCATGGACCTTGTTTTGGATGCTTCCTCCATGTACCAGATCGTGACTCTAGGATAATTACTTTAACCTCTCTGTGACTCAGTTTCTTCATCTGTAAAGTTAGCATGATCTTAGCTGCTTTTTAAGTTTGTTGTGAAGATTATTTGAAATAAAATGTAGAAAATACTTGCTAGGGACCTGCACATAGTGTTTAGTTATTAACACTTCTATAAAGTCATAGAAATGTACTTTCCCTCTTGTCTGTAATTGCACTCTAGGGATTTTTTTTCCTAAGGGAAAAAAAAAGAATAAAACTACAGGCACAAAGATATTCCTTGGAGGATCATCCAAGGAATTTATTTTATTTTTAGAAAAGGATTAAAGATGCTTGTTATCTATAATAGCAAATAACTGGAAACAACCTAATTGCCCAACAGTAATGTAATATTGAAGGTAATTATGGAACATCAATATGATAGAATATTATGACGACACTAAAAACAATAATTATGGAAACAGCATAGTGACATGGAAATGGGTTTTAGTAGAATGTTATACAAGAGAAATAGAATGCAAAATGCCATGTCTGCTCCATGACAATAGGGACTATGTCAGTCTCTTTCACCACTATATAGCCAGCACCTAGTAAAGAATAAGCACTGGGCAAATATGTACTGAATGGAATATAAAAACATGTGGACCAGACTTGAAAAGTGACATGCAAATGTATGAAAATGGTACTGATGGCATTAAAGCAAGTTTTGTTTGTTTCTGTTGTTAAAAATAAAGGAGACAAGAAAGGGATGAAGCAAGGAATCAAAAAGAGTAGAAGGAAAGAAGGGAGAAAGGAAAAGAGGGAGGGAATGAGGGAGGTAAGGAAGCAGAACAAACCTAAAGCTCTTCTGTTTATGACATTGAAAGCTATGCTAACGTAATGGTTAAAAACCTAGACCTTCTCACACCTGTAATCCCAGCACTTTGGGAGGCCGAGGTGGGTGGATCACGAGGTCAGGAGATCGAGACCATCCTGGCTAACGCAGTGAAACCCTGTCTCTACTAAAAATACAAAAAATTAGCCGGGTGTAGTGGCAGGTGCCTGTAGTCCCAGCTACTCAGGAGGCTGAAGCAGGAGAATGGAGTGAACCCAGGAGGTGGAGCTTGCAGTGAGCCGAGATTGCGCCACTGCACTCCAACCTGGGCGACAGAGCAAGACTCCGTCTCAAAAAAAAAAAAAAAAAAAACCTGGACCTTAGAATCGCAGGAACTTACATTTGAATCTCAGATCCTACCCCTGCCCTTTGCCTAACTGGACAAGTTGGACAAGGTCAGTAACTTCTCTTAAATCTAATGCACAGATTTTAAATAGAGCCACTAACAGTACCAACCTCTTGGGAACACCATGGAGATAATTTATGCAAAGCACCCTGAATGACACATAATAGACAAGCAATCATATTCATTGCTTTTACCATTACCATTAACATCATTTTATAATCATAAAAAAATCTGAGCTGCTAACCTGTAGCAGAGAAAACAAATGATGATAAAACTGTCCAACCAGACCCCCAGAAAAGTGTCCTACAATATCACCAGGGGACATTGGTGCTGACCAACTGTCCTGAGCTCCTTAGAGGGATCCAAGAGAGAGGCATAGACAATTCCTCCAGTTTAAGGGATCTTGTTTCTCACAGATTCACTGAACCAAGGCATTCTCTCATCAAAAATTTTCTTGCACAGACCAACAGCAATGGCTTCATCCATAGAAATAATTAACATGCTTCTGGCAGCCTTTATTGATATTCGGTTTACAAAGCAGTGACCTAGAGATACGGCATCTCTTGCAGATTAATGGCTCACAAGGGTCATTACTGGTGCAAAGACACTTCCAGGGGTTACTGTTTCCTTCCAACTGGTTGTTAGCCCAGTTTCAACTACCAAATGCTTCATGCACACAAGGGTCTCCATTAGCAGTTGGGAAATGCATGCAGGAGCAAGATTTGCCTTCATACACTGCAGTTTGCATTTTTCTAAGCAAAGAGAAGGGGACTTAGTATTGAAATCAAATGTATAGTTATGCTGGAAATCTTCACAAAAAAAATCCTCTTCTGCATATAGCCAGTACAAGGTCTGTGTCACCACAGTTGGGATGGCTTGCTGCTCTCCCCAAAGCCATTCCCTGTTTCTTGTCTATAACAGAACACCTATTATATTCTGAGTGAAATTGTGCCCAGTCAAAAGACGACATTCCCCAGCTCTCCTTGTAGCTAGGATGGCTCCAGACCTTGTAAGATATCTGGGAAAGCCCTTCTTGCCATCTTGCCATCTTCCTTCCTGGCATGGTAACATGATAGCTGGAGTGCCCACAGGCAGCCTATGGCCTTAGGACATATTAAAGATGGTAGAGTCAAAAGCTGAAGGATCCAGGGTGCCTGCTGACTTCTGGAAGCTGCTACATTAACCCTAATCTGCTTACCTCCTATCCTTTTTCATATGAGGGAGGAAAAAAAAACTTTCAACAACTGTGCAGGGCTCAATGTCACCTTACTTGCAAGACAACAAGTGAGCCTGCCACGGTTTCAAGGATTCTGGCCGAAGACATGAGATTCCCAAGTCCGAGACTGAAGAGTTTATTACTCACAGCATAGCAAGCAGCATGAGCCCCGTGGTCGGGTCAGCTGCCCATTACCTCCCAGGTCCCAGGAGCCAATGAGGAGCAGCCATAGGGATTCTGTGCCTACCCAGCCTTGCCTCACAGCTGAGGAACCAACCACTTAGGAAACCCTGATTTTTTATAATGCGCTGTGAGCAAATGTGTCCAACCTTTACCTTGTAAGAACACACTATCTTTATTATACTACACAGCAAACAAGTCTATTCTCTGCCTCAGAGGGAGCCACTATCTCTATCTTCTAAAGCTGTTTGCAACAAATATTCTGGAGACAACACTCCAGAACAAAAGCTGCCAGTGCCTCTGCTCACAGAACGTGGGAAACGACCTCCCAACATCGTCTCCTTTGTGTAAGCCACTGTTATTTCCTGTCTACGTTGTTGACTGCAGAGTGAAATCCTCGCCAGTTTTTCCAATGGCTGGACCTTCTTGTCGTTTGCCTTGACACATAATAGAATCTCTGTCATGTGGCTCTGTAATAGATTCAGAGGCCACATAAGGTAGAAAAAAAACCAGGTTAACTCTGGAACCAAATTTCTGATTCGAGTCCCACTTCTCATTAGCTGTGTGACTTAAACAAGTTACTTAACTTCTCTGAGCTTGGTATTCTTATCTAAAAATTTGGAATAATAAAAGTAGCTACCTTATGGTACTGGTGAGGATCAACTGGGTTAATACACATAAAGCACCTACATAGTAGCTGGCACAGTCATATGTGAGCTGTGAGTAGAGAACTGTGCGGTGATCACAAGCACAACTTGGGAATTCTACAAACCTGAGTCTGAATCCCAGCTGCACCACTTATGAGCTAAAGGAGTGGGTGAGCATCTTAACCACTTCCCAGTACATTTATCTGTGACCCAGCATGCTGCCCTCAGAGAGCAAAAAGGTTAATGCTTATAGAATGTTTAGTACCATCCCTGGAACCACCGAAAACTCAGCAAAACAGCTATTGTTATTGCTATTAGTGTTCATTCTTGTGTTAGATTTAAAACTTGTTCTTTAATCGTTTTGAGACACCAGAAGACCCATGGACTTCTTACTCGCCACATGAATATTTTTAGTCAAATATTATTAAATTTCTCTGATTGCAGACCCCTTTAATCTTTTGGTTTCATTTTGACAGAGGTCATCTGGGGTCACCTCAACCTCATCAAATTCTTAGTCAATTCAATTGCATCATAGAAAAACACAAGTTCTTAGAGATAACCATTTTTATGCCTCTGAATCAGTGAAAAAGAATTTGGTCTTTCTTCTTTGAAAATGTCTCTGAACTCCATTTGTTCTAAATAATACTTTATGAGAAAGATCCAAGTGCTAACTGAAAGCATTTCATTCCCCATATAGTTAATAAAAATGAGATCTGGAATTTCTCATCTACACTAAAATCCTCCAATGCTATGCACATTTTAAAGATGAATCTAATGTATTGAAACAATTTCAGAAATTTGAAAGTTTAAAGATTTTATAGATTTTCTTAAAGATTGATTTGAATTATTTTTAAAATACATTTACTAGAATGTCACTATAGAAATTTCTTTATTTCATCACAGCTTTTTGACAGCTGAGAAAGGTCTCCTTCATATTTCTAAATTAGATCCTGTAATAAATGCACAGTCTTGACTTGAGACAGGTTTATTACATGACCAAAACCCCCAGCAGTAAGCTTATAATTAAGCGGTAATATTAATAGACAGTCAGCTTGGGCATGTGTTCCAATAATGTACAAAGCTCTGAAAAGAGCTGAACATTAGGCAATAGAAGGATTTTCCCCTTTATTAAAGTGTTTGGAATGATGTTTCATTCTAGCACGCTCCTACAAGTGCATCTCTACTCTTCATAACTTTTTCTCAAATTCACCAAAATAAATATTGGCCTATTTCTGCTAATATATTTTTCAACTCAAAAAATGGAACAGAAAACAATTCTGAAGAAATAGTCTCAAGAACTTTAAGGGCTATCATTATTGAGCCAGCAAGTCCAAATAGCAGACATTACACCAGAGTCAGACACAATACAACAAGCATTTATTGAAGAGTTACAAGAAGTTCACCCTTCATCATCTGGCAAACTTCTATTCATTCTCCAAAGAGGTTCAGGTATCCTCCCCTCTAGGAAGCCTTCCCTGATTTCCTTTAGCCCACAGTGAAATAGGCATAGGCATCCCCCCGTGTCATCTCACAGTTCCCTAAGCACATCTTGATCATTGTGTTTATCCTTCCACTTTGGTGTAATTTTTTCAAAGATTTAGTATTACTATTAGTGAATAATACTAATGTTGGCTTAGAACATAGCAGGTCCTCATGTAGGTGCTGTGACAATACAGGTTTTAAAGAATTGAAAACCTCTGGCTGGACTAATCAATAAAAAGAGAGAAGTCACAAATTTCTGATATTACAAATGAAATAGGTGGCGTCGCTACAGTACTTAAAGAGATGTTTTTAAAGTAATATTTTGAGCAATATGGTGCCATTAAATTTAACAAATTAGATAAAATGAACAAATTATTTGAAAGATACAAACACCAAAACTCAAGAAGAAAGTGACAACCTGAATAGCCCTATAACCCTACATCAATTAATGTTAAATTCATAGGTTAAAACTTTCCCACAAAGAAAACTCTAGGCCAGGTGGCTTCACTGGTAAATTCTATACGCTCTTCACAAAACATGAGGTGAGGTGACACACCCCAAATGATTTAAGAAAACCAGCATTACTCTGTTAACAAAACCAGTGAAGATATTGTTTTAAAAAGAAAACTACCATGAGCATGCATACCTCATGTACATGGATGTAACAAGTAACAAGTAGCAAAATCTAAAAACAGAATCCAACAACATGTAAGCCATGTAGAGTTCATCCCAATAATGTAAGGTTGTTTTAACTTTTGAAAAGCAATCAATGTAATTCAATGTATTAACAGGCTGAAGATGAAAAACATGATCATCTCAAAAGATACAGAAAAAGTGGCAAAATTCCACACCTCTTCACAATTAAAACTTTCAACAAATTAGGAATAGACAGCATCTGGTTGTAGATGTGTGGTGTTATTTCTGAGGCCTCTGTTCTGTTCCATTGGTCTATATACCTTTTTTGGTACCAGTACCATGATGTTTTGGTTACTGTAGCCTTTTATTATAGTTTGAAGTCAGGTAGCATGATGCCTCCAGCTTTGTTCTTTTTGCTTACGATTTTCTTGGCTATATGGGCTCTTTTTTGGTTCCGTATGAAGTTTAAAGTAGTTGTTTCTAATTCTGTGAAGAAAGTCAATGGTAGCTTGATGTGGATAGCATTGAATCCATAAATTACTTTGGCTAGTATGGCCATTTTCACGATATTGATTCTTCCTATCCATGAGCATCGAATGTTTTTCCATTTGTTTGTGTCCTCTCTTATTTCCTTGAGCAGTGGTTTGTAGTTCTCCTTGAAGAGGTCCTTCACATCCGTTGTAAGTTGTATTACCTAGGTATTTTATTGTCTTTGTAGCAATTGTGAATGAGAGTTCACTCGTGATTTGGCTCTCTGTTGTCTGTTATTGGTGTATAGGAATGCTTGTGATTTTTGCACATTGATTTTGTATCCTGAGACTTTGCTGAAGCTGCTTAACAGCTTAAGGAGATTTTGGGCTGAGACGATGGGGTTTTCTAAATATACAATCATGTCATCTGCAAACAGAGACAATTTGATGACAAACCTGACAAAAACAACCAATAGAGAAAGGATTCCCTATTTAATAAATGGTGTTGGGAAAATTGGCTAGCCACATGCAGAAAACTGACACTGGACCCCTTCCTTACACCCTATACAAAAATTAACTCAAGATGGATTAAAGACTTAAATGTTAGACCTAAAACCTTAAAAACCCTAGAAGAAAACCTAGGCAATACCATTCAGGACATAGGCATGGGCAAAGACTTCATGACTAAAACACCAAAAGCAATGGCAACAAAAGCCAAAATTGACAAATGGAATCTAATTAAACTAAAGAGCTTCTGCACAGCAAAAGAAACTATCATCAGAGTGAACAGGCAACCTAAAGAATGGGAGAAAATTTTTGCAATCTGTCCATCTGATGAAGGGCTAATATCCGGAATCTACAAGGAAGTTAAACAAATTTACAAGAAAAAAGCAAACAACCTCATCAAAAAGTGAGTGAAGGATATGAACAGACACTTCTCAAAATAAGACATTTATGTGGCCAAAAAACATGAAAAAAAAGTTCATCATCTCTGATCATTAGAGAAATGCAATTCAAAACCACAGTGAGATACCATCTCACGCCAGTTAGAATGGCAATCATTAAAAAGTCATGAAACAACAGATGCTGGAGAAGATGTGGAGAAATAGGAATGCTTTTACACTGTTCATGGGAGTGTAAATTAGTTCAATCATTGTGGAAGACAGTGTGACGATTCCTCAAGGATCTAGAACCAGAAATACCATTTAACGCAGCAATCCCATTACTGGTTATATACCCAAAGGATTATAAATCATTCCACTATAAAGACACATAGGCAGCACTGTTCACAATAGCAAAGACTTGGAACCAACCCAAATGCCCATCAATGATAGACTGGATGAAGAAAATGTGGCACATATATACCATGGAATACCATGCAGCCATAAAAAAGGATGAGATCATGTCCTTTGCAGGAACATGGATGAAGCTAGAAACCATCATTCTCAGCAAACTAACACAGGAATAGAAAACCAAACACTGCATGTTCTCACTCATAAGTGGGAGTTGAACAATGAGGACACATGGACACAGGGAGGGGAATATCAGATACCGGGGCCTGTTGAGGGGGTGGGGGGATAGGGGAGGAATAGCATTAGGAGAAATATCTAATGTAGATGACGGGTTGATGGGTGCAGCAAACAACCATGACTCGTGTATACCTATGTAACAAATCTGCACGTTCTGCACATGTATCCCAGAACAAGATGGAGAAGAGGAAGAAGAAGAGGAAGAGGAAGAAGAGGAGGAGAAGGAAGAGGAAGAGGAAATAGCATCACAGCATCTTAGTCGGCCTGGGCTGCTATAACAAAATATCATAAACTGGGTGGCTTAAACAACAAACATGCATCCCTCATAGTTCTGAAGGTTGAAAGTCAGATCAGAGTGCTAGCAGGATTGACTTTTTCTGGTTTATAGACAGCCATCTTCTTACTGTGTTCTCACATGGCAGAAAGAGAGCTAGCTAGCTCCCTGGCATGTTCTTTTAAGGGTACTAATCCCATTCATGAGGACTTTGTCCTCATGATCTATCACCTTCCAAAAACATCATCCCCAAATACCATCACATTGGCATTAGGGTTTCACCATATGAATTTGAGGAAGGAAGGAACACATTCAGTCCATTGAGAAAGGGAATTTCTTTAACCTGATAAAAGGCACATGTGAAAAACGTACAACAAACATCATACTGAAATGTTGACAGACTGAACATTTAACTTCTATTTCAGGAACAAGGCAAGAAGGTCTTCTGTCATCACCCTTATTCAATATTTTACTGGAGATTCTTGTCATCCTAATGTTGATGACAATCCTAACAACAAAAACAAATAAAATGTGTATGGAGGAAGTAAAAATCTGTTTATTGGCAAACTACGTAGTAGTAATCCTAAGGAATCTACCAGAAATAGCTACTAGAACTAATAATGGTGAGTTTAGGATACCAAGTTTTCAGAATTCAAGGCCAATGTTCAAAAGTCACTTAAATTTCTATGTACTAGGACTAAACAATTGCAAACTGAAAATGTAAAAGTACAAACTAAAATGGCATCAAAAATATGAAACACTTTGTAATAAATTTAAGAACGCGTAGCAAGACTTGTACTAAAAACTGCAAAACATTGCGACTGAAATTAAAGAGTGCCTAAAGAAACAGAAGGATACACCATAAATGCTCATGGATTGGAAGATTCCATGTTGCTAAGATGTCAGTTATCCCCATACTGATCTATATATTCAATGCATTTCCAATCACATTTCTAGCAGGAGTTGTTATGCAAATGAATGAGCTGATTCTAAAATTTATATGGAAATGCAAAGGACCTGAAATAGTCAAAATAATTTGTAAAAATAAAAATGTTAGGGAATTTACAAAACGCACTATAGAATTAAATAATCAAAATAGTGTGGCATCACTTTAATAATAGACATAAAAGCCAATGAAGGAGAATAAATATTCCAGGAATAGACTCACACATATAAAGCCAATTGATTATCAGCAAATGTACAATTCAATAGAAAAAGATAATTCTCAACTATCTTTTCTTGAAGATGGTACTGTAACAATCAGTTACCTATATTTTTTTAAAAAAACCTCATTCATTACCTCACAATACACCCAAAAAATAATTCAAAGTGGACCACAGACCTAAATGTAAGAGGAAAAATGATAAAATTTCAAGTAGAAAAACACAAGAAATAATTTTTATGATATTGAGTTAGGAAAAGATTTCTTAGATGGGACAAAAGCATGAACTGGAAATGAAAAATATTGATAAATTGAATTCATCAAAATTAAAACCTTTGTCCTGCATAAGATATTATTAATAAAATGAAAAAGCAAACCACAAATTAAGAGAAAATACTTTCAAAACGTATATGATAAAGGAATTACATCTAAAATATATTTTAAAAACTCTTACAACTCCACAATAAGAAGATCAAAAACAGATTAAAAATGGGCCCAAAATTTGAATAGTTACCCACACTAAAAACAACATATGAATAAAAAATTAGAATATAAAAAGACATTCAACATCATTACTCATTAAGGAAATGTGTTAAAACTCACTAAATTGTACATTGGAAAAAATACTACTAAAAATGTAATAAATTTAAAATACAAAATTATAATGAGATATCACTTCACACCAAATAAAATTTTAGACTTAAATTGAACAGACTAATGGCAAGTGTTAATAAGACTATGGAACAGTTCGAATTCTCATGTAGCATTAGTGGGAATGCAAAATATTAGTTGCCTTGGGAAACAGACTGGCAGTTACTTTTTTTTTTATTATCATACTTTAAGTTTTATGGTACACGTGCACAACGTGCAGGTTTGTTACATATGTATACATGTGCCATGTTGGTGTGCTGCACCCATTAACTCGCCATTTAACATTAGGTATATCTCCTAATGCTATCCCTCCCCCCTCCCCCCACCCCACAACTTGCCCCAGTGTGTGATGTTCCCCTTCCTGTGTCCACGTGTTCTCATTGTTCAATTCCCACCTATGAGTGAGAACATGCGGTGTTTAGTTTTTTGTCCTTGTGATAGTTTGCTGAGAATGATGGTTTCCAGCTTCATCCATGTCCCTAAAAGGACAGGAACTCTTCATTTTTTATGGCTGCATAGTGTTCCACGGTGTATATGTGCCACATTTTCTTAATACAGACCAGCAGTTTCTTGTAACGAAACTATCCACATAATCCAGCAATCTTAAGACTTTTACCTAAGACAAGTCAAAACCTATATTTATGTAGAGATGTGTATCCAAACGTGCATGGCAGCTTTACTCATAATAACTATAAACTGAAAACAACTCAAATGTCCATCAATGGGTGAATGGATGAATACATTGTGAGGTAACCATTCAAAAGAGTATTACTCAGGAATACAGAGAACTAACTGCTCATACACACACCAACATGCATGAGGCTCCGAAGCAGCATACTAAGTAAAAGCAGCCAGGTGCAAAAGACTACATACTGTGTAATTTCATTGATACAAAAATCTAGAAAAGGTAAAACTGTAGTGACAAAAACCCAAATTCATAATCACCTGTGGCTGAGAGTAGGGGAGATTATTTCCAAATGGGACCTTTTCAGGATAAAAGTTTTGTGTTGCGACCATGGTGAAGGCCTCATAATTATATATTTGCAATCTCACTACCTAACCATTGTTAACATTCTTAGTGTGTTTTCTTCCGATCTCTTTTTTTCTCCCCTAAATGTCTTAGAATTTGTTCTAAGGAAATAATCAGAAATGCACCAACATATTAGAGTTTAAAAATTCATTAAAAATTGAAAACAACTAAAATATCTAACAACATAAACATAAACAAATAACAAATAACAATACATCCCTTTAAGGTAATATTATTGTAGCCAATGAAAGTCACATTTTCATACAATTTGTAATGACACATGGAAATACTTATGACACAATGTAAAGTACACAAGTTAGAGAATACTTTATATTCATGTGTCTTTGTATATACAATGTATAAATAAATATACGCATAGAATTTTGTGATTTCTTTGTTCTAAAACAGGGCAATACTACCCAATCAATGTAAAAATGCCAAAAAGTTTTCTAGAACTGGCATTTGAAAGAAAATTAACATATGAAACAAGGTCATGCAAAGTTAACTTGATTGTCCTTCTCTTTTCTCTTCTGAGGGATGAGGAGTCCTATTTGCTCAATAATCTGGTTGTCAGACTTACAGCAGGGGCCGTGTCCACAGTACCCATTTACAGGGGACTCTCAGGCAGTACAACAAATTTGACAATACATTGAGACTAAAGAAAGTACAGATATTCCAGAATGAGTATGAAAATGAACTTGAAATCATATTTTAGGGACTTGGGGACTTGAGAACACTAACAATCTTCATACTATGAAGCAGTATGGTTTCATAAAGGACTCTGGAGGATTCATAGCCACTTGAGCAAGTCACTTAGCTTGAGATCTGCCTCCATTTCTGGAAAATGGAGAACAATGCTTTCCATGATCCCTGCCTCACAGGTGCAGCAAAAATCAAAGGAGGTAACATATGAAAAATCAATTTTGAATTTACAAATCACAAGTACAAGGTGAGGCAGGATTATTATGTGACTTTGGGGCCATTAATAATTAGCAGCAACTTGACTGTGTTTCTCATCTACTGTGGAAATAGGAAATAACTGGAGCTCACAGGGCAAATTACCTACTACTAGTTGCTATCCCCAGACAGTGACCAAGAGACTTGTAACCACAGCCACAGAAGTAGACGGACTAATTTCAGGACCCTATCCCAAAATGTTACCCTTCCCCAAGCTGGTGTACTAGAGAGACTACTGCATGTTAAGCAATAGAGACCTAAGTTTAATTATCAGCTACATGACAAATGATGCATTATTTAATTTCACTGAGGCCAGTTGCATCTATTATTGAATGAGAATGCTAAAACCTCCCCCCAGGGTTGTTATGAGGTATATATGAAATAGAATGTGTTGATTCTCAACAGATCCTATGGCAGAGATTAGGTACCAAATGCATGCTCACTCTCCTTCTTGACTTAGATTTCCAGAAATTTCTCTAATTAGTGACACTCAGTGACAGCCCTTTTCACATTCAGAAATCAGCAAGGGATTGGGAATGGCTGGAGAGGCAAGTACCTGTCCCCAAATATTCAGGCAAAAATCTGTAACTGTTAAAAACAAGGAATAACTGCCAAAAAGTAAATATGACATATACAATAGTGAAATAGCTCATAATTCTATTTACTTCAAGCCTGTATTTAATAAATGGAAATGCAAAAATCAAGATGGAGAAAAAAAACTATAGTAACTTTCTCCAGGGAGAAAAAACAAAACAAAAAACATGGGGCTTACTGGTGTCTTCAGTTAAAAGCATTCTTGTAAAGATGTGTTTTGTTGGCAGTGTTTGTTGGCAGATGCTATTCAGAACCAAGGACAGGGCAACCCTTTGGTCAAATATACTGAGGTCTGCACCAACAGGATGCTGGAACACTGAGAACAATTCTTCACGCATCATCCTCATGATGATACTTTGCATCAAAACAGCACTTCATATTTTTCAAACAATTTTCAAATACTTTATCACAGTTGAGGAGTATGAGGCAAGCAATGCAGATATCTCATTTTACAGATAAGAAAACTGAGTTGTAGAGAAAGAGAGAGAGCTACCAAAATGGTTGTACTGCACACTAAACCCAAGCCCAGACTATTATATTTTTAGAATTACAAGGGTGATACTTTGAGCTGAAATATGTCAAACTGGCATGCCTATGCAATTTTCCATATACTTCAGATATTTATTTCATATAGAGGCAGGGTCTCACTCTGTTGCCCAAGCTTGAGTACAGTGGTGCAGTCATTGCTTTCTGCAGCCTCAAACTCCTGGGCTCAAGTGATCCTCCCACCTCAGCCTCCATAGTAGTTAGGAATACAAGCATGCACCATGCCCGGCTAATTTTTTAATTTTTGTAGAGATGAGGTCTCTCTCTGTTGCCAAGGCTCATCTCCAACTCCTGGCCTCAAGCAATCCTCCTGCCTCAGCCTCCCAAAGTGCTGAGATTACAAGGCATGAGCCACCATACCTGGCAGAGATATTCTTTTTAAAAATAAAAAAAAAACTCACAATTTAGAAATTCTTTCTTTCAAATGTATCTGATTAAGAATTATGAAGAAAACATTCTAAAATCAATATTTTAAAACTAGTTTGCATCATAAACTAGAAGAGAATGGAAACTTGTGTCAAACGATAGCCAGTCCATGAACGTTTTTGCTGTGATTTTTAGAAGACGTATCTGCATACCACCAGCTTCCATACAGAGCTCTTTGATGGTAGGTGGTGGCAAAGAAAACAGGCTTTATAGAAGTTTCTACACAACAGTGTGAGAGGCTTCCATGAATGGAAAGCCTCTTAGTTCAAGCTGTCTTAGTTCCTGAGGAAACGTGTCTGGCTATTGCAAAAGATTTTGTTGAACAAGGGCACAAATCAAGGTGAAGTTCTTCTCCTTTCCTTGAAGCAGAGATGACTACAAATAGAACACAGTAATAATAGGCAGGCAGGACTATTATATTCTTTTAAAAATTGGGCACAGCAAGAAGTTGATAGCTCCTAGGTAAATGTGACAGGAATTGAAAGCACAATAGAATCTAAATCCATCCAACTGCCAAACAGTAATATCCTGACAAAATTAGGGTTTTTTTTTACGAAAGAATGCATTTCCCCACCATCTTCTCTACCCTCCTAGTTTTCCTTCTATGGAGAGTTCCACTAACAACATCTTAATTGATTACGACTGATTGGAATTTTAGTCACTCCAAAGACTACACTTGGCCCCGCCCCCAAGGGCCATTTTAAAGCGATGTATTTCAGCACTATGTGGTGTTCATGCAGATAGCAAGTTGTTAATAGAATCTAGGAAGATGTTCTTTGGCAGAAAATGATTTCATAGACATTTTTCATTATGATAGATGTGGTATTACAGCTGTTATATAAAATTTCAAGCTGTGTTGCAGCTTTGTCACTAGTGTTATAAATCACTCACTCGTATATTAAAGTCTGTGGAAAGCAACTGGAGGGGAAAAAAACTCTCATCTTCTATTTACAGACTAGGTATAATTTGGCATTATTCTTAAAGGTTCAAGGCAGCTTAGAGAATCTGTATTCAGTGCTTATGTGAGGATCAGGAGATCACATTCCATTACTGCTGAGTTGGGAAGGAACCATCCACACAGTGAGTTAACATTTTCTGCCATAAATGTGAAGGTAAAGTAAGTTCATGCTTCCAAGAGACTGGGGACAGAGAACTCCATTGCCATTTGCAAGATAAGCTAGGAAGAGAATTAATTAAAATTAATAAATTATATACATTAGAAGCAGTTTTGTGCCAGTAATACAATTTATTTTATACAATGGAAGTATGTGTACATATTGGTCTTTCTGTCTTTGTAGGCAATCAAAATATGTAACTCTATACTATAATACCAGTTGAGCAAAGAAGGTCCTAATTTGAAGTATTCCAAATTTAAGTATGCCCTCTCTCTCTCTCTCTCTCTCTAAACCATATTAGATTTTGAGTAATTTAAACAGAGTATGGGAGAAAAAAACAGAGAGGCAAAGACTGATCACAGAAGTACACTTGCTCATTTTTCTGTATAGTGTACACCGCTTTTAGCCCTCCTCACATAGGTGAGATTCCTTTTGATCACAGTGGTCTGAAACCCAATTGCTAATTGGTGGAGGTAGAGTGGGGATATGGACCGAGGGGATTTCCCCATCATCTACAGCTAAACCTCTAAGCCAGTGGTCCTCAACAGGGAGGTTATTTTGCCTGCCAGGGGCCATTGCCAATGTCTGGAGACATTTTTCATTGTCAGAATTAGAAAGGGTTCCACCAGCATCTGACGAGTAAAGGCCATGGATTCTGGTAAACATCCTACAATGCACAGAATAGCCCCCACAACAAAGCATTATCTGGCCCGCAATGTCACAGTGCTGAGGTTGAGAAACTGGTCTAGGGTTAACCAGGCAAACCCTCCAGTCAAGAGGGTTGTGATGATCTGATCTTTTTTGATTGGTCTTTTAAGGAAAGTAACTGTGAGCCCAGGGTGGATTCTGATTCCAACTTCATTTTCATTATTGGGACATGGTTCTACTATTTACAGAGATGCAAGAATGTTATATTTCTAAACAAAAGAGGCTTTCACCCGAGGAATTGGGGCATTCATTTTCTTCAGTGCAGACCTTTGAATGTCCTGTAGGAAACAAAATGGAGCACAACAGCAGTTATGCTCTGTTTGAAGAACGCACTTTCCACTCCTGAGAAGAAAAACTATCATAGGATGGTGCAAGGGTTCAGGCCAGTCTGTAAATGTCCCAGAAAATTCTCTGTAACTGTGTTACTAACACAATTACTGAAGGGGAAAGAATGGAAAGAGAATACAAAGAAGGGAGGGATGGAGGCCATTACACACTAAAATTTTGTCCCAGTTAATTCTTAAAATCCTGTAATTGGGTTGTGTTTTGTATAATTTGTACCAAGGAAAACATGAAGTTCAAAGCTATTGGGTAACTTGGCCCAAGTCCCATCCCTAGTAAATAAAAGAGCTGGAATTTGGACCCAGTCTGTCTGAATATAAATTCCTTTTTTTTTAGCTTTGTCACACCATAAGATGCCACATTAGAGAATCATTCCTATGCTTAACTCATTCTTGATCACAGGAGCCAGTGTGGGAAAGTGGTGACAGACTGGGCTTACTGCTTTGAAATAACAAATTTGGTAAAAGTCAAACGTGGTTATGAAATCCAAAGAGACTCGTTGATTAATGAGCAAATCTTCATCAATTCTAGATTGCACGTGAATAGAAGCACACAAATACACACAGGCAAACACTACGATGGGAGCACAAAGCCAATGAAAGAAAAGCTGCTCTCCGACTCCTCTCAAGTATCTTCTCTGCCAGTGTTTCCCTAGAACACGGAGGTTTGATTTGCATTATGTTAAGGAAATTTTTTTGTGATTTCACTCCCCAAAAAGTGTTCTCTGATTATTTAAGACTTACTACTCTGCTTTCTAGAAAGATTTAAAACACATGCAATTTGAACTTCCCCTATGTCGTTACAATCAGGCCACAAAGAATTTCCCATTTTGTATTTTAAACCATTAGATTAATAGTTTTTGATCTCAAATATGCACCACATCTGAGAAAGTATGTCATGCCTCCTTGGAAATAATAATTTTCAGGGGCTCCTCACATCATTCAAAAGACCAAAGCCTATTATTCAAAGTCCACCACTATTCGATCTCAAACCACACTCCCCAACCTTTCTCTCCACAACCAAATTACTAACTTGTTTCTCAAAGCCATCCCACATATTCTCACCTCTTCATCTGACTCTCTCCATTTATCCTGCCTAGTGGGCCTCCCCTTTCCCTCCTCCATCCTCCAGACTCAGCATGTATCTGAAGCCCATCATTCCACGGGAGCTCACCCCAGTGAATCCAATAGACACTGAACATAAGTTTGGCCCATTCATTGAGCAACTATTAATTCAACAAGTACTTACTAAGTCTCTCTATGATAGTCAGTGATCTGTTTGCACACATAAGCTTGTCTGCTCCACTAGACTATAAGCTCTTTGAAAATAAAGGTATGCCTTATTTACCTCATTAACTCCAGAATAACACCAGGTCAGGCACCCAGCACACTTTCAATAATGTTCACAACACAGTAATATTGCAGACATGATTACTTTGCTCTCTACAACTATAAGACACTGGAACTCATCCAAATGCCCAACCACTGAAGAATGGTAAAGTAGATTAAGATACATCAAGAAGCAGAAAATTAGGAAGTATGTAAGCAATCATTACAAACACTATGGCTCCTTCTCCTCTTGCAAATCATCCACACCAATTCCCATTCTCTTCACTCTGGAAAAACTGACTTCTCTTAACTCACATCCTCACTATACCCAGGACAGACTTTTTATAAGAACATTCACAGCATGCTAGAATTACATTCTTATGGGGAGAAGTATAGATTTGGACGAGATACCTTCATTAGCCACTTGAATAAACGATGAACCCCAAAGAGCATTCTAGGTTATTAAGAAAAGACTGTGAAACCACCTTCTAAGGAAAATCGGAGACTTTGGGTTTGTAGAAATATGGGCATTCAAGTTTGGTAGTAAAGCTGAACTGCTCAGATAACAGAAAAAAAAGACCAAATGCTCTGTAAAGGAAGCATGAAGGAGAAAGAAAGAAAAATGCCAGTAAGGATATAGGAGAGAGAAATTATGGAACTCAATGAGATGTAGTGAAGGTTTTGAGGAATTTATTATCAGGCATGTGATGGAAGGCTAGCTCTCCATTGGTCTCTTCTGTTTCTGCACTGACCTTTGTCTCAGACTGTCTTTCCAAGGACACTTGTATAGCAAAGAGCTTTGGAAGTTAGAGGCAGTGTCTCCTTCCAGAGCAAATGGCAGATTTGTTCATTTCTAATATAAAAAAGACAATGTTTACCCCAAGGCAAATATCTGGCAGGCTTATTGCCCATTAGAAAATATTCAAGTTTCAGCTGAGCATGGTGTTTTGGGCCTATAATCCCAGCTACTCAGGAGGTTGAAGCAAGAGGATCACTTGAGAGACTAGGACTTCGAAACTAGCCTGGGCAACACAGGGAAACCTCTCTCTTAAAAACTAAAAAAAAAAAAAAAAAAAAAAAAAAAAGCCAGGCATGGTGGCATGGTGAAGCCTGTAGTCCCAGCTACTAGGCAGGCTGATGTGGAAGGATTACTTCAACGCTATAGTGAACTATGATCACACCACTGCCTCCTGCCTGGGTGACTTCATCTCTAAAAAAATTAAAAAACTAAATTCTAAAAAATTCAAGTTTCCTAAATTTGGTATTCTTCTCTTGTAACCAATGTGCTGCATGTGCAGATGTTATCTGGCTCTCTTTGTGTCACCCTGTGGGATTTGGCTCAGGCAACAAAAAAAGATGCTGATACTCTGACAATTATTATTGCTATGAATAACAAAATGCCTTTTGTCTCTGACCCAGGAGTTTCATGTCTTCTGCTAGCATCCACGAAACTGTGGCAGGCCACACAAAAGTATAATGAGATCCAAAGATCTTGAAAGTGTGTTGACGTAAACACTTTCTTAAATCTAGCCTATGAAATCTTAAGTAAGTTTTGCATTGTTTACCAATGTTTCTGTTGTAGATGGCTTGTTTTGGGAGAATGCAGAGTTTCTAGAGTCAGTGTCTAGATTGATACATTAAAAAATCAGAGAAATCACCATGTGGACAGTGGAAGTAGACCTTGAGGATACACTTAAATAGTTGAGAGATCTTTCCTATTCTGAGCTTCGTGAAGGAAGAGATCATATTCTGTCTACTTTACAGCCCCTGTGTTAGCCGAGTGCCTGACTTGAAGTAACATCACACCCAGTAAAGGCTGGATGATTGAATGACTGAATGGCATAGGGCACCATGCTTATAATGCACCCTTGATAGTCAACACCCAAACTGTTCCTTTTAAAATATGAACCTGGCCATTTCACTTCTCTTCCCTCAACTCTTAGACGACTTTCTGTCATGCTTAGGATACAAGCAAAAGCTCTTCTTAAGGCCTCCAAGGACCCATATAATCTGAGCCTTGACTCTATTCTTCTCCCACTTATGTCCTTGCTCCCTGCTTGCCATATTCTTCCCTTAGACATTCAGATGTCTCACTCCATTTGATATGGTTTGGATCTGGATCCCCACCCAAACCTCATGCCAAATTTTAATCCCCAGTGTTGGAGATGGGACCTGGTGGGAGGTGACTGGATCATGGAGACAGGTTTCTCTTGAATGGTTTAGCACCATCCCTTTGGTGTTGTTCTCATGACAGTGAGTAAATTCTCACGAAATCTGGTTGTTAAAAAGTGTGTGTCACCTCTCCCCCATCTCTCTTCCTCCTGCTCCTGCCATGTAAGACGTGCTGCTTCCCCTTCATCTTCCACCATGATTGTAAGTTTCCTGAGGCCTCCTTAGAAGCAGAAGCCACCATGCTTCCTGTACAACCTGGGAAACTGAATCAATTAAACCTTTTCTTTAAAAATTACCCAGTCTCAGGTATTTCTTTTTAGCAGTGCAAGAATGGACTAATACACCATTGTATCCAAATTTCACCTCATCAGAGATGCTTTCTGCAAACACCAATCTAAAAGAGCACCTCGTCCCTCTCCCACTTTATCATACTTTTTTTTTAATTCACTCTTCATAGTACCTGCCATTCTATTATGTATTGATTTGTTTGTTTGCTTATTATCTGTCTCCCTAACCAGACTGTCAGCTCCACCAGGGCAGGGACTTTGTTTCATTCACTAACTATATCCCAGCATTTAAAGAGTTCTTGGGATGTAGTAGGAGCTTAATAATTAAGTGTGCAATGAATGGATTAGAGAAGAGGAGGAGAAGGAAGGAAAGGGAATGAAGGAGATGGGGAAGAGAGGGGAAGAAGGGAGTGAAAAAAAAGAGAGAAAAGGATGAAAGAAAGAAGAAAAAAGGCAGCCACCATAATAAGAAGCATCACTAATTGATGCTGCTGAGCTGCAAGGGTCTCAGAGAGGGTCTCAGGGTCTGTATCCTCTTCTATTGTAATGGGATATCCTTTTCTGGCTTCCAAAAACAGCCCTTTCCCTCTAATAGCTGTTATGTCAGAAATGGAAACAAAGATAGTGTCTCTGATTAAGTGATGCATTCTGGGAAACCGGTACAACTTCCTGGTACAGAGGCAGGAAATTTTACCTCAACCTGCAAGGAAAAGCTAATCGGAGTCCTTTGGCTTTCTCTTTCCCAGCTTCTCATTTAAGTAAGTAGTTACTGATGGCTACAAGATATTCTAATACCACTGCAAATGCCTGGCTGGGTTTTAGCTGTTTTCACACTTGAATTTTCTGCTTTAATAACTGGAACATAGAAATCTTAGTTAAGTTCGGTCATAAGCCTTGAATAAAATGAATCATTTAATCATGAAGAAAATTCCCCAGTTGAAATAAACAAGCAGATTTTAAACAATTCTATATATCTAGGGTTTCACAATATTCTCAAAGGAGACATGTATAAAAATTATAAATATCTAAAATAATCCTGTATCTTAGAGAGCTTAGACAGCCTCAGCTCCAGTGAATGAATGTAAAGTACAAAGTAAATGAGGCTTAATTGCATTAGAACACCTGCATAATTGATCATTTCACCACAACTGCAGTCTAAAATCATGATGTCTGAGGTGATCAAACTGCACTGTGGGAAGTAAATAGTAAAGCCTTTTCAGGTCAGATCCAGCCCCTCAAATCTTTCTGTTGATTTTATTTGTTTGGCTTTTGGTTGATTGGTTGCTCTGTCTGTTGGGTTTCTGCCTCCTTCTTGTTCCTGAGACCATTTATAATGAATTTGCATGTAATGGAGTTTCAAGGAAGTTTGAAGATATCTAGGTGCTTCTGCTTGGTGGTAATAGAAGATGAGGGGATATTACAACACAACCAGAGGACTCTAACTCAGGTCCTGTGTGATAAAAATAAACAAGCCTACACTAGGGCAGATTTTGAATCCGAGAGGAGAGGGGACTGTGTTTCAAACCCACCCTATTTAAGTTCCATTCTACTTAGGTTCCCCTCGGCTTTAAAAGCTGTAAGGCAGAGATCAAAACCCTTTTGTAAACTGCCTCTAAGTAACGCAGCAAATGGCTTCTTGCAGCTAAGGCTGGATCATTACAGTACAAAGCAGCAGTATTAAAGTAGGAGACTCTTTATTTCAGGGGAAAGGCTCATTTCCTGCAAAAAAAATTTTTACAATTTGCATTGGGCTCTTTAATAGTATCTAACTGATAGATTTCAATTATACAGGAACAAAAAGTAAGTGTGGCCACTGCTTACAGGCTGGAGATCAGTCATGTATCCTGGAAATCTTATCATTAGAGGGGGAATCCAACCTTTGGCCCCAGTGAAGAATTTTACTCATCTACCTAGAAGATGACTGAAAAGAAACCCGGAGTGTAATGAGAGAATTAGTGCCGCAGCCAGTGCACACAGAATGATTTTAAATAAAGTATGAATTATTCTCAGCTGTTGAGACTTTATTCATAGGAAAGAGAAAGCCAGACACAGCAAAGAAGAATAAAAAACACGGCCTGAAGATCCCATGTTCTCTCAAAACCCTAACCCTTCTATTCTGAGTATTCATCAATATTTAATTTCCTCATTTATTTTATCTTTCCATTTCCACAACCCTGTGTTCTGTTCAGCTGAATGGTGCTGTGTGTCTAGACACCAGTGAAAATTGGTAGCCTCACATGAATGGTGACCCATTACTCTGTTGAGTTCACTAAGTACACGTTGAGTGCCTATTGTGTGCGAGGCTCTGAAATATGAAGACAGGAAGAGACAACTCCAAACTATTACTAGAAATTCATCCCTGGAGCCAGACAGCAAAGGTCTCATTTGGCCACTCACTACTCTGTGACATCACTTAACTTTCCTCATTTGCAAAATGTGGATAACAATACTACCCATCACAGCGTTGGACAAATATTATATGTTAATATTTGTAAAATACTTAGAATAGTGGCAGTGTCATATCATGTTAGCTTTACTATTACTTTGTAGGAGGCTTCAGACTAGGAAAAGAAACAAAAACAATAATTCCAACCTTAAAGGATAAATGCTGTGATATTGATTAGCACTAGAGCTTTGAGAGTACAGAGGAAGGCCTAAATGGGAAGGAGGGGAGTTGGACTGAAATAAGGAAAGATTTTCAATAAGAGATGAAACCTAACTAAAATGTTTTTGAAAGAAAACAAAAACCTAACCAGTAGCCTATACCAGCTGTACAAATTTCCACTTCTGCCTTAAGAAGCGGGCTTTTCTCTACAGCTCATTCCTTTTCCCAAAACTAAAGCTTAGAATCATATTTACATAGGGAAATTCTTCCTGCTCCAGCTTCGCCCAAGAGTATACTCTTTCTGCAGGCCTCTGCACTTCTGGTAGGTATCACCTACTTCCAGTAATTAAGAACATGGAAACGGATGCAAGATTGCTGTGGGTCAAATTCCAGTTTTGCCACTCCTGGCTCTGAAACCTTAGACAAGTTACTTAACCTTATGATGATTCAATTTCGTCAGAGGTAAAATGGGGACCATAATAGTGCCTACCTCTGGGTGGTTATGAGGATTAAATAAATTAATAGTTGTGAAGCATTTAGAACAATGCCTGGCATATTATAAGTACTATGTGGATGGAGATGATGATCATTGACACTTTTTTAAAAACAACAATTTTCCCAAGATCAGAAGTGGCAGTCTTGGTCTGTAGAATCCTGTTGACCAACTCAAGTCTTTTTGTTTTCAACAGCTTTAGGAGTTACATTTGACATAAATACATTGCAGACATTCAGTGTATAAAATTTGATAACTTTTTCCCAGCCACTCAGGAGGCTGAGGCAGGAGAATGGCGTGAACCCGGGAGGCGGAGCTTGCAGTGAGCCGAGATCGCACCACTGCACTCCAGCCTGGGAAACACAGTGAGACTCCATCTCAAAAAAAAAAAAAAAAAAAAAAAAAAAAAAAATGATAACTTTTGAAACGTGTATACCTGTAAAAAAAAAAAAAAAAATACCATCACCATAATTAAGATAAATTTCCTTTGTAATCCCTACCACGGTCACCTCCTTCCCTATCTCATCCTTGTGCAACCGTTAATCTGCATTGTCATTATAGATTAGTTTGCATTTTACAGAATTTTATATAAATGGAACCATCCAATGTGTACTCTTTTTTGGTCTGGCTTTTTTCATGCAGCATAACCATTTTGAGATTCATCCAGGTTGTAGCAGGTATCAGTGGTTCATTCTTTGTCATTGAGGAGTAGCAGTATGTGAATAAAACATAGATTGTTTATCCATTCACCTGATGACTGGCTTTTGGGTTGTTTCAGTTTGGGGCTATTAAAAATAAGCTGCTATGAACATTCATATGTGCATCTTTGTATGAATACATGCTCTTATTTACCTTGGGCACATGGCTAAATATGGTTCCTGTAGGTTTAACTTTTGAGAAACTCCCAAACTGCTTTCCACATGGTTGTACCATTTTACCCTCCCTTCAATAATGTGTGTTTCTTCCCAGTTTCTCCACATCCTCACCAATCCTTGGCTTGGTCAGTCTTTTTGATTTTGCCCATTCTACTAGGTATGCAGTGGTATCTCAATATAATTTTAATTTTAATTCCCCTAACAAATAATGATGCTGAGCATCTTTTCAGATGCTTATTTGTCATATATATTTTTTATCTGATGAAGCCTCTTTTCAAATCTTTTGCCTATTTTTAGTTGGGTTGCTTGATTTCTCATTAGTGAGTTTTGAGGGTTTTTGATATAATCTGGATATAAGTTCTTTATCAGATATACGATATGCAAATATTTTCTTCGAGTGTGCTTCTTGTCTGTTTATTCTTCTACAGTGTCTTTTAAAAAGGAGATATTTTTAATTTTGATGAAGTTTATCAATTTGTTTTGTTATGGATCATGCTTTTGATTTAGTGTCTAACAAATCTTTACCCAAATCAGGTCTCAAAGAATTTCTCCTATGGCTTTTTTCCTAGACTTTTTATGGTTTTAGGCTTTATATTTAGGTCTAAGATTCTGTTTGAGGTAATTTTTTATATGATTAGGGATATGAACCAAAGTTCATTTCTTTACATGTGGATAGCCGATGGTTTCAGCACCATTTGTTGAAAAGAATATCCTTTCTATGCTGAATTGTCTTGCACCTTTGTCAAAAGCAGTTGTCTATATATGTAAGGGTCAATTTCTGGACTCTCTATTCTGTTCCATTTACATATTTATCTATCTTTTAAGCCAGTACCACACTGTCTTGATTATTATAGGTCTGTAATGAGTGTTAAAATCAAGTAAAATTCATCTACCAATTTTTTTCTTCTTTTTCAAAGTAGTTTTGGCTATTCTAGATCCTTTGTCCTTCCATATGAATTTTAGAATCAGCTTATTGATTTCTATCCAAATTCTTGTTGGAAACTGTAAAAATCCTAGAAGAAAACCTAGGAAATGCCATTCTGGATATGGCCCTTAGGGAAGAATTTATGACTAAGTCCTCAAAAGCAATTGCAACAAAAACAAAAATTCACAAGTGGGACCTAATCAAACTAAAGGACTTCTGCACAGCAAAAGAAACTGTAAACAGAGTAAACAGACAACATACAGAATGGGAGAAAATATTCACAAACTCTGTATCTGACAAAGTTCTAATACCCAGAATCTATAAGAAACTTAAACAACAGAACAAGAAAAAAACAGCCCCATGTTTAAAAAATGGGCAAAAGTCATGAACAGAGACTTCTCAAAAGAAGACATACAAAAATCCAACAAACATATGAAGAAATTTTTATCATCACTAATCATCATAGAAATGCAAATCAGAATGACAATGAGATACCATCTCATGCCCATCAGAATGGTTATATTAAAAAGTCAAAAAAACAACAGATGTGGAGAAAAGGAAATGCTTATACACTGTTGGTGGGAATTTACATTTTTTTAGCCACTGTGGAAAGCAGTTTGGAGATTTCTCAAAAAACTGAAAACAGAACTACCATTCAAAACCCAGCAATCCCATCACTGGGTATATATCCAACAGAAAACAAATCCTTCTACCAAAAAGAAGCATGCACTTGCATGTTCATTGCAGCACTATTCACAATAGCAAAGTCATGGAATCAAACTAAGTGCCCATCAATGGTGGACTGGAAAAATAAAATGCGCTACATATACACCATGGGATACTATGCAATCATTATAAAAAAAAAAGAAATCACATCCTTTGTAGCAACATGAGTGCAGTTGGAGGCCATTATCCCAAGCAAATTAATGTAGGAACAGAAAACCAAATACAACATGTTCTCACTTATAGGGGAGAGCTAGACATTGGATACTCATGGACATAAAGATGGCAACAATAGACACTGCGGACTACTGGTGGGGCAGGGAGGAGAAGGAAGGTGCAGGGGTTGAAAAACTTACTGTTGCATACTATGCTCAGTAACTGGTTGACAAGATCATTCATACCCCAACTCAGCATCACACAATATACACAGGTAATAAACCTGCACAGGTAGCCCCAGAATCTAAAATAAAAGTTGAAAAAAATTCTCACTGGGATTTTAATTGAGATCAGATTGGATATATAGATCAATTTGGGGAGAATTCACATCTTATACAAAAGTGAATCTTTTTTTTTTTGTACTTTAAGTTTTAGGGTACATGTGCACATTGTGCAGGTTAGTTACATATGTATACATGTGCCATGCTGGTGCGCTGCACCCACTAACTCGTCATCTAGCATTAGGTATATCTCCCAATGCTATACCTCCCCCCTCCCCCCACCCCACCACAGTCCCCAGAGTGTGATATTCCCCTTCCTGTGTCCATGTGATCTCAGTGTTCAATTCCCACCTATGAGTGAGAATATGCAGTGTTTGGTTTTTTGTTCTTGCGATAGTTTACTGAGAATGATGATTTCCAATTTCATCCATGTCCCTACAAAGGACATGAACTCATCATTTTTTATGGCTGCATAGTATTCCATGGTGTATATGTGCCACATTTTCTTAATCCAGTCTATCATTGTTGGACATTTGGGTTGGTTCCAAGTCTTTGCTATTGTGAATAATGCCGCAATAAACATACGTGTGCATGTGTCTTTATAGCAGCATGATTTATAGTCCTTTGGGTATATACCCAGTAATGGGATGGCTGGGTCAAATGGTATTTCTAGTTCTAGATCCCTGAGGAATGGCCACACTGACTTCCACAATGGTTGAACTAGTTTACAGTCCCACCAACAGTGTAAAAGTGTTCCTATTTCTCCACATCCTCTCCAGCACCTGTTGTTTCCTGACTTTTTAATGATTGCCATTCTAACTGGTGTGAAGGCATGGGCAAGGACTTCATGTCCAAAACACCAAAAGCAATGGCAACAAAAGACAAAATTGACAAATGGGATTTAATTAAACTAAAGAGCTTCTGCACAGCAAAAGAAACTACCATCAGAGTGAACAGGCAACCTACAAAATGGGAGAAAATTTTCACAACCTACTCATCTGACAAAGGGCTAATATCCAGAATCTACAAAGAACTCAAACAAATTTACAAGAAAAAAACAAACAACCCCATCAAAAAGTGGGCGAAGGACATGAACAGACACTTCTCAAAAGAAGACATTTATGCAGCCAAAAAACACATGAAAAAATGCTCATCATCACTGGCCGTCAGAGAAATGCAAATCAAAACCACAATGAGATACCATCTCACACCAGTTAGAAAAGTGAATCTTTCAACCCATGGACATCTCTCTCCATTTATTTAGAATTTAGTTTCTCTCAGAAATGTGTTATAGTTTTCATACATCGTCCTTTATTTTTGTAGTTTCAATTCATAGGTCCTTTACATTTTTGTCATATTTATTCCCAAGTACTTCATGTTTGTGATACTGTTGTAAATTGTATTTTTTTAATTGAGATTTCCAATTGTCTGTGGCAAATTGACTTTTTATATTAATCTCAAATCTGAAGTACACTAAATTTATTTACAAGTTCAAGATGCTTTTTTCTGGATTCTACATAAATAATCATGTCTTCTGCAAAGAAAATTTTGCTTCTTCATTTCCAATCTGGAAGTTTTTTCTTTCTTTGTCTTGCCTTATTCTATTGGCTAGAAGCTCTAATACAATGTGGAATAAAAGTGGTGGGAGTACACATCTTTGCTTTGTTTCTGATCTTAGGGAAAAGCATTTGATCTTTCAACATTAAGTATGATGTTAGCTGTAGGTTTTTGTACTGTCCTTTATTAGGCTGAGGAAGTTTCCTTCCATTAATACTATGAGTTTGCTGAGAGGTTAAATCAAAAATGAATGTTGAATATTTTTAATGCGTTTTGCTGCATCTATTGAGATGCTCACATTTTATTTTTTATTTTATAATATGGTGAATTACATCAATTAAGTTTGAGTATTGAAGCAACGTTGCATTTCTGGGAAAAATCCCAATTAATCATGATGTGTGTGTGTATGTGTGTGTATGCACATACATGTGTATATATGTGTATATTAGTTAAATTTCACTTGTCAAAATCTTGTTTATAATTTTTATTTGTGTTCATGAAATATTTTTATCTATAATTTTATATTCTTGTAATATTTTACTTAGGTTTGGATATAGGCTAATATTGACCTCATCTAACGAGTTGGGACATAGTTCTCCCTATTCAGTTTTCTACAAGAGTTTGTATAAAATTGTCATCATTACCCCCTTAAGTGTTTGGTAGAATTCTTCAACAAAACCATCTGGACCTAAAGTTTTCTTTGATGGAACGTTTTTAAACAACAAATTAAATTCCTTTAATAGATATAGGGATACTCTGGTTATATATTTCTTCATGAGTAATCTTTGGTAGTTGATGTCTTTCATGGAATATTGACCATTTTATCTAAGTTGTTGAGCTTATTTACATAAAGTTGTTTATAATATTCCCTTATTAACCTTTTAAAATTGTATTATCTACATTAATGTCACCTCTCACATCTGATATTGGTAATTTGTGTCTTCTATCTTTATTTTCTAGTCAGCCTCACTAGACACATATCAATTTTTTAATCTTCTCAAAAAGACACCTTTTAGTTTTATTTTTTCTATTTATTTTCTGCTTTCTATTTTATTGATTTCTGTTCTAATGTTTTTTCTACTTATCTTGAGTTTAATTTGGGTTTTTTCCCTAGTTTCTTAACCTGGAAGCTGTGATCTTTGATTCAAGACCTTTCTTCTCTTCTAATATCAGCATTTAGTACTATAAAATTCACCGTAAGTATTATTTAGCAGTATATTGTAAATTCAATGTGTTGCGTTTTATTTTATTTAGTTCAAAATGCTTTCTAGTTTTCATTTGTTTTCTTCTTTGACCCATGGGTTGTCTAAAAGTGTGTTACCTTGTTTGGAGATTTTCCAGAAATCTGTTATTGATTTATAAATTACTTTCATATTTTTGCATGATTTAAATCTTTTGTAAATTTATTAAATCTTGCCTTGTAGTCCAGAATACAGTCTATCTTGATAAATGTTCAATGTATATTCTACCTCCACTCAGTGGAGCATTTTATAAAACTTAATTAGGTCAAGTGGGTTGATAGTGTTGTTCAGATATTTATATTCTTATTGATTTTCTGTCTACTTAGTCTACAAATTACTGAGAAATAGTTATTTAATATATTTGACTATAGTTGCAGATGTGTACATTTTTAATAATGTTATCAGTTATTGCCCAGGTATTTTGAAGTTCTGTTATTAAGGGCATAAACCCTCAGGACTGTTATATTCTCTTGAAGAATTGACTCCATTATGACTATGAAATTACAACCTTTCTGTCTAGTAATATTCTTTGACCTGAGATTTACCTTTCTTCATTAATATAACTGTTCTAGCTTTCTTTCGACTGGTGTTAGTATAGTACAGTCTGTTCTTATCATTTGTGGTAGCTGTGTTTTATAAAGTCACTGTGAACACTGAAGTAGCAAATATTGAACCATTGCACCTAAAAGAAATATGTATATACATATCTCATATAAATTATAATCTTAAATCCTAAAAGTAGTTCATCATGATGTATTCTATTTGCTTGATATTTAAAAAGAGAAAATAAGGTTCAAAAGTGTTAAGTGACTTAACTGAGGTTGTCTCACTAACAAGTGACAGTTAGGATTCAAATTTTATTCAACTGACCCAAGAGTGTTCTTGCACTACACTGTACTATCCCCTACTTTCTTTATCCTCTGGTTATCTCTTTTTAAAAGCTAAAACAAGAATACAAAGTATTGCCTTATTTGTTCTCAGCCAGTAGTCGGGGGTTAGGTGACTCAAATTTTTTGCTATTCTGTGCATCTCCACAGATGGCCACAAAAGCACCAAGAGTATTGATTTTGAAGTTACAAGTAAATCTTACCAAGTAAGCTAATTCACAAATATGGAATCCTCAAATCATGAGAATTGTGTATCTTTTTCCATCCCTTTACATTTAACCTGTTTGTATCTTTATATTAAAAGTGCAATTCTGTAGGCAGAATGTAATTGGGCATTGCTTTTTTATCCAATCTGATAACCTCTGTTTTTTAATTGGGATATTTAGACCATTTGTATTTAATGTGATAATTTATATTGCTAAATTTAAATCTACCTTTCTATGTGCTTTCTAGTTGTCCCACATATTACTTGGGTTTTTTTCTCTTTTTATGCCTTTTTAGGTTAATTGAATACTTTATATCATTTATCTCTTTTATCATTTTATTAGGTATAATTCTTTGTTTTGTTATTTTGGTGGTTATTGTAGGGTTTATAGTATACATTTTCTCACAGTCTACCTTCAAATGGTATTATAGCATGTTACATACAGTATAAAAACTTTGCAATAGTATAATTCTATTCTTCCCCTCCCAACCTTTGCATTATCATTACACATTTAATCATGCATATGACATAAAACACACACTGCATTGTTACTATTTTTGTATAAAGAGTCAATTGTCTTTTAAGACATTTAAATAATTTTTTAAAACTCTATGTATTTGCTCATATAGTTACCATTTCTGGTGCTCTTCATTCTTCTGTGTGCATTCCTATTTCCAACTGCTATTATATTCCTTTTGCTTAAAGAATTTCCTTTTACATTTTTAGTAGTCTGCTGGTAACAAATTCTCTCAGCTTTTGCATGTCTAAAAACATCTTTATTTTGCCCTTTTTTTGAAATATATTTCCTCTAGGTATAGTATTCTGGATTGACACTTTCCCTCTTCAGGACTTTAATAATGTTTCTGCACTGCCTTGTCACTTGTATTGTTCAGCAGGAAATCTGCTGTCATCCCTATACTTGTTCCTCTCTACATTATGCTCTTTTTCTCTGCTGTTTTTAAGGTTTCTTTAACAATAGTTTTCAGCAATTTGATGATGATATAACTTGGTGTAGTTTTCTTTAAGTTGCTTGTGTTTGGAGTTTGTTGAAATGATTAGATTTGTGAATTTATAGTTTTTAGCCATTTTCATTCATCATTACTTCCAATACTTTTTCTGTCCATCTCTGTCTTCCTCTAGGACTCCAATTGCATATATATGAGGCCATGTGAAGTTGTTCCATGGTTCATTTATGCTTTGTTTATTTTTTAAATTCTCTTTTCTCTTTGTATTTCATCTTGTATAATTTCTACTTTTATGTCTTCCAGATTACTAAATTCAACTTACACAGTATAATTATACAGCTAAAAAATATATTTTGGATGTTTTAAAAAATATCTTCCATGCCTCTACTTAACTTTTTGAATATATACATTACAGTTATAATAACTATTTTAATATACCTTTATCTAATAATTCTAATTCTGATAATTCTATGTCAGTTCTGGATCCATTTTGATTGATTAAATTTTATTCTGGGTTATAGGGGTTTTTTGCTTCTTTGCATGCTTGGCAATTTTTATTAGATGCAAATATTATGAATTTTCTATTGTGGAATGCTGGCTATTCTTCTATTCTTTCTGATATTCTCAAGCTTTGTCCTGAGATGCAGTTAGTTACTTGGAAACAGTTTGATCCTTTCATGTCTAGATTTTAAGATTTGTTAAATGAGATGTAAGCAATGCTCAGTCTTGAGATGATTATTCCCCACTATTGAAGCAAGACCCTTCTGTGTACTCTACCGATGTTCATTAAATCATGGGGTTTTCCCATCTCACTGGTGGGAGCAAGCACCATCTCTGGCCCTATATAAATGTCAGGTCCTGTTATCTCTCACCTTTTTTTTTTTTTTTTGTGGTCTTTTCCATGACCTTGGGTAGTTTAGTCATATGCATGTGCTGATCAGTATTCAGCTGAATACTCAAAAGCGACCCTCTGCAGATCTCTGCAGTTCTTCTCTATGCAGTGCTCTCCCACTTCTTACAAATTCTCCTACCCTGATTTCTCTAAACTTTCATTTCCATCTCCTCAACTCAAGGAGTTCACTGGGCTCCACCCGAGGTTCCTTTTTTGTGCCACAATCTGGAAACTCTCTCAGGTTTGCAGGTTTCTGAAGCAAACGTAGGGCTCACGGTTTTTGTTTCCCATCTGTCAGGGATCACTGTCCTTCGTGGTCTGATGTCCAGTGTCTTGAAAACCTATTGTTTTATATATTTTGTTTCCTTTTTGCTTATTTCGGGCAGGAAGAAAAATCCTTCATCTTAGTTGGAAGTAGAAGTCCTTGTCTCAACTTTACCTATTCTACTCATTTCTAATAAGGGCCCCTGATTGGTTTTCCCAACAACTGAACTCTATGCTTTGATCACTCACCTTCTAGCACATTCTGCCTCTCTGATTTGACTCAAAGAAATACTATAATCTTGGGATCAGGAATACCTAGGTTCACTTGCTTGCTGTTGCACTAACTCTATTAGTTTACTTTCCCATCTGTAAATTGAAGTAACAAAACCTACCTTATGAGATTGTTGTAAAGTAACTTCTCCAGTGACTGGTAAACAACAGGGACTCAACGAATGGTGGTTGTCATTACAATTACTAGGCTTCTTGTTCTAGCTTATTCTCTCTTCCTCCTCTCCTTCCCTGCCTCCATCTTCCTTACTCCGGATCTGCTCAGCCCTAATATTTCTTGACTGTGGGCTGCAGTGACAAATTATGCTTTAAGTTATGTCTCGGGCCTCATGACAGCTGAGTCATGCCATCAAGAGCCTGTAGAGTGGGAATGAGTCCCAGCCCTGAAATATCAGCATGTGTGGGTGGTTTCTGCAGGAATCACTGACGAGCACCTGTTAAATATTTTACTTTTTCTTAGACAAGCTTCAGTCACTTACTTTTAGGAAGTCTTAAAGTCTCCCTACACTTAACAAAAGACCACATAGAACTTAGCCACCACCTAGCATTGTTCAGATTGCTTCTTGCACAACTGCAGGGACTCCTATTACTCTATAGACACTGTACATTTGTACAGTTACAAGTTTTCAACAGACAACAACAAAGTATATTGAGAAGGGGACACCAGTTGAAATTTTCATTAGACTTTTAGCTGCAGAGAAGTTTAAAGTGGTTGATATGTCAACTGAGTATTCCAGTTATTCCATAATAGAATAGAGTCATCTCCCTACTAAAAGCCATCCTGTCTGTCCCTTTTGGGAATTTTTTTCAGCTCTGGGAACTATCCCATGGATCTAAAAGCAGCATAAGCCACATACTACAGTGGCTGAGAATATGGGCATTCATTTCAGCCAAAATGTGTTGTAACCCCAGTTCCCCCATTTATTAGCAGTACTACCTTGGGTAACTTACTCAACCCTCTGAGAATTCTCTTTGTAGAATGAGAGTAAATCTACCTGTTTAAATGGGGTTTTGATGAGGTTGGCATAAGATAATATATGTAAAGTGCATATATTACATGCCTAGTAAATGATAAATAATATCAGTATCATGAATTACCATTACATACCATCATCAGTATTGTTGTTATTGGCAATAATGCATCTAACCATTAAAAATCCTCTAGTACAACACTGTCAATTTTTGACAAAGATAGAAAGTTCTTTATATTTGCTGTCTAATATGGTATCTACTAGCTACGTGTAGATATTGAGTACTTAATGCTGGATAGCAAAGCTACAACAAGGATTACTTATTGGGAAATCTCTCAAAAATTTTGCTCGCCATGAAGTGAAGAAACTCCCAAGATCAAGTCTGCGAAGGCAGCATCTTCACCAGGAGAATTAATGAATGATCCTTGGTCCTAAACAGATGATCTGTCCCAAGATACTGCTTGGCCCATTTACTCACCTCATTTAAACCCTACTCGCTGGCTCCTCTGAAGAGGGCCTTTCCCTGACCACCAACCATCCCACCCCTCTCTGTCACTTGCCTCTACACACTGTATTTCTTGGCCTCTCTGATGCTGTATCTTTATTAGTGGCTTTGTTCAAATCTGTGCCCTGCTACTCGCATGCAAACTCCATGAAGGTACGTTTCTTATCTGCTTTGATCACCGGTTGATCTCAGTACCAAGAATGTGCATATTGTAGGGTTTCAGTAAGTATTTGTTGAACTTAATTAAACAGGTTATCTGAAAGAAGGCCAGAGGCTGATCTTTTATAAGAAGCAGAATACTTTTGTAAAATTAAACACTCCCCTCTTCCAGTCTCCAACCCCCAAGCCCTACATGTTCAGACAAGGGCCTGGGATTCTCTGGAGACCACCAGTACCAGCTCTGTAACTCCCAACCCACAGGTCTCAGGCGAGGCACTTCATTGCCAGTGTGGAGAAAGTGTTTTATATTCTAAACAAGACCCAACATTTAACAACCTCCTGTTCTTCTCTCTCAATAGCTTACTCTCCTTCCAGCAAATGTGATTAAGCATTCACGGCCATGGGTGTACATTTTTATTAGGGCTATGACAAGTGATTCAGAGGTAATTAAGCAATGGAATGTTTCACACAATGCCCACTTCACTTAAGGAATAAACTCTACACGTTGTTGGATTAACTGGAAAAAAAGGAAAAAGAAACTATTCAGAAAGCATCAACTTCTATAAGGAACTATTGGCCCTATTTTGGGGGTTTTCATAAGAAAGTGAAATTTTTCATTTATATAGAAGCATGAGGAAGAATTTAAAAGTCCATGTAAACACACACACACACACACACACACACACCAGTCATTTATTGCAGCCTGTTTTTTTTTCTCTTTCTGCAAAGAATCACCATCTTAAGTGTACAACCATAGAAAAATGAGTAAATAAATTGGAGAATATATGGAATTTTATGTAGCATTGAAAAGAATGAGGTAGAATGATATACGCTTAGATGGGAAGATGCTATATTAATATGACAAAAAAGTTGTAGTATAATTATTTTAAAAATAAATGTCATTAGTATATGTTTATATGTGCATTGAAAAATTCTTTAAGGACATGTCAAACTGTTACAAGTGGCACCTAGGAAGTGGATTTGGGCCTGAAATTACAACAGGCTTGTATTATTTTTGCAATTATAAAATATATTTAAACATTTTAATTTTTTTAAATGAGCTAAAAATTTTTTTAAAGAGTCAAAAAATTACAGGAATAGCCTGATAGTTGCAAGGGAGCAGGATGGCACTGACAAGGTATTTCCTCTTCACCCTTCCTATCCTCAAGCCCCATCACACACACATGCATGCACACACCCCATTTCATGAGGTGTTGAAGGAACTAGTGACACTCAGAAAAACTGTTACTCAATGTTCTTAAAGAAGCCCATGTCTTGCAGAATAAGATTCCAATTATGCAACTTAGAATCACTGACTATTTTTAATTGAATTGACCAATTTCCATAGTCAATTACACAAACTAGTCGTTTTGATATTACAACTTCACTGTGAAGGTCTCGTGACTATTTCACTCTTGACCCAGGTAGTTGCCCAGAGAGCTCCCTACAGATCTCCCTGTCTAAGCCTCATCCAGAAGGAAAGCTTACCAGGGTAAGGCTTGAGACCATGATTCTACTCAAAAGGTAAATTGGTTAGCATCATCTTTTGAGCTCAAGAAACCCCAAGATAACACTGACAACCACGATGAATTTCTTCTAAGCCAAGGTGCAAAGTGAGATGGCACAATGTGAAGCGACCCTTGTGAAAGAATAATAGCCACAACAAAAATAACCAGAAGATATTGAACAGAAAGTGTACATCTTTCTTATGTCATCTTTTGAGTTCAGATTCCCTTTTATTTTCCTCTCTGAACAGTAAAAGGTATACGCTATCAAAACAGGGATGAGAAATTTTAAGAGACTGAGATTTTTAGCAGATGATATGACTACATCTCAGGGTATCTGAACAACCCATATCTCCTTCAGGCAGAGGGCTGTCCTGGTCACAGACTCTGCTTTGCTGGATGTCTACATTTCTCTCTGCATGACTCATTCCCTCACCTACCTCCATCAGGACCAGTGTGACTCATCCATAGGCTGGCTCTGCCTATGACTGACGTGGCCCAGCTTGAGATGGTGAGCTGGGTTTAGTGCATTGGGAATAAGGGTTGATCATTAGCAGCTTCAGAAGCAGAAAGCCTGGTTTAGAAAAGATGGGGCAATCATTACTGGACAGGAACAAGCTGAAGCAAAGGAAGCTGTCCATAAGGAACAAGAACAATTGGAGCAAATGCAAAGGGAAAAAGCAGGAACCTTGTGACTATTCAGCCATGGAGAGGCAGGAAGAATAACCACATCTCCTGAAACTCTGCAGTCACTGTATGGGATGCTCATGAGTCATGAACTTACAACAAGCTACTCATTTCTTGAGCTGGCTTGAGTACTTCTCTGTTCCTCTTTAATTTATTCAACAAATATTTATTGAGTGACAGCTATGCAGCAGACACTGTGCTGAGAGATGAGAGTACAAGAATGTATAAGAACCCTACCTTCAGGGAGCTTCCTGCATAGTGGGAGAAAGACAATAATCCAATGATCATATAAGTCATCAGAAATATCCAGGCTGTAATTAGAAGTACACATACTAGGAGAAAATAATAAAGGTATGTAAGCTACTCAGAAAATTCAGGAACTCATGCCTGAGGATGTGGCATTTGAGATAAGATCTTAAGGATAAACAGGAGATGAAAAAGCAAAGAGCAGAGAAGGGAAAGGCATTCCAGGAAGAGAAAACTAGATGACATGTTTGGTTCAGAGAGAAGCAGGGCATGGTTACTAAAATCCCCACCCACTCAGGGTCCAAGGCCCTGCATTCAAATTCTGACATGATCATGTACTGTGACTTTGAACAAGTAACTTCTGTGATTCTCAGTTTCTTCATACAAAAACTGGAGATGATAATAATAGTGCTTACCTTACAGATTTGTTGTAAGGATTAAATAAAATCATGAATGTAAAAAGCTTGCACAGTACCATCATTTTTAGTTGGTGTATAATAATGCACTGTACAGATGGGCCATAATTAATTTTACCAGTCACCTACTGATTGGTCTTTAGGTTGTTTCTGGTATTTTATTATCATACATGGTGCAGCAATGAACAATCCTTTGATCTGAGGTTAATACAAGCCTTTGATCTGAGGTCTCCTCAACTTTATGGGTCCCCAGGTCTGTCATCCTTAGCCCTGGATGTTCCCTGGAAATCAAAACACACAGAATTAGGACCCCACCCTAAGCCTCCTAAAACAGGATTTGGCCACATATCCCAATATTTGTAGTGTTAAAAAGCTCCCCAGAAAGCTAGACGATAGCCAAAGAGAAAACTAAATCTAAGATCTACCATATTATATACATTTAAGTGTCAGGAACATTTTTATAATGCCCCCTGTAAACACACACAGACACACACACTGTATTAGTCTGTTATCACACTGCTAATAAAGACATACATGAGACTGAGTAATTTATAAAGAAAAAGAGGTTTAATGAACTCACAGTTCCACATTGCTGGGGAGGCCTCACAATCATGGCAGAAGGCAAAGGAGAAGCAAAGGCTTGTCTTACATGGTGGCAGGCAAGAGAGCTTGTGGAAGGGAACTCCCATTTATAAAACCATCAGATTTCGTGAGACTTATACACTATCACAAGAACAGTATGGGGAAACCACCCCCATGATTCAATTATCTCCACCTGGCCGTATCCTTGACATGTGGGGATTATTACAATACAGGGTGAGATTTGGGTGGGGACACAGCCAAACCATATCACTCCACTCCTGGCCCCTCCCAAATCTCATGTCCTCACATTTCAAAACCAATCATACCTTCCCAACAGTCCCCCAAAGTCTTAAATGATTTCAGCATTAACTCAAAGTCCACAGTCCAAAGTCTCATCTGAGACAAGGCAAGTCCCTTCTGCCTGTAAAATCAAAAGCAAGTTAGTTACATCCTAGACAGAATGGGGTACAGGCACTGGGAAAATACACTCACTCCAAATGGGAGAAATTGGTCAAAATGAAGGGGCTACAGGCCTCAAGCAAGTCCAAAATCCAGTGAGGCAGTCAAACCATAAAGGTCCAAATGATCTCCTTTATCTGCATGTCTCACATCCAGGGCATGCTGATGCAAAAGGTAGGCTCCCATGGCCTTTGGCAGCTCCAACCCTGTGGCTTTTCGGGGTACAGCCCCTCTCCTGGCTGCTGTCATGGGCTGGCATTGAGTGTCTGCAGCTTTTCCAGGTGCACAGGGCAAGCTGTCAGTGGGTCTACCATTCTGGGGTCTGGAGGACAGTGACCCTCTTCTCACAGCTCCACTAGGCAGTGTCCCAGTGGAGACTCTGTGTGGGGGGTCCAACCCTACCTTTCCCTTCTGCACTGCCCTAGCAAAGGTTTGCCATGAGGGCTCCACCCCTGCAGCAAATTTCTGCCTGGACATCCAGGCATTTCCATACGTCCTCTCAAATCTAGGTGGAGGTTCCCAAACATCAGTTCTTTACTTCTATGCACCCACAGGTTCAAAACCGCGTGGAAGCTGCCAAGGCTTGGAGCTTGTACCCCGTGAAGCAATGGCCTAAGCTGCACATCAACCCCTTTTAGCCACAGCTGGGATGCAGGGCACCAAGTCCCAAGACTGCACAAAGCAGCATGGCCTTGGGCCTGGCCCATGAAACCATGTTTCCCTCCTAGGTCTCCTGGCTTGCGATGGGAGGGGCTGCCATGAAGACCTCTGACATGTCCTGGAGACATTTTCTTCATTGTCTTGGCAATTAACATTTGGCTCCCCATTACTAAGGCTAATTTCTGCAGCCAGCTTGAATTTCTCCCCAGAAAATGGGTTTTCTTTTCTACTGCATCATTAGGCTGCAAATTTTCTGAACTTTTATGCTCTGCTTCCCTTTTAAACATTCCAATTCCAAAACTACATAAAACTGAATGCTTTCAACAGTACCCAAGTCACCTCTTGAATGCTTTGCTGCTCAGAAATTTCTTCTGCCAGATATCCTAAATCATCTGTCTCAGGTTCAAAGTTCCACAAATCTCTAGGGCAAAATGCCGCCAGTCTCTTTGCTAAAACATAACAAGAGTCACCTTTGCTCCAGTTCCCAAGAAGCTCCTCATCTCCATCCAAGACCACCTCAGCTCAGACTTTATTGTTCATATCACTATCAGCATTTTTATCAAAGCCATTCAACAAGTCTCTGGGAAGTTCCAAACTTGCCCACATCTTCCTGTCTTCTTCTGAGCCCTTCAAACTGTTCCAACCTCTATCTGTTACCCAGTTCCAAAGTTGCTTCCACATTTTCAGGTATCTTTACTGCAGCACCCCACTCTATTGGTACCAATTTACTGTATTAGTGTGTTCTCATGCTGCTAATAGAGACATACCTGATACCGGGTAATCTATAAAGAAAACAATTTTTAATGGACTCACAGTTCCACATGGCTGGGAAGGCCTCACAATCACGGCAGAAGGCAAAGGAGAAGTAAAGGCACATCTTACATGGTGGCAGGCAAGAGAGCTTGTGCAGGGGAACTCCCATTTGTAAAACCATCAGATCTCATGAGAGATATTCACTACCACGAGAATAGTATGGGGGAACCACCCCCATGATTCAGTTATCTCCATTTGGTTCAGCCCTTGACACATGGGGACTATTACAATTCAAGGTGAGATTTGGGTGGGGACACAGCCAAACCATATCACACCACATACACAAACACACACACACACTTTCTAAAATACATAGGATACTGTTTTTAGTTACATACAGTAAGATGGACCTATATTGGTACACAGTTCCATGAGTTTTAATACACATATAGATTTGTATAATCACATGCTCAATCAAGATGCAGAAAGTTTGTATCCCCCTAAGAACTCCCTTATGCTGCCCTTTTTCAGTTATACCTAGCTGTTGACAACCACTGATCTATACCAGTTCTAGTTATTACTTTTTCCAGAATGTCATATAAATGAAGTCATACCATATATCTAACCTTTGAGACTTGTTTCTTTCATTCAGCACAATGCCTTTGAAATTACTCATGTTCTTGCATGTCTCAATAGTTTGTTCTTTTTTATTGCTGAGTAGTATTCCATTGCATGAATGCACCACAGTTTGTTTATCCATTTATTCTCTGAAGGATTTTGGGTTCACTTCCCATGTGTGGTGATTATGAATGAAGCTACTATAAACAACTATGTACAGGTTTTTGTGTGAACATAGTTTTAATTTTTCCAGGCTAATTCCACCCCTCCCCAACTTTTGCCTTTCTAATAAATAACATGTTTCAATGTTAATGAAATAATTTATATTAATTGGATTGCAGGAGATAACCAGTCTGAAATAGGAAAAATGTAAGTTATGAAATACAACAAAACCACAAAGGGTGCTGATTTTATAATAAGATGCCAAAGCATCTTATTATAAAATTAGCATCTTATTATGACATTAGTCATTGTTTGCATGTATCTTTGTAAGAAAACAATTATGCTTGCCCAAACCTGTGTAAATCATTCTTCCTCATTTCCATCACATCCTTAGCCAATCCCTCTTTCATACAGGAAGAGGTTTTGCCTCAATCTTCCTAGTATACAAAATGCCAGGCTGGGAGTGAAAGCTCATGCCTGTAATCCCAACACTTTGGGAAGCTGAGGCAGGAGGATCCCCTGAGGCCAGAAGTTTGAGACTAGCCTGGGCAACATAGCAAGACCCTGTCACTAAGAAAAAAAAATTTTTAAATAGTTAAATGTGATGGCATCTACCTGTAGTCCCAGCTACTCAGGAGGCTGAGGCAGGAGCATTGCTTTAGCCCAGGAGTTGGAGGCTGCAGTGAGCTATGATCATGTGGCTGCATTATACCCTGGGGGACAAGGGGAGATTCTGTGCCTATAAATTAATTAATTAATTAATTAATTAATTAACAATACAACAAAATACCAGAGAATAGTATGTCATATCCCAATAATTGCATCATTTAACCTACATAGGCTCAAACATACTCAGCTAAGGTGTGGGCAGAGGAAATAACATTGCAAACCTTCCAGGTGATTCTGCCTGCCACTTTCATCAATGAGCATGTGATCCTAAGTGAGAGCAGGGTAGCCGTGCCACCCAGGCTGCACTGTGACTGCCATGGGCCCTGGCCACTCTAGCCTTCATAGGCCCCTTCTTTCATAAAAAAAAAATATTAATAGTTGTGTTTTATCATTCACTGATATAAAGACAAATATCATCTAGGCTGGGTTCATTATTAAATATGCATTGTTACTAGACCAAGCATGGTGGCTCATGCCTGCAATCCCAGCATTTTGAAAGGCCAAGGCAGGCAGATCACCTGAAGCCAGGGGTTCAAGACCAGCCTGGTCAACATGGTGAAACCTTGTCTCTACTAAAAATACAAAAATTAGCTGGGCGTGGTGGCACGCACCTGTAATCTCAGCTACCCAGGTGCCTGAGGCATGAGAATCACTTAAACCTGGGAGGCAGAGGTTGCAGTACCCTGAGATTGTGCCATTGCACTCCAACCTGGGCAACAGAGAGAGACCCTGTCTCAAAATAGATAAATAAATAAATAAATATGCATTGTTACTATATTTACTTTTTTCTTCTGATTAAAAAAAAAATACACGCAAACATTTTCAGTCTCCTAAAGGTATCACCTGCCTTAGGCACTGTGCTTTCTATGCGTAATGCAGAACTCAGCCGTGAACCTTCATCTGTGTTCCCTCAGGGTCTTTCACTTTGCTAAAAGTGATTCCAGTGCTTACATGTTCCTATTTTTTCCTAAAACACAGTTGAACACAAGTCAGCCACTTAGAACCTTTGTTGTCTCCAACAAATCCTTGCTTTGAGCCAGCTGCCGAGTTAAATGCTTTCTATGCATTTTCTCATTTACTCTTCGCCACCACTCTTTGAAGTAAGTGCAATTTGTATCCCATTTACTTCTAAGGAAGTGGAGATTCAGGAAGGCCGAAGTGACTTACCCAAGGTCACACGGGTGGGAGAGGGTCGAGCAGGAAAGCACCTCGTGCCTGTATCCATGGTTCACCATGATGGTCAATATTTACCAAACTTGGAGTGGAGAAGGACTCTCTAAGTTGGAATCCAAGTGTGATAGTGTAAGGGAAATCTGATAGATTTGACTACGTAAAAATTGTAAACATTCGTTTGTCAAAAAACACAATGATCAAGATTGAAAGGCATTTCTCATCTAAGAAAGAACTTATGAGGCAGCACTAGCCCCTTACTGTGTATAAATCACACATGAATCAGTAATAGAAAAGCAAACACTCCATTGAAAAAAAAAAGACAAAGGACATGAAAAAGCACTTCACAGTAAAGAGTAAGGGAAGTGCAAAACTGTACACACTCATGCTAGTAATCCAAGAAATGTAGAGCATGAAGCCATTCATTTTTTTACCAGTGGCAATGAGATGTTGATTCTCTTTCAATGATGTACAGAGATTAATTTTATTTGAAACATATCAATGACATGTTCTTCTGTTGCTTTTCCCCACCTCACCCCCACCTTCCACACCCATTCTGGTAACATCACCCATTTGCTTCGTGGAAGTTTAGGAATTCTACAAATGAATTAGAAAAAAAAAAAAGACAGCTATCTATGTTTAGCCTCTGACTATAAGAATTATTTTCTTTTTTTTTTTTTTTTGAGACTCTGGCCTCAAGAAAATGGTCTCAAAGTTTATTGACTCAAGAAGAAATTGTTTTTGAAATTTCTAAAGTTGCCATAAACATATCCATTAAACGTGAGCTCTGCATCCAGGCTCTAAAGTGGTACTGAAGACAGAACTTGGCCTCTAACGGGAGACAAAGCCTTCCCCTTTGGGAGTACTCAGAGGAGGAGACATGAGATATAGATAGCCTGAACTTAAAGCGGGGGTTCCTAGGGACTGAAATCCTAAAGTTGGAGGGGGGACTGAGAGGAATGCTGAAAATGGATAATGCTTGTGCCCCTACATCCCCAATTTTAATTCTTAGAGAAGAGTGCCATGGAAAATTGTCTATCACTAACATTAGAGAGCTGGAGCCAGTGAAAATGGAAAGGCAATTAAGTAGAGAGAAGACCACAGGAACCCTCCCAACACCCTTCAGTTCCGATGTAGCATGGAAAGAACCCAAAAGTTCTGCACACCTGGTGAGTTTCGTGAAGGTGGGAGCCAGTTGAACCTACTTGGAACCACCATGGGTGGCCACCAAGCTACCTCAACATGGAGATCAAGGCATAGATGACTCAGGCAAGGAGCTGGATTGAAAACATAACCAAGGTCAGTGTCAGAGAAAACCAGAGCATGGCTGACTCAGCAAGAGAAAACCACCAAGTCTAAACTTAACTAGGTAAGGAAGCTGACCATGAGTCCATCAGCTGCAGACTTCAGTAGAAGAGGCCAGTAAATGTCCCAGCATCTGTGGACTTGAGGCTCCATGACCCAGTCTCAGCTGGGTTATGTAATCCTACCCATCCCTCCCACTCATTGACCAAGTGCCAAAAAAGCCACTTGTGCTGAAGGGAGGAGTTGAAAATCAGAACACTGGGCATTGATCCAAAAGAGGCTGTGGGCTGGATGCAGTGGCTGACGCCTGTAATCCCAGGACTTAGGGAGGCTGAGGTGGGCAGATCACTTGAGGTCAGGAGTTTGAGACCAGCCTGGCCAACAGGGTGAAACCCCATCTCTACTAAAAATACAAAAATTATTTACACTACAGGCATGGTGGTGGGTGCCTGTAATCCCAGCTACTCAGGAGGCTGAGGCAGGAGAATCACTTGAACCCGGGAGGCAGAGGTTGCAGTGAGTCGAGATCATGCCACTGTACTCCAGCCTGGGTGACAGAGTGAGACTCTGTCTCAAAAAAAAAAAAAATAGAGGCTCTGCAGATCAGGAAGACAACAATACCAGTAGCTGGCACTTATTAGGAAGATTAGCTTGATTACACTAAATAAAGGAGCTATGTATTATTTTGTAGATTTATTTGGTCATCTAGTAAACATTCACTACATGCAAGCACTGGATGGTAGAGACTCAGTGTGAATCAAAGAGTCTCTGCTTTCCTGGGCCTTCTATTCAAGTGGGAAGAGGCTAACAATAAACGAATAATCACATTAATATGCATTCTGCCAGAAGGTGATGAATACTATAGGAATAATTAAGTAAGGTGAGAATGATAGAAAGTGCTAGTTTGATGAGGTTGTCACTTTTATAGGATGGTCAGAGAAGGTATCTCTGATTAAATGACATTATATCAAAGACCTGAGGAAGTAAAAAGGTCAGATGTGCAGATGGCTAGAGAGAGAGGATGCCAGGCAGAGCCCACAGCAAGCACCAAGGCCCTGGGGTGGGAATGTATTTGTCTTGTTCAAGAAGAAGCAAGGAGGCTGGGCTAGTACGGTAGGAGAGATCAGAAAGTGAGCTTAGAACTTTATCCCGCCTTGGCAACAGCTTTGGATGTTCTTCCACATGAAATGGAAAGATGAAGGATTTGAAGAGGAATGGCCTGACCTGATTCACATTTTTACAAAATCTCTCTAGCTGCTGAGTTGAGAAATTGACAGTTGGGGAACAGATAGAAGCAGGATCACTAGTTAAGCAGCTCTTGCAATACTTCAAGAAGAAGATGTTGATGGACTCTAAGCTCCAGAGGGCACAGTGCAGATGGGAATCAGGATGGGGTCAGAAAAGCAGGTATATGGGTTTATATGAGGATGAGAGCCAGATGGTAGCTCTTGGGAGCTTTTGGCTTCTTGTGGTGACTGACAAAACCAGGGATGTGATAGGTGGCAGACCTAGTCCTGGTGGTCTCCTAGGAAGATGAGAGTGGGGGTTGCGGAGAGTATTCTGGAAGAAGACCTGGGTCAGCAGGATGCCATAGAACCCTGGCGAGCCTCGTTCTACCTAATGAATGAGTAGGAGTCAGTAAAGTTGCAATTGCAAGTCCATTACCTATGACCATGGTGATACCTAGTGTTGTCTGGGAGAAGAGAGATCCTATTGTTACTAACTTTCCGGAGGTTAATTTACCAATTTGTAACAAAATCCTTTACATGTATTTGCCTTTCAACCTAGGAATTCCACCTTTATGAATGCAGCATAAGAAATGAGTGACTTAATCATAGCATCCTGTGAAAAACTAGAAATGGCCTAAATGTCCAACATCAGGGGTAATGCTAACAATAATTTTAGTAGCCATGTATTAAGTGCTTATTGTGAGTTAGGCATGGGGTGAAAGTTACTACAGATACTAGCTCATGTAATCCTTCTAATAACCGTGGGAAGAAACTAGAACTCAGAGACATTGAGTAACTTGCCCAGAGATTCAAACCCAGGTCTGTCTCACTCTAAAAATTTTGTTCAAAACCAGGAGATGTTAAACTTTTTCTGTAAAGTGTCACATGGTGAATATTTGGACTTTGGGGGCCATGAAGTCTCTATTTCAATGACTCAACTCTGCCACGGTGAAGCAAAAACAGCCATAGGTAATACATAGATGAATGGAGCTTTATTTACAAGTACAGGTAGTGAGCCAAATTTGGGCCATGCACCATGGTTTGCCAACTGCTGTTCTAAACTGCTTCTGTATAACCAAAACTTATATCTGAGCTGTCCAGATTCTTTCTGGAAATATTTGAGGAGGATGTCCAAAAAGAAGACAAAGAGGAGATTCTCACAACCTTCAAGAAGTGAAAGTATACTGTCAAGCTAAATTAGGCAATGCCACAATAACAAATAAACACTCAAAATCCCAGCAGCTTAACATAACATAAGTTGATTTCTCTCTCAAATGTATTCCAACACAGGTCTGGAACTCTATTGTGAAACTCTTCTCCACGTAGTGACTCAGGGACCTAGGATCCCTCCACCTTGTGACTTTACCATCTCAACATATGACCTCCGGGATAGAGTGATTATGTGTTAACAAAGGCCAGGCATTCAGCCTATGTCCCATTGCTTCCCACACAGAAAGCCAATCACTGAGACAATGAGTAATGCCAGGGAAAAAGGCTTTATTATGGGTGACATCAGCCAAAGAGATGGTAGGAAAACTTCAAACCCTTCTCTCTCCCTTGACTAAAGTTAGGGGTTTATATAGCAGAGAAGGAAAACAGGAGGGGGAAGGAAGTGGAGTTGGTCAACAGGCAGCAGGTGGTCAAATGAGGGGTCTGGCATCTCTTTGTAGCCATGTGAAGGAAGAAGGAATTAGGGAGGGGTGAGAAAGAGGATGTGGTTGACATGCAGCAGGTGCATCTCAGTGTACAAATGTAAGTTTCTCAAGCTTCTGTCCTATGGGCATCCAGCTTGTTGGAAATTTGGGCTCGTTTCTTATGGATGTGTCACAATTACTCTTAAACGTCTCAGAATGGAAGTGAAATATGTATCACTTCCACTCTCATTTCTTTGGCTAGGATTCATCACATGATCCTGCCAAACTGCAAGGCAGGCTGGGAAGTTTAATTTTCCCATATGCCCAAGATACACCTGAGCCAAGAATTCTCTACCACAGCTAATATGAGTGAGAATCAGAGAATTTTCATATATTTTGTGATAAGTAATCTTTGCTTAGAATGAACAAAAACTGAAGTCAATACCATTATGCACCTTGGCTTTATTTAAAAGCTATTTGTGTAACATATATTTGACTAATAGAACATACTGTACCCACCTAAATATATAATGTATCTACCTGGACTCTGCCTAGATCCAGCTAAATGGCTCAGATTATCAATCAGGTGGTTTTTGTGGCTTTTAATTATCACAAACCATCTGTAAGAAAAGCCAGTTTCAGGAGGAAATAGGGTTACTTGCTTTTAGGTCTCTTTGATCCAGTAATATACGGATCATTTTGGTCTGACTTCCTAGGTGAAAACAGGAGGCAACAGAAGGGAGCACTTCTCCCTCTTATTTAATCTCTAACCTTGAAAAAACACTCAAACAGACGTGAGTATGTATCAGAGAGTTCCCATGACAACCAATTCTCACCCTCTCCTGTCTTTCAGAACACCATGAAGTCATCTTCTACTTACTCACAATTGGATTATAAACTGTGTGAGGGCAGAGCCTAAGACTAACTCATGTCTGCGTTCTAAGATACTGGAGCAGTGTCTGGCTCATAAAGGACATCAATGGGTGTCCTAAATACATGTCAATTGCTTGAATTGAATGACAGGGCAGATTGGCTATGGGGCAGGTCTCAGAGTGTGTAGGTTTATTCCTAGAGCATATGGGCCCGGAACTTTCTTCAGGAAAGAAGGTCTGGGAAGTATGTGTGCAGTGACATTTCTTGTGTTCCTCCCTAACTTGAAAATCCCCCTCTTCTGACAACAGTGAGGCTCTAGGACCCTGTCCTTACACTTAGTGGACCCAAGCATGGAGCATGTGACCCTGGCCAGAGCCAATCAGAATATCCCTGGCCAGTGGTTCAGGAGTGGGCACATAAGCTAAGTCAGCCCAGCAAGAATGAATCTTAGGACTTCTTCAAAAATTACTGGAAAAGACACTTGCTCTTTCCTGCTGAACTTGAATAGAAAGCTGGAGTCACTGGAGCTCTCATGCCACTATAGGGACCATCGGAATGAAGCCAACACACCAAGGAAAGCCAGAATGCTGAAAGACACTAGTTACTGCTGAAATAGCTTGAAGCAAGTAACCAGTTTTACCCTTGGACTTTTCCTATTCCTAGGTATAAGTCCAACTAGTAGAGCCACGTCTCTAGGAAGGTCAGCAAGACAGGAGCCTTTTTTATTGTTATTCTTTAGCATTAAATAAAGGCTGGAGATTGGACATTTCAAGCTCCAGGGTCTATGTTTGGATCTTTATCATCAGCCTTGAATGCTTGAAAATGATACCACAATGGCCTAAGAATATGATGATGAATTGTATGTAAGCTGTCTGCATATCAGAATTTATAATTCTATCTAGGATTCGGATCCAAAGCAAATTCTCTTATGTTTTATTTTCTTCCCATTTCCTCCTCCACATTTCCCAGCCTACTAGCAACTAGCCATTAACCAGTCATAGCCAGTGACATGTGGGCAGAAGTGATGTGTGTCACTTCTGGCTGAGAGAGCAAAAAGCCCAGGTTCAATTCTCCTCCTCTCTGTAGCAACAGGGGATGCCATGTATTCCAGATGGTGCAGCTACAGCTAAAAATGACAGCAAAGCCATCAGCCTAAGACCTTGAGAGACTCTATGGAGCAGAGTCCTCTGGCAACCTGCAATGGGATGTGAGGTCTGCATGAGAAAAAAAGAACCACTTCTATTGAGTTAAGCCACTGAGATCTGGAGGCTGATGTTTAAAGAAGCATAACTGGCCAATTTCTACAATTCATGGAGATTTGTAGGTTTTTTTTTTTTTTTTTTTGAGACGGAGTCTCTCTCTGTTGCCGATAGGTTTCTAATTGTGCTTTCCCCAATAACTCAGAAAATATTTTCCTTCAAGTTTTAAGTTATACCAGAAGCATTAAATAGTGGGAAGAGCATTTCCAAAGGTCTTGCCTAGGTCAATCAAGACAGGAGGTTGATCTAAATAATTACTCATATGAGGAATCTCAAACAACAAAAGTAAAGTAGGTATTTGTTTGAGGAATACATAAGGGAAAATATCAAAATAAAACCAGAAATCCCTGGCACCAACATGTAAAGGTTTTCTCTTCTCATAAGAAAAAAGTGACTACTAGACAAACATCATTAACCTTAAGCAATATAAACTGCAGTCATTCTGTCTGCATATATCAGCTGTTGTGAGATCATTTTCTCTCAACTCTTTTATATACATATGTCTCCACAAATTGACCAAAGAGAAACTTGTCTATTTTTGTAAAATGGAAGTCTCATTGGCATTTTTAGTTATTGATGAAAGTAAGCTTTCTTAATCGCTTAATAAATACACAGAAAGTGCTAATAATTTTTTTTGAGACGGAGTCTCACTCTGTTGCCCAGCCTGGAGTACAGTGGCATGATCTCAGCTCACTGCAACATCTGCCTCCTGGATTCAAGTGATTCTTCTGCCTCACCCTCCTGAGTAGCTGGGATTACAGGCGTGCACCACGATTCCTGGCTAATTTTTGTATATTTAGTGGTGATGGGGTTTTTACCATGTTGTCCAGGCTTGTCTCGAACTCCTGGCCTCAGGTGTTCTGCCCGCCTCAGCTTCCAAAAGCGCTGGGATTACAGGCGTGAGCCACCACAAACGGCACAAAGTGCTAATTTTAAACCTTTTTTTAAGATTTTTTTTGGTCCATTTTCAGTACATGGATAACTGAAATCTACAGTGCTTATATGAAAATGTTCTGGGGTCCTTGTTAAGTTAGTAGATTGCTCTTTCTTCTGTATTTACACATTGCATATTTTTAATTGACTTCAAAGCTCTAATCTTCATGCCCCCCAAAAAAGGTTATTTTAAGTAGGCTTTGCATTGTATGGCAGATTGAAACAGGGTGCTAAGCAAAATGTGCTGTCAGTAACGTATTCATTAGAAACAAAATCCTTAGGGTAGTTCTAATTTATGAAAAACGAGCACAGAACAATAACTTAGGTAATAAAAATGTGTTCAAGAGCAAAGGATTAAAGTGAGACAAAAGCAAACTACAACGTGCTGTGATGGAGATGTCTTTCCTGTCTTTATTTTAATCAATACTAAAAAAGAAATAAGCTGGGTAGCTCCTAACGACTTAAAAATGCAAATCCTAACCAAAGTCAAATTCTTTTCTCATATTTCTTAGAGCTTGTAGATTCCGAGCATAGTGAACCATGGAAGGGAAAGGGAGAAAGAACCAAATTATTTAAACTTTGAAAGCAATATTTTCATCTGATTTGGAAAGATTCACTAAAACTTTCATTTTTGTTAAAATAAACTTTCAGAGTTCACACAATGACTAGGATCTGGCATTTCTACAAACATTCCCAAAGAGATTCTAGCACACAGTAAATGCTCAATATTTGATGAATGAATTAATATTACCATCATCTGAATAAAGATTACCAATACTATTTTGCTAGGAACAACAATTTTTAAAAATTGCCTTTCTTTAGTCTCTGCTTTGTGTTGTTGACCCCCATATAGGTCGGTCTGATCCAATTCCATCATGACCAGTGTTTCATCTCATTTGCTCTGAAACCAGGTCCATAGCAGGACTACAGGGACAGCAACACGCTGTGGGAAAGTAGGTGCTCCCAGTCGCATCAAGGGAGACTGTATATTCAAGGGATATGTACATTCTAGTCTATTTTGTAACTCTTCCCCTTAGCCAGGCACAGCCAGGAGGGTGGTGTCCAGGCCAGGAGGACAGCCTGAGGGGCAGCAGTGGCTTGGAAATAGAGGAGTCCTGAAGCACAAACCCAGCACTGGCCAAGCTCCTGCACACCCTTTGTTATTGACAGCTCATGAGCTATCAGCAAATAAGCCATTGTTTTGATGGATTTTTCCGTAGTCCCATCTGCCCCAGGAAAAGTCATATAAGTCACCCTTTGCCATTTTCTGGAAGGGTAACCTGGTACGGCCTACAAAGAATGGGCCAGAAGATCACGAGTGACCTCTCCATTGTAGAACCCAATCAACCAGAGAGCACAGGACTATTGGGATGAGGTGGACCAGGGAGCACAGGACCATTGAGATGAGACGGGGCAGGGAGCACGGGATCATGGAGACAAGACGGACCAAGGAGCACGGGACCACGGAGACGAGATGGACCAGGGAGCACAGGGCCATTGAGATGAGACAGAGCAGGGAGCACAAGGCCACTGAGATGAAACGGAGCAGGGAGCACAAGACCATGGAGACAAGATGGACCAGGGAACACGGAGACGAGGTGGACTAGGTAGCACCTGACCATGAAGACGAGAAGGACCAGGAAGCACGAGACCATGGAGACGCTAGGGGGCAGGGACTGCGGGACCACGGAGAGGAATCCAGGCAGATGGCAACGTGTGAATGTTGTTCAGGCATTCTTTTGGTAGGAATGAAAACACAAATGAAGCCATTTAAACCCTCCCGGTCTCAGGCTGTCTTGAAATTACCATAGAAGTTGGATTCCTAGGTATTTTATTCTCTTTGAAGCAATTGCGAATGGGAGTTCACTCATGATTTGGCTCTCTGTTTTCTGTTGTTGGTGTATAAGAATGCTTGTGATTTTTGTACATTGATTTTGTATCCTGAGACTTTGCTGAAGTTGCTTATCAGCTTAAGGAGATTTTGGGCTGAGACAATGGGGTTTTCTAGATATACAATCATGTCGTCTGCAAACAGGGATAATTTGACTTCCTCTTTTCCTAATTGAATATCTTTATTTCCTTCTCCTGCCTAATTGCCCTGGCCAGAACTTCCAACACTGTGTTGAATAGGAGTGGTGAGAGAGGGCATCCCTGTCTTGTGCCAGTTTTCAAAGGGAATGCTTTCAGTTTTTGCCAATTCAGTATGATATTGGCTGTGGGTTTGTCATAGATAGCTCTTATTATTTTGAAATAAGTCCCATCAATACCTAATTTATTGAGAGTTTTTAGCATGAAGGGTTGTTGAATTTTGTCAAAGGCCTTTTCTGCATCTATTGAGATAATCATGTGGTTTTTGTCTTTGGTTCTGTTTATATGCTGGATTACATTTATTGATTTGCGCATATTGAACCAGACTTGCATCCCAGGGATGAAGCCCACTTGATCATGGTGGATAAGCTTTTGGATGTGCTGTTGGATTCGGTTTGCCAGTACTTTATTGAGGATTTTTGCATCAATGTTCATCAAAGATATTGGTCTAAAATTCTCTTTTTTGGTTGTGTCTCTGCCCGGCTTTGGTATCAGATTGATGCTGGCCTCATAAAATGAGTTAGGGAGGATTCCCTCTTTTTCTATTGATTGGAATAGTTTCAGAAGGAATGGTACCAGTTCCTCCTTGTACCTCTGGTAGAATTCGGTGTGAATCCACTGGGTCCTGGACTCTTTTTGGTTGGTAAGCTATTGATTATTGCCACAATTTCAGATCCTGTTATTGGTCTATTCAGAGATTCAACTTCTTCCTGGTTTAGTCTTTGGAGAGTGTATGTGTCCAGAAATTTATCCATTTCTTCTAGATTTTCTAGTTTATTTGCATAGAGGTGTTTGTAGTATTCTGTGATGGTAGTTTGTATTTCTGTAGGATCGGTGGTGATATCCCCTTTATCATTTTTTATTGCATCTATTTGATTCTTCTCTCTTTTCTAACTTACAAGGGATGTGAAGGACCTCTTCAAGGAGAACTACAAACCACTGCTCAAGGAAATAAAAGAGGATACAAACAAATGGAAGAACATTCCCTGCTCATGGGTAGGAAGAATCAATATCATGAAAATGGCCACACTGCCCAAGGTAATTTACAGATTCAATGCCATCCCCATCAAGCTACCAATGACTTTCTTCACACAATTGGAAAAAACTACTTTAAAGTTCATATGGAACCAAAAAAGAGCCCGCATCGCCAAGTCAATCCTAAGCCAAAAGAACAAAGCTGGAGGCATCACACTACCTGACTTCAAACTATACTACAAGCCTACAGTAACCAAAACAGCATGGTACTGGTACCAAAACAGAGATATAGATCAATGGAACAGAACAGAGCCCTCAGAAATAATGCCGCATATCTACAACTATCTGATCTTTGACAAACCTGAGAAAAACAAGCAATGGGGAAACGATTCCCTATTTAATAAACGGTGCTGGGAAAACTGGCTAGCCATCTGTAGAAAGCTGAAACTGGATCCCTTCCTTACACCTTATGCAAAAATCAATTCAAGATGGATTAAAGACTTAAACGTTAGACCTAAAACCATAAAAACCCTAGAAGAAAACCTAGGCATTACCATTCAGGACATAGGCGTGGGCAAGGACTTCATGTCTAAAACACCAAAAGCAATGGCAACAAAAGCCAAAATTGACAAATGGGATCTAATTAAACTAAAGAGCTTCTGCACAGCAAAAGAAACTAGCATCAGAGTGAACAGGCAACCTACAAAATGGGAGAAAATTTTCACAACCTACTCATCTGACAAAGGGCTAATATCCAGAATCTACAATGAACTCAAACAAATTTACAAGAAAAAAATAAACAACCCCATCAAAAAGTGGACGAAGGACATGGACAGACACTTCTCAAAAGAAGACATTTATGCAGCCAAAAAACACATGAAAAAATGCTCACCATCACTGGCCATCAGAGAAATGCAAATCAAAACCACAATGAGATACCATCTCACACCAGTTAGAATGGCAATCATTAAAAAGTCAGGAAACAACAGGTGCTGGAGAGGATGTGGAGAAATAGGAACACTTTTACACTGTTGGTGGGACTGTAAACTAGTTCAACCATTGTGGAAGTCAGTGTGGCCATTCCTCAGGGATCTAGAACTAGAAATACCATTTGACCCAGCCATCCCATTACTGGGTATATACCCAAAGGACTATAAATCATGCTGCTATAAAGACACATGCACACGTATGTTTATTGCGGCATTATTCACAATAGCAAAGACTTGGAACCAACCCAAATGTCCAACAATGATAGACTGGATTAAGAAAATGTGGCACATATACACCATGGAATACTATGCAGCCATAAAAAATGATGAGTTCATGTCCTTTGTAGGGACATGGATGAAATTGGAAATCATCATTCTCAGTAAACTATCGCAAGAACAAAAAACCAAACACTGCATATTCTCACTCATAGGTGGGAATTGAACAATGAGAACACATGGACATAGGAAGGGGAACATCACACTCTGGGGACTGTTGTGGGGTGGGGGGAGGGGGGAGGGATAGCACTGGGAGATATACCTAATGCTGGATGACGAGTTAGTGGGTGCAGCTCACCAGCATGGCACATGTATACACATGTAACTAACCTGCACATTGTGCACATGTACCCTAAAACTTAAAGTATAATAATAATAAATTAATTAATTTAAAAAAAAGAAACTAGAAAAAAGAAAAAAGAAAAAAAAAAAAAGAAATTACCATAGAAGCCAAAGTTGAGAGATACCCCAAGGCCAACCACCCATAGCCACGTACCACGTAAGCAAAACTTAGTTATCCTGATTTCCCTGAGATGCTATCTCAAATCACAATGAAACACAACATGTAAGCTTTACATTCTTGTCAATATGATTCAGTGAAATTAAGCCAAACAGCTATAGATAAATCAGCTTAAACAACTCTGCTTGCCTTAACAAGAACATTAATGCATAACAGCCAACCATAAAAAAGGCCAAAATACTTCTTGATGCTTTATAAGCTATGCTGTAACTGCTATAAGGTGAGCTTCTTACTGTCTTCATTTGAAGTTTCCTGGTTCAAGATCGGCCAACTGTTCCTTTGTAAACATAATATACTTTAAATTTTTAAAAATTTGATCTGATATAATTATTTTTCTGAATTTGACTTGATTTTATTTTTGAAACTCCCAACACTGCTCTTCTGGGAGGAAAAAAAAAATCTAATGAGAAAACTGGAGAATAAGAAAAGTCAGATCAGAAGTTGATTTTTCTCTCTTTCGCTTTCTCTCTAATGGCTCAATTCCCATGTTTACCTCATGTTTTGGTTTGCAAAGTAGATTGTTGCTTCTAAAAAGTCTTAGGATGCCTCCAACTTTTGGCCAATGGGGTGGCTTTGACTTTTGCAAAGAATTTTTATCCCCTTCTTATTCATTTCCTGCATTTAATTTTTCTTGAATGCGGAAATATCGGAGAATTTTGCAATTGCATAACTGTCCTGGATTATTTTAGGAATCCTTCTCTTCGCTACTAAAATTTTACTCTCATTTACTCTCATTTTATTTTCAGAAAGAGCGTTGCCTTTCAACAAAATTACAAAGTAAAATGATTTTTGCTAAACAATGCATCTCGTTTAACAAAAGATAACTCCCCTCCTTCAAAAATAGCTGCAACATGAATATCACCAATTTTCATCCAAAATAAAATTATTTTCTCATGATAATCGTCATTCAGGAAGAAAAGGTAGGTGCAGCTATGTGGCCTTGAGCAACTTTTCTCATTTTTCTCAGTTTTCTCATCTATAAAATGGGGACAATGCTAGATGTTAAGCGTATTATAGGCAGTCTTTCGAGATGTCCCTTTTCTCTGACAAGTAGCCACCCACAGGGCACCTTCTTCTATCAGACTGGGCACCTTTTCAAATCAGATTGTCTCAAGAGTTTGGAACTGGCATTCAGACATAACCAGTCATATTGCTGAGTGTGACTCAAAATAAGGTGATGTAAACTTGCAAACTTCAGGGACAGCCATCCTGTGACATGTTTGTAAAGAAGGCATGAAAGCTAGCTGGGAGAGATAAAGGAATGAGATGGGCATGCAGAGAAATCAGGGCATGGGGACAGAGTAACTACCAGGGTTCCTGATGGCAGTCCACCTCCTAGCTCTGGTTCTGAGCTGTGACTGCATTCCAACATTTAACTCGCTGAAGACATTACTATAGCCTCATTTAAAAAAAAAGTAAAACTCCTCAAGCTTTTGTTTTTTTTTTTTTTTTTTTTGGTTTTTTTTTTTTGCTAAATACATCACAAATTTGTTTTTATTCCTTACAACCAGAAGTGTCTTCACTAAAACACAAAAGGAAAAATGCCAAAGATATTTCTTTATCCACACTGGCCCTTCTAAGAGAACTCTGCTACCAGCCAGAGCTCACCATAGCCCCTCCCATGCAGGAATTCCAATTAAAGTAAAACAAGGTCTTTACAGTCACATGATCATCAATATGCATAAAAGTGACACCAAACCAACATCAAATGCCCAATTACCCATATGTCTTGCTCAGGTAACAGTCTTCATATAGGCAAAAGTTCTTTGGTAAATTATCTCGTTTAGAGAAATTAAAGCCAACTTTGAACACAGATGATTTCTCATCCTCGTAACAGCCACTCGCAGAATAATTGAAAGCGTTTCTCATCATCTAACATACCAGGTCAACATGGCACCATCGATCCATTTTATTTAGCCGGGAAGTTCAGCTCGGCACAAGCCCTGATTTGTGCTTTCATGTGACTGGTAAGTAGTTCCTCACTCAAGAGAGGCCTCAGGATGAGACCTCTGCCAATTTGCTCTTTGAAAAGAGTCAGGCCTGGGTGTTCACTCTTACAACAGCCTAAAATCCAGATGTGCACATAACAATGGGAAGTGGGATAAGGTCAGGCCCATTTTGTGGCTGGCTGAGGGGAAGGGGTACATCTAGGGTATATCATGACCCTGAGACGTCGTAGTGTGGGGCCTTTAAGACTAGTTCAGAGAACTTCATGAATGATTTCCGGGAGTGTGGAGGAGGCCAGCATGTAGCTGACTGATGAATCATTCGCCACCGCACAGATGTTAACACAAAGAGTTCTCTTCATTCTCTGCACTCATGGTGTTCTGCTGTGTGCGTCCAAGTCGACCCATTTAACAATAAACTAGCTCTTAGTTTAGAGGGTAGAAATTCATACTCACTCTGCAGCTGAAGGGCTGGGCAGATTTAAGAAGGTCTAATTTTGATGCAAATCAACCTATTTTGCTGTATTTCTCGCTGAGTTTTTTTCTCTGGGCCCCTGTTACCAAGGGAAAGTTGGTTCAATGCTGACTCCCTCTCACCTCCCAAACATTGGCAATGTTTGAGCCTGGTTGAGCCTAGGGCTCAGAATATGAGATTAAATTTGTGAGACAAGCTTCTTTCAATCTAGTCAGCATTTATCAAGTTTTTAGGGGCATCTAGGAAGTCCTAACAATGAGGTCTATTCAGGGTGGAGGACAAAACAAAATCAGACTGTGTCTTTGTTTAAGTGTGCATTGTCAGTGTGTTAACTTCTAGTTTCAGCTACCGCAAGTAAAGAGTTGGGAAGCTGTCACTCCCATCCTCACAACAAGAAAAATGTAGATGAACTGAAAATCAATGACTTTTCTTGGACCCATCAAAGAAGTGAAGTTGCAAGGCAAACTGTAGCCCCAAAATCCAAAGAGGAAAAAAAAAGCCACTGGGACTATAACTGACAGGAATACTTAGATGGTAATTTTGATGAATTGCTGAAGGCTAAGTAGGGTCTAGATTGGGAGCTGCTATCCTAGGGGAACCCCACGATTCCATGGACTTTACCTCCAGAAACCCCACCAGGTTTTCATGAAGATCTAAGTAAGATCCCTAGATGACTCTGGCAGGAGAAGAACTGTAATCTTTGTGCAATAAATCCAGAGCCTTCCTCAAAACAAAGGCCCACATTTTGAAATTATTGCCCCAGTCAAGCTAATTAACATACATTGTGCACCCTAAATATATACAATTCTTATTTGTTAATTATACCTCAGTAAAGATGGAAAGATAAATAAATAAAATCCTAACTGAGCACATAGGGATAAAAAGTGGGGGAGCGGGGACTCCTCTCCAGGATAAATACATTCCCAGAGCTTTATCCCGGCTGGTAAAAGGGCATTCTCCCACTCCAGCCCCTCCAATCCTCCTGCCTCACCTAAGAGGGGTAAAACATAGTTATGAAGGGTCATGGCTGCAAGAATATGGACTGGGAACGCTGCATTCAGGGAAGAGAGTAGGGGCTGAGTGAATAAAACTATGGAGAAACACTTGTGAAGGTCACAGCCCAGGAGACAGGTGCACTACAGGACTGGGATTTAACTGGTAGATTTTAGAAGTTTCCCCCTCCCCTATTACTTACTACCATGCCAACAGGACTCCAGTGTAATGATAGTGTGTTACAGCTAAAAGAGCTCCAAAACAAGGACTCTCTCTGAGGAGTATAAGCTTAAGAGGAGAGAAGAAAACAAGGACAAATTTGAAGCCTCTGGTATCTACAGTTACAGCAAACATTAAACACAAAACAGTCAGATTCTTATCCATATTATGACAAATCCACACAGTAAAGGCCTATTCACGTCAGCTCCTAATACCAAGAAAAGCATGGTCTGAAGAGTCAAAGCGAGTATCAGAACCAGACTCAGATATGACACCGATGTTGGAATTATCAGATAAAAAATGTTGAATAACTGTAACTAATGTGTTAACCCCTTATTCTCAAAAAAAGAAGACAACATGCAAGAATCAAATGGAAATTAAAAACACAGCACCAGAAATGAAGAAAGCCTTTGACAAGCTCATCAGTAAACTGAACACAGACAAAGAAAAAAATCAGCAAGCTTGAAGATAGGTCAAAGAAACTTCCCAACCTGAAATGCAAAGACAAAAGAAAATTGAAGAAAAAAAAAAGTAGAAAACAGAGTAAATACTGTGGTACAATTACAAAAGGTGTAACATATTTGTAATTGGATACCAAAAGGAAAAGAAAGAGAAAAAGGAGCAGAAGAAATAATTGAATTATGGCTGAGAACTCCACAAAATTAATGATAGACACCAAACCACACATAGAGGAAGCGCTGAAAACAACAATTGGAATAAATACCAAAATACGCACACACATGCACACACAAATACACACACACACAGGCATATCATATTCAAACGGCAGAAAATGAGAAACAGAGAGAAATCTCAAAAAAGCCATAGAGGGAGAAAGCATCTCACCTATGAAGGAACAAATATATGTATTACAGTAGACTTCACTTCAGAAACCATGCAAGCCAGAAAAGAGTGGAATAAAATATTTAAAGTGTTGGGGGGTGGAATTCTAAAATTCTATACCCAGTGAAATTATCTTTCAAAAGCAAAGAGAAATAAGCTTTATCAACAAATAAAAATTGAAAGACTTTATCTTCAACAGACCTGCCCTGGAAGAAATGTTAAAAGTTCTTCAGGCAGAAGGAAAATGATACAGATCGGAAAACTGAATCCACATAAAGAAAGGAAGAGCATCATAAAAGAAATAAATGAAGAGAAAATTTCTGGGTTTTTATGTTAGTCAGTGCTCCCATTGCTATAAAGAAATACCTGAGACTGGGTAATTTATAAAGAAAAGAGGTTTAATTGACTCATGGTTAGGCAGGCTGTACAGGAAGCATGATGCTGACATCTGCTCAGGTTCTCAGGAGGACTCAGGAAGTTTCCAATCGTGGTGGAAGCGGAAGGGGAAGCAGACATGTCACGTGGCCAGAGCAGGAGCAAGAGACAGAACGGGGAGGTGCTGCAGTTTTAAATGACCAGATCTCACAAGAGCTCACTCACTATTGTGAGGACAGTTCCAAGGGTGATGATGCTAAACCATTCATGAAAAATTTACCCCCATGATCCAATCACCTCCCACCAGGCCCCACCACCAACACTGGGATTACATTTCAATATGAGATTTGGGTGGGGACAAATATCCAAACTATATCAGTTTCCTTATGTTTAATTCATCTAACAGATAAGCATCCGTCTAAAGTAATAATAGTAACAATGTATTTGGTGATTATAGCATATGGGTAAGTGAAATGAATTATAGTAACATCACAGAGACAGGAGGGAAGAAATGGGCAAACTCTGTTATAACGCACATGAAGCATATACTGTTATTTGAATATGGATCTAGATTAGTTAAAATATGTGCATATATATATAATTCTTTTTTTGTTTTTTGTTTTTTGTTTTTTTATGGAGTGTTGCTCTGCTGCTCAGGCTGGAGTGCAGTGGTGCAATCTCGGCTCACTGCAAACTTTGCCTCCCAGGTTCAAGCAATTCCCTGCTTCAGCCTCCCAAGTAGCTGGGATTACAAGCACCTGCCATCACGCCTGGCTAATTTTTTGTATTTTTAGTAGAGGCAGGGTTTCATCATCTGGGCCAAGCTGGTCTTGAACTCCTGACCTTGTGGTCTACCCGCAAACATTAAATCTGTATTGCATATCATTTCCACCTGAATGTAAGCACCATGTGGCAGGGAGCTCATCTCACTCAGCTCTAAGTCTCTAGTGCCAGACACATCACAAGCTGCATGAAATATATGTTGGGTGGAATGCTTGATGGTTGGGCAGATGGACACTTGGATAGGTGAACAAATGAATTGATGATATGTGATCCATGCTCCCATGGGAATTCTAACACAGCAATCTCTAAATTTTTTTGCAGAATCTAATACCATATGATGTTAATAGCTGTGCCATGGTGTTAAAAGTTCTTCTATGCTCAAAAAATCTTTTAGAGAAATGCTCACTTAAGGAAATTAAACAGATTTCTTGACTGTGAGAGAATGGAGACCATGCACTTTTCTCTTCCTAGAATTTAGCACAGCTGTTATTAGGCACTCAGTAAGATAATGACACGAATAAAATCATCATAGAGTAATTCACTCGTATTCATTCATTCCACAGGTATGCATTCAGCACCCACCATATTACAGACACTGAGCCAGGGTATAATGGGAGCAAAAATGAACAGAGACTCTGCCTTCATGGAGGGTATAGCATGGTAGAAGACAGACATTATTCCAATAGTTTCACAAAGAATTGTAAAATTACAATGAAGGGAGGCAGGGGAGGGAGGGAGAGCATCAGGATGAACAGTTAATGCATGCGGGGCTTAATACCTAGGTGAGGGGTTGATAGGTGCGGCAAACCACCAAGGCACACGTTTACCCATATAACATATCTGCGTGCCCTACACATGTATCCCAGAACTTAAAATAAAAGAAAATTGAAAAAAGAAGTTACAATTCAGTACTATTTGGAGAGGTAATAAGGCAAACAGCCTGGTCAAGGAGGTCAAGGTAAGCTAACCAAGCAGTTGAGAACCAAAGCATGAGGAGGAATTAATATGGCAAAACAGATGGGGAAACTGCTGGAAAAGTGGCCCAGCAAAGGGAATAGTTAAAATCCTATAGCAGGAGAGAGCATGACACACACAACACACTGAAATGAGGCTAACGTGGCTGGGAGGAGGGGTTCCACAGGGGAGACAAGTTGAGCCTGAGAAGGTAAACGGGAGTCAAGGTATACCAGGCATTGAATGCCAAGGTAAGGACTTTGAAGCAGCTGGGTAACTATCAGATTTGCACTTTGAAAAAATCAGTTTGGGGAGAAATTGCTGATTCTATTAGATTGGTGCAGAAGTAGTGATTGCGGTTTTGCTATTAAAAGTCATGGCCCAAACAGCAATTACTTTTGCACGAATCTAATAGAATTGAGATAGAGAAGATACAAGTTTAGTCCAGAGCATCTTGTAATACAGAAAGTAAGGAAGTGTTCAACACACACACACACACTCACACACAGAGGCAGGGTCTGTCCAAGGGATGCAGGAGCCAACTGAAACACCTCCCAATGACCAGTTAGAACAATTTCAGCAACAAAATAAATAAGCGGTATTAAATTATAAACCGAAGTAGAAAATAAACGTCCATGAGTCCATACTGATATAAACAAATGATTGAATAAATACATAAATAAACAAATGGGAGAATAGAGAAACGTGCTGTGTAGAATTCCAAATAATTTATGGAGATACTTTGTCTTCGAGGGGCATAGCATAACTCCCCACTATTTAAGTGTGAGATCGTAGTGACTTTCTTCCAAAGAGCACAGGATGGGAAGGAAGAAAAAACGAGTAACTTCACAGCGGAGAAACCTGACAAACACTACCTCAGCCGGGTGATCAAGATTCACATCAACAGTCATAAATCACATCAGCTGGATGTACCTTCGCTATTGTGTGATGAGAACAGCGCTCTTTACCTCTGTGCTCTTCCCCTCAAAAACTCATAGCCACAGTCTGTTCATGAGAAAACATCAGACAAATCCCAACCGAGGGACTTTCTACAAAATACATGACCAGTACTTCTGGAAAATGTCAAGGTCATCAAAACAAGGAAAGTCAGAGAAACTAACACAGCTGAAAAGAACCGAAAGTGATGTGACTACTTAAATGTAACGCGGTGTTCTGGATGGGATTCAGGAACAGAAAAGGGAAACCAGGTGACAACTAAGGAAACTTGAATAAAGTGTGGACTTTAGTTAATAATAATGTATGAATAATGGTTCATTAATTGTGAAAAATGTACCATATGTTAATAATAGAGAAAACTGGGTATGAGGTATATGGGAATACTTTGTACACCTTTGCAATTTTCCTATAAATCTAAAACTGTTCTAGCATAAAAAGCTACTTTTCTTTGGGAGGCCGAGGCAGGCGGATCACCTGAAGTCAGGAGTTCGAGACCAGCCTGGCCAATATGGTGAAACCCCGTCTCCACCAAAAGTACAAAAATTAGCCAGGCATAGTGGTGGGTGCCTGTAATCCCAGCTACTCGCGAGGCTGAGGCAGGAGAATCACTTGAACCCGGGAGGCAGAGGTTGTGGTGAGCCGAGATCGTGTCATCAGCCTGGGCAACAAGAGCGAGACTCCGTCTCAAAAAAAAAAAAAAAAGCCACTTTTAAACAAGATTGTTTTGACAATATTATCCATCAAGAGCCACATAGGAAGGACTAGAGTAGGTGGGGCTAGTGGGGCGGGGACCAGTTAGGAAGCTGTTGCAGTTGCCTAGGCAGAAAAAGATGGTGGCTTGGGCTGTGGTAGTGGAAATAAACTTGGGAAAAAGAACACTATGCCATTATCTAGAAGCGTATGAAGCTAGAAGAGAGGAATGCCTAGGATCAAGAGTTGAGTAACCTAAACATTATAAGGATGCAATAAATGAGATGATTCTGCAAAGAAGACAGAGAAAAAGATCCTGGTACCCAGATTTTGGCATCCAAAAACCATTTTCCAACACAAAGATCCATTTCTCAGAGATTTTCCTTAGAGGTATGTATAAGGCATTGAAAACAGAGCCACACACATAGCATACCCTCCAAAAATTTGATTCCCGGAAGTATTATGGTGAGGGTCATGTAACGTTGCTTATATGAAAGGGAGAAATGACAGATTCTGTATGAGTTTCCTAGGGCTACTGCAAACAGAGTACCACAAACTGGGTGGCTTAGAACAGAAGTTTATTCTCTCATAGTCCTGGAGATTAGAAGTCTGAAGCCAAGGTGTGAGCAGGGCCATGTTCTCCCCAAAGGTGTTAGGGAAGAATCCTTCCTTTTTCTTTGAGTTTCTGGTGGTTGCTGACAATCCTGGGCCTTCCTGGGCTGGTGGCCACATGACCCCAATCTCTGCCCCTGTCATCACATTGCCTCTCCCCTGATGTCTCTTCTGTCCCTTCACGTGCTATTCTCCTCTCTGTGTATGTGTCCCAACCGTCCTCATCTTATAAGGACGCTAGTCTTTCACTAAGGACCACTCCAATCCAGGACAACTTCATTGTAACTTGATTATGTCTGCATGATTTTATTTCCAAATAAGATCACATGCACAGGGGCCAGGGATTAGAACTTGGATATATTGTTTTGGGGAACACAATTCAGTCCACAACAGATTCCATGGCTCGGGCAGGGAAAGATGAACCTGGAACATCTTTTGGTGGTAGAGAGTTAACAACATATTCAAAAAGCAATGCAAGTATGTCAGAAGGACGAAGGAGCCATTTGAAGGAGCCATTTGGCCAATGATCAATTCCAGAACAACTTGAGCCAAAAGATAAATAATTATAGTAATGGATTATAACCCTTTATAATTGGGTTGTAATGATAGTAATGGATTAAAACCCAGAATAAATATCCATAAATCCATACTGATATAAAGAATTGAAGAAACAAATAAATGACTGAAAAATGCAGCCTTTTCTTATAGAAGAATTCTAGTTAACAATTGTAGAAGGAATGATGGAAATAGAAAATCACTTGGCATCTCCTCTTAGATCCTCTGGCATATACCAAATACCAAATTAATGATTGGCAAATACCAAAGTAATGATTGTTATAGGCATGAATCCTCGGAAGATGCTAAAATTAGTGGGAAAATTAGTATGATGAGAAAGGATACTAGAAAAATCTCAGCCAGGCACAGTAGTGTACACTTGTAATCCCAGCACTTTGGGAGGCCAAGACAGGTGGATCACTTGAGCTCAAAAGTTCAAGACCAGCCTGGGCAACATGACGAAACCCCATCTCTACAAGAAATACAAAAAATTAGCCAGGCATGGTGTCACATGCCTGTAGTCCCAGCTACTCAGGAGGCTGAGGTGGGAGGGTCGCTTGAACCCGGGAGACAGAGGTTGCAGTGAGCCAAGATAGCGCCACTGCACTCCAGCCTGGGCGACAGAGAGAAACCCTGTCTCAAAGAAAATAAAAGTCTGAAAATATCTCCCCACAAGATACCTATTAACTACAAAGAGAAAAAATAGTAACTTTATAGTAGAGACACTTGTCAGACACCAGCTTCACCAAGTGACCAAAGCTAACATCACCAGTAATGAGCCATATTTGCTTCATGTAACTCTTGATGTCAAGCACTGGCAATGGGGCCCAACAGCACTTCTGTGGCATTCTTATTAATGCATAGCCTAAATCTAACCATAAAGAAAAAAAATCAAAGAAACCCAAATAGGGGGACCTTCTATAAAGTAACTGACCAGTACTCTTGACACTTTTGAAAATATTCAACATCATGAACAACAAAGACTGAGGAACCGTTCCAGATTGGAGTAGACTGAGGAGATGTGACAACAAAACACAAAGCAGGCTTCTGAATTGAATCCTAGAACACAATAAAGAGCATTGGTAGGCTGGGTGTGGTGGCTCACACCTGTAATCCCAGCACTTTGGGAGGCCGAGGCGGGTGGATCACCTGAGGTCAGGAGTTCGAGACCAGCCTGGCCAACATGGTGAAACCCCAACTCTACTAAAAATACAAAAATTAGCCAGGCATGGTGGTGTGTGTCCATAATCCCAGCTATTCAGGAGGCTGAGGCAGGAGAATTGCTTAAACTCGGGAGGCGGAGGTTGCAGTGAGCCAAGATTGCGCCATTGCATTCCAGCCTGGGCGACAAGAGTGAAACTTTGAAAAAAAAGAAAAAAGAAAAAAAAAAAGGCATTAGTGAGACAGAGCAAATGGGCAATTGTTGAAAATGATCTATAGATTAGATAATAGTATTGTATCAATGTTAATTTCCCGGTTTCCCTAATGACCTTCTGGTTATTTACTATGGAAAAGCTGGGTGAGGGCACCGCTTTTGCAACTCTTTTATAAATCTAAGATTATTTCAAAAATAAAAAATTAAGAATGAACAAAAAGAGTACAGCTTTGAAAGTTATTTTAGAAGGGAAATCAACAGGACCCGGTAATAGATGAGCATCAGTGAGGGACAGAGACGTCATGGAAGATTTCTCTCCAGATTTCTCCCTTACATAACAAAACGAAAGTAAAATTATTCCCTGAGAATAAAAGCACTGAGAGGGACCATTTTGGGGATGAATATCAGGGGTGAATTGGGGACAAGCTGAAATTGAAGTGTCTTTGAAAGATCTAAGAGGAAATATCAAGTAGGGAGTTGGACATGAGAGTGATGCTTAGGGACTAGGGATCTGTGGGTGAAAAATTGCAAATTGTGCATATTGAAGCCATTCACACATATACAACTGCCTAGAGAAAAGGGTATAGGGCCAAGAGTTTGGTTTCTCCACATATAATGACACAGTAAAGGAGATAAGAAGTGTTCAAGAGTCCCAAGCTATGCAGAGAAACCAAATAAGCTTAGGTTAAAAATATGCCCCCTTGATTTTGTAACACAGAGGTCACTGGTAACTACTGAGAATTGTTTGTTTGCAAAGCACTTTCATATAAACAATGTTTCATGACCTTCACCATAATACTTCTGGGAATTGAATTTTCAAAAGGTATCCTATGTGTGTGTTTCTGTTTTCAATGGCTCATACAGACCTCTAAGGAAAATCTGTTGGGTTATGTTACACTATACGATTGTCTTCATTTTCAGATGAGGTCACTGTCGTAGGCAGCATCTAAGGTGCCCCCATCACCCCAACAAAAGCATCCATGCCTTTGTATAAGCCCATTCCTTCACTTCTAACCAACAGAATATGGCAAAGGCTGTCACTTTCATGATTAGGATACAAAAGGTTATGACTTCAGTCTTGCTAGAAGATCCTATCTATTGCCTTCTTGGCTTACATGCTTTGATGAGGCAAGATGTGTGTCAGAGAGGCTCACATGGCAAGGAACTGAGGGCTGCCTCTGAACAACAGTATGCAACAAACTGAGTCCTATGAACAAGCATGTGAACTTGGAGACACACCCTTCCCCAGTTGAGTCTAGAGATGACTGCATCCTAGCCAACACCTTAACTGCAGCCTCTAAGAGACTCTGCAGCAAAGGACTTGGCTGTGCTATGCCTGGATTCATGACCCAAAGAAACTGTGAGATTATAAATAACACTGTTTCAAGCCTCTGAGTGTTGTGCTAATGTGCTGCACTGCCTATGGATGACAAATGCAAGTCGTTAAGGCTCAGAAAGGTTAAGGCTTCTGTGCTGTATATTCTCCCTTGAGCCCTCCAGATTCAATCTCCACTATCTCTATTTGCCCTGGAAGTGAATTCTATGAGCTACTCAACCAGCCTCCTTGTGCTCCAGCTTCTGGTTTGGCCAATGGGTGGCACCAGGAGAAAGTCAGAGCACAGAAAGAAACAGGGGTCAGCATATCTCAGCTCTCCCTGCTAGGATGCAGTTTGACACTGACTGCATTTCTCTACCCAAGGCCACAGCTCCTAGAAATTGATCCCTTTCTTATAGCTTCAGGTCTCTCTGGGTTCCAGGATTCTCTCTCATTCTCATTCTTTCTCTCTCTCTCTCTCCCCAACCCCCCGACCCCCACCCCCAGCGCCCTGGGGTGCTTCCCCAGTCCCAGCTTGTATTAAAAGTAATGACAAAACCCACAATTACTTTTGCACCAACTTAATATTCCTTAATTCTGCCCACACCTTTATAAACAATTCTTTCCTTTGACTCTTTTTATTCATCCACTTTGAGTGTTCCATCTCATTCCAGCCAGTGTGCTAACAGACACAATTCTGGGACATTAAGTTTCAGGACCTTGAAATTACTTATTTTAATGAATCAATTACTCCTCCTCTCAGGTAGTATAAGCACAGAGACTAGAGATGTGCCCTCACATGGTCACAGTGAACAGTTCAGGTCAAAATGGAGCCAGAGGTCAGCTCTGCTGCTTACAAACCCTATGGAAAGTGACTGAATCTCTGTGAGTCTCAATTTCTTCATCTGCAAAGTGGGGAAAATACCACACACAACATAAAATTGCAATGATAGGGCTGGGTACAGTAGCTCATGCCTGTAATCCCAACACTTTGGGAGGCCGAGGCGGGTGGGTCATTTGAGGTCAGGAGTTCGAGACCAGCCTGGCCAACAAGGAAAATCCCTTTCTCTATTAAAAATAAAAAAATTAGCCAGGTTGGTGGCACCTGCTTATAATTCCAGCTACTCGAGAATCTGAGACATGAGAATCACTTGAACCCAGAAGGCAGAAGTTGTAGTGAGTCAAGATCATTCCACTGCACTCCAGCCTGGACAACGCAGTGAGACTCCATATCAAAAAAAATTTTTTTTAATGCAATGATAATAAACTTATGAAAGCTTACTTATATAAGACACATGGTACATAGTAAGGGCCCACTAAATCATCACTAGTAGAACTCCATCAGCAAAATATCTCATTTTGCTAAACCAACTAGAATCATAATGCCATTTGTATTGTCAGCAGCCCTGGGTGTTACGGGTAATCACTAGTTCAATAGGCAGACACACAGAGGATGCCAGAAGCGTCCACAGAGATACCACCTAACCCATTTTTCGTGCAACAAAGCCCTGTGGAGCTGCTGTAGTGAGCATTCCTCACCAATACTGTGTTCAACTTTTTAGTTCAAAAGAATCACTTGGCTCCTTCAACTGCTGCAGTTGTCCAGGCCCTCAGTGGCATTCAGAGAATGGAACTGGTCATGGAGTCTTGTCACATCACGTTTTCTCCTCCTGAGGTCACACTTTGCCCAGACAAGTCTTTGAATGTGCAAAAGCATGAGGGAGGGCAAGAAGAAAATGGGAATCTGCACATGGTGACATTACCAGAAACGTGCTTTGACTTCAGGTTGTGGTTCTTAGAAAGGGCAACGTTGTATGCCACATTTATGACTGCTCCGACTATGTTTTAATGAGTCCCTGCATGCTGACAAGAGGGCCACTTAAACAGGAGTAATTGGGTCACCATGGTTTCCAGAGGACAGGGGACAGGCTGCAAGGTCTGAATCGCTGGCAGAAAAGCAGCTGATGGACCCAATTCAAAGTCACTGGGAGGTGATAATGGGCTCGAAACAGGACCAGTAGCCACAGCCTACCCAGACGGATGGCACAACTCAACCCAGAGTCCAGCTCGGCCTGGCAGTCGCCACCTCTACTGCAATGAGGCAGGCTGGAGCAAGACTTCCCCAGCAGCGGTCCTTTGTGCTCTAACTTCATGATTTTTTTTTTATCACTCACATCCTGCTCTTCTATGATTTACTTAATTTTCTTTATTTATGTTCACTCAATATCTTAATGTATTTTGATTGCAATTTTATATAAAAACCACCAATGGAAAACCAGCATCATTTGCCATGAATAGAAAGCAGCAATTAAAATAAATACAATGAAAACAAGCACTGTTGCTAGATCCTGGCTAGACATTACTGCCTGTGGAATGGTCTAAGCCTGAACTTACTGTCTTGATAAAAATGGTTAGCAAGTGTTTAAGCACTAAGCTCGATGCTTTCTCCTGTAATCAGAAAAACTAAAAGAGAATGGATAACAGAGTAACTTTCTGACTGTGTTATTCAGTCTCATTTTATGGTAAAATCACCTTGTAATGCATCTTTAGGCCTCTTGTCACATAAGCCAGGACTACCCATTTGGAATACAGCATGGTCTTCCCCACTGCTGAAGCCAGGATCTAAGAAGTAACAGCCATAAGACATGGTTTGTGGAGCTGATGCACATTAAAAGGAATAACTATTGCAATTGATCTTTTCCAAGTAACACCTCCCACCATCTCATTTGCTCCCCAGATGCCGTCCTTTGGGAAATGGCAGGATAGACTAGATGTCAAGCCCCACTGTGAAGAGCACATGGAATTTCTTATCTTGTTGGGTAGAACAAGCATGTCCTGGTGAAAGAATTCCATCCTTTCTGTTGCTGACTGGGGGTGCCAAGGAAACTCTTCATAACCAGAACAATGTTGGAGACACGTCTGCCCTCCAAGGATGCTAGAGGTTCATTAAGTCTCTACTGTGTGCCAGGTACAGTTCTATGTGCTGAAGACACAGAGAATAAAATGGGCAAATTCTCTACTCTCACAGTTTATACTGTGGTTGAAGGAGATAGATAGGCAGTAAGCAAAGACATGCCATAGCAAGTGGTCACGGATGCCATGAGAAAGAGGACAGAGAATGATGGTATGAAATGGCCACATACACAGGAAGCCCAGGAGGGTCTGTAAATAGAGTGGATGCTTGGGAAAGGCCTGCATAAAATGAAGGAGCAACCCAATTTGTCTATCCGGGGAGAAAAATATGCCAAACAGCAGAATCAATGATGGATGGCAAAGGCCATCTTTATCATCCATCTAACTTGCCCAAGGTCGCCCAGCTTGTAGGTGAAAAGACTGAGACTTGAACTTGGGTCCCAGACAATCCAAAGTCCATCGAGCCTGACAAGCACATTTGAGGAGCAGCAGGGAAGCCAATTTGGCCAGAGGAGAGTGAAAGGCCAGGTGGTAGGAGGTGTGATCAGCAGGCAGCCAGGAGACCAGGGGTGAGGATGTTGGCAATGACTCTGAAGTAGAGGATTAGCCCTGGACAGGCTTGAACAGAGGAGCCGACCTTGTCTACGCAGTAGAAACACCACCCTGGCTGATGGGCAGATAATGGAAGGTAGAGAGCCAGGACAGAGGCTGGAAGACCAGTTAGGATTCCACCACAAGAGAGTTCAGACAGGACAGGATGGTGTCTTGATGCAGGGAGGTAGCAGTGGAGGTGATCAGAAGTGGTCTCATTCTGAAGATATCATTGACAGGATTTATGGAGGGATTAGAAATGGAATTTAAAAGAGGCATGGAATCACAGGTGACTTCAGAGTTGCTGGTATAACCAATGCAAAAATGGAGTTTCATGTAGGGTGATGGAGTGACTTGAGTGAGGGGAACTAAAAATTGAGTAATGGGCATGTTAAATAGAGATGCCTAAAAGACACACAGTGGAGATATCCACTGAGCAGCTGGATATTAATAGCAACAATAATATATTCTTGAAAGCCCCCCCCCCGAATCTTGGGGTGCATTACTAGTCTGTCTTCAGGTCTCTCCCACCCATCACTCCCTCACCTTGAAGTTGGGTTAGGGACTCCTCTCTGTTTACACAGCCTGCAATATTTCCCCCATAATAGCCTTTAGCACATCTTATTATAGTTGTCTTTTTTGGTTCATCTTTCCCCAACATTATAAGTTCTATGACAACAATAAACTTTTGTATAGCCAGTACACAACGTAAGCCAAATCAGAATTTTAGTGGCTTCTCAACAATATCTCTGTCTTCACAACAACCTTGTGAGATAGATAAAGATCTTTCTGTGAAAGAGAAAACTGAGTCTCAGAGAGGTTAAGTAACTTGCCCAAGACCACCCAGCTTGTAGGTGAAAAGGCTGAGACTTGAACTTGGGTCCCAGATGATCCAAAGTCCATATCCTTCTATACCCCCATGACCTACTGTCTTTCCTGTCTACTACATGGAGACAGAGTTTACATGTTAATAGAGAATTTCCTTACAGTGACACCCACTACTATGGTCTGATTGTTTGTGTGCACCCAAAATTTATGTGTTGAAATCTGAATCCCCAAGATAATGGTATGAAGAGATGGAGCCTTTGGGAGATGATTAGGTCATGAAGGTGAAGCCATCATAAATGGGATTGGTGCCCTTAGAGGCCCTAGAGAGCTGCCTTGCTCTTCCTTCCACCATATGAAGACACAGAGAGCGGGTACCATCTATGAACCCCAAGACTGAACCCTCACCAGACACTGAATGTGCAGGCACCTTGCTCTTGGGTTTCCAAGCCTCCAGAACTGTGAGCAATAAATTTCTGTTGTCTATAAGCCACCCACCCAGTTTATGGTATACTTGTTATAGCAGCCTGAACAGACTAAGACATCCATGAAAGAGTATTTCTTTCTACCCCCTTTACTCTCCCAGACTCCTTTGGAATGTTTCTTTGGTCCAAACTGCACTGCATTACCCCAAAGCCATAAACATGCAGGAAATTTAAGGGACAAATACTCAGGACATAATACAATGAGCCAGCTTTCCCTCTGGAACCCAAGGTATTTTTCCCTCAACCCAGAATTTGAGAGATCGTGGATGGAGGAATCAGATAATCCAGGTTTGAGCAGTAAGAGGTTCCATCTCTTACTGTGTGACTTTGGACAAGTGGTTTACCCTCTCTGAGCCTCAGTTTCCCCTGCCTGAAATAAGAATATTAATAATGTTAACCTCACAAGTGATGAAAGTTTCATGAATATATATAAAGGAATTTACAGGGCCTGGCCCAGAGCAGACACTCCAAAACAGCAGCTACTTTTATTGTTAGGTTCTTTGATGGGTGGTGGCAAGATTTCCATGCCGTATTCAGAATGGCAAAAGAAAACTGCTCCCCAGAGCAGCTTGGAATCCCAACAGATATACCTCCCCTGCAGGATGACAGTCTACGCAAGGTCTGATTAACTTTGCCAAAGATATTTCTAATTTAAACTGAGTTCTGTTGGACAGCTCAGCTTGTCAGAGGAGAAGAGCGCAACTACCATTGACCTTTTCAAACAAAGTTAATTGCTAGGGTTTTAAGGTTACAGAGCTGAAATTTTGCCATATATTGATCCAGAGGTGCAAATTTCCCTCCTAATTTTTAATTTCCTCTTGAGGAGAAAGTAGGAATTTGCCTTGATACCTTCCATCTTCTCTGAGAGGAACATAAATATTCAGAAAGTTTCCGTGACCAAATCAACAGAGCCAATTATGCAGTGCAATTTCTCAAGGGAAGAATTCAACCAAACTACTTAGTTTTTCATTTATTTAATATTCATTAAGCACCGCCAGTGGGGCAGGCAATGTGGTAGGCTCAGCAGACACAATGGTGAGCTAAATTTTACAGTGGGAGAGATAAATATGAATCAAATGATTAGACAAACAAAGTAAACGTACTGTATTTATATTGAATAAGAGGCATGGTGGGTGGAGCAGGGCAGTGGGAGTGGTCTTCTCTGAGGTGCAGGCAGTAAGTGGTGCCTTGTCTGTAGGGGATTTAGAAGTCAGTCAGTCTTCTTATTGTCAGAAACTCAAACATTATTGCTAATGAAATTCTTCTTCCTCCTGGGGTAGAGCACTTTCACCAACCTTTCTCTTAGATTCACCATGGGATGAGAGAGAACAAGAGGGAAATCAAGATTGCAAAAGTAATCAGGTCACTCAGCAAGACTTCCAGGAATATGTTCAGCTGGAGCCCGAATGGGAAGGAGAGCAGTAGTTAACCAGGCAAACGAGGGAGGGCAGGGTGTCCCAAAGAGAGAGCATGTGTGAGCAATGGTTCTGTGCCCATGGAGAGCACAAGGTACCAGAGCAGGGACCAGACAGGTGACATGCATGAAAGGAGTGGGACAGGTGGGGACTAGGAAACAAGAAAGTACATCCCAGAAAAAAAAAAAAAAGGCAATAACTACTCAGCTGCAGCTGATCCCCTTTCAAGAAAAGCCGGAATTCCTTATTTTTATGCAAAATATGCCTGATTTTTTTCATATTATTGACATCCAATTTAAAAATTAGAACATTAAAAAAAAAACAGCAAAGCACATCACTTGGCTAAGTTGAGCTTGCAACTTGAGCTACTGAAGAGGTGGGTAACAAGGAAGAAGGGGTAAGACGAGAATTAACCATCTCCATGGTGAGAATTACATATGGCTCCTTCCTCAGCATCCTTGGAACATGCATCCAGTCCTCTTCTGAGCCTATTTTTATTGTTTGGTTGTTTGGATTAGGCTTGAATTCATCTCCCTCCCCAAAGACACTATAAACTATTCCAGAGCCGAGATGGCTACCATCACTTTCCCATTCACTCTATTGCTGGATATAGCATTGGGCACTCGCTGGGTGTTCAGCAAGCAGTTCTTTGGTAGAATTTATCAGCCAGATGTCCCATATCATTGCATATTATTTTCCAGCCTCTTTAGTGCACCCAGATGGTTCAAAGCTCACTCTGAGAATACTTTCCATTTACTGAGCACCTGCCATCAACAGGCACCATGCTGACCACTTCACGTGCATCATCTCAATCTATCCTCCCACTCCTCTATGAGGTCTGAACTATTCTACTGCCTATTTAACAATTAAAGAGGTAAAGTTTGGAGAGATTAAGTAACTTTCTGAAAGTCACACAGAAAGTCAGTAGTAAAGCTAGGAACTGACCTCAAGTCATACATACTCCAAAGAGCAAAATGTTAACCATTATACTCCACTAAGGTACAGCCAGAGGAATAACATCAGAAGTTTTTTGGTGTTAAAGATACCAGATCTTGAGAGATCATTAAAAGCTCTACTTAAAAATGCCTGCCATCTTTTTGGACAAACTGCTGTGGGTACAATTTGTTTCGCAGCTTTCAATGGACAGCTATTGTCCACACGCACAGACCTGCTTCCCCTTACCTTCATGGATGCTAGCAGGAGAGAAACTTGGTTCTGTTTCCTGTCATCTCACCGATAACTAAGACAAACACAGACAAACATACCACAAAGCCAGAAGGAAACAGAATCATCCAACTCCCTTATTCTAGCTTTTTCATTTGTAAAACGTATCATGTATTCTAAAGCCTAGGAAGATGTCCATGATACAGGGTTAGGGGAAGAAAGCAGGTTGCAGAAACACATGTAACACAATCCCACTTAAGAATAACAAAAATCATAATCAATAATGTAAGTTTTACTTACATATATGTAATTTAAATGATTCTGTGTGCATGGGGAAGGGTCTATGAGGAAATTCAACAAATTACTAACAGTTCGAGTGGCAGCCTGAGAAAATGTGTGCTTTTCAGTTCTACATTGTTGAAAACTTTACTAAAATCTTATGTTACTGTGTATTTGGAGATAATAAGTCTGAAAGGGAAGTCTACCCTGCTTTGAAGTTTCTTCAAAGTACCTCCCCTTTTGGGCGAGCCTGTCTGCCCCCAGCCGTTTGCCCTGTGCAGCTAAGCATCCCACCCTTGCTCCATCACAAGCAAGGAATGCTTCTTCTCTCACTGCAGACACCGGAGCTGAACTGCCATCAAGCCTTCAGTCTTCTAACATGGATAGAAGATGGACATGCTCACACGTTACATTTTGTCAATAATAATCACAACGGCAGCAACTACTGCCACCATTTACTGAGCACTTTCTCTGGGACACTCAGCTAAGACTTTTACATATTAAACCATTTAGTTCTCTCACACACACACAAAACTGTGAAGAAGCTTCTATTATCCTCTTCTATTTGGAGAAAGGAACTGAGGCTCACAGAGACTGAGCAATGTGTGTAACATCACACTACTAGATGGCATATCCAGGATTCAAGTCCAAGCCTATGCCTATCCATCCAGCTACCAACCCTAGATATTTATAAGAATATATCTGGAAGAATGGGTGCTGCTATATATCATCATTATCATCATCATCATCATCATCATCATCACCAGGCTCAACCTCATCCTCGGGTAAACATGCACTGGGTGCCAGGTATGTGCTAAATGCATTACATTAGACCATTCAGTCAATAATTTGCTCAACTCCATCCTTCTGTAAGACAGGCAACATTACATTACTTACTAATAAAGAAATTGGAATTAAGAGAGATCAAGTCAGAAAGCCACACATCTACAGCCATCTAATCCTTGACAAAGTCAATAAAAGTTAGCAATGGGGAAAGGACTCCCTATTTAATAAATGACGCTGGGATAGCTGGCTAGCCATATGCAGAACAATAAAACTGGACTCTTACCTTTCACCACACACAAAAATTAACTCAAGGTGAACTAAAGATTTAAATGTAAGACCTCAAACTATAATAATTCTAGAAGAAAACCTAGGAAATTCTGGACCTGGGCCTTGGGAAAGACTTTATGACTAAGTCCTCAAACACAACTGCAACAAAAACAATTTCACAAGTGAGACCTAATTAAACTAAAGAACTTCTGCACAGGAAAAGAAACTATCAACAGAGTAAACAGACAACCTACAGAATAGGAGAAAAATGTTCACAAACTATGCATTCAACAAAGGTCTAATATCCAGAATCTATAAGGAACTTAAACAATTGAACAAGCAAAAAACAAATAACCCCATTTAAAAATGGACAAAAGACATAAACAGACACTTCTCCAAAGAAGACATGCAAGTGGCCAAAAAACATTTTTAAATGCTCATCATCACTAATCATCAGCTAAATGCAAATCAAAACCACAGTGAGATACCATCTCACACCAGTCAGAATGGCTACTATTAAAAAATCAAAAAAACAACAGATATTGGCAAGGCTGCACAGAAAAGGGAATGCTTATACACGGTTGGTGGGAATGTAAATGAGTTCAGCCACTGTGGAAAGTAGTTTGGATATTTCCCAAGAACTTAAAACAGAAATACCATTTGACCCAGCAGTCCCATTACCAGGTGTACATCCAAAGGAAACAAATTGTTCTACCAAAAAGACACATGCACTCCCACATTCATCACAGCACTATACATGAGAGCAAAAACATAGAATCAACCTAGGTGCCCATCATTGGTGGATTGGATAAAGTAAATGCAGTATATATATATACACCATGGAATACTATACAACCATGAAAATGAACAAAATCATGTCCTTTACAGCAACATGAGTGAAGCTGAAGGCCATTATCTTGAGGAAATTTTAACACAGGAAGAAAACCAAATACCACGTGTTCTTACTTATAAGTGGGAGCTAAACATCAGGTCCTCAACAATAGACAATGGGGATGACTGGAGGGGGCAGGGAGTGGGGATAAGCACTGAAAAGCTAACTGTTGGGTACTATGCTCAGTACCTGGGTGATGGGATTATTTGTTTATCAAACCTCAGCATCACACAGTATATCCAGGTAACAAACATGCACATGTCCTCCCAAATCTAAAATAAAAGTTGAAAAAGGAAAAAAAAATAAAAATATTAAAAAGTTTAAAAGAATAGAAACAAAAAGAGAAGTCAAGTCAATGGCATATCAAAGATTATCCACAAACTACAAAATAATCAACACCCACACTAAATGTACAAACTTAGTGTTATCAGAACAAAGCTAATTTACCATTTGATTTTTCTTTAAGTTAGTCTCAAGATTACTCCAGCGTACCTTAACAATTTACTAGTTTCTGCTCTGTAGTTTAAACTGCCATAGTGATCCAGTTCTCTCTTCTATTATTATTATACTTCAGATTGAGTCAAGAGAAGGTTAGAACATTTGTACAGCAGAGAAATGTCCTTACCTTTCACAATGGTGAGGGAAGAAATTTAAAACTTCCCTTAACATCTGCCATCCTTATTACATGAATAAAATGTCAGTGGAAACACAAATCATTATGAGATCTATAAATACAAAAGCAGGTTCTACAATAGTGTCAAATGTATCAAATACGTCCAATGTCAAAATCTGAGCTGGCACATAGAGCTAATATGCTAAACAACCTACTGTTTCCCCGCTTCCTCAATTAATCTCAGGGAATCACTTCATCTGTAAATAAAGAATTTGTATATCTTATAAAGCCATGACGTTTTTAAGTTGAAAAAGATATAGTCTAATCCAGACCCAGAGATGTCAATGGCTTTCCCATCATTGAATGAACTCCACAGACAGCAGCAGCAACTAGATTCTAAAAGGGGTGCTAATGTCTGCACACAGCAGCTCACACCTGTAATCCCAGCACATTGGCTGAGGTGGAAGAACCATGATATAGTTTGGCTATGTCCCCACCCAAATCTCACCTTGAATTGAAGCTCCCATAATTCCCATGTGTTGTGGGAGGAACCCGGTGGGAGATAATCGAATCATGGGGGCGGTTTCCCCCATACTGTTCTCCTAGTACTGAATAAGTCTCACAAGATCTGATGATTTTATAAAGGGGTGTCCCCTTTCGCTTGGCTCTCATGCTGTCTTGTCTGCTGCCATGTAAGACATGCCTTTCACCTTCCACCATCATTGTGAGGCCTCCCCAGCCATGTAGAACTGTTGAGTCCATTAAAGCTCTTTTTCTTTATAAATTACTCAGTTTCAGGTATGTCTTTATCAGCAGCGTGAAAATGGACTAATACAGACCACTTGAGGTCAGGAGTTTGAGACCAGCCTGGGCAACATAGGAAGACCCCTGTCTCTAAAAAAAATAATAATTTTTAAAAAATTAGCCAGGTATGGTGGCATATGCCTGTAGTCCCAGCTACTCAGGAGGATGAAGTGGGAGGATCACTTGAAGCCAGGAGTTCAAGGCTGCAGTGAACTATGATCACACCACTGCACTCCAGCCTGGATGACACAGCAAGACTCTGTCTCTAAGAAAAAATAAATTTTTTAAAAGGTGCCAGGAAGGAGGCTTACAGGGGAAAATAGCAGTCATGCTTGGCTCTCTGAACAGCATCTTAGTCCAGTTCCAGCAAGTCTTCACATGCTATTCCATGACTGGGAGATGGAACAGAAGGGATTTAGCCAGGTTACTCCTCCTCCCTCTCATTCAGAAGATAAATTAGCTGTAGGACAGGACAGTGCTGGGTTGGGAGTGCTATAAGGTTTGACTATCACCTGAGGTCACATAATCAATGATCCTATAAAAATGACTTAAGTAAGAATCCAGGACATATTAGTACGCTACATAAAAGAGGCAGAAAACAGCTAAGTAAACCAAAAGGAGAGATGAATATGTGGCTATAACCTTATTCCTTATATAAGCATATGTGGTCTCGTTGGACATTCTGTGTTTCTATATATTAACAATCACAGTAATTACCGTACAACAAAACATATAATCAATAAGAATTCAAGTCTCTATCCATTCTCATGGGTCTTGATAAAACATAGGATATTACTCACATACATCAAAACACCTTTAAGAACTACTCTGTACCCAGTTCTTACACTCATTGTTCTCCAAACGGAAATTAGCTGTTCCCAGATTCTCACTACTTCTGAAATCTTTCCTGGAAACCCAGCCTATATGGCTTTCTTCTGACCTTCTCCCCTCTACACTTGGCCCCATTTTTTGCTTATTTGTTTATTTTCTCATTTGTTTCATTAGGAAAAGCCCTTGAGCCTCTCTGACAGCTCCACTTTTGTTTTCCTTTGCCCATTACTCAGATTCTGCTCAATAAAGGCAAGTTGAGGGCTGATACCCTATGCAAAATTCATTTTTAGAAGGCAAGGGAAAGAGAAAGACTGAAAAATATATAAATTAATCTTGTTCATCCCATTTAAATACAAACGTACATGGATTTGCAAGATTTATTTCTGTATGTAGACTGAAAAACTTGTTATTGTCTTTTGATCATAGCAGCTTGTGGTAAAAGCTCTCTGTTTATACCCAACATAATGCCAAGAGCCTGCACAGACATCACAGCATCTAAGAACTCGATCATTGAGGAGGACGTAATGGCAATCAGGTAGGAAAGCTCAGATCAGCCTCTTAGAGTTCAGACAGGAATTTTTAAAATCTGTAGCATTATTAGTAGACACTCTGAAAGCCCTTCCTGAATTCAATCGTGCTGAGGAAGGGATAAAGCTGGATACTTCCAAGGCCCCAAGAGTGCTCTTGTTTTTTAAAAACAATTGTTAGGTTGTTTGGTGTTTGATTTAATTAATGGCAAAAGGCTTTGCTCTCATTTTTCATTATTAAACCCAATTTTTATTCCTTTAATTGAAATGTGCATAAAATGTCCTTTACTCCAGCTCTGTTAATGAGACTAAACAGACACATACGACTTCATCTAAGCACACCCAACCATCTACTCTTCTGTGCTAATTTCTATGGATGGAATTTTAGGGATTGCCTCTATTTGCTTCACATTTTGGTCCTGAGAACATGAGATGGGGAGGCCTGTTTGGAGGAAGTGGAGAAAGAAAAAGACAACAAATTATTATTATTCAGTGCGTTCATTTGATACCTTGATAAATCAAACAGGAAATCAATAGTCACCATAAGCCTCTCAAATCTACTTTTCTTTTGTCAATTGGGGACGTTACTTCTGTTTCCCAATCCTAGTAACTACAAAGCCCAATATTTCATTATGCCCCATCTCCGCTATTACAAGATTTAATTTGGGGAAAATGCAAACTGCTTTTTAACCATCTCTCTCTCAATGTTAAAAAATGGCTTTTATATTCAAATCGATCTGATAGAAAATATTTTAAAAGCTTGTCATTGCCCATTGCAAATGCTTGCTAGGACACTCTGGTGTGTTTCACCATTATTAAAACAGCAACAAAAAATAAATAAATAAAGTAAAACAAAAAGAAAGCCCATCTGGGGCCTGGGTAATGCAATGATTGGGAAATCATATCTGTTTGGGTAGAAGATTAGAATCAAAGAATGCAACCATTTTCATCATCAGTATAACTCTTTGTAACTGATTTCAGAGACGGCCCCAAATGGACGGAACTGCTCTTTTATTACCCACATTGATAAATGTGCATCAATTTTTCATTTTGAAGCGTTATTTCCTTTTGCAATTTGCCAAGTGCCTTTTCATGCCCTGCGTGAAGACTGTCCCACGAACGAAGCTCCTTCGGGGTAGACAAGTTAATTATCTGACTGCCACTCTGATTGTTGGCTGCTGGAAATAAAAGTCTTTACCAGCCCTGATGGTGAAGCGCCAACACTGCTGGTTGACAATGATGTCAAATTCCTATAGAAGCAGTTCAGGGACAGGTAGGAGATCCACCGCTGAAAACCCAGACTTGGAATGGGGCAGGTCTGGATGCAAATTCCGTACTTCCTGGTATAACTTTAGGCAAGTTATTCAATTTCCATGAGCCTCAGCTTCTCCATCAGTAAAATGGAGATAAAATGTGTTCCGAACTTCTAAGATTGTTACAAAGATTAAATAGCATGATGTATACTGAGCTCTTGACACACAGTAAGCATTGAATAAATACTTCTGTTTTGATCATCCGCAACAAGTGCACAATTTCCTTCTATTCACCAGACAATAATGACAGTTATTTCATGGTGCTTCCCTAGACATTACTTCAGAAACATTTCCAACAGACATATTTCTTCCACTTTATGAATGTTTAGTGATGCATATTAGTGGCCTCGGAGGGGATGTTGAAAAGTGTTTCTCCTCAGTCTGGCTCCTCAAGACTCTTGGTGAACATGTATAACACATAGCTGCTGGTTGGGAACAATTTTCAAGAGGCAAATTAATATTCCTAGGGACTTCCTCCTTTTCCGTAAGCATACATATGTGACTGCTACTTCCACAAGTATATTCTTTTTAGTCATCTAATTACAAAGGTGCAAAACTGAAGGGCCTAGAACAATGCCATTCCCTAGTTAAAATAATTAGTTTGCTATAAAAAAAAAAAAGGGAAAGAAGAGGGCAGGAGAGTCCCTTTGGTTTAGTATTTAAATATTCAAGCTGTGGGGTGTGTTTTCTAATCGGAATTTCAGAAGAGGAAAATAAACAGTACAAGAGCCAAATATGTATTAATTATGGTTTATTTATTTAATGCCACCGATGTGTATCAAGCTATGCAAAAGGTAAATTGAAGGCGGAATTGAAGGGCAAAAATAAGGCGTCAGTTCAAGAGAGCTGACTGAATATTTTACATAGAAATCGGTGACTGATGATGATAAGAACCTGTAGTAAAATCCACAGTGGAGATGGAGTAGGGACAAGGTTGAGGGGATGAGAAGAGAGGACTGAAAGAGAGAACAATGTAAACACTGTTTAAGATACTGGCCATGCTATGACATGGCCAGGGAAAAGTCCCTCTCCCCCCTCCTGGCTTCTCAGAAACCTTCGTGGATCACATTAGATAAGATTCCAAATCAGACGCAGTAGTGTAGACCTCCTGACCACATAGTTTACCACTGATTTCTTTTTTTATATTAATTTTTATTCCCTATTACACATACTATTTTTGTATCATACTTTAAGTTCTGGGGTACATGTGCAGAATGTGCAGGTTTGTTACATAGGTATACATGTACTATGGCGGTTTGCTGCACCCATCAACCCATCACCTACATTGGGTATTTCTCCTAATGCTATCCCTCCCCCAGCCCTCCATCCCCCGGACAAGCCCCGGTGTGTGGTGTTCCCCTCCCTGTGTCCATGTGTTCTCATTGTTCAACTCCCACTTATAAGTGAGAACATGCAGTGTTTGGTTTTCTGTTCTTGTGACAGTTTACTGAGAATGTTTATCACTAATTTCTAGTCATGCAGAAAGCAGGCTCAGGATGCTTCTGGTAAGATAATCCCTCTTTGATGAGTTAACATAAAGAAAATCACCAGTCCTGACAGCAATGTGTAACTGTGGATACTTATGGATGCAATGACTGAAGTGTTGCTGCTTAAGAAATGCCTGCTGGATGATTCCAGAACTTAGGCTCATCCAGAACCCTGCTGGATGATCCAGAACCCACACTGGTTCTGGATGATTTCAGAACCCCTGGTTCATCCAGAACACCTGTTAGATGATTCCAGAACCCACACGACAGGCTTGTGTGAGTCATTTTACAACAGCGGGAACCGCAGACCATCCCCTTGATTTGATTTCCTAAAAAGACCTTATTATTTTTGATCACCTTTACTGAGGCTTAAGTTACATACAATTCACTCATTTTAAATGTGCACATCAATGAGTTTTGATCAATGTGTACAGTCACATAACCACTATAGAAGCCTGATATAGAAGATTGCCATTATCCCAAAAATGTTTGGCATGTCCTTTTGCAGTCAGTCTTTACCCTCACTCCAGGCCCTCGCAACCACTGATCAACTTTCTATCAATAAACTTTTACCTCTTCTAGAATTTCACATGAATGGAATGATACAGTATGAGGTCTCTTGAGTCTGGCTTATTTCCCTGCAATAATGCCTTTGAAGTTCATACATGTTTTAGTACGCATTCACCGTTCAGCCCTTTTTGTTGCTAATAGTACTCTGTTGTATGGATAAACCACAGTTGGCTTATCCAAGGACATTTGGGTTGCTTCCAGCTTGGTGCTATTATGAAAAAAAGCTGCTATGAACATTCAAGTACAAGTCTTTGTGTGAATCGATATTTTTATTTTTTTCTGAGAAAATACCTAGGAATGAGTTGCCTGATCATATAGTGACTGTTATTTCTGTTAACAAGAACTGTCACGATGTTTTCTGCAGAGGCTACAACATCTTGCATTCCCATCCTTGTTAACACTTGATGCTATTAATATCAGTCATTAATTTTAACCATTCTAGTGGATGTGGAATGGAATCTCATTGTGGTTTTAATTTGCATTTCTCTAATGAGCAATAATGTTAAGCATATTTTCAAGTACTTATTTGTCATTCATATCTATTTTTGGTAAAATGACTATTCAAATCTCTTGACAATATTTTTGGTGGGTTATCTTTTTATTGAGTTGTAAGGGCTCTTTATGTACTCAGGACAGAGGTTCTTGATCAGATACTTATTTTGCAAATATTGTCTTTCTTAATATTTTGACAGTGTCTTTTGGAGAGGAAAAGATTTTAATCTGGACAAAGTTCAATGTATCAATTATTTCTTTCATAATTGTTTTTGGGTCCTATCTAAAAATTTTTGTCTAACCCAAGGTCAAAAAAGATTTTCTCCTACTTTATGTGGAAATTTTATACTATTAGATCTTACAGTTAGGGCTATGATCTATTTCACTTTAATTTTTATGTATGAAATGAGGCAGGGATTGAGGTTCATTTTTGCATGTGAATATCCAGTTGTTTCAGCACCATTTCTGAGAAGATGACTGAATTGTTTCTGCACAAAGCTGGTCAATGCCTCTTTGTAGCTAGCCATAACGGCAATATCTGGAGTGAAAGGTGAGGATAAGACGATTTTGAAATAATGATGGAGCTGTCAATACACATATTATGAAATATCACTCTCCAGCCATTTAAAATGATGATAAAGTTCTATATTTATTGATGCTATAAAGATTAAGTGATGAATACAATACCCCAAAACAGAACACATGGGGTGATTTAATGTTTCTAAATAGAGTATGAGACAAAATAAGATACACAGAAACAGACTGACTGACTAAAAGACCTACTCTGAAAAGCTAATCATGATCATCTCTAGGTGTTGAATTAAGAGTGGTTTCTATTTTTTGTAAATGTTTAAAGGTTTTCAATATGTCTGGGAGATATATTTATGCTAAAAAAAAAAGCTATTTCTCTTTTTAAAACATTGTTGTGGGTGGAAAAAAACAGAAATAAGGGTGAGCTATTGTTGAAGTTTTATAGGGCGAATTCATTCCATTTACTACTATAAAGTCTTAATGAGTCTCAATGCCACATGAATAGCGTTGAAAAAAATGCCAATACAGTTCCAAACAAGGTACAATTAACTGTAAAATACATTCTGACATCTGCAACTCCTGTATCCAAGGATGCTGAAGTTGAATGTATGACAGGATGAAAGTTCTGGGAAACATAAATAATGGCAGAAATTAGCAGCCAAGTTATCTCAGGTCTATTTTAATTCATATTCAATTGTTTATGGCCATAAGGCAATATCAAGCTACTTTCTAAAGAATCTTGGTGTGTCTCCTAATAACCTATAATTGGATGGTCTACCTTGCAAATTATCTGCAGTGGCTCCAGAATTACTATCCCCATTCACCCCAGGAGCTCTTCAGCTGAGTGGGATCATGTAACCCAACACCTATCAAGAGCAGAGCTTAAAACCGATTCAAAGAAAAGAACAAGATAAAGGAATTGGGGATGGATTAGCATAGAGAAGAGATGCCTGAGGGACTTCTAAATTACTGCTTTCAAATTTTTGATAGTGAAATTATTAACCAGTTGGACAAAAAACAGAAGGGAATTAAAATTAAAATTAGAAAGATTTCACTTTGGCCAAAGGGTATATTTTTTTAAATAACATTCTTCTGTTCATTCACCAAACATTTTTGGAGCCTCCATTTTAGTCTGGGCTATTCCAAGGAGCTGAAGTTTTTCAGTGATGACCAGTCAGGGTCTCAGATTCTAAGGGGCTTAAAACTGGATGGAGCTGGATGTCAAAGTTATAAAATGCCAGGAAAAGGCCATTGAAACTGATTAAAAGTCTCCTTGCATTGTCGAGCTTGATAACATTACTTGCCCCAGAATTATTAGACATCTTTCTGCTGAAAACAGGCACTGAGCCATGCATTCTTTCAGGTCACTCCCAGCTTTGGGAAGCCATTCCTTTTGGAATCTTTAGTCCACTACTTTAGACTCATGTTAACTTCTGAATTTTAGTTTTAAGACTACTTTTTAAGATACTGTTTTTGAGCACATATTCTGTGCCAGTTATTTCAGTAAGCACTTTACACATATTATATATTCTACTTAATTCTCCCTATTACCAGGCAATATTAGTGTCCTCATTTAACAGATGAGATAAGTGAGGCTCCAGTGGCTTAAGTAAATTACAAAGTGAGACAGCAACAGATGTGAGATTTCAATCAGTCTGTTTGACTCCAAAGCTCTTAACCATCTTTCTCTACTGTGTGTCTTTTATCCTTGAAATCATCCCATAAATGAAGGGTTTTGTAGATGGCTGATTAAGACAGCAACTCCTTCCCTAAATATAGGCAGGAACCTAGCCTGGGTATAGGGTATTTCTAGCATAAATAGCAATATCCTGTCCTTTGGGGCCATAAGCCAAAGGACTCCAAGGTTCTGGCACAGGAGGCAGTCCAGTGTACGCAAACACCTGCAGTAACACTCACCAAGTTCAACACCAAATCATAACACAGAAGTTTGCTCTTTTGTAGTTCTGCCCCTGTTCTGACTCCTGGATTCAGAAACAAGCCTCACATCATGAAGTGGGAGTGTTCAGTAAGGATTTGAGCCATAAATGAGGAAAGCATTTAAGTATACAATGGATTGATGCTTCCCTCCCCCACCTTTCACCATCCCTTGTGAATACTGTTCCCTGCTTATCAAGGACATGATGAGTAATTCTGGCTAATTAATTAGCTCCAACTCTTCCTGGCTTTGGGACAGAAACAGTCATTTAACTTTCCTAATCTTCAATTTCCTCATAGATTTATCATGACGACTGCACACCATAATATGGCCATTATGATAAAAGTATACCTTTTAGCATTTATGAAGCACTTCTTGTGTGCTAGGCACTTTATTAAGTGCTTTACCTGCATATGTCACTCAATACTCAAAACAACCCTATGAGGTATGTGCTTCTATCATCCCCACTTTTCATATGAAGAAACCTACAGAGTGGTAGAGCCAAGAGTCAGAACCAGAGTATGTGACTTTTGAGCCCATGTTCTTTTTTTCCCTAAATCAGGGGTCAGACAATTATGGCCCATGGACTAAATACAGCCTGTCACCTGGTTTTGTAAACAAACTTTTATTGAAAACAGCTACATCCATTTATTTACATATGATCTGTGGCTACTTTCACATTATAATGGCAGAGTTGAATAGCTGCAACAGAGACCATGTGGTCCACAAAGCCAAAAATATTTACTATCTGGTCCTTTACAGAAAAAGTTGGCCAATTTTTGCTCTAAACACAATCTTCAATAACTGTCTTCAGCTCTAGTTGACAGGCAGGAAGTCATAAAGTTGATCCGTGATCTCGATGACCACATTGTATTGAGTCACTAAGGCAAGACTCTTGAGGCCTTTAGCAAACTGTTTATTATTAATTTCTAGTGTTGCAGCCCAATTAGTTATTCTTGCCCACTGCATATAAATGCCAATATACTGGGACAGCAGTATTGCAGCAGAGAAAGAGCTTATCACAAGGCAGCCAAGTGGAAGGACAGGAGACATTTCTCAAATCCACCTTCCAGAGAACTCAGAGACTAGAGTTTTTAAGAATAATTTGGCAGGCAAGGGGACTAAGGCGTGGGCACTGCTGATTGATTGGAAATGAAGTCATAGGGGTGTTGAAACTATCTTCATGCACTAAATAAGTTTCTGGGTAGGGGTCACAGGACCATTTGAGTCAGCTCCTTGGTATGAGTCACAGGTCTAGGTGGAGTCAGTCTGTTGCCAGAATGCAAAAGTCTGAAAAATATCTCAAAGACCAATCTTAGGTTTTACAATAGTGATGTTATCGATGGGAGCAATTGGGAAAATTAAAAATATTGTGACCTGCAGCTACAGGACTCCTAGCAGAAAGCAGTTATGAAAAGGCAAGTTATAAAATGCCTATGTTAGATTTTAACTGTGCCTCCATCCTAACAGAATGCAGGCACTTACCATAATTCTAACCTTGTGGCCAATTTGTTGGTTTTACAAAGGCAATTTCAGTCCCCAAGTGAGGAGGGGGTTAGTTTTGGGAAGAGACTGTTACCATCCTTGCTTTAAACTATAAACCAAATTCCTTCCACAGTTAGCTTGGCCTATACCAAGGAATGAGCAAGAACAGTTAGTGTGTGAGTGTGTGAGATTAGAAGTAAGATGGAGTCAGTTATGTGAGATTTCTCTCACTGTCATAATCTTTGCAAAGGCAATTTCACTAGGAAAGGGCAGAGTAAGCAACACTCCTAAATCTTGCTTGGCCAAGAGTCCTTTATTTGGTAGAGCATCTGGTAGGACTAATGCTCCCAGAATACACTTCTGGGAATGTGGTTCTAGACAGTCCTGGAGCAAATCAGTCTTTGCGAATGTTCAAAATCTGTAAAAGAAAGTAATACTGGGTAGAGATCCTCCCAAAGCCTAAACCTGTGGTTCAGGGGTCTACCGCCCACTAATCACTAGACTTTCCTTTTGAAAGACAAGAAAAGGCATGAGTCATAGGCAAGCGCCTTTTCAAGCATAACTGTGAGCTATGTGGGGACTTTGGGAATCCAGCCCCCAAATTTTAGCCAAATATCAGTGAAAAAGCCATTATTGATTCCATCAATAAGTAGTTGCTGAAAACCAAAAGTAACCTGGACAGTAACCATTTCCCCCAATATCCTGTATTCTATAGGGTATTTTAGAAAATAAATATGAACGAGCAATTTTCATAACATTCTGTTTAGATTTCTGTGATTTTGAAAAATAACACTCCCAGCTTCCATAGCTCTAATCATCATAGAAACTCCTTTGCCTCTCATCCTCTGGGCACCCCCTCCTTTTCCTGCAGGTATTTATGTGGCTGAGTACCAAAGCAATAGGAAGAGATGAAGGAAAGGGTGTGATATGTTGGTAAGTGGAGGTGGGATGAGACCACGGTTTTCAGGCTTGACTTTGTGAGAGTCATGCTTTTCAAAAACACATTTGCAAGTCTGATTTAAGAAAATAATTTCACAAAAACCCTGCCAGCATTCTCAGGAGGATACTTTCCTCATCTCCCACTGTCGGATATTAGAAGGTTTTGAGGCTTTTTGAATGAAGACTTTGGGATCACAAATCCCTACCTGAAAAGATTATCAGGGAATAATAACAGAGATCTATTAAACCCTATTACTCAACTTACCTAATTAACACCCCAACAAATTTACCTACATAATTTTCTTGTATTGATATACAAAGACGAGATGTAAATAACATTGCCAACCCACCATAATAAAAGCAGCTAATAAATTATTAAACATTCCCTAGGCTGATAATAAGCCAGGCACTTTACATATATCATCTCATCTTATCTTCATCCCAGCCTGTAGCTGATATTAACGCCTCTCTTTCACGGTCAGGGAATTAGAGCTCAGAGAGGTTAAGTAAACTGTCCAAGGTAACAGAGCAATGAAATCAGGATTTAAACTCTTGCCCGAATGCCCTAGCCTAGGCTTTAAGTCACTCACTGTGGATTCCACATCGAAGAGAAGCAGACAGAACTCTGGTAGCAGTTGTCATCTTAATCTCAACATGCTATTTGAGGTTTTGTGTTTTCTTTTTGCTTCCAAGTAAGATTTACCAAAACAGAGCTCCTCATAAAGCCACATTTGATCAGGATTAAGAAGCCGACAGTGAAGCTATTTAGACAAAACCTCACGTAGTCTTACAGCAGGAAAATATCCACCTCCACGCCACACCCCACTCCACCACCACTGCCTTCCTTTATTTGGAAGCTTTTCAGATTTTTATGCTAACACACTGTGGGAGTTTGACATGGCCCACCCTGAGAGCTGAGAATTTTTTTTTTTTTTACATTTTTATCCTGTGTTTCAGGAAAATTGAAGAGAGAATGAAAAAAAAAAACAGGAAGAGGCTGCTTATCTTTTTAGCACTCATTGAAACAATTCAGAGTCACATTTGACGTAGTTTCCTAAATCATCAAGCAATTATTTTCTACCACAAGAAAAAATTGTCAGTTAGACAGGAAGCCAATTCAACAACTCTTCCAAAATCTAGGGATTCAACATTAAAATCTCCACTAACAAACTAGTGCTAGTATTAAAAATCATAACAATAACATTTGTATTGCTCACCATAGTCAAAGCTTTGTGCTGAGTGATATATATGCATAATCATATTTGACTATTATAACCTTATAAAGTAAGAGCTCTTATTATTCCCACTTTACACGTAAGGAAAATGAGGCTCAGAAGGATTAAGGGATTCCACCACTTTACCAATAACATAGCTGGGATTCGAACCCAAAGCCCGAGTCCACAGTCCAGACTACTAACTATTCCTCTGTACTCAAGGTCAGCACAAGTTTGCTGTAAAAGGCCAGTTAATATTTTCAGCATTTCAGGCTATGAAGTATCTATGGACCTCAACTCCGTTGTTATAGCACAAATGCAGCATAGACAAGAAGTGAACAAACGGGCAGGGCTGTGTGGCAATAAAACTCTTTTATATTAATACATTCTAGCTGTATTTTCACAGTACATGTGATAATCTGATACATTCATATAATTAAATCAGGGCAATGAGGATAGCCATCACCTTAAACATTTACTTCAAGACAGTAGGAACCTTCAAATTATTCTCTTCTAGTTATTGTGAAATGCACAAAGGATTAATGTTATCTATAATCACCCTCATGATCTATTGAACACCAGGTCTTACTTCTTCTATCTAAAGCCAACGTAACTTTGTTCACAAAAGCAGGCAACCAACCAGATTTGGCCCAGGGGTCATAGTTTGTTGACCTCTGTTCTATTCCTTTATGAAAGAGGGAAGATTTGAGCTGAATCTGTTAAGGATGGAGTAGATTTCAACCGGTGAGGAGAGGAAGAAAAGAAAAGAAAAAATACAGAGGTTTGTAAGCAGGTATATATACAAGCCACACCTTATATGGGAGGGTTAGGAACCTTTCTTTGAAGAAGTGATATTTGAGTTAAAGTTGTTGTTTTTTTTTTTTAAGAAAATCATCAAACAATCAAACAAAACAAAAACTATCCATTGGTTCACAGAATTGGAGAGTCTAGAAGCACTTCGAGCTTCACATGTGGCTTGATGCAGGTGCTCAATCAATGTCACTCACAGAAGGCTGAACAAGCATAAAAATGCCTTCATTTGCTCAAGAAACATTTATGGAATTTCTTTTTTTTTTTTTTTTTTTGAGATGTAGTTTCACTCTTGTCTCCCAGGCTGGAGTGCAATGGCATGATCTCGGCTCACAGCAACCTCCACCTCCCAGGTTCAAGCGATTCTCCTGCCTCAGCCTCCCGAGTAGCTGGGATTACAGGCACCCGCCACCACGCCTGGCTAATTTATGTATTTTTAGTAGAGACGGGGTTTCACCATGTTGGCCAGGCTGGTCTTACTCCTGACCTCAGGTGATCCACCCACCTTAGCCTCCCAAAGTGCTGGGATTACAGGCATGAGCCACCACGCCCAGCCCTATTTATAGAATTTCTTCTTTCACATGAGCCCTCTCTTAGCGCTAAGAGTACCCCCAATGAATAAGGCTCTGTCTTTGACTTCAAGAAGGTCCCAGTCCAGTGGGTGCCACCATAGGAGAGAGTCTGCCTGAGGGTAAAATTCACACAGAAGAAAACAGGACTGAGAAGTGGAGAGGAAGAGAGACTTGGTGGCATTGATGAAGCATCTGGATCAAGCCATGCCTGAAACTAGACCTACATCTCGACTTTTCAATTCCAGGAGCCACTGATTTCCTTCTACTTTGTTTCTTGTTTCTTCCTGGTTGAAATAACTTCAACTCAAATATTCCTTCTTCAGAGAAACTGAAGCTGACCATCCAATATCAAGCTAGGTCTTCTCATATATCCTTTCATAATGCCTAGTACTTTTTTTTTCAGTGCACTTATCACAATTTCAGTTAAGTTATGTAATTGATATTTTTAGCAGCAATCTCTCTTTGGAGCTCTAAGAGGGCTCCCATATTTTGGTCCATAGTGAGTGCTAAATAAATTCATTGTTTTTAATGTTCTAGAGCATGATATGGTTTGGATTTGTGTCCCCACCCAAATCTGATGTAGAATTGGAGAAGGGGCCTGATGGGAGGAGATCAGATCATGGGGGTGGATTTCCCCCTTGCTGTTCTCATGATAGTGAGTTTTCCCAGGATCCGATGGCTTAAAAGTGTGTGACAGTTCCCCACTTAACTCTCTCTCTCCCTCCTGCCACCACTGAAGAAGGTGCCTGCTTCCCCTTTGCCTTCTGTCATGATTGTAAATTTCCTGAGGCTTCCCAGTCACGCTTCCTGTTAAGCTTCTGGAACCATGAGTCAATTAAACCTCTTTTCCTCATAAATTACCCAGTCTCAGGTAGTTCTTCATAGCAGTATGAGAATGGACTAATACAGAATCATTTTAGGTTCACAGAAAAATTAAGCAGAAAGCACAGTTTCCATATACCTCTTGCCTCCACCCCCACCCCTCCCCCCATCCCCCCCCACACACACATACATACAACTTTCCCAACTATCAACATCTTACACTAGGGTGATACATTTATTACCATTAATGAACCTACAATAACACATCATTATCACCCAAAGTCCACAGTTTACATTAAGGTTCACTCTTGGTATTGTACATGCTAAGGGATTTTGACAAATGTACAATGCCATGTATTCAACATTGTAGCACATTTTCACTGCTCTAAAAATCCTGTTCTCTGCTTATTCATTTCTCCCTTCACCCTAAATGTACTACCCTGGTAAAAAAAAAAAAATTTACAAAACAAACAAAAGCCATATTTTTATGTCTTTGCTAAATGGGATTCTGGCATCTCTTCTGGTCTTTTCTTCCAGCCTCTAGGATGGTTCCCACGAGTTTATCATTCCACGCCTAGGTTAGGGATGCCTCCTGAGAGCTAGAATCAGTGCTGTTAAGCTCATCAGGGAGGAGCACAGGGCACTCCACAAAGTCTTAGGAAGGCAGCAAGGAAACATCTAGGCTTATGCTCTCCATAGCTTTCATTCTATTTTTTAAACTAGCAGCCCAACTGCTTTTTGTCCTGAGTGCCAAAATGCATCTGGAATGAGGCATAATCCTCCCACTTCCAACAGACTCACTTGGTGTAATGTCACAGGTAAATGTATCAGAACCCAGTAGATGTTCTACTTATGATAATTGCTCTGAAATGTTACTAACACTTCTCAAAATATAGGTGTTGCCTTGGAGCATGTGATGAGAATGCAGTTTGCCTCTTTTCTGTCTCTTCATCTTGGACTCCCTCACATAGCAAAATGCTCCCAACAGTTAACGATTCTGTTTTCTCGGTTTATTTCAAGGGAAAGGTATTCCAAGCCTCATGCTTCAGGACTTCCTATCTGACCTCAGTAATGCAACTTATGTCGTATTTATCATTGCCAATATTAAAGAAAAGAATATGGGTTGCCCCCCAAAGTCACTGAAAACACTCGCTCTTTCAATTCTTGTCTGCCTGCTAGGTTTTATGACAAAGACAGATTGGGAGAGTAGGTGGTGATACGATGTGGAGTACACCTTCCTGTTTGAAGGCAATGAGTATACTTCAGCACCAACTAATTCAGTAATAAGAGACCGCATTGCTGCATTTCCAACATCTGCCTCCTGAGAAAAGTCATAAAGCTCATCCATGGCTTCTCCTGGCCTTTACTTCCTGCCTGATCCTCAAACCGTCCCCCTTCCGTCCCCACTGAGGGGTGCAAAGCATCAGCCACAGGAGAATGAGATTTTCTCTGTTCTGGGATGGGGTGAGGCTCCAACACCTTGAGCTTTACCACCTTAAAGAATAGATCCTGCAAGGAACGGGCAAGAGAACAATTGACAGGATTTGGGACTCTCCTTATACGATGCTTCATTCATTCAACAGATATTTATTGAGCTTGTTCTATCTGCCAAATAGAGCTCTGGGGATGCGACGATGTGAAGGAAAGAAAAAAAAAGATGATGGCTCATGCCTTCATGAAGCTAAAAATCTATTCAGAAGACAAATGTTGATCACACAAATGGCACAAATACATGTAAAAACCCCAACTATGATTAATGAGCTGTGTTGCCTGCAATAAGCTGCATCTCCAGATCCCACCACAAGATGACAGTTTCATTCATATTTTATGTTCTATCGACAAGCTATCCTGTAAATTTCATCCACATTTGGAACCCACCAAGAGCTCGCACGATATCAAATATACAGGGCTTTTGTGCAATTTCAAAATAAAGGGTGGCTCTGGTTGGAAGTAAAATTTCCAGGAAAAAAAAAAAAAGCCTTTTTAGTTACCTAGCCTAGCATGAGGGGAGAATATCAAGCAATAGTGTATGTGTGTGTGTGTATGGCACTGCAGAAGGAGAGAAAAAAACACCAGAAAAGTGGGGACACACCTGCTCTACACACACACACACACACACACACAAGTGCATACTCTCGAATTCAAAATGGAGGAAGCTTGAATGCTTCCTGGGTTGCCATTGCTGTTTGTTGCCGTGTGTTAATGACAGAGCATTGCACTTCTCTCCGATGTACACAAACAAAGCTGAGAGCTGTTAATAGGTTTGAAATGACATTACGGATTGCTCAAAACAAAACTGTTACTGTTTCAGAGGCAGACCACAAGGGAAAGAAAACTCAGAGTAGATAAACCCGCCCAGAATCCCCCTGATGTGGGAATAAAACCACAGTCTCAAATTTTTTATTCCACACCAAGGCCAGAGACTGGAGGAGACACCAGTGGAAAATCTGCTCAACTTCAAGAGTTAGCTGTCACATCACTGTGGCTAGACACCAGCTCCCTCCATGCCAGTCTCTGCTGGAGTCAAAGACTGAAAAGAAAATTCCAAATCCAGTTCTGGTCACCAATCTAAATGATTAACCGAGCCCCATTCTGCATACAGGTAGCTGTGCTTCCAATAACCGCAAGTAATTAGCTACTTCGTGATTCTAAGAGAGCCTCTTCAAGAACTGTTTCAGCCATCCATGCACCAACTGGTTAAATCATGTTGCTGTATCTCTGATTTCAGACTGGGTCCAATTTTCAGCTCTGCCAGTTGCTGTGTGATATCAGGCAAGTTATCTAACCTCTCTGAGACCCAGTGTTTTATTCTGCAAAAATAGGAATAAAAGGTAGTTACTATTCACTCCAGTTCTGAAATTGTCTGCATGGATTGAATGTGAAAAAATGTGTGAAGTAGTAAGCAGAGTAGGAAGCTCACATTTTGTTTATCTCCCACCAATTTAGTGCAATATTAAGCTAGATATTTTTCTAAGCTCTTGAAAATTATTAATCCATTTAATCTTCATACCATTATTTTCTCTTTTCCAAAGAAGGAAACTGAGGTATAGAGGAATAAAGGATATCTCCATGGTCACAGCTTGGAGAGCTATGACTCACATTCACAGCTGGCTCCAGAATCCATGCACCTCACCACTGCACTTAGTTGGGAATTGAGAAATGTTTATCAGTCTATTTCATCCCTCATTTCAAGCAGTCTCCAAATCCAGCTGATTTATCTTGCCTTTGATGGATTTCACTCAACTCAACCAACCTTTCCATTCCACTGCCACCCTTTACAAAATTCTGGTCTTCTACTGTCTAATCCACACTACACGTGATTTAAAAAAATCAAGTCTGAAATATTACTTTCCTGCCTGCCCATCCTGCTGAAACCCATTCCATAGCTCCCCTTTTCTTGCAAGATGAAGCCCAAACACTGGTGGGTCCTTTTCCAACCAGACCAACCTGCACTGCCTGTTGTCATCTTGTAAACCCTGTGCCCCCATCACTCTGCACCATCCAGACCTCCACATGAGTCGTCATCACTCTGCCCACCCCACGTGCACTCACACTGGCACTTTCCCCAGAAATGCCTTCTCCGCTCCTTTCGAGCCTTTGCACACCTTTACAACTCTTTAAGATCCACAGTTCGAGTCTATGAGTGAAGTTTAAACTGAAAAGGTCAATGACAAGTGGTGAACTAGAGCAAAGAATGCAATGGAAGAGGTGTTCTAGGAAAGATCAATCTGGTCACAGATCCTACTTAGGATCTGTGAGATCTTTAGAGAGAGACACAGAGAGACAGGCAAAGAGAGAGAGATTGAGAGAGAGAAAAAGAAGGGAAGGAGGGAGAAACAGGGAGAAAGATTGAAAGAGAGTGAGAGAGAGGAAGAAGGGAAAGAAAGAGGCAGGTGAGAGACAGGACAGAGAGAGATTAAAAGAGAGTGAAAGAAAGAGAAGGAGGGAGACAGGGGAGACAGTGACACAGAAGTAGAGGAAGAGAGAGAGTCGGCATTGGCGGAGGAAACAGGGAAACCAGTGAGCCCAACATTGCAGTTATTCAACATCTCTTTCTTTGATTAAAGACAGAGATCTCAAGCAGGTGTCCAATAAATCAACTATAACCCACAGATATGTATCTCTGCTTCATAATTGTTTAATAAGGAGAATTCACATGAAACTTCACATTTCTAGATTCTCTTTAAAAATCAGAAGATTTAGCCTGGGTGTGGTGGCTCATGCCTATAATCCCAGCACTTTAGGAGGCCAAGGTGGGAGGATCACTTGAGGCCAGCGTTTGAGACAAGCCTAGGCAGCATAGCAAGAACCTGTCTCTACAAAACAAAAAATTAAAAAATTAGGCAGGTGTGGTGGCATGCATCTGTAGTCCCAGCTACTTGGGAGGCTGAGGTTTCTGTTTCAACAACAACAACAAAAATCAGAAAATTTAGTCACCCTGGACCCCACGTTCCCCTTGGCAACATTTGTCTAATCTGAACATCAGCTATTTCCTTTGGATGGCACATTCGCTCTCCACTTTGCCACACTCCCCACTACTCCCTATTACTCCTAAACACTGAAGTCAAGTTATGGCTTATCATTACTCTTGCAATATTTCTTTTCTTGAGTAGAAGTCTACTTCTCACAACTAAACCTCTATCATAAGAGGCAAAATCATACACAGACCAAGAGGAACACATATTTCAAGGCAAATGGAGGCAAATATCTTTTGGGTAGAAGTGAAGACTATCCCATGTCTTCAATATGCCAACATCTGGCCTGATTCACTGTGTACCTACCATAGGTTGGGCCCCCAGGCTTATATCCGTCCTAGGACTTGGACCTTCCTGCCAAGCCTTGCTCTGGTTGCCCTTCCTCTCATTCCATCTTCCAAACCAGGACTAACTAGGTCTGCCCCCAAGGTTGGGTCCAATGCCCTGAATCTTTTCTAACTTGCTCTGACTCCAGTACTTATCCTCCTCTTTGGACACTGCTCACTAATTAGGCAGTCACATAAACTCATTCTAAATAGGGTATGAAGGGCTGAGGATGGCTTCATATACTCTACCTCTCAGGTTACAACTTAACAGGAGCCTTCTGTGCTTTAACCTAATAGCTATAAATAGGTTTCCTGAAGCCTCAAATTCCTAATGAGTTCCTCTCAGGTGCTGCTGTGGGAAGTCAGTCCTGGGGAATGAGGTGGAGGGGGAGCAAGATAACCAGGACAGCAGCTGCAGTTTTCCCTGCCCCGTATAATGAAGTTCTGTGTAAGATCCTACTTGGAGGTGAGGGTGGGGTAGAATGGTTCCACTACCTAAACAAATAATAATAATAAACAGTTTAAGTTTGAAAAGCAATGGTGTAGCAGTTATGGTTTTGTTGCAAGTAAAAGAAACCAGTTCCAGCTAATGGAGTTTATTGGAAGGATAATGTCTGGAGGAGAGAGGTACTCACAGACTCTATGGGGAGCCCAGGTGGCCAGGCTTGACAGCAGGCAGGCAGGCACTGAGAAGCAGGCAGCAGGAAGTCAAGTAGGATGTAAAGGAACCACCCTGTAGCCAAACAGTTCGGACGCCATCCTGTAGCCACTGCTCTTGTCACAGCTGGAAGGAATGGCTTCCCATGGTGACCCTCTCCTCACGTGATTCACTCAGAAATCAAAGCCCTAGGGAAACACCTTCCATTAACCCAGGACTTCTCCACTGTGACACTTGCTGACATTTAGGGCTGGATCTTTCTTTTTTGTGGGTCCCTTCCTGTGCATTGCAGAACGTTTAGTAGCATCCCTGGCCTCCACCTGCCAGATGCCAGCAGCACCCCCCACCAATTCTAACAACCAAAAGCTGTCTCCAGACATCGCCAAATATCTCCTGAGGACACAACTGCCCCCAGTTGAGAACCACTGAGTGAGCCCAGCTTCAGTCACACGCTGGCTATTTTGGAGCACCAGGGCAGGCTCTGTGAGCTCTGCTTTCCTATCAGAAGGCAGATGCCTAGAATTGTCCTCCACACTCCATACAATAAAGACAATTATCCACCGAATTAAATCAAGAGCCATCAAAATAACAACAATGAAAAGGTAAAAATCCACAAATGAGAAGCACCACCACTTTGGGCTGTAAGCAGAGAGGGCTTTCTTTCCTCCCCTGCAGACCAGCCAACAGACATCACAGATGGAGGACAGGGCTTTCCCGGAGGCCTACACATCAGTGATCACCTGCCCCCACATTGGCCCTTCCTAAGCCACCCATCAGCTGAGCACGCCAAGTCAAGTTGAAAGGGAAACAGCTGGTTTGAGAGACTTCCCATCTGAATTCCCCGCTCAGGACTTCTCTGGGTTACCAGATGGGATTTAGAGACCCTTTTAATCTGGGTGGTGTGGGGGCACAGGTTAGCTCTTCATTGAAGAAGAGAGCAGATTTGTTCCTCCTGCACCCGAACTTCAGTCACGCTGAACCTGCACTGTGTGACTGTCATGGTTTCGGGATTACATGAATTTGCTGCAGCAAACCTGCCTCTGCCATTGTGTGTGTATTAGTCCATTTTTCACACTGCTGTAACAAACTCCCTGAGACTGAGTAACTTATAAACAAAAGATGTTTAAATGACTCACAGTTCCACGTGGCTGGGGAAGCCTTAGGAAACTTGCAGTCATGGTGGAAGGTGAAGGAGAAGCAAGTACCTTCTGCACAAGGCAGCAGGGAAGAGAGTGCGAGTGAAGGAGGAACTCCCAAGCACCTATAAACTCATCAGATCCTGTGAATACTCACTCACTATCATGAGAACACCATGGGGGAAACCACCCCCGTGATCCAATCACCTCCCACCAGGTGCCTCCCTCTGCACAGGGAGATTACAATTTCAGATGAGGTTTGGGTGGGGACACAGCGAAAAGAATGAAGTACAAACCTCATATCTTTGAAGCTCTTAAAACTTTCAAACTCAGCCCTACCAGAACAAATGGCTTAAGATTATTCAAACAATGAGGGAAGAAAGAAGGTGGAAAATGAATATAAAGACAAAAAACTAAATAAATAAATAAATGTCTAAAGAACTTGATTGACCTCTAAATGTGATGTCTGAATTTTAAGTTTGCTTTCCACTTGCAATTCATTCTTAGTACACAATTACATCTTAAATAGATAATCCTCTGTAGAACAGTTCTTATGTAAACAGCCAGTAATTTTGATATATTAGAATTAAAAGAAATTTCCTAAGGCCAAATTCTGCCATGTTTTAAGAAATATGCCTTGGTTATTCCAGGAATAATTTTGCTTCAGGGACCCAATTAAAGTTATCAAAACTGTAGGTTCTTCTGGATGCTAAAAATGCAATATATTTTGTACATACCTCTACAGGTTATTATTTTTAGGGATTTTATTTTACAGACAAAAAAACATCCAACCAAGGGGAAGGGTTTTTAGAAGATCACATAATTCTAAACCGCAAACAAAAAGCACAAAGCTCTATAATCATGAAGGCTTGTAAAGAACAAGCAGGTTTGCTCACGGACAGTTGAAATAGGTTTGCCTGTGATATGAGGCAATTTTCAATGCTTTGAAGTTTAAGATGCAGTAAGCACAGTTCACATGAGGCATAATCGAGAGGCAGTTGTTTGTTTCTGCTGCTGCAAAATTATGGGGTATCCCATATGGGCTAGCATCTTGTGCGTTTGTATATACGGTAATTTCCCTGCAAGAAGCCTGACATTCCATGCTTTCTTCAGGAAGAAATGGAAACAGTGCTGGGGACAGCTGATGACAGGTTTTCAAGTGTCTCCATCCTCATGCCTGCAATTGTTAAAAGTATGGGCCAACCAGACCAGCCAAAGAGGGGAGAGACAAATGGAAAAGGTGTTATGTGGGAAATAGAACAGGTAAATAAAAACAGTTCTGTTTCTGAGACCCGTCAAAATATTTGTCATCCTGATAACAGGGTGAAGTCTCTGACAGATTTCACTTAGCCAGGTATTTTACTTGCAAGCAAGATTGGAGCAACTTGACCTTTATCATTTCATAACGAGCAAAGAATTTGCCTGTCATGCTGCAATTTCTGTTATGTGGCTTCAAGAAGCAAAAGAGAGAAAGAGAAGAGAGAAAAAGCTCATTTGTCGATTTTCCTGTTGAAATATCACCAACTCAACCCATGTGATGTGGTCCAACTGATGGGACCCCAGTGTGGCCACCAGAAGTAATAGTCTGGGAGAATGAGGGTCCCAGGGGAATCCTCCTGGAGCTATGGTTACAAATGCTGAAATTCTCAGATTTTTTTTTCAAAAATAAGTGAATTTTTTTCTATAGTCTAACGCAGGGGGCAGCAAATGTTTCCTGTGGAGAACTAGACAGTAAATGTTTTAGGCTGTGTAAATTCTATGGTCTCTGTCATGACTACTCAACTCTGCTGCTGCAGCATAGAAACCTACTGTAAATGAACGAGCATGGCTATGTTCCAAGAACTCTTGGTTTTACAGAAACAGGCATTGAGCTGGCTTTGGCCCGTGGGCCTTGGTTTGTGGACTATACTTTAAAGGTTGACCAGGCTTTGTAGGCCTTCATAGCCTCAGAGATGCCACCCAATATCCAAGGTTTGGGGGAATCTCTCAATGTGACAACTAGGAAATTTTGCTTCAACCATTCTGTAGTGAATTCCTGTAATTTTACATTGCCTTGAAATCCATTTTAAAGATAAGTTTAAACTTCTCATACCAGAGTAGGGCTTAGTCACCTTTGACACAGTTTCCAGTCCTCTGCCTACTCCTAGTTTCTTGACATGGTGGATCCAGATATCAGCGGTATACAACCGCCTCCTGGCCTCCTGGTTGGGAGGTGGCCACTTCCTTATGGGACAGCTGGGTACCACCTATCTGACTCACTCCCCTGGCCCCCACACCCCCCATGGACTGCAAAGACATGCCACAGTTTGACCACCTGTTAGTCACCCCACTCAGAACTCGCACCCACCTGTGTGCTCTAAACCCACCAATTAGAGCTCCATAGGAAACCTCCATGGGCAACACCCTGGCCTTAATAAGGTCTCCAACCCTCAGGTTCCTCTCCCTCTACCCTGCCTTCTGTCTCTCTCCTTCTCTCTGTCTCTCTTTCTGTCTCTCCTTCTCTCCCTCTCTTGCTGTCTCTCTCTGTCTCTCTCTTGCTGTCTCTCTTTGTTCTCTTTGTCTCACTGTCTCTCTTGCTGTCTCGCTGTCTCTGTCTCTCTGTCTTGCTGTCTCTCTGCCTCTCTTGCTGTCTTGCTGTCTCTCTCTTGCTCGCTGTCTCTGTCTCCTCACTGTCTTTCTGTCTCTCTGTCTCTTTCTCACTCTCTATCTCTCTCTCGCCCTCTGCCTCTCTCTCTCTGTCTCTGTCTCTTGCTGTCTCTCTCTCTCACTGTCTCTGTCTCTGTCTCTCGCTTTCTCTCTCTCACTATCTCTGTCTCTTTCGCTCTGTGTCTCTCTCTGTCTCTATCTCTCTCTGTCTCTCTCTCACTGTCTCTCTGTGTGTGTGTCTCTCCCCATCCCCTGGCTGATCTTCCTGCCCCCTCAGAGTTTCTGACAGTCTCCCAGAGGCATCTCTAACCTCCCAATCTGTAAGTAATGCATTTCTTCCATTTCATGCCATTTGGTTTTGCCTTTTCTTATGCCTCACCTGACTGACACACCCAAACCTAACTTCCCCCAGAGAGGGCACTCCTAGAAAGCGTCTATCTTGGTTTATGGCCACTCAATACCAAATCAGAAACCATAACAATAAAAATTACAACAAAGAAAAAAAACTCTATAATAACAGCAGAGCTTTTTTCAAAAAAAACCTACAGATTATATCTTTATTCCTCACACATCCTCAAATCCACTCTGAAAACAGTAACAGGTACTTTCAGGCCAGTATGGCAAAGTTGCCGGAAGTGACCCAAAATGAGAGGATGGCAGCCCTCAGCATCTATCACCGCTTAGGCAGGTCTCACGACAGACTGAGTGAAGGTGGGACTGCTCCTCTCCCACTTGTTCACTTTTCAATCCCATGAAATACCCTGGCTTTTACCTCCAGCCAGAGTGCCCCAAAACAGCATCAGCTCTCACAGCCCTGGATTCAACATCCCCCCCAAGATCAGTGGAGTAGGAATACTCCAACAGCCCAGTGTCCAGGCTGTTAATGCATTCTTCATGCACTTGAAGTGTTGGGCTTTGTTTAAAGCATCACTTTTTTCTAAAACTAAATCTCTCTAAACATTCAATGATGGCAAGGCATGGTTCACACCTGTAATCCCAGCGCTTTGGGAGGCAGAGGCAGGTGCATCATTTGAGATCATGAGTTCAAGACCAGCCTGGCCAACATGGCAAAACCCCGTCCCTACTAAAAACACACAAAAAAAGCCAGGTGTGGTGGCACGCACCTGTAATCCCAGAGACTCAGGAGGCTGAGGCAGGAAGATCACTTGAACCTGGGAGATGGAGGTTGCAGTGAGCCAAGATCGCGCCACTGCACTCCAGCCTGGGTGACAGAGCTACACTTCGTCTCAAAAAAAAAAAAAAAAATTCAATGCTTTCTAGAAAATCTGGCACTTTCTGTCTGCTACAAAAAGCCACTTTTCCCCCACCCATGTTGATTAAAACATAATTGTTGCACATTTAATATTTGTTTTTCAAAGGTCCAGAGTAAAGCAAATTCTCAGCGTGATTCTTCCCAACACTGCTTTAAAACAACGTGTGTGAATGTAACCTCTAAAAATCCCAATTATGAAGTTGTCTCACAGGTGGCCCCCGACCTCAGCATTCCTGACCTTTATCCATCCTGGCCCTTAAGTGGATAGCCACATACTTGGACGCCTGACTTCAGCTCTTTTGGGCTCCTTCATCTCCCTTCTGTGACCCTTGGTGGAAAAGCCCAGAGCCTCTAACTTTATAGGTGGATGAGCTGTGGCCTGACCTTACTTAGGACCCTAGGCTTGTCATTCAGCCTCTGAAAGCTCCCCACTCCGTCCCCACAGCTAGCAGGGCCACGTTCCAAGGAGGAGCAATGAACAGAAAGGGCTTTGCTCCTGGAACCAGGTGAGCGAGCGTTTTTAAGAGGCTTTTCTAGCCATGGCAGAGCAATTTAAATAACAAGGGTCAGGATTAGCCCTTTATGGTATCGAGGTGGGGAAAAAATCCGCAGAGGCAGTGAAATGAGAAAGGTAGACTAGCATTCATTCTCTTACAATAGTTCCGTTTCCCATCTTGCTAAGCACACACAGCCGTAATTATATTGCTTTCCACCGACTTGTATACACACTTCCTTCCCGCCATAAAAACACAAGCGCCTCCATAGATGAAAACTGATTTTAATATAGAAACCCCAGTATCTATAATTCATGCTCTTTAGCCTTTACATATTTATCCTGCATTTTAATTAAGGCCAAAATCTGAATACTTTAGATGGATAGTTTCTTTTCTCTTCTATGCATAGCTTATAGGTAAATTACCTGGCAGAAGCCCAAATGTTAAGCAAACACAATAGAACCTGGGACTGGAGTAAGCTATTATCGGACGGTCAGCCCAGGAGAGCTTGGAAAGCTCTCTCCTTTCAAAGGTAACCATCTGAAGACTGGCAGGACTTGTCTCCTGCAGTTGCAAAAGAATGAGAAGATAAAATCCCCAAGTTTGGGCATGACAGTACAGCCCACCTCTCCACAGCAAAGGCGTCACCTCCAGTGACATCTGAGAAGAGAGGACGGGAGGGGCTGGGAGAATGGAAAGGGGTTTGAAAGACCCCTGAAGTACCAGGAATCTATCCTCTGGGCCTAGGACAGTAGTTCCCAAAACTGACCCTGGAATGGTCCAGCTGACACAGAGAACACATCTAAGATTAGAAAAGCCAAAAGTTCACGGTTGGCCTTTGGTAGGAATGACCAGATTTTTCGATGAAATGTTTGATGCTTTGAAACCCTAGGAAGTGCCTCCATGAATAATATATCAAGAACGGTGATCTTTAAAATGCAAAACTCCACCTAAGCCTGGCCCAAGTAGGTACCAATGTGGTCTTTTTTAATTGCTAAAGCAGTTTAGCAAACTAGAGCCTGCAGGCCAAATCTGGACCAATGCATGTTTTTGTAAATAAAGGTTTACTGGAACACAGCTGTATTCACTTAATGTATTATCTGTGGCTGTTTTCATGTTAGGATGACAAAGTTCAGTAGTTGGAATGCAGATCATTTGGCCTGAAAAGCCTAATTTCTTCTCTGACCCTTTACAGAAAAGCTTGCCAGCCCCTGCGCTCAAGAATTGCTTCTTCACATTCTGCCTTCCAGTTTCTTCTTTCAGGAAAAGAAGTGGAAATAAATCTGAGACATTTGGAATTGCCAAATTCTCTCCATTGTACTGTTTCTTCTAGTCTTTACAAAAGCAAGGAAAAGAACTGTAGACATTTCTTGCCAATCATCTTCTCTGGAGGTAAAACAGCCCATATTAATTTTCTAGGAGTCATAACATTGTACTGGGTAACACTTCCAGTGTGTGCCTGCTAGGAGGACCAGGGACCCAGGTACTGGACTGGTACTTTGTCTCCATTATCTTGTTTGAATATTCAGGCCACCTCAATGTGGACTTTGCTAGAATATCAATAATTTGCTGTTGATAAGAGACAGAGGCAATTTTAAAACCAAATCTATCTGATTTTAAATCTGATCTTCTTAACTACAGCACCTTTGCTACTGACACTTAGACACTCTGCCAAGCACTGTCCTCTTAACCCTTAAAACAGACCCATCATGAGATAGATGATACTGACAAACCCATCTCACAGATCAGGAAACTGAGACTTGGAAAGTAAAATGACTTCCTCAAGATCACCCAGCTCATGTGAGGCAGTGCCGGGGAGTAGGCTCCAGAGCCATCGGGTATACTTGGCTGCTGGTTCCCGTGACTAAGACACTTTGTGTCTCTGGGGCTCAGCTTTCTGTCAGTAAAACAAAATGTCTAACATTCCTGGGCCCAACAAGCTAAGATGAATAGAGTACCTTTGAAAATATGACCAAAAAAATAAAATAAAATAAAAAACATGATTTGCTAAATAAATAAACTTTATGAGCAATGGGATAGATTTCCCCTACTCCCCACACCTCGGAAGCAGCTGCCCAGTGGACACTATGGATCTCAAAATTCCGCCTCCTGGCTCCATCATGATGCTCATTCCATTCAAGGCAGATGAGATATCCAAGGTGGACTCTGCAGGATTACATGCTTCTCTCCGTCCTCTTACATGAACTTTCTTTCATAGCATTGAGGGTTCCCAGACCTCCCTTTGAAAGGCACACTAAATGCATACACACCTAAATGAATAAATGAATATTGAGACAGCACAAAGACCCTGGAGATGACACTGCTGTATCAAAACTGTTAATTGATGCTTGTAAAGGACTATTTTGGGGTAAAGGGAGCTACCCAGCATCCATTCTGCTGTCTTGGGGGAGAGTACCCTGATTTCCTTTGCGGTAATCGCTGTGCCCATGTGGAATCAGTTCTTCAAGACTGAATTTCAAATATGCCCTCCCTCTTTTGGGCAACAGCAGAACACACCTCCAGCCAGGCTTCTCAGAGCTGGCCTGGAAAACTCCAAAAAGAGGGTCTTTCCAGTCAGGACTCTTCATAGACCCTGATAGCAAGACTCTCTGCAGCAACTGAGTTTTGGTACCAGCTAAGCCTGGCTTCCAAATCTCCCTCTGTCCTGTGAATTGCCTGGTAGCCTCTCAATAAATCATGGCCTTTCATAAACTAACAAACTGGTTTCTGTTGCTTGTAACCAACCAACACAAATTTTTACAATGCCAGAAGGGCCGTTCTTGAAAAAAAAAATTGCCTTCATTCTGTATCTTTCTGTCTCATTTGGGGTCCTCTTTCTAAGCATACTTTTAAATCAATTTTGCTTCCAATTTTACCTTTTAAAATAAATCTAGATAGCCATAGCCATTTTTTAAGTGCCAGGTAGGGTGGAAGTTGACCAAATATGAACAGAACTACAAAGTTAAATTGAAGAGCTATGCTTTATAAATACCTGTCTTAAAGGGTAATACGTCTTGAGTGCCCTTACTTTTATTTTATCATTCAGCTCCTATCATCACTTGTGTTAGCTTCCCTCCCCAGCACTGGTGAGCTAGAACTCTGTGAAGCTGAGATTCTCTGAACTCAACAGGGTCTTGACCTCAATCTGTTGTCCAAACAGGTGCAAATTTGCTGCAAAGCATCATTGTCTGCTCCATGTTTTACTGTTCTATTTCACTAAATGCATTTATAAACATGATCCACAATGTCTACAGAATTTCTTAAATCTCTTTCTTTCAAAAACATTACAATAAAGGATATAGAGTTACTTGGTATACCTTGTACCTAGGGAACCCTTGGGAGCCCTTTAAACTGTTACTTTCTTCCCAATGTGCCTATAAACTCGTCATATAAATATCTGTCCCACAATTTACACCCTGCAATGGTGACCTATAATATTTGGAATAAAATCTAAACTTCTGACCATGGCAAACGAAGCCATCTAGTAAATGACCACTTCCTAGAGCTCCACTGCATCGCAGACACCTCCCGACACACTCCTCCTCCCTGCTGCCAGCTCCTGCCCACCCCTCACACAGGCTGCACTCCTGTCACCTCGGGACCTTGCACTTGCTCTTTCCTCTGCCTGGATTGCTCCTCCTATCTCTAGGACTGGCTCCTCTCCCTGTGCCATGCAGGGCTTAGCTGAAATGTCACCACTTTAAAAAGACTTTTACGGGCCACTGGGCGTCAGCATCCCCCACCCCCAGCCTGCTGTCTCACATCCACCCTGCTCTGTTTTATTTTCCAGGACTCACTGCTTTGCAAACTGCATTATTGATGCTTCGCTTCCTTGTCTGTTGCCTCAACCACAATGCAAGTTCCATGAGAGAAGGGATTTCATATTTCTAGCACTAAGTGTCTGGAACAGCATGCTTGTGAAAGAAAGGGAGGAAAGAAGATAATAAGAAAAAAAGAAAGGAAAGCAGAGAGGCAGAGGGGAAAGAAAGAGCTTTATGAAGCACTGCCATCCATTTGACTGGTATTAATTTCTGTAATCTACGTTTTCAAAAACTAGGACCTCATCTGCCTCTCCCTAAATCTTCTAATTATAATAATAACAGTGATTCATCAGGGGCAGGTCTAAGTTTTGTGGGAACATACACAATTTTAAAGACTCTCTGCTGGGCGCAGTGGCTCACGCCTGTAATCCCAGCACTTTGGGAGGCCGAGGCACGTGGATCACCTGAGGTTGGAAGTTCGAGACCAACCTGACCAACATGGAGAAACCCCATCTCTACTAAAAATACAAAAAAAAAAAAAAATTAGCCGGGCATGGTGGCGCATGCCGTTAATCCCAGCTACTCAGGAGGCTAAGCCAGGAGAAACGCTTGAACCCGGGAGGCGGAGGTTGCAGTGAGCCGAGATCGCACCTTTGCACTCCTGCCTGGGAAACAAGAGCAAGACTCCATCTCAAAAATAAATAAATAAAATTTAAAATAAAAAATAAAGACTCTCTTTAAGAATATAAAATTATCAACATAACAGCAGGTATGGAAACGTATGTTTATATAAAACGAGAAAACAAATCACAACACACAATAAGTGTTTTAGAAATTCACATCCCTTTCTTCTTGGATGTCCCTGGGCAATTTGCCAAAAATGCTCAAATAGGAATGCCTCCCAAAAGTGACCTGGCCTCTGCTACACACCTAGAACATTCTATGCCTCCCAGAAAAAAACCCAGAAGTGACAGGGGTCCAGGTATGTAAGGGTCTCAGAGGCTGATACATAATTTGCTTCCTAACACATTGCCTCTGTGCCTTATGATCATAAAACGTCATACACCAACCGGACCCTGTCTTCATTCATATTATCTCATTTCACCCTCACAATTGCCCAGTAAGAAACCCCCACTAATTTAGAAACATCCCCATTTCACAGATGGAAAAACTGCAGCCGTTTGCAATTGTTCTCAACAGTGTTTATCAATCATGTGTGAAAGTGTGTTCAGTGCCAGGTGACAAAACCCACCTTCTCAGGAAAACACGAACTTAACAATGCCCCCATCTCCCCATCCATCTTACACTTTGATTCCATCTTAACAATATTCCTCATTAATCACCTATTTTCCAAGCTGTAGCTCTTTTTTTTTTAATTTCCTGACCACACTTCTAACATCTTTATGTTTGCTTTCATTACTTCTGTGTTTGCAGCAGCTCTAAATTCAGTTTCCTCCCAAGTTTCATTAACGTGCTCTTTGCTTCCTCTTGCAAATCTCAAAGGCAGGCACACTCGATGATTTTAAAGCATGTCTTCACTACAAAAGTGAGCGCTGAGCTGGGAGAGAAGGGAAGACAGCACATGAGGTACCATTCCTCACTGAACACCGCAGCCCAAGTCAAAACCCTGGCAACTCCCTGTCCCGATGAGGCTGCGGGGTGGAGAGGGGTCATAGGTACCATTTCTTGCTCATCAGGTGCAAATTGGTACAACTTTTCTGTGACACATTTGGCAACTGCTATAAAACTTACCAATGCATTTACCTTTTGGCTCAGAGTAAACTCCGTCGGAAACACCGCTCCTAGAAACATATTTCTATACGTAAATGTTTACATATACACTGGCACATGTGTAAAGAAAGGAATACCCACGTTTATTCAGTGTTGTTTCTAATTCAATGCAGTGCTGTTTCTAATAATAGCACATTATAAACAATCTATGGGGTCAATCAACAGAGGAATGGTCCAGTAAATCATGGTATAGCTATATAACAGAAAATTAGAAAGCTGAAAAAAAGAAGAAATAAGCCCTTTATATTCAAATATAAAAGGAACTATAAGAGAACATATTCCAAGTAGAAAAAGCAGGTACAGAATAATATGTATACATGGATGACTTTTTGTTTAAAAAAGCAAAAGATCCATTTTTAAACTTAGATGAAGAAAAATATCACATGAAGGGTAAACAAGAAACCACTAACAATGGCTACAAGTTTTGGTTTTGGAGGCTTTGGGAATTAGGACAGGAAAAATATTTCCTGCTACTTATCTTTTTATCTTTTTTATATTTTTGGTATACATGACTGGATGACCTTGTCAAAAATTAAAATTAAAAATTCGATGGGGAAAATAGAGATTGAATTATTCAACATCCTAATTCCCAAAGAACAACATCACTGGCCATTACTCATCACTGGAGGATTGATGTAGTATCAGAACATCTTAAAATTCTTTTCATCATGCCAAAATTTATTAAAACTAAGAAGGTGGATCCTTTCAGCCACAATTTGGTGAATCGGATGTTCTTAACAAAGAATTTTTTGAAGGAGAGGGTGGTGCTGTTTTCAGCTGATGACTGGTTTTGTCTGCCTTGAATCTTTGCCCCCTTCCTCTTGTTACAATATCCTTCCTTTGTTTTCAAAAACTGTCCCTCCACCATCTGGTGACACAGATTTACCTCCATCACGTGACAAGGTGGTCATGTGACTCAGGCTGGTATGCAACAGGAATCCTCTGACCTCATGCACAGTGATTGGCCCAGGATAGGACACATGACCCAAGCAGAGCCAGTCAGGACCCTTCTTCCAGGAAAGGGAAAGGCAGGCCCTTACCCCCACGGAGACAATGGGCATTAAAGACACACAGCCTAGAAGCTTGCAGTGAGCCGAGATAGCGCCACCGCACTCCATCCTGGGCAACAGAGTGAGACTCCGGCTCAAAAAAAAAAAAAAAAAAAAAAAAAAGACACACAGCCTAGAGCTGCCAATGGCCTTCTCTCTTGCCACACAGGATCAGGAGGGTAGAGACAATTAAGAATAAACACAATAAAGAGAAATGCAGAGCCCAAAAAGGGAGAGAAGTGGAGTCCGAATGACAGTTTGAATTCCTGCATCCAGCTATACCTGAAGTAGCACCAATCCATAAATTCTCTACATCGCTGGGGCCAAGTTAAATGAGTTTATATCACTTGGAACCAAAAGAATCCTGACTAATATGCTCTTAGCCAATGATTAGCAGCATTGAGGTATGTGTTCAGTTTTAAGGTTGGTTCACCCTGATCACCTTACCAGCTTCTTCTGGATTCTTCTTACAACTAAAGACTATATCAATTGTTGCTACAATCCTGCTCTCATTCGTTTCACACCCTTACCTACAAAGTTAACACGACAAATCAATCACTACTTTAAAGGGATTGCTCTGACAAATAAGTGCTGTCAAAAAGAACAAATCTCCTTTGACAGTGACAGTTCTTCGGGGTGAAGATAAAGCACAGAGTAGACAACAAAGTCACCATCGTCGCAGGCTGTGATGTTATTTATTCCTATCTAATTCGTCTGAGGCCCACCTACTTCAGTACTTGAGGTTCCACAAACAGTTTAAGAGAATGAATGACTGAAAACACACCATCCAGAATCCCTTCCAACTAAGGAAGGTAGCATGATTGGGGGGTTTTGGCATCAAACAGAACCCAAATTCAAGACTCTGCCATGTAGCAGCTGTGTGTCTTTGATCCAGCCACCTAAGCCTTCTGCACCTCAGCTCTGAGCTGTAGAATGAGGATGAAAAATGTTCCTAACTCACAGGATTGCTGTAAAGACCTGAAGAAACGTTGCAGATGAGGAGCTAAGCACGATGCCATTGGTGGGGTTCAGAATACGCTACCCCAAAATGTGGCACCTTGGCATACAGAGTAAGCTAAAGGAAGTTGAGGAAGGGCATGTATGGGAAAGGCTCTTCGACCTTCCCCTGAAGACTTCATAGAACCTAGGAAGGATTTTCTGACCTACCCCTAAAGCAGATCATGAGACCCTCATGAGAGAGGCACCCTCCCTATCCCTGGAGGAGAGGAACATTCTATCTCTAAGACACAGGGACACAAAGACGAATCTGAACAAATAGGCCTTACTGAGTTTACCCCATGCTCCTTACATTTAGCTCATCTGCCCTTGGTCCTATCATGTTTCTTCACCACTGTCCGCTCTTCCTCAAACCCAGCATAACAAACACTCAAGTGTAACTATTTCTTCAGGTCTCCTTTTAAAGTTTCCCACGTCATGTAAAACTGATATTAAATAAATGTGAATGGCTTGCTCTTGTTAATCTCTTTTATTAGAGGCCCCAGCCAATGAACCTAAGATGAATAGAGGGAAAAGATAACTTTCCTCCACTGCAAAGTAAGTGCTCAATATAGAGTAACAATCAACACCATGTATTTGTTCAGTAACATCAACTGATCTCATATGAGTAAAGCTCAGTGGTAGATGATGTGAAGAATGTAAAGTCCATCAGACATGGATCCTCCCTTCCAAGAGCTTACCATCTACTAATAAGAGAGCTAGGACTAGTATATAAATCATTACAAATAAAATAATAATAATAATAACCCATCTTAACCAGGCACTGGAGATTCAACAACAAATAAGGTAATAATCTTTGCCTTAATGGAGGGTATGTTTCATTGGAGGGGACCAGCAATAAATAATGAAGTGTGTAATTTAAAGTTCTGATAAGAAGTACACCATGTTAGGAGAGCAACAATAGGGAGTTTTAGGTGGAAGATCTACGCACGAAAGTGACGTATGGAGAAAGTGCCCCTCAGGGGAGATATCAGGAAGAAGATGGAAGACAGAAACAGGATAAGGAAGGGGAGGAGGCCAGGCAAGGGGTGACCCCCTTAAAGTCACACGAAGAGCAGCTTCAGCTAACCCCACAGGCAACTCTGCAATGCAAATTATGCCTCAGGGTTGTCCCAATCTGTGGCCAACAAGCCAGAAATGTATCATTCCACAACTGCAGACCTTGGCGAAGGCCCACCCTGGGAGACATAAACCCAGGCACTTCTGGCACTTTTGGGTTGTGGACCAGTTGTCTCCAGCAGCCCAGGGAAATCCTCTGAGCAAAGGAGCAGGTGTGGGTGGTGGGAAGCAGAAGCCCACAAAGCCAGGGAGGGGCACTCAGAGCACTAGTGGGACCCCAGGACAGGGACCCCAACCCAGGCCACACAGCAGCACGTGAGTGGCAGATGTGCAAGCGAAGCTTCATCTGTATTTACAGAAGCTCCCCATAGCTCGCATTACTGCCTAAGCTCCGACTCCTGTCAGATCAGCGGCCACATTAGATTCTCATAGGAGCACAAACCCTATTGTGAACTGTATATGCACGGGATGTAGGTCGTGTGCTCCTTATGAGAATCTAATGCCTGATGATCTGTCACAGTCTCCCATCACTTCCAGATGTGGGTTGCAGGAAAACGAGATCAGGGCTCCCACTGATTCTATATTATGATGAGTTGTATAAATTATTTCATTGTGTATTACAATGTAATAATATTAGAAAGTACACAATAAATGTAATGCACTTGAATCATCCCAAAACCATCCCCCCACCTCCTCCAGTCCATGGAAAAATTGTCTTCCATGAAACCAGTCCCTTGGAACTCCGCCAGTCCCCCTGGGGGATGTGGCGGAGTTCCAACAGTGTCCATGACACATGGGCTCTTAGCCTCCTGTTAGTGATGGGTTATCAGGAGCGGCTTCCCTGAGGAGGTGACGTTTCAGCTGCATAGGAGTAGCTAGGCAAACAGCAGGGGAAATTGACTGTGAGATTAATTACAGGGTTATTTAGATGTAAAATGTTTGTGAAAGGCAGTGAACCTGGGGATCTTGTAGGATGCCACTCCCATCTGTGCTCCGTCTGCAGCCCTGACACCGCTCTCTGCCGAAGCCAAAGCCATTAGCGGTGGTGCCAGGTGGTGGGGCTCATTGCTGCCTCTGGTGACGTGCGCTGTAATGGGAGATCAAGGGCTCTTATCAGGAAGCACTTGACAGCCTCACCGCTAAACAACTCAACCTTCGGTGGCCAATTTCATTGCTTATCACAAATGCTCCCAAACACAGAGCTCTTGCGCTCTGGGCTGCTGCGGCAGATCGATGAGGAAGCTCCCCAACTCTCCAAGCCCATCACCATGGATCATGTCTGCCAGCACAAAAGTTCTAAAAGACCTCCACTTTCACTTCCACACGTGTTCCTAACTCCGGCTGAGAAAATGAGATCCAAGAAGCAAGCTTGAAGAGAAACTCCACGTGGATCTATCTAGATCAGTGCTTCTCAACCTAGAGGTGGTTTTGGCCTGCAGGAAACATTGGCAGTGTCTGGGGACATTTGTGCTTTTCAGGACTGTGGGGGGCAGGGGTGCTCCTGGCATCTAGTGGGCAGTGGCCAGGGACACTGCTAGACATCCTGTAAGGCCCAGGACAGCCCCCACAACAAAGAATTATTTGGCCCAAAATGGCAATAATGCCAAGGTTCAGAAACCAAGGTCTGGAACAATAGTGTGTGGCAAAGGTCAGCTCTCTAATCTACAAACTCTCTTTTTCTTGCCAAGATCAGAAACATGATATATGTAGGTCATGATGTTTTTCCGTTTTTCAAGTGGCAAAAAAAACCCTATGCAAGCCATCTTAAGTATAAAATGGGACTTATTGTACAAATAATTGATTAGGCAGGGCAAAACCCAGAGGTTCTAATGATGCCATCAGAAATAATCTCAGTATCTCTTTCTGTCTCCCTCCCCTCTTTCTTCCTTCCCTCCCTTCCTCCTTCCCTCTCTCTGTTCTTTTTTCCTCCTTCCTTTTTGTCTTATTCTGAAGTAGCCTCGCTCCTTGTGGAGGCTATAAAGAGCAACAGCTTATGTTCTGCTAAATTGATAACCTCAGGGCAAGAGCACTCCTTCCTGATACTTCATGTCATGATCTAGCAATTGGCTGGATTTTCCAACCTAGGTGACTTGACCACCCCTGAACCAATCACCATAGCCAGGAATGTAGCACTGTCATTGGTCACACCTGAGTCAGGCGTCCACCTGTAGAGTCAGGGTGAGTAAACCTACCCAGAACCATGGACTGAGATTGGGCTCCAAGGGAAATAGGGATGCTCTACGTGTAATTGTTTATTCAATCCTCACATCAGCCCTGGAACAAAGATAATACATTGTATCCATGGACAGGGAAGTCCCATTGAGAAGACAGCATGGCAGCATGACTGGGATGTGGTGTCAGGAGCCAGGCAGCCCAGGGTCAGTTCCCAGCTCTACAACTGACGCTAGGCAATGGTGTTTGGTTTCCTTGTCTGCATAGTGGGAAATGGCTTGTTTTGAGAATCAAATGAGTTAATACATATAAAGGGTTTTAAATCATGCCTGGGACAGACAGAAAGCCCTTGATAAGTGCTGGTGGTTGTTTCTGAGAATTAACCCAAGCAATCCAAGGGGTGCTTTTCACGTAACTTATGTAAGTTTTCTGTTAACTTGGATCGGATTTTATAATCCCATCCAAGTTTACAGAAGAAACTGAAATCCAGAAAAAAAATCTGACTTCTTTCAGATCATGCAGGTCTGTGGCAAATACAGGACAAAAGGGCCCACTTGTCCTGACCCCTGTCCAGGGCTCTTTTCACTGCCCCACGGACCCTTTGGAAGATTCAGTGCACTCTAAATTCCATCAGCCCCAACAGGTGGCCATCCACCCTGGAAGCCAGCCCATGTTGATTTTATAAACTTTCCATCCACCATGACATGCTGGCCTCCCCAAATATAAAGCATCCCCAGCCGTGATAGGGGTTGAGAGCCTCACCTTTCTCAGTCAACTGGGGGTCATCCTACTCCCGTGGCTGCACAAGGGGGAGGCGGTCACAGTTTTAAGGTTCATTCACACACTGCTCTGGCTTTCCGGCAGCCTCCTTCACTCTTTCTCAGGCTCCCTGGAAACCCATCAGCCCCATGATATTTATTACCTGCTCCTTCCATTTATGAGTTAGTGATGGAAAAAGAGAAGCTGTGTACTTCTTTCAGGCAGCATGAGAGGCAGAGAGAAGAAAAGGTTATGGCTGTGTTTACTTTACTTAGTGCTGTTTTCCAGGCTGCCTCCCAATTGACGCTCAACAGCAATCCAATAGCATATTATTAACCAAAGAGCTTTCTCAGATAAACACCAAACAGCTGCTATAATGACACACGACCTAGGTGGAGAGGCAAAGATAAATGCTAATTTTAAAATTAAATTGCTATTTCCCTGCATGTCTAAGAGAATGGGAAAAGAATGATGGGAATAAGTGATAGGAAGTAATGATGTAAATGGAACTGGGTCGTCTCTACCCATCCACAACGAGGTCAAAGAGAAAGGGCTGAGACTGTCTTAAGAATTAACATTATTGAACGTTTAACACATGCCAGATATGATGCACTGTGATGCACTGTTGCATTGTTTCATTTAATGCAACAACCCTATGTAGATATAGGTGCCTTTTTTTTTTTCTGAGACGGAGTCTTGCTTTGTTGCTCAGGCTGGAGTACAGTGGCGTGGTCTCGGCTCACTGCAACCTCTGCCTCCCGGGTTCAAGCAATTCTCCTGCCTCAGCCTCCCGAGTAGCTGGGATCCCAGGTGCATGCCACCACACCTGGCTAATTTTTGTATTTTTAGTAGAGACGGGGTTCATCATGTTGGCCAGGCTGGTCTCGAACTCCTGACCTTGTGATCCACCCACCTTGGCCTCCCAAAGTGTTGGGATTACAGGCGTGAGCCACTGCACCGGGCAGATATAGGTGTCTTTAGGATGGATCGTGATATGGTTTGGCTGTGTTTCCACTCAAATCTCATCTTGAATTGTAGCTCCCATAACCCCATGTCATGGGAGGGACCTGGTGGGAGGTAACTGAATCATGAGGGCAGGTTTTTTCCATGCTGTTCTTGTGATAGTGAATAAGTCTCATGCCATCTGATGGTTTTATAAAGGGCAGTTCCCCTGCACACACTCTCTTGCCTGCCACCACGTAAGACGTGCCTTCGCTTCTCCTTTGCCTTCCACCATGATTGTGAGGCCTCCCCAACCATGTGGAACTGTGAGTCCATTAAACCTCTTTCCTTTATAAATTACTCTGTCTTGGATATGTCTTTATTAGCAGCATTAGAAGGAACTATACAGCTCTCCATTCTACAGTTGAGAAAACTGGGGCTAAAAGAGATGAAGTAATTGGGACAAAGTCATAAGTGGAATAAGTGGAGAGGCCAGGATTTGAATCCTGCCAGACTGGCTCCAAATCCCATGAGATTAAGCATTATGCTAAATTACCTCCTGGGCCTGTGCAGAGGGCTGTAGCATTTGTCAGATTTGAAGGTATATTTTGAGTTAATCTGTCACTTACCTAACAAAATATTTACCAAGTCCCAGTTGTTAGCCAATGAGATGGGAATCACAAAACGACCTAGAACACTCTCTTGCTTTTTTCTAAGAACAGCTTACACATAACCTTCCAGAGGGAAATCAGGACTCTTCTGAAAGAAAGACTAATACAGCACATCAGTTGGAGGTCCAGCATTTTCTTTTTGGGTTACCAAGGTCCATTCAAACCTGGAGACCATGTAGCTCGGTGGTTAGGCCGTTGAGAGACCCAAGTTTAAACTCCAGGTTCTCCTCTCATATGCTGGATGCCATCTCAGCAAAGTGACACAACCTCTTTAAGCATTTTTCCTTTTAGCGTAAAATAGAGAAAATAATCATATCTACCACTTGCGGTTCTTGTAAGGATTAAACAAAGATCTTTATCATTCTGCTGAAGTTCGAGTTTGCCTGCAGGAATTAGGCTACTGACTTCTACCCTGCTGTTCTTAACTGTCAAACATAGTTTTGCCATCACCCAAGTGTCCCTGGCCTAAGCATCCCTGTAGCCAGTCATGGAAATCTTTTTGTTGCAGCCTGTGCCCTCTGGTGGAACCTAAAACCATCTGCACCCATTGCTCCAAGGAGATGGCTCAGCTCAAGCCTGGTGAAGTTCCACGCACAGTGCAGCTGCACAGTGGCATCAGTGGATGCTATCATCATCATGAAATCCAAACTGATTTCCCTACTAGGAATTGGAATAAGGATATTGATAGGGCTGTCTTTCTCCTTCCTCAAAACTCCTCACACTGGTGGGCTGAGATCTCCTATAGTCAAGTTACCTCTGACTGTCCTAAGTCTCCATTCAATACAGTAGTTAGTACAAACCCTGCCCGCAGCAATAATAGCCAACATTTTTAGCACATAACTAATCCCAAGCACTGAGCTAAGCACTCCATAAACATAAGCCCAGGGAAGCCTCAGCACATCATCACAAAGTAGAGATGGTTATCATTTGCACTTTACATGTGGAGATACTGAGGCTCAGAAAGGGCCTTTCTCTTGCCCCCAGATCACACTCGCTGGAGGTAACAGAACTGGACTTCAAGCCAAAGTCTGCTGGCTGCAGAGCCTGAGATCACAGCCATTCTGCTAGGGGTCAGAGTCTGTCTGCAGCAGTGAAGGTCCATGGCAGCGTGTTCCTGGCTGCTGCCTTCAAGTGCCCTTCAGAAAAAGTGAAACTCACTCTAAGAATCTCAGAGGCTGAATCAAAAGCCCCCTAGTAATATTCTGTGCCCTCTAGGTTTCTAAATCCTGTTATCCTCCAGCCAAGAGGCGTGGCTCAAGCATGTCTCCACCTGTGATGATTAGCATAGCCTGTCCTCTGTCGAGACCCAAAGTCAACACTTGACTACATAATTGCTCTATTAGTCTCTTTGAGTCAAAAAAGACCAGCCGGTGCGGTGGCTCATGCCTGTAATACCAGCACTTTGGGAGGCCAAGGCGGGCGGATCACGAGGTCAGGAGATTGAGACCATCCTGGCGAACACGGTGAAACCCCGTCTCTACTAAAAACACAAAAAAATTAGCCAGGTGTGGTGGCGGGCCCCTGTAGTCCCAGCTACTCGGGAGGCTGAGGCAGGAGAATGGCGTGAACCCGGGAGGAGGAGCTTGCAGTGAGCCAAGATCGAGCCACTGCACTCCAGCCTGGGCGACAGAGCAAGACTCTGTCTCAAAAAAAAAAAAAAAAGAAAGAAAAAAGAAAAAAGAAAAAGACCTCAATCCAGTGGATTAAGAGGGGGAAAATGCCAGTAATAGGCACATACAATTGGAAAGTTCAGGAGTAGAGACTGTTAAAGCAAACTAAATATGGCCTGAGAAGGACTCTGTACTTCTATATTCGAGTCCTTGTGGACGAACTGCAATCTAGCTTAGTAAGTAGACAAGACTGAAAACCTAACTTAGGAGTAGGCGCCTGTAACAATAGCTGAGTCTTGGCCAATCCCAGCGGTCATACTTCAACTATTCATACACTGCTGAGTGTTCAGACTGTGTTCAAATAAAGCAAACGCCAAGCTGTAACCAATCCAGCCGTTCTGTACCTCATTTCCGATTTCTGTACGTCATTTCCGATTTCTGTACGTCATTTCCCTTTTTTTCTCTATAAATCTTCTTCCACCATGTGGCTGCGCTGGAGTCTCTGTGAATCTGCTGTGATTCTGGGGGCAGCCCAATTCGTGAATCATTCATTGCTCAATTAAACTCCTTTAAATTTAATTTGGCTGAAGTTTTTCTTTTATTAAGGCTAACTCAGAGAAGGACCCAAGCCCTCAAAGGGCTCCTGTGACGTCTACCCCATGCTAGGTGTTGGCTTTATTCACAGGTATGCTTTCCCTTCCCAATAGCAAAATGGCTGCCAATAGGCCGAGGCAGACACCCTAGCAGCTCAGCAATCCCTGTGGAAACTGAGTTTCTCTGCTCTGTAATTTCAGCAGCCATCTCAGTTTGCACTCCATTGGTCCACTTGGAGAATCACATGCTAATCCCTGAACCAATCACTTCCTGCAACCAGGAAGTATAGTCATCTGAGTGCACAGAGCTGGATCATGTGAGCAGCCCTGGGACCTGAGGATGGGAAGCTGGGAAAGCACCATCCGAGAGGGCCCAGACAGAGACAACTGGAGGTGTGGCCCCTCACATAGAAATTGAGGGAAATTTCCTCAATTCTTCCCAGATGGAAATCTTCTGCTGGCACCAGAAGCAGCAGCATTAGATGCCAGACAGACAAGAGCCACACTGTCTCTTTTCTTCACTCTCCCAATCAAAGGCACATCATGCCAGATCCTCTTTCCCCTGACTCATTTCTCCTGACTTTATCCTATGATTTGCGAAGCAGCACAATGTAGTGGACGTTGTATAACTCCGGGGATACTTTAAGAGAGGGAGGAGGGGAAGAGAGAGAAATGACTTCATTCTTTTCCCAAAGTTTTGCGGCAGCTCAGAGGTCTCTGGTTTATGGACACACATTAAAGAATCTTTTCATGAGGACTGTTTTATGTGAGAAAGCCATTTGAGCAAGGAGGCACTTGGCTGCTCCTTCTAAATGAAAGTTTTCAATTAGTCTGAAGAAGTTAATTACATCGTTCTTTAATAACTGCACTTGTGATTCTACAAATCCTCTATTAATTGATTCAACCATATGCCCCCAAACTAAGAACCAGCAAACAGGTAGAAAAAGACCAGGGAAGAAGAAAGGGGGGTGAGAGAGTCAAAGATAAAGAAGGGCTGTATTATCTGCTGGGTAGACAAGTTATAAAGGCAAGCGTGGGAGAATTCTTGAAAATTGTGGGTGGTGAGAGATTTGGGAAATTCATCCTATAGATCAAATAACCTTTGCAAGCTGCTTGCAACATACACAATACTAGCAGGATGCACTGTGCAGCAGAATCTCAAAAAGAAAGCAATTCTATAGAGCTTGATCTAGACAATTAAAAGGAGCTACTGAATCCAAGGTAGTTTTGGAAGAGGCTACAAATAGCGACTTTTCTGTTTTGTAGAGAAGATCATTAAAGGGGAAGTCAGAAGCCAGGAAATTCCAGTCCCAGCTTTGAAAAAAAGCCGCTGCTCCATTCACCTGAAGCTCACAGTTGTAGGGATATTTAACATAAGCATCAAACTGGCCTGGGTTCAGATCCTGGCTCTGCTACTGCCTAGCCAGGTGACTCTCGGCATGGCATTTCACCTCTTTGAGTCTCAATTTCCTTATCTAGTAAATGATAGAAATAAGCTTATCTATATCACAGGGGTCTTGCAATAGTTAAATGATTAAATAATGCATACAAACTGTTGAGCATTGTTCTAGAACATGATAAGGATTCAGTAAATACTCAGGATTGTGTTCGTCGGTTGTTATCCTAATAATATTGTGTAACAAAGCACTCCAAAGCTCAAGGACATCCAACAACAAGCACCAGTCTCTTACACACACATCTGCAGGTTCGCTGGAATTGAGCTGGGCCTGGTTTCAAGATGCAGGTTGGGTCCAAGTCCACTCCATGTGTCTCTGATCCTCCTTGGACTTGTGGCTACTGAGGCTTGTTCTACTCATAGAGAACAGCAATAGCTGAGTAGGGAAACTCCAACCACAGGAGCAAATTTCAAGACTCTGCTTACATCTGCTAACTGGCCATTGGCCAAAGCAAGCCACATAGCCAAAACGAAAATCAAGAAACAGGGAAATATACTCCAGCCATGGAGCTAGGAGGGAGGGGTTTATATTTGCCAAATAATTAACTAATCTAGCACAACCATTTTAGTTCTATTTGATGGGCACACAAATTATTGCCCAGCAAGCCAGGATATGATGAGTATCAAATGAGAGGTTGTTATAGACTGACTTGAGTACCTCCCAGAATTTATATGTTCAAGCTCTAGCCCTCAATATGACTGTGTTTAGAGATGGGGGTCTTTAAAAGGTAACTGAAGTTAAATGAGATCATGGTGGGATCCTAAATGGTTTGGCCATTTCCTCACCCAAATCTCATCTTGAATTTACTATAATTCCCACTTGTTGTGGGAGGGACCCGGTGGGAGATAATTAAATCATGGGGGCAGTTTTCTCCATACTGTTCTCATGGTAATGAGTAAGTCTCATGAGAGCTGATGATTTTATAAGGGGTTTCCCCTTTTGCTTGGCTCTCATTTCTCTCTTGCCTGCCACCATGTAAGATGTGCCTTTCGCCTTCCACCATGATTGTGATGCCTCCCCAGCCACGTGGAACTATGAATCCATTAAACCTCTTTTTCCTTATAAATTACCCAGTCTTGGGTATGTCTTTATGGACAGCGTAAAAACGGACTAATGCGGGTCTCTAATTCAATAGGACTATGTTCTTTTAAGAAGAGGAAGAGACACCAGGGATGCAGGTGCACAGAGAAAGGACTGTGGGAAGACACGGCAGAAAGGCAGTCACCTGCAAGCCAAGGAGAGGCCTCAGCAGAAACAAGACCTGCCAGCACCTTGATCTTGGATGTCTTGCCTTGTTCTTGGACTCTGAGAAATAAATTTCTGTTGTTTAAGCTACCCAGTCTGTGGTATTTATGGCAGTCTAATCAAACTAATACAATAGTAGAGAAAATCAATGCTAAAAGAGCAAGAAATTGCTTAGAGAGAGAAGAAAACAAACTTCACACAGAAGATGCTCTCTGCTTAGAGGATATGTGGTAATTCAACAGTGAAGATGGAAGTGAGGGGTAGATGACATCCTAGGTGCAAGAGATGGCCTTCACCATTAGTTCTGAAGAGGGACAGAAAGACAATAGCTAACATTTTGTTGTTTGCACTTGGTTGCAGACACTGCATTAGGCTCTTTACATACTTGATCTTATTTAACCGTCAAAACAACCCTAAAAAGTTGACGTCATCAGTATCCTACATTTTAAGGAGAAAGAAACAGGTTTGAGAGATGAAGATTAACCCCTAAGGATGTCACACGACACAATGGGAATATGTCAGCAACTTCTGCTCAGCAGCTGCTGTTTGATGAAATCTAGAAAACAAAGTTCATGGCCTGAGAATAAGCACAACAAAGTACTCCTAGGAAATATTAGACAGATAGTAAAAGAAAATAAGATGTCTCCTCCAAGGCAGGGAGAATTGTGGAGAAGAAAAGAAAAAAAAGGGAGAGAGAGGCAGGCTGTATCTTCCCTTTGCCCATTTGATGCAATAACAATGGCAGCTAATAATTACCAGTAGCGTAGCATGTGTAAAGCACTGTTCAAAACACTGTATATAATGTTTGTCATTTCTAATCTATTGGCTTAACATGCACAGTAACTCTGAGGTAGGTATTAAAGTGTCCCCATCCTGCAGATGAGAAAACAGCCACACCGCACTCACGGTAAGCGACACTACAAGCAGTCTGGATGCAGAGTACATGCTCCCAACTCCTGTGTGTTCTTCTACCTCTCATACTGCCGTAATGTATTTCAGGAAGAAATTTTTTTTCTTGCTAAAGAATTGCTGTGATCCTACCTCTTCTCTATTTATAAAATAGTGGCGGTCCCCATTGCCCTTAGGATGAAGTCCCCAGTCGTTACCTTGGCATTAAAGGTCATATTCCATCTCTCTCCGTTTGACCTTTCTGACTTGCATTTCACTCAAACTTGTCTGCCCTCTGTATTTGGGTGAGCATAATCCAACTTCACCCTCTATGTCTAAACTGGGTTGGCCCCTCTTTCTCTTTCTCCAGTCCCACACATCCACAGTGGTGAGCTCCATTCAATAGCCACATCCTGTGTTCATCCTTCCCTGATGGCCCAAGTGGAAGAAATTATCTGCAGCACGCAGCTTCCAACTCATTTGGGGGCCTCTACTCTCCTTGCTCCTCATCCTATTCAATTAGTCATCAATTACTTGAGAGTGGCTTAGAGAGAGCTCTGTGCTAACAAGAAGATAGCAAGAAAAGCCTGTGCCTGTTCTCATAGACTTCACCATCCAGCAAGGATCTAAGAGACTTGTGCAAATGCTCATAGCAACACCAAAATGAGGTCTGTGGGAACCTCTAAGCCCCCAGCCCACTCTCCCAGTAGCACACAGATGGGCCTCACAGGGTCAGTGGACCCCAGAATTGCACCCCACTTCATCTGTTCATGAACTGGGTGAGGTGCCCATATATAGCTCTCATCGAATCATATTCTCATTAGATTCTTATCCAGAAGAATTTAACCAACTTCTTGCTCCTTTTTTCCTCCCTTTTCCTTAAGAGACAATGCCTACGACCCTTCAGGGGATCAGGGGAGCATCCGGGGTGATAGGAGATGATGAGAATTTATCACAGGGAACTTCAGAAGGAAATCTGTAAAACGAGCCTTTTACATAAACCTTATAAATCTTGGGGCACATATGGTTCAGTGTCAGTGCAAGATCAAGTTCAGGAAGCATCATTTAGCTTCAAAATGTGATTAATACCAGTTTCATTATTTATTTGCATCTCTCCAATAATACTGAAAGAGATCCAAATGCAGTTTATATTTTATTTATTCTCCTACCCACCCCAAAGAAAGGAAATAAAGACTAGATTGGGGCCAGGTGTAGTAGCTCGTGCCTGTAATCACAGCACTTTGGGAGGCCAAGGCAGGTGGATCACTTGAAGTCAAGAGTTCGAGGCCAGCCTGGCAACATGTGGAAGCCCTGTCTCTACTGAAAATACAAAAATTAGCCAGGCGTGGTGGCGGGCACCTGTGAATCCAGCTACTTAGGAGGCTGAGGTATGAGAATAGCTTGAACCCGGGAGGCGGAGGTTGCAGTGAGCCGAGATCATGCCACTGCACTCCAGCATGGGTGACAAAGCAAGACTCCATCTCAAAAAAAAAAAAAAAAAAAAGACTGGATTGGGAACCAAACTGAGAACATCTTAGGGAAAGAGAAGAGCAGAACCAAGACTGGCTCATCCTGGAGAAAGTGTCGGGAGAGTCATGCGGGAGGACAGGAGTGAGGAGTGGACGAAAGAATCTGCAAGAAGTCTTTCTGGGAGCTATAAATTAAAACACTTACTCTGTCCTAGAAAAGAGAAACGCATAGTAGAGTCTCTTTTTAATTTGGTCTCTACTGTGTTTCTGTAATTCCATCTCTACGCTTAAACTGAGCCACAGAGGGACTTGAAATTTGTTTGAATTGCATTTTTAACCCCTGGAGCCTGTCGGGGACTGTGGCAAGCAGCAGGAATGCAGTTTGACTGCCCTTAAATAACCTAGCAGGGAGTGAAGGAAGCTGCAGGTTTCAGTGTGATTTAGTAGGTGGTAAAAGCCTCAGTTAGCCAAACCCAAGGAGTTTGTGGGCCCAGCTCTGCGTGGCCACTATGGTCCAATGGTGCATGCACCAAACTGTATCTAAGACATCGGATTTCATAGCCGTGAAGGTCCACTTCCTCCAAGAAGCCTTCCTAGACTAACCCAGCCCTTACAACCAAATATCCCCTGATGTTCTCAGCACTGATACGACGAAGCTGAGTCTGATTCACATTTTTACATCCTCTGTCCCCAGTGACACTGCCAGCTCCTGGAGGCAGAATCCACTTCACACCACACATTCTGCCTCCCTCACTGACACACTCAGCCCTCATCCTATCAGAGAAAGTACTCATCAGTCCATCTCAGTTGTCAGCAACTTCCCACCCCCCATGCCACTCCCCACTTCCCTGCATAAAGAGCCAAACTCTGCCACGTCAGGTGAGCACTCAGGCTCAGAGAGACTCCTGGAAGAGTGCTTACCTGAAGGCTCACGGTGGTTTTGTGTGGGTGAAGTGGGGGCTGTGGTTTCAGATCACACTTTCTGATGAATGTATTAAAACCCAACCATCATGTGCTAAGCGGGTCCCTAAATCTAAGCACATTGAATGTGGGCTGAAGTTCCCACACAGTCAATGAGACCCAGGGAGCATCGGCACCTGCCCATGGGAGTCCACAGACACTCCAGGTGCCACTGTTTCGAGTTCCTGCTGCCCCAGGTACTACCTGGCAGCAGGAACCTCCTCTGGGGAAATAACTCTGTGGATGACTCTGGGCTTTGGAGAAGACTCGTCTTACCAGGAATTTGGAACTCTCCCTGCCAGCTGGCTCACACTTCAGGAAAACAGAGCCAGGAGCATTCTGGTAGCACTGGGCCCCTCCCTCTGCCTCCCTGTTTCTCAGGATGGGGAAGCTTTGGCGGGGGTCACCCACCTTTTTTTGCAAAGTGGCCACATTTCCCTCCTCTCCTGAAAAGGTCAAACTGTTGAGCCTAACTATATTTAAGAACAGCGTAGAGGAAAAGAGACTCAATCAGCAATTGGGTCATATTACCATCCATGATGTTTCAGGAGATGTTTTCTCGCGTTCTATTGTATTATATTATTTGACTTTTTTTTTTTTTTTTTTTTTGAGACGGAGTCTCGCTCTGTCACCCAGGCTGGAGTGCAGCAGCATGATCTCAGCTCACTGCAAGCTCTGACTCCCAGGTTCACGCCATTCTGCCTCAGCCTCCCAAGTAGCTGGGACTACAGGCGCCTGCCACCACGCCCAGCTAATTTTTTGTATTTTTTTTTTTTTAGTACAGATGGAGTTTCACCGTGGTCTCAATCTCCTGACCTCGTGATCCACCCGCCTTGGCCTCCCAAAGTTATTTGACATTTTATAATAGGCATGGGTTTTTAATAATCAGAATAAAACAGCAGTTAGCATTTTGAAAATTAAGAAAAAAGCAAAGGACACTTTCTTTTTTATTTTCCCACTAATGTGGATGAGGGGGAGGGGTCTTTAAAAAATGTCTTCCAACAGAGTAAAATTTCACTTACACTTTTTCCTCACTAGAAGTGTGAAAGCTAATAAATGTTTTAAGTTCTAGGCATTGCTTCTTTCACGTCTGCTTTCTTTTTTCAAATGCTGCATTTCTTTGATGTCTCAGGTAGGCCAGGGTCATGTTTTGAAACCTCAACACCCCCATACTAAATAACTGACCTTAGTAAACAGACCTCACACGTTATTCCCACCAGAATGATTACGATGGAAAAGACAGAAAATGCCAAGTGCCACTGAGAACTTGGAGCACCTGGAACTTTCAAATGCTGATGTTGCGGGTATCAATTCATACTGCTTTGGAAAGCTGTCTTTGGTAGCATGTGCTACCTTAGGACCCAGGAACTATGCAACTTTCCCCAAAGACATGGAGTAGGATATTCTTTGCAGTACTACAATAACCAAAAACTAGAAACTTCTCGACTGTGCCTCAGTGATAAAATACATCATTGCATATCCACACAATGGAATAGTATACCACAATGAAAAGAAATTACAACTATACTCAACAATACAGATGAATCTCACAAACAATATTGAGAGAAAGAAGCCGACTCAAAGAGCCCGTGCTGTTTGTATTCATTAACATAATGTACAAAGACAGGCTAAACTAATCACCTTCAGAGACAAAAGTGAGGAACGTGGTGACCTTTGGTGGGACTAGGGGAGGAGTGACTGCAAAGAGATCTTTGGGTTGATGGAACAGAGGCAATGGTGTCAAGTTCTGTTTCTTGACATTAATGCTTGTTACTTGGGTGTTTCAGCATGTAAAAATCTGAGCTGTGCGCTTTTGCTTTAGGCACTGTGATATGCATATTATAGTCAAAAAGTTTTTTAAAGTAGATATCTGTTCCTATGAAGGATTAGGTTTTAATAAATATAACTCACTTAGTGACCTTTTCACCAAAAAATAGCGGATTAGGTTTTAATAAATATAACTCACTTAGTGACTTTTTCACCAAAAAATAGCAAAGGAGAAAAAAGTGAACCTGCAGGTTGAAAACAGAAAGTTTACAGATGAAAAGAGAAAAATCTGATTGTATGCCCCTCCCACAATCTTACCCAAAACCAAATGCATATTTTAGAATCAACAGATTTCTTATCAAGAGGAAATATTTCGTTGTCCAAGGCGAAAGAGTCTTTGTTTTCTTAAGACAGGGTCTCGCTCTGTTACCCAGGCTGGATTCAGTGGCGCGATTTCGGCTCACTGCAGCCTCAACCTCCTGGGCTCAAGCGATCCTCCTGCCTCACCCTCCCAAGTAGCTGGGACTACAGGCACATGATATCACACCTGGCTAATCTTTGTATTTTTCATAGAGAGGGGGTTTTGCTATGTTGCCCAGACTAGTCTTGAACTCCTGAGCTCAAGTGATCCTCCTGCCTCAGCCTCCCAAAATGCTGGGATTACAGGTGTGAGCCACCACACCCAGCCCAAAAGAGTCTATGTGCAGATCTTATTCTATGTGCAGATCAGTTTGAAGATCTTTAAACATAGCTGGTTTTCAATCCTCTGCCTGCATTGTTTAAAATAAAAGGTGTGTTTTCTGGCATCTTTTTTAAAAAGGCCAAGAGGGGCATGCTGTCATTTGACCTAATTTTGATCTGTTTCATTTAAGAAATATATTTATGCACAGGGGATTGGATTGCCTATAGAATGAGGTCATTTCTTGTGTGTCATATGCTGAAGCAAGTGAAAGGAGAGGCAGGTGACATCTATAAATTTTAGTCACACACTTCCTTCCATTTCACCCAGGATGGTTCTCTAGTCACTAAGCAGGTGAACACTGACACCCAGTGCGAGCAATGGGAACAAAGCTTTCTTGGTACCTGCTTCTAATAAAAATTCTGTGCTTGGATTTACTGGAAATAACTTAGAAGGTACATTTTTGAAAAAATTGATGGGGAAATTGATTTAAAAATTGGTACAGGATATAAGAACACAAACAAAAATAAAAGTTTCAAATGCCAAGTAAATATATATATAAATATGTTCAGCATCACCAGTGAAAAGGAAATGAAACCAGAAATTAAATACCATGTCACCTATCAAATTGGAAACATTACTGAAGTTTAATACCATCTCACCCACCTGATTAGAAACATGGCTAATGTGTAATCATCTCAGGAGCCAGTTTAAGCAGAGGGAGATCTGGTGGTACTCCTAGAACTCACATGGCACAGGTGGGTGGGTAAATTGTTTCTGTATTTTGGATGACAATTTGATATTATCTTTTAAAATACTGAACACACATAATCCAACAATTCTCATTTCAGAATTAACCCTAGACAATTGTTTTAATGTGCACACAAGAAGACAAGTTCAATTTAGGTGATACTGTATTGCTGGAAAGCAAAAAACAACATTCAGTGAGTAATGGGTTCATGCCCAAAGGACATGAGCCAATTCGAAGGGGTCTGCAATGACCAAAGTTGAGCCAAGTGAAACATCAAAGATAATAATAGCCATAACTGATTGAAACACAGCAAGTATATACAAATAAATTAGTCCATATTGATACACAAGAAGAAGGCCAGCCAAACGAAAATTAAACTCCTCTGCCACTATTGGAGACAACTATGGTTTTACTCTTTACTCCAAAAATTGATAATTAATGAGAAAGGACTAAGCATTTATCCTACATTTCTAGCAGGAGCTGCACTTTAGGGTAAGCCTATAAGCTCAGCAGTTGAAAGAAAGCTCCCCTTTACAGGAGAATGTCAGCTAATCAATGTAGAGTATAGGACAGAATGTGAAAATCAAAATCTTGCAAACTCCAAAAGAAATAGTTGATTGAGATAAGAATCAGCAATTAGGGGAAGTGATGGAAAACTAGACACGTGCATGGTGTCGACAGATCCTGCCACAGATTATTTTCTATGTGCTAGAAGGAATATGTAACTTTGTAATGCAGAAATGTGACTGTCCTAGTCTTAAGCCAGTAATCAATATTGGCATCACCATTGGTGGGATAACCAGACATTATGTGTTTTCTGTTGTAATTGCAATGTGGAGTATACCTACCAAATATTCTTGCCAAAATTTTACCCTAAATTTATTCAAGCATCTAGATACAACATTCAGAAAACAACAGAACAATAAGGTAATACAGGAACAAATGAAGCACCATCAAGAGGAACCAATTCCAAAATCCAAAAGCTAGGATATTCTACAGGACATGGGTATTTTATTGCTGTTTTCTACTTTTACATCTACTTAATTTTAAAATTTGTTTACGTTTTATTTTACATTCTTAGATTTTGGCATCTCATTAGATGAACATAATTACTATGCCTCTAGCAGATAAGGCCCTACAGGATAGTGGTCTAAAATTTGTATCTCATGAACTGGTAACATTTCCAAACCTCACCCCCAAATAATGGCAAGGATAGTTGCAAATAGCACAAATTCCTATCTTATTAAGTAAAAAAAAAATTATCACTTATTGGTGTTATCTTTTCATACAAGATAGGATCTTTTATTACCAAAATGTACAGATGAATGAATATAATCCCAAAATGGAGAAGAGTCCTTTACACAGAATAAGATTTATGAAGATGCCCTAGATCATCTGAATACATTTGAGGAAACAACTAAACTCAGGCAGCTGGGGCTTGGTTAACTTGCCTTGCTTCTGGCATGAAGTATTAGAATGGGATGCATTGCTGGGTGGAATTCAGACTTCAGGTCTTCTCATCTTATGGGTACAAAAAGAGCACCATTGCCAAGTATGTTAACAGATGATTATATTTGACAACCAAAATTCCAAGCCCCCATTGAACTTGAATGACATGTGCATGCTGTCGACAGATCCTTCCACAGATTACTTTCTATGTGCTAGAAGGAATATGTAACTTTGTAATGCAGAAATGTGACTGCCCTAGTCTTAAGCCAGTAATCAATATTGGCATCTCCAATAGTGGGACAACCAGCTTCCTAAGGTTATAGGATTTTGAGGTACAACTTCCTAAGACTGGGTAATTGATAAACAATTACCCAGTCTTAGGAGTCTATACCCCAGAATCCTATAGCCCAGAGGCTAAGAAATGGCTGAAGTTTATTCACAGAGTTCTAAGTCTTCCTGATGCAGAGATGGGACCAATCAATTAGGAAGAGAGTGTCATGTGGTGGGTAAGACCATGGGCCTTGGGTCAGTCAGATCTGAATGTGAATTCAGCTCTACCAGTTTGGCACTTAAATAGTCTCTAAATGTCAATGTCATAACCTGTACAATAGGTAACATAACTGTCTATGTCAGAGATATGGGGATCAAATGGGATAATGCAGATACACTACTCAGCACAGAACCACTAAACTTGTTCATGGGTTAAACAATAAATAATAGCTAATGTTACTATACTTTTATCCTGATACCAAATTTTCAAAGCCAGTGGTACTTTTTCAGCTGGAAGATGAAGGCCTAATCAAGATGGAGCCAAGGGCAGGGCCAAGCTGATGTTAGCATCCCAAGCACTTGGAGGTTTCTTCTCACCCAAGACACCAGATACGGATGCCCAGGTAAGAAAGCACTTACTTTGGGGTAACTGTGGGCTGGAGTTACAGAGGGGAGAAAAGCACAGAGTCTGCCAAAGCCAGGGAAGAAAGACCGGGGTGGGGCATGTGGCTTGATGCACTGCACAGAATACCGTACAGGGCACAGACCGATCCCACTTTGAGGCTTGTGCCTTCTCAACACAGAGATCCCCTTCCTTTGTGAGTCCCACCTGGCCACCAATGCATGGAATCTTTCTGAGACTATCAATCAAGTTTCCTTGCCTTTCTCTCACCAAGAGGTGGGTGAGTGACACCGACTACAGCCAAGGAGTCTCTGTTTCTCTCAGCTCTTGAGTCAAATGACCCAACGGCAGAAAACAGAGCCCATAGATCCTGATAAGGCAGAATCCTGAAGCATTGGTCCCTGCTAACTGTACACCCATAGCTGCCTGGGACCCATTCTGTCCAAAACAAAGGTCCTATAGAGTTTCCTTTTATTCTAGGAACACCACACATTATGATTTGGATCTGTGTCCCCACCAAATCTGTTGAATTGTAATCCTTAACGTGGGAGGTGGGGCCTGGTGGGAGATGATTGAATCATAGGGGTGGTTTCTCCTGAATGGTCTAACATTATCCCCCTTGGTACTGTCATCATGATGGTGAGTGTGTTCGCATGGGGTCTGGTTGTTTAAAAGTGTGTAGCACCTCCCACTTCTCTCCTTCTTGCTCCTGTTCCCACAATGTGAAATGCCTCACTCCCCATTTGCCTTCCACCATGATTGTAAGTTTCCTGGGGTCTGCCCAGAAGCCAAGAAGATGACAACATCATGCTTCCTTTACAGCGTGCAAAACTGTGAGCCAATTAAACCTCTTTTCTTTATAAATTACCCAGTCTTAGGTATTTCTTTATAGTAGTGCAAGAATGGATTAATCCACTCCATAACCCTCAGATACCTTCCTACCATGCATAAATTACCCCAGATTGGTCCCCATTGCTTGCAACCCAAGAATTCCAAATGAAACAGTTCTCCTCTCCCCACTGACTCTGCTGCAGGTCCAGGCACCATCAACAGCCTCTTTCCTGCTTCTATTCATGATGCTGGTTATCCGTAGATGACACAGTAAATGGTTTTGAGTGAATGTCTACTAGGCACCAAGCTCTGCGCTCAGCTGTCAGGAGCAGCAGGAAACATGATAGCTGCCCCCCAAAGTCACTGGCACAGGCAATGACCAAACAAAGGGACGCATGCTCAGATGATAGGGTGCTGGGGACATACAGGACAGAATCCCTCCCTTTAAACATGACACCTGGGTGTCATGAGGATCCCATTCTCCAGACTTTCCCCAGTGACTGGGAACATACATCAGGATGCAGCATGTGATTTCAGAAGTGCTATTGGAACAAGTTTTCCCAGCAAGGTGTTTTGCTCCTTTTTCTCAGGTTTTTCCATCAAGAGTCTCTTAAGGCCCCAGCGCGGTGGCTCACGCCTGTAAACCCAGCACTTTGGGAGGCCGAGGCAGGTGGATCACCTGAGGTCAGGAGTTCAAGACCAGCCTGGCCAACATGGTGAAACCCTGTCTCTACTAAAAATACAAATATTAGCCGGGTGCAGTGGCACGTGCCTGTAATCCCACCTATTCAGGAGGCTGAGGCAGGAGAATTGCTTGAGCCCAGGAGGCAGAGGTTGCAGTCAGCCAAGATGGCACCATTGCACTTTAGCCTGAGTGATAGAGCAAGACTCTGTCTACAAAAAAAAAAAAAAAAGTGTCTCTTAAACTACATTTTCATAGGCCTTTTCACTGCAGAGGTAACAAACTCAAATGCCAACTGGGGCCAGCTAGGTATCTTAGTCATTTGACACAGACACATTTTGTATATTAAACACATAGGAATATTTTCCCCTTCAATAAAAGATATGCTCCCTAACACTTGTTTTTTTTTTAAACCTATGTCCTCTTCTTCTACCTTTTGTTTTCAAACTTTTTATGAAGACATAGATAAAGAATGATATCACTTTCCTCTTAATTCTATGAAGAAAATAAATGTAAGTAAAATATTAAAGAATGACGTTGGTCCTCCCTGTTCTAGATACTGTAAGGCATGGTGGGGATTTATGGCAAACTGGAGAGCTCCTGTCCTGAATGAAAGGGAAACTTTAATACCAGCTAGAGCTATGAATTGTATGCAGGAAATCAAGTTCCCAAAAAATCTCTTTTCTGACAGAAACCAGAAATCCAGATTTTTATGCAAACGTATCTGATTTTTAAATGTTGGCAAACAATTCAAAGCTTCATTTTTTTAATGCCATGCAGGCCTACGCTCTGTAGTTTAAACAAACAAGTATGGGCCACATTCTGCCCTTGGGACATGAATTTTCAACCCCTTATGGGTACAGTACTGCCCAGGGTGGCCCCTGGCCTAGTTCTGGCATATTTGTGCAAATAAGATAAAAGTGTTCCTTCCCCCACAGATATTTTACTGCCATTCATCAGAAAAATTGTCCTAACAAATATATTATACAAATCCAAGACACTCATTGTAAGCATGGTGCCCTCTGGAGTTGGACAGTGTGAAACCTATACACCTGTACACAGCAGCCCTGTTTTCATCCTCTTTGAGCTTTTCGGGATAAGCCCCTAAAATCCCACCTACCATCTAATTTTTTATTCTCTAATTATGTTTCTGCTAATATTTGACATTATATTTATACCTGAAAGACAAATTGGAGACTGAATTACATTATCCTATCAGGGCAAGTCCAGTAACTGAGATTAAAGAAGATTCAAGTGGGCTTTTTGGCACAAATCTTAGCCCCTGTCTTCACTTTGCGACACGTGACTCTGTGAGCCACATCTGCCTGCGACAGGATAATCTATGCCAAGTCTTCTGAATCCTTTCACTTTCTAGAAATAGATGGATGTTATTGTTTACAGACGGAATTTCCATTGTATAAAACCACCTTATCCCAGCTATCAATTATTGTCATTATCTGTAACTAGGCAAGTTCCTTACAATGTTTGCTGAAACTATCTCAGATCAGTAATTAACTCCCCAGCCACCAGCTCTTGCCTTTCACATTTTAATGAGGAGCGTGACCATGAAGCCATTAGAATGTGAAAAATGAAAGTTATCACCAGTTATCCTTCTTTGATACAACAGACTCATTTCCTCTCCTCTGCTGATAGAGGATCAACAAATACTTTTTCCATTTTTTTTTAAGTAGGAAGCCTTTAGAGGCCAACCTACTTAGTGTAAAAAGACTACCAGCCACCCCCTGAGGCAGAAAGCACATTGCAGAGATTCAGTTGTTTTTTTCCCTCTGGCAAAATGCCTTGTTAATTAAGAAGCACACCTGCATAATTTAAACACATCGAAGCCGGAGTCTAGCCAAGTGTGCAGCTGACTGTCTCCCCTAATTGCCCACGCTCACCAGCACCCACCCTCATTAATAACGAAAAGGCTGTCCTCTCTCAGGGGTGCTCACCAACAATTCCCAAAGAGTCAGAGAAGTGACTGGGCCAGAAGGTGGCACCAAATCCTGTCTCATTTTGATGTCAGCCAAATGAGAAAGCTCATCTCCTTACGGAAAGGAGATTTTGCAGACAGGAAGGAAGTCTGGAGTGGAGGGTTTGCACGCTGGTTAGACATTAAATGACTTTCCAGACAAATCTGGTTTTCCTTCATGCAGAGGAAACTCCATTAGGAATGTTTCTACATTTAAGAGGAATCCCAGAGCTCAAAAGAAAACTTGGTCAAATATTTGGGGCTGCTCTCAGTAAAACGAATTGATGCCCCTCCAAGGAACGTTTCATAAGCTGGAGTTTACCCTTCCAGTCTGGTCGGCACAGCTCAGAAGCAATGGGAAATGGCAATTAGCACAAGGCAAATAGTGGCGGATGAGACCAAGCCACCAAATGGCCCTTCGAATGCCGTATTCCAATGTGACAGGACAGAATGAGGCAATGGAGTGAGCACCAGACAAGGAGCCAGAGACTTGGGTTCGAGAAGTGGCTCTCCCGTAGGTCATTCCAGAACCTCAAATCATTTCCTGCACAGAAGTTTGCAGTGGAGCAGCCCTGATACGCGACAGGTGAGGGATGACGTTGGCGTGAACGTGGTGAAAAGGAAACGCTTTTACACTGCTGTTGGGAATGTAAATTGCTACAAACACTATGGAAAACCGTATGGCGATTCCTTATTCGATTCAGCAATCCCACTACTGGGTATCTACCCAGAAGAAAAGAAGTCCAATATGAAAAAGACACAGGCACATGCATGTTTATAGCACAATTCACAATTGCAAAGATATGGAACCAACCTAAATGCTCATCGACCAACGAGTGGATAAAGAAAATGTGGTATAGGCCAGGGGCGGTGGCTCACGCCTGTAATCCCAGCACTTTGGGAGGCCGAGGCGGGTGGATCACCTGAGGTCGGGAGTTTGGGACCAGCCTGACCAACATGGAGAAACCCTGTCTCTACTAAAAATACAAAAAAATTAGCCGGGCGTAGTGGCGGGCGCCTGTAGTCCCAGCTACTTGGGAGGCTGAGGCGGGAGAATGGCGTGAACCCGGGAGGCGGAGCTTGCAGTGAGCCGAGATCCCGCCACTGCACTCCAGCCTGGGCGACAGAGCGAGACTCCGTCTCAAAAAAAAAAAAAAAAAAAAAAAAAAATTTGCCGGGCATGGTGGTGCATGCCTATAATCCCAGCTACTTGGGAGACTGAGGTAGAAGAATCACTTGAACCCAGAAGGCAGAGTTTGCGGTGAGCTGAGCTCGTGCCATTGTACTCCAGCCTAGGCAACAAGAGCAAAACTCCATCTCAAAAAAAAAAAAAAAACAGAAAGAAAATGTGGTATGTATACACCATGGAATACTACTCAGCCATAAAACGGAATGGAATAATGGCCTCTGCAGCAACTTGGATGGTGCTGGAGGCCATTATTCTAAGTTAAGTAACTCAAGAGTGAAAAAATAAATATACACATTCTCACTTATAAGTGGGAGCTAAGCTATGAGGATGCAAAAACATAGTGATATAGTGAACTCTGGGGACTCGGGGGGAAGGGTGAGAGAGGGGTGAGAGATAAAAGACTACATACTGGGTACAGTGTGCACTGCTTCAGAGACGGGTACTCCAAAATCCCAGAAGTCACCACTAAAGAAATTATCCATGTAACCAAAAACCACCTGTACCCCCAAAAACTATTGAAATTAAATTTGTTTAAAAGATGTAGCAATATATGTTGGGAAAGAAAAAAAAAGGACAGTGTCAGGGGTCTCCAATGCCTGGGATCAAATCCTATCTCTGATGCGTTTGAGGCAGGTGACTTTGGGCACGTTACCTCATCTTTCTGTACCTCAGTCACCTCTTCAGCATCCTCATGGGGTGGTTGTGAATATTAAATGAGATTATGTCCATAGTGCTGTCAATAAATGGTAATGGTTATTCTTAAGAATGAGCTAAAGGAAAACTAATTGGAAATAAACTTACTGGGGACAGACCTTTATCAGTGGCTGGAGGCCCTGTATCAGGACAAGGGCTAAGTTGGAATTGTTGTCATGACCCCATTAGACCCACATGTTGGAGAGGTCTAGGAAAAATCCGGTCAGTTTACCTAGTGTTGACTATTTACAGATTTACGTTACAATTACATTAAATGTTTATATACATCATCTCATTTACTTTAAACAGAACATCTGTGAGTCAGGAATTTAAGCCTCAGAGAGTTTAAGCAACTTCCCCAAGGTCACACAGTCCCTTTGTAACTTGAATCTACATCTTTTGTAGGCAACAAAAGTAGAAATGGGATTACAGGTGCACACCACCATGCCTGGCTAATTTTTGTATTTTTAGTAGAGACAGGGTTTCACCATGTTGGCCAGGCTGGTCTCAAACTGCTGACATCAGACGATCCACCCACCTCGGCCTCCCAAAGTGCTGGGATTACAGGCATGAGCCACCACACCCAGAAGCTACTCAGGAGGCTGAGGCAGAAGAATCGCTTGAACCCAGGAGGCGAGGTTGCAGTGAACATGAGATCACGCCACTGCACTCCAGCCTGGGTGACAGAGTGAGATTCCTACTCAAAAATAAATAAATAAAAATAAAAATGGAGATTTTGTTATTATAGCATCTAGTATGGGGTCTGGCACATAGAGAAAAAAATAACGAATTGGCTTGGATTGAATCGATGTTTGTAGTAACCTTTTTTGCCACAGAGTAGGAGAGAAGATGATATGTCACAGTGGTGAGCTCCTTCCAGAACCTTCCATGGGAAAACAGAAGCCTTCCAACAGGGGCAAGAAATGCCCAGGAGCCCAGTGCCCAGGATCTGAGTCCAGATGCCTCAGGAGCCCAGCTCCCCCGCTTCTCTGACCCTTACAAAGCAGGAGAGGGGAAGACCAGAGCCCTGCATGGGTTGAGGGGGCACTGGAAGTGTGAGAGCTTGTGCCAGCTGCTAATTTGGAACAAAGGCCAAAGACTGGCTCCCCAGAGCTCCCTACACCAACATGGGCTGGCTTCCACTGGGAAAAATGGAGGTAACCCACATTCGGGCAGAGACGAAACTAAGCGTGCCCCCCAAATTATCCTCTGCTTTCACGTGATTTAAAAGAGATCCAGACATTTCTGTTTTCCCTCAGCAAGACACACACAAGCAGCTGAGAGGTGGGGGCCCTGGAGTCCACCATCACATTGTCAATGTGAAGGCCAAGGTTAACTTGTAACAGAGGTTACAAGTTATGACATATGACAAGTGGATGAACGAGGCATGAATTACACAGGGAAAGCTGAGAACGCTGAAAAAAGGCAGAGCCAGCAGGAGGACGGGAAGGGACCACTGTGCCCTGGGAACCCATGTCACCCTCGACATTTCAACAATGGCTGCTCAAAGACAGAGACCAGCAAGATGGCTCCATCTCAGCCAGAGGTCACGGAAGCCTGTATAGGAGGACAATGCGTGAGCCAGGGACCCCCAGCCCAGGTGGATCCAGGAACTTCCTTGGAAGCCATCTTGAGAAGAAAGGCAGAAGGGAGACCATTTAGAGGACAGCAACAGCCCTAATAAATGGGCTGGGACTTTAAGGTGACTAGACAATCACTCTAAAAGATATTGTTTATCCCGAGTGACCTTCAAAGACATGGTTCAGTTTGATGTGCCATTAGAAATGGAAGCTCTTGGCAAGAGTTGTTCAGTTATTAAAAAGTAGAATTATACTTGTATGTATCTGACAAAGTTTATAAATCTTGCACCTTCTCTTTTGATATTTTTCAAAAATACGTCATAAATTGTAAAAATATCTAATAACTTTCATCAATATCAAAACATGCAAGCCTACGGTATTTTTTTTTTTTTCCACAGACTGTTGGTATCTACAGACCACAGTCAGGGAATCGCTGCTTTGGTCTGCTCTTACAATCTTGGTCTGAGACCTAGTGACCCTGGCTTAATATCTTGCTCAACCTTACCACTTTTCTCTCCTTTCTCTTCTCTCTTCTTCAACAGCCGTTCACTTTGCAAACCCTCTGCGGCCTGCTGTCCTTACTCTCCTGTAGGGCCATGAACTCCCCAGGATGTGCCTTCCTGTCTTCATGTCTCCTGGCCTGATGGGCCTCCTGCCTGTGTCTTGCCAACATGGAGGTCAGGCACAGAAACTCCAGCCTATCAACTCAGGTGCTTCTCTGGTAGTAGCAACTTGGGGTCCTTGACATTTTGTTTTGTCCTAAAGAGAACAAAATGCTCCCTACTTCTTCCACTGTGTCTTGATCCCTGTCAATTTACTGGGACACACACCCCTCCCCAAGGACAGAGGAAAAAATATTGTGATGTCCAAATACTCAGAGAGTGACATACGAAGATGTCAGAATGAGACTTTCACTCTCAGTTTTGGTGGCGGCCCTAAAAGACCAGTGACAGACACCACGTATCAAATATAGCAGCTCTGTACAATGAATAAACAAAGCCCTTTGCCCAATTCCTACTTCAGGCATGAAAAGCCCAAGAGAAACAGCTATACCTTTAGAAAATGGTTCTGGGGTTCGGGTGCATTTTCTAACACTGCCCCAGAGAAGCCTCCAAGAGAAACAATAAGGGAACTAGTCAGATTGCTGTCCAAAGTTCTCTGGAGTTTGTGGGTCCTGAAACGGGTAGGGCCCAAGATGAGAGCTGTGTCTGCCTGGATATCAGGGCAAGGAGCTAGGGCAGCAGAGGGAGCTGCACTCCTACTGCCTTGGGTGGCAACAATGTCTATTTCCCAAGAGCCATGGGGTCCCCACAGAGGACGTGGCACCATCTTGAAGGATCCCTGTTCAACAGTGTGGCTTGCAGGGCAAAGAGACACAGCAGGAGTGGGAACTGAAACATGGGGGTCACCAGCACAAGTCTGAGTGCAACCTTCATATCAGGGGACTGTGCAGCATCCTAGAGCATCCAAAGACCCTCAAATGTAACCCCAAAGAAACACTTTCAAATATAAGCAAATTCCAGAGACCAAGAATTCATTAGTATTAGTTTCCTATTGCTTCTGCAACAAGTTACCACACACTCCTTGGCTTAACACGCAAAATTTATTATCTTTTACAAAATGAGATGAGATCAAGGTACCAGCAGGGCTGAGCGTCCTTCTGGAGGCTCCAGTGGGAAGTCCATTTCCTTGCCTTTTCCAGCTTCTAGATACGCTGTCTTCAAAGCCAACACGCAGCATCCCTCTGCCCTGTTTCCATCATCACATCTCTTTCTCTCTTCTGCCTCCTTTTTCTACTTTTAAGGACCACTGTGATTTGGTTGAGCCCACCTATATATTCCAGGCTAATCTCTCAATTTTAATTCCATCTCCATCCTGTATTGCCTTTGCCGTGTGGTCCAAAGGATTAGATCAAGGACATATTTGGGGGTCGTTATGCATCCACTCATACCCTCAAGATATCTTCAGTACTCATGCACATCTCTTGCTCCTCTTGGCTCTGAAGGCCCTTCCTGAAACTAAAACCCAGCCCTCTTAAAATCGAGTTCTTTCTGTTACCATCTGACCTTTGCAGTTGTTCTCTCCAGTGCTTTTCTTTTCTGCTACCAGTGTTCTTTCTTCGAAAATTGGCCTCCAACTCACAGATCTAATTTTTTTTTTAGGTACCACCTCACCTGCTCACATAGGACCTCCAGGTTTGCCTGCAAAACCAACCACCTTCAACCGTAACTATGTCTAGGCGTCCTTGAAGGACTCTGAGAAAATATTTCTATGTTCTTTTACAGCCTCCAACTTAAAAAAAGCCACTGTCCTTTGTGGAGGGTCTCCTCACTGCCATGGTGGCTGGTGTCCTCCAAGAAAAGCCAATTATCTTTTTTTTTTTTTTTTGAGATGGAGTCATGCTGTGTCACCCAGCCGGAGTGCAGTGGCGTGATCTCTGCTCACTGCAACCTCCACCTCCTGGGATGAATCAATTCTCCTTTCTCAGCCTCCAGAGTAGCTGGGACTACAGGCACACGCCACCACGCCCAGCTAATTTTTGTATTCTTAGTAGAGACAGGGTTTCACCATATTGGTCAGACTGGTCTCAAACTCCTGACCTCAGGTGATCCACCCACCTCAGCCTCCAAAAGTGCTCGGATTACAAGCATGAGCCACCACGCCTGGCCAAACCCATTATCTTTTACAGTGGGATGATCAACCCTGCTGATTCTTCACGGATCACAGCAGCAGCCCTACAAGTACAAGAGGGAAGAACACCTGCCCCAACTCAGCACTGCCCCTGGCCATCTGAATTCCAAAGCAGCACTGCAAGAACCCTGCAACACACGAAATCTTGGAGAAACAGCTCACCAAGCCCCTGGCTGTGCCCTTCAGCATCTAAGCTGTAAATTATTGCAAGAGGCAGGGCCAGGTAGGACGCTGATCTCAAGCTGTCCTCCTATTGTAGCCTCCCTCTTTTTTCTTTTTTCTCAGGGGAGGCTCTAGATCACTCTTCTCTTCTCCTGAAGCCGAAGAGAAAAAGCCAGCTCAAAAAGAAATCCTTCATGCATATCAACTGTTTCATGCTTGGACCCATACAAAAGGGTCCCTGCTGTCTTCCCCACAGTCTCTGCTTGTCACATAAATAAATAATAAGTAAATAAATAAATCACCATCATCACCGGGTGGCTGAGCGAGTTATGTTGCCCAGGCTCTGCTGCTCAGCACCACATACTGCGAATAGTCACCCTAAACACTCACTCTGTGGCTAACACTGCTCAGGCCCCTGGGAAATGCTTCTCCTCATCACTTGCCTTGGTCCTTGGTTACAAAGGCAACTGTGTCCAAACACCACGAAGGGTTGGGGGTTGTATAGCCTCACAGGTGGAATATAGACAGGATTTGAGTGACAGAAATGTTTAGGTAAGAGAAAAGAGAAGTTAATGAACGTGTACAATCCTCATTTTTTAATAAGGAGACATCAAAGGGTCATTATATGTCAAGCATTCATTTTCTTGCATCTGTCTTTCAATTTGTGGTTCCAGATAAACTCATTGTGTTATTCAGAGTTCTCTAGAGAAACAGAACCAATAGAATGTGGATAGAGTTAGAGATAGAGATAGAGATAGAGATAGAGATAGAGATAGAGATAGAGATAGAAATGGAAATAGAGATAGATAGATAGAGATGGAAATAGAGATAAGATAGAGATAGACATAGAGATAGAGATGGAGAGATATCTAGAAAGAGATTTATTATAAGGTATTGGCTCCCACGAGTATGGAGGCTGAAAAGTCCCATCATCTGCTGTTTGCAAGCTGGAGATACAGGAAAGCTAGTGGCGTAGTTCTAAGACCTGAGGGCTGAAAACCCATGGTGTAGATTCCAGTCCAGATCTGAAGGCCTCAGGGCCAGCAGTGCCGAGGGCAGCAGGAGAATGGTGTTCCAGCTCAAGCAGCCAGGCAGAGGAGTTCAACCTTCCTGCCCCTTTCTGTTCTTTTCAGGCCCTCAAGAACTTGGATGGTGCCCACCCACATGAGGCAGGGTCATGTGCTCTACTCAGTCCACCTCTTCGAATGCTAATCTCTTCCAGAAACACCCTCACAGACACACCCAGAAATCATGTTTAACCAGCTATCTGTGCACCTCACGATCCAATGAATTTGACGCGTGAAACTAACCATCACACTCATCAATTAGCATGGTAACCATAAGTGCAATGATGGTGGCTGAAAAATAGTTGGCAACCTGGGCTATCTCACAGGATTCAAACTAGCCTGTGTGCCCATACATGTGTGTGTCCAGACAAAACTTGAGTGAAACAGTATTCCTCTCCTTAACACTGGTAACAGATGGACACTGAACCCAAGAACTAGAAATAAATATACATGTAAATACTTAAGGTTATATAAAAATATTTAATTAAAATATCATTAAATTCTCAAATTGAAAATGTCAACTTTAAATAATTTTGTTTAAAATTATATTCATTCATTCTCATTTTGATGTTGATTTTACTTTAAATAGACACTTTTTGCTTATTTCAATTTATCATTTTGTGAAAATGTATTCAACTTTTGTACACTTCATTTTACAAATACTTTTAAACCTTCTTTCCATGGCTTCTCAAAATGTGGTGCGTGGCCAGTCTGTATTCTTTGTTACCAGCAGGGTGTGGAAGATGACTCAGAAATTGAGAGTGGGCATCTATCATATGTATTCTATGTCATCATCCACTGGAAACCACTTAGAGATAAGTCTCTTCCACTGCGGGCCTGTGGCCACATGTTGAATAGCCCTGCATATCATTACTGTCAGTGAAACATAAATTATGTGAAAATCTTGATTTCAACAACATAATTACTAGTTTGACTGAAAATAATGCAACAATAAATTTTGTAGCATAAATATGAATTCTAATTTAGGAATTTCATCTATCTTTTCCTTATTATTCAATCCCAAATATTGCCCATCCACATTGGGCAGGAATTCCTGGTTCTCTTTCTGTGCCTTTGTTGTACCCAGACCAAGGAGAGAGTCAAGAGCCGAGTCCACCCCACACTTACCTTTCCTCACTTCAGAGCCACCCTAGCACTCTCCATGGCAATTAAAAAAAAAAAAAAATCCCATTGCAAAACAGTATCATCCCTGTGTCCCTGGTTCAGATACATGGCACAATCTCTGTTTCTGAAAAAGGCAGAACAATTCTCTATTACAGACTTTGGGCTCTGAATCACAGGTAAAAAACCTGGATGTAAAAACAAAACACAGAGTGGTTGCCATGCATTTGGAGCTATATCGATGACCCAATACAGCTGAACCCCACATTCTCCTGCTGTCCTCACACACTAGTTATCTGCGGTCCAGGGCTGCCACATGTCAGAACAGAAAGAAGCTGGATCCTGTCTTGTTCCCAGCAAGACAGATGTGAGGAGCATGCAGTGAAGAGGGCAGGGAATGAGGAACTATGGCCAAAGCACGCTCAAATGGCACTAGGACTTCATATCTACTTTTGTTTATTTAATAAACTTTCCCATTCTGGAAACAAGAATCCAGGGTTGTAATTCTTAGTTGTTAATTCATAAGGAGTAAAACTGACTTACACACCTGAAATAGTAGGAGGCATGGCAGGCTCAAAGAGCAAGGCTCAAAATTCCACCTTTTAAAAAGCAACATGCAAGTTCTTTTCTGAGGTTGACCTCCTTGGTAGATAACCAAGTGCCTCAGCCAGGATCCAGGTTCCCAGCAGTCACTGAAAGGCCAAGTCTGTGCTCCTCCAAAGGGGAACCATCCCAACTCATCTCCCTTGGTCACCTTAGCACATACACCAGGACAAATCTATTTTTCTTTTCAGGTGTTGAAATAAAGTTTGTTCTTATGGTCCAGCTAGACCCAGAGCAGGAACCTCTTAGGGTTCTTTGTAATAAGTGGATCAGAGTCTAACCAGACAGGAATACTGACAGCCCCTTCACACAGCAGGAGCTTTACAAATGCTGCAATATTTGTTCATAAGCATGTTTATCACAAACAGGAACAGACTATTCAGAGGAATCACCATTACTGCAAATAACCAAACATTGATACCTCATTTCATCACCATTAGCATTCTCCACTACGTTAATAATCACAAAATTTCAGCCCAGAACATCAAGGGAAGAAGCCACCAAGCAGCATCTAAAATAATAACAACTGATCACTGTACTCATCAAAATCCAGAATACCAAGGATGTCTTTTTGAAAGTGTCTCAGGCATTTGACTTCAGAACATCTCAGTAGAAAATGTTGCAGAGTGACATTGAACAGAATGATGAGGGAGGCAAGGAGATGCTATTCATTCTCACAAATGGAGTCTCATTTTACTCCTTCTCATTCAATATTCTTAACAGAGACATTTCCATCTGTTGCATTTAGGAAACCATTCCAAATTATCCTAATTTGTTGCTGGTAGGTGCTAATCATACATGAGCTGAGTTCCTCCTACCTTTCAGAGGATAATACTGAATTGTTTAACTGTAATGTAATTCATTTTCTACCTTTGGCCTCATCTTCAAGCAATGTACTTGCATAAGTTTCCTTCTAGTTGAGTGAGGGAAGACTAAGATAATCTATACCTCTACTACTCTACCCTTAGTCACCCCAATAATCATGGCTACCTCTTGGAGAAGTCGATGTAGCAACAGCTCTGAAGGGGTAGGGGTGGGGATGGGAGGGTAATGGTTAAAAACACAGGCTTTGGAGTCAGAGATATGAATTTGATCTCAACCTGTTCTGTGACTTTGGTTGTTATTTAACCTCACTAGCCACAGCTTTCTCTAAAATAAAGATAATATTCTTCTGCAATTAACTGAAATAACAAAAGAGATCTGATGTTTTTATACCTTAAGTGTATCTATTAGTCTCTGTTAAATGAGGACAATAGTAAAATATATCTCAAAATTCAATAACGTAGTTTTGGCAAATGTGTGTGTAAATATAGAGAGAAAGTGGCTTCACTGGTCTCCTGCTGCATCATGCAGGATGAGCGTGAGTGAGAAGCTAGCATCCTGGAAACAGGGAGGAGCAGCATCTTTGGAGACTAGTTCAAAGCCGTCACTTCCTAAGATGCTATTAGGTTGGTGCAAAAGAAATCACAGTTTTTGCCGTTACTTATAATGACAAAAAAATGCAATTACTTTTATGCCAACCTAATAGAAAGCCAAAGCCATTTACTGGGGAGGAAAGAGAATGCTTTACATAATAAGTTTGGAGCCTTCTGAAAGGGAACAACACCTGACACATAGTGAGCGAGACCAAAGTGATCCCACTTCTAGCCCAGCCAGGGAAAAGCAATGAGGGGAAGACAGAACTGGGGTTCTTAAGCCTGAGGAAAGGGGGAATATAGATTACTCCAGTCCAGACTTCTCCATCTCAGTTATTGGCAACTCCACATTTTTAGTTGCTTGGGCAACACACCTCGGGGTCATCTCTGACTCTTTTCTTTCTCTCCCACTCCACAACCAATCTGTCAGGCATCTGGTGGCCATATCTGGAATCCAATCACTTCTTGTGGTCAGCATAATTCCACCCCTGCCACACATACATCCAATCTCTGGAACCTGTACATATGCCACATTACCCAGAAAAAAGAAAAGGACTTGGCATATGTAATTAAGGTTATGGACCTTAACATAAGGAGATTATCTTGGATTATTCAGGTGGACCCAAAAATCTAATAACATGAGCCCTTAAAAACACGTAATTTTCTCCAGCTGGAGGTAGAGAGATGTGGCAAAAGGAGAAGGCAAAGGGATTTGAAACATGGGAAGGACATGGCTCACTGTTGCTGGCTTAAAGATGAAGGGAGACATGTGACGAGGCATGCCTGTGTCCTTAAGGAGCTGAGAGAGGTTCCCACTGACGGCTGGCAAGGAAGCAGAGATTTGAGCCCTACAGCCACAAGGAACTGAGTTCTGCCAATGACTTGAAAGAGTTTGGAAGTACATTCTTCCCTAGAGCCTCCAAAAAATAAATGGACCTGTCAACACTTTAATTTTGGCCTTTTGAGATTCCAAGCCGAAGATCCTGTGAGCTATGCTGTGCTGGACTTCTCATTTACAGAACTGTGACATCATACATGGATGTTGTTCTAAGACACTAGGTTCATGATAACATATTATGGCAGCAATAGCATGCTCCCTCCACTGGTACCATCCAGCTCCAAGACACCATCATAATCACCCAGATGACTGCAAGAGTCTCCTCACTGGTCGCTCTGCTCTGGCCTTGCCTGCCTGCCCTTCAGTTTATCCTCAATATCACAGCAAGAGTGAGATTTTTAAGGCCTAAGTCAAATTATGTCACTCGTCTGCTCAATACCCTGCAGCAACTTTCCATCTCACTCAGGCTAAATGACAAAATCTTTGCAGTGACTAAAGACCCTACTAGATCTGCTCTCCATCTTACCAGCTCTTTGACCTTCAACTTCAACTGCTTTTCTCTTTGTTCATTTTACTCAAGATTCCTGACATTATTGCTGTCCCTAGAACATGCTGGGCATGCTCCAATCTTCAGGTCTCTGCACTATCTGTCCCCCAACACATCTGCATAGCAAACCTTTACCTCATTCAAGAAGACTGGCTACTCTGTTTAGCACTGAAACTGCCTTCTCTCTCTCCCAACTGGCACTCCCAATCTCTTATACCCTGCTATATTATTTTTCTCCATAATACTTAACGTTTTCCAACATACTTTTTATTTACTTATGTTTCTTGTCTTCTTGTAGAATGCTATTATGGTAAGAGTTGGGATCTTTGCTAATTTTTTTTTTTTTTTAGAGATGAGGTCTTGCTATGTTGTCCAGGCTGGCCTCAGACTCCTGACCTCAAGTGATCCTCCTGCCTCAGTCTCTCAAAGTTCTGGGATTACAAGCATGAGCCACCACAGCCTGCAGTCCTTTGCTTTGTTCACTGATATATACCCCAAATGACTAGAACTACCAGGCCTTTGTGAACGAATGAATGGTAATCTGTGTTCTACTCAAGAGCTTGTTCTTGTGTGGGGAGAGCAAGTTGTATAGCTTTGTAGCTCATGCTGTGCATTTTTCATATAAAGTAAAGACTGTCAACTCGGGAAGCTAAACAAAGAGCACTTTGATGATGCAGGGACCTAGACTATAAGGGCACTGTTTCAACAGTGCGTCCGCCAAACTGTACCAGACTTGTCTTCAACAGTGACACCATGTGGCAGCTAAAAGCAACTGCAGTGGTGGACTGATGTGACTCCAGTCCTGCCCTCTTTGGGTTAAGTAAGCTGCAAGGACTCTGCCAATGGCAGGGAGTGAGAGAGAGTGAGAGTGTCAATGGGAGGTGCTAGAACTACTGCTAAGAAGCCAGAGAGGAGGGCTCCAGCAATTGATTAGAGAATCAGTGAGATATAATGGCACATGTAGGCTACATTAGTGGAATTACTAATACTAACTCAGGTAAAAAGCACTTCACATGGTAATGGGAACATAGTGAGAGAGTGCTCAATGGTGACTAACATTCAGAAGGGAGGAAACAGGAGAAGAATAATTTTTAAAATGTAATTTGTAGTGGGCTGAGTGGCAGCCCTTAAAAAGATATGTCCACTGAACACAATGTCCTCCAAATATTGGCTATCCTCATCCTAACCCCCAGAATCTGTGAATGTGACTTTATTTGGAAACAGAGTTTTTGTAGATATAACTAAGGATCTCAAAATGAGATTATCCTGGATTGTCTGGATAAATTCAGCGGCAGTGTCCTTATAAGAGACAGAAGACAAAACACTGAAAAGAGAGGAAGGCTGTGTGAAGACAGAGGCGGAGACTGAAGTGAAGCGGCCAAAGGACACCTGAGCCATGAGACACTAGAAGAGGCAGGGAAGGATTCTCCTAGAGCTTCCACAAAAAGCATGGCCTGCCAGTACCTTGATCTCAGACTTCTGACCTCAGAACTACGAGAGAATAAATTTATGTGGTTTTAAGCCAGTTTGTGGGAATTTGTTACAGGTACCCCAGGAAAGTAATCCACAATCCTATAGAGATTATCCTACATCATGGGGAGAGGGAGGAAGGTATAAGTGAGGTAAGGTGACAGTTTACTTATTGGGCAGGGGGTACTGATTAAACTACCCTAATGCTGATAATAACCAGCCTTGACCATAGGAAATTTACTCGAATTATTTTTACAACATACTAGTCACCCACCTTCCTTCCTAGTTGAGGAGATCCAAGACCCCCTGGTGGCCATCAAGCAGACCATCCAGGGCAAAGTTCCTTATCTGATGAATTCAGAAGTAATTAGACTTTCCTATTAGCTAAATGCCTGCTTTAGCTAATGGCTCCAGGCTTCTTTCCCCAAAATTTAGAAGTAACTAGAATTTCTATACATCTCCAGAATGCATGCATGTCAACCCTTGCTGACATTAAGGTACCAAAGCAACTACAAGTGTAAGCATTTATCATGACCTATGTGGCTAATATGGTCCAAATTACCCTGAAGTTCCCGCTTTAAGGTTCATAAATAGCCCAAAGGAAAATCCACCACGGCACACTCAGTCCTGTCTTGCTGAAGTGCTCTGCTGCATGCTGCTACAGCGCTTTCTATCTAATGAAACTTTCCTTTCAAACCCACACTGTTGTCAGTAAATTCTTCTTACTACCTGTGAGTCAATTCATTTCTGATGCCAGGGCTCTGATACGTTGCCTGGCCATACTGACCTTTCAATATTAAACACCAGGTACAGTAATAATGTAGCAAATGTGTTGCTGTATTTTCATAATTCATGGCAGGCTGCTGCCCACTGTTGCAAATAAGGTGATGTTGGAACACAGCTGTGCCCATTCTTTCAGGTGTGGTCTGTGACAGAGGTGACCAGTCAACAGAGACCATATGCACAAAAAGCCAAATTACTTATTATCTGACCTTTCATGGAAAAAAATGCCAGCCCCTGGGCTAGATCAGGGAAGACTTTGTAAACCAGGTTAAGAGATTATAACGTTTTATCACATGTACAGGGGTGAGTTACTGAATGGATTTAAACACAGAACTGATCCATATCCACTTTTAGAACAATCACTCTGCAGTATAAAGGTTGAAATTGGGGAGTGAAAGAATGAAGGCAGGAATTTCAGTTGGGAGGCTGGGTCAATAATCAGGTGAACACTGAAGGTAGCCTGGGCCCCACGTAATAAGGTAAAACGGGCTCCGTTTTCATGTCCACTTTTGTAATCACACTGTCTCCCAGGTCCACTAGATGGCAACACCACACAGGAAAATCATTCATCTCCACCACAATGTCTATTTTAGTGTCCTCTATTATTATAGAAACTTAAGAGCTATAATTCAAGTATTTCAGTGACTTAACCCCTTGTGTAGGTTTCAAGAAGAACCTACTCCATATTAAGTTACATTTATATCCAGACTCTGTGTTGTTTAACAGAGCAAACGGGCCAGGGCATCATATGAGAAACTGAAAGATGAACGAACTTCAACTCTCCAATTAAAATATGCTGGTGTAGCCAACAGAAAAATGGATGGAAGCCCCAAATGGACCCATTTACTAAAGAAGAAATATGAAGACCAATAAGCGCAAGAAAAACTGCTCAGCCTCACTAATCATCAAAGAGATGTCCATTAAAACAAAAATAAGATATAATTTATGCCTAACAAGACTGTTTTTCAAAATGATGATCCCAGCATTGGCAAGAGCGTGAAAAATGGGGGCAAAACACAGTGGCTCACACCTGTATTCCTAGCACTTTGGGGGTCCCAGGCAGGAGGATCACTTGAGACCAAGAGTTCAAGACCAGCCTGGGCAATATAGCAAGACCCCATCTCTACAAAAAATTTTTAAAAATTATGTGGGTGTGGTGGTGTGCACCTGTGTTTCCAGCTACTCTGGAGGCTGAGGCAGGAGGATTGCTTGAGCCCAGGAGGTTGAAGCTGCACTGAGCTATGGTTGTTCCACTACCCTCCAGTATGGGCAACATAGCAAGACCCCATCTCAAAAAAAAAAAAGAAAGAAAAATGGGCACTGCCAGGCAGTGCTGCTGAAAACATAAATTGATATGATATTTAACAATTTTTAGTAAATATGCAGAATATTTTAATTGCAAATATTCATTGACTCAATAAATCCACTTCTACAAATATCCTAACACTATAATCAAGATGATAAATTCAAGGTTTCCATCAAGGATGTCTACCATAGCATTATTTATAAAACTAGAAATAGTCTAAATGGCCAATGTCAGAGAAACCATTCATCAAGGTATGTCCTCACTTCATTAAATCAATAAATAATCATTGAGCTTCTGCCATGTATTATGCACTACCTCATGCACTACGCTGAGTACTCAAATACTGTACTGAACACAATGGACCAGGTCCCTACTGTCACAGAATGGAATATTAAAAAATGGTATTTTCAGAGACTATTTCATAAGTTGGGAAAATGTCCATAGTATTATAAGTGGAAGGAAAATTTTTAAAAATGTACATGCAACATGCAAATTTAAATGTACATTATAAATATAGTATTAAAAATTTTAGTTCACAGTTTCATGTATGTAAGAAAGAGCACACTTCTTTATTTTCTATAAATCAACTTAATTTTACCTCTAAGCCCCAGTCCTGTAAGGTTAAGAAATTCAGCCTTGATCAGCCTCAGACCTTCCTCCTCCCATGCTCTGGAATTTTGTCAAGGTTCTGAGTCTCATCCAAGACCCAAGTATCTTTGCTCATGTGTGTACAGTGATTATCCCAAGACATCCATTGCCCCACCCCTGTGGTCCTGTCAGATCCACTGCTCTGGTCTTTCTGTGAGAGCCAGGAAAGGTCACAAGCCTGGGAAAACTTTAGGTCAGGATCCCCAGGGCCCAGCCTTGGACCATTCCCTAGGGCCTTGGTACATGTGGTTCATGGTCCAGCTGCATGGGCAGCACCTGGACCTCCCCCTGGGGACTTGCTGCCTGTGGCCCGGACCAGCTGCACCTGCATCACTTGGGCACGACTGGATCACAATCTGCATGTCAACCAGAGCCCTAGGGATTCATGTGCATATTTCAGTTTTAAAAGCACCGCCTTAACTGGTCTTGCCATACCTGCCAGGTGGAATGCAGGTTAGGGCCATTCTGGGACCCCCAGGGCTGGGCATTCACTCACTCACTAGTCTGCAGAAGTTCTCCCTTACTTCCATCAATGACCATTCATATGGACACAAAGGCAGCCCAAGAAGGGTCCTGTAGGCGACCCTAGCCTGCTGCCCTGCCCTGCCACTAGCCACCCTCACTCAGTTAAGGAGGAGCAGGGGCTTCTACCTGCTTTTAGGAGGAAACAGCAGGAGAAAAATTCAAGGAAGAAGCATAAATTCTAGCCATAAGTATATGTTGTTTTTCATGAAATCAAGACTAAAAAGAAAATATCACAATTTAACTTATGTAGCAACATTATAACTTATTTTTAATCCTAAACTTCTCTGAATTCAGCTTTCTACAATGAATATAATTCCATTTACAAACAGAAAAAAAAATAAGTATTTGTTAATAGAGTATACTCATGCTGGCAAGATACAAAGATGCAAAATCAATCCAGAAATAAGAAGAAAAATAGGAGGAACACTGGGAGTAGAACTTAAGTCTCCCATCCAACTCCTCACCAGGCCCGACCCTGCTTAATTCATGAGATCAGACAAGATCAGGATGGTTTTAGGGTGGTATGGCCACAGACCAGAGTAGAAATAAAAGTAACAACTTTTTAGATAGCCAGCACAGGTCAACTGCATTCGCTGAGAAGCTGACCAGATTGCTTAAAGAGCTGTCTAGTGTCTTCTCAGGGCTCTGGAGTTTATTCATTTAAATCTATTTCCAGGTAGGGTTGTTGAGATAAGCCATATAAGCTAGAATTCCTCTTCTCCAGGGCAGGTCATAGAAACCAGAGCCCCTTTTCTCCAAAGCCAGCCATAAAACCGAAAATGTTATGCCAAACTTCCTTTTCTGTGTAACCGCCATGGAGAAATTAAGACCCTCATTTCAGAAGGGTTCTACCCTGTACTCTGGCGGAAGGAATGCTGCACAGATGCCAAGAAGAATCTGCACAGACAGGCCTTGCTGGATTTTCCCATGCAGTCTACTGGCATTAGATCAGGCCCTTCTTGTCCAATCACATTTCTACACTCTGTCCCTGCTTCATCAAACCTAAGCAGAAAAATGAATAATTCAACTTAGGTATATTAGTCAGGGTTCTCTAGAGGGACAGAACTAATGGAATAAGTATATATCTATAAGGGGGAGTTTCTTAAGTATTAACTCACACCATCACAAGATCCCACAGTAACCCCTCTCCAGGCTGAGGATCAAGGAGAGCCAGTCCAAGTCCCAAAACTGAAGAACTTGGAGTCCGATGTTCAAGGGCAGGAAGCATCCAGCACCGGAGAAAGATGTAGGCTGGGAGGCTAGGCCAGTCTCTCTTTTCACATTTTTCTGCCTGCTTGTATTCTAGCCATGCTGGCAGCTGATTAGATTATGCCCACCCAGATTAGGGATGGGTCTGCCTTTCCTAGTCCATTAACTCAAATGTTCATCTACTTTGGCAACACCCTTACAGACATACCCAGGATCAATACTTTGGATCCTTCAATCCAATCAAATTGCCACTCAGTATTAACAATCACACTAGGTCTATGGGTCTTTTTTCTGTGTCACGTAAAGCTACAATCACATAAATTTGTTATGGGAGTGTTGGCCGTGGGCCTTTTGATGGAGAGAAAAGGAATCACCTCCTTTCCACCCCATAGCATGTTTGGGCTTTTTTAAAAAAAAAGAAGGGGGTTACATGGTAATTGATAAGGGAAGGAATCTGCCAACTACAAATGTCTTTCCTTTTAAAAATAATACACAAATTACAGGCTCCAGTAAAATTCAGGCTGTCATTTCAAGAGGTCCCTAGCATGAATTACTGAGTTAATTGGCTACTTAGAACAAAAATCTACAACCAATTACAAGCCCACGTTGCTGGGTTCCTGGGTTTTAACCACACACTCTAATGGCTGGCATCTCACTGGGGTCAAGCTGAGGTACCAGCAGGATGTCAAATGGATTTTCCTATGTCCTGCTGCTTGTTCCAGAGGCCAAGTGCCCAATAGGCTTGGCCTCAATTTTCTGAGACCCATGAAGATGACAGCATCCCTGTGGTAAAACCCTTTTCTGAGAAGAGTTGAAGCGAGGAGATCCAGTTAAAAAAATAAGCAAGTAAATGTGCACAAATGTTATTTTAGGAAAAAATTGGTGAGGACAAAACCAAGTCATGGTGCCTTTTGGCGAACCCGTCCTTCCCGGTGCAAGTCATCGCTGCATACATCAACTGCAGGCATCTGAGGGACCCTCAATAAGCCACTTTCTCAAGAACAATGGCACTTTTTAAGTATATAGTTTGTTCAAACAGCTATATTTAAGCGTAGGCACTTTGGGATCTCAGCTTGCAGCCTAAGGCAATGAATATGAAAACAAAAATCTCAGAACCCAGGTTAACCTAAAATGCCATGAATTGTTAAAGGATCATTTGTCTCAACAAGCAAAATCATGACTTTTACACAAATATAAAAGGAATGTGTGATCAAAGATTTACTTAACTCATTAGTTAATGAGGGAACTAATAAGATGGGATCACTGTTTCAAGGAGAATTGAAAGAACATGCACAGACCTCACCAATAGACATAAAAATAGTCTCTATCCCCAGGGCGATAATTAATTGTGCTTCACTGGACAAAATTCATTTGCATGTCTCTCAACTTTCTACAACTTACAGAGTTAAGTAACTCAAATTAACTATTAGTAAAAAAAAAAAAAAAAAAAAAAAAAACAGCTCAAAGGCAATAAAAGGCACAAGTAACCCAGAGGAGTGGAGTGTTCTAGACAGGACTTGTTTTTTTGGTCCATTTCAGAGTCTTTTGCGATTTCTCCTGACACCGTTTATTGAAAGAGCTCAGCAGAGTATAGGCAGCAAAGCAAATGTATTCTCTTTTACAACTTCTTTAATTCCTTCTGTTGAATACATTCTCCCCGTCCCTAAATGAAACTTAAAACAGGCTCCAAAATTCTTTCTGTCCTACTTGGATAATAAAAGACCCAGTCAGTCCTAATTTTAAATAATAATTGAAGCCAATGGAAATGTCTCTTCCTTCTGGGCTGGGCCTGTCTGCTGCTTGGCAGTCACATGACTTTGTCCAGTTCCTCCCTCGACTTGTCCTGGCTCCTCCCTCACTTGAAGAAGGGTGGAGACATCTCACAGGATTATTACACTTTTATTTTGGCCTTGGTACCTGCTGGGGGAGGCAGATTCCAGATGCCGAGTCATCTCCTCATAGAGTGGGTCCTTCAGGGACTCCCTCTTCCCCAACCCAACTCCCTCCCTGGAGAGCTCTCCCTGCACTGCCCTGGACGTGAGTGGTGCCTTCCTCCTACTCTGGTTGACCACACAGCTCTCCTCCTGGGCTTCAGTGAACCCGAGTGGTCCTCCCCTTTAGAGAATTGTTAGAGGCATTCAAAGCAGGGCAACTCATCTTGAATAGGGGCTGGGTAAAACAAGGCTGACACTTGCTGGTCTGCATTCCCAGGAGGTTAGGCATTCTAAGCCACAGGAGGAGATAAGAGGTTGGCAGGATTAGTATCACAAAATATAGGTCACAAAGACCCTGGTGATAAAACAGAATGCAGTAAAGAAGCCAGCCAAAACCTGCCAAAACTAACATGGTGATAAAAGTGACCTCTAGTCATCCTCACTGCTCATTATATGTTCATTATAATGCATTAGCATGCTAAAAGACACTCCCACCCACACCATGACAGTTTACAAATGCCATGGCAATGTCCAGAAATTGCTCTATATGGTCTAAAAGGGGGAGGGATCCTCAGTTCTGGGAAATCTCCACCTCTTTCCCAGAAAACTCATGAATAGTCCACCCCTTGTTTAGCATATAATCAAGAAATAACCAGAAGCATACTCAGTCAAGCAGCCCATGCTGCTGCTTTGTCTATGGAGTAGCCGTTCTTTTATTCCTTTACTGTCTTAATAAACTTGCTCTCACCTTATAGACTCGCCCCAAATTCTTTCTTGTGCAAGATCCAAGAACCCTTGGGCACTGGATGGGGACCCCACTTCTGGTAACAGAATCACTTCCCCACTCCCCTCCCCAAGTGGTCCTCTTGTCCAAAGTCCATCCCAAGTCCCCCTGGTCTAGCCCACTTTCATGGAATATACTAGTGTTTCTAATCCAGGATCATTCTGCCTCCAGGGGATGTTTGTCACATCTGGAGATATTTTGAGTTGTCACAACAGGTGGGGGTGATCCTGGCATCTAGTGGGTGGAGGCCAGGGATGCTGTTAAATAACACAGCCCCCCGCCCCGCCACCACCACTCACCACACACACAGAATTTTCCAGCTTACAAGCCCCCCGCCCCGCCACCGCCACTCACCACACACACAGAATTTTCCAGCTTACAAGCCCCCCGCCCCGCCACCGCCACTCACCACACACACAGAATTCTCCAGCTTACAAACACCCATAGTGCCAAGATTGAGACACCCCGAGATGTGCAGACGACCAACAGGAAACCCACACTGCTTCACGCCATCAACCTCATTGCAGCCAGGTTCCACCCAACCCTCCACCTTCTGCCTAGCCAGCCACAGCTGTGGACTCTTGCACTTTCAAACAAGGATCCAGGCATCAGTCCCAAATCCTTCAAACTCCTGGAAACTTTCGTCAATCTCTGAAATGCCTCCATCGCCTTGAGATGTGGTGGAGACACAACAACCATCCTCTCCAAAGGCACCTGCACTGCCTGTCTCTTCACCTCCCAAGGATTCTTAGCATCTCTGTTACAGCTTGGAGGCCGATGAGGAAGCTGGAGCAGAACCCATTCACCATCACTAAGGTGATCTCACAAACTGGCCCGGTCTTTGGAGCACCTGTCAGAACTTGATACAAATAAGCCACATTTAATATTATTGCAAAACTGTTGTTATTGGCACATTAATAGAACAATCAAATTCTGGAAAATATTTTAAAGAGGTTTATTGTGAGCTAATATGAGTGACATGGAATGGGAAACAGTCTCAAGAGGTCCTGAGGAAGTGTGTGCAAGGCAGTTGGGTTACAGTTTGGTTTTACACATTTTAGGGAGACAGAAATTATAGATAAAATCATAAATCAATACATGTTATATTCAGCCTAAACAAGTGGAATAAGGAGTGGGGGAAGGGGTGGCTTGAAGGTCATAGGTAGATTTAAAGATTTTCTGATTAGCAATTGGTTGAAAGAGTTAAGCTTTGCCTAAAGACTTGAAGTCGGTAAAAAAAAAAAATGATTGAGTTAAGTTAAGGAGGTCGTGGAGGCCAAGGTTCTTATTATGTAGATGAAGTCTCAGACTTAGCAGCTTGTGGAGAGAAGAGATGGTAAATGTCTCTTTTCAGAACTTAAAGGTGTGAAGCTTTCAGTTAAACTCTCCTAGATCCAGGGAAAGACCTAGAAAGGGAAAGCTTGGTTGCATTAGTGGAGATTCTATACAGATGTAAATTTCCTCCACAAAAGACAGCTTTGCAAAGTCATTTCAATCTATTGGCCCTGTGAGAGCCATTTCAAAATATGACGATACAATATATTTTGGAGTGAAATGTTTTTATTTCTTTCAGGTCCTGCTATCTGTCATATGATGCTATCCCAGAAAGGAATTTGGTATCTTATTGCCAAAGAGTCTGCATTGTCAGTCTGATCATCTCTGAATGTTGGTCAGTGGTACCTAAACCCCAAAAGAGAGGGGGAATAATGGGATGTCTGACCTCCCTTCCTATCACGACCAGGAATTCCCTTTTTCAGGTTTCCCTGGAGTCCCCTTGGCCAGGAGGAGCATCTGTTCAATTGGATGGGGAGCTCACAATTTTATTTTTGGTGAATTGTGTCCCCTCAAAATTCCTATGCTGAAGCCCCGACTCCCAGGACCTCAGAATGTGAATGTATTGGGAGATTAGGCCTTTAAAGAGGTGATTAAGTAAAAATGAGGTCGTTAAGGGGGGCCCTCATCCAACCTGACTCAAGTCCTCACAAGAAGAAGAAATGTGAACACACAGAGAGACACCAAGGATATGCAGGCACATACAAAAGACCAGGGGAGGACATGGCCAGAAGGTGGCCATCTACAAGCCAAGGAGAGAGGCCTCAGAAGAAACTGAGGAGAGCAAATATCCAGCAGACCAGCCAGAGGCAAAACTCCCTGTCTGAGGAATTCAGAAGTAATTAGACTTCCCTATTAGCAAAAGCCAGCATCTGGTACTGTACCCAGTGAAGGGTGTCCAGGTTCTTGGTGTCTTGAACAAAGAACTGGACAAAACACACAAACAAAGCATGGAAAGAATGAAGCAACAAAAGCAGAGATGTATTGAAACGAAAGTACACCCACCCCACAGAGTGAAAATGGGCCTGAGCATAGCCCCGTTACAGAATTTTTTGGGGTTTAAATACCCTCTAGAGGTTTCCACTGGTTACTGGGTATATGCTCTATGTAAATGAAGAGGATGAAGTAAGGTTACAAAATCATTTACTCAGTGTACACCCTATGTAAATGGCGAGGATATTTCCTGTCATAGCTGAAGTGTTTCCATTTGATTTAGTTCTAGGAGGTCCTTAGATTCTCTGCCTCCAGACCCTATTCTCCTGCCTCAGTACCAGGCTTCTTTCCCAAAACTTTATAAGTAACTAGAATTTCTATACATCTCCAGAATGCAGGCATGTCAAAACCCATTGCGCAACCCTTACTGAGGTCAAGGCACCAAAATGTCTGAAAATGTAACCATTTATCATAACCTACGTGCTGAATATGGTCCAAATTACCTTTAGGCTCCTGCTTTAAGGTCCATAAACAGCCCTAAGGAAAATCCACCGCAGGGCGCTCAGTCCTCTCTTGCTGAAGTGCCCCACTCCACTCTGCTGAAGGGTTCTTTCTATTCTTTCTATCACATAAAACTTTCCTTTTCAAACCTGTACTGTTGTTGGTAAATTCTTCCTGCCACCTGCAAGCCAACCACTTTCCATTGCCAGGGCCCTGACATCCTACCCAGCAGAAACCACTCATGACAACGCTTGGATCTTGGACTTCCAGCCTCCAAAACTATGAGAAAATCAATTTCTGTTGTTTAAGCCACCCAGACTGTGGTGTTTTGTTATAACAGCCCTAGCAGAGTAATGCAGGCCTATATTGGCTAAACTTCCAATCCTTTTGGAAAAGAGTCATAGTACAAATGCTTAAATAAAATATAAATAAACATATAAATAAAATACTGAAGAGGTGGCCTGCTCCTCCACACCTGCGGGTATTTCTCATCAGGTGGGAAGAGAGACTGAGAAAAGAAATAAGACACAGAGACAAAGTATAGGGAAAGAACAGTGGGCCCAGGAGACCAGCGCTCAGCATATGGAAGACCCACCCCAGCCCCGGTCTCTGAGTTCCCTCAGTATTTATTGATTACTATGTTCACTATCTCAGCAAGGGGAATGCGGCAGGAGAACAGGGTGATAGTGGGGAGATGGTCAGCAAAAAAAACATGTGAGCAAAGGAATCTGTGTCACAAATAAGTTCAAGGGAAGGGACTGTGCCTGGATGTGCATGTAGGCCAGATTTATGCTTCCCTCCACCCAAACATCTCAGTGTAGTAAAGAGTAACAGAGCAGAATTATCACCAGCATATCTCGCCTCCAGACACAGGGTGGTTTTCTTCTATCTCAGTATAGAACGAATGTACAATCAGGTTTTATACCGAGACATTCCGTTCCCAGGGGCATGCAGGAGACAGAGGCCTTCCTCTTATCTCAACCGCAAGAGGCCTTCCTCTTTTACTAATCCTCCTCAGCAGAGACACTTTACGGGTGTTGGGCTGAGGGATGGTCAGGTCTTTCCCTTCCCATGAGGCCATATCTCAGCCTCTCTCAATGGGGAGAAACCTTGGACAATACCCAGGTTTTCGTGGGCAGAGGTCCCTGCGGCTTTCCGCAGTGCATTGTGCCCCCGGTTAATGGAGAATGGAGAATGGCGATGACTTTTACCAAGCATACTGCCTGTAAACATATTGTTAACAAGGCACATCCTGCACAGCCCTAGATCCTTAAACCTTGATTCCATACAACACATGTTTCTGTGAGCTCAAGGTTGGGGCTAAAGTTACAAATTAACGGCATCTCAGGGCAAAACAATTGTTCAGGGTACAGATCAAAATGGAGTTTCTTATGTCTTCCTTTTCTACATAGACACAGTAACAGTCTGAACTCTCTTTCTTTTCCCTACAAAACATTGTTTCTTTTCTTTCTTTTTTTTTTTTTTTTTTTTTTTGAGACAGAGTCTCACTCTGTCACCCAGGCTGGAGTGCAGTGGCATGATCTCAGCTCACTGCGACCTCCACCTCCCAGGTTCAAGCGAGTCTCCTGCCTCAGCCTCCTGAGTAGCTGGGACTACAGGCACGTGCCACCACACCCAGCTAATTTTTTGTATTTTCAGTAGAGACAGAGTTTCACCATGTTAGCCAGGATGGTCTCGATTTCCTGACCTTGTGATCTGCCTACCTCGGCCTCCCAAAGTGCTGGGATTACAGGCATGAGCCACCACGCCCAGCCAAATAAAATACTATTTCTAATACAGTCCATACAAGGAGAGACATGATCTTTTTTAGTATTAGATAATAATAACAATAGCAAACACCAATCAAATGCTTACTACGTGCAAGCACCATGATAAATTCTAATACACATTGTTTAATCAAACTTAATAACAGCTCAGTAAATAACCACTGTTATAACCTCCATTTTAAAGATTACAAAACTAAACCCTCAAAAGGTTAAGTTAAACTAGCCCAATGCCACAGAGTTAATAAATGGCAGCAATGAGAGCTGAACCAAAGGAATCTGTGTCCAGTCTCACTCATAATGATCACATAATTCTGAAGGAAAATGTCTGGACAAATACATTTTGAGTAAAACCAACCAACCAACCAAGAAACAAAAAAACAAGTTTCACTCATCCCAACCCCCAGGTGACATAAGCAATACACTGCTCCTTCTGTGACGCCTCTCCAGGTTAATCATTCTTGCACTTGGAGCAGGTATGCATTTCAGTCTGCAAACACAGACTATTAAAGATACATAATTTTGTGCATCACTCAAAGGTTCTGTTTCTAGGCTTCATTCCATCCAGTGTTAGAAACTAAATTTCTATCAGTTGGTAGCCGCCTCCTTCCTCAAGGTGACTTCTATATTCTGGAGGCTTCTGTGACATCAAACATCCAGGCAGGGAATGCCTGGACCTAGTGTCACGGTCCAACTTCACCACGTGCGGCAGTCCACCATGCTGCCTCCTCCCCAACTCCTAACACTAGCTTGGGCTCCTGGGAAATACTCCTGCTCCCTGTCCTCTCCAGGCTGTGGAAGATCTGCTGCTGAACCCCTCTGGTCCCACAAAATCATCCTGATGCCTCTTAACCCTGCGGAGGCCTCAGGAAACACTGTGAGGGTGTCCAAGGCACAAAAGCCTAGATGAGCCGGACCGGCATGCTTTTACTCCTATGCATTGTAGGACCATATCCCCAGGCTTTGCCAAGGGATAGGGAACAAGCGTATCTCTGGTCTCAGACACACCAAGGTCATCTTTGATATTTACCATGTCTCTACTCCCTCACTGGGATCAGTGTAGCTGAGGGATAAGGACACAGGAGTTGAGCATATTTAATTGCATACAGGTTTAGCTGCTGGACCCAGAGATCCAAAATAGCAGTGGCATATGAAAGAGAGAGGTTTCTTTTTTCCCATGTGAAAATGCAGGGAGAAGCCTGGCACAGTGGCTCACGCCTGTAATCCCAGCACTTTGGGAGCCTGAGGCAGAAGGATCACTTGAGGCCACGAGTTTGAGACCAGCCTGGGCAACATAGCAAGACCAGATCTCTACCAAAAAATATATACATATAATTGCAATTAGCTAAGTGTGGTGGCACACACCTGTAGTCTTAGCTACTCTGGCTGAGGTGGAAGGATCTCTTGAACCCAGGAGTTTGAAGCTACAGTGAGCTATGATCACACCTCTGCACTCCAGGCTGGGTGACAGAGCAAGAGCCTACCTTTTTAAAAAAAAAAAAAAAAAAAAAAAAAAAAAGGTGGTGGGGAAGGTAGGCAGCTCAGAGCTGGTATGGTAGCTCCACAACTGTCGGAACAATGCTAGGATGGTTTCTCATTTGTCATTCTGCCAGCATCAACACACAGCTTCTAACTTATTATCCAAGACTGTTTCAAGAGCCCCCGCCATCCCATTCTCCTTCCCATCACCAGGAAGAAGGAAAAGGGGAAAAGGGAGGGTATTCCTCTCAAGAGTCCAGTGTGCAGACTGGCTCCTCACTTCCTCCTCATTCCATCCGTAGAATGAGTTGAAATGTACTCTTTACTGTATTCCCTTCTATCTGAGCATCATTTAAAACTTTGAAGCAACTTCTTACATTCTGTTTTTTCTCCAGTCTCCCTAAAGCCGCCAAGTTGGCTAGAAAACATCTTAAGCTGGAAAACCGTGGGTCCAACTACAAAGTGCACTGTTCCATGACAGGGCAGTCTGGATATTGGGACTACCTGCGGCAGTCACATCACCTCAGCTCAAGTATTGAGAGAGGTAGAAAACAGGAACTGGTTAAGATTTCAAAACATCCTGCCATGCTCATCATCCCAAGTTGTGATTCTTTGCTTACAAGCTCTTCTCTCCCATTTATCTCAGTGTTCTTAAGGCCACTGACCCAGAATTTACTTTTCTGTTCGTGACCCCTCTGGCCTGAGCCTCGCAGAGTCCCTGGCTTATGGCAGATGCTCAATAAATGTTTATTTGCAGCATCCTACATCATGCACTGACTTAGCACATTTTTGAGTGCCTACTATTCATTAAGCTAAAAATCTCCCCATTCTCTGTCATCTCAAAGGCACTTTTCTTGGGCAACACTCTCAAGCCTCTGTGAAGTCCACTTTATGAATTTAGAAGAGTTTCCATGGAAGAAAACATATTCTCAAGTACAGAAATCAAGATGAAAGCTGTGGCTGCATTCTCTTGGTCTAGGCATCAGTTAGGATGACATTTTTCTGAAGACTGAGGACTAAGCTCTGATTTTTTTTTATCTTGCCCAAATTCCTATCTAGGAACTCGAGGGAGTTATTCCCTACAAACCATAAATTCTCATCAGATGGGTTTTATTTAACCCCATATATCATGGCTTACTTTCCAATCTGACCCTGGCATAACATTATGAGATAAGGAAGAAAATCAAAATGTTTTATCCCAAAATATATTTCCCTGCCATACCTCGAAATTGCCCTGCAAAGTCTCTTGTGGGAAAAATTCACAGTCTATAGAGAATCCCCTTTCCCCTTTGTTTTCCTTCCTTTCCAGATCCAGGAGATAATCAACTAAGAGCCAGGTACCCTTTTAGGTCTGATAAGAAACATTTTACAACCTGCTCTCTCTCTCTCTGAAGGCTGACTATCTGAGTTTCCTCTGCATAATAAAACTTGGTCTCCACAATCCTTTATCTTAACCTAAACATTTCCTTTTATCCCAGGTCTTCAGATAAATTCAACCAATTGTTAGCCAGAAAATGTTTAAATTTACCTACAGCCTGGAAGCCCCCGCTTTGAGTTGTCCCGCCTTTCTGAATGAAACCAATGTACTTCTTAAGTGTATTTGATTGATGTCTCATGTCTCCCTGAAATATATAAAACCAAGCTGTAACCCAACCACCTTAGGCACTGGTTCCCAGGATCTCCTGAGGGCTGTGTCATGGGCCATGGTCATTCATATTTGGCTCAGAATAAATCTCTTCAAATATTTTACAGAGTTTGACTCTTCTCATTGACAAGACAATGGTGGCTTTAAAAAGAAATAGAATTTTCAGCCAGGCACGGTGGCTCACGCCTGTAATCCCAGCACATTGGGAGGCTGAGGTGGGTGGATCATGAGCTCAGGAGTTCAAGACCATCCTGCCAACGTGGTGAAACCCCCAAACAATTAGCTGGGCATGGCAGTGCATGGCTGTAGTCCCAGCTACTCGGGAGGCTGAGGCAGGGGAACCGCTTCAACCTGGGAGGCGGAGGTGGCAGTGAGCTGAGATTGCACCACTGCATTCCAGCCTGGTGACAGAGCAAGACTCCGTCAAAAAACAAAAAAACAAAAAACAGAAAATAAAAGAAAAAATATATAGTTTCTTGTTTTCAAGTAAAAGTTCAAATATAGCCAGACCAGGGTTGAGAAGGTGGTTCTGGGCAGTAAGTTCTCATACACCCAAGTTGTTTCCAGGTTGTTACCCCTTGAGTGTAGCCCTAGTCCTCGTGGTCCAAAATAATGATTAGAGCTCCAGCCATCACAGGTATCTTCAGGTAGCAGGATGGAAGAAAGGACAGAGTGCAGGGGTAAGGCCATTCATCAGCTCTGTTTTAGGAACTGTTGCTGGAAGCTGCCACACAAAATTTCCACTCCTATCTTAAGTGTCCAGAATCTAGCCACACAAACATATCTAGCTGCAAGGGAGACTGAGAAATGGAGTATTAACTCTGAGTAGCCATATGTAATTTTGCTATTACTGTCAAAGGCGTTTGAACTAGAGTGACTCCATCTTGAATTGGGGCTGAGTAAAATAAGGCTGAGCTCTACTGGGCTACATTCCCAAGAGGTTAGACATTCTTAGTCATCGAATGAGATAGGAGCTCAGCATAAGATACAGGTCACAAAGACCTTGCAGATAAAAGAGGATGCAGTAAAGAAGCCTGCCAAAACCCACCAAAACCAAGATGGCAATGAAAGTGACCTCTGGTTGTCCTCACTGCTCATCACACGTTAGTTATAATGAATTAGCATGCTAAGAGACATTCCCGCTAGCACCATGACAGTTTACAAATGCCATGGCAATGTCAGGAACTTACCCTACATGGTCTAAAAAGGAGAGAAACCCTCAGTGCCAAGAATTTCCCACCCCTTTCCTGGAAAACTCATGAATAATCCACCCCTTGTTTAGCATATAATCAAGAAATATCTATAAGTATACTCAGTCAAGCAGCCCATGCTGCTGCTCTGCCTATGGAGTAGCTATTCTTTTATTCTTTCATTTTCTTAATGAGCTTGCTTTCATTTTAATCTGTGAACTCACCTTGAATTCTTCCTTGCACAAGGTTCAAGAACCCTCCCTTGGGGTCTGTATTGGGACCTTTTTCCGGTAACATTACTACAGAATAAAAGAGAGTAGATGTTGGGAAAGGCAGACTAGCAGCCTCTGCCACAGTGAGTTGATTTGTTCTAGATTAATGTTGAGAAAGTATTTGAGGAATTGAAACATGCTCATTACTTTATTCCCTTCATTCTAAGCATCATTTAAAATTTAAAGGCAACTTCTTGCATTCTGTTTCTTTTGCAGTCCCTGCATGTAAAGGGGTTGTCAGCGATGGTGTCACTCAGTGGCATATCTTCTTGATGTTCCCCACAGCCAGAGGATTCTCTGGGCTTGGAGGCACCTCCCCTGCTGCTCTTCAACAATTTAGCAATCAGTGGAGACTGGGAAATAAAGGAGCAAGAGAAGCACTGGATAAGAGGGAATAGCAAATGCGAAAAGGAAAACCACAGGGGGGTGATGGTTCATTGGAAAGTATAAATTATTCATCTCATGAGCTTCTTCTCAAAGGATAAAGTTTCAATCTGCTTGGGTTTTAATTACAGCAAATCCCATGCCTAAAGGGGTATTTGATCCGAGGCAAAATTGAGCCAGTAAATTACCACCAGGGCATATGGAAAATTTGTAAGTCAAAGAAGAAACACAGGAGCCTTGGGGACCTATAGATACCAGCTACCTGTTTTTATAGTTTGAGAAAATGTTAGTTATAACCAGGAATTTATGGGTCTGATTAACTCACCCAACACCAGATTATTTGATTATTTAATAAACCCTAAGGGACCAAAAATAACTCTGCGTCTAGAACAGGACTTTTCAACCTCAGCCCTATTGCCATTTGGGACTGGATAATTCTTTCTTGAGGGGATCAGTGCATTGTAGCATGCAGCATCACTGGCTTCTACCCAATAGATGTCAGTAGCAGCCCCCAGGAATGACAACCAAAATGTCTCCAGACATTGCCACATGTCCCCTGGGGCAAAACAGACTCCACTTAAGAACATTGGCCTTGATCCTGTAGACCAAAAACTATCTGAGACAGTTCTCCATCAACCTGGAGAGTTTATATTGCCAAGGTTAAATATGCTCTTGTTAAACAGCCACAGGAGGTCCAGAGGACATGTGCCCAAGGTGGTCAGGGCACAGCTTGGTTTTATACATTTTAGGGAGACATGAGATATCAATCAATATATGTAAGATGTACATTGGTTCAGTCAGGAGAAGTGGGACAACTCTAAGCAGAGAGGGTGCTTCCAAGTCATAGGTAGATAAGAGACAAAGAGTTGCATTCTTCTGGGTTTCATTTTTTTTTTTTTTCCTTCCCAAGACAGAGTCTAGCTCTGTCACACAGGCTGGAGTGCAGTGGCATGATCTCAGCTCACTGCAACCACCACCTCCTGGGTTCAAGCAATTCTGCCTCCTCAGCCTCCTGAGTAGCTGGGACTACAGGTGTGTGCCACCACACCCAGCTAATTTTTGTATTTTTAGTAGAGATGGGGTTTCACCAGGTTGCCCAGGCTGGTCTCGAACTTCTGACCTCAGATGATTCACCTGCCTCAGCCTCCCAAAGTGCTGAGATTACAGGTGTAAGCCACTGTGCCTAGCCTCTTTTGAGCTTCTGATTAGCCTTTCACTGAATACACAATTTATAAGAATCATTACTTATGCCTTAGTCTGGCTTAGTGAGACAATAGGGCAAAGGAAGCAATCAGATATGCATTTGTCTCACCAGAGCAGAGGGATGACTTTGAGTTCTGTCTGTCCTTTTTCCATAAGGAATTTCCTGGTGGGCAAATTGTGAGGGAGGTATGTAGCTTTTTTATCTTTGTAGCTACCATATTTAGGATAGAATGGGAGGCAGATTTGCCCCCACAGTTCCCAGCTTGTCTTTTCCCTTTGGCTTAGTGATTTTGTGGTCCTGAAATTTATTTTCCTCTCACAATCTTCTTATAATTTTTAAACAGAGACTCAAAGCTGACAACTATGTGCTTGGGTTTTATTCAGAGACCACTGTATTATTTTAATTCAATTTTCACTTCCTTGTTCATTCATTAATTCATTTGGTGACCTTGGAATTGCAGGAGTGGTGTTGGAGATAAAGCTCAGAGTCATAAAGAAACTGAGCATGCAAACAAAGAGTTCCTCAGCAAGGCAAGTTTGCTTTCTGCAGAAAGGGTGCTGTTCGCAGATCTGATCACCACGAGAGCACACAGAACAAAGGAAAGCAGGGGGTTTTATTCCTAATGCAATGGGTTTCTACTACTGTGTCCTGTCTCCATTGGTTGGAGCTGGACCACACAATCTAAACTGGTCCCAGCTGGCTAATTTGAAGTGTGCAGGGAGGGGGTTACACTGGCAGGAAGGGCAGTTTTGGCGGGAAGAGCCATTATGGCTGGAGGGGTAATCTGCAGAGTGAGTGACTAAGGGAAACGAGCAAGAAACAGATGTGGACTATAGATTAGGACCGGTAGGAAGGTTGTTTACTGCAACCAGGGGCAAGGAGACATGAAGAACAAGGAAGTTAACATGCCAAACTTTTGAAGAGGAGCTGACTGTATCTGACAAGTGACCAAGGCAGGGAAGGTCCCTGCCCTCACCAAGCTTACCTGGCACTAAGCATGCACTGGGCCTCTATAGGCCCTGTATAAGGATTGTCATGTTTCATTCCCACAACTGCCTCCAAAAGCCTGTATTAATGTTACTCTTGTTTCACAGACAATGTAACTGAGGCTTAGCAAGGCCAAGTCACTTGCCCAAGGACACACAGCTAGGAAATGTCTGGGATCAGGAAATTTAACTCTTATGACTTGATCCCAGAATCTACACTTTTGTCAGAGGCATTGGAAGCAGAGCAACTGCATCTCAAATTGGGGCTGGGTAAAATAAGGCTGAGCTCTACTAGGCTGCATTCCCAGGGGGTTAGGCATTCTTAGTCACAGGATGAGACATGAGGTTGGTGCAAAATACAGGTCACAAACCCCCCGTGATAAAATAGGACATACTAAAGAAACCTGCCAAAACCTGCCAAAACTAAGATGGCAATGAAAATAACCACTGGTCATCCTCACTGCTTATCATACGTTAATTATAAGGCATTAGCTTCTGAAAGACACTCCCACCAGCACCATGAGAGTTTACAAATGCCCTGGCAATGTCTGAAAGTTACCCTATGTGATGTAAACGGGAGATGAACCCTCAGTTCCAGGAAATCTCCTCTCCTTTCCCAGAAAACTCATGAATAATCCACCCCTTGTTTAGCATATAATCAAGAAATCACCATAAAAAATAGTCAACCAGCAGCCCTTGGGGCTGCTCTGCCTATGGAGTAGCCATTCTTTTGTTTCTTTACTTTCTTTCTTTCTTTTTTTTTTTTTGTTTTTTGTTTTTTGAGACAAAGTCTCACTCGGTTGCCCAGGCTGGAGTGCAATGGTGCAATCTCGGCTCACTGCAACCTCCTCCGCCTCTTGGGTCTGTAGGATATAATAAATTCCTCTTCAAAGGTTTTAGCTTCTAAATTGTTAAGTACAATGAGTTCTGAGATCCTTTCCAAAGAACCAATGTATCCGTATGTTCAGCTCCCCGTTCTTTGTTCTTCATTTTAAAGTTCAACTTCCTCATTCTCTTTGTCTCCTTGCCCCTAGTTTCAGTAAACAATCCCCTCCTAGCTTCTATCATCTGCTCCTTCCTGAGTCACCTGCTCCATCCTGAGTCACTCCTGGTCACCTGCTCTGACCTGAGTCATCTGTTCTGTAACCATCCTTCCCACCAAACTACTTACCCCGCCACTCTGGACTCATACCTCTGCTCTCTTTAAAACAGCCAATCGGAATTAGCTTAGACTGTGTGGTCCAACCCTAGCCAATAGGGGAATGACACAGCAGTAGGGGCTACCTGCATCAGGAATAGAAACTCCTTCCCCTCCCTTGTCAAGGTGTGCTTTCGCCATTGCTCCATCCACGAGTTGCACCCTTCTATAGAAGTAAAATTGCCTCGCTGAGAAAATTTAATTTATGTTCGAGTGCTATTTCTTTTGCAGCACCAAAAATTTATTTCTAACAGGTTCAAGGGATTCTCCGGCCTCAGCCTGCAGAGTAGCTGGGATTATGGGTGCCTGCCACCACATCTGGCTAATTTTTGTATTTTTAGTAGAGACAGAGTTTCACCATGTTGGCCAGGCTGGTTTCAAACTCCTCATCTCAGGGGATCCACCCACCTTGGCCTCCCAAAGTGCTGGGATTACAGGCGTGAGCCACTATGCCCAGCCTCTTTACTTTCTTAGTAAACTTGTTTCACTTTACTCTATGGACTCACCCCAAATTCTTGCAAGAGATCCAAGAACCCTCTCTTGAGATCTGCATCAAGTCCGCTTTCTGGTAACATTTTCAGCCATTAATTTAGTATCAACGATATGCCAAGCATTGTATTTGGGACTTAACATAATTATCACACAACAACCTAAGAAGGATAGGTTATTGATCCCATTTCATAGATAAAGAATCTGAGGCTCTAAGGTGAAGCCTTAGAGTAGGGAGTAGGATTGCCATGGCAGGCCTAGATCAATCTTAATTTATCTCCTGGGGTTTGCCACAGTGCCACCAACACAAAGTCTAGGTTCTGCTGCCAGGAACAAGAAAGCATAGTTGTTTGCAGGCAACCAACAAGGAATGTCCGATTGACCACATCTGTTACTTCACATCCAGTATCTCACAGGATGCCTGACATACTTGGTAAATGTTTATTGATTGAATCAGATTCTGTATTCATCAGCTCAGGCTGTTCTAACAAAATACCATAGCCTGGGAGGCTTAGACAACAGAAATTTATTTTCTCTTGGGTTTGGAGGCTGGAAGGCAGAGATCAAGGATCAAATATGGTTGGGTTCTGGTGAGCACTCTCTTCCTGGCTTGCAAATGGCCACCATCTCACTGTGTCCTCATATGTTACAGAGAGAGAGAGGGAGAGAGAGAGAGAGTGAGAGAGAGAGAGAGAGAGAGAGAAAGTGATCTCCTTCCTCTTCTTTTAAGGTCACAGTCCTATGGCATTAGGACTCTTATGACCACTCTTATGACCTCATTTAATCTTACTTACCTCCTAAAGACTCTATCTCTAGATGCAGTCACACATTTAGGACTTTAACATATGAATTGGGGTGGGAGTATGGATACAACTCAGTTCATAGCAGAGACAAAATAAATAAATAAATGACCAGTGATGAGTGCATGCACAGCCAAAGAATGAGCACATGCACAACTGAAGGAATGAGGGGACAAGTGACCAAATAAATTAACAGAGGCAGGGGTTCAGTTAGATGATATTGAAGTATATACAGAAAGTCAACTTTGTACTTGTACATAAAGTCTGTACTTTGTACAGAAAGTCAATTTGGACTCTACTATAGTGCTACAATAAATGATTTGAAAGACTACTACGTTTTGACTTCTGGAAAACCTCCCGGAAATGTACTTTCACCCTACAGGCATGTGATTAAATGAATAGCATTTGGTGTTTCATCACACTCAGCATTGGCTACAATCTCTCTATTCTCTTTCCACTTTCAGGTAATAACCCATAAACTCATCTTCTATGAAACAGGAAAATTGTGTTCCTAATTAAGTCATCTTAGTTATGAGATATATTGGATGCTTACTTCAATGGATAATAAATGGAATGATGCTTTTAAACTCAAGTCTGATTCACAGGAAGGTCAAGAAACTTCAAAAACAAAAGCATTCTAACCGATTCCAACATCCTAACCCATTCTATTATCCATGCCAACCTACTGAGTTCTAACCCATTGACTACAACTCAACTTCTGGCACCTGACCCAGAAAAACATGCCACTGATGGCTCAAGGAAAAAAGCCAACAAGTGCAGACGAGTTTAGAAGCACCAGAGGAACAAAGGGTTTAGAGCAGAGGTTCTGCAGATGCCAACACACAGCAACCTCTCACGGACAGGACGGCAAGCAAGCCCTGCACTCAGTCATCACACATTGTTCTCTATCGCATGTTCATGCTGAATGCATCAACCCGGCTATTAAGTCAAGACATCATTATAGCCCCCACGTGAAGGACTCACACTGGACAAATCTTAATTCTCAGAAAAGTAAGGACACCTTTCAGGCAAAATCTAGACTATTAATCGTCAGTCAAGGGCCCACTCTTTTTTCTTTGAAAGCAATGTTTTCCATAAAAGCCTTGACTTTAAAAAAAAAAAAAAAGCCATTTCTAACAGAGAAAACCTTCATGTTACCATGGTTCAGATCATACATAAAGAGTTATTTTCTTGCTCTGTTTCAAAGAGAAAGGTTCCAGTGGCAAAATAGCCCACCTGTCCTTGGAGCACTTAATTTTCTTCTATCCCATTCCGCTTTATATAACGTTGTTATCTATTTTTGTCAACCAATGTTCCTTTAAATTATGAATTCAGCAAAATGAGAAAACTTCATGGTCAACTTTGTGACAATCTGAAGGACACAAAGAATTGTAAGTTTTATAACTTAGTCAATAAGAGTAGCGGATACTGTGGTGTGTTGCCTGGATTCCACTCACTAGGACAGAGGGGCTCTTTCCCCAGCTTCTAGAAGTGCTGGTGCCTGACAGAAATTAGCTGAGTCCTTCTCTGAGTGAGGCTTGTTTGCCTTCAGCAGATGAAAGATGTCTTAACTAAGGATATGCAAGGGGGAAGGGGAATTCCAACTTATTATCTCACAGTTCTGTAGATCAGAAGTTCAATATAAATCTCCTTAGGTGAAAATCAAGGTGTTGGCAGGCCAGATCCTTTATTGAAGGGTCTGGGAAATATTAATAATAAGATCCCAGGCTCACTGTTACTGTTGACATAATTCAGGTCCATGTGGTTGTAGAGCTGAGCTCTCCACTTTTTTTGCTGGTTGTTGGCTGGGGGGTGCCCCCAGCAATTGGAGACCAACACTCCTTGACTCACGATCCCTTTCATCTTCAAACCTGCAACTGCAGGTTAAGTCTTTGTCCCATCTCATCAGTCCTGCCTTCTCTTTAACGTCACTGTTTCACTGCAACAGGGAAACGTTGTCCACTTTTAAGGACTCATGTAATCAGATTAGGCTGGCCCAGATAATCCACGGTAATCTCCCCGTATCAAGGTCCACAATCTTAATCACATCTGCTGGGAACAGACCCCAAGACTGGCCATAAACAAGATCTCTGAAACACTGCGACATGATTGTGATGGCTATGGCGCTCATGCTGGAGATTGCTGGTTTACCGGAATGAGGGCAAGGAACACCTGGCCCACCCAGGGTGGAAAACCGCTCAAGGCGTTCCTAAACAACAATGGCATGAGCGATCTGTGCCTTAAGGACATGTCTCTACTGCAGATAACAAGCCAGAATCTGTCCCTTTGTTCTCCGTAAAGAATACTTTTAGTTAATCTATAAACTGCAGAAACAATGTTTATCACGGGCTTACTGTCAATAAACAGGTGGGTCAAACTCTGTTCGAGGCTCTCAGCTCTGAAGGCCATTAGCCCCCTGATCCCACTTTGCACTCTATTTCTTTGTCCGTGTCTTTATTCCTCTAGTGCCGCTGGGTTGGGGTCTCCACAACCAAGCTGGTCTCAGCACACATCTGCAAAATATATTTTGCTATGTTAGGCCACTTAGTCACAGATTACTGGAACAGGGACATGGATATCTTGGAGGAAGGAGGGGTAGGATGTTTTTGCTACCACATGCATAAAAAAGTATATTTAGTGTGTCCATGTTCATCTAGCTCTACCAGAAAAACAAAGATTCAGCTATTTATTTAGCTATCATTCTGTGTATTTCATGCCTACACTGTTGTAACTGCTGTATTGGGTGCTATGTGTATCAGTGAACAAATTAGATGGGGCCCCTGACTTTGTGGAGTTTTCAGTTTAGTAGAGCAGCTCCCAAGGTGTGGTCCTCAGACAGCATCATCAGCACCACCTGGGAACTTCATAGAATAGCACTGACCCCGTTCCAGACCTACTAAGTAAGAAACTGAGGGGGAGGTGGTGGGATTGTATTTTAATAAGCCTTCCAGGTGATTTTTACACATGCTAAAGTTTGAGAATCACTGATCTAGTAAATCTTTATCCCATGAGGTGTGCAAACATTTTCTATAAAGATCAGATGGTAAATATTTCAGTCTTTGCAGTCCACACATATCACTGCTACTCAACTCTACTGTTATAGCACAAAGGCAGTCGTGACAGCACATAAACAGATGGGTGTGTCTGTGTCCCAATAAATTTTGCAGATGTGTTTATCAAAACAGACGGTAGGCTTTAGTTTGGCAATCCCTGCTCTACTAAGGGAAATGAGCTCTCCAGGCGTAAGAGTGGAGGTTTGTTCTATGGATAGAAATATTTTCTTAGGGCTTCACAAAATTAGGTGTCCCCCTTTCAATTACCCAATTGCCTCTTTTCTGATTCCTAACTCATCAAGCAACCTCTGGATAATAATCAATATTTTTAGGAATACTAGAAAGATGAGCTCCTCTCTACAAAATGCTCTCGTACTCTGATCTCTACAGTTTTATCATTATAAATTAATGCATCAATCTTTAGTTAAAATGAACTGAGTATCTACGGATGTGCTAAGAATACCCACCGAAGGGTGTAAAATACTGCTTAATAGACATGCGATAGACAGAATTATGCCCCCCCCATAGATATGCACATCCTCATCCCCAGAACCTATGAATATGTTACCTTACATGGCAACAGGGACTTTGCTGGTGTGATTAGGTTATAGGCCTTGACATGTGGAGAATATTCTGGATTATTCCGGAGGACCCAAGGTAATTTCTCCTTATAGGAAGAAAGCAGGAGAGACAAAGCTGGAAAAGGAGATGTGATGACAGAAACAGACATTAGAATCAGAGAGAGATTTGAAGTTGCTACATTGTTGCCTTTGAAACTGAAGGAAAGGGCTATAAACCAGGAAATCCAGGTGACCTCTAGAAGTTGAAAAATGCAAGGAAACAGAGTCTCTCGTACAGCCCCCAGAAAAAATGCATTCCTGGGCAACCATTTTGTACAATTCCCTCCAGGACTGTGAGAGAACAAATTGATGTTGCTTTAAGCTGCTAAACTTGTGGTCATTTATTACAGCAGCAATAGGAAACTAATCCAGCCTGTCATGCAGGGATGACAAAAGCACAACAGGAATGCTTCTATCCCCTCCACCTGTATCCCTGTGGGCATTGCTGAGCAACCTAGCACTCTTTTTCTGGGTGGATGAAGCCTTGGGATTCTTTGACACCTAGTTCTCCTGGTAACAAATATCTATTGACCCAAATTAGAATACAAGAATGGTCCATATTCTTAGTTGTAAACGGCAAAACTTATTCTGGCTCATTTAAACAAAAAAGCAATATATTAAAGGATATCAGGTAGCTCGCGGACTTTCTGGGAAGATCAGAATATTAGGCTTGGACACTGTACTACATCAAAAATGCCCATCTTACCTTCCTTCATGGTCCCAGTGCAAAGCCTTTGGCCCCCACCTCTGGTCACACACTGCAAGGACAGAGAACAAGCACTGAGGCTATTTCTGAGTGCAAGATGTTCCTCCCCCCGCATCACTGGGATGCATTCCACAATGGGCTTACTCCTCACATCACTGCTTCTTTTTTTTTTTTTTTTTTTTTTTTTTTTTTGAGACAGTCTTACTCTGTCACCAGGCTGGAGTGCAGTGGCACAATCTCAGCTCACTGCAACCTCTGACTCCCTGGTTCAAGGGATTCTCCTGCCTCAGCCTCCTGAGTAGCTGGGATTACAGGCACAAGCCACCAAGCCCAGTTAATTTTTGTATTTTTAGTAGAGACGCAGTTTCACCATGTTGGCCAGGATGGTCTCAATCTCCTGACCTCATGATCCACCCGCCTTGGCCTCCCAAAGTGCTGGGATTACAGACGTGAGCCACCGCACCCGGCCACTGCTTCTTTTTAGTTATTATTTTTTGGATTTAAGTTGAACTTAGGTAGAAATGAGAGCCTTGTGAGGTAGTGGCTGCTTCTATAAAATATCACATAATTTTTTTTTCTTTTCACTCTTCTCCTTAATTCTTAAAGAATCTGTTTTCCTGGTGAATAAAGAGACTTCTTTTGGTGAAGGGATGGATAGCAATGTTTCCTTTTTTAAAAAAAATTTTAGTTTTGTAGAGACAGGGGTCTCACTATGTTGCCCAGGCTGATCTTGAACTCCTGCCCTCTAGTGATCCTCCCACCTCAGGCTCCCAAAGCACGGGGATTACCCACATGAGCTGCCAAGCCTGGCCTCATACCCCTGCTTTTGAATCAGAGTTTTAAAAGGCTAGATTTGTTTCCTCTATGTTCAAAGTGTAGGCTCCGGACCAGCAGCATTGGCCTCACCAAGACCTTCAGAACTGACTCTCTGCAGTCTAACAAGCTCCACAGGTGGTTCAGACGCACACTGAAGGCTGAGAGGTCCAGCTGCACAGCATCCCAGCCCCTAACCATTATTCACAGTGCAGGCCCCTACTCCCTGCTATAACACCACCAAGGCAATGCCCTCAGAAACACAACACTCAAAACAGATGACTCAAAAGTGAGCCAGGCAAAGGAAGAAAGTGGAGTTGTCAGAGGCATTTAAACCAGAGCGACTCCTCTTGAATAGGAGCTGGGTAAAATGGGGCTGAGACCTACTGGGCTGCATTCCCAGACAGTTAAGGCAGTCTAAGTCACAGGAGGAGATAGGAGGTCAGCACAAGATACAGCTCATAAACACCTTGCTGATAAAGCAGGTTGCAGTAAAGAAGCCAGCCAAAACCCACCAAAACCAAGATGGTCACGAGAGTGACCTCTGGTCGTCCTCACTGCTACACTCCCACCAGCACCATGACAGTTCACAAATGCCATGGCAACGTCAGGAAGTTACCCTATATGGTCTAAAAAGGGGAGGCATGAATAATTCACCCCTTGTTTAGCATATCATCAAGAAGTAACCATAAAAATGCACAACCAGCAGCCCTCGGGGCTGCTCTGTCTATGAAGCAGCCATTCTTTATTCCTTTACTTTCCTAATAAACTTGCTTTCACTTTACTCTATGGACTCGCCCTGAATTCTTTCTTGCACGAGATCCAAGAACCCTCTCTGGGGGTCTGGATCAAGACTCCCTTCCTGTAACAGAGTTGAGGGAGATCAAGGGCACCCAGTTTTGTGACTGATAAGAGAAATACAACTATAGAGGGCTAAAATGGAATTTTTTTAACCAGGAAATATGTACAAATGGCTTAGACACCATAGAGGTTTTTCTCTTCATTATTTCTGGTTCTTCATCCAGACTTGGTGGCATCGAGAAGAACTAGGAGCAAATGCATCATTTTATCTTCAGACACAGAAAACTCCTGCCTTATGTCATTACTTGGCTCGGTTGCTACAATTTGTGAAGCAACCATAAGAAAATGGACTTGGAGAAGCAAATTGGTTTTTACTCTGAGTTTCCAAAGAGGTTCCAACAGAGTGCAAAAAAATAAATGTTTGAAAAAAAATACACACAAATAGTACCTTGACCTGTTCCTTCCACTGAAACATTCAGAAAACAAAATTGCCCATTCTCTATCCCTGAGAGCTCTTTGAAATGCAAGGGGAAAAGAAATTTGTAGCTTTGTGGTTGGAAATGCTCTTACATTCTGCTGAATTTTAAAAAGGAATATTTCCAGTTTGAATTTTTTTTAATTTGGAAAAGGAGAAAGTGAGGAAATAAAGGCTTTTGTGATGCAAAAGTTAAACCCAGCCTAGATGAGCATGTTTCTCGCTGCTATTTCAGCACCAGGAAAATGACTCTTCCCTGAATTTGTATCGCACGCTTTTACCAATAACAGAAGATTTATTTATTATTACTGAAAAGAAATGAAAAATAAAACTAAGCAATCTCCTTGGTGAAATGATCGGGTACTAGCCCTGCAATGACGCAAGTCACCTCCCCAACACAAGATCTAAAAAAGGATGAAATTGCAAGAGGTAAGCAGGTGTGACTCTTGCAGTGGTCTAGAGCTGCTCATCTCCTTCCACCTGGAGAGATTTGGGGGTTAAAAAGGGGCAGTCAATGGGGAGGGGGGAAGCACAGATATCCTGGCCTTAAGCTATCAACTCACACCAAATACCGCAGAGAGGGACATGTGAAGCTTCTGAATTAAAGAAAGTCTTTTCAAACCAGACACAAAATATCACCTATTATATAATCCTATTTATATGAAATGTCCAGAAGAGGCAAATCCATAAAGACAGAAAGTAGATCAGTGGTTGTCAGGGACTGAGGGAAGTACAGGGTGGAGAAGGACTACTAATGGGTACAGGATTTCTTCTTGGAATTCTAAAAATGTGCTGGATTTAGTGATTGCACAATCTTGTGGATATACTAAAAGCCATTGAATCATACACTCTAAAATCATGAATTTTATGGTATATATATTTCAATTAAAAATAAAGAGAAAGTGAGATTTACAGTTGTAAAAATATTAGAAACAGTATATGAGTAAAAATAAATTTAAAAATCAGTTGGAAAATAAAGTTTATTCAACACACAGTATTAAAATACTTGGACACTAAGTTGAAAAAATAGAGCTAATTTTCTGTTGCATGCCATTTGGACAAACATATTTATGTACTTATATGTAAACAAATTTTAAAATCTATAGATAAAGAGAGGAAGGAAGGAGGAGGGAGGGAAGGAGGAAGGAAGAAAAAAGGGAGGGAGGGAGGGAGGGAGGGAGGAAGAAAGGAAGGAAGGAGGAAGGAAGAAAAAAGGAAGGAAGGAAGGGAGGGAGGGAGGGAGGGAGGAAGAGCAGGGAAGGAGGAAGGGAGGAAGACAGGGAAGAAAGAGGGAGAGAGGAAGGGAGGGAAGAAAGAGGGGAAGGAGGGGAAAAAAGAGCCTCTGCCAATTAGCGGAGCTATTGATGGTAGGACCCAGAGGTAAATGGTTCTTTAAAGAGTGGTGCTAATAGTTCTTATGGTTACGAAAGGCAGGGCTGATTTAGTCAACAAACATTTAGTGGGCCAGGCTATGTGCTCACTAAAAACCTAGAACTCGAGGAAAGACCAGATCCAGCAAAGTAATGACAAACCAAGACCTAAGGAAGGAGAAGACAAATAAGAAATCCTCCATAATGAGAAACTCCCAACAGAGAAAAGTGCCAAGAAACTGATTTCCTGTTTGGAGCTACATAATCCCCCTCTGCTTTCTCTATACCTTTAGTAAAGATTGTTACACACAAATCCCAGCTACTTGGGAGGCTGAGGAGGGAGAATAACTTGAGCCCGGGAGGTGGAGGTTGCAGTGAGCCAAGATCGCACCACTGCACTCCAGCCTAGGTGACTGAGCGAGACTCTTGTCTTAAAAAAACGAAAATTGTTATGTACAGAAGCTTCTGACAGTGATGTCTTGGGGACTGAAGAAGAAGGAATGAGTTCACATTTGCGGACAAAAGGAGACCAGAGAGGAGTGGAACAGCCAGGAAGAGCTGTGGACAGGCAGCCTCAGGTCATTAAGAGTTGTGAACAAGAAGAATGCAGAGAAAGGGGACAAACATAAACCTCGACAATTAGCAATGTTTCAAATGCAGTTTGTTGTTGTCAAACCCCAAGCAAAAAGCAATATGTTCTAAAAACAAAGCCTGTATATATCATGATTCTCCATTCAAAAAAACATAGTTTACTCAGCACCTCCTACTATGTGATAAGCACATAATTTTCAGCTTAGCCACTATCTTTCCCTATGTCTTTTTTTTTTTTTTAAGATGGAGTCTCGCTCTGTCACCCAGGCTGGACTGCAGTGGTGTGATCTCGGCTCACTGCAACCTCTGCCTCCCAGGTTCAAGCGACTCTCCTTGCCTCAGCCTCCCGAGTAGCTGGGACTGCAGGCATGAGCCACCATGCCTGGCTAATTTTTTGTATTTTTAGTAAAGACGGGGTTTCACCATGTTAGCCAGGATGGTCTCGATCTCCTGACCTCGTGATCCACCTGCCTCAGCCACCCAAAGTGCTGGGATTACAGGCATGAGCCACTGTGCCCGGCCCCTATGTCTAATAGAAATAATAAGGGTGATGGTTGTATATTTCTTGCCACAGCCATAATGATTCAGAAAAGCTCATCTCATTCTCTTCTCCCTTCTTTTTATTATGAAAAAAGTGTCCATTTTTTCTGAGTAGTTGTCGTCTACCTGTCCCCTAGAGTTCCTTGTTCCTCTCATGGCTAACCATAGGGCTACTAGAGGCTGTTGTGTTAATATTACATCCATAATTTCTGCTACTCCTTTTCCCATTGCACAGGTCTGCCCATGAGCAATGGAGGTAGAAAGAGCACAGGTTTTGGCGTGAAACAGATGTGGGTTCCAATTTCTGCTTTTCTATCCCCACTGTATGACCTAGGGACATTCACTTCATTTCTCTGTTTCTTGATCTGCAAGATGGTATGGTGATATGTACCTGGATGGTGGTTTTGGAGGTAAGCGGCAATGTAAGCAAAGTTCCTGGCACGTTAAAATATTCAATAAAGTGACTGCTGATATTATGATGACAGGGCAGGCATTTTGGCACTTGTCGGCATTGAACCTGGTAGGAAAAGTGTGGGAAGGAGAACGTGGGAAAGAACAAGAGAAAGACTTCTGTTGGACCCCACACAGGACCTGCCCTACTATCAATGTTACTGTTTGGTACTTATGTACCATGTCCCTTCCATGAGTAAGAGTAGGGATGTAAGATGGAGAAAAAAACCTATATAAAAATATCAAGATCCCTAGGGCCAAACTTGTGTAATCAAAGCTCAATTACATAAAATTACCTTAATAAGTGATCAAGGCTATCATCCCAGTGATGTTATGTATCATGTACCCCCCAATATGCTGTGATTACAAAGCACCCACATCTGTGATATTCTTTTCATAAACCCATATCCCCAGTCTAATTGTAACAAAAACATCACACACACACAAAGTGAGGGACAACACACCTGATCAGTACTCCTCATAACTGGCAAACGAATGAAAAGCTAGGAAGACTGAAATTGCCAGAGACCAAGGAAGACTAAGAAGACACAACCTAGTGCAATGCAGCATCTTAGATTGGACCTGGAACAGGAAGAGGGCATGAATGGGAAACCGGTGAAATCAAAATAAAGCCTGGAGTTCATTAGTAGCAACGTGCCAATGTTGGTTTCTTAGTTTTGACAAAGGTGCTGAGTTGATGTATGATGTTAACAATGGGGAAAATAGGATGGGGGGCATATGGAAACTCTCTGTGCTACCTTTGCCATTTTGCTGTAAATCTAAAACCATTCCAAAATACAATTCATAAATATTATTAGAGGCTGGGTGCGGTGGCTTACACCTGTAATCCCAGCACTTTGGGAGGCTGAGGCAAGCAGATCACTTGAGCCCAAGAGTTTAAGACCAGCCTGGACAACATGGTGAAACTCCATGTCTACTAAAAATTAGCCAGGCATGGCGGCACAAGCCTGTAGTCCTAGCTACTTGGGATGATGAGGTGGGAAAATCACTTAAACTTGGGATGTTGAGGCTGCAGTGAGCCTTGATGGGACCACTGCACTCCAGCCTGGGCAACAGAGTGAGACCCTGTCTCAAAAAATAATAATAATAATTAAAAATAAAAATAAATATATAAATATCATCAGAAAAAAACACCATTACATGGCACCATGGTTGGCCACTATAGGAGTGTCACAAATAGATATTAGGAACTTCTATATTTGTTTTAGATTATTGTAAAATGTGTCCCAACGCCTCCATAACATTCATAGATGAGCTGTCTTTGTGTTCCTTCCCAGTAGCTGCCCCTGCTGTCATGTCCTTGGACAGTGAGTAACTCCGCCTCCACTTGTTCTAACTATTCACCATCATAACAGGAGCCTCCGGCCAGGCACAAACCTACACTGGTACCTTAGTCACACAGGATGTGCCACAGTCAACTCCCTCATGTAGGCAGCCCTTACATGACACTATGAGAGGTGGCAGGACCAAAAACACCCTGTCATCAGCTCTCCCACAATATCTAGAACTCTTGTAAAACTCAGCTCCCAGGTATATACAGTGGGAATAACCCCTGTGGATGCTGGCCAGTCACATCTCAATGTTGGCACACATTTAACTCTTCTTTTGTGGTGAACAAGGACATGCACCACTCAGGTCCTTCTTCAAGGAAGAATTTGTTGCCCCATTTGTCAGCAGAAAGCCTTGAGTTGTAATTCCTTCAAGATTTGCCTCATCTGCAGAGCCACGTCTTGACCGTGAGCTCCCCCTTCCTGCCCAGCCCACATACAGTGACTGACTGTGTAGTAGGTATAAAGACCCAGACATTTCAGCCCAACAGGGACAACTTTGCTATGCTCTGGAGCTGTCCAAAGTTGGCTGAGGCCTGGTCAGGCCTGCCTCACAGTTAAGCTTCTTCCTTGGCCCAGTTCTGCTTTCTGTCCTTCCTTCCCATAAGTATTGCTCTCTAATGACCATCCTACATACCCACCAACTCCATCTCAGCATCTGTTTCTGGGGAACTCAGCCTGTGACATCTTTCTTAGAGGGAGAGAAGACTGTGTTCAGGATGACCAACTGTATGATCTTTTACCTAATTTCGCAGCCTCCCTTGCAGCTAGGGTGAATCACGTGACCCAGTTCTAGCCAATGAGGCATCATCAAAATTTTATTGGAGGATAGATGGATATTTGCAGGACAAAAAAGTTTTTCTTTCTTCATACACGGTATCCCATTGGTACAGGGATCATCTCAGTACCTTTCACCTTCCATTTTCTTCTCATCATAGATGTGACATCTGGAGCTGCTGCCATCTTGTAACCATCAGGTGACTCATATGAAAGAAATGCCATGATAGCTGAAGAGACAATAACCCTGAAATCACTGAGCCTCCAAATCAATATGGCCACCACCTACCACCAGACATTGCAATCTGTGAGAAACATAAACTCTCATTTGTTACATTACAGTCACTTTCTGTTACCTGCAACAGAACACATCCCTAACAGAGAGTGAAGAACAGCATTTACTGAGTGCCTGCTGCATACCAGCCCAGGACTGAACACTCTCTAATCTCTCTCATTTAATGTCCACAACAGCTCCTTAAAAACACACTGCCCAGCCCTGCCTAGGCCCACTGATTCACTCCTGACAAAGGTTGGATGCAGGGCAGACATACTGTATCTAGTCACCCAGCCCTGGAATCTGAACCTGGGAGTTGTGGCCTCCGCTCTGAGCCAAGGACCTGTCTCAGATATGAGGCCATGACAAACACATGTGAGGGCACCAGCACACGCCCTGTACATTACAGCAGGAGAGGGCATTTCAGCCTCATCTTCTGCCTCTGCCTGTCTACCAGCTCCTGTCTGATAGCTATTGAAACACCAACAGTTCTTATTTAGAAAGATCTCAAAATACAGAAGTGCATTAGAAGAGCGGGATATTACACAAGCACTTTGAAACACAGATTATTTTGCTTGGCTTTCACTTAGAAAACACAGCTACCTAAGATATTTCTAATTCTGGCTATTACTTTAGGAAGGCAATCAGTTCCCAAACTACCCAGGCATAATGGCTTTGGTTTTTTGTTTGTAGCCAAGTAAACATTTCTCCTTTCCACCCACATATCTGGCTTCTATGCACCCCAATACAGAAAGAGAGAAAGCAGCTGCAAACCACTGGGAAAAAATCAAGATCCAACGTCTCTATCAGAATATTGATTTCAGTTAATAGCACATAATCAAACATCTTTACACAGAGGTTTCATTTAAAGAAAGTGGAGCTTTCTTCTGAGTTCTGTTATAACAACTCAGCATGCAAGACCAGAATTTTAAGTAATATTTTAAGCTTGTGCTGCTTTTGCACATTCATTTGTTTATTCATCAATTCAACAAATATTTATTAAGTGCCAGATACTTTTCTAAGAATTAGGGATAAAACATCTTAGGTCTCCTCCCTAAATCACTTCCCTCTTTTGTAATATTAGCAGTCTAAAGTGCTACAACCAAAAGACTCAAACTTTTAATGATTTAAATAAAATAGAAGTTTATTTCTCTTTCATGTAGGATTCCTGAAGGAAGCATCCCAAGTTTAAAGGTGAGTTCAGCCATCTACAACATATGGTTTCTATTCCTGGCTCAAAAGTGGCCTCTTGTTTTTTCCAGCCTATCCTTATCCCAGCCAGTAAGAAGTTGGGTAAAGGCAGGGGAAAATATGCTTGTTTCTTTGAATAGCCCAACAGAGTAGTAGTACTGTCACTTCTGTTCATATCCATTAGTCAGACCTTGGTCACATGGCCATCTAGCTGCAAGGGAGCCTGGAAAATGCAAGTTCTAACTGGACAACCATGTGCCTGACTCAAACTATTATCAGTATTTTGACTGTTAAAACAAGCAGTTTATGAATAACACTGGATGATGGCTGGTAAATACTGTAGAAGGATTTAGGCCAGCTATGCACTTCCTACAGAGTTTTAAATAAATAATTTAAGAATACTCTTGTCAACTTTCTCTATCACTATGCCTCCTTATTGTAGAATAACTCTGACCTTATCATGCACGCTCTCATCTCTATGACCAGGCCAACCCCTGCCCCGTGCAGGCCTGGGGGCTTGTCTTGACTTTGACATTTATTCCAGGGATGGAGCTTTCCAAAATGCCCCTGATATGGTTTGGCTGTGTCCCCACCCAAATCTCAACTTGAATTATATCTCCCAGAATTCCCACATGTTGTGGGAGGGACCCAGAGAGAGGTAGTTGAATAATGGAGGCAGGTCTTTCCCATGCTATTCTCGTGATAGTGAATAAGTCTCACAAGATCTGATGGGCTTATTAGGGGTTCCCACTTTGGCTGCTTCCTCATTTTTTCTCTTGCCACCACCATGTAAGAAGTGCCTTTTGCCTCCCACCATGATTCTGAGGCCTCCCCAGCCATACGGAACTGTAAGTCCAATTAAACCTCCTTTTCTTCCCAGTCTTGGGTGTGTCTTTATCAGCAGTGTGAAAACAAACTCATACAACCCCAATCCCACATCTGGCTTCTGAATACCTACTTTCAATGGTTAGGGAAGGCTTACAACATTAGTTAAAGGCACTTTGGCTTGTTAGCCAGATGTGAAGTTATCACTTTCTGTGTGACCTTTGCAAATTACACATTCTCTCTGCACTCAGTGTCTCCATCTGTAAAGTGGCAATAGTATTGTTACCTATCCCATGGGTTGTTGTAGCCACTCATCCTGATTCTCAGCTGTAAAGAAGTTAGCAGAGGGCCTGTCATACATTAGTTCTCAATAAATATTAATTGTTACTTTTAATCCTAGTTCATCTATGCTCAGATGTTAAGTGTTGGCCTGAACCTCTTTGTATCTTTACTTCCAACTGCTTTTGTATCACCAAACAAGGCCCTGGCACCCTTGGCAGGCCATCAGGATTTACCCACCTAGGGAGAATGCTGCTCACCTACCCACCTAGGGAGTTCTCTGTGGCCTCAAACTGCAACCTTTCTGCAAATACTGAGTCCATCTGCAACCATGTTCCCCAGCTTGACCCACTTCCTCCTGTCAATGGCCTAATCTTGGACCTGATAAGTGTTTGTAAAATGAGAAGAAGGGTCTATAAACTGAGCAGAAGCACAACAAATCTCTTTATTTTCTCCGTGCATGCAGTGCCTAAATGAAAAGCAAGGCCTATTAATTCAGTCTCCTCAAGATAATTTCAATCATAAAACAAGCACACATTTTTAATAAGAAAACTCTTCAGAGCAGCTGATAATGAAAGCTCCAAGAATAAAAATGCAATCAGAAGCTGCCAGCACTGCAAATACCTTACACTCCTAGAGCCAGAGTCTTGGGCTGGTTGCTATTTCATCATCACAGGAGGAGACAGTATAGAAAGGGCTTCAACTGCTCTCTTAATGCAACACTCATGACAAGCCTGAATTCTACAAATGGGTCTCCTTTTTCTTATTTTTGTAATCTCTTAATGCCTCTCCCCTCCTAACTCCACCCTAATTATGAATTTAGGCAAACCAAGATTTGGGAGAAAAATGATCTTGATTCCACAGCATAAAAAAGGCTCTCTTCTCGATGCACTGATGACAAACTCAAGACAATGATTAGAGACTTCACTTTCATATTCAATGGGTTTTTTCAAAAACTAACGGGATATTAATGTATCAGTCAGTTGCAAATGTCACATAGGCATTTCAAACCTTCCTAGCAAAAATTTAAGAAATTGGTGTGATGGAATTTACTGACTCACGTTACTGGAAAGTTAAGGAGTTGAAGGTTCAGACCTGGCTGGACCGAACACTCAAAGAATACCATGAATCTCTTTTCATTCCTCCATTCCACATTTTTCTGTACAAACTGCATTCTTAGGCAGGCCTCCCTCTCCTCTAGCTTAATCCACTCTCACCACCTGAACAGGGTCTTCATCGCCCAGCTTTGGCCCCCTGATGGGCACCTGACCCAACACTGTGGCAAGAGAGCTGGATTGCTTTAGACCAGTGCTGTCCAGTATAACTTTCTGCACTGATGGATGGAAGTGTTGTGTATTTCCACCTGCCCACGGTCCTGACAGCCTCATGCATTGTCATTAGGTGTTATCAGGACTCTTTGTTATGCCCTGACCCCAGCTGTCATTATGATTAGTTTTTCAACAACTAGTTGTACCCAATACACATATGTGCAAGGTGCTGAGGGCTTATAGGTGGCCAAAATCAGGTTGTTTTCTGATCCCATGGAGCTTACGAATGATAGGTGAGCGTGACATTAACCAAATACTGGTGAGGCTAAAACTTAACTGAGATATGTCTCTAGGAGAGAAACATATGGTCTTATGGGAGCACATAAAGGTAAGAAGTAAGCTGACCTATCTGCTTCAGGAAGGGAGTATGTGGCTATTGGGGCCAAGGGTAGGGGCTTGACAATCAAGGAGAAGAGCCCTTGAGCTGACATTTGAAGAATACACAGGCAGTAGATTGCAGGAAGCAAGTGGGGCTGGGAGGCCGGGGTCTTCTCAATCTAGGGCAGACTTGTGCAAAGATTCCACAGAAGACCAGAATGCTCCAAGGACTGATGGAACGCCAGGATGTCTAGAGAGAGAGTGCAGATGTATGGAGGTATAGGTGGGGAATTGCATGTAACAGGACAGATGGAGGGGCAGATAATGAAAGGCTTGCTAGCCTTGCTGGCTGTCAAAGGTGGTTACGTTTCTCCTGAGAAATGTGGAAACACACTGGTGAGTTCTAAGCCAGTAAGTGACATGATCACATTTGGATCTGGAATAGAGCACTGTGCTACCGCATCTAGAAAACAATTGAAGGAGGGTGAGAAGAGGAAAGGAGAGACCAGCAGAGGACTCATGCGGGGGTCTAGGCAAGATATAGTGGCAGCCTAAGCTGAGATGGTGGGGATGGATTCAGAGGCAATTTCAGAGGTGAAACGAATTGGATTTGCTGACAGCTTAACTACTACAAGTGAGGGATAAGGAGGTATTCAAGATCCCAGCCTTTCTGATTTGTACACTTGGATGGATGGTGCAGCCATTCACAGAAGAAGGAACACTGGAAAAGAACCAAATATAAGGAAGAATAACACAAATTCAGTGCCAGACATGCAAGTCAGGACTATCCATGTAGAGATGACAGTTAGAGAAATGGTCTTGAGCTCAGAGAAGGCTGCACTAGGGGAATAAATTTGAAAGTCAAGGGCATATAGCTGAATGTTGGAGTGATGGAAAGGATGAAACTACATAGGAAGAAAAGATTGAAAAAAGAAGGCAAATTTGAAGGAAGTCAGCTCTAAGAAACCTCAATCATTAATGGTGCGGTAAAAAGGATGAACTTACAAAACAGGGGAGAGAAACAGCAGCCACAGCAATAGGAGGGAAACCAGGGGAATGTGGTGCAAGAGAAGCCAAGAGAAGAGAGTGGATTTAGAAGGAAGGAGTAGTCGAGAGTGCCGAGTTTAGCTAAGAAGTCAACTCAGGCAAGAGTGGAAAATGTGCATAGGATTTAATGACAAAAAGTTCAGCAGTAACCCTTGCAAAACCTGTCTCTATGGAGTGACCAGGGCAGAAGTCAAAAGTGAATGGGTTGAAGAGTAAAATGGAAAAGAACGGAGAAACCCACTATTGACAATTCTTCCAAGAACTTTAGCTGGGGAGGGGGGGGGCAGAAAGTTGAGAAAGAGCTGCAAGAATAATATATGAGCAAAAAGAAGAGGTTGAGGTTTTTATGGGAGAGACATAAGCAATTGCACATCAAGGTCTCAGCCCATCTTTTCTCAGGCAATATTTTAAAAGCGCAACTAATTCATTCAATACGTTTGGAGAAAATATCCACTACGAGGCTTCAACTTTCAAAAATGGTTCACTTGATTAACCCTAACTTAGGATGAAGAAAATTGATCTGAGAAGTCCCTGAGACAATGGCATGCTCTCCTATTCCAAAAATTTCAAGAACGTCATCTTCCTAAGAAGAATAATGCCATAATCTCTTTAAAATGAATTTTAGTTAAACTGTCTCTTAAAACAGAAAAAGAAAACAAGAAAACTGGAAACTTTTTCTTTTTGGGTGGCAAGAGCAATCAACAGCATAAAATTCTGAAGTAGGCTTCAAAAAAAGGGAATAGAGAACTACAAACTACTGCCCAATGAAATAAAAGAGGAAACAAACAAATGCAAGAACATTCCATGCTCATGGATAGGAAGAATCAATATTGTGAAAATGGCCATACTGCCCAAGGTAATTTATAGATTTAATGCCATCCCCACCAATCTATCAATGACTTTCTTCACAGAATCGGAAAAAACTACTTTAAAGTTCATATGGAACCAAAAAAGAGCCTGCATTGCCAAGTCAATCCTAAGCCAAAAGAACAAAGCTGGAGGCATCACACTACCTGACTTCGAATTATACTACAAGTTTACAGTAACCAAAACAGCATGGTACTGGTACCAAAACAGAGATATAGACCAATGGAACAGAACAGAGGCTTCAGAAATAATACCACACATCTACAACCATCTGATCTTTGACAAACCTGACAAAAACAAGAAATGGGGAAAGGATTCCCTACTTAATAAATGGTGCTGGGAAAACTGGCTAGCCATATGTAGAAAGCTGAAACTGGATCCCTTCCTTACACCCTGTACAAAAATTAATTCAAGATGGATTAAAGACTTAAATGTTAGACCTAAAACCATAAAAACCCTAGAAGAAAACCTAGGCAATACCATCCAGGACATAGGCATGGGCAAAGACTTCATGTCCTCCAAAACACCAAAAGCAATGGCAACAAAAGCCAAAATTGACAAATGGGATCTAATTAAACTAAAGAGCTTCTGCACAGCAAAAGAAACTACCATCAGTGTGAACAGGCAACCTACAAAATGGGAGAAAATTTTTGCAATCTACCCATCTGACAAAGGGCTAATATCCAGAATCTACAAAGAACTTAAACAAATTTACAAGAAAAAAATCAAACAACCCCATCAACAAGTGGGCAAAGGATATGAACAGACACTTCTCAAAAGAAGATATTTATGCAGCCAACAGACATGTTACAAAATGCTCGTCATTACTGGCCATCAGAGAAATGCAAATCAAAACTATAATGAGATACTATCTCCCACCAGTTAGAATGGCAATCATTAAAAAGTCAGGAAACAACAGGTGCTGGAGAAGATGTGGAGAAATAGGAACACTTTTACACTGTTGGCGGGACTGTAAACTGGTTCAACCATTGTGGAAGACAGTGTGACGATTCCTCAAGGATCTGGAACTAGAAATACCATTTGACCCAGCCATCCCATTACTGGGTATATACCCAAAGGATTCTAAATCATGCTGCTATAAAGACACATGCACACAAATGTTTATTGCGGCACTATTCACAATAGCAAAGACTTGGAACCAACCCAAATGTCCATCAATGATAGTCTGGATTCAGAAAATGTGGCACATATACACCATGGAATACTATGCAGCCATAAAAAAAAAGGATGAGTTCATGTCCTTTGTAGGGACATGGATAAAGCTGGAAACCAGCATTCTGAGCAAACTATTGCAAGGATAGAAAACCAAACACCGCAGGTTCTCACTCATAGGTGGCAATTGAACAATGAGAACACTTGGACACAGGGTGGGGAACATCACACACTGGGGCCTGTCATGGGAGGGATAGCATTAGGAGATATACCTAATATAAATGACGAGTTACTGGGTGCAGCACACCAACATGGCACATGTATACATATGTAACAAACCTGCACATTGTGCACATGTACCCTAGAACTTAAAGTATAATAATAATAATAATAAAAGGGAATAAAGTCAAAGCTGGTGACTATGAGAATAAAATGTCAGTCCAGATTAAAGGAACAATTAATGATGACTGGAAGCTGAGAGGATGTTCAATCATGAGCTGCACAACCTAGAGCTCACCAGAGTCATTAGCTTTGGATGGGTTCTTAGAACTTCCAGGGAATCAGAGAAGGGCCTGGAGATTAGAAATGGGCTGCACATACTGTATGTTTCACAAGCGTTAATTTTATGTGCTTTCAGAAAGGATGTCATTCTAGTCAACATTGTGAAAGGATACATCATTGGTGATTCTTTTTTTTTTTTTCATTTTTTTCTTACTTTTAACTGACAAGTGAAAATTGCTTATATTTATGGTATATAACGTGTTGATATACATATACATTGTGGAATGGCTAAATCAATCTATTTAGCATATTCATTATTCATTCTTTATGTGACTATAATATGTTAAAGACACAAGGAATACAATCACAGTTACTTGTTTTAACGACTTTATTACGGGTATATTTGCATACCATAGACTTTACCCATTTTTAGGATACAAATGAGTGATTTTTAGTAAACTTGCTGAGTTGAGCAACATCACCATTATCCAGTTTTCTAACATTTTCATCATCCCAATAAAATCCCTAATGCCTGTTTATAGTTATTCCCATTTCCACCTCTAATCCCAGGCCACTACTAATCTGCTTGTCCCCATAGATTTGTCTTCTCTGGATATTTTTTAGAAGTAGTGGCATACTGTATGTTGTCTTTTATGTCTGACTTCTTCCACCTATGTCATGCTTTTGAGGCTCATTCATATGGCACATGTACCAATTTTGTATTCCTTTTTATTGCTTAATAGTAATTTATTGTATGGATATACTATATTTTGTCTGTCTAGTCATCATCTGATGGACATTAAGTTGTTTGCATTTTTAGCAATTATGAATAATGCTTCTATAAATATTCACTTTCAAGTCTTTGTGTGGACATATGTTTCTTCTAGGGTAGACATTTAGGGGAGAAATTGCTAGATCATATGGTAAATTTATGTTTAACTTTTAAACAAACTTCCCATTTTCCATAATGGCAGTACTGCGATAGTACTTTGAAGCTGCCTACTGCATCTCCTTTAAGAATATAGAAGTATTGTGCTAGGTGCTGGCATATAAAGATGAACAAGTCAGTTTCTGCCCATAAGCATTATACAGTCTAATAGCCAAAATAATTATAGATATAATTACAAAGTTGAGGAAATGAAGTCGCTTCCTTTTCTGTCTAACTAGTAGAGTCTACTGGGGTTTTACATAATTAAGATTGTCTGAAACCAAAACAGAGAAAGCTAAAGGCTTCTTCCTTTCAGACACGTATTAAGTACTTGATATATTTCTGACAGAAATCAGAGCTAAAGATGGCCTTCTGCCAGAAGTTGAGTTCAGCTGCATGAAACAGAAAATCCCACATAATGAGAGCTTAAAGAAATAAAGGATTATTTTTCTGTGATACAACTTGAAACCTAAAGGTAAGCAATTCAGGGCTGGGACTACCTCTCTCTAAAGTCATCTGAGATTCAGAAGTCTTTCAGGTTTGGGCTCCACATTCACAGGATCAGGCCCTTGTCTTCACACTTATAAAATGAGGGATAGAGCTCCAGCCTTTACATCATCATTCCAGGCAGTAAAAAGGAGAAACAGTCAAGAGCAGAAGAGTTTGTGCCTGTTGAAGTTTGCTGGCTGGGTTACTTGAATTGCCTCCCTGGAACTTCCATAGAAGACTTCCCTTACATCACTGTCAAGTATTGGATCATGTAGCTACCTGGTCTTCAAGGGAGGCTGGCACATTAGTATTGCAGCTGGACATGCTCTTGCCCCAGTAAAGCAGGAGTCCATTGGTGAGGAAGAAGAGAATAGGTATTGTGTGGACAACCCACAGCCCTGACTTCTAGGAGTAAGTAATCAAGCAAGGGAAAGAGTATGCCAAAGAAGCCTGGTGCACAGGAGGTCTTCTGTAGTCCTTAATTTGGACCCTATTCCCCTAAAGCTGAACTTGTGACAGAGACTTGGGAGCATGTAATTTATTTGAGAGGTGATCCTGGGAAACAGGTCTGAGGGCTTAGAGAGAATGAGATGGATACGGAGCAAAAGCCAATTATAAGACACATTATCAAGCAGTTGCAGTAGGTGATGGAGGTTCAGGGGATATCTGGGAAGCATACACAGCATCTGCCATTGTCCACCTGCAGGATGGGGGAGCTGAAGAATGTATCTATTGCCTCTGGCCCTCATTAGTTGAGCGTTGCCCCTGGGGTCATTTACTCCCCCCTCATTTCCAGGTTGAACTTTGTCAGATGAGGAATGCCACACACACACACACCAGGGAAGACTCTGGGGCAGAATGTGTTCGTCACCCTTAAAGTGGCACCCTGGCAGTGTAAGTTGAATCTGAGCTCCCACGGAACTGGGGGAGCTGTCCAGCAAACGGCTGTTGAAATCAGAGGTAAGCTGGGTGCAGGGACACAGGCATCAGCAGCATCTGCCCCTCATGAAAAGTTCATATTTATAATAAAATCTAATCGTTGTGTTCTAACATGACTGCTGGCCAAACTGTCCCCCTTTTCGTGGCATGGATGTGACCTCTAATTATGCAATATTCTGCATGTCATTTTTAAAACAGCTTTGTTGAGATAGCGTCAATATACCATACAATTCACCTAAAGTGGACAATTCAATGGATTTTTAGTGTATTTTAGTATTTTCACTAATGACTAATCATATTGAGTCTTTTTTCATGTGCTTGTTGGACATGTGATATCTTCCTCGGTGAAATGTCTATTCAAATCCTTTGCTTCCAATCATTAAATTGGGCAATATGTCTTTTTGTTATAATATTAAATTGTAAATGTTCTCTATGTATTCCAGATACATGTCCCTTATCAGATATCTGATTTGTAATTACTTTCTCCCATTCTTTGTGTTGTCTTCTCATTTTTGTGGCATCTTTTAAAACACAAAAGTTGTTAATTTTGAGGAAGTCCAATTTACTTTTTTTTTTTTTTTTTTGAGACAGTGTCTCGTTCGCTCTGTTGCCCAGGCTGGAGTGCAGTGGTGCAATCTCAGCTCACTACAACCTCTGATACCTGGGTTCAAGCAATTCTCTTGTCTCAGCCACTCGAGTAGCTGGGATTATAGGCGTGCACCACCACACCTGGCTAATTTTTGTATTATTAGTAGAGGAGACAGGGTTTTGCCATGTTGGCCAGGCTGGTCTTAAACTCCTGACCTCAGGTGATCCACCTGCCTCAGCCTCCCAAAGTGCTAGGATTACAGGCATGAGCCACCATGCCTGGCCCACTTTTTTTTTCTCTTGTTGCTTGTGCTTTTGAGAGTGGGGAAGGAGTACTGAACCCTGTCAGCTTGTCAGCAAGGAGAAAGGGTGGTAAATTAGTGTATGAAATTTAAGAAAAGCTGTAAAAAATAGTTGACATTTAAGCTGGATCTTGAAGAATAAGGAGGGTATACCAGTCACAAAATTGAGGAAGAGCTTTTCAGGCAAAGAGACCACCTGGGTTCATTATCTCCTAGAATAAGAATCTCCTTGTTACATTTATTATAACTGATTCAAAACAGACACCCCCACATATGCCAACAACATACGGTAAACACTGACAGAGACTGTCATGTCCTACAATTGTTATTAATAAAGCCAATTCATTCATGCAAGATTCAGTTAAAACGTAATGCTGCATCTGTGCAACTCCCCCAGGAAAGTGGGAAGTAGTGTTTGGAGAAGACCAAATAAACACTCATGAGTGATGATGATACCTCTGAGGACACAGATTTTAAGTACTAGGTCCCAGCTGCTCTCTTTGAAGGATGCACACGACCAGAGAATGAAAGCAGGAAAAGGTGGTCAGTGCTCAGCACGTGCCAAGCACAGAGCAGGAAAAGACCTAGTAGATAATGAATGGTCCCTGCCTTATAGTCTAGCTTTACATGTATGACTCATGCCCTTGAAACCACAGACTGGATGTGACCCTGAGGGTAAGAGAAGTTCCCAAAAGGATTAAGAATGTGTTTTTTTCCAACCTAGAAGAATGGTGGCTTGGCATCAGAAATTAAGTCGTTCTGTTGAAAATAAACAGAAGTGGAAATGTATATTCAGGGCAACTTAAACTCATGCTCTTGACAAAATATTTTTTTAAAAAAAGCAAATAAACAAAAGTATTTCTCATGCCCCTCAGTTCATAGACAGAAACTCATACCAACAGGCTTTTTTTTTATTTTAGTAAGAACTGCCAAATGGTGAAACTATTCACAAACACTAGAAATGCATGAGAGTGTCCTCCCGATATTCTTACCTGAATTTTGCATCTTTTTATCTCTTGTCAATCTAGCTGGGAAAACGATATTAAAATCTCATTTTGACTGGCATTTCCCCAACTTCCTAGATGGCTTCACATCTTTTCATGTTTATTAACCATTTGCATCTTCTCTTCAGTAAATTATTATTTATATCCTTTGCCCAATTTTCTTAGGGGTAATTTATCTTTTTCTAGTTAATGTGAAAGTAGTCTTTGTATGTAAGAGATAGTAACTTTACCTATAGCAAATATTTTCATTCTGTTTTTCTTTTAACTTAGTTCAGGGTGTTTTTCCATACTAAATTTTGGATTGCTCATCTTGCTTAAGATCTTTCCACCCCAAGGATCCTAAGTTTTCTTCTATTTCCATATGCATATTTTTAATATTTCTCACACCTACACACACATACATAGTTACATGGAGAGATGGATCATTAATTCACCTAGAATGTGCGTGTGTGTGTGTGTGTGTGTGTGTGTGTGTGTGTGTAGGGATGAGAAGACTCAGTGTTTTCTGAGTTCATATGATCTACATGGGGAATCAGATCTAACATGGACCAAGTGTTAAACCATACTTCCAAGAACAACACTACATTAGTAGGCCACCTGCTAACTTCTGCCTTTCACATTTTCCAGCTTAAAACATCTCCATCCTCCCCATTATGTAAGAAAGAAGTACAGGTGTTTCTGACTGCTCCCTCTCCCATGATCCCATAACCCATCAGTTCTGAAGCTGCATTATCCAACCTTCTGAATCTCTCTGACCACCCTCCAAGTCTTCCAAGTCCCCATGGCCACTCCCTTGCTCCAGGCCACCATCATCTCACCCTGGGTCTTTGCAACACCCTCTGCCCCGGACTCCCTGGCCTACATGCTCAGTCTGTCTAATTCATTCTCCACCCTGCAACCAGGAATATTTCTAAAATGCAGACCCCATCTCATTCCTGCCCTACCTATGTTTCTTCCACAGTCCCCATTGCTGTCAAGGTACTGTCCAAATTCTCACATCTGGCTGAGGCTGTCCTTCAGGATTCAGGCACCTCTCAACTTTTTAAGAAACTGTGCAGCCTCATTTCTCAGATTGTGTCTCCTATTTCCATGCTCTGACCAGAGCAGACTACTTTCAGCACTTTCAAAAGCCCAAGATTCTTTTTCAGTGGAGCTCAACTGTGACTATGCCCCAGCTCACCTGTCAAAAATTGCAAACACACTTGTTCAGGTCTTACACCTGGGTGATTCTGACTCCGCGGGTCAAATGGGATCTCCACATCCACAATCTGTGATGACTTCTATGGCCAGGGTGCTCTCTGCCTCCAGGCTGCAGACGTGTGATTCCCTCTGCCTGGAGTCCTCTTCTACCTCCTCCAGCTCCAGCCCCCACCCCACCACCCACCCCAAACTGGATATGACCTCTTCCTCCTTGAAGTCAAAGCATAGGTGCTCCTTCCTCCAGGAACTTTGACAGTCCGGGTTAGGGCTCTTCCTCTTTGCATCCCTGGTTTCCTGGACTTTCCTGATTCAAGCATTTATTGATTCCTCTTCTTCCACCCCAGACTCTGAGTTCGGGGAAGCCTGAGATAGTGGCTGTTGTCTTGCTCACCACTGTATTTCCTGCACTCAGCAGAGACCTGACACATAGTAGGCGCTCAATAAATGTTTGCTAAACAACAACAACAAATGAATGAACTAACAAATAAACAAACAAATGAACAGATGAGTGGATGCCTGTGGCAGTTTCCATGACAAACACAAAGGGCTAAGCCAAGCCAGCAAGCAGACAGCCGTGCGGCCTGCAGAGGGCACTAGTCTGCTTCTTAATCTCCCTGCAGAATCCTCAGGGCCAGGTACCTGCTGTCAGTCAGAGAGGTGCCCGATGCTCAGTGGTCATTCTGCTGCGCTGAAGATTAAGTAGGAGTTGTTTGCCCTTGGCCAATATGAAAAACCTGAGTGTTCTCCCTTCACTTCTAGCGACAAGTAACACATCCCCTGTCTTGCCATGAAAAGAGCTGTAACTGTAGCAGCCGGTGGCAGGTTTTCTGTTCCCAGGTGGGGAAGTGAGGAGAGACAAACAGAGGGGTGAGAGGGAGACAGAAGGAAGACAGCTGGTAAGAGACCCTATGGTGTATTTTTTCTATGTAAACAAGATAAAAACTGCTCCTCCTGGAACAGCAAAGTTCTCCCTATGTCTCCAAGCTACAAACTTGCATGCTAGCTACTAACTAGCTACTCTCCCTCTCTCTCTCTCTTCCCCCTTCGCTCTTTCTCTCTGTGTGTATGTCTCTCTCTCTCTCTGTCTCTTCCTCCACCCTCTCTCACTATCTGTCTCTCTACCCTCCCCATCCTTTTATTCTAGAGGAGAATAAACTCTAAGGCCAGATTGAATGAGCATCCAAAAGACGTATCTGGAGGGAGATTTTGTCTTTCCTGTGAGCAGCAGCAGCTTCCTACGGACCCTGCTGGAGCCCCAGCTCGGATCAGCCCTTCTGACAGCAATGAATGCTTCGTGCTGCCTGCCCTCTGTTCAGCCAACACTGCCTAATGGCTCGGAGCACCTCCAAGCCCCTTTCTTCAGCAACCAGAGCAGCAGCGCCTTCTGTGAGCAGGTCTTCATCAAGCCCGAGGTTTTCCTGTCTCTGGGCATCGTCAGTCTGCTGGAAAACATCCTGGTTATCCTGGCCGTGGTCAGGAACGGCAACCTGCACTCCCCGATGTACTTCTTTCTCTGCAGCCTGGCGGTGGCCGACATGCTGGTAAGTGTGTCCAATGCCCTGGAGACCATCATGATCGCCATCGTCCACAGCGACTACCTGACCTTCGAGGACCAGTTTATCCAGCACATGGACAACATCTTCGACTCCATGATCTGCATCTCCCTGGTGGCCTCCATCTGCAACCTCCTGGCCATCGCCGTCGACAGGTACGTCACCATCTTTTACGCGCTCCGCTACCACAGCATCATGACCGTGAGGAAGGCCCTCACCTTGATCGTGGCCATCTGGGTCTGCTGCGGCGTCTGTGGCGTGGTGTTCATCGTCTACTCGGAGAGCAAAATGGTCATTGTGTGCCTCATCACCATGTTCTTCGCCATGATGCTCCTCATGGGCACCCTCTACGTGCACATGTTCCTCTTTGCGCGGCTGCACGTCAAGCGCATAGCAGCACTGCCACCTGCCGACGGGGTGGCCCCACAGCAACACTCATGCATGAAGGGGGCAGTCACCATCACCATTCTCCTGGGCGTGTTCATCTTCTGCTGGGCCCCCTTCTTCCTCCACCTGGTCCTCATCATCACCTGCCCCACCAACCCCTACTGCATCTGCTACACTGCCCACTTCAACACCTACCTGGTCCTCATCATGTGCAACTCCGTCATCGACCCACTCATCTACGCTTTCCGGAGCCTGGAATTGCGCAACACCTTTAGGGAGATTCTCTGTGGCTGCAACGGCATGAACTTGGGATAGGATGCAGGGCCATGGAAATGATCATCAGTCGGGTCACTTTTGACTTTCCATCCACGTGAGGTGTTTAGAAAGAAAAATATATATACTTAGAAAATATAAAAATGTGTTAACAGCCATGATTGTACTTGTCGTTTGTTTTTAAGTTTACAAAGCCTTTTAAAGGGGAAAATTGGTGAACAACAGATTCTCTGAAAGGATTCCAAGATGGGTAAGTCACAAACTCTGATTTCCCAAATAGTCACTGGGAGAAATCAGCGAAGGCTTCTCTGCATGCTCTCTGCACTCATTTCCAAACACCCAGGGTGTGCGACGCCTGTCTGCTCATCTGCTCCACACCCACGTCTTCATGCTCCAGGCCAGACCAGACTGAAGGATTCTCATGAACAATAAGGGTGGTTCAGATCTCTTGCAAGCAAACCTGTTACAGCTACGACCTCCTGCTGCCAGCTACACGGAGAGATAGCTTTGCACTTATAACTCCGTAGGAGACTGAGTTCTACTCTATTATTCTATTTACAGTTAGACAATTGTCTCTTTGTGAAAGGAGCAATGCTATGCCGTTTTCCCCTTTTCTTACCCCCATATCCCTTCAGTTGTCCCCACCCCCAAAGGTAGCATGAGGATGTAACCCACTTCTATTTTTCTGTTGTTGTGTTGGTGTGTGTTGTTGTTTTGTTTTTATGGATTAAATCTAAGACAACCTTCAAAACTCTAACGAAAGAGAGAAAGTGCTTTGGACAATCAGAATATACTTGTGTACGTGTATTTTGATACCTTGCTATTTTAAGGTATAGATTAATCTTTTTAAAATAACTTCTTTTTTTCTATCATTTACTTTTAGCCTTTAAAACAAGAAAGGAAATCATGGGTTGGGGTACATGTATATACGTGTGTGTGTGTGTGTGTGTGTGTGTGTGTGTGTGTGTGTATCACAAGAAATTGCTTTACTGTAGCTTAAGATAGTTTGAGAAACCGTAGAACCACTGTGTGACTTTCTTGGGAGCCCTTGTTTTTGCTTATAGTAATTGCATCTCTATCACAGGACTTCTTCAATATTATCTATGAAAGAGAAAGTTTTTTTGTTCTTTTCCCTTTTTGCTTGGCATTGTGTTAAAGTTGAGTGACCCTGTTATCAATGTCTATATCCTATCAAGTACAGGAATTCATTCCTGGGAGCAAAGGGTGAGACTGGCTGACTAGTGCTCGCATTGTCAGATCCTTTTCTGCCCAAGATAACTTCAATTTGTGCTTTCTGGCTGTCCCCATATCTCCCCCTGTCACAAATTCTTATATTAAGCTGTGTCTTGGGGTGCAATTGTGTGTTTATCTTGCACTAGCATATACTGGGGTTCTTTAATACTTGAAGATTTTCTGCTAATATAAGCAAAACCATTCCTTTCTTGCTTTGGTTATGATGTTTGGAAATAATAAAAAGCTTTTATGGCTGCTAAACGTGTGTTACATTGAAATACACCCTGGAATCATTCTGGTGACTCCTGCACACGGCCATGGTATGTTTCACTGCAATTCAGTGATGACTTTGTAAGTGGCATAAACAGCTCCATTGATCACAGTGCTAGTCTTTTCTAGGGCAATGCCTTTTAGCCAAACTACAAAACTCTCCCATTTAGTTTCCAAAAATACCAGGTTTGTGGTTCCCGGGCCACTGTCGTTCTCCATTATTTTAATCAAGACACTAAATTACAGGACTTTCCATGGCCGCTCAGTGGGTAAATGTAGAGAATGGGGAATCTAATTACTTGAAAGTGATATGAATAGCTATAGGGATTATGTCTTTTTTCTATGTAAACAAGATAAAAATAACTTACTTTTCACTCTTATATCAGTTTTCACACTATTTCATTTTATCCCATTAGCAAACCTCTAAAATAGGTGAGTCATTTTACAAATGAAGAAATTTAGCCTTGGAGGGGTGATATGGTTGTCCAGGAGCACCCACCTAGTTAGGGTCATGGTATATTCTGCATCCTGGGGCTGATGTCCTTTTGCACCAATATGCTGCTGCCAGCAGGTTTTCATCATCAAAACTAGTCCCCCTCTCCTCCCTGTATGTTTTAGCTTGCAGGGGCACTTCCAAACTGGAAGGCCCACGAGCATCACCTGGGATCCTGTGCAAGTGCAGAATCTGATTCGGCAGGTCCAAGGTAGGGACTAAGAGTCTGCATTTCTAACTCCGACAAGCTCCTCGGGGACGTGGCTGCTGGTTGGGGGTCCCCATCTTAAAGAGCAAGGGCATAGAGGATTTTCAAATGAGTATTATGCGAAGTAAAAGTACTCTTCTGCCTAGAATGCTGACCCCACGCCAGGGACTGTGCTAAGCACTTCACAGGCATTTGCTCCTTGTGATAACCCTACCAGGTAGATACCATGGTTATCCTGATTTTGCAGATGAGCTATGTGAAACTCGGAGAGGTTAAGGAGCTTGTCTATAGGAACTCGGCCAGCAAGTAGAGATAGGGAGATTCAGGCTGGCCAGCCCCCACCCCCAAATCCAACCAGTGTCCTAGCCCCTCTCATGATGACACAGGAACCTTTGAACTGGGACCCAATGACTTGGGAGCCACGTGTCGCCATGCAGAGAGAACTTGATGCATGTTTCTACCACACACAGGTCCAGATGTTCCCAGCAGAGTTTCCAGAGAGATGTCATAAAAATCAAAAGGCACAATTAATTCTTTAACTTGCTATAAATTTTCCAAAGTCTGTGAGTAGCCCTGGGGAGTGCATCAAAGAGGTAAGTTACTAAAGCATCCGTTTCCCTAGTGAACAACCCTGAACGCTGGGGTGCCACTGTCTCCTCCGCGACCACTTTCTCAGATTCTCAAGTGGGAACTCACCAGATGTTTTAAGCGGCAGGACAGTCATGTTTGAAAATGCTTAATTGTTGGAAGTAAAAGCACACCATGATTTTAGCTCATCTGTTAATTCATTTATCGATTTTCACCCCCATCCCCAAGGCAGAATCCCTGCAGTACTTGATTCTCTGAGTCCTGAGAAGTTGTTGCCTGTTGTCCTTATTTAAGATGAACTTTTGAATTTAATTTTGAAATCTTTCTATAGAGGCTGGGTGCTAAAACATACGCTAGCCTCTCTGGCTGAAAACATTTTTTAATTCACGCTCACCTCCACTAAAATCCATTCTCCACATAGCAGCTAGTGCAATTATTTAAAAATATAAATCAGATTATATTACACTTCTGCTCAAAACTCTTCAGTGTCTCCCATTACCTTTTGAATAAAAGCCCAGTTCCTTACCCAGCCCTGCTAAACTCTAGTCATCTGATCTCTTCTGCTAACTCTCCAGCCTCCCCTTACACCATGCCTCTGCCCCGCCCCAAACCAGACTCGCATTTGCCATATGCTCCTCTCTGCCCCAGGGCCTTTGCAACCACTGTTCCCCCTGCCTCGGGTCTCTACCTCAGATCTTCCTGGCACATGCTCCTTCTTATCAGCCTCCAGCCCAAATCCTCAGAGATGCCTTCCCTGACTGCGCTCTCTAAAGGAGGACCTCAGTCACTCACACCATCACTGTTTTATCACAGCTCTTATTACTATTTTATATTTTCTTGTTAATTTATTTGATTAATTCTCATCAATCTCTCTCACCAGAAAGTAGTGCCTAGGAGATAAAAATAGTCAATAAAAATATGTGACTTTATTAACACATTTAAATATGAGCTCAAATCTAACCAAAGAGAATATAGCACACTGGAGATTCTCAAATTTTGGTGACTGTCAGCACCATGTGAAGTTTGAGAAAGACAGCCTGTTCCCTGAATCTCATGATCCAATAGATCAGAGGTCATCTCCAGATATCTGAAAATTTTAAAATCCACAGGTGATTTTCCGAGTTTGGTATACACGGTGTATGATGTACACCAAACTCAGAAAACCACCAAAACCAACAAGTTCTGATTATTATCCTTAAAGAATAACAAAAATCAACACCTCAGGAGCTTACATGTCTGCCCTATCACCCCTTCCTGTCATCCTTTCAGGTCGGGGTGTCACCTACCTTAAATTAATGTTGGATCATCCAAAAACCAAGGCAAATCTAGAAACTTGGAAGAACCAGATAACGAAATGCAGAATACAAGATAAACCCTTCAATCAGAGAACTCAACCTTTCATATCTAAGAGCATTTATTTAGGAGCCAAATCAACAAAAATAATAACAAAAGACATGATATGGTGTTTATTATGTGGCTGATACTTTACTAAGCACCTAGGTATATTAACTTATTTAATCCTCGCCAAAACCCCGTAAGGCAGGCACTTTTACCTCTTGTCCTATAGATAAGGAATCTGTGGATCACAGACGTGAATCATCTTGACTGTCTTGACCGATACTACTCAGCAGGGATGAGGCAGAGCTGAGATGATTGGAAAATGACCACTAACGCTACAGGCTTAAAGAAGCACTTACACATTGAATCCACTTTTCTTTAATCATCAGAGATGTGGATAAAAACCAACACACAAGGACACCCAAGGCGGTAGTGCCAGCAAGGGAAAAAAAGGCTTTGGAGGAGGAGCCAGGCAGCGCTGGGTGTGCATCCTTAGGCAAGTCTCTTGACCTCTGGGCACCTCATTGGCTTATCTGCAAGGTGGGAGCTCCACCTACTTACATGGCAGCAAGCAGCTGTGATGATTCAGTGAAGTATAACAATGTCCAAAAATAATTAGCACGTGAACTTCACGTCCCCTTTCCCCTTCGCTTGCTGGACTCTAGACATTTCTGAAGTTGCCTGCAGTTTTCCTGCCCCTCGTCTCTGAGGTTCCTGAAAACAGCAGTTATTAATGAGGGGAAGGAGAGGAGAAGGTGAAAGTTTAGCCTAATGTTTCTACAAGTACAAAGTGAATTCCACGGGAGGCATACAAGATGGTTTGTGATGAGTACACATATCAACACGTGCCCACTTTTTTTTCACAGAATAACTTTCCAAGTAAACAACAATTTGAATATTTTAAAGTGTATTAACATAATATGTATGTCTGAATGTATATTATATTGTTTATAAAACTCATGATTTTTAAAATAGTATTGCTAAACATGAGACTTGAGTGGTACCTGCAAAGAAAGAAGTGAGTTGACTAGGATAAAATTAAATAAAGCCGGCGATGTGGCTCACACCTGTAATCCCAGCACCTTGGAAGGCTGAGGTGGGTGGATTACCTGAGGCCAGGAGTTCGAGACCAGCCTAGCCAACATGGTGAAACCCCGTCTCTACTAAAAAACACAAAAACTTGCTGGGTATGGTGGAGCACGCCTGTAATCTCAGCACCTTGGGAGGCTGAGGTGGGTGGATTACTTGAGGCCAGGAGTTCGAGACCAGCCTAGCCAACATGGTGAAACCCTGTCTCTACTAAAAAATACAAAAATTAGCTGGGCACGGTGGAGCATGCCTGTAATCTCAGCTACTCAGGAGACTGAGGCACAAGAATCACTTGAACCCAGGAGGCAGAGGTTGCAGTGAGTCAAGATCGCACCACTGCACTCCAGCCTGGGCAATAGAGCAAGACTGTCTCCAAAGGAAAAAAAAAATTAAATTAATGGGATACAGGCATTTTAAAATTCAGAATAGGAATGTTTGAAAAATTGAAGTTTGAGAAAACCTATGCTCAAAATAAAACCATTAGAGGAGAGGGGGAGTAAGGCCCAGAAATAAGGCAGGAGAGGAGAGGAAGTCAAGAATACCACTGAGACTGGGCCAAGAAAGAAGCTGCCATCCATGTGATGGGTCCACAGAGAAGGATAGATCGAGTCAGGATTCTCAAGCAGTTTGGCTGTGCAATTGGCATGTATTCTCTGACCCCTTGGCATTCTCTGGAGAGAATGCACTAAATATTTTCACTGCATTTCACCTGAGTTTCTCAGCCTCAACATCACTGACATTTGGAAGCAGCTCATTCTCTGTTGTAGGAGGCTGTCCTGTGCTGTTAGCATGTTTAGTAGCATCTCCGGCCTCTACCCATGAGATGCCAGTAACTCCCCAAATCCTAACACATGACAAAAATGTCTCCAGACATTGCCAAATGTTCTCAGGGGGATGAAATGGCCTGCATTACCCTCATTTTGTTCCTCTCCACCTTATTTCTTTGACTGTGATGCCACATTGGGACAGAACCACATGGGGGCCTGATTTTATGCAGGCTGCCAAGGTGGTGTATGTGAACATCCAATCACATGCCTGGAAAATAGTGCTCAGAAAAAGGTGCTATTGTACTACGTTAAATAATCCACTAATTCAAAAGAGCAAAGGGAGCATGTTAAGCCCTTATGTGTCACATTAACATGGACCACCTTAAACCAAGCTTTCTGGGATGAGCAAAATGGCTTCAGCAATGCTCCCCAGGCCCCAGAGACTCCCCATCAGAGAACTTACTACACTGTTTCATTTTTCTGCTAACTTCTCCTTTCTACCAGGCTGTTAACCAAAAGTTGAAAGCATATTAGGACACGGATAAATTCAACAAATGGCTGAGTGAGATTTGTGGCTCACTCCTGTAATCCCAGCACTTTGGGAGGTCAAAATAGGAAGACTGCTTGGGGCCAGGAGTTCCAGACTAGCCTGGGCAATATAGCCAGGCATGGTGGCATGCACCTGTAGTCCCAGCTACTTGGGAGGCTGAGGTGGGAGGATTGCTTGACAAGCCCAGGAGTTGGAGGCTGCAGTGAGCCATGATTGCACCACTGCACTCTAGTCTGGGGAACAGAACAAGACTCTGTCTCAAGAAAAAAAAATCAACAAATGTAAGCACGGACCTCTGACCCAGGGGTTTGCAACTAATGGCACAGAGGCAAAAGGAAAATCTTGAAGCCCTAGAGCTCCCTTCTGATTTTGTTGTCCAGTCTCTGAGGTCAGGCAGACCCATGTTCAAATCCTGCATCTTTTACTTGCTGTGTGATGATCACTGAGGTTCAGCCTCCTCACCTGTAAAATGGGATAATAATGACCATGCACTTTAAAACCTGTTTTAAAAAGCAAAGTAAAATCAATGCAAAGGACCCCACATGGCAGCTGAAATAAAAGGCGCACAATAAATGCTCTCTGTATCCAGCACAGATGATAAGCAAACCCTGGACACAATCTCCTTGGTGGTCAGGATTTCTCTGGAAGGAATTTCAGCCTCCGTTTCAACAGTCACCAAGGACAAGTGCAAGGTTGTCACTTTTAGACTAAGAAGTGATGCAAAGTAAGCTCTCATGAGCCAAGTGGGAATCCAGCAGCTGCTAAATGGGAATTTTATTTTATAATTAAATTCTTCATTATTTGGCATAACAGGGGCTTTGGCAGGGGGGTTCGTAGCATTCTATATGCTATCCATTTGTGAACGTTTGTTAAGCTTTTGTTTCTGAAAACTTTGTAAGAACTTACAAAATGTTCTTTCAAATGCTCCATTTTGCCATCTTGTTAATTAGGCCGTGCTGAAATCAAGTCTACACCCCCAGAGCTCTCTGCTGAGTGGAAGCAAAGAATTTGGCTAATGATATGAGCTGCTCAAGCCAGAAACACACATTTCCCATGAAATACCCCAATAATCAGTTCATTTCTCTAAGCACTCTACAGAGCACAGGCCTAAGCACCGAAATAGATACATGTACAATCCTGCCAGTGTGTTTGTTTTTTATTAGGGGGAAAGAATCCTTCCTAGTGTTTTTCTCATTGCTTCTGTGATGTGTGCTGGATTTTGAAGAGGCTGGCACATCCCACTCAGCATCAGAAAGAACACAGAGCAAAGTCACAGGTGGTCCTCAGGGTAACTATCAGAGAGTGGCTGTGAAGGACTCTGTTTATCAGGAAAGAAGAAACTGTTTCCTCACCCTGAAAAGATGCGGGTGCCAAGTGGAGGAAACCAAGCTGAAATTCAGGAGAGCCTGGGACCAGGCGTGGCTCAAGGCTCGTATGACATGAGCAAGTCTATTGTTATCTTGTGGGTTTCAGTCATACCATCTACGCGACTGGCAGAGCTGGATTCCGAATCCAATGTGTGGTTTTCAACCCTCATCCTTGTCTGTGGTGGTCACAGGTCACGGCTGCCACAGCACTGTGTTTCAGGTGAAACAAACTCCACCTCAACACCAGCCCCAAGGCAAGTGTCTGGCCCACACCTGACCAACTGGAGTCCTCTATCTCTTGGCCACAGCAGCCAGGTCCATGACCTAAGACAGCCTGGGGAGACTCAATAATACCATCCTTGAAATACTAAGACAAAGAGAGGACTTCCTCCCCCAAGCCTTTTGTTACCAAGCTACCTGAGGCTTAAGGAGTGAGGGACCAGTCTATTAGAGGATGAAGCCAACATCAAAGAAAGCAGGCAAAAGAAAGAGAGGAGATTTTTGATCCTAGAATTTGAGCACCATGATCCAGCTACGCCTGAAGCTAGTCCAGAATTTCAGTTACTGAGCTATTTGTCATTTTTAACCAACAGTATTCTGACACATGTGGAGACCAATGTATTGATTCTTCAGAGGCCAGTGTCAGTGTTAAGGGGGACAAGAAGAAACCAGGTCAGGGAAAGGGGAGAATAGAGGGACCTTGAGTGAGAAGAATGGCTCCAAGCTCAATGAGACCACCTCTATCTCGATCTGCTTTGCATAGTGAGTTTACACATTTTCAAAAAAGAATTAGCTAAAAACCACACAAACAAAAGCAAACCCCTAGAGTAGATGATTTAAAGTAACGTCTGATCTGCCATCCTATTTATACTAAGAATAAACAGGCAGAACTTCACTGAAACATTTCTAATTAAAGTATGAAAATGAAGGTAGAAAATTGAACAACAGAACCAGCATTTCTACTGTGTTTAGCCACTGGTTTCCTTTTTGGTGACCCCCATGATTTCTGGATGGCACTGCACCAAACCATTTCTCATGTGCTATGGTAACTATAAAATATAATAACATTAAGACAAGCTGGGTTTTCTTGGCAGCCAAATGGCTAGGGAAAGACAGGTTTCCAATGGGTGGAGGCTCTAAGATGCTCAGTGAGTGGCTGCATCTCCAGGGTTTGTGGACCAGCCAGTGAAGAGCTCAGAGTCTTTGCAGAAGAAGGCAAAGGATGGTGATTCAGAGCTGCATGGAGGAAAGTGGAGAGAAGAAATGAGGAGGGCTTAGAAGTCTCATGGTGATGTCTCCTAAGCTGTTTGCTGCATGGGGTGCAAAGGAACCTCTTCTCTCGTCACAAAACCTTCAGTAAAATGCATGAGTCACCAGTGCTTAAAGCAATGGATGTAGTCGTTGGGAGAGAAACAACATGCTGAGTTCAACTTCAAGGTTGGCCGACAGCATAAACTATGGGTGCCCAGAGGAAGCAGAAGACATTCAATATTTATATCTTTCTCCTCTTCCCTCCCATCTTCCCACCACCCCTCCACACTGAGAGGGCCATGAGGAGGCAGGCTTTACCTCATTCATCTCCAAGTTCACCCCAGTGCCTGGCCCGCAACCTGGTCCAAAGCAGACTCAGAAAATGTCTGAGGACTGAGCAAATGAATAAATGAGGGCAACTTGGGACTCCCTAGTTAATTCATTCAAAAAGATGAACAGTGTAACATAGAGCTACCATGAATTTTAGATGAGGGCAAGACCTGAATTCCATCTGGGATCATGCTTCTCATTGCCTCTCACCAGCATGGGGCCATTTATTTCTGTTTCCTCCCCAAGAAAAATGGGAATAATCATAACATCTAGGTCAAGGATTGTTTAGATATTTCAACAAAGTAATACATATAAGGCTTCTCAGCACACTGCCTAGCATCCATTAGTATTTGTACTATTGCTAATATTACCATGAAAGAATATTAGTGGGTCACCATAGTACATTCTGGGCACAAACCACAGGGCTTTTCAAATAGAAATGTGTACCCAAATCCCCTGGGAATCTTGTTGAAATGCAGATTCTGATCCACAGGCCTGGGGTGGGGCCTGGCACTCCACATTTCTAGCAGACACCATTGATGCCAATGCTGCTGTTCTGAGGCCCATGCTTGGCATGGCGAGGCCTCCCACAACCAAGACAGCAGAACAGAGGACAAGCCAACCCACAGCTGGAAATCATAGCTAACACAGCTCCTTCCCAAAGCAACCGTATCCACTCAATCCTGTAAGACCAAAGGAAATGCCTAGGGAAATCAAAAGAGATCATAATTAAATGAAATTTTCTTGCATTTTTCTTCATACAGGATTAGTTTCCGTCTCCCCTCTCTCATCCTCCTCTGGCAGCCTCTCCACAGCACCCATTTGTTTGGGATGAAATGATGCAGATAGGTGAGTTATCAACATTCCAGACATGGGCATGAATCACCAGCAAACAGTCCACCCTCTGAGTCACCCATCTCTGAGATGATTCCATCAATACAAAATCCCACCAGAAAACTCCAAAAAGAGGAAAAATGAGCTATCAAGCAAGAAAGGCATGGAGCAATGGGAAGAGAGGATGGCAAGTGAGGGTGAGTCAAGGCGCCCAGCACTACTTGCACTGGCTCTAGGTGAACTAGCACCACTGAGAGAAGTGGTTCTCAAATTTGGAGGCAACTGCAAAACTTTAAACATAGTGATTCTAGGTCCTATCCCTCAGAGCATTTGATTTAATTGGAGGGAAGTGCACACCAGATGGAGGGATTATTTTTAAAAAGCTCCAATGTGACACTTCGGAGAACTGGCATCAGTCGGCTCAGGATGGGAATGCCATCAGTGCTGGGCAATGCTCACCCCACTAAGCCAAGGGTTTCCCTTCTGTAAAATGGGATGAATAATTTGCTTCAGGACTGTGGTGAACATCACGGATAAAAAGTCCCAACAGTCTCCTTGGCAAACATTCATCATTCCTATGCATTTTCCTGCCAGGATAAGACCTTATCTTTTTGAACGCATATCTCATCTATAATTTCAAGCCAATTTAGCAAGTATATCTTATATATAATTTCAAGCCAATTTAGCAATCACCAACTTTGCAATTGCTTGTTTTCAGATGATGTTAGGCTTCAACTATCCTACTTGGCACATAAAACCTGTACCTTCTTTCTGAGCCTACTCTTTCTTCTTCTCCAAGCCTGAATTTCCTTCTTTTCTGTCAACACAGGTTGAGTGTTTAACATGGACCAGGTGCTTGGAATGCAGCCGAGAATAAGATAGCCCGGTCCTCACAAAGTCTACAGGGCAGGTAAAGCGACACCCCTTGGACAAGCATAGTTTGGATTCTTCTTAAAGTGAAAGTTTGCAGGGAAAGGGAACAGAAAGCTACAGATGGATTGATCTCTTCACTGTGTCTCTTTAACCCAATCGTTTAGCATTTCTGTGCCTCAGTTTCCCCATCTGTAACAGGAATGGTTCTTGTACTTACCAGCTGACACTGGGCAGGTAAACAGACTCTGAAGATGATAAGAACTCCTTATCAAGCACGTTTTATGTTAACCAAGACTTTTCTCCCAATCTCAGATCACTTTGCTAAGGGGGAACTAAAAAGGAAGCAAAGATTTAGTGCAGAGGCAAACAGATTGTTTTCTGTGTTCTAAAGCTCAGCCAGAAACACTTGTGCAGGTAAGAACTTCCTCCACAACACTGAGGAACAAGAGACAGCATGCCACTTTTAAATCAAATTCTGATGACCCCTATTTATTCCAGACACAAGCAGAGTCAAGGCTCTTTCCACTGCAGGCAACAAAATCTCATCTCAAACTTGAGCAAAAAACAGCATGGAGAGGGGATACTTATTCAGGCCCTGCTTCATCTGCGTAGTGAAATGATATCATCGGAAATCTTTCCTTCTGTGTGTCCCAAGAACATTCCCTTCTTTTGTTTTTTTCTCTAACAGGTTACTTTTACTATCAGCTCACCAACTCCAGGAGAAAACCAGCTACTCTTTCCCAATAGTCTCCCTATTCATGTCCCTCTGCCTCAAAAAACGAATACAAACTTCAGGCCAGCTAACTCAAATCTATGCCAGCCTGAACTAATCACCACGAGCAGCATCTTCACTCAGGCCAAGATAAAACCACACCCTGGAGCTAGTGATGGGGCAACAGCCACACCCAAGCCACATGGACCAGCAGAGACGGAGAGGAAGTCTCCCACAAGAGAATTGGGTGCTGATTCCAAAAAAAAGGCAAGCAAAACCAGTCACTGTCCACCTTTCTCTCTTATTCTACTCTGTTAGTCCCCAACACTTTGGCTCTTTTATAGGCTTTCTTTGCACAATCCACTCATTCTTGCAGGCTGCAGGGGTTCTTTTGCTTGCTCTAAAATACAGCTGGTAATTTCTAGATGGCAATTTAGTACATCCATTTTAAAATACTAAACCATCTTCTAAAACTTATATCCAAATCCACAGATATACATGATAGGAAAAATGCTTAGTTTTGTAGTGAGTATTCCTACAAGTTGAGTTTTTCAGTTCTTTCTTTCTAACATTTAAGGGCTTGCATAAGCTAGCCTGCTAAATGGTTTGTTTCTCATGCCTCGTCTTGTCCTTGGTTTCATAATACCACTAGACTGAAGCTTTGATTTTTCTGGGCCACAGTACTGCTCAGAACTAATCAAATGGATGTGTGTTATGAATCAAAAAAAATAAGTAAATTGTATCTTAACTCTTAAAGCAGGAGTATAAAATAAAAACAGGTGAACCATTTCCTCAATTTTTATTCAATTTTAAAACTATCCTTTCCCACTCCAACTTACACACATACAGTTAGATTATTAAAAATAAAAAAGGTATGCAAGCAAATTTATTTTATTTTATTTATGTATTTATTTATTTATGAGATGGAGTCTTGCTCTGTCACCCAGGCTGGAGTGTTGCGGCACAATCTCTGCTCACTGCAACCTCTGCCTCCCAGGTTCAAGCGATTCTCCTTCCTCAGCCTCCCCAGTAGCTGGGATTACAGGTGCCTGCCACCACGCCTAGCTAATGTTTGTATTTTTAGTAGAGACAGGGTTTCACCATGTTGACCAGGCCGGTCTTGAACTCCTGACCTCAGGTGATCCTCCCACCTCAGCCTCCCAAAGTGCTGAGATTACAGGCATGAGCCACCACGTCCACCCTGTGCAAATTTTCTAGTAGGAATTTTTGTAATAACCAAAATTGAAAAGCCAAAACGTCCATTCACTGGTGAAGGGATAAACAAAATGTGGCACATCTGTATGATGAAATAATAGTCAGCTATAAAAAGGACTGGATTGCATTTACAACACGATTGACCCTCAGAAACATTCTGCTAAGTGAAAGAAGGCAGACACACACAAGACTAGATTTTGTATGACTTTATGAAATATCTAGAAAAGGCAAATTCATGGAGACAGAGGGTAGATTCGTGGTTTTCTGGGCTTGGGGGAGGCAGCAGGGATTAACTATGAACAGGTATGGGGGTCTTATTGGGGTGGCAGAAATGTCCTGATACTGGAATGTAGTGATGGCTACAGGACTCACTAAGAAACTAAAAAATAATTGACCCTTCACTTAAAATGAGGGAATTTTATAGGAATAAATTATACCTCAACAAAGTTGTTCTAGCAGTTAAAAGACAAATGAAATGAGATAATGTGCCTGTTGCTCCATTGCAATGGTCAGTGACCCACCTACCCGTATTAGCAGGATGTCCAGACCATGCCCCTGAAGACACTCCGATACCTTCCACTTTTGTTAAGATTACAGAGGGAAGGTTCAGTTCTGCTCATATCTATCTCCAAGAACAAATTAGGTCCCAGCTTTTTGAGACTAGGGACAACCACAGCGAGAATCCCACTACCCCAACATTACACCCCACCCCAAAGTGGCCCAGACTCCCAGTACATCATGGCCAGGCCCCTTAAACTTACTGAAGCTGCAGACTTCCAGGGCATAAACCTCCCACAGCTTGGCCTCCTTTTTGGCAACCTAAAACCAGCACTCAGACCTACTCCCAGTTCCATGGCAGACCCAACCTCCACGGGCTATTTCATTCATCCCCTATGTAGGTCGCCAGATAAAATAAAGGATGCCCAGTTAAATCTGATTGCAAATAAACAAATCATCATCTTATATAGTTTAAGCGTATTCCAAATATTGCACAGGACATACACTTTAAAAACTGCCATTTATTTGGCAACCCTACAAAGGAAATGAATGAGGTAATTCAAGTGAGATGTGTTTTTATTTGCTAAATCGAGCAACTCCATCCCCACAGCTATTTTCTATTTCTTGGTACTTTTCTTTTCCCTGTCCCTAGGTCTTAGCGGGAACCCCGTCCCCCCAAACCCAGTAAGTCTTTCTAACTTGAAATCTCAGGGATGCCTGGCTGGCTGTTTGATTTCCCTCACTGTACTGCTTCCGTCCTTCCCAGGAGCAGCCTGGGCAGTTTCCACATGGAGCAACAGGCATTCTGGGAACTGAAAGCAGCTCGTAGGACTGGAGCACAGAGGGCTTGTTTAGGAACAGAGAGTGACATGGCTGGAGAGTCAGACATGCCTCGTCATGGGGAAAGAAGAACTTTATATGGCATCCCGAGGGCTCTGGATGGATTTCTGTAAGTGATGGAATGCCAAAAATGAAATCTGGGCAGTGAAGTAACACAATGTGTTGGATGTGTAGGAAAGATGACTTAGGTGATAGAATGGAGCAGTTAGGAGGCGGTGGTAATAGTCCAGGTGAGAGATGGCCAGCTCTGTGATTATTAACAGCATCACTCATTTCCATGTCATAGTCTTGACAACCTTCTACACTTGTATCTCATTTTCCTATTAGAATAGTTAAAGGCATTTTTGAATATAATTAGATCTTCCTGATCATTCTGTGGAGATCTATGTGCATCATTATCCATCTATTCCTGTTCATGATAAAGATCTCTCAAAATAATCATGGAATTTGCTAGATTTTACTGTAATTGGCTATAAAAATACATAAAATCATTGCATTAAAAAAAAAATCCCAGGGAGAAGCAACTGTGTTGTCAACCTTTTCCCTTCCAGAAGCCCCCATGGCCTGTTATGTTAACTGGTCCTCTCACCCACATGCTCTGTATTCCAGAAGTAAGATCAGCCTTGCTAAGGTTGTGAAGTCCTACAAAAACTCTGTTCTCCCCTTTCCCCTGATCAAGGGAGCCTCTTACCTCACACTGGTGTACCTAAGAGAAACCTAGAGCATCTCTCTGGTGGCCTCTCTTGCCGAGAAAATAGATACATAGTTTAATGCATGCTCTATCTTTGCTCAAGAAACACCTGTTAGTGTTAATATTTACAATTTCTCAAGCAACCACATTGTGCTGGAATCTTCTCAGGTGTTACTTCTAATCTCAACAACAACCTTGCAAACAGAGTATAACATTCCCATTCTACAAAGGAGAAAACCAAGGCTCAGACAGTCATGTCACTCCTGCAGCACTCGATTTAGCACTGTATTAAAGCTCCCACAACAGTTAGGAAGATGTGATTCTAATATCTTTCTATTCTCTGAGGTGAGGGATTGTGGCAAACAGTAATGACTATAACCATAAAGAGAATTAATATGTGCTGGGAGGCCACCGTACACCAAGCACCATTCCAGTTGCTTTAAATTGACAAACTTATTTAATTTCATGTTTATTTAAATCCTCTTCATGCCTCAGGTGCCAGACACTGTGCGCTGAAAACTATCTGCAGAGATCTCAATTTGCACCGTTCGAGTCCATCATGCCATTTTCTCTTTTCATTTTATTTAATCTTCAAAAAAAAAAACCACACACACAGAAATCTTCTTCATTTTGTTGGTGCTGATACTGAGGCTCAGAGAGGCAGGTAACTTAGCCAGGGTCACACAGCTAGAAAGCAGCAAAGCCAAGAGGCACGCCCAGGTCTGAGCCCAAAGCCTGAGCTGTTTCTGATGCGAGGAGTAAAATGGGGGTGAGGGTGGGGGGAAGATCGCCATCATTTCATCATAAAAACACATTTTCAAAGGATTTGAAAGTGTACACCATTTAATAAAGGAAACACTAGCATGTGTTTAGAAAATAACCAAACCTCAAAGTCTAAAATGTGTGCCTAATATCCAAGAGCAATTTTGATAAGATGGACACACCCTTTTAATGGATAAATTCAAACTTCTGAAAAGAAAAAGACCAAAATCTGTCTAGCTTTACTTTCCTATGACTGGATAGCGATTAGATGTTCGGTACACACACAAAAAAAATTAAATTAAATGGGACAGGAAGTGACTGTTGCTGCTTGGGGGAAAAAGCTTAGTAATTACACATTCTTCAAAATGAAAGGTCAGACTGTCCTACCCCAGTGAAATTGTCACACGAGCCATTAGCCATTTAAGCCAATGAAGTTCTGTCTTCGGTGTTTTGATCGATTTCAAAAGCTGTTCTTAGTTTCCAGTGCCTTGCTCTTCTTGGTCCTGAACACTCTGTGCAGGGAAAAAAGCCACACTAGAAGAGCAAACCACTGCATCAAGTGAACCCTTTATGAGCAGAGATGCTAAATCTGAGACACATTGACCCACGTCATTTGCAGTCTGCGTCTTCGCCTCCTTCTCAAGTGCCCAAAGATAACCTGCCTGAAGGAAGACGTGCTGACCAGAAAGAGTTAACACCACTCTCAGGATCCTCCTGCAGTCTTGTACAGGTGTCATTTTGGGGTGATCTCTGAGCTTTTCTTTAGCAATTCTCATTCTTTGAGAAAGGGCTCTATTTTGAAAGCCCTTACCAAAATTCTGCATCCCTTAGAGGCAAGGATTTCTCTTCTGGGATTTATCCATAAACAAAGCGGGTTAAGATGGGAGATGCAGAAATGACAGGAGATAAGATACAGAACTAGAATCAGGAAGCTGGGTTCTAGCCCTAGGTCTGGCAGTAACCAAATATGTGACTTTAGGCGGGTGGTTGACCTTCATGAGGTCTCTGTTTCCCTAGGTTGAACTTCATCTGCTTTTTTTTTTTTTTTTTTTTTTTTTTTTCAGACAGAGTCTCATTCTGTCACCCAGGCTGGAGTGCACTGGCTCAAACTCGACTCACCGAGGCGAGGTGATCCTCCTGCCTCAGCCTCCCAGTACCCGAGTAGCTGAGACCGCAGGCACGTACCACCACACCCAGCTAATATTTTGTGTTTTTGTGGAGACAGGGTTTCACCATGTTGCCTGGGCTTATCTCAAACTCTTGGGCTCAAGCCATCTGCCTGCCTTGGTCTCTCAAAATGCTGGGATTACAGGTGTGAGCCACTGTGCCGGACTCATCTTCAGCTTTTAAGCTGAATTGTGGGGTGCTCCAGGGATATAAAGGCAAGGTCATCTGAATCCCCATTCTTAGACCAATTCTGTGTCTTGCCTGCTGGGTTGAAAAAATATCTAATACCCACATAGGTGTCAGGCACTATTTTAAGTCCAGAAAGGCTTCAAGGAGGCAGTAAATAGAGTCTGGAAGAAGAGTGAAGAAATCGATACTGGAAGCTGAAGAAAGAACAAGCCATGATTTGTAGTGGCAGAAAGTTTAGCAACATATTCACCTGCAATAAGTTAGAAGATAGCGAGTACACCCAACGGCCACTTGAAGTCTGGCTTTGCTGCAGGCAAACGGCATGTGCCACTGCATGGCATGTGCCCAGGGTGGGCTGTAGAGTGGCTGCAGGAAAACTCCTCTGGGCTCAGGGTCTGAAGCAGGTGGTAGTCCCAGCTCAACACACACACACACACACAAATGACTCTTCCGAGGTCAGGAGCAGCACTCTTTCTAGAAAGGAGAACCTTCAGCCTGGAGACTTGCAGCAAGACTTCAGGGCAGAACCAAGAGTCTCAGAAGGTTTGGAGGCCTGAATCTGTCCTTGATCATTGCACCCAAGGTAAAGAAGATTTCCATGGTGTCTCCACCTCCCAAGAGCCTAAGAACCTGTGTAATGACAGAGTGTTTAACCAATGTTGGATGAGCCAGCTCCACTTTTACTGGATTCTGCTCTTTCCCAAGAAGACTTTGAAAGAATCAAGTACCAGGCATCAGCTACAATCACAAATGTAGCTATGGATTCCACCTGAGGGAAGGGGAATAGTTCAAATGCCCTCTAGAGATATCATGCGGTTGACTTAAGAAGGCAAGTCTCCATGGATTATCAAAACAGCAAACTACATGTGAACTTGAAGTTGGAACAAGGAGGAAAACCATGGATGAAAGGGAGAAATTCCAAAACAGCTCTGTCCAGTATGTTCCTTCTCAGAACCGAGAGGGATTGAGTATATTTGCATTTGAGATGACTTATATTAAAGAGAAGTCTGGAACGAAGGAGGCAACTCCATTTATTTATTTATTCATGCATTCCTTCATCCATTCATTCATTCAAGACAGGGTCTTGCTCTGTCATGCAGGCTGGAGTGCAGTGGCATGATCTCACCCCACTGCAACCTTCATCTCCTGGGCTCAAGTGTTTCTCCTGCCTCAGCCTCTAGAGTAGCTGAGACTACAGGCGTGTGCCACCATGCCCAGCTAACCTCACTCACTCGTCCCTCTCCCTTTTAGTAGATGGGGTTTCTCCATGTTGCCCAGGCTGGTCTCAAACTCCTGGGGCAAAGCATTTTTCAAGATGGGTTTATTCTTAAATAAGTGGAAAGATTCACCATGAACAGTTTATTATATTCTACTTTAGAAAAAATATACAAAGATGATGGTTTGACAGATTGATGATAGGAAACAGGTGACCCTTTCCAGACACATGACATCCACCTGCAGCAAAATCCAAACTAAGGTGATCCACAACGAATGTAATAATGTTGGAAACCTTTTGGTTTAACCTCCAAACTTATTTCTCCAAGAACTAAAACCCCATCAATGGGATTCACTTAGAACAAATTTGAAACATAATTTAGGCTTGGATAATCATAAGGGAAATTGTACAAGGAGACAGTCATCTCAGTGTGATAGAGACAAAGAAATCATTCTGCTATGGCTTATCCAGTGTTGAAAGTAATTATCCAAAACTCTGAATGTAATGATTATGTGAAAGCCTTAGGTCAAAAGTCAAACTTCATCACATGTTTTAGAATTCACAGTGGAGACAAGCATTATGGAAGTAATGAATCTGAGAAAAGAGATTAATGAGAGCATAACTCTTATGCAAGAAAGAAAACTTTACCAGAGCAAGAGGCCCTACAAATGCAGGCAAAGTGGGGAAGCCTATAGCCAGAAATCACATCTCATTAAGTGCCATAAAATTCAAACATGGGAGAAACCTTATGAATGTCATCATGTGGGAAACTTTTGTTTTCAAAAATAACACACGTCATTGTACATCAGAAAATTCATACTGCAATAAGTCCTCACGGGTGTAATCAACATGGAGAAATCTTTAGCTGTAATTCATCCCTCATTACACACCACCATGGATTTCACACAGAAAAGAAACCCTATGAATGCATTGAATATAGAGAATCCTGCTTTGGTAACATGCATCTCACTGCACATTAGGGCTAGGATGGGGGTTTATTATTTGCAACTGAGTCAGGACCCCAGCAGGAAACAGAAGGGCCTTTTAAATTAAGCTAATTCAAATAGAATTTATTCACAAAGATATTATTTACAAAGTGTAGGTGTAGGTGAAAGGAGTTAGCCAACTTGGGTCCCTGGGGAACCTCTAACCCACCCAGCAAGTGCTTACACTTGTGCAGATGTTTTGTGCAGATAAGGGAACTTGCACAGGGGGCTCGCCTGAACATGCTCACAACAGACTAAGGGTCTGCAGGTGCACTGGGGGAATGGGGTGACATCACCAAGAATCTGCGCCTTATACAAATAGGGAACCCAGCCCCGTCAGCATTAGATATATGCATATGCCCTTGTATTCAACTGTGAGGGGGTAATCAGCAACCTGCTTTCCAGGGCCCCTCTCTTAACTGAGAGCTTTCCTTAATGAATTGTACTCCACTCACTCTTTGATGACCACGTGCCTAATTCTTTCCGGTCGTGAGACTATAACCTGGACTTAGCTAAGGAGCAAAATATCCTGCATCATAGGGGAACCACAAGAGACATGGCAGTAACTCAAGGCACTGAGCCCAAGGAGATAAAGAACAAACAGTTAAAGCTGAAAGGAGAGAGATGTTAGAGAAGGCAAATTTCAAAAGAGCTATGGGGACACAAGGAGGCAGCCAGAGGAATTCATTGTCCAACCTTACTCACTCATCCCTCTCCCTCACATCTCCACTCATGCCCCATGGGCCGAGCCCTATCAGAAGCCAGAGGGCAACAGGCTTGGAGGGGTCAGGTCCTCCAGGCATTGTCTTCACAGCTCTGTCCTCTATCCTGGGCTCTGCACCTAGTATAACAAGTAAATTTCTTTACTTTGTTACAAGTAAAATTGTTTACTTCCAGGGTTTTTTTTTTAACCAGGAATTAGGGTTACTAAGAGTTAAAGTTTTAACGAATATATAAAGAAACAATTCTGTATATAAAATGGACAAAAAGAGTAGGACATGTTTAGGGCAAGAGAGGTTATAAGAAAGACATAAATATGTGGTTTTTGTTGAAGCCAGAGTTGAAGGGAGCCTGTGATGTGGTCAGGCCTCCAGGACAGTGGGCAGGTGCAGAGTGGGGAAGATGGGTCTGGCAGAAAAACAGAAGATGCCCAGTCCAGCGACCAGGAGCCCTCTGAGTAGTGACCTGGCCATCTTGTTCACCAATGACTCCTAAGGCATGCTTCAAAGCCTGGCCCAGAACAGGCACTCAATGAAAACTGTTGAATGAAGAAGGCAACTCACAGCAAGTAGATCTGCGGGCAGGCTGCCATTCAGCAGGAGAAAACTCACAACTCCTGTTTTCTTCAAGGGCCTTGGGGAGCACAGGAACAAGATGCTGTTATAACCCACATTAGATGGTCACCAAACAATTACATAACAACAAAAAAAACCATAATGCAGCAAGAGCTGATAACTTTAAGCAGAAGAGAGAAAGATGAAAGTGAATCTATGGGCACTGTAGTGGAAGCTTGCAAGATATGTTCCATTAAAACCCTGCAATTCCGACCAGTAGGTGTTTCCTCACCTTCAGTAAGCAAGAACACTCAAGTTCTGAGGGCTTTGTAAGTTTTCTACGCTCACATGGTAAACTGAAATTGGGATTTGAGCTCAGAACTATCTGCATTTTAAATCTGGTGTTTTCCCATGTTGCGGGATGTGGGATAAACTCTGCTCATGTTGAAAGACTAAAACAAATACGGCTGAGAATAACTTAATAGTTTTAAGAAAATGCCTCCACTCTGATGATGTGTCACAATAGCCACTAACACATTTTCTTTTATAAGCACTGACAAAAGCAGCTATTAGTTGCCAAATTCATGGCTCCAGACCCCATAAGCAAGTTAATGATTCACTTACTAACCCCCTTGCTGTTCCTTAACATTTGAAATGAAATGGGCAAAGTGCTTTCATGTACTGTAAAAGAAAGTGGCAGCTCACTAAGTGCAAAGAAAGGCCATTTTTACAACACATTTCTATTTATAATTATTGGCATTTGTGCTTTAATGGAAAATGGAAACCCTACTGCTTAACACGTTGAATCCCTCTTAAGAGAAAGCTAAGAAAAAAATTGGCTGGGCGCAGTGGCTCATGCTTGTAATCTCAGCACTTTGGAGCCTGAGGTGGGTGGATCATCAGGTCAAGAGTTTGAGACCAGCCTGGCCAACATGGTGAAACCCCATCTCTACTAAAAATACAAAAATTAGCTGGGCGTGGTGGCACTTGCCTGTAGTCCCAGCTACTTGGGAGGCTGAGGCAGGAGAATCGCTTGAACCCAGGAGACATAGGTTGCAGTGAGCCGAGATCGTGCCACTGCACCCTAGCCTGGTGACAGAGCAAGACTCCATCTCAAAAAAAAAATCAAATTTACCTTGAAAAACAAACTACATTTTTAAATAGCCTGGCCGAGTTTCCCAGTAGAACTACTTTTCCTAGAAAACTCAGAGGTGACTTTGAACTACAAAGAAATCCCTTGTCTTTCTTAAGAACTGGCTTTTCCATGGAAAGCCCCCTGCTATGGGAAGACTTTGCTGACTACAGTAGCATCAGTGATCAGTTCCTCCTCCTCTGAATGGCTTTAGCATTTATTACAAGCAACTCTTAGTTCTTTCATTAACAAATGATTTTTTGAGCACCTACCCACACCAACTGCTGTGGCAGGTGCAGGGAATAGAGAACGCAGAAGATAGAGAAGGGCTCTACCCTCATGAATCTTAAGCCACCAAATAACTAAACAGAATACTACCAATTGTGATAAGAGTTACTAATGGCAGCAGTGGCCCATCTAGAGTGACCACTGCCAAGACACTGGCTACAGTGAGGAGGCGCAGCTGGACCTCCCACTGAGAGCAGGCAGGAGCTCCACCCTCCCCAGGTGCCACTGCAGCTCCCCTGGTGTGGCTCCAGGCGTCTCTGTGCTCTTGGGGGACCAGGGAGGCCCCCCTGCCCCCTGCAGACTCAGAAGTGCCTGCTCCTACTGCGTGGCTTCTCTCCGCTTTCAGTGTCCTTTCCAATCTCAGAGGCATGGCCAGTGCTGCACACTCCATGAAGCTGGCAGGAACCAGGGACAAGCAGGAGCCCTGCCCCTTCTGAGTTGGTGGGGCAGGAGCTCCCAGGTGCAGCTGCAGCTGCCCAAGCCCAGCTATAGACCCAAGCATCTCTGTGCTCTTGGGGTCCTGGGAAGGCTTCCTCCCCATTGCAGGCTGGGAAGTGCCTGCCCCCACTGCCTGTCCTCTCCCCACTCCCAGGACCTGCTCCAATCATGGAGCAAGGTTGGGGCCAAGCCTGGGCACTGTCACAGCCTGGCCAGGTGGGCACATGCTTGGGGCAGTGCTGCCATGCCATCCCCCTGCTACCTGGGCCCCCTCTTGACTTTGAGCACCAATAAGCACAGGAGGGAAGCTAGGAGGAGGCTAAGGAGCTACCCTCTCCAGGGCCTCCTCTCTGCTGAGAGCAGCAAATGTTGGGTGACCAGCTGCAGAGAGGAGTTACCCTCTCTGCTGAGAGCTGAACACTCTTTGGGATGACCTGCCTGCAGAGAGGAACCACCCACTCCAGGGCCTCCTCTCTGCTAACAGCTGAACACTCAATGGGATGACCTGACTACAGAGAGGAGCTACCCACTGCAGGTCTCCCCTGAGCTGTTCTAACACTCAATAAATCTCCTCTTTGTCTTGCTCACCCTCTGCTTGTCTGCATACTTCATTCTTCCTGGATGCAGGACAAGAATTCAGGCAAAAGCGCCATCAGGCACAGAGGTTTCTGGCCAGAAAAGCAACACCCCAAAAATCCTGTACGATTTGTGGGGGGCTCGTCTGGGATCTGCAGAAGGTTGAGTAAAAGCAGATCTTTCTGTCCTTTTTTTTTTTTTTGGAGTCTCTAAACTACACAGCAGTCAAAATGAAAGAAAAATACCAGGCCTCTGTTAGCCAGTTAAAAGTGACTAGCGTGGGTGCTGCACAAGACACAGAATACAGGCTTGCTGGGGAGGACACTGTCAATCCCCCATCCCCCTCACGGGCTGGAAACATTGGCTTTGTTCCAACCCAGTTTTTCTTCACAAGGGTCTGGCCGTAGCATGGGACCAGAAAGAGGTCCTGGGTAGGGCAACTGAGGGTATTTGACTGAGGCTACACCTCAGTGTTATCCAAAGGCCCCTGGACTAACTCCTGTCCCCAGCCACCGATTAGGATGTCAGCACTAGGAGCTCCATCTTACCTATCATTTTTTCTTTCTTTTGCAGCTATCATGGTTCCTAATTCTTCTTTATATACAATATTAAATGTTAAGGATATTGTTGAAAATGACAGAAATATTACTGGGTAGAATGAGCATTTGGCTTAGTCATCAGGAGCGTACATGAGAACAATGTGGTGTCTGTCGTTTCTTAGAAGTAAGGAGGATATAACAATTGAGAGTTTTCTTTCCCCTGTTGAAGGAGCTCACATGCATAGGGCAAGAGGCTTTTTTTCCCCAGGCACCTTCCCCTCCCCTGCACTTAACTTGTCCTTTTGGGAGGCACCTAGTTGAGCCAGGACCCCAATTCCCAGGACTCCCTTTCTCTCCCTTGGTAGAGGAGGACATGGTCCCACAGCTTATGATAGGGAAGCAACAGAGGGGCTGCCCCACCAGCTGCTGGCTACAATTTGGCAAGAGCCACCTGGGACTAATTCAATGAGTCCATACATCCTTCTGAGGCACCTTTTTTCCCCCAAGCTTCAGTTTGAGGCCCTAGAAAGGAAAACTAGATCTGAGGGCTCCAGAGGCAGAAGACAGCAGAAGTCAAGGTGCACAGCACAGGTGAGCAGTCCAGTTAAGAATCTGTCCCTCCCTAAACCCAGCCACTTTCCTCCCAGAGGGAGCTGGGGAGCTTGAACATGACTACGAACAGATAGTAGTGCCAACTTACGAGACCAGAGAGGACCTCAAAGAAACCCCCTTAGAGAACTCAGGATGCATTCTCTTTATGGACAGAAGTTTCTTTGTGGAGCAAAGAATCCATAAGGTGGGGTATGCAGTAGTCATTCTGAATGATGTTATTGAGAGTATGCCTCTCTCCTCGGGCACAAGTGCTCAACTAGCTGAGCTAATTGCCTCACGAGGACACTTGAATTAAGCAAGGGGAAAACGGTTAACATTTATACTGTTTCTAAGTATGCTTTCCCAGTCCTCCATGACTACGCCACTATCTGGAAAGAGGGGGACTTCCTCATAGCCAGTGGGTCTCCCATTAAATACCAGCAGGAAATCAACAGACTATTATCTTCAGTCTTTCTTCCATGGGAAGTGGCAGTAATACATAGTAAAGGCCATCAGAAAGGAAGAGATGAAGTAGCCAAGTGAAATAAGTTGGCAGACCAAACAGCTAAGTCAGCAGTGAGAGGGCCTCAGATTTCTGATCCACTAGAGGCCCCTATGATCTGGGAAGGCACCACAAAGGAAATAAAACCTCAGTATTCTTCTGTGGAGATAGAATGGGCTGCTTCTCAGGGATATACCCTTCAGAGCTCAGGAAGGCTGCAATCAGGGGACAGCAAGATTCATCTACAAGGTTCCAGCCAATGGAAAGTCCTTATAATCTTCCACCAAGCCTTCCACCTAGGTAAGGATAAAACCTATCAAATGGCCCAAAGGTTGTTCTCTGGTAAAAATTTGCTAAAAACAATGATAGACTGGATTAAGAAAATGTGGCACATATACACCATGGAATACTATGCAGCCATAAAAAAGGATGAGTTCATGTCCTTTGTAGGGACATGGATGAAGCTGGAAACCATCATTCTCAGCAAACTATTGCAAGGACAAAAAAACCAAACACCGCATGTTCTCACTCATAGGTGGGAATTGAACGATGAGAACACATGGACACAGGAAGGGGAACATCATACACCGGGGCCTGTTGTGGGGTGGGGGGAGGGAGGAGGGATAGCATTTGGAGATATACCTAATGTTAAATGACGAGTTACTGGGTGCAGCACACCAGCATGGCACATGTATACATATGTAACTAACCTGCACATTGTGCACATGTACCCTAAAACTTGAAGTACAATAAAAAAAATTTGCTAAAAACAAACAGGTCATTAATGCTTGTGAGACTTGCCTTAAAAATAATCCCCTCAACCAATGGCTTCTCCACCCTGCAACCCAAAGAATAGGAGGCTACCCAGCGGAAGAGTGGCAGATGGATTTCACCCATATGCCAAAGACAAAGGGCATCCAGTACCTCCTAGTATGGGTAGATACCTTCACTAACTTGGTAGAAGCATTTCCATGTCAAACAGAGAAAGCCTCTGAGGTGATAAAAGTACGCATTAACAAAATGATGCCTTGCTTTGGACTTCCTAAGTATGTCCACAGTGGTAATAGCCCCTGGTTCAAGGTGGCTGTCATGCAAGGGTCCTCAAAGGCACTAGGCATAAAATTCTATCTTCATTGTGCTTGGAGACCACAATCCTTGGAAAAGGTAGAGAAGAGAAATGATATTATCAAAAGGCACCTAGGAAACTGGCTCAAGAGACTCATCTCCCCTGAGTTACTCTTCTCCCCATAGCCCAACTATCTGTTACGAACACCCCTTCAAAGCTGGGTTTAAATCCTTTCGAAATGATGTATGAATGGCATTTTCTCACCAATGATTTCTTGCTAGACCAAGAAACCTCTGATTTAATTAAACATATAACCTCTTTGGCCCGTTTCCAAAAGGAACTGAAACAACTATCAGAGGCCCAACCCCGTGACCTGGAGCCCCCTCTATTCAACCCAGGGGACTCACCACTGGTAAATGCTCTCCCTCTCCTTTCTCCCTCTCTACGCCTGGAATGAGAGGGACCTTACGCTGTACTTTTTTCTACTCCTACAGCAGTAAAGGTCACTGAAATAGATTCTTGTATTCCTTATACTCGAGTTAAGGCCTGGGAAACCAATGAAATTGCCTCTGTTGGTCCAGGAGAGCACCTAAAGTACTGGAGTGAGGAAATCGGGGACTTCGAGCTAAAAAATCACCAAGATTAGCAAAAAGATAAGTGCTAATAATTAACCCTCCAGGGATATCCTATGCTTACTATTCTCAACTTTGTTCTGTTCCTCACTGTAGGCATCTTTGTCAAGGACCCTTCCCAAGGGATTATCTACTCCCCTAAACAGTTACTTCTCTTTTAAAATTTAACTGTCCCCATAGAAGATTCAATTTCTCCCACCAGTGTGAAACAGCCCATCGCATACTTAACCTCCTTGTAAAATGTGTTTCTTCTCACCTAGAAGCCATTAAATTTCAAGTGGTCATGCAACTGGAGCCTCAGATGATGGCTCCTTTTTTACTGGGAACTCTTAGATAAGCCTCTGAGAGAGAACTGACTGCTGCTTTCCCCAAAACAATGCCCCCTGTCAGCATGAAGCAGTTAAGAGCAACCATCATCCCTATCCTAACAGCAGTTAGATGTACCTCTTTAGAAGGGGAAATGATGGCAGTAGCGGCCCATCTAGAGTGGCCACTGCCAAGACACCAACTGCAGTGGGGAGGCACGGCTGGGCCTCCCTCTCCATGGAGCAGGCAGAAGCCCCATCCTTTCTGGTTGTTGCTGCAGCTGCCCTGGCATGGCTCAAGACCTGAATGTCTCTGTGCTCTTGGGGGCCTGGGGAGCTCAAAAGTGCCTGCTCCTGCTGCCTGGCTTCTCCCTGCTATCAGCAGCCTCTTCTTTACCAGAGCTGCACACTCCATGGAGCCAATGGGAGCTGGGGACAAACAGGAGCCCTACTGCTTCCAAGTTGGTGGGGCAGGAGCTCCCCAGGTGCAGATGCAGCTGCCTCAGCCTGGCTGCAGACCCAGGCATCTCTGTATTCTTAGGGGCCCAGGAAGGCCCCATTGTTCCCCACTGGTTCACGCCTGCCTGGCCTCTCCCTGCTCCCAGCACCCACTCTGATAGTGGAGCAAAGTTGGGGCCAAGCCTGGGCACTGTTGCAGCACAGCCAGGTGGACGCATGCTTGTGGCAGCACTGACACACCAGACCCCTGCCACCTTGGCCCCTTCCAGAATTTGGGCATCAATGAGCACAGGAGGGAAGCTGAGGAGGGGCTGAGGGCAGCTCAGCACTGTCCTGCAGGTGCCCCTTGGCACAAAGAGCCTAAGCACCATGAACAACAGGGGAGGCAGACAGGCTCCTGGGCAGAAGGAAAGGGGTCTCCAGTGAAGACCCACCTTCAGGCTGGAGAAGGCCTGGAGCCTGGGGGCCAGGCTGCCAGTCCTGCAGACTGGAGGGGGAACTCATGGTGCTTTTTCCTGCCCATGATCCAATCACCAAACACTTCCTGCCTCTGAAGACGTTGAAACCCTGGACTCGGCCAGAGCAGAGCAGACATCAGGATGACCAGCTGCAGAGAGGAGCTACTCACTCCAGGACCTCCTCTCTGCTGAGAGCTGCAAACAATGGGATGACCAGCTGCAGAGAGGAGCTACCCTCTCTGCTGAGAGGTGAACACTCATCAGGATGACCTGCCAACAGAGAGGAGCTACCCACTGCAGGTCTCCTCTGAGCTGTTCTAACACTCAATAAAGCTTCTCTTAGTTTTGCCCACCCTCCACTTGTGTGCGTTCCTCATTCTTCCTGGATGCGGGACAAGAATGAAGGCAAAGGCACCACTGGCCACACAGGTTTCCAGCCACAAAAGCAATACCCCAAAGATCTCGTAACATTGTGATGGAAATAAATCAGTTGATATTTTCAACTTTAAATAATGAGATTCAGAAACTATTATAGAGTTTATACAAGCACAAGCTTAAGGATGGCCACCTGGAAAACACAGGCTCCAAAAGAATGGGTCAGCATTGCAAAGTGGGAAAGTAAGATTTTTACTTATATAGACAGTGAATGGGGCTGCAACCCTCTCTACACGAGATCACTATACACATTACAGTGATTTGATTGGTTACAGCTTGCTACGTTCCAAGGAAGAATGCTTTAACATTCCATGAGGAGGGGTGATGATCTAAAGGGGTCTTATCCTTGGTGTCATCTCTGTGGCCTTTCCTAATCATTTATAGGAAAAAGCAGAAGTTGTAACTGCATGCTATGTGACTCAGACCACATAGCCAGCCACCACATGCCTCTCAAGGCTCAAAATAGTTTAAAGCTTCAACTGCTTTAAGTCTGAATTATTTAATTTCACAACATCATTGAAAGTGACTAGGTTGAGGGCAGTGGTATCCTAGTAAATGTTTAACCACTAGCTCTCCAGGGAGAAATAAGCTTGGATTTAGAGCATTTGCCAATTTCTTTTGTGCAAATGCTCTCACCGTGGCTGATCTCAAGCTACTAACATGACACCATTCAAAGTGGACTTGGGAAGAGATGTGGAGCAGCAAACCATTGTATAAGATTTCCACCATACAGAGAAAGTAGACATATATAACATCAAAAGCATGAACAAAACTACAATGCAGTAAAATGTGTTTGCTTTCTCAACACTTGTATAAAGCTGCTGATATCCTGTATTGAAAGGCCACTTCACAAGAACATAACATGTAATAATGTTTAAAAACAACTTCAATGAAAGAACTTTAAGTCTTGATGTTATAAATGTTTCTCTCAAGTTGTTTTCATCAGGAGGACATGAAGGCTGAGGTGGGAGGATCAGCTGAGGCCATGAGTTTTGAGACCAGCCTGGGCAACATGAAAGGCCACATTTCTACAAAAAAAAAAAAAAAAAATCTTTTAAATTAGCCGGGCGTGGTGGCACATGCCTGTAGTCCCAGTTACTTGGGAGTCTGAGGTGGGAGAATCACCTGAGCCCGGGGAGGTCAAGGCTGCAGTGAGCTGTGACTGTGCTACTGCACTCCAGCCTGGGAGACAGAGTGAGACCTCATCTCAAAAAAAAATTTTTTTCAACTCTTCTCTAAGGACAAGTAGCAATCACTTTATGTATAAGAGTCTTCAATATTTTTAGTGTAACTAACAACATTGACAATGGCATAATAAATACATCATTTTGAAGAGAAGGGAAAAAAATGCAGTGACATAATTAAGAACTGATCTCAAAAACAAAATCTTGGTCTCAGAAACCATTCCCCACTAAAAACCAGAGCTCTTTGGAGAAGTGGCTGATTTCAGGGCTGGAGCAGGGAAAGTACAAGTATACCTGAAACATCTTGTTATAACAGAAAATAAGAAAGTGGTTGAAACAATAATGGCATGTCAAAAGAAGTGGCTCCCACTGGGTAAATCTCAGGCAACTTGAGTACCAAAATGATTAAGGACAATAGTGAATTTAAAAAAACCATTGGGAAAGACAGGAATCCATGAGTGTGTACTGCTGAGAAATAGAAAGACAAATAAGTAAATACAAGAAAAATGAAAAGGAGAGGGGAGTAATATGGTTTGGATGTGTGTCCACTCTGAATCTCATGGTGAAATGTGATCACCACTGCTGGAGATGGGACCTATGGGAAGTACTGGATCATGGAGCTAGATCCCTCATGAATGGCTTAGCCATTGCTTGGTGATGAGTAAGTTCTTGCTCAGTTAGTTCACGTGAGATGTAGTTGTTTAAAAGAATCTGGGATCTCCTCCTTCTCTCTCTTGCTCCCTCTCTCACCATGTGATACACTGGCTCCCCTTCGCCTTCCACCATGATTGTATGCTCCCTGAAGCCCTCGCCAGAAGCAAATGCCAGCACCATGCTTCCTGTACAGACTACGGAAAAATGAGCCAGTTAAACTTATTTTCTTTATACATTGCCCACCCTCAGGTATTTCTTTATAGCAATGCAAAAACAAACTAACACAGGGAGGTTCTTATTTACAGAAGGATGTTAACTGCCAACTGGTAAATGTGCAGGAAGTGGCAGATTTGTAGAAATCATTGATTAATTCAGACAAAAATCATTAAAGAATGCCAACTCTAGGGGAAAATTTTGATGAGAAACACTATATATGAGTGATCTTATAGTGTCTGTATACAAATTGCTTCTTTAATACAAGAAAAACAGTCTCTGTTCAGTGGAGAAGTTACCTAGGTGATAAAAGTTAACATCTCTAGTGAGGTGCAGGTGGACATAGTGTATCTACAGATGGGACAATCTAAGATGGTTACAACATTACTACATAGTATCGCAAATAGAAATGGAAAGCCTGAATCTAACCATGAGAAAATTTAAAATAACTATCAAAAAGGTAACATCCATATACAGATATAATATCTATAACATATATAGATATATGGATATAACATCCATATATAGATATATCTATATATCTATCTATAGCTACATCTACAGATATCTATAGCTACATCTACAGATATCTACAGATATCTATAGCTACATCTACAGATATCTATAGCTACATCTACAGATATCTACAGATATCTACAGCTACATCTACAGATATCTATAGATATCTATAGCTATATCTACAGATATCTATCGATAGATATATCTATCGATAGATATATCCACATAGATATCTAGATATATATGGATATATCTATAGATATCTATCTGGATATATCTATCGATAGATATATAGATATATATAGATAAAGCTATATAGATATATATAGATAAACCTATATAGATACATAGATATATAGAGAGAAACCTATATACATATATAGATATATAGAGAGAAACCTATATAGATATATAGATATATAGAGAGAAACCTATATAGATGTATAGATAAACCTATATAGATATATAGATAAACCTATGTAGATATATAGATATATATAGATAAATCTATATAGATATATAAAATAGATAAATCTATATAGATATATATACATAAATCTATATAGATATATATACATAAATCTATATAGATATATATACATAAATCTATATATATACATAAATCTATATATACATAAATCTATATAGATATATATACATAAATCTATATAGATATATATACATAAATCTATATAGATATATATACATAAATCTATATAGATATATATACATAAATCTATATAGATATATACATAAATCTATATAGATATATATACATAAATCTATATAGATATATATACATAAATCTATATAGATATATATACATAAATCTATATAGATACATATAGATAAATCTATACAGATATATAGATACATATAGATAAATCTATACAGATATATAGATACATATAGATAAATCTATACAGATATATAGATACATATAGATAAATCTATACAGATATATAGATACATATAGATAAATCTATACAGATATATAGATACATATAGATAAATCTATACAGATATATAGATACATATAGATAAATCTATACAGATATATAGATACATATAGATACATCTATACAGATATATAGATACATATAGATACATCTATACAGATATATAGATACATATAGATACATCTATACAGATATATTGATACATATAGATACATCTATATAGATATATAGATATATAGATACATCTATATAGATATATAGATATATAGATACATCTATATAGATATATATAGATACATCTATATATAGACATATAGATATATATAGATACATCTATATATAGATATATAGATATATATAGATACATCTACACAGAGAGATATATAGAAACATCTACACAGGGAGATATATAGATACATCTACACAGAGAGATATATAGATACATCTACATAGAGAGATATATAGATACATCTACATAGAGAGATATATAGATACATCTACATAGAGAGATATATAGATACATCTACATAGAGAGATATATAGATACATCTACATAGAGATATATATAGATACATCTACATAGAGATATATATAGATACATCTATATAGAGATATATCTACCTATACTTCCTGTGAGTTGTGTTTCTCTGGAGAACTAATAGGTAGGGTGACTGTATAATTTACTCTCCATACTGGGACACTTTTAATCATTGCTATAATACATTAATTTTAATCTAATCTTCTTATCCCTTGCCCCCTTCCACTTCTGAGTATATAGATATATATAGATATATTTATATATACACATATATATATATAGAGAGAGAGAGAGAGAGAGATGTTTTAAGGAATTGGCTCACCCAATCATGGAGTCTTGGCAAATCTAAAATCTGTGGAGTAGTCCAACAGGCTGGAGACCCAGGGAAGAGCCGCAGTTCAAGTCCAAAGGCCTTCAGTAGGCCAGCCTCCCTCTCCTTCTGGGGACCTCTGTCTTTTTCTATGAAGGCATTCAACTGGTTGGGTGAGGTTCACCCACAATTTGGAGGGTAATCTGCTTTACTAAAAGTCTACTTATTTAAATGTTAATCTCACCTGAAGAATCATTTCACAGAAACATCTAGAGTAATGTTTGACCTAATAGCTGGGTACCATGGCCCAGCCAAGTTGACACAAAAAATTTGCCATTACACCATACATTGAACCAAAGTGGAAGGGGATGAGATGAAATTCTACAGGCTCTCCCATATTAAACTCAGCAGCAGCTCTCCCATATTAAACTCAGCAGCCAGTGATTAAAGCCCTTAGGGTGTCATAAGCATGTTATTAAAAATAACTTTCTATATGGAACTATAAACGATCTTGAATAGTCAAAGCACCCTTGACCAAAAAAAAAAAAAGTTGAAGGCAGTTGGAAGCACTATACTACCTGACTTCAAAATATACTACAAAGCTATAGTAACCAAAATAGCATGGTATTGGCATAAAAACAGGCACATGGACCATCGGAGCAGAAGAGAGAACCCAGAAATAAATCCATGCATCTACAGCCAACTAATTTTTGACAAAGGTGCCAAGAAAACACATTGGGAAAAGGATAGTCTATTCAATAAATGGTGCCGGGAAAATTGGATACCCACATGCAGAAGAATGAAACCTGACACTTATCTTTCACCAAATACAAGAATCAACTCAAAGTGGATTAAAGACTTAAGTGTGAAACTCAAAACTATAAAATTACCAGAAGAAAACATAGAGGAAATGCTTCATGACATGAATTGGACAAGGGTTTTCTGCATAAGACCTCAAAAGCACAGGCAATCAAAGCAAAAATGAACAAATGGGATTACATCAAACTAAAAAGCTTCTGAACAGCAAAGGAAACAATCAACAAAGAGATAATCTACGGGAAATATTTGCAAACCATACATCTGACATTCTTGTGATATAGTCATGGTATATTCCTGAATCGGTGGCTCACATGATATATTCTTGTAACATACTCATGACATGTAAAAAACTCAACTCAATAGGAAAAATACCTAATTTTAAAATGGGAAAAAGACTTTAATAGACATTAGAAATAAGACATATAATGAGCCAACAGTTATCTTTAAAAAATGTCCAACATCTCTAATCATCAGGGAAATGCAAATCAAAACAATGATGAGATATCCCCTCACTCCAGTTAGAATGACTATCATCGAAAAGACAAATGAAAAGACGTGTTGGCAAGGATGGGGAGAAAAGAGAACACTTACACACTGTTGATAGAAATGTAAATTAGTACAGCCATTATAGAAAACAGTATGGAGATTCCTCAAAAAACTAAAAATAGAACTACCACATGATCCAGCAATTTTACTACTAGATATACCTCCAAAGGAAATGAAATTAGTATATCAAAGAGATATCTCCATTCCCATATTTACTGCAGCTCTATTCACAAGAGCGAAGATATGAAATCAATCTAAGTGTCTAACAGCAGATGGATGGATAAAGAATATGTTGTATATGAACACAAACGGAGTACAATTTGCCATAAAAATAATGAAATCCTGTCATTTTGACAACATGGATGAGCCTGGGAAACATTATGTTACATGAAATGAGCCACCTAGTGTGGTGGTTCACACCTATAATCCCAGCACTTTGGGAGGCTGAGGTGGGAGGATTGCTTGAGTCCAGAAGTTTGAGACCAGCCTGGGCTACAGTGAGATGTCATCTCTACAAAAATATTTAAAATATTAAATTAAAAAAAAAGAGCAGATGTGGTGGTACGCACCTGTAGTCCCAGCTACTCAGGAGGCTAAGGCGGGAAGGATTCATATATATATATATGAAATATATATGAAATATACATATGAAATATATATGAAATATACATATGAAATATATATATAGAAATATATATATTTCATATTGTACCCCATAAATATGTGCAATTATTATATGTCAGTGAAAATTAAAATTTTTTTTAAAAAAACTTCCTTTATACTCAGCAGATGTAGGGTTAATGTGTTGAAGGAAAAGAAAAGAAGAAGGAAGGAGAAGCACAAAATGGACAGAATATTGAGTGTCAGGGTCAGGTTCTCATAAACCACATTCCTCGGTATACATATTGCAATATAATTTGCCAGTGTTACTTTCCTGAAGGACAGCTGAACACAGTGCTCTGTTTTTCAGCAGCAGTTGAGGTACCTTGAACCATGAAGAACCCTTGGTATCAGAACATCATGACTTTTCAAACAAAATACAGAAACAGAAGCTACCAAACATTCACCTTTTCAGTTCATCTGAAAAGCTACCAAGTGAGATTGTTTTTAATGGCACATTTATACCAGGTAATTGTCTGGCATTATTTAAAAAATGGGATGAATCTGTTTGTTGACACAGAAAGGGCAACAGGATTACATAGTTACCAGGGACACAGACTTTGAAGTCAGATAAACCTGAGTTCAGATCCCAGCTCTGTTACTTGTAACCTGTGTGATCTTGGGCAAGTTATTCAATGTCCCTACCCTAAGCCCAAATATCTTCATCTGTAAAACATGATAAAAGTATTACTGCCCATAGGGTCATTTTATGACACTACTTTCTTTTGTTTTTAAGTGCGCGTGTGTGTGTATATACGTATACATATATATACACAAACACACATATATACCTGTATATATATGTACACACATACACAAGGCAAAATGTTGGAAATATATTTTTTAAGGTTTCTGTGTACTTTTCATACTGACCTTGTATTACTTTAGTATAATAAAAACATAACTGCAATTAGCTAAAGAGTATACATTCATAAAGAAAGTCCTAGAAGAATGTATATTAAAGAGTTAACAGTTGTCACATCTACAGGTTGGGAGTCGCGGGCAGACAAGCGGTAAGAAAACTTGCACTTTGGCTTTATGTATTTGGGTAACATTTGAATACTTTTGACAAATGTGTATATATTATTGCTTTTTTATTTCAAACAAATGAAGGGGAAATGTAAAAGAAATGTAATTAGCATCTCTGTCGCTGCAGCTTTGGTGACTAAGGGCATTTGCGGCAAATGATAGCCTTGACCATCCTGCCTTCCTTAATTGAGTTCTCTGAAAGCCTTCCACATCATTCAGGCCTTCTTTTTTCCCTGAAATGTTTAGCTTTAACAAAATTCTGAGTAGAAGCATGACCATGAGTCACAATTACAGGAAGGTTTTATAAATATTATGTAAAAATTACCTAAGGCAACTTGGCCAAAAGTTGCACAAGTGGGCATGATTCACCCAAATGATGGAGACGGTATGGTGAACAGAAAAAACTCCCAACAGGTCATTTTGTTTAATATTCCCCCGCATTGCCCACATCCAGAATCTTTGGGTAAATCTTCACTTTCAAGCAATCCTGAATCCCAGTGGCACTTCATTTTCTGACCACACAAGTTCACAGATGTCACCATAAACTGAACACCTGGTGTTCAGTTCCCACCACCAGGCACAGGGACCCTCCCTGCACTCTGCCACATGGGAGCCTCCGTGTTGAAGAACGGTTTTTCCCTCTGCATTCAAGCACAATTTTACATGAATGATAGAAAAGTCCAGTGGATGCCTGTCTGTAAGCACCAGCAAAAAGAATCATATTTATATCTATGCCCATCCATCTAACCCTTCTCTTCAGCATTTTCAATAAAATCTCAGTTCTATCAGAACTTCACCTGCAGCTTGCATCCTTCCTTAAACCTTTAACCAGATTCAGCCATTTTTCTCCCTGTCATCATTTATTTTCACTGCCTCCCAGAAACCCACATTTAGCCTAAGCAAAATGTGCAAAAAAGAACTAAAGGCAATGCACATCTACCCTAAATCCAAGCCTTCCTTGAGCATTCTGTACTTTCTACTGTGAGACATTAAACCCGTTTTCTCCACTTCCTTGAGCCTGTTATTTCTGCACTGTTAGACAATTTTCTGCTTTATGTCTCTCTTGATAGACTTTCAGATTTGGGTCTTATATCTAGCACTGTCTTGCCCATGGCAGATGTTCAATGTCATATATCTTTGTGGAATGAATGACTGAATGGACAAATGAATGAGTGAATAATTCTGCCTTTTGCTGCCAAAGACCCATGATCCTTTTAACTCTTACTATCACATGTATCAGTTTTTTGTTGTTGTTGTTGCTGTTTTTCTGTGAATGTTTTGAAGCAGTCAAATTTGAGTTTGACTCTTAGCCTTATGGCGATGAGCCCTGTGACCCAGGGCCTGTCATTCCTGTTTTTGTATAGTACAAAGGAGAAAAAGAAACCTAATTCTCAGGAATATAAGGATTACCTGAGATAATGCTTGTAGCATATCATGCTTAGTAATGTTTCTTTCTGTGTCTTCCTTCCCTGTAACTAGACAGCTGCTTGTATTACTGGGACTTTTTGGCTGCAGTTGGCCACTACAACCAACTAGTGTGTAGTTGGTTCACATTAACTCACTTAAATCCTCATAACAACTTTATGAAGATTATATGTTCATAAAGAACATATTTCTTAGCAGAGGATTTTTGAGTTTCAGATTTATCAAGCATTTATGTATGGTATGCTAGGCATTTTCACAGCTTTATCTCATCATGTTGTTGAAATGAGTGTACATTTTTTGTTATTAATATAATTACCTTGTTTCTGTTTAACAGTATTTTAGATGTGACTAAAATAGCCATATTCTCATATCCAGTCATTCAGGTTTACACATATAAAATACAGGACACTAAAACTACTGACTTTAAATCTGAATTTATTGAGAAGTAATAAATTGTAGGAAGTATTCTTCACATTACTAAAGGAATTATTGCAGGTTGGTTAGTTTTAGAAAGAGTTGAATCTCCTTTACTTATCCATTATTTTTTGGATTTATTAAATCCAACACATTTTATACTTAAAATGTGATTGATTTACAACATTTCAGTTTACCACAACTTTTCAGGAGTGTATATGTTTGTTGTGTAAGAGCTTGTATTGGCAGAGAAGTGCAAACTTCCCCAACCTGACTGCATTCAAATTGTCTGTGAGATGCTTAACTGAAAAGATTTGATTGCTTAACTGAAAAGGATAGATCTGGCTTTTTGTTCAATTTGCAAATAATTCAGACATCATCATATTAACAGCAACTTGGTTTCTCTCCATCTCAATAACTTGGTTTCTTCTTCACGTTATGCCTGGCAGCAAGATGGTAGCAACCTTTAGCCAACTTGCTTCCAGGTTCAAATATGAATCCTGGTTTCTTTCCCAGGATTCCCAGCCTGAGATTCCTTGCATTTCATTGGCTCTGGTTGGGTCACATGCCTATCCCTGAACCAATCAGTAAGACCAAGATATTGTGATGCAGTGATTGACCTAACTCTAGGTCACTCCACCTTTGACCTGTGGGTGTGGCCCTGCCACTGAAGCGCACAGTCAGAGAGTAGAAAGATTACTGCCAAAAGAATATTGAAAAGTGAAGAAATAGATGCTGAGAAGCCAATGTTCACCACAGGCACTTCCAAAAGCCTTCACTCAGCAACGTGTTTTGCACAGCTGCTTAAGAGGAGCTTAACAGCTTTGAAGCCAATGCAGAAAAACACCAGTGGAGACTGACCTCTTCTAGCATAATTCTGACAGGGCCAGCTACATAATTTTCAGGGTCTAGTGGGAAATGAAAATGTGAGGTGCCTTGTCCAAAAAGTAGGTGGTAAATGCTGTTAAATGTACCAGGACAGAAAGCTGTTTCCTTTTCTCCATGGCCTCTGAATTTGTCCTGGTGTCTTTTATTTGCCAATTAATATTGTTCTAAGAAAAAAATAAATTATTAGCATGAATTGTACTGTTTATGTTGTGCAATGTCAGTTTGAATGCAAATATAAGAGCATTTAACTCATGTGCAGTGTCACTGAGATTACCCAATTTGTATTTTGTAGTTCATACGTGCATATGTATTTCATTCTTGCCAGAACATTAGAAACGCTGAACCAATAACTTTATTTCACTTCTTGATACTTGCACATCCTACCAACACTGTCTACATTTGGCTTACCGATGAGGAAGGAAAAAGTGAAAGGAAAAAGGGCTCTGGGTTGCCCTATCTTTCCTATCCTTCTGTTTCATCTTCAGCATAAGTGGTTGGCTAGTATAGAGAAGTAAAAAAGGATGTCATTTTTGTTTCTTAGAACACTGCCTTCAAGGCAAGTTCTGGTTCAAATAAAAAAAAAATTAACCTCTCAAGGCTGTCAGCGTCCCAGCTCCTTCAGCCAAAAATGCAAGGTGCTTATCTTGTACCCTTTGAGTCTCATTGAACTCTGTGAGGGGTGGGCCCACTGGAATCCTGAGCTCATGGGGCATCGTGAAAGCTATATGCAAACGAGCAGTAAGGAACTGCAATGTATACTCACACTGCAGGTGTCTCCTCTGCGCACACACATTGTGCCATCAGACTTCACTTACAAAACATAAGTTCAATGACAAACCTGTTAAGAGTTTCAGGATGGCCATAGCAGGGCTTTAAACCAAGAGCAACTGCCCCTTTGAACATAGACCCCTGAGCAACTGTGCAGGTCAGATGCCCATGAAGCTGGCCCCGACTTAGGGAGAAAAAGCACTCCTTGTATGAGCACAGACGTTCTCTGTATTATTCCAGATATTTCAACCCCATCATCACCACCCAAAATAGACAGAAAAATAAAAGCTGATGCTAAACTCAACAATCTTGCCTATCTGGTTAATTACATGTTGTTCTGCTCCCTAATGCTCCTTTTATATCCAACATCATTGAGTTGGTACAGACAGAACTGTGTGGTCCATTTGTTTCCTTGTGGGTAAATGTCCAGAAACAAATCAAGCCACTTTGTGTACCTTTGCTAAAGTTAGCTAAAGAATACTGGGCATCTGTCTTTGACCGATGGTCCACAAAGGGATGTCTCAGATTGAATGCATCAGGAACAAATCAGCCCTTATTTAGGAAGTGCCACATAGCTTCGGCTCAGTGCTGACAACTGTTCTAAACATTTTACAAATTATCTTACTAATCCCCAGGACAACCCCAAAAGGTAAGAAATTATGATTATCTCCCATTGTATCGATGGGCAAACTGAGGTACAAAGATTAAACAACATCTGGCAACATAACTAGTAGGCAGCTGTTTAAAAGGCAGTTACAGTGGCCAAAAAGTCCAGATTATAAGAGAATCAGTCCAGTTTTTCTCACCAGGCATAACACAACCCACCTGAAGAAGGTACACCGTCACTCAGCTCATCTGAAGCCAATTGAGGATTCCTCGAGCCCACTGGTTCTCAGCCCTTACTATACATTGTAATCACCGGGCAGCTTTTAGATAGCTGGATGCCTGGCCTCACCCTACACCAATGAATCAGAACCTCTAGGGGTGGGACGCAGTCATCAGTCATCTGGAAAGCTCTCTAGGTGATTGCAATGAGTTGCCAAGGTTAAGAACCACGCAAGTCTGGCCTGTTCTGCCTAGTACAGTGATGACTGACTCCCAGAAAAAGCAGATCCTCCATTTGGGAATGACATATTTTAATATAACCTGCCCACCTCTTCTTTTTTTTATTGTTTTGCTTGTGTGTTTAAGAAAATACTTATTGCAGCAGAAACAGTACTGATCTTAACATTGGCAGGACCTGGAGCAAGAGCACAAATTGAGGTCCACGTACATAATTCTCAGTACTTCAACATTACAAAGTAGGGTAAGAAATCGTTAAATAAAATTACTTCTATTCTCCGACCTTGACAAACACACCCACCTAACAACAAAATGGAAAACAAAAACAAAAACACATGCGTGAAGCAACAGTTCATACAAATAACTATGGATAGCACAAATTCAACATCAATTGTATATTCTGCCAAAGACAATGATTTCCTCTTGGGCAGGAGTGGGAATGGGAAGATGGGATTGCAAAGAATTTCTCCCTCCCTCACCAGGTCACACCATCTGGCCTCTTCCACTTTCTTGTGAAACTCACAGAAACCATGTTCTTTTCCTCATTTTGAGAGGGGAGATCTTTCACCACCCACCAAGATTCATCTCTTCCCCCACCTTCACCCCCACGATCTACATACCAGTGAAGAGCCCCAACATCAGGCCATGAGACTTCCCTCACCTCCTTCCACCCAAGCCTAGAACTTCTGCTCATGAGGTGCCACAGCCCCCCACCTACACTGACCACACCCCCAACCTTACCCCCTGTTCTTCCTTCCCCTGACTCAGTCCTGCACCCTGAAGGGCCTTAGCCACTCCTTAGGCTGATGGGGGCACCCGTGGATGAGGCACGCTGGAAGAATGGATCAGGGAAGAGACACGTGCAGCCCTGGGAGAAGACATAGGGATTTAGCAGGAGGGAATTCCTTCCAGGGTCCTGGTACTGGAAGGCAGCACTAAAGAGAGGGCATGGGCTAAGGCGGGCATGTCCCCTTGACTCCAGACTCCTCACCCCAATGTAGCTCCAACCCTGGAAGTGGGAGGACATTGCTGGGCACAGGGACCACTCTTGCCCTGAAGACTATGCTAGCCTGAAACCTTGTCTTTCATTGTCTCTGTGGGATCTTGCAAAGAGCCTAAAGTTGCAAATATCATTTTTATCCCCACTTTGCAGTGAGAAACAGAAGCCTATTAAAGTGAATAACTTTCCAAGATTCTGCACCCATTAGATGAGGCCAGGATTTGAATTGAGCTCTCATTCTAAAGCCCATGTCTCTCCCCATCCCTGCTGTCCAAATTGGACCTCTCATACGTGGGTCTCCACAAAACCCAGTTGCCTGGCAAACCTTCTCCCACTCCCCATACCCACTATGGTCTACTCAGCCTGAACTCACGTTGCCTGTACCAGCAAGCTTCAAAGTGGAGTATGCATACCATGAAGACTCTGGAGTCAGCCTTGAGGATAGTTTTGCTGTTGTTGTTTTGTTTTGGGGTCTTTGAGACACGGTCTCTATATTAGTCCATTCTCACACTGCTATAAAGAACTTCCTAGAGACTGGGTAATTTATAAAGGAAGGAGGTTTAATTGACTCACAATTCCACCTGGCTGGGGAGGCCTCAGGAAACTTCCAATCATGGTGGAAGTGGAAGCAGGCATCCTACATGGTGCCAGGTGACAGAGACAGTGTACATGTGAAGGAGGAACTGTCAAACACTTATAAAACCATCAGATCTTGTGAGAACTCACTATCAAGAGAACAGCATGGGCGAATCCCTCCACACATGGGGATTACAATTTGAAATGAGATTTGAGTGGGGACACAGAGCCAAACCATATCAGTCTCACTCCGTCACCCAGGCTGGAGGGCAGTGGCACAATCATGGCTCACAGTAGTCTCAACCTCCCCAGGTTCAGGTGATCCTCCCACCTCAGCCTCCTGGAACTACAGATACAGCTAGCTGGGACTACAGGCACATGCCACCACACCCAGCAAAGGAATAGTTTTCTAATTACCAGTTTCCAGGTTCTCAAATCTCAAACGTGCTCACTCTAAAACTGACCTGAGAACACTCCTTCTGCCCAGGAGCGCTCAAGAATCCTGCATCAACTTTTCCTCTCTCCTCTTTCATATTTATCCTGTTCCTTCTACACACACAGGCACGTACACACGCACACATGCACACACACAGCCTACTTCTCCCTACCCATAATTTTACTATGGTGTAACATCCCCAGGTCCAAAAAGTCCAAGGCATCACACAAAAGGATAATTCTCAATACTGGAGTTAAGTGTTAAGAAAATGAATAACCCTACAGTCTAGGGGATAAATCCTTCCACAATTCCATTAGTTTCCAATTCTTTGCTTTCAAAAATATTACAGCAAGACCTAATTGAGCTGTCAGCTCATAGATCATTAAGAATAAATTTTATGGTAAATCGCCACGCGATTTTTGGCATATAGCTCAGGAGGAGCTTAAATCATTGAGTGGCATTGCTGTAACAAAATTATTTTCAAGTCTATCAATTTATTCATGTGTGAACAAGATTTCTCAGCATTTACATCTATAAAAATGCATAGTAAGAACAGAATTAATGCTGATCCCTGTATCATTAGAACAATAAGTAATTTCCTCCTTTTAAACAGCCTTTTTTAAGAAGCTCTATCCATCTTATTAAGCAATGTAGTCTAATAAAATGTTACATTTATGCTTAATAATTATTTCTCAGCCAGGCGTGGTGGCTCACTCCTGTAATCCCAGCACTTTGGGAGGCCGAGGCGGGTGGATCACTTGAGGCCAGGAGTTCGAGACCAGCCTGGCCAACATGGTGAAACCCGGTCTCTACTAAAAATACAAAAATTAGCTCGGTGTGGTGGTGCACGCCTGTAATTCCAGCTACTTGGGAGGCTGAGGCAGAGAATCGCTTGAACCTGGGAGTCAGAAGCTGCAGTGAGCCGAGATCGCACCGCTGCACTCCAGCCTGGGTGACAGAGCAAGACACCATCTCAAAAAAAAAAAAAATTCTCATATTGTTAATGAATTTGTGTTATGTGGCTCAATTATATTAATAACAAATGAATTTCAAATCCAACCTAGAAGAATTTCTTTAGGCACTAAAAATCTGACAGTGCTAGAAAAAATATATACCATCTCCAATGTGTGTGTGTGTGTGTGTGTGTGTGTGTGTGTATGTATATGTTTGCTTGTAGAGAATCATAACAGAATGATCAATAAAAGTCTTTGAAGCAGAAATATAAATTTCATTAGAGTAAGACTCTGTATGGAAATTTTTTAAATAGTAACTTCAAAGAAAAAAGAGACCATGTAAAATTTTAAATAAGTTTTTATACATTTTTAAATGAATAATGATGGGTTTGAACTCATTGGATCTATTTAAACATACAACTTTTTTATTTTAAAATGTCAATATTTATAATATGCCAGAAGTAATATTTTTTGCAAGGATTTGAACTTACAAATGAAAGTTTTGAATGTCAACCTCAAAACGGGTAAACGGGGGGCCAGGTTTGGTGGCTCATGCCTATAATCCCAGTACTTCAGAGGCTGAGGCGGGAAAATCACTCGAACTCAGAAGTTCAAGACCAACCTGGATAATATGGTGAAACCTCATCTTTACAAAAAATATAAAAACTAGCTGGGTGTGGTGGCACACACCTACATTCCCAGATGCTCGAGAGGCTGAGGTGGGAGGATGACCTGAGCCTGGGAGGCAGAGGTAGCAGTGAGCCAAGATAGCACCACTGTACTCCAGCCTGGGTGACAGAGCCCAGACCTTGTCTCAAAATTAAAAAAAAAAAAAAGGTAGAGGGAATTCATGTGTTATGAACTAAATGTTTGTGTTCCCCAAAATCCATATGTTGAAATCCTAATCCCCAATGTGATGGTATTAGGAGGTAAGTCTTTGGGGAGACAATTAGGTTGTGAGAGTGAAGCCCCCATGAATGAGATTAGTATCCTTATAAAAGAGACTCCAGAGAGCTCTCTAGCCCTCCTTCCAATGAGAAGACTGGGGTCTGCAACCTGGAAGAGGGTCCTCATCAGAACCTGACCATGCTGACTCCCTGATCTCAGACTCCCAGACTCCAGAACAGGGAGAAGTAAATTTCTGTTGTTTCTAAGCCACCCAGTCTAGGTATTTTGTTATAGCCCCCTGACTAAGCATAGCTTTTCTAAATAAGCTTGGGGTGATTTGCAAGTAAAAAACTGTGCCATTCACTTAGTCACCAGTCCCCTCCTTGGGACATGCTCTGGATTCAGGAATTATTTGGCTGACGTATTTGTTGAATTTCCTTCCAGCAGCATTGTCTCTTCAACTAGACTTGAAGCAAAGAGTCATATGCTTTGCCGTGTCCGCTTTCTCCAAAATATGGAATCAAATTGAGCCCTGACTCTAATGCCTCTTGATCCACCCTCTTGGAACCCATATATGATCTGAGTTGAAATCTCACATCTGCTGGTTATTACATGTGCACCATGAGCACTTGCTAAGCTTCTTGGGGTCACAGTTTTCTGCTTCTGTAAAACAGAGACAAGGCCACGCACCTACTGTATCTAAGTTACAGAATTTTTACAAGGCTCAAGTAGGATCATTTTTCCTTTTAGTTTTAACTCTGATTTTTCAAGTATTAACTTGCAACCTATTCGCCTTGTTCTGAGGTCACAGAGCCTCAAAAAAAAGTAATAAAAATCCCTTCCTGGAAAAAAAACCAATGAACCCTAAAACAAGTGAACCTATTCCCCTTTTCTTGCACAATAAGCCAAATATGGCCTAAAATTCCTTCACAAAACCCACTGATACTGTTTGGCTGTGTCCCCACCCAAATCTCATCTTGAATTGTAGCTTCCATAATTCCCATATGTCATGGGAGGGACCCAGTGGGAGATAGTTGAATCATGGGGGAGGGTCTTTCCTGTGCCGTTCACATGATAGTGAATAAGTTTTACAAGATCTGATGGTTTTATAAAGGCCAGTTCCCCTGCACAAATTCTCTCTTGTTTGCTGCCATGTAAGATGTCCCTTGCTCTTCCGCCATGATTGTGAGACTTTCCCAGCCATATGGAACTGAGCCAATTAATTACCAGTTTATAAATTACCCAGTCTTGGGTATGTCTTTATCAGCAGCATGAGAACAGACTAATACATCCACCCTCTCTAAGCTACTACCCATTAATCTGTAAGCCTACTTTCCCTCTGATGTGTTTAATTATTGATTATTGAGTATGAAGTGTTTTAACCATTAAGCTTTTGATGATACCACCCTCCAGGGGGGGCAGAGCTTCACACACAGGGTCCGCTACCAGAAGGGAGGGAAGATGACACATTTTCCCTGCATCCTGGGGAAATGCGTAGGCTCCTGAACTGGAAACAAAACTGAATCCATCAAGGCCTCAGACCAAAATGCGGGGTGGAGGCACGAGGATCGGCCAGGAAGAGATCACACTTATTTCCCAGAACCCAAGAGGTGTATCACAGATCTGCCGTCACTCATGTGGGCAAGCACAACTGCTCTCAGGTAGCAGCAATAACCTACCTGTGTCAGCGCAGGACATTCAGAATGCAGGCACTGCCACCTGCTTTGATTTATCTCATCCCAAGCAAGGCAAACAACCCAAACAGAAACTCCAGACATTCCCTCTGAAATTCTATATATGGGTTTGCTGTCAAGTCAAAGTTTGGGACTAACTGTGCTCGCATCGTTTTGGGATGAATGGACACTAACATGAACAAAAGGTGAGGATGGTCCAATCTTAGAACAGAAATGGGAGGATGGATGAAAAATCTTTTGAACATAAAATCAAAATTTAGCAAAGAGCCTCTGAGGTCTCCCCTAGGCCCTTATAAGCTCTGCATCTACCACCTCCTAGCTAAGTGACTTTGGACACATTATTTTAGCCCCTCCCCAAGCTTGTTTCCTCATCAGTAAAATGAGATAACTATAGTGTGCACCTCAAGAGGCTGTGGAAGGCTTACATGAGATAAATCCAGGTAAAGTGCACAGCAATTCCTGAAGGATAAATAGAAAGTACTTAACACACATCAGCTTGGGGACGGAGATAGTGACATTTATTCATCCACCTAATGTTCCACTACTGCCAACCTCACTCCAATAACAATGAACTGCATTGATCTCCAAAACACGGCACAAACTGTCATGCTCCTACGTAATTTCTTATGTGGCTCACTCTGCTCAGAATCCCTTGAGCTGGCTAAGTCCTACTGGGCTTTCAAGACTCAGGTCCTGTGTCACTTCCTCCAGGAAGACAGTGGTACATACTCTTCTTCCTTCTCATCGCCTCATAGCACCTGGCACATAACTTCATTACATTCATGTGGATCCTTTAGATTCCAAGAGGCAGAAACACTACTCAAAATGACTTAAATTGAAGAGAAAGTCCAAAGGGTAGACATGACTTCAGGCACAGCTGGAAATAAGAACACAGATGATTTCAGCAGGAGCCTCGGGCTGGTGTCACTCTCAGGCACCTCTCCCCTGCCAAAGCAAGGGTACTGCCAGCAGTTTCAGGCTTCCATCTTTCCAGCTTACCCACCCCAGAGGATGATGCCTGTCTTTTGTGATGGTCCTAGTAGTAGGTCCAATACTGACACTCATTGGCTTAAATCGTGTTCTCATCCTGGAACAATTACTGCACCAGGAGGCAAAATGTTTTGACTGGCCACACCTAAGTCATATGCCAACCCTTTGATCTAAACTGGAGGGCCAGCCACATCCAAGCTACACGATCTGCAAGTTGGAGTATATGGGGCCCCAAAGGAAAGTAGCAGCTTATAACCTGAAAAGGAGGCATAGATGGCAGGAAATCAAAAAAGCAAAAGCTCAAACACCAGATGCCAAAAACCCATCATCCTACTAACCACAACCTACTCACCATTGGTGTGCACACCCCTCCCCGCCGTTGAAAAGTGTTTCCCTAGGTTGGAAGCCATGTCTTGGTCATGCTTCCCCAGGGCCTAGGAGAGGGCCTGGCATAACAGAGGTATGCAGTAAACATTTGTGGAATAAACAAGATGGCTTCGGTTCAACAGTCTTTGGATTGTACCATAGATAAGAAAATAGAAAATAGAACTGGAACTCAAATATCAACCTGGAAAATGTCAAGTATCAAAATTCTCAAAGGGCAGAAATCAGTCTTCCTGGAACCTTCTTGGAAAAAAAAAAAAACTGGCCAGTGAGTCCTAATCCCAAATTAGATACCATCCACAAACCAACAGACCCTATCCCCAATCCACTACGGTCCCTTTCCAGGGCACGCACCCCTCTGAACAAGTGCATCCCAGCTGAGCTCATCAGGCATGTGCCAGGAGGAGATTCCTTTATTCCAGGAAGTGTTTTCCTACCTCTGAAGACCCCAATTAACCCCAGTGTGAATTCTTGCTAGTGCCTCTAATTCTTGGTGGAAAAGTTTTAGGGTGCTGCGTCTTGTACCATGGCAGGTTTTCATCAACTGCAAGACAAACTGCTCTCAATAGCTATTTAATAACAGTCACCTGCTTGCTTTTTAATGTATTGGGGTAATCCACTTTACCTTCCAAAGCCAGAAAGGTATAACCAGTTTGGAGAAACAGAGGAGAAGAGTATTAGTGCCTAAATAGTATCCCTGGTGATTGCCAGGAAAACGAAAGAAATATACATGTATGTTTAGAATAAATTTTTTGTATAATTGCACCAGAAGAACCATGTGGACTTGGCCAAAATATGGCCCAGAGCTTATAATTAAGTACTGAGAAATGTGGTGGATTTGTACAGCTTCCTTTTGGAAATGCTATTTAAATTAGCTTAAGTCACAAAGGAACATGAAGGCTCTTATATCTAGGAAGATTGCTGGAAAGTCATGGACTTATGATAAGACTGTTTCTCCCAACATTGTCAATCTTCTCTTTGCCTCATCCTCTTCTCGTGCAGAAAGGCTCTTTCGGAGGCAGGACTACAGCACCGGTTTAGGCGCTCCCACAAGAAAAGAACTCCTTTCAACCATCCCAAAAGTCTATTCCAGGAAACACTCTGATTGGACACATTTAGGTCAAGTGCTCTTGGACCAATTACTGTTATCAGAAGCATGACATCCTACGATTGGCCAAGCCTCTGTAGTCAGGAGAGAGCAGGGTGACTGGTGGCCCCACAGAAGTACACAGAATGATTGGGGGAGGCACAAAGGAGAGGCAAAGGATGTCTTGACAGAAGAGGAAGGTAGAATGCTGGGAACACACACACACTTGCACAAAACAGATGACAAACCCCTCAGAAACCACCAGTATAACAGTAACTTTTCCAGATTCCAAAGTCTATAACTCCAGGTGAAAAAGAAATTCGGTTGACAACTCAGCAATAAGGGTGCAAACATTATTGTTGCTACTACCCAGTTATGGAATTATTAATATATGCCAGGCACTGACCTAAGTGCTTTGCACACATTATCTCACGCAGCATGCCATGAAGTACTTATTATTATCCTCAGGACACAGAGGGGGAAGCTGAGGCTTAGAAAAAGGAAGTGGCTCCTTCAAGCTTACACAGCCAGTAAGTGTGGGAGCCTGGATGCAAACACAAGGTTCTTACTACAATGCTATACCTGCTATACCATAGAGTGAAAAAAACAAACAAGTAGAAGGCTGCAGGCACCCAATGCCCTAATACACACGTTCCCTCCAAAAGGATCAAGGGCAAAAGACAACACAATACAGAACTGATAACACAGATTTTGAAGTCAGACGGACCCCCAACTTACTAGTATGACTTCGGACAAATTACTTATCCTCCCTGGTCTTCAGTTGCCTCATCCATAAAATGGGAAAGTAATGCCTATCCCATAACAGTGCTAAAAATAGAGACCACACACATGTATCTCAAAAATACAATGTGTCCCTTCTTCTTCCCTACTCTTCCTTGAACAAGAGGATAAATAAAATATCCAAAATGGTCCTGATCACTTGAATAGGCAAATAAGCCCCTGACTACTGTGCAAGCTCATCTACAGATAAAAAGCCTTAAACATGCAAGTCAAAAATAATGGTAACACTTTTTGGTGGTTGGCAACTTTTCTTAAATATGAGTGTCTGCTTATAACTAGGGCATAGGGAAATGGGAATACTGGTTATTGTTCACTGGGCACCTACTATATACCAGACACTGTGATGCATGTTTTACCTTTGCTATCTCATTTCATTCTCACAGCAGACTTCAGAGCTTCAAGCTTAACGCCTGCTCTAAATCCCTCTGTGGCTGATGGGACTATCAACTGGTCAAGCATTTACGTGCACACACTTTGCTCCTGCAACCCTCTATCTAGAAGTTAATCTTAGAGAAACAATCAGACATCCCAACAAAGATTTCCGCGCAAGAAAGCTCATCATATCTGTGTATATCATTTAAAAATTCAAAAACACCCAGACATCCAACTATAGTAAAAATTAAATTAGTTGTGATCCGTCTGCAGGATGAGTGTTATACAGCCCTTAAAATCAAGTTTTCCACTACCTGACTGATCACTATCATTGCTGCTACAAGTCCAGTATTTTGCCTCTGCCAGCCACAAACAGACCTAAGCAGCTGTGCCCTGAACAGAAGATCCCTTATAAAGGGCAGCCCTTAGGCAGCCATATTTTAGATCACATGACCTCCATGGCCACAGTTGATTGGACCTTTGGCAAACACTGTCCACAAGAGCAGCCAATCCAGAAGCTGCCTAGCAATGGACACCACAGTCTGGCATGAAAAAATGAAGTGGACCAACCAAAGAATACCTTCAAGAATGTGAACTAGGAAATAGGGGAAAATACTACAATTCACTGTGGGAGCATATCTGGGAATGCAATAATGTAGACTGGTGTAGAAATGGTACACCAGGGTAGCCTGGATGGGTCATCCCTAATTTAAAGTTATATTGGCAGGGAAATGGATTGGGTACAAATTATATAAATGGAGTGTAGTGAATGCACAAATTGGCAACCTGCTGATTTCTTCAGGCCAGTAGATGTGATTTATCTGGTCACACAATGTTTTTTATATAATTTGCATTAGTTAACAACATTTAAAATTAATTTATGTAAAAACTCAAATTTCTGCCGGGCGCAGTGGCTCACGCCTGTAATCCCAACACTTTGAAGCCAAGGCGGGCAGATCACCTGAGGTCGGGAGTTCGAGACCAACCAGACCAACGTGGAGAAACCCCGTCTCTACTAAAAATACAAAATTAGCCGGGCATGGTGGCGCATGCCTGTAATCCCAGCTACTCGGGAGGCTGAGGCAGGAGAAGCGCTTGAACCTGGGAGGCAGAGGCTGCAGTGAGCCGAGATCGTGTCATTGCACTCCAGCCTGGGCAACAAGAGCAAAACTCCGTCTCAAAAAAAAAAAAAAAAAAAAAAAAAAAAACCATCAAATTTCTGGTGGTTTCCCCCAAAGATCAGGAACAGGCCAAACTAAACTATATGGGAGAAAAAGACAATGGTGATTGTCCCTGGTAGGGTAGGGGTGGGGGGACACTAGAAAGGCAAATGAAGGAAATTTCTAGGGTAATTATAATGTTCTACATCTTGACAGCTATTTGGGTTACATAGATACATGTATTTGTCAGAATTCATTAAATGGTATATTTAAAATATATACACTTCACCTATGTATATTTTAACTCCAAAAAGGGAGGGGAGAACTGTAAATCAATATTAAGCTCTAGTTAATGACATGCATGCTGAAGTGTGCAGGTGCAAAGTTTACTGATATCTGCAACATACTTGGAAATGCATCCAAAAATAAAATGAAATGGTAGGTAAATGCAAGGACAGATGAATACTTATGTGGCAAATCAAATAGTAAAATATTAATTATAGCATCTCAATTTGAAAATTTTTTATAACAAAATGAAAAAGAGGCAAAATTCTAGCGGCTGCCCCCTTTAGAGGGGGCAGGTGTTCTCCAGATCACCACAATCCCCACCCACTCTTTAATGCCTGTATCAGCCTGTATTCCAGTGGGCAATTTCTGAAACAGAGAGAAAACAAGGCAACTAGAGAGGTGATAGGAGCAGGTACCCTGATACTAGAGTAGCGACCCGTACCCTCCTGTTCCTGAGGTCCCCGTCTCCAAGCATCTCTATCTGCCTTCTAGTTCCTTCCCTTCCAGAAGTCCGTTGGTTAGTGTCACAGCCTGTGCTCCTCTGGAATCAGAGCCTGAGATGAAAGCTGATACATGAGTAGTTTATTTAGAAGTGAGATTATCAGGGAGTAAAAGGAGGGACAGAGGAAACAAACAGTGACAGAGAAAGAGTCAGTACAAAAATGTGTAACTGAGTTGTCCACTGCTGAGGTGACCAGTTGCTCCACTCATGGCCCTTTCTAGAAGTCTTACAGAATGCACCTGAGAACTACCTACCTAAGGGACAAAAGGGAAGAATGTATCCCAAGAGATATCTGTTATAATCATCATGGAATATTCCATCCAATCATTGGAAGATTCCTTCCCAATATCCACTCCTCTCATTGCTTTCCTGCTAACAAATTCTCCCCTCCCCCGACTTTTTTTTTCCAGATAGCAGCAGAGATATCTTGATCCCAGCTCCAGAGGTTGAATCATGATTGGTTAAATGTGCCATAATAATTTTATATCCTTTGCCCACCGATTTGCCTAAAGATGACCATGGAACCCAATTCTAGTGAAAGAAATGTAAGCAAACATTTCATTTCTAGGGCAACTTCCAGAAAACCTTTTGATTTTCTGACAAAGAAAGACTAAGTTGGAAGTACCCAAAGCCCATTTACTCTCTTTCTTCTTTCTACCTGGTACACGGAATTTATGCTTGGAGGTATAGCAGCCACATTGCAATTAGGAGGTGACAAATGTTATAACAAAACAAAGATTCTGGAAATTGTGGAGCAGAAAGGGAGAGCAATCCCAGGTCTCTGACAGCACTGGGTCTGGACTTCTACCTCTGGACTTCATATGGGAGAAAATAATACCCACTAGTTCAACCCTCTGTAGTCTGCCTTCTCTTTGCCGCTAAATGCATTCCTAACATATACTCTTGGAATTTCCCAGGTGTTCAAGAACTTACTATCAACATTTTCCTATCTACCATTCCTTGAAGCACTTGAGCAACCATGGCCTTGTATCCAGAAAAAAAGATAATTAAAGATTTCCCATCTCAATAAAGGATCTCAACTTTGTTTTGAGACATGGTCTCGCTCTGTTGCCCAAGGAGTGCAGTGGTATGGTCACAGCTTACTGCAGCCTCAACCCCATGGACTCCAGTGATCCTCCAACTTCAGCCTCCTGAGTTGTTGGGATCACAGACATGCACCACCATGCCTGACTTTTTTTTTTTTTTTGTATTTTTATAGAGACAAGGCTTCACGATGTTGCCCAGGCTGGTCTTGAACTCCTGGGCTTAAGGGATTTGCCCACCTCAGCTTCCCAAAGTGCTAGAATTACAGGTGTGAGCCACCACGCCCTGCCTCTCAAATGTTTTTAAACTCTTGCCTCCTCAAAGAGTCATTGCACCCAGGGTTAGACCATATGTGACCTGGAAGAAGACTTGATTTAGCTAAAGTAGCTGTAATAATACAGAAGAGAAAGAAACAAAAGCAAGCACCTCCGCAGGGCTCAAAGCACCATTCACGAAAGAAAGTCACCTATTCCTGCTTCTCCTGGCAGTCGATTGAATTTGGAAACCTCCCATTTGGAAAACTAGAGAAAGGCACATGAAAGTAGAGAAGAGCTTATGGCAACAAAACACCGTAAAAATGCAGAAAACAGGAAAAGCTTCACTGAGTGGGACAGAAAGAGGATTATCTTGAGAAAGGCCAAAGAAGAAGTGATACTCGAACAGCAGCAAGTGGGAAGAACTGAATAGGGGCTTTAGGAGACGTGGGTTCTTGTCAGAATTCTTCTGCTTATCTTTGGGACCATGATTTCATCTCTCGAATCTTCACTGAGTATCTGCTGTGTGTCAGCTCTGCTCAGCACTTGGAAGACAAGAAGCCAGGTTCCATTAGCTGGGTGTAGTGGTGCATACCTGTAGTCCCAACTACGTTGGAGTCTGAGATGGGAGGACTACTTGAGCCCAGGAGTTGAAGGCTGCTCTGAGCTATGACCACACCACTGCCCTCCAGCCTGGGCCACAGAATGAGACCACGTCTCTATAATATATTCTAAAATAAAAAACAAACCAGGTTCCTACGCTCAGAGAGCTCATTTTTGCTTCTTGATTTCTCTTATTTTTCCTAGAGATCTTTGATTCTCAAATGTCCTACAAGGGGGAATATTCTGCACCAACTTCCCCAAGGTGTGCCCTGTGAAACATGCTATTTTCTCCAGAAATGCCACAGGGAAAAAGAAAGATTCTGTGAACAGATCCGTTGGAGACAGATGTCAGTTTAAGTCTTCCTCTAGACCTGTCCTGTCTAGTACAGACAAGAGGCTGTTTAAATTTCAGTTAAAATTAAAAATTCAGTTCCTTGGTCTCAATAGCCACACTTCAGTGCTCAACAGCTATTCATGGGTAGTGGCTACCTTATTGGACAGTGCAGAGAACACTTCCACAATCACAGAAAGAACTTCTGGATGCCACTGCTATTGAAAAGTCAGGCTGACTCTGGGCATATTGCCTATGAGTTCACCCTGTTCTGCAAGGTTAAAATATATTTAAAAGATAAAAAAAAAACTAAAATGGATTAAAAACATGTATAAGGCACACTGCCCCCATTAGAGGCTCTGAAAAAATTAATCTGCAGTAAAATAACATGCTAAATTTTTCAACTGTCTTTGACATTTATTCTTTCCTACCACCCTTTAACATTACACAGTATGACACTTCACACAAGCAGATTTTTGCAGGACATGTTTTACAGAAGGAAAACTGAGGCCAGGTATGGTGGTTCATACCTGTAATCCCAGCACTTTGGGAGGCTGAGGCAGGTGGATCACCTGAGGTCAGGAGTTCAAGACCAGCCTGGACAACACGGTGAAACCTCATCTCTACTAAAAATACAAAAAATTAGCTGGACGTGGTGGCATGCACCTGTAATCCCAGCTCCTCAGGAGGCTGAGGTACAAGAATCGCTTTGAGGTGGAGGTTGCAGTGAGCGGAGATCACGCCACTGCACTCCAGCCTGGGTGACAGAGCAAGACTCTGTGCCAAAAAAAAAAGGAAAACTGATCAACTGCTCCTCAGTGCCTGACCACCTCTTTTCCAAGAAGCTCTTTTTCGTGTTTCGATAACTTGCTATTTGCTCATTTTTTCTGGCTTTCAACTCTGCCATTTGATGAGTGCAATCAAATCCAAAGAAAAACAACTTAAGAGAAAATGCGCAAAGACAATGTTGACAAGAGCTGCTATATTTGGAGAGAAAACGAGGAACAATTAATCTACCTAGAACAAGGAAAGAAATCATGAAATCAATTCTCATACATTCATTGGATAGAATACTATCCTTCCCCTACAAGTAATAGTTCTAATGTATATATGAAAAGTTGTAAATGCTTATGACCTAAGTGAAAAATGAGGACACCATGTTGCACATGTGTTATGATACCGACCGTGTAAAAACAAACTATATTTGGGGGAGAAAAGCCAAAATGTGGGTGTGTTTGCGTTTAGGTCTTAGAATTTGGGTATTTTGTTTCCTTCTTTCCTTTATTTCTCAAATGTCTTTTCAAAGCACCTAGCACTTCCAGGAAAACAATGTAAAAAATTAAAGAAAATTAAAAATAAAACACTGATAGAATGACAGCCAAGACGCATGTGGGGGCTGGAGGGTTGCTGCTGATTCACTTTGGTCCATGGATTTTCTGACGCTGTTTTTATTCTATTGAAGCAATTTGGGCAGTGTCAGCTCTCCACCCCTGCTGTAAAAATGCAAATGTGGTGGCCTCTCCCTACTCCCACTGCTCTGAGCAATTCTCCATCACCCATGGCACAGAGAAGTCGCTAGGGACCCCTGTCTCCAGGCTTCCCTGATAGCTGCCTTGCCTGCACCATTTCTTCCCCTGTGAAAGCCACTACCAGCCCCATGGTCCCACCCTCCCAGCACCGGGCCCCAAACCCTAACTGCCTCTCAAAACTCACCTCCAATTCCTCTTCATTTACATCTTTCCCATCTACTCAGCTAGATGAAGTATGTGCCCAAACGCCCAGCCCTAATTCTGGTAGAGAGTGAATAGTTCAGTTTCCCTTCGCTTTCTCCCTCTTCTTTTAAAAAATTAAACACTTGATTAAACAAACAGAAAATCATTTCTTTGCAAATGCCAGCCTGCAGAAGTGTCTTCGGCAGATAGTTTTTCCAGCCAGTTCTTCTCTAATTTTTCCTTGAAACACCCACCGTTCATTTCCGCTACCCCTGCGCTTTCCCCTAACGCCCACAACTTGGTAATAATTGGGAGGCCAGCGCCAGACTGAGTGGATTCAACAGTCATTAAGCAAAATGCAAAAGTTAAACCAGAGCCTCGCTGGATCGCACAGCTGTTCCTACACCTGAAGGGGAGCCACTTTTATTAAATTATGCATCCGGTGTGCCTTTTATTTCCTCAATGAGAACGTGGTTCATAAGTGGTTATGGGGATTACCTTAACCAATTAATTTCAACAATTTATAGCCTTGAGGCAATTTCACTGCAGTATGTAGTGGGTGGATTGAGCATTTGAGCTTATGAAAGAATAATGATTTGTTTTTTGAACTCTGGACATTCCATGGGTCAGGGAACATGTCGTTTGGTATGCTGTACCTGCCCAGCTCTTTGGAGGCGTTCTCTCACTCAAGCTGGGTTACCCCCTCAGGAAACAGAGTCACAATGTCCCTCTTTGCAGGGTTCTAATTGTGTCTACTATCCACAAGAGCCTCATATGTTCAGGAATAAAAATAATCAATAGCTTCCTGGTTAGACTGACCAGGATAATGGGAAATGGGCTTGAGGAGGGAGAGCAGATGCCAGGAGCTTGGCAGGCAGGTTTCTGGAAAGGTTTTGCTTTCAAAATCATATATAAGTAGCTGGGCCAGGCAACCTGACCTGTTGAGAAAAAGTCCTCCAAGGCCAACAGTTAAGAGTCTGACAAGCATTTCTTTTGGTCCTACTATGCACTGAGGGCAGCACAGGATGTAAGAATGAATGAGACCTGGAGCCTGCCTGCCCTCAAAGGGCTTACAGTCTCCCAGGAACAGGTATTGGCACAAAATAGGCTCCCATTTGTATTTGAGTACAGAAATCCTACAATTCAATGTGGTAATACAGTAAAGAAACTAAAAAGATTTCAGTGGTGGTCTGGCTTCCCTATCTACCAGCCCTGTGACCCTGGGAAATATTCTTAGACTTTCTGCTCCTCAGTTTCCTCACCTTTAAAATTAGGACAATGATAATGTCCACTTCGTGGAGTTGTTATGAGGAGCAAATATGTTGAGATTTAAAAAGCACTGGAACGGTATCTGGCTTAGGTTTAATTTTTTCTTTCTGCTTAATGACTTGAAGGTAGATTGAGCCTGGTACTGGCCTTCCAATTATTACCAAGTCATGGGAGTTGGACGGTACAAGGATGAACTGTGGGTGGTCCAGGAGAAAACTGCAGAGGAACTGGCTGAAAAAAAAAAAATCAAAGATACATGTTCAGCCTGACATTTGCAAAGAAATTATGTTCTATTCACTTAATATTTGAGGCATAATTTAGAAATAAAAAGTCATCGTATAATTGATAATCAAATTTAAAAGTAAAGTACAAAAATCAAATTTAAAAGTAAAGTACAAAATCAAATGCCACCATGTCCTCAGTACCCAAGGGAGGGATCTTCATTATTAACATAGCTCCTGCTTCTAGAAATTCTCAGGACATGATAAATATCAAATAATATGATGAAAACCAAAATATAGACAAGGCATTTAGGAGAAGCAACTATTAAAAAAAAAAAAAGTCCTCTGTTGTATCTTGTATATCACTCAGGATCCAGGCATTAAATAAATGGCATGCTCAAGAGAGACAATTAAAGAGAATTTAACAAAGGATCAACTTACAAAGGCGTGGGCATAATTAAGGAAAATCAACAAGGAGTGGGGAAATCCCCAGGAGCTGGAAATAGCAGGAAGCGATCCCCAGTCTGGACTTGAAGGGGCATGTGGTTGTGGGGCCCAGGACCTGGAGAGACCCAAAGCTGGAGGAAAGCGCCACCTGACAGGTGCTGTTACTTAAGGGGAGGAGCTCAGTCTGCCGTCATATGATATTGTGGCTCGAGCTTCAATCTCTTGATGGCTCCCATTGGACAAACCCAGCTGGAAACCAGGGGATGAAGGGCCATGATTGATGCAGCACACACAGGTTGTCCTGCCATGACCAAGAGCATTATGGGATTAAGAGGCACACAGAGAAAATGTCTCAACTGTAAAATTAGCATAATATTAGTACCCTTGTCAGAGAACTATTCTGATCATTAGATAAAGAGATACATAAAGCACAGTCTCTGGCACATATTAGTGCTCAATAAATGTTAGCTTATTATAGGATTATTAGTCCATATAATCAATTTATCTCTAAAGTATGGGGTATAAATACTGATGTTTTCAAATAACTGTAGAAGTGAATTCCTTCTAAAAATCCATCTTATAATGGCCTCAGAGATTTATATTAATTAATTTATCTCTATTTATTTGTTTGTAGTGAAAAATTTGCCAAAGAATTCATTTCAAAGGTGGCTGTTTCACCACACACACTCATAGGAAAACATTCCTTATTTATGAGGATTTTTGTGCCTTGAATTAACATCCCCTGACCATCAAGAAAGAAACAGTTCTTACAAAATAGAAATGATTTTTCTGCAAAGAACCGCTGTTCCAAGTTTATGGAAATTGATTCAATATTTGCCCTAATTCCTGTGTCAAAATCTGGTGTAAAAAGTTCTAGGTTTATCTACTGCCTGAGACATACAATGGTCTGAGTGGTATTTCACCACAAGGGTTCCTGAAGAAAGTTTTACTAGATCTTCCCCTCTTGAAAGCAAAAGATGAGTTTTTGAAAACTAAACTACTGATCTAAAGCTCAACACTCAAATGTAACACACAAGATTGCTATCAATACTATTTATATTGGAGGATTTTCATTTCTTGTGGTCAGTAATGCCAGGTATATCCAGGGATTTGTACCAGCCTGTGGCAACCCTAGCTGTACAGTGTGAGCAACCTATAGTTATAAGCCCTAGGTACAGAGTCTTACCAACTTTCTACTTGCCACCTGGATTCTGTGTACCTTCATCTGGAGTGGGAGCCAGAATGCCTACTTCAAATCATACCTCTACAACTTAATAACTAAATGACCTTGGGCAAATTACCCTTTCAGGGCCTCAGTTTTTCCATCTGTAAAACGGGAATAATAACAGCACGTTCCTCAAAGAGCCACTGTGAAGATTAAATGAATAAATGAATGCAAAGCACTTAGCATGGTGCCTGGCATTCATTCATTGAACAAATATTTACCGAGCGTCAACTATGTGCTAAGTACTGTTTTAGGCACTGAGGTTGCAGGTAAAAAATCCTGCCTTCCTTGATCTTCCCCAAGTAGAATTACTTGGGGAAACCAGGCTAAAATAATAATAAACAGGCAAATTATAGAGCATGTTAGAAGGTAATGAATGTCATAGAAAAATTAAACAAGAGAAGGGGCATCCAGGCAGCCAGCAAGTGTCGGGATTATGATTTTAACAAGATATGAGGGAAGACTTCACTGAGATGACATTTTAGCTGTAGCATTTGAGGATGATGAGGTGTGAGCGATGGGGATAATTGGGGAAAGAGTGTTCCAGGTGGCAGAAAATTGCCAGTGCAAAGGTCCTGAGGGCAGGATACTCTCTGCCACATTCAAGGAACAGTCAGGGGGTCAGAAGGGGTCAATAGTAATATATTTTGAAGGTAGAATCAAGGGGATTGGGTGGGGTGAGATGTGAAAGAAAGAGGAGTCAGGAGTGATTCCAAGGGTTTGTCTTGGGCAAGTAAAGGGATGGCATTGCCCTGTCCTGGGGCAGTGAGTTGGCCAGCCTACTCTTTTGTATTTTTTTAAATTTACATCCACTTTTTATTCCTTCATAGATTTTAACAATTATACACAACTTTTAACATAAAGGTAGTGAAATCTCAAGGATAAGGAAGCTATATATATGTATATACACACATACATATACATATACACACACATATATATACATATATACACACACATATACACACACACACACACACACACACACATATATATATATGGCTTCTTCTATTCATTCTTCAGGATGGAAGGAAATTTCCAAAGGGTTACAATGTGTGAGATTTAACAATGGAAAAATACATATGAAACTTGTTTAACTGGCTCCACTTAAGACCAGGCACAGCACAATAAATACAGAACTGCATCATCTTTTTAAAATTTTGTATTGCTTTATGACACATGCACACGTATGTTTATTGCAGCACTATTCACAATAGCAAATACTTGGAACCAACCCAAATGTCCAACAATGATAGACTGGATTAAGAAAATGTGGCACATATACACCATGGAATACTATGCAGCCATAAAAAAGGATGAGTTCATGTCCTTTGTAGGGACATGGATGAAATTGGAAATCATCATTCTCAGTAAACTATCGCAAGGACAAAAAACCAAACACCGCATGTTCTCACTCATAGGTGGGAATTGAACAATGAAAACACATGGACACAGGAAGGGAAACATCACACTCTGGGGACTGTTGTGGGGTGGGGGGAGGGAGGAGGGATAGCATTAGGAGATATACCTAATGCTAAATGACGAGTTAATGGGTGCAGCACACCAGCATGGCACAGGTATACATATGTAACTAACCTGCACATTGTGCACATGTACCCTAAAACTTAAAGTATAATAATAGTAAAATAAAATAAAATTAAATAAATAAATAAAAAATGAAATAAAATTTTGTATGCTTTATAATGAAAAATTCCAGGATTTGATCTGGACTCTCATCTAATGCCAAAGCTGGTCCTCCACTCCATATTCCCATTCACTGGCGATTAAACCTCAGTCCCTCCAGGACACCCTGGACACAGTGGCTGAACTAACCCATCAACAGAGTATATTGAAGACACTTTCCCACTCAGCATTAATTCCTGGGCTAAGTTAGCTTGAATTAAAGCTCAGTGAGATGGAAGTGATTTCCCAAGGGCCCCATCACAAGTCAGAACTGGAGTTTCCAGCTTATAAAAACTCATCCTACTTGGCATGAATAATACTTCTCCTCTAAAGCAGCAGTTCTTAACCTTCTGGAGATCTTGGGCCACTCTGAGAATCCAATGGAAATGATAGACCACATCCCCTGGAAATGCACCTAAGCATTCACGGCTGCATAGATCATTTCTGGAGGTTCATAGGCTCCTCTTTAAAGCTCACCTGTAAACCTGCTCAGGAAACCTGGGCTATGAGGCAAAGTTGAAAATAACTGCATTGGCTGGGCGCAGTGGCTCATGCCTGTAACCCTAGCACTTTGAGAGGCCGAGGCAGGAGGATTGCTTTAGGCTGAGAGTTCAAGACCAACCTAGCCAACATAGCAAGATCCTGTCTCTTTTTAAAAAATTGTTTATTAAAAAGAAATTTTAAAATAAGAAAATAACTAAATTTTTCCTAGATATTTATTATTTTGAATAGATGATAGATATACAAGGTAGAAAAACACCAAAATAAAATAGGAAAAAGGGTATTCGATGGCACACTCCTTTCTTTTAGCATCTCAGTTCTCATGACCAGATGCATTCACCTCTAACAGGTCCTTCTGCAGACACCCAGAGATGAAGGGAGGGCTGTCCCTTGCCTTTCGCACAGAAGGTAGGTTCTTGGTTTTTCTCACTTAACCAGCTCTTATCGATTAATACTTAGGGATCTTTTAATCTCTTGCCATTAAAGAAAATATTATGATAAATAACCTTGAACATCACTGTTTATGCTCATTTAGGAGTATGTCTGTAGCAAAAGCTCCCAGAAGTGGGATTGCAGGTCCCTAGGATGTGTGTATTTTATATTTAATAGATCTTCCAAGTTGCCCTCCAAAGGAGCTCTACCAATTTACACTTCCACCAACAAAATTACCAAGTATTTTAAAAATACTACCACATACTTCTCAGAACTCAAACTATTAAATTTTTTAATAAAAGAAATCCATTATAATTAAATCTTTCCTGACTTCTCTTAAATAGTCCATGTTCATTCCACAAATTATTCTCACAAATAAAAAACAACAGTCTAACTCACCCATTCACACTTACCTCCGGCCAAAAAGCAAAGGCAGGCACACAGGTAAGCCTTTGGAATGCTCATCTGTTAAGAGGGACTCTTTCTTGACAATAACCCCTCCACCCCACTATTAACGGATAGACACCCAATTGTTAATATCTTATGAGAATTGAAATTTGTTTCAATTCCAAAGGAACTTCATATGAAGAGAGAAAAGTTTGAAAGATCAAAATCCCCAGGGAAAAGAAAAAATGTCAAGGCCAGAATCCATTCTCATGTCAATTAGTTCCAGTGAAGAGCTACTGACTCACAGTTTCCAATGTTGCCAAAGCAATTGCTCATTAAGACAAATTGAGACCATGTCTAACCCTTCTGTTTTCCCTTCATTCTGAGTAGAACGACCCATGCTTTCAGAATTAGATACATGGCACCAAGCACATTTAAGAATTAACAAGAAATGTTATTAAATAAAGTGTGTGGGGAGAAAAGTGCATTTGAATATGGATGAATCAGACAAGATTCTGTCCATGAGTTGCAAGAGACTAAAGATTCAACTCTAACTGCATTAGGGAAAAAAAAAAAAATTCATAGATAGATCACCCATGGGGCATGTTTTGATTCAGGTGTCAAACAAATACCATCCAGGAATAGTCTCCCCCCCATCTCTTGGCTCTGCCCTTCTTCACACTGACATTCTCAAAAAAAATGGTTCCCAGCCTGCGGACCTAAATCCCATCATGGGAAAGACAGCATCTCCTCCTCTGAACACCTGGGACAAAACTGCTGGACTCTGAACCAGACCCCGAACCATGCCCATCATTGCACTGGTCCTGCACCTTAGAGGAAGGAGGAGGACAAAGTTTGTTTCCACTCTTCCTCTTCCACTCTCGCTTCAGAAACATCCTCCTGGGTAAGGGAAGAATGGTTCGAAGGAAATACACTGGCTTTTTATTAGTAGGTGCTATTCGTAGTTCCCCCCTGACTCTCAAATGTCCCATTGATATGGTTTGGCTGTGTCCCCACCCAAATCTCATCTTGAATTGTAGCTCCCATAATCCCCACGTGCTGTGGAAGGGACCCGGTGGGAGATAATTGAATCATGGGGGCAATTTCCTTCTCATGGTAGTGAATACATCTAACGAGATTTGATGGTTTTATAAGGGGAAACTCCTTTCACTTGGTTCTCATTCTGTCTTGTCTACCACCATATAAGACGTGCCTTTCACCTTCCGCCATGACTGTGAGGCCTCCCCAGCCACATGGAACTGTAAGTCCATTAAACCTCTTTTTATTTATAAATTACCCAGTCTCTGTAATATCTTTATCAGAAGTGTGAAAACGGACTAATACACCTGTCAAGGAGAGCATCCTAATGCCAGCTCCATCAGGTAGCATGTCGGGGAATTATTTAAAAAATGCACACTCTCACTTTTATTAGGGCCCCCTGATAATGCACAATTTCCTAACAGAGTTTATGACTTTCTGGTCTACACCTTGTAGGCTCCCTTAACTCTTGCCTTAAGGTTACTCTTTGGAGTCCCTTGCCCTGACTGACATCCCACTGTGGCTCATAGCCAGTTGCTTGCCACAGCATCTTCTTGACCCATGGGAAAACGGGCATTACAGTCCCAGCAACCTTAGTAAGTGCAGGGAGCTTCTTCTGCTACCTTTTCTTTCTTTCTCCTACCATTTGGAGCTGCTCTAGACAGCTCCCTGCCTTCAGGCTCCTCTAGGCAAGGAGCAGGCACCAGTACCCTTGGTCCCCAAATGCCTGCATGTCAGGCTCTCCTAAACTCTCGTTTGTGTTCTGCTCCAGAAGTACTGGGGGTATGGGGTGGAAAGTCCACAGATTTTGATAATAGCCAAAAAGTAGAAACAATACAGAGGCCCATCAACTGATGATGAATGCATAAATAAATGGTGGTACATTCATATAATGAAATATCATTCTACACTAAAAAGAAATAAAATTGGAACAACTGGATATCCACATGCAAAAGAATGAATTTGAACCTCTAGCTCACAACATATACAAAAATTAACTCAAAATGGGTCAGAGACCTAAATGTAAGAGATAAAACTATAACACTTTTAGAAGAAAGCATGGGGTAAATCTTCATGATTTACCCCTATGGCAATGAATTCTTAGAAATTATAATAAAAGCACAAACAACAATGAAAAAATAAATTGGACCTCATCAAAGTTAAAACTTTTTTCATCAAAGGACACTTTCAAGAAAGGGAAAAGACAACTTACAGAATGGGAGAAAATATTTAAAAGTTATATATCTAATAAAAGTCTAGTATCCAGAATATATGAAGAATTATTGCAACTCAACAAAAAGAAAAACAACCCAATTTTTAAAATGGGCAAAGGCTTGAATTGTTATTTCTCTAGAGAAGATATACAAATGGCTAATAAGCATGTGAAAATTGCTTATGACATGACATCATTAGTCATTAGGAGATGCCTTCTTACACTCACTAGAATGGCTATAACCTAAAACATAGAAAATAAGTGATCGCACAGATGTAAAGAAATTGGAACCCTTGCATGTTGCTGGTGGAAATGTAATAGGGTGCTGTCACTTTAGAAGAAAATAGTTTGGCAGTTCCTCAAAAAGTTAAATATAGAATTATCATATGACTTAGCAATTCCACTCCTAGGTATTTACCCTAAGGAATTGAAAACAAGTATTCAAATACTTACACACAAATGTTCACAGCAGCACTATTCACAATAGCCAAAAGGTGGAAATAACTCAAAATGTCCGTCAGCTAATGAATGGATAAACAAAATGTGACATATCCATACAATGGAATATTATTCAGCCACAAAAAAGGATAAAATACTGAGATATGCTACAACATGCATGAACCTCAATAACATTACACTAAGTGGAAAAAATAAACTAGACACAAACAGTAACATATTGTATGATTCCATCCAGAACAGATAAATCCATAGAAACATAAAGCAGATTAGTGGTTGTCAGGAACTGGGAGAAGGAAAACAATGGGTAATGACTGCTTCCTGAGGACGGGGTTTCTTTTTGTACAGATGAAAGTATCTCGGAACTAGATAGAGGCAATGGGATGGTTGCAAAATATTCTGAAAGTACTAAATGCCACAAAATTGAACACTTTAAAATAGTTAATAGTTATCTTTCTATTATATGAATTTTATCTCAATTTTTTAAAATAATTTTTAAGAGATAAATGAAGTACTGACACATTCTATGAAATGAATGTGCCTTGAAAACATCGTGCTAAATAAAAGCAGCCCATTACCAAGCATCACATACTGTATCATGCCAGAATAGGCAAATCTAGAGACAGAAAGCAGATTAATGGTGGTCTGGGGCTGCAGGGAGATGCAGGGCCTGGGGCATGACAGCTAAAGTGTGCATGGTTTCTTTTTTAAAGAATAAAAATGTTCTAAAATTGATTGAGGTGATTGCTGCACAACTCTGTGAACATAATAAAAGCCATTGAATTGCATATACTTTAAATGGGTGGATGGTATGGTAAGTGAATTATAACTCAAAGAAGCTGATTAAAA